>NC_000009.12:20010000-25010000 GCF_000001405.40 Homo sapiens
CCAGGGAAGACAAACTGCAACCCTGCCCAATCAGATATAATTTCAGTGCCCAGCCAGCGGCGCTCCACCTGATTTCAGAGTCCAGCCAGTGGTCTCGCTGAATCACAGAGCACAATCAGCAATACCATTCTCCCTCAGAACACAAGAAGCAACCCAGCCCAACTTGAGAAACTGACAGCAAAGTCTGCATGCTCAGCGTTGCCACCAGCCAACTCATCCACAATCCCAGGCTAGACTAAATAATAAAGGTGTTTCACCACCAAAGAACACCTGCAAAAGCCAGGAGAGGTGGCCTTCTCCTCAAATAAGCAAGGATCAGTGTAAGAATACAAACAATATGAAAAATTAGGGAATTATTGCACCACCAAAAGAAACTAATAAAGCTCTGCTAATGGATGCAGAAGAAATGAAGATCTATAAAATGGCTGACATATAATTCAGAATAATCCTCTTGAAGAAGTTCAGGGAACCATAAAAAAATATGGATACAAAATTAAGTAAAATTTGGAAAACAATTCATGAACAAAATGAGAAGTTAGACACTACATCAATAAAAAAATAAATTATAGAGATAAATACAAAAACTGAACTGAAAAATTCAATAGACATTTTCTTTTTTTTAATTATACTTTAAGTTCTAGGGTACATGTGCACAACATGCAGGTTTGTTACATATGTATACATGTGCCATGTTGGTGTGCTGCACGCGTTAACTCGTCATTTACATTAGGTATATCTCCTAACGCTATCCCTCCCCCCTCCCCCCACCCCATGACAGGCCCTGGTGTGTGATGTTCCCCTTCCTGTGCCCAAGTGTTCTCATTGTTCAATTCCCACCTATGAGTGAGAACATGTGGTGTTTGGTTTTTTGTCCTTGTGATAGTTTGCTGAGAATGATGGTTTCCAGCTTCATCCATGTCCCTACAAAGGACAAGAACTCATCATTTTTTATGGCTGCATGGTATTCCATGGTGTATATGTGCCACATTTTCTTAATCCAGTCTATCATTGTTGGACATTTGGGTTGGTTCCAGGTCTTTGCTATTTTGAATAGTGCCACAATAAACATACATGTGCATGTGTCTTTATAGCAGCATGATTTATAATCCTTTGGGTATATATCCAGTAATGGGATGGCTGGGTGAAATGGTATTTCTAGTTCTAGATCCTTGAGAAATTGCCACACTGTCTTCCACAATGGTTGGACTAGTTTACAGTCCCACCAACAGTGTAAAAGTGTTCCCATTTCTCCACATCCTCTCCAGCATCTGTTGTTTCCTGATTTTTTAATGATCACCATTCTAACTGGTGTGAGATGGTATCTCACTGTGGTTTTGATTTGCATTTCTCTGATGGCCAGTGATGATGAGCATTTTTTCATGTGTCTTTTGGCTGCATAAATGTCTTCTTTTGAGAAGTGTCTCAAAAGACATTTTCAACAGCAGACTTGATCTAGGAGAAGAAAAGATGAGGGTATTCGAACACAGGACACTTGAAATTATCCCTTAGAAAGAGAAAGATAAAGAAGAATGAAAAAGAACAAATAAGGCCTACAGGAATTGTGGGACACCATCAAGAAAACTAACATTTGTGTTACAGGAATTCCTGAAGGAGAGAGAAAAGGGCCTAGAAAGCATATTTAAGGAAGTAATGGCTGAAAATTTCCCAATTTGGGGAAAGATAATAACATTTAGGTACAGGAAGCTCAGAGGTCACCAATCAAATTTAACCTAAAAATAATTTTACCAAGACACATCATAAACAAATTACTGAAAAATCAAAGAAAAAGAATATCAAAAACAGCAAGAGACTTTAAGAACACGTCAAAAGAATCATTTACTATGATCAAGAGGGATTTATCCCTGGAATTCAAAGATGGCTCAACATATGCAAACCAGCAAATGTGATATACCATATTAACAAAATGAAGGATAAAAATCATATGATCACCTCAATAGATGCATAAAAACTGACAAAAGTCAACACCTTCTCATGATAAAAACTTTTAACAGATTAGGTATAGAGGGAATTTACTCAACATAAACAATAAAAGCCATATGTGACAAACCTATGGCTAACATCATTCTCAGTGGTGAAAAGTTGAAAGGTTTTCCTCTAAGATTAGGGACAAGGCAGAGATACCCACTGTATTAGTCCATTTTCATGCTGCTGATAAAGACATACCTGAGACTGGGCAATTTACAAAAGAAAGAGGTTTACTGGATTTACAGTTCCAGGTGGCTGGGGAGGCCTCACAATCATGGCAGAAGGTGAAAGACACATCTCACATGGCAGCAGACAAGAGACAAGAGCTTGTGCAGGGAAACTCCCCTTTTTAAACCATCAGATCTCGTGAGTCTTATTCACCATCATGAGAACAGCGCAGGAAAGACCTGCCCCTATGATTCAGTTACCTCCCACTGGGTCCCTCCCGCAACATGTGGGAATTCAAAATGAAATGTGGGTGGGGACACAGTCAAAACATATCACCCACTCTCACCACTTCTTTTCAACATAGTACAGAAAGTCCTAGCCAGAGGAATTAAACAAGAGAAACAATAAAAGGCAACATCATAGAAAAGAAAGAAGTAAAATTGTCTCTATTGGATGATGACATGATCTTATATATAAAAGATCCAAAGATCCCCCCATAAAACTATTGGAAACAAATTCAGTAAACAAATTCAGTAAAGTTGTAGGATACAAAATGAAGAGCATTTTTACATACCAATAATGAACTACTCAAAAAGGAAAGAAACAATAAATCATACATTTATTCTTTATACTTTATTTCCATTTACAATAGCAACAAAAAATTAAATACTTAGGTGTAAATTTAACCAAAGTGGTAAAAGACTTGTATGTTGAAAACTATAATCACTGATGACAGAACTTGAAAAAAAAAACCACAAATAAATGGATAGATATCCCATACTCACGGATTAGAAAAATTATTATTGTGAATATGTTCATACTATCCAAAGTTGTCTATAAGTTTAATATAATTTCCATTAAAATTCCAATGCCATTTTTCACAGAAATGGAAAAAACAATTCTAAATCCATTTGAAACCACAAAAGACTCTGAATAGCCAAAACAGTGTTAAGCAAAAAGAACAAAGCTGAAGGCATTACACTCTCAGATTTCAAACATATTATAATGTGATTGTAATGAAGCCTGCATGGTAGTGGCATAAAAGCAGGCACATCTACCAATGAAACAGGACTTAAAAAAAAAATAAGATAAAAACCCAGGCAATTATAGTCAACCAATTTTTGACAAAAAGTTTCCAAGGACACACAATGGAGAAAGGATGGTCTCTTCAATAAATAGTGTTGGAAAAACCAAATACATACATTCATCAGAGTAAAATTAGAGCCTTATAGCCTACACTATACACAAAAATCAACTTAAGATAGATTAAAAACTTAAATATAGGACCTGAAGCTATGAAACTACTGGAAGAAAACATGAGGGAAATGCTTCATGACATTGGTCTGGGCAATGATATTTTGATAAGACTTCAAAAGCACAGGCAACAACGCAGAAATTGACAAATGAGATGGCATCAAACTAAAAAGCTTTTGCACAGTAAAGGAAACAATTAACAAAATGAACAGACAACTCACAGAACGGAAGAAAATAGTTGAATACCATAAGAAAACAGTTGAATATCATGTGTCTGACAAAAGGTTAATATCCAAAATATATAAGGAAATCAAACAACTGTGTAGTAAGAAAATAACCTGATTGAAAAATGGGCAAAGGAGCAGAATAGAAAATTTTCAAAAGAAAACATTCAAATGGCCAATAGGTAGATGAAAAAATGCTCAGTATCGCTAATCATAAGGGAATTGCAAATTAAAACCACAAGGAAATATCACCTCAAATCTATTCAAATGGTGTTTATCAAAAAGATAAAAGATGGCTGGGCACAGTGGTTCATGCCTGTTATCCTAGCACTTTGGGAGGCAGAGGTGGGAGAATCACTTGAGCTCAGGAGTTGAGACCAGCCTCAGTAACAAAGTGAGACTCTGTCTCTATAAAAAATTTAAAAATTAGCAGGGTGTGGTGGTACATGCCTATAGTCTCAGCTACTCAGAAGGCTGAGGCCAGAAGATCTCTAGATTCTGGGAGGTCAAGGCTGCAGTGAGCTATGATCATGCCACTGCATGCCAGCCTGGGTGACAGAGCAAGACCATGTCTCAGCGGGGGAAAAAAAGAAAGATAACAAGTGTTGGAGTAGATGCAGAGAAAAGGGAATTCTTACATGCTGTTGGTGGGAATTTAAGTACAGCCATTGTGAAAAGCAGTGTAGACAGTCCTCAAAAGCTAAAAATAGAACTACCGTATGACCCAGTAACCCCACTTCTGGGTATATACCCAGAGGAAATGAGATCAGTATGTTGAAGGGATGTCTGCACTCCCACGATTACTGCAGCATTATTTACGACAGTCAAGATATGGAACAGATGAATGGATAAAGAAAAATGTGATATATATATATATATATATATACACACACACACAATGGAATACTATTTAGCCTTAAAAAGAGGAAAAACTCTGTCACTTGCAACACCATGGATTAATTTGGCAAATATTATGGTAAGTGAAATAAGCAAGGCACAAAAGGACAAGTACTGCATGATCTCACTTGTATGTGGAATCTGATAAAGTTGAATTTATAGAAGTAGAGAGGAGAATAATGGTTACCAGAGGCTGGGGAGAGAGGCTGTAGAGAGGGAGGAAAAGTTGTTGTCCAAAGGGTACAAAGTTTCAGATAGACAGAAGGAATAGCTTTTGAGATCTATTGTGCAGTAGAGTGATTATAGTCAATAGCTATGTATTATATATTTCAAAATAACAGAGATTATTTCGAATGTCTCACCATAAGAAATGATACGTAAGTATGGTGATAGAAATGTTAATTAGTTTGATTTAATCATGCTACATTGTATACGTTTACCAAAAACATCACACTGTATCATATAAATGTATAGAATTATAGTTTGTCTATCAAAATATTGATAATATGTTTTAAAAAGAAATAAACAAAAAAAGAAATAAAAAGAATATGTAGTTGGGGTAGGGAGATTCTTGTCTCCCGCCTTCACTGGGGAACCCTCAATCTCTAAATGATTCTCTTGTGTCCCATCTTCATGTATATAATACAGCTGTTGCTTCTACATATCTGGTGCTGGGCCTAACCTCAGCAGGTCAGAGCATCAGAAAGGAAAGATGTACATAAAGTGGAGGAGAGCAAGGTTGAGCTGGAACCTGCATCAGCCTCACACTTCTGAATCTCCAGCTTCAAAGATGGGTAGCCTTGTAGATGCAGGTGCACTGTGTCAAGATGCTAAACATACATCTGACCCAGGAGTTAATTGAAGGAGGAAATATGATGAGAGTTAGAAGAGCTGTGAGCTGGATTGTTGAGTTGTGTAAAATCAACTCAACATGCTTGAGCTGCTACAGCCTCTGACCTTCTGAGAGTAAATATGTCTGCTGCTTCACTTCCGCTTTCCAATTCTCATGCAAATGTCACTGTGGCCAACCCCATCCCTGACCATACAGAGAAGAAAATACTGGAAAACACAGTTCTAACTTAGCTAGGTTGACTTAGTACAAAAATACTACAAGGCCTGACTTCTAACTCCAGTGATTGCCTCGTTCCCCACCCACTTTCTGTCTTCTCATACAGATTCAAAGGAGACAGGAAATGGGTGGTGGATAATGATAGCAGAGCTAACCTCTCAATAGTTCTGGATGGCATCTAGCCCAGTTATTAAGGATCTTTTTTAAATGTGGGCTTCTTGATTCTTCCTGTTCTCAGCTTTGGACCCAAGTCACCAATTCCAAGGCAACAGGAAATGTCCCACTTAACATCCCATTACATAAGACTGCATGTAAATGAATCTTCTGAAAGAGAAGGGATCACTACTAGATTATCCATGTACAGCTTTAGCTATTTAAGCATTTCCTTCTATTATTGCATGAACATGTTCACAAGTGTAATAACAAATTTTAAAGTGTACATCACAATTTTACTAATTCAGATCTATACCACAGATTGGAAAATATAGGCCAGTGCTTTTTGAACTATAAGAGGAATGTATAAATTGATACCAAGTAGATCATTGTTATCTTAGCTATATAATACTTCCCCTTCCAAAGAAACATATTTCTATGGGACCAAAATATTATTTTTTTAGCTTGATTGTACTGTATTATTACAGAACTCAGAGTCCTTTCATGAAATATTATTACTAGGAAAAACATGAAAATGTAATAGATACTTTATTGATTTATACATACAATACCAATTCTAAGGCTTAGATTAGGAAGACATCTACTCAGGATATAAATGTGGATGTATAATAAACTTATTTAAAAGTTTGTGAGGTCAAATTAACTGCATTGGTAAAATGTTCTATATTGACTCCTAAGTGATTTCCTGAGTATGTTTTGCTTATGATTTATGTTCCATTCACCCATATCCATTCACTACCAAAAAGGATTTGAGGTGACTGATTTTCTAGATTTAACCTAATTCTATGCATAATTCAAGATAAATAAACTGTGAACTATGTATGATTTATTTTACTCTTCAACTAAAGCTGTGTAAATATTTTCTCTGAGCACTGAATGTTTCTAAATCATGGAGAATATATTTAAATTCAGCAACTGATTTGTTGACAGCAAGTATAATGAAAACCTACAACTACACACACACACAAACACATACACACAAATGTAGAAAAAGATAGGGGAGGATACACTCCCAGCTGTGAAAAGCAGTTCTCTGAAGAGGAGAGTGAAACCACAGAAGGCAGGAAGGAGGGGCATACTTGGGTATCAGGAGAGATAAAAGAGGGCTTCCACTTGTAATTTTTACAATGAATATAAACTATACGAATATGCATTTAAGGAAACAAACACTATTTTAATTAAAAGATCACATAAGTTTTAATTTAAAAGGGCATAGTTGCTAAATAAAAATAAATTAATCCTACTTTTTATTTTATTTTAATTTTTTTGAGACAGAGTCTCACTCTGTGGCCCAGGCTGGAGTGCAGTGGCATGATCTTGGCTCACTGCAACCTCTGTCTCTTGACTTCAAGCAATTTGTGTGCCTCAGCCTCCTGAGTAGCTGGGATTACAGGTGTGCACCACCACTCCTAGCTAATTTTTGTATTTTTAGTAGAGACAGGGTTTCACCACGTTGCCCAGACTGGTCTCGAACTCCTGGCCTCAAGTGATCCACCTGCCTCAGCCTCCCAAAGTGCTGGGATTGCAGGTGTGAGCCACCACGCCTGGCCCCAAAATAAATTATTCTAAACATAACACTGTATGCATATTAATAATGATTCTAAATTTTTCTATTTTTTGGCACAAAAATATCTTTATCATATATTATTAAGTTTAACAAAACAAGCACATTAGAAAGCATGTTTAGAGTGTGTATTAGTCAGGGTTCTCTAAAGGGACAGAACTAATAGGATAGATGTACATATGAAAGGGTGTTTATTAGGAGAATTGACTCATATGATCACAAGATAAAGTCCTGCAACAGGTAATCTGCAAGCTGAGGAGCAAGGAAGCCAGTGCGAGCCCCAAAACCTCAAAAGTAGGAAAACCAACAATGCAGCCTTCAGTCTGTGGCCAAATGCCCAAGAGCCCCTGGTAAATCACTGGTGTATGTCCAAGTGCTGATTGGACACTGCTGATGTTTGAAGGCAGGAAGCATCCAGCATGGGAGAAAGATGGAGGCCAGAAGACTCAGCAACTCTGCTCTTTCCATGACTGATTTCATGTTGGCAGCTGATTAGATGGTGCCCACCCAGATTTCCAGGTTGAGGGTGGGTCTGCCTCTCCCAATCCACTGACTCAAATGTTAATCTCCTTTGGCAACACCCTCACAGACATATCCAGGAACAATACTTTGCATCCTTTTCTTTTTTTACACGGAGTCTCGCTGTGTCACCCAGGCTGGAGTGCAGTGGCACGATCTCGGCTCACTGCAAACTCCACCTCCCGGGTTCATGCCATTCTCCTGCCTCAGCCTCCCAAGTAGCTGGGACTACAGGCACCCGCCACCAGGCCCGGCTAATTTTTTTGTATTTTTAGTAGAGATGGGGTTTCACCATGTTAGCCAGGATGATTTTGATCTCCTGACCTTGTGATCTGCCGGTCTCGGCCTCCTAAAGTGCTGGGATTACAGGCATGAGCCACTGCGCCCGGCCTACTTTGCATCCTTAAATTCAATCAAGTTGACACTCAATATTAACCATCACAGAGTGATTGCAATTTTATAAAAATGTTATCTATCTCAATCTTTCTTCCTCTATCTGTCTATCAAGAGTGTATGTGTCTGTTTTTGCATGTGTGTAGAGGAATTGCCACGAGGATAATCTATACACTAAAACATTAGAGTGATCATCTCTAGGTGGAGATTACAGGTGATCTTTCTCCACCTCCCATGCTGTTGCTTCTTCTCCTTCTCCTCCTCCACCTCTTCATTTTCCTTTTCCTCCATTTTCTCCTTCTTCTTCATGCTCACTTGTCTATATTTTCCTACCTTAAATATGTGTTACTTTTATAGCTTAAAAATTATAAACATAAAAAGTAAATTTCAGATAACAGTAACCATAATCATAATAGGGTTTTGAGAACCCACTACACACCAGGCACTATGTAAATTCAGTCAGTTCTTACCATCCCCTGATTGAGGTAGGTATTATTATTATTACTATTTTATACATGAAAAAAAACCCATATCTTAAAAAGTAGGGTGGTATACCTATAATCCCAACACTTTGGAAGGCCAAGACTGGAGGATTGCTTGAGGTGAGGAGTTAAAGACAAGCCTGGGCAACATGGCGAAACCCTGTGTCTACAAAACATGCAAAAATTAGCCAGGCATGGTGGTGTGCACCTGTCATCTCAGCTCCTCAGGAGGCTGAGGTAGGAGGAGCATTTGAGCCCCAGAGACAGAGGTTGAGTGAGCTGAGATTATGCCACAACACTCCTAGCCTGGAACACAGAGGGAGACTCTGTCAAAGAAAGAAACAGAGAAAGAGAGAAAGAAAGAAAGAAAGATAGAAAGAAAGAAAGAAAGAAAGAAAGAAAGAAAGAAAGAAAGAAAGAAAGAAAGAGAGAGAGACAGAAAGAAAGAAAGAAGGAAAAGAAAGAAAGAAGGAAAAGAAAGAAAGAAAGACAGAAAGAAAGAAAGAAAAAGAAAGAAGGAAAGAGAAAGAAAGAAAGAAAGAAAGAAAGAAAGAAAGAAAGAAAGAAAGAAAGAAAGAAAGAAAGTGAGTGACTTGTTCAAGTTCATACAGCTAGAAAGATAAATTTTAGATATAAGGAAGGGGTCCAGTTTCAGTTTTCTGCATATGGTTTGCCAGTTTTCCCAGCCCCATTTATTAAATAGGGAATCCTTTCCCCATTGCTTGTTTTTGTCAGGTTTGTCAAAGATTAGATGGTTGTAGATGTGTGGCGTTATTTCTGAGGCCTCTGTTCTGTCCCATTGGACTATATATCTGTTTTGGTACCATACAAAAACTAACTCAAGGTGGATAAAAGATTTAAATGTAAGGCCTAAAACCATAAAAACTCTAGAAGAAAACCTAGGCAATACTATTCAGGACATAGGCATGGGCAAAGACTTCCCGACTAAAACACCGAAAGAAATGGCAACAAAAGCCAAAATTGACAAATGGGATCTAATTAAACTAAAGAGCTTCTGCACAGCAAAAGAAACTATCATCAGAGTGAACAGGCAACCTACAGAATGGGAGAAAATTGTTGCAATCTATCCATCTGACAGAGGACTAATATCCAGAATCTACAATGAACTCAAACAAATTTACCAGAAAAAAAAAAAAAAACCACCAAAAAGTGGGTAAAGGATAAGAACAGACACTTCTAAAGAGAAGACATTTATGCGGCCAACAAACATATGGAAAGAGGCTCATCATCACTGGTCATTAGAGAAATGCAAATCAAAACCACAATGAGATACCATCTCACACCAGTTAGAATGGCAATCATTAAAAAGTCAGGAAACAACAGATACTGGAGAGGATGTGGACAAATAGGAACGCTCTTACACTGTTGGTGGCAGTGTAAATTAGTTCAACCATTGTGGAAGACAGTGTGGCTATTCCTCAAGGATCTAGAACCAGAAATACCATTTGACCCAGCCATCCAATTACTGGGTATATACCCAAAGGATTATAAATCATTCTACTATAAAGACACATGCACAAATATGTTTATTGCAGCACTGTTCACAATAGCAAAGACTTGGAACCAACCCAAATGTCCATCAATGATAGACTGGATAAAGAAAATGTGGCACATCTACACCATGGAATATTATGCAGCCCTAAAAAAGGATGAGTTCATGTCCTTTGCAAGGACATGGATGAAGCTGGAAACTATCATTCTCAGCAAACTGACACAAGAACAGAAAACCAAACACTGCATGTTCTTACTCATAAGTGGGAGTGGAACAATGAGAACACATGGACACAGGGAGGGGAACATCACACACTGGGGCCTGTCAGCAGGTGGGGGGCTAGGGGAGGGATAGCATTTGGAGAAATACCTATTGTAGATGATGGGTTGATGGGTGTAGCAAACCACCATGGCAATTATATACCTTTGTAACAAACCTGCGTGTTCTGCACACGTATCCCAGAACTTAAAATATAATAAATAAATAAACATAAAAAAGAAAGATAAATTTAAATCTATTGGCTTTCAAAGCTCAGGCTCTTTTCCTCTACATCACTAAGTAGAGCCACGAACACTTTTACCTTTACTCCTTGAAATTTAGGAAAGTCAAAGGAAAACTTGGAAATCAAAGGTTTCATTATATTCAACATCATTTAAATAAGGATATATGAAAGAGTTCCCATGTGGCTCTTTTCTACTGGTCTTTATGTTTCATTTGTCCAATTGGAGAATTACGAATCAGAAGTTTACCCATCATATACACTCATATGCTTTTGAGATCACATACTGTATACATAGACATAATATATAAATGCACATGTATATTCATATAAATTATACATGTGTACACACATATCCAAATATAAAGATTAGTAAATGAAAAATTAACATCTTCACATTAAGTAACTGTTTTTGTACAAATAATAGAATAATTTTTATTTTTTAAAGTTACAAAAGGCAAGGAAGGTAAAACTGGAAGGTGAGTGTGGATACATGCATGTTAGCGTGTAGTATGTGTACAATCCATTTGTTCTTAAAAGTAGTGAGTTGTGCTAATTTTTCCTTCTTTATATATTAAGGTTTTTATGAAGAATTGTGGGACAGATTTATATATATATATTTATATATACACACATACATGTATATAATCATACATACATGTATATAATCTAAGGCAGCTGTTCCAATTGCTATTAATATTGGATTATTAATAATAATCCAAATAGATCCACAAAAGCCACAGCACCAGGAGAACGAGTTCTGGATTTTCTTGCCCTGGAATACTTTCCATGGGAAAAAGCCCATTAGGTCAAACAGATGAGGCAACGTAGGTTCAAGCAGAATCATCATGGCAGTACCAAAGACGTTTTCAAGCACACAGGTTCAGTATAATCTCCTCTATGGACAATTCTGCCCATTTGCCTTGTGCTGTCTTCCTTTGTCTGCTTTCCAACTCCCCCCTGGCCCCCAAACTTCAGCTCAGATTTCTCTCTATGTGTTGGGCTACACCTAATAATCATTTACTTATTTTACATCTAGTATTTTCAGTATATTATTAGCAGGAGAAGCCACTGGTCCCCAAGCAGCCGTCATCACCTCCTCCTACACCTTGAGGTGCTGGACAGAGCAGCCCATGCCCAGCTCTTCAGTTTCTGCTGACTCTGCCTCTGTTGGTTAAACTCCTGCCATGATCCAGAATCACCTTATTCTAGTGAATACCCGAATGTTAACAGTCTACACTCTTGCCTTACCTGTTTCTTCCAATGCCTCCCCTAAAATCCTGATTTAATTTACTCTATGTCTACTGCCTAAACCAGATACATTTTTCCTTCTTCAATGTTAACTACATTTAAGGTATCTTTTCTTATCAAAACCATCCAACACTCTAACTACTGCTTATGTCTTTCTGAAATGTCTTCTCTCTCCCTCTGGGTCTAAAATGAAATGCATCTTGTATCTTTTAAATTTTCTTCTCTATACCACCCACGAAATCTGTTTCCACCATATACCACAAACAGGTAATTTATGAATGATAAAAATACCAAAAACTTATTCAATCCTTATCATATAATAGGTGTTTTAAAGCCAATTCATAGATATTTATTTAAACCATATAACAATCCTTGGGGGTAAGTACATTACTAACCAAAGTTGATAAATTAAAGGACTAAGGCACAGAACAATTATGCAACTTGCCCAAGCTTTTACATCCAGCAAGTAGTAGAGGCAGGATTTAAGCCAAGTCAATGAGGGTCACAGGCCATGTGCTCAGTAAGTGTACCCCCTCCCTGTTGCAATTCCTGTTGCTGAAGTCCATGCAGTGTTGTCCCTCGTCCACGTGCTTACTGTCTCACCCACAATGGAATCATGATGACTAAGTTATATGACTAAAGAAAAGATCTCTGCTGCTTCTCTCTCACCAATTCCATTCTGGGTCCTTAGTGCAAGAACATGAGGGCAAAGAATGTTGGTTGACTGTTATTAAAAAGAAGAACAGTCAAACAAACAAACTGAATCCTTTGCTATTATCCTGCCTTGAATGGCATATGTTCCCTGGAACAACCATCTATTTGCTAATAAAAAATATCGCATTACAGATCTGATAAAAAAGCATGTATTGGAATATCTGCTATGTGGGAGGCATTATTCTATGCATGTTCACCACATTAATGTATTTGACTAAAGAAGATGAGCAGAGAGAGGTATGGTCATGAAGAAGGTGGGGATCTGGAGCCAATAGCAGACATAATATGGAAAAGGAATTAAATTTAAGTGGGAATAAATGCTTCAGTTACTAACATAAGAGAAAATGACACTGTGCATCTATTGCCATTTAGACACTGAGCAATCTGAAAAATTGGTCCACTCAGTCATAAAAAGCCACGACAGACTGACTCTGAAATCATATCCAATATATATTTTCATAATAGATGTGAGTGAGTACATGGAAATAAAATGTATGGTCCCAAGGTTTGAAATTATTCATTTGACCTGGTGTTACAGTGTTACAACAGAATGTAGTTAATAAGATCAATACACAGAGGATGGGCTTCCCATGCTTGATTTTAAAGAATATTTCATGTAAACTGCTCTGTATTTCCATGGAAACACAAAGGGAACTCCATAGTGCAGTGAGCAGGAGGTAATAGAGAAAAGAGAGAGAATTAGCAGGCTTGGTTACTGTTAATAATTACCTGGGTAGCAATTATTGCTTTTGGAAAGTGCACAATCTTTGTAGCTGTCACTCATTGGTGACCTCAGATTTCACTTAGTCTGGAAGCCAAAGGATTTAGTTCATTTCATTTGCATTCAGAAAGCCCCCCCACCTATAACCACCAATCCCAAGATATGTCAAAGTACCTTTTCTCAGATCTTGCTTAGAAAGAGCACTCATATGTGGGAGAAAAGGCACAATCTGTTTAGCCTTAAGGTACCAACTTTTTCATTTACCCAGCTCTTGGCTCCTAGTGATTTTGTTCAGAATTAGAGAAGAGTTAGCCAAATGCCCAGAGAAGCAGCTGTTCCTCTAAAACAAACTGGAAAGGAAAACAATCACTCCTCCTGCCCCCCACTAGAAGAAGGCAAATGGTTCCAAAACTGATGGTTTTAAGGATTGTCTACCACTCTACTTAGGAATATGTTTTCCGAAGAATTAAGGCCCTGTGGACATCCTAGAGTGAGGAAGCTCTGTGCTATAAAGGAACATGGTGCTCAGGCATAAGAAAGAGTGAAAAGAAGATAGAGCTGGTTAATCTAGCCTTTAATTAGCTGCATTTCCACGGAAACGCTTTCCCATTTTCCCAGTTGTCTCTGTAAATCAATTTAGAGCTGCTTTGCTTAGGCTCCAGGCAGACAGAGTGGAATCACAGTCCTTCAAAGAGGTGTGAGTTTTTCTCATTTATCATCCTGGGGTGCTTGCTTCAAAGCCTAGTTGGAGGACTACTTAAAGGAAAACAAATCTAAACAAAACGGAACTGTGCCGTCTGGATTTGGTTGAAAATCTTGGGAATGTGCGGCAGAAAATTCCAAGCACAGACCTGGAAAGTGATTTGCAAGAGACCTCACAAAGGGCTTAGAAAAAATAAACAATCAGTGAACTCACATCCACAAACATACACACACACACATAGGCAGTGGGACTGGAATAGAAATGTGAACTTTATTGGAAACCACATTTGGCACAGGAATTGGCCTTCCTGGCTTTGGCCTTCAGCAAGTAGGTTACTACCGAATTTTTGACAAGGCTTCCAAGCTTGACAGCCTTTCTACATTAATTGGTTCGCACTCAGCCCTGTAAATATTTAAGCTACCTGTGGCATTGGGAACGTGATAAGATTATGTGATTAGTTATGTGATTAGGATTAGTAGGTTCTCTGATAAGAAAGACTTAAAGTTTACAAATTTAGAAAGAGTATGAAAATACGTGTGTGTGTGTTCACTTGTGTGTGCGTGTCCAGCTTTAAAGAAGATCAGGTCACACGTCACTGATTTTAGTTACTACAAAGTCGGGGTGAGGTGGGGTGGGGAGAACCTTTCAAGGCCATAGAAGAGGACTAGTCCCAAAGCATGAAGCATCTGAGCCTAAAGAGATTTTGGACTAGGATTTTCAAGTGTTTTTCAGTTTGTGGACATCTGTTGACTTACTGAGAAACACCTGAGGGGCAAAGAAAACCATTGTAATTCAGCCATCTGGTCATCTTCTTGTTCAAGCATCTGTCTTCTGTACCCTCTTCCCTAGACCACCAGGCCAGTGGTGTTCAAAGCTTTTTGATCTCAGCCTATTGTAAGAAATATATTTTACAATGCAACCCAGGATATTCACAATACTTCCATAGATATTATGGAAATAAATGTTCACGAACAATACTTAACCAAAGTTCACTTTGGTATTTTCTAGTCTATTCTATTCTATTTTCTTTAATGCTTGTCATGACTCACTAAATTAATTTTATGTCTCACTAATGAATTGTGTCCTGCTGTTTGAAAACACTACGCTAGAATGTATTAACCTTAGGGACAAGTATTCTAATCACTCTGTATCTCAGCTCCTAACACTTGGTCACTCAGTAAGTATTTACTGAATAAATGAGTGGTAAATCAATAAATGAATAAGTTGAAGCTAATATTCTATATTCAGTATACAAAACAAGAATATTGACTGGCCTAGAAGTAATATTTAAGCTACAAATTAATCAGGAAAAATATAAAATAAAAGGTAAATATCACCCTTCAGGTGGTGGTTTTAGGTATTTGGGTGAACATTATTACCTGCTCCCTGGTAGTAATAATAATAATAGTTATGACCATAAGAATGATGATTGCCCACACTTATTAATCAGTTACCACGTACCAGCTATCTCTGTGCTAGGAGAGGAGCTATGAAGATGAATGCCACTAATTCCAGTTCTTAAAAAGGTTCTGCTATAGAACTCTTCCAAGTCATCTCCCAATGACCTGGAACGACCAAGTGACCTGGAATTTGAATTCCAGGTGAGATCATAACCTTTGGCTGGTATGGAAAAGTGGAAATGACATCTATAAGAGAGGTGGAGATGAGAGTGACAACATCTGCTTGCCAACAGTTTTTATAGACATCTGCTCAGTGAACAGAGGAGTAGGGAGAGAGAAGAGAGGTAGAAGATGCATCACTGCTATTAAAGAATTATTCAGGACAATTTCTCTTGCCCCTAATAAAAGACACTGTGCCATCCTGTGGAAACATCACCATGATAGTAAGGAATATTATGTATTGATTAAAAGCTTGTTCTCTAGTCAGAAGAACTTGTTTCAAATCCTAATCTGCTACTTCCTAACTAGGTGGCATTGGTCAAATTGCATATTTTTTCTTTACCTCAGCAATAGGATGGGGATTCTTTAAGATCTATTCTATCAGGCTGTTTTAAGACAGAAGTTAAAAATGCAACTGTCTACAGGGGCCTGATTATAATTAAATGAATTAAGGTGGTAAAAAAAATAGGGAATGGTGCTGATTGTAGAAAACTGGATAGCACAGGCCCCATTTAAAGTCATTCAAATTTATCTTTTGAAAACACAGTTCCAGCCTACAGGCCAGATTTGTCTGCATGCCATCAGTCTGCAATTAAATAAGACAATGATCATAAAATGCTTCCCACAGTGCCTAGCACATAGTAAGCACTCTATAAATTGGAGCTATTATTAGCTATTATTTTATCACATTTAAAAAATCCCTAGGACCATTTGCAGATTCTCTTTAAGAGAGGAAATAAATGGCCTCAGAATTACTCCATTGCGTGCCCCAGTTAATGGCATCATTAAAAATAAACAGGCCTTGAAGAACACACAATAGGGACAGGACAGCCTCTTCAATAAATGATGTTGGTAAAACTGGATGTCCACATGCCGAATAATGAAATCAGACTTATCTTATTCTTAACATATTAAAAAAAATCTCAAAATGAATGAAAGACTTAAATGTAAGATCTGAAACTATGAAACTATTAGAAGAAAACATAGGGGAAAAGCTCCGTGACATTGGTCTGGGCAATGACTTTTTGGATAAGACCTTAAAAGCACAGGCAACAAAAGCAAAAAACAGACAAATGGGATTATGTCAACCTAAAAAGCTTCTGCACAGCAAACAAACAATCAACAGAGGACACAATTTGCAGAATGAGAGAAAATATTTGCAAACTATCCATCTGACCAAGGGTTGATGTCCAAAATATATAAGGAATTCAAACAACTATATAGTAGAAAAAAATAAGTTAAAAACATGCAAAATATCTGAATACAAATTTCTCAAAAGAAGACATACATATGGCCAACATGTATATTAAAAAAGTGCTCAAAGATCACTAATCATCAGAGAAATGCAAATCAGAACCGCAATGAGCTATTATCTCATCCCAGTTACAATGACTATTATCAAAAGGACAAAGATAGCATGGAGAAAAGAGAACCCTTGTACACTCTTGGTGGGAATGTAAATTAGTACAGCTATTATGGAAAACAGTAGGGAAGTTTCCCCAATATTAAAAATAGAACTACCATATGATCCAGCAATCCCACTACTATGTATACATTTAAAGGAAATGCAATCACTACGTCAAAAAGATATCTACATTCCCATGTTTACTGCAGCATTATTCACAATAGCCAAAATATGAAATCAATCTTAGTGTCAATCAACAGATGAGTGGATAAAGAAAATGTGGCCTATATACACAATGAAATACTATTTAACCACAAAAAGGAATGAAATCCTGCTGTTTGTGACAATATTGATGAACGTAGAGGACATTACGTTAAGTAAAATAAGCCAAATCCAGAAAGATAAATACTGCATGATCTTCCTCATGTGAAATCTAAAAATGTTGATCTCATAGAAGTAGAGAGCAGAATGGTGGTTATTAGAGGCTGAGGTTTTTGAAGGGAAGGAGGGATGGGGAGGTGTTTGTCAAGGGATATATGAATTCAATTAGACAGGAGGGATAAATTTTAAGATCTATTTCATAGCAAAGTGACTACAGATAATGACAATATATGGTATTCTTGAAAATATGCTCTCACCACAGAAATGATAACTATGTGAGGTAATATATTTGTTGATTGGTTTGATATAACCACTACTCAATGTATATATACTTCAAAACATAATGCTTTACATGATAAAAACATACAATGTCAATTTTTTTTTAAATGGGCTTTAGGCCAATTCAGTGATACAATAAGTAAAGAAGCCTGCAGTTGGTTGTCGTTAAATAAGAGAATGTGAATGATCTCATGTTTAGGAAGCCAGAACCATCCATGGTGTGCAGGGAAGCTGTGCAGGGGAGACCCCTGGAATACATTTTGGACTCTGATACCATTGTAATGATGAGTAGCAAAGCAGTTGCTTAAGGAAGCAGAAAAGAAGGGATTCCTGCCAGCTGGTATTCAATTCTACCTGCCCATCCCTTCCAAGGTAACATCATAGAAGGCTTTGGGGTTTGATAGACTTTGGGGTACAGCCCTCATTTCCCCCACCTGCAACACACAAGGGGATTTTACCAGCCTAAGCTTTGCTTGTCTCCTCTGTTACATTAAGGATGGTAATGCATTAGCACTGATGGTTCAGCCAGCACTCTGCTGCATAAGAGGGGTTCAATACTTTTAACCTTCCTTCCTCCTCATTTCCTGTGAATAGTTTTACATTGTTCAGGCTATTTATTTTTTGCTCAAACACCTCCTAAATTTCCATCTGTCTAAAAATGGGGGCAGGAAAGTGCCCAAAGTCTCATCAGTCCTGCCTGCTCTCACCCTGCCACTCCCTTCCCTAATTGACATCCATGGGTTCCAAAGGACCCAAATGGCTCCCCACCCTGCCCTCACTTCTTCCGCCTTCCATAGAAACGTGCCATTCTGCTCGGGCTTCTGCCCCCGCCTTGCAGAGCCCATCAGGCTTACTAGAAAGCTCCCCAAAGGGCAATAAAAATTTTTGTCAATCTCAGGCCCACCTGCGGCATCTCTTGAGTACACATCCCCCTGTCTGTCCTCCTCCTTTGATTCCGGGCTTTGTAAATCTTTTACCACATGTTGTCAAAAGCCTGGCAGATCCCCCAAATCCTTCCCTGATAACACTCATTCTCTTTAAACAACCTGGCAGTACTTCTAAGTGAGAAAAAGCCCTAAAATAAAATACACCGTGTTTAGTCTCTAAGGTCATTTCCTGGCTTTGTCCAGCCGTTTCTGTTTCCTCTAACTAATCACCAAGCGACAGTCCTGGATTTATTGTGGAGGCTACTTGAAAGTTTGGGTGAACCTCTCAAGCCAGACTACACACACCCTCCATCACCCTTCCTCCCACTTCCCAGCAATTTCTCACTCACTGTGATTTAGTGTAGGGGCTTGAGGTGCAACTGTGACCACAGCTACATCTTCGTCACCAAAGCTATTTGGAAGGCAAAGGGGCCAAACCAGCATGGTCTACACAGCTGAGCACTGTGGTTATGATACAGCCCGTGAGTCCATGCCTGGCTGGGGGACAGCAGCCTTCCACGTCCCAGGCAGTAAGTGGCAGGAGAGCTGTGTGTCACCCTTGGCATGCTCATCATTAATTTCCAACTTTCAGTAGGTGCTCTCTAATAATGACACCTAATGTTTTAAAAGGATTTTCATGGGCAAGGTGAATTGCTTTACTTCATTTACTATCACAACAACCATGTGAGGTAAGAACTCTTCATAAAGAATTTTTAGAAACACCACAGTTCCAACCTCAGTCCATCTGACTGCAGCATCCATGCTCTTATGGGTCTCTGTTGGGCTGTGATATTCTCACCCCACAGTACTGATCCAAAGGTTGGATACTGCCTGATCTCAATGGAAAACAACCATAGTCAAACACACCTATACTTGTGAAATGTCAGGCAGTTTTTGAGATACTACATAGATTATTGCATTTAACCCTCACAACAACCCAAGAAATGGTTATGTTTATGAGTTCCATTTTACAAAGGTGGAAATGGGATTCCATGTTAGAAGCAGCATTTGAACTCAGGCAATATGAGCTTTAACCCTGATACTAGCTAGAGTTCCTGGGATATGGGTAAGTGTGTGTGTGTCTGTGTGTGTGTATGTGTGTGTATGCATGTATGTGTGTGTGGTGGAGGAACCAGGTGAAACAAGCAGTTATATTATGGTGTGACAAGCCCCATGTTAGTGTTGCACAAAGGGTGCTGTGGCAGCATAGAAAATGGGCCTGTACTAAACTTGAGGGTTTTTTGAAATGGCATCACAAAATAGGTGACATTGGAGGTGAACTTTGATGGAGTAGAAAAGTTTACCGCATTAGAAAGTTTAATAGGAGCTCTCTGGAGAGCACATTTTAGACCTAGAGAGCAGCATATGCAAAGGCATACAGCACCACAGGCAGGACTGAGCCCCTGCACTGGTTCCCCAGGACTGGAGGGAGGAGGCAGGACATTGAGTGACTTGGCAATGGAGCAGAGGCCAGATGTGAAGATACTTTTAAATTGTTCTATCACATTTGAAATTATTTCTGAAAGTTATGGGGAACCTTGAAGGGTTTCAGGAGAGCAGTTCTGTGATCACCTGGGTGTTTTAGATAAATCGCTACCTAAAGGGTATACTGAAGGGGAAGTCATATCTGAGGTCTGGAGAGAGCTGCTACGGTAACCGAGCTCCTCCTGTACAACCATGCAGAAAGGCAGTGTGAAAGTGCAATTGCACCACACAGAAAGGCTCCAAGTGCCATACTATGAGGAGGAAGGGGACTGACTGGCTGCACCAATACGGTGAGCCAGTCATCTGGTCACTCATCACATTTCCTGTATGCCTATGATCTTCTGGGACTATACTCACAACTTTCTGGACAAACCCCACCCTTTCTGGCTCCATGTCTTTCTCCACTACTGCAGCATCACTTACAGACTTTTCAGTATGTGCCAGG
Source organism: Homo sapiens (assembly GCF_000001405.40). Classification (NCBI taxonomy): domain Eukaryota; kingdom Metazoa; phylum Chordata; class Mammalia; order Primates; family Hominidae; genus Homo; species Homo sapiens. The sequence goes on from NC_000009.12 coordinate 20,030,672, forward strand.
TGCTGTTGTAAGAGTTCTGTAAATACTACCTCATTTAATTTGCTTATATAAGGCAGTTATGAAGTGGGTATAACCATAATCACAGTTTTACAGATAAGAAAACTATTAGTAACTATTTAGTGAAATGAGTCCTCTTAGGAAACTACCAGGAGAGTGGAGAGAGATGAGGAAGTTGCAAATGTAGTATCCCTTAATATGTCATTCTATGTAGCTAAGTGATGACTCCACCCGCTGCTCACCCCCACCCTACTCTCACCTCACATGGTCACTGGCACTTCCTATTGGAGGAAAGAAACCCTTTTGGTGAGGAAAAGATTTGCTAGACTGCTTCTTTATTCCTTGGCCCGTCCAAAGACATCATGTATGCTGTGATAATGCCACTCTGCTTTCAATATTTAGAATATAGAGAGAGATATGGATATAGATATATATGTATACACACACATATATATTCACATACACACATATATATGTATACACACACATATATATTCACATACACATACATATATGTGTAGGTGAAGAGAATTGCTTTACTTTGCACATACACACACACCCTGTGTGTGTGTGTTATTTCTCTACTTATAAAATGTGTGTGTGCGCATATATATATATACACATATATAAAATATATTTCTCTTTTAAAGTGTGTGTGTGCCCATATATATGTACACACACTTTATATATATATATATATATATATAATTTTTTTCTGTACTTATAAAGTGTGTGTGTGCGCATATGTGCACACACACACTTTAAAAGTAGAGAAAAATCTCATGGTGCATTGAAATGCTAAGAATTAAATTTTTATAAATTAAAGAGTAAGCCACCAATGAATGGATTATAAATAAGTTTAAATTTAGTGGACCATAATTGTGAGAGAAGGATGTACTTTTTTAAAAAAATCAAAAGATCACTAGGAATAACACCAATGTCTATCACAGAGTTATGTGAGGGTTCACTGAGATGAGCTGTAAAAGGTGTCACTACAAAACTTGTTATAGAACACAGCCTCCATATACATCATTCCATTCCCAGGTCCCCAGGGATAGAACTCCAGGCTGCTGGTCAGCCCCAATCCTGACTCTAGGATTTTGGCACTTGTATCCAGACAACCTAGGACTCAGCTACAAGTCACCTCTGTTGCTGTAGGGGCGTTGGTGGGCTGGTAAATGTTTAACAACAGCACGAGAGAAAGAAAGAAAAAGCCCAGATTTGTAGTGTGCACCAATTCTAATTGTGTAAATACTCCCATAATCACCGATATCAAAATATCAATATGATATCAGAGAACCTAGAGTTGAGAGGGACACAATTCAGATCTTATGAGTCAGTGTCTGCGTTTCAAGCTCGTGACTGCCCCAAGGGACTCTGACTATGCGTCTAGTCTGATGGGCTCCTATGTATTTCCTAAGGCCTGATCTATACCTTGAACAGCCTTCTATCTTATCAGGTTCTTCAGTTTTTGTTACCCTGGACCTTTTTAACCGATTAAAGCTTTGGGTGGGAATTGAGGCCAGGAAATGCTCTTGTCTCTTTCAAATGGGAGATACTTCAATCTAAATTCCTTAATTCTCTCTGTTACAATGATTGCACGTCTTTTCACTGTTTAATTAACAGAGGAGAGCTCTCTTGTATATTTGACCCACAGCAATTAAGCCACCAGCAAAGTTTGCAGGGAAAAGAAGGATGATGATTTAATTAGAGGTTAAATAATGAATTATTAATTATTGAATTGAATTAGTATTAATTAGTTTGTAAAGTGCAATAATTACATCTTTTGTGTTTTAGTATGGGACTGTGTTTTATAATTATCTGCTAAATCAATTATGTAGCCATTAGCATTTTGCCCAAGGGTCGGGTTACCATTGTTTTTTGTTCTCTGCAGACTGTAGATGACAGAGAAGTACGGTAACTATGTTCCTTCACATAAATTGTATCCTGTTTACAGTAAAATGTTAGACAACTTAGGTCATTGAGTGCTCAGTTTTTCAGTTAATGTGGACAAGGAGATGAACAATTCTGCATTATTTATCGTAGAAAGCATTTTGCCCTTAGAGTTTCTTGCCATGAATGAGGTGGTGGCGGGAGCTGGTTCTAGTAAGGAACAGGAAGGACCCAACCCAGGGAGGAGTGGGGTAAAGGTGAAGCAGGGTAGGGACAGGAGCAGGGATGGAAAAACACAGTGTATTGCAAGCTGACTTAACTATTCCTCATTCCCAGCGGCTGACCGAAAACTAGAAAATGGCAAGACGTAACTCCGATTTCCCTTTTTACAGCTGGTATGCTTTGCCTTTTGGGGTCAAAAATACCTTGGTGAATCAGATATTCAACACTGCACAAAAGGTTGAATATAATTTTAGAGTTCATGCGTCCCCTGAAGTTCATTCACGAACTCACAGATTTAGATTTTCAGGGTTTAGAAATCTGCATCTTAAATAAGCAGTTAAAGGAGGTTTTATGTGTCTGAGAAACATGACTGTGTGGCTTTCTAGGTTAAAAATCCCTCATACCTGGTGTTTTCAAAAAGACCTTGAGCAGTGTAGTAATAGTGAAAGAATAACAGCATTAGATTCAGACAGACCTGGGTCCAAATTCAAGCTTCTCCACTTAATTGCTGAGCACGTCATTTAATTGTTCTAAGCCTCAATTCCTCCACCACAGATAAGTGGAGACTTGCAATGAAATACTTGATATGGTACCTAATAGGGATGTAATACCTAATATGCAGGACTGCTAGGAGAAATAAATGAAAAAATGAATTGGAAAATACTGGTCTTAAGAAATGTTTGTGACTCCCTTTTACTTTTTAGTAGACAGGTGGAGGGTAGAGAGTTGATAGAAATAATTTGTGACAATGGACAGGATTCTTATTACAGAGTGTGGAGAACTGAATAATTGCTAAAGAAATGCATTATAATTTACTAAATCAAGGTTACGATGATATGCCCAGACAGCAGTATCTGATAATACATTAGCATGGTAAAAGACACTCCCACCAGTGCCCTGACGGTTTAAGATTCCACAGCAACTCACAGAAGTTACCCTATGTGGTCTAAAAAGGGGAGGAACCCTTACTTGTGAGAATTCCCTGCCCCTTTCCTAGAAAACTCATGAATAATCCACCCCTTTTTTAGCATATGATCAGGAAATAACCTTTAAAAATAGCCTACCAGCAGCCCTTAGGGCTGCTCTGCCTAGGGAATAGCCACCCTTTTACTCCTTTAATAAACTTGTTTTCACTTTACTCTGTTGGCTCACTCTTGAATTCTTTCCTGCAAGAAGCCAAGAACTCATGTGGCCTTCTAGGCTGAACCTCAAAATTACCACATTAGCACTGTAGATATTTTTCCAAACTGGACTGTAACAGTGAGGACAAAGTTGACCAAAGAGAGAAAGTTAAAGATATGGAGGAAATTTTGCCAAAGATCTAAAAAGGATTGAAAATGCCTCAAAAGCACTGTCAGCTCTCACTGGCTATCCTTCCTGCTTGATTATCTACACGACCCCTTCCTTACAAAATAGTTTCAACCTGGATAAAATATTCTTTTTATTATAGAAATATTCTTCAGGTTTTATAGCAGAAGTTGATGTAAAAGCATAAGATTTGCTCTATGCAAATTGTCTTTGTAGAAATAAAAGATGCCTAAACTGATTTGAAACACCTCTCTGTGGTACTGCATTACTTTTGCCTTCATTTCCTTCTTTCAGATGTTTTACAAATGGATTCAGCTGCTGGGGAAAATGTACTTATTTTAAACACTCTGGCCTTTTAAGTTTTTTTTTTTTTTTTTTTTTTTTTTGAGACGGAGTCTCTCTCTGTCGCCCAGGCTGGAATGCAGTGGCGCGATCTCTGCTCACTGCAAGCTCTGCACCCCCCACCCCGGGTTCACTCCATTCTGCTGCCTCAGCTTCCCGAGGAGCTGGGATTACAGTGGCCCGCCACTATGCCCGGCTAATTTTTTTTGTATTTTTAGTAGAGACGGGGTTTCACCGTGTTAGCCAGGATGGTCTCGATCTCCTGAACTCGTGATCCGCCCGCCTTGACCTCCCAAAGTGCTGGGATTACAGGCGTGAGCCACCGCGCCCGGCCTGCCTTTTAAGATTTAAGAACCAGTAGATACTGTTTAAAATGGAACTAGCACTGATTCCACAATTGTTGGTGAATGTTCAATAGGAAAAAAAGATTCCATTTTAAGGGAGCTTATATTACAAAATTACATTGGTGAACGTGCATGTTTGAAATTCATACTCCATTTCCTCTATAGGAATGTCACAAATGGTAAATTGTGACACTTCCCAGGTTTTCCCAAGAAAAAATATAGTTAAAATGTGCTGTATAATTAAATGAAAAATATATATATACTAGAAAAAAGTACCATATTATTATACTTACAGAAATTGAGAAAAAAATAAGAGCAATGAATGTGGTAGAATTTTGAAGACTAGGGCTGAGTCCTAGTTCTAATTTTTACTGACATTAGGAAAACCATTTAAGGTCTCTGAACATCCACAACAGTTAGGTATGAAAACTCTTGATTTTACACCCGGAATGAAGTAAGTTCTAAATAAGTTTGGTAAGTTAAGTGGGGTGATTAAATAAGACAATACTTGTAAAGCACTATAGTGTCCATTATATAGGAAATGCTCAATAAATATTAGCTATCATTACCAGGATTAATCATTTTGAACTGTTGGAAACTTAATTAAGATGTATAAGTTTGCCAAGAATATGCCAGTTCCTGAAAAAAGTGGAGACTTCCAATGAAAAATGAAGCTGCAGAAGATTTTGAAACAGGCTGTGCATGGTGGCTCACACCTATAATCCCAGCATTTTGGGAGGCCAAGAAAGGAGGATTGCTTGAGCCCAGGAGTTCAACACCAATCTGGGCAACATAGTGAGACCTCATCTCTACAAAAAATAAAAAAGTTAGCTGGGTGTGGTGGTGCACATGTGTAGTCCCAGCTATTCGGGAGGCTGAGGCTGAAGTGGGAGGATCACTTGAGCTCAGGACGTCCAGGCTGCAGTGAGCCAGGATAGCGCTGCACTCCAACCTGGGTGACAGAGTGAGAACCTGTCTCAATAAATAAATAAATAAATTGAAATGGACATCTCTCTGAACCTTTGAAAGGTTTAAAAGTTGATGGTGCTAGGTTTTCTTCTCATCCAATTTCATGTCAAAACCACTGCCTTGCTGTTCCCTAGAAAGAAAGTTATCAATAGCAGAACAGTTATTCTTTGCCTGAAATGGCTAGGGGTATAATTTGGCTCGGATAGGAGTCCTAAGGAAGAATAAAAGGCAAGAGAAAGAGAGAATGAATGTGATTTATAAGATAATTGGAAAGGAGAGAGAAAAAGAGAAAGGATATGGGGAGAGAATGAAATGTCTAAGAATTGAGTGATTCTCTCTGAGCAGAAGTTTTGAAAAGAAACCGAAGTAGATTCAAAGAGCTCTCCATACTACCTCCCAAGCGGCAATAACATTTTAGTTTTATTTGTTAATTCAGATTGTATTTTCATTATATATTGACAAATTTTAGTTGTATATATTTATGAGGCACAAAGTGATGCTATGATTTTTTAATATAATGTAGAATAATTAAATCAACCTAATTAACCTATCCGTTACCTCAAATATTTGACACTTGTTGTAATGGGAACATTTGAGATTTATTCTCTTAGCAATATTGAAATGTACAGTACTCAATTATTAGCTATAATTACCACATTGTGCAATAGAACTTAGAAAAAAAATCAAACTTATTCCTCCCGTCTAATTGAAGCTCTGTACCCTCTGATTATTATCTTCCCATTCCCCCCCACTACCCAGTCTTCGGTAACTACCATTCTGTTCTCTGCTTCTATGAGTTCAATTGTTTTAGATTCCACATGTAAGTGAGAACATGCAGTATCTGATTTTCTGCGTCTGTCTTATTTCACTTAGCAAAACATCCTCCAGTTTCATGCATGTTGTCACAAATGACAAAATTTCTTCCTTTTTAAAGGCTGAATAGAATTCCATTGTGTATATACAGTCATCTTTCGGTATCCCTGGGGGATCAGTTATAGGATGCCGGAGGATACCACAATGCAGGATGCTTGATTCCCTTATATCAAATGGTGTAGTATTTGCATATAACCTATGCACACACATATATATGTGTATATATATGTGTGTGTGTATATACATATGTATATATGTGTGTGTGTGTGTGCGTATATATATGTATGTATGTATATACATGGAGTTTTGCTCGTTACCCAGGCTGGAGTGCAATGGCGTGATCTCAGCTCACTGCAACCTCTGCCACCCAGGTTCAAGAGATTCTCCTGCCTCAGCCTCCCAAGTAGCTGGGATTACAGGTGACCATCACCACATCCAGCTAATTTTTTTGTACTTTTAGTAGAAATGGAGTTTCCCCATGTTGGCCAGGCTGGTCTTGAACTCCTGACCCCAGGTTACCCACCCACCTCGGCCTCCCAAAGTGCTGGGATTACAGGCGTGAGCCGCTGCACCTGGCCTATATTTTAAATCATCTATAGATTACTTACACGCCCAACACAATGTAAAGACTATGTAAATATTGTTTGCACTTTATGGTTTAGGGAATAATGACAGGAGAGAAAAGTCTGTACATGTACAGACTCAACCATCCACTTTTTTTGCCTGAATGTTTTCGATTTGAAGTTGGTTGATTCCACAGATGCAGAACTCACAGATACTGAGGGCTGACTGTATATGACATTTGCTCTATTTATCTGTTGATGCACAATTAGGTTGATTCTATAACTCAGCTATTGTGAATAGTGCTGCAATATATATGGGTGTACAGATATCTCCTTCACATTAATCCATAGGGTAAATACTCAGAAGTGAGATTACTGAATTGACAGTAACATTCTGGTGGGGTCCTAGGGCAAGGGTAAGTGAGTCAAATGTAAAACATGGTCCCAAATAGACTATTTACAAGTCAGGCGCTTATGATTTGGGCAATGTCTAACACAGTGGTTCTCAACTATGGGGCATTTTTGCCTCCCAAGAAATATTTGGTAATGTCTGGAGACACTTTGGATTGTCTTGAGTTTATGACTCGGAAGAAGGACAAGACAAGGGATGGGTTGTGTAAATGGCCTCTAGTAGGTGGGGGCCAGGGATGCTGCAAAACATTCCACAAGGAAGAGCCCAGCTCTTCAACTAAGGGCCAGCCCCAAATGTCAAAAATGCTGAGGTTTGAAAATCCTGACCAAAAGCAATATCAAAAAATTATTTTAGGATGATTACAATATTATCACTTCAAAAGTTTTGATCAAAAAACATCAGAATTGGGAGGGTTTGGAGAAAATGAGCTTATTCTCCATTATCTGAGAGTATAAATGTTGGATGTTTCAGGTTTTCAGCTCTTTGGGGTCATCTTAATTCCAAAGTATGGCAGACTGTTTTAAAATTGAATCTCCCAAAAATATTCCCATATAATTAGAGGCATTGACTCCAGAGTTAAGTTTCTTGCACTTGAATTCCACCTCTGCCATTTCCCAGCTGTGTAAGCTTGAACAAGTTAACCTCTAAGCTTCAATTTCTTTGTCTGTTAAGTGAAGATAATAAGACAGCCCTCACAAGAGATGAGAGATGAATGAGCTAACTAATAATAATAGCTATTGCCCTTGTCATTGTTTCAACTGTTTCCTCTCAGGTGACTGGGGTCTTTGGCCCAATACCCCAGTAAGGACCTTGATTACCTCCTAGGCTGGAATTATATATCCAGTGTCAGAGGTGGAAGGCCTAAGCCTGGAAGCCTGACTCAACGCAGTGCTCTCTGCAGGTGACCCTACGAATAAAAACTCAACACACTGCAGAAATGCTGAGTGTGAGGCACTTTTATTTGCAGTGCTTTCTCTTCTCCCATCCTCTCCCTTTCTACGATATTTTTTTTCAGCAGAGTCAGTAAAAGAAACAAACAAAAAAAAAAAAAAAGGCTTTTCTTGCAAGATAAAATCAGGAATTAAACTAAAAGTCACAGTCTCCTCATTTGCATTTTAAAAGTACTAGTTTCACAAATAATAAGCAAAAACAGATTGTTACAGATTGTTAGATTACAGGCCTGATATTACAGTGGCACAGATAATAGAAGGAGTAAAACCACATGGAGGCACAGAATAATTTCTGCTGCTAAGGAGGCAGGAAAGATAAGTCGAGAAAAGTCTTAGAAAGAGAAAATCAAACTGAATTTATTTTTTAAGTTTCGTAAAATTTTTTTAAAAGCAGGCTTAAAATGTGTTTTTTAAGTAAGAAAATGGATGCGTCTTAAATAGAAATGGAAATTCAACATAATATAAAATGTCACAGAAGTAATGGACTAAGAGAGAACAGATGTTAAAACTTAAATTAAAAAGGTGTGGGTGAAGGAGAAAAAGAAAGCAAGAGGAAAATATAGACAGAAGGGGGAAAGGAGGCGGCATGGTGTGGTGGAAAGACGCTGAGCCAGACGGGCTGGCCCTGAGTTTTAGCCCTGGTGTGTCTCTTCTGTGACCTTGACAAAATCTCAAACTTCTTTGTGCCTCAAATGACCCAAAGGGACTACCTGTGTTCTGCTATGTCTAGAGCCACCCTGGGCCTGTCCTGGTGTACTGCAGGGGAGTGGGGCAGATGAAGACGACCTGGAAGCTGGAATTGGGGATGCCAACTGGGATGCGGCAGCTGGCAGCAAGGCTGAGGGAAAGGTTGGGAGGGAAACCCAGTCCAGGGCAGGAGGAAATTTCTGGAAGGTGCAAGAACAATGGTGGACATTAGGGAGCAGAAGCTGTGATAACAATGTTATTCCCATGGGTGACCCAACTATATTGGGAAGAATTTAGGAGCAGGTGAGACAAGCAGGAGGGCAGGAGGTTGGCATTGTGGAAATAGGCAGCAAGTCCCCAGTTCCTGGGCTTAGGTTTCGGGACATGTTTCCACTCCCCAGGGGTGGCTCACTGTCAGGGCAACTTGGAGCCCACTGCTGGAAACTTGGAGGTACTGGGCACAGGGGAAGAAAATGGGGATTCAGTTGTAAGAATTGGAGAATGAGGTAGGAACCAAGTCACAGAAACAAGGATAAAAAGTCTCTCCCATATCAGGAAAGAGGCAGAGCTGGAACTGTAGGGAAGAGATAGCAAGGACCAAGGATACCAGATATGAGGATGCTGAGAAAGTTCTCTGTAGCTTTAATATTCCTTCATTTATTCATCCATTCACTCAGCTTAGGCAGAGGTCAAATGATGGGTTCTAAATATGTGCTAAGTTGTATGGTCAAGTCTCATCTTTTCCGTTTCCCAGCTCTGTGTCATTGGGTGAGTAACTAAACACTAACTTTTGATTATAAAATAAGGTTGAAATTATTTCATAAATTGATTGTTGTGAAGTATGTAAACATGTACATGGCACAGTTCCAAGAACAAGGTATGTGCTCAACAAATGGAAGCTATCATCATTCATTCATTCAACATGTAACCAACACTTACCATCTTGAATCTAAGTCAAGAGCGATGGAACGATTTTTTGTTGTTGTTAGTGTTTAAAGATTTTGGTGCTATTAAAAATCTTGGTGCTATGTTTTGTTGTAATAAATAGAACAAAAATAGGTATATGGGAGAAGTTTGAGAGACATTTTGCTCTAAGGAATGTGAAAAGCAGCCAGAGAAACTCATGCTAATGCTAATATGGTTCAGAATGATTCCAGCTTTAGGGTGGGAAGGAGGGCTGGTTAAGATGGAATAATGAATCAAATGGTGGTTATGCTGTTGCTAGGACTTCTGAGCTTACAGCAAGATACCAGAGGGTCTTGCTGGCTCTATCCCAATGTGCGTCACCCATTTCTTTTCAACCCCCACCAAATGACCGAGGCAAAAATGCCTTCAAGGGCAGGAATCTGAGTTCCCATTGGCTCTACTTTTCCAAGATCCACTTCTAGACTTATTCTTTGTGGCTACATAGAAATACATGAATTAAGTTCTGAGGTTCTAAGTGGTTGCAGAACTAGCTGGGATTGCCCACAGTCATTCATCAGTGAAGATGCATCATGGCTATTTACAATTATTTTTCCTTCTGGAAAGCTAACCCAGGGAAGGGAAAGGACAGCACAGCCCCAGAGCCTACACAAGCTGCTTTCCACATGTATTTTGTAGTTTTAATCCTCACAACAAGCCTAAGAGTTGAGCCGTTTGTCTACCTGTGGCAGACAAGGGTTAGAAGCTTAATAATTTTCTATGGGTCACACAACCTATATGAAGGGGAGACAGGACCTGTGCACAGATCTGTTTAATTCCTAACGTAATGCTTTTATTCTCTCCTAAAAAGGGCAGCTCTGCTAATTACAGGCTCTGAATTTTTTTTAGGACATCGACTTTCTTTTAAAGAAGCAATGTCTAAAAATAAAGCAGGTTAACCTGTGTGCTTGCATATGAGAATGAGGAGAGAGAAAGAGAGAGAGTGCGTGTGTGTACGCGTGCGCGCGTGCGCACGTGTGCGCGCAGAAGCATGCATGAGAAAAAGAAAGAGAGATAGGGAGGTATTTCTTCTTTCATATACAAAGCAGCAGCCCCTCCTCTGTCTTTTTCATTCCAGTGTAATCTATGCACATGCAAAATAATTACTTCTTCCTGTAGGAAGTGTCAGTCCTCCAAGCAAAGAAGAAAAGGCTACAGCATATGTTACCGACACATGTTTTTGCTAGTCTTGTCTCTGTTCCGCCTGCTGTGGCAATCAGCTTTTGCAAATACTGTCACTTACCAAATACAAAAAGCATGTGCATGCCCAGCCAATGGCCTGGGATAAACACAGCCAGGCTTTCTGACTTGGAACATCCACCCAGGACAGGGGTTTTGTTTCCAAAGAACAAAACCAGCCTTGTATCATCAAAATCAGTGGTGGGGAGGGAGAGAGGGCAGTTACGATAGAGGAAAGACATGGACCCAACCCAACAAACTGCTTCAGGGTCTGCCTCATACATATGAAGGAAAATTGATAGTATTTGATAGGAGGTCTGCTCAATTCAGCCAAAGGAAAGATGGGCAGGGCTCAAAAACACTGCTGGAGAAGTTGGTATCTGGCCAAATGGCTAAGTAGCCAGTCGGGGGTCTAAGAAGCACATGCACAGAAGGGCTTTGAGCTCTGCCTCTTGGCAGGATGCCCACCCATCAAGTTCTTCCAGAGTGGGGAGTTGGCAATGCGCACTCCTAATCCCAGAAGCACTTGACAGGTAGGCTTGCTGCCGAGAGCCCCCCTTTCTGTCCCCTCAGGTGCCAGACTCTGCACTGTGGCCGCAGCAGCTACAAGCGCTACCATGAGACAAAGGAGAAGAGTCTGGCACCTGTGGTGGGGAGCCTGTCATCTTGTGGTGGGACATTTGCCTGGTACTTCCTGGCCTGGCAAATGTGCCACTGAGGGGAGCACTGTCCCTGGTGGGCAGACTGTGGCAGGAATTGGCTGGGGTCAAGAGGGCACAGCTCTGGAGATCTCCAACCTGCCATGAGTCCAGCACTTTCCAGAAGGCAGCCTCTAAGTATATTTAAATAATAAGCAGGAAGAAATGGTGGACATTTGTGGTGTCTAGGGAAAGGAAAAGAACAACTTCACTTAAAGATACAGTCACAAGAGAGAAATCTGAACTGAGTGTACACCCCTGAGGAACTCTGGAATATCTGAGAAAGCATCAAGGATTTCATTTGCATAAGGACATCTGAGCCTTCTGGAAGAAATGTTATAGAGGACTTTTAGAGCTGACAGCTTGATTCTGCAATCCTAGATCTAAGATTTCTGAAGTAAGAATGAAAACCAAAGTTATCTAACCCTAGGGGACTGAGTCATGGGAGAAAGCACCCACCAAGGTAGGGGTGAGAGGACATGGCCTTCCTTCTGGGTCCTAGGCCTTATTGCTAAGGGACATGTTCATTTATCCTTCCAATATTCTCCTTTTCAGTAGCAGAGAATGCAGGCATACCTCCTTTTATTGTGCTTTGCTTTATTGCACTTTGCAGGTAGTGTGTTTTTTACAAATTGAAGGTTTGTGGCAACAATATCTATGTGCCATTTTTCCAACAGCATGTGCTCACTTCATGTCTCTGTGTCATGTTTTGATAATGCTTGCAATATTTCAAACTTTTTCATTATTATTTTATCTGTTGTGGTGGTCTGTGACCAGTAATCTTTGATGTCACTATTTTAATTGCTTTGAGGCACCACAAGCCATGCCCATGTAAGATGGAAAACTTAATTGATAAATGTTATGTGTATTTTAATGGCTCCAATGACTGGCTTTTCCCCATTTCTCTCCTTCTCCTTGGGTCTCCCTATTTCCTAGACACGATATGGAAATTGGACCAATTAATAACCCTACAATGGCCTGTAGGTGTTCAGGTGAAAGAAAGAGTCACACACCTTTCACTTTAATTCAAAAGCCACAAATGATTAAGCTTAGTGAGGAAGGCATGTCGAAAGCTGAGACACGCCAAAAGCTAGGGCTCTTGCACCAGTTAGCAAAGGTATAAATGTAAAGGAAATGTTCTTGAAGGAAATTAAAAGTGCTACTCCAGTGAGCAAAAGAACGAAAAGAAAGTGAAACAAACTTATTACCTATATGGAGATATACAGAGTGATGAATGTTGTTTTCTTGCCTGCTAACACAACACCCATTCTGCAGCCCATGTGTCAAGCAGTAATTTTGACTTTCAAGTCTCATTATTTAGAAAGTACATTTTGTAAGGTGATAGCTGCCATAGATAGTGATTCTCTCTGATGGATCTGGACAAAGTATATTGAAAAGCTTCTGGAAAGGATTCACTATTCTGGATGCCATTAAGGGCATTTGTGATTCATACCAGGAGATCAAAACATCAACATTAATGGGAGTTTGGAAGAAGCTGATTCCAGCCCTCATAGATGACCTTGAGAGGTTTAAGACTTCAGTGAGAAAGTCACTGCAGATGTGGTGGGAATAGTAAGAGAACTTGAATTAGAAGTGAAACCTGAAGATGGCACCGAATGGCCACAATCTCATGACAAAACTTGAACAGATAAGGAATTGCTTCTTATGGAGGAGGAAAGAAAGTAGTTTATTGAGATGCAATATGCTTCTGATGAAGTTGCTGTGTTGAAATGATGAAGAGGATTTAGAATAAACTTAGTTGATAAAGCAGTGGCAGGGTTTTGAGAGGACTGACCGATTTTGAAAGAATTTCTACTGTGGGTAAAATGCTATCAAACAGTATCACATGCTACAGAAAAAAATCTTTCATAAAAGGAAAAATCAATCAATGCAGCAAATTTCATTGTTGTCTCATTTTAAGAAATTGCCAGAGCCATCCCAACCATCAGCAACCACTACCCTGGTCAGCAGCCATCAACGTCAAGACAAGACCCTCTACCAGCAAAAGATTATAACTCACTGAAGGCTTAGATGATCACTAGCACTTTTTTTTTTAGCAGTAAAGTATTTTTTATTGTGTATATTTTGAAACACAATGCAAACTTTTTATACATAATGGTATTCCACACTTAATAGACTATAGTGTAAACGTAACTTTTACATGCACGACGAAACCAAAAAATGTTGGTGACTTGCTTTATTGTGATGGTCTGGAACCTGAACCTGAAATATCTCTGAGGTATTCCTGTATATGCTAAGCCTTAAAGCCTAAAGGTCTGCAATCACAAAAGACAGAACCTACCATTTCTGCTCTGAAAAGAGCAGTATTTGTGAGCACAGGATCCCCGAACCACCATGAACGCATGGGGAGGGCAGGGAGGATGTTTAGTTTCACTTAACATTGGGAGGCAGGGTTGTGCTCATGGCTGTGGAGTTACCGCTCATTCCATTCCTTTTGCTGGGTCAAGGAAACCAGGATATCTAGGTGGAAGATTCTGGGCTTGGGTCCTCACTGGGTCCTTGGGACAACGCATATTTTATCTCATCTAATCAATTGGGGATAAAAATTATACAATGACCCAGATCATAAAAGAAAACTGATGTGGAGCTATAAAGCTCCAAAGAAATGCAAATTGTTATTTTCTGCTACAGTGTTAGAATTCTGATTATCCTATTTTTTTGTTTGTTTCTTTGTATATAGGCCCTAATGCTACCATGCACACAGTATCACTAAGTCATTAAGCTTCCATAATACTCAGTGAAGCAAAAATTACCCCCAACCACTCATACTTGGTTGTTTTTAGAGTGACTCAGCACAGGGTGAGCACATGACTTACACAGGTTACATCTTCAAGTGTTAAGATTTATCTGGTATGTGGCTGTCAACAATACTGGGGACCATTTGAGAGCAGGAACCATCTTTTCTCTTGCTGCCTGACTAGCTTCTAGCACAGTGTCTGGTATAAAGTTAGTGCTCAGTATATTTTTGTTGTATTAAATAAAATGTATCAATTTAGGTGCTTTAAACATTTCTATACATGGATCGTATAGATATACTATGCATTTGGCAAAAATTTATTGAGAACTTACTATATGCTAGACCCTGTGCCAGGCACTGTGTATACGATGTAAAAAGGATGCTTGCAGCCTAGTGGGGAAGACAGACCTCACCAAATGATCGCATTAATAAACACAGAATTGCAAAAGAAGCACAGATTTCTCAGAGAGCGTGTACAAAGCAGCTGATCTACTAGGTGGGGAGTCTCCCTAAGGAAATGATACTTCAGCTAAGACTTGAAAGAAGAGTGAGAATTAATATGGTTAAGTAGAACACAAAAAAGGAACACCTTATTATTATTATTATTATCATTATTTTTCAAGACAGAGTCTCGCACTGTCGCCCGGGCTGGAGTGCGGTGGCACAATCTTGGCTTACTGCAATCTCTGCCTCCCAGGTTCAAGCGACTCTCCTGCCTCAGCCTCCTGAGTAGCTAGGATTACAGGCGCCCGCTACCACGCCAGGCTAATTTTTTGTGTTTTTAGTAGAGGCGGGGTTTCACTATGTTGGCCAGGCTGCTCTTGAATTCCTGACCTCGTGATCTGCCTGCCTCGGCCTCCCAAAGAGCTGGAATTACAGGGGTGAGCCACTGCACTGGGCCACATGTTATTAATACTATGTGCCACACACTGTTCTGCTGGCCGTCCATGCATGCTTATATCATTCTCACAATGATCCTGTTTGGAACTACTATGAGTGTGCCTAATCATACGGTGAGAAAATCAAGGTGTGAGCGGTCAAGTGTCTTGCCCAAGAGCCAGTGAGTGATGGGTTTGAACCTGGTAGGCTGGTTCTAGAGCCACACTCCCCACATATGGAGAGAACAACTAGTGCAAAGGACCTGTGCCTTAGCAGGCAACAAAGAACAGGTCTACTCACCCCCAGGCTGGCCAGGCTCCTAGCTGCTCTCATATCAAAAGTCCCAACACTGACAGCTCTCCTTTCAGAAGAAGAATTCTGGTGAGTGTGGTGTCCTCATCTTGTTTCATCTGTAAGTTATCTTTCATGGTGCTAACACACACATGCTTGTGGAAGCCAAGGCACTGAGGCTGAATGGCCCAAAATAAAGACAAGTGCCCACTGTGTGGGGTGGCCAGCAAATATCTCAACACAGAGGCTTGTCAGCATCCATCTTCATACTGTCTAATTGCTTCTGAAGTAAGTAAGGAAAGAAAAAGAAAGGGACAGGCAGACAGGCAGACCCAGAAGGTTTCTCTGTTGCATCTGGTGACTGTAACTCACAGAGTAAGGAAGCACTTAGGCAGACAATGCCCAACCTTCCTCCAGATTGGCAATGCCAAGGGCTTTTTTATGGGCCCTTAAAATTGGTTATCAAAGGAAATGCAAATTGAGTTCATCTTTGTCTTGAAGCCATATGTCCTCTGGGATAAAAACAACATTTTTTTCTGTTAAGAATGCTATCCAGGATTTACTTGGTTACTACAGCTTGAGTGTGCACAATGTGTTCGGGGGGCAGTAAAAGGAGAAAGTGAACACTCAGAGTTACAAGTGAACCTCTATAGTCTTCAGAATGAGAGAAAAACAGTTTGCAACCTAAGAAGCAGAGATGGAAAGGAAACCTACTCTGTGGTGGGACACTGCCCACTTTTTCACAGTGGCCCTTACTCATCTTCCTTTATCCCCAGAGAATCTCATTAGCTATTTGATATTACTTATTGCCTTTCAATTTTTTAAGCAAAGTTTTTCTCTCCTCTTAAAACAGTTTTCTTCCTAGTGATCCTCCAGGTACTGCTTCTTTCTATCTACTTACTAATAAGACCCAGGATTCTTTTTTTTCCCTTTTCTAAATTCTTCTTTCTAGTGTCCAGATGGAACAACCAGGAAGACCACTTAGGGATCCCTTATTTTTACGGGACTACTATTCCTTTCCCTAATTATATAACTATCTAGCTCTTTGCACTAGAGTTTGGGAAGGAGCCGGGTTCAGCAATAGCCTATCAGCACCAGAGACTCAGAACAGCATCTGTCCAGCCTGAGGTTACAACAGGTTAGTTACAACAGGTGATGTTGACATGAAGGCCCAAGGGAACGGGCAACAGGACCTAGCATTTGAGAACACCAGCTTTGGAGTCAAGTTGCCTGGACCTAAATTCTAGTTCTGCCACTTTCTAGCTATGCAGACTGTTTGCTCAATCTTTCTAAACTTCAGTTACTAATAATAAAAAAGGGAGGGTTATAGGGTCTACTGCATAACATTCAATAAGATAATACTTATAAACCATTTAACACCATACCTGACAAAGGTCAGAGTCAGGTTAAATGTCAGCTATTTTCATTATTAAGATAAGGGGATGAAAAGCAGTATCTTAGTCAGTTTGGGGTGCTATAACAAAATACCAAAGACTGGGTGGCTTCTGTACAAAAGAAATTTATTTCTTATGTTTCTGAAGGCTGGAAAGTCCAAGATCTGCAATGGAAGATGGCCCTCCATGAGGAAGTGGGCCCTCACCAGACACTGAATCTTCACTGTGTCTGGTGACAGCCCACTACCTCATGGAGGGCCGCCTTCTCATTGTAAATGTACATAGAGGAAATGGGGAGCTAGCCCTCTGGGGTCTCTTCAATAAAGAAACTAATCCCAACCACGAGGGCCCTTCCCTCATGACCTGATCACTTCTCCAAAGCCCCACCTCCTAATACCATCACCTTGGGGGTTAGGATTTTAACATGAGTTTTGGGGAGACACAAACATTCAGACCATAGCAGGATGAAGGTTAAAGCAGGTAGGTTTGTTTGTAATAGATAAATAACAGTTAGTAGTAGATAGATAATAGTAGTCGTAGGCAGATAAAGTAGATAGGTTAGTAGTTAGGTTGAAGTTAATATGGGAAGCCAATAGAAGCATGGTCAGGATCACATGGCATATACACATATCCTATCCTATCTTGATTCTTTACAGCAGGGAAAACCCAGGATTGGGATGCAAGACACCAGATTGTTAATAACAGCTACCACTTATTGAGCATTACTACATGCCAGGAACAATGCTAAGTGTTTTAAACAACTTGTTTAAATACAGTCCCCTTAGTACTATGAGTGTCACTGTTACATCTCTGTAATGCTTAGCACACTGCCTAGCACATAGTAGGTATTTAGTAAATAGTTGTTGACATTAAAACATTTTGTAGCACTCCTAGTTTATCTCTTTTCAATATACATAATTTGCTTGATAAGTCAAATGAGAAGGCAATATTATTGGCATTTGACCTTTAGCCACCTGAAGCACAGTAGAACATATGTATGTGATCAAATCTATTACTAGGATATTTCTACATTGGCGAAAACACTTTTCTACATTGGTCTAGACTGAAAGAAATCAGCCCAAGCCAATGATGTGTCAAATGGGATATTATTTAGAAAAACTGCTTCATGTTTTACAGGCTCACAAAGCTAGTCTGAAAAATATTCTTCTTGGCAAATGTATAACAAAGTAATTAAAGGAGTCAACATTCAAAACAGGGAAGTGAAAATCTGAAACCGGCACTGAGACAAATAAAATAAAAGTATACCTTCAGCTGGGTGGGGAAATACCGATTCATTCAGCAGTCCTAAGAGGGAAAAATGGAATTCCATCAAGTAATTCCTTTTAGTACATTAAAAAAAAAAATCTCAATATTTCCAGTGTGAAAAGATTTTATAAGTAGCAAAACCAAAGTTTAAAAATCTTCCCAGAAAAATTTAGATCCAGGCCTTTCCCCACCCCCATCCTATTTTTAACTATTAGTATTTTTTTTCTTCTTTCCGCTTTTTTTCCTTTTTATTTATTTATGTATTTTTTATTTATTTTTATTTTTTATTATTATTAAGTTTTAGGATACATGTGCACAACGTGCAGGTTTGTTACATATGTATACATGTGCCATGTTGGTGTGCTGCACCCATCAACTCGTTTTATCAGCAATCCAAAGTGTTGGGTGACTTTAGAGGACAAGTATCATTAAAGAGCAACTATATATGGAAAGGGCTTGCCTTGGCTTATCTAGCAACAGACAAGATATTAAGATGGGCAGCAAACTCTATTTTCTCTCAGAGAATGAGGAAGTAGCCCAAACAGGAAGGGGATTCTTTTCTATTTTGTAATGGTTATTGTACCAGAACCATCACATCGATCCATCAATGACTCTATGTTTGAACACCTATGAAAATGTCCATATAATTCATAGTGTAACACTCCACTGAGTGAGCGCATTAAGTTATTGCGTGACTCCAATGAACTTTTTTTTTCTTGGAGTATCTAGCTAGCTAAACTAAATAGTTTACTAAATAGTATACTAAACTAAATAGTTTAGTTACCATTTTTGGATGTGGATAGGAAGCCACAGTCACTATAGTAGGTGACACCCTACTTTAATTCACCTCTAAATACGAACACTGACACACTCACACACAACTAATCACTCACATTGTTTCAGTCATGGTCAAACTAGAAAAAGCTACACTAAGTATTTACAAAAGAAAACATTTAATCCAGGTGACTGGTAACAAAGATGACAAATATGTTAAGTATTAAGATAAAATAAAAATTTTATCTTAAGTATGATAAAATATTTAAGAAATCACATAGAGGGGACATAGAGGAAACCAAAAGGTTTAGCAACATCAGGAAGCTGTTGTCACCCATAAACTACAGGGATTAAGGTAGTTTTGGCAGCAATCACTGGGTAGAAGCTAGAAACGCACTGCATCTGTTACAGAGGAAGTTAGCACAATGGAACAGACATGGCCACTCAGGAAGATGGGCCCAGATACGAAGAAAAAAGGGGAAAACAACCCACTTCTTCCTCCCCTCTGCCCATAATCTTGCTGGTGTGCCACATTGGTTAAACCTAGCAAGATACTAGGACACAGGGAAATACAGCTTTCAGGTGTTAGTCACCCTATGGACTGGAGCAGAGCAGGAAAATGGTATGAAATATATCTGTTATCAACAAGCCAAGAACTGCTCCCCACCGCCCCACCAAACATACACACACAGAGATAACTTGGTTTCAACATCAGAATTGTCACTCTCTGAATTTGAAGCTAATTGAATCAGTGTAAAATAAATGAAACCAACCAGCCTGGCCAACATGGTGAAACCCCGTCTCTACAAAAAAAAAAAAAAAAAAAAAAAAATTTAGCCGGTCATGGTGGTGCATGCTTGTAATCCTAGCTACCTGGGAGGCTGAAGCATGAGAATCGCTTGAACCTGGGAGGTGGAGGTTGCAGTGAGCCTAGATCGCACCACTGCACTCTAGCCTGGATGACAGAGGAAGACTGTGCCTCAAATAAATAAATAAAGCCATCCATTAGCAAGACAATTTAACTTTCCAAGTCTACTTGACTCTAAGAATCTATGATGTCTTTCAATATGGTGGAGGTTAGAAAAGACAGAGGAATAGAGACCTCATGCTTATTATATGTGAGAATCAGTGTTTAATGCTTTTTGAACATCATATGACTTTATCCTCACATCAACTCCATAAGTTTATTACAGGGTTCAAGGTTATAAAGATGTATCAACTCTATTTGATAGGTGAAGAAACTCAATGACGTGAATACATTACCCAGCATAGTACAATAAGCAAATATTGGAGTCTGGTTTTACATAATGTTGGGCCTGACTTAAAATTTTCACTAACAACACACAATCAGTGATGCAACTAATATAAAGCTGTAGCCTAATCAATTGGTTTGTGTTTTACTGCCTGTTGTAATGATGTCACGATTGGAAAAAGGCAGAGAACAACCTGAACTAAAAAATAATTAAAGGGTGTATGACTTCCAAATTAACAGAAGAAAACTAGAAAAAAAGTTAAATAATCAAAATAAGGGAATAAAAGAAAAAATACGTAAAAGAGGAAACATTAGAAGGTACATAGTGAGATGGTAGATCTAAGCCCAAATATATCACTAATTATATTAAGTGAACTAAACGTACCAGCTAAAAGACAAAGATTGTCAGACTAGATAAAAACACAAGATTCAACAATATTTTGTTAACAAGTAACACAATGAAAACAGGGTATCATTTAAATATAAAAGAGTAGGAAAAGATATACCATGCTAACGCTAATCAAAATAATAACAATATTAATATCAAGCAAAACGTTTACTGAAAACAAAGAGGGTCACTTCATAATTATAATGCTTTAAATCATATTAAATATTTATTCAGACTAACTTTTGGTAGACCTAACATAAAATCTTTAGAATATATAAAGGAAAATTGACAGAAGTACAAGAAGAAACAGATAATAATCATGAAACTGGGACATTTTATATATCTCAGTATTTGATAGAACAGACAAAAATATCAGCATGGATAGATAAGATGTCAACAACATGATTAGCAAACTTCATATCATGGACATACAGAGAACAGTACTGCCAAGAACTGCAATATGAGTATATTCTAGTCAAGCATACATTGAAATTTACTAAAAATTACCACATAGTGAGCCATAAATTAAGACAAAGGCATTCTCTATCTTTGTTACTGTGTTTCTGTGAGGTTTTTTCTTTCTCTTTTTTTTTTTTTTTTTTTTTTGGTGCTTGCTCCCAGCCCAACCTTCCATTTGCCTGTCTTGGTCTGTGTATATCATTTCAAAGATTTTCTGAAATGTATGGTGCTCCTTGGTGAGCTGTTAATTTTTAGGACTCGAACACTAGAGAGCTGGTTTCAAGCTCCAAGTATAGGAGGCAGGGCTTTCATTGTTTACAAGGACCCCTAATGTCACTGTCAATGGTCTTTTCTCTGGGCTGGTTTAGTCTTACTGAGAAGAATCCTTTAATCCCCCGTTTTCTCATATGTAAACTCTGGATAATAATTGTTTCTAGCTCGCAGGACACTGTAAGCATTAATGAGATAATCCATATCAAGTGCTTAAAATAGTTCCCGGAACAGTGAAACATTCAATATGTATTAGCTATTATTATTCAGAACATTCAACTACCCTCATGGTTTCAATATTGCTGATTAGATATGTTGATGATGCCCAAATTTATATATTTAATTGCTTCATTAACATTTCCACTTGGATATAGCTCAGCCATCTCAAACTTAACATAACCACTCTTCTCTCATCTCAGTAAACAGCATTGTCATGTTTGCACTTGCTGAAACCAGAATCCCAACTCCCCTTCTATGAGTTCATGGCCTTTCTCCCCCAACTAAGATGGAAGCTACTAGGTGGCAAAGACATTCTCTGTCATCTTCTCCTTTGGCGTTATGATCAGTGTGTCTCTGCACTGGCTGTAACTGAACCAGTGTATAGAATACAATGAGGCACTGAAATAAGGAACAATTGCACCAAATTAACACTGTAGTTGTAAAACTGTATTCTTTGAAGGTTCAATTTGTCTCTAACTCCTTGATCTTCTTCTGTTCCCGTTTTTTCCATGGGTTTTCTTTTTCTTGCTTCAATCCATCTTCAGTTATTTTCAGATAGAGCCTCATTCTCTCCTCCATTTGGATTTTGCTTCATTTCATTTTATTTCCATTTCCTCACGACATTGCTGGTGAGGACTCTACCTATTCTCCAATTGTCATGCCCTGACTGCTGTTTCCTGGGATCCTGGGCATCATAAGATATCCTTGGATTCTTCACAGCAGACTGTTAAATTTGGAAATGTAGACTCTTATTCAGATATTTGTGTTTTTTTCTTTCAGACTGCACTGTTAGGCCTTTAGGACTTGATGTTGTTTATTCTTAGAGACTTCCTGGGGCATCAAAAACAGCTTAAAATAATTACTATGTGCGCACTGGCATATATGACATCCAATCGCCCTATGTTAAACTGAATTTCAATGAGTTTTCTGTAAATGAATCAGAAACATATGGATTTCATCCTCTCTATCTCCACTTTTTTAAAAGCAGGAACTCAGTATTTGGGTTTCATTGAATATAAAATATTTGAAACTGACTGAGATATGACAAATCAGGGAAGAGAGGTTTTCCTAATTTGACAGCCATCTTGTCTCTAATATTCTAGTTAGTAATGATGTGTTTGTTGATTTCTCGTCAACTTCACTTTCCTCTGCTTGCTTCTAAGTTTTCCTTCGTTATTCTAAATCCCTATTTATCCTTCTGCTTCATCCAGCCATCCTATAAATAATTATCTGTTGACCACTACTCTGCCTTGCCTGTGCTACCTCCTTGGAGGGCTATATAACCAGAGATTTCCAACACATTGGGAAAGTGCCACAATAGAGGGGCATAAAACAAGCTTTGAGGAGAGGGTAACTTTTTGTCCATTTTGCATTTTCCTCCCTTTTGTTTGCCTTTCTTTTCACTCTCTTCACAAAGATGCTCTCTGTTTTACTTTATTTCCTTGCTCTGATCTTCGTTTCTAGTCTTTTTTCTCCTTGCTACCATGAATGTTTGTGTCCTCCCCCAACCCTGAAAATTCATATGTTGAAACCAAAATCCCAATGTGATGGTATTTGGAGGTGGAGTCTTTGGGGATGATTAGGTCATGAGGGTGGAACCCTGATGAATGAGATTATGACCTTATAAAACAGACCCCAGAGACCTCCCTTACTCCTTCCATTATGGAGGTTTACAGGAAAAAGATGGCTGTTTATGAACCAGGAAGCAGGCCCTCACCAAATAACAAATCTGCCAGGGCCTAGATCTTGGACTTTCCAGCCTCTAGAAATATGAGAAATAAATTTCTGTCACTTAGAAGCCACCCCGTGTATGGTATTTTGTAATGGCTGCCCAAACATACCAAGACACTCCTGCGTTTTCTACAGCCACATTAGCTGCTTTCCAATTCCCCATTGTATCAATGTTTAGGTCCATCTGGCACTGCATGTGCATGAGCAGCTTAATGCTTTCCTCTACTTGACTTTTATCCATTGTCCTGAATGGAATCCCCAGAGTCTGAGCCTGTTGCTGCTCTTAGTCTGTGTCAGTTTGATAGGGGTCTTTATTTAATTTTAATTTTAATTTCAATAGTCTTGGGGAAACAGGTGGTGTTTAGTTGCATGGAAAAGTTCTTTAATGGTGATTTCTAGTTTTCTTTTCTTTTTTCTTTTTCTTTTCTTTTCTTTTATTTTTTATGCTTTTATTTTTGAGATGGAGTCTCACTCTGTCACCCAGGCTGGAATGCAGTGGTGTGATCTTGGCTCACTGCAACCTCTGCCTCCTGGGTTCAAGTGATTCTCCTGTCTCAGCCTCCCAAGTAGCTGGGATTGCAGGCACCCGCCACCACACCTAGCTAATTTTTGTATTTTTAGTAGAGACAGGGTTTCACCATGTTGGCCAGGCTGGTCTCAAACTCCCGACCTCAAGTGATCCACCTGCCTTGGTCTCCCAAAGTGCTGGAATTACAGGCGTGAGCCACTGCACCTGGTCATTTAGTGGTGATTTCTGAGATTTTGGTGCACCCATCGCCCAAGCAGCATACACTGGTACCCAAAGTGTAGTTTTTTATACCTCACCCCCCTCCCATGCTTCCCTCCTGAGTTTTCAAAGTCCATTATATAATTCTTATGCCTTTGCATTCTCATAGCTTAGATCCCTCAGTTTAGAAGAGGCCTTGAGAGAGCAAAGCCACCTCCTAATAGGGTAAAGCTGTGTGAATGCATTGAAATCTCCAATTGCACTGCACAAAATATGTGGCCAAGACTAATACAACTCTAACATGGTGAGGAATTAGTATGAAGTGTTAAATTACATAAGTAAATAGATACCCAGTAGATACAACAGTCAGCCACTCTGATTAATGTTGCCTCCTCCACCTTCATAATTGCATTAACTTAGTAATGATGCTCTCAATCATAAAAAACAAGTGATGACATAATCCTTTAAATAGTTTTCCTTTAACTACTTTGGTGAATTAGTGTCATTCTGTTTACCTGCACCACATTTTGAAGCATTCTGCTAAAGACAATATAATTCTATCAGTAGTGAATATGACAAGCAAAAAAAGGAGATATTTGAGGGGCAGGAATGTATAGTTATGAGCATTCAGACAGGCTCGAGTGCTCATAAAGCTCCCTTCCATCCACCTACACATCCCCTTGCTGCGTCAAGACTTTTACCATCCCAGAATGAACCAGTTAAATAAATAGCTACAGATCTAGTGCTCTCATGGGAGCACAAAAAAAGTCTTTACTTCTGCAAAATTTTTCATTAGGTAATTCACAAAATTAAAATTTAGGCAAAATTGAAGAAAAATACATGATATAAGGGAGAAATTATGTTTTATTTTAAACATTTTATCTAGCAATCATAAATATAGTGCTTAACTACTTGACAGGCACTGTCCAAATCATCTTATAAATATTAAGTAAGTATAATTTTCATGACAACTGTTTAGTAGGGGGTGTAAATTTCATAACAACTCTTCAGTAGCTATTATCTGTAACTTTTAGATGAGAAAACTGAGCCACAGTAAGATTAAGTGATTTGCACATGGTCACACACTTTTAAGGGGTAGAATCAGGATTTGAACTTAGACATACCAGGCCAGGCGCGGTGGTTCATGCCTATAATCCTAGCACTTTGGTAGGCCAAGAAGGGAGGATTGCCTGAGCTCAGGAGTTCAAGACCACCCTGGGCAACATGGTGAAAAACAATCTCTACTAAAAATACAAATATTAGCCAGGTGTGGTGGTGGGAGCCTGTAACCCCAGCTACTTAGGGAGGCTGAGGCAGGAGAATCGCTTGAACCCAGGATGCGGAGGATGCAGTGAGCCGAGACGGCACCACTGCACTCCAGCCTGGGTGACAGAGTGAGACTCTGTCTCCAAAATATAAAAAAATTATAAAAAAATAAATAGACATACCAGCTCCAAAGTTCATGTTCTTACCGCTCCACTATACAGCTATGCTATGGTAGAAATAGAAGATGTGTGGAGTATTTAAAAATTTAGAAATTGAAGTTTACCATACAAATTCTAATAAGAACCTAACATGTTCTAGAAGACATCTGCCTCAAAAAGATCATATGTAAAATGGTAATAGTACCTATCACATGAGAAGTTGTGGGATTTAAATGAGCTTATATATTTAGCAAAGAGCCTGGCATTTGCTGATAGTATCCATTTTTCCCAAGAAACAAAAGGCAAATTGAGCACTGTGTGTGTGTACATGTATATATTCATGAATAAATTGGTGGATGGCTGTATAGAAGACTATTATAAATAAGAAAATCTATAAATGACTATATTTTTCAGATTCAAAGGGAGTGAAAAGAAACTCCCCTATTGAGGAGAGGAAATCAAAGTCACATTGTTAGACAAGGATGTGGGATGGGAGATATCATGACCATCTGCAAAATACAATCTACCACAAAAGGTTCTATTTCTAATCCTGTGAATGACCAACAAATGTTTGGATTAATAATCTGAAGTTCTTACAGTGTTGATCATCTTGAGTACACAGCTTTTCTTAATGAATTAATTACGTAATAAGCACTAGAATTTTAATTTAGCTCCTCAGTATCAAAAAGTTTTCCTAACCTGTGTGAATTCCCTGTTGAATAACTCTCAGTGGAAATCAGATTCTTACCTTTCACTATTGCATCTGCTGGCAACCAAAGCAAGGGCATATGACCTGATCTCTGCCACTTCAACCCCCTTTTGGTCTCTGAAGCTTGATTGCATGGCATCAAGACCAATAGATAGGCAGATGTGGCCACAGGGCTGCAATCCAGCAATGTAACATGAGGGAAAGTGATATATGCATCTCCATCCTCTTGAATGACACTAATGAACAAACTCCTTTCACAAAATAAAAATTTAAAAAACCCCTCTCTTTACACCATTGCATTCTCTCAATCATTTTAAATTGTTTGGAGAGAGATATTTTCCTTAACTCTTCTTGGGTAATACTGGGAGAAATTCTGTCTCCCTAAAGCATTAATTTTATTTCAAACCCAGAGTGGAAAGTACAGACATAATTTTTTAAATCCCAAGTAATTTTTTGTTCACTTGATTGAACCCCAAGTGGGTATATGTGTGTGTGTGCATGTGCATTTGCATACATCACCTATATATTCACAAATATTGGGCCAGAAGATTCATATTCTCAGTGAAATTCTCTCTGAACTACTCATGCTATCCCTATAACTATCACTTTTTTTAAAAAAGCTAAATTTGAGCGTGTGATGCTCATTATGTTATTAAATAATTCTTTCTAAATATTAGTAACCCATTCCCTAATCTTTTGATGTACCTGGCCAAGTATTTTGTTTTACTGATGTAAACTACGCACTTCTGACCTATCAATAAAGGAGCTTGTGTCTTCAACTCCTTTCTCCTGTAGTAGGGGTAGATTTATCATATTTACCTAGTCCTTCCTAACCAGACACCAGTTATTTGTGAGATGGCTGGTCAGAGTTGGAGCTGTGGCTAAAAAATGGAGAGAAAACTCCACTTGCTTACATGGAGATAAATAGAAACAAAATGTTCACATTTGTCCCATCAGCCTCATGAGCTATGGGATATTTGAAACCTATCAAGCCGTTGGATGGAGTACTTGTTCTCACCAAATACATTCATTCTTAATAATGAAAATTTACATATGTGCAATCTATTATTACTATTCAAGATGCAGAGGTTCCTCTTCTACTTGTAAGTAATAGTAATCCATTTCATTTGTTTAGTACATTACACTTTTCAAAGCACATTCTAGTAACTTAAAACTGTGTGAGGTAGATATTATCTTCATTTTACAGGTGAGAAAACTGAGGCTCATAGAGAATATTTGACTTTTACAAGGTCAAGTTGTAAGTATCAGAACCATGATATGAAACTACATCATCTGACTGCAGTTCAGTAGGCTATCAAAACTATTCCCATGTTATTTTCCATTGGATTTTGTGGTCATCCTTCAGAAGCCCTTTCTTTGGTAAACAAACAAACAAACAAACAAAAAACTTTAAAATAAAGCCTAACAAAGGAGTGTCAACATTTAACATTGAACTCACTGGTCAGAAACTTCCTGGCTCACAACTAGAGATTTCTAAATGATGGAAAGAGGGCAGTTAACATGTTGTGATGTTCTTTCTTTCAGCCATAACTTTTCTTGTAGGTTTATAGTTATGGTTTGGCTGTGGAGTACAAAAACATAAAACTTAATTGAATAGAAGTCAGATCAAGGTCTTTCAAGCTAGACATAATGTAAGTCACACAAATAAAGATGAACCAACAAATTTTTAAAAATTCATTACAAAGACCCCAGTGGAAAACATAACCCTAATTTATAAAATCTCCCTACTGTGAAGCATATTTTGTGTGACACACAGAGGAATAAACCCATAACTATTACTATTGGGAATGAAAACTATATCATAAAACTTATATCTGGAGGCTCAAAGTATGCTTCTGATACAAACCCATGCCCTTCATACACACACACACACACACACACACACACAAATATTTGGGAAAGACTCAGATTTTTTCTACAGTGGAGCATAAGTAACAATGACTCCCCCATGTAAAACCTCTTGCCAAGACGCATTAAATACAACAAATATATCAAATACAGGCTGCATGTAGAGACTCACGTCTGTAATCTTAGCACTTTGGAAGATCACTTGACCCAGGAGTTCAAGGCTGCAGTGAACTACGATTGAGTCACTATACTCTCTTCTGGGCAACAGGGTGAAACCCTGTCTCTAACAAAACACATACACATGCATACATGCATACGTATGTGTGTACAGTTTTCCACCCTGATTTCCATTGTCTTGTAAGTTGAGTCCCCCTTTTATTCCGATAGAATAACATCCATCATTCAGTTTTGGAATGCTTCAAAATGCTACTTTGATACTGTGTTTTGCCCCCATGCTGTTGTAGTTGCACACTCTTCTCCCTATTTCTGAGTTAATCCTGTCCTACTGTGCAGTTAGTGAGTGCATTGACTGTAGATAAGTATTTAAGGCAAGACTATATAGTTAATATGAGAGGCTGAATAATGGCATCCTAAAGATGTCCACTTCCTAATCCCTGGAATTTGTAAATATCTTCCCTTAAAAGGTAAAAAGGGACTTTACAGATGTGATTAAGAATTCCAAGATGAGAAGATTATCCTGGATTATCCAGCTTGGCGAGTGTATTCACAAGGGTCCTCATAAGAGGGAAACAAGAGAACATTTAGAGAGAAGATCAGCAAGGATAGAGATAACTTGAATAACAGTATAAACCAGCTAGACTTAACAGACATACATAGAAAACTCCATTTAACAACAGCAGAATGTACATTCTTCTCATGTCTACATGGAATATTTTCCAGGATGGACCATATACTAAACCATAAAACAAGTCTCCATAAATTTTAAAAGATTGAAATCTTACAAAATATCTTTTCCAACCATAATGGAATAAAACAATTAGAAATCAATAACATAAGGAAAACTGGAAAATCCACAAATATGTAGAAATTAAACAACATACTCTTTAAACTGGGCAGAAAATAAATCACAAGGCAATTAGAAAATACTTTGAGATGAATGAAAATGAAAACATAGCATACCAAAACTTAGGAGATGCAGTAAACACAGTGCTCAGAGTTAAATTTATAACAAGCTGTAAATGCCTATATTAAAAAGAAGAAAGATCTCTCGCAAATTGAGAACCCTATTTTACACCTTAAAGAACTAGAAGAAGTTCAAACTAAAACCAAAGCTAGCAGAGGGAAGGAAAGAATGAAAATTAGAGCAGAGATAAGTGAAATGGAGACGAGAAAAACAATAGAGAAAATCAACGAAACCAAAAGTTGGTTGTTTGAAAAGATTAACAAGTTTGCCACACGATTAGGTAAGTTCAAGAAGAAAAAAGGGAGAGAAGATGCAAATCACTAAAAGCAGAAATAAAGATGGAGACATGATTACTGACCTTACAGAAATAAAAAGGACTATAAGAGAACACTATGAACAACTGTAAATGAACAAGTTGGATAACCTAGATGAAATGGACAAATTCCTGAAAACATACAAATAATTAAAATTTGCTCTTGAAGAAATACAAAATCAGAACACTTATGACAAGTACAGAAACTGAATTAGTAATAAAAAAAAATCCACTTAACAAAAAAGAGCTCAGGACCAGATGGCTTTGCTGGTGAATTTTACCAAACATTTAAAGAAGAAAAACATCAATCCTTTTCAAACTCTCCCAAAAAATAGAAGAGAACGGAACATTTTCTAACCCATTCCAAAAAGCCAGCTTTATTCCTCATACCAAAGTCAGACAGAGATATCACAGGAAAACTATAGTTCAATATTCCTCATAAACATAGATGCAAAAATCCTTAAAATATTAGCAAACCAAATTCAGAAACATATAAAAAGGATTATTATTAACACCAAGTGGGATTTGCCCTAGGAATGTAAGATTGTCTTAATATATGAAAGTCAATTACTTTTATACACCGTTGTAAAGTAGTAAAAGACAAAACCCAAATGGCCATCTAGTAGAGGCAGAAAAAACATTCAACAAAACCCAACACTGATTCATGATGAAAATCTCTCAACAAACCAGGAATAGAAGGGAACTTTTCCAACTTGTTAAAGGGTGTCCATGAAAAATTTTTGGCTAACATACTTAATTGTGAAAGAAAACTGTGCGCCTAAGAAATTAAATACAACCATATTAGAAAGAAAGAAGTAAAACTATATTTGCAGGTGATATGTAGAAATTCTTAGGGAACACACACACACAATGTGGAGCTACTATAACGATTTTAGTAAGGTCACAAGTTGCAAGATCAATATGCAAAACTTAATTGTATTTCTATAAACTTATAGCAAATAACCAGAAAGTAAATTAAAAAAAATAATTTCATTTACAAAAATGAAACAGAGTAAGATACTTAACTGTAAATGTAACAAAAGAAACTCAGGATTTGTATACTGAAAACTACAAGGCGTTGCTGAAAGTAATTTAAAAATACATCCATAAATGGAAAGACATTCCATGTTTATGGATTATAAAATTCAAGGATTATAAAAATTGACAAGATAATTTTAATATTTAAATGGCAATGCAAAAGACCTAAAATAAAGCAATTTTGAAGAAAAACAAAGTATACTTACTATAAAGCTACAGTATCAAGACAGTGTGGTATTCATATAAAGATAGACCTATATGGATCAGTGGAACAGAAGTCTAGAAATATGTCTTATGTTTATGGTCAACTGATTTTTTTTTTTTTTGAGACAGAGTCTCACTCTGTTGCCCAGGCTGGAAGGCAGTGGTGCATGATCTTGGCTCACCACAACCTCCGCCTCCTTGGTTCAAGTGATTGTCCTGCCTCAGCCTCCCAAGTAGCTGGAATTACAGGCATGTGCCACCATGCCCAGCTAATTTTTGTATTTTTAGTAGAGATGGGGTTTCACCATTTTGGCCAGGCTGGTCTTGAGCTCCTGACCTCAAATGATCCACCTGCCTCAGCCTCCCAAAGTGCTAGGATTACAGGCATGACCCACTGCACTCAGCCAGTCAATTGATTTTTAACAAAAGTGCCAAGACAATTCAATGAGGAAAGGATAGTCTTTTCAATAGATGGTTGTGCTAGCACCACATACAAACTTTAATTCAAAATGGATCATCAATATCAATGCAAGAATTAAAAGTATAAAACATTTGGAAGAAAATACAGGAGAAGATTTGTACGGCCTTTGGTTAGTCAAGGAGTTCTTAGGTTAAAACCAAAGCACAAGCCATTAAAAAAAAAATACCTGGTAAACGGGACTTTACAAAAATTAAGAGTGCTTCAGAAGACACCATTAAGGAAATGAAAGGGCAACCCACGGAGTGGATGAAAATATTTGCAAATCATATATCTGATAAAAGCCTTGTATCTAGCCTGAGCATGCTGGCTCACACCTGTAATCCCAGTGCTTTGGGAGGCTAAGGCAGGAGGATTGCTTGAGGCCAGGAGTTCAACACCAGCCTGGGAAACACAGCATCTCTCCAAAAAGAAAAAGAAAATACCCAGGCGTGGTGGCACATGCCTGTAGTCTTAGCTAATATGGGAGCTGAAGTGGGAGGATCACTTGAGCCCAAAAGTCCAAGGTAGCAGTGAGCTATGATTGTGCCACTGCACCTTAGCCTGCGTGACAGAGAAAGACCTTCTCTCGAAACAATAAATAAAAATAAAAGACTTAGTAACCAAAACAGCATGGTAAAGGTACCAAAACAGAGATATAGATAAATGGAACAGAACAGAGCCCTCAGAAATAATGCCGCGTATCTACAACTATCTGATCTTTGACAAACCTGAGAAAAACAAGCAATGGGGAAAGGATTCCCTATTAATAAATGGTGCTGGGAAAACTGGCTAGCCATATGGAGAAAGCTGAAACTGGATTCCTTCCTTACACCTTATACAAAAATCAATTCAAGATGGATTAAAGACTTAAACGTTAGACCTAAAACCATAAAAACCCTAGAAGAAAACCTAGGCATTACCATTCAGGACATAGGCATGGGCAAGGACTTCTTGTCTAAAACACCAAAAGCAATGGCAACAAAAGCCAAAATTGACAAATGGGATCTCATTAAACTAAAGAGCTTCTGCACAGCAAAAGAAACTACCATCAGAGTGAACAGGCAACCTACAAAATGGGAGAAAATTTTCACAACCTACTCATCTGACAAAGGGCTAATATCCAGAATCTACAATGAACTCAAACAAATTTACAAGAAAAAAGCAAACAACCCCATCAAAAAGTGGGTGAAGGACATGAACAGACACTTCTCAAAAGAAGACATTTATGCAGCCAAAAAACACATGAAAATATGCTCACCATCACTGGCCATCAGAGAAATGCAAATCAAAACCACAATGAGATACCATCTCACACCAGTTAGAATGACGATCATTAAAAAGTCAGGAAACAACAGCTGCTGGAGAGGATATGGAGAAATAGGAACACTTTTACACTGTTGGTGGGACTGTAAACTAGTTCAACCATTGTGGAAGTCAGTGTGGCGATTCCTCAGGGATCTAGAACTAGAAATACCATTTGACACAGCCATCCCATTACTGGGTATATACCCAAAGGACTATAAATCATGCTGCTATAAAGACACATGCACACGTATGTTTATTGTGGCACTATTCACGATAGCAAAGACTTGGAACCCACCCAAATGTCCAACAATGATAGACTGGATTAAGAAAATGTGGCACATATACACCATGGAATACTAGGCAGCCATCAAAAATGATGAGTTCATGTCCTTTGTAGGGACGTGGATGAAATCGGAAATCATCATTCTCAGTAAACTATTGCAAGAACAAAAAACCAAACACTGCATATTGTCACTCATAGGTGGGAATTGAACAATGAGAACACATGGACACAGGAAGGGGAACATCACACTCTGGGGACTGTTGTGGGGTGGGGGGAGGGGGGAGGGATGGCATTGGGAGATATACCTAATCCAAGATGACGAGTTAGTGGGTGCAGCGCATCAGCATGGCACATGTATACATATGTAACTAACCTGCACATTGTGCACATGTACCCTAAAACTTAAAGTATAATAATAAAAAAATAAAAATAAAAGACTTGTATCTAGAATATAAAAATAACTCATAAAGCTCAATAGTAGAAACACAACCCAATTAGAAAATGAGCAAAATAACATGTGAATGGCTAACAAGCACATTTAAAAGTGCTTGACATCATTAGTTATTAAGGAAACTAAAACTACAGGGAGTTACCAATGCATATCAACTAAAATGGTATGTGAAAAAATGGTATCCTTATCAATTACTTGTGGAAATGTAAAATGGTACATCCACTACCCAAAACAGCTTAGCAGTTTCTTAAAAAGTTACACGTAAACTTACCAAATAACCCAGCCATTCTACTCTTAAGAATCTACCTGAGAAATAAAAACATATGCACAAAGATTTGAACATAAGTATTCATAGCAGCATTACCATAATAGCCCCAAACTAGAAATAACCCAAGTGTCTAACAATCTGATAAATGAATAAATGTGGTATATCCATATAGTGGAATATTTGTCAGCAATTGAAAGGAATGCAAACACTGATACATGTTAAAATATGGATGGACCTCAAAAATATGGTAAACGAAAAAAAAGTGAGATCCACAAGGATACATACTGTATGATTCCATTTATAGGAAATGCACAAAAATGCATATTTATAAAGACAGAGAGTAGATCAATGGTTGCTGGGGCTGGGAGTGTGTGAGTGGGTATTCATTGCAAACAGATTTGTGAGGAACTCAGGGAAAAGTTCTAAAATGGAAATGTTCTAAAATCAGATTGTGCTTGGGGTTTGCACATCTTTATAAATTTACTTAAAATTATTGAATTATAATTTACGGTAAATAAATTATTGCCCAATAAAGCTGTACATTTTTTGTTTAAATTTTTAAGGGAAAAAAAAGCCAAGAAAAAAATTTAGATGAGGTTGTTATTTACACAGGCTACTGTGCTTACTTTTATTGTAGCACTTAATTATGCTCTTCAAATCAGTTATTTCTCTGACTTTCCCATTGGAAATGTAAACAGGATCACAACTGATGGATTTGATAATTGTCCTTTACTGCATTAGGTATTTAGATGGGGGCTACCTTTCTTGGCCAACTGACATCTCAAGCACCCACCGCTGAAGCTGAAAGCAGAAATCAGGAAGAGCCAGGAGATTAAAGAGAATAAAAGGCATACAATATGCATATGAATCCATGAAGACATGTTTCATGGAACTGTTCAATGCATCCAAAGAGCCCAGTGTGAGAATCCCACTGGAATGACAGTTGATGTGCCTGCCAGTCACCCTGGGGCAGGGAAGTGATACCAGCCTAGAGGAGAAGAGGAGGGACAGGCAGGTGAAAGTGAGTAGTGAGAACAAAATGTGAGCAAACAACCTTCATTACTGGCAATCTGTGTGATTCCAGAACTGGTATCCAACCGATGAGCTGCTGGAGACATGTGTTTGTATTCTCAAACCCCAAACATTTGTTTCATGGTCCTAAAACAACGAATCCTACAGCTCACTATCACATTTCATAGCTCTGGGGAAAACCAGAAAAGGACAGATTGGGCAGGGGTTCAAAGAGGAAATGTCTTCTGCCAAACCGAGTGGCCCCACTTCCTCTCTGCGTAAGAGTGGGGTCTGAGATAGACCCTGCTTCCAGCAGTCTCCCAGACAAGACAAAGGGTCTCACTTGTGAATCAAAGTTCACTGCAACAGCACAACAGGCTGGGACAGGTTCCCATCTCATCCAGACTTTCCCCATAAAAGGCAGAGGACAGAGTAAAAATGCCAGTCCCAATATCCTGTAAATGCCTGTGGATTTTGATGTGGACTGGACAGAGGAATGGAGAGAGAAAGGGGAGGTGACCCTCACAGGAAGCTAACGTTTCTCAAGGGCCCACATGACAAGCACTATTAGGTACTTTTATTTAATACTTCCAGCAACACTGTGACATGGGCATTGTTATAACCTACATTGTTATACCTACAAGAAACTGGGGTTCAAAAATCTTTTTTGCCTGTAAAATAGCTAATATTATACATTATACCTATATACAGGTAAGAATCTAAGGCTTAAAATCTTAAGTGACCAGTGTTACACATTTGGTAAGTAGCAGATATGGGATTTAAATTCAGGTCCATATGAACCCTGAACCCCTGTTCCTTTTTATTACATATGCCACACTGTCCAATCATGTTTAGATAGTTTAAAAACATGTTCAGCCTTTTAGCTTAGGCTTTCTGATTTCTTGTTTCTGGATGATAATAAGCCAGCCAAAAGTCCTCCCGGGAATTCTTTTCTCCCCAAGGGCTGGAAGGATAAAAACACACCACTGTGCCCTTGAAGCTTCACTAACAATCACAACTATAAAGGCTGGAGTCAATGCTGAGAGGATATTATTAACAAATGGCTTTAGAAAACCTTCAGAGGGTTTGCAGCCACCCACATCATTTGTAAGATCTTAGGGAAGAAACCTGATCCAGTAAATGACTGGGAATAAAACAAACCCTAGTATCAGAAATATAAAGGGAGGAGGATCATTGCCTTTAGACAATTTGCTTTATTGTGAACAATAAAAATGTTCCAGTTGATTCAACAAAAAATAATAAAAAACAAGGCTATTTTTAAAAAGGCATTTATAGCACTGCGGTTTCATTTCCTTTGCCTTTAGATCTTCAGGCTCTCATTCTGAGCAGCAGATGCTGTCATATAAGGAAGACCACCTGCTTTCCAGGGCATCTCTGCAACAAATAGCTTTGAGGGAGAGAGAAGAAAGATCACAGGATGAAAAGGAAAGAATTAGAAAGGGGGGAAACGGGAAATTAAGAAGTTGGCTTAATGCACATCTTCTGAATTATTCAACTGCTAAAAAGCCGACAGATTTCTTTTGACACTTGACTGTCTCACTCTGTGTCTATATCCATATTCCACTTTTTAAGGACCTACTTTAAGAGAATTCTGTCCATCTGCACAGCCCAGCTTTATGACATATTTATCTTTCTTTGCACAATGGAAGCATAAAAAATTTATGGAACATGGGTATTAATTAAATGGTATTTTAGTTCAGGGAAGTTGCCCAGCTTAAAAAGGGCTACTAGGAGTGAATCCTTTGTAAAGAAATATAGTTTTGGAAATAAAAATAGCCCACACTCACTCACTACCTCCCCTCAGCAAAATGACTTAAGCACTGTTTCTGAGTCCCCAGATTTCTAAAAGCTTGTTAAACTCTTATTAAAAGCAACAGGTAATGACTTGTTTCTGTTGAATTGACCTCAAAGGCTAATTGTTTGGAGTGATCTAGGTCCCCACATGCAAGGAAAAGAAGACATTAAGGAAATCATTCACATAATTCCAACCCATTTAACACACTCACCTGAAACATATCAATAATAAAAGTGATAACAGGAAAATGTTTACAGTTTTGAAGTCTCAGGAAACAATTTGTTCTAGATGGTATTTTTTATATATCAAAGGTTTCTTTTTATTAAACAGATGTTATTTTAGATTTTAACAGGTTTTAAAATCTTTGTCAAATATATTATTCATTTCTTTGCCTTCTTAAACAGTGTTTACTTAGTTATAATGCATTCCATTAAACTTCCAAAAAAGGGTTTCAGAGAACTATTACATGATATTTTAAACATAATTTGAACTCTTCATGATGTCCCAGGATGCTTGCATCAAACACTAGTGACAGGATGGGGCTAAAATAAAGTAAGGCCCTTAGGACGATAAGAAGACTTGGTCTTCATATTCTGTGGTGACCATATCCTCCTGTGTTATTTTAATTCTATGTCTGATTTTTAAATTTTTTTCAACTTTTATTTTAGATACAGGGTGTACATGTGCAGGTTTCTTACATGGGTATGCTCCCAGGTAAGGAGCACAGTACCCAATAGGTAGGTTTTCTACTCACACTCTCTCTCCTTCTCCCATCTAGTAGTCCACAGTATCTATTGTTCCCATGTTTGTGTCCAGGTGTACTCAATGTTTAGCTCCCACTTGTAAGTGAGAACATGCAGTATTTTGTTTTCTGTTCCTGCATTAATTCGGTCAGGTTTATGGCCTCCAGCTTTATCCATGTTGCTGCAAAGGACATCATTACATTCCTTTTTATGGCTGCGTAGAACTCCACAGTGTATATGTACCACATTTTCTTTATCCAATCCACCACTGATGGGCACCTAGGTTGATTCCATGTCTTTGCTATTGTGAATAGTGTGGCAATGAATATATCAGCATATGTGTCTGTTTGGTGTAACTATCTATTTTCCTTTGGGTATATACCCAGTAATGGGATTTCTGGGTCAAATGGTGGCTCTAAATTCTTTGAGAAATTTTCAAACTGCTTTCCACAGTGGCTGAACTAATTTACATTCCCACCAACAGTGCATAAGCATTCCTTTTTCTCTGCAACCTCACCAACATCTGTTATTTTTTGACTCTTTTTTTTTTTTTTTTTTTTTTTGGAGACGGAGTCTCGCTCTGTCACCCAGGCTGGAGTGCAGTGGTGCAATCTTGGCTCACTGCAGCCTCCGCCTCCTGGGTTCAAGCAATTATCTGCCTCCATCTCCTGAGTAGCTGGGATTACAGGCGCCCAACACCACGCCTGGATAATTTTCTGTATTTTTAGTAGAGACGGGGTTTCACCATCTTGGCCAGGCTGGTTGTGAACTCCTGACCTCGTAATCCACCTGCCTTGGCCTCCCAAAGTGCCGGAATTACAGGTGTGAGCCACCGCACCTAGCCTTCTTGACTTTTTAATAATAGCCATTCTGACTACAATTTTCACCCAATTATTGTACCTCTTTGAACCTCTTGGCTCTAAATCTGCCTTGTTGGGTTCACAGATCCTAACATATTATGATTGTTACCCAATCCTAATCAAGCCTCCACACTGAAAACCCCGCCTTAAACAAAACTCTAAAACTCTTGCCTCCTGAACAACTGGTAACATTCAAGCTAAGTCTCTCAATAAATGTTTTGGGGATGCTTATATTGCCATAAATTGGAAATAAAGTGATTCAGTGGTATTCCCTGGGAGTTGCTCTTGCTTGGGGGTGCTGGATGATGTCTCCGTGGAAGTGTCATGACCCTAAAATATAGGGGATTTGTTTCAACTGTCTGCCCAAATTAGGGCTGAAAGGAGGTAGCAATGGCCATGCTCTTTCTCATACTAATATGGACAAGTTTTGAAAATGAACTGATCCTGCTGTCAGCCTGTTCATCTTCTCATGGCCCTACTCATTTTTCTGGTTTCAATTTTTCATGTTTATTCTGATGACTCCTAGTTCTTTATTTCCAGTTCACAGCTTTCACTGATGCATCAAACCTACAAATATAACAGCTGATTAGACATCTCCATTGGATATCCCAAGAGTGCAAGAAACTCAAAATGTTCCAAACTATACTCATCCTCTTTTCACCTCCCAAAACTACTCTTGTTTTTCCTACTCCAGCAATGATCCCAACATACGTTTACTTTGATAAGCCTGTTATCCTTGACTTTTTCTTCTCCCTTATCCAAGCAACCACCAAAATGTTTGATTGAAAACATTACATTAAAATTATGTAAATTCAACTCTACACACTTTGCTGAACTTAGTAAGGGATGCTTTCATATGCACAGAATTACATCGTTTTATTAGCTTTTAAGACATTTTTATCAAATGTAAATTTTCGCCTCCTATATTGATTTAAATTTTCCATAAAGTACTGCTTTAGTATCAATTGGTCTTTCAGTAATCTTCCCGTGACAGCACTTATAAGATAATACCATATATAATTGGCTATTTAAAAAATATTTTTATTATAAACTATAAACATGCAAACAGAAAGTGTATAAACTTATATGTACAGTTTAACAAATTGTCCTAAAGCAAATACTTGTATAATTACAATGCAGGTCAACAAACAGAACATTGCTGGCACCCCAAAACCATCCAGGCATCCTTTAAAGATCACAATTCTCTTTCCCTCCGAAGGTAGCCACTATCCTGATATCTATGGTAATAATTAGTTTCTTTTATTTTCGTCACCTATGTATACATCTGTAAGTAATACAGTTCAGTTGCCTTATGATCTTCTTTTTACATTTTATAGAAACGGCACTATGCTGTTCGCATTATTTTGCTCCTGCTTTTTACTCAACATTATATTTGTAAGATTCATCCATATTATTTTATGTAACCAAAGTTTTCTTATAAATGATTATTTACTTATCTGTCTCCTCAGTGGACTCTCAGTATCATTCATGTCCCTTCTATTCACCACTGTATTTCCACCACTTCCTAGTATGTGTTCAGAAAATATTTGTTTTAAAAACCAAAACCATCTGTATCTACACAACTTACTGTCTACATTAACATGACCTTATTATGCCACCGTCTTCATCAGTATGACTTTATTATTCCAGGAAAATCTTTGACTTATTTTTATTATTTATTATTTATTTCAGAAACTTCCTTTAAAAGCCCTTTAAATGAACATTAAATTGTCCAACTCTTTAATCAATGGCATCAAACAATTGAAACAACTTCTTAGTCTCCGAGATTCTTTGAACCTCTTGGCTCTAAATCTGCCTTGCTGGGTGTACAATTCCTAACTTACTATGATTGTTACCCAATCCTAATCAAGCCTCCACACTGAAAAACCTGCCTTAAACAGGACTCTAAAACTCAATAAATGTCTCGATTTTGCTCTCTGTCTTCTGAGATGCACTAAGATTCTGTCAAGGTAGTGGCTGGCAATTGTACAAGTATTTGCTTTATCACCATTTATTACTCTTATCATTGTAAAAATAAGCTCAGCTTTGTCTCATAAACAGGTTGTTTTGATTATATTTTCAGGGAGCCATCATTGTTCATACGATTGAGTTTGTAAATGAACCAAAGAAACCGCAGGCAGCATATTCAGGTTAGAAAGGCGGTGTGCTTTGGCACAGCACAGCATTCCTGCTAACTGCTAAAGCATCTAGGACTTTGCACAGAATAACAGCAGAGGCAAAGTCTTTCATGAAAATCAGTTTATAAAGGCCTGCTACTTAAAGATTGTACTTTATGCAAGATCATTAGGATAACCTAAGAATAGACCCTCAGAACAAGGTAGGATTAATGCTCAAAAACCCTCTAAGGATTTACAAATAGACCTTCAGAACAAGATTGATTAGCCCAAACCTTATGCTTTCTAAGAAAAGGTAGAGAGAATACTCCCAGGGTGTCTGTACAAATATTTGTCATGGCCAGTGATATGGTTTGGATCTATGTTCCTGCCCAAATCTCATGTCAAACTGTAATCCCCGGTGTTGGAGGTGGGGCCCGGTGGGAGGTGATTGGGTTATAGAGGTGGTTTATTATAGTTTAACACCATCCTCCTTGATGCTGTTGTTGTGATAGTGAGTTCTTGTGAGATGTTATTTAAAAGTGTGTAACACCTCCCCATTCTCTCTCTTCTTCCTCTTTGGCCATGTGAAGTATCTCACTCCCTCCTTGCCTTCCACCATGATTGGAAGCTTCCTGAGGCCACTCTAGAAGCAGAAGCTGCTATGCTTCCTGCACAGCCTTCAGAACTGTGGGCCAGTTAAGCTTCTTTTCTTTATAAATTACCCAGTCTCAGGTAGTTTTTTTTATAACAGTGTGGGATGGAATAATGGAGCCAGCAAGTCTGCCAAAGCCTTGAGCAGACAGAACTGAGATATTGGAGTTCCATTCATTAGAAGAGGTAGGGGATTCAGGGTTTCCATTCATTTCCATCATTACTACCATGAACAATGCCTTACTCTTCTCTCAAAGAATTGTCTCATGATCAAAACAACAGTGCAATGGTGAGACTTTGAGCTCGGGATGGAGGAAATGTATTTTGCATGTGCAATGGATGTGCCTCTTTGAAGACTTGAGGGTGACTGTGGTAGGATGAATAATGCCCCCCAAAATGTGTCCATGTTCTAATCCTCAGAATTTATAAATGTTACATTATATGGTGTTTCAGGAAAAACTCTCTCAAACCATGTTTTTCCTCTGCTCATACCACCAGAACAATTATCAACACAGAAGACGACTAGAGGGGAAAACTGGGTGGTCTTGTGGAACCAAGCCCCCAACCTGTGGAATCCAACACTATCTCTGGATAGACAGTTTCAGAACTGAACTGTGGACACGCAGCTGGTGTCTGCTGCAGTCGCAAGTCTGGGCCTCCAGAACTTCTGACCAATAGTCTTCAAGTTGGGGTTCCTACAACCTCCTCTTTGGGTTTAATTTGCTGGAGCGGCTCACAGAACTCAAGGAAACACTTACTTTGGCTGACTGATTTATCATGAAGGATATTTAAAAGCATACAAATAAACAAGCAGATGAAGAGATACAGACGGCAAGGTCTGGAAGGGTCCCAAGCACAGGAACTTCTGTCCTTGTGGGCTTAGGGTGTGCCACCCTCCTGGCAGGTGGATGAGTTGTTCTTTACCTTTCTGCCAGCCTCCACGTGCTAAGCTCTCTGGAAGCTTCCCAAACCCTGTCCTTTAAGCCTTTCATGGAGACTTCATAGGTTATCTATGATTGAAGCATGGATAATGGTGTCAAAATGTGATTGGACAAGAAGTGTATGATGTAAACCCAGCAACGCCTATCTGTTTAGATCCTTCTTGGTCTCTCTGTGCAACATTCCTTCCTCCAGAGTATGGGGCAGGACCCTCTGTGCAATGAGGGTCTTATGACCCACAAGCAGATTAGAGTCTTGCCTTGAGTGGGTGAAAGGAGGACAAGAGAAGGTCAGACAGATTTTGTTTCCTGAAGCCTGCTTCTGAGGCCTAAAGTACCCGAGGATTATAATAAAAGACTGTAACTCCCTGTTATGGGAGTTCTTATCTAGGAACTATGGACAAAACCATATATATGTATATGGTTATATAGCGATCTATATAATATATTGTGATCTGTATATAACATATAATCATAATATCACATATCAAAAGAGACTTTGCAGATATGATTAAGTCAGATATCTTGAGATGGGAAGATTATCCTAGATTATCTAGTTGGCATGATGTAATCGCAATGATCTTTTTAAGAGAGATGCAGGAGGAGTCAGAGTCAGAGGAGAGGGTAATGTAATGATATAAGTAGAGAGTAGAGTCCCACCCTTTGAAGATAGAGAAAGGAGCCATAAGCCAAGGAATACAAGAAGCTGAAGAAGGCAAGGAAACAGATTCTCCCCTCACAGCCTTCAGAAGGAAGCAGACCCGCTAATACATTAACCTTAACCCGCTGAATCTGATTTTGGACTTCAGACCTCCAGAACTGTAAGAGAATAAACATGTTTTGTTTTAAGCCACTAAGTTTGTGCTGATTTGTTATAGAGGTTACGGGAAGGTAACACAGAGACATCACACACAGCCCCACTCACTAGATTAAGATACTATTTAATTTTACTATGGTTGTATTACAAATGATCACAAATGCTATGACTGAAAACAATACATATGTATTATCTCCGTTTTTGTAGGTCAGGAATTCAGGCACAAGTTAGCAGGGTCTGCTGTTCAGGTCTCACCAAGCTGTGATCAAGCTGTTGTCTGGGGCTGGAGTATCATCTGTGGCTTAGGATTCTCTTTTAAGCCATACTTATTAGCAGATTGCATCTTCTTCAAGCTGTAGAAGTTATGGTGTTTTGGGGAGAGGGTCTCTGGCTTCTTTATCTTTGACCTCTAGATGATCTGTTTAAAGGGCTCATCTGATTAAGTCAGACCCACTCAGAATAATGTCTCTTTTAATTAATTCAAAAGTCAACTGGTTTGGGACCATAATTTCATCTTCAAAATCTTTTCACCTTTGCCATATAACATAACCTAATCACAGATATCCCATTCTATTCATAGATCCCACCAACACTTAAGGGGAGGGAATTATACTGGGTGTGTACATCAGGGGGTGGAAATATAGGGGACCATATCTTAGAGTTTTGCCTAAGTTTTGACATTTTGCCTAAAATGTCATTTATTATATGTAATGTACCATTTTAATGTTTTCAGAGATATTAATATGTGTATATTTAACTTCCACAGGACTCGTTAAAACTCATTCACCATTTCCATTTTTTCCATAAAGTCTTAGGATCTTAAACTAAAATTCTCATCCTTCTAGAGTTTGCAGAAAATCTAATGGAGAAAATTATTTTTCTATATGCATATATGTATACATTGTGTATGTATATGTGCATAATACTAATACAAACTTCATATATGTGTGTATATTTGTGTGTGTATATGTGCGTGTATATATATATATACACACATATATATATATCCTTGTGGGGAGATATATATATATATATATATATGTATGTATATATACACACACATATCCTTGTGGAGAAAATTATTGTTCTGAAGATTAGGAATCTTAGAGAAAAACAAGTTGAGAAACTGAGCTACCCAGAATTATGAAAAAAGCAAGACAGTAGAAGCCTGGCATCAAAATCCAGGTCTCAAGAATTCTCATTTGAAGCTCTACCCACTGTTCCATCATATAATCAGTATTTGCTTCTCAGAAAACACATTATAACCTCTGTATTAGAATTCTGATTTATACGCCATTAATGCCAATAATTTCCAGCAGGAGACTGTGGTATGAGTCCTCACAAATGATAGCGTTTTTCCTTCACACCTCCAGGGAAGCTTTCATTTTCTAACATTATCAATTAAGCACTAATACTCTGTTCTCATTGCTTTGTGTGTGTGCCTAAGAAATTGACATGGCATCATTGCTCAATGCACACATACTGTTTATAAGGCTCACATCCTTGCCACTTAACCATGGAGTCCAACAATTTATTATCTGTTTCATTTAGGACAATTAATGGTATTGCTGGCAACCATTTTGCAGCTATAATTTGGCAGTTCTTATTAGGTCATGCCCAGTAGCCTCATGGAAATAATAGGAAGAGAAGAAGGCAGGAAGGAAGGAAGGAAGGAAGGAAGGAAGGAAGGAAGGAAGGAAGGAAAGAAGGGAGTGAGGGAGGGAGGGAGGGAGGGACGGGAAGGGGGTGAGGGGGAGGGGAACAGCTTTTATTTTGTAGTTGCTTTATTCAGGTCTCTTTCCGGTAGAAGACACAGGTCAATATAGATCAAGCTGCTATTTAATATGCTGCCCCTATAGTGCTGTCAAGGATCTAGTAAGATTAGAATATTAGAATATTTTCTAACATTCTAAATTATAAATAATGCTTCTATTTTTCTATTATCATTTGCCTTCTCTTGGAAATCAGGTTTCCTACTGCAACAGACAAAACTCTAGGATATGAGCTACAGGGGCTATGGCTTGTAGTCCTAACTCTGCCTCTAATATGTTATGGGATTTTTGTCAAGTTACTCTGAACCTTGGTTTCTGCATGTAAGAAATAATGGAAATGTATAAGCTCCATTCAGCTCTAAAATTCTGATTTTCTGTTGAACTAAATCCAAATGAAATTCAGTATCTTTTTTATGTAATATTTTTTCATGTCACTACTTTGGCATTACTACTTTTATTGCTTTTTAACAGCCTGGAAATAACTCATATTAACTGTTAACAGCAAAGTAGAAATGAAATTGGGAACAGGAATAATGATAAAACTGTCAGCCAGTGAGCAATTAGTATGTGCCTAACACCATGTTGAGTGCTTTACATATTTTATCTAATCCTTGGGACAAATCTCTGATAGGATTATTACCTCCATTTTACAGATGAGAAAATGGAGGCTTAGAATAACTGGATAACCTTGCAAAGTCATATTCCTAAGCTAGTTAGCAGCAAAGTTCAAATGTGAATCTGTGTCACTGGACTCCAAAGACTGTAATTTTAAGCATTAGGCTTTTACATCACCCCTAACTTGTGGATGGCCAATCAAGCCCAACATTGTTAGACTGTAGGGTGACCCAAAGGGGCAATGTGGACTACAATTCACACCTCACACTTCCCTCCTTCACCCTTTTTATAGGCTATGAGTAGGAGATCAGATGGCTTGTAG
The DNA here is from genome assembly GCF_000001405.40 of Homo sapiens. Taxonomy (NCBI): domain Eukaryota; kingdom Metazoa; phylum Chordata; class Mammalia; order Primates; family Hominidae; genus Homo; species Homo sapiens. The sequence continues at coordinate 20,075,610 of NC_000009.12, forward strand.
GTGTGGGTTCACTCCCTTCTGCTTTTAAATTTTACACTCCCCAGGATCTCTGTTTGTTAGCATTCTCCCATGGCTTGCTTGAACAATCAGGGGGGGATACACTTGCACTACTGCATCCCCAAATATTCCCCTTTACTAGTAAACACTGCTGGAAAAAAATGGCCTACTTTCTACCACCACCTGCCACCCATTTTAAGAGAAATTGTTGTAAAATTAATACAGTCATCCCTCGGCATCCATGAGGAATTGGTTCCAGGACCTCTCTCAAATACCAAAATTCATGGATACTCAAGTCCCTGATATAAAATGGTGTCGTATTTGCATATAACCTATGTACATCCTCCTGTATACTTTAAATCATCTCTAGATTACTTATAATAGCTAATACAATGCAAATGCCATGTAAATAGTTGTTACACTCTATTGTTTAGGGAATAATAACAAGAAAAAAGTCTGAATGCTTTCCGTACAGATGCAATCATTCTTTTTTTTTCTGAATATTTTTGAGCTGCATTTGGTGGGATTCACAGATGCGGAACCTATGGATACAGAGGGCCGGCTACATGACACATAAAAATTCAAGACTGAGCAAAAGAGTCAAAGCAAAAAGTTCCCTAGAATTTCACAGTTAGATGAGCATTAGAAATCATTTTTAGTTCCTAGATGATAAAAAACTAGAGAGAGCTACCTAGTTTATAAAAGTCACCCATCTACTCAATGTGATAGGAATGAGATTGGCACCCAGTTTCTTGACTCTCCTGGTGTGATGCTTTTCCTACTGCCAGGAAGTTCTGATTACAGAAGACAGACACACGAAGGGAGAACCCCTGTGACAATGGAGGCAGGGATGGAAGGAGGCCAATTGCAACTGCCAGCCAAGGGATGCCAAGGAGCACCAGTAAACACCAGAAGCTGGGAAGAGGCAAGAAAGACTCTCCTTCGGGATTCAGAAAGAGTATGGTCTTGTGACACCTTGATGTAAGCCTCCAGAACACTGAGAAAATAAATGTTAAACCAACTGCTTTGTGACACTTTGTTGTGGGAGCCCTAGGAAACGAATACAGAGAGCTAAAGGGAAGAACAAGTTCCTGGGCTGGGGGATAGGGAGACACAAAGGGGCAGATGGAGAAAAGTGCCAAAAAAAAGTAGTTAGATTGTTTCCGTATCTTGACTATTGTGAATATTGCTGCAATGCACATGGGGACACAGGCACACTGATAAGAAAATGTGATATATATATACATATCATATGTATATATATATATATATATACATATCATATGTGTATATATATATCATATATATACCACATTTATATATATTTGTATATATATTATATAATGAAATATTATTCAGCCTTAAAAAGGGGGTTCTACCATTTGCCACAACATGAATGGACATGGAAGGCCTTCAGCTAATGAAATAAACCAGACACAGAAAAAAAAATTGCATGATCTCACTTATATGTGAAATCTTTTTAAAAAAAGGTTCAAATAGAGAATAAAAAAGTGGTAATCAGGGGCAGAGCGTGTGGTGAGGAATAAATGGGGAGATGTAGGTCAGAGGATACAAAGTAGCAGATATGTAGGGTGAAGGAGTCTAGAGATCTAATATAGAACACACAGACTACTTAATAAATTGTATTGTGTTAGGGATTTTTGTTAAATAGATTTCAGCTGCTCTTGCCAAAAAACAAAAAGTAACTATGTGAGATGATAACTATGTTAATCTGCTTCACTATAGTAACTATGTTACTATCTACATGTATCATATATAACATTCCTTCATAAACCTCAAATATACATAATACAATTTATTTCTTAAATAAAAAAAATGTTTTAAAACAAAGTAGCTAGAATTCCAGAGGCAGTTGTGTTCTACCTCACAGTCGGCGCTCTACAGTGTGGGGCCCCTTCTTTAGTCCCAAGAGAAGACCAGCTTTCAGATGAGCACCTGCTGCTACTGGCTGCCCCCAGCTTTCTGGGGAGCTATTAGATGGGGAGAAACTCAGAAGTGCCTCTAGGGTCTCATACTAAACTTGACCAGAATTAATACCAAGGAGTTAATCATTCTTTGCACCTTAAGAATTTAGAAGAAGAAACCTCTATTTACTTGAGAAAGCTCCCAAGAGCATGTGATAGTTGCAAGCTTGACAACTCTGATTCCCAAGTCATCCCTGGTAATCCTTTCTGGTTTTTTGATTGCTTATTTCTTCTCAGATAACCCGCGATAGTGAAAAAAAATAGGGTGACTTTTCTACCCATTTTATCTGTAAAACATCCCTTCCCAAGTGACAGGAAAATATATCATAGATGCAAACTAAATTAGAACTATATTAGAACTAGAGGTTAGGCTCCACTAAAGAGAATATGTAGGGAATGTGCAGATGCTGGTGAGGAGGGGCACAGGGTGGGCACAGGGCTGGCACAGCTCTGGGATGGGGTTGGGGGATACTTTCTGGTACTGGTTTACACTTGGTCTTTCAGTAGCACTTGAGAAAAAAATGCTTGATTAACCTATAGGCTGCCCCTTTTTCTTGGAAGAGCACCAACGCAGAGAATTCCCTGAGAGGCTTCAGTGCCAGACTGTGCACTCCATAGTTGCTGTAGGAAGTGGGAGCAACTCTGAGCAGAACCTCCTCATGAGCTTGTTTCTGTTGCTATTAAAGGACTGCCCAATTCTTCCAGCCTCCCCACTTCCCCACCCCCACTCCCCAACCCCCAACCAGAGCAGGTGCCAGAGAAGTTAACTAGAATGGCAGCATCAGCTGAGACTGCCCTACCCACTTCAGAGCCTGATTCAGTGGTCAGCATAGGTTTCTGGGGCTTTTGACCATCTCCCCACTGACTGAAGTGAACTGTGAGCAGTACAAGAACAAGATGGTCAGGTTTATCTTGTCTCCCTTCCACCCTTCCACAAACCAGAAATAGGCTTCAATAACTGTAGCTGTGTGAAAGCCACAACAATCCCACCCAGGCAGGCCATGACTGTGGAGAAGCTGCTTCCAGAACCATTCCACCCACCTCCATCTCCCTTCTGGCTACTCCTTCAGCTCTAAGCTGGGCAACCATCCTCTTTCTTATGCCTTCCAGTTTAGCTCTGACCTTTCAGAGCCCCCTCTCCAGGTTGCCGTAACCTAAAGAATCTTTCCTCCAAAAGAATGCCTCCCTATCCCAATCCTCATCAAAAAGCATTCCCTATGGCAGCCCTCAATCAATACTTAGGAAGAAAAAGGGACATAGATAAATAGAAATGAAGAATTGTATGTGCTTTCTAATAAGCTTTGTATAATTATACTTCCTGGAATATTCATGTCTTAGAACACTAGTAACTTTTTGTAGTGGATTGAATGGTGACCTCTAAAAGAAATGTTCGTATGCTAACCCCTAGAACATGTGAATGTGACCTACTTAGAAAAAGAGTCTTTGCAGATATAATTAAGAACCTTGAGATAAGATCATCCTGATTATCCAGGTGGGCCCTAAATCCAATGATAATTGTCCTTACAGCAGCCAGAAGAAGGGAAAACACAGACACAGCAGCAGAGGTTGGAGTTATGCAGCCACCAGAAGCTGGAAGAGGCAAGGAGGGATGAGAGCCCTGCTAATACTTTGGTTTTGGACTTCCGGCCTTCAGAACTCTGAGAAAATAAAGTTATGTTGCTTTAAGCCACAAAATTTATGGTAATTTGTTATGACACCCCTAGGAAAAAATACTCTTGTTAAAGTTGCACAGCCATGCAACTACCTCTCTGAATGTAAACATACACAGTTTTTTGCATTACTTTTCTTGCAATTTTCTGTGCAAATATAAACATACATATGCCTTGCTTTTCCTTTTGTTTAATGCAAATGAAATACTATTTTGTTTTCCCACTTATTTTTTCCATTTAAGATGTCATGGACATACTGCACATTGGCCACAAAAATATTAACTCCTCCCTGGAACAGGACATTTAGTTTGTTTCTGTTATTTTGCAGTTTTGAATAATGGAACAATGACAGCAGTATACATATATCTTCATGTACTTGGCAAGCACAGTATGTCTGTGGGATAAATTCTCAGAAATGGAACCTGTAGCAACTGTGAATGGGAGTTCACTCATGATTTGGCTCTCTGTTTGTCTGTTAGTGGTGTATAAGAATGCTTGTGATTTTTGCACATTGATTTTGTATCCTGAGACTTGGCTGAAGTTGCCTATCAGCTTAAGGAGATTTTGGGCTGAGACGATGGGGTTTTCTAGATATACAATCATGTCATCTGCAAACAGGGACAAAGAGAATAAAATACCTAGGAACACAACTTACAAGGGACATGAAGGACCTCTTCAAGGAGAATTACAAACCACTGCTCAATGAAATAAAAGAGGATATAAACAAATGGAAAAACGTTCCATGCTCATGGGTAGGAAGAATCAATATTGTGAAAATGGCCATACTGCCCAAGGTAATTTATAGATTCAATGCCATCCCCATCAAGCTACCAATGACTTTCTTCACAGAATTGGAAAAAACTACTTTAAAATTCATATGGAACCAAAAATAAGCCTGCATTGCCAAGTCAATCCTAAGCCAAAAGAACAAAGCTGGAGGCATCAGGCTACCTGACTTCAAACTATACTACAAGGCTACAGTAACAAAAACAGCATGGTACTGTTACCAAAACAGAGATATAGACCAATGGAACAGAACAGAGTGCTCAGAAATAATGCCGCATATCTGCAACTATCTGATCTTTGACAAACCTGACAAAAAGAAGAAATGGGGAAAGGATTCCTTATTTAATAAATGGTGCTGGGAAAACTGGCTAGCCATATGTAGAAAGCTGAAACTGGATCCCTTCCTTACACCTTATACAAAAATTAATTCAAGATGGATTAAAGACTTACATGTTAGACCTAAAACCATAAAAACCCTAGAAGAAAACCTAGGCAATACCATTCAGGACATAGGCATGGGCAAGGACTTCTTGTCTAAAACACCAAAAGCAATGGCAACAAAAGCCAAAATTGACAAATGGGATCTCATTAAACAAAAGAGCTTCTGCACAGCAAAAGAAACTACCATCAGAGTGAACAGGCAATCTACAGAATGGGAGAAAATTTTTGCAAACTACTCATCTGACAAAGGGCTAATATCCAGAATCTACAATGAACTCAAACAAATTTACAAGAAAAAAACAAACAACCCCATCAAAAAGTGGGCGAAGGATATGAACAGACACTTCTCAAAAGAAGACATTTATGCAGCCAAAAGACACATGAAAAAATGCTCACCATCACTGGCCATCAGAGAAATGCAAATCAAAACCACAATGAGATAACATCTCACACCAGTTAGAATGGCAATCATTAAAAAGTCAGGAAACAACAGCTGCTGGAGAGGATATGGAGAAATAGGAACACTTTTACAATGTTGGTGGGACTGTAAACTAGTTCAACCATTGTGGAAGTCAGTGTGGCGATTCCTCAGGGATCTAGAACTGGAAATACCATTTGACCCAGCCATCCCATTACTGGGCATAAACCCAAAGGATTATAAATCATGCTGCTATAAAGACACATGCACACGTATGTTTATTGCGGCACTATTCACAATAGCAAAGACTTGGAACCAACCCAAATGTCCAACAATGATAGACTGGATTAAGAAAATGTGGCACATATACACGATGGAATACTATGCAGCCATAAAAAATGATGAGTTCATGTCCTTTGTAGGGACATGGATGAAGCTGGAAACCATCATTCTCAGCAAACTATCACAAAGACAAAAAACCAAACACCGCATGTTCTCACTCATAGGTGGGAATTGAACAATGAGAACACTTGGGCACAGGAAGGGGAAAATCAGACACTGGGGCTTGTTGAGGGGTGGGGGGAGGGGGGGAGGGACAACATTAGGAGATATACCTAAGGTTAAATGATGAGTTAATGGGTGCAGCACACCAGCATGGCACATGTATACATATGTAACAAACCTGCACGTTGTGCACGTGTACCCTAAAATTTAAAGTATAATAATAATAATAATAAAAGAAATGGAACCTGTAGGTCAAAGGGCATGTGTTACCTAATTCTCTTCCAAATGAATTGTTCCCAGTGTCACTGTCACAGGGTTTGAGAGGACCTCAACAGATGACATCCACAATTTTAATCATTACTGGCCTATATTTTTCATATTCCTCAGATATCATTGGGTGGGGATGGAAAGAGAAATTTCTATGCCTGAATTTATAACCTAAACCCAACATAAATATTCTAATTAATGTTATTTCCCTAACCTAAGGGAAAATTTCCTCCTCAGATGGATTGTATTGTAGCTTTGTTCCCTCAGCCCTGATATGTACTACTGGGTTAATTCCAGCCATCCCTCATCACCTTTCAGGGGATTCTCACTCTAACCTGAAAAATATTTTGACTTTTGAAATCCTGGCTTGATGAGGTGAGTGAATTTCATGCGCTCCATCAATCTTATGCCAAATAAATTTGTCTATAGCATGAGGTAGCTTAAGTCTCTGTTCCAGTTGACTCAGATTTTATTTGGTGATTACTTGACATTAATTGACAACATTCCAGGAATTAAGAATACAAACTTGATACCCTCAACCAGAGTGCTTGTCTGAGCAGGCTACCGTATTTTTTTGGGATAACTCACCCTTATTAACCCCAATTTTGTATGCCTGTGCATTGTCTCAGTTGTGTGGGAGATCCAGGTCCTTATCTTCTTTGGCTAATTCCTCTTCAGGAAAATCACATGGAGAAAGTGTTTTGGAAGGATCCACATGACCCTCTTCTCCAAGTTTATTCAATGTCTATTTGCAGAGTTCTGTCAGTGATATTCAAGGTGGCGGATTTGCTGTTCTCCAAATCCACTATTCTCATCGCATCCTTGCCAGGAGCATGGTGGCCTGTGATCCCACCAGCCTCCCATGCTCTGAGGTGGTTTTCTCTCTGCATGGCTGCTCTGAGGCACCATCACCAGCTGGCTGCCTGTCAGCAGCGTGAGATGTAAATGTTCTTGTGCCTCCAGCCCTCCTTTACCACTTCTTGACATTTTGCTGTAATCTGGAAAGGAAAGTGGAAGATGCTCTGTGCTTCCCACCTCTATTCCCCATGGTGGGGGAGCAAGAGAGGCAGAGATTGTAGCTTGGAATTGATTTCAAATTATTTCTAAAAACAAGAATTTTATATTATGTGCAATTTACCACAGGAAAAAGAAAAACAAACAACAACAAAAATTAAGACCTGGAAGCACTCCATTATCTTCCTTTCAAAAAAGCTACCCAAATAAAGCATTTTTAATATAAACAGTGTCTCTCTCCTCTCTGAATTATTCTGTGTCTCAATAGAGAAACACACAGGCAATGTGCCTTTTCTTGGCATGAATGCCCTGATTTCCAGGGTGCTGATAAACCATTCAGTGTCATACTACAGTGCCGGGGTCATTAAGCATATCTCCTTGTATGTCTCACTCAGGCAGCACATGATTCAATGAGGAATTCAGAGCTTCTGAAACTTTTGTTTCCACCTCAACTTCCACTGTACCTTGTGTGATTGGAGTACATATACTCAGGGGAGAGACATGATGAACAAAAGTGCATTGCCAATACCTTTCATTCTTTTTAGCCTCTCAGCCTAGCTACTTGCTCTTTGGGGCTCCAGGGAGGACTGCCTGCATCTCCAGTTCCACCTTCCCAGCAGTTGCGCTGCACCTTACAACTGACCAAATGAGCAAATGGATACGAAACAGTGGACACCATGCTTTTCATGCCATAGCCCAGGTCTGAACAGGGACCTGAAAAAAGGTGGAAATAAGTGAGAGGTGAGGCAGAATGCCACAAACTGGCTGGGGGTCAAAGTTGGAAGCAAAAATAACCATGGTGAAGGATTTCGATCCCAACAATGTGGCCTCATTACCGTGCTTCTCACATGCTGTACTAGAGATGCATTAGCAGCGAATTGCCATTCAGTCAAGTCTGCCAGTGTCTGGAAATCATTTTAAATACCATTTAGTAGCATTTAGATTATTTTATGATAACACAGTACCCACTGAAAGGATTATTAAGCTCATATTTGCAGTGGCCAGAGAAAAAAATAAAACAACTCTTCGAAAGATGACTCCCACCATTGCCCCCTCAGCAATTATTCATTTAGAAGCCTCTCTGCCTACATTAGAGCCTGATATAAATTGGCATATGCTAATGCAGGGCTCTACTGTGGGTTTCTCCTTTAGGAGTTCAGGCTCTCATTACCTACCAATTGATGCACAGGATCCCAGACCCCGTTTCCTCTAGTTCGATGTCGCTGTTACACTGTTAGCTCTGAGCCAAAGTAATTTCTTTTCCTTTCCATATACCTATTGCTCCTTTGGTAATGGGTTTCCAGAGCAATATTGCAAATAATAACCCAATGGTCAGAGCTTGCTTGCTTGCCTCCAAAAATAATACCTCATTAGGCAGCAGATCTTGGCTTTTCACCGTGGAGCAGGAGATTTACAAAAAGCATCATTTCTCATGGCCCACAGAAGCCTGTAACTCACTTAAAGAAAATAGTGTTGCCAAGTTAAACTGGTGAGCTTCTCAGCAGGTACCTGAAAGCTGAATAACTAACATTTTAATTACACAATCATGTTGTTAAAACAAATTTTCAAGTAGCGTACTTCAAGTGTAGTGGTGTGCTAGAGTTAGTTGATTTGTCCTGGCTAGGGAGAGCCAATGGTGTACATCTCTTCCCCACTCCAGGTTCAACGACCTGATGTCAGCTTGGGAGGCTGAAATTGGCCATAACAATTGGGAAACACTACAAATCAGAATTCCCCTCCTTTCTTCCTTTCTTCCTTCCTTCCTTTCCTTCCTTCTTTTCCTTTCCTTTCCTTCCCTCCCTCCCTCTCCCACCCCTCTCCCACCCCTCTCCTTTTTTCTTTCACAGAACTTATTATTAAACATTCACCATATCCCACCACCTCAGTGAACTCTCCAGAGTGAGACAGTTCCCCAGACACCACTGGGTAACAAGACCTCATTCATTGCTGGAGGCTGACCATGAAAGTAGTCTGGCTGTTCCCTGGGTAGCACCAACTCTGACCCCAGGCTCATTATTTCTATGCAACTCATTCAGTTCAGTTTCTACACCTTCAGCTTCTGACATATTCCCCTAGATCACAACCAAGGGGCTTTAACAATGAAAGTACCATGAGCCTGATTATGCTCAGTTTTGAAAAAGAAAAAAAATTCTTCTTTTCAGGAATCTAGTTATGAAAGATATTAAGAGGTTGTGTGTACAGTTGAGGGTTTTGAGAGCTACAGGAGATTGGGAAAGGATTGCTTCTGTTATTACATCTGTAGTTTTTCTGCAAAAGACAGGGCAAGTCTCAAGGTCTGTTCTGTTTGTTTTGTTTTGCTTTGAGACAGGGTCTCACTCTGTCACCTAGCCTGGAGTGCAGTGACATGATCACAGCTCACTGCAGCCTCAACCTCCTGGGCTCAAACAGTACTCCCACCTCAGCCTCCAGAGTAGCTGGGACTACAGGAGAGCACCACTATGCCCAGCTAATTTTTAAAAATATTTTTGTAGACACATTATCTCCCTATGTTGCCCAAGCTGGTCTCAAACTCCTGGGTTCAAGCAATCCTCCTGCCTCAGCCTCCCAAAATGCTGGGATTACAGGCATGAGCCACTGCAGCTGGCCCCAAGGTCTGTTTTGAATTATTTTAGCTTAAGGCTTTAATTATTAATGAATAAAAATTTCATTATGCAAACTCTTATCAGTACTTACATTCTAATATGAAGGATAAAGGTTTTGATGGGGGATGTAAGATCTAGAGGAAAGAGAGTCAAGAGAATGATGCTTCCAAATAGAAATGTTCTCAATTGTTCATTATTTCTAGGACTAGCCTAGACTATAATAGCGTTGTTTGACTAACATTTTAATTACATAAGCATGCTGTTCAAAATACTTAAGTAGCATGAAGAGTACAAAATGGAAAGTAAATTTTCTTTCTACTCATTCAGTTCACCATCTCACTGTTACAGCTAGTAAATGGCAAAATTTTATTGTATTAATATATGTTTCCAATTTACAATAGTGTATTTGAATGCTAACTATGCTATTGTATTTGATTATTAAATATTCAGTATGAGCCCATAATAGTTTCCAAAATTTTTTCAAATATGCTTTTGCTCAGACATACAGACATCAAACAATGCTCATTAGTATTAAAAACCTGACTTGTTCACTACATTAATTTTTTTTAAACCTGTGTTTTTACTGCTTTCCCTTTGGAATTTTTTTTCCCTCCAATTTAACCTGAATATAGTCGAGCAAATGCATGGAAAGTGAGAGTCCAGAGTTGATTTAACTTCTATTGGCAGGATTTTCTGCCCAGAAAGATCCATGCTCCCTGCAAATTGCACACTGCTTATCTCCCATGTCCTCCTTCATCAGAGCTCACTGGATGCATAAAACCAGATGACACTGTTGCTCCTCCCTCTCAGAGAAACTCTTTGTTAGAGTCAAGTCCATCAAAAATCTCCTAATATGTTCATAATGGCAGCCTTTGAACATCTCCTCTCCAGCAACACCAAGGACCCAGATTTGGTCCTTGATATTGCTGTTGTTCTTTATATTGCTGGTGTTCTCAAATAGCCCATCCTCCCCATTCTCCACTGTTTCATTTATTGGACCACATGGCCCGTATTTCCAGTGCACCTGCTCAGGGCTGCTCACCCCCGTCTCCTGGGACCCTGAGGCTCGAGATTCATTGCATAGCACAGGACTCACCTTGAGCCCCCAGCCTCCAAGCCCTAATGTGTTTGTGTTTGCCTATTATGGATTTCTGACTAAGGAGCAAAGGGTAGAATCCTGATCTTGTTATAGTGGCCTTTGCTGTGTCACTTCCTTAACCACTGGCCTCTGACAGTTCCCTTGTCAAGAGAAGTGGATGTGCCCAACCGAGTTTTTTGATAAACACTACTCTGGCTGTGGGGTCTCCCCTCACAGGTTTTGTTTTTATCGTCACAGTCTGAGTCTTGTCTCAGCCTCATGTATCTATTTCTAGGTCACTAACCTTTGCTCCTCTGTTGCCTCTTTTTGGTGTGCCTCTTAGTTTCTTGTACCACTTAGTTCCCAAAGCCTAGGAAATACTAAGCTATTTGAGAAAATTATTATGCTTTTCTTTTTGTTCCTGCCCGTGAGAACCTTCTCCCAGAGCATCTGGAACAGCTGAAGAAGACACTCACTGGTGTTGCAGTTATATGCATGAGCCTTGTCTTGAGCCACACTTACAAGAGGTTATTTGAGTTTTTGACACACAGGCCCCTACACATATTCCCATCTATGCTCTTCCCTAGAATGATGTTGCAAGGAAATGACCACCTTCCTAAATAGAATACAACTCAGATACTTCAAAGGTGGCTGTGAAGATTATATTTTCCATGTGGAAATGGCAGCTGGACCATATATATCTGGCTCTTGCCTGAATTCTGTGCAGAGCTTTATCCTTTCTCCCCGCTCTTCCCCTCATGCTAGTCTGAGGATTGGAAGTTAGAGACAGACATTAGTTCATTCTGGTCCCAAATGTGGACATTAATTAATTCATTAATAAATATTTATTGAGCACCTACTATATGCCAGACATTGTTCTAAACCCTGATGATACTGGGGAAGATTCTTGATCCTCTTCAGCTTTTCTATAGTACAGCTAAAACAAGAATGGAATGTTTACATAAGAATAGATATTAACAATAGGAACGTAAACAGAAGCCAAGAAATCTAAATGATATGGTTTTCAAGATACACTTGATCTCTGGGGCTCATATATCAGGCCTCATGTGAAATCTCAGCCTCAAAATTAGACTCACCACTCAAGAAATAATTTGTGTAAATCTGCTCTCAAAGTATAGATCCAACTGGTCAAATCTCAAAGAGAGATAATATTTCCTCTCTCTACCATGAAAGCCTGTCTTGTTCCACAGGAGGCAAAAATTATATAAAATTAACATCTATTATTTGGATGTTCTAGAGCTGGCCTTTCTTTTTTCCTACTTGATTTTAGCAAGATCAAAACAGATGTGTTGGAGGCTGGCCAAGATGGCTGACTAGAAGCAGCTAGTGTGCACTGCTCTCATGGAGAGAAATGGAAGGAGTGAGTAAGTACAACACCTTCAGCTGAAACATCCAGGTACATGCACTGGCATTCATCAAGAAAACAACCCAACCCACAGAGAATGGAGAAAAGCAAGGCAGGACGACCACCTACCTGGGAGCAACATGGATCTAGAGGAGCGTCCCCTACCCAGGGAAGCGGTGAGTGAGTGAGCGATCCGGGGACCCATGCTTCTCCCACAGATCTTTGCAACCCCAGGTCAGGAGATCCCCTCGTGAATCCACTCCACCAGGACCTTCAGTCTGACATGTAGAGATATGTAGAGTCTTGGAAGAGAGGCCTCTTAGGTTCACATGGAACCACAGGAGCTTTAGATACCTGGGCTTCCCAGGAAAAGTGGCTGCAACTCTGGCAAATCAGGAGGTTGGACCCCCATACATACTCCTAGGAAAGGGGCTGAATCCAGGGGCTGAGCAGCCACAGGCGGTAGGCCGCACTTCCATGGCATCTCACAGGATAAGATCCACTGGCTTAGAACTCTGGCCAGCCACAGGTAGCAGCTTTACCTCCGCCTGAGATGGAGCTCCCAGAGGGAGGGGCAGGCTGCCGGCTTTGCTGTTTTGCAGCCTTAGCCGTTATTGCCTTTGGGCTCTAGAGAATCAGAGGCAACTAGGGACTGGAGCAGTCCTCCGACACAGTGCAGCAGCTCTATGAAGACGTGGCCAGACTATTTTTTTATGTGTGTCCCAGATCCTATTTCTCTTCACTGGGAAGAATTTCCCGGCCTAGGTCTACAACCATCCCCACCAGGGTTTTCCAGTCAGCAGCAGTTCCAAACCTCCTGGGACTGTGTTCCCAAAGGGGAGAATGGGCCACCATCTTCGCTGTTTTGCATCCTTAGCTGTTGTTGTCTTTGGGCTTTGGAGAGTCCACAGTGACTGGAGGTTGGAGCAGACCCCCCCAAAGCAATAAAGCTACTCTACAAAAAAAGGGGGCAGACTGATTTTTTTATGCAGGTCTCTGATCCCATTCCTCCTCGTTGGGCAGGACCTCTGCATCGGGGTCCCCAGCCTCCCCAACTGGTGTGTTTGGGCCAGCAACAAGTCTGTAATTCCCTGGAACAGAGCTCCCAGAGGGAGAGGCAGGCTACCATCTTTGCTGTTTCACAGCCTTCACTGTTGATACCTTCAGGTACTGGAAAATCCAAGGTGACTAGGGACTGGAATAGACTCCCACCATATTGCCACGCCCTAAAGAAAAGTGGTCAGACTATTATGTGGGTCCCTGATCCCATAGCTTCTCACTGGGTGGGTCCCCCCAGCCTGGGTCTCCAGCCATCCCCTGCTGGGGCTATTGAGCTAGTAGCAGCTCTGCAACTCCCTGGGATAGAGCTCCCAGTGGGAGGGGTGTGTTGTCCTCTTTGCTGTTTCACAGCCCTTGCCCTTGCTGTCTCCAGGCTCTGGTGAGTCTGCAGGGACCAGAAACTGGTCTGGACCCCCAGCACAGAACACCCACCTCATGGAAAAGTTACCAGATTGTTCTCCATACAGGTCCCGGTCCCGGTCCCGGTCCACACTTCTCACTGGGGAGGGCTATCCAACCTGGGACTCCAGCACAACCACTCTGCCTCTGTCTGATCACCACAGAGGCAGACCAGCATTTCTCCAAGGAGGAAATCTTAGAGTCAAACCACAACCCCTGTGCCACTGCAATTGCAGTGCTACTGCCCTAACAGCTCTCAGCCTGGGGAAAGGATAAAAGGCACTACCCAGGCACCTCCAGCACACCATAGCCACCATACAAAGAGGAGTCTAGCCCCTCTTCCCTGGGAACCCCCACTCCCAATCTTCACCAGGCAGGGCCCCTAGCTCATGACCACAGAACAGTCACCCCACCCAGAGTGAACATGCCCACTAGTAGTGTCCCAGAGTTTCCCTGGGGAGAGGCTCCCAGAGGCATCTGACAGCCCCCCCGCCACCCCCTGCCCACCACTGCCACAGTAGCAGTTCTATCCCTGCTACCTTTGGCCTGAGGGATACACCTATGCTTACGGCACCCCACAGTCACCAGAACTTACAGCACACCACAGCATACCACAGAACACCACAGCACAGAGAGGAGACCAGTTTCTCCTCCTAGTGAGCCCTTGACCCCCTGCTCCCCAACAAGCGCAACCCCAAGCTCACACTGGTAGTGCAGCTACCTCTCTCCACTGGCTGAATACTCCCAGTAACTGCAGCTCTGTGTTTCTAAGACAGGGCCCAAGGAGGAACAAAAAGCCCCTCTGCCCCTTTCTCTGTGTTGGTGCTACCCAGCTATCTTCAGACTAAAAAAGGAGCAAAGGCCCTAAGTGCCTTATCCACACCTCCAACAAGCAGCAGCTGACCCAAGGAGAGGAAGCCACTCTGTCTCCCATGGCTCCTACCCACACTCCTGCTCATTATTACCAGGGAGGGAACCCCTGGCTTAGGCCCACAGCACAGAGCCCCCATCCAGGGCTGATTGTACTGAGTGATTGCTGACCTGAATCTCTCTGGGGTGGAGCCCCCAGGAGACAAGAAAAAACCCTTGGCCACAACCACTTCTAAGGTTCCTTTCTTTGCTGCTTCCAAGTTGGGGAGGGCACATAAGCCCTGAGATCACCCCAGAGCTGTCGTGGGTAGCCTGGGAGTGCCAAGTTGCGATCTACAGCCAGCACTCAAGTGGGAGAGGAGCCCACGCTATCAGAGCATTGAGAGGGAGCACGATTGCAATTGGTGAAGAAATATAGGGGTATAGGGGAGCCCCACGCCTGAGCAAGAGTCTACCAACCGACCACTATAGCTAAGCATCACCTACTGGATCACACCGTCAAACCAAAAGATTCAACAGCAAAATTACCTAACACCCCCACCCCCAACCCCCGCCGTGAAACCAAAGACAAGGGAGCTACAAAGACCCTGCACAAATCCTTGGCCCTGTGAAAACATCAAGAAAAGAAGCCTACTGACTATACTTAATCTATATTGCAGTTAAAGGAACACCCACATATAGAGATGAGAAAGAACTAATGCAAGAACTCCAGCAACTCAAATGGCAAGAGCGTCTGATGTCCTCCAAACAACTGTACAAGTTCTCCAAAAAAGGTTTTAAACCAGGCTGTGTTGACTGAAATGACAGAAACATAATTCAGAATATGGATAGGAATGAAGATCATTGAGATTCAGGAGAACAGCAAAACCCAATCCAAGGAAACAGAATCACAATAAATGATACAGGAGCTGACAGACAAAATAGACAGTATAAAACAGAACCTAACTGATCTGACAGAGATGAAAAACACACCACAAGAATTTCACAATACAATAGCAAATATTAATAGCAGGATAGACCAAGCTGAGGAAACAATCTGAGAAATTGAAGACTGGCTCTCTGAAATGACAGAAAAAAAAAGAAAAAGAAAAAAAAAGAATAAGAAAGAATGAACAAAACCTCCGAGAAATATGGGATTACGTAAAGAGGTCAAATCTATGAATCATTGGCATTGCTGAAAGGGATGATAAGAAAGCAAACAACTTGGAAAACATATTCTGAATGTCATTCATGAAAATTTCCCCAACCCCACTGGAGAGGCCAACAGTCAAATTCAGGAAATACAGGGAACCCCTTGCAAGATTCTATATAAGAAGATCATCCTCAAGTCATATAATCAGATTTTCCAAGGCCAGAATGAAAGAATATTAAAGGCAGCTAGAGAGAAAGGCCAAGTCACCTATAAAGGAAACCCCATCAGGCTACCAGACCACCTCTCAGCAGAAACCCTACAAGCCAGAAGAGACTGGGGACCTATATTCAAAATTCTTGAAGGAAAAAAAAAAATCTTCAACCAAGAATTTTATATCTACTAAACTAAGCTTCCTCAGTGAAGGAGAAATAAGATCCTTTCAGATAAGGATAAGCAAATGTTGAGGGAGTCTGTTACCACCCGGCCTGCCTTATAAGAGATCTTGAAAAGAGCTCTAAATATGGAAAAGAAGGACCATTACTAGCCAATACAAAAACACATGTAAGTTCACAGACCAGTGACATTATAAAGCAACCACACAATGAAGCCAGCACAATAACCAGCAAAGACATGGAATCAACCTAAATGACCATCAATGGCAGATTGGATAAAGAAAATATGGTACATATATACCATGGAATACTATGCAGCCATTAAAAATAATGAGGTCATGTCCTTTGCAGGAACATGGATGGAGCTGGAGGACATTATCCTTAGCAAACTAACATGGGAACAGAAAACCGAATACCACCTGTTCTCATTTATAAGTAGGAGCTAAATGATGAGAACACATGGACACAAAGAGGGGAACAACAGACCCTGGGGCCTACTTGAGAGTGAACAGTGGAAGGAGGGAGAAGATCAGAAAAAAATAACTATTGGTTACTCGGCTTAGTACCTGGTGATGAAATAATCTGTACAACAAACCCCCATGAGTTTACCTGTGTAACAAACCTGCACATATACCTCTGAACCTAAAATAAAAGTTTAAAGAAAAAGATGTGTTAATTGACCATTTCTATTCTTTTTCTTTCAACTTGTATTTGTATGCTAGCTTTTATTTTAATATGTAATATAAGCTTGGCCCAACTGTGGTTCATGGGCTGCTTGAAGCCCAGGGTGGCTTTGAATGCAGCCCAACGCAAATTCATAAACTTTCTTAAAACCTTATGGGATTTATGCATAGACTTTTTTATTTTTTTTAAGCTCATCAGCTATCATTAGTGTTAGTGTATTAGTGTTAGGGAAGCCAAAAGATTGGACACCTCCGCTACAATATATTTGGTTCATAAAGGTTTTAGACAATAGTTCTTTCCTTTTGCTTTTCTTATTCTGATTAAAAATATTGACAAAAATTGTTCATATTCAAGGTGTACAATGTGATGATTTGATATATGGATACATTGTATGCTTATTACCAAAGTCATGTTAATTAATGCATTCATCACCACCCATAGTTACCATTTGTGTGTGCAGGGCAGGGGGATGAGGACACAAAATTTGCTGTCTCATCAAATTTCTAGTAAACAATGCAGTGTTATTAATCACGGTCAGAATGCTATACATTAGATCCCCAGAACTTATTCATCTTAAAACTGAAAGCTGAACTCATAGAAGAAGAAAGTAGAATGATGGTTGCCAGGGACTGGGTGGTAAGGTGAATAAGGTGATATATGGCAAATAGTTTCTTTTTTATAGAATGAAATCATGGCCAACATAAATAACTGTCTTAGCTCTGTTTAATGATTTCTTATGTGAATTGTATTTATATAATATTTTGATTCTTACTTTATATTTTCAGGGTTTTTTTGTTCTGTTTTTTGTTTTTTTTAGACCGAGTTTCGATCTCGTTGCCCAGGCTGGAGCGCAGTAGCGCAATCTCGACTCACCGCCACCTCCACCTCCCAGGTTCAAAAGATTCTCCTGTCTCAGCCTTCCTGAGTAGCTGGGATTACAGGCATGCACGACCACACCTGGCTAATTTTGTATTTTTAGTACAGACGGGGTTTCTCCATGTCAGTCAGGCTGGTCTCGAACTCCTGACCTCAGATGATCCACCCGCCTCGGCCTCCCAAAGTGCTGGGATTATAGGCGTGAACCACCACGCCCGGCCTATTTTCAGGTTTTTGGGTACATTTAGTCTCCTTTTCTTTTTATCTTTTTTGAGTTACTCTTTTTTGTCTGTCTCTTTAAAATAGTATATACATGAGTTTGAGGTTTTGATTCTCATGAAATATTTGTCTTTTAATACAGAAATACATTTACCAAAAATATGTAAGACTTCTTGGGTCATAAACTTTGTCTCTCAAAATTTCTATTGCTCCATTATATTGTCACATTTATTATTATAGAGGTAACATGTTTTATTCCTTTGTAGAAAACTGTTGTTTTTCTGTTTGGATGCTTACGGAACAATGGTTCTAAAAGTGTGGTCCCTTGGGGATTGTTAATGGGTACAAAAAAAGTAGTTAGAAAGAATAAGACCTAGTATTGCTAGCACAATAGGGTGACAATGGTGAGAAATAATTTAACTGTAAATTTTAAAATCATTAAAAGTGTATAACATGATTGTAACACAAAAGATAAATGCTTGAGGTGATGGATACCCGATTTACTCTGAAATGATTATCATGCATTACCTGTTTGTATCTCATGTAGCCCATAAATATATACACCTACTATGTACTCACAGAAATTTGAAATTAAAATAAATTAAAATTTTAAAAATAAAAAAATAGTGTGGTCCCTGAGAGTTTTCACGGAGTCTATGAGGTCAAAACCATTTTCATAATACTAAGAGGTTATTTTCTTTTAAGGTGTTGATATTTGGACTGATAGTCCGAAGCAATGATGCCTTGACAAGAATCAACACAGTGACATTAAATTATACTATATGTCCTTATATATTCTATTTGACAAATGGGAAATACTCATAAGGCACTTCTGCATCACATCACAGAAGAATGACTATCTTGAGGAAAATCACATGGGCAATTGTTTGAGTTGCAAGCTAAAGTAACCACATTTTTCTGGAAAACCCTTTTTTACTTGAAAGAACAACTAACAGATAAACTATGCTAAATTAAACAATTATTTGTCAGATGTTTTCTTTAAATGAACTAAATGAGCCTGTCACTACAACAAAAGGAACTGCGAGTATTTGTGGTCAACGATAAAATTTAAGCTCCCATGTGAAAAACAGAATTTTGGAAAACTATTAACCACCATGGTGAGCTTGTAAGCTTTTCAATAGTTAGACTTTTCTAATGAAGTTTGCAACAATATTAACAAGTGTGATTTTAAAAATTTGTGAAAATAGTATAGCAAAAAAGAAAAATCACCGGTTATTGATGTACTAGATTTGTGTATGTCTTTTGAACAGTTCTAGTTTCACCTTACACAGAATAATCAGGAAAAGTGTAAAAATTCAAAAGTGAAATAAAAATTTTATCAGTTAAAAAAAATTTGTATAACTAAATGTGTCAATGTTTGGAAGATCTTAATTATTCAGGGAAACAATGTATTTCCAAATGACCAGTGTATGATGTTAATATATATAGGTAAAGATCTATTTGAAATGGTAAACCAGTGGATTTTTCTGCAACTAAGTATGAAAAGTTATTTAATATTTCAGTTTTCATATTATAATTAACCTTTCAAAGTTGCCACTTTTCAAGTTTGGGTGTAGTAGTTTTAAAATATTAATAATTATCTGAAAAAGCTATTAAAAAGCTACCTTTCCAACTACATATTTGTGTGATGATAGATTTTTAAATATACTTTAACCAAAAAATATTAAAACAAATTAAATGTAGCAGATATGACATCCTGTTTTCTAAGCCAAACAATGAAGAGATTTGCAAACTGGAAAAAAATCCAATTTTTGTTTTGTTTTGGAATAGTTTTTTCATTAAGGTATCCTATCTATGTTAACATGTAATGGGCTTATTACTCAAATGAACACATATTTTCCTAAATTCTCAAATTTAATTTCTAATATGGTAAACATTGATAAAGATAATCTATGTAAACAAAAGTTATTTGGAACCTGTGATGGTTAATTTTATCCGTCAACTTGATTGGCCCACAGGGTGCCTAGATATTTGGTCAAACATTATTCTGGGTGTTTCTGTAAGTGTGTTTTGGGATGAGATTAATATTTAAATAAGTAGACTGAGTAAACCAGATTGCCTTTTCTATTGTGGATGGGCCTCATCCTATCAGTTGAGCCTGAATAGAACTAAAAATCTGAACTTTCTCCACGTGAGAGAAAATTCCCCCTGACTGCTGGGACATTGCCTTTTTTTTCTACTTCCAGACTCAAAGTGAAACATTGGCTCTTCTTGGTTGAACAGCTCACTGACTCACTCTGCAGACCTTAGGACTTACCCATTTCCACAACTGTGTGAGCCAATTCCTTATTTTTATGTATCTATCTATGGTATCTGTATTAGTTCGTTTTCATGCTGTTAATAAAGATACCCAAGACTGGGTAATTTATTAAAAAAAAAAGAGTTTTAATGGACTCACATTTCCATGTGGCTGGGGAGGCCTCACAAGCATGGTGGAAGGCGAAAGGCAAGTCTTATATGGCAGCAGACAAAAGAGAATTGAGAATCGAGCAAAAGGGGAAACCCCTTATAAAATCATCAGATCTTGTGAGACTTATTCACTATCATGAGAACAGTATGGGGGAAACCACCTCCATGATTCAATTATTTCCCACTGGGTCCCTTCCACAACATGTGGAATTATGGGAGCTACAATTGAAGATGAGATGTAGGTGGGAACACAGCCAAACCATATCTGTATCCATCCATCCATCCATCCGTCCGTCCGTCCGTCCGTCCGTCCGTCCGTCCGTCCATCCTATTGATTCTTCTATGGAGAACCCTAAAACAGAATCCTTAGTAATTTTTAAGAGTATAATAGCATTGTGAGACCAAAAATTTGAAAACTGTTGTTATAGAGTATGCAACCTTGTATCATAGTATTACCAGGTATCACACAAAGTGAGTCTCTTTTTATTTACTTTAACTCAATGAGCCACCTTAATCTATAACTCATTCTTTCTCTCAGGAATATCTTCTTATATGTATCACTGATTATTGATTTAGTCTCCTATAGGGACACTAATTATCCACATGTTATTGACTCTCCTTTCCCTGTTCTCCATGTCAATTATCTTTCCTGTCATCGGTTTTTTCTTTTTACTTTTCTGTATGTTTCAATTCTGTTATACTAATCTTTCTATATTTTATACATCTCTCATTGCAATTATTTCTATTGCCTTTTTATCTTGGCATTTTATCTCTGAATCTCTTTCTGTTTCATAGAGGCAATGGGTTCTACTTCTCTATTGCTCATTCCAAATAATTTCCTGGTTGTTTCTTCTGGATTTTACAAGAAAACATTATTTTAGAAAGATACTTTTCTTCTCAGTTTTTTCTTACATTGGAGTTTTATTTCTTTGGCTTGGATTGAATATTCTTTTTTTTAATGTTTCTCTTTGTTAATCCTTTAGTTGGGAAATTCTTTACAAATTTTTTTGTTATCGTTCTGTTGTTTTGTTTCATTTTGTTTTCAGAAAGCACTGTGGTTTGGTGAGGTAATTTTGGCTCTGTTACTGCCTCTTGTGTGGTGATTCGTCTTTTTCCCAAATCTACACTTGGAAGGCAGAATGACATGCACTGAATTCTAATCCAATTCCCAATGACTTTCACCTAGTTCAAACTTACTAAAGAAGTAACTTCTCTTTTCCCTACAACCTGATTTTCATCCACTGTAAATCAATATAATACATGATAAACAATTCTTGGCTTACACCTATAATAAATATTCCTCCAATGTCCACCCTACATCCTATACTTGGGGATTACAGCTATGAGAATTAGCTCTGCCACCACCATGATTCCCTACCTGCCTCTTGCCCAGTTCATTTTGTTGGCCTCTATCTCTGTAGATATAATAGGATGATTGGGAGCAAAGCTGATGGACAGAGTACTCCAATTGCCCGATAATTCATCATATCTTGAGGTGAATTCTGAGTAACTTGTTTTTAATACCCTTCAACCTGCTTTATATTATAGTCAGCAAAGATTCACCACCAGACAGTGGCATTGAGTTATCTAACAAATTTAGTCTTCAGTATTGATATGAGTCTTTCTCTTTCTTCTATATCTTTAAAAATACTGTAGTTGGATGTTGGGAGTCAATTTAATGAAGACTAATAGACACTAATAGTCACTTTGAGATCTCTGGTGATATTAAACCAGTCTCTAAGTTCTTATAACTCTGAACCCTATGACATGAGTTCTCCTACTGAGAATACAAATCAAACTTCTTACAGGTTGGACTGGGTATCTGATTCTCCCTTTAAGGTCACTAAGACAGTCCCAATGTGGTTGCTGACCAAGTAGAATAATGTCCAGATTGGATCCAGGGTTTCAGAATCTTAAATAATTTTTTTTTTTTTTTTTTTTTTTTTTTTTTTTTTTTTTTTGAGACGGAGTCTTGCTCTGTCACCCAGGCTGGAGTGCAGTGGCGCGATCTCGACTCACTGCAAGCTCCGCCTCCCGGGTTTACGCCATTCTCCTGCCTCAGACTCCCGAGTAGCTGGGACTACAGGCGCTCGACACCACGCCGGGCTAATTTTTTGTATTTTTAGTAGAGACGGGGTTTCACCATGTTAGCCAGTATGGTCTCGATCTCCTGACCTCGTGATTCGCCCGCCTCGGCCTCCCAAAGTGCTGGGATTACAGGCGGAGCCACCGCGCCTGGCCCGAATCTTAAATAATCTTAAGAAGATGGTACCAGGTATAAAGTATATATAAAGTATAAAAGCTGGGGGAAAAGACTCAAGGGTCAAAGTAGAGAAGGTTACTTAGCTATCAGGTTCTGAAAATAATCAAAGGAACAGATATGACTAATAACTGACTAATAACACTCAAGGTCATTCATTTAACAACATTTATTCATAAATATTCATTGATATCAGACTATATTACTAGTGCTCAAGGCAAGGAAATGTAGAACTCAAACAGGAATCCATAATAAGATGAGTGGGGAGGTCTAGAACTTTTGTTAGAAATAAGGCTATGATGCCCAAACTCTTTTCAGGTGCTGGGTTTTTTGATTTCAAAGAAATAGAATCAAGATAGATACTAAGAAATACTTCTATGGCATTATATACTTCTTATCTTTCCATTTGATCTCCTTTCATTACCCTCTAGGCCCAAACCAAAGGAGCCATGTTGTCCTTTTGACCAAAGAGGAAACTGGCCTTATGCTCCAAACATAAGAAACTCAGCATTAGGCCTAAGAGACCTAAAGGCCTTTGGTCAGCTTCCCAAAGATACTAACTGGCCACTTCCCCTTTGTCCCTGAAGTGGAAGGAAACATTCAGACCCATCATATCCCTTTAACAAGCATGCCAGGTTATAAGCCTGTATGCAAGTGATTTCTGGAGAATCCATGTTTCACTTGTGACTGTCTCTTTGTAAAACACAGGACGAAGGGAAAGATATGGTTAAATCCAAGTCAAGCTCCTTTAGGGAAAAATCTCTCACAGTTTCTTTACTGGTACAATGAGTAACTCTGGTCTAGTATTTTCAGAGGTGTTCCTAGCTCATTCTCTTAGCTGTTCTGCCACTGATTTTAGACCCTGCTCTCCTTTCAAAGTATTGATTTAGGATATACACAACTTACTGAAAAGAAAGCCAGCAAAGGAATAAAAGCTTTAAAACACATCATTATGCAGATGGTAATGTATTTGCTGCCTCCACTGCCAACAGAACAAAAAGATAAAGGTACATGTAGCAGCAGACAAATTTAGCTTAGTCACTGGAGGAAACTAGACATTACCCATCAAAGCATGATAATAACATGGCATAGGTTTCCCAAGGGAGATTGTATAGCTTCTTTAGTAGGCTTTTGAAAGAAATGGTTGACAATGATATTTCTTGAAACATGTTAATATAGTTCTATCCAGAGATAGGAGAAAGTACTTGATAATGTCCCCTGCCTATCCCTTGCCATTTGACGATTACAAATCATATAACTGTAATAACTCATTCATCTGGAAAAGGGCACTTACCTTTATTTCCTTCTTCTTTAGGCAACAAAACCATTACCTTTTCTGAACTGAAATCTGCTCACAGGTTGCTTTTTGGTACTGACTTTTCTCTTTGTTCACCAGACTGATGAAAATGTGTATATCCTATACGTTCTTATAGTTGTAATGAAATCCCTGAGCTCTTCCTTCAAAAACAATTTTTAACAAAAAAAAAGTAGGTTCCAGGAGGATAAAAGGAAGACAGATTGTTTTGTGCTTGTATTAAAGGCCAGGCTCTAAACACTTCCCAAAAATCCTTTTCAGGCTCCTTCCAGGGGATGACCAAACATCAACCCTACATAAAACAATCAGAGATTCAAGCTATAGTTTTTCCTGCCTCCAAAGTAGACTAACAAGACTTAACTGCACTTCCTAGGTACCTCAATTCTATAACTTGTTCCATTTTATTTTGTAGAAAATAGCTGCAATACATAAGGCCTTGGTAATGGTAGAATGTCAATAAGGATTTTTTTTCTCCAGCCCCCTTCTACTGAAATATGCCCAAATCCCACCACTCATGGGAATTTCACAAGTCTCCTTTAATAACCACTCACCCATGAGCATTTCATGAAGACTTTTTGTGTCATGCTGACTATTTTTATTACTCTCTCTTATTATGAGGCTTATATCCTTTTCTTCTCCTATTCATCTTTTTTTTTCTTTTTTAGACAGGGTCTCATTCTGTCACCCAGGCTGGAGTGCAGTGGTGCAATTGACAGCCTCGTCCTCCTGGGCTCAGGTGATCCTCCCACGTCAGCTTCCCTGCCATAGCTGGGATGGCAGGCGCATGCCACTTGGCTAACTTTTTGTGTGTGTGTGTGTGTTTTTGTTTGTTTTTTTTGTTTTTTTGTTTTGTTTTGTTTTGTTTTTGTAGAGACAGGGTTTTGCCATGTCGCCCAGGCTGGTCTTGGACTTCCAGGCTCAAGCCATACACCCACCTTGGCCTTCCAGAGTGCTGGCATTACAAGCATAAGTCCCTATGCCTGGCCTCCTACTCACCTTTTAGTTCTCAGCTTAAATATCTCTTTCTCAGGCAAGACTTCCCAGATGTTCCATATTAGGTTAGATACACTTACTACACAACTATATACATCTGAACCCAGGTGCATTTCTCTTGCACATTTCTCATCATAAGTGCAGATATTTGTACAAGGTCTGCTTCTCATTAGACATTAAGTTCATGAAGATGGAAGGCTTTCATCAAGTTCACTACTCTATTTCCAGTATCTAACACAGTGTCTGACACTTAGTGTTCAACAAATGCTTTAAATTATGTAATTCATTAATAAATTTTGAATATTCCAATGCTACTACTGATAAGAAAGTTAAAAATATTTATTTTTACTACAACAGATTCAAGTTGTCAGTCTGAATATTTCATTTCACAGTATTTATTTAAATTCCTTCTACACTGATTATTTTCTCTTTTTAAGGATAGCTTCTGGTTTTTTGTTTTGTTTTTTCCATCCTCCTACTACCTGACCCCCTGGCCCTTTTATCTTGGAAAGAAGCAAATTTCTTACAGACATTTTCTTCCTACAGGTATTGTGGTCTCTCCAGAAGCAGACTTAACAACAGGTATAAATACACAGTGGTAACTTGTGCAAGTAGGCAAGGCTAACCTTCCTTGAAACTATGGTCTCATTTCCAGAATTTTGCGGAAACCCTGCCTTCACCCCCACATCTTTCTGGTGATGATAATTCCATTAGCAAGTGGAGTGCTGAATTTCACAATCAGAAATGTGGTTTTAAATATAAATCCTAGCAAGATAAATTGTAATTTTATTTAAATTTCATTTAAGGTCTCAGTGACTTCTCATCTGCTTTTCTGTAAATATGTCTGAAGGTCGGCAACGATGCCCTGGGCAGGCAGAGCCAAGGCAGATGCTGGAGGAATAGAAGTGCCCCTGCATCAACATTTTGCTGAGAATTGGACTTACTATTCAAGTGTAACCCTCAGAGCCTTTGTTCAGTACCTTGCTGTAGTGCAATAACATGAGAAGCTGCCATGAAAAAGTGCTGGTACTTTCTATATAGTGTCTATTAGTGGAAACTGTTTGCCTTGGGGCAGATCTTTGTTTTCAGAAGACTTATTAAAACAGCCTCCTTAGTTAAGAAATATTAATATATAGACATTAATTGTTCTTGTAGAATAGTATGAGAGAACTTTTGTGGCTTCCTAAAGGCTGCCCCACCCATACCTCTTGGAAGACTAAACTCAGACATCTCTGGGGTGGGCAAATTTACAAACCAAGGAGGCCAAGGAGTTTCCGGGGAGAAAAGGAATGGAGACCTGACCTTTCCCTTTGGGAAAGTAAGGACATTATAACTGCTGATGACTTCAAATGGTATCAACTCAGGTCTGAAAAAAATGTTTTTTTTAAGGAAAAGAAAAAAGAAAGATACCAAGAACTGCCACTGAGGAACTTACCTTAAGGGAAGGGAGGGTACCAGTATAAAGAAGTGATCCCAATGGAAACTGTGCCCTTACCATTGAAAGCCTGCCTAAAGATTCACAAACACTGGAGCCTAGGCCTAAAGTGACATGGGACAAACACGTCTGAGCTTAACAGTGGAGAGAAAGATCTCTTTTTTCTCTTTCAGTGTTCCTAGGAGCCTCCTTTATACCGAAGGACAGAGACAGTATCATTCTGTGCAAGCTCTTGTGTTTACAATGAAACACCCTGTGGTAGCCACAAAAACAACATGATCAAACCTTGGGTACTCACCCATGGCCAGATCAGAGTCCCTAGTTCTCCCTATTTCTATAAAGAGTTGGAGCCTAAACCTACCTTCTGTAGATTGAGTAAGCCCATGGAGAACTAAGGTTTCTGGGGTAAAAAGTGTCCTAAGAGAGAGACTAGATTTTCTACTAATCTAGGCAGAGATATGAGTAAACAAAATGTGGCACATATACACCACAGAATACTATGCAGCCATAAAAAAAAGTAAGAGATCATGTCCTTTGCAGGGACATGGATGAAGCTGGAAACCATCATTCTCAGCAAATTAACACAGGAACAAAAAACCACACACTGCATGTTCCCACTCCTAAGTGGGAGTTGAACATTGAGAACACATAGACACAGGGAGGTGAACATCACACACTGGGGCCTGTGAGGGGGTGGGGGGGGAAGGGGACACACAGCATAAGGAGAAATACCTAATGTAGATGACGGGTTGATGGGTGCAGCAAACCACCATGGTACATGTAAACCTTTGAAACAAACCTGCACATTCTGCACATGTATCCCAGAACTTAAAGTATAATAATACTTTTTAAAATGCACTGCAAAAAAAAAGACATTTCCAAAAAAAAAAAGAAAATATAAATAAGACTGGCAGCCAAGATGGCCGAATAGGAACAGCTCCGGTCTACAGCTCCCAGCATGAGCGACACAGAAGACGGGTGATTTCTGCATTTCCATCTCAGGTACTGAGTTCATCTCACTAGGGAGTGCCAGACAGTGGGCGCAGGACAGTAGGTGCAGTGCACCGTGCGCCAGCAGAAGCAGAGCAAGGCATTGCCTCACTCTGGAAGCTCAAGGGATCAGGGAGTTCCCTTTCCTAGTCAAAGAAAGGGGTGACAGACGGTACCTGGAAAACTGGGTCACTCCCACCCTAATACTGCGCTTTTCCGATGGGCTTAAAAAACGGTGCACCAGGAGATTATATCCCACGCCTGGCTTGGAGTGTCCTACGCCCACGGAGTCTCACTGACTGCTAGCAAAGCAGTCTGAGATCAAACTGCAAGGTGGCAGCCAGGCTGAGGGAGGGGCACCCACCATTGCCCAGGCTTGCTTAGGTAAACAAAGCAACTGGGAAGCTCAAACTGGGTGGAGCCCACCACAGCTCAAGGAGGCCTGCCTGCCTCTGTAAGCTCCACCTCTGGGGGCAGGGCACAGACAAACAAAAAGGCAGCAGTAACCTCTGCAGACTTAAAAGTCCCTGTCTGACAGCTTTGAAGAGAGCATGGTTCTCCCAGCATGCAGCTGGAGATCTGAGAACAGGCAGACTGCCTCCTCAAGTGGGTCCCTGACCCCTGACCCCCGAGCAGCCTAACTGGGAGGCACCCCCCAGCAGGGGCAGACTGACACCTCACATGGCCAGGTACTCCTTTCAGACAAAACTTCCAGAGGAACGAGCAGACAACAGCATTCGTGGTTTATGAAAATCCACTGTTCTGCAGCCACCGCTGCTGATTCCCAGGCAAACAGGGTCTGGAGTGGACCTCCAGCAAACTCCAAGAGACCTGGAGCTGAGGGTCCTGTCTGTTAGAAGGAAAACTAACAAACAGAAAGGACATCCACACAAAAAACCCACCTGTACATCACCATCATCAAAGACCAAAAGTAGATAAAACCACAAACATGGGGAAAAAACAGAACAGAAAAACTGGAAACTCTAAAAAGCAGAGCGCCCCTCCTCCTCCAAAGGAACGCAGTTCCTCACCAGCAACGGAACAAAGCTGGATGGAGAATGACTTTGACGAGTTGAGAGAAGAAGGCTTCAGACGATCAAACTACTCCAAGCTACAGGAGGAAATTCAAACCAAAGGCAAAGAAGTTAAAAACTTTAAAAAAAATTTAGAAGAATGTATAACTAGAATAACCAAAACAGAGAAGTGCTTAAAGGAGCTGATGGAGCTGAAAGCCAAGGCTCAAGAACTACATGAAGAATGCAGAAGCCTCAGCAGCCGATGCGATCAACTGGAAGAAAGGGTATCAGTGATGGAAGATGAAATGAATGAAATGAAGTGAGAAGGGAAGTTTAGAGAAAAAATAATAAAAAGAAATGAACAAAGCCTCCAAGAAATATGGGACTATGTGAAAAGACCAAATCTACATCTGATTGGTGTACCTGAAAGTGATGGGGAGAATGGAACCAAGTTGGAAAACACTCTGCTAGATATTATCCAGGAGACCTTTCCCAATCTAGCAAGGCAGGCCAACATTCACATTCAGGAAATACAGAGAACGCCACAAAGATACTCCTCGAGAAGAGCAACTCCAAGACACATAATTGTCAGATTCACCAAAGTTGAAATGAAGGAAAAAATGTTAAGGGCAGTCAGAGAGAAAGGTCGGGTTACCCACAAAGGGAAGCCCATCAGACTAACAGTGGATCTCTCAGCAGAAACGCTACAAGCCAGAAGAGAGTGGGGGCCAATATTCAGCATTCTTAAAGAAAAGAACTTTCAACCCAGAATTTCATATCCAGCCAAACTAAGCTTCATAAGTGAAGGAGAAATAAAATACTTTACAGACAAGCAAATGCTGAGAGATTTTGTCACCACCAGGCCTGCCCTAAAAGAGCTCCTGAAGGAAGCACTAAACATGGAAAGGAACAACCAGTACCAGCCACTGCAAAATCATGCCAAATTGTAAAGACCATCAAGGCTAGGAAGAAACTGCATCAACTAACTAGCAAAATAACCAGCTAACATCATAATGACAGGATCAAACTCACACATAACAATATTAACTTTAAATGTAAATGGACTAAATGCTCCAATTAAAAGACACACTGGCAAACTGGATAAAGAGTCAAGACCCACCAGTGTGCTGTATTCAGGAAACCCATCTCATGTGCAGAGACACACATAGGCTCAAAATAAAAGAACGGAGGAAGATCTACCAAGCAAATGGAAAACAAAAAAAGGTAGGGGTTGCAATCCTATTCTCTGATAAAACAGACTTTAAACCAACAAAGATCAAAAGAGACAAAGAAGGCCATTACATAATGGTAAAGGGATCAATTCAACAAGAAGAGCTAACTATCTTAAATATATATGCACCCAATACAGGAGCACCCAGATTCATAAAGCAAGTCCTGAGTTACCTACAAAGAGACTTAGACTCCCACACAATAATAATGGGAGACTTTAACACCCCATTGTCAACATTAGACAGATCAACGAGACAGAAAGTCAACAAGGATACCCAGGAATCGAACTCAGCTTTGCACCAAGCGGACCTAATAGACATCTACAGAACTCTCCACCCCAAATCAACAGAATATACATTTTTTTCAGCACCACACCACACCTATTCCAAAATTGACCACATACTTGGAAGTAAAGCTCTCCTCAGCAAATGTAAAAGAACAGAAATTATAACAAACTGTCTCTCAGACCACAGTGCAATCAAACTAGAACTCAGGATTAAGAATCTCACTCAAAACCACTCAACTACATGGAAACTGAACAACCTGCTCCTGAATGACTACTGGGTACATAATGAAATGAAGGCAGAAATAAAGATGTTCTTTGAAACCAATGAGAACAAAGACACAACATACCAGAATCTCCGGGACGCATTCAAAGCAGTGTGTAGAGGGAAATTTATAGCACTAAATGCCCACAAGAGAAAGCAGGAAAGATCCAAAATTGACACCCTAACATCACAATTAAAAGAACTAAAAAGCAAGAGCAAACACATTCAAAAGCTAGCAGAAGGCAAGAAGTAACTAAAATCAGAGCAGAACTGAAGGAAATAGAGACACAAAAAATCCTTCAAAAAATTAATGAATCCAGGAGCTGGTTTTTTGAAAGGATCAACAAAATTGATAAACCGCTGGCAAGACTAATAAAGAAGAAAAGAGAGAAGAATCAAATAGACGCAATAAAAAATGATAAAGGGAATATCACCACTGATCCCACAGAAATACAAACTACCATCAGAGAATACTACAAACACCTCTACGCAAATGAACTAGAAAATCTAGAAGAAATGGATAAATTCCTTGACACTTACACCCTCCCAAGACTAAACCAGGAAGAAGTTGAATCTCTGAATAGACCAATAACAGGATCTGAAATTGTGGCAATAATCAATAGCTTACCAACCAAAAAGAGTCCAGGAACAGATGGATTCACAGCCGAATTCTACCAGAGGTACAAGGAGGAGCCAGTACCATTCCTTCTGAAACTATTCCAATCAATAGAAAAAGAGGGAATACTCCCTAACTCATTTGATGAGGCCAGCATCATCGTGATACCAAAGCCGGGCAGAGACACAACCAAAAAAGAGAATTTTAGACCAATATCCTTGATGAACGTTGATGCAAAAATCCTCAATAAAATACTGGCAAACCGAATCCAGCAGCACATCAAAAAGCTTATCTACCATGATCAAGTGGGCTTCATCCCTGGGATGCAAGGCTGGTTCAATACATGCAAATCAATAAATGTAATCCAGCATGTAAACAGAACCAAAGACAAAAACCACATGATTATCTCAATAGATGCAGAAAAGGCCTTTGACAAAATTCAACAACCCTTCATGCTAAAAACTCTCAATAAATTAGGTATTGATGGGACATATCTCAAAATAATAAGAGCTATCTATGACAAACCCACAGCCAATACCATACTGAATGGACAAAAACTGGAAGCATTCCCTTTGAAAACTGGCACAAGACAGGGATGCCCTCTCTCACCACTCCTATTCAACACAGTGTTGGAAGTTCTGGCCAGGGCAATTAGGCAGGAGAAGGAAATAAAGGGTATTCAATTAGGAAAAGAGGAAGTCAAATTGTCCCTGTTTGCAGACGACATGATTGTGTATCTAGAAAACCCCATTGTCTCAGCCAAAAATCTCCTTAAGCTGATAAGCAACTTCAGCAAAGTCTCAGGATACAAAATCAATGTACAAAAATCACAAGGATTCTTATACACCAATAACAGACAAACAGAGAGCCATGAGTGAATTCCCATTCACAATTGCTTCAAAGAGAATAAAATACCTAGGAATCCAACTTACAAGGGATGTGAAGGAGCTCTTCAAGGAGAACTACAAACCACTGCTCAGTGAAATAAAAGAGGATACAAAGAAATGGAAGAACATTCCATGCTCATGGGTAGGAAGAATCAATATCGTGAAAATGGCCATACTGTCCAAGGTAATTTATAGATTCAATGCCATCCCCATCAAGCTACCAATGACTTTCTTCACAGAATTGGAAAAAACTACTTTGAAGTTCATATGGAACCAAAAAAGAGCCCACATTGCCAAGTCAATCCTAAGCCAAAAGAACAAAGCTGGAGGCATCATGCTACCTGACTTCAAACTATACTACAAGGCTACAGTCACCAAAACAGCATGGTGCTGGTACCAAAACAGAGATATAGATCAATGGAACAGAACAGAACCCTCAGAAATAATGCCGCATATCTACAACTATCTGATCTTTGACAAACCTGAGAAAAACAAGCAATGGGGAAAGGATTCCCCATTTCATAAATGGTGCTGGGAAAACTGGCTAGCCATATGGAGAAAGCTGAAACTGGATCCCTTCCTTACACCTTATACAAAAATTAATTCAAGTTGGATTAAAGACTTAAATGTTAGACCTAAAACCATAAAAACCCTAAAAGAAAACCTAGGCATTACCATTCAGGACATAGGCATGGGCAAGGACTTCATGTCTAAAACACCAAAAGCAATGGCAACAAAAGCCAAAATTGACAAATGGGATCTAATTAACCTAAAGAGCTTCAGCACAGCAAAAGAAACTACCATCAGAGTGAACAGGCAACCTACAAAATGGGAGAAAATTTTCGCAACCTACTCATCTGACAAAGTTCACTGTAGATCCAGAATCTACAATGAACTCAAACAAATTTACAAGAAAAAAACAAACAACCCCATCAAAAAGTGGTTGAAGGACATGAACAGACACTTCACAAAAGAAGACATTTATACAGCCAAAAAACACATGAAAAAATGCTCACCATCGCTGGCCATCAGAGAAATGCAAATCAAACCACAATGAGATACCATCTCACACCAGTTAGAATGGCAATCATTAAAATTTCAGGAAACAACAGGTACTGGAGAGGATATGGAGAAATAGGAACACTTTTACACCGTTGATGGGACTGTAAACTAGTTCAACCATTGTGGAAGTCAGTGTGGCGATTCCTCAGGGATCTAAAACTAGAAATACCATTTGACCCAGCCATCCCATTACTGGGTATATACCCAAAGGACTATAAATCATGCTGCTATAAAGACACATGCACACGTATGTTTATTGCGGCACTATTCACAATAGCAAAGACTTGGAACCAACCCAAATGTCCAACAGTGATAGACTGGATTAAGAAAACTTGGCACATATACACCATGGAATACTATGCAGCCATCAACAATGATGAGTTCATGTCCTTTGTAGGGACATGGATGAAGTTGGAAATCATCATTCTCAGTAAACTATCGCAAGAACAAAAAACCAAACACTGCATATTCTCACTCATAGGTGGGAATTGAACAATGAGAACACATGGACACAGGAAGGGGAACATCACACTTTGGGGACTGTTGTCGGGTTGGGGGAGGGGGGAGGGATAGCATTAGGAGATATACCTAATGTTAAATGATGAGTTAATGGGTGCAGCACACCAGCATGGCACAAGTATACATATGTAACTAACCTGCACATTGTGCACATGTTCCCTAAAGCTTAAAGTATAGTAATAATAAAATTAAGAAAAAAGAAAACATAAATGAAAATAATTTTTAAAATAGTCATGTGCCATGTAAAAACATTTTAGTCAACAATAGAGCACATATACTGACAGTAGTCACATAAGATGATAATGCATATTTTAACTGTACCTTTTCCATGTTTAGATGTGTTTAGATAGGCAAATGCTTACCACTGTGTTACAACTGCCTTCAATATTCACTACAGTAACATGTTGTACAGACTTGTAGCCCAGGAGTGACAGAGTATTCCATACAGCCTAGGTGTGTAATAGGCTATACTGTCATCTAGGTTTGGGTACGTATACTCTCTGACGTTCACAGACAATGACAAAAAAGTCCCACATTTCTCAAAATTTATCCTTAAGTGATATATGACTATGTATGTAACCTCAAATCTAATGCAGACTAGTGAACGAGATTATGCAGAAAAAAATTAACATAGCAAGCCTGAGACTGCTACCCTCAGAAAGACCTGCTTGCAAGCTAAGCCCCTGGCTGGCATCTAGGGACTTGAATTTCAGGAATGTTTCCACGACCCTAACTGACAAGAGTGGTTCATTGTGCCTAAACTGCAAATGGCTTATGCCGAATACTTGCTTCCCTTCTGCAAGTCTCAAGCTTTAGTATATGCTAAGTAGAGAGTGTGTATGTGACCAGCCCCCAGTAAAAATCCTGGGTACTGAGTTCCTAATGAACATCCCTTGGGAGATGACAGTTCACATGTGTCATCACAACTTGTTTCTGGAGGAATTAAGTGTATCTTGCGTGAATACTGGGAAACTTTTGGAAACTTGCTCCTGGTTTCCTCTGGAGTTTGCCCATACACCTATTCCCTCTATTGATTTTGCTTTGGATCCCTTCATGGTCATAAATCATGGCCATGAGTACAACTACATGCTGAGTCCTGAGAGTCCTCCTAGGTAGTTACCAAACCCAAGGGCGTGGTCTAGAGGAACCCAACACACAAGGAGAGCACACAAATAATACCAATCAAATTTCTTTCAGTCATATGGGATGCCACTTTTTCAACTTGATTCTGGAATTTTAGCTGGATATTTCCATTAACATTTTTCTTTAAAGATTTCCTCATGTTTATGCAGTTATTGTCTTCTTTTTACACAAAGAAACTGTGTTCTTTTTTCTTACATATATACAGGGTTAATTTTTTATCATATTAAAGCTTTCTATTTCAACGTCAAGTAATCTGAACTGTAGGGATTTTAGAAGAAATCTAGTACTACTCACTCATTTCATGAAGAACCTGAGCCCACAGCGGAAGAAATTTAAGGCTTCAACTGGCTTTAAAAATGAGCCCTCTGGATATGTGGGGTTTTGTAAACCATTTAAACCCTAAACATAAGGTCACCATATTATAGAATTTTTAGTTGCTATATTAAAGCAAGAAAATAATTGACATGTAGTATATTTTATAGCAGGAAATTTTGCTTTTGCTCTGAAGTTGACCCAATTGTGTTAGGAATTCAAGAAAATCTGTTGATATGTGATATCAACAGTCTAAAAGCTTCTGTAAATAATCAAATCAACGCCAAAATAAAATCTCACCCAAAGTAGTCCAACTTCTTTCACTAAATGCACTTTTTTTTTTCACTCTTACACTAACTTAAGTGATTATAACAATCAAAGGCTGACTCTGTGTACTTTAATCATATTACAGTTTTACCAGTCTCCTCTTCCTTTTCTTGGTCTCCAAACTACAGGAAGGCAAGTCTTCTATGCCACCCAGAGTCAGTAAAAGTGTGGCTAAAAAGTACCTATTGTTACTAGATCTTCTCTTTGGTGAATTGTCTTGACTCTTATTGATATTAGAATTAAATTTTAAATTATTTTAAGGGAAGGAAAAAAATGTTGATCCAATGAAAATTCATTTTGCATCCAATCATTTGAAAAATTATAGTTTCATAGTGATCTTTCCTTCCTCTGGTTTTGAACAAGATTTATGAAAAACACAATACTATATTTCACCAATTCTAAGACTGAAATATGTTTTTATCAAATTTTAACATCTCTCAAATGAGGATCCATTTTACAATCAATGGCATGTCATAGGTTTAATTGGCAGCACTTTTTTTCTTGGTAGTATGTTTAAAAAATAGCATCTTATAAATATACTTGATCATAAGGTGAAATATGGTAGATATGTTTAAAGCACCTGTGAATTCAAGTAAAATGTGCTGCTGGATATCTTCCTGTCACCCTTCTAGCTTCACTTTCCCTTTTCCATCTTGCTAGTAGCCCTGGGAAGCTGACTTATGGTGGATGGCATCAACCTGGTTCCCTTGCCCTACTGCATTTGGTTCGATTTGGCAAATGGGAGGCACCGGTAGGAGTGGGAGAGCAGGAAGAGGGTGACAGAGACATATATTCCTATCCCTCACCCATTAGCTTCTACAGGGTCATGGAGGTTAGCCAGATCTCCCTACTGAATGCCCAGGCTTTGCTGTCAGTCCAGCTATCCCTCTCCAGGTGTTAACTGTTCTCTCTCCTTGCCTCTTGAGATCTAGGGTTAGTGCCCTCTCCAGGTGTTATTAGCCTAGAGGCACTGCACCGTCTCTTATTGCTTTTCTAAACAATGTCTGCATATTTATAAATAAGCCCTTTATTAATCTCTTCTCAAATTTCCAATTTGAATATGCCATCTGTTTCTACCAGGGCCCTAACTGATACAAAAGTGCTTTAATCCTTTCTTCTCATGGAGCAGCAGCATCTATATCAGCTGAGAGCTTGTTAGAAATGTAGACTCCTGGGCCCCTCCTAGACCTACTGAGACAGAATCTGCATCTTAATAGGTTCCCCAAAGGACTGGGATGGACATTAAAGTTTGAAAAGCACTGGTTTAACACATCAGTAGATGTAATAAAATCTAGCATCAGAATGTTAATGGCTTATTAAGAGACTATTATCTGGTCCCCATTGTCCACTGGGGGATGCTTCTCCAGCCCTTCTTTCATTATTTCAACCAAAAAGATTAAAAAAAATCTAAAATGAAAATGTTCTTGTTTGGAAAAGTTGAAGAATCTTGTGTAAAGATTTGTTGATTTTCATCTTCAAAATAATATCATTTTAAAATCAGTGAACATTTGGAAGAAACAGAGGAAAACCACGCTTCCAGATATAGTTTTGAATAATAACTAGGTCCACCTATGCCAAACACCATTAAGAAAATGAAAAAAAGTAGAGCTAACTGGACAAAAATCTTTGTCATATTGCATAAAATTATTGGTAATTGGAGCCTCATTTGTTAGCACTAAGCTATTCATATTGATTTTTCTATCTCTGCAAACTGGAAGTTTGGGACACAGAATGAAGAAATAATTGTAAACAAGATCTCTCTGCCTGAAGGAAAAAAAAGAACATTTCGTCAAAGTAAGAACACAATCCTCGATAATTTTCGACACTTGTCTGGCTGCAGAAAGCAAGGCCGAATCTGCAGGAGGCTTTAAAACCCTGTGAATTTGCTGGTCTGTTTAAAACACTTCACACATTATTCAAAGGAAAAATCAGATGTGCTATGTATGCAGATAGACTTAAAGCCTTCCTTCCAGGTTAAAGAAATTTATGGGAATGCAGTTTAAGTTATTCATCCTCTTTACCATAAAAGATTACCTCACTTTGCACCAGGTTTCTTGAAAATAATCTGAAACTTCCCCATATTAAAGGAAAAATGTTTGATTTATAGCTTGGGTTTAAACCTATAATGAGGCATTCCATTCTGAGTGATCTCATATACTCAAAGCAATAATAACCCCAGGGTGTCAGTGTACGGGAAGCCCTGCCTAGATGGACATTCTGTAGGGTCTGTGTCAGCCCTTTTTCTCCCTGCTCAGATTTGCTGGGGAGTGTGGTTCCTGGGGACCCGAGAGGTGGCTTGTCTGAAGGCGAATCACCTAATTTTTAGTGTGTCAATCTTGAACAGCCCCCATGACTTCTACCCTCACCAGCCACCCCCCACCTCCCCTGCCCTACCACCATCTTTCTTTTATCTAGTTGGTAGAGTACAAGAAAACAAAGTTAGGTCTCCCATCTCTGAACGTCAGACTAACAATCATGTGGTGAGAGACACACGGTTAGGGCTGGAAAAAACAAAGACACAAGTGAAGCAAGTAATTCTGGGTTCAACTTGTGGCTCTATTACATTAGCTGTTTGGCTAATGTGACATGCCTGGCAGCCACCCTACCATGAGCTCCATCCTCAGAGTTTTGGGGCATAGAACCCTCTTTTGCAATGCAGTATCTCCATGTCTTTTTGCTGATCTTTGGCCAAGTCATCTGGGGCTCTCCCCCAGGACTGGTCAAGAAATCACTCCAGGTCTTTCAAACCCCATAGTTCTAGGGAACCAGGCAGCATGGCATGGTGATGAAGAACAGACTCTATGCCCGCACTCCCTGGAGCCAAATCCTGGCTGCACCATTTACCAGCTGTGAAAAGTGACTTCAATTCTCTGTGCCTCCATTTCCTCAATGGAAACAGAATTATTACTGTTCACAGGACTGTTTGAGCATTAAATGATTAATAGTAAAAAGCACATAAAATAGTGCTTGGCAAGTAAAAGAGAGCTATTTATATTTGTTATGATGATGATTATTATGTTCATTAAAAGTAGATTGCCAGATAAATATCTTGACATGCTGAAACTTAGCTTCACTAGTTTTTAACTGAAATGTCCACTTTTTAAATTTTGGTTAATATTTCTATAATTATTCTATATTGGTTATAAAAATTTGTAAAATATGGCATTATTAACATTTTGGTATATTTGCTTTCAAGTCATTTTTTTTCTCTGAACACGTTGTGAAATGCATACATATGTGTATCCATTATATTAAACAGCATATATATACTCTTGCCTTTTGCCTATTTTCAATTATTCTTCATAAACTATAATGCTTTGATGAATGGTCTTCTATATAAATTTTTATGCACTGACTTCCTCTTTCAATCAAGATGGAGTAACTGCATTCAGATTTACATTTCCACATAAAACAACTAAAGCAATCAGAAAAAAATATAAAACAATAGTTTCAGCCACTGAACAACAGGCAGCTTGGGATAGCAATCCCTGAGAGAGGGGAAACAAATGAGGTGAACCCTATGATTGCCCCCACTTTTTGCCTGGAAAGTGATTCCAGACCACATCGTAGGAAAAGAGAATCCAGATGGCAGCCAGTGGTTTTCCTGGTTTGAAGAGACAGGCTTGGGAGTTCTGAGAGGCTGAGGTTGATTGAGTCTGCATGGCAGTGTTAGAGAAGAGAGAGCTGAACAGAAAGAGTGGTCCAAAGATCTGCGCAGGAACCCCCATTTCCACTCCCAAATAGCACGTTTGTGTGAGGAAACTATCTGAGGTCAAGGAAAGAACCACCGCAAAGGGGACAGATGAAATAATTCATGCAGCTCACACAGGGCCAGGAAAAGTCTATGTTCCCTCTACCATGTGGAAAAACCTTATGACACCTAAGGTATCAGGAAGAGTGCTTATCAGGTAATCACCTCAGTTGTGGAGCTAAACTAGTCCTATGCTAAAGGCTGCTGCGGTCCCAGCTAGTAAAGCCTAAAGCAAGGTGTGAAAGGACAAACTGTTTCCAAGGAACTTCATGACATTACTGCTAATATTTTCTTATAAATGAAATAAAGAAAATACCCAAGAATAATGCAGTACACCATCCCAAAAGTTCCAAGGAGAAATATTTGGAAGAAGAGAAGCCTATCTTGTCATGGAGGAGGGGATATTCTGGCCCAATAATGTTAATTAATTCATTTATTCATTCATTCATAAATATAATGAGTATCTACCATGTGCTATGAATCTCCACGCATTTTAGCACCAACCAGTGGGGTCACGCCCTTCTCCAAATTCCATTCAGAGAGCTAGTGCTCAGTCACTATTTGAGGAACCAGGATATGGCCCAATTCCAAAACACCCTCTGGCCAGCCTCTCTGTAAGATGCTGTAGGGACAAAAGAAACTTTCCTTCTACCCCTGAAAGCTTGAGAATTTGATTCTATAAAACAAATTGACAAAAGACGGACTGACAGGGGAAAAGACATACAAATTTATTAAAATGCAAGTGCACAGAAGTCACACAAAGTATGAAACTCAAAGAAAGGCCAGAAGGTTGAAACTTAAATACGCTTTTCATAGAGGAGAGGAAAATGGGGGTTGTGGGAAATTTTAGAGGAAGAATCAATTAATTTTAGGGGAAATTAATGGGCCCAAAGAACATACAATAGCCTGGGACAAAGTTCCTCTGGGCTCTGGGGAAAGTGGCAGCAAGTTATGGGAAGGTGAGGGGCAGAATTGCACTGCAAACAAAGGTTATCTTATCATGCAGATAAAGTGTCTCAGGTAATGTCCCTCAGGAGAATAGATGAAATTCTGCCCAGATTGGTAAAGGGAGAACTTTAATTTCTTCTTTGGTGATGAATCTTCCCTGGTTAATGGAGATTTCG
This sequence comes from Homo sapiens, assembly GCF_000001405.40. Classification (NCBI taxonomy): domain Eukaryota; kingdom Metazoa; phylum Chordata; class Mammalia; order Primates; family Hominidae; genus Homo; species Homo sapiens. The sequence goes on from NC_000009.12 coordinate 20,115,328, forward strand.
GGCAGGAGATTGAAGGCAATTGTGTTTCTTTTGGAAGAACTACCCTCAGTCAGATACGGAAACGTCAAAGAGAATTCTTTCCTGTGCTTGTGGGGAGAAACAAGGGAAACTTAGAAAGACCCTGATTCTGAGGCAGTTTCCAAGTCACCTCCAATTTCCTTTAATTCAAAGTACCCAGCAAGCCAAATCATCACACTTTAGGGTATTGTTTTCTGAGCCCCAACAATGCCTGTACAATGAACAGAAAGAAGAGTATCCAATGAACACGTCAAACTTGATTTCTTAAGATATGATCAAATTGTGCTTCCTTTGAAGGCTTGATTTATGCTAAGCCAACAAAAGGATCTGCCGGTGAAGAACACCCTGTTATGAAACTCACTGACACACTGTGTCCAAGGCAGAATACATTGAGAGCTCTGCTTTTCTCCTGTTCCTGGATCACACACTCAATAAATGGACTATCCATAGTGTGTTGAATTTCTCCCATCTTCTTCATTCCAAAATTGGCTATTAGATGGTTTCAATTTGAGACAATTTTAAGCAATGATTGCATCAGACTAGAATCTAATTGGGGCAAAGTAATTTTTGGCAAAATCCCAAGGCAAGAGATTTTTTTATCTGAGAAAATTATATACTAAGGCTGCCAACTCACAATGGAAATCTTAAGCAGCATTAAACACAATTCTGCCATTGTCCATTTCTATGAACTGTATTTGGTGAGAAGCCACACAGGACAGGGCAGAAGTTACTGGGAATTATTCTGAAGTTGTCTCAAGACCAAAAAGTAAGATATGTGCCATTTGAAAGAAACTTAATAATAGACTCTAGTCCATTTTCCTAATTCAGGAGCCCAGCATGCACCATGAGTCTGTTCAAACAGCTCTCACACCAGAATGCCATTCTCATAGCTCTAAATGTATCCAGACCTTTGACACTTCACTTATTCAAAAGCTTTTGCTGTCTGCTTAGGTCCTTATGGATCTTCCTCTTCTCTGAATGCCTGCAGATCTTAGAACCCTTAAGCACTTTATGAGGTGTGGTTTCAAAGAAAGCATTCATTGTTCTCTGGGCATTCTGATAGAGGGTGCCCAGAAAACAAGACCAGGTCCTATGTTTCTCTTGAATTCATCACATCATCCATCATAACAACGGATTCAGTTCAGAGGCTAACTTCGCTCTTCGTAGTTCTCCAATGGGCTTTCATAGCATCCTGTGCTTAATTCTTTCTCAGCACCTACCATACTGTGCCGTCTTTTCAATGCTTCTGTCTTTCAATTACTAAATGAGAGTTCCTTTAGGCCTGAGATCATGTCTAGGATGTATTAATATTCCCAGAACATACTGCAAAGTAAAAATTCAATGCATACTTATGGAATGTGTATAAATGAGAGAATGGATGCATAAAGAAATGAATTCTAGAAGCTCAGTAACTACTTATTGATCAGTTCATTGACTCTGAGGCAAGAGAGCAGAAGAAGAGTTGTTTCTGCGCTTAATGAAAGTTGAAGATAATAGGTAACTTAGATCATCCAATTGTAATAAAGGAGAGAAATGAGAAACAAAAGCAGCCACAGTCAGGTTAAGCCCTGTTAATAATCAAACATAAGATCAGTCTTGCAAGCATACTAGCTTTCATCTTTTGAACAATTGTATGATCTTTCCACTCAACCCCCAGGAAATATACCTCTACTACTTTGGAAGGAAATCCAGTCTCTCACCTTCATTTCATCTGGCAGGATTAGGCTAGTAATGTATTTTGGCAGTGACTGAGAGCCCCACCGACTACGCCATCATCATGCCCAGCCAAAGATAACATCTCCTTCCCTTGTAAGCAGGTGTGGTCAGACAACTAGGTTCTGGCCAGTGGGGTATTAGCAGAAGGAAGGTATATGACTTCTCGAAAAATTCCTCAAAATAAAGAAGTATGTTCTTTTCTTCCTTTCTTTCCTGTCCCAGAAGTTGCAATGTGGAGGAGGACAGAGCAACAGCATGGAAGGAGACTGTATCTCTGATATCAGGCTACATACTAGCCTCTTACATGAAAGAGATAATTCTGTCATTTTTTTCATTTCATGGTCTTTTGTAACAGCAGCCTAGCTATGTCTTTACTATGACAACAAGAAACCAGCTGCCACGTTTGTATGTAATAAACCTGCTAAGAGAGTACTGGAGAAAAGATGAGGAAGAAAATTCACCTTTTTAAAGTGTCTAATATAAATGCTTTTAAAAGTGCCTTGTAGACAATAGGCAGTATGCTAAATGACAATCTAACAAAGTACTTATTATGTTTGTCGCTTTAAAAGTGAGGAAACTGAAACTCAGAGAAGTCAACTAGCTTGTACAAGGTCATATACCTAGTAAACGGTGCCAGGTCTGTTTGATTCCAAGGTCCATACTATTTCCCCTTTACAATAGCAATAATAGTAATTGCTAACATTTACTAAGGGCTTATTATGTGTCAAAACTTATGCTGAGCATTATACATGAATTACCTCATTTAATTCTCCTGAAAGTCTTTGAAATCAGTATACTATTACACTAATTTTACAGATGAAGAAAGAGGGCATCAGAGTTGTTATTAATATTACAAATAACTCCCAAGGTTATTAAGCTAGTAAGAGTCAGTGTCATACTTTAAGCAGAGTCTGACTGACTCTAGGGCTCAAGTCTTACCACCTTCAGCTTAACTATGAGCACATCTTTATATTAAATTATTACTCCATTATAGAAGGAATGTCTAGTGCCCAATCTGCCTTAGGATAAAGAGTAAGTCAACCTTCTGAACCCAAGAGTTTAATATGCATATTGTGGCTCATAGGCGACTTATCTACCCCTGTGTAGAGCTGGTGAGAATCGAAAGAAAAAAGAAACTTCCTCTTTAATTATTTATTGCACAAGAACTACACAATAAGACCCAACTGCCACTACCAGTATGTACCTTGCTGTTATCAGCTGTTAATTTACCAACCCAGATCAATCAGTCATTGCATAGAAGTTGAAGGAAATTCATTATACATTTCTGAACAATTTAAGTTTAATTCTGCTGAAATTCTACCAAGAAACTAGAAACATTATGAAAGACGAATAAAAAAAGACATAAATGAATAAAGCTTCCAGGGGCCCCTGACTGATGCTTGAGAGATAACCAACAAGTTTTGTTGGACATTGTGGATTCACTTCTTATATTTAAAAAACTATTGATGCTGTTCTTAAGTTTTTTTTTATTTTTTATTTTACAGCCTATGTTTTACCAACAAAACCTTAGGTATTTATATCTACAATTCAACCTGGTATTTATTTCTGAAAAATCAGTTAAAAGTAAAAAAAGAGGAAAAGAAGCATATGAAAATGAAAATCATTTTCAAAAGTGACCTCCGTAACTCTAATAACACAACCTGATAAAGACATTAGAAGACCAAAAATAATAGGCTAATATCTCTCATGAACATAGATGCTGTGGTAAACAAGTATAGGGTAGTCTTGCCTCCTTGTGTTCATGCCCTGATATCATCTTCTCCCCTCCCTTGAGTGCAGATGGGTACTGTGACTTGCTTCTAACCAATAAAATATGTCAAAGGTGGTGAGATGTCACTCTCATGATTTCATCACATTATTTAAGACTATGTCTTGCTAGGAGACTCACTCCAGAGAAATGTCTTAGCTGGCTTTGAAGAAGTGGCCATGTTGGGAGGTCCACATGGCAAAGAATTGAGAGTGGTTTTAAAGAAATGAACGCAGCCTTCAAGAACTGAACGCAGCCTTCAGACAACAGCCAGCAAGAAGCTAAGGCCCTCAATTGTACAACTGTAAGATAATTATACTAATAACCTAATCAAGCTTGGAAGCAGATCTTTGCTTAGTTTAGCCTTCCAACGAGAATATAGCATGGCCAACACCTGGACTGTAGCCTTGTGAGACTCTAAGCCTAGGATCCAATTAGACTATGGCCAGCTCTTGACTCACAGAAACTGTGAGGTAACACATGTTGCTTTAAATCACTACATTTTTTTGTAATTTGTTATGCCGATTATAAAATTTGAGTAAAAATATATTCTCAACAAAATTTAGAAAATCAAATCCATCGATATATAAAACAGGAATTCCAAAAATGCAAAGTTGGTATAACATTCAAAAATCCATCAGTTGTTTTCCACATTGGTAGAAAAAAAGGAGGTAAAGTCATAATCATCTCAATACCTGCAGGAAAAAAACACTTGACAAAATTTAACACTTCCATGATAAACACTCTTAGCAAACCTGGAAAAGAAGAGAACTTTCTCAATCAGATAAAGAGCAACCATAAAAAGCCTACAGCTAATATCCTAATGAATAGTGTAAGGCTGAATGCTTTCCCCAAAGATGGGAAACAAGACAAGAATGCCTGAGCTCATCTTTTCTGTTCAGCATTGTACAGGAGTTCCCATACAGTGCAATAAGGAAATCAAAAAAGTAATAGTCATAAAGATTAGAAAGGAAGAAGTAAAACTGTGTTTATTCAGAGACAACAAAATTGTTTACATAGAAAATCCTAAGGAATTGTATTAACTTTATATTGCTGCTGTGACAATTTTGACAAACTTAGAGGATCGGAACAACACAAATTTATTGCCTTCCAGTTTTGTAGGTTAGAAGTGTGACACAAGTCTCACTGGGCTGAGATCAAGAGCATCGGCAGGGCTGTGTTTCAATCTGTTCCCCTGACTACTCCAGCTTCTAGAAACCACCCACATTTTCCTTCATTTGTTACCCTCTTTCTTGATTTTTAACACCAGCAACATTGTATCTCTCTGATCATTCTTCACACACAAGTATTTTTTCTCATCTGTGGCTTGCCTTTTAGTTTTCCACTGTTTTGAAAAATAGATCTAAACTTTGATTGGGTAAATGTATCAGATTTTTACTTTATGGTTAGAAATTTCCTATGCCCTATTAAGAAGCTTTGCCTCTATTCATAATAGCAAAGACATGGAATCAACCAAGATGCCCATAAATGGTGGCCTGGATAAAGAAAATGTGGTACATGTACACCATGGCATACTACATAGCCATGAAAAAGAATGAGCTCATGTCCTTTGCAGCTGGAGTTGGAGCTGGAGGCCATTATCCTAAGTGAATTAATGCCGAAACAGAAAATCAAATACCACTTGTTCTCATAAGTGAGAGCTAAACATTGAGTATACATGGACACAAAGAAGGGAAAAATAGACACTAGGGCCTACTTGAAGGTGGAAGTTGGGAGAAGGGTGAGGACTGAAAAACTATCTATTGAGTACTATGTTGATTACCTGGGTGATAGAATTATCTGTATATCAAACCCCATGTAACATTTACCCATGTAACAAATCTGCATATCTACCCTCTGAACCTAAAATAAAAGTTGGGGAAAAAAAAATAAGGAAAAGCAGCAGCTTTGCCTAATCCAAGGTTGCATAGCTTCTGGAGATTTTATAGACTTATGATCACTTTCAGATTTATTTCAAATTAATGTTTTGTATGGTGACAGGGATCAAGGTTGGTTATCCAATTGACCCAGATCCATTTATGAAAAATAATATCTTCTTTCATTGAATTTCCTTGGCATCTTTATTGCAAATCAATTGATTGTATATATATATATAGGCCTATTTGCAAACTGTACTCTATTTCCTTTATTTATTTGCCTATTCTTTAACCAGTATACGTGTTTAATTACTGAACTTTTATAAGTTTTGAAATTAGGTACTATGGCTCCTCCCCAACTTTGTTGTTCTTTCTCAGTCTTTTTTTCAAAATTGTTTCAGGCATACTAGATCCTTTGTATTTAGAATCACCTCCTAATTTCTATAGAAAAGCCTATTGGGATTTCAATTGAAATTGAATTGCATTTATAGGTCAATTTGGAAATAAATGGCATGTTAGCAATATGAAGTCTTCCAATCCATGAACTTTGTATAGCTGTCATTTACCTAGGCCTTCTTTATTTTTCCCCAGAAATATAATGTGGTTTTCAGTGTAACAATCTTATAAATTTTTTGTTAGATTTATTTGATGCTATTATAAATGAAATTTTTAAAAATACCACCTTGCAAATATTTGTCCAGGGGTTGGAAAACTTTTTTTAAAGGCCAAAAAGTTTATGGGAAGATCATGTGCATAATGTTATTTAACAAATAGATTAAAGTTATATTTGATTTCCCATCTGCCAACAAAATTTGGCTAAGCACCTACTATATGCAAAGCTGTAGTTACCCAGGAATACAAATTTGATCACATATAAATGCTCTAGAGGATTTCTGAAGAAACGTGTTATAAGTGCTTACCGGGAATGTCCATTTTTTCCAGCAAATTTATAACTCAGTGGTTCTCAATCCTCATTGCACATTAGAAAGACATGCAGTGTTTTAAGAAAACACCGATATCCAGACCCTACTCAAAGCCACTCCTAAGCAGAAATTTGAAACTTCTCTCTAAAAAAGTTATTCCAAAATATTATTGTCCTTAACACATACATCTTGGAGATGGTGCTGTTATTTTTCCTTCTTAAAAAAATATCCAGACCCCTTTTAATTATATTACTTTCATCCTTATACATCTAGAGCTTTACACGTAGCATGCATTATACACAACTTCAAAGAATGAACGGAAGATTGCTTGCTAACAAAAACAAAAGGAAAAGAGAAATCTGCTAATGCAGCATTCCAAGGCATCTCCTGAGAATGTGTTCATTGGACTGAGGGCATTTCACTGAGATGAGCTGGGGGCACCAAACGTTCCAAGCAAGACTGGATACCTAATTTGCTGGGTTAAGTACAAAATGAAAATAAGGGTCTCTTGTTCACAAGTTACAAGAATTTCAAGACAGTGTTAGCAGAGCATTTAACCAAGCATGGAACCATTCTAGGCATAAGGCCCTGTGCAAATGCACTGATTACTTGTCTACTAAGCCCGCCCTTGTTTTGAGGACCAGAGTGCTCCCTATACATCCGATAGTTCTGCACACTTGCTGACAATCAGGCATACAAGGGAAAGCAGTTGATTGCATTTCGATCCCAATGTCATGAATTTGTGTTGTTTGTTCATTTAAAACATTACTTTTTAGGCAGGGCACGGTGGCTCACGCCTGTAATCCCAGCACTTTGGGAGGCTGACGTGGGCAGATCACTTGAAGTCAGGAGTTTGAGACCAGCCTGGCCAACACGGTGAAACCCTGTCTCTACTAAAAATACAAAAAATTAGCTGGGCATGGTGGTGGGCACCTGTAATCCCAGCTACTTGAAGCTGAGGCAGGAGAATTGCTTGAACCCAGGAAGCAGAGATTGCAGTGAGTCGAGATTGCACCACTGCACTCCAGCCTGGGCGACAGAGCTAGACTCTGTCTCGAAAAAACAAACAACAAACAACAACAAAAAAACTCTACTTCTTAATTTTTGACTTATCCCCTCTTTTGATGCCTAGAGAAATCATTTGAAATTAAATCTTCCTGTCTTCTTGCCCTTGTTTTGGATAAGCGCACATATTTTTAGTGTTGCAATTTTTCTTTTTTGACCAATTTCCATAAAACTTGAAAATCTAAAATGAGGACCTAAATCTCAGTTCAATTTTTACTGAGAGCCAGTCAATAAATGTCATTCCTGGAGATTTCAGCTCTTGTCTTAAAGACCAGCAACATCTACTGATCACCCATTCGATGCTTTGTTTTCGACTCATTCTATTCAGGATGCTATAACTAGACTAGGTGGCTTATAATAGACTAGATGGCTTATAAATAACAGGAATTTGTTTTTCACAGTTCTAGAGGCTAGGAGGTTCAAGATCAAGGCAGATTCAGTATCTAGTGAAGACCTCCTGTCTGGTCATAGATGGTACCTTCTAGCTGTGTCCTCACATAATGGAAACTATAAGCTAGCTCTGTGGGGTCCCTTTTATAAGGCAAAATCCCAATTATGAAGGCTTTACCTTCATGATATAATTACCTCCCAAAGGCCCCACTGCCTAATACTATCACCTTGAAGGTTAGGATTTCAACATATAATTTTTGGAGGGCATCAACATTCAGATCATAGTTTATTAATTTTTCTCCTCATAACAAAATGATGAAGGAAGAAATATTTTCTCTACTTTTCAAATGACAAAGCAAAGATTCAGAAAGTTTAAATAACTTGTCCAAGTAGGAGGTACAGAACAGTAATCAAGATTATAAACTCAAAATCAGGCAGATCTAGCTTCAAATCTTATATTTGTACTTATATGAATGAGACTTTGAAAAAATACTGAACTTTTATCAATTACATTTTCTATAACTGTACAATAGAAAAAATAACGTCTGCCTCATAGGATTGTCATGTGGACTGAGCTAATATAAGCAAAGTGCCTAGAAAAATAAGATAAACAATTAACAGTGGTAATTATCATTAACGTCACACATCTAGTAAGTAACAATGCTTTAATTATTTCTCCTTCTCTAAAAATAGCATTGGTAAATTTTCCACTCTCTTGTTTTAGATAATTCCTGGATTAAAGAAAAATAGTAAGCATCAACTATCTTCCAGTTGAGCTTGAGGCTAGAACAAAAAACTATTACTGCAAATATTGAAGAAAATGCAAAGTATAGTGCTCACTAGCATTTTGAAAATACTATACCTAACTGTTCAAAACCTTGGCTTCTTCCCTATTCCTGATTATTAGGCTTAAAATACCAGGAATATCTTTATCTCATAGAATAGCATGAAAAGTTGTTTTGTGAATGCACTGAAATGAGTTAACAGCCTTTCCAATACTTTCTATTCATCCTTGATACAATGGTGGACACCTGGCATATGTAACTCCTTTTATAATTTCCTTCTCAATACATCTCCTGAGCATAACTATACGATTCCTCCCAATATATCCTGTCTTGGCAAAGTGCCATGTATGTAATAGACAGGAGGATATGGTGTTTGATTATAGTAGGAAAGGGAGAAGGGCTTCACACTAGAATATTTTCAAGGTTCCCAAAAGCTTAAAAAAAAAAAAGAATCTGATTCTGTACCATAAACCTGTAGAGAAAATAGGCAAACATGTTATTTAAAAAAAAAGAAGAAGAAGAAAAAAGTTTTGGTATCTTTTTCATTACAAAAGCTTGCTCATTATAAAAATTTTGAATACAGGGAAATTTAATGAAAACAAATTCAAGTTTCCACCGTCAAAGCCAACTGCATTTTGATGACTTTTCTTCAGATGCCATGTTGCTGCTCAGTTTCTGCTGACATCTTTCTGTTCCCTTTCTTCTTTCCTTTGTTACGTACCTAGTGCCTTCATGCTAACTTTCATTTATTCCCTCACCTACCCACTTCTCATGTGTTATGGACCAGTGTGGAAATCTGGTGCCCTATGCACTAGACTTTTCATAATCCTCTCACTCCATAAAAGTTTAATGTGCCCCCAGTTCCCTCTCTTAGGTCTGTGGCCCTCTGCCTAAACTAATCTGGCAACACATCTGCTTATAGTCAGTAAGTATAATCAACAGAGGCTTTATTACTTTCAGAAGAGAAAACAGAGGGTAAGAATATTGGGTAGCCCAAGGGAAGATTCATTTATTGAAGATAAGACCATCAAATGCATAAAACAAACATATGCTGAACACAGCTGGAAGTAGCACCTTGTTATGGTAGAAAGAGCATGGACAAACAATAGATCTAGATTCAAATCCAGATGCTCACTAACAGGCAACTACCTTAACTTCTCTGAGCCTCAGTGAAGTGGTAAAGCCAACTGCATAATCTTGCCATGAGGCTTTAATGAATAACAAGTACAAAATGCCCAGTTCATAAGAGTTCCTTTAAAAAGATTAGTACAAGGTGCTGTGAGATTTTTTTAAAATGAATCAGATATGATTATGTCCTCATGGAACTTACTATCTAGGAGAATAAATAATACATACATAAAAGTAATCATAATACTCAATTTTTAGAACTCCTATTATGACCTGGATATATGTATTCATTTTACAGATGAGGAAACTAAGGCTCAGAGAAGGAAAGTGACTTGACTAAGGTCACAAAAGTAGGAAATTGCAAAACTAGAATTTGAACCTTTATCTGCTCAACTGCACGTTGCATTAATATAACATAGGCACTTATTTTTAAACCTTTAAAAGTCTTATAGTCAGTAAATACACTCAACACAGGTACAGATTTAAAACTTCCTATACATATAAGACTATAAGACACCTATACAAATTTTATAGTACAGGGTCAGGGGAAGGTGATGCCAGTACTCCCTTAGCTGCCCCAGCTGGTATCTCAGTAGGTAATGTGTCCCCTCATTCCACTGGGCCCAGGTCAGCACTAGGGACTCACCTATGAGTTGCAGTCCTTGTGGCCTAGACTATCTCTCAAAGTTTATTTGGGGCTCCAGAGCACTCTAGCCCATGGTGGTGAGGGTTGTGGAAACTCAAGTTCTGACTGTGGAAATTGGCAATTCCCCTCTGGCTAGGGCTGGTTTAAAAGCTCCCTCCATGGGTGTGTGTAAGCTGAATTTGGTTTGGTTTTCCTTTCTGCTCTAGCAGGACAGTGCTGAGTTCAATTACTCACAATTGCTGTGCTCTCCCTCTTTCCAGCATACAGAATTGCTCTCCACACCACTCTGCAGCTGCCAGAGGATCTGGGAGGGGAGGGCTGGTGCTGGCTAGTCAAGACTGTTTTTCCTGCCACTTCAGGGCATTATTCAGTGATATGAAGTCAAAACCAGGCACTGTGAGTGCTCACCCGATTTTTGGTTCTTACAAAGGTGTTTTTTTTGTGTGTGTAGATAGTTGTCAAATTGGTATCCTTGCAGGAGAGATGATCGGTGGAGTTTTCTATTCTACAATCTTACTCTTCCCCAAAGTCCTCTGCCTGCATTTTTAATTTTTGCCAAGCTAGTATGTGTGAAAACATATCTTTCTTTGGTTTCAATTTGAAATATCTTGAGTAGTTTAAGCATTTATTTACATATTTATGAAAATGTTCATAGTTCTTCTATGAAAACCTGATCATGCCTTTTACTCATTTTTCTACTAGGTTATTCACTGACTTACTGACTTTTAGATTTTTTTTTTCTAGATATTAAACTTCTGTCAGTTAATTGCCCTTAAGCTTCCTGCTTCCACTAGTTTATCCACGGCAATCAATCAGCAAGGTTAATTTTCTGTGGAAACATCACCATACATGCCTACATAATCATCCATAAATTCTTTTTAGAATTCAGCACATTAAATTTTAAAAATACATTTGAATACAATTGACACAATTGAACATATTTTTCTTTCATCCTTACCCCAAAGTTAGGGAAAGTGCCGGAAATGAGTGAGGCTTTAAGGATCAAAAGTTTTCAACAAAATCTTAGAAGAGGAATTTTGCTCATCCACCACTGATCTTTGTGTTTTCAGTTTGACAGTACAATTAAACACACATATATTTTATGTTCATGCATATCCTTAATTCTCTTAATTATACCAGTCCTGAATTGTAGGCAGGAACAGAATGTGTGTAGGAGAGGGGGAGAATGTAGTGCCAGAGGCAGGGAATTTTATTGGTGTTGCCTCTGTCTATAGGGTATATCATATTTTTAGGAAGAGGAGAAAAAATACATTCTGAACTGGTTTCAGTTACTTACATAACAGAGGGAATAGCCATGCCTAGAACAGCTTTCATGGATTTGTCAATTGACATAAATTAAAACCAGATCAAACTTCATTTCATCTCTTTTTTTCTATAGATTTTTCTTGCCTTCTCCCCCTTTTCTTTACCCCACCCTAACCCCTCTTCTCTTCATGTCTTTAAAAATATTTTTGCTTTGTCCACATTTTCTGTTGTATCCAGACACATTTTCCCAATGCTCTGGTTCCCTTTCTGCCTGAGGGAATGTTTCCTCTCTCCTTCATTCCTTCATTCTAATCCTCTCAATTATCTAAGCCTCTGCCCAGAATCCCCAGCAAACATTCTGAAAGAGGGAGGGGGCTTCATCTTGCTGATTGATTTTAATATTTTTTTGAAACCAGGAAACTTTAGTTTAACCTTTTCTTTTATGAAAACATCATTTTTATATTAAGGCAATTACTTACATGTTTTAGTTATTTTAACAACAATGGAGAGAATTCTTTAACTTCAGAAAAACTTCTAAGCACAAAAGCTTACCCAGCTCAGGAGGTGCAAAAATGGAAAAAATAAAGGATACTGTCTTCAATAAGACCTGGGTTTAATCCCCAGTTTCATCTCTTTCCAGGGATGGGACCTCTCTGTGAGTCTGTTTCCTTCTCTGTAAAACATTTAATGTGCAGGTATATTGCAGAGATTTTCAATGAGATAACTTGAGGAAAGACTTAAGTCATTGTTCCAGTTAGGGTTCTAACTTAAGATCAAGGACACTTATGAGAAGGATAAGAGACAGACGGGAAGGTTAGGGAACAGTCATGGCAAGAAGTGCTAACCATAGTGCTCTGGAGGGCACGGAAGCAGCAACTAGACCAATGTCAGGCAGTAGGCATGAATAAATTACTAGCATTTTTAGTCTTGTGGCAGTTTCTTAACTAGAGGAGAGACGGTCACTCTATTAACACCCAATTTTTTTTCCCAATCAAATAGCTGATTTTCCAAAGAAAATGAAGAATTTTTTTTTAAGGGAAAGTGGGTGCAACACAGCCCAAAATCAACCAATGCCTACTACGTAGTAGCATTTCTACTATGTAGGAATGCCAATTCCATTCCTTAAGCCTTTTGGTTTTGCTTCATGTTCCTGGGCTTTAAAATGAAATCGTGTAATTTCAGATTGATTTCAGGGGGACCCACATCCCCAGGTCCAAGTCAGCTGCTTAAGTCTTTATGGTGAAAGAAAGGGTAGGAAAGGCAGATGGTTTGTGTGTTTTAGAAATAAATACATACTATAGTCCACCTAATTTTTCTTCTCTTCTCTGTCCATCATTTAATTTTTAGGATTCTGAATGGACTGGTGAGGGAAGAGATATCATCTTCAAATGTTGCCAGATGAGAGACACAGGCCCTGAGAGAAACATTAATCTAATATTTATTGTTGGATCTTATGTCTTAAAAGATGTTAAGATTCAAGTAAATAGAGACTATATATAATTCCTATTACTGTTACTGCTAATAATAATGCTAATAGCATCTAAGTAGACTTTGATCTCAAAACTAGAGTAATTATAATTTTAACTATTGGGCTGCATTACTCTAATGTGTTAAAACCATATTAATCAGAACAACATTCAAAAGGGAGCCCAGAATTTTCAAAGGTCTTTTTCCCCAGGATCTCAGAATATATTTGTAGTGTGAAGTTAAGATTTTTTGCAGAATTAAGAATCCAGAAACAAATCCTACATTTACAGTCAACTGATTTTCAACAAAGGTGCTAAGACCGCTCAATGGGGAAAGAATAATCTCTTCAATAAATGGTGCTTGGACAATCAGACATTTACATGCAAAAGAATGAAGTTTGACCCTTACCTCATACCACATACAAATTTAATTCAAAAATTAAGTGAAAAAGACATAAAACTCTTTGAAGAATATATAGGGGTATATCTTCACGACTTTGGATTTAGCAAAGGACTCGTACATATGATGCCAAGAGCATGAGCAACAAAATTAAAAATATATAAAATGGACTTCAAAAGTAAAAACTTCTGTGCATCGATGGATACTATAAAGAAAATGAAAGACAAGTCACAGGATGGAGAAAATATTTTCAAATAATATCTCTCATAAGAGCCTAATATCTAGAATATATAAAGAACTCATAACTCAACAGCAAAAAAAACCAATCAACCCACTTTTGAAATGGGCAAAGGACATGAGTAGACATTTCTTCTGAGAGAAATGGCCATACAAGTGGTCAGCAAGCTCATGAAAATATGCTCAGTATCATTAGTTATTAGGGAAGTGCAAATCAAAACTATAAACGAGATACTTCACACCCATGAGAATGGCTATAATTTTAAAAACACAGAAAAGTGAGTTGGTGAAGACAATATGGAGAAATTAGAATCCTCAAACATTGCTGGTGGAAATGTAAAATGGTGCAGCTGCTGCTGAAAACTGTTTGATACATTAAACATAGAATTACCATAGGACCCAGCAATTCCACCAGTAATTTACACGAAGAATTAAAAACAGAAGTTCAAACAAAAACTTGTACACGAATATTCACATAGCACTATTTACAATAGCCAAAAGATGGAAACAACCTAAATGACCACCAGCTGATGAACAGATAAACAAATTATGGTATATCCACATAATTGAATATTATTCACTCATAAAAAGGAATGAAGCACTGATACATGCTACAACATGGATGAACCTTGAAAAGATGCTAAGCAAAAGAAGCCAGGCAAAAAAAGACCACAAGTTTTGTGAATTGATTTACATGAAATATCCAAAATAGGCAAATCCATGGAGACAGAAAGTAGATTAATGACTGCCAAGGATTAGAGATGGGGAGGAGAATAAGAGACACTGCTTGAAGAGTGAAAGGCTTCCTTTGGTATTCAGGAAAATGTTCAGGAACTATGTAAAGGAAATGCTTGCACAGCATTGGGAATGTGCTAAATGTAACTAATGGTAAATTTTATATTATGTATAATTTACTACACACACACACACACACACACACACACACACACACAGAGGTTAAGATTTCCTAGAAGGTAGTTTTGGCCTGCAATTCTATTTCTTCTGATCTGAAGCTGCTATTTAGAGAGTCTTTCCCTTTGAATCTAAAACTTAATCCTCAACCACACACCTTTGTCATCTTTATGGCAACCCAGTTCTCCTGTGTATAATTATAAGACTAGCTAATAATTGTATGCCAGGAACATTTTATTTCTTAAATATGTACAAAACTCCAAGTATGTGGTGACCATTGTCTTAGACACTGAAGATACCACAGAGAATAAGCCATAAATATCTACTCTCAAGAAAGTTAGCTCATTGAAAAGAGACAAGAAATAAATGAATGAAATAGGTAATTTCACAAGCTCTCGGTGTTATGAAAAAAATAAAATAGATGGCACGATGGAAAATAATAGGGAGAGAGGGGGATCTAGTTCAGCCTGGGTGGTCAAGGAAGGCCTCTCTGAGGTGACATGTGAGCTGAAATCTTGCATTCAGAAGGATCTCAGGGGAAGAGTCTTCCAGGCAAAGGAAACCACACAAGCAAGAACCTAAGGCAGGAAAGGCTTTGGGTTGTTTAAAAAAGGCTAGATTAGCTGAAGCAGAATTAGGAAGGGTAGAGAATTTGTTGATTTAATGGGAAATGTAGGAAATAGGAAATGGGAAATGAATCAGAGCCTGTAAGGCCTGTAAGTTTATGAGGGAAGCCATTGCAGAGTTTTAGGCAAGGGAAAACATGATCTGATTACTATTTGAAAAACAGCACCACTCTGGCTGCTAAGTGAAGAATGTGTTGTAGGATGCAGAGCAGGAGACCAGTTAGAAGACTGTTGTGTTAGATTGCAGATGCAAGGCAATGGTGGCCAGAGCTGTGTGGGAATGGTGAAGGTGGAAAAAATCATCCAAGACTCCTTACCCTTTCATTGCCCACTCCTGCTTTTTGGACATCACATAGGATACCCTGCCCAGACCCAGCCTCAGTAACCTGTCCCAGCATGACTTTCCTGCCCTTATCTCCTGCATGGGGGCTGGAGGGACAGCATTCACAAACCACAATGACGAAAATAATGAAGAACAATAGCCTGAGATTTCTTCTATTTTCAAGAATGTGGGCTCTGTAACAAATACCCAGATCCAGAAACTTCCTGTTTATAAAAGGGGGTCCAGCAGTTCAAAGCAGGGCTTGCTTTTCAAAGAAGCAATACGCGCCCTGTGCACACAAGGAGAGCAAAGACTCTTAGCCCTGTGGGAGGAGATCTCCAAAGGCCACAATATCATCTCCCCTCACAGTAGATTATTAATCCCATTGTCAATGTAAGCCCAGACAGGGCGCCCAGATTCCAGGCCCGTCTGTGTTTCCCACTGTTCATGCTTGAGGACTAGCATGATGACTGGACAAGAGGCAGATGAAGTGGACACAGAATCCAAAGTAGACAAATAATTTGAATGCAGGGATAAGCACACCTGTCAAGATATACCTTGGAAAACAAAACTCCTTCACACTTCAGATTCCTCAGGAAAGGCCCAAGGTCTTAAAGGAAGATGCCCCACACAGATTTCCTGTTTAAAGGAAAATATAGCTTTGTTGTAGCAAAAGTCAAAGGCCTAAGAAGTAAGATTCAGGAGCTTTCCTGTGATGAGGGAAAGCTGTGAGCCATAGGAGGCTTTTGATTATTCTTATTCCTGTGGGTTAATAAATTGGAAAAGAAGAAAAGCTGAAAGCTGGAGAGCTGCTATAGACGACTGCAAAAGGTTCAGGGATGTGCTGGGCATATCAAAGACAAGGGTCCCTCTAAATTTTCTTAATTTATAAGCAGATGACAAGGCAGCATATGCAGGCCATTGAGCAAAAGCAGCAATAATTTAAAAGGAATGAACACACAGGTTTAGTGTCATAAGAGAATAAAATTTATGGCCAGGTTAATCTGATGTATGTAGCTAATGGGGTGCATAATTGTGACTGTGCTTTGGGAATAATTTGGCATAAATGGTAAACAGTTTATGTAATTAAGTGTAATTGTTGTGCTACATAACTGAACACATTTTAGCTTTTTCTTTTCTCACTTCAAGTTTTCTAGTATCCATACTATTAATACTGTAAATGTGGCTATTTTTTTCTGATAGTAACACTGAATTAGCGTCCTCATGAGGCAAACCCAAACCAGTTAGCAGTTGAACTTTCACAGTCTGTCCCTTCTACCTACTCCTGTCTTTAGATCTCCCTGTCTTCCAAGGAGGGTCCTCCTTGGTTAGAACAGTTATTTGGGCTTCACCGCGCAGAAGCAGAAAGGGGAAAAGAAAAATCAGCACACCCATTGGAACCGAGAATTAGAGAAAAGTTTGCTGCAAGAGTTGCTGATGTGCTATGTGAAAGAGTTAGATGATAGAGACAAGAGGAATTCTTTTAAATGTGTTACTGTGATCCACTATTGCATCAAGAAATGCAAGTAAAACCTTTAGGTTATTTTGAACTTTCTGTGGATTGCTGGATTTTTGCTTTTTGAGTTTTTGGGGTTTTTTGGGGCCATGATACAGTTCGGAGACTAGACTACATGGGTCACATTATAAGTGTTTTAACCATTATCTCAAACACTGATAAAAATATCTTTTAAAGACCTCAAATCTCACTCCCCAATGGCGTGGATTCCACTTTCACTAATTCTCATGCTATGTCTCAGGACCCTGGACTACCCAATTCCACTCTGCCAGTATGTCTGTCAATTTTTCACACCTGTGCAAAGTTTCATACACAGAAAGGATTATTTAAAGCTATTTGGTTAATCATAACTGCTAAAATTATAAATGCTAAAACTTAGGTTTTCTTATGTTTTTAGGTTCAATTTATAAATTTTGTTATTCTGTTTTTAAAAATCTCAAAAAATATAGCTTTTACTTTTAGTTTGTAGTATGTTTAACTACAAATGTAGCAGGTTAGATCTTACTAAGTGGTATAATCTATTTAAAAATTAAATTAATTAAAATATCAGAAACATTTTGTGATGGTGTTTTGATTTGTCAATGTGGCTAGGCTGCAGTCCCCCAGTTAATGAACCAAATTTCAATCTCAATGCAGCTATGAAGAGATTTGAATCCTTATTCTGTTCACTTTAACTAAGGGAGAGATTATTCTGGGTGAGCCTGACTTAATCAGTTGGAAAGCCTAAAAAGTAGGGCAGAGGATTTTCCCTTCTAATGGCCTGCCTTACAGACCTCAGACTTGCTTAGCCCTTGCTTTCCAAAAGCCAATTCCTTGTAATAAATCATACATGCATGCATGCACATGTATGTATACACACACACACACACATCTCCTACTGGATCTGCTTCTCAGATTAAGCTCTTGAATGATACACATTTACACATTTCAAATTTGGTATAACTGATTCTTTCACAAACATAAAATATCTCACAGGGCAAACTTACAAACAATATAAGCAAAATTTTTATAAATCTAATAGGATACATTTTAAACTTTAAAAAATCAGTTTTTCTTAAATATGCAACACTGCTTATAAAACTATATTCTCACTTTCAAATTAAACACAAATAATAATTAAGCATCGCAAATTACAATCACAAAGCTAATATGCAGTTTCTCTAAATTGTCAATTTTTCTCGATATTTCAAATGTCTAAAATAACAAACAAGAAAGATTAAGATAATTATTCTAATCTATCTTCTGAAAACACAAAAGTTTCATTTACTTCATTATTTCTCTATTTATTGGTATACATTGCCAAAGTTACTCAACATCACTTACCCAACTCTTAAAAGCCATAAAACTGAATTTGAATCAGGGTAAGTGGTTTAATTCAGGAAAATAAAACAAACAACTGAACAGTAAGCTCAGCCTGCCTAAGATATAGTGAAGAGATTTTATTTCACAAGTGGGTCAGAAAAAGTTTTAAAAGACAAATACCTATGAGAAGTATCTGAATATGAATTCAGTTTAACTTAATAAGGTAAATTCTATTTGAATCTTTCCTGTTTTGACAGAGGGGAAACTTCCAAATAGCTGGAGGTGGCTGAGTTGAAAAGAAGGAGGTGTTAGTGAAAGAAAACAGGAGCAGACCATGGAGGACAAAGTTTAGGGAACTAACCCAACGATGTACACATAGATTCACAGCTTCATGAAAACTATGATATCGATGAGAGCTGAAGCTGTGGATATGGAGAGCCAGAAAGATACTCAAGAAAGCTTCCTATAGAAAAATTGGCAAAGCTTGGTGAGGCCACCTGAAAGGTCTACCATGATTTGAGAAGCAATGCTTCAGGTGGATGAACTGATTCTGAATACTGCCTATTACAAAGATAGATATATATCGAAGAAGAAATACATATAACAAAGTTAAGGATTTTTGTTGTTGTCATTTGTTTTAAACTTCTCAAGGAGGGTTTCCCTTAAAAAACAAAAACAACAATAACAAAAGAAATCTACTTCCAATGAGAAGGGAGGAAAGGAGACCTGGAGTCACAGAGGCCAGGGCAACTGGAGTCTGAAGGCCTCACAGCAACTTCCAGCAGAGTTGAGGCCATTGGGAGTCCAAGAAAGGAAACCGAAAGAGCCTTCAGGTTAAAGAGTCTAGTACAATTTTGCATAGTTTTAGAATAGGGATTTAGAGATTGGTAGGAATGAGAGCAACTGAAGATGTAAGAAAATTGGAGGCAAGAGAAAGAGGAAAATTTTGAAAAGTGTTATTAGAGTCCCATTAGTTTTCTTTGAAAAATTCTAATAAAGGCTGGAACTATATTTTAATTACTTTTGCTTGCTGGACTGTGTGTCTAACTGCACCTGGGCCACTAAACAGTCTAGAATTTATTCAGATCACATATATTCAAGTGACTCACTAAATTCTGCTATGCAGAAATGGAAAGGTATACTTTTTGTTGCTTGCCAAAGTACAGATATCAACTTCTTCTCCAGAAAAGCAAATCTGCTTTCCAAAAAGTCATCTTTTTTCTTATATTCAGGGACAAACAAAATCTGTCTGCCTTTTGTAGGTTTATGTATTTCTCAGGCACCACATTATGTGAGTTTCAAAGAAAATGTATAGTGCTGGTGGCAGGGTACATTTATTCAATAATTTATTAAGCAGACATCTTTTTAGAAGCCTCCATGTGCCCAGCATTGTGCTGGGTTCTGAGATCAAGGGATAAGACTCAAATCCTTCAAGAAATTTGCAGCCTGGTGGAGAAGACTGAATTGATTCTCCCAATCCTTTTGGAAACTGATTTAGCAACAATTATTTTAAAATCAGACAAATTTAAATTCTAACCCAATAAATCTATTCCAAGAAATTCGACCTGACAAAATCATTTTTATTTTTTAAATTTAATTTTTAATTACAATTTAAAATTTTAATTTTTAATTACAATTTAAAATTTTAATTTTTAATTACAATTTAAAATTTTAATTTTTAATTACAATTTAAAATTTTCATTTTTAATTACCTCAGTAATTAAAAGCCAGATGTCAGTTCCAATCCTGTTTCTGCCACTTATTAGACTATTACTTAGCTTATCGTGGGGTAAGTAATTGCAGAGAGCACTTAGCTATCTGCAATATGAAGATAACGATTCTAGCACACGAGGTCATTGTAAGTATTAACTGCGATAACATACGTAGAGTTTATCACTGTGCCTGAGTCGTGGAAGATGCTTAATAAACAATCATGTCTCCCCTTAAGTGATAACCACAGAGGGGTTACAACTACACAGAAATCTATAAACATGTGAATGAGGCTGAAAAATTATGTGCTCGAACTAGTTTTGCTTATTTTTTTTTAATTTTAATTTCTGAGAATGCATTTCTGTGGCTGAAACTTCAAGCTCCAGGCTCCAAAATATATTCATATATTTCGTGGAGTTGGAGAATGTGTTTTTCCTTTTCCAAAGACAAGACACATTTTGAAACATAATAAAGAAAGAGCAAGGCTTTTTCTTGATTTCCACTCAAAATTGGTGTTGGACATTCAGCAGCACGACTTAGCCACTCATTTATTAGCCACTCAACAAACATTTACTGAAGATCTACTATGTGCCAGATACTAGGCTGGTGGCTGGGCATTGGGAGTGAAATGACAACCCCTCTTTGCATTTGAGGGGTCTATTTCTGGTATTTACTGACAAATCTATTATTATAGAACAAGTAAACCCCACGACAGAAGCCTGGAAGAGAGGCAACTCAATAACGCTGGTTAGTTACAGAGTGCTTCCTGGAGAACATAGTGCTTAAATTGAGTTTTAAAGGAGGAGAAGCAGTAGCTAGATAAAGCTAGAAAACATATCTCATTCAGTATTGATGATAACTAAGTTTAAAAGTTGGGGAACAGAGTGAATAGTCAAGTTTTCAGCCTATCTGCCAAAATGAGTACTAAGAGGATTCAAGAAAGAGGGAAACTGAGACAAAGGAGCTGAGAAGGAACATGCCCAGAAGAAAGAAAAGTATATGCAAAGGCAAATAAACAGGATAAGTGACCAAGGGCAACCCAAAAAAATCATTCCACACTTAACACTTAGATTGTACTCTCTGGAATTGTTCTTCAGATTAATTTAAACCATTTTTCACATTTACCAATTTTTCTCACAAGAAAGGAAGCCTTAATGCTGAAATTGCCCCAACATATTTACCACTTTGCCCCCCATACTGAGTGAAAGATAGCCAAGGGAATCATAAAGTTTGCAACAAATTGACCACAAATTATTTTTTCAAGAAACAGGTCTCACTTAGGATTAATGATAACTGATCACAGCTTCTAAGGAATACATAACAATAGCAATGATTCAGAAAAGTAGTGAAACAGAGCATCCCCTAAAACACTTATTTTCTCAGCTGTCTTACTTTGGCAGAAGATGGACTTCCTCAGAGTGACCAACAGCACAGTAATTTTACCCAAAATGTGTCTAAACACATTTTCTCTTAATACCACCTTTTTAACCTTCTCACAAGGACTTTACGCCGCATTAAAAGCAAGAAGTGGAGATGGGCAAATTGAGTATGACTAGCAAAAAGGGTGTGTTTACGCTAATTAAGAGAGATAATGCTCTCTGATGTATCAACATTATATTAAATGGAGGCACATCTCACACAAGGTTGGCATCTGAAGTTTGGATGTGAGGCACATAGTAAGTATGGTCGAAAGTACTGTTGAACATCCCATAAGCCACCCACAAAGAGTAACACACATGTTTTGTGTTGAAAACCCTGTTCATTGATGTGTGTGTAAATGAATAATGCATACAGTAATAAAAGTCTATAATAAGAGGCACCTATGCAAATGAAATTTAAGGCATTTTCATGGTATTTAAAAGATCACTTGCATAGTTGAATTTAAAAACTTTAATATATGATGTGTCTCCACTGCTCAATACTTAATGCCAGTGGAGGAGTCTAGGATTTTTACAGGTCTAAGGAATATACTCTGGCAGAGAGAGCACTGAAGTTGAAATTGGAAGAGCTGGGTTTAAGCTCTGCTACTGTGACTTATTGAAAAAGAGGGCTTACATCTCATGTCACATCAAATCTTTATAGTTTTTGTCCAAAATGTTAAGATAGTCTTGGAAATACTTGTGTCTGTATTTTGGCATGTGATATGTTGACACTGTGAACTAGATATGAAAGTAAAAGAGCCCTAGGCCACTGGGCCAGGAACTCATGGCTTCTATTCCTTTCTATGCTTAATAATAAAAATCAATCCAGGACCTTTTTATTTACCTTGGGTATCTTTACTAGTTCTCTTACTACACCGCTCAATAAATGTTTAGGCTATTTTTAGAGCTACAAACAGTAACAATATTTTTAAACAGAGTCAAGGAGGTTTCCCCCAATAGCCTCACATGTTGAATGAAAAACAGCCACAGGAATCATAATGTTTGCAATAAATTGACCACAGATTATTTTTCAGAAAACATATCTCACTCAATATTGATGATAACTAAGTTTAAAAGTTAGAGAACAGAGTGAATAGTCAAGTTTTCAGCCTATCTGCCAAAATGAGTACTAAGACGATCCAAGAAAGAGGGAAACTGAGACAAAGAAGCTGAGAAGGAACATTATTCCATTGTCCACAGCCCTGAGAGTTAAGGAAGTTATACATGTGGTCATTGCCCAGGTCCACTATCTTTGGAACCTATCAGAACTTAGAAAACCAAGGTAACTTTTTTTTAATCCTAACCTCTATACACTCTAATGGAGACAGCCCTTTGGATATGAATAGCTAAATTTGATTTCTCAAAGATGGCTGGTAAAACTAGGCTTCATTTAGGATTTCCCAGGTATCTAGGGACTATTTTCCAAATAATGCAGGCTCAATAAAACTGCCAAATGTGCTTTGTCATTTGATTTTTTTCAGATATGAGTAATTTAATCCATATGTTGCTCATTCATAAAAATCTCTACAATGCAGTTTAAGATTTTTAAGAGCCATTTGTTTTCCCAGGAGGTCCTGGAGCTTACTTATTACTTTTCTAGAAACTAGTTTTTAAATCAAATTTCAATACAGGTGACTGACTCTCTTTTCCTTATGAAATCTGGATCCTGAAATTTTAGGTTAGGTTTGAAAACAGATTCCAAAATGTTTTGCCTATTATTTTATTTGCAGACTATTTGTTCTGAGGTCAATTTTTGTGGGCATTTACCTCAGCTTTGTACGGAACTTAAAATCTTAGGAGTAAGCGATTCCTCCTCTATCCCAGGATCTCATGGAAAGATTCTAAATCTCCTTGCTCATGTAGGAGCTGTATTTTCTCAGGGAACTAAGGTTTCATTTATAAAATACCTTTTTCAGGGTTCTTATTATTCTATTTCGCTAGAAGGTTAACTCACCTCATGCAGACAGGAGGTGACATGTCTGTGTCGGAAAGAAGAATCCTCCCCAGTAGATGAGGCTCAAGTTCCAACCTCAAGAAGTCATTTCGCTCCCAGGCGAAGGCCTCATTGATGATGCCAATTCAAAGTCTCTGCCTTTCTATTTTCCTTATTTCAACTTCATCTTCAAAAAGATAAAATCTGCCTCAAAAACAGCTTAGAAATCTGTTCTCACCCCCACTCCTCCCCGCCTCATGGTCACCCTCCACTTTCTTTGGTCTGAAACCAATTGTGTAAATTAATTCACTTCTACATTGCTAATTGCTACGGAAGCTGAGAACTCAGAGGCTGCAAATACATCTTTTTGGGTTTTTTTGCCATTTTGAAAGTACAGCTAGTCTTTTAACTGCCTTGGGGAAACAACTCTACTACCCAAATGGAAAAGGCCTCTGAGAACTGTCTATTATGTAGTGATTAAATGCAGGGCCTCTGGAGGCCGACTGCCTGTATTAAAATCCCAGGGCTACCCCTTACTCCCTGTGAGTCCTCAGGCAAGTCGCTTTAGTCCCTCTGTGCCTCAGTTTCCGCACCCATAAAATGGGGATGGCAGCAATATATACCTAAAAAGACTATTGTGAGCAATGAATGAAATTAAGAGTTAGAACAAGGCCTAGCATAGTGTAAAGCATTCAAAAAATGGCAGCTTTACCGGGCTCTCTCCCCTTTGACTAGCTCCCTCCTGGGCCAGCACACACTGTACAGAGAATTCCAAAGCACTTGATTCAAGATATAGACACTTTATGTGTGCCTTTGCCTGTCATCTATTCATTTATTCCACAAATATCTATGAAGCTATGTGCAAGATGCTGTGCTGTGTGCTGGGGTATTATTTTGTTCCCATAAAAATATAGACCCAAGACTCACTTTTATCAAATGATAACAAAGGAAACAATACAGGAACCAATGCTCTCCTCTGCCCCTATCTGCCTCCTGTCTGAATCCACACACTAAGACTGGAGAAACAAATTTGTCCCAAAGGGTTCTCACACACCAGAGAACCATTAAATTAAAAAGCACTGATGCTTCTGGGAGGAAAAGACTGAAGGCTGTCAGCACTTTGCATTAACAGCTTCTATCCAGCAGGCCCAGGCCCCTGACCCAGCTAAGGAGCCCCTTTTGCATGGAAACAGCCCGTGCTGCTGAATGAGACTATGCGGTGCGTTCCCTTCCAGGTGCCCGGGGACTGATGCGTGCTGCTCATTAGTGGTAAATGGTAGCTACATGTGGAAATCCCAGCACATTGAAAAGAGAATACAACCCTAAGGAACCATAAATCACTTGCATTGATTCTAAAACTGACTGAGATGCGGCGAGAGAGTTGTTTGTTTAGAATTTAATTTGATTCGTCAGCCATTGGACAGGCCTTTATTTGCTGTTAAACTGCTACATTTCCAGCTACTGAAGCTGACTCAGGTGTTCCCGAGTTTTTGTCTTTTGTGGGGGAGGGAGGCAGATCTGTACACAGAGAGAGTGGAATGCATTTTTGTTCAAAACCTGCTTCTGCCAGCGTTGAAAGCACTCAAGTGAAAGGTAAATCACACTGATCAAGTGACATGGTAGATTTGGGTGCCTGCTGCAGTTGGTGTGCCATAGCTGGGCACAGCTGCAAGTTGGTTGTGTTTGGCATCTTCTGATGGTAAACTTTCTATTCCCTTGTGAAGACTCAGGCAGACTGGAAAGCATAGACCATTGTATTTACAGCTATTGGATGCAGTTCTTAAGCAGGCAAAAAAGAAAAATAAGACCCCCTTATTTCTGGCTCTCAGTTCATCAGCTATCTGAAACCCTGACCTCAGAATTTCTCACCTCCTGTTCTGCACCCCCTGAATTTCCCTTCCATATTAGCTGCTCACTGTACTAAACTTGGCCTGAGCCATCCCATGATAATGGTCCATCTCCAGGCTCTTGATGTTATCCACCCACAACCCCCCACTTCTCTCAAAAGGATCCTGGTTTGGACAATACATTATGATTATTGTATTTATACTGTGTGAGTCTGCTGCTAACTTGCAAATATGTCTCCATTGCCTTAGAAACGAAAGTCCTGCCTTTCCAAAATTGAAAATTCCAAACTCTTTCCTCTACCGCTCACCTGCTTTCCCTCACCTCCAATTCAACCACCACTCAAATCAATCTCCTTGTCTCGCCTCCTGAAAAACTGAGGCTACTAACCATGAGCTCCTTTATCATCTCTCCTCTCCTCCTCAGAAGATTTCTGTATCATCACTTATATTTTATGGCTTTGGGAGCAGCAAAACCAGGGTTCAAATGCCTGATCCGCCCACCATGTAGTGGCTGTGTAAGCTTGGGCAAGTTTCCATGTCTACAAATTGAAAACCACCATTTCTATGCCACAGGACAGCTGGTATAATTAAGAATGAATACAGCACTTGATGAGGCTCACCTGGTAAGAGATAGAGGCAAGACAGCTGTCTTTCCTCTATCTCTTCCATGTCTCAGCAGCTTCCCCGGCCTACGCTCGCTGTCTTATTTCTCTCTACTCTGTGTAGGGACTTGATCCTGCAGTTAGCCCCCCTTACTCCAAGACCATTTGTGGTCGTCTCATTGTTGTGGTTTTACCCTTAAAATCTATCAAGCCTCTAATTCTCCTATCCCGAATAATCCCTCTTGAGCTACAACTCTCTTGGCTTGGTCTCATATTTCACTTCTGAAATGACTGTGAAGAGTCTTCTGCTACCAGCTGACGGTATGTCACAGCCTAACATCTCCTTAATTAACTGTCATCTGGCTGATATTCTGATCATTCTATAATACTTGAGAAAGCCCTGCCTCATGATCTAGTATATCACCACCACACACCCTTTCTAAGACATCTCTTTGATACTTGAATCATGATGCTGCCCTTTCTAGAAACGACGCTACTGCAGGGTAGCGTCCTTATGCTCACTCAAGCCCTTCCATCACCCCAACCTCTCTTTCTGCACCTAATACGCTATAAAGATAAGATTAAAATAATTTAAAAAGGCGGGCCACGGTGGCTCACGCCTGTAATCCCAGCATTTGAGAGGCCAAGGCAGGTGAATCACTTGAGCTCAGGAGTTCAAGACCAGCCTCGCCAACATGGCAAAACCCCATCTCTACTCAAAACACGAAAATTAGCTCAGTGTAGTGGCAGGTGCGTATAATCCCAGCTAACTGGGAGGCTGAGGCAGGAGAACTATTGGAACCTGGGAGGCAGAGGTTGCAGTGGGCCAAAATTACACCACTGCACTCCAGCCTGGATGACAGAATGAGACTCTACTGAAATAATAATAATTATTATTATTTAAAGAGTTCGATGATGAAATAGGTGTAGAAGACTTTGCTTACTATTTCCCTTTTTAGAGATTCTTACTGTATGTTAACAGATTAAAGGCTCTTCGAAGAGTTCTGCAGGAAAGAATACTTACCTGCTCAATAATTACCGATTGATTAGTAACACCCATGAAGTACTTACTTTTATTAATATTTGACTTTTTATTGTACAAATGTCTCTTCAAGTTGTTCCTAAGCTACTAGCAAATAAAATTTGTGTTACGTATTTTTTATTTGCCTCCCAAAGCCTGTTTTCAGACATGGACATAGTATTAATATATATCCATTATAAACCAGACTGCAAGGTCACTTAAATATTTTTGTTTTTTAAAAAATTAATTTACACTACGTTTGTCTGAAATGAACAGGAAAGCAATGAACGATAAAGTTTCTACGACACAACTATTTTCTTTGGCTCTCTCAAATGCCTCATTTCTCCATGTCTTTTTTAATTTTTATTTTTATTTTGTTTTTATTTTTTTGACATGGAGTCTCACTCTGCAGCCTGGGATGAAGTGCAGTGGCACAATCTCAGCTCACTGCAGCCTCCACCCCTGGGTTCAAGAGATTCTCCTGCCTCAGCCTCCCAAGGAGCTGGGATGACAGGCACCTGCCACCACGCCCAGCTAATTTTTGTATTTTTTGTAGAGACGGGGTTTCACCGTGTTGGTCAGGCTGGTCTCGAACTCCTGACCTCAAGTTATCCACCCACCTTGGCTTCCCAAAGTGCTGGGATTACAGGCATGAACCACCGTGCCCGGCCTTTCCATGTCTTATACGACCTGAAGAAGGAAGGAGGTCATCTGCTGGAGCCAGGGGCCATGCTCGCTCCATTCAATGCATGATCACATGTAAGCTTTCTGTGAAACAGATATGACTATACACATTTTTACCAATTATAAACTGAGGCTCAGAGTCACCCACCAATGAAGTGACAGAGTCTGCATTCAAATGTAGGTCTGCTGATTCTAAAAATCTGTGATTTTTGCACAAAATGGCAGCCTTTACCAATAGTGAGGTGAGTGGAAGTGACATGCAAATGCAGCAGGTGGGAAAAGAGAGTGCCCAAGAAGAGAAAACTATTTGTCCAGTGGCTGGAATGATGAGCCTTTGCCAAGAGCATTGTGAGGCAGAGAAATTATAGCTACCAGCTGCCAACTCCCAATCTTGGGCCATAGAGAAAAGAGGAGAAAAAGATACAGAAGAAAAGGAAAACTGAACAAAGAAACAAAAAGTAATATGCTCAAATTGCCTCAGCTGCTGCAAAGCTATTTGCCCTAGGGAAAAAAATAGACTGTTTTTCCTGCCTTGACTTAGTGCTGATCACCTGGTATCATGAAAATTCGACCAGACTATGCCAGGCAGTTTGTCTACTGCAAAAGATGATGAGAGAAAAAACTATAAGCTTCCATTGGAGCCACAGACTGTGTTTTATACTTTTCTCCCATGTCTGTTTCTGCTTCCTAACAATTAAATACATGAGTGTTTATTGAATGCCATTTGAATGAATGAATGAAAATAGGTTTATGTCAGAGAGCTATTTAAATTCCCTACCACTCCTTAATTAGTTACTGCAGCCACAAAACCTTTGAGAAACAAGGCAGGTATACATTTATAAGTAAAATTATTTCCAAATTGGTATTCTGAAAAGAAGAAATATATTAACATTGCTTGTGGGTGGTTTAGTACATCCATCATCAAAATGTCAATATTTATACACATATGACTCTAATATTTTGATGGTGCGTTATCATAACATCTAGAATTCACTCAACACTGCCGTGCCTTCCTGACCTCTACAGCAAATCAAACTGTATCTTGTTGATCTATGTTGAGTGCAAGCTCCACTGATGGAAATAATCTCTTCCTCTACAAGACAGGGGTAAGGTTTCCTATATGTTACATGGTAAGTAAAAATCCAGTACAACGGGAAGCAAATGGCTTGGTGGCCACTCTTCACTAGACAATAGGAAGATAAGGACAGAAATAAAAGAAGAAACCCTTTGTTCTTGGTGCTTTTCACAGAGGATTCTTGGACCCTCTATGAAAACCCAACTCTCTGAGGCTTTTTCTGTGAAATCACTGGCAGATAGGAACTTTTCAGCTAGCACATGTCAAAGCTTCTGCCAGGAATGTAAACTGTACAATAATTTTTTTATGTCTTTAGACACCTAAAACAGAAACCTTAAACACCCAAGTGTCAAAATAAGACAGATAACCCAATAAATTTGCTAGAGCAGGGACAGGGAAAACAAACACAGCCTTCTGTTATACGGATGTCTGTTAGCTCGCTCCGACCACTAGCCTGAAACCTTAGCCTGCCACACGTCTTTCCTGTCGGGCTGTTTATTTAGACTCCCGTAAAGCCTCTCGGCACCCATTTTTAATTTTCAGCTTGCTTCTTGTCAGCTTTCTGAAAAGCATAGCAAGATCCACTGTTTAACAAAAACACACACAAATCAGAGGAGGAGGAGATGGATGGCAGAGGGTAGTGGGTGCAGGCATCCCCCAGTGCACTGTGGGGGGACCACATTCCTGGTCCCATTTGTTTGTAACAGAGGGCAAGGGTTGTCAATCGGGGTCATTCAATCTTGCATGCTTGGATTTAACTATACGGCTGTCCTCATAAGAAAGGTTTGCCTCGTTCGGTGCTATATTCTGCATTCATTCATAAAACACTCTGTAAATGCTCTTTGGAAATGTTAGTTTAAAAAAAAAAGAAAACTTCAGTGGTGCTAGTTCATTTCATTCTGATAGTTTTCTATTCTTGATTAGATGGCTTGAAGAGGCCTCAAGCAATAATCCTGTCCTTCCAAAGAAGGATAATAGACTTTTGAGTTTAAAGATGATCATCAGATATGTTATTTTCCTTAAACGCACCTGATAATCCACCGAGCAGCAACTACTTATCAAGTAATTGTTACAGGCAAAGTGCTGTAGTTAGACCTGAGTAGAGAAAACGTATTTTGTGAACCAAAAATTGGAATTCAGGATTTCATATGGAATAACTGTGGCAAATTCCAACTCAAGAGGCAGTCAGGGAGCTGCAGTATAGGTGCCCCCAATACTGGAATTTATAGGCATTTTGATAACTTCAGCAGGGGCAATATTAAAGACTATTTAAAAGTGGGCTCGTTGCTCTATGAAAGCAAGCCTTATGGTCTGCAAAAGTAAGGGTTATAGTGGGGGATATAACATGGGGGATATAACATTTTTTCATCTCTTCACTGTCTCTCCACTTTTACCCCCATGCATTTGGAAGCAATCTCTCAGTTTCCTAGAAGCCCATAGGATCAATTTATATTTTTTTAGTAGTCATCGATCTCAACAGTGAATAGTAATTTATTCTCGATTATAGTGATTTTCCTAAGAATGTAAGATTTTCAGGAACTGGTGGGCAAAGAAAGAAAAGAAAGGAGTTCTTTTTTTTAAAAAAAAGTAAATTGCTCCTATGATTCCATCACATGTATGTGTGTGTGTGTGTGTGTGCACGTGTGCAATTACACATATATACAGGAAGAGGCAAAAGTCCCAGGTCACATCCAACATATACAATCCTACCCCTTCCTCAGGGATAACCACTGTTAACATATAAAAGCACTATTTTCCTGGATTTATTCTGTGCTTAAATTTGATATACAAGCACATATATGTATATGTGTATATGCATATATGTATATGTCATATACAAATAGCCATACATACATGTATTTCTTTTTCACAAAGATGGGATTCTGCTATATATATAGATATAAAATTTGTTTTTATAATATAATTTGGTTTTATATTAACATTTTATTTTGTATATCTTGTCAAGTCAGTACATATTTTTCTATGCAGTCTTGCTAATGGTTGCATAGTATGGCATTAAATAATTATAATATCTTTTATTTACCCAATCCCCCAACTGATGAACACATAGCTCATTGCCAATCTGGGGTATTAAAAAAGGCTGCAATTAACATTCTTGTGAATATATTTTTTCACTGATTTGTGTTACTATTTCTAAAATGTAGAGTCCCAGAAATAGTGATCCAGAGAACTGGGACTTGCCTGAGTTATTAATATATCAAAAGAAAGAATGTAAGGTGGAGGGGCAAGGGATCATCAGCATCAGAAGCAGAGAGAGTCTGGAAGGCAAATGTTGGTAGGTTCTGTCTGAGTCGTGTTGAGAGAAAAGGAAGTCTGAGTCTCTGACATCAGGTGTCTTAGTTCCACTGGCAAAGTATCTCTCTGAGGGGAGCAAGTGCCACATGCTCTCTTAGGTGAGAATTTTAATTTTAGGTGATAATTAGATAATTTATTATTGCCTAATTCCTGTAACTTATTCTGATCCTGATTCTATGCTCACTAGGCAAAATTATGAATACAATATGGTTTCCCCAAAGATCTAACTTGAGAAAGCTGAGTATAGGGGAACATGCAGGCAGTAAACTCTCTGCCAGTCTGTGTACTGGGTTTCTGTAAATCCTCCCTGAGATATGGATCCTCTCAGTATAGTGGTAAAATTGGTTTTTAAACCTACAGGATAGCCACCCTGTGGGGCCTGCTGAAAGACACCCTGTCATCAATATGATCAACACCTCACCTCCATTCTGTATTTTCAATTCCAAATGCAGGTAACCCGTAAGCTCCTAGAAGGCAAGAGATACCCTTGATCTGAGTTTGTCATCCCCACAGCTGGGGGACAGTGGCAGAGTGGGCATCCATTGCCAAGTCAATTTCTCAATGTTCTTCTCTTCACAATTCTCACCTCCACTCCCACTGCGACTCCACTAGTCAGGCTCTTATGTACAACATCAGTACTGCCCTCAGCTGACTCCACTGTCTCCACTCTTGCTCTCCTTGATAGCATGTGATGATAGTGTCCTATTATTTAAAGAATAACGTACAACCCCCTATGAGCTGGCCCTAAGACCAGCTTTCCAAGTTTCAAGGATAAATTCTTGTCAAAAAGTTGTCCTGGTTTACTGTTTACCTTGCTGTTAAAGAACAGAGAAATGCCTGATCACGAACTCACCACAAATGAAGTATTGACTTGGGTTTGGATACCTTTCCTGGCATTCAGTATTGCCTGGAGAAAGGTTATAAAAAGATCCAGGGCAGCTCTCTCCTTTGAGTCGGAGGCCCAGTCCTCTGAGATTTGAGATTGCCTCACCTCCAAAGTTAGGATCCCCAGGTCTGCTAAACATGTAAAAAAGGTAAAAATTTCACAGGGGAAGGAAAACCATGTGGTAATGTGTGAATATTGTATAATACCATTTTGAGACAAAAATAAATGGGCAACATAATTATGCCTTGATTGGTTTTTCATGTCAAGTCTTGATGTCTGAAAATTTGTTTCATATCTTATTTTAAAAGAAATAAAAATTGGGCCAAAGCTAGAGAAAAGAGCTATTCCTGAGTTTGGCAAGTGCCCAATGTAGATATGCCGTAAATTCTTGATCAAACAGACCCCAACTCATAGGCTTCAACCCTTAACCTGACTTTTTTTCAGTATTCCACTTTCAGAAGATATGTTTATTACAAGAAAAGAAGATCACATTGAGGCTTCCCTTCTGAAATAAACTCACAAATTTCAGAGGATGGCCCGTGGTCAGTATCAACTCTACCTGTCTTGGGGAGACAGCATCACAAAGGGGTGCAACTAACCTGGGGCAAAGAAAACTAGACCTAATCTCTTCCAAGGCTTGACTTCCTCATCCAAGTCAGTTAGTCTTTTTGAGTTTCAGTTTTCTTATTCATGAAATGTCGATAATAACACTTGCCTTCTCAGTCTCAGAGGAGGACTGGGAAAATTAAATGAGGTAATGTATAGGAGAATGCTTTACCTCCACAATGCATTATTGTCATTGACATATTATCACTTTCTATAATCAGTCTAAAGAATCTCCTGTGTTCTAGAGTCAGATGGGTACTATATGGGCAAGACAACTGTATATCCTAGCTTTTCCTGGGTGACCTGGATTTCAAAAGTTCTGCCTGACTGTCCGGATAAGTATACTCTTCAAAGTGTGCATTTTTACATCGATTTGAAAGGGGAAAGGGTAGCCACTTAATTTTTAATGAGATATGTAAATATATATCATATAATTGGAAATCTACACACAATATTTTAATAATAATCACCTCCCTATGAATGACATAGAATGGTCAATGATTAAAAAGTCTTGTATAAAATAAAACTAAGTGAAAAAAGAAAGAGGATGCAACAAGAAAGGAAAGCTATCAGAGGTGTCTGTTTCCAAGTAGGTAAAACTTACCCTTTGAAATTAGATAAAACGCTTCTGTACCTTTGACTATGGGCATGAAGTCAAAGGAGGCATTCCTGCAATCAGAGCTGGATGTGAGTTATGACTACTTTAAAAGAAGATGCCTTTCAAGGGAAGTCTTTGGCAGCTGTGTAGCTGGATTAGAAAGGAGTTAATTTAAGTGCGCAAATAAATGGAATCTATATACATGGGGATTAGCGAATGTCATTCTTGACATTTCAAAAGAATGGATTTTGACCTCAGTTGGAATATGCATGTGATGTGTCTCTCATTCCATCCCTAGCATTACTAACTGGTGTATTATTATTTCAACACTAAACAAAGAGAAATAGCACTTGTCCCTGGACCAACATGTTACTTTAGAAGTCCCAGTCTCAACACAAGGAATATTTTGACAGTGGATGGAGCACATACCCCTTGAAAACCCCACATGGCACAGCTGGTAAGTCACCCAGAAAGCCAATTCTATTTAAATGCTTATGAAACGTCTAAGGAGAAATTCAAAACATTTTTTAAAAATCACAGTTGTAAGTGAAATACTTCCAGCAGCAATAAGCTGGGAAAGTAGATGGCAAAACTCGGGGGGTTTTCTTCAACATGGAGAGCCAATCTTTCCTTCCTTTTTAATGTATGTATGAATGGATGTATTTTAACAGGAGGCAATGAGGGCTTATATTTGTATCCAGGTTGATTATGAAACACTGAGCAGATTTGTATAACAAATCCTCAAGGAGGTGAAAAGTCCTGGTGAGAAACTCATCTAGTCCAGCTTCCAACTGCAATATCCAACTCAGGCAAACTCCTGGTAACTCTAATGACTTTCCTCTCTAATCTCAGTCCAGTTTGGCCGTTGGGATTCAGTTCTCATCACTCTTCCATCTATGGCTCAGGCACAACCACTGTAATAATGCACACCAACAATGAGGAGACTTTTTGTTTTTGTTTTGAATATATTAACCTGAATTTGATAAAGTTAGCAAATAGTAACTTCCATAGGGATGATTTTTTTTCAGGCAGCCATATTGAAATGATCCTAATTTTCCTTAGGGTCATGTCTAAGATCAGAGATTGGCAAACTTTTTCTGTAATGGGCTCGATGATAAATATTTAACTCTGTATACAGACTATAAAGTTTCCATTGTGGCTGCTCAATTTTGCTACTACATCATGCAATCAGTTACAGGTAATATATAAACAAGTTAAAATGGCTGTGTTCTAATAAAATATTTTATGGACATATATTTGAATTTTATATAATTTTCATGTGTCAACAATATTACTTTTCTTTTGACTTTTTCCAACTATTTAAAAATGTAAAAAACACTCTTAGCTAGCAGACCATACAAAAACAGGCAGCAGGCCACATTTGGCCCACGGGCTAGTTTGCTGACCCATGTCTGAGAAACTCAGTAGGAAAAAATTGCCAAGGGACACTTTTAGGAGTCACTACAGAGGAGGTTAGCTACGGATACAGCCCCTTCCTCAAAGGTTAAAGGCCAGTCACGGGTGATAGTCATTAGTGCTGTCCACTGAATATTCTCTGTTCTTTCCCTAGGAACATGGTAGCATTGTCACTTCCCACACCCTTATAGTCACTGTGGCATGTGACTATAGGAGATGTGAATAGAAACGACATGTATTCCTTCCAGGTGAAAAATTAAAGAGTAAAGACATGATTTATCATATTCCCTTCTCTAGGTTACAGTACTTATGAATGGGTGAAGTACCCGCAACTGACCTGCAGGTCATATAGCTTGAACAAGAAATAAGATTCTGTTGTGTTAAACCACTGAAATTTTGGGGTGATTTGTTCACAGGTTAGCCCAGCCTGTACTAAATGCAACTGGATTATTACAGACTATGATCAGAGGATGCCTGTGGTTCCTTAAAATGAAATATTTATTCTTATATCAGCAAGAGACAGCCACTTGGCCAACTGAAAATAGGTTACCACATACATCATGGATTTATTGTTCTTCAATCTGTGACCTATCAAGAAAACTATATATAGTAGATAATTTGTAATGCTACTATTCAATGCATTAAATGCATTGAATAGGTTATAAGACAGGTAGTCTCATATTCTGCTGATGGAAAAGTAAACTGCTGGAATCTTTCTAGAAAGCTAATTTCCTATGCCCACCAAGGTCTTTTATAATTTTTCAAACTCTTGGACTACAAACTCTATTTCTAGGAATCTAGCCTAAAAATATAGTCAAGAATCCAGGCAAATATTTGTGAATAATGATATTCATTCTTGTCAAAATAACAAAAAATCCCTGGAAATAATTGTATTCAGCTTTATGAGAAATAGTAAAAATTATGGCATATTCATATAATGAAAAAGTTATACAACTATTTAAAATTAAGTTTATAAAGAAATTTAATAACGAAAAATAAATATAGTATGATTTTTACCTATATTTACATGTAATATATAGAGAAAGAGACAAAGAGAAGAACTGGAATAAAACACACTGAAACATAAACAAATGGTTATTTTATTCCATTGACATTTTTATATTTTCCAAATTTTCTACAGGGAATATGTATTACTCTTACAATCAAATAAAGCAATAAAAGTCATCCCAAACCAGCCAGCTTTAGACTTATCTCCTCAGAGCACCCCAAGTCTGTTTCTGCTTTCCATAAGCTATGAAATGCTCAAGAATCCTCTGTAGCGAAGAAACTCCCCACTTTCTAACATTTTTACTTAGAACCCCTAATTAAGTTATCAGCATAAAACCACCCCAAGAAAATGATTCATAGAAGTCCACATCAGAAAGAATGGGCCTTCCCCTCTTCCCAATGTTGGCATATATCAATTCAAAGCTTATTACTATTTAAATTACTTTATTATCATAATTCCTGTGAATGACTTGCTTTGGTAGGATTTTATAGATCTTTTAACCTACCCTTTCAGCCTTACCATCCCCACTATAATGCCGACTTCCATAACAACAGCAAATAATCTCAGTGGCTTAACACAATCAATCTTGTTCCTTTCACAGTCTGTTCAGGTATTTAGTGCATGGCCTTCTGTTCCATGGTTACAGTATCTTGGCTTTTCTTTTATGGGACCACCATCTGTAAGTGCTTCCTCAGAGGGCTTTGCTAGATCCTCTGCATTCAGCTAGCCAAACAAGCCAGGCAAGAAAGTTAGGAGAAAAGGCATGCATCACTCTACCTTCATTCCATTTGCCAGAAAACAGTCACATGACCCCACTTAACCACAAGTGGGACTGAGGAACGTGGTCTTTCTCTATGTTCATAAATGGGAGGCAAGGGTGGGGAATGTCACCAGTCTCTGCCTTACCCACTATAGATAACTAAGAGTAGCTCTCAGCTCTCAATACTACATATTCTGGTTCACTTTCATCTTTTGCTAAAGGAACTCTCCCACTCAGTTAATCTTTCCCCTACTAGATCCCCCAAATTGGTTTTGAATCTCACCTCCAATAAGTTGTTTTAAATGCCCCAATCAAAAGAACTCATTCCTTTCTTTATGGACCTGTTGCATGAATTTCTATTATAACTGTTCTCGGAGTCTGGGGCTTATATTAGTGAAAATTGTATGTTTTTCCTTCATCAAAGGTAAGCGACTGAACCAGGTGTTATTCTTCACCATCTCCCATGGTATCCAGCCTTGGGTTTTCACATGCTAAGCACTCAGCAAATATTAATTCCCTTCCATTGCTTTTCCATCAACATTTGTGAAAGCTAACAGAACAAAAATACACCAGCCTAGTGTTTCACATAAATGCTGCCGGTTTTAGCTCTCCCTCTTAACAAATATTATATGAAGAGGGAGATTTATATTTATAAGAAGGTCCAGAAGAATCATCCAAGAAGCACATGAGCTTTAAAACCTCTTTGGGGATTGATTTAAGAACCAAAGGATCTAGCATAAGGTTTCGTATTCCTCTGATAATCCCACGTATTTTGCAGACTTTAAAACTCTCTGTGGACTTTTCCTTTTCCTGGAAAATCCAAGTTCTTTAGTAAATCAACTTTTCAGCCCAGTGGGTATAAAAACAGACTGTGTAGTAAATGTGCTTTAGCTTTGCTGAGTTTGCAGGCAAATGGAAAGAAAAGCAAAGAAATAAAGTAAAAGTGAGAGGTGTGAACTTTCCCCATCCATCTTAATGGAGTGCTAACCTTCTTGCCTCAAGGTGACTGTTTGAATTCTAGAACTATTAAACAACAAGCTGAAATCCAAACAATCAGTCTGGGAGTGAAATTGCCTTGAAAAAGGACAGCTGTGTCCAGTTTTGACTAGGATGCAGGCTTAAGAAAGCAAGTACACCCCAAATAAACTGATTTTGGCTGTCCTCTGTCAGCTTTAGACTCTGTAACCTCTCCTCCTTCCTCTTCCCTGAAATGTTCACTCCTTTTGAAAGCTGGATTGGGTGTAAAATGGGGCCTTGCTTTTAGGGATGGCATCTGAGAATGGGCACATTAAGTGAAAGGCACTATCTTTTGTCAAAGAGTGCCTCAAAACTCTTAGAATTTGGAGCGTTAGTGATTGTTGATTTTCACCATTTGGAGTAATTTGTACGGTGCCTAGTACTAGGGGTTGTACAGAGGGGAAAGGCAGAAAGAGGCTAGAGACCGACAAACAGAGCTTAAGTTAAAACATTTAAAAGCAACACATGCTTATACAGAAAATTTAGAAACCTCAGACAAAAAGAAATAAACAAAAATTACCCAAGTCCCTATATTCCAAAACAAAGCTGTTAACATTTTGATGTTTTGCTCTGTAACAATTTTTCTCTGCAAAGGGTTCAGAAGGAATTTTTGTTCTTTGGTTTGAAGCTATTGACCAGACCAGAACTGAGACTGTAGGAGAAACTGAATCTAAAAAGAGCAAACTCTAGGCCTAATTTCCAAAGCATCCTTCTTGATACTATCTTCATTTATAAAATAAAAGGACTGGAACCAAACAACTCCCTGCTGGGTCTGATGTTTGGTAATTGGGTAAAAGCATAAGAGAAAAAAGAACACCTGCTTTGAAGTCAAGTCAGACATGAACTTCATTTCCAGCTTTAGGACTTACCACGTGTTTCATCTCAGGCAAATTCTTTAATTTCTCTGACCTAGGTACCTCATCTTTAAAATACAAATAATAATATGACTTCATAATTACAGTATTTTGAAAATGAAGGGACATCATCTTGAAGATAATAAACAATCAAAATTGTAATTATTGTTCTATGATTACTATGGGCTCAGGAGGAGTTTTAGGGAAGCTTTCCTAATATAACACTTCTTCAGTTTCTCCTATAGTCTCAGTTCTGTCTGGTCAATAGCTTCAAACAAACGAACACAAATTCCTACTGAAACCTATGCAGAAAAAAAGTATTGCAGGGCAAAACACCAAAATGTTAACTGCATTGTTTTGGAATATAGGGACTTGAGTAATTTTTGTTTATTTCTGTCTGCAGTTTCTAAATTTTCTATATAAGCATGTGTTGCTTTTAAATGTTTTAATAAATATTTTTGCTGGAAAAAAGAGTAAATATTCAACAGATACTGTGTGATGAGTAGGCTAATTATTAAGCAGCTCTTTGCAGATTGCTGTTGCATAAATTGTGCAACTGTATACCCCAGATTTCTTGGGAAAGTTCTAAATATGGATATTTTGTTCCATTGGTTTAACTTAGTCTAGTGTATATGGTTACTCTATACTGTTACTCCAGTTGTTTGATTTAGTCTGATGTATATGATTACTCTATAAATGAGATACAATAGCAAATTAGGGAAAACATACATGATTCCACCTATCTAGAAACTTCCATCATGAAAAAGACCTGTGTGTATACTAAAATAATAATAAAATCAAACTATTTGATGCCTGAGCAGAAAGCAAGCACAAATTGTAAGGTGACAAATGGGGAAGTCACACTGGGTACTGACAGCCTGGTGTGTTTAGACAGAGAACTCTTCTGGATTCAATGGAGCACTTCATGTTGATTGGTGGGACAGATGAAAAAGGAGGAGAGAATCTGGGGAAGGTTAAAATGCAAACTAGAAATGGCTAAACGGTTTTCACTAGATGCGAAAGAAATGCAGCGGAGATGGGATTTTAACAGGGTTTTGGAATTACAATAATTATAAAGAAATCCATGGGTCTTAGGCTTCCAAAAAGGAAACGTGTGACTCTATAGGTATCAGTCAGGTAACATTACGTAAGGTGTAGTTATAACCATGTCAGATTCTTTGCCAACTCAGTGTTTTCTAAGGTTAAAAAAAAAAAAAAATTGGATACCCACTTAATAAAATGTATTGGGCTCCATGTAACAGAATATAAGATTAAAACTGACTTGAAAAATTGAAGCCCAGAGGTACAGTGATCTCCAGATTGATGCAGTAACTCAACAACCTCAGGGATCCAGACTTTCCAGATGTGTTTCCCCCTGCCATCCTCTGTGTGTCACGGCCCTCTGCATAACCCAAGATGGCTGTAGCCATTCCAAGCATCATATGCTCATACAACCCTGGTGGGAATGGGGCAAGTAAGGCCAGAGGGGTAAGGAAATTCTCCTCAAGCATCTCGCTATCAGGGAAAAAGAGATTTCCTGTAAGTTCCTTCAACAAATTCCTTCACTGATATTCCCAATATCAATGGTCACCATTGGGTCAAACGGCCATCCCCATCAAGGAAAGAAGGAAGGCAAGGGCTGTGTTTTTACTTTCCAACACAGGCTGTGGTCTCTGCCCAACTGGAAAAAAAAAAAGAAAAAGAAAAAAAAAAAAAACTAGGGTGGCAATTAGCTGTTATGTAGAGAATTAACAAGGAGCATTGTAAGTGTTATATTTCAAACAAATTAAAATGCATGCCTTCTTAGCCAATAGTGCTTAAAATAAAAGTACCTGTATTCCTCATACCACCTGTCCACCATCACCTTTACCCTCGCCTCCACTCACGTATACACATAGAGAAAGCAAGGACTCCTAATATTGGACTGACTTTATTTTTTCTCTTTACTCTTCCCTTGGCTGAATTTATAGAACAAGATCATCTTACAATTACAGAAGAGATCATTTATTTTTTGCCTCTTAGATATTTGTGGATTTTTCTGTTTGTTTCAGATGTAACTAAAGGAATTATAACAACAAAAAACAGAAGCCAAGAATATGTGGTTTTTGTGAATATTTATGTTTTCCTGCAAAAATTGAAAGAAATATTTAATAAACATTTTAAAAATCATACAATAAATGATAACTATTGTATGTCCTTAGGCATGGAAAGAAAATTAAGCAAAATAGGAGTTACACAGATATAAAGGGCATAATTGAAGCAGCTTCTATTAACTCTTTCAGATGCCATCAACATAATTTTAAAAACCAAAGGTGAATACGTATTCATCATAGTTTAATTTTAAGTAAATAAAAATTGTTTCTGAATAGTATTTGAAATCAAAATCCACCTATCCTGAATGACTTCAAAGTAATTAAAAAGTAAAACTAAAAATGGATGACAAATTACTATCTGCTTTGTTTGGCTTTTCAATAAAAACTAAATACAACACAAAATAAGGAGAGTAATTTAAAATTGTCATGCATTATAATAATTTATTTATAATTAGAATACTTCATCTTTTATAAAAGCCTATTACTCTACCTGTGTAGTGTATCCATCTGGACAAGTTTTTCTGAATTCCCTCAGGTAATTAGTTTCATGAAACATTGCTGGATGGCATATTCTCCCTCACCACTACTCCTGAGATTTTATAAAATACAAGCACTCTTACCACAATGTTATGTTGAGAAATGTAATTAACAGAAAATATTGTATGATATTCATGTCAAACATTACTTGGGCAAAATACATATAGACTCTAAGTATTCCTAGATGACCTAATTAGGCAAAACAAATTTATCTCACAAATCTTGACACTATATTCCTTCTCTGGAGCAGATATTCAAGGCCTTGGGAAGCATTTGATTCTGGGTTTAACCTCCCAGCTGCCCAAGACCTTATACCATATCACACAGTGAATCTATGAAATGACCCAGAATAATTCCTTTCAGCTCCATTTCAGTAAAGTCCTCATCTCTCTAGTCTATTGGTCAGCCCCACCTTCCTGCTGGATCCTATTTGCAACATCTTTATTACTTGCCATTTTGGAAGTCACAAACTGTCTCAGATCTTTTATTCATCAACTCTTCACCCAAGGCACATATGTTGCTAAACTCTCTCCAGTAATTCAGAAAAAGGGAAACTTAATTTCCTTTTGTTAAACAGTGGCATCCTACTGTTGTCTTTGCCTTTCCTGTTTATACTGAATCCTAAACAAGCTTTTTCATCTACCAAATGTTCCACCAATGTCTAGAGTTTATCTGTGTATTAGAGTCTTGCACCCTTGCACTGTTCTTGTGCACTAAGTATAAAACAGCTATTTCCATTTAAAGGTAATTATTGCTGCAGTACTGCAACACATCAATTAACATTTTTCCAAGTCAATAATACAAAGATCCAAGACAAAGGTAAAGGAAGGAGATCCTTCTGTTCACCAGACTCAAGTTGTAATTGGTTTTCCAATTAAGAGTGGTTATCCTGAGAAATTATTGGTTCTAAGACTAGAACGTTTACTAAAGCCACAATAACTTTGAGCCAAAGCAATAAGACAAGGCAAAAACCACTTTAAAAAAGCAATTTATTATAATTTGTATATTAATTCATTTGTTGCACATCTAGTAAGTACTCACAACTTTGAAAAGTAAGTGGGGAAGACACAGAAGAAACACAAAACACAGTAAATTTGTTAAACCATAGGAGTGTTTTCTATTAAGGACAATTATGGCCACATGAATCAAATCTCCCTACAAACTGGAGGATCAATAAGAGGGAATAAATAAACCACACATGACCCACATATTTAGCATCACCTGAAAAAAAAGCCACGAATTTCAAATTACCCACAAGAAATAACACTAATTTTAAAATTTCTACAGAGCTCCATTGGCACTATATTCTCAGAGAGTGGAATGAAAGACTCTGTCTTTGAGAGACTTCATGAAAAACAGGGGAATTGAACAGAATACATGGGTGAAACAGAAAAAGAAAACCACCCTCGGAAAGATAAAAGTCAACATTAATTGCTAAAATACTGAGCACATATCTGGGACTTCATATTTCACAACTACACCTATAGGAAAGGGACTTTAAAGTGAGAGATACTGGAGGTTGCAACCAGTAACTCTCAAATACAGACAAATACAGAAAAACTGTACTTTCTGTTTCCACAAGAAACCTTGTTTCTGGTGGAGAATCAAATACAGAAAATACAGTATTGGAGATGTGGCAGTGAAGAGAAAAAGAGAAATAAAAAGGAAAAATATAAAATTATTAATCCTACAGAAATTAGAGAAATAAAATATACTCACCCCTCTCCCTGTTTCCATCACCAT
This sequence comes from Homo sapiens, assembly GCF_000001405.40. NCBI lineage: Eukaryota > Metazoa > Chordata > Mammalia > Primates > Hominidae > Homo > Homo sapiens. The sequence goes on from NC_000009.12 coordinate 20,157,819, forward strand.
TAGCATCATCTATTAGAGAAACTGTGCTTCATGATACCAAGAAAGAGGGTACCCTTAAAACTAGAAATCCTGTCCACAAAATATCTATGAATCAAATCTAAAAAAGCAACCCAGTGCTATGCAAAGATCCTATAAGAAGAAAGTAAGCAAACAAAAATGTGAGTTTCAGTTGAAACTTCTCTCCCAATAAACCATACAGCAGAAGAAAACCATAACTAAACTCCAAAATAAATTAATATTCTTAAGCAACCATTTAGAGAAGTATCTTTTAATACATAGAATCAAAAATTTAAGAACTAAAAAATGGATATGGAAAGAAACAGGAAGAAATGCAATAAGAATGGCCTGAACTCAGGAAAGAAACTGAATAAAAAGACAAAACCATCTCATAAATGAAGGATGAATTATAAGTTGCACAAGGAAGAATAGATTAAAATAAAAATTTAATAAGAGGTTACACAGGTCTGAATGTTTGTGTCCCTCCAATATTCACACATTACAACATAACCTCCAAGTTTATGGGATTAAGAAGCGGAGCCTTTAGTAGGTGATTAGGTCAGGAGGGGTCCACCCCCATGATTCAGATTAGTGCTTTTATAAAAGGGCTTCAGCAAGCCTATTTGCCCCTTCTACGCCTTATGCCATTTGAGGACACATAGAAGGTGCCATTTATGAAGAACAGGGCCGTCATCAGACATCAAACTTGCAACTTCCCAGGATCTTGATCCTAGACTTCCCATCCAGAACAATAAGAAATACAATTCTGTTGTCTATAATTAATTACTCAGTCGATGGCATTTTATATTAGCAGCCTAAAAAGAATAAGACAGACATATTGAAAAAAGGTAGGGAAATAACTGAAAGAATAAAAAATGAGAAAAGAAGGAAGTAAAAGTGGTCACAGAGAAAACAAGGCAAAGAAGACTTGGTGCACTTATAATGGGAGTCTCTGAGAAAGGAAAAACAAAATTATGGAGCAGCTGTGCATATTTAAACTATAACTAAATAAAACTTTCCAAAAATAAAAGGATCCTGAATCTATGTTGAAAGGACCCATTATATATCTGGGAAAACTGAATTAGAAATATTCTGATCAAGTCCTAGACTATCCTAGTAAAACTATTGTTTTAAAGACAAAGAAAAAATATCCTCAGAGATCTTCAGACAAAATGATCAAATTATCTGTGAGGGCAAAAATATTAGGCTTACTTACATTCGAGTTCTCAATAGCAACATAAAACAAAATATGGCCACTGAGAGATTGCATTTTCAAGAAATTTAAGGAAAGGAAGCACAAGTCAAGATTTATACCAAGGCAAGCTTCGCTTCAAGAATCGACTATATAAAAAAATCTTCAACGTGCAGTAATATGTGGAATATCATACACACGAACCATTCCTGAAGAGTCTACTAGAGCAATGTTTCTCAACTTTTTTCCCCCATTAACGCCCCTCTTAGGAGCCTTTTCAGACCTGCCTACACACACATCCCATCACGATGAAATTTTAATACCTTGCATATACACTATCTCTTTATATGCTATGGTCTTTTGAAAGACTACACACCATTGTAACATCTAAGATTTTTTTACCCTTGGCCCCAGAAACCAATTTTCACCCCATGGATGTATTACAGAATGAACATATTTTAACCAATATATAAGTAGAAATTTATGGAGATGGACTGATAGAGCATATAACAGATTTGATTGCGGTAAATGATAGGGGTAGGGAGGAAGAGTAGTATGTGTGACAAAGCAGAAAGAATGTTATTCCCCAAAAGTGAGAAAATGAGGAAGGAGAGAGAAAGGGAAAAGTCAAATAAGATGATTTATCCTTGTATAGGGAATAGGTGGATGTCAGCAAATAACATTCATTTAATATCAGCAGATCAGATAATAAAAGATTAAGTAAAAATGGTGACTAAAGACAACAAAAAGCAGAACTAGATATAATGGTAACCACAAATGTAACAAAAATACAAGTAGTATTTGGTATTTTGTATTTGATAAATACCAAAATAAAGTTTAAAATATACAAAGAAGTCATGCCATCTGAAGAAATAAGCACAGTAGATATAGCATAATATGCACAGAAATTATAACAATATGACAATTGATACAGAAATATCAGTAATAATAAGTGTGGATAGGCTTACCTTGCTTATTAAAAGAAAATATTTTCAAATGGGTTTGTAAAGCAAAATATAGCTCTATGCTGAACATAAGACTCACACCTAAAACAGTAATTCATAAAGGGCAAAAATAAAGAAGTGGCCAATGACTTACTAGATAATGGAAATCATAAGAAAGCTGAGGTTGCAATCTTAATATCAGATAACATAAAATTCAGACCAAAATGCATTTTTAAAGGAAGCAGAAAATACTTTATAGTGCTAAAAGCTGCAATTGTCAATGAACATTTAACAGTTATAAATACCTGTGTCCCAAATGACACTGTAAACACCTGTGTAAAGAATAATTACTCATACCTCAAGGAGAAACATAGAAAAACACATTAGTAACAGAAGACTTTAACATACTACTCTCATACTGACCTGTCTTAGGTCAAGTGGACAAAAAATAAGTAAGGTTATAAAAACCCTAAAAATTATGATAGATATCATAAATATATGTCAAGCATTACACACTTATAATAGAAAATATACCTTCTTCTCAAGTACATATGCGGCATTCACAAAAATTGATATGGTAGTTTATAAAGTATCAATATGTTTTATATTGTACAAATATGAACAAAACTGGTTAATTTTTTAACTATCAATTATTAATAAATCAAAAAAACCATTTCATGTAAAAAATTATAAAATATTCTATTAAACAACTTGTGAGCGAAAGGAAAAATCAGAAATTACAGAATTTCCGAAAAATAATGATGATAAAAACCTACGTATTAGAATCTATGGGATACATTTAAATAACAGGTAAGAGGAAAAGTCATAACCTTAAACATCTTGAATAATACAAATGAAATGTTTTAAAAATAATTATAATTTCTAACTCAAAAGCCTAAAACAGAAAAAAAAAGCCAAAAGAAAACACAAAAAAGATCAGAGCAGAAAATAAAGCATAAAGCAGAAAACCTATAGATTAAGTTAATATATCAAAACACTAGTTCCTTAAAAGAGAAGTCAATAAAATGAAAAAACTACCAAATAATTTAATTTAAAAAATGAGAAAACATAAATGTAGAAAATGACATGACTTGGAGGAATTACCTCTTGATATGGATAAAACTTCTTTAAAAAATTATGAAATACTGTTATATACACTTCTATACAATTAAATTTGAAAACTTAGATTGAATGCATAAATTCTTATGAAAATAAGCTTTGACAAAACTGACATTAAAAGAGACAAGAGGCTTTAAATGACAAATTTCTAGAGAAGATACCAAAATTATCAATAAGCTATCTCATCAAAATCACCAGGCTCAGGTGCTTTCATAGAGGAATTCTAATAGATCTTTAAAGACGAGATAATCCCAAAGCTACATAAATTGTTTTAGAGCACAGAAAATTAATTAAAAATTCTTTTTGAAGTAAGTGTAACATTGATACAGGAACCTGATTTTTAAAAATAGTACAAAAAAGAAAGTTACAGGCCAATATCCCTGATGAATATTGATGAAAAATCCTAAATAACATATCAGCCAACAGATTTTAATACCTCATTAAGAAAATATATCATTATCAAGTGAGGTTTATCTAAGGGATGAAAGGATGGTTCAATATGAGAAACTATATTAATATAATTCCCTATAATAAGTCTAAAAGACTTATTACCTCCTTAAATCCTGAAAAAGTTTTTGACAAATTTGACACCCATTCCTAAAAAAATCTCTCCAGAAAATAAGAATGATGCATATTTCTTCAGTTTGGATATTTAATTTGATTTATTTGACATGAAAACATGAAGATACACACACACACACACACACACACACACAAACATCATACCACACACATATCTATGTATCTACATATATATCTTAGTTAATGAGGATATGCTACATTCCCAATAGGAGTTGGGAAAAAGCTAGAAAACCTACTATATTCGCTACTGTTTAATATTTTACTGGAAATACTAGCTAATGCGATTACATACAACAAAATAATTAGATGCATAAGAATTGAAAGACAAATAAAACTCTGTCTATATGCAGATGGATAACAGTATAAATGGTAAACTCTGGAGAATCAATGATAAAACTTAAATAATTCAGCAAGATAGCAAGATATAAAATTAACCTATAAAATTCAGTAACTCAAACTTGGCATTGTGATGTGAACCTGTAGTCTCAGGTATTCCAGGGACTGAGGCAGGAGTACTGCTTGAGCCAGAAGTTTGAGGCCAGTTTCACAGCTATGTTATTATGCAACATAGCAAGACACCTCTTAAAAGAAAAACAAAATAGGCTTCATCTACACAAACAATAGTTAGAAGATATAATTCAAAAGAGAAAACTTCATTTATATTAGCAACAAAAATAAAATGCCTAGGCATAAATTTACCAAAAAAAGTTCTAAACTTGTATGAAGCAAATCATAAAATACTCTTGAAACACATACACCCTCCCAAGACTAAACCAGGAAGAAGTTGAATTTCTGAATAGAACAATAACAGGCTCTGAAATTGTGGCAATAATCAGTAGCTTACCAACCAAAAAGAGTCCAGGACCAGATGGATTCACAGCCGAATTCTACCAGAAGTACAAGGAGGAACTGGTACCATTCCTTCTGAAACTATTCCAATCAATAGAAAAAGAGGGAATCCTCCCTAACTCATTTGATGAGGCCAGCATCATCCTGATACCAAAGCTGGGCAGAGACACAACCAAAAAAGAGAATTTTAGACCAATATCCTTGATGAACATTGATGCAAAAATCCTCAATAAAATACTGGAAAACCGAATCCAGCAGCACATCAAAAAGCTTATACATCATGATCAAGTGGGCTTCATCCCTGGGATGCAAGACTGGTTCAATATACGCAAAACAATAAATGTAATCCAGCACATAATCAGCACCAAAGACAAAAACCACATGATTATCTCAATAGATGCAGAAAAGGCCTTTGATAAAATTTAACAACTCTTCATGATAAAAACTCTCAATAAATTAGGTATTGATGGGACATATCTCAAAATAATAAGAGCTATCTATGACAAACTCACAGCCAATATCATACCGAATGGGCAAAAACTGGAAGCATTCCCTTTGAAAACTGGCAGAAGACAGGGATACCCTCTCTCACAACTCCTATTCAACATAGTGTTGGAAGTTCTGGCCAGGGCAATTAGGCAGGAGAAGGAAACAAAGGGTATTCAACTAGGAAAAGAGGAAGTCAAATTGTCCCTGTTTGCAGATGACATGATTTTATATCTAGAAAACCCCATCGTCTCAGTCCAAAATCTCCTTAAGCTGATAAGCAACTTCAGCAAAGTCTCAGGATACAAAATCAATGTGCAAAAATCACAAGCATTCTTATATACCAATAACAGACAAACAGAGAGCCAAATCATGAGTGAACTCCCATTCACAATTGCTTCAAAGAGAATAAAATACCTAGGAATCCAACTTACAAGGGACGTGAAGGACCTCTTCAAGGAGAACTACAAACCACTGCTCAAGGAAATAAAAGAGGATACAAAGAAATGGAAGAACATTCCATGCTCATGGGTAGGAAGAATCAATACCATGAAAATGGTCATACTGCCCAAGGTAATTTACAGATTCAATGCCATCCCCATCAAGCTACCAATGACTTTCTTCACAGAATTGGAAAAAACTACTTTAAAGTTCATATGGAACCACAAAAGAGCCCGCATCACCAAGTCAATCCTAAGCCAAAAGAACAAAGCTGGAGGCATCATGCTACCTGACTTCAAACTATACTACAAGGCTACAGTAACCAAAACAGCACGGTACTGGTACCAAAACAGAGATATAGACCAATGGAACAGAACAGAGCCCTCAGAAGTAACGCCGCATATCTACAACTATCTGATCTTTGACAAACCTGACAAAAACAAGCAATGGGGAAAGGATTCCCTATTTAATAAATGGTGCTGGGAAAACTGGCTAGCCATATGGAGAAAGCTGAAACTGGATCCCTTCCTTATATCTTATACAAAAATTAATTCAAGATGGATTAAAGACTTACATGTTAGACCTAAAACCATAAAAACCCTAGAAGAAAACCTAGGCATTACCATTCAGGACATAGGCATGGGCAAGGACTTCATGTCTAAAATACCAAAAGCAATGGCAACAAAAGCCAAAATGGACAAATGGGATCTCATTAAACTAAAGACCTTCTGCACAGCAAAAGAAGCTACCATCCGAGTGAACAGGCAACCTACAAAATGGGAGAAAATTTTCACAACCTACTCATCTGACAAAGGGCTAATATCCAGAATCTACAATGAACTCAAACAAATTTACAAGAAAAAAACAAACAACCCCATCAAAAAGTGGGCAAAGGACATGAACAGACACTTCTCAAAAGAAGACATTTATGCAGCGAAAAAAACACATGAAAAAATGCTTACCATCACTGGCCATCAGAGAAATGCAAATCAAAACCACGATGAGATACCATCTCACACCAGTTAGAATGGCGATCATTAAAAAGTCAGGAAACAACAGGTGCTGGAGAGGATGTGGAGAAATAGGAACACTTTTACACTGTTGGTGGGACTGTAAACTAGTTCAACCATTGTGGAAGTCAGTGTGGCGATTCCTCAGGGATCTAGAACTAGAAATACCATTTGACCCAGCCATCCCATTACTGGGTATATACCCAAAGGACTATAAATCATGCTGCTATAAAGACACATGCACACCTATGTTTATTGTGGCACTATTCACAATAGCAAAGACTTGGAACCCACCCAAATGTCCAACAATGATAGACTGGATTAAGAAAATGTGGCACATATACACCATGGAATACTATGCAGCCATAAAAAATGATGAGTTCATGTCCTTTTTAGGGACATGGATGAAATTGGAAATCATCATTCTCAGTAAACTATCGCAAGAACAACAAACGAAACACCGCATATTCTCACTCATAGGTGGGAATTGAACAATGAGAACACATGGACACAGGAAGGAGAACATCACACTCTGGGGACTGTTGTGGGGTGGGGGGAGGGGGGAGGGATAGCTTTAGGAGATATACCTAATGCTAAATGACGAGTTAATGGGTGCAGCACACCAGCATGGCACATGTATACATATGTAACTAACCTGCACATTGTGCACATGTACCCTAAAACTTAAAGTATAATAATAATAAAAAAAGAAAGATATGAAAATAACACGGAAAAGCCTACTACCTTATTCTTCATAAGAATATCTCAACATCATCAGGATGTCAGTTCTCTTTGAACTAATTTATAAATTCAATTCAACCCCAATAAAAATGCTACAAATTTTTTTTTCCTGCAAACTAGACAAGTTGATTCTGAAGTTCATTTGGAAAAATAAACATATAAAATAGCTAGGAAAATAACTGAAAAGGAAGAGATATGGGTTGAGCTATGAGCCCTACCAAATATTTAAAAGTACTAAAATGCCTCTGTAATTAAAGGTGTGGTAATGGCACATGACTAGAAAGATCAATGAAATAGAACAGAAACAGAGCACTCTAATGTGGATATTTAGTATGTAATAAAGTGGTATCTCAAATGACTGAGGCAAACAGAGAAATAAATGGTGTTAAGACATTTGGGTAGACATTTGAAAAAAGAAAAAAATACAACCATTGCCCCCACCATACACAAGAATAAACTCTAAATGTATCAGGGATCCATGTTTTTTAAAAATTAAGTTGTATAAGTACTAGAACAAAACCTAATTAATGTGTCTATAACTTGGGTAAAGGAAAAAGGCTTTCTAAATGTGACTCAAAATCCACGTGTGACAATGAAAAAATTGATAAATTTGATCACATAAAAGTAAAAGGTTTTTGCATAAAAAATAAACACACCAGAAACAAAAACAAATGACAAATTGGTAGCAACATTTGCAATATGTATCACAGAAAAAGAACTATTATCCCAAATGTATAAAGAGCTTTTTTAAATTGGGCAAGGGGGATGGAAACATGAGACATCCTATAGGAAAATGGAAAAAAGACATGAGCAAAAAATTCACCAAAAATATGTAAAAATGACTTTAAACATATAAAAAAATTAAACATTATAAGATTGACACAATTCAAATGACATAAATATAATTTATCACCCATCAGATTGGCAAAAATTCAAAAGTTGACTATAATCTGTTGGCAAAGCTCTGGGGAAACAAGCACACTCACATTGCTGGTAGGACTGCAGAATGATACAGCTTCTATAAAGGGGAATTTAGCAATATCCAACAAAATTACTATGTAGCAATCCCAACTCTATAAATCTATCTTGAAATTAAACTTTTAACAATATGAAAATAAATATGCATATGATTATTCATTACAGCATTACTTGCAATGGCAAAACATTGGAAACTATCTAAGTGTCCAAAAATAGGAGGACCAAATATTTAAGCATGTTCATATTCAGGTGGGTCTTAGAAGGTTGATTGAACAAACTAAAGTATATCAACAACATCTATTATGCAACTGTAAAACAGAGGGAGAAGATCTCTGTAAATTGATAAAAATTATTTCCAGGATACCTTATTAGGTGAAAAAATAACAATGTACAGGAGTATATATGGTATGTTTCCTCTTATGTAAGAAAGAAAATGCAGATATCTGCTTATTTTTGCAAAAAGAAACACAGTAAGTTTAAGCCAGAAAATAGTACAATTGGTTACTTACAAAAGGTATGAAAGAACAGGGATAAAAGGAATAGTAGAGGGAGGATACTTCTCTGGATATACTTTTATGTATGGTTTTGACTTTTGAAATGTGTTACTGTCCTTCATATTAAAAAGGTAAAATTAAATCAGTAAGGATGGCAGTAGAAAAAGAAAAAACCCTAATACCAAATGCAAACAGAAACATATAAACTCAACTGAATTTATTTTATGTTACCCAGGCTAGAACACAGTGGCACAATCATAGCTCACCACAGCCTAACTGCCCAGGCTCAACCTAACCTTTCACCTCAGCCTCCTGAGTAGCTGGGACTACAGGCGCACACCACCACACCCAGCTCTTTTTTTATTTTTGTAGAGGCTGGTTTTGAACTCCTAGGCCCAAGCAATCTATACACATCAGCCTCCCAAAGTGTTAATATTATAGGTGTGAGCCACTGCACCCTGCAATCCTACTGTATTTCAAATGAATGTTGTAAACACACTGAATGGGAAAAATAAAAGGATACGTTTAATTAACTTTTGAACAAAAGACTTTGACTGTATACATTCTCAATCCAGGGGAAAAAAGAATGGCAAGCAAATCTTGAACTCTTTCATACATTTGTTTTTATAATGGTATGTCTGTGTAGCAATTCTGAAAAAATTTTTTGTGTCTTTTAGGTTTGAGAAAATGAGTAAATGTGTTTGTGTTGTTGGAAGCTGAAGTTCTTACTGTGGAGAAAGGAACATACAGATATGGAATCGGGGAAGGCAAGAAAGAATCCTGTGGGTTCAGCTGAAATTGGCAGCAGTTCAAATCTGTGATTTTGCAAATAGATAGATAGATATAGGTAGGCAGATAAAGACCTAGAAGCAATGACACACCCATAGCAATGAGCACACCTAGCACCCAAATCTTGGTTTCTAAATACCATTCCCCAGTAAAGGATCAGTGTCCCTTGGACAAATGATTGATTCCACTGCTAAAGCAGGCAAGGTATAAGGTGAGACTAGAACATCTTGTTGTTCCAATAAGTATGTGTAAGAAATGTTTCAATCATCAGTAAAACAGAGGTGAATTATAATACAAGATACTGGGTCTCACCTTTTCACTCAGGCTGGAGTGCAGTGGCAAGATCATAGCTTACTGCAGTCTCAAATTTTTGGCCTCAAGCAATCCTCCCACCTCAACTTCCCAGGTATCTGGGATTACAGCCATGAGCCACCATGCCCAGCCCTGTTTTTTTTTTTTATATTCGACTGCTGGCAATTTTTAGGCTTTACCTCTCCCTCTTGCTGTTGTGCTGTACCTGTCAATAGCTGGAAAGAAAGCCTTGGCACTCTTTCCTTGTTTGACACTGATCAGGGTTTCAAACCACTGAAGTCCCATAGGGTCATTATCCATGCAAACTACTCTCAAATGGTACAGAAAAAATGTATTCAAATATATGTATGTGATGTGTGCATATATCAATCTACATGTCTACCAATCTATACTTATGTATGTCTATCAGACCTAGATAGATAGTTATAGAGGATTGAAAGAGAAAGATTAAACAAATGTGGCAAAATGACTAAAAACTAGTCAATCTGATAAAGAGTATAATTGGACATCTCTGTATTATTCTTTCAGCTGTTCTCTAAGCTTAAAATTATTTCAAACTAAAAAGCTTAAAAAAGTATGGGATATGACACCAAGATAACAGGTAACGAAATAAAAAATAGATAAATACAACTTCATCAAATTATCAGTTTATCAAGATAGCAAAAAGATAACCTACAGAATGAAAGAAAATATTTAAAAATCATGTATCTGCTAATTAATATCTAGAATATATAAAGAACTCATTCAACTCAACAAAAAAGGAAGTAATCCAATTCAAAATGGGCAAAGGACTTGAAAAGATATTTTTCAAAAAAAGATATATAAATAGCCAACAAGAACATGAAAAGATGCTTCATATCATTCGTTATTAGGGAAATACAAATAAAACTGCAATGAGATAACACTTTACATCTACTGGGATGCCTAAACTAAAGAAGAAAAGGTAAAATAACAAGTGCTGGCAAGAATGTAGAGGAATTGAAGCCCTCGTGTATTGCTGGTGGGAATGTAAAATGATGCAGCCACTGTGGAGAACAATTTGGCAATTCCTCAAAAAGTTATAGAACTACCACATGACCCGGCAGTTTCACTCTCAGGTGTGTATCCCAAAACAATTGAAACCAGGGATTCAAACAGGCATTTGTTCGCCAATGTTCATACCAGTACTATTCACAGTAGCCAAAGATGTAAACAACCCAATGTCCATCAATAGATGAATGCATAAACCAAGTGTGGTATATACACACAATGAAAAATTACTCAGTCATTAAAAGAAATGACATATTGATACATATTACAAAATAGGTGGGCATTGAAAATATAGTATAAGTGAAATAAGCCAGACACAGAAGGACCCACTGTAAGATCACACTTACATGAAGTATGTAGAATAGGCAAATTCATAGATAGACAAAGTAGAATTAGAGATAATCAGGGGCTGAGAAGGAAGTTAGTGTTTAATGAGTACAGAGTTTATGCTGGGATCATGAAAAAGTTTGGAGTATAGATTTAAGAGGATCATGACAGACAGGAAAAAGTACTAGATTGCAGCTCCCACTCAGATGGACAGAGCAGCATGTGGAGCCTCGTGTCATGAACTTTTGCTCCAGGACTACTGCAGGAATAAATCAGGAAAGTGAAGAGAACTCACAAATTCTCTGAAGGAAGTGGATTGCTCCTGCAGGACCCAGGAGACACCTCAAATACTAGCAGGTGTGGAATCCAGGGATCTGCAGACAGTTCACATCACAGAACTTTGTGCAGACAACCCCCAGTGTTAGCCTGAAGCCTGGTAGACCTGCTGGGTGATTGGATCCAGAAGAGAGATAACAATCACTGTAGCTTGGCTCCCAGGAAGCCACATCCCTAGGAAAACAGGGAGAGTACTACATCAAGGGAACACCCCATGAAACAAAAGAATCTGAACAAGAGCCTTGAGCCCTAAACCTTCCCAGACATAGCCTATCCAAATGAGAAGAAACCAGAAAACCGACTCTGGTAATATGACAAAACAAAGTTCTTTGACACCCCCCCAAAAAATCACACTAGGTCAACAGCAATGGTTCCAAACCAAGAAGAAATCCCTGATTTACCTGAAAAAAGAATTCAGAAGGTCAGTTATTAGGTAAAACAAGGAGGCACTAGAGAAAGGCAAAGCCAGTTTAAATAAATCAAAAAAGTGATACAAGAAGTGAAGGGATAAATATTCAATGAAATAGACAGCATAAGCAAAAACAATCAGAACTTCAGGAAACAATTGGCACACTTATAGAAATGCAAAATACTCTGGAAAATCTCAGCAATAGAACTGAACAGGCAGAAGAAAGAACTTCAGAGCTCAAAGACAAGATTTTCGAATTAACCCAATCCAACAAAGACAAAAAGAAAAAAAAAAAAGAATAAGAAGACATGAACAAAGCCTCCAAGAAGTCTGGGATTATGTTAAACAACAAAACCTAAATGTTTGATATAAAAATACTTCTAGGAATAAATGCTTGGTGCCACAAAGTGAAACCAGCACTCAGGCAAAAGTTGTCTCAGCAAGGCAATTTACTTCTGCAGAAGGGTAGCACTCCCATCAACTAAGATTGCAAGAGCACAGAGAGCAAAGGAGACCAGGGGTTTTTTATCTCCTTAACACAATCCCTACCTCGGTGTCCCTCCCCCATGGGCTGGGGTCAGACGCACAATCTGAGCTGAGCCGATTGGCTACTTGAAAATATTTTTCTAAACATGGAAGGCAAGGGGGACATGGGGTACAGTGGCAAAGCTTGTGAGATGTGCAGTTTTGGGGGAAAAATGGGTGCAGGTAACCAAGGGAACAGATGTGAGTTATTGATTAGAGCTGATGGGAAGGGGGTAGGCTGTTTTACAGTAACTAGGGACAAGGAGAAACAGGAAAGTTGAGTTTGAGAACAAAGGACAAGGAAGTTAGCAGACTAAATCTTTGAAGAGAAACTCAGAAATTCATTGTATCTTTCATAAGAATAATCAGTGTTCCTGAGGAAGAAGAAAAATCTAAAAGTTTGTAAAACATATTTAGTGGAAGAATAGAGGAAAACTTGCCTGGCCTTGCTAGAGACCTAGTCATCCAAATACAAGAAGCTCAAAGAACACCCAGGAAATTCATGCACAAAAAGGTTACTGCCTAGGCACATTGTCATCAGGTTATCTAAAATTAAGAAGAGGAAAAGAATCTTAAGAGCTGTGAGACAAAAGCACCAGGTAACCTATAAAGGAAAACCTATCAGATTAACATCAGATTTTTCAGCAGAAACCCTACAAACTAGAAGGGATTGGGGCCCTATCTTCAGCCTCCTTAAAGGAAACAATTATCAGCCAAGAATTTTGTGTCCAGCAAAACTAAGCCTTATAAATGAAGGAAAGATATACTCTTTTTCAGACAAACAAATGCTGAGAGAATTTGCCACTACCAAGCCAGCACTACAAGAACTGCTAAAAGGAGCTCCAAATCTTGAAACAAATCCTGGAAACACATCAAAACAGAACCTCTTTAAGCATAAATCTCACAGGACCTATAAAAAATACAATAAAAAAAAACAAGGTATACAGGCAACAAATAGCATGATGAATAGAATAGTACCTCACATATAAATACTAAAGTTGAATGTAAATGGCCTAAATGCTCCACTTAAAAGGTACAGAATTGCAGAATGGATAAGAATTCACCAACCATCTGTCTGCTACCTTCAAGAGACTCACCGAACACATAAGGACTCACATAAACTTAAGGCAAAGGGGTGGAAAAAGACATTCCATGCAAATGAACACCAAAAGCAAATGGGAGTAGCTATTCTTATATCAGACAAAACAAACTTTAAAGCAACAGCAGTTTAAAAAGACAAAGAAGGACATTATATAATGATAAAAGGCCTTATCCAACAGGAAAATATCAAAATCCTAACTATATAAGCACCTAAAACTAGAGCTCCCAAATTTATAAAACAATTACTACTAGACCTAAGAAATGAGCTAGCAACACAATAAAAGTGGGGGACTTCAATGCTCCACTGACAGCACTAGACAAGTCATCAAGACAGAAAGTCAACAAAGAAAAAATGGATTTAAACTATACCCTGGAATGAATGGACTTAACAAATATTTACAGAACATTCTACCCAACAACCACAGAATATACCTTCTATTCATCAGTGCATGGAACTTCCTCCAAGATAGACCATATGATAGGCCACAGTACAAGCCTCAATAAATTTAAGAAAATTGAAATTATATCAAGCACTCTCTCAGACCACAGTGGAATAAACCTGGAAATGAACTCCAAAAGGAGCCTTCAAAACCATGCAAATACATGGAAATTAAATAATCTGCTCCGGAATGATCACTGGGTCAACAATGAAATCAAAACAGAAATTAAAAAATTCTTCAAACTGAACAATGATAGTGACAAAACCTCTGGGATATAGCAAAGGCAGTGCTAAGAGGAAAGTTCATAGCCCTAAATGCCTACATCAAAAAGTCTGAAAGAGCACAGGCAATCTTAGGTCACACCAGGAACTAGAGAAACAAGAACAAACCAAACCCAAACCCAGCAGAAGAAAGGAAATAACCAGTATCAGAGCAGAATTTAATGAAATTGAAACAAACAAAAACAATACAAAAGACAAATAAAACAAAAAGCTAGTTCTTTGAAAAGATAGATAAAATTGATAGAACATTAGCAAGAGTAACCAAGAAAAGAAGAGAGAAATCCAAATAAGCTCAATTAGAAATGAAACTGGAGATATTACAACTGACACCACAGAAATACAAAAGATCATTCAAGGCTACTATGAACATCTTTATGCACATAAACTTGAAAACCTAGAGGAGATGGATAAATTTCTGGAAAGATACAACTCTCCTAGCTTAAATCAGGAAGAATTAGATACCCTGAACAGCCCAATAACAAGCAGTGAATTTAACATGAAATAAAAAAATTACCAGCAAAAAAAAGTCCAGGACCAGATGGACTCACAGATGAATTCTACCAGACATTCGAAGAAGAATTGGTACCAATCCTATTGACACTATTTCACAAGATAGAGGAAGAGGGAATCCTTCCTAAATCATTCTGTGAAGCCTGTATCACTTTAATACCAAAACCAGGAAAGACATAACTACAGACCAATATCTTAATGAACATATATACAAAAATCCTTAACAAAATACTAGCTAACTAAATCCAACAACGTATCAAAAGATAATCCACCACGATCAAGTGGGTTTCATACCAGGGTTGCAGAGATGGTTTAACATAAACAAGACAATAAATGTGATACACCACATAAAAAGAATTAAAAGCAAAAATTACATGATCATCTCAACAGATGCAGAAAAAACATTTGACAAAATCCAGCAACCCTTTATGATTAAAACTCAGTAAAATTGGCATACAAGGGACATACCTCAATTTAATAAAAGCCACCTGTGACAAACCCACAACCAACATAATACTGAACGGGGAAAAGCTGAAGGCATTCCCTCTGAGAACTGGAACAAGACAAAGATGCCCACTCTCACCACTTCTCTTCAACATAGTACTGGAAGTCCTAGCCAGAGCAATCAGACAAGAGAAAGAAATCAAGGGCATCCAAATTAGCAAAGATGAAGTCAAACTGTCACTGTTTGTTGATGATATGATTATATACCTAGAAAACCCTAAAGACTCCTCCAAAAAGCTCCTGGAACTGATAAAAGAATTCAGCAAAGTTTCCAGATACAAAATTAATGTACACAAATCAGTAGCTCTCCTATACACCAACAGTGACCAAGCTGAGAATCAAATTAAGAACTCAACCCCTTTTATAGTAGCTGCAAAAATTAAAAATTAAAAATCAAAAAATAAAACCTTAGGAATATACCTAACCGTGGAGGTAAAAGACTTCTACAAGGAAAACTACAAAACACTGCTGAAATAAATCATAGAACACACAAACAAATGGAAACATGTTCCATGCTCGTACATAGGTAGAATCAACACAGTGAAAATAAACATACTGTCAAAAGCAATCTATAAGTTCAATGCAATTCCCATCAAAATACCACATCATTCTTCACAGAACTAGAGAAAAACAATTCTAAAATTCATATGGAACCAAAAAAGAACCCACAAAGCCCAAGTAAGAATAAGCAAAAAGAACAAAACTGGAGGCATCACATTATGTAATTTCAAACTATACTAGAAAACCATAGTCACCAAAACAGCATGTTACTGGTATAAAAGTAGGCACATAGACCAATGTAACAGAATAGAGAACCCAGAAATAAACCGAAATACTTATAGCCAGCTCATCTTTGACAAAGCAACCAAATACATCAAGTGAGGAAAGGACATCCTATTCAACAAATGATGCTGGATAATTGGCAAGCCACATGTAGGAGAATGAAACTAGATCCTCATCTCTCACCTTATACAAAAATCAACTCAAGACGGATTAAGGACTTAAATCTAAGACCTAAAATTATAAAAATTCCAGAAGATAATGTCGGAAAAACCCTTCTAGACATTGGCTTAGGCAAGGATTTCATGACCAAGAACCGAAAAGCAAAAGCAATTAAAAGAAAAAAAGGATAAATAGCTGGGACTTAATTAAACTAAAGAGCTTTTGCACTGCAAAAGGAACAGTCAGCAGAGTAAACAGACAACCCACAGAGTGGAAGAAAAACTTCACAATCTATACATCTGACAAAGGACTAATATCCAGAATCTACAGCAAACTGGAACAAATTAGCAAGAAAAAAAAAATCCCATCAAAAAGTGGGCTAAGGACATGAATAGACATTTCCCAAAAGAAGATACACAAATGGGCAAAGAACATATGAAAAAATGCTCAACATCACTAATGATCCAGGAAATGCAAATGAAAACCACAATGCAATACCGCCTTATTCCTGCAAGAATGGCCATAAACAAAAATTAAAAAATAATAGATGTTGGTGTGGATGCTGTGAACAGGGAACACGTCTACATTGCTTGTGGGAGTGTAAACTAGTACAACCACTATGGAAAACAGTGTGGCAATTCCTTAAAGAACTAAAGGTAGAACTACTATTTGGTCCAGCAATCCCACTACTGGGTATCCACCTAGAGGAAAAGAAGTCATTGTAGGAAAAAGATACTTGCACACACATGCTTATAGCAGCACAATTCACAATTGCAAAAATGTGTAATCAAACCCAAACGCCCATCAACCAGTGAGTGGATAAAGAAGCTGATATATATATATATCAGTTTCTGAATTTTTTATATATATATATATATGATGGACTACTACTTAGCCATAAAAAGGAATGAATTAATGGCATTTGTAGCAACCTGGATGATATTGGAGACTATTATTCTAAGTGAAGTAATTCAGGAATGGAAAATCAAACATTGTATGTTCTCACTCGTAAGTGGGAGCTAAGCTATGAGGATGTGAAGACATAAGAATGATACAATGGATTTTGGGGACTCAGGGGGAAAGGTGGGAAGGCGGTAGGGATAAAAAACGACAAATTGGGTGCAGTGTACACTGCTCAGATGATGTGTGCACCAAAATCTCACCAATCAACACTAAAGAACTCATTCATGTAATCAAAGACCACCTATTCTCCAATAACCTGTGGGAAAAAAGAATTTAAGAAAAGAAAAAGTTTGAGGTATAGAGAATGGTGATAGTTATACAACATAATGAATTACTTAATGCTACTGAATTATACACTTACAAATAGTTAAAATGATAAATATTATGCTATGTATATTTTAGCACAGTTTTTAAAAAATCAAAAAAGAAATATATGTGGGAAAATTATTATGTTACTTTAAATACAATGCAAGATACACTAAAAACCGTCAAAGTGCTCTCTGTGGCTTGAATACAAAGAATCTGTCACACACTTTCTTTAAAGCAAACAAACAAATATTAAAACCTTAGTATTTTAGGAGAAAGAAGACTCTCAGTTTTGAAATAATGATAGAATTTACAGTGTGTTATTACTCTTTAGTGATAATCTAAGTAAACTGTAAGTTCCTTTAGATTGAAAATCATCAATTCACTTACCTTTGTATTCCAAGATCTGTTATTAGATAAATAACTGTATGATGGAAGGATGGAGGGATGAATTAATTAGACTGAAGGTTTAAGAAGCTTTGTGGGTTAGAGAAATACTAAGGTCTGAAAAAGCCAGAGAAGAGATCATGGAGAGGGTGTGAGCTGAGCTAGGAAGGATGTGGAGGATTTGGAAGGGCAAAAAGATAAAGTGAGGACCCGGTGAGAGAGAAATAGAGAGGTACTGACCAGTCTCATGCTTCCATGAAACCGTAACAACACTTGGGCTTTTTCGTTCGTTCTTACCTTAGAGGCACATGCTAAAAGCTAGGTTTTTCAGGTTTTTGGTCATGGTTCTAGGCTACGGTTCCATGAAGCTCAGATTTGTTAGGTGATCTTGAGGCTTAAAAATGAAATAGTGAGTCTTTTCTTCTATTTGCCCCAATTGAGCCATTTCTGAGTATAATATCTTCTGATTTACTTCATTTTACTGGAAAAGGTCAAATGATTTATGATTTATAACATTATAGCTGTGATTTCAGTTAGATGAATCAGATAGTAAATCATAATCACAGAAAAACAATCAACAGCCTTGTAGATCAGTCAGAGAATATTCTACCTGAAATTTCCAGTATAAAAAGAGAAGTCAATAAAGGTTTTGGAGAGTAATAAAAAACCTTTTTCAGAAATGTAGTCATTAAAATAACTTCCTATAATCTTCCCCACTAGAAATAAACTCGGAAAGGGACTGGAAACAGCAATGGCTGGAAACACAGTGTACTATCTTGCCGATGAGAAGTGCCAACCATAGACACCGATGAAGATGCATAAGTTTTATTTCCAGGAATTCAGCCAGGGGTATAAATGAGGAAGTTAGACATTGGTGACTATGGGTCTTAGGTCTACTTTGCTTGTAAACGTTGACTTTCATGTCTATTTTTCCCTTGCTAGTTTGAGAAAATATAAATGTATTGAAATGTAAAGATACTAAATACAAAAAGCAAGTTGAAAAATCTGCAAATAAGCCTATTAAATATATGCTTATGAATAAAAGCTTTAGAATTCTGAGAAATATGCACCAAACTTCTAACAGTTATCTAAAGTGTGAGGATGGAGAAGTGTGGAAAATTAGAACTTCCTTACTATCCATTGTTCCTTATATGTTTTAATAGTAGCAATATTTATTAACACAGTCTTTACTATGCACTCTTCTTAGTCTTTGATTCACAGAAATGTCTATTTTAAATTATTACCATGGTTATTTTGACCATAGGTCTCCATAGCAAATATTAGATTGGCTGACATTTATTTTTACTCATTTCTGTGAAGTTTTTTACTTTTACTTATTATCTTTATTCTTGATATAGGCCATTTGTTAAATATCTGTTTGTCAATTTAAGTTCATATCTGTAGTATGACTTTTTATTTAAACTTTCAAAAGTAAAAAAAAGGCCTTACCAGGCCAGATTTCCTGATTTCTGATTTTAAAAATGTTAATCCAAACCTGTTATTACCGTATTTACTTCGCCTTTTTTCCTGCCCCAACCTCTCTAGAAAGAAATATCCTTTTCCTTCCTCTAAATTATTTCTCACCAGCAGTTACTTTGTCTTCTTTGTTGCAGCAGAAAAATACCTACTCTACAGGCTGAGGTCAGAGCCACCAAAAGAGCACAAATGACCCTTTTTCTGAGCAGCAGGAATTTAGGTAGAGGTGTTGACCCCGTTAGATGATCTGATCAAGTCTTGAGAGGAAGTGAGTGGTATGTTTGGAACATATAGAGTCAGATGCAAGATTGGGGAACCAAAGTGTATCCTGGAGTAGCTATAAGTCCTTAATTGATCCTTTAGGCTATGGGTGAGCAAGAAATTAAATAAACAGATTCTAAAATATAAGTAGATTAAATAGATTCTAAAATATAAAGAAAACATGCAAGACAAGAAAACTAGTATCTATTGAGAGTTGACTATACCACATACAGTATACTATTATACTATTTACACTATTATGTAAATTTTCACAATGACTTTGAAAGCAAGAAATAAGCATCTCTCTTTTGAAGATGAGGAAAACTGAGTCACTGAGAAATTACGGAGATTGCCGAGGGGACACGCTCAGTAAGTGGAGAGCCAAGATTTGAACCCCTATCTATCTGCCTCCTTACTTTTTTACACTATACAATAATACCTTAATTCAAGTCAATATTCAACCTCACCATTCTAAGTAAATGACTGTATCACTTACAGCATCTGCTATTAACTATAGAGTCTGGATTGATAAGGTTCAGTTTGTTCCTTTAATATAAGTGTAAATATTTTCAGCCTTACAAGTACAGGTAAAAAGGTTAATGATCTGAACTGTTCAGAGTGAAACCATCTTCACAGTACTTCTTACAAACAAAATCACACTGGCTTTCCTAATCCAATTTCAGCAAGAGAAAATGTTTCTTAAAAGACAGTAAGTCATGGTAAGGTCCTATAACCTATCAGCTGTTACTGTCCTTTGCACCTCCTGTCCTCGGGTGCTAGACTGCTGTCTGCCTCCCCAGTGCAGTGTGCAAAGGGCTTTATTATTACCAGCTGAGAGCCAAGGCAGCTGAAGGGTACACTGTCACTACAGTTTGCTCCCCCACATGTCAACATATTCTGAAAGCTACTGACATCTGATTTTAACTCCTTGCTGCCTTCTGTTCCTCTGACTTTGACAGATTTTAATGAGACAAATGCTAGCTGTGGGTTTCCTTTTTCCACCTTCCCCTACCTCACCCCTCAGGAACTCACTTTTCTGCTGCCATCCTTTGTGAAACGGCAAACTAAATATGAAAAACTGCTGATAAGGAGGAATAGACTTATGCCCAGAGGATAAACTTAACAGAGCTCACCTAGCCTGGCTGGCATTGACCCCTGCCTCTACATTTTTAGTACATGTCTCATAAAAGAGAAACTGCCTGTGCTTCTAGGATTCTTTTATATAAGTGCCAGGAGATGTGTCAAGTACAACTTGCTTCTCCAACATATTGATACATTTAGAGTTTTTAAAGAAAACTCAAGTGAGTCAGCAGGTATACTCTCAAGCCACATACCTAGGAGGATGCTCAGAATAACTACCCTTTACTGAGCACCATACTACTATGACTCCATAAGACCAGCTTGGGCTCAGAAAGACCTGTGTCCAAAATCACACTTCAATCACTTGGGGAATCTTCTTCAAAGAGTTTGAAAAATTCCCTTGCATATGGCAGACCTCCAGCTAGGTAAAGAGAATTACTGTGACCCCCTCTATCCCCTCATTTCCCACCAGGTTTCCTAATATCTCAATTTAGAAACTGAAGGTTGGGGGCAGCTGGAAGAGAAGACCGTAGAAATCATGAGTAAGTGGAAGACGACTCTTGGGGCCCAAGGGGACTGTGCCTTGCTTGTCTGGAAAACAACCACTCAGGCATATTGCCCTTCAGTACAGAACCATGGGATGTCTTCAGGGCAAGGGTTCTGAGGTAGTGCACACCATACCCTATAGCTTGACCAAAGCACGCTAGAGAATGAGAAGTCCCACATGCCCCAATCGGAGAAAAAAAGGAATGAAATGTCCTGGTGTACGGACAGGTGGTCCAGAACATGAGATCATCATGACTGATGGCGGTGATAAAATATTCAAACATCAGCAGTTGCTGGTCCATGCCCAAGGGCCAGATGGGACCCATTTCATCACCAGCAGAGACTGGACAAGGACACAGAAGCTAGGGAGCCCTCCTCCTGGAACCACGATGTTGTTTTTGAAAGCTTCCCTCTGTGCACAGATGTCTTCCCAAAGAAAGGAAGAAGGAAAGGGAAGGGGAAGAAGCCTTCAAAGACAGTGCTTTATCCCAAAGTGAATAGATTGAGACTGAGATAATAACATTTAAATTGACTAGAAAAAAATCAGCATAACAAAATGGAGTAGAATAGACTATATGCTCTAGGACAGACTGAGGGTTAAGTGCAAAACTAAGTTTTGAATTGCAGAGTGTGCTAGTATTACCTGATAAACATATTGCTTCTATTTCTCTCTAAATATTGCTAAAAATTATTGAACAGAACTGCACAAAAGGGAGTTTGGCACACTTATGACCAAAAATTTTTCCTAAGATGACATTAAACCACAAATCAATATCCACTGGTTATATTGGTTCAACCAGTAACCAACACAGTATATTTACAGTCACCCATTGTGCTCCAGATGTCCCATGAGGACATCAGTAAAGATTTTGGCCATTGCCTGGCTAAAATCAACATACACAAAATCTAGATAGAGTGTGGTATAAGAAACAAGTGTAGGTTGTGGAGTTAGAAAATCTCTCTTTAAATTCCACAATTTACTAGGAAGATTGTAAAAATTTACTTAACTCCTCTATGATTTCTTTTTTTAAAAGTTTTCTTGTTTGTAAATTGAGGGACAAATTCACTAATAACACCTGATTCAAGACTTGCTATTATGATCAGCTGAGGTTACACATTTTATAAATATTAATCACCATATAGATATTGGTTATTATCTCTTAATAAATGGATGTCTTATTTAAATCTCATTATTTTAAGAAAGAAATGGTGTGTCTGTTACCCGTCTTTGTAATAAACTCATATTGACTTCCAGTGATCTCCATTTAATTTTTCAAGTACTTATAAACCATCCATTTTTAAAAATTCATCCAAAAATTTTTCCAAGGGAAGTTTCAGAAATCCTTTGTCTTTCCTACTACTTTTGAAAATAAGGACTTTTTGGCATGTCTCCAGTTCTTAATAATTCCATGGAGATTATTGGCATGGCTGAATGATCACATTTAGAATTATTTCAAGTTTCCCGATACATTAATAATTAGAGCCTAAAGACTTGGGCATAAGTTTTGCTATCTGGTTCACTCCTCAACTAACCTGTGCTTTTCCTACATCAAGGGAAACACACAAACCTCCAAGCCATGTAGGTTTGCTCCTCTTCAGTTTAAAGATAATATTCCTTAACACAGAAGAGAAGACAAATGGAAAGTTAAGAGCTTTGCTTTCTCTTAATTTTCTTGTAATAGCATAGCTTGCCACTAAAAGTGAGCTGTTTCTTCCCCGTTTCTCTTGCTTGCCCTGAACTAAGCTTACAGTGGGCTCTGTCCTTTCTGACACTGACACCTTCTTGAGAGCAGGGCTCCTCTTTGGCAGCTCTCTTTGGTCATGAGCCCCTCCTGCCACCTTCAGCACATGTTCATGTCAAAAAGAAATTGTCTTCAGAGACAGTCCATGCAGAAAAATTCTTGGCATTCGAGAGAAAACTCCAGGTACCAAATTGGAGCCCAGATTGTTAGGGATACTGACTAATAGCTTTGTAGTTAACTAGTCTCAAGTTCAAATCCTAGTTCTTACAATCTACAGCCGTATATCCTTGGGAAATAAAAATATCTCTCTAAGCCTTAGTTTTCTCATCTGAAAAAAAAAAAGAAAAAATAAAGCCTATATCATCAAATCATATAGGACTAAATGTGATGATGTATTTTAAAGTCCACCAGCACTGTCATCCTGCTCTGGCGGAAACATAAAGAAGCGTGGTAGATGACTTCAAACTATGCTACAGGGTTACAGTCACCAAAACGGCATGGTACTGGTACCAAAACAGGGATATAGACCAATGGAACAGAACAGAGGCCTCATAAATAACACCACACATCTACAACCATCTGATCTTTGACAAACCTGACAAAAACAAGAAATGGGGAAAGGATTGCCTATTTAATAAATGGTGCTGGGAAAATTGGCTACCGTGTGTAGAAAGCTGACACTGGATCCCTTCCTTACACCTTATACAAAAATTGACTCAAGATGGATTAAAGACTTAAAGGTAAGACCTAAAACCATACAAATGCTAGAAGAAAACCTCAGCAATACCATTCAGGACATAGGCATGGGCAAAGACTTCATGACTAAAACACCAAAAGCAATGGCAACAAAAGCCAAAATTGACAAATGGGATCTAATTAAATTAAAGAGCTTCTGCACAGCAAAAGAAATTATCAGCAGAATGAATAGGCAACCTATAGAATGGGAGAAAAATTTTGCAATCTATCCATCTGACAAAGGGCTAATATCCAGAATCTACAATGAACTCAAACAAATTTACAAGAAAAAACCCCATTGAAAAGTGGGCAAAGGATATGAACAGACACTTATCAAAAGAAGACATTTATGTAGCCAACAGACATATGAAAAAATGCTCATCATCACTGGTTATTACAGAAATGCAAATCAAAACCACAATGAGATACTATCTCACACCAGTCAGAATGGCAATCATTAAAAAGTCAGGAAACAACAGATGCTGGAGAGGATGTGGTTAAATAGGAACGCTTTTACACTGTTGGTGGGAATGTAAATTAGTTCAACCATTGTGGAAAACAGTGATTCCTCGAGTGATTCCTCAAGGATCCAGAACTAGAAATACCATTTGACCCAGCCATCCCATTACTGGGTATATACCCAAAGGATTATAAATCATGCTACTATAAAGACACATGCACACCTATGTTTATTGTGGTACTATTCACAATAGCAAAGACTTGGAACCAACCTAAATGTCCATCAATGATAGACTGGATAAAGAAAATGTGGCACATATACACCATGGAATACTATGCAGCCATAAAAAATGATGAATTCATGTCCTTTGCAGGAACATGGATGAAGCTGGAAACCATCATTCTCAGCAAACTATCACAAGGACAGGAAACCAAACACTGCATGTTATCACCCATAAGTGGGAGTTGAACAATGAGAACACGTGGACACAGGGAGGGGAACATCACACACCAGGGCCTGTCGGGGCGGGGGTGCTGGCAGAGGGATAGCATTAGGAGAAATACCTAATGCAAATGACGAGTTGATGGGTGCAGCAAACCAACAGGCACATGTATACCTACGTAACAAACCTACACGTTGTGCACATGTACCCCAGAATTTAAAGTATGATACAAAAAAGAAGCATGGTAGAAAAGAAATGAATTCACATTCATGTATAAGTATAAAGGCAGAAAATAAAACTTCATGATAAGAACCAAAATGGTAACAATAGGTATACATTGGGCCACAATCTTTTTACTTGTCTGAATGTTCTAAGATTCCTTTAAGAGGCAACTATTCCTTTTAAAGTTGATTTGTAAAATGAGCTTAATAGTTCAGTCCTCTCTGCAAAAAGATAAGGCAGGATTTTTTTTAACTCTCATGTTTTAAAAAGTCTCTTAGAAGAAACACTCCCTGGGGAGACCACAGTTTTGAACTGAACCTAAAATCTAGATCTACCTTAGTGGCTCGTACCTGGACTTGGGAAAAGGAATTCTATCTTCACGGGAGCATTTAGTGAGCTCTGATTGTGTAAACATCCCAAAGATAGGTGTGGGGAGAACTAAGTATCATAGCTGATTCCTGACCTCAGGGAGTGTTTGGCACAGCTGGAAAGAGAAGATTAACCATAATATAAGTAAGTGCCCTATTTTGTATTATGGATCATAAATATAAGAAAGAAGATCACAGAAGTTGTGATGAGTGCAGAGTGAAGCAGGATGTCCTCAAAACTGCTTTCTACAGAAACACAGCCATGTTCCTTTGGAGAGTTGCTTACTGGCAACTAAACTATATTGCTTACTAGCATGTTGGAGGCTCTGAGAAGACAGCAGAAAAGGAACCTGCTTAACTTTGAATAACAATTATTTCCTAAACATACTTGACAACAGAAGCTCCTTTTTAGGGAATGCTTTTAGCAACTTGTAGAGTTGCCCAACCTCAGAGCTAATGCTAGCAAGAACAGATTCATGCAGGATATGCACTTGCTCTGGGCCTTGAAGAATGGGTAACTTTTAGATGAGCAGAGGATGGAAGAGGCTTCAGAGGATGGAATCATTTGGGGGATGAAAGCATAGACTCAAGACATATCTATGGTCAGGACTGATCTTGAGAGCTAGAGGTAGGCCTAGAGGGAGAGAGGGAAAGGGTCAAGTAGCCCCAGATTATAAGGTTCAGAAGAGTGTAGATCAATGGTTTTCAAAATGCAAACCTTGTATCACCTGCATCAGAATTTCACTGGTGCTAGTTAAAAAGTACTCAGCCCCATCAAACTCAAAAGCTTCTACATGGTGAAGAAAACAATCAACAGAGTGATTGAGAGAAATACAATTACAGAATGGGAGAAAATATTTGCAAACCATACATCTGATAAGGGGTTAATACACAAAATGTGTAAGGAACTCAAACTACTCAATGATAAGAAAACAAATAACCCAATTTAAAAATGGGCAAAGAACCTGAATAGACAGTTCTCAAAAGGAGACATACAAATGGCCAACAGGTTCATGAAAAAATGCTCAGCCACATTAATTATCACGGAAATGGAAATTAAAACTACAATGAGATATTACCTCATACCTGTTTGAATGCCTATTGTCAAAAAAAGCAAAAGATAGGCTGGGTGCAGAGGCTCACGCCTGTTAATCCCAGCACTTTTGGAGGCTGAGGCGGGCAGACCACGAGATCAAGAGAAACGAGACCATCCTGGCCAACATGGTGAAACCCTGTCTCTACTAAAATTACAAAAATTAGCCGGTATGCTGGTGGGCCCCTGTAATCCCAGCTACTCAGGAGGCTGAGGCAGGAGAATCACTTGAACTCAGGAGGTGGAGGTCTCAGTGAGCTGAGATCACGCCACTGCACTCCAGCCTGGCAACAGAGCGAGACTCCATCTCAAACAAACAAACAAAAACAACAAAAACAAAATAAAACAAAAAACACAAAAGATAACAAGTGCTGGTGAGGTTGTGAAGGAAAGGAAGCCCTTGCATAGGCTGATGGGAATGTAAACTAGTACAACCATATGGAGAACAGTATGGAGGGTCCTCAAAAAATCAAAAATAGAACTACCATATGTGATCCAGCAATCTCACTGCTTGAGTATATATCCAAAGGAAATGAAATCAGTATGTCAAACAGATAACTACACTCTCATGTTCACTGCAGTGTTATTCATGATAGTTAAGACATGGAATCAACCTAGTGTCCATCACAGATGAATGGATTAAAAAAAATGTGGCATATATACACATAAAATACTATTCAACCTAAGGAAATCTTGTCATTTGCAACAACATGGATATATCTGGAGGACATTATGCTAAGTGAAATAAGTCAGGCACGGAAAAACAAATACTCCATGATCTCACTTACATATGAAATCTAAAAAAGCTGAACTTACGCAAGCAGAGTAGAATGGTGGTTATCTGTGTTGAGCAGGGAGGGATGTTGGGGAGATGTTGGTCAAAGGATACAAAATTGTATTTAGAGAGGAGGAATAAGTTCAAGAGATCTATTATGCAACATGATGACTATACTTAACCGTGTATCGTATTCTTAAAAATTACCAAGTGTTCTCACCACACAAAAAGTATGGGAGGTAATGCATATGTTAATTAGCTTGATTAGGACATTCCACAATGCATCCATATTTCAAAACATCATATTGTACACAATAAATATATACAATATTATTTGTTAATATAAATAAATTTTAAAAAAAGAAAAAACAGGCCAGGCATCGCGGCTCACGCCTGTAATCCCAGCACTTTGGGAGGCCGAGGTGGGCGGATCAAGAGGTCAGGAGATCTAGACCATCCTGGCTAACACGGTGAAACCCCGTCTCTACTAAAAATACAAAAAATTAGCTGGGCGTGGTTGTGGGCGCCTGTAGTCCCAGCTATTCGGGAGGCTGAGGCAGGAGAATGGCGTGAACCCGGGAAGCAGAGCTTGCAGTGAGCCGAGGTTGCGCCACTGCACTCCAGCCTGGGAGACAGAGCGAGACTCCATCTCAAAAAAAAAAAAAAAAGAAAAGAAAAGAAAAAACATTACTCAGCCCCCAACCTCAGATCTACTGAAGGCGGTCCTGATAATTTGCATTTTAAAATAGCCCCCAAGGTGACTCAAGCACTCTAAAGTTTGTAGAGACTGGAAGCCAGGTAGGGAAGGGGGTAAAAAGCTAGATTTGATTGCAAAATGAAGCTTAATTGGAAAAGCAGACACCCCCACACTCAGGCATTTATTTATCTGAGATGTACTGAACTCCAGCTGTATGCCAGTCCCTCTCCAAGGTCTCAGTTTGCTTTGCTTTTGTGATTGGAAGAAAACTGGTTCCTGGCCTCTTGGGGCTTACACCAAGTGGTCAATTAAAATACATGTATTGTTTAGGAGCCTTGGAGTTCTGTCTTGGGTGCCATGATGAGGCTTCCTTAGCTCACTTTCTGAGGAGGGGGCCGGCCTTAAGAATAATGAGTCCACTGTGAGCACATAGCGTAATAGGGGGGACTCTTTAGGAGCTCCAATGGCCCCTGATCATTTGACCAGTCTTGAAAATTTGATGTCCACCTTGTTTCTGAGGCTCATCTCTACCTAGTGCCATATTCAAAGAAGTAGATTTTTGCCCCAGTCGATTTCCCTGTGCCTCTATCCTGTTTAACCTGCTTATCTCTGAACACTTATCTCTGTAGTGTCTCTTCTGACCATTCTGACTGAGATATTCTAACCGGGGCCCTACTTACTGTCTGGCTTACCTCCCTGGTACGGACTCTCTCTTCACCATCTGTCTTCCTGGAGCCACATGGATGGCTACCCCCAGATTCTCAACCACTTTGCCTGGACCACCTCCCTACTCCAACACATTGAACTCATCCTTTGCCAGCTACCTACCTGAACTACAACCTACTTTTGCTGTTGATTCAGGTGATTTTGTAGAGTCAGCTTTATGGTTAAGCATTCCCAAGTTCAAATCCTAATTTTTACAATCTCCAACCGCACCTCCTTGGAAAATGAAAATATATCTTTAAGCCTTGGTTTTCTCATCTGAAAAAAAAAGAGGAAAAATAATGCCTATCTCCTCAAATTATATAGGATTAAATGTTATGATATATTTTAAAGTCCTAGTACAAAGCCTGGCACAGAGTAAGTATTTAATCAACGAGAGACATTTTTATTCATCTTGGGCATCTTTACCCTCCAGATTATAATTTTCCTTTAGCAATTACATCCATGCCTGTTTCTACAACTTCATTCTGACCTTTGGGCAGGGGTGTGGGTGGGAGTGGAGCATGGGGATCAAGTTCTGAGTCTTGTCCCTATGCACACTCTCCAAAAATGGCATCTCTATGAAGATTTTTTAAAGTAATATGCTGACTAGACTAGAAAAGGCATTTTGAGGGAAAGCTAGGCCTGGAGACAGTGCTCCCTGTCTCATGAGCCAGCAGAGCTGGTCCTATTCTCCCCCATCCCCATCCCATCCCATCCATGCACCCAGGCTTATTTCCAGTGGTGTCAGAACCTGGCTTGGCCCCTAGCACCATTCTATAATGGAACAGATCTTGGCTGACCTCAAATATGGCATTGTTTTGATATGCCCATAGGTTCTACATAAGACCTACTTTTTAAAAACAAAGTTTTTTTTTATCATTCACTTAATTACCCAGTAATTTGCCAATCAAAACTTGGTGGACATTTTTCAGAACAGATAGTAAAAGAGAGAATTCTCTGCCTTTATTTTCTCCTTTTCCTGACCCCCCGTTGCTTACTCAACCAAGTCCAAACTTCTGAGCCTGGAGTACAAAGTCCTGAATGATCACGCTCACTTTGCCTACCTCAACAGCCTCATCTCATGCCCTTCCTCTATTCTTCAGCTCTCAGCTGCAGTCATGCTTCAATTCTTGCAGTTCTAGAACTTCCTCTCTCCAAATCTCTTTGTTCATGCTGCTCTGTCTCCCTGCCTACATTCTCTCCAGTTCTTTACCTGGAAAACTTTCATTCAAAGTTGAAGACTCTGTCCAGGGGTCACTTCCTCTAGGAGTCATTCCCTCTCCTTCTCCCATTCTTAGCTAGGTGCATTCCTTTGCACCCACGACATCTGAGCATCTTGTGGCAATGCACTTCTCAGACCACACCATAATTAATCATCTGTTTATGGTCAGTCTCCCCTAGACCCTTGCTACTCAAAGTGTTAGAAATGCAGAATCTCTATGCCCACCTCAGACCCACTGAATCAAAATTTTAATTTTCTCAGGATCCCACATGATTCCTCCGCTCATGAAAATGTGGAAAGTCTGCTTTAACAGTTAGACTGTGCAGATCCTCAGGAGGTGGGACTGTCTTTCATCTCTGAAGCCCCAACAATAGCACAGTACTTGGCACATCATAGGGCTGAATTTGGCATCATGCCTGTGTCCTGATCCCCACCTGGCCTCTTGGATTGGTTTTCTATCCTGTCAGAAGAGGATTAGAGTCAGAAGCTCTTTTCAAGGGAGGCCTTGTAGAATTTCTGCTACAAACAGTGTCCATGCGACAAGGTGCATCCCCAAATTAGAGAACACTCTCCACTTCTCTTCCAGGGATCCAGTGCTGCTGGACAGTGGACCCCTGGTTTCCTTGGAGTTCCCATCTTGGGTGCCATCATGAGGTTTCCTTAGCTCACTTTCTGAGGAGTGGGCCAGCCTTAACAATAGGGAGTCTGCTGTGAACAAATGGGGTGGGTCAGGGGCACCCATTAGGAACTCCAAGTAACACTTTAGGGATCATTGCAGGAGCCAAAGGTCCTGCATGAGCAAATGAGAGCAAGAGTAGTGTGGTAAGCAGAATAATGGCTCCCCAGCTACATCCACATTCTAATTCTCAAAATCTGTGAGTGTTACTTTACATTTATGTATATGGTGAAAAGGGCTTGAAAATTTTATTAAGGATTTTGAAATGGGGAGAATAGCCTGAAATGATCTTGGTGGGCTTGATGTAGTCACAGTGGTCCTTACAAGAGGGAGGCAGAAGGGTCAGAGTCAGGTAAGTTGGGGAAATGACAACAGAAGCAGGAGCTAGGATGACGGGAGAAGAAGCCACGAGCTAAGGAATGAAGATGGCCTCTAGAAACTGGAAAAAGCAAGGAAACAGATGCTCCCTAGAGCTGCCTAAAGGAACGAGTCCTGCTGGCACATGGATTGTAGCCCAGTAAAACTGATGGTAGGCTTCCAGCCTCCAGAAATGTAACAGGAAAAATGTGTGCTGTTTTAAGCTACCAAATTTGTAGTAATTTGTTACAGCAGCATTGGGAAATTAATACAAGCAGGAAATCTGAGTTATTCATATTAATGTGAGTTCCTTTGTTTACACAAGCTGTTATAATATCTGGGTTACCCAAGCTAAACTCCCACAGTTCTAGACTGCCAGAAATTAGGGTGGCTTTTCTTTTTTTTTCTTTTTTTTTTTTTTTTCCCAGTTGATTTGCTCTTAGAGAGTTCCAGGAGAAAACATGCTTCCTTCGGGATGTTGGTTGGGAAAAGCAAGAAGTTGGTTCGATCTCAATTTTCAAAAGATCCAGTGTTTTTAAAGCAGATTTACTACTCCACACAAGAATGCTCTCCCAAAGGCATTTCTAGCCTAAAACCCCAAGTAGTTCTTAAGAGCCAGAGTTTCCAGAGAACAACAATGAAGTTGTCATCCTGTGTTGATAAATCGACTGCTGGGAGCTCTGGAGGCTTGGTGGGGAAAGCCAGTCATCATAACTGGGTAGTGAAAGTCCCTGGGACCATCAATGCCGAAAACCAGTAGCTTCTATTAATAAATCAATACCTTCCCATAAGAACTTTATTTTTTTGTTATTGTTGGTTTATGGAAGAAATCTTAAAGAAAGAAAGTGTGGGGAGTGGGCAATGTCAGATCTGTCTAGACCATGAAATCCACCTGACATTATGATTCTTAAGGACCATTTGAGCTATCCCCTTTGAAAGATCTCATTAAAAGTGGAGCTCTCAACAGCTTTGAATTTCACATGGCATGAGCCTCCCTTTGGAGAGCTAACAATGGTCTAGATGCCAGAGAATCCCAAATGCTGAGCAGTTTCCTTGGTGTCCACAGCTAAAGCTACTTTCTCAAGGTCTCTGCAAATCGCATTACTTTAGCTACGGATTTCTGATTATGATCCCCCTGGAAGAGGTTTCTCCTAAGTTTCCAGCCCTAGAAACAAGTGGCAGTGACTGCACAATTCTGCCTCTGAAAGGGAATGCTCATCTTACCTGCCTGGAGCAGCATTCTCAGTCTAAGGGTGCTGGGAGGGGAGGGGAGATGGGCTATTCATTCAGACTCGAAGACAGCCAGAGTGGGACTGATCCAAGCATCCAGGAGGAATGACAGCTTAATTCCCGGCACCCCACTGGGAAGCCATGGCAGGGGTTAATTAATTTCCTCTCCAGCGGTTCCCTGGGAGAGTTTGCATTGGTTCATAGCTGTGTGAACCCGCAACACTCCCTGCATGAAGCCTGGCAAAAGAGGCAAAATGAGCTTGTATGTGGTTGCTCTGCTGGTATCTTTGTTTCTCCATTTCTGGAGATAAGTCAGGTAACTCATTGACTATGCTTGGAAGGGACTATGCCAGGGCAGTCCTCAGGGAAACTGCAAAATAGCCTAGGTTTTCCTCTGGCTTGTCAAGACAATCCTTTTAGGGCCCATCCTCCTACCTCTCTCAGATCTTTGTCCTACCAAATTAATAAAGGTGAAACTTCAGATAATAATTAAAAATTTTTAATCATCTATTGTGTTTTTCAATAAACATATAAATGTCTAACCTATGCCAGAAGCTGGTAAGAAGCGATGTAATAAGGGAAGTAACATTTACTAAGCATCTAATATACATCATATATTGTGCTCATTTATACTCATAACTCTCTGGAGAACATACTCCTACTAGTCCCATTGTTTAGAGAAAAGTGAGGCTCAGAAAGGTTAAATAATTTCTCCCAGCATCATACAACTAGTAAGTTATGGATAAATCAAGAATTTGAACCTGGTCTGTTGGACTCCAAACCTGTGCTTTTTCTGTATTAGTCATGAGCTTGAAATCTGGAATTAAAAAATAAAAATTAAAAAAATCCCTAGATTTAAATTCTGGCTTTGCTACTTAGCAATTGTATGACTTCGGGAAAATTATGTAAATTCTCTGAGTGTTTTCATCTTTAAAAAGGGATGACAAAAATGGTACCTATTCACAGGATTAATGAAGATTAGATAATGTTTATACATTGTTTAGTACAGTACTTGGTACATAAAAAGTTCTCCAAAAGTGTTAACTGTACACAATTATTTTTCCATGCTCTTCTCAAGGAGCTTGCTCTCTAACAGCAATTTCCACACTAACATTCTTCCCGTCTCTAAAACTTCAATATTTGTGAATTGACTTTGAAAGATTATTTCCCCTGCAGCAAAAATCTCAGATAAAGTGCTCTTTGAGTCACTTAGGGTCATAAAATTGGCCTAATCAAGGTGTAATCACCATGTTTTCCGGACCTTTTTTTTTTTTTTGCAGGACAGACAAGACCTTTGGATCTCTTACTTCCATTCATAAAAACATCTATTATTGCTTTTAGCTTATAAAATATCATTGATGATCTCCTTAGTAAGTATGTAGTTTATATACTTACTGTTTCTGCGGACATAAAAATATCTCAAAGGGTTTTGCACAATCACATGCAACTTCAAGATCCTGATTCACTTTTTCCTATAAATAAGTTCATAAATGGTGCCTTCCCGTGCCAGCATGATTTATGGGACCATAATCCTCACCAGGGATAAGTACACTATAGGAGGTGAGTGCCTAAGACCAGAAGTGAGGTGTAACTGCACAGCTAGTCCAGAAAGCATTCCGACAGTATCTGGAGAAACTAAGAGAGTTTATTCCCTATGGCTAGGTAATTACATTCTCTGGCATATATCTAAAAAAATTATCATATGGATCCACCAGGGGCCACCTAAGAGAATGTTCAGTGTGGCCTCCTTGTGGCAGTAGAGAATTCAGGGCAAACTAGATATCCATTAAGACGGGAAAAGAAGAGTAAAATGTGGTGGTAAGTGCCCTCTAAGGGATGCTATGCAGTGGGTAGATGAAATGAATTTGATTTAATTTTAGTTGTGTGGATAGATCATAAAAGAAATTTGAAGTGAAAAAAAGAGTGAGGTTTCCAGAACAAAACCAACTATACTTGAGGCAGCATGTCTTATTTTAGGAGGGTACACACATGTTTATGAACAGTTCAAACATATTAGAGGATCCTGGCATTGACCCATGAAGATAAGATGCTATGCACAGAGGGGTAAGATGAACTCAACTTTCCGCAGCTCAGGTCCAACCAAACCAAAGCAAATAAGGGAGAGGTGCAGATCAGTTGCAATAGGCATGTGGAGGAAAGTGTGAATATCCTAATTTTAGAAGATCAAACAAATTTTCATGAAAGTGTTGGAATTCCAGCTGCTAGAAGAGCAGGATTAGGTGGTTGAAGATGGGAAAGGTCTATGAAGTCAGAGGTAACTGCTTAAGCAAAGACTCTAAAAGAAGCCAGAAGTTAATCAGGAAAGGATGCAATGAGCATGGTAGACAGAGATTGGGATGAAGTGGGTGAGAAGGCCAAGAAGATGGACAAAGGCTGGGGCTGGGGAGGCCTGGAAAGTTGCACTAAAGACTATTTTGTAGACAAGGGGCAGCCAGTGAATGTTTTAAATTGGGAAGATATATATATATATTTAAGAAAGATATTCTGAGAGCTGAGTTAAAGGTGGATGGGGAGAGAGGTGACTACAGTCAGATACATCTTGTAGAGGAGGAATCATTAACATCAGAATCACATGGACACTTATTAGAAATGCAGATTCCTAGAGCCTAATTCAGTCCATTGTATCAGAAGGGATCCAGATAGAGCCCTGGAATGTATATTTTTAAACCAGCCTCCAGGTGGCACTTAGTTCAACTGGGATTAAGAACTATGTCATTATTAACCTCAGCTGCATATTATTATAGAATCAGTTGGGAAGACTTTTAAATTCCTGATACGGGGGCTGCTCATCAGACAAACTGCATTGAAATCTCTGGGCCTGGGGCCTGGGCATCAGTATTTTTTTGAAGCTCCTTGATTAATTCCAACATGCAGCCAAGGTTGAGAACCACTGCACTGCAAAGAGCCTTTCTTAGAAAACTCAAGAGCCAGCAAGACTTCCCCTCATTCTATCTTCATTTAATCTCCAGCTAATTTGATTCTCTACTTAATTAGATCAAAGCCTCAGGGTCTAAATCACTTATATTAAAAATATAAATTACCCAATCTTTTATTTGAAGAACCCCCCAGCACACAGTATAGTGCTTTTCCATCCCTAGTCTTGGGCAATTGACATTTGATTATCATAAGAGGTCTAAAGTCAGAATTAAATAAAAGTAGCAAGATCCCTGCTCTAGTTTCTTCTGGTGAAAAGAAACAATAACAGGTGGTAGAACAGTCCACATGCCTTGATATTGAGTATACCCTGAAATCATCTACATTCAAAATATTGGATGCATATACCAATTAAGGTGAAAGGAATGGGTTTGAAATAAAGTACAAACTGGATTTGTAACCCTGAGTAGCATTAAGGCATATAAATCATGCCTTGAAATTTTATTATTTATTAGTCAGTGAACAGACTTCTGCTTTAAAATGGTACCTGGCTAGAGTTTCCTGGGGTATTCTCCCAGCTTCCCTTTAAAATTTCTAAGAAGAAAAAGAAAAGCAAGAAAACTTGAAAGCTCACACCACCCAAAAGAAAGATTATCAACCCAGTGCCAGAATCTGGGAAGACTTTCCCTTAAATAGAAATTATATATAATTTATTTTTAATATATGTAATGTATTTTAACACCCAACTGACATCCCCTAATGAAATGTAGTTGATCTTTTAATATATAAGCAAATGTCTATCAATATAGATTCTAAAATTAATACTGGATGCTGAAACTGATAAACAGGATAGTTTAAAGATGATAAATATTTAGGATGTTGATTTTTAAAATATGTAACCCAATAGAGAGACATACAAAAAATAACTGAATAATTAGAGACACTAAGTTCTTAAACAGAATATTCTGTGTATCTACTGAAAGTTATTTGTAAATTCAATGACTTATCTACAGAAGTCCCAAGAGGGTTTTTGTTTTGTTTTGTTTTTAAATATGGCAAAATGATCCTATCGGTTGAAAGAATAATCAAAGGGGCAATGCCAAGAAAATACTGACAAGGAAGACTTTCCCTATCAGACTTTAAGATTTATCAAAGAATTATAGTAATCAAATAGAAGTAGCACAGGAATAGAATCAATGGAATAGGACAGAGTGTGTGTAAATATGAAAATTTAACACATGGTTAAATGAGGTATTTCAAATTATCAGAGAAAAAGATTGAGCTGGGTTTTTTTTTGGGAAAACAAAAGTAAGCACTCCTTCCATCTTTCCACTAAGTAGAACTCTGGACAAATCAAGGATTTAGATGCTCAAACATGATAAAATGTCTTTTAAGCATGTCATGAAAACCAGAAATCAAAGAATAAAGACCAATAAATCTGATTACCTATAAGTCTTAGACTTCTGTATGGAAGAAAGAAGAGAAAATACTGCCATAAACCAATATCTCTGGGCATCAGGTAAGGCACTATTCTTTAGAGACTCAAATCCATTTGACTGAAGCCCGATTCCAGATCCTTTGGTACTCTTCATCCCTTCTCCAAGATTACTGTACACATTCAGGGGCTCACATGCTCATGGCCACTCCTCACCTTTCTCAAAAAATCCTTGTTCTAAATTAATTTATAGGTTGGTTACTTTTCTTTGATTTTCCTAAAATCTCATTCAAAATATTTATTTAACAGAGTTTATTGAAGGTTTAGAATGTGAAAAGAAATGCCAGCAATATCAAATTGAATATCAGGTAGCTTTATCCTAAGAACTCCTTTGTATAGCCCATTTGGAATATATTATTAACAATATTTTTCTGCAGGCTTTAGTTTCTTGCCATGTTGTCTATCCCTGTCTCTCACAGTATTTTTTTTCACATCCTCTCATTTCTCTACTTTTTCTAACTCTCCACATTTCTATTTGATTATTAAATGCAGAAAAATAGAGAACACCTGGATCAAGTAAAACAGCACCATTGACATTTTAGGAAACACACACAGACAGACACACACACGCATGCACACACACACTACATCTTTTCCCATCACAACCACTACTCCACTGCTAGAAATAAATAATATTCTAAGATTGCTAGTAACTACATTCGTGTTTTTCTTTATAGTTTTATTACCTAGGTATACATCCGTAAACCATGTAAATTAGTTTCTTTTTGAACTTTTTATTAATGGAATATTGGATATGTTCTTTTTGTCTCAGTTTTCTTCCCCAGCTCATGTTGATAAGATTTGTCCATGCTGGAACATGTAATTTTAATGTATTCATGTTCGCAGCTGTATAGTTTTCATATTACAATTATTCATCTATTTTACTGTTGATGGCTATTTGCATTGTTTCCAGTTAGGGGAAATTATAAACAATGCTTCAATGTATATGACTGTATATATACCTTAATATAATAACTATTATTTATACACACATTTTTCTGTGTCCCTACACTAGGCATTTATAGTCCAATCAGTGATTTAGGAGAATTTCTGATATTCCACATCTTCAAAAACATTTGGCATCAGCAAACATCTAAGTGTGTTTTTATTGATGTTTTAATTTATATTTATCTGATTACTCATTAGATTTTAGGAAATTTTCGTGTATTTATTGACCATTTGGATTTCTTCTTTTGTGAAGTGTCTGTCTAAATCTTTAGTCTGTTTTTTAAATTGGTTGTCTGCCTTTTTCTCTCAATTTGTAAGTTATTCATATATATACTCAATACTAATCCTTTATCAATTATATGTATTGCAAAAATCTCCTACTTTTCTCTTATTAGTGTGTCTTCCATTTAATGTTTTCCAGCCTGCCTATGAGTTTGGCTAGCCCTTTGCTTCACAGTTTCCTGATGAACTGCTCCCTCACTCTTTATCATCTAAGTGACTCCTCAAGATATTCTCTGAAGCAAAATTAATTTCCCACTTAAAATAGTCTCATGGCATACATTAAAATAACAAAAAAACCTTACCCATTATACAAGATTAAAAGAAAAAAAAATTTTTTAACTTAATTCATATGATAGCTACTGTCCATGGTATACAAAAAAAAGGTTATATAAAACCATAAGAAAAAGTCAGAGACAACTTAAAAATGGGCAAAAAACATGAACAGGCAAATAATAAAAGAAGAAATACCAAAGGTCAATAAACATACAATATCTGTTTAATAGCATTAAGCGAATATAATATAAATATAATTTGATATAAACGTTCATCTATGACAAAGCTTGACCAAACTCTATACTTATGATAGTGTGAAAAAGAAGGGCTACCATGAACAGTTAATGGAAGTAATGCATTTGAACTTGCTGGAACACTATTTGACAATATGTATAAAAAATCAATGTAATCTTTGAATCTGAAATCCATCTTTTTACAGTTTACCTTAGGGAGATACCTGCCTAGCTGTGAAAAGAAATAAGTAGAAGGCTTTCACTGCAGCATTATTAATAGTAATGAAGTGAAGTGAAATGCCCCGCAGCCCCCAAGGCTGGTGACTGTCTCCACAGGACTGCACTTGCATTTTCTAACTAGTGAGTTTCAAAATAATGCCACATAGGCTGGATATTTTGCTGGCCCAACATATGTAATTGATTTTTTTAAATGTGAATTTATCGCCTTTATTTAAAAATCAGTGGATTCCACTTTAAAATCGGGATTTAGGACTTATCTAGAAAAATCAGATTCAGTGGCTCTGAGCCATTTATATTTTCTCATAATAACAATCAGCTAGAATTAAATATAAACTCCCCTACAGTTTGCCATTTTCTTATGTCAGGCCTAGCTAATACACCACTTTAGTTTATAGTGCATAGGATAATAATTCATTACATTCTGCCAAGGAGGCCTGCAAAGGATTTGCATTTTCCCACCTTTTAAAATAACTTTATTTTCCTAATTATAAAAGTAAAGCAAGCTCACTGTGGAAAAGTTGAAAACATGAAAATGCATAAAAAAACAAATAATAGTAACATCATCCCCTCCTAAAAACAACACTTGTGGAATTGGCATATATATTCTTTCAATTCCTTTGTCCATGCATATATGCCTTGTATAAAGTAGAAATCATGCTTATATTCTGATATTTTCTAGCATTATATAAACAAGGCATTGCATAATTTTCATTTTTAATGACTACATAACATTCCATTATATGGATGTAACATAATTTACACAGCCCTTCTTCTAATGTTGAACATTGGATTAGGTTGTCTCTGTTTTATGTGATGGGGGGATTCTTTTTGTTTTATTGCAGTAAATAGTAAATAATACTGGAATGAAGATCTCATACTATAGTTTAGAATTTCTATATTACTTGGATAAGAGATTTCTAGAAATGAAATTTCAGAATGAAAGTATATGAGCATTTTTAAGTTCCTTTATATAGAGAGGATTGCCAAATTGTTTTCCAAACTTAGTTGGATCAATGTATATTCTCACAATAGGAAAAGAGTCCCCTTCCTAAATGTATATGTTTTCCCATAGACATAAATAGTTTAGGGCCATTTTCACCATTGTAGTTTCTAAAGCCCATTTAATTCTGCTAATTGGGATGATGTATTTTCTCTCTCTCTCTTTTTTTTTTTTTTTTTTTTTTGAGACTGGGTCTCACTCTGTTACCCAGGCTAGAATGCAGTGGCACAATCACAGCTCACTGCAGCCTTGACCTCCCAGGCTAAGGTGATACTCCCAGCTCACCCTCCCGAGTAGCTGACACTACAGGCATGCACCACCATGCCCAGCTAATTTTTGTATTTTTTAGAGAGACAGGGTTTTACCGTGTTGGCCAAGCTGGTCTTGAACTCCTGGCCTCAAGTGATCTGCCCACCTTGGCCTCCCAAAGTTCTGGGATTACAGGCATGAGCCGAGCCAGGCCATAATTGGGGTGATTTTTCATATCGACAATAACATTACCTTTGTCAGTGAGGACATAAACAAACCAAAAGCCAGACCATCAAACA
Organism: Homo sapiens; assembly: GCF_000001405.40. NCBI lineage: Eukaryota > Metazoa > Chordata > Mammalia > Primates > Hominidae > Homo > Homo sapiens. The sequence goes on from NC_000009.12 coordinate 20,197,814, forward strand.
AACACAAGCAGGATTGGTTCAAAGAGACCAATATCATTTCTCAGGTTAGACCAACAGTCACTCATGAATGTAAAGGTGAAAAATGAAAAGGTACCTGAAACACTAACCCTGACATCACTGTCCCTGCAAATCCTTATTGCACAAAGACGAGAGGGCTATCTCCCAAGAAAAAGATGCTGAAGATTTCCCTTCCCCTTGGCTGCATCAAACAGAGTAAAAGGTGGTTACAAAACACCCCACTTGTAAAGGCGGTCATTTCCAGATGTTGTAGCCCCAGGTACCAAGGCTCCACACCAGATGTGATCCCCAGGGATTGAGGGGGTGAGAGAGCTTGGAGCACACAGCTGCAGATGATGAGGTCATCAGCACAATTTGGGGAAAGGATGAGTTCACTCGGGAAAGGGGGAAAAAAGCATGTCACTTTTCTTTTTTCTTGTTTGAAGTCACTAAGCTTCAGGGTTCAGGAGTGAATTGTTGCTCTGACTTTATTCTTTGGAGGCGGGTGGCTGCCTGCCAGAGGCAGCTGCACACAGGTCATTTGCATTGCATGCAGTCTCTGGTTTTAGAGGGAAGCTCTTCCTTTCCTTAGATCATCTGCTTCTTTAGAGTCAGAGCCACTGCCTCACACAGACTGTATTCGCCCTTTAATCTTTTCCCTACCCCTCCCTTTCCCTGACTTACTCCGTGCAGTTTAACAAGCTTCCCAGACAGGTCCAGCAGGCTCATCCCAATAGCTTTGAAAGCCAGCTGGCGGACAAAGGAGGAATTATTTCATATACTCATGGCTGGGTGGGTGTTGGGGAGAGGCAATTTGTGGAACACATGGGGTCCCCTCGCATCTCTCTCTCTCTCTCTCACTCTCTCTCTCTCTCCACCCCCACCCCCTTCTCTCTCCCCAAGCCATCCACCCCGAGGTGCCAATACCTAGATACTTAGTAGCCTGGGTTTCGGCTGGGTCTGACCTTCTGAAGCACAGTTAAGATTGCTAAACTTCCAACTGGCTCTGGCAAACCTGGTTGTGCCATGAGAAATCAGTTTCTCAGAAAGAGGAGCAAATTCTCTTTTGTGTATGGGCACATTCTTGGAGTTTCACCAAGGTGATGCCGAGGCTAAAAGGGGTGTGGATCAGGCTGTCCAATGTGGGGAAACTTGCTTTTAGTTAAATGAGGCACCTCTTTTTTTTGGATGGTGCAGGAAAAATAGAAAAGAAACAGAAGGTAGACTAGGTAGGGGACAAGGATGTATGGACCTTTTTCTACAGAGAAAAAGTTGTTTCTAACCAGCCTATTGCTTATTAACTAACAAGAATGTTTCAGGTGTCATTTTATTTTATTTTTTTTCTCTCTCCAGTTAGGGATGATTTCAGCCATTACTTTAGAAATGATACCAAATGGAGAGCAAGTGGTCCATTTCAACTTCATCTGTGAAACTCAGGCGGGATAGAGTCCAGTCTGAGTCTAGGAACCAATAAAAAGAACAATTAGAGAGGTGTATTAGTCACTGTTGAGCACCTATGTGCTGAGACAGGCACTGTATATTACTAAACCCAAAGATGTTCTTCCCATCCTCAGAGAGCCTAGCAATCAATAAAGCAGAGAGCGGCTTAATAATATCAGATGGACTTTGCTTCTTAACCATTGGCATCTGGGGGGTGTCCTAATTCTTATTACTAATGTTGCTATGAGGCATCTTGAGAGTGTTTTAAATTTTTAATCCTTTTAGAGTGGGAGAATCTCTATTAACTAGAATTCAAATAGCAGGATTTTCAATATTTTTCAATTCACTTTGAGAATAAAGAAAAAAGGAGAAAAAAGTAACAATAGGTTTTTTAAAATAATGTTTCAAGAGCTATCACAATCTCCCAAGCATTCTGATATTCTGATATCTGGGTTTCTTTCTTTTTTCTTTCTTTTTTTTTTTTTTCTGACAGAATCTTGCTCTGTTGCCCAAGCTGGAGTGCAATGGCGTGATCTCAGCTCACTGCAACCTCTGCCTCCCAGGTTCAAGTGATTCACGTGCCTCAGCCTCCTGAGGAGCTGGGATTACAGGCACCCACCATTATGCCTGGCTAATTTTTTTTTTTTTTTTTTGTATTTTTATAGAGACAGGGTTTCACGATGTTGGCCAGGCTGGTCTTGAACTCCTGACCTCAGGTGATCCGCCCATCTCGGCCTCCCAAAGTGCTGGGACTACAGGCGTGAGACACCGCGACCAGCTGATATCTGGTTTTCATAATGAATATAGTCAGATCCTTCAAATAAGAAACAAAAATACTTTTCCTTACCAACCATTTATACTAGATACCGGTTAACACTGACACATACCTTATTGTGTTTAATCTTCATAATAACCTTAAAAATATAGATATTATCTCCATTCCACAGAGTAGCCTCTGGCTCCACACATTTCAAATCTGGTTTCTCCTCCACTGCCCACATATTTCCAGTGCCAAACACTGCGGGACACTTTCATGTGGAGATATTGGGAGTCAACTTCTGGCTCTGCCTCTTTCTGTGTACCTTGCCAGGTGGGTCAGTACACTGAGCTGTAGGCATGGACCAAGAAACCATTCCTATACTGATGGCCAGCAGTAAAGCCAGTAAAGCAGCATATGGATGAGACTTTGATTCTCACAAATTTATCCCGCTAAACCCACACTAAATGTATCTCTAACTCAACTGCCTTGGATCACTCCAACTCCGTGTAACGGAAAGGGAAATCGAACAGAGGGAAAGTAGAAATAGAGAAAGCAGTCAACTCATTGGGCTTAAAACACCCTACTTTTATAAATTTTGCAACAAAAATACAAACATGGGGACACATTGCTAGCATCCTTCTTGGGGGTCTCAAAAGAGGCCTAGAAGCTTCAGCTTTATTAGCTTCATGGTAAATTGGCCTCTGCCCAGGGACGCTGCCATTGTCCAAAGCATTTGGCATTGACTTCAGAGCTTACTTCATGCATGTCTGAATAGCCTCATTGGTAGCTGTAAGGGTTGATTGGATTTTTGGAAGCAACCAAAGCTTTTGGACCGTAGTGTTATGGTTCAGGTAATTGGTCAAGCTGTGGAGTCCTATTTGGAGGTCACAAGTGTGGTAGTTTTGTTCTGTAGCTCATTATATTTGAGAACAGTTCTCTAAAACAGGGGTTTTACCCTGCAAATCACAAAATACAGCCCAGGATTATTCCAAGGTCCTTTAACAAAGAAGTGGCAGAGTCCAGTTTGCATCTCCCAGTACCCAAAGTCCAGACTGTAACTCAGCCAGTTGTCTGTCTCCTTCAAGTACACAGAGTGGGACACAGAGCTGGAATGTCTCTTGGCTGCATGCTCCAGACACTGGGGATTTGCTTATCCTCACAGCTAATAGCTATCATGAGCTCTGTCTTTGGGAAAGGGTTTTGTTTTGCCCCAAACTTCATCCCATGGCTTTAATCCCACTGCATTTGTCATCTTCAGCCTCACTGAATACAGAGAAAGGGAGGCTTCAACCAGCTTGCCAGGGAGGTAAATAGGTTTAAACTTCACCACAGATGGCCTCATCTCACGGTGCCAGATTTTTATCAACAACTGGTGTGGCTACTGACATGGCAAAAAACCACAGCTAGACCTGGCTCCTGTCCACTTCTGTGATAACAGAGACCAAGAGGGGATAGAAGAGACAGTAACAGCTCGACAATTTGAGATAGAGAAGGGAAAAGAAAGAAAGTGAGAGATTGAGGAAGAAAAGAGAGCTGTCATGTTACAACCTGGAAGAGGTGACTTAATAGAATAGGTATAGAAATGAAAGCATATTGAATTTGTCTGATTTACTTATTTAATGCCTGCCTCATTCCACAAAGAGTCCTTTTATTTTTATTTTTAATTAGCCCTTTTATTTTTAATTAGGGTTTTATCAAGATGGAAACAGTTTTTTAAAAATTCTCTGCTTTGAGTTTAGAGAGAGGAGAAAAGTAACATTTTTAAATTGTTCATTATTTCGAAATTTCATTCCGTCTCCCTGTGCAGTCAGCTGCCACTTTCCCACCATTTTCAACTTCTTTTCCTCAAAAACGTGGCAATTAGGGTGAGTATGTATTTGTCATTGCTGTACAGCCACACATCAGCAGTTGACTGGAAGAGTAAGAAAAATAGAGAGGGAATTGTAGAAAAAAAGAAAGAAAAAAGGAAAAACATTACTTGGCCTGTAATCTTTGGGAAGTCGCCAGAATCTTTTTCTAGCCAGCCAATCCCATTTCATGGTGTGTGTGTGTGTGTGTGTGTGTGTGTGTGTGTGTGTGTGTGTTCACACTCTAAACCTGGGTAAGCATGGAACACTCAGATGCCCGCAAATTGCTGAGATATATGAAGCAGAAGAAGTGCTACTAGCAGCAGTCATGGTCCAAGTGATTATCAAAGCCCTCCTCTCCTGATCAGGTTTTGTGCAAAACACGCCAGAGAAAGAAAGGAAGGACTGAGGACTGCTTGTTTGGCATTTCTTTGTAGTCTGGGCCTTTTCTTCCCCTGAGGTGATTGTTGTTGTTAACCGAAGTTGTGTGAAACTCCTTCTGTGCAAAAACTGGAGCTTCCTCTTTGAAGCCAGAGTGTCTTTGTTCTTCACCTAACTTGGTGCCATTTTCGACAGGCGCATTTGTGTTGAAGTCTGGTTAATGCCTGCCACCCAGAATTCAGTGAGGCTGTTTGCCAGGTGGGAAAAAGCAGTTATGGCGGGGCCTGAGGGGATAGTTGTGGGTTTCAGGGAGTGGAGAGATGGGCAGGAGTTGCCTACAAATAGAAAGACAAAAGAAGACACTGTAAAAGTTGGCTTTGATTGGTGGCTTAGAGCTCACAGTTCTCCTTTGGGATTTAAATGCTCCAGAAAAGAATGTTCTGGGACTTGGAAGAAGAGGGGAGAAAGGCAAGTCGGATATATTGCTGGATTACAGAAAAAGAAAAGGAGAGAAGGGTAGAAGTTTACAAAATGTAATTATAATAAAACCTCTTAAACCCTGGCTTTGAAACCAGGAATGGGCTTAGTAGGTATTAACATAGAAAGCAGTAATTTCCAGGGTTTCCCCAAAACACTTAATTTTACTTTTTGAAGTTTATATTCAAAATTTTAATTTAGCAAACACTCAAATGTGTTAAATACTAAATTTTTAATGCATTGGAGTAAAGTAGATTTCCATCCCACCAGAGTTAGATTTCAAGGTTGGCAAATATTGCTTATTAGCAAAATTGGCTTGAATATCCTTAAATCCCCCATTAATTAACACACATCCCTGAATAATAATTCTTATCCACACTAAAGTTGGAGAACCACTGACTAAAAGGAAAAAAAAAAAAAGACTGGGTTAGCATGTCATGATTTTCTTTAACAGCTTAGTTACCAAATCTAAGCTGTGAACAGGGCAAGAGTGGAAATCTCCAGCATTTCTGCTTGGCAATGGTTTTACTCCCCTCCCTTTCAGCATGAAGCTCCTATTACCTTAATATACATCATGATCTTTTTGTGGTGGTGGCAATTAAACTAGATAATGCAGTTCTTCTTATGGCAGGGAGTTGCCCTGAAAGTTAGCATGTGAATTTGCTCTTAATTCAGCTCCACGGTATACCAAAACATTAACTTGTTGGCTCAGCCCTACCATTAATTAGCAGGTGAACTCAGGCAAGCCGCTTAAGCTCTCAGGACTTGCATGCATCAGAGGACTAGATGACTTCTAAATTCTCTCCCTTACTAACAGTCCATGCTACTAATTCAAAACCTCTTCTTGGCCAGTTGCAGCGGCTCACACCTATAATCCTAGCACTTCAAGAGGCCAAGGCCAAAGGGTCGCTTGGGGCCAAGAGTTCAAGACCAGCCTGGGAAACATAGTGAGAGCCTGTCTCTTAAAAGAAAAAAAAAAAGAAGAAGAAAGAAGAAAGAAGAAGCAGCAGCAGCAGAAGAAGAAATTAGCTGGGTGTGGTGACATAAACTGGAAGAAAAAATACATCCCAACCCAAACTCTGTGGCAGCGGTACCTTTATTGTTCATCCTTGCTGGGTTCGCCTATGGTATATGCATATCAGCAGACCCATAATGTTGCATCCCTTCAAACAAATATTCTTTGAGTATTTATTCAACACGTATTTAGTGTAGATGGGTGAAACTCTTTTCCTAGTAACAAAAACTGTTTTCAGAAACAGAGTCACATTACTCTCCTTAACTGAATTATACTCAATATATTAATACAAAAGAAAATTCAACAAAATATATTAAAAACACATTCAGAGTTTAAAGATAAAGGACTAAATATGTTAAATTCAGATGTAATGAACTCCTAAAAGCCAAAAATTATTGCTTATATATTTTGAACTATAAATGGGTAAAGTCATTGAATTGCATTAACTAGAGAAACACATATATAGTAACTGAGAAATAATAAAACCTTGTACAGTTGAATTGCTGAATGCCTGCTGGAAGAAAAGTCAGCAAAAGAATCCACAGCATTGCCACCTTCAAAGTAACTTACTGAATTAAAAATTTAGCTGGAAAAAGAGACTGCGTTGCCACGTCTTCTGCATAATTTTACTTTTGCCTTATAAACAGAAGAATCTACAAGCATGGCTATTTTGCTTGCATTTGTCCAGTATCAGAACCAACTAATCATCAAAGAAGATTATTTTTTATGTGAATGCTTGACAACACACACAAGTGGTGCTAAAATATTCAAAGTGTTGAATATTTCCTTAATCTATTGACTTATCCTGGACCAACTTTGCTGATGTCGTACTGGTGTTGCAAAAGCAATGGGAGGTAAAGCTGCTGGCACCTTGGCATAAATCATGGCAGTAGCACCAAACCATGCCAGTAGTTACTGTATTCTGCATCACGACATACTTACAATGAAACAAATAAAAGCAAAAACTTATTTCACTTAAGAATACACTTAATAATGCAATAAAAAGTATAACTTTTTTTTTTTTTTTTTTTGAGACAGAGTCTCGTTCTGTCACCCAGGCTGGAATGCAGTGGCATAATCTTGGCTCACTGCAAGCTCCGTCTCCCAGGTTCACTCCATTCTCCTGCCTCAGCCTCCCGAGTAGCCTGGACTACAGGCGCGCACCACCACACTCGGCTAATTTTTTTTCTATTTTTAGTACAGACGGGGTTTCACCATGTTAGCCAGAATGGTCTCGACCTCTTAACCTCATGATCCACCTCCCTCGTCCTCCCAAAGTGCTGGGATTGCAGGCGTGAGCCACTGCACCCAGCCAAAAGTATAATTTTTTTTAAACACGACCCTTCAGTTGAATTGCTGAATGCCTGCAGGATGAAAAGTCAGTAAAAGAATTCACAGCATTGCCACGTTCAAAATAACTTGTTGAATTCTTAATAAACACACTTTTTAAAAAACTGTATGAGAAAATGGGGAGTACACGCAAAGCATTTCTCCCTATTGAAGCATGATGGGTTTTTTTTCCTGGATGTCTTGAAGAAAAGTATCTGCATGATTGAATTGCAAGCTGAACTACTCAATCTTTTCATGGAATGCCATCTTTTATGTGAAAGAATGACTTACATAAAAACTAAGGTTAGGCCGGGCGCAATGGTTTACACCTGTAATCTCAGCACTTTGGGAGGCCGAGGCAGGCGGATTACAAGGTCAGGAGATCGAGACCATCCTGGTTAATACAGTGAAACACCGTCTCTACTAAAAATACAAAAAAAAATTAACCAGTCGTGGTGGCAGGCTCCTGTAGTCCTAGCTACTCAGGAGGCTGAGGCAGGAGATTGGTGTGAACCCAGGAGGCAGAGCTTGCAGTGAGCCAAGATCACACCACTGCACTCCAGGCTGGGTAACAGAGTGAGACTCCATCTAAAAAAAAAAAAAAAAAAAAAAAAACAAACAAAAAAACGTTTACCTCAGGTTATTCAGATTTAGGTATTTAGCAGATATTTTCTGGAAGATGACCGAAGTGAGACTGACATGTTAAAGAAAACAACTGACACTATTTGCTATCAGTTATGAAAGTTAAACTTTCAAGCACAAGCTAGAATTTTGGAAAACTCATCACCATGACCATGACAGCTTCTCAGTGCTTAAAGCCTCTTCTGATGAAGTCGACAATGATATTAATGAATTATCTGATTTTTATTGTTATTATATTTATACTGTATTTATATCATGACTTCATGTTTTATAATGAAATGCATCTGTGGTTCACTCGGTGAACCAATGTTTTCCAAATGACTAATACCTAATGTTACAAAATCATGTCTGGTTAATAAATCCATTCAGAGTATAAGATAGACCAATAAATTTTTATGTGACAGAGTATAAAAAGTTTATTGATTGGTTTTAGATTCCCCATTACAACTAACTTTTAAGAAACTACCACTTGTCAAGTTTTGGCATCATGTCAAAGAATATACACAATTATCTGAAAAGTCTATATTAAAATAATCTCCCCATTTTAACTACATAACTGTGTCAGGCTGGATTTTCTACATGTAGTTAAATCAAAAGAGCATATTACAGGAGAGTGAATGCAGAAGCAGATATGAGAATTCAACACCTATTAAGCCAGACGTAGAGACTTGCAAAAATGTAAAACAATGGCACTATTCTCATGAATTTTTTTGTGAAAGAAAAATAACGGTAAGATGCAGTAATTTTCCCAAAAAAAGTTACATTAATACATAATTGGTTTATTATTATTATATTATTATTATTTTGAGATGGTGTCTCGCTCTGTCGCCCAGGCTGGAGTGCAGTGGCACAATCTCGGCTCACTGCAACCTCTGCCTCCCAGGTTCAAGTGATTTTCCTGCCTCAGACTCCTGAGTAGCTGGGATTACAGGCTTGCACCCAGCTAATTTTTGTATTTTTAGTAGAGACGGGGTTTCACCATGTTGGTCATGCTGGTCTCGAACTCCTGCCTCATGATCTGCTCGCCTCAGCCTCCCAAAGTGCTGGGATTACAGGCGTGAGCCACTTCGCCTGGCCGCTTTATTACTTTTAATTAATAAATCTTTTTTAAATTTCTGTTTTAAGTTCTAACATAACAAAAACTGATGATATATAACCCTCATAAAAAAAAAACTAAGTTGGGGGGGGCGGTTACGGATCTTCATAATATTCCAATGAATAAAGAAGTCCTAAGGCCAAAGTATTTGAGAACTGTTGACTTATGCCATTATGCCATTATACTTACTCCATATTTACCCCCCTCACATGATTAAACTCCTTGAGGGTAAACACTGAATTTTCATTGAACCTGTAACCATCTTCAGTACCTAGTATTTAGTAAATACTGAGTAACATTCACTGAAGGAATAAATAGGAATGAATGAATGAATCTTTCAACTTTAGTACCTGAAATTTTCTTTCATTCTATAATGCAGACTTTAGTATCTGAAATTTTCTTGCATTCTGAAACAGCCAAGAAAAATTCCAGCAATTACAATGACCAGGTTGTAGAGAAAAACATAAAGGAAAGATCACAATTCTTTCACATGCCTTTTAAGCTTATCTATGGCTTACCCCTGTAGCCTCACGACCACTACTCCTTGCCTCATGCCTCATGATTCAGCAGCATCAGACTGCTACTAAATCACACTCTTGATCTTTGTCCTTAGTACTCAGAGTTCATTCACTCACACACTCTATACAGGTCTAATTCTGAACCTTTAAGATTAAAATTAGGCTAAGAAATGAGGCAACTCTATTCACTGTCTCCTGTAATACTCTATCCATATCTTTTTCATTGCACTGCAACAATTTGTCTATAATTATCTTTCTATATCTGTCTTCCTTTCTAGACTGTCTCACACCTTTTTGTATCCTTAGTACTATGCATAGAGTCTGACACTTAATGGGTGCTTTAAATGTTAGACTGAACTGAAATGCTTTATATCCATGATGTTAAATCTGAGGTATAAGTCACCCAGGGCCATTCAACTTCATTCACTTTCATTGAACACTTACATGTGTTAGCCACTACAATGGGCACTGGGGATAACAAATATTTATGTCAGTGAGCTTATGGTCCAGTGGGGGAGAGGGGGATCTATAAATGGCAGAAAATAATAAACAAGCTACATGCACAAGTTTCTACAGAGTTTGTGTTTATTTTTTACTTTAATAATTAAAGAGGAGAAGCACATTCCTTCAATATTTAGAACACCTATGTCTAGCAAGACACTTATTCAAGACACAAACAGAACCTCTGCCTTCAATGGACTTAAAGACTTGTAAAGGAGACAGGCATTAAACAAATATCACACAAGTAAGTATGTAAGTGTAAATGGTCAGCAAGATTGGGAAGGAAAAATAGTGATACATCATTATCAGGGAAGGAAAAGGGATCAGAAATGGTACCCCTTAGGAAATGTGTGCAGGTGGGTAGGCACATGTGGGTGTTAACCACAGGGAAAATGCTGAGACGAGCATTCCAAGCAGGTTAACGTGGCTGGGGTAGAAGTCTTCACAGGAAAGCAGGCATTTGCCAGCTTTACCAGGCTTGAAAACTGGAGAGAGCAAGGGCTAGAGGAATGGGAGAGGGGCTCGCATAGCACGGCGAAGGCTGAAGCAGCCCAGAGCTAAGCTTAAGTGCTTCATTTTCCTCTTCTGATATGCAGAACCATGATTCCGGGTGGTCTGTATTCATTGCACATAAGCCTCTAAAGATAAATGGAGACTGTTTCCTCAAGTAACTACTGCTAAGAGAAAAGTTTTCTTCAGATGTATTTCTCCATCAGTGCTTTTCCCATAGGGCACCTAAAACCTTGATTTATCATAAATGTTTCACCCAGCATACACATACAGTAATACAAATGTGGCATATTTAAATGCACCCCTCAGAGAAATTTGCTGGCAGTGCTCATGACCCATAAATAAAGGAAAAAATAGCCCAGCTATGGTTGTTTCCAGAACGAGTAGATAGACCCCCATCTAGGCTACTGCCCAGAAGCTGAAACATAACTCAAGAGAGTCATGACCGTGTTACGGGAAAACCCGTTCTGGAGCTGGGACCTACTCCTCCTTAATGGCTGCCTCCAGAAACAGGAGGAATATTAACAAAGCTCTGTAGATTTCTTCAGCTGGTTTGTTGGACATGGGGAGCAAGGAAGTGGATCTGGCCAGTCAGCAACGTGGATCTAGTTGAGTAACTAAGGTGCAGTGCCTCAGTTCAAACTACGGCTCAACTGCTTACTAGCTCTGTGATCCCAGTTAACTTATTTACCTTGTCACTCATATGCCCTCTCTGTAAAATGGAGACATAAGTAGTATCTGTTTCATAGACTGCTGTGAGCATTAAATGTGATGATGTAACTCAAGGCTTAGCAAAGCATTCATTAAATGTTACCTATTACTATTATGATTGCTCACACCAGTCAATCAGCCAAGAGCATTTCCAGGTCTCAAATCAGTCAGGCTTCAAGACCAGCTTAACTGACTGTTTTATTCCCATATGTAACTACTTGATTAGCATGTTAAGGACACAGTTTCTGTAATGAATCACCCTGTTTTTAGTCTTCTTGCAGATAACATTCATTTTATGAAATTCTAGCCAAACAGCCATGCAAGAAAACTACTTGGTTTTTTATTTCCCTTCCTTATTGCTCATAACCTCTGTGTCCTGTAAAAATATTCTAAGAAACCCCTCTCTATTAAAATCTGAAACACAGTGCTAAACAAGCTCTCTTCCCCGAATTTGCCAACTGCTTCCTTTACTACTCTGAACAGACACTGCAGTTTTGAGAATAGCAGTTCTCTCATCCTGTCACTCACCAACACCCCCAGACTGGGGGCTCTTGAATCCCCATTCAGACCTGAGAGCTTTCACAAGTCCTCATTTAACATCCAGCAACGCCTTGAAACCAAACGCCAGCCACACTCACCCTAAGACTGGGTAAAGCATGAAGTAATCACAGACTTTGATATTTTTCCGACCACAAACCCCCTCAAAGTCAAATGTGTCCATGAAAGAAAAGTGGCTCTTTCTTACCTAATCCACAGTGGAACAGGAATCAATAGAAACCACATCAAGATTGTGCTTGGTAAAAAATAAGAAAGACTTTCAAAAGTATACATTTGGTTTAAGTACGCCTGAAATATGAAATAACTAGAATAACACCATCCTTCTTGACCTTGATCATAAGGCCTTTCATAGGTATCTCTCAATACCTCAAGTGAAAGAAAGTAGTTAGAACCTTGAAACACTTTTTAAAACCTGCAGACAGCTTAATTGAAGGGGTCTTGTGAAGAGTTCATTGTCAGGGGTTTCTAGCAAGTGTTATTTCTTCCTGAATTCCACGAACCAAGTTCTCTGAAGTTTACATTCACACAGGATGAACAAGCCCACTGTGGTGGGCTTTAAAAGGGATAAAAGACCTGCTGTGGTTTTCTTTGGGGGACAGGTTTAACACCCGCACCTACACACCCAGACCCAGCACCTGGCAGGATGGCAGAGAAGCAGGTGGCCTCCCAGAGTTACAGCTTAAACTAACATCACATACATTTAAAGCAAGTGCTGGTAACTAGAAAAGTAATTTCTGACAGTAAGCAAATGGCTCTTAAATAATAAAATAAAATGTGTCAGGTGGTAGAAAGCAGTGACAAAAGACAAACATTTGGCTAAATAGCATTTAAAGGGAGAAGAAAAGATGGACAAAATCATCATGCAGAAGGCAGAAGGTTTTGTTTTTGTTTTTTTTTGAGACAGATCTCGCTCTGTCGCCCAGGCTGGAGTGTAGTGGCGCGATCTCGGCTCACTGCAAGCTCCGCCTCCCGGGTTCACGCCATTCTCCTGCCTCAGCCTCCCGAGTAGCTGGGACTACAGGCGCCCGCCACAACGCCCGGCTTTTTTTTTTTTTTTTTTTTTTTTTTTTTTTTTTTTTTCTGTATTTTTAGTAGAGACGGGGTTTCACCGTATTAGCCAGGATGGTCTGGATCTCCTGACCTCATGATCCACTGGCCTCAGCCTCCCATAGTGCTGGGATTACAGGTGTGAGCCACCGCGCCCGGCCACAGAAGGTTCTTGTGCACGTGAACGGTGCCAAGGGATGGGGCTTGTAAGCAAGGAGAGGGGAGAGGAAGAGAAATTTGACATGTGATTATCATCACAATCCCACTGCTGTTGCTGCCCGCTTCAGGTCTACCTTAGTCTGAACAGTCAATATAAACCTTTTGGATCTAGACTGTGTTCCGGAATAGGCAGAACTTTAGGTTTTAGAAGGACAAGACTGCCTTTGGCATTAGAAAGAAGAGGAAAAAAGATCTTTTTATTATTGCCATTAAACATATATCAGATAAACAGCTGCTGGAGCTAATGGCAAAAAAAAAAGAGACAAAGTTTGAATAAGCATTTGCTATCCTGATTGGTGTTAGCACTAGTCTTTCCTATCTTCTGGAAAATATCTGTTTGTTTTTGTAATTATAAAAATAATACATGCTGGCCGGGCGCGGTGGCTCACACCTGTAATCCTAGCACTTTGAGAGGCCAAGGCAGGTGAATCACCTGAGGTCAGGAGTTCAAGACCAGCCTGATCAACATGAAGAAAAGCCATCTCTACTAAAAATACAAAATTAGCTGGGTATGGTGGCACATGCCTGTAATCCCAGCTACTAGGGCGGCTGAGGCAGGAGAATTGCTTGAACCCAGGAGGCAGAGGTTGCCGTGAGCTGAGATCACACCATTGCACTCCAGCCTGGGCAAGAAGAGCGAGACTCCATCTCAAAAAAGAATAATAACAATAATAATACATGTTAATTGCAAAACTTAGAGACTTGGAGTATTGAAATCAGCTAGACATGTATGTAAATCTATAGTAATTGTACTAAATATGGTTGCAAAAACAAAAACTGTCAAACATTATTCTTAAAAGATTAGAAATAAGGTGTAAAATAATAATTTTAGCAACAATAACAAGAATCTAGAACTAAACCCCCAATTTATATTTTCAAAAATTGTTAACGAGGAAAGGGAACATAAAAAATTATAAGGCTATTAAACTATATGTCTTAAATAAGGAGTCTCAAAATATTTGTGTTTGTGTTTGTTTTTTACTTTAATAATTAAAGAGGTATTGGTCAAAGAACAATTTTTTACTTAAAAAGAAATAAAATTAAGATAGAAAATGAACTTTCTAGAGCACTATAGAAGATAAAAGCCAATAAATTATAGTTTATATGTGTGGGGGAGGGACTGGAAATAACAAGGAAACCTAAAGAAAATAATTAATATATCAGAAATAAAATCAAATATCAATAAATGGGTTGAACTTCCCTATTACAAAAGAATTCAAAATAAATTTTAAACATTCAGTGATTGTCTATGACAAGTGATAAAAAGACACAAAAATATTAAATGCATCTTCCCAAAATAGATATCAAAATATTAATATCAGTAAAAAGGAAAATTCAAGACAATAGGCACAAGACAAAAAGTATAATTTCACAATAAGTGGTTCAATTTATAACAAAGATGTGAGTTAAGAAATTTTATATACCAAAAACTACCTGCTTCCAAATATACAAAGGAAAAAAAAATTTAAAATCCGAGATGAAAGTGACAGAAATAAAATAGGATTGGGGCCAGGCATGATGGCTTGTGCCTGTAATCCCAGCACTTTGGGAAGCCAAAGCGGACAGATCACTTGAGGTCAGGAGTTTGAGACCAGCCTGGCCAACATGGTAAAACCCCATCTCTACTAAAAATACAAAAATTAGCAGGGCGTGGTGGCACTCACCTGTAATCCCAGCTACTCGGGAGGCATATGTCCATCTATACTATGTATATATATTATAGAATTGGTAAATAAACCAGAACCCTCTCTGTTTTAGAAAGATCAATAACGCCAGGGATAAATAAGGAAATAAGAGAGCTGAAAGATAACAATAAGTATGAGTGATTTACTAACTATCTATAGATGTATCTCTGAAACATTGTAGCCTATGTATAATATTTTTGGTTCCCATGAAACAATAACAAAACAAGTATGTATATAAAATATGTGTAAATATACATATTTATAAAAATATATATGTATACTGAAATACAAATGTTTTCAAAAAACAGAAATTTTATCAATCTCATTGACCACACCGTTTAAAAAATTAATATCCTCAGCAATTCAATGCAGGAACAGAAAACCAAATACAACATGTTCTCACTTATAAGTGGGAGTTGAAAATGTGAACACATAGACACAGGGACGGGAACAACACATGCTGAGGCCTGACGGAGGGTGTGTGTGGGTGGGGAGGGAGAGCATCAGGAAAAATAGCTAATGCATACTGGGCTTAATATGTAGGTGATGGGTTGATAAGTGCAGCAAATCACCATGGCACACATTTACCTATGTAGCAAACCCTTACATCCTGTACTTGTATCCCAGAACTGAAAATAAAGTCAAAAGAAAATAAATTCCACCCATTTGGAAGTTTTAAAACACTCCTTTAAGCAACTTTTCATTTAAAGAAAAAGTAAAAACTGGATTTATACATTATTTAGAAAGCAAATAACTATCACAACCTATAGGATGAAGTCAAATTACATCAGACAAAAATTTATATTCTTAAATGTTTTCATTATTAAGCAAGAAAAACAAAATATAATAAACATTAAGTTTAAGAAGCCAGAAAAGAAACAAAAATTTTTAAGAAAAACTGATACAAGGGATTAATGAGGATAACATAAAAGATTTACAAGCCTAAAAGGTAAAATCAATAAAAATGTATATTCACACATAAAATAATACTTTTGAAAGTTATTACAATTTACCAACCTTCTCTGCTTAATCTGAAAAAGAAAATAAATATTTGGAAGAGAAGATATAGATAACCACAGCCATGGAGCTTTTTAAATTGAATAATACTCTGTACAATTTTGTGTTAATATAATAATAAAGTGAACAATATTCTCAAAAAAATAGATATTACCACAATTTGCTCAGGAACTTAAAAACTTATGTAAACTAATAACTAGAAAATAATTGGGAAAAGTTGCCAAAAATGGTAATAATATTTGTAGTGCCTACTATGTGTTCTGCTTTATACTAGGTGCTTTATCTATTATCCCTGACATACAACATTGTAAGATAGGTATTATGATCTATATCATTGTATCTCCATTTCACCCTGTGTTTCCCTTATTACATGCCCATGTAAGCGGCATCATGCAGTATTTGTTTTTCTGTGACTGACTTATTTCGCTTGTCATAATGTCTTCAATGTCCATCCATATTGTCGTGAGTGGCAGAATTTTCTTTTTTAAGAGTTAAAAATATTTCCTTGTAGGTATATACCACAATTTATTAATTTATCTGTCAATGAACATTTAAGGTGTTTCCACACCTTGACTACTATGAATAGTGCTTCAATGAACATAGTCAAATTCACAGAATCAAAGAGTGGCATCGTGAGGCGATAGGAAGGTGGGGAGCTACTACTCAGTAGGCATAAAGTTTCAGTCTAGCAAAATGAATAAGCTGTGAAGATCTGCTGTACTATATTGCACCTATAGTCAACAATGTTTTGTGCACTTAAAATTTGTTGGCCAGACACAGTGGCTCACACCTGTAGTCCCAGCACTTTGGGAGGCCAAGGCAGGCGGATCACAAGGTCAGTAGATAAGACCATCCTGGCTAACACAGTGAAACCCCATCTCTGCTAAACAATACAAAAAAAATTAGCTGGGCATTGTGGTGGGCCCCTGTAGTCCCAGCTACTCGGGAGGCTGAGGCAGGAGAATGGCGTGGACCCAGGAGGCACAGCTTGCAGTGAGCCGAGATCATGCCACTGCACTCCAGCCTGGGTGACAGAGTGAGACTCTGTCTCAAAAAAATAAAAAATAAAAAAAAAAATTGTTAAAAGGGTAAATCTCATGTTAAGTATTCTTATCACAATAAAATGATAATAAGTTTGTTACATTCTGCTGTTATCATTTGTCTTCCCTACTAAATTCCAAGCACTACAAGTACAGGGACTGTGTTCACCATAAGCATCCTCATATTCCTAGAACTGACATTCACATAAAGCTTCTCACATAAATGTAACTCAATAAACAACTGATTGAAGCAATGAGAACACTGGGAGTAACCATAGTATAATATAACATAGAAAAATTACCGTACAGTCTCACTTATTTATATAGATACAAAAATCCTATCTAATGCAAATATCCCTGTACATCTAATTCTACCTAATGCATATATCTGTACATTCATTCAGGCTGCTATAACAAAATACCATAGACTAGATGGCCTATAAACAACAAAAATTTATTTTTCACAGTTCTCAAGGCTGGGAAGTCCAAGATCAAGGCGTTGGCAGATGTAGTGTCTGGTGAGAGTCAGTTGCCTGGTTCATAGATGGTGCCTTCTCACTGTGTCCTCACATGGTGGAAGGGGATAGCTAGCTCTCTTGGGTCTCTTTTATAAGGACTCTACTCCCAATCATGAAAGCTCTGTCTGCCTCACCGAATCACACGCCAAAGGTCTCACATTCAAATACCATCACCCTGGAGGTTAGAATTTCAACGTATGAATTTTGTGGGGGACAAAAACATTCAGACCATAGCACTAAGAAACCTCATATTATCGAGAACTATGTTATAAAACAATTCTTTCAATGGGTAGAATGAGAAGACTCACAAGAACAAAGTTACCTTCCTGAAAAAAAAGTTTAATAATTTTTAATAGAAAAAAAAAGTCTAGCTATAGCAAACAAATACCCTGAACAAATGTAGCATTTGATTATGGTATGTGCTCAAGTAAAGCCTTTTCCTGTGTCTTCCAGCACTGTCACTAGCCCAGGACTTCTTATATACACTTACCAATGTTATCGCCTTTGCCAGACCACTTTTCCTTTTTTCTTGTACTATTTCTATCAGTAAGCTGATGACTTCAGCTGTCACCCTTGTAGTACAAGGCCATGGCTTTTGTCTGCCAGCACCTCCTCTGACCCTTTTTGGTAACAGATCCACCCCTGAGGTAGAGAACCCATGATGCAGGCTGGGCCTGTGAGATTACTCCTGGCTCCAGCCACTATGTTTGGTCCAAGGAGTGAGCACTAAGTGAAAATAAGTGAGTCCACCACCCAGAGAGAAAGCATGCAAGCGTCTCATGCTAGTTCCCAATCCTGAGGTCTTACTGTACAGCCATTAATTCAAGTCTGTGATGTTCCCAATAGCCTCTCAATGAATCCTTTTACTGTTGTTCAAATCAGCCTGGGTCTCCTTCTGTTACTTACAGCAGGGGAAACCCATTAATTAATAGATCTACTATTTTGTGATAAATCATAAAGCCATTCAAACCAAATAAGAGGGTTTTTTTCTCCTTCTCTATTTCCCTTGCAATATTAGCTCCTGATATCAACGGTGCCTTGGGCTGTCAGTCTAATGCAAAATACGTTTCCTAAATAATGCACCACGTTGTATCCCGTTTGCCTCAGGAAAATGTGTGCTGCATTAGAGAAATACCAGCAGTAGATGAAAAGGATGACCTGTCAGAGATTAAACTTAATTTTGGTTTATTTCTCTGTCTCCTCTTCCAAATGACAGTGAGAGGACATACATATTCTCCCTTGGAAAATGAATTTCTTCTAAAGCAGAAAATGGTTGGAGGGAGCTAGGAAATAGGCATATTTAAGATACTTGTGTTATACAAATCTAGGACCCCATTAGGTAATAAAGCTCTTACTGTCTTTATCAGAGAGGAGATAATTGTTAGATGTTTCTGTTAAAGTGTCAAAATAAAAAGGAGTATGATAGGTGATCTGGGGGCTTTCAAAAGACAATTCTGGTCTCAATCATGGGTTCTGACCCTCTTTTATTATCACTCCTGGGGCAGTGATGATATCCAGTGTCTCATTTTTGGTAGGTTAAATGGACAGATACTATCACTCTGTTCTTTGTTAGTATCAATGAACAGAAAGCTATCTCAATTTTTGAACAAATGCTTCTCAATGAATGTTTTTAAGCATTACATGTCTCATTTGTTGTAAAAAATATTTCTGGGAAAAGTATACAAATATTTCAGTGTGCCTTAGTTGAGATTAATAGTTAATAGTCACGATTGGTTGTTTCCATCTTTTTCCCAAGGCAGAGAGAGAAAAAATATAATTAAATGTGTCTTAAACTTATGGAGGGTTCAGGCATATAAGGGGAATTTGGAGAAGGTTTGTCCCAAAAGACTCTTAAAAGCTGGTTAGAACTGAATCAAATGTATACATTTGCTCACCAAAAGTCAAGAAGAAAAATGTTCATGATACCCCCAAACAGAAACAATGCAATGCCCATCACCAATAGAATGAATAAATGGATTGTGGTATAGTCACACAGTGGAATACCGTACAACAATAAGAATGAAAAATCTGTACCTACACTCAACATATGTCATACTCATAAATATAATGTGGGGTAAAAGAAGCCAGACATAGAAATTGCCAACTGTATGATTCCATATATATAAAATTTAAAACCAGGCAAAACTGATCTATGCTGTTAGGATTCAGCTTAGCAGTTACCTTTGCAGGGGATGAGTAGTGATCAGAAAGAGGTTACAAGGAGGGTAGTGGCACTTCTGGTGTCCAGGTGATGTTCATCATCTTAATGCAGGTACTGGCTACACTGATGTGTTCCCTTTGTATAATTGATCAGTCTGGAAACCTATCATTTGTGCTCTTCTCTGCATGTATGCAGCACTTTATTGTAAGTTTTTTTAATTGACAGGAGGAATAATGAAGAACAAGCTGGTGCTGGGAGCAGGTTAGTCTTCCTAAAAAAAGCTTGGGGGTCCCAACCTTTCTTATTTTATGGCACACACAGGCCATGATAAAATTTGAACACATCGGGGGGTAAACAAAGAGGTTGGTTAAAGCCTGAAACTGCACTAGAGACTCCATTTGTTGTAACAGCGCTACCCAAGTCTCTCACTATACTACTGCTTTCCAGATTGCTTTTTCCTGGAGAATATCTGTTTCAAATTATTGTACCCATGTGTTTTGGCTTCCTTTACTTCAATTTGAGTCACATCTGGCTATCTTCTGCCTATATTCCTGATCCCAGTTTGCTTTTGTATTGCTTTTCTATCTTCACTGGAGCTTTCAACATCTTTCACTTTTGCATCCTCCAAGCATTTCATTAAACCAGTTATATGCGTTTTCCAATGAACTCAAAGAAAACAGTCAACTAGTCATTAGAAACCCCAGCTTCATTTCTGGCTTTAAGCAAGTTATTTGCCTTCTTTGGGTATGATCTGTGGATTGGGGTAACCATTTTCTTAGCTTCCACAGAGGAGTGCCTGCAGAAAGGTAAAGACATACACATATGTTGAGCCTTGAGCTTCCAAAAGGTATAAAAGAGGAAATTCATTCTGAACTAGGAAGGCACTGCAGGCTACCATCATCAGAACTTAGATCTCGAGATTCATCCACTTATTTGCTCCTGTTGGTTGTTACATCAAAATATTCATGGGTTCTGTCCCTCACATTTGTCTATCCAGTCATTTGGGTCTTTGATTTGACCTCTGTAAAAGAACCCTTGCTATGTTACTGGTCTATAATTAGACTTTTCTGTTCTAGCCTACAATCCTTTGGATTTCTAGTGCTCCATCCAACCAGTCTGGCTCCATAAAACACTTTCACCACCACCACAACCCACACACACGTGTGTCTGCTTGTGTCGGAATGTGTGTCCTTGTGTTGGGAGCACTAAAACCCACCCTGGAAGAGTCTCTACTCTATATCTAGAATGTTCTTAAGTGAGGGGTTTCTAAACTTGAATTTTATGAATGAGAAATTTATAACAGGGTAATTGTTGTAAGATTGTTCCTTGGAGTGCTAATGTCCTGTGAAGTTCTAGTTCTGATGTTGAATATGGTAGTCATTTATTCAAGTTCATACAGGACTGAGCCAAAGAAGGGTGCCCATATCTTTTAATGCCTAGTTATGTTAGTTTTCTCTGCTATGTAACAAATCACCACAAATTTAGCAGCTTCAATCACACATGTATTTCTTATCTCAGTTTCTATAGGTCAGAAGACCAGGCCAAGCTTAGCTGGATTCTCCACTACCGAGTCTCATCAGGCTGCAATCCAGGTGTCTGCGAGGAATGCAGCCTCATTAGAGGCTCAGAGTCATTGGGAACCCAAGCAGAATGATTTTGTGTATGCAGCAATCCTATTGATGAAGTGCTGAGGGCTTAATTCACTTTAACAAAATCAGAGAGTCAGAGGATTGAGAAAGGACAAGAATTAGGGAAATATATGATCTCTGTCATTGTATGTGAGGGTGAGAGAAATAGGAAAGGAAGTAAATGTACAATCCCCTATTTTTGAGTTACTCAATGGAGTTGGGTGGCCCTCAGTCTTCCCATTAGTGGATGGTTTCAGAGAGAGACACTGTTAACACATGTGGCAGAGGCTGTGGAGAAGGCTGTGTATACTTGCTAGTGAGATGAGCTGAGGGAGGACTCACTCCTACCAGCAGGCAGATGCTGACAGTATAACACAGGCTTCCATTGAGATGTGGGAAGTGCACTGGAAGTCTGCAGCACAGAGATCTGTTCCCAATGCCAGTGCTGGAGTTGGACACTGACTTTAGAAGAAAGCAAAGAGTGAGACCTTCTGAGTAAATCACCTAGGGCTGAATTGTACTTCTACAGCCACTTTGGTATTGCTTCCTCAAGACTAAGCCAATCTTGGAGATTATAATAAAATGTCCTCGGTTGAATGGACCCATTCTGTGCCAAGTTTCTCCTAACTGGCAGGTTGCGCTTATGTTAAGCTATTCTTAATAGTGCCTTCGTTGGTAGATTATTAAACTTTAGGTGAATCAACAGTAGCTCTTCCTCAGGAAGATCAATGACCGTTGGCACAGGATAATTAACTCAGAACACTTGTATTTCCTGTTCTGCATCTGTGTGGCCTTTGGACGGTAGCACATTTGGCAGGGCATATGAAGAAATATTGAGAGTCCAAGACTGAAAATTTACTAGACTTGCTCTTGGGTCCAGCTGTACCACAATTAGCCTTGTGATATTTGTTTGTCAATAAACAATTTCATAATTTCTTTCCATCTCAACTGTAAAATTAGTATTCATATTAAGAGTGATTAAGTGCTCTTCATATATCCAGCACTATACTATACACAATTCGAGCTTTGGAGAGTCTATCCTACCTACCATACAGGGTTGAAAATATCTAATGAGGTGGCTTCTATGCTTTGAGAAAGTGTAACATGCTATATAAGTGTAATTTATTATTCCTTTTACTGAAGAAATAGTTCAGTATTATTTACTAAAGAATAATTCCTTTTACATGCTGATTCCTATAGTTAATTTTTTTTTTCTCCTCATAACATGATGGCTTCCAAGTATTTCTCACTGATTTCCCATCCCAAGGAAATGTCTGGTTGTTTAGGTCAATGACTGCAACCTATAACATTGTCACATAGAGAAATGGAAGTCATTCTTTCCTTCTTTGTCATTCTATCTTCCCAGACTCTGACTACTTTCGGCCCTCATTAAAAGGGCTTGGTGGAAAAGTAATACCTTTGTTTCATCACCACCTCGGATGCACCCCCGTGCTGACTCCAAACAGCTCATGTTCACTAAAATTGAGCTTTCCTCTTATTCTCACATATTCAATCAGAGCTCCATATGGGTAAGCAGGAGATCCCAGATGGCCTGACCACTTCCTGGATCAGAAAGCTTCTCAGTATATAAAATAGAAATCTCTTTGATGATCCATGTATTTGTCAGGATTTGTTACACAACACATGTCCCAGGGAAGTCTCCTGTGATTTCCAGCACCTCTATCATAAACCCAGAAAGGCAGTTGGTTGGTTTGTTTGTTTATTTAGCTTTCACTTGGGCAGTTGGTTGCAGAGTTTCCTATTTCTTTTTCTTCTGCATGTCTCATCTCCTAACTTAGAACGCTGTCACGATGGCCTTACTTTTAAAAGCACGTGAATGCTAAGATCCAGGATGGAGTGCTGATTCTCTACAGTTCTTCTTTGAGATATATTTCTCATCATTTTTCAGAGTTCCCCAACCCTCACCTACCTAAACGAAAAATATCAAGTCTAAAGAACTTTCACCTCTAAAGGAAATGACCAATACTCAATTAACCTAAGCAAAATTTATTCTTCTTTCTTAAAACATATGTATTCCTTTACAAAAATGTGCTGAATTCTTTCTATGTGTGACACTGTTCTAGGTGCTTAACCTACAGAGTTTACAAAATAGGCAAAAAATTCTGATTCTTCTAAGCATTCTTATCCTTATCACCAGAGCTTATAGAGTGGTGAGGAAGAGAGACAGTGAACATAATCAGAAGCAGAATCAGAAGAAGAAGAAAACATTTTTTAAAGATATCATGCTAATTGCGATAAGTGCCATGGAGAAGATAAGAGTGACATGGAGTGTCAGGGTGGGGGGTGCAATTTGAAATTGTAAACACTAATAATAGACTGTGGGAGACAAGTGTAGAAGCAGAAAGCTAATCGTGGCTTAGGATACAGTGATAGCAGTAAGAGTGATGAGAAGTGGCCATTTTCTGGGCTTATTTTTAAGTTAGAACCAACAGAAATGTTGGTAAGTTGAATTTGAGAAAAAGAAAAGAAAGTTACCATGAAAGAAACTAATTTAGGTGAAAAAATAAAACAAACAAACAAGACTTGTTTTGAATGATGAGGACAGAGGAGTTGTCAGATGTTAAGAGGAGAAGGTATGACATAATAAGTTAATGGTGAAAAGGGAAGGAGAAAAGAAAGATTTAAAACCATACTAAATGGTAGTTATCTAAAATTGAAAAAATGTAAGTTCTCAGATCGGAAGTGCATCCTCAAGTCTTGAACAAAATATATAAAAATAAATCCACAACTAGATACACTGTAACAAACCGGCAGAACATCAAAGAAAATGGAAGATGTTTAAAGCTCTCAGAGAGCAGACTTTTCCTTAACTACAGTCAGTGCCAAAAATAACAGAATAATATCTTCAGTGCTGACAGGAAGTAACTGTCAACCTGCAATTTCATGTCCAGTCTTTCAACTGTATTGACAAAATAAAGGTATTTTCTACCCAGCAAAGACTTTGAGTATTTATTGCCCACAGACACTCAGGAAGGAAATTATTAAGATTTACCTCAATTAGAAGAAAAGTGAACCCAGAAAAAAGAAATGAAACAGTGAGAACAGAAAATAAATAAAAATAATTAAGTATTTTGAATTTTTGAAGATACAACAAAAGCTCTAAACAAAAAGCTGGGAGTGGGGGCATTGCTCATTGGTAGTAAAAGTAGGCTAAGATCTTGTTATATCTGGCAAGAAAATATAAATATTAAATAACGAAATAATGGTAGAAAATGTATGGTTAAATATTTTGTTAAACATGTAAGAGTGACAACTAAAATAATGGGAAAATAATCTAGCTTATGAAACAGGAGGAAGGAGAAAAGAATGTAGAAACTGTATTGGTGTACCAGAAGAAAGGGAGTCAAAAAAAAATAAGCAAGAAAAAAGAAGACCAATAGAAAACCTAAAATGAAAGGATAGAAATAAACTCAAATACAGCAGAAAACAATCAACGTAAGTATTTAAGCTTACCTAATAAAAAGCAAAGTTTAGTATTGACAGTGTTTTGTAGGCAATTAAAACTAGATTTTGTTTTGGTATCCCATCTGGTAATTTCTGTTTTAGAGAATAAAAGACAAGGCAAATATCCAACTAATTTTATATCAATGTTTGTATCACATTGATTCAAAACTAGACAAACTGTTAAAAGAAAAGGATATATTTACAAACAGACGCAAAATCTTAAATAAAGTACTAGCAAATGATCTGGCAGAGTGTAAAAACCAAACGAGGTTTATCTCAGGAATATAAGAATAGTTCAATAGAAGAAAATCTATGCCATACCCCTTAAGTACAGATTAAAGGAGATTAGTATATAATTATTTTAGTAGATGCAAAAAATGATGAAATGTGATATTTGTCAAGATTTTTAAAAAATCGCTGCCAACTAGAATTATAAATGATAAGGGAACTTCCTTAACACCGTAAAACTACAGCAAGCATTATCTTAATAAAGCATTTCACCTGCTGTGACAGCTTCGCTTTAATACGGTAATGAAGTCCTAACTTATTAAATAAGAAGAAAAAAAAGCAGCATTAAACTTGGAAAGGCACAAGCAAACCTCTACTTATTTGTAGATGATATGATTATCTAGGAAATAAAAAAGAGTCTATACAAAGTTAAAATCAAAAAGAAAGTTTAAGGTTTATACAAAAATCAGTAGTGTTCCTACTGATTGTGGATTAGCAATAACCACATGGAAATGTAATAGACAAAAAAAGATGCCACTCTAAACATCAATAAAATGTAAAAGACACCTGGGGTAAATCTAAGAAAAGATATACTATAACTTTATGGAAGAAGCTTTAAAACAGCATTGAAGTACATAGAAAAACACCTTAATAAATGAACATAAATACCACATTCATTGATGGAAAGATCCAATATCATAAAGATATCATCTTTTCAAATTGATATATAAATTCATTTTCAATAAAAGCCGGGCTCACACCTCTAATCTCAACACTTTGGGAGGCCAAGGTGGGAGGATCAATTGAGGCCAGTAGTTCAAGACCATCCTGGTCAACACAGCAACAACAACAGAAAAATCCCAACTGAAATTTCCATGTAATTTAAAAAGCTGATCCTAAAATGTTTGTGGAAGAAAACTGAGAAGAAGATCTTGAAGAACAAAATGAATAGTTTGGTGCTATCAAATATAATTTATCATAAAGCTTAGCAATAAAAGAGTAAGCTATTGGTGCAGGTGAATAGACAAATACATCAATGGACTAGGATAGAAAGACCTAAAAACAGGCCAGTGTACATGGGAAAAATGGATATATAGTGGATGTGGCTTACAAATTGGTAAGGATAAGACAGATGATTATTTAATAAATGGTGCTAGAATAATTGGTTATTTAGGTGGAAAACAAAACAAAATTATGTACCTGTATTAGTCTGTTTTCACACTGCTATAAAGAGCTACCTGAGACAGTAATTTATAAAGAAAAGAAGCTTAACGGATTTACAGTTCTGCATGGCTGAGGAGGCCTCAGGAAACTTACAATCATGGTGGAAGGCGAAAGGGAAGCAAGTACCTTCTTCACGTGGAAACAGGAGAGAAAAAGTGAGAGAGTGAGGAATGAACTGACAAACACTTTAAACCATCAGATCTCATGAGAACTCACTCACTATAACAAAAACAGCATGAGGAAACTGCCCTCATGATCCAATCACCTCCAACCAGGTCCCTCCCTTGACACATGGGGATTACAATTCAAGATGAGATTTGGGTGGGGACACAGAGCCAAACAATACCTTTTCTATACCAAGAAAACCTCAGAGATGAATAAAGCTCTAAATATGACAAATAAGAATTTAAAATGTTTAGAAGAAAATAAGGTAGAATGTCTTTATGTCTTCAAGCTAGATAAGGATTTCTTATCTAGTTGCGAAAAGGAAATCTCACTGAGCCACAAACACGATGAGTTGCCCAATTTGAATACTATCAGAGAAATTCAATTTACAACAGTAATAACACATCCAATCATAACCATAAGTTTGGCAAAAATTAAAGCCTGAAAACACTGACAAGTATTGACATGGAAGTCATAAAACCAGAGCTCTCATACAATACTGGCAGAAAAAATAGATTGATTAAACTGCTTTAGGAGCCATTTGGTTATATCTGCTATTGTAGAAGTTCATAGTCTAGCAAGTTGCCTTCAAGGTAAATCCTAGAATAGTGTTTTTAAAACTGCAGGTTAACAGATAATGCAATCAATTTAGGGGGAAAGGGAGAAGAGAAGAGGGGAGGGGAGGAAAAGGCAGAGAAGAAGAGGGAGGGAGGGATGGAGGGAGGGAAGAGGAAAAAATACCAGAATGCATCACCAGTTGGAAGGTGTAGTCCATGCTGTTGGGGCCCTGCCCAGATCATTTTCGTGGGGCTAATGGATTCACCCCTAACTGCTGTATTAGCTGCTAACTGCTCACAGCTGCCCTCATTTCCACAGCTTGCCCTTGGCTGATGGGAGCTACTTCAACTAGAAATGTCTGGGAGCTTGCACTCTTCTCTTGACCCCACCAAGCAGCCAATGACTACAAATAAGAGGTATGAAAGTCAGGGGCCCCCTCCTCCACAATTTCCTGAGGGATCAAGCTGAGGCAAGACCTCAGAGGAAACCACATCTTTGCTTAGCTCTTTCCTCTATTCTGTCCTGCTCCTCTTTCTTCCTTACAGGTTTTCCCTAGCACAAGAAAGTCTGTCTCAGGCTTTGCTGCTAGGGAACCTGACCTAAGAAAGAAGGGTACATATTTTTAAGTGCTTGTGTATGTATATTGAGTTATAATGTAAAATGTATTTTTAGAAATTTGAATGCTTCTGCTCTAGGGAGAATCTTTCAAACTTACACAAGGAAACATGTATAACAATGCACATTGTTGTGGCAAAAATTCGGCAACAGTCTAAATGTCTATCAGTAGGAGCATGGATAAATGGGTATGGAAACAATAAATCCTACTCTCATAACTACTTTTGGGGAGGAGGAAGGGAATGAAAGTCAAAGGGGATATGCAGGAATTTTCACTTGTATCTAAAATATTGTCTTTATAATTTTTCTAAGAAATGTGAAAAAATTCAACTTTATTAAAGCTCGGAAGTGAGTGGGTACATTAATGTTTGTGATATCTTCTATACTATATATATTATATATATATATAATTTCATTTAAAGAAAGCAAGATGTGAGAGCTCTAAATCCTCACTCAAACCCATTCTACTTATCTCCCTGATGCACTCCTGTGGAATACACATACATGAGGAAGTCATTTGTTTCCTCCTTTTTGACAATAAAAAATATGTAAGTTGTATTTCCTTTCATTGATCTTTATTCCAAAGATAGTCATGGGAGAACTGTTAGATGTTAATAATAATAAACCATATGGGTCTTTATGGTTAGCTTGTGCTCTCAATGGCCATGGGTCTGAGGATATTGTTTCCCAGCATTTGTTCCTCTTGTTTACTCTCCCAAATCCTTTAGAAAGTGAGAAACATAGTATGTACATACATAGGAAGGAGAGAAGAAGGGAGGAAGAGAGAGAGGGAAGAATGAACAAAAGGAAAGTGAAAGTGAAGGAAGGAGGAAACGGGATCATACAGTTTGTCAATGAAAACCCTGAAACTGTGGAGATGGTTGCTCCTTTCAGTTCCTAAGGATGAATCAGAATCAACCACATTGGAGAAAGTTCCAGCAGCCAATTATATTCTAGCTGTGGGTTGTTTCTTTTTTTCTATTTGTTTTATGAATATGCAAGGAAATTGAGGAAAAGATAGTCTTCTTCCATCTCCCATTGCAGCTCCACACACCATAGTGCCATAAGAAAAGGCTTCCCATTTTTCTGTCAAAAGCATCCAAAAACCATGTATTTTCTTCCAGCTCATTTTGGCTTAAGGTGAAGCATATGGGAAATTTGCAGATCAAGTCCATCAGCCAGACATCAGTCGGTAATGATTTGTGGCCATGTACGTATAAAGAGACCATAGTTGTCCATTAACTGCATACATATGGCATCTGGGAATGTAAACTCACAGCCTTTACCTTCAAAAC
This sequence comes from Homo sapiens, assembly GCF_000001405.40. Classification (NCBI taxonomy): domain Eukaryota; kingdom Metazoa; phylum Chordata; class Mammalia; order Primates; family Hominidae; genus Homo; species Homo sapiens. The sequence goes on from NC_000009.12 coordinate 20,226,461, forward strand.
CACATGCTAACCAGGGAGGTAAAACCGTGGTTCACAACATGTGGGTTGTGACCCTGAGTAGTCTGCCAACATTTGGCAGGTGGGCGGCCAGAGATGAATTGTGTGCCTACTGCAATTTCCTTTCTTTGGGGCTCCCTTGGGTGTATGTGTGCACATATTCTCTTGGCTATAATATAGACCTGACATGAAGCTGGAGCAATACCTGATGAAGACCTGAAACAATACACATTCATATTCCTGTCTCGTCATCTAGTGGGCACATTCTTCCATCTGTCTTTATTTTAAATACATTACATATATATGTTTACATATTGCATGGGCCTCTGCAACTTGTGTAATCTCTATCAATCATGAGTGTGTATTACAACCCCTACGGGGAAACCTGACTGTTTGCAAATAGAGATACATCCAGCCAGCGAAGTAGGCTCTGACTATCATTAGGGAAATAATTTAGGACTAAAGTATTTGTTCTGATTTGTGCTAACAGGGAGGAACCTAATGGTAAGAACAAACTTGAATAGCTGTCTTCCTTGTCCGTCCCAAATCCTTTCTAAGGGATTAATTGCATTGTTCATTCTCTAAATCCAAACACTGGTGGTAACTTTATCTCAGCGTTAGTAACAAATCCCTTTTAGACTGTTTATGCTCTCGTTGGCTCTGAATGGCCTTGACAGGTTGCCTTTTTGAAAATGGTCAGATTTTCCTAACTGCCATGACACACAGACTCAATTGTTTTAAAATATGAATACGATATGTTGACTCTGCTGCTGGAGTCAATGAAATATTTTAACTATGGTTTGCCAATGAAAATCTTTGATTTGTTTATGGTTTCTTTGGTATGTGATGGTGTGTAACCTCACTTTTCTTCAGAGCCATGATCCTGTACTAACTTGGCAAGTGGTCCACACTTACTTGCATCATCTTTGTGGTGTTTTAATACCCAACTGGCCTCAAGAATATTTAATGATAGCTCAACCATGTGAGGTGAAGGTCTCATGGAGAACTAAAAGCATAATCACACAATTTCTAAAGAAAAGGCTTACACATTTTCTGAAGAAAAGGCTCACACATTTCTAAAAAAAAAAAAAAAAAAGGCTAAGCAGAATGAAGATGACTGGAGCTGTGAGGCAACTACATTTCTGTAATGTACTATTAATATAACAAAAATAGTGTCTCTTCTGCCCTTCTATGCCCTGCTATCAGCGTGGCCTTGGGGTATTTCAGAACAGTCTAGGCAGCCAACTATGTTCAATAGCCACCTGAGCTCAGGCTTAAAGACTGAATCTCTAATGTTATTGCCTAAAGTTTTCCCATGTCTATTGGGATAATTGCCACCAACAAGGTCACATACACACACATCTCCCAACAACTACCAGTAATATTCAGAGACTGGGTAGTCTGAAATACATATTTTCTTCCCAAAGGAAATGTAGTCACAGAAATTCTGCTCTATCCACAATAAAAACAACCTGTTTCAGTTTAGCTTCTTGGAGGCCAAGTCTGGACTCTCTTCCCTCCAGAATAGAATCTTCATTTTCTCTTTGCAAAATCAAAGGCCCATTGAGGTCATTCTTCCATTAAAAACAGGTTCTATTTTTCCGCAAATCCTCACCCCTTATAACACAAACACTAGAATGTCAGAAACTGAAAAAATCCTTCACTTGCATATTCCCAGTTTACTAAATTTCAAATATTATTTTTATAGAGCTTTTTTGTCACAGGATTTGAGAATGGAATTTGGAAATGCTTTGACCTAAATTTCCTCTTAGTAGAAGAGACTCTAGACAGTGGTTTCCAAGAATCAGGGCTCAAGGTCAAAGTCCTTGAACTTCCTTTTCTTCTGCTTTTCAAAACACAAGCTCTGTTCCAGCTCTCACTCAAAAGTACAGAGCGCTCTGAGTTGGGGGTCACAGACTGTCAGCTCCCAGTTGCACTCACATACACACCCAGAGAAGGAACACTGATGATGGAGCATGAATTCCCAAGTAAGAGAGCTGGCACCCCAAATTGTCTTTTAAAAAAAAATCCAAGCGCAACAAATATGAAGATGGAAAATGGGGAGGTGAAGGTGACTCCAAGTGGAAGGGAGTAGACTGGCTTGCTGTAGGGTGGGTGCATTGGAGTGAGTTTCTTCAGAAGTTCTCTGCTATTGCCCTAAGAGAGAAGAAGGGTGAACGCCCCATTGTCTCTGATCCAGGAAGAGGTCAAGTCCTAGAAGAAAAGCAAAGATTGTGATGACCCTTAGGAGGGTATAACCAGTGTGGCACCCAGTATCCAGCCTGTGCCTTCCTAATCCATGTGTAGCTCAAAGTATGTGGAAAAGGAAGGAGAGAGAAAAGCAGAAGAGGCCGGAGCTCCCAGCTGAGGAAGGAGAGCTAAGGCTGTTCACTCTGTAGAAGGGGCACAGACACTGGTAAATGGAGGGTGAAGCATGGTGGTGGCTGGAGGATGCAGATTCTTCTAGGAGTCCTAAAGGCCACCAAGAAGGGTCAATCATCCCTGGCAATAAAGGCCTCTGGGGGAGGAAAGGGACTTAGTGATGCTGCAGAGGCTGGGAGCTGGGTGTGAGGTGTGACATAACTGTGTTATTTCTCTTTTGCTGCCTTGTAACCCCCAGAGTGCTGATTCCTGAGGGGAGTACATACAATCCATTTTCTAATTCCACTTGTTTTTTCCATTCATCACAGCTCATCACTTTCCTACAGCCTGATGGAGAGCTCATTTCCTCCTGAGAAGCAGTGTAGCTCAGTGAAGACAGGTTATGGAGTCTGATGCCCAAGGTTCAAATCCAGGCTCTGTTACTTAATAACAGTGTGACCTTGATCAAGTGCTTTGACCTGTTGTGCTCTGGTGTTCTTCTCTATATAAGGAAAGTATGGTATGAATATCTACCTCATCAGTTTTTGAAGAAGGAGTGAATAGGCTAATATATATAAAGAACTTACAACAGTGCCTGGTCTGTGTTAAACACCCAGTAGACAGTGTGTACAAGCTTTTACTTGTTAAAATTAGAGACTCTTGAGTAAAAAGAGCCTCATAAAAGACTATTTCATTTATACAACAGAGTGACAATGTGCCAGACACTAAGCAAGGGCCTGGGGATACAAAAAGTAACATTACTCAGTCCATACATTTGTCAACTTTTCCTTTGAGCTTCCCAGTCTCGGGTCCCTTATCACAGGCTCTCATTATACTATTACTTTTGCATCAAAGCATTTATCACAGTATATTCATTTATATTTTGTGTGATTATTTTTCTATTTCTTTTTTTTTAATTTTATTATTATTATACTTTAAGTTTTAGGGTACCTGTGCACAACGTGCAGGTTTGTTACATACGTGTACATGTGTCATGTTGGTATGCTGCACCCATTAACTCGTCATTTAGCATTAGGTATATGTCCTAATGCCATCCCTCCCCCCTCCCCCAACCCCACAACAGTCCCTGGTGTGTGATGTTCCCCTTCCTGTGTCCATGTGTTCTCATTGTTCAATTCGCACCTATGAGTGAGAACATGTGGTGTTTGGTTTTTTGTCCTTGTGATAGTTTGCTGGGAATGATGGTTTCCAGTTTCATCCATGTCCCTACAAAGGACATGAACTCATCATTTTTTATGGCTGCATAGTATTCCATGGTGTATATGTGCCACATTTTCTTAATCCAGTCTATTGTTGTTGGACATTTAGGCTAGTTCCAAGTCCTTCCTAGGGTGAATAGTGCCACTATAAACATACGTGTGCATGTGTCTTTATAGCACCATGTTTTATAATCCTTTGGGTATATACCCAGTAATGGGATGGCTGGGTCAAATGGTATTTCTAGTTCTAGATCCCTGAGGAATCGTCACACTGATTTCCACAATGGTTGAACTAGTTTACAGTCCCACCAACAGTGTAAAAGTGTTCCTATTTCTCCACATCCTCTCCAGCACCTGTGGTTTCCTGACTTTTTAATGATTGCCATTCTGACTGGTGTGACATGGTATCTCATTGTGGTTTTGATTTGCATTTCTCTGATGGCCAGTGATGATGACCATTTTTTCATGTGTCTTTTGGCTGCATAAATGTCTTCTTTTGAGTAGTGTCTGTTCATATCCTTCACCCAATTTTGATGGGGTTGTTTGTTTTTTTCTTGTAAATTTGTTTGAGTTCATTGTAGATTCTGGATATTAGCCCTTTGTCAGACGAGTAGATTGCAAAAATTTTCTCTCATTCTGTAGGTTGCCTGTTCACTCTGATAGTAGTTTCTTTTGCTGTGCAGAAGCTCTTTAGTTTAATGAGATCCCATTTGTCAATTTTGGCTTTTGTTGCCATTGCTTTTGGTGTTTTAGACATGAAGTCCTTGCCCATGCCTATGTCCTGAATGGTAATGCCTAGGTTTTCTTCTAGGGTTTTTATGGTTTTAGGTCTAACATGTAAGTCTTTAATCCATCTTCAATTAATTTTTGCATAACGTGTAAGGAAGTGATCCAGTCTCAGCTTTCTACATATGGCTAGCCAGTTTTCCCAGCACCATTTATTAAATAGGGAATCCTTTCCCCATTGCTTGTTTTTGTCAGGTTTGTCAAAGATCAGATAGTTGTAGATATGCCGCATTATTTCTGAGGGCTCTGTTCTGTTCCATTGGTCTATATCTCTGTTTTGGTACCAGTACCATGTTGTTTTGGTTACTGTAGCCTTGTAGTATACTTTGAAGTCAGGTAGCGTGATGCCTCCAGCTTTGTTCTTTTGGCTTAAGATTGACTGGGCGATGCGGGCTCTTTTTTGGTCCCATATGAACTTTAAGGTAGTTTTTTCCAATTCTGTGAAGAAAGTCGTTGGTAGCTTGATGGGGATGGCACTGAATCTATAAATTATCTTGGGCAGTATGGCCATTTTCATGATATTGATTCTTCCTACCCATGAGCATGGAATGTTCTTCCATTTGTTTGTAACCTCTTTTATTTCATTGAGCAGTGGTTTGTAGTTCTCCTTGAAGAGGTCCTTCACATCCCTTTTAAGTTGGATTCCTAGGTATTTTATTCTCTTTGAAGCAATTGTGAATGGGAGTTTACTCATGATTTGGCTCTCTGTTTGTCTGTTACTGGTATATAAGAATGCTTGTGATTTGTGCACACTGATTTTGTATCCTGAGACTTTGCTGAAGTTGCTTATCAGCTTGAGGAGATTTTGGACTGAGACGATGGGGTTTTCTAGATATAAAATCATGTCATCTGCAAACAGGGACAATTTGACTTCCTCTTTTCCTAATTGAATACCCTTTATTTCTTACTCCTGCCTGATTGCCCTGGCCAGAACTTCCAAAACTATGTTGAACAGGAGTGGTGAGAGAGGGCATCCCTGTCTTGTGCCCGTTTTCATAGGTAATGCTTCCAGTTTTTGCCCATTCAGTATGATATTGGCTGTGGGTTTGTCATAGATAGCTCTTATTATTTTGAGATATGTCCCATCAATATCTAATTTATTGAGAGTTTTTAGCATGAACGGTTGTTGAATTTTGTCCAGGGCCTTTTCTGCATCTATTGAGATAATCATGTGGTTTTTGTCTTTGGTTCTGTTTATATGCTGGATTACATTTATTGATTTGCATATGTTGAACCAGCCTTGCATCCCAGGGATGAAGCCCACTTGATCATGGTGGATAAGCTTTTTGATGTGCTGCTGGATTTGGTTTTCCAGTATTTTATTGAGGATTTTTGCATCAATGTTCATCAAGGATATTGGTCTAAAATTCTCTTTTTTGGTTGTGTCTCTGCCAGGCTTTGGTATCAGGATGATGCTGGCCTCATAAAATGAGTTAGGGAGGATTCCTTCTTTTTCTATTGATTGGAATAGTTTCAGAAGGAATGATACCAGCTCCTCTTTGTACCTCTGGTAGAATTCGGCTGTGAATCCATCTGGTCCTGGAGTTTTTTTGGTTGGTAAGCTATTGATTATTGCCTCAATTTCAGATCCTGTTATTGGTCTATTCAGAAATTCAACTTCTTCCTGGTTTAGTCTTGGGAGGATGTACGTGTCGAGGAATTTATCCATTTCTTCTAGATTTTGTAGTTTATTTGCGTAGAGGTGTTTATAGTATTCTCTGATGGTAGTTTGTATTTCTGTGGGATCGGTAGTGATATCCCCTTTATCATTTTTTATTGCGTCTATTTGATTCTTCTCTCTTTTCTTCTTTATTAGTCTTGCTAGCGGTCTATCAATTTTGTTGATCCTTTCAAAAAACCAGCTCCTGGATTCGTTAATTTTTTGAAGGGTTTTTTGTGTCTCTATTTCCTTCAGTTCTGTTCTGATCTTAGTTATTTCTTGCCTTCTGCTAGCTTTTGAATGTGCTTTTCTCGTTCTTTTAAGTGTGATGTTAGGGTGTCAATTTTAGATCTTTCCTGCTTTCTCTTGTGGGCATTTAGTGCTATAAATTTCCCTCTACACACTGCTTTGAATGTGTCCCAGAGATTCTGGTATGTGGTGTCTTTGTTCTCGTTGGTTTCAAAGAACATCTTTATTTCTGCCTTCACTTCATTATTTACCCAGTAGTCATTCAGGAGCAGGTTGTTCAGTTTCCATGTAGTTGAGTGGTTTTGAGTGAGTTTCTTAATCCTGAGTTCTAGTTTGATTGCACTGTGGTCTGAGAGACAGTTTGTTATAATTTCTGTTCTTTTACATTTGCTGAGGAGTGCTTTACTTCCAACTATGTGGTCAATTTTGTAGTAGGTGTGGTGTGGTGCTGAAAAGAATGTATATTCTGTTGATTTGGAGTGGAGAATTCTGTAGATGTCTATTAGGTCTGCTTGGTGCAGAGCTGAGTTCAATTCCTGGGTATCCTTGTTAACTTTCTGTCTCGTTGATCTGTCTAATGTTGACAGTGGGGTGTTAAAGTCTCCCATTATTATTGTGTGGGAGTCTAAGTCTCTTTGTAGGTCACTCAGGACTTGCTTTATGAATCTGGGTTCTCCTGTATTGGGTGCATATATATTTAGGATAGTTAGCTCTTCTTGTTTAATTGATCCCTTTACCATTATGTAATGGCCTTCTTTGTCTCTTTTGATCTTTCTTGGTTTAAAGTCTGTTTTATCAGAGACTAGGATTGCAACCCCTGCCTTTTTTTGTTTTCCGTTTGCTTGGTGGATCTTCCTCCATCCCTGCATTTTGAGCCTATGTGTGTCTCTGCACATGAGATGGGTTTCCTGAATACAGTACACTGACGGGTCTTGAATCTTTATCCAATTTGCCAGTCTGTGTCTTTTAATTGAAGCATTTAGTCCATTTACATTTAAAGTTAATAGTGTTATGTGTGAATTTGATCCTGTCATTATGATGTTAGCTGGTTATTTTGCTAGTTAGTTGATGCAGTTTCTTCTTAGCCTTGATGGTCTTTACAATTTGGCATGTTTTTGCAGTGGCTGGTACTGGTTGTCCCTTTCCATGTTTAATGCTTCCTTCAGGAGCTCTTTTAGGGCAGGCCTGGTGGTGACAAAATCTCTCAGCTTTTGCTTGTCTGTAAAGTATTTTATTTCTCCTTCACTTACGAAGCTTAGTTTGGCTGGATATGAAATTCTGGGTTGAAAATTATTTTCTTTAAAAATGTTGAATATTGGTCCCCACTCTCTTCTGGCTTGGAGAGTTTCTGCCAAGAGATCAGCTGTTAGTCTGATGGGCTTCCCTTTGCGGGTAACCCGACCTTTCTCTCTGGCTGCCCTTAACATTTTTTCCTTCATTTCAACTTTGGTGAATCTGACAATTATGTGTCTTGGAGTTGCTCTTCTCGAGGAGTATCTTTGTGGCGTTCTCTGTATTTCCTGAATTTGAATGTTGGCCTGCCTTGCTAGATTGGGGAAGTTCTCCTGGATAATATCCTGCAGAGTGTTTTCCAACTTGGTTCCATTCTCCCCGTCACTTTCAGATACACCAGTCAGACGTAGATTTGGTCTTTTCACATAGTCCCATATTTCTTGGAGGCTTTGTTTGTTTCTTTTTATTCTTTTTTCTCTAACCTTCTCTTCACACTTCATTTCATTCATTTCGTCTTCCATCGCTGATACCCTTTCTTCCAGTTGATCGCATCAGCTACTGAGGCTTCTGCATTCATCACGTAGCTCTCGTGCCTTGGTTTTCAGCTCCATCAGGTCCTCTAAGGACTTCTCTGCATTGGTTATTCTAGTTATCCATTAATCTAATTTGTTTTCAAAGCTTTTAACTTCTTTGCCATTGGTTTGAATTTCCTCCTGTAGCTCAGAGTAGTTTGATCATCTGAGCCTTCTTCTCTCAACTCGTCAAAGTCATTCTCCATCCAGCTTTGCTCTGTTGCTGGTGGGGAGCTGTGTTCCTTTGGAGGAGGAGAGGCGCTCTGATTTTTAGAGTGTCCAGTTTTTCTGCTCTGTTTTTTTCCCATCTTTGTGGTTTTGTGTACCTTTGGTCTTTGATGATGGTGACGTACAGATGGGTTTTTGGTGTGGATGTCCTTTCTGTTTGTTCGTTTTCCTTCTAACAGACAGGACCCTCAGCTGCAGGTCTGTTGGAGTTTGCCAGAGATCCACTCCAGACCCTGTTCACCTGGGTATCAGCAGCAGTGGCTGCAGAACAGCAGATTTTGGTGAAACGCAAATGCTGCTGCCTGATCGTTCCTCTGGAAGTTTTGTCTCAGAGGAGTACCTGGCTGTGTGAGGTGTCAGTCCGCCCCTACTGGGGGGTGCCTCCCAGTTAGGCTACTCGGGGGTCAGGGACCCACTTGAGGAGGCAGTCTGCCTGTTCTCAGATCTCCAGCTGCGTACTGGGAGAACCATGCTCTCTTCAAAGCTGTCAGACAGGGACATTTAAGTCTGCAGAGGTTACTGCTGTCTTTTTGTTTGTCTGTGCCCTGCCCCCAGAGGTGGAGCCTACAGAGGCAGGCAGGCCTCCTTGAGCTGTGGTGGGCTCCACCCAGTTCGAACTTCCCGCCGCTTTGTTTCCCTAATCAAACAGCTAACTCGGCAATGGCAGGTGCCCCTCCCCCAGCCTCGCTGCCACCTTGCAGTTTGATCTCGGATTGCTGTGCTAGCAATGAGCGAGACTCTGTGGGCGTAGGACCCTCTGAGCCATATGCGGGATATAATCTCCTGGTGTGCCGGTTTTTAATCCCATTGGAAAAGTGCAGTATTGGGGTGGGAGTGACCCAATTTTCTAGGTGCCCTCTGTCACCCCTTTCTTTTACTAGGAAAGGGAATTCCCTGACCCCTTGTGCTTCCCGGGTGAGGCAATGCCTTGCCCTGCTTCGGCTCGCACACGGTGTACTGCACCCACTGTCCTGCACCTACTGTCTGGCACTCCCCAGTGAGATGAAACCAGTACCTCAGTTTGAAATGCAGAAATCACCCATCTTCTGTGTCGCTCACGCTGGGAGCTGTAGACCGGAGCTGTTCCCATTCGGCCTTCTTGGCTCCAGGCTATTTCTTTCTTTTTTTAAAATTAATGTTTGTCTTGAGCCTCACTGTAAGCTTTCCAAGGACAGGAACTGGGATCCATATACTGTTGTACTCCCATTATGCAACCTAACATACCATAGTAGAAGCTCAATTGATGTTTGTTGAATGAATAAATAATCCAAGAGAAATAACTAGATATCGCTTTATAGAAGGTTTCATTAGAACCCAGCACAGCAAATGAGATAGGCGGTGAATTTTTAATAAAGTATCTATCAGCAGCAGTCAAGATCTGCTTTCTTAGGGTAACACGTGTCTCTGTGCTAAAGAAATCATTTCTCCAAAAGAGAACATGGAATCCCTGGTACTTTGTCCTTAGTTTGTTTTCTCATCTGAGATAGGAAAGCATGGCACCCTGACAGGTAAGCAAGCAGCCCTTAATTTTAAATATTCAAGACAGATACATACAATACTATCTGAGTGGGGGAAAGGTAAATCTAAAATAAATGTCTTTCATTATACAGAAACAGCTGTTTATTGATTTCCAAGAATTGTTGTGTGAGTGTTGGTTTGAAAGGGAGGAGGCCATCATGAAAGTAAGCATTCCATTTGTATTGGCTAGAAGCTGTGAATCAAAATTTTTCAAAGATAAATTTTCCTCTGTACTTGATTCTCTGTCGAAGGGATGTCTATTTATCTTGTCCATGTTACTGTCATGTTTGAGAGACATACTGAGCAGGTTGGATCTAAACCAATCAAGTCCAAGCTTTACGACCAGCAAATGCTGAATTTACAGTCATGTACTCAGAAACCCCTGAATAATTGAACTAAAAAAGACACTAGTATCCTGAATAATTAAACACCTTCTGTTGCATAAAATCAGCCTTCCCCAGCCCTGAAAAGTAGAATTCTTTTCACCTGCGGCGGGTGGAACTGTTTGCATAGTGGACTACAGCAGCAAGCTTGTCAGGGCACTTGTACCAGACATGAGGGTGATTATGCTATCTGAAAGGTATGTGCCTGTCATTTCCTAACTATTGCTGCCTACTTGTTTGGTCCTGCAGGAAATCAGGGATGGTTACAGCAAAACGTGACCCAGATCAATGAAGGATGGAGGGGGTGGGGACAGACAAACACAATAAGCAAGCAGAAGCCAGGTGTGTCTCACACTGTCAGGCTAAGCTGGAGCCTGAATCGCAAACACCAGAGACTCAAAAGAGCATCTAATCTGGGGGCTCAGGGCAAGATGGAACCTCCAGGTTACTCCTTGGCTATCTTCTGCTTCTTTGTGAAACTGTGAAATTTGCAAAGGGAAACTTTCAGATCGTATTTCATTCATTCATTTGTTCTGCTTGAGCATAAAGCATACTTCTATATGTATCATATATAATAAGCATCATCCTTGATAATAATGGCCACCATTTAGTGAGCACCTTCTAGGGGCAGACACTGTGCTAGGTAAAGGTAGGTCATAAAATTCACTGTCAAAAAAGAAACAGGCTGGAAAAAGTTAAGTCTATTACCCATGATTACTTAGCCAGAAGATGGCAGAGCAGTGTTGGGGCCCAGGTCTTTCTGACACTAGCATTCATGCTCTCTGCATCAAAGTAAACCACCTCTCTCAAAGCTGTTCCTAGGGATTGCTAGGGAAAGAAGAAAGGAAGAAACTTGGAAGGATACTGAAGACACAGACTAGAGAAGGTTAGAGAAGCCCTGAGCACACTGGCGTGCCATCTGGAACTTGGGAATGATGTGCATTTCTCTTTTTATGTTTTGCTATTCATGCTCAAGAAAGAGCACTCACCTGGCACTGGGAAGCACTCCGATTTTTTTTTGTTTTTAATGATTCTTAGTAAGACTTGATCTGAGCAGTCTTAATAAAGTGCAGGGGGATAATTCAGGCCTCTGTTGTGGTGGGTTTCTTAGCCCTATCTTCATAGGCAGAGTCCTCCTTGCCCTCTAGATAGAAGTAGTCTCCTCATTTCCCTCTAGATAGAAGTAGTCTCCTCATTTCCCTAGTGTTGAGTCATCCATTTTGAGTTTGCCAAGTTAGAGTCAGGTAGTTCTGGAAGGCTATATCCCTGTTTTCATTTACTGAAATGTCCCAGAAGGCTTGGGTGGAGGTGACAACCACACTCCATGGTGCAGGACCTCCTAATTTGGAGCTCCTGACTTGGAGTCATCTTGGCTTCTCAGAAGACGTAAGGACCCTTGGGCTGGAAACTGACATGTGGGTGGTCCAGCTGAGCCTCCACAGAAGGAAAAGCCCAGGTCTGTTCCTGCCTATTCAGATTCAACTACATTTATGAGGCCTGACACCTGCCAAGTACTTTGATACTTTCACGTGTTATTTCATTTCACCCTCACATCCACTCTAAGAGGCTGAAGTATTTTTCACATGTTATGAATTTTAAAAAATGGGCCACAGAGAGGTGCAGTGTCTTATGCATGATCAGGCACCTTTTGCACAGTAAAGCCAAAAACTCCGACCTTCACACACATAGGCTGAAAAACCAATTTAGCCATCTGCAGCAACATTTAAATTTCCTTTAGAGTGGAACTCTGAGTAGCTTGTTCTAGCACCCACCATACCACCCCAGATCGAGGAAAGAAAGCAAAGGGGTTCATGCTTTATGAACTGAATTGGCCAAGGAAATTATGATTAAAAATTAAGTTAGTCAGAAAATACAGCAATCAATGCTTTAAATGGGGCCTGGGGAGCAGGTGTACCCCTAACAAAAGTATAAATGGAAGTTCCCAGTCAATCCCTATTTTCTCCCTCTCTGGGCTGCTTCTAGCACTGTGAGGGGCCTTGTTTGCATGCTTTGGGACACCCCAGTGTACATGTCTTAGCTTTGTGTACATCTGTTGTCAATCAAATGTTTGTATTCTTCCAAAATTCATATGTTGAAGTATTAACCCCCAGCATGACTATATTTGGAGATAGGGACTTTAGGGTATAGTTAAGGTTAAATGATATTATAAGGATGAGGTGCTAACTTAATAGAACTAGTGGCCTTATAAGAAGAGGAAAAGAGAGATCTCCTTCTCTCCCTATTCCTGTCTCTTCTTCCTCCCTCCTAGTGACCTCAGAGAAAAGGCCACGGGAGGGCACATCTAGAAAGCAGCCATCTATAAGCCAGGAAGAGAGCTCTCACCAGAAACTAAATTGGCTAAATCCTTGACCTTGGACTTCTAGCCTCCAGAAAATAAATTTCTCTTCTTTAAGCCACTCAGTCTGTGGCATTGTTACAACAGTCTGAGCTGACTAATACAACATCCTATCCAAATAGCCACTGAGCAGAAGCTCACTTGGTCCTGTAAGTGGACTGAGGCTAGGGTTGCCACAAAACACAAAACATAGAGGATTCCCAGTTACATTTGAATTTCAGATAAATCACAAAAAAATTTTTAAGTATTAACTGTGTGTTAAGCATTGCATGGGACATTATAATAAAATTTTATTTGCTATTTATCTGAAATTCAAATTTAACTATGCACCTTCTATTTCATCCTGTATTTTTACTTGCTAAATCTGGCAACCACAACTGAGGCTCTGGTCAGGGAGCTCCAGGGACCTCAGTGTTCACAACATTGTCTAATGTTTAAGGGGGCCTGGTCAGGGAGAGTTGGGCCTTGGATAGGCACAGCCCTTTGTTCCCCAGACTACCTCATGGGGAGGGGCCCTCTTAGGCTTGAGGCCTAGGAAAAGGGCTGCTCTTGCCCAGGTCTAAGGGCAATATTGGTAGCAGATAGCTTGGAAAGGAGTACATGAGAAGAGCTTGAATTTAGGAATAAAGAGACCCAGGATCCATCATAAGACTTGGGCAAGTTACTTAATCTCTCTGAACTTTAGATACCTGAACTGTATGTAAAACAGAGCTTTACATGGAATAATATTTGTGAGAAAACTATCCCCATGCTTAACACATAGTAGCACATAGTAAGTCTCAATACCAGCTGCTTCTATTGTCAAAGAAAAAGAGATATGGTATGAAAATGCTTGAGTTTCCTTGCCTTCTGGCTTTTTTTTTTTTTTGTCACGGAGTTGATTCGAACCAGCTGTGAACTGGAAGAGGGTGTTAGGTATTTCAATTTGCCCATGAATGGGTTAGGAAAGGGTTACCCTGTCTAGTGGTAACCATCCGGGAAGCTTAGCAGTAGAGACTAGGCTAAGCATTTCAGGAGAGGTGAGAGAGAACTTGATCCCTTCTGGCCCATGAACTGATGTGTCTCCCTCTCCCCTACTGTTATTCACATGTCTCTGGGGCCTGGTGGGTAGGTGAGGCACTGTCCTTTTCAAGAAGGCAGGGAAAGAGAGGTGGAGGAGAGAGAGCAGAGCAGCCACCCTACCTGGGCAGAAGATGCTATGAGATATGTAAATATTCTCTTAATTCACCTATTTGTTTTTCCATCTTCAAAGGAGCCTGCCTAGATGAGAACTTAATCCCATGGGTTGTAACTCAGGACCATGAGGATACACACAAAGGGAACCCAAGGAAGCTGGCCCTAAGGCTAAGTGCTGAGTGTTGGAGGAAATATATAAATGAACTTGGAACCTCATGAAAGCTCAAGACTCTTCTCTCAATTTCAGTCTCATTCCCAAGCATCACGCTGTGGGATTTGACTCAGGGTGTTTCCCTTGTTAAAAGTCAAGAGTAAGAAGTAGGGGGTGAAGGCAAACTGGCTTGGGGCCAAACTAAGCAGCTTCCTTTTTAACTTGGATGTATTAATGGGAGTAGAACTTTTTTGAACTCTAAGATTGGCACTCAGGTTCCTTTCTTTCACAGATTGTAGCGGGGTTTTAAATGACTAGGAACTGAAATGACTATGAGGTTGGTCATTTCAGGGGGGTTTTGAGGCCCTAAGGCTAGAGAAGTACTGCATTTAGGGTGAGCAAAGGGGAGGAAAATTCCAGGAAGAGGGCTTCTAAGAAGAGGTTACCTAGAGTACAAATGGACATCGATTGATCAATGTGACCATAATACTTTCACCAGCCCCTTCTGCACCTGGGAAGGTCTCTCATAACCAGTTACAGAGTCTCTGCCCCTGAAAGGCTACTGCATCAATAGATTCTCTACCACACGCAGATGAATTGAGGCACAGTTTCAGGAGTCTTAACTTCATAAGAAGATGCTTTCTCTTTCCTCATCTCCTCCCTCAGATCCACTCTCCTCCTGGAAGAAAGCATTTCTCATTCTGTTTTAAATTACAGTAATGAAGATGTGATATGAAATAATACAAGGTAGGTACCTTTACCAATGAAACCACGTGTCTTCAGAATCTATCAACACCTGCAAAGACACGCATCCAGTGCTCACCTGGTGTTAACACTGAAGTTTTCTTACATTCACCATATTAGGACCCAAAAGAAATTACTCCCATAGACTTATATGAAAGTTTTAATCTGAATGAGTTCTGAAGTCAAATAATTAAGCACCTACTGTGTGCAATAAAATAAGCACAATACAAATTACCAGTTCAATTCAGCAGGTATTTGTTGAGGGTCCACTAGGGAAGCATGTAGCATAATGATGGCTCTGAGGTCATCGCTTATGTCTCCATCTGTACCTCACCATCCACTAGTTGTGTGACTTTTTGAAGGTGATTTTAATCCCTCTATGCCTAGACCTCTCAGCATACAGACTATGAGAGTATTACTTAATTGGGCTGTTGTGAGAATTAATTATCAAGCCTTCATCATAGTACCTGGTACAAAATAGTTGTTTAATAAATAGGTCAAAGGATGCAAGGATGATTACATGATCTCTGTCCTCAAGAAGCTTACAGCCTTGAGAGAAAATAAAGATAAATTGCCATCTGTCCTAGGAGAGGGGTGTGCCACAGTGCTAAAGGGACCATAAGCGAGTAATCCCAGCCTAAGGCTGAGTAGAGAGGAGTGGGAGGAGGTTGGGGGTGCAAGCCAAACCTGGGAAGATGATCAACCCGGAGTTAGCCAAGCTGAAGGAGCAGGAGGAGCAGAGATGCAAGACAGTATTACAGCTTCTAAAAAACATGGCTGCAACATCAATCGCCACCTTGTTTCACTTCCACCAATGCCTATTCCTCTCTAAAGCAAATCTAGCTGCCACCACTTTTAAAGTTCACCTTTTCATTCTCCTCTAGAATCTTCTTGAAATTCTAATGACCTGCCAGCCTCATTCACCGAAAGCATCTCCTGTTTTGATCATCCTCTCCACCATGCCCATCCTATGGACTAACGCGCCAGCAGGTGCTGGCCCAATATTCTGGCAGCCGCTGGCCAAGCCACAGGAGATTTGACATTCTTTTTCCTGCCCCCCACAGTCCCCAACATTAACTTGACTAAAACACTCCTTTGCCTCAGTCTACCAGTCCATAAAATAAAAGCATGCATTCTGACCATTTAGGTAGAAGAAGACTTGTAAATTACAAAGGCTTGTGGAGTCCTGAGAAATAGGGCTAAAGAAACACTCGCCACTTAAAATAGCTAACTAAAGAGGAAAGACTTCCTACTCGATGCATTACTGGGTTAGTGGGTTGATTTTATCACATCCAAGGTTGAATGCTTCCTATCAATCAACTGCAAACGAGGAAATCCAGAGCTTTGGCTCCAGTAATGTGCTTCATATGTTCAGAATTGTCCTCCAAATCAGCAACTGACTGTAGTGGTCCAATGGGAGAAGACAGCTGTTCCCAAGTCAGGGCCCCAGCTTTCAAGGCTGTGAGTGCAGGGAAGGGCAGGGAGCCATGAGGACACTCCTGAAAATTCCAACTTAAGGTGGATGTGTCGGATTTTATCTTCTCTCACCAGCTCTGACTCCGGGATGCAACACCTGACATGAGAAAGAGCCTCCTCCTAAATAGCTGCGGTTAAAACATCCTAATGCTAATTAAAAACGGAGAGCTTAGCTAAAGTGGAAGGAAACATTGCTCCATTAATGGCTTTGTCATTTGCTAAAACCTTATTTCTTTGCTGCCTTCAATTTGGTTAATTAATCTTTCACTGGTGATCTAGTGCTGTCAGCGAGGCAATCTATGCAAACCACATCTCTAACTCCAGCCTGTTCTTCAGCCTTTGAAAAACTGGGGGGATGGGTGGTGGTTAAATAACCAATCTACAAGCCACTTGCAAAACGAAAAGTTTCATTTCCCGTGCATAAGGTGCCAAGACCTTTCTTCAATAACCCAGCAGTGTTTTATTTCTCAGCTGGTGGAATTTCAAATTAGTAGAGACTTCCGTGGTTTCTTACAGACCTCCTTGGTTACAGACGAAAGGACTCCACACCCACCCCCCATATTGTGGGTGTTTTTACTACTCCTTTTATTGCTAAGCTCGCACTTATATTCTTTTCACTTTCTTTTTGCACAATTTTTAAAAAAATTATAAATTAGCACCTTCATTCCCTTCATGGTTGGCATCTGCTGTATTTCAAGTGAGAATGCATAAAATCCTCTTCTCATGAGACTATCATAATCAGAAAAACACATAAGCAGAATGCTGACATACCAGCTCCTTCATTCTGCTTTTGTGATTCTATTTATGAAATATTTGACACATGCAATGAGGTGTTATTTATAAAAATTTGCAGCATACTAAACAGTATATAATACTGTTTGTGGATACATATATACATGAGTAGTAAAAATATTAAAGCATGTTAGAAAATTATAAGCATCATCCTCAGTATTTGAGGGTATCTTCAATCTGAGATCATTTTACTAGCCAGATTGTAACACGCTTACACATACAGACACACACACTTACATGTACACACACATTTGCTCTCAATTTTGTTATATATATGAACAAAGCATTCTAGAGTTTTATTACCAGCCTAGACAATGTCTTAGAAGACTTTTAATTTTTCCTTTAAAATAAAAGGAAAGCAGAGCAAATGAGATGTGGTCAATGGGGGTGATGCCATATGACCTCACTTTTTGGGGGTGTTTGACTGCCTTCCAGTAGCTTGCCTCCTGGGTCCATTTTTGAGGCAGGCTCTGGCTTGGCTCCAGGCCAGTGTGACAATCAAGGCCTGAGAAGTCTCTTCTTTCTGAGATAATTTCTCAGGTTTCTTTGTTTTATTGGTGGATAGAAGGAGGGACCTCGAGAGGAAGGGAGTGGGGAGGAGGGGGATCAGGCGGAGATTTCTAAACTCAAACAGGAAGTCCGGCTGCTGTCCCAGCCTGTGAAACTGCGCTGGCTTCAGCAGGGCAGCCCATGCAGGATGGCTTAAAGTTAATCCATGGAGTCTGGGCCACTTTGGACTAATTCCTTTGAGAGTCTCCAAGCCTCCAAGGAGCATCTCTGACTCTGGCAGACCATCCAAGGTAGTTTTGAAGAAAAATAAACTCAGATAAAAAAGAAAAGAAAATATAAACTATCCGGTTAAAACGTGTGCCTTTAAACAGCTATGGGCCAGACACTAAAATGAGTTTACAAGATCCCAAGGAGACAATTAAGGAAAGCGAGAACAAGTGAAAAATAAGATGCTCATTTCAGCATTGTAAAGAGCAGGAAGGAGGGAACATTATCAGAAAGACAGCCTTTAAGCCAGCACTGAGGGATAAAAGAGACCAGATGGCCCTCACCCCCAGGCCAGGCAGAGGACCCGCCCAGCCCCTACACACTGCGCCCTGTGAAATGCATGCGTGCAGCCCTCAGATCTGTCAGATTTATGCTTGCCTTTGCACCACTCCAAGAGGCGCACCAGTGCCGAACATCTTTGAAATTCTGTTGGATTCCAAGTGAAAAATCATTCTGCCTTCAAAGCTAAATGGAAGTTTGGTAGATGCATGTGCTTTTCCCTTAGGTTCAAAAGAGAAATTACTCTCCTCACCATCTTTATGCATTCATAGTTTCCTTTTTCAAGCAAAAAGGGAAATTATGATGGGGAAGCATCCTGTAAAAGCAGAAGGTATTATACAATAACAGTACTGCTTCTTTATAGAAGCAAATTTTTCTACATTTTCTTTAAAACAGAAATGTAGTTTGCTTTCATCCAATGCAGTATGTTTACTTCTCTTATTTTAAAAAAAATCTGTGGTTTTGATAGAGTGTCAGCATCATTATTTGCTCACATCTCATTTTAAACATTTTGCAAATGTCTGAAATAATGTACATAAACCTTTCAATGAGTTAGTGCTAGATGCAGAAAGTACAGGAAATTGTCACATCCTAAGTCACGTATTCCTGTGGAGGTTTTTTAGCGGACATGAGAATATGTCATAATGGGAAAAATAAAAAAAAATTATTGAACTGTGATTATGCATTAGGTAGGCCCTAGTGACACAGAAAATAGACAAAGATCTTACAATCCATGGTTCCTGCCCTCAAGGAGTTGATATCTAGTGGGAGGAGAGAAGAAGGTGGAGAGGGCAAGTAAACAAATACCTGTGATTAATACCAAGTGACAGGTGCTATAACTGAGTTAAGTATCAAGTTTCACGGGTTACCTATGAAGGAGCAGTTATTTCCACAGAACTGTGACTGTATCAAGGAAACCTACACCTAGATGGTATTGGTGAGACAAGACAGGTGAGAGGATCCCAGAGAGAGGCAAGAAAGCCAAAGAGAGGTGGAAGTCTATGATGTTTTCTGGAAGCCGTAAGGAGTCCAGTATGGGTAGAGCATGGCGACTGGGAGTGGCAAGGAATGGCTAATGATGGAATGGAAGTGTGGGTTTGGAGTCAGAAGCAGTTCATCAAAGGCTTAGATTGCTGTACTAAGGAAGGTGGACCCCCAAGCCATGGTGAGGAGAATAAGCAGAGCTTAGAAAGAACAGCTTGGTCTTCAGATGTTGTGTTAAAAGGTCAAGCGAATTGAGATTTTTGGACTATGGAAGTATTAGGATGAACAAAATGCAGGGAGCGATAAAGTCACATTGGATCTGGAGAGAAAAAGTAGATGGTAAACTTAACAACAAAGTTTAACTTAGTCAGAAGAGCACTTGGCTAAAATAGGAGATAATAGTAGCTAACTTTTACTGTGTGCTATTATATTCAGATCCATGCTAATCCTTATTTAACCTTCAAGACTACCCTATAATTTAGGTACTATTATTATAGTTGTTTTACAGGTGAGGAAAATGAGGCAAGGAGAAATTTAGTGAATAGCCTAAGGTCACCAATTAGTATAAGGGGGAGCCAGGATTTGAACACAGGCTGTCCAACGTCCCCAAAACTCTATGTATACTGTTCACAGAGAAGGAAACATGCTCTGTAAGGAAAAGAAATAAGATCATGTGTACATAAATTTTCAGGTTGCTGCAGGATATCAAGGTAGAGATTTCTAATAAATAGCTAAGAATATAGGTCTGGCACTCAGAGAAAGATGCACTCATTCAACAAATATTATTTCCTGAGCACTTATTTTGTACCTGATGCTGTTTCAGAGCTGGAGTTATAGCATCATCTAAATATTAATATTTATGGAGCACTCACATGTGAAACATATGTACATGAAATTTTGGTAAAGCAAAAATTTCCATCACACAGCTGAACACATACTCTCTAACTCAGAGATAGCTCCTTCTGCAAAACAAATAATTCATCCCTTAAGCACCTGTTTTTGCAATTTCAGAATTACCCATACTGGATTTTCTTAAAGCAAAGCACCCTATAAACATGCAAACATTCAGTCAGGAGGAAAGAGTTCATTTTAATTTTACGAACCACTCAGCATGTGTGTTGGGCTTAGGAAATAATAAAATAAATATATCTCAGTCATTTGTGTTGATAGAATTTAATGAGAAGACTACAGTAATGACAAGTTACTCACAGGTCAACAGAATGCAGATCTCCCTCAAGAAAAGAGGGAAAAAATTCAATCACAAAGTTCAAGATCATGGGAAGGAAGGGAGAAGCCCCTGACATTTGGCCTGCCCTGGTCTGTGGGCCTTGGAATCCTTCAGCAACTGCAGTTGTACTGTCTGCCTGTATAGCTAGGCACATGTATAGCCAGGCCCAGATGTAGCCTGACAGGAGCACCCATGAGGGTTCCTTGCATCTGCACCAGTCCCAACTGAAGCTGCCACCACCACCCTATCTCCACTGCCAACACCAATGCAACTACTGAGTGAGATTTGTTCTACCTTAACTATGCAGAGGAGATAGCACCAGGATCCCTATTTATTTCTGTGCTACATGACCATTATACAGTGTATTGCATTATTTTGAAGTGAGACTCCTTTCACAGAAAAATAACATGTGAGACCACTTATATCTTGAGCTTAGATAGCACCTTCTGCTAAGTGCCTCTGCTTACTTTCAGATATTATCTCATGAAATCTTCACAGGTTTCTCTATTGGAAATATTTTTCAGCAGTGGCATAAAAGTCAGGGCATTTCTATGAATATATGCCCTAACTGAGGGCATTTCCTGACATCTCCACCCACTAAAGAACCAACAGATTATTTTCTTTTCAAGCAAATCCCATGGTGCTATCATCCTTACGTAAGCATCAGCAGGCCCTCACCAAGAACTCCAAGCACATACGGTCCAGCCTTGCCTCTCCCACTGCTGTGGTCTGAATGTGCATGTCCTCTCAAAATTCGTATGTTGAAATCCTCACCCCTAAGGTGATGGCATTAGGAGGTAGGGCCTTTGGGAGGTAATAAATTATGAGGGTGAAGCCCCCATGGATGAGACTAGTGCCCTTATAATAGAGAGTTGAGAACGACTCCTTACCGCTTCCAACATGTAAGATTAAAGTGAGAAGTCAATTGTCTACCAGGAAGCAGACCCTCTCCAGACACCCAATCTGCCAGTGCCTTGATCTTAGACTTCTCTGTCTCCAAAACTGAGAAACAAATTTCTATTGTTGGTTAGCCAAAAGTCTATAGTATGGTGTTATGACAGCCCAAACAGAGTAAGATACTTTGATAATTTTCACAATCAACTGTTTTCCAGAGTTGGAGCCTTTTCAGGCGACCATCACAAAGAACCAACAGGCCACATAGCATAACAGTTTAAGAGCATGAGTTTGAATTCAAACTTATTTACTGTGCAAACTTAGGAAAGGATTCTAACCTCTATGAGTCTTAGTTTCTTTAACTGTGAATTGGGAATAATAATAATACCTCCTGCTATGCTTATGAGAATTGAGTTATTACATACAAAGGGCTTAGAGCATATGGAATGCCCTCAATAAATATTCTTGATTATATCCACCTGTCTGTCCACACACGTGTAAAGCAAAGAGCATGAAAGTGGATGTCAGAAAATCCAGATTCCAGTGCCAGTTCTCCTACTAAATAACCGTGTGTTCTTGTTAAACTCAATGCCTCTGAGATACAGTTTCTGATTCCTGAGTTGGAATGGATTATTCCAAACAGCTGACTTTTTGGGAGGCAGCTGCAGCTGGCACTGATAGTGAATGCAAGGAACCCGTATGGGAGCTCCCACCAGATCTCCAACATGGATTTTATACATCGAGGATCTTTGTGCCTTGGCTCAAGGCCCTAACAGGTACTAAAGAAAGATTTCAAAAATAGAGCACATCTTATTTGGTTCGGGCTGCTATCACAAATATGCCATAAGCTGAGTTGCTTAAGCAACAGAAATTTCTCACAGTTCTGGAGGTTGGGAATTCCAAAATCAAGGCGCCAACAGATCTAGTTTATGGTGAAGGCCCTTTTCCTGGTTTTTAGATGCCCATCTTCCTGCTGTGTCCTCACATGGAAGAGAGCAGATAAAAAGGGGCAGGCTCTCTTGTGTCTCTTTTATAAGGGCACTAATCCCGTTAATGAGGGCTCCACCCTCATGACCTGATTACCCACCAAAGGCTCCACCTCTGAATACCATCGCATTGGGGATTTAGACTTTACCATATGAATTTGGGGGGCCACATTCAGTCTACACCGAGCATTTCTCCAACGCTGCCTCACAAATAGAATTCTAAGGATTCATTTTTCATCTTATCAGGAACAGAGTAACTATCCAACTGCAAATCCTGACAATGTACAACTATATTGTTAGCATTTACTTCTCCGGGGCACCCACATGGCAGACCTCCTACAGGGCACTTAAGGACAATAAGAGAGTCTCTAAATAGTTGTTTCCTCCAGAGATATATTCATGGTTCTTCCTGGTCCTGGTCTCCCTTTCTCCCCCTGGAAGTTGCTGAATGTAGACCACAGCCTGCACAGGCCAGGGAGCCCAGTGGACACAGCAGAGGCTCAGGCTGGCCAAACTTATTCTCAAGACAAAGACGATGAAGTAAAGCAGATTCTGGAATCAGCCTGCCTGCCTATGAGTCACACAAGTTGTGTGACTTTGGGTAAGTTGATTAATCTCTCTGGGCTTCAATTTTTCATGGGATAAAAACATGGATGATAAAGTATATAACTAACCTGGTTGCCTCAAAGAGCAATTGAGATAGTTCATATTGACCTTTAGTACAATGCCTGGCATATTGTGAGTGCTCAAAATGTTAGCTGTGATTATAATTATCACAGCTCTGCCATTGTATAACTGTGAACCATGGACAGTTTACTTAATTTCCTGAGCCTCAGTTTTCTCATCTGTCATCTGGGGACAATAATACTTAACTGTGGGTTTGTCATAAGGATTAAATGAGATAGTCCATCTGGGCCCAGCGCAGTGGGTCATGCCTGTAATCACAGCACTTTGGGAGACCAAGGCGGGTGGATCACCTGGGCCAGGAGTTCAAGACCAGCCTGGTCAACATGATGAAACTCCATCTCTATTAAAAACACAAAAAAGTAGCTGACGTGGTGGCGGGCTCCTGTAGTCCCAGCTACTTGGGAGACTGAGGCAGGAGAATTGCTTGAACCCAGGAGGCAGAGGCTACAGTGAGCTACGATTGCACCATTGCACTCCAGCCTGGGCAGCAGATTGAAACTCTGTCTCAAAAAAAAAAAAAAAAAAAAAATGAGACAGTCTGAAATGTCATGTAGCACTGAGTAATAATATCTGCTATTATTAAAATCATGACTATTATTATTTATAATTGGAAGTGAGGAAGGAGTGGTCACAGCAGCTGAGGTGACTCCCAACACTGACCTCTTACACCCAGAAAATAAGCCTTACACATAGACTCATCTGTATAGATTCTCCTCCTGGTTTCATATTCAAATAAAAGAAAATATGTACAATTTCCAAAGTAACTCAGAATCTAAAACAGAAAATTTACATTTATAAATTGTCTTGGGGAGGAACTAATTTTCAATTTTTGCTAAATAATGAGCAGAGAAGGATTTTAAACCAAGTCAATACATGAGAACAACAATAGCAAGACCTGTTATGATTATCCCAGTCTTTCTATGCATAGTATCATACTTAATTCCCATAGCAGCTCTGTAATGTAGATAGGGAAAGGATCACCAAGCCCACTTAGCAGGTGAGGAAACTTGAGACTAGAATAATAAATCATCCTGCTCATGCTAGGCTATGGTAGAACCAGAATTAGAACTCAGATGGCCTGGCCCACTGTTTCTCCAAAATCATTCTGGAAGTCCTACAGGTCTTCTCCTCAAAATGTTTAGTGGGTGACCTTTAGACTGCAGATGACAATGAGCCCCCATCTGGTGTTCATGGCAGACATCACCAATCAACAGCTCTTTCCTAATGAGCCCCGGAGTCTTCTTTAATAGATCCCTTCAGGAGCCATAACCACTTGATCATATCTGGCAAGTGAAATGAAATCTCTCTGTTGCTCAGACACTAGACCTTGAAGAATGAAAACTCAAATCTTTATAGCAGGGTCCAGGCTGGTTATGGATATAAATAAAAGAGTGGGAATGTCAGTACCCATGCACGCCTCATGTGAGTGTGCTGAACACAAGAGCCTATGTCATGGATTAAGGAACAGCCAATTCACCTCCAGCTAACGTTTTACTATGTTGAAGTGAAAGCTCAACATTGTTATATCTTAATTTAAAAAAAAGAAAGAGAAATCTAAAATCTACATGGTATCCAAAATTTCCCAATTATTTAATACTATGTAGCCTAAACAGAATGACTATATGGGTCACATACACCATCAGTTTGCAACCTTAACTATAAACCAAGTCTAGTGATCCTTCCCATTCTCTGAATTCTGAGCATCCCTGTAAGCTTGACAGCCTGATTCCTCGAAGCGCACTTCTCACCTCGATTAATTAGATCACTGAGATGCATTTAGATGAGCTACTCAAAATAGGCAAGGCGCCAGCTGGCTCCAGTGTTCGCTTCCTCCAGACAGAGGGGTCAGATTTAGTCTCTGCTGGACTCAGCCCATAGAGAAGAAGGCAGTGAAAAAGGAAAAGCACATCTTCCTTTATATGACGAGGAAAGCCAGCAAAAGACACAACCAACCTTTGGGAAAATCTTGAAGCCTACATTTGTCTCTGAGAATTTTCTCTCTACTTCTCTACTACTTTCTCCTCCCAAGCCTCTCATACTCTTAGGTGTTTCCTCTCAGCAAGGTCCCCCAGGTTTGTCCCCACCCACCCTTATCCCCTTCTTAGTATCCTTTATAGAAGCAGAATGAGTCTAGCAAATTCCTTCATGAGCTTTCTCATCCTCTTTGCAAACATTTCAAACGAGTAAACTCAGATTAAAGCTATGCTAACACCAAGGAAAAAAATGACCAAAATAATAGTCATAACTTTCTCTAAGTAGGGAGGCTATGTACAATTTGCATTTTCTTCATTAAACTTTTCCATGTTTGCTCAATCTACTGACATTAACAATCATCACTTTTTAATAGGGAGGATGGGAGCTATTTTTTCACAAAGAGAAAGCGTTAATAAGATAAAGTAAGTATCAGGAATTACGTAATAAACTGGTCAAGTTACATGGTATATCAGTTAAGATACCTTTAGCTGCAGCAATTTTTAAAAATCTTCTCCAATTGATTCAAACAAAAAAATATTTCTTTGAAACCAGAGATTTAGAAGTAAACCTCTCCTAAGATGGTTCCAGGGATGGGTGATTCAACAGCTCAATGATTCTCCAAGATCCCTCTGTCACCCACAACATATCAGTTGTAAGAGTCAGCTTCCCTCATGGACTCAAGATGCTGCTGCAGTTCCAGGTATTATAGCCATGCTCCACAATGTCCAGAGGTAGAACGGGATTGGCCTGCCTCTGTATCCTTACTGAAACACGACATCTTTCCCAGAAGCTTAAGCCAGACTTTGCCACATGCTTCACTGGCCAGGACTTGGGTCACCTGCCCATTCCTAGACCAATCACTGTCAAAGGGAATGGGATCTCCATGAATAACATGAGAGAATTATTTCAGTTGGAACAGATGTTGGGAGGCCAGCCACAAAGACTACAAGACAATGTGTTCACATTATGAATGAAAGTAGACTGCTATGGACAATGAGAAGATCATTATAAAGCTCATTTTGAAGGGCTCGGAGTCCACAAATATTCCATCCAAAGGGTATGTCTGGAAAGGCATATGAGTTTTATTCCTAATATTGCCTTAGATTTATGTAGCAATTAATAGTTTGTATTGTACTTTCTGACAAACTTCCCCAATGATATTTCATGTATTCGGGGATGACACTGTAATTATTATCCCATTTCACAGAAAAGGAACCAGCTGAGCACTGTGTCTGGTGTCTCATGGCTAGCAAGAGATAGAGGTGGGACAGGATGCCATGCTTTTTGACACTTAGTTCACTAGTCTTTCTACTACACCACGTGACTTTCACTATAAAAATGCTCAACAGGGATAGAGCACTTGTTTCCAAAGTACACACACATCATGATCTCACTTGATTCCCAAAACAACATTATGAAACATTAGGCAAGGTGGAGTTGTCTTCATTTACAGATAGGGATATTGAGGTTCAAGCAGGCTGATGGTAAGAAACTCAGGTTTGGATGAATTGAACTGGTTTTATTTGTTTTGCTTTTTACTACCAATTGGCAGTTGTTGTTGTTGTCTTTTCCCCTTGCTCCTTCTCAACACCTGATCCTAAATCAGCAAGCATGTCTCCAAAAAACATGGGATCCCCACTCCAAATTTTCATACTCTAGGACCCCTTCTGGTACCAGACTCTATTCCTGTCTGTTATGCCTAACTAAGTAGCTGGTGCTTCCTTATGAGCTCCTGACATCGCCCCTTTCATTGTTGCCTCAGGCTTCTCTGACCTTCCAATGGGATCATTAGTTAATCTCATCAACTAATTTGCTAAAGAAAGACTCCAGGCTCTTCCTTTCTAGGGAAGAATAGCAATGGCCTGTTAGAAACAAGGCACCCACTTTTGTTGCCTATCCCAAGGCAATTACCCCTATAGTGGGAATTTTAGGATAGGCTAGAGGGAAGTCTTGACTGTTAGATAGTTAGGAGCCTGGTCTCTTAACTATTCTAAAGCAGGGCAAAGAAAATATTATGATGCAGTAGAAAGAGCACTGACCTGGGAGAAGACATGCCTGCTATATGATCTTAGTATCTAAGCTCCCATTTACAAAATATGAATATTAGCTCCAGCCCAGCATACTTTCCAGAGTTTTTACAAGACTTTATCAAAGCATTCATGAATGCACTTTGAGCTCAACAGATGTGTAGTTATTTTATTAAACAGTTGCATCTAGGTGAGTGGATACCTTGTAATTTGGCATTACTTCAATAATAATTGTTTGTACCATCTTACTTCCAAGTGTAACAGGTAGATAAAAGGAGAGAGACCAAATCTCACTATTGTTTATCCAAGGCCAATGATCCAGGGCAGGGTTCTCAACCTTGGCTCCGCACTGGGATCATCTTGAGATTTTTATAAAATGTGATGTCCAGACCCTACTCTGAACCAGTTAATTCAGAATCTAATCTCTGGGGAAGTGGGGCCCAGGCATCAGTACTTTTTATTAGCTCGCCAGGTGATTCTCTGTGCAGCCAGGGTTGTGAACTGCTGCACGTGAGTGATCCAGTAGCAGAGAGATTAACTGGATTCTTTTTCTTTCAGTCATGCAACCACACTTGGAGGAGAGAGTGACACAGTCAGTTCACGGGGGGTCAGAGCATCCTTGGTTCTCTTTCTTGGCACTGGGTCAGGTGTATGTCATGACCCGTTCTGGGCACCGCAATTACTTCTTAGAACCACTGGATGCTTCATACCAAATGCTTTACAAATGTGGCTTGGGGTTGGTAAAGGAGGACCAATGAGGGAGAATGGTGTGGAAGAGAGGGAATATGAGGTTGAAATAAAGAGATAAAAGCAAAGAGAGAGACAAAGACAGGCAGGGAGTGGGGTGCAGAGAAGCAGAAGCAGAAAATAAAACTGCTGATAGTAGCTTTCAGAATTCAGACCTGCTTTCAAACCATATGGCAGAGATATTAGCTTGTCTGTAATTACTACAACATTCTCAATTGCAGAATGACTTTCATTAAAACCCATGGATTGAGGCACTTGGAATTTGTGAATAATTCTTACTTTGAGCTCTGGCTCTATTATGCCTCTGTTTGGAGTTGATGTTTCTTAGGGAGGGTGAGACTCCACTTGTTCATCAAGCTGCTATTTTAGAAATAATGCCATCAAAATCAATTTAATGAGCATTTGTTTAGCACCCACTGTGTGCCAGGCTCTGTGCTAGGAGCTGGGTACTGGGAATAGATATCCCTTGGCTACATCCATTCAACAAATGTGTTCAATAGCAACACATGCCAGGCACTGTGTGGGGTGATGCAGGGGCAGGATATCCCTAGCAGACTGATAAGAATACAGGCAATTACTTGTGGTAGAGTCACTGTATGTAACAAGTTGTACCTCTATTAATCTGCTTCAGGTGGTGAAGGGAGGAGAAGGGTAACTGCATTCATCTTTGACCAGGAGGGTACCTAGACTAAGTCCATAGTGACCACCACTTAGTGGCCCATGAAAAAGGCAGAAGTGACAACTTCTAGTTTCATGACACAATCAGATTCCAAGCAGGTTCCTGGATGGGGGCTGTATTAGTCCATTCTCACAATTCTAATAAAGAAATACCCAAGACTGGATGATTTATAAAGAAAAAGAGGTTTAACTGACGCACAATTACACATGGCTGGGGAGGCCTCACAGTCCTGGCGGAATGTGAAGGAGGAGCAAAGATACATCTTACATGGCAGCAGGCAAGAGGCATGTGTGTGGAAAATCCCCTTTATAAAACCATGAGATCTCCTGAAACCTATTCACCATCATGAGAACAGCACAGGAAAAATCCACCCCCATGATTCAATTACCTCCTACAAGGTCCTTCCCATTACACATGGAGATTATTACAATTCAAGGTGAGATTTGGGTTGGGAACACAGAGCCAAACCATATCATGAGTTGTTATTCTACCTCTCTGGAATGAAATGTGACCAAAGTTCAGGGTTTAGCGTGTCTAATATCTACGCCATCATCCTTAATCACTTACCACTTAGCTGAGAGATGACAAATGGTTTCATTTTACACATTATCTTTGATGCACTGGTAATGACTGCCTAGAGTACTGCTAATAAGATTTCTGGGCTCAGTGAGATAAAAAGTTTTGCCATGGGGTGGCATTAAACAGTGTAGTTTCCAGCCCTGATTTTGCCCAATCTCCTTTGTTCTAGTGCTGTATTGTTCCACAATAAGCTACCCCCAAGTTAGCGGCTTAAAACACCAGTTCTTAGTTTTCCTTGTGAATCTGCAGTTTGGGAAGAACTCACACAGGACATAGCTCATATCTGTATACATGGCATCATCTGGAGCAGCTCATCTGAGGCAGGAGGATCCACTTCCAAGTTGATTCACTCACATTGTCTGAGAGCTCAGGTGTAGCTGTCAGCGAGGGCCTCAGTTCCTTTCCACACGAGTCTATCTAAGAGGCTGCTTGGATTTCCTCACAGTATGGAGAGTGGAAACTAAGAAACAGCAAGTGGAAGTTGCTTAGATCTTTAGAGTTGGTCCTAGAAAATGGCCCGACATCACTTTTGTCATATTCTACTGATCAATGCAGTCATAGAACACATTCAGGTTAAAAGGAATAGAAAGTGTGTCAAAGAATTCATGGTCATACTTAATCTGCCACATCATTCTTCCATTTTGTGAAGCAAGTTGAGCCCAGCTCCGATTGTTTATTGTCTTAGTCCACTTGTGCTGCTATGGCAGAATACTACAGACCAGGTAACTGATAATGAACAGAAATTTATCTGCTCACAGTTCTGGAGGCTGGAAAACCCAAGATCAAGGGTCTGGCATCTGGTGAGGCCATTCTTTATATATAATCCCATGGTAGAAGGGCAGAGAGTGAGAGAGAGCAAGAGGATTCTGAACTCATCCTTTCATATCAAACCCATTCCTGTGATAACAGTATTAATTATTTCACTGCCCTCATGGCCTGATCATCTCTCATTAGGCCCCACCTCCCAACACTGTTGCCTTGGGGATTAAGCTTCCAAAGCATGCCTTTGGGGAGACACGTTTAAACCATAGTATTTGCTAGGGTAGTTCATAATGAAAAGCATAAGGGAAGCTCAAGACTAATGGCTTGAAAATAAAATGGTGTAGAGTGTGAGACCTCTAGTTGCAACCAGCTCTGCTCTGATGTGTCCTTCCTGCTAAGCCTCTGCTCTTCTGGGAATACTCAAGAACTCCAAAGGCTACACAATGAAGGCAGACAGTCCTGCCAAGACTTTGCCAATCATTTCAGGAAGTAGAGTGTCTGGGCCTGCACTTCACAATTTTTTTTTCCTCTCTCAGTTACCAACTGGGGCTTGCACTTTCTATGTTGTGTTTCCTGCCCTACTGCTACCTCTTGGGTAACTGTCCCAAGGGTTCTCTTCTTCACCTTTCTAATCCTTACATGCTCTGCCATCAAGCATTATAAATGCTGTGGGATTCCTAATCCAACTGTGCAGTTCTTAGGTTCAGGGGAGAGGTTGGGATCAGATTTTCTAGAGCCGTGCATTCAGTGAGGGCTTTCTGATACCCTGGAGATGATTCATCTACCATACCTAGACAGTAGAAGCAACCTCTGGAGGTAATGAGTTGCAAGCAAACTTGTAGTTCTTTTTACTCTTTTTATTTGCTCCTGCCATGCCCATTGAGCATGAAATAGTCCCCAAGGGTAGAAAGAAAGGAAACCAAAAAGAAAAAAACAATAATAAAACTCCAGCATGTACACACACACACACACACACACACACACTTGCCTAAAGTGAATGAGCATGCAGAGCCAGTATTATTCTCTTTGCACAATTAAAAGATTCTTGTATTTGCCTTTGGTTACTGAAAGCTTAATCATTTCAGAGAATCAGAGACTTCAGCACTTTCAGCTCGTGTAAATGAGAGGCACTATCAATCTGTTTTTAAATTGGTTGTGGGTCTTCTGAGGTCTACTATTTCAGCTTATACCCAATGCCTAGAAATTTTCCAAAGTCCCTTGTTCAGCAGTATACACAGCCAGACTGGTTTGATCCCAATTGCAATTAGTGATAAATACATCATAAGATTAAAAAATATTTTTTAAGGCTTAGAGATTTAGGAACAAATACACTCCAAAAAACAAGAGAAACACTCAATCTCTAGAAACATCAAGGTCCTGAGTTAAAATCTACCTCTTTATAGTTTTCAGTCAAATTGTAAGTCCTGGTGCCCTTTTTTTTCTATAGTTGACTTAATTCTGTATCTGTGGTCCCAATCCTTCTGATCATACCAGATTCATTAGTACTGCAGAAAGGAAAAGGCACTGGTGTTAGGACTGGTGTTAGGATTAAGCTCCTGCCTTAAACTAGTGGCGTGTCATTGGGCCTCTGGAAAGAAGCATGTTTATAAGTACAGAAAGAGAGGTGATTTTAAACCAGACTGAGTAGAGTTTGAATCCCAGATCTGCCGGTTACTGACTTTTATTAACTAGGCCAGTTTCCTTAACATCTCTAAATTTCTTTCTTCCTCATCTGTAAAATGAGAGCAAAAGTACCCAATTTATCAGTTTGTTATGACAACTAAATAAAATAATATATGGAAATGACCTGGCACATAGCAAACCCTCAATAAATAATGGTTCCCATCCCCTGAGCCTCTGGTTTTTCTAAAACGAGTGGGCTCACTGGCTTGACATCACCATACAGAAACAGTGTTTTCCATGACACTGGCATGGTCCCTTAGCTCATGGAGTCTGTGTGTAAACAGCTAAGAAAAGGGGGCTGTCTAAAAATATCCTTAAGACCTAACTAGGAAGAGCAAGGTGAGTGCTGAGAATAAATCAATAGTGTCCTTACCTTAAAACCTTTTTGCATTATAGATTTCCTCTCCCTAAACTCCTCTCCCAACCCCC
The DNA here is from genome assembly GCF_000001405.40 of Homo sapiens. Lineage (NCBI taxonomy): Eukaryota > Metazoa > Chordata > Mammalia > Primates > Hominidae > Homo > Homo sapiens. The sequence continues at coordinate 20,258,078 of NC_000009.12, forward strand.
TACACACACCCCATGTGGTAGGGAGAATAATGACTCCCAAAGATGTCCAAGTCCTAACATCCGGAACGGTGATATGTTACATCACATGGGAAAAGAGTCTTTGCCAAATGATTAAATTAATATGTGTGATTATCAATTTTGGCTGTTAACTTGACCAGATTAAGGGATACCCAGATAGCTGGTAAAGCATTAATTATTCTCAATGCTTCAGTAAGCACTGAGCCTATCCCTCCTCTGTTCAAAGAGAAACACAGGTGGTTTGGCATTTGATTAGAATGATTGGGCTGCCCCAGGTTTATCTTTGAGGGTGTTTTCAGAGGAGACTGGCATGTGGGTCAGTGGACTAAGTGAGGAAGATCCACCCTCAACATGGGTGGGTGCCATCCAACAACTGGGGGTCTGGATGGAACAAAACGCTATAAGAAGGGCAAGTTCCTGCTGTCTCTTCTGGAACCAGGACACTCTTCTCCTGTCCTCAGACGTCAGCACTCTAAATTCTCTGACTTTGGGCTCTGGGACTCATACCAGCAGCCCATGGGCCTTTCAGCCTTTGGCCTCTGACTAATAATTTCACCATGAAGCCACGCTATTGGCTTTTCTGGTTCGCCAGCTTGCAGATGGTCTGTCACGGGTGTTCTCAGCCTCCATTATCTTGTAAGCCAATTCCCTAATGAATCTCCTCTCATTTATCTATCTATCTATCTATCTATCTATCTATCTATCTATCTATCTATCTACCTTATCTATCTATCTATCTGTCTATCTATCTATCTATCTAATGTCTATCTATCCATCCATCCATCCATCCATCCATCCATCCATGCTACAGATTGTGTCTCTCTGGAAAGCCCTAACTAAAACATTAAGTTAAAGGCTCTGAGAAGGGGAGAGTATGCTGGATTATCTGGGTGGTTAAAGGGACTATTAAACATGGAAGAGGGAGACAGAAGGAGAGAGTCAGAGGGAAATGAAACCTGGGAAGAATAGTAAGAGAGATGCAACATTGCTGGCTTCCAAGATGGAGGAAGGAACCATAAGCCAAGGAATGTGAATTGTTTCCAAGAATTGGAAAAGACATGAAAACAGATTCTCCCCTAGAGCCTCCAGGAAAAATTGACGCCCTGCTGATACCTTGATTTTAGCCCAGTGAGACCCATTTTAGATTTCTGACTTCCAGAATTGTAAGATTAAAAGATTATGTTATTTTAAGCCACACAATTTGTGGTAATTTGTTGCATCAGCAATAGAAAATTAATGCACACAGATATTACTATAACCATTTTGATAAAATCACATCACCCCAGCCCTAGAGAAAATTCTTTTTAATCATACTGCTGTGTGGGAGGATTAAATTTTATTAACCAAAAAAAAATTAGTTTGTTTTTAATATATTTATCACACTCGCCCTACCCTGCCCAGCCAAGATAGGAGATGAGCAGTGGTTGAAGAAAACCCCTTGGAAGCTCCTCAAAGAATGAATGAGTTATATGCCTACTGTTTGGGACAGAGTCAGAGACATCAACTGAAACTTAATGATCTCAAGTCTCTGGAGAGAGACTTGAGATCCAAATAGTCCCCAGTAGTCATCTCAAGTCTTAATCATCTCAAGCCTCTGGAGAGAGACTTCAGATTCAAACAGTCCCCAATAGCTATGATTTGAATGTTTGGCCCCTCCAAAACTTGCGTTAAAATTTAATTGCCATTGTAACAGTATTAAGAGGTAAGACCTAGCAGGGCACAGTGGCTCATGCCTATAACCCTAGCACTTTGGGAGACCAAGGTGGGAGGACTGCTTGAGCCCAGGAGTTTGAGACCAGCCTGGGCAACATGGCAAAGCCCCATTTCTGCCAAAAATATGAAAATTAGCTGGGTGGCATACATCCGTAGTCCCAGCTACCCAGGAGGCTGAGGTTGGAGGTCACCTGAGCCTCAGAGGTTGAGGCTGCAGTGAGCCATGATTGTGCCACTGCACTCCAGCCTGTGTGACAGAGTGAGACCCTGTCTCAAAAAACAAACAAATAAATAAATAAAAGGTGAGGCCTTTAAGAGGCAATTAGACCACGAGGGCTCCAACTTCATTAGTGAGCTTAGTGCCATTTTAAAAGGGCTGGTTTGGCCCTTCTTGCCCTCTCTTGCCCTTCTACTTCCTGCTATGGAATAATGCAGCAAGAAATCCATTGCCAAATACTGGCATCTCAATCTTGGACTTCAAAGACTCTAGAACTTGGAGCCAATAAATTTCTGTTTATTATGAATTACCCAGTCTCAGGTATTCTGATACAGCAGCAACAGTGGACTAAGAAGCCAGTCATCCAAAAGAAAACTACTAATTAAGAAAGTTAATGGGAAATAATAACTTTTTAAAGTGAGGTGTAGAGAACCTTTTGTAACACTAGGGATCTTGGTTTCTGGGTAGCTAAATACAATTAGATATCAATTTTCAATTTCATTTTATAGAAATCCATATGACATAGCTCAGGATTAAAACACTGTCTTAGTTCATTTTGTTCTGCTATAACAGAATACCACAGACTTCGTAATTTCCTTTTTTCCATCTCCATTGCTTTTATTTTTTTACTTTTATTATTTCAATAGGTTTGTGGAGAACAGGTGGTGTTTGGCTACATGAATAAGTTCTTTAGCAGTGATTGCTGAGCTTTTGGTGCACCTATCACCGGAAGAGTGTACACTGTACCCAATGTGTAGTCCTTTATTCCTCACCACCCCTCACCCTTTCCTCCGAGTCCCCAAAGTCCAACGTATCATTCTTTCTTTTTTTTTTTTTTTTTTTTTTTAAAGACAGAGTCTCACCCTGTTGCCCAGGCTGGAGTGCAGTGGCGTAATCTCAGCTCACTGCAACCTCCACCTCCCGGGTTCAAGCGATTCTCCTGCCTCAGCCTCTCGAGTACCTGGGACTACAGGCACCTGCCACCACACCCGGCTAATTTTTGTATTTTTAGTAGAGACGGGGTTTCACCATATTGGCCAGGATGGTCTCGATCTCTTGACCTCGTGATCTGCCCGCCTCAGCCCGGGCAGTAAAGTGCTGGGATTACAGGCACGAGCCACTGCACCCGGCCCAATGTATCATCCTTATGCCTTTGCATTCTCATAGCTTAGCAACCACATATGACTGAGAACATACAATGTCTGGTTTTCCATTCCTGAGTTACTTCACCTAGAATAATTGACAGACTTCATAATTTAAAAAAAACTGAAATGTATTTAGCTCATGGTTGTGGAGGCTGGGAAGTCCAGTGTCAACAGGCTGACATCTAGTGAGGGCCTTCAGGCTGCATTATGCCATGGTAGAAGTGCAAAAGGGAGGATAGGCCAGCAAGCATGTGTAAAAAGAAGAGTGCCAGGGTCAGACTTGCTTTATAACAGCCCACTCTCTCCAAAACTAACCCACTCCTACAATAACAACACTCATCCATTCATGAGGGCGCCGCCCTCATGACCCAATCACCACCTGGTAGGCCCCACCACCCAACACTGCTGAATTGGGGATTAAGTTTCCAACACGTGAATTTTGGGGGATGCATTTAAACCACAGTACTATCATAACTGTATTTTCATTTTTCTATAAAGTTTACTATCTTCTACTGGTAAAGTAAAGCCTGGCCATTTTGAAAATTTGTAGAAAACACCAAATCTTTTTTTTTTTTTTTTTTTTTTTTGAGACTGAGTCTCGCTCTGTCACTCAGACTGGAGTGCAGTGGCACGATCTCGGCTCACTGCAAGCTCTGCCTCCCAGATTCACGCCATTCTCCTGCCTCAGCCTCCCGAGTAGCCGGGACTACAGGCGCCCGCCACCACGCCTGGCTAGTTTTTGTATTTTTAGTAGAGACAGCATTTCACCATGTTAGTCAGGATGGTCTTGATCTCCTGACCTCGTGATCCGCCTGCCTCGGCCTCCCAAAGTGCTGGGAATACAGGTGTGAGCCACCGTGCCTGGCTACCAAATCATTTTTTAAATAACTCCATAAACAAAAGACAACATTGCTAACATGTTACATTTTCTCTGTACAGATAGGAAAAGGCAGCCCCAAAAAGAGAAATAATGCTGTAATACTATTATTCTCTGACCAAGCTTGCTTCCAGCTTACTCAGGGTTTTACTTATAAGCAAATAAAACTGACATCCCCAAAGGAGAAAGATTCCACTGGGGTTGGGCGAACATGGTTTGAATCTTTGTTTTGGCATGTCCTACCTATGTGACCCTGGCAAATGAGTTATTCCCAGCAGCCGAAGTTTCCTTGTCTATAACATGAGAATAATCAGACCTATTCCAGGCTATACATGAGGACTGAAGACCAAGTGCCTAGCACATTGCCCAATAAAGGAAAGTGGTCATTGTTGGCTCACAAGTAATTTTTTCAGGAATTCTCTGGCAGAAATTTTTTCAGGATTTCTAGCAGCTTTGCTGGCCACTGGCACCTCAGAGCTAACCATAGCCCTGCTGCCTGCGTTAAAAGCCCATTTACCTCAGTACAGCCCAGAAATAACCTCTAATATCTACAACTGGGGAGGTGCTTATTTTCCACTTATGAAACCTTATCATGAGCATTATCTCATTTCATATTTGGGCACCAGCCTGTATAAAATGGAAACCATCGGCTGAATTTGTTTAGAATCTGCCATCTGGCTGCTTCCCCCTGGCTCCCTGAATGAACTCCTTCTGCTGGAATGTTCTCACCCATTCTCTTCCCACTCTCTGCCCCTCGTCACGCCCTCCTAGGTGTCTGCACTGAAGTTAGTACATTTTTCCACTGCCATGTGTGCCTTTCTATTCTGCAGGGTTGGTTTTGAATCTTTTTTTTCCTAACCTTGAGAACAGGAACCATGGTGTTTTATTCTTCCCAATGCTTGGCAGAGCGGCACTTGGTAAATGTCAGTTAATGTTCCCTGAGAGAAGAAATAAATCAGGGTGGAATAAATAGGTAGATAAATGGAATAGGTAAATTCATGAATTGTCCTCAATCCACTGGAGCCTGCACCTGTGCTATCACTGGGTGTTTCTTGTAGCCCAATACCTAACCCATTTCAAAACTCATGTGTACTTTTATGTTTCTTCACTACTGGTTTGTTCTGAGGTTAACCTGGAAGGATAGTCAGCAATAAAATTAACCAAGACCTGGATGGAGGAGACAGAGAGAGAAGAATCCTTTTCTTTTTGGTGGAGGTGGGGGTGAGACAGGATCTCACTCTGTTGCCCAGGCTGGCCTTCAGTGATGTGATTATGGCTACTGTAGCCTTCACCTCCTGGGTTCAAGCAAGCTGCTCACCTCAGCCTCCTGAGTAACTGGGACCACAGGTGTGCACCACACCTGGCTATTTTTTAAATTTTTTGTAGAGACTGGGTCTTACTATGTTTCCAGGGCTGGTCTCAAACTCCTGGAATCAAGCAATCCTCCCACCTCGGCCCCCCAAAAGCGTTAAGATTACAGGCAGGAACCACTGCATCCATCAGAGAAGGATTCTTCACATGCTTTCTAGTGAAAAATTAGGAAGCCAGCAAAATTCCATGGGCACCTTCACACTGTGCTTCATGTGAATAGCAGTCCTGAATCACCATGCACTACATGTTTACATGAATGATGCTTTTTGTAGTAGCCAGCACTAGTAGCTAGCACTAACTTTACCCTATAGTATGTGTTCCTTTTGGAAGACTTGCAATGTTCCTTGGTGCCACTGGGACAAAGCCCATCCTGAACACTTCCATTGTTGCAGGAAGTAAACCTGCTTCCCCTCTCCCTTGTGCCCTCCTGGATATCCCACCCGCCCCCCCCCCCCCATTAAGGCTCTAACACAATGAAGGCTTTAAGTGAACATCATGTCTGGCTGGGCAGATGCAATCTCCTCTCTTCCTCAGAAGTTTGGATGGTTTCCTTTCTTGCTCTGCACCTCTGAGCTGGCCCACGTATCTGGAATAATTAGCTCTTGACAAGAGAGACCCAATGCTTCTTCCTCCTGCCAATCTGACTTCTATTGTAGTCAGCCCTGAGGGCCCCCATCCCAAGCAACACAAAGCATTGCATGAGTCCAGAGATGCTCAGGTGTAACAAAGGCAGTTAGGAGCAAGGACACTAAAGGAACAACACCTCTGTTGAAATGTCAGTTCTGACACAACCTCTCTGCACCTCAGTTTCCACACCTATAAGGTTAGCATAAGTATCTACTTCACAGTTCCCTTGAGAGGAAGATTACATGAGTTCCTGCTTGTAAAGTACTTGGAACAAAGTAATCCCCTTTTCTCAGATAACTCAGTTCATCTCATCCACAGTGGGCAGGGCCACCAAAAAGCCAAAGGTCAGGACAGCTGCCCCTGCTTCATGTGTTGCAGCTGAATTTGCCCTTCTCCAAAGATTCTCCTTAAGAAAACATCAAGTCAAGAACTTCTGAAACAAATCTTTTCTTGGTGGAATGGTAGCATGACAAGAGGTGGAGGTGAAGTATCAAACACAATTGGCATTCAATTCTGTGTCCATCACTTACTAACTATGGAAATTTGGACAAAAGACAATCTCAGTTTTGGGTTCCTCCTCTGGAAGATGAGAGCAATCAATCATATCTAAATTATATAGTGTCCTTGTGATATTTGAGATCATATGAAAAATAACCTGTGGTAAAATATAGGTGCTTAATATTTGTTTCTCTTTTTCCTGACGCTAAACTTTTTGTTTTATAGAAAACAGAGGCCTAAAGGAGTTAGGCAAGTTACTTAATCCCTGTAAAAAACAACATGCCTGTAAAACATAGAAGGTGGTATTAATGCCTTCCAGAGGTCTATCAGTTCTAAAATGTGTAATCTCTGAGTTCAAGACGGCTCAGGAGTCACTGTTGGACTGTTGGAGAATCCTAAGCCACTCCGGCAATGAGCACAGAGGCCTATCTAGGATTCACCCGTGCTCCCAGCCCTGGTACATCTGGGTCTATTAGCATGGGTCTTTCACCACCTGAGGATACATCCAGGCCAGCTGGAGAAGCAGCCTCCTGCTAAATGGCTCTGCTCTTGCAGCGGGCTACAGCGGGAGATCCATATCAATGGCTGCCTGCCTGCACTTCTGGAGCCTTCCTCATCATGTGAGGATTAGAAAGGACGGACATCTATGGCTTCTGTCAGAGCAGCCGGCAGTGGGTGAACAGACACAGTCTACTGTGTGGATTCCTGGTAAAGGCAGGGTATCCATGGGCCTGGGTTGACTGTCATAAAAGGGAGCTGAAGAATAGTCGCCGAGTTGTTGCGGGAAGTCAGGGACCCCAAACGGAGGGACCAGCTGAAACCATGGCGGAAGAACATAAATTGTGAAGATTTCATGGACATTTATTAGATCCCCAAATTAATACTTTTATAATTTCTTACGCCTGTCTTTACTGTAATCTGTGAACATAAATTGTGAAGATTTCATGGACACTTATCACTTCCCCAATCAATACCCTTGTGATTTCCTAGGCCTGTCTTTACTTTAATCTCTTAATCCTGTCGTTTTCATAAGCTGAGGAGGATGTATGTTACCTCAGGACCCTGTGATGATTGCGTTAACTGCACAAATTGTTTGTAGAGCATGTGTGTTTGAACAATATGAAATCTGGGCACCTTCAAAAAAGAACAGGGTAACAGCAATGTTCAGGGAACAAGAGAGATAACCTTAAACTCTGGCCGCCGGTGAGCCAGGTGGAACAGAGCCATATTTCTCTTCTTTCAACAGCAAATGGGAGAAATATCGCTGAATTCTTTTTCTCAGCAAGGAACATTCCTTAGAAAGAGAATGAGTCCCTGAGGGTGGGCCTCTAAAATGGCCCCCTTGGGTGCGGCCATCTTTTATGGTCGATCTGTAGGGATGAAAGAAGCCTCAGTCTCCCATAGCACTCCCAGGCTTATTAGGACCAGGAAATTCCCACCTAATAAATTTTTGGTCAGACCAGTTGTCTGCTCTCAAACCCTGTCTCCTGGTAAGATGTTATCAATGACAATGCGTGCCCGAAACTTCATTAGCAATTTTAATTTCGCCCTGGTCCTGTGGTCCTGTGATCTCGCCCTGCCTCCATTTGCCTTGTGATATTCTATTACCTTGTAAAGCATGTGATCTCTGTGACCCACACCCTATTCGTACACTCCCTCCCCTTTGAAAATCACTAATAAAAACTTGCTGGTTTTGTGGGTTGTGGGGCATCACGGAACCTACTGACATGTGATGTCTCCCCCGGACACCCAGCTTTAAAATTTCTCTCTTTTGTACTCTGTCCCTTTATTTCTCTAAACGGCTGATGCTTAGTGAAAATAGAAAAGAACCTACATGACTGTCGGGGGCAGGTTCCCCAATACCCAGTCTCTGGGTGTTCCCTATAGCTCAAGACCTAACTCATTCTCCAGATAACTGCTCTTCTCATAGTTATAGTTCTTAGACCACGAAAAGCCCTTCGATAACTGCTTTTCAAGTTTCCACAAAGACCTCAGTAATTTTTTTTTTTGGCACATCTGCTAAGCACCTAATAAATGTTTCTTTCCAGGAAAATTCAGGGACACACAAAATTATAAACAATGGCATCCCAAAACTTGCTGAAATATCAGACCTACATTTCACAACTTTATTTTTCTGAAAATTAGTCTAGGTTCTACATAAGCAAGTTTGAAAATCTCTGTATCCTTGGAGATTCACGGTGCACTTTATCAAAGTGGAGACACTGAGCAGTACTGTAATTAAAAGGAATTGATGCCAGGTGCAGTGGCTCATGCCTATAATTCCAATACTTTGGGAGGCTGAGGCAGGAGGATCACTTGAGGCCAGAAGTTTGAGACCCACCTGGTCAACAGAATGAGACCCCATCTCCACAAAACTAAATTAAAATAATCAGCTAGGCATAGTGGAACACATCTGTAGTCCTAGCTACTTGGGTAGCTGAGGCAGGAACATCACTTGAGCCCAGGTGTTTGAGGCCAGCCTAGATGACAGAGCAAGACCATCTCTTAAGAAATGAAAAAAAAAAAAAAGCTGGTTTGGTTTAACTGACAAAACAAAAATTATCATAAAACAGAATACTTTTGAAACAAATTTCTGTGAAGATACAAGTGTTCTTCAGACCCAATTTGGAAAATGCCAACCTATAATATTTTAAGTGGAGATTAAATTAAATGGCTTCTTTAATCACAAAGATATTTACATCATATAGCAAATCTAGTTTTCACAATAACCATCACCATCCCCACCCTCTAACCCCCACACCAACTCAAATTTGTCCAGGTCTCCTGGTAAGTTTGGAATAAGAATATGGCAATTGCTTACCCGGATCCCCCTGAAAACTCACCTTCAGGTCAGTGAGTTCAGAATGCTGGCGTCTCCTAGTGCTTGTCTGGCCAGGACCCCCGAGTGCCGCCACCACCCCACAGCTACACTGTCCTGTCAGGCTCTTTGGTGGTAGGAGAAGAATAACACTCTGAAAAAGGGGTTCCAGCCTTTAACACAGCCTAGAATAGGCGCTCAGGGAAGACTCTAAGGGGAGGCATTGGATGCCTCACCTTTTCATGGGCTCTGATAACACTTTTTGAGTGCACATTCCCCAAGCCCAGCACTGTGTCTGCCACATAGTAGGTGATCAATAAATGAATAAATTGTACTTGGCGTATTGCAGGACTACATTCCATTTAGAGAATGTTTGCCTCTCATTTATGAAGTTGCCAAGAGGAAACACAATTTTTTTTAATTTCATGTGTCAAGTATCTATAAAGGGCCTGGTTCATGGACCTAAGAAGAGTGGGTGAATGAGTCAATCGTGTAAGGAGTGAATGACTTTGAGCTTTCTCATTGGCCCTTCCTACTGGGTGCCAGGAAGTGAGAATAGGGCCCTCAACCCTCTCTCAATTACCTTTAACCTCCCCATCCCACTGGGTTGCCTGGCCCCTACTTTTCTTCCTCCACCGTGATGTTTCATGCACTTCCTGCCCCACAGCCACGTTATCTGCTATTTAGCTCCTTTGCCTTAAGGAGGGAATGGGAAATGAGTAGCCTGAGGTGCAAGTGAACTACCTTAGCCACATTGGCTTGAGAAGATTAACACTGATGTGGGAAGCATGGCTTAGGATTCACTCCCTCTCACGCTCAGGTGTGAGTTGTTGACAGTACATTGAAAACTGACAATAGGGAGGAGCAGAGGAGAGGGCGCTCCCTCACAGCCAATAGCCCCATGGTCTTCTTCCTCTACATCAGGCCTTATGCCCCACTGCTATGGTTTGAATGTCTCCTCCGAAAGTCATGTTGAAACCTAACTCCCAACATGGCAGTATTGGGAGATGGGGCCTTTAAGAGGTGATTGAGTCATGTGGGCTCTGTCCTTGTGAATGGACTAATTTACTTATGGATTAATGAATTAATGGGTTAATGGATTAATGGGTTATCATGGGAGTGGCACTGAAGGGTTTATAAGAAGAGGAAGAGAGATCTGAGCTAGCACACTCAGCTCCCTCACCATGTGCTGCTTTGCACCTCCTCAAAACTCTCAGAGTCTCCACCAGCAAGAAGGCCCTCATCAGATGCAGCCCCTCAGTCTTGGACTTTTCAGCCTCCATAACTGTGACAAATAAATTATATAGCCCAGTTTTAGGTATTCTGTTATAAGCAACAGAAAACAGACTAAGACATCTACTTCTTCAGGCTTGCCTCTCATGTAAAGGATTCAGGCATCCTTCCAGGGCCTATTTGAATATACTCAGTTCACATATCTTCCCATTTGTCCCAGACTCATTGCAGGCAGTCTCTGGCCCAAAATAAATGGTATGTGTGTGGAGGAACTACGAAAGAGAACTCTTAAGGGAGTACCATTCTGGGACATTCAGTTTTCCACATTCAGGGATATCATCTTCAACAGCCAGCTAACAAGAGTTGAACCCACTATGGACCCCTTTTGCAGCTAAGGATTTTTGTTATTGTTGCTAAGAATTATTTTTAGGTACAATTTAGCAGTTAAGGATGCAATATTTCCTGCTTTGACAATTTAAAAGTGACCTCAATGGATTTCAGGGGGTGGGGAGTTACTTGTTTTTTGCCTGAAGCACGAATTTTTATGCCCCACCTAAGTTGGTGTGCAGGAGGGGGTCTTAGCCGTGAAGGAGTCTAGACACTCAAAATCTCAAGTTTTGTGGCTCTCCCTTAATATAAATGCATATGAATCTTTCCAGTACTCTGGAGGGCAGGTGTTTTTATCCCTGTTGTATAGGTAAGAAAAGGAGACGCATCCATGATGTTGGAAACTGGGGATATGGCTATCTCAGGAATATCCCTACTATACCATGGGTTTGAATCCAAATCCCCAGTGCCTCATTCCTCAGCTCTTCTCCTCCTCCCACCCATGACTCTCCTGAACTTCCTTTCATTTCTCTGTTCTCAGCAAGTAAAAGCTTCAAAGGCAGGTGGGGTACAGTAAGAAGGGGCACGAGTGAAAGGAGGAGTGTTCTGGGTGTCTCTCTTCATTCCCAGCAGCTCCGTTTCATCTGCTTTTCATGTACCCCTGATAGCAGATGTCCTTTAATATCCAGATAAGAGCAAACCAAACCCCTATTCTACAACCAAGGAGAAGTACAACCTGCTCCCCCGACCCTCACCAAGATTTTTTTTCAATTCCTTAGAGGCTTACCTTCTGGTAGTCATCTCTATCTCATACTTTGTTTTTACTACATCTGTCAATCTGAGTCATATGGCTTCTTTGTTCCTTTTGTTTTTTATCTTCTTCTTGGCATTGACCCAAACAAAGGACTTGACCGCTTTCTTGTTGATACCTGGTCTTAGTCTGTTTTGTGTTGCTATAACAGAATACCTGAGCCTGAGTAATTTGTGAGAAAAGAGGCTTATTTAGCTCACAGTTCTGCAGGCTAGGAAGTCCAGGGGCATGGCCCTGCCTTCTGGCAAGATTTTTCATGCTGCATCATAACATGGTGGAGAATTTCAAAGGGGAAGCAGACGTGTGAAGAGGGAAGACTGGAGGGGCATCTTGGCTTTATAATGACCTACTCTAGCAGGAAATAATCCATTCCTGCAAAAAATAATCCAGTCTTGTCAGAGAGCGAGCTCATTCACAACCACCAGAAGGGCACCAACCTATTCATAAGGGATCCAACCCCATGACCCAAACAGCTTCCACCAGGCTTCACTTTCCCAACACTGCCACACTGGGGAATCAAATTTCAGCATGCATTTTGGTGGGAATAAAAAAACCATAGCACTGCCCTTCCATATCTCACACATAAAGGAGATGTCTAGGCTATATTTTTTACTGTAGAATTGGGAATAATGGTAAGGAGTTTCCTGTGTACCTCACAGGACGTAATTTAAGAGAATTAGTCATAACTATTCATGACAAGCCTTGTTACTCAGCCTCTCCATCCTTCTTCCTCCCTTCTCTTTGCAACCCATCCCCACCATCAAATTCAAGTTTATTACTTACAAAAAGCCTTTAGCTGTTTCTTGGTTGCCTTCTCCCTGAAGGTGATTTAGCAAGGTATTTCCCTAAAATAAAGTGCTTTCCCTAAGGAGCTCTGGTCTCTGCTAGAGAGGTAAAGATCTTTCCCAGCCCAAAGGCATACCTACTCATTCATTCATTCAACAAATATTTATTGAGTGCCTGCTATGTGACAGACTCTGGGGATATAACAGTTAACAATGGGACAAAAACCCGTGTCATCATGGAGTTCACATTCTAGTGGAACTTTGCATAAATTTATTTTAAAAACAAAAATGTTTTTATACAATAAAAATTTGAAAGCTGATGTCTTAGAATATTTTTCAGAAAGCATTTAGAATTCTACTATTCCTGCCTAGTCTTCTTAAATAAATGGGGCACAGAGGGAAGAACTTGCCTTTGTTCTTTGGAATCCAGTTTCCTTTTTTATCTCCCTCCTTTTTAAAAGGACCATTTTCTTCTCTGTTCCCCAGGTTGTGCTAGCCTCCTGTCTCTTGCTTAATCCTCCCTGAAATACACAAAGCAGCACCATCCTCTTCACTCTATCTTACTCTCGCTTTAAGGTTATTGTCTCCAAGGAGTCCTTCCCATAAAGGGCTCCCATAGAGCCCTTTCTCCACTCACCCACCTCAGCACCCTCTCCTCTCCCATCTAAATTAATTCTCTTGCCCTATTTCGAAGATGTTGTCTGTGCTGGCTGGATGTGCTGCTTTGTAGATCATTAAACTGTCCCCCATATAATTTACAGATCCCTTCAATGATGCATGTCTGACTGTAGATGTCACCAACAGATGTCTGGGGAGTTACATCCTACCCAGAATATGCTCTCCTGCAGTTTCAAGAGTGAGACTGTGTGTCTTTATTCATCCTCTGCTGCTGGGCTAGTGGGTTTTGCCAGATATATGCTGCTGCTGCTTTCTTTTATGGAATTTCCTTTTTTATTTTTTCTGCTTATACTCAACAGATCATCTCTGAGAAATCACTTTACAAATGACTGAGATTATCAGCACACAGAAGGCTCTCTCACTCACAGCACTGCTAGGTGCAATAGACAAATGATATCAGACGTGTTTCTGCAACTAATTTTATTCCTGAAGCATCTTAGGAAAGAAAAGCTCAAGCAAGAGACTGACACAGATGTTGAATTTTTTTTTAAAGCATCTACAAGCAACACACACTATCCAAATATTTTGTTATTTTATTTTACTTGGACTCCGTTTTGTTATTAAAGAAAGGTTTGAATGAGTTTGCAAAATGCATATAATATATAAAGAGGAGCAAAAAAGGATAAAGAAATTCAACTAAAAAATAAAGAAAATTAGATTATCCATTTGTAAGGATATTGCAAAAATTTGTACTTAATCAGATTTGGTGCTATGCCACCTAATGGCCAAAGCAAAGAGGAAAACATGATCAGCCTGAGATGCTGCCCATCTGGAGGGGGAAAGGTTAAACTATTAGATCGCATTCACTTTTTCACAAGAACTTGGGGCTACTTCTCACATTTTGTGGTTTAGGGTCAGGAAGGATAATTATCCTGCAATGCTTCAGTCCTAAATAATTGTCCTGCCTGAAATGCCAATTATACACCTTTGAGAATGGCTGACTTGCATAATTCGTAGAGCCTAAAAGTTAAAAACTCAAGAATAAACCAGTAATTTGGGAGAAGCACCAGCACTAAAATTAGAAAATGAAGTCCTTTTTGAGACCGCCTAAAAGGGACTCAGTAGTATAGCAAACATCAAGATGCTCTAACAGATGTCAGAGGGAGATTTCTGTGATCATTCCTACCATCATCCAGAGAGAACTGCTGTTTTAGAGTCTCATAGTTCGACCCGTCCCTTAATGTGGCAGTTCATCCTGACAAGTATGTTTAGCTCAGCCTCCCTAATTTTTTATTCCAACTCCACAAATGTAAGCTGAGTACTAGGTAGTGTTCTAGACTCTACCCTGACACCCTGAAGGTTGGAAGATTAAACAAGACCCTATGCTTCTCTGAATGAGATGATTTTGTAATAAGGTCATCGTCTCCTCTAAAGCAAGTTGGAAAACTGAGAAACTAAAACTCCATATTCTGTAGTATAACTCTCATATAAACATACAAACCAGTCTTCAAGGTAAACCAATTGACTGATCAGGCAACTCAAAATAACAAAAAGAAGAAAAGCATAGCAGCCTAAAATTAATGGCATCTCTTGTTCCAGTCAAGGTTCCTTTGGTTGCCAGCTCTACAAATCTACTCTGGCTCCCTACAGCAAAAAAGAGGTTTATTAGGAGATTATCAGAGGCCCACTGAGAATGCATGGGAAGCTGAAGCCAATAGGAACAGCACTAGGGGATTCCCCAAGGAGCCCAGTGGTGATATCCTTAGGTGTTGCAAGTAAAGGTTAAGATCCCTCAGTGTGTTCTTTACTGGATCCTGATCCCAGGCTAGGATCCATTTGGCCAAGCCAAGCCTAGGTCACATGCCCACATCCTGGCTGCCAGGGTCTGGGAAGAAGAGGATCTACCGTCAGTGACTTCCACAGTGTGAGGCAGACGATGTGTCTAACCAATACCACACCCAACAGAGGATGTGGACAGCCCAAAACCATGATGCTTGTCCCTGATGGAGCACAGGACACACTGCCCCCAAAATATGGCTTCCTGGAAATTGAGAAGACAGCGTAAGCAGAAAGGTCACCCTCAGACACTGCCCCACCTTTTTGTGTGAAAGCTAGCCATAAAAGAATTTTCTGACCTGCTTCCCCTGAAAGTAAGTTATAAAACCCTCATGCAACAGATATCCTGCCTTATTCCCAGAGAAAAGAAACAAAGACACAGAGATGCCAAGAAGAATCTTAACAAAAAGCATCCAAAGTGATATGATTTGCCTCCATGTCCCCACCCAAATCTCATCTTGTAGCTCCCATTATTCCTACTTTTATGGGAGGAACCCTGTGGGAGATGATTGAATCATGGAGGCGAGTCTTTCCCATGCTGTTCTCATGATAGTGAATGGGTCTCATGAGATCTGGTGGTGTTAAAAACGAGAGTTTCTCTTCACAAGCTCTCTCTTTGCCTGCTGCCATCCACATAAGACGTGACTTGCTCCTCCTTGCCTTCCACCATGATTGTGAGGCCTCCCCAGCCACATGGAACTGTAAGTCCAATTAAAACCTCTTTCTTTTGTAAATTGCCCAGTCTCAGGTATGTCTTTATTAGCAGTGTGAAAATGGACTAATACACCAAGTTTCCCCAGTTCAATATTAAACCTTACCCCCATCTGTTCAATCATATTTCTACACAACTATCCATTCTCCATCAAACCTAAGCATAAAAAGGACAGTTTTACCCATTTCTTTGGGTCTTCATTTCTGAAGGTTCTCATGTTAGATACAATTTAAATAATTCTGTTAGGCTTTTCTCTTGTTAATCTTTCTTTTGTAATATGGGTATCAGTCATGAGCCTTGTGATGGATGAGAGAAAGATATGACTTTTTCTCCCCTCATCCCCAATACCTACTGATGTATGTCTCCACTCATTCAATCACCAGATGTGTGCTAGACACTGTTCTGAGCACTGAGGATATAAGAGGGAATAAGCCAAAGTTCCTTCTCTCCTGACACTTATATTCTAGTGTGTGGGTGGGTAGGAGGTAGACAATGAACAAATACATAGATAATGATGCCAGCTGTTGTGGCTTCAAGGACTATGGATATAGCCAAAACAGGGGAGGGGGACCAGGAGTGCTGGGGGCCTGCTCTTCTACATAGAGTGATTGTGGAGGAGATCATGTGGTTATGTGGGGGAAGAGGTGAGGAGCCAAGATTATGAAAGGCATTTTAGCTCGCATGAAGGACTTTGACTCTAATTCTAAATAAGATAAGAATTCTTTAGAGAGTTTTGATCAAAAAAGTGTCCTGATCCAATTAATATTTCACTTGGGTAATTTTGGCTGCTGGATTGAGAATTAACTTTTGAGGTGCAAGGGAAAAAGAGGAGGAACTATTGTCAAACTCAGGTCTCTCTACCAACTGCGATACTACACTGTGGAGTCAGAGAGTTCACAGGTAAAGGGAACCCTGGAAAGGCTCTAGTCTAACACTATGAAGAAACTCAGAGATGTGAAGGGAACACTGCAGCTCTGGGAGGGCTAGGCCTCCTGCCTTGTGCCTGGGCTATCTTCACTAATTTACAATGATGACAGAAGAAGCTTTGTCCCTCTTTGTCCCCCAAGGATAGTGGACCATGGCTTCCTCATCCACCGAGATCTCTTGGGGATGAAGAAACTCTGCCCTTGTCAGACCCCTCTCTGCACTGTGGGATGAGCATGCCACGGTGCAGAAGCTTGGGTGGTGGTACTAGACATCAGTCACTGTGCCTCTCCCAGCCACTGTCTAGCCGGAAGAGGTGACCCTTAGTGGCCGCCTTTTGTGATGCATGACTTTCTCCCTCAATCCCCACCTCAGTCAGACCCTAGATGACAGGATTAGGGGTGGACTCCTGATCCAAGGCAATATACCTGAGGCCTGGCCAGGGAGCTAAGATGATGCGACCCAGCAGGAAGAGATGAACACAGCCAGTAGGATTCCCCTTCTGGCATCTGAACTAAGACATAACAACAGCAAGAAGTTCTCAGCAGTGGGGCCTGAAGCTAAAAGTAAACATAGACATAGAGCTCAGTTAGGGGTTACGGCAAACAAGTGAGGAGAGAGAAGACCTGCAGAGAAAAGAAAAGAGGACTTGAAAATCACGGTACCAATGAAGGACACAGGAAATGGCTCACTCACACTAATGCCAGAGCACTTGCAAGAAAAATCACACACTCCTTCTGCTCAAATTCCTAGAGTTACCTTGCCCTGAGGCCTGGTGGTTCTATTTTTTTGTGAAAATGTGTATAGATACAGTGGCATCTGCTCCTAAATGTTTAGGCTTTAGAAATATCTACCTCTGCTCAGCTAGTCTGGCTTTCAGGCCACCAACAAGAAGATCACACCTAAGATAGTACCATACATTCCTCTTCTTAGACACCCACTCACCTCCCAGCTCTGATGAGGCCTTTTTCCTCATGTCTCTATATCCAGGGCAAGTTTGTAGACAATCTCATTTTACTCCAATGATATGTTGATTGAGATATAGCTATAGTGACTGACATCTTTGAAATTCTACGTGTGTATTCCTCCATTTTCATATGGCTATGAAGAAATGCCCAAGACTGGGTAATTATAAAGAAAAAGAGGTTTAATGAACTCACAATTTGATGCGGCTGGGGAGGCCTCACAATCATGGTGGAAAGTGAAGGAGGAGCAAAGGCACATCTTACATGGTGGCAGGGAAGACAGCACGTGTGAGGGAACTCCCCTTTACAAAACTCTCAGGTCTCGCGAGACTTATTCACTATCGTGAGAACAGCATGTGAAGAAAACCACCCCCATGATACAATTACCTCCTACCGGGTCCCTCCCATGACACGTGGGGATTATGGGAGCTACAATTCAAGGTAAGATTTGGGTGAGGACACAGCCAAACCATATCATTCTGCCCCTGGCCCCTCCCAAATATCATGTCCTCACATTTCAAAATCAATCACACCTTCCCAACAGTCCCCCAAAGTCTTAACTCATTTCAGCCTTAACTCAAAATGTCCAAAGTCTCATATGAGACAAGCTAAGTCGCTTCTGCCTATAGCCTGTAAAATAGAAAGCAAGTTAATTTCTTCCTAGATACAATGGGGATACAGGCTTTGGGTAAATGCAGCCATTCCAAATGGGAGAAATTGGCCAAAACAAAGGGGCTACAGGCCCCATGCAAGTCCAAAATCCAGCTGGGCAGGCAAATTAAAGCTCCAAAATGATCTCCTTTGACTCCATGTCTCGCATCTTGGTCACGCTGATGCAAGAGTTGGGTTCCCATGGTCTTGGGCAGCTCTGCCCCTGTGGCTTTGCAGGGTACAGCCCCACTCCTGGCTGCTTTCATGGGCTGGCATTGAGTGTCTGTGGCTTTTCCAGGTACATGGTGAAAGCTGTCAGTGGATCTACCATTCTGGGGTCTGGATGATGGTGTCCCTCTTCTCACTGCTCCACTGGGGAGTGCCCTAGTGGGGATTCTGTGTAGGGGCTCCCCCTTCACATTTCCCTTCCACACTGCCCTAACAGATGTTCTCCATGAGGGCTCTGCCCCTGCAGCACACCTCTGCCTAGACATCCAGGTATTTCCATACATCCTCTGAAATCTAGGCGGAGGTTCCCAAACCTCAGTGCTTGACTTCTGTATACCTGTGGGCCCAACACCATGTGTAAGCCACCAAAGTTTGGGGCTTGCACCCTCTGAAGCAATGGCCTGAGCTGTATGTTGGCCCCTTTTAGCCACTGCTGGGACACAGGGCACCAAATCCCAAGACTGCACAAAGCAGCAAGGCCTTGGACCTGGCCCATGAAACCATTTTTTCCTCCTAGGCCTCCTGGCTTGTGATGGGAAGGGCTGCCTTGAAGTTCACTGACATGCCCTAGACATGTTCCCCATTGTCTTGGCGATTAACATGTGGCTCCTCATTACCTTTGCAAATTTCTGCCGCCAGCTTGAATTTCTCCTCAGAAAATGGGGTTTTCCCATAAAAGCCCTAGAAGAAAACCTAGGCAATACCATTCAGGACATAGGCATGGACAAAGACTTCATGACTAAAACATCAAAAGCAATGGCAACAAAAGCCAAAATTGACAAATGGGATCTAATTAAATAAAGAGCTTCTGCACAGCAAAAGAAACTACCATCAGAGTGAACAGGCAACCTACAGAATGGGAGAAAATTTTTACAATCTACCCATCTGACAAAGGGCTAATATCCAGAATCTACAAAGAACTTAAACAAATTTACAAGAAGAAAATCAAACAACCCCATCAAAAAGTGGGCAAAGGATATGAACAGACACTTCTCAAAAGAAGACATTTAGGCAGCCGCAAGACACATGAAAAAATGTTCATCATCACTGGCCATCAGAGAAATGCAAATCAAAACCACAATGAGATACCATCTCACACCAGTTAGAATGGCAATCATTAAAAAGTCAGGAAACAACAGGTGCTGGAGAGGATGTGGAGAAATAGGAACACTTTTACACTATTGGTGGGACTGTGAACTAGTTCAGCCATTTTGGAAGACAGTGTGGCGATTCCTCAGGGATCTAGAACTAGAAATACCATTTGACCCAGCCATCCCATTACTGGTATATACCCGAAGGATTATAAAACATGCTGCTATGAAGACACATGCACACATATGTTTACTGCAGCACTGTTCACAATAGCAAAGACTTGGAACCAACCCGAATGTCCATCAATGATAGACTGGATTAAGAAAATATGGCACATATACACCATGCAATACTATGCAATCATAAAAAAGGATGAGTTCATGTCCTTTGTAGGAACATGGATGAAGCTGGAAACCATCATTCTGAGCAAACTACCACAAAGACAGAAAACCAAACTCTCCATGTTCTCACTCATAGGTGG
Source organism: Homo sapiens (assembly GCF_000001405.40). Classification (NCBI taxonomy): domain Eukaryota; kingdom Metazoa; phylum Chordata; class Mammalia; order Primates; family Hominidae; genus Homo; species Homo sapiens. The sequence goes on from NC_000009.12 coordinate 20,278,025, forward strand.
GAATTGAACAATGAGAACACTTGGACACAGGGTGGGGAACATCACACGCCAGGGTCTGTCGTGGGGTTGGGGGAGGGGGAGGGATAGCATTAGGAGATATACCTAATGTAAATGACGAGTTAATGGGTGCAGCACACCAACATGGCACATGTATACATATGTAACAAACCGGCACACTGTGCACATGTACCCTAGAACTTAAAGTATAATAAAAAAATTAAAAATAAATAAAAAGAAAATGGGTTTTTCTTTTCTATCACATATCAGGCTGCAAAATTTTTGAACTCTTATGCTCTGCTTCCCTTTTAAATATAAGTTCCAACTCCAGACCAAATCTTTGTGAATCAATAAAACTGAATGCTTTTATGAACAACCAAGACACATCTTGAATGCTTTGCTTCTTAGAAATTTCTTCTATCAGATACCCTAAATCACCTCTCAAGTTCAAAGTTCCACAGGTCTCTAGGGCAGGGTCAATATGCCACTAGTCTCTTTGCTAAAGCACAACAAGAGTCACTTTTGCTCCAGTTCCCAACATGTTCCTCATCTCCATCTGAGACCACCTCAGCCTGGACTTTATTTTCCATATCACTATCAGCATTTTGGTCAAAGCCACTCAACAAGTCTCTAGGAAGTTCCAGACTTTCCCACATCGTCCTGTCTTCGGAGCCCTCCAAGTCTTTAGGAAGTTTAGACTTTCTCACATTTTCCTATCTTCTGAGCCCTCTAAACTGCTCCAACCTTTACCTGCCCAGTTCCAAAGTCACTTTCACATTTTCACATATCTTTACAACAGTACCCAACTCTACTAGCACCAATTTATTGTATTAGTCCATTCTCACACTGCTAATAAAGACATACCCTAGACTGGGTTATTTATAAAGGAAAGAGGTTTAATTGACTCACAGTTCCACAAGGATTAGGAGGCCTCAAGGCACTTACAATCATGGCAGAAGGGGAAGCAAACATGTCCTTCTTCATATGGCAGCAGGAAGGAGAAGAATGAGAGCAAAATGGGGAAAAGCTGCTTATAAAACCATCAGATCTCATGATACTTATTCACTATCATGAGAACAACATGAAAAAAAACCTATCCCCATGATTTGATTTTCTCCAACTAGGTCCCTCCCATGACACATGGGGATTATGGGAACTACAATTTAAGATGAGATTTGGATGGGGACACAGCCAAATCATATAAGCATATATTGTTTATTTAAAACCGGCCAGACATGGTGGCTCATGCCTGTAATCCCAGCACTTTGGGAGGCTGAGGCAGGTGGATCACCTGAGGTCAGGAGTTCAAGACCAGCTTGTCCAACATGGTGAAACCCCATCTCTACTAAAAACACAAAAATTAGCTGGGCATGGTGGCGGATGCCTGTAATCCCAGCTACTCAGAAGGCTGAGGCAGGAGAATCACTTCAGCCCAGGAGGCGGAGGATGCAGAGAGCTGAGATCACGCCATTGCACTCCAGCCCGAGCAACAAGAGTGAAACTCTGTCTTAAAAAATAAACAAAAAATAAAAATAAAGGCTATTTTTTAAAAAGCTATGTTGATGATATTGCAAGTCCATCAACAATGTCTAACCAAGAGGTCTGGACAGCTCTTCTGCTGGACTAATAGTTTACTTGACTTGCAGAATTAAATGCCAAGGGATCATACATTCTTACTGTCTTGTGTAAAGCATAATTAGGAAGATAAGATTACATGTTAAGGGGTAGAAAAATTTTTCCTTGGGTTACTGAACTGATCATTTCACCTCCACCATTAAAACAAGTGTTCCTTCCGGTGGTTTGCATGGCTGGTCATAAGCAGGTCTCCAGGTCTCAGGGACACACTCTCATTGTTATCGATGATGTAGATCTTCTAAGCTGAGTATTTATAAAATTTGTCAGTAAAACCACTGAGGATCAGGACTTTGAGATTCAGCTTACTGAATGGTCCCATCTTTAAAATTCTCACATAAGTGCCCCTGCCAAACAAATGAAGGATTCTAAGCAGCAGGGTCTGGCGGGAAAAATAGGCTATTGCCTATGGCAGAGGCATTGTCTTAGTTTGGGTTCCTAAGAAGCAGAGTCTGAGATGGGGATTCTTGAAAAAGTAGTTTATTAGGGGAGTGGGCTTGGGAGAAAGGGAGCAAAAAAGCTGAATGGGGCTCCGAAGAAAGTTAAACGAAGATGTGGCTCAGGTGGCTCCAGTGTGATCCCACAGGGAGCCCTGGAATACAAATTACACCACAGAGGTGGTCCTATCTTCAGGCAAGGTACCATTTTTTTGTACCCCTTGTTAGTCATTGGCCTTCAGAGGGAGGTGAGGAGATGGGTATATAACCTCTAGATTGAAGCAGCTTCCATCTGACTAGAGGCAATTCTCTGCAGAAGAGGGCGCCATGAGCTATTAGCAGCCAATACAGCCCTAGATCACAGGAGGCACCAGCCTGGTAAGGGAGGTCTGGGCTGGGCACCTCAGAAGTTGCCCTGAATGATTGTGCAAGAATCAGTGGTGACCATTGTTACTAAAGAGGAAAACATCTCTGGTACTGGAGCCACATCAGGTTTTGGGTTTATGGTTTCGTTTTTGTTTTCATTTATGAACTTGGGCCCCTGTACTAGGTCAAATTGTGGGTTACCGAAAGACATGTCCACATCCTAAACACCAGAGGCTATGAATGTAGCCTTATTGGTAACAGGGTTTTAGAAGACATAATTAGGTGAAGGATCTCAAGATGAGATCACCCTGGATTATCTGCTTGGGCCCTAAATCTAATGGCAAATGTCCTTATAAGAAACAGAAGACACAGACACAGAGGTGACAGCCATGTGAAGGTGCAGACCATGCAGCCAGAATCCAAGGGAGGCCTGGAGCCACCAGAAGCAGGAGGAGACAAGGGATAGAATTTTTCCCTAGAGCATCTGGAGGAACAAATGGTCTCTCTCTGTCACCCAGGCTGGAATGCAGTGGCACTATCTTGGCTCACTGCAGCCTCGACTTCCTGGGATGAATGGATCCCCCAACCTCAGCCTCCCAAGTAGCTGGGACTACAGGCATGAGACACCATGCCTGGCTGATTTTTGTATTTTTTGTTGAGACAGGGTTTCACCATCTTGCACAAGCAGTTCTCGAACTCCTGGGCTCAAGCGATCCTCCAGCCTCAGCCTCCCAAAGTGCTGGGAATACAGGCGTGAACCACCATGCCCAGCCCAAGCATGAAGTTTTTAAGAAACTATAACTACAACAGCACTCTTTATCTTATTTATACTTTTTAAGGAAACTATAAACTTTTTATACTTTTTATTGAAGTATATACTTTTCACATATATTCAAATATGCACATATCATTAGGATAGAGCTTGATACATTTTCACAACTGAACACAATCATGTAACCAGCACCCAGATCCAAAACGGAACATTACCAGCACCTCAGAAACTTCCATGTACTCTTTTCTCGGTCACTACTCTCCCACAAGAAAAACCATAATGCTGATGTCTAATCACATAGGTTAACTTTGCATATCTTCAAACTTTATATAAAGGTAATCATACAGTATATATTCTTTTATGTGTGTCTTCTTTTGTGCCACATAGTGTTGGTCAGATTTATCCATAATGTTGCATGTAATGAACTGCTCAGCATCATTGTTGTATAGTATTTGATTTGGGGAATATCTCATAGTAGATCCATTCATTCTACTAATAATGGACATTTGGGTTGTCAATTTTTAGCTATTACAAATAGTGCTGCTATAAAAATTCTAGTTTATAGCTTTTGGCAAACATACATATAGAATAATCTGGGGAAAATTGATATCTCTACAGTACTAAATCTTCCAAAATATGAACAACGTACATTTATTTAAGTCTTTTTAAAATTTCTCTCAATATTGTTTTGTAGTCTTTGTTGAACACTGGCACATTTTTCATTAGATTTATTCCTTAGTGTTTTATATTTTTGATGCTATTATAAATTGCACTGGGACTCTGTGGGATTTTAAGGAGATGGAACATTTTAGCAGCCTGAGCTTTATTGCCTTTCTAGACAAGAATCCTAAAATTTTCTTTTATTAAAATGATAGGAGGAGAAAGATTATTTAAATATCCCAAACTATTAAAACTGACAAAAGGGAAAACAAATAAGACCAGAGGCTGCAATTAGCCAATTAGAGTGCCAACTACAAATTCCAGTTTTCACTTCCAACAGTATCAAATAGGCCCCAAGAAACCTTTTCCCAGAAAAGGATCCAAAAGAAATAAGTTGAAATTCCATGGTTTGTGTAAAAGAAATAAACTCTTTTTCATTGATCTCTGGCCAGAGAGTGAGTACTTTTTCTAATTTCAAAAATTTGAAAGGGAGACAAAATCCAATATTTATACATACATATTATGTGTCAAGTGCATTTTACACAATTATCTATCATGACAAACCTACACACTGTTTGCATTTATTCAATTTTCTAGTTGAGGAATCTGAAATCCAAGAGATTAATGCCCCAAATCATACTCTATCAGTGATAGAAATGCAAATTCAGGCCTGACAGATGCCAGCAGCAACCCCGCACCCCCATCTTTAGAAGTAACATGAATTGGTATCTTTTCAACTATTAAAATTAAAGTCATGTTCATTACAGAAATTTTGAAAAATATAGAAAAGTATAAAGAAATGATTTTATAGATATACATTGATTTTCTACTCAGTATCACTTATAATATCCTCACGAGTTTATATACTCTTGAACTTTATCATTCTAACATCTGCATACTTTTTCATCAGTTAATACACTGTAATATTTAAACCAAATACCTTTCATGTTGGACATATAAAACTATTACTATTTTTCATGTAATACATGACTCTGCAATGAACCTTGCATCTGTATCATTGCAACTTTGCACACACCTCTGATTATTTCTTTATGATAAATTCCTCCAAGTATTATCCTGAGTCAAAGGGATAGAAACATGTTAAGACTGTTAATACACATGGTCAAATCCTCCTCTTCCCTTCCCTCCCATCTCCCAGATAAGTCACAGCTTCTTCCTATCCTTAGCAAGAGAGAGGGCCATCTGCTGTGTCTTTGTCTGTGCTGGATATTACCACTTAGAAAAATATTTCCCAATCGGATAGGTCGAAAAAATCATATTTTAATTTACACTTCTTTAAATACCAGTGGTTTTGAGCATCTAGTTATTGGCCATGTGTATTTGTCCATTTGGATGTTGCCGTTTCTCAACAAATGCTCTCTGGATCACTTGCATTAGAATGCTTATGTGCATAGGAAACAGGTCGATTCCTGATTCCCAGTTCAGACTACCTAAAGTGATCCCTGCATGGGGGTTGGAGGGAGGAAATCTGATTTTGTTAGCTCTGCTGGCAATTCGTATGGACTCTAGATTTTGATCATCACTGTCCTCCTCCAGTCGGGCCTCTGCAGATTCCAGACCTAGAAGCAGCAAACAAGTCTACATGTTAGCAGTGGAAGAGACTCGAATTACCCCGAGTTATGGCCGGAATATCCATACGGGTCAGTAGCAACTTCAGTCCTTGCCTCTTCAGAAGAAATAATTCAACTGAGGGGCATAAAGCAGAAAAAGAGACTGAAGCAAGTTCCAGAGCAAGAATGGAAGTCTATTTTAAAAGACGTTAGAACAGGAAAGAAAGGAAAATTCACTTGGAAGAGACCCAGTGGGCACCTGAAGGTCCAAGGGAGAAAAGAGAAAAAAAAAGGGGGGGGGGGGCTTTAATCTTGATCCTACAACTTTATAGGCTCGCCTCTTTCCCACGAAAGGTGTAGGATTCCCGCATGCGCAATGCTTTTCTTGCCCTCTGGAATTGAGCAGGCAGCGTGTTTAGGGAGTTATACGCATGCCCATCTGAGGCATTTTCCTTTTTCCGGTGGCATGTGTTCCCGGAATGTCATACTTCACCATTTTGTCTCTTAACATGCGTGCCCAAAAAGCTGCTTTTCCCTGGGTTCTACATTCAATGAACATTTTTAATGTTAACAGGTGTGGACCATCAGTGGCTTGACTCTCCGTGGCTGCCGAATTATCATTTCTATAGAGGCAATGCGATAATTGCCGAACTATCACTCGACATTTCTAGTGGGTGGGGGAGAGCCCCCTCCTGCCCCACTCATGCCTAACTACCTGTAACATACACAGCCACGGACTTGATCCCTTTATAAGTCAAAATCACTGGTGATCCTCACATGAAGCTTTTGTTTGTCTATATAATTCAAATGTGTTTTCAGGTATTTTTTTTTTTAAAGAGATGGGGTTTCACTCTGTTGCCTAGACTGGAGTGCAGTGGTGTGATCATAGCTCACAGCAGGCTCGAACTCCTAGGCTCAAGCAATCCTCCAGCCTCAACCTCCCGAGTAGCTGGAACTACAGGCAGGCACAACCATGCGCAGCTCAGGTACATTATCTTAATAACTGCAGAGAAATCTCTGAGATGTCATAGTTCAACCCCTCATTTAGCCATGTCAATAAGCTTAAAACACATTTTTTTTTGTGGTATAGTCAAGCCAATGACTAAAGATTCAACATCTCTGCCCAGCAGGATTCTAACTACATAGCAAAAGAAGAGATTTTTTTAAAGAGAATAAAATTTTTATTTTGAAAAGTTTAAGAAATCCTGCAAGAGCTGTGAAACTAGTAGAGTTTCACAAGTAGAGAACCAAGCACAATAAAGCACCATTCAATCCTGGATTTCAAGGAGCCAGATGAAAAGCCTAGTAGGGTGGGGTCCTCAGCCTCTCCTATCTTACTTCCCTTCACTGATTAGGCCCTAGCAAATAGAAACAAAAGGATTGTTTTCCTGAGGACAGCATGTACATGTTTAAAGACATTCAGCTTCTGTAAATGCCTTACAGGGAATTTTAAGGACATAAAAGCTACAATGATATTGTTTGAGAAGCTGCTTTTTTCTTATGCCTTTGCAATTCAAGCAAGCCAAATATAATTCTATTAGCAGTTTTTAAATGTTAAGTGTAAGGATTACCTAATATTTACTACCAGCAGGCCAAAATGACGCAAACAATAGGCCAGAGCTAGCAGGGTGGGCAGGAGGTGGCACGTCATATTCATGTGAGGAAACCTCTTCCCAAGGAAATAGGTAGAAGCATCCCTGTTACCGACTGAATCATGCTGCCCTCCAAATTCATGTTGAAGTCCTAACATCCAATGTGACTGCATGTGGAAATAGGGCCTTATATTAGTCTGAGTGCTCCAGAGAAACAGAACCAATAGGATGTATATATAATATGTAGAAAGAGGTTTATTATAAGGAGTTGGCTTGTGTGATTATGAAGGTTGGCAAGACATTGATATGCAGAGTGAATCGGCAAGCTGGAGACCAAGGAAGGCAATTTAATTCTAGTCCAAGGCTGAAGGCCTAGAACCAGGATGAACTGATGTTTCAGTATGAGTCTGAAAGCAGGAAAAAAGCTGATGTTTCAATTCCAAGGCATCAAGCAGGAAGAATGCTCTTCTACTTGAGGGAGGGACAGGCTTTTTGTTCTACTTAGGCCTTTAACTCATAGGATGAGGGCCACTGATATCAGAGAGGGCAAGCTGCTTTACTCCATCTACCAATTTAAATGTTAATCTCATCCAAAGTCACCTCACAAATGTACCCAGAATGTTTGACCAAATTTCTGGGTCCAGTCAAGTTGACATACAAAATTAACTATCACAAGAAAAGTAAGGTTCAAACATTACGATCATAAGGGTGGGGCCCTAATTCTATATGACTGGTGTCTATATAAGAAGGGGAGACTGGGACACACAGAGAGACACCAAGGAAGGGCATGCACAGAGGGAAGTCCATTTGAGGACACAGCAAGCAAGTGGCCATCAGCAAGCCAAGGAGAGAGGCTCAGGAGAAACCAAACCTGCCAACACCTTGATCTTGGACTTCCAGCCTCCAGAACTGTGAGAAATAAATTTCTGTTGTTTAAGACACCCAGACTGTGGTATTTTGTTATGACAGCCTGAGCAGACTAACACAGTCCCCTTCCCAGGAAGGAAGAGAAAACAGCTTTCCTGTTGCAAATCATCATATATGAAGAACTTATGCCTGCACTGAGCTATGCATTTTTCACCCACTGCTCTCATTTATCCTTATGACACTGTCCAGAGGTGGGTGCGCATATCTTTGTATCAGTTAGGAATAGGTTTGGTTGCACATAATAGAAAATCCAAGCTACCATGGCTTGACCAAATGAAGGCTTATTTTTCTCATATTCAATAACTACAGAAGAAAGCAGACCAGGGCTATGAGGCAGCTCAGGGAGATGATGTGGCAGCTGTCACATCCAGGCTCCATCAAGCTTCTGCTGTTTAGCTATCCTTCATGCATGGCTTTTGTTCTTTGCTTATTTCCTTGTACTAACAAGAATATAACTCCATATCTGGCATTCAGGTAGGAAGAATAGTAAGGATGATGAGCAAAAGGCACAGGACAACTCAGTTTCTCTTTTAAAAAAGGTTTTACAGAAAAGCAGAACTCCTGTTTACAGTTCATTAGATTGCTCTATGTTATGCTGCAAGGGGGGGCTGAGATCTGTCATTTTAGCAGAATAGAACTGAGGGAGAAGGAGAGAATGACTACTGGCAGGCAACAGCAGTGTTTGCCACCTTCCCCTTGCACGGATGAGTATGGATAAATTATACATGTCAGTTGCTATTTAAATCATGACACTTGGGGAAGGGGATGCTATTGATAATAATGCCAGGACAGCAGGCACAAAACAGGACTCTCCTGAACAAAGTGTTTGGATGCACTACAGAGGAGGCCGAGAAAGGATGCTTAACTTGTCCAAGGACACATTGAGGATTCCAACCCTACTAACTCTTACCCCAACACTCATCCTCCTTAACAATTGCACTAGAATGTTATGATTATAAGGATGTAGATGTAGATTATTTGCTTCAGAAACACTAAAGTGCTTGCTAAAAATACTGATTCCTTGACCCTACCCCAGGGCTTTGGATTCAGTGAGTCTAGAGTAGAGGCCCGGAGGTCTGCTTCCTAAATAAACATGCCAGGGTAAGTCTGATGCAGTGAGCTGCATTCCGGGAAACATTGTTTTAAGACAACCAAACCTGTATAAATAAGCACAAATCCTCCACCATGCTTTCACTAGGAGAAAAATGACATTTATTCAACTTCTGTGACTCAGCAGTTTAAAAGGACAATGGGACATTTCTTGCAGGACCTGGTCCTCCTGATAAGGACTAGCCATTACCTAGGGAATCTGGGAACCAGGCAAACATTCATCTCATTGGGGAGAGCAAAGGTGAACAGACCCATGGGAGGCTGCGGGAGGGTCATAGCAGCCCAATGGCCAGAGGTGTGTCTCTCCTCACTCCTGCCCAGGTAACTTTTATATGCTGAGCCTATCAACTCCCCTGGGGTGAGGTGGGGTGGGTTGCAGGAAACCAGCTCTATTCTGATAACCACAGAACAAAAGGGTTGGTAGCCTCTAGAAAAAATACCCAAATAAGACAGAGCAAGTATAGACTTTTCACTCATACAACGAACAGTTTTTTAACACCTACTCTGTGTCAGATTCCTAGTGCTAGGGATATGTTGATGAGAAAATACACAAAATACGTGCCTTCGCAGAGCTTTCAGTTGAGCAATGAGGGAAATCCTACACCAAAGAACCTCACTGGTGAATGCATACTTAACACATTGCCTCTGTTGATCTGAAGGAAGCCTCCAGAGCTACAAGCCCTTACAGAGTGCCAAAACCACCTCTCCATCTCTTCCAGTTAATTCTTCAGTCTCAGTTCATAACATGCTCCCTTAGTCCAGGTCAAACTCCCTGATATTGGCTGATACTCAAATTTCTGTTAAATGCACATATGAAGAAATAAATGCTCTAAGTCCATTTATTACAAAGTTTTCTCAATTTTTACACATATTGATTGCAAGGTATACAAACAATTTGATAACACTTTCTCTTTTTTTTGGTTGGGAGTGGGAAGGGAGGAGTTAGGAAAAAAACACACACACACACATTAAAATTTCCAGACCATACGATGCATCTAAATTTCATGAGTTTGAAAATACAGAGAGAAATGAGTTTTAGAAACAAGGAAAAGCAGTACTTAGTGACTTGCAACCATCATCTGCTCATCACCTGGGCAGGGGCAGGGGAGTATACATTAGTACATCAGTATTTTCTGCATCTGCCTGTAGGAACCTCAAGGCCAGGGAAGGTCAGACTTGGTGTAATGCAAGGGTTCATATGGCAGTTTGTATTTTCCAAAGCCTCTCATTCCTCATGTTCTTCTTATAAGGTGGCATCAACACTCCTCCTACCAAGAAGTAAAGTCTGTTCCCTCCTCTTGCATCTAGAGGATGAGTGCATGCCGGGGGTGCGGGAGGTGGGGTAGTGGGAGAGGAGGGAATGGGTAACTTCTCCAAACTATAGAATACAGTGGAAAGGGCCAGGTGCGGTGACTCATGCCTGTAATCCCAACATCTTGGGAGGCTAAGGCAGGTGGATCATTTGAGGCCAGGAGTTTGAGACCAGCCTGGCCAATATGGCGAAAACCTATCTCTACTAAAAATACAAAAAATTAGCAAAGCATGGTGGCACATGCCTGTTTGGAAGGCTGATGCACAAGAATCACTTGAACCTGGAAGGCGGAGGTTGCAGTGAGCAGAGATTGTGCCACTGATGGAGTGAGACTCTGTCTCAAAAAAAAAAAAAAAAAAAAAAGAATGCAATGGAAGAGACACAATGCAACTTCCCAGGCTACGTTACCTCTCTGCCTAGCTCTGGCTGTCTCCTAGGATGCTCATCCTCAGTACAGTTCAGCTGCCATGTTGGCAGGAAGCACAGGCCACATGAAGAGGTCATATGTAGGTGTTCCAGCTGACAGCATCAGAGAATGTCTCAACTGACAGCCGGCATCAACCACCAGACAAGTCCCTGAGTCAGAGCCTTCAGATAATTCCAGCCACTAGATTTCAGTGGCTGGAATTATCTTCAGCCACTGAAGATAATTCAGTCACCCCAGCTGACATTAAGTGATGCAGGCAACCTGTCCCTACAGAGCCCTGAGCAATTTGTAGATCTGTGAGCAAAACATAGGTCATCATTAGTTCAAATCACTAAGTTTAGGGGGCAGTTTGTGATACAGCCATAGTAACTGAAACAGCATGCAAATGCTTACTGCTTCTTTCTTAGCAATAACCACAGAAACATGGTAACAGTTAAGTTTTATGTCCTGCTTTAGAGTTTGCTTCTTGCACTCTTTCATTTCACCAATAAATTATTGTAATCACCTCCACCTCACATGCAAGAAAATTGAGACACAGAAAGACAAAGCAATTTGTCCACAGTCATACCTTCTTCTCCATGGGAACAAGACAAGGGTTACCGGAGTTATTAAGAGGAATTAAAGGAGTGCAGTTTTGAATGCCGGCTCTTCCCCGTTTCTTGCTGCCTGCCTTCGGATAAGTCATTAACCTCTCTGAGTCTCGGTTCTCTCATTGTGAAATGCAGATGAAAATAGTACCACTTTGTGGAATTTTTATTCAATGTTTAACTACACAAGCAGCACTGAAGACAAAGTCAGGCCCAGAGTCAGGCGCTCTTTTGTCTTGTGTCTCCAGCAGCACGGGGCCTTTGACAGGGCTGGCACTCCATGAACATTTCCTGGATGAATGAACAAATGAATTGAACTCCCATCCACTAGGCCCCAAAATGCCTCCTCCTGTTATATCAGGATGCCACACTTAGGGCTTATAACTAGCAGGGTTGATTTTCCTTGGCAAATACTAAATGGAAACTGTGTACTGGGTTGGCACAGAATGGAAAAATTGGAATTTTTTCCTACGCTTCTATGAATCTCCCATTCATAGAAGCATTCAAAAATTCAGAATTTAAACACACAGCCACACACACATTGTAGCATCACACAGTGCTCATAAATCAGGGCTGGGATGCGCACTCCTTAAGGACTATTGCCCCAACCCTGGCTGAGCTCTTGCCCTCTGAGCCACAACAGTGGCTTACAGGTCTCTTCGCCCTGCACCCAACCCCAACACAAACCCACCACTTCCCCAGCTCGGCAGAGTGGCACTAGCTATTCTCTGCTGAAAACAAGGAACAGAAATCAATTTCGTTCTAGCCATACTGAGTGCAGCAAGCAGGATAAGGCTGAACTCTGTCAAACCAACAATGTAGAAAACCCGATTTAATACTAAGATGGACCCAATTCTCTGACAGGCGTGTTAAATGTGATTAAAGCTGCACAGCATTCCCTGCATACCCATCTGCCATGTTGAGGAGCCCACAGCTGTTCTGATTTCTGATGTACAGTTTCTTGTCAGTTGTTTCAAATGTATCTCATCTTGCCTGTAATCTGGGCTCTCCCTCCCTTGCCCCTCTTCAGGCCAGCCTTGGCCAGCTTCTCTAAGCAGTTGCTGATATCCACATGCCTTTGGCCGCGGGTCTGTAGAGGCATGTGTGAGCTCTGGCTGGTGCAAAATGTGTGATCACAGAGAAAGCTTAGCGCTTTAGCGGCTGGAATGAGTCTCTTGGATCCTAAGCTGTTGTGACGCCACCACCTGCAGCTCCTGCAGGTTTTTGCTGCAGGGTGAGGGGAAAGAGCAGGGACAAATCGTTTTTGATGCTACAGAGAGCTGTGCCTGAGATGCCTACATGCTACCATGGAAATACAATCTGAAAGCTGTGGAAGTCCAGTGCAGGCATACTTTGGGGTTGTGGAGAAAGGCAGAGGCAGAAATGGAAGTGGGGTTCTTCTGGGCAAGGGATGGAGTCCTCAGAGGCCATTGCAACCTTGTGCCCAGGAGGCACAGATAAGGTAGAGGACAGCTGATTTCAAGAGGACTGGACCACCTAGCATTGACCCATATGGCATCTTCATGAGAATTTTTTAAAAGTTGGAGCTATGGCCCTGCACCAAGGTACACAACCTGGCAAGCAGGGCATAGGCTGGATTTCAGCCCCACTCACCCTCTTGACCAGGGGTCCTTGTGCAATAAACAACATGTACAACCACACATATCAACAATGAACAGAGGAAGAGCTCCAAGGAGCATACGGAAGTCATGATGAGAAGTAGGGGGACAAAATAAGTGAAAAATGCCTGCCCTTAAGCAACTGAGAGCAAGCAAGGCTAGCAATATGGACGTGGAAAACACAGGAGAGCATAAGAGAAGGGCCAGGAGAGAAATAGAAAAACAGAGTGCCAAGGGATTCAAAGAGGAGAACATGCTTCTGGTTGGGGAAATCAAGAAAGGCTTGCAGAGAGAGATGGCATTTGAAATGAAAAGGAGAAAGGTACACAAAGACACTTCAAACAGAGAGGCATGAACAAAGAAATGGCAGAGGGGAGATCAGGGCCATGTAATGGGACAGTCCATAGTCCAATTTGTCTGGAGCTTTAAGTGGATGCAAGAGATGACATCTCACATCTCCCTCGGGCTCCACACAAGAAGGATGCTATGGCAGACACCTTATAAATGGAGAATGAGGCTCTGACCCTGACTCCCTCTCCATGTGTCTCTGGCCAGCCCATCTTCACCCTTATGATGACCCCCCACCACTTGTGCATTTGCTCATCGTGGCCTCCACTGTGCCATCACCTTCTTGTTTTGTTTCCTGGACGCTGGAGCACTAAAATAATTTGGGGATATATTATAGAGGATCTTGAATGACAACTATGGAGGATCTTGAACGTAACAAAGATGTGGACTTTGTAGCAGATCTAGGGATCAAGAAGAGCCACTGGCCATTTTTGACATGATTCATGGTCAAAGCAACATGATCAGAATGCACCTAGGAAAATCACCCTGTGGTGGAAGGACTGGAGAGGAACAAGGCAGGATGCTATGCTCTGGGTGGGGAAAATGGAGGGAGTGAAGGGGGCAGGAAGGAAAAGCAGGGCCATTTCAAAAGCCAATATGGAGACTAGAAAGGGTGTCAGGTGGAAAATTGGGTCAAATCATTGAATTGTCAGAATTAAGTCCTGCCAGCCTGCACTGGACTCCTGGATGCAAAGGCTGGGGTGTTGTGTTTCTACACACCCAACCGCAACACAGCAGAGGGTACTGACACGATGCTGGAGCCAGCCAATCAAAAAACGACTTGCTTGTGCAGGGGGAAACTGACTGCAGTACCTCTGTCTCCCAGATAGTTGGTGTCTTCCTGGGGAATGATACAATGGGAATAACAGAAATGAAGTCATCAGACTGGAATGTTATTACAGAATCAATCACTTTCATGGAAATCTTTATTCCACTAATAGTCTCGTTTTAAGTATAAGATTTTATCTGTTTAGAAAGAAATGTAGGAGAGGGAAAAAAGAAGGTGAAGAGAAGAGTAGGGAGAAAAGATGAGGTAAGTCACATATACGCCTTCTTAAGTCTCCAATTCACTTGAGAACTTAAAGTCATAATAAATAGTTCAGAAACACAAACATACTGATTCTCCCTTAGCTATCTGTATTGACGTGCTGGGGCTGCTGTAACAAAGTACCACAAACTGGGTGGCTTCAGCAACAGAAATTCGTTGTCTTACGGTTCTGTTTTTTGTTTCGTTTTGTTTTTGGGATAGTATCTCGTTCTGTCACTCAGGTTGGAGTGCAATGGCACAAACAGCTCACTGCAACCTTGACCTCCTGGGCTCAAGTGATCCTTTCACTTCACTGGGCCACAGGCATGCACCACCAAGCCCAGGTAATTCCTTTATTTTTTGTAGAGATGGGGTCTCCCCACCTTGCCCAGGCTAGTCTCAAACTCCTGGGCTCAAGCAATCCTCCTGCCTTGGCCTCCCAAATCCCAAAGGGATTATAGGCATAGGCCACCACACCTGGCCCTGTCTCACAGTTATGGAGGCTGGAAGTTCAAAATCAAGGGATCAGCAGGGCCAGGCCTTCTCAGAAACCTGTAAGGGAAACCTTCCTTGCCTCTTCCCAGCTTCTGGTGGTTTGCTGGCAATCTTTGGCGTTCCTTGGCTTGTCACTGCATAACATCAATCTCTGCCTTGATCTTCACATGGCATTTCCCCTGTGTGTCTCTCCTGACTCTTCTTATAAGGACATTAGTCATATTGGATTAGGGACCAGTCCTACTCTTGTATAAACTCTTCTTAAATAATTACATCGACACCAACTCTATTTGCAAATAATATCAAGTTCTGAGACACTAGGGATTAGGACTTCAACATATCTTTTTAAGGGGACACAACTCAACACCTAACACTCCCACATTTCCCTGTTCCTTCTCCCAGAAAGGTAGGGTTGGCTCCCAAAGAGGGCCTCATCTAAGAGATTCCTTCCCTGACCTCTCTCATCTCTTCACACCTAGGTTTCCACTCTAGGAATTTCTCAGGGAGGCAGAGTGGATTTGGTGTCATTGTAGGGAACCCCTATGACTGGTCCTTGGGGTCAAATCCTAACTGCAAGATTGGCTGGCTGTGGCCAAAAAAGCCCAGGGGCTCATTTGGATCCTCCCCTACCTTGAGGTATTCCTAAGGAAGCACTGTTATTACCACCCTCACTCTGGTCAAAGGGGATGGCAGAGCCTTCTTGGCCTTCTGGCTCAAGTATGCACATACCCTTCACTGGGCGGGGTTTCTGCACAAATACACAAGTATTATCTTTGCTCATCTCCTATGATCTATGACACTCACTATGAAACTCCAGAGGTTGTCAAGAATACCATCCCTTCCCCAACCCTTCTATTTTCTGTTGTCAATTTGCTTTCTACAAGGGGTCCTCCTAGAGATATTTGAAGACATTTATTTAGTACAATGTCCACTCCCACCCCCTTAGTCCTTTCTTCAGCAGAGATCAGTCCATTTAACTTCACATAGTAAGCCAACCAAGTCCTCAGGCTCCACACAAGAAGGATGCTATGGCAGACACCCTGAGCCTGGACAATGAGGCCCTGACTCCCATTCCGTGTATCTCTGGCCAGCCCATCTTTACCCTGACAAGGACCCCCACTGCTTGTACATTTGCTCATCATGACCTCCACTGCGCCATCTTTTCTCCTAGACCATCATCTTCTTGTTTTGTTTCCTGGACTTTGAAGCACCAGCTTCCCTCCTGGAATGGCACATCAGCAGCCTGCTACCCCAGGCACAGCCACACCCTGTAGTGCAGTACAGATCCCATATCTGTAGGCTGCACCCTGCTGGCCTAGTCTCCCATGGACCCTCTTTCCTGAATGCAGAGAAGCCATGAGAATGAGTCAGGCACAACCCAACCCTGCCACATTTCTCCACGTGACTGCTCATCACGGTGACAATGGTAATATTGGAATACCTCCCGCCCTAGGAAGGAATTATTTCAAAGGGGCTGATTGTTGCTTCCCAACTCCCCATGAGGCAAGCTCGTTAGCTTGCTCCACTCAACTAACCAGCCTGGGCAGAGCTGCTGCTGCATTTTAGGAAACGTGGCATTCTTTCTTGTCTCAGAAATAATTCAAACTCTTCCCTCAAAGCCCCAGTTCTTCAGTTCTGCTGACTCAATGCTTTCTTAAGATACATGTTGAAAATGACAACTCTGTATTAGAGAAAAACTTGAGTATAGGCCCTTCAGTTCTTTTAAAGACATCAGAAATCACTTAGTGATTTCCTTAAAGAAGAAACCAGTACTAATTGAAAATGAAGTTGGTTTAATTCAATAAATATTTGCTGGCAAATATGATATTTCAGGCACAAAAGACAAAAGAGAAATAAGGCACCATCCTCAACCTCACAAGTGCACGTTGGTGACAGAAGCACAGTACAAATGGCCACCCAACATTGGTATAACATCAAAGGTCATGTTCCTACAAGCCTGAGCTCTTCCTTTCCCAAACCTCAGGTCACATTTGTACCACTCTACTCAGATACTGGCAAAACTCAAATTGTCATTTACTAAGCACACCCATTTTAGATCAGGTATAAATAAATAAATAAATAATAAGATAAAACCACAAAACATATCTGTATCTGTGCATATGTGTATATATGTATATATATATATATATACACACACACATACACACACACACACACATACACAGTGTGTATTGCAACCTCAAGAGATACAGTCACAAATGCCACAATCCAGAATGTCAAAATCCCTAAAGATCAAAATCCCTAAAGTCTAAAATTCCTAACATCTAAAATCCCTAATCTCTAAAATCCCCAAAATCACAATCCTGAAAGATTAAAATACCAAATGTTGAAATCTTGAAAGCAGAATCCTAGGGGAGAGATTAGTATATTTTCAGTTGTACACAGAGCTGCATCATATTAGTTTCATCATCTTAGGCAAACTATTACCTTGTTAGTGTCTTTGTTTAGAAATTAAGTATAGTTTAAGGGTGCCAAGTGGACAAGGAGTGGATTTGTGGACTTAATTTTAAGTACTAACTTGACAGAATTAAGGAATACCTAGAAACCTGGTAAATCATTATTCTGGGTGTGTCTGTGAGGGTGTTTCCAGAGATTAGTGTGTGAGTGTGAATGAACTAGGCAGGAAGATGTGCCCTCAGTGTTGGCAGGCACTGTCTAATCAGCCAAAGGCCCTGAACAAACAGATACAGAAGGTGAACTGGTCTTCCACTGAAGCTGAGAGAAATATTTCTTCTGCTGCTTTGGACATCAGAAATTCAGGCTCTGAGCTCTGGGACTTACACCAGTGGCACTCTGGGTCCTGAGGCTTTTGACCTTGGACAGAGAGTTACACCATCTGCTTTCTAGGTTCTAAGGCTTTTGAACTTGCACAGAGCCACACTGCCAGCATCCCAGGGTCTCCAGCTTACAGGTTGCCTATCATGGAACTTCTCAGCCTCCATAACTGCGTGAGACAATTCCCCAGTAAATCCCTTCTTATATATCTAAATCTATATCCTTTTGGTTCTATCTCTCTGGAGAACCCTGACTAATATAAATTTTGTATTGGGGAAATCAGATATTGTTCTTTCTTACTGCATTCCTTACAACATAATGGAAGAGATCTGTGAAAGTTGTTCCCTCTAATTTAATTGTGTGAGGCTACTTAATGGTGAAAGATAAAAGTTTAAAACTAATTATTACTGGTGCTGCAAAAGCAGAAAATCACCTAATTGCAATAGCCAAGCAATATCCAGACTCTCAGATGGACGGCATATACTTACGAAATGTATAGACCACAACTATTCTCCAAATAAAAGTGCAGCGAGTGTTTCCAAACTCAAAGATGTGAAAACAAATGAAAAACACAAGAAATCTCCCCTGCCAAATTATTCTATTGTATACAACTTCTGCCCCTTCACACATAGTGCCAATTGGCTATGCTATGAGTTTTATCTTTGCATCATTTCTAGTACTGGTGATATAAATTGCACAAAGACTTTTAGAGAGCTCTAATTCATTTTAGACATTTTTTATAAAAAATGGACACCAAGAAAGTGCTTTATTCACAATGTTGACTTTGTGTGTAAGCACTATGCATGTATGTAAAAAATGTTGAAACTTCCTCAGTAAATGAAGATGTAAAGAATTTATCTTTCACAATGCAGATGTACAAAAAGGACCTCTCTTTGCACATCTGCATTTGTGAAAGATATGATTTCTTGAAGTCCCAATTCTTCGGGTGACTGCATATGCAGTGGTGACCCACTGTGGTTTTTGTTTGCTCTCGTCAAAAGATTGAGGTTGCCCATCATGGTATTTCAGATGACCACAGTTATAAAGCTGGGTGTACAGAATTGCCAATCATAGTGGTATGCATTTATAAATTTCACTTTCTGACCTATTTCTTCATGTATACAGTTCATAACTGTTATGCTCTCATGACTGTTGTTAGTACACCTGACTGTTTATGCTTGCAAAAATATGCACGTTATTATTAACTAGTCTGTTCTGTAAAGCAGTCTATGAAGTATGCTGTCATTCTTTTATGCTTCTCAAATAAATCCCCCTTTTAAAATGTAAATACATTTATTTTAAAGAATTTTTATTTTTTCCAGAATTATATTTTGGGGATTTTGGACTAGGAATTTTGATCTTTTGGGGTTTCAACATTCAGGATTATGGTGTTTGGAATTGTGTCCTTTGGTATTATGACCTAAACCCACCAACAAGTGGGAGAGCAAGGATTCAAACCCAGGTCTGTCCCATTCCAAAGAACATCCTCATGACCAATGTGCCAGTCAGACTGTCCAGGTGCTACTGTGCTCCAGGAAAACCTGAAGGGAAGGTTACAGATTGAGCCTCAAAATCCAGGTTAGGACCCAAACCTGGATCAGCATCATCCATTTTACACATTAACCCTGATGAAGGAGAGAAACTAGACCTGAAGACCAAAGAAGCAGATTCCAGGGGTCAGGGTGAGGTGGCCAACAGGAAACGAGGCTGCAGTTTGAAGGCCAAGGGGATGGAAACCAGGGGAAGGTGGGATGGGAGGAAGGAATATAAACTGGCCCTGAAGAAGGGTTTGGCACGTGGACTGTAAATGAGGAAAGGGTCTCACTCTGATTAGTCACTGGCCAGATGGGTGGACCCACCTGCCTCAGGGACAGTGACAAGTCTGGGACAGACCCATGGCAATGGCAGCCCCCACCTAGGCAGCTGCCAGAAATCCTGTGCAGAGTCCAGCACTGCTGACTCTGTCGTGTGACAGCTCTCAGATGCAACACGGGTGGATCCGTGGGCGCTTCCTTGAGGAGGCTGAGCACAGTCCAAATAATGCACAGCAGACTTTGATGGCCCTCCCAACCAAACCTTTTTAGGTTACAGACAGTGCTGTGTTTATACTCCCAGGGACGGAACATCCTTTGCTCACAGCCCCACGCTCCACCCCCACCCACCATCTCCCCAACTTTGGCAAATGCCTAGACTCTGAGCAATCTGTGCAGACATGTTGTGAATCACTGTCAGTTCAAGTACACAATATTCCCTGATTTTAACCCTCCTTGGCTGGCTTGCCTTGCATGCTCCCACTCCAAGCACTGGTGGAGGCAAACTCCATAAGGAAGCAGCACCCCCAGGGCTGTATGGAGCAGGCAGCAGGGAGCAACAGCAGGCAGGACAGCCACAGAACTAGGTGACTGATACCCATGAAGCTCAGACAGTGCCAGGCACAGTCCCAGAGACTTTACATTCCCACAGATCTGTGAGCAAGTGATTATTATGTCCATTGTGAGTGTGAGGAAATTGAGGTTCAGAAAGATTAATTTTCTTTTTTATTTTTTTGAGATGGAGTCTTACTCTTGCCACCCAGGCTGGAGTGCAGCAGAGCTATCTCGGCTCACTGTACCTCCACCTTCCAGGTTCAAGCGATTCTCCTGCCTTGGCCTCCCAAGTAGCCAGGATTACAGGCACGCGCCACCATGCCCAGCTAATTTTTATATTTTTAGTAGAGACGGGGTTTCATCACGTTGGCCTGGCTGGTCTTGAACTCCTGACCTCAGGTGATCGGCCTGCCTCGGCCTCCCAAAGTGCTGGGATTACAGGCGTGAGCCACCGCACCCGGTCCAGAAAGACTAATTTTCATACACACTAAAGTGAGAGAGCTTAGATTTAAAACTAGATACGTTCTTCCTAATATACAATGTTCTATCTCAAATCATCATGTTTCCAATGATTTCTATTAGCAGCCATAATAGTAATAGCAGCAGCCTGTGGGCTAAACACTACACTAAGTGCTTTGTATGTACTAAGTCATTTAATCTTTCCAAACAGCACTGAGGAAGATACAACTACTATCTTCATTTTAGAAATGAGGATCTGAGGCAAGAGAGTTGAGCAGCAGGAGAGAGGTAAAAAGGTAGTGAGTTATCCCCTATGCTCTTCATTTCCTTTGCCCTTCTCCTTACTAGAGCCCACTCAGCTAGTTGGGGCAGACTGAGGCTCATATGACTCTAAGTTCTTAATAGCTCATCTACAGACCTGTGCTGAACAGGGAGGATCCTAGAGGACATGCGGCCATGGAGGGTCTGAGAGATGGTTTGGGGGTCGGGATGTATATACAACAGTCCCATAGAGTCATTCCCCAAATAAAGCAGAGAAGGACAATTTGAGGTCTTGAGATAAATAAGCAAGAATGGCTAGATGGGAAAGCTTGGAGGCTTCTGAAGATTCATAGAGAGGGAGCAGGAGCAGGCAGGGCAGGCCCATTAAAGGAATAATAAAAATTAGCCCTTTCGTGCACACAGCCCTGGGTCCCAGGTCACAAAGGATCTTCACAGATGTGAATACCTATTTTATTTAGGGATTCAAAGGTTCCATGTATGAGGCAACATAGCATGTGGGAAAGGAGCTTGGGGACATGAAGAAGGATAGAGCTCTCGAGCAGGTGGGAATACACTAAGGGTGGTCCCAAGAAGGGCTGTTCATGCCAAGAAGTGGATTGACAGGCTCTGGAATGAAGTGAATCCAGGAAGAAGCCAAAGCAGCATCAATCATTTCCTGCCATGCTTGTGATGCCCATCGAACATGATCACTCCCTTGAGGGGGCTCCAATGTCTCATTTGGGAGTGACTCTACCCCAGTTTGTTACTTTGGCTATCATTAGCCAGGAAGGGGAGGTTCCTTATGAATCCATTGGACTGCTGATTCCTGAAGACCCAGAGTGATCCATGAAGGACTCAAGGACAATCCTCTCCCTATTCCTTACCCCCACTACTAGGACCAAATTCAGGTTTAACTTGCCTTCCCTGGTCACCTACTAGGCACTATGCTAAATGCAATTCTAATTTTGGAGACAAAGAAACTCGTTCAGGGAGAAACTTGCTCGATGTCACAGATATCCATAAGTGGCAGAGCCAGGATCCAAACTTGGACCTCTTATTCCAAGTGCATTGCTCTTTTCACTACATCATGCTGCCTTCTAGAAAAATCAGCTAACTCTGTGCTTCTAGACTCTACACAGTATTCAATAACTCTGATGACTTTGAATTCAGGAAATGTCTATCAATTGGACCAGGATCTGCTTTTTAAGCTTATCTTTATTTCTAGTACTTCCTGAGAAAGAGTAAAGTATTCTGAAATATAGAAGATGGATAGGTAGAAAAATGCATATGTAAATACACAGATGATGGTTGGATAGATGGGCAGACAGACTTTTTTAAAATTTTTATGGATACATAGTAGGTATATATGTATTTATGGGGTACATGAAGTGTTTTGATACAGGCATGCCATGTATGGTAATTACATCTTGGAAAATGGGGTATCTATCCCCTTGAGCATTTATCCTTTGTGTTAAAAACAATCCAATTATATCTTTTAGTTATTGGACAGACTTTGAGTTTATTGGACAGACTTTAATTGAGCTCCTCCATCAAACTTTGTGACTTTGAAAAATAGTCACTTAGGTTTTGTTTGTTTGTTTTCTATAAAATGGCCTTGTCAAAGCCCTTCTCATGGAACTATTGTGAGAAACTACCTCTAACAGTGCCTGGTATACCCATAGACTCTTACTATTCTCCCCTTTGTGTTAAAATCATGCTTCAGAATTATGTCCAAATTCTGCAGCAAGGACCCAATTCAAATATTGTTTGAAACATCCAGAATGTCTGTTTTTGACATCAAGTTGGCCCATAGATTTGACAGCCTGGTACCCATAGAGTCCCCACCCAAGAACATTTCCTTCAAAACAAGCTCCTGTTACAGAAACGGCCCTGGTTTTAAATATACTCCCTTCTCTCATAAAAATGCCCCAGCCAGCTAAAGTCATTCTATTTAAAATATTTAATTAATACCTTCACAGAGGTCTGGAACTTATTAAAGACTCTTGGGGACCATGTCTTAGGGGCAATGCTTTGTTCTAAGCAGCTCTATGTGTTACAGATAATATAAAGTGCTGGAATGTGCTTTCTATTAAAAGCAGGGACATTTGCCTGCCTGCTGTTGCAAACCCTTTTGTCATCATCGTGACACATTAAGGCATAATCCAAGTACAACATACACACACAAACAGTGTCAATCCATCCATTGAGTAAAAAGAGTCCCAGGAAAACCACAAGAAAGGTCTGGTGATTAGATGAGGGGATTAAAAACTGGAGGAGCTCTTCCTCTACCTCTTCTCCCACCTGAAGAGGCCACAAAGGCACATTGCTCCCCAAGCAAACAAGAGCAAAAACACAAAGGCACACACTTTGCTCTACCTCCAGTATCTTCTTGGCTTCTCAGCCTTTGGCAGGTGAAAGAAACATTGGTTAAAAGTCCTACCTTCCAAGCAAGTAAACATGCTCTTAGTCCCCCTTTGTCTCACAGGCTGAAGACTGGCAATTGCTTCACATCCATTGTTGTCTGGGGAGTACATTTTTTTTTCTTATTATAAAAATGGTATAGGTTCAATCTTGAAAACCTTGGAAAAAATGTAAAAGAAAATAATTATTTTAACCATAACCCTACCACCTAGACATGACTTTGCTGCATTTCTCCCCTTCTATGTGTATACTTTCACAAAGCTGTCATTACCACACATTTACCCTTTTATTTCCAGCTTCTTTTCCCTTAAAGACATTGGGGGAAATGCTCAGGGTATCATAGTAAGAGATGAAGACTTTAAAAGAAATTAAAGCCTTTTTTTTTTTTCAAGCAGTTTTAGGTTTACAGCAAAATTGAGAGGAAGGTACAGAGATTTCCAATATACTCCATGCACCCCCACATGCAGAGCCTCCTCCATTATCAACATCCCCCACCAGCGTGGTACATTTGTTACAACTGTCAGCCAATGTTGACACATCATAATCACTCAAAGTCCATGGTTTACATTAGGGTTCACTCTTGGTGTTGTACATTCTGTGGGTCAGAACAAATGTATTAATGACAGGTATCCACTATTATAGTATCATTCAGAGTACTTTCACTGCCCTAAAACCCCTCTGTACTCTGCCTATTCACCTCTCCCTCCTCGCTAAACCCTGGCAACCATTGGTCTTTTTACTGTCTTCACAGTTTTGCCTTTTCCGGAATGTCATAGAGTTGGAATCATACACTATATAGACTTTACAACTCACTTCTTTCACTTAGTAATATGCATTTAAGTTTCCTCATGGCTTGACAGCTCATTTACTTTTAACGCTGAATAATATTCCATTGCATGGACATACCACCGTTTATTTATCTATTCACCTATGGAAAGATATCCTGTTTCCAAGTTTTTGGCAATTCTGAATAAAGCTGCTATTAACATCTGTGTGTAGGTTTTTGTACAATTTTCAGCTCCTTTGGGTAGCTACCAAGGAGCTCAGTTGCTGGGCTGTATGGTAAGCATATTTTTAGTTTTGTAAGAAACTGGCAAACCGTCTTCCCAAATGGCCATACTGTTATATTTTGCACCCACACCAGCAATCAATGAGAGCTCCTGTTGCTTCCCATCCTTGTCAGCATTTAGTGTTGTCAGTGTTCTGGGCTTTGGTCATTCTAATAGGTATGTAATGGTATCTCATTGTTTTGATTTGCATTTCCCTAATGACAGTGATGTGGAACTTCTTTTCATATGCTTATTTGCCATCTGTATATCTTATGTGGTGAGGTGTCTGTTGAGATCTTTGGCTTATTTTCTAATCAGGTTATTTTCATATTTTGGTGTTGAGTTTTTTTTATACTTTTCTTTTGGATAGCAGTCCTTTATCAGACTGCCTTTTGCAAATATATTCTCCCAGTCTATGGCTTGTCTTCTCATTCTCTTGACTATGTCTTTCACAGAGCAGAAGTTTTTAATTTTAATGAAGTCTGGCTTATCAATTATTTCTTTCATGGATTGTGCCTTTGGTGGTGTTGTCATTTATTTTTAATTGCCAAGGATGATACCACTGTGGGGCTGAACCAACATTAATATAACCAATTATTTCCCATATGATCAACATTGAGGTTGAGATTTTCACTACTGTAAACAATGCAATGACAGCATATTGATAATTGTGCACTTTTTGGATTATTTCCTTTGGATAAATTCCTAAAAGAGAAATGGAGTCTCAATCTTGTTAGAGTATCTGATATATTTTGCTAAACTTCCATCCCCAAAAGTACCACTTTACCCTCTTACCTGCATGTGACAATATCCATCTTATCACACTTTTAAAAATATTTTTTACTAAGATACATAGATATATCTGTATTTTTTTTCTTTAAAAAAAAGGAAAAATTCATCATAAGGCTGCTGCCCTTTTTCATGCATCACGGGAGTACAGTTACTATCCCTCTTCTTACCATTCCATTTACATTAAAAAAGAACCCTGAGGGGAAACAGGGGCCTCCAAAGGGTACATCCCTCCTCCCACCTGAGTGAATTGGGAGGGAAAATTGAAGGTCTTTTACAAAATCCTAACATGGTTGAGAGCAAGGATTTAAACTTTGGCCCCTGTACTTCAGCCAAGATCTTGTAAGAGTTTATTTATTTTTCTCTATTTTTCCCTTTGATAATCAACAAATTTAACGTATTCATTTTAAATCCCACAAGTCTGTTCCCTTTCCCAGGAGCAGAATGAAGTAATCTAGTTCCCACGTTCTGACAGCATAGTTTAAGGGCCACAAAAGATGATAGCCCCCAGCCCATACAGCCAGGGATACTTCCAATAACTGGAGGTTTGCCAAAACAATCAAGCAAGAGACATTTGCACCAGAGCCTTGAAGATCGTCCAACCCTTAGCTGCCCAATTATTACCTCCTTCAAGAGTAGAAGTCTTTCCTCCACCTGACTGTAGCCATATCTTGAAATTTAATTGAACTTTGCCACCAGAAGGGTTCATTTTATTTTTAATAGAGACACAGGCAATGCTTTTCTTAAGTAGGGACAACCTAGCGGCAAAACCTCACTGTGTTCCTAGTCTTTGCATCTTATCTGAAGCTAACATGCAGACAGGGCAGGGGGCTCTCAGCTCAGTGGGTGCTGTGCATCTTATGCTTTGGAGGTTTGGATGGGGCAAGACTTGGGAAGAAAGTACCTTCAGCCTTACGGTCCCTAAGTGACAGTGACCACATAAGGTGTATCCAAGTCCACTGAGAATCTCAGCTACATTTCATGACATAGCTATAAAACAGTTCCAAGTACTAATTCGTTAGTCTTGGGTTTTATGCTGAGTGACTCTGAAATATCTGATTAAAGAGGCTAGCTTCAGTTTCCACTCTGAAAACCTGGCTTGAATTTATTGCTGCCTCACACAGGATTGCCTCAAGCTGGGTCTCTCCACTTCAGTGGCAGGCAGGTTAACTATTTCACTGCTGGATGCTCTGTCCCTCACTGCCAACCCACCCCCAGCCCCCTTCCTAAACTCTCATCCCACAGCCCCGGGAGCGGATTCTGCAAAGGGCTTATAAAGCACAGAGGGAAACTGACCATCTGGCCTGAGTGATCTTTTTTTGAAGGGTAAAGAAGATATTTAGAAAGAGTCCATTGTAATAAACACATTTTCAAAATTGTTTTAAAGTACTTAAAAATACAGAGATAGAGATAATTTTCTGTTTAAAAAAAGACTTTTAACAGCCAAATAATTCTCATTGGTATTTTATATAAAACACATGCGTAAGTTTGGAAAGTTTCAATCACACAGAAAGGTACAAAGTTAAAGGTATAAAAATAATGTAAAGCCTACTTTACCCATCAGAATAAACATAAAACCCAGTATATGCTTATTCTTATAGGTAAATTACTCTTGATTTAAATATGTACATTTTGTTTGAATTATGCTGGGTCTCCAGGAACACAATCCTTATATAAAATGAGATAGCCCTGGACTATTTTCACTTCTCTATTTTATAGAGGAGGAAACCAAGCTAGAGAGAGAAGAAACAAGTAACTTGCCTAAAGTCTCAGGGATAATAAGCAGCAGAGCAAGGACATAGTCCTAGGTGGGATCCCAGAGACACGTATGAGCTCACCTGGGTCACGACAGTAACTGCCCAGCAACCCTACTGCCAGTCTCGGTGTCCACCAGCCCACAATGAGTCTTATGATCATACCATGCCTCTATCCAACTACTTAAATGACTCCCCACTTCATATACCCACACTGGAGAGTGGATTGGATATGGAAAACACCATTTAGCACAAAGTTATTTAAAGACATGCATGTTAAAGAAAGCGGATTCTACCAAATAGGATAATACCTTTTTTTTTTTTTTTTTGAGATGGAGTCTTGCTCTGTCACCACGCTGGAGTGCAGTGGCACAATCTCGTCTCCCTGCATCTCTGCCTCGCAGGTTCAAGTGATTCTCCTGCCTCAGCCTCCTGAGTAGCTGGGATTACAGGTGTGTGCTACAACGCCTGGCTAATTTTTGTATTTTTAGTAGAGATGAGGTTTCACCATGTTGGTCAGGATGGTCTCGATCTCCTGACCTCATGATCGACCCCCTCGGCCTCCCAAAGTGCTGGGATTACAGGCATGAGCCACCGCGCCCAGCCGATAATACCATTTTAATAGTTACCAAGGAGTCAGTGTAGATGACTACCTATCTGTTAAAGGCTTTATAATAGCAATTAACATCTTTAAAAGATGTAGGTCAGGAGGTAGCAATAACAGCTGTCGTTTTTGTCTTAAACTCTTCAAAATGGGAGGGGAAGGGAGACTGATCTCTAAGTAAATAAAAATAGTTATCCATATTCAGTATCTAGAGTCTAGCAGAGACTATGCTAAGTATTTCACATACGTCAGCATATTTGAGCATATAACTCTGCGAAGTCAATAGCATTATCCCAGTATATAGATGAGGACATTGAGGCTCCAAGATGTCAAGCAATTAACCAAGACCACCCAATGGCAAGCGGCTGAATTGGTTTGCCAGGGTTGCCTTAACAAAGTACCATAGACTGGGCAGCTTCAACAACAGAAATGTATTTCTCACAGTCCCAGAGGCTGGAAGTCTGGGGTCAAGTTGTGGGCAGGGTTGGTTTCTTCAGAGGCCTCTCTCCTTGACTTATAGATGGCCATCTTCTCCCTCTGCCTTCACGTGGTCTTTTCTCTGTGTGTCTGTGTCCTTTTTTTAAGGATACCTGTCATTCTGGATTAGAGCCTACTCCAATGACTTCGGTTTAAATAACTAACCTCTTTAAAGACCCTATCTCCAAACACAGTCACATTATTCTGAGGTACTAGGGGTTAAGACTTCAATGTATGAATTGGATAGGGACACAACTCAGCCCACAGCACTGGGTGAGCCAGGATTCTGACACAACTCTGTGATGTTGGAAGCTACCCCATGTTGTGTTGGAATTCAGAATGATTCTTTAACTCCTTTGGCCTGTTGCAATGAGATTTAGAAAATAACCACGAAATTGGCAACTTCTGTTTACAATCACTATAGTTCTTTTAACAATAGTGAACAACAACAACAACAACAAAAAATGCAAGGCAAGGCCCAAAGCAAAGCAATTGATTTGTCTCTACCACAGGCAAATGTAAGATGCTGAGCCTTTATATAGCTGTCTTGCTTAATTTTTTCCCAAAAGGTTCCACAAATAGAGAAAGACCCAAAGGCTTCTGCAAACCTGTGGCTGAGATTTAGCTGCACATTCTTGCCTGGGGCTACTATCCACCTCCATCTCCTGCCTGAGGACCCTCTGGCGGGATTACCAGCCCAGAGCCAGGGAGGTGGCACATCCACTAATTGGGCAGGGCCGTGTTGGGTGTCTTTGTGTCATCCCATGAATAATATCACAGCTACACCCCTTTACAGTCCTTAATGTTATTTTCTTTTTTTGTTTGTTTTTATTTTGAGACGGAGTCTCACTCTGTCACCCAGGCTGGAGTGCAGTGGCGTGATCTTGGTCCACTGCAACCTCTGCCTCCTGGGTTCAAGCGATTCTCCCGCCTCAGCCTCCCAAGTAGCTGGGATTACAGGTGTATGCCACTTCACCTGGCTAATTTTTTGTATTTTTAGTAGAGACGGGGTTTCACCATGTTGGCTAGGCTGGTCTCAAACTCCTGACCTCAAGTGATCCTCCCACCTCAGCCTCCCAAAGTGCTGGGATTACAGATCTTAATGTTATTTTCTTAGACTGACTCATCTTCATATCACCCTCACAACTTCTACCATATCTGCATTCACCCTGTAATTTTACCTACTATGTTTTAAATCATCTTATGTTTTGTTTACATCGATCTTTAAAGGGAAGGTTTATATAATTATCTTAAATGGAAAATCTATATCATTTGTCACAGATAGAAAGTAACCATAAAAAGGTACACACAAAAAAACAATTATTATTAAATTCTAGCTAGTTACAGCTGTTTGCCACCTCTTTCTCTGCTTTTAAAAAAGGGGATTGGGACATGTAAATGAAGTGTTTGAGATATAGTAGTCCTGAAGTGAGACTTTCTTATAAATTAATCAGAAGCTGAAACAAACTTGAAGAGAGAATAACTTCTTCACTCTGTGATTAGTATTCCCTAATGCTGCGACTTTGTCCTCCTGAAAACCAATTCCACCCACATTTGGGAAAGGCTGCTTTCTACTTTTCAAAGCACTTTAACAACAACCCTCTAATATAACCAGAGCAGACATTTTACACTTGTCCTCTAAATGAGAAAATTCCAGCAAATTGTAGGCATTGTGAGAAACTCCTAAACTCCAAGCAAGCTTCTCATTTGGCGTTTAGAGTTAGACAACTATACTTGGGGTCCAGGAATGAGGGGTCGGCAGGAAATACTTACTGCTTAAAGAGATGACTTTCTATAGTTGGCTCGGCCCCTTTGTTGGTCTTCAGCCAAGTGCTACACAACTGGAAACCAAATCTAGGCTCAGAGACACATGCTAGACCCAAGTTTCCGGGACTCGGTCCCTGACCAGCTTGCAGAAGGTGCTGGGATAACATCCGCTTCTCCCAGGGAAGGAGGGACCGCGGCTCTCTTTGCTCAGCTGCAGCAATTGATTTGACTACAAGATTTACCAGGTCCCTCTCATCCTGCCTTTGTTCTGCAAATAGCTGATGCAGTTCTCAAATCAAAGGAACCTCTAAGCCCTGGCTCTTAAAGGGTGGCCACCAGCAGTACCTGGGAGCTTGTGAGAAATGCACAATCTCAGCACCCCACCCCACACCACGACACGCCCCCTGCCCCACAATAGATTAACTGCACCCTTGAATCCAAATCTCCAGGTTAACAGTCTCCAGGTGATTTGCAATGCACATTAAAGTTCAAGAAGCACTACTTTAAAAAAATTGTGATCAGGTGGTCATCCTGGACTGCAAGCCGTGGATCCTTCAGCTGTGTGGTCCTTATGCTCACAGTTGGGAGCTACCACTCTAAATGTTGCAACCACTTGGAACACCGTTCTAATCCAGGGTCCCCTAATTACCAGCTGTGGGAACTAGGGCAGATCACTCAGCCCTTTGCGGCCTCTGTCAGTGCATCTGTAAAACAAGGAGAGCAAACTCCTTCTCCCAGAAGTATCTGGAGTAGCCCTTGAGAATGTCTATAGGGCACTGCATGCAGTGCCTGGCACACGGTGAGCGGCACAAGGTGCTCAGTCAACAAACATGCATTGATGATCTATAATGCCCGGACTCTGGGGCTACAGCACTGAAAAGATGGACAAGGTTGGCTGGAAAGAAATAAAGAATGAAGAATTTCAGTAGTGATAAGGATCCTGAAGAAAATAAATCATGCAAGCGAGTAACAGGAATGGCAGTAGGTACCATTGGCAGAGTAGTCAGAGATGCTGGGTCTGAGGAAATGACATTCAAGCCAAGGCCCAAATCAGGGAAAGACGCAGCCACATGGAGATCTGGAGGCAGAACATTCTGGACAGAGGGTACACCAGGCAGAGGTGCAAAAGCCCTGATCTGGAACAAGCTTGCCAGAGAAGAGGACGAGAAAGAAAGGTCAGGATGGCTGGCATATAGGTATTATAAGACAAGGCTGCCGAGATAGGTGGCTTCATTTCTATCACATCATAACTCACCATCAGCGCTACAGTCATCCACATCCACCATTGGCTTTAGTCAGAAAGCCATTCATATTCTCCCCACGACAGACGGCAGAGAGATTTGGAGACCAAGACTGTGCCTTTGTGTCCCAGTGTCCAGCTTCATGGATGTTTACCTGCCTGAGTTCCTACTGAGGAAGGAGGCACTTCAGACCCAACACCAAGTGCTTTGGAGAAAGAAGCAAGTCTCTCCTCTGCAGGGAAGCCACGTGCTCTGGCTAGAGGGAATTGATGTCTCCCAGCTGGGGTGGATTTTCTGCTGATTTTACAAATAAGCCAGACGTGGCAAATCCTATGGGAAGCCAGCCCAAAGCAGCCAGCAAGATCAGATTTGGAGTCTTCATCAAAGGGTTAGGTGGTGCTAGCTATGAGCCAGACCTGGTGGCTCCAAAGTTGCCCTTAAATATATCAGCCAGAATTCAAGGAAGTTGTAGGCAGAGGGAAAACAGCTGGCTTGTCTCAGAGGTTTAAACCTCGTTTGCGGTATCACACCATGCTATGCATTCAAAATCACAGTTTACAAATAACTGAGGCTTGCTTCTCACTTGAGCCTAACAATCCTGGGAGGCAGGGTAAGTCTTACCATCCCTCTTTTGCAATGAGAATTCTAATGCTGTGAGAGGGCGTAGGTTGAGGTGGTAAAACCAAGACTTCAAAGCAGACTTTCTGGCCTTTGACCAGTGGCCTTTCCACTGGATCAGCCATTGCCATTAGCAACGTACCCATTTTCCCCACAATCTTCTCTTCAAGTACATCTTTGTTACCACCATCCCTGCCTATTGTCTTTCCCCTCCTATGACTACCATTGCTAACTTTGGGTAAACCTCTCCTTGCTATCTACATGTCATCCAAAAGCATAATCCACAATAATTTCCCTGATCAAAAGTCATCTGATTAGCACCTTCACCCCTCCTGCAACTTCAATGCCCCTCTACCATGTAACCCAACAAACTCACTTCCTGGGAATTAGGATGTGGATATCTTTGGAGGGCTGTTATTCTGCCTAACACATGCAGTCTGTCTCTGAGCAGCCATTTCTTGGCAAAAACTTTACACTATGTAAGATTAACGGCATCACTTCTCAAGTCATCACTATCATCACCACCTTCATAGTCTCCAAACACTCAGCCAGGTGTTTCTAGTTTTGGGTTACTTAACCCTTAAGAATCTTTATTTCATTTTGTAAACTCTACATGCTCAATTCTTTTTTTTTTTTTAAACCTCCTGCATTGGAAGGAAGGACTTCACAGTCCCACCCCTTTTCCGCTCCATAATGTTAAGACTTAGAGAAAGTTAAATTCCACTTTGGGTGGAGCCCAAACATGAAAGGTTCCATTCCAGAGGAAATATTTACTGAGAACCTCTCTGCTAGAGGAAGAGAAGCCATTTCACAGTCTTAATTAGAACAAGCCTTCTTTGACAATCAACCTAGACAATGTTTATAGCTACACAGTCTCTGTACAGTGTGTCAGTATCTCACCTCCTCCCAAATGGGGCGAGAGGCCGTACAAATTCATTCAACTAGTTGCTTTACTAATTACATCACACATACCAGAGCTACCAAGGCTGGCTGAATCTAATTACATTAAATGCATCTACATGAAGATTTCCAATACACCCAGAAAGATGTTTTCAAGATTTCAAGCCTTGGAATAAAGGCTGTAATGAAGTCGGACCACATTATTCTGTTGGTCTGGGGTAATGTAAACACAAGGCAGGGCTCTGTGTATCTGACTCTTCCTGCTGTAAACTCTTGGAGGGGCCAAATGGAACAGAGGATGCTTTCCACATTGGATGGATCCCTTCAGGTAATTCTGTGCTGAGAGTGCAAATATCTCTCAGCTGTTTGGATGCCAAGGAAAAATTCAAGACTCTCACCTGCCCCCTTTCATTTCAGAAAACTTTACTGTGCACCGGGCCTTATCAGGAACTCTGGGAGATGATACAGGGAAAACAAAGATGAATGAGACAAGCTCAGGGCAGTCCAGTGGATGAAGAATCCCAAGCAGCCTAATTATTCGGTACTATTTTAAAAGAATGTTCTTTAGCTATTTGTTAGATATTTATTTAGTGATGGTGGGAAGTAAATGATTTAATAATCATTGTATGCAGCAGTAAATTTACCTACTTTACCTCCATTGGTTGAAATAAAATGTTCAAACAACTTATGTTCATTTCTAGAGCTCTTGTTTTCTTCCCTGTTTTAAATTGTGGTTTGTTTTTAAATCAGACCACTTCTTGGACAGGAAACATATTAAAGAGTTTTGAGTTTAGGCAATAAAATAATTCAATAATTGCCAATAAACAACACTCTACCAGCGTTATGTGGTTTCAGAATTGTGACTGACTACCTGATTTTACAAATAAGCCAGCCATGCCAAATCCTATGGGAAGCAAGCCCAAAGCAGCCCGCACGATCAGATTTGGAGGCTTCATCAAAGGGTTAGGTGGTGCTAGGCCACCGTCCCCTGAGTGGTCTCAGGAGAGCGTGGCCATTGGTTCACTGCAAATTGCATGAGCTTGTCACAAAAACTCTCAGCAATGTTCCTTGGACCCTAGAAAGAGGTGCTTTTCATTCCAGGGTGCTATCAACTACAGCAAAAGAAAAACTCCTTCCTGCTTTGCCCTTCATGTAAGGGATAATATCATGTAAATGAGTTCATTGGTACATATACATTATTACATACATATTATTTCATTTATTCAACAAATATTTATTATGTGCCCACTATGTACCAGGACTGTTCCAACTACTGAGCCTATTTCAAAGAACAAACTACATAATGTGCCTGTTTATGTAAAGTTTACATTTTAATGGAGTGTGGGGAAAAATAATAAACAACTAAACAAATCTATGGATTAATTTTAGATAATGATAGGTTCTAAGGAGGAAATCAAATAGGAAGATGTGATAAAGAATAAGAACGCTGGGTATTCAAGAGCTCAAGACATATGCCATTTTCTGACCATGGGAAGGGGAGCTGATTTAGATTTTTATTTGTAATTGAGCTGAGATCTGATTGTTGAGAAAGAATGGCCCAGGCAAAGACTTGGGGGGAAAAGTAGCCCAGGCAAAGGCAACAGCAAATGGAAAGGCCCACATAAGTTTGTGGCATCGAGGAACAGACAGAAGGCTGGCAGGGCTGCAGTGGAGCACCCAGGTAAATCATAAGGGAATGAAAGGGCAGAGAAGAGAGGCAGATTTTACAGGCTATGATAAGAAGATTACATTTTCTTCTAAATGTAATGGAAAACCATTAAAAGGTTTAATAAAATGAGTGACATGATCTTATTTGCCCTTTTAAGAGATTCTGCCAGTTAGTATGTAGAGAATAGATTATTATGAGAAAAAGAATGGGAATTGGACGACTACTTGAAACATATCACAGGAATCTAAGCAAAAAATGAGGGTGGCTTACATGATGATTACAATTGTGCAGTGGAGGTGGTGAGAAACAGTTGGAATCCAGATATGTTTTGGAGGTGGAGGCTACAGGACTTGCTGTGGTGTGGTGTAAGGTGTGGGAAAGAGTGGAGTCGAGAAGAACCCCAGGTCCATTAGCCAAGATGAGGAAAATGGGGGGTGGGAAGGCAGCAACAGATTTGGAAGCACAGGAAATCAAGAGTTCTGTTTTAGACATGATCCATGAGATGGTGTGGTCTGAATCTGTATATATCAAGTTGGCGGCTAGATGTACTTGCTTAGTGGACAGGTCAAAGCAAGAGATATAAATTCGGATCACTTTCTTGTAGACAGTATTTAAAAGCCATGGGCCAAGAGAGTGTAGACAGAGATTAAGTTCACTGATATATTAGTATCCCTTTTTAGATCAATGCTTCTGGAAGCTGCTTGACTGGTCCACTTCTTATCAAGCTCTGAACACAGTGCCTGCTTTAAAGGAGCTCACAACCTAAGAAAAGACAGGCAGATGGCTAGAAAACAGTGTATTGTGTATTATATATAATGAAGGTATGGGCTGGGCATTGTGGGAAAACAGAGGAGAGGATGACTAATACCTTGAGTCATGAGGAAGACAGCATACAGAAAATGGCATTAGAAAGGGTCATGAAGGATAAGGACAGTTTTCCCACATAGCAGAAAGGAATTAACATGTGCAAAGGCATGGAAGCAGGCCATATTGGTGAGGTTCTGTGAAACAAAATATATATATATCATATCCCAAAAACTAGGGCCATGCTTAATGGGAAGACATAATAAACATTCTCATTAAAGTCAGCAACAAAACAAAGGACTTCCATATTCACTACTACCTTTTAACACTAGTCTAGTGATACATGCCAACACAATTAGGAAAGACAAGGAATTCACCAATTCAGAACTTGCCAGGAGGTCTAGTTATCAGTATTTGCAGACCATATGATCACATATTTATGGGGAATAATAAAAAAGTAGGAAAAAATATTAAAATAAGTAAGAAAACTTAAAAAGTCAGCTATATACAAAATTAGTGCCAAAAAGAAATCAACAGCCTCAAATATAAAAACAACAATCATTTGGAAAGTAGAGCAGTTCCCATTTCCAACAGCAACCTAAAGGATAAAATAACTAGAAATCTAAGAAATGTGATTTCAATGAAAACACTGACAGAACTTTTTTCACTAAACAGATTTTAAATCGTATATGGTAAATATATAGCAATGAGAATATTTAGAAAAATTCTGAAAAAGAAAAGTAAGAAAGACAGACTGGATGTACCAGCTGGTATAACATAAAGCTAGAGTAATTAAAACATCATGGGCCTGATTTAAAAAATAAAATCCAGAAGCAGACTCCAAAACATATGAGAATGTAAAATATGACAGAGGTGGCATTTTGTATCAGTGGTGAAAAACACATAGTTAAGCAAATGGTGTTGAGACAACTAGGTAGCCATTTAGGAAAAAAATAAAGCAGGATTACTAAATTTATCCATCAGACCAAAGTAAATTCCTGATGGGTGTAAGTCACTAGAAAAACACGGAAAAATATTTTATAATCTTAGAAATGGAAAGACCTAAGTATGAGAAAAAAAAAAATCCCAGGAACCATAAAGAATAAAATGTATACAACTCTACAAAAATTAAAAATTGCCTTCAAGAAACACACAAAATTAAGACAGACAATGACAACACACCTGGGATACCATTTGTAATACATGTAAGAAAGGACTCATTCTCTAAATATATACAGTCACCAAAAATCAATTAGAAAAAGGCCAAAAACACAACAGGAAAATGGGCAAAGGACCTGGATGGACATGTCTTTCTCTGTGGCACACACTCCCCCGACACATACACAATCCAAAAGGATTTAAAACACTTAAAATGACATTTAAAAGAAAGCAAATAAACTACATTTCTTATATTGCAAATTATCAAATATCAAATCCTTGAATGGAGCACTATTGGGAGAGTAGAAACAGCTATTCACTTGAATTGTTGCTAGGCTTATAAATTGATTCAGTGCAGAGCAACTGAATACTCATATAAAAATGTATAGCACATGTATTTTTTTTTTTTTTTTTTTTTTTTTGAGATGGAGTCTTTCTCTGTTCACCAAGCTGGAGTACAGTGAAGCGATCTCGGCTCACTGCAAGCTCCGCCTCCCGGGTTCACGCCATTCTCCTGCTTCAGCCTCTGGAGTAGCTGGGACTACAGGCGCCTGCCACCCATTCCCAGCTAATTTTTTATATTTTTAGTAGAGACGGGGTTTCACCGTGTTAACCAGGATGATCTCAATCTCCCGACCTCGTGATCCACCCGCCTGGGCCTTCCAAAGTGCTGGGATCACAGGTGTGAGCCACCGCGCCCAGCCCTAGCACATGCACTCTTTTACCCTGATATTCTACTTTGGAGAATTTATTCTATAGATATGTTGGCACATGTGCATAAAGTTGTAGCCACAGAGATATTCCTGCAGCTTTGCTTATATTAGCAAAAGAGTGGAAGTAACCTCAGTTATCATCAATAAGGTGGTAGTTTCACAGATAATGACATTTCCTTACAATATTTCAGCAGAAGCCATTCAAAGATTTGCTCTCTGTGCTAACCACCACCAAGACACAGTGTTACAATTTTTATAATAATGTGAAAAGTCATCTATCACTTCCAGAAAAACAAAAGGATACACACATTTATGCTTGTATATGTAAGAAACCAGCAACAGTGGTTGCCTTTAGGGGAGGAAGGATGTGGTTGAAACACAGAGATGGGAAGGAGACTTACATATACCTGAACCATGTTCCTGCATCACCTGTTAAAAACCAACTACGTAGCAGAAAGTTGAAGATCATAGTCATTTTACATTGTGGCTTGAGATTAGGACGTGTGTTAATGGGGAAGATGCGGGGGCAGAGATGACAGTGAATAACAAAATCAATCTTGTGGAATTATGAGCATTAGAAAAATGTTCTGAACACTTAGCAACTGGCCTGTTGTAGGTGTCCAGTAAATGTTAGCTATTATTACCCACAGATTACATAACACGAACACACATCATTTAGTGAAGTGGGAGGTTTGATTTGCAGGTTTAACTAGGGTAGAGTGAATTCTCCCATTACTCTTTCTGTTGCACACCCAGATGGTAAGTTCTGGTGAAGGCCACCTGTGAGTCCCTGCAGGCCCTGACTGTGAGGTGAGAGCCAGGGGCTGGCCTAGAGCCACAATTCCTACCCCAGCCTCAGCCCAGAAGGCATCCAACCCAGAACACACCTTTTTTCTTGGGGAATGAACCCTACAATAACCTCTGCCCTTCATATTTTAAAATCTCCCTTTCCATAGGGGTGGGCTCCCAGCAACCATCCTGGTCCTGTGTGCTCCCTCCACCACCATAAACACAATTGATTGGATTAGGTGCGGACACCTGACTCAAGCTGATCCAATCAGATTTTCTTCTTTGGGCAATTTGGAACTTGAACTTGAACCAAGTCAGCCTCTATGCGGCTGGAAATATGAGACATAAATATGGGAGATGTGAATCAGAGCAGCAGCAGAAAACTCCAGTCCTCTAAAAGAAAAAAGAGAAGAATGAGTCACAGAAGGCTTCCAGTTTCTGGCTCTAATCCCCTCCACAGGCACAGTTACATTAGTGCCTTTATATTTTGTAAGATGTTTCTGGGTTCTTAGAATTTATGCCCTTTTTCTTTTTTTTTTTTTTTCGTTTCTTTAAGCCAAGTTGACTGGTTTCTAGGTTGTCAGTTTTTTGTTTTGTTTTGTTTTGCAATTAAAACATCAAAACCTATACAGACACTGAAAACATGGTAAATCTCAACCTCCTATTGAT
Source organism: Homo sapiens (assembly GCF_000001405.40). Taxonomy (NCBI): domain Eukaryota; kingdom Metazoa; phylum Chordata; class Mammalia; order Primates; family Hominidae; genus Homo; species Homo sapiens. Next base: position 20,316,208 of record NC_000009.12, read on the forward strand.
TGTAACAGAAGAATAAAGGTGAGGCCAAAGCAACCGCTATCAAGCTTGAGATCAGCTTCCATACCTCTCCCCAAAGCAAAGCCATGTGCAGGGGAGAGGATGTCTATTACATGTGGGTGACCAGAGTACTTAGGGCAGCACAAAGTGGTAGTGGAGAGGAGGGGAGGGAGAGCTGGATGTAAGAGGCTCCCCCAGATAATCTGCCATGGCTGTTGCATTCGTTTCTGCCTTCATCCATTCGGTGTTGCCATAACAGAATTCCTGAGACTGGGTAATTTATACAAGAAAGAGGTTTATTTAGTTCACAGTTCTGTTAGCGGGAAAGTCCGACAGCATGGCACTGACATCTGCTGAGCTCTGGCGAGGGCCATGGGCTGCTTCACTTTCAGTGGAAAAGCAGAAAGGCCAGTGGTCACACACAAAGAGGCAGGCAAGAGGGGCTGGGCTCACCTATAACAATCGCTCTCTCTGGAACTATTCCCTGCATAGTGAGAGAGGTGATAGCAGCGTTACTCCAGGACCCAAACGCCTCCCTCTAGGCCTCTCCTCCCAACGCTGCCATCAGGGGAATCAAATGTCAACATGAATTTTGGTGGGGGCAACCCACGTCGAAACCATGGCAGTTTTCTCGGACTGACATAACAAAATGCCACAAGGTAGATGGCTTAAAATATTAATAATAGAAATGTATTGTCTCACAGTTTTAGAGGCAAGAAGTCTGAAATCAGTGCCACACGGGACATGCTCTCTGAAACCCAAAGGGGAGGATCCTTCCTTGCCTCTACCTGGCTCCTGGTGGTGGCCATCAATTCTTGGCATTCCTTGGCTTGCAGCTGCATTGTGACAACTTTTGTCTGTGTCATCAAATGGGGATCTCCCTGTGTGTCTCTGTCTTCCCATGGGTGCTCTCCTGTGTCTAAATTTCCCTTTTCTTCTAAGGATTCCGTCATTGGATTAGGGCCCACCTTAATGACCTTATCTTAACTTGATTACATCTGCAAAGATCTAACTCCCAAAAAGGTCACACTCACAGGCACCAGGTGTTAGGACTTCAGTATTTTTTGGAGGACACAACTCAACTCACAGCAGTGGTCACAGGGAAGAGGAACTACTGCTACTCACTGTGACGCTTATCATTCATCCAGGAAAACAGAAATCATGCTGAGAGTTTAAAGCAGAGGGGATTTGGTGCAGAGAAGAGGTAACAGGTGATAGGGAGGCTGAGAAGCCAAAGAGGAGGCAGCATACAACCCAGAGATTAGCAAGAGCAGAAAGCTGCTGCCATGCCTCAACTGCACAGACAAATTGAATGTCAGGGTTAGGCAAGACTTGGGGCCTGGGTCACCTACTAAGTGGAAATGAGGACCATGGCAGCTCTGTCAGGAGGAAATTGGAGCCAGGCAGGAGGAGAGAAAGAGGATAGAAATACCTGGGCTTCTTTCATCCTCCCACCCTCCAATCTCCTGCCAAGGCCTCAACAGGCCAGAGATCTGGCTGACACCGGAGATTGCAGGGATGGCCTCCTGACACACAGAGAGAGCAAGGATTGGGAGAGAATAGAGCTGAGGGCAAGCAGCCCAGGCCTGGCCTAATATCCACTGTGCATGAGTCTTTAAAGTCTCACAACTTAGGATGTGAGAATTACTGTTCTAATCTTACAGAGATGCCGAGACTGTGAGAGTGTCAGTAGCTCACTCCAGAGCGCCAGCTCCGAGATCCATTCCAACTTGGGTCTGCACATGTGGTGGCTCTAGGGGCTGTGGCTCCTTCCCCTCCACGTTTGTAGGTTCCATTCTGATTCCTTCTTGCCTCTATCTGTGCTGTCCCTAAATACACAGGCCCCATACAAACAAACCACATGAGGGAAAGCCCTCCTGTAAGGGACCCAGTGGACAAGGACAGACTCAACAACCACTGGGTCACCATCGATATTTCCTCTCTTGCCCTTTGGGCTTTTGCTCAGATCTCAGGCCATACCTGCTCCCTCTCTGACTGCCCCTCTCCCTCTGTGACCTGGCCCTGTAAACATCCTAACCCTGCTTCCCTGGTGAACTTCTTTTTCATCCTCGAGACCTTATCCTAGTCAACACGTTTTCCAGGAGGCCTTCTCTGGCCCCTCAGACCAGCCCACCATGTGCCCCTTGGCTGCAGGCAATTCCTCTTTCATTATCCTCATGCGCTTTGTGATTTGGGGCCTGGTGGGACAGTCTGCTGAACCATTCATTCATGGGTGTTCTGTGGTTCCATTTCTTCATTTCTACCAGGTGCCTGGCTTTGCATTCCTTTGCTGCAGGGATTTTTCCAGAGAGAAAGTGGAAGCTGAAGGAAGACATTGTTCTTCATGTAAAACACCCAGTCCTTTGCAGGCAAAGCAAAGGGTGAGAGCCCTTCCTTCGATGACAGGAAGAGAGGAGAGAAATTCTCAAGGTGGATGACGGTAGACAGATGCTGAGCTTAGCAGAGACCAGACTGAAATGTAACCAAGTGTTAGTGGAATACTTTTCCCCTGAATACATTTACTAAAAATTCAGCCTTTTAAACAATTTTTTGTTTTGAGTTGGTGTCTTCCTCTGTCACCCAGACTGGAATACAGGGACACAATCATGGCTCACTACAGCCTCAAACTCCTGGCCTCCAGAGATCCTCCCACCTTGGCCTCCCAACATGCTGGGCTTTTTAACAATTTTAAGTCATATGTTGACATGGCTGCTGTTAAGAATATGACAGATGATAGAGGAAAGAAATTGGACAATTAAGTGCCCAGTCTCCTATTAGAAGTTGGACAAGAGTACCTACTCCCCTATCATCCAAGGGTGGCTCAGGCCCTATTCTGCAGACCACCCCCTCCCCTCCCTGGTTAGAGCCTGCCTGTGTCTCCGACAGAAGTGTGCCTAGGGAGCTGTGAATATTCCTCAGAGAGATGGCCAAGGCGTGCACCTGAGGACGCCAGGGCCTTGTCATGGACTTTCCAGCTCAGGTGGACATTCATATACCCACAGGTCACACTGACACAGCAGAACACACTGAGCTGCCTCACATCTTGGCCTGCTTGCCCATCTGGAGACTGAGGTAAAATAGAGATGTTGGCAGCAGCTATGATGGACCAGAAACCAGAGGCCCTTCCTGTGTTTTCAGAATCCTCGTGAAGGCCCTGGGCTTCTGGTGCAAAACTAGGAGTTGGAATTTCCTGCTGCCCTGGCAGGATGAGAGCTTAGAGTCAGCTTTGACTTAAAGAAAACAAACAAAAGTGTGTATTTTTGCACATGAATTGTTGACTGAGGTTCATGCCCACACGATTTGTTTAACGTGTGACTTTTCCAAGTCCCTGACAGCCAAGACTGCCTGAACTCACGGCCCAACGCCCCAACGCATAGTAAGTGCTCGGTCAATATTTCCTGAGTCGAGTGAATGGGTAGTTTTGGAAGTCAAATCTTGGAAGAGCATTTCTCTGTTTCCTCCGGGCAGACCCTGCAGGCATCAGCTCCAGGAGGCATTCGTCCTGACGGTCCCCTAAACCCTGCTGACACATGAGCAGACACTGCACAACTGCACTGGCGGTTTCTGTCCAGACAGGCACTCCCTCTGTGGTGAGAAATACCTCTGAAGTTGCCTAGCATCTTGGGGCTCCTTGCCCATCTTTAGAATTTTCAAGTGCCCCAAGCTATTGTGAATGTGTTCAATGTTTATATTCCAAGCAGCTTGAATCTATGCCTTGCAAAAATGCAAGTTGGAAAGTTAATTCATTCCTTTATGTCAAGGTAATTGCAGTTTCACCCTAATCCTCTCTTGTCAAAGACATTTCTACAATGCAGGGAGTTATCTTTTACAAGAGACACTTCAAGGTGATTTAATAACAACACTTGCTATGAGTCACATTTTCCCTGTAGTCATCTACTCTTCAGCTTGGGAGAGCAGGGCTTCAAGTACAGAAGAGAGAAGGCATTTGGCTAGTCACATAACCCACTTACACACGCTCAGCCAAATGTACACCTTCAAGAGAAAAAGAAAGCCCTAATGAGCACTTGTGGTAACTAAGGTGCTAAACGAGATCTTTCCAAGCAATGCTATTTTTGTTTGTTTGCTTTAGGGCAAGCTATATTCACTCAGTGCTTTGAAACTTAAGACACGTATGAATTTCATGACTGCGGACAAAGAGGAAATTTGATATGGAGATTAATTATTAATTCAACATTTACTGAGCCCCTACTATGAGCTGTGCTAGGGGCTTGGCTACAACAGCACACAGGCTTGCCTGCCAGCTGCCCTCACCAAGCTAGTGGTCCAGCAGGACTGCAGATGTCAAACAAATAACAAAGGCCAAAGATGTCTCTTTCTCTCTCTGTCTGTGTCTCTTTTAAATGCAAAACTATAAATTTATTTTATATACTCCTTTTTACTTCATCTGCATGATAAAAGGAATACAGATGTATTTTTTAATGTAACCAAATTCCCATCTCACTGCGCAGTAGGAAAAAGTCTACCCACTCCTCACAGTTTCTAGTTCTCCCCTCACAGTGGAGCTCATCAAAAGGCAGAGGACATTGGCTGGGACGTGACCAGGTTTCAGGCAATTTGGGAGTGAAAGGCCAGCAGGCAGCTTTATCTTGAAGACTGTTCAGCTCCACAGGGTGACAGATTCTCCCACCAACCATGTCTCTGTCAGCCTCAGCCCAAGAGAAAATTGAGCTGAATAAGAGAGGTCTCAGTGGAAATTATATTGGAAAGACTCACCATAATGGCTTCCTGAAAAAAATACATAAACAAAACACATTTTTCCATCCAAATTAAACAAGTAGGTCAAGAGGGCAACTTTGCCAAGTGCCACTTACTCCCACCTCCAGCTGGAATTTTCTGGGCATGCCAGCACTGGTGTTACTTGCCGTAGGCAGATTCTCTACCCATACTTACAAAAATCCACACCAGCTACTTCTGATGGAGTTCTTAGCGTGCCTCTTTCAACTGGATTTCTAAACAAGGAACAATGTAATTGGCAGGTAATAACAGGCTAACAGGATTGTCTTAACAGATACTGGTGCCTTTTCAGTTCAGACTTTCACCAGCCAAGAGGTTCTATACAAAAGATCCACACATCAGAGCCATGTGATGAGAGGCCAAAACACTGGAGAGCTGTAACCCTGAATGAAGGAGTCAGGTTTACATATTGATTCAAAAAAAAATTGCTACTCTTATCCCTGTGTGACATCATGCTTTGAATATGATCATTGAAGATGTTACTTGGAGTGCAGCTACCTTGAACCCTCGGTGAAATGAAATGGGATAGAAAGGAGTAAGATTGTTGGGGGCTTTAACTACCGTTCCACACTTTTGAAAGTTAGAAAAACAAAGAGCAACAGCAGCTGCCTCTGTGTTGGTAATCATATTTTCCACCAGCAACTGGCTCCCATTGGTTGGAGCCAATCCTTTGCTGTAACAGAGGATCTAAGCTGCCAAGAGAAGGTCCTCATGTTCAGATAGAGCAATAGAGCGGAGCATTTGAAATGAGGAGCTTCACACCAGTCCCCTGTAGGTCTGAGTGCCTGAGGCTCCCTGCAATGCGTGCACACAGTCATTATGCTGCTCCACAGAAAGAGATGGGAGCTGGATGAGTCCTTCCCTGATGACTTGTATGAGCTAATGATCCTACCGGAAATAGAAAAAAAAAAGAAAAGAAAAAACACTAGTCATGTGATTTCAAGACAGTGACAAAAGCTTAAGCTGAGGTTGCCACAAAAGGTTGTGGGAAGGGGTGTGGTCTATAGGCATGGGTGCAGCCAGGGCTGAGAACGACTAGTTAGCTGAAAACAGCTGCTTTTCTTCACCAAAATATATGGGTGAATAATGCACCCTGTTTTCCAGGGGGATAATGCAAACAAGTGCTCTGTCAAGGTAATTTTTGTATTCCACAGGGATGGCGGGGCCATGTGGGGAACCACAGCTGTGGAGTGGGGATGTAGTATTGCTTAGAGCCAGGTGTGTGGGTCCCAAAGCAGATGTCAGTGCTTAAAATTAGTAGGAATGGGAGAGCCATGCCTAGATCTTTGCTCTGAGATACAGTCGTAGTACCCAAAAAAGAAGTTCCGGTAGTGGGAAATGTAGATTTAGAGCTGGGCTGTTTGACGGGAAGGCAGGGAATGGCTTATGCACCAGCAGAAAGCCAGTTTCCACCTTGCATATCCAGTGAGGTTGCCACAGGGCCATGACCTTCATTCCTGGGGTGCCCTGCCCTCAGCTCATTGGGTGTCTGTGTGGCTAGAGTTTGGTTCTGTGTGAGGAGCAACTTGGAGGGGGGAATGGACTTTAGCTCAATTCAACCAACATGACTGTATATTCACTCGGCATCAGGTACTGGGATTTCAAAAAACTGGACATTGATGTAGCACACTGATAATGGAGCCAAAATCTAAACCACTCTGGAAAATCCAGGGTGACCACTGTACTTAAGTGCCACAAATAGCTATTTTGCATAATCAAAGCTTTGGGCTTGAAGGCTTTGTTCATGCTTTTGCTGCTCACTCATGACCTTTCTCAGGAATTAGTGCTGCCATATGTTGGAGATTTACCTGTATTAGATTTTCACATGCATGAGACTCGATCCTTGGCTTCAACTCAGCAAATGTCTATCTCTCTAGGGCTTCCTATCCAAATCTTTCCAGTCTTTCAAATGCCTGTCTGGGAGAAGAAGAATTTTGGACTTTCAAAACAAAAGCTAAGAAAGGCCTAGTGAGCCCCAGTGGTATGAACCCATCCTGTGCTCATTCGCATTCTACTCAGACTTTCTGCCATAGCAATCTGTTTGTTGTAACCCAACCACACTTCTAGCAAAAGGTAACATTTGGGGACCCTGCTCTAACAAATTTAGAGTAACCCAATTCCATGTTTTCTGCACTGAGCAACATGTACAACTATCACCTTGAAAATTATGCTGGATCTCAGTTACTGAGTCACATCTGTCCGAGATTAGTAGCCCCGAGGGCTGGGATGCTTAGTGCTAGTTTCATATTAGAATCATCTGAGAAGCTTGAAAAAGTGTTGGTACCTGGCACCCCACCACCAAAGATTCTAATTTAATTGTTCTTGGTTGGGACAATGTTTTCTTTTAATCTTTGCTAGGCTTCATAATATTACTGCTAATCAGTTTTAGAGAGTGAGTGCTTATAACCAAACTCCCAGCCTGGTTTACTACAGCCCCTGTATTTCCTCCTTGATGCCATTTAGCAATGACCCATGGACTTTTGATGACTGGACATCTTTAGTTCTCTGGATGGAAATCTGAAGATGAAGGAGACCTTCTGTGCCAAATAGAAGCCTGAGATTTTTAGTGAAACTAACATACGTCATCTGGTCTTCGTGAAACGATTCTGAGGTTTCTAAGAATTTCCCACAACACTGAAGATTGGTGGCTTAGAGTTTATTGACCCCCAAAGAAAAGGGTATGTTTGACTGTGAGATACAGTTGTCCTTGCCATTTTCAAGATATTACCCACTGTCTTTGTATTGAATTACCTTAAAAGTATTGACTCATAGAAGCAACCCACATGGTTAAACCCAACTTTAATCCAAAAGTCTTGGTCATCAACAAGGTTTTCTCCAACTATAGAAAAATGTGCTCCCCAAATTTGCCACATTCTCATTCTCTCCATGTAACAAAAAAGAAACAAACTCTTCATTGTCTGGCCCACTTGGATCTTTTTATCTCAAATAATTTTTTAAAAAATGCTTATGTTGGCTTGGCTTGGTGACTCATGCCTGTAATCCCAGCACTTTGGGAGCCCAAGGCAGGAGGATCATTTGAGTCCAGGAGTTTGAGACCATCCCGGGGAACATGGCAAAACATTGTCTCTAAAAAAAAAAAAAAAGCCAGGAATGGTGATGCATAGCTACAGTATCACCTGAGCCTGGGAAGTTGAGGCTGCAGTGAACCAAATCGCACCACTGTACTCTAGCCTGAGTGATAGAGTGAGACCATGTCTCAAAAAAACAAACACACAACAACAAAAAATCCAAAAACCAGCTTATTTTGAGGGTTGGGGGAAATAAATGACGAAGGCTAGATTCATTTTGGACTCAATTCTAGCTCCTCAGGGAACTTTGAATGTATGCCATTCTTGATATTTATATTTAATCCCGACTAGGAAAGAGGGAAGTCCAAGATTGCTGGATTTTTGTCTCTCCATGCCATTTAGGAATATCTCAAGACTCTTTCCACTGGAGTTGAAAAACACCAGGTCCTAGTTCTGAGTTACTTCTGATACTGAGGTGTTCCTCCTAGGTTTTCAGTACATTTTGTTTACATCTCTACGTGTTTCATTGTCTTATTTTTGTTAGCTGGGTTTGTTTCCTGTCTGCCTCCCATGAGGTCCTTCAGGGCTGAGGCTGAATCTTTTCTCCTAAATGCATCCAATCTGAACCCAAAGTCGGTACTCAAATGTGTGACAATAAATGAAGACACAAATGAATGATGTATCAACTCCCCCCAAAGCTAGCTGCAAGGAGCCTAGCTGTAGGACAAGAGGGAAAGGCCGTGGCCACAAGGGAGTAACCATGCGCGGAGCCTGGACTACAGAGATTTATTGCTAAGGCTCATGCTTTTGCCTCCATTTGCCCACCGTTGTTTTGTCAGTCAATGTCTGTAGTTGTTGAATAACATTCATTTATACATTATTTAGTAGGTGTAATCAAAGTCCCCATGATCACGGCCCTGCTTTTAAAACTTGCCTCTTATCTGTAAACACATTTCCTGAGCTGCTCTATCTTTTCATCTTGTCTAGGTGATCTATAGCAATATCCCAGAACCTGCCTATTTTCTTTTTAATTCCCTGATGGATTATAAATAGCCTCTTCTAAACCTCCCCAAAGCTTTGACGGCAAATTCCTGCTTTCTAAATTACTATCCACCTCTTGCTCCGCACTCAGACCCCTTCAGGAGGCTGTCCTCCTTCCCCAGGGCAGACACAAAAGCCTTCTACACTTCCCTGGCGTCATGCTAAAGGAACACTATGGCAACGACCAATGTTTGGAACGATTGCAGCCGAACACACACATCGCTCACTGCTTCAAATGCTTAATAGCGGTGATTAAAGAAGAGAAATCTGGCATAAAAGAATGGCGGGAGAAGAAAGCAAATGAGAGAGAACAATGAGTGACAGGAGAAAAGGAAGGAGTGAGGAGAGACCTGAGGGAAACCTGGGAGAACAGAAATGAAGACAAGAAGGGAAAAGGGAACAATGGGGACCAGAGTGCACCCCGGCCTGCTTTCTTTGACCTTAGGCCCTGCACATTTGCTAAAACACCCAAGTCTGTCAAACCACCACTGAAGCAAATGCTGTTAGAAGAGGCAACGTGGCTGGAAAGAACTCGGTGCTCTGTGATGCCCCATGGATCCTTTCTATTCTGCAGATAAGAGAGAGAAAAAGCCCCATTGCCTAACTTCCTGGATTGCAGAGAAACTGCTGGGCACATGGTGGATCCGGGGACCCACCGTTCTCAAGAACTTGCTGTAATGGGCACCTTGGATGTACACTTACGAAGGATTGTGTTTCCAAGACACTTCCTCCTCCACTCAAAATTTGCTCATACTTGCAAACAGGAATCATCTTCTACCCAAACCCCCATGACCATCTCTCAGGCCAGAGTTGAGCAGCCAGGTTGCCCTTCTCTGAGCTTGACTCTTTCTGTGTATTAATTTTCAATTTCAAGTCACAACGTAATCCATTAAGAAGCACTTATTCTCAGCAAACCTCTTGAGCAGGCTCTCATTTGCTATTTCTCAGTATAAACTCATTCCTACCTTCCGGTTCAGTGTTGACACTAAATTTGGCACAGTGGCTCAGCACCCACCTTCATCCCTGCATCAATCTCCAGTTGGTTTTCTCATGCCTCCACACCATCAAAATCAGCCTCGGCTTTTCTGAATCTCCATGGGGCTTAGCAGATGGGGTGGCACTTCATAAATCCAGTCTATGCAAAGCTGTTAGCAAAAATGCACAGAGGGCAGCCTCTCGGCCTTCTGTGGGTATGCTCTGAGCTGCTCCAAAGGTATCCTTAAACATGGTATCATTTTGAGCCTCTAAACTCTAAATAGCTAAGCCTTCTCTACAATTTATGCCCCTTGGCATCCCTGAAAGTGGGTAAACCGCACTGGTTTTGAGTGAACATCCTTTAAAAAAAACTCAATTTCTTAGGATCCAAGTCTATATGATTGAAGGACACAGAAATGTACAAACGTGTTCCCAAAGGCTTGATGCTGTGTAATTGTAGGCCCCTCTTCCCTGGAGTTAATCTTTATTGTGAGTTTACCATGTTCCAGGCATTGTGCTGATTTTCAGGCATTATCTCATTTGATCCACCCCCAAACTCCAGAATGATCTTTAAAACAGAAATCAGATGATGATGCTTCTCAGCACAGAACTCTCCAGTGGCTGTCTCACTTGGAGGAAAAGTAAAGTCCTACTGTGGGCTGTCATGAGGCCCCTGTGAGCTCTCTGATGGTGTTTTCTAGAGAATCACCTTTCAGTTCTGCACTCTAGCTGGTCTTGCGGTTGCCCTCATTTGTCAACTAACTCCCCTCTCTCCCCTATGCTTGTCTTTTTTACTCTCAAATGTCATCTTCTCAGGGAGAAGATGGCTGCCCAGTGTACATTGTACCTCATCTCCTCCCCACATCCCATTCGTTGCTCACATTCTCTTCATTTCACCCCCACTGTCAACCTGCTACATATTTGTTTACTGTCTCCACCAACTAGAAAGTAGCTGGAGAAGGACAGGACTTCTGTTCACTTTGAATCCCCAGGACCTACAAGAATGGTGTTTTCAATAAAACATTTTTTAGTAAATAAATGCATTAAAGTATTCTTCTTATCTCCATTTTACAGTTGAGAAACAGGTTTAGGGAGGTTAATTAACTAAGGTCTTAGAGCCAGTAAGTACAACTAGTACTATGGGCTCACCAACCGCTATTCCCAAGTTCAAAATGTCTTTTTTCGCAAGTTCAAAATGTCTTTTTGGGAAATATTTTTGCCATGCTCATTCAATTGGGGGTGATTTGACCAAAGTGGGAAGCTGAGATGGAACAAGATGAACAAGAAATCACCGGGAGGCTGGGTCTGGAATCTGCTATGCACACTCACACTCCTCCAGACTCACTTATCTTGTAGGGTCTCCTCACGTCACTCTTGACATCGACCAAATTCAATCCTTTATTAAATATACACCATAGCATTAAAGTGCAGGACAGATAAGATCATATAAATTTTTTGACATTTTGAGGAACAATGTGACACTGCTATTAATATTTGTAAGTATCTTGGAACCATTTACTAGATGCAATGTTTGTGTGAGGGAAAAGATTATATAAAATGAGACACATCAACCTCAAATACACTAGTCTGTAAACTCCTAGAGGGTAGCTACTGTGCTATATTCTCCCTGATTAGCACCAAGAATGATCTATTGTAGGCATTCGATAAATGTTATTGAATGGATAAATATCTTTGGAAATGAAATTTTAGTTTTGTCTGCAAGAGCAGATTTGGATAGTGGCATCTTTTCCAGGCCAGGCAATGACACACAGTTGTATGAAAACAATGCCAGGGCAGGGTCAGTTACATTTGAAAGAAAGTCATAATCCCAGTGGAAAGTTTTACAGATGAAATATATAGTTGCATGGAATATCCTGTTATAAGAGAGAAACCTGGACAGAATCTGCCACCTCAGTGCTGGGAGGGAATATATGTTGTTGAAATGTGGCCTCCAAACAGCCAGTCAGGAGGTGGGTTGCTCTCCAGCCATTAAAAACATCCCAGAGGCCAGGCACGGTGGCTCATACCCATAATCCTAACACTTTGGGAGGCCGAGTTGGGCAGATCACTTGAGGTCAGGAGTTCGAGACCAAGCCTGGCCAACATGGTGAAATCCTGTATCTACAACCCCGTCTGCACTAAAAATACAAAACTTAGCTAGGCGTGGTGGTGGGTGCCTATAGTCCCAACTACTCAGGAGACTGAGGCAGGAGAATTGCTTGAACCAGGGAGGCGGAGGTTGTAGTGAGCTGAGATCACACCATTGCACTCCAGCCTGGTCAAAAGAACAAGACCCTGTCTCAAACAAAAACAAAAACAAACAAACAAAAAAAACCCAAAACCAAAAACAAAACCATCCCTGAGGGAAAGACAAATGGCCATGATTTACAACCAGAAAGTTGAATTGGTGAAGCCATAAACAAGCAGTCTAAAAAAATCCCAGCTGAGACTTTTTCTCTATATAATCTCTTCTTCCTGCCCCATCAGGCCTCAGAGCTCTGCCATATTTCCCTTCAGGGGAGGAGAAGGAAGCCCCACTGAGGAACAAAATTTCCACAAGTACCCCTGCTTCCTTGGGTTTGTCCAAGTGCCTGGGATATCAGGAAGTGCCTTCAGGTATCCAGCACTTTTGGTTCAAGAAACAATATAATTCCTTATCCAACCACCAAACTCCTAAAGGGAGGAAGGCCAGCCTTCAAAGTGGACAGCCATCCAGATGACATTCTAGATTCCTCCTACTGACCTGGCAACACAGGGAACCTCTACTTGAGTGAGCGCAGGACATCGTGACTAGCTTCCAATAAATACAATATGGCAAAAGTGATGGGATATTATTTCCATGATTAGGTTATAAAAGACTATTACTTCCATCTTTCTAGCAGACTTTTTTTTTTATTTTTGAGACAGAGTCTTTCTCTGTCACCAGGCTGGAATGCAGTGGCGCGATCTCGGCTCACTGCAACCTCTGCCTCCCAGGTTCAAGTGATTCTCCTGCCTCAGCCTCCTGAGTAGCTGGGGCTATAGGCGCGTGCCACCACATCCACCCAATTTTTATATTTTTAGTAGAAACGGGGTTTCACCATGTTGGCCAGGGTGGTCTCGATTTCTTGACCTCGTGATCCGCCCACCTCGGCCTCCCAAACTACTGGGATTACAGGCGTGAGCCACCACGCCTGGCCAGCAGACTCTCTTACTGGCTTTAATAAAGCAATCTGGCAGTTTGGGAAGCCCAGGTGGCAAGAAACTGAGCGTGTCCTTCAGCCAACTGCCAGCAAGGAACTGGGGCCCTCAGTCCAACAGCCCATGATAAAACTGAATTCTGCCAACAATCACTAAGCGAACTTGGAAACACCATGCCCCAGTTGAACCAGTAACTTGGTTTCATCCATAGGAAAGGCCCTGAGCTGCAAGATCTAGCCAAGCCATATCTAGATTACACAGAAACTGTGACATAATAAATATGTATTGTTTTAAGCTGCTGACTTTTGAGGGCAATTTGTTACACAGCAATAGATAATCCAATATAATAAAAATGTAATGAAAACTCAGTGAGATACACATGCAAAGATTCTTGTTAAAAGTGTGAAGCTTGGGATCATAGGATACTTACAGTAGATACTCTCTGGAGGAGAAGTATGGGGTCCTACTTCACAATGCAAAGCTGTTCATGCTATTCCAACCTCCACCCCCACTATAGCTGCCCATTTATCCACTAAATCAAGCACGAGTTCCTTAGTCTAGCAACAAGGTCTGACATCATGTGGTCTCTGCCTATTTCTCCAATTTTATCTCCTGCTTTCCTACCACTTGCACTCCGCCTTTAAGTCATACCAAACTACATGTAGTTGCCCCAAATGCTGTATACTTTTCTCTTTTTCCCTACTGTTCCCTCTGCCTAGAATGCCTTCCTGTACAGGTTCAGTTACAAGCATCTTTGGTGCTCTGTAGAACTCCATTCAAATCCTTACACTGTCCTCTCAACTCTCTTATACCACATGTCCACCTGTCTTATAACCTTTGGTTTCTTTGTCTAATACCTCTCTAGCTGTAAGCTCTGTATTGAGCCTCTTCTTCAACCTGGGATCCTCAGAGCTAGTTTGCAGTCTGGCAAATCACTTCAGTCAACAACTAACGAAAGAATAACTGTGGGATGGACGTGCCAGAAGGAGAAACAATTATTTATTGGCTTAACTGTAATTTATACCATGCTATTGAAATAATAGGCAGTGTAAAGGACCTACATTCAGGAAGGTTAGTAGCATACAAAATTAAAAGCCACATAGAAGGATGAAAAAGCAAATCTGCCAAACAGTAGGCATGTTTGTCACAATGAAGGATTACATTTCATCCTAAGTTTGCCATCAGACAAGCAAGAAAATTCCAAGGAATTATGAATTTGCCTACACCTTCCAATTGGGTTCATCCTCAAAATTCCTCCATTAAGACAAAAGAAAGGCTTCCACATGGTTTGTGAAAATTATTCAGGTTTCCATGCTATATATCAGTTCTACTCACCTTCCTGGTGTACCAAATCAGTTCAAAGAGAAAGAGGAGGGGATTTTAAAATGAATATCTTATTTTTATGCCCTTCAGGAAATCTGCCTTCCTCCCCATTTGTTACCAACTAAAATTGACAAACTGACCCAGAGTTAAATCAACTTAGGGATCACTCAAGGAGTGAAACCAACCACCTTTTCATAAAGAAATGCTCAGAGAAGAAGGTAGCAATTACACTTTATCAGAGAAAATGTCTTTCTTACAAAGTATAGCCATCAAGTGGAGATGTTTGATGATCCTTTTAAAATATCTTTAAATCAGAAGTAACTTAGCATGGATGCCCTTCATTTTGAAGAAAGAGAAAATATTTGATGATTTGATGATTCATCAAAAATTTGTTTCTATGCAACAGGCTTATTGTTATGAGGGATTTCAATGCAAAATTAATAATCAGCCTTGGAAAAGAAATGCCTTGAATCCTATAAAACTGAGATGACTTAAAAAGTTCTATTCCTGCTCAGTCAACTTACTGAAAACCACCATCATCTTTGATCAACAGAAGGGAATATATCCAAAAGCTAAGCTAAAATCTCTCTTTCTTTAGGTCATAAATCAACTCTGCAATCAAGACTACGGAGAGTCCGTGCCACGCAGATGGCTTTGAGTTTTATAAATTGGTTAGGTGTGGGGACATGATCAATAGTTTGATGATTTGACTAAGTAAAATGTGCTGAAAAAAACCACCTGTAGGGAGGACTCAGATGACTCTGCACAAACATTCTTGAACTTGAAAATCCAAACTGTTAGTCATATTGAGACTAACAAAGTTAATATATGCCACCAAAGGAGAAGGCTATATCATCTCAGGGAAACAATTTTTGACTGTGCTTAGTATTTAGGAAATAATGCATTCATTGAAAGGTAAAACTGGCAGTAGGCTTACGATGGCAATGGGCAGTGCCAGCAGTGGCTGTGGCATCCTGGAGCAGGAAGATTTGGTGCATTTCTAGTGCAGCATAGGCCAGAGTGACGTTTCTGACATTTGGGATGCTACAGCACTGATAGAAGTGGATGATAAAGCTGTGGCTTCATTTAAACAGGCTCTAAAGAATGATGACATTTGTGAAACCTCAGATAAACCAAAAAGCATGCCTAATAGAAAACCTGCTAAGAAGCATAAAGGCCAAAAAAAGAATACTGTAACTTTCTTGAAGTAGTGGAAAGTTGGGGACAAATGTCCTGCCATTTGGTCAGAAGACAGCTGCATTTACTCTGCTACCATTGCTTCAGTTGATATGAAGAGAGAAAGCTGTGTTGTGATTTACACTGGATATGGAAATAGAGAGGAGCAAATCTGTCTGATCTACTTTCTTCAACCTCTGTAGCTAATAATATAGGACAGAATGCTCAAAAGAATGAAAATGAAAGTCAAGATTCAATGGATGAAAGTGAGAACTCCAGGTCCTGGAAACAAACCATTTAGCATCAGGTCAGAAGCTACTCCATGGAATTCTGAGACCACGAAAGCCAGGTCAGGTCTCAAATTCAGTAGCCCACCACCCACACCACCCTGCTTCCCCTCATGCTTGCTGCCTCCATTTCCTTCTGGACCACCAAAAATTCCCCCACCACCTCCCACAGGTCTAGATTTTCTTGATGATGTTAATGTTTTATGAAGTATGCTAATCTCTTGGTACATTAAGTGGCTATCATACTGGCTATTATACAGGGCTCAAGCAAAATTAAAAAGAGGGAGAGTGCTCACGTTCCAATTAATGAGTAAATATGCCATTATTATAAAAGTGAATCTTACTTTTGTAAAATTTTATGGTTTGTGGAAAGCAAATGTCTTGGAATATTTTTAAATTTAAAATGTTAAAAAGTTGAAAGGTTAATGTAAAACAGTATTAAAGACATTCTGATACCAAAACTATTAGATAAAAGGTTGAGCTACATCCCTACTAGAATTCTCATGGTATCAAAGTATCACCTCACCAAAAACTTACTGGTTGGTTGTGTGGAAAAAATATACTTTTACAATAAAGAGTTCCGTAGGCTCTGATGACATTTTACATCACTAGTAGTCAGAAAAAACAGACATGTTTTCTGACCTGTGATGCGGTATGACCTACGCATACTGCACTGGTACACTCTATGACCTGTGAAGTGCTCTGGTCAAAAAACTTTAACTGAAATTTAATCAGGCCTTTAGATCTAATTTCCTGTTTGCAGGAGATGCTAGGGATAGAGCAACAAGTTAAATGACACCACTAAAGAAACGATCAGACAGATCCAGAATATAGAATGTTATAGAAGATAACTGGCCTCATTGCTTCAAAATATCAGTGTTGCCAAAAATAAAAATAAAAAAAGGTGGAACGGGTAACTCTTCCAGATTAAAAGCTACTTAAGAGACATCATAACCTAATGCAATGTGGAATCTTTGATTAAACCTAAGGGGGCTGAGAAAATTTGAATATGGACTAGATTTTGAATACTAGACCATTATTGCTAATTTTATGAGCTGTGAGAAGGATGTTGTAGTTTATAAAAGAATGCCTTCATTTGCATACTGATTTAAGAATGAGGTGTTATAGTGTCCCTTAAAATGTTTTAAAATGGTTTTGCAAAATGCGCATGAAGCATATATGGCAAAATGTTAATGAATCTAACTGGTGTGTATATGGGTGTTCAATGTGCTATTTTTTCCTATTTTCTGTATGTTTAAAAGTATATATATATTTTTAAATTAAAAAGGCAACACTGAAACAAGAATAAACAGTTTTCTTCTTACGCTAGAATTGCTACAAATTTGATTATGTAAAAGAAACTTTAAAAAGTTATACTTGGTGTGGGTTTGCTGAATCAGGACAGACCAAAGCTTTCAGTGCCAATAGTTGTCTCCCTCAGAGAAAATTCGATTGGTGCATTCTTCTGGTTTACTGTTGTCCAGATTGAGTTTTATTTGATTTGACTTTTTCTTATCTACAGTGCTTTAGAGGACTTCTTCATCTTTTTTTATTGATAACTTACCAGACAACCTAACAGGCAACTATATCTACTATCCAGGCAGCCATCAACACACAGAAAGGCTGAGGAGAATCAATCAGGGACCAAAACATTCCATGCCACCAGCATATAACCTTGCCCTTCATACACTCCCAACCCAGCCTCAGGAATACTGGCCACAAGGGAAAATCAGCCAAATGCTGGAGCTGAGAATGCGGGTTAGTTTGCTCTAAGTAAGTAAAGGCACAGCTTTAAGTTCTTTGTAGCACTCCACTACACAATGTTTCCTACAACTCTCTGATAAGAATTACCTGAAGCATGTGTGTTAAGCCTGCAGCTTTCTAGGGACAGCCCCCAGAGTCTGGGTCAGAAAGCCTGGAATGGAGACAGCCCTCAGAAATCTACATTTGTGACAAGGAAAACAGAATCCTGATAGCTAAAAGTGCCAAAAGATTGTTGCTAGGATGGCAGCCCCCAAACATAGCTGCACGCTAGAATCACCAAAGGAACGTTCACAATTCAGTAGGACTTACTGAATAAGGATCCCTGGCAGTGGGAACCAGGACTTTATTTTTTACACTCCCACCTTGACTGCATATTAGAATAATCTGGGGAGCATTTGAAGATGCCAGTATCCAAGGCCTCATGCAAAACGACTGACTCAGAACCTCTCAAAGAGGAGTAGTTTGTAAAAGCTCCTTAGGTGATGAAACCAGACCACAGCTCAGCATATGGAAAACACTGAATTGAGTGCTTTAAGATGAAGCTGGGATTATCAGCTTTTAATCTTTATTCTCCAAGCCAGAGCAGCAAAAAGGAACTATACATCGACTTTGGGACCCACTTAGCTGGGCTGGTGCTCCAGGCTGCTCGCTGTGCATAGCTTTAAGTTGAACCATTGATTCAGGTCTCTCTAAAAAGCCTATGAAATTCAGATCAAATTAAAAAGTGTCCCATCTGTAATGGGAATAAGGAGGCTGGGAGCCCAGAAATGGTGTTCAGTCTGTCTGCCAGTTAAGGATTTCCATATAGCTTCAAAGAAGTTCTAACCACATGATGACATTGTTGCTCAGGAGTGAAGAGATTCTACTACCAGCAAAATGGAAAGGAAATACTCTGGACACAGCAGCTATATTTTCACAGGGTCCTCAGGATAGTGGTCGGCACATGGTAGGCACTCAGTAAATATCTCACGAATGATTCCCATTACCATGGCTAAAACATGAGTCTTTTAAGATGTCTTACTGTGGATCTGTCTCCAACTTCGGAAGAAATTGCCACCACAGTCATCATCATGAATTATGTTACTATGAATAACTGGAACTAGCAGCAAATTGCTTTAATTTTAATGTGGGCCAAATAAGTTCTGCTTAGATATTTAAATAGACTTTACTTAAACATTCTGAAGGATGGAGATTTCAAAGCTGGCACCTCCCTACCTGTGAGGCATAATAATGGTTCCCCAAAGATGACTACTTTCTACTCCCTAGAACCTGTGAATATGTTACAGTACCTGGTAAATGAGCAAAGTTAAGGATTTTGAGCTAGGGAAATGTTCCTAGATTATCTGTGTGGTCCCAAGATAATTCAAGTTTCATTAGAAGATGAAAGAAAGACTGCATGGTGGCTCATGGCCTGCAATCCCAACACTTTGGAAGGCCAAGGCAGGAGAATGGCTTGAGGCCAGAAGTTCAAGACCAGCTTGGGCAACATGGCAAGACCCTATATCTACAAAAAATAAATTAGCGGGGTGTGGTGGTGCATGCTTATAGTCCCAGCTACTAGGAAGGCTGAGGTGGGAGGATCGCTTGAACCCAGGAAGTCGAGACTACAGTGAGCTGTGATCACGCCACTGCATTCTAGCCTGGGTGACAGAGCGAGACCCTGCCTCAGGGGAAAAAAAAATGATGGAAGACAGACACAGTTCAGACAGAGAGAGTGGAAGAAGCTATGCTTCTAGCTTTGAAGATAGAGGAAGGGCCATGAGCCAAGGAATGCAGGTGGCCTCTAGAAGATGAAAAAGGTAGAGAAATGGATTCTCCCCCAGAAAAGACACTGGAAGAAATGCAGCCTTGTTGACAGTTTGATTTTAACCCAGTGAAACTCACTTTACACTTCTGACCCCTGAAGTTGTAAGAAAATAAATCTGTGTTATTTTAAGCCACAAAGTTTATGGCAATTTGTTACAACAATAGGAAACTAACACATCACACAATATTTAAGAGAAAAAAATAATTTGGAGAATAATAGTGACTACATTAGCATTTCTTTGCATTTCAACATAGCAAAGGGCTACATTTGTATCCTCTATAAGATGATGTGGCTAGCCACATCCCTTTCAAAACTGTGATATGGCTTTTAAGAGTATAATGGTGAAATAAAGGTTACTGAGATGCTTGCTATAAATAAAATCACAGACTATACAATAAAATGACCATTTCTATGTGGTATATGTGCCTTAAGAAAAAGTGACATCATTCTAAGGTCTTGTACATGGTAAATAAATGAGTAGAACGTCTGGCTAACCAAGATCACAACTTGGGCTTACTCCGGTGAATGCCCAACACTCTCTAGAGAATGGCTTCCCACGCAAATACCACTCACCAAAGGTGTAAGGCACTGCTGCATAAAGATGACAGTGATGCTCATACTGCATACCCACCCTTCTCCAGAAGGCACTATACAACCATGTTTGAAAGGGCGTGCTCTCACACTGTCCTTCCTATGATCCAGGGCACTATTCATGACATGTTTGTGTAGGCTCAGGAAGTGTGTAGTCATGCAAGGGGGCAAACCAGTGGGTTGAAAAGGGGCTTGAACCTATGACCTCAGCTTCACCAGTGTTACCTCTAGCAATTGAGCTCATCAGGTGGAAATGGGTTCAACTCTATCAGTCCTATGTGGCCCAGCTCTGAGGCAAGAGACCTGGCTCCCTTTCATTCCAATGGGCTGAAAACAGCTTTGAAGGAGCAGCAGTCAGTTACATAGCTGATGACTGCCCTGCAAGAATGTGCACCTGAGGAAGGGCAATGATCACAATAGGCTGAAGACACTCGGGGCTGAATGGCAAACAGCACCAGTGTAATCCTACATATTGGCAAAATTCTCCACCAACTAGAGAATAGAGAATTGTTTCATCAGACTCCAACAGCATCATGACTACCATTTATTAAGCACTTTACTGTGGACCAGGCACAGTGTGCTAAGTGTGCTACAAACATCTAATTTTAACAATCACCTTAAACAGAGGTCCATTGTTCATCTCATCTCACAAATGAGAAAACCAAAGTGTGGGAAAGTATGTTGTTTTAAGGTTATATGGCTAGGAGTGACAGACCTGGCATTCAAAACCAAATCTTTCTGCCTCTAATGTTATACTACCTTTAATACAGTAGCAGAATAAGACACACTTTTAAGGAAAGAGGCAGCAGAGAATTGGCATCAAGGTAGCAACTTACTTGCAAGCCAAGGAAGATATTTATTTACGGCCATTTATTTAATCGGTTCATCATTTTTTGAGCATTTGGTCTACGCTAGGAATTGTGCCCATACGACTTGGAATCACCAAAATATCAAAGGGTATCAGGTAGTAGGACTTGGAGACACAGTGAAAACCTACAAAGTTCCAGAACATGCTCTAACAGGGAGAGGACCTGCCAGCTGAGCAATTCCACCCTGGACATGGCAGCGGCAGCCAGAATGACTTGGCAGGTGACAATGAAGAGGTAGCATCTCAAACAAAGGTGTCAAGTTTGAGGAAAACAAACACAACCTCAACATGCAACAGGCTCAGGAAATGGGGCCAGAGACCCCAAATATGGAATGCGCCCTTCTTCCTTGCAGGACTGATGTTCAATACCGGCCTATTCACCTGTTCAACTGATAGGCTAACACAAGGGCGGGGGTGAGGAAGGAAGGGCTGGCTTGGAGACCACATCACCTGCAAAGCCTCTTCAGCAACACTGACAACGCCCTTTAAACCCTGGATCCTGTGGGCCTACCCTTAATATGAGGGAGATGCTCAATTGTTACCACAAAGCAGCAGCTGTCAAGGTTCAGAACACAATATCCCAAAATATGGCACCTTGGCATACTGAGTATTTTAAACTGAAGGAAACTGACAAAACTCAGAAGCAGAAAGAGCACTCTTTTTGCCACATTTCTCCCATGAAGATTGGTCATTTAAAAATTTTTCTGTGCTGGGCGTGGTGGCTCATGCTTGTAATCCCAGCACTTTGGGAGGCCGAGGCAGGTGGATCACCTGAGGTCAGGAGTTCAACACCAGCCTGGCCAACATGGTGAAACCTCGTCTCTACTAAAAATACAAAAAGTTAGCCGGGCGTGGTGGCAGACGCCTGTAATCCCAGCTATTCAGGAGGTTGAGGCAGGAGAATCACTTGAATCCGGGAGGCGGAGGTTGCAGTGAGCCAAGATCAGGCCACTGCACTCCAGCCTGGTCAACAAGGCGAGAGTCCTTCTAAAAAATTTCTGACTTACCTCACCTGAAAGGAGGTCAAAAAGATCCTCATTCCAAAGGAGTCCTGCCCTATACCCTGAGGTCAGAAGAATCTGAACAATCAGGCCTTGCTAAGTGCCCCCAGTTTATTACCATTAGGTCATACCGCCTTTATGGATACTTCCGTACGACTGTCCATTCTTCATCAAAGTTAAGCATAAAAATGGAGCTTCCTCTGGGTCTCTTGGACCTTCATTTCTAATGGCTCCCATGTCACACAAAACTTTGGTTGAATCTGCTCTGCTTCTCTCTTGTTAATCTATTTTTAATGTAGGGGTGTCAGCCATGAACCTTGCAATGGGTGAAGAAAGATATTTTTTCTACCCTACACAGCCCAACCAAACCATATGCATCATAAGTGCATATGATAAAAGTGATGGAAAGAGAAATCTGAAGGTATACTTTCAGTTCCACATGTCCCAAAGTGTTTTCCTCGAAACTACAGTGACCACATGCCCTGATTTGCCAAAGACAGCTTTGATTTATTCATGTTGTCCTGGGATGATTATTAATAGTGTCCCATTTCCTTCTCAAAAATGTTCCAGTTTGCCAGATCTAGTGGTATGGACCTGTAGTCCCAACTACTTCTGAGACCAAAGCGGGAGGTTCACTTAAGCCTAGGAGTTCAAGACCATAGCATGTTATTATGTGCCTGTGAATAGCTACTGCACTACAGCCCTGGCAACGTAGAGAAATCCTGTATGTAAAAAAAAAAAAAAAAAAAAAAAAAAAATTCCAGTTTGGCCAAAAAGTTACATGGTTAGCTAATCCAGAAAACCACTTCTAGAGATAGTAATAGCCGTGTTGTCCTTCTCTGAAACTGTGCTACCCAAACTATGTTATAAACCTTGAAGAATGAAATACAGTTTAAAAACGATTTTGAGGCTGGGCGCGGTGGCTCAGGCCTGTAATTTCAGCACTTTGGGAGGCAGAGGCAGGCGGATCACAAGGTCAGGAGATCAAGACCATCCTGGCTAACACGGTGAAACCCCGTCTGTACTAAAAATACAACAAAAAATTAGCCAGGCGTGGTGGCGGGCACCTGTAGTCCCAGCTACTTGGGAGGCTGAGGCAGGAGAATGGCGTGAACACGGCAGGTGGTACTTGCAGTGAGCCGAGATCGCGCCACTGCACTCCAGCCTGGGTGACTGAGCCAGACTCCGTCTCATAAAAAAACAATAAAATAAAATAAAAACTATTTTGATAAAGAAACATTATTTTAAATGCCAAACAGCTATTATTATCTTGCATAACTACTATTGTGTTACATACTGTTTGGGAAATATTGCATTAAATAAAGTTAAACAAGTTTGACTATTGGTGGAACATGTGGCTTTCCAAGATTTAATATTTTAGTACGTCATGAATTGCCAAGAGGGTCATATACTGGGCAATTTTTCCAAACTTAAACGCAAAACCATTTCTCATGAAATGTCAAAAGAGGTTCATGTTCCACAAAATGCTCCCACATTTTCATTTGATAAATAGAGGTGTCTCGTATGTCTTGGACTTGTTCTAGGTCCTGGAATCAGCAGTGAACAAACCAAACTTCTTGCCCTCAGGTGCTTCTGTTCTAGTGGGGGAGACAGATAATAAACATGGAAACAAATAAGTATTGTAATTTGGAAAACAATGATTTATCCCCCAACTGATTCAAAGTCAAAACTCCCGACATCTAACAATTCTGAGGGATATTCATGAAGCAGCCTGTCTTCAGATGTGAGTTGGCAATGATTTGTGTCTCTCAAAAGCCATCGTCGGGCATCGTGTTTCCTGAATAAAAGAAGCTTCCCTTAAGAAGTCTCCGCCTTTGAACTAAGCGCGCTTCATTTGGCATTCTCATTAGTATAGATGTGCTTTTGGGGGAGTCCACCTTTATTTAGATTGCTTGTGGACCGTATTCGTGTGTACCTTTAATTTAATGCTATTTCCTGTCCTAGCTAGACCGAGGTGTTATTTAAAACAGCGTCCCTTTCAAAAGAGATGTTAATAGGTGCTTAGCACCCAGGGAATACATTCCAACAAATGAAGAGTTATACATTCTATGCCACACATCCCATCCCCTAGGGCTGGGGTGGCGAGAGACAAGAAGGTTCATACACACACACAGACACACACACACACACACACACACACACACACACACACACACACACACTCCTACCCTCTGATTGGTTCTGTGCAGAATAGAGACTCACATTTAAATGAATAAGCCAAGTTAAAACTTTCCATCCTGGAACAAAGCAAAAGGAAAGCCTCTTTA
This sequence comes from Homo sapiens, assembly GCF_000001405.40. Taxonomy (NCBI): domain Eukaryota; kingdom Metazoa; phylum Chordata; class Mammalia; order Primates; family Hominidae; genus Homo; species Homo sapiens. The sequence continues at coordinate 20,340,290 of NC_000009.12, forward strand.
TGTTGCAGGGACTATAGATGCCACGGGCTGAGCCTGTCCCAAAGCTTCCCTCCACTGCTCAAAAACTAAGCCATCTTGCTGCGTTTAGCACTTCTCACCAGACCACCCACCCAGACACGGATACACAAACCACATGTGTGAGGAATGCTGTTCGGCTAGGAAATCAGTATCAGTATTTCAACCTTGTTACTTGCACAGACGGCCCTTTTAGTGCGACTCATTTGTTTTATCTTTTCAATAGCTTTGATTATTTTCTTTTAATGGCCTGGATTTATCCTTTTCTACCCTTTTGAAGCCTCAGAACTCTGTGGTGGGGACTGCATGGGGTGGGAGACATGACTACATGATTAAGGGGAAAATGAGCAAATAACGTTGTCTTTACTCACCATCTATCTCCCACTCCTTGTGGGCACCTCCCATTCCATGCGGACTGCCGAGTGCCCTAGTAGTCACCCTGAATTGTTATAAAAGTGGACTCAAGGAGCCTTCTCATTCAGGTCGAAGACTATTTGTGCTGTTATTTAAGAGCCATAGGGCCCAGTTATCATTATCAGAGTGTTTTCTGGTTTGTGCCGTATATTTCTCTCACTAGCTCCTAGGGACCACATTGGTTACCCTTCTTTAATTAAGGGGAAATTAAGACCAAGAGGCTAAGCTGAGAGCCAAAGGCAATTTAACAACCTCTGGAAAAAATTGGAAACGCCTCTACAGAAGGGGACCGCATAAACAGGAAGGTATGGATACTATTACCTGGCAGAGAAAGCAGAAGCTTTGAAATGTGCTCCGTGTTTTCTATTTGGGTGGTATCCCTGGCAAGGAAACCAATAAAATACCCTTAGTTGTTCTACTAATCAGAATAAAACAAGACCACTAGTTTTGGAGACTTATTTCCCTGAATTAGCAACCAGAGAGGTCTGGGGGTCAGGCTTGGTTATCTGTCATCTCTCTCCAGGTTTCCTTGCATATCGAAATGGGGCCATAAATTGGAGAGACAGGAAACAAATTATTGGGGAAAACCATGTGGTGCAGTGCACCCCTGGGTGAGTGTGCTTCAGCAGGGCCTGGGGCTGATCTTGACCCTTTCTATACAGTGGAGAAGGTGTAAGGCCATTATTTTAAATAAAATTGAGTATCTATGCCACAACAAGGGAACAGATTAGTCCAATCCAAGTATGGTCATTAGAAAGTTCTACTGCCACCCCAACCCATCTGGGACTGATGCTTCCACACCTAAACTCAGTTTCGGGTTGATAAGAGACAAAGCAGTCCCCTCTAATCCCCTAAATGGCTTGTCAGCCTGAATGAAGATAAAGTCAGTTTCTCAAATTTGATGTAAATCTCCTTACTATTAAGTAAGAGCATCACATCCAATTCCTTGGTTATTTACCAAACTGAATGTATTTTATTCTCTTTGTTGTAGTAGTTGTTCTCCTTCCTGTCTAATCAAGGTAGCAGTTCTTGCTGTGAAAGTAAATGCAGGGACTTTGTAAGATCGACTCTCTCTGGCTATAGCACATTGTTTCTGAACAAAACCCTCCAAAGAAATAGGGGGGAAAGAAAAAATACCGGGCACACATAGCCCAGTTTATGCCAAAAAATGTATCCCACCACTTCTTGTTCCAATCTTTGCAGAGTTTTAAAAATATTATATATATACTGGCTTTAGGACACAGAAGATGGTGTTAGACATGAGGGACTCCTAAAATGAATGAGGCATGGACTCTCTGCCTTCAGCTGGTTTTGGACACATTGTCCTCTCTCTGGATGTCTCAGATCTCCCCATCTATTCTTCTTTAGAAACAGCATCACTTCTTGAGAAAAGGCTAGGGGCTAATTTTTCCTGTATGCAAAATAAAGCCAAACTTTGGTCAAATGACTCTCAGCAAATCAGTACAATTATACATTTTAAAAAAGGTGCTGAAACAGATTATATGAGTTTAAGTAAAACACCTATTTCTATCAATCTGTACTTACATTTCAACATGGATTTTAGAGAAGGGAAATACATCTTACAGTGTGCCTTGAATTCACACAAAAGCATGTACACATACACAATGTATCTTTCAACATAACTACACATACACAGTCCATTAAAAAGATACTGACAGATTTATAAAATGTATTGGCCTTGCACTGTTAATCTCAATAATACATTTTCACTTAATTTATTTTTGCACTGCATGGTAGCTCTGGCCACCATTAAGGATCTGTCAGCATTTCCATCATAACTCTATTTTCAGAATACTGGAGTACAAGTGCCAAAATACACATTTACAGTTTACAGACAGCGGTGGCTTTGTCTTCCTTTTAAATTGACTTCTTCACTGCATCTTTACAAGGAATATTCAGGGATGGCAGTGCCTACATAATAAAAAGCATCATATAAAACAAAAGAGGTCAAAAGATGTAGACTTCCAGCCCGAGACTAAACTAAACCATGGGAATTGACTCCTTAACATTCACTGCAGCTGTAGTAGTCTCTACATCATATTCATAGTTTTAGAGCAACAGTCCAAAGCAAGATTACTCTGATAATATATATGTGTATATATATATATATATGTATATATAAATATAGGAGCAGTACATAGCATTAGTACACAAAACGCTAAAGGTGGAAAGTAATAAGCATACAGCAAATTACTCCAGAGCAGATCACTTCTACAGTGACAAAAATAAACACGAGCCACCAAACAGACACTGACTGTTTCCAACACTGGACATCCAACTCCATTAAGTAGGCAAAGTTAAAACATTTAAGAGTAAAGTCTCTCTTAAACAAATATATTAACTACATTTGTGGAGCTTGAAGTAGTAAATAGGATGTTATACAGGCCTAAAATTGTTTCTTCTCTTTTTTTTAAAGATTAGGTGGGCCTGTAAAAGATATCGGCAAAAAAAAAAAAAAAAAAAAAAAAAAAAAAATTTTGAAGAAACTTTTTAGTGGAAGAAAACCAATATTACTGGCTCTTTCCACCAAAAGGTGAATATTCAGATTAGAGAGATTTAAATTGCCTAGCAATTTAAAATGTTTAAGACACTCTCTTAAGAGATATTTTTTTCCTGATCTGAAGTTTTTATAGTCTTCCCTACCTTGACACTATATGAACGCATTTATAGACATACCTATTTGTCTGTATTAAGATTGAGAGAGAGGCAGATTATGCTGAGGATGGTGAAGTAACTGCAAAATATTGTTGCTAACATGACTGTTACATCCGAAGACAGAAGGAACCCCAAACCCACCAACACACATCCTGCTGCAAAACCAGAGGCAAAAGCTAAGTTATAAGGGGGCAGAGGGGCAGGAGCTCTGTACATATATTTTTTCCCCTGGCTGATCACTGAGGAAAAATTTTTTAAAAGTTTATCATACTCTGGCTGGTTCAAACCATATTCACATTTACCCAATTAATTTTATTTGAAACATCTATTTATATATGTACACCAAAGAAATTAAACCCTGCCATTTTCCCTTTGTGCTTAAGAAACCAGAGCCACTGTTAGGGTACTCACATGTCAAAGATATTCTTAATAGGCTTCAAAGTTGGGTGTATATAAATGTGACAGAACTGAAGGGGTTACTTTAAGAGAGGTATTAAAACTACTTGAAATTAATTCAAAGGGATCTTTTTATTTCTGTATTTAAAAATTAGATGAGAGCAAGATTACCACTTCAAAAAAAATAACGTAACTCTCAGTCTTAATTTTGTGAAAAACTTACTTTGCTATCTTGATGAGTAGAAGATGGATAAGTTTTTCTGAACTTTATCAATTTACAAACTTACATTTTAGGATATTCTGAAGAAATTAACTTTATTACCTAATTTTCAAGTCTAAAGTTTATCATATAATAGCTGTCCTTCTTATCATTATTTTTGTTTGGTCATTTCTTATCTTACCTAGCTTCTTGGTTAGTAACTTAAAGGAAAAAATTTTTACATTGGCAAATCATATTTTTTGCCCCACAATTTAGTTACAGAAATAAAAATGGCCCAAACTACATATATACGTTTCTAGTTAAACTACACAGATATATTAAATCACATAAACTTCTGGCTTGATCAGAATATGTGTTAGCAGTTAGAAATTTTAAAATATTTTAAAAATTTGCAACATTTCCATATAAACATTACCCTCCCCTTCCAGCTATAAAGTTAAAAACAAAACGCAACTGAAACCACACAATTCATCAATCACCTAATGTCCAAAATGACTCAAAGTTTCTCTGCACATCAAGAAGTGGACAATACAACAAATGCTTCAAGTACGGTTCATGCCAATCGTCATTAAGAATCATAACATTATTGAGAAAGTACACTTGTCCTCTGGGAGGACGCTTCAGAGAAATAATTTACAAGGAGCATGGCTGTATTATAATTTTTTAAAGGAAAAATAGTTTCTTTGGATAGAAAGAAACAGTGTAAAAAATCCCCTTTTTAAAATGCAGAAATAACTCCATTATCAATCTGCATTTATATAACTGCCCAAAAGAATGGGTCTGGAAAGACCATTTTCTGTACAGACACTAGTTAATCTCTGTATGAAAAGACAGCATCTGGCATGGGAACAAACAAGGGAGATACTGGTCTATTAGCACACATAGAGACTTTCTTAAGGCTGATCCAGTGACGAACCTTTGGATCCAGAAGTATTTCTTCATTTCTCTTCTTTTCGGCTGAATTTCTAGTAAAAACTTTGAAGATGAGCTGTTCTTACTTTTCATTTCTCCACTTATGGAGAAGATGGAATAATGACACCAAAAGTACTTTGGTTTTTTTCTTTTAAAAATAATTTGCTTTCTTTTGCATGCCACAGGACAGATTTCTAGTTTCAAAACAAGGGTACAACAAGAACAAAAAAATCCCCCCATCCCCAACCGTCTTTCACCAATACAAGAAATCCTTCTGGAAATATTAGCAAGCAACTAAACAGGTATTGAACCACTGAATCTACAAGTTAATACATAATCTGTTATGGCAGAATAACCAAGAATTTTTCCCCAAAGAAAGATTTTAATTTTTTCAAATATAAAAGTGTCTAAGAGAATCATATGTGAACAAACAAAAATCTCTGATTCCAGATTTTTAGGATAAAGATGAGTAACACACTGGCAGCTGAAGAAAGCTGAAACTCTGACTAATAAATAGATCCAAATTAAGAATTTCTACAACAGTTTTTTTTTTTAGAAAACAGGACCAGAATTCTTTTTTTTTAAATGATGATCCTGTGGAATGCCTTTACTTCCATATTCACCTAATATTGTAACAGTAAAACAGACACAAGAATGTTGATGACAGCTCAACAATGCTGGATTCAGGACATTTACAGGTACACTTTTGTTTAAAAGTCCTACAAGTTTATTGACTAAGGCTAGACAGCAATTCATATGATCCTATTTGGTGCATTTTCTACCATGGTCCAAGATCATTACATGGATACAGCCAAGGACTGGGCCCCAACTTTCAGGAAAAAGACCACAAAGAAGAAAATCAAGGTGGCTATTTGGTCCCCCCAGTTGATAATCTGTGTCCTGGAACTGGAAAAACAAAAGGTGGAAAATACAGACTGCAACGAGTTAAAGGACTTGGAAAAAGTTGGTGGAAAGTGGCACGGTATACGAGTAAGGTCACTGGGCTTGGGATGGCAAGGGTGCTGCATTGAAAGAGCATCCACGGGACCAAGTACTTATAATGTCTGATGGTGTCATTCCCTCAACGACTTAGAATATCTGTATGCGATAATAAATAGATCAGTTATGTAATAAGGCAGTGTGTTGAATATGCATTCGTCCTGTGGAATGAACCACCACAGAGAGATACATGATACCATACACATTCTTTGAGTTTTCTTGTGTTGTGTTTGATTTGTTTGTTTTCAAGGCTATCCAGGCTAACTCTTCCCGGGGATTTCCTTGGAGAGAAGAGTGGTCCGCTGAGGCTGGTTTGCTTTAACCTCTCCTTTATCAAGAGATGATGACTGGCTTTAAAGAAAAATAAAGCTGAAGGTTGTTTGATTTTTATTTTTTCCCTTTTGGTTGCATCATTTTGAGTGTTTTCATATAAACAACAAGAACAAAAAATCACAACCAAAAAAAAAAAAAACCAAAAAAAAAAAACACAATAGTTCTTGATGCATCCAGTTGTTATATCCTCAGGATGTTCCAGATGTTTCCAGGTAACTCTGTAGTTTACGGACTGTGGTTTTGTCCAGCGAGCAAAGATCAAAATCAAATGTTGTGTTTGTGATATGAAAGTGTCCAGTTTCTTCTATAAGGTTCACGATCTAGAGGAGTGAAGAAGAGAAAGTTTGGGCAATACGCAGCAAACATCAAAAGGCAAAGAGAGAGTAATGGAGGGGCGATCAAATATGGAATCAAGTGATAAATATTCGTATTTATAGCAACAAGGTCCCATACCATGAATAGCATTAAACTGTCTCAGTCAACTTGATAAGTCAAAGGTATATTAAGCCTTAGAAATTCCCAGTGAGAACCTGTCTTGCTTTTCATACCCTTTAAACTGATGTCTGCTTTCAAGTCATGAACAGAATATTTAACTGTGAGTGAGCAGTTAGGGGGAGATAGCATTTCAAGACTCCTTTAAAAATTAGTTACTGACTCAATAGACAGTGATTATACTTAATAGACATAAGAAAAATCCAGCCGAGAAATAACAAAACTACTTTTACTTAAGTACAAACACATACACACACACACCCCTATATAAAATCATTTTCCTTTATCATTATATAATTGTTAATAATTTGGAAAATACAGGAACTCCCAAAAAAAAAAAAAAAAAAAAAGGAAAAGAAAGAAACTGTCTACAATCCCACCCCCTTAACAGATAGTGACCAGAGGGGGCTCAAGGGAGCCTTCTAGAGTACTGGAACTGTTTTGTTGTTTGACTTGGGTGCTAGTTACATAAGATGTTGTCACTTGGTGAAAATGTATCTACCTGAATGCTTTGTTATACTTTAACATAAAAATAAAAACATATTTATTACTTTTAGTTGTGTTCACTTGATTCCCCTGAATATTTTGGGGAGATTTTAAATATTTAAGGTATTCAATTAAATAGAAATATTATCTAGAAAAAGAAAGGATGCCTTTGTCTTGTCATTTGGAATAGTTATACCTCATTTCTTCTTGTATTGGCTCCAACTTTCAGAAAAATGTTAAATGACAGAGATGACGGTTACTATTACTCTTGCCCTGGCTTTCAGGAGAACACTTCTGAAGTCTCAACATTAAGAATGAAGGTGATGATTGGTTTGAGAGATTCTTTTACCATGTAAAGTATCTTCCCATTCCTATTCTACTAATAATTTTATTGGACATGGATGCTGTATCTGGGCAGTGTATTGGGCACAGCGTTTTTTGGGGGAGGCAGCAAAGTTAGTATCAGGGCAATAAAAGAAAATTTGCACAGAGTAAACAGCTGACAAACTTCTACCTGATTTGAGTTGTCTGTTATTCTCTTTCTATCACTTACCTCTGATTCTCTTTAGGTCAATAATCTTAAAAAAGAGAATAATTTTAATTATTGAGCCTATCATTTATTTAATGAAGTTTTAGATTACCTAATGCCACGCTGAGTAACAGCAGAACTGAAACTTTTAACCTTCTCTTCTTACAATTAGCTTTCTTTTAAAAAATACAGTAAATTTGTGAACTACTCCCTATAGGTCAGTGGCTCTTAATAGAAAATGTGCTCCCCATTCCTGACATATTATTTGACTTTCACAGAAGCATGACATATTAACTCTCAATCCAATTAACTGCTCAACTCCAGATTGAGCTGTTATTGTCTTACCCAATCTCTGGAACTATTTTTTAGGGATATAACTACAGCCTTAATATTAAAATAAGCTACTCTCATAGTGGATGCAACAACAGATGCTGCAAACTAACTCCCTAATATCGATTTATTCCTTAATTTTTTTTTATTAACGGAAGGCCGTTTTTCTGAGAGCTGCCCAACTACAATGTTTGCCTCCCCAGACCTACTTGCAGCACTTGTCAGATGCTGCTATTTACAATTTATTTGTCAGAACTCACTGTTTTCAGGAATATTTCTGAAAAGGGTATGGACAATGGGTATGCATCTTTTGCCTTCTTTCCTTCTTCCTGTGTGCAATGGGAATGCAGTGCTTGGAAGTGCAGCAGCTGTCTTCCCATTAAGAAGACGAATACAGCTTATGAAAGATGGAAGAAAAGAAAGACAAGGAGCCTGTGTCATCAGTGGCATCTTTTAAGCCACTATCTCGACCACGGATTACTTACCTCCAGGCTTACTGTTATAGGTGGGGAGGGAGTCAGAAGAAAACCTTACTTGCTTAAACCACTAGACTCAAGGTTCTGTTACATGCATCAAGAAATTCTTAGAAGGAGTGTACCCAATTATGGTTAAAGTGCTACATTTATGTAAAAATGTATCCAACAAGATCTTATTAACACTAAAAGATCTAAAATGGACACACATTTGTTTTATTAGTTATTAGTAACAGAACTTTCAAGAAGTCTTCCACACATATCCACACACATACAGAAACACAAACACACAGCTATGCCCACAGAGGCTTTTCATGTCAATCATATACTTACTATATAATTAAGATCAATTGAACTAAGACTATGTATTTTCTGGAATAATTTTTTTTTGCCATTTTGTGCAAAAATACTATGAATCTAGTGAAAATGTGTAAATTTCAGGATGGAAACAAGTAGTCTCTTTAGAGCTATTATAATTTCAAATTTATGCAATGGAGGCAAATAACAAGCTGACCAGAATTTGACTCCTTTCCTCAGCGAGCTGCCCAGTAGGTAATTGACAAAGCATTCAGAATAGAGTTCTGGATCTGGCATATCAAGTTCTGACTCTGCAAACTTTTTCAATGGTATTAGACAGAACATCATAACCTTTGAGCCTCAGTTTCCTCATCTGGAAAATGAGAGTAATGCTACCTGTTCTACTTGTACAAGTTTGGGCAGATGATCAAATAAGGTATCATAAATAAAGCTTCTTATAAATGGTAAATTGCTACCTAAGTCAGGATAACATGATTATGATTACCTTATAAACTGATCCTTAATTATCTGGGAGGTGACTAAACTGCACATGAATTATAGACCTGATGCTTTTTCCTCTCGCCCCCAATGAGTGTTAGCCATTTCATTAGCACTAAAATAAATGAGGCAAGAAAATGCAGAAACTAAAACTCAGAAAGGCCGGCTTGAATTAAAAAAAAAAAATTGTAACTCATTCTTTTAAGAAAACAGTTTTCCACGACCCAATATAGTTGTTCCCTAATTATTTAATAACAAATAGAAAACTGGGCAATAAAAAAATCCCTTCTAGAAAAAAAGCCACTTAATTTTAAAGCATATAAACACTTTTGCCCACTAGAAACGTCAGCCCGGGCATTTCTCATGCATTGTGCTATCTTGCAGATCTCCAGTACTTCCATCACCACCCGCTACCTCCTCTATCACCATGTTGTGCCCGGCCTGCAGCCACACATGCACAACAATATAAAGGGGATCTGATAAATCTAACTAAATGAGCCCCACGTTTTTATGAGAGCCCACAAGAATACATCAAGGTAGATGCAGAGAAACAGCCTTAAAGTAGTAGCAGTGGCAGCAGCTGGGGAGTTGGGAATTATTTGCCAAAGGGAATGGCATTAATGATTTGAATTATTAGAGCATGTGCCCACATCCTCATTTAAGTAAGGGCTCCATAAAGAAAAATAAGTGTGCATTGCTTTCCAGGAATCCTGATAGTTAGAACGTCAGAAACAACATTAACATGCTTTATTCCATTGACACAGGCCACAAAGCCTGAACACACCCCATGAGTGCCTGAAGAACTCCACTGTGCCTTTCTACAGGAATACCCTCTTTGCTGATGCAGTGTGGCTTGACCTTGACGTCATTACTCTGCATCATAGTGCAATAATTAACGTCTGTCCAAAATAATAATAATAGTAGATAGAGTGACTGCAGATAAGAAAAACAGGCGGCCGGGCGCGGTGGCTCACGCCTGTAATCCCAGCACTTTGGGAGGCCAAGGCGGGCGGATCACGAGGTCAGGAGATCAAGACCAACCCGGCTAAAACGGTGAAACCCCGTCTCTACTAAAAATACAAAAAATTAGCCGGGCGTGGTGGCGGGCGCCTGTAGTCCCAGCTACTTGGGAGGCTGAGGCAGGAGAATGGCGTGAACCCGGGAGGCGGAGCTTGCAGTGAGCCGAGATCCCGCCACTGCACTCCAGCCTGGGCGACAGAGCGAGACTCCGTCTCAAAAAAAGAAAGAAAGAAAAACAGGCAACCAGGTACATATGGGTAGTGGAAAAGGAAGAGTGTGTAAACTGCTTAACTCATTCTTCAGATGATGGTTGTTGTGAAAACATTCATGATGGATTATTTCCTGCCACATCAGCCTTTCAAGCGGTACTACGCAGGCTGTTGGATGTCTCATTTTGTTTTAAACAGGGTAAGATCCACTTGTCAGATCTGTGGCTCCCTTCCCCAATTTTTAATTATAAAAAGGTAAATGCATTGATTTTGGTCTGATTATAATTTCAAAAACCAGGGTTCTTTCCATGTGAAGCAGCCTCTTCGCTGTGTGGGGAGTAATGAACAGGCCTTACTTTAACTGCTTCTCTATGGAGTAGAGCCAGATCTGGGATAACATAGGTCTTCCCATAGAATGGCCTCTACTATGGTCTGGAAAGCACGGACAACCACCACATAAAAATGTGTGCCCTACCCTTGGTTAAGGGATAGGCCATCAGGCTCCAATCTACAAGGGGTGCTGAGATATGACAAGTAATTTCCCAGGATGGAGAACATCATTTTCATCAGAACATTTCTCAGGGAGGGTTCTCTGGGTTCTTAGAAGGAATATTCTAATACGCCACAGATTCCCCATTCCCTGCAGACAATTCGAAAAGAATGACGGCTGGCTTCTAAATTGCTAAACTACTCTCTTAGGAAACCTGGTTTCCCACAGAGTTTTCTTCCCCCAGACGTGGATGCAAATCCAGGCTTAGAGCTGAATTGCTGGGGAGGTTACATATGTTCAATCTCACTTTCCAAATAAATGTGGAACATGTGGTTTAAAGAGCAATCAAATTATTCATCAGTCCTAGGTAATCACTTCTCTTGGTTTGACTGTGTCTACTCTACTGTATTTATACCCTTTGAAAAAGTGGCTTAGGAACACAGGCTCCTTGATCCAATGCTGTCTGTTCATTAAACTAGCTGCCGAGTGCCAGGACTGCATGCCCCCAGAGGAAAACAAAGTTATTAACCGCTTTTTGTGAGCCAAATAAAATCGTCAGGCCAGATTTTTGGATAGGATGCATTTAACAGGAAAGGACCTAGATGTGATCCTGGGCCCACCAGAAATTCTGCTTCAGGTGTTCAAGTCTGCACGGCAGAGAATACGTAGACTTTGTGGAATGAATTCCATGAGATGAGCAGCCCTCAAGGTGGAGAATAACATTAGTCCTCAATAGTGCTATGTTTTACAAAAGGAATTAATTAAGCAGTAAACCGTGACAGGACATGCATCATGGTATCATAATCACAAGCCTCAGCTGCATTACAAGGCAAAAGGCCAAAGACTGAGAGCTTTCAACCGGCCTGGGAATGCAATTAGGGTGAAATGCTGTGTGCCCTGGAGTGCCTTTATGCCAGGTTAAAAATTCACAGATATTACTCTCTCCCTCTAGAATACTAAAATAATCCACTTGGATGGAGTTCTCCAGTAAGCCACCTTTCTTCGCAATTCTTATAAGGTCAAAATAAAGGACAACATTAAATTGCGAATGCCAATGACACCCCAAGGTAAGATCTGCCCAATGGCCTAGTATCCTTGACTAACTGATAGGGCTTTCTTTGTGAAGATGTCCCAACCCTGCACAAACATCTGTCCCACCCTCCTATGAGACTCACTATTTGGGCCCAGCTTGGGCATTAATAGCTTTATTGGACAATTGCTCCACAGTGGTTCAGAGCTGGTGTTTGGGAAGAGACGAGAAAGATCATGCAATAGATCTGCAATCAGCATTATGCCAGCCCCAAATATTTGGAAAATGACAGGTAAAACAACGTTCGGTTCTTCAAAAGAGGCCTAAGAAGAATATTAGCAAAGTACTAGACCACCACTCATGGTAGGCCACTTAAGTCCTGCTTCCTTACCCATACTAACTAAAAAGAAACTGCAAGAAATGCAACTTATCTGCAATTAAGAATCATAGGTCTGTAGTCTTTTGTTCAAATCTAAAATTCTACAAGGGTTAAAAAGCTTATCAGGCCAGTCAGGAAACTTGGCAAGTTTGAGAGTATATATTTATAGATGTAAGCAAAAATGTACACAGAATATAAATGTGACCACCAGCCATTAAATGTTAAAAAAAAAAAAAAAAACCCACACACAGCTGGGGTAGATTAAGTACTAACGTCAAGTCATTTGAAAGTAGTAAAAAAAAAAAGAAGAAAAAAATTCAAACAGCGAAACAATCTACATGTCTGCCCTGGAATTTAGAACACACATTCTTCTCTTTGGGTGTTAAAAAAAATTACCAATAGCTGCTGGTAGTGCAACAGAGGCATACATCATTAACTGAATGAAAATGAAAAACCACCCTTCTTATCTTCTCAAAACATCAAATTATACTAATAGAAGTTTCCCCACTCTACAAGTATTCCACTACAAGTATTCCACAGTTGAGTTCATAATAATAGAATGTATGTCATACAAGATAAGGGAAATGAAGAAAATATTTATTTTCCTTAGAATATCATTGGCAAAGGTTACTAAATTGAATCACAAATGTTTACAACACTTGACTCAAATTCTTATCACTGTTTTCCCATGAAACCAGAAGCCTGGCCCCAAAGCTTTTTGCATTTCTACTGTCCCCTCCCTGAGCCCACATTACACCAGCCATCTGAGGGATCACTACAATCCAGTATCACTTCCCAAATTGCCCAGTTCTCACCATCCACTGCACTAGAGGAGGGAGAACAGTTGCCATAGAGCTCCAGAGCAGACTTCTAGGTGGCCTCAGAAATGAGAACCTTTCCCAAATACATCTACAGGTGGCATTCGCCAGGTTCTGATAGCGTGGGGCTGCAGTGGCCTCCAGGTGCTATCACACTACTGCAGGACAAACCAAGTCTTGAAGTTTCTGGAAAGGGTTGTGCTAAAAAGCATTTCTCACCTGCTGCAGAATGTGTCTTTCTCTCAATGTCATTAACCTTCTGTGAAGCTCTACCAGTTCATCTAGGTATGCCTGAAAGAGAAGAATGTCCCCGAAAAGGACAAGCACTTTAAGTAGTAGTTCAAAAATAAATGAATATGTAAGTAAGAACACACAGGCAGCAGCAGCTGGAGGTTTCTCATTACACCACTCTAGCCCAGGCTGTGTGCACTCAGTGCCCAAAGGCCTCTGCAGAACAAGCCTGTCTTGGACCAGTCATTACCTTTATCACACCAACTTCAAAAAGGGAGTTGGAGTGAATTCTTGGACTTAATTGCTCTTATGAAGATTCAAGTCAGTAGACTCACTTTCCTCCAACAATATCTCTACAAAAGGTAGGGAAATTAAATGCTAAATTGTGAGTTTAAACATATTAACAAAGGCTACTTTCATTTTTTTTTCATTCTTGAATCTCAGAAGGTTTCTAAGAGAAAAAAATTCTAAGTTTGAACATGGAAACAAGAATGTACATTACCAATTAAGTCAGGGGAATTTTGTGGGGTTTTTCCTGTTTGTTTTGTTTTTGTTTTAAAAAGGCTTCCTGGTCATACCAAACATTGCTAGTAAGCAATGCCAGCAAGTGACAGAAGAACAGAAGAATGTATTACGAAAAACAGGGATCACTATCTAATTATCATCTGATTTGTGAAGAGCTCCCCTGAAAGGGGAGAGGGGGTACCTCTCTTTCCATATGCTCAGACTCACGAGTCTTTGTTAGTGTAACTGCATGGGTGCCCCCAGCACCATTTGCGATAAAGGCAAATGAAAGATTTGTGAAACATTACAGAGGTCTGCCCTGGCCCTACAGAGCAAGGTTAGGGCTCTGCCCAAACCAGGCAACTTAACCCCACCAGGTGTTGTAGTCAGGTTTCAGAAGCATGACGCACACTCTGGGAAAGCACACTGCACTAGCATCAGATGTCTTGCTCATCTACATCTGAGATTCCTTAATATTCTATCTCTACCACAATTCTCTTAATTCCCAATTCAATGTGCCTGAAATCCCTTGGCAACGTAGGCATCATGGCAAATGACAGCATAAGGCCAAGCTTAATACTGAAGATATAAACAACACATGGAAAACAAACTACAAAGCACTGGGATGAAATACTCATCATTTGGGCATCTTGGACACTTTGATGAAGAAAATGAAAGGAGAACCAGCAAGGATGATCAAGGGCAACACAAAGAAACGGAAGGCTTGTCAGTGTTGGAGCCCTCCTAGTAACAGACTAGAAACCTACCTTGTCACATTCACCATTCTTTATTTGCTTATCTGATTTGCTTTGCTTTATTGGACTTTTCACTTCAAGAATCTAGGGATCAAAGAGAACGCTGTGTTAAATTTTATTTCAAGCATCTCTTAGCTAACCAGCCACCTAAACAAAGGCATCCACTGAATGAAATGTACAGTAACATTTGCTTTCCAAATAGCATTTCTTTTCTATACATTTTCCTTCTTCTCTCTAATCTTATTTTCCTTGGAAAATGAATTACTTAGATCTGAAATGCTGAGTCAGAAAAGTAGAACTAAAAAAAAAAAAAAAAAAAAAACAACACAGTTGATGATAAGGAAATTGATCTAAGCTTCCAAGGCTGCTTCTCTTTTGCGACAACACTCTCACCATATGTATAGCAGCTGAGTTATACAGAGATTATAGTTCCCTCTGGCAAGAATTTTTTTCCTATTCATTCTGCTGTTTCAGCATGACTACTAGTGTTCAGTATGCTAGGGATGATAAAAACAAATACTCAAATGCCCTTTTTAGTACCTAACTTTCACATTCTAAAATTACTCATATGCACAAAACTGATACAGCTTTGGAAATGAAGATGGCCGACTATCTTCTGTGTTTTAAGAAATGATGTGTTTACCCTTGGTAAAACGCCAAGTGCTTTTCCTTTTATCTGGACTGATTACAACTTAAGTTATGAATAGCTTTACATACTGTATAGAAGCTTTGGTGGGAAGCTATGTTTCTACTTAATAAAAAGGAGAAGCAAATTATTATTTAATAAATGCAGCTGATTTCTTTGACAGCATCTTCAAAACTGAGGATTAAAAGGGAAGTATTTTTAAATGGTCCTCACTTGAAAAAGCTTGAAACCACTAAATTTATAAATGATGAGTGCTTACACATGTGTATAAACACAAAAAGCAAAGTAATTTGTCTTTTTCATTATAACTCATTATGAAGTGAGTTGTTATAACTGGAGACTAATATTAAAGGAGGAAAATGCCAAATAAAGGACCTAATTTATCTTAAGAGGTTTTATATTCCTACTGTTCTCTTTACCCATTCTGTGCCCTAACTTAGTAACACTTCTGTCCACAAGTTTACCACATTCCGTAACATAAAGATTTTAAGAATGAGTCCACTTTTAATCTGTAGTGGCAAGAGCACTGATTAGGCTCAGAAGCCCAAGTTCAAGTCCCAGCCTTATTATTTAATATTTTTGGACCGCAAAGGATGAAATGGGAGAGATGAACAAGATAAGACCCAGATTCCCATTCAGCTTTAACATTTTTTATTACTAATAAACATTTTACTGGATGAGGATAGGAACATGACATCCTGGAAAAGACCGAATACTCCTGAAGGGGCATATTTTTATTTTAATTGAGAATAATGCACGAGTAAAAAGTGTCCTTTTAACAGTCTTTCCTGACAATCATGCTTTTTTTCATCATTTTTAATATGAAGATAACCAAATGACTAATTTGACCAGGCTAACTTAAAATACAATACTTTTGGCAACACAAGGAAATTACGTATTAACAGAGGCAAGGCAATCGTTTTTAACATGCTCCACTGTAAAGGAAACCAAATACTCCACTACATTCAGAATTTCCTCCTCCATTGTTGTTGAAAGTGAGATCTCAAGGGAAAAATCAGCGCTGAGACCTAGGAGCAAGTAGGTCAGTAGATGGCACTCCTCGCCAACTCAGATACTGGGCTGGGCATGCAGAGACAATCCGCTGAGATTTCAGGCAAGAAAAAAAGAAAAAAAAAGTGCCTGCCTGCTTGACTTGTGCATTACAGAACTGAATTTTGTTCCCATCATATCCCGCTGCCTCCCACGATCCCCTCCTCCAACTCCTGTACTCTGGGTGTTGAAGTGACTTGAGGACGCTGTATTTGCAATAGAACTTTGCTAACTAGGTTTAGAGAGTTCTGCCACCTTTTCTTCAAAGCAGAAAATAGAACATTTGGACGCTGAAGTCCCACCCCACACATTCCGTAAGTGCTACAGCACAGAAGGCCAAAATACATTGAAATCCTAGTTTCTTTCTTCTGAAGTTGCAGTGGCAGGAACAAAAGCTCCGGGTGTCAGTGACCCGCCTCAAGTTACTGAGTGGCTGCCCAGAGAGGGCTCAGTTAATCTTCCTTCTTTGATCTCTCCCTGCTCCAAAATAAACAGCTTTGTCAAAACCTCATTCTGAGAGAGCTGAGCCCTGCTGAAGACAATTGTTTTATTTATGATCATTTCTTATCTTTAGGGAAACAACTCCAGAATAAAAAAGTACAACACCTTGTCTTCCACAGGCTTATTTTAAACCAGTTTAACTGGATAGACTCTTTTTAATTTCATTCAACATGCCTTGCAGGCTGATAGGTGATTTATGATATTCTGAATATTAACCCGGGTCCAATGGATCACTTCCTTCCTTCAAGTCCTTTCTCCCCTCCCTCCCTGCCAAGCTTCTGGCTAAAAAAGATGTGGTATTTTGTTTTTGTTTGAAATTCACATAAGGGAGGTTTGGAGTGAAAAAACCATCTCTGGTTGAAATGACGCAACACTCTTTATTATTACCTATTAAATTGTACTGAGAGAAGCAGAGCTACCTAGACTGCCTAGCTACTCCATTTATAGATACAGCAGTCTCTGAAAATAGAAGAATTGTGGTTTAGTAGCACTTTTGTCTTTAATCTGAGAAAATGTCTTGACAAACGTTCAAGATTATATTTTTCTGTATCACTTTATGAAGAATGACAACTCAGTTATTCACAGATGGATTCTCTACTGATAGATCTTTCATACTAATGACAGTAGCTCCCAACAGTACTCAGGTTAATTACTTGCTTGGTTGACGTGTGACTCTATGTTCACTTTTATTCAGTATGAAAATATTTGACTCCATTAGTACTTCCCCTCTTCTCTAGTCCCTGGAAGATTTGAGAAAAGGCAATGGACATTTCAGCTTTGCCTGGTGCTTTATCAAACTCAGAGATCATTATCAATTCATAGAGAGAGAACAGGCAAGGAGTATGGAAGGAGGAAACTCAAGAGTGTTCCCATTTCGGAGTTAGTCCTTCCAAGTATGTTCTCAACTCTTTATTAATCGTGAAAATTCAGATTCATACTCTTTCTCTATCCCTGTCTCTCTCCCCCTACTTTTCTCCCTCCCTCCTGCGCACACACACACACACACACACACACACACACACATTCAAATACGACTAAAAAGTCATTCCAGAGTGAAATTTAGTTGACTTTTAGATTTTTAAGAAATTTTTACTCTCTTATACCATCAACATAGAGAATTAAGATATACTAGTAATTTTTTTTAAGTCCCAGAAGCTTGACTTAAAGGGATAGCATCACACCTGACCCCAGTGCAAGTGATTTGAGGGGCTAGGAAACCAATACTAAACAAGGTTTAAGAAACCTTTACTTGTCCTCTCGGCTCCAAGACATAGCTCTAAGAAGGTAAGCCCTCCTGTGGTATATATATTTCCTAACCCAGACTAGCTAAAAGTGGAAGCATACGGACTTTCTTACCATGCTTACAAGTGCATGGAGAAAGTGACACATAATACAGTATTATTGGCAGACTGATGATTCACATGTGTGAAGCAACACTTGCCAAATAAACACGCCAAGGAACCAGGAGTATGCTACTTAATCAGATAAGGTAACTTTTACCCTCTCCAGATAGACGATACTATTCGTTTTTGGTTTTGTTTTGCTAGACAGGTAAAAAACAGTCTGACAAAGAGTCTAAACCTTTCCCTAAAGCCAAGGTCTGTTCAAGACTGCCCATTCAGGAAGGGCTTAAGTGAAGCCATAAGGTTTGAAGGGCATGAAAGGTGCTTGCTGGAGTTGCATTCCCTAGCAAGCCCACTTTTCACTATGATTGGGAGAGATACTGAAGGAGATGAGTGAGGGGCACAAAAGCAGAGCCTAATGCCCTACACTCCTGGCCCTGCCACTGCTGTGCCCATGACGTATTGTAGCTCTCATATACCACCCACTGGATACAGAAATCAAGCTGAAATATGCCTAGGTTGGATTTAAAAATATCATCGGCTGGGAGCGGTGGCTCATGCCTGTAATCCCAGCACTTTGTGAGGCGCATGATGAGGTCAAGAGATCGAGACCATCCTGGCCAACATGGTGAAACCCCGTCTCTACTAAAAATACAAAAATTAGCTGGGCGTGGTGGCATGCACCTGTAGTCCCAGCTACTCGCGGGGCTGAGGCAGGAGAATCGCTTGAACCCAGGAGGCGGAGGTTGCAGTGAGCCAAGATCGCGCCATTGCACTCCAGCCTGGGCAACAAGAGCAAAACTCCATCTCAAAAAAAAAAAAAAAAAAAAAAAAAAAAAATCTCACCAAGGTTCAAATTCTATTCTAATGCTAGTTCTCACTGAAGCACAAATTTACAAAAGGATCCCAAATTTTCTAGTTAACCAGTCCAGTGTTCTCAGCTGATTGGCCATGATGCATATGTCTTTCCTCTTTTTACTTTCCTCTGAAATGCCTGACTTGTGGTGGCAGGCATCCACACCAGAGGTAAAAGACGGCTGGGCCATGAGCACAGCTGGCCCTGAAGATGGGGAAGAGCCAGGATATGGAAAAAGAAGTAAATAACTTGCTGAATACCCCATCTATAAGAGATAATGAGGCTGGACTTTGATTTTAATGTAGGACACAAAGAAATTGCAGTTGAACTGTAACTGGTACAACAAAGAGTACTGGTATCATTCCTACTTAACAAGAACGGATTTGCATTATAGACAAACCTTATAAATGAGGAATTTTAAACTATAAGAGATCTTTGCTAGTGCTTTAAATAAAATGCAAAAAGAAAAAGTCTTCAGCTCTAAACTAACATTTTCCAAGTAACACAAAGACCACGGATTTAAGGGCAAGACTATTTAAAATTGAAGGACACCTGTGAAACAGTATTTTCAGAAAAACACAGTTGTTTAGTTTTCAAGTTAATATTCGTACAGTAACTTGAATTAAGCAGTTATTGTAGAGGTCATAGGAAATCTGTCGACACAAAAAGATAAGAAAAACTTATGGTAATGAGAGTATCAATTCAATGCTCAATGAGGCTTTTACATTATTCATGATACTGAAAATAGTTTATTTTAGTTGGTAAAGAAAATATCCCGATTTAATTTATTTAACAAATGCTCTTTATCATAGCCTTCAAAGTTCTGCCTAGATCTTATCCAAATAGTTATATTTTGAGTTGACTATCAAATTAATAAGCTTTCCTTTAGCTCAAGTTGTAACAATGATAATGACCATTATTTTCTCAGCATTTTATTAATTATTCCTTAAAATCCCAAGTAATAATCCTTCTATCTTGGACGAGAAAACTGAGGCCGAACACCTATAATAATAAACTACCATCAACTGAGTGCCAAGGAGGGGCTGTGCACTGCCTTTTGCTCTTTACATATATTATTTGTCATCTTCCCAATAACCTAAAAGATAGTGTTAATGTCATTTACAGATAAGGAAACTGAGAATCAAAAGCTAAAAGTTAATTTCCCACCAGTAAATTACCAGTGGTAAAGAACCAAGCTCTATACTAGGCCCAAAGGTCATATTCTTCCTAATTAAGGCACCTACTTACTGCTGAAGTGTAAAGTATATAGAAATCAGGAGTAAATGGTAAATGGGCAATACTTTTTGTCACCCTCTCTTATTGTACTAACTTAATTAACCCATCTGGTGGAACATATTCATCTTCTCATGACAGCAGAACCTCTTATACCCTAACTATGTGTTTATTCCACAGGCTGTGGCCTCCCTCCCATCTATTTGGCATCAAGAGGAAGTTTGTTTAAAATTCAGGGATGAAAGTTTTGCATGCTTTGTAAAAATGATTACACCTAGCTCTGCAGAGTCTTGCAAAGTGCAAACCCCACAATTTACCTGGTTGTTGTTGGTTTTTAGTAAGGGTGGTGGAGGTTCGTGATGTAGGGGTGAAGAAGCAGAACTGCTTTCACTATCGCTGCCATCACTTAAGCTAACTCTGAAAAGAAACAGACAAGTTATGCACATCATTACAAACAGATGATTCTTGAAATACCCATAGAAATAGGCGTGGAAAGCACAGAATCCAAACACTAACCCTTGACAAGTTCATTTTAACTCACAGCCGCTAACACATATTGGT
Source organism: Homo sapiens (assembly GCF_000001405.40). Taxonomy (NCBI): domain Eukaryota; kingdom Metazoa; phylum Chordata; class Mammalia; order Primates; family Hominidae; genus Homo; species Homo sapiens. The sequence continues at coordinate 20,360,986 of NC_000009.12, forward strand.
GCTTACTTTGTAACTGGAACTGTGTTAAGTGCTTTACCTGCCATTTCTCTTTTCATGATCTCCTGTTTCACAGACGAGTAAACTGAGACTCAGAAAGACTGGGTCACTCATCTAGGGTCACACAGGTAAAAATGGTGGCTCTGGAATTCAAATACAAGCAAGTGGCCCAAAGCTAGTGCTCAGCCACTATACTTTACTGGGGTCATTTATTCATTCATCTCCCTTCTCCTGCTCTCCCTACCTACTATGATCAAGCATGCTACTCAAGCTTACAGAAGGTCAGCAAAATTAGTTTGTTGATTACTACCTTTATTTTCCTTTCCTCCTCCCTCTCTGTTACAGATGAAAAAGTTACAAACATGTCTAGAATACACGCTGCAGGGGAAGAAGCAACCACATAAATGAAACTTCATAAAGAATGTAGAAAACAGCCCTGCACCGCTGACAGCACAGAGTGACATCTAAGGATTGAACATGTGGAGCCCGGCATGCTAGGACCATTACCAATCATTTCTACTGTGTCATTATTCAAGGCTGTCTCTAGTTCTGAACACTGATACAACAATTCATTGGAAATACGCTACAACAACACAAAGAAATGGTATGTTTGGGATAACCGCTTTGGAAAACTACAATGATATATTTTAAAAATTAAAGAACTAAAGACAATCCACACCACCTCCTCCCCATTTTTTCTTTTCAGAAGAAAATGGAATTTTCTTTTATCCACAATAGGAGAGATTTATTTATTCTACTGTGCTGAATGTAGTCCTCCCTCAGAGATGTCCTCTTTCCGTATTTGCTCCCCTCCTCTCTGGTTATATAGCACCTAATGTAATATGCTTCTCAGAAACAGAAACTGTTTTAGAAATCAGGATAGTTTTTCTTTCACTCTGAATAGGCAATCACATTCTAGCTCTATAATGTATTCAGACAGACAAGATACAAGATAGGAAATGAAAAGGATACACTGGGACATCCTTTTAGCAAAAACTGATAGAACTTGTTTTTCTTAACTAAATTACATTAATGAAGTGTTCAGTTGAAGTGCTGTTTTAAAATGTGTCTTGAGTGAAGTGGAAGGCTAAGTATTTAAACTGATTAAACAGTTGAGACTTCACAAGTGCAGTGAAGATCAAATGTTACACTGGCACTGACATGCTAACACAGCACGGTCAGGCAGGGAACAAGAAAAGCAGCCCCCAAAATGTGTATCTGTATCAGATGACTCACAAACCTACATGATGACCACACAGACTCAGGAGTTGCAGCAATAAGTAGGTGGGCAACAACTAATCACAGAATATCCAGATATTCTAAATAACAACTAGGGAAATCATCTAAATAGGTCATACGTTTTTCATCAACTAAACTTGAGAGCAGCCAGTGGTCAGGATTTTGGTTGGTATAAGTAAGCTACTTTAAGTTTCAGTCCATTTTGAGGTCTTTTTTCCCTATCAGTTTCCTTTTTATCAGACAAAAGACTTCTAAAGGGAAATGTTATAAGGCCATGGGCATATTAAAGAGGTTATATTCTCCTATTTAAAAGGAATGCTGACAGGTTGGTCTGAGAGACAAGGAGAGAAACAGGGGTTGAATATGACCATAAAAAACAGTCACTGAGATATCTAATGGGGCACACACCCTGAGGAGGCTCTTTTCAGAGGACAAAGCATTGGCAATTAGGAAGCATCGGTCTCTCCAGTTTGGGTTAAGACCGCTTTTTTTTTTTTTTTTTTTTTTGAATCTTAGGGTCTTCTACATAGTAATGGATAACAGGGAAAGATTTAATGCAATATATTATAAATGTAATTGGATTTTAAATTCAAGTAGATTCGTATTTTTTCCACTCAAGACAAATTAAAGTAAGCATGCCTATTTGTTTTCTTCATGATAAAGAAATAAAATCCTCAGGGCAATTTCAAGTTGAGTATTAATTATAAGTGACATGAATTACCATCTTATAACATGGAATTATGCCTCACAGCATTAAAGCTACTTAAGGCACTTAATTGTCAGCACACTTAAAAGGAATTTATTTTCTGGAAAACACACAGGTGATCCTAGTTTTAATTAGGTCACACACATAATTCACTGGAGCCAATTATGTATTTCTAACTACAAACAGCAAACACATTTCTTCAAATTCTGAGACTATCTCCAGCAGTGGATCAACACAAACTCTTCAAATGAAAACAGACTTTAGTTCAACAGTCAGTCCTGCCACTTGGCATACTTTTCCAAGGACAAGGACATCTAATGTGACTTTTTCCTATAAAAATTTTTAGAGGAAAAGCCTCTTTCTGAGAAAAAGGAGAAACAGTTCCCTGTAAAGTGTGTGTAGGCATACCAAGGAGACCCTGCATCAAATGAATGTGACCATCTACTGCCGTTTTTGGTGTTTCACACCTTTGCTGTGATTATCCCAGCAGGGCTTGTGAAAGAGTCTGACTTCATCACAGGCAACCCCTTTCCTTCCAAGATACTCACCTGCGACTTCGGCTGCCTCCTCTATTTACAGGCCTCTCCATTTCAGAGTCATTGTCGTTATCCTCCACTTCATCTGATTCCTCCTCATTGTCATCAGAATGCAGATCTTTCATTATAGACCTCAAAGGACCTGAGTAATGACAATGAACCACAGGCAATCAAACATATACTCAAACACACTTAGCCATATTAGAAACAGGGGGATGCTTACCAGCACTGAACACTGGTTAAAAATAATCATCATATATATTTATACAATTTACAAGGCAAATTTGGTATAGTTTCTAAAATGCAATCTCTGCCAAAACACTATTGTTTTCATAATGGATTCCCAAAATATTTATTAAAGAATCTCTATTTTCTAGGAATTTTTTTTCTGTGTATTTTTCTTCCCTAAGAAAAATTATACATAAAAAGAAAAAGAAAAATCTATCAGTAAATTGAATGTTTTGTTAGGTTAATCCATGTATTGAGAAGTTGAGATTAATAAATCACTGTGGTTGTAACTTGTTCTTGGCAATGCAGCCTTTGTGTGGTACTTTTTGATCCATTAAGGTTTAGCTGTTCCTTTTATTTCAAGGTCAATTTCAGGTCAAGCAAGCATTTCAGTCAAGTTCAGATTATAAAGTATTTCAATTCCATGGTGTAATATCCTACCTCTGATCTTCACATTGATCTTGGACACAAGGTCTTGTTGCAGCAATTTTAAGCAGCCAATTTTCATTTTACTTTTTAAGAAATTACTGGCACAATACCAGCATGTATAAACATAAACAAGACCATGTAATAAATCAGGTACACAGAAAAATCAGGACAGTATCCAGTATCAGACAGGAAAAAGAAAAAAAATCAAACTCTAATTTTATTCTAGGACAGGACAGAAATGAAAACACACACACAAACACAAATTCATCAGTGTGGCTTATTTTCACTTTACTAGGCTAAATGTGATGAAAAATAGATAGTTTTAATCTTAACAGAAGAGGTTATAAAGACAATGAAGAAAGAGAGACACTTTCATTCGGGATTAGGCAATTCCTAAAGTCCCATCTATGACAGGGATATCTGAGCTATTACTATCTTGACTCCCTACAATCTCACATTCTGCAAAACCCAAATTTATCTGCTTTTGTAGTGGGCTTATTTCTTTGGAAGTCAGTGAAACAAGACCTCTGAATAGCCAAAACGATTACTGTCTTTTATTTTATTTTTTTCCTGGAAGCTTAGCCTTAGTCCAAACACATACAACAATTTAATCCTTTTCAAAACATTCAAAGCCATCAGGAATTCAGTGTGGTCATTGAAAAAGGTAATGTTCAATACTATGCTAAAACACAAATTCTACTTTGATACCTATGCATTTTTCATGTAAAAAGAGTGTATATTTGAAGATTTTCCACATACACAAAAATGGAAAATATAATTAGTTAAATATTCTAGTTTAAATGTCTTTATTCTGAATTCAAGTTAACACTTGATCATGAGTAGAGAAAAATATATATTTAAAAGATAGCCAATTAGTATTGCCTTAAAGACTATTAACATGTAGAAAAAAAATATGTCCAGGAGGAAAGATGAAAACCTATTTCCCTATGTCAAAGCCTCTTAAAGCTTTTGCTATTGTATTTCCTTTGGGAACTCCCTGGGATGGGCTGTGTCTATAATCCTTTTGTAGCAATGACAATCTGATGGCAGGGACCGGAAAAAGGGGAATTTCTAGAGCCTTGCCTCGTACATCAGAACAATACTCAACTGTATTCCTAAGGGAAATAAATACAACTGCATAAAAGCCAAGTTATGATTCGAATAATAAAACAGTATAAGGTGATAAATCAAGACATTAAGATGGTTTTTTTTTGTTTTGTTTTGTTTTCTTTTTTTTGAGACGGAGTCTCACTGTGTCACCCAGGCTGGAGTGCAGTGGCGCGATCTCAGCTCACTGCAACTTCCGCCCCAGGTCCAAAGGATTCTCCTGTCTCAGCCCCCCGAGCAGCTGGGACTACAGGCGCATGCCACCACGCCTGGCTAATTTTTTGTATTTTTAGTAGAGACGTTTACTAAACACGGTTTCACCGTGTTAGCTAGGATGGTCTTGATCTCCTGACCTCTTGATCCACCCGTGTCAGCCTCCCAAAGTGCCATTAAGGTGTTTTATGAGAAAAGCATCTCCTAGTTTGCATGAGATGTTGATACCTTGTTGCCTGGTCTGGGATGGTGTGAAGCTGGAGCTGGAGCTGGAGCTGGAGCTGGCAGGACTGGGTTGTTCAGACTTTAAAGAAGAATAAAAAGGCACCATCAATAAATTTACGGGATACCACACATCTAAAGTTGAAAACAGTATTGTTGCTCAAACCATCCTCTGCAAAAACCGTGATGCATTTCATTATGTCAAATTACTAACACAGGAGAGTCATGTTGTCTTTTGTTGTGCCCACTGTATTTTTATTAGATGCAGAAACAAGTATAAAAACTTGAGGAGATAAACACTTGGGTGTTACATGAGAAAAGGGCCTGGCTTTGATTTCACTCCTACGTTTACTGCTATACAGGTCTCCCTCTTTTCATCTTAGATATAAAATACTTCTTTATTATACTTTAAGTTTTGGGATACATGGGCAGAACATGCAGGTGTGTTACATAGGTATACATGTGCCACGGTGGTTTACTGCACCCATCAACCCATCATCTACGTTAGGTATTTCTCCTAGTGCTATCCCTCCCCTAGCCCCTGACCCCTGAAAGGCCTTGGTGTGTTATGTTCCCCTCCCTGTGTCTATGTGTTCTTATTGTTCAACTCTTCACTTATGAGAACATGCGGTGTTTGGTTTTCTGTTCCTGTGTTAGTTTGCTGAGAATGATGGTTTCCAGCTTCATCCATGTCCCTGCAAAGGACATGAACTCATCCTTTTTATGGCTGCATAGTATTTCATGGTGTACATGTGCCACATGTTCTTTATCCAGTCTATCACTGATGGGCATTTGGGTTGGTTCCAAGTCTTTGCTATTGTGAATAGTGCCACAATAAACATACGTGTGCATGTGTCTTTATAGTAGAATGATTTATAATCCTTTGGGTATATACCCCATAATGTGATTGCTGGGTCAAATGGTATTTCTGGTTCTAGATCCTTGAGAAATCCCACACTGTCTTCCACAATGGTTGAACTAATTTACACTCCCACCAACAGTGTAAAAGTGTTCCTATTTCTCCACATCCTCTCCAGCATCTGTTGTTTCCTGACTTTTTAATGATCGCCATTCTAACTGGTGTGAGAGGATATCTCATTGTGGTTTTGATTTGCATTTCAAAAGAAGACATTTATGCGGCCAACAAACATATGAAAAAAAGCTCATCATTACTGGTCATTAGAGAAATACAGCTGTCTTTCTAAGAGATACCTTGATTACCCTTTCTGTAATGTTCGATTGACTCAACTGGTTAAAACATAGTGGTAATGAGGCTAAGGTCATTAGTTCAATCACACTATGAGCCAGTTAATTTAACTGTGGCCCAAGGCCATGACCCAACCCTAACCCTTTTCATCCACAGTTCACAAATGGAGGCCAATATTCATAACAAGACCCAGACAGGTCCAAATGAGTCAAGGGAAAATGTCGCCATTGTTTTTTTGTAAATTCTCTTTAATTCCACAACCTATTAGTGGCAAGGAAAGAGTGTCATACACACACCCCAATCTCTTACGCTCTATGAATTCTCCTTATCCTTTTCTAACCAGAAAGTTCCACATCCTCTTTGACCCACCCAACTCAGTTCTCTTCCTTCTCCAAAACCACTGAAATATAGTGGAAGTATCATGTTTTCTTGTTAGAGGTACAACAGTATTGCACTGCCTCTGATGTGTCTTTGCTCCCCAGATAGTCTGTAGACTGCCAGCACTTGAAAAATTAGGGGTCTGTCTTGTGCTTCTTGTAATCCTCTTGTACTTAGCATAATGCATTGTATACAAGAGGCACTTTTTATCGGTGACTAAAGACGGTACATTAGGCCCTGCGTTCCACCTTCTGCCACAGTTTTTTTGAAAGATTCCATGGCAGGTAAAGACAGGCAATGCACACACATGGACCTAAGTGTGCAAATATACCAATCATACCAACAAACTTGAATTTTACATATTTAAGGCTAAATTTATTTCACAATAACTTAGTCATGTTCTCATAACCAAATTTATTTCCATCCTATTTTTAATATGCTCATAGTCTTAACTATATATTTGAGAATATTTGTGGTTTCCTGTGTATAGAACAAATCTTTTTAATTCAAGGTGACCAAATTTGAGGACAAACTAAGAGCACAACCAGAAATCACTAAATGAGGATGAGAATCTCAGTCAGTTTATATTTGTTTCTCACCAATGCTTTGTTCATCTCCCTTTCCAGCACTGAATTCTCACCCCCTTCTCCCAAGGTAGCACCAGGCTCTACCAACTTGGACACAAGGAAACACTTTATTCCTAATGCACAATTCACATCCTCAGGCTTGATGGGAAAGCAGGTGCCAGCAATCTAGCACTCATTCTGCAGGAAAAGAGCCAGACAGGATCTCTAATGAGCAGCAGGCGGCCTACCAACCCTTCAGCACTGTAACATTTACTTGAGTACTGTAGCACAATGTCTTACACATTGCTGTTTGTGGGTCACAAAGAAAAGTTGGTTTACACGTACAAATGCTCTATAAGGTACTCTTCATTTCTGTTGAGTGGCTCTTCTACTGTTGAGCCCCAATGGCGAGTTACACAACTGAAAGAGCATTCAGTTGGCATTTATGTGCACTGCCCAGCTGTAAAACATTTCTCCCAGGGTTTGCAGAGTACTCCTCTTCCTCTCCAAGTTGCTCTTTTCAGCCATGAAAAGTGCCTGCAAATGATATTATTTTGATAGCTCTGGAAACCATCTGGGAGCCGAAAAGGAGGTTTCCTTACAGTGAGCAGAGAGAGCTCTAATTCCTCATCTTGCCTGGCCAGTTCACATTGTATTGGACTTAAAGGAGCCACTCTGCCAGAGCTATTTGCTGAGAATGATATTAGCAAGGATGACAAGAGAAGATGGTGGTCATCTCTCCAACTACCCCACATGAAACATTACTCATTTGTCTCAAGCATCATGTCAATCTCAGAACCAAACCAGGAGGCAGGCTTCTTTTAGCTTCTTACCCATAAATAAGGTTAATAATTCCACAGTTGCTGATCACCAAAAAACCCACAAATAGGAACATAACACAACAGGAAAAAGGGCTTTTTATTCATCATTTATGATTAAGACCTTGCCTCTGCCACAAAGTATTTGAGAAGTTTTACAACAAAAGACATTAATTCTACAAGGACATTAAAGTAGAAAGTTTAAAGCAAAAGAGCTGGATAAAAAAGGATAAAATGCTGAAGAGTGGGCAACAAGGCAATGTCCTGAAAGCTTTTAGTAGTCAGGACAGAACAAGCATTTGTGGAAGATGAGACCTTTAAAATGATCTAAGGCAGTGAATCTCACACTTTGGTGGACAACAGAATGACAGGAGGACTTGTTAAAACACAGCCTACAGCCCCACCCAGGAGTTACAGATTCAGTAGGTTGAGGGACATGGGTGAGTGGGACAGGACCCTGGAATTTATAAAGCATCACAGGTAATGATGATGCTGCAGGTCCAGGGACCAACCATGCTGATGAGAACCACTGATCGAGGACCCAGAGACCGATAATCACAGAAACTCAACAGAATTAGCTGGGAGAAGCCTATATATGAGGAGATTCTGATTTAATAGGTTGATAGTGGAGATCCAGGCATTTTTATAAAAAGCTCACAAGAGATACTGGTGAAAACTACAGGATGAGGCCACTGATTCTATATTAGTCTGCCTTTCTTCCTTAAACACACACACAAAAACACATTTTTGAAAGAATTTTAAATTTAAGAAAGCATGACTATATATATCATGAGAAAAATTAGAAAAAAATTGACTTATCCAGAGGCAGCTTGAAAGAACGCAATTGCCACTTAATGAAAACATTTATGAAGCATGTACAACCATGTTGTGGGGGAGACACCTTAAACTAACTTAATCTGCCTAGTACAGAATTCACCTGTTAACTGCTCAAAGAGCCACTCTGCCACTAGAGGAGGCTGACACTGTCTTACATTTCATCAAGCCCAACCAACAGAATTGCAGTTCACTGTGAGTTATGTATTTTATTTTTAAAATGTCACATTTATCTTCCAAAAACAAACCAAGGATGATTATATAAACTAAAGAAGGTCACTTGCTCTACACACACAAAAAAATCATCATCAACAGGGTTATATGAAGATCTTTATATGAAGATCTTTACAGGCCCTAAGGATTGCAAGATATAATAATCTCCTTTCCCCACCCTACCCCCTAAGAAACATTTTAAATATGTGCTTGTGTCTGTATACATGTAGGGCGTGCACATGTGTGAATGCTAAACCAAAAATTCAGAGAAGTCCAATGAGGTTCTGATTTTTTCCCCTTCTTAATATAACACCTGTTTGTAAAATATCAAAATTCTCACCACCAAAAAAATGTTTTACTACTTCTTGCTGATCCTCTAACCACATGCTTACCTGACCTACTGGGTAATGAAATGCTATGCATGTAGTTTCTTTCAATGGTATGTTCTACAGTGATAAAAGTATAGACATCCTTTGCTTCATCATGCCATTTTTCCAACAATTTGTGTTCACTTCATGTCTCTGCATCACATATTGGAAATCCTTGCAACATTTCAAACTTTTTCATTATTATTATACCTGTTATGGTGATCTGAGATCAGTGATCTTTGATGCTACTATTGTAATTGCTTTGGGGACACCACAAACCGCACCCATGTAAGATAGCAAACTTAATCAATGTTGTGTATCTCTAACTGCTCCACCAACCTGTCAATCACCAACTCCCTTCTTCTCCTTGGGTCTCCCTATTCCCTGAGATACAACAATACTGAAATTAGGCCAATTAATAATCCTACAATGGCCTCTAAATGTTCAAATGAAAGGAAGAGCCACAAATCTTTTTTTTTTTGAGACAGAGTTTCGCTCTTGTTGCCTAGGCTGCAGTACAATGGCAGGATCTCAGCTCACTGCAACCTCTGCCTTCCGGGTTCAAGCCATTCTCCTGCCTCAGCCTCCCGAGTAGCTGGGATTACAGGTGTGCACCAACACGCCTAGCTAATTTGTATATTTTTGGTAGAGATGGGGTTTCGCCATGTTAGCCAGGCTGATCTCGAACTCTTGACCTCAGGTGATCCACCTGCCTTGGCCTCCCAAACTGCTGGGATTACAAGTGTGAGCCACTGCACCAAGACACATCTCTCACTTTAAATCAAAGCTATAAATGATTAGGCTTAGTGAGAAAGGCATGTCAAGAGGTGACAGGCCAAATGCTAGGCCTCTTGCACCAAATATTTAGCCAAGTTGTGAATGCAAAGGAAAAGTTCTTGAATGGAATTAAAAGTGCTACTCCAGTGAACTCATGAATGATAAGGAAGCAAAACAGCCTTATTGCTGATATGGAGAAAGTTGTAGTGGTCTGGATATAAGATCACACCAGCCACAACACTTCCTTAAACCAAAGCCTAATCAAGAGCAAAGCCCTAATTCTCTTTAATTTTATAAAATCTGAGAGATGAGGAAGCTGCAGACAAAAAGTTTGATGCTAGCAGAGGTTGGTTCATAAGGTTTAGGGAAATAAGCCATCTCTGTAACATAAAAGTGCAAGTTGAAGCAGCAAGAGCTGATACAGAAGCTGCAGGAAGTTATCCAGAAGATCTAGCTAACAACATTGATGAAGGTGGCTACACTACACAAATTTTCTATGTAGACGAAACAGCCTTCTACTGGAACAAGATGCCATCTAGAGCTTTCATAGCTAGAGAGAAGTCAAGGCCTGGCTTCAAAGTTTCAAAGGATAGGCTGACACTCTTTTTAGAGGCTAATGCAACTGGTGAATTTAAGTTGAAGCTAATGCTCATTTAGTATTCTGAAAATATCCTAGGGCCCTTAAGAATTATGCTAAATCTACTTTGCCTGCGCTATAGGAATGGAACAACAAAACCTGGATGACAGCACATCTGCCTACAGCATGGTTTACTGAATAGTTTGAGCCCACTGTTGAGACCTACTACTCACAATAAAAGATCCGTTTCAAAATATTATTGCTCATTGACAATGTACCTGGTCACCTGAAAGCTCTGCAGGAGATGCACAAGGAGATTAATGTTGTTTTCATGCCTGCTAATACATCTATTCTGTAGCTCATGAATCAAGAAGTAGTTTTGGCTTTCAAGTTTTATTATTTAAGAAATACATTTTGTAAGGCTATAGGTGCCATAGATAGTGATTCCTCTGATATATCTGAGCAAAGTAAATAAAAAACCTTCTGGAAAAGGATTCACCATTCTAGATGCCATTATGAACATTCATGATTCACAAGAGAAGATCAAAATATGAACATTAAAAGGAGTTTGGAAAAAGCTGATTTCAACCTTCATGGATGACTTCGAGGGGTTCAAGACTTTAGTGGAGGAAGTCACTGCAGATGTGGTGGAAACAGCAAGATAACTAGAATTAGAAGTGGAGTCTGAAGATGTGACTGAATTTTTGCAATCTCATAAAATTTGAATGGATGAGGAGTTGCTGCTTATGGATGAGCAAAGAAACTGGTTTCTTCAGATGGAATCTACTCCTGGTGAAAATGCTAGGAACATTGTTGAAACGACAATAAAGAATTTAGAATATTATATAAATTTAGTCGATAAAGCAGTGGCAGGGTTTGAAAGAATTGAGTCCAATTCTAAAAGATCTACTGCACTATCAAACAACCTCACATGCTACAGATAAATCTTTTGCAAAAGTCAGTCAGTCCATGCAGCAAACTGCATTGTCTTATTTTCTTTCTTTCTTTTCTCTTTTAGACGGAGTCTCACTCTGTCACAAAGGCTGGAGTGCAGTGGCACCATCTCGGCTCACTGCAAGTTCGTTCACGCCATTCTCCTGCCTCAGCCTCCTGAGTAGCTGGGACTACAGGCACCCGCCACCACGCCCGGCTAATTTTTTTTTTTTTTTTTTTTTTTTTTTGTATTTTTAGTAGAGACGGGGTTTCACTGTGTTAGCCAGGATGGTCTCGATCTCCTGACCTCGTGATCCACCCGCCTTGGCCTCCCAAAGTGCTGGGATTACAGGCATGAGCCACCACGCCTGGCCTGCATTGTCTTATTTTCAAAAATTGCCACAGCCACTCATATCTTCAGCACTCCAATCGATAAGTAGTCATCAGCATCTGGGCGAGAACTTCTACCAGCAAAAAGACTATGACTAGCTGAAGGCCAAGAAAATTGTAAGCATTTCTGGCAACAAGGTATATTTTAATAAGGTAATATATACTGTCACACTTAATAGATTACCATATAGCATAAATATAACTTTTATATGCACTGGGAAACCAAAAACTTCACATGCCTAATTTTATTGTGCTATTTGCTTTATTACAATTGTCTGGAACCTAACCTGCAGTGTCTCGAAGGTATGCCTACATATGCTGAAGTATCTTAATTCTACTGCTTGATAGTATATTTTGGTGAAGATTGCTTAAACATTAGTTTGCTCATAGAGTGAGGGCACTGAACCTCATACAGAAGTGATTACCTTAAATTGATATAATAAAGTAAAAACACCTAGCACACTGCTGTTCTAATGGCAGCTAATCAACATTTGATTGCTACTATCATTTACAATAGGTCACATACTCCTCTACTGCCTAATACAAGATATATCTTTACTACCAAAACAATGGGCCTACCAGGATTTGCAATACAATCTTCAACATTAAATGGCTATGCAAAATCATTTTGTAATGGATTTTCTACAGAGTATTACTTTTGTCCAAGACAAGTAAGAAAAACCACATGTTTACAACTAGAAGTGTTTCAAAAGCGAGCACCTGTCAAGGTAGATCACAGGGGAGGCCTGCATAAGCTGGCACTGATCCTGTACTAAGAGCATACTTCCTCTTTAGGTAACAGATGTCAAAAGTAGTTCTGTCTTTTCTAATTGGCAACTATATTTATGAACAGAATTTTGGTGACTTGATCTTTAAAGCAATCAAAATAAAAATAGTGAAAAGGGAAAGAGTACAGTATAACTAGTTAAACAGAAATGATTTCAGACACATTGCTACACTTTTCATAAAATGTAACCTCATTAGTTACATTACGAAAATGTAACTTTTCATAAAATGTAAACCTCACCTAGAAAAAGAACACCTAGAGCCTGCTATAAAGATTATCTCTTCTTTCACAAATATCCAGAAAGACTGTGGATGAATACTAATGAAAGAAGAAAACACAAATATAGGACACTTTATTTACTTCTCTGTTCAATTTTCATTATGCCTGACTGAAGTATTAGGTTCTTCTCACAGTTTTGGTCCTTCTTTCATTAAAAAAAAAAATCACCTTACACATTATATAGCTTTTCTTTTTGCTTAACATAAAAAAAAAAACCACTTAAAAGTCCACCTCATTTAGTTTCTCCTCTGTAGGAAACTGAAAATAATCCACTCAATTTTTAAATGTACATTTAAAAAAATAACATAACAAGCTAGGTGCAGCGGCACATGCCTGTAATCCCAGCACTTTGGGAGGCCAAGGCAGGAAGATTGTTTGAAGCCAGGAGTTCAAGACCAGCCTGGGCAACACAGTGAGATCCCCATCTCTACAAAAAATAAAAATATTAGCCAGGCTTGGTGAAGTGTCCCTGTAGTCCCAACTACTTGGGAGGCTGAGGCAGGAGGATCCCCTGAGCCCAGGAGTTTGAGGCTGCAGTGAGCTACGGCTATGCCACTGCACTCCAGTTTGGGTGACAAGACAAGTCTCTGTCTCAAAATAAAATACATAACATCCATGCCAAACAATTGTGGAAAAATGCTTTCCATTAGATGAGTGAAATCTATGTTACCAATTCCCATTAATGGGTAAAATATTGAGATAGCTATGCCAATAAAAGGTAAGGCCAAATTTAAACAAAGAAGTATTGAAAAGTGATAAAACAATATTCTACTTATGTTAACCTAACAATCTATGCACTAGCGAATTATTAAAAGCCAGAATCAAGAGAAATTTTATTATCATTTGGTTTTACATTAGTAACTGCTTCAAAAACATGCTAAAAGAACAAAACTTTGTTATATAAAAAGATATATAAAAATGAGATTGAACAAACATCAGTAACTCTAACCTCATAATGTATTTTTGTGTAGCTCTATCATATTCCTTATTTCATTTGCACTACCACTAGTAAGGTGAGTGATAGGAATTATGCCCCCTCTACCCTAAAATTCACATGTTGAAGCCTTAACCCCCAGTGTCCCAATACGATAGTATTTGAAGATGGGACCTTTGCAAGGTAATTAGGTTTAAAATGAGGTCATGAACGTAGGGCCCTCTTGATGGAATTGGTATCCTTGTAAGAACAGACACCAAAGAGCTTGCTTCTTTTCTTTCTTACTATGTGAGGACACAGCAAGAACGCAGCCATCTGCAAGCCAGGAAGAGAGACCTTACCAGATTCCTTGTTGGACTTCCCAGCCTTTAAAACTGCGAGAAATAAATTGCTGTTGCTTAAGACACTCAGTCTACTGTATTTTGTTATGGCAGCCCAAGCTGACTAAGATAGCAGGGTGCATTTTAGATCAATATTTTTCAGATGATAAAACTGAAGCACACAGTAAGATTAAGTGACCGGGGGTAATATTTAGGTGAATTAGAACCGGATTTTCTGACTTCTAATCCAATGCTATTTGTACTGCAACTATTAACTTTGAAAAAGGGCAATTAATTTAAAGCAGTGTTCTGAACATACTAACACCCTTTTATAAATTAGGGACAGGGAAGAAAGTTTTGTCACTGCAGAAGATGTAAGGAATATCCTTTGTCCCCAAGGTACATCTTCTGATCCACACCCAAAGCAAACCAGTGGTAAAACAAAACACTTCATCCCAGCGGAGTTAATGTGTCTGATCCATTGCTTCTAACATTTGTCCAATCAATATTACAATGAATCCTGGCTAGGAACCTTGTTATTTCAGTAATTTTTTTTTTTTTCTTTTCTTTTTTTTTTTTTTTGAGACAGAGTCTTGCTCTGTCACCCAGGCTGGAGTGCAGTGGCGCGGTTCTCAGCTCACTGAAAGCTCCGCCTCCTGGGTTCACGCCATTCTCCCGCCTCAGCCTCCTGAGTAGCTGGGACCACAGGCACCTGCCACCACGCCCGGCTAGGTTTTTGTATTTTTAGTAGAGACGGGGTTTCACAGTGTTAGCCAGGATGGTCTCCATCTCCTGACCTCGTGATCCGCCCGCCTCAGCCTCCCAAAGTGCTGGGATTACAGGCCTGAGCCACCGCGCCCGGACTTCAGTAAGTTTTATAAAGGAAAACAGGGAAGTTTCTTCTCTGAACTGCCCTAATCCTCTTGAGACTGGCATTAATAGGACCAATGAGCACATCAGGCAACACAGTAAAATCATATATTTTATTTACCTTCAAGTGATCTACGTTCTTTTCCTAACTCTTCAATATAAATCCCATAATATCCAAGAAAAAAATACCATTTAATGCTTTAAATAAGCTGTTAACAGCTCTTTCTTTCAAAACAAGGTGGAACCGGGGAAAGGACACTAGAGTGCAACCTTTATTGCTAGACACCTACTCAAGTCTGTAACCACAGAGAAGACTCTACATCTCTTTTTAGTAGATGCTCTCCATTTGTATTACGACAACTTGAATGAATTTGATGTTAGATTAGAATCATATTTAGCCTCTTGAGTTCTTATGTTATCAAAAGCTATTGTTATACCCATCATTTTCTGATGATAGAGCAAGATCCTGAGAATTACCCTCTCAACTGTTAGCAAAACAGGAAACGTCCTTATTTCTGTTATATTTTCAACTTACAGATATAAAATCATCCTGGAAGCCAAGATAATTGGCTTGCATTGAGGTGCCTGTTTTTACAATTACATTCACTTTCTTCATTATTATCATTACCTTTACTATTATTATTAAATGCTGTCATTTGGACTTATCACTACTTGTCTGAGAATAGAAAATGTCATTAGGAAATAAAATGGCCTCGGGGAGCAGGGGTCTATAAATCTCTCCATAAGACCCTTTTCCACACTTAGGGATGGCTATCATTTTCTTTCAGCTTCCTCCCTTTTAAGCAGAAGAGCCTCAAGTCTTTTATCTCTCATCACCATTTGTACTTTAAAGGCTGCTACGATTGTAGCCAGAACATGTGCTCTTTCAAAAAATCCAGTTGTTGCAAGATGTGTTCTAAGATCACTGGCTGAAGGATCCTTGTTAAGAGCTTTGAGAATGAGAAATCATCTGAAAACAGACCACTTACAGTCACACCACCTATAAACACAGTACTATTTTTGAGCAAAGTTCACATGTACAGAAGTTGAATTTCACAACTGACCTTTAACTACACCACTTAGTTGTGATGCCAAAGACATATGTTTTAGCTGTGTTTTCTCTTTCTCTTTTGTGTGTTTTGAGAGTGACGGGTAGAGAAAGAAAAATGTTACAAGTGAGAGGGCTCAGAGCTGTAATTCCTCACAGAAGAGAAACAGGAAGGAAAAAAAGTTTCCTGATAGAACTGGCCCATAATTAAGTGTTATTGGAGTTGACCAATGAACATCGAAACACCACTACTTGTCAGTTTACAATGAGATCTTGAGATTATTGTCAGAACTATTCAGTTACTTGTGAAGTAACCCTCCTGTGCAGAGCATAAGAAATTTAAAATAGTGGAAAATCACTTTTGTCTTCTCAACATTTATAACGGCAACATTGAACTGAACACTGAATTGAACAAAGTCATAAAAAGTACATTATGGCTACAGGGCTCAGTACTGGATTATAAATATTAAAGTATATTTGGGATTATAAAAAAGTATAAAGTAAATTAAATAGAATGAATTCAGGAAATAAAGGTGATAATGAAATGAAATAACTAAAAGATATATATCTGAAGAGATTATTTTGACAAGACATTTAACTACATTTCCTTATTAACTTTAACCTTTTAAAAAATGTGTCACTTTAAAATGTTCATAAAGCATTTGATTGACACCAATATAATCTTTACAGATTTACACAGATGTCAAGAAGTATTAATTTTAATCTTTGGACTATCTTACAGAATTTTCCCGATTAAATGTGAAACCTGGATTTACTATCATGGCAGTGGCATTAAGAGTTTATTTTATTTGCTAAGAACTTATGTCCATGGTAGTTTGACTTTTAATATAACCAAAATCCACTGGGGAAAAAGTGTTGACTTAAGACTACCTCATCTTCACCAGGTCAAAAATGCAACATTTTCTCATTATCAGCTTATGAAACAAGGACTACTGATAGTTGCAAGGGTTATTTCTCTACAAGCCTTATATCTTCCTCAATAGAATTAGAATACTGGAGCTCTTTCCTCTATCTAGATCAAGGAACTCCAAAGTTCTTTGGGTGTGGGTATGAATGTATATGTTTACATAGATGTGTGTAAGATAATACATAGTAGTAAAAGAAAATAACAAGACCTCTTTTCATATTAGTCTTTTACTTTTAAATTTTCAATTTTTTGTATGTGTTTTCTTGTACATAATATGAAAGTACAGCATAACTTATTCTTGTACATAATATGTTGGCTTACTATAATTTGGAAATGTACATACATTGGGGATACAGGTTTACAGGGAGAGATGAGTTGTAATACCAACTCTGTAAGTTTTAATTCTGTAATTTACCTGCTCAAATCTTAATTATATCACATGATTTCAAGCTCTGGAGTGATACATGCTAAATAAACAGGACAGTCTCATTATAACTCACACAGAGAGCATCCAGATTTTTGTCATTTTACAGTATTTTATAACAATCAAACTCAGAGCTTAAAAGTTTACTTTTTATATTTATACTGTACACAGAGTTCCTTATTGAAGAAGAGGTAACACAAACTTATTTAAAAGATTTTGAAGTGCACATAGCTTTTCTTAAAAACCCAACACAAAATACTTTACATAATCCCCCTAGAAGTTTGAAATTATCTGTGGCTCTATTTTAGAGTTTGCTTTTATAGTGTTTACAGAAAATTATACAATATTAAGTGAAATTGTTTATAATCAGTCTAAATGTGCTATACTTACATTCACTTCTATTTAAAATGTTAAGTCCTAATAAAAAGTTTGTAAAAATATATCTATTTTAAGAAGTCCCTCTATCTTAGTGAAAATGAACTAAAGTAGCAAAAACATGCTACATTTACAAGACAGCCCTCATGTGAAAACTTAGGAGGTAGATTCTTCTGTTGTGTTCTCAATGTAGCCCCTTTAAAAATGTGGTATTCAGAATCACATATTCCTGATTAGTAATATTAGATTTCTGTCCAGAATAGGAGGAATGCTGCTGCTTATAAGGCTCTAAAGGAACCTGCATTTCCATGCACACATCTTATATAAGCCTAACAGTTGCTTTTCTTCATAAATCAATCTATTGTTGCACTTCATAATGAGAAGGCAGATTTACTGCCTTTTACCGCCTTTTCTCACCATCAGAAAGATGCCTATTTGGGTAACAGAACGTTTCTCTTCTTCAAGGGTATTTGGGATTAGGGAGGCAGGGGCAAGAACCTTTAACATCTGCTCCCTTGAAATGAATGACACCTCTAGTTCTCACAGCCTGGACGTTGAAAAGCAAATACTCTAACTTGATAAAATTCTCTAACTTGAAGAAGCACAACACTTTAAATACACTGAAGTCCCATCTCTAAAACATACATTTGGGATTTAGAGGTTATACCACAAAACTAAAGAACACAGAATTTAGATTGTCCCCCAAAAGCCCCCAAATCATCATCATAGTGAGAACAATTGGAATTTAGAATAAAGACACTGGATTCATCATCTTGAATTTTCTCTAGCCCTAAAAACAAATCTAAATTACTGGCTAGTAAGACTTTAATCATTTGAGTCTCAATATTGTGCAGGAATAACAAAACAGTTTGCAATATAGACTTAACATTCCTCTGTTTTTATTTACTTAATTTTTCCCCTTAGGGAGAAATATTTAAGAATTACAAACTTTAGGTTTTAATTTAAAAACAATAAGAAGGTACTTTTCAGCATCTAATTCCTAACCATCTGCCTTTTAAAAATATACACACACACATACTCACCCATTCACTCCAGTTAGGCTTAACATTCTTAACAAGTAAGTAGATCTTGATGGATCTAAACAGAAGTTTCAGTAATCAGAGTCCCACTTTTGGAAACAAAGCTATCTTTAAACAGGCACCATGACTCCTACTAGCAAAAGCAGTTAACCATAAACTTAAAACAAATAGACACCATCCAAAACAAATAAATAAATGAAGTGAGGCAGGTACTGGATTCAAGAAGAATCTCTATTTTTGAAGAAAACTAAATTACATCTCCTCGTTCATGAATATGTAGTATTGCCCAGTGAGCTAACATTCTTGTTACTTCAGGCTATCTTTTGTCACTTAAGCAATGGTTTTTGACAGTTTTACAGGCTGTTATCCCAAAGACTTCAGTATTTACGGCCTTTATTCACTTGGGCTTTCTACTCTTATCCACTGGTTACTAATCACTAAACAGATTTTTTTTAAAATGGGACTGAAATTAGCTCACAGGATGTCCTTCAACAATGGCAGCTCAGGACAGCACCGGTAAAGGTCTTCTCCTCAGCCTCTTCCTCTCTCTCTTCAATTTTCTCTTCCTACAGACAAGTTAGTGAGGGTCCAGATCCACACTGTTCAATTAGAACAACAGCACACATGATTTACAGCATTCTTAGGGGATGGTTAGGGATCGTTTCTGAATTGATCCTCAGAAACTCATTCAATTTCAAATATCTCAAGAATGATTTAAAGGCCTAACTTGTTTTTAATCTTCATAAAACAGGAGCAATTCCTACTTGTGGAATCATTATTCAGGAATTATTATTCAGTTCTACAAACCTTACTATCCACACACAATTGCACGTACAATTCAAATATGGATGCTTTTAAAACTTCAACACATTTAGTTGTAACCTGCCATTCCAATTTCTTCCTATGTAGTAAAGGCTGCTTATTACCTTTTATCCACTACACTTAAACACCATAGACCGAAAAGCAAGGAGAAAACACAGACCGTTCTTTTCACTTAATTTCATCTGACTTAAACATCTCCTAAGAGATTGGTTTTTATCTTAGGAACAATGTGAAATGCGTAACAGAGTACATTCTCTTTTCTAGCTGGCTGCTGGAAACTTGAAAGTCAAATTAGACTGGAAAGTGCTGTTTTCTTATAAACTAAAAATGCGAAAGAAAGCCAGAAATACTGATGTTATTAGTCTCATGATCTTCCTGATGAACTGAGCAAACTGCAGAATTCTCTGAGAATGGGCTGAGCAATGGCAGGAGGAAGGGGAGAGACTAGCTTTAAAGAAACACTAAGGCTCCACTTATTGCTCTAAAATATAATATACTAAATATGACTCTTCCTAGAATAAAAGGAACTTATTATGATCAGCTTCTGTTTTCTCTGAAATTGTGCTGAAATGAAATCTCAAAAGAAAATGCTCCAACAAAGTATTTTAAACCTTTAGATATTTCCACATTTGGGTAGAAGCAACATGTTTTAGTGCATCAGAAAAACAATTTTATCGGGATTAGCATTCATATACAACATTTACATATAATATTAACTATTTGGACATCATGTGATTGCATTTAATTTATAGACATCCACATGACAAATTCTCCTTGAATGTAGTTCCAGGAAAATTTATTTCTGCTGAAGAATGTGCACGCTTTCCGATATTCCAAATATAAAACTCCATAACTGTTATATTTCTCTAGGAAGAAAATGGCAGAACTTATTGCCTATGTGTAAAAAAGCACCTAACTCTGAACAAATGCTGTGTTCTTTAAATTTTGTAACTACTTATATTAGATTATATTTGCCATGTATATTAACCTGTAAACCAATCTAAATGCCATTCAGTCATATAACTATTAAACAAGTTAAAAATGAAATACATGTACTTGCATGAGAATTTACATAGTTATATTTTTAATTTAATAAAACAACATTTTAATGTATAATTAAGGGCTAATTTTTACCAAATACCCTAGTGGTTAGATAACAAGGGATACTCTGTTATTTTTCTGGTAAGTTAAATCTTGCAGTGTTTACTTTTATATTTAAAAATATGTGAATGGAGAAAATCATTTTGGATGAACGACTTTCAATGTATGATAAGCTATATAATTAAGAAAAATGTAAGAACAATATTATTCTGAAAGAAGATTCATTTCAGATTAGTAAAATAATTAGAGGTCTAATCCTTAGCTTCTCTCAGAAAATAAGAGAAATTATTTAATACGATAATCATGAGTTAAAAAATGCTTCTATTTCTTTAACATGCACTTAAAAATTCACTGGTAGATAAAATACTTGTAAATGTGCTGAAGTCAGAGGAGAAGGGTATCTTTTTTCCTACTTTAAATCACTCTGGAGAACAAATGCACACTGGGGCTCCTATTTTAAAACTTTTTCTCTATTTTTTTCTTAATTAGATGAATGCATGTTATATGCACATTAATCATCTAAAATTGTAAGATTTTCCTGAATTTTTCTATACATCAAAACCTCCTGTGGCTTTTCCTTGTTCCATCCCTCTCACCCCATTTTTCATTACCTTACATAATATCCCAGAAGCTATCTTGCCTATGAAATTACTACTCATAGTAAATAAACTTTACATATAGTTTATCTTTAAAAATTAGAAACACAGCAAGCAAAGAAATTGTTCTCACCTCTTTCAAAAGAAAACGGTGTAGCCCTCAGGAAAACAGAAGTGCCCCTAAGTTCATGTGTGTCAGCAAGGAATGGAGAGCTGTTAAGAATGATCTTCTTGAAAAGAAAGAAGTCTCCTTAGGCACCCACATGTATATTTAGATTAGACTGGCAGTTTAAATGACAGCAAACACATGGTCATGACTTCCCAATTGCTCATTCATCTAACACATACACAGGCTAATCAGAGGCAAACATCCACCCCGAACTGTTTTAGAAACTAGCTTCTCCCATCTGATACTACTGTATGTGTGGTAAGCAGACATTCTTCTAGAGAGATCGGATGTCAAATGCTTAACTACCTCTCTTAGTATAACAGGATCTTAAATCACACTGATTTAGAATTCCAGAATGTTTTTGTAAAGTCAGTTTGACATCAACTTACATCAATTCCTTGCTCTAGCCTGCAGGGTTTTATGAAGTACAAAGTAAAGAAATGACTATGTAAAGATTGCAGGATCTATTTGTCTTATGGGTATTTTTAAACTGTAAGACCTGCCCATCCTATCAGTAATAGCACACACTCCTATTCTGTAAACAGGGTAAAGTCACTATAGAGGATCACATTTTCTTGTGCAAATAAAAGGTGGTAGAGTTAAAAGGTGGAGATACTGAACATGAACTTTAAGCCCCTACTCATAATTTGAGCTTCAGTAACATTTTCCAGTAAGTGAGAAACAAGAGAAAACACAGATGGCACTGTTTGCTGGCAGCTATTAACTACACCTACAACACTATTGTGTTGTATATATGCATACACATTGAGATTTATATATATTAAGATGTGTTGGTGAGGAGCAGAAAACAAATGCAGCTATCAGCTCTATGATGGGGGGTACGTTATTTTAAAATGTCAAACAATTTTAACATAATTATATTTTACTTTTGACATGAACTTTGCATTTTAATCTTAATGTCAAATATTTTGAAAAATCTAGATTAGTATGAGGGTGAAAAGAATGAAACACTATAATAATTTGGTGCTCAGGTTCTGAAAACATCAAACCTGGTTTGAATCTCAGTTCCACCACTTTCTAGCTATGTGACCTTAGCACATAACATCATCTCTCCAGGCCTCAGTTCCTTCATTTCTAATGGGGAAACATAAGTAATAGTGGTACCAATTCATATCGCTAATGTTAGAATGTTGACAACGCAAAGCAGTTAGGACAGAACACTGAATAAATGATGACTAAATATTAGTTACTATTATCATCAATAGGAATAAATATAAAATTATGATATTAAAAAGTTATGTCTGAGTCCATTTGGCTTGTCCACCCTCTCCCCCATGATAGTCTTCCCTGAAAAACACTTGACACTTCAAGAAATAAGGTAACTTCCTTTAGACTAATCCAAAATTTATTTTCTCTGAAACTTCTCCTGGAGAAGGCAGCTGATAAAGTACCTAGTTCAATGCCCAATATATAAGACATTCTAGCAAGGACTTCTATACAAACAGAATAAACAAAGATGAGAATTAAAAAGTGATTGTTAATCTAAGCACAAATGATCTATAGGTAAGAACTGCCTGGTCAAGTAATATTTGAGAATTCATAGAAAAAAGAAAGTGAAACTTATTTAGGGCATCACATTGTTTGAGAAGTTTTTCCTTTTGCAGAAAAAGTGGGCCCTAAGACTCTCAAGAAAATGATCCACTTAAAGAAAATAATAATATCATGATACTGTTCTTAACAGTTCATCTCAATTTTGTAGACTTATATGCTTCTGCCACATGTTAACTTGTCTTGGTAGTAAAAAGACAAAAACAGATGGATGCTGATTGCTTAATGGCAGAAATATTTGTCTGTAGTTTTTGCTACTTTATAAAATATTACAAAGGAATACAGAGGTGGGCCAAAACCTCAAACTTAATTGAAACTCTCTAGTGTTGTCTGACAAATTAAGATTGTAAGTCACTTTATTATATAGCGTCTGGTCATGTGGTATATCATCAATGCCAATTATTTCTTTTTTCTTTAAAAACTACAATCACTACATATACACAGTTCCTGCACTCCTAAGTAAGAGGTTTTGTTATACATAGAAGTAAGCAAGTTTAATGTACTCATTTCCTAAGAAATAAGAGAATTGTCAATGTTAATGTTATCCAAAAACGTGTTCTTAATGCTCAGTTTGTACCTATCATTAAAATTTAATATAATCTAACACAATTATCATCAATGGGATGCAGGTGTTGGATAATTATATTAGTATCAACACGACAGTCAAATTAAGATTTCTTCCCATGTGATGGAGTTCTGATAAATATCAATTCATTGGTTTACTGAATCCTGAAGATCAAAAGGCCCTGCATATGGCACTAATAAATCAAATAGAGTCATCAAATCTACAGTCTGTTTTCTTTGGCTAAAACTGCAAAGTTTTACTTACAGAGACTGATCTACTTCTAAAAATTCTCTGCCAAACCAAATTTGACTCACTAAGTGTACAGAAAATATAGCACTCCCCAGCCGCACCCTCCTGGGGCTTCTGAAGTCCAGAGACACTGTTATGTGGTGGTCTAGATTATCTGGTCTTTCCCTCTTCTTTGCCTTTTTAGATCTCATAATCAACTAAAAATTCTTGCAGAAAAGTAAAAAGTTACCTCTAGACTCAGACTGAAAAGTTACAAAATATTTTTATTTATTAATAAATCCTACCATAAGTAAAGGTACTTAATAAAAATCTCTAACCGATTAACATACACACTGAAAATAATAAAGGGGTCTACAATACTTTTTCCTGAGTCTATTTAAATATCGGTAAGAACTCCTAAAGCTGGAAATTCTACTCAGGTATTTATAGTATAATTAGTCACGTTCTGATAAACTGACCCTAAACTTTGTGTGACAGTAGTATTATTTGAAAGAGAAGGGGCTACGGAAAGATAATGTAAGCAATATCCCAGGAAAAAATCCCACTTCCAGTTGATTTACTTAAGGAGACTACTCTGATAAACCATCTGTTCCATGATATTTTGAATCTCGAAGAAAATGTACAAATGAATGGTAGGATTATGGTGCTTTTTATTTTCTTCTTTATAAAACAATTCTGTACCTTTCAAAAATTTTTACAATAATTATGTTTGAAATATATGAATAAAAATAACAAAATGTCTGTTTTTGGTTCAATCGAGAACATCCTAAAGCAATAAGAAATACTTTTCCAAGTCCAAAAAGATTTTAGAAAGACTTAATAATTTGTCCTAAAATGTTAAAATCTCAGCTGAAAATTTTGGCTGACACCACTCCCACTCCCAAGTCACAACATTTAAAAATGTCTCCAGATAGTGCCCAATGGGGTGGGGTAGGGGAGACACTATCCTAGGATAATGTTTTCTCAAGAAGTTACCTACAAGAGTCTCATATAATTATATACCACTAATTGACAGATGATTCCATTTTAATAATGTTCTAATCTTAAGACCATTATGAAATGATACTTTTGGTCTGATAAGATCCATTTCAATGGTCTCTCTCTAGCATTGATGCTAAGGTGTATTCTGAAGTAAACTGCAATCTGCCTTCTGAGATATTTGTGTTGCATCTCTCCCTTTAGTGAAGAGGACAATCACTCCACTCTGGTTCTGGTGAGACAGCCCTGTTGTCCCTTAGGTTGAAACTGAATTCCCATTTCCAATGGGCACTGCCATTTCTGTATTTCATATACAGAACATGTAGAGATGCCGTGCCATTTGGTTAACAGGGTCCAAAAAGTACCATGTGAAAGCACATACTTTACATAATGTTATCTGAAATGAAAAAGAGTTTGCAATTAGAGTAAGTAAATACAAGAATGGTGTTACCAGTCAGTTTATGTTTAGGGCAAGTGTTGTTCTGTGCCTGAAGTGGCACAAAATAATGTTTCAAGGAGAGTTTCCAAGGCACAGCATGTTGAAGAGTAAGGAGAAGGGTCATTCATTCAAATACCTCTCTGGTCAGCAGTCCCAAGCCTACTACCTCAGAAGCCAATAAACCCAAAGTCTGACAAGTTAGCCTCTGAATTATGTGTGGCTTTTCCTTCGTGGCTGTAGCTTTGCTAAAGAAAGACCAACAAGGAGTTGATCTGGCTCCTGTCATCAAGCTTTGTTTGGAGGCCCAGTCGCTGGAGTAATGAACATTGCAGAATTGGATAAAGCCTATTGACAGAAGCTTTCAGCTGTCACAGTCATCACTGGAAGTGACAGACTCCATCCCATGGATGCCCCAAACTCCTATTCTAAAGATGTGCTGGAATGAGACAGCCAAGTGAATATGTGACTACATCAAATATTCTAGACCCCAAAAAATTCTCAGTAAGAAATGCTAACCGGATTTTATGGCCATTAGTATTGGCCAGTCTGCTCCTATGGTAAAAACCAGGCTATTTTCTGGATATATATATAACATTCTGAACTAAACCTAGATAATAATAAGTTATAGGCCTGCTATTACTATTTTATCCAGATATCCACTGCTCTCCAATATAGAAATTATTATTCTAATTGTCTTAATGTATTAAGTTGACTTTTCATATCCTTTTCATACCTGGTAAAATTCTACTATTCTACTTTTTGCTTTGTGTGTAAGTTATCTAAATGTTTGTATTAGCCACTTTTCCCTGCAGTCACACTAGCCAAAGATAAAGATGAGGACAGAAAATACGTCTTTCTTACTTCGGATCCTCTATAGCAAGAGTTGGCAGGCTTTTCCTATAAAAGACTGAATAGTAAATGTTTTAGCCTTCACAGGCTGTTCAGTCTCTGTCAGAGCTATTCCAGAGCTCCTCAACTCTACTCTTGTAGCATGAAAGCAGTCGCAGACAGTATGTAAACAAGTGGCATGGCTGTGTTCAATAAAACTTTATTTACAAAAACAAGCAGTGTACCAGATTTGGTTCACAGGCTGTTTTTGCTGATCCCTGCTCCATGGGTACTTAGTACAGCAATATCACACTTAAAGATGTTAGGGATTTGGTGAACTTTGTTACATCAGATTTCTCTGATTTAGTTTATCCTATTACTGGTCTATTTTTGTTTGAAAACACAATTTTGGCTTTTTTGTTTTTGCGGTCGTGGAGGGGAAGCTTAACTCCTTCACTAGCTATGCAGTTTTCCATTCCTTAAAGACACTCTGTCCTATGGCAGCTAAACAATTTTATCCTGCAAAATAGCAGTGTTCTGACCTTGTTGTCCAAGTTTCTCAGAGTTACTGTGGAAGACACAATTGTGATATATTATCCTGAAGAGTGAGTTTTCATGCCAATTATATTGTTGAATGTATACAAATGAAAGTCTCATCAATAAAATATAATAAATTACTCTCTACCAGATAGTTCCTTTGATATGGCAACATCTTAGAAAAGGCAGTTTGAGAAAAGTTACAAACAGAATTCTCAAGCCACCACAGGAAGGCTATCTAAAGGTCACTCGTTTAGCAAATGCAACTCATTGTTTCAAAAATTCAGGTATTTTAAATGGATAAGTTTTAAATATCTGGAAGTTCCAGTTCTATAAACAGAAATACAGGCAGGACTGGCTCATTCAGGAGGGCAGCGGAGAGTGGGGGTTAACATCACAATTGCCCCCCAAAAATACCTAATCAAATGAAACAATCACCTGTGCTTTATGGCCAATTTGATGTTTATGAAGATCAGTATTTTGATTATTACCTAGATGAAATTTTTCACACTAGACTCTGTAACCAAATTGATTCTTGCATAGACCTCAAAACAAAAAGGAAGATCAAGTATTGATTTAGAAAATATGTACTTGTTTCTTTTGAACACTTATTCTAATAAACAACAAAACTAAACCATTAGCTAAAAAGTAAAATCAAAGGTTGAAGAAATTTGAAGATGACAGTAGAATTTGTCCTTTTTTGTTTATAAAGAAAGCTATTCTCTGGCCGGGTGCGGTGGCTCAGGCCTGTAGTCCCAGAACTTTAGGAGGCTGAGGCGTGCAGATCACGAGGTCAGGAGATCAAGACCACCCTGGCTAACATGGTGAAACCCCGTCTCTACTAAAAATACCAAAAATTAGACAGGCGTGGTGGTGGGCGCCTATAGTCCCAGCTACTCGGGAGGCTGAGGCAGGAGAATGGAGTGAACCTGGGAGACGGAGCTTGCAGTGAGCCGAGATCGTGCCACTGCACTATGGCCTGGGTGACAGAGTGAGACTCGGTCTCAAAAAAACAAAACTATTCTCCAAAAGAATCTCCCATTAAAAAACAATAATAAGGTAATTGTCAAAAACAAAGAATAAACAGGAAGAAAGGAAAAAAAAACCACCATGATTCCAAAAGATGGGATCCTTCAAGACAGTTTCTCACGAAAGTTATATGCCAGCATATTGGGAAAAAGAGTGATGTCACCAAGAATAAGAATGTGGGTGAGACCATATAGTTTATCTTGTTTTTTTGTGTGTGGTGAAAATATTGGTAATAACTGACCTAACGTGACATTCCAGTGGGGAGAAAAACAACCATCTCCCTCAACATATATCAGAATTCTTTCAGCCTTCTCAAGATGCTCTGAAGAGAAATAGAAAATTACATGAACAAGAATGTCAGAAACTGCAAATGCTGCAGTAGGATCAGAAAGTAATGTTTCATCAGTAACATATTATGTAAAAAAACACTGAATCCACAAAAACCTGTTTTCAGCCATTCACGGCAGCATTATTCACAGCAGCCAAAAGGTGAAAACAATCCAAGTGTCCATCAGCCAATGAACAGAAAGGCAAATTGTGGTATATCCACACAATGGAATATTACTCAGACATAAAAACTAATGAAGTTCTGGTACATGGTACAACATAAGTAAGTCCTGGAAATACAATACTAAGTGAAAGATGCCAAGCACAAAACATCACATATTATATGATTCCATTCATATCAATTGTCTAGAACAGGCAACTGTACAGATAGAAAGTAGATTACTGGTTGCCTGTGATTGCCTAGGGCTAGGGGAGATAAGAGAATTGAGAGTTGATAGCTAAAGGGTATGGGTTTATTTTGGGGCCAGTGAAATTGTTCCAGTATGTATTGTGGGGATAGCTGCACAATTCTGGAATATACTAAAAACCACTTTAGACCAGGCATGGTGGCTCATGCTTGTAATCTCAGTGCTTTGGGAGGCCAAGGTGGGAGGACTGCTTGAGGCCAGGAGGTCAAGACCAGCCTGGGTAACACAGTAGAACCCCATCTCTACAAAAATTAAAACAAAAAAAAAAGCCACATGTGGTGGCATGTACTTGTTGTCTCAGCTACTCAAGAGGCTAAGGCAGGAGGATCACTTGAACCCAAGAGTTCAAGGTTACAGTGTGCTACGACCACACCGCTGACTCCAGCCTGGGCAACACAGTGAGACCCCGTCCGGTAAGGGAAGGAAAGGGAAATGAAAAAGGAAGGGAAAGAAAACCACTTTAAATGGGTGAACTGTATTTAAACAAAGTTGCATTTTAAAAGTTACATTGAACATATATTGACAATTGCTCATTAAATTTTTTCTTTTCTTATTTTGTCCAGTAAGGCAACTTGATTCAGCTCCTATATTTTAAAAGGTTAAAATGTAATTAAGTTATGTATACTTTAGGGCATTGTGTAGTACATTTGGCCCATCAGATTATTATGGAAGTTCCTAAAATGGAAACGTTATGAGAAGCAACCAAGGGAAGTTAATGATGAGTATGGCGGCAATCTTTCCAATGAACTGAAGATAAAATATGAAACATTAGCCAAAGAAAATAGTAGTAGATTTGATAGTGTTACATTAAGAAGGACATAAATTAGAAAAATATGTTGAGATATTTGGAGGAAAAAGTGGTAAGTTTAAATAGAGATCTTAAAAGTAGGATACTAATTTTCCCCGAGATTGTAAATATAGTTAGGGCTTTAAAAGCAAAACTTAAAACTTTGTTACATAGAATGAGATCTACTACCGAAAAAGAGAAAGTAGCACTAATGTAAAATGAAGATGGATCTACAATTGTATAAAGATCAGATAAAAGCACTGATCCCAAAATAATCATAAATTAATTCCTTTGTGTAAAACATCAGCAAATTTTGTACATACAAAAATTGTATGTTATTGAATGCCTACTATGTGTCTAGAAATGTCTTAGCACACTGGACAAACAGTGCTCAACAACCCAGATATGATTCCTGACCTTAGAGACTTTGGAGTGTATTTTATTGTTTAAAGTTTAACTGCCTTTGCTTCAATATTTCACATATACCAAGAACTCTGGCAAATTGACTAACACTCTTCAAATATGAAAACTACAACTTCTCCAAAATACTTACATAAGAGGGAGCATTAAAGTTTCTTTTTCAAAAGCTGAGTTAGAAGTACAAATTAACATTTGGAGAAACAATTTCCTTCTATAATAGTAAGACAAATCAGATATCTTATAGATTAAATTGAGGTGTGCCAGGCATGGTGGTGCAAGCCTGTAACCCCAGCTACTCGGGAGGCGGAAGTGAAAATATCACTTGAATCCAGGAGTTCAAGACTTGCCTAGGCAACATAGTGAAATCCCATCTCATTTTTTGAAAAAAGGTTAAGTAAGCAAATTGGGGTGTGATTTACATGCTTGCATGTAGTAAAATGCACAATCTAGGCATACAGCTCAATTAATTTTATATATTTCTACACCCATGTTACTGCCACCAGATCAAGATACAGAACAGTTCACCTGTTGGCAATTTTGGACAACGGTTTGCTAGGTGATTTGCTGGATTTCTTGCTTGGTCCTACCAACTCCCCTGGGGAATTGGGTAGAAAAAAATTTTAAGGCAACTCAATTGACATCAATCAATCATTTTGTAGGAATAAAATCACATCTAAGTGACTGATTATCTGTGTTTAGAAAATCCTTGCTAATTTCTAGGACAGGGAAAAGCAGAGGGAAAAAGAAGAGAAGGAAATGGAACAGGTGCCTGAAGATTGTGATCAACAAGGTAAACAAGATAAGGTAAACAAGGTAGTAACCCAGGGGGAACTGTACTCATTCTTCCCATATTTATTTTGTAAGGAAGGCTGACAGTATGAGGGAATTATTACTTTAAGGCATGAAACCAGAAAGCCCTCAAGCTAGATCTAATAGGCAACATAAAGTGAGCCTAGGCGGATCAAAGAGCAGCCTGAAACACAGGGAATCATCATCTCATCTCACCTATCCATCTATTTATTTACTGAATATTTTCATGAGAAAATATGCCAGCCTATGTTTATCTGTTCCTGATCCACTTTCCGTATTTACCTCTTGTAAATCTAATGTTATTGCATTTAATATTAC
Source organism: Homo sapiens (assembly GCF_000001405.40). Lineage (NCBI taxonomy): Eukaryota > Metazoa > Chordata > Mammalia > Primates > Hominidae > Homo > Homo sapiens. The sequence goes on from NC_000009.12 coordinate 20,391,701, forward strand.
TTCCATCAACTACCATGTTTTTCCTAAAACAAGACAGGTTTTAAAAATACACAATTCTTTGTCACTATCAAATGTACTTCTCTCAAGCTTAAGTTAGTAGAAGGAAGATGTGTATGTGATAAATGTCGAACTAGCAGCTAGAAATTATGCAAGTTTGTGAAAGTTAAGGTTTTAGTATGTATCTATGATTTCTCTAATTTTATTTTACTATTAATATAATAAAGCCCAGGTGCTACATAAGGTTAAAGACAGAAAACAACTAAAGAAAAAGACAAAACTATATGGAAGTCAATAGGCTTTCTAAGGAGCGTCGTATCACTGGCGGCTTGCCACAAGAATCAGCTCACCTTGTCGGTAAGCGGGAACTTCACCGGAAAAATATCCTTCAATTTGCTTATCCGAGGCCTCCTGAGCTCCCTGAGTTACCAAGAAGCCAAATCTACTGTTAATCAGAACACTCTAAGAAACTTCTAAGAGCACTACTTCCAAAATAAAGATAATTACTATGTGTCTTCCCAATCTCACTTCCTCAAACCATACCTGGTAATTGTAAGAACCTTCAGGGTCCAGAGATTGCCCTCTGAACTATATTTCTATTTTGTCAGCTCTTTAAAATGTGACACCAAACATAAGGCCCAGATGCAGTCTGACGGGAGAAGATGATAGAACTGTAATTTGATATGACTGACATACAATTTTTCTATTAATACAATCTTAGATTGAAGTAGCTTATATAGAGCTGACAATCTACTAAAATCCCCAAGATCCTCCTCATCTCCATATAAACTGTCTCTAAGGCCCATCTCCCTTTTCCTTTACTAATCAAAATAATTACTTAATTTTAAATGAAGAAACTTATATTTATCTTTGTTAAATTTCACTTTCTTGGGTTTACCCTAGCATTTCTACTCGATGAGAATTTTTTTCTTATAATTCTGGGGTTAATGAATACATTATCCCTCCCAGCTTTGGGTTACTGGTGAACACAGCTTCCATATCTTTATGAAATTTGCAATAAACATAACAAATAGGACAGGACAAAAGGCAAAGCCCTGTAACCCTCTGCAAGAGATCTCTTTACAGGCTGACATGGACTCTTTAAATGCATTTGTAGAGTGAGTACAAATCCATCCATCTCAAGAATCACCAGGTCCTCTTCTACCTTATCCTAAGGTATCATTAAAAGACTGATGACCTGTAATCCCAGCACTTTGGGAGGCCAAAGCGGGTGGATCACCTGAGGTCAGGAGTTTGAGACCAGCCTGACCAACATGATAAAACCCTGTCTCTACTAAAAATACAAAATTAGCTGGGCATGGTGGCACATGCCTGTAATCCCAGCTACTTAGGAGGCTGAGGCAGGAGAATTGATTGAACCCAGGAGGCTGAGATTGCAGTGAGCTGAGATCATGCCATTGCACTCCAGCCTGGGCAACAAGAGCAAAACTCCATCTCAATTAAAAAAAAATGCTGATGAGGATGAGCCATTGCATTCTCTAGTCAACCTTATAAAAAATAAAGAAATTAGGATTGTTAGGTATAATAACCAGGTAGGACCTAGTGACAGCCACAGTCTTTTCCAAATGTTCCTTAACTACGTATTTCAAATTCAATTCCAGAGTTTACTGGGAAACACTATAGGACTTACCAATCGGCAATTTCTGGAATCTGAGGATTTGTCAGGACTACTCATAGAAGATTATGCTCACTTTATCACTGGATGCTGATTGTTGCATTTCAAAGGCTAAATGCTCACATTACTCACTTAGAACGCTATCTTTAACTGTAGCACTATATCATCTACAGTAGACCTTGCTATAAAGATTTCCCTTCGATTTCAAAAATATTCACTGATATAATTAAATACAGGTCTGAATGTTTTAGGTTACATGCTATGAAAAGGTCAGTGCCTGAAGACTGTAAATATGTGCAATGCCTCTCTTCTTTACTCCAACAGCTATGCCTTACATAACCACTTTTTATTGCGTGATAAAAGTAATGCTAGTTGACAGAGGAGAAAAGTCATTATTGGATTTTTTCAATTATGTAGTAATTAGTCATGCATTTTTTAAGTGCCAATCTAACAAGAACAGGTAAAACTATTTTAAGAGCATAGAAAACTAAGAGTAACAAGAGAAAGTGATAACTGTAACTTGAGATATATTTATAACTAGCATTACCAATTTTTAAACATATATAATAAATTGGTTCTGATTATTTGATACTTGTCTTAAAAGTACTTCATCATTGATAAGATTTATCATTCTTGTAAAGCTTCATATCTAAAAAAGATTTACAGTCATTTTAATTATCCTTCACAACAACTCTTTCAAATCATTCAATGCCACCATCCCTGATTCTGATTCTTTCCATATGAGGAAAATGACTCATATGCAGTTTATAGAATTTTCACCTGTACAACACAGCAAGGAGCTGGCTGGATTCTCATATAGGCTTCTGGATGCAGGCTGAGACACCAAACACAGACACCCAAAGAAAAAGGTCCAGGGTTGGGGGGAGCATTGAGGGACAGGTACCTCCTCCAGAATTAGAATGAAGCTTTCGGGTATTTGCCACTTACGGAGGCAGGGAGGCAGAGCAGTTCTTCCGATCTGAACACAAAATAAGACACTAGCTGTGCAAAAAGAAGATGAGCCGCAGCTTTAAGAAACCCAGCTATGATTCTTCCTACCTAGACACTGAGCCAATTAGTGACCTGGCCCTGAGTTAGAGAATTAACTGTTTAAGGCTACTACAGTGTCTTAGTTCTGATAGTGCAGTAAGGAGGGGGCATTAGGGATGGTGATAAGGTAACTTAACTCAATATTCCCACTAGGTAAATTTGGGGTCCACAAAGGAGACATCATGTCTGGGTGTACAACTTTACTATCTGGAGGCAAGAACTGATCTACTCAGAATATGGAACTAGTTGTAACTTCCACCACAGAGATATCACCTTTTCTGGGGGTTACCTTTAGTCACAAAGTGTTAGACACTGGCTGTAAGATACACTTTGTAACAAACATGGAACGTATTTTTAAACTCTTTCTCAGAAAAGAAAATAAGGAATAAAATGCTGGAGAAACAGTATGGAGAAATAAGGCTTCCACAAAAGAATGACATGCCAGTAAACAGGAAATCTTGGCTTATTTCAACTTTTTAAAATGGGCCCATTTAAAAAGCTGTGCCCACCCTCCCCCACCAACTTCTTTTTTGATGGAGGGAGGTGTGGGAAGAGGTTTCCGTCCAAGGTGACCCATGTGAGAGAAGAGCAGGTGAAAGAAAGGTCCCACAAGAGTAAGGAAAGGGCGTAATCTCCCCTATGTTCAATGGTCACCACCTGTGAAGCTAAGCGTCAGAGGAACTAAACCATAGCGTCTCCCAAGGCAACAGATGGAGCAAATGAATTAGTCACTGCCCTTCCCAGGATGCTAGGCACAAAGCACTTTGGAGGGAAGGTGGTTAAGCAGCGCATCCTGCTGAAACAAACCTGACATCTGCTTAATCTTCTCCCCTGGCCTCCAACTCCATACTGGGTATTTCAAATGGGTAACAACTTGAAAGCTCCATGTGGACTTCTCTTTCATTATTATTATTTCAAACGCTAAATGTTATCTACTTAGGATCTTACTTTGGCTTCATGCCCTGGCAGAAGGCAAGATTTTTTAGCTAATAAGGGCCTGGAGGCTTTACAAGACCACAGGAGTTTTCAAAAATATTCCTACATATTCATAATAGTCAAATTAATAGATCTGATGCCAGATGTAAAGTGGCATTTTATGTGTAGCTTTAAAAGGTACTAATGGGGTAACTTTTAAAGCTACTTTAAAACATGCAGCTATGAATCTAATGCAAAACTGTTTTTGCCTTTCATGTTGGCTATGTGTTTACTGCTCTGTAATAAACTCATCAGAAAAAACTTGGCATCTTTCTCCCTGGATAGATATTTGGCATTCAGGAAAGAAATTTAGGTTAAACACCTTTTAGCTGTCCTTTCAGTAATAATTAAAAGCTTTTCCTTTGACTTAGTGACATGGTTCACAACCACATATAATGAAAGCAACATAAATCTTTCCTGTGTGGTACATTACATGCCCTCCGATAGATTAAAACATGCCAGCCAAGTCTGCACTTTTATAGGCTTTAAGCTGTTGAAGAGCCAACAAAAGTACTGATGGCAGAGCATCAGGTAAACAGGATGAAGGAAACCATCGGTAACAACTGTACTGTAGAATTTTCTGAATGCAGGATCCTGTGTTCAGGACAGCATAGGCTTGTTCTTGGAGAAAGCAGAATCCCTACCTTTAAATTCCCAGTTCTATTCAGTAGACAAGATGAAGCATAAAGGCAAAAGTTAACTAATACATACGAATACAGCATCTATAATGGCAATGTCACCTCATGAACAGAAACTATCAACTAAAAGGATAAAATGCCTACTATAAACCATATTTTCAGGGTTTTTTTTTTAAGAGAAAGTCATCTCTTTTAACATCTTGTGAGTAGCACTTTAAACTTTGGGAACTCTTTTACACATATAGTCCCCCTAACAATATGTGAAGTAAGGCATGGAAAGAAGGAAAGAGGGAAGACAGAAGGAAACTAGAAATATTCAGGTTCTACTGGAATTTACAGACTACCAACTATGTGCCAGGTACTTTTTACTACCCTTTGATTCACACAATTTTGTGAGCTATTATTCACATATCAGAGATTATAAAATTAAGATTCAAAGTTGTTAATAAGTATTTTGCCCCAGATCACAGAGCTAGTTAAACTGTCAGACCTGGGGCCCTTTCCCAGGTCTCAAGAGTCTTTCTGGGGTGTTAGTTTTTCAATTGGTTTATAAAACACAGTTTGTGTTCCTCACCAAAATATGGACAATCTGCTTGCCTGGGCCCAAAGTGCTATGGTTCCAAGCAGATTCCTGCACCACCTGGCATATATTTACAGGAGCACACAAGTTCAGAAGGGAAATGTTGGTGGGCGTAGATGCCGTCAAAGCTGACAGAATCTACAAACTCATCTAGAAAGAAATGCATGCAGGAAGTGAGGTATGTATGACACTGTCATTGATAAAATGGAATAATGGAAGAAAGAAAAGGCAACAAAGGGTGTTGTTGCTGGAGTAAGGCTTATCCTAACTCAAAAATCAAGGAAAAAAGAACCACAATCCAAGGTGAGGCACAATCAAGATTTCTGGCTAGTGGAGATCTGTCAGGTGAAAGATGCTAGAACTAGTTAAACACATACACACACTTTAAATATTTTGCTTTAACTGAAAATTTATAAATACACATTAATCAACCAATCCTTTGATGCAGAATCAAGCAGTTTTCAGTGGGGTCTGAAAAATCTTTCTTAGATAAATCACACTCAATGCATTATCTACGATCATCATTTATGAGCAAGAAGCCAGAGACTTGTATAGCTGTTAGAACGCAGGAGTCCTTCTAGAGTCTGATAATTTTTTCTGCCTTGGTGTTTTATACCTTATTTGAAAGCATATTTTTTCAAGGGATTCCCCATCAGGTTTCAACTTAGTTTTCATAGAAACAATTGCTTTTTGTACATTATTGGTTTCTAAAACATTTAATTAACATAATTAGAAGAACAACTGATACATATCTTTGGGAACAACTACATTGGCTTCTCAGTGAGTATAACGTTCAACTTTTGGGAGCAGAAGTACACAGTATAAGCTAGCACCCACCAGCGATTGGCAAGAGTGAGTATGCTTTTCAGGCGATTGGAGAGAATTGTTATCAGTGCAGGCTCATTACTTGAGCTTCTTTTGACTGCGGAACATGTAGGGCCCTATAAAAGCTGGGTAGAAAGGCAGCTCTGCAGGACCCATCAGCATGCAAATTACAACTTAGGGGATCTCCAGAAGTGAATACAGGAGGCAACCCATCAATCTATATTTACCTAAGTTTTAGGGTGTCTTAATAAGGTTTCAAAGTACATGTGCTGAGGCTATGCCTTTCCTTAAGAAAACAGAAGGTTGTGATAACATCTTCCTTTCTAAAATGATGACTGCTGTCTTTAGAGTTCATTTTTTTTCTCTTAATAATCTCAGCATCCCACAGTGATAAATTATATTTGGGTATAATTTTTGTCTCATAGATGTAATGGCTCTTTTAAAACCACTCTTAGAAATGCTACAGTGTATCCAATGAATATAATTAAATATATATGTATTTCCAAATACAAGTGCCAACAAAGACACAACTAAGACCCTAATTTTTAGGGGAACTAACTTCATCTTCCACATCTTGTTTCTGTCACTATGCTAGTGTTCAATATAACTCTCTTTCACAATACTTGCCCCTTTTAGTTAGAAACTTATATCTTTTGCATTTTTTCATTCATTCTTCTGCATATACAATGAATATTTTTAATTTTTAATTTTTTTTTATTTTTAGACAGGGTCTCACTCAGGCTGGAGTGCAGTGTTACAAGGACAGCTCATGCAGTCTTGAACTCCTAGGCTCAAGTAATCCCTCACCTCAGTCTCTCGAGCAGCTGGTGTGTGCCACCACACTCAGCTTATTTTTTAGTTTTTTTAGAGTCTCCCTTTGTTGTCCAGGCTGGTGTCAAACGGCTGGCTTCAAGCAGTCCTCCTGCCTCAGCTTCCCAAATGTTGGGATTACAGGCATGAGCTACATGGCTACAATAAACATTTAATTATACGGTTGTAGTTACTCAGATGTGATGGTTTAATAAATATTTAACAGCCAAATTAAGCTTATTAATTTAAAGCTATTCTGTCTTGACAATTATGCAACCTGAGGACACAGAAATTGGGGGAGTGGGGGAAGCAAGTCCCTTTTACACGGTATACAAGGGGCATTTTACCCGTTCCAATAATTTCAAGAGCACTGTAAACATTAGAGGGAATATAATCATATTTCACGATCACAAAGACAGCAAAAACAAGGTGGCCATATAACTTTCATGTTATCATGCCCCTGCACAGCCCCTATAGGAAATAGGGAGGCAGAAATTTCTTTCACTGCAACATCCTGTTATTGAAATTTCTCTGAAAACTATTTGCTTTTTTAAAATAGAGAAGCAAATGTCTCGGAATTTTAGACTCTGACATCCCTCTGCTGTCTCAATAAAAGATTAGTTTGTGGTCCTTGCTGCCCCTGTGTTATTTTTGTGGTTTAATACCCTTCACGGTGAAATCAGCTAAAAAACAAACAAACAAAAAAAACAACTCTCTTCTCTTTCTGTTGGAGTTTTCAAGAGCTACACACTCCTTGGCTGGCTTATGTACTCCAACACAAAGGCAAGGGGCTGCCCGGGCAGGTAAGAGTGAAATCCAATTTATGCAACTTGCTTACTGTGACCTCCAATTTATCCTAGGATTTTGTTATATAAACTTATTTGCATAAGGGTGGCTTACACCCTGTACTGTGTACCTCTGAGAGGGCCAAGACTTGTCTTATTTGTACAGGGAGTTCTCTCACTCATGTGACCTGTCTAGTCCACCTCCATAAAGAAGACAGACCAAAAATTCCATCTCCAGATTACACAGACATATTTATAGTTAAGACTCCTCGACTAGACATGCATCAATTACTTAAGAGGAGTCTTAACTATAAATACATACGCATATATTAACACATCTTTGCACTATTAAACTCAATATTTGTTGAGTGCCAATTAAGAGCCAGGGACCATGCAAAGAGCTGTGAGATTAGAAAATTAAGAGACAGGGTCTGCCCTCAAAATAGTCCACTGGTCAGGAGAAAAACACTTTAATATGACGGAAAAACAATCATCATCCAAGTATACATAAACTGTATACATGGTAGATGCACAAAGGAGGGAGGGGTTAGTTGGGGTGTGGCAGATTATTTAGAAAAGTTTCAAAGAATAAGTGAAAGTTAACCAGGTCATAAAGGACTCAGGGTAATATACTGGGACATGAGACAGCATGGAATAGTCAAGGAATCATGGATTGCTAATATTTTACGATGACTAAAGTATAGGGGAGAAGAAAGAAAGATAAGGATGAAACGGTCAGACTGGAGAAGGCTTAAAAGCAGTACTTAAAATATAATTTGAGGCATGTGAAACTGTTCGAGGCTGCTAGGGTACCAAAGTCATTCTTTTGAAAACAAATAAATGGAAAGAATCAAGCACTGTGTTTTACTTTTCTATACAAACTACTGCTGGTTTGGGGGGAGAAAGTAGATAAGGGGCAGTTTTTCTTTATAGGTGAACTCTGACAGATAAATGAAGAAAGAACGATGGAACAAAAATATCAGCATTTCACAATCCCTAATGAATTAATGCTTATACAGCAATGAGCATCAATGGTTGCTAACATCATTAAAAAAAAAGAGATAATCTTACATTATAGGCCTCCTAATAAAAGAATATAATCTACCCATGAGATGGTCTGGCCCAGAAAAACAAAACTAAAACAAACAAAAAAACCTAACATGACTCTGACCATGATTCTAACTTTGACTATTGACTTACAGAAAATACACCATGAAGATACTGTCAACAAAATCCAAAACCAGAAATTCTATGACAACCAAGTTTTTCTCCTCTTGCATCTTCATGTGAAAAAAGAGAGATGAGGGAGAACCTATAGATTAAAGAAATGTAATACTTTTACAAATTGCAAGATGTGAACTTTATTTAGATTTCAATTCAAACAAAATGTAGAGAAAAAAACTTACGATATTTTGATTCCATTGGAAATTTGTCCAGTGGCTAGATATTTGATGATATTAAGACTTAACTAATTACTTTAGATGTGATCATGGTATTTAGTTCTGTTTTTTAAAAAAGTCCTTATCTTTTAGAGACTCATATTAAAATATCTATAAATGAAATAATGTATCTTGGATCTTATTAAAAATCATACCAGGCTAGGAGAAGATGGCACTACACATGAAACAAAACTGACCATCCATTAATAATTGTTGAAGCTGAGTGATGGTCCATGAAGGGTTTACTATTTTGTGTATTTCATGTATACTTGAAAATCTTCATAATGAAGGATTACAAAAAGAAAAAAAAAACATGTTAAAGAGAATTTGGTACTTAGTCCATACAAGTGCTGCAGTTTTGAAACTATGGAATGTTTCATTAAACTGCCAATTGTGAAGATAATATTTTGAAAGTGACCCATAACACCATAATTTTAACTAGTTGATTTATATCCTTTTGCATATTTTCTTCTAGAATTTGTATTTTAGAAAGTTTTGTAGAGAAGAACCTGAGAAAGGAAAGAGACAGGAGATAGGAAGAACAACTCAAAATCTCCAACCTCAATTGAGTTAATGTGATAAGAATCCAAACTAAGCGCTGAATAGAAGAAGCAGGAGGAGGAGAAAAAGGGAGAGTCACAGACATTTTTGGAGCAAACCTGATAAGGAATCATAAGCAAATGAAATAAGATCTGAGGGAAAAGAAATAATTTTCACAGCACCAATCACTACCTAAAATTATAGATTTCCTTTTACATGAAGGTAAAGCTCTGCTCCTATCTTAAGCATTGTATTATCCCCAGTGCCCAATAACCCATAATAGACAGTAAGTATTTTTTGAAAAAATATGTTAATAACTGATTTTCTAATTTAGGTTAATAAAAATAGATGGAATATATATTTACCTAATTAGAAAACACAGGAAGGTGTTTTGGGATAATGGGTACAGCTAAATCAGTTAGGGAGTATGCCCACCTGGCACTAATGTATACATCATGAACTAACATTGTTTTTTTCATTAAATGAGAAACCCAGTATGACAGACAGGATCAGCATGGCAGCTCTACAAGGTCAAGAATCAGGAATCCAGCCCCTTCCTGTCTTTGTGTTCCTCCATACTTTCCATATGCTTCTAACAACGTGGCAGCTAGAGCACCGGTCATCACTTCCAAGTTCCAGTTCCAGGCAAGAAGCAGAAGAGGGAAAGACAAAATGGTACCTACCAGTGAGTCAGCTTCTTTTTAATGAACTTCCCTGTAATTCCCACCTAATAACTGCCATTTATATCTCATTAGCCAGATTCAGTCACAGAATAATGTCTAACTGCAAGGAAGGCTGGGGAAACTTTTTTGTTAGGCATGTTACTGTTATAATAAAATAAACATTCTGTTAGAAGAATAAGAGGATAATGGATATTGAATAGATAACTAGCAGTGTCTGCAAGAGATACTTTAGAATATGTTGTACCTGGGTATCTGTTCTGTTTCAAGTACCTGTTGATCAGAATTGTCCAGTTGGTAGCTTTTGAGAATAGTTGGCGTTGAAGAAGATGTAAAAAATATATTGGTAACAGGTGATTGTCCAGGGACCGACTATATAATAGAAAAGGAGAAACTGAGAATGGCTAACTTAATGGTGGTAGAGGAAGGTCAGCAGGTAAAGGAGACTCACACAGAGTGAGATCAAGGTAGGTATAACAGAGTCAAGGAATCAAGCAAAAAGTAAGTCAAAAGTGCCAGTAAAGTCAAAGTCAATGCTTAGGACATGGTTTCTACATTAGGATCTGGAAGGCACTAGTGAACTTTTCCAGCGGTAGTTTTAAGAACAGTTTCAAGAGCAAAAGCCAGACCACAATGGGTTGAGGAATAAGGGAGCTTTTGAGATGTCCATCAGAGAAAGAAAGGATATGAAGGTGCCATAGTCTAAAAAGCACCAGAGTTCACTGGAAAGTTGCAGGGAGGTATGTTTGGTCTGAAGGATGACTCATTATATTTGTAGATAGACTAAGAAGAACAATCCAGGACAGAGTCAGATACTGAAGAACCTGGAGGGTGGAACGGAGGAGGATCTGGGTTTCGTCCGCTGAGAACAGCAGTTTGTCCAAGTAAAGGCTTCATTTACACTGGAGTTTTTAAAACCTCTTTCCATGTTTTTATTATGAAACAATACTGAGACTTTTGATTTGCCAGATACCTAAATGTGTCATTTTCCGTTTTGCCTAGTGATTTTTTTCCCCCCTGAAATACATCAAGTCATGATTATTCTGGTTGGCAATATCCCAGAGACAATAAAGGATGACCAGGACACAAAGTCTATCAAAATTCTCACCAATTAACTTACATGACATCCTTTGGGATTTGCACCCTACCCTTTTTTAGACAAGACATGAAGCACTGCAGGTGGAATTCAGCTGGGGATATGGGATATGAGGTTCATTCATTCAACATAGGGGCACAGGCTGAGATGCTGGACCAAGAGGTCACATTGGCCGTACGCCTGACAGGCTTAAATAAGTGTGTAAGGGCTAGTTTTTAAATGGTAACAACTCACTAGGAACCACTTTAAAATGTTCTAGAGGAGGAGAGTTTGGGAAAGTGAGTGAAGGATGTGCGAATCACTGCAAACTGGAAATGATCGATAATGGCATGCCAACTGGGGGCCTGCATCCGAGGGCCCCCTTTTAAAAAAAAAAAAACAATGAGACCCCTAGGATCTTGGGCAAGTTATTAAACTTGGCTTCCAGTTCTCTTCTGCAAAATTCAAGTTGTTGAATGAGATTTCTGAAGTTTCTTGTTCTAAAAACTCTGTGATTATCTAACTCATGAAATAAATGCTGTATAAAACTGTATGTGATTTCTAAATTTGGTCTTAAACCTTCAAAAAGAGTACCTAAGCCTTGAGAGGTTTTCTAAATACAGAAGAGAGACCACAGAGCTGTTAATGTATCTACAGGCCCAATGAAGATAAAGAGATGGGTGGCATATAACACACAACCTCCCTCCTTCAAATCTTGTTTTTTGGAGGAGGTAAACTATTAGGCTTATTGGTTTATTATACAAAACACAGAGGACTATGCATGACTTATCTTTAAAGGGGAGGAAGTGACTTGTTACAAGTCTCTGAAAGTTGATAGACAATGACAGGAGGCTTGGTAAACAACAGTAAATGTGCTAGCCCTGTCTGATTCTTAACTAAGATCATCAGATAACTTAGCACTTTAAAATAACCCACCACAAGATCAACAAGTCTGAGGCTCACTTTAAATTAAAATAACGCTGCAAAATAATGTGAACTAGGACACGTGAAAATAGAGTGAATACTTTATATTACTAAAAATGCCCTAGAAATTAGGTTATCTTGAGTAGAATTGATCAGATACTAAACTTTTTTTTGTTTTTCAGAAACAGTGTCTCACTCACATTGCCCAGGCTGGAGTACAGTAGCACAATCATGGCTCACTGCAGCCTCAACTTACTGGGCTCAGATGATTGTCCCACCTCAGCCTCCCAAGTAGCTTGGGACTACAGGTGAGAACCATCACACCCAGCTAATTTTTGTATTTTTTTGTAGAGATGAGATTTCTCCATGTTGCCCAGACTGGTCTTGAACTCCTAGACTCAAGTTATCCACTCACCTTGGCCTCCCAAAGTGCCGGGACTACAGGTGTGAACCACCGCGCCCAGTCAGATACTAAACATTTTAAACTAAGGTGGACTTTGAGAAAGATTCTGCTTTTATTCCCAATAAAATGAAGCGTTAGGCCAAATAGGAAATGACGTTTTAGAAATATATGCAAGAATAAAAACACATTCTGTGATCATGGATTATAAATCACTAGGTTCCTAGACTGCAGTTTTGCCTCCCAATCTTTACAAGAACCCCTGCCAACATCAGGTCTTCACATAATGCAATTGATAAAATTACCTAACAAAAGCTGTCTTCATCTATGACATCATTAATATTTTGCTTGAACTAATACCTGAATGGCAATTTGCATCTATAATAAGGTGAGCATTACTAATTATTAAATCCACATTTTACGGCTCTCTACTACAAAGCTAAACCTGTTTAGTTTTAGTTTTTGATTTTGAAACGGTCTCACTACATTGCTTATGCTGGAGTGCAGTGATGTGATCATAGCTCACTGCAGCCTAGAGCTCCTGAGTTCAAGCAGTCCTTCTGCCTCAGCGTCTCAAGTGGCTAGGAGTACAGGCGTGCACTACCACGCCCAGATAATTTTTAAATATTTTTGTGGAGACATGATCTCACTATGTTGCCCAGGCCGGTCTTGAACTCCTGGCTTCAAGCAATCCTCCTACCTTGGCCTCCCAAAGCACTGGGATTATAGGCTTCAGCCACTGTGCCCAGCCTGTCTAGTCTTTTTATTCCAAGTGTAGACTCTTGTACCACACTTCCTGGACCACTCCTCCTGAGCCCACAAAGATAATTGACTGGCCAGGTATGGCTATGTTCCTGAGGAAGGAAGGAAGCCCTACCTTCCTTCCTCAGATCCTCCATGAGCGCAACCTTTATTTATTTTATTATAATTTTTTTCTGACATAATCCACCCGGAGATGCATGAGTGCAACCTTTAGATAATACAATATAATATCAATACAATAGGTTGGAGCCCTCGTAGTAACACTGGCCATGTCCTTGGCCCTAGAAATGAGATATATGAAACAACCTAATAACATTAGGGAAAAGTTCCCTCAGATAGACTCTAAGGTACCACAGCTTTTCAGTACTTTCTGCAATTCTGCTTCTCAGAAAATGATATTAGGTTACATAAAGCAAGACTCAATCAGCATTTTAGAAATCATGCCAGAGTCCATTACTCACACCCAAGTTTCCAAGTACTGTGGCTACATTTTATTTCTTACTCTTCCCTTTTCACCAGAATGTGGCACCACTACCAGATGGTCAGAGGATGTCAGATGATGGGAAGGTTAACAGTACTAAATTTTATTTTCTCAAAAGTGTTTAGTCAATATCACAGTGGTTTTAATTCGACATGACTTCCCTCTGAACAAGGTTTAATCATCAGTGGTACAATACAAGAAGCATGAATTTTGGCATTATTCAGACCTGGATTCGAATTCTTGCTCTGTCACTTCCACCTGTAAGATGAGAACAAAAGCTATCTTACCTATTGTATAGATTAAGTAAGAAGATATAAAATAAAAGAGTCCCACACAGGTCTACCATGGAGGGAGTAGAGTTCAATAAGGTTTCTTTCATTCCCAGTAAACCAGTTTGATAAATTAACTGCAGGAATTTATTTATGAGATTCTTCTTCATTCTCAGAGAGGATAACACAAACTATTTACACAATTTGTCATCAATTGTTTGTGTTTTTTTCCAAGTTGTTTCCTCTTATCAAGAATGCCTTCTGGCCGGGTGTGGTGGCTCATGTCTGTAATCCCAGCACGTTGGGAGGCCAAGGAGGGTGGATCACCTGATGTCAGGAGTTTGAGACCAGCCTGGCCAACATGGTGAAATCCCGCCTCTACTAAAAGTACAAAAATTAGCAGGGCATGGTGGTATGCGCCTGTGATTCCAGCTTCTCGGGAGGCTGAGGCAGCAGAATCGCTTGAACCTAGGAGGCAGAGGCTGCAGTGAGCCGAGATTGCACCACTACACTCCAGCCTGGATAACAGAGTGAGACTCCACCTAAAACAAAAAAGAAAAAAAGAAAAAAAAGCCTTCTCCTGTACCCCCAGCAGCTTCTTGGGAGGCTGAGGCAGGAGGATCACTAGAGCCCAGGAGCTTGAGACCAGTCTGGGCCATATAGCGAGACCCTGTCTCAAAAATAAATAGAAAGTCTTCTCCCACTGACCCCACACCCTCATCTCTACTAATTCATGCCTCTTTCCTTCAAAGACCAGCTCAAATTCTAACTTTGTACTATCTGGACCACCTCATGCAGTGACCGTACATAGGAAGTACCTACCACATACATATTTTTAAGCGTTACTGAACATTATTAGAGTAATGAAAGAATATTACAAACCATTAAACACATCTAGAAGAAAATGTTTTTAATAACTTAAAGTGACATGATAGTTTATCATACTTAAAAAAATAGGAGTGTCACATAATAAAGCAAAGGTCAGCAATTTATTGTTTAAAAACCAGTACCGTGATTCTAAGCACTGAGGTCTCAAACCAGGGCCACTCTAGTAATTTCTTTCTTTCTCTATTTATTTAAAGTAATACCTGAGGGACCCATATATGTATTTTCCTTCTATGACCGTGAAAGGCAAGAAAATTACCTTTTCTGTGTCACAGATTCTGAATATTTCTTCCTATCCCTGTACTCCCACATCCCTAACCTCTATATTTTCAGAATTCAAAGATAAAAGTGTTGTCTTCAAACATTTTAGTAAATGCTTCTCCATATTATCCTGCTTAATAGCAGGATCTTTGACTTTATCTGGGAATATATCACTGCACAATCACCTTTGGTGACCTAAGGAAGCTGCTTAGGGGTGATTTTTCCTTGTGGACCTTGACACTGCTTGCAAAGTTTACAGTCATAAATTGTAACCCTCTGAGAACAATTTCTCAAACTTGGTTAAATAATTACATAGACACCAAAAGAAAACAACCCTCTGTCTACTCCTACCATTGCATTATCTTGTCTCCTAATTCAAAGAAAGCACAGCCTACATTTTGAATAACTTAGAGAGGTTATAACATGAATTTACAAAATGTAACTAGGAAATTCAGAAAGGAGTCTCCAAACTGGAGGACACCATTTGTTATTTGGTGGCATCTTCTGGGAAAGGTTGATATTGCAGCTCAGCTCTGTGAAACATAAATTCTCTTGCAAAAGCACATGGGAAAAACTCTGGAAACAGAAAAATAATCCTGATGATATAGTATAATAAGGTGCAATCTAGACCCAAGAGAGTCAGTTTTATTTTAAGTGAGGATGTGTAAGAAGCTAGAGGCTCCTGGATGTTTCACAGCTCTTCCCTCAATCCTGGCTCTGCATGCCAAATCCACCTATGAGGACAACCTGTCACCTCCTGAAGGCCACTGGTAAAGCCCAAACCAATAGGTCAAAGAAACAGGATTCATATGGGGGACAACATGAGATATTCAAGGCTTTCCCAGCAGCACTGCCAACTTCATGTAGCACACCTCTACAATTTTAGTATGAATCCAAGGAAGAATAAGATTTGTTTTACCACCAACCTCCTCTTAGGTAGGTACACTACCTATCAAGTGGGTTCAAATCCTAGCTCCATCACTTCTAAAGATGGCAACCTTGGGGAAGATTCTTCATCTTGGAGCCTCAGCTTTTTCATCCATAAAATGGCAATAATAATAATAATACCTATTTCACAGAGCTGTCTCGAGGGGTGAATGAGTTAAATCATGTTAAGTACATAGAAGGGTGACTAACAGACTAAACACTCAAGTTTAGCTATGGCTATAAGGCATCTCTGTGGTATGGTAATGCTAGTCTTGCAAAGCCCATGTTGAGTCCCATTGTTGGCTTTATGTCTAAAGATGACAAATGGGATAATTCCATCAAATGCATAGGTCATAAAGCAAGAAACAATAATGCATTGAATAGGTGATGTAGCTCTCTTAAAGAAGGCTCACAGAATTTATTGGAAGAGAGATTCTGGCTCAATACATGTCAGTGGAAATGCTGAGTTTTGCCAATTGTTGATGACAACCAGCTTTGCAAAGATAGAGCCCCTGTGTATTCACAACCTTCTGCTACCCAAGGGCTTCTAAGGAATTCCTTAATTTAAGAACTGAGATACCACACTGGCCCTAGTATGTACTGAAACACGGAAACAAAAAGGCCTCCAACTGTTTTTTTTTTTAATCTCCTTTTTAACTGCTTTTTTCAAATAAACCAGGAATATGGATGAATAAATGAACAGCTGGTTGGCAAGGCTGCCTCCTCCTCAGTGTGATCACACCCAACACAGAAAAAAAAAATGCGTTAGAAAATAGGGACAGGTGAAACATCTCCATGCACCCAACAAAGTTAACTTTTGTCTGGTAATTTCAATTAATGTTCCACATTGAGCAGAATTTACCAGAGGAAGAACTGTAACCGTTCAGGTATTTTTACCTCCAGTTATAAAACACAGAAAACAGGAGCCTCCGATGAGAACCTGCCCCCTGGAGAGCCAGGGCAGCCCTTTAATGAATGGCCTCTCCAGCTGCTCCCTCACCATACTTACAGACTTTACAGCTCTTGCATGTGCTGGAATTACAAGTCATTAAAAAGCCACTTTGAAAACACAATAAAGACCTTCTTCTCTGACTGCAACAACCTTCCATCACATAAAAACCTAAGGCCAATGCTTCAACAGCAGGACGTTTACTACCAGCTCCAGACAGTTTAAGCAGGGCAATGAACAGGGTGGGGCGGGAGGAAATGAGAAACAACAAAAGAAGGGAAGTTTTTTTTTTCCTTCTTTCTTTTTGAAAGAAATTTCTGGTAAGGTGATTTAAAGCATTTATCCTGCATCGGAATCACCATCCACCCTTGGGAAAAATGCTGCCAACTGATGAGATTTTGTTTTTCTCCTTCAAGAAGGTTTTCTCCAAGAAAACCCCTTGGTAAGCTCCAACTATCAAAAGACATGACTGAAATCTCTCTTCTCATGCTGCAGGCTGAAGGATGTAACATTTTGCCAAATGTAATTTGTCCATTTTCAGGGAAAGATCATTAAAACTTTTTACTTCTTCACTTTAAAATTATGATTAAATCCTCAAAGTAAGGCAAGAAAGAGGAAGGCAATGATAAGAAAACTACCACCATAACTGAATCTGATCATACGTGGTTATCTCAATTTTCATTTACTGTTTTTTTCCTCCTCTGCTGTGAATACCAAACTTCTTCATATCAGAAGACAAGATCAACTCTATACACTTCTCTTCAGGAGCAAAATTATATGAAAAACAAAAACAGGAATTACAGAAGAGGTGAAAGATATTTGGTTTTTTCCCTATTATCAATTAAAGTTTAAGCAGGTTAATAAAAAATACAATTATAAACCTTTAGTTGACACTGATACACTCCCTTTGCAGCTGTTAGTGTCAGTCACCAGTCACTTACCTACTAAACAGTAAGTACAGTGGAATATCATGTACCCCAAAGAGATGAACTCCTAAACCAGGAACCACTGTACTCTAATGGGAATAGCCTCAGTTCTTGAATGTAAAATATTCTTAACAAAAACATTCCCCTATCATGCTTTCTGTATTTGCTAAATGCTCACCCACTATAACACAGTCCTTCTGCCTGTCTACCTTATCCAAGCCCCTACCAAATTCTTCTGTAGGGGAAATTTGTTGACAAACTTTCATGTGACAGTATTACATCTCTTTATGAGAAACATTTCAATAATCACAAAATGTATTTAAAAATTATTCTTTCAGTTATATTAACAGTAACTCAAAGATAAATCATTTCTTAGGATATTTTAACAGCAACAGCAGAAAACAAAAATGAAAAAACAAAAATCTACCAAGTGCCTACCCAGTGCAGTACTTGGTATGTTCTTGTCCTTTATCTCATTTAATTAAAAAGCTGAAAGATCTGAGACACTTTGGCTTATCTTTCAGCTTAAAACTTAAGACTTTTTATCTTGTATTTTTACATTGATCATGTAGCAGAACCATATCAACATCAAGACCATACACCTTGTGACGACAAAATTCAGAGCAAAGTGACAAAAGACAAAACTCAAAACAAAGTGGCTTAGAGTACCAAATATTGCAGCATATAAACCCACAACCTTGAAAAAGGACACCAGAGTTCTGCAAGAGAAAAAATCTTGAGTTTGAAAGAGAAAAAATCTCTTTCAAAGCTACAGGTTATATAGGTACCCAGAAGTCAAGTCATACATAGCAATAGCTAACTTACATTTTTTTTATTAGTGTGTTAACGTTTCACCCACATTGATTTATTAAATTTTCAACAATAATCCTACAAAGAAGATACTATTATGATCTCCATTTTATAAAAGAGGAAACTAAGAAACAGAGAAAGTTAAATTATTTGCCCAAGATCCCTAGTGGCACTGAAATTTAAGACACAGCCTGTCTGACACCAGACAGCAGAATTCTAATTACCTATCTACCTACCTTTCACTTATCAACAAATAAGTGATCGATCCCTCAAACACCAGCCAGACATACAAACCATGGATGTCCAACTTCTTTCTCTCTTCTCACATACAAAGGATATGAAAATCCTACCAAAAAGGACCATATCAATTAATAATCTAAGCTTCCTAACCCATCTTAATACTACTGACATTTTTATATAAAACCTGAGTAGAATTTGATTCTAGAAAAGGTTCTTTAAAATGTTCATCTTTTTAAACTATAAGACCTATACTGAGGCGAGATGTTTTCTTTATAGACATACTAGACAAATAATCATTTTCCCCAGCCTTCCTTATACTTCAAATTCTTCTGATTTATTTGTGTCTTTTTTCTGTTTCCAAAGTCCATGATCTCTGCCCATTATGTCTAAAATCACCCATCACCCCATGTCCCACAAATGAATACGAATCTGGCTCATATTCAACTAATAAAGCTGGAAAGGACCTTAGAGAGATCAGGTCATCTAATCACACTTACTCAGAGGCAGACACACAACTAGGACAATGTGCACAGTCACCCCTGAAGTTGGGCCTGCCCCAAGCCACCAAGTCAATTACTAGCCAAGGTAACAGGGGATACTTGTAACGGAGAGCACTAGCAGTCCATAGCAGTCCATAGCTTAGTGTTCTCCATTACAAGTGTCCCCTGTTCCTTTTGTCTTGCTGGCAGGAGGGATGCCAGGTAGGACAGGTAGGAGACAGTCCAAACAAAGCCTGTCTTTTCTACTGGATAAATGGAATTTCAATTCTCTCTCACCTTCCTTTGCTCATAGAAAGGCCTTTGGGTTCATGGTTTACATGACATCACTTTTGTTAATTCTCTTCTGTTACGCTACCTACTTTTCAAGTATTGAACCAATAGCAACAACAATAAAGCCATTACTAGTACCAGAAGACTAATAAGGAAAGTACGGCTGTTGGGTTTTATACACAAATAGTACCTGAAAGTCTTTACAGGCTTTCTCAGCAATGCTATGCAGAGTACATTACAAAAACTACTATTGTAATCATTGGATTTGTGGCTCTAATATGTCATATACCATTTTGAAAATTTACTACCTACTGTAAAGTTTTCCAATTCTAACTCTTCATTCCAGAAGACTTTTCAAGGTATACTTTGAATAAATACATCAAATTGAACAAGAATTTTATTAAAAGGAAGACATACTTTATAAATCATATATAAATGGGAGGGAGCAAGAGGCAGACAAAAGGAGAATAAACAAAATTACCTAAAGAGGAAGACCATCTGTGTTTCATGTAGAAAGAGCTTTCAATGATGCTTTATGAACGCCATTTGGTCTTCTCATAAATCGGCAAACATTCTAAAAAGGTGCCTTTCAAAATTTTGACCACTATAAGAAACACACACACCTTCTCTGAAATAAAATTTTCATAAGCCATTACTTACCCATACTAATTATAGTTTTCTGATTTTTTTAATGCTAGTGATACGTTAAATTTATTTCACAGCTCACTAGTGAATCACAACCCATGATTTGAAAACCTCTATACTAGAAGAATTGCAATGTGTTAGAATATAAAATGGCAAAGTTGCAAAATTTGACAATTTTGATTGAATAATCACAACCCAACAGCATTTCAGGGTGATTGGAAACAAAAGTCAAACACACACAAAAAAGGTCCAAGTAACATCTGCATTAAGAATAAGCTTCAAGTTAAGAGGAAAGGTAAGAAGCAAAGAAGGAAAAATAAATACTTGAGTTATTGGAACAAACACATTCAACTCTCATCTCCATTTCATAAATTATGACTATAAAGCCTTTACCAAATACTGGAACAAATTTTCCCAATGTCCAGTATTTTATATGCTACTGTCCTAATCTGATCTTCTACCAAAATTTCGAGATTAGCTATAGAGAGTAGGGAGATCTGTGGACCACTGGGGATCAGTGTCAGCACCATGTCCTGACCCTGACTGGCTTTCTACCCAGAACAGTACAAACCCGGCACAGCAAATCTGCTACTATGCCCTCCTAGCCTTTGCCAGCATTTAAACTAGAGACATCTGTGGGCAGCCCAAGGGACAGAAAGAAAAGTGTTCTAAGATTGCCAGTTATTTTTAGCCAGATAGCTTCCTTGACCATTGCCTAGAAATACGGTCAAGCCAATGTAAGGAGATTATTGGGACTGATCATTACTAATAAGTAACTGAAAAAAGGCCAAAATTAGAAAAAATAGTGAAGTAAGGAGATAACTTCAAAGTAATGTTTATTCTTCAAAAACGTTATCAAATACTTTTGAATTAGTAACAACCCTGTCACTAGAAGTGTAAGGTTTACTACAGAGGTTAAAATAGATAATCTGAAAATCCCTTCCACTGCTGAAAATCTGTAATTATAAGTTTAAACCCCAATATCAAAAAACACCTTTTAGGGGAATTAGATGGTCAGATGCTCTCTTAGGCATCCACAAAGGATAATCCTACCCATTAGCAAAAACTTGTAGTGAATGAAGATCACATACCCCACCCCTTCCAAATCAGTGGCTAAACAATGAAGAAAAATATTAAATATTCTCTTTCAAAATGCTACTGCCTGGTTTTACAGGTATACACAAATGTTAAAATTTATCAAATTATACATTTTACATATGTGTAGTATATTGTTACATCATTTTGCCTCAATAAAACTGGTTAAAAAAATACTATCACCAGCCTTCTATCAACATAAACATGTTACTTCATTCCAATGATCAAAACATCAACATTATAGCCCTAATATTTTCTAAGTTTCTCTTTTAAATTTATTTTCCCTTGTATTCAAGTTTTATTATATTCTTCTCACTTTCCTAAGTCATCACTCATTGGAAAGCATAGATACCAAGCTTTGATGAGCAACAAAATTTTCTGCTGCTATTCAAATGACCCATTATAATGCTATGGAAATATCTTTCCTTTAACAACTTAAATAACAGCCTAAAATTCTGCAGATTCCTTAATGACTTCATTTCTTCCTTCTCATTAGTTAAGGAAATGCATTTCTAGGCCAGATCTACCTCTGTGCTACCATTTTATGGCTCAGCATTCATTTTCTTCCCTCATTCTTTATTACAAAGCTATCCAAAATAAAATCTGAAAATAAGGGAAAGGAAGAAAGCCAGTAAGAACTACTCACATCAGATTTAGAGGATATATTCTCCTCCACATCTGAATCATTGGGATCCACAATATCATCAAATGGCGGTAACGTTGATTTCTTCTTCTCTGATGTCTCACTTTCAATTTTGACCTTTCCCATCTTGACATGAGATTTATCTTTTATCTGTTTTTTGTCAGCAGAACAAGTGAGTATCAGTGGTGGTGCGCTAGAAAAACTTTTAAATAAAGCCTCTGAGCTACTCTTTTTCCTTTTTTTGGCTGAGAGTTCTTCAGAATCTGAAATGGGCGGCCTTTTACTAGGAGCCTTCTTATCTTGTCCACTGGTGATGGTGAGTAAGTTACTATCTGGTTTTGGCTCTTTTGACATGGGTTTAGGTTCCTTGAAGGCCATCTTAGGAACTATTTTCTCTTCTTTCAGTGGTTTATTTTCTTTGGGTTTCTTAGAGGATTCTTTGGAAGATTTGTTGTGATCCCTGGAAGGTTCTTTGAAGGCACTTTTATGTTCTCTGGAGTCTTTAGAAGGTTTTTCCTTGTGCTCCTTCATTAATTTGTGAGGCTTTGAAAAACTGGTACTACTGCTGCTGCTGCTGCTGCTACTGCTGCTGCTACTGCTGCTGCTGCTGCTGCTGCTGCTGCTGCTACTGCTGCTGCTGCTGCTGCTGCTGCTGCTGCTACTGCTGCTGCTGCTGCTGCTGCTGGTATGAATACTCCTATTAGGGTCCTGCAAAAAGGGGAGAAGAAAATGAAACTCCCAAAACTAAATAGCAATGAAGAGTCAAAAGAGATCTACATAAAATGATCCTTCTTTGATTCCTCTCAAGCTATCATTAAAATACCAAAAATATTTTAATATAAACCAAAAACCACAATATAACAGGTGAGAATAGTGTATGTGAGAAACAGGTGAGAGTAGGTTATTATCAAATAATTTAATGAGGAAAGCTGTTTTCTTAATCATCTGAAGCATGGAGTTTTAAAACATTTCAATTCAACAAATGTTAACTACTGCTTGTCCTAGAAGATACAAGGATGAATAACACATGGACCCCACCCTTAATAACTATGACGTATCTATGATTGATAGATGTTGACAACCAAAAGACGGGAACTATTAATTCTGTTGGGAGCATGGGGCGAAGAATAATTCAAAAATTCATAAAGAAGTAACATCTGAATTAGGTCCTGGAGGATAAACAGGTAGTTACTAGAATGAAAAGAATGGAAAGGTACTTAAGAGACCAAGGACCAGAATAAACTAAAACAACAGGGAGCAAAGCACAGATTGTATTTGGGGAACACCCAGCTATAGAACAAGATTGAGAAGGAGGCAGAAAAATAGCCCAGCTTCACATAGTAAGGTCAGATTACATTAAATTTCAAATGGCTTTGCAATATAAGGAATCATAAAACCCCCCCAAAAGAAATAAAGTAATTCTCAATTTGAGATAAAAAGCAATTATTTTTATGCTGTATAAAATTTCATCAGTTAAGAACTGTATCTCTCACCCACTAGGAAAAATAAAAGGAAGTTAATAGAACAAAGATTTCACCTAACCATCAAATGGACTAGAAAGTCTTTAGCAATTACTGTATTTTGATCATGAGAAAAGACGTAATTGCTGCCTATTTCATTTTAAATATGATCAATTTTTCCACTCATATAAACATATCAGAATATATAACCTATATATAATCTTTCTGTTTAGGAACAAAATCTAAGTCCATACTTACCATATTTGTGAACCTCTACCATTAATAGTAAGAATAAGAAACAGAGAAGATCCTGGACATGCAAAAATCCACATCAATACTAAAAGAAGAGCTCTTTCTTGCTTACTTCCACTTCCTAATGGAACCAAAGACAAATAAATGTCCAGATTTTCAACTAGAATTTACATCTTCAGGCTTGCTTATTATCTTTCACCCTAACTCACCCATTTAAGCCAATGATATGTAAACCAATCCTATATTCCTTAAATATCTAGCATGACACAGGACAGTAAGCAAGCAGGGGCTATGCTTTTCACTAAAATGAACAATCTACTTATTGGGTATATGCAAAAACAAAACAACAAAAAATATATATATAGGTACATGTATAAGCATCACAAAGTAATATCCAAATGAAAACTTATTGTTCTATATTAGTAGAAATATATTTTTTGGTTTCTTAATAAATTTTTTTTTGTCTCATTTGCTCAACAACAAAATGACATATAACAAAATTATTCCATTTATTTTCTGGAGTGGTTTCAAAATTCTAAACTGAATGAAGTTACTAAGCAAAGACTTGTTTTTATGCACTAAATTAGATAATTCCTTAGAAAACATCATAATCTGAGATTTAAAAGGAAAATTCTAAAGATAGGATTCATATTACTAAAATTTCATTATTTTATAAATTCTATTACATTTCCTGTCATGTTAAGCAATACTATGAATAATTAAAATAAAGTATAATGGACAAACCAAATTAAGGAACAACATTTTGAAATCTAATATCCTTGAGTTTTTTTCAATAGGCTTGTTGACTTACTGATTTTTGAAAATTTGCAATCAGTATTCTAATTATGGCTCTAGAATACTCAAGTATCACTGTTTAATATTCAACCTATATGAAGTATTATACACATATTTTGTAAATAAGTTTTAAAAGCATACAATTTTTAACCTACCAACATATTTCTAATGTTAAGTATTAAAAAACAGCAACACTCCAGCACCAGGAAGGAAAATAAAACTTCTGTATAGATCCTTCCATGATATATTTTTAAAATCCTTCTTTAGAACAAACTGGAATTCTTTAATTCAGGGTACACATTGGTATCTGACACAGCTTCTTGTGTCATAAAAAAGTTAAGTTCCTTTTTTAATTACATGCATATAATGCTAGGTACAAAACTCTAGAAATATGTCTTTTTATAATGTTTTACTTCTCATGTTGGTCTGGGTATTGAATGTCTACTGTTACCTTTTTATCCACTCAATAAATCTTGGTACAAGCAAGTGACCCAGACATTCTTGTTCTTTCCTTTTTTGTAATTACCACCTCAAAAATCTTTAAGCTAAGAGAACAAAAGAGGACAAACACATTCCATAACAATGTCTTAAATAAAATTTAAAAAATAAAAGGAGAGAGAGCAGTTTTTAAGGCAGCATTTTCTTTGTCCTGGGCCCATGACCAATGTCAAAGTTCAAATATATTGTCACCAGTCTCCATGTTTGTTCATGTAATACATGTAAAACAGTGGCTCAGATACACAGCCAGACATTAAATTGTCACTGACACAGAATAAAAGCTTTCACCGATTTTCAGCCTATCTATCTGATACTTATATACATATGGGGGTCTTGTCACCAGTCTCCATGTTTGTACATGTAATAAATGTAAAACAGTAGCTCAGATACACAGCCAGACATTAAATTGTCACTGACACAGAATAAAAGCTTTCACTGATTTTCAGCCTATCTGATATTTATATATATATATTATATATTATATATATATGGGGGTCTTGTCACCAGTCTCCATGTTTGTACATGTAATAAATGTAAAACAGTGGCTCAGATACACAGCCAGACATTAAACTGTCACTGACACAGATTAAAAGCTTTCGCTGATTTTCAGCCTATCTGATATTTACATATATTATATAAAAATATATATATTATATATAAATATGTATATCTGATATATATATATAATATACATGGGGGTCTTGTCACTGGCTTTTTAAATTTTTCAATTAACCATTAACCTCAACGTTAAGTACCACTGAGCAGCACAGACTAATTAGCATTCAATGTAAAGTTTACACATGTATAATTCAAATTCTCTTCGCCTGAGGCTGATTAGGACAAACTGAATATCAAGCAATCTAACACAGAGAGCACGTGTGCATAATTCAAATCTCAAATATTTAAGGCAAATGATTGTTTAAACATAAATATACATATATTTGCACTAACTTTACAACCTGTGACTATAGGATACAATATTTTCTCTCATCTATTCAGATTGCACTGAATGCTTCCTTGTTTTAATTTTTTGGAACAGAATGGGTATCTTTAATGTTTAATCTCTTCTAATACTACTTGTCAGCAACTCAAGTGGAGGACTTAAGAAAAAAATCAGAACTACTGGCCAGAATAAGGTTTTCTGATTATATGTGGCTTTCAGTTTCCATGTTATCTCCAAGTCTACTTTTAAGAACCACTGACAACTCATAGCTGATTCTTGGCTTCCGTTTCTTCCCGCTGGCTATCCCTCTTATTTTTGGTCTCTGTTCTACTTTAACTGGCTTCTGTCTTGTGAAAGATTTTCAGATCAATCATATTTTGTTCAATGAAATTTGCATATAGACAAATAAACTCTCCCAGAAGAGTTTTACTTATCAAAACCAACAAACTCTCCTAGAAGTTTATTTGTTCAAACTGCATTTTTACAAGGACACTTCCTAAAAATTGTAGTGTGGTCCAAGAGGTTATGCATATGTAGGGGTAGGAAAAACCGTGACAGTCAAAGGTAAGGTTCCAAAATACAAGTCTCCTCTAAAATGTCAATAAACACACAATGAATAACACAGAGGGATGACAAGCCATCTGAAACTACAAATAGCTTTGTGCAGTGGCAGGATCATAGCCAATGAGGTTTATGCGAGGCACAATTACTGCTAACTGAAACTACGAATGGAGTATTAAAATTCAGAATTCTGGGGTCAGGGGAGGCCTTGAATTTGATTTACTTTTCCCACTTCAATCCCAAATCTAACCCCATTTACGTCTCTTGAACTAGTTAGCTCTGGGGGCAGCAGGCAGTGGCCTGAAGAATGTGGCCACGAGCTAACGGGCGTCTTGAGAAAAATAATTGGTGCAGGATTTGCTCTGCTTGACCCAAAAGAGTTTATTTGTTTTTTTTAGAGATGGGGTCTTGCTGTGTTGCCCAGGCTGGAATGCAGTGGCTATTCACAGGCATGATCACTACATGCTACAGCCTGGAATTCCTGGGCTCAAGTGATCCTCCTGCCTTGGACTCCCAACAAACTGGGACGACAGGTGCACGTGCCACCATACCCAGCTTCCAGGAGAGTTTCACGCACACAGGTATGGCCAGCCTTCCCAGCACTCAGAAGGCACTTGATACAGGAGGAGAGTCTGCTCTTAGGGCTGCAGAATGTAAGGAGATCAGAAGGAAGGCACAGAATCCTCTAGGTGTATAAACAAGAAATAGATAATATGCTTGCTGCTACTGTGCAGGTTGAGATGCCTGTACCTTTCATCACTTATAGAATTACAACAGCCTAAAGTCCCCTAACAGCTCAACCTCAATCCCAATGCACATATAAGTGACATACTTAAGGGTGGGAGGAAATAGGAGGAAGCAGATCTAACAGATTTTCTGGAGGAGAAAGATGAAATATTGAGGTCAAAAGCAGTATGACTACTTAAGGAGAATCAAGTGAAGTATAAAAAATAACTTCTGGAAAAAAATGTTTAATTAAAAACTAAAATTTAAATATTTATATTCTCAAGCTGAATAATTCAGTAGATAAAGTAGAAGATCGATGCTAACTGGCAGTATAAAAGATCAAATGAATGAAATTTCAAAGCACAAAGTAAAAATACAAAGCGATGAAAGTCATAATGGGAAAAGAGAAGAGCCTTGAATGGATCAAGGAAACCTAACATACAGCCATAAGAAGAGTTCCAGAAGGAAGAAAGAGAAAAGACAGAAGAGGTAATAATTAAAGTAATATGGAAAAAAATTTTCATAAACTAAAGAGAGGGCTGAATTACAATCTCACAGAGCTCACTATACTTAAAAAAAAAGGGAAAGAAAAAAAAAAACCTGACAAGTATCCAGAAAGAATAATTACTTAAAATTGAATAATAATTAAACTCACATTGTGCTTCTCATTTGTAATACTGAAATCTAGAAGAAAGAACAGTAACATCCAGACAGCTGGGAGAAAAAGAAGTAGAACCCAAATATCCCACACACACAGTCTGTTGCGAAAGAAGTATTTGCCAAAATTTAAGAATTCAAATAGCACATCAACCACTGTCCCCGCCAAAGGAAAGGACTTGAGAAAAGAGTCTAGTCAAACAATAACTGAACCAGAAACGTTTTATGTGTGGGAAGGGAAGAAATGAGGGGTAAAATGTATCTTGCACAATATACAGATTTAAATCTAAATGAAAAAAAAACTGTAATATAAGTCCTCAACATGAATTCCTGACACAGAAAAGTCTAACAATCTGGACCTAAACAACTAAATTATTTCCACAGAAATTTAGGAATGAAAGAGGATTAGGGTGTCAAGGTGAAAGAAAGTGCTGGTATCTTTTTTTATGTTAAAGTGGAATAAAAATTGGATTATGAGCAATTAGAAAGGAAGGTGGTCATTTATTAAATGGAAAAGTGCAGAACTGTCACATAAAGGGAAAATGGAAAATGAATATCAACTTGAAAATATAGGCAAAATTAAGAAAAGTGAAAAAAGTCACAAATATGAATAATGAACAAGGTGAAAAGACAGTAATAAGATCAAGTATAACTTAGAATAAAAATGGAAGAACTGAATTCTCCCTCTGGAAAATAAACTGTCAGACTGGGCTAAAAAGACAAAGATCAGATAAAGGCTGTTACAAGAAATACTTTAAATCAATTGATTGAAAAAAGTTTAAAATAATGGAATGGGCAAAGAAATATCAGCTAAATGCCCCCAAAAGAAAGTATGAGTGCTAGATTAATATCAGATCATGTGGAATTCAACGTTGAGAGTACCAAATAGGATAAAAAATGTAAAAATCTAAATTATATAAAGCAAAAGGTATTTAATAAGAAGATTTAAAAATACTTAGTTAAATGAGAAATCAATATATCTTTGTCATAAATTGACAGACCTCATAAAACACAATGAGTACAGACACAGTATAATTGACCAAAACAACCCACACGCTCATTTAATAATTATACGTAGAATTTTTCTATCTCGTTTTTTTTTATACTTGAAGTTCTAGGGTACATGTGCACAACGCGCAGGTTTGTTACATATGTATACATGCGCCATGTTGGTGTGCTGCACCCATTAACTTGTCATTTACATTAGGTGTATCTCCTAATGCTATCCTTGAATAAAGTTCAGAAGTTTTATATGTATCCATAGAACACTGATAAAAATCAATCATAAGGTAACATAAGCTTTAAAACACCCCTTTTAAAATGTTTGTATAGATTACATTGGCTACCCTACTCCAAGAAAATTAGAAAATTAGGCCAGGCACAGTGGCTCACACCTGTAATCCCAGCACTTTGGGAGGCTGAGGCAGGTGGATCACTTGAGGTCAGGAGTTCAAGACCAGCTTAGCCAACATGGTGAAACCCTGTCTCTACTAAAAATACAAAAATTAGCCGGGCCAGGTGGCGAGGGCCTGTAATCCAAGCTATTTGGGAGGCTGAGGCAGGAAAATCACTTAAACCTGGGAGGTGGAGGTTTCAGTGAGCCAAGATTGCGCCACTGCACTCCAGCCTGGGCAATAGAGCAAGACTCTGTCTCAAATAAATAAATAAAATAAATAAATTAAAGACAAATAAATCAAAAGAAAACAATGAAAATAGCACTTCATATAAAAAAAACTCTGGAGGCACAGAAAAACATGCTCCAGGGAAAATTCATAGCCTTTATTGCGTTTGTTTTTTAAACAAAAAAGAAGAGGTACAAGGAGAAGAGAGAAACCAAGTACAAAGCTAAACTTAGTATTCACTTTGAGAAACTGGGAAAAGATCCACAAAACATGCAAACATTATAATACCCAACATAATGAAGAAAGTAAAAGAAACAAGTTTCACCAACATCAGTGCTTTAATTATATAATTGTATAATGTCCTGACATATATGTTTAGTGTTCCAATCCTAAGGAGAAATTTGCCAAGTTAATTCTGACTTAAAGAAAATTTACAATCTACTTCTCTACATTAACTGAAAGAAGTGAAATTTCTTGCATGTAAAATTTCTTGAATTAAAAACTCAGATTTTCCATAAAAGGAATAAGATTAATGAGGAGACAGCAATTTAGAAACATGTCAAAATAGGTACTTAAATACCAAAAGAATCAACCCATCAATTGGCAGAGAAAGAGAGAGAGAATGTACTAAGGGAAAGAGTGAAGCAAAATGGACTGCTGATGCTTTTTATAGGATTTTTAGCAAGATATGAGTTCATATTGTAAATGTTTTATTAAAAATTAATGTTATAATAAAATTATAAAACAGAAAACACCTTAACAATTGGTAGGATTAATGTGTTTTAAAGAATCAAAACCTATTTAAACACCGAGTCTAAACAGAGCCACTGAGACCCAAAATCTAACATGTCTCAGTCAATGGGCAGAAGACTAAAAGAACATGCCACAAGTGGAAGAGAAATGGCACTTGAGAAGCCCAAGAGTCTTTCGTTCAAAACAATATATGTGGCCAGTGCACAAAAAGGACAAAAAATATTTATACACACTCAAGAAAAAGAAAGGTCTCCTGTTATGAAATACAATGCTTTGGAAGGTTTTACTTGTTTCGACTTTTGAATAATCTCCCATTTTTTAAGGTGACATTCAACCAGAAAGTTAGAGGGAACTCTACAATATATCCTCGCAGATCCAAAATAATAAAGCCATTTCTAGACCTGACCAGGGAAGAGCAGCAGTTTTACAAAACTAAAGAATTACATCCTTAAATTCCTCAATTTACCCAGATCTGTAAAATAACCAATATAGATATAACCACACTTACAGAAATACAAATAAGTCTGGATTTTGCACTAATGACGAAAGATACAGCAATCATCCTAACAGTTAAGCAAGAACCAACACATAACATGAAAGAGCAAAAGATGATGCTGACCGTTCAAGGAGAGATTCGAGAGAATAATGAAAGATTCCCCTCAGCCATACCTGACTATGAATTCTGACAATTATTTATTAGGAAAGACAGGCCTTAATAGCAGCCGCAAAGAGTAGTGACATCTGGGAGTAGTGACATCTGGGAAACAAAAGAAACCCACCTGAAAACTTTAAAGAGGAGATCAATATTAACTAATCACTTTAGGAAGGTCATCTGGTAGCAATGTGGGACAGTGATGGTGACAATGATGGTGACAGTGGTGGCAGCGGTAATAGCTTAATGAATGCTTACTAATCCAGACTGATGTAGAAGTTTTATCATTATTAACTCAACAATCTTGTGAAATAGCTATTATTAGCCCCAATTTATAAGTGAGGAAACTGAGGTACGAATATCAATGTGCCCAAAGACACATATATAATTAGTGATAAAACTGACACTCAAGCCCCCAGTTAGTCTGACTTCTTTTCTTTGGAGATGGTCTTGCTCTGTTGCTCAGGCTGGAGTGCAGTGACCTTCTAGGCTCAAGTGATCCTCCTTCCTCACCCCTTGCAAGTAGCTGTGGGACTAAGGGCATGCACCACCACTATATTTTTATAGTCTTAACCACTACATTTTTATTTACACTTGTAAAGTCAGTGGGTTTCAAAATCAGCTGTCAATCTTGCCAATATAACCTGGGCCAGAAATGAAAGAAGATATAGAATGGGGGAGAGGCTCAATGACTGTAAAAGAACATCATCAAAAATATGCCTGTTGTCTAGGCAGAACTATACAAATGAAGTTCTATTTATTTCCAGTAGAGGGGGTAAAATATTATTTTTTGGCAGGTGATTAAAAAATGCAATGGGCCCCCCTGGCCCCCCATATCCAAGGGTTCTGTATCCACAGATTCAACCAACCACGGACCAAGAATATTCAGGAAAAGGCCAGGTACAGTGGCTCATACCTGTAATCCCTGCATTTAGGGAGGCCAAGGAAGGAGGATCACTTGAGCCCAGGGGTTCGAGACCAGCCTGGGCAACACAGTGAGACCCTATCTCTACATTAAAAAAAAAAAATTAGCCAGGCGTAGTGGCATGTGCCTGTAGTCCCAGCTACTCAGGAGGCTAAGGCGGGTGGATATTGAGCTCAGGAGTTTGAGACCAGCCTGGGCAATATAGTGAGACTTCATCTCTACTAAAATAAAATTAAAAAAAAAAAACTAGCTGAGTGTGGTGGTGGTGCATGCCTGTAGTTCCACAGCTACTCGCGAGGGGTGAGGCAGGAGGATCACTTGTGCCTAGGAAGTCACTGCACTCCAGCCTGAGCAACAGAGCAAGACCATCTCCAAAGAAAAGAAAATATTTGGGGGAAAACTCAAAATAATGCACAATTTTAAAATACAGTATAACAACTATTTACATAGCACTTACATTGTGTTGAGTAGTATAACAAATCTAGAAATAATTTAAGGCATACAGGAGGATGTGCATAAATTATATGCAAATACTATGCCATTTTGTACAAGGGATTTGAGGATTCATAGATTTTGGCAACTGAGAAGGTCCTGGAACCCATCAATCCCCTATGAATACTGAGAGGCAACTGTAATTTATTTTAAAATCAGAGGCTCTTCTTGTATACATTTCAAGTGGGTTAAACTTTGAGTCTTTTGGTACTAAATAAATATTTTTAAGTTGATAAACTTATTAGTAGAGTTGTGTTCAGAGGGCTCTTGTGATACTGAGAAAAATCACCCTCTCCTATAATGCCCTGGCAGAGCACATGATGCTTCCAATTATTTCAAAGGGTTTCAGAAAACTGCAAGATACTTCTCATCTCACATTAAATGTTTTCAAATTTTGAAGTCATAAAAATTTATAGTGCTCAAATCACATAAATAATCACCTCCAAAAAGGATGAGGCGGGAGAGGTCACTGTTTTAAGAAAACTGGAGAATCTTATAAGGGCCCCTATAGGCTGTCATTAGGAAGAGAGAGAATTTGAAATATTTTACACAAAAACAGGCAGCAATAAAGAAAACCAAAAGCTACAAAAATATATGGCTGTGCAAGAAAGAAAATCTAACATTTTAGCTGCAAATAAACATTCTACCTAGTGATAACAATAAACAATATTCACTGATTTTCAACTTTTGGAAACTAATCTACTCAGCTCCACCACTTGCTAAGTGCCTTAAATTTTCTTGTCAGTAAAATGAGGACCATAATATTACCACAATATTACCTATACCACAAAGTGAGCCTAATGATTACAAAAGCTTAATATATGTAAAGTACCTATGTCTGTATATGTGTGTGCTTTATAAATAACATGTATATGCAATGTGGCCGGGCACAAAGCAGGAACTATGTGAGTGCTTTCTATTACTACCACCACCACTAGTGCAGACAAGCACAGAAGACTTAACATTTTATTACATAGCACAATGTTATCAACCCTTACAACGTAAGTGTCTGAACAGAAGAGAAGGGAAATAACTTTAGGATAACCTGAACTTGAGAATCAAGGGACATTGTCCATAGTTGGTGAGCCAACTAATATAGTTCTACATTAAACATCTAGAAAGTTATAAAGGTATCCAAGAGATCAATTTAAAATGGTGTCATATTAGGTGTCATTAAAATGGTATAATATGGAGCAAATGGGTTAGATTCTCATGTAAAAATAGCAGCATAGCATATAGTTAGGAAACTCTGGACATTCACCTTAGAATTTAAATATAGAAACAGTTAAAGTGGTTCCTTCCAGAAAGTCGGAAGGAGGTTCAGGAAGATTAGAACATAGGACTTCTACTTTTTGTTAAACACTTCGCTATTTTTTTCAGCCATGTAAATATCTTCGACTTCACAAATGTACTTTATCCTCTTCCTTTTCATGCACTCATTTGCACTTTAGAGACTTTGTGAAATACATTTTGCATTAGAAAAATAAAAAGATAAATGATTCAACAATGTGACTAGTATCATTCTATGTTTTAAAAACACTTCAATTTTCCTTCTGATGTCATTTGTTATCTTACTGTTTTCGAGCAAACTACAATCAAGCATCAATCTACAGACGTAGCTTCTTACTAAGATTGCACTTTGAGTTATATACATTTAGCTTACATCATTAATAAGATGAAAAAAATCTACAAATTATATTTATAATTGAGAAATAGAAACACATGAAAAAATTTATTTCAACTATGAAGAGAAAAGAATAAGTAGTAAATTTTCATTTGCCCAGCCTTTTGTTCTAAAGAATTTAAGGTAAACCCAATAAATATTTTTTAATATTAAAAATATCCTGAAGTACTGTATTTGCACTTAAATGAAGCTTAAGTGTAAAGTACTGATTGGCAAAAATATTTAATATTTTACAAAATAATATTTTAAATAGACAAAATATATAATGCCCTTTTTTCCTCAAATGACTATGACTTGTTTCAGCTATGTTGTACGTGCTATAAAATCCTTTTGTTTCAGAATCCAATTTCATTTAAAATTCTCCTATTTATATATACTCCCTGACTTGCTATGGCTTAAGTTCTAAATCATAGTTAAGTACTACTGACTGTAAGTTATATTTAGAAGACTGTAGTTTCAAGTAAACTTCTGCCTATCTTTGTGGTTTGAAACTAAAAATTTGAAGTAATATTTATATCACTTCTCTTTCTAGGTTTTTGTATATTTAGCTTTGTACAGTTCCTGCTTTATTAAACCAGCTTAAAAACACATTGGCCAGATCATTCCAGCCTTCTCTCTTAGTACTAGCTTGATTTCTGATAATTAGCCTTGATAAATAATCGTTAAATAACAGAGAATAGCCAATCTTCAGATTATATTACTAATCACAAATAATGGCTGGAAGTATAAAATGAAAAACAGTACCTGACACACACAAATTTAATAAATATACTGCATAAATAAAAGCCCAAAGAGATGCAACTGAACAATGGGAAAATATAATCAGGTTTATGCTATCTTGTTACCTTCTCTCAGTAGTTATTTTATACATATTTATGAGGTCTCCAGCATACGCAAAGGAATATGCTGAAACTGTTAAATACTATGGCTTTGCAGAAAACAACTCGTCTAATTTGGGCAATATGGTGGACTCTTTGGGAGTTCTTACTATGATACAACTAGATATTAGATAATTACAACAAAACTTCATTGCTGGGCCGTTAAAAAAATAAAGAAAAAGTTCAAGAATCAAGAGTATATGAAAGAGAAATAGAAACATAAAAGGCAGGCCATAAAATGTGAACTACAATCACTCATGAAAGATGGGGTTGCCCTAAGGACACACGCATGACTGTGTTCTCCTGGGTCTCTAAAGACCAAACCTGGGCCCTATAGCACATTTGGAGACCTAAACCTCAGAGTCTCAACAGAAACCAAGAAGAAGCCTTTACAAATCTGCTGTTGGGGAAAAATACTCTGAATTCAGGTCTCAGGATTCCCAATGTTCACCTAAATCAAATACGAATTCGCGATTTAAAAATATTCCTGAACACAAAGAAACAAGCCACCATGATGTGAGGTAAAAGGACCTTAAAGACTTACTATAGGGAAATCATCAAATGCAGACTATAAATAACTATATATGAAGTATAAAAAGGAAAAACACTGGAATCCAAAAAGCGACCAAGCAATAAGAAATTAATAAGAATGACTGGGCCACTGAAAAGAAACAAATACGACTTTAAGAAATGAAAAAAAAAAAACACTGTTGGAATCAATATCTCAATGGACTAGTTAAACAGCGGACTGAACACAGCTGAAAAGAATTAGTGAACTGGAAGATAAATATGAATAAACTGCCATAATACAAAGACACAAGAAAATGGGAAATATAAAAGCTATTAAGATACATGGAGAACAGAATAAAAATAACAAATATCAAATTAGAGACCCAGAAAGAATAAAGAACATAGGGACACAATGGTGGAAATTTTCCAAATATGATCAAAGTCATGAATCTACAGATAAACCAAGTATAGTATAAAAATAATATACATAAATTAAAAGGAATTTAATCCTAGACACATTGTACTAAAAATGAAGAACACCAAAACAAAAAAACTATAAAGACAGTAAGAAACAAGAGATCATGTATTAAAAAAAGAGCTAGTGGTACACTGGTGCCAGCTAATAGAGGCTTGACTGGGAGCCAGCTGTTAAATTTTTAGGAATTTTTTTCAGCCAGTTTTTAAACAGTAAATGCACTGTATAAATTAAACAAGACTATTATTTTATATAATATAAAATTGCAAGCAGAGAAATATTAAAAGCAGTGGTAATTAATAATCAAAACTCAGCACTTTCTAATTAGTTTACTACATATTATTATTTGCTGTTTTCTTGAGGTAATTCTCTCTGTTGCATAGGATGGCAGAAATAATTCATAACTGTATGTTCTTTCCAACTTTGCAATAACTGATATAATACGGTGAGAGTATTTCCACCACACAAATAAGTAAACACTAAAAATCATGACTTTTTCCCTCAGAAAGATAGTTGCTAAACATCAGAAAAACCCTAAATCAGACTTACACCAGACTTCACAAAAACAATAGAAAAATATTTTCAAATATTGAAAGGAAGTAAGTAAAAACCTAGAATTGTAAAACCAGAAAAAACACTTTCAAAATAGGGGCAATAATCAAAACTTTATAGATTAACACAAACTGAGTGTTTACTAACAGGAGCCTTTTAGTAAAAGAACATCCACAGGATTTATATCAGGAATAAGGAAAACTAGTTTAAGAAGACATTATGGTAATATAATTATGCTAAAATTTAAAAACGTTTTAATGTTTTTAAAAAAACTGTATATATTTGGAATTATAAAAATATACTTCAATAATTTTCAGGTTAAAGAAGAAATTAAAATAAAAATTTTCAACTTCATCACATTGAATGATAAAGAAAATGCTACATTAATTTTGTGGAATTAAAATAGGACTTGAAAAAATTTTAGCCACCAATCCTCGTCTGTGAAGAAAATGATGGATGATAAATGCACAGAAGAATAATAAACTCAAGCAAAAGAAAGACTACAAAGATTTTTGTAACCCTAATAAAACAGTCAACAAAGCCTAAGGAAAGAACTTTGAAAAGAACTAATAAAATTCACAGTCCTCACTGAAAGACTGAATTAAAACAAAGGAGAGAAAGCGTAAATACAGCATAGGAAGAAAAAAATAAGAAAACATCTACAAGTATAGCACAGATAAAACAGATAAGAATATATCATAAATAATTTTATTGCAACAAATGTGAAAGCAAACCTTGGGAAAAATGTAACTTACCAAAGCTGACTCCCCCAAAAAAATAAAAATTAGGAAGAATCCTGTATTAATATCAGATAAGTAGTTTGAAATCTTCCTACAAAGAAAACATCAAGCCCACAGGGTTTTAGAAGCAAGTTCTAGGAAAAGATAATTTTAACGTTAAAGAAACTCTTCTAAAGAATAGAAAAGACAGGCAGGTATGGTAGTTCATGCCTGTAATCCCTGTGGTTTTAGGAGGCCAAAGTGGGAAGAGTGCTCTCTTGAGGCCAGAAGTTCAAGACCAGCCTGGGCAATATAGCAAGACCCCACTGCTAAAAAAGATTTAAAAATTAGCCAGGCATGGTGGCACACACCTATAGTCCTAGCTAATCAGCAGGCTGAGGCAGGAGAATCCCTTGAGCCCAGGAGTTGGAGGCTGAAGTGAGCCATGACTGCACCACTGCACTCCAGCCTGGGCAACAGGGTGACACCCTGTCTCTTAAAAAACTAATAATAATAGAGAAAAGGAAACATATTTTATTTCCTGTGGTTAATATTATCAAAGCAACAAATCCTACCAAGAAGAGTAAGAAAAAGAAGCATATGGCCTAATCTAACTCAAGAATATAAATGCAAAAATTTTTGAATAGAATATTAGCATAACTAATCCAATTGTAGGGGGGAAAAAAAGGAAAAAAATCTAATAGACCAAAACCACATTGGGTTTAATCCCAAAATTCAAGAGTACTTTGGCGTGACAAAAATGCTTGTCAAGCACTACATTAACAGATTAAAGGAGAACAAAACCATCTGTTCATCTCAATAGATACTGAAACGTTTTCTGATAAAATCAAAAATTCATCCATGGTTTTTCAAAAAATGAAAACAAACAAAATTCCTTACAAACATGACTAGGAGATAAATTCCTTAACTTGAAAAAGAGTAGCTACCAAAGTCCCATGGAGACAACCTTCTAAATAGCAAATTATTAGAATCAGTCCCTTTGTAATCAGTTTTTACTGGTATTCCTACTAACTCAGGACTGCAAAATGCACTGGGGGGAAAAGGATAGGAAAATTGGAAATAAGACAGGTATGTGTCATTATTCACATTTAATTGTCCACACAGAAATACAAAAGGATC
Source organism: Homo sapiens (assembly GCF_000001405.40). NCBI lineage: Eukaryota > Metazoa > Chordata > Mammalia > Primates > Hominidae > Homo > Homo sapiens. Next base: position 20,430,012 of record NC_000009.12, read on the forward strand.
TGTAAAGAATTAATAAGTTTAGTAAGATGTTAGAAGTCATATCAATATCCTAAGGTAGACTGCATATTTACACATCAGGAACAAACAGGAAACATTTAATATTAATAATAGCAAAACAAAATATAAAGTAGCTAGGAATAAATAAAGCATAAAACTACACAGATACTTTAAAGACATTAAATAACATTTAAATAAACTCATTGAGAAACTAGGTTCATAGATGAGAATATTCTTCAACCACAGATTCAATGTAATTTCAATTCAAATCTCAACAGTTTTTCAGAGAACTTACACTGAGTCTAAAATGTATATGAAGAAAAAAATGATCTACTAGAACTTGTTACATTATATAGCCAACCTCTTTATGAAATGATAGTAATTACAACATTGTAGTATTGCTACAGAGATCAACAAACTGATCAATGGAACAGAAATGTACACCCTTCCAAACAGACTCATAAATATTTTAAAAGCTGATGCTTGACATGGCGGATCATTGATAAAAGCATAGACAACGCAATAAAACATGCTGGAGCTGGTTTCCTATATAGGAAAACATTTAAATTAGACTCTTACCTCATACATACATAAAATCAATTCCAGATATTTGAAAATATTTCAATGTTAGACAAAACTTCTAAAACTTTTCAGAAAATTCAGGAGAATATCTATATGACCTTGGTATAGGAGAATATACTAAATGGGACATTAAAAAGAACTAACTATTTTAAAAATCTGATCACATTAAGAATTTGTTTATCAAAAGATACCATAAAGTAAAAAAGCCACTAACTGAGAAAACTAGGAAAATATGTCAATAGTAAATAGAAACAACAATGAACTCCTATCTCCAGGATATTAAAAGACCTCTAATAAGTAAATAGAAAAATAAGTGGAAGACATGAACAAACATTTCACAGAATAAGAAACATGAATGGCCAATGAAATATATGTTCAGCTTCATTAATGAACATATAATCACTGCAATGCAAAATAAGAGAATAATGATACAACTTTATGTGCTTACTAAATGTGCATAGATGAACAAGTCTGACAAGAAAATAGAACAATGAGATCTCTTTTACATGCTGACATGAGACTCTAAATTGCTATAACTATTATATAAAATAAACCAAGGCTAAATAGGTGACTGCTCTATGACCCAGCAATTTTATTCATAGGTATACAATATAAGACAGCATTTCTCTGAATGTAGTCGGCAGACCAGCAATATTAGTATTACCTAGATGCTTATTAGAAATTTATATTTTTAGGCCCCACCCTAGACCTACTAAATAAGAATCTCTGCAGCTGGGCCCAGGAGTCCTCATGTTTCTTAATTCTCCAGGTAATTCTCATGTACCCTAGAGTTTGGGAACCACTGAGTTACAGCAGTATTATTCAAACAGAACTGGTTTAGGTAAGGCTGGAAAGCAATATAGTAGACTCCATAATTGTTTATAAGTCAACCAGTACAAAATTAAATAGACTGAATTCCATGTAGTAAAGGTTAAGCATGGTTTATGAAACTTTTGTCTCATTTGTCCATGCATATTTATTTATGTATATGGGTACTTGATCATTATGGAAAACCGGTTTCTTACTATGGGTCACGGTCATAAAAGTCTGAAATCTAATGCCCTACAGAAACTCTTGCATGGGTATACTAGACATATGCACAAAAAGGTTCATAATTGCAAAACCAAATAAAAAGGGGTAATCTAGATATCTAGATAACAAGACAATGAATACACAACTCATGATATAATCACTCTTTGGACTATGCACAGCAGTGAAATAGACAATAATAAAGACAAATCTTATAATGCTGAATAAATAAAGCAAGTCAAAGTCATAAAAAATACATATACTATTATACCATTTTCATAACAATAAAAAATAAGCAAAGATGAGCAAACAAACATACATTTATGGTAAAACCATGTTTAAAAGCTCAAGAAACTTTAGGAAGGTAATTATATCGAGAGAAGGCAAAGGAATCGAGTGAGAGGCATATACAGATAGTTAGAGTGGTTTGTAATATAACATTTTTATTATAAGAAAAATTCAAAATTCCTGATGTCAAAATCTTCTAGTCTAGGAAGAGAAATTCACATTCAAATTCAGCAGATACTTATTTATTAGCTGCTATGAGCAAAACACAAACACAGTGTCTCATTTAATCTTCTTAAAGAGTCCTGTGCGGTAAGTACTTGATAAAGAATAGGCAATCAAGTATGTGCTCAGTGAATAAATGCTTGAATAATTTTATAATATTAAAAGAGACAGAGTTTGATTATATAGTATTATAGTTCTACTGACAGGAGTTAAATGAAATAACATAACTTTAAAGAGTTACTAATATATTCTTACCTTTTTTTACCTTATATTACTTATTACCAAAAGTATAATGAGAAAAATATTCAAGTCAAATCACTTTTTTCTATGGAAGTATTATATTGCTGGTCAAAGGTGTACAAACTAACAAACCGTAGGGCAGAATTAGCTGATACGTAACTTCAGCAATACCCCTTTGTCCTAATACGTGGAGTTAGCTCTATGTGCGGCACATACAGGGTGGGGGGAAAAAGCAGAGCTGTCCTAATATAGAAAAAGAAGTCACCAAGGCTGGAAAAAAAATCGCTTTTTTTTTCAGTCTATGCACTTTAATAAGAACAACAGTTTAAAAGTGCAAAATCAAAATCTTTTTGTTCATTGAATACATATCGGCGTAAACAAACACACTTGGGAAACGGCTGCCTTACAAAATTATTTCCATCCTTCACAAAAAACTATTTCCCTTCACAGAGCTCCTACATATGTATGCTTTTGTTTTTAAATTTTGATTCACTGTTGTATCTCTCCAGCACCTGGACTAATGGCTGACCCTAAAAGGCACATAATAAGTATGTGCCTTTGAATGAATGTATACATTTATTGAGTATTTACTATACAGTAGGCACCTGGGGATACCACATCAAATATATTATAGTCCCCATCCACTTGGAGCTAACGCAAGTGATGAAATTATGCCTTTTTGCCCCCTTAACAATTCAGTCCAAAAGCTCTTATGTCGGGCCAAGCAAAGTAGGCAACGGTGAGGAGGAACGGCTACAGGTGGAGAGACACCCGTACAGGGGCTGGGAGCCACCAAAAGGGCCTGCTCTTCGGAGAAATGCTGAATTCAGAGCAGGGACAAGAAGTACAAAATGAACTTGACATATCTTTTTATAGAAAAAGGTTAAAAAGTATGCAAAGAAACCAGGTTAAAGGGGCTCCCACTGGCCAAGTCAGGAAAATTAAATTATCAAAATAAATAATGATAGTAATAGGTTATAACCCATTGAAAAAATATATACCCATGAGTCCATGATGATAAAATAAACATAAGAATAAACTTAAGTCTGAGGAAAAATGGGATATTTACATCTTCTCAAAGTACCTTCCAATAAAACACTTATTAATTACAGAGAGAAACTGTACAGTGGAGAAGCCTGGAGGATGCCATTCGAATCAAGTAATGGGTGTTAACATCAACAGTAATGTCTCAGTGGAAATCAGGATCATGTGATGTGGTTCAATGAGAAGAGTGCAGATATTCCTACCAAAGATGCATAACATGAATCTAGTTGCAGGGAAATATACATAACCAAGTATGTATATCTACTAAATAACTGGCCTGAAGTCTTTAAAATCTTCAAGTTCATGAAAGTCAAGGAAAGACCAAGGAACTCTTTCCAGTTGATGGAGGCTAAGACATGACAACTAAATGCTACGTATGATTGTAGACTGGATCCTTTTGCTATCAAAATAAAGGACAGGGCCAGGCATGGTGGCTCACACCTGTAATCCCAGCACTTTGGAAGGCCGAGGTGAGCAGATCATGAGGTCAAGAGATCGAGACCATACTGGCCAACATGATGAAACCCTGTCTCTACTAAAAATACAAAAAAAAAAAAATTAGCTGGGTATGGTGGCACGCACCTGTAGTCCCAGCTACTCAGGAGGATGAGGCAGCAGAATCGCTTGAATCTGGGAAGCGGAGGTTGCAGTGAGCCAAGACGGTGCCACTGCACTCCAGCCTGGTGACAGAGTGAGACTTCATCTCAAAAAAATAAAAAATAAAAAAATAAAGGACATTACTGGAACAATCTGCAACAAAACTGGAGTAGGATCTGAGGATAACAAGTTAATAATGTATCAGTGCTAATTCCTGACTTGGATGGTTGTACTGTAGTTATATAAGAGAATGCCCTTGTTTGCAAGAAATAAATTCTAAAGTATTCAGGGACAACGGAGCATCAATATTGGCAACTTACTCTCAAAGAAAGAAAAGTTTTTTGTACCATACTTGTATTACAAGTGTAAATGTGAGATTATTTCCAATTTTTTTTAAATTATAAAGTAAGTAAATAGTATTTGGGGAAGCCCCACATCTCAATCTATGCACAGTGGACTAAGGGACTCTGGGAAGGGCACTGAAATCAGAGGATGTCTTCAAGGGGCCTTCAGTCTGTTTCAATTTGCTCCACTTGGCTGTCTCTTCAAGGACCCATAACATACTGTGCAGACCTAAATTGCACCATATTATCCTAAGAGGAATCGAAATGCCATCCTGAAAGGAACAAAGGCTTCCTTATACAAATTAGTTGATCTGTTAGCTAAATCAAGCCTTTTCTAATAAAAGGAAAGGCAGTGGTTTTCTCTCAAAAATGCCAAATGAGGTTGTTCTTCTATCTATATCACACACAAAAACAGAGCAAACAAAAAACAAGCATAATCTGAAGCCTTCAGTTCATCTCCTCTCAACTAAAATATATTGTCTCGGTTGCAGAAAAAAGACAATAAACTTGTAATATAAATTCAAAGGTGTATTTGGGAAAAACATTTCCACATCTTGTTGGGAAAATCAGCTTCACTTAGGATTTGTTGTAGAAACAAGACAATTTTACACACATGCACTTTGATCATCTGATGATTTACACAAAAGATCAGCATTCTTAAAAAAAAATGTTGTTTTTGCCATCCTTAGTCTTTAGAGACTCAGAGCCTGCCTGGAGTGGGATGGGGAATGGAGTCCAATAAAAAAGCTTCTGGCACCCCACTAAAAGAAGCAGATGTCTGAGTACCACAGCTTTTTCTCCTGAAAGCACATGAGGGCGGCCTGGACTGGTGGCTGTGAATTTGTTTTGTTTTCCTTCTTTCTTTCTTTTTTAGAGACAGGGTCTCAGTATGTTACCCAGGCTAGACTCGAACTCCTGGGCTCCAGCAATCCTCCTGCCTCAGCCTCCTTAGTAGCTGGGACTACAGGTGCTCACCACCACACCCAGTGTTTTTTAAAAAAAAGAAGAAACTGAGGTAGATTATTCCAATCCTATTAAAAGATGAGAATTTATTATCCCTTAAAAGTTGACCAAGGGTTAAGGCTTGATAGAAAGCAAAACAACTCAGTGATCTTTCACTATATACCCAAAATCTGGCATTAAGTGTGGCCCACAGTAGGTACTCAAATACTTCAAAATGAAAAGTATTTATATGTCCTCCAGATAAGGCAAGCACTAAGCTAAAAAATGCCTCTTGGAAGGACATTTTTATTTTTGTTTATTTATACACTCCGAGCTATGTAGGCAGAAAGTGGGAGGTGTAAGGATGGTATCTGAAGGAAAAAGGAGTACGGGAAGACTTAGGAAGGTCCTCTCGAACTTGATTTTCAGAAGCAAAAGAAATTAGTTTTGTATAGGGAACTTCAATCTATGAAGCAGAAACAAAAGAATAAAAATCTTCTGCCAGAAGTCTTCCAGGACTTGAAAAGCATCTTGGATTTCCTGAGCCTGTCTTATCGGTCCTAGATTCAAATATTCTCAACCATTTTTAGATCATAAATGCTAAGGACTGTACACGCATGGCGGGGTAGTGGAATATGACTATAAAGAGGCCAAAGTAGCTCCCCCAGAGAAAAGGTAGCAAAGTCAGCCACGGTAAACTAATTCTATTAAAGGGTACTACCATCCTACTTTCCTACCCTGAGCGGAAAATCTTTTAATATCTAAGCACTCAAAGAATCACAATACCCCATGGCTTACTTGTATCTCTACTTTCAAAACCCTGGTAGATTACAGTTATTTCTTGACTTTATGATAGGCTTTTTCATATGCTGATTAATGTTGCATTAACCATTTTTAGACCACATATAAAGTCATGCATAACCTTGCTGTTCAACTGAGTAAAAGAAAAACTCCAAAAATTATGATTGCCTCTTAACTTACAGAAAATGCAAACTTAACCAATCCCCACAGATAGGTTGATGCTGGCTTTAAAAAGTTTAGGGGAAAGGGATTTCTAATTATCATATTCTCCACATAAATTGTATTTTCAGAAGCAAGAGAAATACAGGAAACTTTAGTCTACAAAGCAATAAACAAAAATATGAAGTCCGTTGCTGCCAACCAGTGAACTGCTTCACTGGCAGTTTACCCAAGTTGTCTTCAGAAAGGAGACTCATGCAAGATTGCTCCATTGGTCCTAATGCAACTAAGAGAAGTGGCCCTGGGGATTTTTATTTTTTAATTCTTTGTCTTCTTTTCATTGCATTTCCAAAAAGAAAGCTAATATCACTATGTGTAACCGTAGAAAGAATATGCAAGAACAATGAACAAAAACCCTGACTCAGCTATCTCTTGCTTGACTGATTTCAGTATTTGATGCCTTAGTTTACTCATCTGTAAAATGGTGACCTTGACCTATTATATCAAAGAATTTCATCAGCTACAAAACTGTATGATTTACTCATTTTATAGCCATAAAAATACACCCTGATCCACATGCCCAGAATCTAAATGTATTAAAAATAATGAAAGTGTTCATGGGTTTTTCCTAAACAGCAGTCACTGTGCTAATCATTTCTCATGCATTATCTCAAGTCATCCTCACAACTACTATATCCTGGTAGATGGTACCAACACCTCATTTTACAAATGAGCAAACAGACTGATAGAGATTAGTAATGTGCCCAAAGACACACAGCTACTAAGCACCAATACCAGCATTTGAAAAAAAGGGCTGTGCTATGAGTCTGCCTTTCTAACTGTTATGCTGTATCCATTGCATTAAAAAAAAATCAAGATCAGTATGCAGAAAATTGAGCAGTGAGAAAGTTACTACACATCTCAATTTCTATAGGTGTCACTATTATCTTTAAGGCTGATCAATCCAAAGTAGTTTAACCTAAGACCTGTGAGACATTCACATTCTATGTTGCTCTGCAGTACAGAGGCACATACATCTGATGTCAAGCTATTTTCATTTTAAAAAGGTAAATCAGAATAAAGGTTTAATTACAGCTTTTTTTAATTAAAAAAGAAAAATAAACTGAAGCCAAAATTAAGTGTACGTATATAAGCCACAAAAATATCTTCCAGAAAAAAATAAAAAAGAAGAGATTTCAGATAAAATGATCCCAGGGGTTGGTGTGTATAGAGAAGTAAAGAAGCTCAAGAAACCTGACCCTGGGAGAGGGTGTAGTGGACGAAAGAAGCCAATCCCTTCTCTCAAGAGTAGGAACAGAAATCTAGGAAGAAAAAATACAAAGGGGACGTAAGAGAAATGACTCAACTAGAAGTAGTTCTAGCCCTGGCCCTGAGACCCATATGAAGAGCCAAATCAGATAAAGTACATCTTAAAACTGGAACATAGTAGAAGGTATTTTTATTAATGCTGATCTAGAATATTCCTGATTTAGAGCTCACTGATGATCTCTTTGCCAAAGTATTCAGAGCTCAAAATCATCAGAAAGGAAAATTCCACTTCACTTAATCTTTACTTTAAAAAAACAATAAATAACTATCTTTTGTGTGAAATTCCCTACAGCAAGGGCTACATTATTCAGCTGGTCCTCTAGTTTTTGTAGCCATGTTCTTTCAAAGGATTAGCTTGGTCTCATAGTCACTGGCATTTGAAACCCCTGGTTTAGCAAAACAGTCTTATCAAAAGTTTTTGCTCCCTATGCTTAAACCAGACCTTTATAGATATCTATGAATGCTGGACAATAGTGTTATAAGCTAAAAGCACAAAGCAGAGTGGCAGAATGAGAGGTCAAGCTAAACCTTTGAAAGAACATGACTATTCAAAACCAGAACACTCTGATAACAAATTTTCAAGAAAGATGTATTTATTATTTCTCCAGATAACTCTGTCTAGACTATATCAAACAAGATAGCTTTAACATCAAAATCACCTTTTTTATGAACCTATAAATAGTGCCACTGCAAATGGTTGTCCAGATGGTACCCTGCATAGGAAGTGTGGCCAATGGGATGAGGATTAGCTGAAATTCAGCTACACTATGCTAGCCATGCCATGCTCCTTGGGCTGGGGTGTTATAGAGTGGGGAGAGGTAGCAGCACTTTACTTATTTATTTAGAGACAGGGTCTTGCTCTGTCACCAAGGCTGGGGCTGTAGTGCAGTAACAGAAATTATAACTCACTGGAGCCTCAAATTCCTGGGCTCAAGCGATCCTCCTACTTCAGCCTCCTGAGCAGCTAGGACTATAGAGGTTTGTCACTACACCAAGCTAATTTTATTTTATTTTACTTTATTTTATTTTTTGTAGAGACAGGTCTCACTCTGTGGCCCAGGTTGGTCTCAAACTCCTGGCCTCAAGTGATCCTCCTGCCCCAGTCTCCCAAAATGCTGGGATTATAAGCATGACATTTATTTTTAATTTGCCCAAAGACACAATGGTCACCATACGCATGGACTTCTGTCTATATTACCCATATAAATTCCTATCTTAAGTCACCACAAGTTCATGTAAAGGCTGATATTTGTAAGGCCAACTAAATTTTTATTTTACTTCATTTTACTCTAACTGTAGTTGATTGGACCAGTTTGTTTCATGAATAGGGATCCTTATCTCACTCAATCTGTCCATTATTTTACCATTTCACACTACCCACAGGCCCACAATGTACCCTATAGTGAAAGGGAAGGTGTGAATCATATTTGCAAAGACAAGCTGCAAAATCTACACCTGCAATAATCTATATTAAATTACAAATCTTAGGCCAGGTGCGGTGGCTCACATCTGTAATCCCAGCACTTTCGGAGCTGAGGTGGGCAGATCATTTGAGGTCAGGAGTTCAAGACCAACCTGACCAACACGGTGAAACCCCGACTCTACCAAAAAAATACAAAAATCAGCTGGACGTGGTGGCGTACATCTGTAGTCCCAGCTACTCAGGAGACTGAGGCAGGAGAATCCCTTGAACCCAGGAGGCAGAGGCTGCAGTTATCCGCGATGGCACCACTATATTCCAGCTTGGGTGACAGAGCAAGACTCCATCTCAAAAACAAAAACAAAAACAGAAACAAAATATTTACAGATCTTTCCAAATAACTGATCTATGGACTAAACAGTCATCAGGAAAAAAAAAAAAAAAAGCTAGTACATCATACTTCTGTATTGTCAAAACCATGAAGAGAAAATTTCAAATTTGTGCAAAACAGTTCTTTTGTTCTCAATGTTAAAATTTCTGGGTCTTAAGCCAGTAAGTTTAATTTTGAGAAGCAGAGCACCAGGAAGGGGAGTGGGGGGATGGCGGAGAAAGAAAGCAATAGAACACATTAATGGTAAGTTCTCAACAACCAGAAAGTTTATATCAATCCTCTGAAGTGTGAGGACATAGAATAAAGTCATATATGTTTAAAATCTATGCGTTATGTTTAATATATTAAATGCAAAATATAGATTTTCAGTGGGATCTCATCTACATAAAAATATAATGTGAAATACTGACAGAGGTTATAGTCACCAGAAAGATTACAATGACTTATTTTCTTCTTTTTTGCTTTTCTAGATGTCCACACTTTCTAAAATTAACACATACTTATTTCAAAATCAGGGAAAATGTTAGATTCCTTCTTGAAACTAAAATATGTTCTTTCTGGTAGAACATTATTATTATGTCAAATCCTTGTAATGGAAACCTTTTACTTTCACCATTCCAGATAACAGAAAATTATGGTTTAACCAAAAATATAATAAATCTGCAGAAAAAAAGTCATGTCAATAAATAAACTAATTATCTGCTGACTACTTAACTATGTACCAGATAGCATTTAATAATCTCAAATGGGAGAAAGGAGATATTATGCTTATTTTAGATTTATACAAACCTAAGCCCAAGGTAAATTAGCAGCAGATCCTACAATTGAATTTGTGCCTTCAGATATCAAATCAAACATTCTTTCTGTTATACCATGGCTATATCCCCTGTGGTAATGAAGGTTTTTATATTAAGCCACCTACCATCTATCCTCAACCCCTGAAAATGAACCACATATGCCTACTTCGAGTCTCAGACATTTGTTTCTTAAAGTGTTACCTTCAGATCCTGATTATTGTCAGGTTTTCTTACAACTCATGGAACAAGAAAACAGGCAGAAAACAAAATGTTAATCATAGCCCCCGTTCTCCTCCTCAATTTCCCCTAAAATTGTTTTCACTTAATATTATAGAGTATGAAACTCAAAAATATCTGGTGGGGACAGTCAAAATAGGCATCTGCACTCACAGACAACTCCCTTACCATCCTAGAAGAGAATGAACTCAGACAAAGTATTAGATACACTTTGTATGCATCCTTGAAACAAGTACATAAAGAGCTAGTACCTAAGCAAAGACGAAATAGAGAAACAGAATCAACAGTTTTCAACTGCAATATTTTTGTATTTAAACAGAGAAACAATTATTTCTTAATCTGAAACTTCTCCCAACATTCACATCCTTTCATATTTTTCCTTTTCTGTTCATTTCTTATTTTCTTGGCTTTTTGTGCAATTGGGGACAGGAGGTAGTAGCAGGATTAAGTGACAACTTTAAGATATCACAGCATTTCCTTTCAAAACTAAATTACGGTTACTATATTAAGAGTTTCGTACATACAGTCAGCTAAACTGCTACTTCGGGGAGGTCTGCAGAAAGAAATGGGGCACACCTTCCAATACTGACAACTAAACACTCAAAACAACTTTTCTTAGTACACATTCTAGGAACATCTCCCTCTCTCCTCTGTTTTTCTTTCAGTCTTTGCTTAGTTTATGCAGTAATGGCGTTTGAGCTTTCAGCAGAGTGGAAAGTTTGCTCCTGTTTTTTTCCTTGTCACTTAAAAGGTAAACAGGTAGTTGGGAAGGAAGGAACAAATGAAGACACGAAAGTTGTTTTATCACACAGATTTTTCTGGTACCTATTTTCAAAAGTCTGTAACTGCCCTGCAATCAACGTGTGTGACTTTAAGAAGACATTAAATCATAAAACCACTAAATAGGTTGAGTGACATAAATAACTTTGTACTGTCATGACCATGCTTTCCCTGAAATAATTTATGAGATCGACATTACATTTGGAATTAAGGCTCACAATTTTGACTTTCTACTTAACATTTATATGTATGTTCCACTTTCATAACTTAATTTTCCAGAGTTTGTGGGGGGAGGTGGCCGACAAGGTTATAGAAAGAAGGAGAAAATGCCAAATATGACAGAAAATTAGCTTCTAAGAAATAACCACACAAATGAAGCAGCCTGCTTCGTCTTACATTTATTTAAATAAACCACCTTTTATCAGTGCCAGTAAAAAAGCAGCAGCATTCTTTTATCGTTTGAAGTGACAATTACAGAATTATATATATCAGAAAATAATCAAAAAGGTACTTATTCCAAAACAAATATCCAAAAATCCAATGAAGCTGCCCAGTGACAGCCACTAAAATAATCTTCTCTGTATTATTTTCTTTGAGTCATTTTTAAAATAAGCAGCCAGCTATCCATCTCTAGGCACTGTCTAGATGAGTTTGCCACAAAAGCCACTTATATTTTTAGAAGCCAAAGTCTTGACAAATCAGTTCCTAAGAACATAATTTGTTACACATCGAAGAAAGCCTGAAAACACAGACCTTGGTTAAAGAGGCTTCCGTATCTTTTTGTAACCTTTCCAAATGTAAGTATGTGGGAAGAGTACCCATAAATTTAAGTTGAAACTGAAACACTTAGAATATTTCCAATTTAAAATACATTAAAATGTGGTCTTTGAAAGGAAATGAAAATGGCTTTTTAAGCATATGAAAAGTTGCTCACCATCACTCATGAGAGAAATGTGAATTACAAATGAGATGCCATTTTTCATCCATCAGATTGGGGGAGAGGGTAGTTTAATAAATCATCCTGTGGAGAAAAAGGCACTCACGTACTATTTGGTGCAGGCATAGAGTAGTATAACCTCTTTGGCAGGAAATGTGTAGATGTCTACCAAAATTTAAATTTCACTTTGCCTTGGACCCACAATTCTACTCTAAGGAATTTATCCTACGGACATATCCATGTGCACAAAGAACTATGTATGAGTTTATTTACTACAGTATTACTGGTGTCCTAGAGGAAAACCTAACTGTATGTCATGATGCACTGTGTGTATATTTACCTATTCAAAAAAATTAAAATTTGAAGAGAAGAGATTGTGATCCATACAGTTGAGAAATTAGAAGTGTTCTCAACTCCCCTACAAAGGAAACACTAAACCACCCTACACAAGATTCATTCCAAATCCTTGTAATAAAATGCTGTGTTCAGATGGCTTGACACAGCTGCATTACTGAAAGCTCCTTATCCTAAGATCCTTTTGGCCCTTTAATAAGCAAAACCCCTCGCTGGAGGTCCACTGTGGACCTGAATTTCACTTGACAATAAGCAGCATTTCAGAAAGATTCCAATTTATTCCTTGTGAAAACAGATCATATATAAATGTAACTGTCACTCTCAGAAACAGGACTGCATTATGCTGCAGATTTAATACAGACTGGAAGCATGTTCCCCATGTCTTCTCCAGCAAATCTTGCCAAATGGGCGTCTGAAATGTCCTACTGAAACAGGTGGTGTCTGAACAGAATTGGATTTCTGCCTATAGAAACCCTAGTTTTAACAACTGCTGTGGTTAGTTTTAATTTTCAGTCCTCAAAATTAACTGCTTGCCAGTGATTCAGAAATAGGACTGAACAACATGTTTAGACTTTGCCCTGTTTAATTGAGGAAAGGAAGGAAGGAAGGAGGGAGGGAGAGAAGGAAAGAGGGAGGGAAGGAAGAAAGAAAGGCAGCAGGAACAAACAAACACCCAACACCCTACCACCATCCCATAAAAAACAACAGAACCAAAGCAGGCCATTTGGTTTCCAGGCCAAAAAAAGAAAAAAGAAACTGCAAAATAAACTTGATTTTCCAAAGATGCTTGCCTATTTTGTGCTTTCTTCGTAGAAGCACAAGGATCCAACTACCTTGCTGGTCATATATGTGAACTCTTCTAAGGAAACACACAGCCTTGAGAAGCCTTTAATCCGCTAAAAATTCAGAATTAAGAACAATGTTAAGAATCCATTTTTCTAATGAAAAGTTACATCTTACAAAATAATATTCCGAGCCCTTTACACAAGCAAAATACAAACAAGCACTTCATACAAGCAAAATACAAACAGAGTGCCAACACCTTGAAGGAAGAAACCACGGGCTAATCTTTAAACACAACACAGATCTATCAATGCGCTGGTTACACTAACTTGGTGGTAAACATGTTTTCCTGTGAATAAATATTGAGTAGCTTACACTGAATAGCAAATCTTTTTCACCATACCTTTAAGTGTCTGATATAAAGATGGTTAAGCATCTGCTGATATTCTAAACTAGTAACTGAGGGGAAAAGAACTAAGGTACTGGGTATCTACTATGTGCCATACACCATGGTTACACGTTCCCTATGAGGAAAACACTGCCATATCCGTTTCACAGCTAATAAACTGAGATGCAAAAAGATGCAATGGTTTTTCCCAGGGTTACCCAGCTTGAAGATGATAAAGGTTTTATCTAAACCAGCTTGAATTTAAAACTTTTCCAATTGTATCACACTTCTTTCCAACCAGAAATTCAGAAAAACAAGTTAGTAGAATAATAAATTTTAGTTCCCCAATATACAATATCTAATATACAGTATATGTTTACTTTGCCAACACCCCAAAGAAAAGCTCATCTTCTTTCATCTATCTTATAGTAATAGATGACAAACTCTTCTGCAATGTTTTCAGTATGACTGAATTCCAACTACTAAAAAGTGATAAGGGAATAGAGAGAAAATTATCTGTCGTGATCATAAGCCTTTTAATCTTAACATCCTAATGAGCACAATTTGAGAATCACTGATCCAAAAGTGATCAATCAGTTCATTCTTTAAAAATGGGAAATAAATAGAAATATCTCAGCAAATAGGGAGGTGCTTCTCCACAGAGTACACTTGGTCCTTTTGCTTAAAATTAAAAGACATATTATGTTTGTTCTTGCCCTCAAAAGTTTACTGCTCACTGCTCTCTTCCCTCTACCAATCAAAGAATAAAGATCTCAAAGGAAATATCCTCCCTTAATATAATAACATACAAAAATTTATATAATAAATATGAATAATAATTTTTAAAGTAAGTTCTCAAGTTGTTCTTTCTCATTTCATAACCCCTACCCTCTTTCTCTTACTTAAAGCCTTACAAGGGGCTGGACGCAGTGACTCACACCTGTAGTTAGAGCACTTTAGGAGGCCGAGGGGGGCTGATCATTTCAGCTCAGGAGTTCAAGATCAGCCTTGGCAACATGGGAAAACCTGTCTCTACAAAAAATACAAAAATTAGTCAGGTGTGGTAGTCTGTGCCTGTAGTCCCAGCTACTCAGGAGGCTGAGGTGGGAGGATCACTTGAGCCCAGGAGGTTGAGGCTGCAGTGAGCCATGACTGCACCACTGCACTCCAGCCTGGGTGACAGAGTAAGACCCTATCTCAAAAAATAAAAATAAAAATCTACCAGCCTAGGCAACACAGTAAGACCCTGTCTCTACATTTTTTTTTTTAATTAGTAAATGTGGTGGCGTGCATCTGTAGTCACAGCTATTTGGGAAGCTCAAGTGGGACGTTCATTTCAGCCTGGCAAGTCAAGGCTGCAGTGTACAAAAATCAAGCCACTGCACTCCAGCCTGGGCAACAGAGTGAGACTCCATCTCAATTAAAAAAAAAAAGTTCGTCGGGCTAGATCTTAAATCAAATCCACAATTTCCCCAGCAAGCTCCCATGAGCTGTCTAATTTAGAGGAAACTACTTTCACGGTCCTATAAAGTAAATCACTCTGTATTCAATACTCTCAGAAAATAATGTTTGAATCTAAATGTGCCCTGCCCACAATACTTCTTCTTTTATAACAAGAATATACTTAATATTAGGGAGCCATGTCACAGAAAAACACAGGGTATATTTCTTCCAAGAGGGACATACACCAAGTTTTGAGACTATTTAGGAAATAGTATGACATTGAAATTAAAAACAAAATCCAGTGAAAAAAACAGAATGTTATTGACCCCTCTCCCAAAAAAGTTGTTATAGGCTTATAGATTATGAAGTAGAAAAAATCTGCAGTTTTTCAAGATTCTCTGGCAAAAAGTTCTTTGGAATTATTTTCTTCTAAGAGCTGAAAAACATTTTTTCCAAGATGCTCCCAGCTCTAAAAACAACCTTTCTGATCTCTTGAAAAGCAACACTCAACTTTTAGTAGCTCTATGTACTTTTAGTTTAAAAGAAAATAATAAAAGAGAAGGAACCATAGCCAAACACTAAGTTTACTCCACCCATGCCTTAACTTATATATTAAGATGAGAAGAGAGGTTCAATTATTTTTTCCTTTTAAGGTAGAATATATACATCTATGTCAACACATAATTTTTAAGTATGAGGAGGAAAGTATCCTCTCTCCCACCACAAAACCCAGGCCAAAAAATAAGAAGAAGAAGAAGTTTATCTGAAGACATAATCGTGAACTCATTTCTCATTAAATCAGAATGGCTCATAAGTTAGTAACACCATGATAGGCTGCATTAATACTAAGATAAGACAAATGGTTAAAGCCAGGTATCAATAATATAAGGCAGTCAAAAATCTAGGTAAGCCAAAAGATGTTTATTAGTCTACTGATTTTTTTTACATTTCTATAGAAGTTTATTTTAATCTTCCCATATGAAATAGACAGAATCTGTGGAATTATTATGATTTTTAATGAATTTTTAAATGCTTATTTTACTACAAAATTCACTGTGATTAGTCCCTTAAGTAACTTGTAATATTTCAAACAGCATATGCCTGGAATAGTTCACATTTCAACTTATTATTTTAGAGTTGTCAAGACACAATCTAATTCTAATAGGAAAATATCTGCTGGCTTCAAACAGCACTTAAACACAAAGAAGGAAAGTTAGAAGTCAAGAAGAATCATTCTGAGATAAAGGCTGAGTAGAGCACAAGATGAGAAATCAACTAGAGACCTTATCAGGATGCAGTGCTGCACTTTGCTGCATTATCACTGACTGTAACCTCTCTTCCAGCTCACAGGCAACCCTCGACTTCTCTGGGACTAAGTGGTTGCTTTAAAAAGTTCTTGTGTCATATTTACGTTTTCCTACGACCCTTATCAGAAGCATGACGTACTAAAGTTACATAATTTGCACTCTCCAATTTACCCACCCAACTACACAACCCAAGAGAGATAATCAGAAATGTAAAATGCCGAATTCATTAAAAAAATGAGATTGATTAGGATTTTAAATGGACCAGTTAGTTGATTGTTAATGGCATAGCCATAGGTAAATGGCATCAAAACTATACTCCTGATAACTATAAAAGGAGTAAAACAGAGTTACTTTTCCAAACAACTTCTTTAATAAAATTATAATAAGTTCCTAATTTTAAAATAAGTTGTGTTACAAAAATAAATACATTTCTTCATGAAGCTGTATTTCTCCCATAGAATACTCTAAGTGGCATTTCATTTCCAAAGCTGGCTCAATACCCACTTAAACCATAATCTATTGACATATATATGATAAGGAATGAAATATGGTAAAAGTACTTGCAATGCTTCAAATGCATATTCATAATTCAAGTAAAAGGACAGCAGCCTAGCAAAACAGAACTCAAAAAATGGGGTCCACATCACCCAGAATAGTCACACAATTATATACATGGGCAACTTTCTCATAATAGGAACAATAGCTTTTCTTAGGTTCTCAAAGTGGTTGTTCATGTATCCAATAAAGAAAACTGTGCCACAAAAAAACCACCTGCTTCCTACAAAGCCCTCAGGTAGAGTTTATCAGTGATATAAGGCATCTTGATGGGTTATGGTCTACAAATGCATATAGAAAATAACTTCATAAATAGAAAACTGCACAAAAACCTTCCAGAGAAACTAAGTGAAGATGATCCTGGAGAAAAGAACACATCTCAAAATAGATGGGGTGTGAAGTGCCCACATAATATGACACATAAGTTCATGTGCAGTAGGAGCTGATGATCCCAGTGACACTCATTGTCAAATAGATTTTGACCAATCAATAGTGTTTGTACAGCTGACCCAGCTTCAGAAGCAAACACACCAAATGTTTATGTTTCCAAGAGGTACCACTTAAAATTCTTTCCCATACTAGTCAAATCACAAGGGCAAAAGTTTACAACACTTTTGCTACCATTACTTTAAAAAGGAAAATCCATCTTTTATCAACATAAAATTCAAACAAACAAAAATGTCTATTTAAATGACCCAAACATGTAGTATGAGTGAAGATACCTTTTTTAATAATTGTGATCAAGAAAATTTGGATTTCTTTTTATATAATTTTTAATGTGACTTGCAACTTAACCCAAAAGTTTCTATAACTGATATAACACAGTTCAAATATTATTCTTTTCTTAAATGAGAGTTTATTGCTTGTTTGTTTTGGGGTTTTGTCATAATTAAATTTGAGCTGCATAGATCTTAAGGCTGTTTTAATAAATAGTGTAATTTCAAACTTAAGCCTATCTAAAATATTATTGTCTACCTGTTCATCTCAACACATGAATCCACAGCTAAGCCATTAAGGTACATCATTTCTTTTACCTCTCCCAAAACCTTATACTTTTTAACACATGAGGAACTAGTTTGTTTGTTTTTTTTTTTGTTGTTGTTGTTTTTTAATAGGAATGCTTTTCACAAGAGAGTGCCACTTACCCCTCCTGCCTTCAGCAACTTTCTCCTAAAGTCCTCTGTGGGGTTGTTGAAAGTTAGCTTTTCACAGCGGAGGTGATTCACTGGTGGATGGCCTTCAAGATGCAGGAATAAGTCATAATCAAAGCGGACTTTCCTAGGTTCTTCCTGGAGGTTAACAAAAATTATGAAAGAAAAAAGAGAGTGAGGCATAAGTGAAATTTTAAAAGCAAAAATTTACTCCTCATAAGAAATAGAAAAGAACTAAGACATCTAACAGCTAAACTGTCAAAGTAGTACTGGGAAAAAAAAAAGTATCATGGAATCATCAGTGAAACAAAATAGAAATGTCTGACAAATTAGTTTCTTGTGTTAGGGGAAATGAAATAAGAAAAACTTCTCTTCTTCCCCATGATCTTTCAGGTGACAGGATACCAGCAACATAGCCACCCAACTAGAAACCAAGCACATTCCTTCCTCTTCCCCACCCCAGTACACTCACCATCAAAGGCTGCCATTTTCTCCATAAATATTTCTTCAACAAGCCCTCTAACTCTTACTACTAGGCTTTTACTCATGGCCCAAACTATAAACTCTCTACTTTGGGATATATTCTCTTCAATTCCTCCTCCATTCAGGCCTTAAGATTATCTATATGAAATAAAAATCTAGCCATTTTCACTTCCTAGTTAAAATTTCAACAGCTTCCAATAGCCATTGGGCTAAAAATCCTAATCTCACTTGAATGTCACATAAGGGCCTTCATAATCTGGCTCTTGGCTTCATATTCCACCATTCCCCTTCTGTCCATCTGATGGCCTAGCAACATCCCATTACTGGTTGCTTCCCAGTACCTACTGTGTTCTAGGTTACCTCTGGTTTCATTCTTGCTTTGCATTACTACCTTCACTGCCTACCTCCATTTCTCTACCTACTGCTTTACCTAGATAACTTCTCACCATTCCTAACTCAAGATTTCACTTTTGGAAAACCTCCCCTTAACTCCCGACTCCCCACTGCCTCTCCTCTACTATGTATGCATCTTTCTCTCACCCTTGCCACGTCTTAGAATAATTGCCTTCTTATTATCACCATTTACCCTGCTGGATCAGAAGACTGTTGAAAGTAGGATCAATGTTTGAATCATCATTGTGCCCTCAAAGACTAGTTTATGCCTATACACAGTAGAAATGCAGTGAGTATCTGTGAGATTAATAAGAATGGAATTTTTCTGAATAAATAACTAGGACAAAATAGCATCCTATGCAAAAGAATACAATAATTAGAATTTCCGATACCCAGGTTCAACTCTCAAGCTGTTACTTAAGTTGACTGAACATTTATCCCTCTCTACACATTGATCTTTAGCCACGCAAGGTGAAAATACAGACTCAAGATAATAATGACATCTCATTTAATTCTCGCTGCTCTCTTTGGGGCAGGTGTGAGCCTTGTTTTATTGTTATATTACTAATAAATGATGAAACAAAATAATTTGAATCCATTTCTTTTGACTCAAGGGTCTTTGCACCTGAAACTCTCCGAATATAGGAATTAACTACTCAAAATTCATGGTTTCCACCTCCTCACCAAACTTCCCAAATCATAATCTCCACTCATTTCCTCAGTACCCCTTCACTTCCACTACAATCTGACATGAAATCTACTTTTCCTCTCTCTTATCAGGATGCCATTCTCTCCTGGTTTTCCTCATAGTTTACTGGCTATTCCTTCTCAATCTTCTTCAAGGACTTTCTTCTCTTTCTTCACTGACCTTAAATGTCCTTTACCTTTCTGCAAAGTTTCCCAAGGAGATGACACCCATTCACAAGGAGTCAGTTCCACCTGTGTGACAGTGACTCCCCCAAGTGTATCTCCAACCCAGCTCTCACTGACTGCCATATACATGTGTCCACAGGTTGACTTACGGCAGCATCCAATTCATGCATTATGTTAAACTAAAGTTACCTTCATATGTGTCTTTTGTCCTATCCTCTGTTATCTTGGAATACAGCAATTCTAACTGCTTGCCAAGGTTAAATTACACAAAAATCATTCCCAACTGTTACTTCTTCCTCACTCACTACAGTCAAATTTTCTCTAAGTTCTATTTAGTATTCGTCCTTATGAACTTTCAGATCTACCTATCCTTTCCTCTAAGGCCTACTGTCCTAGCTTAGACCACCACCATTCTTCATTTGATGTCCTCCCTGATTTTGAACTTACCTCATTCTACTTCCCACAGTGACCAGAGAGTGATCTTTCTAACACAAAAATCAGATTACAGCTTTCCACTGATATAAAAGCCTTTAATGGTTCATCATTTTCTGCAGTAAAATCCCACTTCCTTGGAATAACCATTGCAGTCTCTTACTACCTTTCCTATATTTCTTTTGATTTCTTACTATACTGTTTTTCCACAACTTTGAAGCATCTGCAGTTCCCCAATACTTCACATTAACTCATTCATTTGGCCTTTCACAAGTAGTGCTCCCCACACCTGAAATGTCCTCCCTCCCAGCATAGCTTCCCCTCTATTGCCTAGTTAATGCAAACTCATTATTCAAGACCCAGCTAAAGCATTAATTCCTCTGAAAGTCTTTCTTACTCTCCCAATATAATCTGAATTAGATGTCCCTCATGGCATTCCTCTATTAATGTAATTATCACATTTAGTTATGATTTTTTATTTATCTGTCTATCCTCTAAGTTATAAAACAGAAGATGTAACTTTAGAATTAATTTTAAAAGGAGGGCAGTTTTCTGCCATGTAACTGGGAGCATAAACTGGTAAAGCCTTTTTGGTAGACATCTTGGCAATATCTATCAACATACCAAATATATATAATGTTTGACCCAGTAATTCTACCTCTAAGAATCTCTTCCATAGAAATATTCAGATATAAGTACAAAAATATACTATTAAATGTTCATGGTAGCATTGCTTAGAATAGCAAGAAACTAAGAATGATCATCATTACCACATAACACCATTCAGGTGTTTAAAAATACTGACTTTGAAAGGCATATTGCTAACTGAATTAAAGGCAAGTCACAGAAAAATATTAAATCATGCCCCTGCCAATCTCTACGCTGACACACATTTTATCTATGCAAATACATGGAGGGAAATCTGGGAAGACTGTACCAAATAGTCAACAATCATTAAATGTAGTCAAAAGACTAAAACTCCTAAGTTCTATTCCATATACTTTTACTAGGAAAATATATACTCCTATACACTTTCTTAAAGAGAAAAACATATTGAAGAATACACATTAATTACCAGCATAAAAAGAATGAGGTAATATCAACATCACTTTATAGTCTACAACAGTCTAAAACAGAACAAAAAACATCACTTTTCAATAAAACCAATGGTAAGCACCACAGAAAATGACTCTCTGAATCCTGAGTATGATTTTTTTAAAGATTTTTTTTAAGTAAGAAAAAAGTACTCATCAACTTGTGCTCTGGCCAACTGAATATCTTCTCTTAGAAGGCAGACATCGACATTATGTCAGTCTGTGCTCCTTAGAAAACATTCTTCTTCAAAGTTCAAATGAGAAAGCATGTGCTTGCTCTCTATATATAAATAATACATTTCCTAGAGGTGGAAATTTGTTTTTGGCAATATCAAGTTACCCTCTCTCACTCTGCAGAAGCTTCAGTACTTGACATTTACTCTCTCTTTTCTGAGATCAGACTGAAAGAAAGAAGCCTGCGATCCTTTCAAACATAAATTGATTATGTTTCAGTGTCCCTGTTGGTTTAGAGTTTCTGAAACACACAATTCTCACAAATAGGGTTGTTTTGTTGAGCACAAATACAAAATAAGACAGCATTAACATATACAAACTCAAGAGAAGTACTGACACTCTACCACCCCTCTTGACCCTGACAGCTCAAATAAATGAGCAGAACTGAAGACGAGCTCATTAGAGAAGCAGGAAAAACACAGGATGGGGATGTGACCAAGGACAGGATATCTTTAATACGTGGAATTAAGACTCTTCCATCATTACCTGGAATTATTTTTTCTGCTTTCCCTCATTCCTGTGAAAACTCTGAACAACACTTTTTCATAAACCATTTGATATGGTTTGGCTGTGCCTCCACCCAAATCTCATCTTGAATTGTGGTTCCCATAATCCCCACGTGTCTTGGGAGGTAATTAGATTATGGGGGTGTTCCCTCATGCTGTTCTCATGATAGTAAGTGAGTTCTCACAAGATCTGATGGTTTTATAAGGGGCTTTTCCCCACTTTGCCTGCATTTTTCTCTCCTGCCACCTTGTGAAGAAAGACGTGTTTGCTTCCCCTTCTGCTATGACTGTAAGTTTCTTGAGGCCTTCCCAGCCATGCAGAACTGTGAGTCAATTAAACCTATTTCCTTTATAAATTACCCAGTCTCGGGTATTAATAACAATGTGAGAAGGGACTAATATGCCATTACTATAATGGATGTTTATTCTTCAAGACAGAGTTGTATAAACTCCAGGGATAAATAAAATAATAAATACGCAAAAGAAAGAAATGAACACTCTGAAGCAAGAGCCTAGACCTATTAAATTTTTACCAATGGATCATTTCAGTAACATGAAAAATAAAAAATATATCCAGCTGGACCTTGGGGAATAAGCCAGACTCAGAAAGATGAGTACTGTCTAAGTCCACTTACATGAGATATCTAAAACAGATATCATGTAAGATTTTAAATTCATAAAATCAGAGACTGGAACGGTGGTTACCATGGGCTGGGGAGAGAGGAAAATGAATTGTCAATCAATAGGCATTAAGTTTCAATTAAGTAAGATGAATAAGCTCTAGAGATCTGCTGTGCATTGCAACTATAGTCAACAATAAGGTATTGTACACTTAATACACTTAAAATTTGTTAAGAAACTATATCTCACATTAGGTGCTCTTACAAGTTAAATTAGAAAAAATAAAGAAACAAATATACCTAGCTCAGAGACCTAGATCAGACTATAGCAAATATTTGGTTTCTAAGACATCCTAAGAAAACAAAAAAGTGGCAAAGCAATAATTCCTTTTTTAATTAAGAAATTAGTAACATATAGAAAAGTACTTAAAAATGCTATATCCATGTGCCTTCTACTGAGATTAAACAGATAACACTTCCAGAGATATGCTTTATCTTTTAAAGAAATAAAATTTGGCCAGTTGGGGTGGCTCACACCTGTAATCCTAGCACTTTGGGAGGCAGAGGTGGGCAGATCACTTGAGCCCAGGAGCTCGAAATCATCCTGGGCAACATGGTGAAACCCTGTCTCTACAAAAATTACAAAAATTAGCCGGGTCCGTGGTGGTGCATGCCTGTGGTCCCAGCTACTTGGGAAGCTGAGGTGGAAGGATCACTTGATCTCAGGAAGTGGAGGCTGCAGTGAGCTGAGACTGCGCCACTGTACTCCAGCCTGGGTGACAGAGTGAAACCCCACCAAAACAAAACAAAACCAACTTTATATATGTAAGCTTCTTCATTCCTCTCCTCCAGTAACTAATGCCCTTAAGTTCCTGTGTTGTCATTCCAACATATGCTCTTATACTAAATACATACCTCTCCAGAACACCATTACTCATTTCAATAATTTCTTTAAAAAATACACAAATGATATAACCATGCACATATATTTCTGCAACTTTTAAGTCATCATTTTTTGAGATTTACTCATGTTGCCACATTAAGTACTGTACAGAATTCTATGGATTACATAATTACCATTTATTAATCCACATCTCTACATAGGGCCAATTAGGTGTATCCTACTTTTCTATATTACAAACACTGAAATATATATGTATTATTGTGTACATGTGAAAACAGCAATCATTATTATGTATGAAATTTTAAAGAAAGCCTAAAACTAGAAAATAGAAATAAGCTAATCTATATACTAAACAGAAAATCTACGATGTTCCAAATGTGTCTATTTTATAATGGCCACAAAGGAAGAGATGTTTTTCATCTCATATGCTGCTTTCTTCCTTTATATTTTAAGAAAATAAAATCCCTCACAAAATGAATATATGTTTTACAGTCATAATGACTACCCAATGTGCCTTCATTATATCTTGCTTTTACTCTGTTCCATGAATTTCAAGAAGACTGAAGTGTGTGTGTGTGTGTGTGTGTGCACACGCATGCGTGTGTGTGCGTGCGCGTATGGTAGGGAGTGATACTTGCTGCCTCTTCATCCTTTACTTGTTTTCTTCTTAAATCTGGCATATGGGGAAATTCCAGTTATTTTTGTAAAGCAGGAAACTGAGCAATTCATAAAACAGATTCCTCTGTTCAACTCCGAGCTTGTACAAATGACCAGAAGAGTTAAAAACAAGAAAAGAGAGAAGATACTTCATTGCATCATTATTTCAAAACTGAAGTCAATGCAATGTCAAACTAACTTTGCTGGTGGGAAGACAGTGATATAATCATAACCATTATGGTCTTCTCATAAGAGATCATAATTGCCTATTCTTTAATTTCTTTGAGTTAAGAACTTTGCTGGCTTGAAGGGCTAGATTATTCCTATGGTGTAGCCCGATCCCTAGATGAAATTAAAACACTGGCTATGAGGATGTGACAAGAGGGAAGAAAAGCACCATATGATCTTCATCACTTAAACTTCTAAGATATTAAAAGGGTAGTGGGGAATATGGGAGATAGAGACAGGCTCTAAATTCCTTCCCACAAACATACCACTTAAATTAAAAATACACTGAAAAGTGAGCAAAATGAGATATGAACAGTCACTTCTCCAAAAAAAATACAAATGAACAACGAGCACATGAAAAGATGTTCAAACTCATAAATCATCAAAGAAATGCACATAAAACCAAAATGAGGTATACTTCACATCTACTAGGATGACTATAATAGAAAATAACAAGTAACAAGTATTGGAGAAATTGGTAGTGAAGGAAAAACAGAAGAAATAAAAGAAAGCCAAAAACCATTTTCTTAAGGGAAATTGAACTTGAAATGAGAAAAATGAGCACTTCAATATGAAAGTATATCACGTCAACAGACATAAATACATCTCGACAAATTTGATTTGATGACAAATATGTCAACGATTCAGTGGTATCACCACTAAGAAAGATAATCATTATTCTAGCAAAGAGTTGTTGCTAGAAGGCACAGAAATTAGGAGCATAGCCAATGGAGAGAAAGACCTAGATCACGAATCTGGTTTTAACACTTTCTAACTGCTGAATTGAGGACTGAGACTGCTATAAGTTAAAAAGGCCAGTGTGACACTGTTCCAGTGGAAGGGATTGCACATTAAGGAGTGGCTTATCAGTGGTTCTCTTACTTACTGAGCATCAGAAGGACTAGCAAATATGCAGATTCCTAGGCCCTGCCTCCAGAGATTCTGATTTGATACATCTGGGTAGAATTTGAGAATCTCATTTCTAACCTGCCCTTAGGGTAATGCTAATGCTATCCAAAGAACCATATTTTACTGAGCACTGGTTTGGATAACATGACATTCTATTTGCGTAGTTCCTTAAAAGAAAAAAAAAGCCAATTACCTGACTTTTCAGCAGGTTTTAGAAATTATGATATCTCTGGAGGAAAAATAAGGAATATGATATAATAATTAGCATTTTGAAGTGCTTATCTATAAGTTACTATTCTAAGTACTTTGCATAAGTTTATTTTATCTAATCCTACTAACCACCTTATGAGGTAAGTACTCTTATCTCCTCATTTCATAAATAAGGAAAGTAAGCCCCACAGAGGTTGACCAATTTGTCTGGTATTATACAGTCTGTGTGTTATGCCACATATGTACTGCTAAAAACTTTTTTTTTTTTTTTTTTTTTTGAGAAAAATAATGGAGCCTCACTCTGTCACCCAGGCTGGAATGCAGTAGTGCGATCTCGGCTCACTGCCATCTCCGTCTCCCAGGTTCAAGTGATTCTCTTGCCTCAGCCTCCTATGTAGCTGTAATTACAGGCATCCACCACCATACTCGGCTAATTTTTGTATTTTTAGTAGAGACGAGGTTTCACCATGTTGGCCAGGCTGGTCTCGAACTCCTGACCTCAAGTGATCCGCCCGCCTCGGCCTCCCAAAGTGCTGGGATTACAGGTGTGAGCCACCGCGCCAGGCCTGAAAACTTTTAAATCCAGTAAAATCCATATATCTGAAGTTGAAATAACTATATACATGTATGGTGTGGGTACCAGCTAAAGATAAAATGAGAGTATTCTTTGCAAGCCTCAAAAAAATTCTACAGACATGAAAATGAGAAAAGAAGCATTTTACTGAAAAACTATAATTCTTCTTTTCTATTTTACAAACATATTTATCTTTTCCAAAATGGTAATCACTCCTCTCTTTAAAGGAACACTTAATGAATTTCACATAATCTGACTTCATATAATTAAAATTATCTTCTTCTAGCCACTTCCTTGATAATTAAGGGTAATGATAGCCAAAATTCCTAGAAGACAAATTTAACTTTTATTTTAAAATCATCTAGTGACAGAAGTGCTTATGAGTCAAAATTATTTTAAACATCATTTGGCTAATGGTGGATCGTCTACTGAAAGATTAATGGGTAAAGATTACATACCTTGTTTTTAAAATAAACTTCAATTGGCAAAATGAAACCAGCATACCCAGATTCTTCTACTTTGTAAGGTGGATCTTTGCACACTGCAACATTAAAAAAGAAAATAGGTAAGATGAGAATAATAGACAAAAAGACATTCTTCTTTTAAAAAAAAAAATCCCATTCTACCATCTAGATCACACGCAATTTTCATAGCCCCTTGCCAAACTCCCAGTTGAGTCTCCGATCTATCCTTTATTTCTTCTCCAGAAACTATAACAATAATTGCTCTTATGTAAAGCAGATATGTAAGTCATTTATTCAAATCTTGGTGGAGAATAGCTCATCACAGTCAACCATGATTATTAATGAGTGAACTTCACTTGTTATTACCCTGCCCAAAAGCTTTAGGGAAACTGATGATTGCTCCCTATGACCCAAAGTTTGAAAAGAACTGTAAGCTTCCTAACAAGAGTATTATCTGCATCTAGTCTTTGATGCAAATCACTCCCCACCTTAACTTCTGACTTGTCTGAGATGTCCTGACAAGGACATCTTTTTTTTTTTTTTTTTTTTTTTTTTTGAGACGGAGTTTCACTCTTGTTGCCCAGGCTGGAGTGCAATGGTGTGATCTTGGCTCACCACAACCTCCGCCTCCCTGGTTCAAGCAATTCTCCTGCCTCAGCCTCCCGAGTTAGCTGGGATTACAGGCATGCGTCACCACACCAGGCTAATTTTGTATTTTTAGTAGAGATGGGGTTTCTCCATGTTGGTCATGCTGGTCTTGAACTCCCGACCTCAGGTGATCTGTCCGCCTCAGCCTCCCAAAGTGTAGGGATTACAGGCATGACCCACCATGCCTGGCCTAGAGATGTCCTGACTTCTATGCCATCCTCTTTCCTTAGAAAATCCCAAACCCAGAGTTTCTCAATGATGCATAACCTCCCTCCTTCACCCACCCAAAAGGAATGTTTACTAAAATACCAATATACATGTAAACACTTAAGATCTAATCACATCATAAGAATACATAAGAAACAATAAGGCTTTTATTTCTCATGGAGTTAAAAGGAAGCAAGACTATTAGGCAAGCTCTTGGGGAATGAGAGACCCTAAGAAGCCAAACAGGATTTCATTCCACTAAAATTTCAATTAAACGAAAATCAGTCACAAGCCAACTGAAACCATTCTAGTTAAGACTGCATTTTGGTGGTATCACAAAGTAAACATGTACATGCCAAATATCAAGGCCACACACACTGATGCCCTGAGTCCTCTTCAGCAGCCCCAGTTTACCTGTCCTTTTGTCACCTACCAAAACCCCTCTGCTTCATTCCAATGCATTTCCCCCAAATGTGCCCAGCATTTCCCACCAGTGCCTGGTCCTCCTTCTATCCCTTCCACCACACCTTGAAGCTACTCTTAGTATCCTCTGCAAGTTCAAATTCTACTTTCTTCACAAGATCTTTCTAGACCACAAAGCATTACCATCTCTTTTCCTTTTATCCTCCCAAAAAGTTAACTGCCTGAATCAGTACCTTGACACTGAACAGAGTTCCTTATGACCATATTTTGAAGGATCTTGTCTGCTAATTTCCTTTCACTTCTCAAGGACAGGAAGCACATTCACCTCAAGAAGATAGAGTGTCAAGGGCTCAGGCGACAGCAGCCCAGAATACTTGGGTACCAATCCATGATCCTCCTCAGACTAGGCGAGCTACCTCTGCAAAATTATTTCATCTTAGATCTCTGGGTTCCTCTTCTAGACAATCTGAAGACTAAACAAGGTGACCGTTACGAACTGAATGTTTGTATTCCCCTAAACCTCGTAAACTGAAATCCTATCAGGAGGTAGGAACTTTTGAAGGTGATTAGGTCATGAAGGTGGAAACCTCATGAATGGGATTAGCACCCTAGAGAGCTCTCTTGCCCCTTCCTCTATGTGAGGACATGGTGAGAAGATAGCAGTCTGCAACTCTGAGGAGGGCCCCCACCAGAATCCCACCATGCTGGCACTCTGATCTGGGACTTTCAGTCTCCAGAACTGTGAGAAATCCATTTGTGTTGTTTATAAGCCATCCAGTGGATGGTACTTTGTTAAAGCATCCTGAATGGGTAAGCACAGTGATGTGTGTAAAAGATGCAGCACAGGGCCTGGCGCATAAGTTCTCAGTAAGTGACTGAAGCCAGGGAGGAAATCTAAACATAAAACACCCAATTGCCATGTAGCCTTTTGGATGAAAATAAACAGGATGCAGCAAGCAAGAGCCCTAGATTTGGGTCAGAAGACTCAGGTCCACAGCCCTGGATTGAATATTCTCTAGACAGCCTACATTTTCTCTCCCTTTAAAGAAGAGGAAACACCATCTACACAACTGAAGGCACAGCCATCGACATACAAGGAGACTATATGTAAGGAAACAGAAGCGCGAGGCATTTTTATTACAGAAATGATGTTGATAATGTACCTGGAAATTGGTTAGACATTCCACAAGCAGAAATATGGTTACAAAAAGGTAAACTGAAGCCCACCTTAGGAAAATTGCCCCAAACTGACATCCGAAGAAGTAAATCAAGAATGAGACATCTCACATGACCTTATAAGTTTCTCTAATAGAAAAACGAAAACGTGAAAAGATCCAGAGTGGCTTCAGTCTTGCATTCACTGACCACCTGTCAACCGATCATGAATATTCAAATATTGTGAACACTGGAGACAAGTGAGAGAGTCTCACTAAACGCATTGAGCAGCCCCCACCCCACCTTAGCAAGAAGGCTAGTGTTACGCTTATGACACTTCCAGGCTGCAAAGCCCCTTTTCAGAACAGCAATTTCAGTGTCAGGTTGCTTGGGATTAATCATGCCAATGTCATTGGAAGGTAGTTTATTTTGTGGGCTGCTGCACATGCCAGAGAAGTTATACCTGATCCTCTATATACCCTTTAGTATAATTCATTTTCTCTATTCTGAATGCAAATTGCTCCTATTAACAGAAACAGCTGTTAATGAGCACATCTTATCGTTGAATATCTTTGGATTTTTTTTTCCCCACCCTTTAAAGGAAATGACTTGCTACGTACTAATATTGTATAGAAGTGTGATTTTATAAGAAACTGTTTACCAATTCATATAATTATTTTTAAATGCAACAATTTCATCAATAACAATGAACAATGTCTGTAAACCCCTGAGTTCTTAATTAGAAGCAAACAACAGGAACTTTTTACACACAATAAACAGGCTAGAAAATCAGTAGCCATGTAAATAAAAAACTTACAGTTCTAATCTGAAGAAAGTCAAATTAGGGGAAGTTGTTTATTTATTTGGGTATTTTATGATCAGAATTAGTATGAGTTTCTTAGTTCAAAAGAAACAGAGGTTAAAACTTAGAAACATTTTAGCCAGTAGGGATACTACATTAGATATAAAGCAATTCTTTTTTAAACAAGTAGAACCATGTTTGGGAGGGATCACCTTCTGTCACTTGCAACACTTCTTCATTGAGAGTCTCTTCTCTCACTGCATCAAGTTTATGATAGCTAAGCATTCTAAACCCTGAAACTAATTCTTCCTCTTGATTGTTCAAGAATCAGATCATCCTTAAGCTCTATGTCATAAAAGGCCAAGTTTCAGAAGCTACTGAATGAATATTCACCTTTAGAAAGCCATTAAAATCTTTAGGTGACAATAAAATGGGATAATTAACATTTACTTTTTAAATTCTCATGTTCTATTATATGCATATGCATTCTCACATATTAATTCAGGCAAAATCATTAAAAGCTTTTTTCATCTGTAAATATCCAGCCCAGATGTTAGCTCTTTCAGAACATCTCCCTTGGCTCTCTTCCATAATCTTGTTGCAATGAACAGGTCAGAAGGTAAGTCATTTCCCTCTCAGACTCCTCCACTAGACAGACCCCCTTCAAAGTCAGCAACCACAATAATTATTCATCTTTGCAAGGCCTGACACTACCATTGAGCCAAATAATATGTACCCAACAAATGTTTGTCAAATTTAACTTTTAAAAGACTCATGCTACCCTTCACTGATTTACCACTGCCAAAGAAGTTGTTTTTCCAAAAGAAGTGGTGAGTTGACAGTAACCCATCAAATTCTTCTCCAAACTCGCTACAATCAACATAAACTTTTAAAGCTTTTAAAAAATTGGCACAGGTGATAGAAAAGTGTTGCCACAGAGGAAATTTTTCTTGAGTACTGTGGAACTGGTCCTAGTTCTGAGAGCACCACATGTTAAGCAATTGAGTTAATCAACTGGGCCAGAAGATCTCTAAGGCCATTTTGAAACTAATATTCAACAGCCGTAAATAACCGCTCCCCTTCTCCTCTCCATCCACACATTACTACCCATGTACTCCAAGACTCTAATTGGGAGAGGTTTTCAAAACTCTCTTTGTCTAATTAATCCCATGTACCATGTAAGGTCTATTAGGATACTATAATGAAAATTCATGCCTGAGAGAAACAGACCAAAGTTTTTGTTTGTTTAAAAAGAAGTGTAATTGGGTTTAATTGCATTTTTCCCTGAAATGTCTTTTCAAAATAACAGACACAATATAGATTCAAATATATAATATGTAGTATGATGCTAACCATACATTGACCAATAACCTATTTAATTTTTAGTTGGAAAACATGTACACAAGGAAGAAAAACACATGGAAAGGGGGAAAAGAAAATGATCTGGCAAATTTGCAATAAGCAAGGACTTTTAATTAGTTAGAAATAAGTCAAACCCTTACTTATTAAAAGTCCTTACTGAAAATTTTAATATTCTCGTTTAGAAGTAAAAGATTTGACGAAGAGCTATGCTTGGTACAGAGAAATAAATGCTCTGTAAATGAATAAATATATTTGTGCTTATATAATAAATTACTTATATATATTCAATAAATAAATGTAATTAATAGGAACTATTTTTTTAGCACCAAAAGAAAAAACGCTGCCAACTCCATAAGACCTTCATTTAAACTTTAGAAGTATTATTAGGCAACAGTTTTTTCCCGAAACCTCAGGAAAACAGCTGGTAGATTCCTCTCCAGAGCATCCCTTTACCCTATTTGTTTTGATGCTATGATTTATGGCCATCTGAATACTTTTGTTAAGAACATGGCCCAGTTGCCCATTGATAATTATTGGCTTTACTTTATTTACTGTGCAGAGAGCCCTTCAGGAAGGAAACACATCAAACTCTCTCTATATATAGACTGGTTATTACTACTGCTTTGTGCCAAATGTCCCTTCCAGCTTTAGTATTTTGGACTCCCTCACTTCCTGCTTCACTTCTACCACATCAGAGCCTCCAGGAATGGGGCAAACAAGATCCTGTTCAGCCCATCTCTCCGCACCCAAACTGTTCTGCACAAGCATCTGGAAGTCTAGAGCCAGCGTCTGAAAGTCTGAGCATCAGAGGGTAGCTTACCGCACCTACCACTACAAGGCTTTACAGTCAAGACATTTTGAAAACAAAAATCAACAGTTGAGTTTTGTTTTTATTTTTAAAAGCACACACAAAAAGATTCACCATTGATTTTATTCATCCCACTTCAAAACAGATTATTCCTAAAGAACAAAATTTTAAAAAGTTTTCCCTCTTTTGTGTTTTATTTCCTCCATTTCCTTGAACAAGAATTAAAGATAACATCAACAAATACATTGAGTTGTATGTTGAGTTGTTCTCACCTTTTGGATCTTTTAAAAAATTCAAATGCAATTCTAAAAACCTAATTGCTTCCTATACAATAAGGAACTGTAGCCACCCAATATAACTGTCTAATTAACGTTCATAAAGTTTTAAAGACACAAACTAGATACAGTTAGCGGAGAAGATGCAGACCACCTGTCCACCTCCTCTGGACTCACCACTCAAGGCCTGACTCAATAGCACCACCTCTGGAGAGCCTTCTGCCAATACTCAAAACAAAAAATGGTCATTTCTCTCTTCTACCTTTTTCTCATTGCATCATATTAGCTAATCCTAATACATCTGCTACCATCAAGTCCCATCCTCATCCCTACTTAATTCAGAGCTTTCCAAAAGCTAATGCTGTTTCCCACACCTCCTCTCGTTCCTTATCCCAGACCATCATTTATGAAATTGAGTAAATTTGTGAAACATAACTTTAGCATGAGTTTTAAAAGAAGGGATAGAGTAAGACTGACAGTTGAGGATAAAGTATACA
The DNA here is from genome assembly GCF_000001405.40 of Homo sapiens. NCBI lineage: Eukaryota > Metazoa > Chordata > Mammalia > Primates > Hominidae > Homo > Homo sapiens. The sequence continues at coordinate 20,462,887 of NC_000009.12, forward strand.
AGGCCTGGGCAGCAAGCAGAAAGTGTGAACAAAGGCATCAGGAGAGTAAAATTCAATATAATGAGACAGTCGGTATAAGCAGAAACACTGAAAACAATGAAACAACAGACAATACAAATAAAGTTTACATTTGTATAGAGAACGTCATGCTACACACACTCAGAAATTCATGTCAAAAGTCCATGAGGGGAAAAATGGATTGCACTCGTAAAGGAGGGATTATTGAATTTGAAATGTTACAGAGAACCCCTAGATTTGGAATAAGAATTTGAGACTCCAAATTGGCTATATTGCAAAAATCTTAATGATGATACATAAAAATTACTTCACTTGTTAGTAACTTGGAATGTTTACTTATGTATTCAGTATATCCCTGGCTTCTCTTTCAAGGGGGTGGGGGGGAGGAGAAATTTTCTTTAACATACGCACAACATTTTCAGCTTTCTAAGGAGTTTAGTCATTAGAGTTAGCAAAGCCCATGTAGCTGAGGTTAAGTCAATACATTTCATCTTGAGGGAATATAACAGCTATGTTAAAACAGGACTGCTTTCACAATCATTTCTTCAAGGAACGTATAACAAATAAGCCAGCAAAATTCAGAAGTTTCCCAAAACTAGGTAATATTATTAATTGCTAGGAAATACTAAATATAATTTCTCAGGCTTACATCTTTCACTAAAATTGATAGTGCTTCTCCTAGCAACTTCCCCCAAGTTCCTTCAATGTAACTCAGTATACAGAATTGTTTCAAATGATTAGCCTAGTGGACACAGATGTCCAGGCTAATATGATGGGAAATAGAAAAACTGTATCTTCAGAGAAGGTTCAACCTAGAAACAGACCTAATTTTTTATTGAAAATAATACAAATGGAAAAATCTTGAGACTTGTATTCCAAGAATTATTATCATTTTCTTAAAGTTAAACCTTGGGCAAAATATTCATATTTCAGAAAGTCCATCTGGAAAAGCAACACTAGCTACACAGAAAATGATCTTCTAGGAAAGTAACTAAGAACTGTTCCCATATTTGGTGGGAACATTTTCATTTCAGTGTGTACTACTACATCATAAAAGTTGGTCATCTGAAACCCCAGTTCTTCTTGGTGGCTTTTTAAAATAAAATATATAAAAAACCATTGAAGAGTATCACTTCCTAAAACAATCGCCTTTTGATTTCTGTAGGTAGCAGAAAAAACAAACCTTGGGACAGCCCTCTGGCATCAAAATTTTACCCAGGCTTCCATGTACTACTTCTGGCCGAGCCATTGCTAAAACTGGAACTGTTTTTTATTTAGAAAAAAAAAAAGAATTTTAATGTGTTAATTTATAAAATTATACTTTTCATTAATATTAACGCATTTCTTCTCAATAATAATAGCCAAATTAATTAAATTCAACAAGCACTACAAAATCTTAAGGCTACAAAGATAAGACGAGTCCTGCTCAGTCTAACCAGAGACCGTTGCCTGCTAAGTACAAGTTCTATTCTAGGGACTGTGGATAGAGCAATAAACGTAATTGACAGGTCCCCTGCACTTAATAAACTTATATCCACTGTTGGGAGACAAAGGGAGGAAGTGGAGAGAAAGACAACATGCATATATAAAATACTGAGAAAGTACTGAGTGACAAGTGCTACATAAAAATAACAGTATAGAATAATAAAAGTGTTATGATAATAAAACAGACTTAAAGAATAGGAGCTCTTTTTTATTTTAGAATCATAGTCCCTCTTTAAGGAAGTGGCATTTAAGTTGAGACCTGAAAGAAAGAAAAAAAGCGGGGAGGGTATGTGTTGGCCTGGCAGGAAAAAATGACATTTATATTGGTTACAGAGGAAGATGTGCAAACAATCTAAAGCCTGTCCTTATATTCACCTCCAGCACTACTTAGCCCCTTACCTGATTTCTTCCTGTATAACTGAGGTGAAAGCCATTTCTTCCTTCCTAAACATTTCCTACTTGGGCTTCTCTTCCATGAATTCACCATGTAATAACCCACACAGGTCTGGCTCTTATAATTTCATGATAATCTCGTTTCTCATATCTTAAATTCTCCTAAAGCTATAAACCCCCAAGAGCTTATAATGACTCTACATTATAAAGATTTTATAAGTAGACATAATTCTTGGGAATTTATATAACCTATTTTTTCTTTTTCAATCTGTCCCTTGAAATTTCAGAGTTCCTAAACACAATGAATGTGGACTAAGGAATACCAAAGCATAAAAAAGCAGCAGATTTTGAGTGCAATTTAAGAAAAGGAAAGATAACAGGTGAAAAGCTATCTACACAAGGGAGGGAAATAGTGTTGCAGGAAAAAAATTACATGGTTCAGGAGAGAAAGGGGAAAAGTACAAAAAGAGATAATGTTCAAATTATTAATATACAGTAGTTCTAATTTTCTCAAACGTATATTCACCTTAAAAGGATAATTTTCAACTGAAATAGATGGGTGTTGTTCTTTTAATAAATGCACTGTATGAGAGTTACTTTTAAATACGCTACACCCATATTCTCTTACCTAACATGAAATTTCATTTTTTATTCTGACCCTTTTTCTCCAAATGCAGAGGACAACAAAATTGTGTTACACACAACAGTTATCAATTGCATAGGGTGATAGAAATGGCAATGTGTTATAAAATAATCAAATATAATAAATCAAAATTAAAACCCATTTCTGAGTTTTAAAAAATAGCCTAGGAGACCATCAGAACCTAACTCGACAGAAACACCAAAACGTGATGGCTCAATATTAATTTTTGCTTTATTCCCTTTTCCAGGACAGGATCCAAAATTGTCCTAACTTCAGAGGAAGGATTAAGAACAAGATTTCTTTTCAGCATCTTGTGAGCTCTACTTCTTTTTCCCCCCTGCATGGCATTTGGCATAGTGGTAGCCTATCCTAAATATCCTAATTGATTTAAACTCCATTAAACATTAAAAACAAAGACTGAATGAGGGTGATGTTAATATGATGACGACAGTTTATACAGGGTACATATAGGAGTACAGTTTCTGTTTAGGCTGACAATCTTTCAATCTTCTTCAAGAAACCAGGGAAAATCCAGTTTCTCCACTTTTCTCAAGCAAGGATTTCCAAACTGTGTTCCAGGAAACCCTACATCCTTGCAAGCTGTTTAAGTGATTCTACAAAAAGGGTATTTGTCCCAAACAATGAAAAACTGAACAGTGGAAGGACTCATCCTAGTTTTAGATACAGGTTGAATATCTCCTATCCAAAATGCTTGGGATCAGAGGTTGATTTTGGATTTTAGATTTTTTAGGATTTTGGAATATTTGCCTATACTTAAGGTTCAGATTTTAAATCCAAAAATCCCAATCCAAAATGCTCCAGTGATTATTTCCTTTGAGTGTCATATTGGCATTCAAAAGTTTCAGATTTTTGAGCCATTTTGGATTTCCGATTTTCAAGTTAGGGAGACTTAACCTGCACAGTGTTAGTGTCCCCTTAACATTATGTGAAAAAAAGCCATGGCTAAAACAAAATCTGAAACCACTGTTCAAACGCATTTACATTATGAAGTTTTAGCTATATCATTTAAGTAAACCTACTTTTACAGAGTATGGGGTTTTTTTGCTTGCTCCTATCAAACATAGTATCAGTTTACTGTTTTCTCCCTACCCTGACTATAGAAGTGAGAAACACACAGATCTCTCAGGTTTGTAACTCTGGCATGTCTTTGGGCTAAATAGATAACAGGATAAAGAACAGCTTTTATTCAACTCTGCAGGTCAACTTTTACAAAATACCTTCTGATTATCAAATGTGGTACTAATTGCATAGTATCTCTCATGGTCTCTGAATTGCAGGAATTACTAAGTAGGGGGACAAATATAAGAGCACAAACATAAATGAAAGAGAAATCAAAACAAACATAAAAACTACTAGTAGTCAGTGTTATAGGAGGTTGCTCACAAACTGAAATGCTTAGGGAACAAACCAGGGAGAAGCAGAGACAGAGTCAGTCACTGGGGCTTAATATTAGTTTGTTTTAAAGGAAGCAGGTATGACTGTCAAAAGGAAGAAGAAAATAAAATTCTAATGAGCAGTAATGATTCTAGAAAAGCTTGGTATAAGTAGGTTATAATACAAGCTAGAGTATATATGAAACATTCCACAGTAGAGCAACTGAATTAGGTATTTCTTAACAGTTCTTTTCAAACTAGAGACACTATGAAAATAAGAGGGAGGTTAAAAAACAAAAAGAGAGAGAGAACCGGATATTGGCAAAGAGTTTTTTTTTTTCAATTGAGACAAGCTCTCACTATGTTGTCTAGGTTGGACTTGAACTCCTGGCGTCAAGTGATCCTCTCGCCTCAGCCTATCAACTAGCTGGGACTACAGGCTGCACCACCATGCCCTGCTTAAGATTTTAAAAGTTCAGGCCAGGCTCAGTGACTCATGCCTGTAATCCCAGCACTTTGGGAGGCTGAGGTAGGTGGATCACGAGGTCAAGAGAAGGAGAACATCCTGGCCAACATGGTGAAACCCCGTCTCTACTAAAAATACAAAAATTAGCTGGGTGTGGTGGCACGCGCCTGTAGTCCCAGCTACTCAGGAGGCTGACGCAGGAGAATCGCTTGAACTCGGGAGGCGGAGGCTGCTGTGAGCCGAGATCATGCCATTGCACTCCAGCCTGGCGACAGAGTGGCACTCCATCTCAAAAAATAAAATAACAAAATAAAAAATAAAAGTCGATGAGCAGATTTAATCTTATTTAGGAGTAATAAAAAATCGCTATTTTGAGAATAGAAGCAAAGGTAACCAAATAATGCGCAAAGCATATTGCCTATTGCCCCAAATAAACAAAGAGAACAGAGAATACAGAAAATGAAGACTAAATACGAAGAAAGAGGAGGAAAAAGGAGGCTGAAGGTTAAGATGCTGTCAGAAATTATGACTGTACCTCAAATACAAAAGTAGGAATTATCATGTATGCTGCTGAAGCTTACTGTAATAATTGGCAGGTGTTTTCCTCACTTAAATCAAGGGCTCATTGAAAACTTTAATTTAGCAACAGGCAGCATTTTGCGGAAGAGGCAGGTATGTATAACGTGGAGACAGAGAAGTTTAGTGGTCGAGAGCCAGAGCCTTTGAGAAAGATCCTTAGGTTCAGATCCCATCTTGGACATATTATGTTCAGTTCCCTCATTTACAAAGTGAAGCTAATGCTATTGCCTACTTCATATAGCTCCTATAAACTGTAAGAGGTTATCCATGCTAGAAAGCATGAGATAGTCCCTTAACTTTTAAAACACTTTCTGAAAACTAGAAATCACTCAGTTATCTAATAGTAGTCAAATGCAAGCCATAAATATTAGAGAATTTTTTGGACTTCTTCCCCCAAACAGTGAAATACATATATTTGCCATCAGTATAATTAAATATTCCTAAATTTGTTTTTATTTTTGCTGTCATAGCTCCTTGACAGGGATATGTGAAAAAAGAAAATGTTCCTCACTTGGAGTTCTTTTAGCTCAATCCACCACTAAAGGTACTATTAGCAGTGAGGCCACACTAATCAGCCCACCTAGAAACTCGTGAAGCCCAAGTGAGCACATATTGTGAAAAAGCTTTAAGTAAGGCTTCCGAGGTTATGTACTAAAGCAGGAACACTGAAATACTGCAATAAACAAATGAGTAGAAAATGGAAATGTAATCTGAGTTTGAGTCCTGTGATGCAGTAAAAGAAAAATTAATGGGGAATCAGGGGACCTGGTTCTGGCTCCATTTCTATCACAAACTAGCCATTTGTCCTTTAACCACTTACTCTAGCCCTCCTCTGTCACATAAGAAGCCAGCTTCCATTTCAGAGGCTGCTTCCACATCTAAAATCCTAACATTCAAAGGACCGACGTCATATATGTTACTTCTACTCTAACTTGAAAGCAAATGCATTTTTTCATTATCTTTGTTTAAGCATAAAACATTTATCAGCTAAACACCACATCTGCTGTTAACACGATCAGGAAACTGAGACAAAACAAGCAAACAAACAACAAAAACGAAGGGATTTAAAATCACACTTGAATTGTTTTAAATATATTTGGTAAAGCCATTTTTCTTAAAGAGAGAACAACTATATTTTTTATTAGACCATTAAATAAAGGAATACTAAATAAAACAGGAAATACTAAATATAAAGGAATACTAAATATTGCCCCCGTGCAATAAAAAATAAATTAGATTTTCATTGTTTCCATTCTTACTTGGGAGTCACCTTAAATGTGTCAAGTAAAACCCTGTTTTACATGTATAAATCAAACCAGCAATTTGATTCCTCAGGAACTTGGTATAATTTAGTTAGAGTGGCATATGAACTCCAGTATTAAGAAATGAAACAACAGAACATACCTGGCAGCATTTATGAGAAATATCATGCCTTTAAAATGGTAAAATAGAAAATTAAATCAACTGTTTGCACATTAGGCATAGCACGTTATGTAAAAAGCTCTTGAATGTTATGATTTTTCTATATATTGCACTTGTAACACCCTTGTTCTTAATCACATTGAAGCATATTACATTGCTTTTTAAATAGAATGCACCCTGCCACTATGCAGTCAATCTTAATAGTATTCCAGAACAGCGTGCCCATATGAAAGATAGGTTGATGAATAGGTTTATGCCCTATTCAAGGAGATGAAACAGCTCAATAGAAAGATTAAGGCTTCTGCCAGTAGTTGAATCTTAAAGTCAAAGAGAAGAACACAACTCAAACCAAATGTTACAGACAAAGGTCAAACAAGAGAATAACTGAGAGCCTAACTTGAAGAACTAGCTAGTGTTCACTAATTCGGTGCAATCAGGAAAAAAAAAAAAAAAATCTCTCTTCCTAAAGAGTGACCATAATAACTTTCACTGAGTCTGTTTTAAAAGATAAATTATAAAACTGAATGAAGGTGAGCTAAGTCCCAAATAATATTCACAGGGAACCATTCCTATTTTGAATCGACTGGAACTTAGGTACAACACAGATTAAAATCTTGCTGTCATATTGTAATTTAAAAATAAATTCTAGAACTATAAAATGTCAAATATTAACAGAAGTATGAATTTTGGTAAAAGCCTTCCAGTTAATTTTGTGTAGAATTCTATTATAGTCTAATTTATTTATATAAAAAGAAAAGAAATTTTATGAAGAAAAAAACAGCAATTTGTTTCCCAAGTATTATTTTTTGTTGACTTGAATGTCCAGTCACCAGTTTCAATCTCTTCTAACAGGGTATTTAACTAAAAGATGAACATATACTTCTCACTGTGTACACATACTACCTTCAAAATGGAAATACAAACTTGGCTCTAGGAAAATGTGGAAAGTATAGAATAGTGCTAAAAGAATAGAAAAAAATGTTTATCACGTTAGTAGCAAATATTTGGGAGGCATTATAATCCCATCTTGAGAAGCCTGGTTTATTTAAATTTCTCATCAGACAACAGGTTCATTTGTGTTTTATTAAAAAAAATTGCTCTCCCTGTGTGTTGTCATTTCGTATGTTGAAAACCCACTATCTAATTTAATTTTCCCTCCTAAATAGCAACGTTTTTGGACAATGATGCTGATATCAGCTAATGAACTAAGTAAATCATGTGAATTAGTATACCTATGTCAATGCCATGCCCAGGAGTAAATACAATCAACCAGAAAGACTACCAAGAAACTGAATAAGCTTTACCTACCTTATCAATTCCTTTTCCTTGTTTTTCTGTTTTCATCAAGAAATGCTGGTAGATAAATTCCAAATCCATCTGACTCTAGTTTCTTCCTGGGATGTCAAGTACTATTGTTTAGCTTCTACCCTAAACCAAAGGTACAAAGGAGGGTAGGGAGGGAGTAATAAACTGAACAATAGTACTTAACACCACAGGAAGAAAATTTTAATATTTTAAAATGATGCTTTATGTATAAATACATGCATTTGCTCTCACACATACCCCCTTCTAAATAAACACATATCAAACATTGCAAATAAGTCATTTTCTTTCCTACTTGCAACAAAAAGCAGTGAGACATTTAAAGACAGCCAATTTCAAATAATTTCTTCCTTGGAGATAACAATAAAGGTATGATTTATTTAACACCTTTCATCACGTCCCTGAAAGATCACTGATGTCACATAAATCTATAACATAAGGAAATAAGTAGCTCAAGAGCTCTGCCAGCCACCCTTTTTTAAAGATGGAATATGACAACTTAAGCAATTTACTCAGAGGTCAGTGAGTTAATTCCTAGCATTCAATCAATAGATATTTATTAAAGGCTTCTGTGTAGCACTTTGTGCTGGATGCTTATATGAAAAGTATTTTTTTCTTTTTGCTTATTTGGATCTTCTCATTTTTCTACAAAAACAAAAATTATTACTTGTAATAATAAGAAAAATCTTTAAAACAGTAATGCGATGTTGAGTGAAATTAAGAGGAATTCGGAGAAATGCAAGGTCTCTGGAATTTGAAATATTCAGAAAGTCAAGGAGGACTGAGGTCTAGGTCTTCCACCTATGCGTACTTTCCATTCTACACCTTTTCCTATGAAAATCACACAAGAAACAAGTTTATAAAGATACCAGATTTAGAGCCAGCTAAACTGTGTTCTTTGCTGCTCTGACATTTCCTAGCTGTAGTAATTAACTTTAGGTAGGTTATTTAACTTCTCTCTATCTCAGATTCTCCTATCCATAAAACAATGAAAGCATGGCTGTGCAAATTCAATGTAACACATTATTTTATGAGAAACTTGATTTGTAAATGCTAAATGCCTGCCAAACATTCGTCTTAAAACATATTTTGCCAACAGTTACGCTTACTTCCACTAAATGGGGACAAAGAGAAGGTGCCACTGAGCCAAAACTTCTGACTAACCAAGAGATAGGTGTTAGAAATACTGAGACATAATTCTGCCCCTAAGGATGTCACCTACCATTTTTTTTTTTTTTGGATAGAAAACTCTAGTAGGATGTGGATAATACACTTTTACCACCAACACAGCAACACAGCTGTTTCTTAGCTAAGAAATAGCAAGGAAAATGAAGATCCTAAAAGAATATATTATTAGAATAGCATAATACTGTTAAACTGTTAAGGTGAAATAAATGACATAAATTTGGAAGTTCTTTTACAAATATGGTTTACTTGAACTTCATGTTTTAGTTTAATGCTCTTATTATCTCTCCATGGCTTTAATTCTAGCTTCATTTAGATAATGTGTTATAGCTATCAAAATATGTTTTTAGGGATTTGTTTTTATGTTAAAACCCAGATATTATTTAATCCTATTAGGATTTTCATTTGCCTTAAATTTACTGACATAACAGAAACTATATTAATAAACTAGTATGCAAATTTTTCAAGTTACCATGTATTTCCTGGGATAGGTTTATATTCTGAGATGGTTCCAACCCTCAATGCCACTGCCATCACCTATTTTCAACATATGTGTTGCCGGCCATTCACTTATTCCTTTCCCAAACATCGCACATTTATTATACACCAGGACTAAGAATGCAAGCATGAATGAAATAAGGGCTTATCCTCAAAAGGATCATAGTTAGGCATTTTCTGTCCAAGCATTTTAGATCCCAGTTAAGAATTTCAAGTACTGCCCACCCCTACCACTGGGGGTTGGGCATTAAACAAGTGAAGGTGCCAAGTCTTTAGCAGCAGTAGTTGAACACCCTAGATTGAACAAACTTCAGATGGGCTTAAACCAACTATAAAGAAAAATATATATAAGCCCCTGCATGTTTTTGAAGAAACAGTTCTTGTTAACAACCAAAGAAAAAGCTTTTCATAAGCTATAAGTGCTAATACAAATACCAAGCAAACCAAATTTAGAAATATCTTAACTTCTAAACCATATCCTTTCTTTAATCATATTAGTTCAGCAATGTAATTGCAATTCAATCCTCTCCTAGTCATTCAAAAGTTGGCCACACTCCCAAAGAAACTTCAACTGCTATTCTTTCCATTTATTTCTTTTTACTAGCACTATGCTAACAAAAAAAAAAAAGAAAAGAAAGTTTCTTAGCTAAGAGTCCATTAGTTTAATTACACCTAGAACAGTGGTCTCAGGATCAGTAACACCAGCATCACCTGAAAGACTTTTTAGAAATACCAGTTTTTGGTCTCTACTCTAGATCTCTTAAATCAGAAACTCTGGGGTAGTCCGTAGCAATCTGTTCTCCTAAATCTTCCAGGAGATTCCGATGCTTGCTCAAGTTTGACATCCACTGCACTAGAGATCTTCTCATATACTCACGTAGTCAAAGCAAAGATGTTTTCTCTTTGCAAATCACTTTTTCTTATTGCTTCAGTTACACTGCTATTTTTTCGTCCACCAAATGGTTAAAGTTACTTCTCTCATCTGAATAATTACATCGTTTTCTAAAACACTTTTTTAAAGGAGCATGATGTACAATCATCCCCTAAAAATTTCCTTTTCTGTATAACATTATTTTAATAATACAAAAATTGTTAATAATGTTGAGTTTCACCAAATGTAATTTTAAAAACAAAGAACAACAACAAAATAAAATGTTCAAGAGTAAAATTATGATCCTTAATGTGATAACAACACTAGAGGTACGTCTGTTTACTGTTCAAGCAATCACTGCCAGGAAGACATAGACACAGTCAGGGAAGGAATTTTCTAAACATCAGAGGCTAAACAACAGTTGCTTTTCATTGGTTGGTAAAGAATAGGACTGGGTCCAATATTCAAGCTTAATCCACCAGATAATACTCAAACATTTCCCATAAGAACTGTCAAGAACATAGTAATCTCATAATGTCACTGCTATGAAAACCATTTAAAAAAAAGCAAAAGACAACAAAAAAACTAACTATGCTAATAAACTAAAAAAACAAAGTAGCTGCAGACTGCTTCACAATAATGGACTCAAAGCCTGGCTCATATACAACAATGAAGTACAATACATAAATAATTATTATGCAACTTGTAAATTACTACTGTACTTTCTAGTCACTGCACAAATAGAATTTATTCTACCACACTCTTGCTTCATGTCTGTTCCTAGAAGGCCAGAGTTGATGCCCAATAGAAGTATCAAATGCCTACAGACTTGGAATAAAGTTGATTCCCTTAAACGATGATAATATAACCAGCCTCTCGATACTCAGGACACTGACCTTGCTGCAGCTGCTTTTGATTTCCAAGTGTCGGCTGGGAGTGTCTTTTTCGGTCTCTTGGCTCCTAAACTTATGATTTATCTTTCTGAAGCCCTCGACACCATTTCTATAACACTCTAATTATTGGACTGATTTGAACAAAAGATTCTTCAGTAATTTTGGCTTAAAACCACATAGAAATTTTTATAATAAGAAATGTGTAAAGAAAATTGGAGAAGATTTGAAGTGATGAAAGAGTTTATATCTGTTATGATCTAAACAGAACACCCTGGAAATTAGCTTGTGTAGATATTAATGTTCAAATGCAACTATGAATACTTACATTTTCAATGACTAGCTGACCCACAATTAATATTCATTATGTGAAGCCAATTACTCTCAAGGTATTGCTGTTAATATAAATGGACCTACCCTATCTTGTCATTCTGTTCCTATACACGAGTCTCCTCATCCATATACTACAAGGCTCGGTCTACCACCAAAAGACTCTGCCTTCATTCGGCGGAGACCCTGAGAGACACCCTTGTATTCCATCCTAATTTGTTTTTTCCCACATACAGCCCCCTCTCTGATCTAGCTATTTGCTTAAGAAAATAGTGCCCTATAAGCAGTTTGACCAACGAGGGGAAAAAAAAGCAGACCAAAGGGCATCCTATGACTATAATGTAATGAGGGCAATTTTCTCCCACAGCTACTAAGCTGGTTTTGAAGACAGCATCCACAGAAAGCACTTGAAAGAAACACACTCTTTTGCAAAAAATATGTTTTAATATATCTATTCCAAATCTCATCAAGACTTGAATATTTTTAAATAGCTAACAGGTAAAAGGGAGTAGTGTTCTAAATATTGGAGGACTTTATTACATATGTCCACATCCAGGAGTAAACTAGAGTAACTTAATGCTATGAATCCAACAAAGAGCTGTCAGCCTAGTACACCAACCCATCAAGCCAAAGCTTTAAGGCTACTTGACACTATAAAGTAATGGCATGAGAAATGGCCGGGGGGTGGGAACTGAATGAATGAATGAAAAATCCATTGGCTTAAGAGTTGATTCATGCATTTTAAAGGTCAGTGTGATTTATACAACTTTAAAGGCTCAAGGTGAAGTTATTTGTGATGGGATGGCAGCTCTAGTAGGAAACTCAAATACAGCAGAAATGTCAGCCACTTGACTGTTAACGACTGTGCTTTCTGCAGTAAATTTCTACAATGTGAAAGAGGGTAGCCAAACAGGTATCTCTCAATAATTCACCTAAAAAGACTTATCCCATCCCCTAACTCTTAACAACTTTTCACAAAGATACCCATCAAATCTCCCCTCTTGGAAGCTGTCCTGCACTTTATCTTAATGGTATAATTTCAAATTCTGATCTGCTGCATGAAAAAGAAGGCATAAATCAGCTTCAGTTAAGAAATATTTAAAATTTTGTTAACATATAAAGTTTCATACAACTGTCTACTATTAGGCAGCTGTATTGAAATAAGTCATGTATATATGAAGGACAATTCAACAGGATCAGAAATATATTATTTATAGCTGATTAAATATGGTATTTGGTGCATTTGTTTAAAACAAAACAAAACCTGGTTCAGGTCCCCGGGTCAGGAATGGAAGCTCCTCATTCTCACATTGGTTTTATGGGAAAAATCACATTTGACTTCCATTACACTGATTTACATTACCTAGCTATACCAGGATTTGGCACAATTTAAATACAAGAGCTTTTTACACACCAAAGTTGAGTCCTCCTCCAAAATACACACAATATTTCATTTCAATAGGTTGAAGGGAGAATATCAGTAAAGCTATTGGTCAGTGTGTTATTTCAGTTAGCAACAAAATTGTCCTACTGAAACAAACTATGCGTTTCACTGATACATGTTTTTCTAAATAGCAAATATGATAATGCTACCTAAAAGTTTTCCCAGTTATTCCAAACTTATTTATTTGATTCAAAAACAGGAAAATTATTGTCTCAACATTAATGCGCTGTTTTTTTTGTGTATTTTTTTTTAAGAGATAGGGTCACATTCTGTCACCCAGGCTGGAGTGCAGTCACGCAATCATAGTTCACAGTAAACCTCAAACTCTATTTGGTGAAGATATTTCTAGATAAAATGCCATGTGATAAATATGGTTAATGAAACAGGAGGAGAAATAGTACTTGAGCAATGCATACACTCTTCAGATTTTGTGCCATCTTCCTACAAGACTCAAAGCAGGTCAGCAGGTTTGTTTTTTAAGCAAGTTAGAGTGACCCAAATCAGAGAAATACTTGTATACAGAGACCCTGAGACAGCAACTTCACTTTAATCGGGAGTTAAATATACTGTCTAACAAAGGTATCTCATAGATTTCAGCATGCCTTATCCACATGTTCCCTGTTCATTACAGTGTGTAAATTTAAGTTATATCAGTCACTTGTAAAATACTGCCAAAAAATTTATATCCTTAAAACAAATAAGTAATGTCAACTTAATTCAAAAATAAATGGTAATACATACAATTATAAATCAGAAACCAAACAAAAGCTTATAAAATTACACCAGAGGCTCTATAAATCATATGGTACCTGGTTGAGATTCCTTGGAAATGCCAATGAAAACCAACCTTCTAAGGATTTAAAATGAAAAACTTTTTACATTTGAAGACAGTATTTTATCTTGAATCCCTTGAAGTCCATCTTAAGTGGAGTATTCATCCTAAAGACTGACATTTTCATTGAATTCTCAATATTAAATAGAAATTGTTAAGAATGATTACAATCTAGAAAATTATCAACTAGCTAAAATGTCCTGATTTAAATTTATATCAATAACCATAGCATACGTTAAGGAATCTATCCTTTAAAACAAACAAGTCTTTTCCATCTGTGAATAAAGGCCAGGCTTTAAAACCTATGGTCTTTTGTTTTTTCCACCATGCTATAAACATGCTATAAATAGTTTGACAGACAGTTTCACCTTTAATTGAACCAACTCTGACTAGAACAGGGATACGGACTTTTGTCTCCTCCCTTCTCTGGGGCCCAGTGGGATGAATGTCGGAGGGATTCCACACAAGCTTTAGATGTCTTGGACTTAGACCCTATTTGTTTTGGAACCATGGGTTCCTTTCTTATTAAATTCTTCTATTTGCCAGGAGAAAACTGGAACAAAAATGAAAAAGTGTTGACTTTAAGGTTTGCTCTATTTGTCATGATTGGAAATTTCAAGGCTCTTTTTTCTTTCTTTGTAAGGCAACACACTCTACAAGTTGCTTATGCCCTTTGTTTTTTAAAGTAGTATTTTAGAGAGAGGAGTGAAACAACTGGAGTCTCTGTTTTATAATGGCATTTGACTAACAAACTCTGATGCAGCCTCTCTCACATCCCCAACTAAAAATCTTTGAAAGTAGACCCCAATAAGTTAAAACAAACTCTGCCACCTAAAACTGAAGCTGACAACCTATCACCTTTATGTGAGCTTACTGTCCTAATGACCAGAAGGATGACAAAACTGGATAGGGAAAATTTTAAATTAATAAATAAATAAATAGCCCTCCTCTCCTATATGCTCTGGGGCCCAGGAAGAGTCACACAACTTCTCCCTGGGACTTAGTTTCTTCTATAAAATAAAGGCTAGAGCTAGTGACCTTTCTGGCTCTACAGTTCTCCTATACTCCAGGGAGATACAGAGAGGGTGCACAGTATTATCAACCTAATCCCAATGGTATGAGTTATTTTTGCAAGCTCACTTCTACCCTAAAATGAGATGACCAACACTGCTATAAAAGCAACAAAGAAAGTCCTAAAGAGAAGGAAATATTTTCTACGACTGTATGTTTCACAGATTAACCAATACTGGATTTAACAATTTAGGATTTCATTTTTAATTAGGTTGCAGAAGAAGCGCTGTTCCAGCCTTTGCAACTTCATCCTCTATTTACAGCTGCCAAAGTAAAAAGTACAATAATTATCAGAGGTGGATCAAGAGAAACAAAGCCACCTTGAAATAACAAGTCCCCTAAACCCTGCCCTGGGGCTTAGTGTCGCTGTGTTTCAGGCATGACAAGAACTTGGGTAGATCCTTTGCAACTGCTTGGTGATCACAGATTCTCGGTGGACTGGCAGTGGCTGCACTGAGAAGCTGCATCTTATTCCTCTACCTCTGCAGTCTCTTCTCAGATATGTTAATTGAAGTTAACACGGCATTCTTTGCATACACTAAGGCCTTTATAAACATTTCTGGCTTTCACTAAAGAGCTACAGTGAGGAGAAGAGATGTAAGTTCTGTGAAAAGAGTTGTTCTGTCTTGTTTAGCACTGTCCCTCAGTGACTAAAACAATACCTGGCACAGAAGAGATGCTCACTAACCACAGACGGACTGACTAACATGCCTCTTGAAAGTAAGCCAGAAATATAACATAGAACATGGCTGGTGAACTGCAGAGTGAGACACTGTGCCCCGTCAAGGAACAACTCAACCAACTGATCGTAGTCTTATAAAGCCCTAAAAGCCTAGGTTCAAAGATGACCTCAGATATCTCTTGCTCTGCACATGATCACTATAGTTAAGATGGAAGATATAGCTATGGCAAGGTGAAAAGAGCACAGGACCGTGAATAAGATGACCTGGTTTAAATTCTAAATCCACTCCTTAATAGCTATGACCCGGGGCAAGTCATTTTAACCTCGGAGCTTTCCTCGTGTTTAACAAGGGAGTTCTACTTCATAGTCTAGTTGGATTTAGAAAAGAGGCCATGTATAAGAAATCACCTGGAGGGAAGGAGAGAAGGAGAGGAAGGGGAGAAAGGGAGGGAACTTCAGCAGAGGTGAAGTTCCATCTCCAGAAACTTCAACACGGAATTTTCCATAGAGGGCCTGGTGTACAATAGCAGCTGTGGGAATGCTCTTGAGAGACTTTACAAAGAATGAGATTGACAGGAACTGATGACAGTTTGGATTTGAAGGCTCTCAATTAAAGAGATCTTGGTCTGCCCTCATCTGGCAGGGCCTGAATTCCTTCTCTTATGTGATTCCCAACATGATGAATCTCTTTAATTAGAGAGGAGTGGGTAATTTGGAAAGAACGATTTAAAATGGTTTCCTTTACAAGTTTAAATGTTTCTAATATGACATAATCCTGCTGGCTGGTTTGTTTTTGTTTTTGTTGTTGAGGGGGTTCCTGGCTCTTTTTATGCTTTCAGGTTTCTTAGGAAAGTTGTTAACTGTGTACTTGTACCCCAAGGCAATTACTGTGAAGGGGTATCTTTTAAGCACTAGAACTATTTCTCTAATTAATTTGCTTTTTATATTGTTAACTGCTGTTGGCCTCCCTTCACATCTAGAGCAACCCTTTTTTTTCTTATAGCAAGAGGGAAAATGGGTGATTTCCTTTCCTTACTCTAAACAAATCCTGAAAAACTAGTTTATCAAATTAGGGTCCAGTTCTAAGCTGAGACCTTTTCCATTTGACTCAAAGCAAGCTGTTCAGAGGAGAAAGGAGTAAGGCCTAGAGAAGTTGGGTACTATGGTTTCTAGTTCCAGCCTGCCACTAATTTCCTGGCCTGAGATTTCAGGTGAGTCAAAAATTTCCCATGACTCCGTTTCCTTAATCAGACATGAGTGATAGTATCTGTCCTAGCTTTCCTTCCTGGGATGCTGTGAATAATACTTGTTTTTAAGTAAAAATATTCTATACATAATAAAAATCAACATTTGAAACATCATACAGATAACATTCATTTGTATATATAACCAAATTTGGATAAAGACCATGAAATATTTTGCAGGGAAATAATGCATCACAATGGCTTATTTTCCATAACTCATAACAATGCCATGGTATATGTGATACAACAGCTGAGTTATGTGAAAGTGTAAGTAGAAATTACCTAATGTCCATGCTCTGAACCATTGCAACAGAGAGTTCCCATGATGCCGAGTTATGCTTCTGGTATTACTGCAATATAAAATGTGACCATATCACAGCCTATAACAAGGTACAGTCCTTTCTACAAATACTAGAGGTATTCTATCTGCTCTCTTTCTTTGCCAAACCTCATATCCTTTCTGCCATTGACTTATTTCTGGAAAGCAGGTTTAAGGCAAAGAAGTAAGCAAAATAAAAGTAAAACATGAGAACTGAAAATCAAAAGTTTGCAGAAAGAACGCATGCTGTCTTCTTGAGAGCCAAACTGTAAACTACAAACTTGTTGGGGCTTCCTGAGCCTTTCTATTTCATTCCTTCATTTCAGGGGGCCTAAAAATAAATGCATGAAATAGCTCTTTCATGGGCCCCAAGGCTTCCACTGCCTTATTCGTGGCTTCTTGCCTTTCATAGGAAGGCTTCCAGTTCTGGAAGTTTCTCTTCATGCAAACAGATCCACTTGAATAATTCCTGAGCTTGGATGAGCAAAGACAAATTTCCATATGCAAACTCAACAATGAAGAACTGACAGTTTCAGATGGAGCCAGCCTGCTGTTGACCTATTTCAAAACTGCATCTGCAAAGAGGGTCAGGATTCCTTTTCCTCCACGTATTGGAGAGATAGCCTAGGTCTTCCGAGCTAGGCACTTCAGAGCAATTTTGCTCTTCAAGACAAAAGTATGCTTCTGTTCACCCTAATGGGATCATGAAGACAATCAATTAATATTCATAGAGCACTAATGCACTGACTCACCGAACAAACCTTTGTACACTTTTGGAAGTGAGAAAGGGCCAACCACTGGGAACCCATTTATTTTAATATCTCAGAGGGCCTCATATAATGATAGGTATATAGTAGATGCTCAGTTCTTTACTGACCACCTATAAAATGCTAGGCACTACAAACACAAAGATAGCTAGGTCAGAGGGACCTTATTCAAAGGAGAATAAAAGGCAAACCTATAAATAAATAAATTGTCATGAGAACTATAATTTTAAAAGTAATGGCGAAGCACGCACACACACAAAAAAGAGTCAGGATCAGTTTCATAGGAGGTATTTAAGAGGTATCCCTAAAACTAGCCTTAAAAACTAAGTATTATTGGTAAAAATGTTATTTATGACAGGAACCTCAAGTAAAAGAGAAAACTAAGAATGGGCAAACTATTGCCAGTCCCACTAAAGCCAAGTTTTCCCTGATGAATTGTCTCAGAGCAGTGTTTGGGAACTGGAATATTAATATACTTTTTCCTAATGATGGACTCACATATTACATGCAGACAGCTAAGAGTTATTTAATCTCCCATTAAGATTTTGGCCAAATCCTGATTTAATTTCCCGATCGCTGTCACAGGAGCAAACATTTTCCTATTTTCCTCAGGAACCTGAAGGACCTCAGACCAAAAACAATTTAAGAGATGCCTAAAGGGATGGCCTCAAGTTCTACAATTATCTGATATGCAGTTGGCGCTCCATATCGCAAGTCCCACACCCCAACATAAGGACGGCCAACTGTACTTGACTTGAGCATCTGTGGATTTTGCAATGAGGGGATGGGGGTTCCTAGAACCAACACCTCTCAGATACAAAGAGACAACTGTGACTGAGGAACCTACTGGGAGTTAGGAATCAAATAGCTCCCCACCCACTTCCACCCCCATAGTACCCTGTACATCCCCTTGCTCTGCTCCGTTCCGCCTACCATGCAGATCCTTCAATCAATGACATATCACCAGTTAAAACTCCCTTCCACTTCTTAGGAATGGAGCATTGGAGAAAATTCAGTTCCCTCACATATACTTGACAGAGGTTACAAGTTACTTACCAAAGTCAAAATTGTGCCTAAAAAGCTAAAACCACATTTTTTAAAAAAGTCAACTAGAAGAGGAATACCTTACTTAGCATTCAAGAACCAGCATTGCCACTGATTTTGGCTAAGACCACACTAGTGGTCAGCTGGGTAGTAACAAATACAGAGAACCAAGGTCTCAAGAACATGCTGAAAAAATTAAGGAAATGTACTTCGAACTCAAGAGTCCTCTCCTACCTGTCTAGTTATAGAGACAAGGCACTTGTTTAGACATTATCTCCCAATCTAAGAAAGCCTGTCAAAAGCTAGACTCTTCATCCACATATTGTATTTCCCTATATTAGTCACTCCTGAATTTTGTTAAATAAAAATTATAGGAGGCCATAGTTTTGGACTAAGTTCCTGCATTAGACCCAAACAAACCAGACCAAACCAAATGGAATCACACATTCTAAAAGTCCACAGACCAGTTTCAATCGGCATGACAATAAAGTTCCCTCTATCTTTAATCCTTACAACAAAATGTAACCTGATGTTAGCCAGTTATTTTTCTTCTGTTCTGCTTCCCTGTTCCCACCTTACAAGGAAAGTAACTTTGCAATGGTCATCCACTTTTTCCTTTTTTCTGCTTTCTTTAGCTCTTGTCTACAAAATCAATTTCCCCTTCTCGGGTCATTGGAACACTCATTCTACCTTATAAAATGAAGTGTTGCCCAATTCTAGAATGGCGAGTAAAATCAATTAAGATCTTTAAACTAGATTTTCAATTTTGTCTTTTGATAATCTAAAAGGTGATATCCTATACAACACAACATATGCTACTAGGATTTCCTACCTAATACCAGCCAGGAGGTTTAATAATAGATTATCATAAAAATACAACATTCCAATAAGTCCTAAAGGAGAGAGTGAATAATACTAAGATAATTAGTATAAGAGGCATTAGCGGATTGTTTTCATTTCTTTTTTAATCCAAGAAGAGTTCAAATGAGTGTATATTTATTTCTTAGGTAAAAAATCTCTCCCATTAGAGGGAACACCCACACCTCTGTCCTTGCCATTTACTTATACCTGTTGTTTCTTACATAAATCATGAGTTTAACACATTACCCGATAACCTGTTAGGTGACTTTTATATCCTAGAAACATATCTTCCACCCTCTTGTCCTAGCAGTCTATCCTCAATTTTCTTTGCTGATCTTAGGATTGTACAGTACTACTTACATGCTAAGAACTGAACTGACAAATGACAAGTGATTCTGGCTTCTCCAGGTGAAAAAAAAACAAACTGTGGAAAAGAAAAAGACAACTAGAGGCCAACTGTGAATCATTTCAGACTCTTAAAAGCTAACTAGAAATCCCACACCCAGTAATCCATATTAACGCAATGATCAGAAATGCTCCATTACAAACCATCATGGATATTCATTATATTACTACAAATTATTATTATTATTATTTTTTTTTTTGAGACAGGTTCTTGCTGTGTTGCCCAGGCTGGAGTGCAGTGGTGCAGTCATGGCTCACTATAGCCTTGATCTTCTGGGCTTGCTCAGGTGATCTCCCATCTCAGCCTCGCAAGTAGCTGGGACTACAGGCATGCACCATTACACCTGGCTATTTTTTTTTTTAACTTTAAGGATCTCACTATGTTGCCCAGGCTGGTCTTGAACTCCTGGGCTCAAGAGATCCTCCCACCTCAGCCTCCCAAAATGCCGGGATTACAGGCATGAGCCACTGTGCCTGGCCAATGATTACAATTTTTAAAAGGAGAAAATATGTGCACCTAATTTTTTAAAAGGAGAGAACCACCAGCAAACTGTTAATACCATATTTTAAGTGTAAGATGCCCCTGAATGTAAGACTCAATATGACTTGATGTTACACTAACGAGATAACACAGTCAGTAAAACTCTTTTTTTTTTTTTTTTTTTTTTTTTCCGAGATGGAGTATCGCTCTGTCACCCAGGCTAGAGTGCAGTGGCGCCATCTTGGCTCACTGCAAGGTCCGCCTCCCGAGTTCACGCCATTCTCCTGACTCAGCCTCCCGAGTAGCTGGGACTACAAGCACCCAGCACCACGCAAGTCTAATTTTTTTTTTGTATTTTTAGTAGAGATGGGGTTTCACCGTGTTAGCCAGGATGGTCTCGATCTCCTGACCTCATGATCCGCCCGCCTTGGCCTCCCAAAGTGCTGGGATTACAGGAGTGAGCCACCGTGCCCGGCCCAGTAAAACTCTTAATTTAGCATAGATTAGTAGATATATTCCACTTTCAGAGAGGTTAAAATGTAGATCTTAAAATATATAAAATACAATAGTGATATAACTACAGGTGATTAATTATTTATGGGCACATGAACATATAATAAGAGATTTGGCTAAAGATAATGTGCACACAGAGGCAATCCAGTCAAGCCGGTAATGGAGAGAAATCTTACCAAATAAATTTTCCTACTAGTATCACTATATTTTCCATTTAGGTCTACTAAAAATTTTCATGAAAAAGTATTATCAGAAAACTGTAATACATCCTTCACCATGCTCTCCAGCTTATTCTTTTAACTTTGCCCTACCTCTGACAGAACAATTGTTCTACCGTCATTACTACACTGCTGTAGTAATGCTGTATTGGAGGAAGCTATCTATCGCCTAATTTTTCCTCAATTGCCACACTCAACTGTGTGCAGTTTATAGAACCAGAAATATTTATATACTTTTGGCTTTTACTCCCTCAACCCTATGAGATGCACCTACTACCCAACTATATGGGTAAACTTAACCCAAAAATTACTCCTTTTCTCTGGTCTGCCCCACCACATACCGCCATGATTTCTCTGCATCTTCCTCCTAAGCCCAAAATTACCAATTTCTCCCCGGAATCCATGAAATTTGCTTCTTTGTCTCTCCCATTAGTCTGTAACCTGTAAAGTCTGTAAAAAGAACTGCCCTTCCCCCAAGACAGTACCAGTGCCTAATATGGTGCTTAACCCAAAGTATTCAAAATGTTTAATGAAATACTGAAAATAAATCATGAACACAAGCACATGAACCAGAGAACAGTAATTATATAATCATAACCACATTTTGAACGCAGTTAAATATTTTCAAAAGATAAGGAGTATGTATGGTAAAGGTCTTTGAAAATATGAATCAAATTTACATAAGTCCCCTATTGCAAAATCTGTAATTTTATTTTTATTTTTTTTATTTATTTTTTTTTTTGAGACAGAGTGTCTCTCTGTTGCCCAGACTGGAGTGCAGTGGCGCAATCTTGGCTCACTACAACCTCCATCTCCCAGGTTCAAGCAATTCTCCTCCCTCAGCCTCCCCAGTAGCTGGGATTACAGGTACCCACCACCACGCCCAGCTAATTTTTGTATTTTCAGTAGAGACGGGGTTTCACCATGTTAGGCACGCTGGTCTTGAGCTCCTGACCTCAGGTGATCCGCCCGCCTTGGCCTCCCAAAGTACTGGGATTACAGGCATAAGCCACCATGCCCGGCCAATTATATTTCTTCACCAGATTTTAAAGCAAGAGCATATTCAAGTCTCCGTTAATAGTTTTATTTTACATGTAAAATATCTGTTTTGTTAAAATTTCTTTTAATTGGTGAAAATCTCTTAGGGAACTATAAATTTCATACATTATTTTGAGACCACTTTTGGCTAATTGGCTCCTAGAATGATTGCTATGTATGAAAACCTAAACAATATATCTTATTTTCGAATAATTCATTTACTATAATATCACTACACTTGTTTATTTCTCACACGTTCCAAACATAAGAAGCCATGAAATGTCACCACCATAATAATATAATGCAGACACTAAGCCAAGATGTTTTAAATCACATTTAAAAGGTACACAATACATTGGCAAGTTTTTTTAAAAAATCACTACATTTTCTGCTTTAAATCACTCAATTTTAATAAAAGAATATACACATACACATATACACACGTGTGTGTGTGTGTGTGCATGTGTGTGTGATGTGATTTAATACATAAAGACTGGAAAGCTATAAAACAAAACAGTGATTTCTTACCAGAAGCAAATTGGGGAATAAGGTGAAATTTTTACACTTTGAAAATAATAAATAAATCAGTATCATTAATTATAACAGGGTTGAGCAAACAGACTTCACGTGGTCTAAACCTTGTACTATATACATATAGCACTTCTTGAATAATGTCTAAATAGTGATAAAATAATAAGAATTTCCACACAGAGATGCATGTATTGTATTATTTTCAGCCATGAAGTAACACTTCACTCACACACGTTATAGTCAAGTCATCCATTTCCTGAAATAAAATTTGTATCTGTCAGTCACATGATAAACATTTTTTCTATTCTTTTAGCACTATTCTATACTTTCCCAGAAAGATTCTGGTTATAATACAAAAACATATAACCAGAAATAAGGTAATATACAAAAATATATAGCTTTTCCTACATGGCAGCAATAACTGCTTTCTGGAATAACTATTTTCAAAATACAACAGAACAAAGGGCCCCATTTATAAAAGCAGCAAAAACTCAATGAACTCAAGAAACACAGGTTACCTATAAAGTTATATAACTTTACTGAGAGATATAAAATAAGACTTGAATAAATAAAAAGATATAACATGATCTTAGACTGAAATGGTACACTATCACAAAAAGGCTAATTTTCTATACCTTTAACACAATTCCAACAAACATCCTATCCTCTACAGGCCAACATTAAAGCATACTAACTGGCAAACCTCCAGAAAAAAGCAGCTAGTAATACATGAAATGATATTCCACCTCACGATTTTCTGAAAGATTAGCGAAAGTTTTTAAATAAGGTAAGGTTACACTCCTACAATGCAAATTGGTATCACCTCTTTGGAAGACACGTGGCAACAAATGTTTCCACTTATTCTCCAAGGGCCAGCTCTTGGTTAATATCTATGAGATTTAAACTGTCAGACAGACCTACTCTGCAGTATTGCATCGTTACTGTATTACAGCCTTATTTGCTCACTCTTTCAGTGGATGTCTAAGCCTCCATCAGCTTGTTTATTCTCCAAAAGCAAGGGACATAAATTTTATTATCTTTATATCAGTACTTGTTGATTAACAGAAAATTGTGCTAGGGGAATCTGGGAGGAAATGAAAACCCACACTCATGACATTTTATAATAATAAAATCACCTTAACTTCAGAAATGTTATAGGAATGCATTTGTGATTATCAATTGTTGTGTGTTAAGATAACAAAATGCAATTATTAATCAGACTATAAAAAATCAATTATTTATCCATGTATTCATCTATGTTTATCACCTAGAATTATGGCAGAGAGGGCATTAGCTAAATAAAAAGGTCCTAAAGCTGCCGAATAAAAGTTGCGAAGCAGAGCTAGTTTAACATGAAAATATTCCTCACCTCATCTTTCATTTCTTCTCCTGGTCTGCTAAATGTAAGGAGAAAAAAGGGTAAAAGTGCTCCTTATAAAGCAATGGACTCTGTTTACCTTTAATTCTAACTATCCAAGGCTAAAATCTTGCTGCTGTCTAGCAAAATCATAGGACTTTTGCTACTAGGATGAAATTCTATTTATGCCCAACATATGATTAAGTTATTTACAAAATAAATTAACAAATGCAGCTAGAAACCTGCCTCTGGAGAAGCTTATGGCCACTCGTAAGAGAAAAAACCTAACCTACTTTCAACCGGAGCCATGCTTTCCCATGTCAAACGTCAGAAAATTGTTTTATACTCCCTAATCAGTACTATTCATCACTTTCTTACAACAAGAAAGATGGCCATTTCCCTCTATTTTAGAAGGGTCCATCTGTACCAATAATTTAGTTATCAGACAACGTATCCACAATCCAAGTGGCACAATTTAGGAATAACTAATTCTTACCAAATTAATTTTAAAGCAACCTTGTGGTATGTGAGACATATTTATGTCAAAAATCAAGGCATTAGTGGTCTAAGAAAATAAGGGATTATTTCCATTGAATTCTAGTAGCCATAGACTAAACATTCAAGATGGTAAGTAAAAGATCTGAGGAAAACCAAACTGAAATTATATAGTATTTGAGAGAGATGAATATCAGTAAAACTCATAACTCAAAGTTCAAAGCTTTATTTTTTTTCTTCAATGGCATAGCACCTCTGTTAAAGACAAGTTATATTCATATATTCCAAATGTTCAAATCCTGCACATTAAAAATAATCAAAAGTACACAAGGCAGGTAAGGTTACTTACCTTTTTATTGTGCCTTAGGTGCAATAAATTAAATAAATTAAATCTGATACCCATAAACCAAATCTTCCTTGAAGGATAAGTGCTTTTGAGGTAAAGATTACAGAAACAAATTAATTAAGTCACATTAATAGAGACAGAAAGTAACAAAGTGGTTGCCAGGGGTCAGAAGGAGGGGGGAATAGGGAATTACTACTTAATAGGTAGAAACTTCCAGCTTGGGGTAACAAAAAAGCTCTGAGGATGGATAGTGATAATGACTGTGCAACAATGTGAATATGCTTAATGACACTGAACTGTACACTTAAAAAATGGTGAAAATGGCAAATCTAATGTTATATATTTTTACCACAATAAAAAAGAAAAAAACTAATAATCAAACTGATAATCTAAACTGAATGAAAAATTGAACAATGTGTACTCGTAGAAAAAGATTAAAAATTTGTTAGTAATTAGAAGACTTTAAATAAAGAGTGCGAATCATTTCCCTGATTACAGACTAATGACATCAGTAAGAATGACAATTTTCTCAACAAATGAAGCAAATATAATACTTTAAACTTATTCTTGTAACATGAATAGATCTCCAAAAATAGTTAAAATTTAAAAAGCAATATACAGAATCTGATTCTTTCAAAGAGCTTCTGAAAGATTTGCTCTCCTGAAATGAAATTTGGTAAGGGAGGCTCCAATTCACTGAAAAGTGGTTAATGTAAAGGAACAAATGCCCCGTTTTCCATGAAAGAAATTGTACTGCCAGATAAGGCTGTAAAACTTAAAGATCAGATAAATGGTGAGTGGACACTGCTGATCCAGATTTAGACAGAAAGGCATTCTTGAAAAGACTCACCATGTGAATGCCCAGCCAGCCTCTGTAATAAAATTCAAAGGCAGCAAGGCAAGCAAAGCACTTTGGCAAAAAGTGTTTCAACTACTCAGCACAAAAGAGGTATTTCATTTTATCTGTCTTCTTGGGGGGAAGATAGACATATTTTTAGACAGTATCTAAGTGTCAGAAAGATTCCAAGACATTAATACCATTTATGAACAAAGAGAAGTAACAAAGTGAACACTATTCCACAAAGTATATTAAACAAATTCCTTGTTTCTCCTGGCTTAACAAGGGAGAGCGGGTGGAAGGGTAGAGAGGTAGGGGACTGGCATGTCAATGGAATAGAAAGAATATTGGAAAAATAAATTTCGTAAAATTCTTTCAATGAATTGGTTCCTGAGTCAGATAGGTTTTTTATATCTACAGAGGCAGGCCTATGTAAATATCCTATAAACAATGTCATTAGAAGGTCTAACACCTTTTCAAAGATCTTGGCATCTTAAAGGTGAAGATTTATATTCTCTTTCTTGGCAGGTCTCTAATATGTCTAACAAAATCATTAAAGGGAGATTTAGTCAGATTTGTTGATCAGGAAAACATCCACAGATGGTAAGAGAAACTGTGGGTGATTATCACCTTGCTATTGTCTTTGGCCAGTAGGTTCAATATTTAGGGCTGCCACCCTGAAGACGTTAACAGAACCCTTCTATCTGCTGGAGCAATTGGCTAACTTTATACTCAGCCATCACAATAGCTGTACTTACAACCTATCTTCAAATACAAGATACAGAAGACATGGCTAAGAGTACCTAAAATTCCAACATATCCTGAAAAAGCACAATGCAAAACAACTCAGGGTCTGTGCTCCAATGACAGTAAGTCTGTCGTAGCAGCTTCCTATATAAACGGCAAGCTATTTTATTTTGTGATTTGATGACAATCAAACCTAGGGGAAAAGTTAAAGGGAAACTACATGTTGTAATTAATTTTCCAAGCAGGTGCCAGAGATACCAAATCAAACTCCTGTAATACTTTTTCTGAGTCAGGGAAAGAAAATGAAAAAAATAAGGAGAGAAATTACATTCAAGCTAACAACCAATGGCAAGTACTCAAATAAATACATGGCAAACTGTAAGGTGCTAAGGATACAAAAAGGAATACATGGTACCCACCTTCAAGGAATTTACTCTGTGCTCCTCTGATAAAGATGTGATTTCTTTCATCACTGCCAGTCACCTCCATGACTGCTCTTCACCATCACTGATTAAGTACCATGACAGGCAGAATTCTAAAGCTGCCCCCCAAAGATTCCTGTCCTCTGGCTATTTAACCAAACACTAATCTAGGTACTATTGTGAAGGGATTCTGCAAATATAAGTTTACTAATCAACTGACCATAGGATATGAAGATTATCCAGATGGTCCTAATCTAACCACATGAGACTTTAAAAGTGAAGAACTTTCTTCAGCTACAGTCAGAGAGATGGCGTACAAGAGAGAAGTCAGAGAGATTCTAGCATGAGAAGAATTTGTCACGCCATTGCTGGCTTTGAAATGTTAAGGGCCCACATTCAAGGACTGGAGAGATGCCTCTAGTTGCTGAGGGATGGCCCAGCTAACAGTTGGCAAAGAAACAGAGACCTCAGCCCCACAGCCACAAGGAACCAGATTCTGCCAACAACCTGAATGAACCTGGGAGCAGATTCTTCCCAGAGCCCAGCTGGCAACACCTAGATTTCAGCCTCAGGAAACCCACAGCAGAGAAACAAGTTGGGGCAGTCCCAGCTTCTGACCCAGAGAATCATGAGACAGTCTCGTTTTAAGCCACTAAATTTGTGTTAATTTGCTATAGCAGCAACAGAAAATTAATGCGAGAACTTACCATATGCAAGTATTTGGACACAGGAACCCATTTAATTCTCACAACAACCCTGAAAAGTTATCATCCTCCATTTTACACATGAGGAAACTAAGGAATAGAGAGTTTTAAATAATCTGCTTAAGAACACAGAATCTAGGATCTAGTAATGACTAGAGTGGTTTACTGTATATTCAAGAAAACTAATTGGCCCATAATGGTTATAATATGAATTAAAAATTGCAGCTGGAATTTGACTAAATTTCACTCAACAGGGAAATACTTTCATTTTAAAGATCAGAAAACTTTAAATGGTTTAAAATGAAAAGGTTCTCTAAATCAGAGGGGTACTTTTTTATAATGTCCTTAAGTGACGTTAATATATCATATAACGTCCTTAAGTCAACCCAACAGGAAAAACAATATTACTAAAAATAAATTCAAACCTATGTAACTATGTACTTCTTCCTGCATACTCAAAAATCAAGAGCAATACTTTGTCAATCAAAGGCTACGTTTTAACATTAATTTTTTTAATTCTTATCCACAAAACCATTTTAAATATGGTATTATATGAAGAAAAAAATGAAAGTAATTTTTAAAAACCATGTGAGAGAGTTTTTTCAAGAAAGAGAAAAATGAGGAACTATATACAGTACCACACTATTTAGAGGAGATACATCCCTGCTCAAGAAAGCAGAAAAATCCAGATAAACGCAATAATATAGAAAGACATCAGGGGCAAAATACAAACCAAAAATGAAATCTAATATTTATTTTATGAGGAAGATAAACAGCCAGTCAATCACATGCAATGGCTATAGAAGATGAATAAATGGCATTTCCTACTCCTCAAAGAGTTACTGCTAAAGATAGTAAAAATTTAAAAAGAATTTGAGTTTCTGTTAAGAGAGACTCAGTCAAAACTCAAGTGAGAAATCAACAACAGTTATATTCCAAAACAGTAAGTGTCAAAAAGTACAAATGGGAGAAATAATATTTGGGGAGATGATCTTTAAATAACCACATATACACCTGGAGCTTTATTCATCAGTAGCACTTTCTTCTACTGCTGATGTTTTCTTGTGTGACTTTTCACCATGAATTGTTGACTTTCAGAGCATAGTACAAAGAAAGATTGGGGAACACAGAAGATCGTGCACTGAGGAATAGCATGATATGGAATATGGAGTTTCTTCTCAAATAAACCAACCCTGGAATTCCAACCAGTAATGTGAATGTATGTTATTAAATGAACACCTATTTGTGTTTTGTGTACAGATACTGTACTCATGTCACTCTTAGGTTCAGTAATAAAACATTTATTAACCTATTTAGAAAAAAAGAGATGATTTCTAGCCTAATAAATTTAAAAGCTTAAATCTAACCATAGCTAATATTTTCTGTACTAATGTCCTATTTTTAAAACCTCCATCTTTGTCATTATTAATTATGCATATGGATTGATATCATTTATTTGCAGGTGTTCCTAAAGTAAATTGCATATATCTATTTAGATTTTTTCAAAGGCTGATAGCATACTAGTTGTAACTTAGAAAATGAAGGTACCAAGATCCTTTTTAACCTGTAAACTCTGCAAAACTGAATGGGCTAGAAAAAGAACTTACAGATAGTTTTGGTCATATCCTAGTTCTTAGGTTGGATGGTCATTTCAAGGATGTTCATTTTATTATTTTGTTTTACAGTTTATACTTTACATGCATTTATATGTTCCAAGTGTTACAGTTTAAAATGAACTCAAGAGGCGATATAATTTCTTGAAAATATAGTTATAAACATAAAAATAAAATCATGAAAACATCACTTCATTACTTCCCACACACATTAATTCTACCTAATTAAATTTCCCACATATATTAAGATATATATTAATGTGCTAGATTTAATAGAAAAAAATCATTTATATAAGAGCACAAAATAGTTACTCAAGAGAAATTAGCACCTGCTTCAAAACTAAAATCTCTAAACTAAATATCTAAGCAAAAGAATTCGCCTGAAAACTAAAATCTCTAACTTAAATATCCATTAATATGCTAAACTAAGAATTTTAGTAAGTACATAGAAAATATAGCTTATAGATCTGATCTTGAAAAACTTTTTCTCTGTCTATAAATTTAATGCCATAACACTCTCCAGCAACTAAAATGCTGCAGGCTAAATAGAAGTTTAGAGTTGTTTAGGATAGATTCATGACCTATCCAATTGATTGTCTTACCTTTAAATATTGGCCAAGAATGAATGTCACAAGTCAGTTTACAGACTGAATTGTGCACCCGTTTCCATTTTTTTTTCTACTATAGGTATTATTCCCATTTCCAATTTGTTTTTCTATTTGCCTAATGGATCATGCCTACTTCAATATTTTGCAGTAAAGAAAGCTCAGAGGATTAGGAGTTAAACATTATAAACTTTTTCTTATTATTAGAAACTTTATCTTCAAGTGTCTTCCTACTCTTGTTATTAGAAAAACATTGTTTAAAGACATTCGCCACATAAACAACTCATATTTCTCCAAAAAGCATCCTACCTATCCTATAGTAATTTATCAAAAAATAAGTTTCCAGCCTTTTCAACAGGTGTTTAAAATATGTTAAAGATAGAACCAGGTTAATCTGACCTATCCAACTCCAGCTTAGCTTTTAACACCCTGAAATAACATCCTTATCTTTTAACACTCAGGAAGGGTTAGTATTTCTTTATAAATAGTTCCTCAACTTCACAGACAAGTCTTTAAGGAAAGGTTTCCTATAAGAATGTAAATTTAAGTTCTGGCAAGCTATCTTAAAGAAAAAATCTTGACCACAGAAAAGCATTACACATAGATGCTCATTAGTATTATTTGTCATAGGAAGATAAAGAATCCACTTAAATATCCAACAAGTAAAAATTATTACCTAAATGGCATTCCTCTTATAAATATAATGAGACATCAAAAACAATGTTCACCCCAAAACATGTATAATTACATGAGAAATACCTTATGTTAAAGAAACTATGAAAAATAGGATAATTACAATTCTAAAAAACTGAAAAATACTATAAAGTATGTTAAGTTTTTCACATTATTGTCTTTCTGCAAATGGTACACAATAGACATGCATAATTTTTTAAATCTGTAACACCATAGTTATTTTCCTACTACTCATTCTTTAAAATATGCTGGTACCACAACCATTTTAACACCTAGTCCCCATGAAGCACATACCTCCTTCCTCACTTTTCTGGAACGCACATTTCCAACATACTCAACCATCTGAAATGCAGATGAAAAATTCTCAGATAGAAACTAACAATAGACTTGTCTTCAGGAAGATGCAATCAGTTCCTAAGTTTTCATTTATTATCCTGGATAACAAAGTCAAGCTGAAAACTATTAAAATATCTTTGTCAAAAATATATTTGACTATCCACAATCATTACAGCATATAAACACACTTTGGCTTCCATGATTCCTAGGAATTCTTTTATCAGCCTGTGTCAGGATCCTAAGGAATTTTCACAGTTGCTAAATGACTTCTGTGGTCCATCATATCACTCTACCGAGAGACATAGCCATTTGGCTACAGCTTTTACCATTCTTCAGGGGAGAAGAGGTTTATGCACAAATCCAGAAAGCTTTAAAGATGCTGATTTGCTCTGTTTTGTTTTTAATCATCAATTTCACTATAAAGGGTCAACTTAAAATTAAGAAATAATGGTTTAAGAAATAAGCAAATAATTCTTTGAAGTATTTGAA
This sequence comes from Homo sapiens, assembly GCF_000001405.40. Taxonomy (NCBI): domain Eukaryota; kingdom Metazoa; phylum Chordata; class Mammalia; order Primates; family Hominidae; genus Homo; species Homo sapiens. The sequence continues at coordinate 20,494,479 of NC_000009.12, forward strand.
TTTATCTCTGGGAATATTTTTTCCTAACCTCAAAGTCATACTGCAATGATATTTCCCAAATATAATCTAATTGCCTGAAGTTTTCTTTAAAAATATTCAAAACCTATCTATTTTAACAGCACGTGATGGCATTTTACCAGTGTTTTCAGGCTGCCACTTTAAAAGGTAAAACAAAGTGGTGACAGCTAAAAAGTCTTTTCAAATTAATTCCCCATTTTCATCCTTGAAACAGACAAATTTCCCTACCACGGACATTTTCTCAATATTGGAATGCTGTTCAAAATTACTCAAGGTGGTCCTGAGTTTGTTATTTGAATACCCACGAGCAATTCATTTAATTTCATATATATTAAAACTGAAAAAACAACTGTTTTATTAATTTTACAGGTACCAAATGGATCTTCCCAAGGGAAAGGAGTAAGCCCATAGTTGTACTATACATATATGCAAGATGATTTTTTTTCCTCCTAGGGTAATTTGCATCTGGATGAGAGGTTGGCTTTTAAATTGGCCCACTTTCATAAATTAAAAAATGTAATACATTTACAGCTAGCTGAATAGGAAATTTCTGTACTTCATTCCTGCCAAACTACAAGCAAGCTACTTAATTAATGGGAGTCTGCCATTATCTTTTTGCCCTCAAGAGAAGAACTAGGCCTATATAAATCATTTTTCTCTCTGTCCATCATACTTACTGTAAAAAGTTTAATAATATGGGCAACCATACCCAGAATTACACTCAGAAAACCTACTCCCTTGCTTCTCAGCGTGCTCTGCAAATCAGTGACATCAGTATCCCCTGGGAGCTTGTTGGAACTACAAAATCTCAGACTCCCCACTGCGACCTACTGAATCACAATTTGCATTTAACAAGATGCCCAGGTTATCAGTCTGCACATTAAAGTTTGAGAAGCACTAGTCTAGAGGTTAAGGTAGAAGGCAGAATGATATACTATCTCCTGCTTGCACGTTCTAAGTTGTAGAAAGCTGCAAAAAATCTACAGTCAGCAATGAATAAATCATTCCTAGAGATTACTGGTAAATCTTTAATTAAATGTGGCCTTTCCACATAGATTTAGAAAACGTGTGTGGCTGATGCTCAGTGCCTATTAACAGCGTTTTCATTACACAACCGGAACTAGATTTTTTAATAACATACTGAAAATAGGTATATCTGTTCACCATTCTCTATTAACAAAGCATTCTTACTAAAGAATTGTCCTCTTTTTCAAGCCTAAGATGGGTCTTGTGGATGAAATCTATTTTTAGTTGCTCCAAGTTAAAAAATGTTTTAAAGAACCTTAATGTAAGAATCCTAATTGACCAATTTGAGGAAGCATTTACTTCACAAATTAATTTAAATATGCTTGAGACAAATACATAACCCCTATCATAGGCCCTCGGCTCACAGTAGACAGTCAATGTTATACCTGTAACAAAGGGTCCTCATAATTTCAAGAAGGATTTTCATAAGACAATACCAAATAACAGGCTCCTGGAAATTTATAACACAGTTTGAGTCACAAAAGTACAATTTGCAGAACTTTCCATAGGTTTGCCCAATATGCAACATGTCACACTTGTACTGACCTGTGCTTAGTCCACAGAATTTTTAACAAGATGCTTTCTATAAGGATTTCAACTGTAACCTACCACAAAAGTGCTCTGGGAATAACTTTATCCCTCTACAATCATTGCCTTGTTCTAAACAGAGCCCTAAAGTAAATTAAATCTTTAGAAAAACACACTTTTTTGTTTGTAAAGAAAGAAACATTTCCTGAATGCTACAGAATGTTTCCTTGAGAAACTGTTTATGTTACTGTGTTGAAAAGGTGTTTATGTTGCTATAAACACCTTCCATGTAACAGGGGATGCAGTCTCCCCATTGTTTATATTGTAATCAGCCCTGTTTCTGGAAAGATCTAGGCTTATAATTCATGCCTGGACTAACCTTCACTCCATTCTATCCCAATTAGATCACTCCAAATTATATTCTATATTTGTTTAGCATAATTGACACGTCACATGAGTACAGGGGAGGTTAGGTTCATAACACGCACTGTAAAAACACACACACACATTAAAAAAAATAAGCACTACAATTACAAAGCTCATTAATTAGCAGGATGTTGTGGTTTGTGCTGTGTTAGCCTGGTTAAGCTGAAACTACTTTTCCTAGGATCTTCCAGTATGGTTCTAGGTTAAAGTTGACATGGAACCAGAAAGTAGAATTTGCACAGATTTGGAAGCCAAAAATCGTCATGGTTACTATATTGACAGTCCACTATGCCAGTGGATTCAGGCTTATCTTTGCTCTTCTCAAATCCCTGTCCAACTTCCTCTACAGATAAACAGTGCTTTAGGCCCAACATACCTATACAGATGATAGGTACACTGAGGCACAGCTTCTCAGAGACACTTCCCCAAGAGCCTTTCTCAGACTAAGTGGGGACACCACTGATCCTCCAACTTCCCTCTTGGACTTTCACTTGTCAAGCTTCCACTATAAATGCTTAAGATTTAATTTCTATAATAAATTCCTTATGCTAATAACTCATTGGAGTTCTTCTTCCGTGATCAAACCACAACTGATTCTCAAAACGGTTTACTTGTTGGCTCTAGATTTAAATGGTTTCTTGTCATTAAAGACATGCTGTAGTATCCAGTAGTAAATGGCAACGCAAACTTCACCTTCTGATATTCAGTTGACAGACAGTAGAATATGGCCTGGGGTCTAAACCCCTCTGACCTCCCAAACCTTCATTTTTTTCTATAACTTTTCAATGTTCTTTTTGCTCTATCTTTATTAACCACAATTGACATTAAAAATCACATATTTAAAGTAATACAATTTGATATGTTTTGACATAAATATATACCCAGGAAACCATCACCATAGTCAAGATAAGGAACATCCATCAACCCCTAAAAGTTTTCCCCGACCTTCATGATCCTTTCCCCTCCCTGCCCTGTCTAGGCTCCATTTTCAGGTAACCACTGATCCACTTCCTGTTCTTATAATTATGCTGCATTTTATAGAATTTTGTATACATGGAATCATACAATGTGTATGCTTTTTCAGGGGTTGGCATCTTTCACTAAATGTAATTATTTAAATTACTTTGAGAATCACCCATGGTGTTGGGTATCAATAGTTCATTCCTCTTTATTGCTGAGTAGTGTTTTATGATGTGGAATTTCCACAATTTGTTTATCCATTCCCTGTTGGTGGACATCTGGGTGTCCTTCAGTTTGGGCCAATTACAAAAAAAAGTTCTTATGAACTTGTATAAGTGTGTAAGTCTTTGTATGGATATATACTTTCAATTCTCTTGGGTAAATACCTACAAGCAGAATGATTGGGTAGGTATGTCCTTAATGTTTTATGAAAATTTTTTAAAAACTGTTTCCAAAGTGATTATACCATTTTAAGTGTCCATCAGCTAGGTAAAAGAACTCTTCTATGGGTGCAGTGGCTCATGCTTGTAATGCCAACACTTTGGGACAGTGAGGCGAGTGGATCACTTGAGGCCAGGAGTTCGAGATCAGTCTGCCTAACATGGTGAAACTTTGTCTCTACTAAAAAATATAAAAATTAGCTGGGCGTGGTGGCATGCACCTGTAGTCCCAGCAACTCAGGAGGCTGACGCAGAGAATCACTTGAACCTGGGAGGTGGAGGCAGAGGCTGCAGTGAGCAGAGATGGCGCCACTGTACTCCAGCCTAGGTGACAGAGCGAGACGCTGTCTCAAAAAAAAAAAAAAAAAAAAAAAAAAAAAAAAAAAAAAAGTTCTTCTAGCTGTTCTACCTTTACCAGTACTTGGTGTGGTCAGTCTTTTAAATTTTAGCCATTCTACTGAGAATGTAATACTCTTCTATTGGTTTTAATTTGCATTTTCCTAATCACTTATGATGTCGAGTATCTTTTCTTGTGCTTCTTTCACATCTGTATATCTCCTTTGATGAAGTGTCTATTCAAATCTTTTGCCCATTTTATAACTGAACCATCTTATTATTCAGCTGTAGGTTATTCATATAATCTAGATCAAGCTTGTCCAACCCGCCGACCACAGGCCACATGCAGCCCAAGATGGCTTTCAATGCGGCCCAACACAAATTTGTAAACTTTCTTAAAACATTATGAGATTTTTTTGTGTGTGATTTGTATTTTTTTTAGCTCATCAGCTATCAGTAGTGTATTTCATGTGGGGCCCAAGACAATTCTTCTTCCAATGTGGCCCAAAGAAGCCAAAAGATTGGACACCCCTGATCTGGATTCATGCCCTTGTCAGACATATGTTAACAAATATTTTCTCCCAGGCTGTGGCTTAACTTTTGTAACTTTTGAAGAGCAAATTGTTTTTATTGTTTCAATATAACTTTAAGCACTAAAGCATACTGCCTTAGTATTAGTGTATTAGATTCCTAGGGCTATTGTAACAAAATACCACAAATAGGGTGGCTTGAAACAACAGGAATTTAACCATTCATGCTAGAATTCTGAAATCAAAGTGTCAGTAGGGCCATATTCCCTCTGAAAGCTCTAGAAAAGAATCCTTCCTTGACTCTCCTAGCTTCTGGAGGTTGCTGGCAATCTTTGAAATGCATTTCTTAGTTGTAGCAGCATAACTCCAATCTCTGTCTCCATCTTCCCATGGGCTTCTTCCTGCCTCTGTATCTTCATATAAAGTATCTCCTCATAAAGACAGCAGTCACTGGACTTGGGCCAACAGTAATCCATGATGACCTCATCCTAAATTGATCACATCTACAAAAGACACTATTTCCAAATAAGGTCACATTCAAAGGTACCTGGGGTTAGGATTCAACATATATTTGGGAGGATATAACTCAGCCCATAACAGGCATTTAGTGTTTAATATGTTTTTAAAACCCACTGTAAATGATACAGGGAGGCTATGCATGTGTGAGGGGAGAGGGTACACAGGATATTTCTACATCTTCCTCTCAATTTTGCTGTGAACTTCAAACTGCTCTAAAAACATTGTCTTTAAAAAAAACACACACTGAACAATAAATTATTTGACATAAGCTCTGACCTCCTTGAAACAGTCCATTTTTGCTGCAATAACTGTTCTCATAGAGATACCTTCGAAATCATTTGCAGAATTTACCCATGGTCTTATTTCCCCAAAATAGATGCATTCCTTGCAATACAATCAGCTCAGCTTAAGGGTCTACCCTGAGCTGTCCCCTTATTAACAACTGTTAGGTAAAGGTACATGAAGAAAAAAACTTGTATGACTGTTTCTTTTAAGATCTCTATTGTTCTGTCTCCAAATAGGGTGTAAAAATGTAGCATCCTCCTGTAGTCCCAGCTACTCAGAAGGCTGAGGCGAGAGGATTATTTGAGCCTAGGGCTTTGAATCCAGCCTGGACATCATAGCAAGAACCTGTCTCTTAAAAAAAAATGTGGGGGAACAGGTGTTAATGCAGTGACAACTCTAAATCTGCATTCAGAGATGCCTCTTATTCCATCCCTGTCTTCCTTCAATACCACCTAACAGAAAATGGAAAAATGCTTCTCCAAAGAAACATGTTCCAATTATCTATTGATACATAATAAGTCACCATCAAGCTTAGTTTAAAACAGTAATAGCCATTTTACTTTCTCTGAGGGTCAGGAACTCAGAAAGGTTTGATTGTGTGGTTCTAGCTCAGAGTTTCTCATTTGGCTGCACTGAAATGGTGCCTGAAGCAAGAGCGGTGCAGGGCTAGCAGGGCAAAGGTCTGGCTGCTTAATACAGTTGGTCTTCTCAGGGCCCTTGGTCTCTCCTCACAACACAATGGCCTCTGAGCAGCTGGACTGCTTACATGAAGGCTGCAGGTTTCACAACTGAACACCGTATTTCAACAAAGAAAGGAGCATCACCTTTTCTGATCTAGCTTCAGAAATCACATAGCATCATTTCTGCACTACTCTATTGGCTGAAACAGGCACAAAAGCCAACCTAGCTTCAAAAAGAAAAGACAAAGACCCTACCTCTCAAAGACAGAAGTAGCAAAATCAACTGTGAGAAGAGCATGTGGGTGAAAGATAACTTTACGGAAATCTTTGGAAAATTCAATTTGCCCCAGAATATATCCTAGTTCTCCCTGGGGCATCAAGAACTATTGACCACTCAGTTCAAATTAAATTCTAAGGCAAAGCTATACACTGACATGCCCAGGCTCAATATTTTCCCCATTCTTATTTCTCCCAATACTGTTTTCCATCTTGTCTACTACAGTTGAGTATACCCTATTGACTTTGGTCCTCCAGGTGTTCTGTGTTACAAAAACCGAATTCAGAAGTTACTTACCACAGGTCATATAGAGAAACTAATAGCAATCTCTTGATGCACAGCTGCATCATTTTCAACTCCCTCCAGTTCAATGTCTTCTTTAAGTTCAATGCCCAGAAACCTGGGTTACACTCTAGCCCTCCCAATAATTATTAAGAATTGCCTATAATTCAGAGTTTCAAATCATTCTTTCATTAGTTTAAAGTGAATTTCCCATTATAAAACACACAGATACACACACACATGCACACACATGTGCACCACTTTCCTTAGCTAAATATGATTGATTTTTGGATAATTTACCAATTATGGTTCATGGTATCCATTCACTAGTTAAAATGCCTAGGAATTACTATATTTCCCTTTCTACTTCCATAAATCATGATGTCACAAATCTTTATTCAAATATACCATTTCTAGGACACCTCATTTACTTTAAGATTCTCTCATTCTCCATAAAATGTAATGGAAAATAAATTCCACACAATAAATATTGATGGAACACTGAATACATACCAGGCCTTCTGCTATGTGTGAGGTGACGAAGGCAAATAAGACAGTTTCCTTCCCCTCACATAGTTAAGGCATCTAACTATGAAGACAAATTTACCAACAACCATGATTATTACTTACAATATCCAAAGGAGCCCTCATTAAGACCTAGGAGACTCAGTTAAAACCACACCCGGCCGGGCACGGTGGCTCACGCCTGTAATCCCAGCATTTTGGGAGGTCGAGGCGGGTGGATCATGAGGTCAGGAGATCGAGACCATCCTGGCTAACAAGGTGAAACCCCGTCTCTACTAAAAATACAAAAAATTAGCCGGGCGCGGTGGCGGGCGCCTGCAGTCCCAGCTACTTGGGAGGCTGAGGCAGGAGAATGGCGTGAACCCGGGAAGCGGAGCTTGCCGTGAGCCGAGATTGCGCCACTGCAGTCCGCAGTCCGGCCTGGGCGACAGAGCGAGACTCCGTCTCAAAAAAAAAAAAAAAAAAAAAAAAAAAAACCGCACCCAAGAGGTCAGGCGAGGTGGCTCAGACCTGTAATCCCAGCATTTTGAGAAGCCAAAGCAGGCAGATCACCTGAGACCAGGAGTTCGAGACTAGCCTGGCCAATATGGTGAAACCTCGTCTCTACTAAAAATACAAAAATTAGCTGGGGGTGGTGACACACACCTGTAATCCCAGCTACTGGGGAGGCTAAGGCAGGAGATTCACTTGAACATGGGAGGCGGAGGTTGCAGTAAGCCAATATGGTGCCATTGCACTCCAGCCTGGGCAACAAGAGCGAAACTCCATCTCAAAAAAAAAAAAGGGGGGGGGGGGGACTACCTTTTAAGGAAAAGTAGGTAAATATCTGACAATAATAAAACGAAGAGTACTGATTGTTGACAAAGTTAAAATGTAAGCAAAAATTCCAGAGTATACAGAATGCCTGGCTTGACAGGGCACCACAAATGAACCTGACTTGAAGTGTGGTTCCAGGTGCCTACCTTGTTAGCCTCATGACCAGCCACAAAGAGCCATATTTGTGTCTGATCATGAGACTAACAAGGTAGGCAAATGCCAGCCTGTGATGTTCCTTACATAGCACTGTAAGGAGCTGAATTCTACAGGTAATAGCTAGCCACCAAGTATTTTTAAGAGGTGAAAAAACTTGCAGACAACGTGATCTTATACAGTTGCTTGTCTATATCCATGGGTTCCACATCTGTGGATTCAACCAACCACAGATTGAAATATTAGGAGAAAAAATTACATCTGTACTGAACTTTTTTATTGTCATTATTCCCTAAGCAATACAGTATACCAACTATTTATATAACATTTACAATGTATTAGTTATTATAAGTAATCTAGAGATAATGTGTAGTATACAGGAGAATGTGCATAGGTTATATGCAAATACTATGCTATTTTATATCAGAGATTTCAGAATCCATGGGTTTGGGTATCCACAGGAGGTCCTGGAACCAATCCCCTGCAGATACTGAGGAATGACTGTAGACAAACAACCCTAACATCTCCATCAAAAAACTGTTAGAACTAATAAATAAATTCAGTGAAGCTGCAGGAAACAAAATCAACATCATTTTTCAAACATCAGTAGCATCTGTATATGCTAACAATGAGCTATCTGAAAGATAAATTAAGAAAACAATCCATTCACTACAGCAACCAAAAAGAACAGAATGCTTAGGAAAAAATTTAAACCAAGAAGTTGAAAGACCTGTACACCAGAAACTATAAAAGATTGATGAAAAAAACTGAAGACAACACAAATAAGTGGAAAGACATACTGTGTTCACAAGTGGAGAAATTAATAGTGTTAAAATGTCCACACTACCCAAAGTGATCTACAGATTCCCCAATCAAAATTTCAATGACATTTTTTACAGAAATAGAAAAAACAATCCTAAAATTTGTATGGAACCACGAAAGACCCCAAATATCTGAAGTAATCTCAAGCAAAAAGAACAAAGCTAGAGGCATCACACTATCTAACTTCAAAGTATACTACCAAGCTACAGTAATCAATACAGCATGCTGCTGGTATAAAAAGAGACACACAGATCAATGGAATGGAATAGAGGGCCCAGAAATAAATCTACACATATACAGTCAATTGATTTTCAACAAAGGTGCCAAGAATGCACAATGGGGAAAGCACAGCCTCTTCAATAAATGGTGTTAGGAAAACTGGACACCACACACATAAGAATGAAATTCGACCCTTACTTCATACTAAATATAAAAATCAACTCAAAATGGACTAAAGATTCAAATGTAAACCTTGAAACCATAAAAATACTAGAAGAAAACATAGCAGAAATTCTCCATGACATTATTCTGGGTGATGATTCTTTGGATATGACCCCAAAAGCACAGGCAACCAAAAACAAAAACAAAAAAATAGATAACTGGGATTACATCAAACTAAAGAGCTCTGCACAGCAAAGAAAACAATCAACACACTGAAAGACAACCTGCAGCCTGGAAAAAAATATATGCAAACCATGCATCTGATAAAAGACTAATATCCAAAATATATGAGGAACTCAAACAACTCAATAGCAAGAAAATAAATAACCTGATTTTAAAATGGGTGAAGGACTTGAAAAGACATTTCTCAAAAGACGACATACAAATAGGCAACAGGTGTATGAAAAAATGCCCAACATTACTAATCATCAGAGACATGCAAATTAATACCACAATGAGATATCACTTCACACGTGCTAGAATGGCTATTATCGAAAAGATGAAGATAGATTTTTGCAAGGATATAGAGAGCAGAGAAAAAGGATCCACTGTATACTGTTGGTGGGAATGAAAACTAGTATAGCCATTATGGAAAATTTTAAGGTTCCTCAAAAATTAAATTATTGACCTAGCAATTCCAAAACTGTGTATACATCCAAAGGAAACAAAACCAGTATTTCAAAAAGATATCTGTACTTCCATTTTCACTGCAGTACTAGTTACAATAGTCAAGATATGGAATCAACCTAAGTGTCCATGAAGAGAAGAATGGACAAAGAAAATGTGAAATATATATCCCCAATGGAATTGTGTGTGTGTGTGTGTGTGTGTACAAATATAATTATATTAAAGGCTGAATACTATTCAGCCTTTAAAAAGAAGGAAATCCTGTCATTTTCAACAACATGAATGAACCTGGAAGACATTATGTTAAGAGAAATAGGCCAGACACAGAAAGACAAATAATCACATGATTTCATGTGTATGTGTAATCTAAAAAAGCTGAACTCATTGAATCAAAGAGTAGAATGGTGGTGGGTGGGGGCAGGTGGAGAGTTGGGGAGATGTTGTTCAAAGGATATAAAATTTCACTTGATAAGAGGAATAAGTTCAAGAGATTTATTGTACAATATGGTGACTACAGTTCATAACAATGTATTTTATTTTGAAAAACATTAAGGGGATTTTAAGTCTTCTCACCACAAAACATGATGAGTACCTGAGATAATGCATATGTTAATTAGCTCAATTTGGCCATTTCACAATGTATACAGATTTCCACATCATGTTATACACTATAAATATGTATAATTTTTATTTTTCAATTTAAAAAATTATTTTTTTAAGTAGAAAAACTTGATGAGACCCATGTTTTCAGAAAGGTATTTGTCCACAATGAGAAAAATGGTTTGACGGAAAGGAGCCCAAAAGTAGGAAAAATTACTAAGTTCAGGTGAAAAAAAAGAAGGGCTCACCATAAGTCAAAAGACATGAAGTGAACAAAACAGATGCAAGAACATCCAATTTAGTGACTGATGGCTTGAACCAGAACAGGGGGTGGTTGCTGGTGGGGTGTTGGTGGTAATCAAAGCATCCTGTCAAAATGAGAATCTACAGAAGTTGGTGAGATGCATGTGTCAAAGTCAAATAGATCAAAAGCTAAGAGAGGAAATAAACCAAGATGACAGTGATTTTAAACTCACTTTCTGCAAGAAGCTTGGTTAATTTTAAAACATCATCCATAAATGGCATACTAAGTGACAGAATATGACCTCAACACATAATCACAAATTTAAATAGTAAGACTTTTCATCATGGTGATCACCTTATTTGCTAAATTATAAACTTTTTTTTCCTCCAACAAAATTGGAATGTAGAAACCAGAGTGCCTGAGATGTCAGAGAACAAGAAACTTTAAAAACAAAGTCATAAAAATGAATAACAGAATAAAAATGGAATCTGTACAAAGTACACATATGTAACAGCAAAAATAACAAGTGGGCAGAGGATAAGAATTCGAAGAGGTTAGCCTATAAGTTCTAAAATAAAAACTCTTCTATTTCAGTAATTCCTCATTCATCCTTACCTTGGCTTATGGCATTGTTTCCTATGCCTCACTTGAAGATGTCTGAAAGGACTATCGTGACACACATTTGTCCTGTTACAAAGAAGTGGGCTTGATTGCTCCAACAGTTGGTAGGTTTTTCCTCGTCCTCTATGCCTGTATTGCGTCACCTCGGAAGGCTTATGTTACAGGTAAGCAGTAGGCCAGGCATGTAACATTAGAATATATCCAAGCATTAACTGTTCATACTACCACTAGTTTAGATACCCCCTCAGTGTGATCCCAGCTCAGCCATTTTTCAGCTGTTGTTACGTGAGCTAAAATGTCCTTCATGGTCCAACTTTACATTCCCAAAGATGGTACAGAAAACATGCATTTCTGTCTTGCTATGTCTGAAAAACAAGGGATAGTTGGTCACTGACAGTAGTCACTGTTTAAAAGTCACCAGCCCTGCTCTTTCTTTTTTTCTCTCTTTTTTTTTTTGAGATGTAGTCTCCAGTGCAGTGGCACGATTTCGGCTCACTGCAACCTCTGCCTCCCAGGTTCAAGCAATTCTCCTGTCTCAGTCCCCCAAGTAGTTGGGATTACAGGTGCACACCACCACGCCCAGCTAGTTTGAGACGAGGTTTCTCCATGTTGGCCAGGCTGGTCTTGAACTTCTGAGCTCAGGAGATCCGCCCACCTCAGCCTCCCGAAGTGCTGGGATTACAGGCGTGAGCCACCGTGCCCGGCCCCTGCTTTTTCAAGAGAACTGGCTGATGAGCTTCCTGGGACCACTGGTTAGACTGCTGGCTCTCCCTTTCCTCTGCAGCCTCTCCATCCTGAATACAATTCCAGAGCCATAACCGTCAAGTAAATGCTTTTTTTTTTTAACCTTTTAAATATTAAACAACTATACAAAGCCAGTCTTCAGTGAAACATGCTGTTAGTATAAGGATACAGATTTCTGGCGTTGACTCATTTCCAGTTATTATGCATTCCAAATCACATGCCAAAATTTTAATGAACTTTCAAATTTACATTTATGAAAACAGACCTTGGCACACATAAATAGGTTATTTTTCCATATCACTTTTCAAAAGGTGCCTCATAGCTAAAATGATTCTGAGCTGTCTTCTGTCATTCAAGATGAACTCTACAAAAGAACTTAGTGTTCTTACTTTTACACTAATTTATTCTACATTCATTTTAGTCAGCATATGGCAAGCATATGGGAAAGAGAAGTGTATCTGGAAGCTGTTAGAACTGCATGTAATCAAAATCTACCAGTAGAAACCTAATTTGATTAATTGAAAATTAAAGTAGTAGTTAATCACTTGCTATTTAAGTAGGGGGTGGGTATCACTTAAAAACGAATCTTTCTCAAACATGTAAAATTAATTCTCTTTGTTCCAAATCAACACTTACTATTCAATTGGCAGTATGAAGAGTGCAAGGCACCCCCTAAAACCTTTAACAAGTAGGCCCTGGCTTAATGCGAAAGTGAGTAGTAAATTTTCAAGACGGTGTCTACATTTGAAAGAGAACTGTTTCTTAAAACATCACTTTAGCAGTTAATTGACCTTTAAAAGAAGGGAAAGGGGACTAGCTGAATCCAGATCAAGTTCCACCGATATCTACCTCTTAAGTTTTGAAGCTTACAAACAATCTACAAATTCATATAATCTGTTAATTGAGCATCTTTCGGCAATCTACTTCTTACTTACAAGGCACCAAAAGAAAATCAGTGTCTGGGGAAGAGCTAAGGAAATATTTCTGAAGCCTAAAATTGCCTCCCCCAAGTTGACTGCAGCCTAGGCTCAAAACTTCCTTCATTTTTTTAAAATGAGAATGTTAACCCTACAAAAACGTATTCATAAAAAGGTCCTAGTTTATATAACATTTCTTAAAGCTTGCCTTTAAAAAAGAGACCCTTATAGGTTTCCTCCTTTCTTCCCAAATCTTTGGTCTAACAAAGTAATCAAAACCAAAATTAATCTCATGTTCAAAGCCAGCAGATGATTTCTCAAGATTACCCAATTTCTTCCTGCCCATGCATGCAAGAATTTGCTTATTAACTTCCTCAAAGATAGAGCAGCAATATTAGAAGAAAATTAACCAATCACAAAATGTCATGTAGTCTATTCCCAAAATGGAAAAAAAAAAAAAAAAACAAATCTCAAGCCCAGAAAAATAGATAAATCAATTGGCTCAACATTTTAATGTTAAAATCATAATAGAATAAAAGGAAAAGGAAAGGTACTCTTCACAATAAGAATCTATAACAATCCAAATAAAGTATGCCTAAAATCATGATTAGACATCAAAATATAACACATTTGTTTAAAAAAAGAATAAAAGCAGTTTACATGAGGGGAGAGGTAGCCATAATAAATCTGGAAATTAATTCAATAACATTAAGATATTCAAATGTATATTCCCTGCTGCTTAATCCAAAAGGAGAGGTTCTATTTCAATGCATCACAATAAAATAGTTTAGCATCTGTCTCCTACTAACCAGAATCACAGATTTTGAAACTGCTCTAAATTTAAAATACTGCAACTTTCCCATCATAATGTTCTTATTTATGGTCTCACAAAACTGCAGGTAAATGAAAAACCTACAGAACACTTGAAACAAGTAAGGATGACAACAGATCCATTCCCTTACCTCTCACCCCACATTCCGCCCTTCCCCTTTTATAAAGAAAAATGTCTTCAGTCCTATCAGTTTCCTTTCACAAACACTCTGCATCATGTATCCTCAGGAGGCCCATCCACTAAAAGGAGAATGAAAGTGTTTACAGATGGTAGAAAGAGATAGGAGAGGACACTACCGCAGTGCCAACACTATCATCCCAGGATCTAGAGACCTAAAGCAGAAGAAATTCTAGTCAACAAAACCCCAGTCATAACTGTAGGGAGGAACTGAAAGTAAATCTTAGAGGTAAAGAATGAAGAAGACAAAAGATTAAAAATTCAGGCACAAGAAATGATTTAGATGGGTAAGAACAAACCACTGCTTTACAAAGTCAGACTTCATACAATTCAAGTAGACTAGCCTCGTAAATTAAAGAAACTTAACAGAACAAAAAGTAATAAATTCATAAAAAAAAGTTTTAAACCCAAACGGCTAAAAAGATTTGACATGTTCACTAATGGAAGTATAAAATAAGTATCTATAAACCCCATAGGTCCAGCAAAAACAAAATATGGCTAAGCATCCCCATTTTACAATACTGAAAAACATTTCCATTTTATGGTATCACTAATTCATATGGCTGTCGTCTCTACATCCTCAAGGAACTCATAACCAAAAGAATATGGTATATGATTTCATTTTAAATAATTTCATTTTTAAAGTCTGGTGATTGTGTGTTTGGAAAGGGGTGGTGAAGACATGACAAGGAATTACAGGTCAATGTACATCAGTGGGAATCAGAAGCACAAGGTCTCTGTTCTTTTCATGCAAGAGAGGTATCTATTGTCCTAGGCTTCATATTGCATATGATGTATGTACAATGCCCACAACCGTTTACATTCCATGAAGATCTAATGAACTCCAGTTCTGAGTGGGTTCTTCAAACTCTCTCCATTCAGAGTCCAGACTGGGTACCCAGAACATCTGGTAGCACAAATCACTGAAGTCTACCAAAGATGGCAATCTTTTTGTTTTATGGTGGATTCCTTTTTTTTAAGTATGTTCACCATGGACAGTATACTCATTAAAATATGTACTGAAAGGTATATTTATTCTGTTCAAAGTTCAGCTGAAATGTAGTGGGGGAAAAGCTTTTACTGTTTCTTTATAATTCTTTGACTCTAGATAAAAATGGTTCTCACTCTTTAGTTGTGCTTGTAGTGGCTTTAAGTCATTGAAACACCCAGGCATTGAGTAAGAGGTGGCCCTTTTGAATTTGTTGAAGATGTGTTTCTCTTCTACCTTGGTCTTTCTCCTAAGCATTAATATCTACAACACTTGAGGTTTTGGCTTTTGTTTAAGCATAAATAATTGAAATACTGTATGATACCATGTTAAAAATAAGCCACCACGCCAAGACTGTATTAATAGCACAGTTCAAGTCACTGCTGTAACGTACATGGCACTGCATCTTTCACTAACAAACGAAATGTAACCTGAACTTTGTCTTACACATAGCCTTGAAAACAGATATTTCATTACTACCACATATTTTTGTTTTATATCCTGCCAAATGATTAACTAAGTTTTATTGTAAAAGAACTGTCAATCAGAGCACAGTATAATGATCAGGGTACAATTATTATTTTTTTTTTTTTACATCTGATATCCACCACTTACAAACTTAGGCAGGCCAGTTGGCTTCCTGGAAGCTCAGGTTCTTCATAAAGATGAGAATATCAACATTACCTTAGCTGAATTATGTGAATCAAATGTGAAAATGTTTTATAAACCCTAAAATTCTATTTTTAAAACCATGAAGGAAAGACTGACAGGCTATATTAGATAAATATTAAATATTTCTGCTTGGCGAAAGAGCAAGGCACCACCACTATCAAATGATAAACTAGAAGAAAATATGTGTAACACATCTGAAAAAGAGTTAATGTCTTTAAAGAATTCCAACAACTTGATAAGCAAAAAGAATCCAAGAAGGAAAAAAATGAGCAATGAATAGGAGAAATGTGAATAAACTTAAAATATGCGAAAAGGTACTCAACCTTACTGGTTGGCAGAGATACACAAATAAAAGATCAATTTTGCCGCCAGGCGCGGTGGCTCACACCTGTAATCCCAGCACTTTGGGAGGCCAAGGTGGGCAGATCACGAGGTCAGGAGTTCAAGAGCAGCCTGGCCAACATGGTGAAACCTCATCTCTATTAAAAATACACAAAATTAGCCAGGTGTGGTGGAGTGCACCTCTAATCCCAGCTACTCAGGAGGCTGAGGCAGGAGAATCGCTTGAACCCAGGAGGCAGAGGTTGCAGTGAGCCAAGATCATATGACTGCACTCCAGCCTGGGCGACAGATCAAGACTCCATCTCAGAAAAAAAAAAAAAAAAAAAAGATCCATTTTGCAAAAACTTGGTGATTGTTAATATTCAGAGTTGGTAGTACTATAAGGAAATGTACATTTTCATACATTACTTGGGAGAGGGGTTTGAAAGTTTCTACAATCTTCCAGAAAGCATTTGGTAAAATGTTATTATTTAAATTTTTTAAATTATACATCCTTTAGTCTAGGAATCCCACTTTCAGTGTTTATTCAACTGAACTAAAGCACCAGCATTTAAAGATATGTACTCAAGAATGCTTTGCCATTACTGCTTAAAAGAACAAAAATTGGAAATGTGGTTGCCATCAATACCAGAAAGGCTAAATAAATCACATTTGGTTCTCTCTATAGAATATTATGCAGCCATTAAAAATAATGAATTATATATCTGCATCTATTAACCTCAAAATAAGTCCAAGATATGTTTAAGTGAAAAATTAAAGTCAGAGAATAATCATGTGACTGGTATTATTTAATATTATAAAATTTAAAACAAATTAAAACATTTTAAACATGTCTATTAGAGCCTAATACTAGAGTGGTGGTGTATGTGTGTGTGCATGTTCATATGGAAGGATGCTTATTAATTTCTGGGGTGACTGAGTTATAAAACTTAAACGTATTACTTTTGTAATTTAAAAAAAACTTCAAGAAAAAAATAAATAATTAAGAACAAATGAAACTGATCAGACCCAGTATTGGAAAGAATATATGCAAATACAAACATATGCAAATAATAAAAAATTGCAATTGCAATACCTTTTCTTCAAACACAAAAAAATTAATCTACCAAGAAATTTTAAGTATAACACAATGAGTTACAAGCTGGAATCTTTACAGTACAATTCCTTCTCTCAAACTATTACCAGAAGTAAAAGCAACAGTGAATTACATTATAAGATGGTAGAAAAGGCGTTATGCTATGAAGCATCATTAAATGTATCACATACATTGGGAGGCTGAGGCAGGAGGACAGCTAGAGCCCAGGATTTCATGGCCTATGACAGAGCCTATGAATAGCCACTGTACTCCAGCCTCACAACATAGTCCCTAAGAAAATATGTAAGATTTTTTTTTAAATGCATCACATACAGATACACAGACATCACAGATACACATACATACATACATATGCGCACACACATGCACACACACACACCTCTGCCTCTCCTTCCTCTTCAGCAAGTAAAGCTTAGAAGAGGAACACCTATAAGTGCTCATACTGAAGGCAGAGAAGGGCAACAGTAGCCACAGCAGACATTAATAATCTATCACAGCACTCTTCTCTGTGGAGCAGAGAGCAGCCTCAGAATTGCATTACCAGTACAGAGTTCTAAAATAGAAGAAGCCCATCCCTGAGTAGGAGAGGCATAAAGCCTAGTTGACCTTGCTGGAGCAATAAAAAGAAAAAAGCCCCCAAGTCTGAGCTGAAGATGAGACACAGACCTCTTCATGCACTTAACCTAGCACTACAAGAGCAAGCTTTCAAAAGTATTCCTTTAATAAATACTAACCTAAAATACTCATTCTTGATATGCCTCCAAGAAAGGCTGCAATGGTGCTGTTTTACGGACTGTGGAACAACAGATGTCTCCCTATCTGGCTCCTGATCTGAAATTCCATTAGCAATCATATTTTCACTCCACAGTAGATTTTTCTTAGATGTTTAATACAGCAACAGCATGCCACCATGAATCAGCAATATCAGATGCCCGCCCACTTTGATAGGTTGGTATGTTCTCCTAACCTTAAAACAGTGGCTCTCAAACTGTGACTCCAGAACTATTAGCACCACCTGGGAACCTTTGGAAGTGCAAATTCTCAGGCCCCACCCCAAATTTAATGAATCAGAAACTTTGGGGGAAGAGTCTAGCTTGTTCTGATTCTGATAATGGCTATTGTTGCAGAACCACTGCCCCTAACTATACATTATAAACAGCATCTATGAGTACAAGTGTTTTTATCCTATACACCCCCTAAGTTTAATAGTTAAAAATGCTGTTTCACTAGCATGCCATGTTATGTCATTAAGCAAAGTTCATTTATTGTTTTTGGTTTTTTAATGCAGCTGATTTTATTTTCAAGAAACTTTGTTCCCAGAAGTCAGTAACTGAAGTTACTAAAATAGCTATGACCATCACCACAACTGCTTCTAACTATACTGCCACAAAGCACAGTACATGACTAAACGCATCTCCACACTAAGCATGCAGTTTGCAGAGCCTGTCTTTTGGTTAGAACTCCTGTTTATGGCATTGCCCATTTTGCAACACAAGCTATAAAGTGACTAAGTAAATAATACATACATACTCCACGGTATAGGACAATTCAATACAAATGATCAAACATCCACTACACATAAGACACCATATTAAGAACTGTAAGTGAGGCTCTGTTATATTTCTCTACAATTTGGTTTTGGGGGTATCTCTCTGGAGAGTAGCCATAAATTCTAGTCTTGCCCTGATAGGGCTCTAGGAAATATAGTTGTAGATATTTACAGTGTACCTTTCATGAGATCCTTCTTCATCCTGGCAGACAGCCTAATGCCTAAGTGTCTGACCTGTGACCAGGTGTCCCTCTCACAGGAAACTGGTTTATACTGGCAGGTACCCTTGTGGCCCTTGTCTGACCTGTGTCCAGTTTATTCCTCCCAAGATAGCCACTCTCTGGGAGAGCTCTGACTAAGAGGAAAATTAGGTCTGGGTCTGTCAGTCCGATGAGACACAGAGGAGGAAATACAACACAAACATGTGAAATACCAGAAGCAACGTACGACAAATTGGTGAGAGGAGGAGTACCAATGCGGGCGAAAGACAAGATGGCAGGGAAATGCACTCAACCAGCAGATGGGCAGCCAGAGAGAAATGAGCTATGGGCCAAGGCCTTTATTGGGGTCCAGGGAACTAACCAAGCAGGTTTCCTGTGGGAAGTTCTAGTTGGTGGGTTTAGAGCAAGCAGGCAAAAGTTCTGTGGAGTCACACTGTGAATGAGAGTGGCTACCGTGGCGTATCTGCAGCAGTCCATGCAGGGTACGGGGGGTCAGTCAAGTAGGCTGTATCTGTATGTCCATGAGGGAGGTGGTTGTACACGGCAGGTATCTGGCTCGACCACACTGAGGAACCGGGAGGAGGCAGGGAGTGGATAGTGTGTCAAGGATGACTGAGCCCTGCTTCTGTGTGAAACAAGTTACACCTAGATTCAGAATAGATGCTGAAGCAACATAAAATTATAAAAATTCACTGTAATTCACATCTTGGTGCCTGGGCACCAGTTTTTAAATGTCAGATAAGTGTAAGTCTGAGGGGTGGATGCACTGACTGTAAGGAGAAAGTGGATTTGGTGGTCATATTCAGAGGCACAAGTCAGGAGATTCTGATGGAAAGTTGGAAGGGGTAGTAGGGAAAGACACCAGTGGGTAGGTGGTCCTCTCCCCTAGGGAGTAAGGGGTTGACTGATACGAGGCAGGTGTCTCCTGAGGAAAGCAACAGTCACCATTAATTGTAGTAACTCATTCCGGATTTTCCTTGCAGTATGGAAGTGTAGGGGTGTACATTTGAGTGGAGAACAAGGAGGATACCAGGATCATGGGCTAAGGAAACAGTGGGTTCAGGAAGAAAACCAAAAAATGTCCTGTGTCCTGATGAGTGGAGGTTTTAGTGTCCCAGGGGAAGGAATCACAGGGGCAAAGTCATCTCCAATGGAGAGGTCCTGGGTTGGGTGATATCATCTGGGATGTGAGACTGGGGTATGGCTTTTTAAGTGACTGCCCACTCGAGCTGATGCAGGCCTCTGGACTGTAAACCATTAAACACCCAAACCAGTAGCAATGAGACTAATATTCAACAAAATGATATGTAGCTGTACCATATAGGGGTTTTTATTATTTTTTTATTTTTTTTTTGGTGGTGGAGATTTAAGCTCAAATAGGTCCCCCATATCAAATGAGAAACTGCCTGGCCCATGGGACAATCTATTTTTAATAGGTCCCAGGAAAGAATGTGCCCTTGATCTAGCTGCCAGCCTTTATGGGATGGCAGCAAGATCACAAATGTATAAAGATATGACCTAGGGCAAGATAGAAACTGTTAGGGCTTTATTTGTTGGGCTGGGATTTGAAAAGGAGTCGTTTGAGGAAATCATTATGCCTCTCGATTAAATCATTACCTAACACCTGTCAGGGACATGAAAGTTCTACTGAAAGCATCTTCCAAGAAACCAGTATTGTGTTCTAGGAAGTGAAATGTGTTTCCTGGTTACCACCAGTAATATCTTCAAGGCAGGAGATTCTCAGTGTTTCTTACCTTGAAGGAACAATTTTTTTTTTTTTTTTTTTTTTTTTGAGACGGAGTCTTGCACTGTTGCCCGGGCTGGAGTGCAGTGGCGTTATCTCGGCTCACCGCAACCTCTGCCTCCCGGGTTCAGGCGATTCTCCTGCCTCAGCCTCCCTAGTAGATGGGATTACAGGTGCCCGCCACCACGCCCGGCTAATTTTTTGTATTTCTAGCAGAGATGGGGTTTCACTATGTTGGCCAGGCTGGTCTCAAACTCCTGACCTCGTGAGCCACCTGCCTTAGTCTCCCAAAGTGCTGGGATTACAGGCGTGAGCCACTGCGCCAGGCCTCAAGGAACAATTTTTAGGCAATGCTCCAATTGTTTATAATAAATGTAACGATGTCACTACTTGTAGGCCAGGGCATTCAGTGCTGAGGGGCCTGCCTGAAGTTTGGCCAAGTTTGTTTTGAAATTTTAAGTAATCTAGGACTGGCATACTTGCGGGACCTGGTGAATAGGGACTATAGGGTTTAAAGTTCCTTTTCTTTCCCTCTTGGGCTTGAAGCCAACACCATTTTTAGTTCCTATATCTGACTGATAGGAGAAAATGGGGGAGGAGGAAGGTATCTCTAGGCAGCAGCCTTTTCTTGGGATGGCCAGAGACTGTGAGATCATTAGTCCCTTTTTCTCCCCATACTCACCGTTTTGTTTTTTGTTTTGTTTTTTCTTTTTGGCAAAATCTTTTAGAATGGCCAGGCAGCTAAATAATTATTTTTCTTTCTTTGGATGTTTATCTGACGAGCTCCTGGGGTCCCATATGGCAACCATAGTAAGTGGCCACCTCTACTATGGTTGCCATCAGCCGGAGTCATAACAGGCAGCAGCCTCTTTTGAGGATCTCCCCATTGACCTTATCCGGATCAGGCTGTGGCCTTCCCCAAAGCTCAAGCACAGACCGCCTGATGTAAGACTCTGCGGCTGGGGAGTATGTCTGAAGAAAATTGAGTCAATATATATTCCACACCAGAGCAACATCTATTTGCTTTTATACAAGAAAAAGACTCACAAGCAATGTTACTAGACATGTTATATTGTGTGCCATGGGAGCATAACACCTAATGACAAAAAAATAAAACACAGAAGCAAAGCCAGTTAAGTAAGAGATATCTAGATGTCAGCCATAAACCCCAGACCCAGCTCCAGGAGTCTGTGACTATGAACACCAGCACTGCCTCAGATATCTCCTGACTCCGCTAAGGACTCACCAATCCCACCTGTGACCCACATGAAGGAGGAGAAAGTATCCCCATCACATAAGCTTGGAAACAAATGTTTACACTAAACGGCTCTCTGGTCACAACCAGCACAAACGATATTGTGACTTTTTTTTTCTAATCGCACTCCAATCTGATAGGCAGCCTCACAAAAATATGTAGAAAAGCACAACACTCTACATGTATACACACTAAAATACTTTAAATTACAGTTAATCACAGAGCTAGAGCTTCTACAGTCTTACTACTCTCATTTCTTGACTTACCTCCAAAACTTTCATTACCTGTCAGGTCCCCCTTGTTATTCCTCATTTTCTATGTCTCAGGAATGCTATTGATGCTATTGTATTAAATAACTGTCATGCCAAAGGCACATAATACTATAAAGTTTATTTGCAATGTTGAGCAGAAACATCTATTTCTTTTTTATATCAAAGCTTATTAGAATGCTCTATCATCTATGGAGTGTACAGAATCATTTCCAGATACTCTTGAACCAAAAAAGAATCTGAGCCTCTCCTAACAAGTAGTTACAACAATGTAGAAAGATTACATGGGAATGTTAAATTGGTAACACATTTTACCTCAACTCTGTTTCCAAATATATTTTCAGTAAGTTCAATGGGCAGGCTAAAAGGTAAAATCTGTCCCTAGAAGGTATATTATTTTTACAACAGGATGAGATAATTTAAAATGTATTATAATAAATCCAACTCATGCATTTTAAGCATCTACTCAATTTTCAGTAATATGCTAGAAATTTTCAGTAATATGCTGGAAACTGCTATGCAGTTTAAGGATAAATGTTTTACTTTATTAATTAGCTATAGGAAATAATATACTTACGCAGTTTTTGTATTTTTTAAAAATAGTCTAATTCCATTTTGTTCAATAAGCATTGATTTACTGTCCAGGTGCTAGTATAGGTTGTTTCAGACTTCAAGGAGCTCTTAGCCTAGTATTATATAATATTTACTGTGTATTATAATGTCATTGGAATTTTGGAAAATTTCCTCAGAAAAACAGAAAAGGAAAAGCTATATTGAGATTTTTACAAGGTATTGGCCAACAGTTTCTACCTACTGTAGAGGGCTACAAAACCAACATCAAAAAAGAACAACACAAATCTCATAGCTCTATCCACTGAGAGGGACCAGAAGGAGTGGCATCCCAGTAACAATGAACACAAATGGCACCCAGATTGAGGTTTCTAAATACAATCCCCCAATAAAAGGAACCAAGGTTTTTTAGGGTCAGCCTAGTGACAGAGTGAGACTCTGTCTCAAAAAAAAAAAAAAGAAAATTGGTTGAACCCAAGATAAGGGCAGTGAAAATACAAGGTGTGCCTAGATCATCCTGTGGGGTCAGAAAATAAAGAAGCAGGGCCAGGCGCAGTGGCTCACGCCTATTATCCCAGCACTTTGGGAGGCTGAGGCAGATGGATCACTTAAGGTCAAGAGTTTGAGACCAACCTGGCCAACATGGTGAAACCTCATCTCTACTAAAAATACAAAATAAGCCGGGTGTGCTGGTGTGGTGCCTGTAATACCAGCTACTTGGGAAGCTGAGGCAGAAAAATTGCTTGAACCTGGAAGACGGAGGTTGCAGTGAAGCCAAGATCCTGCCACTGCATTGCAGCCTGGGAGACAAGAGCAAAACTCTGTCTCAGGAAAAAAAAAAGAAAAAAGCGAGAAATCAAATAAAACAAAATAGAGAAGCAGATGGCAAAAGAGATGAAGACTTGTCAGAAGGCATAGAAGGCAACTCACAAGAAATTACACTGGCCAAAGTTGGCGTAATTTAAACAATAAAATGAGCAATAATAGTATAACCAAAAGAATAAATATTCATGAAGCATAGTGCTATGAATGAATGAATGAATGGTAGGCTGAGCGCTGTGGCTCACGCCTATAATCCTAGCACTTTGGGAGGTGGAGGCAGAGGCAGGCGGATCACCTGAGGTCAGGAGTTCGCAACCAGCCTGGCCAACATGGTGAAACCTCATATCTACTAAAAATAAAAAATTAGCCGGGCGTGGTGGCACGCGCCTGTAATCCCAGCTACTCAGGAGGCTGAGGCAGGAGAAATCACTTGAACCCAGGAGGCAGAGGTTGCAGTGAGCCAAGATCGCGCCATTGCACTCCAACCTGGGCAAGAGAGCAAAAACTCCGTCTCAAAACAAACAAACAAACAAACAAAAAAAGGCAACTTTTCCTTACAGAAAAATTATAATTAACAAATGCAGAAGAAAATAAGAGAAACAGAAAAACACCATGAGAACATTACAGTGGTAACTGCTCCAGGCAAAATGCAAGAATGGAAACAAAAATAAGTGGGCAAAATTTTAAGCACAAACAAGATATCACGCAATCTCAAAGTATCTCTCCCAAGACACTTAGTAATCATAAAGATAAAATAAAATTTTATAGTGAAGGATCCTAACAGATACCACCTTAAACAAGTGAACAAGGTTAACACCAGTAATACATACTGATATCATGTACCATGTACCCCTGAGGTGATGGAATGAATGAGAAGGGCTTATCGAATGTATGGAGTCCTTCTCAATAATGTAACCACAGTCTAATCACGAGAAAACATCAGACAAACCCCAAATCAAGGGACATTCTACAAAATACCTGAAAAAGAATTTTCAAAAATATCAAGGTCATGAAAGACAAAGACAGACTGAGCAACTCACAGATAAAGGAGACTAAAGAAACATGACAACTAACTGCAATGTGGGATCCTGGTTTGGATCCTGATTTTGCTGACCCTGCAATACTCTTTAAATTAACTAATGCTTTCATTAATTAACAATGAGTTAATTCTTCCTTCCTATAAAAGGTAAAAAAGGAATAGTGTTTTTAAATCATTAAATAGAAAAAAGTTGGAAATACTTATTAACCAGAAGAAATTTAGATTACTCTTTAAATTACAGACTTTTAAAATAAATATTTGCTAAATACAATCAATGTGGTATCCTAGATTAGATCTTGAAACACAAAAAAAAGATATTAGTAGAAAAACTAGACAAATCTGAATAAAGTCTGGAAATTAGTTAATAATGGTGTGCCAATATTAGCTTATCAGTTTTTACAAAAGTTTTTACAAAACCCTTAAAGACTTTTAACAATAGAGGAAATCGAGTGAGGAGTATACAGGGACACTCTATACTATGAAACTTTTCTGTAGACCTAAATTTATTCCAAGACAAAAAGTTTTTTATTTATATGTCATCACTTTTAGGTACCTAATGATTGCCAGATGGAAGCATGTCATTATATTAGGCCATATTAAGAGCCATATATAGGCTTTTTTGACTATATGATATACAATGACGTACATAGTTAAACTCACAGAATATCACTGAATCTCACTTTTCAAAAGAATACATACATGTGGCCAACAATCATATGAAAAAAAGCTCAACATCACTGATCATTAGAGAAATACTAATCAAAACCACAGTGAGAAACCATCTCACGTCAGTCAGAATGCCTATTATTAAGAAATCAAAAAATAACAGATGCTGGCAAGGTTGTGGAGAAAATGAAATGCTTATACACTGTTGGTGGGAGTGTAAATTAGTTCAACCATTGTGGAAGACAGTGTGGTGATTCCTGAAAGAACTAAAAACAGAATTACCATTTGACCCAGCAATTTCATTACTAGGTATATACCCAAAGGAATATAAATCATTCTATTATAAAGACACATACATGTATATGTTCACTGCAGCACTATTCACAGTAGCAACGACATGGAATCAACCTAAATGCCCATCTATGGTAGACTGGATAAAGAAAATATGGTACATATATGCCATGGAATACTATGTAACCATAAAAACGAATGAGATCATGTCCTTTGCAGGGACATGGGTGGAGCTGGAGGCCATTATCTTTAGGAAACTTAACACAGGAACAGAAAGCCAAATACCACATGTTCTCACTTATAAGTGGGAGCTAAATGATGAGAACACATGGACACATAGAGGGGAACAACACACACTGGGGCCTGTTGGAGGGTGGAGAGTGAAAGGAGGGAGAGGATCAGAAAAAATAACTAATGGGTACTAGGCTTATACCTGGGTGATGAAATAATCTGTACAACAAACCTCTATGACACAAGTTTACCTACATAACAAATCTGCACATGGACCCCTGAACTTAAAAGTCAAATTAAAAAAAAAAAGAATATCACTGAGTCTCAATTGGAATAAATTGAGACAGTCACATAAACAGCTCACAAATCCTATCAATGAAAAAGCACTTATTTCGAGTTACTTTGTACCAGCTAAGTTCCATCCTAAATGCTGTGAAAAGTGATTTCCTTCATGTAACTTAAAGTCCAGCAAAATAGGAAGGCATATAAATAAAAAATAATGTGAAAAATAATACAAGAAAATGAATAGAGACTAATATGAATAACACCGCAATAAAAACACACAAGGGTTAGGCACACAACAAAAATGGTTGACTGGGAGACAGTACAGACTTCCCTAGAGACAGAGAGATGGTTGAACTGAGTCTTCAATTAGGAGCACAAGTTAGCCAATCCTAAGAAAAAGGGGACGTTCTCAGAAAGGAGGATAACATCTTAAAGGCACAGGGACAGGAAAATCCAAGGAACATTTGGGAATAGCAAAGTGTTAGAAGAGAATGCTGGCCATGGCCACGGCTGCAGAAAAAGCCAGAGACGCAGCAACTGTCCTAAAGCTGAGGGAAGACTAAGAGTGGGAGAAGCAGGACATGTAGAATAGTGGAAAAGGCAGGATTTCTTCTAAGACAAAAGAGTTGTAGACAGGCTGAGGATGTGGAAGAATTCACAGAACCTTTGAAATAATTTTTTTAAATTTAAATGAGTTGCACAGCTAAGCTGTAAACTTTTTTTTTGTTCTTTCTTTTTTTTTTAAAGGAGAGAGTCTTGCTCTGTCACCCAAGCTGGAGCACAATGGGCGATCTCGGCTCACTGCAACCTCCACCTCCTGAGTTCAAGCGATTCTCCTGCCTCAGCCTCCCTAGCAGCTGGGACTTCAGGTATGCACCATCGCATCCGGCTACTTTTTGTACTTTTAGCAGTGATGGGGTTTCGCCGTGTTGGCCAGTCTGGTTTCGAACTCCTGACTTCAGGTGATCTGCCCACCTTGGCCTCCCAAAGTGATGGGATTACAGGCATGAGCCACTGCACCCAGCCTAAGCTGTAAACTTTAAACCAAATCAATTGAGAATTTGTTCCTCAAAAAAAGAGTCTCCTGCTCACTCTCTCTCGCTGTGTGTGTATATGTGTGTGTGTGTGTGTGTGTGTGTGTAAATGAGAGAAAATGGATGTGAAATGAGTTCAAAACCCTCAAGAAAACAGAAGAAGAAATCATTTAACTGTAACTCAAACTCAAGCCTCTATGGTGGCTTTTGATTCATTACCACATTACAGTAACTATCATAAAAGCAAAGTTTAAACTGACAATGTTGGATATAGATGCTCTAAGCAGGAAGAAATGGTAAGAAAATGTGTTCTCAAGTAATGCATGAAAAAGAAAATTCAGTGCTTTCTGTTCTTTAAATAGGTATTGAATCCTGGATTTAATGGAGAAAAATCCCTTATTGTTCGTGATGCCATAAGCAATTAAGACCAGCTAGAACTCATTAATTGCTGAAAAAATAGCCGTAATATTCTCATTCTATTTATCCAATGCAGCTTAGTATTCAAGGTTAACAGCAGTCTAAAAGAAGAGGAAAGAATGAAGAAGAAAACAAGAAATGTAATAGGAACTAAAGGGAGACAGCACGTGATATTAAAAGGGAAAATTATAATTAAGTTTTGACTGTCACAGTTTTTTTTTTTTTTAACACTCTGAAATATGTGGTGGAAACTTTCCTCATTAAACTGAATGTAAAAATGTAGAAACACATTTATTTCTAGAGCCCAGAAACAAGTTTTGATACAAAAAAAAAATTATTTAAAGAAAGATTCCCACTACCAGCACTAAACTGTTCATGTTTTTAAAGTACTACTGTAGTACAGAAACAAGTTCCATAGAGAAGACTGTTAGGTAGTTTCCATTCCAAATAAGACAGCCAAAGTCATCCCTTCCAGCTTTGAAAGTGACCAAAAAAAAAAAAAAAGAATTTTAAAAATTAAAATAGTTCTGTGCTGTATTTAAATGATAAATTGGATATTAAAGCTTAAACATTATTTGAAAGAAAGCAATTAACATATTTTAAAATTAGCTTTTCCTCTTCAAAATAATGATATAATCATTCTGGACCAAAACAGTAATTATATCTTCTCTTAGATATAATCTCTTAGAACATATAATTATTGCCTGTCAATTTTTTACTACCCTTTTGAGGTCATATGTGATATTTATTCCCTCTTGTTTCAAATAGGTAAGGAAGAGCTTACTGCCCAGTATGCGCTTGGAGGGGAGGGTGGATACAGAAATCTGTAGTGTAGTGTAAGAAGAAAGAGTAGAGAAGAAAATAAACAGAATAAAAACAGTTGTTTTTTTTCTAAATTGCAAGGGATGCTGTCAAGAGAATCAAAAGAAAAGCCACAGACTAGAAGGAAATAAATGACATATTTGATAAAGGATATACAATATACAAAGGGCCCAGTGCAGTAGCTAACACCTCTAATCTCAGCATGTGGTGGTGCGTGCCTGTAGGGCCAGCTACTCTGGAGGCTGAGATAGGAGAATCATCTGAGCTAAAGGAAGTCGAGGCTTCAGTGAGACGTGATTGTGCCACTGCACTCCAGCCTGGGCAACAGAGTGAGACCCTGTCTTAAAAAATAAATAAATAAATAAATAAATAAAAATAACAACAAAATATATAATGAATTCTTAAAACCCAAAAACAAACAACCCAATTCAAAAATGGGCCAAAGACCTTAACAGACAAATCACCAAAGAAGGTATACAAATGGCAAATAAGCACATTAAAAGATGCTCTACATTATCTGTCATCAAGGAAATGCAAATTAAAACAACGAGCTATTTCTACACACCTATTAGAATAGCCAAATTCCAGAATGCCGATAACACTTCATGCTGGTGAGGATATGGAGCAACAGGAACTCTCATTCATTGCTGGTAGAAATGCAAAATGGTATAGCCACTTTGGAAGACATTTGGCAGTTTCTTATAAAACTAAACATACTCTTACCATATAATCCAGCAAAGGAACTTCTTGGTATTTACTCCAAAGGAGTTGAAAATTTAAGTCCATACAAAAACCTACACATGGATGTTTATATCAGCTTTATTCATAGTTGCCAAAACTTGAAAGCAACCAAGATGTCCTTCAGTAGATGAAGAGATAAACTGTGGTACCTCCACCACACAATGGAATATTATTCAACACTAAAAGGAAATGAGCTATCAAGCCATGAGGAAACTGAAATGCATTTTACTAAATGAAAGAAGCCAGTCTGAAAAGACTACATCTGTATGATTCCAACTATATGACATTTAGGATAGGGCAAAATTATAGAGACAGTAAAAAGATCAATGGGCCGGATGGGGTGGCTCATGCCTGTAATCCCAGCACTTTGGGAGGCTGATGAGGGCAATCGCTTGAGCTCAGGAGTTCAAGACCAGCCTGGGCAACATGGAGAAACCCCATCTCTACAAAAAAAATACAAAAATTTGCCAGGCATTGTGGAGTGTGCCTATAGTCCCAGCTACTTAGAAGGCTGAAATGGGAAGTTCGCTTGAGTTCAGGAGGTGGAGGTTACAGTGAGCCAAGATCATGCCACTGCTCTCCAGCCTAGGCAACAGAGCCAGAACCCATCTCAAAAAAAAAAAAAGCCACAGACACACACAGAGAGATCAATGGTTGTCAGGGGTCAGGGGAAGTGGCAGGGAGAAGGGATGAATAGGTAGAGCACAGTGGATTTTTTGGACAGTGAAACTGCTCTATGTGATTCTATAATGGTGGATAGATGTCATTATACACTTATCCTAACCCATAAAGTATACAACAGCAAGAATATACCACTCTGGTAGGGGATGTTGATAATGGACGAAGCTGTGCATGTGTGGGGTTGGGGGTTACATAGGAAATCTCTGTACCTTCTGCTTGGCTTTGCTGTAAACCTAAAATTCCTCTAAATTTTTAAAAAGTAAGTGTTTTGCTTCTTAAAATACTATTTGTATCAAGATACAAAATTAAGATCCTTATCTCAGTTCTGGTATAACAATCTCTGCAAAAACTTCTATAAAACTACTGCATAGTACAATAGAATATTGAAATGTTTCCACCAGATGAAATGTACTGTAATCAAAATCATCTTCCATACTTTTTAAAGCAGAGAAAAGGAATAACGGTGACTAACGAAAAATAACTTTTTTTAAAAAAAATGACAGGCTCTCGGGCTCTCATTGTGTTACCAGGTGAACTCAAACTCCTGGGCTCTAGCAATTCTCCCAGAAATAACATTTTTAAATAAAAATAGTAAATAAAAATTACTGTGGCACAGGGTAGCTGTCATGAATGACCCACCAAAAGTTTTACCAAATATCTCAAGTGTGATTATCACTCATACCTGTTCCCCATTCCCTTCATCCCAGCCCAGCAAATCTCTGAATGAGGTTCCTGCTGGGCACTGCTTGCCTGAAGGTTCCCCAACTCCACACCCCCTCTACCTTGCTTGTTTTCACAAATGTATTCCCAAAGGAGACAAGAAGTCAAAACTTGTCCTTCCAAAAGGAAAAAGACAAATGCTAAATCCTTGTGAGCAGCTTCAGTCAGAAGGGAGCAGGAACCCTGTCAGGCTACAGAGGGCGCTACAACATCCTCAGCATTCAGGAAGGCACCTAGTAGCTTGGCCCAGTGAGGGTAGAGGATAAAGGAGGGGAAAAAGAGGGAAGGGGAAGAAAGGGATGAGAAGTATAAGGAAGGAGACAGGGGAGAGGATATGAACAAGAAAGTAGAATTAAGAAGAAAGACTAAAAAAAAAAAAAAAAAAAACAGAGGCGTGAAAAAAGTAGCTAGCTCCTCAACATTTATAAGTTCTACAAACAGAAAGACAAATTCAAGGCCGGGCACAGTGGCTCACGCCTGTAATCCCAGCACTTTGGGAGGCCGACACAAGCGGATCACCTGAGGTCAGGAGTTTGAGACCAGTCTGGCCAACATGGTGAAATCCTGTCTGTACTAAAAGTACAAAAATTACCGAGTGTGGTGGCGTGCACATGTAATCCCAGCTACTTGGTAGGCTGACGCATGAGAATTGCTTGAACCCGGAAGGCGGAGGTTACAGTGTGCTGAGATCCTGCCACTGCACTCCAGCCTGGGCAACAGTAAGACTCTGACTTAAATAAAAAATAAAAAATAAAGACATCTTAGAGTTTTTTACAGTACTGAGGTTTTAAATGAAATCTAAAGCTCTTGTTTTCATTCCTCCTATCAAATGTTAACAGTATCCCCACTACACATGCTTCTTATTTCATTCATCTGTAAACCATTCCTGTCAACTCTCAAATGTAGGTCTAGTCAGTCCCAAGGTCACTGAGCACACAGGCTTCTCCATTTAATAGGTTTAGGATACAACCTTGTTGCTGTAAGATTCTTTTCAGCCCTTTTAATGTGTCAGTCCAGGCTTTTAATACCTTTCATCAAACTATTACTTATAACTGGTCTCACAAGACCGATTGTAGTCTAGGTTGAAGCCTGACCCTCTAAATTTACATGTTGTGACATTCTTTAAGAATTTATTGAAAATTATGGCAAGAACATTTGTACTGAGACCAAAAAAGCAATACATTTTATAATTTTGGCTATCACTAAGAAAGGCTTGGAGTTTGACAAGGTAGAAAGGGTGGTGGGAAGCATTGCTTTGGAGAAGATATGTATGTTCAAGATCAGAAAATACTGTAACATTTCATGGAAAAAAATTCCATAAAATACTAGGGTATAAAAATCACGTAAAACCAAAAGATGTGTTCATTAGGCACCCATGAGGTGCCAAACACTCTGCTAGCTGACAATAATGAACTTTTTTAAAAAGTAAGCTTATCAAAGACTAGTGTACATACATACAGAAAAGTGCAATGATAATAGGTATACAGTTTGATGAAGTTAAACTAAATCAACAAACCCAATAAACTACCTCTCAGTTCAAGAAATGGAACATTACCAGTTTCCCAGAAGCCTTCCCCAGTACCCACTAACATTACTACACCCCACAAACTAGACCTGCCAAAAGGTAGTACCATCCTGGTTCTGAACTTTTTATTAACAGAAGCATAGAATACACATGCTTATGTGTATTGCTTATGTGTATGGCTTATGCATAGAATACACATGCTTATGTGTATGGCTTCTTAAGAGTCATTCACATTACTGAGTATAGCAGCAGTTAGTTCATATTCACTAATGTAGATCATTCTGTTGTAGGAACATTCTACAATGATTGACAGTTTTAAGCTATTATAAGTAGTACTCTAGAAATATTCTTGTACATGTCTTGTACATGTACCCACACACACATATGCACATTCCTAGGAGTAGAACAGCTAGATCCTTGGGTATGTTTATGTTTAACTTTACTGGCAGTTTTCCTAAGTGCTCACATCAATTTACATTCCCACCAGCAGAGTGAGAATTTCTGTTGTTCTACATTCCTGCCAATACTTCATTGTCTTTAGCAATTCTGGTGGTGGTGTAGTGAAATCACCTTGTGGTTTAATTTGCATTTCCCTAATGACTAATGAGGCTAGGCACCTTTCATATGTTTATTGTATATATTGGACACTTACGAAGTGTCTGTTGAAGTCTTTCATTCACTTTTTCTATTGGATTGGCTGCCTTTTCTGAATTGATTTGGCAAAATCCTTTATATATTCTGGACACAAGTACTTGGTCCAAAGCTTTTAATCTATTTAGTATGAACATGATACACACAGGGAAAAGACAAAGAACAGTGTAAGATCAAAGGGTAAGGTTATGTAACCAGCCTATGAGTGTTCTAGGAACACAGAACAAGGAATAATCAATTTAAGGTTATTGTGGACAGAGAAGAATATATAAAGAAGGGAAATCTGGAGGTGAACCATCAAGAAATTTAATACATTTATCAGGTAGAACAATATGCAAAAGCATAAAGAGCCATAAGCAGCAAAATTCAACTCAGAATGAGCCTTATTCCTGGATTAACATAATTTCCTCTCCTAAGGGTCAAATCTTTCCTAAGGTTCAAATCTTTACTGGGCACAAAATAGGTTGGATAAAAATGAGGGCAGATGACAGTAGTCTATGGAGTTTTGAACAGACCTTACTTAACACTTCAAATACCTTATCTCATTTAATCACAACCCTGTAATATAGGTATTTACCAAAGAAAAGTCACCTAATGTCACAGCTAATCAGCAGTGGAATTAGCCTAAGCACTGAGGTCTGCCACTTCTAAAGTCCATGATTTTTCCACTGAACAGTCTGTATCTCAACAAGCAAAATTAAAGTTCCCACTATGGTAGCTCCTGGGAACTGAAGACAAAAACAATAACTAAACTGGAACATCAAAAGCTTTAGAATTTCATATAGGTAATGTTTGGTCTTCTTATATAATGCATTTCAAAAAAATGTGCTCAAATTGAATATCCAAGAGTCAAACTGGAAAAGTCAAACAACAGGCTTGCTGAAGTGCCACAATTCTAAAATACCTGTATTTCAGAATGACACCATTAATTCTGTAACATCTTAAGGTGAACACATTAAATGAGCACATTTATTACACGGTATCCTGATTTCAGAAATGAGGAAAGTGTTACACCTTAGAACCAAGAAAGCACAATAAATGTTATGAGAGATTATCTATTCCCAGTGCAATAGAAGTTTATTAAAATCCCTAATTATCTGTAACGTTTTTAGAAACAATCTTCAACAAAATAGTTCCAGCATTTGGTACATGTTCATTAACTGTGTTCTTCTGCCTCATCATTAAACACAGCTTAAATCTAATGAGCATCTAATTGAGGTTAAAGACCCATCCTAATGATTTCCATCTTTATCTCAATCACATTAAGATTATGGCTATACCACTGGGTGTGTGTATAAATATATCCATGTGTGTGTTCACACAAATACATAAAGCCATTCTCTGATTTCAACTTATTTTTATAAAATGGGATAATGCATTTAATCTGTTACACAAATATATACTGCTGTGTAGACAGGGATAGCACACCGCCAAAACCCAACTGGTAACAGGAAAGTGGCTATATTAGTTTCCTGTGGCTGCTGTTAACAAACTACCACAAACTTTGTGCTTTAAAATAACAGAAACGTATTTCCCCACAGTTCTGGAGGCGAGTAGCTCACAATCAGTTTCACTGCACTGAAATCAAGGTTTCATCAGAGCTGCGCTCCCCACAAAGGCTCTAGGGGAGAATCTGTTCTTTGCCTTTTCCTGGTGGCCACGGACAGACATTCCTTGACTTGTGGCCCCATCACTCCATGTGTGTCTCCATCTTCACAGTGCCTTCGCCTCTGTGTGTCTGTCAAATCTCACCCTCATTTCACTAGGATACTTAAGATGAAATTTAGGGAAAACTCAGATAATCCAGGATGATCTCTTTATCTCAAGATCCTTAATTTACCGCATCTGCAAGGATCCTTTTTCCAATAAGGTAAAATTTACAGGTTCCAGGTATTAGGATGTGGACATTTTGGGGAACCAGCATTTGGCCTACAACAGCAGCCTACTGTAAAACTGTTGAGCATTCTCATCAGTTAATATACAAGGCCCCAACTGTAGACAGGGTAGGGAATTTTAATGTGTACTGTATGAAAGTTCAGAGTACACTGAAGGCCAAAATCAAGAAAAATCAAAGACTACCAGTGTCATGCTACAGATGTCTATTAGTAGTGAGAGCCTGGATCAGGGTTATCAACTCTGACTGAACATTAAAATCATCTTGGGACATTTTAAAACTACTGACTCTAGGGCCACACCTGAGACTACGCCTTACAATCTGGGTATGCAGCCTAGGTTTGGTTGGATTTTTTTTATTAACTCAGGTGATCCAAATGTGCAACCAGGTTTGAAAAACCACTAGCCCAACAGAATAACAAAATAGGATGGAGACCTTAATTATACAGTAAACTGTTTTTGGTTTGTTTTTGTTATTTTTTTACCAATTTAATGCAACCACCTCTTCTCGTTAGGGAGAAAAGATTCCTTTAAAAATCACGTTTGTAACTTAATTTGAAAATATGTTCAGATTAAAAGTTCTAAAAACTGATGCATGACACTTTTAGCCAAATCAGAGTATGTTAGCAGAATGTCAAACCCAAACCCAAATACAGTACAAAATAAATGTCTAGTTCATAAAAAGGAACCGCCAGTTAGTTCATTTAATTGACCTTTCTCTAAAAGTATCAAATGCTTGTTTGGAATAAGCCACTCATGAAAATAATCATATTGAGATCATTTTAGAATTATACTTGCTGTTTCATGATTTTATTTTTATATCAAAGACCACTACACTAAGGCATGAGAAATGACAAACAAAATTCAGAGACTAGAAAAGATGATTAATCCAATCCTTTTTTTTTTTTTTTTTTTTTTTTGGTAGGGATGGGGTTCTCACTGTGTTGCCCAGGCTGGTCTCTAACGCCTGGCCTTTAACAATTCCCCTGCCTTGGCCTCCCAAAGCTGACAGGCATGAGCCATGGCATCCCACTGTAATCCAATTCTTTATCAACCAGGCCAGTTACACAAACTGAGGGTTTTATTTTCCTGTCTCTGATTCCTCTTCATTCTTTCTGGGGCTGCACTTTTATCTACTTACCTAGGATTGTTTACCACCTCCACTACTGAGAAAGAGAAGGGAAACTCAAAAGTCAGTTGATTCTATTTTGAAATGTGTATTTTTTGAAATGCCTCCTATTTCAAAGGAAAGCCTATACACGTCAACAGTTGGGCATAAATGTTAATGCTTGTTAATTTTGCTTAGAAACGCCATGTTTTACTTTGATTAGTATGATGAATAACTGCAAAGGTGGCAAAAACAGTATCTCAATAAACTGATTTCACAAATGAAGGAAGATTAGACCAGGAAGTCATACAACGGTTGGATTTTCATTGTTACCCTTACTTCTCACTACATGGATAAAAAATTACCAAGACTAGAACACACACATATTTCAATATTGAAACTGTTAAGTAAGAGTTACTAAATCTTTGATTTAACATACGTATTTTATTCACATACAATGAAAGGCAAAATGTATGGCCAGTGGAAAAACTTCAAAGCCAAGTCACCTATCAAAATGTTCAGAGCTTAAATCTGCCAAGATAAAGGGGTTAAGCTGTCAGCTTCTAGATGACGGAGAGAGGAATTTATTCAGCAACTTCCCTTCAAGATGTGCAAAATGTTTTCAGAAATCCGTACCTATATTATGTCTTGTTCTCTGGTAAATACATGCATAAAAACAGTTACTGAATATAAACAGGTGTTCAGTAAACCATGATTCCAAAAGTCCTGTATAAATTGCTTGCACATTTTGGGTTTTGCTTGCTCTGTAGCCCATCCTCTACATCCTGGGTTTCAATCGATTCTCCTGCCTCAGCCTTCCAAGTAGCTGGGAATACAAGCATGCACCACGACATGGATAATTTTTTGTGCTTTTAGTAGAAATGGGGTTTCACTATGTTGGCCAGCTTGGTCTCGAACTACTTATCTCAAGTGATCGGCCCACCTTGGCCTCCCAAAGTGCTGGGATTACAGGTGTGAGCCATCGTGCCTGGCGCTGCTTGTACATTTTGAGCAAATTATGTATTACATATTTTATTTACATCTTTTTAACCTAATTTAATTCATCTACTTATATTTTTAAGATACTTCTAGTTTTTTTCCCAAAAAAGAAAAATCCAAGAATAATCCAGTTTTGCTTTTAGCTTTTTTTTTTTTTTTTGATACATTGCCCTTTTTCTCCTCTCTATCCAATATTCAGTTGCTTTTTTTTTTTTTGGAAACATAGTCTTGCTCTTGTCACCCAGGCTGGAGTGTAATGGCGCGATCTCGGCTCACTGCAACCTCTACCTTCCAGGTTCAAGTGATTCTCCTGCCTCAGCCTCTGGAGTAGCTGTGATTACAGGCGTATGCCACCACGCCCAAGTAATTTTTGTGTTTTTAGTAGAGACAGCGTTTCACCATGTTGTCCAGGCTGGTCTCAAACTCCTGACCTCAGGCCATCCACCCACCTTGGGCTCCCACAGTGCTGGGATTACAGGTGTGAGCCACTGTACCTGGCCTCCTTTCAACTTTATATTCACCTATTTTTATCTTTTTTAAAAGCACCACTTGCCTTTGTTTTAATTCTCTGTCAAGCAATTAATTGAGATTTCATCCTGCTGGCAACCACTCTAGTTCTGCAGCATCCTCAATGAGAAGCAAGGTCCACTTCTCATTTGTCTTCCTTTCAACTGTTTCTATTTCCACACTTTCACTAGCAATATTAATTTCAACCAATTTCTAAGACAAGAAGTATGCCACTGAATGTATAACTGATCTTAACAACAGATTAACAAATTGTTGATTCCCTGCCATTTTCAAAATATCAAATATACAAGACAGTAATTTTTTTAAAATATTTTTTCATCTCTGAGGGAAAGGATGATTTGAAGACTCCTTTCAAATTCCCAAGAAAGCCTCTCAATATTATCTGTGTAAACTACTGATTCACAGGAATAAATATTTGTTATTTAATATAAACTAAAATGAAAATTTTTAGCTTTCACAGGAAAAGCTAAAAATTTTCATTTTAGTTTAGACTAAATAACAAATATTTACAAAACATTCACTATTCGTTAGCTTAGTGACAGACAGCACTATTCAAAAGCCCACAAAAATGACCAAATTAAAACGATTGCAAGTTGTTTTCACAGCTATGTTCCATTACAGATTTGTTAACGGCCCCTAAATGTCATGGCCTCAAGCGAAACATTAAACCTTATCAGCCATCATTTAATCTGTAAAGTGAAGATATTCAACTATGTGATAAAGTCTTCACAATAATCTAGAAAATACTGCTTAGCCAAAGTGACCCTCGCAAACATTCACCAGCAATACTTTAAAAGATTACCTTCTGTTGTTAGAAATACATTATGGAAAAATGTAAAAAAATAGGAAAAAAAAATATATATATATAAATCACTCAAACCATCACCCAAGAGTAACAACTGTGAAAATTTGTGGAATAGTAAAAGACACCAAAATGTAATATGTTCATAATCGTAAAAAATTAACACAGTTGCAGTCATATAGTATATAATTTGAGCCTACATTTTCAACTTGTATCATAAATTCTGTCCTAGGTCATTAGAACATTTAAGAAAATGTCATCTTGCTCTCTCCTTCCGCCACCCAAGGTTCCCAAAGGAAAGAAGGCCAAGAGAAAGAAGGTGGCTCCGGCCCCTGCTGTCCTGAAAAAGCAGGAGGCCAAGAAAGTGGTAAATCTCCTGTTTGAGAAAAGGCCTAAGAATTTTGGCATTGGACAGGATATGCAGCCCAAAAGGGACTTAACTCGCTTTGTGAAATGGCCCCACTATATCAGGTTGCAGCAGCAGAGCCATCCTATTACAAGCGGCTGAAAGCACTTCCTGAGATTATTAACCAGTTCACCCAGGCCCTGGACCATTAAACAGCTACTCAGCTGCTTAAGCTGGACCACAAGTACAGACCAGAGGCAAAGCAAGACAAGAAGCAGAGCTTGTTGGCCTGGGCTGAGAAGAAAGCTCCCAGCAAAGGGCACATCCCCACTAAGAGATCACCTGTCCTTCGAGCAGGAGTTAATATCATCACCACCTTGGTGGAGAACAAAAAGGCTCAGCTGGTGGTGACTGCACACAACATGGATCCCATTGAGCTGGCTGTCTTCCTGCCTGCCCTGTGTCGTAAAATGGGGGTCCCTTAAGTGCATTACCAAGGAGAAGGCAAGTCTGGGACATCTAGTTCACAGGAAGACCTGCACCACCGTCACCTTTACACAGGTTAACTTGGAAGGCAAAGGAGCTTTGACTAAGCTGGTGGAAGCCATCAGGACCAATTATAATGACAGATATGATGAGATCTGCCGTCACTGGGTCCCTAGACTGTGGCTCACATTGCCAAGCTCAAAAAGGCAAAGGCTAAAGAACTTGCCACCAAACTGGGTTAAATGTACACTGTTGAGTTTTCTGGAAATAAAAATAATTAAAATAAAACAAATTTTCCTTCAAAAGAAAAGAAAAGAAAAGAAAATGTCATCTTGATGGCTGTTTAAAAAATCTACCACCAGAATGTAAATTGGTACAGCCATTATAGAAAATAGTATGGAGGTTCCTCAAAAAATTAAAAATAGAACTACCATATGATCCAGCAATCTCACTACTGGGTATATGTCCTAAGGAAATAAAATCAGTATCTTGAAGAGATATCTGCACCCCCATGTTCACTGTAGCATTACTCACAATAGCCAAGATATGAAAACAAGCCAAGTGTCCATCCACAGATGAATAAACTGTGATACATATAAGCAACAGAATATTATTCAGTCATAAAAGAGAAGGACATCCTGCCATTTGTAGCAAAATAGATGAACCTGGAGGACATTATGCTAAGTGTAATAAGCTAGACACAGAAACACAAACACTGCATGATCCACAGGTAGAACCTAAAAACGCTGAAGTCATAGAAGCAAAGAAAGGTTGTTGCCAGGAGCTGAGAGGTGGGAGAATCAGGGACATGTTAGTCAAAGGGCACAAAGTTTCAGTTAAAATCTAACTTCTGGGGATCTCATATATATAGCATGGATGGTGATGGATATGTGAATTAATTTGTGGTAGTCATGGCACAATGTACACGTATATCAAATCATCAGGCTGTATAACTTGTACTCAATCCTAATTTGTCAATTAAATATTTTTAAGTAAATAAAAGTCATCCTTAAAAAAAAGCTACCACCAGAATATTCAACAGTTATTATACAAAATAGGGATATTTCGAAAGAGAAATGTTTAGCAAATTTATTTCTAAAAATTTTGTAAGTCATGTCTTCGGAAAGTTGCTACCGTGGGAGAACTGACCCAACTTTTAAAAAGCAAGTCAAATGAACAGCAATGGCAACGATGGGAAAAAGTCTTCATTAGAAATGCATCTTTAGAGCTTTCAACATCTGAAAAAGAGAAAGGTCCAATTTAAATAGTGATCCTATGGCCCTATTTTAATCCTTTATATAAGCTATCAAACAGATCATTCCAAATAATCTAAAGTTTAGAAATAGTTATGAATTCATGCAATCATGTGAAAAGTTCTGAACTTTAGTAGCATTCCCCTTCATTTTTCACTCTGCTTTGTCCTCCTTGGATGAACAGAACACTGTGTTCTAACTATTCTCCTCAATAAGCACACTAAACACATAAGCACTTAGAAAATTATAAAGAAAAGGCCAGGCGTAGTGGCTCACACCTGTAATCCCAACTTTGGGACGCCAAGGCGGGCGGATCACGAGGTCAGGAGATCGAGACCATCCCGGA
Organism: Homo sapiens; assembly: GCF_000001405.40. Lineage (NCBI taxonomy): Eukaryota > Metazoa > Chordata > Mammalia > Primates > Hominidae > Homo > Homo sapiens. Next base: position 20,534,697 of record NC_000009.12, read on the forward strand.
TAACACAGTGAAACCCTGTCTCTACTAAAAATACAAAAAATTAGCTGGGCGTGGTGGCAGGCGCCTATAATCCCAGCAACTTGGGAGGCTGGGGCAGGAGAATGGCATGAACCCAGGAGGCAGAGCTTGCAGTGAGCTGAGATGATGCCACTGCACTCTAGCCTGGGGGACAGGGCAAGACTCCATCTCAAAAATAAAACAAAATAAAATAAAATAAAATAAAAAGAAGAAAATTATAAAGAAAAAATAGATTAGGAACCAAAGACATGAACTAATCATGGTTTGCTCAAACAAGAATGAGCAGATCAAACTTCAAAGACTAAGTCTTTTATAGCAGGGGTCCCCAACTCCCAGGGCCTAATACTGGTACTGTTAGGAACCCTGGCCTGTTAGGTACGGGGCCACACGGCAGGTCAGCGGCAGGTGAGCTAGCGTTACCGCCTGAGCTCCACCTCCTCTCAGATCAGTGGTGGCATTAGATTGTTTCTCATAGGAGTGTGAAACCTCCTGTGAACTGCACATGTGAGGGATCTTGGTTGTGCACTCCTTATAAGAATCTAATGATGAATTTAATCTGATGATTTGAGGTGGAACAGTTTCATCCCGAAACCATCCCCCCACCCCATCCATGGAAAATTGTCTTCCATGAAACCAGTCCCTGGTGCCAAAAAGGTTGGGGACCACTGTTTTTCCATCACATAATGTAAGAAAAGAAGTACAGCAGCACCACAGGGTCAATCAGGTCTACCCCAGAAAGCCCTGGTGCCAAAGAGGCCACAGCCAGCAAGCCTTTTTTAAACACAATATAACTTTTAATAGAAACCAAGAAAAAAGGAAATGCGCAACCAAAAAAATCAATCATAAAATATTTGAGTAATGAGAGACAAAAAAATAGTTACTGAAAGAAAACCATATTCTATTCGCTCAGCAGGAAGAGACTCTGCAAGGAGCACACGTTTAGGATTACAATACGTACTGACCAGCCCTGAACCAGCAGGGTCTTGGTACAGCAGAGATGCTCACCAGAATTAAATTCAGTTCAGGAGACATTAGCTGATCCTCTCAACTCCCACATGTCCCACATCCTCAATGACATCACTGCAAAAACTGTTTGATACCGGCAAGTGTTAGGAGAAATAGGAAGATGCCCATCCATTTTTAAGCTAGAAATATCCAAACAATGCATAAATTAGACCCAATGAGGTTGCCTTTTAATCCACCAAGAGGCAGACATGACTATGTGATTTTATTACTAAACAAAACTTGTAAGGACCTCCTGTACTTATTAAATATAAAGTAGCTTTTAAAAGTCCATCACAGGTATATTTCTGACTGTAATTTTTAAAGGGGGATTTTTTTTCTTAATGTAGTCAAGCAGGCAAAGAGCCAATCAATCCATTAGAAAAATCAAAGAGCCAGAAATCTATGCTTTGTCATTAATTCAGCCATGCGACTACCATTACTACCAGCATCTTTAAAAACAAAACAAAACAAAACAAAACAAAACAAAAAAACTGGACAGCAGGGAATAAATGGATAGCAAAACAGAAAGAAGAAAATGGCTTTGTGGTATTTATCCTACAAGTGAGGTAGAGCTCATACTTCTAGCTCATGCTTGTCCTTGGGAGTGAGCAAGTGTCCAGGGTTTTGGCAGGGCACACAGTAATAAAAGAAGACACCATGAGAAAGCCTTTTCTGACTCCAGATTTTGATGGGTATCATTTAGGCAAAAAGAGTATACTGGGATTATTCAACCCTTTTCCCCACTGCCTTTAATACTGAGCACGCCATAAAAACCAATATGCAATGCTAGCCCGTAAAATTAAAATGCTATATGCCTACTGTTCTCTCGGAATCAGTCTAATGAGCCAACTGTAGCCACAGTTAGCTTAGAAGAAAAAGTGAACCAAAGGGAAAATAGTAACATAGGTAAGGCATAATACTGTAATCAAAGTCCCTTCAATTTTAAATTGGATTACTGATGAGTCTTCCTGAAGGGTAATCTTTTGTAGTAGTGCCTATTTTGTTTGTTTTAATAAAATCTACTGTGTGCATCTTTTAAAAATACAAAATTACTACAAACTACCTAGCCAAGACTATTTTTTCTCCACTCCAGTATGGGACGACTCCTGCAGGTAGTAGCTGTTTAACTAGAAAAAAAAAAAAAAACTGCCAACAAGCACATACTGTGCAGAAAACATAAGCACTACATTTATAGACAGCAGCAGCTTTCCAGAACATCTATGATGGCAGCCTGAATGAAGAACAACCGTCTGGTTCTTCATTTATAATGAAGGTTTCAGAAACACAAACATCCAGGACCATGAAACCTAGGTGCCCTGCATTGCCAGCTGTAAAACTATAGATGGGAAGTCCCAAAGTAGCCAATTATTTAAGGCCATATATGAGCTGTTTCAACATATGCATTCATATACACTTACCTTTCTCTTAACTACAGATATTTAAAATATTATACATTCTGAAATAGGTTGAAAAAAGCAAATGAGTACTCAATGTTATTAAAGCTGGGCAAGAAAGAGCTAAGGCCAAATCAATGCATACTACATACAGAATAGAATGTATTCCATATAAGTGAAAATATTACATTTGTCTAGAGTAGGGGGCAGAGTTATTTTTTAATCTGTTACGGAAATGTACAATTTACAGAAAATGATGTATTCTTTTTGTACAAGAAAATATATTTTAGATAGGCTTTCTTATCTGAAGAATGTTTTTATTTTCCTACAGATGATTATCTCACCTTCATAAACATCTTGAGTCATAAGCTCCAGTGCATGGTTTTCCTAATAAAAGAACACTTAACATTTTTCACCCATTTACACTTTAAAAAGAAGCGGGGGTGAGGGAGTCCTGCCAATTCACATGTATACATCTCAAACAAATCCTTGGTTCCAATGTGAATTTTCACATGGTTATTTTCAAATATTTGGACTAATTCAGATATAAAGCAATGCAAGCTACAAAAGCTAAATGTAATTAAAACACCAAGAAGAAGAAATTTAAAAGCACTACCATTAAATTTATAAACTTCAGATCCTGCAGATGATTTATTGCCCTATGAAAATAAAGTCTAAGTTGCAAAATGTATTTGACAGACATGGCATATTATAAGCACTCCAACATCAAAGTATCATAGTTTATGCTGTCCAAATACATTAATCTTCATCTTAGCCTAGGTTTGAAACATATATTTTAAAAACTAATTACAAATCAGAAGACAAATGATAAACTACATGGCAGACTTATAATATTCCTTAATATAAATGCAAGGTTCATATAACTATTAAAAGATTTGGAAACCTCCACTGACTTGAGAAGATAAAGTCTCCCATTATACCATCTGGGTGTTAGAATTCTTATGGAAAAAAATTATTTGTGCCCCATGTGTTCATTATTGCTGATGGAATTAGAAAGGTTAGTTTTTTTAGAACCTAAGAATTTAGCTACTATTCTCACTTTTATTTGTAAAATTCAAAGTAATAAAATATACCACATTGAAATAGCACTTAATGAGTGCCAAGCACTGTGTTTAATCCAATTAACTCTTGAAACATTTCTCTGAGGTAGTTTCTAACATTATCTTCATTTTACAGATAAGGCAATTGAAACAAAGGGGTCAAATTACTTGCCCAAAATTTATAAGTAAGTAAGTAACACAGCTGAAATTCAAATCCAGGCAATCTGGCTCCAGAGTCTTAACCACATTTCTAGAGCATGCCATATTAAACAATCCCAACCTTCTTTCCTGGCTTCCAACCTCCACCTCAATATCAGGAATACCTGAGAAGGCAAACATTCCTATCTAAATTCACACCATCTGCAATTTCTTTTGAAAAAGTAAATTCGTATACCAAAGTTGCTCCAAACATGCTTGAGATAAAAGAGAAAAGAAGGAAATTCCCTTACACTTCCCAGAAAGAGAAAATGAATACAAAATGCAAAAATTTATAAACTATATAAAATTAAAGAAGTAAGGCATTACAAATCGAGTTTTTAAACATTCCTATTTAGTCCCTTAAAAACATAAATAAAACACCAATGTTTTTTAAAAATCTGCACAGGCATACCTCAGAGATATTGTGGATTCAGTTCCAGATCACCACAACAAAGCAAATATCACAATAAAGCAAGTCAAGTAAATTTTTTGGTTTCCCAGTGCAAATAAAAGTTATGTTTATACTATAATATAATATACACATGTGCGATAGCATTATGTGTTTAAAAAATGTACATGCCTTAACTTTAAAATGCTTTATTGCTTTAAAAAAAATGCTAACAATCACTTGAGCATTCAGCAAATCATAATCTTTTCACTGGGGAGCAGTAATGCCTGGATGTTGATTGCTACCAACTGATCAGGGTGGTGGTTGCTGAAGGCTGGAGTAGCTGTGGTGATTTCTGGAAATAAGACAACAATGAAGTTTGCTACATGGATTGACTCATCCCTTCACAACAGATTTCCCTGTGGCATGTGATGCTGTTTGATAGCATTTTACCCACAGTTGAACTTCCTCCAAATTGGAGTCAATCGTCTCAAACCTTGCCACTGCTTTATCAACTAAGTTTATGCAATATTCTAAAACATTTGTTGTAATTTCAACAATGTTTACAGCATCTTTACCAAGAGTAGTACATTAGTCCATTTTCACAGTGCTATAAAGAACTACCTGAGAATGGGTAATTTATAAATAAAAGAGGTTTAATTGACTCACAGTTCCATATGGCAGGAGAGGCCTCAGGAAACTTACAATCATGGCTGAAGGCTGAAGGCAAAGGGGAAGCAAGGCACACCTTATAGGACAGCAGGAGAGAGAGAACAAGGGGAGAAGTGCCACACTTTTAAACCATCAATTCTTGTGAGAACTGACTCACTATCACAGGAATAACATGGGGGAAATCCACACCCATGATCCAATCACCTCCCACTAGATACCTCCCCTGACACACGGGGATTACAATTCAACATGAGATTTGGGTGGGGACACATAGCCAAACCATATCATTCTTCCCCTGACCCCTCCCAAATCTCATGACCTTCTCACACTGTGAGATCAATCATTCCTTCATGACAGTCCCCGAAGTCTTAACTCATTCCAGCATTAACTCAAAAGTCCAAGTTCAAAGTCTCATCTGAGATAAGGCAAGTCCCTTCCACATAAGGAAGGTCCCTTCCATCTAGAAGCCTATAAAATCAAAAACAAATTAGTTACTTCCAAGATACAATGGAGGTACAGGCATTGGGTAAATGCTCCCATTCCAAAAGGGAAAAAGTGCCCAAAACAAAGAGGCTACAAACCCCAGGCAACTCCAAAACCCAGCAAGGCAGTCACTAAATCTTAAAGCTTCAAAATAATCTCCACTGACTTCGTGTCTCACATCTAGGGCATGCTGATGCAAGGGCTGGGCTCCCAAGGCCTTGGGCAGCTCTGCCCCTGTGGCTCTGCAAGGTAGAGCCGCCACAGCTGCTTTCACGGGCTGGTGTTGAGTGTCTGCAGCTTTTCCTGGTGTACAGTGCAAGGTGTCACTGGAGGACGATGGCCCTCTTCTCACAGCTCCACTAGGCAGTGCCCCAGTGGGGATTCTGTGTAGGGGCTCCAACCCATTTACCTCCTGCACTGCCCTAGTAGAGGTTCTCCATGTGGCCTCCACCCTTCCAGCAGACTTCTGCCTGGACATCCAGGCATTTCCACACATCCTCTGAAATCTAGGCAGAGGTTCCCAAACCTCAATTCTTGCCTTCTGCACACCCACAGGTCCAACACCACGTGGAAGTCACCATGGCTTGGGGCTTGAACCCTCTGAAGCCATGGCCCAAGCTGTACCTTGGCCCCTTTTAGCCATGGCTGGAGCTGAAGTGGGTGGGGCTGGAGATGGAGCAGCTGGGACACAGGGTGCCATGTCTTAAGGCTGCACAAAGCAGCAGGGTCCTGGGCCTGGCCCCTGAAACCATTTTTCCCTCCTAGGCCTCCAGGCCAGTGATGGGAGGGGCTACTGTGAAGGTCTCTGATATAACCCTGGGGGCATTTTCCCTAATGTCTTGGCTATTAACATTTCACTCCTCTTTACTAATGCAAATTTCTGCAGCCAGCTTCAATTCCTCCCCAGAAAATGGGTTTTTCTTTTCTACGACATGGTCAGGCTGCAAATTTTCCAAGTGTTTATGCTCTGCTTCCCTTTTAAACATAAGTTCGAATTTCAGAACATCTCTTTGTGAATGCATATGACTGTATGCTGCTAGAAACATCCAAGTCAAATCTTGAATGCTCTTTGCTTAGAAATTTCTTCCACCATATACCCTAAATCACCTCTCTCAAGTTCAAAGTTCCACAAATCTCTAGGGCAGGGGTAAAATGCCACCAGCCTTTTTGCTAAATTATAGCAAGAGTGACCTTTACTCCAGTTCCCAATAAGTTCCTCTTCTCCATCTGAGACCACCTGTCTGGACTTCACTGTCCATATCACTATCAACATTTTTGTCAAAACCATACAATAAGTCTTGAGGAACTCACAAACTTCAACATCTTCCTGTATTCTTCTGAGTCCTCTGAACTGTTCCAACCTCTGCCTGGTACCCCGTTCCAAAGTTACTTCCACATTTTCAGGTATCTTTACAGCAGTGCCACACTACCAGTACCAATTTTCTATGTTAGTCTGTTTTTGCACTGCAATGAAGAACTACCTGAGTCTGGATAATTTATAAAGAAAAGAAATTTAACTGACTCACAGTTCTGCATGGTTGAAGAGGACTCAGGAAACTTACAATCATGGCAGAGAGAGAAGCAAGGCACATCTCACATGGCAGCAGGAGAGACAGCACAAAGGAGGACCTGCCACACTTTTAAAACTTCAGATCTCATGAGAACTCACTATCATAAGGCCCGCATAGGGGAAATCCGCCCCCATGATCCAATCAACACCCACCAGGTCCCTCCCCTGACATGTGGGAATTACAATTTGACATGAGATTTGGGTGAGGACATAGAGCCAAACCCTATCAAGTAGCTTCCATCTCAAAGAAACCACTTTTGTTGTTCATCCATTAGAAGCAACTCCTCATCTGTTCAAGTTTTATCATGAGATTGCCGAAATTCAGTCATATCTTCAGGTTCTACTTCAAATTCTACCTCTTTTAGTACACCTACCATATCTGCAGTCATTTCCTCCACTGAAGTCTTCAACCCCTCAAAGTCATCAAATTCTTCCAAAATCCTGTTCATGTTGATATTTTGACCCCCTCCCATGAATCACAAATGTTCATAATGGCATCTAGAATAGTATATCTTTTCCAGAGGTTTTCAATTTACTTTACCCAGTTCTATCAGAAGAATCACTATCTATGGCAGCTGTTGCTTTATGAAATATATTTCTTATATAATAGTAAGTGAAAGTCAAAAATTACTCCTTGACCCATGAGCTGTAGAATGGGTGTTGTGTTGCCAGGCAAGAAAATAGTATCAATCTCCTCATACATTCCCATCACAGCTCTTCTGTAACCAGGCACATGGTCAATGAGCAGTAATATTTTTTTTTTTTTTTTTTTTTTTGAGACGGAGTCTTGCTCTGTCGCCCAGGCCGGACTGCGGACCGCAGTGGCGCAATCTCGGCTCACTGAAAGCTCCGCTTCCCAGGTTCACGCCATTCTCCTGCCTCAGCCTCCCGAGTAGCTGGGACTACAGGCGCCCGCCACCGCGCCCGGCTAATTTTTTGTATTTTTAGTAGAGATGGGGTTTCACCTTGTTAGCCAGGATGGTCTCGATCTCCTGACCTCATGATCCACCCGCCTCGGCCTCCCAAAGTGCTGGGATTACAGGCGTGAGCCAGAGCAGTAATATTTTTAAAGGAGTCTTTTTTTTCTGAGCAGTAGGGCTCAACAGTGGGTTTAAACTATTCAGTAAGCCATGCAGTAAACAGATGTGCTGTCATCCAAGCTTTGCTCTTCCACTTCTACACTACAAGCAGAGTAAAATTAGCATAATTCTTAAGGAACCTAGGATTTTCAGAATGGTAAATGAGCAGTGGCCCTTAACAAGAAAGCCATCCTGTCCTTTGAAGATTTGAAGCTAGGCATTGACTCCTCATCCTGGATGGTATCTTCACCATTAGAAAGCTGTTTGGTTTACATTGAAAATCTGTTGTTTAGTGTAGCCACCTTTCTCAATGATCTTAGCTAGAGCTTCTGGATAACTTGCTGCAGCTTCTACGTCAGCACTTGCTGCTTCACCTTGCACTTTCATATTATAATGGTAGCTTCTTTCTTCAAATATCATGAAACAACCTCTGCTAGCTTCAAACATTTCTTCTGCAGTTTCCTCACTCCTCTCAGCCTTCAAAGAATTGAAGAGATTTAGGGCCTTGCTCTGGATTAGGCTTTGGCTCAAGGGAAAATTGTGGCTGGTTTGATCTACCCAGACCACTAAACTTTCTCCATATTAGCAATAACCCTGTGTCGCTTTCTTAACATTCGACTGTTCACTGAAGGAGCACATTTAGTTTCCTGCAAGAAATTTTCCTTCACACTCACAAGCTGGCTAACTACTTGGTACAAGAGGCCTAACTTTTGACCTAACTCACCCAGCTTTTGACATGCTTTCCTCACAGCACTTAATCATTTCTAGCTTTTAATTTAAAGTGACAGACATGCAGCTCTTCCTTTCACTGGAATACACAGTTCAAGTCTTACATGGGTATGGCTTATGGTGCCCCCAAAACAGTTACAATAGTATCTTCAAAGATCACTAGTCACATTCCCATAACATATATAAGAATAATGAAAAACTGGCCAGGTGCAGTGGCTCATGCCTCTAATCCCAGCACTTTGGGAGGCCAAGAAGGGAGGATTGCTTGAGGTCAGGAGTTTGAGTCTACAGCGGGCTATGATCGTGCCGGTATACTCCAACCTGGGCAGAAGAATGAGACCCTGTCCCAGAAAGAAGAAGAAGGAAAAGAAGGAGGAGAAGGAGAAGAGGAGGAGGAAGAGGAAGAGGAAGAGGAGGAGGACGGAGGAGGAAGGAGGAAGGAGGAGGAGGAGGATAAAAGGAAGGAAAAGGAGGAGGAGGAGGAAAAAAACTGAAAACATTGCAAGAATTACCAAATTATGGCATAAGAACACAAAGTGAGCATATGCTATTGGAAAAATGGTGCCAATAGACTTGCTTGATGCAAGGTTACCACAAACCTTCCATTTGTAAACAATGCATTATCTGCAAAGCGTAATAAAGTGAAGCACAATAAAACAAGATTCCCCTACAACAGGGGAATCAAAACTGTGTAGTACTGTCCTAAAGACAGACATATAAATAAACAGAACAGAATAGAGAACCCAGAAGTAAAGTCTTATAGATATGGACAAATGATCTTCAACAAGGATGCCAAGGCTACACAATGGGGAAAGGATAGTCTCTCCAACAAATGGTGCTGAGAAAACTGGATTTCCACATGCCAGAAAAAGAAGTTGGATTAAGACCAAAACATAACACTTTATAAAACTCCTAGAAGAAAACATAGGGGAAAACCTTCAGAATATCGGATTTGGGAGGGATTTCTTAAGCATGACAGCAAAAGTATAGGCAACGAAGCAAAAGTAGACTAATGGGACTATATATACCACGCTCACAAACTTCCATGCAGGAAAAAAAATGAAATGAAAAGGCAACCTATGAAATGGGAATAAATATTTCCAAATCATCTATTTGATAAGAGGTTGAACAGGACTTGAACAGACATTTCTCCAAAGAAAATATAGAAATGGCCAAGAGGCATATGAGAAGATGTTCAACATCACTAATTATCAGGGAATGCAAATGAAGCCACAATGAAGTACCATCTTTTCCACGTAGGATGGCCACTACTGAAAAAACAGAAAATAATAGGTGTTGACAAGGATGTAAAGAAATTAGAATCCTTGTGCACTGTCATTGGGGATACAAAATGGTAGAGCTGCTATGGAAAACACTATGAACATTCCTCAAAAATTAAAACTAGAATTACCATAGGATTCAGCAATCCCATTTCTGGGTATATATCCATAGGAAATGCAATCAGTATCTCAAATAAATATTTGTACCCCCACGTTCAATGAAGCATTACTCAGTCGGGCATGGCTTATGCCTATAATCCCACCACTCTGGGAGGCCAAGGTTTGAGGACAGCTTGAGGCCAGGAGTTTGAGACCAATCTAGGCAACAAAGTAAGAACCTGTCTTTAAAAAAAATTAAAAATTAGCCAACGTGGTGGCGCACATCTGTAGTCCTAGCTACAGGCTAGGCTATAGCTGAGGCTGAGGTAGAAGGGCCATTTGAACACAGGAGCTCGAGGTTACAGAAAGCCATGATCACGCCACTGCAATCCAGCCTGGGTGACACAGCAAGACCTATCTCTACAAAAAAAAAAAAAAAAAAAAAAAAAAAGCAGCAGCAGCATTATTGACAATAGCCAAGAGGTAGGAGGAGCAACCTAAAAGTTCATTGAAAGATAAATAAACAAAATGTGTTATATACATACAGTGGAATGTTATTGAGTCTTAAAGAAATTCTGTCATATACTATAAGAGTGAACCCTGAGGACACGCTAAGTGAAATAAATCAGTCATAAAAAGACAAATACCACATGATCCCACTTACATGAGGCATTTACAGTGGTCAAACTCACAGAAACACAAAGTAGAATGGTGGCTGCCTGAGGCCTGGGGTGAAGGGGAGGGGATCCATTGTTAGATGGGTACAGAGTTGTAATCACACAGGGTGGGTGGAAGGAGTTCTGGGGAACTGTTTCATAGCAACATGCATGTGGTTGGCAAAAGTATACTGTACATTTGGAAACTATTGGAGGGTGAGTTTTATGTTATGTGTAAAAGTTTTTTTGCCACAATAAAAACAATTAGTACACAGGAATATATTACCTATATACAAAGTATTATTTAACAACCTTGTATTTTAGTCATACATCTTTAACCGTATTAGATTTAAATCAGCCCGAGCAGCAAATCTATTTGTTAAACATTCATATTCAATTATGAAAGGGGACCAGGTCCAGTGGCTCACATGTGTAATCCCAACACTTTGGGAGGTCAGGATGGGAGGATCCCTTGAAGACAGGAGTTCGAGACTAGCCTGGGAAATAAAGTAAGACCCAGTCTCTACCAAAAAAAAAAAAAAAAAAAAAATTAAAAATTAGCATCTCCAGTCCCAGCTACGAGAAAGACTGAGGCAGAAGGATCACTTGAGCTCAAGTGTTTCAATGCTGCAGTGAGCTATGATCGTGCCACTGCACCCTAGCCTGGGCAGCACAGCAAGATCTCATCTCTAAAAAAACAGTCATAAAAAAAGAAATTATGAAAGGGACAAGATTGAGATTATTTTCATATTCAACATATATTAAGCTAATATTATTTCCAGATGATTTTTATTTCTCTGACCTCTTCCAGAACATGAACTCCCAACACACAGGAACGTAGGAGTTTATCAAAATGCTTCCAAAGACACAGATTGTAAAAAGAGAGAATACAATGTTGCTTGATACAAATATAACACAATCTACACATGTAATTTAAAGTTTTCCCATTGCCACTTAAAAAATAAATAAATAAATAAAGGCAGGAAGATGGCTTGAGGCCCAGAGTTTGAAACCAGCCTGGGCAATACAGTGAGGCACTGTTTCAGCAAAAAAATTTTAAACTTAGCTGGCACATGTCGTGGCACATGCCTGTAGTCCTAGCTACTCAGGAGACCAAGGCAGGAGGATTGCTTAAGCCCAAGAGGTTGAAGGCTGCAGTGAGCTCTGATCACACCACTGCACTCTGGTATGGGCAACAGAGCAAGAACCTATCACTTAAAAAAAAAAAAAAAAATCTACTGTATGGTAGACGAACCTGTGTATGGTAGACACACCTGACAGTGATAACTTAAGCATACCTGCGAATGACCCTGTATGGCAGATGCACCTGAATGTGCATTTAGAGTTCCAAGCTAAGGAATCCAGGAGAGGCCAACCCGGAGATCCATTCCTTAACTATGAGGAACATCCAAGTCTTTACCCTCTCTCACTCCCATCCTGTCCCGTGGAACAGGCAGGGGCCATACAGGGGATCGAGGCTCTTTGTTTCGGGTTGAACGAAGGTTGCCAGGTGGAGACTGTTAGAGGAGGGTGCTAAGTAAAAATGCTACATAAACTGCATGCCTTCTGCAAGCAGTTGCAGTTCTTCTGCCCAGCCTGCTGCCATTGGCCTGTGCAGTTACCCTGTCCAGCCTGCTGCCACTGGATTCTTCCCCGTATATAAGGCCCAGAAACACCCCATGTCTTGTTTGCTGGCTCTGGGTCTCTTCTTTGGCCTCTTGAATCTGGTGCCATCCCCACTGGAGTCAATAGGAGTTTGGCACAACAGATACTGGTGACATTAACATAATATTTTATTTAATATACCAAAAATAGTTCCACTTTGTAGTGAATATTAAAAATTGAGATATGTTATATTCTTGTACTCATATACTTTTTTTTTTCCTGTAGAGATGAGGTCTTACCATGTTGCCCAGGCTGGTTTCAAACTCCTGGGCTCAAGTGATCTACCTGCCTCAACCTCCTAAAGTGCTGGAATTACAGGTGTGAGCTACCATGCCCGGCCCTCATACTGTCTTTAAAATTTGATACATGGCCAGGCATGGTGGCTCACGCCTGTAATCCCAGCACTCTGGGAGGCCGAGGTGGGTGGATCACCTGAGGTCAGGAGTTTACAACCAGCCCGGCCAACATGATGAAACCCCGTCTCTATTAAAATACAAAAAAATTAACTGGGTGTGGTGGTGGGCACTGTAATCCCAGCTACTCGGGAGGCTGAGGCAAGAGAATCTCTTGAACCTGGGAGGCGGAGGTTGCAGTGAGCCGAGATCGCACCATTGCACTCCAGCCTGGACAACAAGAGTGAAACTCCATCTCAAAAAAAAAAAAAAAAAAGGTACATACACTGGACAGTGGCTCACGCCTGTAATTCCAGCACTTTCGGAGGTGGAAGCAGATAGATCACTTGGGCCCAGGAGTTCAAGACTAGCCTGGGCAACAGAACAATAACTTGCCTCTACAAAAAATAAACAATATTAGCCAAGTGTGGTAGTGCACACCTATAGTCCTAGCTACTCAGGAGGCTTAGGTGGGAGGATCCCTCAAGCCCAGGAGCTCAAGGCTACAATAAACTGAGATCACATGACTGCACTCCCATCTGGACAACGCAGCAAGATCTTATCTCAAAAATAAAACAAAATAAAAGTTGGTACATATTTTACACCTATAGCACATCTCAATTCAGATGCTAAATTTTCATTTGACTACTTGACTTGTATCTAGAGTCCAAAAAAACTTTACAGTTGAAAAGGTAGATTCACATACCCAAGTTGCTCTAAACATATTTACAATTTTCCATTAATTGAATCAAGCCTCTTGTTTAAGTTTAAAATTAAATGAAATTTAGAATTCAATTCTCTAATCTAACCACATTTCAAGTACTCAACAGTCAAATTTGCCTAGTGACTGCCATATTGGACAGCATATGTCTAACAGGAACAGGAAAAAGCATCTATCTCATCAGTTGGCTCTATCTTCTCCAGTTCTCTGACATTGCGTTTATGATGGCTCTCGTAGTATCTAACTGGTACAGGCTGAGATTAACCTCCTCCGCAAGGAAGACATTTTTGTTCTCTGAAAAGCCATCAGCATTTGGAGTCTGAACAATGGTAAATGAAAATATTTTAAGTTTTCCAGGGGGGTGCTAAATACAGATTACATTTGACATCCCATTGGAGTACATACAGTAAATGGATTTTAATTGTAATAATTAATTATTGGAAACACCAAGGGTAAAACCTGCTTACCCTAATTATGTGAAATTGTTCTAAAATCCATTTGGAATGGCCCTGTTAAGAGTAAGATTGAAGAAAAGTCATCCCCTGTCCCAGGTGTAATCTCTTCTGCGGGCTCTGGGCAGCAGGCTGATAAAAAGGCAGCAAGGAGCTGCAAAAAGAATAAACTACTCACCTGAATGCCTTTGAAAGACTGATGGGCAATATTTGTTGGGAATTTGAATATTCTCAAACTTACCAAAACACATATTTTGCTCAAAGATTTTTTTTTTTTTTCCAAACAGGGTCTCACTGTGTCAGCCAGGCTAGAGTGCAGTGGCACCATCACTGCATCCTCGACCTCCCCCGGCTCAGCTGATCCTCCCACTTTTGCCTCCCAAGTAGCTAGGACTACAGCCATGCATCTCCATACCCGGCTAATTTTAGTATTTTTTGTAGAGAGGGGGTTTCACCATGTTGCCCAGGTGGGTCCCGAACTCCTGGGCTCAAGCAATCCACACACCCGGGCCTGCCAAAGTGCTGGGGTTACAGGCATTAGCCATCACGCCCTGCCTCAAAGATATTAACAAAAATAACAATAATAATAAAATGAGGCATTAGGAATAGTGCCTTCATTTGACAAGGCACAGGCCACTCAAATCACTGATTAAATTATAAGATTCCTTGGCAACATCAGAATGAGAAAAGCCAAGTAGCTATAATTTGTGTGAGCCAAAACACTGGACACAAAGATAAAAATGACATCAGGCTTTGCTTTCTCTACAAAGAAACACCAACAATTGTTGGTAACAATCTCTGTTACCAACCCAGCATGGTTTATAACAACAACAACGACTAACTCAAATAGTTCCTACTAATAATATTAGTAGTAATAATAATAGCTAACACATATATGCCATTTACTCCGTGCCAGGAACTGTCCTAAGCATTTTACGTAGTTAACTCGTTTAATCTGCCCAACAACTCTAGAAAGCAGGTACTTTATGCGACCCATTCTGAAGATGAAGAAAGTATGGAAATGACAGTTAATGAACAAAGGTCACACAGGCGACTGGCGGAAGACCTAAGGTTTGAACCTAAACAGTCTGGCTCCAAATGGCATGCTTTTAACCACTACGCTGTACAGCCAAGACTATCAAATTCACCTTGGCTGGTCTGAGAATTATAAAGACCACTACCTACTCAGACCTTTTAATCCCACCCTGACAGAAATACAAATACATGAAAACTTCTTTCCACATTTACTCACCAAAGATCTTTGCGCAGTGATCCATTCACTGTGACCACCATCTCTCTTCTTAGCACATGCGTGCAGAAAATCTAGTTCCAAAATGGAGTCAATCCAACCAAATTAGGAAATTCCTATTCTACTCCCCTCTGCACCTCAAGAATTTCATACAACTGAATGTTGATCTCAACAGAAATCTTGTGGCTCATCACTCATCTACAAGAACTGCTAACTAAGGAATTGCTTCTAATATCATGAACTCCAAACCCACTTCAATAATGGGGGCATGGACACACGCATTAAAATCTCACCTACAATTCAAAAACTCACAATCCCATCTTAGACAATAGTTCTAATCCCACGTAACAAGGTTGATAATGAATTGCCAACTATTTCTAGTTTCTCTACTCTTACTTGCCCCAAAAGCTCAAAGCACTTCATGAGAGAAGTGACTTACAAATAATAATGACAGAAGCACCCAAGTAAAAGGGGAAAAGTAAGGACCCAGATACACAGCCCTTCCTTCATCAGAGATGTGTATTTCACCCTGGCTTTCCACCCTATTGTTCTTATTGTATGATTCCCTCTTTTCTTGCACTTGGATTTCTTCCTTGGTGCCATTCGTTTCACTGTGTGTGTGTGTTGTTGTTTTTTATTTTTGAGACAGGTCTTGCTTTGTCACCCAGGCTGGAATGCAGTGGCACAATCACAGCTCACCATAACCTCGGCCTCCCAGACTCAAGTGATCCTCCCACCCCACGAGTAACTGGGACCACAAGCACACACCACCACCACATGACTAAATTTTTTTTTATAGACAGAGTCTCACTATGTTGCCCAGGCTAGTCTTGAACTTCCTCGGCCTCTTTAAAATGTTGGGATTACAGGCATGAGCCACTGTGCCCAGCTGTGTGTATTTTTTAATATGATAAAGCTTGTTTAATATGTTACAAAGTCTTATTTATTTTATTTATTTAGTTTTTTAAGAGACAGGGTCTCACTCTGTTGTCCAGGCTGGACTGCAGTGGCATGATCATAGCTCACTATAACTACAACCTCCTGGGCTCAAGCAATCCTCCCACCTCAGCTTCCCAAGTAGCTAGGACTACAGGCATGTGCCATCATGCCCAGCTAAATTTTTTTCATTTTTTTCTTGGTAGAAATGGGGTCTCACTACATTAACCAGGCTAGTCTCAAACTCCTGGCCTCAAGTAATCCTCCCACCTTAGCCTTCCAAAGACTGGGATTACAGGCGTGGGCCACAGCACCCAGCCACAAAGTTTTCTTTAAATGGCCAATTCGGCTGAGGAAAAAAATACTCATCGTGAAAATCAAGTAGGTCAATATGTTGGCTAAAATTTCCAATTGCCTTTAGCAGCCAGCAGATATGAAAGTAAAAGGAACAATCCCAATCCTTGAGTTTATTTTTAGGCTCCCCAAGAAAGAATAATAACATACCTGGTTTAATTTCTCAAGTACTCCTATATTTGATAACTCACTGAGCTGCTTTTTGTGGCCTCTGTGACTCTTTAATCCAATGCATTCCACAAAGCAAAGATCACTTTAAAGCACTCTCCCCACCCCATCCTCTTTCTCACAAAAGGTGATGTTTCATTTTCCCAACTTCCTTTTGGTAAATTATTACATGGACCTGCTTTCCCTGGGAAAAGTCCAGAAGCATATCTTCTAATTTAAGGAATGTACCAAACATTTTGAGTCCTACAGACCCTTCTGATTGGTCATGAATGTAACAATCAGCCTTTCTCCTGTGACACTTTTAATTCAAAAACAAACCCAAGGCAACCTTCAAAGCTGAAAGTGCTGAAATTCCAGAATCAGAAAAGAAAAAAAAACTTGCTCATTGATCAAGGTGACACAGTGCATGACTTCAGTATTTAATAGAGTGCTAACTACTGTATACTTAAATCAACTTCCATAAATTCCCAATGATGATACAAACCATTTACCTGGAGGCCCCAAAACATAAAATCTATGACAGACTTTGATATTAATTTTTATTGAACATTAACATTACACCCTATAGACATGAACATATTACCTACGATTTATGCAGCAGTAGACTTTTGTAACCTCACGAAATTCATGTTGTTAAGTCTTCATTCAACCCCCATCCCCCTACGTGCACAAACAAATACACAAACCTGCTCTGATAAAATCAACAATTACACTTGCTTCCCTCTCTGAGTTGCCAAGTCATCAGATCCACCCACCCGGATCCCTTTATGACTGTAAAGTTTATGGATTACTTATTTCTCACGGGTTTTGCTTCCTGACATACTGTAACCACTTTCCTTTTATAAAGCTCTGATCAATTCTCAGAAGCATATTGGCAGAGGACAGTGAGCAACAGTAGCAAAGATGTTTTTAGGATTTTATTACTTGGAGTCTTGTTTGCAAAGAACTTTACACTCACATCAGAGCCTTCTTACACTTTAGAAATGGAAGCATTCGTAATCCTATTTAACACACACCAAAAATAAGGTTAAGTCACTTGCAAAAGACCACCCAGTAGATACAAGGTAGAGTTCAGGTGCAAGGTAGCAAGTGTTCCATCTACCCTTTTAATTTCCTCAGCCACCAAAATTCAAGTTTTTGTTTTTTAATTAAGGCTGACATCACTCGTGTGAGCAGAATCAGCTCATCACATGCGGCACCACTAGCAGCTAGACTCTAGCTGCTAGAACATCTCCTTCCCAGTTTGTTGTTGTTATCGTTGTTGTTGTTGTTGGGGCAGAATAGACGGTTTGAGAGCAGAAGAGGCGAGAACAGAACCTATGAGCCCAGTGATAGGTGTGATAATAAAGACGAGTTTTGAGTTTCTGATAAGCAGTTTATTTTTAAGGACCCAAAATAATCTACCTTGACATTCCTCCCAAGTAATACATTCATGTTTTTCTTGATAACAATATAACTGTTATCCAAATAAACCTTAGATTTACTTAGGAAATAGTTTTAATAGAAAGTTTAAGAAGTCAAATATAAGACTAGTATTACCATATAAAAATCCCACGTAGAATCTACTTTTTCTCATCAGGCAAGGTCCCAAATAAAAAACCACTTTCAGTAATGAGCCTTGTAAAGGTACAACCTAAATGTTTTTTATATGCTTATCAAAAAGTTGCAAGGTAAAAAAATAAAATTTTTGTCTCATGAAAATTCAAAACCACATACAAAATTTGTATTTTTCTAATTAAGACTTTCCCTACATTGGACATCCAGAAAGTACTACAGAACATATGAGAATCTGATCTTTTATTATGAGTAATAGGTGTTTCTTCTTCACCACCAGAGGTCAGAATCCAGAATTAAGTCCTTATTTTTCTAAAGTATTAAAGTTTTATACTTTAACCTCATGAATCTTGGAGCAACTTTAAAAGCCACTTAAAACAAAACAAAAAAGCCCTCATTTCTCGACACTAAATGTAACTGTAGAAAACAGTTTCACAAAGGAAGAAGAGAGGGCAGACATTCTGGTTATTTCTTCCCCCAAAATACTCTAGAAGAGCTTATATGCATATCCACAAGGAGGTAATAGTTGTTGAGTCGGCCTCACATTTATTCGCAGATTCAACAAAGGACAGCTGACAAGCATGTGCCAGGCATGGTGTTAGGTGCCCAGGACATGAGAGAAAAAAAATCCCTCCACTCATGGAGAAATCTGACCTCAATTCCATCTGACCTCAATTCATCTGTAACACTCATTCAACAAACACACTGAACACCTCCTAGAGCCAGCATGTTTGGAATGAACGATTTGTCTATATAAGATCCTGCTCATTATCTTGCCTTTCTACTGAAATAGAGTTTATCCCATGCCTATGACAGAAAATTCATCTCTAAATATTATTCTACTATTCACTGGACTTCCCCCAAAAGGCTGGTCAAATTACTTGACCTTTTAGACATTCTTATCTTACAGATCTAGAAGACAGGAAACAACAGGAGCTTGAATATGTAACTAAGTTTTTATAACTACATTAGAAACTTTCCTTGCCTGTACAAGACAAAAAATAAACAGCTTTTTTTTTTTTAATTTACAATTCACAAAAATAGACAATCACAACCCTCCTGGCAAAAGAAAATGTTCCCAGAATACTAAATACTAATTTGAGGAAAACTTCACATACTAAAATCACAAATCTCTGAGTCAGGTATTTCTCTTTAGAGAAAAGCAAATCAATTGTAATGGTCCAGCAGCTTTTCATACCCTTGATAATGACTAGTTTCTTCCACATAAGAATTTTCCTTTTCCTCTCTGTTCAGTTCCAAATACTGTTTGTTCAAACTGAATCAATTTCATATTTAGGATTTTTAACTGGATCACACTTTCTGCCTAACATTTTTCATATAACCCCTCATTAAAGAGACATTAACAATTTCAATCAAACCAATTCCACTTCCTTACCCAAAAACTTAATTTCCTGTACAGTACTGCTTTCATTTCACCTTTAAAAAAATCTCAGTTCACAATTTTTTAAAGACCTCTGTTCTCTATTACTTAAGAAAATTCATAGTCTGGCAGAATATGCACCAATACAGGTTGTTACAAGTTTGGCTACTCAGTTTCTGATGGATCTTCTGGTACATAAAACCAAATTACATATTCAAGCTCCTGTCCCTACTTAAAATTCATTTTTAAAATTACTGAACACCAAAAATGGATGACATGAACAAAATATACTCACAGAATGTTACAACAGTCCATATAAGATGCAATAAGAAAGAAAATCAATGAAACAATATTATAAATTGCACAAAACTCTCAATAAAACAAAGTTCAGCAAAACAAAGCTGATTATATATACTTTAAACTTTTAACTGACTTCACTTACCTCTCAATCTGACAAGGATACCTACTTTCCCTCTGTAAAATACATGGGTGACACCCTCCAAAGAGCAAATGTATATAGCTATTAAGTACCTCTCCCATAATATACTTAGTACAAGGCATCTTGTTTGTTCCGAAACCTGGCTTTTTGCTTTTGTTCTTGACCATTTGCTCTTGTACTTAAGTAATTTATTATTTTGTTAACCAATAAAATGAGGGTGAAAAATGACTACTTTTGAAAAACTAAATTAACTACTTTGCAGATACTCAAACGGAAGTGGCTAAATTAATAACTGCCTAATGAACGGTGGAAAGAGAATTTAAGTCTGTAAGAAACAATAATTTTAATCTTAATTTTAATTATTCCTTTCTAATTAATTAACTACAACTAGACCAAGTAGTCAGCTGGTGTCGAATTAAGAAGTGTTTCGTGAAGCTAAACAAATATGATAAAGCATATGGTGGTGGCCACTCCCAATCATCCCCTTCCCCAGGGTGGCCAGACGAGTCTTCAGATAGCACTCCTCCTGAAGGTCATCTAACTGACCCCACAAATCATCTTAACCTAATCTTACACTGGATTCTCTGGTTTATTTTCATGCCGGAAATAGCATTTTGGTTGAAAACACAGTTTCCTCTGTAAGTATTAGCCTCCAACCTAAATTTTTAGAGCTGAAACTGAGTTCTATTTTTTTTTAATAGAGACAGCGTCTCACCATGTTGCCCAGGGTGGTCTTGAACTCCTGGGTTCAAACAGTTCTCCCACCCAAAGTCCTAGGATTACAGGCGTGAGCCACCAGACCCAGGCTGCAACTGAGTTCTTGAACCCATAAAGCTGAGAAAACATAAAACTTAAAATCTCACTACTCTACTACATTCTACACTGATGGTCTTTAAACCGGGCTATGTATAACATTTAGGGCACATGAAAACTCTAAAGGAAAACAACTATCTCTCCATCTTCAACTTCCTTGTAAAATAATATGCCTGAGAATTTCCCTTCTCTTTCCTAACTGCCTCTCACTTCCTAAAGTGGGCATACCTCTCAGCCACCACCCTCCCCTCATCTCACTAGGCACACTGCCCACGATTATAAAACCTCCCAGGCAACAAGGAGGAGACCCACTAGAAGCAAACTGGTCTTGATGCAAATAAATAAATAAGAAACATTTCTAGACGTCTAAAAGGGAACAAAATGCTTTTGCAAGTTGGATTGCTTCAAACAAAATTACAGGAGCATCCATTCTTTAAGCCATCTGCCAACAAATCATTAAAAATAAGTTCTGATGAGATTACTGTGTGAGTTTTGCCATATAACTTCAGAAAAACTCCAAACAATTGACTGGCACTGCTATAATACTCCCTTTTTCATTTTTGACAAGTTTTTTCAGTGCCTGCATCTTACACAGAAAAGAAAAAGGGAAAATAAAAATGATGCCAAATCTTTTCTCATCTAGTAATAAACGAATTTATAAAGAATAAAACACCTGTATATATGCAATAGATGAATGTATAAACAGAAATATTTTTATTTTTTATCAATCATTTATCAGAATTTGTAATATAATCATGTTATTTTGATCAACTCCATTCCACAAATGGAAATATTTATACAATTACTTCTGGATTAAATAATCCTTGAGGCATAGGATATTTTTAATTTTCAGTATTGATATATTTTTATTACATAAGTATGACATGATAATCCATAAAAGACTCTAAAACATGAACATGTATTATATTAGAATAAAAAGTGGGGGAGAAGGCCAGGCGCAGTGGCTCAAACCTGTAATCTCGGCACTTTGAGAGGCCGAGGTGGGCGGATCACAAGGTAAGGAGTTCGAGACCAGCCTGGCCAACAAGGTGAAACCCCATCTCTACTAAAAACATAAAAATTAGCCAGCCGTGGTGGCGGGCACCTGTAATCCCAGCTACTCAGGAGGCTGAGCCAGAAAAATCCCTTGAACCCAAGAGTAGGAGGTTGCAGTGATCCGAGATCGCACCACTGCACTCCAGCCTGGGCGAAAGAGCAAAACTCCATCTCAAAATAAATAAATAAATAAATAAAAGTTGGGGGAGAAATAAGATAACAAAAGAGTTCAAGTAAACAGGGAGAGATAAGTTTCCAATTAAAGAGCTTGTTCACTGATTTTTTTAATGAATGGTGGCTGGTATGACAATGTTAGATTTTTCATCAGCTCTACTTAAGTATATTATGTAAAAGGCCTATTTTTAAAAGCCAATTTTTACAATATGCCCCAAATTACGTATTTTGAAACAACCTAAGTTATAATGACAACGTATGCAATCAGCACAAGATTTGAAGACCATGGAGCTATACCAGTAGCAGTCGGTCTGCACTCAATGACTACGATTCAGAAGAAGAACGCAACCTACTGTTCCAGTCTTTAACTAACAACAGCTCCTCGGTTTGCACCTGCAGTTGGAGTCTCAGGAACATCATTTCCTCCACAAGCTTTGCACTTTCCCACCTCCTGGCCCCTGTTCATACCACCAAGAAAACAGACCCAGTCCTCCTCAAATTCCACCATTCTTCCTTAAGCAGGGGCTTTTGGTCAGGTGCTGTGAACTGCTAATTTGGTAGGAGAGCAGAATAACATAGTGGGGTAGTGGGGTTGAGGGCATGGAATGTGGTAGCAGGTTACCTGGTTTCAAAATCTGCCTCTACAATTTACTAGTTTAAGCCAATTAATCTCTCTGTGGTCCAATTTCCTCATCTTTAAAATGGGAATTATAATCAACATTACCTGATGGGGGTGTTGTAAACTGAATGAATTAATATAGCTAAAACCTTTAAAGCCCTGCTTGACAGTTTTTGCCACATCATCGTTATTGCCCCCACCAAAATTTCTACTACAGTGACTATCACCACACCTGGTCCAGATTTTTACTGTGTAGACACTAGCCCACATCTTTATAAATTGCTACTTCCTCACCTATTTCAGGGCACTGCTTACTTGCAAGAAACAAACAAGAATATCTATGAACCCCATTAGTCCCTTCCTAGAGAAAGGCACTAGTGAGAATATAATACGGTCCATAAAAACTCTGTGTAAATCAACTGGGGTTAAGGAAGAGAAACACTAGCAAAGGTATTTTAATTAGCGAGTAATTCTACCCTGTTTCAGAAACAGAAAAATCTAGTGGCAAAAAGTACCGGGAGAGGGCAAGTCCTGGGAAGAAACTGCTGGGAGAAGGTCACACTTTCTATTCCCAGGGCTTCATTCATTCCTTATCTTGAATCAAGAGACAATACATGGAAAATAATTAGAGGGGGATAACCTATATTGATAACCAAAGAAAACCAAAAAATAACTGGATAGACGATTGATACAGACATCACTGCCTATTCCTCTCCTCTCCAGTTGTTCAGGCCTACAGTTGGCTGTAGTTCACTTTTTACAGTTGGTTGAAAACAGAAAAAGAGGCTGCAAGAAGGAAGCCAAGGACAGTACTAAACAGCAGCTCTGGAGAACATGGGCTGGCAGGTGTATGAACACAGAACCATTGATTTCAGCGACCACTACAACAACCATCCCCAAAATCATATCTTCAGGAAAGAATGTTTCTTTTTAACAAATGATTTGCCCTAATAAACGCAGCCCCATATTTGGCCTTCAGAAGCAATTATTTTTTGTTTTTGTTTTTGTTTTGGTAGAGACAGGGTTTCACCATGTTGGCCAGGCTGATCTCAAGTGCCTAACCTCAAGTGATCTGCCTGCCTGCCTGCCTCAGCCTCCCAAAGTGCTGTGATTACAGACGTGAGCCACTGCACCCAACCAGGAAGCATCTTTCCAACCCGAACTGCAATATAACTTTTTCATTGCAATAAACCTAAACCTCACTTGTGCCTAAATGCAAGCCAGCATCACATCCTCAGCTGCCAAGTTGAAGAATAGGCTCTTATCAATTCAACAGCACCCAAAAGCATTAAACTCAGCTGAGATATTTGTGTGAAATACAGATTCCTGGACCCCTAGAGAGGCTGACTCAGTCTGGGGTAGAGATCAAGAATCTGCATTTTTAAACAAACCCCCAGGGAATTCTTAAGTACACTGTAGTTTTATGACCACTGCCTGAAGGACATCCCTGGAATATCACTTAGCAAATGCAATTCATACTTACTTTGCCCACTATGAGAAACTGTTGGCATCATTTGCATCAGCAAGCTCTGTTTCCACAAGACTGGGACCATGACTACAAACTGTTTCGGATTTGAAACTTGCCAGCATTACAAACAGAAAGGAAGGGGAGAGCATCTTTCTCATAGCTTAGTCACAGTCCTGGTGAAGGGTCTGAATCACCCTGACGGCTGCTTGTCTTTTTCACTAAAAGGCTGAATGATGAGGGTAGACTGTAGCACAATGGTTGTTTTATCCTGTTCCAGGTCCACCTTTATGGCCCAGGAACCCTGTAGCAGGAAAATGGGGCTTCATGGGATATGGTCTCTCGGGAATCATTCACTGAGCAGTTTTGCTAATTTGTTTTTACTAAAAATAATTTTATATAAAAGTAAAGTTATACTTTATAATACGATTCCATTTTAAAATACTGATATAAGTATTTTGGAATATTTGTGTTCCTAAAGAGAGCAAAGGATACTCCTTTGCAAAACATATGTATGAGTACTTTTAAAAGCTGAGACACTTTTAACTTTTGCTATTAAAAGGAAACATAAAATAAACAAAGCTTTTGTTAACTGGTTAAAGTAAGTGGTGTTCAAGTTGCCATTCCAGTTTCCAAGCTGTTTTTGTGAAAGCAGAGGGGTGGGGGCATTTTACACCAGTGCAAAGGGTAAGAATAGCACTCCGGAAGAATAAAACTTCTCTTTATTTTGGCACTCCACATTAACTTATCTGATAAGTTGCTGAGTTTATTATATGGGGATATTTATTTCAAAGCCAATGCCTTTTGCAGGGGTAGGCAGAGGCATGGTGACCAATTTTACTATGGCAGAGCCTTTGGCCAAATCACTTCACCCCTTTGAAATGCATCACATGGCATCCTTTAATTTGAGTGCCTCCTCCACCTGAGTCATGTAGGATAAATTACTCTGTGCTGTCAAATGTTGTGTACCTGTTATCACCACTGCCTGAGAGAGCATAAAATACATATTTTATGGAATAGTCACTCCTGAATGTTCAATATGCACAACATAGTTTTGGTAAAAAGAAAGACTGACTTTCTGACAAATACAAGGATTTTGTAGCAGCAAGAGTACTAACACAGAAGCAAGTGACTATGTTCTTAACCCTACGTAAACACAAACCAGACTAGTCATTTTACTTTGGGCAACACCAGATACATTCTCTGTGCCACTGGTTTCTTCAGATATAAAATAAGGGAGACTTGGATAACATGATTCCTAAAAGCTCACACTATAAACCTGTACTTTTCAAGCAGTCTCAGGTGTTGTTTTCTGTACCAACAAAAATGAAACATATTGTGAAGTTGACATAGAAATTCATTACTGTCTGCTTATTCCTGCTGAGGGTTCTGGAATTATAAGCCTGGGAAATAGCAAAATAATAGCTGCCATGCATAAGTTAAAGTGAAGAAAAAAAAATCAGAAATAACATCTGGATACCCAGACACCAGATCCCTTCAATACATGCAAACAGAAGGTATGTAGTCATTTTTAAAAGAAGGAGGCAAAAAGCCACAACTACTATTTTGAAAGATGATGTATACGAAAATTAGCAAAAGAAAACATATTATATCTTACATACTAAATAAGCATGATTTATACCAACTATACTGTCATTCATTCAACACATATTTACTGAGCACCCATTATGAGCCATGAGTTGGGGAAAAGAGCAAAAACAAGACAAACAGTTCCTGCTCTTTGGAGCTAGATAAACAGCAAGGGAGTAAGCCAAAATTAAAGAATTTTTACAAACGTGATGTTGATGCACAAAAGAAGTAGATATAGGGTGTGCCCGAAAACCTAATAGTAGAAGAAGCTGGGTGTGAAGGTCCTCAGGGAATAACATTTCATCTAAGATTTTAAGGATTGTGGGCGGGGAGCATTGTGGGCTAACAGGAGACAGCATTCTATGCAGAGAGGATAGCCTTACACTCTTATTAAAAAATTTTTTATTCTATTTTTATTATTTTTCTTTCATTGATACATAATATTTTACATATTTATGGGGTACATGTGAGTATTTTTTACACATACAGATTGTGTAACAATCAAGTCAGGGAATTTGGGGTGTCATCACCTTGCATGCTTATCATTTCTACGTATTGGTAACATTTCAAATCCTCTCTTCTAGCTACCTCGAAATATTTGAAATATTAGACACTATCAAATGTTATATCTATAAATTGAGACAGTTTAGATAATTTAGGTATACTGTTAAATGTTATAACTGAAAAGCAAAGGGACCAGGGAACATGTATCTACTTTATTTTGTGTGTGTGTGTGCTGCCTCCTGTACTTTTCTCCAGGTTACACATGCATGCACGCACACACACGCGTGTGTGCACAAGCACATGCATTTTATTTCTCTAGTTAACATGTATCTACTTTAGATCAATGGAGCACTGTATTAAAAATTATATACACTGAGACCAGCAGGACAGAGCACTATATATATAGACAAAAAATGAGGGAAATCATTGGCACACTTACATTTTTTTCTCATTTTAAAAATAGCAATCAAGATACTCAAACTCTTCATTCTGAAGACTATCCCCAAAATAATTAATCCCAAAATAAATTCGTGTAATTAAAACTTTTCTGATTAAGAAAAAACTCCAATCTTTTCCAGAGACCACCTGGGCAGCCTCAGAACTATTATCCTTCTATGCTAATGATTGCTGGTTTTAATCATCGTCCTTATAGCAAAAGACAATCATTGCATTCCAGTTGACAATCTGTGTCCAAGTTTCCTTTCCAAAGTTGTCTTTAAAGTCCAAGGCAAATAAAAACCACCACACATGGTTGCTTACAGAACTGACAAGAGATCCTTGACTCCAACAGACCTGGTTGGCATCAATGATTCAAGCACATTATGAAAATCTCCACACGACTCAAAGTTTTTTAAGTACAGAACTGAAGTTTACATCCACAAATCTGTTTGATCTCTGCAGTTGCAAAACCATATGGCACACAGAGAAAAACAAATTATCTCTGCTTATGAAATAAGAACCCTCTGTAGGCTTTGGGACAGACCAACAGCTATGATTGTCCTACTCGCTGCGTATCACTATAATTAACTTTCTCTGATCCTTTTGAAGAATGTAGAGTTTTGGGGTTTTGGTTTGTTTGGGTTTGAGGGGTGGGGGGGCAGAGATTAGGGAACAGAAGTAAGGACATCACCAAGGGGAGATGGAGAGAATCCTAAGCCTAACCTCAGACACAATAATTTAAATATTATCTTTCTATAAATATTTTATGTCATATTTTCATGCTTTATTTAATCCCATTTATACTGAGGAGATATATAAAGCCATGCATGTCAACATTTACCATGTAATGCAAGTTATGCTTGTGAAAAGGGCTATTATACTAAGTGACTCAGTAGCTTCCATAGTAATACTAGTTTCACAATCACTATAAGTTTCCAGCCATTGGCTACACAGAACCAAAAGCAAAAATATACCATGACAGTAATTAAAAATGCGGTTGAATTCTGCTATCGCTGTTTCCACTCCCACCACTACCTCTACCACCACCATCATTCATGCAATCCTCACCAAAAAAAAAAGTTTAGAAATAATTTACACTTCTAGCTTTGCACCTCAAAAGTAACATGTAAAGGAATTTAAAATTTGATCTATGACACTAACAGATTTTAATAAACTACTTCATAAATATAAACAACCCACCAATGGACCCTTAGCACCAGCAAAGATAATTTCAGAGACAATTTGGTTAAGCAAATTCAAAAGTGTAATAAAAGAAACTGCAAATGCAAAAAAAGAGTGACAAGAAAAAAAGGAGTAAATATGTTTAATGGCAGAAGAATCATTTCCCAGATACATGTGCAATTTTATACATTAAGTGTTTTTAGGGGATGACCAGGTAGAAATAATTTATCATTTTGATTTCCTAAGAGAAGACACTATTCTTAAGAATAAGAGGCTCAGTAGCCCTGCCTATCTTTCTGCCTGGTAAGACCAGAAAAATGAAAGTGTTTCCCTAATACTTTGTGTAGTATAACAGGTGATACAGTAGTTAAGACTGGCTTCAAGTCTTAACTAATCAGAGTTGTGAAATCTCAAAAACACTAGGTCCCAGAGCATTCTTTGCATTTTGTCTTTATTTTACTTATACTGTACCCAATGAAACACCTTCTAGGAACACCTACCGTCCCCCATTCCCATCCAGTCACAGCTCACAGCCCTGCTGGCTTGCTAGCTTAGATCTCATAAACCTGGAGCTAAGAGCTAAGAAGCACAGTAACCTATCAGAGCTGTCAGACATGCTGGGGAAAGTTTCCAAGAAGCACACTAGGCAGAATTCAAAGGAAAAAATTTATCCCTGAAGCTCTGATCAACTCCAGACATAAATATCTTTAAAACATATGGATTACAAGCACAGTCCTGGGAAAATCAGTAACATGTCGTGGAGGAACAACATTAATGGGTTTACCTGGAATCTGATCTGCTAATATCTAAAACACTTTTTTTTTTAAAGATCACTTGCTATAACAGGTGAACTAAGAATACCTTTTATTCACTATCTAATCTTACCGTCCTAAAGCCAGGTCCCTGCTGGGTAGGGAGGGGTGTCATATATTTGACAAATAATAATTGAAACAGCCTTTTCCTTTTCTTTTTGTTGACAGTCTATTCAGACAAACCAGGCTAAATACATTTCCAGATTCCCTTATGTGCACAAGGAGAGAACAGCTCCATAAAGGTCCACAGAGACATCTGGAACAAGCAGCATCTCTACCTGCTAAGCATAAATACTGCTTTTCTGCCTTCCTGGATGGTGCTTTTAATTTCTCTTACAATCCTAAAGCCTCTCAGCTGGGTTAGAAAGCCCATTGTTTTTTTCCCTTTATCCTTCAGTGAAGGCCTTGTCTATACCTCTTGGCCACAGACAGACAGAACAAAGAGTAGTCAGACCTACAGATTTCTGTACTTGACCTTCTTTATGTGGGAAAGACGTTGGCGTCCAACACTGCTATAATAAGAAAAAGGAAAGTGAGTTGCAGGAATGACAAACAGAATCTGTAAAAGAAGAAAAAGAATCAGCCACAAGTTTTCATTATCCAACTTAGGATATAACAAAAGATGACTTTTAAAAATAAATAAATAAGCAAGTGAATCTAGTCAGGATAGAAATCCATTTGGCAAGTAAAATCCATCTCCAGCACAGCATTTTTAGAGCAGCATGCTGGAGTTTTCATGTTTTGAAAAATGAGACACTGACTAATACACTTAGCCAAATATTCTAATCTGTCATCATTCTAAATATACGGGCCTATCTTTCAGCAAACAAATTAGCAGGTAATATATCATCCCTGAGTGCATACCCTTCCCTGGATGCTCTATAAATACAGAGTGATCAAGACTGGCAGTTACTCAGTGTAAAATGTAAAACACTACTAACTTCACTTAAGCCACACTGCAGAAGTCCATCATATCAATCAGAAGCAGGGTGTCAGAAAAGTTTCATGCACTTGAAATTCTTCCAGGGGAGGGAAAATGAGGAGACTTAGAAAAGAGATGGCTCTTACACTCCCTTTATTTGATCATGGAGAAAAGAAGAATGAATCTCTGGAAATAAATGACTCCTGTATGTTTTTAAGTGTGTCTAGGATCAGATGAGCAAGCCTCGAATTTGGCAAAATTGCAAACTAAAAGAAAAAATAGCCTTTGCGTTCTCCAGCCTCACCTACTAAAAGTAATTCAAAGTACATAAGCTTCCCAATACAGTAAAAGCTGCAAAGCTAGCTATAGTCTCAGGTCCTCAGAAACAACTCATGCATTTTCCAAGATTCTGATTTAAACAACAACCAACTATTTTCTGAGGGCAAAAGGGGAGTAAAGTTCTTAAATCATTTAATTCTGCCAATTAGTTCCGCAACTATGGCATTAAAGAACTATGGATATTTATCCACTGGAAGTGGATCAAAAAGTGGGCTCTCTTAATGCCTATTAAATAGTGCTGATTTTCAAGCATCACTGACCAAGGTCAAATCTGAACCAATGTGAAAACCTCCACTTCCCCATCACTAATCCCTTGAGCCATCCATTCTTCCACAAGGCAAATGTTTTGTAGTCAGGGGAGAAATACCACACGGTATGGGTAGCACTTAATATGACTGGTTTCTACATTAAACTCAGCTTACACGTCTTCCATTTATCTGTAAAAAGTTAGAGAATTAAAACACACTGGAATCTTTCAAATATGATATCACTATAGTACTGGCATATACAGAGAATCAAGGAATTAACTGCTTTATTCCACATATATTAGGTAAAATCTCTGGTTTACTGACTGATATGTTTTTTTTTTTTCTCAGTATTTAGTTTTCTCCCACCAATTGGAGGAATAAAAGGATGCCCCACTGAGTATTTGTTTACAATTGACAAGATTATCTTCTGTAAGTGTGTTACTGATCAAACTGTACAATGCACAAAGCTTCGGTTCCGCTAGGTTATCAGCTACACTTAGAACAGTTTGGGCTAAGGAGTTGGGAGGGATGAGGAAAACACAGTGAGCTGTAATGCAACTGTGCTCTTGGTGGGGTGCGCACACTGCGAATAACTTACCAACTCACTGCCCAAAAAGGAAAACTTCTAGAGTAGCCCAGTGGACCCAAGGACCTAATTGTTCACTTTCTTTATAGAACCACTGCTATAAGTACTGTCCTCCCCACTCTCATAATCTAATACACACTGCTAGGTAATTCAACTTAATATTCCCATTGAAACAAAGTTAGTCACAGTCCAAGTCTACAGTTATCTATACCATGAGTTTTTAAAACATGCCCAGGTTCACTGAAAACCTAACCACGAATTACGGTACCTTTTCAAAAATATTAAATATATTGAAACTAATATATTCCAAATCCCCAAAGAAAATATGATTGCATTTTACCTCTCCACCCCCAAGGAAAGAAAAGCTGTGGTGCCCTGAGACCTAGACTAGATAAGCTAGTCACTACCAAAACCCTGAACATAAAAAGCTACTCTGTCCATCGTGGGCACATTCTAGTCCCTCTTCAGAAAAAGTCCACTCTCTATATCCTCACTTCCTCCTTCCTCCTACTCAAGGAAAAAATATATATATATTTATATATATATATATTTATATATATATATATTTATATATATATATTTATATATATATATATTTATTTATATATTTATTTATATATATATTTTTATATATATTTATTTATATTTATTTATTTATATATATATTTATATATATATTTGTGTATATATATATATAAATATATATATAAAGTGTACTTTCATCACATGGAATTAACCACTTTCCCACTGTATTTTTAAACACTTTTTGGGCTGAGCATAGTGGCTCATGCCTGTAATCCCAGCACTTTGGGAGGCTGAGGCAGGTGGATCACTTGAGGTCAGGAGTTTGAGACCACCCTGGCCAACATGGTGAAACCCAGTTTCTACCAAGTCTACAGAGTGAGACTCCATCTCAAAAAAAAGAAGAGGGGATGTGAAGGACCCTTCTGCCCCCTAACAAAATAAACACTTATTGTACCTATCACAATGCATGTTCTTTTTAATTGCATGAACAATACACGCTTAGGACAAGTTCAAACAATACGTAGGCATATTCAGTTAAAACAGAGTCCTCTCCTCTCCCTCCAATCCCTGCTAACCATTTGTTATGTATCCTTCCAGCCTGATTTATATACTTAAACACGTATACATGCTTATCAGTTTACAGATCTAGCATATCTAACAGACTGTGCACTCTATAAGAGCAAGAAATGCCCTATTCACCTGTGCATCCAGTACCTGGCACCCTGCTGATACAAATAGTTGCTCAATAAATATTTACTCAAGAAATAATCAAACGGTTAAAGCCACAGAGAAGCAGGTCTTCTGGGGACTTCAGAAACAAGGAGAAACACATGTCTGTGTCCTTACATATGCTTGTGCCCATGCTCATCTGAGATTAAGAAGGAGGAAAAAGGGTAGAGGGCATCTGAACCTAGGGCTCCAGGTGGTACACCAAATGATCACTGGTTAGCCAGCACAAGGATACGGAGGAATAGCAGCATATCCATCTTTAAAAAATAATAATAATACTCAAAGCAACTGACCAAAGAGGGAGATCCATTAGGATTCTGCTATGTCCCTGATCTCAAGGGCAGTCTTATTAACTGTCTTAAAGGCACCGTCCAGCAACCGCATATAGGATTCTCAGGGTATCAACCTCAGAATAGATCATTTATGGATTAGAAAGTGGGTCTGAATTGTGTTTGAATATTTATAACTCATTTTAGAAAAAATGCAGAAACTTCAGGATGCAACCAAAAGCACAAGAGGAAATGTTATCACTCAAAGTCAAAAAAAAAAAAAAAAAGTAGGGCTGAAAAAATTAAAATTAGGCTGGGTCCCTTTTCTCCAAGAATCTAAATTAAACGTGTTTCTATAACCAAAAGAAGAGCTGAAAGTAGTACTATATTCAGTAAAAAAAAAAAAAAAAAAAAAAAACACAAACGATTTAACCAATTAATATGCAACTCAATATAGAAGTATAAATTCTTTAACTTTTTTAAAAGGTTATTAGCCTTGCTGTTGCAATCAAGCCACCAACTGATAGCCACCCCAAGCTATAGTGAGCCTAAACATAAAATGGCACAGGAAACTCTTCTATGTCAAACTCTGTTTTAGTAAATCTTCAGATTTGAACA
This sequence comes from Homo sapiens, assembly GCF_000001405.40. Lineage (NCBI taxonomy): Eukaryota > Metazoa > Chordata > Mammalia > Primates > Hominidae > Homo > Homo sapiens. The sequence goes on from NC_000009.12 coordinate 20,567,529, forward strand.
TTGAAATTTCATTTAATTTGGCTTATCATCACAGTTCTCCTTTTCCTTGCCAGGGTTCCAAGAAAGCGTAACTGCAAGATTTGGCACAAGAAACTTTCCACAACTTGGTCAACAGCCCTGACTATATTATCATTACCCAGATTTATAGAATGGTCCCAGTGACCAAGACACAGGGTACATGTCCAACAATAATGTATATTTTGAAATGAACAAATTGATTTATACATTAACCAAACAGGTTTTTGGCTCAGAGTCAAGAAGGGCTACATACACTAACACTTGGCTTCTAACCCTGAAACTAACAGGTCTTCATTCCACTGGGGAGCAAGGGGTTTAAAAAAGAGAAAGGCCCATGTTTCAAGAACTCTTCTCTCTTACCCTCCACCCCACTCACCAAAATACTTACCTCCATCCCCGCCACCTACAGCTGCCTTCAGGAACAATTAAGATGTTGACTTGGAGTCCATGTTCTGTGGCTATTCAATAATTCCCAATTAATAAACCTTAGTTAAGAAGAATATGGTGACAGAAATAAGTACTCATAAATAAAGTAAAAGAGGGGTGTGTGTATGTGTGTTAGAAACTGTGATACGTAACATTTTAAAAGCATCCGCCACTGAGATATTTATAGATTAAAAGATTTGATGTCTAGGACTGACTTCAAAATAAATTCAGTCGGAGAGAGGGAGGAAAGGAGGCTTAGATGGTGGTATTGATGACACAAGATTGTGAGTTAATAATTATTGAGGCTGAGTACTGAATACACAGAGAATTATACTATTCTCTCTACTTTTCTGAATATTTTTAAATTTCCATAATACAAGGCTGGGGAGGAAGGACTGAAAACTTAAAATAAAATGCTAATACCTCTTAATGGAGGGATTATGGATAATTTTATTCAGTATGCTTTTTGACAAGAATCATATTACTTTATGTTCAGAAAATATTTATAACTAGCATAATGATTCTACAAAATACTTCTGGATGCCTTTAGAAGCCATTCTAATACAAGCAAACCAAGCTGTAGCAAGATCCAAGCTTAAGAGAAAACTACAGTCCCCTGAGGGGTACACACCCAAAAATCCATATAAACAAAGTTTCCAGTGAGGATGTAACAAGTATAGAATGAAAAGAATCTGACAAAAATATCCCAACAGAAAGTAAGACAAGTTAATTTCTTTTCCTGAAGGAAAATATCATCTGTTTAACAAGGTTTATTTCCCCTTTCAGCTAATGTTGATTAAGTCCTTGTTATGTACAAAAAACTTGTCTGTATTTACATCTAATCCTCACTACAGTCCTGAGAGGAAGTTATTACCTTCATTTCAGAAATAAAGACATTGAGGTTGAGAGAGTAAAAATAGAGTGGGGTTGGAGTAGGGATTCCAAGAATTTAAGAATCACATCTTTGTCTTTAAGATGTCTCAGAGAAAAAAAATAGGAGAGAAAATTCCCAAACACAAAGATAATAATTCATCTACTTCAAAAAATTCCCAAAGGAAAACTATCCAGAGCCTCAGGTTCCAACGTAACCCTATGTGAGGGTAACACTTACACCCCTCCTGTCCATGCTCACGACCAAGGGGAACAAATGATTGTAAAAGGAATACATCAAGAAGAATGAAAAGTTCCATAAGCCTCAATAAGATCAACAACAGCAGCCAGCATTTACAGAATGCTTACTTATGTGCCTCCCATGGTCTTATTCACATACACACTAAAGGAACTCTTATCGTTCCCATTTTATAAAAACTGAGACTCGGAGAAACCAGGTAACCTGCTCCAGATACCTGCTAGTAGGCAAAAACTGTTTTCGAGACCCAGAAAGCCTCCATGGGTTACTGCACACACCATTACCCAATGTTGTACCTTGAAATCTAGGCTCATTCCCTCTTTAAAAACAGTTATAGCAATAATAGCAATCATCTATCTACACTCCCCAATTAACACCCCACAAAACAGTCACCAAGATGTCCCAAGACTTTTCAAAGTCTCAGAGCTGTTAGAAAGACTACACAGAAATCTACTACAACATACTTATAATATGCTTGATATTTCAAAAAGTACACAAGCCAATGACGACAACCTATAATAAAACTTCAGCAAACAAGCACTAGGGAAAACTCAGCGGTGTCCTTGGTATTTAGAACACCCAGTTCTAAAGGTTTGGAGTGAAGAGACCATTCCAAATCCCAGTTTCTCCACTCACAAGTTCTATGACTTTGGGCACGTCATCTCTTAGCTATTTCAGTCCCTGTTTAGTGGAGCTAACATACCTATGTATACGTAAAGCTCAGTGCTTGACACTCAATGTGAAGCAGAAGCTCAGTAAAGTCTTCTTCCCCACCTAATGCGCTGTGGTCTGTACCTGCAAACATCCTTTCTCCTCCAATAACCCTAGCAGAAAAATGAACCGTTGGCTCCTCATTTGCCCCCAGCTGGCCCAAACTACATTCCCTCCACTCTGACAACACAACAGCATCTATTCTATAAATGAAAGATCCTCAAACTGTGGGGATTTAGCTCAGTAACGCTATTTTGCAATTACTATAATTTTACTTTATTGGACTTTCAGATGGGCTTTGTTTGGCATTTGATTATTTCAGAGCCAATTTCCCACTTAAAATTCTAGACCTTGGCTTTGAAAATAGAGTATGAAAAATGCCAGGATATTATATTGTAAGGGACAAAAACTGCATGAGCAGCCAGAGATTGTTTTATTTATACAGTGACAACAGTCAGAATTCCAAAGAATCAAGTCATAGAATCTTAATTTTCTTCCGTCAGCATTACTAGCATGGTAGTAATAAACAACAACAGCAGAGTCAAAGTACTGTGTTTTTTCAAGGTTATTCACTAACACTTAAGAGAAATGAAACTAAAATTAATATGGCTAAACATAAACACTACACTTTCTAACAAACATGGAAATTATTTCTCCTACATGTATCACAGTTTTAACAATTTCTTAAGCTACTTACATCAAACTATTTTTGTTTAAATGAGATTTCTGGAATGTCTATAACAACAAAACAGATTTAGACATATGTACATTTATGACATGAGTAGAAAATGAATTGTGAACCTTACCAATTTTTGTATTTGTCAGAACCAAACATTTAAGCAAAATCAAAAATCCAAAGGTCCAACTTTTATGAACACTGTTAAACGATTAACTTTCAAATTACTTAGAAATTCTGGAAATTCCTAGCAATACCGATTGTTCTTCTTTAAAAAGCAACCCAATAAAATAAGAAACCTATAGGTCTGGATTAAGTCCCAACAAATTCCATATTTTCTTACTTTTTTTGACTCTAACTTCCCACTTAGAAAAGGCAGGGTTAAGAACTAAATAGATTCTGACCTTTAAGCATAACTTGAAAAAGCCATAGCCTGAAGATGAGTCATACCTAGACTTTGTAAACTAACTACACAATTGCTAAACTGTATTTCATACAAAATTAAGAAGCCATGAGTAAAACTCTAGGCTTTATCACTCACTGAAAATAGAAGACATGTCTTTGTAGTATAGAAAAGCACACAGTGGCTTAGTTACACACAGAAAAAAACAAGGACCACCACGTGTACTCACACATATACATATCATTCCTTGGGAAACAAAGATTTATTTTCATATAATGCTGCAGGTGAGCTTATAACTTCCAACAAAAGCTTTTAACTTTCCAACAAAAACCTTTTAACTGCAACAAAAGCAAAACTACACAATGGGATTGCCTCAAACTAAACTTCTGCATAGTGTGCACAAGCACATGCACACACACACACAAACAACACAGTGAAGTGATGACCTATTAATAGGAGAAAATATTTGCAAAACCTACATGTAATAAGAGCATAATATCTGAAATATATAAGCAACTCAATTCAATAACAATAAAAAAAACCTGATTTTATGTATTTTTTTACTATACTTTAAGTTCTGGGATACATGTGCAGAACATGCAGGTTTGTTACATAGGTATACACGTGCCATGGTGGTTTGCTGCACCCATCAACCCATCTTCTACATTAGGTATTTCTCCTAATGCTATCCCTCCCCTAGCCTCCCACCCCCAGACAGGCCCTGGTGTGTGATGTTCCCCATCCCGGGTCCATGTGTTTTCATTGTTCAACTCCTACTTATGAGTGAGAACATGCAGAAAACAACCTGATTTTAAAATGGGCAAAGGACCTGAAAAGACATTCTAAAAGACAAAACAAATGGCCAACAGGTATGTGAAAAAAATGCTCAACATCACTAATCATTGTGGAAATGCAAATTAAAACCACAATAAGATATCATTTCACTTCTGTTAGAACAGTTTTTGTCAAGAGAACAAAAGATAACAAGTATTGGCAAAGATGTGGAGAAAAGGAAATCCTTGCACACTGTTGGTGGGAATGTACATTAGTATAGCCATTTTGGAAAACAGTATGGAAGTTCCTCAAAACATTAAAAATAAAACAATCACATGATCCACCAATTTCACTTCTGGGTACATATCCAAAGGAAATGAAATCAGTATGTCAAAGAGACACATGGATGAACCTAGAGGACGTTATGCTAAGTGAAATAAACCAGACATGAAAAGACACTGCATAATCCCACTTGTATGTGGAATCTAAAAAGTCAAACTCACAGAGGTAGAGAGTGGAATGGTGGTTACCAGGGGCAGGGACAGAGGGGTGGAGGAATGGGGAGATGTTGGCCAAAGGGCACAAAGCTGCAGTTAAATGGAAGGAATAAGTTCTGGAGATCAAATAGGAAGCTGACCACGGTTAATAATAATATACGGTATATTTCAAAATTGCTGAGAGAGTAGATATTAAATGTTCTTGCCATCTCAAAATGGTATGTGAGGTGTTGGATATGTTAATTAGCTTGATTTAGTCATTCCACAATCTATAAAGCTCTCAAAATATCACATTATACTCCAAAAATATATAGTTTGTTATTTATTTATATATTAATACAAAATATTAGGCCAGGCATGGTGGCTCACGCCTGTAATCCCAGCACTTTGGAAGGCCGAGGCAGGCGAATCACTTGAGGTCAGGGATTCGAGGCCAGCCTGGCCAAAATCGTGAAACCCCATCTCTACTAAAAATATAAAAATTAGCTGGATGTGATGGCAGGCGCCTGTAACCCCAGCTGCTTGGGAGGTGGAGGCGGAAGGATTGCTTGAACCCTGGAGGCAGAGATTGCAGTGAGCCGAGATTGCACCACTGCACTCCAGCCTGGGCAATGGAGCAAGACTCCACCTCAAAAAATAATAATATATAAATAAGTAAACAGTAACATCCAGATTTCTCAGTTAATTAGGTCTAGAAACAGAAAATTTCTGAACTACCTTTTTATTAGTTGAAAGAAAACTAAAATTAGAAAACCTCTCCTTGCTCAAAGATGTGTTTTCTCCATCCATAGATATAGTTTCTCCTTCAAAAAATTATACACTTGCATATAAAATGAAGTACCTCCAGATTACTGACTAGGAGACTTAATGAAATCATTTGGTTTATTCACCTGTTGATACTTTCATATCTCCCACCAAGTTTGAAAACTAGGTCAAAGTAAAACTATCACAACAGGAGAACTTTTTTTTTTTTTCGCTGTTGTGTTTTGTTTTTGTTCCTGTTTTTGTTTGTTTTTTTTTGTTTTGTTTTTTTTTTTTGAGACAGTCTCACTTGGTCACCCAGGCTGAGTGTAGTGGCGAAATTACTGCTCACTGCAACCTCAAATTCCAGGGCTGAAGTGATCCTCCTGCCTCGGCCCCACAAATAGCTGGAACTATAGGCACATGCCACTGTGCCTGGCTAATTTTCTGTATTTTTCATAAAGATGGGTTTCACCATGTTGCCCAGACTAGTCTCGAACTCCTAAGCTCAAGGAATCCACCCACCTCAGCCTCCCAAAGTGCTGGGATTACAGGCATGAACCACTGTGGCCAGCCACGAGGAAGATTTTAAAAACCACTAAGACATAATACAAATAAAAAACTAAAATGGAAATGAATGAAGACCAGAAAAGTTAAAGAAAATGCAAATAAAGTTAATGTTTAAAGTAGATGTTAAAAAGCTTTAATAAGTTAAAAGATGTCTGAATTATAAGATCTGAAGCAATTTAAGAGAACTAAAACCAAACCAGGTTGGGTATACGTCTCCCCTTGGTAAAATGGAATCATGTTGCTACCTCCAAAAAGGCTTTGAAAAACTGGAACATAATAAAAACAGTGTTAACAGTAACTAATTATTGAGCTGTTCTTTGCACATTACATAAACCATCTATTGCATTTAATCCTCATCAAAACCCAAAACTATAAATTTTTCCATCTTACAGGTGAGAAACTGAGGTACAAGACAGATCAAGTTACTTGCTCAAAAATAAAATTCTGTTGCATTTTTGCTGTTTGGTTTCATTTTTTGGGTTTGAGAAAGTATAGAAATAGAAGAACTGGTGACTGGTTACTCCTATTAAGGAGAATAGTAAATCACTTCATATCAAAGTTCTTAAACTTGAAAATCAAAATCACCTATAGGGCTTGTTAAAATGCAGATTGCCGGGTTCTGGACACTACATCCAGGGTCTCTGATTCAGTAAGTTCAAGATAATGTCCAATAATTTGCATTTCTAACAAGTTCCTAGGTGATAATGCCCGGACTAACTGCAAATCACAATTAAGAGACCCACTGCTTTATACCAATAAAAAAGAAACATGACAAACACTTAGAGACACAATAAAAGAAGAATGAATCATGTTCAAAGGAACCTAATTCCACTGTCTGAATTTTCCAGTTATTTGATTTATACCACACATTTTAAAGAACAAAAGTTCTGTGAAAAGTCACTATGGTGTAAAGTACAATCATACCTATGAGATATTGCAAGTTCATTGCAAATGACTGAAATAAAGTGAATACCACAATAAAGAAAATCACACAATTTTTTGGGTTTCTGAGTGAATTTAAGAGTTACATTTACACTATACCATAGTCTATTGAGTATGCAATAGCATTATGTCTTAAAAATAATGCATAGACCTTAATTTTAAAAATGCTTTATTGCTTAAAAAAATGCTAATGATCATCTGGGTCTTCTGCAAGTTGTATCTGCCACATCCATCCCCTCATTTTGCTAGTGGAGGGTCCTGCCTGGATGTTGATGGCTGCTGACTAATCAGGGTGGTGGGTGATGAAGGTTAAGGTGGCTGTGGCAACTTCTGGAAATATGACAACAATAAAGTTTGCTGCATGGATTGACTCTTCCTTTCACAAAAGATTTCTCTGTAGCATGTGATGCCGTTTGATAGCATTTTACCACAGTAGAACTTCATTCAAAGCTGAAGTCAATTATCTCAAACCCTGCCGTCACTTGATCAACCACGTTATATGTAATGTTCTAAATCCTTTGTTGTCATTTCAACAATGTTCAAAGCGTCTTCACCAGGAATGGTTTCCATCTCAAGAAATCACTTGCTTGGCTCTTCCATAAGAAGCAACTCCTCATCTGTTCAAATTTTATCATGAGATTGCAGCAATTCAGTCACATATTCAGGTTCCACTTCCAATTCTACTTCTCTTTCCACCACATTTTTAGTGACTTCCTCCACGGAAGTCTTCAACCTTTCAAAGTCATCCATGAGGGCTGGGAAAAAATTCTTCCAAACTCCTATTCGTGTTAATGTTCTGACCTCCTCCAATGAATCACAAATGTTCTTAATAGTATCTAGAATAGTGAACCTTTTCCAGAAGGTTTCCAGTTTACTTTACCCAGATCCACCAGAGAAATTACTATCTATGGCAGCTATAGCCATAGATAGCAGGCTTGAATGTCAAAATTACAGATACAACTCGCAGAAGACCCAGATGATCATTAGCAATTTTTTTAGCAATAAAGCATTTTTAAAATTAAATTTTTTAAGGTTTGTGCAAAATTTTTATTTCCTGTGCATTTATAATGTATACATTCATAATGAATTTCTTAAATAACAAAACTTGAATGTCAAAATTACTCCCTGACCCACAGACTGCAGAATAGATGCTGTGTCACCAGGCATAATAACTACAGTAATTTCCTCGTGTATCTCCATCGAGCTCTTGGGTGATGAGGTGCATTGTCAATGAGCAGTAATATTTTGAAAGAAATCTTTTTTTCTGAGCAGTAGGTCTCAATAGTGGACTTAAAATATTCAGTGTGGCAAGCAGATATTGTAAGTAGATGTGCTGTCATCCAGGCTTTGTTGTTCCATTTATAGAGCACAGGCAGAGTAGATTTAGCATAAGTCTTAAGGACACTAGGATTTTCAGAATGTAAACGAGCACTGGCTTCAACTAAAAGTCAGCAGCTGCATTAGCCCTTAACAAGAAAGTAAGTCTGTCCTTTCAAGCTTCCAAGTCAAGCACTGACTTCTCTCTAGCTATGAAAGTCCTAGATAACATCTTTTTCCAATCGAAGGCCGTTTCACCTACATTGAAAATCTGTTGTTTAGTGTAGCCACCTTCCTCAATGATCTTAGCTAGATCTTCTGGATAATTTGCTGTAGCTTCTACATCAGCACTTGCTGCTTCACCTTGCACTTTTATGTTATGAAGATGGTTTCTTTCCTTAAACCCCATAAAACAACCTCCAAACTATTCTTCTGCAGTTGCCTCACCTCTCTCAGCATTCAGAGTTGAAGACAGTTAAGGCCTTGCTCTGGATTAGGCTTTGGCTTAAGAGAATGCTGTGGCTGGTTTGATCTTCTATCCAGACCACTAAAACTTTCTCCATATCAGCAATAAGGCTATTTGCTATCTTATCACTCATGTGTTCATTGGAGTAGCTCTTTTAATTTCCTTCAAGAACTTTTCCTGTGCATTCTTAACTTGGCTAAGTGTTTGGCACAAGAGATCTAGGTTTTGGCCATCTTGGCTTTTGACATGGTCTTCTCACTAAGCTTAATAATTCTAGCTTTTGATTTCAAATGAAAGATGTGTAATTGGCTTAATTTCAATATTGTTGTGCCAGGAAATAGGGAGGTCCAAGGAGAGGAGGAGAGATGAGACAATGACTGGAGCAGTGGAGCAGTCAGAACATACACAGCATATATCTAGTTCGCCATCTTATATGGGCACGCTTCATGGCAACACAAAACAATTACAATAGTAACATCAACGATCACTGATCACCATAACAGATACGATAATAATGAAAAATTCTGATATACTGCAAGCATTACCAAAAGGTGACACAGAGACATAAAGTGAACACATGCTGTTGGAGAAATGGAGCAAATAGATTTGCTCAATGAAGGGTTGTGGCACAAACTTTCAACTTACGAAAACACAATATCCAGCCAGATGTGGTGGCACATGCCTGTAGTCCCAGCTAGTCAGGAAGCTAAGTCATGAGAATCACCTGAGCCCACGAGTTTGGGACCAGTCTGGGCAATATAGTGAGATCTCATCTCAAAAACCAAATCACACTATATCTGCAAAGCACCATACAATGAAGTATACCTGTACTTTATTTTCAAACCAGGAGTAATCCTGCAACATTGTCCAATGTCTATTATCTTGACCTCTAAAAATCCCAAAACATATAACTCTTTCTACCTGTCTCTTCTAAAATTATACACTGTTCTGTGTGGTGATTTATCACCACACAAATTTAATATATTTAATAACTCCAGTTAAAGCAATAGTAGGACAACATTTCAATTTAGTATTGCTTCCCTCCTATTTTTAAGGCCCTGAATGTTCAGATGCACAAAAAAATCATGAAGTAGGCTAGACACTAACCTGATATATTCACGTGGAGTTAGGCTCTGAGATCTTTCAAAACACAACATAATAAAGTTTGATCCAGGAGTATAACCATTTGTTTTTATCTTTTCAGATGATATGAATCTGAAGAAATGCCCTCCAGAGAAGAAAACACAACTTTCATTTCACAGCGCCTGTTCTCTTAACCCATGTACCTTTTCAACATCTCTGTGAAATTCTCCCAGCAAGACAAAGAGCCCCAGGTTCAGCAAAGATTCACCTTGACCATCTCTCACTTTCATACCAATATACCAACCACTTGGGCAATTATCACAGACTTGTCCATTCAAATCCATTCTAGCCCCATTACTGCACAATAGAAGACAGACTTCTGCCAGACACAGCCATGACAGATTCGAAAGGTAGAAATAAGCACTGTGGGGTGGGGCTGTGCTTCTGAATAAATCCTAGTGTTTAGTTTTCAGCTTCAAGGGAGAAGAGTGAACACACACACCATTTTGCCAGCTAGGCTTTAGGGTCTTGAAGTCTGCTGCTGTGATAATGGAAGACTGCTCATGTGTTCAGCTTCCTGATTACAGCAGACATAGCAGTTTTCCTGGCTGGCCAGTTCTATATTATTTGGGAATCATTCCTAGAAATTTAACCTAAAACCTGATCCTCCAGTATCCTCTGTAGTTCCCAGTATCAAATCTCTCCCTGCTAAAACTGGCTAAAGTGGTCTCTGCTATCAACAACTGAATCCAGACCTACATACTACTAAACAGAAAAGGATTCCTTTAAGTTCCTATCATTTGCAAAAGGAAATACTCCACCACAAAGGGAATTATTAGTGGCTGGCATGATAGAAGAGATAGACAACAATTTGGAGGATCTGTACTACAGTCAGCTCTTCTGCTGACCTTGACTAAATAAGAATGTAAGAACTGCTAGATAAACTCAAAAGAAGTCCATGTAAGTCCTCCCTTCCCTAGTCATATCTGGCACATAAGATGTATTAAAATTTTGAATCACTCTGAACTAACATCTATTCTAAGTATTATGGAAGCATAATGAAAAACAGGGATTGATTACTAATCCAGGGCTCAGTTTCATTATCTGAAAATGGGGCTGAACGTGGTGGCTCACACTTGTAATTCCAAGACTTTGGGAGGCAGAGGTGGGAGGACTGCTTAAAGCCAAGAGTTCAAGACCAGCCTGGTCAACACAGAAACTACGTCTCTAAAAAAAAAGAAAAAGAAAAAGAAGAGAAGATGGGAAACATATCAAATAAAGAATGACAGGTCAAGAACACTATGATATCTAATACAGCAACCACCAGGCATACGCAACTACTGAGCACGTCAAATGTGGCTAGTGCAACTGAGGACCTGCATTTTAAATTATATTTTATTTTAATTAATTAAAAATTTTAAAATATGATCAATTACTAGAAAACCCTTGAACATTATATTGGGAACAATTCAAGTATATGACGCTAACATTTTCCAAGTAGATATTTTATGAAATCTAAATACATACCAGATTCCAAAGGCTTCACCAAAAAAAGTGAAATACTTTATTAATTATTTATAGATATGTTAAGTGATATTTTGGATATATTCAGTTAAATAAATTATATTGTTAAAATTAAGTTTACTTGTTTCTTTTTACTTTTTCGAGTAAAGCTACTAGAAAACCTAAAATTGCAACTGTGACTTGCATTATATTTCTATTGTACAGCGTTGCTTACCTTAAGGAATGTAAAACATTTAACAATTTTTGAAAGAAGGGTTAAGAACAGGATAAATCAAGCCAGGTATGATAGCTCGTGCCTGTAATCGCAGCTCCTGTAATCCCAGGCTGAAGTGCAGGAGGATTGCTTGAGGCCAGGAGTTTGAGACCAGCCTGGGCAACACAGTGAGACTACGTCTCTAAACAAATTAAAAATTAAAATTTAAAATTAGCTGGGCGTATGCTTGTGGTCCCAGCTACTCTGGAGGCTCAATGGGAAAATCACTTGAGCACAGGAGTCAAAGGCTGCAATGAGCTTTGAGTAGTACGCCACTACATTCCAGCCTGGGCAACAGAGTAAGATTCCATCTCTATTAAAAAGAAAAAAAAATTAAGAAATGAGAAGAAATGAAAATTATATATATACAAAAGAACAAAACAACTTGGTATCATCGAGAAACAAGAGGAAATGTCCTTCTACAAAGAGCCCATGAGAAGACTTTTTTAAAAACATCTCTCCAAATAAGATTTCTAAGTATCCAAATAATTTCTTCACAATTCTGACGCATGAATAAAAAAATATAAACTTTTAAAAAACAAGAAGTTGATGAGAGCCATTATGGAGGCACACAAAATTAATTTCCTATGAGAAAGTAAAGTATGGTATGAGGAAATGTGGACTTGTGGTTAGGGTAAAAGAGCTCTTTGCTCTAACCCCACCCTTTTTACTCACTACTAAGTCCAAATCAAGTTAGGGACACATATGAGAGGCTAGACAGGACATGGTAACAGCATAAAGGTGAGGCCTCCAGCCTGGTGATCCACAGAGCTCAGTATGGGATGCCTAGGTAGCAAAGAGGGAGAAACCTTTTGTTTTCTCTAGGGGGAGAGAAGACACTGGGTGAATTCAGACCCTAAAGTAGACCCCAGGCAGATTTTTGTAAGTAAGACTAATTAAATCTCACCAGACTCGTGTGAGGTAAATAGGGAGCAGTGAGGTCCTATCCCAGTTACACTAAACAGGCCCATTAAATAAAGAAAGCCATAGCTTCTTACCACCTTAGCAAGACCCAAGAGCTCTGGCTCAGCTACCACAGTCTCACAGTACAAAAAGTCTACTCATCTTAGTCATTCACACAGGCACAACCCCAGCCATGCTAATGGTCATAAATGCAAATGCTATCCACTACTTTACTCTTTCTTCCTTGGGAGCATTTAATTAGCATTAACTCTTAAAACAAAACAGAAAGGTTAAATCCCTTCTCTCCATTTATGGAAATTAATAATAATTTCCATTGCTGTAACTAGACAGTGATAAGAGTCCCATCTAACACTTTGCATGTTACGTTAGTTAACTTGACTTTTTTTTTTTTAAGCTCGATTTCTTAGAGAAAATCTCTTGAAAAATACCCTTGCACAGACATGCTCCAACTTCTTTCAGTCTTGAATAAATTCAGACTGGGACTCACCATTGGAGAGCCAAGACTCTTCATAAAACAAGTTCTTAGACTCTCTTGGACAGTTTTTTTAATCCATTTGCTTTGAGCAGTTTTATCTGGAACCTGTGCACACTCTGCCTATAATGGTTAGTCCTGAAGAAGACCAAGGCTGCTAATCAAAAAGTGACTAGGGATGGAATGACTTGAAATATAATATAGTTTTCCTTTCACATAGGCATGGCTTATCAATGTTTTCTTCACACACTCCTTCACAAACATGGCTAGAGGTAAAGCCTTGAAATAAAGCAGTCAAAATTCATTTTTGTATAAAATATTTACTGTATTAGACGTAGCATTCTAATCATACACAGCAATGTGTAAGGAGAGCACCCCTCCCTCCAGTTCAGAGGAACTGAACCAGAACTACAACAATTTACACAGGGCTAACCTGCCTAACCACCTGAACAGAAAAGCCTCTGTCAACATATTTTGTTTTTAAACCTACATTATATTCCAAACAAGCAATGCATGCCAAGCTACACTGCATTTGGTAATTTGTACAAAAGGATATTGCCAAATTCCAATACAAAATGACTATGAACACACCCGTTTATTTTGGTGCTTCTTTAAATTCCATTTATCAGTGGATTCATTTATAGTTTAGGACTGCTGAACGAACCTTTCAAGACCATGTTTCTTTTTGGAGGATAAACTCAATCTGTCTTAAATATAGCAAAGTTCAACAATTCAGACATTGCTGTTTCTCAAGTTCTTTGATACACAGGTGAGAGTGGTAAGTTAGTGTTTATTTTAGGATCATTTATGGTAAGTGGGAGTGGGAAGAGATTTTTAAGCAAGAAATTACATAAACAAAATTAAAGAGGTGTTAAACAAATTCTTTCTTTCCCTTTAGAAATTTAATTTACATACTGACAATGTAAACACCATCCACAGCAGTACTTTGATCTGCTAATTACAAAACATTTTTATCTTTTCATTAAATCAGGAGTTCTAAGAGGCCACTTTAATGACTTAAAGGGCAACGTAAATAAGTCTTCCCTAATTCACACCAGAAATTCACTTGGAATTTTTTTTCCCTTAAACTAAAGGATCTATGCAATTCTTTAACTCTTGGGATGGTTGACTCCTGTATAGTTGATTAAAATATTCAACCTGTTTAGGCCCCTGGCAGCCAATCAGAGACTGGACTTTGAGGATTCCATCCACAGTTGATGAAGCACCTTAAACTACCTCTCATATAAGATGCAGGAACACTATGCAATTCTATCAGGTACAAGGAAAACATTTAAAATTCAACATTTCTACAGAGCTAATCCTTCAATTTGGTAAGAGGAATACCATTACCTCTGGCTATTTCTCTAAGTGATCAACAACAACAACAGAAATGCATTTAAGGCTCTATATCACTATTTAAGGAGAGCAACCCTCTCTCAGGTTTAAAAGAGCCTAACCTTTTCTCTCCTATTTTTGAAACCACAGAACAAAGTTCTATATCTGATGCTCAATCCAGCCGCAATGAAAAATATTTTTAATTTTTTATATTAAATTATTCTCCTTACAAAACTAAGGTGAATCCAAAATACTCTTTTAAAAAACCAATAAGCTGTACTTTTTAAAGCAGTTTTAGGTTTCAGAAAAATTAAGCAGAAAGTACAGAGAGTTCTTACATATTCCCTCTCCCCACTCTACCTGGCTCTCATTTTCCCCTATTATTAACATCTTGCATTGGGGTGGTACATTTGCTACAACTGATAAACCAACATTGACACACTATTAACTAAAGTCCATCCCTTACATTAGGGTTTTCTCTCTCTGTTGTACGGAAGTTCTATGGGTTTTGACAAATGTATAACGTCATGTAACCACTCATAACAGTATCAAAAAAAGTAGTTTCACTGCCCTAAAAATCCCACCATGTTCTACCTATTCGTCCCTTCCTTCCTCCCCACCAAACCCCCAGCAACCACTGAACTTTTTATTGTTTTCATAGTTTTACCTTTTTCAGAATGTTATAAAATTGAAGTCATATAATATGTAGGCTTTTCAGATTGGCTTCTTTCAATTGGCAATATGCACTTGTATCAGTCCTGTTTCACCCTGCTGATAAAGACATACCCATTTCATGCTGCTGGGAAGAAAAAGAGGTTTAATTGGACTTACAGTTCCATATGGCTGCGGAGGCCTCAGAATCATGATAGGAGGTGAAACACACTTCTTACATGGCAGCAGCAAGAGAAAAATGAGGAAGAAGCAAAAGCAGAAACCCCTGATAAACCCATCAGATCTTGTGAGACATACTATCGTGAGAATAACACAGGAAAGACCGGCCTCCATGATTCAATTACTTCCCCCTGGGTCCCTCCTACAACACATGGAAATTCTGGGAAATACAATTCAAATTGAGATTTGGGTGGGGGCACAGTCAAACTATATCATTCCACCCCTGGCCCCTCAAAATCTCATGTTCTCACATTTTAAAACCAACCATGCCTTCCCAATACTCCCCCAAAGTCTTAACTCATTTCAGCACTAACCCAAAAGTCCACAGTCCAAAGTCTCATGTGAGAAAAGGCAAGTCCCTTCTACCTATAAGCCTGTAAAATCAAAAGCAAGCTAGTCACTTCCTAGATACAATGGGAGTACAGACATTGGGTAAATACAACCATTCCAAATGGGAGAAACTGGCCAAACAAAGGAGTTACAGGGCCCATGCATTCAAATTTTAAAGCTCCAAAATGATCTCCTTTGACTCCAGGTCTCACATAGAGATCGTGCTGATACCAAGAGGTGGGTTCGTGGTCTTGGACAACTCTGCCCCTGTGGCTTTGCAGGGTACAGCCTCCCTCTCTGCTGCTTTCATGGGCTAGTGTTAAGTGTCTGTGGCTTTTCCAGGAGCACTGTGCAAGCAGTCGGTGGATCTACCATTCTGGGGTCTGGAGGACAGTAGCCTTCTTCTCACAGTTCCACTATGCAGTGCCCCAGTAGGGACTCTGTGTGGGGGCTCCGACCCCACATTTCTCTTCCACACTGCCCTTAGCAGAGGTTCTCCATGAGGGTCCCACCCCTGCAGCAAATTTTTCCCTGGGCATCTGGCATTTCCATACATCTTCTGCAATCTAGGCAGAGGTTCCCAAACCTCAATCCTTGACTTCTGTTGCACCCACAGGCTCAACATCACATGGAAGCTGCCAAGTC
Organism: Homo sapiens; assembly: GCF_000001405.40. Lineage (NCBI taxonomy): Eukaryota > Metazoa > Chordata > Mammalia > Primates > Hominidae > Homo > Homo sapiens. Next base: position 20,583,656 of record NC_000009.12, read on the forward strand.
TTGGGGCTTCCACCCTCTGAAGCCAGACACCAAGATGTACGTTGTTCCCTTTCAGCCATGGCTGGAGCAGCTGGGACACAGGACACCAAGTCCCTATGCTGCACACAGCATGGGGACCCTGGGCCCAGCCCACAAAACCACTTTTTCTTCCTGGGACTCTGGGCATGTGATGGAAGGCGCTGCCATGAAGGTCTCTAACATGGCCTGAAGACATTTTCCCCATGGTCTTGGGGATTAACATTAGGCTCCTTGCTACTTATGCAAATTTCTGTAGAGGGCTTGAATTTCTCCCCAGAAAATGGGGTTTTCTTTTCTATCACATTATCAGGCTGCAAATTTTTGAAACTTCTATGCTCTGCTTCCCTTTTAAAACTAAATGCTTTTAACAGCACCCAACTCATCTCTTGAATACTTTGCTGCTTAGAAATTTTTTCTGCCAGATATCCTAAATCATCTCTCTCAAGTTCAAGGTTCCACAAATCTCTAAGGCAGGGCAAAACGCCACCAGTCTCTCTGCTAAAACGTAACAAGAGTCACCTTTGCTCCTGTTCCCAACAAGTTCCTCATCTCCATCTGAGACCACCTCAGCCTAGACTTTATTGTTCATATCGCTATCAGCATTTTCGTCAAAGCCATTCAACAAGTCTCTAGGAAGTTCCAAACTTACCCACATTTTCCTATCTTCTTCTGAGCTCTCCAAACTGTTCCAACCTCTGCCTGTTCCAAAATCACTTCCACATTTCTGGGTATCTTTTCAGCAAAGCCCCACTCTACTGGTACCAATTTACTGTATTAGTCCATTTTCACACTGTTGATAAAGACATACCCATTTCACGCTGCTGGGAAGAAAAAAGAGGTTTAATTGGACTTACAGTTCCACGTGGCTGGGAGGCCTCAGTATCATGGCAGGAGGTGAAAGGCACTTCATACATGGCAGCAGCAAGAGATAAATGAGGAAGAAGCAAAAGTGGAAACCTCTGATAAACCCATCAGATCTCACGAGACTTATTCACTATCACAAGAATAGCACAAGAAAGACCAGGCCCCAAGATTCAATTATCTCCCCCTAGGTCCCTCCCAAAACACGTGGGAACTCTGGGAGATACAATTCAAGTTGAGATTTGGGTGGGGGCACAGCCAAACTGCATCAGCATTTAAGGTTCTTCCATGTCTTTTCGTAGTTTGATAGCTCATTTCTTTTCATTGCTAAACAGTATTCCATTGTGTGGATGCACCAGCTCCTCCATTTACCTATTGAAGGACATCTTGATTGCTTCAAATTTTGGGCAGTTATAAATAAAGCTGTTATAAACATTCATGGGCAGGTTTCTGTGTGGACATAAGTTTTCAACTCATTTGAGTAAATACTTTGGAGCATGATTTCTGAATCACATGATGCATTAATCTGTTCAGGTTGCCTTAACAAAATACCATAAACTTGGTGGCTTAGTAATTTGTTTCTCACAGTTTTGGAGGCTGGAAAGTCCAAAATAAAGGGGCCAACTGATTCTGTTTCCGGTGAGGACTCTCTTTCTGACTTGTAGATGGCCAACTTCTCACCGTGTCCTCAAACAACCGGGGGGCAGGCAGGCCTCTTTTCAGTCTCTTATTTTTCAACTGACAAAAACTGTACATATTTATGGTACACAACATCCTGTCCCTTCTTATAAAGACACTAATTCCATCAGATCAGGGTCCCACCCTTTAACCTCCACAAAGGCTCTATCTACAAATACAGTCGTAGAAGGGTAGGGTTTCAACGTATGAATTTGGTAGGGGCACAAAAACAGTCAGTCCACAACGTACAGTAATAGTGTGTTTAGTTTTGTAAAGAACCGTGAAACCATCTTCAAAAGTGGCTGTGTCACTGTGCACTCCCACCAGCAGTGAATGTGAGTCCCTGTGGATCCACATCCTTCCCAGCACTTGATTCTAAATCTTCACCATTCTAATGGTATGTAGTGGTATCATTGTTTTTGTTAATTTGCAATTCTCTAATGACGTGATATTGAGCATCTTTTCATCACTTATTTGCCATCTGTACATTTTCTTTGGCAAGGTGTCGCAAAATACTCTTTTCACTGTTCTATTTCCCAGTGTGGTCTCATGGTCATCTTGGAGCATGATCACCAGGACTGCTTATTAGAAATGCAGAAGATTGGGCTCCAACCAGTAACAATATATTAAGACCTTTCTAATACAGTCAAGAATACCAAACACTAAACAGACTGCTATAATTGAGGGAGAAACAGTGAATAAGAATCACCAATGGTCAGCCTGACTCTTACTGGATGGATTGGTTAGAGACCTGCAACCATTATCTTTTCCTCACGGGCTGCTGACTTTTCAACCAGAAAGCCTCTTAAAGAGAATAAATATAGGCCAGGAACAATCACTCACATCTGTAATCCTAGCACTTCGGGAAGCCAAGATGGGAGTATCACTTGCACTCAGGAGTTTGCGACCAGCCGGGCAACATAGCGAGGCTTCATCTCTACAAAAAAAATGTTTTAAATTAGCCAGGTGTGGTGGTGTGTGCCTGTAGTCCCAGCTACTCTGGTAGCTGATGTGGGAGAACTGTTTGAGCCCAGATGGTCAAGGCTGCAGTGAACCATGATCGTGGCACTGTATTCCAGCCTGGGTGACAGAGCAAGACCCCATCTCAGAGAAAAAAAAAAGTAATATGGATGGGTATGGATGGGTACTGACATAATCAGGAAATCAAAGTCATTCTGTGACTGGAAAGAAAAAAAAAAAAGGAGATTGAAAATTGACGTTTGCCCAAATCCCAAAAGTGATATCACTGACTTCGTACATAACCCCTAGAAAATCACTGGGGGGCTTAGGGGTGGCAGTGGACTGGTTCTCCTTAAAAATAAGTTCAACTAACCTGCTGAAAAAGAGAGGCAGAAGTTAGGTATGCAGCTGGGAAACTGAGATAGGCAAAATACCATGGAGGCAAATTATTCAAACTATGGCAGGTCACAAGTCAAACTCCAATTTAAAGCCCCTAATAAACATCAAGGAGTTTTTTTTTTTTACCTCTTTCCAAGGGAGGAGAGGAATGAAGGGAAAAAAAGTAGAGAAATAATGAGACTCACTGGTTAGGGAAGTGGGGAAATGGTTTCCCATTCCTCTAAGGAGCCAGCAGAGGGGAGCAAGTTGGGAGGAGAAAAAAGAGCAAAAATAAGAGTAAGAAAGAACTATTCCTAGTATAATACCATTTTCAATCTATCTGCTACATCCTTTATTTTGTTTTTTTTAAAAATGAAATGAAACCTCAATCTGTTTTTAAAACAAAAGCATGATTCTTTCCTAAGTAGAAGATGTGATGAATTAATTTTCCTCAAACTTTCTAGGTAGGAGTCAGGAGAAGCCAGCCAATTATTTGATAAAACCAAGTACAAAATAAAAGACTTGATTCTGCAGCTTAAAATAATGTTAATATACCAATTTCCCTTAGATTTTTTTAAACAAAAGTTTGATATTTTAATTTTTGCATATTTCCAACAGATAGCAGATAGCTAGGCCAAAAAAAAAAAAAAAACAACTTCCCAATAGGTTCATATCTGCAAAGGGAACTTTCAAAGAAACCAATAAGACACAAAGCAGATAAAAATGACATATCATATAATCTTTTTCTTTATTCACTCCTATTATCACTATTCTATGAATTAGGTAGGAGAAGCCCATCTGTCTCTCCTCATTTTACAGATAAGAAAGCAGACACTCTTGGAAGTGACGGAAACTTTTTCACTGCATGGCCTTCAGTGCATAAGAGAGCCAAAACTCAAACCAAGGACTCCCACCTCCAAGACAAGAGAGGGGCCCCCTACTCTTTCCACTTCACAATAATGCCTAAATTCTAAGATAAAAGAAAAAAAAATACTCATTTTAACCATTAAAAGAAAAAAATCTATAATGTGGCTTTCAAATACAGAGAAATCCTTTATTGAAAAACTTTTTGGCTGCATAAATGTCTTCTTTTGAGAAGTGTCTGTTCATGTCCTTTGCCCACTTGTTGATGGGGTTGTTTGTTTTTTTCTTGTAAATTTGTTTGAGTTCATTGTAGATTCTGGATATTAGCCCTTTGTCAGATGAGTAGGTTGAGAAAATTTTCTCCCATTTTGTAGGTTGCCTGTTCACTCTGATGGTAGTTTCTTTTGCTGTGCAGAAGCTCTTTAGTTTACTTAGATCCCATTTGTCAATTTTGGCTTTTGTTGACATTGCTTTTGGTGTTTTAGACATGAAGTCCTTGCCCATGCCTATGTCCTGAATGGTAATGCCTAGGTTTTCTTCTAGGGTTTTTATGGTTTTAGGTCTAACATTTAAGTCTTTAATCCATCTTGAATTGATTTTTGTATAAGGTGTAAGGAAGGGATCCAGTTTCAGCTTTCTACATATGGCTAGCCAGTTTTCCCAGCACCATTTATTAAATAGGGAATCCTTTCCCCATTGCTTGTTTTTCTCAAGTTTGTCAAAGATGAGATAGTTGTAGATATGCGGCGTTATTTCTGAGGGCTCTGTTCTGTTCCATTGATCTATATCTCTGTTTTGGTACCAGTACCATGCTGTTTTGGTGACTGTAGCCTTGTAGTATAGTTTGAAGTCAGGTAGTGTGATGCCTCCAGCTTTGTTCTTTTGGCTTAGGATTGACTTGGCGATGCGGGCTCTTTTTTGGTTCCATATGAACTTTAAAGTAGTTTTTTCCAATTCTGTGAAGAAAGGCATTGGTAGCTTGATGGGGATGGCATTGAATCTGTAAATTACCTTGGGCAGTATGGCCATTTTCACGATATTGATTCTTCCTACCCATGAGCATGGAACGTTCTTCGATTTGTTTGTAACCCCTTTTATTTCCTTGAGCAGCGGTTTGTAGTTCTCCTTGAAGAGGTCCTTCACATCCCTTGTAAGTTGGATTCCTAGGTATTTTATTCTCTTTGAAGCAATTGTGAATGGGAGTTCACTCATGATTTGCCTCTCTGTTTGTCTGTTGTTGGTGTACAGGAATGCCTGTGATTTTTGCACATTGATTTTGTATCCTGAGACTTTGCTGAAGTTGCTTATCAGCTTAAGGAGATTTTGGGCTGAGACAATGGGGTTTTCTAGATATACAATCATGTCATCTGCAAACAGGGACAATTTGACTTCCTCTTTTCCTAACAAACACATGAAAAAATGCTCACCATCACTGGCCATCAGAGAAATGCAAATCAAAACCACAATGAGATACCATCTCACACCAGTTAGAATGGCAATCATTAAAAAGTCAGGAAACAACAGGTGCTGAAGAGCATGTGGAGAAATAGGAACACTTTTACACTGTTGGTGGGACTGTAAACTAGTTCAACCATTGTGGAAGACAGTGTGGCGATTCCTCAGGGATCTAGAACTAGAAATACCATTTGACCCAGCCATCCCATTACTGGGTATATACCCAAAGGACTATAAATCATGCTGCTATAAAGACGCATGCACACGTATGTTTATTGCGGCACTATTCACAATAGCAAAGACTTGGAACCAACCCAAATGTCCAACAATGATAGACTGGATTAAGAAAATGTGGCACATATACACCATGGAATACTATGCAGCCATAAAAAGGATGAGTTCATGTCCTTTGTAGGGACATGGAGGAAATTGGAAACCATCATTCTCAGTAAACTATCGCAAGAACAAAAAACCAAACGCCACATATTCTCACTCATAGGTGGGAATTGAACAATGAGATCACATGGACACAGGAAGGGGAACATCACACTCTGGGGACTGTTGTGGGGTGGGGGGAGGGGGGAGGGATAGCATTGGGAGATATACCTAATGCTAGATGACGAGTTAGTGGGTGCAGCACACCAGCATGGCACATGTATACGTATGTAACTAACCTGCACAATGTGCACATGTACCCTAAAACTTAAAGTATAATAATAAAAAAAAAAAGAAAATTTTTTTATAAAAAAAGAATTTGAGAATTGAGGTATTCAAAAACTTTGTATTTCTTGAAAGTTTCTTCTATGATGGCAATAGTATCCCAGCCCATGGTTTTAATCGGTGATTTTTTTTTTTTTTTGAGGTGGAGTCTCGCTCTGTCACCCAGGCTGGAGCACAGTGGTGCAATCTCGGCTCACTGCAACCTCTGCCTCCTGAGTTCCAGTGATTCTTCTGCCTCAGCCTCCCAAGTAGCTGGGATTACAGGTGCCCGCCACTGTGCCCAGCTAATTTTTGTATTTTTAGTAGAGATGGGGTTTCACCATCTTGGCCAGGCTGGCCTCGAACTCCTGACCTCGTGATCCACCTGCCTCGGCCTCCCAAAGTGCTGGGATTACAGCCCGACCTAACTGGTGATTTGTAAGCAGCCCTCTGTGGAGCTGAGTTACCCGCCAGGAGAAGCCATTCTGTGGATAATGAACAGCCCATTTACAAAGTCATCTAGGTCAGCTGTTAGAAGTTGGAAAATCTTTTTCTACCTTTCCTTTCACCAACCACTCTAACTTAGTAGGCTTCCAGAGCTGTAATTACACACATTTCAATGGGCGTCAACTCTCTCCAAGATTCTTAACATCCTAGAAGTCAGGGTAGATGAAAATGGCAGTTGTGCCTCCCTAGAAAGCATGAGTTCATGAGTCCCCTTTACATCAGTGCTACCCAGACAGAGTCCCTATACTTACTGCTGATATGGGTTGCATGTGTCCCCTATGTCATCTTGAATTGTAATCCCTATGAATCTCCACATGCGGAGGCAGGGCCCCAGTCGGAGGTGATTAGACCATGGGGGCAGTTTCCCCCACGCTGTTCTCATGATAGTGAGTTCTCACGGGAATTTATGATTTTAAAGTGTGGCGCTTCACTTGTTCATTCTCTCGTGTTCATTGTCTGTCTGTCTCTCTCTCTGTCACTCTCTCACCTGCCTGCCACCATGTAAGACATGCCTGCTTCCCCTTCTGCCATGATTGTAAGTTTCCTGAGGCCTCTCCAGCCATGTGGAGCTCTGAGTCAATTAAACCTCTTTTCTTTATAAATTACCCAGTCTCAGGCAGTTCTTCATAGCAGTGTGAAAATGAACTAATACAATTGCCGTCTTCTTTTTTTTCCTTAGTGGCATTGTCTTGCTCTGTTATCCAGGCTTGAGTGCAGTGGCCTGATCATCATGCACTGCAGCCTCGAATTCCTGGGCTCAAGCAATCCTCTGACCTCAGCCTCCTGAGTAGTTGGGATGGATGATGGACATGCATCACCATACTTAGCTAATTTTTTTTTTTTTATTATTTGACTGTAGAGATGGGGTCTTCCTACATTGCCTAGTCTGGTCTTGAACTACTGGCCTCAGGCAATCCTTCCACGTCAACCTCCCAAAGTGCTGGGATTAAAGTTGTGACCCACTGTACCTAGCCTTGACAGTTTTTAAAAAGAACACAAGGGACATTTAGTCACATTAACCCACAATCCCAAATCAATTTTAGTATATACCTAGTGGCATTCTGAATTTATTGGACCTATTTTTTGAATCTAGTTTTATTGTTCTCTCCAATTTATTTAGTATGTTTTTTTCTAGTTTACTGGGGGCCTGACACTTAGGAAGAAGAGTAAGTTCCTGCCACTACTGTACAGCAGAGGTGCTGCAATTTGGGCACTGGGGGTGCATTTAAAAATTCACATTCCCAGATTTCACTCTGAAAAGGTTCCCAGTCAATAGGTCTCAGATAGTGTGGAGGAAGCATTTTTAACAAAATATGACTCGACTGTAGGGGGCATTCTCAGAGGTGTATTCAGCAAATGCAGCCACAGAACGACTCAGCCTGGCCCACAAAATGAACTTATAAACAGATATGTTAAAAACCATCTGTGAATTCTAGAAGCCTATAAAAAAGGAACTGATTATGAGTAGTGAACACCAAAGGAATTCCAGACTGAGGGGAACAACTTAGGCAGAGTTATAGAATATCGCGAAATGTTTAGGGAACAAAGAATCACCTGAAAATTACCAAACTTACATGCAAACTGTGAACTCACCATTTAGGGAGCATCTTGAATATGAAATATTTCACAGAAAGAATACTTTAAGAGAAAGGTGTTTAAGCAGATAAGTGAATGTGTATCAAAAAAAAGTTTTTGTGACAACCATGTGAAAGATGGTTTCTAAGGAACATGAAACTAAAAACAGAAAATTAATTCCCAAATGGAAAAGAAAGGAAGAGTGTTTTTAAGAAATGTTAAACAGAATGAAGCCAGGTACGGTGGCACACTTGTAGCTAGTCACTCAGGAGGCTGAGGTGGGAAGATCGCTTGAGCCCAGGAGTTCAAGTCCAGCCTAGGCAACACATTTTTTTAATAATAAAAATAAATTAAGAATAGAATGAATAAGAATTAGTGAGCCGCCAACCTATATTATCATATTTTCATTCCCAAGTGATTAAGAGATCAGAAAAAGATAAGGCAAGCCTATGAGTAAACATTCTACCTATTCCAATCACATATCCCAAAAAATTAAAATGGAAGATGAAAAATTAGACTTTTAGCCTCACAATCCATCCTTACTTAACCCTATCATCTCCCCTACCCCAACTTACATGTGGTTTTAGATATAAACCAGAATAACCTGCTTACCTATGCTTACTCCTTCACTAGAGCTGCTATAACAAAGTGGGTTTAAACAACCCAAATGGGGTGGCTTAAGCAACAGGAATTTATTTACAGCTCTGGAGGCTCTAAGTCCAAGATGAAGATATCAGCAGGGCTGATTTCTTCTGAGGCTTCTCCTTGGCTTACAGATGGCTATCCTTTCTCTGTGCCTTCACATGGTCTTTTCTTGGTGTGTCTGTCCTAATCTTCTCTTCTTATAAGGACACAAGTCATATTAGATTAGGTCCTACCCCAATGACCTCATTTTACCTTAATTACTTCTTTAAGGATTCTACCTCCAAATAGTCATTCTTAGAACTTCAACATACGAATTTGTGGTGCATGGGTAGGGGGCACATAATTTGGCACATAACATTATAACTGGCTATAATTTTTATAACTTAAAGTAATCATTACTTCAAAAACTTTGAAAAAGTCCTAAATAAATACTCACAAGCAAAGAGAAAAACACACTCAGGTCTAACCAGATCCCTCCTAGAATGCAGGTGCACTTCAGCCATACGATTACCAGGAGGTCTATTCCAACATTCCAAGATCAAGAATCAGTTCCAAAACTATCCTGGGAATTTTAAGCCACTTCCTATGAGCAACAAAATTTCAGACAAGTTCCTTTCTCATCCATCCCCACTGATAAAACTAAAGAAGCAATGAAAGAGAAGGCAAGGGCAGGTGGAGTTTATATAGTGACATTCCAACACTTGCTACCAAAGCTGTTAAGTATTATTATGGCATTTTTGATGACCATGCCCAGAACTTAATAAAAGCTCAAATTTTTCTGTACTGTAGCTAAATTTACTATAGCAGAAATTTCTTCTGAGATAGCATGACTCTTCAGAAGCCACAAGCATATTTAAAATAAAAAAACAAGGGCTTCAATATTGTAAATTTAAATGGCCATAAACGTCTGACTCAAATCCGTTTCTTCCCTTGGAACCACCTCCTCTCTCCTCAGATCTCAACATTTAAAAATTAATGGGTGTGTTCACTTTCTGACAGGCCCAGAAACCCCAAGTTATCCTGGGACCTCGAGAGGAGAGGAATGTACACAAACTTATAGATATTTGAGGGCAGAAACCCGTTGTTGGGCTTAGCATCAAGAAAGTCTTATCTGAGATTCCTTATGAAACCATCAAAGCCAGTTTTAAAAGCCTATGTGAAAAATAATTTTTCTTGCTGCACTTTATACAAATAATCACGCCAAGTATAATAAAGCAGATCAGTTTTACCATGATTTGTCTTTAGTAAAAATAGGACACTGGAGAGAGAAAAATTATGTTTCAACAACTATGGTACATCTGTTATTAGATTCTAGTCTCATTCGTTGTTTCTCAGTTTTTTTCCTGCAATTTAAACTAACTCTGCTTATTCCTGTGAACCAACCAGTGATCTCTGGCTGTGACTCAGAAGAAACAATAGGGATGGGTAATGTAAAACTCTGAGGCAGTATTTTAATTCTGGGCACGTACTGGAATCAGCCAGCAACTTCAGACTATCAGCTTGGTTCCAACAATTGCATAATTCATAGAAAGCCTTCTTATTATTTTACTTAGGATAACTTTGCTTATTTAGCTTTACTCTTGTAGAATACATTGTTGTTGTACTCCATGTGTAGGAATGCAGGATAAGCTTACTCAATGTTCTCATTTTTTTTTTTTTTTCTGAGAGGGAGTCTTGCTCTGTTGCCCAGGCTGGAGTGCAGTGGTGTGATCTCGGCTCACTGCAACATCCGTCTCCTGGGTTCAGGCGATTCTCCTGCCTCAGCCTCCCAATTAGCTGGGATTACAGACACCCACCACCACACCTGGCTAATTTTTTGTATTTTAGTAGAGACAGAGTTTCACCATATTGGTCAAGCTGGTCTCGAACTCCTGACCTCAAATGATCCGCCTACCTCGGCCTCCCAAAGTGCTGGGATTACAGGTATAAGACACCGTGCCCAACCAATGTTCTCTTAAATTAAACATTTATTAATCTTCTAGATATCACCTTTCGTTGGAACTCAAGAGTTATGAGTGCTCCTCGACATACTAATGCTTTCTGACTGAGCTCCTCTCTACCCTGAATACAAGAGACCCTAATAGGCAGGAATATTATCACCTCTATTCAGCCTGAAGAAGTTACAGAAGATGGATCTTCATCCCTCTTCAACCCTTAGGATTAAGGGTTCTCTTATAAAAGGGAGGGGGGCAATATGTCAGAGGTGTTTGAACCAGAGCAAGTCCATGTTGAATAGGGGCTGGGTAAAATAAGGCTGAGAATTACTGGGCTACATTCCCAGAAGATTAAGGCAGTCTTAGTCACAGGATAAGACAAAAGGTTGGCACAAGACATAGGTCATAAAGACCCTGCTTACAAAACAGACTGAGGTAAAGAAGTCAGCCAAAACCCGCCAAAACCCACCAAAACCAAGAAGGCGATGAAAGTGACCTTTGGTCATCCTCACTGCTCACTATATGCTAATTATAACGCATTAGCATGGTAAAAGACACTCCCACCAATGCCAAGATAGTTTACAAATGCCACAGCAATGTCAGGAAGTTCCCCTGTATGGTCCAAAAAGGAGAGGAACCCTCAGTTCCAGGAATTGCCCAGCCCCTTCCCATAAAACTCATGAATAATCCACCCCTTGTTTAGCATATAATCAAGAAATAACCATAAAAATGTCCAAACAGCAGCTCATACTGCTGCTCTGCCTATGGAGTAGCCATTCTTTTGTTTCTTTACTTCTCTAATAAACTTACTTTCACTTAAAAAAAAAATTACTGGGCATGGGGGTTGCAGGGTGCCGTGGCTCACAACTGTCATCCCAGCACTTTGAGAGGCCAATTCGGGAGGACTATTTGAGCCAAGGAGTTCAAGACCAGCCTAGGCAACAAAGTGAGATCTCCATCTCTACAAAAAGAAGAAGAAAAGAAAAAATTAGCCAGGCATGGAGGTGTGTGCCTGTGGATCCAGCTACACAAGAGGCTGAGACAGGAGGATCGCTTGATCCCAGGAGACTGAGGCAGCAGTGAATCGTCTTCATACATACCACTGCACTCCAGCCTGAGTGACAGAGCAAGACCCTATCTCAAAAAACAATAAAATAAAATAAAAATTACTGGAAAAATAAGGTTATATTACTTTATAATTTATATTATAATTTTATATTACCACATACTTCACTAAGTTATCCATAAAATCAGACACAGGAAACATTTGTCACAATATAAAATTTTGTCAAAACCATAAACAGGAAAAATAGAATAGATCCTGTATCTATCATTTGAAACATAAGCGTTATCAAAGAAGGAAAATCACCAATTTGCAACCCCAATAAAATAGTTAATTCAAGCTCATCAAAAAAAGATCAGCAGTAGATGCTAAGACCATTAGAGAAAAGATTATTGTAGCACATGACGTTTGAAAGATACAAAGTGTCATAATGCTAGTAGCAGTAACCACAAAAAAAGAAAGACACGATTTTATATAAAAAGTCTTATCAGATTCTTTTCCTCTACTTTTTATCCCTCACAAAAGCACATATACTATCTGAATCCCACTGTAAAAAGAAGTCCGGGAAATCTGTTACCATTTCTCTACCTAGCTCTGTCCAATACGGCAGCCACTAGCTACCCATGACTGTTAAGTCCTCAAATGTGGCAAGTGACTGAGGAATTAAATGTTTTATTTTAAATAATTTAAATTTTAAAAGCCACATATGTCTAGTGGCTATTGTTTTAGACAGTACTGCTGCAGGGTATAAACAAACCTAGCCATGAAAGACAATATAAAAAGTCACAAGCTTAAATTATGGGCAGGCTTAAGGGAAAACTTGAAAAACTTATAAAACTATTTTATAAGCTTTTATCACCAGATAATTCTGTATCAGGAATTGCCTCCATTGAACTTTCTTATAGCATGTTTTCTTGACTACAAAAAATAAATGCTGAATAAAAGCTTGCGGAATTAAATTTATAAAGCTTTAAACCTACCCCAAAACACTGAATTACCAGGAAAACTATGGCATTTAATTAAATGTATAGGAGTACCCTGATTTAAGACGTCCCTATTTTCATGACTGATTTTTAAAAACTGATTTGCAGTTTTCATTTAAAATAATAAGCTCTGGCCAGGCATGGTGGCACACGCCTATAATCCCAGCACTTTGGGAGGCCAAGGCAGGCGGATCACCTGAGGTCAGGAGTTCAAGACCAGCCTGGCCAACATGGTGAGACCTTGTCTCTACTAAAAATACAAAAAATTAGCTGGGCATGGTGGTGCATGCCTGTAGTCCCAGTTACTTGAGAGGCTGAGGCATGAGAATCGCTTGAGCCCAGGAGCTGGAGGTTGCAATGAGCTGAGATGTGCCACTGCACTCCAGCCTGGGCTGGGCCACAAAGCAAGACTCCATCTCAAAAAATAAATAAATAAAATAAAATAATAAGCTGCTTGAAAACATTAAAAATGTAGTCTCACTCACAAAATATTATTATGGGTCCCTTGCAATTACACATTAATTTTAAATCAGCTTGTCAATTTACAAAGAAGCCAGTTGGAGTTCTGACTGATAGGGACTGTATGTAACCTGAAGCAATTTGGGGGAGTATTGCCATCGTAATATTAAGTCTCCCAATCCATGAACATGGAATATTTTTTCATTTATTTAAATAGTCCTCTATTTCTTTCAACAATGTTTTGTAGTTTCACAGCACAAATTTCACATCTGTTTTGTTAAATGTGTTCCTAAGTATTTTACTCTTTTTGATGCTATTATAAATAAAATTGTTTCCTTAATTTCATTTTCAGATTGTTCATTGCAAGTACGTAGAAATACTATCTTTTTATACTAATCTTGTATGCTATAACCTTGATAAATTCATCCATTATGGGGATAGTACAGGTAGTACCTCAATTCATAGGGATCATTAGACTAATAAGGTAATTATTGGAGAGTACCCAGTACTCAGCCTGGCACACAGTAGGCCACTGAAGTACTTTTATTTATCTAGGGCCTTACAAAGGTGTCTTACTATAAAGTTGTTATTTAATACCACTTATGTGCAAAGGTCTGAGTAACACAGTGACTTAAAAAAAAAAAAAATCCTGTCCATAAGGAGCTAGAGGTCTTACTGCAGAAATAGATCATCCTTGTCCCACAAGTAATTTGTATAGACATCATATTAAAAATCTGAATAAGATTTCCTTTACAACAAATTTACCTTCATATACTGTTAAGAGCCTCAGAAGACCATCTACTTTTCAACCATACAAATGAGGTTCATCCCTCCTTCTTCTTACTATGTTTATTACTAGATTCTTCCATAACTCTTCTGAACACCAGTATTACTGCAGAGTGGTGTCATGTATTGCACTTGACCAATAAGATAAGAAAGTTTTAGCGTCTTGTAATTACTAGCTTTGTTTTTTCTTTCTGTGAAGCCTATTTCATGCTTTTGAATTTTCAGAAGAGAAACAAAAAGAAATGGAAAATAAAAGGAGTAAGAGATTACAATAAGTAAGGTTCCTATAGAACTGCAGTCACCAATTCTGCCATTCTATAGAAGCTTACTAATATTTTTTAACTAAAACAATTTTTTTCCAAATAGTTCTTTAAACTTAGATATCTGCTTAGTGTTCCAAAGCACCATTTAAAATCAACCAGGTCCTGTTTCTGTCTCAGCAACATTTGCTTTACTTCTAAATAATTGTTAATTTACATTTATTTGTTGGAAGAAAGACAGCCACAACCTAACAAACCACAATTTGTGCCACAAAGTCTAATCTTAGCCCAGATCTATTTTTGGATTCATAACAGCTTGAGCTAAAGAAGAATTTCATTACATTGTTCAAGTTGGGTCATAAACAGTCTCTGAAAAGAGAAGCAAACCAACATAAAATGCTGTAGAAACCAAAAATGATATAAAATATGAAAGATTCAGGTTCAAACATCTGCTATATAAATGGAAACATTACTGTGCTCATCTTCAATCTCTACTTACCACTTTATGTTCCCAAAAAACTCCGTTCCTACCAAACTATAACTTATTTAAATTACACTGAAATTTATCCACTTACAAATCTATCTCCCCTTCGCCCCACATATGAGTCTCTGAGGGCAGAGAAGCCATATGTCTAACTAGATGTGTAAATTTGGAAGAGAAGTAGGATGTGCAACATAAGGCATTTCCATCCCACCCCAATAACCATCCAACCTGTAAGTTCTCAAAAATGGCTTTAGTTTTGCTTTTATCATTCTAACAGTTGCCATTAGTCATTCTTTAGGTGAGGACACTACAGCCTTCAGTGAAGCACTGCTCAGACAGTATATAAGACAAATGACACAAAACAAAATAAAGTTATCTAATTACCAGAAGTGATGATCAGTAAACTGAATCCATCTAAGTTTTAGCTAATTTACCTGATAGACAGTACACTTCTAAAACTACCTTTATGAAGTGCTGAGCTATTTAAGTGAAACCAAATAAAGGTGATTCACTCAAAAGCTGTCCAGAAAACCTGGTGGCAATGCTAATCAATTTAAGCAAATCACAACATAAGTTTCCAATTTTCTTTTCCAAATTAGAGTTACTTTCCTCAAACCCTATTCTGCTGCTTTAGGCTTCTGATTAGGTTAAGAAAGGGAAACAAAAATTAAAGGGAAAAGCACAATATTCAATGATTAAGAGATGTGCCAAATTTCCACGTATCCAGAGGACTCAAATCATTAGAATTTTCTTTGAGTAGGCCAGGCGCGGTGGCTCACGCCTGTAATCCCAGTACTTTGGGAGGCCAAGGCGGGCAGATCACGAGGTCAAGAGATCGAGACCATGCTAGCCAACATGGTGAAACCCTGTCTCTACTAAAAATACAAAAATTAGCTGGGCATGGTGGCACGCGCCTGCAGTCCCAGCTACTCAGGAAGCTGAGACAGGAGAATCACTTGAACCAGGGAGATGGAGGTTGCAGTGAGCCAAGATCGTGCCACTGCACGTCAGCCTGGGCGACAGAGTAAGACTCTGTCTCCAAAAAAAAAAAAAAAAGAGAATTTTCTTTGAGTATCATGCAATGATGACTAATATTTATAAATACAATCCTAAGACATAAAGTTCCTCAAATGCCTTCAGAATTTCTGAAGGAAAACTAAATCACATTCTGAAACAATTAGTAACCAGATGTTTAAAAAAAAAAAAAAAAGGTAGCATGAAACCTCTCATGTTTCTCCCCATTGTCCATGGTAAACATAACCAAGAACTGAATATTGTACTAAGCCAGACTTAGGCCTCAGAATCCTTCTCATTAGACCAACCTAAAAGTAGAGATATGACCTAGAAGCATGGTATAAACAGAGTAAAACAGTGATGAGCTTAGGACTTGGAGTCAAAAGGCCTGAGTTTAAATCTTAGTTATGCCACTCTAAAAAAGGGTGACTATATAATCTATCATCCAAAGAGCAATAGTTCTGACACCAACACAGGACAATAGGTATATACTTGGACTGTCCTCAGCAAAACAGGACATAGAGTCACCATATTCATAGGCCACATGGACCATGGGCAAGTTAGTTAATCTTCAGTCTTGGATGCCACGTCTGTAAAATAACAAGGTGTAAAATTAAACCTTCAGTAACTATAAATTGCTTAGCTTTCTTCTTTTTTCACCTATATAATATTATATTGTACGATGCTAACCCAGTGAGTTCAGAAATTGCAAGAACACTGCACTTATACAGCCTTATAAAGAGAACCCTCAAAGAGATGAAAATCCATCTTTGACAGATTCAGGATAATTTTTTTAAATCCACACTGATTCTCTTTCTTATCAAACATTTCACTTGCAATGTTGTCCAAAAAAAAAAAACAAAAAACAAAAAAAAAACACTTAGTTCAAATTCTGATACCTGGGCAGTACTAAACACTCAGAACTCTGTTTCCACAGCTTCATTTTTCATAGCTTCATAAAAGCACTCATCTTGTTGTGCTGTTATTGTGTTTGTGTGTATGGAAAACATGCCTGATGCCAGACTAAGCATTTCCAGAAGGTAAGAACCACGTCTGTTTTGTTGCTATCCTCCATGTTTACTGCAGTGCCTGGCACATAGATGGTGCTCAATGTTGGCTGAATAAGTAATCAATACTTTAGAAATACAACCCCTTCCTTAACCAACCCCAACTGGTGTACATTCTCAACCCATGAAAATATTCTGTAAGGATGTATCCTTCTTTTCCCATCTGAGTGTTCACACTCCTCAGGAATAACAGCAATCCAAATGTTTCTTCTCTATAGAGTGATGTCACCTATTTCCCGATTAAGGAACCCACCTTGAAATCCAACTAGATTTTAGGCTTTTGGGAGATTCCCATTTTAAATCCTTACTCAGAAGCTTCTGATCCTTCACACACCATCTTAAACCTTACTCTTCTTTCAAAGCCAGAACTGACTGCCTGAACACCCAATTATCTCCACCCATTTCCACTTCTTTTATCCTACCCCAGTGAACTATTTTCATCCAGCCATAACTATAGAGCCTTCCCCTAGAAAGTAAGGTATACATGACATAGATCACTCTACTTATTATGGGAGAATCAGAATCCAATGGGAAAAAATTTAAACCAAAGCAAATTAATACAGTCAAAATTCAACGGCACCTTCAATGGTAAAATGGCTTTAAATTGTGACAAAGCCCCAGGGGTCCCTAAGGCATTTCTAGGGTTTCTTTAAATAAAAAAAAAGTGTAGTCAATCACAGACATGTTTGCTTTTTCTCTGCACCGTTGCCCCCAGACTCAGATTGCTCTAGGGGCTGGGGTTTGGAGGCAAAACAATGAAGCATTTGACAACGTCAAAACGTCAGAATGACATTCTGGAAACAAACTTCACTTTGGGCTACCCACTTAAGTAGAGACATACCATGATACACTGCCCACCTTTAGTTCAGAATATTCTCCAGGTGAGAGGAACAAATAATTAAGGCGTTTTGTATTCAAAAAGATGTCTCTGGCTTCCAGATCAAAAATAGTCATAGAAAGTAGAAAGTTTATTCTGCGTGTTTCTAAAAAAACACATGAAAACTTACCTAGCAAAGTCTCACACTTCACTATAATAAATGATCTGCAACTGACTGTGGAAAATATGTAACTTTTATATGGAAAAATACTTAGCTGTAGCAACAGCAGACTGTTCTTACCCCAAGCTAAATAACAACAGCAATATGAAACTGTAAATGTCTACTAAGATAGAGTTGGAAACTTTGTGACTCCACTATCCCTCCTCCCCCAGAGTTTCTTTTGCTCCACAAAAATAATTTTAGTCAGATGGGAATAGGGAAAAAACTGCAAACAGAAAGAAGTGTAGTTTCAATGTGAGTACAATATTGAGTGTCCTGAAAGCAGACAGATCCTCAATAATGTAGCTTCAATAAAAACTTCCTAAACCCTTTCTTTTTTTGTTCCTTTGAGAAAATGAAGCAATTTGCATTTACAGCTTAGTTCCTGTTTCCAAAATATCCCTTTAACTTTTTCTTTTCTCTTTTTATGGTGGGTATAAATAGCACCAAATTGTCAAATCACAGCTATTTTGTGTGCTACCTATACAAATAGGTCTGATTTCTGGCCAGTCATAAAACAATTACTGCTGAATTCCTCTGGCTCTTTGATATCCAGCTTGTCCACCGGGCTTCAAAGCTAGACTCCAGGACTTTTCTTGGGGCACTGCTGAAAAACAACCTCAACAGAAACACAGAAGATAAAATGTTCCCACTCCTATAAACACACAAAGATATAATCCCAGAAGTAAAACAATTCAGCAGCACTGTGGTGGGTTCTTCCCCCTCACGATAATTTAAGAGTACAAGTATTTTAAATTATTTTTTAGCGATATGAATCAATGAGAACTTCTTCCCGCTAACTCGTATGGCTATTTTCTCCATTTTCAAGCCTCCAAAAATTAAGAATTACTTTGCTTTCAGAGAAATTTTCTGATTTACTAAAATAACTTATCCCATGGGAACTTACTGGGATGGAATGAAAGTTCAGCTTCTTAAGCACATAAATAACTATACAGCATAGTATTTATTCAATGTAGCAAAACTCATTCAAGCTAGAAGCTTTCAATAAGGTTAAATGTGGTCAGAATTTCAATAAAGGAATTGTATGTATGGGCAAATTATATGTTTTGACTATAAATTAACAGAACTTTACTCTCACATGGCTTATAAAAAAATCTACATTTGTATATGGGATATGTGGGATGGGCACATAGACACACAAACACCTAACCCATATAGTACACGCATGTGCTCAGGAGTGACAGTCAAACTATTTCCTGTTATCCCACTGCAAAAGCAATACATTTATTACAAGGAAGTAAATGTTAAGTCCTCATAGAGACACTTAGAATTTGGCATCTTGGAGGAGTGGCAAATGTAACATGATTATCAAATCTCCTACTGCCAGGCTCTTGTAACAATGTTTTATTAAGTTTGATACACACACACACACACACACACACACACACACACACAGCATATGCACACATATATTTATTTATCTCCACCTAAAAAGAGAAAGACATGTCACTTTTTAATTCCTCCTGCCAATGGCATCATGCCAAATCAATTTTTCCTTAACCCAGTATTTTTGGCAGCTTTATCATAATATGCCATAATTCCACAAATTCAGTAGTTGGCTAACATGTGGCTCTGAATTAAAAGTAGATATGATATAGTCTCCCTCTATATATGAAAGATCATTTTTAGATATATACATAAAATAAAGACTACCTTTGCACCTAAAATCTGCCTCTAATTTCTCCTTCTCACTTTCTCTTTACCATTAGCAAGAATCAAGCACTTTTGAAACATTAATCCAGATCTGATTTTGGCAGTCTTCTATAATCTTATCCAAGAAACCACTTGGACATATTTATCCAAAGACATATAGCCACATTGTTTTTCAAAATCTATATAATAAGCCAACTCTTATAAGTATATAGGTTAGCCTTCTATTTATAACCAGAAAACTTAGAGCCACCTGTTTCAGCTCTGATCTCAAGAACACCACTTTTACCTCTTAGGTCAAATCTGGCACCCGCAACTTAGTACTAAATTTCCTCAAAATAATGTGATTATGTAATCTCTCAAATTTCATTATGTTTTTTCCTCTGAATTTTGTTAACTAAGGCCAAATGCATTAACATACAACAAAATTCTCAATGTGAGTGATAAAAATGCATTAAAAGTAACCCTTAATCTATGCTATTAACTGATTTTATTCTATTTTGGCACGTTTGAAGTAACTCATCTAAGGATTAGTTAGGCTTTTCTACACTTCTTTTTATCAGGACTCTACCATTCTTGATTTAGTTTTGAGAGAAAAGGGTTTGCAAAAACTATAATAATCTCACAGCTGGAGATGGCTGGAAAGTCCGTTAGTACTCATTGTGCCCTTAATTTGCAGGAAGCCTTTGTGCTCTTCTACTCCTCGTTTTACATGCTGAGCAGTTTTCACTGATAAAGTACTTATAGACCAGTTATTTTAGATTAATGAAAAGCCCACTAAAATTTTATGTACAGTGGCTGTGAACTTTCTCTTTAAAATACTGAAATTTATCTTGAGAGTCTTGATTACATGAAAATCTTAACCCTGGTAATTTGCCTCAATAGTTTTCATGTGAATAGGCAAAGGCAGTCTTAAAATTGTTTAAGAAGTATTATTTTCAAACACAGAAGGTATCCAAAATTTCAGGCTATGAATTCAGATTGAATGGCTGAAGCCTCAGGGCAAACACACTGATTTAATCACGTAGCAGTGGGTTTCAAAATCTTGCCCTCTTAAGACTTAACAATAAAGTATTTCCCTGCCCTTTAAATCTATAGCAATAACGCAAACACATTATACAGAAGGACCCAACATTGTTGAAATTTTGTTGGGATTTTTAACATTATGACATCAATTCCAGGAGTACATGGTATTATTCTAACTCTACACTTATCCAAGATGAGATTTTAAAGTCAATGAGTTAGTATTTCCTCTGAACTTCAAGCCTAAAAATGACATTTAAATATCCAATTATCAAGGATTATAAGTCAAACTCAATTTTCACAGTTTTCTAAAAGTCTTCAGATACAAAAAACAAAGTCTAACTTTAAACAGTCTAAGCTGAAGTTTTTAAATCTGTCCCAATATAAGCAAAAATGTTGAGATTTGTTATATTCCAAGACATGAAAATATAATCATGTTAAAATTACTCATTTTCTGCTATACTACCTTCCTGTAAATCAGAAATTCAAATCATAGTCATATAGATTCATATAAAACACAGCTAGCATATCTGCAAAGTAGAAATGATAGTGTTTGAAACTAATAGGGTTAAACAATTTATTTTGTGAGGCCACTGGCAAAACCTACAGCAGCTGTCTAACTTTGCCTTTAACGATCATAGCAAAAGCTCAAGGAAGTGATCCAATGCAGCACTGGTCTTTAGTAACCAGATCGTTTCTATTTCATTTTCAGCCAACGGAATGGATAACGAAAACAAAATTATGCCTCAGTCAGTACGTTTACTTGACAAGCTAATTTTTAACAATGTTAAACTTTTATTCACATATATGGCCAGAAGTAAGTTGTATCTTTTTTCTGTGTAGATAATCTTAATAACTTTTAAATACTGGCTACACAAGATAAAACTTCAGATGGCTATCACTTCTTTAAACTCACTTATAAAAACTACTGGAAAACTTTTTAGCTATTCAAGAACATATTAAGCTAAAAAATAAAAGGCAAATGGTTAGTCATTGCTGTAAACTGTTGAGCCATAGATGTTTGATTCTTTCAGTGAAGAAAACTGCAGGATTTATACCATTTTATAGAAGACCTAAAACAACTGTATAATGATTTTTATAAAAGAAACAAACTCAATTCCTCAAGGATTACAATTTCCTACCAAAAACTACTTACACTGTTCAAAATAAACCAAAAATAGCTCTCTCATTACATATCATCATCTGGTTACTATCAATGTATCTGAGATACCTATTCCTACATTCTTTTCTACTTACCCTGTGGAAAACAGGTATTTCAGACATCTAGCTAATTGGGACTTATAAATATTTATTTATTTATAAATCAAGTGTCTGAAGAATGTGAATAACGGAAACAAAGTAATTTAAATAAGTGACCCAACAAAGTTATGCTTATTAGTCTAGTTAATAACCACGGGTTCATACTAGAAAGAAGCTCCAAAATAATTTCAAACTAAGTTATGTGGGAATAGATATGACACAACATTCCCCATTTCAATATTTATGATGCATATGTAACTATATTGTCTTACTCAAGTAATTCGCCTAAAGAACAATTTTAATCCAGTATTTAACATAATTCCAATCATGTTTACTTCCACAAAGGTTTGGGCCAGAACAATTTTAGTCAGATTTTAAGCTAGTATAACATTTATACTATATGCCATAGGTAAGAGATACTAATTGATTATAAATATATCAAACATACTTTCTGATTATGAGTCCTATATCATCATTTTATACCATCTTAAGTAGAAGAAATCTCACTTCAACTATTAAGCATTTGAAGACAATTACTAAGTGTTGGTTTTGTAAAGGAGTACAAATTACTTAACATTTAATAATTAAAGTATGTGCACGAATGGATATTCCTAAACTGACACACTTATGAATGGCTTACTGGTTTTAAAAAGTAACTCCCAAATGCTGGGTTAATATGTTTCACTTTAGGGACTTAAACCATACTTCTTCAAATAAAATTAAATAAATTAGTTTGCAAGTAATTAATGACGAGAATTCAATAACGTAAAACTATCCCTGCGTATTCTCTATGGCTGGGAAATTTAGCTGGTTATGTTCATATAATACACTTAGTGGGTCTTGGAGCCCACTGCCTGTAAAATCTCCCATGGAGATTCAAGACCACCCATTGAAAATAGAACATTATTGCCTCCAGCAAGAAGCTGGTACATAGGACTGGTTATTCAAGTCTTTTAAATACTATTTTATTGAGGGATTGCAGGAGGTGGGGGAGGGGTGAAGGCGGATTCATGAGTGGATGGGGGAGGAAAACTCAGAAAAAAACAGTAATTTCTAAAGCAGAGGTTCCTGCCGTACCCCCTTCACCCACCCGTACTTTTAAAACAGCTACATAAACAAAGTAATAAGTGCTCAATTTCAGAGAGAATTACATTATACTCCATTTGAACAGGCTACAAAGTACTTTTATTTGAAAAGCTGCTTGTGCTCTGTTATAAACAATTTTACTCTGCACCAATTTCAGACAAGAGAAGATGGCTAGGGAGTGTGGGAGGTGGAGTTAGGAAAAATTCACTCAGTGTCTTTCAATGCCTTAAACAGTTGATCCAATAAAGATCCTTTAGAGAAAACTTTAAGTCTATTTTTTTTCTCCAAGTAAGCAAATCATACAGGAGGGCTTTTCTTTTCTAGGGTACTGCACCCTGTCTCTTTAAATTCCAGGCCTGCCCCATTTCCCACGCATTCAATGAAAGCCCCACGTTTGCTGGCCTCCAGCCCACAATGTCAAGTAGTTCTCTTGCTATTGAATTTCAAGATTATTCTTTTGGATCATTTGCCCTTTAGTTTTAAGCACACCAAAGCAAAAATAATGTCTTTCTACAATAACATAAAGAAAACTCAGAGGTCTTTACAAGTCTACAAGTAGAGAACACCTTGTCCTCTGGTTCCTCTTTCACTGCAAAATATGCTCCCACTCCATATGCTCCAAATAAGGGCCATTTGTACACTATCGTCATCTACCATAGTTTTGTCTGTCCTATAACAAAATTTTATGAGTATTTTTATTTAATTTGGTGCCAATTTGGAATCTCTTTGCAATACTCAAACCAGGTCTTCATATTGCTCAAACTCTCCACTCTTCAACTTGGTGTCTGGGGTATTTGGTTATAACAAGTTTTAAAACAATTACTTAATTTTAAAACTATTATTTTATTTTTGCAGTTAAGACATCTATATAAATTAACTTACTAATAAAAGCAGCAAATAAACATTGCCATCTGTACTCATTGTGCCAAAGAGTATATTTTCCTCATTCTTGTATACACCTTAATCCTGAAGAAGGGATTCCAGGCCATTATCAATCACATTTAGAATTCTCTCAAAAGGAATAGACATAGTTAAGCAGAAATTTGTCAGCAGAACTAAATTAAGTTCATGGAATATAATCTTATTCCAAATGCTGGCAAATAGAATTTGAAGTTGCAATTTTATTCAAGCAGCTAATAAGAAATACCCAGATCATAAACATCATTGTTTATATTTCACAAACATTCTAAGGTAGAGTTAATCTATTTGTATTTTATGGATTTTGTAAAATCATCTACTACTAAAGGGAAAATGCCCTTATTTTTATTTGACATATAGCTTTGCTATGCATTAGTGCACAGTACACTTTTAAAGTTTAATGTCAAAATGCAAATGTGTTTTCTCACGGACTATAAAATCATGGACTTAATTAGATAAATTTTAGATTGCAGAGAGACCCTTGAGACAACTAAAATTAACCTCCTCATTTTGCGGAAATCATTTTTAGTTATGCTTAAGGAATATTCATATCAATCTGCATTGTATATAAAACATAAAATTATGTACTAATTTCCCTTTGTAAAAACCTCTAGTTATTTTTGTAGCTTATATATGAAATATTAATAAAATCATCTTAGTATCAAAATAGTTTGAATTTATGGAATTATGCATGAATTCTCCATCCAAAAAGGACCACTTCTTTCTCTGCCCTAAATCTTTTTTTCTCTATGCCTTATGTTTGGTACTTGTTTTGGTACTTTTTATTTCTTAAAAGTTCATGTTTAACTTCCAAATTATATACAAAGATGCACACATTGGAATTGAGTCTTTTATTTCCAATTATCAATACTATTTATTCTTCAACATAATCACCATATATCTAAGCAACATGATGACAGTCTTTTTATTTGTAGTTGATTTTTAAAGTCAGATGTAGGCTCTAGAAAAATTTTTAACACTACACAGCAAGATAGACATGTTAATTATCAAAGTTATCAAAACTCCACAGGAAAAAAGGGCCAGAACTTTTCAAAACATTCCTAAGTACTCCAAAAATGTATACTGTACTGATATATTACACATGGGTATCTTTCTGTTACCAAGACTATCCTATATGAATACACATTTATAAATCAGGTTAATCTCATTACTTTTATAACTTCAATACAAAATGTTAAGAAAGGTAAGAACGTTATCTACATGTCTCCCTTTAAAGCTTACGATCAACTTATGAAACATTGTGCAAATACTCATAGTAACATTAAAGGAAAAGACTCAAAACGACAAGGTGGCAAAAATGTCAAATAGCAAAATTTGAAAATGTTTCTTGGGAAAGACAGTCTTAATCATGTTCCAAATTACTTGTAGAAAAAACTAAAAATCTTATTGTAAATGTGCCCATACATACATTTAAATACTAGTTTTACTTTCACATAATATGAGTCATTCAAGAAAACTTGAAAAAGCCAACGAATTTTACTGACAACAATAAGAAGTTCCTGATATCCCACGTCCCAGAGATCACTTATATTAACATTCTACGATAGTATTTCTTCCCATCTTTTCAGTGATGTATTTTTATCTATCACATACTTCTCAAAATGTGGGGTAAAGATGAACAAATCTAGCCATTCTAACACAGAAAATGAACTGAATCAATGATGTTAACCTAAAAAAGATACTCTGTCAAGAAGCATTAACTATAAGCTATTGTTTAGCCTTTACAATGTAAGAAAATTCCTATTTATTTGCAGCTCTATTTTAAATGTCTGCATTTGTGTATTTTTGGATAAATTATCGGCTCTAGTCAATTGCTTGACAATTTCCTTTACAGAATTGGAATGCTAACTAAAATTATTTTTTCTTTGACCTAAAAGTTATACAGCATGTTACAACTGAAGAGTAGAAAAGTACTTGCTTTTCAAAACAACTTCAATTCAGCATTTGAATTATTAAATAGAAAACCCTATTTATTCTTATATGTATGTATGCAAGTATGTTGGATGATCAAAAATTTCATATACTTTCTTCTAATCTGTTCACATGATAATACAGACAGCCCTCAATTAGCTTACATGGGCAGTCCTCAATTATTACTCTATTGATAATAAAAACACAAGTAATATCTGGTAAGTGATACTTCAGAAAAGCAAATTAAGTGACACAATTTCAAGGTCTATTTTATGTAAAAGACAAAAAAGCATGAAAAACCCAACGATCTAATGGCATGGTCAAGAGCCATAATTGAGGAAGAAGTTTCCTATCAACACTGGGTGGTCTTCTGAGTTCTTGAAATGCTCCAATCTACAAGTAATAGTTGATGGTTGAGGTGAATGGCACCGATATGATCAGAAATTAACTTTTACAAGTGTAACTTAATCCCTTATTTGGTGAATTACTCATGTTATCTTCTACTTCCCTATTACTGCAGCAAGTCTTTCACCCATTTCACTGTCCATTCACCATAAGAAAGGATAAAATTCCAATACACTGATGTTCATATATTGGTATTTTATTTTCTCAAGAATATCATTCTCCGAACTACTACTTAGGAAGAGTCAGAAATTAAATACTCCACATGTCTATTGTCTAGCATGATAACCAATATAGCTATTTAATAAAGGGTAGTTATTATTTCATTGTTATAAAAACACTAGATCAATGACAATTGCAGAATTTATCCTTTTTAAAACTAAAGGAAAAACAGTATTTTCAGAGCTGCAAAAGCCCACACAGCTTATTCAGTCCAAACACATCCTTTCTACCTCCCAGGCCAGGGCCTTTCCTGCCACACTGCTAAATACTGCTCCTACCAGTTACTGGAATTACATTAGACTCTTATTTTTAAAGCTAAAAGGCTGGTTGTATTTCATGGATTAGGTAGTAAAAAAATGATAGAGCTGGCCAAGTCCTTCAAGTTTGTGTCTAGCTTTTCTTTTTAAGCATCCAAAGTAAGTGAAGAAAGAATAAGGGAAAAAAGAGAAAAGAGAAAAATTCATTTTTGCCTATTACAAATGCTAGAACACATTCTAGAAAATGTGATTCTCAGCAGACACAATGTTTCCTGCTAAATTCAAGTGGTGGTTCTGTTTACACAAAGTCAATTATTAGAGGTGCAGAAGAAATGAGTTTCAGAAATCTGAGTAATAATTTATAACTTACAGGAGTGGAAAGTAAAGCCAGGGATTCTAAAACCCTTTTTCTGACTTGCAATACCTGCCTTTATACGGTTGCCAAAAAATTCCAGGGTCAAGACATTACATTGATGGAGCTATAAGTAGTATCTACAGTGATAACATAGGTCCCATCCTTTCTGATGTGTAACTCTAATGCAACACAGGAGGAAAAAGAGATAACATATACAAAGAGAAGGGAGTGTTGGTCTAATGAAAGCATGTAACACATAACACGTGCTGCTTTGGTGCTCCATAAAATGAGGGAAGTTAGCTTCCAGCCCACTAGTTACTATTTCTGTGCATACAGAGAAAAAGTCATACAACAAGCATCAGACAATCTTGAACTGGGTCAACATTTTCAAATAACGTGTTCCACTCAATGCAACTAAATCTCAACAGCCCAAATCCCCCATGTTTCATTGACTCTATAAAACAGCTGCTTATTATAGAGAAACAGAGAAATAAGTAAAATGAAGGAAAATACTATGTGAAATAGAAGAATGTTTCTTCAATATAAAAAAGGTCGTAATTATTTAGCTTTCATTATTCATATTAATGAAGTATTTGTGGTAAAGGGTAAAGATGATATAAAGTCTACAATGAACCTGGTTTTTAAACACCCAAAGTGTTTTACATGTTTATCAAATGAATAGATACCTGGAATAATCAGACAGTATTCTATCCCCAGTACCATCCTTGGAGGGAGGCAGGGGAAATGGGACATAAAAACCTATCTGCAAAAATGAAAAGGCATCATTCAGACAAAATTTATATCTGAAAACATTAAGAGGCAAATTACCTCCCTACTCTCCAAGCCACTGCTATTATTATTAATACTTCAGGAAACTGTTAATATATATTTTGCTTTTAAAAATCAATATACACACACAGAGCATTTTGCCTGGTATTGATGAGGAAATAACTAATAATTTCTACTGGAAAGGAACAAAGAAAAAAAATCTAGTTTTGACAAAATCAAATATTTTAAAATAGAAAAAAATTAACTTGGCTTTGAGAATATCAACCTTCTAATATGTGTAACTAATTAAAGGTAACTAATTATATTTATAATCACTAATGAACACTATTTTAAAGATAAGCCATAATTTTCTTTAATAAAAAAAATGGTGACTTGATTTTATCCAAAAAGTTAATTGTTAACTGCTACATACCAACTAAATCACACCCAAATGCTGGCCTTATCTTTTTAGAAATTCTATCGTAATAGCCTTCTTCAGTCGTCAACCACTGCAAACTTACCACACTTAAGTCAAAAGGATTAAGTCATGCAACATTACTTCTTAAAACAACACCCTGCATCCTTCATGTAATTGCAATTCTTACCACTGGGTGAATTGGGGACAAAATATCAGGAGATAACTACCACCCAGCAACAATTTTTTCTAATGATTTAATCTCAAAGGAAAACTTTAATTCATATAGAGAATTTGATTTTGTCTGAAAGTAGCTATAGAACTTTTTCCTTTTAAACAGCATCTACCATGGTTACCACCACTTAATTAAATCCTAGATCATGTCTACAAAAGCAGCTATTGCTGAACATTTGTCTGCTAATATAAGTGAATTATTACTCAATGTTTTAAAAGTAAACATTGACCACCATTTATTACTAGTTATCTTTGCACAGGCATACTTGTGACTCATTGTGTCTACATGCAAGATTGCTCCACATTTCTAGGCTTCTGATTAAAAGTAAAATGAAAGGGTAATCGAAGATGAAGAATCTCAAGTGTCCTTTCCAGCTCTAAAAAGACACAGCACACTGAAGGCAGGGACCTCCTCTTACTCTTATTTGTATCTCCCTCAGTCTTTCACTGTATCCTACATATATATTGCCTTTTGGTTAAGCACATTACTATGGCCACGAACTAAATTCTTAAATAAGACCCTAAGCCCAGAGAGGAAAACAAAACAAAATAAAGCACATCAGTTTGACAAAATTAAAAGCTTGCATATGGCAAAAAGATACCATAAATCAAGATAAAAGAAAAAAATGAGGCAAGATATTTTCAACAAAAATAACAAAGGAAGAACATCCTACAAACAAGAAAATGACAAGCAACCCAATCTTTTCTTTTAAGAAAAAGGATATAAAAAGAAGTCAATAAAGAGGAAATCAAAATAGTCAATATATATATATAAAATGCTTAATCCCACCAGGAACCAGAGAAATGTAAATGAAAACAAAAAGATACCAAATTTCAACTCTGAAAAATAGGAAATATTAAAATAGCCAAAATTGGCAAAGATATAGAGGAAAAATGGTACTCATTTTCTTGACAGAGTATAAACTGTCAGAACCACTTTTTAGAGCAATCTGACAGCAGCTAGTACAAATGAAGACACACGTGCCCACAACTCAATAACTCAAAATCTAGGCCTATGTCCAAACCCTTGTTCATCTGCACAAGGTAACATGCACAAAGATGCTCACTGCACAGAACAGAAAATGACCTATTTATTTCTTAATAGGAAAACAGAAAAGTAAAGTATACAATATATTCCCATGATGAAATACTAAGCAGAAGAAATTAAAGAGAATGACGTGGCTCTTTATAGATGAAATGTGGACAGGTTCAGAAACAGAATTGAGTGGGGGAAAAAAGCAAGATGCAAATGTATTCACTCATAAAAATATTCTGGTATTAAATAATGGCAATGGTTACACAACCTTATGAATATACTAAAAACCACAGACTTGCACACTTTAAAAGGGTAAATTTTGCATGTGAATTATATCTCAATTGTAAAAAAAAGATTCACTAGCATGATCCTCTTCACGTTGATTTTAAGACACAATACATTATTATTTGTAAGCAACATATATGTGCAAAATAAATAGAATGGAAGACAGACTGAAGGGTTGGAAGAAAAGGCTGGGAAGCATTTTAAAACATTAGCTGCATCTATAATAGTTAATTCTCCAGAATCCAAACAAGGAATCAAATAAGATAATATGTAAACATTTATTCATTCTTGGTAGTGGGGATTTGAATGTTTGTTATATCATTCTCTGCATTTCCCCATGCTTTTTTTTTTTTAATTAAAAAAGCAGCCATGGACTACAAAGGACAAAAAAGGCACATCACAAAAGACAAACGGTAAATAAATACATAATGAAAGATATGTGGCACTGCTAATCATATAAATGCAAACCAAAATGAGGCAGTTTTTCCACACAGATTGGCAAAGATTTTTTTAAGCTGTTAATTTCCAGTTTATATGCCTGAGGAAATATAAACTGGGACAATCTTTTTGGAGGAAAGTTTGGTAATATATAACAAAATTTTAACTCTGTATACCTTTTGACTCCACAACCTCCCTTCTAGAAATTTAACATAAACAAATTATTAGAAAAACCATTAAAATGAATGTCAAAGATGTCCACCACAGCACTATTCATAACAAATCAAAACTGGGAACAATCCAAAAGAAGTATAATAAATCCATATACAATGTCATACCAGAAAAATCCAACAATTTTAAAAGATGATATGCCACAAGGGTAGGAATGTTCCTCTGTGCTTTATCTCCAGCTCTAAGAAGGGTGCTAGGGCCGGGCGCGGTGCCTCATGCCTGTAATCTCAGCACTTTGGAAGGCCAAGGCGGGAGGATCACCTGAGGTCAGGAGTTTGAGACCAGCCTGGCCAACATGGTGAAACCCTGTCTCTACTAAAAATACAAAATTAGCCGGGCGTGGTGGCGCATGCCTATAATCCCAGCTACTCGGGAGGCTGAGGCAGGAGAATTAGTTGAACCCGGGAGGCAGAAGTTGCAGTGAGCCAAGATCATGCCACTGCACTCCAGCCTGGGTGACAAGAGGGAAACCCTGTCCCAAAATGAAAGAAGGAAGGAAGGAAAGGAGGGAGGGAGGGAGGGAGGGAGGTAGGCAGGCACGCACATAGTAGGAGCTAAAAAAAAGCACACACTTGTTGAATGAATGAATGTTAATAGTTAATATTGATGTGTATGTGTATATATATAAAGATGTCTAACAAATATTAACTATAGTTATATATGAAAATTTCAGATAACTCGTCCATGGTTTGACTTTTCTACAATGAACAAATATCTACAAATTAGAAAAAAAAAACATTTCATTTGTTTAAAAAAATGAACAAGGTTCTTCATAAAAGCTACACCACAAAATTGTGCCATGTAATTTCCCAGCTTCTATGACATCTCTTTTGAAGATTCAAAACAAGAAAAGTTCTATATCTTAGAACTGTAAAAGTGATGTTATGTAGTGGGGATTACCTGTAATAAATGACTAGAAAGGCAAGAAAGGGGCCAAGGTTGGTCCATGGAAGACCCATGAGAAAGAAACTTCAAAGAACCAAGAGAAGGAACAAAGGACCTTTAAGGCAAAATTATCAAACCAAGTGATATCCCTGCCTGGCCTACTTCATAAAGATAGGTAGTTCTACAGAGGGGCACCTACAATAATGAATATAAAAGACTTCTGCATAATTCAGGTAATGCATCACAGAATGGACAGTGATAGGCCGGGCACAATGGCTCATGCCTGTAATCTCAGCAATTTGGGAGATCGAGGCTGGTGGGTCACCTGGGCCCAGGAGTTGGAGACCAGTCTGGGCAACATAGTGAAACCCCATCTCTACCAAAAACACACACACACACAAACTGCCAGGCATGGTGGTCCACGCCTATAGTCTGAGCTGTTTGGGAAATGGCTTGAGACCAGGAGATGGGAGGATGGCTTGAGTCCAGGAGATGGAGGTTGCAATGAGCTGAAATCACGCAATTACAACCCAGCCTGGGTGACAGGGCCAGACCATGTGAAAAAAAAAAAAAAAAAAAAAAAAAAAAAAAAAAAAGAATGGATAGTAATAGTAGCTATAAAATATGCCCAGAAAAACCCAAGTTTAAATTATCCTTTTCTGAAAACAATTTTGTTAGGTAATCATTCACCGGAATTTAATGAGGCAAATACCTTGGAAGATTTACCTTTTCTCTTTCCATTAAATAAGTTTTTATTAGCAACAATAATAACAATCAGCTTCCATGTATTGGGCAATTTATGTGTGCCAGATTGTAGGCTGAATACTTTCTACCAGCAGTTCTCGGAGTGTAGAGTTAGGATCTCAGGATCCCTATGATCTTTTCAGGTGATTGGTGACGTTAAATCTATATATATAATAAAATCTATTAAGTTATGTGCCTTTTTCCTTCCCATTCTCTCGTGAGTGTGTAGCAGAGTTTTCCAGAGGCTACAGGACATGTGATAACACAATAGACTGAAAAGAGAAGCTGGTAAGAGGACCTAGTTGTCTTCTATTAAAACAAAGAGATTTGAAAAAAAAAAAAAAAAAGAAAAGAAAAGTAAACAATGCCCCTCTTGTCACTGTTTTTAAGAAAATGTTCATTTTTCATTAAAATGTTACCTGTATGTTAACATATAATAGGTTACTACCTTTAGACAAATTAATTTCTTTAAAATGTCTCCATTTTAATTTCTAATACACTAAAATTAATAGATATAACTTACACAAAAAAACTCTATGCGTTCTTCAATTTGTAAGTGTAAAAGGATCTTAAGCCCAATAAGTATGAAAACAGTTGATTTACATTTCAACCTCAACTTATGAGGTAATAGTTCTATTTTATCATCATTTCCATAATGCAAATGAGAAAAGAGACACAGAAGTAACTTGTCCAAAACCATACAAGGAGTCTCTTAAACCAACATTTGAATACAAGTCTGTAATTCCTAACCCTAA
The DNA here is from genome assembly GCF_000001405.40 of Homo sapiens. NCBI lineage: Eukaryota > Metazoa > Chordata > Mammalia > Primates > Hominidae > Homo > Homo sapiens. The sequence goes on from NC_000009.12 coordinate 20,616,300, forward strand.
ATTCTCTCCATCTTTAAGCAACAATATCTACCCAAGATATTAAAGATCACTTTTAGATCTTTAACTTTTAGATAGCTACATGCTAATCCCTATTTTTAAAACAATATTCTATATTGGTTTTTTATTCTTTTTCAGTTTTAAAAAGTTATGTGTGCTCATTGAATGTTTTAAATATACGGAGTTAACTTTAAAAAAAAATCAAACACTACAAAAATAACCTCCCATCACCACCACAAGTAGCTACTAAACTACTAGTAAGAGTTTGATGCCCGCTAATGCAAATTTACTTATTTACAGACATACACTTGTATAGACATACGTATACTTATCTGCACAAGCACTTTTTTGAAAAAATGAGATCACAATGATTTAGCAACTTGCCTTATTTCACTTAATTATTCTTGAAGATCTTCCTGCATCTACAAATAGATATACCTCTTTTTATAGATTATCATCATTTAATTGTATCCAGTTGAGGGCCCCTATATGGCTTTCTTCCAAATTTTGACTATTACAAAAACAGTCACAAGAAACATGCTGTATCTTTGTGTACTTGTGAGAACATATTTGTCAGAAAATTCCTAGAAGTAAATTTGCTAGGCTAAACAGTATAAACATTAAAAATCTTAATAGACCTTGCCAATGTTCTCCAAAATACCCCTGCCCGATTTACATTCTCACCCACAGAATATGAGATTTCCACCAACAATTCAGCTTTTAAGTGCCTTGGAAAATTATACTTTATGTGCTTCAAAATGCACAGCAGTAAAACTGTTCTCACTGGTCATCTAAATTTCATACAGAACCCTACACAAATAACACTCGCTGAATCTATCAGAACAGTCACTCATCTTCATTTTGTTCCTTATATCTTTTAAATGACTCTGAAGAGAAAATATACCAGATGCACACAACGTCTTCAGCTAGTAAGCCCTCAAGTATTAGTTACCTTGATAAAAACTTACCCAAATTATTTCAGAAGACCATTTAACACAAATCAAAACTATGCAGTAAAGCTGGCCTCATACACTTAAAGGAAAATTGTTAGAGTGGATTTATTAAGCTTTATCTGCCCACTCAAAGGACTAAGGCTACAAATAAAAAGCTATCAAATCCTACCAGTGGCCAAATTAGCTTCCATAAAATAATAAGCAACAGATTTCATATCATAAATGTCAGTGAAACAAATTGCAATAGTAAGGATGGCTGTAACTGGAAAAAAAGTTCACTCAAATTCACATCATACTAAAAACAAAAACATTAATATTTTAAAAGAAATGTTTTGAATGTGACTATTCATTTCAGTCATATCAGACTAGTACAAATCTTTGGTACTAATAAATAAGATATTGTCTTTTTTTGCAGGTAAATAGTTTAAAAATGCATCATACTCTGACCTACCTGTTTTGTCATGGCTAATAGACATTCCAGGCTTCACCATTTCATCAAAATCTCTTTTCTAAGATTTTGTGCCATTAGTTTTAAATTGAAGGTCTCCCACCCATCTTTGTGACAGAGTAAAACCTCATTAATTCAAATCCAATTAGCTCAATTCTGAAATGGTATACATAATTCTCATTAAGCAACAAGTTAAAAATACTATAATTTTTTCTCCTACAAATTCTAATATTACTGTGAAGTAAAGGAAATCAACCTGAAAATCAATTCACTTTTCCAAACCAAAGATTTACAAAACTAAGGACTCTTTCATCTTTGTGGCTGAGCAGTTCATCCTCAGTCCTAAGGCTCATCTCTGTTTAGCAGCTACTGTATACAGTGAAAGTGATTTAGATTGTCACTATAGCCAACACAGCTTATTTATTATAGAATATGAGCATTTCTTTTAAAGATCTTATAACTCAGATTTCTCACAAATTCATATTTTCAGTTTCTCCAATTTCCAATTGGTAGAATTTTACTCTATCACTTATAGATCTACAATATAGCTAACATAACACTTTAAAAGGTACTGGAAGTAGACATACAAATTCTTGGCATTCTTATTCTATATTTATTCTTATCATTTTGAAAGACTTTATAAGCCAAAAAATAAGTCCCAGGATTAAGTGGCATGTTTGGTGTTGCTTGAACTTACAACTATTCCCAATGAACAGAGAAACCTTCTCTTGCAATCTGAATCATGTGTAATTACAGTATGACAAGGTCTCTCCTGGGTGATGTAAGCTGGCACTTTTCCCAGGACTTGTCACATCATGGGAAGCACGCATACAAATAAAAATCCAAAAATAAACATTTTAAAACAATGGCTTATAGACTGCATAGAGAACCTCCACAGTTGAGTATAAAAATTGAGGAATCCAACCAACAAGCAGACATCTCTCACCAGAGACCTCTGAGAAGTCATCACTGCTATCAAGCAGCTTACCACGCCTAGCAACAACTCCCAGGTGTGGCCTATGTGAGCAGCACCCTCATGTTCCCTCAGGGCAGACAGAAAATCATTAAGTATAGGAAATAAAAATAACATCAATGCACACATCCACTGAAGCAGAAAAACAATGGTAAAATAGAGGTTGATCATCTTTAATTTCATAATGCCAATTTGTTGATTGTCAAGGTGCCTAAACAAAGTTACCTTAAGAGCTACATCTTCTGCCAACTGAGTTAATTTTCCTAATAAATGTTGCTTTTTAAAAGCTTATTTCACCTTGAAGTGAACTGCAGCCAAGTAGTAGTAATAATGTGTACCAAGGATCTTAGAAAGTGGTTTCTTTTGTTTAAACTCCTCTGCTCTACAGACACATGGAAAGGGAGAGAGAGAATCCGAGAAGCAGCATATCAACCTCATCAGCGATAGAAATTTGACATCGCTCATCCTTACCACAGTTTGGAGGAAATATGAAATATAATAATCTCTGACTATATTTTAACATAAAATGCTAACAAATTTCAAATGTTATTTCCTATAGGCCATGCATATTTCTAGCCCTCTATAAGAAACTGGATTTATTTATTAACCATCCAACAAAGACCATCAAATTCAACCGTTCAAGTTTTCAGGAGGAGTTATAAACCAAACCACTAAAGGCAAAAAATACAATCCTACTTCCCATTACATGAGCTCTGGAAACAAAACTAAGCACCAATACAAACCTCTGCCACCTCTAAGGCACACGACGCTTCTCCTTTCTTTATTCAGCCCCCTGAATGTTCAATAATTTCCACACAGCTCTAAGCAGAATGGATTTATTATGATATTACTCTAAGAAACGACAGGAGTTCTAGATGCCAATAAAGATTACGGATCAAATGGAAGATAACTACTAACCATTGTGTCGACTTAGATAAATAAACCTGCTCACAAACAAAGCACCTTATTGTATTTGTACTGTTACCTTCACTAATCCAACTAAAACAACCAGACATTAGTTTTCCAGAGGTTGAAGGGAAAAGAAATCGGTATTTCTCAAACCCTCTTTAAATTTCTTTCAAAATGACACTCCGTTTCTTTTTTCCAAAACTGTCCTGCCCATTATGGAAAATGTTTGGGACCACAGAGGCCCAGTAGGATTATGCAAACTAGACTCCAAGGCTAAGAACCAAGGTGGGGAGGGACTAAAGCAAAAGGCTTCCTCCACATCGTTCCTCTTCAACTTAGCTTCGACCTTTGCAAGAACAGTCTCCCTGCAGATCACATCCGGCAGACACTTTGGAACGTTGCTCAGAATCAAAGGAGCAGTCAAGTGGCACGCGGGGGTGGGAGGGAGGAACGAGTAAGCCCCCCAAGTAAACATAAAATCCAGACTGGAGTGGGTGTGGCGGTGGCTAAGCCACAAAAAGAAAAGTCTATGGCAACTGGCACCTGGTGCCTCATACACAGACAGGAAAGCACAGAAGACCCTAAAGAGAACCGACTTGCCAAGACCGAACAATAACTACATCCAATACATTCTTTGCTAATAACACAGGTAAATCTTAATTTCTCTAGGAAAACACACACACACACACACACACACACACACACACACACACACGCGCAAAGTGTTTATTCCCTCCAGCCCGATTCCCCACATCTCCAAACTCAACAACTAATTGCACCTTCCCCACAGAACCCGCGGCTAACCCCAGAGGACTGGTGAGGGCTGGCTTGGGATGAATAAACACTCGACACCTGACGGTCCTTTCTCTGCGGTGACTTTCACCAAGCCGAAGTGGCGCGCGCGCGGGCAGGCGGGAGCCGGGACCTGGCCCGCGCGGCGCCGCGCACCCGGATCCCGAGGCTACGCCGGCGAGCGCGGCGCGGGGGGCGGGGAGCGGGACAGCGGGACCGCCCGGGCCAAGCGATTGTTTCAAAGACATTTTTTATCAAGACCCTTTTGTATTCGAGCCCTACCTCTTTTTGGCCTAGGAAAGCTTTCGTGCAAGTGGAAGACGACTTTCTCCACAAAGTGCTGTATGTTACTGTGCTCCGGACCGCGTACGAACACCATCCAGTCGTGGGTGAAGCCCTCCACGGTGGGTTTTTTCCTCACCTGGGCGCGGTGCCCCAGCTCCAGCTTCACCTGCACGGCACACTGCGGGCAGGGGGAGGAGAGACAGCCGTGAATAACAGGAAGGCGAGGTTTCGGCAGTGAACGTTGCGCCTGACATTTTTTTCCTCCTTCTTGAAACGCACATAAAAGGAAACGGCGGTGCCCTCTGCATCCACGTTTCACGCGCGTGGGCGCGCACACTCCACACCCCCAAATATACCCGCCCGCCCGGCCCGGCTTGGCCCCAGGCGCCCCGGGCCCCGCATCTACATCGGACAGGATTGTAACGGAATGTTATCCCCAGTCGGGAAGGGGGTCGGGGAAAAGAGGGAGAACACACTCAGCCACGACAAGCACGACAACAAATGCATCGGAAACAAATCAGAAGGCGATGCCGGGGCGGTTTCCCGGCGTGGGAGGGGAGGTGGCTGGGACCCAGGGGGACCGAAGGGCTCCTGGCGAGCCCCCTCCCCGAAAGTACCGCGGCGACAGGCACACGCCGAGGAAGTCTTTGTGTACGTGTGTGTGCGTGCGTGTGGAGCGCTGTGCCAGGCGAAATGGAAACTACAGGCAGCCTCTGCTGATGGGCACAAACTCCCGTGCTCTTGCCACGGGGTTCGTGCACAACAAAAATGAGACGTCGTCATACACACTGAAACACACACACACGCCCGCAGGAAAACACGCCGAGGCATCCATAACTTAGAGCACCCCGCACCCCCCAGCGAAAAGCCCCACGCGATCGGCGAGGCCAGTCGAACCGAGCCCCCGCAACACACTTTCAAGAGCCCAAGTGGCTCCAAAGTATCTCCCACCTCCCCCCAAAAAATGAAATTCAGAAAGGCAGGGCGGCGGGCGGACAGCCGCCGAGCCTCGGCTCGCGCTCAGCACCTCCCGGCGCTGGGGCAAAGTTGCGTGCGGCCCCGCCGCTGTCAGCCCCGCACACTTCGGCTCACACACGCGCGCCGCGGAGAACGCACCATCGTAGCGGCCGCGGCGCTTTGCGGAGGTGCGGCCGCCGAGGCTGCTCGCCGCGTCCCCGGACTGTGCCCGCAGCTCCCGGCGGCGGCGGCTGAAATATGGCTGAGTTATTATTCGCCTCCTTCCACCGTGTGTGTGTGTGTGTGTGAGTGCGCGCGTGTGAGCGAGAGGGAGTGTGTGAGTGCGCTTCTTGTGACTGCAAAGAGGCGAGGAGGGAGGGAGGCGCGGGGGGTGGAGGGGCGAGTGTGAGCGTGTGTGAGTGTGTGTGTGTCTGTGTGTCTGTGTGCGCGCCGGGGGGGGGTGGGGGAGGAGGGGAGCGGAGGCTGAGGGAGAGGCGGCAGCTCCCTGCAAGCCGTACCAACCTTTCTCTAATTGGAACCGCGGAGCGCTGGCGCTGTCTGGGCTGCGGCGGCGCAGGGCGAGGAAGGAAAGTGGGGGAGGGCTTTTATTATTATTTTTGCGCGTACTTACCGAGCTAGCCATGCCTGGGGGCCCGGAGGTTTGCTGGGGTGTTGTGTGGTACCCCCCCCTCCTCCGCCCCCCCTCAGCTGTAATTCATGAAGAGGCTGCTATGAATGAGAGCGCGCCCAGGAGCGGAGGGTAGATGGCGGACATTCTCTGCCTTTTTCCCCCCGCGCTCGCTTGCTCGCTCGCTCGCTTATTAAACTCAGCCCCAAAAGCAAAAGCAGCAGCAGCAGCAGCAGCTCCAGGGTAAAGAAGATGATTGCGGAGCATGCGCCGTGGCGCCTGACACCCGGGCTCCGAGCCTCACAGGGCGGAGGGAGGGCTTGCGGGCGGGGCGGAGCGCGCGGGGAGGCAGAGCGAGCGAGCCAGGGGGAGCTCGAAAGAGCCAATCACCTGCCACCTCCCGAAACCCCGGCGGCCCGCAGCGCCACACTGGAAAGCCTCGCTTAAAGTAACAGGTTCCTGCTGGGGGGGTGGCAGGGAGGGGACGCAGGAGTGGGGAGAGCGGCCAGCTGGGGAGCCATCCCAGCCCCTGTGTAAACTCTGCTCGCCCTACAATAAAAAACGGATTAAAACTGCTGGAATGTAGCCACTGCTTAGAGCCCTCAGCAGCCGGAGAGGGGGTGTTAAATCAAGTCCTTAGCTAGTACGCACGGGGAGGAGGGAGTGGGCTTTCTTTTACTTTCCACCACGTATTTCTGTGGTTTTGTGCTGAAAAGACAAGAACTCACACCCAAACAAACTTACTTAAAGAGAGCGAGAGAAATGCCATCCTGCAAAAAACGAGCATGAAAATAGCAATGACTGAGGCTGTTCTAACCCGCAACGATCCCCTGGCCCCCTGCCCCATCCACTCACAGGCACCCGCCCGCCACCCTCACTCCCCGCCCTTCTGCCACCGCCACCGAAAATTTGAAAATGAAATGAACAAGGGAGAAACAAGGATGCTATTTCCTTGCAAGGGAACGCCTTCCGCTTTGGTAATCCCCGGCTGGGAAGCTTCATAAAGCGGTGCCCAGGTGAAAGCAAGACACCTGGGAGTGCCGGGTACAGACCCTCGGGGACCAGGCTTGGAGTTGTTTTCTTCGGGGGGCTTCCCCTCCTGACAGCCTACTGAGTTGCATCAGAACGTGGAGGATTGTCCTCTGAGGACGCGCGGGGCAACCGGGAGTCTTAAAATAGCAGATAAAGTTAATACTGACTGTAATGTGCGTAAATTGGATTATAATCTTTAGGCGTATTGGTGACAACCAGCGTAATCCATCTCTGAGTATTAATCCGGTTAGACTCCCGGGTGACAGCCAGTCGCAGGAGTGTTCCCAGAGTCGCGCCTCTGCAAATGTTCTCACTCGCGTTGTATTTGATCTCAGTGGCCGGAGATAGAACAGCGCGGCCACGCGTGGGGCGCGGAGAGGAGTATCAACTACTGGCTTCCTTTACAGACGCAGATAACCTTTAAAAAGGAAACGGATAAGATCTAGACGATTGATTTGAAAGTGAAAGATGGATGTGACTTTGGTTCGTTAAAAAAAGATCCTTGCATCTTCCTAGCCCTTAGACCTCTTTTGCCTTCTCTTTACTCCCCTTTTTCCCTCGCCTTCCAACTTCTTGCTGAACCTTGATTTTTCCTTCTCTTCTCCTTGCCTTTCCTCTTTGTCCCTCTTTCTTTCCTCTTTGTCCCTTTCTTTCCTCTTTGTCCCTTTCTTTCCTCTTTGTCCCTCTTCCTCTTTCTGACTGAACTTCCTTGCTTTCCTCTTTTCCCTTTACTTCCCTTTTCCACAAAAGCAAGTTGTCTCGGCCCTTGAATTGAGAAGAGCAGAATAGCGGGGAGGACGTTACCTAGGGCGTCCTGTGTCCTCGCTGTTAATTTTCAGTTCTCCCAGCAGCTCTCACAAAGATCCTGGGAATCAGGTCGGACCACTTGGAACCAACCTTAGTTTCCAAACCAGCAGCCTTCCAACTCAACTTTTGATTCCCTAAAACTGATATTCCGCTGCCTGTCAGTTATAATCAAGAAACTTCTTTGGCTTGAGGTCCCCAGTTCTTCCCAGCCTTCTACAGGATTTAGCATAGAATGGAGCAAACGACTGAAGGTAGAAACATTTTAATCTAAATCCAAGGGCTTAGATTTGTCAACTGACACACATATACATAACTGCATATCATCCTGTAGGTATATGCGTCGCTGTGTCTGTATGTATGTACAAGGACTACGTTTATATTCGCAGAGACAAGCTGTGTGGGTAGTATCTACGTGAAGGGGGGACCTATTTATTGTGCATTATTAAACTTTTCATAAAATAATCAAATTTGAGAGCAGTCCTTTGTAATAATAGTATTGGAAACTAAAGGTTATCTGGACGTGCCATTAGTAAAGCCATTTCTTATTAAGAAGTAACCATTAACAGCGAGTGTAGCTCAGGACACAGGCAAAAAACAACAATCCCATTCCCCGTTTGAGTTCATTTCAGGGTTTAACTTCTTCCGGCGCCAGCCACCGGACTCTCTTGAGATTGTCTCCAAAACTTGTACCCGCACAACAGATAGAGGTCTCTTTTTTGAATTATGTGTTTGCTGAATTCAGATTTATTCCAGCAATCACTAATAAGCCATAGAGTCTGAAAGGGTATTTTCCCAGTACCCCTCCTTCCTCAAAGAATGCTCTAACAACCCAACGTAGTTACTCCCAATCTCCAAATACTGGACATTTAGATTCCGTCAGTAGATGGCGCACGGAGCTCTTCCACGGACGTCCTTACGTGACCCCTTCACAACAAAAAGATCAGGAAGGGGGAGAAAAGAAAGAAAAGAAAACACAAGACTGAATACTCTCCCTTCAACTTTGGACAAAGAAATTTATGCAAGTCTGTCAATTTATTAATTACAACCTATTTTAATAAGCTTGCCATTAAAAACAATTAAAATCGATTAATTTCCTGTGCAGATCTTCACACTTTAACGTGAGGTAAAAATGTGGAAAATAACCTTTTGTGTACTTGACAATGTGGTTATAGAAAATGTACTGTAAAGAAATTTTAAGACAAACTTCAGTGCTAAATACAGAAATAGTAATATAATAACTAAAATGGAAGTGGTGAGGGATAAAATCATCTACTTATCCAAAGAATAATTATCTTACCAAAATTCATACTGTTGTATATAGCACAGTATGAAGCACCATGGGGTTAGTTTGAAGATCAGAAAAGTAATTAACATATCAAATAAAAATCGTGATGAAGAATAAAAGAGAACAGTGTCTGTGACAGATCACTACCACCACTACCATCACCATTGCCCTACCACCATCATTTTGGCTCCAGCCTTTTTATTTGCAATTGTTTTCTTTAGTCTGGAAGCTAAAGCCAGTTTCCATGTTTCTGGCAGAACAAAGAGAGGGCCTTTAACGTGTAATTAGAGTGTTAAGGAGCATCCTAAAATAAACTTATCTATTTGTTGTGATAGATAATTGATGCACAAATTCAAATCAATAAAAATTTACCATTTATTTCCCGTCATTGCTGTATAGACTTGGGGAGAAAAGAGGAAGAAGAAGCATGGAAAAAACTAGAAAATGTGCCAGACTCTAAATAGACATTTTGCAAAAATCAGACTCAAAGTAATTAAGGATTCTTCTTCCATAATTGTGCACCTTTTTCTGTGTACTGCATCCATGTGTTTATTCACAAAATCATTCCACGTCTCAGGCAGAGAGTTAGGCCCTAAGACTGTAAGAATGACAGGATTCCTGATATCAGAGTTTATAAACCAGGGGAGAAGTTTCGCCAAAAACTTTTTTTTTTTTAAATTTCATAACAGCTAAATTTGGGATAAGATGCGTGTCATATATAAGCGAGGAGCATAGAAACCTGACATGAACAGCCCAAGGACAGGAAAAACAGTGGCATGAGATTAGAAGCCAGGAGTCATTGTCCTTAATTCCACCTTTTAATACTTAAAAGGTGGGGAGAGGCAGATATCTTTCTTGCAACAGCAGCCAGTTCCTACTTTCCTTTTTCTTGATCTGAAGTATTTTGTATGTTCACTTTTTTACAGCTCTTTTAGGGAGAAAAAAAAAAATCCCACAATGAAAGAAAGCTAAGTCTTTTCAAGATCATGAGCAATTCTCAGTTGAAATCATCTCCCCATTTCTTATGGAAATTTTTGGTTCAAAATGTTACATGTTTAACATTATATTTAATTCATGATTCTAGGATAGTGTGGGAACACTAGAATGGTAAGACTCATTACTATTTTGAAAAAAAGATTGCTTTGATAGCCGTTTGAGCACCTAGTCCAGGACTATTTCCAGAGATAAGAAATACACAGAGCTTTTTTAACCACCAGTGCCTCTTCATGTGTAAATTATTCCCTGAGAGTAATTTAAGCAATGCACTTATACATGCAGAAGACAAGAGTGCCTCCACTGTAATAATTTATTAATTTAGTGGGCTGTATCCTTAATTTAATAAGTAGCACCTCAAGGCCTGAAAATTAATCAAGGATGTCGTGTAAAACCAGCAATATGAAACAAAATAAGTATTGGGGGACAGTTGATATAGAGTGATTGAAAGAGTCTCCCTAATATATACAGGATGCTTAGTGGAATAGTTCTAGGTAAAATACATATTGAGTTGAAAATGCTTGCTGTAAAACAATCTATCTAAAAAGTAGACCAAATGACTATATCTTTATGTATCTCTGGCATCTCTTCAAACGCTACTGTGCAATGTTCCTTCTTTCTTTATGTAATGATTTGATCTCTTTTATTTTTAATGGAAATTCTGTTTGTTTTTATATATGAGTTCACCTCTCCCACTCACATATAATGAATCAGGGCTTAAAATAATCACTTTATCTTAAAATAATAAAATATATTTTGTCTTTTTGGTAAAAATGGAAAAATAACATATCAGGCCTATGAACTAATTTGGACAGCTCAAACTTCAACAAAAACTGCCAAAAACTTAGGAAAAAGAAGTAACTCCTAGCCGGGCACAGTGGCTCACGCCTGTAATCCCAGCACTTTGGGAGGCCGAGGTGGGCAGATCATGAGGTCAAGAGATCGAGACCATCCTGGCCAACATGGTGAAACCTTGTCTCTACTAAAAATACAAAAATTAGCTGGATATGATGGCACACGCCTATAGCCCTAGCTACTCGGGAGGCTAAGGCAGAAGAATCACTTGAACCCGGGAGGCAGAGATTGCAGTGAGCCAAGATCGCACCACTGCACTCCAGCTTGGTGACAGAGCGAGACTCTGTCTCAAAAAAAAAAAAGAAATGACTCCTTTCCATCTACTAAATGGTGTGACAGTGGCTTGAAAATAATACTAAGCCTCTAAGAAGCCAGTGATTTACTACCTTCTGGTAGGATCAAGTATCCTGGTTGGGTTAAGCTATTTACTGTCAGCCTTGAATAATCCATGAGTATATTACCTACTTTGCAGATAATCCACAATGACACAATTTATGTTTGTGGGGTTTTTTAAATGTAAATGTATGTTATAGGCAGGGTTTTTAAAACTATACAAAATGTATATCACTGCATCTACTTGTTACTTTCCATTCATAGTTTTTCTCACAGAAAAGTTTATATATTATTTCATTCTTTCTGTTTTGGAGCTCTTTCTAAATTTTACTAAGAAAAACTTTCTAAATTTTATTAACCAATTTTTCATCCCAGATATAGGGTGCTTTGGCAAAAAATTCTTGATCTAGGAAGCAATACCAATCAATGGGAAAGAAGGAATGTTCATTTACAATTTGCTAAATCAAAATAACTCTTAAAGGCTATTCCTAATTATAGGTCTATTACATATGCTCTATGAATCCAAATAAGGGAAAGTTAGTGAAGAACTGTCTTCTGCACTGTATTGATAACAGTTTGGGAGAAATTTCATATAGTAACAAGGAGATGAAAATAACTTAAAAATAGCTAAATAACTTTATTTCTGTATGATCAAACCCTTAATATTTCTTATTTCAATCTTTTCTTATGTTTCATGACTTTAGCATTTTAGTTTGATGATTAGTTTAATGTGTTCAGTTAACTTTTATTGGCTTTCTATTGAAGGTCAGCTACTTTTCTTGGTCCTTTCAAATCAGGGTAAGTTTAGGATGCCTCTAACTCTCATTTATTTCAAGGCATTTCATAATTATTGAATTAAAGTTGACAGGTTGCCACAATAAATGAAAGATGTTATTAAGCACATAACGATAAGCCCTGGTTATTCACTTGTATCCTTATTTAAGAAAAAAAAAAAGATTTAGCCATGACATTGTAGTAACCTCTACTTTAAAAAAAAGGCTGAAATTATTTACTAAGATTAAAACAAGTATTGAAAGCACTTCCAAATTAAAATTTTACTTTGAAGGGATCCAACTAGTCAAATTTGGGACAATTTGAACTTCAGAAAGAATCTATCATTCCATAATGGTACTTTAAAAAACTAACAAGAAGGTTGAAAACAAAACTTCTTCTTATGGAAAAATGCTAGCTAATATACATAAAAGGAACGATAGGATCAGAAAAGTCATAATTTTGCAGACTCCATAACAGTAATAGATTTAGTCAAGGCTCATTAGTATATGCTGAAAGTATTAAGTGAAAGATTTTGGAGAATACATTATTCACAAAATCTGGTGTTACAGATTACATATTAATTTTATATATCAATTTTAATTTAATGTTATAGTATCACAGATTACATATTAATTACAAAGGGAGAAAGAGACCTTTACAGTGGAAACATCTCATGGACACCACTTAACCAAGTGATTAAACTTACCGTCATTTCTAGTGGGAAGAGCTGACATCATGTACCTCTTGAAGTGATGCGGTAAAAAAGCATACAGCATCACCACCTATGTATTTTTCTTGCCAAAAATGTTTAACCTGAATCTAATCAAGAGGAAGTAATCAGACAAATCCAGATTATGTAGAACATTTTACAAGATAACTGACCTGAACTCTTCAAATATCAGTATCATAAGGGCCAAAACAAAAAAACCAAAAACACAAAAAAACAAAAAGACGAGGATAGGTCCAGATTAAAGTTGACTAAAACATGACAACTAAATACAATGTTTAATACTTACTGGAATTCTGGATCCAAAAACATGTATTATAAACACAAAATAGCCTAAAGGATATTCTTGGAATAATTGGAGAAATCTGAATCTATACTGTATATTAGAAGATATTATCAAAGTTAAATTTCTTGTGCTAATAGGATTGTGATTAGACAGGCGACCCTCCTAGTTTTTGGAAAATACATGCCAAAGTAGTTAGGGTCGTGTCATGTCTACAACTTACCCTCAAGTAGGTGAGTCAAAATAATAAAGATACAGATTAAGATAAAAGAGAGATAAGGCAAATGAATTGAAATGATCATTGTACTGCCTTTTCAGTAAATTTGTCTTTTTTTTTTTTTTAAGATAGGGTTTTATTCTATTTCCCAGCTGGAGTACAGTGGCACATTCATAGCTCACTGCAGCACTCCAACTCCTGCACTTATGTCATCCTCCTCCCACCTCAGCCTCCAGAGTGGCTGGGATTACAGGCACCAGACACCATGCCCAGCTATTTTTTTTTTAAATTTTTTTATAGAGAGGAGGTCTTGTTATGTTGCCAGGGCTAATCTCGAACTCCTGGCCTCAAGCAAGCCTCCTGTCTCAGCCTCCCAAAGTGCTGGGAGTACAGGCATGAGCCATCATGCCTAGTCTCTTTTTTTCAAAACATAAATTGTAGGGGGAAAATTGGCTCTTAAGATTCAGAACTAATTTAGGAAGTCACTGTTCTGTATATGTATATGTATATGTTCTGTATATGTTATTTGATGATTTTTTTTCTTAAAAATATATGCTTAATAAGAACAAAAGTAGGACAAATGAGAAGAGAAAATATTACAATCTAAATGATTTTATTTTTAAGTAAAAGATTGAGGTTATAGTTTTTTTCTTTTTTCTTCTTTTCTTTTTTGTCAGTTTAAAGCTTTACCTATTTTATGTTTTCTCCTTTCTGCCTACCACCAAATTTGTTTTTGAATTTTAATCATGTGACGGCTTTTAGTTGACTGACATGTTTGAGGTCAGCCTATTTGGTGATCTCAGCTTTTCTCTGGGAATGAAGGACTCCAAAGGGAGCAAGAAACTAGACATAGGTTTGGCATGCCCTGCTGAATTAGTGACAATATTTTCATGGAATGTTCTTTCAAAAGTAGAGGCTGTGTATGAAAGGTTTCCCTCATGAGATTACAGCAATTTAAAGGTCATTCAATTCTACAGACCGCTTAATTGTGCCCCATTAAGCATTTCTCAAAAAGAAGTATGTGTGTTTTAATAGCATTCAAGGACTGCCAATATCAGCATTGTCTAACTTAGAAAGATTATTTTTTTCATGGCTTTTATCACTGACCCGGTGTATAATGCACTGACTTTCCTTTTTTATTGCTCAAGGGCAGCTGGATGAGTAGCCTTGGCTCATTTAGAAACCATCTAATGCTTTTGTTCTCAGTTAATATTTTCTTTAAAGGTCACCTACCTCTGACACCTGTCAGGTTAGTACTTCTCAAAATCGGAAATAGGACCTTTTCTTGATCAAGTACAGCCAATGCAATGTCTGAAGATTGGCCAGCAGTTTTGAACAAATAGCAGATGAACAGATTGCTCTTTGAGCTGTCATTTTATACCCAGGATCTTTATGGAGATTTTTTTGCCAACCAGGTACCAGAGAGGAATGTGGAAAGAGTAGACTAAATAACAGGGTAGAGAGCTCTGTGTTTCCTTTCCAAACTTGAGAGAGAATGCACAAAGGCACCACTCACTCCTTAAAATGTCTGTGAGGGGTAGAGAAGGTCATTAAGTGAAAATGTGAATTTAAAAAATCAGGTCCCAAATAAAGAACAAATAAACAAAATAAATCCAAACCAATTTAAGATAAAAACTTCCAAACTAGACCATAAAGCAAAATTTATGGGAATTATAAATATGATGACAGTGTTCTGGAAAAATTCTTTTTACTGTAAGAGCAAAGCATTCAGAGACTGGTTTTGATTTTTATTCAGTAATCCCAATGTGGAAGCTGTAATTGTATATAACAGTCCATGTAGTTTCTCAATTCATTAGTTGTTATACTGTGGTTCTTACCCAAGTTGTGGTACTCTGTAAACAAAAGCCACCAGAAGTGTCTTTTGGAGATGTCAGACCTCCTAACCTTTCCTTCAATCAAGGCCTTTAATTCTCTTATACAACCCTATATTTAAAACTATGTACTGGTCTTGCTGTATCCCAGACGTTTTGATTAGAGAGCTAACGCAATGGTCTGACTTCAAGCCAAAACTAAAGTTGAACCTTAAGGCAGTGATCATATGCACATGGCAGGAAAAAGATATAAACGCAGTTTCCAGGTCATAATGCAAAATATTCCAAGTCATTTTGTCTTCCTTGACTCAACAACATGGTACAGATTTTTTAGTGAGACACTCAAGGCTTTGATTTTTATTTTATTTTGGAGAGAATGGGAAGAAGTTGTAATTATTCTAATTAAAATGGCAATAACCATATTAGTGGATGAAATTGTTTATTGATTCTATTGATATAACATATTCAACAAATACAAAACAGAAAAGAATAACTAGTTTCCCTAACATTATAGATGTATTTCACAAATATTACTGTATACCTATTATGTATAAAGCACAAAAAACTAAATTCTGCAACTTGAAATAGAATTCAACAGAAAGTTAATTTGGATGGAGCCATATTGGTTAAAGGAAAGAGATAAATGTAAGAAAAGGCTGGGTACCGTGGCTCATGCCTCTATTTCCAATAGTTTTGGAACTATTCCCAACTACTCAGGAGGCTGAGGCAGGAGGATCCCTTGAACCCAGGAGTTCGAGGACAGCCTGGGCAACGTAGTAAGACTCCATCTCTAGAAAAAAAAAGAAGTAAAAAGGCACAGGTAAGAAAGACTTCAAAGTATGTAGAGAAATAAGAAAATCTGTTAAAAGGCAATGTTGAAAAACTTGCAAGTACTTAGTTTTTGAGTTTTGATCTGTTTCCTAGCATAAGTCTACTCATTAAATAATGAGAAACAATATGAATAAAATAATATAGGCACAGTTTGAATTTAATAACAATTTAGAAATGGAGAAGCAAGGGCATTTGTCATTACACAGGATTCTGTCATTACTAATGAATTTTGTCAAGGTTAAGGTACACCAATCCTCATTTTTCCAGTTGGGATAAATCAGAACATTCCTGATTCTGGTTTTACCATAGCAGGAGTCTTTAGCTTCATTCTTTTCCCCTCCACTCCAGTATTTTATCATATTGGTTGTTTTGAAACGCTGCTTTGTGTTTCATGGGTTGAAATTCTGAAAAATTAGATCTGAAGGTAATTGCTGAGGCTTTATGATTTAATTTTACATGTTTGGAGACGAGTTCATTGAACTTACAAGCAGATAAATGAAAAATGCTACAAAATGGCATTAAATCAGTCTTAGCATTTTTTTCCTTTTAAAATATTGACCTAAATATATATTGGCTAAACTTCTCCTTAATGTCAAAGATAAAATGATTGAACTCTCGGGTATAAGCAAGCCCACTTGGCAAAACTGGGGAGCAGAAGTAATTCTGAGCCAAGCACATGTCTCAAAAAGGAAGTTCTTTGACACGAGAGGTTGTCTCCAACTGGCAGAGTTCAGGAATAGCAGACTTGCCCAAAATAACAATTTTGAGCCATCTTACTCTATTGTAGAAATAGAAAAAAAATCATTTCAAAATAATTTTTCATTAAGCTAATAGTAGAAAATGTATTTAACTTAAGAATAAAGATGGCCCAAAGTAGCTGTTAAGTCAAAGGTAAAAACAACAATATTTTTAGAACCCCAAAATCAGTTTTCATGTTTGTTTGCTTTTTCTTTCAGTGAATACATATAGTTTTCTAAGTACTCATTCTCTCTCAGATAATAAAACTAAAAGCCTGGCCTTTTTGAGTCATGAAAGTTCTCATCTACTAGTCACTTAAAAGCCATTTTTAGAAAAGAATGTGTTTTGCAAAGAATAAAACCATAATAAATGGAGGACATATACAAGAAGGGGGAGGGAGAGAATTAGTTATAGACTATGATTGTTTACTAAGTAAAAAAGTCTCTACATGACACAAAATTATCTTTGAGAACATGAAGTAGTAATTGCAAAATTATGTCACGCTGAAATTACCTAAAATTATTCTGGCAAGACACATAAACATGTAAAACACCAGTCGCCTTTATCTGCAAGGTTTAAAAGAAATGTGTTTATGAATAAAATTCCATGGCTAAGACAAAGGATATGAGGTGGTGGCTGGAGAACTGAATTGAACCTATATCCTATAGTGTTTGAACTGAACAAAATTTTTGGCTTATTTATTTGTTTAAGGTAGTGGATAATATGTCAAGTTTGGAAAATGTTACATAAAAATTCGAATTCCCTGCTTCTCCTGGGGAAAAAGTAAATCAGAAATCTGGCCACCCAGGGCTTACCTATCCAGAAGACTCAGCTGAAGCGGAGTTCAGGCTACCCCCTTAGACTAGGTACTCCTCCTCTAGTTGTCCACAGTTCTGATTTCCCCAATTTACTCATTTACTCAAGCAGCCCAGCTCTTGAGGCCCTTTCTGTGGTAGTGAAGATAATCTCATCCTTAGGGTCCTGTTGTTGATATAGAACAGATGTGGGTAATGTATGGTGGGCGAACTGTGGCCAGGAAGTCGAGTCAGACTCTAAGTCTGTTAAAGAAAAACTTTTACATCTTTGAATAGTTGAATACAATTTTTAAAAGGATATTTCATGACAAGTGAAAATTATTTTAAAATTCATATTTCAGAGCCTATAAATAAAGTTTTATTGAAACATAACAAAGGTCGTTAGTTTTCATATATCTATGGCTGCTTTTGTGCTACAAGGATAGAATAGAGTGGTTGCGACAGAGACCACATGGCCCACAAAGCCTAAAATGCTTATCCTTTTCAAAGAAAAAAAATTATTCAATGATACCTATTAAAGCACAATAAGGAAGACTTTACTCAGCATCATTGAGACAGGTACAGGAACCACTACAACAGAGCCTGGCAGTGGAGGCGGAAACTGGGTTCAACTCCAGATACATGGGCAAGTGGAAATTCGTAGTCGAGGAGCAGGGTGTGGTTGGATGGAAATCACTAAGAGGAAACATCAGGGGCAAAAGTGAGTCTGGCTAAACCGACCTAACAGGATTTTTGTTGAAGGCAGGCCAGGGTGACCAGACATCACCTGGAGGATGGTGGAGGATGAGAAGCCTGATCAGATATTGAGATGGTCAGATTCCAAGGGTAGGGGTTCTTGCTAAAACTGAGTTTAATTAGGAAGTGCACAAATGGGCCTAGGAGAAGGTTCAGCAGACTGACTAAAGTTTGGCCAAGCAAAAAATCTTTGTCAGTATCTGGCCTTTATGGGAAAAGTTTGCTGACCCAATCTAGAACAGTGTTGTTCAAAGGTAATATAATGTGAGGCACGTATATAATTTTAGATGTTCTAGTAGCCATATTTTTAAAAAGCAAGATGATAAAATTAGTTTTAATAATGTATTTTGTTTAACCCAATATAACCAAAATATCATTTCAATTGAAATTAATTTAAAAATTATTATTGCTATCTTTTACATTCCTTTTCATTCTGCCTTTGAAATTCAGTGTGTATATACTTGCAGTTGTGAAAGTTATCAGTATGAAAATGGAGTCACTAATATAAAACCCTAACTTAATGGAGCGGGGATGCCGTGAAGGAGGGGTCCTCACACATGTATGCCTATAATGGGAACTATGCAAGGAATTCCTCGAAACTGCAGTAACCTGATTTCACAAGGACCCTTGCCTAACAATGGCTATTTCCACCAATAAGCTAACAACTCCAGCAACACGACCCTGTAATCAATGGTCTTTGTTTCAAAATGACTTATATGGACATTTATTTTGCCTTTAAAAGCTTCCCCTTTGCCCCAATTCTCTTGGATGCACCTATGTTTTTCATAGCACATGTATCCCTCATTGCAATCCCTTGCTACTCCTGAATGAACTCTTTGCTTTGTAGAGTTGGTCTCTCACTGATTTTAGGTTGCCACAGTGTATCTCCAATAGGATTAGCCACCTTTCAAGGGCTCAATAGCTAAGATGGTGCTAGCATGTTGGAAGGACATCACAGATTTAGAATTTAAGAATATTAGACGGCAATAATTTAGCAAATAAATTAAATAAATTATGATTTCTTACACAATAAAGAACTCAGAGGTGTAGGAAAAAGAATAGGAACAAAGTCCCAAAGACTTCTAGGCTTAAGGGTGAAAGAGGGTTGGGGTGGGGAAAGTGAAAGTGGGCTATGAGAGATAAGGCTGCCTAGCTGAATAGACTAGCCAATGGGAGAAGAAGAGAGGATTTTTAAGAAGTATTGGAGGTCTGTGAGTCCTTTTCATGAGGTTCAAAGAAAACCTAAAGGTCTTGGTATTTAAAAATATTTATGTTCACATAGCATTCATTTCTTGTCAAAAGAACTGCTCTGGATTTGAACCACAAGGGATTCAAAAACTTTTTTTTTTTTAAAGCTTCAGACTATTAACAAATATTTTAAAGTAGGAGGCTTTTAGTCAAAAGGTTGTAGGCTGGGAGATACATCTGTGATCCAAAGCTTTCTCATTTCCATAGAACATGGCCTGAATACTTCTTGCCTTCTCTAGGACTGCCCATACCCCTGCTTTGAAGGAGGGATGGCTAATCTGATGGGTGAGGGTCTGACATTCATTGAGTCTTTCACTTCTGGTGAAAGTTTCCAGTAATTAATAGCCACCGGCCCAAGATCTCTTTTCCCTCCACACTGTCAGCTGCAACACAGGCTCTGCTTTTGCATACCCTCTCTGGTGGCAACAGACATATAATTCCAATACAATACAGTCATTGTTAAACAGGGCTCTGATCAAGGTAGAGTAAGAGCAGAAAGGAAAGAGGTGCAGGGTTTGGAGGAACTCGTTCACAATTGGACATCCTCCTTTACTATCCACATCACTTTTTAGTCATGCTATTTTGTAGTTCAACATTACTATGGTGAAGTTATTTTGAGTATGTATTGTTTTATGTGAAAATTAGATGGTAAAAACTCACTTAAACAGTATATACATATAAATGTGTAGATAAATAAGAATTCACTTTTGTAAACCCCTAAGATAATGGCAAAAATTAAAAACATTGCTTGGACAATGCGATTATGCCCAGAAAAAAACCGTGTCTTCCATAAGTTTTTGATTTAACACACACTTATATATGTCAGACACTGTTGTAAGCACTTTACAAA
The DNA here is from genome assembly GCF_000001405.40 of Homo sapiens. Classification (NCBI taxonomy): domain Eukaryota; kingdom Metazoa; phylum Chordata; class Mammalia; order Primates; family Hominidae; genus Homo; species Homo sapiens. Next base: position 20,636,597 of record NC_000009.12, read on the forward strand.
TATTAACTCTTATTCCAACAATACCTCCATAATGCTGGAATACTTTTACTTCCATTTGAGACCTGAGCTAGTAAGTAGCAATGTTCTGGGGTGACCACTGTCCTTGTTTTAGTACTGACAAGTCCTGCATCCTTATAGAACTCCTCAGTCCCAGCACAACCAGCATGGTTGGTCATCCTAAAATTCAAACCCTGGCAATCTAATTCCATACTCCAGGCTATTAACATGTTTTCTCTCTTATAACAGTGCAGGGATAACTCTAGTAAATATAGAAACACCATGTGTAGAAATGGACCAAACAAAAGCAACCCTGAAATCTGGGCCTGCTACAAGATGCTCTACTTATAGACGCTACAAGTAGAAATTCACCTTCAACTCACCTAGTCTCCCAATAAACACTCTGGAATGTACTAGGGTTGATTTGCATCAGTTGCTTGCAGCTGGAGAGCTGCAAGGCAATTGCAGAATCTTCAGAAAGGCAGAGGGAGGAGCAGGGGGATTGGAAATCCTCTGATAAAATGGCTTAGAAGATGACTCACTCTTCCTAAGTAGGACCCAGTGGCGAACTTGAAAAGTCTGTAAATCCAACTGGGAGTACTTTATGTTGTTTTCTGCTTTGTCTGACTGTTTCTGTACATTTATATATTCATGGCTATTAAATAAACTTCCGTTGTCTGTGTCTTTTGGCCTTTTCCTTTCAATCACAGTAACAGCCTTGTTGTGACAGCACCACACTAAGAAGACTCTGTCAAGGCAGGGAGCCCAGAGGACAGAGAAAATGGCTGGGTTGTCCCATGGGCAGATGTGAAAAATACCCTAAAACCTCCTTCATGTGGTGAAGGATGCAAGTAAAAGATAGGAAATATATCAGCAGGGCCTTTGAGTCTAAGCTTATGCAATCACCTCTCAAATCACTTGCTTTTCTCTTCCACCTTGGCATTCCAGGAGGAGCATCACTACTCTCCACCTGTCTTCTTCTTTGGCCAATAGTAGGTAAAAAAAGAGCCAACAACAGAGTAGGATTCCTCTCCCCCCAATTCATATCTCGCTTCTCCTATAAAAAGACATAGAGAGAGGAAGAAACAATAAATACTATTTAAATAAATGATTGTGCTTGGTTTCTTCCACCTAGATTTTGTGTAGAACTACTTGCTGTGAGAAAGTAAAAAAAAAAAAAAAAAAAAAAAAAGCCTAATTGAGATTTGCATATTCAAATACAAGACAAGGAAAATGCACCCAATCTGAGATGGGAGCTTAGAGAAAGAATAACTGAGGCATTAACACTTGAGATGATACTGGAGGGTAAGAGTTTATCACAAGGATGAGGAGAGGGTGTCACAAGGATGAGAATGAAATTGGGAGCAAACATTTAACAGATATTCTTCCTTCAGCCTGGAAAGACACTAGGAAGGGTGGGGGTGGGGGGGCACTGAGAAAGGAGAAGGTATGGCAAGCTCAGTAGCTATACTTATTCTAAGGTCTGACTGAAGGAAAGTGTTGGGAGATGAGGAATCTCCTCAGAAAGGGTATTCTGTTCATGCTCAACAGATTAAGAGTTTTCTATGCCTGACAAGAAACCACTGAAAAAATTTGAGCAGAGGTATGATATAATCAGATCACAGTATGAGAATATTTGTCACAGTCCTCAGGAACGTGCCATGCAAAGCCATGGTTACTGGCAAACTAGTTATTAAATGGACCAGAAAAAGAAAAACAAAACATTGAAGAGCTCTTCAAAAGGGAATATGAAACCAATGAAAACGATGAAAATATTTAAATATATGAAACAACATAAGTCAAAAAATGTTAAGGCTGGGTGCAGTGGCTAATGTCTATAATCTCAGCAGTTTGGGAGGCTGAGGTGGAAAGATTGCTTGAGGCCAGAAATTAGAGACCGCCCTGGGAAACACAGAGAAACCCCGTCTCTACAAGGAATTTTTTTTCTTTTAATTAGCTGGGCATGGTGGTGTGCACGTGTAGTCCCAGGTACTCGGGAAGCTGAAGTGGGAGGATTGCTTGAGTCCAGGAGTTTGAGGTTACAGTGGGCTATGATAGTGCCACTGCACTCCAGCCTGGGTAACTGAATGAGACCTTGTCTCTAAAACTAAAAAGCAATAAATAAATAATAAATAAATCAATAAATAAATAAAAAGAGAAAATAAAGATTTTAAACTATGTAAGCTAAAAATGTACTTAAGGATGAAGAAGAGATAGTTCACAGAATGAACAAATTCTTGACCTCAATACTGATCCAGTAAGGATCAGGGAGCATGCATTTTCCAAACTGTCTCCAACAATAGCAAATAATGGTCAATGGCTGGATATTCTAAACCAATGTAAAGTAATGTATAGAAAAGTCATAAGGACTGGCTTTTGGTCTCTGATTGCCTCACTAAATAGCACTTTATTTTGTTTTTTATTTTAAAAAGTAGAATGAGATTTGTTTTAATCCTTAGCATATATGTTTATTGGGCTTTCTGCAGGTTATTGACTTTTTTTTAGAGACAATCTCACTCTATCCCCCAGGCTGGAATGCAGTGCTGTGATCATGGCTCACTGCAGCCTTGAACTCCTGGGCTCAAGTGATCCTCCCACCTCAGCCTCCCAAATAGCTGCCACTGCAGGTGCATGCCACCACACTCAGCTAATTTTTTAAAAAGATTTTTGTAGAGATAGGGTCTTACTATGTTGCCCAGCCTGATAGGTTTTTATTTATTTATTTACTTATTTATTGTCATAGGGTCTCACTATGTCACCCAGGCTGATGTACAGTGACATAATCATGGCTCACTGCAGCGTCAACCTCCTGGGCTCAAGTGATCCTCCCAACTCAGCCTCCTGAGTAGCTGGGACTACAGCCATGCACCACCACACCTGACAAATTTTTGTATTTTTTGTAAAGACAGGGTTTTGCCACGTTGCCCAGGCTGGTCCCAAACTCCTGAGCTCAAGCGATCTACCTGTCCCAGCCTCCCAAAGTGCTGAGATTACAGGTGTGAGCCACAGCTCCCAGCTCCAGGCTGGCAGGTTATTGACTTAAAATTTCAATTTTTACATTCTTTCCTAATGTTTCATCACAGTTTATTTTCTAAAACTGATATTCTATATATGGTTTTATTTAGTTTAATACTTGTTCATTGAGAAATATTTCTTGAATGCCTATTTTTTTTTCCTTAGGCCCTAAGGAACCAATAATTAATAAAGACAGATGGACAAATCTGGCTGCTGTCTTTATGGAGTTTACAGTCTAGTGGAAAGCAAACAATTATAATGTTATATGTGTAAAGAACATGACAGAAACTCAGCTTGCCTACCCAATATTTATTCGCCACATCTTTCTTGTGAAGAGAATCCCAGCTTAGTTAGGGGTAAGCAACATGCCCAATTGTAGCAGATTGTATTTCCCCAAAATGGCCACAGTAATATTTTGTTTTTTGTTTTTTTTGTTTTTGAGATGGAATCTCAGTCTTGTCGCTCAGGCTGGGGTGCAGTGGCACGATCTCGGCTCACTGCAACCTCCGCCTCCCAGGTTCAAGCTATTCTCCCGCCTCAGCCTCCTGAAGTAGTTGGGATTACAGGCATGCGCCACTACATCTGGCTAATTTTTGTATTTTTTCAGTAGAGACGGGGTTTCACCATGTTGGCCAGGCTGGTCTCAAATTCCTGACCTCAAATGATCCACCTGCCTCGGCCTCCCAAAGAGCTGGGATTATAGGCGTGAGCCACTGGGCCCAGCCCACAGCAATATTTTGGTCCACTTGCTCTTCCATACCTCGCCACCCCCAGATCAAGTTGTAAAATCGACTTCTCTTCCCCTTTAACCAGGCAGACCTTTGTATTTTCCACAATGAATAGAATACAGCACAAGTGATAATGTGTGACTTCCAGGTCATAAAAGGCGATATGGTTTCTACCTCAGTCTCTCTTGGGACCCTCACCCTTGGGACTCAGCTATCGTGGTGTGGGAATCCAAGAACCCACATGAAAAGCTCATGTGTAGGTGTTCTAACCACAGTTCCAACTGTGTGAGTCTTCTTGGCCGGCAGCCAGCAACAATTGCCTCTAGGCTGATGCCAAGTGAAGCAGAGACAAGCTGTCTCTGCTAAGCTTTGCCCAAATGGCCTATTTGTGAGAAAAACACATTTTCATTCTAAGCCATTAACTTTTGAGTTGGTTTGTTTCACAGTAATAGAAACCTGGAAGATCTGCTTAAAAAATTGCTTTACCCAGCCTTCCTGGCAGATTGGTTAGGCATGTGACATAATTTTGACCAATGAGATAGAAAGAGAAGCCCATGGGTGAGGCTTCTGAGAAAGACTCAGCAGATACATGACTGTAAGATCTGGACCCTTTGTTCCTCCTTCTGCCTACGGCGCAGTGACAGCTAGAGCTCCAGCACCATTTTGTAAGAATGAGAACAAGAGCCACACTTTAAAGATTCCAGGACAGACATGTAGAAAAGGTGCTCAGCATTTTTAATCATTAGGGAAATGCAAGTGAAAACTGCAATGAGAAATCATTTCACACTTCTAAAAGGACAAACATTAAAAAGATTGACACACTAGATTTTGATGTGGATGTGGAACAAGTAGAATTTGCATACATTTCTAGTTGGAGTATAAAATAATACCAATCTTTGATAAACTGTTTAACAGTTTCTAATAAAGATAAAAATATACCTATTCTATGATCCATCTGGATTCAACTTCTAGGTGTTTATGAAACATAAAGACATATCTTCACAAAAAGACTTACGTAAGAATGTTCATAGTAGATTTATTTGTTATAGGCCAAAATAGGGAATAGTCCGTATGTCCACCAATATGAAAATTGGTAAAATGGATAAATTGTGCCACATATACTACATTGGAATACTGTTCAGTAATAAAATAAGAATGAACTACTCATATATGCAACAACATAAATGAATCTGAAAAACGTTATGTTGAGCAAAAGAAGCAAAATACATGAATATACATATACTATCTGATTCTACTTACATGGCATTCCAACACATGCGAAACCAATGAATTGTGGTAGAAATTAGAACAGTAACTGCATTTTAGAGGAATTGACCAAAAAGGCACAAAGGAATTATTTGGGGTGCTGGAAAAGTTCTACTTTGGAAACCAGTTGGGATATTGGTTACCCAGAGGTATACAGTCATCAGAATTCATCAGACTACTCACTAAGTTATGTATACTTTACTAGATGTATATTATAAAACATTAGTTCACTAAAAATAAATATGGTCATACTTTTCAATGGCTTATTTACTAGTGAGATCCACTGAAAGGAGCTATGACTTAAATATTATTGATTTGCTGTGATAGCTAACTTACAGCAGCAATGTTTAAACTAATACTAGGAATGAAAATATTTTGGTGACCAGGTCTCACCTACAAGTAAAATACTATCTCCAATTCGTTTACCCAAAACAAATATATTCTATGTTCTACATCAAAACATGTTCAACATGTTTTATTTCTCCTTTTCCCAAGCTAAGATAACCATAACAAGGTTATTTAGGCAAATCCCCATACCAGCAACTGACAGGGTTTCTTGATAAAGGTGATATCTCAGCTGAGATCTGGGTTACAGAAGGATTTATCAGCCAAAAAGGAAGAGAGAGAACAGAAGTAAAATGAAGCCCCAGGGACAAGGGAAAAATACACACACACACACACACACACACGCACACACACAGGAGAGAGAGAGAGAGAGAAAGAGAGGTGGAGAGACAAGCAGGCAGTCAGAAACAGAGAGATAAAGAAACTGAAAGATGGTCAGTGTCCATTGAAAAGGCTTAAACAACTATCTAAACAGGAGAAATAGTGCTTGATTGAGAAAGAACACAGAGAATCTTGAGAAGTATCTTCATCTGGATGGTGGTTAAATGGGTATGCACATATGTAAAACCCATTAAACTTTACATTTATATTAGCACACTTCACATATTTACTGTACATATGTTATACTTCAATTTCAAAAACAGAGAGGACTGAGTCCTAGACGACAGTTAAAAGGAGGTATGTGGAGAAAAGTGGCTAGAATGGAGATCTGTTTAGGTGGTAGATTTGATTAGGCCTGGTGACAGTTTGGATGAGAGAGGGAAGAATATAAGTATGAGACACCTTCACTTCTGAGTTGGGCAGCTGGTTGAATAATGGTGCAAATAACCTAGATAGGAAGGAGGAAAGTTTAGGGAATGCGGAATGGTCAGCTTTGGACATGTTAGGGTTCTGAATAACATCTAAATAGAAAAAGCATCTTTGTTAGTGTGGCTGGTAACACAGGAGCGCAGTTAAATATTTGTGGAATAAATAAATGCTCAGTAAACAGTTGAATAACTAGGTGTGAACATCAGGAGAGAAATCTGAAGTAATGAGACATATTTAGTAAACCTTAGTGTTAGAAAGTGCTGTTTTTCTATACAATAGAGCTTTAGCTGGGCACACGATTCCCCAAATATAGACTACATTTCCCAGCCTCTGTGCAGCTAATTGTGGCCATATGATTAGGTTCTCATTTGTGGGATTTATTAGAAATGATGTTTTCACTTTCTCAATTATGCCTTTTGTAGGAAAGAAGCATGTCGCTGCTTCCCATGGGGTTGAATGCAAATATGATAGTGAGGTCATTTTGACCACATGGATGAGGGTCGTACCCAGTGGCTGTCATACATTAAAAGGACCTCAGGTTCTCTAACCTACTGGGCCACCATATTATTCCTGGACAATATACACAAAATATTACATGAGAAATAACTCTTTATCTTATTTGAGTATTTTTTGTCTCTTGTTACCTCATTCTAGCCTTTATCCAAGCTAATCCAACTATTATTAAAACCAGGGGAGAATGTGACTAATGAGAAGTATCAGGAGAGTGTGGAATTGTGAAGGCTAGGGAAAAGGACAAGAAAAGAGTAGTCCACCGTGTTACAGGCTTTTCAAGGAGGAAAGGATTCATAAGGCATCACCTCAGGATGTTGAATTTTATTGTGTTTGGATCATTGTTACCTAATCACTTAACCACAGCACCGCACGAAGCAGCTCTATCTCACTAATTAGGCTAAGTCCAGTAAATTTCTTCTAATTTTTGTTTCTGATCTATTTTGGCTGGTGTGAATGTTAAGACTGAGTGTCAACTTGATTGGATTGAAGGATGCAAAGTATTGTTCCTGATGTGTCTCTGAGGGTGTTGCCAAAGGGGATTAACATTTGAGTCAGTGGACTGGGAGAGGCAGATCCACCCTCAAGCTGGTCGGGCACCACCTAATCAGCCGCCAAGCAGAAGTTGTAAACAGCAGACTTGCTGAATCTTCCAGTCTTCATCTTTCTCCCGTGCTGGATGCTTCCTGTCATTGAACATCAGACTCCAAGTTCTTCACTTTTGGACTCTTGGACTTACATGGGTGGTTTGCTGGGGGCTCTCATGCCTTCAACCACAGACTGAAGGCTGCACTGTCGGCTTCCCTACTTCTGAGGTTTGGGGACTCGCACTGGCTTCCTTGCTGCTCAGCTTGCAGATGGCCTACTGTGGGACTTCGCCTTGCGATTGTGTGAGTCAATTCTCCTAATAAACTCCCCTTCATATATACGTATATCCTAGTAGTTCTGTCCCTTTAGAAACCCTGGCTAATCCAGCTAGTAAACATGACTTTGTCTTGGCTAAAAATCTCACCAACACCTCTCATTCAAGAAGAATTTCATCGCTCTAATATTGTATTTCAATAGACACTATAAAAGGTGCTAGTATTGGATCCAGTTTAATTCCAAACTAATTAAGCTTGGACTAGAACCAACTGCAATGAATCAAAGCAATCAGCACCTTTTACCCAAAATTATACAGTAGGTTAATCTAGCAAAAGGAAAGAATACACATTTCAGGCCAGGGTCATTATGTTAGTCAATTATCTTTTTGTGCAGGGGACAGAGACTAAGGGATCATAGGGGAGGATTTATTGGAAAGGTTCTGAGATAGCTCACAGATTCTGAAGAACCAGGGCCGTTTTAGGGCCTTCAGTGACTACAACCAGAATCTTAATGCCACCTCTTTCTTCCTACTGCCTTCTTTCCCTCTGGCTGTCAGCTTTATGCTTCTTGCATATGTACACTTCTGAGAAAAGGGGATACATTTTATGCCTTTAAAGGTTCTAGAATGGGAATCTGGGTCAAAGAATATGGATCTTTTACAAAGTTCTTGATATGTTGCCAAATTGCTTTCTAAAAAATACATACTGGTTTAGACTCTTAATAGGAGTGTACGATCATGCTTATTTTTGAAACAACCTCACCAGCCTTAAATTTTGTATTTTCATAACTTTTCTAGTAGAATAAAATGATATATCATTGAAATTGTTAACTTTTTGTATTATAGCAGTAAAAGTGAATTGTTTCACATATTTATTGGTATTTATATTTCTGCTTCTGAGATTTGTCTGCACATTGTACTTTTTTCCATTGAAGTTTCAGTGTTTTCATTATTGATTTAAACTACTACATGCTTTTTGTCAGATATATTGAAATATTTTTCTACTTTATAATTTACCTTTCATGTTTTGATGGCTTCTGTTGTGTAGACTCGAATTTTTCATGTAGTCAAATATCCGATGTTGATTCCTTTGTGGTTTAGGCCATTGATTTTATACTTAGACAATTATTCCTTCAGCTCAAGAACAAGTAAATAGTTCCCTAAATAAACTCCTAGTTTTTTAACCTGCACTTTGGCAAACTTTTGCCATATTTCAGGCACATGTTTTAGTAGTCATTGGTTTGTCTTACAGTGAACACTTTTCACATTTAATATCTGGAATTTATTTTAGTATATATTGCAAGTTGACAATTTAACTTAAGTTTTCACAGTTAACCAACGTATTGAATGATTTTTCCTTTACATATTGCAATGTGATGTCAACTTTATTATTTACATCAGTTTTATAAGTAAGAGATAGTATATATTTCTGGCTATTTATTTTGTTTCAAAGATATGCTCATAAACATTTACACTAGTAATACTGTGTTTTATGTGCTGTTTTAATGTCTGATGGGGCAAGTTCTTGAATTAGGACTCTTTTGGTTAAAAGAAAGAAAAACTTATTTAAGTTACTTTAAGAAAAAGGGAGAATATCCATGGACCCTGTGCCCAGAGGCAAGGATCTCTTTGACAAGGAGAGAGAGCTACAGAGCCACTCCAATTGCATCCTTTTAGCTGGGAGAATGCTTAATAGCTGTTCACTCTTCCCCTCACCAATTTTCCTTTTTTTTTTTTTAATTTCCTCACTCTTTTCTATTTTTTTTTAAGCTAATCAACTGTAGAATCACCGTTTCAAGCTCCAAAAGGTATCCTATTTGGATTTTGATTGGAGTTGCATTAAACCTATAAATTAATTTGAGAAGAACTGACATCTTTATAATAGTCATTGCTACCCAGGAACGTGTGAGGACTTCCCATTTATTCAAGTCTTCTTTTATGACCTTAAGTAAAATTTTGTAGTTTTACTTATATAGTTCCTGTCCATTTCTTGTTATGGTTATTCTGAAGTATTTATATCATTCATTTCTAAGCCAATTACAATCTGACTTCTATCTATTAATCTTAATTCTTTTGTTACTAAAAAAAAGAGGGGGGAAGTAGCGGAAATTATTTGAAGGACATTAAGGAAGCTCATAGAATTAAGTGAATAGAATTAAGATTCAAAAAAAGGTGGGGCAGATATTTCTCTTTCACAGGAGTGCATGCGCCTGCTCTCTCTCTCCATTGCTCATGTTTCATCTCTACATATCTCTGTATATTTACTTCATTCTGATATTTCCATCATTCAGAAGGAAAAAAAGATGTTTTCTCATTAGTTGCAGACAGAAAAATTCCATGCAAATGTTCAGATTGGTCTAGCTTGGGTCATACGCCTTCTTTTTTTTTTTTTTTTTTTTTTTTTAATGAGACAGAGTCTCACTATGTCTCCAAGGCTGGAGTGCAGTGGTGTGATCTCGGCTCACTGCAACCTCCAGTTCCCAGGTTCAAATGATTCTCCTGCCTTGGCCTCCCAAGTAGCCGGGACCACAGGTGCACGCCATCACACCCAGCTAAATTTTTTGTATTTTTAGTAGAGAAGGGGTTTTACCATGTTGGTCAGGCTGATCTCGAACTCCTGACCTCAAGTTATTCATCCACTTCAGCCTCTTAAAGGCTGGGATTACAGGCATGAGCCACTGTGCCCAGCCATATGCCTACTATTGAATGCTGCCTATCTCTACAGCCAGGAAGATGTGATGCTATAATTAGCACAACCTGAATCATGTGCCTGCTCCTGTGGACAGAGAAGCAGGATTTGTTGCCAGATGTAGAAGAGAAAGGCATTCCGGGCAGACAATAGCCACGGCATCCACTGACATTGTTGCTGTCAAATTTGCCTGTGATCACCTTTTTGCTAATTACAATGAATACTTTTCAACTCTTGGAATTATTTTAGTCTCTGAAGACTTTGATGCTGTTGACAACTTCTTGAAATTCCCTTCTCCTTTTGTTTTAGTAATGAATTTTCTTGTGTTTTTTCCTCTCTTTAACTCCTGCTGTTCATTTTTATTCCCTTTTTTAGAACCTTTTTTCTTTTACTCACCCTTGTTATTGGTTTTATCCAGGCTTCCATCTTTGATTTATTTATCTTCTCCTTCTAGAGTACATTATTCTGGATTATCTCATCTAATCCTATGGCTTCAATTATAACCTGCCCATGGATGATTCTCAAATCTCTTCCTCCAGGCCAGCTCTCACTTTGCGTGTTTAGGCTCAGCCTCTAGTAATAAGGAACTCACTGATTTAGCTACAAGGAAAAATGGGGGGTTGAACTATCTCTTGGCCACAGGAGACACTGAACATATTGTTAATACTCTAGAAACTGTGTCCTATAAAATAGTTTATTTTTAAATCTCTGCTATTCTTGAACACTTTGTTGTGCTTTCAAAGGAAGAATGTTTTCTCATTATTTGTACTTCATTTCTAATGATCTGATAGAAGCCAGAACAAGGCATAATAATTAGAAAAAAATGCTGGAATGGGTATCTAACTCAGGATTACGGTGGGGATCCAGTGAGATAATTGATACATGTAAAAAGTATTTGATAAGTCATAAACAGCCATATATTACCAATTTGGACCAAACAAGGTACCCTCTCTCTCTAAGAGATCCTGAGTGATTTCATTAGTCATTTAAATTTAATTTGATGCACAATGAATAGTCATAGTATATAAAATACATCTATTTCAACCCCAAAGCCAGCATCATGTTAATGGGAAACATCTGGAGAAGTCCCATTAAAATCAGGAGCTAGGTGAAAATATCTGTCACCTCTATTTGACACTATTTTGGAGACAGTAGCCATCACAAGAAAGGAGACAGAAATGAGAAGTATAAAAAGTGGAAAGGAAGAGGGCAAAATTATAATTATTTGTAAATATTACTATTGCATTTCTGAAAAACTTGAGATAACTGAAAAATTACTACAGATGATAAGACAATTCAGTAAGTTGGCTAAGTATAAAATTAGCATACGGAAATGAATAGTCAATTCATTAACGTGTATTAACTGTTAGTTTAGAAGATATAATGGACAAAAAGATTCCATTTACAAAAGCAATGAAAATGTAGAAAATCTATTTGAAAAAAAAACAAAAACATTAAGCTGCAACTAAAGTCTCAAAAGAACTTTGAACAAATGGAAAGACATAGCATATTCTTGAACAGGAAGACATTATCACACACAGATTGATCCAATAAAAAGACAAGATGTTTTTATTTCAGCCAATCAAATTCTAAAGCTTATATTTAAAAATAACAAGCAATAGTATCTAGGAAAATGTAGGAAAAGCCTAGAGTGTGAAGGTCAACTAGCTTTTTTATATCTTAAAAAGAATCAGTGGAATAAATGAGAATATTCAGAAACAGAATTTAGTAAATTATAAAATCAGCCTTTTGAATCAGTGGCAAAAAAATGATTTATATAAAAATACTATTAGGACTACCAATAGACATCTAGAAAATATAAGAAAAATAAATTTGGATCTGTATCTCCTAACTTACCTCAAAACAAATTCAAGTTGGCTCAAATATTTACATGTAAATAAATGAAAACATAAGAGAGCTAGAAGAAAGCTCTAAAGACTTCCTTTTAAAAAAATTGGGGGATGGGAAAGCTATTTCTAAATATGTCATAACATTCAGAAGCCATAACAGAAATGATTTAAAAATTTGATTGCATAAAAAATAAAAATAAAGTTCTGCAAGATAAACAAAAAAGTCAAAAGACAAATGACAAACTTGGAAAAATATTCGCTAGTTATAACATAGGCAGGTGCTAGTCTTTCTAATACAGAGAGAGCATTTGAAAATCAGTAAGAAAATGACCAAGCTGGGCATGGTGGCTCACACTTGTAATCCCAGCACTTTGGGAGGCCGAGGCGGGTGGATCACCTGATATTAGGAGTTCGAGACCAACCTGGCCAACATGGTGAAACCCCATCTCTACTAAAAATACAAAAAATTAGCCAGGTGTGGTGGCAGACGCCTGTAATCCCAGCTACTCGGGAGGCTGAGACAGGAGAATTGCTTGAACCTGGGAGGCATAAGTTGCAGTCAGCCAAGGTTATGCCATTGCACTCCAGACTGGGCAACAAGAGTGAAACTCTGTCAAAAAAAGAAAGAAAGAGAGAGAGAGAGAGACAGAAGGAAAGAAAGAAAGAAAGAAAGAAAGAAAGAAAGAAAGAAAGAAAGAAAGAAAGAAAGAAAGAAAAAGAGAAAGAAAGAAAGGACCTTTAGATATATAAAATGATGCTCAGTCTTATTCACAAAAACAGAAATGCAAATTCCAATGGCTGGAATATCATTTTAAAGTTATTGTATTAGCAAAGATATAAAGGTTTGATTAGACAGTGTGTTCTCATACATTCCTAGTTGAGTGTAAGTTGGCAATTTGCCATTATCTCACAGAATTAACAATGCAACTCAACAGCTTTCCTCCTGGGAATTTATCCGAGACTTTATTCACTCATGTATGAAATAGATTACTCATTATAGCATTGTTTATAATACCAAAAGATTTCACCCATAGAGTGTATACATAATAATGTATCCCTACATTGGGATACAGTAGCTATGGGGATCATCTTTATGTGATACAGGATGATCTCCCTGATCTAATGTTATTCAGAAAAAGCAAGGTGCGGTAAGTATAGTATACTATCTTTTGTTTAAACACAGGATGTAAAATAATGTAAATTGTGTTTTATGTATAAATTATCTTCAGAAAGATACATAAAAACTCATATTAGGTGCCTCTAGAAAAGGAAACAGTATAACTGGATTATAGCCATAGAGAAGAGCTTTCTTACTTTGTACCCCTTTTACACTTTCTGTTTCATGTGAATGTATATAATTCTAAAGTGTAAATATAATTAAATTTTAAAACATTACCCCATTTTCTCATTTATACAGCAGTTATTTGCTTATTATAGAAATGATAAAATAACTCTAAGGCTGCAACCTAAATAATGATTTTGTCTGAAGCAAAATATGAGCTTGGTGCTACCTCATAAATGGCAGCACAGTACAAAAGTCCTGGAGGGCAGAAAGTGGGAGGACTGGGAGGTAGAACAGAAGTCACACTTAAGGCATTAGTCTCCCATTTGGGAACTCAAACACATAACGTGGATTTTCCAATACCAGACTTAGTTATCTTCAAAAGTTGTTAAACTAATGTCCCGATGTAACCAATATCTCTTTGAGATATAAGCATGAAACAGTTCTATGGCTTCCAAAAACTACCACCACTGTGCTCAGTTGAAATGCTCTTTGTCATTGACTGGCTTTCCTCATCAATGTCTTATCCCATAATGATTAGTTACTCTCAAATATTTATTTATTTATTTATTTATTTATTTATTTATTTATTTATTTATTTGAGACAGGCTGTCACTCTGTCACCCAGGTTGGAGTGCAGTGGCACAACTGTAGCTCACTGCAGCCTCAATCTCCCAGGCTCAAGTGATCCGCCTGCCTAAGCCCCCATTGACCATCCCGCAGCTCCCCACCTCAACCTGAGTAGCTGAGAGTATAGACACGTGCCACCACACCCAGCTGATTTTTGTATTTTTTGTAGAGATGGAGCTTTGCCATGTTGCCCAGGCTGGTCTTGAACTCCTGGCCTCAAACTATCCTCACGTCTAGGCCACCCAAAATATTGGAATTACAGGTGGGAGCCACCGTGCCTGGCCTACTCTCAATTATTAAAGTCATCCCCTTTAGGCTGTAAAGTGCTGTTTGCTTTAGTTTATCTTACAATATTTACAATTCTTTTTGTACCACATGACTCAACATGTACAAAGTGCAAAAAGGCTCTATAAATTAGCCAGGTGTTTTGGCACATGCCTGTAATCCCAGCTACCCAGGAGGCTGAGGCAAGAGAATCACTTGAACCTGGGAGGTGGAGTTTGCAGTGAGCCTGGATTGTGCCACTGTACTCCAGCCTGGGCAGTAGAGCGAGACTCCATCTCAAAAAAATAAACAAAAAAAAGCCTCTATGGTGAAGAGACTTCTTCCCATCCTTTACTCACAGATCTTTCCTTTACTCTTGGTTATGAAGGTTATGCAGTGCACAACTCTAGAAGGCTCGATACACTTTGCATTTATAACAGTATTTCTCAACATTTGATGCAATTAAAAAATAATTGAGAGTCCTCTTTAAAGGTAGATTATGATTCAGTAAGTCTGGGATAGAAGCTGAGATTCTGCATTTCCAAAAAACTCTCAGGTAATGCTGATGCTGCTGGTCTGGAGACCACACCTTTGAGTAGCAAGAGCCTATGTAATTGATGCCTCTGGAAGGTTGTAATTCCATCATGTGTGGCCTTACATGGAAGCCCTACGTTGTTTGCCTCCCCCAAGGTTTGCAAGTTTTATTTTATTTTATTTTATTTTATTTATTTTATTTATAATGGAGATGAGGTTTCTTTCACTATGTTGTCCAGGGTGGTCTCAAACTCCTGGGCTTAAACAATCCTCCTACCTCAGCTTCCTGAGTAACTGGGACTACAGGCATGAGCCACCATACCCAGCTCCCAAATTTTCAATATTCTTCCAAACATGTTCTACGTGTATGTAAGCATATACATACATAAATATATATTTAATTATATACACATATGATAGCATATTACATACATTGTACTACATTTTGTTCTCCACCCATTACCCTTCCCCAACTTAATATGACTTGGAGCCTGTTCCATACTGGTAAGTGTAGAGCTGCCTTGTCTTTTTAGTGATAAAATATTATTACATTGCACAGTGTAACTGTCCTTTAGGAAATGAGTTTTCAAATGGCAGGAAAGCAGGCGACCCCTCTGACACGCTTGGTCTCAGCTCTGCCTCCCTCTCCCTCTGACACTTGTCTTCTTGTTCCAGCAGCATCTGGCCTGACACATCTATCCCACCTCTCCCCCATTGAAGAGATAAAAACGGGAAGACATGGTTACACCACAGTTCTGTACTTCCCTGAACAGATGACCAAGATTAGTCAAACCTTGTATGTAAGTGTCTGGTGCTACAGCCGGCAGTTTACTGACTTAATATATTGCATCTGTTTTCAGCTATGGGGTCCAAGAATATATAAAAGATACATCTAGGCCCTGTTCACCACCATTTTACATATACTAGTTATGATCCATTTGGCATACCTCTCTCCATTTTTTTTTTAAGATAGGATCTTGCTCTGTTTCCCAAGCTGGAGTGCAGTAGCATGATTCCAGCTCACTGCAACCTTGAACTCCTGGGCTCAAGTGATCCTCCCATCTCAGCCTGGAGTAGATAGGACTATACCCAGATAATTTTTTTTAATTATTATTTTTTGTAGATGTGAAGATCTCACTGTGTTGCCCAGGCTCATCGTG
This sequence comes from Homo sapiens, assembly GCF_000001405.40. Taxonomy (NCBI): domain Eukaryota; kingdom Metazoa; phylum Chordata; class Mammalia; order Primates; family Hominidae; genus Homo; species Homo sapiens. The sequence goes on from NC_000009.12 coordinate 20,652,539, forward strand.
TAATCCCGGCTTCAAGCTATCCTCCCACCTTGACTTTCCAAACTTTTGGGATTACAGGCATGAATCATTGCACATGGCCATGTTATATTTTATATTCACCATTATTATATTATAATTATGTTATAATTATAATATTTTATATATATAATATATATTTATATAAAATATATAATATTATATATATAATTATTTTTATAATTATATATAAAATATAATTATTTTTATAATTATATATAAAATATAATTATTTTTATAATTATATATAAAATATAATTATATTACAATTCACCATTTTATATTCAGTTATTATTACTATTGGTGGGGTGAAAGAAGAACTATATATTTCTTATGTTCTTTCAAGAACCTTTACTAATCTATTTGTTAGTAATAGCATTGATAAATTATTACAGAGAGATGGATAAATCATGTGCCAATGGGCTAAAATATGGATAGGGCCAGATTCTAGAATGGCTCTATTAGTAGTAAAATTCTGGTATTCAGAAAATCCTTTAACTTTGCAGTGCCCTAGTATAGAACCATTAGCTGAGAAACAAAAGTATACAGAGAAAAGAGTTAAGATTACTAAGGTACAGTATTATTTCTCATTCATTATTACCTTTTAATATATTAACTCTGGAAGTTTTTTCAATCTGATGGTTTATCATTTTGGCTGATTAGAAGCATACCTTGGACATATTACAGGTTCAGTTCCAGATCACTGCAATAAATATCAGAATAAAACAAGTTACAAGAATTTTTTTTCCCAGTGCATGTAAAAGTTATATTTACATTATACTGGAGTCTATTGAGTTTGTAACAGTATTATGTCTAAAAAAAAGTACTTACCTTAATTAAAAACACTTTATTGCTATTAATAAAACACAATATTTATTAATATATTACTAATAAAAATGCTAATAATCATCTGAGTCTTCATTGAGTTGTAATCTTTTTGCTGGAGGAGGGTCTTGCCTCAACGTTGATGGCTGCTGACTGATCCGGGTGGTGGTTGCTGAAGGTTGGGGTGGCTGCAGAAATATCTGAAAACAAGACAACAATGAAGTTTGCTGCATCAATTAACTCTTTCTTTTGCAAAAGATTTCTCTGTAGCATGTGATGCTGTTTGATAGCATTTTACCCACAGCAGAACTTCTTTAGAAATTGGGGCCAATCCTCTCAAACCCTGCTTTCTTTGCTCATCCATAAGAAGCAACTCCTCATCTATTCCAGTTCTATCATGAGATTACAGCAGTTCAGTCATCTTTAGGCTCCACTTTCTTTTTTTTTTTTTTTTTTTTGAGACATAATCTCACTCTGTCGCCCAGGCTGGAGTGCAGTGGCAAGATCTCGGCTCACTGTAACCTCCGCCTCCTGGGTTCAAGCGATTCTCCTGCCTCAGCCTGCTGAGTAGCTGGAACTACAGGCGTGTGCCATCACGCCCGGATAATTTTTTGTATTTTTAGTAGAGACGGGGTTTCACCGTGTTAGCCAGGATGGTCTAGATCTCCTGACCTCGTGATCCGCCCACCTCGGCCTCCCGAAGTGCTGGGATTACAGGTGTGAGCCACCCGACCCTAGGCTCCACTTCTAATTATAGTTATCTTGCTATTTCTGCCACATCTGCAGTGATTTCCTCTACTGAAATCTTGAACCCCTCAAAGTCACCCATGAAGGTTGGAATCAACTTTTTCTAAATTGTTCATGTTGATATTTTGACCTCTTCCCATGAGTCACAAATGTTCTTAATGGCATATATAATGGTTAACCCCTTCCAGAAGGTTTTCAATTTACTTTGCCGAGATCCACCAGACAAATTACTATCTATGGCAGCTGTAGCTTTACAATAACGATAGTAATAATAAAAGAGTTGAAAACTGAAATTACTTCTTGATCCGTGGGCTGCGGAATAGATGTCGTGTTAGCAGGCATAATAGTAACATTCATCTCCTTGTACATCTCCATCACAGCTCTTGTGTAACCAGGTACATTGTCAGTGAGGATGAAAGGAATCTTTTTTTTTTTTTTTTTCCTGAGCAGTAAGTCTTTACACGGGGCTTAAAATATTCGGTAAACCATGCTATAAACAGAAGTGCTGTCATTCAGGCTTTGTGATTTCACTTATAAAACAGTGGCAGAATGGATTTAGCATCATTTTTAAGGGCCCTAAAATTTTCAGAATAGTAAGTATGCATTGGTTTCAAATGAAAGCCATCAGCCCCTAACAAGAGGGTCAACCTGTCTTTTGAAGCTTTGAAGCAAGGCACTGACTTCTCCTCTTTAGCTATAAAATTTCTAGATGGCATATTCTTTCAATGGAAAGGTGTTTCATCTACACTGAAAATATGTTGTTTAGTGTTCCTCCTTCATCAGTGATCTCAGCTAGATCTGGATAATTTGCTGCAACTTTTACATCAGCACTTGCAGCTTCACTTTGCACTTTTATGTTTTGAAGATGACTTCCTTCTTTAAACTTCATGAACCAATCTGCTAGCTTCTAAATTTTCTTCTGCACCTTCCTCATGTGTCTCAGCCTTCATAGAATTGAAGAGAGTTAGAGCCTTGCTCTGGATTAGGTTTTGGCTTTAGAGAATGCTGTGGCTGGTTTGATTTTATATCCTGACCGCCAAAACTTTCTCCGTATCAGGAACGAGGCTGTTTTGCTTTCTTAGCATTCATGTGTTCACTGGAGTAGCTCTTTTTAATTTTCCTCAATAACTTTCCCTTTGCATTCACAATTTGGCTAACTGATGCAAGAGGCCTAGCTTTCAGCCTACCATGGCTTTTGAGATGCTTAATCGTTTTTAGCTTTTGATTGCTAGTGAGGGATGAGTGACTCTTCTTTTCACTTGAACGTTTAGAAGTCTTAGGGTTATTGGTCTAATTTCAATATTGTTATTTCTCAGGGAATAAGGAGGCCTGAACAAAGGGAGAGAGATGGGGGAATGTCTGATCTGTGGAAGCGTGGAACAATCAGGACACACACAACATTTCTCAATTAAATTCAAGTCTTCTAGGGTGTGGTTTGTGGTGCACCAATGCAATTGCAAGAGTAACATCAAAGATCACTAATCACAGATAGCCATAAGAGATAAGACATTTTTTATTGTGTCTATTAAATTCTTCTCTCTTTTTTTCTTTATTAGTCTTGCTAGCGGTCTATCAATTTTGTTGATCCTTTCAAAAAACCAGCTCCTGGAGTCATGACTTTTTTGAAGGGTTTTTTGTGTCTCTATTTCCTTCAGTTCTGCTCTGATTTTAGTTATTTCTTGCCTTCTGCTAGATTTTGAATGTGTTTGCTCTTGCCTTTCTAGTTCTTTTAATTGTGATGTTAGGGTGTCAATTTTAGATCTTTCCTGCTTTCTCTTGTGGGCATTTAGTGCTATAAATTTCCCTCTACACACTGCTTTGAATGTGTCCCAGAGATTCTGGTATGTTGTGTCTTTGTTCTCGTTGTTTTCAAAGAACATCTTTATTTCTGCCTTCATTTTGTTATGTACCCAGTAGTCATTCAGGAGCAGGTTGTTCAGTTTCCATGTAGTTGAGCGGTTTTGAGTGAGATTCTTAATCCTGAGTTCTAGTTTGATTGCACTGTGGTCTGAGAGATAGTTTGTTATAATTTCTGTTCTTTTACATTTGCTGAGGAGAGCTTTACTTCCAAGTATGTGGTCAATTTTGGAATAGGTGTGGTGTGGTGCTGAAAAAAATGTATATTCTGTTGATTTGGGGTGGAGAGTTCTGTAGATGTCTATTAGGTCTGCTTGGTGCAAAGCTGAGTTCAATTCCTGGGTATCCTTGTTGACTTTCTGTCTCGTTGATCTGTCTAATGTTGACAGTGGGGTGTTAAAGTCTCCCATTATTATTGTGTGGGAGTCTAAGTCTCTTTGTAGGTCACTCAGGACTTGCTTTATGCATCTTGGTGCTCCTGTATTGGGTGTATATATATTTAGGATAGTTAGCTCTTCTTGTTGAATTGATCCCTTTACCATTATGTAATGGCCTTCTTTGTCTCTTTTGATCTTTGTTGGTTTAAAGTCTGTTTTATCAGAGACTAGTATTGCAACCCCTGCCTTTTTTTGTTTTCCATTTGCTTGGTAGAGCTTCCTCCATCCTTTTATTTTGAGCCTATGTGTGTCTCTGCACGTGAGATGGGTTTCCTGAATACAGCACACTGATGGGTCTTGACTGTTTATCCAATTTGCCAGTCTGTGTCTTTTAATTGGAGCATTTAGTCCATTTACATTTAAAGTTAATAGCGTTATGTGTGAATTTGATCCTGTCATTATGATGTTAGGTGGTTATTCTGCTCGTTAGTTGATGCAGTTTCTTCCTAGTCTTGATGGTCTTTATATTTTGGCATGATTTTGCAGCGGCTGGTACCGGTTGTTCCTTTCCATGTTTAGCGCTTCCTTCAGGAGCTCTTTTAGGGCAGGCCTGGTGGTGACAAAATCTCTCAGCATTTGCTTGTCTGTAAAGTATTTTGTTTCTCCTTCGCTTATGAAGCTTAGTTTGGCTGGATATGAAATTCTGGGTTGAAAATTCTTTCCTTTAAGAATGTTGAATATTGGCCCCCACTCTCTTCTGGCTTGTAGGGTTTCTGCCGAGAGATCCGCTGTTAGTCTGATGGGCCTCCCTTTGAGGGTAACCTGACCTTTCTCTCTGGCTGCCCTTAACATTTTTTCCTTCATTTCAACTTTGGTGAATCTGACAATTATGTGTCTTGGAGTTGCTCTTCTCGAGGAGTATCTTTGTGGCGTTCTCTGTATTTCCTGAATCTGAACGTTGGCCTGCCTTGCTAGATTGGGGAAGTTCTCCTGGATAATATCCTGCAGAGTGTTTTCCAACTTGGTTCCATTCTCCCCATCACTTTCAGGTACACCAATCAGACGTAGATTTGGTCTTTTCACATAGTCCCATATTTCTTGGAGGCTTTGCTCATTTCTTTTTATTCTTTTTTCTCTAAACTTCCCTTCTCGCTTCATTTCATTCATTTCATCTTCCATTGCTGATACCCTTTCTTCCAGTTGATGGCATCGGCTCCTGAGGCTTCTGCATTCTTCACGTAGTTCTCGAGCCTTGGTTTTCAGCTCCATCAGCTCCTTTAAGCACTTCTCTGTATTGGTTATTCTAGTTATACATTCTTCTAAATTTTTTTCAAAGTTTTCAACTTCTTTGCCTTTGGTTTGAATGTCCTCCCGTAGCTCAGAGTAATTTGATCGTCTGAAGCCTTCTTCTCTCAGCTCATCAAAGTCATTCTCCATCCAGGTTTGTTCCGTTGCTGGTGAGGAACTGCGTTCCTTTGGAGGAGGAGAGGCGCTCTGCTTTTTAGAGTTTCCCGTTTTTCTGTTCTGTTTTTTCCCCATCTTTGTGGTTTTATCTACTTTTGGTCTTTGATGATGGTGATGTACAGATGGGTTTTTGGTGTGGATGTCCTTTCTGTTTGTTAGTTTTCCTTCTAACAGACAGGACCCTCAGCTGCAGGTCTGTTGGAATACCCTGCCATGTGAGGTGTCAGTGTGCCCCTGCTGGGGGGTGCCTCCCAGTTAGGCTGCTCAGGGGTCAGGGGTCAGGGACCCACTTGAGGAGGCAGTCTGCCCGTTCTCAGATCTCCAGCTGCGTGGTGGGAGAACCACTGCTCTCTTCAAAGCTGTCAGACAGGGACACTTAAGTCTGCAGAGGTTACTGCTGTCTTTTTGTTTGTCTGTGCCCTGCCCCCAGAGGTGGAGCTTACAGAGGCAGGCAGGCCTCCTTGAGCTGTGGTGGGCTCCGCCCAGTTCGAGCTTCCCGGCTGCTTTGTTTACCTAATCAAGCCTGGGCAATGGCGGGCGCCCCTCCCGCAGCCTCGCTGCCGCCTTGCAGGTTGATCTCAGACTGCTGTGCTAGCAATCAGTGAGACTCCGTGGGCGTAGGACTCTCCAAGCCAGGTGCGGAATATAATCTCGTGGTGCGCCGTTTTTTAAGCCCGTCGGAAAAGCGCAGTATTCGGGTGGGAGTGACCCGATTTTCTAGGTGCCGTCTGTCACCCCTTTCTTTGACTCGGAAAGGGAACTCCCTGACCCCTTGCGCTTCCCAGGTGAGGCAATGCCTCGCCCTGCTTCGGCTCGCGCACGGTGCATGCACCCACTGACCTGCGCCCACTGTCTGGCACTCCCTAGTGAGATGAACTCGGTATCTCAGATGGAAATGCAGAAATCACCGTCTTCTCCATCGCTCACGCTGGGAGCTGTAGACCGGAGCTGTTCCTATTCGGCCATCTTTGCTCCTCCCTGCAACTAACTCCATTCTTAATTGGTAGGTGATTCTTATGGGTTGAATTGTTTTCCCCCAAATTCCTATGCTGAAGTTCCAACCCCTAGTACCTCAGAATGTGACTGTATTTGGAAATAGGGCCTTTAAAGAGGTGATTAAGTGACAGGGTGTGGTGGCTCACGCCTAGCACTTTGGGAGGCTGAGGTGGGTGATTGCCTGAGCTCAGGAGTTCTAGACCAGCCTAGCCAGCATGGCAAAACCCCATTTCTACTAAAAATTCAAAAAATTAGCTGGCTGTGGTGGTGTGCGCCTGTAGTCCCAGCTACTTGGCAGGCTGAGGAAGGATAATCACTTAAACCTGGGGGGCGGAGGTTTCAGTGAGCCAAGATGGCACCACTGCCCTCCAGCCTAGGGAACAGAGTGAGACTCTGCTCCCCTCCCCCCGCCCCACACAAAAAAATTTAAAAAGAAAGTTAGCCTGGCATGGTGGTGTGTGCCTGTAGTTCCAGCTAATTCGGAGGCTGAGGCATGAGAATCGCCTGAACATGGGAGGAGGAGGTTGCAGTGAGTCAAGATGGCGCCACTGCACTCCAGCCTGAGTGACAGAGTGACTCCATCTAAAAAAAAAGAGAAAGAAAGGAGAAAGAAAGAAAGAAAGACAGACAGACAGAAAGAAAAAGAGGTGATTAAGATATAAGAAGAGGAAGTTTGGCCAAAGAGACACCCAGGATGTATGCACATAGAGGAAAGATCATGGGAGGATATGGTGAGAAAGTGGTCATCTGCATGTCAAGGAGCTAGGCCTCGGGAGAAAGCAGGCCTGCTAACACTTTGATGTTGGATTTCCCTGCATCCAGAGCTGGAAGAAAATAAATTTCTGTTGTCTAAGTCACCCAACCTGTGATACTTTGTTATGGCAGCTGTAGCAAACTAATGTAGTAATAGTCATTGAAAGATTTTATGCAGGGAAGCAGTCATTTTGATGGCATTGTGAAAGCATTGGAAAGCAGTGAGATGCAGGTGGGCAGATCAGTTAGGATATTGCATCAGTCTAGGCAAGAGATGGGAAGGGCTTGACTAAGGCAGTGACCATCGGAGTGGTGCAATGAGATATGAGAGATAGCTCAGAGGTAAAAATTAATGGAGAGAGAGTGGATAAGTTGGCAACATTTTCCAGGTTTCTTGCTCAAGTGGCTGGGTGAATAATATGCCATCAAGGCCTGAAGTAAGAAATATAGGAAGATAATTCAGTTTTGTTTTCAAGATAATGAGTTTGGTTTTTTGAGATGTTTTCTTGGAGTACCTGTGGGACATCCTTATGGACAGGTTCAGTGGTAGCTAAATATCCAGATGTGGAGACGAGGAGATAAGAGAGGCTACAGACAATAACTTGTGAGCCATCAGCAATAATAACAGCAATAATAGTAGTTATGGTTAACACTTAACCTAGGGCTTATCAGGCGCCAAGCAATATTCTGAACCCTTTGGATGTCACATATCCTTACAATGACCTATGGTGTAGAAACTACTGTTATTCCCATTTTAAAGATGAGGAAATTGAGGCAGAGAAAAAATACCCAAAGTTACTCTCAGCCAGGAAGTGTAGAGTCAGGCTATGAGCCCATACAGTCTGGTTTTAGGGCATGTATCTTGACAAGGTGATTTGCCTCTTCATGTAGTTGGTAGTTAAAATTATGGAAAAATATTCAGATCCCTTAGAAAGAAGATTTCTATAGGGTGAGAAGAAAAGAAGTCAGTATAAAATCTGAGGACATTTCAATACCAATATGTAGAGATCAGCAGAAAAAGAAGATCCGAAGAGACAGCAACAGTTTGGTTAGAATGATGGAAGGAAGACCAAGATGAGAAGTGGCCAACAGTATCAATGCCACAGAGATACCAAGTAACAGACTCAGAAAAGTGTTCACTGGATGTGAAAAGTAGGAGAAAGCTGGTAGCCCCAGCAAGGGTCATTTTATTTGGGTTTGAGGGAGAAGGATCAGAAGTCAGATCATAGTGACTGGAGAAGTTAGAAAAAGAGCATACAGAAATAAAAGAAGAATTATGGCAGAGAAGGATATGAGAGGCAGACAGTCAAAGAGAAAGAGAGAGAGAGAGAGCAATTTGGGCAAAAATTATGGGGACATTCCATGACAAGACTGTGATTAAAATGGAGTGGTTGAACATGTTCATAGACCACGGGAAAGGAGTCAGCAGAAGAGGGGAGGTTTAAGACAGAGAGGAATAATTTGAGAAGGGATGTTTTAGAGAAATTAGAGAAGTAGAATTAAGAGCACAGCTGGAGAGCTAAGGAGGCTGTGGAGATGTTTGGCAATGGCAACTGAAAATGATGGCATTCACTCTGATGTTCTTGGTCTTCTCTGAGAAGTACGGAAGCAAAGTTATCTGAAAAATGTGGTAGAGGAGAATGGGTTGGGAGACAACCAAAGACTAGTAAAAGGACTGAGAAGTAGCATGAAGGGCTCAATAGACAGGAGAAACATTGAAATTGTAGTGTCAGCACCACTTAAAGATGTATGATAGTCTCCAATGTGCTGAGTTCTGTAGGAGGAAGAGTAGACAACATGTATTATAAGATTGTCTCAAGACTGGGTTTTGCAGCAGGCTGTGATAGAAAAACCTGACTTGGTTGTGAGGAGTGGGGAAAGGGAGGTGTTAAAAATGAGGGAATTTAAATGGTTGGGAGGCAGTTGTTCACTTGATGGGCCAAGGAGCACAGACTAGGCAGGTAATTAAAGTCTAAGAGGGAACTGTTAAACTGAGATATTCTCAGTGTCCTTCTTTTTCTCACTATCTCTCTTCCTACTGTTTTACATTTTGTCACACTGGGAAAAAGAGGTCAATATTTAGAAAATCAGCCATTGTGTCTAATTTTCATATTGCTAAACATAGGATACATTGAGTACATATTGCTGCAAGCCCTATGGAAGTTAATTCAGTAATACCAGATTACAAAGGCATTTACACTTAGACTCAGAAATTCTACTTCTGTCACTTTATCCTACAGATATACTTAGGCAGGTACAAAATGATGTGGGCAAAAGCACCACTGTTATTAGTAAAAGCTTGGAAACCTCTGAAATGGCCATCAAAAAATGCTGCTGTAAAAGAAAGAATGAGGAAATTCTTTATATATTGACATGAAAAGATAACCAAGATTAAGTGAAAAAAAGGCAAGGTACAAAACAGTGGTAGAGTATGCACCTTTTGTCTATGAAAAATGGGGAATTATGAATATGTATGATATTTGCCTTAGTTGCACAAAGAACTACTGAAAATATCTACAAGTAGTGGATGGGACATGATTTCACAGTAAACTTTTTATATTGTTTTTATTTTTTAAATGTGGCTGTGTTGCTAAACATAAAGTGGAAATATATGTGTGTGTGTGTGCATATATGTGTGTGTGTGTGTGTATAATTACAAGCTACATTGTGATAGCCATGGAGATGCACAGTCCAGATCCCATTACAAGGAATTAATTACTGCCCAGCTGTGGAGAACGTAGTCTGCACAAAAGCCTCCAGCTGTCAGCTCCTTTAGGGTCAGCCTCGGGGGTAAAGAGCCATCTTAGCCAAAGTCATGCCCTTCCCAAGGCAGCTTACATTTGGTGACTGAGAGAAGCAAGGGAATAAAGACTGGGACATTTTAGTCTGGGACAACTCCGAAGGGCAATATTAGCCTCCTAAGCTCCCAGCCAGGGTGACTGGGGACTTTGTCCAGCCTGCATCTGGTTTCAGCTTTTTTCCTGCTCAATTCTGCTTCCTCTCCCCACTCCCCAACACGTTTGACAGATATTTATACCTTTTTATTTCTATTTTTAAATTTTTTTTTTTAGAGGTGGGGGTCTCATTATATTGCCCAGGCTGGTCTTGAACACCTGGGCTCCCTGCCTTGGTCTCCCAAAGTGCTAGGATTACAGGCGTGAGCCACGGCACCCAGCCAGATATTTATCCCTGATAAACGTCTTGCAACCCAAACTTTGGCTCAGAGCCTGCTTTTGGAAGAGTCAGGAATATATTTTGATAACATTCTAAAGATTTAGTTTTCAATGCATAGTATACTTAATAGAAAAATCAAGACATTTAAACTTAAAGGAATAATTCAAATAACATAATAGAAAATTATTTGTATCCAGTTGTCTTGAGTCTAATGTATTTCAATATAACCTTTTAAAGTTACAGTTTTAACAGTAACACTTATAATGTATCTTATTCTCAGTAAACAAACTATAAAACAAAAGGTTTTTTACTTCTGATAATATCAAGGAACAGTGGCTATGTTTGCAAATTAAATTAGGCTGGGTGTGATAGCTTCATGCCTGTAATCCCAGCTCTTTGAGAGGCTGAGGTGGGAGGATTGCTTAAAGTTAGGAGTTTGAGACCAGCCTGGGCAACATAGTGAGACTGCCTCTACAAAAAAATAAAAAACAAAAAATTAGTCAGACATGGTGGCACATGTCTGTATTCCTGAGCTCAGGAGTTTGAGGTTACAGTGAGCTGTGATCATGCACTGCACTCCAGCCTGAGTGACAGGGAAAGACCCTGTCTGAAAAAACAAGCAAGCAAACAAATAAATAATATAAAAAATTAAGAGGCACTCTTTTCCTTAACGAAATATTTCTATCAGCGGTCCATATTACCTACTACATGTATGCATGTGTGCATGAACACACACACACACACACACACACACACACACATACACACAGTTTATGACTATGTTTGCAATCTTCCAATCTATCATCTATCCTTAATCACTTAATAGACATTTTATTAAATGCTATGCATCAAAAACAATTCTAAGACATGGGCCCTCTTTTCAAAGAATTCAATATAGTTGCCACTTCAATAATGGTACCAGAATGCTTTTAAAATTCTTGTGTGAGGAAAACAATACGTAACCTCAAGCCTGAGACTGCTTCACGTATCACAGTATTTTCTGAAAGACTTTCCTTTTCAGACTTCTGCATTTTCCATTTCTCTAAAACACATTTTCTGTAAAAACCATCTCAAGTATCCTTACAAAGTGTACTTTATATGATATTTTCTCCCAATCTTCATACTTGAACAAATAAACATGTAGGGATTATGTTTCTTTCTATTCTTTATTAATGTCATGAAGTAAATCACTAGTGGATGATGTCTTTTAAACTTGTTTTCCCAGTTACCTATTTTGTGTTGTTATTTTGTCTTAATGAGATCCACTGAGACAGTAAATTTCAAAGCACTTTTCCAACAGTGAAGTGAAAATATCAGCATTGTTGTTTTTATTAATTATTAATGAAATGAATGTATTAACTCTGTTTTCTCCTCAAGATTCTGCAGAAAATCTAATTTTAAAAGTTCTATATTTAAATAACATATGTTTTCCTTTTAAAAAGTTCTATATTTCTAGACCCATATATAAATAAAAAATAGTTTATAGTATTAAATTTATATCTATTTGTGAGACAAGGTTGACTAAGTGATCTGACATATTGACTAAGTGATCTGACATCTAGTATGACCATAGAAACACCTACTTTATTAAAAGAGGTAAAAAGTAATAGTTCAATTAATACTGATTCTATTTAATGGTTCAACAAATCAGACCTCAATTAGAAAGAGCTATTCATTTCTCAGTGCATATTATCTACTAAGCATTTTAAGGGCTCCAAAAACAAGTAGGGCTTCATCAGTCTTTCTGAAGAGTTTATAAGTTTATAATATATTCAAGAGGAATAAGGCAAATAAGCAGGAAGGGAGAGATAAATCCCATAAAGAAGGAACCTTATAGTGGAGAGCTTCAAATGCCAGAGTGATTTCTTTTCTTTTCTTTTCTTTTCTTTCCTTTCTTTTTTTTTTTTTTTCTCATGGAGATGAGGTCTCGCTTTGTTGACCAGGCTGGTTTCAAACTCCTGGCCTCAAGCAATCCTCCTGACTTAGCATCCCAATGTGCTGGGATTACAGGCGTGAGCCATTGTGCCCGGCCCAGGGTGATATCTTAATAATGGTGATGGTTTCAAGAGTTTATACATGTGTCAAAGCTTATTAAATTGTATACTTTAAATACATAAAGTTTAATGTATGTCATATTTACCTCAATAAAACTATTTTTCAAAATACCAGTTTTTGGTATTTTGAAATGTTATACATAGTGGAAAACACTGCATTTTTTTAAACAGAGAAATGATAAAACTAGTATTCTGCCTTATGACGAATAAGTTGGTGGTAACATTAGTTGACTTAATTAAAAAAGGAAAATGATAAACCAGGGTAGAGTACTCCAGTATGGGGGTATTCTGCTAGATTAAGTAGGCATGTTGATTGTTAATGGCTTAATAGAGCTAGAGTTACTGGCTTAGAGACTGCTAAAGAAAAAGAAAAACCTTGCTTGAAGTTTTATTAAGACTGAGTCCCAAGAGATCTAAAGACCTAGAATAATTGTATAGGTTTCCAAGTCTTATAGAAGAGTATGATAGTGATGATAGTGAAAAATATAAATACCTTCTAATTTGCAAAGCCTTTTCTGGGAGGCAGTGACTCCCAGAAAATGTAAATACTACATTTACACTGCTTAGGACAATAAAGCCCAACTCTTTATCTTTTGTAACTAATGAATGACGAATCAGCTAATTCATCTCTTTATCTCATTCTATAATAAAAAGATTAGTGATTTCAGTTCAGTCACTTCCTCAGAATTGTGGTCTGTATTGTGTCAGGACAAGATCAAATAAGTGCATATCCACCTTTTATATGTCTATACAATTATTTGATTCTAGAAATATGAGAGTAAAAGGAAAAGAGTAAATATGTTGGTGAAAAGTGTGACAGCACAAGCCTAAGCAGGAGAACAAAATGAAAAGTAGTTCTTAAAGGGAATAAAAGTTCTTTGGATGTTTGCTTTTCCCGGGTTTTAATCTCTTGTTACCCAGAATATAATTGAAATATATTATTTTAATGGCTGGGCACGGTGGCTCACGCCTGTAAGCCCAGCACTTTGGGAGGGCAAGACAGGCGGATTGCCTGAGGTCAGGAGTTTGAGACCAGCCTGGCCAACATGGTGAAACCCTGTCTCTACTAAAAATACAAAAATTATATATTTTATAATTATATATATATATTTTAGACGGAGTCTCGCTCTGTCACCGAGGTTGGAGTGCAATGGCGTGGTCTCAGCTCACTGCAACCTCCGCCTTCCAGGTTCAAGTGATTCTCCTGCCTCAGCCTCCCGAGTAGCTGGGATAACAGGCACCCGCCACCACGCCCAGCTAATTTTTGTATCTCTATCTCTGGTTGTCACTAGAGATCTGGAATCAGGTGTGGGAAAGGATGGGTCAGAAGACTGCTGGCTTTTGTTTGCTTGTTTGTTCATTTGTTGTTAAAAATTCTGTAGTACTATCTCATTGTTTAAACTATTTACCCATATTATTATGCATTCTATAAAGTGATTATTTGGTGAAGACCATAAATATTACATATAGCATGAATAAAAAAATAACTGGCTGGGTGCAGTGTCTTGCCCTGTAATCCCAGCACTTTGGGAGGCTGAGGTGGAAGATTGCTTGAGCTCAGAAGTTCGAGACCAACCTGGGCAACACGACAAAATCCCATCTCTACTAAAAAATACGAAAACAGCTGGAAGTGGTGGTGCATGCTTGTAGTCCCACCTACTTGGGAGGCTGAGGCAGGAGGATCAATTGAGCCCAGGAGGCAGAGGTTGCAGTGAGTCGAAATCACTCCCCTGCACTCAAGCCTGGGTGAGAGTGAGACCCTATCTCAAAACAAACAAACAAACAAAAACTGTCTTACTCTTACTCAGATAGGTACTTATGATTTGGAATGAAGTTTCCAATTAGAGCTTCTATACGGATTTATTATATACTTAACCTTAGGCAATTTAGATGGAAGAGAAGAGGGTGTTTTCTAGAAAATTATGGTGATGGTTTAAAATGTGGTTCCAGTGGTGGCAACAATACTGATGTTGGAGGTGTCTGCGAAGAGTTTGATTAAAATTGTTTAATGTATATGAGTGGGAAAAGCACATCAATTGGGGAACATTCTACAATATTAGACAATATGAAATTGTAAACATGTATGTGTAAATAAATCCATAAATTATTTTTTGACTATGTCTTTGATATTCCTGAAATATGAAATATTCTAGTTGGCAAAAACAAACAAACAAAAAAACCCACAAAAACTACTTTTGCATCTTTTCATTAGGAAAAAAGCGATTGATTTAAATTTGAAGTCACTTTGTATTTTGGCAAATTTCACAGTTTCCTCCATTGTTCTCTGAAGCTACTAATAATTACATTTAAGTCGAATTTCGAATCTACCACTAATTAGTTTCTCTTTCTTTGTCTATCTTATAAAGTCACTAAAATCATCCTCATGTGAAATGCACGTGTTATAGCTTGTCTCATATTATCATCTTGATCAATTAAAAATTAAAATTTTCACTACTCAAAATACTCTGATAAGTAATCAAAGGCTATATACTTTAGGAAAAAACTAAAAATAATCCACTCGTTTATTTGAGATTGAAATGGACTTATAAATCTTGTTGGCAGTCTTAAAGCTAAAGCAAAGTCTACAAATGCATTAACCCAGAAGGAAGAGGACAAGTTTGTGCCATATAATTTTATAATTGGGAATTTAAATTGTAAAAGAAAAAGTACCCAATAAATGGCAGATCTCCTTTGTTTTAACCTCATCCAAAATTAATCCCACTTTTTGATCACATCCCTGACAAAGGAATCTTTCTTTCTAATGCTGCAATATTAGCCTGGGGTTCAGGAACATCCCTGCGAGGACAGAGAGGAATTACCCAGGAAACCACTGCAGAAATTCCAAGTATCTTTTAGGTGCTTTACAGTTGACACCTGAAGACCTTTCTGACATGGTCACTATTGTGACAGGAATAATACTGCTTCATGGTCAGTCTGTGGTGAGATTATGCGTGGAAAACCTTGGATTTCCAAAGAATTAAGAAATTAAAAACAACAGCAACATCAACAAAAATAAAAACCAGATATGAAAAAAAACCTCCCTAATGAAGACGGGATTCTTTCTTCTTTGCATACCATCAAAAAGATCATTCTGGTGTAGATAACAGAAGTGGAGTTGAATCATAATTTTTTTTTTAGTTGATTATAGATGCCACTAGAAAAGGTTTAAGCGTGTTTGGACAGGGAAATAGAAGTATTCTTTTACATTTGCTGAAAGAAGATCTATTATCTCTAATAATTTCTGAATGAAATACAATTTAATTGTAGTTTCCTGTAAATAAATACATTTCCACATTTCATACGGCAGAGAAGAAATTTGGTTTTGTTTGCATCTCATTTTTGTATTTTTAAGAGTGAAGTGTGAAATTGTAATGACAAATTTCCCTTTGTTTTCCTCTATTTGAGAGTTCATTGCTGAATACTTTTAACGTTTAATCATAAGGGGGAAAATGACCCCAGAATTATATGATCTTTAATGACTCCATTTTAACAACTAGATACAAAAAGAGAAGCAAAGTGAAGGACATCCTCTTAACCCATTCAGATGGAAATGTGAATCAAGTGGAAACATTTTATAAATGTTTATTAATATAAGCAAGTTGCTTTATTTACTAGCATTATTATACTGTGCAATAAAATACTCCTTGTGGTTAGAAGCAGTTACAAACAGCTAACTATTGTTTTCCTATTTCCATTTTTTATGTTCTGATATCAGGCAACATCTACATCAAAAAATTACAGGGGGAGGAAAAGAAGAGAAATTAGGATAGGCTATAAAGATTGTACAAATCCTAAATGGTATGATTACAGGGCATGATGGCCACTGAATAGATCCATTAGTCGTAATTGAATCTGTCAGGAGCCAGGTAAATGGCTGTCTCTGAGGAGGTCACCTTCCACATATGAACTGGCCTACAGCTTGTATTAGCCTTGTCAGGAGATTGAATCCTGACTTATCTGTAGAAACCTTTAAAACAAATAATAGGAATGAAGTAGCAAAGCTCAAAAGTAACAACATTCTGGACGGAAACAAAATGCATAGCATAAGGAGTGGTGATCACACCAGACAAACTTTATTGCCCATCCTGTTCCCAGGCTGTGTGGCACGCTCCCCGTTTTCTCCTCTAGGTTCACGGTTAGCCTCCCCACCCATCTCTGGGCTGACATTTTCAAAGGACTGCATCAAAGGTGATTCCTTGCCCTGTGACTTCCATAGGAAGTCCTGTTTGGAGACCGGAGGATGGAAGAGAAAGAATATTTATTTCCCTGCTCTTGGATATTTAATTCCCTGGTTTCTTCCTTCTTGGGGGCCTTGTGCTTCACCAAGGACCATAGCTGGTCTTTGGAGTAAGGCAAGTGAGGTCCTAGGGTGAAAAAAATTTAAGGGGGTGCTCATTCTCAGGGTTGTGCAAGGGGAGGATCGGCACTGGAGAGAGGCCCTCCTTAGATTTATTTTGTCACTAATTCCTTACACTAGCCCTTCCTTTAATTGAGCTAGTTTGAAGGGATTCTGTTCCTTATTTTCAAAGCAGCACAAACCAAAATAGCAAAAAACCAGAAGCCTGAGAAGCACTTGGTGAAAACTTGGTTATTCTAAAATAATTCAGGATTCTTGGGCCCAGAAACTTATCCTCGTCAAGATTGGATATGTGTTGCTTCATAAATTGTAAGGCCAGTGAAAAAAGAAAACATGGCACAGTGCTGTGGCTCATGCTTGTAATCCCAGCAGTTTGGGAGGCCGAGGCGGGCAGATCACTTGAGATCAGGAGTTCAAGACCAGCCTGGCCAACATGGGGAAACCTGTCTCTATTGAAAATACACAAATTAGCTGGGCATGGTGGTAAGCACCCTGTAATCCCAGCTACTCAGGAGGCTGAGGCATGAGAATCGCTTGAACCCAGGAGGCAGAGGTTGCAGTGATCCAAGATTGTGCCACTGCACTCCAGCCTGGGTGACAGAGCAAGACTTCATCTCAAAAAAAAAGAAAAAGAAAAAGATAATACAGGGCGCCCATGTAAGCATTACTGAAAATGTCAAGAAAGCAACAGCAGAGCATTGAAGCAAGCACAGGAACTTTCTTAGTGTGGGTTCCTACATGACTACATAGGTCATATACTCATGAAGCCCAGATTCTGAGATATTTGCAAATGAAATGGTTAATCATTGAGGAATTGTGAGAACTGAAAAAGTATTAGAAAATAAAATTAAAAGTCATTTAAAATTTTGCAAGCCCTATGATGGCAGCATGGGTTTATTATGCATCTTTTTAACCCATGGTGTTTATTAGAGCACTTTCTACATAGTAAGAACTTAGCATTAACAACAATAATATCTATAGTTACTGAACTCTTATTAGGGGCCCAAGGCCTGGTGCACAGTAAGTATTTATTTGTTGAAGTAATGAATGGGTAGATTAAATTTAGATACTGGTTAAGGGCTTTATATGAATAATCTCATTTAATCCTAAAAATCAATCCTAATGATCAATAAATCCTCATTTAAGCCTAGTGAGGTAAATATCATTAGTATCTCTTGAATTAGTCTGTTCTCACACTGTTATAAAGATACCACCTGAAACTGGGTAATTATAAACAAAAGAAGTTTGATTGATACAGTTCTGCATGGCTGGGGAGGCCTCAGGAAATTTACAATCATAGTAGAAGGTGAAGGGGAAGCAAGGCACATCTTACATAGCAGCAGGAGAGAGAATAGAGAAAGGGAGGGAGTGTCACACTTTTAAATCACCAGATCTTGTGAGAATGCATTCATTATCGCGAGAACAGCATGGGGGAAACCACCACCCTCATAATCCAATCACTTCCCACCAAGTCCCTCCCTTGACAGACACGTGAGGATGACCATTTGAGATGAGCTTTGGGGTGGGGTGGCCAGGGGACACAGCGCCAAACCATATCATCTGTATTTTATAATAAGGAACCGGAAGCTTAGAGAGTTAATTTGCCCAAGGTCACAGAGTTGGTTAACGTCTGAAATTTGTATCCCTATTTCTATGATTCCAAAGTCTAAGATCTTAACCACTCTGCCCACAATAGGCACTCTGAAGAACTGAATGATTTTTGGATTGTCTTTGGGCATTAACTGAGTTGTACCTCTAACAACTCTATTAACTTGATATTAAAAAATAGCAATCCTTATTATGTAAAAATTTTAAATCCCAGCTAGTAAATACTAACTGTATAAGAGACTCTGATTGTCTACAGAACATTCTCTCCTTAGAAAGACATATTTTTAGTCTTATATTTTATTACATTTCTGATCTTCTGTAATAAGACAATGAAATTATTATATCATGGATATAATATAATATAAATGACGGATTGTGTCATGGATACATACAACCTTATAAATATGTCAGGCCAATTAGAACTCTTAGTCTTATATTGAAATGTGCACCGTAGATAAAATTACATAGATACAAACATCTATATATTGAACTCTCGGTGGCAAATTTCAAGAACTGGAAGCCTTAAAATAAAGAGGAAAAAGCTCTTGAGACTGGAATATGCCTTAGTATTAGTGAAAACAAATTTCACTTCTCCAATTATTGTGTGGACAATCCTGTTATCTCATACCAGTCTTCTAAAATCCTTAAGCTTGAAGAATGGCTTCAGCCCAGAACAAGCTTTCTCTAAGTGGAATGCAGGAGGATTTGAGCAGCCAGATTCAAATGTGCACTACAGGAGAGCAGAATATCTGTGTGTATATGGTGACTGTTCAGTTTCCACCTATTGGCCGTCCTTGCAAGGGAGGCATCATTCTCTCACAAGATAGATTAGTATGGTAACATGTAATAAAAGAGGAGAGATTAAAAAGAAGAAAGAATGCAGAGAGAAAAGAGAAAATGAGTTACTGTTTAACAGATGCTGGGGCAAATGATTATGCTCCTGGCAGGCAAAAAAAGGGCAAAAAGTTTCCTGTATTGCTCCCTAATACAGTCACCTTTGAAGATGTGATGTGCCGACTCTCTCAAAACTAATCTGACATACACAGACACCTAAATCATAGCTGTCACTATGGAGTGCTGCCGCTGGCTTGTACAGGCTCCTGAGAGCTAATTGTGTACACCTCTTTCAAATTCCATATTCAGGGACATCAGGTTCATAGTTTGAATTTGGCCGTAATAGGAATATTTACACCACAGAAATCAGCAACCGTTGTAGTTTTTTTTTTTTTTTCCTCCCTGGAGAGCCTGTTTACCAGCACACCACTGACTGTAGCTTATAAAGACAACATAACTCCATAGTGTGTACATGGGATAGGGAACCATACTCTACTTTTGTGTGAAGGCAACAAATAAGGAAAAATGAATCAGTAAAACTCCTGCAAACTTTATAGAAGACTGTTCCAAAGGTCCTGCTGGCATATTGCAGTTTTTAAAATTCAACTACAAGTGCATTGCAATGTCATTCAGAAGGTTGAATTATAATTGGCATACTCTGTAGAAGAAGTGAGAAGTATGGTATAATTTTTATAAAGTTTTCCATTGAAAATTAATTTTTCAAAGCTATGGGAGCTGGTTTGACTATTGAGCATCTTTATTGATAAATATCAAGCCCTATGGCCTTTCTGCAACACATATTTAAGTTAAACAAATGAAATCAATAAGTTATAACTTAAAAATAAATTATTATTATTATTATTATTTTTGAGATGGAGTCTCACTCTGTCGCCCAGGCTGGAGTGCAGTGGCGCAATCTAGGCTCACTGCAAGCTCTGCCTCCCGGGCTCACGCCATTCTCCTGCCTCAGACTCCAGAGTAGCTGGGACAACAGGTGCCCGCCACCACGCCCAGCTAATTTTTGTATTTTTAGTAGAGACAGGGTCTCGCCACATTGGCCGGGCTGGTCTTGAAATCCTGACCTTGGGTGATCCACCCACCTTGGCCTCTCAAAGTGTTAGGATTACAGGCGTGAGCCACTGCGCCCGGCCAAAAATAAATTATTTTTAAAAATAACCAAAGAACCACAGGAAAAACTTATGTTACTTAAAATATTATTGTTTAGCTGGTTAAACAATCTAGGTCACCAACAGGACTCACCAAACTTCAGTTCCATGGATTTAAATCTATTTACAAGTTGCTTTTATTTAAATAAACTAATAGTTTCTAATACATAACTTATTGAAGTAAACTGATAATTAGGCATCAATTTGTATTCATTTTGGAAGCCAATGGACATTTTTAGCAGTACCAGCAGTAAAGATACTCAGATTTTATTCCCATTGCTTGGAGTATGCAGTGGCAATGAATGTCTGAAAACCACTCCAGAATGGTAGGGGGATAAATTGTATTTTGGGGAAGATTTTGGCCAGTATAGACAGAAATGGAAGAGGAGGCCTAGTTACTCTTGTTTGTTTTTACCCTTGGTTTTTTCTATTTTTTGACTATTACAAATAATGCTGCTATGAACATTTTAATACAAGCTTTTATGTGGGTTTATGTTTTAATTTCTCTAGGATATATACATAGGATTGGAATTGCTAGGTCATACGGAACTCTATGCTTAACACTTTGAGGAACTGTTGAACTGTTTTTCCATAACAGTGCACCATTTTTACATTTCCATCGACAATGTGTAAGGGTTCTAATTTCTCTGCATCGGCATCATTTATTGTCTTTTTTATTATAACTATCCTGGTAGTGGTATCTAACTGTGGCTTTGATTTGCATTCTCCTGGGGGTTATGATATTGAGCATCTTTTCATTTATTTACTAGCTACTTGTATATCTACTTTGAAGAAATATCTATACATTTTTATTTAATTATACTTAATTAATTATTATTATTTTTTTGAGACAGGGTCTCACTCTGTCACCTAGGCTGGAGTGCAGTGGCGTGATGGCGTGATCTCGGCTCATTGCAACCTCTGCCTCCCAGGCTCAAGCAGTCCTCCCACCTCAGCCTCCCAGGTAGCTGGGACTACACGTGCGTGCCACACGTGGTGTCTCACCATGTTGCCGAGGCTGGTCTTGAACCCCTGAGCTCAAGCGATCTGCCCACCTGGGCCTCTCCAAGTGCTTGGATTACAGGCGTGAGCCACCATGCCCGACTCCTAATTAATAAAATTCTTTAATTAGATTGTTTTTTAATTATCAAGTTGTAAAAGTTTTTCTACATTCCTCTTTACTCTTAATTAGTTGAAAATTTGTCAATTGTTCTTTAAGGTAAAAAGGCTAAATCAAGACCTTATGCTACCAGTTTGGATAAGAAGCGAGGCACTGGGTCTATCTGTAGTGGTATGTTGCAGTCAGTTTGTCACAAGAGCCAATTGTTAAATTTCAGGAACTTTGCAAACTACTTGTTAAACACAGTCCTTATTAAAAAGCAAATTATATCAACTTACAATTAAATATCTTATATTAGTATTAGAAATAAATATATTAGATGTTCTAAGCTTATTACTTCTGAATTATTTTTCTACATTTTATTATTATTTATGCTATTGAGGTTATTTATGCTATTGTCTCTATGGTGGAAATATTATACAATTATGTGTAAGTGTACACCTCTTCCCAACTCCATATGGAAATTGACCATGTGGGAGTACTGTATTTATACCATGGAAGTTGGCAAACACTACACATCAGCTTCTCCCCTATCTCTTTCCACCAAGAGCTGCTAATTAAACATCTGTCAGCGCACCACTGGACAATTAGGCCTGGATATTATAAAGATGTTCCAAAGGCCTAATTCTTGACAGAGAATGTAAGCAGAAGAGAATTTTTTAAGACCCCTAGCAACCCTTGCTGAGAGCACATCTTTGAAGTCCAGGCTGTGGTGCCACTTTGGAACAACTCTCATGAAGTTGCATCAAAAGATACTGGTCAGCTTTGCCTGCTAAGTTGGAGAAAGTAGGCCATGTGTTCTTTGAATGTCTGGAGGACGATGATGATTTTATTTGACTTTGCTCTGTATAATCAGTGTTTAGCATGGCGTTGAGCTGATACTATTTACTCAGTAATATTTGTTGAATAAATGATAGCTGTGCTTTTCTTCTGCCCCATGGTTATAAGGACTGAAATTTAAGAAGCCTGATTGAATAGATTCCTTCAAAATTTCCCCCCAATACCTACTTAATAAGTTCCTGGGATAAGAGGTTGTCTCAGAATCCAGGGTGAGATGGGGTAGAGTTGGGGCAGAACTATACCTATGGAAGCAGCAAGAGAACAAATTACTTCTGTGGTACATATTCTGCAAAAATGCAAGAGCCACAGTCAAGGGCAATTGACTTCTTCCTTGTAAGACCCTCTTTTTCTGGTTAAAAAAGTTTTTCTTCTATAAATCTAGTTCTCTAAGTCTCATAGGCCAGCCCTGAACCACATGGCCATGACTTGCTGTAAGGAAGTCTGGGAAAGTATCTGGCAAAGGGGAAGAAGAGAGCCATGGTTGGCTTAGGTTAGGGGTAGGCAAACTATAGTCTGTGGGTCAAAACTGGATGATCACCTAATTTTAGAATGTTTTCAAGCTAAGAATAGTTTTTACATAAAAATATATACCAGAGCATAGCCATCATGTCAAAACAAGAAAAGAAGAGAAAAGTGAACTTTTTGTGTCATGCTTTTAAGGCACAGTGGATTGTGGATTATTTTGTTATCAAATTGGATGACAAAGTATGTGTTTATTGTGCAGTGATACTATACCTGTACTAAAAGATAATATACATCAATATTCCCAGATTCATCACAATATTCCCAACTCACAGGGAGACAATGGTCAGAAAATGTGAAAATTTACAATGGAAAACGTCATCACAGCAGAATTTCTTCACAAAAATAACAAAAGAGTTGAAACCAAAGTAATTTTCTGAGTGGCTTCTTTGTTGGCCAAGCAAAGAAAGCTGTTTACTGATGATGAGTTAATTAAATCATGTTTGATCACAGCAGCTGAAAAAATTTTTTCCCAAGAAAATAAACTTGTTTCAGACGATTAACCTTTCAGTGAGATCTGTTGTTTGAAGAGTTGAAGACACTGGGAGCAACATCAATAGTCATGTACAAAACAAGGTAGATGATTTTGAGTGGTTTTCCTTGGCTCTTGATGAGTTGACAGGTATTACCAATAGTGCTCAGTTGCTTATTCAAGGAGTCAACGCTGAGTTTAAAGTCACTGAAGAATTAGCCTCTATGAATCGTCTGCGTAGAACAACTATGGGCAAATATATTTTCAAAGATGTTGGGAAAACATTAATAAAACCTGAAGTAGAATCTGTTAAGATGCCTTATAACTTATGGTGATAAAAATGTGTATGGAGAAGAAAAAGCTTAGTTGGACAAATTAATAAAGCTTGTGAAAATGTGAGAGACTTAAAGCCCATTGTTACTTACTATGCTGTTCATCAGCAGGTAATTTGCAGAAAGTGTTTGAATCTATTGTGTGTTTCTGACCCAGAAGTTCCAATGGTGAACTTCATTTACTCTGGTGGACTTAATGATCAATTCTGCAAACTTTTGTCAAAAATAGAAGCTGAATATCCCGATTTGCCCTATCACACAGCAGTTTTATGGCTTAGCAGCGGTAAAGTTTTGTTGCAATTTTTAAAACTCAGGCCTGAGACTTCTGGAATGAGAAGAACCTCCCTCAATTACTGTTATTGAACATGAGTGGCTTTGAAAATTAGCTTGTGTGGCAGACTTCATCATGTTTCTCAATATAAAATTACAAGGCAAACAGAGCATATGTCCAAAACTCACATTATGGTAAAGTCATTTTAACAAAAACTAATGCTGTTTCAATCACAAGTAATGTCAACCTGCTTAATATAGTTCCTGTGCTGTCAAAGTTTTAAAAAGAAGCAAGAGCTCCATTCCCACAAACATTTGCAGGAGATATATTTTCCAAAATCAAACTAAAGTTCCAATAGCATTTTTGGATTTCAATGCAAGTGGAAAGGAAATTTTCAAACATCAAAATCCATTTATTAAAGAAGACACAGATAAATGGAAAGACATCCTCTGTTCATGGATTGGAAGAATACCATTACAATGTTCATACCACACAACATGATCTACAGATTCAATACAATCCCTAAAAAATTTTGATAATACTATTTAAGAAATAGAAAAAAACAACATAAAATTTATAACAAACCACAAAAGGCCCTGAATAGCCAAAGCAATCTTGAACAAGAAGAACAAAGCTGGAGGTATCATACTTCTTGATTTCAAAGTACATGACAATGCTACACTAATCAAAACAGTATGGTACTGGCATAAAAATATACAGATAGGCCAATGGAACAGAGCAGAGAGCCCACGAATAAATCTATGTATCTATGGTCAACTGATCTTAAACAATAACACACAAGGATCGACTCTTTATTAGATGGTGTTGGGAAAACTGGATATTCACATGTAGGAGAATGAAATTGGACCCTTACCTCACCCCATGTGATAAAGTCAACTAAAACAGATTAAATATTCAAACATAAGATCTAAAACTGTAAAATTACTAGAAGCAAAGATAGGAAGAAAGCTTCTTGACCTTGTTCTGAGCAATGATTTTTTGAATATGACCCCAAAAGCACAGGCAACGAAAGCAAAAATAGACAGGTGGGATTGCATCAAACCAAAAAGCTTTTGCACAGCAAAGGAAACAACAGAATTAAGAGACAACTTACAGAATGAGAGAAATATTTGCCAACTATTTATGTGATAAAGGGTTAATATAGAAAATACAAAGAATTCAGCTTAATAGCAAAAAAACCAAATAACCTTATTAAAAAATGGACTAAGGACCTGATAGACATTTCTCCAAAGAAGACATACAAATGGCCAATAGATATAGGAAAAAATGCTCAACATCAGTAATCATCATACAAATTTAAAACTACAATAAGATATAACCTCAAACCTGTTAGAAAAGGTAACAAGTGTTAAGGATGTGGAGAAAAGGGAACACTTACATGCTGTTGGTGGAAATGTAAATTGGCAGAGCCATGATAGAAAACCGTGTGGAGGTTTCTCAAAATACTAAAAAATAGAACTATATCTGATACTGCAATCCCACTTTTGAGTATACCTCCAAAGGAAATGAACCTGGCATCCCAAAGAGATATCTGCACTTTTGTTCACTGCAGCATTATTCACAGTAGTCAAGATATGGAAACAACCTGTTTGTCAAAAGATGATTGGATAAAGAAAATGTATGTATGTGTGTGTGTATATGAAGATATATTGAAGTTTTTATATATCCTTTGCTTTATTGAATCCTCTCAGCACCTCCAATAATTAAAAACATATCAGGAAGAACAAAAAGAGACTTGAGGCAAATTTACTCTCTGGTCCATTTCAGAAAGAAATTGCTGGCTTAGATCAAACATATTCTATCCCTTGGTGCTGGGAACATTACTGAGTCACATAAAAATTTGGATTATTTTTAGCATGGGGATTACATTGAAATAATGTATGTCAATATTAGTAAGGATCTGATATTGTCTTGTTATTAAGAAAAGTGGTTGTAGTTATTAGAGATACATGGCTACATCATTCTTATTGCCCAAGCTGACCTTGAGCAAACT
Source organism: Homo sapiens (assembly GCF_000001405.40). Taxonomy (NCBI): domain Eukaryota; kingdom Metazoa; phylum Chordata; class Mammalia; order Primates; family Hominidae; genus Homo; species Homo sapiens. Next base: position 20,678,337 of record NC_000009.12, read on the forward strand.
ACCAAGCATGTGAATGAGGCCATCCTAGACCAGCCAAGCTTTAAGCTGACTGCAGACATGTAAAGAGATCCAGGAGGGACCAGCAAAACCAGCCTAAATATGAATTGCCTAGGAAACCACAGGATCCTGAGAATGAATAATTGTTTGTGATTGTAAGCCACTAAGTTCTGGGGTGGTGTGTTACACAGCAATCTCTATTATAGGTGACCAAGGTAAGTGTGTCAGATATTCTCTTTTTGCCCCTTCACAGTGCTGCAGGAGGCCGACCTATAACTGCAGCACAGGCTTCCCTTGCTTCAGGAGATCAAGAGAGAGGAGAATGAGGGAAGTGAAGATAGTAATTCCCTGAACCCCCTCCCTGTAGCATCACTGTGGACTGGCTGTGTTACGTGACCAAATGCCCCAAACACAGCTTCTTTGTGTTTTGTAACTACACTCTCTCCTTTCTGCTTTCAGCTTAGGCGTGATTTGGGGGCCCCAATGTTACTGCGTCTCCCTTGTGATCTTTTTAATCCCTGCCCATACCTCTGTTTATAGTCTTTTATTAAACTCTTCAATGTTTCCTAGTTTGATTGTACCATCTGTTTCTTGCTGGGACCCTGACTGATAGAGTAGGCCTTATCCAGAAGGTAACATCTCAGCAAAGACTTGAATGATCTGATGGAATGAGTCACAAAGATATCTGGGGAGAAATGCCAAGATCTTGCAGCAGCCAGGAGGCCGGGTGAGTGAGCTGGGCAGGAGTGTAGAAGACAAGGTCAAAGGGGCAACAGACAGTCTGTGTATGTGTGTGTGTGTGTGTGTGTGTGTGTGTGTGTGTGTGTGTGTGTGTGTGTTGGGGATGGAGGTGTGTGGTGCAGGGGAGGGAGATCATGTATGGCCCTGTTGGCTTTTGTAAGAACTTTCGCTTTTACTTAGAAAGAAATGGGGAGCCATTGGAGACTCGTATATCTAATTAAATCTAATAGATTGCTTTCTGTGATGTGCTGACACTGGAGCTCTGTGATTTAGTACTGAATTTCTCCTCCCAGTCTTCGTGCCTGATGATGAATGGGTGGGCGTGTTGAGCCAGCCCAGCATGCTTGGGCCTGAGTTCAAGGCTTTGTGTCTCTCTCCTGATGCTGTGGGTGACATGACCTTCCTTACAGTACAGGATTCAGACTACAGTGTCTTTTTTTTGTTAGCATATTCTTTTCAGCTCTGTTAATGACTTGGGAGTGGGCACATTTTTCTTACTCTCTTTTTTTTTGTTGTTGTTAAAGTCAGTAGGCCCTTCTACACTGACTTCAAAATGTGTGCTTATCTAAAGGGTCTTATACAATAGAGAACTGCTTAACTACTTCAGTGGAAATAATACAAGGAGTTGAACAGAAATACTATCTGCCTGCCTACCTCTTAAAGACGGTAGTTTGTCTTAAATATTTAAAAGGCAGAGTTTTGCATGTACAATGTCTAGAAAATACAGATTTGAAAGGTGTTTTAATCCTTCAAGTGAAATTTGCGTCTGAGCTGGGCCTTCTGGAATTAAGTCTAGCGCACCCTCCACAGGTTACATGAATAAAGGTGATTCTCTTGTAACCCCTATGAAGGACCACCCTCTCTCTGCTGTTTCTCAGAAATATTCCTCAGGCTGAAAGTCAGTGAACCAGCTGTAGAGAGCTACAAACATCTGCATCAGATGTAGGTTCGCCCAACTAAGTTAAACTGATCTTTCCTAAGTTATAGCTCAATCAAAATTTAACTATAAATTGTAGCTACATTCCTTCAGGCTCCATTCTTTGCTTTCAGCTCAGAAGGAAAGTAAGCTATTTAGTTAACGTGATTAATTAGGCAGGCAGAATCTTTTTCCTCCTGGCTAAGAATATAGGTGGACTATTAGAACCTGTTCTAATGTTTTTTGTCCGGCCTTCACCTTAATTTCTTTTACAATTTGTTGTTATTGTCCGGGTGCGATGGCTCATGCCTGTAATCCCAGCACTTTGGGAGGCTGAGGTGAGCCCACCACGAGGTCAAGAGATAGAGACCATCCTGGCCCACATGGTGTAACCCCGTCTCTACCAAAAATACAAAAATTAGCTGGGCATGGTGGCGCACGCCTGTAGTCCCAGCTACTTGGGAGGCTGAGGCAGGAGAATTGCTTGAACCCAGGAGGTGGAGGTTGCAAGCTGAGATTGCGTCATTGCACTCCAGCCTGGCAACAGAGCAAGACTCTGTCTCAAAAAAAAATTTAAATTTTAAAAATTTATATCCCAGTGCATAAAGCAAGCTATTCAATAGGTATGCAGTAGAAAGAGGATAGGACTAGGAGTCAGGGAACCAGGGTTTTAGTCCTTCTAAAACATATTAGCAGCTAGCCATGGTGGCTTACACCTATAATCCCAGCATTTTGGGAGGCCGAGGCGGGAGGATAACTTGAGGCCAGGAGTTCAAGACCAGCCTGGACAGCATAGTGAGACTTCATTTCTATATATACATTTATTTATTAGAATGTAGTAGTAGAATATATGTGTATGTTAGCCGAACACTGTGGTGTGTGCCTGCAGACCCAGCTACTTGGAAAGCTGAGGTGGGAGGATTGCTTGAGCTCAGGAGGTGAGGCTGCAGTGAGCTATGATCGTGTCACTGTACCCCAGCTTGTGTGACAAAGTAAGATCCTGCCTCAAACCAAAACAAAGCCAAAAACAAAAAACAGCCCTGCCCAACCACAGCCCCCCACAAAAAGCAATTAGTCATATGACATTGAAGAATTGAAGATGAACCTGTATCCTTTTAGAATTTTAGTTCCCTTCTGTGTAATTGGCTTGATTAGATTAAATCAGTGAAGCGTAAAAAAATTTTGAGTTCCAACATAAGACTTTAAGCTTACTAAAATAAAATTCCCAACAAGTATAACCTATTATCATTTCATATGAGAAAACTTCTATTTTCTTTTTTTAATAGAGATGGGGCGGGGGCCCTCACTGTTGCCCTGGATGGTCTTGAACTCCTGGCCTCAAGTTATCCTCCCACTTGGCCTCCCAAAGTGCTGGGATTATAGGTGTGAGCCATCATGCCCGGCCTGAGAGGGTACTTTTAACATTAAAACAAAACAAAAGAACAAAGCATAATCTCAGGAAAAGGACAGTCCTTTAAATTGAATAAATTTATTTTTATGAAAACTTAATACATTGTCCATATTTTTTAACTTCAGAATTTGTCAGAGAAAACTTTGTCATGAACTGGCAACTTCTGAGATCCTTTCTAGTTCTAAAAGCCTATCTCTCTAGTCTTGTCAAAATAAATCTGGTGGCTGCTGACTTGGTCTCCAGAATGAGCTGGCTCCATAAGGCTCTAGAATACGTCTTTCATCTTGGTATCTCCTGTGCCTACCACAGTGCCTGGTATAGCATTAGATTAAATAAATTAAAAGGTGAAATGATCCCTGCTGAATTGCAGTTCCTGTATGGAAGGAGTATACCCCAGAAGGAGGGGGTGAGCCCATGGACTTCCAGCTTAACCCTAGATCTGCAGTAAAAGCAGTCAAATCGGTTCTAGGCTCCAAGTTTAATGGTCAAGTTTCTCAATCCTGCCCAAAATCTGAATCTAGGATAGGTGTCTGCTGTGGCCTACATGTTTGTGTCCCCCAAAGTTAATGTGTTGAAGCCTAAACTCCAATGCAACAGGATTAAGAGGTGGGGCCATTGGGAGGTGATTAGGTTATGAGGACTCCTGTCGTGCCCTTATAAAAGACGCTTCAGGTAATCTATTTCCCCTTCTATCCTGTGATGATACACAGAAGGCACCATCCATGAGGAATGGAACCTCACCATATTCCAAATCTGCTGGCACCTTGCTTGGACTTCCCGGCTTGCAGAACTGTGAACAATAAATTTTTATTGTTTATAAATTACCCAGTCTAAGATACTTTGTTATAGCAGCCTGAACATAATAAGACGGTGTCAAAAGTAGACTCAATATCATTCTTTAAATGGGCATTTCCCTGTGTGTTCCTAAAACCAGGCTTTCTACAACAGAGGCAGTACGTTTACTCATTGAGCACCAGGGTGCTTGGATTCAAGTTTTGGCCTGGCCATTAGGTAGGTGCATGACCTTGGTCAAGATGCTTCACTTGCTGTACTTCAGGTTCCTTATTTATAAAATGTGGGTAATAACTGTAACTGCCTCATAAAGTTGTTCTGTGGATTAAATAAATTTATATACTTAGAACAGCGCTGTTTACAGAGTTATGTGTTTAATTATAATTTTGACTAATGAGCCTCAAGAAATATAGGAATAGAAGAAAAAATATTAAAATAGTCCTAAAAGAAATACTGGTGCATTTGGAAGACTGAAAGAGAGTATCATCAAAGTCCATAAAAAGGGAATTATAAGCCTTATAAAACTCCTTTGAAGCAAAGGATAACAGAGGTTGAATAACTTTAAGTAGGTTCAATATTGATTGATTGAATGATTGATTGTGACAGTCTCACTCCATCAGAGGCTGGAGTGCAGTGGCGCCACCTCGGCTCACTGCAACCTCCGCCTCCCGGGTTCAAGCGATTCTCCTGCCTCAGCCTCCTGAGTAGAGTAGCCGTGACTGCAGGCGCGCAACCCCACGCCGGGCTAATTTTTGTATGTTTTTTTTAGTAGAGATGGGGTTTCACCACGTTGCCTAGGCTGGTCTTGAACTCCGCCCTCCTCGGCCTCCCAAAGTGCTGGGATTACAGGTGTGAGCCCCCCCACCTGGCCCCAAGATTAATTTAGATAAATTCTTAGAGGGTGAATGCATAGTTGGTTATTGGGAAAACTGTTAACGGTCTGTGATACATAATTACTTTTCTGAGGTGATGGGGAACCAAATTCTTCCTACAAATGAGAAACAGAACTTCTTGTCTACACATTAAAATGACTTTGGAAACTTAGAAAAATATCAATGTCAAGATCTGGCAGCAGACCTTTTTCAACCAAGTGATGAGGCCCAGGCACTTGTTTTTTTATTTTTATTTTTTCCTAAGGGTGCCCCAGGGTTTAGAAACAACTAAGTCAGATATTTTTAGAGTAATTTGTCTTAACTCTTTCATCTTGCGTAAAATTTCCATTCTGTCATCCACAACCGGAATTCCACTCCGTCATACCAGTCTCTCCTCGTTTTTTTCTGCTGGCTCTTTTCAGCGTGTTTCATCGTGGCTGCTGTCTGTCTGTTACAGCCTTCTCACGTGGGAGCCCCTGCCCCGCCCCACGAGAAAATACATGTTTATCATTCAGTAAGTATTGCGCAAAATCGTAACAGAATAATTACTCGCGCCAATTCCCCCCAGATTAGATCAGCAGAAACACTTGGGCTAGAACTACCTCAGGACTATCTAACAAGTGGATATACCACAGTGGCGTGGAGAGCTGCAGTGTTATGTGTTGGCCAAATGAAGTAAAGACACCAAGTAGCTATTAGGCGAAGAACGAAGCGTCTTCGCGGCAAGTCGGCTGTCTGCTTTAAATTTTCTGAATCCTTAATGTTATCAGTATTATTTATTTCCCCCGAGAAACAAAATCTCCAAATACCAAGAAGCTGTTCTGTATTGCCAAAAGCTGCATAGGGGCAGGCTGCCAACAGGACTACCCGGGCACGCTGCAGTGGCATCTCTAGGCAGTTTCCTTTAATCTGATTTTCCTTGGGCTAACTCCTCACTGCGGTGCTGCTCCACAGCCAGCCCCCGCGCGCAGCCCTCCCCGCACCAGCTCGGCTGCAGAGCGCGGGTCCGCCGCCCACGCCGCCTTTCAACCGCAGTGCGCGGCCCGGGCCTTAGACGCGCGTGCGCGCGAGCCGGGGAGGGCGGGCCCCAGCCGGAGGAGGCGGAACAGGGCCTCGCGATATGCAGCCCATTGGCTCTCTCCTGCAGTCCCCGCCCCCGGGCGTTCGAGGCGGCGGGGCGGGCCACGTCAGGCAGCCGGCGCTGGGCTGAGCTTGTGGCAGAAGGGAGGTAAGCCGTGCGGGGCGGCGGGCTGCCACCGCTGCACCCCTGCTCGGGAGCCGCCGGGTCGCGCCGCCTGCGGCCCGGTCGGCTTGCATGGAGGGCGGCTGAGGCCCTGCGGGGCTGGGGCTGAGCTGGGAGACGGGGCAGTGGAGCATGTGGCGGCAGGGCCGCGTCGCGGCGAGGGGCAGCCGGGAGGGGGCTTTTTGCCCTCGTCCGGTCCTGCTGGGGCTCTCAGCTTCTGGAGGACTAGGCCTTCTGAGGTTACGGAGCTCCGAGATACCTGGGCAGGGCTGGCTGTGGTGACTGCGGTGGGACTTAGTGGGATCTCGACTCGGAAGCCGGTCGGCGCGATCCTTGCATACTTAGCTGCAGCAGGTTGCAGTCGTCCCACTCTCCTTCGACCGGTTCCCTAGTTGGGGGCAGAGCAGGAGATTCTGGCCGCGTCCTGCCTGGCCTGGGGTGACTGTCTCCTTCTCATTCCCGGTGACTCACTCAGATCATGTCCACTTATAATGCAAAGGCTTATGGGTGAGCAGGGCCTGTTTTCAGTCTCCTAGTTCTCTGGCTCCGTCCGCACTTGCGGCAATTACTTGAAGAAAGAGTATGTTAGATGTATGTTTTGAAATTTTCGCAGCAGCTAACGCGTGGAGACGTGCAGTTATGTTGCATTTACCCTTCATGAGTTTTAGTTTCAGCTGTGGCGTCCTGATATCTCAGTGTGGTTCCTGAATTTGGAGCTTTTGAAATGAATGAAATCCTGCCAATTTCATGCAGTCATTCATTCATACATTCCAAACTTTTTTGATGGATGCCTTAATGGTCAGCCTCATACCAGGTATTAAAATCGGCATTTCCTGCGTTTTATTCCAGTTTATATGTTAGTTTTATTGTCTAGATTTGAGTTGGAAATTTTTTTTTTTTTTGTTATTTTCAGGTTCTAGTATCCCTGAAACCATCGTGGCTCTGAGGGTGTAATCCTGATAACTGTATCAGTAATGACTCCAGGTTTCAGTGGCCTATCTGTAAGAAGAGGAATGGGATTAGTATAATTTTGAGATTTTCCAGGAGAGGAGGGTAGATGGCATGTTTCCTGAACTGTGTTAACAGGAAGTAACTATTTTAAAAACACAGGATGCATTTTATGATTATGTTTTACTGTGTCAACGAACATTGTATCTGTCCACATTCACTTTTTGACTACCAAGCAAGTGCATGTTTACAATTTTGATTCACATCCAATTCCTGCGTAGAAAGCACTGTGACTCATCTGAATTTTGAAATGAAGTAATCATGAGCTTTTTAATGTTACATACAAAGGTATGATATTGAAACAATTGCATAAAAATGCAATTTTCAAAGCATTTTCACTTGCTTTTATAGATTAGTGGAAGCTAAAACCTCTGCCTTGATTATTTGCTTACTTAATCAATGTTAGGTAGTTACCATCTCTTGGCTAATGTTTATCAATATTATATCTATTTTAACATTTGTTTCATTAACCCCAAATTTACTGGATTTTAACTGATTGTTGTCTCCAGTTGACGCCTGATAACCAAAAGGTTATCAGGAGGAGCTGGAGGAGGCGGAACACAGCCTCGCGCCCTGTAATAAATAGTTTGAAATCAAAATTTTCATGGACGTATAACCAGAGTTTTTCATTTGTTGATTGATTGATGGTGCTTACCGGTAAATCGTTTGGCCTTTTTCCCCGTTTAAAATGATTTATGAAACAGTCTGAGACATAATATTCTTAGCTTCATGATACTTTTGGGATATTGTCCACAAGTGATTAGTTGAATTAAATTGTTAATATCACTATTAGGAGTTTGGAAAATTTAAGAAAATATAACTTCTTAAAATTTTGCATTTGCTATTTTTTTGTTTGTTTGGAGACAGGGTCACTCTGTCGCCCAGGCTGGAGTGCAGTGCTGCGATCTCGGCTCACTGCAACCTCCGCCTCCCAGGTTCAAGTGATTCTTCTGCCTCAGCCTCCTAAGTAGCTGGGATTACAGGCGCATGCCACCACACCCAGCTAATTTTTGTATTTTTAGTAGAGACGGAGTTTCACCATGTTGGCCAGGCTGGTCTCGAAATCCTGACCTCAAGTGATCCCTCCGCGTTGGTGTTACATCTTTCAGTTCTAGAAATGGACCTGATCAAGATTGCAAGGTTAATGGGGAAAATTCAAGAGCTGAGGACATTAACCTTCTAGCGGGAAAAAACCACAATGAGAAATAATAACTATATTTGGAGGAAGTGTAAGGAAATAATAGTTTAAGGATTATTAGTCTATAACAAATCTTGATCTTAATCAGTATTTCTTGATGTATAACAAAGAACTTGGTTTAAGCACAAAAAGAAAATTAGGGTGATAATTTAAATTTTGATCAAGTGGGTAGTAAGTATTTCTTTAGGAGATGAGAAATCTATAGATCTAGAGATGCATGGTATAATAAAGTATGGTATACTTATATGAGTATAAGTCTGTGATTCACAATTAGTAATAGATTGATGGAGGTTTTGTTACTATTTCCACATGATAAGAAACAAGATTTGCTAAGCTGATAGGACAAGGGATATTTGTGAATTTCCTCCATGTAAATGATTTGAAACAACAAAGTTTTAAGTGATGTGGAAGAGCCCATCTATTTTCAAACAATGGATTGAAATGTAGTTTTTGTAACCCTCTAAGTACTTCTGGCCTCATAGTTTTTTTTTTTTTTCCCCCTACTCAGGTCATATTGAAAGTAATAAAATTGTGTTTATGATTTTAAAAGTTTATATTGGCTTTCATTTAATTAGTCTGAGTTACTTTAGTTTTATATATTTTGAAGATGTTCCAAAACCCTTGACTTTAAATACTGTATAGCTTTCCATTGTTCATGAAAGAAAACATTTCTTTAGGCCAAAGGAAATTGAGAATCCAACTTGCATAGATAGTCAGTTTATTACTATTATTTAAAGATTTATCTTTTTACTTGCCCGGGGACCAATGAAGCATCCACTGAAGCTCCTAAACTGGAGAAGGTATCTTCTAATCTCCTTTTGGTCAGATGAGTTCTTGCTAATTTGGCTGATACATATGTTGAACAAATGTAATACAGTAATTGTGGGTGTTGTAACTGTAGTTTTATGAAGTTTTTTTGGTTGCCAGGGTGTATCTTTCCCTTCTCTCTTGACAAACCTTTCTATTTGGCCTACCTGCTTTCATAATTTATTCTTAAGTTCTACTCTATTTCCCAATCATTGCACATGTTGGTTTATGTAACCAAACCTGATTTTAGTATATGCTATTAGGACATACACGTGGAGAAGAATGGAGGAAACTTTTTATTAAATGTTTTTAATTGTTGAAACACTTAAGTAAATGTGATTTTTAAAGACTCATAGTTATTAAAGGTATTGTATTCATTATTTTTTATTTATTCCTTCATTCAGCAAAGACAGCAACTACTTTGGTGCTAGGTCCTTAACTTATCTTTAAGGAACTTACAGTATTGCATGGACTTCATAAACAACACCAAAATACAATGGGATAAACATTATAATTAGTCGTTCACATAGTATAGTGGGGGATAGAGAAAACTGTGTGCAAGGTTTGAGGAGATTCAGAGAAGGCTTTATGGAGGAATTTTCATCTGAATTGAAGTTTGAAAGTGAGTAGGAATTAGTTGGTGAGGTTAGAGGATAAGGCATTCTGGGCACAAGAAAGCAGTGAGGACAAATAGATAGGTTAGAAACGGGACATAGACCCTTAATGTGTTAAGATAGAGAATAGATCAACTTTAAAAAGTAAACAAGGGTAAATAATGAAAGTTCTCTTCCACACCGTGTTAGCCATTTTGAGCTTTAATCTGGAGGCTATGTTGATCCATGAGTAATAGATTTTAAGTGGAAGAAAGTTAACATCAGTTTCATGAGGCAATGTGAGGAATGAATTGTAGTGGGGTAAGGCAGACATTTGCATTACATGTGACAGAACTCCGAAAATGCAGTGCTGCTGGAGAGAAGAGGATGAATTCCAGATATATTAAGGTGATTGAGTTAGTGGCCAGATGGATGTAGGGGATGAAGGAGTGATGGAGTCAAGGATACCTCCTAGGTTTATGACTTGCCGAGATAGGAATCACATGAGCAATATCAGATGTATGGGGAGAATAAGATCAGTAGTCTTGGACATGGGTTTAGGTCACACAATTGGTGCTGTTCAGTGGGTATTTGGCTGCTTTGGCCTGGAGTTAAAGAGAGGATTCTAGGCTGGAGATAGAGATTAGGATGCTATCAATTTATAGGTAGTTAAAACAATGTGAGAATGGATGATGCCTAAGAGAGTTTGTAGAATAAGAAAGAATAAAGCAGAAGGGAAACGCTGGGAAACACTACCCTGTAGGAAAGATGACCCAGTGAAAAAGACAGAAGGAACAGCCTAATGACAGTGGATGTCTAGAAGATAAGGAGGGAGAGAATCCAACAAGAAGAGACTGGTCAGATGCCATAGGGAATAGGAGAAAGAGCTAACTACAGTTTTTGGAAGGTTTCCCAGATAGGCCTGGATCATTAATTTGTAATAATACTAGTTCATATGATTCTGTGACTTTTGGCAGCAAAATTCAGTAGAACCAGAGATGATAAATAGTTGGATTGATACAGTATTTGGATTTTGTTACGTGCGTATGGTAAGATTGCAAAGGAGTTGAAACTATTGGTGAAAGAATGGTCAGAGTGATGGAATGTGAAGTTTAGACTGGATAGGGATGACGATAGAGCCAGGAGGAGCTGAAAGATTGAGATAACATAATTGGTTCAAAGGATTAAAAGTCTGGATGAAGTAAATATACAAGTGTTTGTAGCTAAAAGGGAGATAATGAAAAGGATAGAAATCCTCTGGTCAGAGTAGAATATTGGAATTTAAGATTTTTAGGGTGCAGATGGCGTGTAGGGTTTGGCTGTGGATATAGATGGTAGAAACGGAGGTGTTCAGGAACAATGAGACTGGTGGTGCATTCGATGAATTGCTCACCCAGATGACTGTAGATGACTGTGGTACCCAGGGAGGAAGGGTAGAATGTGATCCTAATTTCCGAGGTTTAGATTGCCTATGGTGGTGATCACTATAGATGAGAGATGAAGATACTTAGATGTTATGCCCTCAAAAGTACAGCGGGTGGGGGTGGGATGGGGTAAGTGGTCTGGAAACATTCTTCTGGGCCTTGGGACTTGGAAGGATGATTAGCCTTTACTGGTGGGGGCCACCAAAGAAGGGGAGTTTAATTTCTATTAGGCCTAGGAGGTATGGGGAGCATCTAGTGAAGAGGCTGAGGATATAAGAAAGCTTATTGACTATGGTGTCAGTGTAAAAGCTTGGGAAGGAGTGAGAGAGCGAGTAAAGATTATTTAGAGGAGAAGACAGGTTAGAAAGAGCTTAGATTTGGGTATAAGGGTGACAGCGCTTCTCTGAAGCATATGGCTAGCTTTTAGTAGTTGGGACTTTAAATTTTGATGAAGCTTTCTGTTGTTAACGTTTACCCATCAAGTCATTATAGTTTCTGTCAGAGTAGGACAGTTGGCATAGTACTGTTTCTAAATTTAAAAATAACATATATGTCTCCAGTGAATATTTGTGTTATCTGTCGGAGAAAGGATGGACAGTGTGGCCTATTTGCTTTGATGTACCTTTTCCTGGTCTTTGAATTCCCAAAATACTTTTGCAAATACATTTCATCATGTGTGCCAATTCTTATCTATTGGTAGGATTAGGAAGTTATGTTGAGTATTTTTAGGTCAATTCTGGGCCCAGAGGTATAGGAAATGCCTTAATGTGAATGGCAATTGCCATGAATGTGGGAGATTGGCATACCTGCATTTACCTAAGATTGCCATCTGTTATTTTCTGACCTAGAGTCTGTTTCTAAGGACAGCGCCTCACTTATGCACTAGGTCTTATTCCTTTTACCTTCCGAAGGATTTGGCTCCAGCATCTCTCTCTCTGAACATTGCATTTCCCCTAATTACTGGATTATTCCGTTCATTATGCAAGTATGCTGGTATTTTTCCATGTTAAAATAATAGCTTTTGACCCCATTCCTGCTTAAGCCACTGTACAATTTATTTGTTACCCCTTATGGTATAACTATAATCCTGTCCAATTTCTTTCCTTCTATTCTTTCTTAAACCCACTTTAATCAGGCTTTCTCCCTCACCTCTATCAAAAAATTACTCTTACTAAAAGTAACTTTTCTGAGAAGTTACTTTTCTAAAAGTGACTTTATTTTTCATCTAGAGACAGAGTCTTGCTCTGTCGCCCTCTCTGAAGTGCAGTGGTGTGATCATAGCTCGCCACAGCCTTGAACTCCTGGGCTCAAGTGGTACTTCTGCCTTGCCTCCTGAGTAGCTAGGACTGCAGATATGTGCCACCATACCTGGCTAATTTTTCTATTTCTTGTAGCGGTGGGGGTCTTACCATGTTGCTCAGGCTGTTTTGAACTTCTGGCCTCAAGCAATCCTCCTGCCTGGGCCCAGAGTGCTGGGATTATAGGCGGAGGCACCATGCCTGGCCCTTTCATTTTCCTAAATCTAAAGGTCTGTTCCAAATTTTTACCTCTCAGTTGACCTGTCAGCATTTTTTTTTTTTTTGAGACAGCTAGTCACTCTCTGCTTCTTTATTTTTATTTTTGAGACAGAGTCTCACTCTGTCGACCAGGCTGGAGTGCAGTGGCGTGACCTCGGCTCACTGCAACCTTCATCTCTTGGGTTCAAGTGATACTTCTGCCTTAGTCTCCTGAGTAGCTGGGATTACCGGCATGTGCCACCACACCCAGCTAATTTTTGTATTTTTAGTAGAGATGGGGTTTCACCACGTTGGCCAGACTGGTCTTGAACTCCTGACCTCAAGTGATCCACCTGCCTTGGCCTCCCAAAGTGCTGGGATTACAGGTGTGAGCCATAGTGCTGGCCCAATCTCTGCTTCTTAAAGCACTTTCTTCCCTTATTAGCAAAAATACCACAATTCCTGGTTTTCCTCCTACGTCATTGTCCCTTTTTAGACTCCTTTACTGGTTCTTCCTTATCTCCCTGATAAGAGTGCTGTTAACATTGGAGTGCTTCAGGGGTCAGTCATTAGACCTTATACTTCTGGATCATATCATTCAGCCTTTAAATATTAGCATTATTATTATTTATTAATTAATTAATTTTATTTTATTATTATTTTTTGAGATGGAGTCTCGCTCTGTCCCCCAGGCTAGAGTGCAGTGGCGTCATCTCGGCTCACTGCAAGCCGCACCTCCCGGGTTCACGCCATTCTCCTGCCTCAGCCTCCTGAGTAGCTGGGACTACAGGTGCCCGCCACCATGCCCAGATAATTTTTTGTATTTTTAGTAGAGACGGGTTTCACCATGTTAGCCAGGATGGTCTCGATTTCCTAACCTCGTGATCTGCCCACTTCGGCCTCCCAAAGTGCTGGGATTATAGGCATGAGCCACCAAGCCCGGCCAATTTATTTTTTGAGATGGAGTCTCCCTCTGTCACCCAGGCTGGAGTGCACTGGCACGATCTCGGCTCACTGCAACCTCCGCCTCCCGGGTTCAAGCGATTCTCCTGCTTCAGCCTCTTGAGTAGCCGGGACTACAGGTGCGCACTACCACACCAGGCTAATTTTTTTATTTTTAGTAGAGACGTTGGCCAGGCTGATCTCGAAAAATGATCCACCCGCCTTGGCCTCCCAAAGTGCTGGGATTACAGGTGTGAGCCACGGCACCTGGCCTAAGTATTAGCTTTAAATACTAGTAATACCCTACTAGCTTCCAAATTTATATTTTCAGCCTCGCCTTCCCTTGAACTCCTGACTCCGTATATCCAGTGACTACTCAGCATTTTCTGTTTGGATGACTAATATATATTTCAAACTAAACTCTGAAATTTCCTTTTTTACCTATAATCTTTCCTATTTCAGTTAACAGAAACTCCATCCTTTTTATGAGATAGGCTAAAAACCTGAGTATCATCCTTGACTCTTCTTTATCTCACAATCTATATATATATACTGTTACTTTGGAAAGTGTGTTGGCTATACCTTCACAATGTATTTAGAATCCAAGTACTTGTCACTACCCACTGCTATCACCCTAGTCTAAGCCCCCGTTGTTTATGTCCGGATCTTGCAGTAGCCTCTATATTAGTTATCAATTGTTACCTACTCCCAACATTTTGTGGCTTAAACCAACAGTTATGTATTAGTTTGTGATTCTGTGGTTGGCAGCTTAGGTTGGACTTGGGGTAGATGTGGGGCAGCTCTTTTGCTGGTCTTGCCCGTGCTCACTCATGTAGTGATCGGCACTGGTAGGTTTGGAGGCCTCAGCTGAGATGGCTTATCTCTGCTCTACGTGGTCAGTAAACTATCTCATGTTTATGTTTCTTTACGTAGTGGTGTAATGGAAGCAAGATAACAAGAGGAAACTATGTGGCCTTTTGAGGCCGGGACTTAGAACTTCTACAGCTTCACTTTCCCTGCTGTTGGTGAGAGCAGGTCACCAGGTCAAGCCAGATGAAGGGGAGAGAAAATTAGCCTACTTTTTTTTCTGAGGGGGTGCAGCAAAGTCACTTTGTAAAGCAGTTTGTATACAGAGATTGGGAGCAATTGGAGGCCATTTTTTGCAAACTGTCCTGGCCTTCTAATGGATTGCTTCTATCTTTCCCCTTACAGTATTGTCAGAACAGCAGCCAGAGTGATTTTATAAAAACGTGAGTTAGATCTCTTCTCTGCCCCAAACTCTCCAGTGGCTTCCCGTTGCCACCCAAAGTAAAAGGCAGTCTTGGGATTGTCCTGTGAGGCTTGCCATGATCTGACCCATTTGTTGCCTCTCCAACTCCATTTACAGCCACTCTCTCTCTCTTACTTAATCTGCTCAAATGAGCCTCTGCTGTTCTTCAGACATCTGAGGCATGCTTTCACCATGGCATTGGCACTGCTACTCTTTCCGCCTAGAGTCTTCTTTTCTGAGATGACGAAACTGCTCTTTTACTCCCCTTCAGGCTACTCGAGTACTTCCTCAGCCTTTCCCTGACCATCCTTTTAAAAATAGAAACCTCTCTCTCTAATACTGTCTATCCTCCACTCTGGTTTACTTTTATCCATAGCACTTATCTTCAGAAATGCTATGTAATTTACTATTTTGCTTATTCTTGTCTTGCCTCTACTAGGAATGTAATCTATAAGGGCAGGGATTTTTCTCTGTTTTCCCAGTGCTTAGTATAGTGTCTGATACAAGGTAGGCATCTCATAAATATTTCTTAAATGGAGGAATGAAAGGTACTGCAACCTTTTTCAGGATTAGGTATCTCTTCCATTCTTTATGGAAAAGCTCTGGACCATTATCTGAGGAAATTCCTGGTCTCCTTTGCAAGTACTTTTGCAATCACTATTTATTTATTTATTTATTTATTTAGATGGAATCTTGCTCTGTTGCCCAGGCTGAAGTGCAGTGGCACAATCTTGGCTCACTGCAACCTCTGCCTCCTGGGTTCAAGTGATTCTCGTGCCTCAGCCTCCCAAGTAGATGGGATTACAGGTGCGTGCTTCCACGCCTGGTTAATTTCTGTATTTTTAGTACAGATGGCACTTCACCATGTTGGCCAGGCCAGTCTCGAACTCTTGACTTCAAGTGATCTTCCTGCCTTGGCCTCTCAAAGTGCTGGGATTGCAGGTGTGAGCCACCGTGCCCAGCTGCAATCCATTTTTTAAAAGAGGTCTTCTAGACCAAGTATTCTTCCACATCCAGACTCTAATTTATTCTTTGCAAGAAGATTATCATGTTCTCTTAACTATATGCAATACCTTTCTTGATACTTAATAGCAACCTCTTCACTTTGAGTTGTAAATCATAACATTTTTTGTACAAAGCAAAGCTGAAACAGGTGAAAGGAATAGTCTAGGGCAGAAAATTTTCAAACCTTTTCTAAGGTCTTAGACTCTCTCCACCTCCACATATCTTACTGAGAACTTCAGATAAGAGAAGTGTTTTATTATTCAAAATAAAGGTTTTATTATTCAAAATAAAGCTATTTTACATTTGAATTTATAGCATACTCTTATTATAAAGTCAATCTGAACCATGAAGCTATTATAAGGAGTGTAATATTGAAATGAATGATTATGAATAAAAATGATACTCTCTATATGTCTCAGCCTCCAATTTATTTTTGTATTGTGATTTTGTATTTTGGTTTTGTTGCAGACCATCAAGGAAATTTCCATCCACACAGATTAGCAGTTGAAAATGGTAATAATTTTTTTTAACAGTTCACATTGCAATCTTGCAATCTCTAGTTACTTTTTTAAAATTTTCTTTTATTTTTAAAAATGTCTTACTAAAACATACACAGATTAATAGGGAATATAGTAAATGAACTTAATTTCAACAACATCAACATTTTGTCAATCTTGTTTTTCTCTCTAACATTTTTTCTTCCCTAGTAATTGTCTTTAATTAATAAGGACTTCTTAAAGTACTATTACTAGGCCATTCATTAACAACCCTAACAAAATTAATACCAATTCCTAAATATTATCCAATACAGTCCATATTTCAGAATTTCTCAGTTGGGCCAAGATTGTCTTAGTAGAATTGGTTTTTTGAAATCAGAATCATGTAAGTTTCCCAAATATAATATAATTTGGTTACTATGTCTGTTTAGTCACTTATTCTGTACAATCCCTCCACTCCTTTTTTCCCATGTCATTGATTTGTTGGAGAAACCGAGTACTTTGTCCTGTAAAGTGTCCCAGATTCTGGACTTGATCTATTGCTCTGCAAGTGGTATTGTCCTGGAAGAGGTACCTTGTTCCTGTATCTCATATATTTCTTGTAAATTGGTAATTAAATATAGAGAGTTGTGTATATTAGTGGCAAATTTTTTTTTAGGTAAGAGTATTTTTACAGAAGCCTGTGTATGTCCTATTCCATCACCCATGAGGATACAATGTGTGGTATTCTTACTTTTAGTGATGCTAAGATGAATCAATGGATTCAAGTGGGATCATCCTGATCCCTCTAATATAAAGTTCCCTATCTTCCTTTAACTTAATATTTTTAGCCACAGTTGATGATTCATTCACAAATCAAAGTATTTATTAACAAAGTAACTTCATATTGGTAAAGATTTTTCTTAAGCCCGTAAACATGCTTTCATTTTTTCTTTCCTCACGTTTCTTTTTACAATACAATCAGTTTTTTCCCTGTCCCCTCATCCTACATTTATACACGTACACAGTCTTCAGTACATGTTGAACATTTGACATAAAGCTTGTAAAGAGATATGAAATGGAATGGACAACAAAGGAAGGCGAGGTAGGGAAGTAAGGATTATCCACCCATCTACCTACTAACTTACCTGTCTCCTCTCCTTCTCTGTATCTTACTGGTTTCAGTTTATAATATTTTAAAAGCTATGTGGGATAAGTATGGCTTAGAGGGCTACTGAGGCCTTACAGGGATTGGAAATTGGATAGGACCTGGGCAGGTGTTGACTGCAGCATTGGTATTAGGTATGAATTGAATATAAATCCAATCTGCAGCTAAGCACACACATTTTAACATTTGTTGTGTATAGTCAAGATTGGCCCCAAATAAAATTGAGAAGCAAATGAAGCTTATACAGTCTGCATGTGGCATCCTTTTATCATATAGCTTTTTTTAGCTGATATGGACAAAAGTAAATTGAGCTTCCAAGAATTTAGGAGACTCATGCATTGCTGCATTGTTTTAGAAATGGATAAATGATTTCGACTTCTGCATCTTAGTGTATGACTGCTTTGTTCTTTCAGTTATCTGAACCCCAAACTTTGGAGTCATCCTTCACTCTTCCCACATTTCATGTCTAATCCATTAGCAAATCTTACCAAATATTTCTGAAATACTTGTAACTGCAGGCATGTATCCTTTGACCAAATGGAGACCTAATGTATATATAACATGGTGACTATACTTAATGATAATGTATTGTATAGTTGAAATTTACTAAGAGAGTAGATTTCAAGTGTTCTCACCATACAGACACACACACACACAATGGTAACAAGATGAGGTGATATGTTTGATTGTGGAAATCATTTCACACTGTATACATATATCAAAACATCTGATTTTGTACCCTAAATATATACAGTTTTTATTTGTCAATTGCTATGGTTTGAATGCTTGTCCCTCTCAAAATTCATGTTTAAATTTAATTGCCATTGGCCAGGTGCTGTGGTTCATGCCTGTAATCCCAGCACTTTGGGAGGCCGAGACAGGTGGATGGCTTGAGCCCAGGAGTTTGAGACCAGCCTGGGCAACATGGCAAAACCTCCTCTCTACTAGAAAATACAAAAATTAGCTGGGCATGGTGGCGCAAGCCTGTACTTCCAGCTACTTTGGAGGCTGAGGTGAGAAGATTGCTTGTGCCCAGGAGATGTAGGTTGTAGTGAATTGAGATCATGCCACTGCACTCCAGCCTGGGTGACAGCAAGACTCTATCTTATAATAATAATAATAATAATAATAATTAATTGCCATCGTAACCGTATTAAGAGGTGGAATTGTTAAGAGGTGATTGTCATGAGGGTGCTACCCTCAAGGGTGAGATTGGTGCCAATGTAAAAGTCGGTCCTCTCCTGCCCTCTGTCTCTTTGCACTTCCACCATGTGATGATGTGGCACAAAGACCCTCCACGGATGTTGACACCTTGATATTAGACTTCCTGGCTTCCAGAACTGTGAGCCAATAGGTTTCTGTTCTTTATAAAATATTCCCAATCTCAGATATTCTGTTTAGCAGCCAAAAACAGACTAAGACATCAATTATACCTCAATAAATCTGGAAAAAAATAAACATGTCCTAAGTCTGACCTCTTCCCACTATCTCTACTGCTGTTATCCTTGTCCAAAGCAATATGATTTATCTCCTGGATTATTGATGTAACCTAACTGGTCCGTCTCTTTTTCTTTTTTTCTATCCTTGCCCTCTTATGGTCTCTATTCTTCCTAGAAGCCACAATGATCTTTTTAAAATGTCAGTCATATATGCCATTCCTCTTTCCCAAACCCTGTAGGACTTCCCATCTCACTGAGAAACATCCAAAGACTCCCAGCACCCTGTAGAGGCTTACATGATCTGGGTTTCTGCTTCATTCTGTAATCTCTCACTGCCTAACTTGCTGACTTGCACTAGCCAACACTGGTGTCCTTGGTCTTTCCTAAACTTGCCAAACATGCTTCCATCTCAAGGTTATTCCTTCTGTTTGGACTGCACATTACTTCCTTCAGGTGTCTGTTCAAATGTCACTATCAGAAAGAGCTTTTTTTATTCTTCGGCAGATGCCAAAACGTTTAAAGACCTCTCTAAAATTTACCTATTGATGACTAAAATTTTGATTTTCTTGGTATTATGTTGTGTTTGAATTTGGAAAATTAAAAACTACTTATACTGTAGTTCAAGCAATTAAAAATGCCCTCTAGACTGAAGCTAACATACTTGATTAAAATGAGACTGGAGGATGTTGAACACAGTGGAGGAACACTTGATGTTTTTCTCAGGTGCAGATGGATTAATCTCCTGGCAAACAATTTAGAATCAAAGGTAATTCTGTTAGCTTACTTGTTTGGAACTCTGCAGGACCATTATAGCTTCTAATAACTCAAAGGTGTGACTTTCGCATTAAATAGTTCTTAATAAGTGGTATAATTGGATCAAGTGAGACTTTTTTTGCCTTGGCGTGTGCTGTGGTGAAACCACCTCTTTAGAGAATGATAAAAAACCATGGTTTCAAGTGAATAAATAAGATCACTTTTTTTAAAATTGCAATTAAACATTTTATTTTTTTATTTGAGGAGAATTAATTTCTTTGTAATTTAAAATAAGTAATGTATGCCCCATTGTAAGAACAAAATTAAAAGTAGCAAAGGCGGAATACAGTAGGTTACATAATCATCCATCATCCTGTTCAGAAATAACCCTATCAACATTTTTGCCTATTTGTTTTTTTAATTCTATATTTCTCTCTATATTACTCACATGCACACATTATATATACTATATGTGTATACACACACACACGCACACACACACACATATATGTGTATTTATTTTTATTTTTGAGATAGAGTCTTGCTCTATGACCCAGGCTGGAGTGTAGTGCTGCAATCTTTGGCTCACTGCAGTCTCGACCTCCTGGGCTCAAACAGTCCTCCCACCTCAGCCTCCTGAGTAACTGAGACCACAGGGACACGCCACTGTGCCTGGCTAATTTTTTATTTTTTGTAGAGATGAGGTCTCACTATGTTGCCCAGGCTGGACTTGAAATCAGCCTCCCAAAGTGTTGGGATTACAGGTGTGAGCCACTGCGCCCGGCTTATGTTTTAAACTTTGTTGTGTTCATGGTTGTATGCAAAAATTTCTCAAGTGTTTTTTATTGTAAACTTTTCTTTACATTATTAAAACTCTTTACAAATGTTATTTTCAATTACTGATCAATATTTTATCTGCATAGTCCTTAGTTTATCTTTTAGATTTGTCCATTAATACTTTTGCAAAAAGTGTGCTTGATTTTAAACCTTTTTAATTCTTAACTCACTTTTAAAATGGGAGCTGAATAGAACTTGAAGGATGTATGCCACACTTTGGGATATAGCCAAGAAGTGTCAGATAGTAAGATCAAATGCTCAGGAAGTGGTACCCAGACTGCCCACCACAGAATGATTTAGTTTTTGGCTTACCTCAGACTTTCAGCTTCATGGTGCTAAAGTTCCCTATGAAATTAGGTATGGTAGGTGGGACTTGGGGAGACTTTTGTGGTTCTGGGAATCATACTGGTTCTACCTTATTTGTGTGGCTTGTTCCTGAGCTGATCTGATCTTTGATAACCTTTCTATCAGTTTGGAAGTAAGCCAGATTGGGAGCAATTTCTTAGATAGTGTTTGAATTTGGGCTGAAAGGCAGAAGTAGTCTTTGAGGGTGAAATGAAACTCTTTTGAAGATTGGCTTTATTGTAAGTTGCTGGTCTTTGGAGTGGCTGTTGCTGTTCATCTAGTTGGTCATTTACTTAAAACAGAGTGTTGAAAAGTTCCCTTAGGCCTGTATGTATGAAAATCATATATACTAGTTTTAACATTTGTGAAATTAAAAAAATCATGAAGAGCACCTGGGCGCAGTAGCTCATGCCTGTAATCCCAGCACTTTGGGAGGCCCAGGTGGGTGGATCAGGAGGTTGGGAGATTGAGACCATCCTGGCTAACACAGTGAAACCCTGTCTCTACTAAAAATACAGATACACTGGGCATGGTGGCGGGCGCCTGTAGTCCCAGCTACTCAGGAGGCTGAGGCAGGAGAATGGCATGAACCCAGGAGGCGGAGCTTGCAGTGAGCCGAGATCGTGCCACTGCTCTCCACCCTGGGCTACAGAGCAAGACTCCGTCTCAAAAAAAAAAAAAAAAAAAAAAAAAAAAAAAAAAAAATATATATATATATATATATATATATATATATATATATATATGAAGAGCTACATATTACATCTTAACCCCTTCTTCGTTCTCCTCCTCCTCCATGTTTGTTTAAATAAAATTCTTAAACTAACTTTATCTGAAAGACATCCTACATACTGTACTCTGTCAATTGGATGTCAGCATTTCACCCCAAGATCCTCTTCTGATTCTTGAATATGCTGCTTGATATTTCCACGCTAATATGAAATGATTTACTAATGAACTCCTGCCCAGGATGATTGCAAACGTTAACTAATATCTGATTATTTAGTACCCTATAAGTAAAAACAGCCATGAGTAATGCTAGCTGTATAATAGAAGATTAGTAAATGTTCCTTTTTTTTTTAAAGAAATTATTTAAAATTCCTTTTACCCCAATGGGAAATACACAGAGGTGATACTGTGGGTTTTTAAAGGATTGTAATAAATAGCAGATTAAGCACATAGCTATGATAAATAATAGCTGTCAATGGAAGCATTCATGTAAAACTTATGTTGTATTAAAGTAACAAAGACCCATTTTCCATCTCTATTAGATTCAGCTGGAAACAGTGAAGAAACAGTCTTGTTAGCTTTTACATGTGTTCTTTGATTTTTTTTTTTAAAGAAAATGTACCAAAATTTATGACAGCATAATGAAATTTTACTGGTGTAGATTCTGCTGATTTTGGATTTGAATTTGGCTGAAGTTCACCTTTGCACTATCTACACAAAAATGATTCGCCTAGTTAAAAAAAAAAAAAACTGGGAGTTTAGGATGTGTCTAAAAAGAATTATCATCAATTCCTAAATGTGTTGGTTACTAAATTCAAGTTACTGTATTAATTTGGACATAAAGTTGTTTAAACATTTATTTTTCTACTTCTGGCTGTTATTTATTTTGGTCTTTGTTTCATGAGTCTTAATTAATGAAAAAGATATAGATTCCTCTCTATTTCTTAGTTTCTGTTTTGGAAAGTTTATCTGAAAACAAAATAAACAGTGGAATCCTGATTCTAACATTTTTGAGACTGTTAGGTACTGTGCTAAACACAATAATTCAGCAAACATTTATTAACTGCTTATTCCATGCCAGACCCTGAAGGGGGTGAACAAGAAGCTGCTTCTCTTAAGAAATCCAAATGTCCAGGGTAATAATGCAGCAGGCTTGGTCAGTGGGGACCCTTCCCACTTCTGATTCTTCTTTACTGGCATCTGAGCAGGTGCAGCTGCTATATAGATGGAAACTAGGCCCTTCAGAATGAGACAAGAATGTCTTGAGGAGTGATTATAACCCTCTCAGAGCTGGAAGGGACATTAGAGACTGATCTTAGCTCTCCACTTTGTCCTCTCAAACCATATCCTCATATTCCCTCTGCCTGGAATGTGATGCCAAGTTTTAGTTCAAGCCCTGTTTTCTGAGGCAGCTGCAGGAACTGAGAAAGAACATGCATTGGCTTCCTTTTGATCTTCCTGCTTCTGGACATTTCTTCCTGAGCGTTCCAATATTATTTCAAGCCCTGTTTTTACAAGTGAACTCATGCACACACAAATTTCCCTGTCTCATTGAGCTGTGTTTTCACCTGTCACATGGTGAGGTTTCCTGCCAGCTAAGTACTCATTTGCAGTGGCATTGCCATCTGTGTGTGTGTAGTGTTTAAGCAATCATTTGGGTATATAATTGCTTTAATTAATTTTAGTGATTATTTACTTATTTAAAAAAACAGAAAATGTAGATGTGAAAGTGTTGATATCAGTGACAAGAAGTATAGATTTACTACAGATTGACAATTGTCGTGATGGAAGTGGCCAATTGTTATCCTTTGTTACCTACTCATTGAACTTAAACTGAACAGTCAATGATGAAATAAAGGCATATAACCAAAGAACATATACAGATGTGGGAGATGTATTGCTGGTGATGGTGCCACAAGGATGAAAGTTAAGTTTAGATAAACAATTTTTATGTTTTGTGCTCTGGGCAAGGAGTAATCCTTTAATATGTAATGTTTGCGCATTAGACTTGATTACCTTTTTAGGATTGCAGTATATACAAAGATACAAAGCTGTTTGCATATGCTGATAAGCTGCTTTGGGAATTTGATTTAACACGTATGTGCAAACCCAGGTAATTCATTTAAAGATTTATTTGATTTCCTGAGATGCAGCAAAATATAATGGAAAAAACAAGGTATTAGATTCAGACTCAGAATAATAACATTTAAAAACCGTTTGCTATGTTCATGGCTCTGAGCAAAATGCTTTAATGGATTATCTTAATTTAGCTTTAGTTTTTTAACTTTATTATTGTTATTGTTATTATTATTATTATTATTAGCTATAGGGCATTGTTCTGTTGCCCAGGCTGGAGTGCAGTGGCATGATAATAGCTCACTGTAGCCTTAATCTCCAGTGCTCAAATGGTCCTCCCACTGCAGCCTCCTGGGTAGCTAGGACTAAAGGCATGTACCACCATGCCCAGCTAATTTTTAAAATTTTTTGTAGAGATGGGGTATCACTATGTTGCCTAGGTTGATTTCGAACCCCTGGCCTCTAGTGATCCTCCCGCCTCAGCCTCCCAAAGTGCTGGGATTACAGGCATGAGCCACCGGCTGCTTGATGATCTTAGTTTTACAAAAACTTTAAGTCAACTGTATCTATACTTTATTAAAGAGTGGTTAAGCATGTGAGATCTGGAGGCAGACTGTTTATATTCATGCTTTTGCTTCTTACATAATTAGGCAATTAATTTTGACCTCTCCTTTCCTCACTTGGTTTTTCATATGAAGATAAAGTTAATAGTAGTACTTATGTCATGAGGTTGTTTTGAATATCGAGTGAGAGAATACGTATAAAAAGCTTTGACAGTACCTGCCTGGCACATGGTAAAATTCTCAATAAATCCTGGCTGTTAATACCACTGTATAACCTCAGGCAAGTGACTTCTTCCCTGAGCTCCTATTTCCTCCTGTGGGAAATGGAGTTAATATTTACCTCAAAGTTGTTGTGAGGATCTCGTGGAATTAGTTAAAGTGTCTTGTGGAGTGCTTAGCACATAGGAGATGTTTAATCCAATATGGTATTCCAAATTCTATGTTATGCTTTGCATTTATTCAGTTAATCTTTATTGAATAGGTATTTGTTATATGCTGGGGAGATAGTGGTAAGAGCTGAGATCGTGCCACTGCATTCCAGCCTGGGCAACTGAGCAAGACTCCATCTCACAAAAAAAACAAAACAAAACGGTCCCTGCCTTAAAGAGTTTGCATTTGGGGAGGTGGGGGTGGAGTAGGGAAGCAGAAATAAGTAAATGACAATCATTTGAGATTGTGATAAAAGCTATGAATGGTACAATAGTGGGTCACTGCAGTGGCAAGTAGGGGACTATTTGAGGCTATGGGGGTGGTGGGGGGATAGGGAAGGTTCGAGGGAACATGTGAAGGGAGAGAAGAAACAGCTTATTTGAACAATTGAACAAGTCAAGAGCACTTGAGGCTGAGGGGCCTGAGAGTTCTAGACCCAGATGTCGAAGGAGCTGAGGGTGTGGTTGTCGGGGTGGTTTAAGGAAGAAACTGAAGGCCAATGTGGCTGAAGTGCCCTGACTGAAGGAGAGTTGCAAGACCAGAACCTTTTGGCCTTCCTATAGAGTTGCAGTGGGGAGCCATTGAAAAGTTTTCAGCATATGAGTTAAAAGTCAACTGTATTTTATTCCATGTCTTTGCTATTGTGAATAGTGCTGCATTAACTATATTTTAAATGGGAATCTTATGTATATTCTAACCTTGGGGCTGGTGTCTTATTTCTCTCTAGTGACTTGCATACAAGATCCCATCTTTGCATATAAGTAATTTATCTTTTATCATTAAAACAATTTTTCTACTTCATTACTGCTCACTTGATGAGAGATTCCTTATCACTTAAATTCAAATTCTTTTCCATCATTCACCTTCCTTGACTGTCCCACATGGTATTGAGGGAGGGAGGAAGCACACATTTCTACAGTGCCTGCTATGTGCAAGACTCTCTTGGCTTTAAGGCGTACTTTATATTGTTATGCACAAGACCTTGTTTAACCAATGAGGAAACAGGTTCCAAGATGGTAAGTGATTTGCCTAGTGCTGGAATCAGGATTTGCATCCAGGTCTATGGTTCCCTCCTCCCTTTAGCCCCCAAAGGGGGCTCCCCAAAGCACCTCAGAGCTTTGCTGTCTGTGTCAGGTTGCTCTGTTATCATGATGATAGAGGTAGGTAAGACTGTGAGCTTAATCAGATTAAGGTGTTATTCTTCTCTGTGGACAATCTTAGAGTTTGCAAAAGCATATATGTCATTGCTTCACAGTGCACCATTGATCTTATTCATTTGAACATTTTCACTGTGGTTCTTCTAACAGTACTGCGATAACTTTGTTTTTGTCCTTGTAACCATTAAGGACTCAAATACAGAGATACTCTCCATGTCCATTTTCGTGTATGCACATTGACTTTGTTGAAAATAGAGAAATTTACTATCTTGTTGTAAAATTTTTTTGTTCATTTGGTCTTCAGCTTTCATTAGCACTCAGTATGCAAATTAAAATAGCTAAACCATATCTATTCCATTCTACATGAATTTAGTAATTTAGTTTTTATGAAAAATACCAAATGAGCTTGATTGGTCACTTTGCAACAATCAAAAATGTTGCCAATAAACTTGTAATCAGTCTATATAGTTCTTTTCCAGAGTAAGAATTTTATTTTGGAGGAAGATTTCCTAGCAGTCTACTTGGGGAAATTATAATAGTTATTTTTCTCCTTGAAAATGAAGGAAGAAAGCTTTTAAGTGGTTTAAACTTAATCTATCTGGCTGAATTACATTGGCCCCTTTTCAATATTACTCTTTTCATAAAGCGTTGGTAAACATAAGTAACAAAGTAATCTTTCATCATTTTATCAACAATTTTTCTACTAAATTGCTGCTCACTTTATGACACCCTTTAGTGATGGATTTCTACGCTTTCAGTGATTTGGGTGTCAGAAAGTTATATCCTCTATTTCTACAAAATGTATTATAATGTTAGTCAAGATTTTCCTATTTTGGTAACTTTATTAAAATTACAAAACACATATTCTCATAGAACAATTAGAAACTGGGAATGAGCAAAAATAAAAATTATCCACAATTGGTACATTCCGGGCTTTTCTTTGTGCATATATACTCTGGAGCGAGACTACTTAGGTTGGAATTCCAGTTCTGTCACTTACTCTGTGACCTTGGGAAAGTTATCTAAATTTTCTTTGCCTCAGTGTCTTAATCTGTAAAATGAGTAACTATCTCCGGGTTACTGTGGGGGTTGAATGAGTTAATACATGTAAAATGCTTAGAATATTGCCTTTCCCCTAGTAAGAGCCACATACATGGGTTTTAAAAGACCTTTTATTATGGAGAATTTCAAACATAAAAATAGAGACTAGTATTATGAATTCCAGTGTACCTATTATTAACATTTAGACATTCCTGTTTCATCTATCAGTCTTCTTTTATTTTTCTTTCAATACTTGGGTATTTTATAGAAAATCCCAAATATTACATCCTTACACTGTGTATACTTTGTACCATATTAATATCTGCTAAGAATTAGGTAGGTTATTTTAGAGAGTGAGTATTCAAAATTTGAGTCATTTTTAAGGGGAGAAAATACAAGCAAAATATCTAAAGTATCCATTCTGTGATGTTTTACTAATTTAGTTAACTGAATGGTATTTGAAGTAAGATTGTGAATGTGGAGATTTTGCGATCATTTATTGGCCAATAACACATTTAAAATAATTAGGTATCAGTTTTATTTTAAATATACTGTAAATATTTTATATGAACATGAAGTCTTTATTTAGAAAATGTTTTGTACTGGGCAATATATGTAATTGTTTTGGTGAAGGAAAAATACTTAAAAATTATAATATTGGAAAAAAAAAAGTCAACTTTGAAGATTTAGATTGGATGCTGAAAAAATTCTAGAGATTCATAAGCCCTTAGATTTTAAAAAATAACTATTTTTCATTGATATACTCATATATTTAGCATATACATATCCATATGCCACAAGTTAAAACACAGAATAATTAGAGAAAATTTGTAACTAGTTAGGCATTATTCAGTTTTAAGTTTTTTTTTTTTTTTTTTTTTTTTTTTTTAAACAGTGGCTGGTTCTGTCACCCAGGCTGGAATACAGTGGCACAATCCTGGCTCTCTGGAGCCTTGATCTACTGGACTCAAGTGATCTTCCCACCTCAGCCTCCCAAGTAGCTGTTTCTACGGGCATGAGCCACCATACCCGGCTAATTTTTAAACTTTTTGTAGAGATGGAGTCTCCTTATGTTGCCCAGGCTGGTCTCAAACTCTTGGGCTCAAGTGATCCTCTTGTCTTGACCTCCCAAAGTCTTGGGATTACAGGTATGAGCCACCGTGCCTGGCCAAGTTTGTAGTTTTATTTTTTATTTTAATGCCTGTTTTCCTGGACAGCAATCAGTTCTGACTTGGAATTTCCTGCCTTTGATCTTATTTTAGGCTCCCATTTCAAAATCTGTAAGTAGCATGTGATATTGAGAAGGAACTAAATTGTAAAGGCAGGAATTTGATAGAATTCATTGTACTTTTATTAAATGGCAGCCAGTGAGATCATCTGAACTCATAGTCATGTAAATTTTCTCAGTACTTGAATTATTGATCTTAAAATTCCTGGATACGATGCAGTGATATGGAATTGTGCAGGTCATGCCTCATGTTACCGATGGTCCAGTGGAAAGAACACTTGGTTGGAAGTCAAGAAACCTCTGTTCTCACTTGAACTCTGTCATGATGACTTTCCTTTTTGGCAAGTTGCTTTAACCTCTCTGACATTGTTTCTTCATTTCTCTAGTGAAAATATGTAGGGAGGGAGATGATGTTAGGTCCATTATATTAGTTAAGGAAGTGCTAGATATTGCAACAAGGAGACCCCAAAATGAAATGGTTCAAACAGTGTAGAAGTTTTTCCTGTAATAGTTGGAGTTCCAGGTATGTAGCCGTGCAGCAAGCTATCATTTAGGGATCCACGTTCTTCCCATTTTGTTTCTTCAACAGAGTCCCAGGGCCATTGTCTTCATGTGCGTGGTTGTGTCTAGGCTGTTGCCCAGAATTCACTCTGGTTCCGAA
This sequence comes from Homo sapiens, assembly GCF_000001405.40. Lineage (NCBI taxonomy): Eukaryota > Metazoa > Chordata > Mammalia > Primates > Hominidae > Homo > Homo sapiens. The sequence goes on from NC_000009.12 coordinate 20,706,954, forward strand.
GAGAGAGTGGAGGAAGCAGACCCCAGCCTGGAAATGGCATGTCACTTTTGCTCAAACACCACTGGAGAGAACTTGATCACATATTCTTACTGTACCATATTTGAGGCTGGGAAATGTAATGAAGTTGTTCAGGTTACAGTTTTGTTAATACAAAAGAAGAGAACAGATATTGGTGGATAAATAGCAGTCTCTTCCACATCATATGGTTGCTGCTTTCTCTGATTATAATATTGACCAAGTGGCTCTGTCACACCACTGAGTTGCTATCTACTTCAGCTTGATTTTGAAATTATTGGCTAAGATAAAAGTATTTTCTACTCTGGGTTTAATTTTAATGTGTCTTAATGGTCTCTCTGAGAATATAATAACTAAAAATTACTGTTTTCTTACACCTGCTCTTTATTGTTGAAAACTTTCAATTTTTATGAATTTTTATGAATCATATACAGTTGACCCTTGAACAATTTGGGGTCTTGGGGTGCCAATCCCTCATGCAGTCAGAAACCTGTATGTAACTTTTTACTCCCCAAGAACTTAACTACCAATAGTCTTATGGATATTATAAACAGTTGATTCGTACACATTTTATGTATTATATATACTGTGTTCTTACAACAAAGAAAGCTAGAGAAAAGAAATTAAGAAAATCATAAAGAAGAGAACTTTTCATTAAGTGGAAGTGGATCGTCATAAAGGTCTTCATCTTCACCTTCGTGTTGAGTAGGGTGAGGAGGAGGAAGAAAAGGGGAGGTTGGTCTTGCTGTCTCAGGGGTGCCAGAGGTAGAAGAAAAGCCACGTATAAGTGGACCTTTTCTCAAGGGTCAACTGTGGTTAAAAGGGTTCCAATTATCTTGTCCTGTTATTTTGGGAGTGTTGGTGGCAGTTGGATTTTTTAAGCCTTTGAAGCAAGAGCTGAGGCTAAGTGTGAGCAGGTGTCAGGATTTCATACAAGGTGATGAAACAATCGAGCTGCCTGATCTTAGAGAGGGTACATGGAAATACTTAGGGACTGGGAAGCAGTAGATGAGAAGCTAAGCAGCAGAAGAATGAGAAAGAGATCCATATTAGACAGTACAACAAGGTGGGCATTTGAAAAGTATAGGCAGAATTTTCCCCCTCTTTTTTGAGGGACAGGGTCAGTCAGTTGGTGACTCTAGAATCCACCCTTGAGCCATAGTCTTGATAAATTTATAAAATCAGCTCAAAATTTATTGATAGTGCCCATCAGCTTTTCTATAAGCCATCCACAACAAGTAAGAAAAAAGATAAAAATTGTCAAAATATTTGTTTAAAAGTATGGTTTTAGGCTGATGGTTCCATAGCTTAATTTGTGGGAGGAAGAAACTAAGTAAATTCCATAACTGATAATTGGAATAGTTAATAAAATGTTAGAAAAAGAAAAGTCCTGGATTTTGTGTCTCTAAAACATAGAGCCCATTAATGTGAATGAAGTACTTATTTTTTTATCAGCCATTTTATCAGTGTGCTGATGATACTGCTCCTGTAAACTAGCTTTAAGAATGTACTCTGGGCTGGATGTGGTGGCTCACACCTGTAGTAATCCCAGTGCTTTGGGAGGCTGAGGGTGGGAGGATCACTTGAGCCCAGGAGTTTGAGACCAGCCCGAGGAACAGAGGGAGTCCCCGTTGCTACAAAAAATTTTAAAAAAACTTTAGCCAGGCACGGTGGTGCATGCCTGTAGTCCCAGCTACTTGGAAGGCTGAGGATGGGCGGATCACTTGAGCCCTGGAGTTTGAGGCTGCAGTGACCTATGATTGTGTCACTGTACTCCAGCTTGAGTGACAGAGTGAGAGACCCTGTCTCTTAAGGAAAAAAAAAAAAATTCTGTTTAGCCCTGAGTTTCAGCCATATGACTGCCCTTGAGCCGTTCCTATATAGAAATTTGGTAGTCAAGAGTGCTCAAAGTCAAATGTCTGTCTTCGTCATCATTGGACCCTCCTCCTCCAACTACCTTGTATATCAGTTATTGTCTCTGCTGGGTTTTCATAATTGTTAGATTTCCTCTTGCTTTTAAGATTGTGTCCTTTATTTGAGGTTTGACATTAAGTACTTTTGTGTGATACATAGTTGTACAATATCCTAGAGAAACTATTGAGAAAGTTGAAAACCCAAAGTGTTTTATCTACTGCTCTTTTATTAGTGCAATTGATAGATTAATTTTCTTGGAAGTATTCTTAGGGGCTGAACTACCTTGGCAGATAATGTGATAATTGCTTATATTAAACAACTGTTTTGATTCACTGGGAACTTAAAGACTTCATTAAAAATTCTCTTTCTGATTTAGGTTTAGACAGACAAAAAAGGCATATTGAAAGGTTGGAGATAAATCTTTGAAAATCAAACATGCATTTTTGTAGCATGTGGTTTATGGATTATATTGTTACTGGTTTCCTTTTAGTAAAATGGCATGACAAGAAGTAATATATAAATTGTTTTTCCTTAATGTATAAAATACCCAAAGGAAATTGAGTTTGAAAATAACGTAGACTGCTCTCCAGACTGGGTGACAAAGTGAAACCGTCTCTGTCTCTTAAAAAAAAAAAAAAAAAAAAAAGTAGGACACGTACTACACTTGCCAATGCTAAAGTGACCATGTGTACTGTTTTTTGAAATTCCCTAAGAGGATATGATGTTTTATACCTAGAAAAGGCCAATGTTTGTGATTAACCTTGAAATATAAGTCTTCAGCAAATGAAAGACACTTGCAATTTGTAGCCCAGTGATAGCAAATCAAGAATGATGTAAAGTCATATTGCAGCTTGGGTAGTGGTTTTGAGAATGCTTAATGGCCATTTGTTAGGAAAGGTAAAGTTACTATAGATTTAAAAAACATATTCATTCTCTGAGGTGTCACACTGAAATTAGGGCTGTCTTTTGTAATCTTTGGTATTTGTCATCTGTACTTAGGTAATTTAGATAAAAACAACACTGTTTTTCCACAGTGGCCCACCTCCTGAAAACAAGGTCATCTTTTTGGATGGCTCAGCTTCTTCACTTCTATAATAAGCTATTAGCCTACCCAGCTGCTCACCTGGTCCCCAAAGACATACTGGAATTACAGCATTCTGGGCCTGGATCAGAGTGCATAGCCCCACATCTTCTTCTGTATAGTTCTATCACCATTGATATTTGAGTAATTATATTCTGTGACATATCAATAATCTTACCTGCTTCTGTGGATACTGTAAAGTCAGCCTTCTGTTGAGTTAGATTAGATCATCAGAAAACTCTGTACTTGGATCCCAGTAGCTGAGATTTTTTTTTTTTTTTTTTTTTTTGCTGAATAACATGTTACATTTTGCCTGTGGCTTTATCCAGGGTTTGCTTAAAAAGTAATATTACTGGGCACGGTGGCTCACACCTGTAATCGCAGCACTTTGGGAGGCCGAGATGGGCAGATCACCTGAGGTCAGGATTTTGAGACCAGCCTCGCCAACATGGTGAAACCCCTCCTCTACTAAAAATACAAAAAATTAGCCAGGCGTGGTGGCGGGCACCTGTAATCCCAGCTACTCTGGAGGCTGAGGCAGGAGAATTGCTTGAACCCAGAGGTGGAGGCTGCAGTGAGCTGGTATCACGCCATTTCACTCTAGCCTGGGCAACAAAAGCGTAACTCTGTCTCAAAAAAAAAAAATAATAATATAACATTTCCTTTTGCTTTTGTTATTGAGAATATTGCATATTATATCACTCTATATTCCATTTATAAAGCCCAATGTAAGAAATTTCCTTCAGAGTTTAAGGTCACAAAAATGTTTGTTTTCTTTGATAAAGGATATTTTCTTACCTTTTAGATTATAAAAGAGGTATCATTTATTTTGTTTATTTACCCTAGCTGCCTGGGAGCACAGGGCCAAATTTGAATGTTAATTGTAGGAATTATGTCAAGAAATTTTGTAAATTAATTTAAAAATAGTTTTATGTACTGGGAGTTAGCAAACTATGGGCCACCCACTTCTTTTTGTAAATAAAGTTTGATCAGAACACAGCTATAGTCATTTATTTATGTATTGCCTATTGCTTTCATGCTACAATGGCAGACTTGAGTAGTTGCTCTCTGGCCCTTTACAGAAAAAAGATTTCTAGTCCTGATACAAATAGTTACATGTGCCTCAGACCAAAATGCAGTAACACTGAATATAAAGCAATATGATTACTGTTAGATGTAGCTAGTTGGAAGAGGCTTAACAGAGATGTGCTATGAAAGGAGTTTAATATTTAAGCAGTGGAAGCATATAGGAGACATTTTATGTGGGAGAGAAGAAATGAAATCCTGTAGGATTGAGCAGATTTTGAACATGTGGGACCATTTTGGAAACTGTTTTAGCTAGATTAGAATTACAGCAGTGAAAATGAAGTTGAATGGGTAAGACTGTTGATAGGAAGGCATAAAAGCTAGGCATCAGGATTTGCATTTAATCCAACAAACAATTGAAAACCCGCTATGAAAATTTCACAGGGAAATGATATGATGGGAACAGCATTTCAGTACAGCTAATCTGACAGCAGTGTACTAACTCAGCATGGAGAGCCCCAAGACTAAGCAGTTACTGGAGTAAGCCTGCCATGAGGAACTAAGATGATGAGTGTAGAATGAAGAGGAATAGTAACCTCTGAGGTGCTGGAAAGAAGGAAGCCGATTTTGTGGCTGACTGGATTTAGAGAGTGGTGGTGAACGAAATTGTGAGAGGATAACTGGGGTAAAATGAACTGAAGTGACAGTTTTTTGAAAGGAAATATGTGTTTTGTTTTTGATGTCCCTAATTTCTGGTGTTTTAGAGCCTCCTAAGAGAAAGTATGGAAGCGTTTGGAGATCTGTGCCAGATGACGACTGATAGCTGTGGGAGAGTTTGTATGGAGGGACAACAGCACAAGGCAGAGTGGCTGGGGAGTGCCTCCAGGAGGGAAGATAGCACTCGAGGAGCAGAGTGGACAGAGGAACAGGAGGAGTCAGTAAAACAGTGTTTCCCAGTGTGTATCCCAGGACAGACTGATAGTATAGATGGTTAGCAGGTATTTCCATTGTTGCATGGCCAGATAGATTTGATAAATTCTGGGTTAAGCAAAGTTAAATAGACTTCTTGTATTAGACCCTCTTATGTTCTTTAATAATATGCAACATTATTTATATCTCCACTACGATCTCTCCCTCCAAGTTTAGATTCCTGTATTCGACTTTCTACGAGACATTTCCCCTTGGGATACCTGTGAGGCATCTAAAACTTAACTGTCCAAAATGGAATTCTTTGTCTTCCTCACAAAACTTGGTTCCCCATGTCAGGTGATGGCAGCTCTATCTTTTCTTTTTAGTAAAAAAACGCCGTGGTAAGAAGTAACATAGAAATTATATTGTTCCATGTGTAAAATGGCCAAAGGAATTGAGATAAAAAATAAAGTTGCTCAAGCTGGGCATGGTGGCTCACGCCTGTAATCCTAGCACTTTGGGAGGCCGAGGCGGGCGGATCACTTGAGGTCAGGAGTTCGAGACTAGCCTGGCCAACATGGTGAAACCTGTCTCTACTAAAAATACAAAAATTAGCTGAGCCCAGTGGTGGTGGGTGCCTGTAATCCCAGCTACTCGGGAGGCTGAGGCAGGAGAATTGCTTGAACCTGGGAGGCGGAGGTTAGTGAGCTGAGATCGCACCACTGCACTCCAGCCTGGGTGACAGAGTGAGACTCTGTCTCACAAAAAAGAAAAAAAAAGTTGCTCAGATTAAAAACCTTGGAGTCATCCTTGACTCCTTTCTCCTATATTCTTTTTTTTTTTTTTTTTTTTTTGACAGAATCTCACTCAGTCACCCAGCCTGGAGTGCAGTGGCACAACCTCGGCTTATTGCAACCTCCACCTCCCGGGTTCAAGTGATTCTCCTATCCCAGCCTCCTGAGTAACTGGGATTATAGGTGCACACCACCACATCTGGCTAATTTTTGTATTTTTAGTAGAGACAGGGTTTCGCCATGTTGGCCAGGCTAGTCTCGAACTCCTGACTTCAGGTGATCTGCCTGCCTCAGCCTCCCAAAGTGCTGGGATTACAGGTGTGAGCTACCATGCCTGGCCCTTTCTTCTGTGCTCTTATCCAATCCATTAGCAGCCACATTGGCTTTCCCTTCAAATATATCCAGAATGTGACCACTTGGTACCCCAAGTGATTCTATTGAAATCCTACTGCCTCTTTGTGCAGTAGCTTTCCATTTCACTCAGGATAAGTGTGTCAGTCCCTGTAGTGGCCTACAAGGCCTTTTATGACCTGGCTTCTCATTGATCCTTTGACCTGATTTACCATTCTTTTCCTCCTTCACTCTGCTGTATGCACATCTCTTTATTCTTCCTAAGACAGGGCTTAAGCAATTTATTAGCTTAGGGCTTTTTCCTGTGCCTGTGACACTCTTCCGCCTAGATATCTGTTTGGCTAATCTAACTTCCTTTCCTCCTTTAAGTCTGTTCACATGCCACCCTCTCTAGAAGAGACTGACCTGGACTACCATATTTAAAATGGAAAGTGTGCACTTCTCCCATTTCTCATCTCCTTTATTCTGCTTCACTTTTTTTTAATTAGCACTTACCATCTTCTAACATATTTTATGTATTATTTGTTTAAAAAATTATCTGCTGCTTTCTACTAGACTGTAAGCTCCATAAATGCAGAGATTTTTTGCCTATTTTGTTCACTGATATAACTCAAGCACCTAGAACTGTGCTGGACACACAATAGGCAACTAATAAGTATTTGTTAAATGAGTGAATGAATTTCAAGATAGGAATATATGTCCGCATAGAATCTTTCTTTCACCCATGGAGATATTTTTTTCCTGTGTTTCCCAGGGACACACTTTAGGAGACTCTGTTGTGAGTATTATGGAATTCAAAGGAGGAGAAAACTACAAGAAAGTTGTGATTGACACAATTGGGAAGTTAAAAATTTTTGACCTGCTTAAGCTAATAAAGTAGATTTAGATAGGAAAATAGTTTGCAATCTTAGAACAAGTTGTTTTAGTGTTGTGGAATGTCAAATTCGGGGAGGAAAGTTGGACATAGATGTCGAAGAAAAATACCAGGATAAATTACCCATTCAGGGAGTTTAGCTTTGGATAAAAGGGTGGAAAGTACAGATTGAGTATTCTTTATCTGAAATGCTCGGGACCAGAAGTGTTTTGGATTTGGATTTAAAAAAAAAATTTTTTTTTGGACTATTTGCATATACTTTAAACCGGTTGAAAATCCAATCTGAAAATCCAAAGTGCTCCAATGAGCATTTCCTTTGAGTGTCACGTCAGTGCTCAAAAAGTTTCAGATTTTGTAACATTTTGAATTTTGTATTTTCAGATTAGGGTTGCTCAACCTGCAGTTAGAAAAGGCTGCTAGTTCATTACAATATGCTTTGTTTTTTGAGATCAAGGGAACTTGGTTTTTCTGCTTGTTATAAGTTAATCTAGGGCTGTTTATTGACATAAATTTTAATTTTAATTATATTGTAAAAGTAGGTGACCTAGAGGGCCCTGTTTTTCAAAATAATGTAATTGGTAGGTTCAGTGCTTCATGGAAATGGGATAAATTGGGATCCTTAGGAAATCCTCTTATTAGTTCCATGGTCCTGCTTTACCACCTGCCTTCCCCATCCTTTTGCATGCTTGCCTGCCTGCCTGCCTGCCTGCCTGCCTGCCTTCCTTCCTTCCTTCCTTCCTTCCTTCCTTCCTTCCTTCCTTCCTTCCTTCCTTCCTTCCTTCCTCTCTCTTTCTCTCTTTCACTTTTCTTTTCTTGTGAGCCCAGTAGGAATGATAAGTGAGATATAAATATTAAAAGTTGGTGCTAATTGTTTGCTTGTTCCTCCTTTAGGAAACAGTCTGTTTTAATGTGTGAACTTCTAGGTCTTTTCTATACTTCTTGAAAAAAGTTCACCTAGGCTTCACACTTGTCACTAGCAGTTGGATTAGTGCTTAGATGAAAGCTTGTGCCAAAGTGAGGCATAGATGAAGTAATTTTATGACCGTTTGACTCTTTCTCCCTTATAAGTTTTGATCCACAAAAGAATTAATTTCTATTTCAAATGTGTGGTTGAACTTTTGGATGTTTTTTTCATTTCCGTAGTGCAAATTCATCTTTTTCAGGATTAGCTCTCATGGGAAAAACCAAGAGCTGTTGGGCATTTTTAGTTTATTTATCAATCATGACATTTGAGTGCTGGATGACAATGAAGTTTTGCCAAGGATTACTCTGCAGAGCCCTGTGCTTTATTTCCATTGTTATCTTTGGAATGGATTACATTCACATTATTTGAGGAATAATTAATTGGAGCCCCAATTCAGACCAGTTGGAAGACTAACAAATATTCTTTTGTTTTGGTTACAGAAGCTGCACACATACATGTAAGAGAAGCAAAAATGTCAGATGATATCAGGAAAAGGTTTGAATTTCCAAATTCTCTTATCCAATCACAGGTAATTTTGTTTGTTTATTTTTGCTCATGGTAACAAATAAACCTGTTCTGTGGATTTTTAACTGAACTTTATATATTTAATATTAAATATTTTATTCTACATGTAGAGATTTATATTTTGTGAAACAACTTTAAATATACATTTAATTTGAAAATATATATTTGACATGGAAAGCAAATATTTGAAATTGATCAATCTCAGCTTCTGTTTATATATCATACTTTTCTTCCTAGAGATAATAAAACCTTGATTAACTAGTAGGCCCCTGAATATGTTTGTTTGGTTTTTTTTGGCCTATGATTATTGGGAACAGAGGTAAACAGTTATATGTCTGAAGAGTATGAGGGATTAATATTTAAGAAGACATATCCTACCCCTTATATAGATTTTTATAATAATGATATTTAATAAGTAAAATATCCTGGATTAGAAAATTTGATATATCTACTAAGATAGAAGATTGTGATAACTTTAAAGAGCTTTTCAATAATTAAATAGTTAAAACAAAGATGGCTTTCTGGGTAGCCTTTAGCTAACTAGAAACATTCTGGTTAATCAAGGTATCATAATAGCTTATTGTCTTTTCTTGTGAGAGTAAAGCTAACAGACCAGCAGAAGCCATCTTGAAGACTTAACAACATACAGCACCTTGGATACTTTCAACAATTAACTTCGGAGATGTCTGCTGTGGGAATTGACTTAGCTGGGTAGTGGGGAACCCTTCCATGAGGAGTAGAACACTCCTTATGCAAGATTCCCTTCTACCTGGCTGGGTTGGAGTCATATCCTGCAGGTCCTTACCATGAAGAAGAAGATGAAGGCTTGGAGGATACTATTCACAGTTTTATTTTTCTGTGCCTGGAGTCTCTTTGTTAACATAGATAATCAAGAAATGCCCATACGTGTTACTGTTAAATTAGGTGAAAAAAATATATATATATATTTATATTGTTTAGTGTAGGATGGCTATTTGAATTCTGTTATAGAACACTTAAGTAGCAATGTAGGCTGATTTATCCTTGGGTTTTGTATTTTAAAAAATCAGTTTAGGCTAGTATCTCTGATTTGTTAGAAGATGAAGTGAAAAGTATATTAGATAAATTCAACCTGGTGGGGAATGGGGAATTAAGCTTCTCTTCTTTTATTTCTTTTTCTAGATATGAACTATAGCTTTTTCTTTGTCCCTATTGTGTTTCATATTAGTTTTATTAGGTTCTTGTGATTGTGTCCTGTCCTTTGCAAATATTTCTTATTGTTCTTCTGTAACCACTGCTCGATGTTAGCACCATATTTCTTTGATTCACACACGTTTTTTTTCAGATTTTAACATCTTTGAAATTGGATTGCCTCTAGTAATTGATGGCAGCAGTTGAGATACAGTTGGTATTGCCTGCACATTTGTGAACTTGGGCATGATTTTCTACACGAGTCTAAAAGAACTCTTGTGTGACTATAAAACCAAAATTCCGACTTATAAGAAGCACTGTATATCATAGACTAATTGGCAGCCTTTTTTCTTTCTTAGTGGCACACAGTATAATGGTGCAACTTGCAATTCCTGGTCAGTTCCATTCAATGAAATATGGTATGTTTTGTAAAACAGGAGCTCAACCTATCCATGGGTGCTCAGTTCTTATTACTATTCCTTTTACTAGGAGATAAGAGACAGTAAGTTGGACTAAACTTAATATTCATGTAAATGAGTGACTTATATCACAAAACTAGACCACAAGCACCACGGTCTTAAATCAGTTCCAATGTGTGAAATACAAAGAGAAAAATGAGGAAGGAGTGGGTGCTGTGTTTTTATTTGAGCTGTTCTGGAGACTTTGCAGGACTGACAGTTATTCACAGCTATACCGTAATTTGGTCCCAAGTGCAGGATGGACAGTTGTAGCAATAGTGAAGTAGTTTCCAACCCGTACACAGAATGGCAATGATTGTTGCTAGCCTATTGGCTCTAAGACATATTCTTCATATTCGTTAACAGTGTGATGAAGCATGGTGGATTTCGTTTCAGTGCAAAGATGATTTTAAAAACTATGGGCTTTCTCATTCATGTTTTAATGGAGTAAGCAATCTCAAGTTATCTTCTGATACTGACAGCAATTTGAACCAAAAATCTGGCAGTTTTCTTAACCTCTATGCACTATAGTTGCTTATTGGTAACCTGGGATAGATATGCCTACCTTGAGGGCTATTCTGAAGATTAGAAATTGTGCATGTGGAGTGCCTAATTCAATGCCTTCTACATAGCACACACTTAGTTAATGGGAATTTTACTTAATCCTAATTGACTGCCTGGCATACTCATATCAACTAGTATTGATATTTGGAAAGAACTTCTAAGGGACTGTGTTCATTAATTTTATTTCTTTTTAAGGCTGTGGGTCATCTTATTGCTGCAGTCCTAAAGGAAAATGGTTTTTCAGAAAAGATTCACCAATCTACAAATCAGGTCTGTGTTTAACTTTATGCTTTAATTCTCTTCAGATAAGATTGCTACTAGCTGGATCACATATGCACCTGTCTTGTTTCCCTGATAGTTCAGATCACAGTAGAAATGCTTTTGAACTGTGAGAACTTCATTGCCTTTTTTGTTTATTTGTTTGCCTTTTTAATATATAGCAATAAAAAAGTTTTAAATTTATTAAAACCCTCTAGGAATGAGACATGGAGGGAAGGGCTGGAGAGGAGTATTCTTATGACTATTAATGAAAAATAATATGGGTGGAATGAGAGAAAGCATGCTTTAGAGAAGATTGATAGAGTTACCTCTGAGGGAATTATTTTGGTAATGAAGAGAATGAACAGAGTGGCTCTGTTTGGATGTAGATTTCTCATGCTTCAGCTCAGCCCCAGCTGTGAGTTCTTAGTTGGAAAGGTCATACATTGACAGTCAAAGCTGAAAAATTCCATCTTACACAAATAGCAGGTGAATGCTCAGAGTTGAAGCAATGCCAGCTTACTGAGATACACTTGGGGTTTGGTTGATCAGTGTTGTGTGTTTTGACCTGCTAGTTGGGAAACTCTTCTTTTAAGAGAGGTGTTCTCAGGTGTCCTCTATAGGGAACATAAGTGATGGAAATAAGATTCTTTTTTTTCACAGCAGAAATAAATTGATTTCCTTTGTCTCACATTCTTTTTGATTAGCTGCTCCAAGTTACATTTCTTTATTGCTTCTGCAGACATGTTGAAGTAAGTGTAGGACACACTTCACTAATTGGCATTTTTCTGGTGTTTGTATGTAGTCATATAAATTAGGTTTTCTGAAAACTCTGATCCTAATCCTGCCTATAATCACATTGTGTACTTTGAGAAGATCTAGTGATTTTACTTAAACTGCCAGGATTTATTGAATGTCAAATCCCTGTAACTGTTTCCTCTTCTACTAAAAATGAATGCTTACACAGTCTTACCTGAGGCAGCAGTTTATTTATTTGTTTGTTTTGTTTTTCCGGTGTAATAATAGAGTGATGACATTTAGAACCTTTTGATATTGTCAGTACAGCTGAACACAATGTCCTTATGAATAAAAGGAGAAGTGGAATATAAATATTTCCTTCCTGTAGTGATTGTTAACTGTATTGTTATTTTAATAGTGGGATGCTAAGATAGAAAAGATTCTTAGCCAGCTACAGAGGGAAAGTGGGTACAAAATGATGTTGATTTTCTTTTCTTTTTTTTTTGAGACAGAGTCTGGCTCTGTCGCCCAGCCTGGAGTGCAGTGGTGTGATCTCAGCTCACTGCAACTTCTGCCTCCTGGGTTCAAGCAGTTCTCATATCTCAGCCTCCCGAGTAGCTGGGACTACAGGTGTGTGCCACCACACCCAGCCAGTTTTTTGTATTTTTAGTAGAGACTGGGTTTCACCATGTTGGCCAGGCTGGTCTCGAACTTCTGACCTCAGTTGATCCACCCGCCTTGGCCTCCCAAAGTGTTGGGATTACAGGCATGAGCCACAGTGCCTGGCCTTGATTTTCATTCTTTTATTAATAGTTATTCTTTGGGAGCCGGGATATTAATTTTTCCCAAATTATATATTTCCCTAATAAGTTGCATCAGGAAAAAGGAAAAATTGCTTCATTATTTGTTCTTTTTTTTTTATAATACAACTGTGTGTAAGTCTAAATGGACTTTATCTGCAATATAGTCATATAGGTTTATTGTTAGTAGTGAACCATTTTGGTGGTCCTGGATTCCTGAGAAAGTTATAAAAGCTAGAACCCCTGCTTTGATAGGGTATTCTAAAATGAAAACTTATATTTACTTATATGTCCTTCTCATGCTCTTCTATCAGTGAAGACAGAGTCACAGTGTGAGAGGGGGAAAGTCACAGTTTCTTTCTTGGGCAAACAGTTTTCCTAGGCTTTTTTTTTTTTTTTTTTTTTTTTGGTAGCCATGGACTGAGCAGCTTGCTGGTGGCCTGTCCTACTTCTCTCTTTATATCTGGGCCCACGTTAGACTTCAAGAAATTGTGGCAAGGGCATTGTGGGTGGTGGTAAGGTGCATGTAGGTGATAGAGGTTGGTAGTAGGAGAGAAGGAACATCTTCTGAAAATAACTGTTATTGTCATTGAAGGCTTATGGCATAAATAGTATTTGGAGTTCAACTCAGGCTAGCTGATATACTATTAGTGTCTGGTTAAATTGTTTGGTTAGAGCAATGTGCTAGAGCCAAGTTTTAGCTTTGTTGTGTTGCTTGAACTCGGGTCATACCTCTGCCTGCAGCCAGCCTTGTTTTATAGCCATGATACCAGGTGAGAGAGAGTTGCTGTATCAAAACACATCCATTACCTCTCTTGGAAAATTGACTTCATTTTATTCTAGGAACAGAGTGACAACAGCATCATCTTTATAAAGGAAAGCTAGCCTACTGTGAACAAATTACTCATTGATGAATGACCAAAGGTGTGTGTGTGTGTGTTTGCTGCTCATCAGAATTGTCTTCTAATCACTGGTTTGGTTTCAGACTCCTGCTTTGAACTTGCTGTGGGAGAAGTGTTGCAGTGACAATGTAGTGGTTCGAACAGCCTGCTGTGAAGGTCTGGTGGCACTCGTTGCTCAGGATCATGCAGAGTTCAGCTATGTTCTCAATGGGATACTCAACTTGATTCCATCAACCAGGTACTTTTTCCTCAGTGTTTGGTCAGTTAATGATTTAAGTTTTTAGGAAAAAAATTCACTAAATCACTATTAAGAGTCAGCATTCATCCTACTTGCCAGTTGTTTTTCTTGCTCTTAAAATGTCATGAGTTGCTGTTTCATATATGAAAATATCATGCTAATTTAAACCCTATAGTTTCAGAATTTGTGGTCATTTGCGGTACTTAAGTTTTGGGGCTCTACTTAAATTTGTCGTTGCCCTTTTTAAGAAGAAAATAGCTAAACAGTTTATAATTCAAAAATGTAATGCAGATTCCTGACATTTTAAGAAAGAAGGTTGTCCATAAGCAATGCTTCTTCCACAGTGGTATAGTTTATACATTGTAGTGGCATTACTTGGCCAGGCCTTGGCATTAGTGTATTAGAAAATAATGGCATTTATTTCTCAAATATTTTGTGATTTAGGGATGTCTTCCCCCTGATTTTTCAAAGTTAATAATGTTTTGTTCTTTGAATTTGTTTGGTATGACCATATTTCGTCCATTTACAGACTGAGGTAATAGGACAATAAGGAATAAGAGGGTTCCATTCAGAAATGGTCAAACAGGACCATGTTTGAACCAGTGAGCCTCTGTTATAAAATACTCCCTGAAAAAGAGTTGTCACTCTTTGCTTCAAGAAATTGTCTTGATCTATATGTCCTAATTTTTGACTACTTCAAATCATTTGGGCTTTTGCCCCCTTCCCTCACCTCTCACCAAGCCTCCCTCCTCCTTGGTGAAGCTACTTGTTTTTCCAGTGTTTTTCACTCACCTTTATTATAGTATCATCGGGCTGAGTACTTAATTTTTTTCCCTGCCTTCAGTGGAGATGGAGTACAGCTGTAATTATCAATTTGTGGAAAGATGCTGGATGCAGTGGGTCACGCCTGTAATCCTAGCACTTTGGGAGGCTGAGGCGGGCGGATCACCTGACGTCAGGAGTTCGAGACCAGCCTGGCCAACATGATGAGACTGTGTCTCTACTAAAAATACAAAAATTAGCTGGGCGTGGTGATGCGTGCCTGTAATCCCAGCTACTCAGGAGACTAAGGCGTGAGAATCACTTGAACCCAGGAGGTGGAGGTTGCAGTGAACCGAGATTACACCACTGCACTCCAGCCTGGGTGACAGAGTGAAATTCCATCTTAACAACAACAACAAAAATTTGTGGAAAGATTCCTGGGCTTGAAGTTGATTAGGTTAAATAACCCCTAGCCTTTTAACCTTTCTTTATAAATCGTTTCCTGTTTCCTTAGATCATTTCTTTGTGTCTTTTTGGCACCTTGGTCTTAATTTTGCCCTGTTCTGCCCTGCCTTCCCCTCCCCTCCCCTTCCTCCCCCTCCCCTCCCTTTCCTTTTCCTTCCCCTTCCTCTCCCCTCCCCTTCCTCTCCCTTCCCCTCCCCTCCCTTCTTTTTTCTCCCCTCCTTCCCTCCCTCCCTCCCTCCCTCCCTTCCTTCCTTCCTTCCTTCTTTCCTTCTCCCTCTCTCTCTCTTTCTCTCTTTCTTTCTCTGTTTCCTTTCTGACTGGGTCTTGCTATGCTGCCTGGGCATTATTGTAGCTCACTCAAGCCTCAAACTACTGGGCTCAAGTAGTCCTCCCGCCTCAGCCTCCTAAGTAGCTGGGACTACAAATGTGTGCCAGCATGCCTGGCTTGGTTTTTCTTTTCCTTTTGCAGTCTGTGGTTGCAAAAGGAAAAGCCCTTCCCAAACTAGATCCAGCCTTCTGTTCAAGTTATGTTTCCCCCCATGAACCCTCTTCTCTAGACATCCACAACTCTTCAGTCTTCCTGAGCCCTTGTGTGTGTTCCACACCAGCATGGCATGCTCCTTCCCCTTCTCTGTCTGACATCATCTTTGTTATCCTTTCAGGCTGTGCTCAGATGTCCTCTTTCCTGTCCAGACACTTCCCACTTCTCTGCTGCGCTAATTGTTGTTTCACAGTATGTGCCTATGTGTGTTATTTTTAAACCTGTATTTTGGTATCTGGCACTCTCTCTGACACTTAGTAGATGCCCAGATATTTCTGAATAAGTGAAGGTTTGATCATGACTGAAAACTTACTACTTTCTCTCTTTCTGTTTCTACACGCATTCACATACACGCATATAAACACAAAAATTTTAGAATAATTCTATTGTATACCAATTAAAAAAGTAGTTTTGAGGAGAATTTTGAAAAGTTAAGATTTTTATGTGTCTCTTGTTTTCTCATTTATTGGTTGATCTTGTGCAAGCCACCTAGATTTTACCTTACCTTTTTTATTTGTGAAATGCAGGGATGGTATTTTTTGCCCCCCACCCCACATATTTTCAAATGCCTTAAAAATCTGCAAATGTAAAATGTAATTGCATTGTGTAGTTGTACTATTTATATTCAAAAGTTAAAGTATCAGCAGCTCATGGGGCCAATGTAGTATCTTCTGTGTATTTGAGGTGTAATTAGAGCAGGTTAGATTATACCTTTAATTCTAGAAGATAATCTTAGAAAATTATGCTGGTGTGAGGTATCATTCACACATCAGTATTAATTCTTCCTCCCTATTGTAAATTGCAAAGTATAAGCTTTGCAGATAGTGAATTATCCTGTCATCTCTGCATATTATAATTTGTGGGTAACCTTGGTTATTTTTAAATTTAAAAATGTGTTTTTTGGGTGAGGTGCGGTGACTCATGCCCGTAATCCCAATACTTCGGCAGGCCGAGGCAGGCGAATCACTTGAGGTCAGGAGTTCGAGACCAGCCTGGCCAACATGGTGAAACCCTGTCTCTACTAAAAATACAAAAATTAGCCGGGCGTGGTGACTTATGCCTGTAATCCCAGCTACTCGGGAGGCTGAGGCAGGAGAATCACTCGAACCCGGGAGGCGGATCTTGCAGCGAGCTGAAGCTGAAATTGCACCACTGCACTCCAGCCTGGGTGACAGAGCGAGACTTGGTCTCAAAAGAGAAAAGTAGTGTGTTTTTTTGAATAGATAATATATTCACATTGGATATTTTAGGCAAAGCCTCTGTCCTATCCCAGTATCTGTGTTTTATCCCCCCTGTGGAAGACAAACTGTTAGTAGGTCTTATTATATTCTATGTAATATATAATAGAAAATTTGTATGTATGTGTATTTACATGTATATTTTCCTTCCTTAACAAACAGAAATAGTAGCCTATTACATAGTATTCTTTAGTTTGCATTTTCAGTGAAAAAATATATCTTGGAGCTTGTATTAGGCTGTTCTTGCATTGCTATAAAGAAATACCTAAGGCTGGGTAATTTATAAAGAAAAGTGGTTTATTTTGGCTTACAGTTCTACAGGCTGTACAGGAAGCATGGTGCCAGTATCTGCTTCTGGCAAGGGCTTCAGGAAGCTTACAGTCACGGTGGAAGGCAAAGAGGGAGCAGGCATGTCACATGGCAAGAGCCAGGAGCAAGAGAGAGAGGGGGAGGTCCAAGATTCTTTTAAATAACCAGATCTCATGTGAACTAACTGAGCAAGAACTCACTTGTCACCAAGGGGATGGTAGTAAATCATTCATAAGGGATCTGCCTCCCGTAATTCATTCACCCCCTACCAGGCCTCATCTCCAACATTTAGAATCATATGTCAACATAAGATTTGGAGGGGACAAACATCCAAACCATTTCAGAACTCATTCTATAAAATATATAAACAGCTTTCTATTTTTTTTCTAGCTGCATAATATTCCATTGTGTGGATGAGCCATAATTTATCAATTTCCTATTATTTCTAATCTTTTACAATAGATAGTGTTTCAGTCCTTAATCTTATACATATAGGTGGCCATAAATTTTTAAGGTTCTTTGGCTATTTGGCCAACATGTGGAAGAAAGCCTTGAATTTTATAATAAGCAAATATAGGAGTTTTAACAGTGGAAGGATGCTGGACATTTTAAACAAGATTTCTTATCTGAGAATGTTCATATTGTCTAAATTGTCATCCACAGGGAGATATAGACAGAATAGATGCTGAAGCTAACCAATTTAATTTTTGAATCAATTTGATCATAAAATATATAAGTGCTAAGTTTTCCTTATTGTTGCCAGTGGATATAATAATTATTTTTATGTCAGAAAACGTAATTTTCTTCATTTGCTTTATTTCAAGTAGCAGAACTTTGCGGTGTGTAGTGAATACGAAGACTATACTTTGTACCGTTTATGTTTACAAAAAAAAAACCCCAACAAAATGAGAATCCATTTTAAGAAACAAGCTAATTAAAAACAAGACACTCAAATAGCCTCCTCCTCCAAAATGAACCTCAGGGAATCTTCTGAGACAGAAAACCATCTGTGTCTTTGGGACTTAAAGGCAAGAATGGGCCAGGCGTGGTGGCTCATGCCCGTAATCCCAGCACTTTGGGAGGCTGAGGCAGGTACATCGCTTGAGGTCAGGAGTTGGAGACCAGCTTGGCCAACAAAGTGTAACCCTGTCTCTAACTAAAAATACAAAAAAAATTAGCTGGGCTTGGTGACACATGCCTATAGTCCCAGCTACGCAGGAGGCTGAGGCAGGAGAATTGCTTGAACCTGGAAGCAGAGGTAGCATTGAGCCAAGATCGCACTACTGCACTCCAGCCTGGACAACAGAGTGAGACTCCGTCTCAATCAATCAATCACTCAATCAATCAGTAAAATGCAGGGAATGACTTTGGGTGAGACAGTTTGGGTCTTCAGTTTCCATTATTTAAATTTCTACTTGTCTCTGCCTTCTCTTTAATTAGAGGTTTATTGGAATCTAAAGGCACTTTGGGAACTGAGACACACCATGATTGCTTATCTTTGCTTTAGAAAAATGATTCTAAAATTTTATCTTTCCATCTTGCCTATTTATCTTCTAGCCTACTATCCTTCAGGAACTGAGAAAGAGAGAGGGGGGTGGATAGAAAAAGCCAATAGTGAGAAACAGCCTTCTATAGAATAGATGTTTAGAGAATGTAGCTTATTGAATTTTTTCAGCATTTAGAGCAGATTTTGAAAGCGTGAAAGAAAGATGGAAGGAAAAGTAGATGTGCCCATCTCTTCCAGCCTTATAACTTGCTCCTTCATCCTTTGTAAGTCTAGTCTATAAAATTCCTTTGGAACACGTATGGAAGCCCGCCTCCCACCTGAATCCAAGCCCACAATTTGAGAAACAGTGGCTTAGAGCGGGTTACATTGTATAGTCTAACTTTGAAAAAGACTTGACATTTGCAATGATCTGGTTGTCTAAACTTCAGGGAGTGGCTGGGAAAGGGTCTGGCTGTGCTTGAGAGACTGTTCTCTTCAAAGGAATAGTTTCATGTCCTAGAGTGTTCTCTGTTCAAAGCTGAGGCAACATGAAACAATTGTAAACTCGTTTTTATAGCTTCTGTAAACAAAGAAATGGATTTAAGAGCTCTAAAATGTTCTTTTCATCAGTAAGGAAATTTGAAAAAAAATTATTCCCTAGGGAGGGTGAAGGAAAGAAGGGGACCACAAAAGAAACACAGTAAGGAAATCATTATCACCAGTCGAATGTGAATTTTGAAATGAAATGAAACTGAAAATAAAGTGAAAGATATATAGCAGCATATAGTTTTGTACACCTTTCAGGAATTGTTTTGAGTTTAGATTGTTTTTGGTTTTGTTTGTTTTTGTCTTTACATTGACTGTATCCTGGAATAGAGTCCCAAACCATTTTTCTTTCCTTAGAATTTTTTTCCCCTTAACTGTGCTGGCTTCTAGAAGGCTCATGCAACCATTGTTACAGTTGCTTAGTAACAGGATTGTGAATAAAAAATCTTGCTCTCCTGCGGAACCAGGTATTCAGTTTTGATACTGAGGTGTCATGACAGCCTGTAATTTCAGCTCAACTGCTTCCCCCATTTCTTGTCTTAATGTGCTTGGTAAGAAGGTTATACTCTGGATAAACCAGGCTAGCACTTGATTTGTATGCCTTTTGTGCTCTCAGACAGGGAAGGGACCTGCATTCGAGGTATTTGGGAATATAAAGTGTATTAAAGTGTATTTTCTGAGACTTCTAAAGTCTACCTTTTAATGAAATTTAGCATAGGATATTAAAAATTCTTGTAGTGGGTCCTAAGTAAAGCTGTTGGATTCAGTGAGTCTTTGATCATGGGCTGATGAAGGTTCAGTGGTTAAAAATGATTCTGAGAATCATTTGGAGTTAAGATTTAGGATGATTTATGGAGAAAATTCTTGTCTCTCAGGGTCTTCTCTTTTATTGATGACCCTGTTCCTTGGGAAACTTAATTGCTTTGTTATGTAGGAAATGGCTAGCAACTGTATTCATATCTTGTTACATTATTGAAGCTTTTCTGTATTATTTAGCTTCTTTCTCTTTATTTTATTTGGCAGGAGAAGAAGAACCAAGGAAGGATGCCTTTATGAGGTTTCCTCCAAGGTTTAGGGAAGACAGCACATTTTAATCTGCAGCTGGGGTGTCAGAGCATTACTATCTGAATTTGATGTGGTTTCAAGGTTTATATTTATATTGATATTATGGCTTATTTAACTTTTAGTAGAGAGTGACAGAGTTGCTAGTCCATGTCTGTTTCCCATCTTGTCTTTTAAATATTCCTTTTAAGCTTATTAGCTTGTTTCTAGATGTTCTCCTTCCTTTTGTTCCCCAATCCTTTTTTTTCCCCCTTGAAAATCCCAGAATTTCTCTCAACTTTCAGTTCCTAATCAGAAAAGTGGTTCCAGCCACTTTTCTGATCTAGCACATTCTGCCCTATTTCTTTTTAAGTTAGTTGATCTGGTTGAAGGCTTTGTCACAAAATCTTCCATTGTAGAGTCATGTATTTATGCTAAGATGTTTCTAGGTGATTTAAGAACAGTGGCTACTGAACACATGTTACTTTTATAATGGAAAAATGCTTCAGAAGAAATCAGGCCATTTTTGGTACATGGAAGACAAATGAGTGCACAGAACTTTGTTAGGCAAAAGCTCAGTAACATTACATCTCTTAGATTTTATTTTAAAGAAGCATTTTTTTGGTCATTCATTTAAGCATGGATTTCTCAGAACTGTTTATTTTGTCCGTGTCTTCTTGTCTCTGTTTATCTCTTTCATATAGTTTTATAGTTTTCTCATATAGTTTTATAATGAATTTAGACAATGATTTGATTATTTTTCTAGTGTTTATCATTCTCTTGTTTGCTGATGACTTACTATGCTTAAGACTGATGAATTATCTTGTTCAGGGGTCTGAAATCCTTTCCAGTTAAAAAGGGACTTGGCCACATTTGTTCCCATGACACCTAGGGATGCATCCCTCTTGGGATGTTATGTCATTCTCTTCAACCCAAACCCAAACCCTTTTAATTCTACCCCTGGTCAAATATGGGTACAGTCTTGTACCTCATGTTTGGTATATTTTGAAAGCAAAGAATCAAGCATTATTTGTAGTCTTTGAAAAAGAGACCCAGCATACGTGAGCAGTGTTTAGTGTTGTAATGAAATAATTCCCAAAGGGAATCTGATACATGTTATTCATATACACAGTAGTAATTATGCCATATTAACCTAGCAAAAACAGTCTGCCTGAGTGTTTTCTAGTTAGTGTAGTTGGTAGAGCTTGACTAAAAATTAAAAAAAAATTTTTTTTGAATCTTCAACGTCATAATTGACCCATACTCCCTCTCATTATAGGCTAACTATCCCCTGTCTGAAATGCTTGGGACCAGAAGTGTTTCAGATTTTATGTTTTTTGGATTTTGGGATATTTGCATATATATAAAGAGATATCTTGGATAGACCCAAGTCTAAACACAAAATTCATTTATATTTCATGTACACCTTATACAGATAGCCTGAAGGTAATTTTGTACAATATTTTAAATAACTTTGTGCATGAAACAAAGTTTTAACTGTATTTTGTCTGTAGCCTGTCACATGGCTTCAGGTGTGGAATTTTCAACTTGTGGTGTCACATCAGTGCTCACAAAATTTAGGATTTTGGAGCATTTAGGATTTTGGATTTGTTGATTAGGGATACTTAGTCTGTATGAGAGGTGGGTCTTGGCTCTTATGCCTAGTGAAAATTGTGGCACCTTTTTGCATTGTCTCTTGCTACTGTGCTTGTGGCTTAGTTTTGAAGTTTCCTTTGCTCTCTTTAAGGGTTCTTGAGTAAATTCATCTTTTCCTGGCACCTGCCCAAGAAAGGACTTATTCCAGCTGATCTTTATTGTAGACTTTTGGCAGCAGTTTCCTGTGTGGATTAGGTCTCTTTGGGCTACCAGTTACAGAAATCCACTTGAACTAGTATGAGCAAAAATGGATTAATTTTTTTGATAAAGGAGTATGTATCTCATAGGACCCAAGAATAAATATGCACCTAGGCCTCAGAAACAAATGGGATATAAACTGTGTGTTTTGTTCTTCTTTCTTCCTGCAGACTTTCTCTGCCTCCTAGTTCACAGGGCACCACCTGCCCCTGGCTTAACATCTCTTGTATATGAGGCAGCCAGACTGAGATTGGAATTTCCTGGCCACAATTACAGATTTCCAATGGTGGGACCTGGAGCTGGATCAGTCAGCTCTGCCAAGTGTTAGTTTTCTAGGGCTACTCTAACACAAGATGATAAACTTGGTGGCTTAAGACAACAGAAATTTATTATTTCATGATTTCATGATGCCTTGCAGCCAAAAACCAAGGTGTCAGCAGGACTGATTCCTTCTGGAGGCTCTGTGGGGGAATCTGTTCTATGCCTTTCTACTAGCTTCTGGTGGTTGATGGAAACCTTTGACATTCCTTGCCTTGTGGCCTTGTAACTTCAGTCTCTGCCTCTGTATGCTCATGGCTGACTTACCTGTATATCTCTTTGTCTCCAATACAGTATCCCTGTACTTTCTCTATAAGGATACCGGTTATTGGATTTACGACCCACCTAGGATGATCTCATCCCAAGATACTTAATTTAATTATATCTACAAAGACCCTATTTCCATATAAGGTCACATTCATAGGTACTGGGGGTTGGGATTTAGATGTATCTTTTGGGGGGACACAATTTAACTTTCTGCTCACTGTGTCTTGATTGTGTGAGCATATGTGTGCTAGGATCACTTATACAGTAACCATATGAATGCAGAGGGTGTGGTAATTTCCAAAACAGAGAGGAGACTGGAATGCTATTCCTGAGGAGTCCTCTGCACTGGAACTGAATTTGGAGGAGAGCCACATGGAAATAGGTATTTCTCAGCCTTTCAGCTCTAGCTTTGAAACATAATTGTGCTTAAATACAAGTGACTAATACTAGATCTATGTTGCTCAGACAGGGATAGAAGGAGGAGAGATTGAGTGAATGGAGAATCAGTGTCAAATATAATTGTTTAATTGTGGTGGTGGGATACTGCCTTGACTTCCCCCACCTCCCAGAATATTTTCTTTAAATTATAAATTATCTCTCTAAACAGCAATAATAATAGAAACAACCACTGCTTTGTTTTCTAGGGGAAGAGGGTTAAGGAAGAAAACTAGCCTTTCTTGAATATAAACTGTGTGCCCTGCCTTGTGCTTTAGAGCTTTACCTAAAATTCCCCACTTAAGTCTCAAAACAACCCTGGGAGTTTGGGGGAGACTTTTTCTTAGGTGGGATTGTGTTCTTTTCTCAGGAGGACATAGTATCTGATTGTTTTCATTTTTGATGATGTTAGCAGCTGTTGATGCTCAGTGACTAGATCCATTAATTCATTAGGGATTTCAAATGGTGACATTCTAATTCTATGTTTTTTTTCTTCACTTATTACCTGAAATACTTCTATAAAGAGAATCTTCCCCATATCTACACCCAGAGGTATAATTTATATAGGAAAGGCAGGATATATATGTAATTCTTTTATTTACTAAATTCCAAAATAATGATTTTTTAAAGCATCCTTTCAGTGGTGACCAGTTACATTTTCTTATAAAATAATTATAATGAGCTTATGGATTTAAACATACTTGATGTATTTCAGTCCTCTTCTCCTCTATTTTTAAGGCTGTTTTTGGATCCACTCTTTAGAAGCAGCTTGAGAGAGGAGGGTGGAATTTACAAAGTTTCAAAAATCTTATTGCTATTCAGTGATTTTCATATATAACAAGTGAGTTAAGATGGAGGGGAGTGAAAGAAACAGCATCTTCCAAATAGGACTTCTTGCCCCGGTCTTAATATTAAGTCATAGGAACCATCTAATATTCCTAAGACTCTCTTAGGAATTAATTTACAGGGTGGTAGATTTAGCTATGTCATGGGCAATCCTCATAGCAGTTAAATCTCTGCATACATCTGAATATTTCTCTCTTACTTTTCTTATTCCATCAGGAATCTTAAGTTGGTTTTAATGTTGTAGGAATGTAGATTAAGATAAGTTAAATGAAAAAAAAACCCATAACAACAAAAAAACTACTTTGATTTCTGGCTGAGCGCAGTGGCTCACGCCTGTAATCCCAGCACTTTGGGAGGCTGAGGCGGGCAGATCACCTGAGGTCAGGAGTTTAAGACCAGCCTGGCCAACATGGCAAAACCCCATCTCTACTAAAAATACAAAAAAAATTAGCTGGGCCTGTGGTGCGTGCCTGTAATCCCTCCTACTCGGGAGGCTGAGGCAGGAGAATCTCTCGAACCCAGGAGGTGGAGGTTGCAGTGAGCCAAGATCGTGCCACTGCACTCCAGCCTGGGTGACACAGCGAGACTTTGTCTCCAAAACAACAACAACAACAACAACAACAACAACAACAACAACAACAAAGTACTTCATTTCCCAATAGAATTCATTGCTTGATAATATAAGGATATTACATGAATTTCATCTTCCCAGTATTTACAGTTATCCTATTTGCTAAATGTGTGATCCCTTAAATGAAAGGCCTTTTAGAAACACAACCAGTAATAGCATTCATATTATTTTGTAAAAAACTAAATAATGAATTTTGATATTAGAGATCAGATACATGAATTTCAGTGTGCATCTATAAAGTTATGTAAATATAGAACTAGAAATACCTTCAGAGGTTACCTTGGGAGCCAAGCAAGATAGTACCTGAGCTGTATCCATCCATCCATCTATTAATTAAACATATATTTATATGTATTTTTTTGACACAGAGTTTCGTTCTTGTTGCCCAGGCTGGAGTGCATTGGTGTGATCTTGGCTCACCACAACCTCTCCCTCCCGGGTTCAAGCGATTCTCCTGCCTCAGCCTCCCAAGTTGCCGGGACTACAGACATGTGCCACCACCCCCAGCTAATTTTGTATTTTTAGTAGAGACGGGGTTTCTCCATGTTGGTCAGGCTGGTCTCGAACTCCCAACCTCAGGTGATCTTCCCGCCTCAGCCTCCCAAAGTCCTGGGATTACAGGTGTGAGCCACTATACCTGGCCAATTAAACATATTTATTGAGTATATTTATTTATTATTTTATTTTTTTAAAGTTCTGGGATACATGTGCAAGATGTGCAGGTGTGTTACATAGGTAAACATGTGCCGTGGTGGTTTGCTGCAGCTATCAACCCATCACCTAGGTATTAAGCCCAGCATGCATTAACTCTTTTCCCTAATGCTCTCCTGAGTATATTTATTATCTCTTGTATTTCTGTGCTAGGTGCTGTGATACCGTGGTGAGGAATGCAGACGTAGTTATTGCACTCATGATGCTTTTGGTTTCAATGGAGAGATTGCCATAATTGCCTAGTTATAGAAACTCATTCAAAGTATACTGTGTTGGGAATGCCTTTAAGATGACGATTTGACTTAGTCATGGTGGTAAAAGCAGGCTTTCCTGAGGAAGTGACACCTAAGATGAGACGAAGGAGTAAATAAAAGTTGTCTAGGCAAACAGGAGTTGGTAAAACTTTCCAGTTACAGGAAATAGTATGTGCCAAGTTCCTGCTGTGGGAAGGAGATTGGCTGTTAAGATGGCCTGAAAGAATGCTAAGAGTGAGGGGAGAGTGGTATGAAATGAAGCTGGAAAGGTAGGTGGGATTCAGACAGTGCAGCGCATGATTGACAATCTTGATGATTTGGGTCTTTATCCTGGGTGGAGAAGGAATGTACTGAAGTGTTTTATCTAGCGGGTGTTAGTGATTCCACAAAAGGCCATTTGGAATGCAGTATGAAGATTAAAATGGAAAGTATTGGGTTTGGGGTAGGCACCTAGATGGGATACACAGAGATTAGGTGGCTGTTGCTGTAGTCGAGTGAGAGGTGATGGTTGCTTGCACTAGAGATGGGGGAAGTAGAGGGATTTGTGAGATATTTAAGGGATGAAGCATTCGTGGTGTACTGAATATGTAGATGACTGAAAGGGATATGTCAAAGGTGACTCCTTGATTTCTGGCTTTCTCTACATTTAGATAGGGAACATTAGAAGACCAGGTGTGTCGGGGGAGAGCATGGGTTCAATTTTGGATGTGTTGAATATGAGGCACAATTCAGATGCTGAAGTGGAAATGTCTAGTAGGCAGCTGGATATGCCTTTTTTTGTTGATATCCCCTGAACACATTATACTATGAATAAGTTAGGCATAATATCTAATCAGCTCTTTTTTGCCCTGATTAAAGTCTTTACCTTGATTTGTTAATTAACTCTTCCGGGTACCTGTGTACCTCAAACTCATAGAGTCTGCTTATCTAAAGTCTAATTCCAGTCCCTAAAAATGTTCCTCAGAAATCTGCTTTTTCAAATTAAATGACATGTTTTTGTGTCTGTGCTAAACTGTGACTGAATACAGGTCCTAAGCAGAAGACACCGTGGTTATTTCATTGTTTATTTCAATTTCTCCTCATACTGTCTATCCAGGAGATCACGTTTAATTTTTCTTTTTTTTATTATTATTATACTTTAAGTTTTAGGGTACATGTGCACAATGTGCAGGTTAGTTACATATGTACACATGTGCCATGCTGGTGTGCTGCACCCATTAACTCCTCTTTTAGCATTAGGTATATCTCCTAATGCTATCCCTCCCCACTCCCTCCATCCCACAACAGTCCCCAGATTGTGATGTTCCCCTTCCTGTGTCCATGTGATCTCATTGTTCAATTCCCATCTATGAGTGAGAACATGCGGTGTTTGGTTTTTTGTCCTTGCGATAGTTTACTGAGAATGATGATTTCCAGTTTCATCCATGTCCCTAAAAAGGACATGAATTTTTCATTTGTGTTCAGGAAGTCCTTCCTCACTGGGCCAGGCACAGTGGCTCATGCCTGTAATCCTAGCATTTTGAGAGGTCAAGGCAGAAGGATTGCTTGAAGCCAGGAGTTTGAGACCAGCCTAGGCAACATAGTGAGACTCTGTCTTTAAAAAAAATAAAAAATTAGCCAGGTATGGTGATGCACACCTATAGCTCCAGATACTTGGGAGGCTTAGGTTCGAGCATCACTTGAGCTCAAGAGGTCGAGGCTGCAGTGAGCTATAGTGAGCTATGATTGCACCACTGTGCTCCAGCCTGGGTGACAGAGCAAGACCCTATCTCAAAAAACAAACAAACAAACAAAAAAAGTCTTTTTCGCACTTTGAGATTATAAATATTTTTTAACTAATACAAAATAAAAGTTGTGCAAACAGTGGAAATTGTAGGTAATGGAAGTCAGTGGTGAAACTACTTTTTGTCATCTTTTTTTTCTTTTCTTAAAATTCACTTTTGTTATTGAGCCCTGGTGAAAAGTAGGAAATGGCAGGACTGGAAGGACTCAGGGCTAATAGGGAGTCTTAAAGGTTCCTTCAAATCTTGGTCTTGGTTTCTGCTAGGATATAGAGAAAACCAGGGTAATCTGAAGTCAGATCCAGGTACATGGAATTAGGAACCAACTAACCCCAGTGACATTGAAATCCCATTCCTAGACCTATAAAAAACATTTATATGCACATATGCCAAGTGTTTTAGAATTGAATATTCCGTTCAAATGTATTTTGTTTTTAAACTTGCATTTTTCCACATAGTATGTGATGGTAATTTTTCCATGTCACATGCATAAATCTGTTTGCAACCTTATTAACAGCTGTAGAGTATTCTGTTTAAGAGGAGTCACATTTTAGTCATTTTCCTAATGACAGACATGTGTTTTTTTCTCTTCCTCTTTAAAAGATAACACATACAGTATAATATTGTCTTTTTTTTTTCTTTTTTGAGGTGATCTCACTTTGTCACCCAGGCTGGAGTGCAGTGGCGTGATCATGGCTCACTGCAGCCCCAACCTCCTGGGCTCAAGTGATCCTCCCACCTCGGTCCCCCAAGTAGCTGGGACTACAGGCTCATGCCACCACACTTGGCCAGTTTTTGTATTTTTTGTAGAGATGGGGTTTTGCCCAGTATGGTCTCAAATTCCTGGGCCCAAGCGATTCGCCCACCTTGGGCCTCCCAAAGTGCTGGGATTATAGGAATATCTTCTTTTGAGTATAGATAAGGGTATGTCTATAGGATGGGGTCATAGAAGCAGAATTTATGGGAAAAGGGGTATAAAATTTTCATAGATACTGTCAATTTGCTCTGCACAAAGGCTGAACCAACATATCAACATGAAAGTGCTTACTTCCCCCACCTACTCTTTAACACTGAGTATTATGAATCTTATTCTTCTGTGATTTGTGTATCTCTATTCTCTGCTCAGTTTGCTATTTTATGATCTGCTTTATTTTGTTGCTTTTCTTGTTTTGTGGGCATGTATGCTGTAAACATTTTATCTTAGACTCTCTCTTAACTTTGTTTTCACTCTGCTAAAAACTTTCCCTACCAACTTTGCTGAAACTATCTGGAATTTTAGTTACAGATTTTTCTTTTTGTTATTTTTTACATTTTTTCTCCATAAATTCTTTCAAAGCAATTGCTTTAATCTTTATAGTCACATTTGAAAAATAATTGTATGTTCTGATATTCATGCATACCAAAGTTACTTGTAGTCTACATGCTTTTTATTTCTTCAGTCAATCCTTCCTTCCTTCCTTCCTTCCGCCTCCCCTCCCCTCCCTTCCCCTCCTCTTTTCCTTCTCTTTTCCTTCCCTGAGACATGTCTTTCTGTCATCCAGGTTTGAGTGCTGTGGTGAGATCATAGCTCACTGTAATCTCAAACTCCTGGGCTCAAGTGATCCTCCTGCCTCAGCCTCCTGAGTAGCTAGGACTACAAGTGTGTGCCATCATGCTTGGCTTATTTTTTAAGGTTTTTTTTTTTTTTGAAACGGGATCTCTCTATATTGCTCAGGCTGGTCTCAAACTCCTGACCTCAAGTGATCTTCTGGCTTCCAGCCACCAGAGTAGCTGGGGTTACAGGCACGAGCCACTATGCCTGGCCTCTTCAATTGTTTTATCTTTAAAAAAAAAAATAACAGCTTATTGGGATATAATTCAAATATTATAAAATCACTCTTTCAAAGTATGTAATTCAGTGTTTTCAGTATAGTTACAAGGCTGTGCAATCATGCATTCTAATTTAACTGGAGAACCTCTTTAAGAAAAATTTTCAGAGTTTTATGTGTGAAAATATTTCTTTTCTGGTATTTTACTCACTTTTTTGGGGGAGGTGTTTGGACTTACTGAGTTTTATAAGCCTTTCTCTTATAACTCCACATGCATTGCTTCATTCAGTTTTGTTGTTTGTAGACAAGAATGCTGATGCCAAATTAGAAATGATGCAAGCCTAGTTGTTTTTATTTTATGAATTTTTTTGTTTTATAAAATTTAAGAGGTTATAGGATTTTTTTTATCCTTTGAGAAATGTCAGCAATTATTTTATTTCAGAAATCTTGCTTAGTACTTGGAAGCTTTTTCAATTTGAAGATGTAAGTGCAGTGAAATTTTCTTTGACTTTTGCTTCTCCA
This sequence comes from Homo sapiens, assembly GCF_000001405.40. Taxonomy (NCBI): domain Eukaryota; kingdom Metazoa; phylum Chordata; class Mammalia; order Primates; family Hominidae; genus Homo; species Homo sapiens. Next base: position 20,736,350 of record NC_000009.12, read on the forward strand.
GTGGTTATGTTTTCTTCTAATTCACTATTTTGAGTTTTAGCATGATTCAAATTACTGTAACCTCTTTATGAAATCATACAGAATTCAACAATAATTTTCATTTTGCAGGAGTAGATCTCAGATCCAGAATAACAAAGACTTGAAAACAAGAAAAGCAGATTTTGAGCTAAGAGATGGAAAATACTAGAGATTTTTAGGAGTTAGGATGAGTTTGTAGTTAGTTTTAGGCAAATTCCAGGCCTCAGCGTTCATTAACTCTGATGCCTGTGCTTACACAGCGTCATCTGAAAGAGGGAAGAACATTATTATCTTTATGTTATAGTATAAGTTTTGAATTATCCCAGCTTTTTGAAAAAGCATGTAATTTACTGACATACTATTCTTTATTTTTTAAAACAACGTAAGAGATGGGCTTATTATGATTTTTGATTATGAAGACGAGGATGTTGAGACCCCTAGGCATTAAGTGACTTGCCTAAGATTCCCTAGTTAATTCAAATTGAAGTAGGGGTTTAAATAAATATTAACCTGAAAGTATCCCTCTCAACCCATTTGAAATATGTAAATCATAATATTTATTAAACATAATATTTATTAATATAAATAATATCTATTTCAAGTGGGTTGAGGGGGATAGTTTCAATTAAATTTAAGGCAAATGTATAACCATTTGAATGGCGCTATGTGTAACTTGATTGATGCCATCATCTTTCAAAAATTATAATCTACTCATGCTACACTCTTGCTGAAAATACAGCATTGACTCCGTTATCTACACAATAAAATCTGGATCCACAGATAAGAGTAAGTGAGACCTAACTTAAAGTTTAAAAAATTGGAGTTCATTTATCAGCATTGGTGGTTTTGTGAATCCCTTGGAATTAAAAGTAAATGTGATGTCTATTCTTTTCTCTTGGATTCCACTGCTTTCATAAAAAGGTAGGACACCATAAAAACCATAGATCTGTTATCTGTTATCTCTAGAACTCTAGTCATATGACAAATAAATAATTAAGGAAAACCAATATAGTTTCACATGCAAAAAAGGATTATTTAATGAATTTGTATTTTTTGGAAGAAATTCAGTCAGAAATTCATCAACACTGGTCATTTCAACTAATCATTAGGCTCAGAGTGCAGTCTTACGAGGTTACTAGGTGAAGCCTGGCCTTTCTTCAGTGGTATATAAATAGCTTAAATACGACTTGAAAGCTGATTTTCAGTTGTATAGACATTGAAGGCTAGAAGATAAGAATGCTTCTAAACATGTAGTGACTCTTTCTCCAGGACAGACCAAAGTAGACTCCCTATGATAGGCTTTAGTCAGATACTGGATTCTCAGAATGGCTCACCCAATTAGTGATGATGAGATTGTATATTTCATGGTATCATTTAACATCTAGGCACAGGCCTGGGTCAGAGCTGCAGGACTGCATCCCTGAGACCTGGTAAGTTAGCTTACAAAATTCATATATTTGGAGGAGTCAGATCCCATAGACCTTCAGAGGAGGCTGTGTGAACTCTACCCTGTGACTTAGTCGAGACATTTATACCTAGGTATAGGTTCTTGATAAATTGGTGATAGAGCAGTTATGTTGAGGGATCTCCAGGTCTTTGTAAAGGAAGGTGTTGTGAAGAGTTGTGAAGAACTGGAGGATATAGTGGGAGACACCAGTCCTTATAGTCCAGAGTTCTCAGTTACAAAAAGTTCTGATTCTGAAAAAGTAAATGGTGTGAAGAATTGCAAAGAAGGAGTTTATTTTAAAAGTTTGGATGTTGAGGTATCTTTTTCCTAAGCTCTGGCATAAGAGGAGTCTAGAAATTCAGTGTCAATAGAGAAGTTTCTCAGAAGAATGTGAACAGTTCCAAAGGAAGAAGACAAGGCAATACCTTGGTTACCCAAGGAGGTCCTCAAGGAGATGCCATGCAGTCAGACTTTCTTGAGGCAATTACACTTCATTCTAGTTTACAAAAAGATTTCCATTTTAATTTTCACTGAGTTACAGTGAGATTCACTGGCCATTTTGTGGGCCAAAGTACCATAGAATTGACACAGTACCAATGTGTAGCATGTGAGCAAGCCAAATCTTGATTTGACATCCATTGGAGAACACACACAGGAGAGAGAATCTTTATGGAGAAGGCTTCATGAAGTGTTGGGACCTCTGTGTTCACCAGAGGATCCACACAGGAGAGAAACTATACACATGTGACATATGTCATGAAAGATTCATCCATGAGTTATACTGAATGGTCCTAAGAGGATCCATATGGAAGAGAAAACATACCACTGTAGATTGTGAAAAATGCTTCAGCTGCAAGAGAAACCTCAATACTCCCCAAAGAATCCATTTAGGCACTAAACTATTTGAGTGTCTACAGCAGTGCTGTGAAATAGAAATATAATCTTAGCCACAAATGCAAGCCACATATGTAATTCAGAATTTTCCAGTAGCCACATTAAAAAACCAGAAATAGATTACATTAACTTTAATAATATATTTTATGTAGCCCAATATATCAAAAATATTATTTCAACATGTAATCAATATAAAAAATTATACATGGTATTTAATATTCTTTTTTTTGTGTCCCAAAGTCTTTTAAATCTAGCATGTATTTTGTACTTACAGGACATCTGAATTTGGACTAACCATATTACTAGTGCTCAGTAGCCACATGTGGCTGTTACTATATTGGACTGTGCAGGTCTACTAAGTGGCCAAACCTTTTGTCACTTGGAAAACCTTAAATGCCATAAAAAAATACACTCAGTAACATCTCACATAAATGCCACAAATGATACCTAATTAAGTCCAAGTAGTGTTCTAACCCAAAAATAAAGTTAACATTGATTTCTAATCAACTATGTTCTGAAGTAAGTGACATAATGCAAGAACTTAGAAAAGTGCTTAGCTTATGGTAATGCTCAATAAATGTTAACAAGCATAATTAAACAATAATTACTTTTTGGCTGGGCACAGTGGCTCACACTTGTAATCCCAGCACTTTGGGAGGCTGAGGCAGGCGGGTCACCTAAGGTCAGGAGTTTGAGACCAGCCTGACCAACATGGTGAAACCTTGTCTCTACTAAAAATACAAAATTAGCCAGATGTGGTGGCACATGCCTGTAATCCCAGCTACTTGGGAGGTTGAGGCAGGAGAATCAGTTGAACCCAGGAGATGGAGGTTGCAGTGAGCCGAGATCGTGCCATTGAACTACAGGCTGGGCAACAAGAGTGAAACTCCATCTAAAAAAAAAAAAAAAATTACTTTTTAAATTTAACAAATAGTGAGTTTTTTATTTCTAAGATTTTCTTTATATTTTCCAGGGAGATCTTTATTTAAGAAAGGCAGCCTATTTTTCTTTCTGATATGTTTATCCTCTTATCTCTTACAAAAATAAGGAAAAAATTTAAATTGCTATTCCCTTTCTATTAGCTCTATTTCGATGGGGGTTATTTGCTTTGATTGCTTCCCTGGCCCACTTTTTAGAGTGGCTGATCCATTTCATATATTTGGTTATTTTTCATAGTCTGCTAATATTTATAAATGAAATATTTGGTCATTCGGTGTGGGCAACCAATGTGGTCACTGCTTGAAATTATGTGGGCTAATGTTTGTTTTTTCCTGATTGATTTTCCCCCAAGAATGTGTAGGCAGATGATTGATAAGTTGGTGGTTTGATTCTTTAGCTCCATTTCTTCTCCTTTAAATGTGTTGGATGGGTTTGGGCTGTACTATAGAATGAGTTGAGGGCCTGTGGGTGGCTACTGTTTAATGTGGGTGGCAAGTATTAAAATTATTTTAAAATGATAGGATTAAGCACCTGATTAGAATATTCACTTTTTATCTATAACATTTAACATGCTATATTTCTTTGCAGAAATACACATGGCTTGATAAAAGCCATTATGCACTTACTACAAATGCAAGCTCTTAAGGAAGGACAAGGTGGGGAAAAGAATATTCAGAGTATATATACCATTAGGTAAGCCTTTTTTCTGTTTTTTTTTTAAACAAATATGAATTTTTAATGAAATTATTAACTGTGACATGATAATCCAGTAAGAATTAGTTATTTAATTCAGCAGGATATGCACACAGTGATTGTGGGTGTTGACCTCTCAGGAAGTTAGCGTTTCAAAGACTCAGAGGATTGAGATAGAGTTGACAAGATGAGTATCACCAATGTGGGTTTCAGGGTTGCTAATTTGGAATTGAAATCTTTTACCTAAAACTCAGATTATTCTGTTTACTCTAGAATATGTAACCATCTTCACAGTATTATGAAAATGGAAGACTTCATTGAACAAAGATATTTAAAGCAGGGGGGGATTTAGGTTAGGCAGGATGGTAATCTGCCTTACTATAAAAAGCAATAGGAGACTGCTATTTCCAAGTGACTTAGGCCAAGGTCAGTAGTTAGGAGTGTTGATTTGCCTTTTCTTTGTCATCTGTAGAATGTAATAAGGTAGAATTGTTTTAAAAAAATAAAATACACACAGTAGCAATAATACTACAATGCATTGGATTTTCTGGGGGAGTTGTGGTCAAGGGAGGGAATCATACTTCCTTGTGAAGGTGACCTTACCTATTGCCTTGAAGGACCCAGGAAGCCATCTCTTAAGAGAGGGGCTCTGAGTTAGCAGAGGACCCAGAAGATGCATGTGATCAGTGTATGTTGCCCTAGGAACTCTGTTCAGTGAGGCATTCAGAATGTGTCTGCTTCAAAAGAATGACAGCATGGAACCATAAAGAAGGGCATTGATTCATGTGGGGAAGATGGCTTACATGGGCTATGGTGATCAAACAGGGAAAGGAAATCAGGTACTTTTGCTGTGAGCCACCACTGAATTGATCTTACAGCACCTGTAGTCTTCAGTATTTGACAACACAGGTATCAGAAGTGTGAGAGAGTCTCTCTTCAAAATACAGAGGGGTGTCTATCACTTACCTGTATTTATAGTGCTTTCTTTTTGATAATAAGTAAACAGTATCTCATATACTGTAAATGGGATGGTCTGTGTCGTGGTATATCTCATATACCATGATCTTCCGTGTAATTTTTAGTGCTATTTGTGATCTCTTATTTTTATGAATACATTATTGTTTCTTAAGGCATTTTTTTAAACAAAGTCATATTTGCATTTTATATTTTTTCTTAACATATTTTGTGAATATCTTCAAACATACAAGTTGGAAGAATGTGGTACAATGAATTAATTTATTTTTAAATAAGGGAAGCAAAAGGAAAATTATTTATTTGAAAATACTATGAAAACTTGAGGTCTGCAGAGTAAAGCTTTCCAAATCGGTAAATATGCTTTTTTTTTTTTTTTTTTTTTTAACATAGTGGTGTCCTTTGTGACGTAAGGGTTTATTCTTTATCCATTGCCTTGGCTAGAATTGAACCTGCAGAGTAAATGAGCACATTTTAATATTTCTGAATAAACATCTGCATTTCCTCCTTTTTAAAAAGAAATTCAAACTCTTGGGCCAGAGTTCAGGATAGAAAATAATTCAATTTAGTTGTTGTTAAGATGGGCTTATTTATTTCTAAATAGGGAAGCTATTGAAGTTTTTAATTGAAATTTTTATGTAACAGTTTTATGGAGATATAATTCACATATGAGTGACCCATTTAAAATGTATGATTCAGTGACTTTTACTCCATTCACAAAGTTATGCCACCATCACCATAATCAATTTTAGAACATCTTCATCATCTCCAAAGAAATTCCTTACCAATTAGCCGTCACTCCATATTTTCTCCCCTCTCAGGGAAGTATTTTTAGTTCAATGCTTCCCAACATTGGTGCCCATTAGAACCACCTGGGTGTGCTTAAAAAGAGACAAACATGGTAACGATCAAATACCCTAGATAAAATGAATCCGAATCTCCGCCATGAGGCCTAGTGGTTTTAAAAGTGTCCTAGGTGATTGTCATTCACAATGAGTACAAAGTGGTGTGTCAGCTGCTCTAAAATGTGCATCCTAATTACTTGGGGACCTTGTTGAAGTGCAGATTCTTTTTCCTTAGTCTAGTGTGGGCTCAAGATTCTTGTCTAACAGGCTCCCAGGTGATGCTGATGCTGCTTTTGCCCTACCACACTGTTGAGTAGCAGAGCTACCGCCGCATCGGCATACCTGTGAACCTGTGAAGAATGCAGAACCTTGGACTCCATCTAAGAGTGCCAGAGTCAGAACTGCATTTTAGAAAGATTTTCTACGTAATTTATAGGCACCTTAAAGTATAAGAAGCATCAGTTTAGATGATGGTAAAAAGAAGTTTTCTATAATGCAGAGAATTTGGGTTACTCTCATTTTAATCCTGATTGTCTTCACCGTGTGCAATTGTTAGACCTTTAATTATCTGTAATGTTTGACCTTTTAATTCATTTTTTCCTATAGTTGGTTCCTTTAACTTCAGTCTTGTTTCAAAAGGCAATTGCTGCAAGGTGTGAATAGGAAGCCTAGTTTGAGAAGCTGAGAAGAATTGGATACATAGGCTTGTCTTTAGATACGTGGCACATTAAGAGGTCCGTAATCAATCACCTGAGTTGGCATAATCTGGTAATGTTTATGGAGAGCCCTTATGTGAATGGCCGTTTAGCACTATAAATCAGTAGAGAGTAATTGAGTGTATAAGAGCCTTAAGTTCCTCCAAGGGGGATTGTGGATGGCAGAAACAGAGGAGAGGTGAGCCTGAAGAGCATATTCCCCTCAAGAGAGCTATGATTACCTGAGTCAATCATAAAATTGTCATGCTGTTTTAGAGCCTTCTTTGCCACATGTTGGTTAGCAATATCATCCAGCCTTAGAGAGGCAACTGATGAGCTGTGTATGAAAGCATAAAAGGGATATGAGAAACTTAGAACTCCACTGAGAGGTGTTTTCTGGTTATTCTGTAGGATTAATTTAAAATAGAAGGAGTATGGCAAATAAGTGTAAGCTTTCTGAGCATGCAGCTAATCTGTGTTTTTATGGTATTAAGCACTGTGCCAGTATTCAGCTGGGGCTTAAGTATTTCTTACTTCTTTTTCTTCTAATAGCTGATTAATTTGAATCACAGTGCAACAGAATACTTGGTCATCTTAAATGGTCTGTGCTGAACCAAATAAGTTGTACCAGTATGGGAGTGGACAGAAAACAAGAGATATGAGAACCAAGAATGTTAGGCGGTGGTTTCCCTTAGCCCCTCTGAATTTTATGAAGGAGCTGTAGAGATGGTATTCTTTTTATTGTACCTAGAGCTTAGTTAGTGGTTCTCAAACTTGTCTTGCATAAGAACCACTGGGGCAGCGTGTTAAAAGTACAGCTTCTGAATCCCACTTGCCAGAGATTCTTATTCATTCAGTGGGTTTTGTGTGAGGCTCAGAAATCAGCATGTTACCCATTTGCTCAGTGATATGGAAATATGTCATTTGTGGATTACACATGAGAACTATTGCTTCAGTATCTGGGAGCTTGATGGTTCCATACGTGAGCTTCAAGGTCCCCTTTGAGGTAGACTAGAGGGGATCTTGGGTGGCTTACCTATGCCTCCTTTTCTTTGTCTATTTGGGTGGCAAGAAGTCTGTATCTTCCTAAGTACCAAGGCACCAAGTTTGTCTTACATGTGTCAGTCATGGACAATAGAGAGGCCAAGAGCAGAAGCAAACAGTGACTGTAAAGGAAAAGCACTCCAAAGAGAGCAAGCCAACTTTGGATGCTAGAGAGAAAATGTAAGAGATCATGGGTTTGTTCAATGAAAAAATTCCATGGCCCCAACACATGTTAGTGTTCTTCATGGTCAGACGGTGGGTGGGTGGTTGTGGGAGGAGGAGGGGAAGAGAACCTTGAACATCCTCTTAGAAACTGACACTTGTTTACTGTGCATAAGGAGCTCATCTTTGGAGTTTTTAATGTTTGGAGCATGGCCCAGACTTCTGCATTTTTAACACGGGATTTGAATGGAAGTGGTTTACTGACCAGGCTTTGAGAAACACTGGATTAGAATCATATGTAGTTAATGCAGCTCATATTGCTTAACTGGACCCTCCTTTCTAAGCAGTCTTTTCTTTAGCTTTGTGGCTTAAACAAGATTAGGCATAGATATTTAAATAAGGCTGCAACTCTCAGTTACCTTTGTAACTGGAAGCATAGTGCAGTACATTTGGCTACTGTGATTAGCTAAGGAGCATATGCCAAGTATAAAACTCTAGACCCATGAGTCTCAACTCTGTCTGCACATTAGAGCCCTCTTAGGAGCTTTAAAATATATGGATGACTGGGCTTTACCCAGAATGACTGAAGGGTTGGTCTTAGGTGTTGGTATTTTTTTAAAAGCTTCCCACGTGATTTCCAGCGTGCAGGTAAGGGTGGAGAACTGCTGGCCAATTGTTGCCATGAAACAATGGGACTTCATTGTTGCCACACGTTCAGATCTTTCAATATAAATAAAGTTTTTATGTGAAATCTCCTGACTGAATGCTGACAACCAATTCAAACTTTTCAAAATGTAGGGTAGGTAGACAAAACACATCTGCTCACAAGATGCAATCAGTGGGCAACAAGTTTGTGACCTCTGATGCAGGTACTATTTTCAAGAATTTCAGAAGCCACTTTCTAGTTATACTAATTAACATTTTTTTAAACCACTATGTAGTATCCTTTAGTTCAGACTTTCTTTTTTTCTCCCTTTTTTATTTGGTCTGAATTTTCTTTTGTTTAGCTAGAACCCCTCTTTTGTGTAACACACTTATATTTAAGTTATTTAAACATTTTTTTTTTTTTGAGACAGGGTCTCACTCTGTCACCCAGGCTGGAGTGCAGTGGTGCAGTCTTGGCTCACTGCAACCTCTGCCTCCCAGGCTCAAGCTATCCTCCCATCTCAGCTCCCCCAGTAGCTGGGACTACAGGTGCGACACTACGCCCTGCTAATTTTTTGTAGAGGCAGGGTTGTCCAGGCTGGTCTTGAACTCCTGAGCTCAAGCGATCCACCTGCTTCGGCCTCCCAAAGTGCTGGGATTACAGGTGTGAGCCATGGCACTGGGCCTGTTTAAACATTTTCTAATATTGATCGTGCAGGAAGTGGGCAGAGAATCAATATTTCGCTAGTGTTTTGGTTGCAGGGAAGAATAAATAAATTTTCATGGGTTGTAAATTATTAGAGGCTCATTTTCTTATTTGCTTTGTAAGATGCCATTTTTCCCCTAAATTTTATCATGTGCTTTTGCTTTTAATTTTTTCTCTGCATATTCATATTATGGCAATCTTTTAAAGATCTCTCTTCCCTCAGCTAAAGTGAGGAAATAGCTGTGAATTCATGAGCAGTAACTGCTTGTTCCAGAATTCGTGTATTTTTCTGATGTGCCAGACAGTGGCTGACATGCACAAATATCAAATGTTAAGAATCTTATTTGTGGGAAGGTTTGGTCTGGTAAACATGAAGCTGTACTTTCTGAAATAAGGGAATATTAAATGTTCGTGGCAGATGGTGTGCTCGGAAGTGGACAATTAGGCCAACAGTAATGGATGATTGTACCCTGAGTAGATTAAAGTTATGTGCTCTATGTTTGTATTTGTTCATCTATTTGTGTAATAGTATATAGTTTATTTGGAGGGAGAGTTAAGTTTAAGGACTTAAAGACGTGTATCCTAAAGGCTGAGATTTTGTAATTTATATTGGTTTATTTCCTTATCACTGAGGGCAAATGTGTTCATCACTTAAGGCCATCAAATAAAGAAAAGCAATAGCAAGTCCAAGATAAATACTGATTTAAGTGCGCAAAGACCAGTGTGTGGTTGTGGATATCAAAATGTAGCCCCATTTTTAATTTCAATAACTAGCTTTTTAAGCATTGTTTTTGCATTTTCTCCTATTGTCTGTTTTGAAGGAAGACATGGAGCCAGCTGCATGAAGAGTGTTTCAGAGGAAGGAAAAGCAAGTGCCTAGAAGCTTGGCACATGAGAGGAACTAACAGGAGGCAGAGTGGCTGGAGTTTAGTGCTCTAGGGAGGGGAGGCCGGGACATTGGCTCAGGAGAAGTAGGCACGGGCTAGAATATGAAAGGCCATGGCAAAGACCGGGTTTTACTTAAAGAGCCGTGGGAAGTCATTAAAAACATTTCTTTTTAACTTACTGTATTGAAATAATTTTAAAGTTCGAGAAAAGTTACAAGAATAGCACCAAAGACTCCCATGTACCATTTACCCAGATTTATCAGTGTTTTTGCTCTTTGCCATGTTTGCATTATCATTATCTCTGTATAATTAATAAAAACCATTTGAGAGTAGATTGGAAACATTCAAGAGTGTGTTTTCTAAGAACAAGGATATTCTCTTATATAACCAGAATATAAAATTGAACATTGATATAATACTTTTTATAACATACAGTCCATATTCCAGTTTTGTCTGTTGTCTCAATAATGTCCTGCCTTTTGCCGCCTTACTTTTTAATGTATAGGATCTAGTTTAGGATCACCTGTTGCCTTTGGTTGCCATACCTTTTTAGCCTTTTAACATCTGGAACTGTTTCTCATCCTTTCTTTGTTTTTCATGGTGTTGGCATTTTTGAATTCCATATAAATGACGCTGTGTCCTTCTGAGGTTAATCACATCTGGAGGTACTGGTGTCCCTCTTGCCCCTCATTGGGGATTTTAATTTTGGCTACACAGTCGAGGTAGTGTGTGGTTTCTGTACTGAATAGTTATCATTTTTTTGAACTAATAAGCAATCTGTGGGGAATACATTTTGAGACCATGCAAATATTCTGCTCCTCATTAAGCTCAGCACTCCCAACCAATTTTCACTGTGATGACTACAAAATGGTGATTTTCCCAACTCCACCACTCCCTTTATGTTTATTAGTGGCAAAAGAGATAGCTATTTGGTTTAGAGGTGGAAATGACTATTAAGCTATCAATCAAGGATATTAAGGAGATATATCAGATTCTGATTTGGACTTATTTTCTAAGGGAAATCCAAGTTAAATTTTTTTTTACATTAGCAGTATACTTATACTGCTGATAAATGTGCTTTCTAAAATTAAAAATAGTATGTGGCTGAGTTAAGTCTGAAATATTTTAAATCCCTTTTTATTGAGATATAATTTATGTACTATAAAATTCACTCTTAAAGCGTACAAGTCAGTAGATTTTATTATAGTCAGGAAGTTATGTAACCATAATCACTGTCTAATTCCAGAATATTTTCATCACCCCAAAAAGAAACCTCATACCCGTTATCAGTCATTCCCCAATACTCTCTATTCCCAGCCCCTGGAAAACACTACTATTTGTGTCTTTGGATTTGCCTTATAAGTGGAACAATACAGTGTGGCTTCTTTCACTTAGCATAATGTTTTCAAGGTTTCATTCATGTTGTAGCATGCATCCATACTTCATTCCTTTTAATCCATTCCATAGATATAAAATTTTATTTATCTTGGAATTTTTTGATGCTAAGACCATTTGCATTTTTAGTGTTTTTTTTTTTTTGCCTTTTATATATATTTTAAAGGTAAACTACTTTTTGTAAGTTATTGAAAATGAACTGTAGTCTTTAGAGTAGTTTAGTTATTGTTTTTCATATCTACATACATTTCATTATTACATTTACTGTTTCTTAATGATGTTGCTCATCCTCTAACTCTTAAAAAAATCGACGATCAGCTATTATCTTATGGTTTTATTGTCAAAGTGAGCATTTTGCTTTTGGGGGGTTGATTATTTCATTACTTGAATATATTACCTGAAGGGATCTCCTGAGGTATAAATGTTTGGTTTTACTTAGCATAATGTAAGTATGACACCTATACAATCAAGCTGCCATAAGGGATTGAAACCAGTGGAATACATTAATACAATAATTAATTTTATTTTTATTTTGCTGAAGTTATAACAACTTACACTCAGGGAGCCACCATTTCTGGACAGAACATATCATATAACTTTTTAAATTTTTTTTTGGAAATGGTCTTTATAGTTTTTTTGAAAGCAGGAGTTCTAAGGAGACTGAGTTGTAGCAACTACCTAAGATATACTTAGGTTTAATTTACTGGTATGTAGCCTTTTTTGGGAGGGTGGTCAGGACCTTCTTAAGAATTACATAAAAGTTTTGGACTTTCTCCTATTATAGAAAATGTACACATGCATATATACTAAAAATTTTACATATGGTTTCAGAGGGCTTGTAGAAATCATTATAGAAAAATCAGAGAAAGAAGATGGGAAAGGATGTAGTCAGATTCACTCCTGAAAAAGCCCAATGGAGTTAAGGATAAAGAGGAAGGTAGGGCAGTAATTGAGAAAACATAGCTAGTAATACTTTTCAAGGGCCATCTGTCTCTTTGCAGTTCCATTCTTTCTCTCTAGCTACATGTTTTGCTCCTGTTTTTATTTCCTCTTTTCCTTCTTCTTTTCCACTCAGGAAAGTCTTTATTCACAATTTATGGGTCTAATCACCTGGGGTTTACACCTAAGATTTATAATCAGACTTTTAGAATAAGCTGCACCCATCATACAGTCTTCCAGTTAGCAGTAGCCACCAGAAAACACTTTATATGTTCTTCTAATTGTAGATGTTTAATTGAAAGATTGGGATTATAATTTGCTGCTAAATGTCTTTAAGGCCACAAAAATGTTGTAGTTTTTGCCTATTATCCTATTTGTTTGTCTCTAGGTGTTTTTTTTCCCCCAGTGATCATAGCACACAACTTAATGAAAGGAAGGTTGTGGATCCCTAAGTACATTTATGTTTCCCCCCAACCAATTACTTTGTACTTAAAATAGTTCCAGACTTCTGACATTGGCAGGCACCATTGCATTAAAACCCTGGCTCTCTAAAAGGGATTCTGGGAAAGGTTCATTGTTGGGGGAGAATCGTTGTAATAGGAAGTATATTTTCACAGAAAGGAATCTTATGCTGTCTCTGCCTTATAGACTCAAAGAAAAGGTGTTGTGACTCAAAAATGACAAAATTAAAGTTGCTTTGCTCGAAGTCTTTCTAGGAGCTTATGTGGGAAGGATAAAGATGCATTTGTCTTAAAATTGTGTTGTAGGATATATAGAAATTCACAATTATTGTTTAGTTTTTCCTTTTGAATTATTATTTCTTCTTTATAGTGATATTCATGGTGGAATCTTCATAATTTTTCGTTATGCATCTTCTAACTTAAAATCTGCAGATTAAAAAAATCTCTTTTTAGCTTCTAACCAGCAGTTTCAAATAAAAATTCAGAGCAGGTAGAGAAATGCTTTTAAAATGCATATTTGATGTAGTAAGTGCTATGCTATGCTTCTGAAAGCACCAGGGTCACAGCTGCATACATGAAAATGCATGGTGACTGCAGGCATTGTTTCCTCACACAGAAAAGGCAATCTGTGTCTGTCGCTGAATTTATGATGTAAATCAAATCATAGCTTTCCTATATTCAGAGATGTAGCAAGAAGGTTGAGGTGACCTAAAGGTTACAAATAACTTTTGCTTTTTGATTTGCCTATCACAGACTATTTTTTTTAACCCCCTCATTTCTATTAGGATTGATGTGTTTATACTTGGAAAGGTGAATCCAGTTACAGATTTTATCATTGCCTCTGTGCTAGTCTGGGGGAACCATGCATTTATCATTCACTCCTTCCTCACTCCATTCTGTTAGGATGCATGTACTGTACTGCTCTGTGCTGTTGATGATATTAATAAAGAGTGGGAACACTGAAATATTAGGTACCAACTCTGTGTGCTTCCTCTGCTTTTTTCTTCTCTGAACAGTGTTGACTTTGGGACAATGTGCTAGAGGGACTGTGTTAAATTGGCTTCCCATGATCCTGTTTATTCTGTCATTTGCAACAACATGAATCAACCAGTTTAAGAGTTTAAAAAGGTGATTTGGGGAAAGTGTGTATGTGATAATTACGTTTATTGTAGATAGGCATTTGGCACTGAAAGGGAAACAAAAAGATTAAGAAGACACATACCCAGCTTTCATGCTGCTTATGCTATAATTTAATAAACAAACCTATCTTGATGATAATCATAATTGTACCCACTTATGTAGTTCTTCTATTTGCTAGATATTATATTAAATGCTTTACTTAAAATAGCAATTAAAATATTTGCAAATCACGAAATGGGGAAGTGCCAAAGGAGGTACAACAAATTGGATCATCTATTGCAGAAAAACAACAACAAAAAATGCACACAGTGAAGGAGACATTAGAGGCACTAGAGACCAATGAAGGGTGACCTGACTGCCTGGTTTGTATTGATCTTGATATTTAGAAATAATACAATTCTCTATTAAGGAGAAAGCAGAATCTATTGGCTATCTCAGGAGTTAGGAAATTCAGATTAAAAAATTTCTGTGGGCTCTTCCTGGACATAACACTTCCTTCTGAAATAAAAAAATATAGGGTGATTTATCTCTGAGCTAAAAATAGAAGTCCTTTTTTTTGAGGACTTAGATTTTATTAGACATTGGGCTTAGAGCCATTTAAGCTTGGCATAGAATTATTAGTAGCTGAGAGCTGCCACCTTTAATACTTTTTGCCTTTACAGGGTTTGTTTGCATCTGTAGTCCTGAGCAGTCTTAAGGTTAGGGTTTTAATGGGTGGCTTGGGTTATACAGTATTCGCTCTGGAAAGTATTTAGTCTGATCGCCTTATTTTATTATTGGTGAAGAAACTTTGGCCAAGAGAGGTTAATTCTCTTGCTTGAGATCACTTGATTTGTGGCAGAGCCAGGATGTAAATTTGGAACTTTTGATTCTTTTAATTCAGTTCTTTTCCCTCACAATTTTATCTCACCTCTCCACTTCCATTTTTTTTTTTAATTATTGTTATACTTTAAGTTTTAGGGTACATATGCACAATGTGCAGGTTAGTTACATATGTATACCTGTGCCATGCTGGTGCGCTGCACCCACTAACTCGTCATCTAGCATTAGGTATATCTCCCAGTGCTATCCCTCCCCCCTCCCCCCACCCCACAACAGTCCCCAGAGTGTGATGTTCCCCTTCCTGTGTCCATGTGTTCTCATTGTTCAATTCCCACCTATGAGTGAGAATATGCAGTGTTTGGTTTTTTGTTCTTGCAATAGTTTACTGAGAATGATGATTTCCAATTTCATCCATGTCCCTACAGACATGAACTCATCATTTTTTATGGCTGCATAGTATTCCATGGTGTATATGTGCCACATTTTCTTAATCCAGTCTATCATTGTTGGACATTTGGGTTGGTTCCAAGTCTTTGCTATTGTGAATAGTGCTGCAATAAACATATGTGTGCCTGTGTCTTTATAGCAGCATGATTTATAGTCCTTTGGGTATATACCCAGTAATGGGATGACTGGGTCAAATGGTATTTCTAGTTCTAGATCCCTGAGGAATTGCCACACTGACTTCCACAATGGTTGAACTAGTTTACAGTCCCACCAACAGTGTAAAAGTGTTCCTATTACTCCACATCCTCTCCAGCACCTGTTGTTTCCTGACTTTTTAATGATTGCCATTCTAACTGGTGTGAGATGGTATCTCATTGTGGTTTTGATTTGCATTTCTCTAAGGGCCAGTGATGGTGAGCATTTTTTCATGTGTTTTTTGGCTGCATAAATGTTGTCTTTTGAGAAGTGTCTGTTCATGTCCTTCGCCCACTTTTTGATGGGGTTGTTTGTTTTTTTCTTGTAAATTTGTTTGAGTTCATTGTAGATTCTGGATATTAGCCCTTTGTCAGATGAGTAGGTTGTGAAAATTTTCTCCCATTTTGTAGGTTGCCTGTTCACTCTGATGGTAGTTTCTTTTGCTGTGCAGAAGCTCTTTAGTTTAATTAGATCCCATTTGTCAATTTTGGCTTTTGTTGCCATTGCTTCCAGTGTTTTAGACATGAAGTCCTTGCCCATGCCTATGTCCTGAATGGTAATGCCTAGGTTTTCTTCTAGGGTTTTTATGGTTTTAGGTCTAACGTTTAAGTCTTTAATCCATCTTGAATTGATTTTTGTATAAGGTGTAAGGAAGGGATCCAGTTTCAGCTTTCTCCATATGGCTAGCCAGTTTTCCCAGCACCATTTATTAAATAGGGAATCCTTTCCCCATTGCTTGTTTTTCTCAGGTTTGCCAAAGATCAGATAGTTGTAGATATGCGGCGTTATTTCTGAGAGCTCTGTTCTGTTCCATTGATCTATATCTCTGTTTTGGTACCAGTACCATGCTGTTTTGGTTACTGTAGCCTTGTATTATAGTTTGAAGTCAGGTGGTGTGATGCCTCCAGCTTTGTTCTTTTGGCTTAGGATTGACTCGGCGATGCGGGCTCTATTTTGGTTCCATATGAACTTTAAAGTAGTTTTTTCCAATTCTGTGAAGAAAGTCATTGGTAGCTTGCTGGGGATGGCATTGAATGTGTAAATTACCTTGGGCAGTATGGCCATTTTCACGATATTGATTCTTCCTACCCATGAGCATGGAAAGTTCTTCCATTTGTTTGTATCCTCTTTTATTTCCTTGAGCAGTGGTTTGTAGTTCTCCTTGAAGAGGTCCTTCACATCCCTTGTAAGCTGGATTCCTAGGTATTTTATTCTCTTTGAAGCAATTGGGAATGGGAGTTCACTCATGATTTGGCTCTCTGTTTGTCTGTTGTTGGTGTATAAGAATGCTTGTGATTTTTGTACATTGATTTTGTATCCTGAGACTTTGCTGAAGTTGCTTATCAGCTTAAGGAGATTTTGGGCTGAGTCAATGGGGTTTTCTAGATATACAATCATGTTGTCTGCAAACAGGGACAATTTGACTTCCTCTTTTCCTAACTGAATACTCTTTATTTCCTCCTCCTGCCTAATTGCCCTGGCCAGAACTTCCAACACTATGTTGAATAGGAGTGGTGAGAGAGGGCATCCCTGTCTTGTGCCAGTTTTCAAAGGGAATGCTTCCAGTTTTTGCCCATTCAGTATGATATTGGCTATGGGTTTGTCATAGATAGCTCTTATTATTTTGAAATACGTCCCATCAATACCTAATTTATTGAGAGTTTTTAGCATGAAGGGTTGTTGAATTTTGTCAAAGGCCTTTTCTGCATCTATTGAGATAATCATGTGGTTTTTGTCTTTGGTTCTGTTTATATGCTGGATTACATTTATTGATTTGCGTATATTGAACCAGCCTTTCATCCCAGGGATGAAGCCCACTTGATCATGGTGGATAAGCTTTTTGATGTGCTGCTGGATTCGGTTTGCCAGTATTTTATTGAGGATTTTTGCATCAATGTTCATCAAGGATATTGGTCTAAAATTGTCTTTTTTGGTTGTGTCTCTGCCCGGCTTTGGTATCAGGATGATGCTGGCCTCATAAAATGAGTTAGGGAGGATTCCCTCTTTTCCACTTCTATTTTCTTCTGAGATATGGACATGGCTACATAACAGTAAATGATTATGATAGTGTTCTGTAGCCACTGCATATATTAATATAAATAATAATAACGATGATAATGTGCAGTGTTTGTGTTTATTTTTTCAAAACTTGTATAGGTTATTGTCTGCTACTGTTAGATTTATTTACAAGTGATCGGGCTGATTCATCAGCCCATCTATCCTTTTGAATAAAGTGTTGTTAGGCAACTTAGTATTCATAACTTGAATAGCTGGTTTGGGGATAATTAGAAATTTGAGGCATGACTCAGGTTGTGTTTTGGCGTTCTTTGTACCACATTCTTCCCTTTTTTGATCAGTAATGCTTCCAATTTAAAGTTGTTAACTTGACTCAGTTAAATTGTGGATCCTTTCATTTACCTTGACCTTTCTCAGTTGGATGTACTTGAAAAAATGGAAAGGCTAACAAGCAGTGGGTGAGAGGAAGAAAGTAAAGAAAAATCTTGAGTAATCCATAAATGTAATAATCAACTCTTGAATACAGCAAGACTGAGCAATACTTAGCCTTATGGAATTTTAAATGCTTTAATTATAATTTTTTAAGTAGGAAAATAACTTCATTTTCTATCATACCCAAATTAGCATGAATATTCTTTAATGCCTTTTATTCTATGTTTTCCAAAGGAATAATTTTACATTTGTTTTCCATTTTAAGCCTTCTAGTTTCTAGTGTGTTCTGTTACTCTTGTGCATCCAGTTTGATAACTATATTTCCATAAGAAAATCACAACTCTGATCTTGATCGATTAACTACTTTTCATTCAGTGTTAGGAAAGGTGAAACTGGAAGCATAGTGTTTTTTTTTTTTAACAATTTGGGACTGGTGCAATGCTTTCTTCGGTGATGTGCCTTCCATAGTGCTTGTCATTTACTCAATGGAGTGATTCTTGACCAGGAGCAATTTTGTCCTCCAGGGGATATTTGGCAATGTCTGGAGACAATTTTGATTGTCATGACTAGGAGAAATCCTACTTGTATCTAGTGGGTGGAGGCCAGGGATGCTGCCAAGCATTCCATTGTGCATAGGACAACCCACACAATAAAGAGTTATGTGGCCCAAAATGTCAGTAGTGGTAAGACTGAGAAACTCTCATGCATGGGCAGTTGTGCAATGAAGTTTATTGAATTAAAAAATACATCCATTATATTACGTGAGCCTAAGGCTTTATGGATTATTTTATATATGTATTACACACCAATTTGATGACTCTTAAGGGAGAATTTAGCTGTTTGCTTCATTATGATTAAAGTATTAAAATTGTGGCAGTTATAATTGATTATAGGTTAGTATACTTAGTTGAAATGGTATGTTAGTAATCAAATGCTGATCAACAGGAAGATTCAGTGTTCTCCTCTTATACTTCCCTTTTCCCTCAAGCTTTTCAGCTTCTTAGAATCAATACTGTGTATCATCACCTGCAATATTGCCACTCAGTTCTGACATAATCAATTATTTGGAAAACTTAATTATCCAGATGTCTAAATCAGTAATTAATCTTTATGATCCCTATCCTACTATATTCTACTTAATCTCATTTTTTGAATTTAGGTCTGAGATACTAAATAAAATCTGCTGAATCCAATAGCTAGCAAAACAGGCCTTCAGCATCATGCAACAAAGCTGGAGTGGCTCCCTCGGTATGCATAAATGTAAATTAGAATTGTTTGCCACATATACATCACTTTTAATCTCATTTTATACTATTTTTTATTTCTGTTGACCTGATTCAATTTGGACAAAACTGAGTATTTTAAAAAGGAGATAGATTCTTAGCGGTTTTTTTTGGTGGGGTGTGAAGGATGGAAGGGAGATGACTTATAAAGGAAGAATATTGAAAAGCACTTCGGTGCCTTATGACCATACAAAAACTGTGTGATAACTTGTTGAGTTTTCTTTTTAAATATTTATAAGTGCCACCATTATCTGGAAGATTAATGGATGATTATATCTGATACTCTTTATAGCGATATGGTTCTTATCAGAAGAACCCAAAGCTGCTGAAATAATTGTAGGTGCTATTTCTGCTGTTTCTTCCTTTTTATGTAGTGAGTGTTTTTTTGTTTGTTTGTTTGTTCCTTTGTTTTTGGTAGAGACTGGGTCCTGCTATGTTGCTCAGGCTGATGTCAAATCCCTGGCCTCCAGCAATTCTCCAGCCTTGGCCTCCCAAAGTGCTGGGATTACAGGTGTGAATCACTGCTACTGGCCTGTTTTGTGGTTTTAATTGAACACGACCTGCTGAACTTTCAATCTAAGAATTTCATCTGATACTACATACCTGAGAGGCTTTTAGAATTTGTAATATTTTTCTTAGTATTTGTGGCAACCAAAGTGGAAGCAAATTCTAGGTAGGTTTAACTGCCAAAGGGTTTGGAATTGGGAAACATGAATGATTTTGATACGATTTCTGAGTTTTGGCATAAAAAGTTGCTTGGAGTGATCCCTTAGCAATGGTAGCATTCCCGTCAGTCAGAAATAGCCTGTGCTTTAGCAAGCAGGAGGCTGCCAGCATGTGAAGTTAGTTAGTACATGATAGGTTAGGTGAGGTTAAGAAGAAATAGATAGTGTTATACCCACAAACTGTGTGGTAGTGTCAGAGAGGTGTTTCACATGTGTTTCAATGTGATAGATCTAATGTACTCTTCTGTTTTTAAAAGAGAAAAAAAAATAGTACATTTCCCACCCCCAACACCCGTGCAGTAGTTTTTACTTGTAGCAGTTCTGAATCCTGGTAACATATTAAAATTACCTGTAGAATTTTAAAAAATTGCTAGGGGACAAACTTCATTCCTAGCAGTCTAAGATAACAGACCTGGGCATTAGTATTAAGGGCTCTACAGCTAATCTAACTTGCAACCAAGAATAGGAACCACTGCTTTATAGCAGTGCATCAGAATTTCCTGCAGGGCTATTTATTAGGTCTGGGCTAGGGCTTGAGAATTTGCATTTCTAACAAGTTCCCAGTTGATCTTACTAGTAAGGCATCACATTTTGAGAATCACCATGAAGGCAATCTTAAAAAATCATCTGAGTGTAACTGATGGTCTGATTGTTACTCTTTTTTGAAAAATCATTGCTGGAGATATATTAAAATTAAAGACTAGCTCCGTGTATGTGGTTCCTTTTATGCTAAAAAGATTGATATTTCTGTATTGTTTGCATGTTTTTACAATGAGCATTTTAATGTTTTTTTTTGAGATGGAGTTTTGCTCTTGTTGCCCAGGCTGGAGTGCAATAGCATAATATCAGTTCACCGCAACCTCCGCCTCCCAAGTTTAAGTGATTCACCTTCCTCAGCCTCCTGAGTAGCTGGGATTACAGGCATGCGCCACCATTCCCGGCTAATTTTGTATTTTTAGTAGAGACAGGGTTTCTCCATGTTGGTCAGGCTGGTCTCGAACTCCCAACCTCAGGTGATCCACCCATCTTGGCCTCCCAAAGTGCTGGGATTACAGGCGTGAGCCACCGCGTCCAGCCTTAAATCTTATTTAAATATTTTCTTGGAGGAAAAAGCCACATAAATAATAGCTAAAAATTGTATAGTACTTAATAGTTTAAAAAGCTGACCAATTTACAATTATTAGTAGAGTAGCCTTTTTGAACTATTTAAAATAACTCATGGTTGTACTTTTTGTTTTTTTTTGGGGTTAAACCCCATTCTTTGAGAATCCTTCAAATTTCAGATTTTATGTTTTATATAGTCTCTTTAGGTATCTTAATAGAAGTAGCTCAAATAAACGGATTCATCTGCATTCAACAGAAATTTTATGCATCTTCAGTTTGGATAGTTGTTAAGATGGAAGGAATATTTCCTTTTTTCTATTCTTAAATATGCTGGGGAAGCGCAGAACCATACAATGGGAATAATGAAGTACCTGGAAACAGAGAGGGAGAGACAGAGCTTATGGGTTCGGGTAAGGTTGGAGGAAATGGAACTTACCAGGCTTGGAAAGAGAGCAGCGGTAGCAGGAGGAGGAGGTGGCTTGTAACCTCTAGGAATGAAGGATCAAGGGGATGGATATGAGAGAGCTGCTGGATTCAGGAGCTTGGCCAAAGTCACAGAACTGTTAAATGGAAGAGTCCATTCCCAGATTTGGATCTCTGAGGCTCCTGTGTCCATTTTGTTTTCTGCAAAAATGTTAGGAAAAGGCAGGGGGGAGAGTCAGTTCTGATGAACCAACTCTGCAACAAATGGAGCAAGTGATCATTTTGTGACAATTATGAATCGTGAAAAAAGTCTCTAGATGGTAGGTACTGGCTTCTTTGCTGCTATATTTGGATATTGAAAATGTGTAGTCCTGAATAACAGGTTCCCATGTGACTTTCTGTGTCTTTCAGAAATCATCCTCATCCTTTGATAACTGTGCTTGAACACAGACCTGATTGCTGGCCAGTGTTTTTGCAGCAGCTGACAGCGTTTTTCCAGCAGTGCCCTGAAAGGTAATGTAAAATAAAAGTGTAAAATAAAGTGAGGGAGACAGAATGGTATATGCTAATTTTAGAGCTAGGGTTTTTTTTTGTTTGTTTGTTTCTTTTTAGCTGCTTTGATCTATAATGTTTTCTCCTGAAGAACCATCCTAGAGCAGGTTGTAGTTTTCTTTTCTTTTTAAATTTAATTTTATTATTATTATACTTTAAGTTTTAGGGTACATGTGCACAATGTGCAGGTAGGTTACATATGTATACATGTGCCATGCTGGTGTGCTGCACCCATTAACTCGTCATTTAGCATTAGGTATATCTCCTAATGCTATCCCTCCCCCCTCCCCCAACCCCACAACAGTCCCCAGATTGTGATGTTCCCCTTCCTGTGTCCATGTGTTCTCATTGTTCAATTCCCACCTATAAGTGAGACTATGCGGTGTTTGGTTTTTTGTTCTTGTGATAGTTTACTGAGAATGATGATTTCCAGTTACATTCATGTCCCTACAAAGGACCTGAACTCATCATTTTTTATGGCTGCATAGTATTCCATGGTGTATATGTGCCAACATAGTGTTGGAAGTTCTGGCCAGGGCAATTAGGCAGGAGAAGGAAATAAAGGGTATTCAATTATGAAAAGAGGAAGTCAAATTGTCCCTGTTTGCAGATGACATGATTGTATATCTAGAAAACCCCACTGACTCAGCCCAAAATCTCCTTAAGCTGATAAGCAACTTCAGCAAAGTCTCAGGATACAAACTCAATGTACAAAAATCACAAGCATTCTTATACACCAATAACAGACAAACAGAGAGCCAAATCATGAGTGAACTCCCATTCACAATTGCTTCAAAGAGAATAAAATACCTAGGAATCCAACTTACAAGGGATATGAAGGACCTCTTCAAGGAGAACTACAAACCACTGCTCAATGAAATAAAAGAGGATACAAACAAATGGAAGAACATTCCATGCTCATGGGTAGGAAGAATCAATATCATGAAAATGGCCATACTGCCCAAGGCCATTAAAAACTACTTTAAAGTTCATATGGAACCAAAAAAGAGCCCGCATTGCCAAGTCAATCCTAAGCCAAAAGAACAAAGCTGGAGGCATCACACTACCTGACTTCAAACTATACTACAAGGCTACAGTCACCAAAACAGCATGGTACTGGTACCAAAACAGAGATATAGATCAATGGAACAGAACAGAGCCTTCAGAAATAACGCCGCATATCTACAACTATCTGATCTTTGACAAACCTGAGAAAAACAAGCAATGGGGAAAGGATTCCCTATTTAATAAATGGTGCTGGGAAAACTGGCTAGCCATACGGAGAAAGCTGAAACTGGATCCCTTCCTTACACCTTATACAAAACTTAATTCAAGATGGATTAAAGACTTACATGTTAGACCTAAAACCATAAAAACCGTAGAAGAAAACCTAGGCATTACCATTCAGGACATAGGCATGGGCAAGGACTTCATGTCAGGTTGTAGTTTTCTATTTTCTTTTAAAGAGTAAAAGAAAAAAATCTACCAGATTTATTGGTTGTTGAAATACTGAATATGAGAAAAGCTGTTATTAAGGAAGTTAAGCATTGGTAAGTGGTTAGGAAAGTTGGCTAGAATAATTCAGTAAGCTACTACACAATACATATAGGAGATAAGTTCTTCCCCTTGGACACTGGCTAATGAGTTAGTCTCTCCATTAGAAAACTGCCATTTGAGATAAAGTATTACTGCCAAGTGGGATCAGATAGCCACCATATGTGCAGTTAGTGTACTTTCACCAAGGCCTCCTGATGGCTCTCAAAGCTACTCCCCTTTCTTCTATCCTTACTACCATGACGCTGGTTCAGGGCCTCAATATCTCTTGATGTGGCTCTTGCCACCTGTTCCTAACTGGTGTCTCTGCCTCCAGTCTTGTCCTGGTCAAATCCAGTCTCTAAACATCCCTCAGAAGGATATATCAAGAGAGCAGATCTTACAGTATCATTCCCATGCTTAAGTCTCTGTGGCTGTGGTTTTCAAACTGCACTTGCAGTGCATGGGCTAAGCATGGAGCATGTTCCCACCCCTTTGGCTCTGTTTTCATAGCACTTACTTGTTGATATCTTATGGAAGCTTTCTATGGGAAAACAAAAAGGATTGGTTTCTGAAACAGTTTGAAATTCCCTGGACTATAGGATAAAATCTAATATGTCATAGTAGGCTTAGTATATGATGCAGTTCCAATCTATCTCACCAGCTTTATCTTTTCTTATCTTCATCTCGCAGTTTATGCTTTAGCAGTACAATGACTTGCCTTGTGTTCCACACAGGAAGCAGTGCTGTTTCCTTCTCTCCATGTTTTTACTTACTGGTATCTACTGTACTCTCTTGAATCTTACCCCACTCTCTTTCTGATAAATGTCTTTATTTGAAATCTCTGTTTAGGCATTTTTTTTGCCCTAGGGTCTTTTCTTACTAGAAGCTGTATTAGGTGTGTCTCTTGCATGGTTACATAATACCTTACAGTTGCGACATTATCATAATTACTCTCCTGTATTAACTGTGAAATCTTGAGGGCAGGGACTGTGTTTCATTATTCTCTGTATTAGTGATGCTTGGCACATTTCTAGGTGCTTTATAAATGTTGAATTTCTTTAAATGAGGTTGCAGTGAGCGGAGATTGTACCACTGCACTTCAGCCTGGGTGACAGGTTGTTAATGAGTATATGAGTAGCGATTCACAACTATGGGAAGAAAGCAAAATGTTGTAAGGATAGCTAGCTATTTATGTTCATTTTAATATTATGTATATGTCCTAAAATGACAATATATCTTCATGCTAGATTTTTTGGGGGGGGGCGTTACAATTATTATTATTTTTAAGAGATTGGGAGTCTGCTGTGTTGCCCAGGCTGAACATGAACTCCTGGGCTCAAGTGATCCTCCTGTCTCAGCCTTCTGAGTAGCTGGGACTATAGGCATGCACCTCTGCACACAGTATTTGGGTATTATTTTATAATTAAGTTCTGCATTCATTTATTGAAGGCCTATGACTTTAACCTTTCAGGAACTGAGAATTTGAGAATGGTGCAAATTGATAATATCATGGATTTTAGGCTGGGTTACTTTAAGATTATCTAGTCTAACATAATTTTTCAGATGAGAGAACCGAGGAGAGCAACATTAAACGACTTACTGAAGGTTTCTTGGCTAGCTAGTGGTGGAGTTGGGCCTAAAGCCTCCGTTATTTTTATTTTTATTTTTTTTTGTGGCAGAGTCTCACTCTGTTGCCCAGGCTGGAGTGCAGTGGTGCAATCTCGGCTCATTGCAACCTCTGCCTCACGGGTTCACGCCATTCTTCTGCCTCAGCCTCCTGGGTAGCTGGGACTACAGGTGCCCGCCACCATGCCTGGCTAATTTTTTGTATTTTTAGTAGAGATGAGGTTTCACTGTGTTAGCTAGGATGGTCTCAATATCCTGACCTCATGATCCACCCGCCTCGGACTCCTAAATTGCTGGGATTACAGGTGTGAGCCACCGTGCCTGGCCCAAGCCTCCATTTTTTTACTCTCTCTCTAGGTCTGTTTTTTTTAGTACTTCTCCCTCTGTGGTGAACTTAAATATAAAAGACTTGTGTGTAGGTACATACATAATTGGTTACATTTGAAAACATTTTAAATCACTTTGGGATTTCAGATTATCTGTTTTTTTAATATTCATTTTTTCCTAAGCCCTGGTAATGTCTTACTCCACCGAAGTGATGATTAATCATCAGATACCACATGCAGAATCTAAAATCAGAACAGATTAAGCCAAGGGGATTTTTAAATAGTATATTGTCCTTAAGGAAGTTCAACGTTTGCTCCTGATGTCAAATCATAATGGCATCTTGGAAATGTATTTCTTTATATGAACCTTACATTTCACCTTCAGCATCTCAAAGTAGAAGAAAACCGATAAGCCATCCATGGATGCTGTTGACACCCGGATAGTATTTATTCTTTGGGGAATACATTATTAAAGAGAGATGGAGAAGGAAGTTTCTTAAATCTCTTTTCTGGGAACTTTCACTTTGTATTTCATACATACATTATCTGATTCCTTCATCTATCTTTTTTTAGTTTCCGAAAGTAGAAGGTGTGATAAAGATATATGTTTCAGTAATAATTTTGAAGTGAAAAGTCCTTTTGATTTTTATAGATTGTATAAGTATTTGAGCTTATGATAAAAAAATTTCTTCAGACTGTGAGCTCTATGAGAGCAGGAACTTAATCTATTTTTATTTCTTGTTTTGTTTCCATCATGTAGATGAGTGAGGTATACTGTAGGTGATCAGTAAATTTTACCAAGTGAATAAATTAATGAATGAATAAAATTTAATTGGCTTGGTAACTTTTACATTTTTATTAATCTTAATGGCATTTTGAAATCACATTGCTATGAAATGTATGGTATTGTAAGACTATGTTGTCAAGTGTTATTTATTTTATTATAATTAAAAAGAATTCCCTTTTATTTTAGATTCAGGGGTGTATGTGCAGATCTGTTGGAAGGGTATATTGTGTAGTGCTGAGGTTTGGCCTTTTATTGATTCTGTCACCCCGTAGTGAACAAAGTGCCTAACAGGAAAATTTTCAGCCCTTGCCCCTCCTTCCCACCCTCTGTTTGGAGTCCCTTGTGTCTGTTGTTCCCACCTTCATGTCTGTGTGAACCCAAGGTTTAGCTCCCACTCTTAAATGAGAACGGTCAAGCATAATTTAAATACCGTTTCTTCCGTGAAGCAATTGCACTTTATACCTTTCTTTTGGCAGTTGTCACTTTCTATCATCTAGTTCAGGATCATAACTGATTGTCTCTGTCAGACTGTATGCTTCTTGAGGATAGATAATTCTTATTTCATCTTTGTATCTTATCTAATCATTCCTTATATATAAGAATGTGAAAAACATTAGAAAATAAAGTCATGACATTTAATTGCATGCTCATTATAAAACTACTCTGTAACTTAGTGTAACTGAATTAATTAAATGATTGAGCATCTCTTTGAAGGCCTAGTATGTACAGTTATTGGTGATAATAGCAGTAAACAGAAATCCGTGGCCTCATTTGGTTTATAGTCTGGCAGGGGGATACAGATATTAAGTATGTAATAATAACAGCTTGTAATCTCAGCTACTTGGGAGACTGAGGCAGGAGGATTGCTTGAGCCTAGAAATTCAAGGCTGAAGTGCACTATTATTGTGCCTGTGAATAGCCATTGCACTCTAGCCTGGGCAATGTAGCAAGACACTGTCTCTTAAAAAAATGTAATGGCAATAAAGGCATTGTATCTTAAAAGCACATCTGATGTGATCTGATCAAGGTGAAGTGTCAAGGAAGGACCTGAGAAAGTCATTTTAAAGCAGATAACTGAAGGATGATAGAAGCTAGGTAGGGAGAAGGAATAGGACGGGTAGAAGGGGAGAATATTACAGGTAGAGGGAATAGCAAGTGAGAAGAAAGCCCAGATGGCTTGATAAAGACCTGAAAGGAGTTTAGTGTGGTTTAGTGGTGAATGAAGAGCAAGAAATGAAGCTGGAAAGATAAACAGAGGCCAAATGATGGAGGGTGTGTGTGAATTGGGCTAGATACTGTTTAGGCTAGTTAATGACATGACCATATTTTTATTTTTGATGATCATTCCGGTGTTTTAGTGAATTTGGACTAGGAGTTTTCAGGATATAGTGAAATCTAAATAGATACAAAAGATTTGTAGGGTGGGAAGTGCTTAAGAAGACCTTGACAAATTATTTCACCTCTCTCTCCTTCAGTTTCTTTATCCGTGTTATAAGGATAATATTATTTTTTATTTCATAGGGTTGTGGTGAGGATTAAATGGATTTAAAGACATAACATGCAGTAACTTGAACACTGTAAGGGTTAACAGGTTAACAAGTAAATGTTAACTGTCATCATAATCATCTTGGGATGTTTGTCTGGATTTCTTTTATGTAGATCCTCACCTGTAGAGTTTTTCCAAAAATTCATGTTTGTGTCATACTCCTGGAGAGGTGATCCTGACATCTGTAATTCTAGAAAGGTTGTCAGGTGATCCTTTTTTTTAAGATGGAGTCTCGCTCTGTTGCCAGGCTGGAGTGCAGTGGAGCAATCTTGGCTCACTGCAACCTCTGCCTCCTGGGTTCAGGCGATTCTCCTGCCTCAGCCTCCTGAGTAGCTGGGACTACAGGTGCATGCCACCACGCCCAGCTAATTTTTGTATTTTTAGTAGAGACAGTGTTTCACCATGTTGGCCAGGATGGTCTCTATCTCCTGACCTCATGATCTGCCTGCCTCGGCCTCCCAAAGTGCTGGGATTTTTATAGGCGTGAGCCTCCGTGCCCAGCCCAGATGATTCTTGTGTTCACTAAACACTGATTTCAGAGATGTAGTTGCTATTCTAATGTGCAAATAGAGACTGTCTTCATCCTGGGCATCTAGCTTACAGTCTCCAGGTGTTGAATAATTTTCCTCAGTGTACAAAGAACTGTTTGGCATAGATGTAGGCAGGTCATAGCGGAATAGAAGAATCATAAAAAGAAGTTACACTTGATGATATGGTAGATTATGTTATGTCATGAACTATAAGTTGATATTTGCCACTTACCTGCTTGATAGTGTGTTTAACTCAATAACTGGCTAATGTATTTCATGTCTTATAGGTTAGAAGTTTCATGCATTCAAATAATGGCACCATTTCTGTGGTATCTGTATTGTGAACCATCTCAGTTACAAGAATATGCTAAACTCCGACTAGCCCTGCTGAAAGTCTTACTTCAACCCCAGGTTCTTTGTGACAAAGATCAACCATCAATACTGGAACAGCAGATACTTCAACTGTGTTGTGACATAGTTCCATGTTTGCAGGTAAGGTCTTTGTCCTCCTCCACAAATATAGGTCAGCATCAGTAAGTGTTGTTATTGTCATAGACAAAGTAGTTCTAGAACATAAGTGATTTGGCAAACTCAGACATGATCCTCGCTCTAGAAATGCTTACAATCTTTTGGGGAAGATGAAAGAAACAAAATCTAGATTTAATATGAATATATTATATTCGATATTAACTAAATACACAGAAATTATAAATCGACATAGTCCATTCTGGGAATAGCAAGCATGAAAACTTTCCTTTGTTTAAGAAACAGTTATCAGGTAAAAGATTTTGAGTTGAGTTTCTTCTGTGTAGACATTGGGACAGTAACAAGGAAAAAAAAGACCTCTGTGCACATTGGAAAAAAAAAAAAGATGTGTCTCAGAGCATAAATAGCTCTGAGGATGCAAAGCCTGGCCAGCTGAGTGCCAGCTAGATTCCAGCTTCCACATGTCCCCTTGCAACATATGCAGCAGCTCTCAGGGATCCTGCTCTTGAGAAGCACACATGTAGTAAATGAGTTAGGACAAGTACTGTACATATATTCTTACAATTCAAAGTAGAAAGATGAAAGGTGGTTAACAGAGGTATGGATAAAACACGGACACAGTTCAGGGGAAAGAGAAATTTGAGTCATTGTCTCTATAACTGCATATGAAAAAAAATCCAGTTGCCCAGGTGTTGTGATTTTAGTGTAGTGATTCATTTATCAGTCCATCTCTTCCCATCATCTAGGTTTGCTATTTGCCTGGAATCGCAGCACCATGCTGCTTAGCTGATGGAGGGAATCTGTGAACATATTTCAAAACGATCACTTGAGGTCACACATGACCTGCTTTAAGTTTGTGTTAGCAGGGAGTGACTTGAGTAAATCTTTCCTCTGCGACTTATAAATAGGCTTTCCTGTAATCAAGGCAGAGAAAATTTAATTAAAATGAATTCTCCTGTGGCTTTTCCAAAGCTTTTGTTTTGTGTGGGCAATAAAGCAATGTATAGGCAGAACATCTTGAACTAGGGTACATTTTTCACGTCATGGCTGCATTACCCTGTTCTGTGCTCCTTGGCAAAGGTTTGTCTTCATCTTATGAACCTGTGTTGACAGGCTTAAATGCTTTTAGAAATGAGCTCGGTGGAATATTTCTGGGAATCTGTGGCTTTTTAACCTAACAGTTATGTAAGAAAAAAGGGGATACATCATTTGGAAGTACTGGAACTAGTGACAGTAGCATACTTAATCAATTTAACAAATCAGCTTTATTAGAATGAAGCGTGTGAGGGTTGGACGTGGTCTTAGAGACAATATAATCCATTTACCACTCAATACAGATGTTTCTTATACTCTCTGAAACATGACTATCTCATGGCTAATTGAATATTTTAGTGATAGAGGAAGCGTACTATTTTGCAAGGCAACCATTTTTTTTAGCAAGTACTTTTTGACCTTCATTTTTCTCATTCATTCATTTCCATTCTTCTCAGAACAAAATGAAATAAGCTTTTAAAAAAACCCCATCTGTATCCTATCTTATTTTTCTCCCTTCTTTCCTTCCCGTTTTTCCTTCCTTCCTTTCCTCCTCACCTCCCTCCCTTCCTTATTTTTTTCTTCACTTTCTTAATCTCTCCATTGCAAATGGTTTCCCAACTTTTCTCTGTTTTGTTTTGCCAGGAATTTTCTAGTTTATTGTTGCTCAAAATATGCTACTATGAAATGATCATCTTAGAGATGACTACAATGCTGTTGATGTGGTCTTTTTTTTTTATTATACTTTAAGTTTTAGGGTACATGTGCACATTGTGCAGGTTAGTTACATATGTATACATGTGCCATGCTGGTGCACTGCACCCACTAACTCGTCATCTAGCATTAGGTATATCTCCCAATGCTATCCCTCCCCTCTCCCCCACCCCACCACAGTCCCCAGAATGTGATATTCCCCTTCCTGTGTCCATGTGATCTCATTGTTCAATTCCCACCTATGAGTGAGAATATGTGGTGTTTGGTTTTTTGTTCTTGCGATAGTTTACTGAGAATGATGATTTCCAATTTCATCCATGTCCCTACAAAGGACATGAACTCATCATTTTTTATGGCTGCATAGTATTCCATGGTGTATATGTGCCACATTTTCTTAATCCAGTCTATCATTTTTGGACATTTGGGTTGGTTCCAAGTCTTTGCTATTGTGAATAATGCCGCAATAAACATACGTGTGCATGTGTCTTTATAGCAGCAAGATTTATAGTCCTTTGGGTATATACCCAGTAATGGGATAGCTGGGTCAAATGGTATTTCTAGTTCTAGATCCCTGAGGAATTGCCACACTGACTTCCACAATGGTTGAACTAGTTTACAGTCCCACCAACAGTGTAAAAGTGTTCCTATTTCTCCACGTCCTCTCCAGCACCTGTTGTTTCCTGACTTTTTAATGATCGCCATTCTAACTGGTGTGAGATGGTATCTCATTGTGGTTTTGATTTGCATTTCTCTGATGGCCAGTGATAATGAGGATTTTTTCATGTGTTTTTTGGCTGCATAAATGTCTTCTTTTGAGAAGTGTCTGTTCATGTCCTTCGCCCACTTTTTGATGGGGTTGTTTGTTTTTTTCTTGTGAATTTGTTTGAGTTCATTGTAGATTCTGGATATTAGCCCTTTGTCAGATGAGTAGGTTGCGAAAATTTTCTCCCATTTTGTAGGTTGCCTGTTCACTCTGATGGTAGTTTCTTTTGCTGTGCAGAAGCTCTTTAGTTTAATTAGATCCCATTTGTCAATTTTGTCTTTTGTTGCCATTGCTGTTGGTGTTTTGGACATGAAGTCCTTGCCCATGCCTATGTCCTGAATGGTGATGCCTAGGTTTTCTTCTAGGGTTTTTATGGTTTTATGTCTAATGTTTAAGTCTTTAATCCATCTTGAATTGATTTTTGTATAAGGTGTAAGGAAGGGATCCAGTTACAGCTTTCTCCATATGGCTAGCCAGTTTTCCCAGCACCATTTATTAAATAGGGAATCCTTTCCCCATTGCTTGTTTTTCTCAGGTTTGTCAAAGATCAGATAGTTGTAGATATGCGGCGTTATTTCTGAGGGCTCTGTTCTGTTCCATTGATCTATATCTCTGTTTTGGTACCAGTACCATGCTGTTTTGGTGACTGTAGCCTTGTAGTATAGTTTGAAGTCAGGTAGTGTGATGCCTCCAGCTTTGTTCTTTTGGCTTAGGATTGACTTGGCGATGCGGGCTCTTTTTTGGTTCCATATGAACTTTAAAGTAGTTTTTTTCCAATTCTGTGAAGAAAGTCATTGGTAGCTTGCTGGGGATGGCATTGAATGTGTAAATTACCTTGGGCAGTATGGCCATTTTCACGATATTGATTCTTCCTACCCATGAGCATGGAATGTTCTTCCATTTGTTTGTATCCTCTTTTATTTCCTTGAGCAGTGGTTTGTAGTTCTCCTTGAAGAGGTCCTTCACATCCCTTGTAAGTTGGATTCCTAGGTATTTTATTCTCTTTGAAGCAATTGTGAATGGGAGTTCACTCATGATTTGATGTGGTCTTACTTATACTGAGCACTAAGACAGAATCACATTTAAATTTTAAAATACAAGCTTTAGAAATAACCATGCAACCTTGTTGACCAATCATGAAAGAATGGTCAGTGAAACTCCTTTTTCTGTTTCTTCTCCTTCCAGTTGCTCTTTCATTTTATAGATGTAGAATAGTCCTTTTCATTTTAATTGCGACTCTTGTCACCTCACATATTACCTATTATATTATTAAATAATATATTTCTACATAAAGACAGAATGTTACTTCAAAATTATGCTTGTTTAGAACTTTGATAATGTTAAAGATTAGAGAGCCTTTAATGCTAGGTTGCTGAGATTGTCTTTTGAACCTTTTTTTGTTATGGAAAATTAGAAATGTACACATAAATGCACTCAAGGAAATATATTGTCAAGTAAACATTAGGCTTTATTTTAAATCCGTCTCTTCTCTGTGGCCTTTTGACTTTCCTACTGTGTGTTTGCAAGAGAGCAAAATAATTTATACCAGACTGTTTATTTTTTATAACAATGTTTTCTGCTATTTCTTCTCTTTGATCTTTTAATATCTTTTTTCTCTTGTTTGCTAGCAACTAATTTTTCTCTCTGTGTATAACTAATAGTCATTTGGGTTATTATGGTGATAACCACTGGTAAAAGGTACTGCCGGTCAACCGTAGGCTTTCTTCTTGATGAATTTAGCAGACATAGGCTCCTGATTGAAGCAGATGGTCCGTTGTTTGTAATCTCTGGGAAATGCCAATGTGTCTGTGAGCAGGACCATATCCTTAATACCAACTCCAGAATTTTGATCAGAACAGCTGGGTTTGAATTGCATTGGGATTTTCAAGAGCACCCAGGTCCTTCCTATCTAATACATTAGCCTGTTGAGAAGACACTCTACCATTTGAATATGGTCTTTTACTATATCTGCCAAGTGTGGAGATGATACTCTCAGTTAAGGCTGCCTGAGCAAGTATCTTGCAGATAAAGGGCTTAGTACCGTGTTAGAATAACATGCTGACTCTTTACTATCAGGTATCTATGTTGGAATTGTAGAAATGAGAGTTCATTTGGAGAATTCAAAACTAAACTTAATTTCCCTCAACATGTTGTCATTGTCATGTAACTTGTTTTAAGACATCTGCACTCAGACAAGCTAGAAAAATGAAAGAAAAGAAATTTGTACCAGCCAGCAGTAACAAAAACAGTAGCAAATTGGATTTTGGTTAATAACCAGAGGATAAGGTGCAGTTGTATAGTTAATCCTTCATGGAGTTCTGTAACTTTTTTTCATCTCCTTTAAGTCTTTATAGGTTTAGAGAAAAAATTACATTGTTCAAAGCTTTTTGTGTACTTTAAAATTATCTTTTGGTTTGTGTATTTTTTAATATCATATAATGACTTTTTTAAACAGGTAAAAGATTTGATACAGACAACAGAGGCGATGATGTTTATTGAGGAAGTATGTTTAAGCCTTTTGCGTCATCCTGTTTTCTGGAAAATTCAGCTTACCCAGATGAGTCTTCAGCTGCTGTGTGTCAGTGAAGTCAGCTTAAAGATAACTGGTGAATGTTCATCTTCAATTCACCTTTTAGAGCACAGTGTTGAACTTCTGAAGGAGGTAAGGATAGTAGTATATTATACTGTTCATGCATTGCTATTAAGAAATACCTGAGACTTGGTAATTTATAAAGAAATGAGGTTTAATTGGCTTACAGTCTGGCAGGCTGTACAGGATGCATGGTGCTGGCATCTGCTTAGCTTCTGGGGAGGCCTCAGGAAACTTACAATCATGGTGGAAGGTGAAGCAGGAGCCAGCACTTCACATGGCTGGTGTAGGAGTGAGAGAGAGGAGTGGCGAGATACTACACGCTTTTAAACAACCAGATCTCAATCACTATCACAAGAACAGCACCAGGAGGATTGTGCTAAACCATTCATGAGGAACACCTTTGTGATCCAGTCATCTGCACCAGACCCCACTTCTAACATTGGGGATTACAATTTGACATGAGATTTGGGCAGGGGCATAGATCCAAACCATATCAGATAGACGTTTTATTGTGTCAGTTATCACTCAAGTGAGTCTTTCAATAACTGGGTGGATCTGCTCATTTAGTTTGCATATTAGAGGCATTTTGATCTAATACCATTAGCGCATATTGCTATTGCACTACTGGTAATATCATTTATTAGAAAAAGAAATCATTAAAATACTCTTCGGATCATCAATTAAAGATCACCACTGTGACTTTTTTTTCATTTATTCATGCAGAACATATAGTAATATGCCAGGCTTTATAGAATACATAGATGAAAAGGTAAATTCTATGACCTCAAGAGACTTACAGACATGCAAATAACTAAATTATAGTACAATAAGAGAAAGGATTTTATGGGAGTATATTTAAAATGTAATGGGAGAACAAGTTTCAGGAGGTAGGGCATGAGTTGAGATTCGAAGACTGAATGGAATGTGCCTGGTACAAGGGCCTGGGAAGGGCATTCCAGCTGTAGAACAGCATGTGCCCAAATAGAGAGACATGAAAGAGTAGTCAGGCTTGGCTTATTCAAAAAAACAAGAGGATGTTGGGTATTGTTGAAGGATTAAGCTGTGGCAAATAGGGCTGGGCTTGTCTTCCATGCCACACAAATGAGTTTACATTTTATCCTCTAGGCAATGACATGCTGTTTGAGACCTTTCAGCAGATCTCATTTTTTAATGTGTGGAAGATCTTTCTCGTAGGAAGATGGAGGAGGGTTTGGGACCGCACACCACTAATAGGGTAGGAAGTGAGGAGGATGTCTTAGGCAGGCTACCACAGACTGGGTGGCTTAACCAACAAAAATGTATTTATTGGTTGGGTGCAGTGGCTCTCACCTGTAATCCCAGCACTTTGGGAGGCCGAGGCAGGCAGATTATGTGAGGCCAGGAGTTCGAGAGCAGCCTGACCAACATGGTGAAACTTCGCCTCTACTAAAAATACAAAAAATTAGCTGGGTGTGGTGTTGCATGCCTGTAATCTACTCATGATGCTGAGGCAGGAGAATTGTTTGAACCCTGGAGGCAGAGGTTGCAGTGAGCCGAGATTGTGCCACTGCACTCCAGCCTGGGCGACACAGCAGGACTTTGTCTCAAAATACATAAATAAACAAATAAAATTATTTCTCAAAGTTCTGAAGGCTGGAGAGTCCAAGCACAGGGTGCTGGCTGATTCTGTTCTTGATGAGGACTCTTAATGGCTTGCAGCTGGCTTTCCTCGCATGATAGGGAGAGTATGAGCTCTGTGGTGTCTTATGAGGATACTATCCAGATTGGATTATGGCCCCACCCTGATGACCTCACTTAACCTTAATGACTTCCTTACTCCAAATACAGTCACTTGAGGGTTAGGGCTTTAACAAATACATTTTGAGAGGACACAGTTCAGCCCATAGTGAGGGCCTAATGAGGGAAATGGAAGTGGGAAAAGGGAGACATAGAAGACAGAATCAGTAGGGCTTTATGATTGATTAGATGGTCAAGGAGAAGGGTCCTTGATAGAATCTCAGCTTTCTATTTTGGGCTACTGGATGATGCCATTCACTTTGAGAAATGGTAGCTGATGTTGGAGGGAAGATGATTAATTAGATTTCAGATATGCTTGACTTGAGGTATGTATGGATCATACATCGTTGGATATATGGTTTTGAAATTTAGGCTAGAAGTCTAGGCTAAAGGTGTACATTTGTAGACATTAACTTTGGGGTGGGGATTTTAAACACGGGACTGGGTGACAGGGCTTGTGGTGGAACTCTGGGGTGTTTGTGGTGGTTATTTGGAATTTACTGATAAAGAGGAATCTGAGAAAATATGTCTAGAAGGATCATATATAACCAGCAGAGACAGATGACAAGAAAATCAAGGGAAGGAATATCTCAATAAGAGGGAGTGGTCAGCAGTGTCATGTGTCATGGAGCGATGATGTAAAAGTAAGGGATGGAAAGTATTCTTAGGATATAGCATATAAAAGCTTATTGTTAACATTAGAGGGGCAGTTTCAGCAGGGTGGTGGTGGTTGGGGGGCGTGGAAATTGGAATTAAGGGAGTGTGAATGGCAGGTGAGGAAATGAGAGAGTAAATGTAGATTTTGATGGAAGTTGGGAGCCCAGGAAGACTCAAGTATTACAAGTCATTTGTCAATTTGCCAATCTTATGATTAGAATGATTTTATATATACTGGGACTCTAAATAACATGTTTTCTATTATACAGTTACATATGTATCTTATGTGTAGTAGATATATATATGTATAATATATCAGGTATAATTATATTTTACAGATATAATCATGTTATATATAATATAGATAGTATATAAATGCATATATAGATGTTTTATAGATAAATATTATACAGAAAGATATTTTATAGATCAGTATTATGTAGATAAATTGCCAGTTCTGTTAACTGTAAATGTAATATCCATGGGTAAAACCCATATTTTTCCTGGGTACTTTTAGTAGATTCATGTGAGTAGCAAGTATAATTTCATACAGTTTAGTCCTTTTTAGTATAATTCTCTGACCATTTTATTGTGTATTTCCCCCCACCTTTAGCATATATTTATTAAGCAGATGCCTATGGCAAACACTTTGCTATGGCAATTAGTTGAAAGCAGACAAGGTTCATGAAGCTTATGTTTTAGTCAAATGGTTCAAACTAGTGTGCATAAAAATCACTAGGCAGAGTTTGTTACAAATGCACATGCCTGGGCCTTATCCCTAATGATATTGAATTAGCAGGTCTGAGTGCGGCCCAAGTATTCTCTATTTTAAAGTAGCACCCACAGGTGATTTTTATCATTTATTTTGCACATAAGGCAAATAGCACATAGATCAAAACATAGAACTTTGAAACCATCACACAGCTCAAGAAATAGAGGTTTCTAGCCACCACAGAAGTTCTCCACAAGCCCAGTCCTATTCATAACCTCCTTTTTCCCCTGACTATTCAGACTTCTATAGTAACTACTTCCTTACATTTCTTTATAGTTTTGTCATCTCAGTGTGTATCTCTAATCACTGTAATATGTTTTGGGGTATGTGTGTGTGTGTGATCTTTTAAGTGTCTTTCCAATTAAAGGTCATCCCCTTTCGTTTCCTCCCCCACTTTTCTTCCCTGCAGTTTGTGTGCTGAATAACCTGGCTTGTGTGAGCTGGAGAGTTTCCTATCTTCTGGATTTTGCTGATTGCAACCGTATGGTGCCCTTTAATACAGTGGTCCCCAATGCCTGGGCCACAGACTGGTATTGGTTCCTTGCTTGTTAGGAACTGGGCCACACACAGGAGGTGAGCAGCCCAGTGAGCCAGCATTACTGCCTAAACTCCATCTCCTGTCAGATCAGCCGATGCATTAGATTCTCACAGGAGCATGAACCCTATTGTGAACTGTGCATGCGAGGGATCTAGGTTGTGTGCTCCTTATAAGAATCTAAATAATGCCTGATGATCTGAGGTGGTACAGTTTCATCCCGAAACCATTCCCTGCCCCAGGTGTGTGGAAAAATTATCTTCCATGAAACCAGCCCCTGGTGCAAAAAAGGCTGGGGACCACTGCTTTATGTGTTTCTCTGTTCAAAGGTAGTTAGCTCTAAAGGCTTGACTGGGTTCAGGATATTTTGTTTTTTGTTTCCAAGACTACAGGGGATGGTGTGTTCTGTCATCAAGAGGCACAATGTGTGTTGCTTTTCTTTTTATGATGTTAGTAGTTGTTGGTACGCAATGCCTAGTTCTATTAATTCATTAGGAGTTGCAGAGTGGTAATGTTCTAATCCTATCATTCCTTCTCCATTTATTAGCTGGAATACTTCCACAAAAAGAATACCCTTCCTCCAATAACCTACTAGTTGGTTATCCAGTGGTAAAGGAAAGTTAGAATAAATGCTGTACTCTTTTGCCTTTTTCTTTATTTACTAACTTTAAAAAATATTATGAATTCATGAATTTAAACATATTTGATGCACTTCAGTCTATCACAGATATTATCCATATTGAATTTTAAATTGTCTTATTTTGGCCACTGGGAATCTATTAATAAGTGGCTCTTGAATCTAATTTTTAAAATGTTTTTGATTATAATGTAGAGTCACAGGATACTAATGTCATTTAGAAGAATGAAAAGATTTTTGGTGAGGGAAGGTCCTATTTATGTCTCTCATTTGCCCAATGTTTTAGCAGTTTTAGAAGGAAATAACAATTAGTAGAACTGTTGAAATATTTGTGTAATGAAGTTTTCTGTCCCCCATCCCCATCTTAGTGTTCCTGAGGTTAAAAAAGTAAGCCTAGGAAAATTAATTTGTGAACATATGCTATAGGTCTATATGTACTACAATTTGAAATAAAATGAAGTAGAATGAAGTAGTCTTATGTATTTTGACACCATACCCACATTTCTGTATCGCTGGGTTTATCAGCTGGATGTCTTGTTCAAATATTATATTCACTTTTTCCTACTCTGTTCTCTTTCTACTCTTATATCAGCGTTGTATCATTGTACATTGAAAATGGATTTATTTCTTAGGCTGCATTAGTTTTTGTGGATTCGGTCTTAGTTGAGCCATTTTTAGCCTGATTAGAATAATCATAACTTAAGGTCCTTTCCATTTCAAGCAAAACAGATGTACCCTGACCAGCAAAATTAGGCAAAAATGATGCTCACTGGGAGGAGATTGGGTAGCTCTCGAAGTGAAGAATGAGTGAAACATTTCAGCATTGGGAAGGGTCGGAAACTTCCCAGCAGCACTACTGGCTGATGACTCAGTTCCAACCAACTTTCTTCACTGTGTGTCTCATTTTAAGTTTTCAGATTTTGTAGGAAAAATGATCTGTTTGGCCCATCTTGGCTTGATCAAGCTCTGGCCAGGGGAACAGAGTACGTAGCAAAGTTAGAGCACTGGAGGATTGTGTGGGTTGGGCCACCATCTTTGTTTTGTCTGCTACCTTCTCATGCCTTGTTTTCTCTTTAAAAATACTTTTCCATGACTATACTGTAAAATCCTTGAGAAAAGGGACTATTTTGTCCACAGTGGCATTCGTAGACCCAGCATATGTCCTTAGTGCCTGGTGCATAGGTGATGTTTAGTGCTATTTTCATTTGACTTGAGGACAAAAAGTATGGACTCCAGGTTGTTTTCTGTTACTGGGACTCCTCCGACATCTGTGGCTGAGTATAAAGGCATTTACTCATTTTTTGTATTTTATTTCATTTTTTAAAATTTCCTTATTTTATATATTTTATTTCCTTATTTATTTTATTGTATTTTATTTATTTATTTTATTTTCAGGCTCTGAGTTAGCCTGAGTTTCCCTAAAGGCAAAAGTAGAGCCTGGGTTTCCACAGAAGCAAAGGCTTATATGACTAGAGTTCATCTGACAATGTGATCCCAGCAAGCAGTTGGAGAGGGACAAAAGGAGTGAAGTATGGAAGGTGGGAGAGGCAATACAGGCATCATCAAGTAGGCTACTGCTACTAGTTGCTTGATCCCACAGAATCTTCTGAGAAGCCTTATGAAAGAAGGATCTGGAATTAATGGGAAAGCATTTATCTATGGGGTATTGTTGCCGATTTGTCAGCTTTGGCCTATGGGGCTTTAACTTCCTTGTACTTCTAGAGTGCGCTATTCTGGGGCAGGGAGCAAGAGGTGCATGGTGGAGCTTCAGGGGAGAACCATTAGGTTGCACCTGT
This sequence comes from Homo sapiens, assembly GCF_000001405.40. Classification (NCBI taxonomy): domain Eukaryota; kingdom Metazoa; phylum Chordata; class Mammalia; order Primates; family Hominidae; genus Homo; species Homo sapiens. The sequence continues at coordinate 20,776,343 of NC_000009.12, forward strand.
GCAGAGCCAGTTACCACAGCAGTAGCTGTAGCATTTGAAGTGTGCAAAGGGGATGTCTGACACAGGGTTTTATTAAAAGATCTTATTAAATGGTACTATCCTTTGGTGTCCATTAAAAATCAATCAATCAAAAAACTTGTAACCACTAGACTTGTAAGCAGTTTAAGATTTATGTGGTCTAATCCTCCACCATTTACTTTTCCTTATTTTTGATCTTGAATCTCCACCTCTTTTCCATTCACCCTCTATTCTGAACAGGCCAGTCTCACCCTTCCTGGAGAAGGCCATTTTCATTTTTGCCTTCATACTTTTAAGTTCCATCCACTTAAAAATACTTCTGTTCCATTTCAGAACTCTAAAAAGCTACTTTATGGGCCTTGCAGTAATAGCTTGTGTGAAAAAGGCTTTCCAATAATAGCATTACTATACAGCAGTGCTTTTCTTTGTTGTTGATCGTTTTGGAATCTAGTAAATCTGAGGTTTAAGTGATCTTGTTGGTTTTCCTTTTGTTTTTTTATGGACATGCAGAAATTAAAATGAAATAGAGGAAGGTATAGCAAAGAATGGTATGATAGTATATACTGTAAGTGTGTTGGTTTCAAAATGCATGTATTATCCTCAAATAGATAAGAGTTGCTTCATTGTTTTCGACTGTATTTCAAAACAATGAACACATATATTCCTAAAATACATAGATTGGAATATATCCCATTTTTAAAAATTCACGAATTTTTTTCTTTTGTTGTTTTTTTTCAAAAGTCCATAAACAAGCACATGAGAGGATTTTGTAGGTTAATTTCACTCTTCAAATGGTAAAACTGAGATTTTAGAGGGTATTTGTTAGTTTGATAGTATCTTCAAGATTATAATTTCTGGGTATGTCAAATTATATTGTTTTCACTCAGGCAGGTGGTCCTTTAACATGTGGCTCTAACTTACAGATTTCCTTTTTTTCCTGTGGGTTTTTTTTTTTTTTTTTTTTGACTGTCTTTATTGTTCATAGGTACTTCTGCTCTGCAGGCACTTCTGTAAACTTCAGAATAGTCATTTTAGCTGAACCTTTCTTCTTTAGTGCCATAATACATTAAGATTTTCTTTATTTAGAAACCTCAAATAACATGTCTCTTGTGTTTTATTAATATTTATTAAAACCTAATATACACATCTTTTTTTCATTTTGTTTATATACTTGGTGAACTTAATGGTTTTCCATTTCTATGGTCATTGCTCTGCTACATTTAAATATGCTTAATGAATTACGGTAATTCGAAAATAATCTCTACCTCCCTGGCACTAATATTTCTTTTATTGTGACATGATTTACTAAAATTTGTTTAGTGTAATTCATTATGCAAGTTATATAGATGAATCATGTCTGTATTAGGTAAGCAGAAAATTGAACTACTTTTCAGAAATGAAATATTATTAAATTTAGTATTTTAGGCAACTTTCAATGGTTTTTAAAGATTGACTGTTTAGGCCGGGCTCGGTGGCTCACGCCTGTAATCCCAGCACTTTGGGAGGCCGAGGCGGGCGGATCACGAGGTCAGGAGATCGAGACCACGGTGAAACCCCGTCTCTACTAAAAATACAAAAAATTAGCCGGGCGCAGTGGCGGGCGCCTGTAGTCCCAGCTACTCGGGAGGCTGAGGCAGGAGAATGGCGTGAACCCGGAAGGCGGAGCTTGCAGTGAGCGGAGATCGTGCCACAGCACTCCCGCCTGGGCGACAGAACGAGACTCCGTCTCAAAAAAAAAAAAAAAAAAAAAAAAGATTGACTGTTTAGAAGACTTGCTGATCTGCTGTGTTGAGTTTTCCTCTGAATTATTTGGTTTATAGCATCTTGCTTTTTGGCCATATAATACATCATTTTGAATTTATGTGTGACTGTGTGGCATTGACTAATTCTTTCTTTTTTTTTGAGATGGAATCTCGCTCTGCCACCCAGGCTGGAGTGCAGTGGCACCATCTTGGCTCACTGCAACCTCCACCTCCTGGGTCAAGCAATTGCCTCCTGAGTAGCTGGGAAATTAGCCTGGCTAATTTTTTTGTATTTTTTTGATAGAGACGGGGTTTCACCAAGTTGGCTGGGCTGGTCTCGAACTTCTGACCTCGTGATCCACCTGCCTTGGCCTCCCAAAGTGTTGGCGTTACAGGCGTGAGCTGCCACGCCCGGCCGACCAATTCTTTCTTTAGTAGAGCACACTTGCTGTATAAATAAATTTGTGTAATAGGCTTGCAGTCTTTCATATTAAATATATTCTTCCTGGATACATGTTACAAAGCCATGATTCTGGGAACTTCTTTAACAACTCCTTTTTCCCCCTCTATTCTTTTAGGATTTTCCTGTTGAACTGGTCATAATTGGAATAGCTTTACTACTTCTACAGACTCCAGCAAGTCAGCAGAAGCCAATCTTAAATCTAGGTAAATAAAAATACAGTCACTAGAGTAAAATGTAAATATAACATGAGTATTGACAGGATTCACTTGAACTATGTATCCTGCTATCTTGTGTATTTTGAGTTTCCATCTGTAATTTTTAAAATTATTAAATAGAATTTTTTTTCTTGTCTAATAAGTTGTTACCTTGTGCAAGTTTTAATATAACATAATTTACCAAGTATCTCGGCTGCATGTTAGAGGTTATAATCTAACCTTATATGGCAGTAACATTCAGGAATATATTGAATGGCATAGCACCTTATTCAACATTGTACAGCAAAATGGAAAGCTTTAGTATAAAATCCTTGAAAGAAAAGTGTTTAGTAGTTGTAGTTATTTTTAAAACTCTCCATACCTTAACTATTCAAAATGTAAATCTAGCTAGAACAAATGAAAGATAATATTCTTTTGACAGTCCAGTATTGACTTAAAGAAAAGTGAAGGAGGGGGCCAAGGGTGGCAAAAATGTTCTAGTTAAGAAGAATGTGGTAAAGAAGCTAGTTGCCCTATCGGGCAAATAAGTCATACTTTTAAAATGTGGCTTTTACATTGGTGCTGCCTCACTTTACTTGGTCTGATCCAAAATAATCCACATAACAATGAGAGCTCTAAATTATGTTGTATAGTGCCATGATATGTTGATATGCTGCTGTTCTTAGTTTTAAAAAGTACGTGAGAGGCCAGGCACGGTGGCTCATGCTTGTAATCCCAACGCTTTGGGAGGCCGAAGTGGGTGGACCACCTGAGGTCAGGAGTTCGAGACCAAGCCTGGGTAATATGGTGAAACCCTGTTTCTACTAAAAATACAAAAAAATTAGCCAGGCGTGGTGGCGCATGCCTGTAATCCTAGCTACTTGGTTGGCTGAGGCAGGATAATCACCTGAACCCCGGAGGCAGAGGTTGTAGTGAGCCGAGATCGCGCCATTGCACTCCAGCTTGGGCAACAAGAGCGAAACTCCGTCTCAAAAAAAAAAAAAAGTGTGCGAGATAAATACTTATTGTATAGCTCATTCTTCTGGGCATTTTAATTCATGATTTTGGGAGTGAATTGCTCTTTCACCTACAGTGTGCCTTGGAAATGGCTTTAGCACATGGAGGGGATCCTTGGCTCCTAGGCTTTGATTCCTACCCTGCATTTGGCTACTGGCTTTATGTTCGCTTATACCTTCCCTCCACAGTCTGATCCGGTTTTTGCCTTTTTCTTATAGCAGTGCACATGGGATCTACCCAAAGGTATAATTTACCCGTGCTGGTACTTCTGACAGCAATAGTTTTCTTTTTTAAAACAGCTTTATTGAGGTGTAATTTACATACCATAAAATTCAGAATAAAGTGTTTTCTAGTAAATTTATAGATTTGTGCAACCAGCACCACTGTCTATCATCTGCCCAAAATTTCTTGTGATCATTTGTAGTTAATCCTCATTTTCACCCTCAGCTCCAGAGAAATACTAATCTGCTTTTTGTCTCTGTAGATTTGCCTTTTCTAGACATTTCATATGATTGGATTTTGTTTTCTGACAAAAAAATTCTAAAGCCTCAGAAAATCCACATTTCAAATTCTGAAGCTATGTTCTTATATTGTGGTTCATGTGTAAGAGAAAGATAATACAGTATCAAACAGTCAAATACTTTTATTATTTCCTGGTTAGCAGACTTTTTCTTTCTCTCGTAAACCAATATCTCTGATTTGAAGTTACCTTAGAGTGAATAAACTGTACTGAACACTGCTAAGCCAATATATCATGTTGGAAAGTAAGGAAGAACTGTGGGGAAAGAGTATTCAAAGAAATAGGATAACCAAGAGAATATTGATTATTCCAAATTTAAAAGATTTATTTATACATTAATTTTTATATTAATGTAATATTACACTATGTAGTTGTTAACTGTAGCCTTGATTACAAATAGCAATTTATAAAAATGCCTGGAATATTTAGATTTATAATTTAGGCTATTAAAATACTGCTATTATATTCATTTCCTGTTATATTAAAGATAATGGATTTTCATAATATCTCAGAAACAATTATGGATTAAGACCAATATTTAGGCAAGAAAAGTAAATTAGTAGTGTTAGAGTAACAGGTGTTTGTACTTAATATCATGTTAAGGTTTGACCTCCAGATGATGTAAAATAGAATGCTGACAACTCATTGACATGATTCAAGGCTTGTAGAATTTTTGCTGTAGTGGGGAAATCAGTTGAATATTTTGATAATTTAACGTTGAATCCCCTGAATAACATCTTTTAGTAAATCAGGGTTAATTACATCACTTTGAAAAAAATATTGTGAAAAAAGTATATTTATGCCTTAACTCATTCAGTTAATAGTCTAGAGACTCTACATGTAAATCAGTTATTGTATAACTGTATGTATCTGGTGTGTAAGTTGTTTCCATGTTAAAGAACCATTCACTAATTTTTTTTGTTGTTGTTATTTTGGTTCTGGACTTTGGGACTTTCACAATCTGCTTCTTAGCAATTACAGCTGAAGGGCAGTCCTGCTTCACTTTGCTGTTTACTTAAGCATCTGCTAATAGGATTCTTAGCTGCCTTTGTAAAGGAAGCATGTATGTTGGGCTTGTTAGCCACTGATCCAGGAATTCTTGGTCTCTTAGCTCTGTTTGCTGAGGGCAATACTAGCATCTCAGAGGATATTAAGGGCAAATGTTGAATTGTATTTTTTAAAAAATTCATATTAACCTAAAAGAGTATCATCAATTTTTCAGTTATATATGTTAACAGCTTATTTTATATAATAGTTTATTTATACTCCTTTTATTTCCTTTTAGGATAAGATTTATCAACCTAGTTATGTGTCTGACCCAGTTATAAAAGGGAAGAAAACTTTCTTGCATATCATTCTTAAGCAAAATTGCATTTTGTTTGACTGTGGTATTAATTTTTAAAAATGTGCATTATTGTTTTGATGAATAGCTTTGAAGCTCCTCTCTGTTACTGAGGATCAGAAAATCCCAAAGTCCTCTCTGCTGCTAGTGATGCCAATTCTGCAGATACTATCTTCTACTGCCTTGGAAGACTGTATATCTGTGGATGAAGAAGGTCCCTCTAGGCAGCAGTTGGCTCTAAACCTTTTGGAAATGATACAGCAGGAATGTTACAGAGATGACCACCAAAAGGTAATGAATCTATCCTTGTTTCTCTTAAATAAAGTGTCGATGTGGGATTTCGGTCTTTACGGATAATCTTGCCTCCTGATGAAGCATCTGTTTGTTATCAGACTTCACCATTCAGTCAGGTAGTGCTGTTGGAGATCTCAACATATTCTTCTGGACTATAAGAAGGGATAGTAGTCCTGTTGTGAAATAAGTTTGAAAATGCTATATGATCTTTTTTTTCTCTGAAAATCCAGTGCACAATACTAGTTAAAGATCCTGAAGAGTTCTTCAGAAAAGGAACTAATGCTTCTCAAATATATTTGAACATGGAATCATTTTTTAAAATTATACTGTTAGTTAAGTACAGCATATTGCTAGATCTGAGATAATCCAAGGTGGGAAATAGTCCTCAAATGCCTGGAAGTTCTCATATCAGTAAGAACTAAAACTTCTTTATTTAATATGGCACCTCTTGCCGTGTTCCCTGGCATAATGGCTCTCGATGTCCCCTGTGTATGCCCCTATTCTGCTGCCTCCAACTGGAAGACAACAGGCCTGCCACATTCCGTTTCCAATCCTGCCTGCCTCATTCCGCTTTTTCAGTCTTGCTTTTCCTGTTACAATAACGTGAAAGTGTTGTCATGGTTTGGATATTGGTTGGGTTCTAGGCCTAGATTTACCAGACTTTTTTTGTTTTGATATTTGAGTTTTGCCTTTATCAAAATGAAACATTATTTCCCAGCTCCTCTTATGGGGATGAAATGAGGATTGAATAAGATAAAGCTGGTGAAGCATCTTAAATCTCCATGAAGAGAGGCACTATGTAAATACAAACTGGAGTGATGGTTGTGGCTTCATCTGCAAAAGCAGAGATACCTCTTATGTTAAATGCTCCAGCAGCACAAATCCAGTCATTATTAGTTCTTGTTTGAGCATGTAGCAGAAACTGGCCCATAATTATAGGCAAATTGAATGTATACTACAGCTTCCTAAATCCTAATTGTTTGACTAAAACTTTAAAACTTGAAACAGGTAATCGATTTGAATTGAGAGAGAAGTTCTTGCATCAGCCCTAATAGGAGTACAAAATCCGATCAAAAAATTCTAGTAGCTTTTTTACTTTACCTCTTGGTTTGCCCATGTAGAACAATGATTGGATCTTGAATGGGAGTGGGGGCAGGGCAAGAGTTGGCAGGGCAAGAGTTCTGCTCCTTTAAATCACAAGTGTTATTTACTGAGGATCACCCCAACTCTAATACATAAGTACTTGGTTTACTATTTGCTCAGATGTGTGTGAATCTTATTATTAACACTAATATCTGGACTTTCTCTTTAGCAGCTGGTAAAGAGGAGGGGCAGAATTACTATTAGGGCTGTAAATATCCTCCTTATGATACTGTGTTGCTTTAAGGAGGCTTTGAGTAGATATATGATCACTGTTTTAAAAAATGTAAGCCACATTTTACTGTTGGCTTTTTTTTTTCCTGCACCTATCTGGAACTTTACATTCCAGTCACACCTATGAATTTAACATGCCCCAAACTCTTCAAGTCTCTTCCTGAATCTTTGCTTCTGCACAGAATGCTGTTTTATGTCAGCTGCCTGAACTATTCATCCTTCAAGACTCAGCCAAATGTTCTCAGCCTCCCTGAGTCAAGATTATTTGACTATTGGATTTTTTTTTTTTTTTGAGACGGAGTCTCACTCTGCCACCTAGGCTGGAGTGCAGCGGTGTGATCTTGGCTATTAAATGTGATATTTAAAACTACCTATTTCATTCTCCCCAGGCAAAATAAATAAATAAATATTAAAAAAAGTAAAAAAAATTGAACACTAATTGTAAATTCTAAAGGGCTTGAAACATTCTGCTTCCTCCTTGTTCTCCTCCACTCCCGCAAGAGAATGTGGGGGATAAAAGAGAGAATGCATTCAGTATATGAGTCAGATTCCAGTCAGGAAAGAGAAAACACACTGGCAATTTGAACAAGGAAAACTTAATGCAATGAATTATTAGCAAGAGGTGTTTAGTTATAAAACCTTATAAAAAAGCATCTAAGGAATATTACAGTAGTAAATGTAGGGAGCAGCTACTACCTCTAAGCTAAGACCAAGGCAGAGTTCCCAAGGAAGGAACTAAAAAGTCTCCCCAGACAATGCTGAGAGTCAGACCTGGTAGGAGAGAATGTGGAGAAGGCCTACTGGATGATATAGTCTGCTGGGGTGCCATAGGCTAGAACTGGTCCACAGGAAACCACTTGTCGTGTGAGCAGGCTGGAATTGGCTGAGCTGGTCCACTGGAAGCCACCTCTGGGATATCCTGTATGTCCCTAGCAGCCATGGTAGGAGGAATCAAAGAAGCACACAGGAACCTGAAGAGAAGCCCCTTCTTCCTTTCCTTGCAGTGTCTCTCCTATGCTCTCTATTGACAAGGTCTAACACTAGACCAGAGGGCAAAGGAGAAATGTTGAAAAGGCACAGCTGTAGGATCACATAGTCAGGCAAAGAAGAGTGGGTGTGGAGCTGAGAGGTAACACATTGAGTAACTGGCTCAGGAAGTAAGAAAGAATCGGAAAAGTTTTTTTGGAGGGGAGTAAGGGTGGATGGGTGAGATGAAGTGGAAAAGGAGACTTAAAAGCTAAATTCTTGTAATTGTACAGGAGGGCAAAATTCATCTTTATGAAACTGTTTTAGTCAGCATAACAATTTAGAGACAGCTTGACTGAGCTGGGGTCTACCATGTGTTTATTCATTCTTATGTGTTTTTAAAAATTAAATATGGTACTTTTGGGTCTTTGGTAATAAAGCTGTGCCAAGTAGATTTTATTTGAAATTGCTTTGAAGTAGTATATAGTAAGCAGAATATTTGTTTCTTAAAAATCAGAAAATTCGCAAGGAATTGTCATTGTCCTACTTATGGCTAAAGTTAACATTTATTGAACATGTGTGATATGCCAGGAGTTATTATGTGGGCCAACTCGTATTTCTTACAATAACTATGAAATAGATGTCTTTTCTTTCTTTCTTTTTTTTTTTAATCTATTTCCAGCTGTGTGGCCTTGGACTAGTGACTGAATCTGTGTGGTATCTGGGCCCTGGTAAAATGGGCAACAAAACACCCCCTTCATGGGGTGGTTTATTGAGCATTTCATATGTGCAGGCTTCATTTTAAGTACTTTGGTATATATTAACTGGTTTGATTTTATCTCACACTCTTTGAAGTAGGTAAAATTATTGATCTCATTTTACCTAAGAGTTAACTGAGGCATAAAGAAGGTAAATAACTTACTGTCATGCAGTGGGAACCCAATTCTTTTTTAATAGCTTTATTGAAATGTAATTCACATGCGCCCTTCCCTCATTTAAAGCATGCAATTCAGTGGCTTTTAGTATATTCGCAGCATTGTATATTCATTACCACAATCCACTTTAGAACATTTTTATTTTTATTACCCTAAACAATCCCTGCACTCTTAGTCATCACTCCCTAATTCCCCCCTTTTTTCCTCACCCCTCAGGCTAGGCAGTCCCTAATCTGCTTGTAGTCTCTATATGGATTTGCCTATTCTAGACATTTCCTTCAAGTATAATCATACAATATGTGGTCCTTTGTGACTGGCTTTTTTCACTTAGTATAATGTTTTCAAGGTTTGTCCATGTTGTAGCATGTGCCATGTAGCAGTGCCTCATTTTCTCTTAGAGCTGACTAATATTCCATTGTATGGATACCTTACATTTTACTTTCCTTTTCTTTTGTTGACGAACTTTTGGCTCTTTCCCACTTTTTGGCTATAATGCTGCTATAATCATTCATGTATCAGTTTTTGTGTGGACAAATGTTTTCATTTCTCTTGAGTAGATACCGAGGAGTACAACTGCTAGGTAAGGTGATAACTCTATGTTTCACAGTTTGGGGGAATGGCCAGATTGTTTTCCAAAGGGGCTGCACTATTCTATATTCCCACCAGCAGTGTATGAGGGTTCCAGTTTCTCCCTGTCCTCGACAATTGTTGTTATTGTTTATCTTTTTGATGGTTACATCCTAGTAGGTGTGAAGTGGTATTTCATTGTGGTTTTGTTTTGCATTTCCCTGATGGTATTCTTAAAATACTTATTTTACAAGCCGGGAAACTGAGATTAGAGCGGTTAACTTTTCTGGATTACCCAGGTAGTGAAGGGTAGAGTTGGAATTCAGATTTTGACTGTTTGATTCTAGGGCCTGAATCCTGTTACCTGCACTTTCATTTTGTTTTCTTTCTTTGTTTTTTTGGCACAATATTTTATCATCTTTGTGCTGAACTTGGGCGTAAATAACAGTTCCATTTCAGATTTACAGGGGAACAAACTGTGATAATAGTAAATTGAAATAAACTTTTTTTAGACTTCTGATTGGAACTTAAAAAGGAATTAGTAAGTCTTAGATGTTGTGCTTCTATCATCATCTTCTGAAAGACATGGGACTGAGCATGTTGTGTGTTATCTCTTGGTTATAACCAACCACTCCCAAATCTCTCAGCTCTTGTCTAGAGTCTTCATAGTGATATAGTGCTAGAAAGGCTCTCTTGAGGGTTTATGTAGTCCAGTCTTCTGCTGCTTGACTGATGAGTGATTAATATCCTCTAGCAAAAATCTATCTTACTTTTAAAGGTCTATATGTTTGAGTTCCTATATCCACTCTACTTTTGTTAAACCTGTTTTAGTCACTATTATAGATTAGTGCCATTCTTTACAGTTAATGAAAATCAATATTGTTCACAATTTCTTTTTCAGACCTGTTTTGACAAAGAAGTACTATCAGATGTTTATCTTATTGTTACTACTTAATGTGTCTGCACATTTTTATTAAATGCTTTTTAAAATAAAGATTCTCAATTATTTTCTACCTGTAAAAGATGTCTTACAACCACCCAGTATTTATTTAAATGTATTTTTCTGTGGTTTATTTTTTATTGATATATAATTCACATAACATAAACCTTTTATTTTTAAACACCTACTTCCTCCTCTAAAAGCAAAGCTTACTAGCATTTTCACAGGTCCTCCCTCAGGCTATGGGGCCAGGATTTGGTAGCTGGTGCTGAGAGAAAACGCTTGATTGCATCCTTGCCCTGGGACTGTGCCAGTGGCAGCTGTCACTCAATGGGACAATTTCTCCTGCTGCTCTAACCTTAGGCAAACAAACAAACAAACAAATAAACAAACAAACTTAAGAGCCTAAACCTGGACATAACAGTTCAAGTAACCTAGGATTGCTTTTCTGTTTCATTGTTTACTCTTACATGTCTCTGTTATGTTGTTGCTTTTACTCAACTTGAGGTTCATGGTAATTTCCAAATTATATTCATTTACATAAGTTTTATTTTTCTCTCCGGAAGATGACAGCAATACTATTTACCTGTATTTTGCAACTTCAGGCACTGTGCTAGGTGTTTTATAGATATTATAACCTAAGCAGGAAAGTAGTCATTTCTTAAATTTTACAAACGAGTAAAGAGAGGCTTAGAAAAATTGCATAATGGCTGATAGCTGGCATGGCTATCCTGAAGTCCTGGCCCTTTAAATTTTATGGTGTTTGTCATTAGTCTAAAAACCTTGGCCATGGTTGTTAATGAATTTCTTCTTCATGGGAAGAAAAATATTTTTAGAGAGCTAGAGCTATATAAACTTAGATATTATTTAATTTTTAAAATTTGTAACTTTCTTGAAATAGTAATATATTCAAATGGTTCAGACAGTAGAAAATTGCATATAATGAATGCAGCCTTCTTGCCTTTGATTCCAGCTGTCCAATTTTCACTCCCCAAAACAGAAGATGATTTAGTGGTTACTAATTTCTTCTGTATTTGTCCACATACTTTTCTTTGCATGTACAAGCAACTACAAATATATTATCTTTTTCTCCTCACTCTCTTTGAAAAAAAAAATTGGTAGCACTCGAGTCATACTATCTGTATCTTATATTTTCACTTGGGGGAATCTTTTTATATCAATACAGTGAGAGCTTCCTCATTTGTTTTTACTGTGACATTTAATTGTCAAAGAAATTGCATATCTACTCTTAGGTATATACTCAAGAAAACTGAACACTTATAACCTCAGAAAAAATTTATAGGAGTGTTCATAGCATCATTATTCATTATCGCCAAAATGTGGAAACAACCCAAATATCCATCCATTGATAGTGGATAAACAATATAGTGTATCCATACAATGGAATATTATTTGGCAATAAAAAGAAATGAATTATTGATAGAAGTAACAACATGGATGAACCTTGAAATCATGCTAAGTGAAAGAAGCTGGTCACAAAGGACCACATATTATGTGTTTCCTATTATATGAAATGACCAGTATGGAACCAGAGTAGATTAGTTGTTGCCAAGGGCTGGAGGAGGGTTGGGGGAGTAAGGAGTGACTATCAGTGGGTATGGGATTTTTGTTTGGGTTGATGAAAATGTTCTAAAATTAGATAGTGATGATGGTTGCACAGCTCTAGGAATGAATTACTAAAATCCAGTAAGTTATAAACTTTAAAAGGGTGCCTTTTATAGTATGCAAATTATATCTTAATAAAGCTGTTATTTAAAAATTTGATAAAGCTTAACTTTTACTTTCCATCCTTTCAATTGTTATCCTAATTCATATAAGTCAGCCTCTATTAACCAGACAGTTATAATCCAGAGATTTCCAGTCTGTCACAAAGCACTATACATGATTTGAGTTACTTTATTAGCAAGCAATGTCTAATGATTCTTTAACGTCTGCCACTTCTGAGCTGTTTATTTACAGAGCTCACCTTGGCTACCCTCTGGCCCCGACTGCACTGCTTTATTTCTGTGAGGAGCCATTTCTCAGATTAATTTAGCATAATATAATCTCTGGGTATTGTTTCAGCTTAGAGCTGTCAGGCCATTTCCTATTGCAGAAGTTACAATTATTAATGAATTCCCAGGCTCCAGCTGAACCAACTTTGTTCCTATCAACATACTGTCTGTTACAGAAATGAATTGTCCTCAGTCCAAGTCTGCCATCTGCCCCAGACTGCTTCTGCCTAGGGCCTGGAGCTGGGCAAATACAGTATTTTTTTTTTTTAATCTTTCTTCTCATTGGTGAATACTTTTTTAGTGATAATGGCTTTTTCCAAATGCAATTGCCTCTGGATTTTGTATATTGATCCATATATTCTGCCTTAATGGGGAATGAATGGTAAATATGAGGAAAAGTTGTGATAAAACTCTTCTGGAGTTCCATCTAACAACTCTTTTCTCTTTGTGTAATCCTATTACCTCAAATATGTGCAGAGAGGATTTTGGCAGTAATTCAATTTGTATTCATTTTGTTGGAAGGAGTGATATCTTACAATGAAATATAAGAATGCCAGAAACATATTTCTGACAAATATATTTATCTCACTTATTTATGCCTCTCTTGTCTTTATTTTTCAGCTCTCCTACAAGCTTGTGTGCCCTGTAACCAGTATGTATGGTACAATATTTACAGCCTGGAGGATTCTTGAAGTAATGACAGACTCGTCTGCTGCAAGTGACTGGTTGGCTTCAGTAGAGTCATTGCTTCCTATTACTGCTGTGATCCCTGCGCCTGCCTTTCTTCTGCTGGCTCACCTCCTTGTTGAAGACAAAGGACAAAATCTTCACCAAATACTCAAGGTCACTACAGAATTAGCCCAAGCAGATTCCTCCCAGGTAAAGCAAGAGAATAATGGAACAATAATGAGAGGAAAGCTTAATCATTGGAAATGTAGATTATTCCTGCTTTGTGGATTATTTGCATCAGAGTTTTAAATTATGGGTTGATGATTTTTTTTTTTTTTGCTATCTTTATCCTTCCATTTTTTTCTTCTTTTTCCTTACTCTGAGTTGATGTATACTTAATGATGCAAACAGTTTTTAAATGAAAGCACACTTCACAACGAAATCTGCACATGGTGCTATTCTGGTTCTTCCAATTTTTTGGTGGATTTGCTATTTTGTAATGCTTTTGCTAACTCTTGGAACCTATTCCAAGATACATATCCATTAGTTCTAATGTTGATCATTTAAAGTGGACACAGATTAATCAATTCAGGATAAGGGAGCCTATACAATAGACATTAATATCTTTTTAACTTCTTGCAGTTTGATACTATCTTTATTGAGTCATTTAATAGCTAAAAAATATTGACTCTTTGCTATATATGGTACGGATCTGCATGCTAGGATATGAGGGTAAACAATTTTTCTTCCTAACTGCACAGAACTTAGGATGTAATGAGAAAGCAGTCAGGCATTAATAAGACTTCTTTCCCCAGCCTTTTACACTAACCACATATTTAGCATAATAACCTGTGACTTTTTTTTTCTCCAATTGATAGAATCTCTAGAATGCATTTCCTATAAAGGAAAGGTTTTCTAATCAAGTAGTTTTGACATTTTTGTTATCCTCTCTTTATTAGTATCTGTGCTTGTGTTTCTTTTCAAGAATGATGAAGAAACCTTCCATCTCCCAATGGAAAAGTGATGTGTTCCTAGAGGAAAAAATTTGATGGTAGAAAACGGGCAAATGTGTTTATCTGAGATATGAAGTTAACTGAGTGCAGTGACTTACGCCTGTAATCCCAGCACTTTGGAAGGCTGAGGTGGGCAGATCACTTGAGGTCAAGAGTTCGAGACCAGCCTGGCCAACATGGCGAAACCTTGTTTCTACTAAAATTCAAAAATTAGTCGGGTGCAGTGACATGCACCTGTAATCCCAGCTGCTCAGGAGGCTGAGGCAAGAGAATTACTTGAACCCAGGAGGTGGAGGTTGCAGTGAGCCGAGATTGCGCCACTGCACTTCAGCCTGGGACTCTGTCTCAAAAGCAAAAAACAAAAACAAAAAAACAAAACAGATATGAAGTTAATGTATTTGGAATTCCTTTTTAACCTCAAATTGTCATACTCATTCCTTTTTGTCATGTAAACAACTGCTGATATCTCACAAAGAGTTTTCACTCTGACTGGACCTCATCTGTTCTGATTCTGCAAGTGGATCTGTAATGTACTCAAAATACTTTTGTTTCATGGTGTATGCGTAATGTGAATCAGTTTAACTTGCTTTCTGCTTTATCTCTCCTTTTATTTCCTGTAGTGATCCTGCTTCTAACCAATGTTTTCTTTCAGTGTTGACACTTGGTAGGATAATCTCTAGAATAGTTAATGCAGATAATGCCTGGAGATTATCTAAAGAAGGATTCCCTTGAAGTTATACAGTGGGTTACCTTGATCTGTCTACACCACTGACAGAAAACATATATTGCATCTATATATATATGCATGCACACACACACACACACTCACACACACACACACACACACACACAGGAAATTTGATCCAGCATGATGCTTTAGATTGTAAGTAACAGAAACCCATCTTAAGCTGCCACAAAGTTTTTTCCCCTTTATTTTTAGTTCCCAATTAATAATTGTACATACTTATGGGATACAGAGTGATATTTTGATACAGGTATAAAATGTGCAATGATCAAATCAGGGTAATTAATAGTATATCCATCACCTCAAACATTTATCATTTTTGTGTGTGCATGTTGGGAACATTCAAAATCCTTTCTTCTAGTTTTTATTACCTCTAGTATTTAGAACATTCATGGTCTGGGCAGTATTTTCAAGGTACAGTTTCTTTCCTCTGTGAATTAGCTGGAAGCCCAAAGCCTTATAACCTTATATTCAAAATTCAAAAGGAAGAGAGAAGTAAAGAATGCTCAGATTGGCCTTGCTTAGGTCATGTGTTTACATTGGACTAACCATCATGATGGGATAATGGGGCACTTTACTTGGCCATCCTGGGTAGAATAGAAGTAGGTGAAGTATCAGGTCTAAAATTGTTTCTGCCACCAGGTTCATGTGGAATGGGGTGAGATGGTCCCCCAAAGGAAGGATAGATAGTGTACTCATCATAGAAGTGGAAATGTGCAAAATAGGCAAAAAATGTAAAGCAGAACTTCTCAGTTTGTCTTTTGGGGGACACTGAAATGCTGTATATGTGGTAGGTGTGCCGAGATATTATCCTGTCTCAGCATTCTGGCAGCCAGTTAGTTGTCTTAGCTCAGGCTGCCTGAAGTCTCTGTCTGGTAGCCTCTGGCCACCTGGTATGTAGAAGCCTTATAGGATGCTTAACAGTATCTTATAAATATTTGTAGAGGGAATACCTAACAAAAGATTTTATTGTTTTGGAAATCAAGGCTACTTGTTTGTGGTTTTAAGACCTGAGAAAATGTGTTTTCCTCCTATGTTTCTATCCATAAGGTTTAAGGGTTTATGGTAAGATTAAATACTTAGGTATCTGAACTGAACATCAACCACAAAGATGAGTAATTTTGAGATAGGTTGAGTTGGTCTAAAATAAAAGTGTAAATAGTTTAATATCTCACCTTCAATGGAATAACTCTAAATACTATGTGTAAGGTGTATCAATTTCTTTTTGACTGATTTATAAAATAGAATATGCCAAAGAGCAAAAACTCATAAATTTGATTTTAGAGAACCACAAGTTCCTTCCTCAAAACGTATCCCCATTGATGAGTTTGACAAATTGAGTTTTGCAAAACTCAGTGCCTCTTTCAAATTCTTGTTACTTGCTTTTCTCTTGTTTGGAAGTGGCAGTAGAGTCATGCTTATTTGTTTTGCTTTTCTTTTACTTGCATCTTACAACACTGAGGTATTTTATTTTCTTTTTACATTTTGGTTGTTAAGTCTAGTTAAAGGTCTTGCTTAATAGGAACAGTTGCAATCTTCGATTATTTTATTCTTTGTGATGTTTTCAGAGCTTCAATTTTTTTCCATGTGTAAAAGTGTACACATTTGATCCATTTGAAATCACTTATGTGACTAGGTTCATGGGCCATGACTTGCTGGTCTTTAAAAAGTCATATATTATCAAATGTAAAAGTTGAGTTATAGGGCAGAACCCTGTGATAGTTCTACCCAGGGTCAAAAGCCATATTTTAACATGGAAAATGAATAGGAAATGTGTGAAATTTAATGGTCTGTAAGTTACTGCTGTGAGAAAAAGAGAAAATATATTCTATAAAAGAACTTGCACAAAGAGTCTTTGGACACTTTGTACTCTGTTCTGTTGTTACCGAATTCTATGAATTGCTACCCCCTGAAGTCAGTCGGCTACCTGTATTCTTCACACCAGCAAAAAGAAGCCAGAATGTACAGTACTTTTAATAAATAGCTTGATAGATAAGAAGTAGTGTACTACTATTCCCTGGTAACCATAGCATCGATTATGCCTGGATAAAAATTGGGATGAGCCTGCCAGCATGAAGCAATTAGGCAAAGAGAAGCACAACTGAAATATAAGGTCAAGTTGCATGTACCCTCTCCCGTGGCAATATGTTTATTTCTCCTTTGTAAACCTTACATATATATCTGTAGGATAAAAAGCTTTCAGCTGGCATTTGATCCCTTTTGTGTTTTCCCGGTTGTGTGCAAAAAGCCTAGAGTTTATACACAGGGAAGTAGTTCTGTGTTAATTTCTTGGCATTCCTGGGCGTTAGTGTTGGGCTGTTACTTCTGATTGGTCTACAGATTAGAAATTACTGATGGTTCTCATTGAAGGAATTGTAACTTTTCAGTTCAACCCCTACCACTGTGATGCTTACTAATGTACTGAAACAAAATCCGTTTGTCTGGGTGTGTCATTGAACAGCAAGCATCAGAAAGGATGGAGTGGAGTTTGAGGAGAAGGAGTCCAAAACTGCATTCAGAACAGTGGAGTCTATCTGCTTCCAACTGATATCAGGGACCAGTAGGTTTGCTTCTGGTTAGAACTCTCTAAGTGATGGGCTTCTAGTGTTGTTGAAGGGCTGTGAGAGGGGAATCAGAGCAGGCTTTGTGGTAACTTTGAATTTCATAATAGGTAGGAGGAATTTTGCTCAAGGGAAAATACGTTGAAGTCTACCATTGCCAGAACAAAATTTTTCTTATTTAGTGGAGAGGGAAGGGCGAAGTGGGGATCGGTCCTCTCCATACTTGTACCGTGGCCAGACAACCTGAAGTGGAGCAGTAAGTTGACATGTCTCATCATTCTTCAGCCCTTCCACAGTCAGCCCTTCAAATCAAAGGCCAGTCTTATTTGAGGAAACATTTATTTATGTCTCTTGAATTAAACCATGCCAGCTCCCTGCAACCAACTTGGCCTTGATTTATAAATATAAATGAACAGTTAAGGCTCACCAGACTTAAGAGAAAATTTAACAATGTAACTAACCAGAGCATCTGTCTCTAGAAGTAACAGAACTTAGAGAGCAGGAGGTAATGTCCTAAGAGATGTTGGAAAGACACTGTATATATGTTTTGTATTGTGTATAAAAATCCTACCAAGAGAAAGAAGAAATTTGAAAGCAAGAGATTTGAGAAATTAAAAATGTGATTGCCATAGTGTATATATGGAGATTAGATTAGTGATTTGTAAAATATTCATCTAAATATTTCATAATATAGAGCAAAAAGATGAAATTGAAAAAGTGAAGACATTGAGGGTCACCTTGGTGTTCTAACAACTTTCTAATAGGAATTCCAGGGTGAAAGAAACAGAGAAAATGAAGGATGGAAACTTAAAACACACCAGAAAACTCTTTCCCTGAGCTGAAAGAGAACACAAGGCTACAGATTGTTAGGACCGTCTGAAAGCTAAGCAGCACAAATGATAATTTATCAATACCATAATATGTTTCCAGAACCTCAAGGATGAAGGGAAAATTGTAAGGGATTTCAGAGAAGAACAGGAAAAGAAAAAATTACTTAAAATTATATTGACCTTAGATTTCTCATTAATAGCACACTGGGTATTGGAATACCATTGGTGGATTATCTTCCAGTTTCTTGAAAAAAACTAATTTTGAACCTGGCATATTTCTTCCCATTATTCTGTCTTTTGTGAGTAATGGCAATAAAGCCCTTTTTAGATTTGTGAGAATTTGATAATGTTTCAATATTTCAATAATTTTTTTCTTACTCTCAAGAATATATTCATACAAAATTGAAAACGAATCTAAGCAAACAGAGAAGAAATATTGAATGATATCAAAATATCCAGAAAATTTTATTAGTAATGTTAAATAATTGTTTATGTAAAATATAAAATAGGATAACTCCCTGGACCTAAAATCCTAGCTAATTAAAACATGGAAAGTGGGTGGGGGTGAATAGTTGTAATATGATAGTGTGAAGAGTGAGAACATGATAGAGTGTTTTTTGGCAACTGAGTAGTTCTAGATGTTGATAGGAAAATAAGCTTAAATCTTACCTTATTAGTAACAATCAGTCTTCTAAAATTTCCAAATAATATAACAAAAGGAAAATAAATGTTTAAAAATGACGAATATTGCATAAAATAAGATTTTAGGAGCTAGTTCAGGTATTCCTGTTACCACAATTACTGTGAATGAATTACATTCCCTTATCACAGAAAGGCTCGTATTGAGTTTAAAAAATTCACTTGTGTACTGTTTTCAAGAGACAGACCTGAAATTGAAAATTAAATGATGAAAACAAAAAGCTAGATAAATAATTAAGAAGACACAGCATGTTTTGGGCCGGGCACGCTGGCTCATGCCTGTAATCCCAGCACTTTGGGAGGCCGAGGTGGGCGGATCACGAGGTCAGGAGATTGAGACCATCCTGGCTACACGGTGAAACCCCGTCTCTACTAAAAATACAAAAACTTAGTCGGGCGTGGTGGCGGGTGCCTGTAGTCCCAGCTACTCGGGAGTCTGAGGCAGGAGAATGGCGTGAACCTGGGAGGCAGAGCTTACAGTGAGCTGAGATCGCACCACTGCACTCCAGGCTGGGGGACAGAGCAAGACTCTGTCTCGAAAAAAAAAAAAAAAAAAAAAAAGACACAGCATGTTTTATTTATTTATTTATTTATTTTTTGTTATACTTTAAGTTTTAGGGTTCATGTGCACAACGTATACAGGTGCCATATTGGTGTGCTGTCCCCAATAACGCGTCATTTAACATTAGGTATATCTCCTAATGCTATCCCTCCCCCCTGCCCCCACCCCACAACAGGCCCCGGTGTGTGATGTTCCCCTTCCTGTGTCCATGTGTTCTCATTGTTCAATTCCCACCTATGAGTGAGAACATGCGGTGTTTGGTTTTTTGTTCTTGCGATAGTTTGCTGAGAATGATGGTTTCCAGCTTCATCCATGTCCCTACAAAGGACATGAACTCATAATTTTTTATGGCTGCATAGTATTCCATGGTATATATGTGCCACATTTTCTTAATCCAGTCCACCGTTGTTGGACATTTGGGTTGGTTCCAAGTCTTTGCTGTTGTAAATAGTGCCACAATAAACATACGTGTGCATGTGTCTTTATAGCAGCATGATTTATAAACCTTCGGGTATATACCCAGTAATGGGATTGCTGGGTCAAATGGTATTTCTAGTTCTAGCTCCCTGAGGAATCAGCACACTGACTTCCACAATGGTTGAACTAGTTTACAGTCCCACCAACAGTGTAAAAGTGTTCCTGTTTCTCCACATCCTCTCCAGCACCTGTTGTTTCCTGACTTTTTAATGATCGCCATTCTAACCAGTGTGAGATGGTATCTTATTGTGGTTTTGATTTGCATTTCTCTGATGGCCAGTGATGATGAGCATTTTTTCATGTGTCTTTTGGCTGCATAAATGTCTTCTTTTGAGAAGTGTCTGTTCATATCCTTTGCCCACTTTTTGATGGGGTTGTTTGTTTTTTTCTTGTAAATTTATTTGAGTTCTTTGTAGATTCTGGGTATTAGCCCTTTGTCAGATGAGTAGATTGCAAAATTTTTCTCCCATTCTGTAGGTTGCCTGTTCACTCTGATGGTAGTTTCTTTTGCTGTGCAGAAGCTCTTTAGTTCAATTAGATCCCATTTGTCAATTTTGGCTTTTGTTGCCATTGCTTTTGGTGTTTTAGACATGAAGTCCTTGCCCATACCTATGTACTGAATGGTATTGCCTAGGTTTTCTTCTAGGGTTTTTATGGTTTTAGGTCTAACATTTAAGTCTTTAATCCATCTAGAATTAATTTTTGTATAAGGTATAAGGAAGGGATCCAGTTTCAGCTTTCTCCGTATGGCTAGCCAGTTTTCCCACCATCATTTATTAAATAGGGAATCTTTAACCCATTTCTTGTTTTTTGTGAGGTCTGTCAAAGACCAGATAGTTGTAGATGTGTGGCATTATTTCTGAGGGCTCTGTTCTGTTCCATTGGTCTGTATCTCTGTTTTGGTACCAGTACCATGCTGTTTGGGTGACTGTAGCCTTGTAGTCTAGTTTGAAGTCAGGTAGCATGATGCCTCCAGCTTTGTTGTTTTGGCTTAGGATTGACTTGGCAATGTGGGCTCCTTTTTGGTTCCGTATGAACTTTAAAGTAGTTTTTTCCAATTCTGTGAAGAAAGTCATTGGTAGCTTGATGAGGATGGCATTCAATCTATAAATTACCTTGGGCAGTATGGCCATTTTCACGATATTGATTCTTCCTACCCATGAGCATGGAATGTTTTTCCATTTGTTTGTATCCTCTTTTATTTCCTTGAGCAGTGGTTTGTAGTTCTCCTTGAAGAGGTCCTTCACATCCCTTGTAAGTTGGATTCCTAGGTATTTTATTCTCTTTGAAGCAATTATGAATGGGAATTCACTCATGATTTGGCTCTCTGTTTGTTATTGATGTATAAGAATGCTTGTGATTTTTGCATTGATTTTGCAAAATCATTGCAAAATCAAAATGCATTGATTTTGTACCCTGAGACTTTGCTGAAGTTGCTTATCAGCTTAAGCAGATTTTGGGCTGAGACGATGGGGTTTTCTAGATATACAATCATGCCATCTGCAAACAGGGACCATTTGACTTCCTCTTTTCCTAATTGAATACCCTTTATTTCCTTCTTCTGCCTGATTGCCCTGGCCAGAACTTCCAACACTATGTCGAATGGGAGTGGTGAGAGAGGGTATCCTTGTCTTGTGCCGGTTTTCAAAGGGAATGCTTCCAGTTTTTGCCCATTCAGTATGATATTGGCTGTGGGTTTGTCATAGATAGCTCTTATCATTTTTAGATATGTCCCATGAATACCTAATTTATTGAGAGTTTTTAGCATGAAGCATTGTTGAATTTTGTCAAAGGCCTTTTCTGCATCTATTGAGATAATCATGTGGTTTTTGTCTTTGGTTCTGTTTATATGCTGGATTACATTTATTGATTTGCGTATGTTGAACCAGCCTTGCATCCTAGGGATGAAGCCCACTTGATCATGGTGGTTAAGCTTTTTGATGCGCTGCTGGATTTGGTTTGCCAGTATTTTATTGAATATTTTTGCATGGATGTTCATCAGGGATATTGGTCTAAAATTCTCTTTTTTGGTTGTGTCTCTGCCAGGCTTTGGTATCAGGATGATGCTGGCCTCATAAAATGAGTTAGGGAGGATTCCCTCTTTTTCTATTGATTGGAATAGTTTCAGAAGGAATGGTACTAGCTCCTCCTTGTACCTCTGGTAGAATTCGGCTGTGAATGCATCTGGTCCTGGACTTTTTTTGGTTGGTAAGCTATTAATTATTTCCTCAATTTCAGAGCCTGTTATTGGTCTATTCAGAGATTCAACTTCTTCCTGGTTTAGTCTTGGGAGGATGTATGTGTCGAGGAATTTATCCATTTCTTCTAGATTTTCTAGTTTATTTGCTTAGAGGTGTTTATAGTATTCTCTGATGGTAGTTTGTATCTCTGTGGGGTCGGTGGTGATATCCCCTTTATCATTTTTTATTGCATCTATTTGATTCTTCTCTCTTTTCTTCTTTATTAATCTTGCTAGTGGTCTATCAGTTTTGTTGATCTTTTCAAAAAATCTGCTCCTGGATTCATTGATTTTTTTGAAGGGTTTTTTGTGTCTCTATTTCCTTCAGTTCTGCTCTGATCTTAGTTATTTCTTGCCTTTGCTAGCTTTTGAATGTGTTTGCTCTTGCTTCTCTAGTTCTTTTAATTGTGATATTAGGGTGTCAATTTTAGATCTTTCCTGCTTTCTCTTGTGGACATTTATTGCTATAAATTTCCCTGTACACACTGCTTTGAATGTGTCCCAGAGATTCTGGTATGCTGTGTCTTTGTTCTCATTGGTTTCAAAGAATATCTTTATTTCTGCCTTCATTTGTTATGTACCCAGTAGTCCTTTAGGAGCAGGTCATTCAGTTTCCATGTAGTTGAGCGGTTTTGAGTGAGTTTCTTAATCCCGAGTTCCAGTTTGATTGCACTGTGGTCTGAGCGACAGTTTGTTATAATTTGTGTTCTTTTACATTTGCTGAGGAGTGCTTTACTTCCAAGTATGTGGTCAATTTTGGAATAGGTGTGGTGTGGTGCTGAAAAGAATGTATATTCTGTTGATTTGGGGTGGAGATTTCTGTAGATGTCTATTAGGTCTGCTTGGTGCAGAGCTGAGTTCAATTCCTGGATACCCTTGTTAACTTTTTGTCTCGTTGATCTGTCTAATGTTGACAGTGGGGTGTTAAAGTCTCCCATTATTATTGTGTGGGAGTCTAAGTCTCTTTCTAGGTCTCTAAGGTCCTGCTTTATGAATCTGGGCGCTCCTGTATTGGGTGCATATATATTTAGGATAGTCAGCTCTTCTTATTGAATTGATCCCTTTACCATTATGTAATGGCCTTCTTTGTCTGTTTTGATCTTTGTTGGTTTAAAGTCTGTTTTATCCAAGACTAGGATTACAACCCCTGCCTTTTTTTGTTTTCCATTTGCTTGGTAGATCTTCCTCCATCCCTTTATTTTGAGCCTATGTTTGTCTGTGCATGTGAGATGGGTTTCCTGAGTACAGCACACTGATGGTTCTTGACTCTTTATCCAATTTGCCACTCTGTGTCTTTTAATTGGAGCATTTAGCCCATTTACATTTAAGGTTAATATTGTTATGTGTGAATTTGATCCTGTCATTATGATGTTAGCTGGTTATTTTGCTCGTTAGTTGATGCAGTTTCTTCCTAGCCTCAATGATCTTTACAATTTGGCATGTTTTTGCAGTGGCTGGTACCAGTTGTTCCTTTTCATGTTTAGTGCTTCCTTTAGGAGGCCTTTTAGGACAGGCCTGGTGGTGACAAAATCTCTCAGCATTTGCTTGTCTGTAAAGGATTTTATTTCTCCTTTACTTATGAAGCTTAATTTGGCTGGATATGAAATTCTGGGTTCAAAATTCTTTTCTTTAAAATTGTTAAATATTGGCTCCCACTCTCTTCTGGCTTGTAGAGTTTCTGCTGAGAGATCAGCTGTTAGTCTGATGGGCTTCCCTTTGTGGGTATCCCGACCTTTCTCTCTGGCTTCCCTTAACATTTTTTCCTTCATTTCAACTTTGGTGAATCTGACAATTATGTGTCTTGGAGTTGCTCTTCTCGAGGAGTATCTTTGTGGCATTCTCTGTGTTTCCTGAATTTGAATGTTGGCCTGCCTTGCTAGAATGGGGAAGTTCTCCTGGATGATATCCTGCTGAGTGTTTTCCAACTTGGTTCCATTCTCCCCATCACTTTCAGGTACACCAATCAGATGTAAATTTGGTCTTTTCACATAGTCCCATATTTCTTGGAGGCTTTGTTTGTTTCTTTTCACTCTTTTTTCTCTAAATTTCTCTTCTCGCTTCATTTCATTCATTTGATCTTCCATCACTGATACCCTTTCTTCCAGTTGATCGAATCGGCTACTGAGGCTTGTGCATTCGTCAAATAGTTCTCGTGCCGTGGTTTTCAGCTCCATCAGGTCCTTTAAGGACTTCTCTGCTTTGGTTATTCTGGTTAGCCATTCGTCTAATTTTTTTTCAAGGTTTTTAACTTCTTTGCCATGGGTTCAGACTTCCTCCTTTAGCTCGGAGAAGTTTGATGTTCTGAAGCCTTCTTCTCTCAACTTGTCAAAGTCATTCTCCATCCAGCTTTGTTCTGTTGCTGGTGAGGAGCTGCATTCCTTTGGAGGAGGAGAGGCGCTCTGATTTTTAGAATTTTCAGTTTTTCTGCTCTGTTTTTTCCCCATCTTTGTGGTTTTATCTACGTTAGGTCTTTGATGATGGTGAAGTACAGATGGGGTTTTGGTGTGGATGTCCTTTCTGTTTGTTAGTTTTCCTTCTAACAGTCAGTACCCTCAACTTCAGGTGCGTTGGAGTTTGCCGGAGGTCCACTCCAGACCCTGTTTGCCTGGGTATCAGCAGCGGAGGCTGCAGAACAGCGAATATTGGTGAACAGTTAATGTGACACAGCATGTTTTAATATATTCATCTAAGCTAGATAATATAGAATACAAAGTGAAAAGCGTTACATGGGATAAAGAGGGGGTTTTATAATGATTAAGTCAAATTTACAAGCAATGCCGTTGAAATTAGGAATGACAGAATTCTGTCTGATATCAGTTTTGGCCATTATCAGTTCAAGAAAGAAATAAAATTATGTGTGTAATTAGGGCTGGTCTCGAAACCATGATCTCAAGTGATCCACCTGCCTTGGCCTCCCAAAGTGCTGGGATTGCAGGCGTGAGCCACTGCGCCCACCCTGGAATATACATTTTAATTGTAATTTAGGATACAAATACAGTTATTGAGGCACTCATAATGCATAGGGAAGAGAGGCTATACCTTGTAAAAAGTCATAATAGGGGCCATTTTTTATTTTATACTTGACATCTATATGATCTTCCTTGAGTATCATTTTTGAGCAAAGAATGGAGTAAAATACATATCTGGATGTGCTGTATTAGTTCTTTACTTTGTGAACCATAGTTTCAGTAGCAGTACTTTTCTATTGTATTTCAGATTTAATTTTCTTGTTGGGGTGTCAAAGAAAGGCAGTCACACACAGTCACAATTATGCTGCTACGTGATAGCTGTAATTGAAATGATGGGTTATGATTTGGTGGATTTGGTGGGAAAAGTCAACCCCAGAATGCCTCAAGTTGGACACCTGTGTTAACTCCTTTACCAGAAGTGTCGAGTGCAGTCCCTTTGTCTGTTGAGCACACAGTGCTTCTACCTGACCAATGACAATTTTGAGCTTTTCACGATAGTTGTTATAATAGACTCTTAGGCAAGTTTTCAGGACAGTTAATGTAATGAAGTTGGGCACTCAGCCGTTAATGTATTTCAAATGGGTAGACATGGCTACAAACTAAGTGGAGCCAGGCAGGTAGTTAAGAAGTGATTTGGGATGATTTCTACCTGGCAGGCTTATGGTATATTGATTGGACTTTTGGAAGCTGTGTCCTGTCATTCTTGCTTGTTACCATTTTTTTGTGAGAATGGATTACTTCTACATTGAAAACAATTTGTGTGTTTTTCCTTTTGTCTCTAAAGAAAACAAGCATGTAAATATATATATATATGACTTGAATTTTATTATATTGGAGAATCAAATAGCAGTAAAGCTAAATAAGAGAAGTAAGGACAAAGTGTCTTTACACTTCCTTTTGAAGTGTCCTATAGTTATCTTGAATGTAAGCTGTCTTCAAAGGGAATTTTTAGTAGATACAATTAGATTTAGAATTCATGAAAGGAATTTCTCAAGGGAAACCATGTCTTACTTGTTTTTACCTCCTAGTAACCTTGGACAGTTCTTGGGCTTTGGTATGTGTGTTGTTGACTCAATTAACACATAAATATATTAGGTGTATCTACCTTATGTCCTAGAACAAATAGACTATTTTCCAATATTGTCATATGTTATTCAGACTAATAGATGAAACACTGTAGAGTCCAGGGACAGGGTTTAGGTTAGGTTAGATTGCAGTAAAATTTCATTAAATGAAATCCTATTAATTTAGAGCTCAGGTTAATTTGATATAGGCGGAATTAAAACATAAGCAGGTGTTGAAGCTACTGTTTTTAGGCAGTTTGAATTTGCTCATTTGCTTTAGCACAATGAATGTGGTGATTTCAAATGGTCGAATTATCTGTTCATTAACATATCAGCAGGGACTGGTACTTGGTAACACTTGGCTAATTAGTTTGTTACAGTATATATGTGAAAGTAATAGAATTTTATTTCTTTAACATTTTTCTCTAATTCCGTATTGCCTCCTTTCATTATTTCCAGTAGTGTGAATTATTATTAATAATAATTATCCTGGTGACATTTTACTTTATATGTATTTAGTGTCAGATTGTGTTAAATTTTTAATGTTAGAGGTGCAGCTTGATCTGCATTAAGTGGACTTATCATGGAATTATCATTCAGCTTGAAATACTATAGATGCCTTGTTTTTAGGAAATGAGAGGATAGGTGAAAAGAAGAGGGAGGATTGCTGGGGAAAGTTGCTAGAGGGTTATGAGTGCCACCAGTGGCAGCTCCTTATCTCAAGCCTAGTGACTGGGACTTCAGCCTACCTTCTACCTGCCCCATGTCTCTCTCTCCCCAGTCCAGCTTAATGTGTATCCCCCTTGTAGTTGGGGTGGACAAATGGATACAGTGAATTGGTGACTCCCTGAAAAATTGAAAAGGGAGTAATGGTCTGCTTAGTTGTTTTGATAGTGGAAGTGAAGGAGAGAGTACTGCAGTATAGGGATTGGCTTATATGGCTAGAATTTGTTGAAGTAAAAGATGTGTTAGTGTTCCCTTTGACAGAACATAGGGAACATGGGCAAGAGAACTCTAGGGGAATTGTTTCAAATCTCTTATGATAGGGCTGCTTAGAGGAGTGTACAGGACTCTATTGAAAGAAGCAGGATTCCTAAGGGTTGTGGTCTGTTCTGTTAGAGAGTATCTCACCTGCATCAAGAGTCTAAAGAGAACTTAATCTTGCAGACTTGGGCTCCTTGCTATGGAGCAGTAGGTTAATCCCCTTGGGACCTGTTCGAGGTGAAGACACCCTAACTCAGTGTTGAAGGAGTGCTGACATTGCTCCCTATGGTGAGCAGATTCAGAGATGGAAGTGGTGTGGAGAAGTCAAGCCTAGCAGCATCAATTAAAGGTTGTAAGGTTAAGGGGACCCCTGAGAATTCTGTCAGTTAACTTTGTGGCCCTTTGCCACAGAGATTCTGAATTTAACCTTCCTAATCTCCTCAGTGTGGGAGTAAGACATGTGGAGATAATCTCAAGTTTAGGCTTCAGTGGGCATTGATTGATAATGCCGAACCATTTTCTGTAGTAGAGATTGCCAGAAGGTGGGTTCGATTCACACCTTTTCCTTTGGTTTCCACTTTAAATTTTTTTTGTGTGTTCCTGAGGTTTACAAGTAGAAGTCTCAAAATTCACTTTAGCTTAAGCTTTCCTTGGTGACATCATATTGTCTTTACCATTAATGATAAATTGATGAAATATCATGAAGCAAAAAAGTATTTGCTATAATCAAGTATGCCCATTCTGTTCCTTTTCATGTTTTTCCCCTTTGAGACAACAGTGGAATTTCACTAGCTTGATAGAGAATTTTTGGTGCCTGTTTTAAAGCACTCAGTGAACATTTGATGAGTTCCTAGTTACTTTTTGAAGCCGGGGAGGGTTCAGACAATGGTCTGCAAAATTGCTGAGGAAAGTCCTGGAATCATTTTTAAAACAGTAGAAAAATGAAGAATCATGCATGCATATATTAGGTTGTCTTAGATCAAACCCTGGCTGAAGCTATAGTGACACATGCTGTTCATGAAAGACTTAATACAGTCCTTCTAATCGGATGAATTGTCTTGTTGTGCAAAAAGTGTTATTACACTGTGTGTGAAACCAACCATGCTTCAGGGGGAAAAATTAAATCGCCTGATTGAGAGGTCACTGGTGAATAGTAACACAAGATCTATTACCGTTATTAGAGACTCTGGAGGACATTCACCCTTTTATGGTCTTTCAACTGCTGGAATGAAATATTTTAGCGGTAAATGACACCCTTCCGGGAAATCCTTCTGAAGATTCATTCTTTGCTGCTTGCATGTAGGAAAAAAAAATCAGTGGCGGGGGGTGGGGGTCACAGGGAAAAATCACATTATTCTTTTCAGATCACTTAAAAAAATTTACCTAATTTGATTTGGTTTGCTAACAATTGCCCTTAAATGTTTCCCATTACACCCTTCTTAATCTGTGCCTATTAGGACCGCACTTTATCTTTTGTAACATGTCATGCATGTTCTGTAATAGTTTCCGCAGGGAAATTCACGATAGCATGAAAGCCCAGACACCAGGGTGGTTGTGGTTTATGTCGAAATCAAGATTAAGCACTTTAAGGTACATGAAGTGAAAAGTCTATCTGCTTATTTTGTTTATTTTCTTTTAAGGGTCTTTGAATGCATGTACGGAGGATTAGGTGAATATATATTTTTAGTTCTGCATGGCAACCATACTGAACAGTAAATATTTTAAGAAATATTTTCAGAAGTGAATGAATAACTATTGATCTGAGGTGAAGCTTTATAACACAGTTATTCAAGTGGGAACCAGAGTTCCTTTCCAATGGATTATATTCATTATAAGCTGTCAATCCATTTGTTATAGTTTAATACCACTCTGGAATTTTCTGCCTTTTTGCTATTGTGCTGTATGGTTGGGATTTGTTTTTGTGGGGACTAGGAAGAAACAAAGTGATCAGCAATAACATTGCAAATAATTTGGATAATTTTTTTTTTGTTAATTTTCAGGTCAAATACCTGACTTTCTCTTCCTTCCATTATTTGATTTCAGCATCTTTCCCCCATTTCTTCTAAAGCTTTCTTATTTTATTGCCCAAAAGATATGGAACTGTTAACAGTGATGTGAATAAGCATATAAATTCTGTTAGATTTCTCATTGTCTGCTTTTGTTACAGGTATCTTGATGGGTTCATTAAAACATATCTGTTGAAATGGGGGTTGGGAAGACGAAGGAATAGGGGAAAGGGGATACGTTGTCAGAAAGAATAATACATAGATATTTGAGCTTCACCTGGAAATAAAAATAATTTTGTAAAATAGGAGATAGAAACCCTTTGTCAGGTTGCTAATGAGAGGCTTGACCTAGCTGCTGCTGCAGCAGCATCTTTGGGGATGATGAGAGATGCAAAATGCACTGTTGCTAGGCAACTCTCTTGGCTGCCTTTGGAGCAGGTTCATATGTGCTAAGAGCTAATGAATCCTCATGTCTGCTCTTTGAAACTGTTCAAAAGCCAATGAAGACGTACCCAGACATTTAGCATTTACAAGCACCTGGACCACTCTTGCCATGTCATTTACTCATTAAAAATTAAGTTGACCATTTAGTGTGTACCAAATATTGCTTTATTTTTCAAGGTAGTCCAAGATTTGAGCCCTAGTAAATATGTTTTCAGAAAGAAGCCTAATATAGATGACTTAGTGCTGATGGGTACTATTTAAATTATTCTATATGAAGTATTATTTTAAATTTGAATGCTTCCTGCCTTCTCAAATGGCAAGTTTTTGGAGCCTGCCTCTTTCGGCCTCTTAGACATTTTAAAATTATACCTGCATGCTTTGTTCAGCCCAAGGTTGTTATTTCTGAAGATGCTAGGAATCTGGAACCCAGAACTAATTTTGTAGGCGGCTTGTCGAAAATTCCTCCCTTCCCCCTCAAAAATTCTAGGCAGTAGCCATAAGACAAGCTACAGAACAAGAATTAAAACTTGATAAGGGGCATCCATAGATCAAATAATGAATCTAAGTACTTGTAAGATCCCACCCAACCTTTAATAATACCTTTCCCTCGGGGGCATTGTAAGGACTTAAAGATCCTGTACATGAAAAAACATTGTAAAGTACCATGCAAATGCTAGTTTTTTACATCGAATTCCATCTATTAATAATCATCTAAATTCAAGCATTTTCTGTTACTAGATTATTAGCTATTAGGTTTATTAATATTTTGGTAATAGATGGTATGATTATAGTGGAATTTATTTGTAACAGGATTTAGCCTATACTTGTTAATATTTTGGTTGCACTAACCTGGGATTTCTCTTAGTGTCATAGCACCCAGTATAATAACGTACGATAACAGGCATTCAAGAAAGATTTATTGTTTAAAGAAAGTTGTGTAAACCTTCTGCATAGATTAAATTGAATTGGTTTATTTCTTGTAATATTTCAAAATATATTAAGAGATTCTGTTATAATTCTACAAGTATGTTTTCCTGTCTTTAAAATGAAAATAACAAAACAACCCACCTCATTAAATTCATCATGTGGATTAAATGATATAATCCAGAGTATAATACTGGTTTATAGTCAGTGTTTGATGAAAGTTATGTATTATTAAAATTATAGTTGATTTTTATAGCTTTTTAAGTTCATTTCACAATTACTTATCTGCTACTGTATATTCCAGGAGCGGTGCTAGACTGTTTAGCTAGATGACATGTTCCTTGCCCCTCTGGGGCTATCATCATATTTTATTCTCCAAGTGCATCAAAAAAGAGACATTAATTATTATCTGTGTGTGTGTGCACGCGCCTGTTTTAAACAACATTTAGATGCAAAAAGGAGACAGAGAATAGTGCTGTTCAATAGAAGTAAAATATGAGCTACATACGTAGGTTTAAGTTTTCTGGCAGCCACATTAAAAAGTGAACACAAATAGGTGAAATTAATTTCAACATGTTTTGTTTAACCCAGTATATCTGAAGTATTATTTCACTATGTAATTAGCATAAAAATTATTACTGAAGTATGTTATATATATGTATTTGTGCTAAGCCTCCCAAATCTGGTATGTATTTTACACCCACTGTACATCTTGATTCAGAGTAGCTACATTTCAAATGCTCAGTGGCCATATAAAGCTAGTGGCTACTATGTTGAACAGTAAAGGTAGTACAAATTCCCAATGCTCACTTTTTCAATATAAATGTAAATATGTATTTAGAAGTAGTCTTAGGCTGGGTGTGGTGGTTCACGCCTGCAATCCCAGCACTTTGGGAGGTGAAGGTGGGCGGATCACTCGAGGCCAGGAGTTTGAGACCAGCCTGGCCGACACAGTGAAACCCTGTCTCTAATAAAAATAGAAAAAATTAGCTAGGCATGGTGGTGCACACCTGTAATTCCAGCTACTTGTGAGGCTGAGGCATGAGAATCGCTTGAACCCAGGAGGCCAAGGTTGTAGTGAACTGAGATGGCGCCACTGTATTCTAGGGCGACAGAGTGAGACTCCGTCTAAGAAAAAAAAAAAGAAAGAACGAAATACTCCTTATTGGTTTTACTTAGCTGGAAATAGTCTCACAGATTCTGCAGTGGAACAGAAACCTGAAACGATTAAGAACAGGAGTTTTTCAAATGGGGTTTTCATGGTGATACTAAGAGCGCGATGGAATGTCTGACAGGTGTCTTTGGTGGCAGAAGTAGCCAGCCTCAATACCTATACTTTGTTAACCTTTTCTTCCTTTTTCAGTTATTGGTAAGTTCAGTTCAGCTCAGCTCACGTTTACTGAGTTCTTGTTATATTTATAGTCCTGGGTAAATACAAGAAGAATAGGGGCAGGTTTGCCACCTGTAAGGCATTCACAGGCTAGTGTGTGTGAGAATGAATAACTGTGACCCTAAGTATACTGGAATAAAGGTGTGCATAAAGTTAGAGTGACAAACAGTACTTCGAGTATTCTTTGCCTAGAAAGGGGCAGACAATTACCTTATTATCCTTAAAGATTATATTTTATGGGTGTGAATATTTTCTGTGTGTCAATAGTTGAACTATCAGGTTGAAAAAAGGAGGAACATACACGAGGTTCAGTGAGCAGGAGGAGGGAATAGATGTGCCTTGAAAAATAAGCTGATCGGGAAGGCAGGGGAGAAGCATGATTAGACTTTCTCTCCTGGCATCGACTGTCATCTTTGGGCAGAAAATCTGTCCTCTGTCTCATTCTTCCACTGAGCCTTTGCTGGGTGCTGTGGCCGGCTTAGCTACTTCCTACTCTGCTACCTACTAGTTCTATGTCCTTTGGACATTTAACATCCACTTTAGTCCTATCATTTTTGCTGAAAGTAATTTTTAGTAAAATAACATTTTATTTTACTGAAGTAACATTCTTTAAATCTGTAACATATAATAGTAATATGTAAAATATCCAAGCAATGAAATAGTATGTACAGTATTCATATATTCCCCCAAAAAATGTATACACAGAAATGTACACAAAAGCATTACGTTGCACATGTTTCTTTGTAGTTTTTTCACTTATCAAGATGTTATGGCCATTTTACCACATTTATGCAGATCTAACTCATGGTTTTTGGAGGCTGCCGGTGTTCACAGCATATCAACAATTTAATGTATGTAACTGTTTCCCTATTGATAGACATTTAAGTTTTCCAAGGTTTTGTTGTTGTTGCATGCATCTGAGGCCTTCTCAGTCATCTCAGCCTTTTAGAACAGCTTTGTCCAAAAGAACTTTCTGCTATCATGTGAATGATCTATAATTTGTGCAGTTTTATGTGGTAACCACTAGTCACATGTAACTATTAAGCCCTTGAAATTTGGCTAGTGTGACTGAGGAACAGAAGTTTTAATCGTATTTAATTTTAGTTAATTTAAATTCAAATTTAAATTAATCAAATTGATTAATTTAATTCAATTGATCAATCAAATTAAAATAGCCAAATGTGGCTAGTGGCTACTGTATTGGGCAACCTAGCTCTAGAATCTCTCTCTTCTTCTGAACAATGAAAATCAATCATTATCTATGCTGTTTATTTTGTATACCTCAAAGACTATCTTAAAATGTTTCCTTGTTCTTTTGTCTTACTTTTTGTCTATAGAAACGATTTTTATACTTTTAATCTTTAAAGTTGAGTTCAAGTTATTCAGTTAATAGTGCTTGAGATTATAGTTGTGAGTTTCTTAACTAGGCTGTGAACCACTTGAGATGGGGGACTGTCTTTTGTCAGTTGTGTCATCAAAGCTTAACACAATCTCAGTGTAGATTTGGCCCTCACATATTTTTGATGGCTGGATATGTAACTCATAAGAGAGTTTTCTGTTTATTATTGATGCTGGAATACTCTAGAAGTTATTCTTTTTAGAAATCCTAAAAACCATTGTTTTCTTAATTGCCACTTTCTTTTAAAGCAAAATGTGGAATGATCCTGGTTTGGGGGTCCCAAAGATGACTAACACGTTTAGTTATTCTCTAAAAGAACTCACAAGACTCAGCATAGAGCTGTAACCATGCTTAAGATTTATTACAGTGAAAGGATAGAAAGCAAAATTAACAAAGGAAAAGGTTCATGAGGCAAAGTCAAGAAGACATCAAGTGCAAACTTCCTAGAGTCCTTTCCCAGTGAAGTCACACAGGGTGTACTGAATTCCTTCAGCATTGAATGATGGCAACATGTATGGGTTCTTTGGGAAATCTGCTATTTTATTAAACCCCAAAATATTGAATCTATCTAGCTTAGTTACATAGTTGCTTACCTAGATGAGCTATATTTAATAATATCTAATTGTTGGAGAGATTTCAAACTCCTCCTTCTAACTCTGGTGTAAAACACATTACCAATGACAGACATAGTAGTAGAAATTGCACCTAATTATACATTATACTTTACTTATAGGACATTGGCTTTTAACTTTTATTTGACTAGTCAGACTGCCAAAGATTTAGAGCTCACGTGGCAGAAATGTGTAGCTACTTTTGTCCAAGAAGGAAATTCTATGGATACAGGAATTCAGTCACTATAGTTATCATTTATGTAAGTTTCAGAATGTTAGCAATGGATATAACTGTTGATTATATTCCTTTTTTCCCTGCTGGTAGTTACATATTGGTAATGTAGCCAACCATTACATCATGATTTAAGTTTTTCTTATACTGTTTTCTAAATAAATAAGTTTTCTGACTCTGAGAGATAATAGTCAGATGGCTAATGAGACTCACCTGGAAATAAAGTTTAGGCCAGGAAGGGTCGTGGCTATTTTCTTCTACATCAAACCCCTCAAGTGATGTGATATTTGACTTTATCTTATTCTAGTCTGCAGTATTTCCTGTGTCTTTCCATACTTGAACCTCCTGTATTGCTGACCTTATTTTCTACATACTAGGAAATTTATACCTCAGATTCTGATGATGTTTATGTTTTTGGCATCCTAGTAACCTTTATTGGATGGGCTAATTTTTCTGATTCTAAGTTAACTTGATCAGAATATATTTTGGAGTAACTTTATTGGCAGATAGTAGTCTTTTAATACTTTTTCATAGAATCAAATAATTGCAACATTATTATAAGATCCATTTGCTTATAGAATTTGAAGAGACAAGGAAATTAGACATAATTTATACTCTAAAAGCATTTACAGTGTGCTGGGAACGAGGGACACAAAGGTCTATGAGATGTCATCCCTGTCTTTGTGGGGCTAAGTGGCAAGTACATGGGTTTTAGTGTTAGATTGCTTTGATACAGTCCGAAATTCAGTACAAGCTTCAGTTTTCCGTTTGAAATGTGGTGATAATCATGATTTTCTACAAAGTGCTTAACAGAATGTTATAGTTAGTCTTCAATAAATGCTAGCTGTTGTTATTCAAGGAATCACTACAGATCAGATGCTCAAGCTGGATTGGAATAAGGCTAGAGTGATATATCACTATAGAAAGATTGTCTGGTTGGGACCTTTGCTAGTTTAGATACATTTCTTTCCTTGACCTTATTTGACTCTTAAAGGTTAAACTTCAAGACTGTAGAATACTTCTTTAATTATAATGTTAGTATATAAATATAATTTGAATCTTAGAAGAGTAAGATTATACTGTTTACCTTTTTTTGTGATGTTGCTTACATGCCTGCAAATTCCTTATAAGTGGAGGAAGTAATTACCTTTTTAGCACTTCTGTCAATAAACTTCTTTCCAATGGACTATTTAAATAATAAACATCATAAGTAAAAATGTCAAGTAATTGAGGAAGGTAGAATTAAGTAATGTTCAAAAGCTTAATCACTTATCATGTCATTTTTTGTAGAATGAATAAGTTTTAAAAGTCTCTTCCAATATTAAGATTATTAAGGAATTATGTTTCTGTATATATCATGCAAGCATATTTATTCTTATATTTTATGTTTTATCTTTTCAATTTAACTGAATACACACTATTATCTTACCATTCTTTTAAAAATGGCAAACACACTTGTATATATAGAATTTAGATCAATTTTTCCTCAGGACAAGGGCTTATGCAAAGTTGAGTGAGTCAGCATTTGTTGAATCTAAGGCTATGAGTAAAATGTGAACTAAGAATACACTTTTGTAATTCAGGTCTAGTTTTATAAAACATGACTCTGAAAAGTTAAAAGCAGACACTGCTTTGGAGTTTTGCCTCTCACTTTCATTGGCTGATCATATCTTGAATTATTTCATTCCACTGATAACTTTTTCTATTTATACTAATTTATTACTATATATCTCATATAGTAATAAAGTATGAGCTATCATATTTTTTTAAAAAGGAATAGTTATAAACATTATGTATTGTCTCATCTTCTAACCATGATGAATAGTAACAAAGCCCTTTTTTATTTCTCATAATTTATAAGTAGATAACACTACTTAAGATTTTCGTTATAGAACTGTCTGAAAAATTATGCTCTTTTTTTGCAGCCTCATGAAGTGTTGCCAACGTGTATGTTTTTTTCTGAATCCAGAGTTGAATTTTTGTACTCTGTTTTTTATATGCTTGATTTCACTGAGATGCTGGTTTGTGTCTCTCCTGCGTGTTTTTTTCTTTATGTTTTGTCCAATTTATGGGGTGAAGACTTGCATGATGGCTCTTTGTTTCTGTTATAGATGGCTTGGAATCTTATGTTTGCTGTTACTCTGCCAAGGTAGAATGGAGGAGTGAACTGAGACATAAACTCCTATCCACATTTTGCCATCATCTAACTTTGTGGTCTTTTTGGGCCTCAGTTTAATCTTCGGTAAAATAAAGTTGTTAAGCTAAATGAAGTTGATAAGATATCTTCTGACTCTTAAAAAACAATCCCAGGATTTTTTGTGTATGGTAAACACATAACATGAAATCTACCTTAAAAAATTCTAATTGTACTGTACAGTATTGTTAAGTATATGAATATTTTTGTACGGTGGATCTCTAGAACTTTTTTTATTTTGCATGACTGAAACTCTATACTCATTGAACAGTAGCTCCCCACTTCTCCCTCCCCAACTGTCTGGCAACCACCATTCTACTTTCTGCTCTAAGAGTTTGACCACTTTAGATACTTCATATAAGTGGAATAATGCAGTATTCGTCCTTCCGTGGCTTATTTCACTTAGCATTGTGTCCTCAAGGTTCATCTAAGTTGTAGTATATGATAGAATTTTTCTTTTTAAAGACTAAATAATATTCCATTGTATGCATATACCACACTGTGTTTATCCATTCATCCCGGGATGGACATTTAGGTTGTTTCCATCTCTTGAGTATTATGAATAAAGCAGAAATGAATGTGGGAATGTGAATATTTCCTCAAAATCCTGATTTCAGTTCTTTTGCATAAACAACCTCAAGATCGATCATAGAGTAGATTAAAAAAAATTTTTTTTGAGGAACCTTCATGCTGTTACCCATAGTGGCCACACCTTTTTTACATTCCCACCAACAGTGCACAGATGTTCTAATTTCTTCACATCCTTGTCAATACTTCTGATTTTTTAAATAATGTTAATCCCACCAGGTATGAGGTGACATCTCATTATGGTTCTAATTTGTGGTTGGAAAGGGTACTTAGTGTGATTTCAGTCTTAAATTTGTTAAGACTTGTTTTGTGATCTCACACGTGGTCCATCCTAGAGAATGTTCGGTGTGCACCTGAGAGAGAACATGCTGTTGCTGTTGGGTAGAACGTTCTATGTGAGTTTGTTAGGACCATTTGGTCTACAGTGTTGTTGAAGTGCTCTGTTTTCTTATTGATCTTCTGTCTGGATGTTCTATCCATTATTTAAAATAGGATATTGAAATCATCTACTATTACTGTATTGCTTTCCATTTTCCCCTTTGGTTCTGTCAATGTTTGCTTTATATATCTGGGTGCTATGATGTTGGTTGCATATATATAATTATCGTATTGTCCTGGTGAATTGACCCATTTATCATTATATAATGTCCTTCTTTCTCTCTTGTGACGATTTTTTATATGGACAACCTTGCTGTCTTTTGGTTACCATTTGTATTAAATATCTTCTCACTTTCAGCCTGTGTGTGTCCTTAAATCTAAAGTGAGTCTTTTGTAGACGTTATTATAGTGGGATCTTGTTTGGGTTTTCGGAATCCACTGTATGTCTTTGATTGAGCAGTTTAATCCATTTACATTGAAAGTACTTAGTGGTAGGAAAGGACTTACTATTGCCATTTTGTTAATTGCTTTTGTCTGTCTTATAGCATTTTTTTGGTCCCTTGTTTCTTCTCTTGCTGTCTTCTTTTATGTTTCATTGATTTGATAGTGACACTTTGATTCATCACTCATTTTCTTTTCTTTTTTCTTTTTTTCTTTTTTTTTTCTGAGATGAAGTCTCACTCTGTCGCCCAGGCTGGAGTATAGTGGCACGATCTTGGCTCACTGGAACTTCCGCCTCCCAGGTTCAAGTGATTCTCCTGCCTCAGCCTCCCAAGTAGCTGGGATTACATATATGTGCCACCAATGCCCAGCTAATTTCTGTGTTTTTAGTAGAGATGGGATTTCACTATGTTGACCAGGCTGGTCTTGAACTCCTGCCCTCAAGTGATCCATCCACCTTCAGCCTCCCAGAGTACTGAGATTACAGGCATGAGCTACCGTACCCAGCCACTCATTTTCTTTTGTGCATGTTCTATGTGTATTTTTTTTATGGTTGCCATGGGACTTACATCAATATCTAACAATATTTTAAGCTGATAACAAGTTACATAAACTTCAATCACATACATAAACTACTCTTTTACTTCTCCCTCCTTTTTATGTTACCAATGTCACAAATTACATCTTTTTAATAAAGTTCATCCATTTACATGGTTTTTTTAGTTATTTATACTTTTGCCTTCTAAACCCTATACCAGAATTAAAAGTGATTCACGCACCACTGTTACAATATTATAGGATTCTTTGTTTAGGTATTACCAGTAAACTTTATATTTCCATATGCTCTCATGTTTCTGTCTGGAGTCCTTCTGTTTCACCTTGCAGGACTACTTTTAGTATTTTTTGTAAGGCATGTTTAGTGGTGATGAACTCTCTCAGCTTTTGTTTATCTGGAAATATCATTACTTCTCTTTGTTTTTTTTTTTTTGTTTTTTTTTTTTTTTTTGAGACAGTCTCGCTTTGTCTCCCAGGCTGGAGTGCAGTGGCACAACCTCAGCTTGCTGCACCCTCTGCCTCCTGGTTCAAGCAATTCTCATGCCTCAGCCTCCTAAGTAGCTGAGATTACAGGCATGCACCACCATACCCAGCTAATTTTTGTAGTTTTTTTTTTTTTTTAGTATAGGTGGGGTTTCACCATGTTGGCCCAACTGGTCTCGAACTCCTGATCTCAGGTGATCCTAACACCTCGGCCTCCCAAAGTGTTGGGATTACAGGCACGAGCCACTGCACCCGGCCTCTCCTTCGTTTTTGAAGGATAGTTTTACCAGATATAGTATCCAGTATCTTGGTTGGCAGTACCTACCCACCCACCCCTGCCCACTCCTTTCAGCACTTTAAATATA
This sequence comes from Homo sapiens, assembly GCF_000001405.40. Taxonomy (NCBI): domain Eukaryota; kingdom Metazoa; phylum Chordata; class Mammalia; order Primates; family Hominidae; genus Homo; species Homo sapiens. Next base: position 20,815,552 of record NC_000009.12, read on the forward strand.
TTATTTCACTCCCTTCTTGCTGGCAAGATTTCTGCTGAGAAATCTAGTCATAGTCTTATAGGGGCTCCCTTAACAGTCCCATGATTATAAATTAATTTGTTTATCAAGGAACTTAAACGCTGGAGGAGGGAAGAGAAAGCATTGAGTTATATGAAGCCAGATCTTGAGACAGTCAATTATAGGACACTTACCAGCTTCTTTTATATTAAAGGCGAAATCTGAGCATTCATTGTATTTTCAGCCTCTGAAGGGTATAAGATTCAAGATTAGGAGGATCAAGAGCTGGTAATTACATCTCAAGTAAATACATATTCACAAGGAAATAATAATAATAAAAAATTAGTCCATCTTTTATGTAAAATTATTTTCCACAGATGTCTATCTATATCTGTGTTTTCCTAGTGAAACAGTCCCTGTTTTATTTTTTCCATTTAATTGGGGACTGAATTTGGGCTATTATGCCTTGAGAACTGTATTAAGTCTAAGATTATTTACTGTAAACATTTCCTTCTTTTTTCATTTCTGAACTGGCCAGAGGAAAAGACACACCCTTACGTGCTTTTTTTAGGGCCAAGTCTCATAAAGGAACTGTGTACTCTTAGACATAAATACAGTACTTTATTTCTCCCCTGACAGTATAATTATAGCATTTGTTTAAAAGTCACACAACTAAATACACTAGTTTATAAAATGTCAGTAAATATACTCATTGCCCTTCTAAAAACTAAGAATCTGTCATTGTGTCTTGGTAGAAATCTTTCTAGAAGGGGATAATGCGTTGAGATCACTGTAAGCCAATTTAAGATAACCTTCTGTTTTTAATTAAAATGGGAACTGAAAAGTCAGTTCAAAAATTTGTCTCCTTTCATTTGCCGAAAGTGAGAGTGATAGAATTCCTGTTCCAATCAAGTCTCTGCACTTGTTAAAAACATCATACATTTTGGCTGTCTGTTGTGAGATCATAGCTATTACATGCACAGCTCCACATGCTGCTGTGGTATATCGTGGTCAGGGTCATTAATGAATTAATGTTTAATTGTCAATGTCTTGGTGGTAAAGTTAAGAGGATATTTTTTCCTTTTTGAAATTGAATTAAAATAGATGTCTTCGAAGGTTAGAAGGAACAGGCTTTCTAAGAATAGAACAGATAGAGAAAATGAACAAATACAGTGGGCCCTTGATATTAGCTGGTTTTTCATCTGTGGATTCACCAGCTGCAGACAGAGCATATTTGGGGAAGAAAATAAAAATAAGAATTTAGCAATAAAGATAATATGAATAAACAATATAGTACAACAACTATTTACATAGCATTTACATTGTTTTAGGCATTATAAGTAGTGTAGAAATGATTTAAAGTGTATGAAAGGATGTGCATAGGTTGTATACAAATACCTATGCCATTTTATATAAGATGCTTGAGCATTTCTGGATTTTGCTATCCATGGAATGAGGTGTGCGTATCTGTGTGTCTGACCATCCTGGAACCAGTCCCTGTAGATACTGAGGAATGACTGCTGGACAATAAACTTTTGAAATATAGCATATGGCAAATAAAATTTTTTGGCATTACAGTTTGTGCTATCAAGTAAGTGCTTTGCTTATAGTAGATATTTACCAAATAATTTTGAATTGAATTTAAAAAACCATTAAAATATAATTTACATCTCATGTAATTCATCCATTTGAAGTGTACAATTCAATGGCTTTTATTATATTTACAGAGTTTTGTAAACATTACTACAACGAATTTGAGAACATTTCATTACCCCCGAAGGAAACCCCATGCCCATAAGACGTCACTGCCTGTTTCACCCTTCCTGACCACCCCCTGCTTCTTACTTGCCCTATCCTAGACAACCACTAATCTACCTTCTATCTCTACATACAGCCTTTTGTGGCTGTTTTTTTTCTCTTACCATAATGTTTTCAAGGTTCATCCATGTTGTAGCATGTATCAGTACTTCCTTTATTTTTATGGCTGAATAATATCCTGTTGTGTGGTTATATTGTATTTTGTTTATTTATTCGTCAGTTGATGGGCATTGGGTTGTTCTGGGCATTCTGCTCATATAAATGAGATCATATAACATGAGGCCTTTTGTGGCTTTTTTTTCTCTTAGCATAATGTTTTCAAGGTTCATCCATGTTGTAGCATGTATCAGTACTTTATTTATTTTTATGGCTGAATAATATCCCATTTTATGGTTATACTGTATTTTGTTTATTCATCAGTTGATGGACATTGGGTTGTTTCCACTTTTTGGCCATTGTAAATAATGCTTTTCTGAAAATTCATTTACAAGATTTTGTGTGGACATATGTGTTCTTTTTTCTTAAGTAGATAACTAGGAATAGAATTGCTACATCACATGGTAATTCTATGTTTACCTATTTAAGAAATTGATAGAATGTTTTCCAAAGGGACTGAACTACTTTACATTACCACGAGCAGTGTACAAGGGTTCCAATTTCTTCACATATTCGGCAACACTTGTTATTGTCCATCTTTTGATGATAGCTTTTGCATCATGTGTAAGGTGGTATCTCATGGTTTTGATTTGCATTCCATCATGTCTCATGAAATTGAGCATATTTTCCTGTATTGGCCATTTGTTTATCATCTTTGGAGAAAGGTGTATTCAGATCCTTTGCCTATTTTAAAACCTTTTTTTTGGGTAAATTATTGGGTTTTAAGAGTTCTTTATATAGTCTGGGTACAAATCTCTTATTAGCTATATGGTTTGCAAATATTCTTTCCCATTCTGTACATTGTCCTTTCACTTTCTTTATGGTATCTTTTGACGGACAAGCATTTTTACGTTGATGAAATTCATTTTTCCTTTTGTGGCTTGTACTTTTGTTGTCATGTCTAAGAGCTTAGTCTACCCCAATGTTACAAAGACTTAATCCTATATTTTCTTTAAGAGTGTTATAGTTTTAGCTCGTACATTTAGTTCTAAAATCCATTTTGAGTTAATTTTTACATGTTGTATGAGAAAGGGGTCCAACTTGATTCTTTTGCATGTGGATATACAGTTGTTGAATTCCAGCACTATCCCTCCGAGAGACTCTTCTTTCCTTATTGTTTTTTTCTGGGGATCCTTGTCAAAAACCAATTGATTATAAATATAAGTACTCATTTCTGGACTCTGAATTCTATTTCATTGATTTGTCTTTCTAATCTTATGCCAGTACCATACAGTTTTGATTACTTTAGCTTTGTGGTAAATTTGGAAGTGAGAAGTTTGAGTCTTCAAACTTTGTTTTTCTTTTTCAGGATTATTTAGGGTATTTAGGGTTCCTTGCTTTTACACATGCGTTTATGATCAGCCTCTCAATTTTTGCAAAGAAGCCAGCTGGAATTTTGATAAAGATTGCATTTAATTTCAAGATCAATTTGGGAAATAATGATGTCTTAACAATGTTATGTCTTCTAATCCATGAATGTATTTCTTTTCACATTTTATTGTGTCATGCATAGAGATTGAAATGAGGACTTAGAGGGAAATTTTTGTCCATTGGCTCCTTTATAGTACACTGACTTCAGTTACTTCTTATTGGAGTAACCTAATTGAATGTTTCATTATGTGAAATTTTATTGTTTACATACCTTAAGTGTTGGCTGTTCATTAGAACTTTACATTTCTTTGAGGCAGGATATATCTTTTTATTTTTTTGAGACAGGGTCTTGCTCTGTCATCTAGGCTGGAGTGCAATGGTGCAATCATGGCTCACTGCCACGTTGAGCTCCCAGTGTTAAGTGATCCTCCCACCTTACCTTCCCAAGTAGCTGGGGCTACAGGTGTGCACTATCATGCCCAGTTAATTTAAAAGTTTTTTGTAGAGACAGGGTCTTCCTGTGTTGCCCAGGCTGGTCTTGAACTCTTGGACTGAAGCAATCCTCCTGCCTTGCGTTCTCAAAGTGCTGGGATTACAGGTGTGAGCCACCATGCTTGGCAAGGCAGGGTGTATCTTAACTACTATTGTATTTCTCAGAAGTGATGTTATAGTTATTCAATAAAAGCACTTTTCGATTGGTGTTTGGCAGCTAATTATAAGTGGTAGAATACTAGTGACACTATGAAATTATCATTAGCAAGTAATAGCTAACTGATATATTCTAAGTCTTCCAATTCATTCATATTCATATTATTCCTCTGGAAAAAAAGAGATAAATATTCCATTATATATTACTTTTTTGTAACAAGGCATATTTAATATATTTTAAAAATTCATTTTAGGTGCCAAATCTGATTCCAGTTTTGATGTTCAAATTGGGAAGACCACTGGAACCTATATTATATAATGATATATTGTATACTTTACCTAAGCTTGGTGTTCACAAGGTTAGTATGTTAATTAATTTAGTTGGCGAAAAAAGTGAGTCATGAATAATACTTTGAATTCTTTTTGGTATTATGAAATTTTAAGCCCTAAATTTTGCCATAGTCACTACTTCTCTTGTTGAGCTAGGAGGTAATATCTAAAGACAAAAGTATTTATTACAATATTTAATAATTAATTGTTTTAAATTACTTAGTATCTAAGTTTTCACTTTGGCTATTCTCTGAGATTAGGTCCTTATGTCCCCAGGATTGTTATCTAGCCCCTCCAACGCTATTTTTCATCCTCTAAGAAGGTGGGTAATATTGCAGCAAGCTTTCTTCTCAGTCTTCATTTTATAACAAGGGGTTTAAAAATGCTTTTGGTAACCTCGAGGTTGTCTGCATTCAAGTTTATGCAACTAGAGTTTCTTCAATATTTTCTAGGTGTGTATAGGACAAATTCTACGAATAATACAACTACTTGGAACCACACCACGACTAAGAGCTGTCACTTTGCGCTTGCTGACATCTTTGTGGGAAAAGCAGGTAATTTCAGATATACACTTGCATGAGTATTAAATATGTTCCTTTCACTGAAGGAAAATAATTATGTCATATATGGCAATGCTTTGGTTTAGTGGTATTAATGAGTGGCATCAGTGATTGCATTGAAAAAGTTTTGATTTATTGTGATGCATTTGTAATGCAGTTAGTTAACTTTCAGAGAAATTGAGAATATAAAATCTCATTTCTTTATTTCTGAAATGTATCTTTCCATTTGCTTGAGAAAGTAATGGAAATATAGTTATAAATGATTAGAGCCTTTGTAATTAGGGTGAGATTTAGCCACTTTCTTCTTGTTTTATGAAATCAACAGTACATTGGTGTATAAGAAAATCCCCAGTAATCACTATAGCAATCTTCTCTGCTGATTAGAAGAACGACAGTATAATTTGCAATGCAAATGGAGGATTTGGAGGTGAAAATGCTGAGTAAAAGGAAGATAATGATTATTCAACTCAAGTTGGGAAACTACCTTTTTTGTAAAATTGCCTTCGTAGGACCGAGTCTATCCTGAACTGCAGCGTTTCATGGCTGTGTCTGATGTACCTTCTCTTTCGGTGGGCAAGGAAGTCCAATGGGAGAAACTGATTGCAAAAGCAGCATCAATCAGAGATATATGTAAGCAGAGGTATGATGTCATTAACTCTTAGGAATGTATATCATGATATATTATTTTGTATTTAATTTTTTAATTGCAAGCAAGAGGCAAGAAAAGATAGGCAGAGGATATATAAGTACTAATAATTTTTTAACTTAAGTTTTCTGATTATAAAATGTAATAATATTGAACAATAGCTTTGAGAAGTATGTCTTTTCTTTTCAGGACTAGTCTTGTATCTAGGTTCGTAGGATATTTATATCGTTTTCTGATTAATAATTTAATATTGCAGTAAAACATGTGATGTTATGTTTTCTATTTTTCTGTATATGAATCCCTGAAAACTACACAGTAGACTGTTGTCATAAACTATTCTTTCTTATATTCTCCCTTTGTTTAAGTAGGGAGATAAGTAGTTTTAATGGGGAGACCTTATTTTTGGAAATGGAATTATTTGTAATTATAACAAGGAAGAAAATGATGATGAATTTTTATGTATGCTGTAAGCTTTTAGGAAAACATAAAGAAATTAGGAAGATGACTCTGCTGTTCTAGATTATGGATTAATAAACAGGGTGGAGGTGACAAGACTGAAATAATACAAGTCAAGCTCTACCATATCCAAATTTTTTTTTCTTGCATGTGGTAAGATAAAAATGTTTACAGAAGAAATGGACTTGATGCATTTGAAACTGTAGTCCTGCAGTTTCATTTGTTGATCAGCCACTGCGTTGAATTCCTGGTAACGTCATTCTCACTTTTGTTAATGACAGCAGTGTGAATGCTACTCTCTGAAGCTGTGCAGTGGGTTGGCCCAGATGCTGATAACATGGATGATTCCTGTTTCAAGTAAAATTTGGATCAGAATATACAGAAGCTAAGCCCTAGCATTTTTACCTCTTTTCTAAGCTTCCATCTTTAGCAACACAAAAATGACCTCAATGTAAAAGTTACTAAAAAAAAAAAAAAAAAAAAAAAAAAAGGAGTTACATGTGTGTAACCCAAGAATTGGGAGTTTGAATTTTACTGAGCTATTGGCATGGAAAAAAATTCAGAGATAAAAGTTATTGGCTGACATTCTTATTCTATATAATTAAAGCTGAGGCTCAGGATAGACTGAATATCAGACCAGATCAGTCTACTGCTAACTTATTTAGTATTCCTTTCAGTTACTACCTCCAGATCTGTCAAATTTTTTCATTTTGGAAAATTATTTCCACTTGTGGGACAGTGAAACAATAGATTTCTGACAGGCAATTTCATCAATTTACATTTTGTTAATAAAAGAAAAGATATTATTGAAAGGAAACAAGGAATTCAGGGAATAGACTTGCATAACCATGAAATTAATGGTATTCTGGGGATAGCACAATATATGTGGATTAGAAAGGAGAGGAAGGGGAGGAGGATGAGTGAATGAATTTAGCACAGTGCCTGGCATGAGATAGGAGCTCAGTCGGTTATAGTTTTTATAATTTTTATCCTTATCATCATTATGATAGGTGTAACCACCCTAGTTAGTATTGCTACTACCACAAATCATCTTCTGTTTTCAAATTCCTGCTTTTGTAATGAGTATCTGATACTATCAGGCCAGAATAGCTCTATCTTTACTAATCTCAATTAGGTAATTCAGTTCTTTTTACCATTATTACAGCCTTGAGTTTTTCTCAATTCAGACAATAGGATTTGTGATTTAGAGTGAATGAAATTTGTTAAAAAGTGTCTTTTTGGGTTATTTCTATATAAAAACGAGCATAAAATTATAGCAGAAAATGATCATGATGCACATTTTTGAAGAAAAAACATGGTGTTAATATTTGAGGGTCACCATTTAGTGGCACAAGAGTATAGAAAATGATGGATGCTTTTTGTTTAGGCAAAAGATCTGGGAGTGATAACTGCACTTTAGCATTAATTTTGCTTTTAAACTTTCATTTCTTGTAGGCCATATCAACATGGTGCAGATATGTTGGCAGCTATTTCTCAAGTGTTGAATGAATGCACCAAGCCTGATCAAGCTACTCCAGCAGCCTTGGTATTACAGGGTCTTCATGCACTCTGTCAAGCTGAGGTAGGCATTTTTAAATTGCTTTGGATAATTTTGAAGAAAATCTTTTATAAGGCAGAGTGGGTACAAGAATGTAAGATTAGATTCAAATAACTGAAGTCTGAGTGTTCATTCCCAGTGAATTTTTTCTTGGAAAAGTGAAGCAAGACCTACTTTACAAATTCTTTCTAGAAGGGAATCTTGAAACATCCAGTCATGTAGGCATTCTCTAGAGATCAAAGAAAACCAGACTTAAGATTTTTCTTTCTTCTTATTTATTTTTGTTAAAACAAAAGGGAAAGTTATGCCTATAGGAGAACTCTAGAATATAGTTGCTTCTTAATTTTGTGATTAGAGAGCTTTAGAAACAGGTGAGGTGAAGAAATTGTCGTTGGCCAGTGGCACTTTTATAGCTAAAAGATTGGGAAAGAACCATTCATTCCTGGTGATTAGACTGAGTAGGGTGGGTAAATGTTAGAACTAAACTTGTAAATCATTTTCTGAACTTCAGACTGTTCCCAGAATTATAACACAGCAGAGAGAATCTACTGTTTTAGAGAAATGTTTTAGAGAAATGTGGTAATTGCACCAAAGATCATTCATTGACCTAACCAAAGGTTTTGACTTAGTGAACATATATACCCAATTGTAGTTTTTTAGTGAATGAGACTAAGTAGAATTCTCCCACCTTAAGGTTATGGTCAGTTATGGTTGATAATGATAGTAATGAATATAATGATCTGATAATATAAGTGACAGCCATATTGAGCGTTATGCTCGTGTCCTTGGGCTAAGCACTTTTTATGTATTTTTCTTAACAACTCTGCAGTATAGGGATTAACACCATTTTACAGATGAGGAAGATAGACCCCAGAGAGAGGTTAGATATTTACGCCGGATCTTGGTATGAGAATACACTTCTATTATTTTTGGTGAACACTCATTTCAGCAGGCAGTGAACATCATTGCTGTTTAAAAACTGATGTGTGGTAAGGACAATGCTTTCACATCCTGTGCCCAATATTTGGAAAAGTTGTTAGAACTTAATGGCAAGGGGCTATTATAGCAGGAGAATACCACACATGCCCAAGGACATTTGATTTTACTGCTTCTGTCAGTCATCTGAGATTGGGAAATATCTCTTTAATAGTTATATTACTTTCATAATAAGTAATCCTGAAATCTATTTTTAAACCAGTTTTGAGAGAAGAAAGAATTCTAAACTTTCACCACCAAAAGGTGACCATTTTTACTGTTTTGTTGTATTTCCTTTTCATTATTTTTTCCTAACAGGCATCAACTAATTTCTGAAATTAACATTTTTTCTTATAATAAATAGTAATTTAGCCTTATTGCTTTTATGATTCCATTGTTTTCTCTGCCCATCCCCTCCTGTTACTATAAGGCTGTACAGTTTATCAATGCTTTTTAATTCATAAGAAATACCCTGAGTTTGGCACTGACTTTCCTCATTCCATTTCTCTAAGACATCATCATTAACTGTGGTTAGTACTGAAGATAAATTTTTAGGCACTAGTGTACATAATATATATCAGTTGTTCTATGTGTCCTTTGACTAATTTAGTTAGCTTCTCTGAAACTTTGTTCCTTCAAATGAGGATAAAATAAGATTATACACAAAAAAGACCTAGTGTAATATCTGCTCACATAGGTATTAATAATAAAGCACTACCACTAATTAGTTAAGTTCATTTTATTAGAAAAAGAATGCTTATTTTCTTACCTCTTGTTTTTCGTCTGTTCATTCTTGTCTAGAAAGTAAATTATTTTATCGATGCTTACTAAAGCAAACTATTTTATTGATGCTTACTAAGTGTTATATACCAGTTTTCTTTATAGATATTACCAATGTCCAGAATTGTGGAATTTGTTGAAAATGACTGCATTACTATTAATTTTGGTGATAATTTTTTTTTAATGTTTGGTAATGAATAGCTGTGTGTTTAAATAAGTAGATGTAATCTATTTTCCTTTGAGGCTTGATGATGGTAGTAATATATCTTTCTGTTTTGTTTAAGGCTTTTCAAGCTTTGCGTGTGTGTGTGTGTGTGTGTGTGTGTGTGTGTGTGTGTTCATTATTTGTGAAGCTGCTGCTATGTCCTGTGATGTGTGTTACAGTCATAAAGTATACTTGGTATTCACCAGCTCTTGCCAGGCCACATTTACTAACTGGGGGCTCATCTTTTGTTTTGTGTCCAGAGTGCTATTCACAGAGGTCAGCTCGCATTCTGTGAAGCCAGTTATTTTGTTTTCTAATTGATATCATGTGTGAAGCGTGATGTAGTCAAGGTTTCAAGAAGGAAAACATTCAGCATAGTTATAAATCCATTTCCTGGTGGCATTTGGTAATGATTTGTCTATCTGTTACTGTTTAGATCCTTGACTATCAAATATAATTAGGTATATAGAAAGACAGCCTAATTTGGTAAAATAAAACAAATTAATAAAGATAAGAGAATAAATTGAATAACTCTATCTTTAAGAAAATACCTTAGTTGGAAAAGTACCCAGAATTGGATTTTGTAGGGCTTTCCCAACTTTGCCTTTGTAAAATAAGTAGTGCTTTTTTCACCCTTAGGTTTGAAAATGAACTCTTTCATCTTGAAAGTTATAATCATGAAATTCTTTTGTCTTTGCTTGCATCAGATTAAGTTTAGAATTATTGCTGCTTAATTATTTATCCTAGACATCAATCAAAGATTAAAAGAGTGGATTCTGTCTACCTTCCAACTCTTTCAAGGTAAAGATTGTGTTTTCAATATGGGTTTCTTTAGTGCTACTTTGCTGAACAAACAACAGAGAGGGAAGGTTGTAGGAATCTTGGCTGACCATAAAGGCAAGAATTTAGTCTGGCTGTCTGGAATTGGTAAAGAGAAATTTGTCCCTTCCTTAATGCTGTTGATGTATTGATTTGGGAATTTACAAGTTTGTTTTTAGGGCTGAATTGCTTTTAAAAAATTACAGCTACTATTTCTTGGGTTCTGTAATTGTTAATATTGAGTGTCAACTTGATTGGATTGAAGGATGCAGAGTATTGTTCTTGGGTGCATCTCTGAGGGTTTTGCCAAAAGAGATTAACATTTGAGTCAGTGGACTGGGAGAGGCAGGCCCACCCTCAAACTGGGAGTGTAGCATTTATTCAGCTGCCAGCATGACTAGAGTAAAGCCGGCAGAAGAAGTTGGAAGGACTTGACTTGCTGAGTCTTCCAGTCTTCATCTTTCTCCCATGCTGGATGCTTCCTGCCCTCGAACATCAGACTCCAAGTTCTTCAGCTTTTGAGCTCTTGGACTTAAACCAGTGGTTTTCCAGGGGCCCTCAGTCTTTTGGCCACGGATGAAGGCTACACTGTCGGCTTCCCTACTTTTGAGGTTTTGGGACTCAGACTGGCTTCCTTGCTCCTTAGTTTGCATATGGCCTATTGTGGGGCTTCACCTTGTGATCGTGTGAGTCAAGACTCGTTAATAAACTTCCCTTCATACATACATCTTTCCTCTTCTGTCCCTCTAGAGAACCCTAATTAATATAAGTACCTAGTGTGAATTTGGACATTTTATGATATAGGGGTTGTAGGACTTCATTTTATATTGAAGAAACAGAGCCTCTGGCAATTTAATACATGGCTCACAAAAGTAGTCTCAAGACTCTTCCCAAGTCTCATGCTCTTTGGTTACTCCCGGGCTTGTTTCCTTTGAAAAATGTGGGCATTGAAAGTAGTAGTTTTATTTATCATTACGCTATGAGTTTGTCATTTTCAAAGGAAAATAATTAATGTTCCTGCATTCTCTTTTTCATATCTTTTCCATTGAGCTTTCTCATCACTTTTTATCCCAGCCACCATCATTTGCCTTAATTTTCTTACTTCTTTCTGTCTTAATACAGAATAATGGCTCCAATAAGAAATAATCTTTTTTAAAAAGCAATTTTATTGAGATATAATTCACAAAGCATACAATTCATTCATTTAATGTATATAATTTAATGAGTTTAAGTATATTCAGAGAGTTATGCCACCATCATCACAATCAATTTTAGGACACTTTTAACTCCCCACAAAACTCCATACCGTTTAGATGTCACCCCCTAATCTCCATATTCCACATTTCTCCTAGCCCTAGGCAACCATGAGTCTACTTTCTGTCTCTGTGGATTTACTTATTCTGGACATTTCTTATAAACAAAATCATATGATGTGTTGTCTTTTGTAAGTAGCTTCTTTCACTCAACATATTTTCAAGGTTCATCCATGTTACAGCATGTCAGTACTGTATTTCTTTTTATTGTTGAATATTATTCTGTTTGGCTCTACCACATTTTATTTATCCACTTATCAAATGATGGACATTTGCCACTAACAGACAAATGGATAAAGAAAATTGTGGCGTGTGTGTGTGTGTGTGTTTGTGTGTATGTATGTATGTATACACACCATGGAATATTATTCCCCCTTAAAAAAGGAGATCCTGCCATTTGGGACAGTGTAGATGAACCTAGATGCCATTCTGATAAGTGAAATAAGACAGACACGGAAAGAAAAATATTACATAATCTCTCCTGTATGTGGAATCTAAAAATAAAGAAAGAGCTCCGATACACAGAGATATAGAATAAAACAGTGTTTACCACAGCAGTGAGAGGGAAGAGGAAATAGGAGATGTACGTTAAAGGATACAAAATGGAAGGTATGTATGAACAGGTTTAGATATCGAATGTAAAACATGAGGCCCAAGGTTAATAAAATTTTATTTTGTTAAAGATTTTTATTAAATAAGTAGATTTTGGCTGGGCGTGTTGGTTCACACCTGTAATCCCAGCACTTTGGGAGGCCAAGGTGGGCAGATGGCTTGAAACCAAGAGTTTGAGGCTAGCCTGGGAATCATGGCAAATCTTGTCTCTATAAAAATATGAAAAATTAGCTGGGCATGGTGGCACACACCTGTTGTCCCAGCACTCAGGAGGCTGAGGTAGGAAGATTGAGGCTGCAGTGAGCCATGATTGCGCCACTGCATTCCAGCCTGGATGAAAGAGCAAGACTCTGTCTCAAGAAAAAAAAAAAAAAGAGAGAAAAAGTAGATTTTAAGTATTCTTGTCACAAAAAAAGTAACTATGTAAGATGATAGATATATTAGTTTGCTCCACTGTCACAGTCATTTTACTCTTTCTTTGTATTCCATGACATCGTGTTGTAAATCTCAAACATAAACAATAGAATATATATTTAGAAATTGATGGACATTGGGATTGTTTCTATTTTTGGCTATTTTGAATAATGCTGCTATGAACATTTGTGTACAAGTTTTTGTGTGTATACATATTTTCATTTTGGTAGGTAGATCTCTAGGAGTGGGATTGGTGGGTCATATAGTAACTCACTGTTTAACCATTTGAGGAACTGCCAGACTATTTTCCATAGTGGTTGTGCAATTTTACATTTGCACCAGCATTGTAAGAAGGTTCTAATTTCTGCACATCCTCACCAACACTTTTTTTTCCAAGAAAGTGATTTTATTTTTAAAAATTTTGATTTTTATTTTAAGTTCTGGGGTACATGTGCAGGATATGCAGGTGTGTTACATAGGTAAACGTGTGCCATGGTGGTTTGCTGCACCTATCAAACCATCACCTAGGTGTTAATCCCAGCAGGCATTAGCTATTTTTCCTAATGCTCTCTCTCCCCGCAACCCCTCCCCTGACAGTTCTTGGTATGTGTTGTTCCCCTCCCTGTGTCCATGTGTTCTCATTGTTCAAATCCCACTTATAATTGAGAACATGCGGTATTTGGTTTTCTGTTCCTGCGTTAGTTTGCCGAGGATAATGACTTCCAGCTCCATCCATGTTCCTGCAAAGGACATGCTCTCATTCCTTTTTATGGCTGCATAGTATTCCATGGTGTATATGTACCACATTTTCTTGATCTGGTCTATCATTGATGGGCATTTGGGATTGATTCCATGTCTTTGCTATTGTGAATAGTGCTGCCATGAATATACGTGCGCATGTGTCTTTGTAATAGAATGATTTATATTATTTTGGGTATATACCCAGTAATGAAATTGCTGGGTCAGATGGTATTTCTAGATCTAGATCTTTGAGGAAAAACTGCACCTTCCATAATTGTTGAACTAATTTACATTTCCACCAACAGTGTAAAAGTGTTCCTATTTCTCCACAACTTTACCAGCATCTGTTATTTCTTGACCTTTTAATAATTGCCATCCTGACTGGCATGAGATAGTATAAACTTGTGGTTTTGATTTGCATTTCTCTGATGATCAGTGATGTTAATACCAACACTTTTTATTATCTGTTTTTTTTTCAAACTATAGCCATCCTAATGAGTGTGAAGTGATATCCCATGTAGTTTTCATTTGCATTTCCCCGATGACTAATATTGAGCATCTTTTCCTATTATTTTTGGCCACTTCTGTTACCTTTCTGGAGAAATGTCTATTCAGATCCTTTGAATATTTTCTTCATTGCTTTTAACAATAAAAAAATGTAAATGATGAATAAAAGAATTCTGTCCTGATGCCTCTAAGTAAGAGATACTGGAAAGCACGAGCTTGGTTTGTGGGCCTTTCACTACAAAGAGAGCTTATCAAACCATAGGAGAGATCAGATGAACATATATCATGCTCTTCTTTGCTACTTTGTTCACATGTAACATTTTCTTTGTTTTTATATGAAATTAGCATAATGCTTTCAGCTGGAAAACTGCTAATGTTTTAATAATATTTGTAGCAGCAGTAGTAAGCATCTCTTGATTTACTGAGTACTTTCTATATAGTTAACAGCATATATATAATAAAGTCATTATATTTATTATCTCATTTAATTCTTACAATAGAAGAAAACCCCAATTGTGACAGGTACCGTTTTCTTCTGAGAGGTTGACAAAAGTTGAATAATTGCCCAAATTCATACAACTAAAATGTAGTAGTCAGGACTCAAACCTAGGTCTGTCTTAATACAGTTTTTATTAAGATAAAATTCACTTGCTGTTATTATGTGTTTTTGGTGGTTGTGTTTGTGTTCACTTTACCTTGTCATGTTGTGTTATTGGAGAAAACTTTTTTTGAGAATGATACTTGGACTTTTTTTCTGTCCTTCTCCATTTCCTTTGCGATTGGTTAATGTATAATGTTTTGCATTATTAAGACTTTGCCTAAAGGTCTTAATGAAAAAGATGTTTTGAGCTAAAATATATTAATTTTTAGTGTTTTACTGATTGCATATTACACTTTATATTAAAGGTGTGTGGAAGTGTTTTTATCCCATTTCCAAAGATGTTAGGTTTTTAAAGCATCACATTTACTTTGGGTAATGAAAAAAAGTAGTATCACTTATTAGTCTCTCACAAAGCTGTTTTCATTTTTTCATATCCCTTTTCATTGTATTTTCTTTATTCATTATTTCACAGAGTTTCTGTGTTCTCTAATTCGTTTACATTTTGCTAGAAAGATTTTTGATGTAGCGACATATTTTAATGGCTTACTTTCCGTTGAATGAAAATATTAGTAATCAATGATTCATTTTTGATTGAATATTTAAGTTGCTTCCCATTTTTCTCTCTTATTTGTTTATCGAGATGGGGTCTTGCTCTGACGGCCATGCTGGAGTGCAGTGGTGTGGTCATGGTCCACAGCAGCCTTTATCTCTGGGTGCAAGGGATCCTCCCACCTTAGACTCCTGAGTAGCTGGGACTACAGGTGCATGCCACTATATTTGGCTAACTTAAATTTTTTGTAGAGACAGAGTCTCACTATGTTGACCAGGCTGGTTGTCTTGAACTCCTTGGCTCAAGCAGTCCTCTCACCTTGGCCTCCCAAAGTACTGAGATTATAGGCATGATAATCTCATGCCTGGCCTATGACTACCTTTAAAGGATGTTTTTGAAATTCATTTTATTGACTAGGGATCTTATTTAAATCCGTAGTTTTAAAGCAATTATTCTGTGTTTTTTTTATGGACAGCCTTTTCTTTTAAAAGAAGATGAAGTTGTCATTGTGTTGTTCTAGAGGTATTTGGGTTTGTGGTTTAAGTATACAAGGGATCCTCTTGATATCATAATCTCGTAAAGGTTATTGTCTGTTCCCAAAGATGTTCAAATAGAATGGTTGGCAGCCTTTCAGCAGTGTTCAGGCCAGTTATCATTTATTCATTCTCCGGTAGGAAGAGGTGGTGAGGAGAGCAAGGGAAAGTACATTGGCACAGCTTCTCTTTCAAACCCTGTCTGTTGCAACAACAAACATGAGGTAGAGATTTCTGTAGGTAGGACACAAAATGTGTTAACCTTAAAATAAAAATATTGAAAACTTGAGCCAGGCTGTGCAAGGCTTTCTGCATATAAAGATTTATGAGACATTTTTGGCCTTCTAGGAGCTCACAGTCTGGTAGGGGAAACATGGTGTTAAGTACACTAAATGTATTTAAAATTTAGAAATGTTCGGGGGAGAGATAGAAGACACATCAACAGAATATTTCAAACCTTAAGCAGCATCCTCAGGTTGCAGAGAGACAGATTAGGAACTGGAGGAAAGAGGCTCAATAGCTCACCTGTATGTTTCTTTTTTCTTTATACATTCTGTGATATTGAGATATAATTCATAAATATACAATTCACCTATCTATAGTGCATAATTTAGTGACTTTTTGAATAGAGTTTTGAAAAGCTTACTAAAATCAATTTTAGAACATTTTCATTACCTCAGAATGAAACCCACATCCCTTAAGCATTGAACCCCAATCCTCCCATACCTCCCTGCTTTAGGGAACCAGCAATCTACTTTCCGTCTGCATAGATATACCTATTCTGGACACTTCATATGGAGTCATACAATATATTGCCCTTTGTGTTTGGTTTTTCAATTGGCATAATGTTTTCAAGGTTCATTCTTGTGGCAACATGTATCAATACTTTTTATAGTGTCTTTTTAGGGTTGAGTAATACTGTGTTGTATGGCTGTATCAGTTGATGAACATTTGGCTTTTTTCCATTTTTTTGGCTATAATGAATAATGGTGCTATGAGCCTTCATGTACAAGCTTTCATGTCAACGTATGAGTTTCATCCTTTTTTTGGTGTATATCTAAGAGTGGAATTGCTGGATCATATGATAATTCTATGCTTAACTGTTTTGAGGAATGCCATACTGTTTTCCAGAGTAGCAGTTCTGTTTTACATTCTCTCCAACATGTACTTTTCTTCTGTTCTCCCCAAATAAGTCAGATTCTCCTGGATAGATGTTACCACTGAAGCATTTTAGCTGTTACCTTCATTCTTTTTTTTTAATTTTTAATTTTTGTGGGTATATAGTAAGTATATATATTTATGAGGGTGCATGAGATGTTTTGATACAGGCACGCAACATGAAATAAGTACATCATGGAGAATGGAGTAATCATCCTTTCGAGTATTTATCCTTTGAGTTACAAACAATCTAATTACACTCTTTAAGTTATTTTAAAATGTACAATTGAGTTATTATTGACTGTAGTCACTCAATTGTGCTATAAAATTCTTAATCTTATTCATTCTCTTTTTTCTTTTTGTACCCACTAACCATCCCTGCCTCCCTACCAGTCCTCCACTACCCTTCCCATCTTTCTGTGTCTGGCTTATTTCACTTAGCATAATGCCCTCTAGTTTCATCCATGGTGTGGCAAATGACAGGACCTCCATTTTTAAGGCTGAATAATATTCCATTGTTAATATGTATTACGTTTTCTTTATCCATTCATCAGTGGACACTTAGGTTGTTTCCATATTTGAGCTATTGTGAATAATGCTTTAATAAACATGAGAGTGCAGATATCTTTGTAAGGCTGTGATATCTTTATGAGGTAGTGACTAATAAACGTGGGAATGCAAATGTCTTTACAAAGTTGCATATACTACTTTGTGTATATACCCAGAAGAGGGATTGCTAGGTCATATGGTAGTTTTATTTTTAGTTTCTTTAAGAACCTCTATACTGTTTTCTGTAATAGCTGTACCAATCTGCATTCCCACCAATAGTGTAATAGGGTTCCCTTTTTCCATCAACATTCTATATCTCTTATGTTTCTGATAATAGTCATCCTAAAGGGTGTGAGGTGATATCTCATAGTGGTTTTAATTTGAATTTCCCTCATGATTAGTGATGTTGAGCAATAGGTATCATTTTTCAAGAGTTACCAATAGCAGTCCTGAATGGTTTAATGTTTATTATAATAAGGATGTTTGTCCTGGTATAAAAGCCACTAACATTTATATAAATAAAAGTTTGAAAACTTATGGCTTATTTTCTTTGATTATTATAGGATTAATATTTTTCAAATTGATTCCAATATTAACTAAAGATAAACATACTAATATCTACTTTCTCTTGATAAGACAGGAAGATCTCGCAGTACCTGGCTTGCTTTTTCACATGGCAGCGACCACTTGGTGCTAAGTAGCAGTTAGAAGCTTCCTTTAGATGAGTGTGCTTTCTAATTTGGTGCACTTCTCTAGGCTTATAGATTTACATCATCTGCCTGACCCAAGTAGTCCTTCGAAGTGTGTCCTTTATTTTAGCATTGCAAGTAACTTCATATGTGATCTCAATTTGTCTCTGTAACAACTCTCTCTTCAACTTCACAAACTGCTCTTCAAAAAAGTTATATGATTGACTAGTAAACACATAGAAAAATGTCAGCATCACTGGTCATTGGGAAATGTGCACACCACTGGAATCACTAAAATTAAAAAGACTGACAATACTAAATATTGGAGAATATATGAAGTAACTGGATATCTCATATATTGTAAATGTACAACTACTGTGGAAAAGCATTATGCAGTTTCTTATAAATATGAACATAATTCTACCTGATGATCCAGCAATTCCACTTCTAGATACTTACCCAAGTAAACAAAAACATGTTCAGGTAAAAGACTTGTACGGAATGTTCATTTCAGCTTTGTTAAGGATAGCATATTTGAAAAAAACAACTTGATGTTCTTTATTCAGGAATACTGTGCAGTCATAAAAAAGAACAACATCATGTCCATTGCAGGGACATGGATGGAACTGGATGCCCTTATCCTCAGTAAACTAACACGGGAACAGAAAACCAAACACCGCATGTTGTCACTTATAAGTGGGAGCTGAACGATGAGAACATATGGACACACAGAGGGGAACAACACACACTGGGGTCTGTTGTGGGGGAGGGGGAGGGAGAGCATCTGAGAAGAATAGCTAATGTGTGTTGGGCTTAATACCTAGGTGATGGGTTGATCTGTGGAGCAAGCATCGCACACGTTTACTTACGTAGCAAACCTGTACATCCTACACATGTACCTTGGAACTTAAAAGTTGGAAAAAAGAAAAGAAAACAACTCGAATAACCATTATCTGGTCAATGGGTAAACAAATCGTTGTGTATTTGTATAATAGAATACTAGTAGCAGTGAAAAGGAATGGACCACTGCTACTTGCAACAACACAGATATATCTTGAAAACATGTTCAGTGAAAGAAGCCACATACCACGCGATTCCTTCCTTATGAACTTCAGGAACAGGCAAAACTAATCTATGTGTGTAGAAATCAGAGTAGTGGTAGTCTTGGGGTGGGAGTAGGGAGATAGACCAGAAAGGGACAGGAGGAAATTTTCTGGACTGTGGTTTATATTTGCACCATCCAGTATAATAGCTGTTAGCCACATATGGCTAGTGATCACTTGAACTATGGCTAATCCCAATTGTGATGTGCTATACATACAAACTATATAACATTAGTATGAAAAAGTAAAATATCTTATTGATAATGTTTTAAAAATTGATTTCATATTGAAGTGAGAATTTTTGGATGTATTGTGTCAAATAAAATATATTTAAAATAATTTTACCTTTTTTACTTTTCAGATGTAGTTACTAGAAAATTTAAAAGGATACATGTGGCTCACATTGTATTTCCTTGGTCTCTATTTTAATTGAGGTGGTAATTATACCTTTATACCTGTATTTACATACTTGTCAGAATTTATCAAACTGTACAATTAAGATCTGTTCTTTTTACAGTATGTTATTCTACTTCAGTAAATCAAAAGTATAAAAGCTACCTTTTTTTCATGCCATGTACAATGTTTGGTGTTTGGTGTGCATTACGTCCTGTATTAAACTTCATAATAATCTTGTAATGTAGGTGATATTTACTAATGGGTTTAGAAAGTCTAAGTAACATACCCAAATTAACTTGGAAATGTGTTGTAACATGGAGATTTGGAGATATTCTTTCATTTGACTATAATTCTTATGGTTTTGCAGTTGTATCATGTTGCCTTATTAATTGTGATAAAAGTGTGAGTGTAGTTTAGGAACAATTTAAATTTTACTATCAGCCATTGACTGATTTCTCAACCTGTGCTCCATGTTGTGGTGAATGAGTCATAATATTTCTGAAAGGTAATTCTCTAACTGGGTAAGAATCAAGTAACATTGCTACTGATGTTTCAAGGAGAAAAAGAATGTTCAGTCTAAACAAATTGTCCAGGGTTGGAGAAGAAATACAGGATGTGCCGAAATTAAAATCAATACATTGTTCTGAAAGAGAGAGATTAACTTTTAACATTTTGTCTCCCAAAGTCTTGAGATGGGAATGTGAGGCAGTGCCACTCCTGTGTTTTCCTAATCAGCTGTGAGTCTGTTGTAGCAAAAATTAATAGGCGTTGCAAGATCATGAAGAAAAGCTCTTTCATCTTGCCCAGCTCCAAGAGGGTGCTATATTTTCAAAGCCAAGCATTGTATGATTGAGCAATAGATAAGGAGGAGGGGCGGCCTTTCCTGGGGATTCTTGACCGCTAGAAGAGTTCATTTCAGGCCATTTGTCACAGCAGTGATTTCCCCGGAAATACCCTGTGCCAAGGTTATGTTTTGGCTATTCTATCCCCTTTTATTTATTTACTTTCTGAAATCATGGTGGAAGATAGTTGTCCCTGCCCTCTCTCATCATCCTAACCCTTTGTCTAGGGGCTCCTTTGGAGCACTATGGGGTGGGAATGATTTTCAATGGGACTCAGCAGGTTTGCAAGGTTTTAGGGAGTTAGTGTGGTATAAAAATGGCCAATAGAAATCCTGCATTTTGTTTAAGCATTTTTTAGCGTGGTAAATATAATTTAATATGGAAATGTGATCCATTGTCTGATGGCAGGTTTTCTCAGCTGTGTACAGTAAGGCTTCTGTCGCCTACTGTGGATTCAGTATTTATTACACTCTGGAACCTCTTTTGTTGTTCTTATGTTTTGTTTGTGGGACTTTTAAAGGTGGATTGCCTGTCTAACCTTGCAGAAGAGTTTATTAAATTTAATTTGCTATGCATTAGAGAATGAATTTGTTGGTCTTTTTGAACAGCGCTCTATGTTATTTGTAGTTGGGGCATGTTTTTTTGATGCCTTCAGTTCTTCCTGGGCATGAAAACTCTTTTTGTACATTTGTTGAATCTATTTCCATGCTGAGCTTTTTATATACTACACAATGACTCTTTGCAGTCGAAAGTTGTAGTTTGGCCTTATTTTTAACTTTAAAAGGACAGCAGGAACTTACCTTTTATTAACATTCACTTTGTCACCCTGCAAGTAGATTTTTAAGTATGGTTTTTCATTATCAAAATGAAATTTTAACTGACTGTGTTATTTTTTTTAATAGAATACCATTCAGTACACATAAGTCATATATGAAACGGGTAGGGAATTAAAAAATGAAAGGTTTGTTGCTTAAAAAGAAAACAATTATGTTGACTGCTCTTTAATTGATTGTTTTATTAAGAAAAATTTGGAGATCATGGAAAGTTGAATGCTATATCCCAACTTATAATGGGAAAATTTTAAATGGAGGCCTTAATATTTTACCACTTAAAATTTTTGCTTCTATCCTCCAGTCCCCTTTTCTCTGCTCTCTGCCCTTTAGTATTCCCAGATTTGTTATCATCATTTAAGACACTTTACTCTGAAAATTTACAATCTCAACTTTCGAAGTTACTACATTTAGGATCTCCATTGCCCCCGTGCTTTATTTTTATCCATTTTGGGGGTTTATTTTGTGTCTCAAGGCTTTTTGTATGAAAAGTTCTCTCACTTGAATCAAAATCATGGTCTCTGAGGATTATTAGCTGACATGAGTAGTCTGTGACCAAACCTGAAGGCTGTTCAGGGTGTCCAGCCGTGAGTTTCCGGCTCTCAGTCACAAACCGAGGGCATTCTTTAAAAGATCAAACAAGCTGGACACTGGGAGGGTTTTAATGATGCCAGTTAACATCAGAGGAGCTGGGCTCAGTGGTTGCAAATTGTGCTCATCTGAATAAATGCCACTGAGCTGGAAATAATGACATGACTAAAATGATGGTAATTGTGTGCTGTTCTACCATTCCAGTGAATAAAATATACTGGTTTAAGCTTATATAATGGGTAGGGTTTTTTTTTGGGAGGGGGGTTGGTAAATGGGGACAGGGAGTGTAGAGACAGAGTCACTGAAGTAGGGCAGTAGACAAAATGACGTTAATGTTTTGAAAAGGTTTTGGAATTTGAAATCTGATTGGAAGCATTATGTTTGTACAAGAATTATTATATCTGTTTTTAAAAGTATTTTATTCAGCATGTACTCTCAAATGATCTAGAATTAAACTTTTATAAACAATGGTGTTATTTGTTGGGCTTAAACTCGTTTCTGTGCTATGTAAACATGTCCATAAGAACAAGACCATCCCACCTTCTCCATGCGTAGGATAAAATAACTAAGAGACTCATTTCTAAAAACTCTAGTGATACCAAATTAGACTTAACCTTGATTATATGAATAAAATAACATATACTGAAATTGTTAATGAAAGAAGTTAACTTGCTTAAAGGAAATTTGGAATTAAGACAGCGAGACTGGTAAGTCTTTTCATAGTTATATAATTTATCAGAAAGCCTCACTAGCATGCATATAAGCCCAGAAATTGTATTTAAACAATGCAATGTATACCTTTTCTTTTAAAGGTGTTTATTTTTAAGTTTAGAAACGTTATAGTTGAAGGAATAGGATTTCTTAGAGTTTGTGGTCTGTACTATTAGTTGGAGGTCATTCTAAAGCCTTTTTCATGTTTTGAGTATACATTAGTTATCTTTTGTGATTTAGATGACATTATACCACATAGGTCTTTTTTTTTTTAATTTTGAGCTTTATTAAAAGCTGGGCTTATTTCTTTTCACAATAGCCTGGTGGAATGTATTATGCCTTAGGTTCTAAATTCAGCAGTAATGAGTAAGATGTTCTCTGGGGGAGAACATTCTTTTTGCTTCAGAGCCATGGCACACTGCCTCTACTTATGTAAATTGTCATTTGAGCAATTTACTTGCTTAAACAATTTACGAGGTCATATGACTTTGATCTGAAATGGTAGAATAACAGGTCAAACAAAGTGATGTCATTGACCTTATTTCATTTATGCTACACTTGTAACCTCAATAGGAGTGCATTTCCTTCTATTCCACTTGTTTGGCTCAGGTACTCTATCCATGTTATGGACTTCATAGAAAAGTGATTGGCAGTGACTTCTACTATGTAGAGTAGGATCTCCAAAGTTTATAGATAGCTTAGGCTACTGAATCCAAATCTCTAGAGATAAAGCTTAGACTGTTTATTATTTGAGTTCCCCATGACTTTGATGTTTAGTGAAGTTTGGGACCATTCTTAAGAACACCAGTATCTAAAGTGATTTATGTATAAGCCTGCCCATGGGGTATGGAAAGAAAATATTAGAGTATTTCTTATTTATCTTTTATCTTTAAAAGATAAATTAAGCTTTACTAATATTTAACGTATGGATTGGTGGTTTCCTTACTTGCACTTACACCAGAGGATCATGTGTTATGTACAGTAGCCAGGTATTCTGAAGGAAGAATGGAGAGTTCCACAATAAAGATTGGTTGTAGCACCATCTCTCTGTTAGAATACAGCATTCCCTAGGAGTTTATGCATACCAGTTATATGAATTTATGTTGTGTGCCTATATAGGGGTGTGTGTGTGTGTTTGTGAGTATGTGTGTTTCCATCATTTTGTTAGCCATGCTTATTCCAGGTGTGGATTGTTATAAGGTTTATGTGAGGCACTGTTAACCTTGGCTTTATGGAATTTCTTTCTTTCTTTTTTTTTTTTTTTTTGAGACTAGGTTTACTGCTGTTGCCCAAGCTGGAGTGCAGTGGCACAATCTTGGCTCACTGCAACCTCTGCCTCCCAGGCTCAAGCTATCCTTCTGCTTCACCCTTCCAAGTAGCTGGGACTACAGGTGTGCAGACCCGTGCCTGACTAATTGTTTTTGTATTTTTTGTAGAGACTGGGTTTGCCATGTTGCCCAGGCTGGTTTCAAACTCCTGAGCTCAAGTGTCTTGCCCGCTTAGGCCTCTCAAAGTGCTGAGATTACAGGTGTGAGCCACTGCAACCAGCCTGAATTTCTGTATTCTTTATGGTTATGCTTAAGCACAACTCCACACAAAAATTACTTTCCCTTTTTTTTGAACTATGCAATCACTTAATTTTTTTTTATTTTTAATGTTTATGGGTACATAAGTGTATATAGTTAAGGGGTACACGAGATATTTTGACACAGGCATACGATGTCTAATAATCACATCAAGGTTAATGGAGGTATCCATCACTTCAAGCATTTATCATTTCTTTGTGTTATGAACATTCCATACCTGGCCCTGATTTGACTTTTTTATATGCTAAGAGATAAGGGTCAAGTTTCATTTTTCTGCATATGATTATCCAGCTTTCTCAGCACTATTTATTGAGGTGACTATCCTTTCCCCAGTGTATGTTCTTGGCATCTTTGTCAAAAATTAGTTCACTCTAGATGTATGGATTTATGTCTGGCTACTCTATTCTGTTCCGTTGGTCTATGTGTCTGTTTTTATGCCAGTAGCATGCTGTTTTGGTTACTATAGCTTTGTAATGTTATTTGAAGTCAGTAATGTGATTCCTCCAGTTTTGTTGTTTTTGCTCGGGATGGTTTTGGCTATTCTGGGTCTTTCATGGTTCCATATAAATTTTAGGATTATATTTCCTGTTTATGTGAAGAATGTCTTTGTTATTTTGATAGGGATTGCAATAAATTTATAGATTTCTTTAAATAATGTGGACATTTTAACAATATTGATTCTTCCAATTTATGAACATGGAATATCTTTCTATTTATTTTTGTGTGTGTCCTCTTCAGTTTCTCTCATCAATGTTTTATAGCATTCATTGTAGATCTCTTTTACTTCTTTGGTTAAGTTTATATTTAGGTATTTTATTTTATGTAGAGGTATATCATTTTATTTTATTTTATTTTATTTTATGTAGAGATCTTTTACTTCTTTGGTTAAGTTTATACTTAGGTATTTTATTTTATTATTATAAGTATTTTAAGTGGAATTACTTTGTTTTTTTCATATTATTTACTGTTTGCCTGTAGAAATGCCACTGATTTTTTAATGTTTTTTTTTTTAATTCTTTAACTTTCCTGAATTTGAAGTCTTTAGGTTTTTTTCCAATATAAGATTATATCAACTGCAAAATAAGGTAATTTGACTTCTTCAATTTGGATGCCCTTTCTTTCTCTTGTCTAATTGCTCTAGCTAGGACTTCAGTTCTATGTTGAATAACACTAGTGAAAATGGGCATCCTTAGTCTTGTTCTAGATTGTAGAGGGAAGAATTTCAGCTTTCCCTCATTTAATGTAATACTAGCTGTGGGTCTGTCTTACGTGGCTTTTATTATGTTGATGTATGTTCCTTCTATACCCAGTTTTTTTAGAGTTTTTATCATGAAGGGATGTTAATGTTGAATTGTACTGAATACTTTTCCAGCATCAACTGAAATGATTATATGATTTTGGTGCTTTATTCTATTGATACGATATGTCATATTGAATTGCATATGTTGAACCATCTGTGCATTCCTGGAATAAATACCACTTAGGATGAATGATCTTTTTAATATGTTGTTGAATTTGGTTTGCTATTATTTTACTGAGGATTTTTGCATCAGTGTTCATCAGGGATATTGGCCTGTAATTTTCTTTTTTTAAGAAAATTGTTTATCTTTTCTGATTTTGGTATCAGTGTGATACTGGCCTTGTAGAATGAGTTTGAAAGTACTTCTGTGTCCCCTATTTTTTGTAATAGTTTAAGTAGGATTGATTTTAGTTCTTCTATAAATGTTTAGTTCTTCTATAAATGTCTTTTGATTGCAGAGTTTAGGCCATTTACATCAGTGAAGCCATCAGTTTCTGGGCTTTTTTTTTTGATGGAAGACTTTATTTTGGCATTGCTCTCCTTACTTTTTATGGGTCCATTCAGGTTTTGGATTTCTTCCTAGTTTGGTCTTGTTGGTATGTGTCTAAGAATTTATTAGTTTCATCTAAGTTTTTCAATTTATTGTCATATAGTTGCTCATTGGTAGCCTCTACTGATACTTTGAATTTCTGCAGTATTAGTTGTAATATCTCCTTATTCATCCCTGATTTTATTTGGGCCTTCTTTTTCTTTTTTTAATTAGTCTGGCTAAAGATTTGTCAGTTTTGTTTATCTTTTCAATAAAACAACTTTTCATTTTCATCTTTTGTATTGTTTTCTTGACTTCAATTTTATTTATTTCCCCTTTCATCTTTGTTATTTCTTTTCTTCTAATTTTGGGTTTGATTTGCTCTTGCTTTTCTAGTTCTTTGATGTGTGTCATTAACCTGTTTATTTGATGTTTTTCTACTTTATTGATGTAGGTGCTTACTACTATTGACTTCTATCTTAGTAGTGCTTTTGCTGTATCCCATAGGTTTTGGTATCTTGTTTTCCCATTTTTATTTGTTTCAAGAAATTTAAAAATTTCCTTCTTAGTTTCTTTATTGACCCCACTGGTCATTTACGAGCATATTGTTTAATTTCTATGTGTTTGTATAGTTTCCAAAGTTATTCTTGTTATTGATTTCTAGTTTTATTCCATTGTGGTCAGAAAAGATACTTTACATGATTTTTTTTTTCAATTTTACAATACTATTTGTGGCCTAACCTTTGGTCTATCCATGAAAATGATCTCTGTGCTTAGGAGAAGAATGTGTATTTCTGCAGCTGTTGGATGAAATGCAGTGTAAGTGTCTATTAGGTCTATTTGTTCTGTACTGCTTATTACTTTTTTTGTTGACTTTCTGTCTGGATAATTGGTCTAATGCTGAAGGTGGGGTGTTGATGTCTGCAGCTATTATTGTCTTGGGGTCTGTTTCTCACTTTAGCTTTAATAATATCTGCCTTTATATCTGGGTATGCCAGTGTTGGGTACATATATATGTATAGTTTTTTTATCCTCATGCTGCATTAACCCCTTTATCATTATATCCTGACCTTATCCTTTTTACAGACTTTGTCTTGAAATGTTTTGTCATTGCTCCTGCTCTTTTTTGGTTTCCATTGGCATGTACTATCTTTTCCATCCCCTTTATTTCAGTCTATGTCTGACTCTATAGGTTAAGTATGTTTCTTGTAGACAGCAAACAGTTGAATGTTGTTTCTTCAGTCTATTCAGCCACTGTCTTTTGATTGCAGAGTTTAGGCCACTTATATTCAATGTGATTATTGATAAGTAAGGGCTTATTACTGCCATTTTATTCATTGTTTTCTGGTTGTTTTGTGGTCTTCTCTACCATACATCCTTCCTGTCTTCTTCTTTGTGAAAGTGATTTTCTCTGGTAATATATTTTAAATTTTTACTTTTTATTTTTTATATATCTCCTGTGGGTTATTGATTTGAGGTTATCATGAAGCTCGCAAATAACATCTTACAACCCATTATTTTAAACTGATGAGAACCTAACTCTGTAAAAACAAACAAATCTAATAAAAACTCTACACTTTAACTTCATCCTTTATGCTTTTTATCTTTTTGTTGTTTCTATTTATATCTTATATACTATGTGTTAAAAAGATGTTGGTATTATTTTTGATAGCTTTATTTTTTAGTTTTTCTACTCAAGATATGAGTAGTGTACATACCAGAATTACAATATTATAATGTTCTGTATTTGTTTCTGTACTTACTATTAACAGTGAATTTTGTGTCTTCAGATGATTTCCAAATGCTCTCTAACATCCTTTTCTTTCAGATTGAATAACTCCTTTAGCATTTCTTGTGGGACAGGTTTGATGTTGATGAAATCCCTCTGATTTTGTTTGTCTGGGAAAGTATTTTCTCTTTCGTATTTGAAGGATATTTTTACTGAATATACTGTTCAAGGATAGAAATTTTTTTGCTTCAGCACTTTAAATATGTCATGCCACTCTCTCCTAGCCTGTAATGTTTCCACAGAGAGTCTGCTGCTAGACTTATTGGAACGATTTTATATGTTATTTGTTTCTTTTCTCTTGTTGCTTTTAGGATCCTTTAAAAATCCTTAACCTTTAGGAGTTTGATTCTTAAATGTCTTGAGGTAGTCTTATTTTGATTAAAGCTGCTTGGTGTTCCATAACCTTTGTGTACTTGAATATTGATATCTTTCTCTAGGTTTGGGAAGTTCTCTGTTATTATCTCTTTAAAAATCTTTGTATTTTGATCTTTCTTTCTACCTCCTCTAGGATTTTCCTTAGATTTTCCTTCTCTATAGTTCATGTATACAGCATGTAATGAAATACGCATATATTCTAGTGTGCTACTAGTAGTGGCTGCCACTTAATAAATAAGGGATTGAAGAATAGTGGCTTAGAGTTGGAGAGACAGTATTTAGCCATGGAAAATTTAAGAACCACTTAGGACTGGTTAGGGTTTAGAGTCAGCAGTTACAGAGCAATATTAAAAGAGGGTTTGATTCTAAGTTATGATTCTAAGTTAGAAATGAAAGACAACCTTGGGCCAGGCAAGTGAACTTGCTTTCTAAGCCAACTCCAGTTCCTTGAAAAGTTAAACATAGAGTTACTATATGACCCAAAAAGCCCATTTCTAGGAATGTACCCAAGAAAAGTGCAACTATGTAAACTATACACTAAAACCTATGTATGAATATTCATAGCATTATTCATAATGGCCCTAAAGTAGAAACCACCCAGATGGCCATTTAGCCAACTGACCATTTTTATTTTTATTTAATCATTCATGTTTATTTCTCCACCTAAAATTTGTGTTCCTACTGTGCATAAGGCAC
The DNA here is from genome assembly GCF_000001405.40 of Homo sapiens. Taxonomy (NCBI): domain Eukaryota; kingdom Metazoa; phylum Chordata; class Mammalia; order Primates; family Hominidae; genus Homo; species Homo sapiens. The sequence goes on from NC_000009.12 coordinate 20,844,286, forward strand.
TTTTAGATGTTAGAGCTGTAATGAGATAAAGGGCAGACATGGTTCTAACCCTCAGGAAATTTCCTTTTTTTTTTTTTTTTTTTTTTTTTTGTTGAGACAGAGTCTCACTGTGTCACTCAGGCTGGAATGCAGTGGTGTGATCTCGGCTCACTGCAACCTCTGCCTCCCAAGTTTAAGCGATTCTCCTGCCTCAGCCTCCCGAGTAGCTGGGACTACAGGCATGTGCCACCACACATGGCTAATTTTTGTATTTTTAGTAGACACAGGGTTTCACTATGTTGGCCAGGCTGGTCTCAAACTCCTGACCTCAGGTGATCTGCCTGCCTCGGCCTCCCAAAGTGCTGGGATTACAGGTGTGAGCCACTGTACCCGGCCTCATCTAACCATTGATGGTACACTTACCTATTTGCAGTTGTGATGAAATCTACAAAGCAGAGATCGAAGTCACTTTGGGTATTTAGAGGATTTAAACTAATCTGAGAATATCAGTAAAATTAGTATTATTAGTGAGATATTTTCTAATTGTTAAGTTAATAATGAAGTTAATGTGATGGGTTTATTGAGTGATTTTTGTTTCTCTTTCGTGAAATTTTCCTATCCCTTAGGTTTGTGTCCTTCTCTTTTTATTTCATGCTTCCTTCTATATTTGACAACTTGACTTACTGTAAATGTTTATTTTCATGTTTGTATTTCTGTGAGCTACTTTGGGGGCATAATCCCTTTCCGATTTCTTTCGTAATCTCTAGTCCTAGTCCTTAATAGAGGGCAGAGTTTATTATGAGACTTCAGTGTCTGCTTCTTTATGAGACATTTTGAGTTGTCCAGGAAATGTCTAATTTCACAATCCCTCCCTCACTGACTCAATCAGTTTCTACTTATTAGAATATGCATATTGGTTTTTAAAGTATTTTTAATGCATGAGACACATTTGATGCTCAAAAATCAGAAAATATGGATTAGCAGAATTAGAAGCAAAAATTTACCCATATGTCACTATCCAGATATAACTCTGATAATAATTTGCCATATATAATTTCATGCATTTTTCTGAACATCTCTGTATGTCTATGGGTATTTTTAGAAATGAGATTGTACTGAACATATTTAGTAGAACCTGATTCTTCTCCTCTTGATATATTTTATGCATCTTTTCCTCGATATATATATATATATATATATATGACACGTGGTATATCATTGTACATGCCATGTATTGTCCATTTACTAGTCCTTTATTGATGGATATTTTATTAGATTGTTTCCAATTTTTTACTGTCATCTACAGTGCTACAGTGATCAGCTTTAGAGCTAAACTGTAGCACATATCTCTGATTATTTCTTTATAATAAATTTTTAGAAATGGGGCTGCCGGTCCAAGGATGTATAATTACCATTTATAAAGATTTCTCCCATATGGACTCCTACCTGTATTATACGGGAGTGCTGCTTTCTCTATAAGCTTTTCTGCATAGGATATAAGTTTTTTTTATATGTGTCTTCATATTTGTTTTGGAAAACATTGTTGACCATTGTAACTAAATTTCTGATTCTTTCATTTATGTAGTAAATGTGAACTGTGTGCAAATGCTAACATAATAAGCATTATTGATGATTTGGTTGCAGTTATCTGAGGATAAACTATATGATGCATTGAAATAAATGTGAAAATAGAAGGAAATCTCAAATGTTTATTATGAGGTTTTGTACTAGAAATTTACATTTACTTTCTATTAGTATGGACTTGCGGAGTTGCAAGGAGGAGTGCTCAGATATCTTCTAGACTCAAGTTAGACATTTAGGCACATTTCTCAGGGATTCCAGGCTAGAGTATGTCTGTTTCAGTCATTATGTTGGAGAGCACTTCCTCAGCCTCGTGTGCCCTGTCCATTCATCTGTGGCTACACTTAGGTTTCTGAGGGCTGAAACTAAGAAATCACTGTGGAGAAATGTGTACTCTTTATTTCTGTGTGAAGTTTTTGCCCAGTTTTGCCTTTTTCACCTCCTGGAGATTAGGCTGCACAGAATCAAAGGGAACTTCCGAATGTCCTTTTCTCTTTCTTAAAGCTTAAAACCAGAGCCAACCTAGATGGAAACAGCCAACATCTGGTTGCTCCTCTTTCCCTCTCACTGGACTTTGTCAGCTCCAGCCCCAAACTGTTTTAGCAGCCAAAAGCCCACTACGTAATTGTGAGGATTAAAGAGAGTGAAGGAGAAATGACAGCTTTTAAAATCTCTTTAATTCTAATATTAGGCCTGGGAGCCTTCTTCAAACAATATTATGGGAGTTTCATGATTGTACACTTGGCTGTGTTGGATGAATCAGATGCCAAATGAGCACCCTATGTAGCAAGGCTTGTTAAACTCTGGAAATGGTGTTGATTAATGTAGAAAGTAGAGTGATTGCCATGTAAGTTTAATTCTAATGATACGTATCCAGCCTAGTGCTGAAAATGGATGGTGGTCCAATGTCCAGTTCATCACTGGAAAATTACCCTAAGCTAAAGAGTTAATGTAACAGAATGTAATCTTAATACTGATGCCAAGAGAAGACATTTTAGTGCTTACCCATTGCCAAATACTGTGCCAAGTCTTTTTATAAACATCTTCACAGTAACTTTGTAAGGTTGTTATTAGTATTACCTTTCATGTTACAGATGTGGAGACTGAGGGTCACATAGCTACTTAGTGGCATGGGCAAAGTTTGACCTAGATTTCTCTGATTCCAAAACATCTGTCAAGTAGAACCATGCTAAATGCAAGCACTTTTGGTAAATAGCTTTATTGAGATAAAATTTATATATAATACAGTTCAGCCATTTTAATCGTGCATTTCAATTGTTTTTCCACAGAGTTGTACAATCATCACCACAAATAAGTTTGGGACATTTTCATCATCCCCAAAAGGAACTCTGCATTCCTTAGCTACTGCCTTCCCAATCCTTCATCTCTCTTTACCCGAGCCCTACACAACCAATAATCTACTTTTAGTTTCTATAAATTTGACTGTTTTGGACATTTTATGTAAATGGAATCATACAGTATGTGGTATTTTGTGACTGGCTTATTTCACATAGCATAATGTTTTCAAGGTTCATGCACGTTGTAGTATGTTAAGTCTAAATTCTTATAATGCTGCTATTATTTTCTTTGAGAACCTACAGGAAGCTGTTTAGTCCATCTGCTCAGATTTTTTTTTTTTTTTTAGATTCATGCAGTATTGTTTTCCTGGTGTGTGTTTATGGATTGTGTAGTTACCACCAGCCATATATTTAGTTGGTGTGACAAGAATAGTTGTTAATTCCTGGATTATGCTTTGGGGAAGGAGGGGCGATAATCATTCTTGGCAATAAGAGTACATAAGATATCCTTGGAATTATATTAGGTTTTCCATGTAGAAGAGTTTTGGCTTTATATTGTAAAATAAGAACAGCTATAGTAAACTTCCAAGTTTCCCTGTAAAACGAAATTTAAGTGAGTGAATAGAAAAAACATAAATGTCAGTTCTTATGAAAGAATGATCACTTTGCCAAATGTCTTTAAAAGAGAAGACAATAATTTTAGATGTCTTGTGAAAATAAAGTTTTCATGTAAGGTATAGGGTGAAGAGCAAAATAAAATTAATTTTAATTATAGAAAAATGATTAAGGATCAAATTCATAAACTGAGTATATTTCATTTAAAGTGTGACTCAAGTATTCTATGTATATGACAGGAAAGTCAGAAATTATGGGGTGTAGGAGGTAAGGGAAAACTTTCTCTCTGCTCTCTGAAGGTTTGCCGAAAATCACTGACAAAAAGGAGATTAATAGGTGCATACAAATTTATTTGATCATAGTTTTACATGGTATGGAATCCTTCAGATGAAGATCCAGAGATACAGGAGAAACAGTCTGTATGCTTAGCTTCAAGAAAGTATGGGCGGCCATGTAGAAATATGACTGGACAAAATGGGCATGATTTGACGCTAATAGACTGAGTGGGGAAACGCAGCAAGGCCTGTCCAGTTAAATTCTTCTTGGTCTCTCTAAGCATGCATTCCCTCCTTCTGGGTCTGGGTCAGGACCCTCTCTGGAATAGAGGTCTCATGGCCTACAGTCAATAACGTAGGTCAGGTAGTTTCTTTATGGCCAGTTTTTACACAGAAAGGTGGTGGGGAGGGTTAGAGTAATATTTTTAGATTTTATTGCTGGCTTTGGGGAAAAGGGTTCTGGTTTCCATGGGATTCTAGTTTCTGTGGCTAGCCTCTTGGAAGATGGAAGGGTCAGAGACAAGAGGGTAAGCTAAGGTCAGAGAGAGCTGCTTCTGAGATCTTCATTTTGGGGTATCATTTTCTGAAACCTGTAAGGGGAAGAAAAGAAGGTTAAAAATCACTATAAACCACAGGGTTAACCACGGTGTATGTATAATGAGAAAGGAATCATGCCGTACACATTCTTTTGCAACTTGTTTTTTTCAGCCAGCAGTTTACCAGGGGCACTATGTCATGTTGATAATCCACTTTTGACATCTAATTGAATGAAGACATGGCTGTACTGTAGTTTATGAATTTCCTGTTGTGGGATACTTAAGTTGCTTCTATTATTATTATTATTATTTTAATAAATCACACTGTGATAAATGTTTTTGTATCTTTATCTTTGCAAGTGTCTTTATTATTGGGTAGATTTGCATTTCTGGTGAAATGGACAATTAGGTTTGAAAAGAATTGAGAAAAAAGAGGCATTACTTCTCTGTACTCTCAGTTCATAATAGGCAAGCAGTTTAAACAGAAGGTGCTTTGTTTTTAATTTGGAAAAAATATATAAAAAAGGATTTTATTAATGGCCAAGCCAATATACTTTTCCAGTACCTCCTTCACTTCTCTTGAGTGAAAAGAGCCATGAAAAGCTTTCCATATAGACATCTCCCTCCTTTCCTAGACTCCAGGACCCTCTACTTTCTTGGTTCTCCTACTTTGCTAACATTTCTTCTTGGTGCCCTTTGTTTCCTCTTGTTTTTAAATATATTTTCCACAGCATGTGGACTCTTTTGGAAATCAACCATCTATCCTCTCCTTTCCCCCAACAGTTACTGTCTGCTTCTTGAAACTTTTTCTGGTTTTTTTTTTCTGTTTTTTAAACTATTGTTATATTATAGATGTTTTTCTGGGGTATTCTAATATAGTCAGTCAACCTTAATGTTGACTTCTAGGAATAACTTAACCAACATTAATAGCTCACTTACACTTGTGGAGTTTTTACATATAGTTTTAATTTTGAACTCTTTATTATTTGCTTAGGACAGCTTTGGTTTTGCTGTACTCTCAAGAGATTTGGGTCCAAAGAGTTAGCATCTTTAATTTGCAGTGAAAAAAATCATTAACGTCATGGTTTACAAACTCGTGTACATGGGGTATTTGAAGACTTTCTAAGGGATAGGCAGCCATGTTAGTTTTAGTAACTACATGTCCAGATCTTCAACTTCACTATGTACTCTTCCCTGACATTTATCTGCCTTAGATTAAACTGTTTCTCCTTTCCCAGCTATCCTTTCATAATTGCCTCCTTTCTACTCTGCAAAAAGAAGGCCTATCTCTACTTGTAAATCTTTCTTAGTTCATTGCTCTCAGGTATAAAAATTTCAGGGCATTGAACAAAGAGACAGTTCAAAATATTGATTTTTGGGGAAGCATTTTTTATCAAGGAACCATCTTGCTCTTCTACTGAGACCACACCATTTCTGATTTTTTAAACCTTTTATGTTTGGTGATTACTTTCCAATATTTGTAATATTTATGTTTTGATTAATTGTATATTAGCAATAATCATAACAATGATGCAACTCAAAATTTAAAAAAACTCTTAGTCTTATGGTCATAAGAAATAAAAATAATTTTAATTTATAAAGTTATTTTTGTTATAGAGGCATATGAGAGGTGACCAATAGCAGACTCTGAACCATTAAATATATTAGAATAAAATTATGAAGCATAACTGTAATAGAAATACAATTTCTTTTTCAAAAACATTGTATTATTTTATTTTTATTTTTTTATTTTTATAGATTTAGGAGGTACAAGTGCAGGATTGTCACATGACAGAAATACACTGTCGAGGAAGAAAATCTATACAATTTTGGAGTGTTAGAGGCATTTTTTATGTGGATTTTATGAAATGGATGATGGTAGATATAAATTGCTATGGCATTTTATCTAATTGTATAAACTTAGTAGAATGTTATAGCAATTTTATTTTAAAATGGAAGTATTTACCATATGTTAGAAAATAAATCTTTTGCAGTCTTTATACTTCTTAAATGCCAATTTACATGATTTTTCAAAACTTTTTAGGAGTTGCATGAGCAAAAAGTATTTAAAGACTCCTACCTTCAGTTATGCTTTAAACTTGATTTTCTTTTATCATATATGATTTAATTGGCACAATTTAAATTGGTATAATTGGAAATTAAAAAGACACAACAGAGCATCTGGTACATAATTGCTCTTTAATATTATTTCCTCCAGGAACTCCTTTCTGATCTCTGCTCTCTTCCTTAACCAGGTAATTTCCCCCTCTATATCTAGTATGAAACTTCTGCAGTTTCTCTTAACACAAGGTTTTGTAATGCATGTTTATGTATCAGTCTCTACTACCTGATGCTAAGGTCCTCGAAGATAGAAAGTATGTTTTAGCAACTGACCTCCTCCTGCAAAGCGTCCAGCTTAGTACCTGGTACATAGCAGTTGCTCAGTTCACATTTCTTGAACTGAACAATAAAGAAGATAAATAATTAGTCTTATGAAAATATTAGATAACCTTAAGTTGGTTTAAGTGTCAGGGTTTGTCTTGTCTATCTCTAGTGAAAACTTATTCCTTTGCATATTTTGTAGGAATAATTTCAAAAGTTACCACCTTCAAATAAAGTTGAAAACCATGAAAGAGTTTTGGTTTTTTTTTTTTCGTGGGGTGGGGGGGTGTTATTATTTAGATCCATTGGTATATTAAAATTTTTTTCCATCTAGCGTCTTTATCTGTAAAGAAAGGGATTAGAAAATATGATGTCCCTGTTTCTAAAACCAGATATCTGCATAAATGTTCTGACTTTTATCTTCATGCCTCTTTTAAGTGGAAGAGCAGTGCGGAAGGTTAAACTTTGGAATTCATTGTGAATTTGACTGCTTTATGGCAGCAACACATCAGAATTCCTGATATTGGAACAATTCAAGTCAAATCCAGGGCTTATTGCTGTCACATTTCTAATTTCCTACCCGTTTTGAAATTTTAAAGTAAATTCACTAATAAAGTCTAATATCTGGTAACTGAAAGTATGGTTTTATAACTAGCAGCTTCTGTGTCACCTGGCAGCTTGAAACGAGAATCTCAGGCTCTACTCTAGACCTACTGAGTTAGAATCTGTAGTGTGATGAGATCCTTTCACCACAGGGTATTCAAGTGTACATTAAAGTTAAAGAAGCATTGGTCTAATCTAATTGCTAAGCTGTATCCAGTTAATAATCACATAGTCTAGTTCAGGAGTTGGCAAACCATGGCTGACTCTTCCAATCCAGCCCACTACCTTTTTTTGTAAGTAAAGTTTTATTGGAGCACAACCATGCTCATTTGTTTATGTATTGTCCATGGCTGCTTTCTTGCTACAGTGGTAGAACTGAGTAGTTGTAATAGTGACCATGTGGCCCTTGAAACCTAAAATATTAATTCTCTGGCCCTTGACAGAAAATGTGCCCTGCCCTGTCCTAGCTGGTGATAGGTCAGTTACCACCATGTATTTATAAATTTGTTTTGAGATGAGTGCTTTTTTATGCCAAGCACTGTGCTAGATGCTGCTTTTGTTTGGGTGGAAAAATCTTGTTTATCCTTGTTTAAACCTTGCTTTGGGGGAACCATTTTTGTTGTGAATCACTAGCTTTCTAGCACTGAAGAGCAAAGTAATTCCTAAGAAGTTTTACTAAAAAGTTTCCTTTTTCTTTGTTGAACTTGTAGATTATAGGTTTTGTCTTTAGTCTTGATTTTCCTAAGAAGGAACTTGTTTGTTTCTATGAAAAGGGACCACAGGCATGTTTGTTCCTTGTTATTAGGGAGTTGTAGTTAGTTGTGTGAGCCACTCAGGCTTAAAAGACTGATTTTCCCTATTGTTTATCCATGAAGAATTCATCAGTTCTGTTATCCCCAGATCTGTGGATACATAGGGTGGGGGTGGGAGGATAGAAGAATCATTTTCATTGAACGTGTAATCAGGTTATGTTTCAGGAACTCTCAACATTGGTTACTTAGAAATGCATTCGTGGAATTCTATCTTTGTAAAGTGGACTAAACTCAAGAGGTATTCCTAAAAACTTTATCTTTGAAGTTTAAAGTTTTTCTCTAAAGTGGTCTTAGTGTTTCTGAATTGACTGCCTAATTCATCAATTTTTTTGATACACAGCATATTGATTCTTAAATATGAAATGACAGTAAACTGTATTTCTCAGTCTCTTTCTACAGTACACTTACAGCCTCTTTAGCCCTTTTTAACATTTAGATGGATGATATTTTTATTCTTTTTGCTAGTAAATACTCAATTTGCTTTACTTTTAATTTTGTATCTGTTGAACAACTTCCCAGTAGTTCGATTTATTGAGTTTTAAGCTATGTTGATTTAATTTCTGTTATTTTCCTTTATTATCTTGGAGTCTAACCTCTATTAGAAAAGAGGAAGGAGTGACCATTAGAAAAAAATTTCCTCTGATTATTGTGGGGGAATAAAGCACTAATCATTTTCTTGTCAAGGAATTTTTTGACATATTCTTCCTATGAATTTGCTAGTTCATCCTGGAAGAATGTCCACCAAAAAATAGATAACTCATACAGACAGAATCTAGCAAAACTGAAAAGTGAATGTCCCTATAGGGAGTTCTTTGTGTCATTCTTTCTGTTCCTGCAGAGAAATCAATGGAATTTGCATTGGAAGATACTGTTCCTTGTGGAAGTATCCTAGGCACCTGTAATTTCTCACTAGGGGGAATAAAAAAGAAACCTAACGTCTCTGGCTGTTGAGTAGTGAGTCTCTTGGGTGGCTTCATAGTCTAGATCAATCTGTTTAATAAATGTCTCTGTTTTTACTTGTGTCACACAATTCTAAACCTGTTCTATTCAGATATTAGAATTATAAGTATGTACTACAAAGTGCCAAATAGTTTTTCAGAAATACAGAATAATTTAAAAAGTCTCTGTTACACCTCTTTTGGAAATGTCATGGTGATGTTACGGGTTGTTAATATGAGAGTAGCTTTACTACAAGTCCAAATATTTTTGATTCTCTAAGGCATAGTTTGGGATTTAGATATGTTCATCTATATTCTTTGCCATGAACAGGACAAAAGTTGTTCAACTATGTTAGAAAATCATCAGAATTACTGTCATTTAGATTATAAGTGAGTTTTAAAAAGGTACCTCAATATCTATATCTGTTTGTTTCTTTTTTCCCTACAATGCTGCCTTGATAATAAACTAGTCTCAGACATTAAAAGGCTGTGAAATTGCTTAAATAAACCTGTGCTAGTCATTTTTTAAAATACTTAACAACCCCTAACCCTATATTATTAGGATAAGAAAGAATGTTATTTTTCTCATTGTTTCTGCTCCATTGATTGTGTCTCTTCAAAATCTCTCTTATCCCGTTATTGTGTTTTGGTAACAGAAGCATCCTGTTTTATGAATTGTGTGTGCTGAATTAGCTTAAGAGGGCTTCACTGCGTGATGATGACTTGAGTCCTTTAATTGTGAAGGCAGTTTCTTTTGCCTTCATTATGAAAAGGGCAAATAAGGCAGTTTTCATAGCCTAAAGGTTTTTTATAAAGCTTTCCTCTGTTGGAGTAAAGAATCAGGACAAAAGGAGTAGGCTGTTCTCAGGAATTTCTAGAAATAGCTTTTGAAAGTAAAATTAGGAGATAGCTCTCTGTTCCTCTGCAAAAGAACAAAGTCATTTTTACAGCACAGGAATTAGAAGGAAAGGCTCTGATTCTTCTGAGGTTCACTATTTTTTTTTCTGTTGGTTATAACAACAATAACTATATTTTTCAGTGTATAAAGTAGGTGTACAGTTGTCTCCATATGGGCTTTACTGGTAACCTTGTGCTGTACATAGAGCAGGTGTTACTAGTATTATTTCCATTTTGCAGCTGGGGAAAGAGTTTGAGGGAAATTAATGACTTCACCATAGTCACACAGCTACCAAATCAGAGACCTGGATTTCTGACTTTAAAACGTGCTCTTCCCAGCCTACCACACTGCATAAGGTCTTCTTTAATCTGTACTGTTTAGTGTTGGTAAGATTCTTGTGGAAGAATAACATGGGAAATTGGTAAGATTCTTGCGGAAGAATGACATGGGAAAAGTATCATTCTCCCCCAGCAACAAAGTATGCATAACATAAACACTTAGGCTGAGATGAATTCTTCAGTATCTTATAGACAGACTAAGCAGAACATTCTGAGTCATTCGTACATAAATATTCGTATGCTATATGTGGATGATTTCTAGGTATTATCCCTCATGATTGATTGATTGATTACATGTTTTGCCCCTACTATTCAATGGTAGATTTAGCATTGTAGGCTGGCAGTTTCCTTAGCACTTTTTAAATTCCTAATCTAAAAACCACTGCATACCCATTGATTTGCATTTTTAATAATTCAACTAATTTTCACAGAATTAAATTAATATTTATTTTAAGTTAAACTTGAATGTGCTTTACAAAGAATGGCAATAGACAGCTTTTTTTAATTTAAAAGGAAAAAATGTTATATCTGGAAGAATGCAAGCATTAAACCATAAAAACTATAGTCTAACAAATTTAATTGAGTTATATGGTAAAAATTCTCATAGGAAAAGTTATTTCATCATTATAATTTTACATTTATTTATTAAAACTTTCCCATGTATAAGAAATAGTGGTTTAAAATGGTGATACATGGGTAAATAAAATGTATATATTCCTTTTCCTTATTTTTCTAACATTAAATATGAATAATAGTTATTAAATAAATATGTCAAGGAACTAGCAGAAGAGATGAGACTGGAGGAATAGATGGAAGGCAGATCATGAAAAACCTTGAAAGCCATGTTAAGTGTTTTTTCCTTGTCTCTGAATAAGTAAATTGTTTTTTAATTTTTATCATTTTCAATATTTAAAATTAAAAAAATTTAGTTATGAGTACATAATAGTTGTATATATTTATGGGATACATGTGATGTTTTGATATAGTCAAACTGTGTAATGATCAAATCAGGATAACTGGGGTATCCATCACCTCAAGCATTATCATTTATCTGTGTTTGAAACATTTCAATTATAGTCTCTTAGTTATTTGAAAATATAAAATAAATTATTGTTAACTGTTGTCACTCTATTCTATCAAATGCTAGCCCTTATTCTCACTGTATTTTTGTACCCATTAATCATTTCTGCTGTATTCCCCAGCTCCTTGCCACCCTTTGCAGCCTCTGTTAACCATCATTTTACCCCTATATTCTTTTTTTTTTTTTTTTTTAACACTTCCACATATGAGAACATGAAACATTTGTCTTTCTTTTCCTGGTTTATTTCACTTACCATAATGTCCTCCAGTTCCATCTATGTTGTTGCAAATGATAGGATTTCATTCTTTTTTATGGTTAAATAATATTCCATTGTGTGTCTATACCACATTTTCTTTATTCATTCATCTGTTGATGGACACTTAGGTTGCTTCCAAATCTTGGCTATTGTGAATAGTGCTGCAGTAAACATGGGAATGCAGATATCTCTTTGATGTACTGATTTCCTTTCTTTTGGATATATTTATATATTCAGCAGTGGGACTGCTGGATCATATGGCAGTTCTATTTTTAATTTTTTTGAGAAAACTCCATAGTCTTCTCCATAGTGGCTGTACTAATTTACATTCCTACCAACAGTGTACGAGGGTTCCCCTTTCTCCACATTCTCACCAGCATTCATTATTGCCCGTCATTTGGATAAAAAGCATTTTAACTGTGGTGAGATAATATCTCATTGTAGTTTTAATTTGCATTTCTCTGATGACGTTGAGCATTTTTCATGTACCTGCTAACCATTCATGTCTTCTATTGATAAATATCTATTCAGATGTTTTGCCCATTTTTTGAGTGGATTGTTAGATTATTTCTTATTGAGTTGTTTGAGCTCCATTTTTATTCTAGTTATTAATTCCTTGTCAAATTTATAGTTTGCAAATATTTTCTCTTATTCTGTGGGTTGTCTCCTCGCTTTGTTGATTGTTTCCTTTGCTGTGCAGAGCTTTTTAGTTTGATGTGTGATCCTGTTTGTCCATTTTTGCTTTGATTGTCTGTACTTTGGAGGTATTACTCAAGAAATCTTTGTCCAGACTTATGTCCTAGAATGTTTCCCCAATGTTTTCTTATAGTAGTTTCATCCTTTCAGGTGTTAGATTTAAGTCTTTAATCCATTTTGATTTGATTTTTATGTATGGTGAGAGATAGGGGTCAAGTTTCATTCTTCTGCATATGGTTATCCAGTTTTCCCAGACCCATTTATTGAAGACTGTCCTTTCCCAGTGTATGTTCTTGGCACCTTTGTCAAAAATGAGTTCACTGCAGATATGTGGATTTATTTCTGCATTCTCTATTCTGTTCTATTGGTCTATGTGTCTGTTTTTATGCCAATACCATGCTGTTTTGGTTACTATAGCTCTAGTAGTATAACTTGAAATCAGATAATGTGATTCCTGCAATTTTGTTGTTTTTACTCAGGATGGTTTTCCTTATACTGGGTCTTTATGTTTCTGTATAAATTTTAGCATTATGTTTTCTGTTTCTGTGAAGAATGTAATTGTTATTTTGATAGGGATTGCATTGAATCTATAGATTGCTTTAAGTAATGTGGACATTTTAACAATATTGATTCTTCCAATTTATGAACATGGAATATCTTTCAATTTGTTTTTTCTGTGTGTCCTCTTCATTTTCCTTCATCAATGTTTCATAGTTTTCATTGTAGAGATCTCTCATTTCTTTGGTTAAGTTTATTCCTATGTATTTTATTTTATGTGTAGATATTGTAAATGGAATTCCTTTCTTGGTTTCTTTTTCAGATTGTCCATTGTTGGCATATAGAAATGCTACTGATTTTTGAATGTTAATTTTGTATTCTGTGACTTTCCTGAGTTTAATGGTCCTAATTTTGTTTTGGTAGAGTCTCTAGGTTTTTCTAAATATGAGATCATATCATTTGGAAAGAAAAATAATTTTACTTATTTTTTTCCTATTGGGATGCCCTTTCTTTCTTTTGCTTGATTGCTGTAGCTAGGATTTTCTGTATTATGTTGAATAATGGTGAATGTGGGTATTCTTGTCTTGTTCCATATCTTAATGGAAAAACTTTCAGTTTTCCCCATTCAGTATTCTACTAGCTGTTGATCTGTCTTATATGGCTTTTATTGTGTTAAGGTATGTTCTTTCTATACCCAGTTTTTTTTTTTTTGAGTTTTTTTTTTTATCATGAAGTGATGTTGAATTTTATTGAGTTCTTTTTCAGCATCAGTTGAAATGATCATATGGTCTTTGTCCTTCATTCTGATATAACATATTGCATTGATTGATTTGCATATGTTGAACCATCCTTGCATCCCTGGGATGAATCCTACTTGATCACGAGAAACAATCTTTTTAATGTATTGTTGAATTTGTTGTGGTGGCATTTTGTTGACGTTTCACATCTATGTTTGTCAGAGATATTGGCCTGTAGTTCTCTTTTTTTTGTTATATCTTTGTCTGGTTTTGGTATCAGGGTGATAATGGCCTCATAGAATGAATTTGGAAGTATTTCCTCCTCTTCTATTTTTTGGAATAATTTGAGTAGGATCGATATTAGTTCTTCTTTAAATGTTTGGTAGAAATCAGCAATGAAGCCATCAGATTATTGGCTTTTATTGATGGGAAACTTTGTTATGGCTGCAATCTCACTACTTTTTATTGGCCGATTAAGGCTTTGGATTTCTTTTTTTCATTAAATCTTGGTAGGCCATATGTGTCTAAGAATTTATCTGTTTCTTCTGGGTTTTCCAATTTATTGTCGATAGTTGCTCATAATCTTCTCTAATGATCCTTTGAATTTTTGTGGTATTGTATTTTGTGAATGTTTTTTGTAATGTCCCCTTTTTCATCTCTGATTTTATTTATTTGAATGTTCTCTCTTTTTTTCTTAGTCTGGCCAAAGGTTTGTTGATTTTACTCATCTTTTCAAGAAACCAACTTTTCATTTCATTAATCTTTTTGTTGCTTTTCAGTGTTCGTTTATTTCTGCTCTGATCTTTATTTCTTTTGTTCTACTAATTTTGGGTTTGATTTGCTCTTTTCTAGTTATTTAAGATGTATTGTTAGGTGGTTTGTTTGAAGTTTTTCTACTTTATTGATGTAAGCACTTTATTGGTATCAACTTTCCTCTTAGTACTGCTTTTGCTGTATCCCATATGTTTTGGTATGTTTGTGTTCTTCATTTGTTTCAAGGAATTTTTCACTTTGCTTTTTAATTTCTTCATTGACTGGTCTTTCAGGAGCATGTTGTTTAATTTCCATATGTTTGTATAGTTTCCAAAATTCTTCCTGTTACTGATTTCTAGTTTTATTCCATTGTGGTCAGGAAAGATACTTGATATGATTTCCATTTTTATAAATTTTTTTAGACTTGTTTTGTGGTCTATCATATAGTCTGTCCTTGAGAATATTTCATTTGCTCCTCAGCACTTTTAAGATCTTATTGTATGGTCTCTTTGTCTTAATTTTAAAAATGTTGGCTGGGCATGGTGGCTCATGCCTGTAATCCCAGCACTTCGGGAGGCCGACGTGGGTGGGTCACCTGAGGTCAGGAGTTTGAGATGAGTCTGACTAACATGGTGAAACCCCGTCTCTACTAAATCCAAATTAAAAAAACATTATCTGGGTGTGGTGGTGCATGCCTGTAATTCCAGCTACTTGGGAGGCTGAGGCAGGAGAATTGCTTGAACCTGGGAGGTGGAGGTTGCAGTGAGCCAAGATTGCACCACTGAATTCCAGTCAGGCAACAAGAGTGAAACTCCATCTCAAAAAAAAAAAAAAGAAAGAAAGAAAATATTATTCTCAATTGTTCCTTTGCAGGTAGTCTGTATTTTTTCCCTTTAACTTTGAAGATTGTTGTTTTGTCTTTGGTGTTTAATGGTCATATTATAATGTATTTAGATATAAGCTTATTTGTATTACAAGTTAAGTTAGAGAATTAATGTCTTTTATTAATTTTGGAAATTCTTAGCCATTACTTTTTTGACTAGTGTTTTTTTTTCTATTCTTTAAAAAAATTTATTTTGAAATTATTTAAACTTATGGAAAAGTTTAAAGCATATATATATAGAATGGAGTATTATATATATAATATATATATTATATATATATATAAAAAGAAGTGAGCACTAACACATACTACAACATCGATGAACCTTGGAAAAGGTACGATAACTGATAGAAGCTAGACACCAAAGAGCACATGTTATATTATTCTATTTATAGGAAATGCCTGGAATAGGCAAATTTATAGAGACAGAAAGTAGATTTGTGGTTGCCTAGATTTGAGGAGCTTAGGGGACAATCAAGAATGATGAATGATTATGAGTTTTTTTGGGAGGAGGTGATAAAAATGTTCCAAACTTGAATGTGATGGTTGTGTGGCTTTGTAAGTATACCAAAAACCAGTGAATTGTACACTTTACATGAGGAATTGTATGGTAGTTGAATTATATATCAAAAGAGCTGTTGTTAAAAGAGAAAATAGATCATTATTTCGTGTTTTTTCACCCTTCTTCCCCTAATATTAACATCTTGCTTATATAACTATAATACAGTTATTGAAACTAGGAAATTAATATTGGTGCAGTGCTGTTAACTGAATTATGGACATGTGTGTTTAAAAATGTCCTTTTTCTGTTCCAGGATCCCATATTGCATTTCGTTGTCACGTTTCTGTATTAGCCCATTTTCATACTGCTGATAAAAACATACCCAAGACTGCGCAATTTACAAAAGAAAGAGGTTTAATTGGACTTACAGTTCCATGTGGCTGGGGAAGCCTTACAGTCATGGCCTTTTCTTCTGCCCTAGGAGACTTTAATTGTTTGAGAATAGTGCAAAGCTCTCTTATTAGTTCCTCAGTCTCTTGGCCTTTGTCCCTGTTATGCACTGTTTTCTTTGTTTGTTTTGTTTTGTTTTTGTTGTTGTTTTTGAGACAGAGTCTCACTCTGTAGCCCAGGCTCGAGTGCAGAGGCGCTGTCCCAGCCCACTGCAACCTCCGCCTCCTGGTTTCAAGCGATTTTTGTGCGTGGCTGGGGCATATGCCTCCACGCCTGGCTAATTTTTATACTTTTAGTAGAGACAGGGTTTCACTGTGTTGGCCAGGCTGGTCTCGAACTCCTGACCTTAAGTGATCCACCCACCTCGGCCTCCCAAAGTGCTGGGATTACAGGCGTGAGCCACCACGCCAGGCCCAAATGAATCTTTTAAGAATAGCTTTTAAATTGTTTTGTATTTCTTAACTTGAAATCTCTAAAGCCTACCTTTTCTTTTAGATTTGGTTCCAACTGCTTTGATATTCTAAGTATGCTGTGATCTACCAGCCTTTCCCCACCAATACTTGTGCTTTTTGTACCTATAACATGTTGTTTTTTGTTTGACTTTTGCTTTCCATTTTCTTGTGGCATGGCTGTGTGATTTCTGTTCATTCTTTCTTCAAATCTCTTCTCAGGTCTTATCATCTCTTGATACCTTCCCTGATGACTCCTACCCATTGACTTATTATCCTCCATAGATTCCTCTTGAAACTATTTTCTGTTGAAATAGTTTAAAGTCATATCATATACCTTTTTGTTTCCAATAATTTAGAGTGATGTATCTTTTTCTTCCTTTACAATAAGGTGTCAAGTTTTTGAAGGATTAGATCATCTTTATATTTTGTTGTTTCTGTGAGTATTATGTACCACTCTGGGTATGCAGTTGTGCTGAATTGATAGCTTTTAGAGAATTGGTTTGGGTTTTATTTCAAATGCTGATGATTTATAATATCAGAGTTACTTCTTTGTGTAAATGTGCCTACTGTCATGCCTGGTCTACAATACTGCCCTTAGGAAAGGTTAGTTGAACCCAAATCATGTAGGGGATCCCAAATCAAAGAGCATTTATTATTCTACTGTTTCACAGGAAGTATAAAGTAAGAGCAAATGCACTGAATCCAAGTTTTCTCAGAAATACTCTGTCTACTGTCTTTCCTTTGAGCCTCTTCTTAATCTGTCTCCTTAAGTATATATTACTCATTTATCTTTGACATTTTTCATTTACTACCTTATGTAGTTTTTCTAAATAATTTATATTTGTAGGTAGAGATAAATTGTATGTGTTAATTACAGCTTAAAAGAAGAGATTGGAATATTTTAGAAAGATTAATTCTTATTAAAGACTATCTAATTGATCTGTGTTTGCATTCTTCCTATCTGAGTCTTAACATTTTCATAAAACATCTATCAGTGAAAAAATCATCAGTGTTAGCTGGAATTGAACTTAAGAAGATATTTGACTACCCATAAAACCAGATATTGAATGAAGAACACTTGGTTTAAGAAAATTGGGTCAAGTTAGAAATGATACAACATTTTTGCTGGGCTTTAGATTTATTTTATCATTAATGACCTCTTAAAAAACCGGAATTAACTTTTAAGACATCTTAAATTATTATGTTAAATACTGTAGTTATTCTCCTACCTCTGAAAAGCTTGTAAGGTGATTTGAGAATGTTTGATTTATATATATTAATACTCCAATTTTCTGAGTGGTGATATTGTTTCAACAGGGCTGAAAAACTAAAAAATGTGGATACCTGGCTTTAGAAATGGGCTAGCATTATCTTACCTGCTTTGTTTCAGGGGCTGATTCTTCAACAATGCATATAGCTAGATAATCTGGAGTTAATTTTGTGTGTGTCGGTGGGAGTGAGAGCTTGTGTGCTTAGGAGAGAGTTATTTACTTGGTTAACTAAAAACGAAGTAGTAAAAAAGCAATTGTGTGAGGCAGGCATAACTTCAACAGTTTACACTGGTTTAAGTTATTTCATTTGAGGGGTGGTACCTTATTAAGTCCTATCTTCTAGGCATAGTCTTATTTGTTTCTTAAGTTTCCTTATAATAAAATATAGTACTCTTAATTAATGGCTTCATATAGGTTGGAGTCTTGTTAGGTGTTGACCTTTTCTATTTGCTTCACAGGTTGTTTGCATTCGCTCCACTTGGAATGCTCTCTCTCCAAAGCTGAGTTGTGACACAAGACCTCTCATTCTGAAGACACTGAGTGAACTATTTTCTCTAGTTCCTTCCTTAACGGTCAATACAACTGAATATGAGGTATGCATTTGGAGCTCAGCACATTGCCTGCTTCTTCATGGGAAAGATGTGTGTTATAATAACTTTTGGAATAAATATTCCTAATCTGTTGTTGTTGTTGTTGTTGTTCTGAGACCATGTTGATATGTTTATGGACTCTTAGGAGTAAGATAGCTCCTCATCAATCTTATGTCTAAAATGTATTTACATAAAGGATACCAACTTTTAATTATGAGAGTATTGTCAAGATTTTAAAGTCAATATTGTAAAACTAGTGTTTCCAAAATAATAGAATTCATAAAGCCAACCATTAAAAATCATTTTGTTAATGTTTTAAGTTCTAAAAAATAAGCCACAAAGACATTAATAAAGGCAGGACAGACTCTCCAAACTTTGTGAATTACTCAGTGTTTGTCATTGTAATGAGTTGAAATACTTGGTGGAAGATTCTTTTTTGTAAGATTCATATATTACTGCTTAATATTTTCTTAATTATCTCTTCTTTGAGTGAAATGCATGAGAGGGTAGTGAATTACATTTATGCCTCTACATTTGTAAGCCATACTTTTTTTTTTTCATGCTTACCATTTTTCCTTTTCCTTCAAAGAGCAGCAGTTGATTTTCACTTGCAGTCTTGGTAAACTTCTAGTTTGATTTAGTCCTTCACAGACTTTGATAAACTGCCACTCCAGCCATCAGATTCCAATAATAGTCCTTTATATGTTTTAGATCATCTGACTGAGACAGGCTTAGAAGATACTTCAACTCATTCTAAATGCTGCACAATGAATAAAATCAAATTTATCCTTACTGGGCTATACAATACCTATCACAGTACCTGGTGCATAATCTATATGTAGTAAGTAGTTGTTGAATGAATGATTGAATCGATACAGAATATTTTAGTTTATTCTTACATGTAGCCTTTTTTTAGGGTCTTAAAAAAAGAATCAATTTGTGACTGTGAGTATACAGTTCACCAACATTCTTTCTTATGGCTGCAGTTCACAGGCACTTGCTCTTATATTGTCAGAGAGTCCACAGGGCTACTGATAATGAGCTAAGACTAAAAGCCAATGTAAGGCCATATTGGGTATATTTACTTTCTGTCTTCAGAGGCTAAAATCATATATCTTTTGTATTGCTTGTACCTTGAGTTAATCAGATTTTATTACAGGTTAATTTATGAATTGGCTGGTGTGTTGGTTTTTTGTGTTGGCTTATCCATGGTTGTGAATTATCTTTTGGACCAGATTTTTTTTTCTTCCAGATTTTACATTCTTTTCCTTTGGTATCTTATACTAGGGTTCCTCTGTTGTTCAGACGGACTGCTTTGGGGCCGTTCTCTCTATCTCTTCCTGCCCAGTTAGGGGGAGTCTCTTCAGTGAACATAGTCCCCTTAAAAGCAGAAGTGAAGAAATGTAGAAGGGAGAGACCCTCCTTCCTCCTCCCACTTTCATCTGTGTGTGTTTAGATAATTGGTTTTTTAACTACTTAGAATTTGTCTGGATGTGAGCCAAAGTTGAATTTAATTTTTCCCAGAGTGCTTCTTAAGTCATTTCTATCCCTAGTAACTTCATTAGCTTAAGTTTCCCTAAAATGTAGTCCAACCTGTTTACAACAAGTCCATAAAGCATTCTGGAATCTGGCCTCATTAGTGGTCTGTATGCTGCACTCCAATAAAACCAAACCACTTACAGTGTCCTTCAAACTTTTCCTTCCTCCAAACTTTTCCATTTCTTTTCCTTTGTTCATATTATTCCCTCTATCTAAAATTACTTTCTTTTTCCTCTTTAATTTAAAAATATATTTTAGGAAGAAAAGGATTGTTTTAACTCATCCCATCCTTTGAGAGTTTGTCTGCAAGCTGGAGTCTTTTGTTCCCAAAGTTCTTTATACTGTTCTAAGAACGTTTATTCTATTTTATACTACAGGTATATGTATGCATATATTATTTTCCCCATTCAACTATAGGCTTATTGAAAATGGAGTCCATGATTTAATTATAGTGTATTTTCTGAATTGCTTTGCACAGTGCTTGCTTCACTTATTCATTGAATCAGAATATATTTATTAAAACTGCGCTAGGTCTTAGAGATACTAATAAATATAGTCAACCCTATTTTTGAGTACCTATTCAATCCCCATCACTCTTACTAGTTTATACCAATTAGTTCTAATCTCTGATAGGAAGGTATCATTTTTTATTGTATTGTTACAGAAACTAAACCTTTGAGAGGCCTATTTATTTGACAAATATTTATGAGTATCTGCTATGTTCTAGGCAAGTAACTTGACCAAGACTGTAGTTAAAAAGCTAAGTGAAAGCTGATGTCTGAATCCAGGACTTTCTAGTTTCATATCCTTTGTTTTCGCATTATACCATGTTATCAGTCCCTGCCTTCTAGAAGCTCAAAGGTAGGTAAAGGAGATAGATGTGAGTGATGATAATTATAGTAACATTTGATGAGCACAGTTAATTAAAGGGCAATGAGAGTGTGGTAGAGAAAATGACAAACACTCTTAGCAAGAATCCAAGGAAATTATTTGTGCTATTGGACTTGGAACTGGAAGAATTAATATACTGTTGCTTCCCATTGAAGTTTGGGGACTAGAATATGCAAAGGCAAGGAGGTATAGAGGAACCTAATATGATTTAGAGGGGCAAAAAGTTAGATGTGGTGGCAATGAAGAAGACCACCGACTGTTGGAAGGTAAATGGCTTTTATGCTTAATCAATTATTTATTACACATTTGTCATCTTTGAGGAACTGTGTGGGCTCTGTGGTTTAGGTCTTTGAAATGAAAAAAACGCAGTCACTGCCTTAAGTATTGTACAACCTCGAGTGAGTTAGTCATGCTAGATGTGGAGGTGTACCATGTGCCGTATGGCCACATGGAGAAAGGAAAACTCTCTTCTGGGTAGGCTAGAACAGTGGCATGAAAGAGTGACATTTCTGTTAGTACTTGAAGGGACTAAGAGTAAGAAATGGTTAGGTTTCTAAATTTCATTATCTTAAAATCTTAATGTGTTTAAAATATCCATGTGCTTAGAGGATGAGTTTGTTTCTGAATATTTACATTTTATGAATGATGGGTGAATACACATTAAGTGAATTTCTGGTGGTGTTACTTTAAAAGTGACTTAATTTTCATTATTTGCTACTTTGGATTATTTAGTCTCAGTTTTAGCTTGGTCTTAACAATTTATTCTTTTGTATGTTAACT
Organism: Homo sapiens; assembly: GCF_000001405.40. NCBI lineage: Eukaryota > Metazoa > Chordata > Mammalia > Primates > Hominidae > Homo > Homo sapiens. The sequence continues at coordinate 20,865,920 of NC_000009.12, forward strand.
TTTCAGAATTTTAAAGTTCAAGTCCTCAGCTTCCTCTGGACTCATACTCAAAACAAGGTACTATCACAAGGCTTGTCAGTGAATCAGAACAAAGCTAAGGAAATAATTTTGACATTTGTAAAATAAGACTCTTAGGATAAAAAGTACAACTGCCTTGAAATAATGGGTTCCCAATTTTTAAAAAAAGTGTGATTATTCATAAGTTTTGGTTTTAAAAATTATGCTCAATTTATGCCCATTAATACATTTTTACCATAAAGTGCACTTAATACTTGGTGAATCTGACAGATGGGAAGAGGAACTGTTGATATTATCTTATATTTTTATATGGTCTTTCCCCTTTCCTGCTTTGCCCCTTCCCCACCAACAAGCATACCAAACAAACAAAAAGTCCAGTCCATTTTTTAGATGTTGTTTCCAATCAAGGATTATATATAGAGACTGCTGGTGATGTTATACCTAACTCATGGATGAATGAGCTTAGATTCCAAAAAGGCTAACTTGCCCTATTAATAGGTGGAGAATCGGAATCCAAACCTAGGCCTATCAGACAGTAACTCCTTGTTCTCCTTCTGCTAAATCATACTACTTCATGGAGACTTGAGCAATTATGAGTTACTTTATATTTAATGTTCAAACTAGGATAAAAATTTAGTATTTTTGATCTCCTTGCCCATTTTTAATTGGGCATATTCTCCAGAAAAATGTTTAATGCTGATAATTTTTTCCAGTTGTTCTTACTTCCCTTCACAGACCCTTTCACTTTTTTTTGCAATATTTTGTTTTGAAACGAGGATTAAATTTCTCGATCTCTCTTTTGAAATTGCTAGTAAATATCCTTTTAGCTAGGCAAAGCTTTAATACCATTTTCAAAGCACTGACTGTAGAACTTTGGGATTGGTGAGGGAAGGTTTCTTTCCCCCTCCAGATTTGATGTTTAATGCATGTTGTGTTTTTTTGTTTGCTTGCTTTTTTTTTTTTTTTTTTTTTTTTTTTTTACCCTATCTAGGACCCAATTGTAGCAAATGCTGCATATAGATCCCTGGCCAACTTTAGTGCAGGAGAACACACCATTCTTCATCTGCCTGAAAAGGTAGGCATATCTGCTTTCTCACTGGTATTTCTTAATTTGCTAGGGTTTACAACTTTTTCTCTCTCATCTTAGGAGATACTTACCTGATGAATATATACATAACCCTAGATCTGTTGTCCATGCAAGATACAAATTCATACCCATTATTTGTTTATATGTAAAAGACTGTAGAGGTTTGAAGCAGATGGAAGACACCTATGATGCAAATGAAATCTTCTTAAGGTGACTGGGTATATGGCTTGCTCCAGATCTGAGTCACTCATAGGGATCACTTTGCCTAATTAGTATGCCATCCTGGACTTTAATCCAAGCATGGCCTTCATAGACTAAGATTTTATAGCACCTGTGCAGCCAAAGATCTCTATTTGTGATAAACAATGGGATGCCATATGAAAAAATCTGCTTTTTTTTAGTATCTGTGAATGGTATATAGGTAGCTCCAGAAAACTGGATGGAGAAAGTATCACTATCTTTTAAGAGTTAACACATAGTGTGATATTCAGTTAGGAAAAGAGGAAGTCAAATTGTCCCTGTTTGCAGATGACATGATTGTATATTATCTTAGTTTTTAGACTAAACTAAAAACATATAACCTCTTCTAGTATCTGCCTATTATAATCAGCTTTAAATTAGTAGATCCTATTAAGGGGTTAAATATCTGATTTCTTATTTAGTGCCACTATGAATTCAAATGCATACAGATGTTTATTGAGTGCCTCTGAAGTGTCAAGCAGACATTGTGTTAGATGAAGTTACGTGTAACATTACTCAGAATCTGTCTTTGAAGTTACGTGGCAAGAAGGTTTGGTGTGAATTCCTTGGGATCCTCAGGCATTAAAATGGGTTTGCCTTTTTCTTCTGGATTGCGTTTATACTGAGATTAGATGCCAGTAGGAACCAGGCAAATTTCTGTTTACTGAATTGAATTGGAGCCACGATATAAAAAGGATTGAAAATAGGCTGTTGTAAAACCAATTCCTAAGGCAGGCAGGATTTCCTGTGTCATTGAGGACTTACAAAGATAGATTGACCGCTTGTCATGCAGTGATCACAAATGGGAAAACTTAGGTAAAGATGTGTTATGACTCATACAATTAAAAAAGATGGGACTTCAGACTGCATTATGATGACCAGCAATACCCATTGTTGCTTTAAAACAGGAAAGAAAAAGGAAAAAAGCTACATGTAAATTTCATATGCAAACACCTGCCAATAGATTAGCTACAGCATCTGGAGAGGCACCTTTTATTCTTGTTTTTAATAGGCAATTATTCATTTAAATCACAGCATAAAAATTACCCTTATTTTTACCTTTCATTCCTAAAATATTCCAGCTTGAGTAATAGCTTTTATTAAATAACTCCAGCATACTCTTGACATTTAGTCTCTACTTTTTAAAATATTGACATGCTTATATTTTTTTTCTGATTTTGGATTTATATTCAATTTCCAATTATGTTTGCAAGAATTTATAAGTGCTATACTCAGCCAAGTGTTAGCTACTTCCTTAATCTAACTCTTCTAAACTCTTTGATCCCTGAATAGCCATAAATAGCTCTTTATATCTTCCAACATAAATGGTAAACGTACTTAGAGTTGGGGTTTTCTATATATGTTTGGGTTTTCAGCATCAGAGTGGAAAGAGCTATAAAGGAAAGCTATAAGGCGTATCCTTTTGTAGCTATGCTTTTCAGCTTTTTTTTTTTCTTGCCCTAATCCCCTTCTGGGATATGACCCATTCCAAAAAGTAACAATAGCTCACTGCAGTGGATATTCTGAACTGAGGTTGAGATGAGGGGTGTAAGTGGTTTGAAAGAGTCTTCCTCACTCTGACCCCAGCTTCTGATACTGAGGACCTATCTCTTTATGGAGAATCATTGCTTCTAAGACCACACCATGCATTCTTCTTCTTTTCATTGATTGCTACATTTCAGTTTGGCTGTTCGAACACCTAAAGACTAAAAGTCCAGAAAGTGTTCAATGTGTTCATATCCCAAACAAGTTCCCAAACATACAGCCTGGTCGGTGCTTCACCTTAGTTTTGTAGATGTGACACTATAAAACAGTGATGTGAAACTGCAGCTCATTTTTCTATAAAAATGTATTTTCAAATGTTTTGGAAGTTCCTGTCAAGTGAGACTTCTGTAATGTAAAAACTAAGATTCTTCTTTGTTGACAGACATTACTCTGCACTAAGGGCAATTGGTTTACACACAAGACTTAAGGTTACCTATTTTTCCAGTGAAAGTGTGTCCATATTCTCTCTTCTTACCTATGGAAACCGGTGGAATAAACTTTTGAGCCCATTGTGAATTTCAAGTAGAGCTAAAAAATATATATATATAAGATATCCTTACAAATGTGGCTACTTTGTGAATTATAATTCAGCTACTTTTTAAAGTACTGATTTTCTTTAAATTTACTTAAATATTTCTTGTTGATTGCTGAACATCAATTTATGTTGTATAACTTGTTGAAAGTTAACAGACTGGTAGAACAAAAAGAGTAAGAGGATTGGCAGATATCAGAACAAAGATTTAGGGTTGAATGAAACAGTACATTTAAGGTAATGTACTGGATAGATGGTAGAGCTGAATGAGATACAATAATATGAGTTAAGAATTTGAATACCATGTTGATGAATTCATCTTTCTTGTCATTTGTTATTAAGAATTTCTGTGGGATTAGAGGTGATGGACATGTAATACTTGCATTGGTTTAATAATAATTTATTTGGTATATACTAAGTGCTAGGTCCGATCTGAAGAGCTGAGGATGTTGACTGAATGCATATATTTTGTTGGTTTGTAACAGGATCATTGTTAATCACTTAAAGCACACAGATCTAAAATTGGTTCCAAAATTTCAGGGGACTTCTTTGAGGACATGTTGATTGTCATGTTGAAAGATAGATAAGAATGATTTTTCCCTTTTAGCTTTTATTTTTTCTGATTTTATAAAAGCTAGTTACACTTCCCCTGTCTTCTTTAGCACACCTCCCCAAAAGAAAAAACAAACAAAAAAACTATGGAGAAGTTTCCTTGTTAAAAGAATCAGTAATGGATAAACATTTAGGTAGAAGATACTGACTTTTCTCTCTGACTTGGTTTCATTAAAAAACATTCACCTATTTAAAAATTAAACTTGTTTTCTTGATTTCTAGGGTTAATTTTAGAAATAATATAAAAGAACTGATTATGCATTCAGGGTTGGTATAAATATGGTGTAACCCGTTTGGCTTTGATTTAAAGTGAATGTCACTGCATTCATCAGAAGCTGTTTCTCTTTTTAACTGAATAATTTATGCAGATACTTGACATGTTCCAAATAAAATTCTCTGTTTATGCACAAACTCTTGGATTTCCATAGGTTACAGACACAGAAAGTTGATTGAAAGGTTATCCGGCTCAGAACCCACAGTGAGGCATTTTGTGGGATACACTTTCCAGTACAGATGGTCCCCAACTACGATGGTTGGACTTAACGATTTTTCAACTTTATGATGGTGCAAAAGTGATACATATTAGGTAGAAATGGTACTTCGAATTTTGAATTTTGATCTTTTCTCAGGCTAGGCTAAGATATGTGGTAAACCACTCTCTTGTGATGCTAGGCAACAGCATCAGATCGCAGCTCCCAATCACACTGAATCACAAGGGTAAACAACTGATATTCTATAGTGTTCTGTGTTACCAGATGTTTCTGCCCATCTGTAGGCTAATGTAAGTGTTCTGAGCACACTTAAGGTATGTTAGGCTAAGCTATGATGTTTGATAGGTTAAGTGTGTTAAATGTATTTTTGTCTTCTGACATTTTCAACCTACGATGGGTTTATTGGGACATAACCCCCATCATGAATCAAGGAGTATCTATATTCAATTTGAAGCAAGTTTTAAAAGTAAATTATCAGCTGAGTGTGGTGGCTTACACCTGTAATCCCAGCACTTTGGGAGGCCAAGGCAGGCAGATCACTAGAGGTCAGGAGTTTGAGACCAGCCTGGCCAGCAAGGTGAAACCCCCTCTCAACTAAAAATACAAGAACTAGCCGGGAGTGGTGGTGCGGGGCCTGTAATCCCAGCTACTCGGGAGGCTGAGGTAGGAGAATTGCTTGAACCCTGGAGGTGGAGGTTGCAGTGAGCTGAGAGCATGCCACTACACTCCAGCCCAGGCAACAGAGCAAGACTCTGTCTCAAAAAAAAAACAAAGTAAATTATCATTTTTGACTTTCCATTTAAGTTTTTTAACAAAGCTTAGTTATAATAGGCAGGTCGTTTTTGTTGGTGGGGTGTGTGTGTGTTTTAGTAGGTTGGCACAAAAGTAATTGCAGTTTTTTTCTTTTGCGCCAACCTAATAGATACATATGCAGTTTTATTTTTCTGAGTGTTTTAGCAGCTAATATAATATTATTGCCAAAATTTTATAACCTTAACAGGAATTCTTTCAACTGAGTTCTCTTGATTCTCTATAGTTTTACTCGCATTGACCTTATTAAATTGTTGCACACAACCAGGGGGAAAGACTGGTAGTAGCCTAGGGAAGGTAGAACAAATAATTCTTTTAAGAAGTGACCAGAGGAGTAAAGAACTTACTCATGTAACCAAACACCACCTGTTCCCAAATAACCTATGGAAATAAAAAATTTAAAAAAAAAAACCAAACACCGCATGTTCTCACTCATAGGTGGGAATTGAACAATGAGAACACGTGGACACAGGAAGGAGAACATCACACTCTGGGGACTGTTGTGGGGTGGGGGGTGGGGGGAGGGGTAGCATTAGGAGATATACCTAATGCTAAATGACGAGTTAATGGGTGCAGCACACCAGCATGGCACATGTATACATATGTAACTAACCTGCACATTGTGCACATGTACCCTAAAACTTAAAGTATAATAATAATAATAAAATAAAAAAAATTAAAAAAAAAAGAAGTGATCAGAGGAGAAAGGAAATTTAATGGAACCAAAATGTAATAAATAATAAGTGCTAATTTGTCCAGGAGAATCAGCTCACCTATTAGAAAACAAAATTGAAGGAGTGATCATACCATTATAAATACATATAGTATATAATCTATTCTTAAATTATAATACATTTGTAATTTCTTTGCTAAAATTTATGCACATTTGAGATGCAGACATATGCTATTCACTGCATAGAAGATAAATTAATATAGCACACAGTTACGTGAATATGAAATTAGACAATTTAAGATTGATGGGTTGGTCAGTTTGCTTTATCCGCAATCTTTCTTTAGTGGCTCTTAAAAATATTGATGACCCAGGTGCAGTGACTTGTATTAAGTAATTAGGTTGACTGCACAGAAGGACAGGATAGGAGGATAGGATAAAAGTTGTACAGAAATGATCATATCCCTTTTATACTAAATAATTCTGGAAGCATTTGGTCATTTGACATAGTTTGCACAGCACTTTAAGGTTCCTCTGGTGGTGGCAGTGACTTTTCCCCGACTCCCCACCCCCCCTTACTCTTTTCATTCTACTCCCCTCCTCTTCCCCTCCCCCTCCTCCTCTTCTGCATGCCTACATACCTTCCTCCCTCCCTCTCTCCCTCCATAGCTCCTTCCTTCCTTCCTTTCTTTTCTCTTTTCTTTTCTTTCTTGCTTGCTTGCTTGCTTTATTGACATATGATTCATATACTGTACAACTTACCCTTTAAAGTATGCAATTTAGTGGTTTTAGTATATTGAAACAATTGTGCAACTAATCACAGAGCAACCACAATCTAATTTTAGAACATTTTCCCCCCTGAAAGAAACTCTCTCAGCAGTCAGTCTCCATTACTCCATTCCCTCTCCAAGACCTAAGCAACCACTAATCTGCTTTCTGCCTCTGTAAGTTTGCTTATTCTGGACCTTTCCTATAAATGGAAGCATACAGGATGTGGTCTTTTGTGATGGGCTTTCTTCACTTATCTTAGTGTTTTCAAGATTCTTTCATGTGTAGCATGTATTTGTACTTTATTCCTTTTTATGGCTGGATAATATTTCATGGTATGGATTTATACTATATTTTGTTTATATATTCCATCAATTGATGAACGTTTGGGCTGCATGAATGTTTTGAGGCTATTATAAATAATAATTCTATGAACATTTGTATGCAAGCTTTTGCATGATCATATATTTTCATTTCTCTTGGTTATATACCTAGGAGTGAAACTCCTAGGCCATGTAGTAACTCTATTTTTTTGTTTTGCCACGTTACTATGATGTGTAAAATGTCAGGAAGCAAGGCAGAAGAACTCAGAACCAACTTCTTTCTCAGGACTTTTTAGGCCACTAGGATTGTTTAGAATCTTTAAGACAACTCTCAAGGAGAGTAAACCTGGAAGACTGTGAGTATGCACACAGACTAGACACTTGAAAAACCCTCCTGGTCAGAATCAAAAGGTTTGCGAACATGCCAGAGTTTCTCTGATATGCAGTGATTTCGACAGACGCTTTCATACCCTATCTAGAGTATACCTGATAGTTATCTCTGTAAGTATGGCTGATTCCGCCCTCTGAGAATTAGGTACTTAATACTGAATCTGAATTAAATCTTGTCTTGGACAGTGCTCGGGTAGTCAGGTTGCTTTCACTTCTCCTTCACTAGTGAAGAGAACACTAGTTATGGTTGAAAGGCTTCATTGGAGTTGACATTATTATTCTTAAGAGAAGCATTTCTTTTCTGTTTCTTCTACCCCCCTGCAAGAATCCTGAGTCAGTGCACTTCCTAAATGGAACAGTGCTTTGGGGACCTATGAAGAAGGCAGTCTGCAGGAATTGTTAATTATTTCTAAAAATAACTCTGGGATACAGGCTAATGGTGATGACTGGATTCTGGCACTTTATGGTTATAGAAACCACTTTTATATATTTTGATTTCCTCCCCTAATGCTTAATTATCTCCATGTGGACATTATGATAGAGTGTCATTGAAGGTATTAAAAATGTAATTAATTGCTTAACAGTTATATCTTGTGAAAACAATGTGGAAATCTTTTTACATTTTTAATTTTTGGTTCAAACAAACCTAACTAATCAAAGAGCAGCCACAAAAATCCTCAAAATGCAAATTAGACACAATAATGTACAGCTACCAATTACAGATTTTAGTGTTTTTGTATTCCACAGCAACAAACTGCCAAGTCTTAAAAAAAAAGAAGTCAACTAAAGCATTCTGTTGTTCCCTGAGCTCTACTGTATATTCTACTGGAAGATTTTAAGCTCTGTCATGGACATATGACTAGAATCACAAATTTTTTAAAAAGTGTTCAGACAAGGCAAATATCTAACTATGAGCTATAGAAGTTAAATATATTGAGTATGTCAGTGTTTGCATTTTATTTTTGGATGGTATAGAATTTTATTAGTTTTCTATAATAATCATTGCTTATACTGGCTTACAGTGATTTACTGTATTAACATAAGCTTTTTATACAGATCTGAGATTGTATCTAATAAGATGACTAGAGTCATGACCATTTAGTTAATCTAAAAAATGAATAGATTTTTAAAAAATTAATTTCAGTGGTCTTTTATGTTATAGAGTGATGGAGTCTAACAAAATTTTAAAATCTTGTCACAAAAAAGGATACAGAAAAGATTTTGCATAATGTTTTATTATTATCCTCTCTATGATCTTTTCGCTTATCATTTCAGATAAGACCAGAAATTCCCATTCCTGAAGAGTTAGATGACGATGAAGATGTTGAGGATGTGGATCTTTCAGTTCCTGGCTCTTGCTATCTCAAACTGTTGTCACTCACTCCCCCTTTGGTTTTACCAGGTGACTCCTATTTGGTAGTAGAGAAGCTAGCATTTTTTAGTGGTTCGATTTGTCTGATTGTATTCTTTTGTGATAGGTACATAGTATAGTTTAACCTTATGTGCTTATTTTTTAACCAGAATGTTAAATGCACCCATCTGTTCTATTGAAACAGCTTGAGGTAGTATGGTGTTTAAATCATACGAAAAAACGTTACATCTGAGTAGGATTGAACAAGAAAACTAGTGTAAACAATTGTGTTCACTGATAATTAAAATTCATTTAAAAGGCTAAATGTATTCCACAAGATGAATTTGCACTGGTACTCTAGGTCATTGATTTAAACAATACTTCTTTCTTACATAAGCCAAGTGAAAAGATCATTAGACTATTCAGAGATTTACTGAGTAGTTTCATTATTATACATTTATTCTTTCTATAGAGTTATGCCAAAGATGTTACTGATATTTATTTCAGAGCTATAAATTAATGCTTTTAAAAGATGGATCAAATTGTATGGTCATTCAGCTTTGATGTAAAGCTTATAGGGCCTTTATCTTTTAAAAAGTAGGCTGGGTATGATGGCTCACGCCTGTAATCCCAACACTTTGGGAGGCTGAGAGAGGCAGATTGCTTGAGGTCAGGAGTTAAATACAAAATTAGCCTGGTGTGGTGGTGCATGCTGTAGTTCCAGCTATTTGGGTGGCTGAGGCACAAGAATCACTTGAAGCTGGGAGGTGGAGGTTGCAGGGAGCTGGGATCATGCCACTGCATTCCAGCCTAGGTGACAGCCTAGGTGACAGCCTAGGTGTCTCAAAAAAAAAAAAAAGTATTCTAATGCTTATATGTGGTAATTATTCTATATGTATATTGTGTTTAGAAGTACTCACTTGCCCCTATTACTATATGCCCTACCCAAGAAATGGTAGACGATACCATTTGAAAAATATGTTTGATTGTGGACTGTGATTAGGAACTTACATTATTTTATTTTGAATGTTATTTTCTGATCATTAAAAAGTTATTTACAAATTCCTCAAGTGATTTATTGTGATTAAGTAGCTTTTCTATATTAGACAACATCTTGCTTAGTTTTGTTACAATTCTACTTTGAATGTTCGTGGATATAAAAATTTAATTTCTGGAAATGAAGTTCAATCAAAACAAGAAAGGTCATGTTATTTTCTCAGTCATAACCATACTAGCCTGTAATGTTGGAAGTTTTTTCCTCTGGTTTCATCCCACATGGAAATTCCTGTGAAATTCAGCCAAATATATACTATTTATTTCTAGACAAAGCTCCTTTTACAGTTCCCTGCCTCCTTTTATTAGAGAAAACTGAATGGCCAAGTTAGACAAAGAGATCACCTTTTCTCTTCTCCTGATATCTAGAAAGAAGCCTCAAAGACTTGTTCACTCTTCCTCTCTTCTGTTCTTCCCCACTTCCTACCTCTTAGCTTTTCAGAGTCTAAGGCCTCCCTGAAGTTAACATGAGTCCAAGGAAGGAAAAAGCCTTCAGTTATCCAAAGTTCTTTCTTTAACCTGAAATAACCTAGAGTCAGAAGTCCTTTGGGGCTTTTTAAATGATTTTTTTTTCACTTGTACATGTATCCCCCATCACAGTCTCTGGTGTTAGAAAGAGAAGTGGGGGAATATTTGTTGCCAAGGGGTGCTGTTGTTTGTCTTCTCAGTACAGAATGTGCAGTGCTATGATGGCTATTACCTGGATCTTCTACATTGTTTGTCCTTGGTGGTTCTCAGTGCCTTCGACTGAGAAAGAAGGGGAAGAGTTGAGATCGACAACTGTATTTGTTTGAGAAAATTTAGTAATTTGAGTGAGGTGGGTGATCTAGATGCTATGTTGGCAAACTGTCACCATGGACATTTTTTCGTTGATTATTAGAGAAGTATAAAAAGTGTCCCTTTGATTATTACAGAACTAGAAAAAGAACCAGGAAAAAGTCACCAGCCTTAGGAATATATACCCTAAAATGCACAGGATGAATGATATATATTAGTCACCAAATGCTACAGACAGAAAAGTGGGTTGTGCTGAATTTAAGTGAATCCTGCCCCTTTCTCCTTTTAATTCCTTTCAAATGAACACAAAAGCAGCTGTAAAGTGAATCCAGGAATTTGCATTATTTAAATAGAGATGTTACTGCTATTGATTATTAAAAAATAGTTTTGAAATAATTTTACACTTCCAAGAAGTTGCAAAAACAGTTTAGAGAGTTCTGTGTACCTTTTTTGACCTGGTGCTCTAGTTGATAACATCTCACATAACCATAGTATGATATTAAAACCAGAAAATTGACATTGGCACAATATTACTAACTTAAACTATAGACCGATGTGAATTTTATAGGGTTTTCTCCCCCAGTATATAAACTTAAGGGATTAGCTATTTCTTTCCCCGTCAAGTGTCCTTGAGGGGTTTGGGCCATCACCCTGAAAGACCAAATCCCGAATAGCATAATTGTAATTGCCGAAATCCTGAAAGATTAAAATATCTAAAGTCTAAAATCCTCAAAATCACAATTCTGAAATCTCAAAAATGTAATTCTAGAAAAATAATAAAATGTTCTTTAAAAGATGTTTATTTACATTTTAAAAGGCAATTTACTTGAGAAACATAAAAACACAGCAGAGCACTTCATAGATCACTTTACACAATAAAATAGGCAAAGTAATGTACATATTTTTGCAATCATAAACAGGTATACTAACAACAGCCACAATCTAACAATTATGAGCAGATGAACTGTATTCATAAACAAATAGCCCTCAAAACAATATGTATAAATGCTTATCACTATGACTGGTGGTTGTGGGCTCCCAGGTTTGTAACTGCAGTCACCGGAAATACTCTGATGCACAACTGAAGTCTTTTGACAAAATCATTCGAAAACCTCAAGCTCGAGACCAGCCTGGCCAACATGGTGAAACCCTGCCTCTACCAAAAATACAAAAATTAGCCGGGCATGGTGGCAGACACCTGTAATTCCAGCTACTTGGGAGGCTGAGACGAGAGAGTCGCTTGAACCTGGGGCAGAGGTTGCAGTAAGCCAACATTGCACCACTGCACTCCAGTCTGGGCAACAGAGAGACTCCATCTCAAAAAAACAAACAAACAAACAAAAACCCCAACGGGTTACCACTCTTTATGCAGTCACTCAAAGAATTGAGATCTCGAGATATTTTATGTTTCACAAATGCAGATATACAAAAATGACATCTCTACTTATTGTGGAAGTTTCAACATTTTTACATACATACACAATACTTACACACAAAGTCAGTGTTGTGATAATGCACTTTTGTGGAGTCATATTTGTAAAAAAAAAAATGCATAAAACCAATTAGAACTCTTTAGAAGTCTTTATACAATTTGTACTTCCAGTATCGGAAAAGATGCAAAAATGAAATACATAGCATAGCAAGTTGGCACTATGTGTGAAGGGGCGGAAGTTGTACATGATTAAATAATTTGGCAGGGGAGATTTCTTGTGTTTTTTGCCTGCGTTTTCATTTCTGTGATCTTCAAAATGTGAACTGTACTTGTATTTGGAGAGTGGTTGTGGTCTAGAAATTTGGTGAGTATATATTCTCCATCTGAAAGTCTAGTTATTGCTCGGCCATTGGAAATAAGCAATTTTCTGCTTTTGCTGCATCAATAATAATTAACTTTCGAACTTCTTTCACCATTAAGTAGCCTTGTACACATAACTTATCACAACCCCTTTTCGTGAGAGAACAATTTCGCATATCTCTTCCACTCTGTTGTAAGGAATATAGTAAGAAGGAATTGTATTTGGCTTCTCCAATACCAAATCTATTTTAGTCACATTTCTTCTGAAAGACAGAATCAATAGGACATGTATATAGATATATGAGGGGACCGATTAGGATAATTGGCTTACATGATTACAGTAGCTAAGTTGTGTGACAGACTATCTGCAAGCTGGAGACTGGGATTCTGGTAGTGTGGCTCCATTCAAGTCCGAAGGCTTCAGAACCTGGGAAGTGGGTGGTGTAACTCTCAATCTGAGGCCAAAAGCCTCAGGACCCAGGGGGCTGCTGGTGAAAGTCCTGTAGTTTAAAGGCTGTTGAGCCTGGAGTTCTGATGTCCAAAAGCAGCAGCAGAAGCCTGTCCCAGCTCTCATAGAGAGTTCACCTTCTGCATTTGTTCTCTCTGGGTCTCTGGACAATTGGATGGTGCCCATCAACATTGAGGGCAGATCTCCCCTGTACACTACTCAGACTCACATACTAATCTCCTCTGGAAATACCCTCACAACCCCCAACCCCAAATAATGCTTTACCAGGTTTCTAGGTATTCCTTAAGCCAGCCAAGTTGACACTTAAGTTCACAAGTTCACCCCTTGTCAACTGGCACCCATACACATCTCCTTAACTTCCAAATAAAGACAGTAACAAGGTAATAGTTCTGCCTAACAGATGCAACTATCCTGTGTACAACTGAAAATGCACTAATTCCCTCCCCAGGATTAGGCTTTCAGGATTTCAACATTTGGGATTTTAACCTTTTGGGATTGTGATTTTGGGGATTTTAGATGTTAGGAAGTTTAGACTTAAGGGATTTTGATCTTCCAGAATTTCAGCATTTGGGATTATGGTGTGTGGGACTGTGTCTTTTGGGATTATTATTAGCACTAGTTTTTTATATTTATTCCAAATAGTTACCTGTATCAATTGTTTTTTCTTTTTTATTGCTGACTGGCATTCCATTGTGTGAATGTAACACAGTTTGTTGATCCATTCAGCTGTTGAGGACATTTGGGTTGTTTTGAGAATTTATGTCTGACACTTTGTGTCCTACGAATTTTCAGCTTCTTTTTAAATTCCCATCTGGTCATTGGTAAGAAAGAGATTGGGGAAAGCTCAAAAGCAACGAGAAAAATTCTAGTTGCTAACTTAGTATTTACGGGAAGATGAAGCTCTATACATCAACTACACTTAGCCTCCTGGCATCTTATCCTCATTTAAATTAATCCCTGGGCTGGTGTTAGGTAAACATCTGTAGTTCACTGTAGAGCTTGGTAAGTAGAAAACTTCCATTGCTGGGTTAGTCTATGTGCAGATATGTTCTTGCCCCTTGACATGTTTCACCTTTTGCCAGAATAGGATCCTTCTGAGAAAGGAAGAAATTACTTTCTTTCATCATAGTGCCTCTACCCTCACAAACAGTTGATTCATAGCTGCATTCTGTAAAGTCTATAATTATACCCACTTTGAAGCAGTCCCTGTGTATGTGTATGCAGAAATTGGGGTACATGGCCTGCAATCGGATATTACTCATCTGTTTTGTGTAAATGATGTATTGATCACTGTTATGACAAGAAAGGGTGGGGGATACATTCAGATTGAGTAATTGGAGAGAGTTTAATAAAGAACCTATTTACAGTTGTGTTGTCAAGGTTAAGGGAAACTCACAAGAGATGGTAAACCGTCTCAGAGTGCTTAATGTCTCTGGCCTACAGAGATAACGGGAGGAAGAAGAAAGAGTATCTGTATTATAAATTGGGGTGCCTAAGGGGAGCCAAGACTTTCAGAAGAGGAATGCAGGCAACCTGTAGCAATCCTGCAAGAAGCCCTGTGTCTGGGGAATACATCTCCTGACTTCACTGTTTTCACCCTTTGATGTCCTGCCAGTGACTCCAGTGGTTGAAACCAACCAGAAGCCAGAGGACATGGGAGCCTGTTAATGCCTTTCTTTAAAGACTGTTTTTCCAGAGCACAGAGCAGGGTTGAGAAGGATAGAGGATAGATAAGAAGGAGTAAATGGAAAACGTCACATATTGGTGTTTTTGAGCTTTGAATGGAGAATCTTGATTGCATCTAGGAGGGTCCTGTCAGAAATGGGTATATAATAGACGGTCCAGTGAGCTCTTGCTGCCTTTAATTTAATCATATTCATTTAAAGGAGACTTTTAGATAGATCTCTTCAGAATGAAATTCCAGTTAGGTGGACCCTTGCTTTTTGTTTCTGTAAGAGCCACATGCAGTGGTTTTCTTTTTTCATTTTCCGCTACATATGATTTGTTTAGCTTTAATGTTTTTTGTTTTTTTGTTTGTTTCTGTATTGGGCAACCTCTAGTGGTCCTTAGGAAAATCACATTTGAATATGAACCTATAGTCTTATCAAATATTTTGTTTATACATCCTGTTGTCTTCTGACATCATATTTCTGTTATTATATAGTAAGTAAAATGTCAAATGATAAAGATCTTGGGCTTAATTAGAAAGAACACAAGCAAAGATAGTGGACAAATATCTCATTTTAAAATAATTGTCCTAATATTGCTAAGTATAGATAGTTATGAAAGAGGTTTTTCTGAAAACACTTAAATGATAAGAAGGAGCCATTCTCATGAAAATGTGGGACTGATATGTTCCAGGTGGAAGGGATAGCAAATGCAGTGGCACTGACTTAAATATCAACTTTGTGTTTTTGAGGAATGGAAAGAGGCCATATGTAAGTGTGACTTCAACATAGCAAGGAGGTAGGGTATTAGACATTAACTCTGAGGGGGAGTCAGGGCTAGATTATAAAAGGTCTTGATCATGGTCAGAAGTTGTGATTTTATTTTATGCACAGTGAAAAGCAACTGGAAGGTGTTAGGGACAGGAATGACAAAATTCTGGCCTCTGGGCAGAGGAAGGTTTATAGAGGATGGTCAAGAGGAAAAGAATTCAGTAAACTAGTTTTTACATTAGTTTGTATGAGGAGGACAAAAGATAATAAGTAGATAAATAGCAGTGAAAAATGGAGAGAAACTGATGGATTTGGGATAGATTTTGAAGGTGGAATCAGAAGGACTTGCTAATGGATTACATGTAATAAGTGAGGGAAAGAGAGGAATTAAGCTTGAGCAACTTGGTGCCATGTTCTAATTTGGAGGAAGACTAAGAAAGGGATAGGTATCAAGAGGTCTCTTTTTACCATGTAAGGTTTGGCCAGAAATGTAGCTTAGTTGTTTGTATATGAGTTAAGAACGCATGTTTCTCTTCTAGCTTATTGTATTTACTCTACTTTTGGTCTCCTTTTATCCTCTTTTAGCTTTGGAGGAATTTTTTACATCACTTGTGAAGCAAGAAATGGTGAATATGCCTCGTGGGATATATCACTCTGCATTAAAAGGAGGTGCCCGCTCAGACCAAGGAAAGACTGTAGCAGGAATCCCCAATTTTATATTGAAAATGTATGAAACAAACAAGCAACCAGGACTGAAACCTGGCCTTGCAGGTAAGGGTAGTACATAGTATCAAAAATACAGGTTTTTCATGTAATGATTTAACTTCCACTTTCAAGTAGGATATAATGGGCCATGGCAGGGTGTTGCTGCTGCTACTAACATGTGGATAAATTATAAAAATCATCGCACTTTAAAAGACATCGCAGAACTGTAGAAGCAAAGACAAATAGATGGATTTAAGTTTCAGAGTCAGCATAACATTTTAGAACTGTTTTCTCCCCACCTTGGGGGATACCCACTCAGCCCAGAGGCATGGCCTGTTGGAAGAAAGAGAAACTAGAGGAGCTTTTAGTGATTGCCTGGGACTAGGGCGACAAATTAGAGATTTTTCTCACAGGACATTTGCTGAATTTTGAATTTGCACCAAGAGCTAAAGAGCTAGGCTGAAAGCTTCTGAAAGGCAAAGTGAAATCCCTTTTAGTCTTCTGATGCTTAGGAAACAAAGACGAGCTAGGAGAATGGGCTTGAAAAAACAGCATGCAAGAGGTAAAAGCCCAAGAGAGAATGGTGAATTGATACTGAAGATCTGCAACTGCTCTCACCTGGGTGAACTTACTAATTCTGGCCACAGCTGGAATCTGAGCATTCAGCCTCAACTTTATTGAGAAGCTGGTGAGGAGGTGGAGAAACCAGCAGACATCTTGGCAATCATGTGGAGCAAGAGTGACACAACTCAGAACTTGAGTGACCTTGAGCACAAGGCCAATTTCTCTCAAGTTATTTGCGACATTTTGAAGCTTTATGGGATGGAAAGCTAAAGAGCTAAGCTGAAAATTTCTGAGAGCAGACCTAAATCTCTCATAATTTTTTCAGATTGAGGAGTCAAAGACTCATTAGACTGCCAATTAGTGGGGGGTGTTGTGGGGAGATATACCCTGGCAAAGGAGTGAACCAGAGCTGGACTCAAATTACAAAAGTTATAATCAGTCCTAACCCAGATCAATTCCTGATTAGGTTGAGGTAATCAGTCCTTCACCCAGTCTGCCTAACAGAGGAGAGAGGAAAACTACTCTTTGATTGACAATAACACCATTTAGTACTTCTGTGGTTCTTTCATATACTGCACTAGACACAGGACAAAGGAAGAAGCTGGAAATGAAGGGAATGATTCCTGGAGATAAAGAAGTCACTCTCTTTGGAAAATATCAATTCTAACTGGCCTACATGAAATAACATACTTTCAAAATATATGACAAAAATGAGTAGAACTAAAAGAGGAAATAGACAAACCCACAATAATAATGGAAACTTTAAAATATCTTTTTCAGTAGCTGGCAGAGCAAGGAGACAAGAAAATCTATAAGATCACAAAATATCTGAACAATCTATGAACAAACTACTGTATAGACATGTAGAACATTGTACCTTATAGTGATAGAATTTATATATCTTTTAACTGTACATGGAAAATTTACCAAAATGACCATACGCTGGACCACAAACTTCAATAAATTTCAAGATATTGAAGTCACTTAGAGTTTGTCCTCTGATGACAATGGGATTAAGCTAGAAATAAATAACAAAAATGATTACCATGATATCTCCAGTTGGCTGAAAATTGAACAGTATACTTATAAGTAATGGATGGATCAGAGAAAAGAATCAAAATGGAAATGAGAAGATAGTTTGAAGTGAATGATAATGAAGATAAGCCATATAACAACCTGTAGGTTGCAGCTAAAATAGTATTTTTAAACACTGTTTCCCCTCTAGGGAAATTCACACTTTCAATGTATATTTTAGAAAAGAAAGGAAAATAATCAGTATTTAAACTTCCAACTCAAGAAGCTTGGAAAAGAACAGCAAATCAAACTTAAAGGATCAGGGAAGAAATAATAAAGATAATAAAACTCAGTGCAATAAAAAACATAAATAAGCTGGAGGTTCAGCTGAGAGCTTAACTGACCGTTGTGGAAAGGGCAGGGAGAAGAGGGAGAGTGAGTGTATGTGAATACAGGAATGAGGGAAAGCTTGTCCACTTTTGAGTATAAACTAAAGGGACCCATGTTATCATGTGTTCATGAAGATTAATATGTGCAAGTATTTCTCTTTAATTGAAATTTTTAAAAAACTTAATAGAATCTCTAGAACTAAACAGTTCACAAAGTCAAGACTTGCAAATTTGTTCATTTATTTATACTTATACTTATTTACTCATAAGTAAATTGTAAATAATATTTTACATGTGATCTTAACTAAAAAGCTATGAGTCAATAAGTAATATACTATATTATATTACGTTTATATTTTGAGACAGAGTTTCTCTTGGTTGCCCAGGCTGGAGTACAGTGGCACAATCTCAGTTCACTGCAACCTCCACTGCTAGTTCAAGTGGTTCTCCTGCTTCAGCCTCCCGAGTAGCTGGGATTTCAGGTGTTCGCCACCATGCCTGGCTAATTTTTGCGTTTTTAGTAGAGATGGGGTTTCACCATGTTGACCTGGCTGGTCTCAAACTCCTGACCTCAAGTGATCTGCCTACCTTGGCCTCCCAAAGTGCTGGGATTACAGGTGTGAGCCACCGTGCCTGTCCCAATAGTATTTTAAATATTAGCTTTTTAAATCTCTTGTGTTTTTTTATTCCTTATATATAAATGGTCAAAAATCATAATTTGCTTAACAAGTTAGCTTTTAGTTATAAATATCTCTATCCAGATTGATTATCAGTTACTGAGAATCTAATTAGTAAAGTTTTTCCATAAGAAATGTCTTTGTAAGCTGGGCGCGGTGGCTCACACCTGTAATCCCAGCGCTTTGGGAGGATGAGGCAGGCGGATCATGAGGTCAGCAGTTAGAGACCAGCCTGGCCAATATGGTGAAACCCTGTCTCCACTAAACTTAAAAAATTAGCCGGGCATGGTGGCACACGCTTGTAGTCCCAGCTACTCAGGAGGCTGAGGCAGAAGAATCCCTTGAACCCAGGCGGCGGAGGTTGCAGTGAGCTGAGATTGCACCACTGCACTCCAGCCTGGGCAACAGAGTGAGATTCTGTCTTAAAAAAATAAAAATAAAAATAAAATAAAGTCTATATAATTTTTTTTAAAGGTGGTATGTTATTTTGCTATGATGTTTCCATGTATCAGAGTAAAGATGGAAAACCATTGAACAGACTGATGGCCAGCAGAGGGCGAAGTTTCAAGCAGACTTCACTTGCTCTTGTACATGAGGTAGGTTCCCGTGTCCTCTTCTTTATGTTTTAGTGTTTTCTCCCTTCATGATATGTTTAAGAAGTTGTTTGTTTAGAAATAATTTTTTTGATCATAATTAATGTAAGTTGCTTTTAAAGGCCACCAAAATAGTTGACCCAACTGAATACTCAAATATTTCAATGTATTTCTGAAAGAAACTGCCATGTTTTCCCCCACTGCCCAGCGTATTTATTAGGGAGTAATGTCTAGGAATTTGCTTTACTTCATCAATGCTTAACTGTCATTATTCAGAATAAATATCAATTTATTGTTTAAAGAAATGCTACTGCCTATATCTTAATTCTAATCCTTTGCAATTATGTAGGGGACCAGTGTTTGTATTTTGTGAGTGTTTGGAATTAAAAGTAAATAAAAGCATTTTAGAAAAATAACCCTTGGTTTTAATGTTTATTTTACTTTTCCTTTCAGCTACCTTTTAAAAATAAAGTTCTGTGATTCTATTAGATGATTTATATGAAATCTGATTATTGCAGATTATGGCAAAACCAGGGGAAGAGGGAAGCTGGAAAGTCCTTGGGAAATGTATTTTTATTGTTTTTAAATATTTTATCACACTTACTCATATGATGTATACAAATTAAAATGTATGAATGAATAACAAAACAAAATGTCACAGCAAAGAGATTTATATAGTTCAGACATAGTAGGTTATATATCAGTTATAAGTAAAAATATATGAATTGTAAAGATTTAATGAACTTGATGTAAAAATAATTAGCATTTCTAAAATATCTTTCTATAACATCTTATTTTGATGCCTAATTTATACATTTGGTTGTAATTAATTTGATTCACTTTTATTCTGTATCACACCAATTGCCACCAGTTTCATAGCACAGCAAAATTCAGAGGGTTTTTCAAGACCCATCTTTGTCCTTTGCCATCCATTTTCCTTTCATATATTTAGTTAGAATTAAAATTGTGTAAATACTTGTTTCAGAAGCTTTTTTTTTGCCTAATATAGTGTCTTCATTCAACTAAAAAGAGAAGAAGGATCTGGGAAGAGCAACGCTTTTCTAGGAGGAAGGTTTAATTTCAGACATAGGTGATTTCTATGTTTTTTTTGTCCCTGGCATCTCATTAGTTGGCATAGAGAAGGGAGAAACGTGGTACCTTTTTGTGTTTTAAGCTGTGCACTTAGATATTTGAAGGAAAACTGAAGTCTAAAGTCTTACTGAAAAGCTGATTTATAATAAAAAGTCACCATCAGAACAGAAACAAGAAAAAGCATTAGTGCAGGGGATGGCAGAAGACATCTGATAACTTTTGGCAGTGGCATCAGAAGTTATGAGGTGTGTCCGAGATATAAGCACAGAAAATCTTTGGGTTAAGATACTTGTTGCTTGTGCTGTAGAGAGTCTAGAAAATTTCAAAGGGAAAAGAAAATAACATCATTGTTTTAGGGGTCAATTAGAAGGCGTATTGGACAGAATTCTGCCAAATGTATAGTAGGATTTTAGACTGGATTCCATATTCTGCTCAGTATATGTAGTTCATTTGCTTAAAACACAAAGGCTGGGGGACCCATGAAGTTTCTCAAACTATGTGACAAGAAATAATATGAACTTTCAGAGCTGGTTAATAAAAATAATTGCAATAATAACAGCTAATAATCGATTTAGATACTTTCAACACTGTGAGGTAGGTGCTGTTAATGTGTCAAGGTCACATAGCTAACAAGTAGAGGAGCCTGGAAATTGAACCCAGGCAGTGAGGCTCCATAGTCCTTGAACTGTCATCTTCTCTCCCAGGTTAATCAGAGAAGATTCTAGAAATACATTTGGATTTTTCCAAGATTACTCTAAGCTCTCTTAAATCATCTCCTTGCATCTTGTCTTTCTTTTGTTGCAATCAATTTGGGATTTTTCCAGATGAAATTTCTTCAAACCCTGCTTTTGATCCTCCCATTACTTTATCCTGAGTCTTTTTTATTTCCAAGTATTTCTTCTTTCTTTCCTTTTTCTTTCTCTTTTTTTTTTTGAGATGAAGTCTCACTCTGCTGTCCAGGCTGGAGTGCAATGGTGCAATCTCGGCTCACTGCAACCTCTGCCTCCTGGGTTCAAGGGATTCTCCTGCCTCAGCCTCCCGAGTAGCTGGGATTACAGGCATGCGCCACCACGCCCAGCTAATTTTTGTATTTTTAGTAGAGATGGAGTTTTACCATGTTGGCCAGGCTGATCTCGAACTCCTGACCTCAGGTGATCCACTTGCCTCGGCCTCCCAAAGTGCTGGGATTACAGGCATGAGCCACTGTGCCCAGCCATATTTCCAAGTATTTCTTGAGAATTGCAGTTTGTTTATTAATTCACCAGTTGATGGACCTTCGGGTTTTTTCTGTTTTCAATGATTAAGACTAAAGTTTCTATAAACATTCTCATACAGATCCCTGTGTGAACATTCATTTTTCTGTTTCTTTTCAGTAAACAAATACCTAGGAGTGAGAGTGCAACGTCATGTGGTAAATTCATATATAACTTTATAGGAAACTATCAAACTGTTTTCCTAGTGGCTGTCTTATTTTGAATGCCCATCTGCAAGGTATGAGAGTTTCAGTTGCTCTGCCTTCTTGTCAGTGCTTGATATAGTCAATTAAAAAAATTTAGCTATTCTTGTAGATGAGTAGTATTAGTTTCCCTTTGTGGTTTTAATTTGTGTTTCCTTAATAACTAATGATGTTGAAGCATCTTTTCATGTGTTTATTTTGTATGTATCTGTTTTCTTCCTGAAGTGTTTGCTCTGATCTTCTGCCCATTTTTAGAATTGGGGCTTTTGTTTTCAAAAGAGTGTTCTTTATATATTCTGGATATTTTTTTTTTTTTTACTTAGTGTGTTACATGTCTTTTCATTTTCTTTTTTTTTTTTTCTTCTTTTTTTTTTTTTTTTTGAGATGGAGTCTTGCTCTGTTGCCCAGGCGGGAGTGCAGTGGTGCGATCTCAGCTCACTACAACCTCCGCCTCCTGGGCTCAAGCGATTCTCCCACCTCAGTCTCCTAAATAGCTGGGATTGCAGGTGTGCACCACCATGCCCGGCTAATTTTTGTATTTTTAGTAGAGACGGGGTTTCACCATGTTGGTCAGGCTGGTCTCAAACTCCTGACCTCATGATCCATCTGCCTTGGCTTCCCAAAGTGCTGGAATTACAGGCGTGAGCCACTGCGCCTGGCCTTCATTTTTTTATAATGTATTTTGAAGAGTGGACTTTTCATTTTGAAGAATTTCAACTTACCAAATTTTACAAAATGGTTCTTGCTTTTTGTTTAATCCGAGATTACAAAAATTTTTCATTTTCTTTTTTCCTGTGTTTTATTTTTATTCTTTTAAATTACTTTTAGAAATTGAGGTATGGTATGGTTTGGCTACGTCCCCATCCAAACCTCATCTTGAAATGTAATGCCTACATGTTGCGGTAGGAACCCAGTGGGAGGTGACTGAATTATGGGGGCGGGTCTTTCCTGCACTGTTCTCATGATAGTGAATGAGTCTCATGAGATCTGATGGTTTTAAAAACGTGAGTTTCCCTGCACACCCTCTCTCTTTGCCTACTGCCATCCATTTAAGATGTGACTCGCTCCTCCTTGCTTTCTGCCATGATTTTGAGGCCTCTGCAGCTATGTAGAACTGTAAGCTTATTAAACCTGTTTCTTGTGCAAATTACCCAGTCTTGGGTATGTCTTTATCAGCAGTGTGAAAGTGGACTGATACAAGGTGTGATACATATACCATAAAATTTACTTATTTAAAGTATACAACTCAGTGGTTTTCAGTGTATCCACAGAGTTGTGTAACCATTCCCACAAACAATTTTAGAACAATTTCATTACCCAGAAAAGAAACTGTGTACCCATTTGTAGTCACTCTTCATTTTCCCTTGTCCTTAGCTTTCAGCAGCCACTAATCTACTTTCTGCCTCTGTAGATTTGCCTATTCTGGACATTTCATATAAATACCATCATACAATACATGGTTTTTAATGTCTGGCTTCTTTCACTTAGTATAATGTTTTCAGGGATTTTCCATGTTGTAGCATGTATTAGTACTTCATTCTTTTTTGTGTGAGAATAATACTTCTCTGCATGGATATACCACATTTAATTTATCCATCTTTCAGCTAATGGATCTCCTTCTGTGTTTTCTTGTAGAAGTTTTACATTTTAAGGTTTACTTTTTAGCTTAGGTCCATTTGAGTTAATTTTTGTATAATGTATGTGTTATTTGTTGAAAATACCATCTTTTATTCACTGAATTACCTAGGCACTTCTGCAAAAATCACTTGCCCATATATGTTTGGGTCTATTTCTGTACTCACTTTTGTTCCATTGAGATCTGTAGATTTGTGCTTTCACCGCAATGACATACATAGCTGAATAACTTTCGCTTTATAATGTCTTGAAATCAAGTAGTATGAGTCTTCCAACTTTGTTTCATGTTTCAAAAAAAGTTCTGACTATGCTAGATCTCTTGCTTTTCTATATGAATTTTAAACCAGTTTTAAGAAACCACAAAAAAGTTTGCTGATTTCAATGGTAAATGCATTGAATTTGTAGGTCAACTTGAGAGAGGACTGACATCTTGGTAATAGAGTATCTAGACCCATGAACAAGGTATAATTGTCTATGTTGATTTTTTTTGTATTATAAATCTTGGACATATTTTGTTAAAGTTCGTAAGTATTACATATCCCTAAGTATTTTGATGCTATTCAAATTGGACTTTTTATTTTAATTTTTTACTGTTTATTGCTAGTTTATAATCATCCAATTGATTTTTTCTATGACCTTACTAAACCAACTTATATATTCTTACAGTCTTTTTGTAAATTATTTTTGTTTTTCACTGTAATGTTGTCTATAAATAAAGATGCTTTTAATTTTTGCTTTTCTGATCTGTATGCCTGTCAATTGTTTTTATTGCTGGACTGCACTATCTAGGGCCATCATTACAGTGTTGAATAGGACTGATGAGAGTTAATATTCTTGTCTCGTTCACTTAGGGGAAAATATTCAGTGTTTCCCTGTTTAATATGATGTTTATATACAGATTTTGTCGACTTCCTTTGTCAGGTTGAAGAAGTTTCCTTCTAGTCCTAGATTTCTGAGAGGTTTTTTTTTTTTTTTAATCACAAATAGATGTTAAATTTTGTAAAATGCTTTTTCTGTATCAATTGAGATGATTCAACGCTTTTAAAATTTGTTGATATGATTACTTATTTTGATTGATTTTCTAATGTAAACCAACCTTGCATTCCTGGGATACACTCCGCTTGATCATAGCCTATTTATATATTGCTTCATTCTGTGTGCTAAAATTTTGTTAATAAGGATTTTTGCATCTGTGCTCATGAGACATGTTGTTCTGTAGTTTTCTTGTAGTAATTTTGCCTGGTTGTGTTATCAGGGTAATTTTGTCCAAATAAAGCAAGTTGTGTAGAGTTCCCCTCTTTTTTATTTCCCGAAATAGTTTGTATAGAATTGTTATTAATTTTTCCTTAAATGTTGGGTAGAATTCTCCAGTGAAAGCATCTTGGCATGGAGTTTTCTTTATAGGACTGTTTGTAACTGTGAATTCCATTTATTTAGTATACATGAGGCTATTTTTTTTTAATCTACCTATCTGTGTATCTACCTACAGACACACCTCATTTTGTTGCACTTTGCAGATACTGCATTTTTTACAAATTGAAGGTTCGTGGCAGCCCTGTATTGAGCAATTATCTAGGCACCATTTTTCCAATACCATATGCTTACTTCATGTCTCTGTGTCACATTTTGCTAACAAAATGTGAAATATTTCTTTTTTATCATCATGTCTGTTGTGATGATCTATGATTAATGATCTTTGAAGTTACGATTGTAATTGTTTTGAGGTATAACAAACTGTGCCCACATAGCACCATGAACTTCATAAATGTTGTGTGATTTTTTATTTCTTCACCAACCAGATGTCCCCCCAATTGGGCCTCCCTATTCTCTGAGACACAACAATATTGAAATTAGGCCAATTAATAACTACAATGGCCTCTAATTGTTCAAATGAAAGGAAGAGTTACATATCTACCACTTGAAACCAAAAGCTAGAAATGATTAAGATTAGCGAGGAAGGCATATTGAAAGCTGAGATAGGCTGAAAGCTAGGCTTCTTGCACCAAACAGCCAATTTTGAATGCAAAGAAAAGGTTCTTGAAGGAAATTAAATGTGCTACTCCAGTGAACACATGAGTGATAAGAAAGCAAAACAGCCTTATTGCTGATTTAGAGAAACTTTTAGTGGTTTGGATAAAGGAACGAACCAACCATAACATTCCCTTAAGCCAAAGTCTAATCTAGAGGAAGACTCTAACACTCTTTAATTCTGTGAAGGCTAAGAGAGGTGAGGAAACTGCAGAAGAAAAGTTTGAAGGTAGCAGAGGTTGGTTCCTGAGGTGTAAGGAAAGAAGCGATTTTCACAACACCAAAGTGCAAGTTGAAGCAGCAAGTGCTGATGTAAAAGCTGCAGCAAGTTATCCAGAAGATCTAGCTAGGATCATTGATGAAGATGGCTAAACTAACCAACACATTTTCAATGTAGGTGAAAGAGCTGTCTATTGGCAGAAGATGCCTTGTAGAAATTTTATAGCTGAAGAGAAGTCAGTGCCTGAAGGACAGGCTGGCTGTCTTGTTAGGGTCTAATGCAGCTGATGACTTAAGTTGAAGCCAGTTCAACTTTACTTAAAATTCTGAAAATCTGAGTGCTCTAAAGAATTACGCTGAATCTCTTCTGTGTTCTAGAAATGGGACAAGGCCTGGATGACAGCATATCTGTTTATACATGGTTTACTGAATATTTTAATCCCACATTAAGAACTACTGCTTAGAAAAAAAAAGATTCCTTTCAAAGTATTACTGCTAACTGACAATGCACCTAGTCACCCAATAGGTCTGATGGAGGTGTTCAAGGAGATGGAGTTGTTGTTATGACTGCCAACACAACATCCATTCTGCAGCCCATGGATCAAGGAGTAATTTTGACTTTCAAGTCTTATTTGAGAAATGCATTTTGTAAGGCTATAGCTGGCATAGATAGTGATTCCTCTGTTGGATCTGGGAGAAATAAATTGAAAACCTTCTGGAAAGGATTTACCATGTAGATGTCATTAAGAACATCCGTGATTTATATGAAGAGGTCAAGATATCAATGTTAACCAGTATTTATAAGAAATTGATTCCAGCCCTCTTGGATGACCTTGAGGGGTTCAAGATTTCGGTGGAGGAAGTCACTGCAGATGTGGGAGGGGTACCAAGAGAAGTAGAATTAGAAGTAGAGCCTGAGGATGTGACTGAACTGCTACCGTCATGAGGAGTTGCTTCTTAGGGATGAACAGAGTGGTTTCTTGAGATGGAATCTACTCCTGGTGAAGATGCTGTGAACATGTTGAACTGACAATGCAGGATTTACAATATTACATAAACGTACCTGATAATGTGGTATCAATGTTTGAGAGGATTGATTCCACCTTAGAGAGAAGTTCTATGGATGAAGCTATCAAACAGCATTGCATGATACAGAGAAATCTTTTGTGAAAGGAAACATTAAGCAATGGAGCAAACTTCATTGTTATCTTAAGAAATTGACACAGCCATCCCAACATTCATCAGCCACCCTAATCAGTTAGCAACCATCAACATCCAGGCAAGACCTTCCACTCACAAAAATATTAGGAGTTGCCAAAGATTTATATAATTATTTACATTTTTTAGCAGTCAAATATTTAAAAAAAAATTTTTAGTGATAGGACCTCACTATGTTGCCCAGGCTGGAGTGCAGTGACTATCCACAGGTGCAGTTACAGAACACTACAGCCTCCAACTCCTGGGCCCAAGGGATCCTTCCATCTCAGTCTCTTGAGTAGCTGGGACTACGGGTATGTGCCACCATGCCCAGCAGTAACAAAGTATTTTAAAACTAAGGTATGTACATTGTTTTTTTTAAATACATAATGCTGTTACATAATAGATTATAGTATAGTGTAAGCATAACTTTTATATCCACTGGGAAACAAAAAAAACTGTATGACTCTCTTTATTGGATTATTAGCTTTAATGCATTTGTCTGGGACCAAACCTGTCTGAGGTGTGCCTGTACTTCCTGTGTACATATAGTGGGATAGTTTTCCTTTTCCAAAAATGCTACTATTAAATTAGTGATAAATCTAATGATTGCGGTGGTCTTACTAAGAAATAGGATCTTACTGGCATGTGAATAAGCCCTTATGTACTGTTTGTGTTGTTATTCATTTCTATTAATAACAGCCCCTAAAGAATCCATATCCTTACAGGATATTCTATACCCTTCACAATGGCTACAACTACATGAGAGTGAGTGAGCGAGTGAATAAATGGCTAAAAGAACTTTATTTTGAATTTAGATGTGCTCTGTCCTCATTTGTAAAAACAGACTTTATTTTTTAGAGCAGTTTTAGGTTCACAGCAAAATTGAGAGCAATGTATGGAGCATTCCCATACAACTCCCTGCTCACTCTGCCCTCATGCCTACCTCTCATCTTCCCATTATCCCCCACCAGAGTGGTATATTTGTTACAAATAATGAACCTACATTGACACATTCTTGTTACCCAAAGTCTATAGTTTATATTAGGGTTTATTCTTGGTGTTAAACATTCTATGGGTTTGAACAAATGCATAGTGGCATGCATATAATCATATAATCATTTTAGTATCATACACAGTAGTTTTGCTTTCTAAAACCCTTCTGCAATCTCCCATTCATCCCTTCCTTCTCTCTAACTCCGTGTGACCACTGATCTTTTTACTGTCTCTATAGTTTTGCCTTTTCCAGAATGTCAAGTAGTTGGAATCATACGGTATATAGATTTTTCAGACTGGCTGATTTCACTTAGTATTAGGCATTTGTTTTCTGCATGTATTTTCGTTGCTTGACAGCTGACTTCTTTTTAGTGTTGAATAAAAATCCATTGTCTAGAAATACTACAGTTGATGTATCCATTTACCTACAGAAGGATATTTTGGTTGCTTCCAAGTTTTAGCAAATATGTATAAAACTACTTTAAACATCTTTGTGCAGAATTTTGTTTGAAGATAATTTTCAACTCTCGGGTAAATGCCAAGGAGCACACTTGCTGGATTGTATGGTAAGAGTGTGTTTGGTTTTGGTAAAAAATGGCCAAAACATCTTCCAAAGTGGCTATACCATTTCGCATCTCCTTCCTCTTGCTCCAAAGCCTTGTCAGCAATTGGTGTTGTGGTCTGGATTTTGGCCATTCTCATTGGTGTGTAGAATAACATTTCATTGTTATTTTAATTCGCATATCCCTGATATGTGAAGCATTTTGTATATGCTTATTTTTTATCTGTGTGTCTATTTCTTTGGCCCATTTTAAAATCTGGTTGTTAGGTTTTTCATAGTTGAGTTTTAAGACTTTTTTCGTATATTTTGGATAATAGTCCTTTATCAGATCTGCCTTTTGCAAATATTTTCTTAGAGTCTATGGCTTATCTATTCTCTTGACAGTGCCTTTTGTAGATCAGAAGATTTTTATTTTAATGAAGTCCAGCATATCCATTGTTTATTTAATACATAGTGCCTTTGATATTGTTTCTGAAAAGCTGTCATCAAGCCTAACATTATAGATATTATCCTGTGTTATCTTCTAGGAATGTTACAGTACTGTGTTTTACGTTGATATCTATAATCTATTTTGAGTTAATTTTTATGAAGAGTGTAAAGTCAGGGTCTAGATTCTTTTTATTTTGCATCAAGATATCTGGTTGTTTCTGTATCATTTGTTGAGAAGATTATCCTTTCTCCATTGTTTGACTCATTCTCAAATATTAACGGACTACATTTATATACGTCTGTTTCTGGACTTTCTATTCTGTTTCTTTGATCTATTTCTCTCGTCATTTGCTCATACCATGCTGTCTTGATTACTGTAGCTCTATAGTAAGTCTTGGAGTTAGGTATGTCAGTCCTCCAACTTTGCTCTTCTTCAGTATTTTGTTGGCTCTTCTTTGTCCTTTGTCTCTTCATATGAACATTTGAATCAATTTGTTGTTATCCAGGAAGCAACTTGGTGAGATTTTGAGTGTGATTGCATTGAATGTATAGATGAAGTTAGGAAGAACTGACATCCTGACAATATTGAGCTTTCAAAAATCCATGAACCTGGAATATTTCTCTATTTATTTCATTCATTATTGATTTCTTTCATTAGAATTTTGTAATTTTTCTCCTATAGATATTATATACACACACATATATATATGTCTGCGCATATATATGTGTATATATATAGATATATTTATTTATGTAGGTTTATACATAAGTATTTCATTTCTGGAGGTGTTAATGTAAACGCTATTGTGTTTTTAATTTCAGCTTCTATTTTTTTCATTGCTGTCATATAGGAAAGCAATTGATTTTTGTATTGTAACCTTGTATCTTGCAATTTTGCTATAAGTGCTTATGGGTTCCAGGAGTTTTTTGTCAACTTTTTCAGATTTTCTATATAGACACTCATGTCATCTGCAAGCAAAGACAATTTTCTTTCTTTCTTCCCTTCAGCATACATTTTACTTTCTCTTTTTGGCTTACATCAGTAGAAAGGATTTCCAGTATGATGTTGAAAAAGAATAGTGAGAGAGGACATCCTTGCCTTGCTCCTGATCTTAGTGGGAATGCTTGTAGTTTCTCAAAATTATGATGTTAACGGTGGGTGTTTTGTAGATATTCTTATCAAGTTGAGGAAGTTCTTTATTTCTAGTTTACTGAGAGTTTTTATCATGAAAAACTGTTCGATTTTGTCAAATGCTTTTTCTGCATCTATTGATATGATTATGTGATTTTTCTTCTTTACCCTGTTGATATGTGGGAATAAACATTAATTGATTTTCTAATATTGATTTAGTCTTGTGTACCAAAATCCATGTGGTTGTGGTGTATAATTCTTTTTTACATTGTTAGATTTAATTTGCGTATATTTTGTTGAGGCCTTTTACATTTATGTTCATGAAAGATATTGCTGTGAGATTTCCTATTCTTGTTAATACCTTTGTCTAGTTTTAATTTTAGGGTAATGCTGACCTCATATAATGAGTTAGGAAGTATTCTCTCTGCTTCTGCCTTCTGAAAGAGACTGTTGGGAATTGGTGTGATATCCTCCTTAAATGTTTGGTAGAGTTCACCAGTGAACACATGTGGGAGTGGTGCTTTCTGTGTTGGAAGGTTATTAATTGTCAATTCAATTTCTTTAATAGATACAGGCCTATTCAAATAATATATCTTTTTTTCATGTGAGTTTTAGCAGATTGTGTCTTTCAGGGAATGAATTGGCCCATTTCATCTAGGTTATCAAATTTGTGGGCATAGAGTTATATATATTATTTCCTTATTATCCTTTCAGTGGCCAGAGAGTCTGTAGTGATATCCCGTCTTTCACTGCTGATGTTAATTTCTAAATTTGTTGAATTTGTTAAGGTCTGTGTTATGGTTCTTTTAAATTTGTTAAGGTGTGTTTTATGGTTCAGAATGTGGTCAGTATTGGTGAATGTTACATGTGAGCTTGAGAAGAATTTGTGTTCTGCTGCCGTTGCATAAAATAGCCTGTAGATGTCAGTTATATCCAGTTGATTGATGGTGTTTTTGAGTTCAACTGTGTCTTTACTGCTTTTCTGCTTGTTGGATCTGTCCATTTCTGAGAGAGAAGTGTTGAAGTCTCTGGCTATACGAGTGGATTAATCTGTTTCTTCTTGCAGTTCTATCAGGTTTTGCCTTATATATTTTGATGCTTTGTTATTAGGTGCATGCACTCTAAGGATTGTTATGTCTTCTTCGAGAATTGACCCATTTATTATATAATGTCCCTCTTTATTCTTGACAGCTTTCCTTGTTGTCAAGTCTGCTCTGTCTGAAATTAATATAGGTCTTCCTGCTTTCTTTTGATTAATGTTAGCATAGTGTCTTTCTCTATCCATTTACGTTTTATCTGTATGTGTCTTTACATTAAAGTAGATTTCTTGTAGACAACATGTAGTTGGGTCTTGGTTTTTGATCTACTTTGACAATCTTAATTTGCTTCCAAAATGATTATTGATATATTTTGATTAATATCTTCTATATTTGTTACTGTTTTTTTTTTCTGTTTGTTGCTCATGTTCTTTATTCTGCTTTTGTATTCTTTTTTTGTCCTTACGGTTTCAACTGAACATTTTGTATGATTTTTTCTCTTTTGTTAGCATATCAGTTATGTTTCTCTTTTTACTTTTTAAATGATTGCCACACAGTATGCAATATATATTTACAACTATGTCTACTTGCAAACAACACTATACCACTTCACAGGTAGTGCAAATACTTTATAATAACAAATAATCCTAATTTTTTTCTCTCATTCCTTGTATCATTGCTGTCATTCATTTCACTTATACATAAGCATATATAATCAAATACATGACTACTATTATTATTTTTAACAAGCTGTTATCTGTTAGATCAATTAAGAATAGGAAAATAAAAGTTTTATTTCATGTTCACTTATCCCTCCTCTGATGCCTTCCTTTCTTTATCTAGATCTGAGCTTCTGATCTCTATAATTTGCTTACTCCCTAAAAAAACTTTAAACATTTCCTGCAAGGGAAATGTACGGGTAACAGATTTTCTCAAATTTTGCTTGTCTGAGCAAGGCTTTATTTCTCCTTTATTTTTGAAGGATCATTTTGTGGGGTACAGAATTCTAGGTTGTAATTTTCCTCTCTCAGCACTTTATTTCACTCTCTTCTCTTCTTGCTTGCATGTTTTCTGGTAGAAAGATGGATATAACACTTATCTTTGCTTCTCTATATGTATGGTATCTTTCCCTCTGGCTTTTTTCAGAATTTAAAAAAATCATTGCTTTTATGTAGTTTAAATACAATATACAAATACCTATAGGTTTTTGGCATTTATCCTACCTGGTGTTGTCTGAGCCTCCTATAACTGTGGTTTGATGTCTGACATTAATTTGGGAGCATCTCAAGATGATTTCAAACATTTCTTCTGTTTTTTTTTTCTCGCTTATTTGTCTGGAATTCCTATTATGTGTATGTTATAACTTTTGTAGTTGTCCCACGGTTCTTAGATATTCTGTTTTCTTTGCTTTATTCTTTTTCCTCTTCGCTTTTTAGTTTTAGAGGTTTCCATTGAGATATCCTCAAGATCAGAGATTATCTCCTCAGTTGTGTCCAGTCTGTTAATAAGCTCATTAAAAGCATTCTTCATTTCTGTTACCATGCTTTTCGTCTCTAGCATTTATTATTTTGGTTTTTATATCTCTCTGCTTACATTGTTAATTTGTTCTTGCATATTGTCTTTATTATCTTTTATGGCCTTTAGCACATTAGTCATGGTTACTTTAAATTCCCGGTCTGTTAATTCCAGCATCCCTGCTTATCCTTACTTGGTTCTGATATGTGCTCTGTCTCTTTAAGCTATGTATTTTACCTTTTAGTCTTCCTTGTAGTTGTCTCTTGATAACCAGACATAACATACTAGGTAAAAGGAAATAAAGTAAATAGGTCTTTAGTAATGTAGTGGTAAGGTGTTGGGGGAGTAGAGTCATTCCATAACCCTATAATTAGGTCTCAATCTCATAGTGAGCCTAGAACTTTCACAAGTGTTTCTCAGGATTTGGATTTTTTTCTCTTTTTTAATTCCTTAGGTGGGATAGGATGGCTAGAATGGGCTAGAGTTGTCTGTTTCCCTTCACCCACTTAGAAGGCTAGAGGATCTTGGAGATGGGTATTGCTTTCCCCCAGGCTGGTTAGGTGCTGATAAAACTCTTATTAGGTTAGGCTCTGTTAAATAGATTTTTTCTGATGGCAGACCTTGTTAAGAATAGAATGCTGTTATATTTCAAAGTGTTTTTCCCCTCTCCCTGCTGTGATCACAAGGTGAGTTTTTTCTGATATTCACTATGAGAACTGACTGAGCTTCTGGAGCTAAAACTCATAAAGGTGTGGGGACCCTCCCTATGCCTGGGTACACCTAGAGTTTTTAATTCTCAGACTTGTCCATTCTTAGCCTCCAGCCATTCATCAGCTATGATTCAGGTTTTCCTGCCCCAGCCCTAGTTACTGTGGTGGTTTCTGTCTGTGAGTTTCTGCTTTGATAAGCTGTGATTCTCTCTGTAGCTGCCTGTCTGTCTCTCCAACTTTGAGAGTAGCACTTTGCTCTGTGACCTGATTTTCTTTTACAGATCTCATAACAGTTGTTGGTTTTATAGTTTGTTCAGCTTTTTACTTGTTGTTAAGATGGAGTAGTGACTTCCAAGCTCCTTACAGGCTGGACTAGAAACCTTCGCTTTCCATATTTTGAAATGTATTTTGTTTTGTGTTCATTGTTGATACTTCTTGAGCTACATGGTTGCTAAACTAAGTAATTTTCAATGCTATGGAGAGCTAGCTGTTTAATGTAATCTGTGATAAATTTCCTTGGAAAGTATTATATCCTCTTATTTTCAAAAACTTTGGATTTTTTTTGTCTTTTCTTAAAGTGAAATTCTCCCCTGTTACTTTTAGAAGAATCATAGACCCAAGTTTGATTTGGGTTTGGCCTGACATACCAGGAGCAGTTCTGCAGAATGACAGTCTTGTTTGGACTTCTCCAAAACTGAAGTGGCCTCTCTCTCTGCTCCTCTGTACAGGGGACATGCAGTGGTCATTTCAGATGTGCTAGGGCTTCTCCAAGCTCAAGTGGCGTTCCTCTTTTGTTCTTATGTATACCTACTTCTCATCCTGAGGTTTACTTGACTCCTGTTGCAGAGGAAGCTGAAGGTGAATGATAGTTTCCTTCCCTGAAATTTGCTGCCAGTCTTGTTATCCTTGGCATTTCTAACTCTGACATGACACTCTCACCTAAATTGGCTGATGCTGATTTCTCCCTGGATGAGAATGGCAGTCTGGATTCATTACTTTCTCCTTTCTTGGGCACATGCAAATTTTCCTGTTCTTGCTGCTGCTACCCAACCATATTTCCGCCTCAGCATTAGGTAATGAGCTCTCTTTTCATTTTTATTTCAGAGAAAACTTATCCAGACCTATTGGCAGCTCTGTTCTAAATAAAATCTTTAGTTCTACATTCTTTCTTCTTTTTTTCAAGTGATAATCATTTGATTCTTTTTACCTAATAAATTAATTTTTTTCTGCCTCCTTTAAATTTTTTCCCTAGAAAAGTACATATGCTGTAACCAATCATTTAAAATATAAGAAGTGTATTTGCCTTTTTCTTTCAGTGTCATCTTTATTTTAAAAAACATATTTGATATGAAGTACAAGGAATAATGTTAGCATCTGTGCAATATGAAACAATTAGGTGAACATTGTGAATAATAATGGGGAGAAGTGGTATCTGTGCTTATTACACATTTCCCCTAGAAAATACTGTGAAAAGTATGGTTTGCTGTATTTTAGATACTCCATAATTACCATGTGGATGTGAGTTGTTATGGTAACTGGGTTTCTCCCCTTCTATTAAATAACAGAATAAATGGTTGCTTGAGATGTGACTGAATTGTCAGCTTAATTGTCAGCTTTCAAGCTAATGTTACCCTGATTGGAAACAGTGGAGAGGTAGGAGAGAAGGAGGGAAAGAGGGAAGGAAGGAGAAAAGGTTGGGGAGAGAATGTTAAATTTCCAGAAAACACCTAGGAAGAGATGAGTGTCATTTTACTTTAAAAAGTGTCCTCCCTTCTCTTCTTCTCACTATCTGTCAGAGGACAGGTCTAACAAAAAATTATTTTGCCCCAACAAGATTACTGTTGATGGAATACTGAAGCCCATTATTTCTTGTATATAAACAATAGGATATTGAGTGGCTTTTGGGGTCTCTAATACCAGTTGCAAATGGTTTTTTTTTCTGGGAATGTGGAAACAATGTGTGTGTGTGTGTGTGTGTGTGTGTGTGTGTGTGTGTGTCTCATAAAGCTAAATGTAGTGGTTCAGTATGCATATGTGTGTCTGGGTAGCAGTTGAAGTTAAATACATTTATTTTGATAATAACATTTACATGTGGCAAACATGAAAAATGCCTTTGTAAGATTGGGGTTTTAAAATTAACAGCAAATACTTAGTTTACTTGTCAATTTTTACATGCTACTCTTCCAATCCCATTCTAGTTCGACAATCAAAGAATGCCATCAAAGTTTGTTACCTGATTTATAGTATTTAATGAAGGGCTGTTATAATGAGTATTTTCTTGTAGATGGAATAAGCATATTTGTTAAGATCACTCAAGAGGTGGAATGCAATAACAAATTTTTGAACAAAGTATTCTGAACTGTAAATTAACTAACTAGATGGATATGTAGTCCCTTGTAGTAAAACATGTATGAGGAAACATGATTACCTTTTCATTTTCTCTCCCATCATTCCCCTACAATTGCGAATTATGTTTCTAAGCAGAACATTTCCTGTTGTGATAGTATTTCAAATATACTTAATTAAAGCTTACATCATACAGATTTAAAAGTTTACAGAATTTCAATATATAAAAATTATAATATCTGCTTTAAAATTTTACTGTGTCATTCAATATGTTTTTATCTGGAATTAAACCTTTCCTGGCTAGAACATTTTAGACTTGCTTTTGTAAAATCTGCAAAACTGTCTTCTCAACAACTCTGTGCCTATTTAAAAAAAGTTTTAAATTTTGTGTTTCCAGAATGATCACAACTTGAACACCATAATTTTCTACAAATACTTGCTTATGATAGTATGATTTTCACACGATAGGAATTTGTCTTAAAGAGGATGCTACATATTTAGTTCTGTTAAACTCCGCAGGTCCTTAATTGAACACTTATGTGCAAGACACTGTTATGGGTACCATGGGAGGGATTCCAGCATGAATAGAACATGACCTCTGCTCCTTAGGATTGTATGAGATTAAGATCTAAAGACAGAATCTGTGGAGTGTTGTGGGAGAGGCACATATATACTGGAAGTATGGAGATGAGAAAAATTATTTCAGTAAGTAGAAATGAGAGGAAAATCGGTCATTCAAGGAAGAGGAAGCAGTGAGTGCAAAGGTCCTGTGAAGTATAAGACAAGCTTGGGAATCGGTTCGTAATTTGATGCAGCCAGAATGTAGGTTATATAAAAGAGAGGAGCAAGACATCAGGTGGAGAAATTGGTTAAAGGTCTTGGCCAGCAGTTATTTCTTAAGGTAATTCTAAAAGACTTTGAACATTATACAAAAGAGTTTGGGCTTTATTCTTTAATGAACCATCAAAGGTTTTGCAAAGTTCTGAGTTAATGTATTAACAGTAAGGGTAGCACCATTGGGGATGTGTTAGGACAAGGAAAGATTTTAAGCTGTTAAGAGATCAGTTACTAGATCATAGTAATCTAGGCAGGAATCAGATAGGACTAAACCAATAAAGGAAAAAGTTGGGACATATATATTAAATATTTCAGAAGTAGACTCAAGAATTGAGTCTCAAGGCAAGGGAGATTCCCAAGATAAATCAGAAATTTCAAACTTGGGTAACTGGAACATTGATAGATAATATTGATGGGAACAGGAAAGATAACAGGAAGAGTGGGTTTCGAATGATGATGACAAAGAAGTGTGCAAAGTCTAATAGATGGTGAGAGGTGAAAGTTTGAGAAGTACATGTTCTAAAACTTGTGATTTTTTTAAACTAGGTATTTTCAATTCTATTTTTATTTGGGTATAATATGAATACACTAGAGTTCTCACATTTTACTGTCTAGTTGTATGAATTTTGGCAAGTGCACACATTCCTCCAACCAGCACCACGGTCAAGATGAGAAGGTTCTACCACCCTCAAACATTTCCCCATGCTCCTTTCTAGTCAGGCCCTTTCCCCACCTCCATCTCCTAACAATCTCACATGACCAAGAGGGCTGAACTTCAGGCTCCTAGCCTCATCTTCACTTCATCTAGACAAATTTTACTTCGGTTTTCTGTCTTATATATTGGCATTTTACTTTATATTGAATTTGGGGTAGGGTAGAAAAATTACATAGTTAAATGTTTGAAAATCATCATTCTACTGTGTTACTGATAAAGCTCTGTCTGAGCTGCCTTTATCTCTTTCCTGGATTGTTGACGTCGCGTCTGAGTAGGTTTTCTTGTGTTGACCTTTGCTACCTACAGTCTATTGTCAACAGAGCAGTCAGTATTGTCCTTTTACAATATAAATTAGATCATGTAATTCTTTTTCTCAAAAGCTTATAATGGTTCTCTCTTTAGTAAGAATAAAAGCAAGTCCTGAACAGTGCCCTAGAAGGCCCTGAATTCTCTGGGTCCCCGTTAATTCACTAACTTTTTCTCTTTCTACTCTCTGTTTTGCTCATTTTGTCTATTGTAGTTAGACTGACCTCTTTTCTCTTTCTCAAACAGGTCAGTTGTATGCCTGCCCAGGACCTTTGCGTTACCATTTTTTAAAATTGAGGTGTCATTCACATAACATAAAACAAACCATTTTAAAGTGTGCAATTCACTGGCATTTAGTACATATACAATGTTGTACAACTATCACCTCTATTTGGAAATGTTAGTTCCAAAACATTTCAATCTCCTCCTTTCATGTACCCATGAAACAGCCACTTTCTATTCCCTCCTCGTTTCTTCCTGTCTTCCTTCCCCTCTCCCCCGGCAGCTACTAATCTACTTTCTGTCTCTATGGCTTTACCTATTCTGGATATTTCATATAAGTGACATCATATAACACGTGACCATTTGTGCCTGACTTCTTTCACTTTGGCATAATGTTTTCAAGGTTCAGCCATAGTGTATCAGTACTTCATTCTTTTTGTGACTGAATAATATTTCATTATATGCATATTACATATTTTATTCTTCTAGTTTTTCCGTTGATGGACATTTGGATTGTTTCTACCTTTTGGCTATTGTGAAAGTGCTGCTATGAACATCGATATACATGGATTTGTTTGAATACCTGTTTTCAGTTCTTTTGGGTATATACCTAGGTGTGGAATTGCTCAGTCATATGGTATTTCTATGTTTAGCTTTCTGAGGAACCACCATTAAGTGTTTTCCATACCAGCTGAACCATTTTTTATTCCCACTAGCACTTACTTTGGTCTTTACATCCTCACCTCCTCCAAGTTTTTGCCCATACTTTACCTTCTCTACAAGATCTACTCTAACCACCCTATTTAACCCTGTAACCTTCTCGCATCCCTGCCCTCACCTCATTAGCATTCTTCCCTCCCATGTATATACTCCTATTGTGGGCTCTTCTTTGGGCACATGTGTAGTATTTCATTATAATTCACTGCCTCTTACACATTGAAACTTGACTGTTAGTCTTCCCTAAGCCATAGGACTGTTCATCTCAATGCTCCATCAGATAGCTGTCATTGCAAGAGTATGAGTAGTTATAGAAAAAAATTTCACACATTCATTAAAACTGAGTGAGACAGTGGTTGAGAACCCTACTTTATCATCTGCTGAATAACTAGGTTGCAACTTCATGATTTGAACTTATTTTGTTGATTGGATTTTTTTCAAAGGCTTCTCACAAGTATAGCAAATTGGACATAATTGTCATACTTTATAAATGCTAATTGAATTTATTTTTCACCCTAGCAACATTAACCTAAAATATAGGCAATGTGGCTGACTATACAGTATATTAAATTGAAATAGCATTCTAAAATGTGTTTTTGTTAAAAATGGTCAGGGAAGTCCTTTTTGCTTGTGACACAATGGGAATGTAAGGGCATGACTTTCTTCAAGCTGTTTCTCTAAAGTCTGTCTTCATTAAGAGAAAAAGCAAGAAAGTGCATTTTTAAAGAGATTTGTGCACAGCTGACTCCATAGAACACTAAGTCTAGGGTATAATCCCATAAAACGTGGGGAGTTCAGGCTGGCTTCTAGGCTGAAGCTTTCTACTGTGCTCCTGTACCCACCTTCAGCTGTGGTTGAAGCAGCAGGAAGAGGATTAGCTTTAACCTTGAGTTTATAACCTCCTTTTAAATAGGTTTCCTGGCATGAATGTTTTCATGTTTAGAGGCTAAACATTTGATTTGCTCATTTTCATTTACATTTTTTCCATAATCCTTTCCTTTTTTAAACTCAAGTTTAAAAAGCATTTGTGAGACCATTGTCTTCCTTGCAAATTGCTCTTTTTGCCAATTTGCTGAGGCTAAGGGTATTCTCAGTAGTACAATGATATCTATGGATTATTCGGCAAAAATTTAAAAATATTTTAAGCTTGTAAAGTAAGAGATAAACATTTTGGTTGTGGTGATTGAGTATTGTTTCTGTTAAATCCAGCTGTCAAAATAGGGCTCGAAGATAATTAATATATTTTATGAAAAGGGAACAGAACTGATAGGAAAAAAGTTGAAGAAAATTGCCCACATTTTGGAAATAAAGAGCAGAGCCAAGACCTGATTAATGCCTTGCCAGCTGGAAATAGAGCCTAGGTTGTAGTTTGCCACCTGGATAACAGGAGAAGAAGCAAGAGCTGGAGGACTCATTCCTTCAAGGATTTATGTTGACTTATTGACAAGGCTGCCCTCACCCTGCTCGTTGTAGTACTTATTCAGGAAAAGTCCTGTCTTTATAATTACTTTTAAGTTCATTTCATGGCTGAGTATCTGTTTTATACTGTTTGAGATTTTTTTTTTTTTTAAAAACAGCAATGCCATGAGAAGTAATAGATAGCAGTAAGAATTAATCTCTTTGTTCTTTTTATTCCCATGGATTCTTCCTATTTGTGTCCATTTCTGGGTCTCTCACTAGGTGGAAAAGTCTCTGCAGACACAGACTGATTGATAATCTCATCTTTCCACAGTACCTTGTATATAGTAGGCCCTCACTAAGACTGGGATTAAAGAACATACTAGAGGCCATGGGAACCAACTATATTCAGAGAGGCTATTATCTTCTTATCTTCCCTATCACAAGGCACTTGAGAATATTAATTCTTATAATACAATAAAATGTCCTTAAACACTAGTTATCATGATTCTGGTGTAATTACATACAAATTTGTTTTCTCTCTCACTCTCTCTCTTTTTTTTTTGGTCTGTAGGACACAAAGTAAAGTTGTAGCTGTTTGACTTTCGATGTGTTACAGGAATCATGAAATGTGATGCACTGTGACTGTTTTTCTTGATTGATCTTTCTTTAACAGAAGCAGACCTTGGGAAGATTTGTTGCAAGATAGCCATGTACTAATAGGTAGAAACAGAAATGACTATGAGAACCAGATGTTTTGTCTGGGCCTCTGTTGAGAAACAGGGTTTGCATGTTGGTATATATAATTTGTCTCTTGTTTACCCACACTGATTAAAGGCCATTTATCTAGTGGTGTGCACAATTGCTGTGTGCAGTACTCATTTGCCTGCTCTTACCACTGTGGTTTCTACACAACATGATATTTCTGTTGGCAATATAAATTTATTACTTCAGAATGGTCATATTGGAAATCCAGGATATGAGCAATATTTATTTTTATTTAAAATTACTACGGGGGTTTGTTAGACAATGCCAAGTTTCCTGACATTGGCAAGAGGCCTTACAGAGTTTCCCCCTAATTTTCGAGGGTTGATTTGTATTACATGTACATTTTAACTTGTTATTATTGTAGGATTTTATTTGCTTCAATTTACAAAATTCTAGGCTTACTTTATTTTGTCTTCACAAGACTCTAAACTCTTCTCCTTAGGAATATCCAAAAGATATTATTTGTGGTTCTGATCCTAGACTGATTTGGTTTGTTTTCAGAATCTAAACCACTTAAGGAAAAGAAAGAACTGATGAAACAGTTTTAATTTTATTCTTTTTTAATACTGTGTAGCCTAATATGTTGTGGTACATTTTTCCCATAGGTTCATATCCAGCTTTCAGAGTGGCACCGTGCAATTTTTCTTCCACAGGCCTGGCTTGCATACATGAATCGAGCTTATCATGCCATTTTACAGGTAATGAAACCACAGGATAGGTTTGCTTTGGCGAAATGTCTCCTTATCTCATGTTTTGCTACAAATGTGTATTTAATATAAAAGCACTTGGGAAAATAGCACTACCAAAAATGTAATGGTTATTTTTACTCATAAAAGAATGTGAGGCATATATATATAGCATTGCTGCACTTAAACATCAATGCCCCCCAAATCCATGTGTCCCATCCAGAACTCCCTCTTGAGTGCCAGTCTCCTCCATCCTGCTGCCTTCTGGACATCCTCACTTGGCTGCCCCACAGCACCTGACTTGAGTGCATCCCAAACTGAGCTCATTGTCTTCCATTATACCTGTGCTTCCTCAAGCTGGACTTGCTTACATCTCCAGCCTGATCTCTTAAACCTTCCCCCATATTTTTATGTTTCAGTCTTGTTAAATTTCTTTGTTTTCCTAAACTCAGCATGTCTTCCCTAACCTCTTAGCTTTTAAACACACTATTCTTTCTGTCTCTGACCCTGCCACTCCCTCTTTACCCACCTAATTTTACTTGTTCTTTACCCACCTAATTTCTACTTGTTCTCTAGATCAATTTATCTGGTCAGGCACTATGTGCCTTACTTCTCTCCCCACTGGATTATATGCCCTTCTTGTATCTGAGCTTTCCTTTTTGAAGCCCTTATCATGTTAGTTATTTGGCGAGGACTTCCAGTTGTCTCTGTACTCCTAAGGACAGGAGCTCTGTTGTCTCTGGCCCTGACATAAGTGTCTAAACGTACTAGGTGCTCACTAAATGAATGAGATATACTCAATTTGAGTTTATTTGATCCAATA
Organism: Homo sapiens; assembly: GCF_000001405.40. Classification (NCBI taxonomy): domain Eukaryota; kingdom Metazoa; phylum Chordata; class Mammalia; order Primates; family Hominidae; genus Homo; species Homo sapiens. The sequence continues at coordinate 20,908,054 of NC_000009.12, forward strand.
ATATTATAAGTTATAGTTTGTGAATTTTTAAATTTAGAAATAATTTTAATCAGTTGGGGAATATACAGTTAACAATACAAGAAAACAACTAGCTTAATTGTTTTTCGTAGCTTAAAATTGATTATTAAGGATAATAGGAGAAATCCGATGTTACTGAAGTAATTTATGTCCCAGAGTAAGATTTCCGTGAAGGCTTAAAAGTGAGGTATTGTGGTTAGAGATAACAGCTGTCCTATAAAATGAGGTGGGCGGGGTGAGAGTGGGGCATAGGATGGGGTGAGAGGAATGACTGTCTGGGCAATGGTGTTCTAATCTCAAATTAAAACCTTTTTACAACCCATCTTACAGATCTTAGAACTCGTAAAACACTAATGTATCTTCAGAGATTCTGATATATTAGAAGTGAATAGGGGACCAGGAATCTCCATGTTTTACAAGCTGCCAGGTGATTTAAATCCACGTAGTCTACCAGCCAAACTTAGAGCAAACAGTTTTAGAAGATCCCCTAAATGTACTGTAATCTGCATTTTAAAGATGTTCCTTTGGAACCATCGTTTTCTTTTGCTTGTTGTTTCCTTACTCAATTTTTATCTTCAGCAGCATCTGGGCACCCAGCATGTTTTGGATAAATGCATGAGTGAATGAATGAATGACTCATGTCTCTATATTTCTTTAAGAGCCAATTACAGTTTTTAGTCAGGAAACATAAGATTGCAAGTCAGAGTATGTACTTTTTCTCACATTCATTTTTCCCTAAGCAATGTTGAATTTTTTCTTCACCAAACATTTATGTAACATGTTTTATTGGGGAGGTCCCATGCTAAGTGTGTGGGATACTGAGGGCACTCCTTCCTCACAATGAGCTCCCAGTCCACTGGGAGAGGCTAACATGCCCACTAGCAATTCCAGTACAGTATCTTTGATGCATTAATAAAGGATGTTCAAAATGCTATGGGCACCTGGAGAAAGGGATGAAGAGCTCCTCCTCCTGCAGAATGAACTAAGAATTCTATTTAGCTCTTAGTGTAAGAAAGGCTAAATTGAATAGGGTTATAGTATAATTCTGCAGATGACTTGCAATTGATTAAAAAAAGCCATGAATTTTTAAATAAGAGCTATGGTTTGTTGAGTAACTAGTGTGTGTCCAGTACTTAACATATATTATTTCAATTAATCTATACAGAAACCCTTTGAAGTAGATGTTATTAACCCCATGTATAATGGGATTATAGATGGGAAAGCAGGGTTAGCTAGGAAAGCAAAGCAAACAGCTCAGGAACCCAACAAGCACTAAATGAAAATACAGGAACTTAACCTGACTCCAGAGCCTTAGCGTTTTCCACTGTGACATGTATTTTCCCTAACACGGTTATTAATTGTTATAATGAATAATGCAAATTTGTTTAATATTTTAAAGGGCAAATCTATTTGATCTATGAAAAACCTGCAGATTATTCATAATTTTTAGCAATGCAGGTCAATTATTCTGCTATTAAGGTGATGGTTGGTATCTTTATTTATCATTTAAAATCCCTTTACTTTGTATTTCTAGTAAGTCCAGTTCCATTGAGAATTGGTGACAAAAGAAGAGAAAGTGAAAGGATGGATTAAAATAAGATTTGCAGTATTATTTAAAAATACAGCAGTGTGATTTAGGCTATCACTATTACTTGAAAGTACACTGATGCATTTATGCTTAAACAAGTTTTTTAAATGAGTCCACACGCTTAAATAGAGTTTATGGTATCTTAGAATAATTGGAGCAACTGCCAGACTCCTTGTCTATATCAAGAATTTCGGTCCTAGAAGACACTTTTTCTGTACAGGAATTACAGTTACTTCCATCTGGTGCTAGATGTATTTTTTAGCATTAAACTAGAGGATCATTTAGAGGTGCCATGTTTTATTCAATTAAGCCTAGGAAATGCACTAAAAGGTAGATTCTCCATTACTTCCTGGAGGCTAATTAGGATGTAAGTCTGAGATCTGAACACTACTTGTAGCTTCTGCTTAGACGTCTGCTTCAAGCCTTACCTAATTTTTCCATAGGAACTTGGGGTTTTTAACTATAAATATATCAAAGTGGTTGACATGGGGAGAGGTATTTAGATTTCTTCCCATTAAGATAAAAAATGCAGATAGAAGCCAACTGACAGTACAGAGGCCATTTTGGTTAGGAGCCGTCTGCAGTCTTTATCTTGTTACCCTTCTGGGATGCTGTGGAGGTTAAGGTCTCCAGCCTTTTTGAAAAGGGCTCTTTGGAATTGTGAATGTGACCTCAAACAGGAGAGAGGTATGAAAGCAAATTGACTGTAGACATTTTTCATGAATTGGCCAGCTAGTTGCCAAATAACCAGAAATCAGAGCCCAGATCAGGAACTGCAGCTTCCAGTAAGTTACTCTATGGCAATTTATACCTTTTTTGCTTTTTTTGTGTGTGTATCTTTGTTTTGTTTTAAATGTGTAGGAAGCTAGGTGAAATTGCTTACTATAATCAGCAAGTTCTTATGGTACAGGCTAAAGATTAAAAATCAGAGGGGATAGCTAGATTAATCATTGGAATCTACAGGCAATCCAAAAAAATCTCAATTCAGGTGATCACTTTAGCCATTTTGCTCCCAGTATGTGTTTTCCCAAAAATGTTAATCAGAAAGCAGAGATGACTGAGTTGAATGCTGCTGGATCTCTCTATTACCAGTAAGTCAAGAATTGGAAGGCGCCATGGATCTGAGTAAATAGCCCAACATAGATTGGGTGGCAGGGATTAATAAGGGAGACATTCCAGAAAAGAGGATAGAAAAGAACAGAGACTCAGAGAAAGAAAAAACATGAAAACTACTTAGTCACAATAGAATGGTCGTGCTGATTTGTGACTGCAGGGAAGATTAAAACGGTAGGCCTTCTTAAGAAGGTGCATGTATTCTAGTTTTCTTGTGTTTTGTTTATCTTTAAACGGATTTTTAAAATTTCTTGTTCCTTGTCTTTTTTGGAAAAGCATTATAGGAAATGTTTTAGGAGTAAGGAGGCATAATTTAAGAAGCATAACTGAGACAGGCAATAAAAATTGTTTTATACTTTGTTTTGCCTGGACTCCTGGGAGGCCAATATTAATATCTTGCTAATTTCCAAGAAACAAAGGGGAGAATGAAAGGGCCAGAATTCTATCTTTGAAAGTATGGAGAATGAGGATTGATATGATTGAAGCAAATGAACTATGAAGGATGTGAATACAGTGTCCGTTACATCTCAGAGTGCCTGAACTGGTGAGCCCCAGGGTATGGTGAGTCGGGAGTTGTGCTAAATACACAAACTCTGTAGATCGATAAATAGTCCTTGACCTCACAGGGTGAGCAACTTTGAGAAGTACAAGGACATATAACTTTATAGTCTGGATATTACATTTTTGGGACCTCTTACTCCATGAGATTATACAGATAAAAATATGAATTATTTCAGGAGATATTTAGATAAATTCATGAAAGACGGTTTTGTAAGAAAATAAGAGGGAGGTAGAGATCTTTGGTTATTGACAACAAATCTAATAACGGTAGCTATTATTTGTTATCAGGCACTATTTAATGTGATGCTTTAATACCACAAGATATTTGTTGGCCACTTTTTACAAATGAGGAAACTGAAGCTTAGAGAAGTGAAGTAACTTGCCTAAATTTACACAGCCAGTAGGTGTAAATGGCATTAGGCCGAGGCATTCTGAGCCCATGTCCTTAACTCTTCAATGTGTATCACTTTTCTAAGTATGGAGAGATACATACTTTTCTTCTATACACTATATCTTAGAACTTTAAAATCAATAAGAAAAAGACAGCTAGTAGAGAAATGGACAGAATAGAAAAATCCTGATAGTTAAGAAGATATGAAAAGATCCTCAATCTCACTAGTAAACAATGAAATAACATTAAAACCATAGTGAAGACCATTTCATATCCACCAAAATGGAAAAAATTAAAAGCCTGACAATTCCGAATGCTGGTGAGAATATGAAGTAACCAGAACTCTTGTTTACTGCTTGTGATATGTAAACTGGCACATCTACTTCTGATAATGGTTGGGCATTACACTGCTGAATTCTTGTCCAAGTTAGGGCCCATCAACAAACAGTATTTTAATTATAGATAATTTAGATAATGTAATTGGTGATGGAGTAGAGGGGGAAGCATCTGATTAAAATAATTCTGAGTAAAAAAATGGAAAAGATAATACATATTTAAAGGCCTTGGACTTAAAGGAACAATGTTAGCAATATTTTTTTTCACATGCTAGAATTTGGGAATTATGGTACCTATTTTTATAAGTTCACTCAAGAAATAGAAGTGTAATGTAGAGCTGTTGGAGAATAACTTATATTATATCTTACCGGAATCTTAAGTGTTACATACTTTAGCTTGTTTTCTAGTTTTCTATTATAATACTGGTGTATGGTCCCCAATCTTGGTATATTTTGGTGTTAGCTAAAATTATCAGTTGCTAACAAAGGCAGATCACTAGCAGGTAGATTTTTTAAATGGGGTCTCTGAAATTCAAATTTGATTCAGTAGGTATCTCAAAATTAAATTCTCTGCACTAAATTTGCCAAACATACAACTTCTCTAGGATGTTACCTCTTTGGTGAATGTAGAAATACCTGAGCATTGATGTGATGATTTCTCCTCACACATCCTCTTTCATAATCTAATGTCTTACCCAGAACACTTAAGGCCAAATGGAAAAGGATATATCTGTGTTTTCCAAAGAAATTTTAAGATCACTTCAGCCATCGAGTTCACATGCTGATTTATGCTGTGATTTTTGCAGGGAAGACTAGGAGAGCTGGAGTTGCAGTTAAAACATGGAAAAGAAGAACCTGAGGAGGTGCAGTACAAAAAAAGCACAGCCTGGCTCTGGTAAGTGTTCATGTTCAGCTGCCCATTATTTGTCATGGGAAGTGAGCTATGAGGGGAAAGGTAACTACTTTAAAGGCTTTAAGATTAGCAGGTTTAACCTCTATATGTGAGCCTGAAGGGGAAATGACAGAAGAGCTGATAGGTGTATTCCCTAGATAGGAGATAGAGAGCTTTATTTATAAATTATACATACACACACACACACACACACACACACACACACACACACACACACGTTCTAAAACAATGTGGAAACAGTTTGCTTTTTCCCTTTTCTACCTGTAACTGATTATTTTATATGCTTTTGAATGAAAAATTCTTTTTTTCCCACTCTGTTCATTGCTTTCCTACCTCACATGTAGTCAAGGATTACTTCTCCCCTCCTCTGCTCCCCTCTTCCCCAAGACATAATTATTAGGAGCAACTTTACCGTGTCATGGGTTTAATTTCTTTGGCAGACATTTCCCAGGGAATTCCCACTATATCATCTAGAAATATATTAGTGCTGGCTCATAAAAGCAACTTAAACTGTTTCATGGGTTGAGAAGAATACTCTATCAGATTTGTGTTTCACCAGCCTAAATGTAAGTAAAGTGCCTAAAGTCTAAATAGCTTTGCCTACAACCACAGGTTGCTTTAATCTAAAAATCTGTCCGAAGATTATTTAATTATAGGTTTTCATTTACTGACAGTTGGCTCATGTAGAAAAGGAGAAACTGTGTGTATGTATTTGATTAATTGTATTCTAAGTCATATTTTCTAGATTTATCAAAAAATGGCAATGAAGTTTAAAACATTATGATATTGGATTTAGGATTAGAGGGTTTTGTATCCTATTTGCTCTTATCTTTTGCATCTATTTTAAATTTAATCATCTGAAAGTGATAATTGGTGAAGTAGTATATTTGCTAAGTTCTTTAAAATATATAGAGAGACCTATCAATACATATTCCTAGTGAAAACTCATGGGCTGTGTATATATGAGTATAAAGGAGTTAGGTCCCTAGAAGTTTCTTAAGAATGATTTCGGCTGGATGTGGTGGTTCATGCCTGTAATCCCAGCACTTTGGGAGGCCAAGGCAGGTGGATCATTTGAGCCCAAGAGTTCAAGGCCAGCTTGGGCAACATGGCAAAACTCTGTCTTTCCAAAAAAAAAAAAAAGATACAGTTAAACCTGCAGTAACTAATAAGCTACCTTGAAGTGAGCTCTTCCTCATCCTCACTTAATTGGAACACAATCCCAAATCTAAGTAAAGTCATCACTTGATTTATTATTTCAAAAAGTATTTATTGAGTGTCTGTCATGTGCCAGGCACTGTTCTAAGCACAGAGGAACAGCAGTGAATAAAGCCCCTTCTTTGTCCCTCCAAAGCTTATACTTGAGTAGATGGAAACCTGTAATAAACAAATAAACAAATGGAATATGATAGAAGTTGATTCATGGAAGAAAAATAAAGTACGATAGAGGGAACAGAGAGTGAATGAGGCTTGAGGGAGGTTGAGGGGTGGCATTACCATTTTCTGTACGGTGTTCAGGGTCTCTTTAATAATATGACATTTGAATGAGACCTGAAGGAAGTGGTGGAGTGAGCCAAGCTGATATCTGGAGAAGAGCATTCTAGGAAGAGGAAACAGCGAATTCATCATAGGCCCTGGGAGTGTACCTGGCAAAGCCTGTGTGGCATGGAGAGCGCAAGGATGGAAGTAGTGGACATGAGAGTAGAGAAGTTCGGGAGATTGCAGGGTGGAGAGTCTTTGTCAGCACAAAGAGGACTTTGTGAGTGAGATGGAGAAACATTGGCAGATCTTAATCACAGAATCTGACTCATGATTTAAAAGGACCACTCCAGCTGTTATGTTGAAAATACACCCTGCGGGGCATGGTTAGGAGTCCGTTGCAATAATTTAGGCAAGAGATAATAGTGTTTTAGACTAGGATGTTAGTGTGGAAAAGTAAATTGATTTTGAATCTATTTTAAGGCAGATATCATACGTTATAAATGCTAATAATTGAAATGAAGGATGTGAAAGAAAGGGATCAATCAAAGATACTCCAAGATTTTAACTCTAAACAAAAGTATGGCATTTCCATTTAAGACAAGGAAGACTAGAGAAAAGCAGGTCTGCGTAGAATAGGAATCAGATTTTGGACTTAGGCCTGAGATGCCTCATTAGCCTCCAATTAGAGATAGCAAGCAGGTTGTTGACTAGTCTATAGTTCCAGGGAGAGCTCAGAGCTAGAGAGGTGAATTTAGGAAACATCAGCATATTGATGGCATTTAAAATCATGATGCTGGATGAGGTCACTTAGGGAGTGAATAAAGAAAGAGAAGATTTCAAAAGATTGAGCCCTGATTCTATATTTAAAGGTGGGGAAGATGAAGAGGGAACCAATAAAGCAGACGAAAAATTAGTTATCAGTGACGTAGAAAGAGAACCAAAAGAGAGTAAAATCTTAAAAGCCAAGGAAAGAAGGCATTCTAAGGAGCAACCAACTGTGTCAAATACTGTTGTTAGGCTGCAGAAGATAGGGACTGAGAATTGAGCATTAGATTCAGTCTCTTGAAAATAATTGGTGGTCATGACAGGAGCTCTTTTGGTAGAGTTATTGAGACAAAAGCCAGGTTCTAGAAGGATCTAGAGAGAGTGGAAGGAAATAACGAGAGTCATCAAGCATAATCTTTTACACAAGTTTTGACGTATAACAGACCAAGAAATGGGGCAATAGCTGGTGGGCTTGTTCTGCTTTCTTCTTTTAGAGGGTAGATACTACAGTATGTTCACATGCTAAGGGAAATAATACAAGTAGAGATGGAAAAATTTGTGATGCAGCAGAGAGGAGGGAGTAGAGAGGTAGCTTTAGTGCACAAGTGGAAGGTTTGACCTTAAATGTAAGTATACATAGGTCATCATTTGTAAATATTCCACACTGACCAATGAAATATTACATTGAATGGACTATATTCCATTTAGGAATACGGAAATTAAACAGTACATTTTAGAGAAATTTGCAGTCAAATGCTTTTAAAAAATACAAGATTGAGATCTATAGGAGGTGTTGCACCTGTCTGAAAAACTTGTCTCTTAAGAGTGACTCATTCTCAGAGTGCTGAATAGCTAAGATTTTATTATATATCAAATGCAAATATTTATGAATGTCAATATAATTTATATTTAAATGCAACAACTTTAACAATATTTATAAAACCTTCGAATTTATAAAATTCAATGTTTATATTGAAAATGATCCTTTTAAAAAAGTAAATTTGACAGCAAGTGGTTGTTTTTTACTTCATATTGAAAATTCTATATTGAATTAAAAATTAGGTTCTGTAAATATTTGAATTGTGCCTACCTTCTTTCTAACCCACAAGTATAATTATTTTCTTTTGGCTTTCCTGTGACTATATAACCAAAGTTTGAAATTGCATTTTCTATAAACACATAGCGACTATTTCATATGTACAATTTGAAAATTGTAAATTGATGTTTTGGTGAGCTCTCATGTAAAAAAGAGAGACTGTCTTAGTCAGTTTGGGCTTCTAAATGCCACCACATTGGGGATTAGGATTCAATTTCAAATGTGAATTTGGTGGGGTATGCAAACATTCAGTCCATTGAAGAGAGTAATATAATGGACACTTGTATACTCACCACGCTGTCTGAGATAATACTGTTACAGTGCTATCTGTACATCCCCCCTCAGTTACATATTCACCTCCTCCTTGCCTCCACTCAGTGACCTTATGAACAGGAAGATGAAGCTATCTGTAAAGCAGAGCCCTTATTACAGTTCTTTCACCTTATACTGAAATTCTACCTGTATAGTTTTAAGATCTGGAGCCATTGCTGGAGGTTCTTATTAATTGATGAAAAAGAGAAAGGAATGATTTCTTGTTCTAACATAAACTCTCGTCTATTTTCCATCTTTATTGCAGGGTTAGAGACATGCTGACTGATGAGATCACCAAGGCAGCTGCAAAGTAAGATCCATTTAGTCTTTTATCAAACATTTTTTATAAATACCTTTTCCTGGCAGGTACATACATTTTCTCCTTTTAGGGCATTTCATAATTTTAAGGATTTTAGAGTACTTTTCAATTATTTTTTTAAAAAATTAATCGTTACCCTTCTTATAGTAGGTGAATTCTTACTACATGTCTTTTTGTGAAAATACAGAAGGATTGGTACTAACATATAACTTTTACATCAGGAGTCACTGAAGTTGAGCCCCTGCTGTATACCTAACAGATGACATGTGCTTTGGCTTAAACTTAAAGGATTGTAATTTAGTTCGAGGGGATTAAAAAAAAAAAGAAAGGAATCCTTGCTAATATGAGTTATGTTGGTAGTACTTCCTTTTGTTCCATTGGTGTTATTGGGTTCCGCATATCTAAAAATTGAATTTTTAAATACTAAAAACTAATGCCAAGGCCCATTTAAAAAGCAGTTTTAGTCATATGCTTATGGTTGTTTTAACAAAAATTACTTGAGTGTCACTGCCTTGATGCTTTTTATTTACCTTAAGCCAGCTCTCACTAAAAAATACCCGAAACTTGCTTGAACAATCTCTTCAGGTTCCTTTGTCAACTGACAAGCTGACTAATTGTTCCTGGCAGTAAGTTACATGCCAGTTACACTCCCTTCCACCATCTTCTCTAACTGCTGCCATTTCTGTTTGACTCCTTTCTTTCTTGCCTCCAACCAACACAGATATACCTTTGACCTAGAGGATTTCATGTGTATTAAAAGTCCATATCATCCAGAAATTTTTAATTGTAGTATAGTTTATCCTTTTCATGTCACAAAACCTTCTGTAGCTAAATAGATTTTGCCTTAAAAACAGAACAAAAAATGATCTACCTTAGAGTTAGCTTTCTATCAATAATTTCTTAAACAGACACTTAACTGTGAAGTCTGATCTCAGCAGATTATCACTGTTCAGTCTCATGTCTTCTGGATAAAGAGAAATAGAAGTGATAATCCTCCCCTGACTCAGTCCTATGGAAGGCACTGGGAAATATCTGTTGATAAAATGAAAACTAAAGTACAGAGAGCTTAGATGGAGACTCATTCTTGTCTTGTTTTCCCACTTTGGTGAATTGCAGACATAGTGGGAGAGGGCTCAGTTGCATATCAGAGGGGGAGGGGATGCTGGGATGAGAATGCAGGCTGTCTTTGACCTTTACCTGTAATAGTTTGTTCTCTTATGTAGTCTACATATATCCTATTAAAAGCAGTGCTCTGACATTTGCTGCAAAAACTTGAATGCAGAAGAAACTACCAACTTTCTCCTAAAGCAAATTATAATTCCTCGTGTCTAGTAGATATTGCAATTTTCCATTCTAAAATTTTACTCCAGTGTGACTGTAATTTTCATATTCACAAAGTATCACTTCGTGACTAATACCTAAAGAAAATATGTTTACATGAGTAAAACTAATTCATGTTCTCATGGTATTACCTTCTCATCAAAACTTACAAAGTGGCCGGGCGCGGTGGCTCACGCCTGTAATCCCAGCACTTTGGGAGGCTGAGGCGGGCGGATCACGAGGTCAGGAGATCGAGACCATCCCGGCTAAAACGGTGAAACCCCGTCTCTACTAAAAATACAAAAAAATTAGCCGGGCGTAATGGCGGGCGCCTGTAGTCCCAGCTACTTGGGAGGCTGAGGCAGGAGAATGGCGTGAACCCGGGAGGCGGAGCTTGCAGTGAGCAGAGATCCCGCCACTGCACTCCAGCCTGGGTGACAGAGCGAGACTCCGTCTCAAAAAAAAAAAAAAAACTTACAAAGTATCTTATAGACCTTATTTTAATAAAGCAATCTTGACAATACTAGGAATGGTAGCAAGTGTATAAGAGATATTTTAGGTCTGGAGGCTGAGAGATTGGTGATAGAGCAGGGGAAAAAATCATTCTGTCACCCTCTCTGCTTCTTCCCACTGGCTTCCTCCAACATGAGGCCTTCACCACTGCCCGCTGCCAGCTTAGCTTCCCTTTCCTTAGCTACGGCTGCCACAGGCTGGTTTGGGTCAGGGTATGGCTTGTTTTGTTCAGAGCTAGAAGTTAAATGCAAAAAGTGACATACCAATCATGGGATGATCCTGATTTGTTCATGTAAGCCCAAAATCTCCTCAAGCTGATAAGCAACTTCAGCAAAGTCTCAGGATACAAAATCAATGTGCAAAAATCGCAAGCATTCTTATACACCAATAACAGACAAACAGAGAGCCACATCATGAGTGAACTCCCATTCACAATTGCTTCAAAGAGAATAAAATACCTAGGAATCCAACTTACAAGGGACGTGAAGGACCTCTTCAAGGAGAACTACGGACCACTGCTGAATGAAATAAAAGACGATACAAACAAATGGAAGAACATTCCATGTTCCTGGGTAGGAAGAATCAATATCGTGAAAATGGCCATACTGCCCAAGGTAATTTATAGATTCAATGCCATCCCCATCAAGCTACCAATGACTTTCTTCACAGGATTGGAAAAAACTACTTTAAAGTTCATATGGAACCAAAAAGCCCACATCACCAAGTCAATCCTAAGCCAAAAGAACAAAGCAGGAGGCATCATGCTACCTGACTTCAAACTATACTACAAGGCTACAGTAACCAAAACAGCATGGAACTGGTACCAAAACAGAGATATACACCAACGGAACAGAACAGAGCTCTCAGAAATAACACCGCATATCTACAACTATCTGATCTTTGACAAACCTGAGAAAAACAAGCAATGGGGAAAGGATTCCCTATTTCATAAATGGTGCTGGGAAAACTGGCTAGCCATATGTAGAAAGCTGAAACTGGATCCCTTCCTTACACCTTATACGAAAATTAATTCAAGATGGATTAAAGACTTACATGTTAGACCTAAAACCATAAAAACCCTAGAAGAAAACCTAGGCAATACCATTCAGGACATAGGCATGGGCAAGGACTTCATGTCTAAAACACCAAAAGCAATGGCAACAAAAGCCAAAATTGACAAATGGGATCTAATTAAACTAAAGAGCTTCAGCACAGCAAAAGAAACTACCATCAGAGTGAACAGGCAACCTACAAAATGGGAGAAAATTTTCTCAACCTACTCATCTGACAAAGGGCTAATATCCAGAATCTACAATGAACTCAAACAAATTCACAAGAAAAAAACAGACAACCCCATCAACAAGTGGGCGAAGGAGATGAACAGACACTTCTCAGAAGAAGACATTTATGCAGCCAAAAAACACATGAAAAAATGCTCACCATCACTGGCCATCAGAGAAATGCAAATCAAAACCACAATGAGATACCATCTCACACCAGTTAGAATGGCAATCATTAAAAAGTCAGGAAACAACAGGTGCTGGAGAGGATGTGGAGAAATAGGAACACTTTTACACTGTTGGTGGGACTGTAAACTAGTTCAACCATTGTGGAAGTCAGTGTGGCGATTCCTCAGGGATCTAGAACTAGAAATACCATTTGACCCAGCCATCCCATTACTGGGTATATACCCAAAGGACTATAAATCATGCTGCTATAAAGACACATGCACACGTATGTTTATTGCGGCACTATTCACAATAGCAAAGACTTGGAACCAACCCAAATGTCCAACAATGATAGACTGGATTAAGAAAATGTGGCACATATACACCATGGAATACTATGCAGCCATAAAAAAGGATGAGTTCATGTCCTTTGTAGGGACATGGATGAAATTGGAAATCATCATTCTCAGTAAACTATCGCAAGGTCAAAAAACTGAACACCGCATGTTCTTACTCATAGGTGGGAATTGAACAATGAGAACACATGGACACAGGAAAGGGAACATCACACTCTGGGGACTGTTGTGGGGTGGGGGGAGTGGGGAGGGATAGCATTAGGAGATATACCTAATGCTAAATGACGAGTTAGTGGGTGCAGCACACCAGCATGGCACATGTATACATATGTAACTAACCTGCACATTGTGCACATGTACCCTAAAACTTAAAGTATAATAATAATAAAATTAAAAAATAAATAAATAAATAAATAAATGAAGGTGAAAACAAAAAAAAGTCGAGTCAATAAAAATTTAGCAAATTTTCACATCCAAAAAAATAAAAAAGAACATTTAAAGCTTCAGGGATAGGGGTAAGGGAGAGTCAGAACACGTATAAAACCTGATGATTGATGTGAATTTATTTCCCTTATTATTTATTAAACAGATTTAAACCTGAAGATAAAAATCACTGAAGTATTGAGTCACTTTACTAATATGTAATGTAATACTTTGTCCCTAAGAAAGCATCATTGTAGCTCAGCCTTCCTTGTGCTTTTTAATTAGGTTAATAACATCATTTTGTTTTAAAGGACAATTTAATTAAAACGTCGGTGGTGTTGCCTAGATAAATACTCTGTGGAAGCTGACATGTTATTATGCAAATTAGTCTCTCTTGTTTGACTGGTAGGGGATAGTTATTTGAGCAACAAGGTGATGAGTTTTTACTGAACCAGTTATAGATTCCCACCTCTCCAGCTCCTCCTTGAATTTGTTTCACTTAGTATGTATTGAGTACCTTCTATCCATAAGTCATTGTGGCAGGCATGAAGGGAATGCGAAGATGATCAAGAGTTAGTCATGGTACCTTTGTGAAATGTGTAATTTGGCCTAGGGCTGCACTGTATAGAGTGGACTAGGTTTTTAATTCAAAGATTATTATCCAAATATGTGTTCATTCTGCAACCAAATATATTATTACCAGTGTTTTTAAATAAATTTTTCTCCATTACTTAAGAACAATACATACTCAGATATGTCAAGACTAGTGAAGGATTTGAAATAAAATAGTTTTTGGTACTGTTTTAAAACCGAGGCTAATTTCTCTTTCAGAATTTTGGGGTTAAAAAGAACTTTTTATGTTATCTTGTCTAATATATTTGTTTTATGACTTTTGATACCCAGATTCTAGTGACCTCACGTTTTCTACAGAGTAATAAAACTGGGACTCTAATACTCAGATCACTCAAAATTTAGAACTGTTTTTAAAACTCACCTTTAGGGATTCATGACCATTTTGCAGTAGGAAAGGCCTCAGGATATTCTGTTAAAAGAAAGAGATAATATTAGAAATAAAAGATTTAATTTTGTTTTTGTTAAATGATTTTATGGCTAGGGCACCTAGGAATGACCAAATCCCACCTTGTTTCCTTGTGTTTTCTTATTAGCTATATGAGTGCTCTGTAATTCTCTTTGTAGAACTCTAGCAAAACCCAGGTTGGGGCCATCTGCTTAGACCTCAAGGCTTCCTTCCCATTTTCTCCTCCAACCCTCCCCATTATAAACGTTGATGTCTTGCTAACTTTTGACAGGCCTTATAGAGGAATACATTGAGGTGGGGGGGTGGTGGTGAACAAAATGATCAAGGCTTCAAGTCTTCACAGAGCTTAACCACTCTAAAGTGGAAGGGAGAGGGGGAAGGAAGGATGGGCGAATAGATAGGAAGGATTTGTTAATGGCAAGTCCTGAGTCCCATTCTTACCAAATGAAAGCAGAAATGCAAGAACACATGTGCGCCAGCAATTTAATACCCACTGACTCAAGTCTTCAATTGAGACTATGGCTTGGGACTTGAGGTACTAGGCTCATTTAGGGAGCAGAGCTGAAAATCTTCCTTATCCCTCATATCTGTTATAGTCCTGCCCTGAGGTAAGCAGGAAGTGGTTCTTGGATCATGCACTGAATTCAGATTCGGGTTTGAAGTCCAAATTTTGGGGAACATTGTATTTATGGGAACCCACATCAAAGGACTGAGGACTAAACGATCTGATGGTATGGGTGCTCTTGTTGCTGGAGTTCTGTTATAAACGAATTGGCAAACCTAGAGCATCTGATTGGTGTCCCATAGGGGACTTTATAGGATCAGCTTGGAATTATGGAATAATATTAAATGTACATTTTCAAGTGGTAAGTATATTAAAAAGGTTCAGGTTTTTACGTTAAATTCAGAAGTCAAACTCTTAAGAGTTTATTGCTGATATTAGAAGGCTACCATTTAGATGATGTAAAAAGGCAACTTTCAGTCCAAATAGTCTAAAAACAGCCCTTTTTCATTTGCATCTTATCTGGGGTCTCCAAATTATATTACAAACTGGGTTTAAGGTTGATAGTTTTGCTATATTAAGAGAAAGAAGGAGAGGATAAAAATGAGTAAGAAAAGCTGCTGTGTGTCAAGTTGTAAGGTATGCAGGCTGAAGTGGTTTGCTAGAAGCCAGTTCAACATACCGGTGCTTCAGAAAAGCCAAAGATTGTTCTATTCTGCTGGGCTTATTGACATAACTGTCTTAGTTATGTCTTTACAACAAATCAATAATTTTAAATTGGCCAAAGATGACACAGAAGAGATCCTAGGAAATGTAATGTTAATAGATGAAATAAAAATTTAGGAAGAAACAACTTACTAAGCTTGGATTTTTAAGTTATGAAAAGGCATAATGACCCATACTACATTGATAAGAAGAATTCAGAAACAGCTCTAGAGTCAGAAGGAAGGAAAGAAACTGTTGGCCTAACACAACAAACAGACCTGCATTTACAAGACTCTGTGAAGGAACACAAGTTGCTTTTTGACTTCACCTGCCCTCCTATATTAGCTCTTTCTCTTCTTCTGGTTAATACCAAAGTTCTCTGTTGAAATTTTTTTCCTTTTGAACAGGGAGAGTCCGGTAGTGAAAGGCAATGCGCTGTTAGCTCTAAGCAGCCTTGCTGTCGTCGTATCTAGACATGAAGCCAGCCTCTCCTCAGACTCTGACGGGCTCCTGGAGGTTAGTTGGGGTGATTTAAACAATTGGCTTTGATTATGTCTTTTTAAGCCTGGCTTTAGGTAGCCTGGCCCTGGGCTTACAAGGTTAGATTCTGTGATTATGGCACCAAGTTATAGTACTTGATGGGCCTTTATACTGTGAGCCTCAGTGTCTTCCTAACTTTGCTGCTTTTCTGTTTTCCTTTCTCCATCACAGTTAAGTGGTCATTTCTATTTGAAGGTGCCAATTTTATGCCATAGGGGTTATCTTTTTGTGATTACATCAATGGTAACCAATCTTACAAGGTTAACTAGGCTTACTGAAAGTGAACAATGCCGTCAAAATGATAAATAAGCAGTGTTTATTGACTGAAAAAAATGTACTTTGCATTTTAATTGTATATGTCAATGACAAAGTGCCTATTCATTTTTGCAAGGCAGTTATTTCTTAATTAAACATGTGGTGAGCTGGCCACTGTTCATTTCTAATGTACTTTCTTGGATAATTCATATCTGTCTAAATAAAAAGGCATGGATTTATTCTTGTTTTAAGTCTCATTATCTGGTAGCTGTCATCATCTAGAGATGACATAACTGAGTCGTTAAAAATATAGGCTTTGGAATAAGAAAGTCCTATATTTAGATCCTATTACTTCCACTTACTACCTCTATGGCCTATTTGTAGCAATTTCCTCTTTCAGAACCTATTTCTCCATCTGTAAAATGGAGGGATAACAATGCTCACCAGATAGGATTGTTCGAAGGATTAAATGAATTAATATATGTGAAGCACAACAGCTCATAGATACTAAGCTCTTATTAATAATAACCATTCAAAATTATTCAGTCTGTCTCTGTCCTCAATGAGTATCTTATGGGCTATCTGTATTCTTTTTTTGTTGTTGTGGGTTTTTTGGTGGTACACTAAAAAAATCAACTCTGGTGACTCATTTAAACCAAAAAGGAACAGGAAGTATATGGAATCTAGAAGCCCGTGGAATTAAAGGCAAAGCTTAAAAACTGTATTTTGGGAAGAACAAGAACCAGGGCAAGTTGGGTAGTCCAGGCAACAGGTACTAATGAAACATCTAAGCAGACCACCTCCAGTGGGCCAGAACAACTTCAGTCATTTATTATCCTCATGTCACTTAAAATTCAGAGTCCTTTGGGTCCTAGGCCTACCCCTTGGACAGTGTAGGACAGCTAGTTTGATTGAGCATTTAACTAACCTTCAAACAGTGGGGAAGACGGAACTCTGCAAAGGGTGTTACTACCAGTAAACAGAGAATAGGTGCTGTGTGGCAAAAGCCATGGATATATATTACATGTAGGGAAGGGAAAGAGGCCAAGGGATTATTGCATGAATGATATTAGTTAATTACCTTATGAAAATTTAATTTTAAACTTAGAATCTTACCGATAAGAAAGATGGAAATTTTATAGAGAGGAAATGTTTCATGTCTTTCAGAGAGCCATGGAATATTTTAGCAGAGGCAACATGCTGCATAGATCTACAACCTAAAATGTCAATGCCCCTTTCTATGATCCCTTCACTTTGGTGTTATTTTTGTTGAACTACCAGTTATACAGTAATTTTCCCCAATAATAAAGGGGTCTAGCTCAGAGTTTGAGTTCCAGCCTCTCTTACTTTCTCCTCCACCCCAACACACCCCAACACACATTGAGAAACCACACAGTCCAAAGATGAGGCTTTGCTTTTATTCATGATGACCTTGCCTTTGGCTGTTACTCAATGCAAATTCAAGACCTCATTATTTGATTAAAGTTGAAACTTTCAAACATTATTCAAACCTGCATGTGACCACCAACAAAAGATTTGAAGATGTGACAGCCTTGTTTGGTTCAAGGAATTACAATAATTCCAGTTACCATGTGAGTTAATGAATGCTTTTGACATCCATGGTCATGAATGACTTTAATAACCAAGTTTTATTTTTAATGAGTGGGGTTTTTTTTGTTGTTTTGTTTTTGTGTTCTCTTCCTCTTCTTTTTCAAACTGAAGATGATTCATGTTTTCTACCTAATCTTTCAGTGAGTTGGGTGAATGTTGTCAAGATTCTTGAAATGACAACTAAATGGTAATAGTCACCAGAAATGCTAGAGATGTTGATCTGAATTCTGTGGGCTGCTTATTGCCTCCTTTGTCAAATAAGAAGTCATAGAAATGAGAAATTTTGAATTATGTTTTTTGCACATCTGTCCTTTTAACCTCCATATTATCTTCACTATAATTCATTCAACGCAGGAGAGCTCTGAAGGGCTCTTGGATAGTTCTGTTTTGCAGCATCTATCCTCTTCTGCTAATTTGTTCATAAAAGATACATCTTATTTCTTTTGGGGCACAGGTGAGGATGTATATTTGTCAACTACCTGTATACCTCATACGTGCATGCTTATAGTCCAAGCAGATGAAGTTTACTTTTTGATAACAGCACTTTATTGTTTAATATAGAAGGGAGTTACACCTTAGATTTAGAAATATCTTTAGATTTGTTTTCTCTGTAATCATTTCATGTTTTTAATTCATCTGCAGGTTCAACCTAATTTCCTTTCAATGAAAGAGTGGGTTTCCATGGTACTTGATACACTCTTGGTCATTGTGGATAGCCATTACCAACCCAGAGGGCAACTTCTCTCCTGGTTTTATTATGTAAGTGCAAAAAATAAAAAATGATCAGAAAACTCAAGAATTGACTCTTATGACATCAGTTGGTCACATGAAATCGATTATATAGGCCAGGCGCGGTGGCTCACGCCTGTAATCCCAGCACTTTGGAAGTCTGAGGTGGGCGGATCACCTGAGGTTGGGAGTTCGAGACCAGCCTGACCAACATGGAGAAACCGCATCTCTACTAAAAACACAAAATTAGCCGGGCGTGGTGGCACATGCCTGTAATCCCAGCTACTCAGGAGGCTGAGGCAGGAGAATCACTTTAACCCGGGAGGCAGAGGTAATGGTGAGCCAAGATCGCGCCATTGCACTGCAGCCTAGGCAACAAGAGAAAAACTGTGTCTCAAAAAAAAAAAAAAGAAAAAGAAAAAAAAAAGAAATCCATTATATAGTGTAATGATTCTCAGCCCTGGCTATTTGTTAGAATCACCTGGGGAACTTTAAATACACACACACACGAAATATTATCTATATAAAATATGAAAATATTATATATGTAAATTATAAGAAATATGTGTGTAAATATTAATGTTATATATGTACGTACATATGCATATATAATGTGAAATATATATGTATAGACATATATATATATATATAAAAGAAATACCAATGTGTAGTCCCCACTGCTGATTTAATTGCTCATGGATAAACTCCGGGCATCAGTATTTTGAGAGCTCTCTCAGTTATTCTAATGTGTAGTCAGGGTCAAGAGCTACAGTTGTAGTAGAATAAACATTGGCTGAAATGTGGGGACTCCAAGTTTCTAGTCATAGATTTTTTTCATTTCAGATTGTGTGACTTTGGGCAATTCACTCAACCTCTTTGAGTCTTTTTGTCCTGATTTATAAAATGAAGGAATTGAAAAATATCATCTATAGTAGTTGTAGCCCTTGCTCCCCACTTCTTGTTTTTGTGACTGTTGACACTTACTTCATCATTCTTATTTTTCTTATCTGCAAAATGAAAGTAAAAATTAATGCTTTGCCAACTTTCTAAAAAGATTGTGAAGATCAAATAATATACTTTATGTAAAAAGTTTTGAAAACTGTTAAATACTCTATAAATACAAAGTAATGTTGTTGATCATTTAAAAAAAAAAGCCACCTGTTACCCATCCTCTGTCTTCATGCTTGTATTCTAAGATTTGAAGCAAAATGAGAAAACACTTTTTTGTTTTGGTTTCCTTTTCCTTTTATTGGTCGTAGTACATGCTTTATTTCTGTGTCTTTGTAGAAGTATTTTGGTCCTACCCTATTACTATCCATTGCCTAGGGAATTATAATGGTCATGGGACAATCAGCTGAGTGGCAGAGGATTATAGTTAATTTTAATAAAAATATAACACAGATTCTGAACTGTTGCTAAGATCATGAATTTAGCTTAAAACCTTAATGCCGAAGGTCTTCTCTGTGTATTTTGTGTGCCTCTGTCCTGCCCTTGGGAAGATCTGGTATGTATTCATCAGGGGCTTTGGGTTTAGAGCTAGATTTTTAACCATAGTTGAGGTAAAAAAAAAAAAAATGACTTACCAGATGATGTAGAATTAAATTGGAAGATAAATTTTGCTCAAAAAGTTAATTGCTCTATGATGATTTACTTTCTGTCAGAAGTGTTCTTATTTCTTTAATGATGAATGAAAACTTTAGATGCTTATGGAGGTCTTTGCAATAACTATCTAGTTCAGGTATTCACCAGAGCAGGACACTGTATGAAATTTCTCATATGCTGCTTAGTTCTTGCAAACCAATAAAAATAATCTCTTTACTAGTCAGCTCTGATTGTCTCTTACCTTTGTGAGGTTTTGCATTACCATACTTTTCAAAGCCCTGTTTTAAAAGTCACTTTATTTCATGTGTGCTACCAGCTGGATCATTTTGAGTAACATTATCATTAAAACAGTGCTATATTAATTTAAAGTGTAACTTAGTACGTTTGATTTTTATCCTTAAAGTACTAAAGCTTAGAGAGCGAATGGGCCTAGAATTAAAAACATATTTTAATGTGCTTTAACTGCAAGGGACAACACTGCCCTTATGGTGTGTCTGAAACTTTAAATTGGATAATAGTGAGGAATGATAAACGGGCTTTCTTTCCCACTTGAGACATATTTATAAATGTATATAACGTCTGGTAGAGCTCTCTAACCTGGGATTCTTATAGAAGCTGTTCATATTCAGCTGCTCTGTCATTTTATTAGGGCTGTTATTCATTTCTTTTCCCATAATTACATGTAGGAAGGGGCATATAGAGCTCTCCATTTCATTTTGAATAGCTGGTTATTGCTTTGTAACCAAAGGCTTTTAGGATTTCAACTTCCTTTTTAATTAAAAGGAATTAACCCCCTGTAGGAAATAATCCATCTACTGGGAAGTGTTCCCACCAAAAATTTTGGGAGATGTGCCAATAGATCCCTGTGCTAAATTTATACTTGCTTCTCCATACTAAACTTAAACTCTCTTCCTCCCTTTTCCTTTCTTCCCTGGAAAACTCCTAGCTTTCTGGACATTTATAATGTGGCTTGCTGGTTTGTCCAAGCTCAGATAGCTTCAGTTTTTTTTTTGTTTGTTTTTCTGTTTTTTTGTTTTTTTAATATATATACATGTGGGCTTTTAGGAACACTGAAATTGTTTCAAGCCTTATAGTGAGGGAATTTATAACCTTTAAAAGGAAGACGCTTGTAATTTGGTTTTTCAGATTTAAAAGGATATTATTAATTATTTAGTAGCAAAACATTTCATTAATAATGAAAACATAATCTATAGACAAAAACGTTTGGATTTTTAAAAAATGTATTATTTTGGGTGTCGGCCGGGGTGGATCTAAGAGAAGCTTGTGTGGTTGTATAGTGCTTTTATGATAGGTATGCTTCCTTCATGTTTAAGGCTAACCCTGTTTTCTTTCTTTGGCATGTCCTAGAAGTCCTATTCTGGTGAAAACACAGCTAGTGCCATTGCCCGTTCTGCTGCCGCCACGGCTTTGTCTCTCCTTGTGCCAGTTTTCATTATCTCTTGCAAAGAGAAGGTTGAGGAAATCCTGAACATGCTGACTGCCAGGTTACCTGGGAAACCAAGTGCTGATGAGTCTCAAGCCGTGCAAATCCACATGGGCCTTGCTTTAGGGATGTTTCTCTCTCGCTTGTGTGAAGAGAAACTCAGGTACAGTTTATTAAAATATTCCTGCTTTTCTTCTTTGTGATTTTTTGCAAAGGATTTTGCACCCATATGCACCTATATATAAACATTGTATCTGAGCAATATGTGTTTGCTAAACTTTCTGAGATGGGCAAGTTGATCCTTTATTCTTCTTTAGGAGTAAATTTATCTATCTAAAATACCATCGTGTAGGTATTAATGTATTTTAAGGGTTGCTAGTATTAAAGTGTTTGGTTACTTGAAAATCATTTCATGCTTAGATGAAAGCCCCAGGTACCTATGTGTGGTGGACATGAGAAAAGTCAAGTTATGGTGCTATAAGTAAAAAGCTTCTTTTTTCTGGTTTGTATGGGATGAAAATAACTGCCAATCTTTTGTTGATATCATTGAAAATGAGAGGAGAGGATTGGCATATCTCTAGTGCCTAAGGGGTGTTGGGAATCACTGAATTACCTGAGAACTACATGTACCCGGCTTTAAATATTGCTTTTTTTCCTGTGCCCTGGCCACATTTTTATAATCCTTAAAGAGTCTTAATCTGTGCATATTATACTGTGTGCTTTGTTCACTTTGATTGCTCATTTTTGGACTGCTAACTTTATTTACCCTTGAATGGAGCTAATGGAATAGACTCAGGTGGAAAATTCCACTAAATCGGAAAGGTTTTTTTAGTGCATCAGTCTGCTTTAGTTTTGTTGTTCATACTGCTTATTATTTATTTTCTAGCAATTCTTAGAATTTTATATATCTACATTGATTGTAGTGGGCTACAATATGAATACTTGCTTATCATGAATATTTTGATGTCAATGACTAGGCATTTAGCCCTGTTTTCCTACTTTGGAAATATGATAGTAGGGAGAGGCATTCTGTTGTGATATTAGATTCTTTTAAATTCCTGGTTGGCAGAAATTAGTTGTCCAAAGGCAAGAACTGGTGTTGGTGTGGATAAACTGGATGACACTATGCTATATTTATTTCAGTTTGAGACCACTGATTAAGTTCTTCACAAACACAAGTATGTGAAACTTTTATGTGAATTGCTATTGATTTTGGGGAATACCATATTTCAGATGATCATTTTCAGCTCTTAGAAACATCTGTCAGATGATTGGGATTATTCTCTTAGTCTTTGAGACCATAAGTGCAATATGGCCAGAATATTCATTTCGTCCTGTTCACCATCACTAATAAATATAGGTCTTGTTCTGGAGATGAATAAAAAACTGCCCTTTGCATGTGATTTGACTGTTACATATCTTGTGTGTGTGACAGAACACAAACTATTTTTAAAGACTTAAAACTTGAAAGTGATTTTTTCCCTTTGCTACTATGCTACAAATGACAGTCTCTCCACCATCTGTGTTCATGCTCTTTCTTTGGTATCTTTTCAAGCAACATGTTTTGCAACTAAAAATGAGCCGTAGCAGTTTAATTCTAGGCAACTCATTTCATCCTATTCTGGCTCTGACTCCTTTCTTCACTAACTTAGGAGGAGATGCTGCTGCTTTTAGGCTGACAAGCTTGCATTTGTGGTTAACTTAATCATGCTGCCTGGAGAAACCTATGATGATTCCCCCAGAACACTTGACCCTGCTTCCTAGGTTGTCTTCCATTCCTGTCTGTCTGACTTGAATTCACACCTGAAGGAAACCCTGGGCAAAGACATCAGGAAGCTCCTTCCTTAGCTGAGCACCCACAGAATAACTACAGATTTTAACTTTGCCCTAACGTTCCTGTGTTTGATAGCATCCTCCTTCTACTTAGGGCCTGTGTGTTAGTAATGCCATTACTAACATAACTATTCATGGCTCCCACCTTCCCAATTTGTTGGAATTGAGGAATCTCAAATATTTGCCTTTTGATACTAATAAATTTTTTACCAGGTAGTAACAATGCTAACAGAGAATTTCATCTTTGGAGAAAGTTTAAATTTTTTTCTAAAAGCAAGTGTTTTGAGAGCTGTTGATTTTGACTAGTCAGTGACATCAAATGTGTCCCAATGTGGTCCTTTAATGGGAACAGAATTAGGACAATATGTTGTTTTTCAGAGACTAAGAAATCACCATGTAGAAGAGAATTATGAATCACATCTGTAATTGCAGCATTTTGGGAGGCCAAGGCGGGCAGATCATGTAAGCCCAGGAGTTTGAGACCAGCCAGGCATGGTGGCAGATGCCTGTAGTCCCAGCTACTCGGGAAGCTGAGGCTTGAGAATTGCTTGAGCCCAGGAGGCTGAGGTTGCAGTGAGCTGATGTTGTGCCACTGCACTCCAGCCCAGCCTGGGTGAGAATGCAAGACTCTATCTCAAAAAAAAAAAAAAAAAGGGGGGGAGAATTATGAAAATCATTTCAATTTTTGCTAAGGCTTATGAAAAAGTCTCCTGAATTTAAGTTCCATCTAAAATTTATTCAGAAGCTGTGGAATGTTGTTCCACAGCTTCTTGCTTCTGTCATAACCCCCAGAAAATACAAAAATGATCTCTTTAACATTTGTTTAGGATATTTAAGTATATTTTACTCCAAAGGACAACTTTTATAGGATTTATTTAGTTAAAGCTATTAAGTCTGTGTGTGTGATATGAGGGGTGTGCGTGTGGGCATTTGTTTTTCATTGCAAAAATTCCTTCACCTTGGGCAAAACTGCTATAGTCTTGGTTTGGGAAAATGTTTAAAAAAGTGCTCTCTGCCTGGTTGTCATTCCTGGAGTTACATTCCACTTACCATGATCTGAAGTAGCAATATGAGAGTTAAGACGTAGGAACCTGTAGCTACTAAAATGTCAGTGATGAAGCCCACAAATCTGCCTGGAGGGACAACCATAGAACCTTTTAAGTTTTATTTTACTATGCAAGTCATACTTCTCACCCAGGCATTTATAAAATCATCAATTGCTGTATAAATGTAAACAAATATAGGTCTAGGATTTTCTCCCCTTAAAAAAAAGTAAGTAAAGGAATAGAATTTATAACCTCCACAACTGAGACATGAAATCAGAAGTGACAGTCTTTGCAAGAAAGATTTGGAATGATTATTGATAATGTCAGGTTAATACGTTAAGTATTCTGAAGAAAATCACTTAAGCATCCTTAGAAATATATATTTGGAATTCCGAGTTTCTTTTTTATTTTTCAATGGCTTAAAATTTGAACAGGCTAAGAAAAATCAAAAATAGGAGATTTTGTGTTTATTGGTTTGCAAGTGATTATACTGCTCAGAAATCCAATTATTGAATAATTGGTCAGACTTAGTTTCTGTAACTACCAAATAAGAATAGGCAACTCATCAATATTGTCACTTTTTTTTTTAAGAGAAATGCTGGTATTTCCAGTAAAATATTGAGAGTATAATATTGTATTCAGTATTTTGGATAGTTGACTAATTTTAAATAATTCATTGTTTCCCCTTGATCTTTAACCAGTGATATATCTGGCCAAGAGATGAACCTTCTTCTGATGAAGTCGTTGGATGCCCTGGAAAATTGCTGCTTTGACACTAGTCTTGAATACAAGTATGTTGTTCCTATTTCCACTCTCACAGGTACTTAGACATTGCTCCCTACACTGCCATAAGTCTTGCATGCTATGGAGAAATATTTTTTATTTTTATTTTTTATTTCCATAGGTTATTGGGGAACAGGTGGTGTTTGGTTACATGAGTAAGTTCTTTAGTGGTGATTTGTGAGATTTTGGTGCCCCCATCACCCAAGCAGTATACACTGCACACAATTTGTCATCTTTTGTCCCTCACCCTCTTCCCACGCTTTCTCCCTGAATCCCCAAAGTCCAGTGTGTGATTCTTAAGCCTTTGTATCCTCATAGCTTAGCTCCCACTTATGAGTGAGAATATATGACGTTTGGTTTTTCCATTCCTGAGTTACTTCACTTAGAATAATAGTCTCCAGTCTCATCCAGATTGCTGTGAATGCCATTAGTTCATTCCTTTTTATGGCTGAGTAGTATTCCATCGTGTGTGTGTATGTGTGTGTGTGTGTGTATCACAGTTTCTTTATCCACTCATTGATTGATGGGTATTTGAGTTGGTTCCACGTTTTTGCAATTGTGAATTGTGCTGCTATAAACATGCATGTGAAAGTACTTTTTTGTATAATGACTTCTTTTCCTGTGAGTACATACCCAGTAGTGGGATTGCTGGATCAAATGGTGGTTCTACTTTTAGTTGTTTAAGGAATCTCCACACTGTTTTCCATAGTGATTGTACTAGTTTACACTCCCACTAGCAGTGTAGAAGTGTTCTCTGTTCACCGCGTCCACACCAACATCTATTTTTTTTTTATTATGGCCATTCTTGCGGGAGTGAGGTGGTATTGCATTGTGGTTTTGATTTGCATTTCTCTGATCATTAGTGATGTTGAGCATTTTTTTATACATTTGTTGGTCATTTGTATATCTTCTTTTGAGAATTGTCTATTCATGTCCTTAGCCCACTTTTGGTGGGATTGTTTGTTTTTGTCTTGCTAATTTGTTTGAGTTTGTTGTAGATTCTGGATATTAGTCCTTTGTCAGTTGTATATAGATTGTGAAGATTTTCGCCCACTCTGTGGGTTGTCTGTTTACTCTGCTGACTGTTGCTTTTGCCATGCAAAAGCTCTTTCGTTTAATTAAGTCCAAGCTATTTATCGTTTTTAACTGCATTTGCTTTTTGGTTCTTCATCATGAAATCCTTGTCTAAGCCAATGTCTAGAAGGGTTTTTCCAGTGTTATTTTTAGAATTTTTATAGTTTTAGGTCTTAGATTTAAGTCCTTGAGCCATCTTGAGTTGATTTTTGGATAAGGTGAGAGCTGAGGATCCTTCTGTACAGTTTTATTCTCTTACATGTAGCTTGCCAATTAAGCTTACATGTATCTTACCAGTTACCCCCAGCACCATTTGTTGAGTAGGGTGTCCTTTACCCACTTGATGTTTTTTTTTCTTTGATTTGTTGAAGATCCGTTGGCTGTATTTGGGTTTATTTCTGGGTTATCTATTCTGTTCCGTTGTTCTATGTGCCTAGTTTTATACCAGTACCATGCTGTTTTGGTGAATGTGGCCTTATAGTATAGTTTGAAATCAGGTAATGTGATGCCTCCAGATTTGTTCTTTTTGCCTAGTCTTGCTTTGGCTATGTGGACTTCTTCAGAAAGCTCCCAGAATTGATAACAGAATTCAGCAAAGTTTCTGGACACAAAATTAATGTACCCACATCAGTAGCTCTTCTATATACCAACAGTGACCAAGCTGAGAATCAAATCAAGAACCCCACCCCTTTTTTTTACAATAGCTGCAAAAAAAAATAATAAGATACTTAGGAATATACCTAACCAAGGAGGTGAAAGACCTCTGCAAGGAAAACTACAAAACACTGCTGAAAGAAATCATAGATGACACAAATGGAAACACATCCCATGCTCATAGATGGGTAGAATCAATATTGTGATAATTACCATAGTGTCAAAAGCAGTCTACACATTCAGTGCAGTTCTCATCAAAATACTACCATCATTCTACACAGAACTAGATAAAACAATCTTAAAATTCATATGGAGAAATATTTGTAGAATGTGATTTTGAATTCCTTTGCAGAGAGTTTTCAGTAATAATTAATCAAAAAACTTATTATTAAAGCTTTCTTGTTCTGAAAACCAGGTTTCAGCAATAGACAAATTATTTAAATTCAAAGCAACAACTATCATCTTGCAGCTTACACCTTATATTACTAAGACCTTAGTTTTGACTTACGTTTATCATACAAGGCACATGTATGGGGACATGGATGCATGACTTAATCTTTTTTTAAAGTATTTATTTTTATTTATGTATTTATTTAGACATAATCTCACTCTTATTGCCTAGGCTGGAGTGCAATGGTGGAATCTTGGCTCACTGCAACCTCCGCCTCCCGAGTTCAAGTGATTCTCCTGCCTCAGCCTCCCAAATTGCTGGCATTACAGGCATACATCACCACGCCCAGCTAATTTTGTATTTTTAGTAGAGATGGGGTTTCACCAATTGGTCAGGCTGGTCTCAAACTCCTGACCTCATGTGATCCACCTGCTTCTGCCTCCCAAAGTGCTGGGATTACAGGCGTGAGCCACCCTGCCCAGCCGACTTAATCTTTTTAAAGATTTGTTGAGGCCATTTGAATTTGATTGGGCTAAGAGGGCCTTTGACCGATGATTTATGTTTCCCTGTGAAATCATGTGCCTAAGAAGTAGAAATGGAAGCAAACAGGTTATATCAGGGATTACCAACCTGCTTAGCATTAAGAACCTTTCCCTTCCCCATGCTAACCCCATGGTTTTTAAGTTTTGTCTATTAAACTAAATGCTTTAAAATTATTTTCTCATTTCATTAATGAAAGATAAAAATGAAAAATAATCAAAAAAAGAATTAAACACACTCATTTTATGAGATATTTAATGTTTCAGTTAGTCTGTGTGACTTGTGTAGGTGAATATATGGTATGGTTTTGTTAGGCTTTCGGAAATACTGACATTTTTGAGGGAGCAACATCGTAGTTTTTTAGACTTCCATGCGTTTTGGAACGTCAGGCATGAATCCTCTGGTGTTCATTGTTACTAGGAATTAACAGATTATAAGCACTAACTTCCAGTTTATTGACTCATTTACCCTTTGATATTATGGGCACTGCTCAAATATGCATTAAATCAGTGTTTACATTTCTGGCCTTTAGGAACTTATGATTTACAGCTACATTCATACTTTCTATCTTGTTAGTTTCAGACTAACAAAAGGGTAAATGATATGGTAGTGGTAGCTGCATGTGTAAAGGGTTTCATCAGGAATAAATAAAGTAAAATGTCCATTTAATAGGTGGTAGTTATGGGATCTTCTTTCAGATGCAGGCTGAGATTGGAGAGGAACTAGTGCCACTCACCTGGTTTCTCAAGAAACACTTTTGGGGTCAAGTGACTTCTTAAGAGTGTGGTTTGAGGCCGGGCGCGGTGGCTCACGCCTGTAATCCCAGGACTTTGGGAGGCCGAGGCAGGTGGATCACGAGGTCAGGAGATCGAGACTGTCCTGGTTAACACGGTGAAACCCTGTCTCTACTAAAAATACAAAAAAAACAGGGATGCCCTCTCTCACCACCCCGATTCAACATAGTGTTGGAAGTTCTGACCAGGGCAATCAGGCAGGAGAAGGAAACAAAATTAGGAAAAGAGGAAATCAAATTGTCCCTGTTTGTAGATGGCATGATTGTATATCTAGAAAACCCCATCGTGTCAGCCCAAAATCTCCTTAAGCTCATAGGCAACTTCAGCAAAGTCTCAGAATACAAAATCAATGTGCAAAAATCACAAACATTTTTATACATCAATAACAGACAAACAAAGAGCCAAATCATGAGTGAACTCCCATTCACAATTGCTTCAAAGAGAATAAAATACCTAGGAATCCAACTTACAAGGGATGTGAAGGACCTCTTCAAGGAGAACTACAAACCACTGCTCAATGAAATAAAAGAGGATACAAACAAATGGAAGAACATTCCATGCTCATGGGTAGGAAGAATCAATATCGTGAAAATGGCCATACTGCCCAAGGTAATTTACAGATTCAATGCCATCCCCATCAAGCTACCAATGACTTTCTTCACAGAATTGGAAAAAACTACTTTAAAGTTCATATGGAACCAAAAAAGAGCCCACATTGCCAAGTCAATCCTAAGCCAAAAGAACAAAGCTGGAGGCATCACGCTACCTGACTTCAAACTATACTACAAGGCTACAGTAACCAAAACAGCATGGTACTGGTACCAAAACAGAGATATAGACCAATGGAGCAGAACAGAGCTCTCAGAAATAATGCCACATATCTACAACCATCTGATCTTTGACAAAGCTGACAAAAACAAGCAATGGGGAAAGGATTCCCTATTTAATAAATGGTGCTGGGAAAACTGGCTAGCCATATGTAGAAAGCTGAAACTGGATCCCTTCCTTACACCTTATACAAAAATTAATTCAAGATGGATTAAAGACTTACATGTTAGACCTAAAACCATAAAAACCCTAGACGAAAACCTAGACAATACCATTCAGGACATAGGCATGGGCAAGGACTGCATGTCTAAAACACCAAAAGCAATGTCAAGAAAGGCCAAAATTGACAAATGGGATCTAATTAAACTAAAGAGCTTCTGCACAGCAAAAGAAACTACCATCAGAGTGAACAGGCAACCTACAGAATGGGAGAGAATTTTTGCAATCTACTCATCTGACAAAAGGCTAATATCCAGAATCTACAATGAACTCAAACAAATTCACAAGAAAAAAACAGACAACCCCATCAACAAGTGGGCAAAGGATATGAACAGACACTTCTCAAAAGAAGACATTTATGCAGCCAAAAGACACATGAAAAAATGCTCATCATCACTGGCCATCAGAGAAATGCAAATCAAAACCACAATGAGATACCATCTCACACCAGTTAGAATGGCAATCATTAAAAAGTCAGGAAACAACAGGTGCTAGAGAGGATGTGGAGAAATAGGAACACTTTTACACTGTTGGTGGGACCGTAAACTAGTTCAACCGTTGTGGAAGTCAGTGTGGCGATTCCTCAGGGATCTGGAACTAGAAATACCATTTGACCCAGCCATTCCATTACTGGGTATATACCCAAAGGTTTATAAATCATGCTGCTATAAAGACACATGCACACGTATGTTTATTGCGGCACTATTCACAATAGCAAAGACTTGGAACCAACCCAAATGTCCAACAATGATAGACTGGATTAAGAAAATGTGGCACATATACACCATGGAATACTATGCAGCCATAAAAAAGGATGAGTTCATATCCTTTGTAGGGACATGGATGAAGCTGGAAACCATCATTCTCAGCAAACTGTCGCAAGGACAAAAACCAAACACCACATGTTCTCACTCATAGGTGGGAATTGAACAATGAGAACACATGGACACAGGAAGCGGAACATCACACACGGGGGCCTGTTGTGGGGTGGGGGGAGTGGGGAGGGATAGCATTAGGGGATATACCTAATGTTAAATGACAAGTTAATGGGTACAGCACACCAATATGGCACCTGTATACATATGTAGCTAACCTGCACATTGTGCACATGTACCCTAAAACTTATAATAAAGAAAAGAAAAGAAAGATTGTAGATATATTAAAAAAAGATTATCTTACCAATTTTTAAGAATTCATTATATATTATGTACATGAACTTTAGTCTACCATATTTATTACAAATATTTTTCTCAGTCATTTTGCTGATTTACTTTTTAAAAAGAATATAAATGTATTATTACCACTGAACTGTACCCTTAAAAATGATAAAGATGGTACTTTTATATGTATATTTTACCTTAATAAAAATTAAATTAAAAATTGAAAAAAAAATACAGAAAAAAAATTAGCAGGGCGTGGTTGCAGGCGCCTGTAGTCCCAGCTACTCAGGAGGCTGAGGCAGTAGTATGGTGTGAACCCGGGAGGCGGAGCTTGCAGTGAGCCGAGATCGTGCCACTGCACTCCAGCCTGGGCGACAGAGCGAGACTCTCTTCTCAAAAAAAAAAAAAAAAAGAGTGTGGTTTGAATATGAGTAAAGAAAGAGTTTGATGGCATGGTTGAAGTATCTTGAAAATAGAAAATGATTAATGAGAAAAATAGGGAAATTTAGCTGTTATTTGAATCCAATGAAGAGTTGAGATTTTGAACCTAATCCATGCATTTATATTGCCTTTTACAACCTAGGAATAAGATATTTTCATGTCTCTTTCCATCCCTCCTGCCTCCTCTTACCACCCAAAGATGTTCATTGTAGCTTAGCTCAAGATGTTATAAAGTTGGGAAAAAATGTGAGATTAAGATGCCGCCAACTTTAGCCAGTGGCACAGTCAGGAGTGACTTTCAGGCATTGTCTCCATCAGTTTTCAGGAAGGTTGTTTAAATGCGGGGAGTACCATGGGGATGAATTACCCACCATACAGATACTGAGGTGTTTAAAAATTTCGTATGTCCAAGCATATTTAACTTTAAAATTTATTTTTGTTACTAATAAGTTTCTTATTTCTTCATTCTTACCTTCTTTGTTGATTCTTACCTTCTTTTATTTTATTTTTTTTTGTTTTTATTTTTTATTTTTTAAATTTATTTTATTTTTTTTCTTTCTTTTTTTTAAATTATACTTTAAGTTCTAGGGTACATGTGCACAACGCGCAGGTTTGTTGCATATGTATACATGTGCCATGTTGGTGTGCTGCACCCATTAACTCGTCATTTACATTAGGCGTATCTCCTAATGCTATCCCTCCCCCCTCCCTCCACCCCACGACAGGCCCCAGTGTGTGATGTTCCCCACCCTGTGTCCAAGTGTTCTCATTGTTCAGTTCCCACCTATGAGTGAGAACATGCGTCCAAGTGTTCTCATTGTTCAATTCCCACCTATGACTGAGAACATGCTGCGTTTGGTTTTCTATCCTTTTTAATGAACAACTATATTGAGAGAGAGACGGGTAGGCCTGGACTTCCTGTCCAGTTAGTGGACACTTGCCTGTCTGTTAGAGCCCAATTAAAAGCTCAGGCCCTTCAAGAAGTCCTTCTTCCATCCTCTCCAAACTTTTAGTTCTACGGTTAATGAAGTTTAGTGCTTCATCATTACTAATGCTCTCTAGGTGTCAGTCCTTGTGCAGTTCTCCCTTTTTTTTTTTTTTTTTTGAGATAGGATATCACTCTGTTGCTCAGGCTGGAGTGCAGTGATACCACAATCATGGCTTACTGCAAGTTCGACCTCCTGGGCTCAAGCAATCCTCCTGCCTCAGCCTCAAGTAGCTGGTACTACAGGCATATGCAACCATGCTTGACTAATTTTTTTATTTTTTGTAGAGACAGGGTCTTACTGTGTTGCCTAGGCCGGTGTTGAACTCCTGGCCTCGAGTAATCCTCCCAACCCTGGCCTCCCAAAGTAATGGGATTACAGATGTGAGCCACTGCACCCAGCATAGTTCTCTTTTTGGCTTCAGGTTCAACTGATACTTACTGAGCAGCTGCATACTGAGCTAGGCATTTTCACATCTGTTTCTCATGGAGTTACATCCATGTCACAACCTAAACATGATACTGAAGTAGGAATCATCATCACTTTGGTTTACAGATAAAGAATGTGAGTCTCAGATAGGAGGCTTGTTTCAGGGTCATATGCTTAATAAGTGGCAGAGCCAAGAGAGAAACCTGGGACATCTGACTTCAAAGCCATTTTTCTTTCTTACATAACACAGTATGGATAACACATTTCAATAGAAGGAAAGCAGTTTGATGCTGGACAGTATACTGTGTATTTATTTTTTTTCTGACATGCAAGTGTCACCCACACTTTTTTTTTTAATATTTTAATTCTTCCTTCTGCTTTTTAACTAGACCCAGACCTGAAAGCCTGACTCATGATTTAAAGTATTCCCTTATCTAATGAGATTTCAGGAGTCTAGGGCAAGCCTCCCTCAAGTGAAACAGTGGAAGTCTTACTAGAAGGTAGTTAGTAGATGCGGGAGTGTACTCCCTCAAATGATAGAATTCACCCAGAGCAAATTCACCATGCTTCCCGATTTAATGGACATCTCCCTGCTGAAAGAACCCGCACACCTGGCCAGGCTGGTGTTCGTGAGCCTATCACTAAGATTTTACTGCCATCTAGTGGTAGCTCATTGTGCCATTGTGATCCTCACAGCCGTAACTGTAGTCATGCAGTCATCAATGACCCAAGCTTTGGTTAATTACTACTGAGCTTTTAGAAATGCGATAACATTTGTATAGCGCTTTGTAAAGGGCAAAGCGCTATATAAATGTTAACTGTTATTAGAACTAATTATTAGATGGCCTAGTACTTAATCTGCAGGATTGCCTACAGTAAACTAGGGAATTGAAGATTCATCTCTGATTAATTTTAAAAAATATATATCTGAGTTGATGCAGCAACACAAATATCAGAATTGCTTAGCTTTTAAGTTTCAGGATTTCTTTTGCTGGTGATATTTTAATATACTCTGATAATAGATTCAAATAAGTAATGACATAATAGTGTATGGAATTTAAAAACTCAAATTATCTTTATCATTTGTTAGCACTCTTATAGAACATTTATGTTAGCAACTCCAAAGTTCAGTTTCATACCCAATATTATAATTTGTTTTTATTTCCTCTGTTGGAGACACCAACACTTAACTCCTTTTTGCTTTCAGTGGACAGAAAGTTATAAAAGCTACCTCTGCCCAAGCTATTCTTGGTTCAAAGCTGGCAGACATATCAAAGAGAAGCTAGAATGAGGTAAATATGTGGAATTGCTGAACTAAGCACCTGGGGGAACATTTTAAGACTTAGAACAAGAATAAACACATTAAAATATAGAAGATTTAGAAATCAGAGGGAAATCAGGAATAAAGTTTTAGGACTACATTATTGGTGCATACTGGAAAATTGAGATGAATGAGAGGGGACCTATTCAGAGGGGCAATAGATGTATATGCCATAGCATGTATATACATACACTGTTATATATTCATATGTTACACCAGTCACTTAACTGCCGCTGTAGCAATGAATAGAATCGCTAGTGAATTATAACGTTGCTCAGGTTATAGTAATAATTGCTATGATAAATTTTAGGTAAATGTGAACTAGAAACAGATGTGTTTTTCAAAGCCTTAATACATCTATCTCCTGAGATGATGAAAGAGGGGCTTCAATCTAGGGGATAGAGATATTTATGTGCCCAGGATAGCCTGAAAAGCAAGACTTACATACTTCCTTGTTTATTCAGAAAGTTAAACCCTATTGGAATGAGCTTTGAGAGGAATTTGTTTTCCAGATGAGCCCAATATTCCTCTTTCTGAAATTAGTCTGGCAAGAAACAGAAACTGAATTTTCTTGGTTGAATCTTGCATGATACGTTCAGTGAATTTTACTACTTATAAAATTTGCCTACTACTAAACATAAGAATCAAGCCTTGCTTTTTTCTTCTTCCTCTGTAGATCTTCTCTCTACTCTAGACTCTTAAAATTCTTCATTTGGTTAGTTCTTCAGCTTTCAATAAATACTGGTTGAGTGCCTGTATACGCCAAGCAGTATACTAGGTGCAGCAGATACTGTGGTAGGGAAAAAAACAGAAAAGGTATACCCACCCTTATGGAGCTTTCAGGCCAGGGAAGAGATAATAATCAACCAATACCCCAAATAATTTTCATCAGAGTTTATAATTAAAATTGTATGAAGTAAATTAGCACAGGGTGCTGTGGGAGAGTATTAAAGAGGCTCTCTGCTGGGCGAGAGATGATGTCTCTGAGGAAGTAACATTTGAAATCTTAAGCATAAGTAGCAGTTAAATAGTCAAAGAGAGAACAACAGTCAAATGTGTCTAAGTATTAATCAAATTTTGTCTAATTATATCTTTGGTCTAATTCTGTCAAATTGTTATATGCATCAATATACAAAGATAGCCAAAAAACTTCCCTGTAGATTCTAAATAATAGCAAAGGCTTTACATTCATATTAATCAAGAGTAGCCTTTCCTCTTCCGTAAATGTGATTAGTCTCAAAAGCATGTTCTATTGAGATCTTAGATGTTGATTTAACTGGTTGAAAATGCATTGAGCTTGTTAAGTTTACGAAGCTGTAACAGCAGTTCTGCCTGACTAATGATGGATTATTACTGTAGTAGCTTCTTTACGAAGGATTTTTGAATGGCTGATCGTTATGCAACAGAAACTAGAAAAACACACTTGAGATACGGTGCCTTCTCATACGTATTCCATCATGGCACCATGAAGGGCACTGAGAGGGGCTTTGGGTTTGGCAGATGGGGCAGAAGGCTAGGAATAAAAAAAATCCCCTTGTATTGGCCGTGCTCTGCTGGATGCTCTCTGTGTGACCTTGAGCAAATCCTGTAGCCTGTCTATCCTTCTGGGTATCTTCTTTTAGGTGTGGGTGCTCCATTTGCACGTTGGGGGAAGTAAGTAACATGTTCATAAAATTATGCAAATGTTCTTGACACTGACCAAGGGGGTAGATGCTGTTTAAGAGCAAAATGACCTAACATGTGGGCATTGAGATACATTATTGGAGAAATGCCCTGGAATGTCTTCTTCGGCAGCAGATATCATGATGAGAGGCAAGGCAAGCCAGAGTAAGGGTGATTTCTGAAAAAACATTGCATTTTCTCCATTTAAAAAACAATGACAAAAGCTTTTTTTCTTTAAAGTAAAGCATTACCACAAGCTGCATTATCTTACCATACTATCTTGAAGTTTTCTGAGAGAACAATTATTTTCTTTAAATGGATATGTATTCATTCAGGAGAATTGGGGGCACAAAGCCCTAGATTTCAATTGAATTGTCACATGGGGTAACTTTTGACAAGCCTGTCATTTGTCCATTTTCTCTTCTGACCCAGTGGTATTCTGCAAGATCAGAGGGGAGAGAAGGATTAATGTCATTGTGCACAAACAGTTTCTTTAGGAAAGAAATTCCACTTGTTGAAGTTGACTAGGAAACATGAAACACTTAGTAGTACCTCATAATCATGCCTTGCATTTATCTTCTTTGCTATTAGTCAGATATCCTCAGCTCACATCCTGAATTTTAGTCTTTTCTCTCCTTATGCAGCTGATCACAGTATACTCAACATGCAGGTAGGGGTGTTGCAGGGAAAACTACAGCATTTCTGTAAGGGCACAAATAAAGCTGGTTTATGCCTTTTCCTCTTCTCACCCATAAAGTTTAAGTCAAACTATTTCCTGCCTTTTGTTTTTATCTAGGGGGTGTACAGCACTAGCATGGGCCACAGATACATGTTTTGATGTCAGGTTTTCATTTTGAGGGGAGAGGTATGTGTACTTGTCATGGATGATGGGGCACACCATCTACTAGGCAGCAGAATTTGAATCCAGCCATCTCACCAAGGTTTGAGAGCTCTGTAAACACCCGTGGTAAGTGAAGAGCAATTGTGTGGATTTCTTATGATCCTAACATCTTATCTTTTTTGGCTTCCAAGCACGGGCTGTATATTGGGAGTTGGACTTGTTCTGTCCCTCATGAGCCACAGCAGCCAAATGCAGTCCCGCGTTCACGTAGCAGCATTGCTCCGGAAGCTGTCTGCGCACGTAGATGACAGCGGGAGCCAGAGCAGAACGTTTCAGGAGGTAAGAGATGGAGGCTACATTTTTTTCCCCTCTGCTCTCTTTTGTTTTCTTCTTGCCACTTATTTTGGACTTACCATATTTTGGTAACCCTATAAATTAAATTCTTCCTCAAAGAGAAAATCTGAATGACAAACAACCAATATTAGATCATAAGGTTTTCATATTATGTGGCAGTTTAAATCAACTTAAACCTAAATGTGGCATATAAGATAAGAGCCTTTAGTGAATACAAAACCTAACTCAGCATCACTAGAAGGCACTTTCTAAGAAGAGCTGCAATTTCTGGAAGAAGGTTAAATCGAGATTTTTAGAATTGTGCTCAAGCCAAATATAACTTTCAAAAATGCCCAGGAATAAGCTTCAGAAACTGCTGATCAAAAGGCGTTTGATTTTTTAAAATGTCAGCTAGCATAAAATATTATTGAGAAAATTCGCTTTACCACACTTAGAGAAAAGTTTTTTTCTGTTGTGGTGCAAAAATATGCAGAATTGGAGTTCATGTGATCCAGTTCATGGGTGTTAACCATGTTTTTAGATGGAACATTTCAGGCATGTGTCATGCCTGTCTCTATTTTGCCCAGGTGAAGCTGGACCGCTTGTACTCTTCTTTGAGAGGAGCAGGGTATGACCTCGTGGCCTGGCCTGATTCTCTCTCTCATTAGAACAGATTCTATTTTATCCCAGCCTGCCCATGAGCTATTGATGAGTACATAATGGCTGCTGTGTTTCCCTGCTCAGCTCCTCTGCTTTCAGCAATAGGACTTGTTGAATTGGTGAATTTCTTTGGGCACAGAGGAATGAAGTTTTGTTCTAAGACATGCACTACATTTCCATTTTTAAAGCAGTGTAGAGTGTGATTTTAAAGTACGTATTTTTTTTAAGCCAAAAGAGTAAATCTTGCAACCTAGGAGCAAATTAATTATAAATGAAAGCAATGTTTTTATAACTGATGCATCTGTAATGTTTTGATTTATAAGGCCTTAAGCAAGCAGTTTTTTTTTCTCCCCTCTGATGTTTTATTATTCAACTTCTGCCTTAGAAACCACTTATATTTTTCATGCCATATCAACCAGTGCTAGAAGTTGAATTTTCTACTTTGTCTTAACAGCATTCTTATAAGGGAGGTTTTTTATCACGAAAAAAGGAGGTAGCAGAGAGGGGATGACTAAATTTGATGTGCAAAAATTGAGACTCAGATAGATTGGGTGACTTGCCCAAAGTTACTACGCTAGTAAATGGTCAATTTGGGACATATTCCCAAATCTTGGCTCCATTCCCACCATTGTTTTTTACCCATATTTTATTTATTCATTCATTCATTCATTCATTCATTCATTCATTCATTCATCAACATATTAAGTTCCCACACTAGTGCTATGAGGCAGGTATTAGTATTCCTATTTTATACAATTTATCTGACTCCAGAATCCATATTCCTGTTCCAGTTATGCTCCACTACTTCTCCTAGGGAATCTTAATGGAGCAGTGTTTCACTTCTTTGAATTTCCTATCCTGTTTGGCCTTGGATGGGAATGCATGGCAATTAATTAGTAGCACCCACTGGTGATGAAAATCTGTTTCCTTCTGCTGTTGATAGGTGCTGTGCTCTGGCATAATGTGGTGAAGAAATTTACTATTATGAGTCTAAAGACCTGGGCTTGAATCCCTCCTTTGTCACTTGCTAGCTACATGAAATTGAGCTTCAAAGTTCTTATCTATAAAGTAGGAATAATCATACCCATCATGACAGTGTTATGAAATATTACAATATAAGTTAGGCAGAAAAACAGTGCCCAATCCATGGTAAATGTATGTGAATCCAATTCTTACTCTGGGGGGGAGTTTGACAGAATATCTTGTCAACTAAACCGAGTTCTTTTATTTTTCCTCCTGAAGACATATTTTTCTGCTGTATTTTCTTCTCAGGTCCTTGCCTACACACTTAGCTGTGTATGTACATCAGCGTTCAGTGCTGGAATTATTGAGGCTACAGAGGCTGAGGATGTTATGAACAAGCTTCGACTGTTAGTGGAGAATAGCCAGCAGGTTGGAACGTGTGCCCTGATTATTTCTCTCTGTGGGTCTCATGCTGCTGCTAAGTTTTGCTTTTGACTTACTCTGAATTAGAGTATAATGGGATATTTTTCATGTCTAGAACTGAGGAACTTCTAACTATTCTCTTTTCTCACAGCTGTAGCCAAAAGTCACAGATGTCTTTTTCTCTCCTTATCCCCTGTCTCATTCTGTGGACATTTCTTTTTCTTTGAGAGAGTATTGATATGCTTTTCTCTCTCTCTCTCTGACATTGCTCTATAGTTATAAGATCATAAAATATATGGCTAGGGAATATAAGAGTTATGTAAAGTTAGAAACAAAAATTTGTGACGATATGAATACATAGAAGTCTCTGATAAAGTCAAACTTCAGAAAATTCAAGGCAGAAAATCTCTACTCATGACCAAATATGTATAAGAAAATTTAAGTACCTATAAACTAAATTAAGTAACCTTAAAATGTTTCCTGTGAAATATTATTCAACCTTAAAAAAGAAGGAAGTTCTGATATGTACTAGAACACGGATGAACCTTGAAGGCATTATGCTAAATGAAATAAACAAATAACAAAAAGCAAACACTGTGTGCTTTTACTTACATGAGCTGCGTAGAGTAGTCAAAAGCATAGAGACAGAAAGTAGAATGGTGGTTGCTCGGGCCTACAGGAAGGGAGGAATGGGGAGTTACTGTTTAGTGGGTAAAGAGTTTCAGTTTTTCAAGGGAAAGATTCTGGAGATGGATGGTGGTATTGATTGCATAGCAGTATGAGTGTACTTAATGCCGCTGAACTGGTATTCACAGTAAAGATGATAAATTTTAAGTGTACATTAATACAATTTAAAAAAACTGAAAAAAAACATTTTATCTGATTACACATGCTATAGAATTTCCCCATGTGGATTTTTTAAAGGTTTCTCCACTGTCTTAATATTGATGATAATGGGTTATTGCAGAATTCATTGGTTTTAAGCTCGTAATGTTATCGTTACTGTTTTATGGTTATATACCCGCTCACTTACATTCAGAGTAAGTTGTGAAAAATTGAAATGTAGAATTTTTCATATACTTTGCTTTTTATGGGATGCTTTCTTTTTGTTTAGGAGTTGATTGACCTTGTGTGGTCTACCTTGGTTTTTTCACCCTAACCTCTTCAAATTGTTTGAGCTAAGCTGCTCAATAGTGCAGTATTACTTTCCTGAAATAAATTACTCACTGAAGCTGAATTCCTTGCAATTAGACCCTGCAGTTTATGATGCAAACCAGTCTAGATTAAAAAAAAACAAAAAACAAAAAAACACTTAAGTCTGATTTTTCATATGACAAATACAGCTTGTCATTAGGAAAGTTAGCACTAAAAGTGTTTATGTTGCTATTTATAAACATTCTAAATCTGTGTCTTTTTTTTTTCTTTTTCTTACCCCATTTTTATTTATTTATATCAGACTTCAGGTTTTGCCCTGGCTTTAGGAAACATAGTTCATGGATTGTCTGTGTGTGGACATGGAAAAGCTGAAGACTTGGGCAGCAAACTACTCCCTGCCTGGATCAGAATTGTTCTAACAGAGGTAGAGGTCACCTGTTGTATGCTATTTCATATTTTTATAATGGAAAAAGAACTACTTTATTGGATCATTTATAGGAGTTGCTGAGATATATACGTTAATGGTAAAAGAATAGGCAATTTTAAATGAAAGAGATCACATACTTTTAAATCCCTTATAAATAATGCATTCTGCCAACTATTATAATTTTTTTGAACTGGCTATTTTGTCTGAGTTTTAATTTTAAGACAACATTTTGTTTTTTGAAAAATAAAAGCAAGAATCCACCCATGATCTAACAACCTTAATCTGTTACTTTATTTTAGTCTGCTGCCATTTTTGGTTCAGTTATACAGGTTACGTTGACCCTATAAGTTTGGTACCAATTCGACCATTTATTTCTCCGTGTCCTCAGAAGTTTTATAGAATCTAAACCCAAGGACTGATTCCCTCTTTTCATATTCTGATGCTTTGTTTTCAGGGCACTCCCACAATGCTTTGTCTGGCAGCTCTTCATGGCATGGTGGCCTTGGTAGGCTCTGAAGGGGATGTAATGCAGGTAAAGAAAGGAACCATGGAGGGGAAGACATCTAAATATGTACATAGCCATAGCGGGAGAAGAATACCCAGTGTTTTAGTATGCTAAGAACAGAAGGATTTATGCTCATGGTAATAGTTACACCAGACTTTTTAATGCCTTGCTGTATGAATAATTGCACTTAACCAAGGATTATTTCTATAGAGGTTTGTTCTTTATTTAATTTGGTTTTTAGAGATTAAACCTGGCCAACTTAGGTGCTCTCCACAAATTTCCCTGCCTGAGAAAAGATGATTGAAGGATAAGAAATTTCAAAAGTTATTTGCAAGAAACTCCATTTTGCATCTTAATGTCTGATATATGTCTATGTGGTTGTTCTTTAACTTCAAAATATTTTCACAGTGGACATATATATGTGTAAGTTTATAAGTAATTCTAAAGGAGCTCTGTTTTTATGCATTAAAAGTTGATTGAGTGATTGCTTACATGCCACAGTGAACAGGTACCAGGAAATCAATGATAGATAAAGCATGGGGCCCTGCCTTTGAGGAGTTCATAGCTTATGTATTTGAAATAGAAGGACATAATGATAAACTGTTTTATAACTTAGAAGATGGATAGCTCATGCACCGGGAATATAACTCTTAACTTTTTTATGGGGGTGGGTGGGATGGGTATTTCTTCTTATTCTTTCAGCTGAAATCAGAAGCCATCCAGACCTCTCATTTTCAAGGCAGACTTAATGAAGTCATTAGAACCTTAACTCAGGTGAGAAAATGAATTTAAAATCCTTGGGTGGAAAACATATCCCCCTTTGTTGTCTTTTTTTCTATTACATGATACAACATGTTTTACCTGGAAAATGGGAAAGTCTCTGGTTATTCCCGCTGAGTTCAAGAGGCATTTGGGAGTGATGTGTGGACCTGTGTTAACTGACAAACATGCACTACCTTTGGGAAAAAAAGAAAGCTGGCATTTTTTTTAGTAAACTTAAGTTGGCATTGGTTTTTCTTAAAAATTAAAGCCTGATTCTGCGAGGAATGTCAGGCCCTAAAGATAAGGAAAAATAGAAGGTGATCAAAGGGCATGGCAGATCTTGGTAGAAAGGTCAAGAGGCACTAATTCAGATGTCCCTGATAAAAGTGTTTGGGCATATCATTTTAATTGTTATCCTTGACTAAAGAATAGACATATTAATCTCCTAAGAAATGTTTTTTTGTTTTAAGATTTAAAAAAAAAAGATTATGTTTGTTGCATAAAATTTGAAAGCACGTAATGAAAGAAGCTGAAAAAAATATCACTGATGGTCCTTCAAACCTGAAGCAACTGTTATTGATATTTCATCATACTTCTTTTCAAGTATTCTTTTGTTTGCATAGTTGGTATTCTTAGTGTATATAGAACTTTATATTTTATTCTTTTCATTTAGCATACTTGTTTTCGTTCTTGTAAAATGTGGCTGATGATAATACCTATCACATAAAGGAGTTTTAGTAATTCAGACTTTTAAAAGCAAACAAAAATCTCTGAACAGACAAAACTCTTTTTTGCATGTATGAATAGAAATATTCTCAAAAAATAATTCTACTGAAATTTAAGTTACCATAATGTGGGAGAAAAAATCTGTAAATGAAAATTATTATTTTAAAAATCCTTATGAATGATAAAGCAGCAGTAGAGCATAATTTACAGAAGAGAACAAAATGTATCTCCTTCCATTTTTAGAGGTATTTTCATCTTAAGTAACTGTCACCCCTTTTGTACTTTCTGGATTTTGTTCTTTTGCAATTTTTTTGAAAATTTATTTGAGACCAGTCTCACTCAGTGAAACCTGAGAAAACCACTAGTACTTTCTGCCATGATTAAATGATTGATTGAATCATTCATTCATTCAGCAGACAGTTGTTGAGTATCTATATGACACAGGTATAGCGTACTAGACACATGATATTACATCTTGTCATAGGACTGCTCGTTGCCAGCCAAGCCACCACCTCCTAAATGACTGGTGACTTTCTGTGAGTGACCTTTTATTGAATGGAACTTGGATCTTATCCCATCATTGAACTGTTACCTTTTTATTTGTAGGTCATTAGTGTCTCTGGGGTGATTGGTCTCCAGTCAAATGCAGTCTGGCTTCTTGGACATCTTCATCTATCTACTCTATCCTCAAGTCAAAGTAGAGCCTCTGGTAAGATTAAAGTCATAAAATACTGGAGCTGGAAGGGAGGGATTGCCGACCCAGCGCTCTGTAGTTTGTTAAGAGCATTAATCTTCACAACAACCCTAAGTAATGGGTATTACCATCTCTGTTTTACGTCAGAGGGAAATGGTGTATGGAAAGGCTTCCTGACTTACCCAGGGTCATGTGACAGTAAGTGATGGACATGTGGTTTGAACTCAGATCTTTTGGCCTCCAAAGCTCATACTCTTTTTACTCCTTCTCTCTGCCTCCCTTAGAGAACAGTTTAGACATTCAGTGTCCTGTATTTCACAAACGAAGAACTCATGGCTCGGAAAGATTACATGAGTTACATACAGAGTTAATTTGGTGACAAATCTAGAAACTAGGAACCAGGTCCTTAAAGCTTGGAACAGATTTATTTTACTAGATGTAATGGTAGTTTGTATAGTATTCATGTTTCATTAAAAGTCTCTTCATATATGGCTGGAGTTTTTCTGGCCTCCGATTTTGAAAAAATAATGGGGTAGTACATTTAAAGGTGTGTACCTTCTTAGCCTTGGAATTGAAATTCTAGGCCTTAATATGACAAGGCCTTTTCTATTTCTAGCTTTTTGGTAAAAGCAGTAAAAGATATTTGCAGTCCCGACATGCTTAATGTGCATTTGTACTTGGAGATTTTCTGGGGAAGGCATGACCGTTAATACATCTGCTCCTTGCTCTTTATAGAATTTTGACCCACTGGCTATCTTGGACCCAGGCCAGAGAGGTTCAGGTACCAATGATTCCTTATTAAAACTTAGTTTTACTTACCCACTGACAAGTAGTCTACAGATGGCATTAACGTAAATGTGGGCCTCTGAAATTACCATTTTCCTTTCTTTCAGTCATTCTGTAGCTATGGAAATAGGACAACTGGTCCACAGCCTTGGCAATGTAGTGAACTTTAGACAGCTAAAGTTACCATATTAAAATGGAAAAAAGAAGAAAACTTAGTCATACCGGAAGCCCTGGGTAATACTAGTTTTGAAGGGCAGGGATCTCACAGTGTCCTGGTAAGATAGGATATTTATGGCAGGCTTTTATTTTTTTATGTAGGCTTTTAATTGCCATATTATGGGGTACTTGGTCTGGCCTACATATACTCAAATCAGGTACTAGTGAATCATCTTATACCCAGGTTCTTCTGAACAAAATGATTGTGTATCTGGAAAAGTACAGCTACTTGTTC
This sequence comes from Homo sapiens, assembly GCF_000001405.40. Taxonomy (NCBI): domain Eukaryota; kingdom Metazoa; phylum Chordata; class Mammalia; order Primates; family Hominidae; genus Homo; species Homo sapiens. Next base: position 20,952,321 of record NC_000009.12, read on the forward strand.
CTGATGGAATTTTCCAATTGAGTCATTTATTGCAGTAAAAACCATCTCATGAAACAATTATGGGAAACTGGAAGGAAAAGAATTTAGGAGAAACTCAGGATTCAACTAGCATAAATGTCACTGCTTCACCATTCCAGCTCAGCAACCACATCTGGTTATTTGCACATGTTGGTCACTTACAGGTCTCTGCCTTAGGTAAGGGATTGGTGCTGTTAGTACTAGTTGTTGAATTTCTATGGTTCATATATTCGATTCCACATGTCCTGAAGTGGCACCTACTACAGTGGTCTCAGCGTTGAAGCTCGGCAGACTCGTTGCTGAACGCTGAGGAGGTCACTGGATTAGGGCTTATTGATGTGACAATGTGGAAAGGGTTTTTTTTTTTAAACCACTTCACTCAAGTGTTCATCCTCCGTAATTTTTTTTCCAGACTTTTCTAACTTTGCCACCATTTTAGATTTGCTTACATAGCTTAAGTGATTACTTCAAGGCCAGTCACTTAATCTAATAGAATTAGTTGCAGCCACAAAGTGTTGTGCTGAGATTAATGGCATAAACATCTCCACTTTGTCTCTAGGTTGATATGGCAGCATGAGATCATTATCTTTCCTTCATTAGTCCTGCCAAGTTCACTGGTTAATTTGATCATTTTCTGTCTCCACAGTTCCTACTGACTATAGCTACTTGCCTGAAAGCAGTTTTATTGGAGCAGCTATTGGCTTCTTCATTACAGGAGGAAAAAAAGGCAAGTGAGCACATTTCTTGAATTTTATCATTCTATCTCCATGTTGTTATAAGTAAATTTGTGTACCCTAAGCATGCCTCTGTAGAATCAAGCAATATAAATCTGAAGGGGTGAATATTTTCGTCTGCTAAACCATCTTTGCAATAGAGATGACCAGCAGCTAGCTACAATAATTGGTACGTAAATATACACATTGTGTGGTTTCTTAGAATCACTGTCTCCGACCATGGGTGGCTCTGTGAAAATCTTAATCTCCCATTTGGCCCTTTCCAAAGTATAAGCACAGATTACTTTTCCTATCCATTTCAAGTGAGTGTGATCTAGAAAGAGAAAATACACCTGGGTGCAGTTTCTATCCCGGGATCTGTCTTGCAAGTAGATCTTCTCCCTGCATCTTTTATAATCATTCTGTGTTGTTGAAATCACTGGCTCTAGTTCCTATTTTTAGTTTGTGTTCTTTTCCTTGCACACATTTGAGCCTTTGTGATTCTGTATTGCTGCCACCCCCATTAAAGTACAAGCAACTTGAAGACAGAGATTGAGTGCCTTTTGTTTTTAACTGGAGCCAGAACAGTGCCATGTAACTTATTGAATAAATGCTCCTTAATAATACACATATAGTTTTCAGGGCTGTGAGGAAAAAATGGATTAGAACTGAACATGTCATGGCTCAGGAATCAGCTTCGTTACCGTGATATTCTTTCATTGATGGGTTTGCTAATTTTATTCTTCCTTGGCTAGGTCAGTCTTCCTTGGTTAGGTCAGTCTGGGCAAAATCAGTGCCTGTATTATAGCAAGACCATCCCAATTTTAGAAAGGAAAAAAATAAACAAAAAAACTGGAAAAAATCTGGAAGTGGCAGTTTGATTTGTGAGGGTCATGGAAGTAAAATGTTACCTTTGGAAGGGAAGTTAAATCTGTGTTGTCTGATTTCCCACTGGGTACAGTAATCCCTGGAGCTTCCAGATTTTGAATATTTTCATAGCCTGGAGACAAATTCCATTAATTTCTGGAGTTCTAGAATTTGTGCTATTATTCTAGGGTCCTGAATTAGCATGATTTACTTATCCTCAGTAAAAATTGACATATGGTTATGTCATTGTTGTACATGACATATTTATATATAAACAGATCATATATTACACGTAATGTACAGTTAGTTCATTGTTTATGTTACCATAAATTAAGTCTACTTAAAATAAATATTATAGTAGAGATGGCTTCATTAGGAGAAAATTCTTACTAAATGAGAATCTAAAATTTTCATGGCCAAACTAGTGCTAGGAATACATATATATTTCTGCTATATTTTTTGTTAGGTTGCTTATTGATATGAAATTTTAAAATGATGTGAGATATTTTCATGAGAAATAAAAGTAAAAACTCTTAAGGTCAAGTAGAAGATAGACTCTTTTTCTTTTCTAGTGAATAAAATGTTAGTCTAGCTCCCCAGATCCATATTTCTTGGCAGACATGAATTTTCTCTGAATCTTATTCAATCTTCGGTTGAATGTAACATTTTTATGATTCTGTAGTCATCATACAACAGGAAATGTTCTGCTATAAGGCTGAAAAATCAAGTGGAACTGGAATCAGTGTTGTTATGTGCAGTCTTGCTGAAAGCTGTTTTAAAACAAATAAATGAAGTATTAAGAATGCCATATTACCAATCAGATTTTTGGCATTTTCAGGTTGTGGGAGAGGGCTGTCGTCTTGTCAGGTTTGCTGACTAGATTCAGAGGAAAATCTATTCAGCCTTACACATTACTAATGATGACCCCAGAGGAGTGGGGGCCGTGGGAGGCTGACCTCCGCCTCCAAAGCCCATTTACAAAAACAAAACCAGACCCTGCTCTGTGGGGCTAAATGGGATGGCCAAATGCGGAGGTGTGCATGCAAACGAGTGTTTTCTTCTTCAATATACCCAGCTCATTTGAATTTTAATAACTCCCTTCTGAAGCAGCTTTTGAGTTTAAATGTCTGGATGTCACTCATCAGAGCCCGGTGGGACTGCTGATAGGAAGGATGGCAACTTTAGTGAACTCTTTTGAGGAATAAATGGTTTTAGAAAATAAAAATAATGCTTAGCATAGGCAGAAAAGTTTAGGGATGGCATGGTTTCATTGTCTCTGCTTGCTACTTTTAACTTCAGCAACTCACTAGAGGAAAGAAATGTGATGGGCCATCCCCAATCCACATTTGTGCTAGGATGAGTTTGGGCATGGTGGTCTCAAATTTAGCCAATCAAATTTGAGATAGTGAATCTGTTAATCTGTTTTCTAATGTTTAGGGCTTTCTCACTTAGGATACTGACTTTAGTACTCATGTGATAGAACATATAAGATGTTCATAGCATCCATTCTTTCATGCAGACCCACATTTTAAAAAGATACTAAATAGATGAGATTCCCTCAGTTTTTAAATAATTCAATTCATGGTTTTGACTATAACTGGGTCTTTTTTTTTTTTTTTGCTATACCATGTGACATTCTTCTTTCTTCTCTCATAGCCCTGGAATTCCTCTATCAGATATATTGTTCCTTAATCTTTTGTCGTCATTATTATCTGTTCTTGTGAACATTTCTTGACTACGCTAGCCTTAAAATCTTTGCTCATCATCTAATTCCTCCTAACATGGATATTTTTTCCCCCTGAAGAACCTCTGACTTTTGACTTTTACTTTTTTGCTTCTTTTCTACTTTTATTCTTTTGTCTGATTTCTGATTTTCTCAAGATCATAGGCTGTTCATATCTCATCAAGATTTTATCCACTTCTTTTATAATACATTAGAAACATATTTAAAGTACTTAATAAAAGTGATTCTTTCTAATGCTAATATTAGATATTTCTATGTAATAGCATTATTTTTGTTATTATATTGCTGGGGAATGTGGCTAACACTTTCTAAGCTTATATTTTCCTATTAGGCTTTAAAAATTCACAGTAAGAAGTATTAACTAAGCAAAGTATATTTAAGTCCACGTAATAGTCATTATGAATGGCTTTCTTTCTTGATATGGGCTAATTGGTCAGTGATCTGCGTGTGTAAGTATTGGGCTTGGATACGAAGTACAGGTAGGCATATGCTCCTTCAGTCATTTTTGAACTATTACCATGAGAGGTAATTGTTAAGAAGGAAATATGCCAAGGGAACAGACTTAGTGAACTCTGAGTAGAATAAATAATACGAGAAAGCTGTCCTGTTTTCTGATGAAATCATGGAGTTGGTTGCCAAGGTTATGTGTGATTTTTGAGTATTTTAATTTAGAAATAGTTTACCTGTACAACTCTTTAAAAAATATTATCAGAAGTCAGTATATCTGTATAATACTAAGTTAAAAGTGTATATAGAAGAAAATAAGACAATCCTCTGTCATGTCACCACTTGGAGATAGCCATTATAAATATGTCCTTCATAATGTCCTCCTATATGTATGTGTATGTGTTATATTGTACCATAAAATGTATATTATTTTATTGTCCTATTTTAAAAAAAGTAATGACTTTACATGCAAATGGACATAACTAGCACCCATGTCTTCCAAAAAAAGCCTTGAGGAAGTAAGAAAAGAATCCTATTGCATTGGTTTCTGGACATTTGTCAATAGCATATGTTTTTGGTGTGTTTGATTCCTTTTTTGTTTCATGAGGTTTGTTTTCATAAACCTCATGAAAATGTTTGGAAGGAAAAATGTCACCAATTATCCCATGACTCTACAGCTATTATCATTTCTGGATATTACTTAATTTGCTGCTTCTGGGATTACAGCCATGCACCACCACGCCTGGCTAATTTTTTGTATTTTTAGTAGAGACGGGACTTCTCCGTGGTGGTCAGGCTGGTCTTGAACTCCCGACCTCAGGTGATCCGCCTGCCTCGGCCTCCCAAAATGCTGGAATTACAGGTGTGAGCCACCGTGCCTGGCCTGTATTTTTGAACTTAATATTATATTATAAACTTTCCCTGTTTTCATATATCACCATAACAATTGTATAATAACAGCTATTATTTTTGAGACAAGGTCTCGGCTCTATCACCCAGGGTGAAGTGCGGTGGCACGATCATGGCTTACTGCAACTTCAAACTTTCTGGCTCAAGTGATCCTTCTGCCTCAGCCCCCCAGGTAGCTAGGAGTGCAGGTACATACAACCAGGATCAGATAATTTCTGTACTTTTTGTAGAGATGGAAACAATGTTGCCTAGTCTGGCCTCAAACTCTAGCTTTGAGCAATCCTCCTGACTTAGCCTCTTTAATTGTTGGGATTACAGGCATGAGCCACTGTACATGGCATAATGATCATTTTTAAATGACTATAGAATATTTCATCAAATTCATAAGTCATAATAAACTTAATCATTTTCGTATTGGTCATTTTTAAAATTTCAATTTTAGTGAACATCTTTTCTTTTCTTTTTTTTTTTTTTTTGAGACAGTCTTGCTCTGACGCCCAGGCTAGAGTGCAGTGGCGTGATCTCGGCTCACTGCAACCTCTGCCTCCCAGGCTCAAGTGATTGGCCTGCCTCAGCCTCCTGAGTAGCTGGAATTACAGGCAAGTGCCACCAAGCCCAAAGATAGATAGATAGATAGCATAGATATCTCTCTCTCTTTTTTTTTTTTTTTTTTTTTTTTTTTTTTAGTGGGGTTTTTCTATGTTGGCCAGGCTGGTCTTGAACTCCTGGCCTCAAGTTATCTGCCCTCCTCTGCCTCCCAAAGTGGATTACAGGTATGCACCACCATACCTGGCCTTTAGTGAACATCGTTATGCATATAGCTCTCTTCTGCTACAGCTTTCCTTCAGATAAATTCTCAGTAATGTAGTGAGCAGGAGTCCAAGGATTTGGTGACTATAGGGATGGCCAGGCCTCGTTGCCCTTCAAAAAGCTTTGCCAGTTTTCAGTACCTCAGCCCTGTATGAATTTGCAAAAATATAAAACATAGAGGTTAAAAGCATAGGAGTCAGGCTGCCTGGGTTCATATCCCACTTCCACTACTTACTGGCTGTATAACTTCAGGCAAACTGTGTCTGTAAGCTTTGACCACTTCTGTAAAATGGAGAAAATAATTGACTGTTTTTTATAGAGTTTTGTAAGAATTATGAGTCACTTTATGTAACAGTACTTATAAAACAATATAAAGAATAAATTCCTTCTTTTATAATGTCATATTAAAAAGCAGCCCAAAAAACAAATGATAACAATAAAAACCAGTCAGGTATAAAATGATACCTTAAGACTGCTCTCATTTGCATATAATTGCCAGAAGGTCTGAACATCTGTACATTTATTTACTGTTTAAGAGGTTGGTTTTTTTTTTAAGTAAATTTGAAATTTTTAAAAAAAATTTTTAATTGATGAATAATTATACATATTCATGGAGTACATAGAGATGTTCTGATGATATTATGTATAGTGATCAGATCAGAGTAATTAGTGTGTCTCTCATCTCAAACATTTATCATTTCTTTGTGTTGGGAACATTCAATTCCTCCTCCTAGCTACTTGAAACTATGTATTATTGATAACTATACTCACCCTACAGTAGTATAGAACACTAGAACTTATACCTTCCATCTAATTGTGGTTTTGTATCCTTTAACAAGTCTCTCCTTGTCTCTTTCTTCCCCCTGCTCTTTCCTAGCCTCTAAGTATTCTCTCTTCTACTTTTTACTTCTGAGAGATCAACTTTCTTTTTGCTTCCACATATGAGTGAGAACATGTGCTATTTAACTTTCTGTTCCTGGCTTATTTCACTTAACATAACGTCTTGCATTTCTATCCATGCTGCCATGACCAGCAGGACTTCATTCTTTTTGAGGGCTTAATAGTATTCCATTGTGGATATATACCAAATTTTAAAAATCCATTCATCTATTGTTGGACACCTAGATTTATTCCATGTCATGGCTATTGTGAATAGTACTAAAATAAACATGGGGTACAGATGTCTCTGATAGAATGATTTCCTTTCCTTTGGATACCTGCCCAGTAGGAGGATTATTAGATCATATTGTAGTTCTATTTTTAGTTTTCTGAGGAACCTCCCTACTGTTATTTATAGTGGGTATACTAGTTTACATTCCCACCAACAGTGAATGAATTCCCTTGTCTTCACATCCTCAACAGCATTTGCTGTTTTTTGTTTGTTTGTTTGTTTTTAATAATAGCCATCCTGACTGGGGAGAGATGATATCTCATTGTGGTTTTGATTTGCATTTTCCTGATGATTAGTGATGCTGAGCAGTTTTTTCATATATTTATTGGCCATTTGTACATCTTTTGAGAAATATCTGTTAATTTCCCCATCTTAAAATCAGATTGTTTATTTTTTGCTGTTGAGATGTTTGAGTTCCTTGCATATTCTGGATATTAGTCCCTTGTCAGATGAATAATATGCAAATATTTTCTCCATTCCACAGGTTGTCTTTTCATGTTGTTGATTATTTCCTTTGCTATGCAGAAGCTTTTTAGTTTGATGTAATCCCATTTATTTTTGCTTTTATTTTCTATGCTTTTGAGGTCTTATTCATAAAATCTTGCCCTAGGCCTGTGTCCTGAAGCATTTCTCCTATGTTTTATTCCTGCAGTTTTATCATTTTGTGTCTTACATTTATGTCTTTGATGCATTTTGAATTGATTTTTGTAGGGCGAGAGATTGGGGGGTGTAGTTTAATTTTTCTGTCTATGGATATCCAGTTTTCCTAGCATCATATATTGAACAGACTGTCCTTTCCCCACTGAGTGTTCTTGACATTTTTGTCAAAAATCAGTTTGCTATAGATATATAGATTAATTTCTGAGTTCTCTGTTCTGAATTTATTTTTAAATTTGTATTTTTTTACCCTTTTATTTTGAAACAATCTCAAACATAAAAAAGTTGTAAAATGCATAGAAAAGTAGCAAAAATTGTCTTCCTTTTTTAATAGTAAGAAAAACTCCACATTCCTTTCAACCAGGGGCACTATTCAAGTTTCATCAACAATCCCAGTGATGTTTTTAATAGAAAAACAATCTCATCTAGAATGTTGCTCTGCACTTATTTATTGGTCTCTTTGGTCTCCTTCAACCTGAACACTTTTTCAGTTTTTTCTGTGACTTCTTGACTTTAACGAGTTTTAAGATTAGAAGCCAGTTAGTTTATACAATGCTCTTTAATTTGGGTTTGCCTGATATTTCTCATATTAGAGTTAGGTGGGTCACTTTTGGTAGAGTATGACAGACGTGGAGCTGTGTGCTTCTCACTGCATCCCATCTGTGGCACATGACGTCTCAGCTGCCTCCACTGGGGTGGTGAGCTTTGCTCACTTGGATAAGATGTTGTCTTCTAGGTTTCTCCACTATGAACTTATTCTTTTACCCTTATTTCAATAATCTTTCATGTGGAGATGTTTTGAAATTTCACAAATATTCTATTTTCATCCTATTTTCACCGATTAGTTTTAGCATTCACTAATACTTCTTGCCTGAATTATTACTGTGATGGTTGTCAAAAGGTGATTTTTAAAAATCCATGAATCCATCTATTTTTTTTTTATTATACTTTAAGTTCTAGGGTACATGTACACAATGTGCAGGTTTGTTACATATGTATACATGTGCCATATTGGTGTGCTGCACCCATTAACTCGTCATTTACATTGGGTATATCTCCTAATGCTTTCCCTCCCCCCTCCCCCAACCCCACAACAGGCCTCGGTGTGTGATGTTCCCCTTCCTGTGTCCAATGTGTCCAAGTGTTCTCATTATTCAATTCCCACCTATGAGTGAGAACATGTGGTGTTTGGTTTTTTGTTCTCGTGATAGTTTGCTGAGAATGATGGTTTCCAGCTTCATCCATGTCCCTACAAAGGACATGAACTCATCCTTTTTTATGGCTGCATAGTATTCCATGGTATTTATGTGCCACATTTTCTTAATCCAGTCTATCATTGATGGACATTTGGGTTGGTTCCAAGTCTTTGCTATTGTGAATAGTGCCACAATAAACATACATGTGCACAGAATGGGAGAAAATTTTTGCAATCTACCCATCTATGTTTTTTATTAGGCGTTCTGCTGTAAGAAATGGCTCCTCTCCTCTCCTCTCCACTCCTCCCCTCCCCTCCGCTCCCCTCCTCTCCGCTCCCCTCCTCTTCTCTTTCTCTCCCTCTCTCTCTCTGTGTTAGTGTAGACTCGTAAATTCCTATGTTATTTAACTATTCAGTTATCTATTATTTTGATCTTTAACTTGTCCAATAAATTGAACAAAATATTAAATTTGACCAATAAGAACCTCTACAAGTTGGCTCTTGTGTCCTTTTGACATGACCCCCTCATTCTTTGACTGCTTCCTTTGTGGCACAAGAAGATGTCCTAGGTTTATTTTGTACTATCCCCAGCCCTGTAATAGATACTCCAGGTTTCTTTTAGTGGAGCATGGTATTTAGAAGCTAACATCTGTGTGCAAAGCATCTCATTGCTGCTGGGGTAATCTTTGTCTCTAGGCCGTTTCAGTGGACAGAGCTGGGAAACATATGTTCTTGTTCTCTCTCATGTATTTTTATTTCTGTATTTAGCTATATATGTAATAAAAAGGGTTCAATCTGTCTTTCTTTTTGTATTTGTAACTCCCTTCTCTGACAGTAAGAAACTTGACTCTCATTATCCTCAATATATTTACTCATTTGCCCAATCCTCCTGGATGTAAGTAATCTCCTGTCCCTGCTGGACCACGGTCCTAAACTGCCTTCCTCACTCAGGTCTCCACTGGGTGCCATCCTACTTTGTGGCCTTCCTGATTTTAAGAGGCCTTGGGATATTTTTGCTTTTAATAACAAAATGTTATTGAAATATTCGGTCTTAACATAGAAAACCTATCAACCTTTAGTGTCTGTCTGATGTATCAGAATCATCAATTTATTTTAAAAACTGTCTTGATTGTAGTTTCTTTCAGGGGGCTAGGCATCTCCTAGTTCCCACTAATAGGCAATGCTGTAATTCTCTCTGCCTGTGTTTTCTATGGACTTAGTGTAGAAAAAAATCGTACTCATCCTTTTCATCTTGATTTAAATATTCTTTCCTTGGTGGGGGAAGATAGGGGCTTCCGTGATGTTCCCAGATTAAGTTAGATTACTTATGTGATACTTTCCTATATATTTTCATGGTGCGTAATATATGTGTCATCATTTTCATAATTATTTATACTTCTTTGTTTAAACTCTGTCTTTTCCACTAGGTGTGATTTCCTCAATGGACAGGAAGAATAGCTGTGTTTTATCGTAAATACTTAGAACAGATTGGCATGTAATAGTTTTCTAATATTTGTTTATCTATAACTTTAAACATACACATATATAATATATATATACACACACACATACATACATACATACATACATACATACATACATACACTAGATAATTCTAAGCTAAGTTACCTATAAGCAGCATTTAGCTGGAGAAAGTAAAGATATGTCCAAACCACAAAAGCAATATGCTAGCGATGGAAAATATACAGACTCAGGCTGTTAGTCTACTTGTTGCCAGACTTTTACTCTAAGGATTACACATGTGAATTGTGGCATTGAGATCTGATCCTCTGTGTAGCCAAAGTATGTGCGATAATGGGTCCTGTTGTAATGCATTATGTTCGGATATACTGTTTATATCAGGGTTCTTTGAGGCTGTCAACTGGATGAGAGATTTAAAGTAACTTTGTTTCCAGGTTTTACAACATCTGGATCTTTTTAACAAGTACTGTTAGGCCTTCTCAGTTCCAAATCCATTGTCCGTAAAGCATTTCATTATTTCTTTTTATCTAAAAAACTTGTTTGAAAGACAAAGCATTATAATAAAGGAACTGATCATTCCTGTTGTTTAGATGTGGATTCTTTTATCCAGTGCTAAAGATCTCTGGGGAAGGAACTAGTTCACTGTGTTCTCCCTTGGCTTTGGGACTCCCTCTCTTTCTTTCCATACCTCCTCCAGAATGCATGAAACTGCCAAATATTTTCTCAATTTCCAACAGCTACTATAGTTCCTCTCATTCCAGTTAGTGTCTGAATCAGTTCCCTACAAATAGTGGAAAATTTTTTGTGAGTGTAGTTATACTACTCAATACTGATTCTTTGCCCTTTTAAATGTGGAAGATTTATTTCATTATTGGACTGATGTGATTTTTCAACCCTATTCTCCATTTTACAAATTTTCTTTGTTGCTGACACTTGCATGTATATTAGGTCAATTCTAGCGAATATAGAAGCAACATGTAAAGTGCAGTACTGGTGAAAGTTGTCCTGTCAAAGGAGAGCTCATTATCTTAAGAATAAAACGTCTGGAAAATGGTCATATTTCACATGGGGTCCTGGTATTAGAAGGCAGGCTGGACGCCTTGCCTGTTTCCCTAGATCCTCTGGAAACTCCAAAGTCTTTGTAGTGGATTCTCTCAAAGTGCCTGGAAAAAATTTTTTATGTAATTTTGAAAATACTCAATCTCTGAGAGTTTTCTAAGTAGAAATCTATTTATGAATTAATGATTTCCAGTGCAGAATTGGATGCATTGTTCTTAAATGGAGAGATGTAATTCTTGCATAGGTATTTACTATAATGTCTGCCAGTTTATCAAACTATTTCTATGAATCATGTGCTAAGAAAACCCCAAAAAGCAACTTAATTTTTGTGTTTTCTTTTTTGTGAAATCAAAGACTGCAATCTGCAGCCAATGTTGTGTAGAGATACTTAGCGCATATGTGTAATCAGCATGGAGTTATGTGAATAGACAACCAGTTAACTCCTATCACAGCATTTTTTTATCACAGAAGTTATTACACCTGATTTTGCCTTGCTTGTTTCTTCTCACGTTAGAATATAAGCTCCACGAGCGCAGGGACCTATTCTGTCTTGTTCAACACTGTCTCCGCTGCTAGAGTCAGTACCTGATACCTAATAGATACTCGGTAAATAGTTGAATGAATGAGTGTGTTTATAAATGTATTTACTTTATTTGTCAGAATTTTTTTTTTCCTTACAATAGCAGGGGTTGGCCAGATGTGGTGTCTCATGCCTGTAATCCCAGCACTTTGGGAAGCTGAGGCAGGTAGATCGCCTAAGGTCAGGAGTTCGAGACCAGCCTGGCCAACATGGTGAAACCCCGTCTATACAGAAAATACAAAAAATTAGCCAGGTATGGTGGTGCACACCTGCAGTCCCAGCTACTCAGGAGGCTGAGGCAGGAGAATCGCTTGAGCCTGGGTGGCGGAGTGAGCCAAGTTAGTGCTGCTGCACTTACTTGCAGTGAACCAAGATAGTGCTACTGCACTTCAGCCTGGGTGACAGAGTAAGACTCTGTCTCAGAAAAGAAAAAATAATAATAATAGCAATGATTAACTCTCTAAAAATATTTCTTGAACTCCCAGTATTACATCTCAAGATGGAACAGAACTACAACACCAATTACTGGTAGCATAGCACAGAAGAGTGGCAGGTGTGTTGAGCATCAACATTTTTTTTTTTGAGATGGAGTCTTGCTCTGTTGCCAGGCTGGAGGGCAGTGGCGTGATCTTGGCTCACTGCAACCTCTTCCTCCTGGGTTCAAGCGATTCTCCTGCCTCAGCCTCCCAAGTAGCTGGGACAACAGGCGCATGCCACCACGCCCAGCTAATTTTTGTATTTTTAGTAGAGACAGGCTTTCACCATGTTGGCCAGGATGGTCTTGATCTCTTGACCTCATGATCCATCCTCCTCGGCCTCCCAAAGTGCTGGGATTACAGGCGTGAGCCAGAGCATCAACATTTCAACAAAGTGAAAGAGTGTTTGTTGGAGGGGAGAGAAGCATCACTGGAAGGCGCACTACTATACCTGTTGGCAGGAGGGAGCAGGTTAGTGGGTCACTAGCCTAAGGAAATGTGCTGATTTTTGAGAAGGTGCTGATGGGAAATAAGTCTAAAATATGGGAGAAAGGCCTAGATCAGAAGTATGGATTTATATTCATCAACATATAAGTAATATTTGAAACTGTGAAAGTAGATGAACTTTCACAGAGGAAGAACACCGAAGCTTAAGGAAGCAGTTATTTCAGGAATGAGGGCATGGTACTCTTTTATATGGAAAAGTATGGAAAGAAAGACTGAGAAAATACCCTTGAATTTGGCTTTTAGATGGCCATTAGAAATCTTAGCCAGGGTAGTTTTGGTGGAGTGGCAGGGCCAATGTCTATGTAGCAGTTGTGTTAGGGTACTTTTTATTCCAGAAAGCAATGATTCTGACTTCAACTGACTCACAAATACTTGTTGCAAGGATTCTTTGGTTTCACAGAAATCCAAAGACAGAAACTTTGTTTTTGGGAGTATCGAGAACAGAAAGATATCAGGCGCCAAGACTGTATCTCTCTTTTTCTCTTTTTCAGGGGCTGCATGGTATCAGTTTCTCTTGTGGTTTCTACTTTTCTTCTAAAGACTCATCCATCCCTTTCTAAGCTTCTTATGCTTTTTTTGGTGATAAAATGTATACAACATGCCATTTTAACCATTTGAAAGTTTTCTGTGGCATTTAGTGCATTTACAATATTGTGGTGCCATCACGACTATTTCCAGAATGTTTTCATTACCCCAAGAGGAAACATTAAGCCCATTGAACAGTTGTTCCCCATTTCCCATTTTTCCAAGATCCTAGCAACCAATAATTTGCTTTCTGTCTTTATGTATTTTCCTTTCCTTTAAATGTCATTTAAATGGAACCATACAATATGTGGCCTTTGTGATTGGCTTCTTTCACTTGGTGTAATGTTTTCAAGGTTCATTCGCATTGTAGCAAGTATCAGTACTTCATTCATTTTTATTGCTGAATAAAAATCCATTGCATGGGTATGCCACATTTTATTTATGCATCAGTTTATGGCCGTTTGGGTTGTTTCTACCTTTTGGCTATTGCAAGTGATGCTGTTATGAATATTTGTGTACAAGTTTTGGGTTGAACACCTTTTTTCAATTCTCTTGGTGTATATATATATCTAGAAGTGGAATTGCTGGGTTGTATGGTAATTCTGCTTAACTTTTTGAGGAACTACCAAACTGTTTTTCCACAGTGGCCGCACTGTTTTACATTCTTGCAAGCAATATAGGAGGGTTCCAATTTCTCCACGTTCTCGCCAACACTTATTTTCCATTATTATTATCATTGCCAACTAATTGGCTGTGAAGGTGGTACCTCACGTGATTTGGGTTTGCATTTCCCTAATGACTAATAATGTTAAGTATCTTTTCATGTACTTATTAGCCATTTGTATATCTTCTTGGAGAATTATCTGTTCAAGTCCTTTGCCTATTTAAAAAAAAAATAAATTGCCTGTTGTTGAGTCGTAAGAGTTCTTTGTATATTCTGGAAAATAGACCCTTATTTATAATTTGCAAATTCTGCCATTCTATAGATTGTCTTTCATTTACTTGATAATACCCTTTAATGAACAAGTTTTTAACTTCGACAGAGTCCAATTTATCTGCTTTTCTTTTGTTGCTCAGGTTTTTAATGCCATATCTGTGAATCCATTGCCAAATCCAAGGTCAAAGATTTACCCCTGTGTTTTCTTCTAGGAGTTTGATTGGTTTAGTCCTTATATTTAAGCTGTTAACCCATTTTGCGTTAATTTTTGTATTTAGTGTTAGGTAGGGACCTAGCTTCATTCTTTTGCATGTGAGTATCTAGTTGTCTCAGCACCATTTATTGAAGAAATCATTCTTTCCCCCATTGAAGGATCTTGGCACCCTTGTCAAAAATCAATTGGGTATAAATATATACGTAATTTCTACTCTCAAGAGTCCAGAAATAAACCTATGCACTGGTCTATATGTCTGTCTTTATATGTACTAATACCACGCTGTTTTGATTACTATAGCTGTATAGTAAGATTAGTGTGCATGAGTTCTGTACATTTTTCTTTTTTCAAGATATTTTTTTTTAGGTATTTGGGGCCCCTTGCAATTCCACATGAATTTGAGGATTGACTTTTTCATTTCAGTGGAGAGGACTCTTGGAATTTTGATAGGGATTGCATTGAATCTATGGATCACTTTGGGTAGTATTATAATCTTAGAATATTCAGTATTCGAATCTGTGAACACAAGATGTCTTTCTATTTATTTAGGGCTGCTTTAATCTCTTTAGCATATTCTAAACTTTTCGGTGTATAAGTCTTTACCCTTGGTGAAATCTATTCCCAGATATTTCATTCTTTTGAGTGCTATTGCAAGTGGAATTTTTTCTAAATTTCTTTTTCAGATTATTCACTGCCAGAATATAAAAACACAACTAATTTTTGTGTGTTGGTCTTATATCCTGCAACTTTATTGAATTCCTTTATTAACTCTATTAGTTTTTAAAAAGATTGTTTGGGATTTTCTCTATATAGGATCATATCATTTGCAAATATAGTTTTATGTCTTCCTTTCCAATCTGAATGCCTTTTCTTTTTCTTGTCTAATTGCTCCGGTTAGAACATCCAGTACAAAGTGGTGAAACTGGGAATCCTGTCTTGTTCTTGATTGTAGAGAAAAAGCTTTCAGTTTTTCACCATTGAGTATGATTTAACTGTGAGTTTTTCACAGTTTTTCTTTATCATGTTAACATAGTATTATGTGTGTTTTTTATCGGAAAAGGGTGTTTGTCAATGATTTTTCTGTGTCAATTGAAATAGTCCTGCGGGCTTTTTTCCTTTGTATTATTAATGTTATATATTACCCTGATTGATTTTCTTATGTTGAACAAACTTTGCATTCCTGGGATAAATCGTGTTTGATCACAGTATATAATCTTTTTAATATGCTGTTGGATTCTGTTTGCTAGTGTTGAGAATTTTTGCATCTATATTCATAATATGTATCAGTCTCTGGTTTTCCTTTTTTATGATGTCTATGATATCAGGATAATGCTGATCTCTTAGAATAAGTTAGGAAATACTCCCTTCTCCTATTTTTTGAAAGAAATTGAGAAAGATTGGTGTTAATTCTTTAAGTGTCCGGGAGAATTCACCAATGAAGCCTTCTGGTCTTGAACTTTTCTTTGTTGGGAAATATTTGATTGCTGATACAATCTCTTTACTTGTTATAGGTCTGTTAAACTTTCTATGCATTCCTGACTCAGTTTTGATAATTTGTGTGCTTCTAGGAATTTTTCGATTTAATCTAGATTATCTAATCTGTTGGCATACATTTTTTCGTAGAATTCTCTTGTAATCCTTTTTATTTCTGCAAGGTCCATACAAATGTTTCCATATTCATTTCTGATTTTATTTGCATGCTCTTTATGTTTTTTTTCTTAGTCTAGATAACAGTTTGCCAATTTTGTTTATCTTTTCTAAGTTCCAATTTTTGGTTCTGTTGTTTGTATTTTCTTATTCTTTTTTTTTTTTTTTTTTTTTTTTGGGAGAGTTAGAGTATTGCTGTGTCGCCCAGGCTGGAGTACAATGGCGTGATCTCAGCTCACTGCAACCTCCACCTCCTGGGTTCAAGTGATTCTCCTGCCTCAGCCTCCTGAGTAGCTGGGATTACAGGCGTCTGCCACCATGCCCAGCTAATTTTTGTATTTTTAGTAGAGATGGGGTTTGACCATGCTGTCTAGGCTGTCGAACTCCTGAAGTCAGGTGATCTGCCCACCTCGGCCTCCCAAAGTATTGGGATTACAGGCATGAGCCACCTCGCCCGGCCTGTTTTCTTATTTTATACTTAATTATCTCCACTCTAAACTTTATTATTTCCTTCCTCTACCTTTGGGTATATTTGCTCTTCTTTTTTAAGTTCTTTGAGGCATAAAGTTAGGGATATTGATTAGAATTATTTCTACTTTTTAAAATGCCTTTTTAAAACTGGCATTTATTGCTGTAGATGTCCCCCAGTATACTGTATTTGTGCAATTCCATAAATTTTGGTATTTTTATTTTTATTTTCATTTGTCTCAAAGTATTTTATAATTTCCCTGTGATTTCTTCTTTAATCCATTGGTCATTTAAGAATATCTTTTTTACTTTCCATTTATTAGTGAGTTTTCCAGTTTTTTTGGAAATCTGTTCTTGATTTCTATTCCATTGTGTTTATGAAAATACTTGGTATGGTTTTAGTCTTTTAAAATTTATTGAGACTTGTTTTGTGGTCTGACATGTGGTAAGTCTTAGAGAATGTTCCGTGTGCTCTTGAAATGAATGTGTATTCTGATGGTGTTGAGTGGAACTGTTCTAGCTATGCCAGCTAGGTCTCTCTGGTTTACACTGTTGATTAATAAGGATCCTTTATATCCTCATTAATCATACGTCTAGATATTCTATCTAGTATTGAAGGTAGAGTATTGAAGCCTCCAACCGTTACTGTAGAGCTATCTATTTCTCCTTTCAATTCTGTCAGTATTTATATATTTGGGGGCTCTACTGTTTGATTTGTATGTGTTTCTAATTGTTAAATTTCTTGATTAATCTAATTTGAATTGATTCCAACTGAGCATCAACAACATATAAAAATTCTGCTCTTATAAAGTTCTATTTCTCCCTTTCATGTTATTACTGTCCCAAATTACATTTGTATACATTATGTGCCCATTAAGGTAGATTTATAATCATTGTTTTATGCATTTGCCTTTTAAGTTACATAGTAAGTGAAAAGGGGAGTTATAAAACAAAAATATAAAAAAATATATATATATAGATATATAACAAAAATATAATGGCTTTTATATTTACCTATGTAATTACCTTTACCAGAATTCTTTATTTCTTTGTATAGCTTCAAATTATTATCTAGATTACTATTTAGTGTCCTTTTATTTTAGCCTTGAGGACTCCCATTAACATTTCTCGTAGGGCATGTCTATGGGTAACAAACTCCCTCAACTTTGTTTTTCTGTATATGTCTTAATTTCTCCCTAATACTTGAATTATAGTTTTGTTGGATACA
Source organism: Homo sapiens (assembly GCF_000001405.40). Lineage (NCBI taxonomy): Eukaryota > Metazoa > Chordata > Mammalia > Primates > Hominidae > Homo > Homo sapiens. Next base: position 20,969,975 of record NC_000009.12, read on the forward strand.
GCATTTTTCGATGACAGTTTTTTTTTTTTCTTTCAGTAAAAGGTGTTATCCTGTTCCTTACTGGACTCCATGGTTTCTGATGAGAAATGAGCTGTTAATCTTATTGGGAATCCCTTGTATGTGATGAATCACTTCTCTTTGCTGCTTTCAAGATTTTCAGTCTTTGTCTTTTAAAAATTTGGCTACAGTACGTCTTAGTGTGGATCTCTTTGCCTTTATCTTTCTTAGACTTTGTTGAGCTTCTTGAATGTATGGATTTGTGTCTTTTTTATTAAATTGGAGAAGTTTTAGGCCATTACTTTTTCAAATATTCATTCTGCCCCTTTCTCTCCTATCCTTCTGAGATTCCTGTTATGCCTACGTTGGTATGCTTGATGTATCCTTAGGCTCATACTTTTCGTCTTTCTTTTTTCTCTGTAGACTGAGTGATTTTAGTTGACGTATCTTTATGTGAGTTGATTCTTTTGCCTGCTCAAGTCTGCTATTTAATCCCTCTAGTGAGTTTTTCATTGCAGTTACTGTACTTTTTAGAGTACAGAACTCTATAATTTGTTTGGTTCTTTTAAAAAAGAACTCTTTTTGATATTCTCTTTTTTCTTTTCTTGTATTGTTCTCCTGGTTTCTTTTAGTTCTTTGTCCATAATTTTCTTTAGCTGAATATATTTAAGAGAGTTGCTTTCAAGTCTTTGTCTAGTAAGTCCAATGTCTTTACCTCCTCTGGGACATTTTCTGTTAATTTCTTCTGTGAAATGACAAAGCTTCCTTGTTTCATTTTATGCTCCATATTTTTTTGAAAACTAGACTTTTTTGAATGTTAAAATTCAGTTTTATTCCAAGAATAAAACAAAATATTGTAAAATATGTAACATAAAATTTAACTTTTAAATATATGATTTTATGACATTAAGCATTAATGTCACATTAAACATTAATTAAGCAATAATCACCACCATCCAGCTTCAGAACTTTGAAAACTGAACATTTTGGATATTGTAACAGGGTAACTTGGAGTATTACAGTCTTTCTTTTCCTCATTGTTTGTTTTCATTTCTTGCTGTGGGCTATGTTCAGTGACTTCTCAAAATTGTAAAGTTTGTCTGTCTTCTTTCTCTCTGAAGGCTCTGTTCTTTTAGCCAGTGATTAGCTAGTGCTGACAGAGATTTCCTTGAACACCAGAAGTCAAAAAAAGGAAAACAAAAAGGACTCTGCCTTTTCTCCATAATGTGATTATTACACATTGCATGCCTATATCAAAATATCTCATGTGCCCCATGCCCCATAAATATACACACCTACTCTGTAACCACAAAATCAAAAATTAAAATAACTCTGCTGCCACTTCCACTTCTACTTTTTCTTTATCTCTACCAATTATGCTGCTATTTCTGAATATGCATCTTCTTTTTTAAAACATTGTAGTGATAAGTACACAATGTAAAATTTACCCTCATAACCATTTTTTTTTATTTTTTTTGGTGGGGGAGGACAGAGTTTTGCTCCTGTTGCTTAGGCTGGAGTACAATGGTGCAATCTTGGCTCACCATAACCTTCACCTCCCGGGTTCAAGCAATTCTCCTGCCCCAGCCTCCTGAGTAACGGAGATTACAGGCATGCACCACCATGCCCAGCTAATTTTTTGTATTTTTAGTAGAGATGAGATGGAATTTCTCCATTCAATAGTGTTAATGTGAATGTATATTCATATTGTTATGAAACAGTTCTCCAGAACTTTTCAGAACTTAGAAAACTGAAACTCTAGCCATTAAACAATAACTCCCTTTCCCCCACCCCTCTCCCTATCCCCTGGTAACCACCATTCCATTTTCTTTTTCTATGAATTTGACTACTTTAGATACTTCACATAAATGGAATCATACATTTTTGTGTGTGTGAATGGCTAATTTAATGTAATGGCCTTAAGTTTCATCCATGCTATAGCATCTAGCATGATTTTCTTTTTTTATAAGACTGAATAATGTTCCATGTTATGTATATACTGCATTTTGTTTATTCATTCTTTCATCAGTGGACATTTGGGTTGCTTTTACCAATTGGCTGTTGTGAATAATGCTGCTATGAACATGGGTTTGCAAGATCTCTTCATGATCTTGCTTTCAATTTCTTTGGGATATACACCTAAAAGTGAGGTTGCTGGATTATATGGTAGTTCTAGTTATAATTTTCTATTTATATAAAATAATGTGTAAATTTTTAAGGAACTGCCATACTGTTTTATATAGTGGTCACATCATTTTATAATCCTACCAAGTGTACATTAGGGTTCCATTATTTGCATATCCTGGGCAACACTTTTTCTGGTGTTTTTGTTGCTATTGTTTTTATAGCAACAAATAGGTTCTAATAGGTATAGGCTGATATCTCATTGTGGTTTTGATTTGGTTTGGTTTTTTTCCTTCTGATTAGTGATATTGGTCATCTTCATATGCTTGTTGGACATTTGTATATCATCTTTGGGAAAATGTCTAAGTTCTTTGCCCATTTTTATATGCTCTCTTTTTTTCTATGTTACTCCTTTTTTAGCTGCTCTTTTTTCCTTTTGTTGATTCTCCCTCTGCCCTCTCTTTTTCAGTTTCTAGTTGTTCTGCTTTTCCTGCTAATTCTGCATGTGCTTCTCTTTTCTCCTATGCTTCTTTCTGCTGTTTTTCATTTTTCTTTCTCTGCCTGCTTTTTCAGTATCTATTCATTTTGCTTCTGTTTCTCTTTTTCAACTTCTGTTAATTCTGTTTCTTTTTCTGCTGATTCCACATAGCTTCTCCTTTTTGCAGCTATTTTCCTTCTGTTGACTCTGCCCTATTTCTTCTTCCACCTTTTCAGTGTGCTGATTTTACCTCCGCTTCTCCTTGTTCCCATGCTTCTCCTTTCTGCAGCTATTTTACCTTATGCTGACTTTCCTTTATTCTGGTTCCCTCTTCTTTCAGCATCTGCTGATGTGGCCACTGCTCCTTGTTCCTGTGCTTCTGCTTTCTGCAGCTGATTTACTTCTGCTGACTTTGCCCTGTTCTGGTTCCCTCTTCTTTCAGCATCTGCTGATGTGGCCTCTGCTTCTCCTTGTTCCTGTGCTTCTTCTTTCTGCAGCTATTTTACCTTCTGCTGACTTTGCCTTGTTCTGATTCCCTCTTTCAGTATCATCTGATGTGGCCTCTGCTTCTCCTTGTTCCTGTGCTTCTCCTTTCTGCAGCTATTTAACCTTCTGCTGACTTTGCCTTATTCTGGTTCCCTCTTCTTTCAGCATCTGCTGATGTGGCCTCTGCTTCTCTTTGTTCCTGTGCTTCTCCTTTCTGCAGCTGATTTACTTCTGCTGACTTTGCCCTGTTCTGCTTCCGTCTTCTTTCAGCATCTGCTGATGTGGGCTCTGCTTCTCCTTTTTCCCATGTTTCTCCTTTCTGCAGCTTTTTTTTTTTTTTCTGCTGACTCTTGCTTCCCCACTTTTAGCATCTGCTAATTTGGTCTCTGCTTCTCCTTTTTCCTATGCTTCTCATTCCTGCTGCTGTTTTCACTTTTGCTGACTCTGCCCTACTTCCCCCTTCTTTTAGCATCTGTTCATGGCCTCTGCTTCTCCTTTTTCCTATGTTTCTCCTTTCTGCAGCTGTTTTTTTCCTGCTGACTCTTGCTTCCCCATTTTAGCATCTGCTAATTTGGCCTCTGCTTCTCCTTTTTCCTATGCTTCTCATTTCTGCTGCTGTTTTCACGTTTGCTGACTCTGCCCTACTTCCCTCTTCTTTCAGCATCTGTTCATGGCCTCTGCTTCTCCTTTTTCCTATGTTTCTCCTTTCTGCAGCTGATTTTTTCCTGCTGACTCTTGCTTCCCCATTTTAGCATCTGCTAATTTGGCCTCTGCTTCTCCTTTTTCCTATGCTTCTCATTTCTGCTGCTGTTTTCATGTTTGCTGACTCTGCCCTACTTCCCCCTACTTTCAGCATCTGTTCATGGCCTCTGCTTCTCCTTTTTCCTATGTTTCTCCTTTCTGTAGCTGTTTTTTTCCTGCTGACTCTTGCTTCCCCATTTTAGCATCTGCTAATTTGGCCTCTGCTTCTCCTTTTTCCTGTGCTTCTCTTTTCTGCTGCTGTTTTCACTTTTGCTGTCTCTGCCCTACTTCCCCCTTCTTTCAGCATCTGTTCATGGCCTCTGCTTCTCCTTTTTCCTATGTTTCTCCTTTCTGTAGCTGTTTTTTTCCTGCTGACTCTTGCTTCCCCATTTTAGCATCTGCTAATTTGGTCTCTGCTTCTCCTTTTTCCTGTGCTTCTCTTTTCTGCTGCTGTTTTCACTTTTGCTGTCTCTGCCCTACTTCCCCCTTCTTTCAGCATCTGTTCATGGCCTCTGCTTCTCCTTTGTCCTATGTTTGTCCTTTCTGTAGCTGTTTTTTTCCTGCTGACTCTTGCTTCCCCATTTTAGCATCTGCTAATTTGGCCTCTGCTTCTCCTTTTCCCTGTGCTTCTCTTTTCTGCTGCTGTTTTCACTTTTGCTGTCTCTGCCCTACTTCCCCCTTCTTTCAGCATCTGTTCATGGCCTCTGCTTCTCCTTTTTCCTATGTTTGTCCTTTCTGTAGCTGTTTTTTTCCTGCTGACTCTTGCTTCCCCATTTTAGCATCTGCTAATTTGGCCTCTGCTTCTCCTTTTTCCTATGCTTCTCATTTCTGCTGCTGTTTTCACGTTTGCTGACTCTACCCTACTTCCCCCTTCTTTCAGCATCTGTTCATGGCCTCTGCTTCTCCTTTTTCCTATGTTTCTCCTTTCTGTAGCTGTTTTTTTCCTGCTGACTCTTGCTTCCCCATTTTAGCATCTGCTAATTTGGCCTCTGCTTCTCCTTTTTCCTGTGCTTCTCATTTCTGCTGCTGTTTTCACGTTTGCTGACTCTGGCTCCACATCTGCTTCTCCCATCTTTCAGCATCTACTGATTCTGCTACTTTTTCTGATGATTTTGCCTCTGCTTCTCCTTCTTCCTATGCTTCTCCTTTCTGAAGCTGTTTTTCCTTTTGCTGACTCTACTTCCACGCTGATTCCCCCTTTTTCAGCATCTTCTGATTCAGGTGCTTTTTTGCTGATCCTGCCTCTGCTTTTCCTTTTCCTACCTCTACTTTTCCTTTTGTTGATTCTGCTTCTCTTTCTGCTGATGCTAATTTCCTTTCTACTGCCGATGTTGATCCTGCTCCTTTTGCTTCTCCTTGGTCTTCTACATTTTAATGTGTTATACTATTTCTGGCCTCCTCGTAGTTTCACGTTTACATGGCCCTTAATGGCTATTCTATTCCTGGTTGCACCATATGTTTGCACTCACAAATGCTCTACTATCTGTTTTTCAATTTCTAATTACCCTATACACACTTCCTTTAAATAGGAATATAATATTAAAGTAATGGTACTATGTCATAGGCAGCTGGTTAACTGATGGACTAGCTGTTACACAGCCCTTAGATGCTCACTTCTAGAACGGTCACCATGGCACAGGCTGGGAAGCAGAAAAACTAGAGACTCCCAAGGTACAGAATGCAGTCTAGGACTACAGAGACTAGGCAATACATAGTCCATAGAATGGAGTGTACCTGAGTGAGCAGTCCTTATTCTCTCTGCTGGAAGTAGATTGAGGTGTAAGTGAGCAATGAGGTACTAATGTAAAAGAAGTTACTTAATTTGGAAAACTAGATAAAAAGACAAGAGTGTGCAGAGGACAGCTAAGTAGCAACGTGGAAAATTTTTATCCAGTCAGAAAGGAAAGACTGTAGGCAAGTGAAAGAATGAAATCATGTCATTTATGGCCACCTGGAGAACTCATGTTAAGTGAAACAAACCAGCCACAAAAAGATAAATATCACATATGTGGAAGCTAAAAAAGTTGATCTCATATGCAATGCCAAAGAAAGTTGATCTTATATAGAGGTAGAGAGTATAGAATAGTGGTTACTAGAGGTTAGGAAGAGAAGGAGGATGGGGCAATAATGAGGGATTGGTTAAAGGAAACAAAATGAGGAATAAGTTCAAATACGGGGAATAAGTTCTGGTGTTCTAAAGCACTGTAGGGTAGTGACTATAGTTAACAGTAATTGTTATTTCCAAATAGCTAGATAAAAAGATTTTGAATGTTTCAGCATAAAGAAATGATAAATATTGGAGATGATGGATATGTTATTTATCCTGATGTGTTCATTGCACATATGTATGGAAATATCACTCTATACCCCATAAATATATACAGTTATTATATATTATTGAAAAATTTATAAAAATTTTTTAAAAAGAGAAGAACAGAGGGAGCAAGCTTTTCTGGCAAATGGAGTTGAAATTAAGAGCACAGAATTGAAGCGTTGATCGCAATTGAATATGTGATATCAGATCCTTTGATGCTAGAAGGAAAGAAGGAATTGTTGGCATTTTCCACTTCCATGATAGTATGCAGGTGTTTTACTATTATTTTTCACTGTCTGTTATAGGTCCTGAATCTGTGCCTCCTTCCCTTCTTAAAGTAGTGATGAAACCCATAGCAACTGTTGGAGAAAGCTACCAATATCCTCCTGTGAACTGGGCTGCACTTCTCTCTCCACTTATGAGGCTAAATTTTGGTAAATATCATGTGTTTTTAAGTCTTCAGACTTTGATTTTAGTATTTGACCTGAATGGAAAAACAGATTCTGTGTCACAATGTGTAGTGACTGGATAGACTTTTCAGATCTTGAGGTTTGTCATGTTGGATGGAATGGCTGGGTTACTTTCACTCAGTCATTGAGCCCCTGAGGGTGAGGAAGAAGAGGTCTAAAGACACAGGCCAGATACACCTGCCAAAAACAATGCTTGACTGAGGTTTGCGCACTGCTGGGAATGTGGTACAGGTTCCATTAAGCTTGCCTTTGTGGTTATCAAACTACATTTCCAGAGCCATAGGTTTCGAGAAGTACCATGTGGGATGCTGTATTAATTTTCTATTGCTGCTGTAACAAATTACCACAGTGGCTTGAAACAACACAAATTTATTATCTTTACATGTCCATAGGCCAGAAGTCCAACATGTTTCTCACCAGCCTAAGATCAAGGTATCAGCAAATTAGAATTTCTTTCTAGAGGTTCTAGGGAGGAATTCATTTCCTTTTCTTTTCTAGCCTCTAGAAGCTGCCCACATTCTTTGACTTGTGGCCCCCTTTCTGCATCTTCAAGGCAAGCAATAGAGGGCTAAGATCTTCTCACACCATCATCTTTCTGGTTCTCTGTAGCCAGGAAAGGTTTTCCAACTTTAAGGACTCATGTAATTAATAGGCTCACTTACATAATCCAGGATAATCTCTCCATCTCAAAATCCTTAACCTTAATCACATCTGCAAAGCTTCTTTGTCATATAAGGTAGTGTATTCACAGGTTGCAGGGATCAGGATGTGAACATTATTGGGGACCATTATTCTGCCTACCACAGTTATTTTGTGGTGAGAGGCAAACAGAATACACACCTCAACACCTCCAGTTCATCCACAGCAACCTATTTTATACAGAATAGAGTTACACATGCAAATATAATTTAATGTACTTGTTCCCCACCCTAACTCCAAAAATAAAGTAAGAAGGGGAGATGAAGAGCAATTTAAACAGTGTTGTAAAATTGTGTGTGTTTGTGTCTGTGCCTGCTGTGAGTGCTCTATCATTTATAGTAGAGTGCATACTTACATATGATATATAAAACAACTTCTATACTGTAATTTATGTGTGGTTTCAGAGATAAAGATAATTTTGACTACATACAATTTTTCACTTAAGTGCTTTCATATAAACCTAATCTCTATATAAGATATAATGTCACCATACTGGGTTTCCAGAGATTTCATTTGAAAAATGTGTTCCGCTATCCCTCTCCTTGTTTGGTGTGCTATATTGAAATGTTTGTGTTTCATTTAAGTCCTTAGAGAAAGGAAGGAAAATAAGGTGCTGATTGGAATCTTATTACTAGAAAGGCTTGATGACTAGAGAATGTGGCTCTATCTTTAAGCCATTCCACACCTTGATATATTTCTTCATGGTCTGCATATGAGATGGAGAGAAGGGAAAAACAGAGATCCAGAGATTACTAGCTAGAATTTTCTCATATTTTAGATAGTGTTTGAGTGTGTAGTTTCCTCTGGATATCATAAGAGAAATTCCCATATCTAGTTCAAGCCCATTGCTAGTTCCAAGGTGGGACTGTGATGCCATTGGACATGTTATTTTGCCTCATAACTAACAAGTCTCTTGAAATATCTCTTCTGGTTTACTGAAGTTCTGTTACCTGCAAAAGTCACATAAGCAGATGCTTTGATTTGAGATATTAAAGCCTGAAAATGAGTCAGGAAAGTAACTATATATTCAATTCTTTTCCTTTCTTGACTTTCAGGTGAAGAGATCCAGCAACTGTGCCTTGAAATTATGGTGACCCAGGCACAGTCATCCCAGAATGCAGCTGCACTATTGGGCTTGTGGGTGACACCACCACTGATCCACAGTCTGAGTGTATGTAGTAACTAAGGGTGTTGGCCAACAGGAGGATATTGTTCTTTAGGAGGATATTAACATTCATTTGGGTGTGTGTTCTCAAAGTCAAGAGGAGACAGATGAGATCTTCACAAAAATCGAGGGTTTGATAGTAGCTGGCCTGCATATTGGAAAATTATATAGTTCAGAACCCTGCCATAGCCATTACCGTTCATGCTTTAGCTACCATTTATTACCAAAAGTGGAAAATGATGATCAGAGATATTAAAGTTCCTTTCTCAAGATCATATAGCTAGAAAGTGGTGGAATTATTTGAACTTATGTTTATTTGATTATATAGTATATGTAATTATTTCAGTACATATTAAGAGAAAGGAAATCCATATGTACCGGACTTATCCATGTATTATCCTTCCCCTTTCCCAGAGGAGGCAGCAATTAAGGTGGGCCATGATTTGGTTAGGTATCACATCAAGGGGACCAGGGGATGTAGGTGGGAGAGTGTAAGTGGAGAGCATGAAAGATCTCTACTAGGCTGTTTAGCTTGAGCAAAGCGTTGAGAAAGCAATGACCGAGTCTGGTGTTTTTGATAGAGGGGGCTAGCACCTTTCACGTATAGGCCAAGGGCAGATAGGAAGAATAGGGCAAGAGAGTTTAAAGATGTAAAGTTAGTAAAGATGTATAATTTTGATTAGGTTTCAAACTAGAACAGAAAAACATATTCCATGATTCTTTAGAGGTTTACCAGTTGATGTAAGTTAAATGCTGTCATCTTTTAATTGTCTCCATAATCTGGACTATTCTTCTGTCCTAGGAGGCTTTAATTGTTTGAGAATAGTGCAAAGCCCTCTTATCATTTCCTCAGTCTCTTGGCCTTTGTCCCTATTCAGCCTTGTTTCTGTTTTTTTGTTGTTGTTTTTGAGACAGTTTCTCGCTCCATAGCCCAGGCTGGAGTGCAGTGGCAGAATCTCGACTCACTGCAACCTCCGCCTCCTGGGTTCAAGTGATTTTCATGCCTCAGCCTCTCAAGTAGCTGGGACTATAGGTGTGCACCACCGTGCCCATCTAATTTTTGTATTTTTAGTAGAGATGGGGTTTCACCAAGTTGGCAAGGCTGGTTTCGAACTCCTGACCTCAAGTGATCTGCCCACCTCAGTCTCCCAAAGTGCTGGGATTACAGGTGTGAGCCACCACGCTGGGCCTGTTTTTGTTTTTTTAAACCTTTCCTACTCCTCCTCACTGTCTTTAATTGAAAGTGGATGTTATCAAGGTCTGCATCTTTCTGTCAGGTATTAACTTCATTCCACCTGTCTGCTCCAAGTGGCTCCCAGCTGCCTGCCACTTACTGAGCCCTTGCTGTGCACCTGGTACCTGCAAGCACTCAGTGAGTACTTACAGAAATCAGACTTAATTTCTCTACAGCCTGACGGGACAGTTTTAAAAGTAGCTTTGTTGAGTTATAATCTATATAGCCTAAAATATGGCTGTTTTAAAGTGTAAAATGTGATGAATTTGAGTACCTTTACAGGTTTTTCAATCATCACCAAGAATATTTCCATCACCTGACAAGTTCCATTGTGCTTGCTTGTAGTCATTCCCCACTCCCAGCTTCAGACCCAAGCCACCACCAATCTGCTTTCTATTTGTAGTATTGCCTTTCTAAAATAACCTTTATTTATATAATTTTATATAAATTATATATAAATTTCATATAAATTTTTGAAATTCTTTAGAATGGAATTATACAATATGAATTTTTTTATGTCTGTCTTGTTTCATGTCTGAGAGATACATTTTATTATTTCCATTTTAACAGAATTATAAACTGAGGCAAATGGAGGTCAAGCAAAGTTTGCCTAGCTAATAAAAGAGAGAGCTCTATCTATCTGAGTTCAAAGCCCTGTTCTATTCACTCCTTCTTACTTTTGAATCAGACCTATTTCCAGCCTGTTGGGTTGGCCTTCGAAATTTTCCTAAATTTTACTTATCCTTTCATTTATCTTTTAGATCTGTGCTACTCTGTGCATTTGTCTTTGATTATTTATCTTTATTGTTATCTTGGTTAATAAATTAAGTTTGTGAGTTCATTTTCTTAAATATAGAATGATCTGAGATGGCATATTCTTTAAAATGAGGTCTTGAGAAAACTCATGCAACTACACTGATCTTTTTAGAAATTTGCAGAAAACATTGTTCCTCTGTCCCTCCCCTATTTTTGTGTGCTATCTTGAAAAAACAAAAATAGCACACAAAAAAGTTTTTGCCAGATTTTACTTTTTAGATCACTTATTTTGCCAGATTTTATTTTTAGATCACTTATTTTAGACTTGCTGCCCCTTTAGTAGCATGTTTATGTTCCTAAGAATTTTTGAAGCCCACTTGGTTGAAGTCTGTCATATAACAGAGCTGTTACTAACATGCCCTTTCTTGGCTCTCATGAACTCTAAGGTGCCTGGTCAGTTCTACGTGCTCAGCTGGTGGTTTTACTTTGGTCATAAATGGTCCCAGCATGTCACTTCTCCTTATTACTTCCTTATTTTTTCTCAGAAGAAGAAATTAATAGTATCAGATGCTCTGTTTAGTTGATTTTCAGCAGTTGAGCCTTTCATCTTCCAGAGCTTTTCTTGCCAGAGAATGTGACCTTTTAAAACTGAAAAGTAACTGTCATGTACTTTCAGAAGTAGCATTTTATTCCCGTCACTGAAACCTTGAAAACATCCAAGGTTTAAGCTGAGTAGTTCACAGATGGGTTGGCAGATCCCATATAAACACATGATTCACCCTGGATCAGAAGTAACTGCAGAAGCCAAAATTACATGCATTGGTGGCCCATTGGACCGTGAAGCTGTGGGAAAATGAAGGGGGAAGGAAGTAACCTGAACCTTTTATCTCTCAGTCTACCCTCAAACACAGTGATGATGTACAGGTTTTGAACATTGCAAACCCAGACTTGCCTATTTACATTCAACCCCTTCTGTTTTACTTCCAGCTGAATACCAAGAGATATCTCCTGATATCTGCACCTCTGTGGATAAAACACATCTCTGATGAACAGATCCTGGGTTTTGTTGAAAATTTAATGGTGGCAGTTTTTAAAGCAGCTTCCCCACTTGGAAGTCCTGAGCTATGCCCAAGTGCTTTACACGGTCTGAGCCAGGCCATGAAACTGCCCAGCCCTGCCCACCACCTCTGGAGTCTGCTCTCTGAAGCTACTGGGAAAATTTTTGACCTCCTGCCAAATAAGATTCGGGTGAGGAACAAAAATATTTACATTCCTGACAATTTATGTTTGGGATATTTTAAAGGCTTCTTGGCAAAGTGGGGAGGTGTATGTTTTAAGAATGTGGGTGGGAAGGCTAGCAAGAAATAACCACATTCTTTACTAGGAGTGTATTTGTTTCCAAGATCTAAATTGAGGTTGAATATTTAGAACCAAAGTTTTGAGCAAGCTTAGAAGCAGTTTAACCAGTGCTGCACCAGGAAATTTGCTATTAGGCGTTTTTACCAAATGCCTCTTGTAGAAGACGAGAAGGCTCAGAAGTCCTTACGCTTTACACCTGGAGAATCCGTGGGCATGAGTTCCCATATACTGTTTATATAAAACAATTTAGCATCGCCCTTCCCTCCCCCAAAAGACCTCTGAATTGTAATTTTACAAAGAGGTTAGAAATTTATTTGGGATGAAGGAATTTTGATAAGGAGAAAAATGTATAGCCAAAACAAAACAAAACAAAAAAACACAAAGTAACAGGAAAGATGTCTTCAAAATGATAAAAATTGGCCAAATGTTTTGGTTTGGTTAAAATTAAAATCTCATCAGCTGCTGTTCATGGGGATAAGAAAATCTAATAATTTGTCAGAACATTTTGACCTGTTATTTTACACTGTTTGTTGACATGTTTGGGATTTTTCTTTATCAGAGAAAGGATCTAGAGCTGTATATCAGCATAGCAAAATGCCTCTTAGAAATGACAGATGATGATGCCAATCGGATCGCCCAGGTTACTAAGGTAATAACATATCTTTCTATACCTTTTTTCATTATTGAGCCAGAAATTACGATTGAATAATTGATTTCAGTGTTTGGCTGAAGCAAGTTTTGCTTCATTTTTGTTATTGGTTAATTTCAGGAAACTATATTTCATTTACATTGTTGAGCCTCTTGTTCAGCCTACTAATGTGGTTGGTGCTTAACAAATGTTGTATGGATGGATAGATGGATGAATAACTTTTTAACCCGATTTCTCCCACTTTGTCCTTCACCTGATCCTATCCTTAGGAATGAAGAAGGTGGTTGATTGAAAAGCAAGCACTATTAGCCCTGACACAGGATAATTTATTTCCCACACCCATGCCCAAGTCAAACGATGAATGAGCAAAAAGTAGCATATCAGTAAAGTTGCCAGATTTAGCAAACAAAATGCAAGATATTTTGTTAAATTTGAGTTGCAGATCAATAATGAATCATTTCTTAGTACAAGTACATGCCAAATGACACACTTGTATTTGAATGGCAGTTTTGCATACCAACTAATACCAATGGTCTAGAGAACTGTGAGCTCCCTTATAGCTGGTGGACTTCGTGTCATTTATTTTACTTTATGGCAGGTTTGCCTATTCAATCAGATCCTTGAATTTCTGCATCATATGGCAGTGGTTCTCAGAATGTGGTCTTTGCATAAGTAGCATCAGCATCGCCTTGGAAATGATTAGAAATGTGAGTTCTTGAGCCCCCATCTAGGCCTACTGAATCAGAAACTCTGCAGACGGAGCCCAGGAGTCTATGTTTTAATTGTCTCTCCAGGTGATTCTGGTGTATCCTAAGGTTTGAAAACCACTGTTAAAGAATATTTGGGGCCAGGTGCGGTGGCTCACGCCTGTAATCCCAGCACTTTGGGAGGCCGAGGCGGGTGGATCATGTGGTCAAGAGATCGAGACTATTCTGGCCAACATGGTGAAACCCCGTCTCTACTAAAGGTACAAAAATTAGCTGGGCGTAGTGGCACACACCTGTAGTCCCAGCTACTCGGGAGGCTGAGGCAGGAGAATCGCTTGAACCCGGGAGGTGGAGGTTGCAGTGAGCCGAGATCCCACCACTGTACTCCAGCCTGGTGACAGAACGAGACTCTGTCTCAAAAAAAAAAAAAAAAAGAATATATGGAATATCAACATTTTGGAAGTTAGGTTGTTTTAAGCAAGGAGAAGCAACATAAGAAAATAGTTAAGAGGATGGACTCTGGAGCCTCACTGCTTCAGTTTGAAATCCAGCTCTGCAATTTGCTAGCAATGCGATCTTGGTTAAGCTTCATAAGCTCTCTGCCTCAGTTCCCTTATCTGTAAAGGAGAGATAATAACACCTATGACTTAGAGCTCTTTTGAGAGTTCAGTGAGTTAGTCCATGTTGAGTATTTGGAATACTGCCTGGGTCAAGATAAGGACTCAGTATTTATTATCATAATTATTACATATGTGTAATGAATTATATCCTATTATTACATTCATGTAATTGGAAATAAAGTATGTCATTTACTTCTTAGTACCTAGAGCTGAAGGTTGCTGTTACTCGCTTGAGTTTCTACCTAAAATACCATTCAGAACATTGTCACTGGAACATACTAAGTAGTGTTCTGATGTCCCCAAAAGAGTTAGTCTGCTTCAGCAAGGTCAGAGTTTTCTATTTGTTTCTGAAAAGAATAGAGGTAGAGGTAAGAATAAGATAGTGGTAGAGAACACAGACTCCCTCAGTTCTGTTTCTTACTCTGCCACCTGTAGCTATGTGACCTTAATTTAAGCAAGTTGCTTAACCACTGTGCTTCAGTTTCCCCATCTGTAAAGGTGGGACTTTAATAGTGATCTACTGCAGAGAATTGGTGTGAGAATGAGTAAATACAGCAGTTCTCAAATGTTTTAGTCTCAGGAACACTTTAGCTTCTTAAAAATTGTTGAGGATGCCAAAGAGCTTTTAATTATAAGGGTCATATCTGTTGACATTTTCCTTATTAGAAATTTAAAGACTAGGAAAACTTTTAAATATTTACTTAAAAGCAATAATAAGAAACCCATTATATATGAACATGATTAATAAAAAAATTTAAAGCATAAAAATTTAGTGAGAAAAGTGGCATTGTTTTACATTTTTGTAAATCTCCTTAATGTCTGGCTTAATAGAAGACAGCTGGATTCTCATGGCAGCTTCTTCATTCCATCTGTTGTGAGGTTGTTTTGGTGAAGTATGTGAAGAAATTCCAGCCTCATACAGATATGCAGGAGGAAAAGGGAAACGTGTGCTAATAGTCTTTTCACATAATTACGGACATCCTTCTTTTACATTTCACCAAAAAACTCAACAACTTGTAGTTCCTTTTTTAAAAAAAATATTTTTTAGACTGAGTCTCACTTTGTCTCCCAGCCTGGAATGCAGTGGCATGATCTCAACTCACTGCAACCTCCGTCTTCAGGGTTCAAGTGATTCGCCTGCCTCAGCCTCCAGAGTAGCTGGGATTACAGGCATCCACCATCATGCCTGGCTAATTTTTATATTTTTAGTAGAGACAGGGTTTTACCATGTTGGCCAGGCTGGTTTTGACCTCCTGGCCTCAAGGTGATCCTCCTGCCTTGGCCTCCCAAAGCGCTGTGATTACAGGCCTGAGCCACCATGCCCGGCCAGCAACTTGTAGTTCCTTAAAGGTTAGTTGCACTGTAGAATCTGAAACCATATTAGTGAAACTCATATACTTTGTTACATTAAATTCCACAGGTCTGTTTTACACTTTGGGTCTTTTACCCATGCATGGTTTTGTAATATCATACATTGGTCATTTGGAAAATATTGAATCACTGAGTTTTGAAGATCTTCCAAATGTTGACAATATAAAATAATCGTATTGTTAATAGCACTACCAATCTCATCAGAAAAGCTTTTTACATATTGGGAAGCTGCCAGGCTCATAGAAGCAGAAACAAATTTTCCAAAAATCTAATTTTCTCTTGAAAGCTCAAATTTTATCATTTGGGAGCAAATACTACCAGGTATTTTTCTTGAAGTGACAGGTTCATTTCCTTCAGTTTCAAGAAAATAATCTGTCAAATACCCAGGTTGAATAACCATAGTTTTTCCATCAATTATTCTTTCAAGTAAATAGTGTTCTGTGAAAAGAGTGGCTATTTCACAGCCTAATCTTACACGTGTTCTTCCTTGGCTTGAGACCACCATCATACCTGGGTATGCAGCACAGTTCCCATATGAGTATTTCTCAGTTTGTCGCACAGAATATTTTTAAAAATATTTACTCAAGGGCCAATGTTTAATGGAACTAATAATTTTTATTGTTTACAAGGATATTTTAAGTGAAATTGGCTTGTGAAAAAAAAATAAACGTCAGTACAATATACAATGAATACTAGTACACTTTGGTGCTAACATAAAAATAGTTTTGACCTCACAGAACCTCTTATGTATCTTGGGGTTCCACAGAAGTTCTGTGTACCATACTTTGAAAACCACTGAATTAACACATGTTAAGTGCTTGGAGTGATGCCTGGCACACAGTAAGTACTGTATTTGTTAGTCATCATTTTATTATTATTGTTTGTGTATATTTACTATATATCATCACTGACTAACTCCTGAACAAATTTATGGTTTTAATGAAGGAGCAGGAGATGGCATTACAACCCTCTATTGTATGCTCATGTTAATTTAGCACACAGGCAGATGGGTCATGTGCTGCAGGAAATGAACAGAATAGTAACATCCAACTCATCTTTTTTGTTTTGCCCTTGCCCTGAAATTCTGTAGCTACTTCAGTTAATTTAATAGTAACTAAACAATTTTTTTTTTTTTTTTTGCAGAGCAACATAGAAAAAGCTGCCTTTGTCAAACTGTACTTAGTCTCTCAAGGACGATTCCCCTTGGTGAACCTGACCGATATGCTGAGCGTTGCTGTGCAGCACCGTGAGAAAGAGGTGTTGGCCTGGATGATTCTGCACAGCTTATACCAGGCACGGATTGTGAGCCATGCCAATACGGGTGAGGACACCCTGGGGTGAACATCAGAAACAGGAATAGATCTGCCTGCTGTTGCTTTTAAGTTGCACTTGAGTTCTCAACTTAAAAATTAGTTTAGTGCTTATTGACACAGGTTAGGCCTTCTGGTGCCAAATGAGGAGTAACTTGGATAGAAATTAACAGTTATAGCTCACAACATCCACTTTTTGGAAATGAGGATGGATTCTTTCGAGGGGTTTTGTTTTCTATTTGGCTCTGTAGACCCTCACAGTTACAAACAAGTTAGCTGCTTCTGCCTGTTTAACTTCAGTTTCCCAAAACACACAAGATATCAATTGATTCTGCCTGATGATTTCATGAAAATGGCTTTTGGGTAGTCATTTAACAAACAAGAGAAAACAGAAACAAAAAAATTAACTAGTTATTTTACAGAAGAACTTCTCTGGGATGAGAATAATCAAATCCTGCCACCCTGTCTGCATTAGCAAGCTTGAAGCTCTGCTAATGAATCACATGATGCAATTTTTAGACCGTTTTAGACGTTATGCTTTAATAATTACTGAATAAGAGCGCTCCCCCATTGCTCTATCCAGGTTGTTGGTCATATTTACAATTTCTGGAGACTACATTCAAGTTCTGAATGGCACCAGGCTCCTGAGGGGTAGATGTGGCTGGGAAGCTTGTGCGACTCTGGACAAATTGCTTATGCTTCTGTGCCTGGTTTTCCCCATCCATCTCTTGTATTGTTATGATTTTTAGGAAAAACTGACAAACACGATTGTAATACTCTGCAAGACTGTATCGCCTTAATACCAGCCCTTCAGGAGGCAAGGCAGGTGGATCACCTGAGGTCAGGAGTTTAAGACCAGCCTGGCCCACATGGTGAAACCCTGTCTCTACTAAAACGACAAAAATTAGCTGGTTGTGGTGGCGTAAGCATGTAGTCCCAGCTACTCAGGAGGCTGAGGCAGGAGAATTGCTTGAACCCAGGAGGCAAAGGTTGCAGTGAGCCAAGATCCCACCACTGCACTCCAGCCTGGGTGACAGAGCGAGACTGCATCTTGAAAAAAAAAAAAAAGAAATTTTGATTCATCATCCCCTGTGGCAGTCTGAAACAGTTTTTATATCTGCATTTGTGCCTTTCCACTGAAAAATGAACCTATGATGAGAAACTGGACTTTTTAACTCTAAGCCAAAAGTGTATGTATCAGGAAGAAATCTAGTAGGTGTTTCAAATGAAGCATGAAGTTACATGCAATAAACTGAAATAAATTTGATGTTGCCTTTGGTTCCAACCAGAACCAGCCAGCTCTCAAATGCAGTTCCCGTTTTTGAAACATGTCCTTAGTAGTCTTTACTGTGCTGGGAATCCTCTTTTTTAAAAAACAAAATTAAAAGGGAAAAAAGTCAATATTGCTGCTAATGGAAATATAATGGCTGTATTTTGTTTTTCTTTACATGTCTTTGGGTTAGGTTTCCTCTGTGATTTGGCATAAATTGGGAACACTGAAGCAAAGGAGAACTATAAAAACAAATAATTGTCAACAATTCAACATTGCTAGTTAGTTGGCATGCCAGATTTCTCCTAGTGTGTTTAATTTTGAGAGAGAAACTCCAACAAATGCATTTTATCACTAGTGGTCAGGGAGATTTAAAGAATAAATTGGCTTTTGAAAATCAAAGACCAAAATACTGTTATCTGATGTGAATAATGTCAAAGAACTCTCTCACAGGCAGTCACAAGTCTCGGGTATTGCAAGGGAACATGAAACTGGTTAATGGAATCCTCACCAGGTGTTCTGCTTTAGTTATGATGGTTGTTACTGATCTGTTTTACATTTCAAAGGAAAACCATGGTCTAGTAAGAAAATACCCTTTTCATTTCAGGCGTTTTGAAGAGAATGGAGTGGCTCTTGGAACTGATGGGTTATATTAGAAATGTTGCTTACCAGTCAACATCCTTTCACAATACGGCTCTTGACAAGGTAAAATCTAGAGGAGTAGTTTATAGCTTCCTTAAAATACAGAACTTATATTAGGTTGGTGCAAAAGTAATTGCGGTTTTGCCATTAATTGGCAAAAACTGCAATTACTTTTGCACCAACCTAAAATATATGCTCCCAAAAGAGGAGCACGTTGCTGTTTGCAGCTTTTCTTTCCCTCTTTCCTTTTATTTTAGACACACTTAATGATTCTCTGATGCCGCAAGAAAACTGGTATTCTTACCAAGCTCTTGGAGACACCCAAGGCTGCCCTTTGAGAAATATTTTCAACAAAATATGTTTCTTGACAGACAGAACACAAAGGACACTTGGGAGAGAGAGAACCCAAGCTCCTGTGTAGCTGGGATTGATCCCATAAAGGATGTGGGAATATAGGGCTCTGGCCTCCACACTGGCCAGCATATGGCTAAAAATGCCTGCTTTGAAGAGGTTCCTGGAGTGTATGCAGATAATCTTATGTGTGCCAATACTTATGTGCATGTGTGCATATATGGAGGGGAATTTTTATCACACCTGCAAAATTACCTATGACTCAAAAAAAGTAAGAACCGCTAGTATTAGGTTTGGGTAAGTTTAAAAATAAAAGATTAATAAGACGAAGACAGCTCTTTCCTGCTTTCCTTCATTGTGTTGACTTAGCTGGCAGCTGTGCATTTTGTAATAGCAGAATTTTTTTTCTGTAGGCATGCTTCATGAGTATTCTGTTTGCTGTGTGAGTCAAATTTGCA
Source organism: Homo sapiens (assembly GCF_000001405.40). Taxonomy (NCBI): domain Eukaryota; kingdom Metazoa; phylum Chordata; class Mammalia; order Primates; family Hominidae; genus Homo; species Homo sapiens. The sequence goes on from NC_000009.12 coordinate 20,989,176, forward strand.
TAACCTGGGATGTTTTTTGAAGTTCTGCCCAGTTTTTCTGAAGAGTTGTATGTCTTTTTGAAATTTTAATTTGTGAGTTTAGGAATTTTAAGAGATTAGGAAGTACTTTTTAAACTTTTTTTGAACTTGCGTGATCTGTCCTCTTTCTTCTGATTTCCTAAGTTTTTATTAACTTTCTCTGTTTTCTTACAAAAACCTTAAAACACTGAGAAAATACAGATAAGCAGAAAGAAGTGTAGTTTAAATCACAGTAATCCAACTACTCAGAGGTGGCTCCTATAATCACCATTTCTATGATTGTCTAGATTAGTCTGAAATCTAAATGGATAGATCCTGGACAGGTGTTTAAAATGCATGAAGAAGCTGGGCACAATGGCACATGTCTATAGTCCCAGCCACTTGGGAGGCTGAAGCAGGAGGATTTCTTGTGCTCAAGAGTTCAAGATCACTCTGGGCAACATAGTGAGACCCCATTTCTTAAAACATTTTTTAAAAAAAATGAAGAAAGACTTGCTCAAAAGTAGAATCAGAGTATACATATTTTTAAAAATTAGTTTTGCCCACATAACCATAAATATTTCTTCATTTTGTAAGCTCTTTGAAAACATCAAAACAGAGGAATGTTTGGATCTTGATGTGATTAGGAATTGAATAAACGATGTTTCTCCTGAAATGTTAGAGCGATAATAATGAAACTGTTGGGTCTTCTGCCTTCACATAAAGGGACTTCAAAAATCTTCTAAAGCCCCAAAATGTATCTTCATTAAACATGGAAACTGAGTTTACTGTTCAGTTCAGTTCCTCTTCTGGGTGGGGGTAGGGCAGGAGGGACTGGTTGGGTGAAGGGGAAGATGACATTGCCTCACGACAGGGGCTGTGTATGTGAACATGTGTTACTTTGAATTGTTAAAAAATATGACCTAACGTCATTTCTATTTTCATCGTAGGCTTTGGACTTCTTCTTGCTGATATTTGCAACCGCAGTGGTTGCATGGGCTGACCACACTGCCCCTCTCCTCCTCGGCCTCAGTGCCAGTTGGTTGCCATGGCATCAGGAGAATGGCCCGGCTGGGCCAGTACCAAGCTTCCTTGGCAGGAGTCCAATGCACAGGGTCACTCTGCAGGAGGTTCTCACTCTCCTTCCCAATAGCATGGCTCTGCTGCTGCAGAAAGAGCCATGGAAGGAACAGACCCAGAAGGTGAGGCTGGCAGCCACCTGCTTAGCAGGGCAGGCAGCCATTGTCTCTTCAGCAGTTTCTACTGTAGAATTGAGGTGGGAGTTAAGTGCGTCTTGAATCACACCACAGACTTTCCTACCCAGCCCCATATCTCAGCCAGATGCAGAGTCTCAGAGATTGAGGCTAGCCCAGGCTCGGGGCAACTGCTGATTAAACAACAAGGTGGCAGCTTGCTTACAGCTGGGAGTGAGGTGGAGGAAAAGTCCATACTTCATTTATTGAAGGCACTTGTTTTCTTGATCCTGGGGAGGAAAGGGTGAGTATGTCTCAGAGCTCAGAATCTCAAGGTGAGGGTCGACGGGAAGGCAAATTCAGGATTGCAAATCGTGTGATAAGTAAGATACAGTGGTGATGAGCAAGGGAAGGAGTTGATCAACAATGCCTGGGTGGGTCAGGAAGTTTTCTGCCAGGAAATGTGGGTCGGGAGCATCCATCTTCTTGTAGCATCTTTAAGGTTCCCCATAGCTTATTCCATTGCACAGATATGCTCCAGGCACCCAGTGTGCCCTGGTCTGTGCTAGATGCCAAACAGAGCTTTGTAAAGGTCTGATAGTATCACCCTTGCCCTCAGGAAAACCTAAATTGTTTAGTTTGCTGTTCAGTCTAGTTCCTCTTCTGGAGTAGGGGTGGGGCGGGAGAAGGAGTTGGGTGAAGGGGAAGATGACATTGCGTCATGTTGAGGGCTTTGTATGTGAACATGTGTTACTTTGAATTGTTAAAACATATGACCCAAAAGGAAACATTTTTTGGTTTTTAATGTTGAGGTTCCCCAGGCTACTAGCTGTTCTGCAAAGCATAACTGTGCTTACTGTACTTCTCATTATATGTTTCTGACCTGTCCTTAATACAGTTGGTTGAAAGATTCTTTTTTGAATCTCATTTAATCAAAACTGGATTTTTATGAAGTTGAAAGCTTCAAACTAACTTTTTTTTGCTTATTCTTGAAATCTGAACATTAATCTTTAAAAACATTTCTGAACTGTAGACCCATAGTTTAGCTATGCACAACTCCACCAAGTATCTCAACTAAAATGCCTTTTATTTTTCTTAAACCTGATAAGCATTAGTATTGCTGCCCCAAATTTTGTGCTTTGTGTCCCATTTAAAATCAAATTTTGGCTGGGCACAGTGGCTCACACCTAGAATCCCAGCACTTTGGGAGGCCAAGGCAGGCAGATCACGTGAGGTCAGGAGTTCGAGTCCAACCTGGCCAACATGATGAAACCCTGTCTCTACTAAAAATGCAAGAATTAGACGAGTGTGGTGGTGTGTGCCTATAATCCCAGCTACTCAGGAGACTGAGGCAGGAGAATCGCTTGAACGCAGGAGGCGGAGGTTGCAGTGAGTCGCAATCCCTCCGCTGCTCTGCAGCCTGGCTGACAGATTGAGACTCTGTCTCAAAAAAAAAAAAAAAAAAAAAAATTTAAATGTGGTCTTCCCATATATTATTTCTGGACTGGGATACCACGTTCCCTTTGGACTACAATGTAGACCTCTTGCATTGATTATATATTTGTAGTGCTTGACTTTTTTGCTTATCGGTTGGATATTATAGCACAAAACTGAGAAAAGGAAAATCAACAAAGAAAAAAATTTTTGATTAAAGCAGGGAATTAGGAATATTTTCTTTTTCTCCCTATTTTACTCTTTCTTCAATCTAGCTTCTATATGTGAAACTAAAATGCCTATTACCTATCACCAATGTATGTGTTTTTAGTGAACCAAGATTGGCAGCATTCAGTCATTGATTAAATTACCCTGTATCTAATTCAAAAACAATTCAGGCTGCATCCTGAGAGATCAGCCAAACTCATAAATACTATGAGTTTCCACCTCATTTGCAGGATTTATTCATGGTTAACATGCTTGGCTCTACCTAGTGAATTATTTTATGCCATTTCTCTTGCATTTCAATTTTCTGTTTCATATCCATTTGGGCACAACTGTTCTCATCTACAGAAACATATTTTATTTCAGAAATGGGGGCTTATATCTGATGTGTTTTCTATTTACTGCCCAGCCTAGGAGCCTAGACCAAGCTGCACACAGAACCAGGTGGGAGGCAGCATGATGCAAAGAAAGAGCATAGGGCTCTGAAGCCAAGTGTACTTGGGTTCAAATCTTAACTCGGCTATACATTGAGGGTGGACTTGGGCAAGGTTTTTAATCTCTCTGGGCCCATCAGAGTGATGAGAGATAATGTTCCTGGCACACAGGAGGCCCTCTGGGCCCATGTCTACCTCCCTCTTAAAACCTGTATCAGCAGCCAGGCATGGTGGCTCACACCTGTAATCACAACACTTTGGGAGGCCAAAGCAGTTGAATCACAAGGTCAAGAGATCGAGACCATCCTGGCCATCATGGTAAAACCCTGTCTCTACTAAGAAAAAAATACAAAAATTAGCTGGGTGTGGTGGTGTACGCCTATAGTCCCCGCTGCTCTGGAGGCTGAGGCAGGAGAATCACTTGAACCCAGGAGGCAGAGGTTGCAGTGAGCCGAGATTGCGCTACTGCACTCCAGCCTGGTGACAGAGCAAGACTCCATCTAAAAAAAAAAAAACTCCTGTATCAGCTCTCAAGGTATTCAGCAGGGAAGTAGGTTTGACTTTGCCAGGTCATTTAACTAAATGGGAGCTGTATCCAACTTTACCATATCTTATGCTTGGTCCCTGTCTCATCTCCTCCACCTGGGGAAGGTATTGCCTAAGAACTGTAATCCCAGCTACTGGGGAGGCTGAGGCAGGAAAATCACCTCATATATATAGGTCCAAGGGAATAACTGTTCTTTTGCTGATGGTAGGATTCTCTTCTTTGACACTATTTTTCATTTTTACCCTAGTTCATTGACTGGCTATTCAGCATCATGGAAAGCCCTAAAGAAGCCCTCTCAGCACAGTCCAGGGATCTTTTGAAAGGTATTACTTCCATGTTTTATGCTCAACATAGGGGAAAAACCATTATTGTTGTCTGTGGAGCAGAATGGCATTCTAGTGGTTGCAGGTTGAGTATCTCTTACCCGAAATGCTTGGGACCAGAGGTGTTTTGGATTTTGGATGTTTTTGGATTTGGGTATATTTGAACATACATAAGGAGATGCTTTGGGGATGGAACCCAAGTCTAAACACAAAGTTTATTTATGTTTCATACATACCTTACATACATGGCCGGAAGGTAATTTTATATAATATTTTTAGTAATTTTGTACATGAATCAAGGTACTTGGTGTTAAGTACTTATGTGTGGAATTTTCTACTTGTGTTGTCATATTGAGGCTCAAAAAGTTTCAGATTTTGGAGGATTTTGGATTTTTAGATTAGGGATGCTCAGCCTATATTGGTTTCTGAAAGAGATAATCTGGAGCTGTTTAGTGTGGCATTTTGAACCAGAAAGTAGACTTAAAAAGAATGCCAGTCCCTTTAAATTTACCATTTATTTAAATGGTTTTAAAATGTTTTATGGTAATAGTAAAATATTCTTTTAATTAAAATTCAGAAAATTCAGAAAACTAAAAAGCAGCAAAGAGAAATCCAGAGTCCCATTGCCCAATGACAATTTTTATATTTTCCATAAGAAGTTTTTTCCTGCTTCTGTGTGTGTTGTCTTACATATTTATAATCATATACAATTGAAAATACACATAGCTCAAATACTGCCTTTTTAATTTTAACATTCTTTTTCAAACATCTAAACCTGTTCTTACACTGGCTTTATAAGTAGTGTTTTTAATGAGCTTCATAGTATCTTGCCAGGGGAACTAGACACTTCTCCTACTTTCAGGCATTTAAATGATTTCTGTCTTTTGTACTTCTCTACCGACTTTGTTAACTATGACTGTAGGATCCACAAACATGGAAGATCTTTCCGTAAAACTTATGTAGATTATTTTACTCAGATCTGAGAAGTCATTTGGGCATTGGCCGTATGGACTACAACAGCTTGTTCTTGTCCTTCATGTCTGGTGATCTGGGGGTCTGGAGCCTGCCAGCAGCTGCCACTGAAACTTTCACCTTCAGAAAGTTGCCTGTTGGCCTATTCTGTGATAATTTATCTGGTCAGCCTGGAGTCAGTGTATGATCCATATTTTACCTATTACTATGGTACAGTTTATTGGTTGCCAAACAAGTAAGAATTCATTGGTTGTAATCTGTCTCCTCAAAGTGGTGGGAGGCATGTGTGTGCTGCAACAGTGCTCCCACATAACTCTGATAAACCACAGAACTTCACTGAAAATCAGGGCTGTGGTCTGACATGTTTTCACATTATCCATCCCTAGAGACTTGCTGCTAGGGCTTACTCTGTTTGACCCATGGAGTTTGTGCTCATTTTTAATGGCCATAATAACGTTGGTTGCTCCAAAGATATACCCTCTTAGGTTACAAAGATAACAACGCATATGGATGAGGAAAGCAATCATTCGGGCCAAGGAAGCTCATATTCACTTGATTATATAGTAGGCTTATTAGATTCACATACAATAATTGTGTAACTCTGGCTTACCTACATTCCTTCATATTATTATATTTCAAATAAAATATCAATACATTTGTATTAATATTCTAAAATAAGATATAAAAAATTACTTAAAGGAAGTACACAGAACTTCCTATTTTAAATTGATCCCTGAGGGACCTGTGACAGATCAGAAATAGTTTGGGGACAGATGTTCAGATATACTTTAGTATGGTCATACTTGCTCCATTGAGTACATGAACCTAACTTTATTATAGGTTCAGGTTATTCATTGTTGTTTTTTATCATTAAGTAAATGTTTAATGGAAATACCATATTCATGTAGAAAAGAGCACAAATTGTGAGGAGATTTTTACAAAGGGAACACAGCCATGTAGTCAGCACCCTCATCAAGGAAAAAAACATCACCAGCATCCCAGAAGTCAGCTTTCATTTTAATTCTGCAGAATTTCCCATTAACTGATTGCAGGGTAACTTAAAAAAAAAAAAAAAAACAACTTTCCCCCCAACATTTATAAATGGTTTTCTGCCATTAAAATCCTGCCAAAATATCGATGGAACTCCCTAGTCTTGAACATTAGCCAAGTGAGAAAAAGACAAATTCTGTTCTGACACCTTTTTGATCAAAATGACCTTTTCAAATGCAGCCATACCTATATTTTGTCCCCTTAGCCACCCTGCTGTCCTTGAGAGTTCTCCCAGAGTTTAAGAAGAAAGCTGTATGGACCAGAGCATATGGTTGGTGAACAGTTTTGCAGTAACCAGCAGCATTCTCAGCTGGATGAGGAAAACCATATAAGTGGAAGAAGTTTTTCAGAATTCATGCCTGGTATTGCTGAGACATGATGCAGAGAGTTAAGGGTCATGAAAAGATGGCCACATCACTGACAGCTTGACACATGCCTCCTAAGAGAGGAGTGCATTGCTTTAGTACCCGGGCCAGTTGAGACTGAAACAGGAACTTGGATTTTCTTTATTTGGCTTGAGTTCAATGTGGAGATTTTCTTTGTGAAAGCTTGAAGATATTATCTTCTCCCTGCTAAATTCCAGTAAAATAATGTTGTCAATTTTGTGCGTGTGACTTTTGTTTTAAGGCATGGGGGAAGGTGCCAGAACCACTTGGTGACAATGGCATTATGATCTATTTTCCATGAATCTCCATGAGGATATTCATTGACTCAGTGAGTTAGACAAATTTCCTTATTGATAAAACACTCTCTTGGAACTGCTATACACATTTAAATAATAAGCATAACATTGAATATTAGCTAAATCAGATTCATTAATGGTGTCTATCATTTCCTTATGCTTTGTTCTCTTGAATGCAAGTGAAAGTTGTGATTCCAAATAGCTTCAGCCAAAGATTAGTTCACAAACTAAGAAATTTAAGAGTAGATCTCATCTGACACAGCTGCATCCAGTGAATCAAGTGATGCCGTCAGGCTTTGTTCCTCTCAGAATCATTCCTCATAGCTGGCAAGATGTCTGCCAGTGACCTCAAAGGGAAAGAAAGGTGTCTGCCCACAGATACAGCAGAAGCAACATGAGGAGGACTCTGGTTCAGACTGGATGCCTAGGCCCAGGGAGGTCGGTCACATGTGAGTCTCTGAGCAAGTATCTGGGCCCAGGGAGGTGGGGAATGCTAACTGTCCAGGCCTGGGTCATATGTCCACTCCTAAGTCTCTGGATAGAGAGGTGTCAAGGCAGACCCACCCAAACCACCTGAACTGGGTTTCCTCCAGAAGAAAGATGATGGGGTGCTGGGCTGGCAAAAAAATGACAGATATCTCCCCTGAAGATCAATTTTTTAAATAAGTACAAATCTCTTTCTTAATCGGGGTGACTACTGGACTAAAGTAAATGCAGGTTTGTGACGATATTCTCAAGGGTTGCATTTTATTCAATGGCTTGAGACTCAGCCAGCATTTAAATTTGGTCTATTTGCTAATGACTCTCCTCACAGCCAGTATCTGGGCTCTGTGTTTAGCCAATCATATAAACGTACTGATGCATACGTATATGGGATCACTGGAAGAAAAATTATGCCACTGAAATAATGTACCTTTGTGTCTGTCATGCCATAGCACAGTGCCTGATGCTGCTCAACCACCATGGAGCTTCTATTATTCCCCTGTGGCCTGTACCTTCATGTTGTCACCAATGTACCTGCCACTTAGGTTAAAAATAGCTTTACTAGTTTTGTTTTCCAAATACATGACTTCCTTAGAGGTTAGGCTAGAGGAAAATGAATTTGAATGAAGACAGGAAGATAGATAGAAAATTTACTCTAGAAACCAGCTTCCCTCTCCTTCCCATCTATATACACTTTCTTATATTTCCTACTGATGAGAGGTTGAAATTCATCTAACATTCACTGCTAGGTGTCAGAAAACAGCTATAGAATATACACAAAACATTCACTGCTAGGTGAATTCACTGCTAGGTGAATTCTAACATTCACTGCTCGGTGTCAGAAAACAGCTATAGAATATACACAAAAGGAAATGAGAAAGGTATTTAAATGCTTCATTACAAAAAAATAAGCACAATAGATGACAATCACGCAGGAAATGAGGGACAAAATACCTATAAAGCAGATAGAAAACAAATATCAAAATGACAGAACAGTTGAGCTTTCAGTTGTATTATATTATTTAACTCTTGCAACAATACCACAACGAGGCATTTTCTATTTTAAAATGGTGCAAACACAACTAGTTAAGTGGCAGAGAACCCACTGCTCTTTCTATGCACCAGGCTCATCAGCTCCTCCTTTAAGATGAAAACTCCCACAGAGGATGAAACCTTACTCATGCTTAATGTAGATTGCTATAATCAGATAAAGAAACAACTCTGCCTCATATAGGTAGGCCTCTGGAACGGAGAAGTTTAGGTCTGTAGTGTAAATGAGTAGGTCTTCATGGGTTGAAGGACTTCAGATTCCTGGGCCAGCTTGCAACATGAATGGCAAACAGGAGTAGTAAAGAGGAAGTGAGCACCAAAGAACCACTCTCTATTTTTTTGAGTCTGCAGCCAGAGACTACCAATGCCCAAGTAAAGAGATGAAGAATCAGCCTAGTCTTCCAACCCCAGACTGCCCTTTTCAGTTCAGCCCAGTTTCTTCTCATTCAAACTTTGTCCCTGCTCCTGCCCTTGACAAGGAAACAGAAGAGTACAAAAGGGAGGAAATAAGATGTTTATTCTTTTTTCCGCAGCTCCTTCTTTTTATTTTGAGCAGCCTTGAGTATAAGATTTGTATTTTCTTATTCATGGGAACCTCTAAAGATTCTAAATTCAAAACTCCAAAGGTTCTTACATCTAAACATTCTAAGATATAGATCACCAGACTAATAAGACCTTTTCTCTTGCTATCTGCATGACCTCAGGTGAGAATTAAATTATTCCCTTAGGATTTTTCAGTTTATTCTCCAGAAACCAGAAGTCTCTGCATTTTTAGGCCAGATGTTCCTAGCTTTATGGAAAGTTTCCTTACAAATCATCTAATGTTAGTTTTTAAAAACATAAGTGGCCAAGACAAATAGCATGCTGAGATGTACTAACAAATTAATGTGTGGGGTTTGAGCCCTGATAGGTCTCTCAGAACTATCTAAACACTCTGACTCTTGATTTGAAAAGTATACATTTGGAACAGATGTTAAGATCCATGCAAGTGCCTAAAATCCTCTTTGTGTTTTATTTGTAATGTAATGGCTCCATGGTAACCAAAAGGCTGTTAATAATCTTTTTTTAAGTTAACTGTGAGACATTAATGTCTCCAAAATGATTTTAACCAGAGATAGTGGTATTGTAATTATATAAGGAGTCAGATTTAAGGATTCAATTACTATCTTGAAGTAACTTAGTAACTTTGAAAGCAAGCAGCAGTTTTAGAGGTTTAGCAAACACTTTAGTAAACTGCTGTTTTAGAAGAGAAATCAGATCATTTGGTAAAGAGATGGGGCCTTCGTTAAAGCCCGAGGGTAGGTCCCTGTTTGGTCAGTTTGTATTTCTGACCCAACCAGCCTATTCATAGGAACCACTTCAAATGGAACTAGGGGACAGAGTGTGGCTGGAACCGTTCACATTCTTCATCACTCTTGTGGAAAGACACCCAACAGCATCATCTTCGTTTACGAATGTGTGTCATCACTGCTGTGGTCCTGGACGAGGTAACATGCTTCTGTATTTTCTGGGGGAAATACATTACTGTGATCCTGGAAACTTTAAAATCTCATCTTAAATGTATGATATATATAAATATATATATATATTATTTATAAAGTTGTGAGTTTTGCATTTAATCTGTTAATCTTCATAAATAGTAAAAACTTCTTTAAAACTACAACTTAGAAAGCTCATCTGATTCTTGTCAAACATAGGGAACTTGTAAGATCATTTCCAGCTAAATTATTAAATATGAAACTGAATAAAAATGATTATTCCCTGAGGTTTGGTTTTATTTTTTGGATAAAATGATCTACCTCACAAAGTAGCTGTGAGGGTTAAAATAAATAATACAAAAATATGGTTTATAAATTATAAAATGTTATTGAAATGTTATCACTTTTGTGTGTTTCACTGCAAATAAATAGCTGTAATGCTTGAACACATTTCTGACATGTATATGGGGACTCAGGAAGACAGTGGAAGTTTATTAAGAAATTGTTCTTAACAATTAAAATATTCTAGAAGTAGCATGTTAAGATACTTATATAAGTTGAAAGAAAAAAACAAAACTTATGTGTCTTCTAAATATAAGGAACGCTTTGAGATACAATTGAAATTCATTACCTAATTAAGCCGATAGATTTCTTGAAATATATTTCTAGATGTAGTAGTGGCGTTCTTTAAAGATAGAGTTGCACACACAATTATGGGTGTCTATTATGTGCCACTATACAAGTTTCTGGGGTACAATCTGAACAAAACGTGTCATCCCTGCTCTCATGGAACTTACAGTCAGAGAATATAAATCACTAAACCATCATGAAGTAAGAACAGAACATGTTATAAATGTCCTACTTCTGCAAAGCCCTTTATAATTTGCAAAAGTTTAATTTACCATATGTCATTTAGTCTTCATAATAACTTTAAGTGGTTAAGGAAACTGGAACTCAAAGAGTCATTCAGTTAGTAAATAATGGAGCTTGATCTCAAATCAAACCTAGTGCTCTTAATTCCAGACCACATTATCTTTCACAAGAACCCCATCATTCAGCTGAATACCATGAAGTAACAATAGACACCTACATGTATGTGATGAATTAAGGCATACTTTTACTAATTGACTTTCATATGGAATTAACTAACCTTATTTTAGATGAGATTTAAAACTCCAGCTACCCTTAGCAAAAATAAACTAGTTAGTAATTCTTACTTGGCATGTTAAAAACATGTTCAGAACTACTATTTAAGGATTTTTAAAGCCATAAAAAATCATCCCTGTTCTGAAAACATTGGTGGCTTTTATATAAGTAGTTCTTTTTAGCAGTTTTCTTTCTGTCCAAAGCTGAAATAATTTAGACTCAAAAGCAGTGGTTCTCAAACTTTTCTGTGCATGAGGCTCATTTGAGGAGTCTATCAAAAGGTAGGATCCTGAGCTTATTCCCAGAGCTTCTGATTCAACTATCTTTAGTGGAGCCCTGGAATCTGCATTCTAAACAGGTGAACTTGTTAATTGTGGCTGTTGCTCCCTGAACATACAATCTGAACACTACCCTGGAGAACCATGTCATATCAACATTAGCATATAACTCAGACCGAGAAGAATATTAAAATTATCCGAACCAACGGGAAACATTATAATTATTAAAAAGCAGTAATAAACAAGTGGAAGATAGATACTGGGTAAAGGAAGATAATTTTTAGCATATTTTAACCTTAATTTTAAATCACTTTAACACTTTAGTACCATAAAATGTTTTCTCCATAAGTAAACTTAAATAATTGTAAGATTCTTTCTTTGGGGAAATATTTTGGACATTGAGATTGTATCTATTTGTACTTCTGAAATAAATACAGTTTCTCACATTTGACAACTTGCTCAAGGCAGGCAAAGTAAGGAATAGTTTAAAAAAAAACATTAACTTAGGGACCTTAGTGAGATGTAGTTACCATATTATTAGATTGAAACGTTCAGTTTTCAGCAAAAAAATAACAAGGCATACAAAGAAACAGGAAAGTATGTCCCTTTCAAATGAAAACAAAAACAAAAACTATCTCTGAAAAAGACTTGATGGTGGATCCACTAAAGGCTCTACAACGACTGCCTTAAGGATGTTTTTTAAAGAACCAAAGAGCATGCGGAAAAAGTCAAAAAACCAATGGATGAACAAAATGGTAATATCAATATAGAGAAAATCTAAGACGATACAAAAAAGAAATTCAAGAGCTGGAAAGTACGATAATTGAAATGAAAAACTCACTAGAGGTATTCAAAGGCAGATTTGGGCAGCAGAAGAATCAGTATACATGAAAATAGGACAATGGAAATTATTAGTCTGAGCAATAGAAAAAAATTGGAAAAAAGTGAACAGGGTATAAGGATCTGTGGGACCCATCAAGCAGACCAACATACACATTGTGAGGATCCCAGAAGGAAAAGAGAGAAAGAAAGGAGCAGAGAGAATATTTGAAGAACAGCCAGATAATGACCAACAAACTCCAAGTAGAATGAATTCCAAGAGATCCACACAACTATCAAAAGCCAAAGACAGAAAGAGAATCTTGAAAGTAGCATGAAAAAATCAATTCATCACATATAAGTGATCCTTAATAAGATTATCAGATTTCTCATCAGAAACTTTGGAGGCCAGAATGCAGTGAGCTCACATATTCAAAGTGTTAGGAAAAAAATATATCATCAACCACATTTCCTGTATTTGACAAAACTGTTCTTCAAACGTGAGAGAGAAATTAAGACATCCCCAGATAAACAAAAGCTGAGAAAGTATGTTACCACTAGACCTGCCCCTGCCAGAAATGCTAATAGGGGTCCTGCAAGTTGAAATGGAAAGACACTAAACAGCAACTCAAAGCCACATGAAGAAATAAGGATCTCAGTAAAGAAAAATACATGGGCAATTATAAAATCTAGTACTTTTGTAACAATGGTTTGTAACTCCACTTTTTGTTTTCTACATAGAGACTACTGCATTTTTAAAAATTGATTTTGGACACACAGTGTATATAATTTTGTGAAACTTAAAGGAGTGATAGACAGAGATATAAAGAGCAGAATTTTTGTATATTTTTGAAGTTCAGCTGGCATAAGTCCAAATTACCTTCCGGATATTAAATGTCACCCTATGGTAACCACAAAGAAAACAGCTACAGAATATACACAAAAGAACTGAGAAAGATACTTAAATGCTTCACTATAAAAAAGTAAACTACACACAAAAGACGTAATGCAGGAAATGAGGGACAAAAAAGCTAAGCTATGTAGAAAACAAATAGCAAAATGACAGGAGTAAGTCCCTCCTTATCAGTCATCCTCAAAAAGGAAGAAAATTCTGACATATACAAAATGGAGGAAACTTGCAGACATTATGCTAAGTGAAATAAGCCAATTACGAAAGACAGATACTGTATGATTACATTTATATGAGGTACTTAGAGCAATCAAAATCATAGAGACAAAAAGTAGACTGGTGGTTGCCAGGGACAGGGCAGATGGGAGAATAGGGAACCATTGCTTAATGAGTATAGGGTATAAGTTTTGCAAGGTAAAAAAAGTTCTGGAGATGGACAGTGGTGATGGTTGCACAATATAAATTACTTACTACTACTGAACTGCACACTTAAAAAGGAATAAGATAGTATATTTTACATTTTACCACAATAAAAAAATTACTGAAAAAAGTTGTCTTAGATATGTTTTCAAAATATCTAATGGTTCCTATTTCATCTATGTTACTTAGATTTGAGAAAGTAAGCCTTTGTCTACACTGTACAAAATGAAATAGGGATTTGGTGAACATACAGTTAAGACAGATAGTCAAAGACATCAACTTTGCGATTTTGGTAACATCCGATTAACCAGATAGTTACTGTCTTGACTTCACTATGTCTGGGTTTCTTAACCTGGGGAACATGTACTTAAGTAGAAAAAGAAATTACACCTTTATTTTCACTAATTGATAATGAAATTTAGTATTCCTTTCCATTGTGAATACAGGCAACCAACCACAGTAGTATTAACAATTGTGTCTGTCACCAAAGGAAATGTAAGATCTTTTTATGTTACAATTGTTGCAGATATCTCAAATTACTGTCAATCCTCATTTCTGTTTTAAAATAATTATAAATTCACTTGTGTTTCTTTTGGTTTTCAATTTTAAGAAGTTTTTAAGTTAATCTGGTTTTAAAAAATTAAAGCATTATTTAATAATGAAATTTTAATTTATTATAATGACCCAGTAAAGTGTAGTTTCTCTAATTTTCTCTTTGTTTTAGTGATTGATTGTACATGTACTTCGGCAGTGTAAGGAGCCATCTTTATTTGGAGTGATTAAGATTAACTCACCTAAAATTTGCAAAGGGTTTATGTTCTCCTTGCACACTAAAGCTTTTCATAATTTTTCTGAAATTTAGAAGATAACTATAAAAGCAGAAAAAATGTAGCTTTTTAAAAGGATAATTTTTTAAAATCCAAATATATTTATAAAGATTTCAAGTAGCCTAATACTCAATTGTTTCTTTCCAAATGTTTTCTTTAGTGGAAATAAGTTACCCATTTTTAAAATTACATTTTTATTATCCTATTCTTACATCACAATATATTTAATACCTTTTTACATAGTTTCTAGGTAAGATCTTTATAATTCTTTACCAAAAATTGAGTGATACATCAATGATACAGCAATGACTATCAGTTATTCACACTTTTTTTAGATTTTCAAAGAAAGCATTTTTCAAAACTATGTAAGGACATATGACTTACATTACAGTAATTAGCAACAATTCAGTAATAATCCAAAACATGAATTTTCCTTTTTAAAAAGTACTTAGTATATTTTTATACCTTTTATCTTCCTGTATGTGTGTGTCATTATTTTTAAAATTAAAAAGAATACAGAATGGGGCATCATTTGTGTATTTGCTAAAGGTTTACTATTTTCATTAGGGTCTTCTCTTTTGAGATAGAGTCTCACTCTGTCACCCAGGCTGGAGTGCAGTGGCTCAATCTCTGCTCACTGCAACCTCCATCTCCTGGGCTCAAGCGATTCTCATGCCCCCAGCCTCCCGTGTAGCTGGGATTACAGGCATGCGCCACCATGCCTGGCTAATTTTTGTATTTTTAGTAGAAATGGGGTTTCACCATGTTGGCCAGGCTGGTCTTGAACTCCTGACCTCAACTGATCTGCCCACCTCAGCCTCTCATAGTGCTAGGATTACAGGTATGAGCCAGCATGCCTGGCCAGGGTCTTCTTTTAAGGCATCAAAGCCCAAATAACTTACAAGATGTTAACAAATACATGACATTAATGAATACTCTATCAGAGCACTAGGGACTGAATGCTGGTGTCCCCCATTAAATTCACATGTTGAAAATCTAATCTCCAGTGTGATGGCATTTGAAGCTGGAACCTTCATAAATGGGATTAGTACCTTTACAATAAGAAATAAGGGAGAGATGGTTTCTCCCTCCACCATGTGAACATATAGCAAGAAGGCATTCATCTGCAAACCATGAAGAAGAATCAGCTAGCACCTTGGAACCTCATCAGGAACTTAATTGTCTAGCACCTTTATCTTGGACTTCCCTGCCTCCAGAACTGTGAGAAATATATTTGTTGTCTAAGCCACCCAGTTTATGGTATTTTGTTATAGCAGCCAAGCTAAGACAGCAATTAGTACCAAGAAGTGTGGTGATGCTATAACCAATATATAAAGATGTGGAAGCAGCTTTGACGTTAGGTAACAGATAGAAGCTGGAAGAGTTTTGAGGTACTAGAGTACCTGGAAGAGTACTGGAAGAGTTTTGAGGTACTAGTTTTTTTGCTAGAAAAAGCCAGTATTGCCATGAAGGGATTGATAGAGGTGATTTTGGTGAGGGCTCAAAGAGAAGAGGGTGGGAGAGAAAGCCTCCATCTTCATAGAGAACACGTAAATCACCATGAAGATAATGTTGGTAGACATGGACAATAAAGGCCATTCTGATGAAGTCTCAAATGAAAATGAGGAACCTGTTATGGGAAACTGGAAGAAAGGTGATCTTTGTTATAATATGCCAAAGAACTTGGATGATTGTGTTCATGTTCTAGTGTTTTGTGGAAAGTAAAATTGTGAGCCATGAAATTAGATATTGAACTGAAGAGATCTCCAACCAGTGTTGAAGGAGTGCCTCGGTTTATCTTGACTGCTTAAAGTAAAATGTGACAAAAAATGAAGACAGAATTCTTAACAAAAACGGAACCAGAACTTAAAAGATGTGGGAAATTATCAGTCTGTCTGCATTACAAAAAGATAAGAAAACACGTTTGGTAGAGAACACTAAGAGTGTAGCAGACAAGTCATCCAATTAGATTTATGTGGGTGTGAACCACAGACCTAATCAGCCACCCCAGCAGGAACACTGCTAGTTTGTATTGAAAGGAATGGAGATGGGACAGAATGAGGGAAGACTGTTGGACTTCTTGAATTTGGGACCATAGAGCTATTCAGCTGTGAATGTACACTATTCTTCAAGAAAAGGAGAAACTGACCCGGAACAATGATTCAGAGAACATCAGTGGTACCTTCTCAGTTTCAAAAGGGGCAGTCATTGCCTTGGTTTCAACAGGCCTGACAGCTTCCGCCTGGTGATATGGGGGTCATCCTCCTCCAACATAGTCCTGGGGGCAATACCTCTGCCTCACTGGGTCCTGAAGCCAGAGTATCAGGCCAAAGAGGATTATTACTAAGACTGAAGATCTCATGGTGTTTGCCTTGCTAGGTTTTGGACTTGCTGGGGACCCATTACACCTTCCTTTTTTCCTGTTTCTTGCTTTGGGAATAGGAATGTCCACCCTTTGTGTGTCCCACCATTGTACTGTGGAAGCACATAACTTGTTTCATTTCACAAGTTCAAAGCTGGAAAGGAATTTTACCTCAGGATGAATTCTACCTTGAATCTCACCCACATCTGATTTAGACGAGACTTTGGACTTTAGAGTTGATGCAGGAATGAGTTAAGACTTTTGAGGCTGTCGAGATGGAATGTATGTATTTTGCATGTGAGGAGGACATGAATTTTGTAGGACCAGGTACAGAATGCTATGGAGTGAATCTTTGTGTTCCCCCAAAATTCATGTGTTAAGCCCTAACCTCCAATATGATGGTATTTGGAGGTGGGGCCATTGGGAGGTAATTAGATCATGAGGGTAGAGCCCTCATGAATGGGGTTAGTGCCATTATAAGAGACATAAGAGAGTTGATCTCTCTCTCATGTGAGGACAAAGAAGGACATCTATCTGCAAACTGGGAAGAGGGCCCTCACCAGAAACTGCATTAGCTGATGCCTTGATCCTGAGCGGAATT
Organism: Homo sapiens; assembly: GCF_000001405.40. Classification (NCBI taxonomy): domain Eukaryota; kingdom Metazoa; phylum Chordata; class Mammalia; order Primates; family Hominidae; genus Homo; species Homo sapiens. The sequence goes on from NC_000009.12 coordinate 21,006,407, forward strand.
CCCAGCCTCCAGAACTGTGAGAAGCGTTTGCTGTTGTTTAAGCCATTCGGTTTATGGTGTTCTATTATAGCAACCTGAGCTAAGACATAGGGCTTGGAAAGATATTTAATTTTCTAAACATATCTAATGTTTAGGGTGAGTATTATTAGATCTGAAGACAGACATCTGTCTATGAAATATGTTATTCTAGGCAACTGTGGAATATATTTTCCATCCCTCTTCTCCTACAGATCTATTTGGGAACTTGGAAGTGAAAAAGAATACATGTAATTTAGGTTATCAAGTTTGGTTTCTTAATTTAATTGAATCTATTGCAGCTAATCTCCTATTTCTCATTAAACTTACAGGAAAATAATCAGACTTCATACAATGTAAGTATAACTTGTATAAAATCCAAATGAAGCAGGAATTTTGGTGAAGCAGGGTATGGAGAATATATATGTCTTAAAAATACAATGTGTGAAAAACATAGCCTGTTATGTCTAGAGTTTTGGGGGTATGTGCAGTTATTTCATGTAATGGATTTTTATCAAATACAAGGTATTTTTCCACCAGAATACTTCCTGTGTTTTATTTACTGCACTGAATCCACAGCCTGTCTTTTCTCGTGTCACACTGGAATGCTGTACTTCACATCTTCTTTTTTTTAATGGGAAAGATTCCGAGGATGTCTCTTCTTTCTGAGTATAGATGACTGTAGGTAAAATACATACCTAATATGGAGAAAGAAGTTGCAAAAGTAAGTAAGGTTAACTATTTCTCTGGAAGAAACAATGCTTTTAAAATACAGTCAGAGTGCTGCCCAAATCCAGGGAGAAGACACTTGCAAGGGAGATGTGAGAAGGAATGTTTAAAGAAGTGTCCAGATTTTATGCAGAAAGAGAGGTAAATCAAACTCTTCCATCCTACTTTTTTTAATGCAAGGAATTGTCTTCCTTTCTTTAGCATAGCTCTCTCCACCTTCCTCTAAAGTTTCACATTTTTGTCTTTTCTCTCTATATGTTGTTCATATGTTTGATATCTGTTACCTTCTAGAGATAATCATTATTTTGGAGATTTGTGAAGGTTAGAGCTGGGAAAACAAAAATTTAATAGTGAAAGTTTTTTCCCCAATTTCCTGGAAAATGATTAGGTTTAATGATCAAATTTATTCAAGGGTAAGTTTTTGTTCCATACATTTCTCTTGAGTCTGTAACACCGACTCCCATTTGCCTGATAGGAAGTGCCAGCTTGAAAAGCCAAACAAACAAGAAACAAAATGGATATAAATGGAAACATCAGAAATAGCCAATTCTTCTTAGTTTGACATCTAGGTTTTATTTGTAGATACCTGTGCACATGGTCAAAACTTCTATATCTCATACATAATGCAGCTATATTTTCTGATAGTAAAATTGTTCTTATTTGTACAGTGAAAGTGAAATATATGATCCCATGATGCCCTGCAAAAAGCATTATAACCTCCAGGGGCTTTACTAGCAAGATCTAGTTCATGATGTCAGGCTTCCTCTTTGGTCTCTCCCATGTTTACCAACCTGTATATTAAGGTAGACGGCAAGCACTAACCAAAAAGTACAGGAAAAATGCAAAAACAAGACCAAAAAAGCCACTTACCTATAAAGAGCATCATGAGATATATTTTCAGCACATATGGGAAATAGATGGATAAGTCAAAGGGCAGCTTGGTGGAATAAGTGCCAAATGATTCAAAATAAGGCAGCGATTGATAGATGGCAAATGCTGTTAAAAAAGAAAGGCATCATAAAGGTATTCCTCCTTAAGTTGTTACAGGGATGTGTATATATGTCTTCATAGTTGTAGGATATTTTGAATTTGATAATGACAGTTTTGTAATAGTTGCTGAATCTTTTTGCTAAACCTAGTTTAATATAGAAATCTGTGAAATGATTAAGTTGGCAAGGTGCTTACAGCAGTATGACTTGTTGAATGTTTGTCCATGGTATACCTTATTGTGCCTACAGAAGAATTTACAATGTTTCTTAAAATGTTATCTCAAAATACATTTGTCCACCTAGCCACAAATAGGGGTGATAGAGAGATGAACTTGGAAAATGGTGCATATATTTTCCTCTTAGAGTTTCACAACACACATTAACATAGTAGAACACATATTAACATTGTGAGAAATTCTGTAATAAAAAAATACCACCTAGCCTTTCCTCAATGTAACTGGCCTTAGAATATCTCCTTCTTCCTTCTTAACCACCAGTAGTATTTAATAAGTATTTTGAAGAACTCTATGAGAAATGCTGGCCTAAATTATTTTGAGGGAGGGGGCTGGTATCAGGTAAAAAAAAGATTAAAGTTCAGTAACATTGTATCCCATGTATAGATATTTTTGGTAACATTTCATGCAATGAAATGTTAATATGCTAACATGATGTAAGATGTTATCATTAGGGTAAGCTGGGTGAAGGGTACATGGGAATGGTGCACTATTTTTGCAATTTCTTATGGGTCAAAATTATCCCTACATAAAAAGTTTTTAAAAAGAGAAAGATGAAGAAAAGGCAAGAGTTCACAACTGTTAGAGCCAAGCAGAGGTATGAGTAGCATCAGTGAAGGATCTGCCACTGACACCAAATATGCAGTTTAAGGTTAACACAGGCCGCACCTATGTCTCTAGCATTTTATCAGTATAATTAGTTGATTTTGTTATTTACATAAGCTTTGTTTTTGTCTTATATCTGTCAGATGGGAAATTATAGTTATTAAAATTATTAAAATTAAAGTTATCGAAAGTTTAGTAGGTTTATTTAACTGCGCAGTTTTATACTTTGGGACATCTAACATATACAGAAACACAGAAAGATAAAATTACAATTATCTGTATTCCACCATCCAGAGCATTATTGACATTTTTGTCATATATATCTCTAGACTATTTTCTGCATATACCTTATTTTGTAATTGCAAGAATAAGTTTATGAAGTTAATAAAAGAATAAGGGTTGTATGGCAACCATATAAGAACATGGCTTTCCTAGAAAAGACAAGGATTAGAATTATGGAATAACAAGAATGCAAAAGTTTCCTATACATTTATCCACCCCTTATTCCTAGGAAGGGATTAGTCATATTTCTACCTTATTCCTTTATATATTCTTTTAAATTTGATTAAGTTTTAATTGGCAAATCATAATTGTATACATATATGAAGCACAATGTGATATTTTGATATATGTGTACAATGTGGAATGATTAAATCAAGCTAATTAACATATCTACCACCTCGCTTACTTTTCGTGGTGAGATTTGAAATGTACTCTTGGCTATTTTGAAATATACATTATTAAGCACAGTCACCCTGCTGTGCACTAGATCTCAAAAATGTATTCCTCCTAACAAACTTTGTACCCTTTGACCAACAGCTCCCAATTTCCTTTCTATATTCTCTACAGTACTATGATTTAACAAAGATAATGTATTTGATATTTCAATGAGAGGTTACTTGATTCTTAAAGAATGGACAATCAGGTTCTTACTGTTTTCAAGACAATTATTCTTTAGATCCACTTGGCATAGTCTATTCCAAAATTAATAATTCTTCCTTTTGAATCAAAACAAATTTAGAAATTCTAACATGATTTACAGTAACAAGCTCTTTTTATCTGCTCATCAGTAGATAGAAAATATGTGTTTTTGTTTTATAACTGGCTTTTATATACTTTGGTTATTGTTAATGTCGTCATCATTTTATGTTAAACACCATGTCCTTATGTTTTTCCCTTAGTTACCTTAACATGCTTTCTTATTTTATGTCTTCAGTTTTGAAAACTTTAATCATGTCTTACAGAATGCTCCTTACCAGTCTACCAAATCCATTGCAGAAGAAAGCATATATTCTCCAAATATCCTCAAGCTCTGCTGACTGATGATCTGAATGATTTGATCTTAAGTTTTAGGTTTATATTTAGGCTATATAATTAGCCTACTCATACTCAATAATTCATTCTGTGTTCATTGAGCATGTATACTGGTGCATAAAAGAGAGGAAGGAAGCAAAGAAACAGACTCAGACATCCTGGTACCCCCCCCCCCCCCAGAGCTTACAGTCTAGTCAAGGAAATGGACATTAATCAAAGAATCATACAAATGTGTAATTATGCTGATATAAGCCCTGTTAAGACAGCAGTCCCCAACCTTTTTGGCACCAGTTACTGGTTTTGTGGAAGACAGTTTTTCCACAGACCAGAGGAAGAAGGATGGTTTCAGGATGGTTCAAGCACACAACATTTATTGTGTACTTTATTTGTATTATTATTACATTGTAAGAACAAAATAATTATACAACTCACCATAATGCAGAATCAGTGGGAGCCCTGAGCTTATTTTCCTGCAACTAGATGGTTTCATCTGGGGGTGATGGGAGACAGTGAAAGATCATCAGGCATTAGATTCTCATAAGGAGCACACAACCTAGATCCCTCACATGCACAGTTCACAACAGGGTTTGTGCTCCAATAAGAATCTGATGCCTCCACTGATCTGACAGGAGGTAGAGCTCAGGCGATAATGTGGGCAATGGTGAGTGGCTATAAATACAGATGAAGCTTCACCTGCTAGCCTACTGCTCACCTCCTGGTATGCGGCCTGGTTCTTAATGGGCCACAGACTGGGATCATGGCCTAGTTTGGGGGCCCCTGCTATAAAAGATTCATGATACTGTACCCAGGGGAACTCAGTTGAGGAAGTCAGGGAATGCCTCCCTCAGAAAATGATGATTAATCTCAAGGTAGAGTTAACTAGTTGCTGAGAGAGGGTAGGATACATAGTAAATGGTAAGTGGGAAAGACTCACCAGAGGGGACTGAATTTCTGTGCATTAAAAGTTAAAAATCATAGAATCTCTAAATGTTAACTTCTTTTTGGTGAATAAGCAGACTCTGAGAGGTTAAATGAGTTACCCAAAACTCACACAGTGAGTTAATGAAGTGAAGGCCTCAGATGCCGTTGCTTTTTGTCCAGTATTTTGTCTACTGTGCAGAGCTGCTTCCCTCTTCAACTTTGCCTCTTTGCATCAAGGGAAATATGCCAGTAAGGATACACTGAGTGAGCTAAGCATTCGCAAAAATAGTAATTTAATCATCAAAAAATTTAGTGAACCATTATAACTAGATGGCTTTTGTCAGTAAGCAATACAGCAAGTCACTCTTTTCTTACCTTCAGCAAGAACACACAAAGGATAAATTGGCATCCATAGTGTTTGACTGAGCCATGTCAAGACAGCATAGGATATTCCTATGACTGATAACATGCTATAAGTGTACCTGAAAGGAGATGAGAAGCTCATAAACATCATTTTCTGCTAATATCTGGGAAATAGGAGAAACTACTGTGTAATTAAATACAGAGATACAACTGGAAAGTGTACAAATTGTATATTTTATTTCCTATAATTTAAGGAAGAGTTTTTTTTAAATGGGGGAAAGGGACCATGTCAATCTGGCTTGTCTCATGTGGTAGATCATTAATAATTATAAAGCTAAACAGAGCAAGTAACTCTTACTCCCTCCTCAGAAAAATACAGTTACAAATTTCCTTGATTAGTGACTTCAATTTCATTAAAAAGCCAAGCTCATTTTTTGCAGCAAGCAGCTAGGTTTTTTAATGACAGACATACTTGTAAATATCTCAGGAATTCATTTAAAAATAAAATGTGACTTCCAAATCTTTATTTGGCATCCTTCTGCTTCTGCAGTTGTACTATCTATGTGATCAATTAAAGAACTGGCCTTGGGAGCTGATTTGGGTATAGTAGGGAGCTTTAAGCCTACCACTGTGATGTAAAAAGTAGTCTACGTTGTGTTTTATTTCTTTGAATAGGACACTGGTTTTTAGGCTTGAGCATATATCAGAATCACCTAGATGGCATGTTAAAACACAGATTGCTGGGCCCTACTCCAAAGTTTCTGATCCAATGGAACTGTGGTACACCCCAGACTTTGTATTAACAAGTTCCAGGTGATGCTGATGCCACTGGTCTAGGGACCACACTTTGAGAACTACTAATATAGACAGACAATAAATACATATGGCAAAACTACCCAAAAAACCTTGAAAACATGAATGGGGAAGAGTAAATCTCTCTCAATCCAGGACCTGAATTCCACCCCTCAGAGACAATAGCCAATGTCAGTTTCTTAGGTATTCTTTCAAAAATGTTTTTGCATTTGCATATCTATGTGCATATTTACTATACAGAATATATACCAGCAGTGGAGGACCTCACTGAACATAGCATATAATCAAGCTTTTTGATCTTTACCAATCAAAGTGAAAAATGGTATCTCATCTTTTTCCCCTCATATTAGAAGAGTGGGTAAGCATGTTTTCATGTTTAAAAGCCACTTTTGGCCAGCCGTGGTGGCTCACTCACTCCTGTAATCCCAGCACTTTGGGAGGCCAAGCTGGGCAGATGACCTGAGGTCAGGGGTTCAAGACCAGCCTGGCCAACGTGGCGAAACCCCATCTACACTAAAAATACAAAAATTAGCCGGGCGTGGTGGCGGGTGCCTGTAATCCCAGCTACTCAGGAGGCTGAGACAGGGGCATCACTTGAATCCAGGAGGCGGAGGTTGTGGTGAGCTGAGATCACACCACTGGACTCCAGCCTGGGTGAGAGAGCAAGACTCCATCTCAAAAAAAAAAAAAAAAAGAAAAGCCACTTTTGATGAAGTCCAATTTATCTTTTTTTTCTTTTGTTGTGTACCTTATAACACAGCCAAATCCAGTCATCAAGATTTACTCCTATTTTTTTTCAAAGAGTTTCATAGTTTTCCACTTATATGTGAGTGGTTAACTTCATTTTTTTGTGTGTGTATATCCAGTTGTCCCAACACCATTTGTTGAAAAAGACTATTCTTTCCCCATTGAATGGTCTTGGCATTGTTGTCAAAAATTAATTGACCAAAAATGTGTGAGAGTTTATCTTTATCAATTTTATTCCATGATTTATCCTTACACAGTACCACACTTAATTATTGCTTTGTAGTAAGTTTTGAAATGGGAAAGATTGAGTCCTTCAACTACATTCTTCTAAGATTGTTTTGGCTATTCTGAGTTCCTGGAGTTTAAATATGAGTGTTAGGGTCAGCTTCTCAATTTCTGCAATGAAGTTATCTGGGTTCTAATAGGGATTGCACTGAATCTACAGATCAATTTGGGGAATATTGCCATCTGAACAATATTAAGTCTTCCAAGTCATGTGGGATGTCCTTTCATTTATTTAGCTCTTTAATTTTTTTCAACAATGCTTTTTCAACAATGTATAAATTCTGTGCATCTTTTGTCAAGTTTATTCCTAAGTACTTTATTATTTTTATGCTACTGTAAACAGAATTGTATTCTTGATTTCATTTTATGGTAGTTAATTGCAAATATATAAAAATAATTCATTTTTACATATTGATAATTTTTTATGTATAAGATGTCATCTGCCAATAGAGATAGTTTTACTTGTTGCTTTCCAGCCTAGATGCCTTTTATACCATTTTGTTTGTTTTCTGTTCTGCCTTATTGCCATGGATAGAACTTCCAGTACGATGATGAATATAACTGGCAAGTGTGGATGCCCTTGTCTTGTTCCTGGATATTAGGAGGAAGGCATCAGTCTTTCATCATTAACTATCATGTTAGTATGGATTTTTCATAGATGCTTTTTTCAGGCTGAGGAAGTCTCTTGCTCATTACTTAGGAAAAATAATGCTAGGGTAGGGTGGGATGATAAGTTTACCCCCATTTTACAGAGGAAAAAAAAGTTTCTAAAAGTTAGGTGCCTTGGAATTTCACTCCTAGGTATAAGGGAAATGAAAACATGTGCACACAAAAGCTTGTATATGGATGTTCATGGCAGTACTACTCATGGCCAAACAGTAGAAACCACCCAAATGTCCATCAACTGATAAGTGGATACACAGAAAGTGGTAAATCAATGCAATAGAATTTTACTCAGCCCAAAATGCAATGAAGTACTGCACATGCCACAACACAGAGGAACCTTGAAAACATTATGCTAAGTAAAAGACGCCTGTCACAAGAGGCCACATATTGGATGACTCCATTTATATGAACTTTCCAGGATAGGCAATCCATAGAGACAGCATATGTGTAGTTTCCAGGGGCTGAGGGAAAGAGGGAGAGGGGAGTGACTGCTACTGGGTATAAGGTTTCTTTTATGGGTGATCAAAATGTTCTAGGATAGTAGTGATGATTGCACATCTCTTTGGATATACTAAAACTCACAAATTTTGTATTTTAAAAGGGTGAATTTTATGGTATATAAATTATATCTTAATAAAACTGTTATTAAAATAAGAAAGGTTAAGTGATTTGCCCAACATCACTTAGCAAGTAAGTAGTGGAGGTGGGTTTCATCTAGAGAGATCTTCTACCTCTATGTCCAAAAATCTTCCTATGACAGCATGCTACTTCTTTCAGTGCAAATGTTGTTTTGTTCTCCAATGTATTTATTGAGCTTCTCTGACACTGAAAGAGTAAGCATAGCCAAGAGTAACATACTAGAAAGCTTCAATCCCAAATGATGTTCCATTGTCTCATGAACAGAAGTTATGGGCTACAAAAGTCCATGAAGTTTGCCCCAAGTCCACTAAACTATCAATTCAAAAATGAAAAATTACTAATTTATATACATAATTAAATTCATTTTACTTCAGCAAAAGATTTCATTCTAATTCACTCTAGGACTCAACTTATTATTTAAACATATTTTAATTCAGTTAAGTTATTGACAATATAATGAAAAAATTTACATACCCTTGGCTGAAAAACAAACTAGGGCTCTTTTGTTACCTATTCAAATCCAGATCTCTCAAGTAGGAGGGACGGTTCTTATTTAGGAAAGCTGACCTAGCAGTTAGGACACCTCCCCAGAGTGAGGCGTAAGCACTCACTGAGCAAAGGGGACTGTTTGACACCACCACTTGTAGAGGTAAGACTAGGCACATCTCACTGCAAAGTTTTAGAATTAGCACTAAAAGGACTTAAGTTAGTCATTTGAACCCACTGGAATTGTAAATGAATGTGAGAGTGCATTTTCTTCCTGAGAGGCCCTATATTTAAAAGATTCTTGAATGCACAGAAACTAACTGTAAATTCTGGTGATACAATAAAAGACCTGCTTTGCTTATTAAAGCAACCGTACTAAAGCAATTGTGAGGAATGCCTTTGTTAGGAAACAGCTGAGGGTTATTCCAAGTTGGTTTTATGCCAAGCCTTCTGCAGAAACCTGAATGTGCTGATTTACTCTTGTAATACCACGGTAGGTTTTCATTATCTTTGATATGCCCATTATGGAGAACACTAAAAATACATTTCCATATCAAGATAAAATAATTTGAAAAGGGGTTATGTTTTCCTCTCTCGTACCAAGTAACCTCTGGTTACTGCTAGTACTGGTTTCACTGCAGAAAGCAATTTAGCCTTGTTTTAAGAGATTATTTTGCCTTCTTACCTAACCATATCCAATAGATTCCAAAAGACGAATAAAACACACACCACATATTTCTCTTGGACTTCCTCTTGACTGGTGATCACCACAAAAAGGATGATTATTCTTTCTGTGAGCTAACAAAGAAACAGCAAAGTCAGAAATTAGGACATCTATTAGGCTATGTAGGTAATTTTCTAATTTTGAAAACCAGATCTCCTTTCAAAAGTATACTTTAGCTGGAAATATGTATACTAAACTGTTAACAATGCCTCCCTCTGAGAGAGTAGGGTTATGGCTGAATTTCAGTTCCTCATTTGTCTATATTTTACAAATAATATATAATGAATGAAAAAATGACATATATTTTATGTGAATCAGGATATTTCCTTTCTTCTTGCCACATGCATGTGTTTCTAGTCACTTTGACAAGGCTTTATTGAGTGTCCACTGTGTGTCAGATGCCAAAATGAAAACACAGTCTTTGCTCCAAAGAGGGTAGCAGTGGTGGGAGAACTGAACAATAGCCAGCACAGTGTGTGCCAGATATGGGAGCACAGGTGAGCGAGATACTTTCTGCCTGGAGAAAGAATGCAAAGAGATTAATGAAGACATGCTACATTTCATTTCATCCAAGTTGGATCTTGAAAAATGAATAAGAGTTTGTCAGGTAGACTGGGTATAACAGAAGGCATCCTAGGCAAAGGGAGCAGCCTGAGCAAAGAGGCAGAGGTATGAAAATGTAGGGTGCCCAGGGGAGTAATGTGAACCACTGGGGGGCTAGAGGGGAGGGTGCATAGAAGGGAATAAAAGGAGATGAAATTGAAAACATGTTTGGAGGTGGGTTGTGAAGGGTTTTGAAAGACAGGCTGAGAAATTTCAGTTCCATCCAATAGAGAAACTTGTAGCTTTTTTTTTTCTTTTTTTTGGTAGGGGAGTAATATAATCCTAACCCTTATAAGCTAGCAGAAAATGAAAAGAATTCAATATATTCCAAGTCAGCATTTACAAATCATTGAGACTTCACACATTTTTGGCTTAGCCCCAATTACTAGCCTCAAAAAATAAAAAAATACATTCCTTTTTCCCAACCTAAATATAAAGTGCCTTCTTATGTTATATTAATATATCCTGTACATTCTGTATTTTGTGTGTTTTTAATAAAATGTTTTACTTGCTCTTAATGGTCAAAGGAAAATATACTTAAGATTGAACAGTCAAATTCACAGTAAAGAGGGGAATGATTTATATTTTTCTTTATTTTAAAAGTGGATCAAGGAGAAAAGACTGGGATAACCTGTGACTTGGCATTTATAGGCTGCTAGTCCTGGAAAATCACCTAGTGCCCAGAAATCCAAGATTTGCCAACAGTGGGCCACATGATCAGAAATCCACGTGTATAAGCTATATCAGCATGTTTACGACATGACTACAGTGGTGAGTCAAGAGGGTCTATGTTTGGCTAAGGGGAATTATATATGATTCAAACCTTAGTCAAACCATGGAAGCTATCTACATAGCTGTTTTTCTTTTTTCAGTCTTTCTTTATAATATAATACTCTATTGATTTAATTTCAATAATAAATTCTACTGAACTGCAATTATAATTACTGAACAATCCAACCTTGATGTCATGACACCTCTCAGCCTTCAGATACACGATCATAGCAACAAATAAGTTCTTAGGCTCTACCTCTCTTACATTTGATCAGTGCTTGGTTATTAGGAAAACCTTCTGGTTTTTGCTAGAAATCTCAGGAGATACACATACATGAATGGATACATGAATAAAATACAGATTTCTAATTACATGGCTGGCTACTCAAAAAACTTAGACACCTTTCAATAAGATGATCTCTAGGGTCTCCTCCAGATAAAACATTCTGATACTAGCCCAGCCCCACCTTTTTGGAAACAAGGAATTTGGGAACAGACCTGGAAACATATATATATCCGAAGTCTCCTGGTTTCCAGAGTTGTAAGCTATCCATGATGTCAGGTCATCCCTTAATTGAAGAGGACAGAGGGGAAAATCTCCTAAAAGGGAGAGACTGGAGCTGCATGATGAAACTCACCCTGTTGAAAATCATCACTTCACTGTCTGTGGCAAGGTAGCGATGAAATCCCAGCTGCACAGAAAGCAGCAACAGGATGGACCCCCAAACCAAACCACAACACACATACACACGAGTGAAGACTCCCTCTATATTCGGTGTCAATCTAATTCGTTAACAAATCATCTGATGGTTATTCAACTCTAACTTGACCATTCAATGGCAATACAATGGGGAAATTTAGGCAGAGATGTTCTTAAATTGAAATAAAGCTAATATTTATTGTTTACCTTGTGCCAGGTTCCAAATATACACCATCTCATTTTATCTCCATAATGACCCTAAGAAGTAGGTGCTATTATTGTTCTAGGCGTTTTACAAAAGACATGCATTTTACCAACTGAAAGTGACTTACCTACAAGTCTGGAATCAACATCTAGACAATACGACTTCAAATTCCTGAAATACTAAGACTCTTTCACCATTGTTACTTGATATGAGTTACTCCATCACCTAGTATCCAGATTATAGCCTATTCTTTAAAAAAGCTTCTCCTTAAAAATTAAGCCTTAAAACAAGAGCCTCCTTGATTTTCTTAACACCAAAACAATTTTGAAGAAAAGGCTTTTAATATTTATCAGTCTTCTCTAATATGACCATTTGACCAGTTATTTAGAGCTTGACACATGGAAGAATTTAGCCCTTTGTCATTTTTAACAAACCCTGTGAAAATATGACAAATTACTAGAGAATGGTCTTGTTTAGTACAACTCAAACAGGTAGAGTAAAAGGTATAGTAAATATCCTACAACTTGGGTTACATTAAACATAGTGATAATGTCATCTACTCAAAAGTGTGATAACTATATAATAAAAATGCTGGGCATTTTTATGTTCTATTTGGGAATCCTAAACTCCAGGTTGAGCAAAAATTGAAACTAAGTTGTTACTTTACAAATGGCAGGTAGCACTTGATTTATAAGCTATGGGAGGGTAAAAATGATACTTCAACTACAGGAAAAATTAATTTCTAGAATCTTAAAATTAGTTTTAGTCTAAAAGACTACTATTTTACTAAAATGAAAATCTAAACTCTCAATCCTCTGAACTTTTCTGAGAACTTCAGAAATCTATATATTCAAAAACTACCAATTACATGCTTCTATAAGACAAATGCATTTAAATAATTGTATTTGCTTCCTTCTTTATTCATCATTCAATAGATAATTATTGAGTGCACTGTTCTGGGTCCCAAGGGATATAGCTGTGAACAAGACCAAGCCCCTGCCTTCATGATATTTATATTACACTTGGTGAAACACTAAACAAATGTAGCATAATAGTTGAGAGCTCAAGAGCCAAAGAGCTTAAATGTCTGCTACAATATTCAAAACCTATGTGACCTTGCATAATTTACTTCTGTGTTAAGTAATTATACCAGAGATAATAATTAGCATCTATTGTTACATAGTAATTATTATATACAGGAAAAGGTTGTTGTAAAGATTAAATAAGTTAATACATGTAAAGAACTGAGAAAAGTGTTTGACACACATAAAAGCCCAAATAAATGTAAGCTATGATTAGGAAAATAAGTATTTAAATATACTTTAATGTAGTGATTTACATTGTATTTACAGGAAAACATTTTTCTATGTAGATAATGACTGTGAATTAAAAAATTCAATCTCAACATCTGTAAAATTACACTAGAAATATAGCTTTATACTTATCACACATGGATCAAATGTGAAAAACAGGAAGATTCTAAAATCTTACCTACAGAGTGAATTGGACATGTAATTCACCCTCAGGAGGCTTCAAAATTTGGAGAATGTTACAACTCAACACTGTCTTTTATAGTTTCTTCTCTAACAATATAAGCCTATTCCAAGCTCAAAACTGGTGAGAAAAATCTATGTGATTTTAATGGAAAGTCAGATTATTTAGTCTAGCAATGCAAATAAGCACCTGCTTCATGGCTAAAAATAAATTAGGGTAAAATCTGGCTTTTTGCCTAAAAGGCAAAAAGGAATTCCTTTGGGAATTCCTTCATATTTGTTCTCTTAAGAGTATGTGACTGTGAAATCTTTAGAGGGATTTTTGACAAACAGATCCCTGCTTGCCCTGATCAGAAATAGAAGTGTTACTGGCAAATACAGAAACAGTTTATGTGATTTGGGCTCATAAATGGAATCTCCGTAAGCACAATCATTTAGGAGTATTAGTTTTTAGTGTTTTGGTTGAGAAATTTTAAAAATTGAGTAAAAATGTGTAAAATTAATAGTGCAGGAGTGTTTATTATGACACAGAGGGAAGGATGTATAATTGAATCATTTTAATTCAATTACAAATGAAATATTGGCATTTAAAGCATTTCTCAAAAAGTGATGGAGTAATCTATTAAGGGTTTCCTATAGGGGATATCAGTCTAATGTTATGACACAAAGGTTAGTGTTGGCTATTTTCCCCTCTTCTTGAGTTGAAACATCCTAAAGCAGCATGAATAAAAATCTCCTCCTCAGGCTTCTGTACAAGCAAACTGAACAAAGCCCCTTAAAATCAACATTTCAGGCTTGATAGTGTTTCTGTACTATAAAAGTCAAGTTGTTTTGATTAAATTTACTGAAATCAACTAGTTTTCCAATTCAACATTTTTTTCTAAGCTAATAAAGTTTGCAAGCTCATTTCGGAGGAGGGGATTGGAGAGGAGAAATACCTAGTTTTGATTTATATTATCATTTCTTTTATGCTTCTTTTGGACCATTTTAACTTTTCCATTTTGAAAAGTAAAAGTATCAAAGTTTACTATATTTTCTTATATGATTTTTATTGTCGTGTAATTATTTCAAAAATTGGAAGTCCATAAATAGCTACGCTATGGTTTTGCCCTTTTCCCCAAAGCGTATAAAAAAATAAAATATATGTCAGTCAAATGATTATTGTCTTTTAGTCAATGGGTTTTTTCCTTTCCTTTCATATGTAATTTTAGAAATTCATAATGGTTTCTCCCTAGGTATCAAAATAAAGATGTGCATGTAAAACATTTAAAAATGCACAGGGCAAACCGAGTCCAGCAGCACATCAAAAAGCTTATCCACCACGATCAAGTTGGCTTCATCCCTGGGATGCAAGGCTGGTTCAACATACTCAGATCAATAAACGTAATCCATCATATAAACAGAACCAAAGACAAAAACCACATGATTATCTCAATAGATGCAGAAAAGGCCTTTGACAAAATTCAGCAGCCCTTCATGCTAAAAAATCTCCATAAGCTAGGTATTGATGGGACGTATCTCAAAATAATAAGAGCTATTTATGACAAACCGACAGCCAATATCATACTGAATTGGCAAAAACTGGAAGCATTCCCTATGAAAACTGGCACAAGACAGGGATGCCCTCTCTCACCACTCCTATTCAACATAATGTTGGAAGTTCTGGCCAGGGCAATCAGGCAGGAGAAGGAAATAAAGGGTATTCAATTAGGAAAAGAGGAAGTCAAATTGTCTCTGTCTGCAGATGACATGATTGTATATTTAGAAAACCCCATCGTCTCAGCCCAAAATCTCCTTAAGCTGATAAGCAACTTCAGCAAAGTCTCAGGATACAGAATCAATGCGCAAAACTCACAAGCATTCCTATATACCAATAACAGACAAACAGAGAGCCAAATCATGAGTGAACTCCCATTCACAATTGCTTCAAAGAGAATAAAATACCTAGGAATCCAACTTAAAAGGGATGTGAAGGACCTCTTCAAGGAGAACTACAAACCACTGCTCAACGAAATAAAAGAGGACACAAACAAATGGAAGAACATTCCATGCTCATGGGTAGGAAGAATCAATATCGTGAAAATGGCCATACTGCCCAAGGTAATTTATAGATTCAATGCCATCCCCATCAAGCTACCAATGACTTTCTTCACGGAACTGGAAAAAACTACTTTAAAGTTCATATGGAACCAAAAAAGAGCCCGCATCACCAAGACAATCCTAAGCCAAAAGAACAAAGCTAGAGGCATCACGCTACCTGACTTCAAACTATACTACAAGGCTACAGTAACCAAAACAGCATGGTACTGGTACCAAAACAGAGATATAGACCAATGGAACAGAAGAGAGCCCTCAGAAGTAATACCACACATCTACAACCATCTGATCTTTGACAAACCTGACAAAAACAACAAATGGGGAAAGGATTCCCTATTTAATAAATGGTGCTAGGAAAACTGGCTAGCCATATGTAGCTGAAACTGAATCCCTTCCTTAAACCTTATACAAAAATTAATTCACGATGTATTAAAGACTGAAACGTTTGACCTAAAACCATAAAAACCCTAGAAGAACACCTAGGCAATACCACTCAGGACATAGGCATGGGCAAGGACTTCATGACTAAAACACCAAAAGCAATGGCAACAAAAGCCAAAATTGACAAATGGGATCTAATTAAACTAAAAAGCTCCGGTACAGCAAAAGAAACTACCATCAGAGTGAACAGGCAACCTACAGAATGGGAGAAAATTTTTACAATCTACCCATCTGACAAAGGGTTAATATCCAGAATCTACAAAGAACAAATTTACAGGAAAAAAAATCAACCCCATCAAAAAGTGGGCAAAGGATATGAACAGATACTTCTCAAAAGAACACATTTATGCAGCCAACAGACACATGAAAAAATGCTCATCATCACTGGCCATAGAGAAATGCAAATCAAAACCACAATGAGATACCATCTCACACCAGTTAGAATGGCAATCATTAAAAAGTCAGGAAACAACAGGTGCTGGAGAGGATGTGGAGAAATAGGAACACTTTTACACTGTTGGTGGGACTGTAAACTAGTTCAACCGTTGTGGAAGTCAGTGTGGCGATTCCTCAAGGATCTAGAACTAGAAATACCATTTGACCCAGCCATCCCATTACTGGGTATATACCCAAAGGACTATAAATCATGCTGCTATAAAGACACATGCACACGTATGTTTATTGCGGCACTATTCACAATAGCAAAGACTTGGAACCAACCCAAATGCCCATCAATGATAGACTGGATTAAGAAAATGTGGCACATATACACCACCGAATACTATGCAGCCATAAAAAATGATGAGTTCATGTCCTTTGTAGGGACATGGATGAAGCTGGAAACCATCATTCTGAGCAAACTATCGCAAGGACAGAAAAACAAACACCACATGTTCTCCCTCACAGGTGGGAACTGAACAATGAGAACACTTGGACACAGGAAGGGGAATATCACACACAGGGGCCTGTTGTGGGGTGGGGGGAGGGGGGAGGAATAGCATTAGGAGATATACCTAATATAAATGACGAGTTAATGGGTGCAGCACACCAACATGGCACATGTATACATATGTAACAAACCTGCACACTGTACACAGGTACCCTAGAACTTAAAGTATAATTTAAAAAATTAAAAAATAAATGCACAAGAAACAGAAACACAGCACAAAAACAAACCTATCCCCTGTGGACACACCACCACTACTTGATATGTGTAATGCCAATTGCTCAACTAGCTAATCAGTTCCTACTGTTGGTTGGAATTATTTCTCTTGATATTGTGGAGGACCAGTTCCCCCCAAGAAGAATTCAGTTGTCACTTAACAATCTTTTTTTTTTTTTTTTTTGAGACGGAGTCTTGCTCCGTCACCCAGGCTGGAGTGCAGTGGCCTGATCTCTGCTCACTGTAATCTCTGCCTCCAGGGTTCAAGTGATTCTCCTGCCTCAGCCTCCCGAGTAGCTGGGATCACAGGCACGCGCCACCACGTCCAGCTAATTTTTTTGTATTTTTAGTAGAGACAGGGTTTCACCATGTTGGCCAGGATGGTCTCGATCTCTTGACCTCGTGATCCGACCGCCTCAGCCTCCCAAAGTGCTGGGATTACAGGCGTGAGCCACTGCACCTGGCCCACTTAACTATCTCTTGAAGGTAATAATCAAAATCACATCACAACTGTATCGACATGGTTTTTTAGCTTACTTAAAAGCAGCCACTCTCTTAACTACAGTTTCTTCATTTAAAAATGGGGAAACAGGAAAACCAAGAATGATTACACAATCTGAAAGTTTTGTTTCATTATTTTAAAGCAGGGGCCTCAGCGCCATCCCATAATGAGGGAATTCTAATTGTCTGCATAATTCTAATATAGGAAGGAGGGAGAAAATGAAACTTTGGGCACAAAGGCATGTTTCTGAACCTTTATCCAACACCATTTCCATTGTGGGAACCACAAAAAGGATGATAAATTAATAAAAGAAATAGGGGCCAAATAAAATCTTAAAAGAGATAAAAAGAGGAAGCCAAACAACCACAACAAAAATTGATAATATTCAGCTCAGGAAGAGAATAATTTTCTTCCCTAACACAGTGATCTCTGACTTATCTCTCCCAGTAACTGAAGACTTAAAAATCATTTGCACTCCGATAACATCAGATTTTGCAAACTCGCCTTTGAATAAAAGGTCTCAATGTATATTTGCCCCTATGTTTAAATTGCCAAACCAAGATTTGGTTCTTTGATTACAGTTATATTTCTATAAGCCATTAAAGTTTTAATTAGCAGTGATTAAAATCAGGTGTATATTCTGGAATTCCTCCAAGAAATCAGATTTCTAAGTTATATAATAATTTCTATTACTAAACAAGCCTAATTTTGTAAAGCACATATGTGCACATTTTCTAGGCACATTCAAGGTGCTCAGTGAGTTTTCTTCCTTAAAAAATTATCTATTCCCTGTAGGTGCATTCTCTACACTGGCAATAATTAAATAACACTACTTTTGATTTTGAAAATGTTTACCATGAAACTAGTAGCAGCCACTTAGCCTAAAAAAGTAAAAAGGCCTTTAAAAAATACCAATAGAAAACATAACTGAGATTTTAAATGAATTTAGTCATACTCCAAGCAAAATCATTCCAGATGATAGAACACAACTTTTATTTAACGTTAGTTGTTAATTCTATTTTCCAACATTAACATTATGGGATGCTGGTACTACATGTATTTTGGTTGTTTCAAAGTACACCACATTGTAAATAAGTAATAAACACCAATAAATCTTGCTCCCAGATACTATGTTGCTGTTGGGACAGATCTGTATCCCCGTTTATTTTGTAAGGAACTATACTAAAGGGAATTCCATCTAGGTCTTAGCTAGTTAAGTGACTACTATGTTATTAGTTTATACACCATTACCCTAACTTTTATTTTATATTTGATATTTCAACATTTTAAATGTCTTTATCCTAATGGATACTATTTCCCTACTGTTACTTAATAAGCAAAATTTAAAATATTCCATAAACTTGTAATGCTCAGTTCTTAAAAGGCTCCTTAGGATTATACTATTTATATCTTTTAAGCTTTTATGATATTTTAGACAAATTTTAATATAAGGATCTATACCACTCTTTCATTTAACAAAAATTTAAAGTGTACATTTACATTCTAAGCACTTTGCTAGGTGCTGGCAACACCATAAAATTCTGACATTTTCATTATTTTTACAATGTGAAATTGTCAAAATTATCAATTTTTCAAATTTATTTTGAGGATACCTAAAATTATACTCATGTAGATACCTATTTCTGTAGACTTGAAACTCGTGTTCTTATAGTTGCCTAACCTTTACTGTCCCATAAGAAAGGGACAACTATATGAGCTATATAAAATTTACAGAAAATCTTTATTTTTATTTTTTTGCCTTTATCCAGCAATGATTTTCTACATGAAGTCACTACTAGTAAATTTCCCATCTTCCTTCAACCTGTCTTTACAAAGAACATGGTAATCTAGGGCTAGAGGCATGGAAGAGGGAACAAAGAATAGTTAAGAAAATAGTAATAATAGCTGCCGAGTATTGTATTCTTAACTAAGTGCCAGGAACTTATCCATTTTCTCAGTTACTTCATAAGATACATGTTATTTTCATATCACATGAGAAAATGCAGTTCAGAATGATTAAATGACTTGTTTAAATGTATACAACTAGTGCAAAGTAGAACTGGGATTTGAATCCGGGTCTGTGTGTTCCCCAAGTCTATCCTTAGATGCTGTACTAGATAAACACAAATGATCTCCTCTTTCCATTGACGTTTAGTAAAAAAGAGGGAATGAGCAAGAAATGGCCTAGGAGTACTCTATTCTCTGGATGTAGATGAAGGAAGCCTTTTGTTTTTTAATCATCTACTCTTTGCCAGGTATTATTTGTGGTGTCCTTTCCCTCAACAGCCCAATGGTTGTTCCCATAGTATGGGTGGTATGATCCCATAGTGGTAAGCAGAAAAGCCAGGCTTCAAGCCTAAGTCTCCAGTCCTATGCCTTATCATTGTCTTCTACTAACCCAGGCAGTGACACAGTGAGGGTAGCAAGTGGCTACGAAATCTCCTTCCAGGATAGGACCAATGCAGTGCTGCAAGATCAGCAAGCATCACTGCCCTCAGTGTTTCCAACTGGTTATTCTAACTGGGCAGTTTTACAATAAGGTTGTCCTTCCATGAAATTAATTCTCCTTATCAGTGACCTAAGACAAGGGTTGGCTTTCTAACTGCCATAAAGTCAAGAGAAGCTTTAAAGAGAAAAAATGTAAAAATGAAACAGATTCTATAATAATATGTGATTCAAACCTACCTGCAAAAACCTTGGGAGAAGATGGTTTGACTCAATGCCAACATATATGTGCAGCAGTTCCAGGAGAGATACGGATTGGCAAAGTCGCATCACAAGTCCAATAGCATAAAAAGTGTCAACCATTGAATCTGTATCCCGTGGGTTAAAAATGCAGATATAGGAAGAAAAAACTGGATTATAACCCAAATTTATGCAGCACTTTGAAGTCAAATGGAGATTATTCACTTCCTTTTTCATTGTACATGTGAAAAATTCCTTAAGTAGGCTACTAAATTATTAACAATACAATGCAAACAAACAAAGCACTTCATACTGTAGTCTATTTTAATTGCTCCTGTTCCAAAAAGAAATCGAAACTTGAGAAAGATTTCATGGCCAAACATACACATAGCATTTATTCCCCACTTATAAGATTATAAAGCAATTCCCACATAAGAGTAACCTCCTAGAATCTAGACCACCTCAAGTGTAAATAGAAGTGAGCTTGTTAAGGACACTATGTGCTCACAGCTTCTCCACTGACAAGAAAATGACAAAGATGAGAAAAAATATTATTTCGGAGAAACTTTATGGAAATGACACTAATAATGCCATGATATCAAATAACATAGGTATCTAGGATTTTGTTTCTATACATATTTGGTTAGTGCTTTTCTGGATTTTGTTAAACACTGGAACTTGGGCCTCTGATCAGGACTTTTGGGGTTTGCATTGCAGAGGGTTCACATGAAATACTGTGCACTTGGAGCTGAAATGGAAGGGAAACAAATGTTCCTCTACATAGGATAAATGTGTTGCTTTAAGTTCTAAAATGAAATCCTGCCATGTTTAGAAACTCGTAGGGAAGATTTTGCTCTCTTTACTGCCCAGTGATGATTCACACAATAATAATTTACTGAGCAGTAAGGATTTCTCTTCTCGGCAGCTCCACAAGATGGACACTATTATCATCATCCCCATTTCAGAGATGGTTCCTGAAGTACACAGTCCATGCTCTTATCCACTGCCCTGCACTTGCTGTACCAGAGCATTATGAATTACACAGCTCCGTGAAGGAAGAAGGTAGCAGGTATAACACGTTCAGGGTTTCAGGTTTCTGTTGAGCTACTTACATAATTTATACATTGATTCAAAAATTGTACTGAAACCACACTTAGTTGTTTTCAGTCTGTCTCCTGAACGAATCGGTTGTGTTTCTTTAATAATAAGCTTCTACAATTGTAATGGCAGGATAATAACTGAGAAAGAAATGCGCCGAGCCGGGCACAGTGGCTCACGCCTGTAATCCCAGCACTTTGGGAGGCTGAGGCAGGCGGATCACCTTTGGTCAGGAGTTCAATACCAGCCTGGCCAATGTGGTGAAACCCCGTGTCTACTGAAAATACAAAAATTAGCCAGGCATGGTGGCGGGCACCTGTAATCCCAGCTACTCAGGGAACTGAGGCAGGAGAATCACTTGAACCTGGGAGACAGAGGTTGCAGTGAGGTGACATCGTACCATTGCACTCCAGCCTGGGCGACAAGAGGGAAACTCCATCTCAAAAAAAAAAAAAAAAGAAAAAAGAAAAGAAAAAAAAAGAAAGAAAAGAAAAAGAAATACTTGATGACTAAGGCAACTTTTCTCACTGGAAAGGTGAGACAGCATAAGCCAGTCCATGGCTTGTGTTGCCAATGACATGTAATATGCCTGCACTGCCTCAGCAAACCTCAAAGGGCTAGAAGTGATGGCTTTTTAATAAAAATATAAAAGAAGTTTTCCCATCACCTGTGTTTTCCTGTGCTTGAAAACTCTCAACATTTGTAGTTGAAACTCAAGCTTTAGGTTATATCTTTGGAGGTCCTTAACAAAGGCGAGACTATATCTGTAGATTTTCAGTAAGAAAAAGCAACATAAAATAGCTTATGGGACCCTGCAAGTAGAATAACTTCCTTATGATACACACGTCTGAAATGATGAGCACAGCATGACTTTTCCCAGCTACATTCTAAACATTTGTTTTTAGCTGAAGCCAGCAGTTGCTTAGATTGTCAAGTCACTCAACAGTTGTAAACTGTGAGGACACTTACCCACGTGCGGATGGAACATGAAGAGAATGTTATTTTGATAGTCATTTAGTCACCCAACAGTGACTTTACTTTTCAGGAAACTAGAGGAAGTTTATGACTTAAACCATTAATGCTGACTCCTATATAAGTGGTTAGCCCTCTACAAAGTGTGTCATTTACATATTACTTCTTAAAGGGACCAAATAGAGGCTTGGGGAATATAAAATTTGTATTTCACTTACTAGTAGTCTCCAGTTACCTCAAACCTGGGGAATAATACAAACACTGGAAGAATTTGATTCATTCCTGATTTCTCTGCATAAAATGTTATGCTGAGATTTCCTCAAAACACTAGAAATCTGCTAAGGTTTGGTACAGAATGGAAAAGGAACAATGAAATGATACCACCTCAGTGCCATCCATCTCTTTTTTGAGGCAAACTGCCAACTCAGGGGGAAGCCAAATCCCTTTCCCTTACTTATCCCACCTTCCCCCTTCCCCAAGAAGGTTTTGCAATAAACATGGTTGCTAAAAAATACAAATTTTAGAGAAGGATATTAGAAGGTTGAGGTGTGTAGAAATTTAATATAAGCAGGATGAGGTGAAAACAAGGATTAAAAGTTAAAAATAAAAAAACTGTTTCGGAGTTTTACCTTTTCCAAATGAAAAGAATCTGACTGTCATATTTGTAAATATCCAAGAGTGGCCACAGAACTGGATTAAGTAATAGATGAAAAGATACGCATTCTTCCTATACCTATAAATACAGGAAAATACCATTAAACACTTCTTTTATAATCATCCTTTCATCACTGTACACATGCCCTTTAATGTACTGGCCAACCTGAGAAAGCAAAAGAAAACTGTTTCATATCAGTCTTTTATCTGGTTACCCCCAAGTACATATCAGATTTTGAAGGGAGCCATAACCTACACTACCCGCTAAAGTAAATACAGATGCTTCTTCACTTATGATGAAGTTACGTCCTGGTACACCCCATCAGCTGAAAATATCATAAACTGAAAATATCATAAGTTGAAAATGCATGTAATACAACTGATCTACAGAACATCACAGCTTAGCCTAGTCTACCTTAAACTTGCTCAGAACACCTACATTAGCTTACAGTTGGGTGGAATCATCTGGCAACACAGTGCACTGTGGAGTACCGGTTGTTTACCTTCCTGATCATGCGGCCGACTGGGAGCTGCGGCCTGATGCCGCGGCCCAGCATCATGAAAGGATATCATACCTGCACATCGCTAGCCTGGGGAAAGATTAAAATCCAAAATTTGAAGTACGGTTTCTAATGAATACATATCATTTTCACACCATCACAAAGTTTAAAAAATTGTGAGTCATGGACCATCTGTATAGTGAGTTTGCTTAAAACCAAATATAGTGCTTTTTCAAAATCTGCTTTCATCTTTGATAAAGTTCTAACCTTGCTGCTCACCAAGGAATAAAAGAAACCACTGCGAAGGTGGCTTTGAATATTCTTTAAAAAAACAAAACAGGCTGGGCGCGGTGGCTCAGGCATGTAATCCCAGCACTTTGGGAGGCCAAGGCGGGTTGGATCACTTGAGGCCAGAAGTTCAAGACCAGCCTGGCCAACATGGCAACTTACAAAAAAAAAAAAAAAAAAGCCGGATGTGGTAACGTATGCCTGTAATCCCAGCTACCTAGCTGCTCAGGAGGCTGAGGCAGGACAATCACTTGAACCTGGGAGGTAGAGGCTGCAGTGAACCGAGACAGCGCCACTGCACTCCAGCCTGGGCGACAGATCAAAACTCTGTTCTCAAAAATAAATAAAAAATAAAAAACAAAACAACAACAACAACAAAAAATCCATGTGTGCAGAGTGGTTGACATGTCACTATGTGTTCCAGTAGCTCAGCTTGCTAAGTGCAGAACTTGAGACACAGTGTTTTAGTTCTGAAGGGGGGTAGGGATGGGAGTAATCCAAATGTTGGGTAATTCAGTAATTGGACACACCTGACTTTTGAACACATTATGTGATTGAGGTTAGTATTAACATCTTGCCACTGCCTATTAACATTTTGCAAGGGTAGATAGTTTCCTTCATCAGATACATATCGAAAGCAGTTTAGTTGCTCATACCAGAAGAGGGAAGTCAAGCTGGGTTTAACAATGTGTTGTGAGTTGCTGGGGAGATGACTAAGAGAAGATTGACAGATAGATGGTTTGAGGGAGTTAGGAAAAGCACTGTTTGAAATGTTCCCTGGGAGTTCAGAAGAGTGACGGGAGTGGCCCTGCCAGTGTGGTCAAGATTTACTCCTCCTTGAAGATGTGAAACCTCCTAGAAACAAGGAAAATAAGCTGGGAGGCAGAATGATTTTTATTTGGGGACATCCTCCCCTATAAAGGCAGGAACTGCTAAAGGGTTTGGGAAGAGGAAATCCTCCTTCAGCTTGTATCAGAATTACCTGGCTTGTGGGTTAAACATATACACCCCCAGGCCCTACCGCTATATGACTGAATCTGTTCCCCGCCGGAACTAGGCCCTGAAATCTATACGTGTGATAGGTGTTTCCACGGCTGTTACATCTAAAAATCACCCCGCAACTCTGCGTCTGAGAAAGTCAAGAGAAGGCTCCTGGGGGGAGGGAAGTACTGGCAGAGGGCTCACAAGGGCAGGGGTAGCCATGCAGCCTGTCCTTCCCATTCAACTGTAAAATGGAGAAAATAACAGAGCCTGCTTCCTAGGGTGGTCAAGAGGGGTAAGTTAGCAAATACCTGCATGAGCTCCAAGGGGTGCCTGGGCACGGTAGCGCTGCGCCTTGCTGGCGGGCGGGGGGTGCCGCCCGCCCGCCCGCCGCAGAGGGGAGCTCCCGCCTCCAGGCCCTCCACCCGCGCCCCCTCCCCTCGGGATTCGGCCGAGCGCCCTACCTGGGCTGCAGCCAGGCGGGCAGCGCCAAGGGCCCCATGGGCCGCCGCCGCCAGGGCTTCCAGCGCGGTCCAGGAAGGAGTACCGGGGAGGAGGCAGGGGCGGCCCCGCGGCTGGGCGCGGAAGGGCGGGGCCTCTCCACACTCAGCAGTTTACAAAAAGAAAAAGCCCGAGGTCGTGCGTTGGGGAAGAGATGAAAACGAAGTTCTCGAAGTTTCTGCAGCACTGCTAGAGCGCGTCAGGGCGCAAGGCTGGGAGGCGGCTCGCGTTCCCGGTGGGGTTACCAAACTCTGGTTACAGCTTCCTAATCTTTGTGTTGAGACCCCCTTGCAAGCCTTCTGGAAATTAATGCATCTGGGCGATTTCCGGGGCCTCCGAACTCGCTGAAGCCCATCCCCAAACCTCCCGAGATGAGTGGATTCCAGGGTGGGCTCTGCTCAATGCCCACCGGTGAGCCAGGTTCAGACACGAAGCTTGTGCCGGGCGCAGTGGCTAATGCCTATAATCCCAGCACTTTGGGAGGCCGAGGCGGGAGGATCTTTTGAGCCCAGGAGTTCGAGACCAGCCTGGGCAACATAGCGAAAACGCGTCTCTACTAAATGTACAAAAATTAGTCGGGCATGGTGACGCGGGCCTGTGGTCCCAGCTACTCCAGAGGCTGAGGTGGGAGGATCGCTTGAGCCTGGGAGGTCGAGGCTGCAATGAGCCAAGATCACGCGGCTACACTCCAGCCTGGGTAACAGAGCGAGATCCTGTCTCAAAAAATAAATAAAAATAAAACGAAGTTTGTAGCACACCTCCCCAACACTTTTTCAGCTAGGGGCCTGATTCCTCTTCTATCAGGCCTCCCTGCTCTCTAATCTCCCTTGGGTTCTCACTGGTGCCTGCAAATCTTTATTCACGTTGTGTTAATTTCTCTAGCCTATGCCCAGCACTGCTACAACCCCTTCGTGATCTCTCAGGCTTATGACATCACTGTCTCCGTACACAGATGACCCACCCTCCTGCTTTGCTAATAAGATCCAGCCCATCTTCAAGCTCCTCTGCCCAGAAAGGGAAACGTTAAAACAAAAACAGAAACATCTAAGAAGGCACTTGCAAGTAAGTGGGACAATGGCACCTGGTTTTGGAGTTGGAAGTTAGCGCCCCCATTTTTACCAAAAGGGAAGTTGAGGCATTAAAAAAATGTTAAGTCACTTGGCACAGGTCACACAATTGATAAAATGGCAGTATCAGAACTTCAAGGTTGGTGGGATTTCTTGTTTGTTTCCCATTAGGCCGTGGCTTCCTTTTTTCATAGTCCATTCCATTCACTATGCCTACCTCTCACCTCTACATTTCTCTGCACCTTCTCTCATACCCTGCCCTCAGTCGGAGGTTAACCCCAACTTTGTGTTTACCAGTCCCTTCTCAGACTCACTGCATCAGTAGTTAACCATCGCCTCTTCTTGCATCGTCATCCCCTCCTTTCCATTGGCTTTCACTGCACTTTAGGGACATAGACAACTCTCTCTTAGCATATAATTAAACATTGTATTCTTTCTGTTTCTCTCTCAATGGAATCTTCTAATAACTCCCTGCCTGCCTTCTCTGATCAGGTGCTTCTTTCATTTCCTACCATCTTCCTGTTCCATAATACCTTACAGTTTGACTCTCCTGACACTGCTCCGTCCGCGAGCATGTTAATTTTTCGCCGAATCCCTATCCTGTATCACCTTGCAGGATGATGCCCCACGGTCCTTGCTTTTACAGAACATTTGATCTAAAGGGTAAACTGGTGGCTAACCCATTATCAATGCTATCTCTGATCAGGTTAAGCAGCAAGAGAGAAAGTAAAGTCCCAGATGGCCTGCAGTGGGGCAGGAGGGAGAAGGTGGAAAGCCTGCCCAGAAGAATTGATCCTTTGTCACCAAACACAGCCCCTGCATCCACATCCTCATTGACAGGTCTGCTGCATTTTACCAGTTCTGTCTGTCTGCCATTTACCCCTGAAGTTCTACATATTCTACGTCTCTTGCCTTATGTCCCTTCTGTCTCTCTGGATGGGTCTTCTTCTCCTGCTGTATTTCCTCAAAAGTCTGCCCTTAGTCACCATCCATTTGTCACCATGTTATCCCTCAGCATAGACAACCACACATGGCTTTATCTCCATGTGGACAACTTTTGACTATTATTTTCAGCCCTTTCTTCTTTTATGAATACTATCTCTGGCCTTTGAGCAGCTTTTGGATATTTCCTCATGAAAGTCCTATTGTTTGGACTATCTTTGGAACGTCTTCCAATTCAACCTATTTAAAATAAGCATACTATCTCTCTTCCTAAATCATTATTTCCCACAGAAAGACCACCATTTTTCTAGCCACTTGATTTTAAATTGGGGAGTCATCATTAAGCACCCCATCCAATCAAATTCGATTGATCCCATCCTTTCCAGATCTCCTACTAATCAGTAGTGTTCTTTGTCCATTCCTTATTTTCCAGTACCTGGGTGAGGAGTAATTGGCCTCCCTCACATCCATTCTTTACATCATAACTCAGTTGACTTTCTGGAGCGTCTTGGGTTATATCTTTCTGCTGCACAAAAAGAGGCCCTTTTTAGTTGCCAAAAAAGAACAAGCCAATCAGTCGAAAAATAAAAAATCCTTTCAAATCAAGCAGTTAGCTGATTCTACGTTATTTCCCAAGGAAAGAGTACAAAAAGAGCTTAGGAGAGAACATTTTGTATGAAAAGTGAAATTCTCCCTTTCCCCTGGTCAGTTCCCAGTCCTGCCCACGTCCTGCCAGCATTATCAAGATGGCCTCCCCCAGCCTCCCTGCCTCCAATCTCTTTCCTCCTTCTACCCAGACTGCCATAGATTATTTAAGGATGGCAAAAATATTTCTTAAAACACAGTTCTGATGTAGCCATTCTCCTGGTCTAAATCTTTTGCTGACTCCCCGTTGCCTGCTACAGTATATCTCTTCTTGCCCCTAAACCTGTCACATGCTGACATCTCCTACCATCCTATCCCCTTACCAAAAATCACAGCAACCTGCTGTTCCATGACCACACCAGGCATTCTCTGGCCAATGTGCCTCTGTGAAAAATTTCCCGTCTACTTTTTCTATTCTACCTCCTCCCCTTATCACAGCCCAGTACTTACCTGTCAAAATTCTATTCATTCTTTAAAAGCCTTCCCAAAGATCCCCTCTGGGAGTCACATAGGCTAACGTATGTCTATGTTGGTATTTATCTTAGGGTATTGTTGTTGTCAAGGTACTTGACTATTTAACTAGATTATAGATTCTCAGAGGCTTCTCTCTCACTAACAGTGAGAATTTGACAACTTTTAACCTTTAAAAATGAAGTTTCTTTTGCCAAAAGCACACAGTTATTAGAAAGATCAAATAATAAAATTTATAGATGAAAATGGATAAAAGCCCCTAGTACAGTGCTTGGCATAGTAAGTATCCATAAATATGTTGGATGAATGAATTAAATCTAGTATGAGTTTTCTATTCCCAAAATTTTAACCCAAAACAAAACATTCAGTGATAGTTACATTACTGAAGTATGTATATTCAACTTTCAGTTATCCACTGGTACAGAAGAAGTCAGAGTCCAAGATAACAACTGAATTAATATATTCTAATCTTTAGAAGAAATTTTAAAATTATTCGAACATGTCAATTTTGTTTTCCTTGGGCAAATGCTTCAATTTGTTTTCATCCCAAAGAGCACCATCTGGGAGGCTAAAACCTTGAAATATATTTCATGGCAGTAACAGACTGGCTACAAAATAAATTCTTTTTTATTTTCAGCACCTTGAGTTTTCAGAGGTCACTCCTCTCCCTCAAAGAAAACACAGAATAAAACTCTTTGTGACCTTGGGTTAGGTAGAGATTTCTTAGGTATTTCATCTAAGAAGCCCTCTTAGATAGCTAAGCAAGCATTTCTTAGCTACTTCTGGCCTTCAAAAGACACTTTCAAGTGAGTGAAAAGAAGCTATATAGTAGAAGAAAATATTTAAAAATCGCATAACTAATAAAGAACTTGTTTGCAAATATATACAGAACTCTCAAAACTCAATAATTGGAAGACAATAAACCCCCCCAAAATAGGCAAAAGATTTGAAAACACACATAACCAAGTAAGAGACAAAGAAAGAACATAAAAGTATGGTCAAAATAATTAGTAATTATGGAAATGAAAATAAAACCACAATGAGATATCGCTACACACTGATAAAGATGGCTAAGATGAAAAAGAGTTAACCACCACAAGTGTTAGTGAAGATGTGCCACAATGGGGATTCTCATAAGCAGCTTTATTTTTAATAGCCAAAAACTGAAAACAACCCAAATTTCCATAAACAGATGAATGGATAAATAAATTATGGCATAACTGTACAATGAAATCCAACTCAGCAGTAAAAAGAAGTGAACTACTGATACAAGCAATAACATGGATGAAATTCAAAATAATCAAACTGAATGTCAGAAGCCAGAAAAAAAAAGAATAGATACTGTATGATTCTACTTATTTAAGGCTCTAGAAAGTGGAAACTAATCATCACTGATAGAAGGAAAATAAGTGGCTGTCTGAGGATAGATAGTGAAGAGGAATGAAAAAAGGGAGGGATTGCAAAGGAGCATGAGAGGTGGAAATGTTAATTGTTTTGCTTGTGGTGAGGTTTTTCAGGCATGTATCTATCTTAAAACTTATCAGTTTAAATTGATTCAGTTTATTGCAGTTTAGTATATGTTAGTTACACCTCAATAGAGCTGTTAATACACTAACACACTAATATTTAACACACTAATATTTATAAAGAGAAATGTAGGGTTTTCTGTTTTGAATAACTTTTATTATTGCTTATGATATAACATCCTGTGATTTTCAAGGGAAAAGTAAACAATACAAAACAAGATTTTTCAATAAAAAGAAACTCAGTATGCTCCAGGGCAGACTCTTTGATTTATTGCCCTTCTCCCCAAGGCACCTTAGCGTATGGCATTTACACAATCTGCAGTTGGTGAATACTGGGTCGCAGACCTGTACATATAGGCCCCTGGGTTGTCTTTTAGTTCATGATAGCTTCTTGAGGGGCTTACTTGCACTGGTGTCTGTACACTAGGTGTATCCTCATTCAATATGTTGATAGTAACCTAGGCCCACTTAATACCAATTAAAGACCCCCTATCACCTCCTGTCTTCTCTCCTTCCCTTGACAGTCTTCCTTTCCATCCCCAGGCCTCCATTCGTTCTTCATTCTCTCTGCCATCTCCTCATCCCCCTGGCAGTTCATTCGGAAACTTCTGTGCAGGCACTGCCCTGTCTCTCCCACATTGTGCCCTGAATTTGGTGCTACCCTAAGAGCTCACAGGTTTCCCTGCATCTGCCTGAGAAAGGACACTAAACCTATGGCATGTGATTCTTCCTCTTGGCTTAGGATATTTCTATTACCACATCTCTGTTCTTGTAGCAGGGCTGGGGTAGATGAGGCTAGCAGGGCACCTAGGGTACAGACTTTGAGGAGGAGCTCCCCTTCAGCCTTGCAATACTGAGAGGGGGTGCCTGCTTAAATTTTGCAACTTAGGCATCTCCTATTCTCACTAAGTCCCTGCCCTAATTTGTGGTTTTGGTTTAGGCCTGGGGTAGGGAGCTGGGGAGAGGGAATAGGGGCTTTGCTATGTAGATCTTTCCATTCTATATGCTTTTTAAAAATTCTACATTCCATTTTGCCATGCTTCCTTTTTTAGAATATCTTTCCTCCTATCCTAGAAACCTTGCTACTAATTCCCTAGGCAGGAATGTCTCCCCGTATTTTCATATCCTAGGTTTTTGTTCCCTGTGGCTTATTGTAAAACTCAATCCACAGCTCTCTAAGCTTTGCTATCCTAAAAAGAGTCTTTGGGGGAACTGAGAAATTCCTTTTATTCAAAGCCAGTGCTTCACTGGGGACTGCAAGAGCCCACTTTGATAGGTAAAAGCCCAGCATGAAACCATTTCATTCCTTTACATTCTTCCTACCACAAGCCAAATTTCCTGAGGCAAAAAGGATGATTCTGGCAGGCTAGGAAGGTCATGCAAAGAGATGCAAAAAGAAAATCATATTACGGTCATCCCTTGGTATCCATGGGGGATTGGTTCCAGGACAGGCTACCTGCCCCACTCCAAGATACCACAGTCCAGAATTCTCAAGCCCGTTATATAAGAGGACATAATTGCATATAACCTACACACATTCTCCCATATGCTTTCAATCTAGATTACTTGTAATATTTAATACCATGTACACATTATATAAATAGTTGTGATATATTTTTTAATTTTTTTCCCAAGTATTTTCCATCTGCAGTTACAGAACTCTCAGATATGGAGAGCCAACTGTAATATGTTTCAAAACTGTTATTCCTGCTATATATAGTTAAGGTTTTATTTAAATTCACAATTTTCATTTCTATATATTCTTGTTCAACATCATTGCCTACGATTACTGAAAATGACTTTTCTTAGGTTAACTCACCTTATAAACTGCTTAGAAGAATCACTCAGAGAAAAGCAAGTTATATGCTAATTTTTTAGAGTTTAGTTTTTTGGTGATGGGAACATTATTTGGGTTGCAGATATAAGTAGTTTCAAAAGAAGATAACTTTTATAGTATCTCAGATAAAATCATTTGTGTTATATTCTGGTCATTATTAAAGGCAGTGTTGCTTTTTGGTAGTCTAAGGTAAGAGGTTTTCTAATGAGCCTGTAAGAATTTAAGAGTTTGTAATTGTATGATATACACACAGTCAAGAAGCAAAACGGCAACTTTTTTTTTTTTTTTTCTAGTAGAGACTGAGTCTTGCTATGTTGCTTAGGCTGGTCTTGAACTCCTGGGCTCAAGTGATCCTCCCACCTCAGCCTCCTGAGTAACTGGGATTACAGGCATGAGTCACTGTGACTGGCCCCTGCAACATCTTTTGTAATCTATTTTTGAATAAGGAAAGTTAAAAAACAAAGAGGTAAAATTAAAAGACATGATCTAAGCATTTAAAATTAATTTGTCTAAAAGTTATTGAAAGCCAGGCATTGTTGCTTATGCCGGTAATCCCAGCAACTGTGGAGGCTGAGGTGGGAGGATTGCTTGAGTCCTGGAGTTCAAGACCAGCCTCTTTAAAAAGAAAAGTTATTGACTCACTGGATGTTTAAATAGATTAACACAGTTCATATTATATACTTATATAAACTTAACAATGCTAGGAAATGCTTGTCCCCAGAAAAATATGACCAGAAACCTTTCTTCCTTGAATAATGGGTTTCTGGGATCAAGAAAAAAGATTTACTCTCCAGATTCTTTTATTCTGTATTGCCTCCTAAAGGTTGGCTATTCTCTCAATTCAGAGGGATTAGATAAGAAGATCATAAAGATTTTTATGATCTGGTTCTAATACTCTAAAATGCCATGATTAATTCAATTTCTCAAATATATGCTTTCTATAAAAGCTGTTCCTAGAAAAGCCATCAGCTGTAAATGTTGTTAATGTTTGTACTTCTTCATTCATGCTTTGGTTTTATATTTTCACTCTGCTGTTTGTGTATACTTTCCACAGAATTGTTTATCAAAAATATTGTGTAAGACCTGGGCCTTTATTGGCCCTAATTGTTTATCAAAATTATTGTGTAACACCTGGGCCCTTATTATCTCCTTTGGGAGATAATAAATATAAAGGCAAAAAGACCTGGCCTCCATACTCAAGAAGATTACAGTTTAATAATTTTTATTAAATTATTCTCAGAGACAGAAATAAACAGTTACAGGAAGCAAGGAATTTTCACTCAGGAGACCTATTGGAGAGACCTGGGTTTGAGTGTAGGTTTCGCTTCTCTGTGATGTTGGAAAAGTATTAAAGCCTCTCTTGAGCCCCAGCTCCTTTATTTTTAAAGTGAAAGTAATGCTGTTACAGACCCTATTGTACTTCCTGTGTGAGGATCAACTGAGGTAACTGTCACAGTTCAAATGATATGGAGGCCAAGGTCCTGGCAAGCCCAGCAAACAACCTGCCTGAAGCAAGTTTGAAGGTAGAGCCCTGGATGCTGCCTGTCAAATTATGTGGAGCCCCATAGAAGACAGAAAAGTGGGGGTCAAGCCATGGTAGACAAAGGAATTATCATCACAATGAAGTTCAAGAGCTTAGACCTCAATACATTTTCTGTATTGAAACAAGGAGTCATATTATAGAAGAGGAGGTAATGAGCAGATTGGTGGGGGCGCGACAAAGGGAAGAGACGAGGTGGATTCAGAAATGGAGGGTTCTGTAAGGAATCAAAAAGTCAAGGCTGAACCCAGATAGGAATATCTGGGCTGGTTTTCTAGATAAGGATTGGCTAGACAAAAGCAGGAAGAGGAGGCAGAGAGATGTCAAAGGCAAAGTATGCTTGTATTTGCCTATTAGGCAGATAGAAAACTGATTTCGCTGTCTCTGGCTAGGTGTGTTGAAGGTAGGTAGAGACTGGGTCTCTGTAGGGTGTATCAGAGGATGGCTAGATGGCTAAATAGCATCTCTACACATTAGATACCAGGGTCAAGGGAAGAGAAAGAAAACTTCGCCTCCTTAACATTAGTAGTGGGCTACTTAAGCTTGGCCTACTCAGTGCAGGTTAACCTTGCTTTGAGATTTAGTCGGTTAATTTTTAAGGTTTATTAGCTTAATGTAACTACATTTAAATGTCCACTCGTCAAGTTTGTAATGGTTTCTTATCTCCTCATTAGGAATAATCTTTACTGCATATAAAACTTTTAAGACCTCGGTGCAGATGGTTACTTGTTTTATATTGCTGGTATGAAGTTCTATTCTATATAGCTGGAGATTGCTTTAGTGGTGCCTACTGTATTGTCTGAGAGACCAAATCCATAGATGTGCCAGCCTCAGCCCCTAGGAAGCAGCAGGCATCCTCTTAGACCAGCCTGATGAGCAGCGAAGGCATTGAGTAGAGGACCAGTAGAATTTAGTCAAGGAAGAACAGAAAAGAACTGCAAAATAGGTGCCCAAATCAGAGAGTAGCCAGGTAAGGAGCCACCAGGAGACAGAGATTTAGAAGAAAATGGGACTAGTTCTGTTGAATCCTAATTGATGATCTTGTTGACTCCGACTTGCCTTTATGGGATGGGATAATCTCCTTCCACATTTCCAAAATGCTCTAGATATGAGCTTTAATAAAAAAAATTTTTTTTTGGTAAAACCTTTCTCTATAAAAGCCATAACCAGTTAAAAAGAAAATAGAATTATAAATTCCATTCACAATACTAACAAAACTATAAGATCCCTAGAAATAAAGAAGATACAGATTACTTAAGAAGGAAGATTTTTAAAAAATCATATTATAGGATATTAAAAAGGTGAAACAGAAGGAAAAATATATCATGTTCTCAAATGGAATCCTTAATATTCTCCAAATTTAAAATTTCCCAAATTGACCTATAAATCGAAGGCAATTCCAATGAGAGTCATAAAGAGGCTTTAAAATTGAATTAAAAAGGCCGAGCACGGTGGCTCACGCCTGTAATCCCAGCACTTTGGGAGGCTGAGGCGGGTGGATCACAAGGTCAGGAGATCGAGACCATCCTGGCTAATACGGTGAAACCCCGTCTCTACTAAAACTACAAAAAATTAACCGGGCATGGTGACGAGATTCCATCTCAAAAAAAAAATTGAATTAAATAATCTTAAAGTTCATACAGCATGTCTAAGAATAGCTAAGAAATTAATAAAAAAGAGGAATAGTGAGAATGACTTGAATTATAGGATAATAGATCGTAAGAAAAACATTTAAAAAAATTACAAGACAATGTATCATAGCCTCATGACATTGATATAGAAACAAACAAATTGAACAGAAAATAAACAAGATCCCAATAATGAATTTTTTTTTATATATGGAAACTTAATGTTTGACAAAGATGAAACGTCAATTCAATGAGAAACTATTATGATCTAAGAAATGGCTTTTACATGTGGTTAATCCATCTGGAGGAAAGTAAATTTGGAAAATTACCACACACCACATAAAAGTAAAGAATTACATGTAAAGACAAAGGCAATAAAACATTTTATAAAATTTAGATGATTATCTGGACAACCTGTGTGTTAGAAAGAGCTGTTCAACCAAGATAGGATTATAGATTTTTTAATGCAAAAGAATAGGCAAAGAAGATAAATAGGCAATTCACAGAAAAGATAATACAAATTTGTGGGTTTTTTTTGAAACAGAGTCTCGCTCTGTTGCCCAGGCTGGAGTGCAGTGGCACGATCTCAGCTCACTGCAACCTCTGCCTCCTGGGTTCAAATGATTCTCCTGCCTCATCCTTCCAAGTAGCTGGAATTACAGGCACCCACCATCACACCTGGCTAATTTTTGTATTTTTAGTAGAGATGGGGTTTCACCATGTTTGCCAGGCTGGTCTCAAACTCCTGACCTCAGGTGATCTGCTCACCTTGGCTTCCCAAAATGCTGGGATAATAGGCATGAGCCACCGTGCCCAGCCGAGAATCCAAATTTATGTGAAATATATGGAAAGATGCTCAACTCTTTAATAGTCAAGGAAATAAACACTGAAGTAACAATAGCATATTTTACATCCATCAAGTTGGCAAAAAATTTAAGAAGCTGTAACACTTTCTGCTAATAGGGATAAAATGAGTTAGCACCAATCCAGCGCATTTGGTGAAATTTGGTGAAAAAACGAGATATGACCAGGTAGAATATATGCATCATACCGTTCCATCCCATTTTTGTAAAACAGTGATTTACACACCGCAAGAAATACACACAAACAGTTGCAAGATGGTCATTAGTCACAAAATAAATATCACAGTTTCAAATACTATTGACAGTAGGCCATCTTCAGGGAATAAGTTGGCCCATTTAATGTTTTTTCCTTTTTAAATTTAGCATCATTTCCGTATAGTAAAATGCAAAAATCTTGAATATAAAATTCAATGAGTTTTGAAAAAAAGCGTATACCCAAGATAACTCACTCCTCATGAATATATAGAACATTTCCGTTGCCCCAGAAAGTTCTTCATGTCTTCTCAGTTGACTGGTTCCTGTCACATGTCCCTTCCTTGTGACTTATTTCTATCACTACAGATTTGTTTTGTCTGTTCTGAAACCTATAAGTGGGCTCATTATGTACTCTTTCATATTTGGCTTTTGTTGAGCATAATGTTTTCGAGATTCCTCCAAGCTGCTGCATGTATCAGTGGTTCATCTTCTTGGTGAGTAGTATTCCATTTTATGAATATAACACAATTTGTTTCTCCATTCTCTTGATAGACAGTTGGATTGTTCTCAATTTGAAAATATTATGAAGAAAGCTAGTAACATCCTTGTACAAGTCTACTTGTAGAAATTTGTTTTCACTTCTCTTAGGTAAATATTTAGGAATGGAATTGTTGAATTATAGGGTAAATATATATATATATATATTTAATAAGAAACTGCCAAATAGTTTTCCTGAGTAATTGTATCACTTACATACCCACTAATGATGAATGAGAGTTCCACATCCTTGGTAATATATCAGTGTTTTTAATTTTAGCCATTCCATAGGTATATAATAGTATATCATTGCAATTTTAATTTCATTTCCCTGATGAAGTATGTTAAGTGTGGTTTCATGTGCTTATTTAACCATTTATATATCTTCTTTTGTGCAGTGTCTCTTCAAGTGTTTTCTCCATTTTATAGGGTTGTATGTCTTATTATTGAAGTATAAGAATTCGTATAATATGAATACAAGGCCTTTGTCAGATGTATGTATTGTGCATATATTATAATATACAACTATTCATTTTTTAACTCAGATTCTGACAGATTCATTTTCTTAATGGTATTTTTTGATGAAAAGAAGTTTTAATTTTGATAAAGTTTGATTTTTCTTTATGATTAGCATTTTCTGTGTCATCTCTAAGAAATATTTACCTACCCTAAGATTGGCAAAAATATTTGCCTGTTTTTTCTTTTAGAGGACAATTATTTGGATATTGACCTTGTATTCTGCTAAGATTCTACTAGTTCTAGTACTTAATTTTGTTAAATTCCTTAGAATGAGGTTATGCCATCTGTGAAGAAAGTGAGTTTTATTTCTTTCTTCCAGGTCTTTATGCCTTTTATTTCTTTTACATGCTTATTACTCTGGATACAATCCACAATAAAATGTTGAATAGAAGTAGTAAGAGTGGACATCCTTGCTTTATTTCTGTTCTTAGGGAGAAATCATTAAGTCTTTTTCTTCATTAAGTATGAAGTTAGCAGTTGAAGCCTTGTAGATATTCTGTTAGATTAAGGAGATTTTCTTCTATTCTTAGTTTGCTGAGAGTTTTTTTTGTTTTTAATCAGGAATAGGTATGGAATTTCATCAAAGGACTTTTCTGCATCTATTGAGATTATATTTGTTAATGTGATGAAGCAAGCTTGCATTACTGGACCGAACCTCACACTTAGTCAAGATGTGTCATCGTTTTCATGTGTTGATAGATTTGTTTGCCAGTATATTAGGCTTGAAGTCTACTTTGTTTGACACTAATAGTTACTCTAAAGTTTTCTTATGACAAGTGACTGCATGTTATATCTGGTCCTATTCCTTTACTTTTAGCATTTTTCTAACATTTTGCGTGTGTCTCTTATAAACAGCACACAGCTGGGTTTTATTTTTTTTTAATCTAGTTGCCAATCTCTGCCTTTTAATTATTTAGTTTACACTTAAGGCAATCATCGCGATGATTGGGTTAATATCTACCATTTTGCTATTTATTTTCTATTTACCTGTTTAATTTTTTTTTCCTCCTTGCCTGACATTTTTGGAATTATCAAGTACTTTTGGGAATCCCATTTTGTTTCTTCTATTGGCTTTTTAGCTACAATTTTGATTCTTTTAATGATCTCTCTAGGAATTATCAGATGTATCATAATCATAACATACACTGAATATTATAGCACATCACATTCGCTGTATTTTAAGAAACTTGCAACAAAATTCCATTTGTTCACTTTCCTAATTTCTGCTATTTCTGTATTCTGTCATACATTTTGCTTCTACATATAAAACAATAAATTTTAGTTTTGTTTGTTTGTTTGTTTGTGACGGAGTCTCGCTCTGTCACCCAGGCTGGAGTGCAGTGGCGCGATCTCGGCTCACTGCAAGCTCCGCCTCCCGGGTTCACGCCATTCTCCTGCCTCATCCTCCCGAGTAGCTGGGACTACAGGCGCCCGACACAACGCCCGGCTAATTTTTTGTATTTTTTTAGTAGAGACGGTGTTTCACCGTATTAGCCAGGATGGTCTCGATCTCCTGACCTTGTGATCCGCCCGCCTCGGCCTCCCAAAGTGCTGGGATTACAGGCGTGAGCCAACGCGCCTGGCCTAGTTTTTGTTTTAGAAAGTCAATTGCCTTTTATATAAATTTTAAAATGAGGAGGAAATCTTTACCCACTTGTGTACAATTTCTGAAACTCTTCATTCTGTCACATAGATTCTCTTTTCGTCTCATACCATTTCTGGATTTTGTTATACTTTTAAAAATATTGGATTTTGTGCTAGCAGGCAGTTGATTTACTGTCAGGCAGCTTGATCCTGCCCAAGCTTGTTTTTGCTTAGGGCAGATGTAGAGCGGCCATTAGCCTTGCGTTAGAGTAGCCCTTCTAAAACATGACCTGTCTCAGGTCTCAACTAAATAAGCAGGGTCTTCAGTAAAGTCTTTCTTTTTTGGCTGATTGGAACTGCCACACCTTTCTCTGTGGAAAAGCCTCTGGAGTCTCTGTGTGGCTCTCAGCTTCTAGTAGCTGCTGTCAGCCAGGCATTGCAGATCCCTGCCTTGTGATTGCATAGGTTAGCATTTGGCAAAAGACACTAGAGGACACCTATGAAGACATCTGGAGATCCATCACTGCATGGCTCTTTCTAATTTCTAATAGCACACTTCTAGCCTCTTCAGCCGCCTTGAACTCCAATATTTGTTTTCTCTCTCCAGCAGGAGTGCT
The DNA here is from genome assembly GCF_000001405.40 of Homo sapiens. NCBI lineage: Eukaryota > Metazoa > Chordata > Mammalia > Primates > Hominidae > Homo > Homo sapiens. The sequence goes on from NC_000009.12 coordinate 21,045,561, forward strand.
GCTTTCCAATAGGAATTCACTTCCCTGTGCCATGGCTTGGAAACTTCCCCTAGGCAGAAAGCTGGTGTTATCCTTCTCTCAGGGACCATAGCCGTGGACTGTTTCTTGTCCAGTGCCTGAAAGATTTATAGAGTTGATTTATTGTCAAGTTCTATCATCATTTACAGTGCGATACCAATTATTCCATCCAATCCAGAATTGTTATACAGGTGAACTCTCTATATAACTGACACTTAAACTTCAATCACAGGAATCTTTAAAAAAGTAAAGATTTCTTATAGAAGTTGTAAAATATAGTATACACTTTTCTGATTTTCAAAATGAAACACTAATACTATTTACTCCTTTATCAAGAACTTAGTCGCAGTTATAAATAAACCTTATTCTGCATGGATCCCCTCAAGAGCTCTTGAAATGGGAACTTGATATTTATGAATGTTGCTATAGTTTGTGTAGGACCCACATCCATGTGAGTGTTGTTCCCTATCTCTCTTCATTTCCCCTACTTTTTCCCACCATTTGACCTTTGGAAAACTAAATTATTCCTGTCTTAGTTTATGCATAGCATAAAAATAAATCTATAAGTTGTAATTATTTGGTGCATTCCAATCCTTAATATACCTGATTTTTGTCTTATCTCTTTAGAATCATCTCTATTGTTACAGATTATGAATCATTGAATGTTTCCATTTTATTTTCTGTATTATAGTGGATGGTATACTTCTGTCCGTTTTCAAAGGAGATTTAGATCATTTTCAACTCTTTAACTTACTTTTCCACTCAATTCAAACCCACATTGTCACACACAAATTTTGTGCCAAGTGAGGTGCTAAGTGCTGGCATTTCGAGGATGGAGAGGAGTGTTGTGACTCCCTACAAAATGAAAATCATGAAAATGGCTTCCTTGGTGTGTTTCTTACATGAAAACTTAGTACTGATTTGCTGTTCTGTTGATATTCATATCATAGCCCTTTCAAGGCCCCACAGAACTTAGGGCTGCTTATGAATGATATCAGGTTGGATATTTTACCAGATATCAACATTTCTTCCTTTTAATTTCTTTTACTGTTATTTTTTCCTCCAATACAATTAATTTGTTTTAACTTTTGTAGACCTTGTGATCCAGTGCAGGTATGACGAAATGAACCTGAGCCTAATTTTTTTTATTGCTTCAATTCTTATGTAAAAATAATTAGACTGCTTTGCAATTGTAATGCCCTTCATGTAAAGGTTTGTTCATATTTAACAGAGACTAGGCTGTGTATGAGTGGAAGTTTGGAAATTTTGCTGTAATTCTGGCTTGGGATTGGGCACAAAGAAAATCATTTACTCATGTGAAGCCAATTTGCCTCATCTGTAAAATGACTTTGATAGAAACTGATCAATATAAGAGCAAATGATGGTAATAATTATAATGCCAACTATAGCTAAATATATTGAGGGTTGACTCTTGCTAGTCACTATTCTGAACACTTTATGTGGGTTAACTAATTTGCTCCTCCAACAAAGCTGCAATGGGAGTACTGTTTATTATTTCCATTTTACAGATGAGGAAACTGGAACACAGATGATCTGAGTTACCCAGAGTTAGCACTGCTAGCAAGTGGTAAAGCTAGTATTTTAACTCAGGCCTACTCAAATGATTGAACAGTGCTTTCACATATGTACTGTTTTACAAATGCTGAATTAAAATTTGCTTCAGAACTCTAGAAGGCAGTATTAACTAAACAGAAGGTTTGGCTTGCATTTACACTAATCTAAAATTCCAGTCTGCGTCCCACAGGATGTTCCCCCCTGCAACTTAATTACATCTGAAGCTATTCAGATACCCATCCATCACCATTTCATTTTCCATGGCAGCTGTCAGCCATAGGGGAAGATCTTCATGTTAAAGCAATTGAATCTATCATCCTCAGGGCAGGTTAAGATGCAACTAAAGGCTCTTTCCCTTATCTGTGCCTTCTGCTCCAGCCATTACCTTATCTCTCTCTTTCCATTTACAGCCAAGCATGGCATGCTTTTCAGACCTCATCTTCCTGGCTTTTCTGCCAGTTGTTAACCACTTCCTGCTGTTGAGCCCTCAGTGCTCCGCTGCTGTCCACTACCATATCTCCTTCTCCTTCTTGGGTCCTCATTTTCATTTCAGGCTTTCCATATTTCATAAACTATACTGTTTGTATGTGTGCCTCCTTATCACCCTTCCAGCTTTCCGAGTACAGGAACCTTTGTATCCTCACCCCCACCCAGCACAATACAAGGTGAGGAGCAGCTACTCATGAACTGGGGTTTAATGTTGTTTGAAACAGCTGCTATTGAGAATACTGCCAGGTAACCCCATAACAACTCCTTGGGGATGGTAAAGAACCATACTCCAGGAAAATTGTGGATATTACTATCAAAGTTTTTCTCCACACTTGGGAAGCTATGCATGTTTGAAGACCCAGGGAAAGAATGCTGTGGAAAATAAATGACTAAATTTGCTTACGAAATAAAGACAGGATATTATCGTGAGAGGGGGTAAGGGAAGGATGCCAAGGAATACACAGGAGAGGGATGTGTCCTCACCTTCTTGGCTCTGCTGTTCCTGAACTAAGGTTCCTTCTCTCTCAGAGAAGGAATGTCTTCAAGAGTTTCTTTGAACATCAGAAATTTTCTAATAGGAAAATTGTTAGCTCACCTAGAAGCATACTGTGTTGAAGATCTTTGGTGATTAGGCATTTAGCTTGTTTGGCTTTGATTTGAGAGATACCTTTAAGATGTTTGTGATTTCATCAAGGTACAAACTTGAATTGTACACACAGGCTGGGAGGCTGAGTGCAGGGCTGTGTAAGCCTAGCTTCCCAAGCTCAGTGTACAGGCCCCTAAATGGGCTTGGTAGTGCTGGATGGACCTGCCCTTTATGTGTATATGGGAAAATATACACAACACCAGTGTTGGGGTGTTGCAGAAGATCTTGAGGATGCAATCCTCACAGGTGTTAGAGTATAGTTTAGAAGCAGATAACATCGATGGGTGATGAACTGAAGAGAAAAATCTTTAAGATGATAACTAAGCCATAATGATTTATTGTCAAAAATGTTAAAGTGTTTTCAAAAACAATATGAATATAATGATCAAGTTAGAGTTAGTGCCTAAGAGACATTGAGTGAGGTGCTCATTCATCCTTTTAAGCCCTAGTTTTCTTGTCTGTGAAATATTTGTTCTAACTTCACAGCATTGTGGTGGGGAAGAAGTCATACTTTGTTTGGTGTGTTACAGTTCTTCCAGGAAACAATAGGACATGTAGAGAAATATATGGGAAGGGGCTTATTAGGGGAAATTCTCACTTGACTATGGAGGCTGAGAAGTCTGGTGATAGGCTGTCTGCAGGCTGGAGAACCAGGGAAGCCGGGGGTGTGGTTCATCCAAGTCTGAACCTCAGAACCAGGCAAGTCAATGATGCAACTGTCAGTCCGAGGCCAGAGAGCTACGGGGCTGGGAGGCTGCTGGTGTGACTCCCAGAATTCAAAAGCTGGAGAACCTGGACTTCCGACATCCAAGAATAGGAGAAAAAAGGTGTCCCAGCTCTGGAAGAGAGAACAAGAATTTGCCCTTCCTCCACCTTTTTATTCCATCTGGGCCCCCAGCTGATTGGATGGTGCCTGTCTATGCTGAAGGCAGATCTTTCCCACTGTCTGCAGACTCACACACGAGTCTCGTCTGAAAAAACCCTCACAGACACACCTGGGGCAGCCCAATCATTCTAGTCAAATGCCAAACCATCTGCTTTCTCTTTCAGCAGAAGAGCTCACTGAAGCATTGAGGGTGATTAATGCAATGATTCAGAGTAAATAATGCTTTACCAGCTATCTGGGTATCCCTTAATTAAGTCGACACCCCAAATCACCCATCACTGTGTGTGTGTGTGTGTGTGTGTGTGTGTGTGTGTGTGTGTGGTGTTAGCATGGTGCTTGGCTCATTGTTGCTAAAATTTAATAAATTATTGATTAAACTATATAATTTGCAAGGATGGCACACTCACTTTGGTGCTAAAATATTTTTGCTACTAATCAATAGAAATTGACATGTTAACTTTTTCTTAATGAAACAGGTATCACCTCATCCTCATAGTAGTTATGGTGGAACAAAATTGTCCTTCTTAAACCAGTAACTTGCTTCTTAAATAAATATGTTGCAGTTGATTAGGCTTTGTTAGGGTTTAAAATATTTAAGTGGCAAACAATGCAATAATAGTTTCTTGAATTATCTTTAAATGTATTTTTTTGTAGGAGATTTAATTTAAATGTATTTTGGTAGGAGATTTCACATTTTATTTAACATTTTCCCAAGTACTTTTATATGCTGTATCTCACTTGATCTTCCTAATGAGTAGGAAAGGTAAATATTATTAGTCTAGTTTCAGACTTAAGGAAACTGGAGCTTCAGAGGGATTGACTGTCTAGTCACATGACATAGAGCTGTCCACACCTGATACATACTGCAAGCCAGATTTTCTGACCCAAGTCATGTACTCATTCCTTCTCACACTGCCTCTCCTTGTTGTAGTTATCAATGACTGGATTCAAAACTAAGAAACTTAAGTATTAGGTTGGTGCAAAAGTAACTGCAGTTTGGACCATGAATTTTAAATCGTTATAACTAGGCTCAAACACATCTTTATTTATCAAAATAGGAACCATTACAATCAACACATTTTTGCCAATGAAAAATAAGTTTATTCATGTAGCTTAAAAATCCATGCTTCAGGATTTGACAAACTCTTGGAAAGCATTTTCTGCATCCTGTTGCTTGTGGAAGCATTTTGCCTACAAAAAGTTGTTGAGATGCTTGAAGAAGTGGTAGTCGGTTGGCAAGAGGTCAGGTGAATATGGTGGATGAGGCAAAACTTCTTAGTCCAATTCACTCAACTTTTGAAGCGTTGGTTGTGGGACATGCAGTCACGTGTTGTCGTGAAGAATTGGGCCCTTTCTGTAGACCAATGCGGGCTGCAGGCATTGCAGTTTTTGGTGCGTCTCATTGATTTGCTGAGTATACTTCTCAGATGTAATGTTTTCACTGGGATTCAGAAAGCTGTAGTGGATCAGACGGGCAGCAGACCACCAAACAGCGACCGTTTTTTGGTGCAAGTTTGGCTTTGGGAAGTGCTTTGAAGCTTCTTCTGGGTCAACCACTGATCTGGTCATTGCCAGTTGTCATATACAACCCACTTTTCATCGCATGTCACAATCCAGTGGAGAAATGGTTTGTTGTTGTTGCATAGAATAAGAAAACGACACTTCAAAATGATGATTTTTAAAAATTTTTGGTCAGCTCATGAGGCACCCACTTATTGAACTTTGTCACCTTTCCAGTTTGCTTCAGATGGCAAACAACTGTAGAATGGCTGACATTGAGTTCTTCGGCAACTTCTTGTGTAGTTGTAAGAGGATCAGCTTCGATGAGTACTCTCAATTTGTTGTCAACTTCCGATGACTGGCCACTACGCTCCTCACCTTCAAGGTTCTCCTCTCTTTTGCAAAACTTCTTGAACCACCACTGCACTACATTCATTAGCAGTTCCTGGGCCAAATGCATTGTCAATGTTGCAAACACCGCTGCTTTACCACCCATTTTGTACTTGAATAAGAAAATTGCTTGAACTTGTTTTTTGTCCAACATCACTTTCATAGTCTAAAATAAACATAAAATAAACAATGAGTAATAAGTCATTAGCAAAAAACCTAAAGTGACAAATGCCCATTAAAATGATGTGTAACATAACCACATTCATTTAAGAATGTATTCCTATATCAAATGGCAAATGCCAACAATGCAGAAACCGCAATTACTTTTGCACTCACCTAATATATTTAAGCACATGCCCCCGAATTTTGATGAGCTCTCTTAGTTATAAGGGAAAAGCTTCTTAAATACTGTGCATTCTTTGCTATGCAATATTTAACTATACATTTCTGAGTATTGCTATGGATACATTTTTTCTGTGTGAAAATTAATTTCTAGGGTATGTATCCTCAGTTACCATAGGTAGAATTTGAAAATACTTTCTGAAACATTTAAAAAATATCAAATTATTGTCACTTTTACTACTGTATTTTATTATAGCCTAATTCTTAAATCTTATAAATTACATATGGCATATATTTTTTATTAAACTTACTGACAAATAAACAAAAGCTTTTGAAGATTTTGAAAAATCCATGAGATGTTTCTGAAGGCCTCTAGCAAAGAAAACATTTGAAAGGTGGAAGCACTAAAAGATCACACATAAAAAAAAAATTGATTGCTGCCAGGAGTACCATCTCTCAGTAGGTGGGCTTTTCTTAGAAACTCTCTTTTTCTCTTCATTCAAAACAAGGTCACGAAGATGTGTCTTCTTTTCAATGTAGTGAGACAGATCAGCAAATTAAAAAAAGAAAACCTGACTGTGGGAATATGGAAGACTATGGGACTGTGGGAGAATGTCATGATCCATGCGAGCCCACTGCTGGTCCTGAGGTGGGTTGGGTCAGTATGTGGTTACTGAGCAGTATGTTGGGTCAGTATGTGATCACCGAGCTGTGTGACTATATTTGTTTCCTAGGGAGCTGGGTGGCTTAAAACAACAGAACTTCTTTGTCTTCCAGTTCCAGAGGCCAGAAGTCCCAAATTAAGGTGTTGGCAGAGCCACGGTCTCTCTGAAGACTTTAGCAGGTGATCCTTCCTTGCTTCTTCCTAGCTTCTAGTGGCTCATGGCAGCCCTTGGTGTCACTTCATTTATACATGCTTCATTCCCATTTCTGCCTCTGTCTTCACATGGCATTCTCTTCTGTGTGTCTGCATCCAGATTTCCCTTTTCTTATAAGAACCCCAGTCATTGCATTAGGGTATATCCTAATCCAGCATGGCTTCATTTTAACTTGATAATATTTGCAAATACCTTTTTTCTAAATAAGGTACCCAGGGTTAGGACTTTAACATATCTTTTTTGGGGATAGAATTCAATCCACAACATTGACAGAGCAGAAAGAAAAATGTGGCCAGTTCTATTCCCCATGCTGCCAAGTGACCATAGGTGAACCCCCTGGAATCCTGGATACTCAAAATGTGTTCTCCAGACCAGCACTGTAGTATCAAACATTACCTGAGCCTTAATTCAATATACAGTAGTTCAAGCCCCATTCCAGGTGTACTGAATCAGAACCTGTATGTTAACAAGATCCCCAGGTGATTTGTATCCACATCAAAGTGGGCTGAGCACTGCCTAAGAGCAGTGGTTCTCAAAGTGTGGGTTTCACCTGTGATAAAAGAAAAACTTCAGCTGAATTAAATTTAAAGGAGTTTAATTGAGCAATGAACTATTCGTGAATCGGGCAGCCCCCAGAATCACAGCAGATTCGCGGAGACTCCAGTGCAGCCATGTGGTGGAAGAAGACTTACAGACAAAAAAAAGGGAATTGACATACAGAAATTGGCAGTGAGGTACAGAAATAGCTGGATTGGTTACAGGGTGGTGTTTGCCTTATTTGAACACAGTTTGAACACTTAGCAGTCTATGAGTGGTTGAAGTATGGCCACTGGGATTGGCCAGGACTGTTATTGTTATAGGCGCAATGAAAAACTTTTTCATTTAGAGCAGGGGTTTTCATTTCTGGCTTCACAGAACTCTGCATGTCTAGGCCTCACCCCTGGAAATTCTGGAGATCTAGATCTTTTGGAAACTCTACAGTGGGTTCTATTGCATAGCCATAGTGGGACCCCTTTGCCTTAGGGAGAAATAATTGATGGTTAAATTAACTTACTCCTAAGCTAGGTTTTCAATGTTGTCTGACTATTAAGATAGGTTACAGTTCATCCACAAGAACCCAAATATACAAGTCCTTCTCAGGCCATATTTAGTTTCCTTTAACACCTGTGAGCTTGTTAGAAATGCAAAGTCAGGGCTGGGAGCAATGGCTCATACCTATAATCTCAGCACTCTGGGGGGTCCGAGGTGAGCAGATCACCTGAGGCCAGGAGTTTAAGACCAGCCTGGCCAAGATGGCGAAACCCGTCTCTACTAAAAATTCAAAAAATAGCCAGGCATGGTAGCACGCGCCTGTAATCCCAGCTACTTGGGAGACTGAGGCAGCAGAATCACTTGAACCCAGGAGGTGGAGGTTGCAGTGAGCTGAGATTGTGCCACTGCACTCCAGCCCTGGTCCCTGATGACAGAGTGAGACTCTGTCTCAAAAAAAAAAAAAAAAAAAAAAAAAAAAAAAAAAAAAAGCAAAGTCATGGGTTCTATCCCATTCTGGTAACCCAGAATCTCTGGGCATAGGCTCCAGGAAACTGGCTCAGCAAACTCCCCAGGTAGTTCTTACACACTTAAGTTTTTTGAACCACCGATAGGGTTTGAATTTGTGTCCCTGCCCAAATCTCATGTGGAATTGGAGGAGGGGCCTGGTAGTTGGTGACTGGATCATGGGGGCTGATTTCCCCCTTGCTCTTCTCATCATAGTGAGTGAGTTCTCATGTGATCTGATAGTTTAAAAGTGTGTAACTTCTCCTTTCTCTCTCTCTTTCTCCTGCCACCACGTGAAGAAGATCCTTGCTTCCTCTTCACCTTCTGCCTTGATTCTAAGGTTCCTGAGGCCTCCCAGTCATGCTTCCTGTTAAGCCTGTGGAACTGTGAGTCAATTAAACTTCTTTTCTTTGTAAATTGCCCAGACTCAGGTAGCTATTTACAGCGGTATGAAAATGGACTAATACAACCACTGATGCAAAAAAAAACTCCAGAACTATCACAGAAAGGCAGGTGGCAAAGAGAAACACCTGCCCAAGCATAGGTATGGAAGGCATCACACATAAGGAAATATGAGGAAAAGTCAATCCAGCACAGGGTAAGTGGGATGCCATTGCTCAAGTCCAGAAAATTCATGTCATGATATTTGGGCACAGAGGCAATGGAGGTCAGAGAATACCTCAGATGATGGGGAAACAGTTCATGGATGTAAAAAAAGGACGCCAAGTATGGGACCCACATTTGCCATTTGAGAAGAAGTTTTTCATTTAGGGAACGGGGTTTCATTTCTAGCTTCACAGAACTCTGCATGTCTGGGCCTCACCTCTGGAAATTCTGGAGACATTTCGGAAACTCCATAGTGGGCTCTAATGCGTAGCCATAGTGGAACCCCTTTACCTTAGGGAGAAAGAATTGATGATTAAATTAAGCCATAGACTTTTGATGCAGAATATAAATTGCTCTATAGTAGACTATAAGTGTCCATGCAATGTGTCTATAGTAGCTGTTTAGTAAGCCTCAGAGAGCAACTGTAGTGTATTTTTGGTTTGTTTGTTTTTTGGGGTTCTATTAATTCTTTATTTCCCAAAGACCAAATTAAAGAATCTTTTCCGGAGGCCCAGAGGCCCTAAAAACATGGTAGATCCACTCAATCATCCTGTCGTAATTTGCTGATGGTATAGACTATCCTTTACTGAGGCAGGTGGATCAATAGTCATACAACAGGGATATGGGCTTGCTGAGCATGGCCATCCATTTGTTATGTGTATGCTGTATGGTATATGCACCTGATAGTGATAACTTAAGCACACCTTGAGAATGCCCTGTATGGCAGATGCACCTGAATATGTGTTTGGAGTTCTGAGCTAAGGAATCCAGGAATGGCCAATCTGAAAATTCATTCCTCGTCTATGAGGAACATCTAAATCCCTGGCCTGTCTTGTGGATCATGTTTAATACAGGGCAGCAAGGCCATTTGTTTTGGGTTAAATGAAGGTTGCCAGGTAGAGGTTGTTGTGGGAAGAGTGCTAAGAGAAAATGCTATATGAACTGCATGTTTTTCTCTGGCCAGCCTGCCACCACTGGGCCATCCCTTTATGTAAGTTGCCTGCTAATAAAACTCTATGTCTCTGGGAACAGAAAAACAAATAGACAAACAAACAAACAAACAAACAAACAAAAACCAACCCCCAAACCCCTATGTCTTGTTTTCTGGCTCTGGTTTCTCCTTTGGCGTCATAAACCTACTCCCATCCCTACTGATCTTAATAGGGGTCTGGCATGACATATGTATGTGTATGTATACATATACATAACTGAACAAAGTAGACAAAAATGCCTGTCTTTATGAAGCTTATGTTCTATTGGGAGAAGACAGGCAGTAAACAAATAAGTAGAATTTATTTTTTTATCAGATGGAAATAAAGCAGACACACAGGATGAACAGTGATAGGGTGTAGAGGGTTACAATTATATAAAGTGATCAGGGATTGCCTGAAGGGAACAACCCATTCTAGTCTAAGTAATTTGAGACATGCTGTATTATGGACATTGTGTTTTACATCAAGAAGGAACCAAGACAGATTCAAGAAGTTGCCTTCTCCTATGTCCTCCCTCTCACCCAAGAATCCTTGGGAATCCAGAACCGGGGTGTCCAGTGTGATAGCCACTAGTCCATGTGCTACTTAAATTTAAATTAATAAAATTAAATAAAACTTCAAAATCAATTTCTCAGTCATACTACCTACACTTCAAGTGCTTAAAAGCTACAGGGCTAATGTCTACTATATTGGACAGCAAAGAGAACCTTTCCATTATTGCAGAAACTCCTGTTGGTTAGAGCTGCTCTTGAATGAAGTGGGACAGTATCTTAGACAAGGAAAATGGCTTAACAATGGGCACAATGACCTAGGTTCAGCTGCGGATTATAGGAGTTCCCTTCTTTAAGGAAATACATGTGACTAAGATTTAATGATACATAACATAGAAGATAAGTGGCAACATTTTAGAAATATTTTTTTTCTAAAAGGAGTTATTGTAGAGTTTAAAAAATAATGATGTTAATCAGTACATTTAAATTCAACCTCACTCAGAGAAATGTACACGCCTGGTTGTAAATTGTAAATAATTGGTTTACAATTTACTAATTGTTATTTACGAACCAATTGTAAATAATTGGTTTCTTGTGCAAAGGAAGGTATCTTGTTAGCTAAGCAATCATTTTGTTTCTCATTCAGTCACTCACCAAAGAAGAGAATCTTTTCGCTCTGTTTTTAAAACTGAAGTTAGTTAGTTGTCAATTCCACCTAGAAACATGAAAATAAAAACAAAAACACAGAATAAATTGATACTGAGAATGTAGTCCCAAGCTTCACAGAGGCTTGAAGACAACACTAAATGAACACACGTTGATAATTTATGATTTATTGTTAGTGGACTTAGGTGGGGGATTGAAGTGGGGAGGAGATAACAGGAAGTCTAAGAAGAGGGAGTGGCCTCTTCTAGGGTATCTCTACTTAGTGTGAGAGAGAAGGCTGGTAGGAGTGCATCTCAAGAATTTCTGCCTCATCTTTCTCCCTGCTTTGTCCTCCCAATTTTATGTTCCCCCAAAATTCATATCTTAAAATCTTAACCCCCAAAGTGATAGTATTAGGAGGTGGGGCCTCTTGGGAGGTGATTAAGTCATGAGGGTGGAGCCTTGATGAATGGGATTAGTGCCCTTATGAAAAAGACCAAAGGGAGTTTGTTTGCTCTTTTCACCACATAAGGAGGTAGTGAAAAGACAGCTGTCTATGAGTCAGAAAGCCAGCCCTCACCAGACACGGAATCTGCTGGCACCTTCCTCTTGGACTTTCCAGCCCTTCAGAACTGTGAGAAATTTCTGTTGTTTATAAGCTACCCCATTAATGATAATTTGTTATAGCAGTGCAAACTGACTAAGACACTCCCTTTCCTTCTGTTTTCCATATCTGCCATCACCTTTGTCCCATGCCTTTCTGTGTTCTCATTCTTCTAGGAAACCACATAAAACATCCAGAATTTCAAATGGGCATGCTGAGGATTGGGATGGTTCCAGGTGGAACACTTGTTGCTGTTTCCCTAGCTCAAGTGTAGGATTTATTGAGAACAGGAACTGCGAAGTTTTTAATCATAGCCATAATCTTTATCAGGCTGATAGTCCTATAATCTGTCTGCATTTAAAAGGTAGCCTTTCCCCGCAGGGCACAGTCGCTCATGCCTGTAATCCCAGCACTTTGGGAGGCTGAGGTAGGCAGGTTACCTGAGGTCAGGAGTTCGAGACCAGCCTGGCTAACATGGTGAAACCCTGTTTCTACTAAAAATACAAAAAATTAGCTGGGCACGGTGGCACGTGCCTGTAATCCCAGCTACTTGGGAGACTGAGGCAGGATAATCGCTTGAACCCTGGAGGTGGAGGTTGCAGTGAGCCAAGATTGTGCCATTGCACTCCAGCTTGGGCAACAAGAGTGAAACTCCTTCTCATAAAAAAATAAAATAAAATAAAATAAAAAAGATAGCCTTTCCCTCTGGATAGTGATAACCCTAAAAATAGTTTAATATTTTCTCTATCAAATGAAGCAGTCTGAAAATTATTCTTTGAGTAAAGTTATAAGAATACTGAACTTAAAAGATATTGATTACACAGTCTATTTAAAGATACATGCATGCATATGTTCATTGCAACACTATCCACAATAGCAAAGACATGGAATCAACCTAAATGCCCATCAATGATAGACTGGATAAAGAAAATATGTGGTACATATACACCATGGAATACTGTGCAGTCATAAAAAGGAATGAGATCATGTCCTTTGCAGGGACATGGATAGAGCTGGAGGCCACTATCCTTAGCAAACTAACATAGGAACAGAAAACCAAATACCACATGTTTTCACTTGTAAGTGGGAGTTGAATGATAAGAACTCATGGACATATTGGGGAGAACAACACACACTGGGGCCTGTTGGAGGGTAAGGAGAAGGAGGGAGAGCATCAGGAAGAACAGCTAATGGAATGTTGGGCTTAATACCCAGGTGATGGAATGATCTGTGCAGCAAACCGCCATGGCACATGTTTGCCTGTGTAACAAACATGCATATCCTGAACATGTACCCATGAAATTAAAATAAAAATTGATTATAAAACCAAATAAAAGAATATATTTAATTTAAAAAATACTTTATGTATAAATATACAATCTTCTAATATTAATGTTTTAATACTATTTAATATGATAAATCTTTTGATAAATTAGTATTTGTGATTCAAATAATTTTTTTAATCCAGAAAATTGACGAAAATATTATCTTAAGTCACAGAAACCGAATTAAAAGTTGCTTAAAAATATCAAACAGATTTCTGGAGACATCTGAAGTGGTACTAGTAACCAACTCCAAATTAGTTATTTATGTAAATAACCTGTTTCTTGGTATTGGAGTCTTCTTGTGCACTGTTCAATAAATAGTAGACCCCTTCGGATTTCAACATGGATGACCTCCCAGGCACAGTTGCTATAATTTTGGTGGTGTAAGTAGTTGTGAATCCCTTGGAAATAATTTTTTAGTCTAAATATGGTATTCCCCCTTTGCAAGAGTGAACGGCCCTCTTTCCTGGTTTCCTGCTCCAAACACACCTCTGTCTTCTCTATTTGCTGATAAAGTCTACTTAGGAATCTCTCCAAGCTGCTTTCATTCCAAAAAGATTGGGAGACATTAAGGCTGAAAGTGTTGAATATCTGCTGTAACATTTCTTATTTGGCAATGAGGGCATTTTCCTTTGAAAACAGGTTACTTTTAGAAACCTGGAAGAATCTGAAGTTGCTCCTGTCCTTTAGACATTGCAGAGGAAATTTTTCTCCTAGGTTTTTTAAATGTTCTAAAATCTCCCAGTTGCCCTTGCACCTTTGAAAGTGACAGTCCAGAGAGAATGCAGTAGTGGTGAGAAGTAGCACCAAGGCCCAATCCAGCAAGCATTGACTAGTCATGTTGAGTTCCTTCACACTGCTGTTCCTTCCTATAAGAGAGCTCAGGTATCAGCTCTGACTGCAGGCTCCACATCTCCAAATTTATATATCTGAGGGAGCTTTGTTCTTGCACGGTGTTTCAGGATACCTCTACTGGTACTTTCATGTGGTCTTTGCCACTTTTCATTTACTATTTTCCAAACATAAACAAAAGCTTTGTAGCATCACCAGACAGCAATACATACATTTACTTTTATAATGTGATGGATATAAACTATCTTCTATGAAAGATCAACCATCAGTTACATGACAACAAAGCAGTGGATATCCTTGCCTTAATTTGCATTTTTATGCATAGACTGTACTGGCTTGCCTTCATCTACTTAGGCTTGTCGTTGTTCCAATCAAGGATGACTCTGGGTGAAATGCTCGTTTAGATATTTGGCATGGTTTTCAAGGCTTTGTTTTAGCTAATTGTATTTTATCATAAACTTATATTTCAAAGCCCTTCAAACATGGCACATTGTTTAACCTCTCTGCCAATTTCCTGATGTCTAAGGTGAAGAAAATATTATCACAGATGGTTGTTAGCAAGATTGGTGACTGATGATTGGCACGGAGGAAGTGCTCAATCAATGCTTATTACCATAATGACCATAATCACCATCACCATCCTCTTAGGGAGAAGAAGGCCTAGCTGCCCCTGCCACTGACACACTTCTCTCTGGGGTTTTTGCTCTGTAAGGGCAAGAATGTTGCAGAGACTTGTGGATGAATGAGTACTGAAGCCAGTCAAGATGCTGTTTTAAAATCCTTTGAGATTTTATGCTTTGTAATTTTATTTAACTAGGGCAGATGGTAGTGTTGAATGCACTGTGAACACCAACAGTTGATCAATGAGTAATATTACCAAGAGTAAGGAATGAGGTGAGGGGGTGACATTTTTTGAGAATAAATTATGTGTGGGCACTGTGCTAGATGATGCGCTACTGTATACAAGGCAGGTCAGAATACAAGGCAGGCCAGAATTGTCTGAAGGGAAAAGCTAGTCATGATGAGAAAAACTAAAATGAGTGGAGTAAAAAACCACCATATGATATTAAAGACAATAACAATCATCCTATATACTGAATAATATTTTTATATAAATTCTCATTATGGACTAAATGTGGAGCAATTATACGATCCTCATTTTACAAGAGAGGAACCTGAATCTCAGAAACCCAATCTTACCTGCTAAGGTTGGGTAAAGGTTAGAGGGACTGTGCTCAAAACTGGAGATGACGAAGAGGTTTAATCCCAAATCAATTGGTACTAGTCTTAGGGAGTGAGAAGGATTCAGAGGGCTTCATCTGGGCTAGGTGAAAAGAGTGCTGTAACCCGCTAGCACTGTCTGCTATGGGGTAAGGCAGCTCCCCTTCGAGCTGCCATCCCCATGTAAATGTTAAGCTATCTTAGTATGTGTCTTGTTTGCTTGAGCGTGAATGAAACAGGATATAAGTTTGGAGTGAATAAGGGGAAATTAAAAAGGCAAGATAGAAAAGGTGACCACAAACTATGAAGGAAACTGGAAAAATGATAATGATTTCTGTAGGCTAATCCTGCTTTCACAATCTGATATTAGAAAACAAAAAACACCACTTTTTTCTTTTCTTTCTTTTTTTTTTTGTAATGGACAATTTCTAAGATAGAAAATTCAGGGATAGTGATTTCCAATTGAACTTCTAACTGTGCTCATGGGGCAGTCCCATAGCCTACCAACGTTCATCTTTATGGAAGAGGAGCCTGAGCATGCAAGATGGTCACATCTCTCACAGTGCTTTTGGGAGGTCATGAATGGAAATTAAAAGCTATTATCTCAAATATGAAATGGCATCAAAATCCTAAACTATGCAGTCCTAACTGCAGGGCCAGTCAGCACCTGCTTCACCATAAAACAAAAAGGCAAACCATCATCTCTTTTTATTTTTACTGCCTGCCCTCCACGTTAATGTGCTACATGTGCTTGCCTTTGCTTAGCTAGCAGTGGAAAACCACTTCCCCTCTCTGTGGCCCTGAAAATGACAACCACATGTTGTTCCAGTCTTTTCTCTCAGTTTTATTTTCCAGGTCTTAACTCATGATTGCCCTCTGGGTTTCTGTAATGGTAAGGGAATGTTTTCAATTGAAACAAGAGTTCCTCCCAAAATGAAAGAACATGAAAACACAATTCTTCATCACATATTTGGTAAATCCTCTACTCTCCATTTGAAATTCAGAATTCAGGGGTTAAATTACAAGAGCGCTTTCAAGTACAGCTTGAAAAAACTGTGTTTATCTGAAATCACAGGCAATCTTTATGTGAGCCTGGGTATTAAAACTGTTTAAATGCAGTTTTTTGAGGAACACTTTTGAATGGAAATGGAGTCTATTGAAATAAAAACTTTAATTAAATCATCATTTAGCTATTATGAAATAAAGACCTGATTTCATTAGTGCATTCTAAGTTGTAGTTGCTGTTAAACATTTAAAAAAAATTGTTTTACTAATTATAATACAAAATGACTCTCGAGTTCTTTTGTATTAACTCCTTTAATGGTACCCAGGAAATTCTGGGTGTAGGATCTTCTCTTCTTTTTTCCATCAATTTAATAAATTCCTGCTTATCATCAACATGAAAGTCTGTTTGTATTTAACAAAATTTAAGTTTTCCTCTTCTAAATCCAGTATATTCTCTTATTACTAGGGCTTAATCTTTGTTTGAGTAGAGGTGAGTAACCCGCATAGCCAATAATAACAACTAACATTTGTCAAGCACTCCTTACCTTATGTATCAGAAACTGTGCCAAGGGATTTAGATGTAATATCTCATTCCTTAAATGTTAAGAGGTAGATCATTAATTAGCCAGTTTTTAAGGTAATGAAGCTAGACCTCAGAGAGATTAAGAAATTTGTCCAAGTCACACAAATTTATAAATGTTGGAGCGAAAATTCAAACGTAAATGTTCTTTAATCCAGGCCTTCTGTTTTAGATCTATAAAATCCAGCAGGAAAAGTCCTTTACATTCACTTATAATCTTAAAGAGAGATAGAAACCAGATAAAACATTAAAACTTTGAGTGATAGAAGTAAAAATCACATAGGCTCAAGCCTCTGAAATCCCCAATGGGCCCCTAAGAAATCCTGTAGAACGATTTGCCCAAATGAGCCAGCAGCAAAGAAGGGAAAGGTACTGAAGCCTCCTAAATCCCAATCTGGTGCATTTTCTACTAATGATATAGGCTTATGAGTGAGTAATTATACTTTAAAATTACATCAAGGTGTAAAGTAGTATCATTATGTGATTCTCAGAAATTAAGTTTAGGCTTATAACTATATCAAATAGAGCTTATGCTCATGTTCTCAGTTATCTTGTTGTCAGGGACATTGTGTAGTAAATGGAATGTCAGGATACAGCGAGAGCAAATGACTCATTAGGATTGTGATAGGATTGGAGACAATATATTTCAGTCCTTAAAACTGAGATAGCTTTATTATTACTACATGATTGTAAAAATCATTACCTGCTACTGAATGTGTTACATATTCAGAAAAAATACAAAGAAGAAAATTCATTCACAAATTTATCACTCAGATTTTTACCTTACTATTTTTATATATTAAATTCTAGGCTCTTTTCTATTCATATATGTATGGATTTTCCCACAAAATGGGGTTATATTATGCATATTGTTTAGAATGTATCTCTGTCACTTAACAATATGTTGGCTATGGAATACTTTCTGAGTCAACACACAGAAATCTAGCATAATTTTTCTTAATTAGTATAATTTTTATTAGCATAATTTTAAAAATTAACCTTCGAAGGTTAGAAATGTATGTTTTTCTCCTAAATTTGGAGTGTTTACAAAGTCTGAACCAATAGACACCCTTGTATAACACCTTTTGAAAATGTGTCTAATTCATTTATGCAGCCAAAAGACACATGAAAAAATGCTCATCATCACTGGCCATCAGAGAAATGCAAATCAAAACCACAATGAGATACCATCTCTCACCAGTTAGAATGGCGATCATTAAAAAGTCAGGAAACAACAGGTGCTGGAGAGGATGTGGAGAAATAGGAACACTTTTACACTGTTGGTGGGACTGTAAACTAGTTCGACCATTGTGGAAGTCAGTGTGGTGATTGCTCAGGGATCTAGAACTAGAAATACCATTTGACCCAGCAATCCCATTACTGGCTATATACCTAAAGGATTATAAATCATGCTGCTATAAAGACACATGCACACGTATGTTTATTGAGGCACTATTCACAATAGCAAAGACTTGGAACCAACCCAAATGTCCAACAATGATAGACTGGATTAAGAAAATGTGGCACATATACACCGTGGAATATTATGCAGCCATGAAAAAGGATGAGTTCATGTCCTTTGTAGGGACATGGATGAAGATGGAAACCATCATTCTCAGCAAACCATCGCAAGGACAAAAAACCAAACACCACATGTTCTCACTCATAGGTGGGAATTGAACAGTGAGAACACATGGACACAGGAAGGGGAGCATCACACACTGGGGCCTGTTGTGGGGTTGGGGGAGGGGGTAGGGATAGCATTAGGAGATACACCTAATGTTAAATGATGAGTTAATGGGTGCAGCACACCAACATGGCAATGTATACATATGTAACTAACCTGCACGTTGTGCACATGTACCCTAAAACTTAAAGTATAATTAAAAAGAAAAAGGAAAACAATGTCAAAGAAAACAAAACAAAACAAAACAACAAAAAGGAAAATTTGTCTAATTATTTCCTTAGGACAAAATACTAGAAAATGAATTGCTGAATCAAAGGGAATATAGTTTTAAGGCTTTTGGCAGCCTTGTTTTCTGCTGCCCTCCACTATCATACCAATTGCTAAATATTTGAATATCTAGAATAATATAATATGAAAATTATATTATTTTGTATTCAATGCATTTTTTTATACTAATGTTGGGTGCTTGTTATTTCTAAAGCATGGAGTCAATGACTATTGGTTGCTTTTCAAAGCTAATTGATGTTTGACACAGATTCCTACACTTTTCTAAAAAGCAATCTCTCTAAAATAAATTTACAAGGGATATTCTTATTCTCATTTATAGATGGGAAACCTGAGAAGAAAGAACATTAAAGGTACTGACTTTATTGACTCAGAAGAAATTAGTTTCTTTCCAACCTAGACCAGGCACTGATCAAAAGTACTGGCTGGCTCTCACCAAATGGAAGAGTGCCAGATATTCTAACATTGGTCACTTTTTGTGATTCTTCTTCTTCTCTCCTTTTTAATTTTTTTTGGAGTTTGCAGATATTTAGTTTTACTTTTATTAAAAATGGTTTTATAAATAAATTTTTTTATTCACAAATACTATGTGTTCAATACTGATGTTAGGTACACTTGTAACAATTCCATCCTGTTTCACCTGCCTGAAGTACAAAAACAAGCTCACATTCTTCTCTCTACAGTTATTACTGCATCACATGCACAAGTGTAAGAAAGATTTATACAATGCAATTAAATGAAAAAACATTCTTTCTCACTTTTCCGTCCCTACTTCCAATCTACGGAAGCAACTTGTTTTTCGTTTTGTTTCTTTTCTTTTGCCATTTATTATAAACCATGTAAATCTACATAATGTACCAAAATCCTTATTGATTTACCAATTTAGACTATAGCTTTTGACTTCATGTTCTAACTATAGTTTATTTATATCACTTTCCACCTCTCCTCTTTTCTCCCGTATTTTGTTGGATATTGCTGCAGCTGTTTTTATAACTATTACCCATTCTGTATTTCTTTGTTTTCCTTATTAACAGAGGCAATGTGTCCAGCTATAAACACATTCTAAGGCTCCATATGAAATATCAGAAACTCTGAGAGATCTTCCACTTCCTAATTCAGATAATACCCCTCCTACTTGATGAAATGTGGAGGCAATGCTTGCAGGTACAACCGTCATGTTATAGCCGTGAGTTGACAAATATAACAGTGACATGGTAAAAATAATAGAGCAGAAAAAGAGTGCCCAGCTCCCAGGCACATCATTAGAAAGCTGGCCTGCTCTAACTGCCTCCATCTAGATCTTTTGTAGGTGGAGAAGACAAACCCCTTTAGTTTAAGCTACTGCTAATAAGGCTGTTTGTTAGCTGTAGCTGAATGCATTCCTAACAGAAATAGTTATATTATTTTCATTCTTCATTGGTTCTTCACTGATAACTTTATAAGTATAATAAAATAATACACTGTAGGAATACATGTGAGTATAATGATACACTTAAATCTCTTGTTTCTTGTTTTATCTTCATTAGACAATATCTTATGACTGATTCCACTCTTTAATTATGTGTTTACTGTTATATTCAAAGAGATGCTGGAACGAGGAAGAGGTTAAAGAGAGATTATTTGCCATCTTGAACTAGGAATATCACATCTCTTTTGTATACTTAATTGGCTCAAGCTTCACATGACCTAGAATATTTTCCCCTTTCCTCTGGGGTACTTTCATTCTGTCATATAGCTCAGATGCTCTAAAAAGCCAGTGTTTCTCCCAAAGCATGGATAGCAGGATGCCCCACACCACAACGATCTTTGTTAGCTATTGTGGCCCTGTGCTACTACAGACCTGGACTTCCATTGCTGGAGTTTTCAAGTGTATGTTCACATTTATCCATTATTTTCAAAGCAGATTCCAAAAATGAGGGTGATTGGATCAAGAGAGATATATTGTCGGTCACATGAAGTGCCTGGAAGATGCTTTTGCTCTTCTTGCATGGTACTCAGCTGCCAGTCCAGATTCTTCCATCTCTCATGGTGCATTTCCTCTTGAGGAGCCCTTGATGATTCCTGGAAGCAGAAAGTCTCTACCCATCAAAACCAGAACAATCAGAGGCTTCAGAATTTTTTTTATTTTTGGCTGGAACTGTCTTAGTTTGGGGGGATTGTGTATAGTATAATGAAAGTATTGGCAGCCAGTAGGTTAGATGAAGATGAAGATTGCCTCTGGTGGAACCAAGGGGGATTTGAAAAGGGTTTACCTTTCATTCAGATCTATGAGTTATGTATTCAAGTATTCATTCATTCAACAAATGTTGATAGGTGGTGTGGTGCAATTAGTTAGTTGTGGAATCAGAAAGACCAGCCTGTCCTTGAATACTTCCCCTGCTCTTCACTGATCCCTGAACTTGAAGCAGATTCCTTAATTCTCTACTACTTGCTTTCCTCCTTTCAAACACAATGAAAATGCTATCTTATAGCAACTCAAGGGTTAGCAATAATATATGTAAAATACTCTTTCTCTCTTCTCTAATCACGGAGCAATAAGGGTGTGATTCCTGAGTGGCCCAGTCCCCCTGCCTCCTCAGGGAGAAGTATAAAGAAAGGAGGGGAGAAAAGATTTCTGATAGAGGAAAATCTCCAATTCCTGTTTCTGAGACCCCTGAGCTGCCCTTCCTGCAACAATTGCTTTGATGCTATGAGCAATTCTATTCTTGCAATAGATCCCATTTTTACATATTGTGGTTGGAGTTGAGTTTCCATCACTTTCAGCTGAAAGGGTCCTGAGGGTGGCAGCTGAAATCCTCTTTTCTTTGAGGGCATGTGGATTATTTGGTGAAAATAATGAAAGCTGAGGGAGAGAAGGCAGGCTCATCACTACGGGTAAAGCAGGTTGATATTTGTGATTGTCTGCTTTGCCAGCTAGGGAACCCAGTCCTGGGCGTCAAGAAGGACTTATCTTCATTCTCTGCTTCAATAGCTCTCTAAAACCTCTGTGAACATACTTATCTTGCCTTTAACTGCTCATCTTCTGCAATAGGACTGAGCTCCCTGAGGGCAGGCCTTGTGGCTCTAATGCCTTGAATGTTATAAGCTGTCCAACTCACATGTGTAGAATGAATAGTGTGTAAATAAATATACAGAAAATTAAGAATTTCTCAATTGTCACTCATGTGAATGTCTCCTAAATACAGTCTTTCCACTTAATAAATAAAAAGTTACTAAATAGTACCATTGCCTGAGCCAATTAAAGTTTTGCATATCTTAGAACCTTGCCTCTGCTATTTACTCACCAGTTAAAGCAAATTATTTAAGTTATCAATCCCCAGATCTCTAATGTGCACTTTGACAAGTATATATATATTTTTGAAATTCAAATGCTGTATTGAGAAAGATATAATCCATGCAGAGGGCATTATGACTAGTGTGCTTCTGGGTTAACTGTTTGGCCAGGAGGGAAATAATATTGCAACTAGTTGAAGATCATCGTTTTGGAGCACCTCCAGACCTTATTACTGCATGGTCAGACCTGGGGGAAAGAATGAAAATGTATTTCCTTCTACTTTGGTTCAGTTGATAGGCTATTCTCTATTGGAGACAAACTGTGTTTCACACACAACCAGCTGGGTGACCACTTAATATCACAGCAAGATGCAATCAGGCAGTGGGTTCCACAGGGTCCAGTCTTCTCCCAGTTGATCGATGGGAGCAGTTCATTAAGGTCAAAATATCAGAAATGTAAATAGTTCTTTCACTGCTTCCCTCCACCACTGTTTTCCCTTTGGGTTATTATCATTTATCACTTCTGGCAAATCAAAAAGAGAGAGAGAGAGAGGAAAAAAGGAAAAATCAGAAGAATGTTTAGACTGTTGGTGAAAATGCTGCTGCTGAATAAGATGATGTCTCCTTGGAAGTTACCACAGCTTGATAGCCATAATCCCTTCTCAGAACCTTTAGAAGGCTTTGTGGCCCTGTCTGAGTGTTCCCAAGTTATTCCGCTGGTGGGTTGCCTGTGTTTTTCCATTCCCAATTAATGACTGGATAAGGAAGTAAGAACAGAATAGGGAACAGGGGCTTATTAGGGACCAGTAACGGTTCCCTGTGACAAGACATCTAACAGATGAAACACTGTTCCTGTCATCCTTTTCATTTCTGCATTTATGTGGCTGGGTTACCAGGAGATAGGGAGAGAGATCAGTCTAGAAGTCCAGTATGGGGCACCAAAGCTAGTGAGATTTCCAGTGGGAGGCTGAGTTCAGGCAACAATGTCTGTGAAACTGAGCAATGAAAGAGAGAAAGCTTATTGGACATGCAGTCAGAAGATAAGAGCCTAGGTCATTTTCTAATTATACGAATATATTTGAGATGCCCATGGACTTTGTGTTAGGCTCTTATTGACCAGACAATTACATGATCATGGTGTCATGGTGTTGTTTTTAATTACAGAGATAATTGTCTGAACTATCTGGGAATTTCTACAGATTTTGTGAAATTTTACTTTGGATAGGGATGGGATGCTTTAAAATAGAGGCTCTTATATTTCAGCAAGAGAATAATAGGTAACAATTGCCTGCAAAGAAGAAAAAAAGCTACCATTTATTGATAGTATATGCCAGGAGTTTTTCTGGACAAGTCCTACACAGGTAGTAGATGCAATGGAGGGTTATTTACCTCTCCCACTTCCTTCTTTATACATACCTGCCAAGCCAATGGGAGCCTGAGATGAAGTCAAGGGTTTTGAATGAAGCAATTTGAAAATGAACCCTTCCTTGTCAACTATTACAGAAAGTATTATAATATAACCCAGGGAGGTTGAGCACTTGCGACTTAATAAACACAATTAAACCATAAGAAATAAGAACAAATTTAGATAAACAGAAAGAAAATGAATTTTTCATGCATACCACATTTATTATTTCAGGGGTGTGGCTTATAGTAGGAAAATAATCCATGGAACTCAAAGGTATATTGGAGTTTAGGAGAGATCCCGTTGCAGCCTGGAGGGGAGGAAGCTGTATTGAATATTGCTTTCCTCCCTTGTGTGGCCTACTCTTCCTTAATAGATGCTAAGGTGCCACATATGCCTGATAGACACCAATTGGTCTAAAGCCAGTTCGCCAAATATAAAATATATCATGCTTTAAACTATTTATAAGGCTTATAACAAATATAATGGAAGAAGTTATTTTAATAACCCTTGAATATTTCTATGGCATTTTATTATTTTAATTTATTTTTTAAATTGACAGATAAAAATGGCATGTATTTATTGCATACAACATGGGGTTTTGAACTATACATACATTGTGAAATGGTTAAATCTAGCTAACAAGTGCATTATCTCACATAGTTATTATTTTTTGTGGTGAAAACACTTAACACCCATTCCCTTAGCATTTTTCAAGAATACAATATATTATCATTAACAATCACCATGCTGTACAATAGATCCTTTGAACTTATTCCTCCTATGTAACTGTAATTTTGTATTTTTTGACCAACATCTCCCCAGCCCTCTCCTGCCCATCCCAACTGTCCCAGCTCTGGCAACCATCATTCCATGCTCTGTTTCCATGGGATTAACATTTTTAGATTTTACATGTAAGTGAGATCCCGTGGTATTTACAAGGCCCTGTGTTGGACCAAGTCATACATCCCATTTTTTGCATTTATTTCTCATAGAAATCTTGAAGAGTTTGGGGTATGATTGTTTCTAATTTATTTAACTTGCCCAAGACCATACTGGTACAAAGTGGCAGAACCCACAGTAGCTCTCAGGTTTGTATTATTTCATGCCCTGTGTTTTTGCCATCAGAGTATAGGAAACTTAAAAAAAAAAAAAAAAAAAAAAAAAAAACTTTGTACTTTCAATGCACAGACTTTCAATTCATGCATTTCTAGATTAGTAAATCATTTTCTGCTTTGAAAGTTATTTGTTTTACCTCTGGACTTTCATAAAAAGAAAATGAGCCAAGAAATTAAAAAGTGAAAGGAAAGAGAAATTTGCTGTGTATTTCCATTAAGTAATGTAAGCCATTTTAGTTTTTAAGCATTCCTGTGAGATAACAAAATCAGCTTGTGTCAGACTTGAGAGGGAAACTGCACACAGGGCTGTCTTGCTAGTACATGGATAAAAATGTAGTGCTCAAGAGAAGGAAATGCAGCCTTGCCAAGGGAAAAACGATGACTCATGATTCAGACAGTTGCTTACAAAAACCTTTGGAGAAAATATTCTCCGTAGAGTCTGGCAAAGGAGCAAATGGGAATTTCCTGCTATTCTCTTTAGAAAAAGGAAGAGAGAGAGAGTTCCCTTCTGCATGGGGATGGAAGGAGACCAACTGCTTGAGTGAGGACAGCAGTCCTTTCTGCAAAAGATCCCCACAGGCCACTGGACGTTAGTGCACCCACTTGGAGCAAAACCAGGAGTTGTGCTGTGCATGAGCTGCCGGGCAGTAGAGCTTCTTGTTCCTTCTCTAAATTGCAATATTTGTGCTATGTAGTTGGGTAAAAATAGCATTTTGGGTGGTAGTAGATGATTACAGGTAGTTAAGAGTATAGTCCCTGGTTCCAAATATGTCTCTGTTCTTTACCTACTGTGGATTTGGTCAAGTTACTTAACCTTACTGAGCCTCAGTTTTCTTATGTATAAAAAGGAGAGAACAATACTTACCTCATAGATGTTCTCTGGATGATTAAATAAGATGGTCTGTCTATCTATCTATCTATCTATCTATCTATCTATCTATCTATCTATCCATCCATCCATCCATCTCTCTAACTATCATCTATCGAGCTAGCTAGCTAGCTAGCTAGTTCATCCTCAGCAGATCCCTTGCAGAAAGTAAGTCCTTAAGAAATGTAGCTGTTATTGTTGTGTTTGCATTGTACTATCATTGCAAATATTTCCATTATGAAGACACAAGTTAAAAATAGTTGCCTTGATGATTTCTCATGAAATTAAATATGGAATTACTGCATGATTCAGCAATTTTATATCTGGGTATATAGCCCAAGAAGTAAAAGCTGGGACATGAATAGATATTTGTATACCCATATTCATAGCAGCATTATTCACAATAGCCAAAAAAAGGAAGCACACTAAGTATGCATCAATGGACCAATGAATAAACTAAATGTGGTACACACACACAAACACACACAGCCTTAAAACAGAAAGAAATTCAGAAACATGCAACAACATAGATGAAACCTGAAGACATTATATTATACTAAGAAGAATAAGCCAGTCACGAAAGGACAAAGTTTATATAATTAGTCATATGAGGTACCAAGAGTAGTCAAATTCATAGAGACAGAAAGTAGAATGGTGGTTACCAGGGGCTTGGAGAAGGACAAATGAAGAGTTGGTGTTTAATGGCTTCAGAGTTGCAAATGAAAAAGATGAAAGAGTTCTGGAGATGAATAGTGGTGATGGTTGCACGACAATATGAATGTACTTAATGTTACAGAACTTAAAATGTAACTTAAAAAAGGTTTAAATGCTACATTTTATGTATATTTTGCCACAATATGAAAATGGGAAAAATCATTTCCTTAAGCACTGGAATTTGTAATATGTAACTTGTATTGCACTTGGTGCAGATATGCAATGTGTGAAGTGCTCTTGGCTTTTCCCCCCATAGTTTTAGCACGCAGGGATCGTGATCCACTTCTTGGACTATCATTTAAAATATGGAGTATTGCAAATGTGCCATAAGTAAAAACTTTTAACAATCTAACCTCTAACTGACAATGAACTTAGACTGTAAGATAATTTTTTATTTCTAAGAGCCTGTTGATTTAATCTCATCTTGGAGTCTTATAAAAGAGATCTTAAGACATCAAACAATGTATGTTGAGTTTAACAAGGGAACACAACAAGATGCTTTGGCTCCATTTTATTTATTTTTCAGTAAATTTATACTTTTTTATTTTTCGAGAGGTTTCAGTGAAGTACAATGACATGTAATAAACTGTACATATTTAAAGTGGACACTGTGATAAGTTTTAACATGTATATACACCCCTGAAACCATCAACACAGTCAAGATAGTGAAAATGTCCTTGCGCTCTCAAAAGTTTCTTTGTGTTGCTTTGTAATCTCTCCCTCCATCTCACTCCTCAGTACTACTGCCCCCACCCCCAGGTAACCACTAATCTGCTTTCTGTCATTATAGATTAATTTTCCTTTCTAGAGTTTTATAGAAATAGGCCAATACAAAATTTATTCCTTTTTGGTCTCTTTTCTTTTCTTTTTTTTTTTGAGATGGAGTCTCGCCCTGTCACCCAGGCTGGAGTGCATTGGTACAATCTCCGCTCACTACAACCTCCGCCTCCTGGGTTCAAGTGACTCTCCCGCCTTGGCCTCCCGAATAGCTCGGATTACAGGCAATCGCTATCCTGCCCTCTAATTTTTGTATTTTTACAGAGATGGGGTTTCACCATGTTGTCCAGGCTGGTCTTGAACTCCTGACCTCAGGGGATCTGCCTGCCTCAGCCTTCCAAAGTGCTGGGATTATAGGCATAGCCACTGTGCCTGGCCCTTTTGTATTCAGCATAATTTTTTTGGAGATTCATCCATGTTATTGTGTGTATCAATGATTCATTCCTTTTTATTGTTGAATAATATTCCATTGTATGGATATACTACAATTTCTTTAATCATCCATTTGTGATGGACAAACAAAGCTCCCACAAACATTCATATACAAGTCTGTGTATATGAATGTTTATACACAGAAAAGAATCCTTTCTTTTCTCTTGGATAAGTACTAGGGAGTCGACTGGTTGGATCATGTGGTAGGTATATGATTACCTTTTTTAAAAACTGCAAAAATGGTTTTCCAAAGTCATTGGACCACTTTTTGAAAGTTCTAGTTGCTCCACATCTTTGCCAATCCTTGATATGGTGAGTCCTTTTAACTTCAGCCATTCTAATAAGTATGTAGCAGTGTCTTATTGTTGTTTAATTTGCATTACATTAAAGGTTAACGTTATTGGTCCTTTCCTGTCTTGTTTGCCATCTCTGTACCTTCTTTCCTGAAATATGTGTTGAAATCTTCTGTTTGTCTTTTAGTGGGTTATTTGCTTTCTTATCACTGAATCTTGAGAATTCTTTACATATCAATACAACTTCTTTATCAGAGAGGTGACTTGCAAATATATTCTCTCAGTCTGTGACCTGTCTTTTAATCCTCTTAAGAGAGTCCTTTGAAGTGGGCTCCATTTTTTTAAAAATTCGTAGGCTAATTGTTGGGGGATATAATTTGAATAATGCGTTATAGGTTTTCTAGGAACACCCTCTACATGAATGTCAAAACAGAATAATAACTGAAACATAATTGTCTGATTTGGTGATAACTATGATGTGAACATGTTTTTGGAGTACTCTCCATCAGGTCAATTAACGAGTTAAATGGTTAAATGGATCCTACTAAATTAGGAGAGTATAATTTTGTGCTGGCACTACTAGTCCAATTTTTGAGTTTGTCTTAAACTATCCTAGTAAATTTTAGGCAATTAAACTAATGTTTAAAAAGCAACAATTAATGTTGAGAACAAAAGGACTCATAAAACAGTTCATTTTTTAGGCTCAGCAAGCACCAGTGCAATGTGTTTAGAGAAAATGTCTGCAGTCAACAAGGTATGGCTCTGGGTGACATTCATCTTCTGACTCTATTACCAGATGCTGGCTCTCTCTGTGTTTCCCACAGCCAAACCCGTCAAGAAGAAATCCATGTTGATGAGGGCCCCCACAGTCTGTGCTTGGCAGACCTCTCATGCATCAGAAATAGAGCTTGGCCAAGAGGGCTGGTGAACTTTGCTCAGAAAGGACAGAAGCTATGGCAGGTCCCCATGATGGAAAGGGCTCCCCTGGGACCAAATCATTTCACATTCATTATCTGACCTACACCACCAACAATCCTTGAGAAAGATTTTACCATGTTAATATACTAATTTGCTATTTGCATGTCTTCTTTGATGAAGCATCTGTTCCAATATATTATCCATTTTTATTATTTTATTTATTATGTATTTTATTGTTTTATTAGTGGTTTTGTTATTATTGAGTTTTCAGAGATTTTAAAAAGTATATTCTGGAGATGAGTCTTCTATCAGATATGTGATTTGCAAATACTTTCTCCCAGTCTGTGGCATGTTCTTTTCATTTTCTTAAGAGTATTTTATGAATAAGTTCCTGATCAGATGTTATCTGAATACTTGAACGTGTTTAATGCCACCTAAAATGCCTAAATAACACCTTTGTTGACTGCAAAAAAGACTATACAAATGTGTGCTGATATTGCCCTGCATCTGCATGTTCATATATTTAAGCAAAATTCATATATTTGTATGTAACCCAGATGTTCACCAGTGCCTTCTTACTGTTCAAGAGCTAGATAAGACAGTTCCATCTCCTAATCCAGCTTTGTGGATTCCTAAGGTGTGATATGGGAAGGGGGAAGGTGGCTGTGTTGTCATTGTTTTGCCTCCTGTTTCTTCTAATTTGGTTCATCTATGAAGATCTGGCCACCCCATGTTTGTTCAAACATGAGACCGGGCACTTTCTATGATTTGTACACAGAGGTTTTACGCAGAGGACTTTTTGTGGTAGCCATTTTTATTGAAGTTTTGGAGATGATGTCGGACAGAGTTTCAATACATCAGCGCACACAATTTCATGCTGCACATGAGCTACGCTGTTTGGAAAATTCTTTTTTCATTCCCACCAGCAAAATTTTCATTGTCTGACTTGTTCCACGTAGTGTCACAGTTCCAGAGCTTTGGGGGATTTCTGTCTGTCTCCTTTCTCCTTAAAAGCTGACACACAAAACATGCTATTGATATTTTACTGTCTTTTCCGTTGCCACACCCATAACCTCAAAATCTCACTAGATATTGAGTGAAGCCTCATTAGATATTTTTCTACAGACTCATTAGATATTTTTCTAAACAAAGAGTGTTTTCCTTAAGACCTTATTCTGGTGCCAGCCAAAGTAATATTATTATTTTACTTTATTCCTCATGCCTAGTCATCGGTTCAGCACATGCAAATGTGCACCTTTGGGCTAGTTGCCTTCATTTTTATTGGAATTAATTTTAATTGTTACTTATCTTCTACTGGTTATGGACTTATTTTTGGCATTCTGGATGGGTTGACATGCTAAGCTGTGATACAGTATTTCTAATTCTGCAGAAGTGGCCTCTCTCCTGTCATTCTTGCCCCAACACGGAGGTAGAGCAGGTCTTTTCAAGAACTTGCCAGTTTCTGGGCCAGTTTAGCAGTTCAGCTCAGAGAAAGCAGTGGACAATAGGGGCCCATTGCTGAGAGAGATTTCTTTAGTTTCCTCTTGGCTGCTCTAGACACTGCCTGGACTCCGCATTGCTACTTGCTGATCTTGTCCTTGACTCCAGGAAAAAGAGGAGTTCGGCTACAGAAGGGCTTTTGGCAGAGCAGGGGTGGAGAGCTGGGGGAAGGATGAAGCTTGAGGGGGGCTTGACTGGTTTGAGTCAATGGCAGCAGGCCCCCCATGATGACATTTCTTGTTTGCATAGCCCGTGTGTGTGTTATCCACTTTGAACTGGAAGGGGGAGCCCTGAGTTCATTGTCTACACAATAGTAGCTTCTCTGGAACTCTTAATGAACAGATTACTTCTCCTGAAAGCTGCTTCTTTTAAAAGGAATTCAGATTTCTTTACTGCTCTAGGAAAAAATGCCTAGATACAAATAAAGACTTTTATGATGCTTCTCTTTGAACTTCTTTTTAAAATCTCCATTCACTAGAGACTGAATGAAATCATTATGTGACCATGGGCAGTTACTAAATTTCTTTGAGATTTAGTTTCCTCTCCTGTAAAATGGCAATAATGTACTTGTGCCTACCTGAGGGGTGCTTGTGGAGAAGATTAAATCCGATTATCTATGTGGGATCTCAGCACAGTGCCTATTTCATTAGAATTTCTCAGTAAACAGCAACTGCTAATGGCAGTAATAGCCACTATAACCCAAGTTCCCGAGTTTTGGTACAAAGACAAAAACCTAACCAGTCAGTCCATGCTGACCAGGTGCCCAAAGAGCTCCTAGAAAAGCTTGATTTTTTTCCCGGTGTAAGCCCTGGGAAAAATTAATGCCCTCTCTATCCCACCTAAACTTCCCTTTCTCCTATGTTTCCTGGCTTTTTGCTTGGTTTGAAACTGGACTTAAACTGCTGCACCTCTTTCATTTGGCTTTAGGAACTATGTGGCGTCCGCAATGCAGAGCAACAGAAAACTGGACAGGACATTCCTGGAATTCTGTATGAACAAGGCAGTGGGGACTGGAAGCAGGCTTAGTTTTTTGAAAAACTAGGGAGAAAACTAACCAGATGGCTAGGGTATAAAAAGGTTCTTCTTCCTCTGATGCCTGTGCCATGCCAGCAGACAGGGACCCACAGCTCCCCTAAGATACCCACACATCTTGGCTGTCCCATGATGAGCAGAATAAAGAGATTGCTGCTTAATAGTGTCATGGAAGTAAATGGGACTTCTCACCCTTAAGCTTGCAGGGATGGTGGGGGGCACATAATTATTTAAAAATCTTTCGAGGAGCAAAGTATCCCCCAAATAACGTGGGAAGGTTAGGGAGAACACAAAAGCTGACATATTCCTCTGGCTATTCCTGATGGCCAGCTCAATTCTAACTTTATGATGAGAGAATCTGGAGCACACAGTAGGAGGAATGGGAACCCCAGGTTTAGTTCCAGACCCTCCAGCTTTCCTTTTCTCTTTTAATCCCACAGCAGTTCATGCCATATTTATTCCCCCATAAGGTTCAGGTCCCCTTATTGTCTCTTACCTTATATATTCCACATGGCTTTCTTGAATTTTAAATTCCTTAAAGGCAGGGGCCAGAAAGTATACTACTTTGCAGGTATATTTTAAAAAGAACAACTAATAGGTACTTGGCAATTTTATAATATGGATGGTTATATAAATCAAATCGAAATTAAAACTGCCATGTTGACTTTTGCACCAAAAATAATTTATTTTCCAAAATAAAATTTAAATAAATAAAAATAACTCATAATTTAATAAAAATTTCAAAATCTTCTAGTGTCCTTTCATATGCAGTACATTAGCCATCAGTCACTTAAACAGCATCTGCTGGTTGAAGAATGCTTGAAGCAATTGTCCAGTCCCAGAGGCACAGGCTAGGAGATCTTCAGTTTCGGAGGTAACCTGTAAGTCTGTTAATGAAGTAAAAGTTCCTTAGGATTTCCACTCTGACTATGGTCCAGGCACAGTGACTGTACTCCTTGGCCTTCAGGTAATGCAGAATCCTCCCATAATATCTTTTCAGGTGCAGACTGCTCATGAGTTTTCCCCTGGTGAAATCTTCTTTCTCCAGTTTTTCTTCCAGGACTGTCTTCAGATGGTTTATCTGATGATAGACATTAGCCAGGAGGTTCTCAACAATAGTCTCATTCCAGCCAGTGCTAGATGAATCTTGTCTGAAAATAGCAAAGATGTTCTGGAGCATCTCATAGATGGTCAATGCGGCGTCCTCCTTCTGGAACTGCTGCAGCTGCTTAATCTCCTCAGGGATGTCAAAGTTCATCCTGTCCTTGAGGCAGTATTCAAGCCTCCCATTCAATTGCCACAGGAGCTTCTGACACTGAAAATTGCTGCTTCTTTGTAGGAATCCAAGCAAGTTGTAGCTCATGGAAAGAGCTGTAGTGGAGAAGCACAACAGGAGAGCAATTTGGAGGAGACACTTGTTGGTCATGTTGACAACACGAACAGTGTCGCCTACTACCTGTTGTGCCAGAGCAAAGGCTTCGAAAGGTTGCAGTTAGAATGTCCTTTCTCCATGGGTATGGCCTATTTATATGAGATGGTCCTCTCTCTATTCAGAGGAATTTCCCACTTTCACTTCTCCCTTTCAGTTTTCCTATGTCATTTACATTTTAGTAGTTTCTAAAACTCTTTATTTAAGCTCCTATCTTATGATATATATAATAGGGAAAAAGATTTACAAACTGTGAGGTTTTCTAATGTTTTTTAAAGTTTCAGTGAATGACTAAAGCAAATTGTAAAACAAGACTTGGGAGAAAGCAAAGGAAAGCAAACGACCTGAGAATTCAAGAACCTCAAAACACTAAAAGATACAGTTGGTCCTTCCTATCCATAGGTTCTGTATCCGTGGATTCTACTGACTGTAGATGGAAAATATTTTTTAAAAATACAATAAAAATAATAATACAACAACAAAAAATAATGTAAATTTTAAAGATACAGTGTTACAGCTATTTAGCATTTATATTGTATCAGGTATTATAAGTAATCTAGGGATGATTTAAAATATACAGAAATACATGTGCAGATTATATGCAAATACTGCAACGTTTTATAAGAGGGAATTGAGCATCCTCTGATTTTGGTATCTGTGGAGGCAGCGGGATGGTGGTCCTAGAACCAATCTTCTTTGGATACTGAAAGACTGAGAGATAGATTTACTGAAAAGTCAATCAGGGAATAGTAGCTGAAACTGCAAGGAGTTTTGCCCAATATGATAATAGATTAGTGTGAGAGGGCCTTGGAAACTTCTGAAAGGCACTGGAATAGTCTAGGGTATAAGAAATTTTCAAACCAACCAGTCACAGCCCTTTTGATCCTACACAGAGGAGAAACTGCCACAAGTGGAATCACACTTCAGCAGGATATAAACAACACAGACAAGGATAGAGAAGGCCCAACCAGGGTGGGATGGAGAACTCAGAAGGCAGGCTGCTATGTTTTTGACCATTTCACAAAAGCTAACAGAAGAGGGAGCTCTGTGAAGTTAGAAAAACCGCCCTGAACCACTTCCTGGTTCAGGAAAAATAAGCTCTTACAAGACCAAACAACAGAAAAGTATTAAGATGGAATCTCATACAAAGTTATTAATAGAAAAAAGAGAAGGCTTTGGGAAGATGGCTGATTAGAAGCAGTTGTGGTCTGTGGCACTCTGCTCTTTGGCCAGGATGGTCTGACTGCCCTGAGCCTGTCATGCTGTGAGAAAGCCCAAACTAGCTTACAAGGAGAGACCATGAAAATTGGCAGTGTATTTCAAAATTTAAAATTTCAAGCAATGAGATTGTTCCTTTAACTTGCAATACCGTTACTAGTTATTTACTATGGCTATCCCTGCAGAAATATGCATGTGTATGTGCATGTGTATTATAGATACATACAAAACATATATAAATGTTGATTATATTACTATCATAGTAACAAAGACAAATGTCCATCAGCAGGGAGCTTGTCAAGTAATACTATCACGTGGACAAGATGGAATATTATTCAGCCATCAAAAAGGACAATCAGCTGATATAGACACATATCACAGATACATTTAGTGAAAAGAGCAATACACATAAGAAAGGATATGATATTATCATTTGTTTTGTAAGTTACTAGAAAGGTATACATATGATGCTGTTATATGCATATGATTTTTTCCTTTGGGTAGAATTACTATCTATTAATAGTAGTTACCCTGGGGAATAATGCTGATGGGGTGAGGATGCAGCAAGGAAGAAAAATCTTTATCTTTTCACTTCATACCTTTAGAACTATCTGCATATGAGTTTTTCCTTGTAATGAGAAGAGGTCTGGGAAATAGGGTTATTAGGCCACTAGGGAATTAGGTTGTTACATTTGTAATTTCGTGCACTTGGAGAAAATTTAATAAATATTACTAAATTTTAACATTTATTTTGTTTTATTTGCATTTAAAATGTTCTATTATGAGCATATATTATTTTTGTCATTAGGAAATTTGAAAGACACCAGTTAATATTGAAAAATAGAACATAAAATTGTACATACAACATGATTATGCAAAAATATGTAGAGAAAATTAATAAAAGGAAGTAAACCACCATTTTAATAGTGGCTTGATTTGGCTTGTGAAACTAAAGAGTGATTTTTTTCCTCCTTTTATTCTTTGTATTTTCCAATTTTCCACCAGTAAACAAGTATTGTTTCATAATAGACTAATTTACATTATAAAATAAACGAGTCCCAACCTTTCTGGTTATTCTGCCTCTCTATGGGTTTCATTCTCTCTGGCCTTTTGGCCTTTGCAGGCCAGCTCTTAGCAAGACCTTGGCCATCTCATGCATTTTAAAAACAATGAGTTTCAGAATATTAAAAAAAACTCGGCTCTTCCACTCAAAAATGTCTGTTATGTCAGTATTTGAGTAATTCCTTGGGGTTTTGACGAGCATTCTCGGATTAGTCTGGAATCATCCATGGCTCATAGCACAAAAGCCAATGCAAGGAGCTTCAGAGGTTAGTCAACCTAGAGATGGCTGTCCCTCTCAGGAAAGAGGAGACAGTCTATAGAGTCTGGTCACTGGGGCCTGCTCCTATAGAATGACTTGCAGGCTTGTATATAGTTGACCTTTCCAGGTGCAACAGAAGGCCTCATCACTGCCCACATCAAATGGTCTCTTATCCTCCATCCGGAAATGGTCCTTAGAGAGTTCATAATCTAATACAATAAAAACAACAGTAGTGGCGGTAGTACTAGTTATCATTTATTAAGCACTTGCTATTTGCCATTCTTTGAATAATCCTCATAGTAAACATTTGAGATGGGTTATTATCATCCCCATCTTACAGAGGAGAGAAATGAGGCTTAGAGAGGCTGTGTAATGTGTGAAAGATACACACTGCTAATAACATGGGTAGATTGCACTTAAAACTGTGATCTTTCCTGTAGAATATCAAGCAGTCTATGGCTGACATCTTCAGATAGGTTCATGGTGTCAACCATGATGGTGATGATGGCTCTCAAAGAAAAAAGAAACTACATCTAGTGGAGAAGATGAAAAGGCATTCATTGCCCTTAATGCAGGCAGTGTGCCTAAAGAAGTGGTATGATCACTACAGGTAGAGGTGGCTGTGGTGAGGTGATGTGGTTGAGGGCATTCAATCGGTACTGTCCAATAAAGTCACATAATGCAATTTAAAAAGCTCTAGTAGCCATATTGAAAGAGGAAAAGAAACAGGTGAAGTTAATTTTAATAATATGTTTTATTTAGCATAGTATATCCAAAATATTATAATTTCAACATATAACCAATCTAAAATTATTCATGAGATAATTAAATTTTGTGTACAGTCTTCAAAACATAATGCACATTTTTACACTCACAGTAGATGTCAATTTAGACTAGTACCATATAAAATGCTCACCAGCCACATGTGGTTCATGGCTAGCATGATAGACAATAGATACCATGATATCCACAGCTCTAGATAGACAGAGACCAGCACAAACACAGCCAGGAGAATGAACAAGTTTGCAGGAGCAAAGACAAGGAGCTTCAATTGTGGACAGGCTTCATTTTAGGAATCAAGGAGGCTGAGGGTGGAAAAGTCAGGTTGAGCTGTATTACGGAGTCTTGAATGCCAGAGTGTAGCATTTGGACTTAATTCAAGAGGTCTTTGACAGAGAAGAGACTGGAGTTTTTTCCCTGGGCAGAACAATAGGCAGAAATGTTAGAGGTGATTGGAACAGGGAGAGGCGAGGAGAACTCCTGCCCAGAGGCTCTCATGGCTGTGGAGGGTGAAAATAAAGGCCATAGCTGTGGAAATGGAGCCAAAGGAATGGAAACAGAAAAATAAAAAGGGATTTTTTTTTTCTGGTTTCTTCTCTTTGTTCTCTAGCTACTTCCTGCTATTGTGTTCTTGAGGTGCTTCCTAATACTCCACTTCCAGTTGCCTTTATGGAGTTTCTCCTCTACCCCTTCTCCTGAGGATTAGTAGTAATCTTGGCAGAAGCTCACCTATGAATGGGTTAAAATTTCTTCCTTTTAAATACATCATTTTAAGTTTTAGCTTCATTTCTCTTCTTTTATTAGAGTTGTATCAGAATAACCAGGAAAATTTATTTAACCTTCTGTCTACCAGGGAAACCTATTTCTTAGACCAGCCCAGTGTGTATCTGCATTGTAAGGGTTAGTGCCCGAACCCTTTCCTGTCATCTTTCCCTTTGTTATTTGTCCCTTCTGTGGACGTTATTTTTGCACACATCCTTTCCTCCCCTCGTTAACTTTCCGTTGTATGAGAAAACTACTTCCAGTCCCTGCACCAGTTCCTTGTGGTTAATGAGGTTTGGAGAGACAGAGTGACATTTAGAAAGTAAAACTTGAATGACATTTCTAGTCATTTGAAATCACTTTAATGTGGAAATGCTTTTCTATAAATTTCAGAGATAGGAGCCAATTTGTCCTCCTCTTTTGAATATAATTATCTATGCAGGACTACTATGTATCTAGAAATAAACATTTTAGTTGTCTTCTCTTCCTCCTCCTTATATCTTCAATTATTTTTCAAGGAAGAGGGTCCCTATCAAAGAATGATAAATTATACAAGATGAAGAGTTATTGAGAGGTGCATAAGCAGTGGCAGAACATAAATGAAGCCAAAAGCAATCTTTCAGAAATATCTTGGGAAGCCAACAAACTCTTTCATAAGAGATTAATACATAAAAGGGAGAATTCCCATTTCCTCTTTTAAGAAAAAGTTTATAAAACAATAATATACATAGAAAATTACGCATACATCTTAAGTATATAGCTCAATGAATTGTTATAAAATAAAAACGTCTGCACTCTTTTGTAACCACAAACTAAACATTATCAACACAACAGAAATCGCCCTCTTGTTCCCTCTTAAGTCTCTTGGGGCTGCTCTAACAAAACACCATAGACTGAATGCCTTTTAGACAACAAGCATTTCTTTTTATAGTTCTGGAGGTTGGAAAAGCCAAGACTAAGGCCCTAGCAGATTCAGTGTCTGATGAGGGCTTGCTCTTTGCTTTGTGCCTTCTCATTGCATTCTCATATGGTAGAAGCGGGAAACAAGGTCCCTCAGGCTCAGGCTTCTTTTATAAGGCACCAATCCCATTTGTTAGGGCTCTTGTTCCATTACCTAATTATCCACTAAAGGACCCACTTCTTAAAATGATTGCATTGGGGATTAGGTTTTAACATGTGAAATTTGGGGGACACAAACCTTCAGACTATAGCACCTCGCAATCATTATTCTCTCTCCTCTCTCTCGTCACTACTTTCTTCTCCCAAAGTCACTACCATGCAGTCTTTTAACACTCTAGATTCTGTCTGTTTTTGAGCTTTGTATAAATGGTTTCTTACCCTCAACAGAATGTCTGCGAAATTCGTCTATCTTGTGTGTATAGTTTATTAATTTACATTAATGTGTTTTACCCTATTTAGAAGTATACCACAATGTTTTATCCCTTCTACTACTAATAATTTTTTAAAATATTTGCCATGATAATTAATGCTCCTATGAAATTCCTTGTCTGTATTTTTTACTGCACAATAGTACATACTTCTTTTGGGTATATGCCTAGAATGAAGTAACTGGCTCATAGAATATGTATATGTTCAGATTTAGCAGATAATATTGTAATGACTTCCCAAATGTTTGTACCAATTTACATTCTTACTAACAGTGTTTGAGAAGTTCCAGTTGTATCAGACTCTTGCCAACTTTGATATTGTCAGTCTTTTTAATTTCAGTCATTCTATTGTTGTACAATAATACTTCATTATAGTTTAATTTGCATCTCTCTGATTATTAACAAGTTTCAGCATCTTTTCATATG
The DNA here is from genome assembly GCF_000001405.40 of Homo sapiens. Taxonomy (NCBI): domain Eukaryota; kingdom Metazoa; phylum Chordata; class Mammalia; order Primates; family Hominidae; genus Homo; species Homo sapiens. The sequence continues at coordinate 21,083,768 of NC_000009.12, forward strand.
TTTATTGACCATTTGGATATTTTCTTTGTGAAGAGCCTGTTTCAATCTCTTGTTGACTTATCAGATTTTAAAAATTATATGCAGATGATCTAATTGTTTACATTCAAAATACAAAAGAATTTATAGATAAACGATTAGAATTCAGCAAGGTCGCCACGCACAAGATCAATATTAACAATCAGTCATCTCTCTTTAGCAATAAAAAGGTGAAAAATTACATTTTAAAAATGACACCATAGACGATGTATGAAAATAATCTACTTGGAAATAAATCTAGGCAAAGAAGTGCAAGACTGTTACCCAGAAAACTTACAAATTGTAAATGAGAGGTTAGTGAAGATTTAAATGAATGAAGATCTAAATAAACTTATAAATTGTGAGAGAAATTAATGAATGTCTAAGTTAATGCAGAAACGGAGAGACATACTATATTCATGAACTAAAAGACTTAATATTGTGAAGGTATACTTTCTTTCCACATAAATTTGTAGTCAATATGTTCACCCCAAAAAAGCTGTTTGTTAACTTGCCAACCTCATTCTAAAATGTATATAGAAGCCCAAAAGACAATAACAAAAATATTCTTGTAGAACAAAATGGGAAAGAATGTTCCACTAAATATCAAGATTTAGAGCAAAGCATGAGATGTGTGGGGATAGACAGTGAGGCTGATAAAATAGAGTAGAGCTCAGAAACAGACCCATTGATATATGTAAGTGACCTATGAAAAAAATATGGCATTTTACAATGGGAAAATGATGATCTTTTTCTTTTTTAGAAAAACAGGGAAATATATTTATATGTAAAAAATAAAAGGGAACCCATATGTCATACCATACACACAAAAAAATTCCAGTGAATTATAAGTCTAAATGGAGAAGGCAAAACTTTAAATCTTTTAGAAAATAATATAGAAGCATGCCATCATGACTTCAGTGTAGAGAAAAATTTCTTATGACTCAAAGTCCTAACCACAAAGAAAAGATTGTTAATTAGATTGCATGAATATTAAGACTTATTTTTAAAATTAAAAAACCATTAAGAAAAGTCAGGCCATAGAATGACAGAAAATATTTGCAACACCCCAGTAAAGAGAATTGTAATATGCAGATTATAAAAAGAAGTCTTACAAATCAGTAAAAAATAAAACTAGACAAAAATTTGAACAGATGAAAGAGAAACTCTAAATAATCATTACACATGAGAAACTCAATCTCAGAAATCAGAGAACTATCATTGCATATACACTAAATTAGAGAAATATTAAAAGGCTAAGTAACATCTGTGGCAATATTGATGGTATATAACCTTGATATGATGTGATGAGAACAGTACTTTACCCCATGGGCTTCCTCCCCAAACCCTTACCCCAGTATAAATCATGACAAATATACTTTAAAAACCATTACCCTATATCTAACCAGTACTCCTCAAAACTGTCAAGGTCATCAAAAATAAGAAAAGTCTGAGGAACTGTCAAAACTAAGAGGAACCCAAGGAGACATGAGAATTATATGTAATGTGGCATTCTGAATGAGATCCCAGAACAGAAAAAGAACAGTAGCTAAAAAACTAATGAAATATAAATAAAGTTTGAACTTTAGTTTTTTTTAAAAAAGAGTAGCATTAACACGGCAAAGCCATTTTCATATTTTTCTTGAACATTAAGTACAAGTCTATAATTAAAAATTTTTTAAATGTAGTCTGGAACATTGCCAGAAACAGAAGTACAACAGCTATCTGTGCTGTCGCCTAACTATCCATAGCTGATTGGTCTAAAATGAGATACATCAACGCTCCTCCATGTTTTTTGTTTTCTTTTTAAATGAAAAACTTTATTTTTTAAGAGGAGTTTCAGGTTCATAGCAAAATTGAGAGGAAGGTACATTCAAGCTGAGGAAGTTTTCCTCTATTCCTAGTTTACTGAGAGATTGCATCATGAATGGGTGTTAAATTTTGTCAAATGCTTTTTCTGTGTCTATCAATATGACCATGTGATTTTCTTCTTTAACCTGTTGATGGGACAAATTACGTTAATTGATTTTCAAACGTTGAACCACCCTTACATATCTGGAATAAATTCTACTTGGTTGTGGTGTATATTTTTTGATACATTCTTGGATTCTTTTTGCTAATATTTTGTTGAAAATGTTTGTATCTTTGTTCATGAGAGATATTGGTCTGTTGTTTTCTTTTCTTGTAATGTCATTTTCTAGTTCCGGTATTAAGGTAATGCTGGCCTAGTTGAATGATTTAGGAAGTATTCCCTCTGCTTCTGTCTTCTGAAAGAGATTGTAGAAAGTTGATACAATTTTTTTTTCTTTAAATATTTGATAGAATTCACTAGTGAACCCATCTGGGCATTGTGCTTCCTGTTTTGAGAGGTTATTAATTACTGATTCAATTTATTTAATAGATATAGGCTATTCAGATTGTTTATTTCTTCTTTTTACATTTTTCAGATTATGTCTTTCAAGGAATTGGTTCATTCTATTTACTTATCAAATTTGTAGTTATAGAATAGTTTATAGTATTCTTTTATTATGCTTTCAATGCCTATAAAATTTGCAGTGATGTTCCCGCTTTTATGTTTGATATTAGTAATCTGTGTCCTCTGTCTTTTTTCCTTAATTATCCTAGGTAGATGCTTATCAATTTTATATATCTTTTCAAGAACCAGACTTTTTATGTTGATTTTCTTTATTGATTTACTGTCTTCAATTTTATTGATTTCTGCTCTAATTTTTATTTCTTTTTTTTTTTTTTTTTTTTACTTACCTTGGATTTAATTTGCTCTTATTTTTCTACTTTCCTAAAGCAGAAGCTTAGGTGATTAATTTTTATGACTTTCTTTTTTTCTAATATAGCACTCAGTGCTATAAATTTCCCTATAGGCACTGCTTTCACTGGATTCCACATATTTTGTTAAGTTGTGTTATTTTCATTTAGTTTAATATATTTAAAAGTTTCTTTTGCCAACCAAGATTACTTTACCCAACAAAGTTGACCTTCAGAAATGAGGGAAAAATAACAACTTTCCAAGACAAACAAAAGCTGAGGTAGGATGGCACTACTATACCTACTTACAAGAAATGCTAAAAGGAATTCTTCAAGCTGAGTAAAAGGATTCTAGTTAATAACATAAAAACATGAACGAATAAAACTTACTGTAGGAATAGGAACAGCTCCGGTCTGCAGCTCCCAGCGAGACCAACACAGAAGGCGGGTGATTTCTGCATTTCCAACTGAGGTACGCGGTTCATCTCACTGGGACTGGTTAGACAGTGGGTGCAGCCCATGGAGGGTAAGCAGAAGGAGGGTGGGGTGTTGCCTCATCCGAGAAGCACAAGGGGTTGGGGAACTCCCTCCCCTAGCCAAAGGAAGCTGTGAAGGACCATGCTGTGAGGGATGGTGCTATCTGGCCTAGATACTATGCTTTTCCCATGGTCTTTGCAACCCATAGACCAGGAGAGTCCCTTGGGTGCTAACATCACAAGGGCCTTGGGTTTCAAACACAAAACTGGGCAGCCATTTGGGCAGACACCGAGCTAGCTGCAGGAGTTTTTTTTCATACTCCAGTGGTGCTTGGAATGCCAGTGAGACAGAACCATTCACTCTCCTGTAAAGGGGGCTGAAGCCAGGGAGCCAAGTGGTCTAGCTCAGCGGATCCCACCCCCAGAGAGGCCAGCAAGCTAAGATCCACTAGCTTGAAATTCTCGCTGCCCCCACAGCAGTCTGAAGTCAAACTGGGATACTCGAGCTTGGTGGGGGAGGGGCATCCACCATGACTGAAGCTTCAGTAGGCAGTTTTCCCCTCACGGTGTAAAAAAAGCTGCCTGGCAGAGCCCACTGAAGCGCCTCCAAGCTATTGTAGCCAGACTGTCTCTCTAGATTCCTCCTCTCTGGGCAAGGCATCTCTGAAAGAAAGGCAGCGGCCCCAGTCAAGGGCTTATAGATAGAACTCCCATCTCCCTGGGATAGAGCACCTGGGGCAAGGAGCGGCTGTGGGCACAGACAGCTTCAGCAGACTTAAATGTTCCTGCCTGCTGGCTCTGAAGAGAGCAGCAGATCTCCCAGCACAGTGCTTGAGCTCTGATAAGGGACAGACTGCCTCCTCAAGTGGGTCCCCGACACCCGTGCCTCATGATTGGGAGACACATCCCAGCAGGGTTTGACAGACACCTCATACAGGAGCACTCCAGCTGGCATCTGGCAGATGCCCCTCTGGGCAAAGCTTCCAGAGGAAGGAGCAGGCAGCAATCTTTGTGTTCTGCAGCCTCCACTGGTGATACCCAGGCAAACAGGGTCTGGAGTGGACCCATAGCAAACTCCAGCAGACCTGCAGAAGAGGAGACTGACTGTTAGAAGGAAAACTAACAAACACAAAGCAATAGCATCAGCATCGACAAAAAGGATGACCACACAAAATCTCCATCTGAACGTCACCAAAAGCAAAGACCAAAGGTAAATAAATCCATGAAGATGAGGAAAAACCAGCGCAAAAAGGCTGAAAATTCCAAAAACCAGAATGCCTCTTCTCCTCCAAAGGATCACAACTCCTTACCAGCAAGGGAAAAAACTGGATGGAGAATGAGTTTGATGAATTGACAGAAGTAGGCTTCAGAAGGTGGGTAATAACAAACTCCTCCGAGCTAAAGGAGCATGTTCTAACCCAATGCAAGGAAGCTAAGAACCTTGATAAAAGAGGAATTGCTAACTAGAATAACTAGTTTAGAGAAGAATGTAAAGGACCTGATGGAGCTAAAAAACACAGCACAAGAACTTCGTGAAGCATACACAAGAGCTGAACTGATCAAGCAGAAGAGAGGATATCAGAGATTGAAGATCAATTTAATGAGATAGGTTTCAATATATAGATTTGGAGAAATTCAAGAGCTAATAGGCACCACACCAGAGGCATTAACAGAAGATGACTTGACAGAGATAAGTGCTTCTGAACCAGTGCCAGACAATGAGGAAGAAGATATAGGAGAAGAAGTGCCAGGAAACAAATTGGCATTAGACAATCTGGCAGAAGAGTTCTGATTATTCAAGACTGCTTTTGGCTTCTTTTATGACATGGACCCCTCTACAACATGGGCACTGCAACTAAAGCAAATGATGGAAGAATGATTGCTACCATATATATAAAAATTTTTAGAGGAACAAAAAAGCAAAAAAGTTACACAGAAATTATGATTTATTTCCATAAAGTTACACTGTGCCTGCTTTTTCTGCCTCTCTTTCCACCTCCTCACCTCTTCACCTCTGCCACCCCTGAGACAACAAGACCAACCCTTCCTCTCCCTTCTCCTCCTCAGCCTATTCAACATGAAGACAAGCATGAAAATCTTTATGGTGATTCATTTCCACTTAATAAATAGTAAATATATTTTCTCTTCCTTATCATTTTCTTGTTAACATGTTCTTTTTTCTATCTTACCTTATCATAAGAATACAGTATATAATACATATAACAAAAATATATGTCAATCAACTATATGCTATAGGTAAGGATTCTGGTCAAAGGTAGGCTACTAGTAGTTAAGTTTTGAGGAATCAAGAGTTATACACAGATTTTTAACTACACGGGTGTCAGTACTCCTAATCCCTATGTTGTTCAAGAGTCCACTATAACCCAAAATAGCAGTCTCCAAACAAGGTCTCTCTTGGCAAACTGAATGTTTGGCCATGGTACCCAAAGGCAGAATGAAGTTTAAAGTGGAAATATATATATATATATTTCAATATATCTAATATATTGAAATATATATATTAATATAATATATTAAAGTCAATATAATACATATAATATATATTATATTATATATATATCAATATAATATATATTATATTGATATATATATATCAATATAATATATATTATATTGATATATATATATCAATATAATATATATATATGAAGTCAAGGGTGACTTTATTTTGCCAAAATTACATGCTTCCCTTTTACAATGCATCACAGAATCTGAGAGAATTAGAGACTCCAATTCAAATTAATAGTTAGAACTTTTTGCTTGTATCTTAGCAGATGTAATAAGCCATAGCTATCAATAAAATAGTTTTCTTGTCTGTGGTAATGATTTAAATGAACTGTTTTGGCATGATGCAAAATTTGCATTGGTCTAATAATATCCACTTTATATTACAATGTATCCTGGTTTGGGAAATTTTTTTTAAAGAATAAAATGGATTTCTTGTAGACAACATATATTTGGTTCTTGCTTTTTGATCCACTCTGACAAGCTCTTTTTTTTTTTTTTGAGAGAGAGAGTCTTGCTCTGTTGCCTAGGCTGGAGTGCACTGGCGCGATCTCGGCTCACTGCAAGCTCCACCTCCTGGGTTCACGCCATTCTCCTGCCTCAGCCTCCCGAGTAGCTGGGACTACAGGCACCTGCCACCATGCCTGGCTATTTTTTTTGTATTTTTAGTAGAGACGGGGTTTCACCATGTTAGCCAGGATGGTCTCGATCTCCTGACCTCGTGATCCACCCACTTTGGCCTCCCAAAGTGCTGGGATTACAAGATGAGGCGCTGTGCCCAACCCAAGCTTTGTCTTTTAATGGTGCATTTAAACTATTGACATTGAACGTGATTAGTGATGTAATTAGATTAATATCTACCATACTGATAACTGTTTTCTACTTGTTGCTCTTTTTCTTCATTCCCAATTTTGTTTTCCACTCTTTTTCTGCCTTTTGTGGTTTCAACTGAGCATTTTATAGAAGTCTATTTTCTCTCATTTCTTAGCATATCAGTTATACTTGTTGCTATTTTTATTTTGAAGAAACTGTTATGTGTTAAGGATTTTTTAAAAAGTTTTTATTTTACCTTCACTTATTTCTTCTCTGAGAAATTTGCTTTATTTAGATCTAAGTTTCTGATCTATATCATTTTCCCTCTCTCTAAAAAAATTTCTTTTAAAATTTATTGCAAAGCAAGTCTACGGGTAACACATTCCCTCAATTTTTGTTTGTCTGAGAAAGTCTCTATTTCTCCTTCACTTTTGAAGGATAATTTGCAAGATACAGAATCCTAGGTTGGTGTTTTTTTTCTAAATTCTTGAGGTAAGGTATTTTTTTTCCTCTGGTTTATTTCAGGATATATTCTTTACCTTTGATTTTCTGTAGTTTGAAATGATATGCCTATGTGTAATTTTTCCAGCATTTATCCTAGTTGGTGTTCTCTGTGCTTCTTGCATCTGTAGTTTGATGTCCGACATTAATTTGAATAAATTCTCAGTCATTGTTGTTCAAATATTTCTTCTCTTTCTTTCCCTGTTTTCTTTTTCTGATATTTCCATTACATGTATGTTACACATTTTGTAGTTATCTTACAGTCTTTGCAATTCTGTTCTCTTTTTTTCCTAGATCTTATTCTCTTTTCTTTTCAGTTTTGAAAGTTTTCATTGATAAATCCTCATGCTCAGAAATTTTTTTCTTCAGCTTTGTCTGGTCTACCAATAATAACATCAAAGGCATTTTTCATTTTTTGTTTGATTTCTGAGAACTTCTGTCTAAACTCAGCTTCCAGTACCATAGCAGCTAGCAGCCTTGCCCTAATGGGAAATGAAAGGAAACTGGTCGTGGGTGTTCACAATTTGCCATTCACGAGGCAGTTCTTTTTCCTGGCAGATGGAATAATGGTTAGATATCCAACCCATGACCAGCGGATCCCTCACATGGGAAACCTGTTTATACTGGCAGATGCCTGTGTGAATTTTTTCTCACCTGTGCACAGCTTATGCCTGCCTGACCATCTCCCTGGTCCTAAGAGCCTGAACTTGTCTTCTCCCCAGCCACCCAGAAAAAATCTGGCATGGGGCAACTCCTACTTCTTCAAATTTAGTACACCACCACAATAGGCAAGAAGTTCAAAGACTTTTCTTATAGCTACTAGGAAGGAAAGGTGTAATGAGGCAGGAATGAAGAGTTAGGCAAAGAACGAGAGAAATCACGAGGGCAACTGGCAGAATATATAAGGGAATAGGGTATGTGTCACTTTAAGTTCACAGGAAAATGCTTGAATGATTTACAGGAAATGGCCAGAAAGCAGGGAGCCCAGTCTGCTAGGTGGGAGAGATGCCACTAAGTTCTTCTCTCTGACCACTGACTTAGGCCATTTGGGTGTAGTGTAGAACTATAAACTGTGCCAAGGGTGACTGAGCCCTGCTTTGGTATGACAAAGTTAAACTTAGATTCAAAATGGATGCTGAGGCAACATAAAATTATAAGATTCCACTACACTGTCAGACTGTTTTTGATCTTTAGCATTTCCTTTTTGGTTCTTTCTTTTCTTTTCTTTCTTTCTTTCTTTTTTTTTTTTTTTTTGAGACAGACTCTTCCTCTGTCACCAGGCTGGTGTGCAGTGGCACGATCTTGACTCACTGCAATCTCCACCTCCAGGGTTCAAGTGATTCTCCTGGCTCAGCCTCCCAACTAGCTGGCACTACAGGCATGCGCCACCACACCCAGCTAATTTTTTGTATTTTGGTAGAGAAGGGATTTCACCATGTTGGCCGGGATGGTCTCGATCTCCTGACGTTGTGATCCGCCCACCTTGGCCTCCCAAAGTGCTGGGAATTACAGGCATGAGCCACCGCACCCAGCCTTGGTTCTTTCATAGGCTTTCCATCTCTCTGGTTGCATTGCCCATCTGTTCTTGCATGCTGTCTACTTTATCTGTCAGAGCACTTAATCATAGTTTAAAATTCCCAGTCTGATAATACCAACATCACTGCCATGTCTGGTTCTGATGCTTGCTCTGTCTCTTCAAATTCTGTCTTTTTGTATTTTAGTATGCTTTGTTATTTTACTACTGCAAATAGGCCTTTAAAAATGTGACAGTAAGGTATTAGGAAGGGGAGGTGTTCTCTAGTCCTACCAGTAGGTCTCTGTTTTTAGTGAGCCTGTGCCTCTGGACTGTGAACTTCGAAAGTGTTTCTGTGTCCTCCCTCCCCCTTTAGGTGGAGCAGGATGGCTAGAACTGGCTGGAGTTGGGTATTTTTCTTCCTTCAAGTCAGTTGAAAATAGGCTCTAATAAAACTCCAGGAGATTAGATTCTAGTCAACTAGCTTTTTCTGACTGCAGACCTTGTTAAGAGGAATGGAGTGCATCCAAATATTCTCACCTTTATTGCTGGAAGCACTAGAGAATTTTTCTCTGATATTTCCTGTGAGAACCAGCTAAATCACCTAGACATAAAATGCAAAAAGTATGAGGACCCTCCTATAACTAAGTCCTCTTGAGTTTTTAATTCTCAGTTGTCCACACTGAGCCTTCACCAATTCATCAATTATAGTCCAGGTTTTCCTGGTTCCCTTAGTGGTTTCCACTGGTGAATCTCTGTTCTGGTTTAAGCTATAACTCTCCAGATTTGCCTGCCCGTTTCTCCAATCTTGGAGGTAGTAATTGTCTCTGTGTCCTCACTTCTCATGGATCCAAACAGAGTTTTTGGATTTTACGTCTGTTCAGCTTGTTAGGCCAGAGTGGCCATTTCCAAGCTCCTTACATGTAGAAGTGGCTATAATTGAATTTTTAATTCAATTAAGAGGATCAAAAAACCAATGAAAACTATTATATTACTACATAGTTATTTCTAAATTGAGAGTGATTTTTTTTTAACCTTGATCACCAATGAAGATTAATCAACTTCTCTCATTTTTTATTTTTGTAAGTGAGCAGGGGACATTTAAGCACATGGTGGGTGGTAAGCATCATTAAGGTGGGAAATCAGACTGCAACAGGATGCTATAAAGGCCAGGACAAGGCAGTTATTTCTTTCACCTGATAAATACACAGTCATTTATTTAATGAATATTTATTATTAATTAATGTATTAATGAATATTAAGTACTTGGTAAATAATATTTATATTTTTATAGGATATTTAATAATATATATTGAGCATTCCATAAATAGAAATAGTGAATATTAGAATATTATTGGGCTATTCTAAAAATGTCTTTCAAAAAAGTTATGCTGTTGGCTTGATATATGTATTGTGCATTGTTTCTGAGTTTATTCCAATGTATTTTATGCTTTATTATTGTTATATTTTGAAGAGAAAGTTATTTTTTCATTACCTGTTCTAATTTTTAATGGGACCAATTTTCATTACATTTCAGGTATATGTGTCTTTCTGTTATTTTAAGTGAACATTTAAAACTTCCTGAATTATAATACTAATATGACAAATATCAATAAATAGAAACACATGAGCACAATCTTTTTGGATGTGTCCACAATTTTTAAGTGTCGATGGCTTCTGAAACCGAAACAGTTGAGAACTGCTGATGTTGATAAGATTTACAAGAGCCTATTTAGGTGGTTAATTTGGCATATAATAGTATTAATCTCTAGTTTTATTGGTTGTCTTCTCTAAATCACAGGAAAACAAATGTGGAATTTTCCTGACCATGGGTAGTGACTGTGGTGTAGCTTCAGATTGCATTTGGAGAAAAGTCCATTGGAAAAGCATGGGGAAGGGAGGTAATGAGGACGCAAAAGGCAGAAGAGCTTCGTTCAAAAACAGTACCCTCCACAATAATAAAATGAAGGGTAATCTCACCAAAGTCTTAATTACATTGGAAAATTTTGCTCAGTGACCAAGAAAGTTCCTGTGAAACTTGGGAATTACAAAGGAAAAGCCTAAGTTCAGGGGAAGGAAAAAGAAGAATTGTTTTTCTCTCTTCAACCTGCTGTTTCCCTCTCACCCTCATTCAGTTCCTGAAGCTGCTTCTTTCCATGCTGGGCTTTATAACCGCAAGCCAACAGCTAGTTGGGTAGGGAATCCACCTTCAGACCTCCGACCTCGTGTGAAGAGGCAGAGCATGCCGCTGAGATCTATGTGCCACTGGTTTCAGACATTTCTCTGTTCCTTTTCCCTTTCCCACATCCTGGATGTCTTGTCATAGTCAAAGGCCTTTGACTAGATCCATTCGTTAGTTTCCGTTCTGTCACCTAAGAATCCAGGAGAGACTAGGCCACTTCACGGGGGCTCTGCCTGTCTTGTTAATGTCGGGATTCCTGACATGATATTAAAATAACGGCACCTTGGACATTGAGAAAACTGCAGAATCAAGAAGGTCATTCACTGACTTTGTCTCACCTTTCTTTGTGAAAGCTGGTCATAAGATAATTATCTGTCCTATCTCCCCTGAAAGTATGTCGTAAGACCCCCATGTGACAGGTGTCCTTCCCTGCTTCTGGAGGAAAGGAATAAAGACACAGGGACACCAAGAATAATCTGAACAGCAGGCCTTCCTAAGTCCCCCCTCAGTTTATTAACAATACTTCATATCCCCTTTGTGTCCAATATGCTTTTACATGACTGTCCATTTTTCATTAAACCTAAGCATAAAAATAGACAGTTTCTCTGGGTCTTTGGATCTTCATTTCTAAAGCCTCTTGTCTCCCATGAAAATTAGTTTAAAAAATTAGTTATGGTTTTCTCTTGTTAATCTTCTTTTATTATAGGGGTATTAACCATGAACCTAGCAATAGGTGAGAAAAGGCACTACTTTTTTTTCCCACACTAATGACAACTTCTGCCTTATGCAAACACAACCAGAGGGTCCTACAGTCTTCACCGCCAGCCACAGTTGGAATGGTCTCATCAATGGATTGATGGCCCAGGGACGCACAAGGGCTGTGCTGAGGCTCAGGAAACAATCCCCCAAAATGACGGCCACAGAAGCAGCCTCAGAAGCAAAACTTTCTCTGACTTTCTCCTGCCCTTCTCTCTGTGGCCCCTTATTCTCTAGAATCTCTCTAGAATCCCTCTTCCCAAGGCAGGCCATAGAAACCAGAATTCCCTTCCCCAAAGCCAGCCATAAAACCTAAACATATTACTTCAACCTCCTCCTTGCCTTTCTGTGTAAAAGCTGACCATAAGGAAATTATGTGACCTGCCTTATCTGATGGTAGAATATAACTCCATTCAGAGAGGGCCCTGCCCCATTCCCAGAGTAAGGAATGTTGCACAAACAAACCCAGAAGAATCTAGACAGACAGGCCTTGCTAGGCTTCCTCACTCAGTCTATTAGCATTAGATCATGCCCTTTTTGTCCAGTCATTTTTCTACATAGCTGTCCAATTCTTCATTAACCTAAGCATAAAAATGGTATCTTTGGGCTTTCATTCTGAAGGCTCCCATGTCACATGAAACTACTATACAATTAATTTGTATGGCTTTTTGCCTATTAATCTGCCTTTTGTCAGATGATTTTTCAGTGAAGCTTCAGAGGTCAAAGGGCTAATTTTCCCCTGGCCCCTACAGCTGCCCACCCAACATTTCTTACCAGGTGCTACCTGGACTCCCTCTGCTAGAAGCTCCACATTGGCCCTATCCAATACAGTCTTCAGTCACCCTCCAGCCTGGGTTTACTTTTCCCTTTGGATACCAGGCATTTCTCTGAGCTGTATGTTATTTAATCCTCACAACCATACTCAGGGGTAAATGCAGCCAGGCCTAGGGTTAAGAAGAGAATACACAGACAACACACTTACAGCAGCTGCTGAATAAGCACCAGCTCCATTCCCTTCACAAACACGTGGACATGTCTATTTTTGGTTTTTCTGTGGGTGCTTCCTATCTTGGAAGCAGTTTCTGGTGCTTCTACAAAGTGAAACCAAAACCCTGTACATCATTAAAACTTACAACCAATTACATTTTTATTTCATCATCAGGGGCTGTACGATGAACCAGGTGGTGCAAAAATAACAATGAGGGTGATGCAACAAGTGAAAAGGAAACTAAATGTGAATTGTCGAATTGGAATTGAAGAATGGAGCGGGTATTCCCCTTTGCCCTGGTGCTTGCCTGAGGCAAGTGCTGCTTATCTTCACAAAGCAGAAGATTCTTCTGGCTGCCTGGAAGATGCCTCTGTTATTTTAGTGAAAACATTTAGCTCCTCGAAAGGTAGAGAGAACCAAGAGGTAAAGTGTGCCATTGTAGACAGCTGGTGTGTGTGCCAGGTAGCAGTGCTTCTGTCTACATCCTGGGATATTTGCTGCGAAATGATTGGCTCAGTCACCAAGTGAATGGCTCTTTCTGCCTCTCCCTTGTGAGTAGTTGAGCTGGCATTAAAAAGTTCCTGGCTAGTTCTTTTGAAATTACCTCACCTTCCTGCAGACCTAGAACATTAGGGAATAATCCTCTAATCAGTTTCAAATAGGAGAGCTCACATGTAAGCAGCCTTATTTAAGTGCCAGGCATCATTCTGAGCATGTTATATAAATTAAACAATTAATCCTCACCACAGTTTTATGAGGTAGGACTGTGGTTATCTTAATTTTACAGATAAGGGAACTGGGCAACGAGAGGTCTGTTTCCTTTCCCCGTTATGACATCCCAAAATAGCATTTTGCTCCTTGAGTTCTAGTAGGAACATTCAAGGCCTGGTTGGCCTTTCCCATCTCTCACTCTGGACCCCTGGAGGGAAGAAAACTTGGTCTTATTCCTAGCTCTCATTTTTCACTTATTTCTTATTTTTAGAAAATGTGCAATTCTGCCAACTCTTTGCTTTAGCTCTTGCTTTCAAATGACTTGCACATCTCTGTCCTTTCTCCCCTTTTCCAAAATTTTCAATGTCATTTGCATCCTTCCATCAGTTCTAAAATGCTAGTTACTTGTGGATGTCTCTCCATTTTACGCCCTGTTCTGAGCCTATGGCTCTTTGCAAATTCAGCACTTGCGGAACACTCATCATTCTGTTCGGTAATCGATGTTTTGTTTTATCCTCTCTTTTCCAGAAGATTCGTGTTTTAAATCTGAACTTTGTCTCCCCAGTCATTAGCACAGTAGCCAATGGTAAAAAGTTAAGTATTGTTTATTGAATAAATATAATGCTGCAATATATGCTTCAATGAGTTTGTGACTGTCAGATATCAAGGAGTTGTCTTGGCAATGTTTGCTGAGGGTTCATTTAATGAATTCTCTTGACAAGAATTTGAGCTCCACCTATCTCATGAGCACATTGATGGGCAATGTGAACAAAGGGAAAATAAAATTCAAAAGAGAATACAATTTATGTTGAAAAGAACATTAAATATTATTTTAGATAAATGTAGCCCCAACACATGTGAGTCTTCTTGCCCCTTCTCTGACTCTCTTGGCATCCAAAAGAAATGCAAATCCATAATCAAAAGTCTTTAAATTTTAATATAGTTCCTCATTAAGGCCCTTGAAGAGACAGCAAAGTGGCAAATTATGTCATAAGTCTATTCAGTAAAACATACTTAGTTCCCGTTTTAACAGGAAATAGAAGCAAATGGAAAACTAACCAATTCATTTTATGAGAATAAAATCATACAACGCAGATAATAAGATCAGCCAACAAATTATAGGACACTTTTATAAACATGAAGATAAAAGTACCATGTTAAATATTAGGAAGTGAAACCCAAAGATGTGCTGTAAATAAAAAACTAGAATGTAACCAAGAATACAATGGTAGCATACGATAATCTGTTCATGTAATTATTAGTATGTGACAAAGGGAAAAAATATACTGATCTCACAAGGTACCAATAAACTCCCACATTAATTAAAAAGCAATACCTTAGCCTACCAAGGCTAGAACCAGTTTAACTCTGATAAATGTTATTGCATCTATTAAGAGTGCCTTCTACTATAAGTAACAGACAACTTAGCTAATTGAGTCTAAAATAATGAAGACATTTGCTCAGTCCACATAATTGGAAATCTGTAGGGCAGTATTCCTACAAGGATGATAGAGAGTTCCCATTGCTGCACATGTCGCCAGCATTTGGTACCATTAGCGTTCTGAACTTTGATCATTCGAGCAGGTGTGTAGTGCCTCCACATTCGTTATTGTAGAACTAGGCCTATAGCAGCAAGGAGAATCTGTGAGAATGTAACACAAGGATTAGGCTTTTTTTCCCCCAAATGACTAGTTGACTGTCCCAACATGGGCTTTTCCCATTGGTTTGAAAAGCCACTTTTACTGTATGCAAAGAAACAATAAATTCAATTTTCTTCTTCTTAACTTTGATTCTGTTTTCTTGACCGATTTCTCTATTCTTGCAATAATCCCGCTTTCTGCAGTCTTACAAGATCATTTTATATTTTACAAGGCAAGTCCCTCTGTAAATTTATTCCTTTCTCAGATTTTCTGATGTATTATTTTTTGATACATTTTGTAGTCAGCTTGTCAAATTCCAATTAAAAATCTTGTTGACGTGTTGTTTGGGAATGCATTGAATTTATGTATAAATGTATAATAAAGCAATTAAAAACAATTCAGTAGATTTTTATTTACTAATAGAAAAAATCTCTAAGATCTATTATTAAGTAAAAAAAGAAACATGATATTTATGAAATACAAACACACTTAATATCCACTGAATATTTCTATATGTATAAATTTATTAAATAAATGAGGAAATGACTAAAAGGATACTCATTAAAGTATTAACTATGTGAAATTGGGATGGTAACAGGTCAATATGACTTTTCACTTGTATGAATTATTCTAATTTTTAATCATGACAATACATTCATGTATTTTTTATAAATATAAATAAACTCAAGAAATCTTTTTTAGTTCTCTAAAGTAACACTCCTTAGGGCAGTTACTTAACTTTGCATCTGCTTATCCATCTTTTTGTGAGCTTCATCCTGCTTTGCTCTTTTTACTCCACTTTGAACAGTCAAGTAGACTTTTTGCTCCTGAATAAGAAGCTTCATTGTGATTCGCCAACCTTTACCTCAATGGACTAAGCAGAGATAGGACTCAGTCTATGATCAACTCATTACTGATTAACTCATGATCACCAAGGTATTGATTGACAAATTCATTAGACTTTTCTCAGTTTTAATAGCAACATTAATGATAATCCAGTTTAAGGGCCAAGTATTGTTCTGTACTGCATACATTATCTCATGTAATCAATTCAACAATCCTACAGAAAAGATGTTATTATTCTCATTCTATAGAGAAGGAAACTGAGGCTGCTCAAAAATGTTAAGCATATTTTCCAAGGTCAAACAATTAATCAGTGGGAAGCCAGAATTTAAATACTGTTTCAGAATCTGAACAGATCTCATGATCTTAGCCTCATTAATATAATGATAATCAGATGTTTGTGCAGCGCTTTAAAAAAACTTACTTTACTTATTTATCTGTCTTTTCAGAGACAATGTCTTGCTCTGTTGCCCAGGCCGAAGTGTAGTGGCACAATCGTAGCTCACTGAAGCCTCCAAATGCTGGGCTCCAGCAATCCTCCCATTTCAGCCGCCTGAGTAGCTGGGACTATGGGTGCATGCCACCACACGTGGCTACTTTTTAAATTTTTAAATAGAGACAGGGTCTCACTATATTGCCCAGGTTCACCTCGGACTCCTGGCGTCCAGCTATCCTCCCACCTTGGCCTCCTAAGGCATTGGAATTATAGGCATGAGCCACCATGCTTTAAAATTTTAATTAAAGTAAAATGCTCATAACATAAAATGTATCACCTTAGATACTTTTAAAGGGTGCAGTTCAGTAGTGCTATATTCACATTGTAGTGAAAATAGTCTCCAGAACTCTTTTCGTCTTGCAAAATTTAAACCCTATACTTATTAACAACTCACTGTTTCTCCCTTTCCCAAAATCCTACACTTTCTGTATCTATAAATGTGACTATTCTAGATACCTGATAATAAGTGGTCATATACTATTTGTTTATATGTGTGATGGGCTTATTTCAGTTAGTGTACGGTGCTCCAGAATCCTCTTGCAGCATGTGTCACAATTTCCTTCTTTTTTTTAGACTGAATAATATTCCATGATATGTATTGACCACATTTTTTAAAAATCCATTCATCCGTCCATAGGCATTTGGGTTACTTCTATCTTTTGACTACTGTGAGTACTTTTGCTTTGGATATATACTTAGTAGTGGAATTGCTGGATATATAATAATTCAATTTTTAATTTTTGAGGAACCACCGTACTGTTTTTCATAACTCCTGCATCATTTTACATTCCCAAAAGCAGCCCACAAGAGATCCTATTTCTCCACATCAAAACGTTATTTTTTTCTTTCTTCTTTTTCTTTTTTTATCATTGCCATCTTAATGGGTGAGAGGTGATATGTTTTTGTGGTTTTGATTTGCATTTCCTCAGTGACTAATGATGTTGAACAACTTTTCATGTTCTTGTTGTCCATTGTGTATCTTATTTGGAGAAATGGCTATTCAAGTTATTTGCAGATTTTATAATTGGATGTCTGTTTTGGTTGAGTTGTAAAAGTTATTTATATATTCTGAATACTAGTCCTTTCTAAGATATAAGATTTGCAAATAGTTTCTTCCATTCTATAGGTTGCCTTTTCACTTTCTTGATAGTGTCTTTTGAGCACAATAGTTTTAAATGTTGATGAAGTCCAATTTATCTGTTTTCTTTTGTTGCTTATGCCTTTCCTATCTTATCTAAGGATTCATTGGCAAATCCAAATCATAAAGATTAATCTCTACATTTTCTTCTAAGGCTTTGCTCTTACATTTAGGTATTTGATATATTTGAAATATTTTTTATATGATGTGAAGTTGGGGTACAATTTCATTATTTTGCATGTGAATATCCAGTTGCTAGGGCAACTGGGTATTGTTCTTTCCACATTGAGTGGTCCTCGTACCCTGGTTGAAAATCAATTGACTATAAACATATGGGTTTATTTCTGGACACTCAGTTCTATTGCATTGGTCTATATGTCTACCTTTATGCAAGTACCACACTGTTTTGATTACACTAGTTTGTAATATATTTTCAAATCAAGGAAGGGTGAGCCCCCCCAAATTTGCCCTTATATTTTCAAGATTCCTTGAGCCCAGGAGGTGGAGGTTGCAGTGAGCTGAGATTGTGCCATTGCACTTCAGCCTGGGTGACAGAGCAAGACTCTGTTTTGAAAAAGGAAAAAAAAAAAAGATTTATTTTGGGTATCCAGAGTCTCTTGCAATTTCATATAAATTTTAGTATTGGATTTTTAATTTCTGCAAAACCAGCCATTGGTATTTGAATCAAAATTGCATGAAATCTATAGATTACTCTGGGGGAATATTGGCATCTAAACAATATTAAGTCTTCCACTTCATGAACATGGAAGGCCTTTCCATTTATATAGGTCTTCTTTAATTTAGTTCGGCAATATTTGCAGTTTTCAGTGGACAACTCTTACATATCCTTTGTTAAATTTATTGCCAAGTATTATATTCTTTTTGATGTTATTATAAATGGAATATTTATTTTAATTTTTTTGAATTGTTCATGGCTAGTGGTCTTTGTTTTCTGTTCCTATAACAGACCACCACAGAGTGGGTAATGTATAAAGAAAAGAAGTTTATTTAGCTCACAGTTCTGGAGTCTGGGAGCTCCAACAATACACAACCAGCATCTGGTGAGAGTGTTCTTGCTGCACCATAGCATGATTGAAATCTGCACACTGTGTATAGGGCAAGTACAAAAGAGCCAGAAAGAGCTGGATAATGCCTAAAAATATGTGAGATGAGAATAGAAAGTTTGAAAGATCCAGCTGAACTCAACAAAACCTATCATTTGAAAGGCAGGGCTAGAACTAGAAACTGGAAAGTTATCTGCATCCTATTCAAGTGTATTATAGTGCCTCTGGAATAAGAGAATGGTGCCTTTTGGTAACTAAGGAAAATGAGAACAGGAATGTAATGTATTAGTCAGAAGGGCAGTCTAATGGTTACCATGGAGACTCTGTGGCTGGACTGCTGGGGTTCTTGTCATAGCCTCAGCCTGCTCCATGTTGTAACCTTGGGCACCTTATTATCCTCCGCTACATGTAAATGATAACCACACATATTTTGATAGGTTGTCATGAAGATGAAGGACAAAAACCTTATGATCATTTCAATTGATGCTCAAAAAGCATCTGATGAAATTCAACATTCATTCATAATAAAAGCTCTAAAAAACCTAGGTATAGAAGGAACATACCTAAACACCATAAACGCCATATAAGACAAACCTACAGCTAGTATCATTCTGAATGGGAAAATTCAAAGCCTTTCTCTAAGGTCTAGAACAAGTCAAGGATGCACACTTTCACCACTTTTTTTCTTTGGGACAGAGTCCCAATCTCTTGCCTAGGCTGGAGTGCAATGGCACAATCTCAGCTCACTGCAACCTCCGCCTCCCGGGTTCGAGCAATTCTCCTGCCTCAGCCTCCCAAGTAGCTGGAGTTACACGTGCCCACCACCATGCCTGGCTAAATTTTTGTACTTTTAGTAGAGACAGGGTTTTGCCATGTTGGCCAGGCTGGTCTCTAACTCCTGACTTCAGGTGATCCACCCCTCTTGGCTCCCCAGAGTGCCAGGATTACAGGCATGAGCCATAGAGCCCAACCACTTTCATCGCTTTTATTCAACATTGTACTAGAAGTCCCAGCCAGAGAAATTAGACAAGACAAAGAAACAAAAGGCATCCAGATTGGCAGGGAAGAAGACAAATTATCCTTTTCCAGAAAAAGCTAAATATTTCACCAAAAATACTATTAGGACTGATAAACAAATTTGGTAAAGTTGCAGGATACAAAATGAACTTACAAAAATCAGCATTTCTTGAAAATGGCTTTTATCCAAAAGACAGGCAATAACAAATGTTGGTAAGACATGTAGAAAAGGAAACTCTTGTACACTGTTGGTGCAAATGTAAACTAGTACAACCACTATGGAAAACAGTTTGGAGGTTCCGCAAAAAACTAAAAATAGAGTGGGATAACCCAGTAATCCCGCTGCTGGGTAGGCACCCAAAAGAAAGGGAATCAGTATATCAAAGGGATAGCTGCACTCCCATGTTTGTTGCAGCACTATTTGCAATAGCCAAGATTTGAATGCAACCTGACTGCCCATCAACAGATGAATGCATGAGGCAAATATGGTATATATACACAATGGAGTGCTATTCAGCCATAAAGAATAATGAGATTCTGTCATTTGTCACTACATGGATGTAACTGGAGGTATTATGTAAAGTGAAAGACAACCTTCACATGTTCTCACTTATTTTGTGGGAGCTTAAAATTAAAACAATTGAACTCATGGATATAGAAATAGAAGGATGGTTACCAGAGGCTAGGAAGGGTAATGGGGGACTGGGGGACAAGTAGGAATGGTTAATGGGTACAAAAAGTAGTTAGAAAGAATGAAGAAGTCCTAGTATTTGATAGCACAAAGGGGTGAATATAGTCAATAATAATTTAATTGTACATTTTAGAATAACTAAAATAGTATAATTGGATTCTTTGTAACACAAAGGATACATGCTTGAGGGGATGGATATCTCATTTACCAGGATGTGATTATTATGCATTGCATACCTGTATTAAAGTAGCTCATGTACTCTATAAATAGATACACCTACTATGTACCCCCCAAAATTTAAAAAATTTTAAAAATCAGTAGCATTTCCATATGCCAACAGCAAACAATCTGAAGAAGAAACCAAGAAAGTAATACCATTAACAAGAGACACAAATAAGATAAAATAAAATACCTAAAAATAAATTTAACCATAAGTGAATGATATCTACAATAAAACTATGAAACATTGATGAAAGAAATTGAATTGGATGATATTATGTATTTAGTACAATGCCTGAATAAAATAAGCACTTGGCACGTGTTAGCCATTCCCACAATGGAGAAAATGAATGCAACCCCAACTATGGAAATTGAGTGGAAATTTCCTGGGAAAGATCTGCTTTTCTTCCTTTAATTCTCAGGTCATTGATAAACGTTGTTATTGTAATTTCACCTCTTACTGTGAACATGAGCATGTAAATGGAGAGAGTGCCCCTTCCAAATGACTAACACCTATTAGCTCATGGGAAAGTTGACCTCTCAAACATGAATTAAATGGCCACGCAGTGTATGACCCAGTCTCTTTGGAGTGTGGTTGGTGTGGCTAACTGTTTGCAGTCTGATAATCACTGTGTATAGTGAAAAAAAGTAAATACACAGCTAACTAAATAAATAAATTCCCTGATTTTGCAAAGCTGAAAACTAGCCCTATAGGTAACAACCTGCTTTAAACAGCCAGTTTCCCCCACTGCTGGACCTGTCTGCAGCTGACATTTTCATTTAGATCGAGAATTTCTCAATCACTTTCTGTCATTTCCTATTTACTTTTGGTGGCTTTGTGTGTGAATTACTTTTTCTTCCCCCTTTTGAAGAGAAGGGGTTAGCAGACTTATTGTACACAAGGAAAAAAAGGAAGTCACTACTGACCATAGTGGGATATTCATATACATATTCTGCTTAGGTATGTTTGAGTTCAAAGGAGGAAACCTGAGAGATAAAACAGTTTAGGCTTGTATGTACAGCAAGCTTGCCCCCAATTCTCAAATTGTGCCCCTAACACAATATTGTCCGAAGCGTCCTGGTGAAGCTTGCTCATATGTATTTTACTTTCAGGAAGTGATTGAGAAAAGTTTACAATTGTGGAAATGTGGATGTCTGAAATATTAAGCTAGATGCTCATAGTCTAGTCTTGAGTGCAAAGTCCACTATATATGTGGAAAACCAGTGAGGTGAGAGGATACTTCAGGAAAGCTAGATAATAATGGTGAACTTTAATATAATGCTATGGGATTAGAAGCCAGAGGCCATTGTCCAACCAACTCATACAATGGTAATAAGGATGAACAACTTCTGTTCTAGCTCATTGTCCCTTGAACCAATCTTGAGCCAGGTGAAAGTTCCAACGGGTTAAAGAAATCCAAGGACCCTATTCATTAAAAACACAGAAATTAAGCAAGAAAACTTCTAAGTTCCTGGTATTTGAGGATGTAGCAAAGAATAAGATGAGATTTATGCACAAGAAGAATGTATCTTCTGGCGGGGCGCGTTGGCTCACGCCTGTAGTCCCAGCACTTTGGGAGGCCGAGGCGGGCGGATCACGAGGTCAGGAAATCGAGACTATCCTGGCTAACATGGTGAAACCCCGTCTCTACTAAAAATACAAAAAGTTAGCTGGGCGTGGCGGCGGGCGCCTGTAGTCCCAGCTACTCGGGAGACTGAGGCAGGAGAATGGCGTGAACCCGGGAGGCGAAGCTTGCCCGGGAGGCGGAGCTTGCAGTGAGCCGAGATCGCGCCACTGCACTCCAACCTGGGAGACAGCGAGACTCCATCTCAAAAAAAAAAAAAAAAAATAAAAGAATGTATCTTACATACATGATCTAATATATCAACACTTTCAGGAGGGAAATCTAGAGGGATAGAAAAGATCTTTTAAAAGGAGCCTGGTAAAGCTTTCTTAAAAGTTGTCCTGAACATCAGGAAGACCCAGACAGCTCTATCATTAGTTCAAAGTCAATTTTTGTTGAGGTGATAAGCATCCCATGGAATTAGAACTTTTAATTTTTTAGTGAGTAATTTTAACTCAATTGTAAGAAGATAGACGGAGTTGTCTCCCAGGCCCTTGAAGAGACGAAAAAGTTCAAAGTGGGGAAGTGAAAAGATCTGAGGAAAATTCAGAAAATGAAATCGTGTGCTGAATATTTAAGGGGCTCATGAGCAGAAGGTCCTCAGAGAAGCTGGGGCAAAGCTCCCAATATTCCATCTTAACCAGAAGAGCTTCTTTTGGAACTTACCAATGGTCTCCTTGCTGGTGGCATTGGTGATGATCTCCTGACACATCTATTCCCTTTTCTGCGACCTGCCTCTAAGACTTCGCTTGGGAAAGTTCTGGGCCAAGTGGGGACAATCTTCCTTCTTTCCTGTCTGGAAAGCTCAGGTGATTTCTGCCCTCCATAAGATGCACCAGCAGATCTTCAGCCTCTTTTACACAAGGGCTTGTCTGATGCTTGGAATAGGGCCTTCCTGGACAAACTCCAGACTGGATTTCATCAGCAGCTGGAAGACCTGGAGACCTGCTTGGTATAGAGGATGGGAAGCAAGAGTCTGCCCTGGAAATTGAGGGCCCTACACTGGCCATAAAGAGGTACTTCCAGGGAGTACATTTCTTCTTGAAAGAGAGGAAATTCAGGAACTGTACCTGGGAGGTTGTCTGAGTGTAAATAAAATATATTAAGAAAATTCAGGAAACCCAATTCTCAATGACTAATGTCCTAGCTCACACTCTGTTCAGTCATTTCTATAACTGTTCTTTTTGCCTTCAGTGGTAAAATAACTTGAACCATTTTTGGCATATTCTTATCAGTAATGTTAAATGTGTCTGTATATAACTAATTTTAGAATTGGAAGAAATGCCACTGGTATCTTGTGGTTGAAACTCAGGTTATAAAATATGTATTTTTATTAACTTGTCTATTTATTTTTGATGGTATTTGTATTTATATGCTGTATTGTTTATATAAGCATATATTTACATTTTCCTCGTTAATAGAAATACTACTTTAAAAAACTCATTAAGTTTATTGTAAGACTTTTCTCCTCTTTTTAAAGAGAACTTTTTCTCAAATCTGAATTCTGCACGCAAAATATAAAAATTTTTGTTACAGTCATGCTTTGGCCTTGGTGACAGATCTTGAGTATGAGATGCATAATCCTTGCCCTTATGGAATTCACATTACAGCAAAGGACACAGCCATTGAAGAAGTTATAATCTAGTATGGAATTTACATTTGGCATCTGGGCTACACAGGAGAAGTAAAAGAGGCTATGGCAGTGAATGTCACGGACAGCTCATTTAGGTTGCCTTCTACCTTCCCCAGGGAAGTAATATGAAGTCAGAGACTTGAAGGATAAGTAGGAGTTTGTTAAGTATCTTGTGGAGGGCAAAATTTCCTAGGGCAAAACAAAAACAAAAACTGCATAGAGAGTGGCCCCGTAGCTGGAAAGGGCCAGGAAAATTGAAAGAAGTGAAAAAGACTGGAGTGGGTAGACTGGACTGGTAAATGGTGAAGTGTCATGTAATGATGCTGGGGAAATGGAAAAGGGCCCAGTGACAGCTTTATGTTAAAGATGCTGGACTTGAGAGGCAAGGAAAATTACTTTGGCATGTAAAGCTGAAGAGTGCTTTACCAGAGCACTAACAAAGATATTTGTTAGACCAAAAGTTCTCAAAATGTGGTCCATATGACCATAAGGGTCCCCAAGACATTTTAAGAGGCTCCACGAGGTCAAAACTATTTTTGTAATAAATCGACATTACTTGTCTCTTTCACCATGTGAACAACTTGCAGTGATGGTGCAGAAACAATGGTGGGTAAAACTGCTGGTGCCTGAGTGTTGATCAAGGCAGTGGCATCAAAAGGCGGTAGTAATTATTACATTTTTCACTATGATGTACTTGAATTCAAACAAAATACCAGTTTCTTTTAAGAATGCCCTTCAGAACACAGTAAAAATTATTAATTTTTCAACATCTTGACTTTGAGTACAATCGTTTTAATATTCTATGTGATAGTCTTTTTAATATTCTGCATGACTGTGCTTATGGCTCATACTGATAGAAAATGATTGTGTCAAGGAAATGCACTCATGCGATTGAGTTGTGAACTGAAGTAGCCACTCTTTAGCAGAATAACATTTTTAGTGGAAAGAATGACAGACAGACAAACAGTAGTTATTGAGACTTGGGCATTTGACAGTTTTTCAAAATATTTATCAAGTGAACCTGTCACTTCAAGGGCAACAATCACCAGTATTTGTCACCAGTGATAACATTTGAGATCTTAGTAGAAAATTGGAATTTTGGAAAAATTTGTATCCGTCATTACGAGGTTGATAACTTCCTTATTCTTCAAACTTTTGTGGTGATAATAGTGGTGATATAGGCCATTGAATCGTTCGATAATATAGATTGAAATTTAAATACACATTTGTAACATCCGCAAAACTCAGTGAACCAATATTTCCTAAATAACGAATTCATATATTATAAAATTTAGCATGGGCAAAAGAGATCCATTCAGTGTATGGCTTATTCATAAACTTCTATGTAACATAATTTGAAAACTCATTTTTTTTTGGTTTAAATTCCACATTACAACTAATCCTTATGGAACTACCACTTATCCAACTCTGAAATGTTACATGATGCATTATAGCATCAAGTCTTCCTTCCATTTCTAAGATACACTTCTTAATAATGATTAATTAATTTATTAATGTGATTTTAAATGTTGTCACAGTGGAAAATATATGGAACTGGGGAAGATAAGTTAGCTTTGAATCATAGTTCTGCTATATAATAGATATTCTTGTACAGAGTAGGTGCTCAATAAATGAGAGTCATTATTACTTACTGGCAGGCTGTGGAGAATAAGACATTGTTTAAGAGCTTGATAGGATTGGTGAGGATTTAAAGTGCTTCCTGTAAAGTGCTTAGCACAGTCCTTGTTGCAGTGTGAACATTCAATAAACATTAGCTTTTATTATTTATATTAGTGGATTTTGAACATCTTTTCATTGACTTTAAGGAGTGAGGCTAACCTCTTTTTAATTCCTATGTTTGATGAATGTTTACCTCTGTATGTAGCTTTGCTTCAATATATTTTAAGAATAGTGCTTTAATTCCATTACTAACTAAACTACTTATTTTACTTTTTCTTCCTGACTTAACTGAATGTGTCAGTATGATTTTAAATATCTAAATGTTCGCTTTAAAAATCATTTTAAAAAGAATAATTCCAGGCATTGTGATCTAATTATACAACTTAGAGTGTTTTTTCTCTGGAGGAATTTGATAGTTTTCTGTAATCTAATACAGGGTAATTTTTGTGAATGATTTATAAATATATGAAAAATATATTTTTTATTCTAAGTTGTAACTTAGTGCCCCAGAATCTTAGCCAATAATGTATCTTTTTCAATTATATTTGAAATTATTCTTGTTATTTTTCTATGCTATATTTTAAATCACAATGCTAAAAATGTCAATATTAAAATGACATTTTTGTTTGTTTCTCTATATTTGCTAACTTTTTTCTGTATATTGTATATTAAATTTCAGTTCTATGTCTTTTATAATTTGGTTATAAATCCTATTTGTTTCCTATGTATATTGATACTCTTTCTCAAATGTTCATTGAATTCCCACAAGTATCAATATTTATATTAATCAATATCTCATTGATATTAATATTGCCACCTCTATTTTTCCTTTGTTGTATTGCTTTTCTCTTTCTTGCCCATCTTCTTCTTTTACTGTTTTAGTATTTTTAATTTTAGGCTTTTCTCATATGTAGAGTAATAACGGGGTTTGGTTTTAAGCCAATCAAGACTTTTTTCTTTTAATAGGGAACTCTAAGCAGCTTATATTTATTATCTTAACTATTATGTGTTTGGTTCTTCACTTTATTGCTTTATGCTTTACTTCTTGCATTACTTTTATATGTTTTTAACATTTATACTTCCTTCAATTATTTAATTATTATTAATTTCAGACAATATATTTTTAAAAGAAATTTAAATTTTCTCTTATTTTTGAACTAAAAATTGCATAGTACTTTAAAATAACATTTTAAAAGTATTTCAGAACTTTTAACTGATTTTATTATTTACTGCCAGCTCTTACTGATACTGTTGCTTTTGGTCAACATAGTATGTATAAGAGATAGGAGATAAGTAGATCCGTATGCATGTGAATTTATGTTCATAAATAAATATATGGGAAGTTCCACGAAGTTGATGAAGAGAAATTCATTCCTGATTTTAGGAAATAAAAGCATATTAATTTAAATGCTCTTAGAAGGAATGCATTTGGATGCAATAAGCTAGATTAGCGTCACATATTCCAAATATATTCCTGCATGTTTCAGGAGTCATGTAATCAATAGAACAGTGATCAACTTAAACAATTTTCATTTTAAGAAGAAACATGCTATCAATATAAAGTGATGAGTTTGATATTCTTGTCTAGCCTGCAAACTGGCTCTGAAGACAGTTCTCATCCTGGAATTGAAAACTTTTTAAAATAGTGGTAATACTGTTGCCATCATTGATTGTTATAGCTTCTGAAGTGTTTTTCAAGACATATTTGAAACTGTAGCAAGGTACATTTATAATGAAATAAACAACTGAAACTTTTACCTGAGCACCATGTAGACTCTTCCTTTACTATGTCTCTACCCCAACCTTTTACCAAGAAGGCAGATGAATTCTCTTGGGTCTGAGTGTAGCACATAAGCACCAGGGGTTCCCTCATTACACCATGCTTTCCATCTATTTCTGTAGGTTTTTAATGGCCTTTCTTTGGTGATCCTGATCCAATGTTGGACAGGATCAAACTAAAACAATGGAAGAATAAAGATTTTAGGGAACTCTTTTTCTGTGCTCTAGACCCTCAGCTTTGGAGTGTTGCTTTGACTAGTGCTGTCACTCTTAACCAGGTATGTACGCTTGATGTTATACTGCCATCTACTGGCTATACGTCAAATACTGGCTTAGAGACGACATACTGATAACTTTACCATGGTCATTAGCTGGGAATAATTCAGGAAATTAGAATGTAAAGAAAGGACAGTTTGATGTGCTGCCTAAGTAAAAACAAAGAAACAAATGCATAAATGAAGCCCACACAAAACCTCTAATTCATAATAGTGATCCCAGAAATGTGAAATTTGTTTTTCGATCACTGTATTCTTTTTTACTCCCAAGATAATCTTGTTATTTCCCATTTTTGTTAAGTAATTTAAAAAAGAAAAGGGAACATACATTCACACAGGACACTAATCAGAACAACAAGGCTATATTTTTGTTTGTGTTGTGTTTTCAATGAAACAAAAAATTGAACCTCAGGGTTGTTAAACCCTGACATTATGTTCAAATTAATGTTCCAGGAGGGCCCAATTTTGTTTCTAGGGGTTCGTTTTCTCAGATGCTTTTAAAAATGGGTAGAAAGTGGTGCCATGAGAAACAATGGCAGAGTAAAAATCTCTAAAAAATTTGCCCCTTCATAAAAGTAAAGAAAAAATGAGCAAAATTTGTCAGAATAAATCTTTTTACAATATTATGAGTTATCCCAAGGCATGCAACAACCCAGGAGCATTTATTTGAGGAAAACAGCTGTAAGTGTAAGTATAGCCAGATTTGTGGCATATTAACTTGAATTAATCCCATCACCCATTATCAAGTTCAGTGGTAGCCTTAAAAAGCAATGGGCTTCCTTCCTGGTACCACTGGGAATAGAAAAAATCTGGAGTGCCTTCATAGCTTCATTCCTAAAGATTGTCATTATTTGACTTCGAAATACCCTAGTAGAAAGACTTATCTTTATTTAAGCTGTCTGGGAGCTCACTCAAAGCTAAAAGACTCTCCCTGAGGAGTGTTGACTAAAGACATTTACAGGCCAGTGTTTTGATATAGTTGCTACCTGAGGTGATTAATTACGGTTGTAGTAAATAATGACCAACTGAAAATCTTAAAAGGAAAAACAGAGATGAGATGTCTATAAGGGCTTTGACAAATTCTAGCATACTTTTGGGAATCTAGAAGGGCATTGTACATGTGTAAGTTTGTGCACATGTTCAGGAAAGACCCAGTCTTTCACTTCTGGCTGACTTTTATCATAAGCAGAAACTGAAGGCCAAGGCAGGGTTGAAAACTGCCTGGCTAAGTATTAAACATGCACTTCAACATGCACACAGAGCTTCTTGGCTAAAACTGAGAGATTTATTTGTTCCAGATACTTAAGGAAATCTCTGTTCAGTCATTAGCTGGCCACTAAGCTAACTGATTAGAGACTTCAGTGGGCACATGTGCTAACGAATACAGACTTTACAGAATTAGTGCAGAAAAGACAGCAAGTAAACAAATAACAACCCACAACAAGCAGCAACAACAACCTCTTGGGGGATGGGGAACTAATTTATACAGTTGCTGCAGTTTATTATTAAAATGTCCACTTTTCAACAAAAAAATATAAGAATGCAAAGAAACTATGTCTTATACACAGGTGGAAAAGTCATGAATAGAAACTTCCCCCAAAAGCCCAGATATTAAATTTATTAGACAAAAACTTAAACCAGCTGTATTAAATAAGTTCAAACACCTAAAGGAAGCCATTTCTAATTAATTAGAGGAATACAGGAGAACAACATCAGATCAAAGAATACCAATAAAGAGAAAGAAATTATACAGAGGAACTGAATAGAAATTTGCTAGCTAAAACGTACAAAAATTGAAAAAGAAAACTTCACTTGAAGGGTCTAACAGAAGATTTGAGTAGACAGAAGACTCAATGAGCTTGAAGACAGATCAATTGAAATTATGCAGCTGAGGACCACAGAGCAAAAAAATGAATGAAGGAAAATATATAGAGTTTAGAGGACTTGTGGAACACCATCAAGCATACTAACATATATATATAATGAGAACTACAGGAGGAAAAGAGAGAGAAAAGGGGCAGCAAAAATATTTGAAGAAGTGTGGCCCCAAATTTAGCAAGTTTGGTGAAAGATATGAGTCTACACATCAAAAAACCTCAACACACTTCAAGTAGAATAAAGACAAATAGATCACACACAGGATAATCAAATGATTGAAAGCCAAAAACATAGAGAAAATCTTGAAAGCCGGAGGAGAGAAGTGACTCTCACATACAAAGGATCCTCAATAACATTAACAGCAGGTTTCCTATTAGAAAACACAGAGGCCAGAGGGTAGTGGGATGGCATATATAAAATTCTGAAAGGAAAAATAACCGAAGAATTCTATGTCTAGCAAAACTATTCTTCAAAAATATAAGAGAGATAAAAACATTTCCAGATAAACAAAAGCTGACTGAGTCCATCATTAGTAGATCTGTCCTACAAGAAATGCTAACGAGCCTTCTAGGCTAAAATAAAAGGACACTAGACAGTAACTTGAAGGCATATAAAGAACTTTGGTAAAGGTAGGTAAATATAAATAATATTATTGTACTCCCCTTTTTATTTCCTATATGATTTAAAAGTCAAATGCATAAAACAATAATTACTAATCTATGTGAATGGGCAAACAATGTTTAAAGACAAGAGGTCGGAGGGGAGACAGAGCAGCATAGGAGTCAAGATTTTGTACGCTGTTAAATCTAAGCTGGTATCAATTCAAACTAGATTGTTGTAAATATAGAATGTTAATTGTAACTTCCATGGTAACCACTAAGAAAATATTTAAAAAATATAAACGAATCAGAGTGTGAGGGAAACTGGGCAGTATGCTAAAAAAATTAAACACACAAGAAGGCAAAAACATATAAGCTGACTCCCCATTGTGAATCTATTGTGGGAAACACATTATATTCTTAAACTTTAGGAAGCATACTTTTCACCTTGATCCACGCCGTGTTGAAAAACAGAGGGGTGATTGTGGGAGACTGGAATTCAGACAATCACAATGATGACTGTGATGATGGGGGATGAGAAGTCTTCTATATAGCACTTATTAGACTTAATTCTCTCTGTCCTAACACACACGTGAGCACGCATGCACACATGCACACACACACACACACACACACACATGCTTTTTACAAAATATGACAACCTGTATCAATACAGGCTGCAAGGTAATTATTGCGTCAATACTATTATATCTCACAAAGTACAAGTAAAGATTAAACAATCAGGCCTCAGAAAAGGTGAGAACTAGGTAAATCTCATCGTTCTCAGAATATTCTCATTAGCATTATTTAGTTTCTAACTCTAAGGCTTTAGGTTTTTTGAGTCAAATTCTTAGAATAATTTTCTGATTTACTTGTACTGGTTTTGTTAGCCATAGGCAGTAACAACATAGCTGGCAGGCCCCATTGCCATGGCTGGAGAGCTGTTCTTACAGAAGTGAAAACAAAAGATATGGTCTACTACATTCCAAACCTTTCCTTGTTGGTACCTACACTCCTCTTTCTATTGATACTATTTCAAAGATGCTCAATTGTTCAACAATATGCTGCCTTCAAACGACTCAGTTTAGCTTTAGAACATAACTAGGCTGAAAGTGCAAGGATGGAGAAAATTATTTCACACAATTGATAGCCAAAAGAGAGCTGGGGTAAATATACTAGACAAAATAGACTTTAGGTAAAAAAAAAACTATAACAAGAAGGTCATTATATAATGTTAAAGGGATAATTTCATCAAGAGAATACAACAATTATAAATATATATGTACTCAACATCAGAACACCAAAATATACAAAGCAAATATTAACAGATCTGAATGGAGAAATAGGCAGCAATATGATCATAATAGGAGACTTCAATACCCCATTTTCAACAAAGGATGGATCATTTTGAATGGTTTACAGTAAACCAATGAAGAAGCAAATTTAAAAGATTGAAATCATATCAAGTATCTTTTCTGACTATAATAAAAAATAAAAATAAATTAACAGGAGGAAAATTGGAAAATTTACAAATTGTATATATTATATATATTAAATTATATATATTATCATATATAATATAATGTATTATATATGATAATATATATACACAACATACTCCTGAATAACCAAGAGGTTAAAAAAGAAGTCAAGAAGTATTTTGAAGCAAAAACAGAAACACGACATTGCAAAATTTAAGGAATGCAGCAAAAGCAGTTCTAAGAGGGAGGTTTCTAGTGATACATGTGTACATAAGAAGGAAAGAAAGATTTCAGATAAACCACTTTTCACCTCAAGTAACTAGAAAAAGAAAACAAAGCCCAATGTTAGCAGAAGAAAGGAAATATTAAACAGAGCAGAATCAAATGAGAGAATAAAAAGAAAAATTTTAAAAAATCAACAAAACTAAGAGTGGTTTTTGAAAAGATAAACAAAATTGACAAATGTGTAGCTAGACTAACTGAAAAAAAGGTGGGGGGTGGGGGAGAGAGAGAAGATTCAACTAAAATTATAAATAAAAAAGAGACATAACAACTGATATTTTAGAAATATGAAGGATCATAAGAGGCTACTATGAACAATTATATACCAACAAGTTGAATAACATAGAAGAAATACAGAAATTCTTAGAAGCATACTGTCTACCAAGACTGAATCATGAGAAATAGAAAATATGAACATGGCAATAATGAGTATGGTGTCATAAGCTTTACCTTAAAAAAATTTCTCTTGAATATATTTGGATAAGTGGCACTAATCTATTGTATTGCTTCCAAATAACATTCAGATTAATGCATTTTTATTTCATAAATTCAGGAATAATTTTTTATTCACTAACTTCTTGGTCATTCTTATCAATTTATATATGAACATAAATTAACACGCACGTCTACCAATATCATATCTGTTACACAAACTATGCTGACTAAAAATGTGACAGTCCTAGTTAGAACTGGCAGTGAAGAGTAAAATCAGTTAAAAGTATTATGAAAAATTTTAAATAAAAAATTAAGAGAAAATTTAAATTTCTTTTAAAAAAGGAATTGTTTTAAAATTAATAATAATTGGAGAATTGAATGCAGTTAAAACATCAAAAACATATATAAGTAACATAAAAAGTAAAGCAGAAACCAAAGTTGAGAACTGAGCACATAATGGTGAAAATAATAAATATAAATTGCTTAAGCTTCTGTATTAAAACAAAAAGTATTGATTGGAATAGTGTCAATAGGATTGGTATAAATTCTTTTTTGAATGTCTGATAGAATTCAGCTGTTAATGTGTGCGGTCCTGGACTTTTTTTGTTGGCAATTTTTAGATTACCACTTCAATCTTACTGCTTGTTATTGGTCTGTTCAGGGTTGCTATATCTTCCTCGTTTAATCTAGGAGGGTTGTGTATTTCCAGGAATTTATCGATTTCCTATGTTTTCTAGTTTATGCACATAAAGGTGTTCATAGTAGCCTTGAATAATCTTTTGTATTTCTGTGGAATCAGTAGCCATATCTCACATTTCATTTCTAATTGAGCTTATTTGGGTGTTCTCTCTTCTTTTCTTGGTTAATCTAACTAATGGTCCATAAATTTTATTTATCTTTTCGAAGAACTAGCCTTTTGTTTCATTTATCTATTGTATTTTTTTGTTTCAATTTCATTTAGTTCTCCTCTGGTCTTTGTTATTTCTTTTCTTCTGCTGGGTTTGGGTTTGGATTGTTCTTGTTTCTCCAGTTCCATGAGGTGTGACCTTAGATTGTCTATTTGTGCTCTTTCAGACATTTTGATGTAGGCATTTAATGCTACGAACTTTCCTCTTAGCACCACTTTTGCTGTATCCCGGAAGTTTTGATAGGTTGTGTCACTATTATCATTCAGTTCAAAAAATTTTTAAATTTCCATCTTGATTTCATGGTTGTCCCAATGATAATACAGGAGCAGGTTATTTAATTTGCATGTATTTGCATGGTTTTGAGGGTACCTTTTGCTGTTGATTTCTAATTTTATTCCACTATGGTCCGATAGAGTACTTGATGTAATCTCAATTTTCTTAAATTTACTGAGACTTGTTTTATGACTTATCATATGGTCTATCTTGGAGAATGTTCCATGTGCTGATGAAAAGAATGTATATTCTGCAGTTGTTGGATAGCATTCTATCCTGTATTCTATAAATATCTGTTAAGTCCATTTATTCTAGGCTATAGTTTAAGTCCATTTTTTCTTTGTTGACTTTCTGTCTTGGTGACCTGTCTTGTGCTGTCAGTGGAGTATTAAAGTCCCCCACTATTATTGTGTTGTCATTTATCTCATTTCTTAGGTCTAGTAGTAATTGTTTTATAAATTTGGGAACTCTAGTTTTAGGTGCATATATATTTAGGATTCTGATATTTTCCTGTTGGACTAGTCTTTTTACCATTATATAATTTCCCTTTTTGTCTTTTTTATCTGCTGTTGCTTTAAAGCTTGTTTTGTGTGATGTAAGAATAGCTACTTCTGCTCACTTTTGGTGTCTATTTGCACGGAATATCTTTTTCCACCCCTTTACCTGAAGTTTATGTGAGTCCTTATGTGTTAGGTGAATCTCCTGAAGACAGCAGAAACTTGATTGGTGAATTCCTATCCATTTTGCCATTCTAATATTAGTACTGAGGTGTAAGGGACTATTCTATTCATCAGCCTGTTTGTCGCTTAAATACCTTTTTTTTTCATTGTGTTACTGTTATATAGTTCCTGTGAGATTTATGCTTTAAGGAGGTTTTAGCTTGGTGTTTCAAGGATTTGTTTCAAGATTTAGAGCTCTTTTTAGCAGATCTTGTAGTGCTGGCTTAGTAGTGGTGAATTCTCTCAGCATTTGTTTATGTGGAAAAGACTATCTTTCCTTCATTGATGAAGTTTAGTTTTGGTGGATACAAAATTCTTGGCTGATAGTTGTTTTTTTTTTAAGGAGGCTTAAAATATGACCCCAATCCCTTCTAGCTTGTAGAGTTTCTGCTGGGAAATCTGTCGTTACTCTCATAGGTTTCTTCTTTACAGGTTACTTGATGCTTTTGCCTCACAGCTCTTAAGCTTCTTTCTTCATCTTGACTTTAGATAACCTGGTGACTATGAGCCTAGATGATGATCTTTTTGAGATGAATTTGTCAGGTGTTCTTTGAGCTTCTTGTATTTGGATGTCTAGGTTTCTACCAAGGTCAGGGAAGTTTTCCTCAACTGTATTTTCAAATATGTTTTCCAAACTTTTAGATTTCTCTTCTTCCTCAAGAACACCAATTATTCTAAGGTTTGGTCATTTAACATAATACCAAACTTCTTGGAAACTTTGTTCTTTTTTAAAATTCTTATTTATTTGCCTTAGTTGGATTGGGTTACTTCAAAAACCTTGTCTTAGAGCTCTGAAGTTCTTTCTGTTGCTTGTTCAATTCTATTGCTAAAACTGCATTTCTCTAAGTGTGTCCTTGATTTCCAGAAGTTGTGATTGTTTTTTATTTATGCTATTTCCCTGAAGATTTTCCTTTCATATTCCATATCATATTTTTTATTTCAAGGAGCAGAATACTATTTTTGGATGTCTTAACACAGGAAAAGGAAATAGAACTCTGTGTGCCCAGTTCCTTTACCTGTAAAATTAAGATAACCATAGTCCTACCTCGTAAAATTGTGGCAAGGATTAATTGTTTAATTTATATAACACACTCAGAATGATTCCTGGCACTTAACTAAGGGTACTTAAACGTTAGCTCTCCTATTTGAAACTGATTGGAGGATTATTCCCTAATGTGCTAGTTCTGCAGGAAAGTGAGTTAATTTCAAGAAAACTGGCCAGGGAACATTTTAATGCCAGCTCAACTACTCACAATGGAGAGGCAGAAATAGCCATTCACTTGGTGACTGAAGCAAGCATGTTGCAGCAAAGATCCCAGGGTATAGACAGAAGCACTGCTACCTGGCACACACACACCAGCTGTCTACAATGGCACACTTTACTTTCCTGGTTTCTTGGTTCTGTCTACCATTTGAGGAGCTAAAAGCTTTCACCAGAATAACACAGGCATCTTTCAGGAAGCCAGAAAAAGGATCCTGTGCTCTGTGAAGATAAGCTGCACTCTCCTCAGGCACGTGCCAGGCAAGAGAGGAATCCCCGCTCCATTCTTCAAATCCAATTTGTCAACTCACATTTAGTTCCCTTTTCACTTGTTGCATCATTCTTATTGTTATTTTTGCACCATCCGGTTCACTGTACAGTCCCTGTGCAGTCATTGTACAGTCCCTGTTTATCTATGATGAAATAAAACTGCATTTAGTTGTAAGTTTTAATGGTATGAAGGGTTTTTGGTTTAACTTTAAAGAAGTGCCAGAAACTGCTTCAGAGACAGGAAGCTCCTGCAGAAAACCGATAATAGACATGTTCACCTGTTTGTGGAGGGAATGGAGCTGGTGCTTATTCAGCAGCTGCTGTGTGTTGTCTGTGTATTCTCTTCTTAACTCTAGGCCTGGCTGCATTTATGCCTGAGAGTGGTTGTGAGGATTAAATACGTCCAGCTCAGACAAGTGCTTGATACCGAAAGAGAAAAGTAAACCCAGGCTGGAGGCTCACTGAAGTCTGTATTGGATAGAGCCAATGTGGAGTTTCTCGCAGAGGGAGTCCAGGTAGCACCTGGTAGAAGATGTTGGGTGGGCAGCTGTAGGGGCCAGGGGAAATCTTGCCCTTTGACCTCTGAAGGTTCCGTGAAAATCAATTGACAAAAGGCAGATAGATTAATAGGTGAAAAGGCATACAAATTAATTTTATCATAGTTTTATGTGTCATGGGAGCCTTCAG
The DNA here is from genome assembly GCF_000001405.40 of Homo sapiens. NCBI lineage: Eukaryota > Metazoa > Chordata > Mammalia > Primates > Hominidae > Homo > Homo sapiens. The sequence goes on from NC_000009.12 coordinate 21,119,905, forward strand.
ATTGAAGGGCCAAAGACACCATTTCTATGCTTAGGTTAATGAAGAATTGGACAGCTATGTAGAAAAATGACTGGATAAAAAGGGCATGATCTAATGCTAATAGACTGAGTGAGGAAGCCTAGCAAGGCCTGTCTGTCTAGATTCTTCTGGGCTTTTTTGTGCAACATTCCTTACTCTGGGAATGGGGCAGGGCCCTCTCTGAATGGAGTTATAATCTACTTTTAGATAAAACAGGTAAAATAATTTCTTTATGGCCAGTTTTTATGCAGAAAGACAAGGAGAAGGTTGAATTAATATGATTAGGTTTTATGGTTGTCATTGGGGAAAGGATTTCTGGTTTCTATGGCCTGCCTTGGGAAGAGAGATTCTAGAGAATAAGGGTCAAAGAGAGAGGGGCAGGAGGAAGTCAGAGAAAGTTTTGCTTCTGAGGCTGCTTCTGTGGCCGTCATTTTGGGGTATTGTTTTCTGAGCCTCAGCACAGCCCTTGTGTATCCCTGGGCCATCAATCCATTGATGAGAGCATTCTAACTGTGGCTGGCGGTGAAGAGTGTAGGACCCTCTGGTTGTGTTTGCATAAAGGAGAAGGGTCATTATTGTGAGAAAGAAAAAGTAGTGTCTTTTTCTCACCCATTACAAGGTTCATGGCTAATACCCCTATAATAAAAGAAGATTAACAAGAGAAAACCATAACTAATTTTAGAAACAATTTTTTTTATGAGAGACAAGACGATTTAGAAATGAAGATCCAAAGACCCAGGGAAACTGTCTATTTTTACGCTTAGGTTTATTGAAAAATGGACAGTCATGTAAAAGCATATTGGACAAAAAGGGGATATGAAGTATTGTTAATAAACTGAGGGGGGACTTAGCAAGGCCTACTTGTTCAGATTATTCTTGGTGTCTCTGTGTCTTTATTCCTTTCCTCCAGAAGCAGGGAAGGACACCTGTCACATGGGGGTCTTGCGACCTACTTTCAGGGGAGATAGGACAAAGCATTATTTTATGGCCAACTTTCACACAGAAAGGTTAGACAAGGTCAGAGAATGACCTTGAGTCTGCAGTTTTCTGAATTTTCAAGGTGCCATTATTTTGGGGTAGCATGTCGGGAACCCTGATATTAACATGAGTTAGGCAGAGCTCCCCCGCATCCCCCCTGCCCAGTGAAGTGGCCTAGTTCCTCCTGGGTTCCAAGGTGACAGAAGAGAAACTGAGGAATGGATCTAGTCAAAGACTTTTGACTATGACAAGATATCCAGGATGTGGGAAAAGGAAAAGGAACAGAGAAATGTCTGACAGCAGTGGCACATAGATGGCATGCTCTGCCTCTTCACACCAGGTTTGAGGTCTGAAGGTGGATTCCCTACCCAACAAGCTGTTGGCTTGTGGTTATAGAGAGAGCCCACAGTGGGAAGAAGCAGCTTCAGGGACTGAATGAGGGTGAGCAGGAGACAGCATGCGGAAGACAGAGAAACAGATTTTTTTTTCCTTTCCCTGAACTTAGGCTTTTTCTTTGTGGTTCCCAAGTTTCACAGAAACTTTTTAGGTTGCTGAGCAAAATTTTCCAACGTAATTAGGACTTGGTGAGATTACCCCTCATTTTATTATTGTAGTGGGTATTGTTTTTAAACTAAGCTGCTGTAAATATGTTGGGTGTATTTTCTTCTTAACCCTGGGCCTGGCTTAATTCACCCCAAAGAACAGTTGTGACGATTAGATACATCCAGCTCAGAAAAGTACCTGGTATCCAAAGGGAAAAGTAAATCCAGGCTGGAGGCTGACTGGAGTCTGTATCAGATAGGGCCAATGTGGAGTTTCTAGTCATGGACATCCTGGCAACGAATGGTGGGAGAAATTACATGGGCAGCCCTAGCATGTCCCCGGGACATCAACTTATTGATGGGAAGCTTTCAACTGTGGCTGGGGCACAAAGTATGTAAACCCTCTGTTGTGTTTGTGTCTATCAGGAGGGTTGTTATTAGCAGGAGTTAGGCAAGGACCCCAGCACAGTGGCCTATTATCCAGCTGGATCCTGAGGTGACCAGGAGGGAAACTGAAGAATGAGTCTAGTCAAAGGATGTGAAAAGGGCAAAAGGAACAGAGAAATGTCTGAAACCAGTGGCACATGCTCTGCCTTCTCACCTCAGGTCAGAGGCCTGAAGGTGGATTCTCTACCCCATCAGCTGTTGGCTTGTTGTTATAGAGGAACCCCAGCCTGCAGAGGCAGTTTCAGGCACAGAGTGAGGGTGAGAAGGAGCCCACAAGTGGAAGACAAGAAGACAGATTCTTCTCTTTCCTTTCCCCCGAACTTAGGCTTTTTCTTTGTGATTCCCAAGTTTTACAGGAACTCTGTATGTTAAGCAAAATTTTATAGTTAAATTAAGACTTTGGGTGAGATTACTCCTCATTTTTTTATTGTGGAGTAATCACAATAAATCTCATTTTGGGTGAGATTACTCTTCATTTTTTAAATACAGTTTTTGAACCAAGCTCTTCCTCCTTTTTTGTGTCCTCATTATCTCCCATCCCCACCCTTTTCCAACAGACTTTCCTCCAAATGCCGTCTGGTGCTACACCACAGTCACTATGCATGGTCAGGAAAATGCACATTTGTTTTCCTGTGGTTTGAAAAGGACAACCAATAAAAAAGAGATTAATATTATTATAAACTCATAATAGTCACCCCAATTAAAAACCCAGAAAGATACTTGTAAATGTCCATACCAGCAGGTCTCAGATGTTTTCGTTTCAGCGCTCACTGATACTCATAAATTATGGGCATCCCCTCAAAGAGATTGTAGTTGTGTTTTTCTATTTATTGATATTCATCATAAGTTAAAATTAAGAAAATGTTTATGTATCCACTTAAAAAGAACAAAACCAAGCCCATTACATATTAACATAAAAACAGAGTCTTATAGAAAATAACTACATGCTTTAATACAACAAATTAATGGGAAAAGTAGCAATGTTTTGACGTTTTCAAATCTTTTTAATGTCTGGCTGAATAGAAGATAGATGGATTCTTGTAACTTCTCTGCATTCAGTCTCTTGTGATCTGTTGTTTTGTTTGACATCTGTGAATAAAATCCAGTCTCAGACATGTAGTTGGAAAAGAGGGGAACTTGATGACTCCTGAAAGAGTCCTAGCAGTCTTCAAATCACACTTTGAGAACAACTGATAGATGTGAAAGGATACTTACTGCCTATAGTGAGTTTGAGTTTCATCTTTTGCCTATTTTCCAATTGTCTTTTTAAATTATAATTTAGAAAACCGAGAAATATGGGAAAACATTATACTCTTGTGGTTTATATTTTTCAGGATTATCCACTAAGAAGTTAAGTACAATATACCTGCCAGTTTATGTTTTTGTTTATTAACTTTCTTTTATTGTGAAATATAACAATCATACACAAAAGTGCATAAAACATAAGAGTAAATTTTAAGGAATAATTATGCAAATACTCATGTAACCATTAACTGATAAAAACAACCAGATTTTGCAATATACTGGAACCTCTGCCACCATTACCATCCCATGGGCCCATTCTTGGACATATCTCTATCTCTGCTCACTAGAAGTAACCACTATTCTGAGTTTTATGGCAAACACTTCTTTTCTTTCTAATTTTATCCTAAACCATGTGGTCCAGTTTTGCCTGTTTTTAAACTTTTTATAAATAGAATATGTGTTCTTTCAGATTCAGCTTCTTTTACTCACCATTATGTTTGTGAGGCTCATCTCTGTGTAAACAGTTGTAGTTCTTGATTTTTATTGTTGCTTATGATCTTATTATATGCATGGACTGCAATATATTTATGAATACAACTTTTACAGGATATTTTAAGAGAATTGCTTTGGCTATTCGAGGTCTTCTGTTGTTCCATACAAATTTTAGGATTATTTTTCCTATTTTTGTGAAGAACATCACTGAGATTTTGATAGGGATTATGTTGAATCTGTAAATATACAACATATGTGTAGTATGGCCACTTTAAAAACCTCAGTTCTTTCAATGTGTGAACACAGGATTACTTTCCATTGATTTGTGTATTCTTCAATTTCTTGCATTAATGTTTTATAGTTTTTAGTGTATAGGTCTATCTCCTCTTTGGTAAAATTTATTCCTAAGTATTTTTAATGCTATTATAAATTAGATTATTTTCTTGAATTTTTTCAGCTAAGTTATTTGTGTATATAAATGCAAGTGATTTTCATTACATTGATTTTGTCTCCTACAACTTAACCAAATTTATTTCTTAGTTCTAACCGTTTTGGTGGAGTCCTTGGCGTTTTCTACATACAGAATCATGTCATCTACAATTAGAGATAACTTCTTCCTTTCCCCTTTGGATGCCTTTTATTTCTTCTTCTTCTTCTTCTTCTTCCTCTTCTTCTTCTTCTTCTTCTTCTTCTTCTTCTTCTTCTTCTTCTTCTTCGTCTTCGTCTTCGTCTTCTTCTTCCTCTTCCTCTTCCTCTTTCTCTTCTTCTTCTTCTTCTTCTTCTTCTTCTTCTTCTTCTTCTTCTTCTTCTTCTTCTTCTTCTTCTTCTTCTTCTTCTTCTTCTTCTTCTTCTTCCTTTTTTTTTGATCTGATTTCTCTGGTAGGACTTCTAGTACTACATTGAATAAAGGTAGCGTGAGTGAACTTCCTTGCTTTGTACTGATCTTAGACAAAAAGCTTTATTTTTCCCCCCATTGATTTTGATGTTAGCTCTGACTTTCTCACAAATGGCCTTTATTATGTTGAGGATGTTTACTCCAATACCTAAGCTATTAGGAGTTTTTGTCTAAAAAGGATGTTTAATTTTGTTGAATCCTTTTTCTGCTTCAATTGAAATAATCATGTGGTTTTTAATCTTGTCTTTTCTATAAAATTTTCAAGACCACTTCCAAATATGAATTCAATTACACTAAACCAAATTCACGAATCATTTCAGAAGATCTAAACATGAAACTGGTTTTGCATTTCAGATTACTGATGTTGAATCATGCTTAAAACCATTTAAAATGAAATTTCTACAGAATGTAAATGGTCAGAATATTTAAGAGCCAAGTTACTAGCTACTTTTTTGCAAATCAGATGTATTCATTGAAAAATTGCTTCCCTTAAATATTTAACATCTGAAGATGCTTAGTTTAAATTTTCGTATCTCCATTTCAGAGTTGAAATTAAGATGTGAATAAACCCCTATTTTAAATAATATCCCTAGATCATGTAAGAATTGATACTTTAATCCAGTGATGTCTCCATTTCTAATTGCTTAACATTTTTCGAATTTATTTTCACATTTGGGAAGTGTATTCGTATCTCTTACTAGCATTTTACATTTATCAAACATACTCTCAAAGTTACTTTCATTTGTTGTAAACAAAAGGGTAGGTCTTCTATGAAGCCAGCTGCTTTATATAAAGACTTTTCTTTTTAAATAAAGCTTTCTTATTTTTTCCTACTTGGTTCAAAATATCCCACCAAATTAATTTGCATAAACATGTGCAGTCTCTTTGTGCCAAGATGCTTTAGATTTCAGCACAATGTACTATGTCATTTAATATTATATCATTAATATTTGATAAACATCTTTAGTTTGTGTGTGAAGTGCCATAATTTTGTTTGTTCTTGATCCCCATTGAATGTCCGTTATGTTTTTAATACAGTTTTTAGGACAGATATAAGGATATTCTATTGCTCAAAGCTCAAAAATGTATTAATCCTTTGTACAATACTAAAAAAGAGTATCATATTTCAAGTCACCAAATCAACATTATTACAAATCAAATCAGAATTATTAGTTGAGTAGGCACAAATTTAGCATAACAATTTTTGAGGGAAATAATGGCTTGTTCACCATTTATCTATCTGCCATCTTTGCTTCATTTTCATATCCTTGGCCAAGAGCATTTTTATGTCAATATATTGAAAAAATTTCATAAGGCAAGCCATACCCAGTTTTTTATTTTATTTCAATAAAAAGTCAACCAACCTTTCTTTCCATGGTTTTGTCATTATTCTCAATGAGAGCATACTTAAACGCATCTGTTTATCATAGGCAACATCTACATATGTTTACAATTCAAAAGAAAGAATTTTTTCTTCCTTTTAAGTTTATTTTTAAATTGACAAAACAGTTTATATTTACCAGGTATAACATGTTGTTTTGAAATATATATGTTATGGAATGGACAAATTGAGTGCATTACCATAAGCATTACCTCACATACTTATGGTTTTTTGTAGTAAGAACGCTTAAAAAGTACTTTCTTGGCAATTTTCAAGAATATAATACATTGTTACTAATGACTAACTGCAGTCACCATATTGTTCAATAGATCTTTTGGACTTATTCCTCCTATCTAACTGAAATTATGTATCCTTTGACCAACATCTTCCCAATACTACACTCCTCCAGCCCCTGGTAACCACCACTCCACTCTCTACTACTATGAGTTTAACTTTTTAAGATTCCATATGTAGGTGAGATTATGCACTGTCTTTCTATGCCTTGCTTATATCAGTTAACATAGTGTCATCCAGATTCATTCATGTTGTCTCAAATGACAAAATTTCCTTCCTTTTTAAAATGGCAAATAGTATACCATTTTGTACATACTATTCATACATTCTCTTTATCTATTAATCTCTTCATTAACATTTAGGTTGTTTCCATATCTTGGCTATTGTGAATAGTATTCCAATGAACATGGGAGTGCAGATATCTCTTTGACATACTGATTTCATTTCCTTTGGATATATTCTCACTTGTGGGATTGTTGCATCATATGGTTGTTCTATTTCTAATTTTTATAAAAGCATCAAAAGTAACAAACAATTATGAACAAATGTGATAGAAAATTTGCCAAGACTGTACACTGGAAACTGTAAAATGTCTCTCAGAGAAAACAGAGAAGACATAAACAAATGGGGAGAGATACCATGTTAAAGGATTAAAAGACTCAGTATTGTTAAGATATCAATTGTAATCAAATTGATCTGTAGACTCAATGCAATACCAATCAAAATTCCACCAGGCTTTTTGTATAGAAATTTAAAAATGGATTCTAATATTTATATGAAAATGTGTAGAACAAAAAACAACCAAAATAACATTTAAAAGAACACAAAATGTTGGAGGATTTATACTATCTGACTTCAGGAGTAAAGTAATCAAGGCAGTAAAGCATTAGAATAAAAAAAACACAAATACATCAATGGAACAGACAGGAGTATGCACAAATAGAGCCACGCATATACTGTTGATTGTTTTTTTCAACAAAATCACAAAGGGTATTCAACCAAAAAGTTTGCAGATGACATGATTGTATATTTAGAAAACCCCATTGTCTCAGCCCAAATCTCCTTAAGCTGATACACAGCTTCAGCAAAGTCTCAGGATTCAAAATCAATGTGCAAAAATCACAAGCATTCTGTACACCAACAACAGACAGAGAGCCAAATCATGAGTGAACTCCCATTCACAATTGCTACAAAGAGAATAAGATACCCAGGAATACAACTTACAAGGGATGTGAAGGACCTCCTCAAGCAGAACTACAAACCACTGCTCAAGGAAATAAGAGAGGATACAAATACATGGATAAACATTCCATGCTCATGGATAGGAAGAATCAATATTGTCAAAATGGCCATATTTCCCCAAGTAATTTATAGATTCAATGCTATCTCCATCAAGCTACCATTGAGTTTCTTCATATGGAACTAAAAAAGAGCCCGCATAGCCAAGACAATCCTAAGCAAAAAGAACAAAGCTGGAGGCATCACACTACCTGACTTCAAACTACACTACAAGGCTACAGTAACCAAAACAGCATGGTACCAAAACAGATATATAGACCAATGGAACAGAACAGAGGCCTCAGAAATAACTCCATACATTTATAACCATCTGATCTTTGAGAAACCTGACAAAAACAAGAAATGGGGAAGGGATTCCCAATTGAATAAATGGGGTTGGGAAAACTGGCTAGCCATATGCAGAAAGATGAAACTGGATCCCTTCCTTACACCTTATACAAAAATTAACTCAAGATGGATTAAAGACTGAAACATATGACCTAAAACCATAAAAACCCTAGAAGAAAACCTAGGCATTACCATTCAGGACATAGGCATGAGCAAGGACTTCATGACTAAAACACCAAAAGTAATGGCAACAAAAGCCAAAATAGACAAATGGAATCTAATTAAACTAAAGAGCCTCTGCACAGCAAAAGAAACTATCATGAGAGTGAACAGGCAACCTACAGAATGGGATAAAATTTTTGTAGTCTATCCATCTGACAAAGGGCTAATATTCAGAATCTACAAAGAACTAAAACAAATTCACAAGAAAAAACAAACAACCCCATCAAGAAGTGGGCAAAGGATATGAACAGACACTTCTCAAAAGAAGACAATTATGCAGCCAACAAACATATGAAAAAAAGCTCATCATCACTGGTGATGGTGCAGAGAAATGCAAATCAAAACCACAGTAACCACAATGAGATACCATCTCATGCCAGTTAGAATGGTGATCATTAAAAAGTCAGGAAACAACAGATGCTAGAGAGGATGTGGAGAAATAGGAATGCTTTTACCTTGTTGGTGGGACTGTAAATTAGTTCAACCATTGTGGAAGACAGTGTGGCATTTCCTCAAGGATCTAGAATTAGAAATACCATTTGACCCAGCAATCGCATTACTGGGTATATACCCAAAGGATTATAAATCATTCTACTACAAAGACACATGTACACGTATGTTTATTGCAGCACTGTTCACAATAGCAAAGACTTGGAACCAAGCCAAATGCCCATCAATGATAGACTGGATAAAGAAAATGTGGCACGTATACACCATCGAATACTATGCAGCCATGAAAAAGGATGAGTTCATGTTCTTTGCAGGGACATGGATGAAGCTGGAAACCATCATTTTCAGCAAACTAACATAAGAACATAAAACCAAACACTGCATGTTCTCACTCATAAGTGGGAGTTGAACAGTGAGAACACATGGACACAGAGAGGGGAACATCACACACTGGCGCCTGTCAGGGGGTTGGGGGCTAGGGGAGGGATAGCATTAGGAGAAATACCTAATGTAGATGATGGGTTGATGGGTGCAGCAAACCACCATGGCATGTGTATAGCTATGTAACAAACCTGCATGTTCTGCACATGTACCCCAGAACTTAAAGGATAATAAAAAAAACAAAAAAAAAATAACTGAAGAAACAAATGGTGTTGGAAGAGATAGGCATCCCTATGCAAAGCAATAAATCTTGACACACGCGTCATACCATATGAAAAAATTAACTCACAATATTGGTAACAAAACTAAGTATAAAACCTAAAACCGTACAATTTTGAGGCTATTAAAAATTTTTTTACTTAGAAACACTAAAAGCACAATCTGTGAAAAAATTGGTAAATTTCACTTAATCAAAATTTAAAAACTTATTTTTAAAAGGATAGTTTTATTAAAATGAAAAGGGAAGGTAGAGTCTGGGAAAACTTTGTAAAACATTTATCTAACAAAGTACTTGTAACTAAAACCATAGAATGCTTATAACTCAACAAAGAAGGCACAAAAATGGACAAAAATATTTCAACAGACATTTTACCAAATAAGATACCCAAATGACAAACAAGAACATCACAAAATGCTTAACATCATGGATAATTAGGAAAATTAAAATTAAAATCACAGTGAGATACCACTACCCACCAATTAGAATGACTGGACTGACTAAAATTTAGAAGACTGACCATATCAAGTATTGGCAAGGTTGTGGAGTGACTGGAACACTTACATCACTAATGGAGATAAAAATGGGGCAGCCACTTCGGAAAAGTGTTTGGAAGTTTCTGAAATACTCCTACTGTGAAACAAAGACATTCCACCTATACGTTTTACTGCAGAAATATGCCCATGCAAAGACTTGTACAAGAAAGTTTACAGCAACTTTATTTGTGAAACCAAAAATTGTAAACAACTAATCCATAAAATATCCATAAAAAAGTAAAGAGAAAAGCAAATTGTGGTATATTCATACAATGGAATATGATATACCCATAAAATGAATGAACTATTGATGAACACAATAACATGGATGAATCTTACTTAGGTTGAATGAAGGAAGCCAGACAAAAGAGTCCCTATTGTATTGCTCCACTTATGTATCTGTTTTAGTCACTTGGCATGTATAACAAAATAAACAGTGTGGCCTAAATAACAGACATTTATTTCTCACAGTTCTGGAGGCTGGGGAAGTCCAGGATGAAGGTGTTGGCCAATGTAGTTTCTAGTGAGGGCTCTCTTTCTGGCTTGCGGACAGCCACCTTCTCACTGTGTCTTCTCTTGGCAGAGAAAAAGCTCCAATGTCTCTTCCTCTTCTTATAAAGGCATGAATCCCATCCTCCACCCTCATGGCCTCATCTAAACTAATTACCACCCAAAGGCATACCACCTAATACCAACACATTAGGCGGCAGGATTTGAACAAATGAATTTTGGGGAGACACTCAGCCCATAACTATAGCATTCTATGAAATGGAAGCTAATCTACAATGACAGAAATCAGATCAGTGGTGGCCTAAAGATGGGGAGGGAAAAGTTAGGGAAGCATTTAAAAAGAGCCCTGGAGAATTTTTAAGGATGGTAAATATTTTCTTTTTTTGTTTATAGTGATAGTTACATGGGCATATCCATATGTTAAAATATCTAATTGCATGATTTTCAAATATGCAGTTTATGGTATGTCATTTTTTTAATCAATTAAAGCTGGAAAATGGAAAAGGGAACATACTGCAGTTATGCAGTGCCTTTGCTCAAGCTGTTTCCTCTGCAGGAATGCAGTTCTGCTCTATGTCTACCTGGAAATTGCTCCTCACCCCTGTGAAAAGCCCACATCCTGGACAAAGTTCTTCACTGTCAGTAGTGAGCTCCTGGAGCCTGTTCCACAGGCTGTTTTTGACTCACCAATTATCCTGCATTCAAATTAATATGCATGTGTCCTGTCTTCTCCCAAGAGACTGAGAACACCTTCAAGTTGAGTATATTACCTGATTTATCACAGAGTAGATATCAGCAGTTGATTTTGATGGCTGTCACTTGGTCCTCACCATGACAGTGCCACAGTTGCCAAATTAGAGTGCATGAGAGACCCTCTGGCTCTCCTTGCACCAAATTTGCCTATTGGTAGATTCCACAGGGGAATAGGAATTATTAGCAAGAACAATATGTTACTGTGACTTAAATTATTACCTGGTAATTTAGGCATAATTGTCTGAAACACATACCTTTTAGAAGCTAAAGATTACTCAGAGAACAGCTAACAAATTAAGGAAAAAGGATCTCAGGCTGCAATGCCTGATTCAGGGAATGGGTTGTCTGTATAAATATGGCTACATAGTATCTGACAGCTCCTTGGAGAGTGGATAAATGAGTGGTCAGATAGCTTATTCATCACACTAAGATACATACATATTTATGACATGCTGTAAGATTGAAGTTGGAAAGCAGGAAGTCCCAGAGAAAAGCGGCAGGATCCAGAGACCAGAGGCATGGTAGGATCTGCTAGGATGGAGAGTATGGAGGGGCTGTCTGCTCCCTTTCCACTTTTTTGTCTCCTCCTCCACTCTTAGGAACACTCTGGGATCATAGTATAACTTTGTGGTGCTGACCTGGGACTGTATATGAAACCACGTTTTCTCTGTGTCCAGTTACTGAGGCAGCAACACACTTCAGATCATGAGGAACTTTAGGTTCTTCTGCATTTTATTTAGTACTGGGGCTTTGGTTCCATCTTTTAGTTTTGTGTGCCGTTAGGATCTTCTTACTGTCATGTAAATACACTCAGTGGAGTCCATATTTACCAACATTTGAAAAAATCTGAAATATCAGTCTGGTAAAGGAACCCTAGGTTCAGTCCAAAAAATAAATGGACTCTTATATTCTCTTTCTCTCTCTCTGCTTTTCTAAATTAATTATCAGAATACAGAGAGTTTTTGAATAGGAAGTCTCAGGAGGGATTGGGAAATCATCAGCATAGAGCAGAATGGTCAGGATGAGGGATACAGTGAGAACTAAGACTTCAATCCATTGTTCACAGACTATCTACCTGGGTGTGGTACATGGCTCCAGAATAAAGTTTTAGACCACAGATGCAGAGGCTGTGGATTGGTCTATTAAGGCACCCAAAGAGAACAGGCCCCAAGGCCTTGTTCATCAGCCTCTTTCCCAGCTCAGGTGTCTCTAGACCAAGCCTCTCCTTTGTCCCAGGGCCAACATGGAGAGGAATGCTGAGCCTCTGAAAGTCTCCAGAGAGTACTCAACATGTCCTCAGGAAGTCCTATTACATGGAGCACATGCAATCCTGAAGATCTGAGATTCCTTGCCTTTCTTCAGCAGAGGACTAGTGTCTGAAATATTTTTCTAAAAAGTGCGGAATTCCATTCTGTATTTTAGTTTCTCAGAGAAGAGTTAGAAAAAAATTCTTATCCAGATCAAAATGATTAACATGGAAAGAACACAGATCTTAAAAATCAATGTAGAGAATAACATTATTTACCATAAGTTGCTGCAAAAGTAATTGCCATTAAAAATAATGGCAAAAACGGCAATTACTTTTGCACCAACCTAATAATAATGAACATCTGCTGATATTTTAGAAAGAGGGGAGTGAAATTATCTTACCAGGTAATTTTTCTTTCTTGTCTTTCAGCATAAACACAGAGGCAGGAAGAGAACCATGTCTGGGGCTTTCAAGGGTGATGATCTGCTATTGAATGCCAGGCTTTCCCCAGGTTAATCTTAATATCTCTCTTCTATGAGGTCACAGGTCTACAATCATAAAATAGATCAGTTCTTGGAATCATTCATTCTCAGAAAATAATGATCTTGGAAGAGAGCCTTTTACGAAGACTATCAGGCCTGGGATATTTCTCCTAATATCTATTCTGCCTATCCATGGGAATCGAACAATGATTGAGTTGGGCCAGGGGTCTTGCCAACTTGCTGGTCGTGGGAGATGTAGTGAAAGGACTGTTGGATTTGGAGGCAATATTTCTGGGTCCTGCTTTTGGACATATTCCAAGTTAACTTCCTTAAGTTTCAAATTCCCTGTTTCAGAGATTGCCAACCTACAAACCTCATGGGTTTTTCTTATGATCACTTGGTACAATGTATGCGAAAGTGCTTTAAAGTGACCTAGCTCTCTATATATGTGAACCTTACTATTATTGTCCTTGGAACTTTGACTTGAATCCTAAATCGTGGGCATTCAGATTCCAATCTTAAAAGATTTTATTCCCAGTGAAGCACTCTACTCAGTTTCCTACAAGATTCTGCATTCACCTGATGTACTCAGGCTCCTTCCTTCTCTGTTTGGAGAACTCATTGCAAAGATGATGAAGAGGCATCAGACCTACTTTCTCCTCAGATAATGTGATTAGACTCCTTCATTATTCCAGACATCTCTCTTCCTAGGTTGCCTGTGGAAATCTGGGACCTGAGTGAAGCCTGGAGTTGACCTGAGAGGGAGAACCCATAGACAAAGTGATGTGAGGTCAAGCCTTAGAGTGAGGGAAAAAGAGTGTCATGAAGTCAGAAATGTGGAAGAATATGACCCCTGCCGGGCCCGTCTATCCTGTCCTGCTTCTGAATGTATGTTGCACTTCTTCTCTCTTGCAGGCACCTGCAAAAGCTTCCTTTGCAGAGTAGCTTCCTGAAGGATTTATGCAAGATCCTTTATCTGAGGAGTGAGTTAGAGCAACCACAAAAGCAGACATCATGTTGCTCCTGAAGCCAGGGGAAGATACATATCTTGTGATGTCACCTTTGGGATTCTCTGAGTTGTAGCTCCCTCTGGCCTCTTTACTTCTTGCCTCCACCTACTGACTGGACCTTATCACCCACTTACTTTTTTCTTCTTAGCCGTATAACCATTGGATTTCCTTCCTCAGTCAGAGCCTCCTTTGTCACTGGATCCTATATTGTCAGGACCATCTTAAACCCCTACAACTTATCTTTTTCCTTCCACACCCAGAGCACACTCAGATACCAAACTCTATTTCTAACCCAGACCCCATTTATCTTTGGATACTGCCTCCTTACCTGGCCCCACCTCATCCTATCCTTCCACTTTCAGGATCTCAACAACTCCCCTAATCTGACACACTTCAAGTATCCAGTGGTTCAGTTCACTGTCCTCCATCTTTCATGGTTCCAAGTGAGGGTCCCCAAAATGTTTCAGCTATGTGAAGCCCTGGATAATGGCCTCTGGCATGACTTCAGAAACACAGCCGGAGATCCATCAGGCTGTTCTTCACCCTGCCCACTCTCTGTCTCTGGGACCATGTTTCTTTCAGGTCAACCAGAATGTCCTCCTGCATTCCCCACTGCCTGCAAAATTTATCTCAAAGAAATGTTTCCACTAAATCAGAGAAAATTAATCGGTTTTCATTTACCACATCCTCCAAAGTAGATTGTCTCTATTATAAGTAGTCTATCTATATTTCCCTATATATTTGTTTTTTTCTAAAAAGAAAAGTGGCCTTTTCTTCAGCCATATTTAGGAAAGGTTTAGGGTTAGCCAGGAGCTTGGGCTCAGAAAACCAAATGAGTCAACCTCAGACCAAATTGAGAGCCAGTTTTGACTTTTTGAAGGTTATCAGGGCTAGGGAGGGATGCTGACAGTGACATAGCACACCGGACATCGTTTTGGGTTTCTTTATTTGCATTTTGACTATATCTCAGTTTAAAAAGCTTATTAATATAATATTGCCATAAAAACACAACAAAAATACAAATACCCAGGGGCTTTAAAAATGAGATAAAATGAGAAAATCTATTAATCCTCCCCTTGATAAGGACCATGTAATAATATAACATTATACAGTCATGGGATGGAGTAGTTGGGGTTAAGCAGGCATCATAGAGCCAAAAATTTCCTATTCAGCCTGTAAAAACAGTAGGAGACAAGACACTTCATATATCCAAAAAATGGCATTAGACCTTTGCAGCCCTAAGTTCAGAAGGATAGGGATAAATCTCCATGACTTTGAATCTTTTGATGGCGAATAGCTTCTACTTGCCCCCAGATCTCCCCTCTATTCTTGACATAGGATGTGAGATGAGCACTGCTTCCAACAATTCTTTTCTTGGCCTTAATGAAAAAGTAGAGCTGACCCCAAATCTACTGGCTCTGTACAGGTGGTGAGGAGGATGAGAGGAAGGAGAGGAGGCCCAAGAAAAGGCAGAATAAAGGTTTTAGAAAATCTGGAATAGGAGGAGAACACACTATCAGACTCGGGAAAAATCTTCATATGTCTTCCTATTTCCTCACACTCCTTGAGAAAGAAATCTCCACGTATCTTCAAGTGGCCCTCATATCAGTAGAAAAGAACTGGTTTCAAAGCTAGGGACATGAAAATTGGGTCACCTTGATATACCTCTGAACCTCCACAAGACAGCCCACATCTGAAAGTATTCAGAGATAAAAATATTTTCCTGAAAACAGTGGTATTTGTTAGAAAAACTACCCCCAATGGACACAGAACTGATTGAACTTTAGGGGGAGGTGGTGTTTGTGTGATATTGCTGAGGTGGTTACTGCTGGAGTTGATGTGGCAAAGCCAAGGCACAAAATAAGTGATCTGCTATGGGTTTGTGGGGTTTATTTAGACACAGATTTTGAACTCAATAATGAATTGTCCCCATTGAGTTTCTCCAAGGGAAACCCCTTTTCTTGGAGACTATATGGTGCCTAGCTTGATGACATCATTGCAGGGCAAGATATCATATAGCAATCAGGAAGGGAATGTTTATGAGGCAGCCACCCAATGGCTGCAGATAAATGAGGCCCAGTGAGGAAAGTGGAGGTTGGGGGAGCAGGAAAGAGGAAGAACAAGTGAAGAGGGGAGGAATGACCCACTGAGTTGGAAGGAATGATAATGCCGTCATCGTTCTTAGTCAAGACATCTCCCTCTTTCTCTCCTGACACACACAACCTGGCTCAGGCTCCACATGCTTACAACTGATGAGGGCGCTGTAGAGCACATTGGTGCTATCCTGTCAAAACTATGTGGGTGCCCTTTGAACAGAAAGATGTCTGCAGGACATTTGCAGTCTCATTTTGGGTAAGTCACTTTGGTGCCCTTTTTCCAGGAGTTCTTTATGAAAATATACAGTGTGAGAATACAGTGTGAATGTTTGGCCCTTTAGGGTTGAAGGACTCCTTTGAACTTCATGTCCTTGGTAGAGATGTATAAAATCTCCTTTGGGCACACCCAGAGCTCACGCCCTACAGGTAGATCTTGCAACTTCTGGTTAAGATGCAGTGTTTCTAGGGCTCACCTTGGACCCCTACTCAAACCGTGAAAGTCAATGTGAACAAAGTTGCCATGTAAGTTCACATCCATGTCATTCAGGTCAATGCTATTGAAATGCTGAATGGAGTAGCTCTTAGGGAAACAAAAGCCCCAGATAAGTCATTAGGGTATTGCAAATTAAAGCAATAAATTTATCATTATACATATATAAGGATAGCTAAAATTAAAAAAACTGACAATACTAATTATTGTCAATTGCAGAGCAACAAAACACATATTCATTACTTGTGGACATGCAAGATGTCCAGTCATATTGGAAGACATCCTAGCAGTTTCTTACAAAATTAAACAGTTTTACCATAGGAAACAACAATTGGGCTCCTAAGTATTTACCCAACTGCTTTGAAAACATGTCCAAAAAATTTTGCTCATAAATGTTTACATTATCTTTGTTAATAATTGCCCAAACTTTAAAGCAACCAAGATGTCCATCAATAGGTCAATTAATAAAAATGGTGTGATACCCATGCAATATAATAACATTAAATGATTAAAAGAAATAAGCCACCAAGCCATAAAAACACTTTAAATGCATACTGTTTAGTGAAAGAAGCCATCCTGAAAAGGACACATGATTCCAAGTGTATGACATTATGGAAAAGGCAACAAAATCATGATGGTAAAAAGCTCAGTGTAGCCAAGAGTTTGGAGAGAGCATGTGTGTGGTGAATAGATGAAAGTACGTTTTTTAAGGCAGTGAAGCTATTCTGTATTATCCTATAATGGTGGATATATGTCTCTATGCCTTTGTAAAAGCCTATAAAACTTTATAGCATGAGGAGTGGACCTTACTGTATCCAAATTTAAAAAATCAGTTCAGAGGTTGGGAGATTCTAAGATGAATGCAGAATTTAGCAAAACAATTTAAAATGAATTACAAATGTAGGAAACAATCCCACTGAAGGGGAATAAGGTAAAAGTTGCTGACCTATGTAATTTTGAAAATAAGTGGCATCTGTAAGTTTAAGAGCCAAACAGTGTGTTCATAAACACTGTACTGTAGTTATTAATAAAGTTGTTTCCTGCAAGGAGATGGATTAAGATTTTTGATAATGCTATATATGTTGAAATATTAAGTAAATTGAATTATTTAAGTAAATTGATGTCAAGTGGCGGGAGTAGGTTTCTAGCCTTAGCTAGCTTAACCAGAAAAATTAAATGTTTTAAAGTATCGGTAATAAAAAAGTATAACAATGAAGAAAGTTTACTAAATATAGTTATAAGGCAAATAATCTCAAAAAACGTTCTATTATCAGTGGTAATTATACTTATGGTAAAGATATATTGTTACCAAACCCAGATCCGGCTGCTCACCTCTCAGAAAGCCAAACACAAGAGATGAGAATTGGTGGGAGAAAAAGCAGGTTTGTTTGGAAAGCCAGCAAAACTAGCATTTTAAAATGCCATCTTTAATTGTTCAGTCTGGATGGAGGGGAATATAGGGAAGTAGAGGGGACTGGTATCAACAGGTGACCGAGGACTGCAAGCAACTGGGTGCCAGCAATGGCCCTGGGAAGTTGGGGACAACTTTGTCCTTGATCAAGTCACGATGCTTCCATAAATCTTTAACAAAACATAGTTGCTTACATACTTCGCCTTTAATCTCAGAGTTAGTTTCAAAAACTACATGATTGCTATTTGTGCACATTATCTTAGTGCTCTGAAATTATCCTAGCCTATGTGCAGGAATGGATAAAGTCCTCTTAAATAAAAATGAAGTTAGTTATGTTATAGTTCTTTTGCTGTTTTACTGTTACAGTGTCAGTTGTTAATAAAAAATAAAAGAAAATTTTAATAAAATATTCTAGGAATATTACCTGACACTCTAACAAAAAGCAAGTTATATTACCATTTGTATCACACGTTTGAAAAATTCTGATGGACTCTACAATAGTAGGATGAATAGAGTTAATAATTATAAGATTTTGTTTTGTTTTGTTTTTAAGACACTCCGTCTCACTCTGTTGCCCCGGGGGGAGTGCAGTGGTACACTCTCTGCTCACTGCAACCTCCACTTCTTAGGCTCAAGCAATCCTCCCACCTCAGCTGTCTGAGTAGCTGGGACTACAGGTGCGCACCACAATGCCCAGCTAATTTTTGTATTTTTTGTACAGGTGGGATTTCGCTATGTTGCCCTGCTGGTCTTGAACTCATGAGCTCAAGCAATCTTCCCGTCTCGGCCTCTGAAAGTGCTGGGCTTGCAGGCTGAGCCACTGCACCTGCCCGGGTTTTTGAGTGTCCTCATCACAAAGAAATTGTAAATGTTTAAGGTGATGGATGTACTACTTACCTTGATTTGATCATTACAATGCATACATATATGGAAACATAACTTTGTACCCCATAAACATTATTATTAAGTGTTCATTGTAAATTTCAAAAATAAATTTAAAAGAATTGAATATAAAAACAGATTTACATGAGAGGGAACTGAATATACGTCAAGTCAAAAGTAGAATTCAATTAGAGAGAGGCTTAGTTTTCCATGCTAGACATTCCATAATTTAAATAAAAAAGGAATTGTCCAGATCTTTGAATACAGGTAAAGTTAAAAACAAGTGTCCATCACAAGAACATGGCTACAATTTTTAGAAAATGTATATCTCAGTTATTAGAAATCATAAGATCATAAACAAATAATGTATATGACAACATAAAATACAGAGAAATGTACATCTCAGTGATTAGAAATCATATCATAAACAAATAAGGTATATGACCAACATAAAATATAGAGTAAATAAATAACAGAATAAAATGAGATCTGATTGTAAAATTTGATAGAAAAAAAGAATATTAACAAGCAAATAGGTAACCGTTGAAGCTTATTACAAAATAATATTAATTAGAACACTGATAGATTATTATTTTATTCAAATAAGCAATTAATTAAATCAAATATTCAAATGTTCACATGTTTTGTACCAATATATTCGTTCTCTGAAAATAACTTTTTTTTTTTTTTGAGACGGAGTCTCCCTCTGTCACCAGGCTGGAGTGCGGTGACGCCATCTTGGCTCACCGCAACCTCCGCCTCCTGGGTTCAAGCGATTCTCCTGCCTCAGCCTCCTGAGTAGCTGGGACCACCACGCCACCACGCCCAGCTAATTTTTGCATTTTTTTTTTTTAGTAGAGACGGGGTTTCACCATGTTGGCCAGGATGGTCCCTATCTCCCGATCTTGCGATCAGCCTGCCTCGACCTCCCAAAGCGCTGGGATTACAGGCATGAACTACTGCGCCCGCCCTCTGAAAATAATTCTTTAAAAACATATTGCAAAAAACATGAAAAAAAATACAAGAAACATTAATCCACATTCTTCTCTAGATGCCACCTTATTTCCTTTTTCCACTTGACAAACAAACTTCCCCAAATAATTTTCTATACGCAGTATTCTTAATTTCTCTTTTTTGTGTTTCCTCTTCAACTTACTCCAATCGTGTTTCTATCCCATTCATTCTACTAAACCAGATCCTCCTAAGGTCATCAGTGGAGTCTGTTTCCAGGTTCAGTAGGACAGCTCAGCCCTCACCTTCCCTGAAAGTACCACTGTCTTCCCCTCATTAGACTCTCCCTCATTCTTTCCCATTTCTCTTTCTAATTGCACTGGCAACTTTACCTCAGGCTCCTTTACATATTCTCCTTCTCTGCTCTACCTTTGAATGTTGAGGGTCTGCAGGACAAGGTTATGTCCTCATCTCATTGTCTCCTCTGTTTATAAGTGACTACATTCATTCCTATGTCCTTGTTACCAGACATGCAATAAAGAATCTTAAATTAATACCTTTGCCCATGGGATTTGTTGTTCACTCTAGACCCATATTCCCAATTGCGCATAAGATTTCTGCAATTTCATGTCTCCCAGGCACCTCAAAAAGGACATCTAATATTTTTCTTTCTCAACATCATTTGCACCTAAAGCTTCTAGTATGAGAACATCATTTTCTTTTACTTATCTTTGTAGTGTTTCATATAAGCGAAATTGGTACATCTTTACTGTTTCTTTTCCTGTAAGAATGAAAGCTCTTCAACACGGAAAGAAACTGTGTTTATTCACCTGTATTTCTTTTTTAAAATAACTTTTTAATTTTTGTGGGTACATAGTAAGTGTATATATTTATTGGTTACATGAGATATTTTGATACAGTCATGCAATGAGTACACCTGCATTGCTTGACATCAATTCCAAAATATGCCACTTTGATACTCACTTTATACATATTATGTAAATGGAATGAATGAATAGGTAAGTGTATATTACCGTCCATTCCTTGATTTGGTTCAGAAAACTAGTGTTTGGATTTTGGTTTTCGAATAAATAACTTCAAGAAGTTTTGTTTGAAAATAATTTAATAAATAACAAAATACAATATTTAACCAAATGGAAAGCTGAACATGTTTTGTTATCTTAATACAATGTAAAGGCAAACATTTGTTATATAAGAATATAAATAGTATAAATATGATAAAATGTAAGAATAAATAAATGAGTAAAAATAAATAACATCTTAGGGACTGATGCCCCTGAACCTAAGTCTTTTTAACATATACTGGCTTAATATACCGACAAAGTATTTGCAGAACTAATTCAGTCAATTCTGTGATTAAAGCCGAAATAAGAGTCTTTTGAATTGACCAGAGTCACATGTGCAAGTGTTATATGGCAAATTAATCAATGAGAATCATTTCAAGATGAGCCCAGGTCTCTATCTTTACTTCTCAGTCTTTCTTGCATGTTTGTTGATAAGAACAAGGATTTCATGATTTCCATTCTGACAACTTCCCAGGCACAGTCGCTGTATTTCTTCTCTTTCAGGTAGACACGGATTCCCTGGAAGTACCTCCTCAAGGTCAGTGCAGGGCTGCTAATTGCCCCAGCAGATTCTCCTTCTCCCACTACCTGCAGCAAGCAGGTCTCCAGGTGTTGCAGTTGCTGATGAAGTCCAGTGTGGAGTTGGTCTAGGAGGGTCATGTTCCAGGCAGCAGAGGAGCGCTCTGTGTGGAAGAGGCTGAAGATCTGCTGCAGCATCTCATGGAGGACAGACATGACATGGGCCTTCTGCAACTGGCTCCCTTTTACCATCTCCTGGGGGAACCTGAAGTCTCTTCTGTCCTTGAGACACAAGAAAGGGGAGATTCTCCTCATTTGGTGCAGAAGCACCAAGGTGTTCCTGCTAAGTAGGCCATGGTTCTGAGGCAGATCACAGCCCAGAGATCCAACAGGGCTATAGCTGGTCATCACTAGGGCTGCCAGTAGAGGGAACAGGAGGGCCATTGGGAAATGAGGATGCTCCTGGCTTTACTGAGCTGGGATATGGCTTAACCTTGGACCCTAGGTTTTCTGAAGACATTGCTTGTATGCATGGCTTTTAATAGGAAACACATGGTTTTCATTTTCTGAACATTTCTCTGTACTTTCAGTTTCTTTTACTGTTTTCATTTGTGTGTTCTCCCTATGACCTTAAGAGGATGACAACAATCTATTAATTTTGCATTAGACTTCAGCTAAACTCCAGTAAACTTCAGCTGTGTCAATACAAATGAATGCTTAATCAAATGAAAAACGTCTGGGTACTAAAGTCATAAGTGTATATACTATATGCATGTAAATAATCAGACACACACTACACTAACAATATATATATTATATATTTATGTATACACACTATAGTGAATATATGTATATATGTGTATATATAATATATATTCATATATATATGAAAAAAATCATTTTCTCTGTTCTAGAAGCAAAATTTTAACCCTTATTCTAGCCTCCATTTTTACCCTCCTTACTTTATGTAGGAAGTCAGGCCCTATAGGTTTCTATATTTGCTTCAGGTTTACCAGATCATCTGCAGCAAATAAGCTCTTTAGAACCAAGAACAGCATTTTGCTGTTGTTTGTTTGTTTTTTAGAGATGGGGTCTTAATCCGTCACCCAGGTTGGAGTGTGGTGGCATGATCAGAGGTCACTGCAGCCTTTAACTCCTGGGCTCAAGCAATCTCTGTGCCTCAGCCCCCTGAGTACCTGGGACAACAGGTGTGCACCATCATGCCTGGCTAATTTTTTTGTTGTTGTTGTTGTTAGAGATGAGGTCCCACTATGTTGTTCAGGCTGGTCTCAAACTCCTGGCCTGAAGCTGAGGCCTCCTGCCTCAGCCTCCCAAGTAGTTGGAATTACAGATATGAGCCAAAAACGCAGTTTTGTTTGCTGTTTTATTCACAACAGAGGATGATGATGATTAGCGAATGAGCTTCTCTGACATTTTTCTTCCTTCTAGAAAACATTCATGCAGGTCCATGTGGTTACGCTTCACTGGGACCACAAGGTGAAGATTAATATAGACACTGCTTTTTCTTTCCATCATTTGCTTACTGAGGTCAATAGTGCTCCCCTATCTGTCAATATCCCAGCTGGAATCCTGATTCTTTACAAGCGCATATGGATGTAGAGATTCTAATTCGCAGATATTTTACTTTCCCAGCGTCTCCTCACACACAAGGTAGTTATCACATCTAGTAATACCTTTTCCTCTAGAGTAACAAATACTCTCAACCCAAACTCTTCCAGACTCGCTCCCAGGGAGCAGTCTCACAACATCCTGATAACTTCAGAACTCTTTTGGTGAGAGGGTAGTGGTTACTTTGTGAGCAAAGCAACTAACCCTCCAAGACCCTTGCCGGTGCCCCTAGAGTGTTTGTCTGGAGGACCCTGGCTCTCAGTGGCGACCTCCTTTCCTCCTGACCCATGTGTCCAGGTATCAAAAGTTTCGACAGCCCTCAGGTACTGATAGCAAAGGTTTCTTTTGTCTAAGGAAGGTGGAAGGATTACCCAATTATAATCATTTTACCTTCATTAGTCAAATAATTTTCCACCATTTGCTTACTGAGGTCAATAGTGCTCCACTGGCTGTGTCAGTATCCCAGCTCGGAATCCTGACACGGTTTTTATTGTTCAATTCTTTTACGTAAGCTATTGAACATTTGTTATCCTCAGTGTTTCTCAGGTGGGCACAGGGGATCAATGATGATGTTGTCTTTCATTAGAAGCTTATATGTGCCAAATTTTCTAGATCCAGTCTATCGTTGTTGGACATTTGGGTTGGTTCCAAGTCTTTGCTATTGTGAATAGTCCCGCAATAAACATACGTGTGCATGTGTCTTTATAGCAGCATGATTTGTAATCCTTTGGGTATATACCCAGTAATGGGATGGCTGGGTCAAATGGTATTTCTAGTTCTAGATCCCTGAGGAATCGCCACGCTGACTTCCACAATGGTCGAACTAGTTTACAGTCCCACCAACAGTGTAAAAGTGTTCCTGTTTCTCCACATCCTCTCCAGCACCTGTTGTTTCCTGACTTGTTGATGATCGCCATTCTAACTGGTGTGAGATGGTATCTCATTGTGGTTTTGATTTGCATTTCTCTGATGGCCAGTGATGATGAGCATTTTTTCATGTGTCTTTTGGCTGCATAAATGTCTTCTTTTGAGAAGTGTCTGTTCATATCCTTCGCCCACTTTTTGATGGGGTTGTTTGTTTTTTTCTTGTAACTTTGTTTGAGTTCATTGTAGATTCTGGATATTAGCCCTTTGTCATATGAGTAGATTGCAAAAATTTTCTCCCATTCTGTAGGTTGCCTGTTCACTCTGATGGTAGTTTCTTTTGCTGTGCAGAAGCTCTTTAGTTTAATTAGATCCCATTTGTCAATTTTGGCTTTTGTTGCCATTGCTTTTGGTGTTTTAGACATGAAGTCCTTGCCCCTGCCTATGTCCTGAATGGTATTGCCTAGGTTTTCTTCTAGGGTTTTTATGGTTTTAGGTCTAACATTTAAGTCTTTAATCCATCTTGAATTAATTTTAGTATAAGGTGTAAGGAAGCACACCAGGGCCTGTTGTAGGGTGGGGGGAGGGGGGAGGGATAGCATTAGGAGATGTACCTAATGTTAAATGGCGAGTTAATGGGTGCAGCACACCAACATGGCACATGTATACATATGTAACAAACCTGCACGTTGTGCACATGTACCCTAAAACTTCAAGTATAATAATAATAAAAAAAGAAGCTTATATTACAGAAACTAGTGGTCTTCAGCTGCTCATCCAGTCATTGCAATTCTAAGGGTTCTTTCCTCCTCTATCTCTGACTCACTCTGACAGTGCAGGGAGGTTAGACCCTTGCTTTTCTGTCAGGGAGAAAGAGCCTTCCTTAATTTACTTATTTGTGATTGTTTTATTTTAAAATTTTGTACCTTATTTTTACATAGTGGTTTACTGGGTAAGGTTTGTCTTGCTGCTTCTGCATTACATTCCAGTTTATGACAAAATAACACAAATTAAAGGAAGTAAAAGAAAGGCAAAGGAACCATGCTATTTTGATCTATAATTTACATGAATTCAGATTTTTTTCTTTTTCATTTCAGCTTTCTTAGAAAGCAAAACTTGATAGTTGTTTTGGGGCAAGAAAGAAAACAGAAAATATAAGTCTGAATGTCATGAAAGTGAAAGAAGGGAAGTGGCTTTCTGCTCATAAAATGGCCAAGTATAAGTTAGCAAAATAAAATGCAGCAAAATCGATGACTAGGGGTTCTGGCAGAGGGGAAGAATGAGCCCAATGTTGAGGTACACAAAGGCAGGGAAATGGCTGTTTCTGCTAGAGGCACAGAGAAGGCCAAGTCCTGGGTCAATGAATTGCTCTTAGCTTTGCAAGACCAGACATTTGCTCTTTTTTCATTTAATATACATAGGATCAGTTCTGAGGAAGGAAGGGAAGCATGATGCCAACTGGCTCACAAGAGATTGTCAACCAGTCCCCAATTACTAGAACAAGCAGCCTCCTCTGGCAGGATAATAGATATTAGCCTTGCCTGAGCACTCTACCAAGTTAATAAATCTACCTAGGCAAGGAAAAGAGTGCTTTGAGAAACTCAGTGTAAAAAATAAAGAGAACTGGATAATCGCAAAGATTCCGCTCTTTATCTGGATAATGATGATGACGATGATACTAAAAATGATAACATTGGAATTTGTTGCATGTTGACTAAGACCAGCCTCTGTTCAAAGATATTTGAAAAGATTAACTCAATCTTTTCAATAACCATATTTAGATTCCACTCATTTATACAACTTTCTGGAGAGAAATATGTATCTGGAGAGATGAGCTATTCCGAAAACACCAGTGATTTAAGGTCAAACCTTTAGGGGGAGTCAATATAGTGGCTTATCTGGAAGACTCTATCAATGGAAGTGGAGGGTGGATATGAGTAGAGAATTTATAAACCAAGGAGAGGCCAGGGCATGAAGTCAGGTGAGCAGGACGGGTGAGATGACAAGGGATTCAGAGTTCCACGTCACATGCCAATGTGTTGCCATCTATTACTTTGTAGACAGAGCAACGGGGGTATGTTGTGAGTAAGTTGAACTAATTTTAAGTCCTAAGTAAAAGTAGACCTTTTAAATAGTTAAAAGTGAGTAGATTTTTCTGCCAATTGTAAAAAAGGGCCAAGATTTAATGAGTAATTTATTCACTGAAATACAGTAAAACCTTTATTGACTCATCAACTGCAAACACTTAGAAGCCTTTTTACATTTGACTCTTGAGATTTTCTTTTGTCATTTTAAGAATAAACAGGAAGCACCTAACAATTTTTAGTCTAACAATAGCCCAGCCATATGGGCTCTGAGTTTCTCCCTGAGGATGTCATTGATTCTCCAGGACACTTCCTTCAGGTCAGCCTGCTGTTTTTATTCCTGAAAGGGACAACTCACCTCCAGGCCAGACTTTATTTTGTCTACTGATAGATTCCAATTAGGAATTTCTTCTCCTCCTAATCTTACCAGACAATGGTTGAGTGTCCAGTGCCAAAAAGAACCTATTGTATGAGCCAGAGGGCAGACTATATGTACTTTCTATGAAGCAGTGAAGGGATACTTACCAGGGATAATCTTGTTTTAACCCCAAACTCCACCACAGTACTTAGTATAGATGTCTTTATTTTTCTAACCTCATCATATTTAAAAAATCCTAAAATACAATGACAGGATTGAAAGAAACTTGTCAAAAAAATCACCATTGGCTGGATATGGTGGCTCTTCCCTATAATCTCAGTGCTTTGGGAGGCCAAGGCAGGAGTTCAAGACCAGCCTGAGCAACATAGCAAGACATTGTACATACAAAAATAATTAGCTGGGCATTGTGGTATGCACCTGTAGTTCCAGCTACTCCGAAGGCTGAAGTGGGAAGATCGCTTGAGCCCAGAAGCTGGAGATTATAGTGAGCTATGATCCTCCCACTGCATTCCAGCATGGGTGACAGAGTGAGACCCTATCTCTAAAACAAAGTAAAATAAAATAATAATCACCATTAATGGATAAAATGATCAAGGCATTTTTTGGAATAGTTTCAATAGGATTGGTATCCATTCTTCTTTTTTTGTCCAGTAGAATTTGGCTGTGAATCCATCTGATGCAGGGCTTTTTATTGTTGGTAAGTTTTTTCTTTGTTTGTTTGTTTGTTTTTTAGTATTGATTCAATTTCACGACTTATTATGGGTATGTTCGAGTATTCAATTTCTTCTTGATTCAATCTTTGGAGGTTAAATGTTTCCAGGAATGTATCCATTTATTCTAGGTTTTCTAGTTTGTGTTCATAGAAGTGTTCAAAACACTCTCTGAAGTTTTTTGTATTTCTGTGAGGTTGGTGTAACATCACTTTTGTCATATCTGTGTTTATTTGGATCTTCTCTCTTTTTCTCTTCATTAATTTAGCTAGCAGTATGTCAACCTTATTTATTCTTTCAAAAATCAAACCTTTGTTTTCGTTTCTTTTTTGTATAGATTTTCACATCTCAATTTCTTTCAGTTGAACTCTGATTTTGGTTATTTCTTTTCTTCTGCAAGCTTTGGAGTTGTTCTACTCTTGTTTTCCTAGTTCTTTTTGGTGTGATGTTAGCTTGCTAATTTGGGATCTTTCTGACTTTTTGATGTAGCCATTTAATGCTATTAATTTTACTCCTAATACTGATTTAGCTGTGCCCCAGAGATTCTGAAGGGTTGTATCTTTGTTTTCATTAGTTTCCAAGAATTTCTTGATTTTTGCCTTAATTTCTTTGTTTACCTGAAAGTCATCCAGGAATAGGCTGTCTCATTTCCATGTAGTTACATGGTTCTGAGAGAGCTTCTTGGTATTAATTTCAATTATTATTGCACCATGGTCCAGGAGTGTGCTTGGTATGATTTTTTTTTTATTTTGTTGAGAATTGCTTTATGGACAAGCACGTGGTTGACCTTAGAGTATGCACTATGTGCAGACGAGAATGTGTACTCTGCTGTTGTTGGGTGGAGTGTTCTGTAGATATCTGTTAGGTACATTTGATCAAGTGTTGCATTTAGGTCTCAAATATATTTGTTAGTTTTCTGCCTTGTTGATCTGTCTAACACTGTCAGTGGGGTTTGGAAGTCTTTTGCTATTATTGTGTAGTTATCTAAGTCTCTTTGTAGGTCTCTAAAAACTTATGAATCTGGGCACTCTAGTTTTGGGTGCATATATATTTAGGGTAGTAAGTCTTCTTGTTAAATCGAGCTCTTTATGTAATGCCATTTTTTGTTCTTGTTGATTATACTGGTTTAATGTCTGTTTTATTTGAAATAAGAATAATAACCTTTACTCTCTTTTTTTTTTCTGTTTGTTTGATAGATCTTTCTCCATCTCTTTACTTTGAATCTGTGGATATCATTGCATGTGAGATGGGTTTCTTGATGACAGCATACATTTGGATATTGCTTCTTTATCCATCTTGCTACTCGGTCTTTTAAATGGGGGCATTTAACCCATTTACATTCAAGGTTAATATTGACATGTGAGGATTTGATCCTGTCATTGTGTTGTTAGCCTGCTGTTATATAGAGTTGGGCTGCAGTTGGTTTATAGTGTCAGTGGGCTAGGTACTTAAGTGTGTTTTTGTGGTGGCTGGTAATAGTCTTTCATTTCCATGTTAAATACTTCCTTAAGGACCTCTTGTAAGGAAGGTCTGGTGGTAACAAATTTCTTTAGCATTTGTTTATCTGAAAAGGATTTTATTTCTCCTTTGCTAAGGAAGCTTAGTTTGGCTGGATATAAAATTCTTGGTTGGAATTTCTTTTCTTTAAGGATGCTGAATATAGGCCCGCAATCTCTTCTGGCTTGTAAGGTTTCTGCTGAAAGGTATGTTGTTAGCCTGATGGGGTTCCCTTTATAGGTGACCTGCCCCTCCTCTCTAGCTTTCTTCAATATTTTTTCTTCCATGTTAATGTCAAAGAATCTGATGACTATGTGTCTTTGGTATGTTAATTTTGTATAGTTTCTTGCTGGGGTTCTCTGAATTTCCTCAATTTGTATGTCAACTTCTTTAGAAAGGTTGGGGAAGCTCTGAGTCTTCAAGCTCTGAGATTCCTTCCTCAGCTTAGTCTATTCTGCTGTTAATACTTCTGATTGTGTTATATAATTCTTGTAAGAGTTTTTCAGCTTTAGAAGATCAGCTGTTTCTTTTTTGAAATGGCTATTTCATCTTTCAGCTCTTGTATTATTTTATTGGATTCTTTATATTCCTTGGATTGGATTTCAACTTTCTATTGAATATCAATGGTCTTCATTTCCATACAGATTCTGAATTCTATGTCTGTCATTCTAGCCATCAATTAAGAACCACTGCTGGGAAGCTAGTGTGGTCATTTGGAGGTAAGAAGACACTCTGGTTTCCAGAAGTGCCTGAGTTCTTGTGCTGATTCTTTCTCATCTGTATAGGTTGATATTCCTTTAATCTTTGAAGCTGCTGTCCTTTGGGTGGGGTTTTAAAATTTTACATTCTTTGAAGCTCTTGAGAGTTTGACTATGGTATAAGTTGGGTTTAGTTGATTGGTTTCATTTCTGGATGATTTCAGGGGTACAAGTTTCAGCTCAGCACTCCTGAACTTCATGTTTTAATGCTGGGGTGTGGGGGTACTGGGATCAGGACTATGGCTTTTTTTCTGTGGTCCCTCAAGGTTAAGCATTTGATATGCTGGAGGGGCCAAGGTGTTCCTTGTATGCTGGCAACAGCACTCCAATGAGGGGTGCTGCCAAAAATACTTCATAGGGGAGGTGGTGGGCAGCAGGGGCCCCCATGTATGACACGCTGGAAAAGCAGCAGGGAAAGTCTACAGTGAGTGAGCCCTGGTTGGGGAGGGCTGTGGGTGGGTGCTTGCCAGCAGGGGCCCACTTGCAGTTCTCTGACTATTAGGTAGGGTCTGTTGGTGAAAGAACTAAGGCAGTGCCCACTGGCAAGTGCCTCGGCTTGGCAGCAGAGGCCATGCTGAAAGTGGGTGTAGACAGGCAGTGTCCCTGGGATAGGCTGGCAGAGCGTGGGGTGCTCATATTGGACTGGCCCATCCCATGGGAAAGATAGCCCTGTTCCATTCAGGTCCAGCAGCCAAAAAAGGCTAAAGCCACCTAGAGGAGCATGTGAGCCTTGGGGAATGAGCTGTGCTCCATTGCACCTCTTCCTACACAAACCCTCGGCTCCACGCAGGCTGGAGTTCTGTCTTTTTCAACTCTCCAGGTAGCTATCCCTGCCATCTCAAATGTCTGTGGGGGTTATGGGGTCTCCTGAAGCTAGGGTTCCAGAGGTCTGTGACAAG
Source organism: Homo sapiens (assembly GCF_000001405.40). Classification (NCBI taxonomy): domain Eukaryota; kingdom Metazoa; phylum Chordata; class Mammalia; order Primates; family Hominidae; genus Homo; species Homo sapiens. Next base: position 21,149,947 of record NC_000009.12, read on the forward strand.
AATGGCTCACTGTATGCCTATTTTACTCACCCCTTCCCCAGAAGCTGCTCCAAGTCAGGAATGAGTCCTGGAGCTTGGCAACCTCATGCAGGGTTCCCAACTCCCTCCCCTTTCAGCCCTGGGTCTGCATCATCCCTCCGTCCACTCTTCATGCCTTCTTTCCAAAGATCTGTTTAAAATGTGCCAGTCTACTTGATGATCTGGTCTTTCTTGGTGAGAGAAGTTCTTCCTGGCTGTATCTAGTTGGCCATCTTGGTTCTCTCTCTGTCTTTCAGAAGTTTTTCGTGATCCACCAACTTAGGACAATCAAATCCTTCATGACCTAGAACCTAGAGTCTGTGTCTTTTAGAAATGACATCAGAGGAATATTGACTTTGAACTACATTTTAAGGGACGATACCAAGTTCTTCTTATCACCTACACTGCAGTAAACCTTCAAGGCCTCAAACCTTTCATCCACATCTCACAACTCAAAAAAATTCCTTCAGATTCTTGGAACTGCATACCTAATTTCCTGCTGTCCTAATCATTTCTCATTTTTGTTGTACAGGAACGTCCACGCGACCATAATCAGTGCAAGCTTTCACTTAAGCTTATGCTGTAACACAAATCCAGAGCAATTGTTGGGTTTGTGGGCTACTACCAAAAAAAGTCAGAAAACAAATCTACTAATGCCAATGTCTGTGTTCTCAATGAGACTCACACTGACACTTCAAAGGAAGAGTGAAAAGCTAATCATGAAGCTCTGAACATCACTGTTACTTGATTTTTTACACTCAGTAGAAACAGCACTCTAACATTTCCAATTAATAATCTGATCATTACCAAATATAGAAAGCATATTCAAGTGTTGCCTGAACAAAAGTATATTTTGCTTCCAGGTAATGCATGTTTGAGACTTAGGAATTACCCATGTTGGTAAAAATAATTGCTTGTATAATGTCACCAGATTAAATCAAATAAAGTCCTTTTTCAGCAAATGTGGTTATATACCCTTACAGATTGCTATAAATAAACCACCAAAAAAAAGTAAATTTCCATTGGGCTTTGTCAGTAGCTATGAAGATTTACGGGTAAACAAATTTAACTGATCCTTGCTCAAACACAACTAGGTTTTCCTTTTTCCAACCACTGAAGGCTGGGTCTGTGGAGAATCTGCTTATTCCATTCTGCCTCCTCACTAGTTTGAATCATTCTATTTGGCTTGGCTCACTCCTGCCTTTGGATTAACTTTCCCTGAATGTCCCCATAATAGCTCATATGATCAGAGGCCAAAATAGTCAATAACCAGAATTAATTAACTAACCTTCAAATAGACAAAGACAAGCTAGTTTCCCTAGTGGGACTCCTGGGGTCTTGTTCTTGGTGGTAGTTGGGTACTGATTATGTAAAATTGGAAGCTAATCTTTAATTTGGGAAAAATCTTGAATTTTGTAGACAATCAAACCTTCCAGGGTTTCACATGGGTATAAGCCACTCATTGAAGGATAGATAAGAACATATATCTTCAACCAAAACACTTAGTGAAACATCATGTAGCTTTAGATCATTTTGCCCAAGTTGGAGGCTTATGTTTGGTATTGAAAAAAACTGAATACTGTACCTATCTTTCCCCTGAGTTTGTTACTATAGAAAGATTAGAAAGGTGACTAATACTGCTGTTTTCTTAGACTTTGCCACCAAACACATTAAGAAAATTTCGTAAGAGAAAGAAACACATAATGTATTTGTATATGTTTTGAGGTAGGGTCTTGCTCTGCTGTCCACACTGGAGTGCAGTGGCATGATCATAGTACACTGGAGCCTCAAACTCCTGGGCTTGAGGAATCCTCATGCCTCAGCCTCCCAAGTAGCTGGAACTAGATGTGCATGCCACCCTACCTGGCTAACTTTTTTTTTTGTATTTTTTAAACATAGGAATATGATCTCACTTTGTTTCTCAAGCTGATCTTGAACTCTGGGTTTCAAGCAATCCTCCCACCTTGGTCTTCCAAATTGCTGGAATTACAGATAAAAGCCACCACACGCAGCCCACATAAAGTGTTTATGGGAGCAACTAACAGTTGGTTTGCAGGCAGCCTAAATAGGGGATGGCAAGGTTGGGTTTTCCAAGGTTTTCTAATCTTTCTATTTCTTCTAGTGAGTCTTCAGGTTATTATGACTTGTGTTACCAGACTATCAACAAAAGTGGGTACCTCTTTAAATCAGGCCTATTTATGGTGAATTATAGTTCTTAATCACCATCACACCCTTAAGACAGACTATGAACAATTAGACTCAAATACTGCTTAACTGCCTAGATTGCCTGCACTTTGACTTGTTTGATTTGGTTCAGTTTATTTCACAAGGACTTTTGTTAAGGAGTACCCTTTGGGTTTTTGAAATTATCCTCTTGATAGTCATCATAATATTCCCCGTGGTGCACTGTATCCTCTCCAGTCCTAAATGTTTTGTATGCAGCCATCCATTGAGCATTTAATGATCTTTAACTAGATCAGCAAGAACATAAAGAATGTTTCAACTAATGTGTTGTTGAGACTTGTGAATTTCATACTGAGACCAAAGACGTCCATTTAGAATGATAACAGAGAGTGGCAACAACACCCAAAGTTATGGTCAATTTCTCAAAATTGAGAGGCTGACCACAAAGAAAAGTTTATTAAACTAAGTTTAGCCTGAGTGAGCTTCTGTACTCACGTAGTTCTTACGTAATGAATTGTAATGTAACTTAGTACCTAAATAATCTGAAAGCCTAATTTGGAGTATACTTCTGTAATGAATAGCTGAGTCCCAGCCAATCATCACACTTGTGCTTCATTCAATCACAGGTGGCTGCTTATTCAAACCATGTTCAAATAAGGCTAATGCCAAGCTATAACCAATCTAGCTCTTTATATACCTCACTTCTTTTTTTCTGTATATCACTTTCCTTTTTCTGTTGATAAATGTAATCCAATCATGGGGCAGCCTCAAAGTTTCTCTGAACATGTTCTGCTCTGAGAGCTGCCCCATTTGCAAATCAGTTTTTGCTCAATTAAACTCTGCAAAATGTAATTTGTGTAAATTTTTTCTTTTAACTCTGGATATAATTGGGATATAATTACAGAGTTTTTCAGGGTAAGGTGAGAATGCAGAGCGAAATCATGCAATGTTTGCCCACTGAACATAAAATGACAAACAACAAAAAAGTAAAATTACATTAGAGAAATAAGCAGCATAAAGAAATAACCAAAGAATTGAAGGGGTCATAATATTTGAAAGGTGTTAAACAATGAGAGAGAGAGAGACAGAGACTGACCCAGGTGAATCCAGAAATATATTTTTTGTTGCGTGCTCCTGAACTGAGCCCCTATAAACAGTGGACAAAGAAAGAAAGGCAAGGATAAAAATATTGTCAAATATTATAACTTTGAGTTTCCCAACTCATCCCTTCTCCCATCTAGCAAGAAGAAATCTAAACATTGGGTTTGTAATGTGAGCAAACATTTGGAAGATTCCTCCTCCATTGAAGCCCCTTCCTGCTAGCTGAGCAATTCACACAAACTTCCTGATTAACTTCTTCAATTACAACATTGCACAAACTTATGCTTCCTAAATTTTACCCAATGGACCACATGCTTTCATTTGGCAATTATTGTATTCTCTGAAATTCCTTCACTTATGTCTTGCTGTATCTTACTACTACTGGACGGGATACAAGTCTGTCAAAATTCAAACAACAATGAGAATTTCTCCTAACTACAAAGTCAAGTGACATGATCTAATAGGAGTGAATTTGTAAATTAGCAAGGTATTTTTTTAAAAAGAATTAATGTAATATCAAACAAGAGGTTTTTCTTTATTTTCCTTGCAGTTCTATACCTAGATGGGCAGGCTGTACTTATTCCTAGTGTAGCTCAATACGTGGAGGGAGGGATGAGTCAGGAGGCCCTGGAAGCCTGAGCAGGCTGGAGGCAAGGGACACATCCTGACCCTTTCTGTCTCCACATAGCTGCCCATTGCCCAAAAAAGAGGACGGGTCCTGCTTGAAGCTGGCATTATTTCCCCTCTGTAAGACACAAAGCTAAGGAAATGAACTTTCAGAATTGAGGTCAGTTCTTTTCAGGAAAGAGCTCATTTTAGCTCTGTAGAAAAATCTTCTGCCAGGGAACAGGATTGTGTGTAGAAGAGAAGGCTGCTCGCCAGACTTGGCTGCTGTTTCTGTCAGTCACGATCAGTAGGTGGCTCTCTTCCTCTGTAAATCTTTTGATAACCCCCAGGGTAAAATGGATCCTGCCCTCTGTTTCCTTTTTGCTGCAACTACTATTACATCATTGTAACAGTAATATTCCCTTAATTCCAAAAATATTTACCAGGAGAGAAAAAGGCCTCTCATACGTGAGTTTCTGAAAAACCAAAAATTTGCACTCAACTATTGCTTTCAATTGGTAATTGTGTACACTTTAGGGGGAAATTGACAGCCAGAAACCACAATGGAAGAGAAAGCAGCTATATGACTGGGCAGTGCAGGTTAATGAGGAGTGAATGTAGAGGGCACACTGAAGATTTCTACACTGGAGAGGGAGGAAACTATTATGATATGGGAATGAAAGAATGGGAAAGAGGGAGGAAAGAAAACTGGCAGGCAACAGAATTAGCAAATGAAATATATGTGTGTGTGTGTGTGTGTGTGTGTGTGTATGCACACAAATGTGTATAGGCATTTATATACACACATATATACACATATCTGTATATATTATGTATTACCTACTATATATTATATGTATTATGTACTATATATTATATACTCTGTAATATATTGTTAAAATATATATTATTATAATATATATTGAAATAAGTTATACATAATATAATAATATATAATATATATACACTTTTAACTTCAGTTTAGGAGACTAATCCATGCACCAGATACTTACAAACCATCAATTTTTGATTAAATATTAATCACATATCTTCAGTGTCAAATGGTATCTAATTTTGAGTCTTCTTCAGAACTCCCATTTCTCTTTTTTCAGACTGTCAGCATTTTGCAGCCGCTTACAGACAGTGGAATAGGAGAGTTGACTATTCTTATATAGATCTGTATGAATCAATAAGAAAATAGTCACCATCTCTTAAGCACTCTGGAAGATACTCTGCTAAGTGCTTTAAAATGTTTTAGTTTTTCTGATACAGAAACTCCAGGAATATTTCCATCTTATTTTACATTTGTGAAAACTGAGGCTCAGAGGGGTTAATTGAATTACCCAGGATCACAGATGTGTCCTGGCTGAATCTAGATTCAATGCAGAATTCTATATTGCGTAAGTAATTACTTAAATTTTATAGTTTGAAATTCTGATACATTTTAATCCCCAAATTATACACTCTTGCTCATTAGCCATCTTTCATTCATGGATGCTGTTGTATATTTAAACTGATTTTCACCCTATATTGCTCTTTAATTTTGATACTGGGGAAGAGAAATATTCTGATCCAGTTTCACTTTTCCATCTTATAAAGGAACTGTCCCAGATTGTTATGTTCATTGTAAATTGATTATTTGTGAATCCCTAAGAGTTAACAGTTTTTATGAAATCATTGTTCTACTTATAGATCAAGTCTTAATTTAGTCAGAAAGAAAGGAAGTGATAGAGAAGAATAATGAGAATAATAAATATTTCTTTTTTGTTTTTTTTTTTCTTTTAGACAGTGACTCACGCTGTTCCCCAGGCTGGATGGAGTGCAGTGGCATACTCATGGCTCACTGCAGCCTCGACCTCCTGGACTCAAGCCATTCTCCTATTTCAGCCTCCCTAGTAGCTGCTACTAAGGACATGTGCCACCATGCCCAGCTAATTTTTTTTTTTCTTTTGTAGAGATGGGTTTTTTTCCATGTTGCCCAGGCTGGTCTCAAACTCCTGGCTCAAGCAATCTGCCTACCTTGGCCTCTCAAAGTGCTGAGATTATAGGTGTGAACCACTGCACTCAGCTGAGGCATGTTTTTAAATAACAGTAAAAACAATGTGATAAAAAGAAACCTAGGTAACCAGATTATTAAAACACATGATTCCTAAAAAATATTATATTATAGTGGTAATTAAATTTAGGAGAAAGAACTTATCTGATATTAAAATGGTAAAAGTGATATTCAATAAAATGGCTCTAGGGTGATCGTGATTACTAACAATCAATGCAAAGTCTCCTGTCAAGTGATAGATGAAAATATGATCTTGATGGAATACAGGACAGACATAAGATTAGATTTTTTGAAAGAGAATTTGTACAGTACAAGTTTTATTAACTATTTATTATGAAGGCTTGAGCTTATCCTACTACCTTAACAATGACATAACTGACAAAAAAATATATGCAGCATAATTTTACAGAAATTGGATGACAGACAGCTCTGGAATGTGACCCTAATGCAAACAAAAAAACAAACAAACAAAAATCTTGTGTTTCACAATTAACCTACTCTCCTCCTGGAGGTTTAGTGAAGAAAAGAAATAGAAGATATAAATAAAAATCAATATTAACTTTTTGAGATGAAAAATGCAGTACTTTAAATGAGATAATTAAGTGTAGAGGTAAAGCTCAGTTACTTTAAAGGCATAGCAGTAGAATCTGTCAAAAAGGAGGCATGGAATGAAATGAACCTCTGATACTTGGAGTACCAGAAGAAGGAAGAGGAGAGTTAATGAAAATATTTGAAGAAATAATATCTGGTGATTTTCTGAATTAGATTAAAACAAAACAAAAAAATTTATGAATTCAAGAAGCTCAATAAATTTCAGGCAGCATAAACATGAATATATATTTAAAACCACAACAAAACACATCATTATAAAATTTCTGAGAACAAGTGATAAAAATCTTAAAAGCAGTTACCAATAAAAAACACATTACATATAAAGAAAGATAAGAATGCTTTCAAACATCTCATTAAATAGCATGCAAGGTAGATGCCAATTAAATGGCATGTTTAAAAGTTGAAAGGAAAAAATAACACCAAACTTGTTAACCTGGAATGTTATATCCAGCAAATATATACTTCAAAAATGAAAGTAAAATTAAGACTTTTTCAGGGAAATGGAAATTGAGAGAATTATCACTACCAGAACTATACTACAAATATTGTTTTAAAATGTTCTTCAAGCAGAGATGAAATTATATCAGATGAAAGCTTGGAGCTACACAAAATAATGTATGAGATTGTTTAATAAAAATAAAAAATTTATTCAGTGATACAAAACACATGTAGCATAATAAATACAGCACAATAGCTCAATGTCTAGGTAGTGTATGATAATTTAAAATATGTGATGAACGCTACAGAAAAACTAAAAACAAAACAGACTAGAAGAATAGCTGATAAAATGATAGTGGAGATGAGGGAATTATTAAAACGGTAAACTAATTTAGGAGAAGGCAAGAAATTAAGAAAGAAAGGAACAAGGACCACAGGAAGAAATAAAATAAGCAAGATGGGAAACATACACCCAAACATATGCATAATTAGATTAAATTTTTATTGTCTAAACTTTCCACTAAAAAAGTAGAGATTGCTATACTGGGAAGACAAAAGCAAAACAAAAACCAAAAACCAAGCAAACAAAAATAAGACTCAAACAAAAAGATCCAACTTTATATATAAAAACACAGGTTACAATTAAAGATGGAAAAATTATACCATGAACACACTACTCATTAGAAAGCAGAAATGACTATATTTTGTTATACATAGTAAAATGGTTACTGTATGTAATGTGTTCTTCTACAGACTTCTTTTGGACACTAATATAGATCATATGCTGGGTTATAAACAAGTTTCTGTATAATGAAAAGAATTAAAATGATAGAGTATGCTGTTTAATTTCAAGCGAAACAAACCTAGAAAACAGTAGCATAGTCCAGGCGCGGTGGCTCACGCCTGTAATCCCAGCACTTTGGGAGGCTGAGGCATGTGGATCACTTCAGGTCAAGAGTTTGAGACCAGCCTGGCCAACATGACGAAACCCCGTCTCTACTAAAAATATAAAAATTAGGCTCCTGTAATTCCAGCTACTTGGAAGGCTGATGCAGGAGAATCGCTTGAACTCGGGAGGTGGAGGTTGCAGTGAGCCGAGATTGAGCCACTGCACTCCAGCCTGGGCATCAGAGTGTGACTCCATCTCAAAAACAAAAACAGAAACAAAAACAAAAACAAAAACCAGTAGCATAAAGATATCTGAAAAACTCCCAAATATTTGAAAATTAAATAATACACTTTTAAGTAATTCATGGATCAAAGAAGAAATGTCAAAAGATATGAGAAAATATTTTGAAACGAACAAAAAATACAACATATCAAAATTTGTGAGACACAGCTAAAACACGGTTAAAGTATAATTTAAGTCTTTAAATGCTTATTTTAGAAGAGAAGTCCAAAATCAACATTCTGCATTTTCCACCTTAACAACTAGATGCCAGTCACTGTGGCTCACCCGAGTAATCCCAGCACTTTGGGAGGCCGAGGCAGGTGGATCACCTGAGGTCAGGAGTTTGAGACCAGCATGACCAATATGGTGAAACACCGTCTCTACTAAAAATACAAAAATTAGCTGGGTGTGGTGGTGTGCACCTGTAATCCCAGCTACTCGGTAGGCTGAGACAGGAGAATAGCTTGAACCCAGGAGGCGGAGGTTGTAGTGATCTGAGATCAAGCCACTGCACTCCAGCCTGGGCGACAGAGTGAGACTCCTTCTAAAAAAAAAAAAAAAAAAAAAAAAAGCAAAAAACAAATTAGAATTAGAAGAAATTAAACAAAAATTATATAGAAAACATATAGAAGAAACAATAAAGGGAAGAGTGAAAAATCAAGGAAATAGAAAAACTGTAAAGCAAATTTAAGAAAACAAAAGCTTTTTGTTGTTGTTGTTGTTGTTTTAAATTAGGACTCTAGCAGGACCCATCTAGGTAAAAATAGAGGAAACAACTTACCACACTTTTATAATTATTCATCCTTGAACCTACTCCAGTCTGGTTTCTGCCTCATCAAGTCTGCCATGCCACATCTTACTAAAGTCACCAATGGCATCTAGGTTTTCATATCCACTGAGATAGTTTAGTCCTAACCTTTCCTAAGTGCATCATTCAATTTTTAAACCCTTTATTTTATTTTTCAATACTTTCTGATGATAATTCTCTCCTGATTGTCTCCTAACTGTACTCACCACTCCATTTCTGCACGCTTTGCTCTTCTCTTCCCTAATCTTGTAAATTGACGATCTTCCTAAGATTTAGGTCATCTTCTCATTCTACACTGTACTTATAAGTAAACACATACATTACCATGCCCAGATTCCTACAAATCATGTCCAGCTTATATACTGTTGAAGATTCCAAATCCACATATGAATTTACCAATAGGACATAAACATATACATTGCAATGACCAGATTCCTGCAAATTAGGTCCAGCTTATACATTGTTGAAGATTCCAAATCCACATATGAATTTACCAATGGGGCATCTGTTTTTAGATGTTTCAGAGGAACTTTATGGAGTACACCTGTTTGTTTCCTTTCTTGTTATCCCTTTTTCAAGCTTCTGATGAGAGAATCCTTTGTCCTCGACATCTCATGAAAACATAATTGAAATGTATTAACCATGATTACTATTTTTTTCTTTCTCTAAAATGGAAAGTTATGAGAGGATGTTTTACATTTGCTTTATTTACCTATATATTTCCAGAAAAATTGCATAATATGGCATAGAAGTATGCCATTTTAAAACATAATCTGATTGAAATAAGTGAATGAGGGAGTTGAATTCAATAATCTAGCTTGCAAATTTAGATTATTTCCTTTTTTTTTTAAGAAGAAACATACCCAAGAAGTCTTTTGGGGAAGAATGTAATAAATATTTTAAAAAGTAAATAAATGTAAAAAATGAATAGAATATAATTGGACACAAGGTAAAGGTGAACATATTTCATTATATTTTAATATATTATAAAGATGAACAAGCTATATGACAAGAACTACTTTAAATATCATAAATAATATATCTTAGATAAAGCATATGAGTGAATATAGAAATGCATTAGAGCCCTTAGCATATTAATCATTGTTATTTAAAATTTGTTTTGATAATTTCAAAATCTCTGTCATATCTGGACTTAGTTCTGATGCTTACTCTATCTTTTCAAACTATGTGTTTCATCTTTTAGCGTACCTTGTTAATTTTTTGCTGAAAGGTGGACATGATGGATTGAGTAAAAGGAGCTGAGGAAAATTGACCCTTAATGTGAGGGTATTTTAAAAATCTAGTCAAGTGAAGCAGTGGGAGTGGAGAGGGAACAAAGGAATCTGTAACTGGTTGTGATGGATTAGTTGTAAACACCACTGCACTCAGACCAGCCCAGTGTAAGCCTTTGTGGTTATCTTGCTGGTGGTTAGGCTGCGTTTCCTGTTTCCTGTAGCTTTATGTGTCAGAAGCTAAAATTTGCTCTTGTGTCCTTGCATTTGTCTCCCAATTTGTCTTTGGATTTCCCTAGAGATTCCTTCTTAAAGTCTAAGTCTAAAATTTGCAGTTATTTTCAGTTGAAATCCTGTTATTATACAGGAACCCTATTAATGTGATGGTAGATGTGATGGTTAATTTTAGGTGTCAACTTTTGACTTTTATGTATGTGTATATATATATATATATATATATATATAAACATATATATATGTTTCTTTATTCACTCATTGATTGATGGGCATTTGGGCTGGTTCCACATTTTTGCAATTGTGAATTTTGCTGCTATAAATATGCGTTTGCAAGTATATTTTTCACATGTTGACTTATTTTCCTCTGGGTAGATACCTAGTAGTAGGATTGCTGGATTGAATGGTAGTTCTACTTTAGTTCTTTAAGGAATCTCCACACTGTTTTCCATAGTGGTTGTACTAGTTTACATTCCCACCAGCAGTGTGAAAGTGTTACCTTTTCACTGCATCCCCTCCAACATCTATTATTTTTGGATTTTTTTATTATGGCCATTCCTGCAAGAGTAAGGTGGTATCACATTGTGGTTTTGATTTGTATTTTCCTGATCATTAGTGATGTTGAGCATTTTTTCATGTTTGTTGACCATTTGTATGTCTTCTTTTGAGAATTGTCTATTCATGTCATTAGCCCATTTTTTGATGAGGTTGTTTGTTTTTTTCTTGCTAATTTGTTTTAGGTCCTTGTTTCATACCGGGGATGCAGGGATGGTTTAACATACGCAAGTCAATAAATGTAATACATCACATAAACAGAATTAAAAACAAAAATCACATGATCATCACAATTGATGCAGAAAAAGCATTTGACAAAATCCAGCATCGCTTTATGATTAAAACCCTAAGCAAAATCGGCATGGAGGGGACATGCATTAAGGAAACAAAGGCCATCTATGAAAACCCACAGCCAACATAATACTGAATGGGGAATAGTTGAAAGCATTCCCTCTGATAACTGGAATCAGACAAGAATGCCCACTCTCACTACTTCTATTCAACATAGTACTGGAAGTCCTAGCCAGAACAATCAGACAAGAGAAAGAAATCAAGGGCATCCAAATTGGTAAAGAGGAAGTCAAACTGTTGCTGTTTGCTGATGATATGCTTCTATACCTAGAAAACCATAAAGAGGTCTCCAAAAAGCTTCTAGAACTAATAAATGAATTCAGCAAAGTTGCAGGATACAAAATTAATGTACACAAATCAGTAGCTCTGCTCTACACCAACAGTGACCAAGCTGAGAATCAAATCAAGAACTCAACCCCTTTTACAATAGCTGTAAAAAAATTAAATACTTAGGAATATGCCTAACCAAGGAGGTGAAAGACCTCTAGAAGGAAAACTACAAAACACTGCTGAAAGAAATCGTAGATGACACAAACAAATAGAAACACATCTCATGCTCATGGGTGGGTAGAACGAATATTTTGAAAATGACCATACTGCCAAAAGCAATGTACAAATGCAATGCAATTCCCATCCCAATACAACCATCATTCTTTACAGATCTCTAGACAATCCTAAAATTCTTATGGAATTTGAGCCTGCATAGCCAAAGCAAGACTAAGTGAAAAGAACAAATCTGGAGGCATCACATGACCTGACTTCAAACTATACTATAAGGCCATAGTCACCAAAACAGCATGGTACTGGTATAAAAATAGGCAAATAGACCAATGGAACAGAATGGAGAACCCAGAAATAAACCCAAATGCTTACAGCCAACTGAACTTTGATGAAGCAAACAAAAACATAAAGTGGGGAAAGGACACCCTATTCAACAAATGGTGATGAGATAATTGGCAAGCTACATGTAGAAGAATGCAACTGGATCCTCATCTCTCACCTTATACAAAAATCAACTCAAAATGGATCAAAGACTTAAATGTAAAACCTGAATCCATAAAAATTCTAGAATATAACACCTGAATAGAATAGAATAGAACACCGGAAAAATCCTTCTAGACATTGGCTTCTAGATATAATTCTAGATCAAAGACTAAGACCTGAAACCATAAAAATTCTAGAAGATAACACCAGAAAAACCCTTCTAGACATTGGCTTAGGCAAAGACTTCTTGACCAAGAACCCAATAGCAAATGCAACAAAAACAATGATAAATAGGTGGGACTTAATTAAACTAAAAAGTTTCTGCACAGCAAAAGAAACCATCAGCAGAGTAAACAGACAACCCACAGAGTGGAAGAAAATCTTCACAATCTATACATCTGAGACAGGATTTATTAGACCCCTTTGACAAGTAACCTCCTTAGGAGAAAGGCCTATATCTTGTTCACTCTTTTATCATTATCACAGGTCTCATAGTAATGACTCAAGATACAATTATTAACAAGTATCATATTCCAGTAGGATACAATTATTAACAACTATCACATTCCAATAGGTGTAGCTAAAAACATAAAAAAAAGACAGTTGTTAACAAATAGTGTTCTCAGATTTTCTCTTAAAAAGGAGCACTTTCAGCCAGGCATAGTGGCTCATGCCTGTAATCCTAGCACTTTAGGAGGCTGAGGCGAGCAGATCACTTGACATCAGAAGTTCAAAACCAGCCTGGCCAACATGGTGAAACATCATCTCTAATAAAACATAAAAATACAAAATTGTCTGAGCATGGTAGTGCACACCTGTAGTCCCAGCTACTTGGAAGACTGAGGCATGAGAATTGCTTGAGCCTGTGAGCCAGGGGTTGCAGTGAGCTGAGATTGTGCCATAGCACTCCAGCCTGGGCAACAGAACGAGACACTGTCTCAAAAATGAAAACAAGCAAAGAAACAAAAAAACCAGGAAGACTTTCAAGTGTGGCCATGTCCATGTGACTGTGCCTCACCAAGGCCTCAGGTGCAGGATTGTTGCAAGAGTTTTTCACTCAGTATTGTTGTCAAAATCACTGGCTAGCTTATATGTTTTAATTGCACATGGGTGTGCCAATTTTAATTCCAAGACCCACAACATTGTTATCCTTTCCCCAGCACAATCTCACCTCTCAGAGAGCACAACTTTAATCTGACCCTCTGGATCTGAGTGCTCACAGACACACCTCTTCCAATCTAACTCTTGCCAACACACTAATGTGATAGTACAAGTTAGCTCATCACAACTTGAAACTTTTAGTATACCTTTACTATAGGGTGATTGCTTTTGTTCCCTAAACAATCAAATATCTCCAGAGTACTTCTGTGAATGACCTAGGTTGGCAGCAGTAACCTCATCTTCCTTTGATCAGATACTTAGGTGTCAAGTGTCTTCATAGCCTCCAGATGACAAAAGCAAAAATGTATGCTCAATATGTGTGCATGTGGTCAGGGGGTGGGTAAATTATCCTTTTTAAATTTTTATCTTAGATAGCAAAATAAATTTATTTGCCAATTGTTGATTTCTAATTTGAGTTCAATGCATTAAACTGTTGAACATTTATTACGCTCCAAATTTCTTAGCTAGCCAGAGGATTCAATGATTACTTTTTCTTATAAGGAGGTCATATTGAAGTAACTACTGAATGTCCCTTCATTTTTCCATTGGTGCATTTCTACTGAGCTTCTTGGTTTACCATTCTCCACCTCACAATAAAAATGTGGGGCAATAAAGTCCAGAATATGATGCTAGATAAAATTACTCTTCCTTACTGGTCTCATTGTCTTTCTATATATATCTATCTCTCTCTCTATATATATATATTTCTATATCTATCTATCTATCTATCTATCTATCTATCTATCTATCTACATAATTAAATTAGTATTTTTCTTTGCCAGGGTTGTCTTATTGCTTCTGAATTACTCCCTATTTCATCTTGAGTTTAGTACCTCAACAGGGAAATAAAAATGTAAAGAATCTGGTAATGCAAAGAATCTGTATTATTATTTCCCATAATTTTCAAGTCATCATTTTTCTTTCTCCATTAAACTTTTTTAATAAGCCGTTATTACATTTGCATAAGTTGAGGCAAAAGAAGAAATGTAAGTCTCAATATAATAAAAGTAAAAGAAACAAAGTGACTCTCTAGATGAAAAAAGAAAATGGAAGTTCTTGTTTTCTCTTATCCTTTCACCTACCTCAGTATGGTTTCTGCTTATTACTTCCACTTGTCCATTTCTCATAAGGTCAGCAATGATCTGTGTTCCCACTGTAGTGAATGGTTTCAATCCACAGAGCAGTTTAATGACATTTAACATAGTATTAATCAAAATAATGAAGAAAAACAATGATTATTATAATTAATTAAAGTGTCATAATTTCAAATCAAAATATTAAACATATTAAAGTGGTTTGGCTGTCCATCAAATTCACAAAATCTATCCAGAGACAAATATATTTTTTGAAGTAAAAATTATTCAGAGAAAAAAAATCCACATTCTTTTCAAAGTCCCACTCTATTTCTGTCCTCCAATTCTGAAAGCAAACTTCAAAATCATTTTCTATATGTATTGTCACTGATTTCTCTTCTCCGATTCACTCTTCCAGCTTACTCCACTATGATTAATTCCACCCAACTATCTCTATCAGCAGCAATGCCATCTATTTTCCAGATGTAGTGTACACTTTCAATCCACATTTTGCAAGAATGCATTGATTCTTCTAAGCAGTTTCAGTCTTTTAAATATGCTTTTAACAACATTTTTTCTTGTCCCAATGCATGGCCATTCAAACTCTTTCCTGGCTCTTCTCTCCCTTTAAAGTTGAAGTTTGCAGGAATAAATTTTAAGTGTTTTTCTCATTCTATTCAACCCATGTGACATATTCTGTTCCCAAGCTTTCACTTCATGGTATTGCTTGTAAATTACAGACAAAAATATCAGGTTACCAATGGACACTTGCACTTAGATGTCTACTTGTCTGCTATAGAGGATATCTACTACTTTTTTAAAAAAAATTTTGATATGCCTTGCTTCAGTTTTACTGAATTTCATTTGTTTTTATTTCTTCTCACTATAGCATTTAATGTAACAGGTATTAGAAAGTATAGTTATTATTTTCCTTACAAAAATAAAAGATACAAGAAAGCGAAAACGGTATTTGTTATGTTCACCTGGATATCCTAAGGGCAATATAAAACCTCGCTTAGAGAAAGTCAATTTTTACTTACAATTTGGATACAATGATGATGGGTAAATGAATTGTACCATCCATTCTTTAATGAGATTGCACATTTGGGCTTGGTATTTCTTTATTAAAGAATAAACAAATAATATAAGAAGTTTTAATAGTAAAAATTAATAAAAAGAAAATAATATATTGACTAAATATAAATAACATATTTTGATATAACACAATGTAAAAGTACACATAATATTACATGGACAAAAATAATTTAAATCTAATAAATAAATAAATATTTCAATAGATAGATAATTAGATCTATCAGCATGGTCATCTGTAAAGGACTAGTGCCTGCACAGGTAAACATGATGTTTCCTTACACTCCTGAAAAGATCTGAAAATTTTGATTCAACTCATGCGGTGGTTATAGGAGAAATGAGTCTTTGAAATGGCAGAAGTCATAGAAGTGTGGACTGGTGTATTAGTCAATACAGATCATTTCCATGTTGAAACAGGTTTCATTCCTTCCTCCTTAATCTTTCTTGAAAAATTTTTGATAAAGAGAAGGATCTCATGATTTCTGCTCTGACAACCTCCCAGGCACAAGGGCTGTATTTCTTCTCTGTCAGATAAAGAGTGATTCTTTGGAAGTATTTCTTCACAGCCAGGATGGAGTCCACATTCATCAGGGGAGTCTCTTCCACCCCAACCTCCTGTATCACGCAGGCTTCCAGGTCATTCAGCTGCTGGTTAAGTTCAGTGGAAAATTTTTCTAGGAGGCTCTGTTCCCAAGTAGCAGATGAGTCCTTTGTGCTGAAGAGATTGAAGGTCTGCTGGATCATCTCATGGAGGACAGAGATGGCTTGAGCCTTCTGGAACTGGTTGCCATCAAACTCCTCCTGGGGGAATCCAAAGTCATGTCTGTCCTTCAGGCAGGAGAAAGGAGAGATTCTTCCCATTTGTGCCAGGAGTATCAAGGCCCTCCTATTACCCAGGCTGTGGGTCTGAGGCAGATCACAGCCCAGAGAACAGATGGATTTGTAGCTGAGCACCAGCACGGCCATCAGTAAAGAAAAGGACAGGGCCATTGGGATGTTGCCAATATTGCTAGGCTACTTGAGATGGGTAACCTTGAACCTTGGCCTCTAGGTTTTCTGAAGACTTTGCTCTGTGCGTAGGTCTTAAATAGTGAACATACTAATTTCCATTTTCTAAATGCCCTAGTTTTACTTTCTATCTCTGTTTTTGCTTTCTTTATGCACTCTCTACATGTGTTTACAGATGTTTTTCATTTTTTTTCATCATTGCCTATTTTTCCCCTGCACTCAAAACATTTTATGGTATTTTTTTCTAATTGAAATCTTCATGAAATTTTAGTAACACAGATTTGGCTTATCTATTTATGTATAATATGTATATCTCTACTTCACAGATAAAAACTATAAAGTTTGCTCTTTTTATTCAAAGTAAAGAATGACAGAAATGTTAAACTAAAATCTAAGTTTAAAAGCTATTGACATTTAACTTAATTTGATAAGTATATTTGTGGAATAACTTTTAATGTAATTTGTTCATGTAAATTTTGTTTTATGAAATTACATATGCAAAATAAAAATCTATATAAATACACATTAATAATATGAATATAATTACATAGTTAATCATTCAAAACTGCTAAAAATATGAATCAATAATTTTTTAAAATTTTTCTCATAGTATATATATGAAGCTTTGAATTTTGCTTTATATGACAAAATAATTTGTAAACTTAACTAGCTCCAGCATTCATCCAGATATTGCCAACACATTTTTCTTTTCAGCACTTGACATAAATATTGATGTGTTGAATAACTTTAGTAGAAATAAATCACATAATATAAGCTATTTGCATTGAATTCTCAAAGTCTACAAAACATCCTGAAGAACTGAGGATCAAACATAAGCAATAACCATAAGATAGTCAATGACAGCCCAAAGATATGCAGGTTAAAGCCACATATTGTGATAAGACTTTAAGATCCAGCAAAAAAAAAATGGACAAAAAGTCCTCCAATCACAGTCATCTATTTGCCATAGGTTTGTAACACTGATCTTGCTAATATTTTGTTTATCTTCATGAACTCAATACCGTGCTTCTCATATCATACACAAGAAAACCCAATGAGAAAGATGTATATTAAGCAATGAAATTTTGTTGGATAGAGTTGTTGGAGAATCACAAACTATTGTAATATGTGAGATTTGTTTATACTATGAGAACTAATTTTTGTACTCTTAGAAGAAGTATCATTCTAATAAATATATGTGACTTAGAAAATATTATCAATTAAATCATTTTTGGCATTTTTCATTGAAGTTCACATTCCCTAAAGGTTTTCAGAAGTTCCTATCCAAGTCAATTCTTATGAAAAAAGAGACCATCTTTGTTCTAAATTCATAAATTTATAAATATTGAATATTATCATGTAAAGAATTAACTTTCAGAGTGGTCCTGAACTCTGGGTCTACTTTTTTTTTTTTTTTTTTGCATAAGAAGTTAGTTTGCCTCTGCCCTATAGATACTGAGTCCTTAAATGGAATGAGGTCTGTTTTAGCAAATCAGCTATTTAGTAAGTGGAGTTTTTCTAGTTTCTCATTTTTTCTTCTACTGGAAAGTGTTCAAGAATGAGGCTATTTTTCTTCATCATGGCCATATTTGCTGCAATTATAAGACAATGACAAAAATTTCCATTCAGCTTTTACTCAGAATCAATAATGCCCATTAAGTTTACTGCTAAAACCAGTGGGATTCTGGGGATTCAAGTTGCAAGAGCAGCATAATATTATCCTTTGCCTGGCACTATATTAACTATTTATGACCTTATCTCTAATCTGTCCTCTACTTTGTTATAATAGAAAATAACTAGCCTGGTGTCAAATACAGAGTCACATATCTGAATTCAAACTCTCCAATTCACACGGTTTATAGGAATCAGAAAATTTACTATTCCCAAAATTAGGGAATAATAGCCTCTGTCCTCCAGATAATCCTACAGCTTTCCTTCCCTGGATCAAATCCCGAGAATGTGTATGTGAACTGTAAATACTTGTGACATCATTTTTCCATCATATATAAATTTCAGCTTCAAATCACGTGATAATCTTTAGATGACACTGGTAGAAAATCAGCCTGTTTATATAAAGGTAGAGATTATGAAATGGACCAATTTTAGAAAATAACCAAACACATTTTATTATTCATTATTTTAAATGATTCACTTACATTCTTTGTATAATTGAACAATTAAAATATTCTACATTGTGAAATGTGCACAGGGGTTTCCATAATAGAGGAGGTTTCATTTCAGAAATGTATATTTTCTACATCAATTTAGTAGTTGATCCAGTCAGCAAATTTGTATTGAATTTTGGGCTCATCCTTTGTATCAGACCCTGAGAATAAAGGGCAATTTTGCCCAAGTTATTATTCTTAGTCTTTGAAACACTGGGGGAGAGAGTAATTTTTCTTTGTTCACTTGAGATCGTATTGGGAATTTTTGCATATTAATTTTCATGTAGTATTTTACTGTGAAAATTTGTTTTTCTATACTTTGATTTCATTTTCATATTCAGGTTAGTGTCAATGAAAGAGTATAAATATAATGTTTAAATGGACTATACAATTGTTCTATGTGGCATTCACAACAACAAATACATTCATATTTCTCACTTCACTTTTCCTAGAAGGTAGAAGTGGTCTGATTTTTCATCTTAATTTATGGGAACAAAAAGAAAACAAACATATGTCTAAATGTGATAAACATGGAAGAGGAGAAATACCTAATGTAAATGACACATTAATGGGTGCAGCAAACCAACATGGCACATGTACACCTATGTAACAAATTTGCCCGTTGTGCACTTGTACCCTAGAACTTAAAGTATAATAATAATAATAAAAAACGTGACAAGAGGGGAACTTAGAAAACATCTTGAGACAGATGAAAATGAAAACACAACATACCAAAACATATGTGATGCAGTGAAATCAGAACTAAAGGGGAAATTGAAAGCTGTAAAAGCTTATATTAAAAAAGAAGAAAGACCTCAAACCAATGAACTAACTACAAATTAAGGAACTAGAAAAAGAAGAAATAAACACATAGCTAGGAAGAGGAAGAAAATAAGAAAGACTAAAGCAGAAATTAATAAAATACAGAATAGAAAAGCAATTAAAAAATCAATGGAACTAAGCATTAGTCTTTTGAAAGGATCAACAAAATTGACAAACCCTTAACTATTTTAAGAAATAAGTAGAGAAAAATCAAATAAAAATCAGAAATAAGAGAGGACACATAACAGCTGATGGCATAGACCTAAAAAGGATCAGCCGGGCGCGCTGGCTCACGCCTGTAATCCCAGCACTTTGAGAGGCCGAGGCGGGCAGATCACGATGTCAGGAGATCGAGACCATCCTGGCTAACACGGTGAAACCCCATCTCTACTAAAAATACAAAAAAGAAATTAGCCGGGCGTGGTGGCGGGCGCCTGTAGTCGAGGCTACTCAGGAGGCTGTGGCAGGAGATAGGTCTGAACCCGGGAGGCGGAGCTTGCAGTGAGCCAAGATCGCGCCACTGCACTCCAACCTGGGCGACAGAGCAAGACTTCATCTCAAAAAAAAAAAAAAAAAAAAAAGTAAAATGGATTATAACAGACTACTACGAACAATTATACTCCAACAAATTGATTAACTTAGAAGAAATATATAAATTCCTAGAAACAAACAACTTACCAAGACCAAATCATGAATAAACAAAAAATCTGACTAGACCTATAACTAGTAAGGAGATTGAATCAGTCACCAAACTTCCCAATAACAACAACAATAAAAAACCATAATCAGATGGCTTCAGTGGATAATTCTATCAAACATTTAGGGAATTAACACCAATCTTTCTCAAAATCTTCCAAAAAATTGAAAAGGAAGGAATAGTTTCAAACTCATTTTATGAGACTAGCATTTTCCTGATAACAAAGCCAGACAAGGACACTACAAGAAAAGAAAACTAACAGATCCATATCCATGATAAATGTTGATACAAAAATCCTCACTAAAATACTTGTAAACCAAATTCAACAGCACAATAAAAGGATTATAGATCACGACCAAAGGGGATTTATTACTTGGATGGAAGAATGTTTCAACATATGAAAATTAATCAATGCAATACATCACATTAACAAAATGAATGAAAAATATACATAATAATCTCTACAGATACGGAAAAAGAAATAGACAAAATGCCATATCTTTTCATGATAAAAACATTTAACAAACTTGGAATAAAAGGAAGTTACCTCCACATAATAAAGGCCATGTACGAAAAGCCCACAATTAACATTATATTCAATGGTGAGAAACTGAAGGCTTTTCCTCTAAGATCAGGAACAAGTAGGGATGCCATTGTTACCACTTTTATACAACATAACATTTGTAGATCTAGCCATAGCAATTAACAAGAAAAAGAAATAAAAAGCATTCATATTGGAAAGGAAGAAGTAAAATTATCTTTTTGCAGATAGCCTGATCGTGTATGTAGAAAACCTAAAGTTCACACACACGCATGCACTCACATACAAACTGTTAGAACTAATAAATGAATTCAGCATAGTTGTAGAATACAAAATTAAGATGCAAAAATGAGTAGCATTTTTATATGCTAACAATGGACAAATCTGAAAAGGAAACTTAAAAAAAAACCACATTTGCAATAGCATCAAAACAATAAAGTACTGAGGAATAAACTTAAAGAAAGTGGAAAAAGATTTATATATTGAAAACTAGCAATCACTGCTGAAAGAAATTAAGGAAGAGAAATGAGAAGACATTTCTGTTCATGGTTGGGAAGCCCATCATCGTTATAGTGTTCAAACTATCCAAAGCAATAGACAGATACAATGCAAGCCCTATCAAAATCACTAAGGCATTTTTGGCAGAAGTAGAAAAATCTGTCCTAAAACTCTTATGGAATCTTGAAGGACCAGAATCAATCTTCAGAAAGACAAGCAAAGCTAGAGGCCTCACCCTACCTGATTTTGAAACACATTACAAGCCTACAGTAATAGAAATGGAATGATACTGATATAAAGATGGACATATAGGCCAATGGGAGAGAATAGAAAGCCCAGAAGTAAACTCTCATGTATATGGTCAAATGAACTTTGACAAAAGTGCCAAGGCTACACAATGGTTAAAGATCAACTCTTCAAAAATCAGGTTGTGAAAACTGTATATACACATGCAAAGGAATGAAGTTGCATCCTTACTGTACACTATATGCTAAAATTAACTCAAAATAGATCAAAGATTTAAACATAAGACCTGAAACTGTAAAAACTTTAGAAGAAAATCTTCAGGGAAGGCTCAGACAATGGGTTTGGCAATGAAATCTTGGATATCACACCAAAACACAGGTAACTAAAGTAAAAATAGATAAATTGGAGTATACAAAGATTAAAAATCACTGTGCATTCAAGGACAAAATCAAGAGTCAAAACTCAAACCTCAGAATGGCAGAAAATATTTGCAAATCATGTATTTGATAAAAGTAATAGCCTATTCAGAACATAGAAGGAACTCCCATATCTCAACAAAAAAATATAACTTGAGTAAGGAATATGAATAGATATTTATTCAAAAAAGATATACAAATGGCCAACAAGCATATTTCTCTGGCCTGAATGTTTGTGCCCTGCCAAAATTCATATGTTGAAACCCTAACTCTTAGGGCGATGGTGTTAGGACATGCGCCTTTTTGGGATGTGATTAATTCCATTGTGGCTCATTGTGAAATAGGACACGGGCCACAATCACACACCAAATCTGCTGGTACCTTGATTCTTGGGCTTTCCACCCTCCAGAACTGTGAGAAATAAATTTATGTTATTTATAAACTACCTAATTGATGATATTTCATTATAGCAACCTGAATGAACTAAGGAACATAGGAAAAGATCCTCAACATCACTATTAGGGAAATGCAAATCAAAGTCACAATGAGATTTGAATTCACATCTATCAAGGTGGCTACCATCAAAATAAATAAAATAACAAGTGTTGGTGAAGATGTGGAGAAATTGGAACCCTTGTGCACTGTTGGTGGAAATGTAAAATGGTGCAGCGCAGCCACAATGGAAAACAGGTATCTCAAAAAATTAAAAACAGAATTACCATATAATCTAGGAATTCCACTTATGGATATATATTTAGAATCCTTTTTGTTTTGTTTTGTTTTGTTTTTATGATGGAGTATCACTCTGTCGCCCAGGCTGGAGTGCAGTGGCACAATCTCGGCTCACTGCAAGCTCTGGGAAATCTCTGCCTCCCAGGTTCACGCCATTCTCCTGTCTCAGCCTCCCAGGTAGCTGGGACTACAGGCGTCCGCCACCATGCCTGGCTAGTTTTTTTGTTTTTTTAGTAGCGATGGGGTTTCACCATGTTAGCCAGGATGATCTTCATCTCCTGACCTCGTGATCTGCCCACATCGGCCTCCCAAAGTGCTGGGATTACAGGCATGAGCCACCGCGCCTGGCCTAGAATACTTTTTAAAAATGAGATTCAAAGATACATTTTTACATCCATCTTCATAACAATAGCCAAAAGTTGGAAGCAACCCAAGTGTCCATTGATGGATGAATAAACAAACTGTGATATATACATATAATGGAATATCATTCAGCCTCATATATATTTCATTAAGCATATAATGGACTATATTATTCAGTCTTATACCATGGATGATTATTCTGACTTATCATATTATTCAGGAAAATGTGGTATATACAGATAATGGAATGTATTCAGCATAATTCTGACATATACTACAGCGTGAGGACCTAATGTAAGCCAGGCACAAACAGACAAATGTAATATGATTTCAATCATATGAGTTATCTAGAGTAGATAAATTCATAGAAACAGAAAGTAAAACGGTTGTCAGGGGTGGGGGTCCAGGGGAGAGGAGATAAGGAGCTGTTGTTTAATGAGTATGGTTTTGGTTTTCCAAGACGAAAAACTGATGATCAGTTGCATGGCAATGTGAATTTACTTAATACTGCTAAGCTGTACACTTAAAAATGGTTAAAATGGTAGATGTTGATAAGATGTGGGCATGGGCTCAAAGAAAAGTAAGCATTCCTGGTCCAGATTTTGGCTTTCAGATTTGCTGAATTCTGTCTTCACAGAGTCAAGGGAGTCATATCAGCTAACTCAGAAGAGTTTATACACAAGAAGGCAAATTTTTGAGAGTCTAGTATTTTTTTTTCTGGGTAGTCCTAAATGTTAATTGCACTAAATTCTCCCCTGGTATATAAATAAATTGAGCAGATAAATAATTTGCTTGTCATATATCTAACAAGAAGTAAGGAAATAGATAATTGGAAACAATACTTCCCCCATCTTAATAGAGTTAAATAACAAAAATAACGTTAATTAAAAGAACTAAATAGCTAAATTATAGAATATATTTACTATCAGTCAGACATTGTTGTTAGTACTTACAAATCAATCCTCATTTTACCCAGTGAAGAATAAGCCCCATGTTGCATACATGTTGAACACCTATTATGTGCCCTGTCCTGTTAAGTCACTGGAGACATCTGTGGCTACAGCAGGCAGTGATAAATTCTACTATTTTCCTCATTTTTAAGAGAACAAACCTAAGCACAGGGAGCTATTGAACTGTGGAGCCACTGTTGGAACCCAGAAAATCCCATTTAGAGTACTCAGCTCTTAGATGTGCTCTGGTAATATGTCATAAGAACCAGAGCTGATTTCTAGACTCTGGTCCACATTTTTCTTTCCAGCAGAGCCCTACCTAAATAATGAGAGGGTCTTTCTCTTCTCTTCTTATTCCTCTTCTCCACTGAGAAGCTTCATTTGCTCATGCCAGACATGTTTTATTATGAAATTGGGCCTCATGTTACTTACATATATATCCTAGTTTTGTCTTTCTAAGACTGTATTTTCATAAACTTGAATATATTTGTGAAACATTTTGTTCACCCCAGTAATATATCCATAGGCAACTCTTTGAAACCCTACATATTTCTATCCATTTATGAAAATGTCCACAAGGCTTCAGATTTCTATCTGTTTGTCACACACCTTTGTGTCATCACCAGGATATAAGCATGCGCTAAAATCAGAACTAAACCAACCAAATGAAGGCTCAGAGCTCAGGGAGGGCACATCTAGAAGGGCTCACTAAAGGAATTAGAGGTGTGGAAATGTAAGCACATCTGGGGAAGAGAGGAGAGCCCAGTGCATTAGAGGAGAAGGACTGAGATGACCGAAGACTGAATCACCTCACTTGGCAGCTGGTTGATGCCTTTTTTAGGGTTTGCTGCTGGGTTGATTGCACATTCTGACTGGAGGAACCCTAATAGCTAAGGAACAATCTTTTAGACAGTTACATTATAGATAGAATTTTCTGTCTTCTGAAAAAAATTAGGAATCTAATGAATGATTTAAATCAACTAAATACATAAACAAATTTTAAACCAGTAAGGTCTAGAATCTTGAAAATCTATTCATTTTTAACTTTTTACTTTCAAACAATTTTAGATTTACAAAGAATTGCAAAGATACTATAAAATTTTGCTTATGCCCTTAACCCAGCTTCTTCTCATGTTAACAACATACATGACCATGTTGTAATGAATCAAAACAAAGAAATGAACATTGGGGCCATATTACTAACTTTCAGATTTTACTAAGATTTCCTCAGATTTTTAAAAACTGATGTTTTATCTTATTTCAAGAATCAGTCCAAATTGATTCTTGATTTGGATTGATTTTTGTCAATCCAAATTGTTGGATTGTTGTCATACCTTCAGTCTCCTCCAATCTGTAACGCATGCTCAGTCTTTCTTTGGCTTTCATGACATTGAAACTTTTGAAGAATATTGGTCACTTATTTCATAGACTGTTCACCAATTTGGATTTGTCTAATGTTTACTCAGGATTATGCTGAGGTTGTATGTTTAAAGGGTTGAAACCACAGAGTTTATCTGATCGTCTCATCACACAATATCCAAGGTACATGATATTGATATCTTTTATTACATATCTTTTATTACTGCTGATGTTAACTTAATCACTTGGTTAAGATGGTGTTTGCCAGACTTCTGTCCTATAAAGTTACTATTTTTGCCCTCTACACACTACATGGTAGAAGCATATCACTAAATAGCAGCCTACACTCAAGTCTCTAATCTAGTTTCCCTCATTCATTTTTATGTTATCTTACATTCTTGGTGATATCATGTAATTAGCCATTTTAGGATTCACAAATGTTTATGATTTCCTGAAGCCAGTGCTCTCTATCTTAGAACAACTCTAAATTTAATCAGGAAATAATGCAAGCAATAATATTAAAATGTATAAAGGGATTCTTGAACTTAGGTAGCTCAATCAGAAGAATTAAATGAGTTTTAAAATATCAGAAGTAATATAAGTGTAGCAGTTTGTAAGTTTAGCAACCATATTAATACAGAAAAAAAAAACAGAAAAAGTTGTATTATCAGAATTAACGAGATTTACGGTAGAGCTGCATCTATTGTTAATAACAAAGAAAATAAAATTGCAATAGAATGTTGTGCAATAATTGCTTGTCACTCTAACAAAAATTAATTTGGATTCTCATAGCATATTAAAAAAACTCTAATATATTACATAATTAAATGTAAAAACATATTTACAAGAACAGAAACTGAATATGTGTAAATCAAAAGACTTAAGGAGGCATGTGGCTCTATGTTCTAGACAGTGCTTGGAAAAATATACAAGGAACTGTTTAGTGTTTGGTACACACATGAAATAAAGAATAAGTATCCATCAAAAGATTATGGCTACAATGTGCAGGAAATGTTTTGACAATGATTAGGAATTCTAAAATTATAAATCAATAATGTAAATAAACAACATTGAAACTAGAGTAAATGAAATAACAGGTAAAGTAAAATCAAAATTGTAAAACTTAATTGAAAAAAGAATTTAAATTAGCAAGTAAATGGGTTACTATTGAAATTTACTACCAGGTAGTATTAATTAGAATAATGATAAATTACCTCTCAGCCAAATAAATAAGCAACATTTTAAATAAAAAATACAATTAATAGGTTAAATAAATGAAATATTAAAGATGTTCAGTACAGCATGGAATAATAATGCATTGTATACTTGAAATTTGCTAAGGGAGTAGATATTATATGTTCTCACCATGCACAATAAAATATTATAACTATGTTAGGTGAAGGATGTGTTAACTTGATTGTCAGAATCATTACAACAAGGCATAATTAAAGCAAAACACTATGTTGTACACCTTAAATCCATAAATTTTAATTTCTCAACTATATATCAACAAAAAATGTTTAAAGATTTTGTTCGAATTCATCTATTCTTTGAAAATGATTTTCAGAAAACACTAACAAAATATGCATGAAGATCTTAACCCACATTCTTCTACAAGTATCATCTTATTTCCCTACTCCACAAACAAGTTTCCCACCATAATTTTTTATGCATAGAACACCCAAATACCCTTATTGTATTTCTTCTTCAACCCACTCCCATCAAGTTTCTGTCCCATTCATTTTACTAAACCTAGATCCACCTAAGGTCACTGATGGCATCTGTTTTTGAGTCCGTTAGGACAGGTCAGCCTTCATCTTCCCTGAAAACACCACTGTCTACCCCTCGCTTGTCTCTCCCTCATTCTTTGCTATTTCTCCTTCCAGCTGCACTGACCACTCCTCCTAAGTGCTCTTTGACCTTCACAGACTCTCCTTCTCTGCCCTACCAATGACTGTTGAGGATCTGCAGGACTAAGTTTAGATCCTGTCTCATCGTTCCCTCAATTTATAACTATGTTAGGTGACAGATTCCCTAATATCCATTCTCATGTCCTCAATACCAGACATGCAGTAAAGAATCCCAAATTAATACCTTTGCCCATGGCATTTGTTGTTCATTCTAGACCCATATTCCCAGCTGCCAATAAGATTCTGGAAATACTGTTTCCCTTGGTATCTGTGGGATTTTTGTTCTAAGACTCCACACCTGTCCTCCAGATACCCAAATCTGTGAAAACTCAAGTCCTGCAGTCCCCTTCATATATGCGAGTTTCACATCCCACAAATGCTGTATTTTCTATCCAGTTTAGTTTTACATGCAGAAAATACAGATATGGAAGGTGAACTGTATTGGAAAAAAAAAAACCTGTATAAGTGGACCCATGCAGTTCAGAAGTTCAATCCCATGCTGTTCAAGGGCTACCTGTACATATACCCCAAGTACCTTAAGAAGGACATCTAACATTGTTTTCCCTGCCTGGCATCATTTGTATCTAAAACTTCTGGTGTGAGAACATTGTTTTCCTTTACTTCTTTTTCAAGCTTTTAAGAGAATTGCAATAAAGTAAGCATTAGTCCTGTTTTTACATCTCTTTCTCTGTAAGATGGAGAGTGCTTTATTCAATTTATTTCTTGAAGGGAACTCTACAATCTGCCACTTACTTAGCTTATACATATAATGTGAATGGAATAAATGAGTAAATATATTTTATTGTCCTTCCTTCAATTATGTTAAAAATGTGGGTGTGGATTTTGTTTTTAGAAAAAAGATTTCCAGGCATTTTCCTTAATGAATAAAACAAACGAGAATTTAATGAATAAAACAAATGCAAATTTAATGACATGGAAAGACGAATATATTTGTAAATTTTAACACAATGTAAAGATGAATATGTTATTATATGTAAAATATCTAAATATTATAAATGAAACAGCTGCAAAAAGAATGGAAATAAGTAAGTATATAAAACATATCAGGGCAGTCATGTCTTAGGAACTGAAGACCAGAGCCAAAGGTTTTTAACATATACTTGCTTACTATTGTTAACAAGGTATTTGCTGAATTTAATTCAATAAATTCTGTGACAACTGCAGAAAAAAGAACCTATTGAAATGACCAAAGACACATGTGCAAGTGTGATATGGCAGATTAATCAATGAGAATAATTTCAGGATGAACCCAGGTCTTCATCCTTACTTCTCAGTCCTTCTTGCAAGTTTGTTGATGATGAAGAGAAGGATTTCACGATTCCACTCTGACAACCTCCCAAGCACAGTCACTGTATTTCTTCTCCTCCAGGTAGATTCCCTGGATTCCCATGCATTCCCTGAAAGTACGTCCTCAAGGCCAGTGTAGGGCCCCAATCACCCCACAGATTCTTCCTCTCTTTTTGTCTGCCCTAAGCAAGACTCCAGGCATTCCAGCTGCAGATGAAGTCCAGTGTGGAGTTGGTCCAGGAGGGTCATGTTCCAGGCAGCAGAGGAGCACTCTGTGGGGAAGAGGCTGAAGATCTGCTGAAGCATCTCATGGAGGACAGACAGGGCCGGGGCCTTCTGCAACTGACTGCCATCCACATCTCCAGGGGGAACCTGAAGTCTCTTCTGTCCTTGAGACACAAGAAAGTGGAGATTCTGCACATTTGGCCCAGAAGTGCCAAGGTGTTCCTGCTAAGTAGGCCATGGTTCTGAGGCAGGTCCCAGCTCAGAGATCCAACAGGGCCACAGTGGCAAAGCGGCAGGGCCACGAGTAGAGGAAGCAGGAGGACCATTGGGAAACGAGGGTGCTGCTGGCCTAGCTGAGCTGGGGTCTGGATGAACCTTGGACTTCAGGTTCTCTGAAGGCATTCCTGCTATGCATGGCTCTTAGTTGGAAAAAAATAGCTTTCAGGGTTGGTCAAGATGGCCAACGAGAAGCTGCTAGTGTGTGCCACTCTCAAGTAGAGAAATGGAAGGGGCAAGTACATACAGCACCTTCAACTGAAACATCCAGGTACACACATTGGGACTCAAGAAAACAACTTGACCAGTGGAGAACAGAGTAAAGCAAGGCAGGATGACTGCCTACCCAGGAGTGACACAGAGCCAGGGGAGCCTCCCCAACCAGGGAAGTGGTAAGTGAGCAGCCTTGGGGACCCACGCTTCTCCCACAAATCTTTGCAACCCTCAGGTCAGGAGATCTCCTAGTGAACTCACTCTACCAGGGCCTCCAGTCTGACATGCGGGGCTGTGTAGGGTTTCAGCAGAGCAGCCACTCAGCATACCTGGGGAACCTGGAGCCTTAGATACCCAGGCTTCCCCACAAAAGAAGCTATAACTCCAGCCAAGCAGGAGGCTAGACCGCTATACATACCCCAGTGAAAGGGGTTTCATCCATGGGGCTGAGCAGTGACAAGTGGCAGGCCCACCTTCCATGGTCTGTCTCAGGGTAAGACCCACTGGCTTGGGAATCCAGCCAGCCACTGGTAGCACCCTCACACCCCCCTGACATGGAGCTCCCAGCGGCAGGGTGTGGGCTGCCATCTTTACTGTTTCACAGCCTTAGCTATTGGAGCCTCTGGGTTCTAGGGAGTCCAAGGCAGCTAGGGACTGGAGCAGCCACCCTGCACAGCCCAGCAGCTCTACAGAGAAGCAGTCAGACTGCTTATTCACGTCAATCCCAAATCCTGTTTCTTTTCACCAGGTGAAATCTCTCCACTGGGGTCTCCAGTCACCTCCACCACTGTTTTCTGGCAGACAGCAGTTTCAAATGTCCCTGGGATGGCGCTCCCAAAGGGAAGGGTGGGTTGCCATTGATGCTGTTTAGCAGCCTTAGCCATTCTTGCAAATGCCATTCTTTTGTGCTGGGGGTGGTAGCAGACCCCCAGCACAGCACAGCTGCTCTACCAAAAAGTGGCCAGACTGTTTCTTCACCTGATTCCCTGATGCTGCTTCTCCTCAGTGGGCGGCATATCCCCACCGGGGTCTCCAGCCACCTCGCGCAGGTATGTTCCAGCAGGCAACAGGTTGTACCTCTCTGGAACAGAGCTCCCAGAGGGAGGGGCAGGCCCCCATCTTCACTGTTTCGTAGCCTTCACTGTTGATACCTTGAGGAACTGAAAAATGCGAGGTGACTATGGTCTGGATTGGACCCCTAGCGTATTGCAGCAGCCCTGTGGAAAAGTGGTCAGACTGTGTGTTATGTTGGTCCGTGATCCCCTATCTGCTCACTGGGTGGGTCTGCCAGGCCTGGAACTGCAGCCACCAGCAGGGACTATCGAGCCAATAGCAGCTCTGCAACTCCCTAGAACAGAGTTCCCAGTGAGAAGGGTGGGTTTCCATCTTTGCTATCTCACAGCTCTTGCCCTTGCTGTCTCCAGACTCTGGAGAGTTTGCAGGGAACAGTGGCTGGTCCAGATCCCTAGCACAGAGCAACTAACTCACAGAAGAGTGGACAGACTGTTCTCCATGCTGTTCCTGGTTGTCACCTCGCCACAATGTGCAGGGCCACCTGACCAGAGTCTCCAGCACAGGCACCCTTCCCCTGCCTCATCTCCTCAATCAGGCAGTCCAGCATTTCTCCAAGGAAGAAATCCCACAGTCAACCCACAACCCATCCACCACTACTGTTGCAGTGGGACAGCCCCAGCAGCCCTCTGGCTGGGGAAGGAACAAAGGGCCTAGTCACTACACTCTCACCTCCAGCACATCATAGCCACTGTATGAAGAGGAGTCCAGCCCCTCTTCCCTGAGAATCCCCATCCCTATTCTTCAGGAGGCAGGGCCCCCAGCCCATGACTGCAAAACAGTCACCCTACACATGGCTGAGCACATCCACTGGTAGTTGCCTGGAGTTTCCCTGGGGAGAGGCTCCCAGAGCCATCCTACCTCTGCCACTGCCACAGCAGCAGTTTTATCCATGCTGCCTTGGGTCTGGGGAAGAAACAAAGAGTCTGAAGCTCTTTGTTTACAAGCTTACAGCACGCCACAGTCACCTGAACTTAAAACACGCTGCAGTTACCATATGGTGAGGAGAATAGTCTCTACTCCTGGTAAGATTGTCGCCTTCTGTTTCCCAAAATGTGAAGCCCCAAGCTTACACCAGCAGTGCAGCCACCCCACCCCTCTGGCTAAACACTCCCATTAACATGGCTTCACATTTCTAGAAGGTGGAGACCCCAGGGGCAACAGAAAGCCTGTCTACCACTGCCTCTGCAGTGGTACTACCCCAGCTACCTTGGAACTTATGAAGGAGCAGAGACCCCAAGTGCCTTATCCATACCTCCAACAAGCTGCAGTCAACCCAAGAGAAGAGGCCAGTCTGTCTCCCATTGGTCAACCACCCACCCGTCACATCACCAGGCAGGGAACCCCTGTCTTGGGCCCACAGCACAGACACCCCCATTCCAGGCTGAAAGCACTGAATGATTGCTCACCTGCATCTCTGGGGTGGAGCCCCCAGGAGACAAGCAAAAGACCCTCAGTTAAAACTACTACTAAGGTCTCTTCCTTCCATGCCTCCAAGGTGAGGAGAAAACATTAACCCTGAGATCACCCCAGAACTGTTGTGTGCAGCCTGGTAGTGCCAAGACAAAAGCTACAGTCAGCAGTCAAGTGGGAGAGGAGCCCACACTTTCATAGCATTGAGACGGAGCAGGCTGCAACCATGAGGAAATGTATGGGAGCCACATGACTGAGCAAGAGCCTGACAACTGACCACTGCACCTAAGAGTCACCTACTAGGTCATGCCCAAAGCTTCAACACTAAAAAAATCTCACTAACATACCCTCATTAAACCAAAGACAAGTCAGCTACAAATAAAGACCCTACACAAAGCTGCAGCCCTGTGAACACAGCCAGAACCAAAGTCAATTTATTGATTGGACTCAAGCTACACTCCCATATGCAGAGATGAGAAAGAACCAATGGAAGAACTATGGTAACTGAAATGGACAGAGCATCTTATGTCCTCCAAATAATCACACTAGTTCTCCAGCAAGGGTTCTTAACCAAAATGAGTTAGCTAAAATGACAGAAATATAATTCAGAATATGGACAGAAAGGAATTTCACTGAGATTCAGGAAAACAGTAAAACCTAAACCAAGGAAACTAAGAATCACAATCAAAGGAGAGAGGAGCTGACAGACAAAATAACCAGTATGAAAAAGAACCTAACAGAACTAGTAGATGTACACACTACAAGAATTTCACAATGCAATCACAAGTATTAACAGCAGAATAGACCAAGCTGAGGACAGAATCTCAGGTCTTGAAGACTGGCTCTCTGAAATAAGACAGTCAGACAAAAATAAAGAAAAAAGAATGAAGAGCAATGAACAAAACATCCAAGAAATAGGGGATGGTATAAACAGGCCAAATCTAGGAATCACTTGCATCCTTTAAAGAGACAGGGAGAAAACAAACAACTTGGAAAATGTATTTCAGGATATCATCTATGAAAACTACCACAACCTTGATAGAGAGACCAAAAGTCAAAGTCCCTTGAAGTTCTACACCCAGATTGACCAGCTGTTCTGATTCCTAGTCTAGCACAATCCATAGAGGAAGGGATAAGTTAGGAGGTCCCGGGGAGGCTGGGCAGGCTGGAGGAAAGGGACATATCCTGAACCTTTCTCTTTCCCCATAGCTGTCCATTGCCCCAAGACATGTCATGCCTGAAGCTGGGAGTATTTTCTCTGTCTAAGATACAAAAGTTAAGGAAATGGGCTAATTCCAGTACTGTGATAGTTCTTTCTTGGGAAGAGCCTCTTTTTAGCTATGAAGATAAATCTCCTGCCAGCAGGCCTACTTCTGCATTCACAACCTGCTCTCCACAGACTTGGCTGCTGTCTTGGTGCACTTTGACCAGTTGGGGGCTCTCTTTCCCTGTAAATGTTGTAATAGTCTCAAAGTCAAATGGAGTCTGCCTTTTATTTCCTTTTTTGCTAAGCTACTGTTATGTCATTGTAACAGTGACATTCCGTCTTTTACAGAAATATTCATCATAAGAAAGGAAAAAGTATTTTATAAAAGAGCTTCTGAAAAACGTAGAACTTTCACTGGCCTTCTGCTTTAATTTGTGATTTTGTGCTCTTAAGGGGAAAGTGATGGGTAAAACCCACAAGAGAACTGAAAACAGCTGTATGAAGAGGCAGTGCAGGCTAATGATGAGTGAAGAAGAGAGCACAGTGTGCATTTCTAGAGGAAGAGGAAGGAAACTAATGTGATATGGGAGTGAAAAACGGGACACAGAAAAGCAGGGAGGAAAGGGGAAAGTGTGTCAGCTCTCAGAACCAGCAAAGATGTATATTTTACTTAAGTTTAGTAGACTAACTTCATATGGGAGTGTACTCTGGGATTCTGAGAGCCAGGAAACAAATGTTCCAGGTGCCAGAATCAGTTAACCATCGACACGTGTATTCTGCACTTCAATCTAGATGCTGCTCCTCTGACAGGTATTTATACAAGCCACCATTCCTGACTGAATATAAATAGGACTTTGAAATGAGGTGAGACAATTTTTCAGCCTCTCTAGAATTCATGACAGAATTCTGTTGTTTTAGGCTGCCTAAAAAAATATATGCAAGCAGAATGGAATTTCAATGTAAAATAATTTATTGTTATTTATACCTGGTGTGTAAATTTTGTATTGAGATTTCCTTAATAATTATTAATCTCCTTTTTTCCTCAATTATACACAACTATCTCCTGCTATCTGAATTTCCTTGGTTCATGTTGTATTTTCAGCTGATTTTGACCAACTTTCTCTCTCTCTCCTTCCTTTCTTTGTCTTTCTTTTCTTTCCTTCCTTCCTTCCTTTTTCTTTCTCTCCTTTCTTTCTTTCTCTCTTTCTTTCTCTCTCTCTTTCTTTCTTTCTTTCTTTCTTTCTTTCTTTCTTTCTTCCTTCCTTCCTTCCTTCCTTCCTTTCCTTCCTTCCTTCCTTCCTTCCTTCCTTCCTTCCTTCCTTCCTTCCTTCCTTCCTTCCTTCCTTCTTTCTTTCTCTTTCTTTCTTTCTCTTTCTCTCTCTTACTTTCTTTTTTTTTGATTTTGCTTTAAGTTCCGGAATACATGTGCAGACCGTGAAGATTTGTTACCTAGGTATATGTGTGCCATAGTGGTTTGCTGCACCTATCAACTCGTCACCTAGGTTTTAAGCACAAATTTTTTTTTAATCCAGTCTGTCACTGATGGGCATTTGGGTTGGTTTCCTGTCTTTGCTATTGTAAATAGTGTTGTAATAAACATACACCTGCATGTATTTTTATAATAGAATGATTTATATTCCTTTGGGTATATACTCAGGAATGGGATTGCTGGGTCAAATGGTATTTCTGGTTCTAGATCCTTGATGAATCGCCACACTGTCTTCCACAATGGTTGAACTAATTTACATTCCCACCAACAGTGTAAAAGCTTTCCTGTTTTTCCACAGCTTCACCAGCATCTGTTGTTTCCTGACTTTTTAGTAATCACCCTTCTGAGTGGCATGAGATGGTATCTCATTGCGGTTTTGATTTGCATTTCTCTAATGATCGGTGATGTTGAGCTTTTTTCATGTTTATTGGCCGCATAAACGTCTGCTTTTGAGAAGTGTCTGTTCATGTCCTTTGCCCACTTTTCGATGGGGCTTTTTTTTTGTGTGAATTTGTTTAAGTTCTTTGTACATTCTGGATATTAGACCTCTGTCAATTGGGTAGACGGCAAA
This sequence comes from Homo sapiens, assembly GCF_000001405.40. Lineage (NCBI taxonomy): Eukaryota > Metazoa > Chordata > Mammalia > Primates > Hominidae > Homo > Homo sapiens. The sequence goes on from NC_000009.12 coordinate 21,185,103, forward strand.
AATTTTCTCCCATTCTGTAAGTTGCCTGTTCACCCTGATGATTGATAGTTTCTTTTGCTGTGCAGAAGCTCTTTAATTAGATGCCATTTGTCAATTTTAGCTTTGGTTGCAGTTGCTTTTGGCAATTTCATCATAAAATCTTTGCCCATGCCAATGTCCTGAATGCTATTGCCTACATTTTCCTCTAGGGTTTTTATGGTTTTGGGATTTACATTTAAGTGTTTAATCAGTCTTGAGTTAATTTTTGTATAAGGTGTAAGGAAGGGGTCCAGTGTCAGTTTCCTGCATATGGTTTTCCAGTTTTCCCAGCACCATTTATTAAATAAGGAATCCCTTCCCCATTCCTAAAGTATTGAGAAAGAGATTCTCTTTTCCAGTTTCTGATTTTATTTTATGAAACAAATGTGTCAGTTTTTACTGACATTTAACGGAATATTAATCAAAATAATGATCAATTACTATTGTAAATTTTATATTTTATGTGTTTAATATATAAAATATTAAATGTATTAATATGATTTACCAGTGCATCACATTTATGAAATTTATTCATTGACATGTATTTTCAAAAAGGAAACACTATGCAGATAAAAGATAATCCACATTTTTGGGTGTACCAACTTATTACTTCCCTCCATTGCAAAGGCAGATATCTCACAATTTTCTATATGTGTTATCTTGATTTTTCTTTTTTGATTCACTCTTCTACTTACCGCAGTATGGCTTCTGCTGATTAATTCTATCAATCCAGCTCTCAGTAAGCTCTGCATTGCCCTCTATTTTCTTGCTATAGTGCTCAGTTTTAATTCACATTTTCCATAAGTCTATTGATTCTTTTTCTAAGCACATTTATTTTCTAAATCAACTTTTATCACCATTCCCTCTCATCCTTCTAAAGTTAAGGTATTCCACCTCTGTTTTCTTTGTGTCTCTTCTGTTCCCACACTTTAATGGTGGAAGGTCCTCAGAATCCAGTTTAAGTCTTTTTTTCCCTCTCCACTTCCTCCCCACATGACAGCCTTCATTTTAGGCCTTTCCATTGCCAGTTATGAATGTCCAGATATTGTATTCCTTGGAAACTGCAAATTCACATATCTGACTTGCAATGTACATTTTCAATTACATGTTGAAGTCAGTTTACAGAGAATATCTGTGCTTTTATTTCCAGATATGTCTCAATCTACATTCTGCTAAGAGGAATTCATTGTTTTTTTACTTCCTCACATTATAGCAGTTAGCATCACTGATATTAATTCAGCATTATTATTGTTTTTAGATTTCTTTCCTGACAAAAATAAAAGATACAAGAGAAGAGGGACTGTATATTTTATGTTCACATTTATATCCTGAAGGCAACATATAACCAGGTACAGAAAAATATGTTTTTTTATAACTTGAATAAAATTATGATAGGTAACTTAATTAAATCATCTATTTTTAAGTCAGGTTGTAAAGTCAGCCTTGGCATTTTATCTTAAGGAATAAACAAACACAAGAAATTTTGTATAGTAAAAATTTAATGAAAAAGGAAATTAATATATTGGCTAAATATGAAGAACATATATTGTTACATTCACCACAATGTAAAGGTACTCATGATATCACATAAAAAATAATTTAAATTTTAAAAATAAATAAATATTTAAATAAATAGATGAACAGAGACATCAGCATTGTCATCTGTAAAGGACTAGTGCCTGCACAGGTATACACCAAGCTTCTTCACACTGCTGAAAACATTTGAAAATTTTGATTCAACTCGTGGTGGTTATAGAAGTGAGTCTTTGAAATGGAAGAACTCATGAAAGTGTGAGATAATGTATTAGTCAATCAGGATCATTTCCATGTTGAACCAGGTTTCAATCCTTCCTCCTTAATCTTTTTTGCAAGTTTGTTGAAAACGAGAGGGATCTCATGATTTCTGCTCTGACAACCTCCCAGGCACAAGGGCTGTATTTCTTCTCTGTTAGATAAAGAGTGATTCTTTGGAAGTATTTCCTCACAGCCAGGATGGAGTCCTCATTCATCAGGGGAGTCTCTTCCACCCCAACCTCCTGTATCACACATGCTTCCAGGTCATTCAGTTGCTGGTAAAGTTCAGTGGAAAATTTTTCTAGGAGGCTCTGTTCCCAAGCAGCAGATGAGTCCTCTGTGCTGAAGAGATTGAAGGTCTGCTGGATCATCTCATGGAGGACAGAGATGGCTTGAGCCTTCTGGAACTGGTGGCCATCAAACTCCTCCTCGGGGAATCCGAAATCATGTCTGTCCTTCAGGCAGGAGAAATGAGAGATTCTTCCCATTTGTGCCAGGAGTATCAAGGCCCTCCTATTACCCAGGCTGTGGGTCTGAGGCAGATCACAGCCCAGAGAACAGATGGATTTGTAGCTGAGCACCAGCACGGCCATCAGTAAAGAAAAGGACAGGGCCATTGGGATGTTGCAAATATTGCTAGGCTACTTGAGATGGATAACCTTGAACTTCGGCCTCTAGGTTTTCTGAAGACTTTGCTCTGTGCATAGGTCTTAAATAGTGAACATACTAATTTCCATTTTCTAAATTCCCTAGTTGTACTTTCTATCTCTGTTTTTGCTTTCTTTATGCACTCTCTACATGTGTTTAAAAAGTTTTTCATTTTTTTTCATCATTGCCTATTTTTCACCTGCACTCAAAGGCTTTTATGGTATTTTTTTCTAATTGAAATCTTCATGAAATTTTAATAACACAGATTTGGCATATCTATTTATGTATATTACGTATACCTCTACTTCACAGATAAAAACTACAAAGTTTGCTCTTTTTATTCAAAGTAAAGAATGACAGAAAAGTTAAACTAAAATTTAAGTTTAAAAGCTATTGACATTTAACTTAATTTGATAAGTATATTTGTGGAATAACTTTTAGTGTAATTTGTTCATGTAAATTTTGTATCAAAGTACATATGCAAAATAAAAATCTATATAGATACACATTAATAATATGAATATAATTACATATCCAATCATTCAAAACTCCTAAAAATATGAATGAATAATTTTTTAAAATTTTTCTCTTAGTGTATGAAGCTTTGAATTTTGCTTTATATGACAAAATAATTTGTAAACTTCACCAGCTGCAGTATTCATCCAGATGTTGCCAACACTTTTTTCTTTTCAGCACTTGACATAAATATTGATGTGTTGAATAACTTTACTAGAAATAAATCATATAATATAAGCTATTTGCATTGAATTCTCAAAGTCTACAAAACATCTTGAAGAACTGAGGATCAAACATAAGTAAGAACCATAAGATAGTCAATGGCAGCCCAAAGATATGCAGGTTAAAGCCACATATTGTGATAAGACCTTAAGATCCAGCAAAAAATGGACAAAAAGTCCTCCAATCACAGTCATCTATTTGCCATAGGTTTGTAACACTGGTCTTACAAATATTTTGTTTATCTTCATGAACTCAATACCAGTGCTTCTCATATCATACACAAAAAAACCCAATGAGAAAGATATATATTAAGCAATGAAATTTTGTTGGATAGAATTGTTGGAGAGTCACAAACTATTGTAATATGTCAGATTTGTTTACACTACGAGAACTAATTTTCGTACCCTTAGAAGAAGTGTCATTCCAATAAACATATGTGACTTAGAAAATATTATGAATTAAATTATTTTTGGCATTTTTCATTGAAGTTCATATTCCCTAAAGGTTTTCAGAAGTTCCTATCCAAGTCAATTCTTATCAAATAAAAAAGACCATCTTTGTTGTAAATTCATAAATTTATAATTATTGAATATTATCATGTAAAGAATTAACTTTCAGAGTGATCCTGAACTCTGGCTCTACCTTTTTGTTGTTTTTTTTTTTTTTGCATAAGAAGTTTTTTTTTGCATAAGTAGGCCCTATAGATACTGAGTCCTTAAATGGAATGAGGTCTGTTTTAGCAAATCAGCTATTTAGTAAGTGGAGTTTTTACTAGTTTCTCATTTTTTCTTCTACTGGAAAGTGTTCAAGAATGAAGCTATTTTGCTTCCTCATGGCCATATTTGCTGGGATTGTAATAGACAATCACAAAAATTTCCATTCAGTGTTTACTGAGAGTCAGTAATGCCCATTTAGTTTACTGCTAAAACCACTGGGATTCTAGTTTTTTTTAAGTGCATGTAGATCTGGGGATTCAAGTTGCAAGAGCAGCATAATATCATCCTTTGCCTAGCACTATATTAACTATTTATGACTTCATCTCTAATCTGTCCTCTACTTTGTTATAATAGAAAATAACTAGCCTGGTGTCAAATGCAGAGTCACATATCTAAATTCAAACTCTCCAATTCACACAGTTTATAGGAGTCAGACAATTTGCTATTCCCAAAAGTATGGAATAATAGCCTCTCTTCCCCAAATAATCCTACAGCTTTCCTTCCCTGGATCAAATCCCGAGAATGTGTATGTGAACTGTGAAGACTTGTGACATCATTTTTCCATCATTTATAAATTTCAGCTTTAAATCATGTGATAATCTTTTAATGACACGGGTAGAAAATGAGCCGGTTTATATAAGGTAGAAATTATGAAATGGATCAATTTTAGAAAATAACCAAACACATTTTATTATTCATTATTTTAAATAATTCATTTAAATTCTTTATATCATTGAACAATTAAAATATTCTACATTGTGAAATGTGCACAGGGGTTTCCATAAATAGGAGCTTTCATTTCAGAAATGTATATTTTGTACATTGATTTAGTTGTTGATCCAGTCAACACATTTTTATTGAATTTTGGGCTCATCCTTTTATTAGACCCTGAGAATACAGGGCAATTTTGCCCAAGTTATTATTCTTAGTCTTTGAAACACTGGGGGAGAGAGTATTTTTTTCTTTGTTCGCTTGAGAGTGTATTGGGAATTTTTGCATATTCATTTTTCATGTTGTATTTTACTGTGAAAATTGGTTTTTCTATACTTTGATTTCTTTCATTTTCACATTCAGGTTAGTGTCAATGAAAGAATACAAATATAATTTTTAAATGGACTATACAATGGTTCTATGTGGTATTCACAACAGCAAATATATTTATATTTCTCACTTCACTTTTCCTAGAAAGTAAAAGTGGTCTGATTTTTCATCTTAATTTATGGGAACAAAAAGAAAACAAATGTATGTCTAAATGTGATAAACATGTAAGAGGAGAAATACTTAATGCAAATGACAAGTTAATGGGTACAGCAAACCAACATGGCACATGTATACCTATGTACCAAACTTGCCCGTTGAGCACATTTACCCTGGAACTTAAAGTATAGTACAAAAAAAAAAAATGACCAGAGGGGAACTTAGAAAATATCTTGAGACCGATGAAAATGAAAACACAACATACCAAGACGTATGTGATGCAGTGAAAACAGAGCTAAAGGGGAAATTGAAAGCTGTAAAAGCTTATATTAAAAAAGAAGAAAGACCTCAAACCAATGAACTACTTTACAAGTTAAGGAACTAGAAAAAGAAGAAATAAACACATAGTAAGGAAGAGGAAGAAAATAAGAAAGACTAAAGCAGACCCCAGGTCTTCATCCTTACTTCTCAGTCCTTGCAAGTCTGTTGATGAAGAGAAGGATTTCATGATTCCATTCTGACAACCTCCTAAGCACAGTCACTGTATTTCTTCTCTTTCAGGTAGATTCTCTGGATTCCCATGGATTCCCTGGAAGTACCTCCTCAAGGCCAGTATAGGGCCCCAATCACCCCCACAGATTCTTCCTCTCCTGTTGCCTGCCCTAAGCAAGACTCCAGGCATTCGAGCTGCTGATGAAATCCAGTGTGGAGCTGGTCCAGGAGGGTCATGTTCCAGGCAGCAGAGGAGCGCTCTGTGGGGAAGAGGCTGAAGATCTGCTGAAGCATCTCATGGAGGACAGACACAGCCTGGGCCTTCTGCAAATGACTGCCATCCACATCTCCAGGGGGAACCTGAAGTCTCTTCTGTCCTTGAGACACAAGAAAGTGGAGATTCTGCACATTTGGCCCAGAAGTGCCAAGGTGTTCCTGCTAAGTAGGCCACGGTTCTGAGGCAGTTCAAAGCCCAGAGATCCAACAGGGCCACAGTGGCAAAGCAGCAGGGCCACCAGTAGAACAAGCAGTAGGACCATTGGGAAACGAGGGTGCTGCTGGCCTAGCTGAGCTGGGGTCGGGATGAACCCCGCACTCCAGGTTCTCTCAAGGCATTCTTTTTATGCATGGCTTATAGCTGGAAACAAATAGTTTTCAGGATTGGCCAAGATGGCCGACTGGAACCTGCTAGTGTGTGCCACTCTCATGGAGAGAAATGGAAGGGGCAAGTAAATACAGCACCTTCAACTGAAACAACCGGGTGCACACATTGAGACTCAAGAAAACAACTTGACCCATGGAGAATAAAGCAAAGTAAGGCAGGACAACTGCCCCCCCAGGAGTGACACAGAGCCAGGGGAGCCTCTCCTGCCCAGGGAAGTGGTGAGTAAGTGAGCAGCCCTGGGGACCCACGCTTCTCCCACAGATCTTTGCAATCCTCAGGTCAGGAGATCTCCTAGTGAACCCACTCTACCAGGGCGTTTAGTCTGACATGCAGGGCTACGTAGGGTTTCAGCAGAGCAGCCACTCTCGCATGCATGGGTACCCTGGAGCCTTAGATACCCAGGCCTCCCCACAAAAGAAGCTATAACTCCAGCCAAGCAGGACGCTAGACCCCTATACATACCCCTAGGAAAGGGGTTTCATCCAGGGCGCTGGGCAGTGACAAGTGACAGGCCCACCTTCCATGGCCTGTCTCAGGGTAAGACCCACTGACTTGGGAATCCAGCCAGACACTGGTAGCAGCCTCATACCTCCCTGACATGGAGCTCCCTGCGGCAGGGGGTGGGCTGCCATCTTTGCTCTTTCACAATCTTAGCTATTGGAGCCTTTGGGTTCTCGGGAGTCCAAGGCAGCTAGGGACTGGAGCAGCCACCCAGCACAGTCCAGCAGCTCTACGGGGAAGCAGTCAGATTGGTTATTCATGTCGATCCCAAATCCTGTTTCTTTTCACCGGGTGAAATCTCCCCACTGGGGTCTCCAGTCACCTCCACCACTGTTTTCTAGTGGCCAGCAGTTTCGAATATCCCTGGGATGGCGCTCCCAAAGGGAATGGTAGGTTGCCATTGTTGCTGTTTAGCAGCCTTAGCCATTCTTGCAAATGCCATTCTTTTGTGCTGGGGGTGGTAGCAGACCCCCAGCACAGCACAGCTGCTCTACCAAAAAGTGGCCAGACTGTTTCTTCACCTGATTCCCTGATGCTGCTTCTCCTCAGTGGGAGGGATATCCCCACCGGGGTCTCCAGCCACCTCCTGCATGTATGTTGCCGGAGGCAACAGGTTGTACCTCTCTGGAACAGAGCTCCCAGAGGGAGGGGCAGGTCCCCATCTTCACTGTTTCATAGCCTTCACTGTTGATATCTTCAGGTACTGAAAAATGTGAGGTGACTATGGTCTGGATTGGACCCCCAGCATATTGCAGCAGCCCTATGGAAAAGTGGCCAGACTGTGTGTTATGTGGGTCCCTAATCCCCTATCTGCTCACTGGGTGGGTCTGCCAGGCCTGGGTCTGCAGCTACCAGCTGGGGCTATTGAGCCAATGGCAGCTCTGCATCTCCCTGGAACAGAGCTCCCAGTGAGAAGGGTGGGTTGCTATCTTTGCTTTCTCACAGCTCTTGCCCTTGCTGTCTCCAGGCTCTGGGGAGTCTGTAGGGAACAGCGGCTGCTCCAGATCCCCAAAACAGAGCAACTGCCTCACAGAAGAGTGGCCACACTGTTCTCCACGCAGTTCCTGGTTGTCACCTCTCCTCTGTGGGCAGAGCCACCTGACCAGAGACTCCAGCACAGGCATTCTTCCCTTGCCTCGTCTCCTCAATCAGGCAGTCCAGCATTTCTCCAAGAAAGAAATCCCACAGTCAACCCATAACCCATCCACCATGACCGTTGCAGTGGGACAGCCCCAGCAGCCCTCCGGCTGGGGAAGGAACAAAGGCCTATTCACTACACTGGCACCTCCAGCACATCATCACCACTGTATGAAGAGGAGTCCAGCCCCTCTTCCCTGAGAATCCCTGTCCCTATTCTTCAGGAGGCAGGGCCCCCTGCCCATGACTGCAGAACAGTCACCCTACCCATGGCTGAGCATATCCACTGGTAGTTGACTAGAGTTTCCCTGGGGAGAGGCTCCCACAACCATCCTACCTCTGCCACTGCCACAGCAGCAGTTTTATCCTTGCTGCCTTGGGTCTGGGGAAGAGACAAAGAGTCTGAAGCTCTTTGTTTACAAGCTTACATCATGCCACAGTCACCTGAACTTCCAGCACACTGCAGTTACCACATAGTGAGGAGAACAGTCTCCTCCTGGTAAGTTTTCCACCTCCTGTTTCCCAAGAAGTGAAGTCCCATACTTACACCAGCAGTGCAGCCACCCCACTCCTCTGGCTAAACACTCCCATTAACATGACTTCACATTTCTAGGAGGTGGAGACCCCAGGGGTAACAGAAAGCCTGTCTAACACTGCCTCTGCAGTGGTACTACCCCAGCTACCTTGGAACTAATGAAGGAGCAAGACCCCAAGTGCCTTATGCATACCTCCAACAAGCTGCTGTCAACCCAAGAGAGGAGGCCAGTCTGTCTGCCATTGGTCAACCATCCACCCCTCACATCACCAGGCAGGGAACCCCTGTCTTGGGCCCACAGCACAGACACCCCCATCCGAAGCTGAATGCTCTGAGTGATTGCTCACCTGCATCTCTGGGGTGGAGCCCCCAGGGGACAAGCAAAAGACCCTCAGTTACAACTACTACTAAGGTCCCTTCCTTCAATGCCTCCAAGTCGGGGAGAAAACATTAACCCTGAGATCACCTCAGAGCTGTTATGTACAGCCTGGGAGTGCCAAGATACAAGCTACAGTCAGCACTCCAGTGGGAGAGGAGCCCACACTTTCATAGCATTGAGAAGGAGCACGGCTGCAAACGTGGGGAAATACAGGGGAGCCACGTGACTGAGCAAGAGCCTTACAACTGACCACTCCAACTAAGAGTCACCTACTAGGTCATGCCCAAAGCATGACACTAAAAAATGTCACTAACATACCCTCATTAAACCAAAGACAAGTCAGCTTCAAATAAAGACCCTGCACAAAGCTGCAGCCCTGTGAACACATCCAGAACTGAAGTCTACTTATTGATTGAACTCAAGCTACATTCCCATATGTAGAGACGAGAAAGAACCAACTGAAGAACTATAGTATCTCAAAAGGACAAAGTATCTTATGTCCTCCAAATAATCTCACTAGTTCTCCAACAGGGGTACTTAACCATAATGAGTTAGCTAAAATGACAGAAACATAATTCAGAATAGGATAGAAAGGAATTTCATTGAGATTCAGGAAAATGATAAAACCTAAACCAAGGAAACTAAGAATCACGATCAAAGGAGAGAGGAGTGGACTGACAAAATAGCCAGTATGAAAAAGAACCTAACGGACCTAGTATAGGTACACTACTAGAAGAATTTCACAATGCAATCACAAGTATTAACAGCAGAATAGACCAAGCTGAGGACAGAATCTCAGGACTTGAAGACTGGCTCTCTGAAATAAGACAGTCAGACAAACATAAAGAAAAAAGAATGAAGAGCAATGAACAAAAGCTCCAAGAAATAGGGGATTGTATAAAGAGGCCAAATCTAAGAGTCACTTGCATCCTTTAAAAAGACGGAGAAAGCAAACAACTTGGAAAATATATTTCAGGATATCATCTATGAAAACTACCACAACCTTGATAGAGAGACCAAAAGTCAAATTCCCTTGAAGTTCTACACCCAGATTGACCGGCTGTTCTCATTCCTAGTCTAGCACAATCCATAGAGGAAGGGATAAGTTAGGAGGCCCCGGGGAGGCTGGGCAGGCTGGAGGAAAGGGACACATCCTGACCCTTTGTCTTTCCCCATAGCTGTCCATTGCCCCAAGACGACATGTCATGCCTGAAGCTGGGAGTATTTTCTCTCTCCATGATACAGAAGTTAAGGAAATGGGCTAATTCCAGTACTGGGGTCAGTTCTTTCTTGGGAAGAGCCTCTTTTTAGCTATGAAGATAAATCTCCTGCCAGGAGGCCTGCTTCTGCATTAATAACCTGCTCTCCACAGACTTGGCTGCTGTCTTGGTGCACTTTGACCAGTTGGGGGCTCTCTTTCCCTGTAAATGTTGTAAGAGTCTCAAAGTAAAACGGAACCTGCCTTTTATTTCCTTTTTTGCTAAGCTACTGTTATGTCACTGTAACAGCGACATTCCCTCTTTTACAGAAATATTCATCATAAGAAAGGAAAAAGAGTATTTTATAAAAGAGCTTCTGAAAAACCTAGAACTTTCACTGAACTTCTGCTTTAATTTGTGATTTTGTGCTCTTAAGGGGAAAGTGATGGGTAAAACCCACAAGAGAACTGAAAACAGCTGTATGAAGAGGCAGTGCAGGCTAATGATGAGTGAAGAAGAGAGCACAGTGCGCATTTCTAGAGGAAGAGGAAGGAAACTAGTGTGATATGGGAGTGGAAAATGGGATACAGAAAAGCAGGGAGGAGAGGGGAAAGTGTGTCAGCTCTCAGAACCAGCAAAGATGTATACTTTACTTAAGTTTAGGAGACTAACTTCATATGGGAGTGTACTCTGGAATTCTGAGAGCCAGGAAACAAATGTTCCAGGTGCCAGAATCAGTTAACCATCGACACGTGTATTCTGCCCTTCAATCTAGATGCTGCTCCTCTGACAGGTATTTATACAAGCCACCATTCCAGACTAAGTAGGACTTTGAAATGAGTTGAGACAATTTTTCAGCCTCTCTACAATTCATGACAGAATTCTGTTGTTTTACGCTGCCTAAAAACAATATATACAAGCAGTATGGAATTTCAATGTAAAATAAGTTATTATTATTTATACCAGATGTGTAAATTTTGTGTGAGGATTTCCTTAATAATTATTAATCTCCTTTTTTCCTCATTTATACACAACCATCTCCTGCTCTCTGAATTTCCTTGGTTCATGTTGTATTTTCGGCTGATTTTGACCAACTTTCTTTCTTTTTAAATTTTGCTTTAAGTTCCGGGATACATGTGCAGAACGTGCAGATTTGTTTCATAGGTATACGTGTGCCATGGTGGTTTGCCTCACCTATCAACTCGTCACCTAGGTTTTTTTTTTTGAATTAATTTCGTATTTATTTTATTTTAACCATCCTTTCTCCTCCATTACAGTATACATTTCATGAAGACAGGAATTCCATGTTATTCTATTTCCTATAATTGATGCTTAATACCTATTGTCAACTGATTCTTTTCTCTGTGCAATTCCTCTGGAGAAATATTTTGTTCTGTGCCAAGAAACAGTTTCATTCAACGGTTAAGGTGACTTGTGTCACTGATCTGATTTCCTTCTTTTACATTAACTATCAAAAATCTCAGACTTATTAATAAAGACATGTCTTCATAGGGTACATCTTTATAATGGTCTTATTTTTATTTTATTTTCCTCCCTCTTTTTTTTCATTTTACTTTATTCTGTCCTAAACATTTAAAGTTTCAGCTAATTTTAAAGTAAAAGATGCTCAATGGGAAAAGCTCACACAAATCAGAGCTACCTAAAAGTAGAGTTGGAAAGTCCCAAGGATCTTTTTCTCTGAGGCAAGCCTCTTTGCTTCTGAGTGCTTGCCCTGCAGACTGGCTTATGAAGAGGTCACCATCTTTTCAGATTCCAGGGGCCCGTAATGTTCATACCACTGCAGTATTCTTACTACACACTGTAATAATCTGGAATAATAAGATCGTAGGCACTCTTTCTTGCCCTCACATGTGGATCTGCCTTCTCCTTTTAAACAGCCATGTAACGTTCCCTATCTCACCTACTTTGAATTTTTATATTCTTGCTGCTCTAAGGTTTTTTTTTGGAGCAAGGAAAGCAATTAAAAAAAATAAAATTTACTTTCAAAAGAAGAGTAGAGATAATTAACCAGCCCTTGCCACCTAACTAAATATAATTCCCTAGTAACTCCTCTTGGAGCCACCAGGTTCCCTGGGAGTGGAATTGCCTGTGGAAAGGCCTATGTGGATTCTGAGCTTGGGAAATGGTGACGGAGCCCTCTCTCTAGCCTCTCAGCCTGGCCAAACACGGTGAAACCCGTCTCTACTAAAAGTACAAAAATTAGCTGAGTATGGTGGCACGAGTCTGTAATCCCAGCTACTCGGGAGGCTGAGGCATGAGAATTGTTTGAATCCGGGAGGCAGAGGTTGCAGTGAGCCGAGATAGCACCGCTGCACTCCAGCCTGGGTGACAGAGCGAGACTCTGTGTCAAAAAAAAAAAAAGAAAAAAAAAAAGTAAGAAATGAGTGAACATTTCAAAATGGCAGGAACTGGTTAAGTTTAAAACTGAAAACTTTCATTCTGACAAGAAAGCAGTCATTCCTTTTCTCCATTAACAGAGATAAAGAAAAGCTTTTCAAATCTGTATATGGCTACGTTGATTGACGTCCGAGTTAAAAATGAAATGTCGGCCGGGCGCGGTGGCTCACACCTGTAATCCCACCACTTTGGGAGGCCGAGGTGGGTGGATCATGAGGTCAGGAGATGGAGGCCATCCTAGCTAACATGGTGAAACCCCATCTCTACTAAAAATACAAAAAATTAGCTGGGCATGGTGGCATGCACCTGTAGTCCCATCTACTCAGGAGGCTGACACAGGAGAATCACTGGAACCCAGGAGGCGGAAGTTGCAGTGAGCCGAGATTGCGCCACTGCACTGTAGCCTGGTTGACAGAGCGAGACTCTATCTCCAAAAAAAAAAAAAAAAAAGAGACAGAGAGAGAGAAATCTCATTTCCCTGTTGCTCAGTCACATTCCTATAAACATACTACTTGCATGCCTGGACAGTTATCACCTTCCAACCTCTTATCTCGGTGATTTCCCAAGCTACAGAGTAAGATAGGTGGAGAATTTTTGTACTTTTAGTAGAGACAGGGTTTCACCATGTTGGTCAGGCTGGTCTTGAACTCTAGCCTACACAACAGAGCAAGACTCCGTCTCAAAAAAAAAAAAAAAATAGGCAGAGAAGGGGTTATTTACATTTCACAGATGAGGTTCACAGGCCCTGAGTTATTTTTGCTACAGTCAACGTGAACAATAAAAACAGCAATTGTGCCCTCTGGTTTGAAGAGACCTGGCTCCACCCACCTGGTGGGGAAAACTACGCCTCCACCCTGGTCCCATGCCTGCCAGCTCTCACCTGGACTCCTCTGTTGTCTCACGTAAGTCACATCTAAGTATGACCTCAGCTGCTCAAAGGACTGCTGAGAAAGTTAGTCAAGTTATCCAACCAACACTCAGCAAACTGAGGACCCATCTGGGAGGTGGAGCCACCCTACCCAATCACAGCTGTTGGGAGTGTATCTGTCTCAGTGGGTGGCACAGCTGAGCTCCTACCTAGAGGTGGCCACCATGCTAGGAAGCACCTTCGCCTTGGACAGTGGGCTCAGGTTCTGGCTCTGCCACTTATTAGCTATGCAGTCTTGGGCAAGTGACTTTACCCCTCCTCACTGCAGCTTCTTCATTGTAAAATGAGAATACAGACACCAGAAGCTACCCATGTTTGTTGGTAAGTGCAAATGAGGCAGCCTATGTAAACAAGAGCCAGTGTCTTCGTGCGGCAAACCCCATGGCAAGTTCTCATGGAATATTAGCTATTACTGCTGTGTCTAGTCTATGTAAACTCACTGCCCTGCCCCAGCCACCAGCCACCACCCAGGAACAGCATGGTGCCCGGTGCAGAGTAACTGCTAAATGCTAAGTTAGTATACTCACAATGTACCTAACTCCCTGATGACCCTGAAGGAGGTGCACAATTCTTCCCGGAGGAGGCCCTGCCCTGGCTTAGGGCTGGCTCTGCTATGAGGGAGATAGCTGCCCCATCTAAAGCTGCTCTTACACCTTCCTGGACTGTCCAGAAAAACTCTCTATGGTTTGCTACAGACAGAACAGTCAGAAGGCGAAAGAGGGCCCAGATCCCCAGGCGCTATCTTACCCCAACTCCCTTCATTGCTAAGGCTAAGAATGTCTGTGGGTCAGTGGAGAACAGGCAGCATTCATCTCATCAGAGAAACTACTCTTTCATGCGAACGTCTCCAATGTATGGACACCATTTTCCCACTGAGTGTGCTGACACCATAGAAACACGGATCTGTCTTTCTAAGTAAATATATGAATAGAAGCTTTAAAATATTTTAAGTACGGAGTCTATAATTAAGACACAGTGTTTGAGATATTTACACAGAAGATTAATGACTCCATGCACATAATTCATCATTGCTTTAGTATTACCAAGTAATATTAAGTTAATTAAGAGACATTGGGAGGCCAAAAAACCAGGCACGACCCAACTGCAGCCCTGCCATGGAAATGAATGAACAAGTCAGCAGGCAGAACTGAGAATCGGGAGACCCACACGGAGCTGAGGAGTATCTAAGAAACCAATGTCACTTGCACTGACCTGGTCTTGCCAGTTCAAGGTCACTCTCATCCGTCACCTAGGTTTTAAGTACAATTTTTTTTAATCCAGTCTATCATTGATGGGCACTTGGGTTGGTTTTGTGTCTTTGCTATTGTAAACATGCTGCAATAAACATACACGTGCGTGTATTTTATAACAGAACGATTTATATTCCTTTGGGTATATACTCAGTAATGAGATTGCTGGGTCAAATGGTATTTCTGGTTCTAGAACCTTGATGAATCGCCACACTGTCTTCCACAATGGTTGAAGTAATTTACATTCCCACAAACAGTGTAAAAGATTTCCTATTTTTCCACAGCTTCACCAGCATCTGTTGATTTTGACTCTTTAATAATTGCCATTCTGAGTGGCATGAGATGGTATTTCATTGTGGTTTTGATTTGCATTTCTCTAATGATCAGTGATGTTGAGTTTTTTAATGATTATTGGTCGCATAAATGTCTACTTTCGAGAAGATTCTGTTCATATCCTTCACCCACTTTTTGATGGGGCTTTTTGTTTTTGTAAATTTGTTTAAGTTCTTTGTACATTCTGGATATTAGACCTGTGTGAGTTGGGTAGACTGCAAAAATTTTCTCCCATTCTATGGGTTGCCTGTTCACTCTGATGATAGGTAGTTTCTTTTGCTGTGCAGAAGTTCTCTAATTAAATGCCATTTGTCAATTTAACTTTTGTTGCAGTTGCTTTTGGCGATTTCTTCATAAAATCTTTGCCCATCCTGTGTCCTATGTTTTCTTCTAGGGTTTTTATGGTTTTTGGTTTTACATTTAAGTCTTTAATCCATCTTGAGTTAATTTTTGTATAAGGTGTAAGGAAGTGGTCCAGGTTCAATTTTCTGCCTATGGCTATCCAGTTTTCCCAGCACCATTTATCATCATTCCCTCCAAATACACTTTTATCATCATTCCCTCTCGTCCTTCTAATGATAAGGTATTCCACCTCTGTTTTCTTTGTGTGTCTTCTGTTCCCCCACTTTAATAGTGGAAGTTCCTCAGAATCCAGTTTAAGTCTTTTTTCCCTCTCTGCTTGCTCCCCACATGACAGCCTTCATTTTTGGCGTTTCCATTGCTTAGTTATGAACTTCCAGATATCATATTCCTTGGAAACTGCAAACTCATATATCTGACTTGCAATGTACATTTTCAATTACATGTTGAAAGTCAGTTTATAGAGAGTACCTCTACTTTTATTTGCAGACATTTCTTAATCTATGTTCTGCTAAGAGGAATTCATTTTTTTTTACTTCCTCACATTACAGCAGTTAGTATAACCGATATTAATTCAGCATTATTATTGTTTTTAGATTTCTTTCCTGACAAAAATCAAAGATACAAGAGAACAAGAACTGTATTTTTTATGTTCACGTTTATATCATGAAGGCAACAGATAACCTGGTATAGAAAAATATATTTTTCTATAACTTGAATAAAATTATGATAGGTAACTTACTTAAATCATCTATTTTTAAGTCAGGTTATACAGTCAGGCTTGGCATTTAATCTTAAAAAATAAACAAACACAAGAAATTTTGTATAGTAAAAATTTAATGAAAAAGGAAATTAATATATTGGCTAAATATGAAGAACATATTTGTTACATTAACCACAATGTAAAGGTACATATGATATTACATAAAAAATAATTTAAATAATAAAAATAGTTAAATAAATAAATATTTAAATAAATAGATGAAAGGAGACATCAGAATGGTCATCTGTAAAGGACTAGTGCCTGCACAGGTAAACACGATGCTTCTTAACACTCCTGAAAACATTTGGAAATTTTGATTCAACTTGTGGTGGTTATAGAAGTGAGTCTTTGAAATGGAAGAACTCATGAAAGTGTGAGATGATGCATTAGTCAATGAGAATCATTTCCATGATGAACCAGTTTTCAATCCTTCCTCCTTAATCCTTTTTTCAAGTTTGTTGAAAAAGAGAAGGATCTCATGATTTCTGCTCTGACAACCTCCCAGGCACAAGGGCTGTATTTCTTCTCCATTAGATAAAGAGTGATTCTTTGGAAGTATTTCCTCACAGCCAGGATGAAGTCCTCATTCATCAGGGGAGTCTCTTCCACCCCAACCTCCTGTATCACACATGCTTCCAGGTCATTCAGTTGCTGGTAAAGTTCAGTGGAAAATTTTTCTAGGAGGCTCTGTTCCCAAGCAGCAGATGAGTCCTCTGTGCTGAAGAGATTGAAGGTCTGCTGGATCATCTCATGGAGGACAGAGATGGCTTGAGTCTTCTGGAACTGGTGGCCATCAAACTCCTCCTCTGGGAATCTGAATTCATGTCTGTCCTTCAAGCAGGAGAAAGGAGAGATTCTTCCCATTTGTGCCAGGAGTATCAAGGCCCTCCTATTACGCAGGCTGTGGGTCTGAGGCAGATCACAGCCCAGAGAGCAGATGGATTTGTAGCTGAGTACCAGCACGACCATCAGTAAAGAAAAGGACCGGGCCATTGGGATTTTGCAAATATCACTAGGCTACCTGAGGTGGGTAACTTGAACCGTGGCCTCTAGGTTTTCTGGAGACTTTGCTCTGTGCATAGGTCTTAAATAGTGAACATACTAATTTCCATTTTCTAAATGCCCTAGTTTTACTTTCTATCTCTGTTTTTGCTTTCTTTATGTACTCTCTCCATGTGTTTAAAGACGTTTTTCATTTTTTTTTTCATCATTGCCTGTTTTTCCCCTGCACTCAAAGCCTTTTATGGTATTTTTTTCTAATTGAAATGTTCATGAAATTTTAATAACACAGATTTGGCATATCTATTTAGGTATTCTACATATACCTCTACTTCACAGATAAAAAGTATGAAGTTTGCTCTTTTTATTCAAAGTAAGTTAAGAATGACAGAAAAGTTAAACTAAAATCTAAGTTTAAAAGCTATTAAAATCTAAGTTTAATTAGATAAGTATATTTGTGGAATAACTTTTAATGTAATTTGTTCATGTAAATTTTGTTGTTTCAAATTACATATGCAAAATAAAAATCTGTATAATACACATTAATATGAATGTAATTACATACCTAATCATTCAAAACTGCTAGAAATATGAATCAATTTTAAAAAAATTTTCTCATAGTATATGAAGCTTTGAATTTTGCTTTATATGAGAAAATAATTTGTAAACTTCACTAGCTGCAGTATTCATCCAGATATTGCCAACACTTTTTTCTTTTCAGCACTTGACATAAGTACTGATGTGTTGAATAACTTTTGTAGAAATAAATCATATAATATAGGCTATTTGCATTGAATTCTCAAAGTGTACAAAACATCCTGAAGAACTGAGGATCAAACATAACTAATAACCATAAGATAGTCAATGGCAGCACAAAGGTAGGCAGGTTAAAGCCACATATTGTGGTAAGACTTCAAGATCCAGCAAAAAAATTGACAAAAAGTCCTCCAATCACAGTCATCTATTTGCCATAGGTTTGTAACGTTGATCTTGCAAATATTTTGTTTATCATCATGAACTCAATACCAGTGCTTCTCATATCATACACAAGAAAACCCAACGAGAAAGATGTATATTAAGCAATGAAATTTTGTTGGATAGAGTTCTTGGAGAGTTACAAACTTTTGCAATATGTCAGATTTGTTTACACTACGAGAACTAATTTTTGTACCCTTAGAAGAAGTATCATTCCAATAAACATATGTGACTTAGAAAATATTATCAATTAAATCATTTTTGGCATTTTTCATTGAAGTTCATATTCCCTAAAGGTTTTCAGAAGTTCCTATCCAAGTCAATTCTTATCAAATATAAAAGACCATCTTTGTTCTAAATTCATAAATTTATAAATATTGAATATTATTATGTAAGGAATTAACTTTCAGAGTGGTCCTGAACTCTGGCAAAGTTAGTTTGCCTCGGCCCTATAGATACTGAGTCCTTAAATGGAATGAGGTCTGTTTTAGCAAATCAGCTATTTAGTAGGTGGAGTTTTTCCTAGTTTCTCATTTTTTCTTCTAATGGAAGGTGTTCAAGAATGAAGCTGTTTTTCTTCATCATGGCCATATTTGGGATTGTAATAGACAATGACAAAAATTTCCATTCAGCTTTTAGTGAAAATCAGTAATGCCCATTTAGTTTACTGCTAAAACCACTGGGGTTCTAGTTTTTTAAGGTGCATGTAGATCTGGGGATTCAAGTTGCAAGAGCAGCATAATATCATCCTTTGCCTGGCACTATATTAACTATTTATGACTTCATCTCTAATCCTCCCTCTACTTTGTTATAATAGAAAATAAATAGCCTGGTGTCAAATACAGAGTCACATATTGAAATTCAAACTCTCCAATTCACACAGTTTGTAGGAATCAGACAATTTACTATTCCCAAAAGTAGGGAATAATAGTCTCTGTCCCCCAAATAATCCTACAGCTTCAGTAGGATTAAAAAAATTGAAGCACAATTTTTTTAATCCATTCTATCATTGATGGGCATTTGGGTTGGTTTCCTGTCTTTGCTATTGTAAATAGTGTTGCAATAAACATACACGTCCATGTATTTTTATAATAGAATTATTTGTATTCCTTTGGGTATATACTCAGGAATAGGATTGCTGGGTCTAATGGTATTTCTGGTTCTAAATCCTTGATGAATCGCCACACTGTCTTCCACAATGGTTGAAGTAATTTAC
This sequence comes from Homo sapiens, assembly GCF_000001405.40. Lineage (NCBI taxonomy): Eukaryota > Metazoa > Chordata > Mammalia > Primates > Hominidae > Homo > Homo sapiens. The sequence continues at coordinate 21,204,363 of NC_000009.12, forward strand.
ATTCCTACCAACAGTGTAAAAGCTTTCCTATTTTTCCACAGCTTCACCAGCATCTGTTGTTTCCTGACTTTTTAGTAATTGCCATTCTGAGTGACATGAGATGGCATCTCATTGCAGTTTTGATTTTCATTTCTCTAATGATCAGTGATGTTGAGCTTTTTTCATGTTTATTGGCCACATAAATGTCTACTTTTGAGAAGTGTCTGTTCATGTCCTTTGCCCACTTTTCGATGGGGCTTTTTTTTTTTTGTGAATTTGTTTAAGTTCTTTGTCCATTCTGGATATTAGACCTCTGTCAATTGGGTAGGCTGTAAAAATTTTCTCCCATTCTGTAAGTTGCCTGTTCACCATGATGATTGACAGTTTCTTTTGCTGTGCAGAATCTCTTTAATTAGATGCCATTTGTCAATTTTAGCTTTGGTTGCAGTTGCTTTTGGCGATTTCATCATAAAATCTTTGCCCATGCCGATGTCCTGAATGCTATTGCCTACGTTTTCTTCTAGGGTTTTTATGGTTTTGGGTTTTACATTTAAGTGTTTAATCCATCTTGCATTAATTTTTGTATAAGGTGTAAGGAAGGGGTCCAGTTTCAGTTCTCTGCATATGGCTATCCAGTTTTCCCAGCACCATTTATTAAAGAGGGAATCCTTTCCCCATTCCTAAAGTACTCAGAAAGAGATTATCTTTTCCAGTTTCCAATTTTATTTTATGAAAAAATGTGTCAGTTTTTACTGACATTTAACAGAGTATTAATCAAAATAATGATCAATTACTATTGTAAATAATTTTACATTTTATGCTTTAAATATATAAATTATTAAATGTATTAATATGATTCACCAATGCATCACAATTATGAAATTTATTCAGTGACATATATTTTCAAAAAGGAAACACTATGCAGATAAAAGATAATCCACATTTTTGGGGGTCCAAACTTATTACTTGCCACCATTGCAAAGGCAGTTTTCTCACATTTTCTGTATGTGTTATCTTGATTTCTCTTTTCTGAGTCACTCTTCTGTCTACCCCAGTATGGCTTCTGCTGATTAATTCTATGAATCCAGCTCTCAGTAAGCTCTGCATTGCCATCTATTTTCTTGCTGTAGTGCTCAGTTTTAATTCACATTTTCCATAAGTTTATTGATTCCTTTTCTAAGCACATTTATTTTCTAAATACACTTTTATCACCATTCCCTCTTGTCCTTCTAATGTTAAGGTATTCCACCTCTGTTTCCTTTGTGTCTCTTCTGTTCCCACACTTTAATGGTGGAAGATCCTCAGAATCCAGTTTAAGTCTTTTTTTCCCTCTCCACTTGCTCCCCATATGACAGCCTTCATTTGCGTCCTTTCCATTGCCAGTTATGAACTTCCAGATATCGTATTCCTTGGAAACTGCAAATTCACATATCTGACTTGCAATGTACATTTTCAATTACATGTTGAAGTCAGTTTACAGAGAATATCTCTGCTTTTATTTCCAGATATGTCTCAATCTACATTCTGCTAAGAGGAATTCATTGTTTTTTTACTTCCTCACATTATAGCAGTTAGCATCACTGATATTAATTCAGCATTATTATTGTTTTTAGATTTCTTTCCTGAAAAAATCAAAGATACAAGAGAACAGGGACTGTATATTTTATGTTCACGTTTATATCCTGAAGGCAACATATAACCAGGTACAGAAAAAAATATATTTTTATAACTTGAATAAAATTATGATAGGTAACATAATTAAATCATCTATTTTTAAGTCAGGTTGTAAAGTCAGCCTTGGCATTTTATCTTAAAGAATAAACAAACACAAGAAATTTTGTATAGTAAAAATTTAATGAAAAAGGAAATTAATATATTGGCTAAATATGAAGAACATATATTGTTACATTAACCACAATGTAAAGCGACTCATGATATTACATAAATTTTAAAAATAATTAAATAAATATTTAAACAAAAGATGAACAGAGACATCAGAATGGTCATCTGTAAAGGACTAGTGCCTGCACAGGTATACACGACACTTCTTTACACTGCTGAAAACATTTGAAAATTTTGATTCAACGCGTCGTGGTTATAGAAGTGAGTCTTTGAAATGGAAGAACTCATGAAAGTGTGAGATAATGTATTAGTCAATCAGGATCATTGCCATGTTGAACCAGTTTTCAATCCTTCCTCCTTAATCTTTTTTGCAAGTTTGTTGAAAACGAGAGGGATCTCATGATTTCTGCTCTGACAACCTCCCAGGCACAAGGGCTGTATTTCCTCTCTATTAGATAAAGAGTGATTCTTTGGAAGTATTTCCTCACAGCCAGGATGGAGTCCTCATTCATCAGGGGAGTCTCTTCCACCCCAACCTCCTGTATCACACATGCTTCCAGGTCATTCAGTTGCTGGTAAAGTTCAGTGGAAAATTTTTCTAGGAGGCTCTGTTCCCAAGCAGCAGATGAGTCCTCTGTGCTGAAGAGATTGAAGGTCTGCTGGATCATCTCATGGAGGACAGAGATGGCTTGAGCCTTCTGGAACTGGTTGCCATCAAACTCCTCCTGGGGGATTCGGAAATCATGTCTGTCCTTCAGGCAGGAGAAAGGAGAGATTCTTCCCATTTGTCCCAGGAGTATCAAGGCCCTCCTATTACCCAGGCTGTGGGTCTGAGGCAGATCACAGCCTAGAGAACAGATGGATTTGTAGCTGAGCACCAGCACGGCCATAAGTAAAGAAAAGGACAGGGCCATTGGGATGTTGCAAATATTGCTAGGCTACTTGAGATGGATAACCTTGAACTTCGGCCTCTAGGTTTTCTGAAGACTTTGCTCTGTGCATAGGTCTTAAATAGTGAACATACTAATTTCCATTTTCTAAATGCCCTAGTTTTACTTTCTATCTCTGTTTTTGCTTTCTTTATGTACTCTCTCCATGTGTTTAAAAAGTTTTTCATTTTTTTTCATCATTGCCTATTTTTCACCTGCACTCAAAGCCTTTTATGGTTTTTTTTTAATTGAAATCTTCATGAAATTTTAGTAACACAGATTTGGCATATCTATTTATGTATATTACGTATACCTCTACTTCACAGATAAAAACTACAAAGTTTGCTCTTTTTATTCAAAGTAAAGTTAAGAATTACAGAAAAGTTAAACTAAAATCTAAGTTTAAAAGCTATTGACATTTATTTTAATTTGATAAGTATATTTGTGGAATAACTTTTAGTATAATTTGTTCATGCAAATTTTGTATCAAAGTACATATGCAAAATAAAAATCTATATAATACACATTAATAATATGAATGTAGTTACCTACCTAATCATTCAAAACTCCTAAAAATATGAATCAATAATTTTTTAAAATTTTTCTCTTAGTGTATGAAGCTTTGAATTTTGCTTTATATGAGAAAATAATTTGTAAATTCACCAGCTGCAGTATTCATCCAGATATTGCCAAAACTTTTTTCTTTTCAGCACTTGACACAAGTACTGATGTATTGAATAACTTTAGTAGAAATAAAACATATAATGTAAGCTATTTGGATTGAATTCTCAAAGTCTACCAAACATCCTGAAGAACTGAGGATCAAACATAACTAATAACTATAAGATAGTCAATGGCAGCCCAAAGATATGCAGGTTAAAGCCACATACTGTGATAAGACTTTAAGATCCAGCAAAAAATGGACAAAAAGTCCTCCAATCACAGTCATCTATTTGCTATAGGTTTGTAACATTGGTCTTACAAATATTTTGTTTATCTTCATGAACTCAATACCAGTGCTTCTCATATCATACACAAAAAAACCCAATGAGAAATATGTATATTAAGCAATAAAATTTTGTTGGATAGAGTTGTTGGAAAGTCAGAAACTATTGTAATATGTTAGATTCATTTACACTACGAGAACTAATTTTTGTACCCTTAAAAGAAGTATCAATCCAATAAACATATATGACTTAGAAAATAGTATGATTTAAATCATTTTTGGCATTTTACATTGAAGTTCATATTCCCTAAAGGTTTTCAGAAGTTCCTATCCAAGTCAATTCTTATCAAATAAAAAAGACCATCTTTGTTCTAAATTCATAAATTTATAAATATTGAATATTATTATGCAAAGAAATAACTTTCAGCATGATCCTGAACTCTGGCTCTAACTTTTTTTTTTTTTTTTTTGTGTAAGAAGTTTTTTTTTGTATAAGTAGGCCCTATAGATACTGAGTCCTTAAATGGAATGAGGTCTGCTTTAGCAAATCAGCTATTTAGTAAGTGGAGTTTTTACTAATTTCTCATTTATTCTCATTTTTAAATGGACTATACAATGGTTCTATATGGCATTCACAACAGCAAATATATTTATATTTCTCACTTAACTTTTCCTAGAAGGTAAAAGTGGTCTGATTTTCATCTTAATTTATGGGAACAAAAAGAAAACAAATGTATGTCTAAATGTGATAAACATGTAAGAGGAGAAATACCTAATGTAAATGACAAGTTAATGGGTGCAGCAAACCAACATGGCACATGTATACCTATGTAACAAACTTGCACGTTGAGCACATTTAACCTGGAACTTAAAGTATAGTACAAAAAAAAAAAAGATGACCAGAGGGGAACTTAGAAAATATCTTGAGAGAGGTGAAAATGAAAACACAACATACCAAGACGTATGTGATGCAGTGAAAACAGAGCTAAAGGGGAAATTGAAAGCTGTAAAAGCTTATATTAAAAAAGAAGAAAGACCTCAAACCAATGAACTAACTTTACAAGTTAAGGAACTAGAAAAGAAGAAATAAACACACAGCTAGGAAGAGGAAGAAAATAAGAAAGACTAAAGCAGACCCCAGGTCTTCATCCTTACTTCTCAGTCCTTGCAAGTCTGTTGATGAAGAGAAGGATTTCATGATTCCACTCTGACAACCTCCCAAGCACAGTCACTGTATTTCTTCTCTTTCAGGTAGATTCTCTGGATTCCCATGGATTCCCTGGAAGTACCTCCTCAAGGCCAGTGTAGGGCCCCAAACACCCCCACAGATTCTTCCTCTCCTGTTGCCTGCCCTAAGCAAGACTCCAGGCATTCGAGCTGCTGATGAAATCCAGTGTGGAGCTGGTCCAGGAGGGTCATGTTCCAGGCAGCAGAGGAGCGCTCTGTGGGGAAGAGGCTGAAGATCTGCTGAAGCATCTCATGGAGGACAGACAGGGCCTGGGCCTTCTGCAACTGGCTGCCATCCACATCTCCAGGGGGAACCTGAAGTCTCTTCTGTCCTTGAGACACAAGAAAGTGGAGATTCTGCACATTTGGCCCAGAAGTGCCAAGGTGTTCCTGCTAAGTAGGCCACGGTTCTGAGGCAGGTCAAAGCCCAGAGATCCAACAGGGCCACAGTGGCAAAGCAGCAGGGCCACCAGTAGAACAAGCAGTAGGACCATTGGGAAACGAGGGTGCTGCTGGCCTAGCTGAGCTGGGGTCGGGATGAACCCCGCACTCCAGGTTCTCTCAAGGCATTCTTTTTATATGCATGGCTTATAGCTGGAAACAAATAGTTTTCAGGATTGGCCAAGATGGCCGACTGGAACCTGCTAGTGTGTGCCACTCTCATGGAGAGAAATGGAAGGGGCAAGTAAATACAGCACCTTCAACTGAAACAACCACGTACACACATTGAGACTCAAGAAAACAACTTGACCCATGGAGAATAGAGCAAAGTAAGGCAGGACAACTGCCCCCCCAGGAGTGACACAGAGCCAGGGGAGCCTCTCCTGCCCAGGGAAGTGGTGAGTAAGTGAGCAGCCCTGGGGACCCACGCTTCTCCCACAGATCTTTGCAATCCTCAGGTCAGGAGATCTCCTAGTGAACCCACTCTACCAGGGCGTTTAGTCTGACATCCAGGGCTACGTAGGGTTCCAGCAGAGCAGCCGCTCTCGCATGCATGGGTACCCTGGAGCCTTAGATACCCAGGCCTCCCCACAAAAGAAGCTATAACTCCAACCAAGCAGGACGCTACACGCCTGTACATACCCGTAGGAAAGGGGTTTCATCCAGGGCGCTGGGCAGTGACAAGTGGCAGGCCCACCTTCCATTGCCTGTCTCAGGGTAAGACCCACTGGCTTGGGAATCCAGCCAGACACTGGTAGCAGCCTCATACCTCCCTGACATGGAGCTCCCAGCGGCAGTGGGTGGGCTGCCATCTTTGCTATTTCACAGTCTTAGCTATTGGAGCCTTTGGGTTCTAGTGAGTTCAAGGCAGCTAGGGACTGGAGCAGCCACCCAGCCCAGCCCAGCAGCTCTACGGAGAAGCAGTCAGATTGCTTATTCATGTCGATCCCAAATCCTGCTTCTTTTCACTGGGTGGAATCTCCCCACTGGGGTCTCCAGTCACCTCCACCGCTGTTTTCTGCAGACAGCAGTTTCGAATATCCCTGGGATGGCGCTTCCAAAGGGAAGGGTGGGTTGCCATTGTTGCTGTTTAGCAGCCTTAGCCATTCTTGCAAATGCCACTCTTTTGTGCTGGGGGTGGTAGCAGACCCCCAGCACAGCACAGCTGCTCTACCAAAAGGTGGCCAGACTGTTTCTTCACCTGATTCCCTGATGCTGCTTCTCCTCAGTGGGTGGGATATCGCCACCGGGGTCTCCAGCCACCTCCTGCATGTATGTTGCAGGAGGCAACAGGTTGTACCTCTCTGGAACAGAGCTCCCAGGGGGAGGGGCAGGTCCCCATCTTCACTGTTTCATAGCCTTCACTGTTGATATCTTCAGGTACTGAAAAATGTGAGGTGACTATGGTCTGGATTGGACCCCCAGCATATTGCAGCAGCCCTATGGAAAAGTGGCCAGACTGTGTGTTATGTGGGTCCCTGATCCCCTCTCTCCTCACTGGGAGGGTCTGCCAGGCCTGGGTCTGCAGCTACCACCTGGGGCTATTGAGCCAACAGCAGCTCTGCAATTCCCTGGAACAGAGCTCCCAGTGAAAATGGTGGGTTGCCATCTTTGCTTTCTCACAGCTCTTGCCCTTGCTGTCTCCAGGCTCTGGGAAGTCTGTAAGGAATAGCGGCTGCTCCAGATCCCCAAAACAGAGCAACTGCCTCACAGAAGAGTGGCCACACTGTTCTCCACGCAGTTCCTGGTTGTCACCTCTCCTCTGTGGGCAGAGCCACCTGACCAGAGACTCCAGCATAGGCACCCTTCCCCTGCCTCATCTCCTCAATCAGGCAGTCCAGCATTTCTCCAAGAAAGAAATCCCACAGTCAGCCCACAATCCATCCATCATGACCGTTGCAGTGGGACAGCCCCAGCATCCCTCCGGCTGGGGAAGGAACAAAGGGCCTATTCACTACACTCTCACCTCCAGCACATCATAGCCACTATACAAAGAGGAGTCCAGCCCCTCTTCCCTGAGAATCCCCATCCCTATTCTTCAGGAGTCAGGACCCCCAGCGCATGACTGCAAAACAGTCACCCTACCCATGGCTGAGCATATCCACTGGTAGTTGACTAGAGTTTCCCTGGGGAGAGGCTCCCAGAGCCAGCCTACCTCTGCCACTGCCACAGCAGCAGTTTTATCCCTGCTGCCTTGGGTCTGGGGAGGAGACAAAGAGTCCGAAGCTCTTTGTTTAAAAGCTTACATCATGCCACAGTCACCTGAACTTCCAGCACACTGCAGTTACCACATGGTGAGGAGAACAGTCTCCTGCTGGTAAGATTTCCACCTCCTGTTTCCCAAGAAGTGAAGTCCCATACTTACACCAGCAGTGCAGCCACCCCACTCCTCTGGCTAAACACTCCCATTAACATGGCTTCACATTTCTTGGAGGTGGAGACCCCAGGGGTAACAGAAAGCCTGTCTTAACATTGCCTCTGCAGTGGTACTACCCCAGCTACCTTGGAACTAATGAAGGAGCAAGACCCCAAGTGCCTTATGCATACCTCCAACAAGCTGCTGTCAACCCAAGAGAGGAGGCCAGTCTGTCTCCCATTGGTCAACCACCCACCCCTCACATCACCAGGCAGGGAACCCCTGTCTTGGGCCCACAGCACAGACACCCCCATCCGAAGCTGAATGCACTGAGTGATTGCTCACCTGCATCTCTTTGGTGGAGCCCCCAGGAGACAAGCAAAAGACCCTCAGTTACAAGTACTACTAAGTTCTCTTCCTTTAATGCCTCCAAGTCGGGGAGAAAACATTAACCCTGAGATCACCTCAGAGCTGTTATGTACAGCCTGGGAGTGCCAAGATACAAGCTACAGTCAGCACTCCAGTGGGAGAGGAGCCCACACTTTCATAGCATTGAGGAGCACGGCTGCAAACGTGAGGAAATACGGGGGAGCCACATGACTGAGCAAGAGCCTGACAACTGACCACTATACCTAAGACTCACCTACTAGGTCATGCCCAAACCTTCAACACTAAAAAATCTCACTAACACACCCTCATTAACCAAAGACAAGTCAACTTCAAATAAAGACCCTGCACAAAGCTGCAGCCCTGTGAACACATCCAGAACCGAAGTCTATTTATTGATTGAACTCAAGCTACACTCCCATATGTAGAGATGAGAAAGAACCAATGGAAGAACTACAGTATCTCAAATGGACCGAGTATCTGATGTCCTCCAAATAATCTCACTAGTTCTCCAACAAGGGTTCTTAACCATAATGAGTTAGCTAAAATGACAGAAATATAATTCAGAATAGGATAGAAAGGAATTTCATTGAGATTCAGGAAAATGATAAAACCTAAACCAAGGAAACTAAGAATCACAATCAAATGAGAGCGGAGTTGACAGACAAAATAGCCAGTATGAAAAAGAACCTAACGGACCTAGTAGATGTACACACTACAAGAATTTCACAATGCAATCACAAGTATTAACAGCAGAATAGACCAAGCTGAGGACAGAATCTCAGGACTTGAAGACTGGCTCTCTGAAATAAGACAACCAGACAAAAATAAAGAAAAAAGAATGAAGAGCAATGAACAAAACCTCCAAGAAATAGGGGATTGTATAAAGAGGCCAAATCTAAGAATCACTTGCATCCTTTAAAAAGACAGGGAGAAAGCAAACAACTTGGAAAATATATTTCAGGATATCATCTATGAAAACTACCACAACCTTGATAGAGAGACCAAAAGTCAAATTCCCTTGAAGTTCTACACCCAGATTGGCAGGCTGTTCTAATTCCTAGTGTAGCACAATCCATAGAGGAAGGGATAAGTTAGGAGGCCCCGGGGAGGCTGGGCAGGCTGGAGGAAAGGGACACATCCTGACCCTTTGTCTTTCCCCATAGCTGTCCATTGCCCCAAGATGACATGTCATGCCTGAAGCTGGGAGTATTTTCTCTCTCCACGATACAGAAGTTGAGGAAATGGGCTAATTCCACTACCAGGGTCCATTCTTTCTTGGGAAGAGCCTCTTTTTAGCTGTGAAATTAAATCTCCTGCCAGGAGGCCTACTTCTGCATTAACAGCCTGCTCTCCACAGACTTGGCTGCTGTCTTGGTGCACTTTGGGGGCTCTCTTTCCCTGTAAATGTTGTAAGAGTCTCAAAGTAAAATGGAACCTGCCTTTTATTTCCTTTTTTGCTAAGCTACTGTTATGTCATTGTAACAGCGACATTCTGTCTTTTACAGAAATAGTCATCATAAGAAAGGAAAAAGAGTATTTTATAAAAGAGCTTCTGAAAAACCTAGAACTTTCACTGAACTTCTGCTTTAATTTGTGATTTTGTGCTCTTAAGGGGAAAGTGATGGGTAAAACCCACAAGAGAACTGAAAACAGCTGTATGAAGAGGCAGTGCAGGCTAATGATGAGTGAAGAAGAGAGCACAGTGCGCATTTCTAGAGGAAGAGGAAGGAAACTAATGTGATATGGGAGTGAAAAACGGGACACAGAAAAGCAGGGAGGAAAAGGGAAAGTGTGTCAGCTCTCAGAACCAGCAAAGATATATATTTTACTTAAGTTTAGGAGAGTAACTTCATATGGGAGTGTACTCTGGGATTCTGAGAGCCAGGAAACAAATGTTCCAGGTGCCAGAATCAGTTAACCATCGACACGTGTATTCTGCCCTTCACTCTAGATGCTGCTCCTCTGACAGGTATTTATACAAGCCACCATTCCTGACTGAATATAAATGGGACTTTGAAATGAGGTGAGAATTTTTCAGCCTCTCTAGAATTCATGACAGAATTCTGTTGTTTTAGGCTGCCTAAAAACAGTATATACAAGCAGAATGGAATTTCAATGTAAAATAAGTTATTATTTTTACCGGATGTGTAAATTTTGTGTTAGGATTTCCTTAATAATTATTAATCTCCTTTTTTCCTCATTTATACGCAACCATCTCCTGCTCTCTGAATTTCCTTGGTTCATGTTGTATTTTCAGCTGATTTTGACCAACTTTCTTTTTAAATTTTGCTGTAAGTTCCGGGATAGGTGTGCAGAACGTGCAGATTTGTTACATAGGTATACATGTGCCATGGTGGTTTGCCTCACCTATCAACTCGTCACCTAGGTTTTAATCACAATTTGTTTTAATCCAGTGTATTATTGATGGGCATTTGGGTTGGTTTCGTGTCTTTGCCATTATAAACAGTGCTGCAATACACATACACGTTCATGTATTTTATAACAGAACGATTTATATTCCTTTGGGTATATAGTCAGTAATGGGATTGCTGGGTCAAATGGTATTTCTGGTTCTAGATCCTTGATGAATCGCCACACTGTCTTCCACAATGGTTGAAGTAATTTACATTCCCTCCAACAGTGTAAAAGATTTCCTATTTTTCTACAGCTTCACCAGCATCTGTTGATTTTGACTCTTCAATAATTGCCATTCTGAGTGGCATGAGATGGTATTTCATTGTGGTTTTGATTCGCATTTCTCTAATGATCAGCGATGTTGAGTTTTTAAATGATTATTGGCCTCATAAATGTCTACTTTTAAGAAGAGTCTGTTCATATCCTTCACCCACTTTTTGATGGGGCTCTTTGTTTTTGTAAATTTAAGCTCTTTTTTGTACATTCTGGATATTAGACCTGTGTCAGTTGGGTAGGCTGCAAAGATTTTCTCCCATTCTGTGGGTTGCCTGTTCACTCTGATGATGGATAGTTTCTTTTGCGTGCATACGTTCTCTAATTAGATGCCATTTGTCAGTTTTAGCTTTTGTTGCAGTTGCTTTTGTCGATTTCTTCATAAAATCTTTGCCCATCCTGTGTCCTACATTTTTTCTAGGGTTTTTATGGTTTTGGGTTTTACATTTAAGTCTTTAATCCATCTTGAGTTAATTTTTGTATAAGGTGTAAGGAAGTGGTCCAGTTTCAATTTTCTGCCTATGGCTATCCAGTTTTTCCAGCACCATTTATCATCATTCCTTCTAAATACATTTTATCATCATTCCCTCTCGTCCTTCTAATGATAAGGTATTCCACCTCTGTTTTCTTTGTGTGTCTTCTGTTCCCCCACTTTAATAGTGGAAGTTCCTCAGAATCCAGTTTAAGTCTTTTTTTCCCTCTCCGCTTGCTCCCCACATGACAGCCTTCATTTTAGGCCTTTCCATTGCCAGTTATGAACTTCCAGATATCGTATTCCTTGGAAACTGCAAACTCATATATCTGACTTGCAATGTACATTTTCAATTACATGTTGAAAGTCAGTTTATAGAGAGTATCTCTACTTTTACTTGCAGACATTTCTTAATCTATGTTCTGCTAAGAGGAATTCATTGTTTTTTTTTACTTCCTCACATTACAGCAGTTAGTATAACTGATATTAATTCAGCATTATTATTGTTTTTAGAAACATTTCCTGACAAAAATCAAAGATACAAGACAACAAGAACTGTATTTTTTATGTTCAAGTTTATATCCTGAAGGCAACATATAACGTGGTATAGAAAAATATATTTTTCTATAACTTGAATAAAATTATGATAGGTAACTTACTTAAATCATCTATTTTTAAGTCAGGTTATACAGTCAGGCTTGGTATTTAATCTTAAAAAATAAACAAACACAAGAAATTTTGTATAGTAAAAATTTAATGAAAAGGAAGTTAATATATTAACTAAATATGAAGAACATATATTGTTACATTAAGCAAAATGTAAAGGTACACATGATATTACATAAAACATGATTTAAACCTTAAAAATAGTTAAATAAATAAATATTTAAATAAATAGATGAATAGAGACATCAGCATGGTCATCTGTAAAGGACTAGTGCCTGCACAGGTAAACACGATGCTTCTTTACACTCCTGAAAACATTTGAAAATTTTGATTCAACTTGTGGTGGTTATAGAAGTGAGTCTTTGAAATGGAAGAACTCATGAAAGTGTGAGATGATGTATTAATCAATGAGGATCATTTCCATGTTGAATGAGTTTTCAATCCTTCCTTCTTAATCCTTTTTGCAAGTTTGTTGAAAAAGAGAAGGATCTCATGATTTCTGCTCTGACAACCTCCCAGGCACAAGGGCTGTATTTCTTCCCCATCAGATAAAGAGTGATTCTTTGAAAGTATTTCCTCACAGCCAGGATGGAGTCCTCATTCATCAGGGCAATCTCTTCCACCCCAACCTCCTGTGTCACACAGGCTTCTAGGTCATTCAGTTGCTGGAAAAGTTCAATGTAGAATTTGTCTAGGAGGGTCTCATCCCAAGCAGCAGATGAATCCTTTGTGCTGAAGAGATTGAAGGTCTGCTGGATCATCTCATGGAAGGCAGAGATGGCTTGAGCCTTCTGGAACTGGTTGCCATCAAACACCTCCTGGGGGAATCCGAAATCATATCTGTCCTTCAGGCAGGAGAAATGAGAGATTCTTCCCATTTGTGCCAGGAGTATCAAGGCCCTCCTATTACCCAGGCTGTGAGTCTGAGGCAGATCACAGCCCAGAGAACAGATGGATTTGTAGCTGAGCACCAGCACGGCCATCAGTAAAGAAAAGGACAGGGCCATTGGGATGTTGCAAATATTGCTAGGCTACTGGAGATGGGTAAACTTGAACCTTGGCCTCTAGGTTTTCTGAAGACTTTGCTCTGTGCATAGTTCTTAAATAGTGAACATACTAATTTCCATTTTCTAAATGCCCTGGTTTTACTTTCTATCTCTGTTTTTGCTTTCTTTATGCACTCTCTACATGTGTTTACATATGTTTTTCATTTTGTTCATCATTGCCTATTTTTCCCCTGCACTCAAAGACTTTTATGGTATTTTTTACTAATTGGAATCTTCATGAAATTTTAATAACACAGATTTGGCATATCTATTTATGTATACTACGTATACCTCTACTTCACAGATAAAAACTATAAAGTTTGCTCTTTTTATTCAATGTAAAGTTAAGAATGACAGAAAAGTTAAACTAAAATCTAAGTTTAAAAGCTGTTGACATATAACTTAATTTGATAAGTATATTTCTGGAATAACTTTTAGTGTAATTCATTAATGTAAATTATATTTTATCAAATTACATATGCAATATAAAAGCTATATAAATACACGTTAATATGAATGTAATTACATACTGAATCATTGAAAACTACTAAATATATGAATCAATAATTTTTTAAAATTTTTCTCATAGTGTATGAAGCTTTGAATTTTGCTTAATATGAGAAAATAATTTGTAAACTTTACTAGCTGCAGTATTCATCCAGATATTGCCAACACTTTTTTCTTTTCAGCACTTGACATAAATATTGATGTGTTGAATAACTGTACTAGAAATAAATCATATGATACAAGCTATTTGCATTGAATTCTCAAAGTCTACAAAACATCCTGAAGAACTGAGGATCAAACATAAGCAATAACCATAAGATAGTCAATGGCAGCCCAAAGGTGTGCAGGTTAAAGCCACATATTATGATAAGATTTTAAGATCAAGCAAAAATGGACAGAATGTCCTCCTATCACAGTCTTCTATTTGCCATAGGTTTGTAACACTGATCTTGCAAATATTTTGTGTATCTTCAGGAACTCAATATCAGTGCTTCTCATGTGATACAGCAGAAAATCCAATGAGAGAGATGTATATTAAGCAATGAAATTTTGTTGGACAGAGTTGTTAGAGAATCACCAACTATTGTAATGTGTTAGGTTAGTTTATACTTCGAGAACCCTTAGGAGAAGTATCACATAGACATATGTGACTTAGAATATATTATCATGTAAAGAATTAATTTTCAGAGTGGTCCTGAACTCTGACTCTACCTTTTCTTTTGCCTAAGAAGTTAGTTTGCCTTGGCCCTATAGATACTGAGTCTTTAAATGGAATGAGGTCTGCTTTAGCAAATCAGCTATTTAGTAAGTGGAGTTTTTACTAGTTTCTCATTTTTTCTTCTACTGGAAAGTGTTCAAGAATGAAGCTATTTTGCTTCCTCATGGCCATATTTGCTGGGATTGTAATAGACAATGACAAAAGTTTCCATTCAGCTTTTACTGAGAGTCAATAATGCCCATTTAGTTTACTGCTTAAACCACTGGGATTCTAGTTTTTTTAAGGTTCATGTAGATCTGGGGATACAAGTTGCAAGAGCAGCATAATATCATCCTTTGCTAGCACTATGTTAACTATTTATGGCTTCATCTCTAATCTGTCCTCTATTTTGTGATAATAGAAAATAAGTAGCCTGGTGTCAAATACAGAGTCACATATCTAATTTCAAACTCTCCAATTCACACAGTTTATAGGAATCAGACAATTTACTATTCCCAAAAGTAGGGAATAATAGCCTCTATCCCCCAAATAATCCTACAGCTTTCCTTCCCTGGATCAAATCCCCAGAATGTGTATGTGAACGGTAGATACTTGTGACATCATTTTTCCATCATTTATAAATTTCAGTTTCAAATCACGTGATAATCTTTAGATGACACTAGTAGAAAATTAGCCTGTTTATATAAAGGTAGAGATTATGAAATGGACCAATTTTAGAAAATAACCAAACACATTTTATTATTCATTATTTTAAATGATTCACTTAAATTCTTTATATCATTGAACAATTAAAATATTCTACATTTTGAAATGTGCACAGGGGTTTCCATAATAGAGGAGGTTTCATTTCAGAAATGTATATTTTGTACATTAATTTAGTAGTTGATCCAGTCAACACATTTTTATTGAATTTTGGGCTAATCCTTTGTATCAGACCCGGACAATACAGGGCAATTTTGCCCAAGTTATTATGCTTAGTCTTTGAAACACTGGGGGAGAGAGTATTTTTTCTTTGTTCACTTGCGATTGTATGGGGAATTTTTGCGTATTCATTTTTTATGTAGTATTTTACTGTGAAAATTTGTTTTTCTATACTTTGATTTCTTTCATTTTCATATTCAGGTTAGTGTCAATGAAACAATGTACCCAGTAGTCATTCAGGAGCAGGTTGTTCAGTTTCCATGTAGTTGAGCGGTTTTGAGTGAGTTTCTTAATCCTGAGTTCTAGTTTGATTGCACTGTGCTCTGAGAGACAGTTTGTTATAATTTCTGGTCTTTTACATTTACTGAGGAGAGCTTTACTTCCAACTATGTGGTCAATTTTGGAATAGGTGTGGTGTGGTGCTGAAAAAAATGTATATTCTGTTGATTTGGGGAGGAGAGTTCTGTAGATGTCTATTAGGTCGACTTGGTGCAGAGTTGAGTTCAATTCCTGGGTATCCTTGTTGACTTTCTGTCTGGTTGATCTGTCTAATGTTGACAGTGTGGTGTTAAAGTCTCCCATTATTATTGTGTGGGAGTCTAAGTCTCTTTGTAGGTCACTAAGCACTACTCGGTACATAACGAAATGAAGGCAGAAATAAAGATGTTCTTTGAAACCAACGAGAACAAAGACACAACATACCAAAATCTCTGGGACACATTCAAAGCAGTGTGTAGAGGGAAATTTATAGCACTAAATGCCCACAAGAGAAAGCAGGAAAGATCCAAAATTGACATTCTAACATCACAATTAAAAGAACTAGAAAAGCGAGAGCAAACGCATTCAAAAGCTAGCAGAAGGCAAGAAATAACTAAAATCAGAGCAGAACTGAAGGAAATAGAGACCAAAAAAACCCTTCAAAAAATTAACCAATCCAGGAGCTGGTTTTTCGAAAGGATCAACAAAATTGATAGACCGCTAGCAAGACTAATAAAGAGAAAAAGAGAGAAGAATCAAATAGACACAATAAAAAATGATAAAGGGGATATCACCACTGATCCCACAGAAATATAAACTACCATCAGAGAATACTACAAACACCTCTATGCAAATAAACTAGAAAATCTAGAAGAAATGGATAAATTCCTCAACACATACACTCCCAAGACTGAACCAGCAAGAAGTTGAATCTCTGAATAGACCAATAACAGGATCTGAAATTGTGGCAGTAATCAATAGCTTACCAACCAAAAAGAGTCCAGGACCAGATGGATTCACAGCCGAATTCTACCAGAGGTACAAGGAAGAACTGGTACCATTCCTTCTGAAACTATTCCAATCAATAGAAAAAGAAGGAATCCCCCCTAACTCATTTTATGAGACCAGCATCATCCTGATACCAAAGCCTGGCAGAGACACAACCAAAAAAGACAATTTTAGACCAATATCCTTAATGAACATTGATGCAAAAATCCTCAATAAAATACTGGCAAACTGAATCCAGCAGCACATATAGAAGCTTATCCACCATGATCAAGTGGGCTTCATACCTGGGATGCAAGGCTGGTTCAATATACGCAAATCAATAAATGTAATCCAGCATATAAACAGAACCAAAGACAAAAACCACATGATTATCTCAATAATTGCAGAAAAGGCCTTTGACAAAATTCAACAACCCTTCATGCTAAAAACTCTCAATAAATTAGGTATTGATGGGACGTATCTCAAAATAATAAGAGCTATCTATGACAAACCCACAGCCAATGTCATACTGAATGGGCAAAAACTGGAAGCATTCTCTTTGAAAACTGGCACAAGACAGGGATACCCTCTCTCACCACTCCTATTCAACATAGTGTTGGAAGATCTGGCCAGTGCAATTAGGCAGAAGGAAATAAAGTGTATTCAACTAGAAAAAGAGGAAATCAAATTGTCCCTGTTTGCAGATGACATGATTGTATATCTAGAAAACTCCATTTTCTCAGCCCCAAATCTCCTTAAGCTGATAAGCAACTTCAGCAAAGTCTCAGGATACAAAATCAATGTACAAAAATCACAAGCACTCTTATACACCAATAACAGACAAACAGAGAGCCAAATCATGAGTGAACTGCCATTCACAATTGCTTCAAAGAGAATAAAATACTTAGGAATCCAACTGACAAGGGATATGAAGGAACTCTTCAAGGAGAACTACAAACCACTGCTCAATGAAATAAAAGAGGATACAAACAAATGGAAGAACATTCCATGCTCATGGGTAGGAAGAATCAATACTGTGAAAATGGCCATACGGCCCAAGGTAATTTATAGATTCAGTGCCATCCCCATCAAGCTACCAATGACTTTCTTCACAGAATTGGAAAAAACTAGTTTAAAGTTCATATGGAACCAAAAAAGAGCCCGCACCACCAAGTCAATCCTAAGCCAAAAGAACAAAGCTGGAGGCATCACGCTACCTGACTTCAAACTATACTACAAGCCTACAGTAACCAAAACAGCATGGTACTGGTACCAAAACAGAGATATAGATCAATGGAACAGAACAGAGCCCTCAGAAATAACGCTGCATATCTACATGTATCTGATCTTTGACAAACCTGAGAAAAACAAGCAATGGGGAAAGGATTCCCTATTTCATAAATGGTGCTGGGAAAACTGGCTAGCCATATGTAGAAAGCTGAAACTGGATCCCTTCCTTACACCTTATACAAAAATTAATTCAAGATGGATTAAAGACTTAAACGTTAGACCTAAAACCATAAGAACCCTAGAAGAAAACCTAGGCATTACCATTCAGGACATAGGCATGGGCAAGGACTTCATGTCTAAAACACCAAAAGCAATGGCAACAAAAGCCAAAATTGACAAATGGGATCTAATTAAACTAAAGAGCTTCTGCACAGCAAAAGAAACTACCATCAGAGTGAACAGGCAACCTACAAAATGGGAGAAAATTTTCACAACCTACTTATCTGACAAAGGGCTAATATCCAGAATCTACAATGAACTCAAACAAATTTACAAGAAAAAAACCAACAACCCCATCAAAAAGTGGGCAAAGGATATGAACAGACACTTCTCAAAAGAAGACATTTATGCAGCCAAAAGACACATGAAAAAATGCTCATCATCACTGGCCATCAGAGAAATGCAAATCAAAACCACCATGAGATACCATCTCACACCAGTTAGAATAGCAATCATTAAAAAGTCAGGAAACAACAGGTGCTGGAGAGGATGTGGAGAAATAGGAACACTTTTACACTGTTGGTGGGAGTGTAAACTAGTTCAACCATTGTGGAAGTCAGTGTGGCGATTCCTTAGGGATCTAGAACTAGAAATACCATTTGACCCAGCCATCCCATTACAGGGTATATACCCAAAGGACTATAAATCCTGCTGCTATAAAGACACATGCACACGTATGTTTATTGAGGCACTATTCATAATAGCAAAGGCTTGGAACCAACACAAATGTCCAACAATGATAGACTGGATTAAGAAGATGTGGCACATATACACCATGGAATACTATGCAGCCATAAAAAAGGATGAGTTCATGTCCTTTGTAGGGACATGGATGAAATTGGAAATCATCATTCTCAGTAAACTATGGCAGGGACAAAAAACCAAACACCGCATGTTCTCACTCATAGATGGGAATTGAACAATGAGAACACATGGACACAGGAAGGGGAACATCACACTCTGGGGACTGTTGTGGGGTGGGGGGAGGGGGGAGGGATAGCATTAGGAGATATACCTAATGCTAAATGATGAGTTAATGGGAGCAGCACACCAGCATGGTACATGTATACTTATGTAACTAACCTGGACATTGTGCACATGTACCCTAAAACTTAAAGTATAATAATAATAAAAAATAAATAAATAAATAAATAAATTGAAAAAAAAGAAAGAATATAAATATAATGTTTAAGTGGGCTATACAATGGTTTTATGTGGCATTCACAACAACAAATGTATTTATATTTCTCACTTCATTTTTCCTGGAAGGCAAAAGTGGTCTGATTTTTCATCTTAATTTATGGGAACAAAAAGAAAACAAATGTATGTCTAAATGTGATAAACATGTAAGAGGAGAAATACCTAATGTAAATGACAAGTTAATGGGTGCAGCAAACCAACATGGCACATATATACCTATGTAACAAACTTGTGCGACGTGCACATGTACCCTAGAATTTGAAGTATAATAATAAAAATAAAAAAGAATGACCAGAAGGGAACTTAGAAAATATCTTGAGACAGATGAAAATGAAAACACAACATACCAAAACATATGTGATGCAGTGAAAACAGAGCTAAAAAGGCAATTGAAATTTGTAAAAGCTTATATCAAAAAAGACGAAAGACTAAAATCAATGAACTAACTTTACAAGTTAAGTAACTAGAAAAAGAAGAAATAAACACATAGCTAGGAAGAGGAAGAAAATAAGAAAGACTAAAGCAGAAATTAATAAAATACAGAATAGAAAAGATTAAAAAATCAATGGAACTAAGCATTAGTCTTTTGAAAGGATCAACAAAATTGAGAAACCCTTAACTATATTAAGAAATAAGTAGAGAAAAATCAAATAAATATCAGAAATAACAGAGGACACATAACAACTGATGGCATAGAAGTAAAAAGGATTGGCCGGGCGTGGTGGCTCACGCCTGTAATCCCAGCACTTTGGGAGGCTGAGGCAGGCAGATCACGAAGTATGGAGATAGAGACCATCCTGGCTAACACAGTGAAACCCCATCTCTACTAAAAATACAAAAAGATCAGCCGGGCGTGGTGGCGGGCACCTGTAGTCCCAGCTACTCAGGAGGCTGAGGCAGGAGAATGGTGTGAACCCCGGAGGCGGAGCTTGCAGTGAGCCGAGATCGCGCCACTGCGTTCCAGCCTGGGTGACAGAGTGAGACTCTGTCTCAAAACAACACATGGACACAGGAAGGGGAACATCACACTCTGGGGACTGTTGTGGGGTGGGGGGAGGGGGGAGGGATAGCATTGGGAGATATACGTAATGCTAGATGATGAGTTAGTGGGTGCAGCGCACCAGCATGGCACATGTATACATAGGTAACTAACCTGCACATTGTGCACATGTACCTTAAAACTTAAAGTATAATAATAATAAATAAATAAAAATATATATATGCAAGCAGAATGGAATTTCAATGTAAAATAAGTTATTGTTATTTATACATGATGTGTAAATTTTGTATTGGGATTTCCTTTAATTATTAATCTCCTTTTTTCCTCAATTATACACAACCATCTCCTGCTCTCTGAATTTCCTTGGTTCATGTTGTATTTTCAGCTGATTTTGACCAACTTTCTTTCTTTCTTTCTTTCTTTCTTTCTTTCTTTCTTTCTTTCTTTCTTTCTTTCTTTCCTTCCTTCTTTCTTTCTTTTTGATTTTGCTTTAAGTTCTGGAATACACGTGCAGAACATGCAGATTTGTTACATAGGTATACGTGTGACATGGTGGTTTGCTGCACCTATCAACTCGTCACCTAGGTTTTAAGCACAATTTTTTTAATCCAGTCTCTCATTGATGGGCATTTGGGTTGGTTTCCTGTCTTTGCTATTGTAAATAATGCTGCAATAAACATACACATGCATGTATTTTTATAAGAGAATGATTTATATTTCTTTGGGTATATACTGAGGAATGGGATTGCTGGGTCAAATGGTATTTCTGGTTCTAGATCCTTGATGAATCGCCACATTGTCTTTCACAATGGTTGAACTAATTTGTGTTCCCACCAAAAGTGTAAAAACTTTCCTATTTCTCCACAGCTTCACCAGCATCTGATGTTTCCTGACTTTTTAATAATCACCATTCTGAGTGGCATGAGACGGCATCTCATAGTGGTTTTGATTTGCATTTCTCTAATAATCAGTGATGTTGAGCTTTTTTCATGTTTATTGGCCGCATAAATGTCTGCTTTTGAGAAGTGTCTGTTCATGTCCTTTGCCCACTTTTTGATGGGGCTTGTTTTTTCTTTGTAAATTTGTTTAAGTTCTTTTTACATTCTGGATATTAGACCTCTGTCAACTGGGTAGACTGTAAAAATTTTCTCCCATTCTGTAAGTTGCCTGTTCACCATGATGATTGATAGTTTCTTTTGCTGTGCAGAAGCTCTTTAATTGATGCCATTTGTCAATTTTAGCTTTGGTTGCAGTTGCTTTTGGCAATTTCATCATAAAATCTTTGCCCATGCCGATGTCCTCAATGCTATTGCCTACATTTTCTTCTAGGGTTTTTCTGCTTTTGAACTTTACATTTAAGTGTTTAATCCATCTTGAGTTAATTTTTGTATAAGGTGTAAGGAAAGGGTCCAGTTTCAGTTTTCTGCATATGGCCATCCAGTTTTCCCAGCACCACTTATTAAATAGGGAATCCTTTCCCCATTCCTAAAGTATTGAGAAAGAGATTCTCTTTTCCAGTTTCTAATTTTATTTTATGAAAGAAATGTGTCAGTTTTTACTGACATTTAACAGAGTATTAATCACAATAATGATCAATTACTATTGTAAATAATTTTATATTTTATGCTTTAAATATATAAAATATTAAATGTATTTATATGATTTACCAATGCATCACATTTATGAAATTTATTCATTGACATGTATTTTCAAAAAGGAAACACTATGCAGATAAAAGATAATCCACAGTTTTGGGGGTTCCAGCTTATGACTTCCCTCCATTGCAAAGGCAGATCTCTCACAATTTTCTGTATGTGTTATCTTGATTTTTCTTTTCTGATTCACTCTTCTACCTACCCCAGTATGGCTTCTGCTGATTAATTCTATCAATCCAGCTCTCAGTAAGCTCTGCATTGCCATCTATTTTCTTGCTGTAGTGCTCAGTTTTAATTCACATTTTCCATAAGTTTATTGATTTCTTTTCTAAGCACATTTATTTTCTAAATACACTTTTTTAATTTTTTAAATTTAATTTAATTTTATTATTATTATACTATAAGTTTTAGGGTACATGTGCACAATGTGAAGGTTAGTTACATATGTATACATGTGCCATGCTGGTGTGCTGCACCCATTAACTCGTCATTTAGCATTAGGTATATCTTTTATCATCATTCCCTCTCGTCCTTCTAATGTTAAGGTTTTCCACCTCTGTTTTCTTTGTGACTCTTCTGTACCCCCACTTTAATGGTGGAAGGTTCTCAGAATCCAGTTTAAGTCTTTTTTTCCCTCTCCACTTGCTCCCCACATGACAGCCTTCATTTTCGGGCTTTCCATTGCCAGTTATGAACTTCCAGATTTCGTATGCCTTGGAAACTGCAAATTCACATATCTGACTTGCAATGTACATCTTCAATTACATGTTGAAGTCAGTTTACAGAGAATATCTCTGCTTTTATTTCCAGATATGTCTCAATCTACATTCTGCTAAGAGGAATTCATTGTATTTTACTTCCTCACATTATAGCAGTTAGCATCACTGATATTAATTCAGCATTATTATTGTTTTTAGATTTCTTTCCTGACAAAAATCAAAGATACAAGAGAACAGGGACTGTATATTTTATGTTCACGTTTATATCTTGAAGGCAACATATAACCAGGTACAGAAAAATGTTTTTTTAATAACTTGAATAAAATTATGATAGATAACTTAATTAAATCATATATTTTTAAGTCAGGTTGTAAAGTCAGCCTCGACATTTTATCTTAAAGAATAAACAAACACAAGAAATTTTGTATAGTAAAAATTTAATGAAAAAGGAAATTAATATATTGGCTAAATATGAAGAACATATATTGTTACATTCACCACAATGTAAAGGTACACATGATATTACATAAAAAAATAATTTAAATCTTAAAAATAATTAAATAAATATTTAAATAAATAGATGAACAGAGACATCAGCATGGTCATCTGTAAAGTACTAGTGCCTGCACAGGTATACACGACGCTTCTTTACACTGCTGAAAACATTTGAAAATTTTGATTCAACTCGTGGTGGTTATAGAAGTGAGTCTTTGAAATGGAGGAACTCATGAAAGTGTGAGATAATGTATTAGTCAATCAGGATCATTGCCATGTTGAACCAGTTTTCAATCCTTCCTCCTTAATATTTTTTGCAAGTTTGTTGAAAAAGAGAGAGATCTCATGATTTCTGCTCTGACAACCTCCCAGGCACAAGGGCTGTATTTCTTCTCTGTTAGATAAAGAGTGATTCTTTGGAAGTATTTCCTCACAGCCAGGATGGAGTCCTCATTCATCAGGGGAGTCTCTTCCATCCCAACCTCCTGTATCACACATGCTTCCAGGTTATTCAGTTGCTGGTAAAGTTCAGTGGAAAATTTTTCTAGGAGGCTCTGTTCCCAAGCAGCAGATGAGTCCTCTGTGCTGAAGAGATTGAAGGTCTGCTGGATCATCTCATGGAGGACAGAGATGGCTTGAGTCTTCTGGAACTGGTTGCCATCAAACTCCTCCTGGGGAAGTCCAAAGTCATGTCTGTCCTTCAGGCAGGAGAAAGGAGAGATTCTTCCCATTTGTGCCAGGAGTATCAAGGCCCTCCTATTACCCAGGCTGTGGGTCTGAGGCAGATCACAGCCTAGAGAACAGATGGATTTGTAGCTGAGCACCAGCACGGCCATCAGTAAAGAAAAGGACAGGGCCATTGGGATGTTGCAAATGTTGCTAGGCTACTTGAGATGGGTAACCTTGAACTTTGGCCTCTAGGTTTTCTGAAGACTTTGCTCTGTGCATAGGCCTTAAATAGTGAACATACTAATTTCCATTTTCTAAATGCCCTAGTTTTACTTTCTATGTCTGTTTTTGCTTTCTTTTTGCACTCTCTACATGTGTTTAAGAATGTTTTTCATTGTTTTTCATCATTGCCTATTTTTCCCCTGCACTCAAAGTCTTTTATGGTATTTTTTTGTAATCGAAATCTTCATGAAGTTTTAATAACACAGATTTGGCATATGTATTTATGTATACTATGTATACCTCTACTTCACAGATAAAAACTATAAAGTTTGCTTTTTTTATTTAACGTAAAGAATGACAGAAAAGTTAAACTAAAATCTAAGTTTAAAAGCTATTGACATTTAACTTAACTTGATAAGTATATTTGTGAAATAACTTTTAGTGTAATTTGTTCATGTAAATTTTGTATCAAAGTACCTATGCAAAATAAAAATCTATATAAATACACATTAATAATATGAATATAATTACATACCTAATCATTCAAAACTCCTAAAAATAAGAATCAATAATTTTTTAAAATTTTTCTCTTAGTGTATGAAGCTTTGAATTTTGCTTTATATGAGAAAATAATTTGTAAACTTCACTAGCTGCAGTATTCATCCACATATTGCCAACACTTGTTTCTTTTCAGCACTTGACATAAATGTATATGTGTTGAATAACTTTAGTAGAAATAAATCATATAACATAAGCTATTTGCATTGAATTCTCAAAGTCTACCAAACATCCTGAAGAACTGAGGATCAAACATAAGTAATAACCATAAGATAGTCAATGGCAGCCCAAATATATGCAGGTTAAAGCCACATACTGTGATAAGACTTTAAGATCCAGCAAAAAATGGACAAAAAGTCCTTCAATCACAGTCATCTATTTGCCATAGGTTTGTAACACTGATCTTACAAATATTTTGTTTACCTTCATGAACTCAATACCAGTGCTTCTCATATCGTACACAAGAAAATCCAATGAGAAAGATGTATATTAAGCAATGAAATTTTGTTGGATAGAGTTGTTGGAGAGTCACAAACTATTGTAATATGTCAGATTTGTTTACATAAACTACAAGAACTAATTTTTGTACTCTTCGAAGAAGTATCATTCCAATAAACATATGTGACTTAGGAAATATTATAAGTTAAATCATTTTTGGCATTTTTCATTGAAGTTCATATTCCCTAAAGATTTTCAGAAGTTCCTATCCAAGTCAATTCTTATCAAATAAAAAAGACCATCTTTGTTCTAAATTCATAAATTTATAAATATTGAATATTATTATGCAAAGAATTAACTTTCAGAGTGGTCCTGAACTCTGGCTCTACTTTTTTTTTTTTTTTTGCATAAGTAGGCCCTATAGATACTGAACCCTTAAATGGAATGAAGTCTGCTTTAGCAAATCAGCTATTTAGTAAGTGGAGTTTTTACTAGTTTCTCATTTTTTCTTCTACTGGAAAGGGTTCAAGAATGAAGCCATTTTGCTTCCTCATGCACATATTTGCTGGGATTATAATAGATAATGACAAAAATTTCCATTCAGCTTTTACTGAGAGTCAATAATGCCCATTTAGTTTACTGCTAAAACCACTGGGATTCCAGTTTTTTTAAAGTGCATGTAGATCTGGGGATTCAAGTTGCAAGAGCAGCATAATATCATCCTTTGCCTAGCACTATATTAACTATTTATGACTTCATCTCTAATCTGTCCTCTACTTTGTGATAATAGAAAATAAGTAGCCTGGTGTCAAATACAGAGTCACATATCTAAATTCAAACTCTCCAATTCACACAGTTTATAGGAATCAGACAATTTACTATTCCCAAAAGTATGGAATAATAGCCTCTCTCCCCCAAATAATCCTACAGCTTTCCTTCCCTGGATCAAATCCCAAGAATGTGTATGTGAATTGTAAAGACTTGTGACATCATTTTTCCATCATTTATAAATTTCAGATTCAAATCTCGTGATAATCTTTAGATGACACTGGTAGAAAATGAGCTGGTTTATATGAGGTAGAAATTATGAAATGGATCAATTTTAGAAAATAACCAAACACATTTTATTATTCATTATTTTAAATGATTCACTTAAATTCTTTATATCATTGAACAATTAAAATATTCTACATTACGAAATGTGCACAGGGGTTTCCATACTAGAGGAGCCTTCATTTCAGGAATGTATATTTTGTACATTGATTTAGTAGTTGATCCAGTCAACACATTTTTATTGAATTTTGGGCTCATCCTTTTATTAGACCCTGAGAATACAGGGCAATTTTGCCCGAGTTATTATTCTTAGTCTTTGAAACACTGGGGGAGAGAGTATTTTTTCTTTGTTCACTTGAGATTGTATTGGGAATTTTTGCATATTCATTTTTTATGTTGTATTCTACCGTGAAAATTGGTTTTTCTATACTTTGATTTCTTTCATTTTCACATTCACGTTAGTGTCAATGAAAGAATACAAATATAATTTTTAAATGGACTATACAATGATTCTATGTGGCGTTCTATGTGGCATTCACAACAGCAAATATATTTATATTTCTCACTTCACTTTTCCTACAAGGTAAAAGTGGTCTGATTTTTCATCTTAATTTATGGGCACAAAAAGAAAACAAATGTAGGTCTAAAAGTGATAAACATGTAAGAGGAGAAATACCTTATGTAAATGACAAGTTAATGGGTACAGCAAACCAACATGGCACATACTTGCACGTTGAGCACATTTACCCTGGAACTTAAAGTATAGTAAAAAAAAAATGCCCAGAGGGGAACTTAGAAAATATCTTGAGAGAGATGAAAATGAAAACACAACATACCAAAACATATGTGATGCAATGAAAACAGAGGTAGAGGGGAAAATGAAAGCTGTAAAAGCTTATATTAAAAAAGAAGAAAGACCTCAAACGAATGAACTAACTTTACAAGTTAAGGAACTAGAAAAAGAAGGAATAAACACATAGTAAGGAAGAGGAAGAAAATAAGAAAGACTAAAGCAGACCCCAGGTCTTCATCCTTACTTCTCAGTCCTTGCAAGTTTGTTGATGAAGAGAAGGATTTCATGATTCCACTCTGAGAACCTCCCAAGCACAGTCACTGTATTTCTTCTCTTTCAGGTAGATTCTCTGGATTCCCATGGATTCCCTGGAAGTACCTCCTCAAGGCCAGTGTAGGGCCACAATCACCCCTACAGATTCTTCCTCTCCTATTGCCTGCCCTAAGCAAGACTCCAGGCATCCTAGCTACAGATGAAATCCAGTGTGGAGCTGGTCCAGGAGGGTCATGTTCCAGGCAGCAGAGGAGCACTCTGTGGGGTAGACGCTGAAGATCTGCTGAAGCATCTCATGGAGGACAGACAGGGCCTGGGCCTTCTGCAACTGGCTGCCATCCACATCTCCAGGGGGAACCTGAAGTCTCTTCTGTCCTTGAGACACAAGAAAGTGGAGATTCTCTGCATTTGGCCCAGAAGAGCCAAGGTGTTCCTGCTAAGTAGGCCATGGTTCTGAGGCAGGTCAAAGCCCAGAGATCCAACAGGGCCACAGTGGCAAAGCAGCAGGGCCACCAGTAGAAGCAGTAGGACCATTGGGAAACGAGGGTGCTGCTGGCCTAGCTGAGCTGGGGTCTGGATGAACCCTGGACTCCAGGTTCTCTCAAGGCATTCTTTTTATGCATGGCTTATAGTTGGAAACAAATAGTTTTCAGGGTTGGCCAAGACGGCCACCTAGAAGCTGCTAGTGTGTGCCACTCTCGTGGAGAGAAATGGAAGGGGCAAGTAAATACAGCACCTTCAACTGAAACATCCAGGTACACACATTGGGACTCAACAGCTTGACCCATGGAGAACAGAGCAAAGCAAGGCAGGACGACTGCCCACCAAGGAGTGTCACAGAGCCAGGGGAGCCTCTCCTTCCCAGGGAAGTGGTAAGTCAGCAGCCCTGGGGACCCATGCTTCTCTCACGGATCTTTGCAATCCTCAGATCAGGAGATCTCCTAGTGAACCCACTCTACCAGAGCCTTCAGTCTGACATGCAGGGCTACGTAGGGTTTCAGCAGAGCAGCTGCTCAGGCATGCATGGGTACCCTGGAGCCTTAGATACCCAGGCTTCCCCACAAAAGAAGCTATAACTCCAGCCAAGCAGGACGCTAGACCCCTATACATACCCCTAGGAAAGGGGTTTCATTCAGGGTGCTGGGCAGTGACAAGTGGCAGGCCCACCTTCCATGGCCTGTCTCAGGGTAAGACCCACTGGCTTGGGAATCCAGCCAGACACTGGTAGCAGCGTCACACCTCCCTGACATGGAGCTCCCACCGGCAGGGTGTGGGCTGCTATCTTTGCTGTTTCACAGCCTTAGCTATTGGAGCCTTTGTGTTCTAGGGAGTCCAAGGCAGCTAGGGACTGGAGCAGCCACCCAGCACAGCCCAGCAGCTCTACAGAGAAGCAGTCAGATTGCTTATTCACATCGATCCCAAATCCTGTTTCTTTTCTGTAGGTGGAATCTCCCCACTGGGGTCTCCAGTCACCTCCACCACTGTTTTCTAGTGGACCGCAGTTTCGAATATCCCTGGGATGGCGCTCCCAAAGGGAAGGGTAGGTAGCCTTTGTTGCCGTTTAGCAGCCTTAGCCATTCTTGAAAATGCCATTCTTCGTGCTGGCGGTGGTAGCAGACCCCCAGCACAGCACAGCTGCTCTACCAAAAAGTGGCCAGACTGTTTTTTCACCTGAGTCCCTGATACTGTTTCTCCTCAGTGGGTGAGATATCCCCACCGGGGTCTCCAGCCACCTCCTGCATGTATGTTGCAGGAGGCAACAGGTTGTACCTCTCTGGAACAGAGCTCCCAGGGGGAGGGGCAGGCCCTCATCTTCACTGTTTCATAGCCTTCACTGTTGATATCTTCAGGTACTGAAAAATGTGAAGTGACTATGGTCTGGATTGGACCCCCAGCATATTGCAGCAGCCCTATGGAAAAGTGGCCAGATTGTGTGTTATGTCGGTCCGTGATCCCCTCTCTCTTCACTGGGTGGGTCTGCCAGGCTTGGGTCTGCAGCTACCAGTTGGGGCTATTGAGCCAATGACAGCTCTGCATCTCCCTGGAACAGAGCTCCCAGTGAGAAGGGTGGGTTGCCATCTTTGCTTTCTCACAGCTCTTGCCCTTGCTGTCTCCAGGCTCTGGAGAGTCTGTAGGGAACAGTGGCTGGTCCAGATCCCCAAAACAGAGCAACTGCCTCACAGAAGAGTGACCATACTGTTCTCCATACAGTTCCTGGTTGTCACCTCTCCTCTGTGGGCAGATCCACCTGACCAGACTCCAGCACAGGCACCCTTCCCCTGCCTCATCTCCTCAATCAGGCAGTCCAGCATTTCTCAAAGGAAGAAATCCTACAGTCAACCCACAACCCATCCACCACTACTGTTGCAGTGGGACAGCCCCAGCAGCCCTCTGGCTGGGGAAGGAACAAAGGGCCTAGTCACTACACTCTCACCTCCAGCACACCATAGCCACCATACAAAGAGGAGTCCAGCCTTTCTTCCCTGAGAATCTGCATCCCTATTCTTCAGGAGGCAGGGCCCCCAGCCCATGACTGCAAAACAGTCAACCTACCCATAGCTGAGCATATCCACTGGTAGTTGCCTGGAGTTTCCCTGGGGAGAGGCTCCCACAGCCATCCTACCTCTGCCACTGCCACAGCAGCAGTTTTATCCCTGCTGCCTTGGGTCTGGGGAAGAAACAAAGAGTCTGAAGCTCTTTGTTTACGAGCTTGCAGCAAGCCACTGTCACATGAACTTACAGCACACTGCAGTTACCATATGGTGAGAACAGTCTCTCCTCCTGGTAAGATTGCCACCTTCTATTACCCAAAAAGTGAAGCCCCAAGCTTACACCAGCAGTGCAGCCACCCCACTCCTCTGGCTAAACACTGCCATTAACATGGCTTCACATTTCTTGGAGGTGGAGACCCCAGGGGCAACAGAAAGCCTGTCTACCACTGCCTCTGCAGTGGTACTACCCCAGCTACCTTGGAACTGATGAAGGAGCAGAGACCTCAAGTACCTTATCCATACCTCCAACAAGCTGCCGTCAACCCAAGAGAGGAGGCCAGTCTGTCTGCCATTGGTCAATCACCCACCCCTCACATCACCAGGCAGGGAACCCCTGGCTTGGGCCCACAGGACACACTCCCATCCCACGCTGATTGCACTGAGTGACTGCTGACCTGCTTCTCTGTGGTGGAGCCCCCCGGAGACAAGCAAAAGACCCTCAGTTACAACAACTACTAAGGTCCCTTCCTTCGATGGCTCCAAGTTGGGGAGAAAACATTAACCCTGAGATCACCCCAGAGCTGTTGTGGGCAGCCTGGGAGTGCCAAGATACAAGGTACAGTCAGCACTCAAGTGGGAGAGGAGCCCAAACTTTCAAAGCATTGAGATGGAGCACGTGTACAACCGTGAGGAAATGTAGGTGAGCCCCATGACTGAGCAAGAGCCTGACAACTGACCACTGCACCTAAGAGTCACCTACTAGGTCATGCCCAAAGCTTCAACACCAACAAATCTCACTAACACACCCTCATTCAACCAAAGACATGTCAGCTACAAATAAAGACCCTGCACAAAGCTACAGCCCTGTGAACACAGCCAGAAAATAAGTCTCTTTATTGATTGAACTCAAGCTACACTCCCATATGCAGAGATGAGAAAGAACCAATGCAAGAACTACAGTAACTCAAATGGACAGAGCATCTTATGTCCTCCAAATAATCACACTAGTTCTCCAACAAGGGTTCTTAACCAAAATGAGTTAGCTAAAATGACAGAAATATAATTCAGAATAGGGATAGAAAGGAATTCCATTGAGATTCAGGAAAACAGTAAAACCTAAACCAAGGAAACTAAGAATCACAATCAAAAGAGAGAAGAGTTGATAGCCAAATAGCCAGTATGAAAAAGAACCTAACGGACCTAGTAGATGTACACACTACAAGAATTTCACAATGCAATCACAAGTATTAACAGCAGAATAGACCAAGCTGAGGACAGAATCTCAGGACTTGAAGACTGGCTCTCTGAAATAAGACAATCAGACAAAAATAAAGAAAAAAGAATGAAGAGCAATGAACAAAACCTCCAAGAAATAGGGGGTGGTATAAAGAGGCCAAATCTAGGAATCACTTCCATCCTTTAAAGAGACAGGGAGAAAACAAACAACTTGGAAAATGTATTTCAGGATATAGTCTATGAAAGCTTCCACAATCTTGATAGAGAGATCACAAATCAAATTCCCTTGAAGTTCTACACCCAGATTGACCGGCTCTTCTCATTCCTAGTCTAGCACAATCCATAGAGGAAGGGATAAGTTAGGAGGTCCCGGGGAGGCTGGGCAGGCTGGAGGAAAGGGACATATCCAGACCCTTTCTCTTTCCCCATAGCTGTCCATTGCCCCAAGAGGACATGTCATGCCTGAAGCTGGGAGTATTTTCTCTCTCCACGATACAGAAGTTAAGGAAATGGGCTAATTCCAGTACCGTGATAGTTCTTTCTTGGGAAGAGCCTCTTTTTAGCTATGAAGATAAATATCCTGCCAGGAGGCCTACTTCTGCATTCACAGCCTGCTGTCCTCAGACTTGGCTGCTGTGTTGGTGCACTTTGACCAGTTGGTGGCTCTCTTTCCCTGTAAATCTTGTAATAGTCTCAAAGTAGAATGGAACCTGCGTTTTATTTCCTTTTTTGCTAAGCTACTGTTATGTCATTGCAACAGCGACATTCCGTGTTTTACAGAAATATTCATCATAAGAAAGGAAAAAGAGTATTTTATAAAAAGAGCTTCTGAAAAACCTAGAACTTTCACTGACCTTCTGCTTTAATTTGTGATTTTGTGCTCTTAAGGGAAAAGTGATGGGTAAAACCCACAAGAGAACTGAAAACAGCTGTATGAAGAGGCAGTGCAGGCTAATGATGAGTGAAGAAGAGAGCACAGTGCGCATTTCTAGAGGAAGAGGAAGGAAACTAATGTGATATGGGAGTGAAAAAATGGGATACAGAAAAGCATGGAGGAAAGGGAAAAGTGTGTCAGCTCTCAGAACCAGCAAAGATGTATATTTTACTTAAGTTTAGGAGAGTAACTTCATATGGGAGTGTACTCTGGGATTCTGAGAGCCAGGAAACAAATGTTCCAGGTGCCAGAATCAGTTAACCATCAACACGTGTATTCTGCACTTCAATCTAGATGCTGCTCCTCTGTCAGGTATTTATAGAAGCCACCATTTCCTGACTAAGTGTAAGTAGGACTTTGAAATGAGGTGAGACAATTTTTCAGCCTCTTTAGAATTCATGATAGAATTCTGTTTTTTTAGGCTGCCAAAAAAATATATATGCAACCAGAATGGAATTTCAATGTAAAATAAGTTATTGTTATTTATACCTGATGTGTAAATTTTGAATTGGGATTTGCTTAATAATTATTAATCTCGTTTTTTCCTCATTTATACACAACCATCTCCTGCTCTCTGAATTTCCTTGGTTCATGTTGTATTTTCAGCTGATTTTGACCAACTTGCTCTCTCTCTTTCTTTCTTTTTTTTTTTTTTGATTTTGCTTTAAGTTCTGGAATACATGTGCAGAACCTGTAGATTTGTTACATAGGTATACATGTGCCATGGTGGTTTGCTGCACCTATCAACTTGTCATCTAGGTTTTAAGCACAATTTTTAAAAATCCCATCTATCATTGATGGGCATTTGGGTTGGTTTTGTGTCTTTGCTATTGTAAATAGGGCTGCAGTAAACATACACGTGCATGTATTTTCATAATAGAATGACATATATTTCTTTGGGTATTACTCAGGAATGGGATTGCTGGGTCAAATGCTATTTCTGGTTCTAGATCCTTGATGAATTACCACAGTCTTCCACAATGGTTGAAGTAATTTACATTCCCACCAACAGTGTAAAAGCTTTCCTGTTTTTCCACAGCTTCACCAGCATCTGTTGTTTCCTGACTTTTTAATAATCACCATTCTGAGGGGCATGAGATGGTATCTCATTGGTGTTTTGATTTTCCTTTCTCTAATGATCAGTGATGTTGAGCTTTTTTCATCTTTATGGGCCACATAAATGTCTCCTTTTGAGAAATGTCTGTTCATGTTTTGCCACTTTTTGATGTTTTTTTTTCTAAATTTGTTTAAGTTCTTTTTACATTCTGGATATTAGACCTCTGTCAATTGGATAGACTGCAAAAATTTTCTCCCGTTCTGTAGGTTGCCTGTTCGCTGTGATGACTGATAATTTCGTTTGCTGTGCAGAAGCTCTTTAATTAGATGCCATTTGTCAATTTTAGCTTTAGATGCAGTTGCTTTTGGCAATTTCATCATAAAATCTTTGCCCATGCCTATGTCCTGAATGCTATTGCCTATGTTTTATTCTAGGGTTTTTATGGTTTTGGGTTTTACATTTAAGTCTTATATCCATCTTGAGTTAATTTTTGTATAAGATGTAAGGAAGGGTCCAGTTTCAGTTTTCTGCATATGGCTATCCAGTTTTCCCAGCACCATTTATTAAATAGGGAATCCTTTCCCCATTCCTAAAGTATTGAGAAAGAGATTCTCTTTTCCAGTTTCCAATTTTATTTTATGAAAGAAATGTGTCAGTTTTTACTGACATTTAACAGAGTATTAATCAAAATAATGATCAATTACTATTGTAAATAATTTTACATTTTATGCTTTAAATATATAAAATATTAAATGTATTAATATGATTTATCAGTGCATCACATTTATGAAATTTATTCATTGACATGTATTTTCAAAAAGGAAACACTATGCAGATAAAAGATAATCCACATTTTTGGCGGGTCCAACTTATTACTTCCCTCCATTGCAAAGGCAGATCTTTCACAATTTTCTGTATGTGTTATCCTGATTTTTCTTTTCTCATTGATTCTTCTACCTACCCCAGTATGGCTTCTGCTGATTAATTCTATCAATCCAGCTCTCAGTAATCTCTGCATTGCCATCTATTTTCTTCCTGTAGTGCTCAGTTTTAATTCACATTTTCTATAAGTCTATTGATTCTTTTTATAAGCATGTTTGTTTTCTAAATACACTTTTATCATCATTCCCTCTTCTCCTTCTAATATTGAGGTATTCCACCTCTGTTTTCTTTGTGTCTCTTCTGTTCCCACACTTTAATGGTGGAAGGTCCTCAGAATCCAGTTTAAGTCTTTTTTCCCTCTCCACTTCCTCCCCACATGACAGCCTTCATTTTTGGCCTTTCCATTGCCAGTTATGAACTTCCAGATATCGTATTCCTTGGAAACTGCAAACTCATATATCTGACTGGCAATGTACATTTTCAATTACATGTTTGAAAGTCAGTTTATCTCTACTTTTTTTTCCAGACATGTCTCAATCTACCTTGTGCTAAGAAGAATTCATTGCTTTTTTACTTCGTTACCATACAGCAGTTTGTATAACTGATATTAATTCAGCATTATTATTGTTTTTAGATTTATTTCCTGACAAAAATCAAAGATACAAGAGAACAGGAGCTGTATTTTTTATATTCATGTTTACATCCTTAAGGCAACATATAACCTGGTATAGAAAATGTATTTTTCTATAACTTGAATAAAATTATGATAGGTAACTTGATTAAATCATCTATTTTGAAATCAGGTTGTACAGTCAGGCTTGACGTTTTATCTTAAAAAATAACCAAACACAAGAAATTTTGTATAGTAAAAATTTAATGAAAAAGGAAATTAATATATTGGCTAAATATGAAGAACATATTTGTTATATTAACCACAATGTAAAGGTACACATGATATTACATAAAAAATAATTTAAATAATAAAAATAGTTAAATAAATAAATATTTAAATAAATAGATGAAAGGAGACATCAGCATGGTCATCTGTAAAGGACTAGTGCCTGCACAGGTATACATGATGCTTCTTTACACTCCTGAAAACATTTGAAAATTTTGATTCAACTTGTGGTGGTTATAGGAGAAGTGAGTCTTTGAAATGGAAGAACTCATGAAAGTGTGAGATGATGTATTAGTCAATGAGAATCATTTCCATGATGAACCAGTTTTCAATCCTTCCTCCTTAATCTTTTTTGCAAGTTTGTTGAAAAAGAGAGGGATCTCATGATTTCTGCTCTGACAACCTCCCAGGCACAAGGGCTGTATTTCTTCTCCATCAGATAAAGAGTGATTCTTTGGAAGTATTTCTTCACAGCCAGGATGGAGTCCTCATTCATCAGGGGAGTCTCTTCCACCCCAACCTCCTGTATCACACAGGCTTCCAGGTCATTCATTTGCTGGAAAAGTTCAATGTAGAATTTTTCTAGGAGGGTCTCATCCCAAGCAGCAGATGAGTTCTTTGTGCTGAAGAGATTGAAGGTCTGCTGCATCATCTCATGGAGGACAGAGATGGCTTGAGCTTTCTGGAACTGGTTGCCATCAAATTCCTCCTGGGGAAATTCAAAGTCATGTCTGTCCTTCAGGCAGGAGAAAGGAGAGATTCTCCTCATTTGTGCCATGAGCATCAAAGTCCTCCTGTTATTCAGGCTGTGGGTTTGAGACAGATTACAGCCCAGAGAGCAGCTTGACTTGCAGCTGAGCACCACCAGGGCCATCATTAAAGCAAAGGGCAATGCCATTGGGAATCCCGAAGATGCTGCTGGGCTGGTTGATGAGGGGTAACACTGAACCTTGGGTTGTAGGTTTTCTGAAGACCTTGCTCTGTGCATAGGTCTTAAATAAGGAACATACTAGCTTCCATTTTCTGAACGTCTTCATGTTTTTTTCTACTTCTCTTTTGGCTTTCCTTTATGTCCTGTCTACATGGGTGTAGAGCAGTTTCTCAACCACTTTTATTTTCAGTATTACCTCATCTTTCCCTGCCCCATGGGCTTTTTAGAAATTTCTTTCTAATTCAAAGTCCCATTAAATTTTAATAACACAGACATACCATATATTTGTTGATATACTGTACATATCTATTTATAAGGAGTGTAAAGTTTAATCTTTTTATTTAACATAGTGTTAAGAATGACCAAATGGGCTGGGCCCGGTGGCTCACACTTGTAATTCCAGCACTTTGGGAGACCAAGGCAGATGGATCACGAGGTCAGCAGTTCAAGACCAGACTTGCCAACATGGTGAAACCCCGTCTCTGCTAAAAATACAAAAATTAGTCGGGCATGGTGGCAGGTGCCTGTAATCCTAGCTACTCAGGTGGCTGGAGCAGGAGAATTGCTTGAACCCGGGAGGCAGTGGTTGCAGTGAGCCAAGATTGCAACATTGCACTCCAGCCTGGGTGACAGAGCGAGTCTCCATCTCAAAAAAAAAAAGAAAGAAAGAAAAAAAGAAGACCAAATGAAATTTTTAAGCTAAAAGTTAATAGTTAAATTTAAAACCCATGGACATTTAACTCAATTTGTTTGTGTCTTTAAAATGATTTATTTACCTATATAAATTGTAATGTGTCCAATTCCATCAGCAAATTAACAAATTATAAAAACACATAATAATACCTAATATTATAAAATACTTAAAAATCATTTAAAACTGCTAAAGACTACTAAAATTTAATTTTTTAACATTTACTTTTAGTCTAACTTAATTTTCTGTCATGTTAGAAAATGTTTAACTTCACTAGCTGCTAGATATTCATCCAGATATTGTATAGATTTTTTTCTCTTCAGTGCTTGACATAATTATTGATGTATTGAGCACCTTTAGTAGAATTAAATAATAAAATATAAAGTATTTGCATTTAATTCTGAAAGCCCACAGCACAGTCAGAAATGCTAAGGATTAAACATAAGCAACATTCACAAGATGGCTAATGACAGCCCATATGTATACAGAGGCCACCTCAGATGTTATGACTTTGATGTCTAGTAAACCTTAGAAATTCCTCCAATCACAGCACCCATTTGACATAGGTTTGTAACGCTGATCTTATATACCTTGTGTGTATCTTCCATGAACTCAATGTCAGTACTTTTCATGTGATACACAAGATAACCCAATGGAAAAAAAGTACTAAGGAATAAGGTTTTGTCAGATAGAGTTGAGTTTTAGAGTGCTACCAATCACCGAAATACCCAAGATTTGTCAACACACTCAAAAATAACTTTTACACTTTTGGGAGCAATATCATACTGAAGGAGTATATGTAGTTAAGAAAAAGCCATTAATTTGATTAAACAAATTTTTGGCCCTAAAATTCAAATTTCCAAAGGACCTGCAGATGTTCCAATTCTAGTTGATTTTTATCAAACTAAAGGAAACCCTTTTTGTCCTAAATGTCCATAATGGGATGTAAATGTGATAACATAAATGTGTTGTACAATTGTTTCACATGCAGGACACCAGAAACCTTTATTTCTCATTTTCATTTTCATTTTTATTGAAAACAAAGGTTGTCACTTTTTGCATCCTAAAGAACTGGGACAAAAGAAACCCCAAAACAAATGTATATCTAAATGTGATAAAAATGTAAAAAGGAAGCAATATATTAATGGGAAAAAAACAAGGACAAAAAGCAACTTACGTACATTCAGCCCAGCCAAGTTGGAGATTAAGGAATGGGGAAGAACAGAAGCAGGAAAGTAGAACGGATGTAGATCAAAGGCAGCAAATGGGCATGGGCTAGAAGAAAAGTAATCATTCCTGAACAAGGGTGTGTTTTCTGCTTTTCTGAATACAGCCTTCACAGAGAGTCATGGGACACACACCAACCGCTAGAGTTTATACACAAAAAAGGCAAATTTTAAAGACTACAGTATATTATCCACATAATGGGTAAGTGTTATTTCCCAAGCTCTCCCTTAATGTATACATAAACTCAAGAGGTCAATGTTTTTCTTATCATGTCTCTTAGAAGAAAGAAAGGAATCGATAATTTCAAAGGACACTTCTCCCAACTTAATAATGTGTGTGTTTTCAAATTTTTGGATTTTAGCCTTTCTAATATGTATGTAGTGGTATCCCATTATTGTTTTAATGTGCAATTCCCTAATAATGTGTGATGCTGAGCATATTTTCATATGTTATTTGCCATCTTTGTATCTAGTTTGATTAGGAGTATATTCAGAGGTTTTGCCTAATTTCTAATTGGGTTGTTTGTTTTCTTATTGCTGAGTTTTAAGTATTCTTTGAATATATATATATATACATATATATGTGTGTGTGTGTGTGTGTGTGTGTTAATTTTTAATTTTTGTGGGTATATAGTAGATGTATATATTTAAGGGGTACATGAGATATTTTGGTACAGGCATACAATGAGTAATAATTTCATCAGGGTAAATGGGGTACCCATCACCTGAAGCTTTTATCCTTCGTGTTACAAATAATCCAATTATACTCTTTTAGTTATTTTTAAATGTACAATAAATTAGTGTTGACTATAGTCACAATGTTATGCTATCAAACTAGATCTTATTCATTTCTATATAATGGTATTTTTGTATCCCTTAGCCTTTCCCTCTTTCCTCCTCCACTACCCTTCTCAGACTCTGGTTACTATCATTCTACTCACTATTTCCATGAGTTCAATTGTTTTAATTTTTAGCTCCTACAAGTGAGAACATGCGAAGTTTGTCTTTCTATGCCTGGCTTATTTCACTTAACACAATGACTTCCAGTTCCATCCATGTTATTGCAAATGATAGGATATCATTTTTTTAATGTGTCAATTGTACTCCATTGTATATGTGTATGTATTATTTGTATATTTTGGATAACAGCCATTTGTCAGATGTCTTTGCAAATATATTCTCCCAGTATGTGGCTTTTCAAATTCTCATGACAGTGTCTTTTGCAAAGCAGGAGTTTTAATTGTAATAAAATCCAATGTATCACTTTTTTAAATGAATCATGCTTTTGGTATTTTATCTAAAGTTATCATCAAACACTAGGTCATCTAGATTTCCATGTTTTCAAAAGGACACATTTTTGAAAAACATATCTTCTTTTCTTACTAGGTATGACTCTTACAGTTGGTGCCAATATTCGTAATGCAAATCCTAGTTATATTCAGGTATAATGGGTGTGGGAATTTCAATTACAAAACCAACATTATCTTCATCCTTTTCACAGTACCATCTCACCTCAGAATACTGAGGTTTCACGTCTCTAGTGACACCCTCTGTTCTGAAGTGACAAAATGTAGCTTGATTAATATGCATATAGCCATGTGTCCTGACCTCCAACTCTCCCTGACTCAACCCCCTTTGGTAGGGCATGGGTTAATTCTGTCAGTAAGATATTCCTTTATTGGGTAGTCTCAAGTGTCCCCAAAATAATCCCCCAACATTCTTCTCATTGCCTAAGCACTACTCCTATTTACCAAGTGTGAATATAACTGAGAAAGTAGCTAACTGAGAAAGTAGCGAGATGTAACCTTCTCTCCTCCTGACCCAGGTGTCAAATAGTCTGACAGCCTACACATGATTCCAGCAAACATTTTTTGTATTCCCATGCTCCCATTACCAGATATGCAATAAAGAATCTCAATTTATACCTCCACCCATGGCATTTATCATTAAATCTTGACCCACATACCCAACTGTCAATATGATTTCTGTACTTTCATGTTTTCCAGGCACCTTAGAAAGGAAATTTATTATTTTTTTCCAGCATGATTCATACCTAAAATTTTTGTTATATAAACATCATTGTCCTTTACTTCTTTTTGTAGTATTTCATATAAGTGAAATTAAGTAAATATTAGTACAGCTTTTATATTTCTTTCTCTGTAATAATTCAAGTTTCCACAAAGAAGGAAGTGTATTACCTTTATTCACCTGTGTTTCCTGACAGCAATTCCATAATATATCACTTTGCTGACAAATTTTTACATATGATATGAAGGGAATGAAAGAAAAAGTAAATGAATATTGTCATTCATTCTTCATTTGGGTTTAGAAAACCAGAATTTGGAATTTATTTTTAGAACAAAAAATCCAAAAATTTTTCTTTACTAAGAATGTATTAAATAATACTTTTTTTAATCAAATGAAAAGTTGAACATGTATTACACACTTTAGTACAATGTAAAAGTGAATATCTATTATAGGAAATAGACAAATATTAGAAATATGACAAGTTGCAAGAGTAAATATAAATAATATAGCAA
This sequence comes from Homo sapiens, assembly GCF_000001405.40. NCBI lineage: Eukaryota > Metazoa > Chordata > Mammalia > Primates > Hominidae > Homo > Homo sapiens. The sequence goes on from NC_000009.12 coordinate 21,244,426, forward strand.
AAATTTGTTCTAAGTAGGTGGGGGAAGTATTCAATTGCCATAATTTTAACTTTAGTAAGCAAATAATTTTTATTTTGAAAATTGTAGATTTTATTGGTCAACTCTTACTTTCATTCTTCAATACTTAAAACTATTGAACACTTGCTTGATTTGACCTTTCTGAGCTGGCCACAGGGGTGTTAATAATGTTGATAATGTTGTCTCTTGTTGGCAACTAATATGACAGAAACTAGGACTTTCAGTTGTTTATCCAGTTAGTGTTTTTCTTGGGGTTGTTTACCTGCATCTCTGCCTTACTCTGACAGTACAGGGCAAGTTAGGCTCCAGACTATTCTGTCAGGAAGAAATAGGCTTCTTTCCTTTATTGGTTTGTGGTTTTTTGTTTTAAATTTGCTTCTTTGCACATAGTGATTTTCTGGACAAGGTTTGTCTTGCTGTTTCTGCATTACATTATAATTCATGATGAAGTAACAAAAATTAAGAGAAGTAAAAGTGAGGCAAAGGGGCCACATTGTTTTTTTCTATAATTTCCATGATTTCATTTTTTTTTCTCATTTCCACTTTCCTAGAAAGCAAAACTTGATAGTAGTTTGTGGTTTACAGAAAAGTACAATGTCATGAAAGTGGAAGAAGAGAAGTGACTTTCTGATGACACAATCACCAAGTATAAATTAGCAAAATATAACGCAGCAAAATTGGAGACTGGGGTTCTGGCAGAGGGCACGAATGAAGGCCCATATTGAGGTACACAAAGGCAGGGAAATTGCTGCTTCTCCAAGAGGCTCAGAGAAGAGCAACTTCTGAAGCCATGAACTGCTCTCAGCTTTGCAAGACCAGCCACCTGACTTTTCTGTGAATTAATACACATTTAAAAACATTTCTTGCATTGTATTATAGTACACATTTAAAATTTTTATTGATACATAATAGTTGTACATATATATGGGGTACATGTGCTATTATGATAATGCATAGGATATACAATGATTAAGTCAGGGTATTTAAGATATCCATCACCTTTAGAATTTATCATTTTTTTTGTGTGTTGGGAACATTTCAAATCCTCTCTTCTAGCTATTTAGAAATGTATAATACATTGTTGTTAACTTTAAATACTGTACCATTGAATGCTAGAACTTGTTCTTTTCCTCTATGTGTCCACATATAATCAGCTCTGAGGAGAAAAGGGAAGAGTGACACCAACCACCTCCTAAGAGATGGGCAACAAGACTTCAGTTGCTGCAACACCAATCCTCTTAGGCAGGATAATGGATGTTAGTCTCGCCTGAGCACTCTACCTAGTTAATAAATCTGCTCAGGCAATGAAAAGATTACTTGTGGAAATGCAGAATTAAAAGAGAGGGAATTAGATGCACCCAAAAGATTCTGCGCTTAATCTGGATTGTAATAATAATCATGATTTGAAAATATGACATTTAGTTTTATTGCATGCTTAGTATGGATCATCCACTGTTGTAAGGTCTTTAAAAATACTAACTCAGGCCTAGGACGTGGGCACAAAGCTGCTTTGCTAGCCTGGGGATGAGCCTGAGAGAGGCAGCCCGAGGGGTGTTTTTCAGGCCCAGGGCCCAGGTGCAGGTCATTTACCCTGGTATGGAGGAAGTCAAATTGTCTCTGTTTGCAGACTGCATGATCTTATATATAGCAAAACCTGAAGATTGTACCAAAGAATCCTTAGAACTGATAAATTAAGTACGTTTGCAAGATATAAAATTAATGTACAAAAATCAGTAGTGTTTCTACACATGAAAAACTAGTTGAAAGAGAAATCAAGAAGCCATTCCATTTTCAGTAGCTACAAAAAAAAAAAAGAGTAATAAAATGGCTAGGAATAAATTTACCAAGGAGGTGAAAGACCTCTACAAAGAAAACTACAAAATACAAATGAAAAAAATGGAAGAGGATACAAACAAATAGAAATACATCCCATGCTCGTGGATTGAAATAATTGATATTGTTAAAATGAGAATACTACACAAAGCAATCAACAGATTCAGTGTAATCCCTACCCAAATACCAATGACATCTTCACAGAAACAGAAAAAAAGTTCTAAAATTTGTATGGAACCAGAAAAGACCCCAAATAGCCGAAACAGTCAAAAAAAAAAAAAAAAAAAAAGAAACAAAACAAAACAAAAAAACCAAGCTGGAACTATCACACTATCACACACTACTGGGCCTCAAAATAGACTAAAAAGCTGTAGTAACCAAAGCAGCATGGTACTAGCATTAAGAACTGACACATAGACCAATGGAACAGAATCAAGAAAACATAAATTAATTCACGAATCTACAACAACTAATTTCTTTTTTTTCTTTTATTATTATACTTTAATTTTTAGGGTTCATGTGCACATTGTGCAGGTTAGTTACATACGTATACATGTGCCACGCTGGTGCGCTGCACCCACTAACTCGTCATCTAGCATTAGGTATATCTCCCAATGCTATCCCTCCCCCCTCCCCCGCCCACAACAGTCCCCAGAGTTTGATGTTCCCCTTCCTGTGTCCATGTGATCTCATTGTTCAATTCCCACCTATGAGTGAGAACATGCAGAGTTTGGTTTTTTGTTCTTGCGATAGTTTACTGAGAATGATGATTTCCAATTTCATCCATGTCCCTACAAAGGACATGAACTCATCATTTTTTATGGCTGCATAGTATTCCATGGTGTATATGTGCCACATTTTCTTAATCCAGTCTATCATTGTTGGACATTTGGGTTGGTTCCAAGTCTTTGCTATCGTGAATAGTGCCACAATAAACATACATGTGCATGTGTCTTTATAGCAGCATGATTTATAGTCCTTTGGGTATATACCCAGTAATGGGATGGCTGGGTCAAATGGTATTTCTAGTTCTAGATCCCTAAGGAATCGCCACACTGACTTCCACAATGGTTGAACTAGTTTACACTCCCACCAACAGTGTAAAAGTGTTCCTATTTCTCCACATCCTCTCCAGCACCTGTTGTTTCCTGACTTTTTAATGATTGCCATTCTAACTGGTGTGAGATGGTATCTCATTATGGTTTTGATTTGCATTTCTCTGATGGCCAGTGATGATGAGCATTTTTTCATGTGTTTTTTGGCTGCATAAATGTCTTCTTTTGAGAAGTGTCTGTTCATGTCCTTTGCCCACTTTTTGATGGGGTTCTTTGTTTTTTTCTTGTAAATTTGTTTGAGTTCATTGTAGATTCTGGATATTAGCCCTTTGTCAGATGAGTAGGTGGCAAAAATTTTCTCCCATTTTGTAGGTTGCCTGTTCACTCTGATGGTAGTTTCTTTTGCTGTACAGAAGCTCTTTAGTTTAATTAGATCCCATTTGTCAATTTTGTCTTTTGTTGCCATTGCTTTAATTTCTAACTAAGGTGCCAGAAACATTCACTAGGGAAAAGATAATATTTTCAATAAATGGTGCTGGGAAAACTGGATATCCATATGCAAAAGAATGAAACTAGGCCCCTGCTTCTCACCCTATACAAAAATCAACTCAAAATAGAACAGAGACATAAATCCAATGCCTGAAACTTTATTTATTTATTTATTTAGTTTGAGACCGAGTCTCGCTCTGTTGCCAAGCTGGAGTGCAGTGGTGGAATCTCAGCTCACTGCAAGCTCCACCTCCCAGGTTCACGCCATTCTCCTGCCTCAGCCTCCCGAGTAGCTGGGACTACAGGTGCCTGCCACCACGCCTGGCTAATTTTTGTAGTTTTAGTAGAGACAGGGTTTCACCTTGTTAGCCAGGATGGTCTCAGTCTCCTGACCTCGTGACCCACCCACCTTGGCCTCCTAAAGTGCTGGGATTACAGGCATGAGCCACCGTGCCCGGCCCAATACCTGAAACTTTAAAAGTACTAGAAGAAAACATAAGAGAAGTCTGGGAAAAAGTTTTATGAATAAGACCACAATAGTACAGGAAACAAATACAAAACTAAACAAGTCACAACAAAAACAAAAATAAACAAACTGCAACAAAAACAAAAATAAACAAATTGGATTATATCAAACTAAATTTTTTAACAACAAAAGAAATAATAGAGTGAAAACAATCTATAGAATGGGAGAAAATATTTTGAAACTACTCAACCAACAGGGAATTAGTATACAGAATATGCAAGGAACTCAAACAACTCAAGAGCAAAAAAGTAATAATAATGTGATTAGAAAATGGGCAAATGATCTGAACAGACATTTCTCAAAAATAGATATAGATATGGCCAACAAATATATGAAAAACTGCTCAACATCACTGTCATCAGGGAAATGGAAATCAAAACCACACTGAGTTATCATTGCATCTTAGTTAGAATGCCCATTATTCAAAAGACAATGTTAAAAATGCTGGTGTGGATATAGAGAAAAGAGAACTCTAAACTACCTCAGCCAATGTGGAGAACAGTATGGAGGTTTCTCAAAAAGCGAGAAATAGAACAACCATATGATCCAGCAATCCCAGTACTGGCCATTTATCCAAAGGAAAGAGAATTATTATATCTAAGAGACATCTGCACCCCCGTATTTATTGTAACATTATTCACGATAGCCAAGATACGGAATCAGCTGAGTTCTCCAACAACAGATGACTGGATAAACAAAATGTGGTATACGTATACATACACAATGACATACTATTCAGCCATAAAAAAAATAAAATCCTATCACTCGTGGCAACATGGATGGAACTGGAGAATATTATGCTAAGAGAAATAAGCCAGAAACAGAAAGTTAAATACTGCATGTTTTCACTCATATCTGGAAGCTAAAATAAAAATTGATCTCATAAAAGTAAAAAGTAGAACAGAGGATACTTGAGGGTAGGAAGGGTTGGAGGAAGAGACGAATTGGAGAGATTTATTAAAAGATACTAAATTATAGCTATGTAGGAGGTTAAGGTCTAGTTTTATATACCATTGTAGGATATAGTTAACAATAATATATTATATAGTTGTTAATAGCTAGAAGGAGGACAGTGACTGTTCCCTTCACAAAGAAATAATAAATGTTTGAGATCATGAATAAGCCAATTAACAAAATCTAATTATTTCACATTATGAATATGGAAATCTCACCGTGTATTCCATGAATATATACTATTGTTATTTATCAATTCAAATATAAAAAAAACAAAAAAAGTTCAATACTTTCAACAAACCTATTTGTATTATGCTCCTTATATAACTCTTTGGAGAGGAATAACAATCTGGAAGGATGAACTATTCTGAACATACCAATGATCCAAGGTCAAAACCTTATGGAGAGTTGAGCTAATTGGTTTGTATGAAAGGGCATGTTACATAAGTGAAGAATAGATATGGGACCAATGTACAGGAGCAACAGTGGTGTTTTATACGTGAATTTAACTGATTGGCTTTATATTCTAGGTAGGCAAAATATTGTTTAAATAGCTATAAGCAAGGATTTTTTTCTCCCAATTGAAAGACAAAGTCTAAGGTTTAATGTGTAGTTTCATCAAAGAAATACAGGAAAATAACTATTAACTTACCAATTGAAAGCCTATTTATTTTTAATTCTCGAGATTTTTTGTGAGTTTAAGAATAAACAAAAAGCACCTAACAATTTTCGGTTTGCTGCTAGTGGAGCCTTATGGGATCTGTCTTATCTCCTTCAGGACCTCACTAAATCTACAGGAGAGCTTCTTCAGGCTAGCCTACTGTTCTCATTCCTAAAGGTGACAGCACTGTTTCTTACCTCCAGCCCAGACTGAACTTCATCTTGTGTACTGATAGAGTCTTGTGAAGAATCTCTTATCCTCTGTCTTTCCAACAAGTGGTTGAGTTTTGAGTGCTGAAAAAACGTTTTGTCAGATGGAAGAATATTATGCAGTTCCTATACAGAAGAAGTGAGGGCTTTTGAAGAGGTGATTACCAAAGACAGTCTGGCTGTAACTCCAAACTTAGTTCAGCTGCCCAACATGGTTGATTTTATTTAATTTCTAGCCTGATCCAATTAAAAGCCATGAAATACAACTTAGCAATGAAATAAATATAGCATTAAAATCAGCAGTAATTGACAAAGTGATAAAAGCATTAGTATTTTTTATCAGAAATAAAGGATGATCTTTGCTTGTCTTTTGGACTTGAATCCTCAGAAAGTGTACAAATCCTAACTTTGAATGTGCCTATTGAGTATAGAATACACTGACTGGAAAAAAGAAAAAAGAAAAAAGAAGAAAGAGAACTGACCCACCAATGCCTCTTTTCAATTAATGAAGTTAAATAAATACAATTCGGCAAAGATCTTTGCTGCCTTTAGAAGCTGTGATTCTTCAGCCAGGTGCAGTGCCTCACGCCTGTAATTCCAGCACTTTGGGAGGCCGAGGCAGGTGGATCACGAGGTCAGGAGATCAAGATCTTCATGGCCAATATGGTGAAACCCTGTCTCTACTAAAAATACAAAAATTAGCTGGGTGTGGTGGTGCATGCTTGTAATCCCACTTACTCGGGAGGCTGAGGCAGGAGAATCGCTTGAACCTGGGAGGAGGAGATTGCAGTGAGCTGAGATCGCACGACTGCACTCCAGCCTGGTGACAGAGCAAGACTCCATCTCAAACAAACAAACAAAAAACAAACAAAAGAATACAAAAAAAAGAGAAGAAGTTGTGATTCTTCAATACATGCATTATTGATATCTGTCCTGCTGGGAAGTCTCTGGCCCAATTGAAATGTACTCAAATACCTGCTGTGTCCCTTCTGTTCAGGCATTGTTTCATTTTTTACTGCCTTTAAGGAGGCTGCATTATGACTAGAATTTAAGAGATGCCTTGAATTGCATTGGCCCCATAAATAAGTTTGCCTGTAGTGTGAGAACTTGATGGGTACTAGGGAGGAAACAGGAGTTTGCAGCTGACACTGAAGTAACCCTGTCCCTTCCAATACTCTACAGGCTGCTGTAGTATCAGTGTCACCCATGCAGGGGACAGTGTTGGCCATGTCTCCACGGGAGCACTGTATGCTCTCAGCATCCACTTCAATCTTCTCTCCCTCTGATTTGAATATTCTGAACAGTTGACTCAGTGCTTCCATTGCTACTCCATTTTCTGAGGACCTTCCAGTCTTCTCTCCTCCTTCCAAATTCTAAAGCTGCTGCTGGCTCTGTCTTCATGTTTCATAATGTGGGCTTTGCTTTTTTCAACAAATGAGAGTCCTGAGCCTGGTGGAGTCTCTTCCTAGCGGAATCAGAATGTTGGAAGTCCCTAAAAAGAGGCACAAATGAGCTCCTGTATTCTTTACCCGCTCATTGGGTGTAGTGTTGTGGGCAGGACTCTCTCTATTTACTGTGTTTCTGTTCCCAGCAAAACATCCTTGACCTCTGCAGTGCTGAGCTTGCCAGGTAAGGGAAATCTAGGGGTGGTTACATTCTTTGGCCTCGTGAGCTCACAAAGCCCCGTTGTCTCCAGGTGGTACTGTATCATGATCTCTTGTATCTGTTCCAATGGAGTCAGGGCAGGGACTAAGCTTCCATGTGTTCCTCACCAGAGGAACTGTCCAGGGACTTGTATGAGGCAGGCTATAATAGGGCTCCTCTCTGCCAGCTCTGCCACTTCCTTTCATTGGGTCTCCAATACTTTAGAATATATAAAAAATTAACTTCTCGATATGTTCAGGATATAGTTACAGACATTTTTCAGGATAAGGTGACAATATGCAGCCACATCATACAATTTTTGCCCACTGAAATGATAAGCAACAAAAAACAAAAATAACATTAAAGAAATAAGAAGCTTAAAAGTAGTCAGGAATAAAAGGGTTTTTAATATATGAAAGGTGTTAAACCATCAAAGAGACAGAGGAGAGAGAACCAGGTATATTCAAAAGTGTTAATGTTTTCTTTCTGATCCTAAACTGGGCCCCCCACACTCAGTAGCTAATGAAAGAGAGGCAAAGAACAAATATATTGTAAAATATAACTTTGAATTTCCCAATTTCTCTCCTCTTCCATTTCAAAAGAGCCATATAAAGGTTGGGTCTGTAACTTGAGCAAAGAATTGAGAAATCTGTCCTAAGTTGAAGCCTCTTCCTACTAACCTAGCAATTCACACATGCTTCCTGGTTAACTTCTTCAAATACACCATTTCACAGATCACTTTAATGTTTCCCCAATTCTACCCAAATTGATACTTCTACTGGGTATCATTTGGCAAGAATTGTATCTTCTGATCCCTTTACAGATCTCTGTTCTCTCTCTTACTACTGAGTGAAAATAGAAGGGATGCAAGTTGAGTCATTATTGAAAATAACAGAGAATGTTCTCCTTATTATGAATGTAAGTGACATGATCTAAGGAATGAATTTGTAAAATTAGCAACTTACTATTAAGAAAGAGCTAATGTACCTTCAAACAGGAGATTTTAATGGATGTCCATTACAGTTCTACACCCACATTGGCAGGCTGTACTGAATCCTAGTGCAGCTCAATACATAAAGGAGGGATGAGTCAGGGGGCTGAAGTCAAGGGACACATTCTTACCCTTTCTCTCTCTACATAGCTGTCCACTGCCCAAAGGACATGTCCTGCTTGAAGCTGGGAGTACTTTCCTTCTCTATGATAAAAAAAATGAAGGAAATGGGCTTCTTCCAATATAAGGTTCAGCTCTTTCTGAGAAAGAGTCCTTTTTACCTATGAAGAAAATTCTGCAAAGGGACAGAATTCTTTATAGAAAAGAAAAGCTGACTCTCCACAGAGTTGGTGTATGTCTTTGTCATCATGGCCAGTAGGTGGCTGTCATCCTCTGTAAATAACTGAACAGCCTCCAGAGTAGAATAAATCTTGACATTTCCTTTTTCTTTAGAGAAAGTTACATCATTTTAACAAAAGTATTCATTCATTTCCAAAATTTTTCACCAGGAGGGAAAAAAAAAGACCTCTGATATGGATGTTTATGAAAAACCTAGAACTCTCACTTAACTTTTGCTTTTATTTGATGACTTTGTGCTCTTAGGGGAAAACTGACAGCCAAAAACCACAAGGGAACAGGAAGCAGCTGTACGAGTGGCAGTGCGGGTTGCTGGTGAGTGAATGAGGACAGCACGCTGGGATTTCTACACTGGAGAGGGAGGAAGCTATTGTGAGATGGGAGTGAAAGAATTGAATCCTGTAAGCAGAGAGGAAGGGAGAGTGTGGCAGGCATCAGAATCAGCAAAGAATGCTATAAATATAGATAGCTATAAAGCCCATGCTATTTATATATTATATAATATATAGTATCTGAAACAAGTATCAGTCTCTTAGACTGATATTCAATCTCCCAGACTTATATATAGTTAGTCTAGGAGGAGACTATATATATATATATATATATATATATATACACATACACACATCAGGCTACATTTCCCACTACCATTATCAAGAACTGCCAAAAAATGTATAGAGTACCAATTTACAGATATATTTATAATACATTAGTCTACGAGACTAATTCCTTTATCAGATATTTACAAGCTGTCACATTCTTATTGAATAAAAAATCAGTCAGACTTATCTTTAATGTCAAGTGTATCTAATATTCATACTTCTCTAAGACTGTCTTCAATTCTCTTTTTAGGCTCTCAGCATTTTCCAATCAGTTATAGAGAGGGATGGGAGAGTTGACTATTCTCAGATAGATCTATATGAATGAATGAGGAAATATCCATCATCTGTTAAGCCGTGACTCAGTGGAAGATAATCTGTTAAGTTCTTTTACATGTTTTAGTTTGTTTGATATTCACAACTCCTCTAGAAATCTTTCTACCTTACTTTACATCTTTAAAATTTGAGGCTCAGAGGAGTTAAGTAAGTTACCCAGGATCACAGACATGTCCTGGCAAAATATAGATTCAATGCAGAATCTTAAATTCCATGTTACAAGTAATTACTTAAGTTTTATATTTTGAAATTCAGATACAAATTAATCAAAAAATTGCACACTATTTTGCTTTCTGTTTTTTAGTCATAGCTGCTATTTTAGTATTATTTTTGACTGATTTCCATCCAAGTTTGCTCCGTACTTCAGATATTGGGGATGAGAAATGTTCTGATCTAGTTTCACTTTTCTATCTTATGGAGATTCCAAGACTGTTATATTCGTTACAAATTGATTATTTATTACTCCCTAAGAGTTTATAATTTTTATGAAATATCACCATACCTATAGTTTAATCTAATGTCACCATACCTATAGTTTAATATCACCATACCTGTAGTTTAATAACACCATACCTATAATTTAATCAGGATTAAAGGACACAGTGGAGAGGAATAACTCTTGGCATTTCTATCTCTACCAGAAATGGAGGAGTGTTTTATAATAACAGTGAAAGCAATTTGACAAAGGGTAAGATTAGGCAACCAGATTGTTAAAATATATAATATCTGAAATTATTTTACTATCATGGTAATAGGATTTAGGAGAAAGTTTGTATCAATTTTCAATAAAATGTTTATAGGGTGATAATCAGGCAATCTAGGTAGATATCAATATAAACTCTCATATAAGAAAGTAAAATCTTGATGGAATACAGGATTGACTTAAGATTTGGTTATAAAAAGAAAATTAACACAGTACAGGTTTCAGGTATGATGCATTAAGAAGGCTGGACCATGTCCTACTGCCTTTAACAAGTACAGAACTGTCAAAAAATGTATAAAGTACCAATTTACAGATATTGGATAATAGTCTACTCAGGGCTGTGACACAGGAGTAAAGAATAAAATAACTCCTTCAGTTCAAAAATTAACCTTTCTTCCTTCCAGAAAGTTTGGGCAAGGGAAAAAATGGAAGCATCAGGGCTTCCAGATAACCAGTCCATGGGTCTGAGGCATGCACTTGATCTCTCAAGTCACCTTCTCGGCCCTCTTCTAAGTGTACTTTATTTCCTTTCATTCCTGCTTTAGAGCTTTTAAATAAACTTTTACTCCTGCTCTAAAACTTGCCTCAGTCTCTCATTCTGCCGTGTGCCCCTCAGTTGAATTGTTTATTCTGAGGAGGCAAGAATTGAGGTTGCTACAGACTCATGTGGATTTGCTGCTGGTAACATACTTTGGTGCCGTGACTTGGATACATTCTGCTAATAACATAATTTGTTGCTGCGTGATTCAGATATGTTCCCCAGTTGTAAGATACTGCGATGGCTCACCTTCTTTGGCTGGAGGTGTTAAACCCCAGTACATGGTTCTCTTCTCCCTTTTTGCTCTAATGCTCACTAACCAACCCCTAGAATTACTTTTCTCAGCCGCAAGTGGCTGTTCCTCTGTTCCTCCAGCTGATCTCTCAGCTCAACCTGATGGGTGGCTCGCAGGGGTGTGAAGGACCTTGGGGTTCACACCAAGTAGACCTGAGACACTAAACATCTTCCTGGACAGGAGGCTTATGAGAGTGGTATGGTGAAATCCTGAGACCATGCAATGTCTGGGGTTTCCTCTGCTTTTTCACCTAAAATCAGCTCTTTCCCCCAAACCTTAATTGCCTATTCTCCTGTTTTCTCTGTGTATATTCTGAAATGACCTTGCATATCTCTGACCATCTGCCTTGGGGGAAGTCTGACTTTTTGCTTTCACTTTGCATGCCACATAACTTCTTAAACACACACTCCTTGTTATTTGGGCACCTGTGGCTCTTGCTGCATTTGCGTGGGAGCAAAAACATGGGCTACCTTGTGGATATCCTCTGAGATTTATGTTTGTTTTTACCCTACCAGCTCAGATGACCTCCAACCCTTCCCCTGTCTGCTGGCACATTGCTGGGACAGACACTAATTGGAACTCTGGCTCTGTCGGCTACTTATGACTTACCATATGTTTTTGTTCCTGTTATGCCCCAGGGACAAGTTTTCCAGTGGCCCTTGAAGCAATCTGTCCACCTGCATAAGGCCTCACTCTGTGGCCCCACTTGCTTTTTCTGAGTTAGCACCCCTTTGGGAGGAGGAGATAGTCTTTCTTTGTCATTTGTGAGTTCTTACCCCAAGCTCCAACTCTTCTAGAGGTTACTACTTTATGTCAAGAGGGCAAATAGACATTGCCCTCTTGAATCCAAGGGCTTTTGGTTTGGGGAACATACGAAGGCTTTCCATGAGTGTTCCTCTTTCTTCCTCCTATTTCTTCCTGTAGCCTCCATTTCTCAAATCACTTTCACACCCTTCTCAGTATGCTTCAAGACCTTTATGGTCTTATTTGAAGGGTGGGGGAAGTCTAGCTCCCTTGTGGCAGTTAGCTGAAAAGCAGGCTTCTTGTCTACTTGAACATGAGAAATGGGAATCTGAGAAAAGAAATAATCATTTTGTTGATAAAATGCTCTGAGCAAAAGTTACTATAACATCATGGAGACAAGGATAGGTCAGCCCAAGAGCCCAGGCACAAGAGACCCATAGGACAGAGATAAAGGTTTGCCGCAGGCTAATAGATTACCATCAGAACAGAGATGAAGGCAAGGTTAGGGGTACATGGTAAGACTGGTTTATTCTGGAACCCCAAGGATGAACAGGGGAGGGTCCTCTCTTCACTCTGGTATCTCCTCTGTTCTCAAGTGGGTCATTGTAATGAGATGGGACCAGGGTTAAGGGCACACAGTAAGACCAGTTTATTCCAGAACCCTAAGGACAAATGGGGGACACCCCATTCAGTATAATAGGAAAGTAATAGGGGACAACTTCTTGTTCCTTTTTCCTTTTTTTCTCCTCTGTTCTCTCTCTGCAAATGGGTAATCACATCTCCATACCACAGAACACACCCTTAGGATGCATCCTTAAGAACTGGAAAAAGTTTAATTCCCTGAAACTTTGAAACCAAAATCCTAGTTTTCCACTGTAATACTGTTTGGCTAAAAATGAACTCAGAGAAAATTACAAAAGTCAGCCTTGGAACCCAGTGCCTCTGTGCAGGAGATCCTCAAATTAGCCTCCTCAGTCTTTTATAACTGAGATCAGGACAAGGAAGACAAGCCTAAGGAAAAAGAGAAATGCAGGGGGAAAAGGCAGGCTGAACTATTGGCTGCTCTGCAATAGAGGCTGGAGCTCTCCAACTCCCTCCAGGTTGCCCTAAGGACATTCCTTCACGTAACTGCCACTGGTGTGGCAATCCAGGCCACTAGAAGACAAACTGCCCCGGTGGGATAAATGGGAAAAAGCCATGTGCAGCTTGCCCTCTCTGCCACAAGCTTGGCCACTGGAATGAGACTGCCCCAAGGGCTGAAGGGTCCGAGGAAGGGATCCCAACCTTTGATGGCCTTGAGCCAAAGGGGCTCTCTGCTATGACTGGCTTCCAAATCAGAAAGCATCATCAACAGAACAAAGCCAAGGGCAACTCTGGAGGCAGAAAGTAACATTGTACATTTCCCTTTTGGGTTCAAGAGCTGCCTACTCTGTGCTAATATCCTTCTCTGAGCAACTCTCCTCCAAATGCTACTGAGTAATGGGAAAAAATGGCACCTCCTTCATCCAAAAGAAAAGATTCGCACCTCTTTGGGGAAAAATATACTTTCAAGTTGGATGCCTACTTAGTATTTACACAACTTTTGAATTCATCTTTCCTTCTAATAGCACTATTTCTTCCAGGAAAGCTACCTAAAACATGAACAAATTAACTTCAACCTGGACCGTCTTACCTCAGGGTTTAGAATAGCCCACACTTAGGTTGACGAGCCCTAGCAAAAATTGAACTGAACAATCTCTTGAGTGGAGATAACTTCTACAGTATGTAAATAACCTCCTCATTTACTCCCCCTTCACAGAACTGGCACAGCAACATGCAGTAAAATCCTTAACTTTCTAATAGAAGGAAAATGACTTGTCTGATTCAAAGGTTATAAAGGTAAAGAGGTATTTCTGGGAAGGAAGGTTATAAAGAAAATGGATTTTGTATGAGAAAGAATTTTGTTTGGTAAATTCTTGTCCCAAAGTAAAATAACTGGTTGTTTAAAAAGAAAGATATTTAGGACAAGTCAGAAAGTCCAAGTATGTCATAAGTGGCCCACGTTGTGAAAAGATTAGTGAAAGGAAATTTATGAAAGAAATCTTGTACAATTTAAAGGTTAATAGGCCTGCTAATTAACTGTTACTATGATTCTTAACTATACAACTACTTGTCTGCTTTAAAGCTAGGTAAGGCCTGGTGACAGAGTTAGCCATGCACCCTAGCTATACTGGAGTCAGACCTTATCTGCATTTCTGTCTGGTATCCTAGGCTCAAAACCTCATATATAATTAGAATTACTTACTTACCAGCTGATAAGATTTGGCTGTGTCCCCACTAAAATATCATCTCGAATTGTAGTTCCCATAATCCCCACATGTTGTGGAAGGGACCCAGTGGGAGTTAATTGAATCAAGGGGGCGATTACCCCCATGTTGCTGTTCTTGTGATAGTGAGTTTTCATGAGATCTGATGGTTTTATAAGGGGCTTTTCCCCTTTGCTCAGCAATTCTCTTCCTGCTGCCATGTAAAGAAGGACATGTTTGCTTCCCCTTCCACCATGATTGTAAGTTTCCTGAGGCCTCTCAAGCCATGGTGAACTGTGAGTCAATTAAACCTCTTTCCTGTATAAATTACTCAGTCTCAGGTAGGTCTTTATTAGCAGCATGTGAACAGAGTGATACACCAGGTTTTCATAAAAAGTTTCTAAGAGTTAAACAGTGTAACATGTATTTGAGACTACTTGAAAAACAGTTTTACGTGCAAGGTACGTAAGGAAAGTCAAATGTGCTTTTGGTAAAAGATTATAAAAAGGCATGGGAATGTGGATTTTTGTCTTGTTTAGAGGATTTAAGGATTGTTTTAATTTAGATAGGATAAAGCTAAAGGTTTAACCAAGTTGTGGAAGGTTTCTGAAATATTAATCTTGCAGAAGAAATTCTGTGTGTAATCATATTGGCTAAAGTTAAAGGGGTATTATTCAATTTTCATTTAAATTGAGCATTAAAATAAAAGCAAACAGTTTTATTAAAGCATTAATCTGCCCTTTATCAATGTGCTATTGGTGTGTGTTCCAAAATTACGTAAAACTCCTAATCCCTTTTTTTTTTTTTTTTTTTTGAGATAGAGTCTTACTCTGTCACCCAGGCTGGAGGGCAGTGGTGTGACCTTGGCTCACTGCAATCTCTGCCTCCTGGTTCAAGCAATTATTCCACTTCAGCCTCCCAAGTAGCTGGGACTACAGGTGTATGCCACCACACCCAGCTAATTTTTTGTTGTTACTGTCCTTTTTTAGCAGAGAATGGGTTTCACCATGTTTGCCAGGCTGGTCTCAAATTTCTGACCTCAAGTGATCTGACCACCTCAGTCTCCCAAAGAGCTGGGATTACAGGTATGAACCATCATGCCCATCCTGAAACTCCTAATTTTTATATACCTTAGTATACATTATCAGTAATTTTTCCCTCTTGTTATAAAGAATAAAAGTAATTTTATTTTGCCAAATGTTGATGTCTATGTTGAGATTAATTCATTAAATCATTGAACACTTCTTATGCTTCAAGTTGCTGAGCTGGTCACAGGGGATTCAACGAAGATTGAAGGTGTTTGTTAGTCACACATTATTAACACTTACAAATTAATCCTCATTTCATCTGATGAGGGATATCTGCATTTTTCAGATGACAGGGTCTCATTATTTTTTATGGTTGAATAGTACTGCATTGTGTGTATGAACTACATTTCCTTTACCATTCATCTGTTAGTGGACACTTAGGTTATTTCCAAATCTTAGCTGTTGTAACCAGTGCTGCAACATAGTAGTGTAGATATCTCTTGGACATACTGATTTCCTTTCTTTTGTGTACATATACAGCTTTGGGATTGCTGGATCATAAGGTGGCCTGATTTTTAGTTTTCTGAGGAATGTTCAAATTGTTCTCCATAGTGGTTGTACTAATTTAAATTCCAATCAACAGTGTACGAGATTTCCCTTTTCTCCACATCCTCATCATCACAAATTAAAAATTTATAAATACACATTTATAACACTGATACAATGGTAGACTTAAAAGTCATTCAAAACCTTTTTTAAAACTTGAAAAATTATTTCCTGAACATGGATAAATGAAACTACATCAAAATTAAAAACTTCTGTGTCTCAAAGATACAATCAAAAGAGTTAAAAAGGCAATCTTAAAAATGGAAGAAAATATTTGCAAATAATACATCTAATAAGGGGTAATGGCCAGAATCTATAAGGAACTTCTACAATCAACAACAAAAAGCATTTAACTTAATTTAAAAAGGGAAAAGATTTGAATAGACATTTATTTAAAGAAGACATACAAATGACCAACTAGTATATTTCTATGGTCTGAATGTTCCTCCTAAATTCTTATGCTGAAATCCTAACACTGAAGTGATGGTATTAGAAGGTAGGCATTTTGGCAGCAGATTAAACCATGAGGGCAGATCCCTCATTAATGGGATTAGCACCCTTATAAAAGAGACCCCAGAGAGCCAACTTTCCTTCCAGCATGTGAGGATACCTCAAGAAGACACCATCATTTGAGCCAAGAAATGGGCCCTCAGTGGATTCAGAATCTGCAGGGGCCTTGATGTTGGACTTTCCAGCTTCCAGAACTGTAAGAAATAAATTTCTCTTATTTGTGAATTACCAAGTTGATGGTACTTGTTATAGCAGCTCTAACAGACTAAGGCACATATGGAAAGATGCTCAACCTCACTAACTGTTAGGGGATACAAATCAAAATCACAATGAGATATCACTTCACATCCATCAGGGTGGTTAGTACTTTAAAAAACACCCCAAATAACAAGAGTTGGCATGATGTAGAGAAATGGAAAGACTTGTGCCCTGTTTGTGGGAATATAAAATGATGTAGCATAGTTGTAATGGAAAACAGTGTGATGTTCCTTAAAAACTTAAAAATAGAATTACTATATAATCCAAAATTTCCACTTCTGGGTATATATCCCAAACAATTTTTCAAAGCAGGGTTTGAAGAAATATTTATATACCATGTTTATAAAAGCTTTCTTTACTGTAGCCAAAAGGTAGAAGTAATCCAAGTGCTCATCAATGGATGGATGAATAGATAAATAAAATGTAGTGTATACATATAATGGAATATTATTAAGCCTTATATGCATTCCATTAAACACATCATGGAATATTATTCAGCTTTTTACAATGGAGTATTATTTTTCATAATATTATTCAGTAAAATGTGGTATATACATATAATGAAATGTTATTCAATCTTATTCTGACACATGCTGCAACATGGATGAACCTTGAGTACATTATGCTAAGTGAAATAAGCCAGTCACAAAATAGCAAATACTGTATGATTGCACCTATATGAAGTATCTAGAGTAGTCAAATTCATAAAAACAGATAGTAGAATAGTGGTTGCCAGAGGCTTAGGGATGGCAGGAGCTGGAAGGAGTGGAGAGATGTTATTTAAGGAGCATAGAATTTCAGTTTTGCAAGATGGAAAAGTCTGGAGATTAGTTCCATAATGCTGTGAATGCAGTTAATACTACTGAACTGTATACCAAAAAATGGTTAAGGTGGTAAATTTTCTGCTAACTGTACTTTATCTTAATTTTAAAAATAGGTAACAAGGGCAACATTATTCCTTGGAAAACAATGCTAAAATATAACTTAGCTAAATTCAGCCCAGCCAAGCAGTGATTAAAGGATGAGGTAGAGGGGAATCAACATTGGAGAAGGGATGTAGACCAAAAGCAGCAGATGGGCATGGGCTCGAGGAAAAGTCATCATTCCTGGTCTAGGGGTTGGCTTTCAGATTTGATTATTCTAGGCTTCAGAGTTAAGAAGGACATAACCAAGTCACAAGAGTTTATATACAGAAAGGTAAATTTTTGAAAGTACAGTATTCTCTGTGGATAATAGGTAAGTGTTAATTGCACTAAGTTCTTTCCTAGTGGATTAATATATCCAGAAGATCAATAATTTCCTTGTTGTGACTGTCACAAAAAGCAAGGAAATACATGATTTCAAACAATGCTTCTCCCACATTGTTTAACTTAACAGAATTAAATAACGAGAATAGTGTTAATACGAAGAATGAAATAGCTAAATTCTAGAAAATGTTTATTGTCAGTCACACATTGTTAACACTTACAAATTAATCCTCATTTCACCTCATGAGGAATACCTGCATTTTTCATATTTATTGAATGTGTACCAGTGGCCAATTCCATTTAGTCCCTATAGATATCAGTGTCTCTGATGGTTAATTTTAGGTGTAAACTTGATTGCATTAGGAATACCTAGCAATTTTGGTCAAGCATTATTTTGGGGTGTATCCCAGGGTGTTTCCAGAGGAGATTAGCATATGTGTCTTAATGGGCTAAGTGGGGAAGATCCACCTTCAGTGTGGGTGGGCACCATGTGATCTGCTGGGAATCTAGAGAGAACGAAACTGATAAAAGACAGATGCGTGGATCTATCCACTGAAACCATGATGCACTCTTTCTCCCCTGTCCTTCAACAACAAGTCCAAGCTCCCCGATCTTTGGACTCCAGGGCTTAAACCAGAAGCCCTTCGGTTCTCAGGACTTTGGCCTGGGACTGAGAATTTCATTATCCACTTCCCTTATTCTGAGGCCTTCAGACTTGAACTGAGCCACACTACCAGCATCCTAGGGTCTCCATATTTATTATATGTAATTATTATATATATTTATTACATCTATATACATATATATACTGATTTTGTCTTGCTGGAGAACCGTGAGTAGCACAGTGACCAAAGCGGACAGTGGTAAGTTATATTATTATTCCTATTTACAGAAGAAAATACAGAAGTATAGGGAGTTATTGAATTGTGGAGCCACTGTTGGAATGCAGAAAATCTGACTCTGAATCCTCAGCTCTTACATGCTCTTGGGACATGTTTTGGTCAAAAGAACCAGAGGTGATTTCTAGACTGATCAATGCTTTTCCAGTAGAGTCCTGCCTAAGGAATAAAAAAGTCATTCTCTTCAGCTGTTATGCTTCTTCACTGTAAAGTCCCATTTGCTTATGCCAGATGTGTTTCATAATGAATATATTGAGCCCTATTTTACTTACACATGTTCTATCCTAGTTTTGTCTCCTTGAGAATTTATCTTTATAAATTCAAATACATTTGAAAAATAATTTGTTCATCCCAGTAATATACACAACATAATCATGGTACAATTATTCAAACAAATAAATTAACATTGATATTATATTACCATCTAAACTTTAGATTTCATCCGTTTTTTTCATTAACATTATTTTTCTGTTTCAAGAATCAATCCAGGATCCCACACTGCATTTATTTGTTTTATTTCTTTAGTCTCCTCCAATCTATAACACATGCTCAGTCTTTCCTAGTCTTTCATTATCTTGAGGCTTTTAAATAAAATTGATCAGCTGTTTTGTAGAATGTCCATCAATTTGGATATGTGTGGTATTTTCTCATGATAACATTGAATTTACAGATTTAAGAGAAGCATACCCCATCATTGCCAAGATCTTGGCCTGCCTGCCTATGTGTACAAACATGTATGACCTACCCAGGCACAGAGACAAAAGAAGCTCTTTCCCCTGGTCCCAGAGTGCACATTCAGTTCATTTGTGCATATACCCATGTCTAGGTGTCTTGATGGCTATTGAGGGAGTTGGTGTGGTACCCTAGTGCTATTAGTGCAGGACACAGCTTGCTTAACATGGAATCACAGCAACCCTTTTAAAAGGCATAGGTGGAATTTCCATTCACATAAGGTTTGTGTTTGCATGTGTTTTTGACTTTTTAAAGACTTAATTGTCACAAGTTTCATGATTAACTGTCACAGGCTGCTATATAACAAAACTTTAGCTACTCACATTCATGCCTAATAGTTCTAATATATTATTTATCTAGGTTTGATATCCTTGTTTCATGGACCCTGTTAGAGCAAACTAAATACAGCTTGAGAAGGACTCCATACTTCTATATTTAAGTCCTTGTGGATGAACTGCAACCTAATTTAATAGGTAGACAAGATTGAAAACCTAACTTAAGAATATGAGTCTGTATCAATAGCTGAGTCTTGACCAATCCCAGCAGCCATACCTCAACCAGTCATACACTGCTGAGTGTTCAAACTGTGTTCAAATAAGGCAAATGCCAAGCTGTAACCAATCTAGCTGTTTTTGTAGCTCACTTCTGATTTCTGTACGTCATTTTACTTTTTTTGTCTATAAATTTGTTCTGACTACAAGGCAACCCTGGTGTCTTTCTGAATCTGCTGTGATTCTGGGGGCTACCCAATTCATGAATCGTTCGTTGCTCAATTAAACTCCTTTCAATTTAATTTGGCTGAAGTTTTTCTTTTAACAACCTTAATCCTCAGGAAGGGTTTCTAATTCTAAATGTAACTACTTAGTGCAAAGTGCACCAACTGGAAAGAAAATAAAGATAATTAAAGTGTCATTGTCTTCTCAACTAAGTTAAATGAATGAATTTTGCAAAGGTCTTTGCTGCATTCGAAATTGTGATCTTGCAATGTCTACATTAATCACATCTTTCCTTATGGGAGATACCTGCCTTTATGTCTTCTGTTCAGGTGTTGTTTCATTTTGTTTTGTTTTTAAACGAAGTCTCCATTGTGACCAGAATTCATGAGATGTCTTGGATTTCATTGGCCCTATGAATAATTTTTCCTGCACTGTGATAACTTACTGAGTCCTAGGGAGGAAACAGAATTTTACAGCTGACACTGGAATAACCCTTGCCCCTTTCAATACTCTCAGTCTGCTGTGGTATCAGGGTAACCTATGCTGAAGACACTGATGTTGGCCACATCTCCATGAGGAAACTCTGTGCTCTTAGCAACCACTTTAATCTTCTCTCCTAATTGCAATGATCTGAACAGTTGACTTAGTGCTCCCACTGGAATTGTTCCAGCTCTTGAGTACCTTCTTCAAGTTAATGTTGTGAGCTTTAGATTTTTAAACAAATGAGAGCCCTGGGTCTTCTGCAGTCTCTTCAAGTGGAATTAGAATTTGGAAACTTTTGAATAGAAGCACAGATGAGTTTTTGCATTCCTACCAGCTCTTTGGGTGCAGATCTGTGGGCAGGGTGCTTTCCACTAACCATGGTTGTGCTGAATTGGACTTCCTTGGGTTGTAACCCTTGTAGCTCATGAATCACCTGGCAGGAAGGAGAAGCAAAGCCATGCTCACCCCTTGCCCTGAGGCTTCAGAAACTTGGCTGTCTCCAGCTGGTGCTGCATAGTGATTGATCCTTAGCCAAGTCTTCCTGTGCACCAGGGGGCTCTCCATGCCCTTTTTAGGTTTACTAGATGCACTTTACCTGGGGTGGGGGTGGAGGAAGTAAAGTGAAGTTCGCAGCAGGACCTGGGGGCAAGGGTCAGCCACCTCAGTGCTCATGCACTCCATTGCACTCCCTGCCCAGGTTCCTCCAGATTTGCCACTCAGTTCCCCAATACTGTAGCATATATAACATGTAAATTATAAACATAAAATTATAAGGCCCCCAAACCACCTGAATGAACTTCCTCCTCTGACAGGGTATTCTTAAAATTTAACCTGAAAGACTGGTTCAGGCATGACAGTTGGACATGCTTCATTGGAACTCTCCCTGGCATTAACATCAACACAGAACTTAAGTCTCATAAGAAGCTTTTACAATCTATTCTCTCTGAAGCCTGCTACCTGGAAGCTTCATCTGCATAAAATTTTGGTCTCTACAACTTATTGCAACCCAGGCTTTCCTTTCTATTAATAATAACTCTTTCAACCAATTACCAGTCAGAAAAATTTTAAATCTACCTATAACCTGGAAGCCCCCATGCTTCGACCTGTCCCACCTTTCTGGACTGAACCAATGTATTTCTTAAATGTATTTGATTAAAGTCTCATGTCTCCTTAAAATATATAAAACCAAGCTGCACCCCAACCTCCTCGGGTATATGTTCTTGGGATCTCCTGAGCCAAGTGTCACAGGCAATGGTCACTCATATTTGGCTCAGAATAAATCTCTTCAAATATTTTATGAAATTTGACTCTTTTCATTGACAATAGCTCCAGGATATAAAAAATATATGGCTGTAGCTTACTGTTCCAGGACAAGATATCAGTGTGGAGCCAAGTCATAAAAAATTTGCATCCAGAAAATATAATGAAAGTAAGTTACATTAAAAAAACAACAGCAACCAAATAATGGAAGGGGTTATCACATTTGAAATGTGTTAGGGAATCACAATTGAAAGGTGTTAGGGAATCACAAAGACAGAGTCAGGTTTATCAAAAAATATGCATGTCACCCTGCTCCTATCCTGGTTTCCCAACAAGTGATTGAAGAGGAAAGAAAAGATAGGAACAAACATTGTTTAATATGTAAATCAGAGCACTCTAACCCATCAATAGGAGAAAAGGAATTTAAAATTGGGTCTCTAATCTGAGGTAGAGATTTGAGCGATCTCTGCGAAGTTGAAACCCTGCGTTACTGTCTGGGGAATTCACACCTGGGCAATTTACACACACTTACTGATTAACTTCTTCAGTTAACAATTTTGAGCAGATTACCTCAGTATGCTTCAATTCTACCCAAATAGGTAGCAAACAGGTGTCAATTGGGAGTCATTATAGTCTCTGAAATCTCTTTACTTATGGCAGTGCTCTAACTCAGAGTCAAGGTGGAATTGATCCAAGCTCATTTGTTATTCAAAGTGAGAGTGAGAATTTTCTCATGATAGTAAAGTCAAGGGACAGAATCTGAGAATAGGAAAGAATTTCTAAAACTGACAACTTACTTGTAAGAAAGAGCTAATGTGCCTTCAAATGAGATTTTTTTTCCTGATTTCCATTGGAGTTCTGCACCCAGATTGGCTGGCTGTACTGATTCCTTATATAACAGAATACATAGAGGGAGGGATGGAACAGGAGGCCCTTGGAGGCTGGCCAGGCTGGAGGTAAGGAACACATCCTGACCCTTTTTTCCCCACATAGCCATCCATTGCCAAAAAAAGTTAAAATGTGCCTGAGGCTGGGAGTATTTTCTCTAAGATACAAACATTAAGAAAAAGTGCTTATTCCCATACTGGGGTCAGTTCCTGACAGGAAAGAGCCTCTTTTTAACTCTGAAATGAAATCTCCTGCCAGGGACACACTTCTGCATAAGCAGAAAAGCTGCTCCTCACAGACTTGGCCGCTGTCTTGGTGCATTTTGGTCATCGGTGGCTCTCTTTTCCTGTAAATGTTTTAACAGCCTCAGAGTAAAATGGAGCCTATTGTGGAAGACTGAGTGCTGGTGGCATGGGGCTCAAAGGATTTACCAAGACAGTTGTAGGTAAAGGAAGGCAGAAAATTTATTAGGAAAATATGTTGCCAGAGAGACAACAGGCAGCCAGTGGAAGAGAAGCTGACTGCCAGGAGAGAAAGGCTTGCTGGAGATTTTATAGGATAAAATCTATGCTGTCTGTTGAAGAGGGCTTTGTGTGGTATTGATAACACAAAGGTTGCAGTGAGCTAACTTGCAGATGTCTACTGATAGCTGGGTACAGAAATATTATGAATGATTTGAGCAGGAGGACTGTGTGTCCCAGACTATAAAGAAAAGCAAGCTTGTTTTCTACCTGCTTCCTCTTTTTGCTTTCTCCTGCTCCCACCAGCCCTACTCTTTTTTCCGAATTAAGACTCCACAGAACCTGCCTTTTATTTCCCCTTTGCAAAGCTACTGTTACATCATTATAAAAGGGACATTCCCTCTTTTTCCAGAAATATTCCTAAGAAAAGAAAAACAGCCTGTTATATAAGAGTGTCTGAAAAAACTAGAACTTTCACTCAAGGTCGGCTTTAATTTGCAGTTTTGTATTCATAAGGGGAAAGTGATGGGCAAACCCCACAAGAGAACAGAAATCAGCTGTGTGAATAGGCACTGCAGGCTAATGAAGAGTGAAGAGGAGAGCACAGTGGGAATTTCTAGAGGAAGAGAAAGGAATCTAATGTGATATGGGAGTGAAAAATGGGATCCAGAAAAGCAGAGAGGAAATGGGGAAGTGGACCAGGTCTCAGAACCAGCAAAGGCTACTATGTATATTTCACTTAGTTTAGGAGACTAACTTCATATGGGAGCGTATGCTGGAATTCTGAGAGCCAGAAAAGGAACGTGCCAGGTGCCAGAATCAGTTAATAGGCATTATGTGTCTTCTGCATTTCAATCTACATGCTGCTTCTTTTCTTTCAGGTATTCATACAAACCAACATTTCCTGACTGAATGCAAATAGGACACTTCTTTGAAATGAGGAGCGACAAATTTTTAACCTTTCTAGAATTCATGACAGAATACTGTTTTTTTTTTTTTTTTAACGCTGTCTCCATTGAAAGTCAGTTACTGAATGGTAGGACACAATTCTTATGAATTTTGTAGAAAGACAAATAATATTCTCATCTACAACTGTGTGAAGAAAAATAGAAAAATACTTGCCATGTGTTAAATCCTTACACTATGGAGAATACTATGCAAACTGCTTTCAACTGCCTGCGTTCATTTAAGAATCACAACAACTATGTAAGTATTTCTAATCCTTTCTATTTATAAGAAACTGAGGCTCAGAGATATTAAGTGCTTTTTTTCAACATCACACATACATGCAAACAGAGTGAAATTTCAATGTTAAATTTTTTATTGTTATTTACAACTAATGTGTAAGCTTTGTATTGGGAATTTCTGCAATAATTTTAACTCTCTTTTGATTCCTGGATTATACACAACTCTCTCCTGCTCTCTGTATATCCTTGGTTCATGTTGTATTTTCGGCTGATTTTGACCAATCTTTTATTTTATTTTGTATTTTTATTTATTATTTACTTATTTTTTGAGGCAGAGTCTCACTCTGTCACCCAGGCTGGAGTGCAGTGACGCTATCTGGGCTCACTGCAAGCTCCGCTTCCAGGGTTCACGCCATTCTCCTGCCTCAGCCTCCCAAGTAGCTGGGACTACAGAAACCCGCCACTACGCCCGGCTAATTTTTTTGTATTTTTAGTAGAGAAGGGGTTTCACTGCGTTAGCCAGGATGGTCTCGATCTCCTGACCTCATGATCCGCCCACCTCGGCCTCCCAAAATGCTGGGATTGCAGGCGTGAGCCACCGCGCCTGGGCCCTATGTTTTGTTTTGTTTTGTTTTTTATTATTATACTTTAAGTTCTGGGATACATGTGCAGAATGTGCAGGTTTGTTACATAGGTATACATGGGCCATGGTGATTTGCTGCACCCATCAACTCGTCGTCTCCATTAGGTATTTCTCCTAATGCTATCCTTCCCCTAGCCCCCACCCCCAACAGGCTCCAGTGTGTGATGTTTCCCTTCCTGCGTCCACGTGTTCTCATTGTTCAACTCCTATTTATGAGTGACAACATGTGGTGTTTGGTTTTCTGTTCCTGTGTTAATTTGCTGAGAATGATGGTTTCCAGCTTCATCCATGTCCCTGTAAAAGACATGAACTCATCCTTTTTATGGCTGCATAGTATTCCATGGTGTATAGGTGCCACATTTTCTTTATGCAGTCTATCATTGATGGGCGTTTGGGTTGGTTCCAAGCCTTTGCTATTGTGAACAGTGTTGCAATAAACGTATGTGTGCATGTGTCTTTATAGTAGAATGATTTATAATCCTTTGGGTATATACCCAGTAACGGGATTGCTGGGTCAAATGGTATTTCTGGTTCTAGGTCCTTGAGGAATCCCCACACTGTCTTCCACAATGTTTGACCTAATTTACACTCCCACCAACAGTGTAAAAGTGTTCCTATTTCTCCACACCCTCTCCAGCATCTGTTGTTTCCTGACTTTTTTAATGATTGCCATTCTAACTGGCGTGAGATTGTATCTCACTGTGGTTTTGATATGCATTTCTCTACTGACCAGTGCTGATGAGCTTTTTTTTCATGTGTCTGTTGGCTGCATAAATGTCTTCTTTTGCGAAGTGTGTGTTCATATCCTTCACCCCCTTTTTGGTGTTTTTTTTTTTTTTTTTTTTTTTTTTTTGTAAATTTGTTTAAGTTCCTTGTAGATTCTGGATATTAGCTCTTTGTCAGATGAATGGATTGCAACAGTTTTCTCCCATTCTGCAGGTTGCCTGTTCACTCTGATGATAGTTTCTTTTGCTGTGCAGAAGCTCTTTAGTTTAATTAGATCCCATTTGTCAGTTTTGGCCTCTGTTGCCATTGCTTTTGATGTTTTAGTCTTGAAGTCTTTGTCCATGCCTATGTCCTGAATGGTATCGCCTAGGTTTTCTTCTAGGGTTTTTTTGGTTTTAGGTCTTACATTTAAGTCTTTAATCGATCTTGAGTTAATTTTTGTACAAGGTGTAAAGAAGGGGTCCAGTTTCAGTTTTCTGCATATGGCTAGCAAGTTTTCCCAACACAATGTATTAAATAGGGAATCCTTTCCCCATTTATTGTTTTTGTCAGGTTTGTCAAAGATCAGATGGTTGTAGATGTGTGGTATTATTTCTGAGGCCTCTGTTCTGTTCCATGGTTCTATTTATCTGTTTTGGTACCAGTACCATGCTGTTTTGGTTACTGTAGCCTTGAAGTATAGTTTGAAGTTAGGTAGTGTGGTGCCTCCAGATTTGTTCTTTTTGCTTAGGATTGTCTTGACTATATGGGCTCTTTTTTGGTTCCATAAGAAATTTAAAGTAGTTTTTTCTAATTATGTGAACAAAGTGAAAGGTAGCTTGATGGGGATAGCATCTATAAATTACCTTGGGCAGTATGGCCATTTTCACACTATTGATTCTTCCTATCCATGAGCATGGAATGTTTTTCCACTTGTTTGTTTCCTGTCTTATTTTGTTGAGCAGTGGTTTGTAGTTCTTGACGAGGTCCTTTCCACTTGTTTGTTTCCTCTCCTATTTCCTTGAGCAGTGGTTTGTAGTTCTCCTTGAAGAGGTCCTTCACATCCATTGTAAGTTGTATTCCTAGGCACTTTATTCTCTTTGTAGCAATTGTGAATGAGAGTTCAGTCATGATTTGGCTCTCTATTATTGGTGTATAGGAGTGCTTGTAATTTTTGCACATTGATTTTGTATCCTGCGACTTTGCTGAAGTTGCTTATCAGCTTAAGGAGATTTTGGACTGAGACAATAGGGTTTTCTAAATATATACTCGTGTCTTCTGCAAATAGAGACCATTTGACTTCCTCTCTTCCTATTTGAACACTCTTTATTTCTTTCTCTTGCCTGATTGCCCTGGACAGAACTTCCAATACTATGTTGAATAGGAGTGATGAGAGAGAGCATTCTTGTCTTGTGCCAGTTTTCAAAAGGAATGCTTCCAGCTTTTGCCCATTCCATATGATATTGACTGTGGGTTTGTCATGAATAGCTCTCATTATTTTGAGATGCATTCCACCAATACCTAGTTTATTGAGAGTTTTTAGCATGAAGGGGTGTTGAATTTTATCAAGGCCTTTTCTGCATCTATTGAGATAATCATGTGGTTTTTGTCGTTGGTTCTGTTTATGTGATGGATTACGTTTATTGATTTGCATATGTTGAACCAGCCTTGCATCCCAGGAATGAAGCCGACTTGGTCTTGGTGGATAAGCTCTTTGATGTGTTGCTGGATTTGGTTTCCCAGTATTTTATTGAGGATTTTTGCATTGATGTTCATCAGAGATATTGACTTGACATTTCTTTTTTTTTGATGTGTCTCTGCCAGTTTTTGGTATTAGGATGATGCTGACCTCATAAAATGAGTTAGGGAGGAGCCCTTCTTTTTCTATTGTTTGGCATAGTTTCAGAAGGAATGGTACCAGCTCCTCTTTGTACCTCTGGTACAATTTGGCTGTGAATCCGTCTTGTCCTGGACTTTTTTTGTTGGTAATCTATTAATTACTGCCTCAATTTCAGAAGTTGTTATTGGTCTACTCAGGGATTCGACTTCTTTTTTTTTTCAATTTTTTTTTTATTATACTTTAAGTTCTAGGGTACATGTGCACAATGTGCAGGTTTGTTACATATGTATACATGTGCTATGTTGGTGTGCTGCACCCATTAACTCGCCATTTACATTAAGTATATCTCCTAATGCTATCCCTCCCCACTCCCCCAACCCCACAACAGGCCCCAGTATGTGATGTTCCCCTTCCTGTGTCCAAGTGTTCTCGTTGTTCAATTCCCACCTATGAGTGAGAACATGCAGAGTTTGGTTTTCTGTCCTAGCGATAGTTTGCTGAGAATGATGGTTTACAGCGTCATCCATGTCCCTACAAATGACATGAACTCCTCCTTTTTTATGACTGCATAGTATTCCATGGTGTATATATGCCACATTTTCTTAATCCAGTCTATCATTGATGGACATTTGGGTTGGCTCTAAGTCTTTGCTATTGTGAATAGTGCCACAATAAACATAAGTGTGCATGTGTCTTTGTAACAGCATGATTTATAATCCTTTGGGTATATACCCAGTAATGGGATGGCTGGTTCAAATGGTATTTCTAGCTCTGATCGCCATGCTGCCCTCCGCAATGGTTGAACTAGTTTACAGCCCCACCAACAGTATAAAAGTATTCCTATTTCTCCAAATCCTCACCAGCACCTGTTGCTTCCTGACTTTTTAATGATCGCCATTCTAACTGGTGTGAGATGGTATCTCATTTTGGTTTTGATTTGCATTTCTCTGATGGCCAGTGATGATGAGCATTTTGTCATGTGTTTGTTGGCTGCATAAATGTCTTTTTTTGAGAAGCGTCTGTTCCTATCCTTTGCCCACTTTTTGATGGGGTTGTTTGATTTTTTTCTTGTAAATTTGCTTAAGTTCTTTGTAGATTCTTGATATTAGCCCTTTGTCAGATGGGTAGATTGCAAAAATTTTCTCCCATTCTGTAGGTTGCCTGTTCAATCTGATGGTAGTTTCTTTTGCTGTGCAGAAGCTCTTTAGTTTAATTAGATCCCATTTGTCAATTTTGACTTTTGTTGCCATTGCTTTTGGTGTTGTAGTCATGAAGTCCTTGCCCATGCCTATGTCCTGTATGGTATTGCCTAGGTTTTCTTCTGGGGTTTTTATGGTTTTAGGTCTAACATTTAAGTCTTTAATTCATCTTGAATTAATTTTTGTTCTGCCCTCTCTTACCACTCCTATTCAACATAATGTTGGAAGTTCTGGCCAGGGAAATCAGGCAGGAGAAAGAAATAAAGGGTATTCAATTAGGAAAAGAGGAAGTCAAATCGTCTCTGTTTGCAGAAGACATGATTGCATATTTAGAAAACCCAAACACTTCAGCCCAAAATCTCCTTAAGCTGATAAGCAACTTAAGCAGTCTCAGGATACAAAATCAATGTGCAAAAATCACAAGCATTCCTGTACACCAGTAACAGACAGAGAGCCAAATCATGAGTGAACTCCCATTCACAATTGCTTCAAAGAGAATAAAATACCTAGGAATCCAACTTACAAGGGATGTGAAGCACCTCTTCAAGGAGAACTGCAAACCACTGCTTAATGAAATAAAAGAGGATACAAACAAATGGAAGAACATTCCATGCTCATGGGTAGGAAGAATCAATATCGTGAAAATGGCCATACTGCCCAAGGTAATTTATAGATTCAATGCCATCCCCATCAAGCTACTGATGACTTTCTTCACATAATTGGAAAAAACTACTTTAAAGTTCATATGGAACCAGAAAAGAGCCCGCATTGCCAAGCCAATCCTAAGTCAAAAGAACAAAGCTGGAGGCATCACGCTACCTGACTTCAAACTATACTTCAAGGCTACAGTAACCAAAACAGCATGGTACTGGTACCAAAATAGAGATATAGACCAATGGAACAGAACAGAGCCCTCAGAAATAATACCACACATCTACAACCATCTGATCTTTGACAAACCTGACGAAAACAAGAAATGGAGAAAGGATTCCCTGTTTAATAAATGGTGCTAGGAAAACTGGCTAGCCATATGTAGAAAGCTGAAATGGGATTCAACTTCTTCCTAGTTTAGTCTTGGGAGGGTGTGTGTGTCCAGGAATTTATCCATTTCTTCTAGATTTTCTAGTTTATTTGCACAGAGGTGTTTATAGTATTCTCTGATGGTAGTTTGTATTTCTGTGGGATCAGTGATGATATCCTCTTTATCATTTTTTATTGTGTCTATTTGATTCTTCTCTCTTTTCTTCTTTGTTAGTCTGGCCAGCGGTCTATCTATTTTGTTAATCTGTCCAAAAAACCAGCTCCTGGATTTACTGATTCTTTGAAGGGTTTTTCGTGTCTCTATCTCCTTCAGTTACACTCTGATCTTAGTTATTTGTTGTTTTCTGCTAGCATTTGAATTTGTTTGCTCCTGTTTCTCTAGTTCTTTTAATTGTGATGTTAGGGTGTCGATTTTAGATCCTTCCTGCTTTCTCCTGTGGGCATTTAGTGCTATAAATTTTCCTCTAAACACTGTTTTAGCCGTGTTTCAGAGATTCTGGTACACTGTGTCTTTGTTCTAATTGGTTTCAAAGAACTTATGTACTTCTGCCTTAATTTCATTATTTATCCAGTAGCCATTCAGGAGCAGGTTGTTCAGTTTCCATGTAGTTGTGGGGTTTTGAGTGAGTTTCTTAATCCCGAGTTCTAACTTGATTGCATTGTGGTCTGAGAGACTGTTTGTTTTGATTTCCATTCTTTTGCGTTTACTGAGGAGTGTTTTATTTCCAATTATGTGGTCAATTTTAGAATAAGTGTGACGTGATGCTGAGAAGAATGTGTATTCTGTTAATTTGGGGTGGAAAGTTCTGCAGATGTCTATTAGGTCTGCTTGGTCCAGAGCTGAGTTCAAGTCCTGAATATCCTTGTTAATTTTCTGTCTTGTTGATCTGTCTAATATTGACAGTGGGGTGTTAAATTCTCCCACTATTATTGTGTGGGAGTCTAAACCTCTTTGTAGGTCTCTAAGAACTTGCTTTATGAATCTGGGTGCTCCAGTATTGGGTGCATATATAGTTAGAATAGTTAGCTCTTCTTGTTGCATTGATCCCTTTAACATTATGTAAAGCCCTTCTTTGTCTTCTTTTTCTTTTTGATCTTTGTTGGTTTAAAGTCTGTTTTATCAGAGACCAGAATTGCAACCCCAGCTTTTTTTTTTTTTTTTTTTTTTTTTTTGCTTTCCATTTGCTTGGTAAATATTCCTCCATCCCTTTATTTTGAGTTTATGTGTCTTTGCATGTGAGATGGGTCTCCTGAATACAGCACACCGATGGGTCTTGACTCTATCCAATTTGCCAGTCTGTGTCTTTTAATTGGGGCATTTTTCCCATTTACATTTAAGGTTAATATTGTTATGTGTGCATTTGATCCTGTCATAATGATGCTAGCTGGTTATTTTGCCCATTAGTTGATGCAGTTTCTTCATAGTTTCAATGGTCTTCACAATTTGATATGTTTTTGTAGTGACTGGTACTGGTTTTTCCTTTTCATATTTAGTGCTTCCTTCAGGAGCTCTTGTAGGGCAGGCCTAGTGGTGACAAAATCTCTCAGCATTTGCTTTTCTGTAATGAATTTTATTTCTCCTTTGCTTATGAAGCTTAGATTGACTGAATATGAAATTCTGGGTTGAAAATTCTTTTAAGAATGTTGAATATTGGGCCCCACTCTTTACTGGCTTGTAGAGTTTCTGCAGAGAGATGCACTGTTGATCTGATGGGCTTCTCTTTTTGGGTAATCCGACCTTTCTCTCTGGCTGCCCTCAACATTTTTTCCTTCATTTCAGCCTTGGTGAATCTGACGATTATGTGTATTGAGTTTGCTTTTCTCAAGGAGTACCTTTGTGGTGTTCTCTGTGTTTCCTGAATTTGAATGTTGACCTGTCTTGCCAGGTTGGGGAAGTTCTCCTGGGTAATATCCTGAAGAGTGTTTCCCAACTTGGTTCCATTCTCCCCTTCACTTTTAGGTACACGAATCAAACGTACGTTTGGTCTTTTCACGTAGTCCCATATTTCTTAGAGTCTGTTCATTTCTTTTCATTCTTTTTTCTCTAATCTTGCCTTCACACTTTATTTCATTAAGTTGATCTTCAATCTCTGATATCGTTTCTTCCACTTGATTGATTTGGCTATTGATACTTGTGACCAATCTTTTTTTGTTTTCTTAAAGCGTTGAGAAAGCGATTCTTTCATCCAGTTTTCCATTTTATTTTATGAAGGAAGTTTGTCAGGTTTTACTGACAATTAACATAGTACTAATCAAAATTATAATTATTGCAACTTTATATGTTATAATTTGATATTATAAAATATTAAGTATATTAACAGCTTTTCAATGCATGAAATCAATCTGCAGACATATATATTTTCAAACGGATAAACCATGCAGGTAAAATGAAATGTGATCCACTTTTTTTTTCATGTCTAACCTTATTTCTTTCCTTTATCTTAAAGGGAAACCTCTCACAACTATTTCTTATCTATTTTGTCACAGATTTCCCTTCTTTGATTCATGCTTCCACCTACTGCAATACGGTTTATAGTGATTAATTCTACCAATGCAGCTCTCACTAAGATCTCCACTGCCATTTATTTTTCTGATGTAGTGGACAGTTTTAATCCATATTTCCCCCAAGTCTATTGATTCTTCTTCTAAATACATTTATTTTCAAGACACACATTTATCACCATTAAGTCTTTCCTTCACTAATGTACAGTTTTCCACCCTTGCTTCCTTTGTGTCTCTTATATCCCCTCTCTTTAAAGGTGGAAGGTCCTCAGAATCAATTTTAGGTTCTTTTTTCCTTTACTTTTCTTTTTCCTCTCCACATGACTGCCTCTATTTTTGGGCTTTCCATTGCCAGTTATGAACCTTCAGGCATTGTATTTCTTGAAAATTGCAAATTCATATATCTGACTGGAAATACACATTTGCAATTGTATGTTTAGAAGTCAATTTATTGAGGATATTGCTTCTTTTATTTTTATTTCTGGAATGCCTAAATCCATCCTCTTCTATGAGAAATTCATTGTTTTTTTTTTCCTATCTCACATTATAGCATTTAACATAACTGATATCAATTGAGAACGATTATTGTTTATAAGTTTCTTTCCTCACAAAAATCAAAGGTACATGAGAACAGGAAATGTATTTGTTTTTTCAATTTTATATCCTGAAGGCAACATACAACATACAATCTGGTATAGAAAAATCTATTTTGACTTATAACCAATAATAGGTAACTGAATCGTATAATCTATTTTTTAATCAGGTTAAATAATCAGGCTTGGAGTTTCATTTTAAAGAATAAACAAATACAAGGAGTTTTCCATAGTAAAAATTTAATGAAAAAAGCAAAGTAATATATTGACTAAATATAAAGAACATGTATTGTTATATTAACCACAAAGTAAAAATACATGATACATGAAAAGAAGATTTTAAATAGTATAAATAGTTAAATAATTATTTAGACAAATAGATAAACAGATCCATCAGCATGATCATCCGTAAGGAACTAGTGCCTGTACAGCTGAACATGATGCTGCTTAACATTCCTGAAAACATTTTAAAATTTTGATTCAACTCATGTCATGGATATAGCAAAAATGAGAAATGGCAGAATTCATGAACGTGTGAGATGATGTATTAATCATGGAAATGTTTCTCATTTCCATGTTGAACCAGTTTTCATTCCTTCCTCCTTAATCTTTCCTGCAAGTTCGTTCATAAAGAGAAGGATCTCATGATTTCTGCTCTGACAGCCTCCCAGGAACAAGGGCTATACTTCTTCTTTGTCAGATAAAGAGTGATTCTTTGAAAGTATTTTCTCACAGCCAGGATGGAGTCCACATTCCTCAGGGGAGTCTCTTCCACTCCAACCTTCTACATCACACAGGCTTCCAGGTCATTCAGCTGCTGGTAAAGTTCAGTGTAGAATTTGTCTAAAAGGGTCGCATCCCAAGTATCAGATGAGTCCTTTGTGCTGAAGAGGTTGAAGGTCTGCTGCATCATCTCATGGAAAAGGAAGATAGCTTGAACCTTCTGGAAGTGGTTGCCATGAAACACCTGATGATGGAAAATCAAAGTCATGTCTGTCCTTCAAGTAAGAAAAAGGAGAGATTCTCCTCATTTGTGTCAGGAGTATGAAGGCCCTCCTGTTACCCACGCTGTGGGCCTGAGGCAGATCACAGCCCAGAGGCAGATGGACTTGCAGCTGAGCACCATCATAGCCATCAGTAAACTAAAGGGCAAGTCCATTGGGGATGTTTCAGATGCTACTGGGCTGGCTGAGAGAGTGACTCTGAACTCTGGATTTTAGGTTATCTGAAGACCTTATTTTGTACGTAACCTTAAATAGGGAACACACTAGTTTCTATTTTCTGAATGCCCCCTCTCTTATTTTCTATTTCTGTTTTTGTTTTCCTTTATGCTCTCTCTACAGGGCTGTAGAGCAGTTTCTTAACTACTTCTTTTTCATTATTACCTCCTCTTCTCCTTCCCCATAGTCTTTTTAGAAATGTCTCTGTAATTCAAATTCCCACTAATATTTAATAACATAGATATACTATATATCTGCTGATGTTCTATGCACACATCTCTATATATAAGCAGTATAAAGTTTAATGTTTTTATTCAATGGAGGGTTAAGAATGACTAAACATTTTAAGCTAAAAGTTAATAGTTAAATTTAAAACCCATGAATATTTAACTTAACTCCATATCTAAATTTTAAAGTGATTTTTATATAATTTATTCACTTATATAAATTGTAATGTGTCAAATTACATGACCAAATTAACAAGTTATAAAAACAAATAATAATACCTAATATAATAAAATACTTAAAAGTCATTCAAACCTGCTAAAGACTTAAAATTTAAATTATTTTTTAACATTAACTGTTAGTGCACTTAACTTTTAATTTTGCTTCATGGGGAAAACTTTTGACTTCAGTAGCTGCTAGATATTCATCCAGATATTGTCAAGATTGTTCTCTTTTCAGTGCTGAGACAATTAATGATGTGTTGAACAATATCAGTATAATTAAATAATATAATATAAAGTATTTTTAATTCTCAAAGCCCACAACACGTTCAGAATTGCTAAGGATCAGACATAAGCAACATCCACGAGATGGCAAATGACAGCACATATGTATGCAGTGGACACCTCTCATGATATGACTTAGTCATCTAGTAAACCTTGAAATGTCCTCTACTCACAGCACCCATTTGCCATAGGTTTGCAGCACTGATCTTATATACCTTTTGTGTATCTTCCATGGACTCAATGTCAATGCTTCTCATGTGATACACAAGAATACTCAATTAAAAAATGCTAAGGGATAAGTTTTTTTTCAGATAGAGTTGAGCTTTAAAGGGCCACAAACCATTGAAATAGGTAAGATTTGTTCCTGCTCCCAAGAATTAACTTATTGTTCCTTTGAGAGCAATATCATACCCAATGAGACTACACAATTGAGAAAAAATCAGTTGGATTAAAAAAATTTGTACATTAAAATTCAAATTTCCAAAGAACCTGCAAAGGTTCCAATACTAGTTGATTCTTATCTAACTAAATGAAACAATTTTTGTCCTAAATGTTCATGATGGGAGGTAAATGTGATAACATATATGGGCTGTACAATTGTTTTACATGCCATGCCAGACACCAGAGATATTTGTTTCTAATTTTCATTTTCATTGAAAACAAAAGTTGTTACTTTTGCATCCTAAAGAATGGAGACAAGAAGAAAACAAACGTGTATCTAAATGTGATTAAAATGTTAAAAGGAAAAAATATCTTAATGGAAAAAAATAATGATGAAATAGAATTTACCTACATTAATTCCAGTCACGATGGAAATTAAAGGAAGGGGAAGAGCAGAAGCAAAATTGTGGAAGAGATGTAGATCAAAGGGAGCAAATGAGCATGGGCTGGAAGAATAGTAATCATTCCTGGTCAGGGGTGTGTTTTCAGCTTTGCTGAATCCAGCCTTCACAGAGAGTCATGGGACACACACCAACCACAAGAGTTTATACATAAAAAAGGCAAAAATTTGAGAGTACAATATACTCTCTGCATAATAGGTAAGTGATGATGTACCAAGTTCTCCCTTAGTGTATAAATAAACTCAAGAGATCAATATTTTTCTTATCACATCTCTTACAAGAAACAAGGGAATTGATAATGTCAAAGGACACTTTCTGCAACCTAGTAAAGTTCGATAATAAAAATAGTGATTAAAAGGAACCAAATACCTAAATTGTTGAATGTGTTTATTTTTAGTCAGACATTGTTCTTAGCACTTACAAAATTGATGCTCCCTTTACCAATAATGAATACTCTTATTTTTCATATTAACTGAACACCTACCATGTGTCTACCCCCATTAATTCACTGGAGATATCAGTGACCAAAGAAGACTGATAGGTTCTACTGTTATTCCTATTTACAAAATAAAAAATAGAAGTATAAGGAACTATCAAATTATGAAGCCATTGTTTGAACCCAAAATCTGACTGAGCCCTCAGTTCTTACATGCTCCCAGGAATATTTCTGGTCATAAGAACTAGAGCGATTTCTAGATTGATCAATATTTTCCCAGTAGAGTCCTGCCTAGGTAATGACAGAGTCTTTCTCTTCAGCTGTTTACTAGTCTTCTTCACTGAAATTCCCCATTTGATCATGCCAACATGTTACATTACAATTAAATTGGGTCCCATTTTGCTTACACATTATATTCTAGTTTTGTTTCCTTGAGATTATATTTTATATGCTTGAATGTATTTGTCAAACACTTGGTTCATTGCAGTAAATATATTCATAAGCAATTGTTTGAAACCCTACATATTTCTACTCAGTTATTCAAATATCCATAGTGCTTTAGATTTCTACCTGTTTAGTGCAATCCTAATTAAGACTAAGTCATGATCAGGATATTGAAATGAGCTAAATTAGAACTAAACCAAGGTAAGGTGCAGAGTTCAGGGAAGGCTCATCTGGAAGGGCTCTCTAAGGAGATTAAAGGTGTGGAAATAGAAACACTTCTGGGGAAATGGGGAAGTCCAGTGCATTAGAGGAGGAGGACTGAGATGACAAAAGATTCTGAATCACCTGACTTTTCAGCTGGTTGATGCCTTTTATGTTGTAGGTCAGCTGAGTTTGCTGCTGTGTTGATTGCGCTGACTTACTTTGAGGAACTGGTAAACAAAAACATTATGCTGACACTTGGTATTACGGTAAGGAAGACTTAATTTAGGACTCTTGCAACAGATGCCAAAACTATCACAATAGGGGAGAGAGATCAATCTGAACTCAATTCTGAATATAACAAAGACAGCCTTGGATTTGTAGCCAACAAGCAGAATGAGAAAGTCTATGGATAGAAAATCACTAAGAAAATCCTTGCTAAATCAACTTAACAGAATTTTTGCCAAAGTAAAGCCAGGGCAGTCAGATATCTAGGGTACAGGAATTCTCATAAAACTGACTTAGGAAGATTCTTGCTACATCTGGACCAGGCAGAACTAAGAGTGGACTCCAAGACATGGTCTATTCAAAAAGAGAGCTCAGAGGAGCCTGACTAACATTTGGTGAAGAAGAGAGCCTTTCAGAACCCTAAAGGGATAAAGAGTAAGAGACAGAACTATCTTCTAAACACTTAAAATGGCATATGAAATTTTACATCTTTTATGGAAAAATGGGAATTTAATGATGATTTCAATTAATGAAATACACTAGTAAAAATTTAAATCATCTGTATAAGAATTTTGGACTTTTTAACTTTTATTTTGAAACAATTTTAGATATGCAGAGTTGTAAATGTAGTACAGAGAGTCCTCTATTCCCTTCACTCACTTCTCCTAAGGTTAACAGCTTACATAGCCATGGCACAACTATCAAAACTAAGAAATCAAGATTGGTGTACTAACCCTAATTAAACTTCAGACTTCACTCAGATTTCCTCAATTTTTTATTGATGTCTTTTTCCTATTCAAGGAATCTCTCCAGGATCCCATATTGCATTTCATTGTCATTTCTCTTTATTCTTCTCTAATCTGCCATACACGCTCAGTCTTTCCTGACTTTCATGACCTTGAAACTTTTTAAAGAATATTAGTCAATTATTTTTGTAGAATGCCCATCAATTTGGATGTGAGTGCATTTTCTCATTATTATATTAAAATTATAGATGTAAAAGATGAATACAATAGAGTGAATCTTGTCACATCAAGTGATATAGGAGATATATATCAATATGTTGCCTTATTACTGCTGATATTAAACTTATTCACTTGGTAAAGTTTGGATATGCCTGTTTTCTCCAATACAAAGTTGCTATTTTTCCTTTCCATACTCTTTATATTGGTAACACGTCACTAATGTGAGCTTACACTCAAAAGGAGGGAAATTAAGCTCCACCCCATGGAAAGAGAAGTATCAAAGACTTTGTTGACATGTGTTAAAGCTTCACAGTAATTTAAAAATCTTTTGGAGGGAGATACATTGAGGATATGCAGTTATCCTCATTCTCTTCAAGGCTTTGCTTATTGATTTTATGATTCAACAGTAGATCTTGCCTGTTGCAATTATATTTATGATGTTCTGACTATGATATTCTATTTTCCTCGTTCCTTGTACATTTATTATTTGAAATGCTTTTGAAAGATGGAGTTGGCCTCCCTTCCCAATAAATGTATTTATTTACTCATTACTTATATTAGTATAAACTCATGGATATTTATTCCATTCTTTATGTGATAATAAAATACTATCATTATCTATTGTGTTACTCTAGTTGTCCCAGCTTTGGCTATTGGAAGCTCATTAAGGCTGGCTTCTGTGTCCTTTTGACATGTACCTATACATTTTGTTTTTGCATACTTCTTCATCTTCTGGCACCACAAGATACTCCAGTATCCTTGTATTTCCATGACACAGACCAAGAATCAGTCATTTCTCCAAGATGTATTAATGCCTTTTATTGGAGATTGGTATTTTAGAAGACAAGATCTGAGAGCTACATGTGCTTAGCAGTACTAGGATGTCACTGCTTTTAGGTCCTCTCAGTGACAGAGATAGGAATATAAGTAGTACATATACGTATACTAATTTTTTATATACACATACCTATATTTATTTCTGTCCACACCTATATCTAAGTAAAGACTAAAGCAAACATGAGACTATACAAATATCTTTGATTCTAATCCAGCACAATAAGGTTAATTCTAGCCTTTCCATTTTCATTATTTGAAACTTCTTTTTCCAACTCTGAGATACTTGGTTTTTGTTAGTAACAATATTTTTACCTATTTACTCAAGTCTAATAATACACATAATGTTTCGGAACTACTAACTAGAATTTCTGTGAGAAACAATTCTACCAA
This sequence comes from Homo sapiens, assembly GCF_000001405.40. Classification (NCBI taxonomy): domain Eukaryota; kingdom Metazoa; phylum Chordata; class Mammalia; order Primates; family Hominidae; genus Homo; species Homo sapiens. Next base: position 21,283,755 of record NC_000009.12, read on the forward strand.
CTAGCATACAGTGTTTGTGTACAACCCTTTTGTGTTTCACCTTAAAGTATCTAGTCACCACATGGCTAGACAGAGTATTTGTCACTTTCAGAGTGGTTATGTCATACATCAATTACATTAATTTGTCATCATCTAGATTCAATCCTGGTATCTACTGCCAATGTGGTTGAGTTTTTAAAAATTTACATACAGTAAAATTCACACCTTTTGGTGCATAGTTCCACAGGTTTTAACAAATGGACAGAATTATAGTTCATTTATTTTTACCTCAAGTTTTCCTGTAACTTTAAAGGTGAACAAAAAGTTTTTGCCATTGTATACCGTGAAAATTGCCTTGGTATACAGAATCTGTTGTTTTAAATGACAGGATCTCATTCTTTTTATGGCTTTATAGTACTCCATTGTGTATACGTACCACTCTTTGCGTATTTGAGATAACAGCCATTTATCAGATATGTCCTTGAAAACATATTTCTCCCAATATGTAGCTTTTCATATTCTCTTGACAGCATCTTTTGAAAAGCATAAGTTTTTAATTTTAATGAAATCCAGTTTACAAATTTATTCTCTAATAGATCATGGATCATGTCTTTGTTGTTCTATCTAAAGTCATTGCCAAACACAAGGTCATCTAAATTTTGGCTTTTCTTAACATATTTATGATAAAGACAACTGGGTCTTATATTTTACTGACAACAACTTAGGCACATTCATTGTATTTTTTTCTTTTCTTTCTTTCTTTCTTTCTTTTTTTTTTTTTTTTTTTTTTTGAGACAGAGTCTCGCTCTGTCACCCAGGCTGGAGTGCAGTGGTGTGATCTTGGCTCACTGCCACCTCCACCTGCCAGGTTCAAGCGATTCTCCTGCCTCAGCCTCCCGAGCAGCTGGGACTACAGGTGTGCATCCGCATACCCGGCTATTTTATTTATTTATTTATTTATTTTTGTAGTTTTAGTGGAGACAGGATTTCACTATGTTGATCAGGGTGGTCTCAAACTCCTGACCTCAAATGATCTGCCCACCTTGGCCTCCCAAAGTTCTGAGATTACAGGGGTAAGCCACCATGCCCAGCCTCATTGTATTCCTTTTCTTTTAGATAGAGACTGGTTCCTTGAAGTACCTCTTCATAGCCATCAGGAAGTATTCACTTAGCTCAGAGATTTCTTCTACTGTTTTCTCCTGATTTCAATAGGTCTTCAAGTCTTTCTGCTGGTGCTGATATGCAGGGAGGAATTTCCACCAAGTGTCTCATTCAAAGCAGCAACGGCATCCTCTGCACTGAAGAGATTAAAGATTTGCTACAGCACCTCAAGGAGTAAAGCAGTGGCCTCAGCCTTCTGTAACTGGCTCCATCCAGTTCCTTTGTACTGCCCCCAGGAAGTACAAAGTCATATCTGTTCATTAGACAGGAGGAAAGAAAGTCTCCTCATTGTCTCTGAAGCATAAATATTCCCCTGCTGATCAAACCTTGGCTCTTTGGTGGTTCACAGCCATGAATGCTGCAGGGAGGCCTAAGAACATTGCTAGCACCATTGTTATAAAGATGGAGGAGGCCACTGAAAATCTTGTAGGTGCTACTGGCCTGGCTACATGTGTAGTGTGTGAATCTTGGTCCTCAAGCTATCTGAAGATCTTTTACCATGTTTCCCTTTTAAATCAGGAACACAATAGTTTTCACTTCTGGAAGGCCTGCACCTGGGACAAGTGTCCAGGATTGTAGTAGAGGTGGCTCTCTCTTCCACTCTTTTCTTATTGGTATAATGACTCTTTCAGTTGGTGCCAATATTCATTGTGCAAATCCTAGTTATTTTCAGGTATAATGGGTGAGGGAATTTAAATTCCAAAACCAGCATTATTTTCATCTTTTCATGGCACCATCTCACCTCAAAAGTAATTGTCATGTCTCTAATGACACCCTATGTTCTGAAGTGACAAAGTCTAGCTTGATCAATACAATATGCACACAGCCATGTGTCCTGACATCCAACTCTTCCCGACTCAACCCCCTTTGGCAGGGCATAGGTTACTTCTGTCAGTAAGATATTCCTGTATTAGGTGGTTTCAGGTGTGCTCAAAATATTCCCTAGCTTTCTTACCATTACCTAAGCACTTCCTCAGTTTACTAAGTGTGAATATAACTGAGAAAGTAGTGAGATGTAACCTTATATCCTCCTGACACTGGTATCAGATAGTTTGACAGACTACAGATGACTCCATCAAACAAATATTTTCTGCATTCCCATGCTCTCATTACCAGATATGCAATACAAGTCACAATTTATACCTCCACCCATGTGCATTTATCATTAATTCTAGACCAATATACTCAATTGTCAATGAGATTTCTACACTTACATTGTTTTCCAGTCACCTTAGAAAGGATGTCTACTATTGTTTTTTTTTCCAACATGATTCATAGCTAAAATTTTTGTTATATATACACATCATTGTCCTTTAGTTCTTTTTGCAGTATTTCTTTTTTTAATTTCATTTTTAACCTTTATTTTAGGTTTGGGTATACATGTGAACACATGTCTACATAGGTAAACACGTGTCACGAGGGTTTGTTGTATACATCTTTTCATCGCTCAGGTATTAAGCCCAGTACCCAATAGTTATCTTTTCTGCTCCTCTCCTTCCTCTCACCCCCGACCCTCAAGTATACCCAAGTGTCTATTGTTTTCTTCTTTGTGTTCGTAAGTTCTTGTCATTTAGCTCCCACTTATAAGTGAGAACATGCAGTATTTGGTTTTCTGTTCCTGAATTAGTTGGCTAAGGATAATAGCCGCCAGCTCCATCCATGTTCCCGCAAAAGACATAATCTTGTTCTTTTTTATGGCTGCATAGTATTCCATGGTGCATATGTACCACATTTTCTTTATCCAGTCTGTCATTGATGGACATCTAGGTTGATTCCATGTCTTTGCTATCGTGAATAGTGCTGCAAGGAGCATTTGCGTGCATGTGTCTCTATGGTAGAATGATTTATATTCCTCTAGGTATATACTCAGTAATGGGATTCCTCAGTTGAATGACAGTTCTGCTTTTAGCTCTTTGAGGGATTGCCACACTGCTTTCAACAACGGCTGAACTAATTTACATTCCCACCGACAGTGAATAATTGTTCCCTTTTCTCCGCAACCTCACCAGCACTTATTTTTTGACATCTTAATAATAGCCATTCTGATTGGTGTGAAATAGTATTCATTGTGTTTTAATTTGAATTTCTCTAATGACCAGTGATATTGAGTTTTTTTGTCATTAAAGTGAAAGAAGAGAAGTGATTTTCCACCTACACAATCACCAAGTGTAAGTTCACAAAATATAATGCAGCAAAATTGGGAAGTAGGGACTCTGGCAGCAGGGACGAATGAAGGCCAATGTTGACACACACAAAGGCAGGAAAATGGCTCCATCTTTAGGGTGCTCAGGATGCTCTTTGGCAGAATAATGGATATTAGCCTTGCCTGAATATTCTACCTGGTTAACAAATCCACTCAGGCAATGAAATGCTTGCTTTTAGACACCTAGAATTAAAAGACGGGGGATTAGGTAAGCCAAAAAATAGCTGCTCTTAATGTAACACTGAGTTTTATTGCATGCTTAATATGGACCATCCAGTGTTCTAAAGTCTGGGACACTAAGGTCCCAGCACTAGGCACGGTGCTGCTCAGCCAGCCTGCTGGTGAATCTGATATAGGTAGCCCAAGGGGCTGTTTTGCAGACCCAAGACCTGGGTGCAGGGCATCCAAGTTAGAAAGAGGAAGTCAAATTGTCTCTGTTTGCAGATGACATAATTTTACTTATAGTAAAACCTAAAGATTTGGGTGCAGGGCGTCCAGGTTGGAAAGGAAGAAGTCAAGTTGTCTCTGTTTGCAGGTGACATAATCTTATATCTAGAAAAACCTAAAGATGCTACCAAAATAACCCTTAGAACTGATAAATGAATTCAGTAACTTTGCAAGATACAAAATTAACATACAAAAATCAGTGGTGTCTCTGCACATGAAAAACTAGCTGGAAAAAAAATCAAGAAGGCTTCCTGATTTCAGTAGCCATAAAAAAGTAATAAAACGCCCAGTAATATGTCTAAACCAGGAAGTTAAAGAGCTCCAGAAGCTAAATTTCAAAACACTAATGAAAGAAATTTAAGAGGATATAAACAAGTAGAAAGACATCTCGTACTCGCAGCTTGGAAGAATTAATATTGTTAAAATGAGACTACCACTGAAAGCAAACTACAGATTCAATGCAATGCAATCCCTAACAAAATACCGATGACATTTTCTATAGAAATGAACAAATTCTAAAAATTTTATGGAACCACAAAAGACCACTAATAGACAAAGAATCCTGAGGAAAAAGACAGTACTATTCAGCCATAAAAGAGAGTGAGATTCAGTCATTTGCAGTAACATGAATGGACATTTATCCAAAGGAAAGAAAATCGTTATATATAAGAGACATCTGCATCCCCATGTTTATTGAAGCATTCTTCCTGATAGCCAAGATGTGAAATTAACCTAGTTTGCCAACAACAGATGAATGGATAAACAAAATGTGGTACATATAAAGAATGAAATACTATTCAGCCATGAAAAGAATGAATTCCTGTCATTTGTGGCAACATGAATGGAACTGAGGACATTATGTTTAGAGAAATGAGGCAGGAGCAGAACATTAAATACTGCATGTTTTAACTCATATCTGGAAGCTCAAAAAAAAGTTGATTTCATAGAAGTAAAAAGTAGAACACAGAGGCTACCAGAAGCAAGGAAGTGACAGTGAGAAATTTGTTAACCAATTTCCCATTTAGAAAACAGTGCAGCTTATGACCAGCACTCATTTCTTGGGGCAAATGGTAAATGTGATAAAGGACGAAATTACAGCTAGATAGGAAGTTAAGGTCTAGTGTTTTATACCAGGAGTCCCCAACCCCCAGGCCATAGACTGGTACCGGTCCATGGCCTGTTAGGAACTGGGCCACAGTGCAGTGCAGCAGGAGATGAGCCATGAGCGAGCAAGCATTACTGCCTGAGCTCTGCCTTCTGTCAGATCAGCCATGGCATCAGATTCTCATGGATCAAACCCTATTGTGAACAGCGCATGCCAGGAATCTAGTTGTGTGCTCCTTATGAGAATCTAAGTAATGCCTGATGAGCTGAGGTGGAACAGTTTTGTTCCAAAACCACCACGCCCCAGTTTGTGGAAGTGGGAAAATTGCCTTCTGCAAACCCAGTCTCTGGTGCCAAAAAGGTTTGGGGACCACTGTTTTATACCACTGTAGGATCTAGTTTACAGTAACATATTATATAGCTGTAAATAGCTAGAAGGAGGACACTTGGAGGACTGTTCCCAACACAAAGAAATGATAAATGTTTGAGATGATGGATATGCTAATTACCCTGATCTGATCACTACGTGAGTATTAAAACATCACTATGTTTGCCATTAATAGATACAATTATCTGTCAATTATTAAAAAGAAAAATAGAAATTTTAAAAAATTAATTCAATCATTTTCAACAAACCTTTATTTGTATTACACTCATTGTGTAAAATCTGGACGGATGAACTGTTCTAAACATGCCAGCAATCCAAGGTGAAACCCTTACGGAGGGTTGAGATCACTGGCTTGTGCAAAAGGGCCTGTTAAACAGCCAAGGAATAGATACGAACAAGGGCAACAAAGATGTTACAAGTAAATTTAACTGACTGACTTTAGATTCTAAGTAGACAATTTAAAAAAAAATTATAAGGGAGTAGATCTGTCCTCCCAATGGAAAAACAAAGTCTAAGGATTAATGCAGAGAAATATGTTAAAATAAATATTAATCTATCACTTGTAGACCCTTGGAAGCCTATTTATTTTTAACCCTTGAGCTATTTTGTGAGTTTAAGAATAAACAAAAAGCACCTAACAATTTTTGGTCTACTGATAGTACCACCATGTAAGGTCTGACTTATCTCCTTTAGGACTTCACTAATTTATCAGGAGACCTTCTTCAGGCCAGCATGCTGATCTCATTCCCAAAGATGACAGCACTGTTTCTTACCTCCAGCTCAGACTGGAATTAATCGTGTGTACTGATAGAGTCCAGTAAAGAATCCTCTTCTGTATCTTTCCATCCAATAGTCGAGTTTTGAGTGCTGAAGAGACCTTTGATGACTAAAATGGAAGAATATTATGCAGTTCTTGCACAGAAGTGAAGGGTTTTAAAGAGCTGCTTACCAAGGAAAGTCTGGCTTTAATGCCAGACTCAGCCCAGCTTGCCTACTGTGGTTGATTCACTAGATGAAGGAGATAAGCATTTCCCTAGTTCACACAGCTCACAGCAATCAGAAAACATACCATGCTACCTTTTTGAGGTTAGTAGCCCTTTGTTCCCCATATCATTAATCCTTCATTTTTTTGGCCTTGTCAAGGAGAGACCAAATTCACAGAATGTGTGTGTGAAATGTAAGGAGTTGGGACATCGTTTTTCTACAACTGAGAAACCTAAGCTTCAATCATTTGATGATATTTAGGTGACACTAGTATAGAACCAGCATGAGTATATCAGGGTACATATCAGAAAGAATCAGTTTTTAATAAAACAAATAAATTTTATTATCCATTTTTTGGATGATTCAAAAGAAAGAAATAAAAGGCATTCATTAACAAATCTCTCACCTTTGCCCTCTCTCCTACCCCATACAGAAAACACACTAAGACAGGTACACCATGGGAAAAAATAGTCTTTTTAACAAACAGTGTTGGAAAAACTGGTTATGGACATAGAAAGGAATTAAGTTGAACTCCTACATTACATACAAAAAGTAATTAAAATTGAATTAAACATCTAAACATAATACCTGAAAACATGAAACTCCTAGAAGAAACCTACAAGAACAGCTTTATAACAATGGATTTAACAATGGAATTATTGGATATGATACCAAAAGCATAGGCAACTAATGTAAAAATAGATAAAGGAAACTACATCAAAATTAAAAGCTTCTGTGTCTCAAAGATACAATCAAAAGAGTTAAAAGAGCAATCTTAAAAATGGAAGAAAGTATTTGCAAATAATATATCTAATAAGGAGTAATGGCCAGAATCTATAAGGAACTTCTACAATCAACAACGTGATGAGTTAATGGGTTCAGCACACCAACATGGCACATGTATACATATGTAACTAACCTGCACGTTGTGCACATGTACCCTAAAACTTAAAGTATAATAAAAAAAAAGCATTTAACTTAATTTTAAAAGGGAAAAGATTTGAATAGACATTTATTTAAAGAAGACATACAAATGTTCAACTAGTATATTTCTATGGTCTGAATGTTCCTCCTAAATTCTTATGCTGAAATCCTAACACTGAGGTGATGGTATTAGAAGGTGGGCATTTTGGCAGGAGATTAAACCATGAGGACAGATCCCTCATTAATGGGATCAGCCCCCTTATAAAAGGGACCCCAGAGAGCCAAATTTCCTTCCAGCATGTGAGGATACCATGAGAAGACATCATCATTTGAGCCAAGAAATGGGCCCTTAGTGGACTCAGAATCTGCAGGGGCCTTGATGTTGGACTTTCCAGCTTCCAGAACTGTGAGAAATAAATTTCTCTTATTTGTAAATTACCAGGTTGTTGGTACTTGTTATAGCAGCTCTAACAGACTAAGGTACATATGGAAAGATGCTCAACCTCACTAACTGTTAGGGAATACAAATCAAAATCACAATGAGATAGCACTTCACATCCATCAGGGGGTTACTATATAAATAGATGATATAGATGTTGATATTGTATAGGTATAGATAGAAATAAATTACAAGAGTTGGCAATGATATGAAGAAACTGAAACCCTTGTGCCCTGTTGATGGGAATGTGAAATCGTGCAGCCTGGTTGCAATGAGAAACAGCACAATGTTCCTCAAAAAATTAAAAATAGAATTACCATATAATCCAGCAATTCCACTTCTGAGTATATGTCCTAAGAATTTTTTAAATAAGCGTTTGAAGATATATTTGTACATAATGTTTGTAAAAGCTTTCATCAGTATAGCCAAAGGTGGAAGAAACCCAAGTGCTCGTCAATGGATGGATGAATAGATAAATAAAATGTGGTATACGCATATAATGGAATATTATTCAGCCTTATATGCATTCTATTAAACATAGTACAGAATATTATTCAACCTTATACAATGTAATATTATACTGCATTATATTATTCAGCAAAATATGATATATATGTATAATAAAATATTATTCACCTGTATTCTGACACATACTACAACATGAATGAACTTTGAGGACATTATGCTAAGTGAATAAACCAGTCACAAAATAACAAATATTATATTATTCCACTTGTATGAGGTATCTAGAGAAATCAAATTAATAGAAACAGAAAGTAGAATAGTGGTTGCCAGGTGCTGAGGTGTGGAGGGAGCCAGAAGGAATGTGGAGGTGCTGTTAAAAGAGCATAGAATTTCAGTTTTGCAGGTTGGAAAAGTATGGAGATTAGTTCCACAATGGCGGGAATACATTTAACACTATTGAACTGTATACCTAAAAATGGTTAATATGGTAAATATTATGTTAACTGTATTTTATTTTAATTTTAAAAATATGTAACAAAACAACATTATTCCACTGGGAAAAAAATGACAAATATAACTTGGCTAAATTCTGCCTAACCAAGAGGTGATTATGAGATGAGGTAGAGAGGAATTGAAATTGGACAAGGATGTAGGTCAAAAGCAGTAGATGGGCATATGCCCAAGGAAAAGTCATCATTCCTGGTCTAGGGGCTGGCCTTCAGATTTGGGAAATCCAGCCTTCACATAGTTGAGGACATATCAACCAAGTCAACAGAGTTTACACACAAATGGTAAATTTTTGAGAGTACAGTATTCTCTCTGGATAACGGGTGTTAATTGCACTAAGTTCTTTCTTAGTGGATTAATAAACTCAGAACAGTAATCATTTTCTTGTCATCACTGTCACAAGAAGCAAGGAAATGAATAATTTCAAAGGATGCTTCCCTCAACTCAATAGTTAAATAATGAGGAGAGTGTCAATAAGAAGAATAAAATCGCTAAATTCTAGAAGGTGTTTATTGTAAGCCATGCATTGTTGTAACACTTACAAATCAGTCCTCATTTTACCCCATTTCAAACACCCACATTTTTCATATTTATTGAAAACTTACCAGTGCTCAGTTCCATTTAATCACTGTAGATATCATTGTGTCTGATGGTTAATTTTAGGTGTCAACATGACTGCATTAGGAATACCTAGCAACCTGGTCAAGCATTATTTTGGGGTGTATCCCAAGGTGTTTCCAGGGGAGATTATCAGTGCTCTAGGTGGGTAAGATCCGACCTCCATGTAAGCAGGCACCATGCAATCTGCTCTACAGTCCAAAGAAAACAAAAACTCTATCTGTGGGTCTATCTGCTGGAACTGGGATGAACTCTTTCTCCCCTGTCCTTGGACAACAACTCCAAGCTCCCCTACCTGTGTACTCTAGGGCTTAAACCAGAAGCCACCAGGTTCTCAGGACTTTGGTCTGGGACTGAGAGTTACATTATCAGCTTCTCTGGTTCTGTGGGGAGCTTCAGACTTTGAGTGAGCCACACTACCAGCATCCCAGGGTCTCCAGCTTACAGATGGCATGTGGCATGGGAGGGGCTTTTCAGACTTCATAACTGCATGAGCTAATCCCTCTAATGATGTATTTGAAGGATTAGCTCGTGCAGTTACGAAGTCTGAAAAGCTTTTTAACTTAAAAAGATTTGAGGGATCACAATAAATGATAAAATGTAATTCCACTGATTTTGTCTCACTGGAAAACACCTGAGTAATGGAAAACACCTGAGTCATACAGTGACCAAAGCAGACAGTGAAGTTTCTATTATTATATCCATTTATAGAAAAAAAAGACAGAAGTGCAGGGAGCTATTGAATTGTGGAGCCACTGTCTGAATCCAGAAAATCTGACTGAATCGTCAGGTCTTACATGCTCCCTGGGAATATTTTGGCCATAAAAACCAGATGTGATTTCTAGACTGATCAGTGCTTTTCCAGTAGAGTCTTGCCTAAGTAATGACAGGCTCTTTCTCTTCAGCCATTATTCTTTTTCTTCACTGTAAAGTCTCATTTGCTTATGCCAGTCATGTTACATCATGAATAAATTGGGTCCTATTTTACTTACACTTGTTATATCCTACTTTTTGTTTTCCTAAGTATTTACTTCATAGGTCTGAATGCATTTGAAAAATATTTTGTTCATCCCAGTAATATACACAACATACATAATTGTGGCACAGTTATCAAAACTGAGAAATTTATAGTGGTACAGTATTACTAACTAAGCTTCAGATTTCAACAATCTTTTACTAATATTATTTTTCTGTTTCAAGAATCAATCCAGGATCCCACATTGCACTTAGTTGTCTTATCTCTTTAGTCTCCTTTAATCTGTAACACGTGCCCAGTCTTTCCTAGTCTTTCATGATCTTGAGACTTTTAATTAAAATTGGTCAATTATTTTGTAGAATGTCCACTGATTTGAATTTGTATGGTATTTTCTCATGACTAGATTGAAGTTATAGATTTAAGGGAAGAATACAATGTCATTGCCAAGATGTTGACCTGCCTGCCTATGTGCACAAATATGTATGACTCACACAGACACAGAGTCACATGGAGCCTTTTCCACAGGTCCCAGACTGCACATTGAGTCAGTGTGTGAAACCACCCTAATGCTCTGGCAGGACTCCCGGTCCAGGTGTCTTGGTGGCTATCTAAAAAGTTGGTGTGGTGTCCTAGCATCATCAGTGCAACATGTAGCTTGCTTCACATGGAATCACAGTAATTTGAGCTCATTATAACCCTTTGAACAGGCTTAGCTGGAATTTCCATTTATATGAGGTTTTATTTGAATGTGTCTTTGATCTTTAAAGGTTTCATAATCACCAGCTTCATGATTAACTGTGACAAGCTGTTATATGACAGACCTTTAGATACTCACATTAATGACTAATGATTCAAATTTGTTATTTATCTAGGTTTAATGTTCTTGTTTCATGGATCCTAATCCTCAGGAAGTGTTCAAATTCTAAATGAGCCTACTCAGTGCAGAGTACACCAACTGGAAAGAGAAGAAACGGAACTAAACTGCCATTGTCTTCTTCTTCTGAATTAACTAAGTTAAATTAATAAATTTTGTAAAAGTCTTTGCTGTATTAGGAATTGTGATCTTGCAATGCGCATTGCTCTGCAGATAAATCTCCTGCCAGAAGACAGACTTCTGCATAAACAGAAAAGCCTGGTCTCCACAGACTTGGTTGCGGTCTTGGTGCATTTTCGTCATCAGTGGCTCTCTTCACCTAAAAATGTTTTAATAGCCTCAGAGTAAAATGGAACAGCCTTTTATTTTCTTTTTGCTAAGCTAATGTTACATCATTATAACAGGGACATTCCCTCTTATCCAGAAATATTTATAAGAAAAGAAAAACAGCCTTTCATATAAGAGTTTCTGAAAAACCTAGAACTTTCATTCAACGTCTGCTTTAATTTGTGGTTTTGTACTCTTAAGGGGAAATTGGTGGACAAAACCCACAAGAGAACTGAGAACAGCTGTATGAAGAGGCAATGCAGGTTAATGAAGAGTGAAGAGAAGAGAACAGTGCGGATTTCTAGAAGAAGAGGAAGGAAATTATTGTGATATGGGAGTTAAAAATGGGATCCAGAAAAACAGGGAGGAAAGGGGGAAGTGTGCCAGGTCTCAGAACCAGCAAAGGTTGCTATGTATATTTCACTTCAGTTTAGGAGACTAACTTTATATGGAAGTATATTCTGGAATTCTGAGAGCCAGAAAGGGAATGTGCCAGGTGCCAGAATCAGCTAATAAACATCATATATCTTCTGCACTTCAATCTAGATGGTGCTTCTTCTCTCTCAGGTATTTATACAAGCCACCATTTCCTGACTGAATACAAATAGCAAACTTCTTTGAAATAAGGAGGGATAATTTTTCAACCCCTCCAGATTTTTTGACAGAATTCTAGGTTTTTAGTTTGCCTCCTTTGGAGATGGGTTTCTGAAAGGGAGGACGTAGTTCCTAAGAATGTTATAGAAAGACGAATAATATTCTCTTCTCTAGCTGGATGAAGGAAAATAGAAAAATACCTGCCATATTTTAAATCCTTACTCTGTGAAGGATACCACACACAGTGCTTTAAACTATATGTGTTCATTTAGGAATAACAACTATATAAATATTTGAACCCATTATATTTATAAAAAAACTGAGCTCCTGCAGCCTCTGCACTGTGCTGCCACCACTGCCACTGTGAATGCCTACATGGAGTCCAACACCCCTGCACTCACCAGTGCCCCACTGCAGTCAATGAGCATTTGCCTTCCCAAGCTGCTGACACATGCAAATGAGGAAGGATCCCACTGCCACCACTCTATGAATCACTGTGGCTGGCACCACCTATCAGAGTGTTCTGACCAGTGGTTCAGGAGCAAATTAGGCCCCTTCAGCATGGCAGGTTGCGAATCTCCAGGGGCCCCAGAATGAAGCTTCAGGCCTGATAGTAGACACCCACAGTAGGATCATGCAGTTCAGGGCTCCTAAGCTGAGCCTTGGCCCACTTAAATCCCCATAGATTAAGCCAATTGACTGAACCCACATTATAGCAAAACTAAACCCCAAAGAATGTTACATAGGATAAAAGAAATAAAAGCAATCCAAAGGTTAGCAACTTCAAAGATTGAAGGACCATCAGCCCACAAAGATGAGAAAGAACCAGTTCAAGAACTCTGGCAACTCAGAAAACCAGAGTGACTTCTTACCTACAAACATCCACACTAGTTCTACAGCAATGGTTCCTAACCAGGCTAAGATGGCTGAATTGACAGAAATAGAATTCAGAATATGGATAGGAATGAAGATCATCGACATATAGGGGAAAGTTGAAACCCAATCCAATCCAAGGAGTCTAAGGATTACAATAAAACGATACAGGAGCTAATAGATGAAATGGTCACTATAAGAAAGAATCAAACTGATTGATAGAGCTGAAAAATACTGTACAGGAATTTCATAATGCAATTGCAAGTATTAACAGCAGAATTGACCAAGCTGAGGAAAGACTCTCAGAGCTTGAAAACTGGCTCTTCCAAATAACTCAGTCAGAGACAAATAAAGAAAAAACAATAAGAATAAACAAAACTTCCAAGGAATATAAGATTATGTAAAGAGACCCAATCTATGACTTATTGGCATGCCTGAGAGACAGAGAGAGAAACCAAGCAACTTGGAGAACATATTTCTTTTTTTTTTCTAAAGGATGTATTTTTACTATGATCTATTATTCTTAATTATTTTCACAAAATTGCTGGTAATCCTTAAAAAGTTGTATTTTGTTGCTGATTAATGCCGTCAACTGAACTATCTCTGTAAAGCATAATGATATTTTATTTTATTATATTTATATATTTTTTATTTTATTATTATTATACTTTAAGTTTTAGGGTACATGTGCACAACGTGCAGGTTTGTTACATATGTATACATGTGCCATGCTTGTGTGCTGCACCCATTAACTCGTCATTTAGCATTAGGTATATCTCCTAATGCTATCCCTCCCCCCTTCCCCCACCCCACAACAGTCCCCAGTGTGTAATGTTCCCCTTCTTGTGTCCATGTGTTCTCATTGTTCAATTCCCACCTATGAGTGAGAACATGCGGTGTTTGGTTTTTTGTCCTTGCTATAGTTTGCTGAGAATGATGGTTTCCAGTTTCATCCATGTCCCTACAAAGGACATGAACTCATCATTTTTTATGGCTGCATAGTATTCCATGGTGTATATGTGCCACATTTTCTTAATCCAGTCTATCGTTGTTGGACATTTAGGTTGGTTCCCAGTCTTTGCTATTGTGAATAGTGCCGCTATAAACATACATGTGCATGTGTCTTTATAGCAGCATGATTTATAAACCTTTGGGTATACACCCAGTAATGGGATGGCCAGGTCAAATAGCATTTCTAGTTCTAGATCCCTGAGGAATAGCCACAGTTTCTTCCACAATGGTTGAACTAGTTTACAGTCCCACCAACAGTGTAAAAGTGTTCCTATTTCTCCACATCCTCTCCAGCACCTGTTTATTCCTGACTTTTTAATGATCGCCATTCTAACAAGTGTGAGATGGTATCTCATTGTGGTTTTGATTTGCATTTCTCTGATGGCCAGTGATGATGAGCATTTTTTCACGTGTTTTTTGGCTGCATAAATGTCTTCTTTTGAGAAGTGTCTGTTCATATCCTTCGCCCACTTTTTGATGGGGTTGTTTGATTTTCTCTTGTAAATTTGTTTGAGTTCATTGTAGATTCTGGATATTAGCCCTTTGTCAAATGAGTAGGTTGCGAAAATTTTCTCCCATTCTGTAGGTTGCCTGTTCACTCTGATGGTAGTTTCTTTTGCTGTGCAGAAGCTCTTTAGTTTAATTAGATCCCATTTGTCAATTTTGGCTTTTGTTGCCATTGCTTTTGGTGTTTTAGACATGAAGTCCTTGCCCATGCCTATGTCCTGAATGGTATTGCCTAGGTTTTCTTCTAGGGTTTTTATGGTTTTAGGACTAACATTTAAGTCTTTAATCCATCTTGAATTAATTTTTGTATAAGGTATAAGGAAGGGATCCAGTTTCAGCTTTCTACATATGGCTAGCCAGTTTTCCCAGCACCATTTATGAAATAGGGAATCCTTTCCCCATTGCTTGTTTTTCTCAGGTTTGTCAAAGATCAGATAGTTGTAGATATGCGGCATTATTTCTGAGGGCTCTGTTCTGTTCCATTGGTCTATGTCTCTGTTTTGGTACCAGTACCATGCTGTTTTGGTTACTGTAGGCTTGTAGTATAGTTTGAAGTCAGGTAGCGTGATGCCTCCAGCTTTGTTCTTTTGGCTTAGGATTGACTTGGCGGTGCGGGCTCTTTTTTGGTTCCATATGAACTTTAAAGTAGTTTTTTCCAATTCTGTGAAGAAAGTCATTGGTAGCTTGATGGGGATGGCATTGAATCTATAAATTACCTTGGGCAGTATGGCCATTTTCACGATATTGATTCTTCTTAACCATGAGCATGGAATGTTCTTCCATTTGTTTGTATCCTCTTTTATTTCATTGAGCAGTGGTTTGTAGTTCTCCTTGAAGAGGTCCTTCATATCCCTTGTAAGTTGGATTCCTAGGTATTTTATTCTCTTTGAAGCAATTGTGAATGGCAGTTCACTCATGACTTGGCTCTCTGTTTGTCTGTTATTGGTGTATAAGAATGCTTGTGATTTTTGTACATTGAGTTTGTATCCTGAGACTTTGCTGAAGTTGCTTATCAGCTTAAGGAGATTTTTGGCTGAGACAATGGGGTTTTCTAGATATACAATCATGTCATCTGCAAACAGGGACAATTTGACTTCCTCTTTTCCTAATTGAATACCCTTTATTTCCTTCTCCTGCCTGATTGCCCTGGCCAGAACTTCCAACACTATGTTGAATAGGAGTAGTGAGAGAGGGCAGCCCTGTCTTGCACCAGTTTTCAAAGGGAATGCTTCCAGTTTTTGCCCATTCAGTATGATATTGGCTGTGGGTTTGTCATAGATAGCTCTTATTATTTTGAGATACGTCCCATCAATACCTAATTTATTGAGAGTTTTTAGCATGAAGCATTGTTGAATTTGGTCAAAGGCCTTTTCTGCATCTATTGAGATAATCATGTGGTTTTTGTCTTTGGTTCTGTTTATATGCTGGATTACATTTATTGATTTGCGTGTGTTGAATCAGCCTTGCATCCCAGGGATGAAGCCCGCTTGATCATGGTGGATAATCTTTTTGATGTGCTGCTGGATTCCGTTGGCCAGTATTTTATTGAGGATTTTTGCATCGATGTTCATCAAGGATATTGGTCTAAAATTCTCTTTTTTGGTTGTGTCTCTGCCAGACTTTGGTATCAGGATGATGCTGGCCTCATAAAATGAGTTAGGGAGGATTCCCTCTTTTTCTATTGATTGGAATAGTTTCAGAAGGAATGGTACCAGCTCCTCTTGGTACCTCTGGTAGAATTCGGCTGTGAATCCATCTGGTCCTGGACTTTTTTTGGTTGTTAAGCTATTGATTATTGCCTCAATTTCAGATCCTGTTATTGGTCTATTCAGAGATTCAACTTCTTCCTGGTTTAGTCTTGGGAGGATGTATATGTCGAGGAATTTATCCATTTCTTGTAGATTTTCTAGTTTATTTGCATAGAGGTGTTTATAGTATTCTCTGATGGTAGTTTATATTTCTGTGGGATCGATGGTGATATCCCCTTTATTATCATTTTTTTTGCGTCTATTTGATTCTTCTCTCTTTTCTTCTTTATTAGTCTTGCTAGCAGTCTATCAATTTTGTTGATCTTTTCAAAAAACCAGCTCCTGGATTCATCAATTTTTTGAAGGATTTTTTGTGTCTCTATTTCCTTCAGTTCTGCTCTGATCTTAGTTATTTCTTGCCTTCTGCTAGCTTTTGAATGTGTTTGCTCTTGCTTTTCTAGTTCTTTTAATTGTGATGTTAGGGTGTCAATTTTAGATCTTTCCTGCTTTCTCTTGTGGGCATTTAGTGCTATAAATTTCCCTCTACACACTGCTTTGAATGTGTCCCAGAGATTCTGGTATGTTGTGTCTTTGTTCTTGTTGGTTTCAAAGAACATCGTTATTTCTGCCTTCATTTCATTATTTACCCAGTAGTCATTCAGGAGCAGCTTGTTCAGTTTCCATGTAGTTGAGCGGTTTTGAGTGAGTTTCTTAATCCTGAGTTCTAGTTTGATTCATATTTCAAAATGTTGTCCATGAAAATTTTCCCAACCTCACTAGTGAGGCCAAGATTCAAATTCAGGAAATGCAGAGAATCCCTGCGAAATGCTACAGAAAAAGACTTTCCCTAGCACACGTAGTCATCAGATTCTCCAAGGTCTAAATGAAAGAAAAAATGCTAAAGGCACCTAGAGAGAAGGGGCACATCACCTACAAAGGGAACTGTGTCAGGCTAAAAGCAGACCTGTCAGCAGAAACTGTATAAACCAGAAGAGATTAGGAACAATATTCAGTTGTCTTAAAGAAAACAATTTTTAACCAAGAATTTTATATCTGGCCAAACTGCACTTTATAAGCAAAGGAGAAATAAGATCCTTTACAGACAGGCAAATGTTAAGGGAATTTACCACTAAATCTGACTTACGAGAGTTTCTCTAGGGAGTGCTAAATATGGAAAGGAAGTACACAGACCAATGACACTATAAAGAAATCACATGAAGGAGTCTGAATAATAACTATATAACAACATTATGACAGGATCAAATCCACACTTACCAATACTAGCCTTGAATGCAAACAAGCTAAATGCCGTAAAATTAAAAGGCAGAGAGTGTCAAGTTAGATAAGGAACCAAAACCCAACAATATGCTATCTTCAAAAGACCCATCTTACATGCAATGACACTCACAGGCTCAACGTAAAGGGGTGGAAAAAAAATCAACGAAGCAAATGGAAAATAGAAAAATGCAGGTGTTGCTATTCTAATTTCAGAGAAAACACACTTAAAATTAACAAAGATCAAAAAAGACAAGGAAGGGCATTACATAATGATAAAGGGCTCAATTCAACAAGAAGACCTAATTATCTTAAATATATATACCAAACCCTCAGAGACTATTACAAACACTTCCATGCACACAAACTAGAAAACCTAAAAGAAATGGATAAATTTCTGGAAACATAAACCCTCCCAAGACTGAACCAGGAAGAGACTGAATCTCTGAAGAGATCAAAAATGAGTTCTAAAGTTGAATTGGTAATACAAAGCCTACAAATCAGAAAAAGGCAAGACCAGATGAATTCACAGATACATTCTACCAGATGTACAAAAAAGACCTGGTAATATTTCTACTGAAACGATTCCAACAAATTGAGGAGGAAGCACTCCTTCCTAACTTATTCTATGTGGTCACCATCATCCTGACACCAAAACTGGCCAGAGATACAACAAGAAAAGGAAAACTTCAGGTCAATATCCTTGATGAACACTGATGTAAAAATCCTTAAAAAAGATACTAGCAAATGAAATACAGCACATCAAAAAGCTAACCCACCACAATTAAATAGGCTTTATCTCTGGGATGCAAGGTTGTTTCAAAATACACAAATCAATAAATGTGATTCATCAAATAAACAGAACTAAAGAGAAAAATATATTATTATCTCAATAGATGCAGAAAAGGCTTTTGATAAAATTCAACACCTCTTCACATTAAAAATTCTCAATAAACTAAGTATTGAAAGAATATACCTCAATATAATAAGAGCCATCTATGACAAACCCACAATCAACATCATATTGAATAGGCAAACCTGGAAGCTTTCCCCTTGAAAACTGGCACAAGACAAGAATGTCCTCTCTCACCAGTACTATTCAACATAGTACTGGAAGTCCTGGCTGGAGTAATCAGGCAAGAGAAAGAAATAAAGGACATCCAAATAGGAAGAGAAGTCAAATTATCCTTGTTCACAGATGGTATAATTCTCTATATAGAAAACCCCATATTCTCTGCCCAAAAGCTCCTCGAGCTGATACACAACTTCAGCAAAGTTTCAGGATACAAAATCAATGCACAAAAATTACTAGCATTCCCATACACCAACAACAGTCAAGCTGAGAGCCAAATCCTAAATGCAGTACATATATACCATGGAATACTATGCAGTCAAAAAAGAACAAGATCTTGTCTTCTATGGGAACTTGGATGGAGGTGGAGGCCATTATCCTAAGCAAACTAATTCAGGAACAGAAAATCAAATACTGGATGTTCTCACTTATAAGTGGGAGCCAAATATTAAGTATATATGGACACAAAAAAAGGAGCAACAGACACAGGGGCCTACTTGAAGGTGGAGGGTGGGATGAGAATGAGAATTGATAAACTACCTATTGTGTACTATGCTTATAACCTAGGTGATGAAATAATTCATACTCCAAATGTCTGTGACATGTAATTTATCTATATAGCAAACCTACACATCTACCCCTGAACCTAAAATAAAAGTTTAAAAGAAAATAACAGTGATATGTATTGCTTTTTTAATGTAGAAAGTATATTTTCAAAAGAAAACTGAGGCTCAGAGAGATTAAGTGGTTTTCTGAACATCACGCTTACATGTAAGCAGAATGTAATTTCAATGTAAAATTCTTTATTTTTATTTACACCTGAGGTATAAGCTTTGTATTCAGGATTTCTGTAATAATTATTACATCTCCTCTTACTACTGAGTTATATGCAACTCTCTGCCGCACTCTGAATTTCTCTTTGGTTCACGTATTTTCAGCTGGTTTTGGCCAAAAGTATAAAGAGATTCTCTCATCCAGTTTCCCATTTTATTTCATGAGGGAAGTTTGTCATTTTTTCCTGACATGTAACATAGTATTAATCAAAATAATAATAAATTATTATGCAAATAATATTATGATTTAAATACATAAAATATTAAACATATTAACATGACTTGCCAATAGATTGAATCCACGAACTCTATTTTCAAAAAAGAAAAACTATGTAGATAAAAAATAGTACACATTCTTTTTCAAGTCCAACCTTATTTCCCCCCTCCATTTCCATGGCAAACATGTCACAATTATTTCCTACATATGGTTATCACTGATTTCTCTTCTCTGATTCACTCTTCCACCTACTCCAGTATGGTTTGTACTGATTAATTCTGCCAATCCAGCTCTCACCAAGATCTCCACCGCCATCTATTTTTCTGATGTTCTGGGCAGTTTTAATCCACATTTCCCATAAGTCTATTGATTCTTCTTCTAAGTACATTTATTTTCTAAATACATTTTTATCATCATTCCCTCTTGTCCTTCTAATGTTTAAGGTATTCCACCTCTGTTTCCTTTGTGTCTCTCCTCTTCCCTCTCTTTAATGGTGGAAGGTCCTCAGAATCTAGTTTAAGTCTTATTTTCTTCTCTACATTGGCTCCTCACATGACAGCCTCCATTTTTAGGCATTTGGTTGCCAGTTATGATCCTCCAGACATTGTATTCCTTGGATATTGCAAACTCATGTATCTGACTAGCAATGCACATTCGCAATTACATGTTTAAAAGTCAGTTTAGAGAGGCTAGCTCTGCTTTTATTTTTCTTTCTGGACGTGCCTCTATCTGCGTTCTGCTGAGAGCAATTCACTGTTTTTTTTCCTAGCTCACATTATAGCATTTAACATAACTCATATTAATCATAATTATTGTTGTTAAATTTCTGGCAAAAATCAAAGATACAAGGGAACAGGAATTGTATTTATTATGTTCACTTAAGAAAAATCTTCCTTTACTTAAAATTTGAATAAAATAATGATAGGTAACTGAACTGTACCATCTGTTTTTAATCAAGTTATACAATCAGGCTTGGAGTTTCATTTTAAAGAATAAACAAACAATTAATAGTAAAAATCTAATGAACAAAGCAAAATAATCAGTTGACAAAACATAAAGAACATATTTTATTATATTAGCCACAAAGTAAAGGTGGATGTAATATTACCTGAACAAACATAATTTAAAATAATTTAAATCTTATAAATAAATAAATATTTAAATAGATTAGATAGAAGACAGACAGATAGATAAATAGATAGAATAGATAGATTGGCATGATCATCTGTAAAGATTTTGTCCCTGTGGAGCTAAAGAAGTGTTGCTTAACACGTGTGAAACGTTTGAAAATTTTGATTCAACTCAAGTCATGGATATAGCAGAAATTAATATTTGAAACGGCAGAACTCAAGAAGTGTGAAATGGTGTACTAGTCAATGAGAATCATTTCGATGTTGAACCAGTTTTCATTCCTTCCTCCTTAATCTTTCTTGCAAGTTTGCTGATAAAGAGAAGGATCTCATGATTTCTGCTCTGACAACCTCCCATGCACAAGGGCTGTATTTCTTCTCTGTCAGATAGAGGGTGATTCTTTGAAAGTATTTTCTCACAGTCAGGATAGAGTCCACATTCATCAGAGGAGTGTCTTCCACTCCAACCTCCTGCATCATACAGGCTTCCAGGTCATTCAGCTGCTGGTAAAGTTCAGTGTAGAATTTGTCTAGAAGTGTCTCATCCCAAGTAGCAGATGAGTCCTTTGTGCTGAAGAGATTGAAGGTCTGCTGGATCATCTCATGGAGGACAGAGATGGCTTGAGCCTTCTGGAACTGGTTGCCATCAAACTCCTCCTGAGGAAATCCAAAGTCATGTCTGTCCTTCAGGCAGGAGAAAGGAGAGATTCTTCCCATTTGTGCCATTATCATCAAAGTCCTCCTGTTACTCAGGCTGTGGGTCTGAGGCAGATCACAGCCCAGAGAACAGATTGACTTGCAGTTGAGCACCACCAGGGCCATCAGTAAAACAAAGGGCAAGGCCATTGGGGAGGTTGCAGATGCTTCTGGGCTGTTGAGATTGAGTGACCCTGAACCTTGGGCTCTTCTCTGAAGACCTTGTTTTGTGCACAGATCTTAAAAAGGTCACATACGAGTTTCCATTTTCTGAATGCCTTGTGTTACTTTCTACTTCTCTTTTTGCTTTCTTTTATGCTCTTTCTACATAGATGTACAGGAGTGTTTCTCAGTTTATTTATTTTTACATTATTACCTCATCTTCCTCTGCCACATATGCTTTTTAGAAATTTTTTTTCTAACTAAAAATCCCATTAAATTTTAATAACACAGATATACTATGTGTTGGCTGATGTATATACATTACAGTACCCATTATCGAGAGAGAATATTGTACTTCTTTAATGCTTTAAAAGCAGCGTAATAGAATGTAAAATAGAATTTATTCAGTCCCGGATTAAGAATGAGCAAATGAAAATTCTAAGGTAAAAGTTAATAATTAAATTTACAATTTATGGATATTTAACTTCATAGTTCAATTTGTTTAAGTAACAATGTGATTTATTTACTTATATAAATTGTAGTGTGTCAGATTAAATAAGTAAATTAACAAATTATGAAAATATATAATATTGCCTAGTATAATGAAATATTTAAAAATTCAAAATAGCTAAAGACTATTAAAATTGAAATTATTTGTAACATTTATTTTTAGGGTACTTTCAATTTTGCTTCATAGGGAAATTTAAAAAATTCACTAGCTTCTAGATATTGATCTAGATATTGTCAAAAACCTTTTTCTCTTCAGTGCTTGACATAATTATTGATGTGTTGAACAACTTTAGTAGAATTAAATAGTAAAAGATAAAGTATTTTTATTGAAACCTCAAAACTCAAAACACAGTCATAAATGCTCAGGATCAAATATAAGCAACATACACAAGACAGCAAATGACAGCTCATATGTATACAGAGGCCACCTCACATGATATGACTTTGACATCTAATAAATCTTGGAAAGTCCTCCAATAACAGCCACCCATTTGCCATATGCTTGTAGCACTGATCTTGTATACCTTTTGTGTATCTTCCATGAACTCAAGGTCAATGCTTCTGATGTTACAAGAAAACCAAATTAGGCCAGGCGCGGTGGCTCACATCTGTAATCCCAGCACTTTGGGAGGCTGAGGTGGGTGGATTACAAGGTCAGGAGATCAAGACCCTCCTGGACAACATGGTGAAAGCCCGTCTCTACTAAAAATACAAAAATTAGCTGGGCGTGGTGGCACGTGCCTGTAATCCCAGCTACTCGGGAGGCTGAGGCAGGAGAATTGCTTGAACCAGGGAGTCGGAGGTTGCAGTGAGCCGAGACCACCCCACTGCACTCCAGCCTGGCAACAGAGCGAGACTCCGCCTCAAAAAGCAAGCAAACAAACAAACAACAACAACAAGAACTCAATTAAAAAAATACTAAGGAATAAAGTTTTGTCAGACAGAGTTGAACTTTAGAGGGCCCCAAGAAATAACTTTTACATTCTTGGAAGCAATATTATACTTAATGAGTATATGCAATGGAGAAAAATGTCATCAATTTGATTTTAAAAATATTATTTGTCATGAAAGGTCAGATTTCCAAAGAACCCACAGAGGTTCCAATTCTAGTTGATTCTCCTCAAACTGAAGAAAACCATTTTTGTCCTAAATGTCCATAGTGTAATGTAAATGTGATAGCATGAATGGGTTGTACAATTGTTTACATAGCATGCAGGATACCAGAGATCTTTCTTTCTCATTTTCATTTTCATTGAAAGTAAAGGTTGTCTCTTTTTGAATCCTTAAGAATGGAGACAAAAAGAAAAATGTATATCTAAATGTGATTTTAAAAATCCTACAGAATGGAGATAGAAAGAAAACAAATGTGTATCTAAATGTGATAAAAGAATCCTGATTCTTTTCTGGTCACTTGGGCTAGGAGATTCTAATCCTAAGTTAATTTGTTAGTTTTATTTTCCCCAGCACCATCTCACTCACAAGGCAGTTATCACAGTCAGTAACACCCTTTTCTCTAGAGTGACAATATCCTCTAGAGAGACAATATCTCACTGGGAAAAAAAGGATGACAAAATGCAACTTTCCTACATTCATCCCAGTAAAGAAGGAGATAAAGGAATGGGGAAGAGGAGAAGCAAAATCGTAGAAGATATGTAGATCAAAGGGAACAAATGGGTATGAGCTGAAAAAAAAGAGTAATCATTCCTGGTCCACGCAGTGTTTTCAGCTTTGCTGAATCCAGCCTTCATGGAGTCACACCAATCGCAAGAATTTGTACATAAAAAAAGGGCAATTTTTAAAAGAGTACCATGTACTCTTTGCATAATGAGTAAGTGTTAATTCTCAAGTTCTCCCTTAGTGTATAAATACATTCAAGAGATCAATATTTCCCTTATTATGTTTTTTACAGGAATCAAGGGAGTTAACAATTTTAAAGGACACTTCCCCCAATTTAATAAAGTTTAATAATGAAGATAATGTTTAAAAAAGGAAGGAGACAGGTAAATTGATGAAGGTGTTTATTTTCAGTCAGATATTGTTCTTAGAACTTACAGATTTGATTCTCATTTTACCAATAATGAATATCCTCTTTTTGTATTAACTGAACCCCTACCATATACCTACCCACCATTTATTCACTGGAGATATCAGTGACCAAAGAAGACTGATAGGTTCTACTATTATTCCTATTTACAAAAGAAAAAACAGAAGAACAGTGAGGTATTGAATTTGAGGCTACTATTTAAACCCCAAAATTGGACTCTAAATCCTCAGCTCTTACATGGTCTTTGGGAATATTTCTGGTCATAAGAACTGATTTCTGCATTGGTCAGTGTTTTCCCAGGAGAGTCCTGCCTAAGTAATGACAGGGTCTTTCTCTTCAGCTGTTCTTTTTTACTGAAACGTCCCATTTGCTTTTGCCAACATGTTACATTACAATTAAATTAGACCCCATTTTACTTACACACTATATTCTAGTTTTTTCTTCTTGAGAATGTATTTCCATAAGCTTGAATGTATTTGTAAAATACTTGGTTCATCATAAGCAACTCTTTGAAACCCTATGTATATCTACTCATTTATTCAAATATCCATAATACTTTAGATTTCTACCAGTTTAGTGCAAACCTAAGTAAGACTAAGCCATGATCGGGATATAAATATGATCTAAATCAGAAATAAACCAATAAGCTAAGGCTCAGAGATCAGGAAAAAAACCCTCTGGAAGGGCTGCCTAATAGGATTGGAGGTGTGCAAATGGGAAGCACTTCTGGAGAAATGTAGAGAGTCCAGGGCATTAGAGGAGGAGGACTGCAATGACAAAAGGTTCTGAGTTACCTGACTTTCCAGCTGGCTGATGCCTTTTATGTTGTAGGTCAGCAGAGTTTGCTACTGTGATGATTGTGCTGGCTTACATTGAGAAACTGGTAGAGAAAAAATTATGCTAACACTTGGTATTACAGTAATGAAGACTTTATTTAGGACTATTGCGACAGATGTCAAAACTATCACAATAGGGGAGAGAGATCAATCTGGGCTCAACTCTGAATATGACACAGACAGCCTGGGATTTGTAACCAACAAGCAGAATGACAGGATCTGTGGATGGAAAATCAATAAGAAATATGGCCATTGGGAGGGCCATTGGGAAATGAGGGTTCTGCAGGCCTGGCTGAGCTGGGGTCTGGTTGAACTTTGGAACCTAGGTTCTCTGAAGACATTATTTCTATGCATGGCTTTCAATAGGGGACATCTAGTTTTTATTTTCTGAACATTTCTCTATATGTCTACTTTTTGTTTTCATTTACATATTGCATATTAGGCTTAAAAACACAACATCAATTGAGACCCTTAATTTTTGCAATAGAATTTGCACAGTAAACTTCAGGTGTGCCAATCTAAATGTACATTTATCAATTAAATGAGAACAGTCATTGTCATAAAGGCTGAAGTGTATGTAGGAATGTAAATACTTATATACTTTTTTCATACAAATATTCTTCTTTTCTGTGTCAGGTGAAAAGTTTTCAGCCCTGATCCTAGGTTGCATTATACCCTGCATGCATTACATAGGCTCTCTCTACCATCTGGGTATCTGTATTTGAGAATTTATCCGACCAGCTTTGACAATAAACCCTTTAGAAGAAAGAATTGGGTTTTGTCCATTGTTTCATTCATAGCAGATGCTGACGATTATTAGTTAGTGAGCCTCTCTGATTTTTCTATTTATTTAAAAATACATTCATGCAATTCCATGTGATTGTGCCTCACTGGAGCCGCAGGTCAGGATTAACGTAGAAACAGCCCTTTCTTCCCATCATTTTCTTACTCAATGTCTATAGTGCTCCTCAGGCTGTGATAATACCCCCATCAAGAATCCCGATTCTTCTCTGGTCATTTGGGCTGCGAGATTCTAATCCTAAGTTAATTTGTTAATTTTCTTTCCCCCCAGCACCACCTCACTCACAAGGCAGTTATCACAGTCAGTAACACCCTTTCCTCTAGAGTGACAATATCCTCAACCCAAACTCTTCCAGATTCATTCTCTGAGGCACAAAGTTAGAACTCCTTTACTAGGGAAAGGTCTTTTTCTTTGAGCCAAAATAATTAATGCTCCAAGATCTTTGCCCTTGCCCTTAGAGTGTTTGTGTGAAGGATTTGGCTTCTCAATGGTGATCTCCTCCTGTCCAGGGTCTGTGTCCTCAGGGATCAAATGTGTGCACAGTGCTCGGATGTTGATAGCAAGTTTCCTTTTATACAAATAGGTAAAGGAAGTATTCAATTGCCATAATTTTAACTTTAGCAAGCAAGTAACTTTTATTTTGACAATTAGAGCTTTTATCAGTCAATCAGTCAACTCTTTCATTTTTCTTCTTTTTTTTTTTTTTTAGACGGAGTCTCGCTCCGTCACCTAGGCTGGAGTGCGGTGGCACGATCTCGGCTCACTGCAAGCTCTGCCTTCCAGCTTCACATCATTCTCCTCCCTCAGCCTCCCGAGTAGCCTGCACTACGCCCGGCTAATTTTTTGTATTTTTAGTAGAGACAGGGTTTCACCATGTTAGCCAGGATAGCGTCAATCTCCTGACCTCGTGATCCACCCGCCTCAGCCTCCCAAAGTGCTGGGATTACAGGCGTGAGCCACCGCGCCCGCACACTTTCATTTTTCAATACTCAAAACTATTGAACACTTGTTAGGTTTGACCTTTCTGAGCTGGTCACAGGGGAGTCAAGGTTGATGTTGTCTCTTGTTAGCAACTAATATGACAGAAACTAGTGACTTTCAATTGTTCATCCAGTCAGTGTTTCTTTGGGGTTCTTTGTTCCTGGGTCTCTGCCTTGCTCTAACAGTGTAGGGCAGTTAGGGCCAGGCTATTCTGTCAAGAAGAAATAGGCTTCTTTCTTTTACCTGTATGTGTTTTTTTAGTTTAATTTTTTGTACTTTTTTGCACTAGTGATTTCTGGGCAAGCTTTGTCTTGCCATTAATGCATTACATTCTCATTCATGATGAAGTAACAAAAATTAAGGGAAGTAAAAGACAGGCAAAGGGGCCACAACTTTTTTTCTATGATTTCCATGATTTCTGTTGCGGGAAGTCAGGAACCCCGAACAGAGGGATTGGCTGAAGCCATGGCAGAAGAACATAAATTGTGAAGATTTCATGGACATTTATTAGTTCCCCAAATTAATACTTTTATAATTTCTTATGCCGGTCTTTACTGCAATCTCTGAACATGAATTGTGAAGATTTCATAGACGCTTATCACTTCCCCAATAAAAACTCTTGTGATTTCCTATGCCTGTCTTTAATCTCTTAATCCAGTCAGCTTCGTAAGCTGAGGATGAATGTCGCCTCAGGACCCTGTGATGATTGTGTTAACTGCACAAATTGTTTAAACAATAAGAAATATGGGCACCTTGAAAAAAGAACAGGATAACAGCAATGTTCAGGGAACAAGGGAGATAACCTTAAAGTCTGGCTGCCTGTGGGCTGGGTGGAACAGAGCCATATTTCTCTTTTTTCAAAAGCAAATAGGAGAAATATCACTGAATTCTTTTTCTCATCAAGGAACATCCCTGAGAAAGAGAATGCATTCCCAGGGGGAGGCTTCTGAAATGGCCGCTTTGGGAATGTCTGTCTTTTACGGTTATAGATAAGGGATGCAATAAGCCCCAGTCTCCCGTAGCACTCCTAGGCCTATTAGGACGAGGAAATTCCTGCCTAATAAATTTTGGTCAGACCGGTTGTCTGCTCTCAAACCCTGTCTCCTGATAAAATGTTATCAATGACAATGCATGCCCAAAACTTCATTAGCAATTTTAATTTCACCCCGGTCCTGTGATCTTGCCCTGCCTCCATTTGCCTTGTGATATTCTATCACCTTGTGAAGCATGTGATCTCTGTGACCCATACCCTATTCATACACTCCCTCCCCTTTTGAAAATCACTAATGAAAACTTGCTGGTTTTGCGGCTTTTGGGGCATCATGGAACCTGCCAACATGTGATGTCTCCCCGGGACACCCAGCTTTAAAATTTCTCTCTTTTGTACTCTTTCCCTTTATTTCTCAGACCAGCCAACACTTAGGGAAAATAGAAAAGGACCCACATGAAATATTGGGGGCTGAATTTCCCCCGATAATTTCAGATTTTTTTTTTTCTCATTTCAACTTTCCTAGAAAGCAAAACTTGATTGTCATTTGTGGTTTAAAAAAAAAAGTGCAAATGTCATGAAAATGAAAGGACAGAAGTGCCTTTCTACTGACACATTGCCAAGTGTAAGTTAGTCACACACAATGCAGCAAAACTGAGAGCTAGGGCCTCTGGCAGAGGGGATGAATGAAGGCCAATGTGGAGGCACACAAAAGCAGGGAAATGCCTGCATCTGCCAGAGGCTCAGAGAAGAGTGACTGCTGAATCTATAAACTGCCCTCAGCTTTGCAAGACCAGCCATCTGACTTTTCTGTGAGTTAATCCACATTTTTAATTTTTGCATAGTATTATAGTACACATTTTTAATTTTTGATTGATACACAATATTTGTACATATTTATGGGATATATGTGCTATTTTGAAACATGCATAAGTCGTAAATGATCAAGTCAGGATATTTAGGAAATCCATTGCCTTGAGCATTTATCATTTCTTTGTGTTGTGAACACTTCAGATCCTCTCTTCTAGCTATTTGGAAATATATAATACATTGTTGTTAACTTTAACAACTGCTATCAAACATTAGAACTTATTCCTTTAATCTAATTGTATGTCCACATGTGACTGGCTCCGAGGAGAAAAATGAACAGTGACACCAATCACCTCTCAAGAGACAGACAATCAGACCCTAGTTAGTATGACACCAACCCTCTCTGGTAGGATAAGGTATATAATTAGCCTTGGCTGAGTTCTCTACTTAGTTAATAAATCCACTCAGGCAATGAAAAGATTGCTTCTGAAAACCTAGAATTTAAAAGAGAGTGTTAGATGACCCCAAAGATTCTGCTCTTAATCTGGGTAGCAATAATAATCATAACATAAAAATATATTATTGAGTTTCTTTGAATGCTTATTATGGACTATCCACTATTCTAAGGTCTTTAAAAATAGTAACTCAGGCCCAGAATATAGGCAGAAAGCTGCTCAGCCAGCCTAAGGATGAATTTGACAGAGGCAGCTCAAGGGGTGGTTTTTGAGTCACAGGACCTGTGTGCAGGGCATCCAGGTTAGAAAGGAGGGAGTCAAATTGTCTCTGTTTGCAGACGACATTTTCTTATATATAGAAAAACCTAAAGAATTTACTAAAAAACTCTTAGAACTGATAAACAATTTCAGTAACATTTCAAGACACAAAATTAACATACAGAATCAATAGTGTTTCTACACACAAAAAACAAACTAGCTAAAAAATAAATCAAGAAGTTACCAGATTTTCAATAGCTACACAAAAATTAATAAAATGCCTAGGAATAAATTTAACCAAGGAGGTAAAAGACCTCTGCAAGGAAAGCTAGAAAACACAAATAAAAGAAATTGAAGAGGATACAAACAAATAGAAAAACATTCCATGCTCATAGGTTGAAATAATTAATATTGTTAAAATGTCCATACTGCCCAAAGCAATCTAAAGATTTAATGCAATCCCTATCAAAATGCCAATAATAATCTTCATAGAAAAAAGATACTAAAATTTGTATGGAATCATGAAAGACCCTGAATAGCTGAAGCAATCCTGAGCAAAAAGAACTACACTGGCGATATCACACTACTGGACCTCAAAATATACTACAAAGCTGTAGTAATCAACACACCATGGTACTGACATAAAAACAGACACATAGACAAATGCAACAGAATAGATAACAGGAAAATTAATCCACATATCAATAACAACTGATTTTTAATTAAAGTGCCAAGAATACTCACTGAGGAAAGGATAGTATCTTCAATAAATGGTGCTGGGAAAACTGAATACCCATATGCACAAGAATGAAATTAGACCCCCTCCTCTCACACTATACAAAAAAAAAAAACTCAAAATGGAAGAGAGACATAAATCTAATACCTGAAACTTTAAAATTACTAGGAGAAAACATAGGAGAAGTCTGTGAAAAGATTTTATAAGTCAGACCACAATAGTACAGGCAACGAAAGCAAAAATAAACAAATCAGATTATATCAAAAAACAAAAGAAACAATCAATAGAGTAACAACCTACAGAATGGAGAAAATGTTTCAAAACCAGTCATACAACAGGGGGTTAATATCTAGAATATACAAGGAACTCAAACATCTCAAAGCAAAATAATAATAATAATAATCTGATTATGCAATGGGCAAATGATCTGAACAGACATTTCTCAAAAGAAGACATAGAAATGACCAACAAATATGTGAAAAACTGATCAACATCACTATCATCATGGAAATGCAAATTGAAATCACAATGAATTATCATCCCACCTCAGTTAGAATGGCTATTTTCAAAACAAAAAACAAAAAATAACAAATGCTGGCATGGATGTGGAGAAAATGAAACTATTACACAATATTGGTTGGAATGTTAACTAGTACAGCCACTATGGAGAACAGTGTGGAGGTTCTTTAAAAAACTACAAATAGAACATCCGTATGTTGCAGCAATCCCGGTACTAGGCATTTATCCAAAGAAAAGGAAATCATTATATCTAAGAGGCATCTGCACCCTTATGTTTATTGCAACATTATTTCCAATAGCCAAGACATGGAATCTATTCCCCAACAACAAATAAATTGATAAAGAAAATGTGGTATATTTGCACAATGGAATATTATTTAGCTATAAAAAGGAATAAAATCCTGTCATTTGTGGCAACATGGATGGAACTGGCGGACATTATGTTTAGAGAAATGAGCCAGGAACAGAAAATTAAATACTGCATGTTTTCACTCTTACTTGGAAGCTAAAGAAACGTTGATCTAATAGAAGTAAAAGTAGAACAGAGGATACTGTAGCCTGGGAGGGGTAGGAGGATGGGATGGACAGGGGGAGATTTGTTAAAGGATACAAAATTACAGCTATGTAAGAGGCTAAGGTCTAGTATTTTATACCACTGTAGCAGTAATATATTATATATTATTAGCTAGAAGGAGGACAGTGACTGTTCCCAACACAAAGAAATGATAAATGTTTGAAATGATGGATATGCTAATTACTCTGATCTGATCACTATTATCAGCATTGAAGCATCACTATATAGTCCATGAATATATACAATTATTATTTGTCAATTAAAAATATAAAAATGAAAAAATTGAAACTTTAAAAAATCAATTTGATTCTTTCAATAAACCTATTTGTATTACACTCATTATATAACACTTTGGAGAAGAATAACAATCTGGAGGGATAAACTATTCTGAACATGCCAATAATGAAACGTGAAAACCTTATGGGGACTTGAGATAATTGGCTTGTGTGAAAGGGTCTGTTAGACAAGTGAAGAATAGATATGAACAAAGGCAACAGGTATGTGTTACAAGTCAATGGAACTTACTGACTAAATTCTAAGTAGAACATTGTTTAAAAAGTTAAAAGGGAGTGGATTTTTCCTCCCAACTGAAAAACAAAGTCTAAAGTTTAATGAATGATTTCTGCAATAAAATATGGTAAAATAACTATTAATCTATCAGTTGTAGACCCTTGGAATCTTATTTATTTTTAACTCTTGAGCTTTTTTGTGAGCTTAAGAATATACAGAAAGCACCCAGCAATTTTTATTCTACTGATGGTACAACCATATCAGGCCTGTCTTATCTCCTTCAGGACCTCACTAATTCCACAAGAGACCTTCTTCTGTCCAGCCTGTTGTTTTTATTCCAAATGATGACAACACTGTTTCTCACCTCCAGCCCAGACCGACATTCATCTTGTGTACTGATAGAGTCCAGAGAAGAATCTCTTTTCTGTCTTTCCATCCAATAGTTGAATTTTGAGCGCTGAAAAGACCTTTTATATGACCAAGATGAGAGAATATTATGCACTTCCTGCACAGAAGTGAAAGGTTTTGAAGAGCTTCTTACCAAGGAGAATTTGGCTTTACCTCTACACTCAGCCCAGCTGCCTACTGTGGTTGATTTTACTTAATTTCTAACCCCATACAATTACAAATCATAAAATAAAACTGTAGCAATGAAATAAATATATCACTAAAATCAGCATTAATTGATAAAATGATAAAAGCATTATTATTTTGTCAGAAATGAAGGATGTACTTTTCTTGTTTTTTGGACCCTCATCCTCAGAAAGTGTCCAAATTCTAACTTTAACTGTGCCAACTGAGTGCAGAATGCACCCACTGGAAAAAAAGCTAAAGGAGAATTGACCGACCAACGTCCTCTTTCCAAATAACTAAGTTAAATAAATAAACTAGTACATTTTGGCAAAGATCTTCGCTGTCATTAGAAACTGTGATTTTTCAAAACAAACATTACCTTATATCAGTCCTGCTGGGATGTCTCTGACCCAGTTACTGTTAATTCTACTCAAATAACTGCTGTATCCTTTTTGTTTAATTGTTGTTTCATTTGTTTTATCTTTAAATCAGGCTGCATTATGACCCGAATTATGACATGCCTCGGATTGCATTGGCCCTATGCCTAACTTTCCCTGCACTCTGATGACTTGCTGGGTCCTAGGGAGGAAACAGAAGTTTGCAACGGACACTGGAGTAACCCTTGTCCCTTCCAATACTCTCAGGCTGCTGTGGTATCAGTGTTATCCATGGTGGGGACACTGACGTTGGCCATGTCTCCATGGGAACACTCTGTGGTTTCAGCATCCACTTTAATCTTCTCTCTGATCAGAATAATCTTAAGTAGTTGATTCAGTGCTCCCATTTGTATTGCTCCATCTCCTGAGGACCTGCCGCTCTTCCAGTCAATGTGTTAAGTATCTCTCTCTTCCTTCCAAGTTCTAAAGCTGCTGCTTGCCTTTTCTTCTTCATGTTTCATAATGTGGGCTCTGCTTTTTTCAACAAATGAGAGTCCTGAGCCTAGTGTAGTCTCTTCCTAGAGGAATCAGAACATAGAAGCACCTGAACAGGGGCACAGATGAACTTCTGCATTCTTTACCAACACGTTGGGTATAATCACGTGGGAAAGATTCTCTCTATTGACTATGTTTTTGTGCCTAGCAGTATTTAACTTCAAGTACTTAACCTTTGCAGTACTGAACTTGCCAGGCAGGGAGAGTCCAGGCATGACCATATTCATTTTGGATCCTTGATCTCACAAAACCTAGCTGTCTCCAGGTGGCACTGTGCCACGACTTCCTGTATCTCCTCCAAGGGATTCAGGGCAGAAACAAGGTTTTATGTGTCCTTCTCCAGGGGCACTGCACAGGCAGGGAACTGTGTGAGGCAGGTTATGACAATGCCCCTTGCTGCCAGCTCAGCCACCACTTCACCTCAGTTCTCCAATACTTTAGAATATATAAAAAATTAACTTCTGAATATGATCAGGGTATAGCCACAGAGATTTTTCAGGGTAAGATGATAATATGCGTACAATTTTTGCCCACTGAAATGACAAGCAACAAAAAGGAAAATCACATTAAAGAAATAAGCAGTATAGAAAATAACCAAGAATTAAAGGAGACTTAATATTTGAAAGTCGTTAAACAATCATACAAACAGAGAAAGGAAGAG
This sequence comes from Homo sapiens, assembly GCF_000001405.40. Lineage (NCBI taxonomy): Eukaryota > Metazoa > Chordata > Mammalia > Primates > Hominidae > Homo > Homo sapiens. The sequence continues at coordinate 21,317,458 of NC_000009.12, forward strand.
AGAGAACCAGGTATATTAAACTTTTTAATATTTTCCCCTGCTCCTAAACTGAGTACCCCACATTCAGTGGTAAAAGAAAGAGACAAGAGACATATTGTGAAATATAACTGAATTTCCCAGTTTCTCTCCTCTCCCATTTCCCAGTTTCTCTCCTCTCCCATTTGAAAAGTGCAATCTGAAGGTTGGGTCTGTAACCTGAGCAAAGAATAAGAAATTCCTCCTAAATTGAAGCCTCTTCCTACTATCTAAGTAATTCTCACACACACTCCTGATTAACTTCTTCAATTACACTATTTGCAGATCACTTTAATACTTCCCAAATTCTACACAAATAGATACCTTCTCTTGATATCATTTGGCAAGAATTGTATCCTCTGATTCCTTTACAAATGTCTTTGCTCTCTTTTACTACTGAGTAAAAAGCACAAGGGATGCAAGTTGACTCATCATTGAAAATAACAGAAAATGTTTTAATTATAAAGTTGGGACATGACCTAAGGAGTGAATGTGTAAAATTAGCAACTTACTGTTAAGAAAGAGCTAATGTACCTTAACCAGGAGATTTTTCTTGATTTCCCTTGTAGTTCTACACCTACATTGGCAGGTTGTACTGATTCCCAGTCTAGCACAAAACATAGAGGGAGGGACAAGTCAAGAGGCTGGAGGCAAGGGACACGTTCTGACCCTTTCTCTCTCCACATAGCTGCCCATTGTTCAAAGAACATGTGCTTCCTGAATCTGGGAGTGTTTTCTCTCTCTGTGATACAAAAGCTAAGAAAATGGGCTTCTTCCAATATTAGGGTTAATTCTTTCCGAGAAAGATGGCCTTTTACAAATGAACGAAAATCTCCTTCAAGGGAACAGAATTCTTTTTCTTATTTTTTATTTTTTTATTTTTATTTTCTTATTATCATACTTTAAGTTTTAGGGTACATGTGCACAACGTGCAGGTTTGTTACATATTCTTTACAGAACAGAAAAGCCTGCCCTCCATAGACTTGGTGCACGTCTTTGCCAGTAGGTGGCTCTCATCCTCTGTAAATATTTCAACGGCCTCCAGAGTAAAATGGATCTTGCATTCTATTTCCTTTTTCCACAGGGATGGTTACATTATTGTAATGGGGATATTCCTTCTTTTCCAAAACTATTCACCAGGAGGGAAGTAAAAAAAAAAAAAAAAAAAAAAACAGGCCAGTGATTTGGATGTTTCTGAAACACCTAGAACTCTCACTCAACTTTTGCTTTCAGCTGATGGCTTTGTACTCTTATGGGAAAATTGACAGCCAGAAATTACAATGGAACAGGAAGCAGCTGTATGAATGGCAGTGCAGGTTAATGGTGAGTGAATGAGGAGAGCACCCTGGGATTTCTACGCTGGGGAGGGAGGAAACTAATGTCATACAGAAATGAAAGAATGGGATCCTCCAGTAAGTAGGGGGGAAGGGAGAGTGTGGCAGCCATCAGAATCAGCAAAGTATTGTGATTTTTCCATGGCTGAAAATCAAGGTAGTCCCATTTCCAATCCCCCTCCCTCCAGAAATATATATATGTATATATATGCTTGTATATACTTAAATTTTATGTAACATAAAATAAGTTTATATACTTATATTAATATACATTACATTTTTAGATTATGTATTTTGTAATTAATATGTGTAAATATAATTATGTATACTTAAGTATATACAGCTTTAAGTATTATATACTTTTACAATCTCATATAATTTAATATATGCTTATTATATTATACTTAACATATTAAAATATATTAAATTTGTATATTATTAAATATATAAGTATACATAATTTAAGCATATGTATTTAAATATACATAAAGAATATATAGGCCTGGCGTGGTGGCTCAGGTCTATAATGCCAGTACTTTGGAAGGCCAAGGCAGGAAGATTGCTTGAGGCCAGGATTTACCAGCCTGGTCAACAGAAGGAGACACCATCTCTACCAAAAAATAAAAAATTAGCCAGGTGTGGTAGTGCACACCTATAGTCTCAGCTATTTGGGAGGCCAAGGTGGGAGGATCACTTGGGCCCAGGAGTTCGAGGATGTAGTGAGGTATGACAGCAGCACTGCAGTCCAGCCTGAACAAAAGAGTGAGACTTTTGTCAAAAAAAAAAGAATATATATTTATATATCTTATATATGTTTTTGTACATTTAAAAATCCATATGTAAATATAATGTGTAAAAATATGTATACATTTATATATTTTAATATATATACTTCAATATATACTTTATATAGAATAACATATATACGATATGTTATATATACACATATACAATATAGCATATAACATATATTGTATGTTATTAAATACATTACAATATTTACTTATTTATTTGTATTTAAATATGTATATATAAATATGTAAGTGTATATTCTGTATATATCTATAGGTAACTTTATATAATACTATATTCAGTTAGTTTCAAATCACCTTTTTTTTTTTAGGGTTGAGTTAGAGAGTTGTAAAGGCTAGGAAAATGGTTTACAAAATATGTTTTACTTGGGCCTAAAAATAATCATCAATGGTGATTTGAAACTAACTGAATCTGAGTAAAGGGATTATTTTATTTATTTATACTATTCACAGAGCAGCCATTTTCTATCGCAACTTGCTGAGACACTGGTTCCCTGGAACAAGCTTCATGGGGGCTGTACAATTTTTCCTCTGTGCAAGGCACTACTCTGACAATGGGAACCTGGGCTCTGCTCCTTCACAGTTTTACAGACAGTCCCCTTTCCTAGAGTTTCAATTTGAGGGACATCAACGTGTTAGACCTCAGGAATGTCAGGGGAGCTGCAATCAAAGCTTCTCTTGTCTGGATTTGGTTAAATGTGGACTATACAGGATTATGTTATTTATTACATTGAAATTAAAGGTAACTATCATTTACCATGTTCAGATTCTCAGCCAGTAATTTGCAAACTTTATTTTATTTCATCTTTGCAGTTTCCTATGTGACAACTATTAAAATTGTCTCAATTTTGCAGAAGAGGAAAGGAAAATCTGATGTTGTTTAAGCTCCCAGGAGCCACAGATGTTGTCACAAAGTGGCAGTTTCTACTGCCTCCCAATTTCCCTCTTCATTAGCTTTCAGTTCTTCCTCTTGGCTGCACTGAGCATGCTAGTGTTTAATTAATCACAATCATGTCTTAAATGCCATTCTTTGAATCCATGGAGGGTAGTCATCATCCTGTATTACTTATCTGTTAATCTAAATTGCCAAGCCTATTGTCTGTCACATATATGCAGTAAAGACATTTTTAGTGACAGAACAAAGACAACTGGATGACTTAACCCTGGGTTTTCGAGTTTTATGCCACCGTTATCTACAGATTATAAGCTGTGGCTCTTGTAAAGAAAGGTGGAAGAAATCAAACCTAGTGTATTAGCCACTTAAAAGAGAAATGCAGAGAGGTGAGGAAACATGTATTTCAGTGCAGTTTAAGAAGTAAAAATGTCCAAGATCAAACCTCTAAGTATACTTATTAGAATTTTAAAAGAGACATAGATTGAGACTCAGATAGGTTGTTATTTCAACATTGAGCCTCATTTGGATGGGTATTTCCTATTAGATTGAGAGTTTTGCCATTTTCTGAGTGTGTTTAATTTCCATTGTCATAATACAAAAGAAGTGTTGAGGTCATGACATTATCTGAGACCCATAAATAGAAGAGAAAGTGAACAAAGTAGAAATAAAGTTGAGATAAGTACAAAAACTGAAAACCCTAATCTGGTTATGTAAGAATCTCACAACAAGAAAGTGCTGAGACAGGTGGGTAAAGACTCAAATGGCCTAGCCAGCTGTATCCCACCAATGACCCGGCCAACCTCTTCCCTAGTGACACTGAGGATGATATTCTGCAGTTCTCTCTGCAGCTTTAGCTGTGGCCTAGCCCAGAGCCATGGGCTGCCATAAATAGGTGACCTTCAAAGTTCTGCACCAAATTGGGAGAATCTTTCTTTTCTTCCTGTCTGAAGAACAAGAATGTTTTTTAAGTTTCCCCTAGAGCAGCCGCATGGCACCAAATTCCAAAAGGCTCAGGCCACCAATGTTCTTCATGAGATGATCCAGCAGATCTCCAACGTTTTCAGCACAAAGAACTGAAATTCCTCACTGGGCTTGATCAGTAGCTAGAATTTCTGGAGACCTGTTTGGGTATAGGAAATCAAAGAGACCTTGAGTAGGAGGACTCCAGCCTGGCTGTGAAGGAGTATTCACAAGCAATCAGTCTCTATGTGAGAAAGAAAGAACACATCTGTTGTGCCTGGGACATTGTCAGACTGCAGATTAAGAAAGGAAAATCAATAAATGCTTTCTCTGTGTTAATAGGCTCATCGGAAATCCCAGGAGGTTGGAAAGGAAACTTAGATTTAGACCCAGTATCAGTCAATTGGGTCTCATCTACTAATTATGTGGCTTCGAGCTTGTAAATATTCATTCAATTCAAAGACTTTCCTTTCTGCTTCATTTATCGATATATTGAGTCATTTTTGTAAGACTGTGTTTCAATAATAAGAAATTGTACTTTTTTGTTTGTTTGTCTTTGACAGAGTCTCACTCTGTCACCCAGGCTGGAGTGCAGTGGCAGAATCTCTGTTCACTGCAAACTCCGCCTCCCGGGTTCAAGCGATTCTCATGCCTCAGCCTCCCAAGTAGCTGGGATTACAGGCATGCACCACCATGCCCAGCTAATTTTTGTATTTTCAGTAGAGATGGATTTTTGCCATGTTGGCCAGGCTGGTCTCGAACTCCTGACCTCAAGTTATCCACTCACCTTAGCTTCCCAAATGCTGGGGTTGCAGGCATGAGTCACTGCACCTGGCAAAATTGTACTTTTGAATAGGGAGAAATTACATTTTTAGCTTGTAATAATTAAAATTTATCCAATGATAATTGCTATATTTTCAAAATTTATTGTTTATAAATATGGTCAGCTTTGCCTTCTGGTTTCTATTGTTTGGTGAGGATGGAGCGGGTACTTAAATCTTTACAGTAAAAGTCAGGTCTTACTCAAACCCTCAAAGAGATACAAAGTGCCCTTAAACCTTTAATCTGCTTTCAAATCCAAAAGGAACATTAAGTCTATTTATTCATAAATCGTTTTAAATATCTCTGCTCCAGGCAATTTACTTGTCACTGTGAAAATATTGGTAAGTTAAATAAAGACTTTATTTTCTTCAGTGGAGCACTCTTCCTGAGAAGACAGCTCTAAACAATAAGTAGGTAGGTAGGAATCCTAGGGCCATGAAGGAGATGAACAATTCACATAGATTATACCAGCTGAAGTGAATTCAGTTTTACTTATGTTTCTTAGATAAGTCATATCTGATGACCGTTGATTCAGTTTCAGCAGTTGCATGAACTAGAAACTAAAGTGAAATACGGAATCATCCACCTTGAAACTTCAAATAAGTAGCAAATACCTTTTATTTGCTGGCTCTGTGGATGGTGCTAGTTACAATGAAAGAAAGTAGACACATTCTCTGCTTTCAGGGAATGACAGAGCTTCCAGTCTGGTGGGATGTGGGCAAGTGAGCATTTAATTAAAGTAATGCTAATGACTGTGACAGGGAAAGTATCAGATTCTGGAAGCGTGTAGCACTTGTTTCCGTCAGGGAAAGCATCCAGGAGAAGTAACTGCTAAGCTGGCATCTCAAGGATCTGTGGGAGTTAACCAAGTAAATGTGTGATGCTCAAAGGGTCAGAAACAGGGAACAGCAGATGTGAATGCGTAGCGGCCAGAGGGCGCATGCAGGAGCAAACAGTGAAGAAGGTTTAGAACTATGTAGAAGTAGAAGGGAGGGAGGGAGAAAGCAGAAGTTAGAATAGGAAGCAGGTGTTGTATTGTAAAAGGCATTGCAAGCAATTATGGGATTATGAGTCACAGAAATGATCATTAGAAATATTGAGATGTTTTAAGCAGTGAATTGATGTCACCAAATACATATTAGAAAAGCTCTTACAGCTGCCCTTTGAAAACTAGGTTGGGATTTGCTTGCACATACTGGTTAGAAAGGTGGGAAGTGGACCCATTAGGACATAGTTATTGTACCCAACGAGATAGGTAATAGGTTTGGAAGGTATTTATTACGTTGTAGTAAAGAGTAAAGCTGAATGTAAGACTGATGACTAAACAGAGGTGTTAAGATGTGGTGCCTGCTGAATTTTTGGGATGCCATAGAAACAAGCTCTAGACTAAGCCTCCAGATAAAAATATCAAAAATTAAACCAGAGAACTGTCCAGATATAAAAACCCACTGTTGATGATGCTGCTCTAGTAAGAACTAGAAGGAACTTCCATTCTCTAATGCCATTTCTTTTCCTAAAACCTGAACTTCCCACTATAGAAAGCCACCAACTCAGCCAATAAATACAGAAACACCACGTAGAGCCTATATCTTCTTGTGGACACATTAGGATCAAAAGCTCATGCAGGTGCTCCAGATCGGCAAGTCTTTCTTTGTTCCCATGTCCTATCTACAAGGGAGGCTTGAAATTTACATTATGTTGCCTGCATTGGTGATCTGGTTTTCCATTGATGCATAATTAATCAAAAACTCAGTGGTTTAAAACAACACACATTTATTACCTAAAAGTTTTTGTGAATCAATAATTCAAGAGCAGCTTCGGTGGGCTTAGAATCGCTCATGAGTTGCAGTCAAGATGCCAGCTGGGGCTGCAGTTGTCTGAAGGTTCTGTTTGGGCTGGCGGATCTGTTTCTAACATGGGTCACTCACACGGCCACTGACAGGAAGTCTTAGCTCTTCATCACAGTCACATGGGCATCTCCATGGAGCTATGTGGTATGTGCTCACAACATGGCAGCTGGCTTGTACTAGAGGAAGTGATAGAAGAGAGATAAACATGGAGGAAGTACACAATTTTTTATGACCTAGTCTATAATTTAAACACCATTGTTTCATTGTATTCATTAGATGGGAATCACTAAATCCAACACATAGTCAAAAGGAGGAAAGAAACGAGCATGAGAAAATTTGTGAATATATTTTAAAACAACCACAACTAGAATTCATAATGTGAGTATCCCTTAATGTAGAAAGGGTGTTTTACAGATGATAAGTAGGCATGGTTATGACAGATGATGAAACTACAGATATCAAAAGGAAAGTGACTTTGGATTTGGGGGCTGAGTTTCAATGGATCTCCTTGATCTCCTATAGGCATTCCCAAATGGTAGCCATGAACCTCTTGCAAGTGGCTAGACTATCTACTAAGTAAGTGGTAAGGGTGAATGGGAAGTGTAGATATTGCAGCCCAAGAAGTGAACAAAGTAGACATACCAATGGAATCCATAACTTATTCCCCTTGCAGGATAAAGTATAGCTAGTCCAGGGCATGGGAGAGATTATTAATGGAGAGCCAGCCTTGAAAATTAAAAATTGTTTTTCTGGCTGGGGGCGGTGGCTCACGCCTGTAATCCCAGCACTTTTGGGAGGCCCAGGCAGGCGGATCATCTGAGGTCAGGAGTTCGAGACCAGCCTGGCTAACATGGTGAAACTCCGTCTCTACTAAAAATACAAAAATTAGCCAGGGGTGGTGGCAGGCGCCTGTAATGCCAGTTACTCCGGAGGCTGAGGCAGGAGAATCGCTTGAACTGGGGAGGCGGAGATTGCAGTGAGCCAGGATCACACCACTACACTCCAGCCTGGGTGACAAGAGTGAAACTCTATCTCAAAAAACAAACAATAACAACAACAACAAAAAACAAAATCAAAACAAAAACTCTTTTTCCTTAATCTTTGAGTTAATTGATGTCTTCAAGTATGTGTATATACATATATGAAAGGTTTTGTGAAATCTGTGATTTTCTTATCTGGAGAAAGATGGAGAGAGTAATAAAAAATTGAAGTAAACACTGCTTAGTATGAAGAAATAAACATTACACTGACTCACATTAGGTTTTTATACTGAGTATGTTTTGGTTCATGATTTGACATGAATTAGAAATAAGTTTTAATGGATCACTAATTCCTGGCTGGAAGAATGTTTTGACTTCTAAGTGATAAAGTATACTCCCTAAGTAAGATAAAGCTGTTTGAATCAGTAGAAGTTAGACCTGCCTCCCATCCCCACCACATACAAACATGTACTCTGTTGACTGGCACTTGGGTGAAATGAGGCAAAAAATGATAAACTTCCATTATAAGAGATTGTAAGGCTGTATTGTAATAGTCTTTTGGAAGATGGACCAGTAAAGAGCTAGACATACTCTTTGGACTTACAATTGGAGAAGGGGCTCTAGACAACGAAACTTCTGAAGTTTGGGTTACTTAGTTGCTGTCAACAGCTTTATACACATCTTGTTCTAAGATTGCACGAAATCTAATCTTGCTCCTTCAGTTCTATGTAGAAAAGATATGTGCACTCTTGATATCCTTCAGGAGGCACTATTAAGAGATCACTTGTTGTTATACACATCCATCTTGAGGGAAAAAATGCTTGGTGTAAGAGAATATTTTGTTCTGAGACAATAACATGGAGAATGAGGAAATGGGTAGTTGATGCCATTCTTACTGTTCACATAGTCAAGAAATAGACTTTCTTTGAGCCCATGGGTGGCACTAAGAAAAATCTGGATCAGCTGGTCCAAAAGCTGTTTTACATCAAACACATGTATATGCTTATGCATATGTGTGTCTGGCTGGCCGGGTGAAAATTATGTGGCTATAGCAGTCATGATTTGATCCTCATACCCAAATGAGCAAACCAATATAAAAATTTCTTAAATATTATGAGGTTGTCATATTTACTTATAACCAGATATAATGCATATTACGTCCTTTCTGCTGTGGAAAAGATTTACTCTATACATGTCTTTGTGATGAGGCTGTCTGCTAAAAACTAAAAATAAAAATGGTATGGGGAATCCACTCAAAGGAAAAAGCAAGTATTGGGTATGAATGCTTAGAATCCAGATGAAATGTTGCAGATTTTAAAATTAAATGTATATGAATTTATAAATAAAATAAAGGTCATAGCTATTTAAATCTGTATTTTTAAGTAATATAAAAAATAATTCTTCTCTTTGATCTACCGTACCCCAAAAATTACCAAAAGTTTTTAATATTCACTTATGTAATTTATATAAGCTGCCAACTTTGAACTTTCACATGTGCTATAAAAATTTCTGGGTTTTGTTATTACTGTTGTTTTGATAAAGGAGATATATTTTCTGTAATCTAGCTAAACAAAGACTTTTAATTTTAACCAGTAGATGGCAGAATAACATTAGCCCCTGGAAAGCAGTTGCTCTGAGACTGTTACAGAGGAACGACCTATTCTGTGTACTAGTGCATTTGGCTCAGGTACACAATTCAACAGTTATGTGTTCAGTCATCCTTAATGAATATCTAAGTCTTTTATTCTAATCATCATCCAGCCATTCAAATATATGCTCAACAATTGAATACTAGAGGATGCAGATAAAGTATCAAAATTAAGGTGGGAAGAATCTTTAAAAATCCATTTAAAAGTATTTTAATGGAAGGTCTAATGTGGTCCTATTAGGAAGCAAATAATAGTATCATGCTGAGATGACTATTTCTGGCCTATTTTCTGTCACTTATTAATTCTAGAAATATACTTACTGTCCAAAAGGTATGAAACTTGAAAGATCATTTTACTACTTTTGCCAAATTGCATTCTAAACTGTAAACCAATTGACAATGCACTCAGCAATATGTAAGAGTCCTTTCTAACCCAACAGTTGAAAACAATTAAAAAACAGACTCTTTTTCAGTATTTGACATGAGAAAAATTAAATTATCATCTCAATAAATTTGACTAAATAAATGAAGAAATGGGTAGTTAATGACACACTGATCACACAGCGAAGAAATAGCCTTTCTTTCAGCCCATGGATGGTACTAAGAAAAATTTGGATCAGCTGGTACAGAAATCATTTGTAATGAAGATACACAACCCTAATTTTTTAAGACTCCTAATTAATGAGGAACTTCGTGAACAAGATCAAGGATATTTCCTTGTAACAAAGGAATCCTAAAACTAGAATTACCCCTATTAAAATTACGCATAAGACACAATTCCTCGGTCACTACTATAATTTTGCTGGAAGTATGAACCATGCTTTAATGTTTCACATTAAACTAATAATATGAAATTGGCTTTTATAATATGCAGATAATGGTTAGTTAAGGTGAAAATATGAGAATTGACCCAAAAAACTGAAGAATCAATGAGAGTCGGTAGACAGAAAACCATTATGCTAAAACCACATATTTCCTACTTCTACCAAGAGTTCAGAATATAACATAACGAAATCCCATTCAAAGCAGAAATACACAAACACACACACACACACACGTATATATCAAAGACAACTTAACTTGAAAAAAGATCATTGGAAGTGAAGAAAAATACTCTAAATTGATTGACTATAAGATTTTATGATTTTTTTTAAAGCATAAAAATTCAGCAAGGAAATGAAGATATTCAAAAAGTGGTTATGGAAAAATTAGGTAATTTGAAAAATACATTAGATTTTATGCCAAAAGTTTGGTAGAAAGTTGTATCAATAATAACAACATAAAATACTGGGATAATTATGCCACCTAATGATAAAAAAATTATTCAAGAAAGCATTAAAATGACAAAAAAACTAATTGTGCTACGTTACAAAGGAAAAACACTTGATTTCTTTGCTCACAGAACACAAGTGGGCAAATACTTGCTGTAAATAGAGAATAAAGATTAATCTTAATATAGCCAGTTGCAGTGGCTCACACCTGTAATTCTAGCCCTTTGGGAGGCTGAAATAGGAGGATCACTGGAGACCAGGAGTTCAAGAACAGCCTGGTCAACATAGCGAGACCCCATCTCAAAAAAAAATGAATGATTAATCTCAATATAAAAAGGTAAGTTTATTAATTTTAAGGAAAATCTCATTCTCATTTTAACTAGAAAGAAAAGCTACTTGAACAGGAGACAAGCAGTAAATGCCACCCTAACATGTCAAGAACTAGTAATCACAAAGCTATAGAGCTATAGTATCAAGAACAAGTAATACCACATCAGTACTATATAACAACCACCACCACCACCACACACACACACACCCCAAATTAAAAAAAACAAAAATATCACCGAAAGGTCAACATACAAAAAAGACGAACATACTTGATCATATTAAATTGAATAAAAAAGTAGAGTATAAAAAAGTATTTATAGCAAATAGGACAATTAAAGCAAAAGACAGGAGCAAATGATTTATGAAAAATACACATGCTCAATAAACAAGAAATTATAACTAGTAATTAAAGATATGTAAATCCAAACAGTGAAATAACTAGAACTGCAAAGATTTCCTTTGAAATAGTTACTGAACACAGTTCTGCTAAAAATGCATATGGTATAATCCTGGAAATATTTTTTAAGACCCTAAAAAAGCTAACACTACATGATTCCGATTTTACTTAGCATTTATCATAGGGTAGTAGCTATGGGCAAAGTTTTATGTAAGAATATTACATCTTGCTTTATTATGGTGAAAATTTATGGTAGACATTTAAATATCTACACATAAGGAAATGGAATAATTTGGCATGTTCATGGAATGAAATATTGTATAGACGCTGAACACTTTCAAAGAACAATAGCCTGAAAATCATTAAGCTGAAGCAAAAGTCAAAAATTATAAAATCCCAACTTTGTTAGTAACAACTATCATTCACTGCTTTTGTGCATATCTTATGCTAATCGCTTTATATTATTTCCTTACAAATCTGATATAAATAGAATTATTAATGATCACACCCAACCTGATAGATGTATGACAAAGCTGAAGTTTTAGAGAGTTAAACTTACCCCACAATCTTTCGGCAGTTGTTTATAATCGGTTGAGCTGGGGATGGCACATTTATGTAGTTTTAAAATGTCCTGTAGGAGCTTACTGCCTTTATAGTGAGAACAAAATAATTTTGATTACAAAAATCTGAACATGAGTGAAATGTGTTTGCTTTGCAGGCCAACTACATAAATATTACTGTAAGCAAGTGGGAAAGAAATTTAAGTCTGGATTTATCTGAATAAAAATGGAATCTGTTTTTCTAAATACATGTGCATTTGATAATTAGAAAAAAACACCTTATGATTTTTTAATATATACAGCTTTTTAAAAAATAAGAGAAAGTCATGATAATAGGAGTCTTTGGAAGGTGGATTTATTTTCATTATCCAGCTTTTAGCCTAAGGTCTGGCATACTTGAAAAATATTTGACAAATGCCTGCACATATGTACGTATATATATATATATAATATACTATTAATAGAAATTATCTTCAACATGTGGAATCACTGATAAATTAGTTTGCTTTTATTTTCCTGTACGTTCTATAATAGACATATCAAAAAAGCTAACAAATGTTAATTTTTGAATACTTTCCGAAAAACTAAAACAAGAAATGTTAACATAATGCTTTATGTGCTTTTAGTTTTTATCCTCTAAATATTTTTCCAGTCTGAACTTTCTTTAAAAAATTACCAGCTTATGAAAATAAATCTCTTTCCATTTAATCATTTCAACCACCTAAAATTTCTCTCTATAAGAAACTCCAGGTTTAATGAGCAGTACAGATTGAATATCCCTTATCTGAAATGCTTGGGACCAGAAGTGTTTTGGATTTTGGAATATTTGCATGTACATGACGTATCCTGGGGGAGGGACCCAAGTCTAAACAATATTACTTAAAACTTCGGTTATATTTCACGTTTCAGACACGTAGTCTGAAGGTAATTATAATAGTCTTAATAATGTTGTGCATGAAACAAGTCTTCACTGTGTTTTGAGTGTAACCTGTCACATGAGCTCTGGTGTGGAATTTTCTACTTGTGGCATCCTGTTGGCCCTCAAAAAGTTTTAAATTTTGGAGCAATTTGGATTTTTGGATTAGGGCTGCTCAACCTGTATTAGCATAGCATTAGTCAGCTACCTGTATGATTACCAAGAGAACTGTCAACTGCAGAATACGGGAAAGTAAAAAAATGAGAGGCAGGGTGGGTGAAGCTGGAGGTGGGGGATGTAGATAGAGCAGTTTACCTAGTAAAGCAATACTTATTTCAATAGGAAGCACCAGGTTCAGACATAAGATGTAATAAAAAGTACTTTTTTTCAATAAAAGGAAAAGCCTGTACAAAATAGAGGCAGGGCAGTATCACCTTGATATGTCAGAATAAGCACTGAAATACTACATAAAAAATAAACCATATCAAAATTATCCCCTAACCCCATCTCTACTAAAAATACAAAATTAGCCGGGCTTGGTGGTACATGCCTGTAATCCCAGCTAATCGGGAGGCTGAGGTGGGAGAATCGCCTGAACATGAGAGGCAGAGGTTTCAGTGAGCACACATCGTGCCATTGCACTCCAGACTGCACAACAGTGAGACCCTGTCTCAAAAAAAAAAAAAGACAAATTTGATCTCAAAAATTAACTGAACAGCGTTGCCTTTGTAAAACTACAACAGATTGAGGGAAGAAATAAATGCAAGCAAATGCAAGTTAAATTACATTTATTATATAAAGAGATCCTATAACTTGATACGAAAAACAAAGCAACTCCAACAGATAACAGAAGGGCAAAAGGACAGGAACATCTGATCAAAGAAACACAGCTACCGATAGCACACAAATATTCAACCTCATTAATAATCAAAGGATTAGGATGCACTTCTTGCTTATTCAATAAAGTTAATAATTTCTAATTTTTCTACTTTTCAAATGTACTCAAATGTGCTATTTTTAGTAATAAAAAACTGAGTAATTAAAAAAACATAGAAAGTATGAAAATTTCTGCCAATGCAGAAATCATAAACAGCATTAAAATGAATCAACACTTGTATGGGCAGTAAGGTTCAGACCCCTAGAAGCCAATTCATTTTGCCTTGGTTCCTGAGTTTTATTATGGGATTGTCAATAAGGAGAAAGTTGTTCCTGATTTACATGCTGACAATCTTCCAGGTATAGGGGGTTGTGTGTGTGTATTACACACACACACAATGTATATATAAATTTTTTTTCTTCAGGTAGACAATTATTCCAGGAAAGTACCTCTTCAGAATCACTCATTACAGAGAATTCCTGTAACTCCATTTGCTGATAAAAGTCCCATTAAAAATTACCATGTGGTTCTCAACCAATAGGGATACCTTTGGCATTGAAGAGGCTGAGGGTTGATTTTAGTACTGCTTGTAAGACCATAGTGTTCCAGAGGCTCTGTAGCTGGCTTCTTTGGGAATCTGAAGTTGGTCCTGTCTTTGAGACATGGCCAAAAGCACATTTTTCCTCACTTGATGCAGAAGAAAATGTTATCTCCTGCTTGCTCAGATCATAGCCTCGAGGCAGATCACACAGCTCAGGATGCACATGGACTGGAACAGCACCAGGGCAAGCACCCCAAATCACAAAATAATCATGTTAGGATGACTAAGTTGGGAGGCTGAACTTAAAACCCTATAGCTTTGTTCAGAATATTTTTTTCTTTGCTTTTTTCATTAAGTTTTACTGACCAAAAAGGTGGAAAAAAGAACCTAAATTTTCTGCACAAAAGCAGTTCTCTGAAACCTGAACTTTACCAATCTGTGTAAAAGTACTCTACAGAAAATACACAAGCAGAAAACAGTAATGTAAGCTTCATCTGAAGTAACGGTTTAGTCACATGACAAATTTGGTTGTCGATTTAGTATGCTGTAGCCCTTATCTATCTAAATTCAGTATGACTACATAGACATTTATTCTCTGGTACTGAATTTCCATTTGAATAGAAACGGCTGCTTTGTGGAAGAAAGAAACTTCAATTTAAAAACAATTTCAGCATCGTTGAAGTGCCAATCAGTTTTCAAATTATGTGTGTGTATACATATGTATGTATGTGTGCATGCATGTATGTTTGTATTATGTGTATTTTTTCCTCCTCTCTCCCTCTCTTGCTCGCTCTAGAGAGAGATACCAAATACTGGCTTGGTGCTATACTGTTTTTTCCTAGTTAATATTTTTATTATTTCTGTCTACGTAAGAAACTTCAAATATTCTGAATGCAACCACACAATCGAGTAAGTTGACAGACATGACAAAAACTACGAAAAGAGGGAGGTAACTAGTATTAATACTTGGCAACCTTTCGTTATTTTTAGTTTAGAGCGGCCTCCCTCTGACATTTTGGAGTCAAAGATGAAAACTCAACTTTGAAGCATAATGGACATAATTACACATTTACCACAGTCATCTACAATTTTATATAACATCACAAAAAGACATCTAAACATTTTTCTACGTCTTTTTTTCATTTGTTAAAACAGCTATGTTAAATACATTTTCAGAATGCATTTGTTAGCCACTTGATAAACATACTAAAAGCCATACAAGACGAATAACATCAGTTACCTTTATATCTAATAACTGTACCAATCACTGTAAGAAGATACAACTGAAGGGGAAGTATTAGATCACCCATGACGTACTGCAAAGGTGTTACACCTTAGACCTAAGAATGATCTGAAGGTGCTGAAAGAGGTGATTCTCTAGAAGGTGACCCAGGGTTTTCTTCAGGTGGAAAAACTGTGAGTGTACAGGCTCGAATGCCACCAAGTGACTCTGGAAGATCAAAAACTTTATGCCACTCATCTTTTTCTGGGTCATATTTCTGGACAATTTCTACCATACAACGATTATTCCAAGAATATCCACCAACAACATAGATTTTATTTTCAAAGACGGCAACTCCAACATCACTTTGGCCTCTTAACATGGCGGCAATTGGGGTCCACTGGTCAAGGGTTGGTGAATAGTATTCACAGCTTAGAACATCATCATAATCACTTGTTCCTCTGAAGTGATTGCCACCAATGACATAGAGCTTATCTCCAACTGTACACATGCAATGCAGACCTCTGACTGTAGTCATTGGAGCCTTTTGCATCCATTTATCTGTATCTGGGTCAAAACACATGAGCTCATTTTGGAAAGTGTCATGGGTAATTCCTCCTGAAATATACATTAAGCCTCCATATACTGTTCCAGCATGACCATAGTGGGGTTCACTCATTTTTGCAACATAGCTCCACTCATTCATTCTTGGGTTGTAACATTCTACTGTGGCCAGTTCACCAGCTGCACTGCGCCCACCAACTGCATACAAATGTCCTTTGAGGGCACTCAAGTGAAAGAATGTGCGCTTTTCATTTAATGATGCAACCTGCATCCATTTATTATACCGAGGATCAAATCTGAAAACTGTATCAACAGCAGTTTTTCCTTTTGTATCATAATTACTCTGACCACCAACTACATAAAGAAAGTTTCCAATGACAGCAATACCATGCTGGTAACGGGGAGCATCCATTGGGGCTAAAGATCTCCATTCTTGTGCCCTTTCATCATACATCCGTAATTCTTTACTGACAACCAGCTGCTGCCTCAAAACTCCTCCTAATGTAACCAAGTGAGTGGAGTCAGATCGAATGGCAGTTCTATCTGACTGCATCACTGGCTGCATATATGGCATCATTTGGTAATTGCTAGCTTCCAAAAGCAAATTCACGCAGGTATTGTCTGTTCTCATGAAATCTACTGTCTGCACGTAATTGATGAGATCCTGTGGTGTCATCAGTGGAAATCGAATATTCTTCATTAACTTTGCAGCATAATCCATCCGAGGGTCTTCCAACCTTAGCCAGCGACAGGCTGCCTTAAAGAGTTCAAGTTCGGTACAGTGCTTAAGACTATTACTGGAAAGCACAAATGCAAGTCGTTCAAAAGGGAGTTTTAGAAACTCCCCAGTACTCAATAAAGCAGGAAAGTTCTTCAGGATGAAATTATTAACATATTTATCCACTTCTATAAGATTGTAGGTGTTAGCAATTCGTCCAACCTCAACACAGTTATCCAAAGAGACTCCTGATATAAGAAATACTTTACAGAAATCCAAAACGGGTAATATTTGTAAAAAGCTAGCAGCTTCAAGTGTGTCCTGAAGATTGTCCATATTAAGAGAAAGTTTTGCAGTATAAATAAAATCAATGATTTTCTTCAGACCAACCTTGTTCACCCCATGAAGCTTAATGCACATCAAATCTTGTTCTTTCATTCCACCTGTGAACATGGCTTTGAAATAATCACTAGCAGACGCCATCATAGCTCTGTGAACAGGGAAGATTTCATCTCCATCACCTGGTACCAGGGTCACATCACAAAGCAATCCTTCTATTCTAAGCTGATCAAAGCCTTGCAATACCACCGAACTGTGAGTATTGCTGGTAAAAAAGCGTGTGGTTCCTGCCTTACAAGGCTGCAAATGGGCAGAGACGCCCATTTCGCCGTTACCAAGGGACACTTTCATGTGAAAGCTTTCCTCTTGCACAGAGATGCAAGCCGGATAAAGAAGTTATAACCGGAATGTTTTACAGGTAACGAGGTGTCCAGAAAGAACAGAAAGCTCGTTTCCTTATCAAGGGAAGGCAGTCACTGCGGCACCCCTCGGGCCACGCCAGTCAGTCATCCACTGAAAATCACCCTGTAGCAGGACCACAAAGGGCTGTGGACCTCAAATCTGATTATTAGACAGATGATTCATCACCTGAAGGCGGTTAAATGACCTGGTTCACCTCGTCCGGCCTGCGCTGCCGCTCCTTCAGCAGTTCCGCTTCGGGCAAGGAAGAGGCGCCGCCACGTACTGTGGCTCCACGGCCCGCTCGGCGGCGGGTCCGGACACCTCAGCGAACGGCCCGCTGCGCCCTCCGCTGTACCTAGAGTGTCGCAGCGGCCACCGGCCTGTCTTTGAGCAAGGGCCGGGAACACAGGCCTGGGCCTGGGCTTGGGCCTAGAATACCGGCCTAGCCCCAACACCGAGCCGCTCCTTCCGGAAAAGCCTAGTCCCAGGATACCACGGGGTGGGAGCGGCCTTAGCGGCTACTGCGGCTGCGCGGCCTCCAGACCTCGTCAGTCAGCGGGAGGGTGGGGGTGGGGAAGGGGGAGGAAGTACCCGGGAGGCGGGAGGGCGAGGGTTGGGGAAGCGGAGCTGTGTGGGGTGGGCGCCAGCCCGGCCTCTTAGAGCTGCCTTGTATGTGGGACCAAATAGGACAGAATGTGTGCAAGCAAGTGTGTTATGCTGCACGTTTGATATAAGTTTTTCGCATATCTGAGCTCTTACGTTCCCCAAATGCATAATTTTTCAAAGCTTTACGCTTCCTAGCTTCTGTTTTTTTGAATAACAGTGAAATGCGGCATTTGTATAAATTGAGAGGAAACCTGGATGCTTAATTTTTTTTTTCCTCTACAAAACAATAATTGTTATCCCACATTATGTAGTAGATACTTCAGTTACAATTTTGGTTCATATTTTCAAATTTGTTACAATTTCAAACGCAAAATATTTGTCTTTACTAGATTGTTACTTTATTATGTAAATGATATATTCTAAATTTTTGGCTTGAAATGCCTTTGTTTTCCACAATTTTAAAAATGGCTACATAATTTTCCAATAACTATACATACTATAGTTTCCTTTGCCCATTGGTTTGTTCCTGAATGTGTACCTTCTTATCCTCCATTGTTTTATAGACTCGGTAGTAAACTTATACAATCTGGTAGCAAAATTTTAGCCCTGTTATGGATAATATTTAGTAAAATACTGATCCAAGACAATATTTCCAAAATATTATCACCAACAATGTTTGTGTCTTTCCCTTCTTCTGACTTTTCCCTTTGTGAGTATTTTATTAACTTGCATTTCTTTAATTAGTGGTAAATTTAAATTTTGACATACAAATAAATGTATACTTTGACACAATTTCTTCCATTTTCCAAATTTTGAAGTTTCTGTCTTTTAAATCCTTCTAGTTCTTTATGCATATGCAAAGTAAGAATGTAGTCATGTTTTTCTTACACTCGCCTCGTTTTTATGTAAAAGATAGCATACCATGTACACTGTTCTGCATCTTTTTTTTTCACTTCAAGATCTTCCTGAATTAGTGTAGAGGGCTTATTTATATTTTTAAACAATTCTGTTGTTGCCTTCTGAGTTGTTACATCATAAGTTATTTAACCAGTGCCCTGTTGATGGGCAGTTCATCTGTTTTGAATGTTTTCTATTGTTTCCAAGGGATGGCAGCAAAATTCAGAAGGCTTAGACTACCACTGTCCTCCACAAGGTGCTCCAGCAGATTGTCACCTTATTCAACACAAGAGGTTGGTTGGAATGAAACTGGCCTGGAGAAATTATTCACTGAATTTTTATCAGCATTGGGAAGTCCTGGAGCCCTGCTTGTTGAATGAGTTAGGGGTGGAAGGGCTCTCTCAGGCCATGACAACTCCCTAATGCTGTGAAGAGCTACTTCCAAGGAATCAGTCTCTATCTGGAAAAGAAAGAAGAGAGCCTCTGTACATGGGAAGTTGGAGCAAGAAATCATGAGATCCTTCTTTTTTTCATCAAACTTGCAAGTAAGATTAATAGCTTAGGAACAGACTTGTGTCTTCATGAAATGATTACTATAGACACTCTTCATTATATTCCCATATGTTTAGTTATTTTAAAAGACTATCTTTTCTGCCTGCATAATGAAATGATTGAATCAAATTTGTCACAATACTTGTTGGTAATGTCAAGCAACTGTATGATAAAGCATCCAGTTCTTAGGGGCATTAGCTCACCATGGATGATATTATTAATTTACCCATGTACTTAATTATTGATTCTACTACATTTATTGTATTCAGTATTTTTGCTTGTATGAAATGTTCACTTTTAACACTGTGCTAATTACATTAAAAAGTGTTCACTTTATGTATATTTTGTTTGTTTGTTTTGTTTTGTTTTGTTTTGACGGAGTCTCGCTCTGTCACCCAGGCTGGAGTACAGTGGTGCGATCTCGGCTCACTGCAACCTCCGCCTCCCAGGGTCAAGCAATTCTCCTGCCTTAGCGTCCCGAGTAGCTGGGACTACAGGTGCGCGCCACCATGCCCAGCTAATTTTTTGTATTTTTAGTAGAGATAGAGTTTCACCATGCTGGCCAGTCTGCTCTCAAACTCCTGACCTTGTGATCCGCCTGCCTCAGCCTCCCAAAGTGCTGGGATTACAGGCGTGAGCCACCATGCCTGGCCCCTCACTTTATATTTTGAAAATTATTCTCTTTATTATTTCGAGTTTTACTTTCAGATCATTTTGCATTTGTTTATTTAAAAAAAACAAACACAAGGTCTTGCTCTGTCACTAAGCTGGAGTGCAGTGGCAGGTTCATAGCTCACTACAGCCTCAAACTCCTAGCCTCAACAATCCTCCCACCTCAGCCTCCCACACTGCTGGGATTACTGGCATGAGCCACCATACCTGGCCTTACTCAATAAATCAATGCCAAGGTTGGTTTTGCAACCTCAAGTGAAGTTCAGTTCATTCATTCCATTCACACTGTATGAAACACTTGATATGTGACTTTTCAGGATAGAAAAGTGAATAAAGGAAACACAGCTTCAGCCCTCTTGAAACTTTTTGCTGAGGGAGAAATAAAACTATTAACCAATTAATTAATTTCAACTCTATCATAAACTCAAACCATAGGCAAAAGAAAAGTGGTTTTTGTCATCAGAAACTGGAAGACTTTAAGCCTTGAAAATTGGATACACAGTTCTGGGATTTAGAGTGCATGGCTAGAGATGTTCATTTGGGAGCTGGGCTATACCTTTTTCCTGAAGGCCCAAGGATGGATGAGGTCTGGTAGAAATTGAGTAGTGAATCAGAAGACCAAAACCTGGATCTTGAGGACCTTTACATCTTAATGTAGTGAACAGAGTGAGGAACCTGAAAAGGGCATGTGAATGAAATGATAGGAGGACATCCAGGAGCAAAATAGGAGGACAACCAGGAGAAAATTGTGATAAGAGGGTGTTTAAGGGAAGAAATGTGTTTAAAACATGACGTTTTACATTTAGGAAAAGAAAGGACTGGTTTGCCAGAATTAATTTGGCAAAATCCAGATTGGAATATATTGACTAGAGTAAATAGCAGGAGAGGTTGGAGACACAGTGGATGGAAACTTCTTTTAGAAGTTTATCTGTGAGTGGAAGAAGAGCAAGAAGGTAGTACCTGGAGAAAAATGTGTGTTTGTATTATCGGATATAATTTTGTAACCTTTTTACAAACTTTTATTTAGGATTGATTTCAGGGAATGGATATAATGGCACAAAGCATATAAAATTAATACTTTATTTCATAGGCTATATTGTCTTACTGCTTATTTAATAATCTAAAATTTCAAGAATAATTGTTTAATAGTTTTTGAGTACTAGTGGGCTATAATGCCTTTCCATTTGCTTCACTTGCTGTTCTTAATTCTATTTAGATTTCATTTTATGGCATTAATTGTAGTTTTTATTGTTCTTATGAATTATGCTTTTATACGCCCCTCTTAAAAGTATATATAAACCCTTTATGTAGATGTTAGCTATATTCCCTATGATGCAACTTTCTCGATTTTGTTTACATATAACTGTTATTTTCCTTTACATTTCTCCTATTGCCAGACAATTGAGAACATCTAAAACTTATGGAAAATGCGTTTGAAATCCTACTTCTTTCTTTCAAACAAATGGGCTCTCTTTATTAATGTGGATAAATAAAATCCAAATACTCTTCAGAGAGAGTGTAGATGACTGCTCAGAGAGCTCATTTATCACATTCTTCGTACACCAGGGATGCTAATTGTGCAAAAATACTGAAACCTAAGTAAGGCTGGACAAGGATGGCCATCGTAGTAAAGGCCATCTCTGACCAGATGGGGATGCTTCTAGGGAAGTGTATTTAGCTGCCATGCAGAGAATGTCTGCAAACCACCACGTTGTGAGTTTATTGATTCACTGGTTTCCTATTCTCTACTGCCTAGTCATGAAACCCACTCATACTTTGGTAACATTTTATAAATTTCTCTCTTAGCAGAGATGATATGAGGAGTGATCTGCGGATCAGTATTGATAAGAGATGTCTTGAAGACATCCATTTAGTGAATGGTGAGGGGCAGAGATAGGATTCATAGCTGGTTCTACCTGTATGTACAGTGTTCTTTTCTCTGTGTTTAATGTATCTAAGTTAGACTTTGTTGTTTGTCATGAATGCAGAATTGACAAGAGCACTCAATACTAAGAAGGCATTAAAAGAAAACATTGTTTTTGATTTCTTTCATCAGTGTTAAGAAAGAACAGGGAAAGAAAAAATCTATTATTATGTGCCATCTATAAAATAAATAATATGTTACATGTTTTAATCCACCAGTTACAGTGTAAATAGTAATACTATCAAGCTTACTTTATCAATGAAGAAAGCAGGACGCTGAGAGAAAAGGTGATCCACGTAGAGTGCACAAGTGATTGGCAGAGTTAGGATTTGAGTCTAGGTGTGCTGATGGAAAACTTCATGCACTCAGTGGATATCATGTTTCCCCAAGGTTGGGGGCTATCAGGATCGGGTAGGTTCTTCTTTCTTTCTCTTCTTCACAAGTTACCCTGTTGGAGACCCAAACTCACAGCGTCTGCCCTACTCACTGTGCTTCACTCATTTCCTCAATTATTGTCTTACCTGCCTGTGGCATCTGTCTGGGTCACAGACAGACCTCCTATCACCTGCATAAGTGCAGTGAAGAACTCAGGTACCCCAAGGATTCTGAGGGGTTGAGTAACACATAAATCTTCAGTAAAGAGACGGGCCTGAATAGGACTTCTTACAAGTTTAGCACCAACCATGTCCAGAGTGCCTAGCTGGCCTCACTGGAGAAAAGGATTACTCATGAAATCCTCTTGGTCTATTTTCTCCTGTCCTTTGTGAAATGGTGAAGAAAATAATAGACCCCAAACTGTTCTCAGCTCACATATTCTCCTTTTTAGCTGTGGCCTTTGGGCAAGTCTTTTTCCCTCAGAGATAGATGCCTGCTCACAGGGTCTGAGCCGTAAGTAGGAGGAAGTCAAAAGGTATGTGCAGAACAATCTACAAAGTGCTATGTGGTGGTTAGTGGTTATTTCTCTAAACACATCTAATTGTATTGATTCAGACTGTTGATCGAGCTTGCCATGCTATTTTAGACAGCACAATTTAGTGACTAAAGGGTATGACTCTAGAGCCAGAGTTCCTGGTTTGGATTCCAGCTCTGCTATTTAATAGCAATATGACCATGGCAAGTACCATGAACATTATGCTCCCTAGTTTCCTCGTCTGTAATATGGGAAGAATAATAGTATTGATCTCATAGGATTATTGTAACAATCAGATTAATAAATACGAAATGGCTGAAACTACCTAGCAAAAATAATCACTGCTGTTAGAAGCGAGAGTGTCTATCCCCAGGGCAGAGGCAGAAGAGTTGGTCTTACTTAGGTACTGACTGGCACAGAGCACTAGAGAGGCTTCTAAGTCCTGAGCAAACTGTTTCTGACATGCTGCTACTTTCACAATGTATTCAGTGTGTGAGGAACCATGTCACTGTGTGCGTAAGACGTGTATACTTTCATTCTGTGTGTTATGCTTTCAAAAATGAGTTGCTTTTTAAAAAACAATTGTGCTAGAAAAAATTCCTGGGATAGCTTAAGATTTCCAAAGACTAGTGGGATCCAAGCCAATACATATATATATATTTCATCTATCTAAATAGCTATTATTAACCTGATATCTAATCTATATTTACCTATCTATATCTATATTTATCTATATCTATCTATGTGTACATATCAGATCAAAGTTTTTCCAGGGGCTCGCCATTGCTTTCCATGTTGGCTCTACACAAGAGAGAAGCTTGTCCCCAGGTTCACCTGAGATGGGATGGGGAAGTGGCTGATGAAAAGGTATTGAAAGGCTGTCCTGTTCAAGTGTGCTGAACTCCCTTCATCAGCCAATTCATAACCCTGAATCACAATGTTTGGGATTTTACTCTGAAGACCTCTCTCACACTCAGATAAATTATTTGTGACCTTTGGTTAGAAGCCCTAGGCCCTGCTGTCTCCCCTGACCTGCCTTGCCTGTTCTCTAAGTCTAATGATGTTCTCATCTTTTCCCAGTACTCTCATTCCTGATGTATCTGTGTTCCAATAATTAATTCAGAATAATGGAAAATGATATTTGGGCCCTTTTCTTTACCTTGCCTAATTGATGTCTCTGCTTTCTACGAACAGTGGTAGTAAGTCAGATGTGGGTATATCAATCCTAATCCCAAGAACCACAACATTTTTATTCTTTCCCCAGCACCTCCTTACCCCTCAAGTTAGAGACCACATCTTTAATCTGACCCTCTGGCCTAATGTGCACACAGCCACCTATCTTCCAATTTAACCCTCCCTAACTCCCTCTAAATGTGCTGGCAGGAGTCAGCTCATCACAATTGAGAAATTTTGGCACATCATTACTGGAAGATGATTGCTTTTGTCCTTCAAACAGTCAATTGGCCAAGACAGCAGAGTGTTGCTGTGATTGAACTAGGTTGTCAGCAGTGATCTCCTCTTTTTTTGATCTGGTACTAACGTCAATATTTTCATAGCCTTCAGATGATAGGAGCAAAAATTTATGTTCAGTGTGTGAGCGTGGGCAGGGGTTGGGTAAATTATCCTTTGCAAAATTTTTATGTTGAATAGCAAAATTAATTTTATTTTTCCAAATGTGGATTATATCTACGTTGAATTCAATTCATTAAATTGCTGAATACTTTTTATGCTTTAAGTTTCTAAGCTGGCCACAGGGGATTTTATGATGATTTTGCTTCCATCAGATTACATTGTTCTCATTGGTTTCAAAGAACTTCTTGATTTCTGCCTTAATTTCTTTATTTACCCAGGAGTCTTTCAGGAGCAGGTTGCTCAATTTCCATGTAATTGTGTGGGTTTGAGTTAGTTTCTTAATCTTGAGTTCTAATTTGATTGCCCTGTGGTCTGAGAAACTGTTTGTTATGATTTCAGTTTTTTTGCATTTGCTGAGGAATGTTTTGCTTCCAATTATGCGGTCAATTTTAGAGGCAGTGCTACGTGGCACTGAGAAGAATGTATATTCTGTTGATTTGGGGTGGAGAGTTATGCAGACATCTGTCAGGCCCACCTGATCCGAACTGAGTTCAAGTCCTGAATATCTTTGTTAATTATCTCGATGATCTGTCTAATATTGACAGTGGGCTGTTAAAGTCTCCCACTATTATTGTGTGGAAGTCTAAGTCTCCGTGTAGGTCTCTAAAAACTAGTTTTATGAATGTGGGTGCTCCTGTATTGGGTGCATGTATATTTAGAATTCTTAGTTCTTCTTGTTGAGTTGATCCCTTTACCATTAGGTAATGCCCTTCGTTGCCTTGTTTTTTTTTTTTTTTACCTTTGTTGGTTTAAAGTCTGTTTTGTCAGAAATTAGCATTGCAACCCCTGCTTTCTTCTGCTTTCATTCTCTTGGTAAATTTTCCTCCATCCCTTTATTTTGAGCCTCTGTGTGTCTTTGCAGGTGAGATGGGTTTCTTGAACAGCACACTGATAGGTCTTGACTCTGTCCAATTTGCCAGTCTGTGTCTTTTAATTGGGGCGTCTAGCCCATTTACATTTAAGTTTAATATTTTTATGTGTGAATTTGATCCTATCATCATGATGCTAACTGGTTATTATGCAGATTAGTTGATGCAGTTTCTTTATAGTGTCCTTGGTCTTTGTACTTCAGTGTGTTTATGTAGTGGCTGGTACTGTTTTTTCCTTTCCATATTTAGTATTTCCTTCAGGAGCGCTTGCAAGACAGGCCTGGTGGTTATGAATTCCCTCAACATTTGCTTGTCTGAAAAAGATTTTACTTCTCCTTCACTTATGAAGCTTAGTTTGGCCGGATAAGAAATTCTGGGTTGGAAATTCTTTTCCTTAGGAGTGTTGAATATTGGCCCCCCTCTCTTCTGGCCTATAGGGTTTCTGCTGAGAGGTCCACTGTTAGTCGGATGGGCTTCCCTTTGTAGGTCACCTGGCCTTTCTCTGTGGCTGCCTTTAACATTTTTTCCTTCATTTCAACCTTGGAGAATCTGATGGTTATGTGTCTTTGAAACCAATGAGAATAAAGAGACAACATATCAGAATCTCTGGAATTCAGCTAAAGCAGTGTTTAGAGGGAAATTTATAGCACTAAATGTCCACATTAGAAAGCTGGAAAGATCTCAGATCGACATTCTAACATCACAACTAAAAGATATAGAAAAGCAAGAGCAAACAAATCCAAAAGCTAGCAGAAGACAAGAAATAACTAAAATCAAAGGAAATTGAAGGATATAGAGACACAACAAAACCTTCAAAAACCAATGACTCTAGGAGATGTTTTTTGAAAAAATTTAATAAAATTCACTGCTAGCTAGACTAATAAAGAAGAAAAGAGAGGATAATCAAATAGACACAATAAAAAAATGATAAAGGGCATACCACCACTGACCCCACGGAAATACAAACAACCATCAGAGAATATTATAAACACCTCTATGCAAATAAACTAAAAAATCTAGAAGAAATGGATAAATTTCTCAATACATACACCCTCCCAAGACTAAACCAGAAAGAAGTCGAATCCATGAACAGACCAATAACATGTTCTGAAATGGAGGCAGTAATAAATAGCCTATCAACCAAAAAGAAAGCCTATTACCAGATGGATTTACAACTAAATTCTACCAGAGGTACAAAGAGGAGCTGGTACCATTCCTTCTGAAACTATTCCAAAAAAATTGGACCTTCATGTTAAAAACTCTCAATAAACTGTGTATTCATGGAACATATCTCAAAATAATAAAAGCCATTTCTGACAAACCCAAAGCTAATATCATACTGAGTGGGCAAAAGCTGGAAGCATTCTCTTTGAAAACCAGCATAAGAAAAGGGTGCCCTCTCTCACCACTCCAAATTCCAAAAAAAAAAAATTGGGATGGTTTCAGAAGGAATGGTACTTTGGAATAGTTTCAGAAGGAATGGTACCAGCTCCCTAACTCGTTTTATGAGGCCAGCATTATCTCGATACCAAAACCTGGCAGAGACACAACACAAAAAGAAAACTTCAGACCAGTATCCCTGATGAACATTGATGAGAATATCCTCAATAAAATACTGCAAACCAAATCCAGCAGCACATCAAAAAGCTTATCCACCATGATCAAGTCAGCTTCATCCTTGGGATGCAGTGCTGGTTCAACATATGCAAATCAATAAATGTAATCCATCATGTAAACAGAACTGACGACAGAAACCACATGATTATCTCAATAGATGCAGGAAAGGCCTTTTATAAAATTCAACATCCCTTCATGTTAAAAACTCTCAATGAACTATGTATTGATGGAACATATCTCAAAATAATAAGAGCCATTTCTGACAAACCCAAAGCTAATATCATACTGAATGGGCAAAAGCTGGAAGCATTCCCTTTGAAAACCAGCATAAGACAAGGATGCCCTCTCTCATCACTCCTATTCAGCATAGTATTGAAAGTTCTGGCCAGGGCAAGCAGGCAAGATAAATAAATGGTATTCAAACAGGAAGAGAGGAAGTGAAATTGACTGTTTGCAGACCACATAATCCTATATTGTCTCAGCGGAAAAGCTCCTTAAGCTGATAAGCAACTTCAGCAAAGTCTTAGGATACAAAAATCGATGTGCAAAAATTACAAGCATTCATATATACCAAAAGTAGACAAGCAGAGAGCAAATCATGAATGAACTCCCATTCACAATTACTACAAAGAGAATAAAATACCTAGGAATACAGCTAACAAGGGATGTGGAGGACATCTTCAAGGAGAACTACAAACCACTGGTCAAGGAAATAAGAGGGGACACAAACAAATGGAAAAACTTTCCATGCTCATGGTAGGAAGAATCAATATCATGAAAATGGCAATACTACTCAAAGTAATTTACAGATTCAATTCTGTTCCCATTGAACTACCATTGACATTCTTCACAGAATTAGAAAAAACCTAGTTTAAAATTTATATGGAACCAAAAAGAGCCCATGCAGCCAAGACAATCCTATGCAAAAAGGAAAAAGCTAGAGGCATCATGCTACCTGACATCAAACTATACTGCAAGGCTACAGTAACCAAAACAGCATGGCACTTGTACCAAAAATGACACATAGACCAATGAAACAGAATAGAGATCTCAGAAATAAGGCCAGACATCTACAACCATTTGATCTTCAACAAACCTTACAAAAACAAACAATGGGGAAAGGATTTCCTCTTCAATAAATGAGAAAACTGGCTAGCCATATGAGAAAACTGAAAACTGGACCCCTTCCTTACACATTATCCAAAAATTAACTCAAGATGGATTAAAGACTTAAATGTAAAACCCAAAACTATAAAAACCCTAGATGCTGGGGAGGATGTGGAGAAATAGGAATGGTTTTATGCTGTTGGTGGGAGTATAAGTTAGTTCAACTACTGTGGAAGACAGTATAGTGATTCCTCAAAGTTCTAAAATCAGAAATACCATTTGATCCAGCAATCACATTACTGGGTATATACCCAAAGGATTATAAATCATTCTACTATAAAGACACATGCACACATATGTTTATTGCAGCACTATTTACAATAGTGAAAACTTGGAACCAACTCAAATGCCCATCAATGATAAACTGCATAAAGAAAATGAGGCAGATACATGCCATGGAATACTACACGTCCATAAAGAAGAATGAGTTCATGTCCTTTGTAGGGACATGGATGAAGCTGGAAAGCATTCTCAGCAAACTAACACAGGAACAGAAAACCAAACACTGCATGTTCTCACTCATAAGTGGGAGTTGAACAATGAGAACACATGGACACAGGGAGGGGAACATCACACACTGGGGCCTGTCGAGGGGGTAGGGGGTTAGAGAAGGGATAGCATTAGAAGAAATACCTATTGTAGATGATGGGTTGATAGGTGCAGGAAATCACCATGGCATATGTACATCTTGTAACAAACCTGCATGTTCTGCACATGTATCCTAGAACTTAAAGTAAAATAATTAAAAAAAAAAAAAACCCAAGAAGAAAATCTAGGCAATGCCATTCAGTACATAGGTATGGGAAAAAATTTCATGACGAAAACATCAAAAGCAGTTGCAACCAAAGCAAAAATTGACAAATGGAACCTAATTAAACTAAAGAGCATTTGCACAGCAAAAGAAACTATCATCCAAGTGAACAGACAACCTATGTAGTGGGAGAAATTTTTTGCAATCTATCAATCTGACAAAGGTCTAATATCCAGAATCCACAAGGGACTTACATCAATTTCAAAAGAAAAAAAAAAGCCAAACAACCCTGTCACAAAGTGGGCAAAGGTTATGAACAGACACATCTCCAAGAAGTCATTTATATGGCCAAAAAACATGAAAAAAAAAGCTCAACACCACTGATCATTATACAAATTAAAACCATAATGAGATACCATCTCACCCCAGTCAGAATGGCGATTATTAAAAATCTCAAGAAATAACAGATGCTGGCGAAGCTGTGGAGAAATAGGAATGCTTTTACACTGTTGGTGGGAATGTAAATTAGTTCAATCATTGTGGAAAACAGTGTGGTGATTCCTCAAGGATCTAGAACCAGAAATACCATTTGACCCAGCAATCTCATTACTAGATATATACCGAAGGGAATATATGTTATTCTGTTATAAAGATACATGCATGTGTTTGTTTATTGCAGCACTATTCACAATAGCAAATACATAGAATCAACTCAAATGCCCATTGATTATAGATTGGATAAAGAAACATGGTACATATACCCTATGGAATGCTATGTAGCCATGAAAAGGAATGAGATCATGTCCTTTGCAGGGACAATGGATGGAGCTGGAAGCCATTATCCTCAGCAAATTAACAGGAACAGAAAATTAAACATCACATTTTCTCACTCATATATGGGAGCTGAACAATGAGAACACATGGACACAGGAAGGGAAACAACATTGGAAGGCATGGGGAGGGAGAGCATCAGGATAAATAGCTAATGCATGTGATGCTTAATACCTAGTGATGGGTTGATAGGTCCAGCAAACCATCATGGCACACATTTACCTATGTGACAAACCTGCATGTTCTGCACATGTATCCCAGAACCTAAAATAAAATAAAATTAAATATAGAAAAGAAAAATAAGATTACATTGTAGTAACTACTAAATGTCCCTAGATCAGTCAGTCAGTGCATTTCTACTGAACTTCATGGTTTGTTATTATCTGTCTCAAGGTGAAAATTTAAGGCAGTGAGGTCCAGCAATGCTGCTAGATGAAATTAGTCTGCTCTTCTTTACTGGTTTCAGTGTCTAAACAATTCATATATTCTTTTTTTTATTTTCATATTTTTCTGGTCAAGTGCTGTATGGCTGCTTCTGAATTACTTTCTATTTTATCTTAAGGTAAATACCAACATAGGGAAGTACAAATGGAAACATAAAGAGCTCATATCATTATTTTCTATCATTTTCAATACATCCTTTTATTCTTTCTCCAAATTAATGTTTTTATAAATTGTCATTGCATTTGGATATGTTGAAGAGAAAGGAAGACAAATGCAAATCTGAATATGATAAACATGAAAGAAGGAAAGTGACTCCCCAGGCCAAAAAATGGTAATAGGAATTTTTCTTTTTTTTTTTTTTTTAACCTTTCCACCTACTCCAATATAGTTTCTGCTTGTAAATTCTACCAAGTCACCTTCACTAAGGTCACCAATTCCATCTGTTTTTCTACTGTAGTAGATGATTTCAATCCATAGAGCAGTTTACTGACAGTCAAGATAGTATTAACCAAAATAATGATGTTATCATTATAAATAATTTGATATGTCATAATTTAAAATAAATATTAATTATACTAGTATGATTTTTCAATAATCAAATCCATGAAATCTATCTATAGACATACATATTTCCAAAAATGGAAAGCTATGCATATAAAAATTAATTCATGTCCTTTTCCAGGTCCTACTTTACTTCTCTCCTTCATTTCATGATGAGGCAGGATAGGTAGTCAAGGAAGTAACCATATCATCAGGATGTCACAACCTTGGTGACCATACCATCACCACAATAAGCTTTAGCATTAACATTGTAATTGAACTCATTCAAGCAAAGCTGTAGTTCCCCTGTAGAGAGAATGCACATTTTGATTTTACCTGTCCTCAGAGTGACCCTTTGCTCATTATAATAGTAAAGAATAAACCCGTGGGTAGAAGATTTAAGATGCTAATGAGACATACGGTGTTACAACAAGCATATGCAGTTACTGCACATGTGCACCCAGAGGACAACCAAGAACATGCTTACTAGTAACGCCTCTTCCCACCTCCTTATGGATAATCATGGAAGATTCCCATAAAAGGAGTCTCCCTAGTACTAGTCTTTACTTTCTCATCCTTACTAGCAGCCTGCCCTGAATCCTGTCTGTCTCAGGGTGTACTGTCTATTCTGCACCTGGATTTCAAAATATTCGTTTTCTTTTTTTTGGCAATAAATTACTCCATGCTGCATCTCCACCGCCGTGTGTCTCTTGTTTAAATTCTTAAAACTAGCAAGACAAGAATCTAGGTCTCACATCAGCCATCAGCAAGAAGGCAAACTTCTCAAAATTGTTTTCTCTATATATTGCCATTACCTTCTCTTCTCTTATTTACTCTTCTACCTACTCCTGTATGGTTTCTACTGATTAAGTCTATCAGTCAACTGGTTGATTCTACCAATCAACTTCCACTAAGATCACCAATGCCCAAATTACCAGGCAGTTTCAATCTACTCTATATTTTGCATGAATGCATCAATTCTTCTAAGCAGTTTTAGTCCTTTAAATTTATTATTATCACCATTCTCTCTTTTCCTTCTAATATTTGGCCATTCCAAATCTGTTTCCATTGTAGCTCTTTCCTCCCTTTAAAGTTGAAAGTTGCAGGAGGAAATTTTCAGTCATTTTGTCATTCTGTAAACACTTCTCACATGACCACTGCTGTTCCTGGAGTTTCAGGTCACGGCATTGCTTGAAAATTGCAGACTGAAATATCAAATTGCCAGTGCACATTTGCACTTATGTGTCTACCAGTCAACTGTAGAAGATATCTGCTGCTTTTGTTTTTGTTTCCTGATATGCCTTACTCCAGCTCTGCTGAAAAAAAATACTGTTTTTTGGTCTTCTTCTTATATCATTTATCTAACAGATTTAATGATTATTCTTGTTTTTAGGTTTTTTTCCCTACACAAAGAAAGATAAAAGACAGCATGAAGTGTATTTGTATCTTCATCTCTATAACCTGAAGTCAACTTACAAGCTGGCTTATAGAATGTAAATTTGTACTGTACTTATAACTTGAGTATAATAACAATGAATCAATGAATTGAACCATACATTTTTAAATCATGTTGGAGAATCGGCTTGGTGTTTCTCCTTAGAGAATAAACAAATCCAAGAAGTTTTCTATAGTAAATATTTAATAAACTAAACAAAATAATACATCGACTAAACATAGAAAATATATTTTGTTATGTTATCAACAATATAAAGGTATACATTTTATGCTTTTATATGGGCAAAAAATTAAATATTATAGTCAAATAAATATACATTTAATAAATAGATAAATAGATCCATCAGCTTAGTCATCTGTAAGGGACTAGTTCCTGTGCAACTGAACACGATGTTGCTTAACACACTTGAAAATACTTGACGCGTTTGATTCAACTCATGGTATGGTTATAGCAGAAACAAGAGTCTTTAAAATGGCAGATCATGAAAGTGCAAGCTGGTGTAGTCGTCAATGGGAGTCGTTTCTGTGTTGGATCAGGTCTTATTCCTTCCTCCTTAACCTTTCTTGCAAGTTTCTTGATGAAGAGAAGGATCTCATGATTTCTGCTCTGACAACCTCCCAGGCACAAGGGCTGTACTTTTTCTCTGTCAGGTAGAGAGTGATTCTTTGGAAGTATTTTCTCACAGCCAGGATGGAGTCCTCATTCATCAGGGGAGTCCCTCCCACCCACACCTCCTGCATCACACAGGCTTCCAGGTCATTCAGCTGCTGGTAAAGTTCAGTATAGAGTTTGTCTAGAAGCCTCTCATCCCAAGCAACAGATGAGTCCTTTGTGCTGAAGAGGTTGAAGGTCTGCTGAATCACCTCATGGAGGACAGAGATGGCTTCAGCCTTCTGGAACTGGTTGCCATCAAACTCCTCCTGGGGAAATCTGAAGTCATGTCTGTCCTTCAGACAGGAGAAAAGAGAGATTCTCCTCATTTGTGCCAGGAGCATCATGGTCCTCCTGTGACCCAGGCTGTGGGTCTGAGGCAGATCACAGTCCAGAGAGCAGCTTGACTTGCAGCTGAGCACCACCAGGGCCATCAGTAAAGCAAAAGGCAAAGCCATTGTAGATGTTGCAGATGCTGTTGGACTTGTTGAGATGGGTGACTCTGAACCTTCAGCTCTAGGTTCTCTGAAGACCTTGCTTTATGTGTAGGTCTTAAATAGGGAACATACTAGTTTCCATTTTCAGAATTTACTTTCTACGTCTGATTTTGCTTTCATTTATTTACTCTCTACATGGGTATAGAGTAGTTTTTCAACCAGTTTTGTGTGTGTGTTTGTGTGTGTATGTGGTCATTATTGACACTCCCTTCTCTTGCCTGCCTCCAGAGTCTTTTAAGAAATTTTTTTCTTAATTGAAATTAAATTTTTATTAAATTTTAATAACAAATATATTGTATATCTCCTTATGTACTGTATGTATGTCTACTTTGCACACTAAAAGAAAAAGCATAAAGTTTACTTTTATTATTTCTTGATCTGTTAGGAATGGCAAAGTAATTTAACTAAAAGTTAAATTTTTAAAAATTTGACATTTAACTTAACTCTGAGCAGCAACTTTTAATTCACTCTATTTGTTTATATAAATTATCTCAAACAAATTTGCAAATTAAGAATGTATTAGTAATATACATAATAATACAAACATGATGACATGCATAAGTTTCTTAAAGGTAAAAAATGAAATTGTTTTCTTAAGTTTGATTTTTAGTGTACTTAACTTTTAATTTTGCTTTAAAAAATAAACTAATTTTTAATTTCACTAGCTGCTACATATTCATCCAGAGTGTCAGCATTTTATTCTTTTCAGCATTTGACATTAACTGTTGATGTGTTGAAAATATTTAGTAGAATTAAATAATAACATATACATGATTTGTATTTAATTCTCAAAGTCTACCTAATACTCAGAATCCCTGAAGCTCAAACATAAGCAACATCTGGAAGAAAGGCAATCACAGCAAATGATGGAAAGAAAGTCCTCCAGTAAGCCATCTATTCGCCATAGATTTATAACACTGATTGTGCATGTATTTTGTCTGTTTCTACTGAATTCAATGTCAGTATGTCTTGTGCGATACACAAGAAAATTCAATAAGGAAAGTGAACACTAGAGAATAAGATTATGTAAGAATTGAGCTTTGGAGGACCACAAACTATTGTAATATCTGAGAGTTGTTCACACCCCCAAGAACTAATTTCTACAACCTTGGGGGCAATACCATCTCCAATAGAAATACACAACTTTGAAAATATCATCAATTTTATTTTTTTTGTATTTTTGCATTAAAGTTCAAATTCCTCAACATATATTTATAGTTTCTAAACCAAGTCAATTCTATTAAACAAAGAGAAACCATCTTTGTCCTAAATTCATAACTGGATAAATATTATCATGTTAAGCATTAACTTACAACTCCAATCCTGAGCGCTGGGATTTTTTTTTTTCATAGCAAGTTAAGTTGCCTCAGACCTATAGATTCCCTCTCTTAAAATGGTAAGTATGGAATCATCTTTGGCAAATCATCTCTTTAGTAACTGGACTCTGTTCTGTTGACTGCATTATCCTCAGTACCAGGCCTAGTGTACTTATTCAAGAAATAGTTTTTGCTGAAGCAATTTATCATACTTTCTCTTTATACTAGAAGGCATTCATGGGTGACCAAGCTATTTTGTTTCCATCATGGCCATATTTGTTAGGATTATAACAGACAATGGCTAATATTTCCACTCTACTCTTACTAAGTGTCAATAATGATTATAGAATGTATTGCCAAACCCACTGGATATCTAATTCCTTTAAGGTATATACGGCACTGGGAATTCAAATGCAAGCACAACATAATTTTCAGCCTTTGCGTAGCACTATATTAAACTATATTATGACCTCATGTCTAAATTGCCCTCTACATTTTATAATATAAATTAACCAGCCTGGTGTCATAATATCGAGCCAAATGTCCAAACTCAAACTCTCCCTGATTCACACAGCTTACAGCAATCAGACAACAAATTACACTACATTTTGTGGGTAGTACCCCTGTGATCCCCAAGTCATCAATCTTCTAACTTTCCTGCCGTTGTTTAATAAGGCCAACTTCCCAGAATGTGTGTGTGAACTATAAATTGTTGGGACTTCATTTTTCCATCACCCAGAGATCTAGGCTTTAAATCATTTGATGATATTTAGATGACAACAGTATAAAATCAACATGTCTATATGAGGATAGAGATGAGATAGGATCAGTTTTTTAAATAAACTAAATGCATTTTAGTATTTATTATTTTTAGTGATTTACTTAAACTCTTTATATCATTAATTAACTTAGACTCTTTATATCATTAAAATGCTCAGAGTTCTGAAATGGCTACAGGAATTTCCATAGTAAATGAACTTTCTTTCCAAAAATGTATCTTGCAAAAATTAATAACTTTTATAAGGTAATCCAGTCAACACATTTTTATTGGATTTTAGAGTTTAACCTAATCATCATAGCTTTTGAATGCAGGACCGTCCTGCTTAAGCTATTATTCTTAGTCTATCAAACACTGGAAAAGGAACCTTTTTTTTTTTTTTTTTTTTGAGATGGATTCTTGCTGTGTCTCTCAGGCTGGAGTGCAGTGGCAAGATCTCAGCTCACAGCAATGTCTGCCTCCTGAGTTCAAGCAATTCTCATGACTCAGCCTCTCAAGTAGGTAATACAGGCGTATGCCACCACACCTGGCTAATTTTGGTAGAGACAAGGTTTCACCATGTTGGCCAGGCTGGTCTCGAACTCCTGAACTCAAGTGGTGTGCCTGCCTCAGCCTCCCAAAGTGCTGGGATTACAGGCTTGAGCCACCATGCCCTGCTGGAACATTTTTATTTGTTTACCTGGATTGTGCTGGGGACTTATGTATATTCCCTTTTCATGTGATATTTTGCTATGCAAATTTGTTTTGCCACTCCTGGACATGTTTTATTTTCATCTTCATTTCATGTCAATAAGAGTATGTAAATATGACAAAAACAACTGAAATGTACAATGTTTCTATATAGTCCTCATAACACCAGGTGTCTTTCTTTCTCATTTCACTTTCCTAGAAAGTAAAAGTCGTCTGATTTCACATCCCAATGCACAGAGACAGAAATAAAACATTTGTATGTCTAAATGAGAAAAATTTAAGAAGGAACACAATAGAAATTAGAAAATAATAAACTAAAAAACCAAATATACCAAAACTTATACAATGAAGTGAAAGCAGGGCTAAGTGAGAAATTTACAGACATAAAAGCTTATAAAGAAGAGAGTTCAAATCAACAACTGATATAGTTTTGTTCTGTGTCCCCACCCCAATCTCATCTTGTAGCTCTCATAGTTCCCACATGTTGTGGGAGGGACCTGGTGGGAGATAATCAAATTATAGGGGCAGGTCTTTCCCATGCTGTTCTCATGATAGTGAATGGGTCTCCCAAATCTGATAGTTTTAAATGAGTCTCACAAGATCTGATCTGATAGATGAATCGGTCTCACAAGATCTGATAGTTTTAAATGGGTCTCACAAGATGTGATCTGATAGTGAACAGGTCTCATAGGATCTGACAGTTTTAAAAATGGGAGTTTCTCTGCACAATCTCTCTCTTTGCTTGCTGCCATCCATGTAAGATGTGACTTGCTCCTCCTTGCCTTCCACCATGTTTGTGAGGCCTCTCTAGCCATGTGGAACTGTAAGTCCAATAAACCTCTTTCTTTTGTAAATTTCCC
Source organism: Homo sapiens (assembly GCF_000001405.40). Classification (NCBI taxonomy): domain Eukaryota; kingdom Metazoa; phylum Chordata; class Mammalia; order Primates; family Hominidae; genus Homo; species Homo sapiens. The sequence goes on from NC_000009.12 coordinate 21,354,571, forward strand.
AGTCTCAAGTATGTCTTTATCAGGAGCATGAAAACAGACTAATACAACAACCTTATTGTACACCTTAAGTAACTAAAAAAAGAAGCGCAAATAAATAAATAAACCCCTAATCTAGCAGAAGGAAGGAAACAATAAAGCTGGAGCAAAGATAAATAAAATAGAGAATAGAAGAGCAATTATAAAAAAAATCACTAAAACTAGGGTTGATGTTTTGAAAAGTACAGCAAAATCAACAAACCCTTACTAGATTATTTTTTAAAAAAGAGTATACTCATATAACAAAATCAAGAATATAAGAGGAGACACTACAGCTGATGCCACAGAAATAAAAGGTCATAAAACTATGAAAATTATGCTTCAGCAAATTGTATAACCTAGAAAAAAATTGATGAATTCCTAGAAACATACAACTTACCAAGACTGAATCATAAAGAAATAAAAATTTGCAATAGACCTATAAGGGATTGAATAAATAATTAAAAATCCCTGAAAAAAGAAAAGCCCTGGGCCAGATGGCTTCACTAGAGAATTCTATCAAAACTTCAAAAAATTAACAGGATCTTTCTCAAACTATTCCATAAGATTGAAGAGGAGGGAACACTTCCAAACTAATTTATGAATCTTGCATTAACCTGACATAAAATTCAGTGAAGGACATGATATGAAAACTACTACAAACCAATATCTCTGATGAATATTGATGCAAAAACCTTCAGCATAATACTTGCAAACCAAATTTAACAGCACATTAAAACGATTATATAACATGGCTACATGTGATTTATTCCTGGAATATAAGAATGGTTCAACACAGAAATAAATCAATGTAGTAACCTACATGAACAGAATGAAGGGAGGAAAAACCATGATCACCTCAGTTGATGCTGAAAAACCATTTGATAAAATTCAATATCCTTTCATGATTAAAAAAAAAACACTCAACAAACTAGGACTAGAAGGACATTAACTCAACATGATAAGGGCTATTATATGAAAATCCCACAGTAAACATCATGCTCAACTGTGAAAAATTACACGTTTTTATTCTAAGTTCAGGAAAAAGGCAAGAATGTGCTCTTACAACTAGTATTTCAAATCCTGGCCAGAGTATTTAGGCAACAAAAATAAATAACAAGCATCCAAATTATAAAGGAAAAAGTGAAATGATCTCTGTTGGCAGATGACATATTCTTATATGTAGAAAAACCTAAAGATTACACACACACACACACACACACACACACACACACACAGAGAGAGAGAGAGAGAGAGAGAGAGAGGGAGACAGAGAGAAAAGAGAGAGATAACTTATAAATGAATTGAGCAAAGTTGCAGTATACAAAATCAATAAACAAAAATCAGCGGCATTTCTATATACTAACAGTGGATAATCTTAATAGGAAATTAAGAAAATACTCTAATTTACAATAGCATCAAAAAACATAAAATATTTAGGAATAAACTTAACCTAGGATGTGAAAGACATGGACACTAGAAACTACCAAATACTACTGAAAAAATTAAAGATGACAAAAATAAATGGGAAGACATTTACTTGTATCCATCATGGGTTGGAAGACTTAATATTGTTAAAATCTGCATGCTCTCCAAAGTGTTATACAGATTCAATGCAATCTCTATCAAAATCACAGAGGCATTTTTAACAGACATAGAAAAAATATATCCTAAACGTCATGGTCTCTGGGTTGCTGAAACAATCTTGATAAAGAAAAACAAAGCAAGAGGTCTCATATTTCCTAATTTTGAAACATATTATGATGCTACAATAATTAAGGCAGCATGGCACTTGAATAAAAACAGACATATAGACTAATGGAATTAGTTTATTAGTGAATGAGCTTCTCTAGTGCTTTTCTTCTTCTAGGATATATTCATTCAGGTTCATGTGGTTGTGCTTCCCTGGGCACTCAAGATTCGATTAATATGGTCAAGGCCCTTTCTTTCATTAATTTATTTTATTTTTGGAGACAGAGTCTTGCTCTGTCACCCAGGCTGGAGTGCAGTGGCACAATCTCGGCTCACTGTAACCTCTACCTCTCGGGTTCAAGCTATTCTCATGCCTCAGCCTTCCAAGTGCTGGGATTACAGACATGCCCCACCACACCTGGCTAATTTTGTGTGTGTGTGTGTGTGTGTTTGTGTGTGTGTGTTTGTGTGTGTGTGTGTGTGTGTGTGTGTGTGTTTTAATAGAGACGGGGTTTCACCATGTTGGCCAAGCTGGTCTGGAACTCTTGAGCTCAAGTGATCCGCCCGCCTAGCCTCCCAAAGTGCTGGGATTACAGGTGTGAGCTACCCGACCCAGTCCATTATTTTGTTACTGGAGAAATATAGCACTTCTCAGGCTTTACCAATACCCCTAAGAGGAATTTCATTATTTTTTTTCAGGTGCATGTGGGTGTGGAAATTTTAATATCAAAATAATGTTATTTCCTTAGTATCACATCACTCACAAGGTATTTATCACATCAAGTTATTCCGTAAGTGTAGGCTCATCAAATCCTGATGATTTTGGAACTCTTTTCCCAAGGAGGGCCTTGCTTCTTTGTTGCCAAAATAATAAATGCCCCTGACCCTTGCTCTTGCCCCTAGAGTTTTGTGTGAAGGAGTATTTGCTCCCAGTGGTGACCCCCTCATCTCCTGACCCAGATCCTAGGTACCAAAAGTCTCAACACCCCTAGAAGGCTGATTGCAAAGGTTTGTTTTGTCTAAGTAGGTAAAGGAATTATCCTATTGTGATTATTTTATCTTTAGTAGTTAAATAATTTTAACTTTGCCAAGTACAGCTTTTATTCTTCAACTGTTTTGCTATCTTCAACTCTTTTAAACTATGGAACAGTTTTATGCTTGAAATTTCTGAGCTAGGCACAAAAGACTCAAAGGTAATGTTTCTCTTCAGAGGCTCATATTACAGAAAATGGTGACCCTCAGTTGTTCACCAGTTCAGCGTGATCTGTTAAAGTTCTTTGCTCCTCTGTCTATGTGAAACTTTGATCGTGCAGGGCAGTGAGCTCCCATGCTATCATGTTAAACAGTCATAGCCATCTTTCCTTTACTGATTGATTTGTGATTCTTCATTTTAAATTTAAACCTCAACAACAAATGAATTTTTAGAACGCCTTTTTAACGTAGTGGTTTACTGGGCAAAGTTTGTCTTGCTGCTACCACATTACATTCTAATTCACTATGAAGTCACACAAACAAAGGGAAATAAAAGAAAGGCAAAAGAGCCGCAGTGGTTTTCTTTATAATTTCCAGATTTTGTGGTTTTCTTGTCTCTTGTTTCAACTTTTCTAGAAAGTAGTACTTGACAGTTGTTTGTAGGCAGAAAGAAAACAGAAGCCATTCTGACTGTCATGAAAGTGAAAGAAGGGAAGTGACTTTCCCCTGACTAATTGCAAAGTGTAAGTTAGCAAAATTCAATGCAGCAAAAATTGAGGACTAGAGCCTCTGGCAGAGTGAAAACATAACGCCAATGTTGAGGTGCACAAAGGCAGAAAAATGGCTGCATCTGCCAGAGGTTCTAAGAAAAGCAATTCCTGGGTCAATGGACTGAATTCAGCTTTCCAAGACCAGCTACTTGACTTTCTTTCATATAATTCACATGTGATCAGCTCTAGACAGAAGGGAGAAGTCACACCAATCAATTCCCAAAAGCCTGTAAGCAGGCTGCAGTCGCTAGACAACCAACAAAGTTGTCTGGCAGGATAATGCATATTAGCCTTGCCTAAAGACTCCACCTAGTTAATAAATTTACTCAGGCAATGAAAACATAGCCTTGAGAAACCAGGAATTAATGGAAGAGAATTGGATGATCCCAAAAGATTCTATTTTAATCTGGATGATAATATCAAAAATGATAACACCAACATTTATTGCAGGCCTAATAGGGACCATCCACTGTTTTAAGATTTTCCTTTTTGAGACTGGGTGTCACTCTGTCACCCAGGCTGGAGTGCAGTGGTGTGATCCCTGCTTACTGCAGCTTGACCTCCTGGGCTCAAGCAATACTTCTACCTCAGCCTCCTGAGTAACTGGGACCACAAGCAGGCATGACCACATATGGCTAATTTTTTGTAGAGACCAGGTTTCACCATGTTGTCTAGACTGGTCTTGACCTCCTGGGCTCAAGCAATCCTCCTGCCTCAGCCTCCTAATATGCTGGGATTACAGGCATCAGCCACTGTGCCAGGCTGTTTTATGATGTTTTGAAAATACTATCTCTGTCCTCTCAATAACACTATTTGGATTATACTCTTTTATAAAACTATTGGGAGAGAAATATAAATCTGCAGGGATGAACTATTCTGACCACACCAATAATGCAAGGTCGAAACCTTAGGGAGAATCATTATAATGGCTTGACTGGAAGGACCCATTAAAGGAAGGGGGGATAGATATGAATTTATCAACCAAGGAGAGACCAGGGCATAAAATCAATACAGCAGAGAGGGTGAGATGACAAAGGATTCTGAGATTCATTTTGAATGCCAAACATTTGCTCGTGCTGTATAGAGCAACAGGGGGTGTGGTGTAAGTGAATTGAATTAACTGCCTTTAAGTTCTAAGGAAAAGTAGACTAAATATATTCCTTTTTTTTTTTTTTCCTTTTTTGAGACAGAGTCTCACTCTGTCGCTCAGGCAATGGCGACATCTTGGCTCACTGCAACCTCCACAGCCTGGGTTCAAGCGATTCTCATACCTCAGCCTCCTAAGTAGCTGGGATCACAGGCACCTGCCACCATGCCCAGCTAATTTTTGTATTTTTAGTAGAGACAGGATTTCACCATATTGGCCAGGCTGGTCTCGAACTTCTGGCCTCTAGTGATCTGCCTCAGCCTCCCAAAGTGCTGAGATTACAGGCATGAGCCATCATCAAGTGAAAAAATAATTAGTGATGTATTCAAAAATATACTAAAACAACTCTATTAACCCATCAACTACAAACTCCTGGAAGCCAATTTATTTTTTTACTCTTGAGTTTTTTTATGTATTAAGAATAAAGAAAAAGCAATGAACAATTTCCAGGACAGCCCAGCAGTACATGCTCTGATTTTTTGCTCCTTCAGGACTCACAGGTCAGCCTCCCCATCAAACATGTAAACTATAGAGATGTAAGATGTCCCCACCAAACATCTAAACTGTATAGCATCTAAGCAGCCTAAGGCTTTCACCAGATGCCCAGCACTTTGGGAGGCAGAGGCAGATGGATCACTTGGGCTCAGGAGTTCAAGACCAGCCTGGCCAACATGGTGAAACCCCGTCTCTACTAAAAATACAAAAAAAAAAAAAAAAAAATTAGCCAAGTGTGGTGAGGCATGTCTGTAATCCCAGCTACTTGGGAGGCTGAAGCATGAGAATCGCTTGAACCCAAGAGGCAGAGGCTACAGCGAGCCAAGATTGTGCCACTGCACTCCAGCCAGGGCGACAGAGCAAGACTCTGTCTCCAAAAATAAAATAAATTAATGAAAGAAAGGGCCTTGTCCATATTAATCGAATCTTGAGTGCCCAGGGAAGCATAACCACATGAACCTGAATGAATATATCCTAGAAGAAGAAAAACACTAGAGAGGCTCATTCACTAATAACCATCAACCTCTGCTTACTATGTAAACTATAGAGATCTAAGTTGTCCCCACCAAACATCTAAACTATATAGCATCTAAGCAGCCTGAGGCTTTCACTAGTTGCCCAGTCTTCCAGCCAGAAGAATTGTGAGCCAAATAAACATTTTTTTCTTTATAAATTACTCAGCTTCAGGTATTCCTGGACAGTGTAACTGAACCCAGGTGCAGCTGCTCACCCCTCGAAAACCAAACTCAAGAGATGATAGTTGCTGGGGTCGGGGGAAGCAGGTTCATTAGGAAAGCCAGCAAACTGAGAAGATGGTGGACTAGCATCATAAATACCATCTTAAGACAGAACCAATTTTAGGCTCTTTTTATGTTAAGGGCTAGCAGAAGAGGAGGGCGTCAGGATTAAGAGGAGACCTTCAACAGTAGACATCTGGGCACCAGCGAGGGTCCAAGGAGTTTGGAAAATTATTTGTTCTTGGTCAGGTCACAATGCTCCTACAGTCTTTAACAAAACATAGTTGTTTACATCCTTCTTCTTGAATACCAGAGTTAGTTTTAAAAACTACATGACTGTTGTTTTTGCACATTATCTCAGTGCTCTAAAATAATCCCAATCTATGTGCAGGAATGGGTGTAGGCCCCATAAACAAAATGGAGTTCGTTATGTTAGGTATTTTGCTGTCTCACTGCTACAACTGCAACACAAAACGAATGCTTTTAAAGGGCTGCTTGCCAAGGCAAGTCTGGCTTTAACTACAAACTCAGCCACATTGCTTAGTATGGTTGTCTTTGGCTGTGTATGGTTGTCTATGGTTGGCATTATAATAAATGATATTTTCCTGTCATAGTAGTAGAAAGTTTTATCAAAAAATAAATGTTTACAAAGTGAAAATTGTAAGGAACACCTCTTACAACCAAGCAGTTCCAAAGCAAACAGAAACAAATATGGTGGGCTCGCTGAGCACTTTCATGCATTGTTGTGCATCTGTATAAGTGTCATATGCTTTGTGAATTTTTGTTTTGCAATCATTTGTACTCATTCATTCATTTATTCATTTTCCAATGCACTTATTCCATTTCAGGGTCAAGGGTGGCAGGAACCTATCCTCACAGATCAGGGTGTAAGGTGGAAACCCCCACTGGACAGGAAGTTATTTAATCACAGGGCACATTCAAACACACACACACACACACACACACACTCACACACACACACACACTCACTGAGACTGGAGAAATTTAGACAAACCAATTAACTTAACGCGCACATATTTGGGATGCAGGAGGAAACTGAAGTACCTGGAGAAAACTCATGCAGACGTGGGGAGAATGTGCAAACTCCACACAGACAAGGCCCTGGTGGGGAGTCAGTTTCTTCTCTCATCAATGTTACAAGGAAATGACATAGAATGAAATGACGTTATTGGAGGGTCTTCCTGCGACCCTTCTGTTCAAGAATTGTCTTCGTATTGTTGGTCTTTAAAGGAGGCTGCATTGTGAGCAGAATTTAAGAGATCCCTTGGACTGCATTGGTCCCATGAATAATTTTCCCTGCACTGTGATGACGTGCTAGGTTCTAGGGAGAAAACAAAAGTTTGCATCTGGAAGTGGGTTAACCCTCATCCCTCGCTGTACTCTGCAGGCTGCTGTGGTGTCCCTGTTACCCATGCCATGGACACTGATGTTGGCCACAGCTCAACAGAACTCTGTTCTCAGCATCCACTTTAATCTTCTCTCCTTCTGATAGGAATGATCTGAACAGTTGACTTAATGCTGCTCGTTGGTATTATTCCGTCTCCTGAGTACCTGACACTGATGTCTATGCTTTAAACATCTCTGTCCTCCTTCCACGTTCTCAGGCTGCTGCTGGCTCTTCCAGCTTATTCCAGTGCATGATGTGCACTTTCATTGTTTGAACAAATGAGAGTCCTGTGCCTGGTGCAGTCTCTTCCTGAAGGACTCAGAACTTCGAAGCTTCTAAACAGAGTCACAGATGAGCTCCTGCATTCTTTATCAGCTCAATGGACATAGAGGTATAGGCAGGACTCCCTTCATTTACTGCATTTTGATGCCAGACTGGACATCAGAGGGTCTACACCCCTACAGCTCATGACTCACCTGGCAGGAAGGGTGGAAGTAAGGCCACACGCACACTCTTGCTTCTGAGGCTTGAAAAACATGACTATCTCCAGAGGGTGCTTCATGGTGATACCTCGCCATGTCTCTCTGGGCACTGGGCACTGATCCCTGCCTCCCCACACCTTTTCTCAGGTGGACTAGATGTTCCTGGGTGGAGGTGGGCCTGGGAGCAGTAAACCTGTCTCCTCAGTGGGACGAGGGCAGGGCCAGCGGCCCAGCACTCAGTGTCCCCACCACGCCCTCGCCTAGGTATCTCGAGACCTGCTGCTGGGTTCCCCAGTACTGTAGATTATATATAACAACTTAAAAACTCTGAGATATGAAACGAGATATGGCTATAGAGATTTATCAGGGCAGGGTGACAATATGATGCCAAATCACAACTTTTAATATAAACATAGTATAAACTATAATATAAATATAATGAAAAATTACCTTAAAAATGTAATCAGTTACCCAAGAATAGAAGGGGTTCTAATATTTGAATGGCTAATTTGGCGGTCACAAAAGACAGAACCAAGTGAATCAAAAAATGTTCCCATTGTCCTGCCCCTAAACTGGTTCCCTATAAGTGGTGGAGGAGGAAAGGAAAAATGGTTTAATATGTGAACTATGGCCCTCTAACTCGGGAATAGAAGAGAAATAATCTAATAGTTGGACCTCTAACCTGAGTCAGACAGCTGACAGATCCCTGCTAAATTGAACCCTTGCCCTGCTAGCTGAGCAATTGACACCTGCACAATTCACACACATTTTCTTATTACTTCCTTAGTTGCAATGTTGCCAAGATGCCTCTCTATTCTACCCTGTTGACACCTGTGGCAATCACTGCATTCTCTGAAGTTCCTTTATTTATGTCAGTGGTCTCTCTATTGAATCAAGGTGGAATTGATGCAAGCTCATTCCTTATTCAAAGGGAGAGTGAAAACTTTCTCAATTATAAAGTTGACAGAAATTATCTGATAGGAGGAATAAATTTGTAAAACTGACAACTTACTCAAAAGAGTTAATGTGCCTTCAAACAGGAGAGTTTTCCTGATTTCCCTTGAAGTGCCACAGTCAGATGGGATGGCTCTCACCTCCATGTGACCTGCAGTAAGTAGAGGGAGGGATGAGTCAGGAGACCCTGGGAGGCTGCACAGGCTGGAAGCAGGGGACACATCCTGACCTTTTCTCTCCCCAGGGTTGCACATTGTCCAAAGAGGACATGTCCTGCCTGAAGCTGGGAGTATTTTCCCTCTCTAAGATATGAAAATTAAAGAAATGGGCTCATTCCAGTATTTGGGTCAGTTGTTTCCAGGAAAGTTCCTCTTTTTAGCTCTGAAGAAAAAGGTGCTGGAAGGAGACAGACTTATACAAAGAACAGACTTTCCCACTGTCTCTGGTCTTGGCAGGTAGGTGGCTCTCTCACAGTGTGAAGTTACCCTTGATACCCCAAAAGCCAAAGAGATCAGGGAACTCACGGCAAGGGAGAGCAGAGCTCCAGACATGAGAAGGACCTACCCATGACTCTTGGGGCTTCATGAGGAAGACAGGAAACTCTATGTAGTGGGGCATCTGTGGCTACTTTCTCTCTCTCTCTCTTTTTTATTTGCATTCTTCGAGGAGTCCCAGGCTTTCTAGAAGTATTCTCTACAACCCTTTATGTGGTAGCCAGAACTCTGATGTTTCTGCTTAGTAATTTTCCATCCACTGACCACCAAATGCAGAGGCAGGGGCTTGTCAATGATAAGAGAGAGCTAGATGAACGACTGAAAATGGCAGAAGTAAATAGAAGAACAAGTCTTAGAGGAGCCAGACTGGGGAGATCTTAAGCTTCTTCAAAAGGCCAATGAAGTTTTACATTTTTTTAAGCAAAAATCCTGCCTACAAGAAAGGAAGCAAACAGAGGATTCAAATATATAATTTAAAAAGGCTTAAGTTTACAGAAAAAATGTTTCCATGGGATAAACAAGATCCCAAGGAGAAAATCAGAAAGACCCTTAAAAAATGGTAGCCTTGATACCCACTTTAAATTAAGCTAATAATTGAATACAGAGCTCTTAAAATTACTTTAAAACCCCTTACCGGATTTCGGCAAGAACAAACAACCCATATTTCTAATGTTTGAAACTTTCTTTTTTCTCTTTTCTTTTAAAACAAAGACACCTACCAAGTGACTCAGTACCAAAACCAAGCCTTTTTTGACTTCACCAAGGATGCATAAGACATCTTCAAAGAAATGCCAAGATGCAGTCCTCTCAAAATTCAGAGCCACCTCTAAAGATCGCCGCAAGAAAGAAATATTTAGACACCTCGAGAGCTGGCAATAGTCAATATGTAAACTTTTAATGGGCGCCTCCAACTTTTGGTTTGGCCTCCTGCACACACCGAAGGGCATCCTGATAGGCAGCAAGCCAAGTCAGGTTCTCAGGACACAAAACAGCAAAACGACAGCTGTCTATTGAAGGGAAAGGATCAATAACACATGGGTCCCATAAATCCAAATTTACACAAGAGAACAATTCAAACAAATGATCTTCTCCTGATGACCTGCATTTGGAAAGGAAGAAATAAAGATAAATTTTTACCTTTAGTTCTTGACCAGACACTACAAGCAGAAATTCAGAACTGAACTTGGTAAAAATTCTTACCTTTACTGGCAAGCTCTTTATCAGCATTTTACCTGGACCTCATCAGTAGGTGAGTCAGGTGCTTCAGGCATCCCATCTTCATCACCACAACTATAGGGGTAGAAATAGTGTGATCTCTTTCCTTCCTATCAAAAGGGTCACAGCTCACACGCCTAAAACAAAAGACAGCTTAACAAGAGAGAAGCATAACACATTTATTTAATCACAGGTTTATATAACTACGGAAGCCTTCAAAATGAAGACCCAAAGTACAGGAAAAAACTATCCATTTTTATGCTTATGTTCCATGAAGAATGGCCAGCTGTGTAGAAATGTGATTAGACAAAAAGGGCATCATCTAATGCTAATATTCTGAGTAGGGGAAACCCAACAAGGCCTTTCTGGTCAGATACTTCTTGGCCCCTCCATACACCATTCCTTCCTCTTGGGTATGTGGCAGAGCTCTTTTTGGAATGGGGGTCTTAGTATCTACAATCAAACAAGGCAGGTGAGAGAATTTCTTTATGGCCAGTTCAGTTCTTACACACAAAGGTGAGGGAAAGTTAGAGTCATATTTTCAGATTTTATGGCTGGCTTTGGGGAAAAGGGTCTCCCTCAGGAGATGAGGCGTGACAAACAGCAGGGCAGGAGAAGGCCAGAGAGAAACTTTGCTTCTGAAGCTGCTTCTGAGAACTTCACTTTGGGGTATTATTTTTGAGCCTCAATAGGAGTGAAAATGAGATCCAGAAAAGCTGGGGAAGAAGGAAAGAACTGTGCTGGGTATCGGAATCAGCAAATGAATGGTATGTATATTTCACTTAGGTTTAAGAAAATAAACTCTTCCAGATTTTCCTGTAAGATACCGTATCCTGACTGAATATACACATCAGACTTATCTTCAGTACGAAGGGTGACTATTTTTCAGTTTTCTCCAGAATACTCCAAGAATTCTGCGTTTTAGATTCTTATGTGTTATGGAGATTGAGGAGAGAAGAGAACATTCCCTTTTCTGTTTTCTCATTTTCTTTTTTTTCTTTTCTTTTCTTTTTTTTTTTTTTTTTTTTTGGGGACGGAGTATTGTTCTATTGCCCAGGGGCTGTAGTGCAGAGGCGCCATCTCTGCCTCCGGGGTTCAAGTGATTCTCCTGCCTCAGCCTCCCGAATAGATGGGATCACAGCTACCCAACACCATGCCTGGCCAAATTTTTGGTTTTTAGTAGAGACAGGGTTTCACCATATTGTCCAGGCTGGTCTTGAACCCCTGAACTCAAGTGATCCACCCACCTTGGCTTCCAAAGTGCTGAGATTACAAACATGAGCCACTGCACCCAGTCCCTTTTCTGATATATATGCACTAATTAAGAAAATAATAACCATATATTTATAAAATAAGAAAATAAGCATATATACATATGTTTTATATATATACACTATATATAAAATATATATATAGTGTGTGTGTGTATGTGTGTGTGTGTGTATATATATACATATATATACGTATATATATATATGTACGTATATATATACACACACACACACATACACACACACACACACACACACATACATTCTAGAGGCTGGTCTGCCTGAGATTTAGGCAGAGACACAGTTCCAGACCATATTAATCACCATTGTCTCTATTTGTCCATCCCTCTGTTTCCTTTGTGGCTCTTCTCTTCCTTCCCTTTAAAGGTGGAAGGTCCTTAGAATCACGTTTAAGTCCTTTTCTCTGTCTACACTCTCTCCACACATGAGCACTTTCATTTCTGGGATTTTGCTTGCCACATATGAACTCCCAGCAATTGCATTCCTTATAATTTGCAAACTCACATATCCAACTGGCAATAGACAGTTTCTACCACATGTTGTATCAGTCAACTTATAGAGGATATCTGTTTATTTTTATTTCCTCACATGTTTCAGTTTACCTCCTGCCGAAAGAAATCATTGTTCATTCCTTTTTCTCCTTATAGTATTCAGGATAACTGATACTAAGTATGATTACTATTTTTAGTTTTATTCCATACAAAAATCAAACATGCAAGAGAGTAGGAAGTAGATTTATTGTATTCACCTTTATAACTTGAGTACAACATACAACCTGGTTTAGAGAAAGGTCATTTTTACTTACATCTCTCATATAATAATGATGAGTAAATAAATTATACCCTTTATTCTCTCATCAGGTTGCACAGTCAGGCTAGGAATTTTGTATTAAAGAATGAACACATACAGGAAGTTCCTATAGTAAAAGTTTAATGAACAACATAAAATAATGAATTGAGTAGATATAAGGAACATGTTTTATTACACTAACCACAGTGTAAAGATGCACATGATGTTATATGAACAAAAATAATTTAAATCTTATGAATAGCTAAATAAATATTTAAATAGATAAATCAGTTTATCAGCATGGTCATAGTTATAGCAGAAGTGAGAGTCTTTGAAATGGCAGAATTCATGAAAGCGTGACCTGGTATATGAGTCAATAAGAATTGTTTCATGTTGGACCAGGTGTTATTCCTTCCTCCTTAATCTTTCTTGCAAGTTTGTTGATAAAGAGAGGGATCTCATGATTTCTGCTCTGACAACCTCCCAGGCACAAGGGCTGTATTTCTTCTCTGTCAGATAGAGAGTGATTCTTCGGAAGTATTTCTTCACAGCCAAGATGGAGTCCGCATTCATCAGGGGAGTTTCTCCCACCCTCTCCTCCTGCATCACACAGGCTTCCAAGTCATTCAGCTGCTGGTAGAGTTCGGTGCAGAATTTGTCTAGGAGGTCCTCATCCCAAGCAGCAGATGAATCTTTTGTGGTAAAGAGGTTGAAGATCTGCTGGATCAGCTCATGGAGGACAGAGATGGCTGGAGCCTTCTGGAACTGGTTGCCATCAAACTCCTCCTGGGGAAATCCAAAGTCATGTCTGTCCATCAGACAGGAGGAAGGAGAGATTCTGCTCATTTGTGCCAGGAGCATCAAGGTCCTCCTGTTATCCAGGCTGTGGGTCTCAGGGAGATCACAGCCCAGAGAGCAGCTTGACTTGCAGCTGAGCACCACCAGGGCCATCAGTAAAGCAAAGGGCGAGGCCATCATAGATATTGCAGATGCTTCTGGGCTTGCTGAGATGGGTGACTCTGAACCTTGGGCTCTAGGTTCTCTGAAGGCTTTGCTTCCTGCAGATGCCTTAAATAGGGAACATACTGATTTCCACTTTCTTAATGCTTCTGGACCACTTTCCATTTCTGTTTTTGCTTTCCTTCTTGAACTCTTTACATGAGTTTAGAGCCGTGTTTCTCAACCATTTTGTTTTTCATTATTGTCTCCCCCATCTTGTTCCCAGAGACTTTTTAGATTTTTTTTCCTAATTGAACCCACCGTGAAAATTTAATAACACAGATATAATATCTATCTATTTGTGTACTATATGTATATCTCTATACTCAAAAAGTACAAAGTTTAATCATTTTATTCAATGCAAGTTTAAAAATAACCAAATGAAAATTTTAAGATAAAAGTTAAATTTAAACGCTATTCAAATTTAACTTAACTTTATAACTAAATTTGCTTGTGGGCTTCAATATAGTTTATTTACTGATATAAATTGTAATGTATTAAATTACATAAGAAATTTAACAAATTATAAACATTATCTAATGTTTCTAGATAAACATTATACAGCTAAGTAATGAATGTTTATGAATTATTTGAAACTGATAAAGACTTAATAATTTAAAATATTTTTATCATTTATTTTTATTATACTTAACTTTTAATTTTGTTGCATGTGAGAAAATTTTTAACTTCACTAGCTGCTAGATACTCACCTAGAGAGTGTGAAGAATTTTTTCTTCAATTCTTGACCTAAATATAGATGTGTTGAACAACTTCAGTAGAATTGTTAAAATATAAATTATTTATATTTCATTTCAAAGCCCACAACACAGACAGAAATGCTAAGGATCAAACATAAGCAATATCTATAAGATGGCCAGTGACAAACCATATGTATGCAGAGGACACCTCTCATGATATGACTTTGAGATCTAATACATCTTGGAAAGTACTCCAATCACAGCTACCCATTTGCCATAGGTTTGTAATGCTGAACTTTTATACCTTTTGTGTATCTTCCATGAACTCAATGTCAGTGCTTCTCATGTGATACACAAGAAAACCCAATGGAGAGAAAAAAAAAAAAACTAAGGAATAAGATTTTGTTAAATAGGTTGAGCTTTGAAGGGCCACAAACCATTTAAATATGTAAGATTTGTTCCCACTCCCAAGAACTAACTTCTACATCCTTGGGAGTAGTATCATATGCAATGAGAATACACAATTGAAAAAACATCCTCGATTTGATTAAAAATTTTTTGCATGAAAGTTCAAATTTCCAAGGTGCCTTCAGAGGTTCTTTGCTGATTCCTAGCAAACTAAAGGAAACTATCTTTGTCCTAGATGCGCATAATAGGATGTAAATATAATAACATAAATAAGTAGACAATTGTTTTACATAGCATGCCAGACACCAGATATCTTTCTTTCTCATTTCATTTTCATAGAAAGCAAAAGTTGTCACTTTTTGCATCCTAACTAATGGGAACAAAAAGATAACACAAGTGGCCGGGCGTCGTGGCTCACATGTGTAATGCCAGCACTTTGAGAGGCCGAGGCAGACGGATCATCTGAGGTTGGGAGTTTGAGACCAGCCTGACCAACATAGTGGAGGTTAAGGGGTGGGAAAGAACAGAAGCAAAATAGTAGAAGGGATGTAGGTCAAGGTAACACGTAAGTATGGGCTGGAAGAAAAGTAATTACTCCTGGTCCACAGTGTGTTTTCAGATTTACCGAACCCCATCTTGCAAATATACCAACTGCAAGAGTTTATACACAAGAAAGAGAAATTTTTGAGAGTACAATATTCTCTCTGGAAAATGGGTCAGTGTTCATTGCACCAAGCTCTCCACTATTGGATAAGTAAACTTAGAAGGTCAGTTTTTTTCTTCTTATATTTCTAGTAAGAAACAAGAGAATTGATAATTTCAGAGGACACTTCCCTAACTTTTAATAGAGTTATATAATAAAGATAATGTTAATAAGAGAAATGAAATATCAGGCCGGGTGCGGTGGCTTACGCCTGTAATCCCAGCACTTTGGGAGGCCGAGCTGGGCAGATCACCTGAGGTCAGGAGTTTGAGACTAGCCTGACTAACATTTTGAAACACCGTCTCTACTAAAAATACAAAATTAGTCTGGTGTGGTGGCACATGCCTGTAATCCCAGCTGAAGCAGAAGAATTGCTTAAACCCAGGAGGTGGAGGTTGCAGTGAGCTGAGATCATGCCTTTGCACTCCACTTGCACCCCAGCCCAGGCAACAAGATTGAAATTCCGTCTTAAAAAAAGAAGGAATGAAATATCTAAATTGTGGAAAGTCTTTATTTATTTTCAGTCAGACACTGTTTTTAGCACTTGCATAATCAATGCTTACTTAATCAATAAAGAATATCCATTTTTCATATTTACTGAACGTCTACCATGTACCTAGCCCCATTTATTCACTAGATATATCACTGACCAAAGCACACAGTGATAGATTTTACTATTATCCCCATATGCAAAAGAAAAAAAATGAAATCCCAGGGAGCTATTAAGTTGTGGAGCCACAGTTTGGATGGAGAAAATTCAGCTCTGAAGTCTTACTTCTTACATGCTCTCTGGGACTATTTCTGGACAAAAGAACCAGAGCTGATTTCTAGGACAATCAATGTTTTCCTAGTAGAGTCCTTACTATGTAATGACAGGGTCTT
Organism: Homo sapiens; assembly: GCF_000001405.40. Lineage (NCBI taxonomy): Eukaryota > Metazoa > Chordata > Mammalia > Primates > Hominidae > Homo > Homo sapiens. Next base: position 21,370,723 of record NC_000009.12, read on the forward strand.
TCTCTTCAGTTTCCATTTGTCTTCTTCATTGAAATGCCCCATTTGTCCATGCCAACATGTTACATTACAATTAAATTGGGCCCCACTTTACTTTCACATTATATTCTAGTTTTGTCTTCTTGAGGATACACCATCATAAGCATGAACATATTTGTAAAACATATTGTTCACCCCAGTGAATATATTCATCAACCCTTTATATTTCTGTCAATTTAAAATTCTACATAGTACTATTCTTTTAATCAAATATCCACAATACTTTAGATTTCCCCATGTGTAGCACAAATTTAAGAAAGAACGAGTCACTGTCAGGCTAGAGACATGAACTAAATCAGAACTAAACCAAGGAACTAAGGCTCAGAGCTCAGGGAGAGCACACCTGGAAAGGTTGACTAAAGGGATTATTAAAGGTGTGGAAATGGAAACACTTCTAGAGAAATTAGGATAGTCCATGGCATTAGAGAATGAGGACTGAGATGACAAAAGACCCTGAGTCACCTGACTTGCCAGCTGGTTGATGCTTTTTATGTTGCAGGTCACCAGAGTGTGCTGCAGTGTTGATTGTACTGCCTTAATTTAAGGATCTGGTAAAGAAAAATTTATGCTGACACTTGGTATAACAGTAAAGAAGACTTATTCAGAAGTATTGCAACAGGCGTCAAAACTATCACAATAGGTGTATTAGTTCTTGCACTACTATACAGAAAAACCTGAGACTGGGTAACTTAGAAAGAAAAGAGGTTTAATTGGCTCATGATTCTGCAGACCATACAGGAAGCATGGCTACGGAGGCCTCAGGACACTTACAATCATGGCAGAAGGCTAAGGGGAAGCAGGCATGTCCTGCATGACTGGAGCAGGAGGAGAGAAGCAGGGGAGGTGCTGCACAATTTTAAACAACCAGATCTTGGAATAACTCACTCTTACCATGACACCACCAGGGGGATGGTGTTAAACCGTGAGGAACCGCCCTATGATCCAATCACCTCCCACCAGGCCCCGCCTCCAACACTGGAGATTACAATTCCATGTGAGATTTGGAAGGGGATGCTGACCCAAACCATATCAATAGGGGAGAGAGACCAATTGGTGCTCAGCTCAAAAATCAGCAAAGAGAGCCTGGGGTTTATACCCAACAAGCAGAATGAGGGGTCAGATAGAAAATCAGTAAAAGGAGACATCAAAGGCAGGGGGATCCTTCCTAAGCTGAACATAATTCTTTCTAAAGGCAAGCCAGGGTAATTACATATTGAGTGTGTGGGATGAACAATTTGATCATATATCAAGGGTAAATCAGCTATCAAGCGTGGAAGCATTCTCATAAAACTAACTTAGTAAGATTCCTGCTACAACTGGACTTGGCAGACCTAAGAATGGACCCAAAGGCACGAGCCAGTCAACGAGAGAGTTTGGAGGAGACTGACTAAAGTTTGGCAAAGGACAGAGTCATTGTCAGAACCTTAAGGGGTAAGAGACAGAACTGTCTGCTAAACAGTTACAAGGGAGATTAAATTTTATGTCTTTTGAAAACAATACCATTTAATGAAAGATTTTAATCAGTGAAATAAATATTTTTAAAATTTTAATCAGTAATGTTAAAAATTCTGGAAGCCGATTCATTTTTATCTTGTATTTCGAAACAATTCTAGACCTATAGAGAGTTGCAAAGATAGTACAGGGAGTTCTCTTCCCTTCACTCAGCTTCTCCTAATGTTAACAACTTACATAGCCATGAAACAATGATCAAAACTAAGAAATTAAAAGTGGTGCATTAATATTTGCTAAACTTGGCCAGTCACTGGTGGCTTACACCTGTAATCCCAGCACTTTGGGCGGCCAAGGCGGGTGGATCGAGGTCAAGAGATTGACACCATCCTGGCCAACACTATGAAACCTTGTCTCTACTAAAAATACAAAAATTAGCTGGGCTTGTTGGCTCCTGCCTGTCGTCCCAGCTACTCAGAGGCTGAGACAGGAGGATCGCTTGAACCCGGGAGACTGAGGTTGCAGTGAGCTGAGATCGCGCCGCTGACCTCCAGCCTCGGCGGCAGTGCGAGATTCCGTCTCGAAAAAAAAAAAAAAAAAAAAAGAAAAAACAAACAAAGAAAAAATTTGCTAAACTTCAGGCTTCATTGTGATTTCCTTAACTTTTTGACTGATGTCCTTTTTCTGATTTAAGATTCAATCCAGGGTCCCATATTACATTTCATTGTCACATCTCTTTATTCTCCTCTCATCTATAACATGGGCTGAGTCTTTCCTGACTTTCATGACCTGGGGACTATTAAAGAATATTGGTCAGTTACTTTGTAGGATGTTCCTCAATTTGGATGTGTGGAATTTTCTCATGGTTACATTATAGATTTAATGGATGAATACAATGGAGTACATGCTCATTACATCGAATAATATAGGAAGCATACAATATCAATAACTTATTGCTGCTGATATTAAATGAATCACTTGGTTAAGTTGTTGTCTGCCAGGTTTCTCCTATGTAAAATTACTATTTGTCCCTTTCCATACTGCTTGTGTCAGAAACATATCACGAATATGAGCCCACATTAAAGGGAGGATAATTACATAGAGAACAATGTATACAAGAATTTGTTGATGTATATTAAAACATCACAGTAATTTTTTTTCTCTTCTCTTTTTTTTATTATTATTATACTTTAAGTTTTAGGGTACATGTGCACAATGCGCAGGTTAGTTACATAGGTATACATGTTCCATGCGGGTGTGCAGCACCCATTAACTCGTCATTTAGCATTAGGTATATCTCCTAAAGCTATTCCTCCCCCCTCCCCCCACCCACCAACAGTCCCCAGAGTGTGATGTTCCCCTTCCTGTGTCCATGTGTTCTCATTGTTCAATTCCCACCTATGAGTGAGAATATGCGGTGTTTGGTTTTTTGTTCTTGTGATAGTTTACTGAGAATGAAGATTTCCAATTTCATCCATGTCCCTACAAAGGACATGAACTCATCCTTTTTTATGGCTGCATAGTATTCCATGGTGTATATGTGCCACATTTTCTTAATCCAGTCTATCATTGTTGGATATTTGGATTGGTTCCAAGTCTTTGCTATTGTGAATGGTGCCGCAATAAACATACATGTGCATGTGTCTTTATAGCAGCATGATTTATAGTCCTTTGGGTATATACCCAGTAATGGGATGGCTGCGTCAAATGGTATTTCCAGTTCTAGATCCCTGAGGAATCGCCACACTGACTTCCACAATGGTTGAACTAGTTTACAGTCCCACCAACGGTGTAAAATTGTTCCTATTTCTCCACATCCTCTCCAGCACCTGTTGTTTCCTGACTTTTTAATGATTGCCATTCTAACTGGTGTGAGATGGTATCTCATTGTGGTTTTGATTTGCATTTCTCTGATAGCCAGTGATGGTGAGCATTTTTCATGTGTTTTTTGGCTGCATAAATGTCTTCTTTTGAGAAGTGTCTGTTCATGTCCTTTGCCCACTTTTTGATGGGGTTGTTTGTTTTTTTCTTGTAAATTTGTTTGAGTTCATTGTAGATTCTGGATATTAGCCCTTTGTCAGATGAGTAGGTTGCAAAAGTTTTCTCCCATTCTGTAGGTTGCCTGTTCACTCTGATGGCAGTTTCTTTTGCTGTGCAGAAGCTCTTTAGTTTAATGAGATCCCATTTGTCAATTTTGGCTTTTGTTGCCATTGCTTTTGGTGTTTTAGACATGAAGTCCTTGCCCATGCCTATGTCCTGAATGGTATTGCCTAGGTTTTCTTCTAGGGTTTTTATGGTTTTAGGTCTAACATTTAAGTCTTTAATCCATCTTGAATTAATTTTTGTATAAGGTGTAAGGAAGGGATCCAGTTTCAGCTTTCTACATATGGCTAGCCAGTTTTCCCAGCACCATTTATGAAATAGGGAATCCTTTCCCCATTGCTTGTTTTTCTCAGGTTTGTCAAAGATCAGATAGTTGTAGACATGTGGCATTATTTCTGAGGGCTCTATTCTGTTCCATTGATCTATATCTCTGTTTTGGTACCAGTACCATGCTGTTTTGGTTACTGTAGCCTTGTAGTATAGTTTGAAGTCAGGTAGCATGATGCCTCCAGCTTTGTTCTTTTGGCTTAGGATTGACTTGGCGATGCGGGCTCTTTTTGGTGCTATATGAACTTTAAAGTAGTTTTTTCCAATTCTGTGAAGAAAGTCATTGGTAGCTTGATGGGGATGGCATTGAATCTATAAATTACCTCAAGCAGTATAATTTAAAAATCTTTTGGAGGGTGATACATTGAGGATATGCGTTCATCCTCAATTCCTTCAAAGTTTTGCTCACTTGTTTTATGATTTGCCTGTGAATCTTGCCTATTACAATTATTTTTCGGTGATATTCCATTTTTCTCATTGTTTCTATATTTATTATTCAAAATGTTTCTGAAAGAGTTGGCCCTCCTCTCCGATTTATGATTATCCACCCACTCATTTACTTATATCAGTATGAACTCATGGATATTTATTCTATTATTTGGGTTATAATCAAATACTATCACTATTTTGTTGCTCTACTTGTCCCAACTTTGGCTATTGGAAGCTCTTTCAGGTTGACTCCTCTGTGTTTTTGATGTGCACCTATAGTTTTTGTTTCTGGGCCCTTCCCTATCTTCTGATACCACAAGATACTCCAGAGTATCCTGGTACTTCCATGCCCTATACCTGGAATCATTTCTTTCTCCCAGAAGTCCTCATGCATTTTATTGGACATTGGTTAAATGCCAATTTAGCTGAGCAAATAATAAATGCTAAAAAATGAGAATATATCAATTTTTCAAAATTCTAATCCAGCATAATAAGGTTTATTCTAGCCTTACCATTTTGATTATTTGAAACTTCTTTTCCCAATTCTGAGATACCTGGCTTATATTATCCACAAGATTTTACTTATTTATTTAACCCTAGTAATTCATGTTAAGTAGTTCCAGAACAACTAACCAGAATCCCTGTGAGAAACCAATCTACCACCTAAAGCGTCATACCTATGTACAGCTCTTTCGTCTTCAGCCTTACACTCTGTAGTCACTAAATGGTTGGACAGAGTATTTGTCATTATCAAAAGGCTTTTGTCATATATTCATCACATTATTTTTTCATAGTCTCCATTCAACTTTGGTTTCTGTTGCCAATGTGGTTGATTTTTTAAAAATACATACAGTACAATTTACATCTTTTGTTGACTAGTTCCCCAGGTTTTAACCAGTGAATACAGGCACAGCTTATCTATCTTTACTTGAAGTTTTCTTGTAAGTTTAAAGCTGAACAAAACTTTCCACCAATTTATACCATGACAGTGCCTAAGCATGCAAGATCTGACGTTTCTCCTTTAGGTCGTTGTTAGTTGCATTGATGACCCTCTTGAGGTCAGTCTACTGTTTTAATTACCAACAAATATACATCGAATCTCACATATTCCCCAATTTGGAATTCTTGTTGTTCTCCCAGATGATGGAGCCCTCTGAAGGTCTTGTAGAGGATTCTGTGAAGAAGGTGGATTAGAAAACACCAGAACTCAGTCTCCCCATCTAGATAACAGTTGCAATGGCAAAATCTACCTGATATAACTATTTTGGAACTCTGGACTATATTTCAGGCTTGGAACTTCCAGGGGAAGTCTTGGATGGTAAATTGTGATTAATTTCAGTCAATTTTAGCTTTAATCACATTAGTATCAACAGATCCTCTACAGTTTTCCACACCTAGTCTCCATGGCAGGCAGCTGTGCCCATGTTCCAAGAGCAGCTTGCACTGAGCTGATGGGAGCCAGTGTTGGCAAAAAGCATACTTTCTCCAAATATCAGGGACCTGTGTCCTATTTTCTGGTTGCTGTTTTTGATCCCCTTTGTTGCAAGGCCCACCCTCCAGCTGAAGTGACTTCCAAGGTATGAAACAGCCAGCACCCTCCCCATCTCCTCCTTTATTTTTTTCCCCTTTTCGGCAACCGGGCATTAAAAACTAGGACATTCAAGGTGAAAGTTAGAGAGTGACTGCATATGTCTAGGGAAAGGTGCAGACTCAGAAACACCCTGAGAAGACCTTAAGATCATACCTCAGGACAATCTTTACACAGAGACAGCCTGCAACAATCAAATCAAGAACAAAATAATATCAACAATCACCAAAGACTGGGTAAGGGGTTAATCTTATTTCCAGAATTACTACATTATTAGATTTGAATGTCGAGTTTTCAACAATAAAAATAATCACAATTTTCTGTGTTAATAGTACATTAACACATAAAAATATGGCCCATTCAAAAAAAGGTCTCAGAAATCATACCTAAAAAAGATTTGATAGCAAATCTACAAGATAAAGACTTTGAAGTAACTCTTAAAGATGCTCAGAGAATTAAAGGAAGATGTGGAGAAAGTCTCAAAAATGATGCACAAACAAAATGAAATTATCAATAAAGAGATAGACAACCTATAAAGAAAACAAAAAAAAAATCTGGAGCTAAAAAGTGAAATAACTGAAATGAGCACTGAACATTTTATTAGAGGGATTTAAAGGCACATTGGAGTAGACAGAAGAAAGAATTAGTGAACTTGAAGATAGGACAATGAAATTATCACGTCTTAGAAACAAAACAAAAATGATTAAATAAATGACTCAAATCTAAAGGAACCATGTACACCATCCAGTGGACTTGAATGGGGAGAATCATCATGACCTGTGTCCCCAAATAATTGTAGTTTTCTTCTCATTGTTTAATCATATAATGGCTTTTGAATATATGTGTTAATGAGTAAGTTTTCATTGGCCATTTCCTCTTACTTTCATCCAGATTGCCAGGTATCAAATAGCTTGATGTCCTCCAAATGGCATGGTCCTGCAGTCCTTTCAGTCTATGAGAAATCGTGAACATAAGCTTTAGGATCTGTCCTTGATGTTATTTTCTTGTAGCTGCTGATTAGGCTACCAATACATTACCCAAAAAAATGCAAAATCAATGTTGGAAACATTGTTAATGATGTTCAGTAATAAAAATTACTGAAATAAGCACTGCTTCCTAATAAGACAAGAAAATACATGATAGTCATCCAAATAGAAAAGAAGAAAGTAAAACTTGTTTATGAAAAATGACTTCATCCTCTAGAAAATTCTTCAGATTCTTTAAAAAATATGCTAGAATTTACTAGTCAATTTATCCGAGTCAATATACAAAAATCAATAATATTTCTTTATATGCGCAACAATCAGAAATTTAATCTTTAGAATATAATTTATAATATTATGAAGCATTTAAAATACTTAGGAATAAATTTATAGGAAGACATATACATTGAAAACTATAAAATATTGCTGATAGAAAATAGATAAGACCTAAACAAATGGAGAGATATATTGAGCTAATGGATTAAAAGACTCAGTAATGTTAAGATATCAGTTATAATCACATTGATCTACAGATTCAATGCAGTATCAGTCAAAATTTCACCAGACTTTTTTCTGTAGAAATTGACAAACAGATTCTAATATTTATGTGGAAATGCAAAGGAACAAAAATAACCAAAATAACTCGAAAATGAAGAAAAATGTTGGAGATCTATAATCTCTAATTTTAGGACTTATATTACTAAAGTAATCAAGACAGTGAAGTATTAAAGAGAAACAAATGTATCAGTGAAAGAGACAATAGTTTGCACAAATAGAACCTACATATACTGTTTATTGATTCTCAACACAAGCACAAAAAGCATTCAATTTTTAAAAAGAAAAATTGAGTAAACAAGTAGTGCTGGGATACACATCTCTATAAAAATGATAAATCTTGACCCATATTTTACAGAATATACAAAAATTAAATTTTGAAATGTGCTCATTCCAGTATTTGTTCAGTTGTTTCCAGGAAATTTCCTCTTTTTAGCTCTGAAGAAAAAGCCGGTGGAAGGAGACAGACTTATACATAGAACAGAATTGGCCACTGTCTCTGGTCTTGGCAGGTAGGTGGCTCTCTCACAGTGTGAAGTTACCCTTGATACCCACAAAACCCAAAGAGATCAGGGAACTCAAGGCAAAGAAGAGCAGAGCTCCACATCTGAGAGAAACTACCCATGACTCTTGGAGCTCCACGAGGAAGACAGAACACCCCATGTAGTGGAGGGTCCGTGGCACTCTTTTTGCATGCTTCAAGGGGTCCTAGGTTTTTTTCAAGTGTCTCCTACATTCCCTTTTGTGGTATCCGGAACTTTGATGTTTCTGCCTAGTAATTTTCTGTCCACTGACCACCAAATTGAGGAGGCAGGGGCTTGAAGGGTAATGTATCGATGATAAAAGAGACCTAGATAGAAAATTGAAAGTGGCAGAAGGAAGGAAGTACAGAAATAAATGGAAGAACAAGTCTTAAAGGAGCCAGATTGGGAAGATCTTAAGCTTCCCAAAAAGGCCATTGAAGTTTCACTTTTCTTTTCAGCAAAAATTATGCCAGCAAGAAGGGAGGCAAACAGAGGGATCAAACATATAATTAAAAAGAGGTTTAGGTGTACCGAAGAAACTTCCCATGGGAGAAACAGGATTCCATTTTAAATCTCTTATCAGATTTCAACAAGAATAAACAGCTAATATTTCTAGCTTTTGAAATTGTTTTCTTTTTTTCCTTTTCTCTTTTAAAACAAAGGTATCTACCAAGTGACTCCAAACAGAAACCAATTAAGTCTTTTATGATTAACCAAGGATGCATAAGACATCTTCAAAGAAATGCAAAGATGCAACCCTCTCAGAATTCAAAGTCACCCCTAAATCACCCCTAAAAATAGCCAAAAGAAAGATTTAGACACTTTGTGAGCTAGCAACAGTCAATGACATGTAAGCTTGTCATGGGAGCCCCCAACATTTTTTTTGGCCACCTGCACATGCCGAAGTGTGTTGTACAGGCAGCAAGCCAAGCCAGGTTCTCTTGACACAATATGAGACAAACAGGGACACAATAGCTGTCTATGGAAGGGAAAAGATTAATAACAAATGGGTACTTTAAATCAAAACTACACAAGAATCACAATCCAAGCTAATAATTTTCTCCTGCTATCCTGAATTTGGAAAAAAAGAAAGAGAAATTTTTACCTTCCATTCTTGACCAGGCACTATAGGCAGAGATCCAGGAGAACAGACCTTGATACAAATTCTTACCTTTCTTTGCCAACTTTTTGCCAGCTGTCCCAGGACCTCATCAGTAGGTGAGTCAGTTGCTTCAGCCATCCCTTCCTCATCACCGGGACTATAGGGGCAGAAATGGTGTGATCTCTTTCCTTCCCATCATAAGGGTCATAGCTGACACCCGTTTAACAAAAGAAAGACAGGTTAACAAGAGAAAAGCAAAGCAAAGCATATTTATTTAATTATAGTTTTATGTGACATGGGAGCCTTCAGAATGAAGACCCAGAGTTACATAAAAAAATTCATTTTAATGCTTAAGTTCAATGAAGAATGGACAGCTGTGTAAAAAATGTGATTAGACAAAAAGGGCATCATCTAATGCTAATAGACTGAGTGCGGAAAGCCAGCAAGGTCTTTCTGGTCAGATTCTTCTTGACCTCTCCGTGCAGCATTCCTTCCTCCCTGGCATGGGGTAGAGATCCTTTTGGAATGGAGGTCTTATAACCTACAATTAAACAAGATAGTTCAGAGAATTTCTTTAGAGCCAGTTCTTACACAGAAAAGTAAGAGTAGTATTTTTAGGTTTTATGGCTTACTTTGGTGAAAAGGAGCCTTGGAAAAGGGGGTTTCTAGTTTTTATGGCTAACCTCTAGAGAACGAGGAGTGAGAAACAAGAGAGGAAAAAAAGATCAGAGAGAAAATTTGCTTCTGAGGCTGCTTCTGAGACCATCACTTTTGAGTATTGTTTTTTCTGATCCCCAACGAAAGTGAAGAATGGGATTCAAGAAAACAGGGGAAGAAGGAGGGAATTCTGCTAGGTATCAGAATCAGCCAGTACATATTATGTATATTTTACTTCAGTTTAGGGAAACAAACTGAATATATTATGAAATATATTACATATATTTCATAAGCTACCATTTCCTGACTAAATAAACAAATCAAACTTACCTTCGATGTGAAGGCTGACTATTTTTCAATTTACTCCAGAATGCTTCCAGGAATTCTGTTTTTTAGACTATCACATTCTCGAACGTAGTAGTTACTGAGTTTGAGGAGAGTGTTCAATATTCTGATAAATATGTATAAAATAAGAAAATAACCATATATCCATAAAATAAGAAAATGATAGCCATATATGTGTATGTATATATCAAGTTCTAGATATTCATATATAGATATATGATGTTGACTGTGTAGCTTGAGGAAAAGATTCAAGAGACCCCTCTGCAGTTGCAGGCTCTCACTCCCTGCTACCTCAGAAATTCACACACACTCCCTGGGAAATACCTCCATGAGAATATGGTACCAATTACAGGAATGCCTCTCAAATTCTACCAATATGGACACATTTAGATAAATAGACTTCACTGAGAATAATAATAATAATATTCTTTTATATTTCTTAGCTTCTGTGGGATTTTTCCCTTTTTCTAACTAGGTACAGTTTTTATTGCTGAGTTGAGGAGCTGTCAAGATTACTACCTAAAGTTACAGTAAGAAAATGTTGATTTGTTAAAGTTTGAACTCTGACATTAGGAATGAATCTGTGAAACTAAGATTGCACTGTCAAGAGTTTAATGCACTAAGAAACATGATATTTTTGTGAATAGTATTAAGTTCCAATCCAAACTGGCAGTTCTGTGTATCCCCAAGGATCCCAATATATGTGGAAGGGGTGATCCTAGGGAGCGTAGACTGGTCTACACAGTAGGCTGTGGGCAGGGAATACATGTTTCTCTGTCCCTATAACTGGAAATCCCAAGGAGTCCACGCCCTGACTTTAGCCAGAAACTCACTCTCTTTGTAATAGACCAAGGGTAAGGAAACATGCTTATGACAGCATGAGTATCTCTTCTGGCCAAGAAGTAGCCTTTTTGCAGCATGTGGATAAATCCCCAGAACTGGTAGAATTTCTTCATAGATCAGCAACCTGCCCCTCCAGTTTTGGTTGCTGCCCTTATCACTCTTGGCCCCAGGGGACTGTCTTCCCCTGAGAGGTTTGCAGGAGCCTACGTATAAACTGAATTCTGCTTTCTCTTTCCTTTTTGCTAAGCTACTGTTATGTCACATTTAATGGAGATTCTAGAAAACCCCCTTTGCATGTGTTTCTGTAAAACCTAGAAATTTTATTTCACTTCTGCTTTCTCCTTGTGGCATTCTGCTCTTTAGGGAAGCCATATGAAGCCAGAACCACAATAGAACAGAAAGCTGCTCTGTGTGAATGGGCAGGAAAGTCAAGAGAATGAATGACCAGGGTCCCATGGGAAATCCACCTCAGAGAGCAAGGAAACCCTGGTGATATGGAAATGCCTCCTGGAATGCTGAGAGCCAGGGAGGGAATGTGTCAGGTGCCTGAATCAGTAAATAAACATCACATGTCTTCTGCACGTCAATCTATATGTTTATTCTCCTGTCTCAGGTATTTATACAAGCCACCATTCCCCGACTGCATATAAATAGGACACTTCTTTGAAATGAGGAGTGACTGTTTTTCAACCACTCTACAGTTGCTGACAGAATCTAGTTTTTTTAGGCTGCTGCCATTGGCAGTCACTTACTGAAATGCAGGACACAGGTCCTAAGAATTTTATAGAAAGATAAATATTATCCTCATCTACAGCTGTATGAAGAAAATAGGGAAATACCTATCATATTTTAACTTCTTACTAGATAGGAGACACAGTGGTAGGTGCTTTAAAATGCATGTTTTTTCTAATATTCACAACTACATAAATATTTTAAACCCAATTTTTATGAGAAAAGTGAGGCTCAGTGAGAATAAGTGGGTTGATCAACACCACACATACATCCAAGCAGAATGAAATTTCAACGTTAAAGTCTTTAATGCAAATTATGAGTGATTTTGTCAGTTTGGTTTTCTGGATTTCTATTACAATTGCTAAATCTCCTTGTACTCGTGAATTATACACAACTCTTTGGTACTTTCTGAATTTCCATGGTTCGGGTTGTATTTTTAGCTGGTTTGACTAATTTTTTTCTTTCCCTTAAGTATGGAGGAAGAGATTCTCTGATCCAGTTTCCTAATTTAATTTGTGAAGGAAGTTTGTCAGTTTATATGTTTATGGTAATTTAGTTATTTTTGTATTCATGTAAGATTGTAATATTCATAAAATCCGGAAAAATTACCAAGGAGTATTATAAAAGATTTCTTATCATATCTGGCTCTACCGGAGAAATGCAGTCAAGTTGTAGTAAACTAGCATGACAATGGCGCAAGTTAAGTAACTTAATTAAAGCCAGTAATTGCAGTAACCATTATATTATCAATATTAATTGAATATTTTGATGAAAGATTGAATTAGTTATCTATTCCTGCCTAAATAATTAACAAAACTAGGCATCTTACTGATAGTCACAGTAGTATTAATTAAAACTGATAAATTACTATTGTAATTAAATATGCCGTGACTTAAAATAAATATATGAAATATATTAATGTCATTTGCCAGTACCTCAATTACATGAAATCTATTGAGAAAAATATACATTGCAAAAAAGGAAAAACTATGCCCAGAAAACATAACCCACATCCTTTCCTAATCCCATTTTATTTCTTTCTCCACTTCAGTTCACTAACTTATCTTATTTAAACTTCCTCCAATATGGCTTCTGTGTATTAACTTTACCCAATCAGTTCTCACTAAGGGTGCCAATGCCATCTATTTCCCAATTAGTAGGCAGTTTCAAGCCACACCTTGGGCAAATCGACTGAATCCTCTTCTCGGCACATTTATTTCCTTTTGTTTGTTTGTTATTTTGAGATGGGGTCACTCTCCCTCTGTCTCCCAGGCTCGAGTACAGTATTGTGATCATGGCTCACTGCAGCCTTGAACTCCTGGGCTGAAGCATTTATCTTCCTAAATACACTTTCATTATCTTTCTCTGCTGTTGCCTTCTAATGTACAGCCATTCCTTTGTGGCTGTGGATGTTTCCTTTGCGGCTTTTCTCTCCCCTCCCTTTAAAAGCGAAAGGTCCTCAGAATCATGTTTAAAACTTTTTCTCTCTCTACACTCTCTCCCAACACCATGACCTTCATTTCTTGGCTTTCTCTTATCACATATAAACCCCCAGCAATCGCATTCCTTGCAAATTGCAAACTTATATATCTAACTGGCAATGGACATTTTCTAATAGATGTATACTAGTCAATTTAAAGAGAATGTCTCTGTCTTATTTTTATTTCCTCACATGCCTCAATCTACCTTCTGCAGAGAGAAATCATCGGTTGTTCCTTCTTCTCTTCATACCATTTACCATAACTGATAATTAAGTATGATTACCATTTTTAGTTTTTTTCATACAAAAATCAAATACACAAGAGAGCAGAATTGTATTTGTTAGGTTCACCTTGTTATCTTGAGTACAACATACAACCTGGTTTACAGAAAGTTTATTTTTACTTATATCTTGAATATAATATTGATGGATAAATGAAGTGTACCAGTTATTCTGTAATCAGGTTGCACAATTAGGCTTGGAATTTCATTTTAAAGAATAAACAAGTACAAAAGTTTCCATAGCAAAAGTTCAATGAACAACACAAAATAAATTTACCAAATACAAAGAACATATTTTATTACATTAACCACTGTGCAAAGGTGCACATGACATAATATGAACAAAAATAAGTTGTTTTATAAATAGTTAAATAAATAATATTTTAAAAATATTTAAATAGATAATGGATCAGTCAGCATGGTCCTCTGTAAGGGACTAGTGCCTTAAGAGCTGAATACAATGTTGATTAATACTCCTAAAAACATTTGAAAAGATTTAAATCGTGTCATGGTCATAGCAGAAACATGAGTCTTTGAAATGGCAGATCATAAAAAGGTGAGCTGGCATACGAATCAATGAAAATCATTTCCATGTTGAACCAGTTTTCATTCCTTACTTCTTAAACTTTCTTGCAAGTTTGTTGACAAAGAAAAAGATCTCATGATTTCTGCTCTGACAACCTCCCAGGCACAAGGGCTGTATTTCTTCTCTTTCAGATAGAGAGTGATTCTTTGGAAGTATTTCCTCACAGCCAGAATGGAGTCCTCCTTCATCAGGGGAGTCTCTGTCACCCCCACCCCCTGTATCACACAGGCTTCCAGGTCATTCAGCTGCTGGTAGAGTTCAGTGTAGAATTTGTCTAGGAGGGTCTCATCCCAAGCAGCAGATGAGTCCTTTGTGCTGAAGAGATTGAAGATCTGCTGGATCATCTCATGGAGGACAGGGATGGTTTCAGCCTTTTGGAACTGGTTGCCAAACTCCTCCTGGGGAAATCCAAAGTCATGTCTGTCCTTCAAGCAGGAGAAAAGAGAGATTCTCCTCATCTGTGCCAGGAGCATCAAGGTCCTCCTGCTACCCAGGCTGTGGGTTTGAGGCAGATCACAGCCCACAGAGCAGCTTGACTTGCAGCTGAGCACCAGGAGGGCCACCAGTAAAGCAAAGGTCAAGGCCATTGTAGATGTTGCAGATGCTGCTAGACTGGTTGAAATGGGTGAGCCTAAACCTTAGGCTCCAGGTTCTCTGAAGACCTTGCTTTGTGCCTAGCCTTAAATAGGGAACATACTCGTTTACATTTTCCAAATGCCCCTGTGTTACTTTCTACTTCTCTTTTTGCTTTCTTTATGCACTCTTTACATGGGTTTTCAGCTGTTTTTCTCACCACATTTTTTTCATTATTGTTTCCTTCCTCTTTTACCCCAGAGCCTTTTTAGAAACTTTTTTCTGATTGAATCTCCCATTATATTTTAATCACATATACACTGTGTATCTATTTACATATCCTATGTATATCTCTATTCTATACATTAAATTAAAAAGTATAAAGTTAATGTTTTATTATTGCAAAGAATGATAAAACAATTAAAAATTAAATTAAAAGGCTATTGACATTTTACTTAACTTGATAACTATATTCTTAGAGCAACTTTTTTGAAAATAGATTTTTGTGGGTACATAAGAGGCGTCTGTGTTTATGGAATAAGTGAAATATTTTTATATAGGCAGACAATTCATAATAATCACAGCAGGGTGAATGGAGTATCCAATGCTTCAAACATTTATCATTTCTCTCTGCTACATACATCCCATTTATACTATTTTAGTTATTTTATAATATATAATAAATTATCATTAACAGTAGTCATCCTATTGTGCTATCGAATACTAAATCATATTCATTTTTTCTAACTATATTTTTGTGCCCGTTAGCCATCTCCATTTTCCCCCATATGATCCAGCAATCCCACTACTGGGTATTTATCCAAAGGAAATGAAATCAGTATGTCAACAAAATATTTACACTCCCATGTTTATTGCAGCACTATTCACAATAGCTAAGATTTGGAAGCAACTTAGGTGTCTAACAGATGAATGGATAAAGAAAATATGGCACTTATACACAATGGAGTACTACTTAGCCATAAAAAAGAATGAGATCCTGTCATTTGCAAGAACATGGATGGAGCTGGAGGACATTATGTTCATTGGACAACATTAAACCCATTGATCTGCACATACCTAACCACACTTGAATCTCTAGGACAAATTCCACTTGGTCATGATGAATGATTGTTTTAATGTGTTCTTGAATTCAGTTTGCTAATTTGTTGTTGAGGATTTCTGCATCAATGTTCATCAGAGATATTGGCCTACAGTTTTCTTTCTTTTTAATGTGTCTTTCTCTGGTTTTATATGTGATTAAAATATAATGGGAGATTCAATCAGAAAAAACACTGGCCTCATAGAATACATTTGGAAAGATTCTGTCCACCTCTATTTTTTTAATAATTTGAGTTGGATTGGTATTAGTTTTTTAAATATTTGGCAAAATTCATCAGTGAAGCCATCAGATCCTGAGTTCTTTTCTGGGATACTTTTTAGTATGGCTTCTGTCTCATTACTTGTTATTGGCCTGTTCACATTTTGTATTTCTTCATGGTTCCATGAAGAAATACAAAAACCATGAAGAAATACAAGAATGGTTCTAGAAACAATTCTTGTATTTCTTCATGGTACTATGAAAAAATACAAAACCTGAACAGACCAGTATGTTGTATGTTTCTAGGAATTATCTATTTTGTTCAGGTTTTCCAATTTATTAGCATATAGTTTCATAGTATCTTCTAATGATCCTTTAATTTTTTGTGGTATTGGTTGTCATGTCTCCTTTTTTATCTCAGATTGTATTTATTTGGGACTTCTTTTTTTCTTAGTCTGTGGTGAGAGAAAACGTTTGATATTATTTCACTTTTTTTCTAAATTTTAAGATTTGTTTTGTGACCTAGCATTTGGTATATCCTTGAGAATTATCCATGTGCTGAGGAGAAGAATGTGTATTCTACAGCTGTTGGATCAAATGTTCTGTAAATATCTACTAGGTCCATTTGGCCTATGGTGCAGATGAAATTTGATGTTTGTTAATTTTCTGTCTGGATGATCTGTCCAATGCTGAAAGTGGGGTGTTGAAGTCTCCAGTTATTATTGTATGGGGGTCTGTCTATCTCTCTCTTTGGCTCTAATAATATTTGCTTTATATACCTGAGTACTCCAGTATTGGGTGAATATATATTTAGAATTGTTAAATGCTCTTGCTAAATGGACCCCTTTATCACTATATAATGACCTTCTTTCTCTCTTTTCATAGTTTTTGTCTTGCAGTCTATTTTGTCTGATATAAATGTAGCTTCTGCTTCTTTTTGTTTGTTTCCATAGGCATAGAATATTTTTCCATCCCTTTACCTTCAGTCTATATGTGTCTTTAAAGGTGAAGCATACTTCTTGTAGGCAATGAATCATTGGGTCTAAGGGTTTTTTGTTTTGTTTTGTTTTGCTTTTTTTTTTTGAGGCAGAGTCTTATTCTGTCACCTAGGCTGGGGTGCAGTGGCTCCATCAATCTTAGCTCACTGCAACCTCCACCTCCCAAGTTCAAGCAATTCTTCTGCCTCAGCCTCTCTAGTAGCTGGAACCACAGGCATGTGCCACCATGTTCAGCTAATTTTTTGTATTTTTAGTAGAGACAGGGTTTTGCCATGTTGGCCAGGCTGGTCTCGAACTCCTGGGCTCAAGTGATCCACCCGGCTCAGTCTCCCAAAATGCTGGGATTATAGGTGTGAGACACCACGCACAGCTCGGTGTAATATTTTTTTTAAAATACATTCAGCCACTCCCTGTCTTTTCATTGGAGAGCTTAGTCCATTTACATTCAATGTTATTATTTATGAGGACTTATTCCTGTCATTTTGTTATTCATTTTCTGATTATTTGATGGCCTTCTCTTTCTTATTTTCTTCCTATTTGTCTTTCTTTTAATGTAGGTGATTTTCTCTGGTGGTGTGTTTTAATTTCTCCTTTTTATTTTGTGTGTATTTGTTGTATGTTTTAGATTGGAGGTTACCATGAGGCTTGCATATAGTGTCTTATAACCCATTATTTTAAACTGGTAACACTGATTACATAAACAAACAAAAAAGCAAAAAAAAAAAAAAACCAAAAAATCAGACTTCATCTCCCCACTTTTAACTTTTTTTGTTTCCATTTATATCTTAACTGTATTGTCTATATCTTGAAAAGTCATTATAGTTATTATTTTTGATTGGTTCATCTTTTCCTCTTTCTAAATATATGTCTAAATTCAAACTCTCTGATTCACACAGCTCACAACAGACAACATACCATACCACCCTCTGGGGTGTGGTAGCTCTAATTCCCCCAAATCATCAATCTTCCACCTTTCCTGCACTTGTAAAGGATGTATTAAATCCCCAGAATGTGTGTGTGAACTGTAAATAGTTGTGACATCATTTTCCATCCCTCAGAAACCTAGGCTTCAAACAATTTGGTGATCTTTAGGCAACATTAGTATAAAATCAGTCTATATATAGAGAGAGCAGAAAGAATCAGTTTTTTTAAATAAACCAAATAAATTGTATTATTGATTATTTTCATGATGCAATTAAACTATATTATTAAACAATTAAAATGCTCAAAGTTCTTAAATGGGCACAGGAATTTCTATAATAGATAAACTTTCTTTTCAGAAATATACATTGCAAAAATTAACAACTTTTAGTAGTTTATCTAGTCAGTACATTTTTATTGGCTCAAACTGTTAAGTCTGTCAAACACTGAGAAATGAGCATTTTGTCTACGTTCAATTCAGATTTTGCTGGGAACTTAAGTATATTTACTTTTTATGTGGTATTTGACCATGAAAATTTGTTTGGCTAACCCTGATTTTTTTATTCACCTTCAGCTTTATGTTAGTAAAGGGATATATGAATATGATGAAACAAATGGAATATAAAGTATTTCCATATAGTGCTCACAAGACCAAATATATTTCTTTCTCATTTTTCTTTTTGTACAAAGTAAATTAGTCTGGTTTTGCATCCCAATGCATAGGGCCAAAAATGTATGTCTACATGAGGTAAGAATTTAAGAAGGAAGTCAAGAGAAATTAGAAAACATCTTGAGATAAATGAAAATAAAAAGACAACATTACAAAAGCAGTACTAAGTGGAAAATTTACACCTATAAAAGCTTACACTAAAAAAGAGGAAGAAAGAGCTCAAATAAACTACCCAATTTTATATCTTATGTAGCTAGAAGAAGGAGTGCAAACTAAACCCAAAGCTGGCACAAGGCAGGAAATTATAAAAATTGGAGCAAAGATAAACAAAATAGAGAAAAAGTAATTTAAAAATTAGCAAAGTAATAGTTGGTTTTTTGATAAGTTTTTAAAAATTGTCAAACCCCTAACTAGATTGATTAAGAAAAAAGAGAGAAGACTCAAAGAACAAAAATCAGAAACAAAAGAGGAGACATTAGAGCTGATGCTATAGAAATAAAAAAGATAAGAGACAATTAGAACAATTAAATGTCAACAAATTTAATATTGTACAGGAAATGGATAAATTTCTAGAAACATATACATAAAATCTGCTAAGGCTGAATCGTGAAGAAACAAAAAAATCTAAGCAGACCTATAACTGGTAAGGAGACTAAATCAATAAGTAAAAACTTCTGAACAAAGAAAAACCCAGGGACACATGGTTTCACTGGAGAATTCTGCTGAACATTTAAAGAAAAATTTACACTAGTCTTTCTCAGCCCTTTCATAATATTGATGAGGAAGGTACTCTTTCAAACTAATTTTATGAGTCTAGCATTATCCTCATATCAAAGCCAGACAAGGACATGACACAAAAACTACTAAAGACCAACATCCCTACTGATATTGATGCAAAAGTTCTTAACAAAAAACTTGGAACTCAGATTTAATAGCACATTAAAAGGATTATGCATTATGACTAATTGGGATTTACTCCTGGTATACAAAGATGGTTCAACATTTTTTTAAAAAAACCCAGTGAATGTCATATACTTCATTAACAGAACGAAGGGAGAGAAACTGTAATAGTCTCAATTGATGCTGAAAAAGCATTTTACAACATTCAAAATCCTTTCATGATAAAAACACTCAACTAGAAATAGAAGGAAATTATTTCAACGTGATAAAGACTATTATATGAAAATCCCACAGCTAACATCATATTCAGTGGTGAAAAACTAAAAACTTTTACTCTAAGATCAGAAACAAAGCAATAATTCCACTCTCACCACTTCTATTTAATGTAGTACTTGAAGTCCTAGCCAGAGGAATTGATAAGAAAATGAAATAAAAGGCATACAAATTGGAAAGGAAGAAGTAAAATGATCTCTGGTGGCAGACAGAATGATCTTATATGTAGAAAATCCTAAAGATTACAAACACACACAGGGATACACACACATTGTTAGAACTTATAAATGAAATGAGTAAAGTTAATTAAAATGTACTTCCTGCTTCCAGCCTGTTGTGCAGGTCACAATCTCCTGACTAACACTCCTTACCCACACTACGAAGTGGAGCTGGAAAAACTCAGTGTGGAAGTGCAGTGGTAGTTTAAATCAGCAGGAAATCTTATAGTTGATAGTGTGTGAAATGGCTTTGTCAACAGTAAATTTCCAGTTTCACAGGTTCATTACGAATATCAGATAATAATGTCTGCCTGTATAATTTGAAAATATATTCATCATCACATTAGTCAAATAGAGAGCTCAGGTGTATTTTAAGAACTTGTTAGAGAATTCTACATTGTCAACTGACAGTCAGAGGCTTTTTCATGCAAGCGTATGGATGTTGGTAGAATTTGGGAGATGTTACTGTAACCTGCACAATTTTGTATTTGAGGTCATTAATGAGGAGGTTTGTGTGCATGTGTGTGTGTGTGTGTGTACGTTGGTTGCTCAGGCAGCTGGAAGGGACATCAATTTGGGAGGGTTTCTTGAATCATTGTTTCAGATTTCCTAGCCAATGCTTTAGTGTGCTTCCCTGTAAATTGGAGGGGAGGGTCTTAGTAATATTTTAGTAGATTTTTGTCCTTTTTCTTTTCTCGATGACTGCTTCTGGGTGGACCAGGTTAGGAGCAAGGGAAAGGCTTGGCAACTATTGAATCTCTGTTTCTTTATTTGATTGCCTTACATATTTCAATTATTATGATCCTTTCTAGTCATGGAATGCTGTAGAAGATTAGGTATAATATATATATGTATATATATGCATACACAGACATACATATAGACACATGCATGCATATAACTTATACATATATGCATAATTTTACTTACTTTTGTTCATTTTGTTACATGGTTATTTTTAGTGTGAAAAGATTGTCCTAGCTAACTGTGCTGTCACTTTGCCCTGAAAATCTCTGCAGCCATATCAAGAGCTATTGACTTTATGCATAGTTGACTCTAGAACAATACAGGAGTTAGAGGCTGACTCCCCTCAAAGTGAAAAATCTGCATATAACTTTTGACTTTCCGAAAACTTAACTACTAATAGCTTACTGTCAACTGAAAGCCTTATCAATAACATAAACCATCAATTAACACATATTTTGTATGTTATACATAATATATATTCTCACAATAAAGCAAGCTAGAAAAAAGAAAAGGAGATCACAAGAAAGAGAAAATATATTTATTATTCATTAAGTGGAAATGGATCATCATCAAGGTCATCATCACACTAAGCTGCGAAGCAGGAGGAGGAAGGGGAGGGGTTGGTCTTGCTGTCTTGAGAGGTGGCAGAAGTGGAAGTAAATCCACTTATAAGTGGGCCCTAGTAGTTCAAACCTGTGTTTTTCAAGGGTCAACTCCATGTTCAAAAGAATTGGAGAACAGAGGCAGTGCTGGCAGCAGCAGAGCTGGGGGTAAGAGCTGATCCACTGCAGCACTGAGCCACTCATCCACTCTGGGCTAAGTCTCTCTCAGGCTCTGGCCTTTAGCCGCTGAAGGCACATTCTCACTTGGGAAGAGGATGAGGAGAAACTTGGGTCGCAACTATGTTGGTCACAAATGTCTTTGCGGAATCAGCGCAGTGTCAGCAGGAAGCAGTTGAATTTGAAGGCAGATACACCTTGACTCTTCCTGCCTGCCAATGCCCTGCCTCGCAGTAGACAAGTCTCCATAGATGACCAGCCAAGCACAGAAGTGCAGTAATAGAGGGACCTGCAGTACCAACACTGCCCACACATCTATACTTCACAAGCCGGTAAAGACATCCAGTAGCTCATTGTGGATTCGTTTAGGTGCATTGAAGTTCTTAGTCCTCTAGGAGGAGATTGCACCAGTCATATGATGCTCATTCGCTTAATAAACAAAAGTGAACATCAAGATCTGTGAAGATGTTCCTAGAGCCAGCAGCAGCTTGAGAACTTGGAATGTAAGAAACTCCCCAAAATCTGGTATTCTGGGCTCTTGACTGCACAGATAGAATTTGTCAAATTTGTTAAAAATTACAACCGTGTTGTTTACATAGAATTATTTTGACAGTTAAGTTCACCCAAATATCGATATTGTGTAAAAGTGTGTGCCCACTATAGATGTCATGATCCCCTCCTCCAAAGTTGTGTGGGCTGTCAGGACAGATCAAGTACTCCCAAGTCACCCTAGTGGAGCCCCATATTTAAAGGGAACCTCTGCTCTACTCACCCAGTGCCTCATTCCTCCCCCTAATTCTCCTCTAATCCTACTAGAAACTAGGTTATAAACCAATCTTCTGTCACCAGCACTAGTGCAGTCCAGGCTCCCCCAAGAAGTCTGGGAGTTTGGAGTGCATCTCAACATTACGTCCAGAAACAAAGGGTGACTTTCACACTAGTTTAGCATCCCCCACGTGCAGAGTGCTGAGATGGGCCGACTGGAGAGAGGAGACTACAACTCTTAACCCTCCTGGCCTCAGGTTCTGCCTGTTCTGTGGAAAGAAGAAAAAAATAATGGTTCTGCCCCGTGCTCAAATTTGTTCCTTGCCAGTTGTGGCCTTCAGGCAAATCTCTTCTCTTCCCCGAGCCTCATGCGCCCCACAACCTTCTGAGACACAATTTAGAAAATATGAATGCTAATAGTGAGTGTAAAATCACCGCAAAGTGTTATGTGGACGTTAGTGGTTATTCTTCAACACATCTAATTGTGTTGAACTGGACTACTTTTCCAGCTTTGCCGTTATTTTTCATAGGGTTGTTTGTTGATTTAAAAGTGTGATTCTCGCTTGAACCAGGGAGGCGGAGGTTGCCGTGAGCCGAGATCGCGCCACGGCACTCCAGCCTGGGCACGGAGCCAGACTCCATCTCAAAAAAAAGTGTGATTCTGCAGCCATAGTTCATAGCCTGGATCCCAGCTCTGACCTTGTAAAATAGCCTAAACGTGTGTTCCCTAGTTTCCTCATCTTTGATGTGGGGACAATTATAGTATTTTTTTCCATAGGATTATTGTAAGGATTAAATGAGTAAATACACACAAAAGGCATCAAAGTATGCCTACTAAAAGTAATTAGGACTGTTAGAAGTCAGAGTAGCTACCCTCAGGGAAGAAACAAGAAAGCGGGTTTTAAGTAGTGACGAGAAGGCAACACTCAGGAGGCTTCTAGGTCCTGAGCAAAATCTTTTATTTTTCACACAGGTGGTAGTTTCAGAGTGCATTCAGTGTATGAATATTCATTGTGCTATATGCCTAAGATACTTGCAATTTCTGTGTATTATACTTTTTCTTTTCTTTTTTGTTTTTAAGATGGAATCTCACTCTGTTGCCCTGGTGGGAGTGCAGTAGCATGATCATAACTCACTGCAGTCTCAAACTCCTGGGCTCAAGCAATCCTCCTGCCTCTTACCTCAGCCTCCTGATTAGCTGGGGTTACAGGCATGTGATAGCACATCTGGCTCTGTTATTTTCATGGTAAAAAAATACCACAATATGTGTAATTATATATATTTGTCTGCTATGGTATATAGATTTGTCTGCTATGGCTGTGTCCCATTTGGCCCTCTAAAAAGTTGTTCATGCTTGTCCTCTAAAAAAGACAAGATTCAGCTTTTTGAGAATCTGTTCCATTATGGCTAAATGTTTTCAAAAAACTGGTTTTGTAAAAATGTTCTAATGAAGAGTTGATTCATTGTGACATCCTCTTTTATTCCAAAGAATCCTTTTAAAATTTTCCATGCATACGTTTTATCAGTAATACAATGTAATCAAATATTAGCACCTCAAAAATATATTCAAAGACTTGTAAAACTCAAACAAAACTTGTGACCATGAAGTTTTGATGTTTCATCATGTTTCCTAAAATAGAAAGTTTACAAAATCTTTCAATCTCCTAAGTTACTAGATGATGCTTACAGAAGCAATAAAATCAGAGAAACAAAAATGTTAGAAAATTCTTGCAGGTGATTTTCAATATTGTTTTATTTTGTGCAAAAAATAATTAACCTTTTAGAAGGTCCCAGAGTATTAGAAGCCCAAACTCTGGAATATTCTCAATTTTAGTTGAGCTTTTCAGTTATTATAATATTGGTATAGCTACTCATATAATTAGTAATACAAAAGATTCTGAGTCTTATTTGTAAATAAAGTTCAAAATAAGTCATATGTTATAGGTAATCATGTTAGATATAAACCACTATTGAAAAAGAATATAAAAACAAAATACTTTATTTTTTGATTATACAATATATATAGTCCATTATGTTCACATTTAGAATGATGTTAACAATTGTTTTGACATTTTTAAAATGAAAAACTTCAATATATCTAGTTCATGAAATTGTTAATAAACTAGAAAATGATATGGACATAAAAATGACATTAGCCAAGTATATGATAATGAGGCAATGGTGGCAGGTGTACACAAAGGCATAAAAGCCATTATTTCCCACCCAAAATGATTATGTCACATTTGTGCCTTACTCAGCTCATAATCTTATGTAAAAATCTGCATTTGTGAATTAAGATAACTTTTTAAAAGTATTGTACAAAGGGTATATCTACATTTTTGAATTCAACTAGCAGATGGGAAATTATCATGTCTGTATTAACCACTACATTAAAAACACTTAAGGATATCTAGGGCATAAAAATAAAAATCGATGTATTGGCACTTAAGATATGTATTAAGCAGTAAATGATACCAAATGCAAACCTGCATTATGCTGAAATGGAAAGCATCTTAATGCAAAGAGATTACACATTTTTATGCAACTTATCTATGTGGGATGACATTTTGAACCAAGTGGAAAATGTTAATAAAATTCTCCAATGAAAACCATGACTATACAGCATATAAAGCTGAATGCTTCATAGAAAGCCCTTGCTTAAAACAACTAGGATTTAAAAGTTCCTATAAGTGGAAATTAAGGAAGACAGTTATTGGTTCATGAGATATTGCCAAACATGGTAATGTTCTTAATTGAAAATGAGTAAGCAGAAAAGTAATTTTGAAAATATTCTGATGTTTGCCTACATTAAAATCAGAAACTTACAAAAAAAAAAAAAAAAGTCTGGTCTTGGCATATTTAAACTTAAAATAATGTGTTTTAATAGTTTTCAGTTTTTTCAACTACTTTGTTGTAGGAAAAAATAACCATTAAAACTTAATAAAATCACCTACATTGGGGCACACATTTTCCTTTTCCCCCGGGGTGCCCTGTCCACTGAAAGGTGGACAGCACTTTGTAAGCTCGCTTCCTGATTGTTCATGATTTTCCCCTTTCTCCGAATTCGGGTCTTTCTCCGCAGAAATGGCCCTGAATCTCTAACACTGACTACGGCACGATCTGATTTTGAGCCGTCAGTCCCCTCAATACACTGGCACATTGGTAAAACGGTCTCGCTAAAATGTTCCATGAGAAAAATGTCTCGGGGGAGGCGGCGGTAGAGCTCTCCCTCTGTAGTCAGAGCCGTGAAAGGCGGCGTTTACTCGCTGCTCACGAGGCCTGCGGACCCTAATCCCCAAGCGCCCGGGCCTCCACTCTGCGGACCCCAAGCGCGGGTCTCCTTGAGGAAGGGGCGACCGCGGGTTAGGGTCGCTGGTGGGTCCGTTACCGCTGGTCCGGCGCCCTCTGTCGGCTGTTTGTAACAGCAAAGGCAGCTTTGTGCGCTGTTAGCAGTGGTCGCGTGCTCAGTGTCACTGCTGTGCTGGTGATTGAAATTCTCCGTGTCCTGATCTCTGCTGATGCCACTCCTCACCTGCTCTGCTCTCCTCCATCCTTCACATTTCACTCATCAGCATATGTCATCTTCTATTTTCCCAATCATTTCCCATAGTCATGTAAATTGGAAGCATAAGTATCCTCTCCTTTCCACCCACAAGAGCCACTAGCTCTGTTTTCTACAGGAGTCACTGAAATAATTGTAAGAAACTCACTCTCTGGTCCAGAGGTCATAAGTCTCACAGGTCTTGTCTCCCACGCACCTCGTGAACTTACGGTGAGAATTAACTGAGCAACATATAGAGCCACCTGGGCCATAGTAAATATGGTTATTTTATACCAATAATTATGATGATTATTAACTTTGTTGATTACGCTTTAGACTCTCAGAGATAATTACCAACTGTTAATTTCATTTTGCCAACTATATAAAATGGTCAAGATATTTCCTTGTCATTTTGTCAACACATCTACATATTTGTAGGTGAGGCACACATTGGTGAAAGTATCTGATAATTTGTAATCAATTTGAGAATTGTAGACCATAAAGGAACATCAGTGTATTATAAGTAAAGTGGAAGGCTTTCTAGAAAATAAGTGATGATTCAGTACATGCAGTTTGCACAGACACGTAATGCTGTGGGTGAGGAGGTGGAGTTTGGAGTCTGACAAAATCTAGGTTTTGAAACCTAGATTTGCCTTTTATTTACTAGATTGTTTTAGTTACATACACTCCGTTAGCATGCAGTTTTTTGGTAAATGAGATTATAGTGAGGGGATTAAATGAGTCCCTCAGAGAGGGGAAAATAATTTGTAGTTGCTATCATCATCATCACCATTTTTGATAAAGACTGAAAGAAGCCTGTGTGATTTGTCTGTCAGGCCCTTGGTGGTCATGATCAGAGCAACATTGAAACATTTAATTAGTAATCAATTCAGGATTAATGTGCCATAAGAAAATATAGGCAGCAGCAAGGAATGTGTTCTTTATTCTCAAACAAATGTAGAGAATAAAAACTATTTTAATGAAACCTTGCCATATAACCATGATAACCTGAGGTCTCTTCGTCATGAAATCATTCATGTAGCACCTGTAATACATTGGTTAGATTGTGACCCAATATTTCAAGTTTAAATCATATATGACAGACAAAATTATCAAGTATAATTATTAACCCTTTCTCTAAAAAGAGGATCTCATATCTATACTCACAAGTAAAATCACAGATATTGAATCAAGGAGAGGAGAGAAATGATGGCCTGAAGTTGGCCCCATTTAAGAAAGGCACACGGGTATGAATGAGAGAAAGAAACCCACAAGAAGTAGAAGGAGGCTACAAGAAAGAATATGCAGGTGTTTGGGGAAAAAAACCACATTTGCTCAGAAGGAGCTACCATGATAAGAGTGACTCATGGAGTGAATGGTTAAAGAACATTTAATTTTTATTTCTAGCTAAGTTGTCCAGGTCTAGCTAAGTTGCCCAGGCTGGAGTGCAGTGGCATGATCACAGTCCATGGCAGGCTTGAACTCCTGGGCTCAAGCTATCCTCCTGCCTTTTTCAAAAAACATAAGTAAAACTGAATTAGTTCCAGCTAGTAAAACTGCCAAAGTGTTTGGTGCATCTTCTTCATAGCCCTAGAAAGGGTTCCTACCGATTACTTACTCTATAAGACCTGTCAGCTTTGCCAGAGTGCTCCACTACAGAAATAATACATTTGTCTTACTTACCAATATACTCACTAAATAAGTACATTACTTGAAACAGATATACTCAAAATATTTTATGAAGCAATGAAATAAATAAAACCATTTATGTTCTTTTTGAAATTGATGGCAGATTAAAGGTTTATGGACATTTTGTATCTTTTCAAGAGTATGAGTTAAGACCCAACATTTACAGTTAAGATTTAACTCCCTCCTACACTCCACAGCAAAAACAAACAAACAAAAAAAGGCAAGCTGACCGTGTTTATAAAGAATAAAATTTGAAGACAAGTATCATGAGATAAATTGTAATTGTTACAAACTAAAAATGTACTTTCCTTATATTCAAAAGTACTATACAATTTCTTCTTATTGAAAAAGGCTAACAAAAATGACTCAATACATTTTATTACAGAAGCAGAAGGAAAGTCTTTGAATTGAGCTTAAAGCAACAAATTAATAGATGAGACCCAACTGACCAAAATGAGGTTTACGTCTAAGTCTCTTCTCCAAACTTCTGAGTTTTCTGATAAGCCTATTAGCACAGAGAAATAACTTACTGATTTTTACTTCTTAATTTCTGGTAGGACAATGTCCTGGGCACAGCAGCTATGTACTTTCTTTTTCAGCTAGAGACTGGTCCTTTGGGAATAACCCATCACAGCCAGGCTGGAGTTCTACCCAAGGTCTCTTCCATTTCCTGTTCCAAACAGTTCTCCAGAAATTCTAGCTACTGACCAAGCCCAGTGAGGAATTTCAGCCCTTTGTGCTGAAAACATTGGAGATCTGCTGGATCATCTCATGGAGAATATTGGTGGCCTGAGCCTTTTGGAATTTGGTGCCATCCATCTGCTCCAGGAGAACCTGAAAACATTCTTGTCCTTCAGACAGGAAGAAAAGGAAGATTCTTCCATTTGGTGAAGAACTGTGAAGGTCTCCTGCTTCTGGCAGGCTGGGCCAGGTCACAGCTAAGGGTACAGAGAAAGCTGGAGAACATCATCCTCAGTGTCACTAGTGAAAAGGTTGGCAGGGCCACTGGTGGGATGCAGCTGGCCGGGCCTTGTGAGCCTTCACTCAGCTGTCTCAGCACTTTCTTGTTGTGAGACTATTACATTACCAGGCAAGGATTTTCAGTTTTTGTACTTATCTCAATTTTTTTTCCATTTTGTTCACTTTCTATTCTATTTATGGATCTCAGATAATGTCATGACCTCAGCACTTCTTTTGTATTATAATGGAAATTAAACACTCCGAAAATGAAAGAAATCGCGATCTAACAGGATGTATTCATCCGAATGAGAATGTTTAGTTTAAATAAAAACCTGTCTGAGTCTCAATCTATTTCTCTTAAAATTCTAATAATGATGCTTAGAGGTTTTATCTTAGATGTCATTTTTACTTTCTTTTCTTTTTTTTCTTTCCTTTTTTTTTTTTTTTTTTTTTGAGATACAGTCTCTCTCTGTCACCCAGGCTGGAGTGCAATGGTGCGATCTCTGCTCACTGCAACCTCTGCCTCCTGGGTTCAAGCAATTCTCCTGCCTCAGCCTCCCAAGTAGCTGGGATTACAGGAACCTGCCACCATGCCTGGCTAATTTTTCTGTATTTTTAGTAGAGACAGGTTTTCACCATGTTGGCCAGGCTGGTTTCGAACTCCTCGCCTCAAGTGATCTGCCTGCCTCGGCCTCCCAAGTGCTAGGATTACAGGCGTGAGCCACTGTGCCTGGCCCATTTTTACATATTAAACTGCACTGAAATACACATTTCCTCACCTCTCTCCATTTCCCTTTTAAGGGGCTAATGCACTAGATTTGATTTCTTCCACCTTTCTTTACAGGAGCCACAGATCACAATCTACAGATCACAGGGCATAAAACTGGCATACCAACGGTTAACTCATCCAGTTGTCTTCATTCTGTCACTAAAAATGTGTTCACTGCATATACGGGACAAACAATGTGCTTGGCAATGTGGGTTCAAGGATAATAAGACAGGATGATGATTGCCCTCCAGGGAGCAAAAGCCAGACATTAAAGACACGATTATGATTAATTAAGCACTAGCATTCTCAGTGCTGCCAAGAGGAAGTACTGAGAGCAAATCAAGAGGGGAGTTGGAGGCAGTAGAAAGCTCCACTTTCTGACAAAATCTGTGACTCTTAGCAAGTTAAACATCAGATTTTCATTTCCTCTTCTGAAAAATTCAGAATATTTTAGTAGTTGTCATATTAGAAACTGTAAAGATTAAATGAAATAAAGTTTGGAAATTACTGGCTGAGAATCTGAACATGATAAATTATAGTGATGTGGTTTGGCTGTGTCTCCACCCAAATCTCACCTTGAATTGTAATAATTCCCACATGTCAATAGTGGGGCCAGGTGGAGATAATTGAATCATGGGGGCAGTTTCTCCCATATTGTTCTCGTGGTAGCGAATAAGTCTCACAAGATCCAATGGTTTTATAAATGGGGGTTCTCCTCCCTGCACAAGCTCTCTCTTGCCTGCCACCATGTAAGACATGACTTTGCTCCTCATTCACCTTCCGCCATGATTGTGAGGCCTCCCCAGCCATGTGGAACTGTGAGTCAATTAAACCTCTTTCCTTTATAAATTACTCAGTCTTGGGTATGTCTTTAGTAGCAGCATGAGAACAGACTAATACAGATAGTAACCTTTAGTATAATCTATATAGTTTGCATTTGTGAACTATATAGAAAAAATATATATATACATACAACCATGTATTTATAATCTGTATAGTCCATATTCAACCAAGTCCATCCAAGAAAAGCTTTGATTGCAGCTCCCCTGACACTCTCAGGGTCTTGCACATTGGCGCCTCCTAAATGGAAACTCTAGGAGAGGAAATTGTCTGTAAGACTGGAAAATATTTTAAAGAAGTTTATTCTGAGCCAATATGAGTGACCATATCCTGGAGAAACAGTTTTAAGAGGTCCTGAAAAAGTGCACCCAAGGTGGTTGGGTTATAATTTGGTTTTAGACATTTCAGGGAGATACGAATTGCAGGTAAAATCATAAATCAATACATGGAAGGTATACAGTGGTTTGGCCAGAAAAGGCAAGACATCTCAAAGTGGGGATTTAAAAGTCACAGGTGGGTTTCAGGGATTCTTTAGCTGGCAATTGGTTGAAACAGTTAAGCTTTGTCTAAAGACTTGAAGTCATTAGAAAAGAATGCTTAAATTAAGATAAATGGGTCTGCAATCTGCCATATGGTATTATATGAGAGTTAGGTTAGAAAGTGAGCCACATTTTACTGGGTTAATTTTTAAAAATCCATTTAAGGAGATTTTATGGTTTGCAGTACATAACTCTCGCCTTGCATGGCCTTAGGTCTTGCTTATAATTTGGTATCTTATTGCCACAAAGTCTGTTTTGTCTTATTATCTCTCTTATAACATCAATGCTGGCCAGTTTGTGTCCATACTCCAAAACGGAGGGGGATATAATGAGGCGTGTCCATCCTGCTTCCCATCATGGTTGAGAATTCAGTTAAGGTTTTTAGGGGTTCCATTGGCCAAAAGGGGGCATGTTCAGCCAATGGGTGGCTTAGTATTTTATTTTTAGTTTTAGTTTATAACTCTATATCTATATATATATGTAAGTATATGTAGAATATATACTTACATTTTATATATTATGGGTATTTAAATATATAAATATATACATATGTTATAATTTTATATAAAGTATATGCTGAAATATATAAATATGTATACGTAAGTATTTAAATGTACAGAAACACACATATAAAATAGATCAATATAAAAATATATATCCTTTATATATTTAAAATATATACTTAAATTATCAACTCAAATACTATTTTAATACAATATTAAAATTGGAAATTAATGCCTAAACATCCATGATGAGGCAAATATCAAAATTTTAATTAAGTAAAGGCAGGAAATGTAAGATGACCCTGAGGGTCTTACAAAGGAGAGGGGCCAGTGTAACAAATTATGGCAAACTCCACTCAGGCTATAAAATTCTTACCCTAGAAAATAAAAAGTTCTGACCTGCTCCTCTACTCTTTGTAGGCAACACTGCTCATTTCTCTTTTCAGCAACACAAGTCAAGGTGGGGTCTTGAGGAAGGGCTTTCAGTAAACCAAAGTTAAATAAAATTATCTCAGTGTCACTGAGTCACTGGAAATGTCAGACATGGCACTTCTCCCAGATAAAACAAAGTAGGGATCTTGAAAGCATTGCTGAGTTTGCTTCCTTTAAAGCTAGGGAAGTAAGATCACAACATTCTTGTTTTGGTATAAAGTATTTAAAATAATGCTGTTGAGTTTTAACATACCTGAATTATGGTTTCAGCGACACTGGCGTCTGAAGCTGAAAGCTTAGCTCCTGGCACACCCTGGGGCAGGCACGGGCGCCTCTCTGCTCCTGGCCCGGTGCGCGGCGTCCCCAGCCCCGGGCGCTCCCAGGACCCGTCCGCTCGCCCCAGGGTCCAGCGTGTCCCCTTCCCCAAGACGTCCCCGCCCTGCGCCCCCACACAAACGGAATCCCCAAGATTAAACCCGTGCGATCTCGAGCCCTCAAGTCCCGGAATCAACGGGTCCCTCTGTAAAAACAAGTCTCGCTGAAGTCTCTATGGGAAATAAAAGCCCCAAACCCAGGGGAAAATCCCGAAAATAAAAGGTGCCCTGCTGGCTACCTGAGGAAGATGTCTCAAGGGAGACCACGGCGGAGCTGCCTCCTGAGCAGCAAAAGAGATTTTTTTACTCAGGTCGAAGCTGCACAAAGTTGGCGCGATAAGCCGCGACGACGTTTCCCTGGGGCTGCGGGACGCCCCGAAACTCAAACCCGCGGTTCCCAAATCCTGGGCATCAGGAAAACCCATTCTGGCGCCTTGCTGCGGCCGTGGTGCGCAGCGCTGGGAGCTTTGCGCTCTTTGCGCAGCGGGCCCGCGCCCCTTCGAGGCCGGCTAGTGAATCTCTGAAATCACAGTGGCCTACACCTCCCTGGTAATGGCGGGAGTCATCATGCTCATCTCCAGCGCTGCCTGCTCACTTGGCAGGGACAAGTCTTGGAGCCATGGCTAGAAAACAAGGAAGGCAGGAGGAAACCTCAGTGCTATTCACACAGCTGAAAAGTATCCCCTCTCAATCATGCCTAATGACAGAACCCACTTCAAGTTTTCTAGGAAACGAGGAACTATCACCCAAATCCAGAAGACAGGAGACATCCGTTTCCACCGTCAGCTGCTCCAGCAGATCTTCAGCCTCTTCCCCAGGGACGACACACTGGCTGTTTGGCATAAGATCCTCCTCAATAAACGACTCTCCAGACTTGATCACAGTCTGGAACGACTGCAGCTGACAAAAGTACATTTCTGCAAAAGTAGAAAATCTATCTTGTCTCTATTTAGGAATTGCTGTCTGGAAATATTTCCAAAGAATCATTCCCTATGTGAAGTAAAGGGAATAAGGCCTCTGTGCCTGGGAGGTTGTCAGAGGGGAAATTGAAGGGTGCTTTTCCCTAGTTAACAATCCTCAAAGAAAAGACAGCAAATAAACAAGAAAGTTATTATATATTCATGACTCTCTCTAATCAATTACATTATTGTTTTCTGAGCCAAAAAAGCAATGTCATCTCAGATTTTTTAACCAGCTAGAAAAATCTGAAACCAAAATCAGTAGATTATATCAAAATTATATTGTGTATTACAAATTTATAAAAAATATTTGCAGAAAAGAACACGTATTAGTTTCTTAAGATGATCATTTATTATTTTATTTATCTGCTTAAATCTTTGAGGGGTATTTGCTGTTTCCAAAGTTGAAAATTTAATTTTTTATGGAAAAGTTTCTTCAGGATAGTATTTTAAAAGACTTTGTCAGTTAAGTTGATGAGAGCTGCTGTAACAGATAAATAGAAAACAATTAGTAATTAGATCAATATGCAAATTTACCTTTCCTTCCTATAAAAGCTCAATGCAGGACTTCCTGCTCAGATGACTCGGGTTGGCTATTCAGGGATCTGAGTACCTTTTATTTTGTGGCTTTGCTATCTTCAACATATAACCCCAAATGTGGCTGTGGTGCTTCAATCTATTTTAGTCAATTGCAAAGGTTAAACTGTGTGGTACATCACGTGGAGTTGTTTTCACACGTTACAGGGCAAGATACACATCTTGCCAAGATGTTACAGGGCAAGAATCTCTTCCAACCAAATTAACTTGGCCTGGATTTATTCTCACAGGATACCAAGATGCAAAGAAGTTGTGAAAGGGAGTCCAATTGGGTGACTAGTAGGAAAAGAAGGCAAGTTCTTTGAATAAGATTAATCTTCATTTTTATAATATTTGTACAAATGCTATTTTTGGAGGAAAAACAACCAATGTTTTTGCTCACATATTCTATTAAAAACTCTCTTCCAAAATCTGATTTCACAATTCAAACGCAGGGAAGTGGACACAGATGTCATTTATTAGAGTTTATGGCATCATTGACTCTTTGAAAGAAAGGGTTAAACTGGTTCCCAAAGCCATTGGCTAAAGTTGAAAAAAGACCAAGAGTATGGGATAAGGCCTTGGAACACATTGTAAAATTGAAATTGTTTCCTTATTGTCTGAGGAGACAAGGAAACTATGACAGGTATCTCTGCAGGTACTTGAAGACCACTGAAAGAAAAGTGGAGAGGGAATTTTCCATTTGTCCAAGTCATTTTTTCTCATTCAGATATTCTAATTATTAAAAATACAAACTTGAAAATGATTCTACAAGCAAGTGGCTGTTCTTTCTTTGAATATTCCACATAATTTTCAATGATAACTTCCAATGAAGAACCTTGAAGAATTTACAAATTATCTTTTGATGTATTTTCCTTTCAAATTATGTATCTAATATGTATTGGTAATATTCTTTCCACTGGTTTTATAGTGATTACTCTTTTTCATGAATATTGGCTGAGCTCCTGAAATGATAGGGACTGGGCCAAGATGCCAGGGAAAAAGACTAGATAAGATGACGTGTCTGCCCATAAGTATCTTATGGAGTCCTGATAAAATATTCTAAAGAGAAAATAGGTCAGATCACTAAAGGCAACATCTCAGACAGCAAAAAAAGAGAAAATTATAACCATGCCTAAGGGAGAATAAGAACACTACCAGGCAAAAACATCTGACCAAGGACTCAAAATCCAAAATCACGGTTTTTTCACCTGAAGTAGCACTTTGAATATTACATGCCAAATTTTGGAAATCAAACAGAAATGGACCTCACTATCACATGGAAAATGGATGGAGATAACAAGAAGCAAATGGTCATTCATCTATTTTTTGTACAAGGAGAATCTTAAAAAATCACTGGATAAGGCGACATAATTATCACATTATTTAAGACACACTTAAAAAAATGGAAGGCCAAACGGAAGGAGTAAAGGCATAGTTTGCTCCAATTCTAGGCCTGTTTTTAGCAAGTATCTTTCCACCTATGCAAACACGTTATTTTTTTCCAACCCCATTTCTTTAGTTCTCTCCATATATTGCCCATCATGTTTGCCCGGTTTCTCAAAACAAGTGGTAAAATTAACTCAGCAGCAAACTCTGCTGGCCTGCAACATAAAAGGCATCAACCAGCTGGCAAGTCAGGTGACTCAGAGACTTTGGTATCACAGTCCTCCTCCTATAATACACTGGACTCTCCTCATTTCTCCAGAAGACCTTCCATTCCCACTTTTAATCCTTTTAGTGAGCCCTTCTAGATGTGGTCTCCCTGAGCTCTGAGCCTTAGTTCATTGGTTTAGTTCTGATTTAGCTCATGTCTCTAGCTTGTCATTGCTTAGTCTTAAACTTGGGCTAAGATAGAAATCTAAGGCCTTACGGATATTTGAATAAAAGGATAGAAATATGCAGGTTTTTACGGAGTTGTTTATGGATATATTACTAGGGTGAACAAAGAGTTTTGCAACTACATTCAAGTTTATGAATATACATTCTCAAAAAAACAAAACTAGTATATAACATGTAAATAAATTGGGGCCCATCTTTATTATAATGTAACATATCAGGCATAAACAAATAGGGCTTTTCAGTGAGGGAGAGGGTGAAGGAGCTGAAAAGAAAGGCCGTGACCTTCTTTATGTAGAACTGTACTAAGAAAACATTGACCGGGGTCTAGAAACCAGCTCTGGGTCTTATGGCCAGAAATAATTCCCAGGGAACATGTAAGAAATGAGGATTTAGAGTCAGATGTTTTGGGTTCCAACTGTAGCTCCACAACTCAATAGCTCCCTGTGCTTCTGGGTTTTCCTTTTGTAAAAAAGGACAACAGTACAACCTGTCAGTGTCTGCTTTGGTCACTGATATCTCTAGCAACTAAGTAGGGATGGGCATATAGTAGATGTTCAATAAAAATGAAAATGAGGGTATTTCTCATTGAATGAAGTGAAAATAGTTTTTGTAAGTGCTAAGAACAATATCTGATTGATAGCAAACATGATAAAATTTAGCAACTTTTTATTCTTCTTATTAGTGTTATCATTATTGTCCTTTTAAGTCAAGATAAGTTTCCTTTGAGATCATCTATTCCCTGGCTTCTTGTTAGATAGATATATTAGTCAGAGTTCTCCAGAGGGACAGAACTAAGAAGATATGTTTATATATAAGAGGGAGTTTATTAAGGAGAATTGACTCACACGGTCACAAGGTAAAGTCCCACCATAGGCTGTCTGCAGGTTGAGGAGCAAGGAAGCCAGTGGTGGATCAGTCCGTGTCCCAAAACCTCCCAAGTAGAGAAGTCAACAGTGCAGCCTTTAGTCTGTGGCCAAAGGCCTGAGACCCCCTTCCAAATCACTGGTGTAAGTCCAAGAGTTCAAAAGCTGAAGAACTTGGAGTCTGATTTCAAAGGCAGGAAGCATCCATCAGAAAGATGAAGGCCAGAATACTCAGCAAGTCTCCTCTTCCATCTTCTCCTCCCTACTTAATTCTAGCCATGCTGGCAGCTGATTAGATGGTGCCCACAGTGACTGAGTGTGGGTCTGCCTCTCGCAGTTCACTGACTCAAATTTTAATCTCCTTTGGCAATACCCTCACAGACACACCTAGGAACAACACTTTGCATCCTTCAATTCAATCAGGATAACACTCAATGTTAACCATCACAACAGATAACATGCAATATACTGATCTTCTGAGTTTATCTGTCTACTAGTGGAGAACTTGAGATAATTATACTTGTCCATTCTACAGACAGAATATTGTGCTCTTACAAATTTGCCTTTCTGGTGCACAGTGTCTTATGTTTGGTTCATCACCCTCAACTGTCTAGTAAGGCTGAATTCACTAAAGCTGAAAACATCCCCTTGGACCAGTAATGATTACTTTTCTTTGAGCTCCTGCCCATTTGCTACCTTTGTTCTACATCTCTTGCACCATTTTGCTTCTGCTCTTCCTCACCCCTTAATGTCCATCTAATCTGGGCTGAATATCCAAGTTATATTTTGTTAGTTGTTTTTCTCCTTTGGGATGTTACTTCCATTCTTATGTTTTTATCACATTTAGTTATACATTTGTTTTCTTTTTGCTCTCATTTATTGGGATACAAAAAGCAACAACTTTTGCTTTCTGTGAAAAAGGAAATGAGAAAGATATCTGGTATCCTGCATGCTATGTACAACAATTGCACACCTCATTTACTTTATCATACTTAGATATTATTATTTACCTTAGGAAACAGATGGCTTTTTTTATTTTATAAGAATGAACTAGAATTGGGATGTCCCCAGGTTCTTTGGGAAATCTAAACATTAATGCAAAAATTGTTTTGAAAAATATAATTGATGTTTTCTCAATTGTGTATTCTCATTGGGGATGATATTGCTCCTAAGGGCACAAACCTTAGTTCTTGTGGTGTGAACAAATTGTAGATATTATATTCGTTTATGGCCCCTCAATGCAGAACTCTAAGACAACCCTATCCTGTAGTGTTTATTTTCTTTCACTTGGTTTTCTTATGTATTACATGAAAAGACTGATATTGAGTTCATGGAAGATACACAAAATGTATGTGAGATTAGTGTTGCAAACCAATGTGAAATAGATGGTTGTCACTGGTGGACTTTCCACTATGTGCTCAATCTCAGAGTCATACCATGTGATGTGGTCTCCATCGGCATATGAATGGGCTGCCATTGGCTGTCTTGGGTATGTAGCTTATGTTTGATCCTCAGTGCTTTCAAGTGTATTATACTCTTTTATACAAATGTTTTTATTTTATGATTAAATTGTATAAAACTTTTTCAAACATCACTACTTATAGGAAGTGCTGAAAAGAAAAATATGTTGACTATATCTGGATGAAAATCTAGCAGTTAGTGAAGGTAAAAATCATTTTCTATATGAAGCAAAGCTAAAAGTTAAGTATAATAAATTAAATGTTACAGGAATAATTTAATTTTAAATAGCCCCTTAGCAGTTTTGGGAGATTTTTAAGTATTTTTATTTTTTTGATATTACATATTTTATATAAGTATTTTTATTATATTGGTATTATATATTTTCATATATTATAACTTTGCATGTTTCACTTGATTCATTAATATTTATATAAGTATATATACTAGAAGTCACTCAGCAAATAACTTTTATAAAGTTAAATGCCAATAGCTTTTAAATTTAACTTTTGACATAAAATTTTTACTTATTCTTAATGCTGCATTGCATAAAAAAGTAAACTGTCCACTTTGTTTTCTAAAGCATGGATAGGAATGTAGTACATTCAAATATGTGCATAATATATCTGTGTTATTAAATTATCAGGAGGGGTTTACTTAGAAAAAAATTATCAAACAGGACTCTGGAGGTTGAGAAAGGGAATGCAGTAATGAAAAGAAAACTGGTTGAGAAACACTTTCCTAAGCCCATGTAGAGAGTACATAAAGGAAAGCAAAAACAGAAGTAGAAAAAAAAAATGCAGTAGCATTCAGAAAATGGAAACAAATATGTTCCCTATATAAGGCGGTGTACAAACCAAAGTCTTCAGAGACCCAGGTTAAGGGTCATCCATCTGAACCAGCTCAGCAGCATCCACAACATCTACAATGGCCTTGACTTTTTATTTACTGGTGGCCCTAGTGGTGCTCAGCTACAAGTCATTCAGCTCTCTGGGCTGTGATCTGCCTCAGACTCACAGCCTGGGTAACAGGAGGGCCTTGATACTCCTGGCACAAATGCGAAGAATCTCTCCTTTCTCCTGCCTGAAGGACAGACATGACTTTGAATTCCCCCAGGAGGAGTTTGATGATAAACAGTTCCAGAAGGCTCAAGCCATCTCTGTCCTCCATGAGATGATCCAGCAGACCTTCAACCTCTTCAGCACAAAGGACTCATCTGCTGCTTTGGATGAGACCCTTCTAGATGAATTCTACATCGAACTTGACCAGCAGCTGAATGACCTGGAGTCCTGTGTGATGCAGGAAGTGGGGGTGATAGAGTCTCCCCTGATGTACGAGGACTCCATCCTGGCTGTGAGGAAATACTTCCAAAGAATCACTCTATATCTGACAGAGAAGAAATACAGCTCTTGTGCCTGGGAGGTTGTCAGAGCAGAAATCATGAGATCCTTCTCT
This sequence comes from Homo sapiens, assembly GCF_000001405.40. Taxonomy (NCBI): domain Eukaryota; kingdom Metazoa; phylum Chordata; class Mammalia; order Primates; family Hominidae; genus Homo; species Homo sapiens. The sequence goes on from NC_000009.12 coordinate 21,409,705, forward strand.
TTATCAATCAACTTGCAAAAAAGATTGAAGAGTAAGGAATGAGACCTGGTACAACACGGAAATGATTCTTATAGACTAATACAGCAGCTCACACTTCGACAAGTTGTGCTCTTTCAAAGACCCTTGTTTCTGCCAAAACCATGCTATGAATTGAATCAAATGTGTCAAGTGTTTTCAGGAGTGTTAAGCAACATCCTGTTCAGCTGTATGGGCACTAGTCCCTTACAGATGACCATGCTGATGGATCTATTCATCTATTTATTTAAATCTTTATTTAGTTAACTATCTATAGGGCTTAAATTAGTTTTGTTCATATTATATTATGTGAACTTTTACATTGTGAATTGTGTAACAAAAACATGTTCTTTATATTTATTATTTTGCCTTGTTTATTAAATTTTTACTATAGAAAAATTCTTTATTTATTCTTTAAAATTGAACTCCAACCCTGATTGTGCAAACTGATTAAAGAATGGATGGTACAATTCCTTTATCCATGCTTATTACATTCAAATTATAAGTAAAAATGAACTTTGTCTAAATTAGGTTGTATGTTGCCCTCAAGATATCCAGGTGAACATAACAAATACAATTCCCGCTCTCTCATATCTTTGTTTTTTGTTGGGAAAGAAAACTAAAAACAGTAATCATACTTAATATCAGTTATGTCTAATGCTATCATGAGAAGAAAGAACCAATGAATTTATCTCACCAGAAGGTAGACCAAGGCATGTGAGGAAATAAAAATAAACGCAGAGATATCCTCTATATGCTAACTGGTAGACATCTAAGTGAAAATGTGCACTACCAGTTGGATATATGAGTTTGCAATTAATAAGGAATGCAATTGCTAGAGGTTCATATGCAGTAACTGAAAGCCCAGAAATGGAGGATCTCATGTGGGGAGAGAGTGTCGAGGGAGAAAATGGCTTAAACGTGATTCTGAGGACCTTCCACACTTAAGAAAGGAAAGAGAAGAGCCACAAAGAAACAGATGGAAAGGCCACACATTAGAAGGACAACAGGAGAAAATACTAGGAAAAAAAGTTTAAGAAAATTAATATTCTTAAAAGAGTTATCAGTAGATTTACAGAAGATATACATTGAAACTGTCCACTACCTCGGGAAAATAGATGGCACTGGCAACCTTATGAGAGTTATTATGGTAAAATAAATCAGAACAAACCATACTGTAGTGGCTGGAAGTATAAATAAGAGAAGTTAGTGACTCTGAAGAGGGCAAAAAAATAGGATGTGATGGGGGAAAGAATGTGAGTTACTTTTTCTGTGCATAGTATTTCCTTTATTAATATTTTTCTGGATAGATTTCATGTAACTGATGTACTAGCAAATCATATTAATATACTTAATATATTATTTTAAATCATGATATATTATTTACAATTATAATTTATTATTGTTTTAATTAATACTACTTTGGCTATCAGTAAGCTACCTAGTTTCTGTTCATCTGTTAGGGAGTAAGAGATAACTAATTCGATCCTTCACCGAAATAATTAATGATGATAATATAATGACACCTGGAAGTATTGGCCTTATTTGTTGTTAACTTGCATCATTGTCACACTGGTTTACTACAGTTCTTCTGCACCTTTACAATCCATCTTAATTTCTTGTAGTGCTAGATATAAGAATTCTTTTATGTTACACTTTGGTAATTCTTCCTGATTTCATGAATATTGTAGTCTTAGATCAATCCAGAAAGAACCGAATTACTATGGACATAAAGACTGACAAACATCCTTCACAAAATAAAAGTGGGAAACAATCAGAGACTTTCTTTCTCAATACGTAAGGTAAAGAAAAAAACTGGTCAACATCAAGTGAAAATACATGAACCACGCATATTCAGAGAGCAAGGAAGAGTTATGTATAATTCATGAATAAAAGGAGATTTAGCAATTATGACAGAAATCTGGAATACAAAACTGACAAAATCACCCATCAATTACATTAAAGAATTTGATACTGAAATTTCATTCTGCTGGGAGGTAGGTGTATTGTTGATCATTCTGCTTAATCTCTTTGAGCCTTAGTTTTCTCATAGAGCCTTAGTTTTCTCATAAATAAAATGGTTTCAAAATATTTATATAGTTGTGAGTATTAAAGGAACACATGCATTTTAAAGCACCTACGATAATATCTTTTATCGAATAAGGAGTTAAACTATGGTAGGTATTTTCCTATTTTTCTTCATACAGCTGTAGATGGTAATATTATTTGTCTTTTTATAAAATTCTTAGGAACTATGTCCTATATTTTAGTAACGGACCTCCAATGGAAGGAGATTAAGAAAATGAGAATTCTAGAGAGGCTGAAAAATTGTCAATCCTCATTTCAAAGATGTGTCCTATTTATATGCAGTCAGGGAATGGTGGCTGCTCCTTTTCCTGAGATAGGAGAAGAAGCATCTAGTTTGAACTGCAGAAGACACATGATGTTTATTGACTGATTCTGGCACCTGGTACATTCCTTCCCTGGCTCTCAGCATTCCAGGATGCAGTCTCATATCACCAGGGTTTCCTTGATCATTCACTCCCTTTATCCTTCTGCCCATTCACACAGAGCTGCTTTCTGTTCTGTTGTGGTTCTGGCTTCATGGTTTCCCTAAATAGCAGAAAAGTAAAAGTAGAAAGCAGAAGTTAAATAAAAAAGACAGTCCCCTGGGACCAAGTGTAACAAGAGCAGCAACCAAGACTGGAGGGCAGGTTTCTGATCTATGGAGAAATCCTACCAGTTCTGGAGATTTCTCTTTGTGCTGCAAAAAAGCTACTTATTGGCGAGAAGAGACGCTAATGTTGTCCAAGTTTGTTCCTTATCCCTGGTCTATTACAAAGAGAATGAGTTTCCAGGTACAGTCAAGGCATGGACTCCTTGGGATTCGCAGTGATAGGGACACAGAGATGTAATATCTGCCCACCCTACTGTGCAGAACAGTCTACTCCCCAGGATCACCCCATCCTCATACATTGGGACTCCAGGGCACAGGTAGGGCTGCCGTTTTGTATTGGAACTTAATACTATTCACAGAAACCTCATGTTTAATGGTGCATTAAACCAGCAGTACAATCTTAATTTCACAGATTTAATCCTAATATCAGAGTTCAAACATTAACAAATTAAAACATTTTCTCACTGTCATTTTGAATAATGATCTTTCCAGTTCTTCCACTCAACAGTAAAACCCCTGCCCAGTTAGAAAAAGGAAGAATTCCCATAGAAGCTAAGGAATGTGAAAGAATAGCATTACTGTTCCCTGAGAGCTGGCGAGGTCTATTTATTCAAATGTATCAATTTTGGTAGAGATTGAGAGGCATTCCTATAATTGACACCATATATTCTGGAGTTATTTCACTAGGAAGTGTGTGTGAATTGCTGAGGTAGCAGGGAGGGAGAGCCTACAACTGCACAGGGGCCTCTTGAGTCTTTTCCTCCAGCTACACACTCAACATCTGGATTTGCTGCTTTCAGACTGGGAGTTGACCAGGGCCTTAGACAAATTACAAAAAATTGTATTGTTTGCAGTCTTCTTCTGTCCTCTAGAGGGGAGGATGGAGAAATTTAGGAGTGACCAACGGGGAGGTAATTGAATCATGGGGGTCGGTCTTTCCCATGGTGTTCTCGTGATAGTGAATAAGTCTCATGAGATCTGATGGGTTTATCAAGGGTTTCTCCTTTTGCTAATTCCTCATTTTTCTCTTGCCAGCACCATGCAAGAAGTGCCTTTCACCTCCTGCCGTGATTCTGAGGCCTCCCCAGCCATGTGGAACTAACTGTAAGTCCAATTAAACCTTTTGTTCCTAGTTTCAGGTATGTCTTTATTAGCAGCATGAAAACAAAGTAATACATCTTCCCTCTCCTTTCTTTAAGCAGAAGGAAGGGTCTCATTTGGAGTTCTGAACTGTGCTTCCTGGGGTTACGGGAGAAGTGTTGCAAGTACTCCTTTAACCTTTGTTGCTGGTGTCTCAGTAGGTCACACGCCCCCTTCCTGTTCGCTGCCTCTGAACCCAGCTCAGCACTAGGAGTTGCTTAGAAATTACAGTCCTTGTGGCCTAGGCTGCCTTTCAAGTTTATTTAGCGTCCCAGAGCCCTTTAGTCCATGGTGGGGAGGTTTGCTGGAACTCAATCTCCCATCACTGGGATAGGACATTTCCCTCTGGCTAGGGCTGGTTCAAATGCTCCCTCTATGGGCAGGCACAGCTGAGTACAGCCCTGTGCTGCTTTCTGCTGTCAGAGGGCAGCCATGAATTTAAGGCAAAGTCTCACACGTACTGTACTCTCCCTCTCCCAAGTGCACAGATTCTCCATGCCATGTGGCTGCTGCTAGGGATGGAGGCAGGGTGGGGATGGCAATTCAAGACTGTCTTTCCTACCCTCTCCAGTGCCTCTTTTAGTGATATAGAGTTAAAATCAGACACTGTGAGTGTTCACAAGATTTTTGGTTCCTATGAAGATGCTCCCTTTGCATAGACAGTTGTCAAACTTGATGTTCCTACCGAGAGGGTGGGACCATCGATGGTGCCCTCCATTCAGCCACCTTGCTCTACCCTCCATAATGTCTTTCAAATGTTATAACCTCTTTCATTTTTTTCAATGCTTTAAAAAAATTATATTCAGGTTGTTGTAAAAGTTTTATGACTTGGCTCCAAACTGTCACCTTGCCCTGGAAATCTCTATAGCCATATCTTGCATCATATCCTGGAGTTATTAACCAGTTATGTGTTCTACAGTAGTCAGGAATCAAGCAGTGGGTCTGGAGGACCAGGACAGAGAGTGAAGTTGGAGGGCAGTGAGTGCTGAGATGCCCCACCCATTCAGGTCCCTCTGTAGTGCCAAACATTACTTCCCCCTACACTCCCAACCCAGCTGAGGTGCATCTAGTTTACCTGAGAAGGGCCACAGGGAGCATGGAGAAGCACTCCAGTTCCCATGGAGACTTGGCAAGGGCTAACCATGCAGCACTAGCTGGAGACAGCTAAGTTTTTAGAGCCTTGGAAGCAAGAGTGTGAATATGACCTTGTTTTGACCCCTCCTGCCAGGTGATTCATGAGCTGTGGGGGGTCCAGACCCACTGATGTCCAGTCAGGCCACAAAATGCAGTAAATGGAAGGAGGCCTTCCCCCATACTTATGACCCAAAGAACTGGTAAAGAATGCAGGAGCTCATCTGTTCTTATGTTTAGAAGTTTCCATGTTCTGATTCCCCTAAGAGGAGACTGCACCAGACATAGGACTCTCATTTGTTTAAAAACAAACAAACAAAACAAAACAAAAAAAAACAGAATACATCACAACACAAAGAAGTTGAAAAAAAGAGGAGCAGTCTGATATCTTGGAAGGAGAATAGAGATGTTTAAAACATTGACTGCAACAGTGGCAGGTCCTCAAGAGATGGAACTACGTGAATGAGCAGATGGAGTTAACTGTTCAGATCCTCTGATCATAGAGAGGGAGAGAAGATTGAAAGTGGATGAAGACTGAAGCACAGAGTCGTCTCACAGAGACATGGCCAACCTCAGTGACTCCAGCATGGGAGACACTGATAGACCACAGTAGCCTGCAGAGTTTTGGAAGGGACAAGCCTTATTCTAGTGCCAGCTGCCAACTGCTGTTTCCTCTTAAGGACCTAGCAAGTCATCACTCCACAGGGAAAATTATTCCATGAGGCCAGTGCAATCTAAGACATCTCTTAAATTTTGGTTATAATGCAGCCTCCTTTAAAACTAAAACAAAATGAAGCAATACCTGAACAGAAGGGACATATCAGGTATTTGAGTATAATTAGAGGCAAGTAGGGCAGAGCCTTCCAAGCAGGACAGATATTAGTAATGTGCATATTTGAAGATCATAATAACTAATGATAGCAAAGACCTTTGTCAATATTCATTGAATGAAAATAGTTGAAAAATAAAACATTGGCAGTTTGATTCCCTTTGTTTTCTTTCCAGTTAGTACATTCTGCGGTGAGTCAGCATATTTAGAATTTGGAACTCTTCCTGAAGATTAGAGTCCATAAAACAACAACAACAAAAAATCAAATTTAAATAAGTAACAAATTAGAACTATCAGCCATTAATGTATTATATAGCACCCTGTGACAGCCAATTATGAAGCTAGTGATGATGAAATCTTTAGAGAATCAGACAACTACAAACAATTCATCTCTTGTTGTATAAAAGGAAACTCCAATTGTGCCTGTTAAAGGAGTTATAATGAGCTCCGCTTGCGGTGATTTCATGTGAAGCAAGCTACATCCTGTACTGATGGCACTAGGGCACCATCCCAACTCCCCAGATGGCCAAGACACCTTGACAGGGATTATTGCCAGAGCATCTGGGTTATAGGGAAAAAAGTGACTGTTTTAGATGCTAATCTGCCATGTCACTCCTGATTAACCCCAAGTCTGGGAATGCCTCCAAGATATCTAGTTAATGCATTACTCTACGTAGAAACACCTATTTACTGTAAGTCTTACTTTTCCTCCATAATAAGCCTTGACGTTGCAGAAATCACAGACTGTGACACTCTTAGCATTCTCTCAGCCACCTACACCTTCCTTCCAGAGCAGATATACTTTTCCCCCAAGATATAACCCCTAGGTCTAGGGGGCTGCAGCACTGAGACCTACTTGTTTTGTTCCTACACAATGACATGTTTCTGTCTGTAAGCTCCCCAGAAAATCACCCTTTACCAACAAACTAAATTTATCTGTCTTGTTCTTTGGTTTCTGGGCTCTTTTGGCATTTGGGGACCGCTTTGCGTATATAGCCTTTTCACAGAATGGGGTCTTTGCACATGTTGACTGAACGTGCAGTCTGGGGACAGTGGAAAAAGCTCCATGTGACTCTGTGTGGGTCATACATGTTTGTGCACACAGGTAGGCAGGCCAACAACTTGGCAATGACAGGATTTTATTTCCTGATTTTGGTAAATGTTTGTAAACTAAAAATTACATCTTTTAAATCTTAAGAAACAGAAACACTGTAGAAGCAAGAGGTTGAAAATATCATCCATTTTGATGCCAACAATTGACAATCCTAGATAGCCAAAGACAGCCTTACTAAGCAATGTGGCTGCTTTTGGAGTCAAAGGAAGACTCACTTTGGTAAGTAGCCTTTTGAAAGCATTCACTGCTGTGGTGTGGGAAGTGCATAATGTTTTTCCATCTTGCTCATACAAAATATTTTTTTTTGGCACTTACAGCTCAACTGTTGGATAAAAAGATAAAGAGAAGAAAAGGATCTTCAGTGGGTTCATCAGTAGACAACACAAAGTCCAGTCTGACCAGGTGGGAAGAAACTGATTTGTCATCCTTGGGAATGAGAACAGCATTAAAATGGAAAATATTAGGTGCTTTTTGCTTATTCAAGACAACTCAAGAGTCAAAAATAAATAGGCCTCTAGGAGTACGCATTTAATGGGTTCTTAAAGTGGTCTAAATATATTTCATTTAAGAAATCGCTCATTAATTTTTAGACTTTTTTATTGGCAGAAAAATCTGCTGCCTTATATCCATTTAGATGGTCTTTTGTTTACTTTTACGAAAAACTTAAAAGTCAGTCAGTTCAATTCACTCATAGCACACCTACTCTTGCCCTATAAAACAATAGACAGCAACACATGGGCATTTGAAGTGGAACCCAGAATCCCTTGACAACTTACCCTCCCTGCTCTTCTTATTTCATGCTATGGCCTCTCCTTGGTTCATGAATCTCATGTCCAGTTCTGTTTTTTTAATGGACTCCTCCAGACTCACTATTATCTCAGTTTGCCCTGTGGTTTTGACCTTAGGTCTTTGTTCTATTCCTTCAGATTTATATTTCTCTCCAGACAGTTATAAAAATGAGTGTAATCCAAACATGGTTATTGGGTCAACAGTTTTAATGATCTTAAAACAGTCACAGGCCTATAGTTATAATGCAATAATTTTGGTGTTATCTTTTAAAAAAATCACCATTGTTATAACACAACTAGGAGCAGAATCTTTTGGGAAATCAAATTCTGTTTCTTTGCAGGTTTCTAAATGCCATCTTTTCATTTCCTGGGTGGATTTTTTAACTAGGTACGGTGCTAAGGCAAGGCTAATATTCATTATCATGCCAGAGAGGACTAGTGTTCTAGCAACTGGGGTCTTGTTGCCAGTCTACTGTGAGTTGGTTGGTGTGACTCCTCCTTTCTTACCTCAGAGGTGATAACATCTGCATTCAATGAAAGAAGAGCAGGTGGCTGGTCTTGCAAAGCTGAGGACAATCCATTGACCCAGGAGTTGCTCTTCTGTGAGGCTCTGGCAGAAGCAGCCGTTTCCCTTGCTTTTGTGTACCTCAACAATGACATTCATCCTTCCCCTGGGACAGAGTCCCTAGTCTCTAATTTTGCTGCACTGAATTTTGCTAACATATGTTTTGCTATTTTGTCAGCAGAAAGTCACTTCTCTTACTTCCTGATATTCAGGCTTATATTTGTTTTGTTTTTAATATATAAGCAATTGTTGAGGTTTGCTTTCTAGGAAAGTTGAAATGAGAGACAAAAAATCTGAAATCTTGAAAATTATGGAGAAGAACAATATGGTTCCTTTGCCTTTCTTTTACTTTTCTTTATTTGTTTTAATTCATCATAAATAAGAATATCATGTAGGAGAAGCAAGATACACCTTACCCAGTAAACCACTATGTGAAAAGAAGTTACAAAAATTCGGCCAGTCATGGTGGCTCAAACCTATAATCTCAGCACTTTGGGAGGCCGAGGCAGGTGGATCATGAGATCAGGAGATCGAGACCAGCCTGGCCAACATGGTGAAACCCCGACTCTACTAAAATAAAAAAAATTAGCCAGGCATGGTGGTGAGCACCTGTAGTCCCAGCTACTCGAGAGGCTGAGGCAGGGGAATTGCTTGAACCCAGGAGGTGAAGGTTGCAGTGAGCTGAGATTGTGCCACTGCACTCCAGCCTGGTGACTGAGACTCCATCTAAAAAAAAAAAAAAAAGAAGAAGAAGAAGAAGTTACAAAAATTCAACATGAAAAATCACAAACAAGTAAGGAAATAAGGCTATTTCTTTCTTACTGAATAACCTGAGCCTCACTGCCCTGCATTGTCAGAGTGAGACAGACACAGAAAAAGACTCCATTAGAATCATGCTGACTGTATAAAATAACTTTAGGTCACTAGTTTCTGTAAATTAGGTTGTAATAAAAGAAAATATTGTTACTGAATCCCCTGTGTCCACCTCAGAAACTTCAAGCATAACAAGTTTTCAGTGGTTTAAGTAAAGGTCTTCATCAATAAAAACTGTACTTCGCAAAATAAGAATTACTTGACTAAGGAAGGTAAAATGATTGCAGTTGCATAAGTCCTCTACCTCCTTAGACAAAACAAGCCTTTGCTATCAGCATTGGAGGACTGTTGAGACTTTTGATACCTAGGAACATGGCTCAGGAGAGGAAGAGGCCATCACTGAGGGCTAGGGTCCCTCACACAAACACTCTAGGGACAAAGGCAAGGGCCTTAGAAGATAGATTATTTTGGCAGCAAAGAAACAAGACATTCCTCAGGGGTTGAATTCTGAAGTCATCAGGATGTGGTGAGCCTGTTTTCAGGGAATAAATCTGTCTGGAAGATTTTGGATTCAGGCTACTTTGTGACTCTATAGGAGAGAGTGTTAGTGGATGTGATAACTACCTTGTGAGTGAGGTGATGTTGGAAAACATTATCTTGGAATTAGAATCTCTACACCTATATGCACCTGAAAAACAGCCAGGATTCTTCCTGAGGGAATTGACACAGCCTGAGGAGCACTTAGTCCACCAGTAAGAAATGGTGAAAAAAACAGCAATGGTCTGCATTAATCCTGACTTTGTGACCCCCATGAACCACGGCCTCATGGACCTCAATAAATGCATTTTAGAAGGAAGAGAAATTTCACAGAAGTTCATTCACCAATACCCATCAATCTCTGCTGTGAATAAAACAGCAAACAAACCCAGTCCTAAAGAGTTTGAATGCCATAGATGGTCTGGTATATCCCTAACTTCATACACCCATAGAGGTGAGGGAGTCTGATTTCCTATGTAAAGTATGGAGGGTAAAAATAGAGCCTAGGATCAGGGCTCAAAATCTTTTCCAAGAACAGAAAAAGCAATGTTTATATATTAAAAAATAGTGTGTGCATGCGTGCATGTGTGTGTGTGATTTACATACATATATACGCTTAGGCCTTTAGGACAAAGATGTTTCTCATGCAATTGATAAATATCCATTTTGATTGACACCTCTAAAGTTTACTAGGAAAATTAGACTTCTATTGCAAAATTAATAGTATGGAGTGATGTTTCTTCTTAGGTCATATGAAGAATAAAAAAATAATAAAAAGGGAAATAAGTGTAGAGGAATGCAGAAAATGAAAACTATTTGTTTCCTGTTAAAAGCCATGCATAGTGAATGTCTTGAGAGAACCTAGGTTCCAAATTACACTCAGACCCCAGCTCCACCAGGCCAGCAGCTCCCTCATTTCCCAGTGGCCTGCCTTCACTCTCTAGTGGTGGTCCTAGTTGTGTGCAGCTGTGGCTCTTTTTGATCTCTGGGATGTGACCTGACTCAGAACCATGGTCTGACAGGAAGGAAGACGTTGGTGCTTCTGGGCCAAATGAAATGGATCTCCCCTTTCTTGTGTCTCAAGGACAGAAGAGACTTCAGGTTTCCCCTGGAGATGTGTATGACAGCCAGTTGCAGCAGGCCCAGGCCCTGTCTGTCCTCCATGAGATGCTGCAGCAGATCTTCAGCCTCTTCCACACAGAGCGCTCCTCTGCTGCCTGGAACACGACCCTCCTGGACCAACTCCACACTGGACTTCATCAGCAGCTGGAACACCTGGAGACCTGCTTGGTGCGGGCAGTGGGAGAGGGAGAATCTGCTGGGTGATTGGGAGCTCTACACTGGCCTTGAGAAGGTACTTCCAGAGAATCTGTCTCTACCTGAAAGAGAAGAAACAGTGACTGTGCCTGGGAAGTTGTCAGAGTGGAAATCATGAGATCCTTCTCTATATCAACAAACTCACAGGAAAGATTGAGAAGTAAGAATGGAGACATGGAGTCATCTTAAAATAATTCTCATTGACTAATCTGCCATGTCACACTTTCACATATGATCTTGGATGTTTTGCTTTAGTTACTGAATTGGTTGAGTTAAATTCAGCAAATACTTCATCAGTATATTAAGCAAGTATGTGTTCAAAACATTTAGCTCCAGCGGCATGGGACTCTAAGAGATGACTCCCCTGATGTTATTTATTTATTTCCACTATTTTGCATCTATTGTATTTATAATATTTAGATATTTTACATATAACATGTTAATCTTCACATTGTATTAACATTTACAAAATATATTCACCATTGAATGTTATTAAATTAGCAGTTTTGATTTGTTAAATATTTATCAAAGAAAATTTTCATTTTGTTTATTCTAAAACCTAAGCCAAATTGAAGAAAGGATTGCAAAATTTAATTATTCATACATTCCATTCACATTATATTTATGAACTAAGTAAGTGGCAGACTGTAGAAATTCCTTCAAGTAATACAGGTGACTAGAGCAAACACAGTTTCTGCTGTGTTGGAATTCTCAGTCTAAGAGGGAAGGAGACATAAAAACCATACTAATGTTTATATTATTTCAATTATATTAAGTGCTTCAGAGAGAAGTAAAGGAAAATTATGTTCTCACACCAGAATCTTTAGGTGTAAATGATGCTGGGAAGGGAAAAAAAAATGGATGTCTTCCCAAAGCGCCCAGGAGACATGAAAGTGCAGAGGTCTTATTGGCAGCTGGGAATGCTGGCCTAGAATGAACAAATACCATGGGCATAGGTATTAATTTAAGATTCTTTATTGCATTTCTGGTAATCAGGGCATGGGAATGGATGTGATCACATATAAATAAGGGGAGAAAATTAGATGAGCACTAATCTATGTTCTACAGACTGTCAATATTTAAAGGTACAGCAGAGAAGGAGAGTCTGCAAAAGACACCGGGATAGAGTGGCCAGTGCACTTAGATGAAGAAATAAGGAAGAATGAGGGAGAGACTAATGAAGGGAACAGTAATGCGTTCAGGGAAGATGGGGACTGACCTGTCCTAGTGGACCTGAAACACACTCCACCATTGATTTTAGGATGATCTGGTTTTGCAGAATGAATGGGACAGAGACCAGATGGGAGTAGTTTGAAGAAGAAACACAAGAAGTGGTATTAGGTGCACTATGTATAGAAGATCATCTTGGGAAGCTTGTTTGCGGTGTTAGGAAATAGGGTGATACCTGGAGGAGGGTGTGGGTTAACATTGCCACGCATATTTTTCAAATGTTTTCTGAGCATCATTTTCAAAGAATAGCTGAATTTGAGTAAAACCTTTAAATATTTCTTTATTGAGATATGATTAAAAATATATTATTTAAAGTGTAAAACATAGGGATTAGGTATAAATATACCTTGTGTAATGATTTCTACACATTACATAATCCACAGCTAATTAACACATTCATCACCTGACATAGTTGTTTTGTTTTTGTATGCACGCTGAGAACACTAAAGATTTACTTGCGTTTAAATCTTTAATCCATCTTGATTTAATTTTTGTATGTGGTGAAAGGTAGGGGTCCAGTTTTATTCTTCTGCATATGGCTACTCAGCTATCCCAGAACCATTTATTGAATAGGGAGTCTTTTCCCCATTGCTTATTTTTGTCGACTTTGTAGAAGATCAAATGGCTGTAGGTGTGTGGCTCTATTTATGAGTTATCTATTTTGTTTCATTGGTCTATGTGTCTGTTTTTGGTTGCTGTCATCTTATAGTATAGTTTGAAGTCCAGTAATGTGATGCCTCTGGCTTTGTTCTTTTTGTTTAGAATTGCTTTAGTTATTTGGACTCTTTTTTGGTTACATATGAATTTTAGAATAGTATATTTCTAGTTTTGTGAAAATGACATTGGTTGTTTGATAGGAATAGCATCAAATCTGTAGATTGCCTTGGGCAGTATGGCCATTTTAACAATATTGATTCTTCTAATCCATGAACATGGAATGTTTTTCCATTTGTTTGTCTCATCTATGATTTCTTTCAGCAGTGTTTTGTAGTTCTCCTTGCAAATATATTTCACCTCATTTATTAAATATATTCCTAGGTGTTTTATTTTTGTGTGGCTACATGGATTACATTCTTGATTTGACTCTCAGCTTGAACATTATTGATGTCTAGAAATTCTACTGATTTTTGTACATTGATTTGTATCCTGAAACATTAGTGAAGTCGTTTATCAGCTTGAGGAGCCTTTTCGCAGAGTCTTTAGGGTTTTCTAGGTATAGGATTATAACTTCCACTCAGAGAGGTAGTTTGACTTCTTCCTTTCCTATGCCATTTCTTTCTTTCTCTTACCTGATTGCTCTAGCTATAAGTTCTAGCACTATTTTGAATAGGAGTGGTGAGAGTGGACATCCTTGTCTTGCTCTAGTTCTCAAGGGGAATGCTTCCAGTTTTTGCCCATTCAGTTTGATGTTAGCTGTGGGTTTGTCATAGACGGCTCTTATTGTTTTGAGGAATGTTCCTTCGATGCCTAGTTTCTTGAGAGTTTTTAGCATGAAGGGATGGTGGATTTAATTGAAAATTTTTTCCATGTCTATTGAGGCTATTATGTGGTTTTGCTTTTAATTCTATTTATGTGATGAATAACATTTATTAATTTCTGTATGTTGAACCAAATTTACATCCCAGGAGCAAAGCCTACTTGATCATGCTGAATTAACTTGTTGATGTACTGTTGAATTCGGTTTGCTAGTATTTTCTAGAGGATTTTTGCACCTATGTTGTTCAGGGATATTGGCCTGTTGTTTGTGTTTTTCATTGTCTTTGCCAGGTTTTGGTATTAGGGTGATGTTGGCTTCACAGAATGAATTAGGGAGGAGTCCCTCCTCTTATTTATTTATTTATTTATTTTTGGGAAATAGTTTCACTAGAATTGTTACCATCTCTTCTTTGAATTTGGCTGTGAAGCCATCTGGTCTGGGGCTTTTTGTGGTTGGTAAGTTCTTTTTTTTTTTTTTTTTTTTTTTTTTCTGTTGCCCAGGCTGGAATGCAGTGGCACACTCTTGGCTTACTGTAACCTGCACCTCCCAGGTCAAGTGATTCTCCTGCCTCAGCCTCCTGAGTAGCTGGTATTACAGGCATGCACCACCATGCCCAGCTAATTTTTGTATTTTTAGTAGAGATAGGGTTTTACTATGTTGGCCAGGCTGGTCTCAAACTCCTGACTTCAGGAGATCCACCCGCCTTTGCCTCCCAAAGTGCTGGGATTACAGGTGTGAGCCATGATGCCCAGCCACATGTAGCTTTATAATAGAGTGATTTATATTTTGGGGGTGTATATCTAGTAATGGGATTGCTGGGTCAAATGATCTTTCTGGTTCTAAATCTTTGAGGAATTGCCACACCATCTTCCACAATGGTTGAACGAATTTACATTCCCACCAACAGTGTAAAAGTGTTCCTATTCCTCTGCAACCTCACCAGCATCTCTTGTTTCTTGACTTTTTAATAATTGTCATTCTGACTGGCGTGGTATGGTATCTCATTTTGGTTTTGATTTGCATTTCTCTAAAGATCAGTGATGCTGAGATTTTTTCATGTTTGTTGGCTATATGTACGTCTTATTTTGAGAAATGTCTGTTCATGTCTTTTGCCCACCTTTCGATGTGTTTCTTTTTTTATTTTTCTTGTAAATTTGCTTAAGTTCCTTGAAGATTCTAGATATTAGACCTTTGTCAGATGGATTGATTGCAAAAATTTTCTCCCATTCTGTAGGTTGTCTGTTCGCTCTGATGATAGTTTCTTTTGTGCAGAAGCTCTTTAATTTAATTAGATCCCATCTGTCAATTTTTGCTTTCCTTGCAATTGCTTTTGGCCAATTTCATCATAAAACCTTTGGCCATGCCTGTGTCCTGATTTTCTTCTAGGGTTTTTATAGTTTTGGGTTTTACATTTAAGTCTTTAATCCATCTTGAGTTAAATTTTGTATAAGGTGTAAGGAAGAGGTTCAGTTTCAATTTTCTGCATATGGCTAGCTAGTTCTTCCTGCACCATTTGTTAAATAGGGATTCCTTTCCACATGGCTTATTTTTGTCAGGTTTGTCAAAGATCAGATGCTTTATATGTGTGGTTTTATTTCTGAGTTCTCTATTTTGTTCCATTGGTCTATGTACCTGTTTGTGTATCAATACTATGCTCTTTTGGTTACTATAGCCTTATAGTATAGTTAGAAGTCAGGTAGCGTGATGCCTCTGGCTTTGCTCTTTTTGCTTAGGATTGACCTGGCTGTATGAGCTCTTTTTTGGTTCCATATGAATTTTAAAATAGTTTTTTCTAATTCTGGAAGAATCTCAATGGTAGTTTAATGGGAATAGCATTGAATCTATAAATTGCTTTGGGCAGTATGGCCATTTTCATGATATTGATTCTTCCTATCCATGAGCATGGAATGTTTTTCCATCTGCTTGTGTCCTCTCTGATATCCTTTAGCAGTGGTTTGTAGTTCTCCTTGAAGAGGTCCTTCACTTCCCTTGTTAGCTGTATTCCTAGGTATTTTATTCTCTTTGTAACAATTGTGAATGGCAGTTCATTCATGATTGCAGTCTCTTCTTGTCTGTTATTGGTGTAAAGAAATGCTTGTGATTTCTGCACATTGATTTTGTATCCTGAGACTTTGCTGAGGTTGCTTACCAGCTTAAGAAGCTTTTGGGCTGAGATGATGTGGTTTTCTAGATATAGGATCATGTCGTCTGCAAACAAAGACAATTTGAGTTCCTCTCTTTCTATTTTAATACACTTCATTTTTTTTTTATTGCCTGCTTGCCCTGGCTAGAACATCCAGTACTATGTTGAATAAGAGCGGTGAGAGAGGGCATCCTTGTCTTGTGTTGGTTTTCAAGGGGAATGCTATCAGCTTTTGCCAATTCAGTATGATAGTGGCTGTGGGTTTATCATATCTGGCTCTTATTATTTTGAGATATGTTCCTTCAATTCCTAGTTTATTGAGAGTTTTTAACATGAAGTGATGTTGAATTTTATCAAAGTCCTTTTCTGCGTCTATTGAGAAAATCATGTGGTTTTTGTCTTTAGTTCTGTTTATGTGATGAATTACATTTATTGATTTGAGTATGTTGAACCAGCCTTGCGTCCCAGGGATGAAGCCGACTTGATCGTGGAGGATAAGCTTTTTGATGTGCTTCTGGATTCAGTTTGCCAGTATTTTATTCCTCAGTATTTTTGCATTGATGTTCATCAGGGATATTGGCCTGAAGTTTTCTTTTTTGTTGTATCTCTGCCAGGTTTTTGTATCAGGTTGATGCTGGCCTCATAAAATGAGTTAGGGAGGAGCCTCTCCTTTTCAACTGTTTGGAAGAGTTTCAGAAGAAATGGTACCAGCTCCTCTTTGTACCTCTGGTAGAATTGACCTGTAAATCCATCTGGACCTGGGTTTTTTTTGGTTGGTAGGCTATATATTACTGCCTCAATTTTGGAACTTTTTATTGGTCTATTCAGGGATTCAAATTCTTCCTGGTTCAGTCTTAGGAGGGTGTATGTGCCCAGGAATTTATCCATTTCTTATAGATTTTCAAGTTTATTTGCACAGAGGTGTATGTAGTATTCTCTGATGGTTGTTTATATTTTTGTGGGGTCAGTGGTGGTATCCCCCTTATCATTTCTGATTGTGTTTATTTGAATCTTCTCTCTTTTCTTCTTTATTAGTGTAGGTAGTGGTAAATTTTATTGTATTTTTGTTTTTTGTTTTTTGTTTTTTTAAATCCAGTGCCTAGATTCATTGATTTTTTTGAAGGGTTTTTCGTGTCTCTAGCCCCTTCAGTTCTGCTCAGAGCTTGGTTATTTCTTGTCTCCTGCTAGCTCTGGGGTTTGTTTGTTCTTGGATCTCTAGTTCTTTTCATCGCGATATTAGGCTGTTGATTTGAGATATTTCTAGTTTTCTGATGTAGGCACTTAGTGCTATAAATTTCTCTCTTAACACTGCTTTAGCTGTGTCCCAGATATTCTGGTACATTTTCTCTTTGTTCTCATTGGTTTCAAAGAACTTCTTGATTTCTGCCTAGATTTCATTATTTACCCAGAAGTCATTCAGAAGCAGGTTGTTTAATTTCCATGTAGTTGTGTTGTTTTGAGTGGGTTTCTCAATCTTGAGTTCTAATTTGATTGTGCTGTGGTCTGAGATAGTCTCTGTTATGATTTCCGTTCTTTTGCATTTTCTGAGGAGTGTTTTACTTCCAATTATGTGATCAAATTTAGAGTAAGTACAATGTGGTGTCAATAAAAACGTATATTCTGTTGTTGTTGGGTGGAGAGTTCTGTAGATAACTATCAGGTCCACTTGATCCAAAGCTAAGTTCAAGTCCTTGAATATCTTGGTTCATTTTCTGTCTCAACGATCTGTCTAATACAGACAGTGAGGTATTAAAGTCTCCCACTATCATTGTATGGGAATCTAAGTCTCTTTGTAGGTCTTTAAGAACTTGTTTTATGAATCTGGGTGCTTCTGTATTGGGTGCATATATTTTTAGGATAGTTAGCTCTTCAAGTTGAATTGTACCTTTTACAATTATATAATACCCTTCTTTGTCTTTTTTGACCTTTGTTGGTTTAAGGTCTATTTTGTTAGAAACTAGGATTGCAACCCCTGCTTTTTTCTGCTTTCCATTTGCTTGGTAAATTTTCCTCCATGCCTTTATTTTGAGCTATTCGTGTCTTTGCATGTGAGATGTGTCTTTCGAATACAGCACACTGATAGGTCTTGTCTTTTTATCCAGCTTGCCATTCTGTGTCTTTTAATTGGGGTAATTATCCCATTTACATTTAGGGTTAATATTGTTATATCTGAATTTGATCCTGTCATCATAATGCTCGCTGGTTAATTTTGCAGACTTGTTAATGTAGTTGCTTCATAGTGTCATTGGTCTGTGTACTTCAATGTGTTTTTGTAGTGGCTGGTTTTTCCTTTCCATGTTTAGTGCTTCCTTCAGGAAGTCAGTGCAAGTCAGGCCTGGTGGTGATGAAATTCCTCAGCATATGCATGTCTAAAAGGAATTTATTTATCCTTTGCCTATAAAGCTTGTTTTGCTTGATTTGAAATTCTGGGTTGAAAATTGTTTTCTTTAAGAATGTGGAATATTGCCCCCTAATCTCTTCTGGCTTGTAGGATTTCCACTGAGAAGTCTGCTGTTAGTCTGATGGGCTTCCCTTTGTAGATGACCTGGCCTTTTTCTCTGTCTGCCCTTAACACTTTTTCTGTCATTTTGACCTTGATAAATTGAAAATTATGTTTCTTGGAGTTGTTCTTCTTGTGGAGTATTTTATTGGGGTTCTCTGGATTTCCTGAATTTGAATGTTGGCCTGTCTTGCTAGGTTGGGGAAGTTCTTCTGGATGATATCCTAAAGTGTGTTTTCCAACTTGGTTTTATTCTCCTCATCTCTTTCAGGTACTCCAATCAGTTGTAGGTTTGGACTTTTTACATAGTCCCATTGTTCTTAGAGATTTTGTCCATTTCTTTTCATTCTTTTTTCCCTAATCTTATCTGTCTGCCTTATTTCAGCAAGACAGGCTTCAAGCTCTAATACTACTTCTTCCACTTCTTGAATTTGGCTATTGATACTTGTATTTGCATCAGTATAGCTGCTTCCTGTTCCAGTGTGGTTCCTGGCTGTTCATTTTCAACTGAAAGCAAATGTTGAGTGAAAGTTTTTGGTTTTGCAGAAACTTCCATACGAGAGGCCTTTCTTTTTCTTCTCCTGGTGAATATTTTTTGGAAATAAGAGAATGCCCCCATTACAATGTAACCTTTGCTGTAGCAGAAAGGACAAAGAATGCAAGATCCATTTTACTCTGGAGGCTGTTAAAATATTTACAGAGGATGAGAGATACCTACTGGCCAAGATGACAAAGACATACTCCAAGTCTATGGAGAGCAAGCTTTTCTGTTCTATAGCAGTATGCTGTCTCCTTGCAGGTGATTTTTCTCCAGAGGTAAAAGGGGCTCTTTCTCAGAAAGAACTGACTCTATTGTTGGAAAAAGACTGTTTCCATGGCTTTTGTATTGTAGAAGGGGAAAACACTTCCAGCTTCAGGCAGGACATGTCTTTTGGGCAAAGAATAGCTATGTGGGGAAAGGGTGAGAATATGTCCCTTGCCTCCATCCTGTAGAGCCTCCCTGGACCTTCTGAAACATCCCTCCCTCTCTGTATTGTCCTAAACTAGGAATCAGCAGAGCCTGCCAATCTGGGTGTAGAATTGCAAGGGAAATGAAGAAAAAATCTCCTGTTTGAAGGTACATTAGTTCTTTCTTAATAGTGAGTCGCTAATTTTACAAATTTATTCCTTAGATCATGTCACTTAACTTTATAATTAGGAGAATATTCTCTGTTATTTTGAATAACGACTCAACTTGCATTCTTTCTACTTTTAGTAGTAAGAGAGAGCAGAGACATTTGCAAAGGGATCAGAGGATACAATTCTTGCAAATGTCAGCCAGCAGAGGTATCTATTTGGGTAGAAATTGGGAAGTTTAATGTAATCTGCAAAATAATGTAATTCGAGAAGTTAATCAGGAAGTGTGTGTGTGTGTGTGTGTGTGTGTCTGTGTGTGTGAATTGCTGAAGTAGTAGGAAAGGGCCTCAATTTAGAAGGAATTTCACAAATCTTTGCTCAGTTATACACTCAACCTTTAGATTGCTCTTTGTAAGTGGGAGAGGAGAGGGATTGGAGAACTCAGTTATATTTAGCCACATATTTTTCACTTTCCTGTCTTTTTTTCTCCCCAGTTTAAGAGCATAGAAAAACATTAAAAATTTTGAATTTACCTGGTCCTCTCTCTCTCTCCCTGTCTTAGTGATTGCTTTACACTTTTCAGATATTACTATCTCTTCTATTCTTTTATTGATTTTTATGCTGCGGATTTCTTTAGTGTGGTTTTACTTTTTATTGTTTCTAATGTTATGTTCAGTCAGCAGAAATTATATTATATGGCTCTGCATTTTCATCTTACCCTGAAAAATCTCTGTAATCATATCCTGATCATATCCAGAGTTAATTTTTTGTGAATCCTAAAGTAATGGAGAACTGAAGCGAGGGGGTGGCAGAGTTGGCAGTGAGGGCTCTATCACAGGCTGCCCTGCACAGGTGCCTGGGAAGCACCCCTCAAGAGGGACACATGGAGCCTTGATTCTTTCCCTGGATCCCTGGAGGAGTAACAAATATCGTGGTGCAGCACTGGAGACACTGAGGCTTTGTCAGGTCAGGGAGTGAGAGTGTGAATGTGGCCATGCCTGAACTCTCCCTGCCTGCCAAGCTCAGGACTGCAGACGTCAAGGATGTCCCACTGGGCACAGAAACACTGAATAGAGGGGGTCCTGCCCACAGACTATACCCAATGAGCTGGTAAAGAATCCAGGAGCAAATCTGTCCCTGTTTAGGCACTCTTATGTTTTAATTCTCCTAGGAGGAGACTGCACAAGGCTCAGGACTCTCATTTGTTCAAAAAAGCAGAGCCCACGTGCAATATGAAGAAGTTGAAAGAACCAGCCACAGCTTGAGAACATGGAAGGAGAACAGAGACTGGAACAGCAACAGGTCCTCAGGAGATGGAACACTTCCAATGAGAGCATGAAGTCAACTGTTCAGATTATTCTAATTAGAGGGAGAGAAGATTGAAGTGGATGCTGAGAGCAGAGTTCTCCTATGGAGATGTGGCCAACATCAGCGTCCCAGGGTGGATGACACTGATGCCACAGGAGCCTGTAGTTTACTGGAAAGGATGAGGTATTTGACTACCTGCTGCCTCTTGTGGTTTCTTCCTTGGAGCCAACAAGTCATTCCACTGCAGGGAAAATTTTTCATGGGGCCAATGCAATCAAAGGAAACTGTTAAATTTAGGTCTTGATACAGCTTCCCTTGAAAACAAAACAAATGAAATAATATTTGAGCAGAAGATATACAGGTAGGTATTTGAATACATTTAGCAACAATTGGAGCAGAGCTTTCCCAGCAAGACAGATACTAGTAATGTGGGTATTTGGTGATCACAACTGCTAATAGCAGCAAAGACCTTTATTAAAATTTATTTAACTCAATTGAAAATAGATCATTGGTGGCTCAATTCTTTTTTTTTTCCCAGTGGGTGCCTTCTACACTTGGTTGGCACATTTAAAGTGCCTACTTTCCACTTCCTGAGGATTAGGTTCCAAAGAACATGTTTGGTAAAATAATAATGCTTTTATCATTTTATCAATTAGTGCTGATTTTAATGATATGTTTATTTCAATACTACAATTTTATTTTATGATTTTTAATAAGATGAGTTTATAAATTAAATAAAAACCACCATATTAGGTAGGTGGGCTGAGTTTGGCATTAACGCCAAACTCATTGGTAAGCTGCCCTTTAAAAGCATTCACTGCCTCAGTGCAGGAAATGGAAAATATTTTTCCATCTTGGTCATACAAAACATCTGGTGGCATGATGCCTCCAGCTGTTCTTTTTGCTCAGGATCATTTTTTCTATTCGAAGTCTTTTATGGTTCCATACAAATTTTAGTATATTGTTTACAATTTCTATGAAGAATCATTGGTACTTTCATAGGGATTGCATTGAATCTGTAGATTGCTTTGGGTAATATAGACATTTAATGATACTAATTCTTTCAATCCATGAGCATGGGATATCTTTCCATTTGTTTGTATTTTTCTCAATTTCTTTCATTAGTGTTTTATAGTTTTCCTTGTAGAGCTCTTTAATCTTGTTGGTTAAATGTACTCCTAGGTATTTTATTGTATTTGCAGCTGTTGTCAATGGGATTGCCTTCTGGATTTCTTTTTTAGCTAGTTCATTGCTTGTATATAGAAATGTGATGGATTTTGTATGTTAATTTTGTATCTTGCAATTTTTCTGCATTAGTTTATCAGTTCTAAGAGTTTTTTGGTAGAGCCTCTCCAAAGAGCCTCTCTTTGGTAGGTTTTTCTACATATAAGAACATATTGTCTGCAGACAGAGACAATTTGACTTCCTCCTTTCCAGTTTGGATGCCCTGTGCTTGAGTCCCTGGCCTGAGAAACAACCCCATGGGCCACCCCGGCAGACATATCCCCAGGATGGCTGAGCAGCTGTGTGACCATATCCCAGGCCTGAATTAATATTTGTAAAGATCTTAGAATAGTGTATCATTCATTGCAAGCATGCGATCTTGTTTTTTTTTAAATTTTTTTAATCTACTTTTTTTAAAAAATATCACAATTACTACTAGCCAGGTTAAGAGCAGAATCTTCTGGGATAATCTAATTCCCTCTCTTTTAACTGTAGGTTTATGGAAGAAATTTTTTTATTGCCTTTCCTTGCCTGAGTAGATTTATTAACTTGGTAGAGTGTTCAGGCAAGGTAATATCCATTACCTTGCCAGAGAGGATTGGTGTTATAACAACTGGGGTCTGATTGCCTGTCTCTTGGGAGGCAGTTGGTGTGACTCCTCCCTTTTCTCCTCAGAGCTGATGACATGTATGCATACAGTTAGATAGAAAAAATAAGTTTTAATGTTAGATACCATGGTAGGGTGACTATAGTTAAAAACAATGTATCATATATTTAAAAAATAGCTAGAAGAGAGGAGTTGAAATGTTCCCAACATGAAGAAAGAATATAAATACTAAAAGTGATAGGTATCCTAAATACTCTGGCTTGATCATTACATATCCTATGCATGTATTAAAATAGCACATTACCGCATAAATATGTACAAATATTATGTATTAGAAAAATAAAAAATACATATTATAATAAAATGCAAGGGAATAAGTAATGTGGACTCAATGAAAGAAACGTCATGTAGCTGGTTTTGCAAAACTGAGGGCAGTTCATTGACCCAGGAGTTGCTCTTCTTGGAGCCTCTAGCAGAAGCTGCCATTTCCCTGCCTTTGTATACCTCAACATTGGCCTTCATTCTTCTTCTTTGCCAGAGCACCTACTCCTCAATTTGGTTGCATTGAATTTTGCTAGCTTACGCTTTGCAATTTTGTCACTAGAAAGTCACTTCCCTCTTTCACTTTCATGACATTTGTACTTACGTTTGTTTTCTGTTTGCTCACAAATAATGTCATGTTTTGCTTTTTAGGAAAGTTCAAATGAGAAACTAAAAATCTGAAATCTTGAAAAGTACAGAGGAAAACTATGTGGCTTATTTGCCTTTTACTTCTTTTTATTTGTGTTACTTCATCATGAATTAGAATGTAATACAGAAAGAGTAAGACAAACTTTGCCCAGTAAGTAAATCATGTGAACAGAAATTATACAAAAATTTAAAATGGAAAACCACAAATGAGTAAAGGAAAGAAGGCTATTTCTCCCTGACATAATAGCCTGGGCCTAACTGCCTTGCATTACCAGGGTGAGACAGAGTAACAAAGAACCCTAAGAGAATCATGCTGAGTGGATGAACAACTGAAAGTCACTAGTTTCTGTCATATTAGTTTCTATGAGAGACAAAATCATCATTGAATCCCCTGTGCCTAGCTCTGAAAGGTCAAATATAACAAGTATTCAATAGTTTTAAGTATTGGATAATAAAAATAAGACTGGAGCAATAAAAGCTATACTTGGCAAAATACAAATTGTTTGCTTACTTGAGTAAAAATTATTGCAATTGAATAATTCTTCCACCTACTTAGACAAAACAAATTTTGCTATCAGTATCTGAGCACTGTGGACACATTTGATACCTGGGGATATGGGGTCAGGACAGGAGGAGGTAACCACTGAGAAGCAGAGTCCTTCACACAAACACTCTAGGGGAAAGGGCAAGGGTCTTAGAGGACTAATTATTTTGGCTCAAGGAAATAGTCCCCTCCTTAGTGAAAGAGTTCAAAAGTTGTCAGCCTGCCTCAGGGAATGAGCTGGGGAGAGCTTGAGTTGAGGACATTGTCACTCTAGAGGAAAGGGTGTTACTGGATGTGATAAAAACTTTGTGAGTGAAGTGATGGTGGGAAAATACAATTATCTTAGAATTTGAATCGCCGTATCCCCATGCACCTGGAAAAGACCAGGATTCTTGCTAGGGATATTGTTGGGAACAAGCCCCCCCAAATCTGGCCATAAACTGGCCCCAAAACTGGCCATAAACAAAATCTCTGCAGCACTGTGACATGTTCATGATGGCCATAACGCCCATGCTGGAAGGTTGTGGGTTTACCAGAATGAGGGCAAGGAACACCTGGCGCACCCAGGGCAGAAAACTGCTTAAAGGGATTCTTAAGCCACAAACAATAACATGAGTGATCTGTGCCTTAAGGACATGCTCCTGCTGCAGTTAACTAGCCCAACCTTTTCCTTTAATTCGGCCTATCCCTTCATTTCCCATAAGGGATACTTTTAGTTAATTTAATATCTATAGAAACAATGCTAATGACTGGCTTGCTGTAAAAATATGTGGATAAATCTCTGTTCCAGGCTCTCAGCTCTGAAGGCTGTGAGACCCCTGATTTCCCACTTCACACCTCTGTATTTCTGTGTGTGTGTCTTTAATTCCTCTAGCGCCCCTGGGTTAGGGTCGCCCTGACCGGGCTGGTCTTGGCAGGATATTATCACAGACTGAGGAGCACTCAGTAAGAACATTATGGGAAGAAAGGGCTATGTCTATAGTAATCCTGACCTGGTGGCCCCAGTGAGGCGTAATCATATGGACCCGCATGAATGTATTTTAGAAGAAAGAGAAACATGATCACAGCTTCTACTGTGAATAAAAGAGTTAACAAAACCCAATTATTTGTTCTAAAGAGCTTATTGTCGCAGATGGTCTGGTAAATTGCCAACCAAATACAGAAACCTATCCGGTAGAGGGCGCCTGATTTCCTATGTAAAGCATGGAGAGTAAAATGTAGCTTAGAATCAGGGCAAAAATTTTGCTCCTGACATAGAAGAGAATATTTATATATGAAAAAAATGTATGTGGGCATTTTTGTGTATGAGTATTCACATTTCTACATACACTTCAGTTTTTTAGGAAAAAAGATATTTCTAATTTAATTAATGAAAATCTGATATCTGATCAAATCCTCATCCCACGCACTCAATATATAATTACCCTGGCTTGCCTTTAGAAAGAATTATGTTCAGGTTAGCAAGGATCCCCCTACCTTTGATGTCTCCTTTTAGTGATTTTCTATCCACTGACCCCCTCATTCTGCTTGTTGGGTATAAACCCCAGGCTGTCTTTGCTGATTTATGAGCTGAGCACCAATGGGTCTCTCTCCCGTATTGATATGGTTTGGGTCAGCATCCCCGCCAAAATCTCACATGGAATTGTAATCTCCAGTGTTGGAGGCGGGGCCTGGTGGGAGGTGATTGGATCATAGGGCGGTTCCTCACGGTTTAACACCATCCCCCTGGTGGTGTCATGGCAAGAGTGAGTTATTCCAAGATCTGGTTGTTTAAAATTGTGCAGCACCTCCCCTGCTTCTCTCCTCCTGCTCCGGTCATGAAGGACATGCCTGCTTCCCCTTAGCCTTCTGTCATGATTGTAAGTGTCCTGAGGCCTCCCCAGCCATGCTTCCTGTAGAGTCTGCAGAATCGTGAGCCAATTAAACCTCTTTTCTTTCTAAATTACCCAGCCTCAGGTTTTTCTGTATAGTAATGCAAGAACTAATGCACCTATCATGATAGTTTTGACACCTGTTGCAATACTTTTAAATAAAGCCTTCCTTACTGTTATACCAAGTGTCAGAATAAATTTTTCTTTACCAGATCCTTAAATTAAGGCAGTACAATCAACACTGCAGCATACTCTGGTGACCTACAACATAAAAGGCATGAACCAGCTGGCAAGTCAGGTGACTCAGGGTCTTTTGTCATCTCAGTCCTCATCCTCTAATGCCATGGACTCTCCTCATTTCTCCAGAAGTGTTTCCATTTCCACACCTTTAATAATTCCTTTACTTTAGTTAACCTTTCCAGGTGTGCTCTCCCTGAGCTCTGAGCCTTAGTTCATTGGTTTAGCTCTGATTTAGTTCATGTCTGTAGCCTGACAATGACTTGTTCTTTCTTAAATTTGTGCTACACAGGTGGAAATCTAAAGTATGGTGCATATTTGATTAAAAGAATAGTACTATGTAGAATTTTAAATGGATAGAAATATATAGGGTTTATGAATACATTTACTGGGGCAAACAACATGTTTTACAAATACACTCATGTTTATGATAGTGTATCCTCAAGAAGACAAAACTAGAATATAACGTATATACTCCTTTACAAGGAGCATAAGTAAAGCGGGGCCCAATTTCATTGTAATGTTGCCATGAGCAAATGGGGCATTACAGTGAAGGAGACAAATGGAAACTGAAGAGAAAGACTCTGTCATTACATAGGCAGGACTCTACTAGGAAAGGATTGACTGGTCTATAAATCAGCTCTGGTTCTTATGGCCCGAAATATTCCCAGAGAGCATGTAAGAGCTAAGACTTCAGAGTTGAATTTTCTGCATCCAAACTGTAGCTCCAAAACTTAATAGCTTCCTGTGCTTTCATTGTTTCTTTTGTAAATGGGGACAATAGTAAAATCTGTCACTGTGTGCCTTGGTCAGTGATATCTCCAGTGAATAAATGGGGTTAGGGACATGGTAGATGTTCAGTAAATACGAAAAACAAAAGTATTCTTTATTGGCTAAGTGAGCATCGATTATGCAAGTGCTAAAAACAGTGTCTGACTGAAAATAAAGACTGTCTAGAGTTTAGATATCTCATTCCTCTTATTAACATTATCTTTATTATATAACTCTATTAAGTTGGGGAAGTGTCCTTTGAAATTATCAAGTCTCTTGTTTCTTATTAGAAATATAACAAGAAAAAAATTGATCTTTGGAGTGTACTTATCCACTAGTGGAGAGCTTGGTGCAATGAACACTTAACTATTTTCCAGAGAGAATATTGCACTCTCTAAAGTTTGCCTTTCTTGTGTATAAATGCTTGCAGTTGGTGTGTTTGCAAGATGGGCTTCAGTAAATCTGAAAACACCCTGTGGACCAGGAGTAATTACTTTTCTTCCAGCCCATACTTATTTGCTACCTTTGACCTATATCCCTTCTACCATTTTGCTTCTGTTCTTTCCCACCCCTTAACCTCCATCATGGCTGGGCTGAATGCAGCTAAGGTACATTTTGTCATTGTTTTTTCTTAGTGGGATATTACTTCCATTTACATTTTAATCACATTTAGATATATTTTTGTTTTATTTTT
Organism: Homo sapiens; assembly: GCF_000001405.40. Lineage (NCBI taxonomy): Eukaryota > Metazoa > Chordata > Mammalia > Primates > Hominidae > Homo > Homo sapiens. Next base: position 21,437,043 of record NC_000009.12, read on the forward strand.
GTCCCCATTCATTAGGGTGCAAAAAGTGACAATTTTTGCTTTTTATGAAAAGAGAAAGAAAGATATCATGTCTGGCATGCTATGGAAAACAACTGTACAAGTCATTTATGTTATAACATTTACATCTCATTATGAACATTTAGGACAAAGATGGTTTCCTTTAGTTGGATCAGAATCAACAAAGAACCTCTGAAGTTTCTTTGGAAATTTGAATTTTCATGCAAAAAAGTGTTTTTAATCAAATTGAGGATATTTTTTCAATTGTGTATTCTCATTGAGTATGATGCTACTCCCAAGGGTGTAAAAGTGTAGTTCTTGAGAGTGGGAACAAATCTTACAGATTTAAATGATTTGTGGCCCTTCAAAGTTCAACCCTATCTAACAAAGTCTTATTCCTTAGTTTTTTGTTTTCTCCCCATTGGGTTTTCTTGTGTATCACATGAGAAGCATTGACATTAAGTTCATGGAAGATACACAAAATGTATATAAGTTCAGTGTTACAAACCTATGGAAAATGAGTGGCTGTGATTGCAGTACTTTCCAAGGCTTACTAGATCTCACAGTCATATCAAGAGATGTGTCCTCTGCATACATATGTTTTGTCACTGGCCATCTTATAGTTGTTGCTTATTTTTGATCCTTAGCATTTCTAACTGTGTTGTGGGCTTTGAGGATAATTTATATTTTATTAATTCTACAAAAATTGTTCAGCACATCAATAATTAGGTCAAGCATCGAAGAAAAAAGTCTTGACAATATTTAGGTGACTAGCAGCTAGTGAAGTTAAAAAATTTCACACATGCAACAAAATTAAAAGTTAAGTACAACCCTGCCACAGAGGCCGGGAGAGGCGACTGGCCCTTTGTTGGTCTGTGAGAAATCAAACTTCCAACATGACAAGCAGGAAGCCTGCGGTTAAGGGAGTCAGCGTGTCACAAATACAAGCACCTGGGGTCTTCCAAGAGCATCATACCTCCTCCAGCCCCTGGAGCCACCTGCTTTCCTAACTGGCTGTGGGAAATGGCCTGAGGTCCCAGATGCTGCCACTGTGCTGCTGCCTTCCACTCTCTCCAAGCAGAGCGCAAGTTCAGCCACCTTTGAAAGACACCCACCCCCTGGCCTGGGGATGCACAAGTTCAGAGCTTTGCAGGGAGTAACCATGGGTTATGGCTTCATGAAAATGTCCTACTCACCAGTGCCTTTTTCGCAGATGTGGATGTGGAGGCATGAGGGAGGGTAATTATTGGATTACCAAGGTGCTGCTAAGAGCAGAGGAGGAAACCCCTATTCCCAGTCATATGTCTGGTGTGACATTTCACTAACCCATTTAAGTGCACAGGCCTCCAAATATCTACCTAATGAGTATGATGGTTTGGGCATTTTACACTTAAAATCACTGGCCTCATGTCAACTGAAGCCTGACTGGCCAGTGTCTCAAAGTCACAGATGATGACCTGATCCCTCAGGAACAGATGGTGTTTCAGCTTTGTGGGAGTGACTGTCAAGGTATGGAGCACTTAGGTGGTCTTTGAAACCTGTCAGGTTTCACATCTCTGCTTTGAGTGAAAAGCTCATCACCCACAGTAGTGAGGAATGTGCCTATACTTGCTGGGGCTGATCTGTTGAAACTTTATGTGTAGACAATGGAAACATCCAGGAGCATTTCTGCTTTCATGTAGCCTCTTAATAATTGATGTCCCTGAAGTCCTGTGTCCTCAGGGACAGTTCCTCTGATTCCTGGATTGTACCAGCTTTCATGATGTTAAATCTAATCTGTAAAACTCTGAGCATTAATCTCCATGAAAATAAGACCTTGTTCTTTCTCATTTAAATGCCCCTTTTTTTTCTTGTCTAATATTCTGAGTAGGATTTCCAGTACTGTGTTGAAAGAAGTAGTGAGAGTGGGCATCCTTATCTTATAATAAATCTCAGAAAAAAGATTCCAACATTTCACCACTGACTATAGTGTTAGCTAATGGCTTATCTTATAGCTAATAAGGAATGTGTCTCTTTATTCTGAGGTATATTCTTTATATACCTAATTTGTTATAAATTGTATTAGAGATGGATTTTAAATTTTGTCAAAATAATTTTAGGCATGCATAAAAATAGTTATGATTTTTAATCTTTTATTGTGTAAATAAGGAGTATGGCATTTATTGATTCCAACATATTAAAATATTCTTGCATCCCAGGAATAAATCAAGCTTGATCATAATAAATGATCCTTTTATAGTGCTTTTGAATTTCATTTGCAACTACTTTGTGGATGATTTTGCATCTGTGTTCATCAGGAATATTGGCTGTAATTTTTTTTTTTCTTGTAATGTCCATCTCTGGCTTAGGTATCAAGGTAATGCTGGCTTCATAAAATGAGTTTGGGAGTATTCCTCCTTAATTTTTTCAAAGATTTGGTTCTGTTTAAATGTTTGGTGAAATTCAGGAGTAATCAGATCTAAAAAAACGTAAGAACACTAAAAATAAATGATAAAAATATTTTAAAGTTTTAAGTGTTTATCACTTTCAAATAATTTTTAAGTATTCATTACTTAGAAAATGTTTATCTATAAACATTAGAAAATGTTTATAATTTGTTAATTTGCTTATGTAATTTGATACACTACAATTTATTTGTTTGTTTGTTTTTTGAAACAGAGTCTCACTCTGACACCCAGGCTGGAGTGCAGTGGCACAATCTCGGCTCACTGCAACCTCCACCTCATGAGTTCAAGGAATTCCCTGCCTCGGCCTCCTGAGTAGCTGGGATTACAGGTGCACACAACCATGCCTAGCTAATTTTTTTTTTGTTTTTTTTTTGTTTTTTTCGTTGAGATGGGGTTTCACCGTCTTGGCCAGGCTGGTCTTGAACTCCTGACCTCGTGATCCACCCACCTCGGACTCCCAAAGTGCTGGGATTACAGGCGTGAGCCACCTCGCCAGGCCTACAGTACAATTTATATCAGTAAATAAATTACGTTGAAGTCCATAAGCAAATTTAGTTATAAAGTTAAGAAAAATTTGAATAGATTTTAAATTTAACTTTTAGCTTAAATTTTTCATTTGGTTATTTTTAAACCTGCATTGAATACAAAGATTAAACTTTGTACTTTTTGATTATAGAGATATACATATAGTATATAAATAGATACATATTGTATCTGTGTTATTAAATTTTCACGGTGGGTTCAATTAGGAAAAAGATATCTAAAAAGTCTCTGGGAACAAGATGGGGAAGACAATAATGAAAAACAAAACATTTGAGAAACACGGCTCTAAACTCATGTAAAGAGTGCATGAAGGAAAGCAAAAACAGAAATGGAAAGTGGCCCAGAAGCATTAAGAAAGTGGAAATCAGTATGTTCCCTATTTAAGGCATTTGCAGGAAGCAAGGCCTTCAGAGAACCTAGAGCCCAAGGTTCAGAGTCACCCATCTCAGCAAGCCCAGAAGTATCTGCAATATCTACGATGGCCTCGCCCTTTGCTTTACTGATGGTCCTGGTGGTGCTCAGCTGCAAGTCAAGCTGCTCTCTGGGCTGTGATCTCCCTGAGACCCACAGCCTGGATAACAGGAGGACCTTGATGCTCCTGGCACAAATGAGCAGAATCTCTCCTTCCTCCTGTCTGATGGACAGACATGACTTTGGATTTCCCCAGGAGGAGTTTGATGGCAACCAGTTCCAGAAGGCTCCAGCCATCTCTGTCCTCCATGAGCTGATCCAGCAGATCTTCAACCTCTTTACCACAAAAGATTCATCTGCTGCTTGGGATGAGGACCTCCTAGACAAATTCTGCACCGAACTCTACCAGCAGCTGAATGACTTGGAAGCCTGTGTGATGCAGGAGGAGAGGGTGGGAGAAACTCCCCTGATGAATGCGGACTCCATCTTGGCTGTGAAGAAATACTTCCGAAGAATCACTCTCTATCTGACAGAGAAGAAATACAGCCCTTGTGCCTGGGAGGTTGTCAGAGCAGAAATCATGAGATCCCTCTCTTTATCAACAAACTTGCAAGAAAGATTAAGGAGGAAGGAATAACATCTGGTCCAACATGAAAACAATTCTTATTGACTCATACACCAGGTCACGCTTTCATGAATTCTGTCATTTCAAAGACTCTCACCCCTGCTATAACTATGACCATGCTGATAAACTGATTTATCTATTTAAATATTTATTTAACTATTCATAAGATTTAAATTATTTTTGTTCATATAACGTCATGTGCACCTTTACACTGTGGTTAGTGTAATAAAACATGTTCCTTATATTTACTCAATCCATTATTTTGTGTTGTTCATTAAACTTTTACTATAGGAACTTCCTGTATGTGTTCATTCTTTAATATGAAATTCCTAGCCTGACTGTGCAACCTGATTAGAGAATAAAGGGTATATTTTATTTGCTTATCATTATTATATGTAAGATGTAAGTAAAAATGACCTTTCTCTAAACCAGGTTGTATGTTGTACTCAAGATATAAAGCTGAATACAATAAATCTACTTCCTACTCTCTTGCATATTTGGTTTTTGTATGGAATAAAACTAAAGATGGTAATCATACTTAATATCAGTTATCCTAAATACTATGAGAAGAAGGAGCAACTAATGATTTCTCTCAGCAGCGGGTAAACTGAGACAGGTGAGGAAATAAAAATAAACAGATATCCTCAAAAGTTGACTGGTAAACATCTAGTAGAAAATGTCTATTGCCAGTTGGATATATGAGTTTGCAACTTACAAGGAATGCAGTTGCTGGGGGTTCATACATGGCAAGCAAAATCCCAGAAATGGAAGTGCTCATGTGTGGAGAGAGTGTAGACAGAGAAAAGGACTTAAGCAGGATTTTGAGGACCTTCCACCTTTAAAGTGAGGGAAGAGAAGAGACACAGAGGAACCAGAGGTGGTGTCCCTTATATTAGACTAACAACAAGAGAGATTGGTGATTAATATGGTTTGGATCTGTGTCCCTGCCCAAATCTCATGTGGAATTGCAATCCCCAGTGTTGGAGGTAGGGCCTGGTGCGGGGTGACTGGGTCATGGCTATTTCTCATGGTTTAACACCATCCCCTTTGGTGCTGTCATGGTGATAGTGAGCCCTCCTGAGATCTAGTTGTTTAAAAGTGTGTGGCACCTACCCCTACCCTTCCTCTTGCTCTCGCTTTACCTTCCTCTCTGAAGCCTCCCCAGAAGCAGATGCTGCCATGCTTCCTGTATAGCCTGCAGAATTGTGAGGCAATTAAACCTCTTTTCTTATAATTTACCCAGTCTCAGCTATTTCTTTGTAGCACTGCAACAATGGACTGATACTGTGATAAAAGTGTATTTAAGAAGATAAATGTGCGGGGAAGATGAATCAGTAGATTTTCCCAAGATACGGATTAAAACTGCCCAGTAATTGGGAAATAGATAGCCTTGGCAATCTTAGTGAGAGAGCTGGTTTGGTGGAATTAATAAGTAGAAGTCATACTGCAGTAGGATCCAAGTAAGAGAAGTTAGTGACTCTGAAGTGAAGATGGAAATAGAATGGAATTTGAAAAGAATGTGGATTATTGTTTTTGTACACAGTTTTTTTTTCTTTTTTGCAGTATATTTTTTCCGGATAGATTTCATGTAACTGATGTACTGGCAACCATATTGATATGTTTAGTATATTTATGTTAAATTAAAATATTTAATTACAATGATAATTTTTCATTTTTTAAATAAATACTACTTTGAATATCAGTAAGCTGCCTTAATTCTGTAGGTGGGAATAGAAAACTAATTCAATCCGTCATCACAATATTTAATTAATACTGATAATATAATGATTCCTGGACCTACTGGCTTTATTAATTAAGTTACTTAACTTGCGTAATTGTAACACTGGTTTACTATAATTTTACTTCAGCTTTTAACACATTTTATTTTCTGGTAGAGCTCATATATTACTTCTTGGCAATTTTTCCTGATGTTATGAATATTACAATCTTATGCCAATCCAAAAATAACTAAATTACCATCAACATAAAGACTGAAAACTTCCTTCACAAATTAATAATGAAAAGGGAATCAACGAATCTCTGTCTCAATACTTAAGATAAAGAAAAAGTTGGTCATAACCAGCTGAAAATACAGTATGAACCATGGAAATTCAGAGAGCAAGAAAGAGTTGTGTAGAATTCACAAGGAAAAAAAAAGATTTAACAATTATAACTGGGCCGGGTGCAGTGGCTCATGCCTGTAATCCCAGAACTTTGGGAGGCCGAGGCAGGAGGATCACGAGGTCAGGAGATCGAGACCATCCTGGCTAACACAGTGAAACCCCGTCTCTACTAAAAAATACAAAAAATTAGCCAGGCGTGGTGGCAGGCACCTGTAGTCCCAGCTACTGGGGAGGCTGAGACAAGAGAATGGCATGAATCCAGGAGGCGGAGCTTGCAGTGAGCCAAGATCATGCTACTGCACTCCAGCCTGGGCGACAGAGCAAGCAAGCCGTCTCAAAAAAAAAAAAAAAAAAAAAAAAAAAAAAAAAAAAAAAACAAAAACAATTATAACTGAAACTCAGAATACAAAACTGACAAAATCACCCATAATTTACATTATATTACAAAGAATTTGACATTGAAATTTCATTCTGCTTACATGTATGTGTGGTGTTAAGAAACTCAATCTCTTTGAGCCTGAGTTTTCTCATAAATAAAATGGATTCAGAAAATTTATATAGTTGTGATCATAAAGGAACACATGCAGTTTAAAGCACCTACCACAGTATCTTCCACCATGTTGCCTGGTCAACATGATGAAACCCTGTCTCTACTAAAAATACAAAGATTAGCTGGGCATGGTGGTGGGCGCCTGTAATCCCAGCTACTCAGGAGGCTTAAGGCTGGAAAATTGCTTGTACCCAGGAGGTGGAGATTGCAGTAAGCTGAGATCACACCTCACTCAAGGAGTTAAACGATGTTAAGTATTTTCCTCCTTTTCTTCATACAGCTGTAGATGGGAATAGTATTTGTCTTTCTGTAAAATTTTTAGGATCTGTGGTGTCATACCTTTCAGGAATTGACCTTCAAAGGAAGCAGCCTAAAAAAAAAAACCCACAGATTCTGTCATGAACTGTAGAGAGGCTGAAAAATTGTCATTCCTCACTTCAGAGTGTCCTATTTATATTCAGTCAGGAAATGGTGGCTTGTATAAATACCTGAGACAAGAGAATAATCATGCAGATTGATGCGCAGAAGACATGTGATGTTTCTTGACTGATTATGGCACCTGGCACATTCTCTCTCTGGCTTTACTCCCTTCACCTTCCTGCCCATTCACACAGAGCTGTTTTCTGTTCTGTTGTGGTTTCAGCTTGATGGCTTCCCTAAAGATCAGAATGCCACAAGTGCTAAGCAGAAGTGAAATAAAATTTCTAGGTTTTGCAGAACTACCTGCAAGAGAGGATTTCCTGAATTTCCGCTGAGTATGATGTAATAGTAACTTAATGAAAAGGAAAGAGAAAGCAGAATGTAGTTTATGTGCAGTCTCCTGAAAACCTCTCAGGGAATCACAACCTGGTAACCAAAGGTGACAAGGGCAGCCACCAAGACTGGAGGGCTGATTTCTGATCTATGCAGAAACCCATCACTTCTGGGCATTTCTCTTTATGCTGCAAAAATTATACTTCTTGGCAAGAAAAGATGCTAATGCTGTCATAAGCCTGTTCCTTACCCTTGGTCTAATACAAAGAGAATCAGTTTCTGGCTACCATCAGGGCATGCATTTTTTGGAACTGACAGTTATAAGGATATAGAGAGAGATGTATTCCTTGCCTATAGACCACTGTGCATACCAGCCTCTAGGATCACCCTCTCCACATACCACGTATGGGACTCCAGGGAACAGGCAGACCGACCAATCTTGACTGGAACTTAATAGTATCCAGAACAAGTTCGTGTTTAATAGTGCATTAAACAGCTATTAATAGTACAATTTTAGTTTCACAGATCATTCCTATTATTAGACTTCAAACATTAACAAATAAAATAATATTCTCATTGTCACTTTGAATTATGATCTTGACAGTTCTTCCACTTAATAGTAAAAACTCTGCCTTGGTATCAAAAGAGAGAAGTCTCATAAGAGCTAATGAGTGTGAAAGAATAGTATTGTTACCAGAGAGCTAGTGAGGTTTATTCATTCAAAGTGTATCAATTCTGGTATGATTTGAGGTGTATTTTTGTAATCAGCAATATATTTTCATTGAGATGTTCCAACAGGATGTCTGTGTGAATTCTTGAGTTAGCAGCAAGGAAGAGCCTGAAATTGCAGAGGAGTCTCTTCATGTATCCCTCAGGCCACACATTGTGATATATATATATATATGTACATATATACACACATATGTATATCACACATTATGATATATATATGTACATATATACACACATATGTATATTTACAGTTATTTTCTTATTTTATAAATATATGATTATTATTTCCTTTATATATATACATTAAAAAAGGGACTGGGTGCCGTGGCTCATGCTTGTAATCCCAGCACTTTGGAAGCCGAGGTGGGTGGATCACTTGAGTTCAGGAATTCAACACCAGCCTGGCCAACATTGTAAACCCCATCCCTACTAAAAATACAAAAATTAGCCAGGCGTGGTGATGGGTGCCTGTAATCCCAGCTATTTGGGAGGCTGACACAGGAGAATCTCTTGAACCCTGGAGCCAGAGGTTGCAGTGAACTGAGATGGCGCCACTGCACTCCAGCCTGGGTGACAGAGCGAGACTCCATCAAAAAAAAAAAAAAAAAAGAAAGAAAGAACAGAAAAGAGAATACTCTCCTAAATCTCTGTAACACATATAATATAAAAAGCAGAATTCTTGGAGTATTCTGGAGAAAACTGAAAAATAAGTCACCCTTCATACTGAAGATAAGTCTCATTTGTATATTCAGTCAGGAAACAGTATCTTACAGAAAAATCTGGAAGAGTTTATTTTCTTAAACCTAAGTGAAATAGACATAGACATACTATTCATTTGCTGATTCCAATACCCAGCACAGTTCTCTCCTTCTTCCCCAGCTTTTCTGGATCTCATTCTTCACTCCTATTGAAGCTCGGAAAATAATACGCCAAAGTGAAGATCTAAGAAGCAGCCTCAGAAGCAAAGTTTCTCTCTGGCCTTCTCCTGCCCTCCTGTTTGTCACCCCTCATCTCCCGAGGCTAGCCATAAAAAGTAGAAACTCTCTTTCCCAAGGCTGGTAATAGAAACCAGAGCCCTTTCTCTCCAAAGCCAGCCATAAAAACCTATAAACATTACTTGAACTTTCCCTTACCTTTGTGTGTAAGAACTGAACTGGCCATAAAGAAATTCTCTGACCTGCCTTGTTTGATTGTAGATACTAAGACCCCCATTCCAAAAAGAGCTCTGCCACATACCCAAGAGGAAGGAATGGTGCATGGAGAGGCCAAGAAGTATCTGACCAGAAAGGCCTTGCTGGGTTTCCCCTACTCAGAATATTAGCATTAGATGATGCCCTTTTTGTCTAATCACATTTCTGCACAGCTGCCCATTCCTCATGGAATGTAAGCATAAAAATGGATAGTTTTTTCCTGTACTTTGGGTCTTCATTTTGAAGGCTTCCATAGTTATATAAAACGATGATTAAATAAACGTGCTATGCTTCTCGCTTGTTAACCTGCCTTATTATAGCCGTGTCAGCTGTGACCCTTTTGATAGGAAGGAAAGAGATCACACTATTTCTGCCCTTATAGTTCTGATGATGAAGATGGGATGTCTGAAGCACCTGACTCACCTATTGATGAGGTCCTGGGACAACTGATAAAGAGCTGGCAAATAAAGGTAAGAATTTTTACCAAGGTGAGTTCTGAATCTCTGCCTGTAGTTTCTGGTCAAGAACTAAAGGTAAAAATTTATCTTTATATCTTACTTTCCAAATGCAGGTCAGCAGGAGATCATTTGTTTGAACTGTTCTCTTATGTAAATTTGGATTTCAGGGACTCATTTGTTATTGATCCTTTCCCTTCAACGAACAGCTGTCATTTTCCTGTTTTGTGTCCTGAGAACCCAACTTGGCTTGCTGCCTGTCAGGACACACTTTGGTGTGTGAAGGGGGCTAAACAAATGTTGGAGGCTCCCATTAAAAGCTTACATATTGCCTATTGCCAGCTCTCAAGGCATCTAAATCTTTCTTTCTTTTGGCTATTTGTGGGGGTAGCTCTGAATTTTGAGAGGGCTGCATCTTTACATTTCTTTAATGATGTCTCATGTATCCTTGGTTAAGTCACAAAAGACTTGGTTTTGGTTCTGAGTCGCTTGGTAGGTATCGTTGTTTTAAAAGAAGAGAAAAAAAAGAAAGTTTCAAACATTAGAAATATTGGTTGTTTTTTCTTGCTGAAATCTGATAAGGGATTTAAAAGTATTTTTTTAAAAGAGCTCTGTGGTCAAATAATAGCTTAATTTAAAGCTGATATCCAGGCTACCATTTTTTTAAGAGTCTTTCTGATTTTCTCCTTAGGTTCTTGTTTATCCCATGGGAATTTTTTTCAGTAAACTTAAACTTTTTTTATTATAAACTTGATTCCTCTGTTTGCTTCCTTTCTTGTAGGCAGGATTTTTACCGGTTAAAAAAAAAAAAAAAAAAAAGAGTAAAACTTCATTGGCCTTTTTGGGAAGCTTAAGACCTACCCAGTCTGGCTCCTCTAAGACTTTTTCTTCCATTTACTTCTGTCCCTCCTTCCTTCTGCCACCTTCAATCTTCCATCTAGGTCTCTCTTATCATCGACAAGCCCCTGCCTCTGCATTTAGTGGTCAGTGGTTGGAAAATTACTAAGCAGAAACATCAGAGTTCTGGCTACCACATAAAGGGATGTAGAGAAGACTTCTAGAAAGCCTGGGATTCCTTGAAGAATGAAAAAAAAAAAAGGTGCCACAGACCCCCCCACTACATGGAGTCCTCTGTCTTCCTCAGGAACCCCAAGAGTCATGGGTGGGTCCTTCTTGCATCTGGAGCTCTGCTCTCCCTTGCCTTGAGTTCCCTGATCTCTTTGGCTTTTGGGGTATCAAGGGTAACTTCACACTGTGAGAGAGCCACCTACCTGCCAAGACCAGAGACAGTGGGCAAGTCTGTTCTCTGTATAAGTCTGTCGCCTTCCACCAGCTTTTTCTTCAGAGCTAAAAGGAGGAAATTTCCTGGAAAGAACTGACCCAAACACTGGAATGAGCCCATTTCTTTAAATTTCATGTCTTAGAGAGGGGATATACTCCCAGCTTCAGGCAGGACATGTCCTCTTTGGACAATGGGCAGCTCTGGGGAGAGAAAGGGGCAGGAGGTGTCCCTTGCCTCCAGCCTATGCAGCCTCCCAGGACCTCCTGACTCGTCCCTCACTCTACTTACTGCAGGTCACGTGGAAGTGAGAGCCACCCCATCTGACTGTGGCACTTCAAGGGAAATCAGGAAAACTGTCCTGATTGAAGGTACATTAACTCTTTAGCGTAAGTTGTCAGTTTTACTAATTTACTCCTCCTATCAGATCATGCCCCTCGACTTTATAATTGAGAAAATTCTTACTTTCCCTTTGAATAAGGAATGAGCTTGCATCAGTTCCATCTGGATTCAATAGTTTTAGAGAGCACTAACATAAAGTAACTTCAGAGAATATAGTGACTGCCACAGGTGTCAACAGGGTAGAATTGAGAGGCATCTTGGCAATATTGCAATTAAAGAAGTAATCATGGTCAGTTGCTCAGGCAGCCAGGCAGGCATTCAATTTAGCAGGGATCTCTCAACTCTGACTCAGGTTAGAAACCCAACCATTAGATTGTTTCTCTTCTATTCGTGGGTTAGAGGGCCCTAATTTACATGTTAAACCATTTTTCCTTTCCTCCTCCACCAATTGTAGGGAACCAGTTTAGCGTCAGGACAACATCAACATTTTTTAATTCACTTGGTTCTGTCTTTTGTGATTGCCTAATTAGCCTTTCAAATATTAGAACCCCTTCCATTCTTGGGTAACTGCTTACATTTTAATGTAATTTTTTCCTTACATTTATATTATACTTTTTACCATATTTATATGTAAAAGTTCTGATTTGGCTTCATATTGTCACCCTCCCCTGAAAAATCTCTATAGCCATATCTCATTTCATATCTCACAGTTTTCAACTTGTTATATATAATCTACAGTATTGGGGAACCCAGTAGCAGGTTTGGAGGCACCTAGGCAGGGGGAGTGGTGGGGGCACTGAGTGCTGGGCCGCTGGCCCTGCCCTCGTCCCACTGAGGAGACAGGTTTTACTGCTCCCAGGCCCACCTCCACCCAGGAACATCTAGTCCACCTGAGAAAAGGTGTGGGGAGGCAGGGATCAGTGCCTGGTGCCCAGAGAGACATGGCGAGGTATCACCATGCAGCACCCTCTGGAGATAGTCCTGTTTTTCAAGCCTCAGAAGCAGGAGTGTGCGTGTGGCCTTACTTCCACCCTTCCTGCCGGGTGAGTCATGAGCTGTAGGGGTGTAGACCCACTGATGTCCAGTCTGGCATCAAAATGCAGTAAATGAAGGGAGTCCTGCCTATACCTCTATGTCCATTGAGCTGATAAAGAATGCAGGAGCTCATCTGTGACTCTGTTTAGAAGCTTCCACGTTCTGACTCCTTCAGGAAGAGACTGCACCAGGCACAGGACTCTCATTTGTTCAAACAATGAAAGCACACATCATGCACTGGAATAAGCTGGAAAAGCCAGCAGCAGCCTGAGAACGTGGAAGGAGGACAGAGATGTTTAAAGCATAGACATCAGTGTCAGGTACTCAGCAGATGGAATAATACCAACGAGCACCATTAAGTCAACTGTTCAGATCATTCTTATCAGAAGGAGAGAAGATGAAGTGGATTCTGAGAACACAGAGTTCTGTTGAGCTGTGGCCAACATCAGTGTCCATGGCATCGGTAACACTGACACCACAGCAGCCTGCAGAATATTGGGAAGGATGGGGGTTAGTCCGTTCCCAGATGCAAACTTTTGATTTCTCCCTAGAACCCAGCAAGTCATCACAGTGCAGGGAAAATTATTCATGGGGACAATGCAGTACAAGGGATCTCTTAAATTCTGCTCACGATGCAGCCTCCTTTAAAGACCAACAATACGAAGACAATTCTTGAACAGAAGGGTCACAGGAAGACCTCCCAATAATGACATTTCATTCTATGTCATTTCCTTGTAACACTGATGAGAGAAGAAACTGAGTGCCCACCAGGGCCTTGTCTGTGTGGAGTTCTCCCCATGCCTGCATGAGTTTTCTCCAGGTACTTCAGTTTCCTCCTGCATCCCAAATATGTGCATGTTAAGTTAATTGGTTTGTCTAAATTTCTCCAGTCTCAGTGAGTGAGTGTGTGTGTGTGTTTGAATGTGCCCTGTGATTAAATAGCTTCCTGTGCAGTGGGGTTTTCCACCTTACACCCTGATCTGTGAGGATAGGTTCCTGCCACCCTTGACCCTGAAACGGAATAAGTGGATTGGAAAATGAATAAATGAATGAAGGAGTACAAATGATTGCAAAACAAAAATTCATAAAGCATATGACACTTATATAGATGCACAACAATGCATGAAAGTGCTCAGTGCGCCCACCATATTTGTTTCTGTTTGTTTTGGAACTGCTTGGTTGTAAGAGGTGTTCCTTACAATTTTCACTTTGTAAACATTTATTTTTTGATAAAACCTTCTATTACTATGACTGGAAAATATCATCTATTGTAATGCCAACCATAGACAGCCAAAGACAACCATACTAAGCAATGTGGCTGAATCTGTAGTTAAAGCCAGATCTTCCTTGGCAAGCAGCCCTTTAAAAGCATTCATTTTGTGTTGCAATTGTAGCAGTGAGACAGCAAAATACCTAACATAACTAACTCCATTTTGTTTACGGGGCCTACACCCATTCTTGCACGTAGGTTGGGATGATTTTAGAGCAGAGATAATGTGCAAAAACAGCAATCATGTAATTTTTAAAACTAACTCTGGGATTAAAGGAGAAGAATGTAAACAACTAACTAGGTTACCTTAAAGATTCATAGGAGCATTGTGACCTGACAAAGAACAAAGAATTTTTCAAATTCCTTGGTCCTGTGCTGGTGCCCAGTTGTCTGCTATTGATGGTCACCTATTTATCCTGACCCCCCTCCTCTTCTGCCTGCCCTTAACATAAAAAGAGCCTGAAATTTGTACTGCCTTAAGATGGTATTTGAAGATACTAGTCTACCGTCTTCTCAGTTTGCAGGCTTTCCTAATGAATCTGCTTCCCCCTCAACATCTCTCTTCTCTTGAGTTTGGTTTTCGAGAGATGAGCAGCTGAACCTGGGTTCCTTTTCACTAACAAGGAGTACCTGAGGCTGAGTAATTTATAAAGAAAAAAATGTTTATTTGGCTCACAATGCTGCTGGCTGGAAGACTGGGCATCTGGTGAAAGCCTCAGGCTGCTTAGATGCTATACAGTTTAGATGTTTGGTGGAGACAACTGAGATTTCTATAGTTTACATGTTTGCTGGGGATAAACATCTAAGCATCACAATCTTGGTCATATGAATGATCTTTTCAGCACTCACAACTCAACCAATGGACCGAAAGAGAAAGAGGGGAAGAGATTCTTCACTGGACACAATCAGTACACAAGATTAAGTCCTGAATGGGCTGGGGATAGAAATATCCTTCTCCTTGGCAATAAGAGCAGCAGGCTGACCTGTGAGTCCTGAAGGAGGAGAAAGTCAGAGTCCATATGGCTGGGCTGTCCCAGAAATTATTAGTTGTTTTCTCTTTATTCTTAAATACACAAGAAAACTCAAGAGTAAAAAATAAATTGGCTTCTAGGAGTTTGCAGTTGATAGGTTAATAGAGTTGTTTTAGTATATTTTTGAAGAAATCACTAATTAAATGTTATGATTTATTTTTTTAATTGGCAGACAAATCTACTTCATTTTACTACTTAAAAGATATTTCATTGGCTGGGTGCAGAGGCTCACACCTGTAATCCTGGCACTTTGGGAGGCTGAGGCAGGCGGATCATTTAGGGCCAGGGGTTCAAGACCAGCCTGGCCAACATGGTGAAGCCCTGTCTTTACTAGAAATACAAAAGTTAGCCGGGCATAGTGGTGTGCACTGATAGTCCCAGCTACTCCAGAGGCTAAGGCACGAGAATCACTTGAACCCAGGAGGTGGAGGTTGCAGTTAGCTGAAATTGCGCCACTGCACTCCAGTTTGGGTGACAAAGCAAGACTCTCTCTCAAAAAAAAAAAAAAAAAAAAAAAAAAGGAATGTATTTCATCTACTTTTCCACTGAACTTAAGGCAGTCAGTTCAATTCATTTACACTACACCCCCTGTTGCTCTGTAAAGCAATAGACAGCAACCATTTGACATTCAAAATGCATCTCAGAATCCTAGTCATCTCACTCTCCCTGCTCCATTGATTTGATGTCCTCTTCTTTACTTTCTATGTTCATATCTATCCCCCACTTCCTTTAAAGGACCCTTCCAGAAAAGCCATTATATTGATTCTCCCTAAAGTTTTCACCTTGCACAATTGGTGTGGTCAGAATAGTTCATCCCTCCAGATTTATATTTCTCTCCAAACAGTTGTATAAAAGGGTGTAATCCAAATAGTGTTACTGAGAAGACAGAGTTAGTATTTTAAAAATATCTTAAAACAGCCTGGCATGGTGGCTGATGCCTGTAATCCCAGCACTTTGGAACACTGAGGCAGGATGATCGCTTGAGCCCAGGAGCACCAGACCAGGCTGGGCACATGTTGAAACCCTGTCTCTACAAAAAATTTGAAAAATTAGCCAAGCATGGTCGTGCATGCTTGTGGTCCCAGTTACTCAAGAGACTGAGGTAAAAGGACTGCTTGAGCCCAGAAGGTCAGATTGCAGTGAACCGTGATCGCACCACTGTACTGCAGCCTAGGTGACACAGTAAGACCCTGTCTCAAAAAAGAAAATCTTAAAACAGTGGATGGTTCCTATTAGGCATGCAATAAATGTTGGTGTTATCATTTTTAATATTAGTATTATTATTATCATCATCCAGATTAAAATAGAAACTTTTGGGATCATCCAATTCTATTTCTATTAATTCCAGGTTCCTCAAGCCTATCTTATCATTGCCTGGGTGGATTTATTAACTAGGTAGAGTCTTCAGACAAGCTTAATGTCTAACACCCTGCCAGAGAGCATTGTTGGTGTTCTAGCAACTGCAGCCTGGTTGTCAATCTTTTGGGAGTTGGTTGGTGTGACTTCTGCCTTCTCTCCAGAGCTGATCACATGTGGATTAAGTGAAAGAAAGTCAAGTAGCTGATCTTCGAAAACTCTCTAGTCCCCAATTTTTGCTGCATTGAAGTTTGCTAACTTACACTTTGCAGTTAGTAAGGGGAAAGTCACTCCCCTTATTTCAATTTCATGACAATCAGAATTGCTTCTGTTTTCTTTCTCCCTACAAACAACTGTCAAGTAGTACTTTCTACAAAAGTTTAAATGAGAAACAAGAAAAACACGAATTTTGGAAATTATAGAGAAAAGCAGTGTAGCTCTTTTGCCTTTCTTTTACTTTCCTTTGTTTGTGTTACTTCATCATGAATTAGAATATAATGTGGTAGCAGCAAGACAAACTGCCCAGTAAACCACTATGTTAAAAAGGTGTTCTAAAAATTCATTTGTTGTTGAGCTTTAAATTTAAAATGAAGAATCACAAATCAGTAAAGGAAAGATGGCTATGACTATTTAATGTGATAGCATGGGGCTCACTGCCCTGCACCGTCAAAGTTTCATGTAGACAGAGATGTAAGAAACTTCAACAGATCACACTGAACTAGTGAACAACTGAGGGTCGCCAGTTTCTGTAATATGAGCCTCTAAAGAGAGGCAGCAGCATCTTTGACTCTCCTGTGCATAGCTCATAAATTTTAAGCATAAAAACTGTTAATAGTTTAAAAGAATTAAAGATAGCAAAAGAGTTAAAGAAAGAATAAAAGCTGTACTTGGTGAAATAAAAATTATTTAACTACTGAAGATAAAATGATTACAATTGGATAATTCCTTTACCTACTTAGACAAAACAAACCTTTGTTATCAGCGTTCTAGGGCTGTTGAGACTTTGATACCTAGGGCATGGGTCAGAAGAAGAGGAGGTCACCACTGACAGCATATACTCCTTCACCCAAATATTCTAGGAGCAAGGACAAAGGTCACAAAGGATTTATTGTTTTGGCAACAAAGAAGCAAGAACCTCCCTGGAAAAGGAGTTCTAAAGTCATCAGGATGTGGTGAGCCTGCATTTAGGGAGTGACTTGATGTGATAAATACCTTGTGAATCATCACTGCTGAGGAAATAACATTATTTTAAGATTAAAATTTCCACACCCATATGCATCTTAAAAAAGAAAAAAAAACAAACCAACAGAATTTCTTTTAGGGGTATTGGCGCAGCCTGAGGAGTGCTATATTTCTCCAGTAAGAAAATAATGCAAAAAAGGCAATGTTCATTGATCTAAGCTTGAGCCCCCAGGGAAGCATAACCACATGAACCTGAATGAATATATTCTAGAAGGAGGGAAGCACCAGAGAAGTTCTTTCACTAATAACCATCAACGTCTTCTGTGAATCAAATATCAAACAAAGATAGTCCTAAAAAGTTTAATTTCCAGAGATAGGTAATTTCCTAACTGAATACAGAAACCCATAGGGCCCAGGGATCCTGATTTCCTATGCAAAATGGAGGGTAAAACTGGAGGCTAGGATCTGGGCTAAAAGTATATACTTCTAACAGTAGCACAAAGATGTTTCTCATCTGATTGATCAATATTCATTTGGATTGATATATCTTAAGTTTACTGGGAATATTGAACATCCATTGCAAAAATCAAGAGTGTAGAGTGATGACCTCCTTTTAGGTCATATAGAACAAGGTTTTTCAACCCCCATCCATGGACCGGGGTACTGGTCCTGGCCTGGTAGGAACAGGGCCGCACAGCAGGAGGCAAGCAGGCCAACCAACAAGCATTAACGCCTGAGCTCTGCCTCCTGTCAGATCAGCAGTGGCATTGGATTCTCAAAAGAGCAGGAACCCTATTGTGAAGTGCAGATGCGAAGGATCTAGGTTGTGGTCTCCTAATGAGAATCTAATGCCTCTGAAAGCATTCCCTCCCTGACCCCATTTTTCGTGGAAAAATTATCTTCCACCAAACTGGTGGCCAAAAGGTTGTGGATGCTGATATAGAAGACATGTAAATGAAAACAATAAATGGAATTAAAAATTTAGAGAAATGCTCAGAAAAATGAAAACTATTTGTGCTCCATTAAAGCCATGCATAGATAGAATGTCTTCATAGAACCTAGGATCCAAGGTTCTATGAAGACCTCAGCTCAACCAGGCCAAAAGCATCCTGATTTCTCAATGGCCCTCCTCTTCCCTCTACTGGCAGCCCTAGAGGTGTGCAGCTGTGGCTCTTCTGGATCTCTAGGATATAACCTGCCTCAGAACCATGGCCTGCTAGGCAGGAACACCTTGGTGCTTTTGGGCCAAATGAGGAGAATCTCTCCCTTCTTGTGTCTAAAGGACAGAAGTGACTTCAGATTCCCCCAGGAGAAGGTGGAAGTCAGCCAGTTGCAGAAGGCCCAGGCTATGTCTTTCCTCTATGATGTGTTACAGCAGGTCTTCAACTTCTCACACAAAGCGCTCCTCTGCTGCATGGAACATGACCTTCCTGGACCAACTCCACACTTTACGTCATCAGCAGCTGGAACACCTGGAGACCTGCTTGGTGCAGGAGATGGGAGAAGGAGAAGCTGGGGGCAGTGGGTGATTGAGGGCTCTACACTGGCCTTGAGGAGGTATTTCCAGGAATCCATCTCTACCTGAAAGAGAAGAAATAAAGATTGTGCCTGGGAAGTTGTCAGAGTGGAAATCATGAGATCCTTTTCATCCACAAGTTTGCAAGAAAGATTGAGAAGTAAGGATGAAGACCTGGGCTCATCATGAAATGATTCTCATTGACTAATCTGCCATATCACACTTGTACATGTGACTTTGGATATTCAAAAAGCTCATTTCTGTTTCATCAGAAATTATTGAATTAGTTTTAGCAAATACTTTATTAATAGCATAAAGCAAGTTTATGTCAAAAACATTCAGCTCCTGGGGCATCCGTAACTCAGAGATAACTGCCCTGATGCTGTTTATTTATCTTCCTTCTTTTTTTTCATGCCTTGTATTTATGATATTTATATATTTTATATTTTCATCTTCACATCGTATTAAAATTTATAAAACATTCACTTTTTCATATTAAGTTTGCATTTTGTTTTATTAAATTCATATCAAAGAAAACTCTGTAAATGTTTCTATTCTAAAAACAATGTCTACTTTCTCTTTTTGTAAACCAAATTGAAAATATGGTAAAATGTATTAACTCATTCATTTCATTCCTATTATATGTATAAATTGAGTAAATGGCAAACTGTGGGGTTTTCTTAAAGAAATACAGGTGAATAAAGCAAACACAGTTTCTCTCAGTCTAAGAGGGAAAGAGACGTAAAAACAGGACAAATATTTATATTATTTCAATTATGTTAAATGCTACAAAGAGAAGTAAAGAAAAGTGATGTTCTCACATCAGAAGCTTTAGGTATAAATGGTGCTTGGAAGGAAAAAATATTAGATATCCTTCCTAAGGTGCATGGGAGATATGTAAGTACACGTCTTATTGGCAGGTGGGAATTATGTGTCTAGAATGCCATGGGGGAAGGTGTTAATTTGGGGTTCTTTATTTTATGTCTGATTATCGGGGTACGGGAATGGATGTAGTCACATAAATAGAGGGGAGAATGTGATGAGGACATAAACTTTATCCTGCAGACCCTCAGCAGTTAAAGGAAGGGCTGAAGAGTAGAGTCTGCAAAACGCCCTGAGGCTGATAGCCAGTGCAGTTAGAAGACAAAATAGGGAAGAATCAGGGAAAGACTAATCAGGAAAGGATGGTGGTACTTTCAGGGAAGGAAGACCAAACTATCCTAGTGAATCTGAAAACAGAAGTCACTGGTGACCTTGACCAATGATGGAATATATGGTTTAGTAGAATTAATGGAACAGAATTAATGGAACATTCCTTCTGAAACTATTCCAATCAATAGAAAAAGAGGGAATCCCCCCTAACTCATTTTATGAGGCCAGCATCATCCTGATACTAAAGCCTGGCAGAGACGCAACAAGAAGAGAATTTTAGACCAATATCCCTGATGAACATCGATGCAAAAATCCTCAATAAAATACTGGCAAACTGAATCCAGCAGCACATCAAAAAGCTTATCCACCAAGATCAAGTTGGCTTCACCCCTGGGATGCAAGGCTGGTTCAACATATGCAAATCAATAAACGTAATCCATCACATAAACAGAACCAAAGACAAAACCACATGATTATCTCAATAAATGCAGAAAAGGCCTTCGACAAAATTCAACAGGCTTTCATGTGAAAAACTCTCAATAAACTAGCTATTGATGGAACGTATCTCAAAATAATAAGAGCTATTTATGACAAACCCACAGCCAATATCTTACTGAATGGGCAAAAACTGGAAGCATTCCCTGTGAAAACTGGCACAAGACAGGGATGCCCTCTCTCACCACTCCTATCAACACAGTATTGGAAGTTCTGGCCAGGGAAATCAGGCAAAAGAAAGAAATAAAGGGTATTCAATAAGGAAAAGAGGAAGTCGAATTGTCCCTGTTTGCAGATGACATGACTGTATATTTAGAAAACCCTATTGTCTCAGCCCAAAATCTCCTTAAGCTGATAAGCAACTTCAGCAAAGTCTCAGGATACAAAATCAATGTGCAAAAATCACAAGCATTCTTATACACCAATAACAGACAAACAGAGAGCCAAATCATGAGTGAACTCCCATTCACAGTTGCTACAAAGAGAGTAAAATACATAGGAATCCAACTTACAAGGGATGTGAAGGACCTCTTCAAGGAGAACTACAAACCACTGTTCAATGAAATAAAAGAGGACACAAACAAATAGAAGAACATTCCATGCTTGTGGGTAGGAAGAATCAATATCGTGAAAATGGCCATACTGCCCAAGGTAATTTATAGATTCAATGCCATCCCCATCAAGCTACCAATGACTTTCTTCACAGAATTGGAAAAAACTACTTTAAAGTTCATATGGAACCAAAAAAGAGCCTGCATTGCCAAGACACTCCTAAGCCAAAAGAACAAAGCTGGAGTCATCACGCTACCTGACTTCAAACTATACTACAAAGATACAGTAACCAAAACAGCACGGTACTGGTACCAAAACACAGATATAGACCAATGGAACAGAACAGAGGCCTCAGAAATAACACCACACATCTACAACCATCTGATCTTTGACAAACCTGACAAAAGCAAGAAATGGGGAAAGGATTCCTTATTTAATAAATGGTTCTGGGAAAACTGGCTAGCCCTATGTAGAAAGCTGAAACTGGATCCCTTCCTTACACCTTATACAAAAATTAATTCAAGACGGATTAAAGACTTAAATGTTAGACCTAAAACCATAAAAACCCTAGAAGAAAACCTAGGCAATACCATTCAGGACATAGGCATGGGCAAAGACTTCATGACTAAAACACCAAAAGCAATGGCAACAAAAGCCAAAATAGACAAATGGGATCTAATTAAACTAAAGAGCTTCTGCACAGCAAAAGAAACTACCACCAGAGTGAACAGGCAACCTACAGAATGGGAGAAAAATTTTGCAATATACCCATCTGACAAAGGGCTAATATCCAGAATCTATGAAGAACTTAAACAAATTTGCAAGAAAAAATCAAACAAACCCATCAAAAAGTGGGCAAAGGATATGAACAGACACTTTTCAAAAGAAGACATTTATGCAGCCAACAGACACATGAAAAAATGCTCATCATCACTGGCCATCAGAGAAATGCAAATCAAAACCACAATGAGATACCATCTCACACCAGTTAGAATGGCGATCATTAAAAAGTCAGGAAACAACAGGTGCTGGAGAGGATGTGGAGAAATAGGAATGCTTTTACACTGTTGGTGGGAATTTAAACTAGTTCAACCATTGTGGAAGACAGTGTGGCAATTCCTCAAGAATCTAGAACTAGAAATACCATTTGACCCAGTGATCCCATTACTGGGTATATACCCAAAGGATTATAAATCATGCTCCTATAAAGACACATGCACATGTATGTTTATTGCGGCACTATTCACAATAGCAAAGACTTGGAATCAACCCAAATGTCCATCAATGATAGACTGCATTAAGAAAATGTGGCACATATATACCACGGAATACTATGCAGCCATAAAAAACAATGAGTTCATGTCCTTTGTAGCGACATGGATGAAGCTGGAAATCATCACTCTAAGCAAACTGTCACAAGGACAGAAAACCAAACACCGCATGTTCTCACTCATAGGTGGAAATTGACCAGTGAGAACACTTAGACACAGGGTGGGGTACATTACACACCAGGGCCTGTTGTGGGGTGGGGGAATGGGGGAGGGATGGCATTAGGAGAAATACCTAATGTAAATGACGAGTTAATGGGTGCAGCAAACCAACATGGCACATGTATACATATGTAACAAACCTGCACGTTGTGCACATGTACCCTAGAACTTAAATTATAATAAAATAAATAAATTTTTAAAATGCCTCTGTGATTTTGATAGGGATTGCCTTAGATCTGTAGATCACTTTGGAGAACATGAAGATCTTAACAATGTTAAGTCTTCCAATACATGATGGATATAAATAAATGTCTTACCATTTATTTTTGTCATCTTTAATTTTTTCAGCAGTATTTGATAGTTTCCAGTGGATATGTCTTTCACCTCCTCGGTTAATTTTATTCCTGAATATTTTATGCTTTTTGATGCCATTGTAAATGAGAGTATTTTCTTAATTTCCTATTAGGATTATTCATTGTTAGTATATAGAAATACGACTGATTTTTGTTTGTTGATTTTGTATCCTGAAACTTTGCTCTATTCATTTATAAGTTATCACTCTGTGTGTGTGTGTGTGTGTGTGTGTGTGATCTTTAGAATTTTTTACATATAAGACTATGTCCTCTGCCAACAGAAATCATTTTATTTCCTCCTTTATAATTTGGATGCTTATTATTTGTTTTTGTTGCCTAATGACTCTGGCTAGGACTTCAAATACTATGGATAAGTAGAAGTGATGAGAATGGCATCCTTACCTTTTTCCTGAGCTTAGAGGAAAACCTTTTAGGTTTTCACTATTGAGTATGATGTTAATGGAGGGATTTTCATATAATAGCCCTTATCATGTTGAGGTAATTTCCTTCTATTCCTAGTTTATTGATCCTATTTTTAAATCATGAAAGGACACTGAATTTTGTCAAATGGTTTTTCACCATCAGTTGAGGTGATCATGCTTTTCCCCCCTTCATTCTGTTTATTTAGTTTCTTACATTGATTTCTATATGTTGAACCATGTAGCCATGGTGTATAATCCTTTTAATACGCTGTTGAATTTTGTTTGCAAGTATTTTGCTGAGGGTTTTTGCCTCCATATAGACTCATAAAATTAGTTTGGAAGTGTTCTCTCCTCTATAATCTTATGGAAGAATTTGAGAAGGATCATGCTAATTCTTTTTTGGATGTTTGGTAAAATTCTCCAGTGAAGCCATTTGGTCCTGGGCTTTTCTTTTTTCAGAGGCTTTAATTATTGATTCAGTCTCCTTATAGTTCTATTGTGATTTTTTATTTCTTTGTGATTCAGTCTTGGTAAGTGGTGTTTCTAGGAATTCATCCATTTTTTCTAGGTTATAAAATTTGTTGGAGTATACGTGTTCATAGTTGTCTCTTATGATCTTTTTTTATTTCTGTGGCATCAGTTGTAGTGTCTCCTCTTGTGTTTCTTATTTTTGTTTTATGAGTCTTCTCTCTCTCTTTTTAAAATAATCCTAGTAAGGGTCTGTCAATTTGTTGAACTTTTTTTAAAAAAACCGACTCTTAGTTTCAGTGATTTTTAAAAATTGCTCTTCTATTCTCTATTTTATTTATCTTTGCTCCAGTTTTATTATTTCCTTTCTTCTGCTAGATTTGGGTTTTGTTTGTACTTTTCTTTAGTTACTTAAGGTGCAAAGTTCTATTGTTGACTTGAACTCTTTCTTCTTTTTTTAGTGTCAGCTTTTACAGCTGTAAATTTCCCACTTAGCACTGTTTTCACTGTATTGCATGGGTTTTGGTATATTTTCTTTTAATTTTCATTTATTAAAGATTTTCTAATTTCTATTGTGTTCCTTCTTAAATTCTAGTCTCATTTAGACACACATTGTTTTCTTTTTGTTTTCATGCATTGGGATATGAAATCAGACCACTTTTATTTTCTGGGAAAATGAAATGAGAAAGAAAGACACCGGGTGTTGCCCAACACTATCTAGAAACAATGTACATTTCATTTGTTTTCATCATATTTACATTCCTTTATTGACATAAGCTGAAAATGAAAATGAAAAAAGTCCAGGAATGGCAAAACAAATTTGCACAGTACAATATCACATGAAAAGGGAATATACATATGACCCCAACTTGTTTCCTAGTTCACTTGGTCCAACAATCTGAGTGAACAAGGGAAAAACATTTCATTCCCAGTGTTTGACAGACTAAGAAAAATAGCTTTGGCAGAATTATCCTGCATTCGAAAGATATGATGATTAGGTTGAACTCTAAAATCCAATAAAAATGTGTTGACTGTATTAACTAATAAAAGTTCTTAATTTTGCAAAATATATTTTTAGAAAGAAAGCTCATTTACTATGGAAACTCTGGTCTCAATTTCAAAACTTTGAGCATTTTAATTGTTTAACAATATAAAGAGTTAAATCATTAAAAATAATGAATACTAAAATTTACTTGGTTTATTTAAAAAACGGCTCCCTTCTGGTCTCTACCCTCATATAGACATGTTGATTTTATCATGGTATCATCTAAATGTCATCAAATGACATGAAACCTAGGTTTCTGAGTGATGGAAAATGAATTTACAGCTCACACACACACTCTGGGAAGTCGGCCTCACTTGACAAAGGCAAGAAAGGTGGAAAAATGATGATTTTGAGACACAGAACTACTACCTTCAAAAAGTAGTGTGTCTAATTACTGTGAGCTGTGTGAATCAGGGAGAGTTAGTTTAGACATGTGGCTCTATACATGACACCAGGCTGGTTAATTTCTATTATAAAAAAGTAGAGGGCAAACTAGAGATGAAGTCATAATATAGTTTAACATAGTACTATGCAAAAGCTGAAAATTATGTTGCTCTTGCATTTGAATTCCCAGCCATATATTTCTTAAAGGAACTAGATATCTAGCACATTTGGCAATTAACTCTATAAGCATTATCGACACTCAGTAAGAGAAGAGTGGAAATATTAGCCATTGTCTATTATAATCCTAGCAAATATGGCCTTAATGAAGGAAAATAATGTGGTCACTTATGAACACCTTTTAGTATGAGGAGGAAATCTGAGAAATTGCTTTAGTAAAAATTATTTATTGAGTACATTAGACTTGGTGCTGAGGATAATGCAGTCAATAAGACAGAGTCCAGTTACTAAAGAGCTGATTTGCCAAAGGTGGTCCCATAAATACCATACAAAGAGAAAGAATCTAGAGGACTGAGGCAGCTTAACTTCCTATGCAAAAATAAAAAAGTAAAACCAAGGCTCAGGATTAGAGCTATAAATTAATACTTCACACATGATACAGTTTGGATGTGTTCCCATCCAAATCTCATGTTGAATTGTAATCCCCAGTGTTGGATGTGGGACCTAGTGGGAGGTGATTGGATTATTGGGGCTGATTTCACATTAATAGTTTAGCACCATCCTCTCAGTGCTGTCCTCACAATAATAAGTGACTTCTCACGAGATTTAGTCACTTAAAAGTGTGCAGCACCTCCCCACTCACTCACTCTCCTGCTCTGGCCATGTGATGTGCCTGCTCCCGCTTCCCTTTTGGCCATAATCGTAAGTTTCCTGAGGCCTCCCCAGAAGCTGAGCAGACACCATCATGCTTCCTGTACAGCCTGCAGAATCATGAGCCAATTAAATCTTATTTCTTTATAAATTATCCAGTTGTGGGTATTTCTTCATAGTAGTGTGAAAACGTCCTCATACTACATGATAATATTCAGTATTTATCCAGTTATAAGTTTAGGACAAATATGTGTTTTTGTTTTTGTTTAATAGAGTCAACTTGGTCTGGAATCTGTATTAGTGTATTTTTACACTGCTGATAAAGATACCCGAGACTGGGTAATTTACAAAAGAAAGAGGTTTAATGGACTTACACTTCCAAGTGGCTGGGGAGGCCTCATGATCGTGGCAGAAGACAAGGAGGAGCAAGTCACATCTTACATGGATGGCAGCAGGCAGAGGGAGAGAGCTTGTGCAGGGAAACTCCACCTTATAAAGCCATCAGATCTCATGAGACTTATCCACTATCATGAGAACAGCATGGGAAAGACCTGCCCCCATGATTCAGTTACCTCCTACTGGGTCCCTCTCACAACATGTGGGAATTCTGGATGAGATTTGAGTGGGGACACAGCCAAACTATATCAGAATCTATAAACCCCCCTTATAAAACTATGAGACTTATTCACTATCAAGAGAACAGCACAGGAAAGACCCGCCCCCCATGATTCGATTACCTCCCACCAGTTCTCTCTCAAAACACATGGGAATTGTGGGAGCTACAATTCAAGATGAGATTTGGATGGAGACACAGCCAAACCATTTCACCTTATTTATCTTTTTTGATCTTTGTTGGCTTAAAGTCCATTTTGTCTGAAATTAAAATAGCAACCCCTGCTTTTTTCTGTTTTCTGTTTGCTTGGTAGATTTTTCTTCAGCCCTTATTTTGAGCATACAGATGGCATTCGAGATGGGTCTCTTGAAGAGACCCTACCATTGGGTCTTGCTTCTTTATCCAACTTGCCATAATGTGCCTTTTAAGTGGGGCATTTAGCCCATTTGCTTTCAAGGTTCATATTAATATATGTGGATTTCACCCTGTCATCATGCTATTAATTGATTAGAAAGCAGGCTTGTTTGTGCATTGCTTTATAGTGTCACTGGTCTGTGTGCTTAAGTGTGCTTTTGTAGTGGCTGGCGATGTTTTTTTCCTTTCCATATTTGGCATTCTTTTCAGGACCTCTTGTAAGGCAGGTCTGGTAGTAACAAATTCCCTTGGCATTTGCTTGTCTGAAAAGAATTTTATTTCTCTTTCACTTATGAAGCCTAGTTTGGCTGGATATGAAATTCTTGGTTGGAATTTTTTTTTCTTTAGAAATGCTACCTAAAGGTCCCTCATCTCTTCTCATTTGCAGAATTTCTGTGGAAAGGTCCACTGTTAGCCTTATGTGGTTCCCTTTGTAGATGACCTGCCCCTTCTCTCTAGCTGCCTTTCACATTTTTCTTTCATTTTGACCTTGGAGAATCTGATGATTATATATCTTGAGGATGGTGTGTAATATCTCGTGGGGGTTCTCTGTAATTCATGAATTTGAATGTTGGCCTCTCTAAGTGAGGTCGAGGAAGTTTTCATGGATGATATTCTGAAACATGTTTTCCAAGTTGATTGCTTTTTCCCTGTTTCTTTCAGGGATGCCAACGAGTTATAGATTTCATCTCTTGCCATAATCCCATATTTCTTGGAGGTTTTGTTTGTTCTTTTTTATTCATTTTTCTTTATTTTTGTCTGACTGAGTTATTTAGGAGAGGCAGTCTTTGAGCTCTGAGATTCTTTCCTCAGCTTGGAACTAGTGCAGTTGTTTGAAAGAAAAAAAGGAACTCTGGCTTTTTTGCTGGTTCTTTCTTGTGCTGGTTCTTTCTCATTTGTGTGGGCTGATGTTCCTTCAATCTTTGAAGTTTCTGTCCTTTTGATGGATATTTTCTTTTTTTCTTTGATGCCCTTGGGGGTTTGATTATGGTATAAGTTGGGTTTAGTTGACAGGCTTCAATATTAGTCTGCTCCTGGGTCTTGGAGGAGCCCCCCCGATTACTGCCTACATGCCTGTGCTTCTTTTTTTGGGTGTTTTGATCCGCAGGACTCCCTTAGGCAGGGCCACCATTGGCAGATATGCTGTATCCATGCCAGGTCAGCCCTAATCTGCTGTCTGTGTGCTTTCTGGGGAAACACAGGGTTACACCTGTCCACAGAGTTCAGGTGGAAGTGGGACCGCTGGGTTGGAAGTTCTAGCAGGTGTGGGCCATCTGGCTATGAGAGGTGGGGGTTGGTGGGGCTACCCTCCCTGTCATGCAGGTGTTTCCGGGGCAACAGGAACCTGTGCCGCTTTGCAAATTCAGGCAGAAATAGGACCACCAATCTAGAAGTTCTAGTGGACATGGCTTATCTGGGCTACCAGTGGCAAGGGTGGATGGGAATGCCTGCCCTGCTGTCTAGATGCTTCCTGGGAAAACAGGAGGCTGCACCCACTGTTTAAGTTCCCACAGAATTAGGAACACTGGGTCAGAAGCTCTGGCAGCTGTTGACAGCCTGAGTGCCAGTGGCCAGGGTGGGTGGGGTCACATGCTCTGTTCTCCTGGTGTTTTACTTGTTTTGCTTATAAAGGGAAATGTTCATTAAGATTCTACCTTTAGCTGGGTGTGGTGGCTCATGCCTGTAATCCCAGTACTTTGGGAGGCCAAGGCAGGAGGATCCCTTGAGCCTAGGAGTTTGAGATAAGCTTGGGCAACATGGCCAAATTCCTTCTCTACAAAAAATAGAAAAGGCATGGTGTACACCTGTAGTCCCAGCTACTTGAGAGGCTAAGATGGGAAGATCATCTGAGCCTGGGGAGGCTGAGGCTGCAGTGAGCTGTGATTGTGCCACTCCACTCCAGCCTGGGCAACACAGCAAGATCCTGTCTTAAAAAAAAAAAAAAGAAAAAAAAAGATTCTACCTTGAAGCTGTTTTCCTGGAATGCATCTAAATGGGAGAGTCCAGTTTGAACCAGTAGAGGGCAGAATAACATTTAGCATTCATCACTGGAATGTGTTTGCACATGAGGTGTATCAACAGTAAGGAAACAAAATAACTCTAGATATTCATGTGTCTTAGTAAGTACATTTGGTTAATTAACATAAGGCCATGTTATGTTCATCATTAATGAACCCAGCCAAGACTTTTTTTTTTAACCAACACTCAACTGCTTAAATGCCTTGCTCATCAAAGAGACACCAGAGAACAAAGCTAAGTTATAAAAAATAAGGATGGAAAAGCTTCCAAATATCCCTTAAAAAACAATTATATTGGAAGGTCTAATGGGGTCAGATTAGATAATAAATAACAATCTAGAACTAGTATTAGGCTAATATCACTGATTTTATGCTTACCTTTTAAAACTTTATTCTGTGTTATTTATTTATTCTAGATTCCCATAAATATATTTACCACTTAAACTGAAAGACCCATAGAAGACATTTTTAAAAATTATTTCCACACTAGTTTTTCCAATTGATAAGGTGATCAGTAACATAGATTTTTGATCCAACTACTGGGAACAATTTAAAACAATCTGTTCATCAATATTGAATAAGAAAAATAAACTATCATCTCAAATATTTTGATGAGATATTTGCAAAGAAATTATATTCAGTCATAATTTCTAAGACTTCAAATTAATGAGAAACAGATATGTGCAAATGAGATCAGGCATGTTTCTTTTTAAACAAGTGAAATTATAAACAAAAATATTCTTCTAAAAAATTAGGTAAAAGGCAGCAATGTCTACTTTCCCCTGAAATATTTAATATTGTGGTGAAATAATAACAATGTAAAACATTATGAAACAAGCAAGAGGAATTAAAGTTATAACATGAAGACAATTTGGTCATGTAGGGTAAAAATAAGGCTCCTTTTGTTCCCTCTTAATGAACATCACATCATAAATCTAGCCACTCTTGTATCCTCCTATTACCATAAATTGGTTTTTGAAGTTTCTGAACTTTCTATAAATGAAAACACATTTTAGTTTTTCTTTATATTTAGCTTTTTCACTCAATGTTATGTCTGTGAAATCATCCATACTGTTCATGTATGTTGAGTGTGTTGTTTTTTTCAAGTTTTATGAGCCATTTGGATAGTCTCTTTTGTGAAATTCCTGTTCCAATCTTTCTTTTTGGTAAGCACTTTCTCCTTTTCTTATTGATATTGATTTCTCTTTTTATTTTAGTTATTTTTATATATATCCTAGATACAACTACTTTGTTGGGTAAATGTATTGTAAATAACATCTTTCAGATTGAAGCTGATCTTTTTATTCACTTAAAGTTATTAATCTTAATGAAGACTAAGTTATCAAATTTTATTTGATGGTTACTTCACTTTTGTCCTATTTAAGGAAACACTGCTTACAGTAACCAAGTACATAAATATCATGTCATACAGATATGCTCTTATGTTTTCTTCTAGCATTTTTATATGTTTAGCTTTTGCATTTAGGTCTATGATGCATCTTTATTGTACATAGTGAGGTGGGAGTAACATGGATATTCAGTTGACACACAACATTTAAGAAAAACCTTCTAGGCTTATTGAATTGCAGTGACATATTAATTACAAATCAGGTGACCATAAATATGGCCTGTATTTTGGCTCTATGCTCTTCTACTGATCCACTTATTTTTTATCTTTGTCCCAGACAGACTAGCTTAGTATTACTCTTCTGGATTTGTTCTTTTCTTTAAAACTTGTCTAGCCTAGGTCTTTTGTACTCCAGTGTAAATTTCAGAATTTTCTTGTTAATTTCCATAGAAAAATCTGTTACAATTTTATTGAGATTTTTTGAGAAATCAACATCTTAACAATATTGAAACCTCCAATCCATTAACATTGTATATCCTGTCTTCTTCAATCTGTGAGAAGCTTATTCTTTGCCCTTTGAATGTTGGTCATATAGTGGTCATTGGCCAGGACATAAAGAAGCGGGCTGATGCCTATCCTTGTTTTTCTATAGCCTCATCTCTATAGACAACATTCTGTCCACAAGTGAAGAACAAAGCCAGAAGCAAACAGGTGGAATCCTCAGGAGAGTCTTTTTGTAATAAGGAGAAAGATCTCATATTTGATTTTTACTTCTGACAGGCTCTCTGGTCCCATCCCACCTATTCCCCTACCCTACCAGCTGTGAGACCAACAAGAGAGCTGGGCTACACCCAACTTCTGTCCCCTCATACTTGTGAGAATTCCAAACCCCGCAGACCCTGGTCTACTTGGGGGAACCCGATCACAGTCCCACCTCCTAACAGCATGAAGTTTCAAGCTATGCATACTACCTGACTCTTTCCCTTTAATCCCTGTAAAAAAAAAAAAAAAAAAAAAAAAAAAGAAAAGCAATAGCAGCAACAACAAAACCCAGTCTCTGGCAAAATCCAGATTCAGATCTAAAGAAAATATATTAAAAAAAATTTAAAAAAACATTGTTCCAGTGCATGTGAGTAGTAAAATTTCAAACTTCATTGGTAGGCAAATGGCACCATTGGATTGGTCTAAACATCCAATCATTGGTCAAGGGTTGATAATCTCTCCTAGGTGACCACAAAACACCTCCATATGGAGCAGATCCCTGAGAGAAGTTTTCTAATTATAACAGGAATAACTTGTTTCACAATTCCTTTATACAATCTCCTAGAGCAGTGGTTTCCACTTTGGCTTCACTTTGGAATTATCTGAAAAGTTTTAAAAACACTGATGCTGAAGCGCCTGCTTATTTTAGAATTAAAAGGAATTCTTAACAATTAAAAACAATTTTTGACAAGGGAAATGAAAAATTAGAAAATCACCAAAATTATTTTTGAGACTAGTATAAAACTGATTATAGAAGAGGGCTGAATTAGAACAAAACAAAAAAAAAGTTACTACAGATAGAAAATTATCTACGTATAGCTACAAGTAAAATATCAGAAAAATAATCTAGAGACAGGTTAATATTAAATCTTAATTGAGTATTGTTTTTCTAGAAATCCAAGAATTCTAAAAAAATCTGTTACTATAACTCAGTGGATTAAGACACATGCTCAAAATAAAGAGCTATATGAAGTTCCTACCTGGAAACTCTTAATGGTGCAAAAACATTAATTGCACTCAGACTGGAGATGTGATGTGAGAGAAAATGAGGAGTCAAGAATGACTATGTGAGAACCTATAAATGTGAACTGCAACTAACAGAACTGGAAAAGAATAAGAGAAATCATTTTTCCCCCAGGAGATTGGTTTTGAATAACCTTACTTTGAGTTTAGGTCTAAAATGAAGGTTTCAAATGGAGAGCACTTGGATATATAATTTTTTAACATGGGAATGACTTCCAGGCTAAACATATGCATTTGGATAAAATCAGCATGGGGGAAAGTTTAGGAAAGAGACCTATGCTAGGAGATGGGCTGTACCTTTTGCTCCACCTAGGGCATAGATCAGCACAAGATGATGCCTCTGCTTTCCTGGACTCATTCTTCCTCCCCCTATGTCCTTTCCTGGACCCATTCTTCCTGCCTCCTTTTCACTGTGAAAAACTCTATTGACTTTAAATTCTTTCCAGTTATTTTCTTTTCAATGCCATACATCATCATGGCCAAGAATCAATCAGGAAAGCTCACTATATTCCTTAGAGAAAGCTCCTGTAATCAGAAAGCCTGTGAATACAACTTTATTGATCATTTCTGTTCCTATTGCTCATTAATAAATTTTGTCCCTTTTGTCTTTTCATTGTACATATATTCGTACAATACTTGCGTATAAGTTAATAAATGAAAGGAATGAATAAAAATTTTTCAAAAGTTACGATTCAGTCATGTTTTATTCAATTATGTGTATTATATTGTTTTAGTCAATAATTTCATTGTAATAAATAATTTCATTTATACAAATTATTTATGTTAGGCAACAATGAACTTTTACAAAATTGTAACTTGCGTTAATTTAGAAAGCAGATTATATGCCTACTGAGCTTGTACCTCTAAGGGTAGAGGTTGAAAAACGATATTAGTAGTAGGTGTGAAAAATTGTTGACTGCATTTGGCAAGTAACTTTAGAAAGATATGAGTTCAAGAAAGTATTTTTCAGTATGCAAGCAGAGAGCTAAAAGAGAATCAAGGGAATTCAGAATCCTACGAGTAGGATATAAAAACTGCTGTGTTTCCCATTCATGGCAATTCTGAATGCATGTCTTTGTTGTGATCATTCTACATTCAGACTACACAGAGTCATATCCAGCTATTATGAAGAGGACTCCATATGACCCAAAGACTCTGAGCTTTGAGCTGGATGGAATTACTAGAAAATACTTTGGATTGGTCCCTTCAAGTTAGAATAAGCGTGCCGTACATGGGGGGCAAAGAGAAACATTAATATTTGGTGACCTGAAGGTCGATATGTAGCAAAGTCACTGCTGGTGAGCACCAAATCCAATTTATTTTCATTTTGGACACAGGGCTACACCCTGCTTTCCTTATAGTTAGCCAAGGACATATGACTAAGTTTTTACCTATACAATATGGACAGATGTCATGGCCCTCTGATGGCTTGGCTCATGTAAATTTCTCATGGGTGATTCTCTTTTCTCACTTTCCATTCTATGGCAACCTTGGACACCACATATTGAAGAAAATGGAAAGGGCCTAGCATTTGAATGTACTTGATAGAGCCCATTCATCTCACCATTGGCCCACATAAATCTGACATAGGAATTACATTTGGAAACTGGAATAACATGCTTTGTC
This sequence comes from Homo sapiens, assembly GCF_000001405.40. Lineage (NCBI taxonomy): Eukaryota > Metazoa > Chordata > Mammalia > Primates > Hominidae > Homo > Homo sapiens. The sequence continues at coordinate 21,470,873 of NC_000009.12, forward strand.
TCCTAGAGATATGGTAGTCAATACCCTGAAAACCCAGGAACAATACCCCACCCTTGGATTAATCTGGATATCCATTGCCCCTGCCAAGGTGTCACCAGGGGAAGAGGTTATTGAGGACACTGCTACTCCATACTATTCTATATCTTCCCTCCTCTCTTTCTCTGCTAATGAATGCTACCCAGCACCAGAAAGGCCTTTATCTCACATTCCTATGTGATAGGAATTGTGGCTATTCCTCTTCTTCCCCTTTCCTATGTACATTTAACTTCTCCTTCCCTAGGGAGAGGAGGGAGAGTGGGTTGGGAAAGGGAGTGAAGAGCTACCAAGGAAAAATCAGATTTCAAAGAATAGAAAATATGTCAAGATATATTTCAAATATATTACTTCCAGTTAAAGCATAAATCCATTGGTAGAATTTATGCCTTTAAGCCAAAACTATGGGTTTTCTTCAGATCATAAGTGAAATAAAATGACTTTACCAAATGCTAATAAGTTGTGTCTACTCTTAAAAATGACACAAAACAAGCAAATACTTCAAGTAACATGCAAATAAGCTACAGACGTAAATAAGTTCCTTACCTTCTGAGCTTCCTGACCTCGTTAGTCTAAGAACATCACAATGGGCTTCGAGATTATTGTCATGGGACCATTCTTATTCATCCAAAATGCCTCCTTCTTAGAGGTCTGTTTTGGGTTCATAATCCCTACAAGTAGGAAATCTTTTCTGACTCTGTACCAAAGGACCTTTTCTCAATATCTTTCTTCTATAAGGTACATTCAAGCAGTTTTTTCCTTCATTTTAATTTAATCCAAGAGTGTGACTTCCTACTGAATAGAGATTTGTGGAGACCTTGCTGTTGTAACTTATTCAGCAATTGCTGGATCAGCTAAAGATAAGTTTAGAGCAAGCTGTTGGGTTAAAGGAGGCTTTCTTAGTGCAAACTTTTGCTTTAAAGAGAAAATAAGTCAATATCACGAGGTGCAAAAACATAGCTCCAAGATCTAGAATGGTGCTAGAGAAAAAAATAAGAATGTGCTTTACTCATCCATAAACGACTATGAAAAAACCATATAGTAAAGAGGACATCAATTTCCAGGAATTGGAATTTTAATTATTTCTAAAGCTCTATCACTGTGTTTATTCTTTAAAAGAGAAACATATTAAAATTCTCATATTTACTTATTAGAAAATATGATTTTTATCCAATATTCTATCTGTTTCACCTTCACTTTTTAATAGTGGCCAGTGAAGTGGTCCCTCCACGTCGTCCCCTGGTGATACCAAAGGCAGGTGTTGTCTTCCAGTACCAACCACAGTAGAAACTAAGCTATGATAAATCTCCCTTGCTTCATGAAAATAGAAATGCTGGATACAATCCGAGTCAACTTAAATGGATAGTTAAGAATTTAAAAAAGAGAAAACGAGATATTTAGTTTCCAGAAATTAAAAGAGAATTTTAAAATTTCATTTCTACCCTCTGTTTCCTCATCAATGTAATCACTCTTATTCCTTAACTTGCGTTTTCACTCAGCACCATTCAACATACTATGAACAAGTTTGGATGTAAATGAATATTCTTTACCTAATTAGACTGATTGACTGTATGGTATTCTGTAATACAAAGGGACCATTGCTGACTTAACCAATCCTCTATAATAGCATATTAATTTCACTACAACTGTCTTTTGTATAAATAAGGCTTCAATAAATAAATTTGTATATATGTTTGAGCTGGCATATGGACAGTGTTTTTGTAATATAAATACCTAGGGCTGCATTTTCTGGGTCTGGTGGTTTAATAATTTTGGTAGATTTTACTAAATTAACTATAAGTGTTTTTAAATTTTATACTTCTACTGTATCTACTCTTACCCCAACCATCACCAAGTAATCTTTTTGTTGTTCATCAGATCTTTCATTTATTTGAAATGAGAGGCATATTATTTGGCATATTATCCACTCACAGCTATTTAGGCTTCTTGTAAACTGCCTCTATATTTCTTACTCATATCTCTATCAGGTTCTTAAAATATTTGAACTTTTTATTTAAAATATTAATACTCACATATTTTAAGGGTTTTTTTTCCATGTGATTTGAATTTTCTTTATGGCCCTTTGCTGGATAGATTATTTTTTCCATTTAATGTGTTAAAATGTATTTCTTTTTTCCATTGTGGCCATAGTTTTCGTATTACTCAGAAAGAGCTTTCCTGTCTGAAGATTTAAAAATGTTTTACATACACATATTTCTAGTATTTAATAGATTTGCATTTGTTTCCTACATTTTGGTATACTAGGTATAATGTTTTCTACTTATTGAGCATGCCAGGCATTGTTCTGAAGTGTTTATAATTCAATTCATCCTCGTAACCATCCAATGATTTGGGCTGTTTTTATTATACTCAAGAGCTGAATGACCTGAGGCATAGAGAAGCAGAATAACATGCTCACTTCTCAGGAGGGAGGCTTCTTTTTGTTTCCTATCTCTAATTCCTCTAGGTGTCCATCTACTGGTGAGGCCCAGTAAGAAATTTCTCCATCCAGGTTTCATCTCAACTAGCATGAGATCTCTGTGTCACAAAAGGCTTGAATATCTGCTGGTGCTATTCGCAGGGGACACAGTAGCATGATCTTTTGTCGGCAGGTAGCTATCTTCCATCAGCCCCTAAGGAAATCTGGATTCTTTCCTGTCTTCTAGTCATGACAGAGGCAAGATTCTCATACAGGCACTTGAAGATCTCATTCTTGTCCAGATTGTAACCTTGAGCCCAGTCAAGGGAGCAAGTGGGACTGGAGCAGATTTAATACTCCAGTAGGGGTATATCTATTTCTTCAAAAACATGATTTTATTGGATATAGGTTTCACAGCTCATTGGCTGTATATCCAGGATCTGATGACATCATATGAATTGTCTAGACATATTTATATAATGGATTATATTTTACATTTTTTCCCACGTACTGAACATCCTTAGCTTGAGCCTAAACTGTGCTGTCCTTGGACTTAGACCTGTCTGGACTTGCATCATGGTCTTAGAGTGGGTTTGTTGTTTATCCTAAAAAGGAACCCATTCTAAGGAAGAAAAGAGTTATATCCACACCTGGTCCAGTCACAATAACTCTGCTTAGCAGTAGAAGGCCAACTTTGACAAAGCCATGGGTGTAACACTAAGGTTACCCCTTGGCTCAACCTTCATAGCTATTTACCTGAGTGTTGAGCACGAGAAGGTCATTTAGTGTTTTTTATTTTTTTTGTTTGATTTTTAATATGTCAGGCATTATTAGTAGCAGAAGACAGTACATGGCAATCTAAAAGAGATGATTTAGGGAAAAAAAATCTTTTATCTCAAACTTTGCACTCTACTCTGTGTGTGTGTGTGTGTGTGTGTTCAACATCACATGTTGTGTTTTGTTTTTTCAGCCACCTTCTCCCACCCTCCCCAACATACATGCCCTGAAACCCTAAGCCCTATGGCTCCCACTGCCCAGTAACCCACCTTCCCTCCCTCCCCACCACACCGTACGTGTTTTTTGTTTGTTTGGTTTTGTTTTATTTTGTTTATGTTCAACCCCTCAGACAGTCCCAAGTGCTCCAAGGAAACTTTGTGCTAGAAATTACAGCATGAACCTACTAGTGAAGTCTCTAAAATCCCTTCTTGATGAGACTCTTAATCTTGTGTCTTCAATTACAATTCCTGCAGACTGCTGCAACATAAATGCTGAAATGTACAGAATCCTCTCTTTGCCTCTCTAATTTGAACCCATAATAAGAACCCACTTAGCCAGAGGCATTTCAGGTACATTTTTATTATTTTAGTTATTTCTGCTCCTGATCTCTATCCCATCCACAGAGTGTATTATCTTTCTTTTCCCCCTCTACTAGGCACAAATGGGTCCTTCAAAGTATGTCTCCTCAAATCCCACCATTGAGTCTGGAAATATGCTTATTTCTTTCCAATTTCATCTAGCCTCTTTCTCGGATACTCATTCCTCCGTCTAAAGTAATGAGAGTGGATTAGGAACTATTACTTTTTTAAAAAGATCTGATACACTGAATAATACACCAGCTAAGAATTCAATTCTCAGTGCTTTCAAAATAAATTCACTTTGATCCCAAATGTTTTCATACAGATTGGTAACTGCATTGTTCATCTTAGAGTTAATTACTTAGAGTAATTAAATTTTCTCCAAGGATCTATATTTTATTTTGTGTAAGGCTTATATTGAAACATAACTTGGAATAAATTTCACTAAAACAATGTATGCTTACCTCTCTTATGTAGACTAAAGTTACATGATTTATTAGTCAACGGAATCCTGTCCTTTGTTCTATTTAAACCTCACTTCATCCTTTCCAAGAGATAAACATCTCTACCTAAATTGACTGAACAGCTTTTCACACCTCTAAGAAACTGGATTCTTTTTGCATTGAAGGCAAAATTCATAGGACTGTTATTGTGTTATGGTCCCTTCCTGCATACTTACTACGTAACCCTAGCTACTTACCTCTAAACACTTACTACATGCTGGCTATCTTCTGCCTACTCATAATGCTTCATGTATAAAATCCAAAGAAATGAAGAAAATTGCCACCAAATCTTTATTAATAGCTAGTGGCCACCTATTTTGGACAACAAATGAGTGGCCTTTTGACTAGAATAATGGGAAGAGTGTTATATTTTATAAAATTGTAAAATTGAGCCATTTATGCCATTGGCATGTACTGTTCTAATATTTTCATAATTTAAGTTTTTTTAAAAAGCTGAGCAAAAAACAGATCCTTTTAGAACTGCTCAAGATGGTGCTAATGGTTTCTGTATTACCTGGCAGTTGAAGATATAACCAACCATCAACCCCGGCTGACTGGGAGGAAAGACACATCATAAGAGTGGGGTCGGCCCGGCACGGTGGCTCACACCTGTAATCTCAGCACTTTGGGAGGCTAAGGTGTGTGGATCACCTGAGGTCAGGAGTTCACGACCATCCTGGCTAACATGGTGAAACCCTGTCTCTACTAAAAATACAAAAATTAGCTGGGAGTGGTGACAGGCACCTGTAATCCCAGCTACACTGGAGGCTGACGCAGGAAATTCGCTTGAACCCAGGAGGCGGAGGTTGCAGTAAGCCATGATCATGCCATTGCACTCCAGCCTGGGCAACAAGAGTGAAACTCCGTCTCAAAAAAAAAAAAAAAAAAAAAAAAAAAAAAGTTCAGGAAAGCATTGTCTAAGATGATCAGAACCATTAGTTAGAAGAGAGGCTCCCATCTGGACTTCTGCCCTACACATTATGTTCTTATTTTATTGTGCCCTTGCTATATAAGTGTAAAACCCACCATTTCACTGGAAAAAGATAAATACTTCATTTTTCACTCTAAGAAGTAGCATATCTAAATGGTCCATCCAGGAATAATGGAGAGTCTCAAAAACAAACATCAGAACTTAACTTCTTAGCACACCACACAAACAAGAAAGGCTTCATTTCTAGACAGTCTCCTCATATGTCTAATTGGCCATGACAATATGGTACTGGTATCTCCCTTCTTTCCTTTAATGCTATATTTTAAAAAGTCTGCATTCATTCAATATTTAGAGTGTCCCTGTTAAATGTTGAATAATGTGCTAAAGAGTTAAGAAGCCATGTCCTTACTACAAAGTAGGTAATACTCTAGTTGGAAGAAAGAGAAGTAACCCATTACAGTACAATGAGGTCAGTGACATGGTAAGATTTGTGCTATGGGCAAGTAGCAAATAGGTTCAGACAAATCAGACTATAAAGGCTCTCCGTGAAGGGAAAAATTTTAAGTGAATCATGAATAACAGAAATGTTATTAACACATATAAGGGAAAGAATATGTAGCTAGCAAAAGAAACAGCTTATGAGCTTAGGTTTTCTGTGGCCCTAAATTGAAGCTCAGACAACAAATTCTGAGATGAGGATTCTTATGCAAGTTTATTGGAGAGAGCTATGGAATCACATTTGTGAGAAGAAAAGGCAGGACGATTAGGCAAAGGGGAAAGCTAACCTGCAGTGTAGTCACAAAATGGCCTTAGCCAATAACAGGAGGCTGGGAGGGTGGTCTGAAACTGGGAAGACTCTTCACAGGTGGAGTAAGGGGACTTCACACCCCCACGTAGACCAGTCATTGAATACAAGCAGACCCTAGGGAGGAGTAGAAAACTTGGGCTAAATGACTTTAGCCAAAGGCAATTCCACAAATGGCCCCCAACTCTATTTACCAAACATTTATACTTCTCTATAGAGGAGATCACTGGATAAGTTTGCCATTTTTCACCTTGGAATGAATCCTCTGTCCTCCAGAGTTTGGTTTTGTGTCCACAACACATTCTTTGTCCAATCAGCATTGCTATCGTGGAAGTTTTGATTTCACTCAACCACACGGTATGAGGACCAGAAACCTTAGAGAAAACAAAACAAAACAAAACTTGCTTTAGTCCATTTTCCTTAAAAGGCAGATATTGTCATGGGGTGCACCTAGGATATGACAGTTGCTACATACAGCTTCTTTAATAAGGAAAATGTCTGATTTGCTGCTGTGAAAAGGCAGTGATAGAAAAAAAATATATCTTCATCAACTAACTCCTATCTAGGGTGCTAACTTTTCTCCAGATGTCATAAGAAATATGAGATCAGTAGCCTTAAAAAAACTATGCCTTCATCTCTTAAAAACTTACCAAGGCTATCAAGAAGTAGGGGTACGGCTTACTACGTGTAGTCACAAGACCAGCAGCAACAGCATCATGTGAGAACTGTTAGAAATGGAATTACTCAGGCCATACCACAGACCTATTGAATCAGAAACAGTGGGATGGGACCATGCAATCAGGGTTTTAACAAATCCTCCAGGTGATTCTGATTCATGTTAGAGGTGGGACTTAACTTACAGCAGGTGCCCTTTACAAGAGTTGTTTTTAATTTTTAAAGTAGAGATGGGATCTCACCATGTTGCTTAGGCTGATCTCACACTCCTGGGCTCAAGCAATCTGCCTGCCTTGGCCTCCCGAAGTGCTGGGATTACAGGCATGAGCTACTGCACCCAGCCTGTTCTTTTTTTAAATTTCAAAAATATAATAATTTTTTTTTCCTGGTTCTAAAAGGAATCCTTATTCATGGGAGAAATATTTAATCCAAAAAGTTTAAGTGAATGTAAATTCTATCCCAAAGACAGTAGTACTATGAACATTTTCATGCATTTCTTTTCATATACTTTTCATGAATGTTTTATTTGTAGAAAATATGATGATGCTGTTATTATTTTGTAACCTGCTTTTGGATTTAATGATTTGTTTAGCTCAATACATATAGATGTAACAAAAATATAACTCAGCCTGCAAATACAAATGAACCTACCCATACTCCAAGCCTTTCCATGTGCTACTAAGCCAGGAGTCCAATCTTTTAATACGTCTCTCCTTCCCAATATTCCCAAGTTTAGAACTCTGGTTTTGGAGTTTTAAAAGGGCACACATATTTAGAAGTAACAATTTTTTATTTTGTGCTAGGCATTGAGGTGGTTATACAACAGGATATCAACTTAATAAACCTAAATGTTTGGGAAAACATTAGTATATAAAGTATTAGTTTAAACTTCTAAATATGAGTATTATTTTCTAAACGTTTCCATTTGACAGTTCCTCCATTCTGTTCTCAGTTCTTAAGGAAGCAATGTCAAGAGAAAGGAAAATATCTTTTCTTTAATTCAAGACTTCAGAGACCATTGTAAACTTGAATAAAGAAAGCTAGGAGAAAATTATTATTATTGTTATTATTATTTTGCAGTGATATTTCACAATGCTATTCAGGTTTGAGTTGTCAACAACACAGTGCAGGCTTTTGAGTCAGGCTGACTTGGGATAAGATCTTTGCTCTGGTATCTGCAAGCTCTGTGGCTTGCTACATTACTTTGAGCATGTTATTTCACCTTTACAGTCTTGTTCTCACTTGAGAAAAAAATAATTACAGAAGGCACTTGGTAAGGTCAATTTGAAAATTGGATAATGTGTTAAATGAAGGATTTGGTTCCAAAAACTTCCTGGTTTAAAGAACAACAAAAAATTTTCTAGACCATGAGAAGAAAAGTAACTTATATTTGCAGTTCCTTGTGGTATTTCTCCTTCCTCCACTTCACTACCTTTGTGTGAATTTGAAGGTAAACAGATCAACCCCTGGCTGCAATGTGAAGTCAGCAAAGACTTGCTTCTGATTGACAGCCTCTGCTTCCTTACCCTTCTTCACTATTGCAGGTGACTGTCTCACTTTCAGGATCCTATTCGGTTCCTACTCTTCCCTTTCAAACCAAGTCTAAAGTAGCAGCCATTACTCATTTGCATTAATTAAACTGAACTGGAGTATGCTTCGTTCCTAAGTTTTTACATTTACTACTAACTTTTACCTCCAATTATGCAATGCATCTGACGTAGAACATGACACATGGTAGTAGAACTAGCATCAGAGTTTTGGGCTGTGGCTCTGCTCCCTTACAGTGGACGAAAGTGGGATAGCCACCAAGCCTCAACTTTAGTTTCTCTGCCCCCACGTTGTTCCGTGGTGACTTCTGAGAGTTCCTGGCTAGAAGAGCTGGAATCCCTCCATCACTGGCATCTCCCAGGAGCAGGAACCCTCTCCCTTGGCACGGGTGTGCTTCTCTCCAGCCCTCCTCCAAGCAGACATCCCAACCAGGGGCAGGCTAATTCAGTCTCCTGTTCCTTTTGACCTTCACCAGCCAGACTCCCTCATGCATATTTCTGATAACTGTGACTCGTTAGATACATTTTAAATTATTATCTTAATATGTAATATTCACACAATTTAATATAAAAATTTTTAGAGGAGCTATAAAATCTCTCCCACCCTAATCTCCTTCTTCAGTCTTCCTTCTTCTCCTAAATACAGGTAATCATTGTAATTTATTTCTTATTCTTTATTTATACACAGTAAGGACAAACGTAAGTTTTATTTAACATTTTCACCCCAAATGTAGCATTTTATGTACACTGCTCTGTATCTTGCCTATTTTCAACTTTTTAAAAAGAAATACCGTCTCATTTGTTTCTCCAGCTGAATAGTGTTCCTTTATATGAATATGCCTCAACTGTCTCTAATTAGGAAAATCGAGATGGTTTCTTGACTTTTGGTATTACTAATAGTGCTGCAGAGAATAATATTGTTTGTAAGTTATTTCACACGTGGGCAAGTTTTTGTTGTTGTGGTTGTTGTTGTTTTGTTTTGTTTTGAGATAGAGTCTCACTCTGTTGCCCAGGCTGGAGTGCAGTGGCATGATCTCGGCTCACTGCAACCTCCACCTCCCAGGTTCAGGTGATTCTCTTGCCTCAGCCTTCCGAGTAGCTGGGACTACAGGTGCCCGCCACCATGCCCGGCTAATTTTTGTATTTTTAGTAGAGACAGGGTTTCACCATATTGGCCAGGCTGGTCTCGAACTCCTGACCTTGTGATCCACCCTCCTCAGCCTCCCAAAGTGCTAGGATTACAGGCCTGAGCCACCACGCCCAGCTGTGGGCAAGTATTTTTATAGGACACATTTCCAGGCCTAGAATTTATAGATGAAAGGCTACATGCATCTGTAATAGATATCACCTAATTGCCTCCATAGTGGTTGTACTATAAATGGCATGCATGCTATTTAATTTGTATTTCTATTATCATGAGTGAGATTGAACCTCTTTTAATGTAGTTTTTTTTCTCTGCAAACTGTTCATGTCCTTTCACCATATTTCTATTGTGTCTCCTGTAATGTAAATATTCACTGTGTAATAATATTTTCAAATCTTAAAATGCAAATTATTCCCAATATTTCTCATTGTCTCTAGCAATTTCTGGCAAATAAGCAAATCATTGCAATGGAGTTCTATGTTAAGGAAAGTATTTTTACATTAGTGGCATATTTTATTGTATCTACCCAGCCAGCCTGTATGAAAATACACCCATTTGAAGAATCAACCATATTAATGAATTTATTTTGACATACAAACAATTTAAAATGGATAGAATATATAAAGCCACATTACAAAATAAAAACAATTGTGGTCAATATGCACAATCTTAAAACACAGATAAATATATATATACACAAAATCAAAGCAATGTGATTGTACTATAAATTGTATTACCACTCTATGAAGAATCATGTCTGGAGAAGTCCTCTAGTCCCTCCACCTACCTCGGGCTTCTAAACTCTGTAGTAAGCTCTTGCTTCATGTCGTTCAAGGGTCTTCCTTGTTTGCTCAGTTTTTCTGTGAGACTGAACACAAAGAACAGACATCGGCTGATTTCTACTTGGACAATGGCCCAGGCACAGGTGCTGTAGTCCTGGTTTTCCAGGTAATCATGGATCCTTCGGAAGTACATTTTAACTTGTAATCTAAGGTTATCACTACCCAAAGTACCACTTAGCTTCTCTGCTTCCAGTCCCATGAGTGCTTCTAGGTATTCTAGCTGTTGATGAAGTTGAATGAGGAATTTCTCCGTGTGGTTTTCCTCCCAACCATCCAGAGAAATATTTGCCCTGAAGAGGCTGAAGATCTGCTGAAGCATCTCATGGAGAATGGCCAGAGTGTGTCCTTTTTGGTACTGCTGAGGACTCAAAGACTTCTGAGGAAGCAGAAAGTTTTTCCTGTGTGGTAGACACTGCTGAATTGACAAGGTTTGCAACTTATTCAAGAGTTTTAAACTTTCTTGATTCACTTGTCTTTGCTGGAAGATAATCAGTTTCAAATCTAGAGAGAAGATAGTGGTAGAGGCCAGCAGCACCAACACAGTTCCAAAGAAGTGCTTGATAATCATGGTGAAGGTCAAATATGCTACTTATCCCTGCATAGACTTAGGGAAATTCCAGCTCTAGTGAATGTTTGCCTTTCATGCATCTCAGATTATTTTGGAGAGTGTTCTCTTTTGTTGCTTTCGTTTTCTAATGTCATTTCTCCAAGTTTACACATTAGATTTTCAGGTTCCCTTTTCATGGTGTTCAGAGTACATTTTCTCCATTTCCCTATTGTGTTGGCTATTTTGAGGAAGTACCAAAATAACTTATTCATTGTATGCTTTCCTTGAGGCAATTACAGACTAGTCATCCAACATAATCTTTTATTATTCTATTCATTATATACAAAGTTTCACTGAACACAATGTGCTTTCTAAATATTTAGTCAAGCTTATTAAAGTTCTTTTATTGAGATTACGTTTTTTTCAGTAATAGTCTTTCATGGAGTAAAACTTACCAAAGGCTTATCAGCACCTATAAAGAATTCAGGGGCAAAACTTAAAATACCTACAAACTACTAAATTTAAAACCTCAATTAGAACTGTAAATTGTCACAAATGCTTGAGCAAATAATTAATTTTAAAACATATATCAGCAATCTTAAATTATTTTATATCTTATCCTATCAGTTTAATATCTAAGATTCTAGCCTATAGAAGCAATGCAAAAAAATTAGCAAAAGAAGAGTGTTATAATATTATTGCAAAGCAGAATATTAGAAACAACCTATAGGTTCAACGACAGGTGAATGATTACATATATGTTGGTACAGCCATATAATTAAATGATATATATCCATTATAGATGACAAAATTATATGTGAAGAGAGATTGGGGGCATTTGGTTAGCGTATATTCCCTAGAATAGTGATAGCTCTGGTAAACTAATGTGAACATCTCTACATTAACAATGTCCTTTGAATTACAAATACCCAGTTCCATATTCTAAGTTCCTCTTGAATAAGCCCCCAATATACCTTTCCAATCTTATCCCACTGTTGCTCTAAATATAGTGTGAAGGAATCTGAACTCCAGATAAAGTAAGTGATTTAGTATTCCCTTAATACAGCTAGCACTTGTGTGTGTGTGTGTTTATTGATGATGCTTTCTCTGAAACATCAACTGTTGCCTCCTTTACCTCAAGAACCTTTCTGTGCAAGGACTAAAGACTACTTGTCCTTTAAGGCCCAGATCTCCCCCAAGGAGCCATAATCTTCTGGATCCCCACAACACTTTGTACCTACCTTATTTAAGACACCTTTCTTGTTCTGTCTTATACTTGACTATGTACTTACATGATTAAAAGTCTCTTCAGAGTGTGAAATAAACACTGATTACTGATTTCTTTGCTGTCTATACAACTATAGTAGTTGCTTAATAAATATGTGTTGACTTGGAATAAATTAATATGTTCTACACAAAGTAATACAAGATGTTGAGTCTTATCTTTAATCATTTCTCTGCAGGCAGCTGGGTGAATCCCTAAATGTCAAAAACAGGCACTCTGTAAACATGTATGGTCTCATTATATACCAGCTCAGCTGTATGTTTGGTCACTTAGTCTAGTATTAATAAGTTGAAATAAACTCAGTCAGCATGCTCCACAGAGGGTCTTTTCCCTCCCTATCTGAGAGAGAGAGAGAGAGAGAGAGAGAGAGAGAAAGAGAAAGAGAGAGAAAAGACATATGATAATATATAATATACGAAAGGAATAACACTTGTTTCATAACATTATGCTCAATCTATCTGGAAAGTAGAATTTTGACTAGTCTCAAAAAATCTTTAAATATTTAATGCTGAGCTTCGGGAAAACAATATAAAAATAAATTAAGAATATCAGAAGTTACTCCATCTAATAACAACGAGCTCTGATCTATAAGGCTTTCTCATCATTTTCATTCAATTGACAAAAATGATCTAAATGTTGTTTAATTTCCAAATGATCAGGGATTTTCCAGATGCCTTTCTGTTACTGATTTCATATTTGAATCTGTTGTGGTTAAAGAATGTAGTTTAAATTTATTGAGACTTATTTTATGGCTTAGAATATGGTTTATCTTGGTGACAGTTCCTTGTGAACTTGAAATAATAATGTTCTACTTTTGTTGGTTGGACTGTTTTATAAATGTCAAATAGGTTAAGCTGATTGAAAGTGTTTGAAATTTTCTGTATCCTTTCTGATGGTCTATTTGTTCTATCAACTATCAAGACAGAAGAGCTGAAATCCCTAGTATAATTTTAGATTTGCCTATCTCCCATTTCAGTTCTATCAGTTTTTGCCTTATATATTTTAGAACTTTAGTATTAGGTGCATCATATTTAGGATTATTATGTCGTCTTGATGAATTGACCCCTTTATTTTAAAATGTTCCTCTGTATCCTTTGCATTATTCCTTACTCCTAAATCAACTTTCTCTGATAATCATTTCTGTTTTTTTAATTAGTGTTAGCATAATATGTCTTTTATTGCATCTTTTAATTTAACTTATTCATGTTATTATATTAAAGTGAGTTTCTTGTACAGAGCGTATAGTTGGACCTTGTATTTTATTCTGTCTGACAATCTTTGCTTTATTAGAGTGTTTAGGTCATTAAATTTAATGTAATTGTCAGTATGGCTCAGTTTATATCTACCACTTTATTGTTTGTTTTCTAACTGCCCATATGTTCTTTTTCTCACTTTTAAGCTTTTCCTTCCTTCTTTTGGATTGAATTTTTGTTGTTGTTTTCTATTGCCCATTTTATCTCCATTATTGGCTTGTTAGTAATACCACTTTGTTTTACTTTTTGTTTTCATAGCAGTTTCTCTAGGATTAAAAATATACATCTTTATTTAACATATTACAGTTTACCTTCAAATAATATTACAATCCACTTAAGGTACAGTGTAGGGATATTATAACAGTATCCTTATATTTCCTCTCTCTCATTCTTTACACTACTTTCACTAATATTTCTTATATTACACGTCCCCTGGAAATAAACTCTCTTGGCTTTTGTCTGTCTGAAAAAGTATTGTGTCTTCTTTTTGAAATATATTTTTGCTGGGTATAGAATTCTAAGTTGATATATTTTTTCTTTAAGAACTGTAAAGATGTTGCTCTACTCTATTCTGGCTTGCATAATTTCTGAAGAGAAGACTGTGGTCATTCTTAATTTTATTCCTCTGTGCATAATGTTTCTTCTTTTTCTCTGGCAGCTTTTAAGATTTACTATCACTATTTTCTAGAAATTTGATAATAATGTGCTTTGGTGTGATTTTCTTCTTGTCTCTTTTACAAGGTTTTTTTTGAGCTTTGTGAATCCATGATTTTATCATTTTCATCAAATTTGAAAAAGTTTCAGACTTTATTTCTTTTAACATTTTTCTATTACCATTCCCTCCTTCCTAATCTCTTCTGGGACTACATCTCTAGATGTGTTTGACTGTTTAATATTATCACACAGTTCCCTGAAGCTTTGCTCATTTACTTTTTAGTCTTTTCCTCTGTCTTATTTCTAATAGTTTCTAAGTCTGCCTTCAAGCTTATTGGTATTTCCTTTGGTAGTATCTTATCTACAGTTAATCCCATCCAGTATATTTATCACTTCAGATATTATACTTTCATTTGTAGAAGTTGAATTTGTTTCTTTTTCATATCTACATTTCTTTCCTCATCACATTCATCTTTTCCTCTACATTCTTGAGCATATGGAGTACATTTATAGTAGGTGTTTAATCTCCTTTTCTGATAATTCTATCATTTGTGTCATTTCTGAGTCTGGTCTTGTCAATTATATTTCTACTCTTTATGGGTCCTATTTTCCTATGTCTTTTGCATGTTTGGTAACTTTTGAGTGGATTCTGAGCATTGTAAATTTTACTTTAATGGGAGTTGGATTTGTTAAGTCCTTTACGTACAGTTGAACTTTGTTTTAGGGTATAGTTGAGTTACTTGGAATTGGATTCCTCTGACATTGGCTTTGTTAGCATGAGTGAAGCAGACTTTATAATTTAGGGCAATGCCTTTGTAACCAAGAATATAGTCTTTTGAGGACTCTACTTAATGCTCTCTGAATTTGGAGATTTTTGCCCTCTGGCTGCTGGAAACATGAAATATCCCCAGCCCTGTGTTAGCACTGGGGACAGCCTGTACTGCCTGCTCCTTTCTGGGTGTTCTTTTCCTAATCGGGTAACTCCTTTACGCACATACACAAACCACACATTAGCTAAAGACTCCTGAAGACATTTTTACAGATCTTCGTAGCTCTCATTCATTCTTCCCCAATTTCCCTCTGTGCAGCAATATCTTCTCCAATATTTTTCTGCCTCCCTGAACTCCAAACTATGACATATCAACTCATTGAGAACACTGGTCTGTTGGAGTTTCCTCCTCTTTGTGCTGCAGCCTGCCAATTTTCTATCCAGCATTAAGCTGGAGCAATTGTAGGGCTTACTGTATTTCTTTCCTTTCTCTCAAGGATCATTATCTTACGCTGTCTGTTATCCAATGTCTAAAAACTATTTTTCGTATATTTTACTCAGTATTCTAGTTGTTCAAAGTGAGATGATAAATCTAGTTGTCCCTCATGACTAGAAGTGGAGGTTCTCTCATTATAAATAATCTAAAGTGGGAGTTGGCAAACTATAGCCTATGGACCAAATCTGTCCTACCACCTCCTGCTTCTTCTTTTTTTTTTTTTTTTTTTTTTTTTTTGAGATGGAGTTTTGCTTTGTCGCCCAGGCTGGCGTGCAGTGGCTTGATCTCGGCTAACCGCAAGCTCCGCCTCCCAGGTTCACGCCATTCTCCTGCCTCAGCCTCCCAAGTAGCTGGGACTACAGGCGCCCACCACCACACCCAGCTAATTTTTTTATATTTTTAGTAGAGATGGGGTTTCACTGTTTTAGCCAGGATGGTCTCGATCTCCTGACCTCGTGATCTGCCCGCCTTGGCCTCCCAAAGTGCTGGAATTACAGGCGTGAGCCACTGCATCTGGCCTACCACCTACTTTTGTAAATAAAGTTTTACTAGAACACAATGATGCTCATTTGTTATGGCACTTTCATGCTACAATAGCAAGGCTGAATAGTTGTGATAGGAACTATATGGTCTACAAAACCTGAAATATTTACTCTCTGGTCTTTTACAGAAAGGTTTGCTGAACCCTGATCTAAAAGATTAAAAACAAAATATAATTGTATTCAAAGTCTAGAAATTTTGAAAATGTTTTCACAAAAAATGTAATCTAAAGTAAATGTTAAAAATATTACATATTTTATATTTTCAAAAAACATGAAATATTTTATACAATGTTATCTATCAAAATTAAAAGACAACATGTGTGGTATAATTAATATCAAATTTAAACTGACAGTATTTAAATAAAGCATATACTTAACCTTTTAATTAAAAACGTATTAAGCATTAAAAATGTTTATAAAAGTAAAATTACATGCAATTCTATCTTACAAGGTTCATATGGATAACAATGTAAAAAAAAATGTATCACACTTCCAGCATATGTCTAGACCAACATAAATTAAGATTTAAGAGTAAAATAAATTGATTAATATTGAGAAATATTTTCCAGCCTCCATGTACAACTATTGCCAATGCCCATCATAATTTATGAGTCCCTCCTGAATCACTAATTGTTTTTTTTTTTTTTTTTTTTTTTTGAGCAACATGGCTCTTTATTTCACCTGGGTGCAGGCGGGCTGAGTCCGAAAAGAGTCAGGGAAGGGAGATAAGGGTGGGGCCGTTTTATAGGATTTGGGTAGGTAAAGGAAAATTACACTCAAAGGGGGTTTGTTCTCTGGTGGGCAGGAGTGGGGGTTCGCAAGGTGCTCAGTGGGGGTGCTTTTCGAGCCAGGATGAGCCAGGAAAAGGACTTTCACAAGGTAATGTCATCACTTAAGGCAAGGACTGGCCATTTACACTTCTTTTGTGGTGGAATGTCATCAGTTAAGGTGGGGCAGGGCATGTTCACTTCTTTTGTGATTCTTCAGTTACTTCAGGCCATCTGGGCGTATACGTGCAAGTCACAGGGGATGCAATGGCTTGGCTTGGGCTCAGAGGCCTGACATTCCTGCCTTCTTATATTAATAAGAAAAATAAAACAAAATAGTGAAGTGTTGGGGCGGCAAAAATTTCTGGCGGGTGATATGGACAGAGAATGGGCGATGTTTCTCAGGGCTGCTTCAAGCGGGATTGGGGCGGCGTGGGAACCTAGAGTGGGAGAGATTAAGCTGAAGGGAGGTCTTGTGGTAAGGGGTGATATTGTGGGGATGTTAGAAGAAACATCTGTCATATAGAATGATTGGTTGGCCTGGATACGGTCTTGGATGAAGTGACAAACTAAATGGAATAAGAGAAGGAGAAAAACAGGTATAAAAGGACTAAGAATTGGGAGGACCTAGGACATCTAATTAGAGAGTGCCTAAGGAGATTCAGCATAGTCCTGCCAGCAAAGATTATTTATTTACTTCAAGAGTTTAGAGTGGCAGTTTGGGGATAGCACCAGGAGATATCAGCTGCGATGGCTTGGAGAAACAGTGTAAACCAGCAGTGTAAACAAGAGCAGGGCATGTATGAGTAGTTGAGAACGGTGAATAGGAGTATGACTAACAGATGAGGATGAAATTTGGGCTTGACTGAAGTAATGGGGGCTGTCTGTGAAGCCTTGCGGCAGTATAGCCCAGGTAATTTGCTGAGCCTAATGGGTGTCAGGGTCAGTCTAAGTGAAGGCAAGTGTTAACAGGCTTTAATCCTTTCAAAGCATGCTGTGGGATGGGATATTGGCATTGAGCCAGGTAAGGGTGATTAGGTTTTAATGAGATGGTAAGGGGTGCATGATCGGTCGCCAAGGAGGGAGTAGAGGTATCTTATACTTGTGGGTTAAGATGGGGGAATACAAGAGGAGGACGCAAAAGAGGCTTTGGATTGGGAAGAAGGGCATCAATGAGATGCGGCTATGGTCCAGGAATAGTCAGGGAAGCAGATAATTTGGTTAAAATGTCTCAGCCTAATAAGGGAACTGGGCAGGTGGGGATAACTAAAAAGGAGTGCTTAAAAGAGTATTGTCTAAGTTGGCACCAGAGTTGGGGAGTTTTAAGAGGTTTAGAAGCCTGGCCGTCAATACCCACAACAGTTATGGGGGCAAGGGAAACAGGCCCTTGAAAAGAAGGTAATATGGAGTGGGTAGCCTCCGTATTGATTAAGAAGGGGACAGACTTACCTTCCACTGTGAGAGTTACCCGAAGCTTGGCGTCCGTGATGGTCTAGGGGGCTTCCGAGGCGATCGGGCAGCGTCAGTCTTCAGCCGCTAAGCCAAGAAGATCTGGGAAGCAGTCAGAGAGCCTTGGGCCAGAGTTCCAGGGACTCTGGGAGTGGCTGCCAGGTGAGTTGGACAGTCCGATTGCCAGTGGGGTCCCGCACAGATGGGACACGGCTTAGGAGGAATCTTGGGCTGCAGGCATTCCTTGGCCTGGTGGCCACATTTCTGGCACTTGCAGCAAACTCCTGGGGGAGGAGGTTCTGGAGGAATGCCTGGCCGCTGCGGTTCAGGCGTTTGGAAGTTCTTGTGTGCTGGAGATGTGGCTGGGGTTTGTCTCACAGTGGAGGCAAGGAGTTGAAACTTTTTTCTATTATTGTACACCTTGAAGGCAAGGTTAATTAAATCCTGTTGTGGGATTTGAGGGCCGGAATTTAATTTTTGGAGTTTTATTTAATGTTGGGAGCAGATTGGGTAATAAAATGTATATTGAGAATAAGATGGCCTTTTGACCTTTTAGGGTCTAGGGCTGTAAAGCATCTCAGGGTTGCTGCCGAACGAGCCATGAACTGGGCTGGGTTTTTATATTTGATGAAAAAGAGCCTAAACGCTATCTGATTTGGGATAAAGAAAAAGGAGCATTAACCTTGATTATGCCTTTGGCTCCAGCCACCTTTTTAAGAGTAAATTGCTGGGCAGGTGGGGGAGGGCTAGTCACGGAACGAAACTGTAAGCCCGACCAGGTGTGAGGAGGGGAGGCGATAAAAAGATTATAGGGTGGAGGAACGGAGGCTGAGGAAGAATTGGGACCTAGCTCGGCCTGGCGAGGAGGGGAGAGGTCAGATGGGTCTGTAGAAAAGGAAGATTAGAAAGACTCAGCGACGCTTGGGGTTGGGACTGAGGGGACAGGCGGGAGGGAAAGAAGGAAGATTTGGGACGAGTTGCACTGGGCGCAGAGACTAGGAAGGGACTGATGTGTAAAAGAATGCCTGGATGTCAGGCACCTCAGACCGTTTGCCTATTTTACGACAAGAATTATTTAGATATTGCAGGATGGAAAAATTCAAAGTGCCATTTTCTGGCTATTTGGAACTACTGTCGAGTTTGTATTGGGGTCAAGCGGCATTGCAGAAGAAAATAAGGCATTTAGGTTTTAGGTCAGGTGAGGATTGAAGAGGTTTTAAGTTCTTAAGAATACAGGCTAAGGGAGAAGAAGGAGGAATGGAAGGTGGAAGCTTGCCCATAGTGAAGGAGGCAAGCCCAGAGAAAAGAGTAGAGACACGGAGAAGGGGTGGGGGTTTCTTGCCCTCCAGAAAAGCAGAGAAAGGGTTGGGGCACAGAAATAAGGGATTGGGGCGCAGAGATAAGAGGTTGGGGCATGGAAATAAGCGATTGGGGTGCAGAGATAAGAGGTTGGGGCGCAGAGATAAGAGGTTGGGGCATGGAAATAAGCGGTTGGGGGTTCTTGCCCCCTAGGAAAGCGGGACTCGCCGCTAAGGGTGAAGGAGAAGGGGTTGAGGGGTACTTGCCCCTGCCCCAGGAAAGCAGAGAAGGGGTAGAGACAAGGAGAGAAGAGGTTGAGGGCTATTTGCCCCTCTCCCAGAAAAGCAGAGAAGGGGTAGAGACAAGGAGAGAAGGGGTTGAGGTACTTGCCCCTTCCCCAGAAAAGCGGGACTTGCCGCTAAGGGTGAAGGACCAAGGCAGGCGTCCCTGCGTGGTCTGACACCCTTGAAACATGGCTGAATGATCAGAGAGGCGTCCCTGCAATGATTAAACACCAAGGGAAGGCTGCCTTCCCAATCCGTGACCGGCGCCGGAGTTTTGGGTCTATGAATAAAACGTGTCTCCTTTGTCTCTCCCAGAAAATGAAAGGAATTGAAATTAAGAGAAGGGAGAGATTGAAGAGTGGAAAGGAGAAAGTGGTTGAGGGACAGTGAGAGAGGTTGGAGAAGAGAGTAAGATGAGGCCGCTTACCGGATTTGAAATTGGTGAGATGTTCCTTGGGCTGGTTGGTCTGAGGACCTGAGGTCGTAGGTGGATCTTTCTCACAGAGCAAAGAGCAGGAGGATGGGGGATTGATCTCCCAAGGGAGGTCCCCTGTTCCGAGTCAAGGCACCAAATTTCATGCGCGTCCGTGTGAAGAGACCACCAAACAGCTGAATCACTAATTGTTACGTAAAGACAAGCAAGAGAATGGACACTGGGGACTATTGAGACATGGTATTTCATTTTGTAAGAATCTATTGCGTTCCTGCTGTCCTTGAGGAAGGGTTTACTAGGCAATTAATGTGTCTTCTCTTTCCTCTGCAGCTCAAATCCCCTACATTCCAAGGCAACGTCTCCTTCATGGCATCAGGTACAGTCAATTTTTTGTAGGGGACTGAAAGCAAGAGATGTGGAGAAATATCTCCCTGGGTACCAAATGGAATTACTAATGAGCATGTATATTTAGAGTTATTGGGCCATATGTGAGCACTGAGTACCAGATCCTAAGTGATGTGGGTACTAGATGCTTTTTTAAAATGTTGTGTGTGTCTATGCATGTGTGTGTATGTGCACTTCCGTGTGTGCATACACATGTGTTGTATAAATTGAATCATGTCTGATATTCAGGTTTCTCAAAAGGGCAAGACCTAGAGTAGAGCATAGGTCACTCTTGTCTGAATCTAAGGATGGTATTAAGGAAATTCACTGCATGCTTACATTGCTTAGAGAAAGACAATGGAAAGTGTCATGATGATGAAAAAAGGGCTAAATCTTAAGTATCAGTCAGTATGACGAAGTCTCTAAAATAAATTAAACAAACGACTGGTAGTTCATCTTTAGCTAGAATGGGCTTTTCAATGACTTTTAAATTTATTACATAAGTATCAAGTTTTATTTATTCACTTGTCTCCATAAATTATTTATCATTACTGTCAATCTAAAAAATGTAATTAAAATTGTGATACCCTCTGTTTAAAACACACAAAAACAGTTCCAGTTAGTAAACGAGGCATTTTAAATTCAACCAAAGGATGGCAGCATAATATCAATTACTTAGAGCCTGGGATAAACTTTGCTGTTGGTAAGATATCACAAATTAATGGTATCTAGTGGTCTGATAATGTATGATCAGCAATACATTACTCAGACCAGGTGTATTGTTCCCATAACACATTAGCTCACTAGTCTGTCTAATCCATATTAAGATACTTGCTGGTTAGTATTGTTATATTTTCCTTTTTTGCCTTGACCACTCTAATGGACATGCCTTGCTTTCTGGCCATCTACTACCTCCTCTCCCTTTCTGGGGGTCGGGGGGTGGGGGCGTCTGTAAACATATTCTAACTTCTCTGACCACTCTGGGATCTTGTGCTCTGGCCAGACTCTCCAGCGTGCCACACACAGGGTGCCACATCTAGCCCTATCCCAAGCTACTCAGCGCCTCCCTTTGCTCTGGCCTCAGTTATTATTTCAGATATGGTTATTTTTCCCAATGGTATCGACACAGCTCTACTCCATTTTCTGAGCATAAACTTTCAAATATTTGACCATATTAATTTATCTATCATAGAATTCTGGAGCTGGAATTGATCTTAAATTGATATCTAATCTCTGCTTCCCTTTCCCTTTTTGAAAAATTCAGTCCTAAAGACAATAGATGGACAAAACAATGTAAGCATTTTGCTGGAAAGGGCAGGAAGCCACACTGCTGGAGCTCAGACAGGCAAAGGTGACTGTTTATGTGGAGAGAGAACCTGGCATGGGTGTCACAGCCTAAGAGTGATTAGAGCATCCGTGGAGCGGGGCTGCTGTGGGGAGTCATAACTTGAGTGGAGTGAGGAGAAATATTCTGTAAAACAATTGCCCTGTAATCGTTCAAGGTCATGAAAATCAACAAAGACCCAGCAACTGCTCCAGACTATAAGAGACTAAAGAATATAGCAACTGAATGCATAGCATGATTCTGAACAGGATCCATTTGCTACTAGGAATATTATAGGGTCCAAGCACCGTGGCTCACACCTGTAATCCCAGCACTTTTGGAGGCTGAGGCGGGTGTATCACCTGAGGTCAGGAGTTTGAAACCAGCCTGGCCAACATGGTGTAACCCCATCTCTACCAAAAATACAAAAATTAGCTGGGTGTGGTGACGGGTGCCTGTAATCCCAGCTACTTGGGAGGCTGAGGCAGGAGAATAGCTTGAACCTGAGAGGTGGAGAGTGCCGTAAACTGAGATTATGCCACTGCACTCCAGCCTGGGTGACAGAACAAGACTCCATTTCAAAAAAAAAAAAGAATATTATTGGATTATTGGGACTACAAATCTAAATACGAACACTGAGTATCATATGGTGCTAACGTAACAATGTTAATTTCTGAATTTTGTTGTGGTTATGCAGGGAAAATATCTCTGTTGGTAGGAAACACACATTAAAGTATTTGACAGTATTGGTGCATCAGCTTGGCAACTTAAATTATTTCAAAAATAAGATTCTCTCTCCTGTATTTTCAACTTTCATGATTATTTCAAAGGATAAAAAGTGTGTTTGTATTTTTTAACTAAATAATCCACATTTGAGACATGATGACAGAGGTCTAACAGAGCAGAATAGCCTTCTTTTTGTACACTATCATCAACTATACTGTTCTCCCTTTCCCTCTTCATAATTTAGGCCAAGAATGGCAAAAGCACAGTAGAAAGGAAAAGACCACCACTTCTCATGAAAATTGTATAACATGATACTCAGCACATGGGCTTTAATGTGCAACAGAATAGGTTTAAACCCCAACTCTACTACTTGCTTGCTGTGTGGTTTTTAGCAAGCTATTAACTTCTCTGTGTCTCAGTTTCATCAATGTTAAGACAAGTATAATAATGGTGTCTCTTGGAGTTGTTGTGAAATCTAATTGAGATAATCCACCTAATATGTTTAGTATAGTGCATGGCATGTAAGCCATGCATAATAAATGTTATTATTTATGTTATTATTAAAATATCATTTATGCTAAAATGATATTATTAATAGATAACGGCAGTCTGTTCCATCAAGCTCTAGGTAAGTACTTTCAAAATGCTCTGAGGGTAGCCCCTATTAATCAGTCACAGCTGGAAATAAGATGAAGCCCATTTTCTATTAACTGCTTTTTCAACAAATGTCAATTAATTCAAAGAAAGAAGAACCAAGTGTGTACATACTCTAGAAGCACTTAGATGACATGTATTGGTCCTCATGTTATTAATTCATTCAAGAAATGTTTATTGATTGCTTATTATGGTCCTAGCATTGCTCCAGGCCCTGTTCAGTTAAACAGAGATAAAGATCCCTGGAATGGAGTTTGATTGGATTAGGTAGGGTAAAAGGGGAGAAATAGTAGAGTATAAGCAAATGACATAGCACAGCAGTCCCCAACCTTTTTGGCACCAGGAACCTGTTTTGTGGAAGATAATTTTTTCCATAGACCAGGGTGGGGGAATGGTTTCGGGATGATTCAAGCACATCACATTTATTGTGCACTTTATTTCTATTACTATTATATTGTAATGTATACTAAAAATAATTATACAACTCACCATAATGTAGAACCAGTGGGAGCCCTGAGCTTGCTTTCCTGCAACTATCTTTCTCATTTGGAGGGAAACTATATTTCCCATCTGGAGGTGATGGGAGACAGTGACAGATCATCAGGCACTAGATTCTCACAGGGAGCACGCAACCTAGATCCCTCCTATGCCTAGTTCACAACAGGGTTCGCACTCCTATGAGAGAATCTAGTGCTGCCACTGATCTGACAGGAGGCAGAGCTCAAGAGGTAATGTGAGCAGTGGGGAGTTGCTGTAAATACAGATGAAGCTTTGCGCACTCACCCGCTGCTCACCTCCTGCTGTGTGGCCCTGGTTCCTAACAGGCAATGGAGCAGTACCGGACTGTGGCCTGGGGATTGGTGACCCCTGTTATAGCATTCTATAATGCAGATGTATACCAGAGTAAAATCAATTACGAGCATCTCTTTTTTTCTAAAGTTATTGACCTTCTGTATACAGAATGACACAAACAAATTGCTCAAGATCAATCCCCAAGAAACACCAATATTTAAGCAATGAGTAGAAGAGGAGACCAAAAAGTGAAATAAACAATGTCTAGGCCAGGTGCAGTGGCTCACACCTGTAATTCCAGCACTTTAGGAGGCTGAGGCGGGTGGATCACCTGAGGTCAGGAGTTCGAGACCAGCCTGGCCAACATGGTGAAACCCTGTCTCTACTGAAAATACAAAAATTAGCCAGGCATGGTGGTGGGTGCCTGTAATCCCAGCTACTCAGGAGGCTGAGGCAAGAGAATCGCATGAACTCAGGAGGCAAAGGTTGCAGTGAGCCGAGATTGCGCTATCGCACTGCAGCCTGGGGGACAAGAGCAAGACTTCGTCTCAAAAAAAAAGAGTGTCTAGATCAGAAGGAAAACCAGTTTTCAAGAACAAAGGATTGTGTAACAGTGTCACACACCACTAAGTGGGCAAGAAAAGTAAGTACTTGAAAACATATGTTGAAGTTAATTACATGGACATTATCAGTGACTTTGGCAAACGGAATTTTCAATGGAGTATTAGGGTGGAAGCCAGATTTCAATTCTTATAAGAGGAAATGGAAATAAACAACAAAATGATATAGGATATGCCCACAAAAATTTGATCACTACATCGAAGAGAAAAATTAACTGAAAATAGGAGTGAGAGGTTCAGTCTTGGCAAGTTTTGTTTTTTATCTTGTTTTGTTTTTTAAAGTGAGAAATATTCTCTGTTGATTAGAAGAAACCAGTAGAGTAGGGAAGAAATGGAACCAGAGCCTCATGTTGGGCTTGGTCTGTAACAGGAAGGAGAAAAGAATAGGATCAACACAGGTTTGAGTGCAGGTTTAGAAGAGGAAGCTCAGTGTTTCATTCTGGTGGTTTCTATTTGTTTTCTTGAAGTGGAAGACTAGAGCACGTGATGGACCATCTATGAGATTAACATGTGCCCTGGCACATTCTATTTTCTTTGCTTTGAAACCTGTCTTGTCTCCCAATTCAACTCCTCTTCACCCAGCTGACATGCTCTTACACATGGGCTTATAGCTCCATTCATAGCTATCATTATAGTCTATAAGATTTGTGACCATTTGACTAATTTCTCTCTCTCCCTTCAGAGGGTCCTATCCGTTTCTGTATTTTGCTTACAGTGCAGCCACACAGTGTAGCACACTACATTCCAGCCCAAAATACAGTAGACACCCAATAAATATCCCATAAATATTGAATGAATAAATGAACTTATTCAATAGAGGAGAAAGAGGTGTTCTAAACTTGAAGGGAGGGGGCAAATTTTAGGGTTGTGATAGAAAGAATGTGAGGGAGAGTTGACAAAGACAGGAGAGCAATATTGAGTATCTGCTTACATAGATTGGTGAACTAAATTAATAGAGGCACCAATTTGTCTTGATTTAAATAAGCAGAGAAGATTCACAGTCCATCCAAGGTTGGGACTTTGGCAGGTGAGAGTCAACTGAATGACAATGAAACAAGGGATTCTAGGATATTGGTAAGAGAGCTGTAGAAGTATTAGACCCCATGATCTACAACACATAAGTTTGAATTGTACATAGATTATCAAATTCAGGGGCAACGTAGTTCTCCCCAAACCCTCTGCTCATGTTTAAGTCTTAATATTAGTCTTTAGTCTTAACACTTTACGTACAATGTAATATTTAATACACAAGTCACACTGTTAGATGTACAGTGTCACTTGTATGTCCACTCAAATGGTGATATCGAAATAACAGCCATTACTTACTGAGTATATATTATGTATAAGACACTTCTTGAAGAGCTTTATGTATTTGGTCCTCATCATCTAATTCTTTTCTTTCCCTCTTAATCCTCAGCAGGATTCTCCGGTAAAATATAGTAAAGAAACAGAGACTCTTAGCATAACAACACGTCAAAGTTACAAGAAGTGGCCTAGTTATCAAGAGAAAAATTTATCCTACAGATGCTCCATTGTGACAAAATTTAAAAACCTAAGCTTTTTAAAGGTAAATGTTAAAAGGTACATGAACACTCTAAAAAAGATGTAGGCAAGTATGACCATCATGATTCTGAGAATGTTTCATCATGTGTCCAAGAGTGAACCAAAAACATGAACAGAAAAGGGAGGAGAGATTAAGACAGAGGGAAAATGGAGTGGGGGAGATGAGAGATATGAAACCCTGGACAACCATCTGAGATGGATCTCTGTGGACTGAAAAACATCTCATTAAAAGAAGTTAAGAGATAGTTTGAATGTTCTCTAACTCTAGGTGTGTTCACTGTTGATTAACCATGAGATTGTTTTATTTCTGGGAGTAGACAACACACCCTTGGCTGTCCAAAATTATTTTATTGACACTTAATACTCTTACTATGTGCTAGGCATTTGTCTAAAGGAATCACAAATATTATTAATAATTTATTTAATCCACAAAACTACCTTATGAAGTACTATTATTATCCCCATTGCACAAATAAGGAAACTGAGCTACTGACATATTAAATCCAAATGTTGTGTGCATTATTGAGAGAATAAATATAATGTTATTTCTAATCTTTATAATATTCTTGAGAGGCAGGTCTTATGATAATAAGATCATTTTAAAAATGAAAATAAAAGAAACCTATGATTTAGAAAAGTTAACATTTCCAAACATGGTCAGCTGGGATTTCTACTTCTGGTCATGAGGGACTGACAGGGTCAAGAATTACCCTCCCTCTACAAACAATTTAAAAACTAAACAAAATATAGGAAACAACTATTTTCAGTCATTGAAGAATAGCCAATCCAGGACTGTGATCCCTGAGAGATGGGAAACAAATGAGGCTTTTTGCCTGGGGGCAATTTTTAGACTGTGTTGCAGGGAGGAGGACCCTTTCTGAGCAATCTCTCTCAGTTCAGGAGACAGAGATAAAAGTCTGAGGAAGCCAAAGCATATGAAATTTGCAAGACAGAGTACCCAAAAGAAGTGAGCTACCCAGAAAAAGAGTTCTAGAATTTTTTTATAAGGGTCCCCTTGAGTCTTTGGTAAATGCTAATGTGTACATGCACTGGGTAAAGCCCTATGAGGCCCAGCAAGTACAACCTCCAAAGAAAGAATAATTGCTGGGGAGCTTTAAGCCAAACAACTTAAGCGCACATTCAAGACTGAAAATTGTTCAAGTTCCCACCAGCCACAGGGCAAAAGACCCTAAAAGGGCTAAAACTTAAATGTGGGGCTAAATTAGCCCGAAAGTAAAGACTACTACAGATCTGTCTTAAAAGAACATAAAAACAAGACTTTAATCAAACTAATCCACAATTACCATAGCTGCCTACTGAAACAAAATCCAACCTGTTTAAAGGAATACAACAAAATCCGTCACACAAAAACATACAATCACAATAACTGGCATTCAATTAAAAAAAACTACCAGACACAGGAAATAAGAATATATAAACTATAATCAGGAGAAAAATTAATAGAAAATAAATGAGATGATAGAATTAGCAAAAATATTAAACTGCTATCATAAATAGGCTCCATGTATTCAAAGATATACAAGAAATTAAGTATAAAAATAAATGAAATCTTGAAACAAATGTTCAAGATATAAAATACAATATCTGTAAAGGTCATTAGATAGCCAAATACAACAAACAAAGACAATTGATAGTAAATAAAATTAAAAGTCAGCTCCATGTGACTGTAAGGTATTATCGTTTTCCATGGTGCATTCCATTGTATGGTGCTCTGTAAAAAGCCACAGCTAACAACAAAAGCATGCATGTCACCCCAAACAGAGGGACCATGAGTAGAGGGACAAATGGCCATGACACAAGGAAAAGAACAGTTTTAGAATCAAAATAGACAGAGGCTCAAATTCTAGCTCTGTAACTTATCAACTAGGTAAACCTACATGAGTCTTCGGAAACTGAGTTTATTCCTTCATCTGTTAAATCAACATAGAAAGGCCTACTTCATACAAAGCAATAATTGATACTACAGGTAAGAAAGTATTACCATGTTGCTTGACACATAGGCACATAAATCTTTTTTCCATAGCTGATAGAGAAAAACCCTAAAATTCTCATGTATATTCAAGAAACTAAAGAAATATTGCTGATTAGAAGGCCTGACCCAGGCTCAGGAAAAGTTATGGTGTGGTGTGATGTGGTGTGTGTGTGTCTGAGTGTGTGTGTGTGTGCATGTGTGTGTGTGTGTGTGTGTGTAGGGGGTTGGTCCTGGGTGGGTCAGATGATATCAATGAACATATTTTTCTCTGAATAGCATGCAAAGTCTTAATGAATACTGCTCTTCTGACCTAAAAAAGGTAACAGGCATTCTAGGTGGAAATCATCACAGAAAAGGATCTACCAATATAATTTAGGAAATATAGCAAGTCAACTTTACCTTGGAATTAATGCTCTGTTTTTCTCTTGGAAGAAACAACATACTGGATGTGTCAGTGTTTTACACTAAGATAATAGTGGCTCTGAAATCTAGCCTACCAAATGTACAGTGCTTGGGAAGAGAGTTAACTTTTTAGTAAGGCTCCATTTCTGTAAAAGAGGAATGCTGATGATTAACTTGCAGAGTAATTATAAGGACTAAAGAAGATAACATGTATAAATTGCCTAGTAAAGACATTAGTAATTTAATATTTATTTATTCTCTGACCCTTTGAAGTCCTGCCCCAGCCCCCCAATTCATATTTATTTTATCTCTTGGTACCAAGAAATCCTCCTTTTGTGGGAACTGAACTAAGATTCCATTCCACTGGCCCTCTGATGTCAACTTCTTCAGTTTAGACTTGTCACTTCTTCCTTTCCTGAAGAAATATTTGAAAGATTAAAAGAGACAAACACCAGCGAAGTCATTGTAACCTCACAGGGTTTTTGTCACATTTGGAATTCATTAATCTGAGTTTTGAGAAGAACTCAGTTGACTTCACTCCTTGGTAGAGCAAAGAGAAAAATAAACGAGAAGACGATATAATATTAAAGAACTGGAACCTTTGCCCTTTGCCTTCTTAATCTGGCCTACATTTCTCAAGGCTCTAAGCAATTACCAAATGACGGAGTTGTCTAAAATCAATTCTGCTTACTTTGTGTAACTACCAAAAATCAGATATGAAGACTGGTGCCTGACCTGGTCCAGAGATTAATGAGTTTGCTGAGCAACGAAGTCTAACTACCTGGTTACACATTTTTCTTGGCACAGTCAACAGCCAGGACCAAAAGGATGTGTGAAGGCTACGGTCTAAAATGGTTACAGGAAATACTGAGATTGGTGCAAGTGGTATCAAAAGACCAGATGGGAGGCTATCCAAATGACCTATAGAATGCTATGCCAGAAACCCAAGTTCATCTGAATGCCAGGTAAAAATACGCTTGTGGGCTAACATAAGAATTGCCATCTCAAACAAGGTACTTTCTAAATAAATCAGCTAAAACTAAGACAAGATATTGCTGCTTAAAAAAATCTTAATTAAAAGTGTAATATTAGATCTGTAAAGCTCATTATAAAGACTAAAACTGGTGTGCCTGGGGTACAAAGAGGGAAGAGTGTTAGACAGATGTACTTAGATACAATTTCAATTTTTTCTGGGCTTAATTACACTTAAATATTGGGCCAATTAATCTTCCTGATTAACTTCCTGAGGGCACCCTAGCTTGACCCCATCTCTCGGTGTCAAACTTCACTTTGACTAACCTAGGAAGCTGGGAAACCCAATCTGAGCCACCTTTGGTCACGTATAAATGCAAAATGAAAGAGGTCATTCTAAAGTCGTGAAACTGAGAGACTGCTGCTCAGAGTGGCTTCTCTTGAAATTCAAGAGAAGATGGCTTGGAAGTGGTAACACACACCCAACAACAGGTAGCAATTGGGGCACAGGTGAAGAAGGCTGGAAAGATGTCAGTGTCTTTGATAAGCATCCTGTGTGGTGACAGTTCAACAGTTCTCCTGTTTGGGGCAGGAATAAAGGTTCTTAAAAACATCTTAACACACAGAAACAAATGTCCTCTTTGTCACTGAGTCTGTGCTGTAGATACAGTCAGGTCATATAATGAAACTATTCATTTGCCTTGGGAATATGAACTGAGCTTCTTCCTACTCATCTCATCCATTCTGAAGGTCAGGACAAGATTAAGATCTCCCTGAAATGAATCAACTCCTGGCTAGAGGTGCACCGATAATTTTCAAAATGGTTTAATTACTTCAGTTTCTGAGGCCCTCAGAGTTGTTTTTTTCTTTCTGAACCATCAACATACATATTTATGTACCAAACAGAAAAAAGCATTAAAAAAAACAAATTCTATTATGGAAGGCAGAAAACAGACACTATGAAATAGTTGCCAGACAGCTATTATTTAGGATTGAGTGCCTAGATACCAAGTATTGTGGTACTTCAAGACTTTGAGGTTGCATCACATGGACTTTTAAAAGGGTGTAATTTTGAATCATAACTCCGCATTATTTTGGCTTTCACATCACCATCCCAGACAGTAAAAAAACAGTGATTATTTTCTTAAATATAAGACTGAACACTATAGTGTTTAAGTTTAGATTAGTAAAATTGAACTTTTCCACTTCTAATTAATGTCTATTTCTCATTAACATATCTGGTTATAACTAGAAAGTTACATACTGATGGTGAAAGGAAAATGTACATATGTGCATGGTACAGGATAAGTGTGGTAGGAAGCCAAGGGCATTAAAAGAGAGGCAATAGGTACAGAGCATTTTATAATTTGTTGAGATATAAATACAGACACAAGCACTTTCTTAAAATAAAAAAGCAGTGATACATTTTCTGAAAGTCTAAAAAATTTTACATTAGACTTTACAATAGATTAATTTGTCATTTTGTTTAATTATCAGGAGGTAAATCACTAAGATCATTGGTTCTCAGATTTAATGGAACAAATATTTTGCAAGTTGAAGCTAGGTGCTTTACTGCTAAAATTAAATAAAAGCAGGCATTTTCCAATTCATACACAAGTTAATGGATACAGCTTTCTAAATTATAAGCATTTTTTTCTCATAAATTTGTCTTAAGCCATTAGTGCAGGCAATTGTTTATCTTGTCTTCTCAAGGTGGTATCTGATTTGCCTATAATATACAATTAAGGTTGTCATAGCAATACTTCATCGTGTTCTGTTAAAAGCACCATGACTCCTAGATGTTCTTTCCCTTAAAGAAGTTACAAGACAATAGACTAATACTATTGATCTATTGGCAGATGGGTAATTTCAAGCTGTGAAATAAAGAGAAAGACCAGGCATGCTTCCCCTGGGCCTCAAACAGAAATGAGGACACTGGATGTGGTCCGTGGAAATGTAGGGCATTGCATGCAAGGCAATGTGGATGTCGTTGGCTGTCTTTTCAAAGGATGACGTTCTAGTGAGTGATACACAATTAACTTCGAGACTTTTCGGGAAGTCAGTGCTGTCATTAGTTGTGCCTTATGTGTCTCCAAAAAGAAACTTGATTTTTACCTACTTGCTTTGCCTTTGAAACCTAGATTGTAAGGGTTTGAAATGATCATAAATTCTATTCACTTAATAAAAATTCTGTCAGTCATTTTAACAAATATTTACTGAGTGCCTACCAATGATAGCACTGAAACCTAGATATTCCACATTTGATTCCTTAGAGATTGGTTTTAATGTTTCATTATATCGTTTTTCTTGGCTTTCCTGAGAAGAACAAGAAGTTGCTAGTTTTTAGACTCAACTGTAATTTTGCCATGTCCTAACAGCTGCAGAAAAAAACACACATACCAAAACATATTAACAAAGAATTACAAATATTAGCTAAAGGCAAGAGAAATGCCATGGAAGACTTTGCATTATCAGCATGCTGCTTGATTACTACTTTTAAAAACAGTCCATTAATGTTTAAAAAATTAAAGAAGACTAGGATAAAGGAATGCTAAACTGATTCTGGGTACAGCCATAAAAGGCTGTTTTCAGGAGCACATGAAGACAAGCAAAAGATGAGATTAAATTAGAAATGGGATATTCATGCTATAGGTATAAAATGATTTACTGAGATATTTGGTATTACATAACTTAGGAATGAAATCAAAGTTGAAAAATCTTGGAAATTTCACAGACTATTAGACTGGATGACTTTAATCTAGAGAAATCCTTTTTATTTTCATGGCTTCTCTAACTTCTTCACTCAGCAAATCACTGAACATAAAATCCATTTGTGGTGTGTCAAAAGAACTTGACCTAAAGTTGAGCGCAAAGTGAAGAGACTCAGCCTCACATCTTCTCCAGAGTTCATCTAAAATTATTGGAAGCAATAAAATAAGAGATAGTAAAAGAGAGGGCAAACACGAAATGTTGGGAATTTACATGGGCTCTATTTAGAAAAGGTGAGGAAGAATAAAGAAAAAGAATCTTTAAAATTTAAGACTTTTTCGAATGTTAGCAATCCTAAATCTTGTTAAGTGTGTGGCTTGAAGGACAAGGCACATTATGAAAAAGAGAGAATCAATAATTGGGGTCATAATTTTTTAAATCAATACAACTATTTTAGTGTTTGTGGAAGTTCTGTTAAGATATGAGAGTAGGAAAATAATTCAAATTTTTTAAGTGTACTTAGATATATAAATACTTCTATCCAGTGATGGCATTTGGTGAGTGTAGGCAGAAAAGGCTCACATCCCTTATGAAGAGGAACTACCCCATTCATAATTCCTATGACTGAGCCAGCCACGTTGTGTAGCAGGCTGGAGGTGGTTGGACCAGAGGTGGTATATATGACCAAAGGGCTGCCTATGCGAGAAACCTATAATGAGGACTGGTCCAAAAGGAGAACTGGGCCCATCAGTTTCTCTCTTGGGAACTGTAACTGGGACAGGTAAAGACTGCTACAATTAACGGTGGGAGGTGAAGCTGAAAGGTCATGAAGTAGAGACAGATGATGGTACCCATACAATTCTCTCTAAGACAAGTCTATGGTAAGAGAAAAACGAGTAAAAAAAAGATAAAGTGAAAAAGACTCTCAGAGGGGAGCAGGGAAGCATTGAGCATAGTCATAAAGAAAATGACAGGTGAGGAAAAGAGCATACCCTTAAAGCTGCTTTGGTTCCTGACATCATCTGGTCCCAGGCCTTACAAATTCTTACACTGGACCCCTTCTCCTCAAGGTAGCCAGGGCAAGCATCTGATCCATAAAATAGAGCTAACCAGAATAGCTTATATAATAAAGCACTGCTGGAAAGCCTGAGCAGAGAAATATGTCCTCATTTATTGAAAGCAACTGCAGCATTGTGTGTGTGTGTGTGCGTGTGTGTCTGTGTGTGTGTGTGTTTACACCTTAAAAGCTGACTCCTTGGAAGTACTTTGTATATGAAACAGAACAAATGATAATTGCTATGACAGATATTCAACAAATGTGTTATATGTGCAAGGTTTTGTACTAGATACTGTGAAGATAAAAATATACAGAGAAGACATGCACTCTATCTTCAAACAATACTTAGAGGAGGATCTCTTTTTTCTCCCTCACAACCACGAATAAGCTGAAGAATAAATTCTGCCCTTTAAACACGGCAGGTGCACAATGATGTTTTACAGAAACAAATGCTTTATATGATTGAATCACATACAATGCTTTTGGGACACATAGGAAAAAAACAATTTTATTTAAGAGGATCAGGGAAGATTTCATCAAAGAAATGTAATCTTCACTGGGCATTATGGGATGGGCAGTTCTTCAGTAAAAAGAGAAACATGGAAAAATACACAAAATGGCATGACGATGTAAATGTGTGTTAGATTTTTAGAACAGTCTGCTTTGGTTAGGGCACAGGTACCTGGGAGATGCAAGAGGAAAAATGGTTTGGTGCAAATTTGTGGAGCACATTAATTATAAGGCTAAGGAGTTATGACTTTATTAAGTAAAAAAGCAAGACACTAAGATCATCAAATGTATGTTTTAGGAGGATAACTCTAGCAGACATGGAAAACAGGTTCAGATTGGGAGAAAGGCAGGAAATAGAGGCTGGGAGATGAATTAGAAGATTTTAAGCTGGCTGCTTGTGAGCTGGGTATGAACAAAGGCAATGGCAGCAGTAATGGGAAGCAGTGACTACCTGAGAGACACTGCAGAGATGTAGTCAACAGGATTTGACACATGATTAGATGGGGGGAGGAGGTGTGAGAGTAGGTGAGAAAAAAAATGAAAGGTAACATTCAGGTTCCCAATGTGAATGCTTGGCAAAGCTTTTAACCAAGATAAGACAAGAAGCCATTTAGATTGCAGTAGGATTCTGGTTTTCTAAGGATTGAGTTTGTGGTACAAATGGCACAGCCATTTGGGGGGATTTAAAAAGCAGCTAGAAAATGCAAAACTGCAGTAAAGCAGAGAAGTCTGGACTAAAAATGTTAGGTAGCACATCTTCAGTGTGTGTAAGAGCTGAAAACCAAATGGTAGATACAGATGCCCTAGGAAGAAAGAGAAATCAAGATTTAAAAGATTGGAAAACTATTGAAAATCTGCTTTAAGAGGAAGGGTGAATTCAGTGACTAGTCAGAGAGAAGACTGAGAAGACAGTTGTTAGAAATGTGATGAATAAGAGTAGTGCCATGAACATCAAAAAGGGAGCCTTGAGGGAACTAATGGTCAACAATGCGAGTGACTACTGGGTTCGCTGATGATTCAGTCATGAACACCTCACCTTTGGAAGCAGCAGTTCCAATCTAATTATGAGAACAGAGGATAGATTGTAACGGGTCATGAAGAAACAGATGCAATAAATATTAGCTCTTTTTGCTAGAAGTTAGGGCACAAAGAGAATATGATGGATGGGCCAGTAACAAAGAGGAGTGACAGCATCCAGGGAAGTTTAATTTTTAGATACACGAGAGGGCAGAAGTGAATAAACCTGTGGAGAGAATGTGAATATCCAAGAAAAAAGTTTTGTTTCATGAGACAGTGACATTAAATCCTTCAATGGCCCCTCATCTAACTTATGATATTACTTGTACTTTTCATAAGGCTTAGGAGACCTGTGTTGGGCCCCGTCCGTGTATTGCGCACCCCATTTCCTCTTTTCACCGCTATTCTCAACACTCCAGACATGTCAGTTGTTGATGTGCCAAGATTTCTAGCTTCACAGCTCTCACATATGCTGTCTGGGATACTCTTCCCCTGCCCCGCGACCCCCCCTTTTTTTTTTTTTTTTTTTTTGCCTGAACTTAAATAATATTTCTTCCTTAAAGTGGTTTTCCTTTACCACTTCCTGTCTAAATTAGGTGTCTTTGTTATGTTTCCATACACAAACAAGAAAGTCCTTCGCCATAATAATCAAACTTGCAATGGTTATCTTTTTTCTTAGACTGCAAGTCATAGAAAGGTACGGACTATGTATGGTACATGGGAGGTGCTG
The DNA here is from genome assembly GCF_000001405.40 of Homo sapiens. Lineage (NCBI taxonomy): Eukaryota > Metazoa > Chordata > Mammalia > Primates > Hominidae > Homo > Homo sapiens. The sequence goes on from NC_000009.12 coordinate 21,506,358, forward strand.
AATAAATACTGAATGATGAATAAATAACTGAAAAAATCTAGGTCATGGCACAGGAAGTCAGGAAAAGGCTTTCTGTGCTTCTAATAAAACTGCTAGAACTTTTATATTCAATTCAGGTAATGATGCAGAGAAGAGTTATCTAATTCAAAATAATTATAAGCACCATGTAATAACTTTGAATGTGTTACATTTAGGGAAATATGCATCTATAGACTCTAATATTTCAATTTTAATATATGGGCTTTCTCTTATTATTGGATTTGTGACCTTACCGCCAATTATATTTGCTTCCTTTGTTTTTTTTACCTCTTTTTCATTCTCAAGTACCGATTGTTTTTTCAAGTACACTAGACCTGGATCTCCTTCCCAAGATAACCTCTGTCTCTCCAAGATCCTGCAATAGCTCAACACAATTTTTTATGACAAGTCTCCAAAGTCCAATATTTGAGTTTCTTATACACGTTTTACAAATCAGGAAAGGTTTGCAAGAAGAAAGGCAGGTGAGAAAACACAGGCAGGGATCATTCTGGGTCACACAAATTCCATGAATGCTCTTCTATAAAAACTTTCAATGGCCAAGTAATTAACTTGGAATCAGCAAGTCAAATCACTCATTTTTTTGCAAAGTTCAGCAATTAGATAGAACATATTTCCAAAGAATGCAAACCACGAAGGTGGCTTGCTTCCAAGTAACTACATCATTTTCCTGTAATGCCATCCCAGTTGGTTTCCTCATGCATGCTTGATGATTCTCCTCACTATGCATCTTTTTGGACTTCCAGATTTTGACTCCTAAACTTATCAAATTAACTTTATTGACAGAAAGGGTTTCTGCTTTTGTTGGATACATGTAGATTATGTGCCTGCTCAGACAGTGTAAACTGCCACTCTTTGGTAATCTTATCTTCAAATAAGGACACACACCTGCCCTGATACTTACTCAAATACTTACTCAGATTGACTAATGAACTTATAATGAACTTTCTTATCATTTACCAACTGGGCTTTGCTCTCAAGGACATAAAAACTATGATCTTTACATCTGGGACATATCAGTAATTCTTAACAGTAAAAATATATGACCATGTATGCAGTTCATGGGCAAAGTCCATTAACACTCACTTAAAACTAATATTTTCTTCATCCAAGAGTAATAACTAAACATACTTCTTAAACTGAACCATGCATTCAAGAAACCTTAGGTAACATCTAACGTGTTATCTATAAAGTCTCCCCCAGCTACGCGACAGGAGGATCTTGCTTACCCACATTCCAATTAGATTTCCCAAAGTTTGGCTACTTGAGCAGCACTTTCACAATTTTTGTCATATTCCTTGACTATAAATGCCTTAACATTTTATTTAAATTAATTTTAAAAATATTAAAACAAATTTACTTTTAAAAGGAGATGCTGTGTATTTTTCTAATGTATATTAATATACAAAACATTATATAGAAATAAGAACATCATGTAGGTTTCAGTGAAAACTAAAAGTACTTTGGTTTTAATGCTTTGGTTTTGTTTGTTTTACAAGACAGGGTCTTGCTATGTTACTCAGGCTGGCCTTAATTCCTGGGATGCAGCCATCCTCCCACCTCAGCCTCCCAAGTAGCTGGGATTATAGGTGCATGCCACTGTTCCTCGCTTTAATATGGTTTTGAGACAAGTATTGATTCAGTAGGAAATCCATTCTAGTGGATCCAGCCAGTCTGCCCTACCTTTCTGCTTCTGCATTCCTAGATGAGATACCTGAAAGGGGATGGACTCAACAACACAAATCTCCTATCAGTCTAGCTGCTACAAATACAATGGTAAACGATTAAAATCCTACAAATTAAAACAGTATAGCCAGGCTTAGAATAAAATATTTTAATTTTTTAAAAATTTTAATCATTTCAAAAGCAAACTTTTGTAGGAGTGAAAGGAAAAACGGAGGGTTGAAAAGAATTTATAAGCCATATCTTAGAACTTTTATTTGTACAGCTTCTTACCATTCTCAAAGCAGTTTTATATACCTTACCTGATTTGAGTCTCATAATAAGCCAATAACATAAAAAGCAAGTATATGAGTCATAGAATAATTATCATTTTATTTCTAGGCTTTTAGATAGAGTAAGAGAAGCAGGACCTTTCCTCAAGATAAAACTAAAATACCACGTTTCTTCTGTTTTTGACTGGAATTATTTAGCAAATAAGTGCTTCAGGTTGGATGAGAACAAAGGTTATCTGCCTTCTATCCAGAACTCTGCTTTTTTTCTCACATTTAAGTTAGACAAAAACAACATAAAACAATAAAACACTGAAATAAATTTAAATACAATTACTAAAAAAACCCAACTTTTTTTATAAATTGTCTTCCAATTTGCTTACATAGTTTTCACAGCTGTATTTTGCTTTTCCCTCTTTTCTAATACACCATATAATCTCTTCTACTATTACCCCCAATTTACAAATAAGAAAACAGATTAAACGATCTGCCCCAACTCATGTACATGGTTACAAAATGGCAGAAATGGGACTAGGACCCAGATCTTTGTGCATTTCATTCTGACACTCCTACTACTACACTACACTACCTCATAAAGGAAAAGACATCTCAAATTTTTTAAAATCTGCAAAAATAAGAAATAGCTCAAGATATGATCCTTTAGTTTACAGAAAGACTTATCACAGTAAGAGTCCTAAAAATCTTGAAAATTCCTTCTGCATAATTCGACCTAGTCTGTAGCCGAAAAGAGCTCATATATCATTTACAATTTGACAAAAATCCTAGAGAAAGAATATTTAGAGGTAAAGGATTTGGGTCAGTATCAAGGCAATCAGAAAAGAAAAGAAAACATCTTGAAAATTATAATATGAGCCAATGGAGAAAAAAAGCATTGAAGTTAAAAACTCTGTGGAAGCGTATCACCATCACCCCATACATGGTGCAGTGAGTGCTCCTGTGAATAGTTATAAGGCTGTTTATGTAAGGCTCAGTGTAAGAAGGACAATTACAAAGCCTTTTTCCAGTTTTTCATAAGCACAGATACAGTCGGAAAGCAGGCTGCATTTAAGACCACGACCAAGTTCTATACTGGGAATTGTATAAGACTTAGGACAGTATATATATACACACACACACATATATATATTCTAGAGAATATGTATACATATATATATACATATTCTTGAGATGGAGTCTCGCTCTGTCACCCACGCTAGAGTACAGTGGCGTGATCTCAGCTCACCGCAACCTCCACCTCACTGGCTCAAGCAATTCTCCTGCCTCAGCCTCCCAAGTAGCTGGGATTACAGGCGCGTGCCATTGCACCTGGCTAATTTTTCTATTTTTAGTAGAGACGGGGTTTCACTGTGTTGGCCTGGCTGGTCTCGAACTCCTGACCTCAGGTGATCCACCTGCCTCAGCCTCCCAAAGTGCTGGGATTACAGGCGTGAGCCACCACACCCGGCCTCAAAGCACAGTTGTCAAGCTGGATCAGAATCAATAGGAGGATGCTTATTAAAAATGAAGATTTGAAGTCTCAGTCAAGATGCATTAAATAGAATGTCTAGGGAATGGTTTGGGAATCTGCATTTTTAAACAAGCTCTCTAGGTGATAATACAACAATGAAGTTTAAAAACCACTGACTTCAAGAAGTTATTGGACACTTCAGAATATTAATTATTATTTTAGTCTCTTACACTGATGTTCCTAAATCTGAAGTTTTAGGGGTTTGGGTTTCTCCCCACAAACATTGTTCACTTCGAATCAAAAAAGAAGCTTCAGGTGTTTAGTAATTAGAGTAAAACACGTTTCAGCTATGGAGGATGGCGCTTGGCAAGCAATGTTCATTTCCACACATGGAACCCAGCTCATCAACTACATTGAGGTCAAGGGGGCACTGGATATGTCTGTAACTGATGTAGATGAGGGTACATGGAACTCTGCAAAAGGCAAAAGAAGCCCAAATAAACTGATGAAACAAGTTTTTAAAACTAAGTTATAGGTAAAATAAATAAACCAGTTCTTGTAATAAACTGTATGTCCTGGCCAATTGACCCTGCAACAAATTACCATTAATATAACGAATGGATAAGGCACTGTGAATCTAATTTTCAGCTAAAGCTGTTTTGTGAGTTCTTAAAAGCCTTCATAGGCAAGATCAGCTTGTACAATGATGTCTTTAAACAAATTATCCTTATATAAAGAGATGCTTATAAAAGTTGTAGACTAAAACTACCTCACTTTTGTGCTACACATTTTTGTTAAATTAGCAGCTTAGTTTAATATACTCCAAGAGGCATGAAATGAAGGTATAATGTGATCTTTCTGTATGTTTTAATACCCTGAGTAATAATAAATAATGACAATCGAGAATAGTGACTGCTACTTTATTTCTTGGAAAAGCATTAAAATTAACATGAAATTTTATTTATTAAAAGCAAAGCTTTTTATTAAAACTTCAATGCTTAAAAACATGAAACATCAAACAGTATTTATTAAACATTAGTATTTATTAAACATTAAAATACAATTGTATTTACTGAACATTCTTACTCTTTAAAGTGAATGTGTAAAAACCACTTTTAAAAGAGATCTACAGATAATGAGTAACTCCAGAAACAAAGGAAGATGAGGAATGTGAACTAACCAGGAGAAGAACTTGAGATCCTTGACAATTAACTCCTTGGTCTCTCAAGATTTCTATCTTTACAAAGAATTCTACATGTACTATCGTTCTGGCATAGAATTTCCACACATTTCACATAAAATCCCTTGTCTCTAACTAAAGAAAACTTTTTTCTTAGTAGTGAAATAAATGTGTTGAGTGTCTACTGGTATGCATATATCAAGAATTTTAGAGACACTAAATTTTTAGACATGTGATAAGAATCATCTGACTAAAATACCTTATTTCCTTATCTTGAGGGTCCTATGGAGTCACTATTATTACTCTAATTTTACATTTGTGTAAACTGTGGCTCAGAGGTTAAATGACTTAAGAACGCACCAGTAATGAGATTTGACCATAAGTTTTACTTTGAAGCTCATGCTTTTCCCAATAAAATATGCTGACTTCCACAAGTCTATGGATCCAATGACACATTTACTGTGACTGCTTTAAAGAGTTAGGTTTGCAGGCCCAGAACTCAACATTATCTGTTTATTTCTTTATTATTAGTTTTGTGCCAGGGATTTCACCAAAGACATTTATAATGCAAAAACTATAATTATTTGATATCTCTTTTGCATCAGGGTAGAGTTTCAAAAATATGTATTGAGAACCTACTATGTGTCACACTCTAAGGATACAGTGGTTATCCCTAACAAGGTCCCTAACCCTCAAGAAGCTTACATGGTAGTGCGGGAGAAAAGACACTAAGCAAGTAAACAAATACGTTTCAGGGAGCACCAATGTTTCTGAAAAAGCAGAGTAATGGGATAAAGGGTGACTGAAGTGCTGGAGTATTTTAGATAGCATGGTCACAGAAGGCTTCTCTGAGGAGATGATATCCTCGCTGAGGCCCAAATGATGAGAGAAAGGTAGGCAAGCTAAGAGGCAAGAACATCCTAGGTGTGTCCAAGGAATAGCCATACAGGCCAATGTGGCTAGCATGGAGTGAATTCATGGTAGGACACAATACATAGCAGGACAGGAAGTAAGGAAGGTGAGAAAGGCCATGTCATGGAAATCCACATCCAAGGAAGGGCGCACATACACAGCAATACACGAAGGACTGGCATGCAGGTGGCCATGGCTGCTGTCAGACAGGAAAGATGGCAATATGTTGGCATAGCAGGTTCCCAGTTCAACAGCTATGCCAGCATCTTGCCTCCTCTCCAGTTCCAAGTTACAGGAGAATACTATGACTCTTCAGTGTTTTACTTTTCCAAAATTTTTCCTTTCACCTGAGGGAGGGAAAACACACTCATTAATTGAAAGCGCACTTATTTCTGATCATAACAACATAGTCTTCCTTAGAGTGTCCGCTTTTGAAGATGTAGTTAGGCACAGGAGGTTTGTGGGTAGTTCCATTTTTTTAATGGTCTTTGATCTAAAATGAACCTCGAGAATGTTTATGGACTACTTGTGAAACCACAGGGATGAAATTGTGACAAAAATTTTATTAAATCAATAATGTCTAAAGTTGATGACAGTTAATTATAGGCTATTACCACCATATTTATAGTCCACAAAATATCCCAGTGACTCTCAGTACAATTTTATTTTTACTCTAATAACTTTACTTGGTCAATTTCTGCCACTCAGATGTATTTAAACAATAACAAACTGTGGCTCAGCAGTGTGTAGTTAGTTCACTGCTTTATGTGCTCTTAAAAATAATGTTATTTTTGGATTTTTTTAAAGACATTCTTGCTCTGTCATCCAGGATACAGTGCAGTGGTGCGACCATAGCTCACTGCAGCCTCAATCTCCCAGGCTCAGGTGAATCCTCCCACCCTAGCCTCTCAAGCAACTGGGACTACAGGTGTGTGCCATCACTCTTTTTTTTTTTTTTTGTATTTTTAGTAGAGACAAGGTCTCGCTATGTTGCCCAGGCTGGTCTCAAACCCTTAAACTCAAGCCATACTCCTGCCTCCACTTCCCAAAGTGTTTGGATTACAGGCATGAGCCACCATGCCCTGCCAAAAATAATGCTCTTTTGAGCCAAAAATTCCCAGCTAGAAACTTATTTCACAAGTACATTTGCAAAAGTACCACTAAGTTCTAGGTCCAAGGATGTTCACTGCAACACTGTTTTTAATAGTAAAAGATTGGAGACAACTTGAACACTCATCAGTATGATTGATACAGGCTAAATAAATAATATAGTTATACAACAGAATATTTGGTGGTCCTTACAAAACAGTAAGGCATAAGAATAATGACATTATGTATAACTTTTGTGCAAGTGAAAATGTATACACAGACACATACCTGGAGGGCATACATACATGTTTTTTATTAAAGGATAAATGAGCAATTTATTATTTTAAATAAAAAAATTGGATAGGATTATAAATTATGTTTGCTTTCCTCTTTAATATGTCTCTATTAAAAAACTAGTAAGTAATACGTATTATTTACCCAAAATGGAGTGTAAGGTAACCTATAAAGGTAAAACATTTTGTTATATAGTGCTACCAAGGTATAGATAAGGAAGAAGCATACTCTTTTAAATATGATTCTAGTATCAATTGCCTTTGCCAGAAACAAAAGTCCAGCATTACCTAAGCCTGGTACTAGATATACACATATGCAGTCACCCACGCATATACAGTATGTGGTGTCTGTTCTTGTGAGGGTAGGAACTTATGAGTGTTCTATTGCACAAAAGCCTGTAACATCTTGTCCTGAGGCTAGGTAACTTGTGGAAGAGGTACTAATTGACTTCCTAGGATACAATTCAACTTAATTGCATGATCTATTAATGTAAGGGTATTTAGGAATTTGGGGATCATTAAGTACAGAGCATTGAATCAAAATTAATGGCAAATGCAAAACAGGTTAGGTAACAAAATTCTGAATTGAGAAGATTTAACTGAATAAAGCTTCTCCAATAAACTCATTATTTTAAAAAATATTACTAATATCTGATATTCATAATTAAGAGGCAGGTACAAGCTGCATCATTTTAGAAGGTATATGGTACATATTTGAAAACAGTAATTTCTTGTGACTTTTTTCAGTTCCATTTTGCACATAAAAATTTCAGATTCAAGGCCAGGCATGGTCTTGAGTACATCTCAGAACTTTTGAAGGCCAAGGTGGAAGGATCACTTGAGGCCAGGAGATCAAGATCAGCCAGAGAAATATAGCAAGATTCCATCTCTACTAAAAATAAAAATAAATTAGCCAGCTGTGGTGGCATGCACCTGTAGTCCTAGCTACTTGGGAGAATGAGACATGAGGATTGCTTGAGCACAGGAGTTTGAGGCTGTAGTACTGTACTCCAGCATGGATGACAGAGCGAGGTTTTTCTCAAAAAAAAATTCAGATTCATTTTGTAAAGAAAATTGAATAACAGCAACTATCTGATTTACCAGTCAGATGTAGCAGATACCTGAATATTTAAAAGGAGGAAGAAAACTTACTTTTTAGGTTATCAAATAATTTCTCAATGTGTAATTGAAAAGTCTAGAAAAAAACTGTACTCTTTTGAAGAAGCTGTTGCTGTTGAAACTGAGGTGCTTTCTTTAATTTCTCTAATATATCCTGAGAATCATGGCTTTCACCAGGTTACTGGTAAAACCCACACCCTCACCACATATACCTTAAACAAATTTCTTGCAAAACTCTAACCTAACCAGGAATTGTTACAATGGGAAAACAAATCAGGTATATATATATATACCTGATTATAGGCCTTAGCAGTTAAGGTTAAACCTTGAAAAATGCTGACAAAAAAATGCCCTGGAGAGAATGCAGGGCCCATTTATAATTTTTTTCCTAAAAGAAAAAATTTTCTTTTACATTTCAAACTTTTAGTATTGTAACTAACAAAATAAAGTTCAAAGTCTAGGATTCTTCAAATTATTCTAACTTTAAATTCATTTAAAATTAATAAGGTGACTTTACTTCTAAATAACTGATATAAAAGTATTCTGGCAGCAAATCTAGCATGTTCCAGACATATGAAGGGCAAGGGGGAATTAGCTATACCAACCCCAATTAATACACAGACATAAAGAATAAGAACTCAATCACAGTAACTGAAAAAAATGGAGTAACTAACACTCACTGTGGCTTTTCAGAGCTGAAATACAATCTACTTAACGCCTCATTTTTAAAAAAGTGTTTTCTAAAAAGGGGTTGGGGTAGGGGTTGATTATGTATAAAAAGTTAGAATGTCCTATTTTTCATGTACAGTATTATGAAAAACTTTGTGGTCCAATCAAGAATATAACTGTAGGAAAAAATAACATTCACTGAATGTGTTGGTATTGCCTTTGGGAATAGACAATTTAATAGGATGTGCTCAAAGCTACTCCCTAAATTGATAGAAGCCATATGTGTCTCTGCCCTACATCTGTGGGGAGTGGTTTGCAGGAAGAAAGGAGTACAATTATATATACATATATTCAAAATAAATAAATACATATATATATATTCAAATGAATGAATAAATATAATCTCTTATAAATTGGCAAAGACAACATTATGGCCCCTGGAAGGACTCAAAACCTATGGAGGGTTCCATGTATTAATGCCATTCATTGTACACTTGATCACTATCCATATCGCACAAAAAAGTACCAATGAGGGAAAAAACAATTACAATAGAAAATATTTTATTTATTTGTGCTTAAACAGTCATCTATAGTATTATTGAGGAGAAATACTGAAATAATTACAGATACTTTTAGAGTAAAAAAAGGCAGCTTATAGGAATGGCTAAGAAAAGAATTTATAAAATCAAAGATTTTTGAAGTGTCTTTACATTAGCAAGCCTGTATATGTATACATGTGTGTGTATACACATATATAGCATACGTAATTTTAATTTTTATATAATCTTTTTTATGGAAGAACACCACCAAAGACAGAATATAACTCTTTTAAATTTAGGAATACTAATAAAATACAACTGAATATCTCTATCAGGTATCAGAAACGATCCCCAGGGCAACTACAAAGTATAGAAAAACTGACAAAAAGGAGTTAGGTTTTTATTCTCTGCCCCACCAGCCCTGTCTTGCCTGCTGGAAGACCTCACACTCTCTTCCCTCTGCCTATCCAACTTCCCACACCCCCCAATATACAGACACACCACAGTACCTACACCAGGCTTGTCCTCCCACAAAATGCCCTATTTCCCAAAATTCCACTCCACTACCCTTCTAAATTCCCATTTCCTCTTCACATATGTTGTCTATAGGAATGAGGAAGAGGAAATCTACCCCTACATTATAAGGATTCAAGACAAACTGCAAATTGTTAATAAGCTTAAGCATCCAAAAGGATCCCAATTTTTAGGAGACAAGTATTATACTAAACTAGCAATTAGTAGAAAATATGGAAGATATTTTGAATTCAGAGCTCTCTATTCTATAACCCCTTGCTTAAAATGGGCCAAAATTAAAGCATTTCCTATTTTCCAAAATTCATAAAAACCCACTGAAAAGGGAAGGTGGGGGATGAGGGGAGAAGTAACTATCTTTTTTGAGTAAGCAGTATATACTTTTACATTTTTCCCATACTTAATCCTCAGAAAACTGGCAGTGGTAGATATTATTATCGCCTATTTATAATTGACTAAGCTGAGGCTGAAAAAGTTTATCTAGAGTAAACATCTCAAAGTCATCAACCTACTAATAATTCCATTAATTTAACATTTGTTGGTCTTCTATTATATGCCAGGCATCGTGCTGAAGACAGGGCCTTTACCTATAATGGGTTTCCAAGTGGGAGGTGACAGTATATATTTTCACATAATTTGGTAAATCCTATCATCAAATTATACACTAGCTATAATAAGAACAAATACAGCATCATGATGGATTACAATGATGGCTGAATTCTCCCTGAATCCAAATCGTGGCCATGTGACTTTGCAGTACATATTCTGACTCTGGAGTTAGCTGTATAATTTGTCTTGGTCAGCTTGTGATGTGAGCAAGACATGATGCAAACAGAGCTTAAAAAGCACTGGTGAGACTAGGCCTGCCTGCTCTCTTGATCCTTTGTCATCATGAGCGTATACCCAGACTACTCTACTAAAGAATAAGGCGCAAAGAACATGGCCAAGTCTCCCTAGTTATCCCCCCAGCCAAGGCCCATCTAGATCAGCCAAAAGCAAGCCAACCCCAACATGTGAGCAAAGCCAACCAAAATTAATAGAGCTGCTTAGGTGACCCACCCCAGATGTGTAAGCAGTAAACACTGCTGAACTTATTTGAGGATTTTTAGTTGTTTGCTATGCAGTATTATTGTAGAAAATAACTGATATAAGTATAATGATTAAAACCACATGCTTTGGATTTAGGCTAACCAGGTCAAAATTGTCATTAGAACAGCAAATAGGCCATGTGAATTCAAGTCACCCATTTCATCACATGCACAACAACAAAGTCACCAACTCCTTATTCTGCACTGTGCTGGTAAATGATAGGATTTCAATGAACATTTATGGATAAATGAGTAAACATTGATTAACTGTTTTGCTAGACTATAGGTTCCTTAAGAGTAGGAGGAAAGCCTTACTTATCTCTGTGCACCCAGCATACACTGTGATGAAAGAGACTTATAGAGAGATCAGTCAGTACTGGTTACATGAGAAAGTACTATGAATTTGGATTACCTTATTAAGATGGATGGGAAACCACTAAAGGGCTGTAAGGAAGCCAAACAACAAGATTTGTGTTTGACAAGATTACTTTGGCTGCTCTATAGGGGTAAACGGACAGGAGGGGCCAGAACGGATGCACAGAAACCATCTAGGAGCCACCAAGGCTGTCTGTGCAGAGATGGTGTAACCTTGGATTAGAAAAAGAAAGCACACAGATTCAAGATATATTTGGAAAGCAGAAGAGAAAAATTTGCTTGAGGCTTGAGGGCCTAAGAAAATGGAAGAACCAAGAAAAAAAACAGTTTTCTGCTCTATGCTCCTACATGAGCAGTGGTGACTTTCACTGATAGGGAGCTCAAAAACACAACAGATACTTTAAAAATGCAGACTCAGAGAGACTCTGAGTTAATCCTAGTCTAAGGCCACCACTGGGAACATCTATTCAAAGAATCTGTGACATCAATTTATGTGAAGAATGATATTCCTTGAACACTAAATCATTCCCTGTTGCACTAGAAAACTTCATTTGCCTTATGTAGCTGAAGTGACCTGAAGGAAGGCTCTGCTGAACCTTTGCTAGATGGCAAAATACAGCCCCACTGTGGAAACTTCTTGAACTATATTGAACCTTCTAAGGAAACTAAGCCTAAGAAGGAAAGAGTATACATGCCTAATTTAAAATCAGCTTTAGAGACTGAGGATGAGTTCTTTCCTGCTTCACGAATTTTCCATGAATCTAAAAATTGAACTAGACTTTAGAACATGTACCTTATCACATTAGTTAATTCAAATGTTTATTCTCTACTAGAGCCATTTCTGTCTTTAAGTATGAGCCATTCTACTTTCTCTGGATTTCATGGCCATGGACTGCCACCCAAATCCTAGTCAGTCACCTAAAAAATGTGTGCTATTGACATTAAAGGAACGAGGGTGGTGAAAGTAGGGAGAGATCCATGCAAACCCATCAACACTTCTGGAAAGAAACCAAAGCATTCTGAAAGTGGGTGAACAACGTTTTCATGTGTGGAAATGTAGAGAATTTGGGACCATTATGAGTGACACGAGGAGCTCAGTGACTTACCAGTATTTATATGGTGCTTCCTAAGGCCCAGGCAAGCACTTTTTCATCAAAAAAAGACATTTCAAAAGGACTTTTTCATTACTGTATAGCCACCACCCATAAAGATTTAGTACAGTGCTGCTTTAGTTTGAAAAATGGTGCCCCTCCAAAATTTATGTTAAGACAATCCCCAACGCAACAGGATTAAGAGGCGTGGCCTCTGAAAAGTGATTAGGTCATGAGGATTCCACCCTCGTGGATGAGATTCGAATCCTTATAAAAGGGCTGGAGGTTGAAGGGAGCACTCTCTTGCCCTTCCACCTTCTGGCCATGTGACTACACAGTGTCCATCCTCTCAGAGAGAGGCAGCAAAAAGGCACCATCTTTGAAGTGAAGACCTGGCTCTCAGCAAACACAAAACCTGCCAGTGCCTTGATCTCCCTGCCTCCAGTACTGTGAAAAATAAATTTCTCTTATTTATAAATTACCTAGCCTGTGGTATTTTGTTATAGCAGCACAAATGGACTATGACATGTGCATATCTTTAAAAAATAAAATATTTGTAATGGTTGATTTACACATTAAATTCATATTCTATATCCTCCAAAGTCTGAACCAAAGGTAAGATGTATTTAGAATACATTGTCAAGAGCTGTACATCTATTCTTTTATTAAATCCTAACTCCAAACTGAAAAGCTGTTGAAGAATTTTTTTCCATTTTATACTATATAGCTGAGAAAACTAAACCTCAGAAAGGTTAAGTCATTAGTTCACAATCACAGTGCTAGTTAATGTTAGAATCTGAATTCAGCATGTCTTCCCTCAGAGTCTGCATTCTATCTGTGCCCCCAAACTAACTTCCAACATTACCACCCTTATTTTCTACGGACCAATGGGGCTTTTCTTTGGGGCTGGAATCATCTCCTCACTACCCCCTGGCATACTATTCCCACTTTGTTCCTGCCATTTCTTCTGCCCCTGAAATATTCCTCAAATGGTCATTCTGCTTCATCATTCCAAAAGGAAGCATTCTGAGCTCAAAACAAAACAAAACTAAACAATGATTCACCATGTTGATTCACAACAAAACTATAAATGACTCCGTTTTCTGGTTTGTCAATAAGCTTCAGAATACTGTCGAAACACATAAAATACAAAACATTTATATTATCAGGCTAATGGTTGCCTGTGACCCAACTAAGACCAAAGTCAGACATAATGCACACATTTCAGAGGAATTTCCCAACTAATCCAAAAGTCAAGGGCTTCCAGATATTTCCATCACCCACAAGTGGCATTCCCTTAGAATGCTAAGTCTTGAGCCCTTTCCAAGTGTTGTTCCCTAACTCTGTAACACTCCCTGAACATGCCGCTTGGTCTACCTGGCAAACCAGAATTAATCCTTTAAGACAATGGTTAGGTAGTGCCCCCTTCTTTGCTTGTGTCTCTCCACTTCCACCACACACCTTGATGTAGAGTCCCTATTCTCACTGTACACATACCTCTCCCACTAGCTTTTGAGCTCTTTGTGGGCATGGACATGTCTTCTTAAACTTTTTATCCCAAGGCCCACCAAAGAATCTGCACATACATTAAGCCCAATAAATGCTGAATGGGCACGCTCATGACCTACAGATATTGACACTGTGATTGAAAAACTTCTGGATTCAGGAATGGGGTGTGTTTATTTTTATAATATCCAGCCAAATATCAAAGGTCTAGAGAAGCTTCTACAGGCATATCTTGGAGATATTGTGGGTCTGTTCCAGACCACCACAATAAAGTGAATATCACAATACAGCAAGTGACACAAATTTGCTTTCCAGTGCATATAGAAGTTATATTACACTGTAGTCTATAAACTGTGCACTAGCATTATGTCTAAATAAAAGTACATATCTTATTTTTAAAATATTGCTAAAAAACGCTAATGATCAGCTGAGCCTCCAGCAAGTTGTAACCTTTTTACTGGTGGAAGGTCTTATCTTGATCTTGATGGCTACTGGCTGATCATACAGTGGTGTCAGCTGAAGGCTGGGGCGACTCTGGCAATTTTTTTTTTCTCACTTTTTTTTTTAACATTTATTTTAAGCTCAGGAGTATATGTGCAGCTTTGTTATATTGGTAAACTTGTGTCATGGGGGTTTGTTGTACATATTATTTAGTCACCAAAGTATTAAGCCTCGTACTCATTAGTTATGTTTCCTGATCTTCTCCCTCCTCCCAACCTTCACCCTCTTGTAAGCCCCAGTGTCTGTTGTTCCCTTCTATGTGTCCATGTGTTCTCATCATTTAGCTCCCACTTATAAGTGAAAATACCTGGTATTTGGTTTTCTGTTCATGTGTCAGTTTGCTAAGGATAAATGGCCTCCAGCTCCATCCATGTTCCTACGTGTTCTTTTTTATGGCTACATAGTATTCCAGGATTTAGCTGTATCACTTTTTCTTTATCCAGTCTATCAGTGATGTACATTTTGGTTAATTCCATGTCTTTGTTATTGTGAATAGTGCCACAATGAACATACACGTGCATGTGTCTTTATGACAGAATGACTTATATTCCTTTATAACAGCATGGTTTATATTCCTTTATGACAGAATGATTTATATCCTAGTAATGGGATTGCTGGGTTGAATGGTATTTCTGTTTTTAGGTTTTTGAGGTATCTGTCTTCCACAATGGTTGAACAAATTTACATTTCTACCAACAGTGAATAAGCATTCCTTTTTCTCCACAACCTTGCCAGCATCTGCTATTTCTTGAATTTTTAATAAAAGCCATTCTGACTGGTGTGAGACAGTATCTCACTGTTTTGATTTGCATTTCTCTAATGATCAGTGATGTTCAGCTTTTTTTCATATGCCTGTTGGCTGTGTGTATGTCTCCTTTTGAAAAGTGTCTGTTCACATCATTCACCCACTTTTTTTTTTTGTTACAGGGCACATGTGAAGGATGCACAGGTTTGTTATGTAAATGTGTGTCGTGGTGGTTTGCTGCACCTATCAACCCATCTTCTAAGTATTAAGCTTAGCATGCATTAGCTATTTTTCCTGATGGCTCCCTCCTCCTGACCTCACCTTGACAGCCCCCAGTGTGTGTTGTTCCCCTCCATTTCCATGCATTCTCCTTGTTCAGCTCCCATTTATAAGATCATGTGGTGTTTGGTTTTCTGTTCCTGCGTTACTTTGCTGAGGATAATGGCTTCCAGCTCCATCCATGTCCCTGCAAAGGACAGGAACTCATTCCTTTTTATCCTGTGCCCACTTTTTAATGGGGTTTTTTTTTCTTGTAAATTGGTTTAAGTTTCTCATAGATGCTGGATATTACACCTTTCTCAGAAGCATAGTTTGCAAAATTTTTCTCCCTTTCTGTAGGTTGTCTGTTTACTCTGTTGATAGTTTCTTTTGCTGCACAGAAACTCTTTAATTAGATCCCATTTGCCAATTTTTGCTTTTGTTGAAATTGCTTTTGGTGTCTTCATCATAAAATCTTTGCCTATGTCCAGAATGGAATTGCTTAGGTTGTCTTACAGGGTTTTTATAGGTTTGGGTTTTACATTTAGTCTTTAATCCATCTTTAGGTGATTTCTGTATATGGTATAAGGAAGGGGTCCAGTTTCAGTCTTCTGCATATGGCTAGCCAGTTATCCCAGCACCATTTATTGAATATGGAGTCCTTTCCCCATTGCTTATTCTTGTCAATTTCATCAAAGGTCAGATAGTTGTAGGTGCAAGGCCTTATTTCTGGGCTCTCTATTCTGTTCCAATGGTTTATGTGTCTGTTTTTGTACCAGCACCATGCTGTTTTGGTTATTATAGCCCTAGAGTATGGTCTGAAGTCAGGTAGCATGATGCCCTGAGCTTTGTTCTTTTCGCTTAGGATCTTCTTGCGTTTTGGGCTCTTTTTTGGTTCCATATGAATTTTTACATAGTTTTTTTTCTAGTTCTGTGAAGAACGTCATTGGTCATTTGATAGGAATAACACTGAATCTATAAATTGCTTTGAGCAGTATGGCCATTTTGACAATATTGATTCTTCCTATCCGTTAGCATGGAATATTTTTCCATTTGTTTCTGTTACCTCTGATTTCTTTGAAAAGTGTTTTGTAGTCCTCCTTGAAGAGAGCTTTCACCACCCTGGTTAGCTGTATTCCTAGGTACTTTATTCTTTTGTAGCAATTGTGAACGGGATTGTGCTCTTGATTTGGCTCTTGGCCAAACTGGTATAAAGCATTTCTAGTTTAGTTACTGTCGTTGGTCTAAAGTAATGCTAGTGATTTTTGTACCCTGATTTTGTATCCTTGGACTCTGAAGTTGTTTATCAGCTGAAGGAGCTTTTGAACCAAGAATATGAGGTTTTCTAGATTTAGGATCATGTTGTCTGCAAACAGAAATAGTTTGACTTCCTCTCTTCCTATTTGGATGCCCTTTATTTCTCTTGCCTATTGCTCTGGACAGGACATCCAATACTATGTTGAATAGGAGGTGTGAGAGACAGCATCCTTGTCTTGTGTCCGTTTTCAAGAGAGATGGTTCCAGCTTTTGCCCACTCAGTATGATGTTGGCTGTGGGTTTGCTATAGATGGCTCTCATTATTTTGAGGTGTGTTCCTTCAATACCTAGTTTATTGAAAGATTTTAACATGCAGGGGTGTTGAATTTTATCAAAAGCCTTTTCTGTATCTACTGAGATAATCATATGGTTTTTGTCTTTAGCTCCATTTATGTGATGAATCACATTTATTGAATTGTGTATGTTGAACCAACTTGTATACCAGGGATAAAGCCTACTTGATTGTGGTGGATAAGCTTTTTGATGTGCTGCTGGATTTGGTTTACCAGTATTTTGTTGAGGATTTTTGCACTGATATTCATCAAGGATACTGGCCTCAAGTTTTTTTGTTGTTGTTGTGTCTCTGCCAGGTTTTGTTATCAGAATGATGTTGGCCTCATAGGATGAGTTAGGGAGGAGTCCCTCCTCAATTTTTGCAATAGTTTCAGTAGGAATGGTATTAGCTCTTCTTTGTACATATGGTAGAATTTGGCTCTAGTTCTGTTTGGTTGGTAGGCTATTTATTACTAATTCAATTTTGGAGCTCATTATTGGTCTGTTCGGGGTTTCAATTTCTTCTTGGCTCAGTCTTGGGAGGATGTATGTCTCCAGGAATTTATCCATTTCTTTGAGATTTTCCAGTTTATGTGCATAATGTTCTCTGATGGTTATCTGTATTTCTGTAGGGTCAGCAGTAATATCCTCTTTGACATTTCTAATTGTGTTTATTTGGATCTTCTAGTTTTTCTTATTAGTCTAGCTAGCAGTCTACCTATTTTAGTAATTTTTTCAAAAACCCACTCCTGAATTCATTGATATTTTGAATGTTTTTTTTCATGTCTCAATCTCAGTTCAGCTCTGATTTTGGGTATTTCTTGTCTTCTGCTAACTTTGAGGTTTGTTTGCTATTGGTTCTCTAGTCCTTTTGGTTGTGATGTCAGCTTGTTAAACTGAGGTATTTCTAACTTTTGATGTGAGCATTTAGTGCTATAAATTTCCTGCTTAACACTGCCTTAGCTGTGTCCCACAGATTCTGGTATGTTGCATCTTTTTTTTTTTCTCACATGCTCAGCTGTCCAAGGTTGGCTTCCCCACTGCACACTCGAGTGGTATGTTGCATCTTTGTTCTCAATAGTTTCAAAGAACTTGATTTCTGCCTTAATTTTACTATTTACCCAAAAGTCATTCAGGAGTAGGTTATTCTATTTCCATTTAAATATATGGTTTTAAGTGGATTTCTTAGTCTTGTTTTCTAATTTGATTGTGGTGTGGTCTGAGAGGGTGGTTATTATAATGAGCCTAGTACTCATTATACAGCATTTGGTGAGGAATGTTTTGTGTCCGATTATGTCATTGATTTTAGAGTATGTACCATGTGGCAGTGAGAATAATGTATACTCTGTTGCTTTTGGATGGAGATGTCTGCAGATGTCTATCAGGTACATCTGGTCCAGTGCTGAGTTCAGGTCCTGAATATCCTTGTTAATTTTCTGCCTTGATGATCTGTCTAATATTGTCAGTGTGGTGTTGAAGTCTCTCACTATTATTTTGTGGTTATCTAAGTCTCTTCATAGGTCTCTAAGAACTTGCTTTATGAATCTGGATGCTCCTCTGTTGGGTGCATATATATTTAGATTAGTTAGGTCTTCTTGTTGAATTGAAGCCTTTACCATTATGTGATATCCTTTTTGTAATCTTTGCTGGTTTAAAGTCTCTTTTGTCTGAAATTAGGATTTTTCTGTTTTCTGTTTGCTTGGTAGATTTTTCTCTGGCCCTTTATTTTGGGCCTATGGGTCTCACTGCATGTGAGATGGGTCTCTTGAAGACAACGTACCAATGAGTCTTGGTTCCTAATCCAGCTTGCCACTATGTGCCTCTTAATTGGGGCATTTCACCCATTTTTTAAAATCTTTTTTGTGTTAAATATTTCTTATAATTCCTTTTATTTTTTACTTTTAACTTCAGAAGTACACGGGCAGGTTTGTTACATAGGTAAACTTGTATCACGGGGGTTTGTTGTACAGATTATTTCATCACACCGGTATTAAGCTAGTATTCATTAGTTATTTTTCCTGATCCTCTATTTTCGCATACCCTCCATCCTCCAGTAGGTCCAAGTGTGACTTGTTCCCCTCTATGTGTCCATGTGTTCTCACCATTCAGCTCCAATTTATAAGTGAGAATATGCAGTATTTGGTTTTCTGTTCTTGTGTTAGTTTGCTAAAAATAATGGTCTCAGCTCCATCCACATTTTTGCAAAGGACATGATTTCATTCTTTTTTATGGCTGCACAGTATTCCATGGTGTATATGTACATTTTCTCTATCGAGTCTATTATTGATGGACATTTAGGTTGATTCCATGTCTTTGCTATTGCGAATAGTGCTGCAATGAACATACATATGCCTGTGTCTTTATGACAGAATTATTTATCTTCCTTCCAGTATATACCTGGTAATGGGATTGCTGGGTCAAATGGTATTTGGTTTTAGGTCTTTGAGGAATCACCACACTCTCTTCCACAATGGTTGAACTAATTTATACACCCATCAACAGTGTATATGCATCCCTTTGTCTCCACAACCTTGCCAGCATCTGTTATTTTTTTGACATTTTAATAATAGTCATTCTGATTGAGAATTATATCTCACTGTGGTTTTGATTTGCATTTTTCTAATGATCAGTGATGTTCAGCATTTTTCATGATTGTGGGCTATATGTATGTCTCGTTTTGAAAAGTGTTTGTTCATGTCCTTTGCCCACTTTTTAATGGGGTTGTTTTTTTCTTGCAAATTTGTTTAAGTTCCTTATAGATGCTGGATATTAGACCGCTGTCAAATGCATAGTTTACAGAAATTTTCTCCCATTGTGTAGGTTGTCTGTTTACTCTGTTGATAGTTTCTTGTGCTGTGCAGAAGCTCTTTCATTTTATTAGATCCCATCTGTGAATTTTTTATTTTGTTGCAACTGCTTTTGGCATGAAATCTTTGCCCATGCCTATGTCCTGAATGGTACTGCCTAGGTTGTCTTCCGGGGTTTTTACAGTTTTTGATTTTACATTTAATCCATCTTAACTTTTCTATATGGTATAAGGAGGGGGGTCCAGTTTTAACCTTCTGCAAACGCATTTAGCCCATTTACATTCAAGGTTAGTATTTATATGTGTGGGTTTGATCCTGTCATTATGATGTTAGCTGGTTATCATGCAGACTTGTTTGTGTGGTTGCTTTATAGCGTCACTGGTCTGTGTACTTCCGTGTGTTTTTTAGTGGCTGATAACTCTTTTTCCATATTTAGAGCTTCCTTGAGAAGCTCTTGTAAGGCAGGTTGGGAGGTAATGAATTCCATCAGCATTTGCTTGATTGGAAAGGATCTTATTTCTCCTTTGCTTATGAAGACTCGTTTGACAAGATATGAAATTCTGGGTTAGAATTTTTTTAGGAATGTTGAATATTGGTCCCCAATCTCTTTTGGTTTGTAGGGTTTCTGCTGAGAGATCTGCTCTTAGTGTGATAGGCTTCCCTATGTAGGTGACCTGACCTTTCTTTCTAGCTGCCTTTAACATTTGCTCTTTCATTTTGACCTTGGAGAATCTGATAATTATGTGTCTTGGGGATGATCTTCTTGTGAAGTACCTTACTAGGGTTCTCTGCACTTCCTGAATTTGAATGTTGGCTTCCCTACCTAGGTTGGAAGTGTTTCCATGGATGATATCCTGAAATACATTTTACAAGTTGCTCATACTCTCCTCATCTCTTTCCAATCAGGGACATCAATGGGTCACAGATTTGGTCTCTTTACAGAACTCCATATTTTTCAGAGGTTTTGTTCATTCATTTCCATTCTTTATTCTCTATTCTTGTCTGACTGTCTTATTTCAGAAAGCCAGTCTTCAAGCTCTGATTCTTTCCTCCTCTTGTTCTGCTCTGCTATTAATAATTGTGACTGCACCATGAAATTCTTGTAGTGTGTTTTTCAGCTCTATTAGGGTGGTTATGTTCTTTTCTACACTGGCCATTGTGTCTGTCAGCTCCTGCACTGTTTTACTGTGATTCTTAGCTTCCTTGGATTGGGTTTCAATGTGCCCTGAAGCCCAGTGATCTTTGTTCCTATCCATATTTTGAATTTTATTTCTGTCATTTCAGCTATCTCAGCCCAGTTCAGAACACTTGCAGTTGTTTATAGGAAAGAAGGTACTCTGGCTTTTGAGTTGTCAGTGCTCTTCTGCTGGTTCTTTCTCATTTTTATGAGCTGGTGCTTCTTCAATCTTTGAAGTTGCTGACTGTTGGATGTTTTTATTTTCCTTTTATCTTACTTGATGACCTTGAGAGTTTGTGGTATAAGGTGGATTTAGTCTACTGGTTTGTTTCTGGAAGGTTTTAGGGGGCCAACACTCAGCTCCCAACCTCAGGACTGTGTGCTCATAGTGCAGTGGCAGCAGCATTCTTCCTCATTTGCATATGCCAGCAGCAGTGACAGCGCAGCAGGGTACATGCTCATCAGCTGTGACAGGGTACCAGTGGGTTACTGGGTGCCTGCCTCCGTGCAGGTGTTCACCACAGTGGTGGAGACAGCAGGGTTCCAGAGGTTGGGGACCCCTGCTGGTGATTATTACACATGATTGTGCTGTCTTGGGGATGCATAGGGGCAGGGTGCTGGTGGGTACAGGTCTGTATGCATTCTCTGTGAACTGCATGAAGGGGTGGTTTCTCAGGGTAGGGGAGGGTCTGCTGTTCTCTGTGCCTAGTTTCACTTCTGTGTCAGTGTTGGTGCAAGGATGTGGTGCTAGTGGGAGTGGGGCTGATTTTCCATGGGTCCACCAACACTCTGACTGCAATGGTGGTCTGGCAGGGGAAGAAAGAGCAGAGTGCAACCCCACTGCGGCAGTGGCAGAGGAGGGTGCACGCACACAGGCACACTGACAGAACAAAGGTGGCAAAACCTGCTCCCATACACACGTGCTGGCAAAGCAATGTGGGAGGTTGCTTTGGGCCCTGGGGAAGTGGCTGTGCGGGGAGGGTGTGGGTGGGCTGGTGTGTGGCTGTGGGGGTTGCTCTGCTGGAGCTCTCCACTAGTCAGGCAGGGTCCACCAGTGCAGAAGCTATGATGTGGGCCCCCAGGGTACCCGAGGCTGCCCTGCAAGTAGGTGTGGCCAGGCTGGGACCTAGGAGAGGCCAGCACACCAAGTGGTGCTCAGATCAGACTGGCGCCATATGGTGGGTAAGACCACCCTGCAGAGTTCAGGTCCAACAGTTCCCCTAGGGCTAAGGTCTCCTATGGGAGCAAGTCGAGCCTAGGGAGATGGGCTTCCCTGGCAGTGCTCTACTACAGACACTCCCACACCAAGAGCTCTGGGCTCCACTTCAGCTGGCATGAGGCTCCTACCACTTCTCTAAGCAGCCAGAGGCCCGTGGTGAAAGTGGCTTGCTCCTTGCCAGTTCAACTCACCAGTTCCCCTGGAGTCTTTAAGGGCCAGGAATGAGTCCCGGTGCATGGTAATCCTGTGCAGAATTCCAAGCTTCCTCCCACTTCAGCCCAGCTTCTGTGTCTTCCTTCCATCTACTCTCGGTGCCTTCCCTCTGAATATCTGTTAGGAGTGTGCGCCAGTGTCTTGGTCCATCAGTGGTAGCTGTTCTTCCTGGGTCCATCTGGTTGGCCATCTTGCTCTCTCCCTGCAATTTCTTAACTAAAACAGCATTAATCAACTCTCCTTTAAAGAAATAGCATGGGATGCCATTTAGCATTTTGCCCATAGTAAGATTTCCTTCAAAACTGGAGTCAATCTTCTCAAACACTGCAACTGCTTTATCAACTAAGTTTATGGAATATTCTAAATCCTTTATTGTCATTCCAACAATATTCACGGCATCTTCACAAGGAGTTGTTCCACCTCAAGAAACCACTTTCTTGATCACCTATAAGAATCAACTCCTTATCTATTAAAGTTTTATTATACGACTGCAGCAATTCAGTCACATCTTCAGGCTCCACTTCTAATTCAAATTTTGCTGTTCACACCACATCTGCAGTTACTTATTCCACTGAAGTCTTGAACGACTCAAAGTCATCCATAAGGGCTGGAATAAACTTTTTCCAAACTCCTGTTAATGTTGATATTTTGACCCTCCCCCATGAATCATAAATGTTCTTAATGACATCTAGAATGATAAGTCATTTCCAGACGACTTTCTATTTATGCAACCCAGATCCACCAGAGAAGTCACTATCTATGGCATCTATAGCCTTATAAAATGTAGTTCTTAAATAGCAACACTTGAAAGTCAAAATTAAACATTGATCCATGGGCTACAGCAACGGTGTTGTGTTGGCAGCCAGGAAAACAACATTCATCTCCTAGTACATCTCCATCGGAGCTCTTGGGTGATCAGGTACATTATCAATGAGCAGTAGTATTTTAAAAGAAATCTTTTTTTCTGAGCAGCTCTCAACAGTGGGCTTAAAATACTCAGTAAATGATGCTGTAAACAGATGTGCTGTCATCCAGACACATTGTTGTTCCATTGATAGAGCACAGGCAGAGTCAACTTAGCATAATATTTAAGGGCCCTAGGATTTCTAGAATGGTAAATGAGCACTGGCTTCAACTTAAAGTTACTGGCTGTATTAGCCCCTAACAAAAGAATCACCTTGTCCTTTGAAACTTTGAAACCACGTATTGACTTCTCCTCTCTAGCTATGAAATTCCTAGATGGCATCCTCTTCCAATAGAAGGCTGTTTTGTCTACACTGAAAATCTGCTGTTTAGTGCAGCCACCTTCATAAATTATCTTAGCTATATCTTCTAGATAACTTATTGCAGCTTCTACACAAGCACCTGCTGCTTCACCATGCACTTTTACATTAGGCTCCTTCTCATGAAGCAACCTCTGCTAGCTTCAAACTTTTCTCCTGCAGCTTCCTTACCTCTAAGACTTGACAGAATTGAAGAGAGTTAGGGCCTTGTTCTGGATTAGGCTTTGGCGTAAGGGAAAGTTATGGCTGGTTGGTCTGATCTTCCATCCAGACCCCTAAAACTTTCTCTTTTTTTTGTCAAATAAATATAATCCTTTATTAAATGAAATTTTACAAGAACAGTTTAACCCCTAAAACTTTCTACATATCACAATAAAGCTGTTTTGCTTTCTTATCATTTGTGTGTTCACCGGAGTAGCAATTTTAATTTACTTCAAGAACTTTTTCTTTATACTAAAAGCTTGATTATTTGGTACAAGAGGCCCAGCTTTCAGCCCATCTTAGTGTTAGAGATGCCTTCCTCATTAAGCTTAATCATTTCTACCTTTTGAGTTAAAGTGACAGATGTGTGACTTTTTCTTCTACTTGAACACTTAAGAGGCCACTGTTGGGTTAGTAACTGGCCCAATTTCAATATCCTTGTGTGTCAAAGAATAGGGAGGCCCAAGGAGAGGAAGAAGACAGGGAAACAGGTGGTCAGTGGCGTAGTGAGAACACACACATTTGTCAATTAAGTCCCCTGTCTTATATGGGTATGGTTCATGGCACCCAAAACAACTGCAATAGTAACATCAAAGATTACAGATCACCATAGCAGATATAATAATAATAAAAATAAAGTATGAAATACTGTGAGAATTAACAAAATGCGATAGAGATACCCAGTGAGCACATGCTGTTGGGAAAATGGTTCTGATAAATTTACTGGATGCAAGGTTGCCACAAACTTGCAATTTGTAAAAAGCACAATATCTGTGAAGTGCAATAAAGTGAAGCACAATAAAACAAAGTGTGCCTGTTATGTTTATTCACAGCTAAGCCTATTTTCAAGGAAGATGATGGTCAGCACTCACCAGAAAGGCTGTGCTAATATAGCTCTCTTGCTATGCAAACCATTGTGGCAGGGTATGCTAAATTCTACACAGGCAGCAGAACCTTCTGTAGAAACTATGGGAGGATGTGAAACAGAAAAGAAAGCAAAAAATCTCAAGTGGTGAATCCACAAAAAAAATTAAGGTAGCACAAATCAAAAATGAGAAACCAAGTGGAGACTAGGGGCCCTGTGGAAATAACATTATGATGACAAATTCTTCTGTGTCTAAACCTTTGTGGATTTCTGGCTAGGATTATTTCTAATAGCAATACTTTGTGTTCTCATTCCTTTCTCCTTTTCATCTACTCAAAAATAGTACATCAAATTATTAAGCAAAGAATAAAGTTAAAAATATGTTGTTTTTTAAATCTAATAAACAAGCTATTTGACAATTCAGGAACATGAAGTTGACCATTATCAATGTAATTACATTAACCTTGTGCCAACTGAGTCTCCTCCTCCTTCCCTAATTTCTCTCTTCATAGCAATCAGAGCTTTCCCTAGTATTTTTTTAGTGTGTGACCTACATCTGAGTTTCCCAATTTGCTTTGGTGGAGGGAATCAAAAAGTCAGTTTCTACATCCAATAAAATCTACCGCTGAGATTTTGGATTGATATAAAACTGAGAGGAAGAAAAAAGTGGAGGTGGTTTTGTGGCTGCCTTGGAGAGGTTCAATTAATATCTTGGCAGAGATTCCCAGCTATCCTGGAAGTTTTCCCTACCTTGGGAGTCTTGGTAAAATGCTATACAGGTAATTCCCCTCAGAGGCTGGACTGGAGAGGTGATTTAAGCCAACTGGGAGTCAACTACGAACCTTACATTGGAGAATAAAGTCAAACAGCTATAAATATATAAGGTCTCCACCCCAGATGAATCAAAGTCATCCCACCCCTCTTAAGTGTCTTCATAATAATTCTGTGATGTGGTGGTTTAGAGTACAGGCTGAATGACAGAAGATATATTCTCATCTCAGCCCTTATACATACTTGCACAATGTATAATAACCAAATTACTTAATTTACCTGAGTCTTGCTTTTCTATCTACCAAATCGGGAAAATAATACCTACTTCATAGGGTTGTGAGAATAAAATGATGTAAGAATTAAACAAAATAATGTACGTACGAGTTTGCCACAGCAGTTAGCATCTAGCAGATCTTCAATACAACCTAAAATGCAATCTATTTTATCCTTTTCCATTCTTCTGAATGATAAAAGTCATCAAATAAATGATAATGATGATAAATATGATCATTTTGGACTGGATGTGTATGTCTCCCCAAAATCAACATTTTGAAGCCCTAACCCCAAGTATAACTGTATTTACAGATGGGGCCTCTAAGGAAGTGATTAGGGTTAAATAAGCTCATAAGGGTGGGACCCTGGCTCTAATAAGATTGGTGGCCTTATAAGAAGAGACACCAGAGAGCTTCTGCTCTCTCTCCTTCCACATGCACACACTGAGGATAGGCAACGTGAGGACATAGTAAGAAAGTGGTCATCTGCAAGCCAGGACAGGAGAAACCAAATCAGCTGGCACCTTGCTTTAGGTGCCATGAGGAAATAAATTAATGTTGCTTAAGCCACTTTGGAACCATGAGAAAATAAATTAATGTTGCTTAAGCCACCCAGTTTATACTATTTTGTGACAGCATTCCAAACATACAAATATAATGATGATGATGACAAACGCCTTATTCCAACAAAGGAATAGACTAGATAAGGAATGATAAATTATATTTACTAGATGTTTGTTTTTTGTTTCAACTTTCCCTTGCAGGTCACTTTGGTGTTGCTGATGAAGGCACATTAGCAAACTGGGCCCAATCACTGTACATTTTTGCAGAGGCTATTGTTCTAATTAAAATCTAATGCCCTGAGCCACTAATGATGACAGGACAGTTTTCAGATCCAAGACCACTAAGGCTCCAAGAAGAGCTAGATATTAGAGGAAGTTTCAGGAAGAAATATGGTCTGACTACATTAAGGAGCCGAGTCAAAGTCAGAGTGCACAGGTTACAAGTAATCTAGGGTTGGGAGTGGAGGGATGGACAGTCTGGAGGAGAAAACAAAAGTTGTAACAACAACAACAACAGTGACAGCTGTCAGTGTTTCTGCTCTATGCAGGCATTACTGAATTATTTCCAATCCTCCCTGAAGCACTGCAAGGTAAGCATCTTCATTCTCATTTTATTCTCTTTATATAGAATGTACAGAAATGATACTTTGTAACCCAAATCTGATACAGATTTTGATTCATAACCCAAATCTGATTCATGAAAGGGAATTCTCTGTTGTTCAAAAACAAAATAATACCAAGTTTTTTCATTTGTACCTGCTCCAGTTGTGCTCCCCTTTCAGTAAATGTATCTCCAAAGTCCCACCTAGAGATAAAATATCAATACATGTTAAACAAGAATTAAAGTAAAAGTGTGCATTTTTAGATAGTTCCTCTAAACAGCTAAGCTGCTCTGGAAATACCTCTTAAAGTTTATAAATCATTTCCCTAAAAACACCCACGAGCAGCTCAAATAACTCAAGAAACAGGAGAGAGGAAACAAGAAGACTGAAAGAAGACTTGAAAACCTAAAAGCCCCAAGTCCAACTTCAGCGAAGAGAAGTAAAGTCCAAACAACAATGTGAATTGGCAGGGTGTTGACGGGGCTGCCCTCTGGGCCACAGTAGCAATCTCATACTCAAATTGTCATCACTAGCCTTTTATGTTAATCTTTCTACCAGCATTTGGTAATCTGATATAATCACAAGGAAAAAGTGCTTATTCCCCCATACGGTGAGGAAGTCCCTGCCCTTTGGAATTTTGTCTGCCATAGAACTGAACATATTATCACAAATCTGTTTTTCTTACAGTGAAGAGCCATTTATATATTCTTAATTAGTTTGTTTCTGCCTGTATTGAGAGGAATTATCTTTTACCAAGAAGCCCAAAAGAAAAACTATTTCATTTCCTCATGACAGACATTAACACATGGCATTCTAAGACAAATAAACATGTTACACTTTTACAACAGAAATAGAGAAAAAATCCTTTCCTAATTAATTTATAATTAGTTTTCTCTTCTGGAGCTCTAACTTGTATTGGACTTTGAGTAAGAAAAAAAAAATCCTTAAAAAGTAAAAGTTCAACTTTGGTTCTATCAGGTTTGATATCCAGAAGAAAATGCAAACTTCCATTGATTACACTGCAAAACATCTACTACTCTAAGGACAATGGCTGTTTAAACGCCTGAAATAAAGAATCAAGAGTGGACCACACTTGAAGAAGCTAACAGGTAGTAAGGCACTTTTCAAACACAATGGGATGGTTAACATAAAATTAAGAATGCATAGATTTCATAACTATTGCTGGTAAAAAGAAAATGTAAACAAAAAAATAGAACTTACTGCTCATTTATTTAAAACATTAAGTAACAAATTATAGAAATGTCATGTAATAGTTTCATATTTAAACCTTCACAATATTTATTTATAAGGGGAAAATTTATATTTTTAGAAATACTACTCTCTTTAAATGATGCCCAGAAATCCTACTAAAAATCTACTCTGTAACTTAATTCTACGGAGCCATTTTAGAAATATTAAAAATATGACCACCCCTAGTTAAAATGTATACTTTCCCCCAAAAAACTTCAATTTTAAGAACTACATTTATTTTTGTACAAGCAATATACACACACACAGTAATCACTTAAAGTGTATGACGGGATATCAATGGATGAATCTGGAGAAATAGGACTCTTTATCTCCAATCACACATTGTAAGCATGGATATTGGCCTCTCACTAGAGTTTTATTACTCAGATTATTTCCAATAAATAAAATGTCTTAAAAACAACATAATTGGGATCAATTTAGTCCCAATTTCCATGTCATAAAATCAGACTCCAATCCTTCTTCAATACAAGAAGCTTACTTTTCATTTACCTCTAAATTCACGATCAGTGACCACAGGGTTGAGATGGAATTGCTGAGAGTATAAGCTGCTGCCTGGGGTTGGAAGTAAGCAATCTTTTCTTCTTTCTGGGAATACTAATGCTTGCTAGAACTCTGCCAAAACAGGGGTTCTCAGCCCTTGCTGCTTCCTAGAACCCTTTCGGCTTTTAAAACCTACTGATGCTTGGACCCTGACACCACAGCTTAACAAATCAGAATCTCTAGAAATAGGGCCTGA
Source organism: Homo sapiens (assembly GCF_000001405.40). Lineage (NCBI taxonomy): Eukaryota > Metazoa > Chordata > Mammalia > Primates > Hominidae > Homo > Homo sapiens. Next base: position 21,535,281 of record NC_000009.12, read on the forward strand.
GCATTGTTATGTTTATAAAAGCTTCCCACAGAATTCTAATGTGCTGCTGGGGAAGAGACCACACATATATAAGGCTTTGAGATGGATGGATGTTACATATAGTCAGCTTATTATTGTTGACATGGTGGTGAACCAACAGGGTTGAGTGGAAGAAAAATGAGGGTAAGTTTCCATGATGAAGTGATAACTACTGGAGAAGGCTCTATCTATAGATATAAGAAGATGGAGTCAATAGTCAGGAGACTGTAAGTCCTGGGGATGACTTCATAACCAGCAAGCTGTATGAGTTCAGGCAAGTCATCTAAGTCCCCGGGGTACAGAACTGAGGGAGAAAGGAGGGTGGAGGGCCCACCACTCCCAACCAAGGCAGCCATACCTGTATTTGTTTTATATGTTAGGCTTCTGTGTGAAACTTCACTTCATGAAAGAGTTCTGTGGCCAAAACCAGTTTGAATACAGCCGATCTAGATGTTCTTTAAGGTCTCTTCTGAGATAATTTTGCAACATCCCATAAATATCTGGAACTGGCCCACCAGGCCTACATAGAAAAGAACTTAAGACAATCACAATGATGCTTGCTCTCCGCAGTTACTCTTCCCACTGGTTTATTTTGTGGGCAGAAGGCTTTTATCCAAGGTCCACCTACAAACACAGTGGCTCTTCCCTCTCCTTTTATCTGTCAGGTACTCAATAACTGCTGTGATTTTTCCCTCTTAACACTGCACCTGACTACACCCCCTTACAGGTCAATTCTGATTACCTGTAAAGTAAATGTCAACTCACATTGAGATTACAGAGTACATTTGAGGCTCTAAAACATTTTTCTGGAGACAAATTTTCACTATGGAATAAAGAGGATAAATGTGTGCCAGCTCTCTGTTGAGTTTACTCATCCAAATGAACCTTCCACCATAGGAGGCTGACTTGCAGGGGATGACAGAAGCAGATTCCCCAGTCCTCTGACTTCCCGTCAGGGCCAGCAAGGAGGAGCCCTGACAGGAAACCAGAGGATAGGAAAGGAGGGAAGCTGGTATACCCATTTTCTGGGCTTACTCCTGGTGGGGCTGCCACAGATTGACTGTGACCTTCAACTGGAATTCTCCATTCTTCTCAAAGTGGCTGTCTCCTTGCAGGTTGCAGTAATTACTCCCCCCATCACATTTATGCCAACTGGTGAAAACCATCTTGGCTTTTATCAGGGTTGCTCACACTCTACTCTTTGCTTTTAAATAGTTCCTTTATTGAACCTTCCATGAATTATCCTAATTTTAATGAGCCATTTTCTGATAGACTCCTGATACCTGACACATATTTGTTAATCAAGGATTTCTACGGAGGAGCCAAGATGGCCGAATAGGAACAGCTCCGGTCTACAGCTCCCAGCGTGAGCGACGCAGAAGACAGGTGATTTCTGCATTTCCATCTGAGACCTACAGCTGAGGGTCCTGTCTGTTAGAAGGAAAACTAACAAACAGAAAGGACATCCACACCAAAAACCCATCTGTACATCACCATCATCAAAGACCAAAAGTACATAAAACCACAAAGATGGGGAAAAAACAGAATCGAAAAACTGGAAACTCTAAAACGCAGAGCGCCTCTCCTCCTCCAAAGGAACACAGTTCCTCACCAAAAACAGAACAAAGCTGGATGGAGAATGACTTTGACGAGCTGAGAGAAGAAGGCTTCAGACGATCAAATTACTCTGAGCTATGGGAGGACATTCAAACCAAAGGCAAAGAAGTTAAAAACTTTTAAAAAAATTTAGAAGAATGTATAACTAGAATAACCAATACAGAGAAGTGCTTAAAGGAGCTGATGGAGCTGAAAACCAACGCTCGAGAACTACGTGAAGAATGCAGAAGCCTCAGGAGCCGATGCCATCAACTGGAAGAAAGGGTATCAGCAATGGAAGATGAAATGAATGAAATGAAGCGAGAAGGGAAGTTTAGAGAAAAAAGAATAAAAAGAAATGAGCAAAGCCTCCAAGAAATATGGGACTATGTGAAAAGACCAAATCTACGTCTCATTGGTGTACCTGAAAGTGATGGGGAGAATGGAACCAAGTTGGAAAACACTCTGCAGGATATTATCCAGGAGAACTTCCCCAATCTAGCAAGGCAGGCCAATGTTCAGATTCAGGAAATACAGAGAACACCACAAAGATACTCCTCGAGAAGAGCAACTCCAAGACACATAATTGTCAGATTCACCAAAGTTGAAATGAAGGAAAAAATGTTAAGGGCAGCCAGAGAGAAAGGTCGGGTTACCCTCAAAGGGAAGCCCATCAGACTAACAGCGGATCTCTCGGCAGAAACCCTACAAGCCAGAAGAGAGTGGGGGCCAATATTCAACATTCTTAAAGAAAAGAATTTTCAACCCAGAATTTCATATCCAGCCAAACTAAGCTTCATAAGTGAAGGAGAAATAAAATACTTTACAGACAAGCAAATGCTGAGAGATTTTGTCACCACCAGGCCTGCCCTAAAAGAGCTCCTGAAGGAAGCACTAAACATGGAAAGGAACAACCGGTACCAGCCGCTGCAAAATCATGCCAAAATGTAAAGACCATCGAGACTAGGAAGAAACTGCATCAACTAACGAGCAAAATCACCAGCTAACATCATAATGACAGGATCAAATTCACACATAACAATATTAACTTTAAATGTAAATGGACTAAATGCTCCAATTAAAAGACACAGACTGGCAAATTGGATAAAGAGTCAAGACCCATCAGTGTGCTGTATTCAGGAAACCCATCTCACGTGCAGAGACACACATAGGCTCAAAATAAAAGGATGGAGGAAGATCTACCAAGCAAATGGAAAACAAAAAAAGGCAGGGGTTGCAATCCTAGTCTCTGATAAAACAGACTTTAAACCAACAAAGATCAAAAGAGACAAGTCCATTACATAATGGTAAAGGGATCAATTCAACAAGAAGAGCTAACTATCCTAAATATATATGCACCCAATACAGGAGCACCCAGATTCATAAAGCAAGTCCTGAGTGACCTACAAAGAGACTTAGACTCCCACACATTAATAATGGGAGACTTTAACACCCCACTGTCAACATTAGACAGATCAATGAGACAGAAAGTCAACAAGGATACCCAGGAATTGAACTCAACTCTGCACCAAGTGGACCTAATAGACATCTACAGAACTCTCCACCCCAAATCAACAGAATATACACTTTTTTCAGCACCACACCACACCTATTCCAAAATTGACCACATAGTTGGAAGTAAAGCTCTCCTCAGCAAATGTAAAAGAACAGAAATTATAACAAACTATCTCTCAGACCACAGTGCAATCAAACTAGAACTCAGGATTAAGAATCTCACTCAAAGCCGCTCAAATACATGGAAACTGAACAACCTGCTCCTGAATGACCACTGGGTACATAACGAATTGAAGGCAGAAATAAACATGTTCTTTGAAACCAACGAGAACAAAGACACAACATACCAGAATCTCTGGGACACATTCAAAGCACTGTGTAGAGGGCAATTTATAGCACTAAATGCCCACAAGAGAAAGCAGGAAAGATCCAAAATTGACACCCTAACATCACAATTAAAAGAACTAGAAAAGCAAGAGCAAACACATTCAAAAGCTAGCAGAAGGCAAGAAATAACTAAAATCAGAGCAGAACTGAAGGAAATAGAGGCACAAAAAACCCTTCAAAAAATCAATGAATCCAGGAGCTGGTTTTTTGAAAGGATCAACAAAACTGATAGACCGCTAGCCAGACTAATAAAGAAAAAAAGAGAGAAGAATCAAATAGACACAATAAAAATTGATAAAGAGGATATCACCACCAATCCCACAGAAATACAAACTACCATCAGAGAATACTACAAACACTTCTACGCAAATAAACTAGAAAATCTAGAAGAAATGGATAAATTCCTTGACACATACACTCTCCCAAGACCAAACCAGGAAGAAGTTGAATCTCTGAATAGACCAATAACAGGAGCTGAAATTGTGACAATAATCAATAGTTTACCAACCAAAAAGAGTCCAGGACCAGATGGATTCACAGCCGAATTCTACCAGAGGTACAAGGAGGAACTGGTACCATTCCTTCTGAAACTATTCCAATCAATAGAAAAAGAGGGAATCCTCTCTAACTCATTTTATGAGGCCAGCATCATTCTGATACCAAAGCTGGGCAGAGACACAACCAAAAAAGAGAATTTTAGACCAATATCCTTGATGAACATTGATGCAAAAATCCTCAATAAAATACTGGCAAAACGAATCCAGCAGCACATCAAACAGCTTATCCACCATGATCAAGAGGGCTTCATCCCTGGGATGCAAGGCTGGTTCAATATACGCAAATCAATAAATGTAATCCAGCATATAAACAGAGCCAAAGACAAAAACCACATGATTATCTCAATAGATGCAGAAAAAGCCTTTGACAAAATTCAACAACCCTTCATGCTAAAAACTCTCAATAAATTAGGTATTGATGGGACGTATTTCAAAACAATAAGAGCTATCTATGACAAACCCACAGCCAATATCATACTGAATGGGCAAAAACTGGAAGCATTCCCTTTGAAAACTGGCACAAGACAGGGATGCCCTCTCTCACCACTCCTATTCAACATAGTGTTGGAAGTTCTGGCCAGGGCAATTAGGCAGGAGAAGGAAATAAAGGGTATTCAATTAGGAAAAGAGGAAGTCAAATTGTCCCTGTTTGCAGACGACATGATTGTATATCTAGAAAACCCCATTGTCTCAGCCCAAAATCTCCTTAAGCTGATAAGCAACTTCAGCAAAGTCTCAGGGTACAAAATCAATGTACAAAAATCACAAGCATTCTTATACACCAACAACAGAAAAACAGAGAGCCAAATCATGAGTGAACTCCCATTCACAATTGCTTCAAAGAGAATAAAATACCTAGGAATCCAACTTACAAGGGATGTGAAGGACCTCTTCAAGGAGAACTACAAACCACTGCTCAACGAAATAAAAGAGGATACAAACAAATGGAAGAACATTCCATGCTCATGGGTAGGAAGAATCAATATCGTGAAAATGGCCATACTGCCCAAGGTAATTTACAGATTCAATGCCATCCCCATCAAGCTACCAATGACTTTCTTCACAGAATTGGAAAAAACTACTTTAAAGTTCATATGGAACCAAAAAAGAGCCCGCATCACCAAGTCAATCCTAAGCCAAAAGAACAAAGCTGGAGGCATCACACTACCTGACTTCAAACTATACTACAAGGCTACAGTAACCAAAACAGCATGGTACTGGTACCAAAACAGAGATATAGCTCAATGGAACAGAACAGAGCCCTCAGAAATAACGCCGCATATCTACAACTATCTGATCTTTGATAAACCTGAGAAAAACAAGCAATGGGGAAAGGATTCCCTATTTAATAAATGGTGCTGGGAAAACTGGCTAGCCATATGTAGAAAGCTGAAACTGGATCCCTTCCTTACACCTTATACAAAAATCAATTCAAGATGGATTAAAGATTTAAAGGTTAGACCTAAAACCATAAAAACCCTAGAAGAAAACCTAGGCATTACCATTCAGGACACAGGCATGGGCGAGGACTTCATGTCCAAAACACCAAAAGCAATGGCAACAAAAGCCAAAATTGACAAATGGGATCTAATTAAACTAAAGAGCTTCTGCACAGCAAAAGAAACTACCATCAGAGTGAACAGGCAACCTACAAAATGGGAGAAAATTTTCGCAACCTACTCATCTGACAAAGGGCTAATATCCAGAATCTACAATGAACTCAAACAAATTTACAAGAAAAAAACAAACAACCCCATCCAAAAGTGGGCGAAGGACATGAACAGACACTTCTCAAAAGAAGACATTTATGCAGCCAAAAAACACATGAAAAAATGCTCATCATCACTGGCCATCAGAGAAATGCAAATCAAAACCACAATGAGATACCATCTCACACCAGTTAGAATGGCAATCATTAAAAAGTCAGGAAACAACAGGTGCTGGAGAGGATGTGGAGAAATAGGAACACTTTTACACTGTTGGTGGGACTGTAAACTAGTTCAACCATTGTGGAAGTCAGTGTGGCGATTCCTCAGGGATCTAGAACTAGAAATACCATTTGACCCAGCCATCTCATTACTGGGTATATACCCAAAGGACTATAAATCATGCTGCTATAAAGACACATGCACACATATGTTTATTGCGGCATTATTCACAATAGCAAAGACTTGGAACCAACCCAAATGTCCAACAATGATAGACTGGATTAAGAAAATGTGGCACATATACACCATGGAATACTATGCAGCCATAAAAAATGATGAGTTCATGTCCTTTGTAGGGACATGGATGAAATTGGAAATCATCATTCTCAGTAAACTATCACAAGAACAAAAAACGAAACACCGCAAATTCTCACTCATAGGTGGGAATTGAACAATGAGATCACATGGACACAGGAGGGGGAATATCACACTCTGGGGACTGTGGTGGGGTGGGGGGAGGGAGGAGGGATAGCATTGGGAGATATACCTAATGCTAGATGACGAGTTAGTGGGTGCAGCGCACCAGCATGGCACATGTATACATATGTAACTAACCTGCACAATGTGCACATGTACCCTAAAACTTAAAGTATAATAAAAAAAAAAAGGATTTCTACTTCTAGGTATTTAAAGAAATAACGAGATGCACGCAAAATTTCAGGGGTGTTATTAACGACTTTGGACAGATATATCACAATCAGGACTAATAGGAAAGGATGCTACCTATACCACCTGCTATGTGCCCTTAGCTTACTGGATCATCAGCAGTCCAGGAGAGGGAGGCGGGGAAACACAGGATATGACTGTTTTCTCATCAATATGGAAATATTTCAGTATTTTAACAACCAGTGTGGCTAAACTGGCTGACAGTCAATCCTACAAATAATAATCCTTATGCAGAATGACATAACAGCAAACAAAACTGGAAAAAATATATTTTCAATAATAAATTATTATTTATCATAAACCATAAAGGTTCATATCATAGAATGCAATGAAGCATAAAAAAATGTCTTGGACAAGTATTTACTCATTTGTGAAGATACAAACTACTTAGCAAAAAGCAGAGCAGTTACAAAATATCATAGGCTGTACAATCTCAATTTTATTTAAATATGTATGTATACATATATTTACATCTTTAAGTAAATAGACTGAGGAACTATATCAAAATGCTAATACTAATGTTTATGAGTAGTGGAATAATAATTTAATTTTCTTCTTTACAAATGTATGTTTTCCAAAATTTCTGCCATTAAACTGATGTATTTTATAGCAAAGATAACATTACTTTTTAAAAATGGAGCACAGTAAAAAAAAAGCTGCTACATTTTAAACTGAATCTTAAAAATCTTTTAGTTACTGTGCTAAAGCATTTTCACTTCTTCAGAACAAAGATTTACTACTTTACCTTGATATATCAGGGAATAGAGAACAGAGATGAACTTGAAGCAGTTCGGCATCACTGACCTGACAACCAAGTGGAGATGGTTGTCAGATAAAAAAATAATGAATCACTATGATACAAGCAAAACCAGAAATATCTAAAGATACAAAAATACAGGGAAAAGACATAAATTTTTTTTCTGGAAGGAGGTCATGGAAAGCTTCACAGAGGAAGTGATGACTGAGCAGGATTCTGAAGGCTAAACAGGAGTTCAAAAACCAGATATGGCAGGATGAAGCTTTTCTAGGAAAGAAACACCCCCATGCAAATGTTCTCGAGCATGAAACAGCCAGGAACTAAACAGATTTAGCTCTGCTTTCTTTCTCCTAAAATAGAAACTTGCAAGGATCTTGACTTTGACTGGAAGGAATAAGCATTTATGAAAAACATTCTAAGTGACAAAAATTGAGCTAGTATTTTGTTTTGTCTTTAATGGAGGAAATGAGAAAACTGAGGCTCCGGTAAGTAAGAACCCTCTTAGATATTCCTGGAATTTACACCCTGATGGGTGGTTAGTTACTTTATCTACATAGTATTCTCATGTATATATGCTATTATCGTATTCTATCAGTTGTTCTCATTACATAGAAAGGATTAAGATAAATTGGTGGTGTTCAAGGTTTTGGATTTACCTACTAGCGCACTTCCTCATTGCCACAGGAGTTAAATATTAACTCATGCTGATACCTGTCCAACATGTATGTACATGTGTGGGTGGGTGGGTTTAGGCGCAGGTGGAAATGAAGTATTGCAAAAATATCTGCAGTTTGGTGAGCAATTAATCAGGAAATAATGAGTGCTATACTGGAATAATCACCTTAAAAGTAAAACCTTCAATGAAAGCAAATCTTTCAGAAGTTCAATATGGGAATTAAATTACTTTAAAATTGTAGAATGTTCTAAACTTTTGCATTTATTGTTTTGAAAATATTTTTCAATGGTAGGCATTTTCAATCATTTATTTTATTACAAGGGGTTAATTCTGGGATTATTTTTTGCTACTTCTCAAGTTAACTATGAAAACCATAATTCTTTTTTTATCTTTTGGTTGGGTTTAATTATGACAATGTCAGTAATATGGTTTAGTTGTGTCCCCACCCAAATCTCATCTTGAATTTCCACATGTTATGGGAAGAACTTGGTGGGAGGTAATTGAATCATGGGGGCAGGTCTTTCCCATGCTATTCCTGTGCTTGTGAATAGGTCTCACGAGATCTCACGGTTTTAAGAAGGGGAGTTTCCCTGCACAAGCTCTCTTCTCTTGTCTGCTGCCACGTCAGACTTGCCTTTCACCTTCTGCCATGATTGTGAGGCTTCCCTAGCCATGTGGAACTGTAAGTGCATTAAACCTCTTTCTTTTGTAAATTGTCCAGTCTCAGGTATGTCTTTATCAGCGGCATGAAAACAGACTTATACAATCAGTGAAGGCATAACTGGGAAGTTAAGTATCATTAACTTGGTAAGGTTATTCATGTTTCAATTATAAAGAATTTACCACTTCAGATGAACTCACCTAGTTTCCTTTTTCTCTTTTCTTTTTTTTTATTTCAATAGCTTTTAAGGTACGAGTGGTTTTTGGTACATGGATGAACTGTATAGTGGTGAACTATGAGATTTTAGTGCACTGTCATCAGAGCAGTATACACTGCACCCGATACGTATTTTTTAAATCTCTCACCCCCCACTGCCTCCCACTCCCTCTTGAGCCTCCAAAGTCCATTATACCACTCTGTATGCCACTGTGTACACATAGCTTAGTTCTCCCTTATAAGTGAGAATATACAATATTTGGTTTTCCATTTCTGAGTTATTTCACTTAGAATAACGGCCTCAAAATCCATCCACATTGCTGCAAAAGACATTATTTCATTCTTTTTTATGGCTGAGTAGTATTCCATGGTGTATATATATTACACTGAAAAATGTAATTCTTTAATATGTCTATGTGAGCCAAAATCTACAAATGGTTAATGCAGATATTAGGTCAAGTGTCACTCTACAGTCTCCTGAATAGTACAGAAATCAAATTTATACCCAGTGCAATTTTTTCACCATTAAGACATTTTATTTGGCCGTGAATTTATTTGGCCAAGACAATAAATTCAGTTTTTCTTCAGCATGAACCAAATTACTTTCTTAGATGCACATTACTTTCCTCCAGTTAGATCTCTGTTTTTTGAATCCCAGGCATCCTAAAAGAATATTTTGTTAATTCTACTATAGCTCAATCTTATACCACTTGACTTCAATGGGCCACTATGAAAAAGGAAGCTGAGTTGAGTTCCTTTAAAGTCGTAAAAAGTAAATTAACATTGACCAAGCACTTTGAGGATAAAATAAAATGTCGAGTAATAATTATTCTTAAAATAAAAATAAAATCACAAGAAGTTGCCATTCTATAATTTTTTTGTGATTTTTTTTTATCTAATATCCCCCAAAGTCAGGAGGCAGTGTAGATGTACGAATATTGTCTGTATTTTCTTTCAAGTAAATGCAAAGCCAAACAAACAAACAAACAAAACACAAATGCACTTTTCACACCACGTTTTGCTCTCCACAACTTTTAGGCCCTAAGTACATACAAGCATGTATGAAAAAACAAATGCACTTATTTTCACACATTTTGCTCTTCACAACTTTTAGGCCCTAAGTACATCATGCATGTTTTAAATGCATCAAAGAGGCACTGCATTTAAAAGCAGTGAGACAGAAATGGACCAGATAGGCTTGGTGTGATAGTGACCACAATTCCAATAACTATAAAGGAGAGGAGAGGTGGACTACATCCTCTAAGCAGACTCTACTGAGCTTCAACACTATCTGTGCTACCTAAAATAACCAAGTGTTGGAAATCAGTTCTTTTATTCTATCATCAAAAAGCATGATTCAGATTGACAATGGAAATTTGATTTATATAATTATTAACAATTTTAAAAACTTTAAATAGTAGATCTCTCAAAAGACAAAATCCTTGGTGCATCTAGTAGTGAGAACTTAATTCTAAGAATTTAGAAGAACCTAGTGATTTCCTTGCTGGAAATTATAACCCACGGTTAAGCCTGAGGTTGGATGCCCACCCACCCTGCACCCCCATTATTTCTGCCTACTAATAAGCCTTTGTACTGTGTGGCCTTTCCTTAAAGCACTTTTTTTTTTTTTTTTTTTTTTACATTTTCAAGTGAGTACATAGTATGTGTACTTGCGGGTTGGGGCACCTGAAGACGAAGTGAGAAGCATTGTTGAGACAACATATCAGAAAATTCTTGCCTCTAGACAATCACTTAGGGGCTTGACTTCTGGAGAAAAATGGCAGTTTGTCAAATCCTTGACACACTTTTAATTTAGTAATTTTATTAGCATAATATGCCTACTAGCAAAAGAAGAAACGGAATTGTTTAAATTTTCCCTCATTCTGATAATGAATGTCAAACATTTTTTTAAAACATTTTAAAGGATGAGCCAACAACTTTAAAATAAATTAAAACACCATTAATTTTTAGTAGGTCTATTTAAATAATAATTTTGATTTTTGCATACTATTATTTATTTAGTCTTTTCTGTATCTTGCAGGGTATTCCTAAATTTATAATCTAGTGTCCAAAGATTTAATGAAAGCTCATTGCTTATAACAATCTGAGAAAAATAATATTAACAGTATAAAGGCAGAACACAGCTGGCTAATTTAAGTGAATACAATTTTTAAAAGCATTTACTCCATTGGGACTCATAATTACAGTATTTTGCCAGTAAATCTGTAAACATTTCATATCATATGTATTAAAAGATCATGCTTCTGAATTAGTAACTCTTAAAAGGTAAAATTAAATATTCATAAATTTCAATAATTTGAAACACCGCAGTTTGAAATTAATTGATAAAAGTATCCCCAAGTCCAGGAAGATAATAAATTGCTATCTTCTGTGTTACTGAAATATAATTTGTATTATTCCTCAATTAGTAACCCCTACAATTTTAACTGTGGTGATAAAGTGTTCTACAATATGCAAGGTGGCAATTTCAAAACCTTCCCCTAAAACCAGTATTCTCAAGTCTTTTAAACTCATAACTAACCAAGCAGAAAACTCTCATATAAAAAGTCCAGCAGAGCTATGAGTGGTTAGACAGGTTAACGCCAACCTACAGAGGAATGGAACAGAAAATACACATCAAAATCATTCAGGGATCAAGGGCAGCAAACTCTTGAAATGGTTAGAGAAATCATGGTGTGGCATATTTCTCTTAGGCAAGCAGGGTCATTTCTGAGTTGGTCCTTCTCAGTAACCCAAATGAATGAATGCTCTTTTAAAGTGCCCATTAACTGAGGTGCATTTTTCTGGCTGTTTTTATAAAGTGCATGCCATAACAGGTACTTGTTTGGACAAAGATAAACATCGCTTTGTGTTCACATGCAAGTATGGCTTGTCACTTGGCACTTTGTGAATTACTTCTCAAAAAGAAGTCCTACTTTCAGCAGTTCTTGAGGAAACAGACAAGGGATCTCCCTACAGCCACTGATTTTAGGAGGTAGGGATTAAAAGTGTCAGGAACAGAGCATCTATTTTTGCTCATGTTTTAATTGGAAGTATAGTTACCACTCAAGCCAACTGGAAGCAGAAAAGCCTTCAAGATAATACATTAGAAGAAAAGTTAAGAGGGACACTGAAGATCATAATCCAATTGAAGAAAGAACCATTGAGTCATAGGATATGAAAATTTGGATGGAACCTTTATTAAACTAGACGGGATAGTCTAATAGCTTCATTTAACCAATTCAGAAAAGTATAAAAACAAGTCTTCAGTGAGACCTCTTACCCTACAAGAAATACAAAATCTATAATAAAGATCAAGTAATAAAATAGGGCTTGCAGTTCCTAACCATTCACAGTGGACATGCTCCCAACACCTGCAATATACATACATTTTTACTTTCTGTGTTTAATGCTGTTTCTACAAATTCTGCCACGTGTATATGATCATCCGGCCATGCAGTAAAAAAGCATCACTCTAAAGTGGTATGGTCTATATTGGAAAGCAAGTGTTACTCCAGCACCTAAGTTTCTAAATACTTGAATATTTTTGCCTCCCACCAGAACTGACTATAAATATAATTATTAACCATCCCAGACAAACTATAAAGACTCAAATAAAAGTAGACTCAAAGGATAAACATATTGCATATTGAAGAATGCTACTAGAATGAATATGTCATCCTATAGTTTGGATTAATAGGGCTCAAACTATGAAATGTGTCATGTCATTTCAGAAAAAGCAAAAAAGTTTGAATGTAGAGAGAAAGGAGTAGGAGTTCATATAGCCACTAGACTCACATTTTTTACATGAACCATTGTAGGATATGCATTTTACATCATGACCTGGTACACAATACATACATAACTAAAACAAAACTTTTACAAAGCAAGACTTACCGCTATGTGCAATGCACTATGATATTTCTCTATTTCTATTTAACTTCTTAAGTAATGCTCATGGTGACCCACAAAACTGATTTCATGATACACTAATGAATCAGATCCACATTTTGAAAAACATTATACCAGAAGACTATCAAATCTTCTTGCCCATGGCATATTATTCATAAATCCCAGCATTCTTCCCAGCAAGTTCAGCTAAGCTTCAGAACCCATTTCAAACAAGCATTCCAGGCAGCGAGTATCAACTATAGTTGGGACACAGTCACCACCTAAGTTTTAAGAGGACAAAGTGCAGGGACAGAGTAGCTATTTTTATTATTTTGCACTGTTTGTACCCCCAGTGCTTGCAGAGCATCCAGAACAGAGCGGGCACTCAAATAACCACTAAGAGGTGAATCAGTAAACGACCACTAAGAAGATCAGAGGGTAAGCTTCGGTTTCTGAAGGCCCTCTGTAGCTCCTTGCACTCCATCTTTTGGCTACTTTGCTATCTTTAAATATAAAGCTTTCAAAATTCAATCACTTTGAGTACTGTATGTACCGTCCCTGCTCTCCAAACTCCACCTTTTAATAACAGTTACCTGTACTAGGCTACTTGATGGTGCCTCTGTTATTTTCAAAAACAATTAGTTTACACTTAAGGAATTACCAAAAAAGATTACAAATCATGATAGAGTCCCTTGATAACTGGAAAGAAGGACCTGCCAAAACATGGACTGGATATTAGTGCATGTATTTTCTTATTTCAACCCTTCAACAATCTATTTAGTTTCATATCATCAACCCATTTTACTGGTGGGAAACCAAACACTTGGAAAAAAGAAGTGAGGTCACACAATTAGTAAATGCTTGGCAGAGCCAGGATTTTAAACTAGGTATTTCATTGCTCTTTATTATACCTCAGCTGCTCTTAAAAATGGCATTTAAATTACAAAGAAACAATGACCAGAAGCCTCAAACCCATTTGAAGTGTGTGAATTGTTAACAAGTTATCGTGTTGGAAAAATAAAACCCTATAACTTAGTAATATACTTCATCACATAACTTTACTTTTTCTTTGCCAAATCTTTGTGAGTTATTCACTGCTGGGTATGTTTTTCTTGGCAGCTGTTAATCTTGGCTCCGACATAAGTTCTTACTGTAGAGTAATTCAGATACGTTAAGTCCTCTATTACACAGAGAAAAAACAAGACTCTCTCTCGTGTGTATGCGTGTGTGTGTGTGTGTGTGTGTGTTTATATTGCTCATGTCCAAGAGGAAATAAAAAATGGAAACAATATAAATTGGGGGTGTGTGCATCGGGCAGTTAAAAGACTTTGAAGGCAGAATCAACAATTTTGGCCTTTTGGCTCTCAGCAGAAGTAGTGTAAGGAAATGGAGCGGAAAAGAACAGTACGGGTCAGGTTTAACTCACATGCACCCCCACACAAGTGTACGCTGCTTGACGTAGTCACAAAACCTGCAATGTGTAATTTGCCCAATCATGACCATGAGTCACTGTAAAAGTTACTAAGAAGGTTGTTCAAAAAAAGCATATTTTTGTTATAACTTTAGTTCTCAACCAGGAACAATTTAGGGAACATTTGGCAATGTCTGGAGACATTTTTGGCTGACACTACTGGGTAAAAGACAGGGATGCTGCTAAACATCCCACAATGCACAGGACAGCCCCCCATAACAAGACATTATATGGGCAAAATGTCAGTAGTACCAAGGTTGAGAAACCCTGGTTTTCAGTGCAATAATATTTCGTGGACAACACAACTACTATACTCCAGCTGCCTCTCTGATCCTGTCTCCTCATCTGTAAAATAAAGATGATTATAGTGCCTCTTCATTGTGTTGTTGTGAGGATTGAGTCTGATTTATGTAAAGCATTTAAAACTACGCCTATGACATAAGTAGGTGCTAAATAAATGTCACTCTTATCACCACCAGCATCATCATCATCAAAGCTTACCACCATGCGGCATGACCCTTTATTAGGTGAATTCTCGGGGTGAAAGAGGATTCTGTGTTAAAATAAAGTTGGAAAATGGTAGGTTAAAATCAGACAAGTTTCTTTGTTGTGTAAATGCTTGGAATCTCTAATAAGCAAAAAATATAGGACATGGAGAATTTCACATTGATCTGACCAAAGAATCCTATGCAGAATCTTGCAGGACTGAACACTTTTAGGGAAAGGCCGGTGTGGTGAAAGGGCATATACTGAGACTCTATAAACAGGATTCAGCTCTTGAGTCTATCACTTATCTGCCATGAAGCTGGGTAAGGCCCTTGACTTTCCTTGGCCTCAGTGATCACCAACGCAAAAAAAAAAAAAAGCCCTTCCAGATCAGAAAGTCTCAGCTTCTCTGATGCTCCTGGTTGTAGCATATCACTGCAGACCTCAAAGACATGCACTGTCAGATGTCAAGGACACCAGGGTCAAGCAAAATGAAGAGCTATGACAATTCCCAGGATAATTATGCTCCCCAAATTCCTGTTACTAAGGAAGCTCAAATATCCAATGTGGGAAATCAAGAGGAACATGATATAAAAACTAGCCTTATCTGTTGTGTTTTTGCAAATGCAGTCTAACTTTTTAAACAGAAAGCAAAACTAGCAAAGAACAATATGGTGCAATTTTTTAAAAATCTCAACTACCTAAAGTGTAGACCAGTATTATCTCCTCAATTATCTTTTAGGTGCTAAATAAAATCAGCACAGAATACGGCAAGAAAGGATTGCTACCTCAAGGAACTAAAACTCTATTTGGGGAGGAAAATGCACATATATCAGACATCCCGTGAGTGCTGACAGTTTAAACAAAGACCAATGGGAGCAGAGTCATCTCAGTTATTGCCATTTTTGATAAGTCAAATGCACAACAGCAAAATACAAAATAAAATTTAAAAATGAAATATAAACATTTATCTTTTCGTTTGGGTTTCCAAGTAAGTGTTTTATACCACCTTATTGTTCAGCCATCATTGACAGGGGCCAGGAAGGTATTTAAACTGCAGGGTATGTGTACTATTTGTCATTCACTATACTCTTCCTCCCTGAGTGCACTGGTAAAAGTTTGGCCTGAATCCTCCATGCATGACAGAGATGTACTTTTCTGGGATACAAAGTGAAATGAGTATGCCTCGTATTGTCCAGGGCACGATTTCTTCATATTACAACCTTAAGATATTTTAAATTGTATAACTGGAATCTTTTACTCTGGAAGAATAGCCAGTGTACATATAGGTTATCCTTTCTTTTAATCCATTAAAGTCCATACCCATTTCATGACTCTGCATGGCATCTGTAATCTTGGGGTCAGGGAGGGAGAAACCAAGGTGTATGCTAAGACTCTTCTGTCCTCAGCAACCCTCTTAACCCAGGTACTGCTTAGATTGAACAGGCCGTGGTAACTGATAAGCAACATCTGCTCATTTCCTCATTGTTCACTCTCATACATGACTATGCATAAACTAGTGTCATTTTCTAGAATTCCATAGGTTCCACTAACTCTATTTCTGATGACAAACTTGTTTGTCTTTTTTTCTTTCGAAACCTTATGTTTCAGATGAATTTAAATGTAGTCCCTGTTTTTCATTTCCAGACACAAAAAGAGACAATGGCTTCCTCTTTTCAAACTGCTTTAGAATATTCTTTTGTTCAGAATCTCTTTCAAAATGTTGAGGTTTGGTTGTCTTTGGTGGTGTCCCAGAATGATGGTTTACATCATCCCGCTCTCAACCTCTCCCCCCATGCACAAGCTTTGCTTTCCTAGAATATAACCACTCTGCTCTGGTGAGCCTCAAAAGAAAAATTCTGATTTTAAAAATCTAAAGCTTTAATTACTTTTACTATTTAAAAGCCATTTTCCATTATAAAATTTATCATATAAATTTGTCTAGTTTTGTCTTTAACCTTTTTGCTTTGACCTTTGAACATACCCTGTTATCAATGTTTTTGCTATTAAAGCTCCTTTTGTTTCTTTGCATTTTAATCACTGTTTTGTTTCATTTGCAAACTGACTCCGTTCACTGCTTAGTCCTCTGTTTTGGTTCTTTTATTGTGTCCCCATGCTGAATTTCAGACACTGCAAAATGTGAGCCCTGAAAAGGGCCTTTGCATTTACCCTATTCAGGAGTGCAGGATCATTAACCACCACAAAATAAAAACTAGTTCCAACTTCCTCTGCCATCAGGGATAGAAAGCAGTGGGGAAGCTCTGAGAGGGAAGGTAGACTAGAGCCAAAGGGAAAGCATAGGTCCCGGTAGTGCTTCACCTGGATATGGATGTGTGTGTGTGTATGGAATGGTAGTGTCCTTGCATGTGGAGTTCCCATAAGTTCCCTAGAAGAGTTACAGTAACAGCAGTCACGTGAAACTTAGCAAGGAGACCTTGAAGATTTTAAAAACTCTTAGGCAGCCCTGAAGTGGGTCCTCAGTTTACACACTGATAGCCCAGGCAACTCACCCAAAGCCACATGGGAGTAAACACTAGAGATTCAGCATGGCAACCCAGATCCCTTCCTCTAATAGTAGGATACTAGCAAATACTATTTGCAAATACTATTTGCTAATACTATTTGTGAATACTATTTGCTAATACTAGCAAAGCAACATTTCCACCTTATTCTTTGGCTTTTACTTTTTCTCTTGTGAATTTAGTTCTATGAAATCTTGTTTCAGCACACATCTTAATTATGGCTGGCTCTGACAGTTCTGTCTCAAGTCCACAACTTCAACAGACTTTATACCCACACACAAGATCTATATATCCACGCCAAAGGTCAGGTGTGATAATAATGAAGAGGGAATTATCATTTTTAATGATAAGCTACCCACACTTGTTACTATACTTTGCAAGCACATATTATAATTTTCATAGGCAAAGACATATTATCCTTTTATTCATTGTCTCATTCATTGTTTTAATAAATGTTCAATGAACACCAATTTTGGGTTAGGTGCCTCGAAGACTATACTTATATTCCAATTCCAGTGCCATGGCTCTAAAAACAATGATCTATATGGTTCCTTTAGTATGGTCTTCAGAGAAAATTTAAATATCAGATTTAGTACTTTAAAGACACTATCTGCCTCTTTTGGTCATAAACATTAATTACTACCTATACCATCTGTGTCTTTTGCCAGACTTGGACATGAAGGACTTTGAATTAGTTCTAAAAATAAAAATTAAAATATGTGCTATAGCTGAGGACATCCAAAATGCTGTACAAATGACTCCCAAACAGGTTTCAAGAAGAGTTCCACAGATATTCTGCTTAATTAATGTGATATATAACAAAGTAATTAAGAGCAGAGACATAGAAATAGGAAAGACTTGGATTGGAGTCCCAGTACTACACCATTTATTAGCTGTCTGACCCCTTTAATCTCACTAGGCCAGTTTTCTTCTCTGTAAAATAGGAACAATCATGGCGCTTAGATGGGAGGGTTATTTGAAGCTTATCTGCGGTAATATAAGTAAAGCATGGAACCCAGGAAATGATCAACAGAAAGCGCTATAATTGTTATCACTGCTTTGACAATCAGAAGAGTTGGATGCATTTTATTTTAATATTTACTTTTGAACAAAATATTTGGATGAAGCTGACACCCTGGCAGTTTTAGAAAACAGTTTTGTGTTAGTTCTAGTTAGTATTTTAGATGTGATCTGAAATAAAAGTAGACAACAGTCAATTATGTGGCTCTGTTTATATTTTAATAATTTATTTCCATTTATATTTTAATATTTCCAGTAAAATTTATGTTTATAGCTTAGCTAATAGAACTATCTAACACATAGTAACTTGCCCATTATTCTGAAATATGTGGTCTTATCATTTCTACTTCAATAAATTTTGCAAAACAAAAAGGCCACCAACACTTACGATTAGCATAACGAACATCTTCAAAAGGAAAATTTACTTTTCAAATAAATCTGTTTTTTAAATTATTCTTAACTGGGCTATAACTAGCTCTCCATTTTTATATTTCCTTTTGACAGTGTGTTAATTTACAAAAGGAAATACAGAACATTAGCTTTGACCAATTGATAAATACATTTATTTTAAAAGGAAGCTGAATCTTTAAAATGTTTTGATCATCTTTGTCAGTTCATAAGATTTATGGCTATTTCTCCAGAATTTGAAAACCTCTTAGCAGCAAAAATAAAATTTATATTAAAGATTTATTATTCAAAAAACCATCTAGTTGGGTAGTCTTTTATATCTCTTTCCGTTACCTTTCCATACAGTCTTCTTTTGTCTACAAAAATATTTTCAGTCATTTCTGGGTATTGAAAGAAAATATCTTTTAGCTTATATTATTTAATACTTAATAACATTAATATGTCATTAAATTTTTCCTCATATAAAAACTAGAAATTTATTTCCAGAGATTAAAAAGTTATGATAAAATTCTAATTATTCGATTATTAGAAGCAATTAGAAAGCTACTTAACACATATCAGTCCAGGTATTAACCTGTAATTTTTACTTTGAATTACAATTCAAACTACTGTTTTTCAAGACCTCCATTTAATTTGCATAAACATATTCATTTGAAAAGTGAATTAATGTTGCAGTTTTCATTCTGTTATATCATCCTAATCCCAATTCCAAAAGCATAAAAAGCAATGTAAAATTTTATCACTGTTAACGTGCTAGGAAACATGCAGCCATGTTATAAAATTATTAAAGTCCAGCTGCAAAAAAGCTGGGGTTTGTGTATTTGTTTTCAAATTTTATCTACTTCCATTCTCACCTATAAAAAGGAAATGAGTTTTGAGTCACGGCACAGAATATGAAAAGAAAATGTCAAGTGACAATATTACCAGTTTTTACTTCAAAAACCACTCTAGTTAAAAGCTACTTAAATCCTAATTTTTAAGGCTTCATTTACTTTATGTGGATTTTACTTCAGAGAACTCACACTTTTAGTGCTTTAGTCCACTGCTTCTTATATGAAATTTTTTATTTAGTTAATGAAGTTGAGATAATCAGTAAAAGGTTTGATCAGTGAGGCAAAACTCCCCAGGATAATCATTCAATAATGACTTTATGACTGGAATTTCTACTTCAACATGTGCTATAACTCAAAAATCTCAAGTTATTTTAGATAGTAAGATCGTACCAGTTTGACTTTTGGGGAAATCAATCCTTTGCTTGTATTCAAACCTTGGACTCTAAAATAGTCTCACCTCACATACTAGAAGCTTCTAGAGCAGGACTTTCTGAGATGATTTCTTTATCTTATTTTATACATATCCAATTTACTAACGTGGCCCAAGTCCACCTGAAATTTGGCAGAAATAAGACGTCAGTTGTCGGATTACACTGGTTTTTAGATGCAGTTCATTTTCCTTTCCTGCTACCCTCCTCAGAATCAAAATTACCTCTAAGCAAAGAACCTAGATTTAAAATACAAAGAAGAAAATCCAACACAGAATTACCTAAGGAGAAGTGAAAGAACTTTTCTGTAACCAATGCTATGCCTTCTTGGTCACTTTAATATTTGCCATTTTATTGTACTTTTCCCCTCTTCCAAATTGTAGAAGCACTCTATAGAAGTAAAACAAAAAAGAGAACTATAACGCAAACTCTTAATAATTCAAAATAAGTGAAAAACTTAGATTCTTGAGCCACACTCCCCTATATGCTACCTACCCTGGCGGACTTACAATCAAATCATACTTTATTTCTTTCTAATTAGGTTGAAAGTAGTATGAACAAGGCTACTGCCTATACACAAATGGCACTAATTTTCCCATTTGGGTCTAAGTCTTTTAACTTCAACTGTTATGCCCCTGGCAAGGAAGTAAAGCTGAATTGGACAAGACCAAAACATTTCGTGGGTTTGATTTGCTGCGGATCATGAAGTTGGCTTTGCAAATGGCAGAGAAGGGGACTCCTTCACTACTGCTAACTCACAGGAATCAATGTGAAAGAGCTGTGGGGAATTAAGACTCAGAACTTCTTAACTGGCTCAGATTCATATGGACTCAGGCTTATCAGGCAGAACTATGATCAACCCACGTAGCAGGTTTTATTAATTTTCCCTATACAATCTTTCACCGCTCAGTAGTCGATCCTTTGTCAGAGGCAGCACAATCACAGAAATGGAAACTGGGCCACAAACTGCTTAGCATAAATGTTTCCAAGGCCAATAAAAATGGCATTTTTCCCCTGCCATTTGCCCAAAAGTATAATTTTTATTAATATAATTATTATTTTACTTAAAGAATCAGTGCTATTTGGACATTGCTCTTAAATGGAAATTACTTAATAACACATTTAATTTAGAAATTGGCTTCTAAATTAATGCTGACAGCTTGGAAGCTGGTATTTAGACAAAATAGAGTAAGCTGTGTATTCGATAAAGCCATGATTAAGGATTTTCAAATGAGATTTATTTTTTCTGTTGTCTGCTGTATTTTAGTACAACCAATAACTACATCCTGACAAAAAAATTCAATTACATAATAAAGCAGAAACTTCTAGGAAGTCCGAAAGTAAGTTTTGTTCTCAGACTCTTTTTACTCCCCTCCATACTGCAAACCAGCACACATATATACAATCGATTTTTCCCCTTCATCTAGACTCTTACCAAAATTATTTTAATAATTTCCTGGACTGCCTTCTCACATAAGATGTGGATAAAAAAGCCTCAATATCCATAAATACAGCAAGCACTTATATTGTACAAATAAAATAACTGACTTACTTTCTAAACACTTAATTGTATTTAAAAAGATGACATAGTTAAGAAGTCCTCAGTGAAACTACAGTTTATAACACAAAGATCAAATTTCGCTGTTTCTTAGTTAAGATTGACCTACCCTAGATCCAACAAAAGTTGCTGTTTTTTTTCCTCACTTCCATAAAAATTTCTGAATCACTTGGGAGATTATTTCTAAGGAAATAGTTGTGAAACCAAGAAGCTGTTCAAACTTAAGCATCAATTCTTTTGTTAATTCATTTTATGATTAAAAGAACTACCAAAAACATTACTCTCTAAGAATCCTATCATTATATGTATTTTAAAGTGTCTTCAAAAAGCCATTTTATCTTAAAGCTGGATTTCATTCCTCAAATGTTAATAATCTGGGATTGCATCTCTTGCTTTTTTACAGTTAAAATTTGTTTAGAGCCCCCCCGATGTTTATATGCCAAAGCTACCTAGATACACACAATGAAGAAAAACTGTGGCAATTATATGAAAAATATAATGACATCTGTCATTAAATGTCAATGTTTCAAGTAAAACATTTCTTATAAAAACCTGTTACTGAAGAAAAGAACTGTTAAAGTACATGAATTAAAGTATTTTTAATTATCCCAAATACGTACCAACCAAATTTAACTACAGCTTAGTTTTTTAGGCAAACCAAGATGACTATTTTTTTTAATCTGAGAAAAACATGGTATGTAGAAAAATTCTATTTTATTCAGTTCAACACTCTTCACTTGAGGATATGAAATTTATAAGTATGCAATCTCCTTGAAATTGTAAAAATATAATACACAATTTTATACTACCTTCTAATTTTACTTCCTCAAGCATTTGTTGTAGTTTCTAGAATAGCTATCTAGCCATTACACTGTACATAAAAGTGATCCTCCAATTTATTTCCACTTCTAAAAAGATGCTTAAATATAGAATAAAGCATTTCATACCTCCCTTCTCGTTTAAAATTCCAAAAAGGGCCAACAATCCACATTATAGGTTAAACACTTTGTCTCTGTTATACACTTTTCAGAATTTATAAGACTGAAAAATTATAAAATTTCATCCAATGAATAATTCTGTACTTTATTAAAGTCTGGTTTCTCTAAACATTTACCTATCATCTAAGCAATATTAACATGTACAACAAAGTAGTAATATGGTATAAATAGAAAATAAACACTCCAAGCTGATAATTCCATAAGGTCTAATGATTCTATTAAAACAAACACAAATCAAAATTTTCCATTTTAGGGCCCCAAATTCAACTTGAAACATTTTTTATATGATAAGATTAAAGCAGCTGCCCAATTTTCAGGAAGCTCTGTCTCAAGTTAAGGAAAAAAAGAGAAAGGAGGAACTATAGTTCTTTGGGTGACTTAAATCACTGCCTTTTTTACTTTTTTTGCCTTAAAATCAAGATAAAGTTCTCACCTAAAGATTAACCTCTGAAGACAATGAAAAATAACCAGGATTGGACTTTAAAAAACAACTTAAAAGTCAGCCCCCTCATACAAAACTCGACAACAAATAAACCTAGACTTAACTGTCATTTTCAAATCCAATTTTTACCTGAATTGGTAAAAATTTATTTAAAACAAAATGCAAAATACAATATTGTTTCAATTTTGGCCCAGGAGATAAACACTTTAATGCAGAGTTAATAAACTCCAGCGAATAAATAGGATCATTTTCCTAATTTCACTTCAAAGCTGCCAGGATTTCAATAAGGAAGTTCAAAGGCCCGATTCCAGAAACTAGAGGTCCCCGGAAAGTGAGGGGCGTCTGGCCACAGCCTCAGTTCCAAACCAGGTATAGTTCTTGAGCTGTCATTCTTAGTCCTATTACCACTAATACAAGGTCAAAAAAACGGTCCTGTAAGGTGTCAATTAAGGGGTCACTTTTGCCTAAGGTTTCCTTAACTTCTCTCCTAGTGAAGCCGCTCTAAGTGAACATTTCCGCTGTGTTTTTTTTAATGACTGCCATTGTCTCGCTGGAGAATCGGAGGCTCTTTTAGAAGTACTGTTGGAAAATTCAGGATTTTACAAAACATTTTCTCAGCTGTACAGGGCAAAAACAAACTTTAATCCTACTAGCCATGGGTGTAAACCACAAGCCTAATTTCTCTTCTAAGAAGGGAAAGCTTAGTTAAGTTTTAAAGTGACAGTAATTTTAGGTGGTAAAATGAGCTCAACTCAAACATCGCTGTATGAAAGCGCTCTCCGCCAACACGCTCATGGACACACACAACTCCTTCCTCGAGGTTTAGGGACAGAGAGCGAACCTGTGACTTCGGGCCAGGATGACGACCTGAGATTTGGACAAGAGGAGGCGGCGGTTCCGCGAAGAGCCAAGGGCGGCCGGCGCTCCGGGATGCGCCGGACCCCGCGGCGCATCCTCGTTTGGGCGCCAACGGGCGCCGGCGGTCCTCGGACCCGGGTGTCGACTGCCGTGTGCCCACTGCCGTGTGCCCAGGCCCCGAAGCCTCCTCAACTCCTTGAGGGGCGCCTCCCTAGCCAGCTCAGCGCGCAGCGGGACCAAGGCTCTCCCAGCTTACCTGCGGGTCCGAGTAGGAGGACAGAAGCGCCGCCCGGCCTCGCCCAAGCGCACACGAAGGGGCCGCTTCCCGCCCCCCGCACCCCAGACCAGGCGGCTCACGGAACACCGCCTCCCAGCTCTGGCCCGGGACCAGGCGGTCCCCCAGCCGGCTTCGGCGCCGCGGCCGGGGACGCGCGTCTTCCTTCTCCAGGCGCCGGACGTGGAACCTGCGAGCCCCTGGCGGCGCCCCAAGTTATGCACAGGTCGCAGCTGCTCACCAAGCTCCTCCTGGGAGGCCGCCCTGGTCCCCGAGAGGGGCGCGCGGGAGTGGACGTTCCCGCACCTTCGCCCCATCCACACCTGCCGCCGCCGCCGGGGCCGCCAGCGCCGTGGCTCCGCCCCGGCTCCGCCCCTCGCCGCCCCCGGCTCCCGCTCCAGCCGCCGCCGCGACCGCCGCGGAAAGGAGGGGGAGGGAAGAGGCGCCTGGACGGGGCTGCGGGAGCGGCCGTGCTGAGCCTCCTCCCTTGGGCCCGGACGGGACCCAGGTTTCTCCACTGCAACGCAGCTCCCGAGTGACGGAATTTTGTGGGGGAAGCGGCGGCCACTACGCTCGCTTTTGGCACAGTAGCCCTTTGCGGGTGGGAGCTTCTCGCAGTCAGAGCTAAGGGAGAGGGAGTCCACCTGCAAGAGCCAGAGCTCGCCCTTGTACTCTCCGAATGCAAACTTAGCAAATTGAACAGCGGAAGTACTTCCTTGGTCGGACCCCTGCTCTTCTAGGGGTCTTCTAGAAACGTGGCGGCTATCACAGGCCCCGTGGTATAACTGGCATTTGGAAAACGAGGGTGTTTTTCCATCTGGAGTGGCCTCTCTCCTATCCTCAACCCTCCGTGTCCTTCGACGCCTCTCTCAGATGCCATCTCCACCAAGAATTTTTTCCGGGTACCCACCTGCGCCCAGATTTGATTCCGCCCTCTTTGGGACAGCCTGGGTGCTCTGAACCTTTCCACTGCCCCTTCAGGTGTATGAGAGCGCCTTGTGAAATGCATGGGCCATCGTTAGTTATTTTTATTGCAATATGTGGTTTCATATTCAGTACTGTAGTATACAAGCAGAGATATTTATGCTTTCACAACACTTTTCATTTGGGTTTGAATTCCTTAAACATGAAGACTATAGTAAGTTGCCCATCTCTGGAAGTAAATACTGAGGGGTACATGGCAGGGTAATCCGACCCGATGACCTAGCCAGAAGTTCTGGCTGTCCTACTCAACTATGCCCTCCGCAAGCCCAGCATGGTAGCCTTTCACCTGGATTTGAAGGGGAAAATTGTATTTCTCTCTGAATGTAATTACATTTTGGCAAAGGTCAGTCTAGTTACCACCAAAAAATATTCTACGAGTTGAAGGGTGGGGGTGGGAGCGTCAGAGCAAGGTTAATAGTGGTATTTTATTGATTTTGAAGTAAATATAACTCTACGTAGTCATTTGTTCAACCAAAACGAAAAATATTCATCAAATATTCCCTAATAAGTTGGTACTCATTTCCTTAGCCACTTTAAAAAACACAAGTCAAATATAATTGATTATATAAATTGTATTTGCATGAAGATTTGAGTCCAAGGACTATAAGAAAGATTCAAATTTTAAATTTTCTGCATACGATATGGTTAAATAAAATGTTTGTATACTATTTCCTATACCTAAGTGTATGTTTTGAGTTGAGATGTCAGTAGTGTTTAATGGTTAATAGTGTTAAGTAAACGACAGCTAGGAATCACTACAGTTAGCTTAGAACAGGTTGAATTTATGAACTCCCATTTTAAAGAACTGAGAAATCTCAAACCATATGACTGCCTTGACCAAGAAATAAAAAAAATTAAACAGATTCTTAATATTAAAATTTCTGAAAATTTTGAAAAATGAATTTTTAAAATTAACAGTCCTAGTATTTTTAAAAAGCAAATATTTTAGAAATCATGAAAAATGTACCTTAAGATGTAAAAGAGGATAAACCTCAGAGCTAAGGTCTTTTTAAAAATGTAGTTAGTGAAACCTATTCATGGAAAACTCAAAAGCATTCTTTGAAGTGAAAAAAGTACTCTAAATTTATTATGGAAAGTATAGTATCATTGAACTCAAATAGCTATTTTAAACATCGTAATTCTGTGAGTAACAAGAAAAAAAAGCTTTCCTTATATGTGAATCCCACTAGGCAAGACTTTGTCCAAAGTCCAACAGAAAAAAATATTGAATAAACAAGCATAAGCATCTCATTCGTGGAACATATTTTTAAGCTTTTATACAGAAGCCCAAAATAATATTATAGAAAAGATTACACAATTGCATAGCCAAAATTATATATCATAATATTATGAATAGCAAAGAAGCAAAGAAGGAATAATTCACCTCAAATAGCAAATAAACAAAAAGTGTCTTAAGCCCATAGTATCTTTTAGACTTCAACTGAGGCAAGCAAGCTGTTTGGCCCAAGACAAATATACATAATATCACAGTAAACCCAGAGCTAATAGAATACAGCCATAAGAGGCCCACATTGCAAACACACAGGCATCTGTAGCTAAAACTATCAAAGGGGCTTGCCCAGGGTACTTCACATACAACTTTTTGTTCCATCTTACTTCATTATAATGACAGCATCATCTTGAATGTGAGAATTTCCTCCTCAACCTTTACCTGCAAGTAAAAGATGAACCACTACTCATTTTCTAGTTGTACCCTAAAATGAATAAATAAGTCAAAGTTTCTACTGGCATTTAAATTATTTCTAAATATATTACTTACAAAGCTTAATGTATTATTTTAGTGATTAATAATTTCTGTACCATAAAACTTGTTCTGTATTAGTTATCACGTCTTTATACATCCACTGGTAATCAAGGACTTTCAGAAGAGAGTAGAATACAATCTTTATTTTATTTAAAGTTTAAATATATGTATTTAAGATACATATGTGTATGTGTGTGTATACATATGTATGTGTGTGTGTGTATATATATATATATAAATATAAATATAAAATGCACCCACACACATGAAGTACAGGACAAATGGGAACAGAAATGCCAAAACAATCTTTTTCCAAAATAAATATTTATAATAATTATAAAATAAATTATTAACAGAAAGTATACAAAGTGTGCTTTCCATTTCATTTTTAGTTTACTTATTTAGAAATGTTTTTGCATGTAAGCAAACCCAAATTCTGGTGATTATTATTAGTATTGTTTTTGAACAATGAGGTGGTGCAAGAAGCATTGGAAAGAATTTCTTAGCGGTCTCTCTGGCATTTTTTGAAGTTCTAATAAGCTTTTATGTGGAAGTTAGCAGATAATTTCAGTTTAAGTGATTTGACTGATGACATCGACAAATATTTTAATGTCTTCTTTATAGTAGACATGTTATAGAAAAACTTTATATATAAAAAGTTTATATACAGAAAACTTGCTAAAAAGTATTTTATAGTTCTTTACGTAGAAAAACTTGCTAAAAAGACAACACTATAAATATCTATGCAAATGTTATTATCTGTTCAAACTAGATGGTGGGTGTATGAATATCTGGCATCATTTTGAAATGTTTCATAATTAAGAATAAAAGTTGAAATAAGAATATATAACAACGGTAAATGAAATATTGAAATTATTTTAAAAATATTTGTGATTCCCCATTTATCCTTATATAACCTTTAGCACGTTAAAGCATTTAAATGGATTATCTTCCATTTGTAGCCTTTTTTTTTTTTGTAGCTACAATCTCATGCCTGCTACTTTTGAATAATACAGTTCTCACTGTGAAGAGCGAGGTGAGAAGGAAGCATTTTTGGTACATGTAGAAAGGTGAAAATTAATTTTTCTAAAAGAGACAGTGTCATGCTTTTCAAAATAAATATTGTAGGTAAAACAGGAACAAGCTGAAAATATTACGTCATTGTATCTTTATTCCATGCTAAGTTTAGAATGTTATTTTGCCTGGTAGTATTATTTTCTTTAAACGTTTAGTCAAACACACATTTTATTTCACCTAACTTCTGTAAAGTAGAAGTAGGAAAAGAAATATTTAAATTATTGAAAAAACTGAATATGAAAATATGAGCCATATTCTGTTTTATTCCTGGTATGATTTTTTATAAGAACATTTAGAGAAAGCCATAGTTTTCCCTTAAAAATGAAATGACATAGTATTGGATTGTACAGTTGTCTTTAGGTATGCATAAATTTATTGAATGCTAAATCGGTTTCCAGAATTTTTCAACCTTGCCCATTCAGCCCTCATTTTAGGAACCGTCATGAAGCTTGTCTTAATTGAAAATACAGGCAACAACACTAGCTGCTTAAAAAAAAAAATCCCTCATGAGCTGTTAACATACAGAAAGTTAATCTCTGGCTCAGAAATAAGTCTTCCTTATCAATGGCCTTGTTCATCTTTGAATCATCCATATTTTGAAGAATCAAAGGATTTCAGAGGTCTCTATGAGGAAGAGTGGTGGTTCTCAACTCCAACACACTAGGATGATATGGATATATCTACACGGGCTTCCAAACAATTATTAGATTGTTATAGTACAATGCTTAGTTCTTGCTAACTCTGATTTTATCTCTTTCTCCTCTCTTGAAAGAAAGTGAAAGCAATGTTTTTTAACAACTTTAAGTTTGCTCTAATGTAAAGAGATAAATTATTCATACTCATTATTTGTAACCCACCTTACAATTTATAGAGACGCACAACATGTTAAGTAGATAGAGGACTATATAATACCAACCCCCCATCACTAATAGTTTTATTCTAAGGAAAAAAGTCAGTTTACTCCCTCTTACCTGTCAACCTGGTGATGGCTTCCTCATTGTGTGGGTTTAGGCTTTAGCTGAGTGGTGAGATGGAGTATGGAAAGGATCTATCTGACAGGATTCTGGGAGGGGCTGCTCTAAAGTGCTTTGTGGTAGAGATATAGAATTGGAACTACTACTAGGGTCTTACTGCTCAGTAAGACTCCATAGAGGATCAGCATCAGCAAGACCATTTAAAATGCAAAACCCTAGATGATACCCCAGACCTACTAAATCAGAATCTGCATTTTAAGAAGAGAGAGAGAGAAAGGACTTAGAGAAAACAAAAGGTAAAGAAAACATTGGTCTTTCTCAAAGATAGCAGGTCAGCTGCTGAAGAGTTCTGAATAGCACCCTAAATCCCAGCCATCCATTCTTTACTCGAAATTGGACTTATTCCTTCAAGGAATGCATTTATTAGATAAAAGGAGAAAAGTAAATAAATGATGGACTCTGTTTTGACACATTTTGAACAATGGCCAGGTACTTCCATCAGGAAAAGAAAGTGCTAGGGCATCCTGCTTAAAGTAAAGGACTCTTGTCATTAAGCTAGCACACTAAATTAGAATGCAATAGTGTTATTTTAGAGTGGTACAAGACACGTGTCAGTAATCCTTTTTCTGGCATTTTAGTGAGTGCAGTGGAAAATGTATTCAGGCTTTGGAATGAAGTGCATCTCATTTTTACTCTCCTCTCTGACACTTACCTTCATTAAATTTCCAAAATCTTTGTCCCTCCATTTGCATACCAGTAAAAATAGTAAAAATATTGTAATGTATAGCTCATATGGTACTGTAAAAATTAAACAAAATAATATTTATAAATTTGTTAGCAGAGTGCAGGGCACACCATTTATGTTTAAAAGGAGAGAGACAGAGAGAGAGAGAGAGAGAGAGAGAGAGACTTGAGAGAAACACCAGTTCCATTTCCCTTCCTTTGTAATGGTGTTGCTGCACACCTAGTGTGTTCAGTATAGAACACATCAAAGACCGTCAAATGTCTCTGGGCTGTTGGTTTTAAGGCTGAAAAAGCCAGCAATGTTTGGAACCACATCAAGGATTCCAATCCATTCCCACTCCCCATCCGATGAATGACTAGTTAAAAAGTCATGCCCCTGTGCATGTTGAATACAAGAAAAAACAAGTTTACAGCCAAGGCATACTTCTTAAATCCCTGTCCAGCTATGGAAAGAGAGCTAAAATCTAAGCAGATGTCCAATTGAGACCCAAATTATGAACGTGTGCATGTGTGTGTTTTAAAGAAAAAAATGCAGATTATCTTTATGGCCACGACTCACCTTCCATGAAACTATCTGAAATGAGAACTGGCAGTCATAAGGGAGACATGTTGATATATCCAATACACTGAGGTAGAAGGCATTTGTGTGGCTAGGATATGTGAGAGGGTCCTTTTCTCCCTGCTGGGTTTTTTGTTTGTTTTTTGTAAATCTCTTGTGCCTGATACTTGCACAGATATATTCTTACGGTGAGACTTTCTCCCTGGGGAAGTTTTCCTAGACATAGCCCTCACCCCCATCCTCCCATGCTCAGTTGCTTTGTCTGCTGTTTTCCCATATTAAAAAAACAAAACAAGACAACTCTGTAATATCCTTTGCATTGCATCTCCTCTGCTAGCCTTTCAGCGGCAAGTACTATGCTTTATTTTTCTTTGTTTTGTCAGCCTGACCCATTTCCAAACACATGGCAGGTCCTCGATAAATGCAGAAATGAATACTCTGATCCAACATTTGCATTTATCAGACTTGGTATCCCATATGAAGTGTTCCATGAAAAAAAAAAAAAGAGAGACAGAGAGATGTTCAAGAAATCTTGGGCTTAAACCTCAGACCCATTAATAGGCTAACATGCATTGTATTTCTCAAACATTTTTGACCATCAAAACCCACTCCCACATTTTTTAGAGTGTAGCAGGGCACAGTTTGCAAAACACAGCCCTAGTACAAACAAAAGCAGTCCAAACATTCAGCAATGGTTCTTTAATGCTTTCTAAATTACAGAGTGTAATAGCATTTTGACAAAACAGAAATCTCCGTGTAACCAAAAGATTCACAATACTAGATTTTTAACAACATTTAATTCAACGGAATCCCAGTACAATGAAATAATTTGGACACTCCCTGGTAGTATTTTGTACGAGGATTTCACCTGGGTTGGATAAGAATCTGACTAATGTTATTTTACCCAAAGTAAGCCAACACAAAGGGCAAAAGAAGGGAAATATTTGGCATAATATTTTTCCAGGCAATGGTATCAGCATAGTAAACTCAGTAATTACAACTCTGGTTCTAGACAGGTACCCTATACTTTTCAAAAAGCTTTCTGTAGCATTCTGGGAAGATGGTTTGGACAATGGATAGCAAATGAGAAAAGTGATTGTATGAATCAAATTCCTGCAGGTGGTGATCTTTTATACCAGGTTTTCCTCCTGCTTCTTTTCTACCTTCCCTACCTCTCCTGCCTTCCCTGTTTTCACTTCTCCTCCTTTTATACTCTTCAGACCACTACTTTTCCCCCATTTTGTTACATCAGGGCTAGTGGATAATGCTAAACTAACACTCATTATAGTAAAGATGATATTAAAAATACATCACAGCTAGAATGGTACAGATGCTGGTCACCTAGAGCTAAAGGCAGCCAGAACTCTTGAGTGAGGTCTAGAAACCCCTGATCTGTCAGAAGCTACTGACTCAAGGAACAGGAGTGTCCCAGGTAAGGGGCCAGGAAAGCAAGAGGGGCACTGGAGGGTCCGTGGGGCAGTAGCTGTTTATGCAGAACTATATCAATAAAGATATATAACAATATATACAGAACAGTACCAATATTTTACATACCTAGTCATATCAGTGCATGCCAGATGTATGTCACCCTTAGATTCAATAACTTTTTGTTGAATCCCTCCCATGTGCCTGGCATTATACTAGGCCCTGAAGACAGGTCGAAGAGCAAGATTTTTATCCTAGTATCAAATAAATTCTCTACATTATTGAACATTAGGTGATCAAGAGGTAAATCAAGATGCAGTTGTGACTTTTTTCTGTTTATCTAACTTAAACATCAACCCTAGTCTGTAATTAGGTTTTAGGCAGTGGGTAAAAAGGAAAAGTAAGGGAAAGAGAGGTTCAACTTGGGAATGGAAGCAAAAGAAAACGTTGCTGAGGACAAGGAGGAGTGCTGTGACATCATTAGAATGTTTTGACTCCTCTTTGTCTTTGGAAGGCATTTTCCCACTTTCAGAACCATCTTTGCTAAACACTCTGTTAGCATGTTTTTATTGAATGTTTAATTAACATAACCTTGGAAATCATGGGGAAATTGTTTCCTGAACTCATCTTCAATTTAAAAGATAGAATAATAATACAGGAAAGTGTCTTTCTTTCCTATTCAGGGTATTAAAAAATAATGAATTTGTATCCTGTTTGCTTTGAAGTAACGAAAACAGTTATTGCTTATATAAAACTTGGTTATTTGAAAATTTATTTTCATCATTTGAAATATACTTTGAAACTCAACCCACATCACTCTGGAAGATTTCAAAAGGAAAAGCTCATCACTGAGTTTCTTCTTCCAGGCAGGGTTCAAGCTCCATTCACATGTAAACCTCACAAAAATGCTTTAAGTTGGAATCATAATCTCCATTTTAATGAGGAAATTGAGGTTCAGCTAAATTAGGTAGCTGACAAAGATGACACATGGCACATGGCAAAATCAGCACTTGACTCCAGCTCATAAGGCTCTAAGTCAAGGAACTACTAAGTCGATCTTTCCCAACAAATTAATTGCATTTCCTTAAAGTCTCTTACATCACCATGTAAAGTACCATCTCACCTAACTGCTCATTGAAAAACTCAGGAGAAGAAGAAAATTCAGATTCGATACACAAAATAACCAGTTTTCTATGTAACTATTAGGTTACAAGCCATCATTCACCTGAGTGTGTTTTAAAGTTGAAACAGAACCTAATGTACAGAAAACAAATGTCAAAGCTTCTTTAAAAGGCTAGTATAATCCATTATATATTGTATTTCTAATATCAAAATAAACTTTTATTGCCTAATGTGAATTCAAAGCAATCGAGTCTTTTTCGTCCAAAACAATACAATATGCAAACTTAACACAAGACTACTTTGTTTGCTTGTTCAAGTTTCTCTTAAGAATCAGTACTAAATTTATAGACATATGTATACACTCATAGGTTAAAAAGTGGACTGTTTGCCAAGCAGGCTTATTCTCTTTCCTCCCCGACATTGTTTCTTCAGCTTTTTCCTCTTCCCTGCACATCACTTTGGACAATATCCTTAAATATGATGAGAGCTTGACATGCGGAAATAAAAGCAGGATATAAAAACAGAAAATGAAAACTTTTATGAGAACGAACAAAGATAAAAAAGTGTGTGCATATATAAATGTGTTAATACACAGTTTGTATAGCAGTCATAAAGTATGCACTCTGGCATAAAAAGATCTAAGAAGATAATGGGAGCAAATAGTAGGAACAGCAAGATGATTGAAATGTATAAAATTACAAAGGGTAGAGATTTGTTCTCTGAATCCTAGAATCCATGAAATTATAAAGAACAACAGAAAAAGCTATTTGTGGGTAAAATCAGGAATGAATATACAAGTGTGATAATAATTATAATATGTAAAATTTACCAGTTTTTAAAGAATAATTTATGTTAAGTATAATCTAACTCTTCTAAAATGCCAAATACCATAGAGGTGTCATTTTGACAATTGAATATTTTGGTACCCTACATGGACATAAGTGCTTATTAATGAGTTCCAGTTAACAGAATACTGAATAAATGCGCTTTTATTGAACACTATGCAAACCAGCATTTATTGTGGTTTTTAAGATAGATGGGAAGATGTTTTTCTTTGCACATAAGGTTGTAAACTCTTGAAGGCTTAAACACTGCAGTAAGTGCAGCCTGGAAAATGAGATAAATTGAAAAGTAATTTAGTTTAATTCATAAAATGAGCTATGATGGAACCTAGAGATATTTGGGGGAGATTTCTAGCTTTAAGAATAACAACAGAGGAAACACTAAGAGCAGCAAAGCACAAGGCTGATGGTATCCACTAGTTTCTAACATTTCTTATTTTCCTGTAATTAAGCTCTCAAGATTTATGTATACTAATGTGATTATGTGTAAATACCCATCATACTTCCAAAATATTTTAGGAGAAAACTGGATATACATTCATTAAGTTATATGCATTTCTAGAGGAATAATTTTTCTGTCTTAGTCCATATTAACATTTGTGAAGAAAAACGATGAGAGTTTTTGGAATGAAATATATCTTCTAACCAAATTAGTTTTAGTTTTAGTTTTCTCATTTTAAATGCATCTAAGCAATAAAAATATGAAAGCAATTATTGAATCATAATGAAAGTGTTTTTTATTTTTAAAAAATATCTTGGAATTAATATATTAAAGCTTTGCTCAAACTAGATTAAATCACTGGATTTGATATTAGTCCACCAACTCTTAACACATTCTTCACTTGTTAAGATATTGCTCTTTCTGGCATTTAAGAGAACTGTAGCTTGCTAAATTAATATGACATCATTCTTTTTCTCCACTGGTGTACAAATTCTGGTTTTCTAAGTGCCTTCTCAGAAATGCGTTGTTTTCATACTTTGGTTTGTCAGATTATTTTAAACAAAATATTTTAAGATACATTTATAATACAAGTTCAACATTAAAGAACTTTAAGGGGGAATTGCAGAAAACTGGAGATGGAATGGGCCCAAGCAGGCTATCTAAAGGCCAAACTCTTGCCAAAATAAGTTACCTCTGTAGAGAACAATGTCATTTTCCTCTATTTCTTTGTATATTTAATTTTTTAAAAAATTATCGTGAATTCTAATAGAGCTCACAAGTGGGATGTCTTTTTCATTTTCTTGTCTGCTTTTCAGATTACTTTTAGTAAGTATAATCAAAATATTACTTCACGTTTATTCTTTATGCATACATTCTTCCTGTGTTTTTGGAGAAATAAACCTTTTACTGATACGATACGAAATGAGCAAATAAGAGGATTGCTTAGCTTTTCAATGACAAAGTAAGAGAATGGAAGAAAATCCAAGCAGTGGACTGAGAAATAGAAAGGCAAGTCTGTTTAAATAGTATTGCGTTTCACCTTATGTTGTTCAGTGTTTATCTCTTTACCACTGCTAATACTCAAGCCACCCTCCCACCTCCACCAAAAAATATCTGGAATGTACAATATTTACCTTTAGAAAATCAGAATTTAAAAGATAGAAACAAGCACAATACTGCCAGTAACAAGGGGTGAGATTATTCTGTAGGAACATGAGAGGTGGTCAGGACCAGAGGAATGAACTTCGTTTAGAGCCATACATAAAGTAAAAGGCAAAGGAGATGATAATAAAAAGAAACATCATTGAAAGTGGAATGGAGGAGACTAGGAGAGTGGTGTTCAATTGGCAGATCATATAGAACTCCAGAGATGAAAACAATTCATTAGTAATTCATTACTCACTAGGTATCTAATATGTATCCTGCCTTCTACTAAACACTGGCTAAGAATACAAAAATGCAAGCTAGGACCTCACAATAACTTTGCTTCTAGGTGGAGAACACACTTAACTAGGTAAACAATGGTTTATCGTATTCTCTTTTGTGTTAAAGATCTGAAGAATAAGAGGAGTTGAGTGGAGTGAGCTAAGAAGACTGGCAACCTTTGCTAGAAGGTTAGGTTCCTACTCGGCTTTGCCCCCGGACACCTCTCTCTGTCACTGGTGATAATACTCCCTTAGCATTTGGGCCCGTGTCATAGCAGAAAGTGATTTCTCTGGAATAACTCTGATTTTAGAAGATGATTTCAAGGACAAAAATCAATGTAGCTTACAGCACAATTAGATTGCTAGCTGTTACCAAATTCTCTTTGTAATTTATTTTGTAGCTTCTCTCTTTATTCACTGTAGCAGGAGAAAATACAGAGAGAGATGCTTTGAATATAAAAATATACCATGGTAAAAAACTATTTGCTAACAAATTTGGTTTACTTAACTGTGGAATCAAGTCAGGAAAATTGAACTGAGAGAAATCATAGAAATGATTTTATCTAACCTTCTCATTTTACAGATGAGGAAATAAAGTCTAATGAGATATAACAACTTATAGTCACATAACTCATTTCTGATAAAACCCGATGTCTACAGACTCCATGTTCTTACCTTTACACCATACTGTTTCTCCTTGCAGTATTTTCCTACTTAAAATGACACTTTACATATTAATAACCTACAAACTTGGAAATTTCAGATTATGTTATAGTAGAAAGTGCTTAAGTTGGAGCTAATCAGCCCTGAACTGGAATCCTGTTCAGCTCAGCTACTAATTAGCTATAGAATTTTGACAAGTTGATTATTCATTCTCAACTTGTACTTATGATAGCACTTACTATATCTCAGCTACTTTTTTAAGTGCTAGGAAAGTGGCGAACAAAAACTTACATTTTTGTAAAGGGACAATGACATACATGTACATAAATATTTACTGTGTCAAGTGTAATACATCTGGGAAGAAAAAGCTGGATGAGCAGTCAGAGAATGACAAAGTTTTATAAAAGGTATTATGAAAAGTCTCCATGATAATAATAGCTAATATTTTTAGAGTTCTCAGTATATCCTAAGTGCTTTACATATAATTGCCTTTAAATCCTCACATTATGCTATGAAGTAGGTCCTATTAATATCTCCCCTTTAACAGATGAGAAAATGAATGCCCTTAGGGGTTAAGTAACTTACCCAAGATTATCCAGCTAGTAAGCAATAGAGCCAGTAGCTCTGGCTCCAGAGTGTCCTCTAAGCACTATTTGATGCTGCTTTTCTACTTAAAATGGGCAGCAGTGGAGCAGAGGGTTCTCTGAGTTGCAGTTTCCCTGCCCATAACAGGCTCATTTGAGAATTGTAAGATGAAATATACATTTAAAACATAGCTCTGCATCTGTCACAAACTAGGTTTTATAAGTCAGAATTCTTTGGCTGCAATTTACAGAAACCCAACTGAAGATATCCTAATAAAAATTTTTAAAAATGTATTGTTTCATGTAGGCAAATTGCATGGGCAGGAGTAGAGTGAACATCAGAAGTAACTAAGGCCAAGGACTCCTCAAATGTAGACTTCCTCTCTCTCTCTTCATCTCTGTGTGTTGACTTTATTCTTTCCTACTACAGAA
This sequence comes from Homo sapiens, assembly GCF_000001405.40. NCBI lineage: Eukaryota > Metazoa > Chordata > Mammalia > Primates > Hominidae > Homo > Homo sapiens. Next base: position 21,572,544 of record NC_000009.12, read on the forward strand.
TGACTTTCTCCTTGTGATGGAAAGTATGGTTGCAGACTGCAAGTTTATATTCTTTCAGATTTTAACAGCTAATTAACGAGCCCTCACTGTAGTTAAGAGCTTTACCCTGAGTACCTGTACTCATTCTCAAAAGTAATGCTCACAACAACTCCATGCAGTTGGTACATCTGTCATGTCCATTTTCAGATGAGGAAATTGAGGCACAGACATGTAAATAGTTTATCTAAAGCCACCAACTAGAAAGGGTCACAAATGTAGGCAGTCTGTTCCAGGGATAGTACCCATAAGTCAACATATTCTGCTTGGTCTGAGTTTTAAAATTAAATGAACTAAATTAAATTAAGGGCCAAAAACACAGTTTGGATGTTCTAGAGACAGAATTTATACCACCAGCTCCAGCCAGCCCATTCTTGGGAACTAAAACCTTTGATTGACACCCTGTGGGTTCTACTTGACCTGTCTCATGTTCTCTGTACATCCTATTTTGCCCACTCTAGAACTCTTCAGTCTCTGCATTTGCTTTCTCTCTTCATTTTTTGGTACCTCTGCTGGACCCCTGCTTAATGAATGAATCATCCTTTCTACCTGTGAGGCTAGTACTGAAATCATTTTTTCTACTCTTGAAGTTAGTGCTTAAATCAGGAATTGGATGAAGCTTCTTATGTACTATCAGTCAATATGTATAAAAGAAGTGAATAGTGTAGGTAAAAGGAACCAATTTCCTAAGATGGAAGGAAAGGAAGATGGCACGTGACAGTCCTAAACCTCTAATGAAGGCATCTGGGGATGGAAGGGACCAGCTAAATCCAGAGTTGGGTCATTTATTTCCAGAAAATATTTGAGGCTTGCACAATTTTAGTCTTTCTGCTTCCCTCTTGATGTCACTTCATCTTAAATTGCGTTTAATTTTTCATTTGCTGAAAATATGGACAGTAGTACACTTTGGTGAAGTAATTGTGCAACAGCATGACCAACAAAGGCTCAGAAATGAGTGCTGGGAAGAAAGAGAAATAATTGATTTTTATAGGAATTCTGCAGAATTGGTGGCCATATGTATAATTGGAAAGCTCCCCTTTACTTTGTGATGGCTAGACAGTTCAAATTTAGAATTCTTCATTACTCTTCCAGTAAATCTAATAGTCTATAACACTGAGTTTGGTTTTCCTCATAAAATAAACTGTCAAAATTATTTTATGGCAGTCATAAATATGAATGCAATAAATGGAAAATTTTTTAAATTGATGACCAAATGTGTAATTTAATACACTCTACCTCTTCTAATGATGATCAATAATATAGACTCTCACATCTTGTTGTCTGTGACACACCCGTGAAGCAAAAACAGACCAGGCAAGTGGCTATCCACGTGATAGCATACAGGCTCTGAGTTCCTTAGGGGTACAAATGTTGTGTTATCCATTTTTGTATTCTCAGTGATGATCATGGTGCCTATCACATAGTAGATTGTTCAATACAGCTTGTTGAATTACTTGCTTCTGCTGAGATACAGTAAGGAAATAAGAGAGTAAGGGGAGGATGGTCCAAGTTCAAAGAAACTGAGTTGATGAATGGGTGAAAAGGCAAGGCTAGAAAGTGGTAGAAAATGATACTTGAGGTTCATAGGCTAAAGAGGTTAGGAGAGCTAAGTAAGCCAAGGTGGCATTTATGGAGTGCATGAAAACCTTTGCTTAGATGGGACAAAAAGATTCCTCCTCTGCAGAGCCTGGATAGTGGCTGCTGGGTTGGAGAAGACCCACGCAAAGGGGCTGGACACTAGCTTAAGACAGTAAGTTGTTTGTTGGGATGTTTGTTTTCACCAGCCCTAGGCAGGTGGATTTAAAATAACTTCATGAAAAGGATCATATGACAACATAAAAAAGAATTTGGAAAAAGAATGTATGAAGTCACTGATCCCATTCTCCATTCTCATTACTCCTGTATACTGATCAGCTGCAGGATCAGTCTTTAGCCTGGAGCCAGTCCCCATCATGATAACTATCATGGTGATGTTGATGACAATGATGATGACAATGATAATGCTGACAACAGCTAACACTTATTGAGCACATATAGTATGCCAGACACTGTTCAATGTCATTTAATTTTCATATTATTTCATTTAATTTTTTCAAAAACTCTGTGAGATAAATACTAATATTTCTATTTTACATAGAAGAACACTACGGCACAAAGAGATTAACTTGCCCAGGGTTGCACAGCTAGTAAGTGGAGAATTTTGGGCATTCTGATTAAAGAGCCTATGATTTTAATCCTCATGCTATGATTTTTCATTTAAGCTCAGACCCAGGTGGGGTTTAAGAGTAGTGTTGGTGACTTAAGTTGAGTTCCCAGACTGCATGTGGTAAGTCCTGGACAGGTACCCATCCCATTTTTCTCTGCTTCCAAATCCATCCCACATTTGCTTTGTCTGTAGAAGTAAGTTTTCTGAAATCCCTTTCATCACTATCATGCAGAACTTATTTCAACAATTGTAAAAAACAACAAACAAACAAAAAAAAACTGGTGGAAAATTGGGGACATATGGGAAATCTAAATACCAACTGGGTATGACATGATAAGGAACTTGTTAATTTTCTTAGGAGTGAATCGTATGTAAGAAAATGTCTTCAAATTTTAGAGATCCATACTAAAGAATTTAAAGGCTGAGGTAATGGTATCTGGACCTTACTTTAAAACAACTGAGCAAAGAGATAGTAGCCAAAGGAAATACAGTAAAATTATCATTATTAAGGCTAGGTGATCAATATGTGGGGCTTTATTATAATATTCTCTCTACTTTGAAATGTACTTGAAATTTTTAATAACAAAGTTAAAATAAATGTAATATTATGTGTTTCCTAATTCTGATACTATCATACTTGCCCAATTTTGTGTGTGTGTGTGTGTGTGTGTGTGTGTGTGTGTGTGTGTGTAAGACAGGGTCTTGCTTTGTTGCCCAGGCTGGAGTACAGTGGTATGATTACTGCTCACTGAAGCCTTGACCTCCCAGGCTCCAGCAGTCCTCCTAATTCAGCCTTCCAAGTAGCTGGGACTACAGGCACATGGCACAATATCAGGCTAATTTTTGTAATTTTTTGTAGATTTGTGGTCTCCCTATGTTGCCTAGGCTGGTCCCAAACTCCTGGGCCCAAGCGATCCGCCCACCTTGGCCTTTCCCAATTCTTACAGCAAAAAAGAGTATACAGTTGATATGAACCATTCTCTGAACATCATTTGTTTTTACTGTACCTGCTTCTGTCATAATGAACAAGAAGTGTGAAGGATATTTATCTGTCCATAGCAGCAGATGACAATGTTTTATGCTGAACTACAGCGGACAGGTGATGTGCAAATATATGAAACTCTCAAATATATAACTGGCTCTGCTTCTTAGAAGCTTGTAGACTTGAAGTAAGCAACCTACCCGCTCTAGGCTTTTTCTGTGAAAAGGGCTATAATTGGATCTACTTCCAGGCTATTGTTAGGATTTAGGACATAATGCATACAAATCACTCGGCTCATTGCCTGAAACATAGTGAGAACCCAATAAACATCATAGCACCCAAAAAACATAAATACCTTTTAGCAGCAGTCAAAAAAGGTAAAACATTTGTGTTCTACCTCACAAGGAGTTTCCACACTGTAGCTGGGAAACAAATCACCCCTTAATAAGGTTAAGCTATACAGTATAGCTCAGTTTTCATCTTTCACGTCTCAAACAGAAACATCATGTGGATCTTTCACTCAAACCAAATGGAAGTTGTTTTCCTTTCCACAACAATATGAATTCCCTTGGTTAGACAGTAAGAAGGTCACTGGACAATTTCTGAACTGTGAATAAGCAAATACAAAGAGAAGGAAAAAAGCTGGGTTTGTTGAGCAGGCATTGCTCATTCCAGACTGATGACACAACTTTTGGTTAAGGATAGTGAAGATAGAGAAAGCAGTTGCACTGACATTTCAACACATTCCTTTAGCCATGGTAATTAACGCCTCAACTTCTGGATTCAGGGAACGGCCCTCTCTCTGCTGAGGACATTCATTTCAAAGGTGTGCTTTTAAGTGAATTGAAAAGGACCCTAAAGAGAAAGGCTGCCTTTCATATCTCGTCTCTCTCTTCAGTGAATCTGGACACAGTGCTTTCATCTTCTCATTGCCCAGCTTAGGTCCCCTTTTGTTTTGTGGTGCCCTGTTACGTTGCTTTGTTTTGGTTTCTCTGGGAGGCCTGCCAACCCTAGCCTCAGAGAAGGCTCGAAATGATGAGATCAAATGTTTTGAGACAGTGTTACATTTCCTTTTTTTCCCCAAGCTTTTCTTTGTTTAGCTCTATGCCTCCTGTCATCTTAAATCTTCTCTTCCTTATGTAGTGCCTCTATAGCCAAAGAGATTGCTAAGTCACAGAATCACGTACTTTGAAGTAATTTCTTGAGAGTAATGAAACTCAGCTACCTGACAGAAAAATCCCCTTTATGATAACTCCAACCCATGCTTATGCTCAAATATGACTTGCACACACTTCATACAGGGGAGTTCCTTGCACCAATACTAGTTTTTAAATGTAGTTTTTAGAACGTTCTTCCTTATGGTTTTAGAACTGTAATTAATCTTAATTCTAGTTAATGGAGTTAAACAGAAGGAATCATATCCCCTCCTCTCCCACCTGTTTTCTCTTTTTCAGATTTAGAATCTCATTTTCTAAACATTATGTAGAAATTAAGATGTAGAAGGGGAGGGTGATCATAAAAATATACAGACAGGCTTTACAGAATTCATTCCTTCATTCAAAAAATAATTCAAAGTACGAGCCAGGGGATTCTAAGTTTTGAAGTGAGGAGTAACTTGATCTATAGAAGGAATTGAAACAAAAACTGCATGAATAGACTTTTGAGTCAGGGAGGGTCTTCCCAGATGAAGCTGGGTTTTGTAGACTTAGGGACATTTTTCCAAAAATAATAAAAAAACAGGGAGGAGTTTTAAGCAGCAATGTCATAGGGTTTCAAGACATTTTGCCATTATGGCTACCCTCTTCTGGACAGACTGTAGTTATTCACCATTCTGTTTCAGGTGCACAGCGCTAACCATACCATCCAGACAGGGGCTGGTGAGTCCACAGTAGGCTGAGCCATCACCTCCTTTGTTCTGGACATTAGATTGATGCATCCTAATGATGTATTTACTTGGATGGTCACTTTGTCATTCTGTTTTGTATCAGATAGATCTGGTGGTCGACTAAAATCAATACCTGGTTTGGGTTGGATTTTTGATGCTAGATATGCTATACAGAAGCTGGACCACAAAGGAAACTCACGTCAACTTGAGATGCCCAGCATTAAGTTTCTCTTCTCTTTCTGCATCTAATTGAGCCTATATGATGAGAGTTTTGCTTTTGTTCTGGTTTTTCTCTTTTCTTCTATAATTTTTTTCTAATGATGACAGCAAACTTGGAAAATACAGAAAAACAAAGTGAAGCAAGTAAAAATAATTGAAATAAGCATAGATAACCATTGTTATCACTGCTATTGACATCTTTCACTAAGTATCATTTTCCATGGTTGAAATCATACTGTCATGTAGTTTTATATAGCCTGTTTTATAACTATTATTATTAGGTCACAAGAATTTATTTTCCAGCATATTAAATGGTTTTCATATGTGCTTCTTATTTGAGGACATTGAATTTCCTGGTTTTTTACTTTATAAAAGAATATTTTCAAAGAATACCTTTATATTTAAATATTTACTTGCATTTCAGAGTATTTCCTTAGATTAGCACTCTAGAAACATATTTAAAGCTTCTTTGATACATATTTATACACTGCTTTACAAAACTTGTTGGCTAATTTACACTTCTACCTGTATTGTGCATTAAAAAAATAAAAATAAAAAATTAACCTTGCTGCTTAATTGGAGAAAATATAACTGCATTATTGTCTTCACTTTTGTTTTTAATTGTTAGTGATGTTAAAGATTTTACAATGTTTATTAAGCCATTTATCTTTCTTTATTGTTAACTGTCAGTTCTCATCTTTCTTATGCAGGATGGTCTTACTGATTTTCTTCTAAATTTGTGTAATCCTTTTGTATATAAATATTTTAATCCTCATTTTGTCATAACTCTTATAAGTGAGTATGCATCCCAATCTACTTGGAATTTTAATATTGTTTGTGATTTTTAAAAATTACAAAGAAGCCTTAAAAATTTAGCTTATTTTACATATACCATTTGAGTGCTACTGTAATGAAAAATAAAGAGGTTTCTTTGCCTGATTTACTTTCTCTTTCAGTTTGACCTGAGCTTGAAAACAAAAGTAGAAAAGAAAAAAAGTTTTCATGGGTTTCGCCTTAAATAAATCTTACATAATTCCTCTTAAATGCATTTTCTGTAATAAAAAGGGCTTATAAATGTAATTGGAGGTATGAGTTGGGGCCTGCAAAGGCTGAATTCCAAGACTTGTTTTAATATTGTGCATGTGTGTATGTGTGTGTGTGTGTGTGTGTGTGTGTGTGTGTGTGCATTTTGTTAAATGGAGTCTGGAGAGGAAATTAATAAGATTCACATAATTCTTTCTTCTCTGGTGCTTGATAACTTCTCAGCCACTGCCAAATAATGTTAACTTGTTATAACGTTTGTTTAAATTCTATTCTTAAACAAATTCTCCTTAGCAAGGACTTTGGGACCAAACAGTCCTGAACCATCTGTAAAGTGGGAATAATCATGCTCTCCTTGAAGTGCTTTTGTCCAGCTAATCACAAAGCAAAGGTAAAGTACTGAGCTGGTACTGGCACACAGAAGACACCTAATGCCAGACTCTACTCCACCTCAACCTCCTGTGTCAGGCCACGAAAGACTCTGTGGTTCCTGAGAAATAACATGTGTTCACCAGAATGCAAGCACCCTACACTGGTGTTAACCTCAGTAGCATGCCAGACTGATATCTGAATGGAAAAAAACATATAATGACTGAATTTTTATATTATTCGTTTATCCAACAAACATTCTCAAGAATCAAACGTATGGCTGGTATTGTGAAAGACGCTGATCATACAGAGAAGATTAAATCTTTCTTCCTGCATTGATAAAGCAGTACTGGAACCCTTTGAGTAAACACTCAGAATTATGTGTCCATCTAATTTTACCACTAGGTTTAGCTTCGCCTGCTGTGCTTCTCCAATACTAAATTTCCCTGGAAACAAGGAATAATCACATTTAGCACTGAGGTATGGGTGAAATAAACTCTACAAATGTGCTATGTAATGATCCAGTAGATTCAGAGAAAATAACGTATTTACTGAGCCAACAAAGTATAGATACAAGGGTTCTTAAAACACACCATGGTATCATTAAATGATGAAGAAATGGTGTATGTATGATGCTGATGAAATATTTCAAAAAAGAACATTCAAATAACAAGAGTAAGCCATTTGTTCCTGAAGGAATTGCTAATTCAGCTTTCTCAAACTAGGCAGATTACTGACCACTTAACTCTGCAAAATATCCCAGTTTCTTGAAGCAAAACTGTTTCTAATACTAAGTAAAATGAACCTTTATAAATTTGCTTTAATGCTCTTATAATTCACATTTTTTCTTGTACAGTTGTATTTTATTTTTAAAATGTGTAATTTTAAAGCTTTGCAGAACTGAGAAATTTGATTTTGGAGAAAAGTGGCAAAAGAGAAAATTATCTCTCACTTACTTGATTTGTTTTACTTGGTAGAACATGAATTTATATTTTGTGATCTACAAAATGTCAGTTGCCAAAAATGGAGCTGAGTCTTTTTTAAAAAGGTAATTATTTTCATAAACTAGACAAAAATCCCAATTTGAAGAGTACTTGCAAGAGAAACAGGTAGTTCTTACTTATCTCAATTTGTGCATGACTAATCTTTCTTCGGGACCCTCCAGGTCAGATTTTAGATTGTTTTTGTTAATTATTTCCAAAAGCCGACCTGACTCAGGCACATTAAATTATTTCCATTGGAGGCTCTTTATTCCTAAAGAAACCAACCACTTAAACATCGGGTGAGTGTTTGGAGTTTCCAAATTATGGTACCACTATTCAATTAAAAACTACATCTTAAGTGAACTATGGAATACCAGTTCACTTTTCTTACCAGCATGGTTTACCTTGTCAGGTTCCCCTCTTTTCTAACCTGGTTGTGTACATAACTTTCTGCAAGCTATTTGGCATGTCTGAATGGGTGGACAATCATTGGTAAAAGCCACCTTTCCAGTTTACAAGTCTTTCATATCTAGAAGATCAAAGAGAATACAAAAATTAAAAAGAGAGAAAAAGAAAAGTACAGAAAAGAAAATAAAGGAAGAGAAGAAAGAAAAGAAGAGACAAAATTGAAACAAAAATGAAGAAAAGCAAAAAGAAATCTTAGGGTAATATAGATGTCTTTTAATCAATGTGTATATTTGTATATTTTCTGAATCTTTTGGAATGTCCCCTATCACTGCCCCAGTAAATTAATTTTCTCTCAAGACAGGGTTGTAGGAAGTTTAAAAACGAAACCTAGAGAGTGACAGAAATCTTGTCCTGGCTTCTTCTGAGCATAGGCAACGTAAGGTATTTTATTGCTGGATCATTGTTGTTTTACAAGTAAAAGCCAAAGTAAACACTTGCACAAAGAATCTCATGAACGGGCCGGGTGCGGTGGCTCGTGCCTGTAATCCCAGCACTTTGGGAGGCCAAGGCGGGTGGATCATCTGAGATCAGGAGTTCGAGACCAGCCTGGCCAACATGGTGACACCCCGTCTCTACTAAAAATACAAAAATTAGTCGGGCATGGTAGCAGGCGCCTGTAATCCCAGCTACTCGGGAGGCTGAGGCAGGAGAATCACTTGAACCCGGGAGGCGGAGGTTGCAGTGAGCCGAGTTCGCGCTATTTGCACTCCAGCCTGGGGGACAAGAGCGAGACATCGTCTCAAAAAAAAAAAAAAAAAAAAAAAAAAAAAAAAGGATATCATGAACGATACTGATTAAGTCTTTAAGGCAATAACCACTCCTGAGATTGTGCATTGGGACAGGAATCATAATTTTCTGCTCCCACCCTTTCCAATCACTCACGTGCCTCCCAACATGCGCACGTATCTGGCGGATCATACCCTTGTTTCAACCTTACAATGTGTACATAGAAGTGCTTGGTACAATCAGAATTCTGCTCAGTTACCTGGTGTGGGGGGAAAAAGCCACTGGAAATGATCTAGAGGAGTGTTATGAAATTTGAAGCTGTCCTAAAGTGTAGCTGTAATTTGATTGACGTAAATATCTTGCTTGTTACAGTTTATTAAATACCTTTTATTTTTTACCTTTCTCCTTTTGTTCCCTCAGTTTTCAGCTTATTCTGAAAAGTATCAAAAATATTACCAACTATTACTGCCTTTAATTCACATCTTCTCTCCCTGATGATTTACAATTTATGACCATGGCAGGTATTTTTTTTTTTTTTTTTTTTTTTTTTTTTTTTTTTTTTTTTTTTTTGAGAGGGAGTCTCGCTCTGTCGCCCAGGCTGGAATGCAGTGGCGCGATCTTGGCTCACTGCAAGCTACGCCTCCCTGGTTCACGCCATTCTCCTGCCTCGGCCTCCCGAGTAGCTGGGACTACAGGCGCCCGCCACCATGCCCGGCTAATTTTTTGTATTTTTAGTAGAGACGGGGTTTCACCCTGCATGGCAGGTATTTTTAAGAAAAAAGAGTAAAAATAAAGTGACAAATAGAAAAGTCAAAAAATGTTGGAGAAACTAAATTTTAAAAACTGAAAGCATTCACTTTATTTACCTTATATCACTATAGGGATTTTTTTTAAAACAGCATCTCGCTCTGTCACCCAGACTGGAACGCAGTGGTGCCATCAAGGCTCAATGTAGCCTTGACCTCCCAGGCTCAAGCAATCCTCCCACCTCAGCCTCCCGAGTAGCTGGGACCATAGGTGCTCACCTCCATGCGTGGCTAATTTTTTGTAGAGACAAGGTGTCCCTATGTTGCCCAGGATGGTCTTGAACTCCTGGCCTCAAGCTATCCTCCCCTCTCACCCCCTGACAAAGTGTTTCCATTCAGGCATGAGCCACTGCACCTGGGCCCAGGGAAAATTTTCATAATGTTCAGAGGATTGCTTTTTGTATTTTTGTTTTGTTTTGTTTTGCTTACTGGAGGGTTATAAGAGGTATCTAAGAATAACTTTGAGCTAATGAATTAAATTTTAGTTCTTTCTTATCATGTTATTATACTTCCTATAGTTCACCAAATAAGCCAGGAATGCATTTTATTACTTTATTTGAAAATTTTAACAACTTATTAGAAAGCATAAAAACAGAAAATGAAACAAAAGCAGAATCTCCCTGTGATAGAATTATACTAGAACACATGTGTTTTGTACATCTTTTTGCTGTCACTAGTTTATATTTTCACATACATTAATTTATATTTGCCATGCATTGGACTACATTTCCAACTGGACACATAGTGACATCTCCCAAACCAGTAATCTAAAGTTTCTCAGATGAGAATGCAAAATCAAATGTGTTCATATAAACTTAAAAACCTTCTGGCTTGGCCTTTATTCTCTAGATGCTGGAGGGAAAGTTCACATTTGCTCTCTGCAACCTTGTCTATGTTTCTGTTTCTGTTGTTCACACTTCTAATGTGGGGTGGTGTGTGTGTGTTATGTGTGTTTTCAGTTGCTGCTATCTTAAAAAGGATTTCAAATGTGCATGATGGAGAGAGATAACAGTGTTTAATTAGGGGTAACTATAAAGCAGTCACCAACAATTGTCAGTGCAGTTTGAAAGGTTAGTCCTTACCAGAGACATCCTTGATTCTGGATTTTAAAAAGAGAAAGCAATCTACAAATGTAAATAAAACTGTGAGTGTCATAAAAACATGACAAAACCATTAGGAAATGTTATTCTGTTTCATTTATTTCTTATTCACTTTGAAAATAACTCCACTTTGTTTTATAATCATAAGGCTTTCTTATTCAACCTGGGTTTTCTTTCTTTAAGTTTCTCCCTTCCCTTAAGCTATGGTGTGCCATGGAGCCTCAAGCAAGAAGACAAACTCTAGAGATGTAAGATAAAAAGTGTAGCTTCTTCTGTGTACGTGCACTGGTACATTTCAAAATAAATGTTTGAACAAGTCCACAAAATCTGAGCCAACACTGAATAAAGAAAAAAAGAATGCATGCAGAACAAAATAATCAATTGCACACACACACACACAGACACACTCGGATTCCTGGAGTTTCTTTGGTTGCCTTCCTACCATGAAAATTACGTTGGCATTGTTTTCTTTGAAACCACATCACATCACAGATCAGATATTTGTGATTTCAGATGTTAGCATTTATACATAAGACATTGGATTGAGTACATTTTAAACATAAACAGTAGGCAATGCTGTACAGAGAACATCTAAATTGCCTTCCTAATTGTATTAAATAACAGCATCAACAATGATTGAGCCTTAATAGTTCATTGCAAGTGAGAGTTGATTTCTGTATAAAATCCAACAACTGAGAGTTGATTTCTGTATAAAATCCATAGACATACTTATGCTGCAGCAGACAGTATAAAATAGTGGTTAAGAATTCAGACCCTGAATTTAGACTGCCTGAGTTCAAATCCTGACTCTGCACTTGGGGCCACCTGGCCTTGAGCAAGTTGCTTAACCTCTCTTTACTTGTTTTCTCATCTGAAGGACAGCAATATCAATAGTACCTATTTCATAGGATTGTTATGAGGATTAAATGAGTGAATACATGCAAGATGCTTAAAACTGTACCTAGTACATAGAGGGATTCAATGAATATTAACTGTTGTTTTTATTTAAACAAGTCCTACAGTGCTGAGGAACTTAAACTGTATACTGTTTCTTAGGAAGGAAATAATGGCTGGGTAGTACTACGTATTTTAATTTTCTACTTCACTCCTCTCCTAATTGTCTTCAAGTCTCAGTCTAGCCCAATTTAGGTCCATAGATCCTGTTATTTAGAAAAAAAAAATTAAAGACTGTTGGCTGAGGACAAACTTAGCTTTATATAGTTGGATTCTCTATGTTGTAGCCATCCCAGATCTGATCTTCCATTTTCCTGATCTGCCTGGTGTGGACTTTGTTCCTTATTTAATTTTTTTTTTTTTTTAGACAGGGTCTTGCTATGTTGCCAAGGCTGTCTCCAACTCTTGGCTCCACAGATCCCCCTGCCTCAACCTCCAGAGTAGCAGGAACTACAGATGCATGCCACCATGCCCAATGTTCTAGTTTTTAACATGAAGTTTTAACCACATACATTGATTAGCTATTTGGCAATCCTTCACTTTTTGTCTGCTTTTTTTGAGTCCTCCGCTTTTTGTCTGCCTTGTCTGTCTGCCAACATAATGATTTCCAGTTTGTTCCAACCGTTGTATTCGGCTTCCTTGTATTTAGAACTCCAGCCCCTCTTTATGCAAGGACCTTCCATACCTACTTTGTCTACTTCAGCCTTGCTTCCACTTCCTCCAGCTCCATGCTCTGGGCTGATAGGGAAAAGAGACCTTAGAACACATAGGCTTAGTAACTTAATCTTCAAACACAATGAGAGGAACTCTTTAGTTCATAAAGGCTGCAGAATGTAGCAGTGATTCATACATTTTAGTATACAACAGAATCACTTGAATGGGTGACAAGTGTGTTTTAAGATGCAGATTTCTGGAACTCTTTTCTCAGAGATTCTGATTGATTAAGTCTTGAATGGAGCTGATAAATCTGCATTTTAACCCACTTGCTGGATGATTCTGACATGGGCAGTCCAAGAAGCATAATTCGAGAGACACTTAACTTGACCAATTGAAGTTAAGTGCCCTTGAATATACCATTGTCTATATTAGTCTCTTCTATGAACTCCCTTCTTGTATTTTGGAAAACATTGTGCATCAGGCCAACTAATAGTGCCTAAAAATTAATTTAGAGTCAAAAGGAGGAGCTGTGTGAAGATGGCATTTTCCCCAACATCAGAAATTTTTCATGACTCTGGATCCTTACAGCAACCAGTCAGGTGGCTAGTGGTTTCGTTTGTCCATGTCTTGCCTTTGAGGAGACAGAGAGGAGCCAAGACTTTCTGAAAATTACTCTTCTACATTATTTTTTCCAGATTTATCTGTAACTTACCCCTTTAGAATACTATGCATCCAAAAACATTTAAGAGTAAAATGAAAGTATTCTCTAAGCTTTGACTTTTGAGTCAAGTTTTTACTCCAACATTGTTGGGTTTTTGTTGTTGCTATTGTTGTTTTTTCTTATTTAAGCATCCTTACATCTACATGTCTGTGTTCAAGTCTCATGTCACCACCACCAACTTCAAGCCAGAGGCTAATAAAGAAAAACCCAGCCTTATTGACTGAGCAAGGCTGACTAATGCATAAGTCTACCTTCCCTGGGCTCAGTGTGCCACTGTAGCCCAGCCAACCCTGGCCTATTCTGGAAGCAGCTCAGACCCAGCCTCATGCCTGCATGACCTGAATGCACTGTCCTCGACAGACCCCAAAACTTCTGTCTGTGAGGGATTTAAACTATACTGGCATCACTGAAACCCATTCTTCCTGCCTGGTTTCTCTGTTTTGATAGGTCTTGCATTTCACAACACAGTCACATGTTGAGTGTCTGTAATTTGCTGGAGCCTGGCTACATGCTAGAAAAGGAAAGACAAGGTCTCTGCCCTCCAGGAGTTCATCAGCTCCTCATGAAGCCAGAAAAATAAATGGCTACAATGCAATCTGACTCACCGTAACTGAGGATGGATCAAGTGAACAGAAGTGTTCTCCTCTACTGGCCTATAATTAACAGCGTCCTTGGAGCTTCTGGGGCTCCCAAGATGGAAGTACTGCTGTCACCCAAATTCTCTTTTCTCATGATTCAGGATCTGGATCACCAATGCTTTCTCAGTGCCTGATCTAATGGCAGTATCTTTTATGTTCTTCCTTTACCATTCACTAAACTTAAAAAGCCCTTCAAAGTCTTCCACCAGTGGGAGACATTTCTCCTTCCTTTGAAATTCCCTAATACTTTACCTCATCATCCCTGTGGTACTTACCAAAGTTTACCTTGTATCGTGGCTAGTAAAATATATGCTTTCTCTCTCGTCCAGGGGACGGTCTGGTTCCAGAGGGCATGGTCTGGACTCTACACAGTGCCTTACACAGAGCACTGTGCATAATTGATGAATCAACAAAGGAAACACCTTCTGGCAGAAGATCCTGAACATAAAGTATCAGAGTTTGCCCTGATCTGAAGCATTATGTGTTGGTTTTAGAAAATGCAATCTTCTATCTCTGGCCTTGGGAAAAAACAAAAACAAAAACAAAAAACTCCAAAATTCTGGGATGATTTTAGCAGATCCAAGGAGTTTTATCCACACATAATATGCCAAAAGACAAAAATCACATATTCTAATTATTCCATGTTTATATTTTAGTAAATTCCCTGTTTAAAAAAACATGGTGTGAAATTCTGAAGCCTAAGTTTTGTAGTTTATTGAGAAAAATACACAGTAACAATAGTAGCAGTAGAACTGTTTCCAAAACTGTTAAAGTGTTTTACCTTGACCTTGAAGACCAAGTGAAAAAATGGATTAAAAATATTGAATATACAATATTTACTTGATTGGTAAGACAATTATAAAATAATGAAAGGGAAGAAAATTGAGCATTTATGTAGAACACTTCACCATTTGCTTGACCATGTGCTTGACTTTGCAAATTGCTTTTATGTGGATTATCCATTTAATACCTATAGACACTGAGTGACATTGGCATTATTAACTCTATTTTACAGATCAGAAACTGGGCCTCAGAGAGTCTAACTAACTTGGACAAGATTACTTGTTTAGTGTGTGGTAAAGCCAGACTACAAATTCAGTTCTATCTAAGTCCCATCCTTTTTAATTACACTAGTTGTACATCAGAGATTTAGCTGAGCCACCAAATTTCCGAATCATAGATATCTTACTTTAATATATTTTTAATGTATTCTAAGTAAAATTAATAACTTATTTACCCTGCAGAGGTAGTCTTTTAGTGGCTACATTATTGTTCAAAGTTTTTATGTATTATAACATGCAGGTTTGGAATGAAAGTGCACAAATGCACTGAATGGCCTTGGAACTGTAATATGAGAGATTAGATTTAGAACCTGGGAAAATCCGTGAAGTAAGTTATCATCCTACCTAAAAACACTAAAGTTATGGTTTGGAAACTTTCTAGAAAGAGTGTGCCAAGCTGCTAATACCTGTCTTCCTCATAAGGCGTTGGAGTTGATGGGATGGCAGGAGAAGGCATTTAGATTATTTACTTAGTAATTCCTTTTTCTAACATTTGGCTCTTTTAGTTGTAAAATGGAAAAAAAAGAATAGTATCTACTTCATGCAGATGTAAAATGATATGATGCATATAAAGTGCTTACCAAAATGTCAGAATACATGAATGTCTGAATACATGTCATTAATTTATTACCTTAAAGCACAGATATTCATTCAACAAATACCTATTGAGCATCTGAAAGTGTCAGGCAATATTATATACACCATAAATACAACAATGGATGAGATAAACAAGATCGTTGATCAATGAAAATGTTGACAACAAAAATTTTATTTAAGAGTAATTGTATTGCCATTGCAGTAGCATCTACAGAGTGCACATTGTTGCCAAGTACTTGCCCATCAATTGCATAAGTAAAAATTATTATCTCCATTTATGGATGAAGAAACTAAGGCTCAGAATTAATAAATGACTTGGCCAAGGCTAAAGAGCTACTGACTAAGGGATTCAGGATTTAATATGTGGCTATTAGTTCCAAAGCCTATATTTTTCTCACTACACCCAAAACATTCTTCTAGTCAGGTCCTTAGCTCAGGTATTTCCACCTATTATTTTCTGTATTTACAGAATGAGTTTTTAGGGGGGCATAGTGATATTTGTAGTGGCCTAAGAAGCCTGCAATTAGTTGGGGTAAAGGGAAAAATATAGTATGCATGCCACCTCTTTCTCTCCAATTCTTTCATTATTTCACTTAATCAACAAATATTATTTTTCATGTTCCAGGCTCTATTTTAGGCTCTGGGGATATAAAGTTGAACAAGTCATAGTCCCTATCCTCATGAAACATACATTCTAGTGGGGACATACATACAATTGTCTAGTGGGGACAATTGACAGAAAAGAAAAATGCATAAAATAATTAAACACTATTAAAAATCTTATAAAGGACTCAAACAGTGAACTGATATATAGGATAATGAAAGGATATTAACCTGAGAGAGCATGGTCAGAAGATCCTCACTGAGATGGTAATATCAAAGCCCAGGCCTGAGGTTGAGAATGAGATAGCCACAGGGAGGATGGAAGAGAGTGAGTTTTGTTACAGGATGCAGAAATGACATGGTCCAAGAACCCAGTAAGTCTTTGGATTCCAGGAACCAAAAGAAGCTGACAAGTATGGCCAGAACTGCAGTGTAATATCCTGAGAGACAATTGTTGGTCCTAGTCAGTTTATTGGCTCAAGCTCATCACGTTCTTATTTCAAGCTCATCTCCCTGTTCCAGGAATTACCATCCCAATTTTTCCAGATGCTGCCCTTCATTCTTCCATTTGAGGGTCTCTTCTTTCAAATATTTTGGGAAACGGGGTATAGAATTTGGACTTTGGTCATGCTTTCCATTTTCAGATGTGTCAATCAGGATCCCAGGAGAAAATAGAATTCCTCTCAGATGTTTCAAGCGAAGTGATTTTAAAGAAAGGATCGTTTATACAGAAATAGACATAGTTAAGGAATCCAACAAGCAACACTGGGAAACCATTCCATCACTAGGCCTATGGTAACACTGGAACTTAATGAGAACGGAAGCCATGGAGGAGGGGCTGTTTGACTGAATCTGTAATCAACGGAGGAAAGGAACTGGAAACACAGCGTCAAGGTGAGACAACAGAAAACACCCTCTCCTTGGTCTCCTCCTGGTATCTCCCATTGGCTGAACCCGAGTGGAAGCCAAAGGGCATGAGAGTGATACAATCCACAGAGGTCAGTCTTCTGGGCCCCATGCAGGGCCAAGAAAAGTGGAAAATAGTTCTAAGGGAAGAGAGTTAAGTGACGAATGTCCATCACAGCACTCCTGTGGCAGGAGCACCGACATCACAGCACCAAAGCAGACAGCCAGTAGGGAAGAAATACCCTTATCTCTCTCCTTTCCCTCCAATATATTGCCGGTACCTCCCACTGGCTAAACCCAACTATAAACCAGCCTAATTACAACTATAAAACAGCCTAGAAGGGAGCCTGTGGGGTGCAGCTTGCAAGAATCAATTTTCAGAGACAAAGAGTAGAGCAGAGACAGGTAGCGAACAGACAGGAGAAAAAGCTGAAAGAGAATAACCAGCAGAATAGAAAACAGAAAACTCATGCTTCCTACAAATATTTATTGCTGCTAGCTACAGGTCAATATAGGAGGTGACCATAGTTAATGGAGGGGAAATTCCAAATTTCTAAGAAGACAGAGCAATCTTAAGTCATAAGAATTATGAATATTTGTTAGAATGAAAAAAGAAGTAGAGTGTGATCTTTCATGGTTTCTCCTATCTTCATTTTTAGATATGCTCATGCCTAATCTCTCTATTTTCCTCTTTCATAAGAGATGAGGCATTGGTCTCTTCAATGGCCCAGTGCCTAGAGATAATGATGAGTAGTATTTAGCTTGAAGCATAGACTGAAGTAGGTTATTTGACATCTCACTGGAAGCTGGAGGCTGATCATTTCTAGCTCCACCAGTTGCTCTATTTACAAATATCTTATTTTGAAAAATGTAGGGGAGTCCCACAGGGCAGCTATAAGGCAAAGACATATTTTTCATATTTCCCAGTTTGCCTTGATTTTTAGTGGTGCCAAATACCCTGTGTGCACTAAAAATCATCTTTGATATTTCTTCTTTCACACCTGAGGGAATTTACTGATGCCAGATTGAACTGACTTGTAAGGTAGTTACCAATGTTTAATTAAGATCTAATCATGCCAAGTCACAGACTGCTATATCATGCATATAAGGATGACTTAAGACAGGGATATAGTTTGGTATCTCTTGAGTTCTGATTAAATCTAATACTTTAAATTATGTATAAGATACATGGGATCTAGATCATGCTAATGTGAGAACAAATTAAAGACTGGACTAATAAAGTAAGTACGACTACTCAGAAAATGATCAAACTCTAAATGGAAGAACAGTATAGTTGAAAACAATAATCTTTGCTCTAGTTCTGGCTCTCCTACCTATTCATGTCATTGTGGAGACCTTACTTCACTCACCTGAATCGCTACTTTCTTAAGTTATAATGATATGACCTGAGACTCCTATTAGCCCTATCATATCATGTCTCTCTGAGTACATGTTATTTATTCAAATAAATAAGGCTGAGAGTTTACAATAACAATGCTCAAACACATGAGAAAGTATTGTAAGAAGGTTGCTGACTTGTTCCATTCCCAGAAGAAGAAAAAGAAAAGAGGATGAAATAAAGGGCGGAACCAAATATTTATAAGACATCTGATATGTGTAAGACACTCTGCTATTCCCGCTGTATACATTAGTTCTAATATCAACTTTACATTAATAATTATTATTTTCCTTTACTTCATGGATAAGAAAACTAAGACTAAGGAAATTTTGCTATTGTTCACCTTTCTTTCATTGTTAATCTTTTTTGAAAGAGTAGTCTACATTCACTTTCTCTGTTCACTACTCACTTAGTTCTTACTTGCAGTCTGGCTTCAACGCTCACCAAGATGCAAAACTTCTTGTTTAACCTTTTCAGGATTTTTTAGAGTTTAACCTGTGCTCTTTCTTGAAACCCCCTCTTCTGTTTCTGACACCTGACTTTCCTGATTTAACTTCTATTGTAGCAGCTGTAATCTTTGCACACCATGTAGCTTAAACAAAGATGAAATATTATTTCATTCCAAATGAACCTAGTGACTTCCATGCTCACTACTGGTAAAATACTTAAATTTATCAAATCAGGATCACCGAGGCTATTCTAGATTAAAACACATTTATCTGATTTTTGCCTTATGCATTCTCATTTCCTTCTCCCCAGACTGATCAAAAGCTCAGAGGGACTTACTTTTGCTTCTCATATAGGAGAGAATGTCTCGGCTGGAATTTACTTTTGATGACACTCCTGTTTCCCTGTTGTGCAAGTGCAAGATGATTGCTGTTGGAAACTCAGCGGCCTGCTTCTGCTGACTCACTCCTACCTCAGGGTGGCTGGCACTGTGATCCTTTCAGGCTTAGTCACATCCTCCTTGCATTCACGGCTTTTGCTGGCCACCCTGTAGTTTCTGCAAAAGGCTCTCCTGGCCTCATTTTATTCTTCAGTAACTGGTCATTTTGACCAATCATCTTTTGTGGTAACCCCTTGCAGGAAGACTACCTCTCAACTCTCAGCTATTTCTAATGTTTTATTAGACACACAAAACATTTTTGGATCTCATACATCTCAAGGAAAAAATTCAAGAGGGCTGGGAGGTAGGTGGAGAAAGTGTGAAGAGGCTATCTCAACCCACTCTCCGCCTATATCTGCCCGCAAAATATGTCTTCTTTCCTCTGGCTACTCCATGTTGGCAGGAGACCCTTGGGAATGCTATCTCTTTCCATAGTTTGAAAAAAGAACATACAACTCCTTGGTTTTCAGTCTCCAAACCCATCTGGCTATCTCCGTCTCCCAACCAGGTTTTTACTTTGAGATCAGCACTCACATCAGCATCTAATCATATTGCTATTCTCTATTCCTCTCCAGATTTCTCCCTCAGCCCCCCGCAAATACTTCTATCTATGGTGCAAATCTTCTCTTGAATGATCATGAATCGTCACAAATTCCATAGTTTAAAGAAGAAAATGCTGAGTTTACCAGACCCTTAGCCTTGGTAGGAGGTGGAAGGAGGCCTTAAAAAAAAAAAAAGAAAGAAAAAGAAAAAGCTTTCTCATTCAAAGTTGTCTCTATCACTAGCTTTTGAGAGCTTCCTTTGAAACTTGAACAGAATAATCTGACTGTTTTCATGGTGGATTTCTTCCCTTTTATTCTTTGTTTCCTGAACACATTAAGTCTTCACATCAGGGTTTACAGTTAACTACATATAAAAGGAATTGGCAAGAAGGAGAAATACAACACATTGGATAATGTTTCAAAATATTATTTTTCTAGATTGGTTGTGGACTCCTTTTTTCTAATTTATTTTCATTCTCCCACACTGTCAATGTTGGTGTTAATCAAGACATTGTCAATGAACAGCTTCTATTCTTCCTATTTTATTTTTAGTGTCTAAATATAGTTTTATATCTGTAATTCTTCACTTTTTTGAGGTCATGTACCCTTTTGAGATTCTGTGGAAATCCAGGGACTTTCTTCCTTCAAAAAGACACTTAAGCATATACATATAGTTTTCATTATTCGAAGGGGTTCATGGAGTTTCTTAAGCCTATTAATAAAACCAAGGGGGACATAACTACCTGGGTGAAGACCACCTGTCCACATTGTTCATTGCTATTTTCCCAGAGCCTAAAAGGGCATCGGCCAAAAAGCAGGTATTCAGAATTAATTATTTATTTAAATAAATAAAACAATTAATATCTCCAACTCTCATACTGTCCTGAATTCTAGCCCATTTTACCAACTGCTATTCAGATGTGACATCAGAATCTTAAACTCAATACATCCACACTAAAAGTATTATCTTTTTGTTCCCTTTTCCATCAGTGGCCTTTGCTTTCCTCAGAGTTAAGTTATTCTGACTTTACCGTCAGCATTTTTGCCTCCTGCTCTTCTCTAAGTCCTTTAAATTCTATTGGCTTTCAAGGCATGCTGATTATCTCTCTCAATTTTTCACAGTCTGTTGCCATATATGAAGGTGGTACTTTGAGGTGTCTAGCCAGCTAAAAATGGCACATTACCTTCAAGCCTTCACTCACAGGATAGTTTTCAGGGAGTCAGGTCTTATCCCTCGCCCCATATCTATAGTTCACTGGACACCTGATCTAAGCTAAGCCAATCACATTCTATTGGTTAGAAATTTGATATTGAGATTAAAAATTCTAATTTACTCTAGATAATTCCTTTAATATGGAATATAAAAAAACTGTAGAGCCCTGAGACATCCACCTGTAACCATGTGGAATTAATAATAGAAAAAGCAAATATGCCGATAGAAAAGAATAAAACAGTTATTCAGAGAAAAGCAGGAGCCAGCAACTGAGAATCCAGAGAAGTATTCCAGGTTCCTGACTTCTCAGCACCAGGTTCCTTTCTATTCCTAAAGTCTGGCTGTATTCCTGCCCTTGGAAGCTATAGGATGCCCCTTTTTCTCCCCATTTTGTTTTGTATGTGGTAAAATACACATAAAATTTACCATCTTACCCATTTTTAAGTACATAGTTCAGTGGATTAAAATACATTCATAATGTGGTGTATCCATCACCACCATCCATTTTTATATTGTTGTCGTCTCATATAACTGAAACTCTATACCCATTAAGCAATAGCTCCCCATTTTCCCTACCCCCAGCCCCCAGCAACCACCATTCTACTTTCTGTCTCTATAAATCTGACTACGCTAAGTACTTCATATAGGTGGAATCATAGAGTGTTTGTCTTTTTGTGATTGGCTTATTTCACTTAGCATAATATGCTCCAGTTTATTTATTAGAATTTCCTTCCTTTTTAAAGCTGAATAATATTCTATTGTTGCATACATACATACATACATCACACTTTGTTTATCTGTTCATCACTTGAATTGCTTCCACATTTTACCTTTTGTGAATAATGCTATTATTAACATAAATGTGCAAATATCTTTTTGAGACCTTGTTTTCAATTCTTTTAGGTTGACCCAGAAGTGGAATTGCTAATATTTTTAATTTTGTGAGGAACCACCATACTGTTTTCCACAGTGGCTGGACCATTTCACGTTCCCATAAGAAGTGTGCAAGGGTTCTAATTTCTTCACATCTCACCGACACTGGTTATTTTCTCTCTCTTTCTAAAAAATAGTAGCCATCCTAATGATTGTGAAGTATCTCATTATAGTTTTAATTTACATTTCCTAATGATCAGTGATATTGAGCATCTTTTCATGTACTTATTGGCCATTTTATATCTTCTTTGAAGAAATGTCTATATAAGTCCTTTGCCCATTTTTGAATTGCATTCTTTGTTTTTAGTTGTTGAGTTTTAGGAGTTCTTTAAATATTATGGATATTAGTCCCTTATCCCTTATCAGATATATGATTTGCAAACATTTTCTCTCATTTCATGGGTTGCTTTTTTATCCTGTTGGCATTGTCTTTTGATGGTCAAAATTTTTAATTTTTATGCAGTACAATTTCTTTTCTTTATTTTGTTGCCTGTACCTTTGGTGTCTTACCCAAACAAGCATTGCCAAATCCAGTGTTGCAAAGATTTTGCCTTATGTTTTTTCTTTTAAGAGTTTTATAGTTTTAAGTCTTTGGTTCATTTTGAGTTAATTTTTGCATATGCTGTTTGTTAAGTTTCTAACTTCATCTGTTTTATGTGGACATCCTGTTTGCACAGTACTATTTGTTGAAAGGACTCACCTTTCCCATTGAATGGCTTGTGACATCTTCGTCAAAAATCATTTGGCCATATACACAAGTGTTTATTTCTGGGTTCTCTGTTCTATTTCATTGGTATGTGTGTCCATCTTTACACCAGTATCACATTGTTTTGATTACTATAGCTTTGTAGTAAGTTTCAAAATTAGGAAATGTGAGTTCACCAGCTTTGTTCTTTTTCAAAATCATTTTTGCTATATGGAGTAGGACACTTCCTTTTTATTCATATATCCTTTTAAGAAATACTCCCTATTTCTTTGTTTGCTTTCCCTAGCTTGTGGCTTTCTGTTATTTGTGGGCACAGGTATTAAAATGGAATCTGTCCTGGTTCCCTTTCAGTTAAAGCAAGATAATAGATGCTATATTTCATTTTTAGCAGTTAAGAGATAGACC
Source organism: Homo sapiens (assembly GCF_000001405.40). Classification (NCBI taxonomy): domain Eukaryota; kingdom Metazoa; phylum Chordata; class Mammalia; order Primates; family Hominidae; genus Homo; species Homo sapiens. The sequence continues at coordinate 21,595,586 of NC_000009.12, forward strand.
TGTTATGCCTGTAAACGATTGACACAGCTTTTAAACTCCGTTACTCACATGAGGCTACAAAAGAGCTGAAAAGGCTATAGAATAGAGAACAAGAGATTATTTATGAGAGGATTTTGGGGGGAGTGGGAACTCTAATCTTTCAACATTGGAGATATTAATTTGTAACACTAAGCCTGGGGAAGGAAGCCTCAGTGGAACCTGGCTATGTGTTTTTTTAAAGGGTGATCTCATTCATGAGAGAAGTCTGCAGAGCACTGTGTTGAGGGGAGATCAAGAGCATACAGACAAAAAAGAGGCACTGCTGTGTCAAGAGCATATGGCCTAGTTGCAGCTGAAGCACAAATTTTGTGCTTCAAAATTTCTGGCAATCACTGGCCTCTCTTATTCTCCCTCTTTTTCTCAACTTAATATGTTATGATCATTGAAACAATGGGCTAGGATATGAAGACCTGGTTTTTGCCAGTGAGTGGGCTCCACCATCTAGCCAAGATATCTTTATGGGAGGGCTTGAGGAAGTGTGACACTATTCTAATCTTTTGTTAAAACAACCCCTGGCCAGAAGTTAGCTGTATGGTCACGCCATCTCAAGTGAGGCTGAGAGTATTGACTTTAGCTGGGCTGCTGTTTGATCAGCTCATACTCCAGCGTTTTCAACAAGTGTCTTCCAGGGTTATCCTGGATGCAAATATCTAGTTCGAAGAAAAAGAAAGAGGACCAGTAAAGAAAGCACACCTAATTCTTAGTGACCTTGGTCTACTAATAGAAGTGAGTAGTTACATGGGTCTATTTAGATAAAAGGGAGGCTGAAACATGTAGTCCCTTGCCACGTAGCCTAAAGAGATTCTAAGATTCTCAAGAATAGCCTCTGTCTTCTGTTTAATGTTTAGGTTAAAAATAAAATCACAGATTACTTAAGAACCTAAAATTCTTAAATTGGAGGGTCATCCCTGTAAAATGAAGTGTCTGAGCTTTTGAACCACACAGACTTAGGCTTAAGCTCCAGCTAGCCCACTGCTAAATACGTGTTTTTGGTGCAAATGATTTAATGACTCTCAGCCTCAATTTGCTCATCTGTAAAGTAGAAATGGGCATTTGGCTGGCATGAGACAACAAATCTAAAATGCTTGGTTTCAGCTTGTTTTGCCTTATTAAAAAGGACTTTATTCCACCCTGACCGGATGTGCTAGGTGATCTTACACAATGTTGAAGAATTTATTTTCCTATTTCACTCTACCATATTCATTCTATAACTGGCTCCTTGTTCTATTATTTCCTCTTACCTGATAATGAATCTAGTAGTTCATTCTGTTCATTTCATTAAATCCCTTTAGTTTAATGCCAAGTCTATCTTGCTCTCAGGGCACAATAACTTCTCAATTTATGGCATCTGGGGGCTCCTGTGAAGCCATCTTGTATTTACCACTGTGTTAGTTAGGATCCTGGAAACAGAAACCATACCAGTAAAAATTACTATTCAGGTTATAGTGGCTTAAAGAAAGGGCTTTGCCTTGGGAGGAGACAGATTATAATACATTCTCCTGGGTTCTAATTTTCTGCCCAGAGTAGAGGAAACAACTTTTTGAAAAGAAAAATCATCTTACAAGCAAGTAGAGCAAAGCCAATGGCAAGAAAAAAAAAGGGTTGGAAGTTTAGTTTGAAGAGACTGGCTGTTATAAGAGGGAATTTAGCTTTCTGGGGGTGCTAGAGACAATATCTCCGTAGATTTTAAATGGCATTCCTTTAGTTCTTGGAGCAATTTTGGCTCTTTACAGAACACCACATAAGCATCGTTTGCTGTACCGACTCTATCTTTTTTAAATTTATGCTCTGCCTTGCTTGGTAACTCATTTGAGAGGTGCTATTGGCTGAAAATAGCATTGAGTCTGCCCTATTCCTGCCTAATGGGAGTGGACAGGAAGTGAGTCCTGAGCAGGGAAGGCGGTAGTGACAGTGGGAGATTTGTCCTGCTGTTCACAAAACATTAGAAATATGGTCCTGCAAGAATTGCCTGCAGAGACCTCTAAACTATTTGCTGAGTAGCAACAGTACTTAAAGTGTCCAGTAGCCATCCAAAGGGTTGCCTTTTCATCAAAGGGGCCACTTCATACAGATACATATGAGACCATCAACTTAGAGTGACAGCAAGTTCATTTACTTATTAATTTTATTAATTGTAGAATGGCCTAAATGCTCAACATTCATCCTTCAAATTTCACTCAGGAAGCTACCCAGAATCTTCTGACTCAGACTACACCCACCGAGCAACATCTTTTGCAGTTTTATAAATTATTCTACTATCTCTTCTACCTGAATAGGAGCTCCTGGAGAATGCAGTTTTATATCTGTAGTGCCTAGCACATAATAAATGTTTAATAAATGTGAGTTAATTGAATTAAGCAGCCTGCTCATTGTGAAGCCCAGCACATGCAGTGTTAGAAATGTTTTAGTCATTTGTTTTCCCCTAGATTTGCTTACTGGAATCTTAAATTTAGAGGAACTTGAAATGGAGAATAAAAACACCACATCTGACCAAGAAACATTATACATGATTGTTCTGAGAGGCAGAGAGGTTAAACAAATTACCTAAGTTCATAGATGTGACCAATGGCCAAGGCAGAACTGGAACTAATTCTCTCACTCTTCATTCAGTAATTTCAGAAATTATGTAGTAAATTACTTTAAAACTAGAAAGCCCTCTCTCTGTTAGTGTTTCTGTTGGTTGCCTGTGGCAACTAAAGTTTCAGTGGGATTTCATCTCATTTTGGGAATTCATGAGACCATCACCCTAATCTCCAGCACTTTGGGAGGCTGAGGCAGGCATATCACGAGGTCAGGAGTTCAAGACCAGCCTGGCCAACATAGTGAAACCCCATCTCTACTAAAAATACAAAAATTAGCCCAGTGTGGTGGTGCCTGCCTGTAGTCCCAGCTACTCAGGAGGCTGAGGCAGGAGAATCACTTGAACCCGGGAGGCGGAGGTTGCAGTAAGCCGAGACCGCACCATTGCACTCCAGCCTGGGCGACGGAGAGAGACTCCATCTTAAAAAAAAAAAAAAAAAAAAAAAAATCCCCATTAGATGTTCCAAAAACTTCTTCCAAAGGATCTTCCAACATTCGTTTTCTTTTTGTCAAAACCAATTGAAAATAAAATGTAAACTAATGTCATTGTATCCTCTCCTTTTTGGATAATTGTCTCTCAAAATTAGAGTACACCGACCACTGCCTCAAAGTATTCAAACAAAATATTAAAACATCTTTGTGATAGAGCTTACAAATGAGATATTTGTTTGGCTTTTCCTAAGCCGAAGATGGTTTTTATCAATTTTACAAAGTAAAGTCATAAACATCATTTAAAATTGCTGTATCAGCTATATTAGGATTTGAATTCTTATACAAAGGTGAAAAAAGTGTTTCTATTTCCAAGTATTGTTTTCCACAGAGCTTCAGCTTAGAAAGAATTCTTTTAAAAGTAGAAGGTCTGTTCTTAAAAAGTAGCACATAAATTACAAACTTTAAATAGAATTAACTTATGACAAAATTATAATAACCAGTATCTATCTATATTGAAGGTTTATTATTCAAGCATGGTTCAAAATCATAGCTTTGCTTTTAACTCATTTAATGTTTATAACCACCTTATAAAGTAGACGCTACTACTGTGCCTACTTTATATAATAATAATAGTACCTAGCACATCTCACATCTTCTGAGCAATGGCTTTGTATTATACAAAATACTAAATTAAGCACTTCATGTACTTTCTATTACTTAATCCTCATAGTGTCCATGAAAGATTAGCACCATCCTTAAGTGAACAAACTGAAGTTCTGCAAGGTTAATTCATTGCCATAAAGCCATAGTTAGTAAATGGTGGAGGTAAGAGACAAACCCATTTCTATCTAATTCAAAGCCCATGCTCTGTCCACAGGCAGCAACCCCTCTGAAGATGGGAAGAAATTTGTAATTTCTTTCCAACTCCTGTTAAAAAACTCACAGAACCTCTCCCTGCCTACTTTACTGCTATCTTTAGCCTAAGGTTCATAAGTTGATTTTGTTAAGTTTAGAGATGATATTAAAAATATTTAAGAACTGCATGGATACCAACTCATCCGTGCCACTCCAGTGGTCAGTGCAACTCCAGCTTTATTTCTATGTTACTGGACCTTAGTTGGGCATGTGGTGGGACCAGGAGGACCAGAATAATAGGATGCTACTCATGAGTCTCAGAGAGGTGCCTGCCTGTCAACCACCATGGAAATATTTTAAGTAGTGATACTTGTATTAAGAAATGAGTATCCAGCCAGGCACCGTGGCTCATGCCTGTAATCCCAGCAGTTTGGGAGGCCGAGGTGGGCAGATCACTTGAGCCCAGGAGTTTGAGACCAGCCTGGGCAACATAGCGAGACCCCATCTCTACTAAAAGTTAAAAAATTAGACAGGTGTGGTGGCAGCCACCTGTAATCCCAGCTACTCAGGAGGCTGAGGCATTAGAATGGCTTGAACCTGGGAGGCAGGGGTTGCAGTGAGCCAAGATTGCACCATTGCACTGCAGCCTAGGCAACGAAGCAAGCCTCTGTCTCAAAAAAGAAAAAAAAAAATGAGTATCCAATAATAACTTCAAAAGAAAGAAAGGAAGGAAAGAAAGAAGGAAGGAAAGAAGGGAGGGAGGGAAGGAGGGAGGGAGGGAAGGGAGGAAGGACGGAAGCTAAGAAAGAATGAATCTTGGCCACATGAACTAATTGCAGGAAGAAACTGAGAAGTAGTATGACATGAAGACTAGGAGCTTAGTCTCTGGAAGCAAGCTGACTGGCTCAAATCATAGCTTCCTTGTTATGTGACGTTGACAAATTGGCCTCTGTGCTACAGTTTTCTCATCTCTAAAATGCGTGCCATAATAATACTTACCTCGTATGCTTGTAGTGAGTCCTGAGAGAGATAACCCAAGTTTTCAACCAGCAAGAGCTTTCCACTACTGTAATATTTACATTCTTAATATTTCCTCTTGGAAAAGCCTGTATTTTTTTTATCTAATAGTCTTATAGTTAATGACAATTCTTCGCGAGTTACATTAATGGAGGGCAGCAAAGACATAGATACTCCAAAACAACAGATAATGATGAAGATTATTCTTAATGGCTTTTAAAAAATGCTTTCTGAGATGTTTTTTCCCTTGCAGATTAATCTCCACTTCAATTCACCAAATGCGTATTGAATGCCCATTGTGGATTGGTCACTGTGTCACACCAGGGGTACAGAAATTAATAATATGGAATCCCCGAGCCTGAGGAAATCAGTTTACCGTGAAAACAAATGTGCAAACAATCCTTTACAATGGGCTTATATAAAGTGGGTGGAGCCATCATGTTATGGAGTCATGTAAGGTTTTACGGATAAGGTACACATTACCCTCAGTGAGCAAGAGGGGAAGAAACATCCCAGGCAGGGAAACAGCATGCAAAGGAAGGACAAGAAGGCTGGAAAGAGCATGATCTGTTTGGGGAACAGACAGGCGTTCATGTGGACACAGTGAACGGTGTACATGGGAGAGTGGAGGAAGTGGAGGCTCAACACATATGAGGAACCAGACTGAGAAGGACTTGATTTGCCATTGTAAGGAACCTGGATATAATCCTGTAGACAAAGGACCTCCTCAGGAGTGGTATGCTCAGCCATGTGTTGTAGAAAGATCACAGTGGCAGTGGCAGCAGGAGACAGGTTGAGTCTGAAGGGATGACAGGAAGAAAGTTAACTTTTCCTTTATGATACACTTTTATTGGCACTGGATATGCATTATCCCTTTGCAATGTGATACCAGAAATGCACCAGGTGGCAGAGGGCAGCTGGGTTGTAAACCATTTAATGTGCTGTGGACAGCTAGACCTGTGCTTCTGGAAGGAGCCTCTCACCCGCAGGGTTTGTGTCCCTAACTTGTGCTCCCATGTCATTTGTTTTTAACCTCTACAATGCTCTTAGCACCCTGAATTGTTCCTTTACATGTTTATCTGCCACTATGAACACTGGCTCTTTGAGGCCAAGGATAATGCCACTTCCTCAGGCCGCAGTGAGGCTCATGGAGCACAGCCATGAAGAGAAGACAGCAGTGTGACCCACGGTATCTGGGGTAAACTCTCCTTGGCATCCTGTCATATTTCGGATAGAACCTCAACAGGGCTCCTCTTTGGTCCCACCAACTCGTTTCACTTCACAACTGCCCCAAGCTCTTGCCCGTCTTGGAACCTGCCCACATGCTGTTTCTTCCTCTCCTTCCTCCACCTAACTCTGAAAGGGAGACTCCTTCTTTTTCTTCATCCTAAAGTAAATATCACCCATGAAGGGAGGCCATTCCTGATCATGATTGTCCTCTGTGTAGGTTCCCTCGCTCACTCCATGCCTTCAGTCTTCACTGTGCCTCTTTGCTCCTTCATAGAATGTGTTGAAATCTGGAGTTATAACTCCTTTTCTTTAATACACTATAATTACTTCGTGAAAATTCATAATATGTAATATTTAAGGCTCTGAAACATTCTGCAGCTAAAAAAGTTTTAAACTTTGTTTAAAAAACTTGATAAACTGGGTTTAGCAAGCTTATTGGAGGACAGAAATCTCTCCCTTATTTGTGTATATTTTTGGAGAAATGAAAGAAATGTAGAAAAGTTTTAAGGATAATATAATAAACACCCATATTTCCACTATCCAGAATTAACAATTGTTAACATTTTGTCATAGTTGCTTGCTGCCAGTGTTATATAAGAAATTAAAAGTTGCAGATAAATATAAATATCTCTTAATTACAACCCCTGAGGCTCATTCCTCTCCCCACTTCCCAGAAACTATTACCAAAATTAGTTTTGAGTGTGCACTTCCAAATATGTTTTTATACTTTTATATACATGTAGTAGTATCCATTACTGTCAAACTTTTGTGCTTTTAAATTTACATAAATAAATATATAATTTTTTAGTCAACATTATTTTTAGATACATTTATGAATGATTTTAACTGGTATAGACAGCCATAAAAGTATGCTATGATTTGTTTATCTATTTCTTATCTACAAATGGACATTAAGTCAGTCATCAAGTTTTTTGCTAATAAAAAATATGTTGTAATGAACATATCTCTGTATAGCCTATAGATCAAGAATGTTTTCATTTTTGTTTTTAAGACATGTACCCAAGTGGAACTGCTGGGTCATAGCATGGACACATTTTTAATTCTACTGTATATTTATTAAATTGCTTTTCAGTGTGGCTTTAGCAATTTAAATCTGTGCCAGCAATGTGTGAGAGTAGCATTTGCCCAATATCTGTACCAGCATCTGCTATCTCATATTCTTTATTCCAACTAATAGGTGAAAATGGTATCTCATTGTGGTTTTAATTTCTATTTCCCTAGTTATGTGTGAAATTGAATTATATACAGACCCTATCTATTTTAAGATTTTAGCTCCTGGAGAAGGCTAAGTTGGATAGCCGAACTATTCCTGGAATTGTGCCTTGAATAGGCTTCTTTCTTCCAGGATATGATATACTTTGCACTTGCCCAGTCTTTGGCACAGAGAATGCATTGATTCATCTTAGCTGAGTGAATTAATAATGAAAATGTGATATGTAAATAGGGCAAGGAACAGTTAACAAGTTACATTAATGACTTTTACATTTTTACATTTATTATTTATCATACATATTTATTATAATATATCCATAACTAATATTACTGGGGATACACATCTTTGAAAAATATGTCATTGTTACATTTCTTCAAACTATTATTAAACACTTTTTGAATACTTTCCTTTGTAGGCAAGTTGATTTTTCTAGAGTTTGACAATAATCAACATTTAATATTATTTCTCTTGTGCACCTATTTAGAAAGCCCCTTTTTTGCCCAGGAACAGTACTTCAGCACCTTTTTCCATATAGTTGCAAATTATTAATTAAGGAAATATTCCTAATTTAGTCTCTAAATTGAGTTCACAGTGCTTAACTTAGAAAGACATAACCACCTATTTTTGTTTTCCAAAATGTTTTATTGGTCTCCTTTTCAATTTAAAAATTACAAAACTATTTATGCTCACTGTAACAAGTCAAGTGCTATAGGAGGATATTAACAACTTTATTCATTTAATCCAAATATATTTGTTGAAGTCCCACTGTATTCCAAACAATCTGATAAACAGGTGGATATAACGAAGTGGATAGGTAGGAAATAGAAAAATCACATTCATTCATTCAACAAACACTGCTATACATCAGGCACTAAATTATGCCCTGAGGATACCAAAAAGAGTAAGATATCATGCCTGCTTTTCAGGAATTTGCTGCCTGGTGAAAACATAAAGACCATACAACATGATCTCTACTGGAAAGAATAGAACACATGGTCTCTCTAAGGATTCTAGGGAAATTAGGGGATTCTTTGCTGGGTAAGGCTGAGGTAATTTAGGCCAAAGAGCCAGCCTAGTGAAATGTTTACACAACTGAGAGTGGGATTATCAAGGAAGATGACACAGGTGGTAGTCAAAAATAAAGTCAAAGGTCAGAGCCAGAGAGCAAATCTCTCTGAGGGATGTAGTAGAGGTCAGAGACTGGGAAGGCACAGAGCTGGGAGAGATAAGCTTGAGATACATAACAGTAGTGAGTTCAGCCAGAAGTTGTGGCCAGTATAAGAGTGACCAAGGTCTGTTTTTATGTGGTGTCAACTGTGGAATATGGAACCGGGACTGGTCAATTAAAGAAGCCCAGTAGGACCACACAGATTGATGTCAAGAGCACATGAGGTTTGTTTCATAAAGAATGAGTAGTAATCTGCCAGGCAGTCAAAGTGAAGGAGGGGCAGAATTGGCCAATGCATTGGATGCTTCAGAGAACCTGGAGGTTCAAGCAATGGTGAAAGGTAAGGCTCCATCAAAGGGTAGGTAGGAGCACATGTAATCTGAGGCTGATGGCAGGGCATGGTGAGGGGTTTAGAGGCTATCACATGGCTTTAAGTGAGGAGAGAACATGATTTGAGTTTTGTGTGAAAATTGTACAGGAGAACACTGAGGAAGATAATAAAACAGCCAAACAAGAAGAGAAGATGGCCAGAAACAAGGCAGGATAGAGAGAGGAGAGGGTGAGGAGTTGAGAAATATGTCAGGATGCAGGAAAAAAAAAACAAAAACACATGTCAACTATTTCCTATTCTTTTTTTTCTGAAATAACCAACTGCAGAGAAAATGCAAGAAGAATGGAATTGAATATTTCTTACTCACTTTTATAAAATTTCATTATTTTTGGAGAATGTAACTAGAGAATTTTAAAAGTGCAATAGGAGAAGCATTTTTCTTTCAGTTGCAGCTGAAAGCAAGAAGGGTATAATCACATGAAAATAAAAACTTAGGGCAAAGGAAAATTTCAAGCCTTTAACAGAGGACGTATCTGTCATTGTTTGCTGATCAATAAATTATTTTCTAACAAATTGGCATTGATTTTTAATAAGGCTATAAGCCTGATAACTGTTTGAACGTGTCTTGTATATTTTATGTTCTACTAGAGAAGACATATGTTGGTATGTTAATTTATTCATCTACTGATGGATAAATAAGTAAAATGATGAAATAATAAATTCCAGCTCTTATAACCAGAATTTCAAGTCGTAACCTGGAAGCATTTTCCCACTTTACAAATTATGATATAAATATGATCTAATGTCTTCCCTTAGAAATAGAATTTTAAATTGCCTTTTAAGGAATCATTAATTCTATACTATGTTCCTGGCTTCAATAAGAAAATAACTTCCTTAATCTTTCTTTCCCTGAGTCTCGACTACTTTTCTCTCTGATCTGTTCCATTTTCCACAAAGTTCTTTTAAAACATGAAATGCCCACATGTGTGTTTCTTCTTTCCCTTCAGCAGCTGAATTTTCTGCCACATATTTACATGATCTGGTGGCCAGCTCATCAGTCCATTCCTCTCATGTGGAAATCACTGGAGTGCAAAACCCTCTCCGGGTGGCACTGCACTAATTATTTGTACGACATGGCTAGAGGAGCCATGCTTGCTCCGGATTCATTTTGAACTTATCAAGGAAGGATGTGGATGACATCAGAAAAGGATTTTACAAGACTCTGTCTAGACTGCCAAAACAATCTGTGGTGGGAGAAAATTGCGTAAATATGGGCTACCAGGAAACAGTCATTTTTCTTCTCCCCTCCTTGTGGTCCTTTTTTGGTGTGGAACAGAGTGCAGCCTGGGCTGGCAATTCTGTAAATTATACTCTTTGAATCATGTAATAATAACTCAAGGACCAGAATGATTTAATGCCATATGGTAAGTGAATGTGGGAATCATCTCAGACCAAATAAATAAATAGAAGAAGCAAGTGACTTTGAGCTCGTTTTAACTTACATGTCTCTTCTAAATTTCTTAGCTTTATCCAAGATTTTGTGGGCATTAGCTAGACAGACACTACAAGGCTAAATAATAAATGGACAAGTGATGATCCAGGTTTTCTCCTTTGGATGGAACACAGGGCCCAGAACCAACCCATGGATATCTATGAGAGCCTCTTTCCCTGTACCCTAACTACTGAGGGTCTGGCAGAGCCTCATATTAGCTAAATTGGGGGAAGGAAGTCCAAAACGGCTACCATGTGCCAAACAATGTGCTGTTTTCCGTAATGCTAAGATCCAACCCTTAAAAAGAATAATTTGGTGAGTTTTCATCTTTGAGTTTCCTTTTTAATTTTTGAACCCAGAAATGGTCACAAAAAATGGAAATAGATGCACTCCTTGAAGTGTTAAACTTGTACTATGGGTGACATTTGTCTCTATTTTAAACAAAACTTGGAACTCAAGAAAAAGATTCAGAGTTACATAGAACTGAATCTAAAATCCTAACAAGCATTGCTTTTTCTTCCTGTTTTTCCCTTTTCTGGGTTCCTATTCTATCTTTGGCAGCAATTATCTTTCCCCTACTCACAGACCACCATATACTTTTTACCACCATGCTGTTTTAGATCACTCAAATCTGTTCAAAATTGGCCTATTTGGGGGCCCATATTTTTCAAGGACTGGTTGAGGGTTCCTGAAAATTCAGACTAAAGTGTAAATGACCAATTATGCTACATAACGAATCATTTGAAAAATTAGTGGCTTAAAGAAACAACCATTTAAAAAAGCATTTTATGATTTTCTGGTTTGGCTAGAACCTGCATGATTCCTCTACTGGCCTCACCTGGGGTTTCTTATGAGGTTATAGTCAGATGGTATTTGGGCTGCAGATGGGACTTGGTGGTTGATACCTTGGCGCTCCTCCACGGCTCTCTCTTCCTGGCTTCTCATCTTCCAGGACCTCTCTCTCCATCAGATGGGCCTAGACTTCGTACATGGTGGCTCATAGCTCCAACAGGAAGGAAGTAAAATATTCCAGGCCTTCTTAATGCCTGGACTTAGAAGTCTCAGCACATTAGTTTCTTTGTAGGCCCAGCCTGAATTCAAGAGACAAGGACATAAGCTCTATCTCTTGGTGGATGGGATAACATGTGTGCACATGGAAAGAAAGAATTGTTTGAGGCCAATTTTAAAGAGTAACTACCACCTAAGCATCTTCATATTGGGAAAAGAAAGAAAAAGGAGAAGGAAGGAAGGAAAGAAGGAAGGGAGGAAGTGAGGGAGGGAGGGAGGGAGGGAGGAAGGAAGGAAGGAAGGAAGGAAGGAAGGAAGGAAGGAGGAAGGGAAGGAAGGGAGGGAAAGAAAATGTTCACAGAAGTCATGCATTAAGGGAGTCTCCACTGCTGGATATTTTAGGTAACATGACTACGTTGTAAAAGAGATGATTTGGAGTATGCTTTTAGCTCAAATTGTACTGTGAGGGGACATTTTACATTTGCTGGAGTAAACCTATTCTAGTTGTACCTTCACATCTCTCCTGCGAGTCATGTAACCTCTACCTTGCCCATCGGACACATTTAGTCTCAGCCTTAACATATGGAGAATCAGAGCAGACCAACTAGCCTGGACACAGCACAGTCCCCTCCAACACAGTGCAGAACCTCAGAGAATCTGTGAACTGGGTAGGAGGTAGAAGGTAAGTAAGCAAGGGCAATATTTGTGTATGTAAAGGCTTAGAGACAGAAAAGCATGTGGTATGGATGGGTAACAGTGTGCAGCTGTGGTTAAAAGGGAACTCCGCTTTAGAAATCCAATGTTCCAGTCACCATTCTGTCATTTGCTGGCAATGTGACTTATGACAAATCACTGCAGTTCTTGAACCTCTAGTTTCCTCAAACGGGTAATGAGGAGGTCTGTTGTATCAAAAATGAAGGGAGGTGCATGGTTAAAATTATTTTGTTAACTAAAGTGCTTTGCAAATGCAAAATTACAAAAGCATAAGATGAGAAGTCATAGAAGATAAACTATAAATTTTAAAAAACTAAACTATTTTTCTAGTTCATGACAGATTAAAAGAAAAATAACAAGAAACAAGTGCAGTGAAGCTGAAATAAATTAAAAAGCACATAAACCACATAGATGGCTTATAATGAGTCTATTCCATCTAAAAACACACTTTACGTTGCTTTACAGTTGAATTCACACACCTGGTTTAATCTGGAAATTGGTATACATCATTTTAAAAGTTTTAATTAACTAGTTCTATTTGCAATGCAAATAGGTATATTTGCATGTATTTAATTGTATTTAAAGCAGAGATGATTTATCAAGAGCAGAAGTTACTCCATTATTTAAAGTCCCACAGGTGTTTGCCTTTCACATTCTAGGACAATTAGCTGACTTGCACTAATTTGGGACTTGTACTAACGTTACAGTTAGTATGCATAGGACGTCATCGAAAACAAATGAGTCACAGGAAAAATTGTTTTATATAGAGCGTTAACTCTTGTCATTAACTTAGATGATTTGACTCTGGCTGTAAGACCAAATGTAGTGAGGAGCGGAGACAGGGAGGACAAAAGAGAAGAAGCTGCTTCCTCCTGCCTTTAGTACAGGGTTCAAAGGGTATGTCTGCACAAAATCCTAGGGCCAGCACTGACATATGAGTTTTCACATGCATATGGAGTGAGAAGTTGACTGAGCGTGTGCCTGTAGCCCTGAGTGGGTTTTCTTTTGCCTCCCTGTTGAAACATAAAATACTGCACTCACCAGTAGAGAATGACTCATTTATGGAGACCCCCTTGAAACTTAAGGCTCCAAGAACCTGTGTGTAGTTTTCAGGAGGACCAAAACAGGTCCAGGGCAAAGCAAGCTTGATGGAGCACTTGCCAGCAGCCAACTGCACAGGATTTAAGATGGTACAACTGGTAATAATAGCACTGAGACAGTGGATTCAGGCTGTGAGGTGGTCCTAGTTTTGATGAAATTGACACTGATATTGATGTCTCTAAGCACATGGGGATGTCAAGATGACTCAGATATATATTTAATGGCCTCCTCTTGCAATGTAATATTTAGAATTCCTTCCCTTTCATGTTTGTAAATCTGGGAGATATTATCACCTGAAAAGCTAAGACAGGCTGGTTCAAAAAACCTAAAAGAGCAAGCTCTGGGGTTTCAAACCTTCTTCCTATGTTCTGTAGTTCAATCTCATTAGACTATTCCACACTGCTCAAACATCCACATTCTTAAATAACTTTGTGCGTCTACTAATTTTTTTCTGTAAATTAAAGTTTTATAACTTCCACTGTGATAACTTCTCTGATTTTTTCATCAGAATTAATTGTTTTTAGTGTCAGAGGTGTGTGAACCAGAGCAAGTCCATCTTCAATAGGGGCTGGGTAAAATGGGGCTGATACTTACTGGGCTGTATTCCCAGACAGTTAAGGCATTCTAAGTCACAGGATGAGACAGGAGGTTGGCACAAGATACAGGTTATAAAGACTTTGCTGATAAAACAGGTTGCAGTAAAAAAGCCGGCTAAAACCCACCAAAAACAAGATGGCAATGAGAGTGACCTCTGGTTGTCCTCACTGCTGCACTCCCACCAGCACCATTGCAGTTTACCAATGCCATGGCAATGTCAGGAAGTTATGCTATATGGTCTAAAAAGGGAAGGCATGAATAATCCACTCCTTGTTTAGCATGTAATCAAGAAATAACCAAAAAATGGGCAACCAGCCTCCCTTGGCGCTGCTCTGTCTATGAAGTAGCCATTCTTTTATTCCTTTACTTTCTTAATAAACTTACTTTGTCTTTACCCTGCAGACTCACCCTAAATTCTTGTGTGAGATCCAAGAACCCTCTCTTGGGGTCTGGATCCAGACCTCTTTCTGTAACACTAGCTCTGGGAAGAATCCTAACTTAACACTGTAAGTATGCTATTCAATTTAATCTTTATAACAACCATATAAAGCAATTCTCATAAGCTCCATTTTACAGATAAGGAAGATGAGGAAGGGTTCAAGAGTTTAAGTAACTTACCCAAATTCAAACTGATAATAAATAGTGGTGACATGATTATAACTCACACCTATTTGTGACTCAGGAACTGATTCTCTCCTGACTTACTATGATGTGCCTCCATCTAACCCTTATTTCAATATCTCACATTATAGTCATGTATGTGACTGTTTCTTCCATAAATTGCTTAAAGGAAGGTATTATTTACTCTAGATGCCTGTTGCCACTACAATGCATTACATATGCAAATTTTAATGTTCGTTGTAATAAAATTAAATCAAATTCCTTTTCTGCCACTTTCAACCGAGATATTTTTCAGCTGTTGTAACCTCTAACTCTGATTCTTCTTTTTTTTTTTTTTTTTTTTGAGATGGAGTTTCACTCTTGTTGCCCAGGCTGGAGTGCAATGGCATGATCTCGGCTCACCACAACCTCCGCCTCCTGAGTTCAAGCGATTCTCCTGCCTCAGCCTCCCGAGTAGCTGTGATTACAGGCATGCACCACCACACCCAGCTGATTTTTTTGTATTTTTAGTAGAGACGGGGTTTCTCCGTTTTGGTCAGGCTAGTCTCGAACTCCCGACCTCTGGTGATCCGCCCACCTTGGCCTCCCAAAGTGCTGGGATTACAGGCGTGAGCCACCGCGCCCGGCTAACTCTGATTCTTTTGGTAGAGATAGGGATACTCATTAATTTAGTCACCACATGAGGGGTGAGTGAATCAATGCTGATGCTGGTAAATTTTTCACTTTTATACTTCTGCAATGCTGACAAGGCTGCTGATGTATGACAAACATCTTGGCTCAGCTCAGATGAATAAAACCAAATTGTTTGTACATGCTAATGTAATAGATGGCCCTCTTTGCTCTTACAGAAATTGCAGCTTGATTATTAATTATAAATGCCCTAGGACTATGTGCTTTTGGCAAGCTACAAGTTCTTCCTTGTCTAAGTTTTTCTTTACTTTTCAGAATGAAAAATGAAGAAATGAGCCATATTTGTATCAAGGGAAGTACACAGTTACAAACCAAGCTATGGTTTTGAGAATTTAATTACTATTGCTAATCTGCTTAAAAGTGACTAAAACCAAATAAGTGGCTCAAATTTTTGCTTCATAGATTCTTTATAGATGCAAAATACATTGACCCTCCAGACCAATACATTTTGGCCTTAACACTGGAGCAGCAATTGGCTTTGCTCTAGACCTGTATAATTCTCATTTTGCTTGATCTCCTCAGGAGATCAATGTGCACATCAGCACATTTCCCCAACTCTCAGTTGCCAAATTAGCATCTCCATCTGCCCTGTCTACACAAGTTTGTCGGATTATTGAACTCCTGATTGGCTACATTCTGACATAAGTGCTTTCTTTAGATAACACCTTCCCTTCCTTGTTATTGGTTTTTCTTGGGTTCTGTCTTTGAATTTACCTGTTCTTTCAAAGGACTCAGCAGGCTGCATGGCTGCAAAGCAGGTGCAAGGGCTAAAAAGACTCAGCAAATTATACTCTAAGAGCAAAGTCCAAAGAGTCAGAGGGGAAAAAAAGGAAGAATTAAGATAATTCCAAGAGAGGCCACTATGGAAGTGAACTATTGATCTTTCTGTAGAGATGAAGAACAATCTGGGAGGTATAAGGAGAAGAAAATTAAATTGACAGTCATCTATTTTAAGTGGTCCAAACCAAATGATCAAACCAAAGCATTTCATTGAGTTTCTTGAACTACCACTGGTTGTTGCAAAAATGTATTCAATGTCATTAAAACAACTCTTATTTGTCTAATTCAACTGAATTGTTCAACCTTCACTTAGTGTTTCAGCCTAGCAAAGGAAATATGAGAATGAGCAAAATCCTAGTTATTTTTACAGGCTTAATTGCATTCTTACATTTCCAAATGACAATTCACCCTAGAAAGCCCCACCCAATTGAATTTCCTGCTCTTCATCTATTTTTCACAAGTTTCTCTTTCTAAACTTATTCTTTCACTCACCTTTTCCTCTCCACATCTTTTCAAATTTCAAAGAGGCAGTGGTTGGGGCATAGCCAGGTTTGGGCAATAGGCTTAGGGCAGGAAGGTGTGGTTAGGGTGGAGGTGGTAAGAAGGCATTCTAGCTCTTTTATTTTCGCATTTCAGGTCTTGGTAAAATGCAGTCTTTGTATGTGTGGGTGTTTTTCTATGATGTGCAGGTATGCACAACTCTATTCCCTCAAATGAGTAACCATGAGTATGTCAATCTTGGAATAGCCTATGAATTTATATTACCTACAGAGGAAACTGTGCAGTCAGAGGCAATTTCACATGGTGCTCAACTTTCCAAATAATGCAAACAACCAAAATTATTTCACAAAAAGAAATTAGGGAGATTGATTTTTTTCATTTCATTTTTGAGTGGGAATAATCATATTCTCAGTAAGGCATTTATTTGAAAATCATCACTCTGAATGGATAAATACCTTCATAGGCACAAGCCAAATTTAATTCAGCATTGTTATGGCAACATCAACATAATAAACTATTAATTTATTAACAAAAGGCAATAATTTAGTTATATACAGGGAGTTTCTGAGAACATATGCCCAGAAATCTTTATAGAAAGATGTTTTGTGAACAGTTTATGGCTTTGGTGTTAAGTGTTTAGAAATGATGCTCTGTAGCCAGGCACGGTGGCTCACGCCTGTAATCCCAGCACTTTGGGAGGCCGAGGCGGGCGGATCACCTGAGGTCAGGAGTTCGAGACCATCCTGGCTAACACGGTGAAACCTCATCTCTACTAAAAATACAAAACATTAGCCGGGCGTTGTGGCGGGCGCCTGTAGTCCCAGCTACTCAGGAGGCTGAGGCAGGAGAATGGCGTGAACCCGGGAGGCGGAGCTTGCAGTGAGCCGAGATCATGCCACTGCACTCCAACCTGGGTAACAGAGCGAGACACTGTCTCAGGAAAAAAAAAAAAAAAAAAGAAATGATGCTCTGTAGTCAAAAAATGTTGAAGCAGAATGAAGCCTTAGAGACTACCTGGTACTATCTGTCACTTTACAGAAAGAAAATGGGTAGCTCCTAATTGAGTAACTCCAGGTCATTCCCCTCATTAGAAGTAGAGGCAGAGAAGCAGGATCCCTCATTCTGCACCTTCCATTAAGCCAAACTGACTTTTCTTTTCTTTTTTTTTTTTTTTTTTTGAGACAGAGTCTGGCTCTGTCACCCAGGCTGGAGTGCAGTGGCGCAACCTCAGCTTACTGCAACATCCGCCTCAGGAGTTCAAGTGATTCTCCTGCCTCAGCCTCCAGAGTAGCTGGGATTACAGGCGCCCACCACCACGCTTGGCTAATTTTTGTGTTTTTAGTAGAGAGGCGGTTTCGTCATGCTGCCAGGCCTGTCTCAAACTCCTGACTTCAAGTGATTTGCCCCCTCGGCTTCCCAAAGTGCTGGGATTTCAGGTGTGAACCACTGCTCCCAGCCCCACACTGTCTTTTAGGGCTCCTTTTCAATCTAGGATGTCACAATCCTGAGCAAACTCTATCAGGACCATAAGTGTTGAAAGAAATAAAACATTCTTGAGTTTTTAACATTGTAAAGACTAGTGTAGATGGCATAAATGTTCATTGAGACCTTAAGTTCAATCAGGTATAGTTATGCTTTGATATTAATGTCCATATATTTGTCTCCTGCCAAAATAATTATTTTATAGTTATAGCAATTTAAGAAAGTTTCAATGCAATGTAAATAGACATTTAAAATATGTAGAGAGCACTCTGATTCCCAAATTCATTATGAATGACACATGAACAGTGTAAGGGAAGCTTAATTTCACCTTTTTTTCTTATTTAAGAACTCACACAAATTTCATTACAAATAGAAAAGTCAATATTAAGTTGAATTTTCCATACAAGTAGATTTGTAATGGAAAAAGGAGATAGGCGCAACAAACTAACTCCGTATGAAATTTAGAAGGTTGGTTGGAAAAGCCCGTGGCTAATTTTCAGGAGAGGATCAATTCCATTCTGATTTTAGTGAATGATGTGTAATTATCCTTTTCCTTAGATTTCAATTGAAAATTTCTTTTCTTCTTTAGTTCTTAAATCTGCCTTTAGTTATTTGACACAGTACATTTGAAGTAAACATGTAAAGTATACTCAGGGATAAAAAATATAAATTATTT
Organism: Homo sapiens; assembly: GCF_000001405.40. Taxonomy (NCBI): domain Eukaryota; kingdom Metazoa; phylum Chordata; class Mammalia; order Primates; family Hominidae; genus Homo; species Homo sapiens. The sequence goes on from NC_000009.12 coordinate 21,614,134, forward strand.
TCCCCATCATAATTCTGTGAATTTGTGTTCATAGATCTGCATAAATTACATACCTTTCTGAAATTTTCTGATGCAATTTAAAAAACAACCTTCTTTTGAGATACTTCTTTTTCTGATTGTTTCTTATCCAATTTTCATTTTTTCTAATTTTTCCAATGATAGGATTCTTTCATATACATTTTTTTCTTTGTAGACACAGGGTTTTGCTTTGTCATCCTGGACAAAGTGTCATCTTGGAGTGTAGTGGCACAATTATAGCTCACTGCAGCCTCGAACTCCTGGGCTCAAGTGATCCTCCCATCTCAGCCTCTAGAATATATGTAACTACAGGTGCTGGCCACCACACCTGGCTTAATTTTTCCAATGACATCAGAGAAGAGAGAGGAAAAACAGGAAGTGAAACAGACAGACAGACTTGGGAATATACGTAAAGGTTATTGTTTTTGTTGGTTTGTTTGTTTGTCATCAGTGTTAACATCAAAATTGATAAGCCATATCGACAGCATATACCCTTTATGTGACTAGAATAGTGCTCTACCTCTGTGGTCTTTTTTCCAAAAGCACATAATCCCCACCTAATCACAAGAAAACCATCAGCCAAATCTCAGTGAAAGAAGTTCTACAAAATGCCTGACCATAATCCTCAAAACTGCCAAGGTCATTGAAAATTAAGAAAGTCAGGGAAACAGGAGCCTATGGAAAGATGACTATTAAATGTAATGTGGTATCCTGGATGGGAATCTGGAACAGAACAAGAATACCAGGAAAAAAATGAGAACAACTTGATAAAATGTGGACTTTAGTTAATAAAAATTATCAACATTGGTTCATGAATTGTGACAAATTATCTCACATTACCATACTAATGTAAGATCTTAACAATAGGGGAAATTGGATGTGAGTATATGGGAACTCTCTGAGCTATCTTTCAATAATTCTGTTAATCTGAAACTGCTCCAAAATGTACAGTTTATTTTCTATAAGAAGCATATTAGCATCCCTGTATAGAGGAAGAGGAGGGGGAGGGCATTCTAGCAGAAGTTACAGCCTATGCAAAGGCATCCACGATATCACCTAGCCCATGGCTCCTCCCCTTCCATTTTACCTTTGAAGGAATCTAGACCCAGAGTCCTCAATATTCTATTCCTTAGCTCCCCCTATTCCAATGCAAATGGAATCAGTGAAAGAACAATGGAGTTGGGAGATGGAAATCTGGGTTTCAGTTCTGTTTCTCCCACTTCCTAACCATAAGACCTTGAGCAAAGTGCTTATAGTCTTTAAACAGGTTTTTGTTTTGTTTTGTTTTGCTTTTTATAGAACTAACAACTCCTGCTTAATTAGTGAGACTGTTGCAAGGATCAAAAGAGAAAACAGATGTGAAAAAACAAGTGAAAGCTGTGATTATTTTCATTTCCCACATCCTGATTGCTCTATCAATCCCCCTCCCACTCAAACCCCAGTGACAACTTTTAGTTACACTCGTTGGCTCTGCAGGCTCTGGGAAGGAAAGCTTATCTTAAGTTCCCAGACTAAAGGCCCATGTGCCAGGTAGTTGGCTGTTTCTTTGTTGATTAGCCTCAGAGTGATGCTGCAATGGGTAAAATGGTAGCAGGAGCAATGAGGAATAATGAGTTTCATCCTAGGCGTCACTTGTTCGCACCCGCTAGCCTAGGAGATGATTATACTAGAGGGATTTGATGCAAGCATAGGTCAGAAAAACAGAGTTCAAAACACACACACCATCTTTTGCTGCATCAGTTAGTATCTCTATATTTCAGTTTTCTCATCCAAAAAATGTGGATTATATTTTCTACTCTACATACTTCCCATAATACCCTAAATTTATTATAGAAAATACCACATATTAAAATTATCCCCTCACCAGTGTCTCTAAAATAAGATTACAATTTCCCTCATATCATAAAGCAGTTCTTGTTTATAGTTATATACTCAGTATTTGGTATATATTAGATGTTAAACAAATGACTGGTAAATTTAAAATTGGAAATTCTATGTGTCAGATTTCATATCCATGACTAACTCCATTACCTCATATAACCTTTGGAATCACTCGGGGGTGGAGGTAGTGGGGTGAATTAATATGCTCATTTTACAACTCAGGTTCTGAGAAGTGACCAAGTACAGGCTTCCACCCCAGGCCCTGGCTCTTGCAAATCTGAATACCCACGTCTGGAATGCTCTGCTCCCAGACGTCATAGCAGTTCACTCTCTCACCTCTTACAAGTTTTTACAGAAATGTCACTTTCTCCTTGAGGGCTTCTCTAACCAGTCTATGTAAAATTTCAAATCTTATTCTTACCCACAACTCCCTCTTTCAAAGCCTGCTTTATTTTTGTCTATAGCAATTATTATACTCTGATTTCCTAATAGCCTACTTTTAAATTTTGTTTACGATCTGCCTTCCCACTTCCCCTTTACATACACAGAGTCAGAATGTAACCATCATCAGGCCAGGAATTTTTTCCTGTTTTGTTTACAGATGAATCCCCAGGACTTAGAAGAGTGCCTGGCACATTGAATGAATGAATACATGCATGCATGAGTGAATGAATGGGCGTCGAGACCTGGGCTCTATGTTATATTCAGTTCTATCATTTTATATCAAGAGGGTTCTGCACAGTAAATAAGAGATTTTTAAATAAAGTGATCTCATATCTTTGTTGGGTTTTGTTGATATGATTGTTTTATTTATTTTATTTTTATTTTTATTTTTTTTGAGACAGAGTCTCGCTTTGTCACCCAGGCTGGAGTGCAGTGGCGCGATCTCAGCTCACTGCAAGCAAGCTCCGCCTCCCGGGTTCAGCCATTCTCCTGCTTCAGCCTCCCCAGTAGCTGGGACTACAGGCGCCTGCCACCACGCCCGGCTAATTTTTTTGTATTTTCAGTAGAGACGGAGTTTCACTGTGTTAGCCAGGATGGTCTCGATCTCCTGACCTTGTGATCCGCCCGCCTCGGCCTCCCAAAGTGCTAGGATTACAGGAGTGAGCCACCACTCCCGGCCTGTTTTATTTATCTTTTTAATGACACTTAGATTCGTTTGTTAGAGATTAGGAGTACTACTTGGAATTCAAGAAGCTCTTGTAGCCCCTGAATAAAATTTTATCTGTCGAAGCTAAGTCATGGAGAAGGAATTAAAACAGAACCAGAGAAGTTTCTTTATTACATCTTTAAAGAACCACTTGCTTACAAAATTCCATTTATGCTAAGAAAACACACACAGGTACACACACATACACACAGGATGAGAATGATGGGGGCGGAATAATTTTAAATCTCAAAAGATTAATGACAGGGAAGTGGGACCTGAAGTTTCGAAGGATGATTAAAAAAAGAATTATTTTCTACACAGGTATTTCTTCTTTTGACTGTATTAGCTAAAGAATTTTATTTATTTACTTTTGTTCTTTTTTTTTTTTTTTGCAATTTTGTTACATGCATAGATTGCATGTTGGTCAAGCCAGGCTTTTTAGGGTATTCAGCACCTGAATAACATACATTGTACCCATTAACTAATTTCTTATTCTGAACACTCAACTTGTGTTTGGTATTCTAAAATAAAAATAAGTAAGCCTTGGAGAACCAAATAAATTGTTAGCTATAAAAGTATCCTTATGAAATAATTTATGTTCCTTTTTAATGACTTTTCACTCTAATATTTCTTAGAAGTGCTCTTGTAAATGTCTAATGTATCCACAGGCTGTCGTCTTATTGGTCAAGGCAAAGTAACGACTTTGCCTATTTTACGCTTGTCTGTAGTACTTCAAAATTACCTTTTCATATCCATGAACTTGAGTCAATTCTGGAGGATTTTAAAGAATTTGGTGCATTTAAATATACCATTCAATTAAATTGCTTGAGTTTTTGTTTGTGTATCTATGTTCCTGAAGGTGATTCTATTTAAATTATTAAATTGCTGTAACAAATTTTTTAAAACTTATACAAAAGTGCTTTAGGATTACAGGTGGCTCACTGCTGTAATCCTAGCACTTTGGGAGGCCGAGGCGGGCGGATCACGAGGTCAGGAGATCGAGACTAATTTTCTTTAAATTCTAACTTTATTCACACGAGTCTTTCAAGTGCAGACTGGGAATGATTGAAGAAAAGCTTAGTGCATAGGCCAGTTGTTCTCATTTTAAGAATCACACAGGAATCCTGTAAAAATGGAGATTCTTTCTGAAGCCATATTAGACTATAAGCTCCGCAAGAGTAAGGATTTGTCGTTTTGTTCACTGCAGTATCCTCAGCACCTACAGTACCTGGAACATAACAGGTACTCAATAAATAATAGTGAATAAATGAATGAAAATCTAGTATGAAGACATCATGGGAACTTGCACCTTTAAAATTCCCTTTAGTGCTTCTGTTGTAGGGGGTCCTCCTGACCCAATCACAACTGAGAAACTTTATATTTTCTAATTATTCATCACTGTACAGATGTCATCACTATAGTGGGATTCTTTGCTACTTAATAGTTGTACTACTTTCTTGACTTTTCATTCCAAACATTTTTATTGCTAGATATAATATAGAGATAACTTAAATGTCAGCTTAGAAAACTATTATAAAGCAAAAAGCTGTGTAACCATTATCCAGGTCAAGAAATAGAAAGTTGCCACTTTCTAGAATCCCCACCTTGTGACCCCTCCCTTCATAATACCCTCTTTTTCTCTTAAGAGAATCACAACCATGACTTTGCTGATACTCGAATTCTTGCTTTTCTTTACTCTTTTCTCATCTAAACATACATCCCTAAGTACAATAGTTTAGTTTTGTTCATATATAAGTGGAATCATACAGTTTATATTTTTGTGTCTGACTTTTTTTACTCAATGTATGTAAGAGCAATTCATCTAGGTTGCTGTGAATGTCTGTGTTTATTAATTTTTTGCTGTTTGTAGTTCCAGTGTACAGAAGAGTTAATCCAAATGACCTTATCATCATTACTACAAGGGGAAGTCAGATTGAGTTTCCTTACCTTTTCATCAGCAAGGGAGAATATAAATATAAATATAGGTGATTTAGATATATAGATACCATACAAGCATGGTATATATACATCTGTACTTTAAGAGAGCATACCCGGTAAAGAAGTTGCATATATCAAGTAACAATTTCATCAGTTTGTGTTAATCGAAGTATATAAACCTGCTACTCAGAGCCTCCAAGTGAATTGAGTTGATAAAGGCTCTCTGCCTCTTACACTTCGGGTCACAGAGCCCAGGGAGAGTGTAGAGCCTAATGAAGAGTGTGGGCTTTAGAGTCAGGCTATCTGGGCTGGATCACTGTCTCTTTCATTACCATCTGTGTGCCCCAGGGCTACTTACTTACTCTTCATGAATCTTGGTTTTCTTGTGTATAAAGGAGGGATTTTAATAATAGTTACTTCATAGGATTGTTGCAGTAATTAAAAAAAGATAGTGTCTGAGCAGCACTTGATTAATATTGGGTACTCACCATGTGATAGGCCTGTCTCTAAAGACTTCTAACAGCCTTATGTGTAATTATTTCATTTAATTCTCCCTTAACTGAGAGATCCACAAAGGAAATGTTGGAAATGCAAATATATGAAAGACCAATACAACATGACGTCTGGATTTCTAAGATGCAATACATTTTATTCTAATTCTTCTGTGCATTTAAAAATAGCACAGAATAACCCCTAAAAGTGAGTTCTAAAAGGTATTTAAAGGAATACTTGTGAGGAATGCTATTTTTTAATGTCTTTATTTTTAATGAACAATGACTCATTTCATAAATAAAATTGTCTCTTTCTCTAGTTGTTTCCTCTGAACAAAGAAGGCTTATGTTATAAAGCAGAATTATGCTAGATTAAGAGCTTCTTTACCTTTTTCTGGAAAACTATATGTTGTAAGTCTGGAGGAATATATTAATGAGGAAATGAACCTCAAATGAGAGCTATGATAATATGAAAAAGATTTTAGTTATAATAATGATTGTTAACACTGATTAGTTGCTCATGTTTGTATAGTAACACTAAGCACTGAAGTAAGTACATGTGATGAGACGAGGTTTTGAGATAGTAATTTTTGTTTTCCTCTGTATGTCTCTCTTTTCTTTCACCTGATTTAATTAGAAAGTCAAAGCAGAAGGAGAAATGTGGGTCAGGGGAGTGAAGGGTCTCAGCAATAACCAGTGTGATCCCACATCCCCTCCCTCCTTCCCAAACAACTGGCTATTGTCTGAGAGTCTGGAACTGTGCTATCCAATACGTTAGCCATGAGCCACATGTGCTATTGAGCACAAGAAATGTGACTAGTCTGAATTGCAATGTGCTAAGAATGTAAAATACATACCAGCCTTCAATGACTTCATACAAAACAATTAATGTAAAACACGTCATTAATTTTTGATATTGATTATATGCTTAATTGATCATATTTAAATATATTGAGTTAAATAAAATATATCATCAAAATTAAATTCATGTGTTTTTTCTAAGTTTTTGAAATGTGTCTTCTAGAAAATTTAAAGTTACATATACAACTCACCTTATATATCTATTAAGAACAGTGGTCTAGAACTTGGAACAACCCTGAGAGTAGAGGGGCAATCTACAAAGGGCTGAGGTTAATTTACAAAACAGCCAGGTGGAGTGGGAGGTCTAAAAACAAATTAAATTGAGTTATTAAAATAAATATCTACCTCTGACATGCCTCAGTTTTGGGGCTGATATTTATAACTGTTGCACACAGCTGATCTTATTTAATTTTACCATAACGCTAAGAAAATATTATCTCTATTTTGAAGTTGAAGAAACCAAAACTTGGTTTAGTTAGTGCACTAAACCAAAATCACACAGCCAGGTACTAGATCGAAGCCAGGAAGTCTGCCTCTAAGTCCATAGTTTTAAGCACCATGCACTACTGTGACTCTAGAATATAATGCCTGTATAAAATGTTTATAAAAATTGGTACATTGAGCATATATGATATACTCTTTCTTCTTCAAAGAACAAATAAAATTTAACTTCTCTAACTCAATGCTTGTCCCTAACTCTGAAAGACAGAATGAGAAGATTCAAATTCTGCATCCAAAGAGGTGTCTAGGTGCTTTCAGGTTCCATTCTTAGAGCACAGAAAATAACCTCTATACAATAATATATCATTCTTATGTTATGTTTGTATAGTTCCCCACAGTTTGCAAAACTTTGAGATATATTTATGTCATTTATGTGACAAAACTTTCATATAAATTATTTCTTTAATGAAACTTGGGAACTGGGAAAAGCTGAATGACTTGCACAGGGTCTAACAACTCACCAGGCTTACGAGTCTCAGACTAGCTCTCTTGCCATTGCACCACATTATTTTCCGCAACACACCCTGTAGAAAATTAGCAAAATGAGGGCGTGGATATAATTTAGGAAGCTGGAGAGTGAAAGAGAGAAAGAGAGGGAGAGAAAGAGAGAGAGAGAGAGAGAGAGAGAAAGGATTTGGGGAACTGAATTAAGAGAAGAGGCACCATGGAAGAGGAGAACAGATAGATTTGACAGATAGTAGAAAGCAGAGTGCACATGATTTAGTGCCTTATAATTTTTGTGATGGGTGATTGTTTGTCAACTTGGCTGGGACATGGGATGCTCAGATACTTGGTTAAACATTATTTCTGAGTGTGTTTGTGAAAGCGTTCTAGATAAATTAGCATTTGAGTCCACAGACTGAGCAAAGCAATTTGCCCAACCCAGTATGGGTGGGCATCATCCAATCCAATGAGGGATTAAATAGAGCAAAACTGTGGAGAAAGGGAGAATTCTCTATCCCTGCCTGTCTTCAAGCTGAGACATTGGTTTTCTCCTGAATTCAGACCTGAACTTATACCATCAGCTCTCCTGGTTTTCAGGCCTTTGGACGAGGACTGGAACTACACCACTGGCTCTCCTGGTCTCTAGCCTGTTGGTGGCTGATTGTAGGACTTCTCAGCCTCTGTATCTGTCCATTTTCATGCTGCTGATAAAGACACACCCAAGACTAGGAAGAAAAAGAGGTTTAATTGGACTTACAGTTCCACATGACTGAGAAGGCCTCAGAATCATGGTAAGAAGCAAAAGGCACTTCTTACATGGTTGTGGCAAGAGAAAACAAAGAAGATGCAAAAGCAGAAACGCTTGATAAAACCATCAGATCTTGTGAGAATTAATCACTACCATGAGAAAAGCATGGGGGAAACTGCCTCCATGATTGAAATTATCTCCCACCAGGTCCCTCCCACAACACGTAGGAATTATGGGAGTACCACTCAAATGAGATTTGGCTGGGGACACAGAGCCAAACCATATCACTCTGCCCCTGTCCCCTCCAAATCTCATGTCCTCACATTTTGAAACCAATCATGCCTTCCCAAAAGTCCCCCAAAGCCTTAACTCATTTCAGCATTAACCCAAAAGTTCACAGTCCAAAGGCTCATCTGAGACAAGGCGACTCCCTTCAGCCAATGAGCTGGTAAAATCAAAGGCAAGCTAGTTATTTCCTAGATACAATGGGGGTACAGGTATTGGGTAAGTACAGCCTGTTCCAAATGGAAGAAATTGACCAAAACAAAGGGGTTATAGGGCCCATGCAAGTCCGAAATCCAGCAGGGCAGTCAAATTTTAAAGCTCCAAAATGATCCCTTTGACTCCGGGTCTCACATCCAGGTCATGCTGATGCAAGAGGTGGGTTCTCATGGTCTTGGGCAGCTCCACCCCTGTGGCTTTGCAGGGTACAGCCTCCCTCCAAGCTGCTTTCACAGGCTGGTGTTGAGTGTCTGTGGCTTTTCCAGGCGAATGGTGCAAGTTGTCGATGGATCTACCATTCTGGCATCTGGAGGACCGTGGCCCTCTTCTCACAGCCCCACTAGTCAGTGCCCCAGGAGGGACTCCGTGTGAGGGCTCTGACCCCACACTTCCCTTCCACACTGCCCTAGCAGAGGCTTACCATGAGCACCCTGCCCCTGCAGCAAGCTTCTCTCTGGGTATCCACGCATTTCCATACATCCTCTGAAATCTAGACGGAGGTTCCCAAGCCTCAATTCTTGACTTCTGTGCACTGATAGGCTCAACACCACATGGAAGCTGCCAACACTTGAGGCTTGCACCATCTGGAGTCATGGCCCCAGCTCTACATTGGGCCCTTTCAGCCAACAGCTGGAGTGGCTGTGACACAGGGTACCAAGTTCCTAGGCTGCACACAGCACACAGCAAGGGGACCCTGGGCCTGGCCCATGAAATCATTTTCTCCTAGGCCTCTGGGCCTGTGATTGGAGGGGCTGCTGTGAAGTCCTCTCACATGCCCTGAAGACGTTTTCCCCATTATCTTGGGGATTAACATTCGGCTCCTCGTTACTTATGCAAATTTCTGCAGTAAGCTTGAATTTCTCCTCAGAAAATGAGTTTTTCTTTTCTATTGCATTGTCAGGCTACTCTGCTTCCCTTATAAAACTGAATGCCTTTAACAGCACCCAAGTCATATCTTGAATGCTTTGCTGCTTAGAAATTTCTTCCATCAGATACTCTAAATCATCTCTCTCAAGTTTAAAGTTCCACAAATCTCTAGGGCAGGGGCAAAATGCCACCAGTCTCTTTGCTAAAATATAACAAGAGTCACCTTTGCCCCAGTTCCCAACAAGTTCCTCATCTCCATCTCAGACCACCTCAGCCTGGACCTTATTGTCCATATCATTACCAGGCTTTTCATCAAAGCCATTCCACAGGTATCTAGGAAGTTCCAAACTCTCTCACATTTTCCTGTCTGTTGAGCCCTCCAAACTGTTCCAACCTCTGCCTGTTACCCAGTTCCAAAGTCGCTTCCACATTTTCGAGTATCTTTTCAGCAACACTCCACTCTCCTGGTACCAATTTACTGTATTAGTCCATTTTCACACTGCTGATAAAGACATACCCAACACTGGGAAGAAAAAGAGGCTTAATTGGACTTACAGTTCCACACAGCTGGGAGGCCTCAGAATCATGACGTAAGGCAAAAGGCACTTCTTATATAGTGGTGGCAGGAGAAAATGAGAAAGATACAAAAGCGGAAACCCCTGATAAAACCATCAGATCTCATGAGACTTAATCACTACCATGAGAACAATATGGGGGAAACCTCCGCCATGATTCAAATTATCTCCCACCAGATCCCTCCACGACACATTGGAATTATGGGAGTAAAATTTGAGTTGAGATTTGGGTGGAGACACAGAGCCAAACCATATCAGCCTCCGTAATCATGTGAACAAATTCCTTATAATAATCAATAAATTATCAACAATTATCTATCTATCTATAACTATGGCACACACCTGATCTCATTTAATTTTCACTGTAACCCTGGATAGATAGATAGATGATAGATAGATAGATAGATAGATAGATAGATAGATAGATGTAGAAAGAGAAATATGGAAGCCCACTGGAGAAAAAAAAGTATAAAACCCTGGATGGGTTGATATCAGCAAGAGAGCTTTGATAAAGAGCCAACATTACAAGGCTTTATCCCTTCCCAATTATGCTAAGAATACAGTGGGCTTTCAGATGTACCAATAAGATATATAATTTATATATGTATTTACATAAGTATTTTTATATAGACCACTTTCTTATTAATATATTTAATCATATGTCTACTGTTACCATTTCTCAGGAGACTCCTCACTAATATAATGCTGGAGGAAAGGGAGAAGGAGAAGGCAATGATGACGCCCAGGTCTGGCACCTAGAGGTGTTGCCAAGTGTTAGTCATTGAACAATAACTGTACTGAAAATGTAAAAAAAAAATAACTTTCCACCTTTCAGATTATGACAGTTTTCCATTCCACCCCCCCAACTTTTTAGCAAGCACAAATTCATCAAAGCTATATATTTTTTTCAAACTCAAATACATGTATATTTAGTTCTTTTTCTCTGAGTGGGTTTGGCCCTTGATGTATAATTTTCCTCCCTATGTTGAGTTGATGAGACTGAATAACTGAAGGAGTTAAGTTTTGGTATAAGTTGCTTGTTAGCTGTACTGAACATTTGAGAGAGAAAAAACACTATAAAATCCTGGATGGGTTTATATCAGCAAGAGTAAGAGTGTGGAGAGGCTGGGTAAAAAGCAAACATTACAAGACTTTATCCCTTCCGTTCCCAATTATGCTGAGAAAACAATGGGCTTCCAGATGTACTGTGGGGAACAAGATAACCAAGGTTTTCTTTAACTCACTACCTCCAAGTCCCATTTTCAAATTGTGCACTTGACTTCATTTAAAAGATCAAATACTAAAGTCTTGAAACACACACATACACACTCACAAAAACACACATACATACATACACATTATAGGTACTTAAGAAAGAAGTGGCTACTTATGCTGCTGAAAGGATCTTGGTGAGCTCTTGACTTTCAAGGAGGTCATTTATGGTTTTCTTTTTTCCGTTTTTCTTCTGCTAATGGTTTCCTTTAATGTTATCTTCCCTTTGATGATTTATCTGTTTGATAGAGACTCCAAAGAAGGTAACAAGGAAAATGAGATACTAAAAATGGTTCTCAGCTGACTTAAAAAAAGATTTTTAAGGCAGCAAATTGTCCATGGCAACCATACACAACTTACAAGCATTCTAAGGACCCAGAAACATTTTCATGACAGGAGCTACGCAATATTCACCAGCTCTTCCTGTGTCAATACTGTCTGGTAGGATGGAATTAGTGGAAATTAGAACATGCACCCTGAATAAATACAGACCCAGTTAAGAAACACAGGTTATTTATAATACGGCCTAAATTCTATTAGAGGTTACATCTCCGAGCCTCTAGAGATGGAAGTCAAAATTAAAAAAAAGGGAGTTGCAAATTTTTAATAGCTATGAAACTGGTCTTCAAACAAAATCTTATACTGATGTCCAATACAAATTGAAAGCTGGAATAGGCCCCTTACCAATTCTCTTTGTCCATTCCAGTGTCCTGAAACAAATTCATGGGACTATAAGACTTTCATAGAGAAAGTCTGAAAGCTGTTTGAAAACCACTCCTTCAGGCAATGTATAGAATGCGTCATAAACTCATTCATGGAAAATGATGCTTGACATTTTGAAGTGTTTATTATGAGAATGGTGATAAATGCATAAGTTTGGCATTCTTTACATAATCCATAGCAATGTATGTGGAAGAAAGCATTTTTAATAGATACTGTCATGTGTTTAGTTTGTAAATAAAATCTTTTAAAATTATTGCCTATGACAACTAATTAAGATTTTGGTGGATTAGTATCTCATGAGAAAGTTATTTACAGGCATCCACTTCTAGCAATATGACAGACATGAATCCTGGAATCCTCCAGATATAAAACATCTGGGGATGTGGGGTACAAGAACACACACATACAGACATATACACACATACTTTTAAATCAATGAAAGATAACGGAAGAGGTAAGAATCATCTGAGGCTAAGAACAAAACAAAACAAACCAGTCTATGAAGGAAAATGATTATTGAAACTTCCACATCCCTTGAGTACATGTATAGAACTCTGTGACCAAGAGGTTTCACACGTAAAAGTTCACAGGAAGGAGGGGGCTGTGTTCTAAGTCTTGGGATTGTACAGACTAGATGGCCTTAGGGTCTAACCCACATAATGCCAAGCTGAGGGAGTGTACTTATTTGTAAAAATCAATTGTAACATTTTCAGGAATTTTGCCAGCTGAATGGCTTCATACTAGTGGCTTTAAATAAGCCATAGTGAGAGTATTTACTCCACAGAAACCCACATAGGCTATAAAGTAGGGCACCCTTTTCTTGTCAGACAGTAATTTGCTAAATATTTACCTGTACATCACTGGCTACTTTAATAAGAGAAAGCATAGTTTAAATGAAATGAAAATCCCACAGAGAAGCAAACAGAAAAAAAAAAAAATGTCTGTCATGTTCTAAGTTCTGGGTAGAGGTGAAAAAAAGGAAAGAAAACCAAAAACCTTCCTCTGAGATTTCAAAGCTACCTTTGGCTCTCAAAATATTTACTCCTGAAAACACAGAATTTGCATGGGTAAAAAACTTTCTAAGGCAAAAATTTTTAAGTTAAATTTTAAGTTGGAATCTAGAGCTGGGACCCCTTCCACCATGTGAGGATACAATGAGCATGCACCATCTATGAACCTGGAAGCAGGCCCTCACAGGACACCAAATCTGCCAGCATCTTGGTTTTGGGCTTCCCAACCTCCAGAACTCCCTTAGAGTCGGAATATTGGTTGTTGTCAGGCACAGCTTTCCGTTGTGCTGGGAAACACTCAGATGGCAGAATGGGTAATTCTACCCATTCCTGCCTCTCATAGCCAAACAAGCCATGCCTGCTAGAGCTTCCAACCCAGCAGTCCTAATTCTGCCTGAATTTGCTGAGGGGTGTGTCCAGGAAACAGCCAGACAGCAGGGCAGGCAACTCATCCACTCCCACCTCTGGTAGCCAGACAGGCCACACCTGCTACAGCTTCCAGCTCAGTGGTCCCACTTCTGCCTTAACTCTGTGGGCAGGTGCAACCCCATTTTCCCCCAGGAAGCACTCAGACAGCAGATTCAGGCTGACCCAGCAAGGATATGACCTGTATGTCATCTATGGTCCCTGCCAGAGAGAACCTATGAATCAGAACACCCCCTACCCCCCAAAAAAGGAACAACAACAACAACAAAAAGAAACATGGGCACAGAGCTAAAAGATGAAATAGCTATTTTACGAAAGAACTGAACTGAATTGTTAGAACTGAAAAAACTCACTTCAAGAACTTCATAATGCAATCACAAGTATTAACAACAAAAGTGACCAAGCTGAGGACAAAATCTCAGCACTCAAAGACTGTCTCTGCAAAATAACTTCAGTCAGAGAAAAATAAAGAAGCATAAAGAAAACTTCAGAGAAATATGGTATTATGTAAAAAGACCAAATCTATGACTCACTGGCATCCCTGAAAGACAGGGAGAGAAAGCAAGAAACTTGGAAAACACATCTGAGGATGCCATTTCCCCAACCTAACTAGACAGGATAACATTCAAATCCAGGAAATGCAGAGAACTCATGCGTGATACTATACAAGATCATCATCCCCAATACACATACTCATCAGATTCTCCAAGAATGAAATGAAATAAAAATGTTAAAGGCAGCTAAAGAGAAGAGGCAGGTCACCTACAAAGGGAACCCCATTAGGCTAACAGTGGAACTTTCACCAGAAACATTACAAGCCAGAAGAGATTTGAGTCCTATATTCAGCAATGTTGAAGAATAGAAATTCCAACCAAGAATTTCATATCCAGCCATACTCAGCTTTATAAGTGAAAGAGAAATAAGATCATTTTCACAAAGCAAATGCTGAGGAAATTCATTAACAAGAGACCTGCCTTATAAGAAGTCCTTAAGGGAGTACTAAATATGGAATGGAAAGAACATTACTGGCCACCACAAAAACACACTTAAGTACATAGACATTGACACTATAAAACAACCACATATCAAGTCTGCAGAATAAGTAGCTAACAACCCATTGACAGGATCAAACTCACATATATCAACATTAACCTTGAATGTAAATGGGCTAAATGTCCCAATTAAAAGGCACAGTTGGATAAAGAAGCAAGGCCCAACTGCATGCTGTCTACAAGGGACCCATCTCAAATTCAATGGCACTGTGACTGTTAATCTTAGGTGTCAATTTGGTTGGATCGATGGATGCCTAAATAGCTGGTAAAGTATTGTTTCTGAGTGTGTCTGTGAGGGTGTTACCAGAGGAGACTGACATTTGAGTCAATGGGCTGGGAAAGGAAGACCCACCCTCAATGTGAGTGGGCACCGTCCAATCAGCTGCCAACATGGCTAGAACAAGGCAGGCAAAAGAAGGAGGGATAAGCTGACTTGCTGAGTCTTCTGATTTTCATCTGTCTCCTATTCTGGATGATTCCTTCTGATCCTCCTGCCTTTGGACATCAGACTCGAGGTTCTTTGACCTTTGGATTCTTGGACTTATGCCAGTGATTTGCCAGGGGCTGTCAGGCCTTCAGCCACAGACTGAAGGCTGTACTGTCAGCTTCCCTGCTTTTGAGGCTTTTGGACTCAGACTGAGCCACTACTGGCTTCTTTCTTCTCTAGCTTGCAAATGGCCTATTATGGGACTTCGCCTTGTGATTGTGTGAGCCAATTCTCCCTAATAAACTCCCTTTCATATATACATATACCCTATTAGTTCTGCTCCTCTGGAGAACCCTGACTAATACAGACACCATAAGCTGGATCCAAAGAATGGAGAAAAATCTACTAAGCAAATAAAAACAGAAAAGAGTAGGGGTTGCTATTCTAATTTCATACAAAAGAGACTTTAAACTAACAACAATCAAAAAGACAAAGAAGGGCATTAAATAATGGTAAAATGTTAAATTCAACAAGAAGACCTGACTATCCTAAATACACATACACCCAACACAGGAGTACCCAAATTAATAAAGCAAGTTCTTAGAGACCTACAAAGAGACATAGGCTCCCAACAATAATATTGGGAGACTTCAACACTCCACTGACAGTATTAGACAGATCATAGATTCAGGAAATTAACAAAGATACTCAGGACCTAAACACAACATTGGAACAAATAGATCTGATAGACCTTTACAGTACTCTTCACCCCAAAACACAGAATATACATTCTCCTCATCTGCACATGGCACATACTGTAAAATTGACCACACAGTTAGCCATAAAACAGTCCTCAGCAAACTAAAACAAAATCATACCAAATACACTTTTGGACCACAGTGCAATAAAAATAGAAATCAATACTAAGAAAAATTACTCAAAACCATATGGTTACATTGAAATTAACCTGCTCCTGAATTACTTCTGGATGAACAATGAAATTAAGGCAGAAATCAAGAAATTCTTTGAAACTAATGAGAACAAAGACTCAACATACCAGAATATCTGAGACACAGTTAAAGCAGTGTTAAGAGAGTTTATAGCACTAAATGCCCACATGAAACAGTTGGAAAGATCTCAAATTAGCAACCTAACATCATACGTAGAGGAACTAGAGAAATAGGAGCAAACCAACCACAAAGCTAATAGAAGATAAGAAATAACAAAAATAATAGCTGAACTGAAGGAAAATGAGACTCAAAAAACCATACAAAAAACCAGCAAACGCAGAAGATGGTTATTTGAAAGAATAAATAAGATTGACAACCACTAGCTAGACTAATAAAAAAGAGAGAAGATCCTAATAAACGCAAACAGAAATGACAAAGGGGACATTAACACTGGCCTCACAGAAATATAAACAATTCTTCAGAGGCTACTATAACCACCTCTATGCACCCAAACTAGAAAACCTAGAATAAACAGATACATTCCTGGAAACATACAACCTCCTAAGATTAAACCAGGAAGAAACTGAATCCCTGAACAGACCAATCATGAGTTCTGAAATTGAATCAGTAATAAAAAACACACCAAACGGAAAAGGCCCAGGACCAGATGAATTCACAGCCAAATACTACCAAATGTACAAAGAAGAGGTGGTACCATTTCTACTGACACTGTTTCAAAAAACTAAGGAGGTGGAACTCCTCCCTAAATCATTCTATGAGGCCAGCATCATCCTGATACCAAAACCTGGCAGAGAAGCAATAAAAAAAGAAAACTTCACGCCAATATCCTTGATGAACACAGAAGCAAAAATTGTCAACAAAATACTAGGAAACTGAATCCAGCAGCAAATCAAAAAGCTAATCCACCACAATCAAGTAGGCTTTAATCCTGGGATGCAAGGTTGGTTCAACATATGCAAATCAATAAATGATTCACCACATAAACAGAACTAAAAACAAAAACCACATGATCATCACAATAGATGCAGAAAAGGCTTTCAATACAATTGAACATCGCTTCATGTTAAAAACCCTCAACAAACTAGGTATTGAAGGAACACACCTCAGAATAATGAGAGCCATATATGGCAGACCCACAGCCAATATCATTCTGAATGGGCAAAAGCTGGAAGCATTCCCCTTGATAATTGGAACAAGGTCAGGATACCCACACTCATCACTCCTATTCAACATAATACTGGGAGTCCTAGACAGAGCAATCAGGCAAGAGAAAGCAATAAAAGGCATCCAAATAAGAAGAGAGGAAGTCAAATTATCTTTGTTTGCACACAATATGATTATATACCTAGAAAACCCCATAGTCTCTGCCCAAAAGCTCCTAGATCTAATAGAAAATTTCATCGAAGTTTCAAGATACAAAATCAATGTTCAAACATCAGTAGCATTTCTATACACCAACATCCAAGTTGGGAGCCAAATCGAGAATCTGATCTCATTCACAATAGCCACAAAAAGAATTAAATACCTAGGAATACAGCTAACTAGGAAGATGAAAGTTCTCTGCAACAAAAATTACAAAACACCACTCAAAGAAATCAGAGATAACACAAACAAATGGGAAAACATTCCATGCTCAAGGATAGGAAGAAACATTATTGTTAAAATGGCCATACTTCACAAAGCAATTTTACAGATTATCTATTTCTATCAAACGACCAGTGACATTCTTCAGATAATTAGAAAAGGCTGTTTTAAAATTCATATGGAACCAAAAAAGAGCTCGAATAGCCAAGACAATCCTAAGCAAAAAGAACAAAGCTGGGGCCAGGCACGGTGGCTCATGCCTGTAATCCCAGCACTTTGGGAGGCCAAGGGAGGCAGATCACCTGAGGTCAGAAGTTCGAGACCAGCCTGATGAACCTGGTGAAACCCTGTCTCTACTAAAAACTACAAAAATTAGCTGGGCGTGGTGGTGGGTGCCTGTAATCCCAGCTACTCAGGAGGCTGAGGCAGGAGAATCGTTTGAATCCAGGAGGTGGAGGTTGCAGTGAGCCGAGATCATGCCACTGCACCC
Source organism: Homo sapiens (assembly GCF_000001405.40). Lineage (NCBI taxonomy): Eukaryota > Metazoa > Chordata > Mammalia > Primates > Hominidae > Homo > Homo sapiens. The sequence continues at coordinate 21,632,064 of NC_000009.12, forward strand.
CAGCCTGGGCGACAGAGCAAGACTCTGTCTCAAAAAAAAAAAAAATTAAATTAAAAATTAAAAAATAAATAAATAAAGTTAGAGGCATCACATTATGTGACTTCAACCTATACTGCAAGGCTATACTAACCAAAACAGCATTATACTAGTACAAAAACAGACACATAAACAAATGGAACAGAATACAGAGTCCAGAAATAATACTGCACACCTACAACCATCTGATCCTTGACAAAGCTGACAAAAATAAGCAATGGGGAAAGGACTCTGTATTCAATAAATGGTGTTGGAATAACGTCTAGCCATATGCACAAGATTAAAGCTGATGCTTCCCTTTTTTACACCATATACAAAAATCAACTCAAGATGCATTGAAGACTTAAATGTAAAACCTAAAACTATAAAAAAAAAACTCTGGAAGATAATCTAGGAAATACTATTCTGGACATAGGCCCTGGCAAAATTTCATGATGAAGTAGCCAAAAGCAATCGAAACAAAAATAAAAATTGACAGATGGGACCTAATTAAACCAAAGAGCTTCTGTACAGCAAAAGAAACTATCAACAGAGTAAACAGACAACATGCAGAATGGGAGAAAATATTTGCAAATTATGTATTCAACAAAGGTCTAATATCAGAATCTGTAAGAAACATAAACAAATAAACAAGCAAAAACCAAATGACCCCATTGAAAAGTGGGCAAAGGACATTAATGAATGCTGTTCAAAGGAAGACATACATGTGGCCAACAAGCATATAAAAAAATACTCAACATCACTAATCATTAGAGAAATGCAAACCAAACCACAATGAGATACCATTTCACACCATTTAGAGGGCTTTTATTAAAAAGTCAAAAAATAAGAAATGCTGGCAAGGTTTCAGGCAAAAGGGAATGCTTACACATTGCTGGAGGGAATGTAAATTTGTTCAGCCATTGTGGAAATCGATCTGGCAATTTCTCAAAGAACTCAAAACAGAATTTTCATTTGATCCAGCAATCCCATTATTGGGTATATACCCAAAGGAATATAAATCATTCTGCCATAAAGTCACATGCACGAGTGTGTTCATCACAGCAGTATTCACAATAGCAAAGATATGTAATCAACTTAAATGCCCACCAGTGATAGAGTGCATAAAGAAAATGTAGTATATATACACCATAGAATATTATACAACTATAAAAAAGAATGTGATTATGTCCTTTGTAGGAATATGGATGGAGCTGGAGGCCATTAACCTAAGCAAACTAATGCAGAAACAGAAAACCAAATACTGTGTATACTCACTTAAAAGTAGGAGCTAAACACTGAGTACACATAGACACAAAGAAGTGAACAACAGACTCCGGGGCCTACTTGAGGGTGGAGGGTGAAAGGAGGGAGGGGAATAAAAAAACTACGTATCAAGTACTGGGCTTATGACTTGGGCAGAAATAATCTGTACCAAACCCCTAAGACACACAATTTATCTATGTGTCAAACCCGCACATGTTTCCCTGAACCTAAAATACAAGTTAAAAAAAAAAAAAAAAAAGAGAGAAGGCCCAGGTATGGTGGCTCATGCCTGTAATCCCAGCACTTTGGGAGGCCAATGTGGGAGAATTGCCTGAGCCCAGGAGTTTGAGACTAGCCTGAGCACATGGCAAAATGCTATCTCTATCAAAAATTAGCTGACCATGGTGGCATATGCCTATGGTTCCAGCTACTCAGGAGCCGGAGTTGGGAGGAGCACTTAAGCCTGGGAAGTTGAGGCTGAAGTGAGCCGTGATCATGACACTGCACTCCAACCTGGGTGACAGAGCGAGACTCTGTCTCAAAAAAAAAAAAGAAAGAAAGAAGGAAAGAAAGAAAGAAAGAAAGAAAGAAAGAAAGAAAGAAAGAAAGAGAGAAAGAAAGAAAGGAAAGAGAGAGACAGAGAGAAAGAAAGAGAGAGAGAGGGAGGGAGGGAGGAAGGAAGGAAGGAAGGAAGGAAGGAAGGAAGGAAGAAAGGAAGGAAGGAAGGAAAGAATCTAGAGCTGGGTTGGAGAGGTATAAAATGAGCCAAGAACATCTTGTTTTGCCAGAAAGCAAGGAAATGATCCAAGAATGTTGAGAACATGTCAACATGACACAGAACCAGTTTGAAAGGCCAAATCTGGCAAAATTTGTGTCCCATCAATACCAAGTGATATTATTTACCAATAGAAAAGAACAAATAACTAAGACCCACAAAAACATGGTGAATCTCAAATAATCATGGTAAATGAACAAAAGGAGATGGTAAAGACTACATACCATAGGATTCCACTTATATAAAATGCTAGGAAAGATAGAAACACATTGATTGTTGCCAGGAGTACATATTGAGGGGCAACAGAATAACTCCTAATGGGCACTAGGAAACTTCAGGGTGATGAAATTATTCTGTATTATGATTACGGTGGTGGCTTCCCTAATAAAGCTGATGAAAAAGAAAAGAAAGCTGCTATTAATCTTTTAACATCAAAGTAGACTTTAGGGCAAGAAGCATGACTGCACAAAAAATGGGATATTTCATTAAGATGAAGAAATCAATCTGCCAGGGAAATGTTAGAATTCTAAAGCTATATGCCCCAAATAATGTAGCTTCACCATACATATAAAGCAAAAATTCTGAGAACTGGAAGGAGAAATAGATAATTCCACAATCATAGAGAGAACAAGTACAGTTTCCATGCAAAAATCTCTAAAGTAACAATTAAAAACAAATTTGATCGTGTTGACATTTCTAAACCATTACACCCAACCACTGCAGAGTACACATTCTTCTCAAGTGTATATGGAATATTAATCAAAATCAATCATATTCTAGGTCAAAGAACATGTCTCAACAAATTTTAATGATTTACAGTATGTTCTCTGAATATAGTGGAAATAAGCTATGAGAAATGTTAAAAAAAAAAATAGAAATTCCCTAACTACTTGTGCAAGAAGAAAGAATTTATCTGGTCTTTTTTCTTTGGTTCCGCTTTCCTGACACACAGCTTCCAAAACCCTCAGAATCTCCTAATAGGAGTGTCTTTTGTTATTCATAACTTTTTATTATTGTGTCACTAGTATACCTGAGTTTCTACTAGTGGGGTGACTCATGAAAAGCCCTTAGATACTGTTGAGGAAGAGTCTGGTCATGTCAGAAAAACCAAGCAACTGATTAGAGGATTAAAACTATTGTCTGTTGAAGAAATTGAGTATATAATTTAAAACCCTCAAAGAAAACAATCTCCCGATCCAAATCACTTCACCATTCAATTTTTCCAACTATTTAAAAACTAATCTCACAAATCTAATAAATAAATTAACCTCGTAGAAATTATTCCAGAAAACAAGAAAAAAGTAGGTTCCATCCTAAGTAATTTTCTGAAGACAAAATAACTTCGATACTGAAATCTGACAAAAACATTACAAAAAAAGAAAATTGCAAGGTGATCTCTCTCATAAGTATATGTGCAAAAATCCTAAATAAAATATTAGCGAATGAATCCAGTGATAACTGAATAATGTCTATCACATTCTAGTGTTGCAGATATCTCAAAATATTGTTTACATTCATTATTGAAATTAAAGTAGTTATCAGACATGCCACTATATATTATTCACTGTACTAGTGATCAATACACATATGTATCACTGATTTTTTATAAATTTTAATAACTGTATTTTGTAGAACTTGTTTTCATTTTAAATAAAATGTGTTCCTTTTTAATCCTGTGTATTCTGTTTTGTATAGTTCAAAACATACTTCTAAGAAGGGTACATTGACTTCGCTAGACTGTCACAGTGATTAGTGGCACAAAAAAGGCTAAGATGTCCTGTTTTAGAGTGATGCTTATAATTGACCTGTTCCACCCACATGTTCAGAGCTTCCAAGCAGATATTATATATCCTACTTTTAAAAATGAGTAGATAATCAAGGACCCAGAGACACATGAAGAAAACATCGCATATAAAATACAGTGATTAAATAAGTAAATGGCAGAGGGAGCGGAGGCTCAGTAACCCAGAGAAACAGAGACTATGCAGGAAGAAGACAATTAAAATGAAAACAATATTTTCAAACAGATAAAGCTATTGCATTCATTAAATTAGAATGGATCATTACATTTAAGGTACATTCAGATAATTTCAAACACTTTTAGAAATTAAAATTCCAATAAGAGAAGTGAAGAAATAGAAAACTGAAAGATAAGGGTGAAGAAATCTATCAGAAGATAGTGTTGGAGACACCAGTATGAACTTTTGTTAGCTTAATACAGATATAAATGGTTACACATAAACACACACACACACACACACACACACACACATATATATATATATATAAAATCAGCTAATATAGTCACATATGTTTTTTTGCTCTGTCTGCTGAGAGGTCTAGAAACAATGGTAACCCAGTAGTAACAAACTTACCTAGTGTCCAGATTTGGTTTCTAACGCCCATTCTCCGATAACAGGATCCAGAGATCCTTGTATAAATGGCTGGTTCTAGGACTGGGATAAGAAATATAAATGATAATCCTGGAGAATTTTGTAGTGCCAGAAAGTAAAGAATTACACACACACACACACACACACACACACACACACACACCCCTTTCTCTCTAACAGAGCACAGGAGCCAAATGAATGAGTTCGCAATAGCAAACACCAGACCAGTTTCAGCAACATAATAAAGTAGTATTGGATTATAACCCAAAGTATAAAATATATGTCCATGATATCTAAATGATTAAATAAATAAATGGGGGAGAAGGAACTGATTTCCTTTGCTAAGAATTACAAGTAAGTCATGTGAATACACCCCAGCGAGGAGAAGTGACATAACTCCCCACTCCTTAAGTGTGGGCTGTGCATAATGACTTCCTTCCAAAAAGCACACTATGGAAAGGCGGAGAAAAAAGTAACATTATAGTAGAGAAACCTGACAAATACTATCCCAGCCAGGTGATCAAGGTCAATGTCAAGAATAATAAATCATGTTGCTAGAATGAAGCCTTGATATGGTATGATGAGAATGGCACTTTATAATCTTCCTCCCTAAAACTCATAATCCAAGTCTAATTATGAGAAAAACATCAAACCAATTCCAATAGAGGAGCATCCTACAAAATATTTGACTAGCACTCCTGAAAACTGTTGAAGTCATAAAAAAACAAACAAACAAACAAACAAACAAAACAAAACAAAAAAAACCACAAGGAAAGTCTGAGAAACTGTCACAGCCAGTGGGAGCCTATGGAGACATGATGACTAAATGAATGTGGTATCTAGGATGGGACCCTGGAGGAGAAAAAGTAAAAACTAAGGAATCTGAATAAACTATAAATTTCAGTTAATAATGATGAATCAGTGTTGGTTCATTAATTGTAACAAAAGTACCATACTAATGTAAGAAGTTAACAATGGGTGAACTTGAGTAAGGAAGCATATGGAAACTCTACACTATCTTTGAAATTTTCTATAAACCTTAAACTCTTCTAGAAATAAAGTCTATTAAAAAAGGTAAGGGATAATAAAAAGATTGTATAAATGTAATAAATATATGGATATTATATGACAGCCTTTTTATTGAGGAGATGATTATCAAAAGCAAACAAATATACAAAAATAGATTTTAAGATAAAATAGATTTTAAGGTTGAAGAGAATCATTAAAGAGGACCAGTGTATAATAACAAAAACTTCAAATTACCAAGAGGATACAATAATTCTATGCGCACTAAAATATAGCACCAAACACCTAAAGCAAAATTTAACCAAAGTACCAAACAAATGTATGAACCCATCATCATAAGGGGAGATATTAACTTCTTTCAGCAATTGATATATCAAGTAGACAAAAATGTCAGCAAGGATATAAAATATTTGAGCAACATAACTAATAAACTTGGTCTAATGGATATTTGTCTGTATAGAGAGAGCCTTGTACTCAGTAATTTGATAATTCATTATTTTCAAGCACACATGGGATTGACCACATATGTAGCCATAAGGCAAGCAAAAATGAGTTTAAAAAATTAGTCTCATATACAGATCACTTTTCTGACACCAACAGAATTCGACAAGAAATTAATAACAAAATATAATTTAGGTGCAGAGCGGTTTGATTGTTCGTTGAAGGAGCACATTTCCTTTGCCGGGCGACTGCGGCTTCTCCCGGGGCAGTACAAGTGGCCTGACTCAGGGGTTGTGTGAAAGAGAATGGTCCGAACCAAGCCGACTGCTGGGTTCCACTGGTGGGAGCCCCTCCACCTTCACCTCCGCAAACAGCTGGCCGCTAAAGCTGCCAGAAGAGCCCCCTCTGCCAATGGGGTGAAGAATACGCGTCACTGCAGGGCCGGACCCTTCGTCATTACCAGAAACTGACTGAGCTTCTCATCCAGAAACTGCCTTTCCAGAGGATGGTGAGGAATCGCCCAGGATTTCAAAACGACTTGAGGTTTCAGAGCACAGCCATTAGTGCTTTTCAGGAGGCTGGTGAAACTTAGCTGGTGGGTTTGTTTGAAGGTGCTAACGTGTGTGCCATCCATGCTAAGAGATTCACCATTATGCCCAAAGACATCCATCCAGTTGGCTCTCTGGAAGAGGCGAGAGAACTGGGAGAGAGCTCTCTCTGGGGAGAGACCTTAAGTGAAGGCAGATTTTATGGTATTTTGTAATAAAGTCTGCAAAATACTTTGATTAGGTTTAGTCTGTGACTTTTTTTTTTTTTTTTTTTTTGGCTAAGAAATTGCTTTCCATGCTTTGCATTTGTACTGAAGTCACTCCATCTTTCACTCAAGACGAATGTGAAAAGTGACTGAGTATTCACAGACCTCAATGATGCTCAGGAGTAATGAGTTGCTAACATGCAGAAGAGCCAGGGAATATTTTGTGCTCCTCATTATGCAAGTTTATGTATGTTAATGACTTGTTGAGTAGCTATTAAGGTAATAGATTGATAAATAAATTACACAAGGTTATTTTGCAATAAAACTTTATGACTTGATTCAAGATTTTAACAATCAGGACTGTTAAATCTGACCATATATCACTCTGATAGAATGTGGGCTTTTTCCAGGGTGAAGATACAAGTCTTAACCATAGTGTAACTTACAGCTTCAAGAAAGGAAGGAAGGGAGGAAGGGAGGGAGGGAGGGAGGAAGGGAGAGAGGGAGGGACAGGAAGAAAGAAAGAAAGAAAGAAAGAAAGAAAGAAAGAAAGAAAGAAAGAAAGAAAGAAAGAAAGAAAGAAAGAAAAGAAAGAAAAAGAAAAGAAAGATAAGAAAGGAAAGAAGAAAGAAGGAAGGAAGGAAGGAAAGAAAGAAAGAGAGACGGAGGGAGGGAGGGAAGGAAGGAAGGCATGGAGGACAGAAAGAAGAAGGAGGAGGAGGAGAGCATTTATAATAGCCATTTTATGTATTGTAGTGTCAACAGTTTTAAATTAAATGTTTTACATTTATAAGAGGTATAGTCATTAATATTGTCATTAATATGTGTGTCATTTGGAGTCCAGTTGCCTTTCTCCTAACTAAATTATGCTTGTTTTCACAGTAGTAAAATGCTATGTGGATATCATACCTTACATAAGTCCTTATTCTACCACATGTTAACTAACCCCTAACTGATAATACAAACACTAACTGGGCGATTGTATTTATAATGGCTCTATAAGAAAATATGAGCCATTCACACCAGCATCACCTTTTATCAATATTCTTAACTAGTTAGTGCACGTTTTCCTTGTGTGGTAGTCAGTCTCATAACTAGGATGAGATTTTTCTCCCCCACTAAGAGAAAACAATGTTGAAGTTATTTTCTATGTGGACTTAGTATGACAAAAACCCTTTGTGTAAATTTTCTGTGGAGAAGGAGAACACAGTTCCAGCTCATTGAACCTCTGCCAATTAAGATGGTGTCCAGTTAGGTTACATTTGGTTACCATCCTGAGAAAATCACTTTTAAGAGATGGCCTTCCAAATGGTTTAAAAATTTATCCTTCCATTAAAGTTTTTAGGTTAATTATGTATGTCGACTAAATTTATGAATAAACTTCTTTATAAAAAAACTATGGCGGCCGGGCGCGGTGGCTCACACCTGTAATCCCAGCACTTTGGGAGGCCGAGGCGGGCGGATCACGAGGTCAGGAGATCGAGACCATCCCGGCTAAAACGGTGAAACCCCGTCTCTACTAAAAATACAAAAAATTAGCCGGGCGTAGTGGCGGGCGCCTGTAGTCCCAGCTACTTGGGAGGCTGAGGCAGGAGAATGGTGTGAACCCGGGAGGCGGAGCTTGCAGTGAGCCGAGATCCCGCCACTGCACTCCAGCCTGGGCGACAGAGCGAGACTCCGTCTCAAAAAAAAAAAAAAAAAAAAAAAACTATGGCTTCATGTCTAAAAATTAAAAAAAACTTTAAAACAACGTGTCAAAGAAGAAATCATAAGATAAATATACATATCAAAAGTTATGGGATACAGCTAAAGCAGTACTAAAAGAAAAATGTGTAACTCCAAATATATTTATTGAGAAAAAAACGAAATAACTATGAACTAAATATACAATTGAAAATGTTAGAAAACAAAATAAAATGAAAGAAAGAAACGACATGAAATAATCTTAAAAGGACAGAAATTAACTGGGAAATAAAGCTAAAATAGAGAGGACTGACAAAATCAAAACTTTATTAGAAAAGATTTATATCATTGACAAAATGTTGTTAATACCAATTAAAAAATAAAAATGTAGAGCAAAACATATTAAATATTAAAAATAGATATAATTACTAACACAAAGGACTAGGAGGATAAAAAATTTCCAGGAACAAGTTTATGCCAAGAAATTTGAAAATTTAGATTAAAAAACTGAACTCATGAAGGGGTTGCAGATGATATGACCTTATATTTGGCAAAACCTAAAGACTCCACCAAAAAATGATTAGAACTGATAAACAAATACAGTAAAGTTGCAGGATCCAAAATCAACATTAAAAAAAATCAGTAGCATTTCTATGTGCCAACAATGAACAACCTGAAAAAGAAATAAAAAGTAATACCTAGGAATTAACTTAACAAAAAAAATGAAAGATCTGTGTAATAAAAACTATAAAACACTTATGAAAGAAATTGAAGATGACACACAAAAAAATCAAAAGGTATTCCATGTTCATGGATTGGAAGACTCAATATTGTCAAAGTGTTCATACTACCCCAAGCAATGTACAGATTCAATGAAAGTCCTATCGAAAGACCAGGTACATTCTTGAATAAATAGAAAAAACAACCCTTAAATTTATATGAAATCACAAAAGACCCAGAATAGCCAAAACTATCCTATGCAAAAATAACAAAACTGGAGCAATTGTATTATCTGACTTCAAATTATACTACAAAACTTTTGTAACCCAAACAGCATGGTACTGGCATAAAAAGACACAGAGACTAGTGGCACAGAATAGAGAACTCGGAAACAAATCCACACACCTACAGTAAACTCATTTTCAACAGTTTCCAACAGCATACATTGGGAAAAAGACAGTTTCTTCAACAAATGGTGCTGGGAAATTGGATTCCATATGCAGAGCAAGGAAACTAAACCCCTATCTCTCACCATATACAAAAATCAAATCAAAATGGATGAAAGAGTTAAACCTAAAACCTCAAACTATGAACTTACTATAAAAAACATTGGGGAAACTCTCCAGGACATTGGTTGGGGTAAAAATTTCTTGAGTAATATCCCACAAGCACAGGCAACCAAAGCAAAAATGGACAAATGGGATCACATCAAGTTAAAAAGTTTCTGTACAGCAAAAACAAAAACAAAATATGCACAAAGTGTAGAGACAACCCACAGAATGAGAGAAAATATTTGCAAACTACCCATCTGACAAGGCATTAATAGCTAGAATATAGAGGGAGATCGAACAACTCTATAGGAAAAAAATTAACAGTCTGATTTTAAAATGGGCAAAAGATTTGAATAGACATTTCTCAAAAGAAGACATACAAATGGCAAACAGGCATATTAAAAAGTACTCAACATCACTGATCATCAGAGAAATGCAAATCAAAACTACAATTAGCATCATCTCACCCCAGTTAAAATGGCTTATATGCAAAAGTGAGCCAATAACAAATGCTGGCAAGGATGTGGAGAAAAGGAAACCCTCGTACACTGTTGATGGGACTGTAAATTAGTACAACCATTGTAGATAAAAGTTGGAGTTTCCTCAAAAAAACTAAAAATAGAGCTACCATATGATTCAGCAATCTCACTGCTGGGTACATATCCAAAAGAAAGGAAACCAGTATATCGACAAGATATTGACACTCCTATGTTTGTTGCAGCACTGTTTGTAGTAGCTAAAATTTGGAAGCAACTTAAGTGTCCATCAACAGATGAATGGATAAAGAAAAAAACATGTTGCTTGCAGCAACATAAATGGAACTGGAGGTCATTATGTTAAGTGAAATAAACCAGTCACAGAAAGACAAACATTGCATGTTCTCACTTATTTGTGGAATCTAAGAATCAAAGCAATTGAATTTATGGTCACAGAGAGTAGAAAGATGGCTATCAGAGGTTGAGATGAGTCGTAGGGGCAGGGGTGAGGTGGGGATGGTTAATGGGTACAAAAAATAGAATAAATAACACCTGATATTTGATAGCACAACAGGGGGACTATAGTCAATAATAATTTAATTATACATTTTAAAATAGCAACAATGATATAATTGGATGATTTTGTAACAAAAAGATACATGCTTGAGGGGATGGATACCAAATTTTCTATGATTATGATGTGGTTATTATTCATTGCATGCCTGTATCAAAATATCTCATTTACCTCATAAATATATACATCTACTATGTACCCACAAAATTAAAAATAGAAAAATTAAAAGATAAAAAAGAAGAGAAAAATACATTTAAACAAATTATTAAAGGAATTGAATTCATATTTTAAAATATTTCCATGAAGAAAGCACCAGGTCTGAATGATTTTAAGTTAGTTTTACCAAACATTCAAGAAATAGATAATCCCAATTGTATAAAAGTTTTTACAGAGAATCAAAAAAGAAGGAATAATTCCCAATTCATTCAATGAGTTTAGTAGAACTTAATTACTAAGCTGGAAAGGACAGTATGAGAAAGGATAATTAAAAGTAAGTCTCACCCTTGAACACAGATTTTTTTTAAAGTTAAACAAAATCAGCAAATTTAATAAAGCATTATACTAAAAGGATGCTACTTCATGGCTAAAGATTATCTATCCTAAGAATCCAAAGTTGTCTTAACATTAGACAGACAGTAGAAAGGAGATAGGTTAAACCTCTGTTATACTTACTCTTTATACTGGGAGTAATAATTGAAAATGGGTTCTCCATGACAGAGAATCATGGGAACAGTGAAAATTCCTTTATAATACCATTAAACCCCCCTGAGAAACTGGTACTTTCACACATTGTAATATCTTTATATGTATCTGGTTTGAGGGATAAAAATATATTTCTCCATATTCCCTAATCAAAAGCATATTTCTCAATAGAATTCCAACATCTATTAACCATCACTAGAGGCTACCTGTATTTTTAATACTTCATTTTATTTTTTAAATTGACACTTAATAATTATATGTATTTATGGGATACATAGTGATGTTTTGATACATATAATGTATAAGGATCACCTTGATTTAAGGGGACCATTTCCAGGAGCCTCCAGAAAGAGCTATTAATTTGTGAGTACATACCACTTTGATAGATGGCTTTTCCCATGACCACTAGCTGAGACCTATATTCTGATGGAATATGACATAGGAATATAAGTTTCAGTGGAAAAATAACAAAAAGAATTTCAGAAAATAGAGAACTTCAGAGTACGAAAATATTTATCCCAGAACCACGTGTGATCCATCACTGTTGCACTGGCCCCTTCCTCAGCTCACACCTATTGTCACTGGTGGGCATATGCCTTGGTTAGCTCAAGTATCTGAAAGTTTATAGAGTATTTGGTCCAGATATTGAATCCTGAACATAACATCAGATCAAGAAGCGCACTTTTTGGTAAAGGAGGTGTCGTGGTGGGCATGTGATCATGGGACCCATCGGCTCCTCTCACATCTGCACCACCCAGAAGCAGCTGGCCTGATAGAACACAGGACTGTCCTATAGAAGGCACAGCTGAGGCTCCAGCTTAGAGATGATACCCTTCAAGGAAGCGGCAGCATCCTTCAGGGTGTAGTATATTCTCCAAATCAATACCCTGTACATGGTGCTGTTAAATCCACAAGAGGTAAAATGAAGATGTGGAAGTAGCAGGAGTCCTACTTATCGTCATTCCCTGTGACCCACTAGGGGAAATTGTGCAGCTGCAAGGATTGTAGGTTGCCCCACTAACATTCCTCAGTTTTGCCTTCAAAACGGATTGAAGAAATCCTGGAGGGGCTGTTCCCAGGTAGGACAAACTTACTATACAAAGCAAGTAGACCATCCAGTGCAAAGGACCACCCAGTATAGAGGATGGATGCTGTGATGCACTGCACAGATTTCTCCCTTTATTACCGAATCACTCATTCCCCCAGCTGCCAACAGCACAAAGCTATGTTCCTACCTAGGAGCTACCTCATTCAAAGGGAGCTGCCTTGCCCAAGGCTTTTTCCCCTTCCTAGATACACCATGCATCACATGGCTGACTGATCATGTTGGGTACAAAGGCCTGGCCCTCTTACATCAACTCTCAAGAACAACCCCCACCCCAAAGAGGTTTTTTTTGTGTGACCCAATTGCAGTTCAGCTACCCTCTGACCAATCCTGCCGCTTTAATTTCTCCCAGGTGTTTTTATCCAGAGCACTCTTTATAAACTTCCTGCACTCAAATCTTTCTTGCCAGAATGCAGACAGCTCAAGTATTCTTCTACTGTTTGGTGGAGATAATTGAGATGTTTGAATATGTAAGACAAAACAGAAAAAAGTATCCACATAAGCAAACCTTCCTTATTGACTTACTTTAATCAGTATCTTAGATAAACATATGAAATTTTGAGTTATCATTCTTTCAGTCTTTCATTCATTCAAAAGATATTTCTTTATCATCTATAATGTGTAGAACTATTTCAGATTATAGGAATGCAGAGATGATTAAAACACAGTCTCTGACCGTAAGAAGCTTACAATTAAATGGGGAAAGAGACATATATAGGGGAACTTAAGTATATGAAAACAGGCTCAACATAGAACAAACAGTATAGATGTCAAATGTGAAAATTAATGAATTTATTAATTAATTTATTCTTCTACATCCATTTTTGCCTTTATTGAAAGTAGTGAATACATATCAGTGGCCGGGCGCGGTGGCTCACGCCTGTAATCCCAGCACTTTGGGAGGCCAAGGCAGGCTGATCACGAGGTCAGGAGATCGAGATCATCTTGGCTAACAGGGTGAAACCCTGTGTCTACTAAAAAAAAAAAAAAAAGTACAAAAAAAAAAATTAGCCAGGCGTGGTGGCAGGCGCCTGTAGTCCCAGCTGCGTGAACTCGGGGAGGCGGAGCTTGCAGTGAGCCGAGATCGCGCCACTGCACTCCAGCCTGGGCACAGAGTGAGATTCCATCTCAAAAAAAAAAAAAAAAAAAAAAGAAAAGAAAGTAGTGAATACACATCAGATAGATTAAAATCCATTTCAATGCTAATTTCTGCATGCTCTGGTTCTGTTGGAGAGAATACAAAGATATTCTAATTTTCATAATTTTTTTAAATTTTTTTTTTATACTCTAAGTTCTGGGATACATGTGCCAAACGTGCAGGTTTGTTACATAGGTATACATGTGCCATGATGGTTTGTATCAACCATCAACCCATCATCTACATTAGGTATTTCTCCTAATACTATCCCTCACCTATCCCCCCACCCCCTGACAGGCCCTAGTGTGTGATATTCCCCTCCCTGTGTCCATTTGTTCAACTCCCATTTATGAGTAAGAACATTCAGTGTTCGGTTTTCTGTTCTTGTATTAGTTTGCTGAGAATGATGGTTTCCACCTTCATCCATGTTCCTGCAGAGGACATGAACTCATCCTTCTTTATGGCTGTATAGTATTCCAGGGTGTATATGTGTCACATTTTCTTTATCCAGTCTATCATTGATGGGCATTTAGGTTGGTTCCAAGTCTTTGCTATTGTGAACAGTGCTGCAATAAACATACGTGGGCATGTGTCTTTATAGTAGAATGATTTATAAACCTTTGGGCATATACCCAGTAATGGGATTGCTGGATCAAATAGTATTTCCAGTTCTAGATCCTTGAAGAATCACCACACTGTCTTCCATAATGGTCGAACTAATTTACACTTTCACCAACAGTGTAAAAGTGTTTCTATTTCTAATCATCCTCTCCAGCATCTGTTGTTTCCTGACATTTTAATGATCGCCATTCTAATTGGCATGAGATGGTATCTCACTGTGGTTTTGATTTGCATTTCTCTAATGACCAGTGATGATGCGTTGCTTTTCATATATTTGTTGGCCACATAAATGTCTTCTTTTGAGAAGTGTCTGTTCATCTCTTTTGCCCACTTTTTGATGGGGTTGTTTTTTTTTTTTTCTTCTAAATTTGTGTATGTTCCTTATAGATTCTGGATATTAGCCTTTTGTCAGATAGATAGATTGCAAAAATTTTCTCCCATTCTGTAGGTTGCTTGCTCACTGTGAGGATAGTTTATTTTGCCATGCAGAAGCTCTTTAGTTTAATTAGATCCCATTTGTCAATTTTGGCTTTTGTTGCCATTGCTTTTGGTGTTTTAGTCATGAAGTCTTTGCCCATGCCTATGTCCTGAATGGTATTGCCTAGGTTTTCTTCTAGGGTTTTTATGGTTTTGTGTTTTACCTTTAAGTCTTTAACCCATTTCGAGTTAATTTTTGTATGAAGTGTAAGGAAGGGGTCCAGTTTCAGTTTTCTACACATGGCTAGCAGTTTTCCCAACACCATTTATTAATAGGGAATCCTTTCCCCGTTGCTTGTTTTTATCAGGTTTGTCAAAGATCAGATGGTTTTAGATGTGTGGTGTTATTTCCGAGGCCTCTGTTCTGTTCCATTGGTCTATATATCTGTTTTGGTACTAGTACCATGCTGTTTTGTTTACTGTAGCCTTGTAGTATAGTTTGAAGTCAGGTAGCGTGATGCCTCCAGCTTTGTTCTTTTTCATTAGGATTGTCTTGGCTATATGGGCTCTTTTTTGGTTCCATATGAAATTTAAAGTAGTTTTTTCTAATTCCGTGAAGAACGTCAATGGTAGTTTGATGGGGATAGCATTGAATCTATAAATTACTTTGGGCAGTAAGGCCATTTTCACAATATGGAGTCTTCCTATCCATGAGCATGGAATGTTTCTTTATTTGTTTGTGTCCTCTCTTATTTCATTGAGCAGTGGTTTGTAGTTATCCTTGAAGAGGTCCTTCACACCCCTTATAAGTTGTATTCCTAGGTATTTTATTCTCTTTGTAGCAATTATTAATTGGAGTTCACTCATGATTTGGCTGTTTGTCTATTATTGGTGTCTAGGAATGCTTGTGATTTTTGCACATTGATTTTGTATCCTGAGACTTTGCTGAAGTTGCTTATCAGCTTAAGGAGATTTTGGGCGGAGATGATGGGGTTTTCTAAATTTACAATCATGTCATCTGCAAACAGGGACAATTTGACCTCCTCACTTCCTATTTGAATACCACTTATTTCTTTCTCTTGCCCGATTGCCCTGTCCAGAACTTCCCATACTATGTTGAATAGGAGTGGTGAGAGAGGGTATCCTTTCCTTTTGCTGGTTTTCAAAGGGAATGCTTCCAGCTTTTGCCCATTCAGTATGATATTGGCTGTGTGTTTGTCATAAATAGCTCTTATTATTTTGAGATACATTCCATTAATACCTAGTTTATTGAGAGTTTTTAGCATGAAGGGTGTTGAATTTTATTGAATTTTATTGAAGGCCTTTTCTTCATCTATTGAGATAATCATGTGGTTTTTGGCATTGGTTCTGCTTATGTGATGGATTATGTTTATTAACTTGCATAGGTTGAACCAGCCTTGCGTCCCAGGGATGAAGCTGACTTGATCGTGATGGATAAGTCTTTTGATGTGCTGCTGGATTCGCTTTCCCAGTATTTTATTGAGGATTTCCGCATCGATGTTCATCAGGGATATTAGCCTCAAATCTTCCTTTTTTGTTGTGTCTCTGCCAGGTTTTGGTATCAGAGCGATGCTGGCCTCATAAAATGAGTTAGGGAGGAGTCCCTCTTTTTCTGTTGTTTGGAATAGTTTCAGAAGGAATGATACCAGCTCCTCTTTGTACCACTGGTAGAATTTGGCTACGAATCCATCTGGTCCTGGGCTTTTTTTGGTTGGTAGGCTATTAATTACTGCCTCAATTTCAGAGCTTGTTATTGGTCTATTCAGGTATTTGACTTCTGCATAAATGTCTTCTTTTGAGAAGCGTCTGTTCATATCCTTTGCCCATTTCCTGGTTCAGTCTTGGGAGAATGTATGTGTCCAGGAATTTATTCATTTCTTCCATTTCTGTTCATTTGCACAGAAGTGTTCACAGTATTCTCTGATGGTAGTTCGTATTTCAGTGGGATCAGTGGTGATATCCCCTGTATCATTTTTTATTGCATCTATTTGATTCTTCTCTATTTTCTTCTTTATTAGTCTGGCTAGTGGTCTATTTTGTTGATGTTTTCAAAAACCAGCTCCTGGTTTCATTGATTTTTTTGAAGGGATTTTCGTGTCTCCACCTCCTTCAGTTCTGCTCTGATCTTAGTTATTTCTTGTCTTCTTGCTAGCTTTTGAATTTATTTGCTCTTGCTTCTCTAGTTCTTCTAATTATGATATTAGGGTGTTAATTTTAGATATTTCCCGCTTTCTCCTGTGGGCATTTAGTGCTATAAATTTCCCTCTAAATACTGCTTTAGCTGTGTCCTAGAGATTCTAGCACGTTGTGTCTTTGTTGTCACTGGTTTCAAATAACTTTTTTATTTCTGCCTTAATTTTGTTATTTACCCAGTAGTCATTCAGGAGCAGGTTGTTCAGTTTCCCTGTAGGTGTGTGGGAAGTTAGTTTCTTAATCTTGGGTTTTAGATTGATTGCACTGTGGTCTGAGAGACCGTTTGTTATGATTTCCATTCTTTTGCATTTGGTGAGGAGTGTTTTACTTCCAATTATGTAGTCAATTTAGAATAAGTGCAATGTGGTGCTGAGAAGAATGTATATTCTGTTGATTTGTGGCGGGGAGTTCTGTAGATGTCTATTAGGTCTGCTTGGTCCAGAGCTGAATTCAAGTCCTGAATATCCTTGTTAATTTTCTGTCTCATTGAGCTAACATTGACAGTGGGGTGTTAAAGTCTCCCACTATTATTGTGTGGGAGTCTAAGTCTCTTTGTAGGTCTCTAAGAACTTGCTTTATGAATCTGGGTGCTCCTGTATTTAGTGCGTATATATTTAGGATAGCTAGCTCTTTTTGTTGCATTGATCCCTTTACTATTATGTAATGCCCTTATCTTTTTTGATCTTTGTTGGTTTAAAGTCTGTTTTATCAGAGACTAGGATTGCAACCCCTGCTTTTTTTTTTCTTTCCATTTGCTTGGTAAAGACTCCTCTATCCCTTTGTGTTGAGCCTATGGGTGTCTTTGCACGTGAGATGGGTGTTCTGAATATAACACACCAATGGGTCTTGACTCTTTATCCAATTTACCAGTCTGTGTCTTTTAATTGGGGCATTTAGCCTGTCTGCATTTAAGGTTAATATTGTTATGTGTGAATTTGATCCTGCCATTATGATGCTAGCTGGTTATTTTGCCCGTTAGTTGATGCAGTTTCTTCACAGTGTCGATGGACTTTACAATTTGGTATGTTTTTGTCATGGCTGGTACCCGTTTTTCTTTCCATATTTAGTGCTTCCTTCAGGAGCTCTTGTAAGGCAGGCCTGGTGCTGACAAAATCTCTCAGCATTTGATTGTTTGTAAAGGATTATATTTCTCCTTCACTTATGAAGCTTAGTTTGACTGGATATGAAATTCTGGGTCGAAAATTCTTTTCTTTAACAGTGTTGACTATTGGCCCCCAGGCTCTTCTACCTTGTAAGCTTTCTGCAGAGAGATCCACTGTCAGTCTGATGGGCTTTCCTTTGTGGATAACCCGACCTTACTCTCTGGCTGCCCTTAACATTTTTTCCTTATTTCAAACTTGGTGAATCTGAAGATTATGTGTCTTGGGGTTGCTTTTCTTGAGGAGTATGTTTGTGGTGTTCTCTGTATTTCCTGAATTTGAATGTTGGCCCATCTTGCTAAGTTAGGGAAGGTCTCCTGGAAAATATCCTGATGAATGTTTTCCAACTTGGTTCCATTCTCCCCGTCACTTTCAGGTACACCAATCAAATGTTGATTTCA
Source organism: Homo sapiens (assembly GCF_000001405.40). Classification (NCBI taxonomy): domain Eukaryota; kingdom Metazoa; phylum Chordata; class Mammalia; order Primates; family Hominidae; genus Homo; species Homo sapiens. The sequence goes on from NC_000009.12 coordinate 21,650,496, forward strand.
TCTTGGTCTTTTCATATAGTCCCATATTTCTTGGAGGCTTTGTTCATTGATTTTCATTCTTTTTTCTCTAATCTTCTCTTCATGCTTTATTTCATTAAGTTGATCTTCAATCTCTGATATCCTTTCTTCAGCTTGATCAATTTAGCTATTGATACTTGTATATGCTTCACGAAGTTCTCAGGCTGTGTTTTTCAGCTCCATCGGGTCATTTATGTTTTTCTCTAAACTGGTTATTCTAGTTAGCAATTCCTCTAACCTTTTTTTCAAGGTTCTTAGCTTCCTTGCATTGGGTTAGAACATGCTCCTTTAGCTAGGAGGAGTTTGTTATTACCCACCTTCTGAAGCCTACTTCTGTCAATTCATCAAGCTCATACCCCATCCAGTTTTGTTCCCTTGCTGGCAAGGAGTTGTGATTCTTTGGAGGAGAAGAGGCATTCTTGTTTTTGGAATTTTCAGCCTTTTTACACTGTTTTTTTCTCATTTTCATGGATTTATCTACCTTTGGTCATTGATGTTGGTGACCTTCGGATGGAGTTTTTGTGTGGATGTCCTTTTTGTTGATGCTGATGCTATTCCTTTCTGTTTGTTAGTTTTCCTTCTAACAGTCATGACCCTCTGCTGCAGGTCTGCTGGAGTTTGCTGGAGGTCCACTCCAGACCCTGTTTGCCTGAGTATCACCAGTGGAGGCTGCAGAACAACAAAGATTGCTGCCTGTTCCTTCCTCTGGAAGCTTCATCCCAGAGGGGCACCCGCCAGATACCAGCTGGAGCTCTCCTGTATGAGGTGTCTGTCGACCCCTGCTGGGAGGTGTCTCCTAGTCAGGAGGCACAGGGGTCAGGGACCCACTTGAGAAGGCAGTCTGTCCCTAAGCAGAGCTTGAGTGCTGTGCTGGGAGATCCACTGCTCTATTCAGAGCTGGCAGGCAGAAACGTTTAAGTCTCCTGAAGCTGAACCCATAGCCGCCTCTTCCCCCAGGTGCCCTGTCCCAGGGAGATGGGAGTTGTATCTATAAGCCCCTGACTGGGGCTGCTGCCTTTCTTTCAGAGATGCCCTGACAAGAGAGGAGTCTAGTAGGGAAGTCTGGCTACAGCAGCTTTGCACAGCTGCAGTGGGTTCCGCCCAGTCTGAATTTCCAGGCCACTTTGTTTATAATGCGAGGAGAAAACCACCTACTGAAGCCTCAGTAATGGCAGACGCCCCTCCCTGCAACAAGCTCAAGCATCCCAGGTCGACTTCAGACTGCTGTGCTGGCAGTGAGAATTTCAAGCCAGTGGATCTTAGCTTCCTGGGCTCTGTAGGGGTGGAACCCACTGAGCTAGACCACTTGGCTCTGTGGCTTCAGCCCCCTTTCCAGGAGAGTGAACAGTTCTGTCTCACTGGTGTTCCAGGAGCCACTAGGGTATGGAAAAAAAACTCCTTCAGGTAGCTCGGTGTTTGCCCAAATGGCCTCCCAGTTTTGTGCTTGAAACCCAGGGCCCTGGTGGCATAGGCACCCAAGGGAATCTCCTGGTCTGCGGGTTGCAAAGACCATGGACAAAGCATAGTATCTGGGCCAGAGTGCACTGTTCCTCACGGCACAGTTGCTCACGGCTTCCCTTGGCTAAGGGAGGGAGTTCCCCAACCCCTTGAGCTCCTGGGTGAGGCAACACCCCACCCTGCTTCAGCTCCTCCTCTGTGGGCAGCACCCACTGTCTACCCAGTCCCAGTGAGATGAGCCAGGTACCTTAGTTGGAAATGCAGAAATCACCCGCCTTCTGCGTTGATCTCACTGGGAGCTGCAGACCAGAAATTTAAATCACTTTAGGTCACTTCTGATTGAACAGATTTGGTCAGTTTTCTTGCAGAGGCTGACATTTGAATGGGAACTTGGAAAACAGGTATGATTTTGATAGATGAGGAAAAGGGAAGGACATCTTAAGCAGAAGAAGTTGAATGAGTAAAGGCATCAAAGTGTTGCAATGCTGCACTTATCCAAGGAATGGCGATAGTTGTATTTGGCTGGATTCTGGGTACTTGGAGAGCTAATGGTGGTAGACAGCCTGGAAAGAGAGCTTAGGACTTGATTATAAAAGGCTTTGGATCCCAGTTTAAAAATATTGAATTGTATTCAGTAAGTAATAGTCAAGGAAAATTTGTGCAAGTGAGTAATCTCAGGTTTGTGTTTTAGGAAATTTAGCCAATGGCCTGCAATCAAGAAGTGTGAATTCAATCCCAAGCTCTTCTTGCTGTGTGTCATTGAGTAAATTATATAATCTCTTTGTGTTGTGGATTTCTCATCTGGAAATAAAGCTGGAGTTAAACTACTTTTCTTAATCAGAGGGATGGTTTGCCTGTTATATAAGCATTGAGAGTTTATTGTCTAGTTATTAGTAGATTTTCTGTTTTGATGGATCCAAAGTATAGGGCAACTGAGACCTTTACTCTCCCAACCTGAGACCTCAGTGAATGTACTGAGTGGTTCTGTTTTAAAATGCAATTCTAAGTCCTGAGCACCTTTTTGCGTGTGTGTTGGTGGGGATGGGTGGAGGTGGTAGAGGTGAGAGACGTCTTGATGGCTCTTGACAATAATAGCTGCCGTATACTATAGATTTACTATGTTCCAAAGTCAGTATTAAGGGTTTAAAACATATTTTCTCATTTAATCAACACAATAATCTTGTAAGAAATACCCTGAGAAACACTGAGTCGCTTGTCCATGCATCTGCTATAGAGATGTTATTAAAGCAACGCTTATGACTGTACAACAAAGGTATTTGCCCCATGTAGTGACTGGAAGATTCTGATTGTAATCAGCTAATTCAAAGAGCCAGTAGATGCTGGACCTACATGCAGTTAAGTGATGCGGGAAAAGGGGCAGAGTTCAATCCCATGCTGACACCCTCATTTAAAATGATGATTTTTTTTTTTCTTGGAGGCTAGCCTAGGAAAAGAAGTAAAGGTGATTCATTTACTAATTTGCTGAATAGTAGATATTTGAAGTGTACATTGGTCACTGATGCTGGAGGGAATATATTCGTCCACATTATTTTTTTAATCTCAGTAATGTATTATGAACAAAAAACAACCTCATAATATTTATTTATGATATATCTTAATAAATCCTGTTTTCCATTTCACCAGAAGCAGTCAGGATCGATGTAAACTCTTCAATCTCTTGGAGTCTCACTTTTCTCATCTGTAAAATAAAACATGATATTTAACTTGCAGAATTATTGTAAACATTAGAAATTAGGTATGCAAGGCATCTAATATAGTACCTGTCACAAAGTAAGTGATCAATAAAAATTGTCCACTCAGCACTTCTGCCTGACTTTCCATATAAACAGATTGCTATGATTTTGTGCAAGTAGGTTATATGTCCTTTTACTATAACATCTTTCCAACCATTTGGTTCTTTGACCATGATAAGTTGGGAAATTTGCTCAAGTCTCATAGAAAATGTCAGGATACCATCTATGGGCTAAAATGTTGTGGCTTACAATATTTTGTGATGTGATCCCTGTCTAACACCTTGTTCAGCCCTCTCACCAGTTCCCTACCTGCAACCTTATATGGCAGCTAAACTTAGCTATTGGTTTTTTTTTTTTTTTTTTGAGATGGAGTCTCGCTCTGTTGCCCAGGCTGGAGTGCAGTGGCTTGATCTCGACTCACTGCAAGTTCCGTCTCTTGGGTTCACGCCATTCTCCTGCCTCAGCCTCCTGAGTAGCTGGGACTACAGGCACCCATCACCACACCTGGCTAAGTTTTTGTATTTTTAGTAGAGACGGGGTTTCACTGCGTTAGCCAGGATGGTCTCAATCTCCTAACCTTGTGATCCTCCCGCCTCAGCCTCCCAAAGTGCTGGGATTACAGGTGTGAGCCAACTTGGCTATTTTTATCTCCTCTACACATAATATTTCCTCACGATACTAAAATAACTCTTCTATCTCTGCCTGGCTAATTCCTATGCTGGCATTATATCTTCCATAAACTCCTCTATACTAGTCAGAGTTCTTCAGAGTAATAAAACCAATAATATATCTATATATCTATATCTGTGTATAGATAGATTTATTTTGGAAATTGGTTCATATGATTATAGAGGCTGAGAAATCCCACAAGCTGAAACTGCAAGCTGGAGAACCAGAAAAGCCATTGGAATAATTCAGTGTGAGTCTAAAGTCCTTTGGACCAGGAGATGGGGGTATGAGTGGTAATAGTGTAAGTCCTAGAGTCCAAAGACCTGAGAACCAGGAGCTTCAATGTCCAAGGACAGAAGAAGATGGATATGCTAGCTTAAGAAGAGAGAGAGAAAATTCTTCCTTCCTCCACCTTTTTGTTCCATTTGGGCCCACAACAGAATGAAATTATGCCCACCCACATGGGGGGCATAATTTCTTTACTTAGTTTACTAAGTAGAATGTTAATCTCTTCCAGAAAAACTCTTAACAGACATACCTAGAAATAACATTTTATTAGCTATCTGGGCATTCTTTAGCCCAGTCAAATTGATACGTAAAATTAATTATTACATCCTCCATTCTTCATCCCCAACCCAGGCTCTTGGCTGAATTTGGTACTTTTTCTCTGCCTGTGTTTCCACACTTACTTTTGTTATGTTGAGGAACACATTGAATTGCCACAGTTGGTTTTCTTAATTGTTTCTCTAGACAAGAAGTCCTTAATGGTGGGGTCTTTCTATTATCATTATGTGTACCTAATATCCAGAGTCTGGTACACCTCCTGGTTTATTGTTGATCAAGTTCCACTAACATTTGTTGCTTGTTAAATGAACATGAGGTGGGGTAACAAGGGTGGATGGTTTTCTCCCCAGGGAACAACGCTTTCAGTGTGGCACCAAAAGCAGTGAGTACCTTAATAATGTAAGGTTAAGAAAATCATATCCTTTGCCAGTCAAGCCTTTTGGTTCTGACAGTGGCATTAGGATATACATTTTGAAAAGAGTAAAACACCCTCATTATGATCAATTTTTAATCATCTCTAGTGACTGAGAATGGAGCTATCATTCAGAGATTTTTCTAAAATCTTTTCAAAACCATATATTCAACCTGTGTTTTCTCTTTAAGCTAACAAAAAGTCAAACATTCATGTCAGCTACACAATAGTATTTATTTATTTTTTTTGAGACAGGGTCTTGCTCTGTGTCCAAGCTGGAGTGTAGTGGCACAATCATAGTTCACTGCAACCTCAACCTCCTGGGCTCAAGCAATCCTCCTGCCTCATCCTCCTGAGTAGCTGGGACTACAGGCATGTACCATTAGACCCAGTTTCACCTTGTTTCCCCGGGTGGTCTCAAACTTGTGAACTGTAGCCATCCTCTGACCTCAGACTCTCAAAGTGCTGGAATGACAGGCATGAGTCGCCATGTCTGGACTATAATAGTATTTAATTTGGAGGCTTCAAATCATCTTTATTCAAGTTTTATTTTAAATTTAGGCGCCTCCTAAATTTAATATAAGGATTTTATTAATAAGTGAATTAGTTCATAGCTACCCTATTTCTTTTTCTTCTGATTTGTTAAACTTTAAACATAGCTCCTAATTCATTTTAGCTGAAATCATTTTAGCCTAAGGAATTCTTTTTATCTTATTTTTTTCCTTTGCAATCTGAGAGGAGAATTTTCAACATTTTCATTACAAACATTTCATTACAAACATCAGAACAAAGTCTTTCCCAGCAAATGCCAAGAAAGGCATTTTGATTTACATTTATGAGAACTTGAATGTTATCAAATGCAAGCTGAAAAAATCCAAAGTTGTAAACGTAATGTAAATGTATAGTTAGGAAAATCTACTTGGTGATTTCAGGCATGTAAATAACTCAGTCATTCTTTTGGTTAAAAGCCAGTTTGCTAAATTCTATGACTATTTTTGGAAAGTATATATTTTAAAGTCTATTTTAACAATTGTAATGTTTTTCTCCCCTTTATACTGAGGTCTTTTCCCTCTTATAGATTCTGCCCTGTTTCATTATGAAGAGATTTTTGTAGGAGGGATTTTCTAAAAGAATTTTTCTCAATGCATATCAAAGAGCATGCTGTTTTTGTGATGATCTCATGGTATATCACAACAAAAGTGGAAATTTTCTATGATTTAAATTTATCATTTTCCATTCCTGTGATGTGCTCCTTTTTGTAATATCTATTTACTTTTTTTACGGGCACCCCTTACTGGCTACAGCAAGTTCTAGTTGACATCATTCAAACGTAGACAGTGTTGGAATCACCCAGGATAAACTACAATGCTTTCCATGTAGCTTGTCCTCCTTTTCACACTGACTCCAGGCACAGAAGTAGGCATCTCATGGTGCAAAGCACACTAGTCTAAGAGTCAAAAAAAGACATATTTCTGTCACTTTCTAGTTGTTCTTCCTTGGGTAAGTCTACAAGCCTTCTAACTGATTGTAGGACCCATATAAGTTAGAAGTACTTTCTGTTTCAGGAATTTTAAAGGATTTTAGTGGTCATGGTAGCTGACTCCCCAGCAGCATTCCATCCCAGGATGGAATGTGGATTGTAGATGGAAAATGGTTTTCAAATTTGGTGTACATTAGAATAACCTGAGAAACTTTTTAAACTCTGGATGCCCTGGCCACATCTCAGACCAATTAAATCAGAAACTCAGGAGGTTGGATCCAGATATTCAAATTTTCAGAAACTTCCCAGGGGATTCCACTGTGCAGCCAAGGCTGAGAACCACCGCTCTTGGTAATACCTTTGCTGATAACCAGTTTACACATGAGCATGTGGTTCAATTCTTGCTAACAAAATTTAAGGCAGAGGCTAAAGGAAAACTTTGGGAAAGACTGCTTAACTCCCAAAGCAAATACAAGAGACAAAGAGACTTGCCAAAATTCTGAGGTTGAAAACACTTCAGAGTCAGCAGAGCTGCCAAATCAAAGGAAAATGTAACCAAAACATGACGCATGCCCAAACTGTAAGCTTCCAGTTATTTGAGATTATAAATATCCTTATTGTGTAAACCAGACTCCCAGTTTTTCTGTTATTAGTAGCTGAAACATCCTAAGTGATTTGCTCTAAATGAGCAACATCAATCTTACTCCTGGCTGCTGTAGCTCTAGGTTAGGGTTCCCAAGCCTGTGGATATATGTTAGAATGAGTATAACTTGGGTGAGTCTTTTTTAAATTGCAAATTCTTGAACATCACCCAGACCTACTGAATTAGAATCTCTAGGAGCAGAGCCTAAGAACTTATATTTTTGCAAAACTCACCAGAAGATAACACAGCCAGTCTATACACTGATGTTTGGGGATAACTAAGTTCTTAAAAAAGAAAGAAAAAAGTTAGGAAAACAGTTACTATATCATGCAATTTAAGATGGAAAGAAACTTAAACATTGTCTAGAATAACTTTATTACGTGAAAGATACAGGAATTGAGGCACAGATAAGTGAAATTATTTGCTCAAAGAAAAACATTTAGTTCTTTGACACCAGTAAACATATTTTTAATGTATATATTTGCATTTGGTCTTCTTACAACTGAATGTCCTTTTCATTCTCTGTCACCAAATTAAGAAGTGAATTAGGCTCATGGCTTGTGGGCCCTGTTTGTCAAATCATACAGCTTGGAAATGACCCAGACTGCATACTAAGAGACATATTCATTTATTGTTTGGCTAACATGAAGCTGATACCAGGGACTTGTTTCACACACTGCTTGTCCTCAAAATTGTTCAGTTAGTTTCACTGGAATTTGTTTGCTCTTTTCTCTGCTGTGGGAGAATGTGGTTGGAAACCAAAGGTCTGGAGATAAAATTGCCAATGGTTCAAACAATACCTCGTGCTAGTTTTATTTGATCTCCTTATGTCTATTGTCCTCTTAGATTTGCTTTGGATATTTTTTCCTTGCTGTAACAGTGAGTCTTTAACATTCAACTGAGGCCATTTTAGGTAATTGGACACCATATGAAAGCTTGTATTTAGATTGACAGTCCTTATTCCACATATCAACTTTTATAGAATATCACTTTACATTGTGTCACCAGCGAGGACAATTTGCCTCTACTTAGCCCAAGCCCTGGAAAAAAATCAATACATTTTGATTTGCCCTTCCATTTTGGATGGAGATGGAAGATAGAATTTCTTCATAAATTAGGTTATGTCTATAGGTAAATTGTAAGTGGCTACCATAGGGCAAAGCTCAGATATTTTTTCTGAGAAGCAGTAATATACACCTTCTCCACCTCACTATACACTTTAACATTATCAGGGTAGAATTGTGGATCTTCAGATGGCCTTGTTATTTACGAATTTCTTATGAGCTTAGAATTTGCAGAGTGAGGATGTAGGAGTTCTGTACTCTTTATACTCAGGTTACCTTTGAGTAAAATGAGTAGTGGTGTGAGGCTCTGTACATGGAGGGTTTATGCTCCTTTATGTCTGATGGATAAAATGTTTGCAAATATATGTATATATATTAAAATATCAGTAATGTCAGATTCTGTTCTCCTGTTTCTAACATTTTGTCTCTTTTTCTTCCTCAGATCTAATGTCAAGTGAATTTGAGACTCTAAAATGCAACAAATGGGCCATAAAAAGTGGGGAAAACAGACAGAAACCAGGAAAGGAAACCCACGCCGTCCCATTCCCTTAGGTACCATGGAACCTTTATGTAAGGAGAGGTGACAGGGTAAAATGAGAATGTATGGAAAAAGTGCAAATGAATAAAAATGCAAGAGATGAGTTAAAATGTTATATTGCTATAGTAATATATTTGCATTAAAAACAATTTAACCTCTGTGACAACAAGAAAGCTAAGTCTGAATTAGTGTTTCCTGAAGTATATTCTTAAGAACAATAATTATGCAGGATATCAAATAAAATTACATGAAAAAATTTAAGTGATCAAATAATATTCAGGAAATTGGGTTAAATAAGACCTCTTGAAGCCTTTAATACTCTACCTTAGAGTGTGAATATCCATAAATGAGGCTCTAATATGCAACCGTTTCCAAACATATCTTATCACATTATTATTTTTCAATGAAGCATTTTACAGGAGTAAAGTTGATCTATATTTATTAGAGGTATCTCGGTAACCACAGTAAGGATGAAGCAGCTCAACCATCTAAGGTGAGGTGGAATGGATTTCTTAAGGTGAGAAAGCAGAGCCAGAAGCTGAAGGCTGGAACTGCCCAGTGCAACTGTCCTTGAAGAAGAGGAGCGTTAGAATGGCCCATCCCACAGCCTCGGCAAACATGTACACCAGAAGCATGGAGCTGCTTCTCTGAAGTTTCTTAAGATTTGCTGGTGCCCCTCAGTTTCAGAAAAAGTTATCTACAAATTCTCTTTAAAACTTGCATATCTCATGTGGTTTAATTCTTATTAAAATGCCTACTTCTATTTAAACACACAATATGGGCACATCGTACACACACACACACACACAAACACACACGAACATGCACACTACTTTCACCTCCCGAAAAGGAGTCATACTTTCGGGTGGTATCCACAAAGGAGCTCGTTTTGTTCCTGTTGCTGATCTCATGGATTTGCGAGCCAACATTCCTGTGAGGTGCTGGCTTTCAGCTATATTCACCAGGGGCTGCATAGGAGGATCAACATGAGGCACCTCTTTTTGACTGGCTTTTCTTCAGGCACTAAAGTCATAACCATCATTTATTGAAACTTACACTGTATAAAGCATTTCTGCATTGTCTCTTCCCCTTAAAACGACCCTATGAAGTAGTGATTATTCTCTGCATCTTACAATCGAGGAAACTGAATTGGGAAGTTTAAACAGCTTGCCAAGATTACACAGTTGTCTTCTAATATGCCTGTACTTTAATAGAAGTTGAAGAAGGAAAGTATCGATAGCTTCAAGAGGACAATAAAAAGGAACAGTTACTCCTGATAATGTATTAATTTGTAGGTATCTAAGAAGTTCAAGGTGGCAACGATTTTTCTCTCTCTCTCCTTCTGTCTCTGGACTTGATAAAAATCCTTCTAAATTCTCTATTCTATTCAATAGCCAATTTTACCAATCTCCTATAAAAATGATCAAATCCAATATGTGTGTATTAGAATGAATACATAAAAAACTTTTATAATTTTTTCAAAATCTCGCACTCATAAGTTGGTAAGTCAACCACGGAAAAAAACCTCAAATATAAAATTAATGCATTTAATGGTGTTTACGTTTTTATTACCCTGTAATTATATCTTTCCTGTGATTGTTTTCCTTTTCATGCTGGCCTATAAAATGTGGCTGCCTCAACCTGTTTTAAACATCTACATTTGTAGGATTAGGACTAGTGATGTTTTGCCAGTTTCCATGAAAGAAGCCAGATGCACTGAAGCAACCTCCTTTGATAGTTAAAGTCCTTCATTAATTTGACACCTGGCACTCCCAGCTATGGTCTTATTCATTTTTGGTAGAATCGTTCTGGTCCACAGATAAGAGCATATTCTCTGTCATGATAAATGAATTATGAAATTCCCTATTGTAGCGATTTTTATACTCTGCTGTTATAACTTACATTAGCTATCCTCTTACTGTAAATATTGATTCATTGCAAAGTGAAGACTGTTTATATTTAGGGTTGCCTAGTTTAAGAAAATTTTCCATATCATCTTTTCCCTTGCTATAAAATTCTTCATTCCAAAGGCACTTTTAATTTGGCCTCATTTATTTTGTAGTATTTCAAATGCTGCCAAAATTTGCATAAGTGCATGGAGACAAAATTAAGTCCAGATTTTCCAAGATGGATAAATTTGTGGGTGGTTATTTTTTCTTCTCCACAGAAGGGTTGATTGCAAAATTCCAGTAAATGACAAGTTTTCAACATAATCAGTTTTCTAGAACTCCATATTCTAGCAAATTTTCAGAAATTAATCTCTTACATTAAGTGAGTTACCCTATGTATGCATGTAAGTAAAAAAAATCCTACTTTTAAAAGTTTGGATTTGTATCTGGAAACTAAAAAAGCTATTAATTTTGCCATACACTTATGTTATCAATTAAAATACTTTTGCAATAAATAAATATCTAATAGTTTATATATATGATATAAATATATACTTTATACGTAAGAAATATATATATTTCCTTCTGGCATGAACCCAATAGTACTCAATATTTTAACATTTGTTGGGAAATCCCTAGTAAACCACCAGGTTTTTACTTAAATTAACAAATGATCAGCCTTTACCCCAGAATTTTTTTAAAGAATACAAAATATTAAATTGCTAATAGGTATTTCCTGTTTAAGTTGGCCTCTATCTTTATCTGTTCTGCTTTGGAGAGGTTCCATACCACTCTGGCTTGGACCATGTAATCCAGTACTTGCCAGTCAAAGCAGCATTGTGTAAGAGCATCCCATGGCTCTTCCTTGACCTACATCTCACCAGCTTTCATACTTTCCCCTTTCTTCCTCCCCTACCTGCAGCACCTGAAGGGCATAAGGGTAGTTCCATGACTACCACTTTAATTCTGTAATAAAATGTTGCTAGAGGAAAAGAGGTCATGGGCTAAGTGTGGAGATGAATGCTACTTTGTAAACTGCTTTGTTATCCACTATTTCCACACTTGGTCTTTATTTTTTTTATTATTTTATTTTATTCTATTATTACTATACTTTAAGTTTTACAGTACATGTGCACAATGTGCAGGTTTGTTACATATGTATACATTGCCATGTTGCTGTGCTGCACCCATTAACTCGTCATTTAGCATTAGGTATATCTCCTAATGCTATCCCTCTCCCCTCCCCCTACCCCACAACAGGCCCCGGTGTGTGATGTTCCCCTTCCTGTGTCCATGTGTTCTCATTGTTCAATTCCCACCTATGACTGAGAACATGCGGTGTTTGGTTTTTTGTCCTTGTGTTAGTTTGCTGAGAACGATGGTTTTCAGTTTCATCCATGTCCCTACAAAGGACATGAACTCATCTTTTTTTATGGCTGCATAGTATTCCTTGCTGTATATGTGCCACATTTTCTTAATACAGTCGTTGTTGGACATTTGGGTTGGTTCCAAGTCTTTGCTATTGTGAATAGTGCCGCTATAAACATACATGTGCATGTGTCTTTATAGCAGCATGATTTGTAATCCTTTGGGTATATACCCAGTAATGGGATGGCTGGGTCCAATGGTATTTCTAGTTCTAGATCCCTGAGGAATTGCCACACTGACTTCCACAATGGTTGAACTAGTTTACAGTCCCGCCAACAGTGTAACAGTGTTCCTGTTTCTCCACATCCTCTCCAGCACCTGTTGTTTCCTGACTTTTTAATGATCGCCATTCTAACTGGTGTGAGATGGTATCTCATTGTAGTTTTGATTTGCATTTCTCTGATGGCCAGTGATGATGAGCATTTTTTCACGTGTTTTTTGGCTGCATAAAAGTCTTCTTTTGAGAAGTGTCTGTTCATGTCCTTAGCCCACTTTTTGATGCGGTTGTTTGTTTTTTCTTGTAAATTTGTTTGAGTTCATGGTCTTTAGATGAGTGGCATCTGAACTCACTTCTGATGCTTGTTTAAAATGCAGACACCTATATCCTGCTCCAGCCCTACTGAAGCTCGGGGAAACTCTCTGGAGTCTGCAATTGTAACAAGGTCCCAGGTGTTTCTTATACATACTGAACTTCAAGAACCACTGTTCTAGATGGCTAGACGGACTTCTTTGTACACACTGTAAAAAGAAAACAAAAGTATATGGGAGACATATGAAGATGGTAAAATGAGGTGACACCTGAATACCTTCTAGAGAAATTCTGCTAAAATATTTATGAAACTATTTTTTTAAATCCCCAGAAAGCACAATAAATAACATGAAGTAAGCACTGCTAGGCTCTGTGACATTTTCACAAGTGCTTACCATTTTTAAAGACCTGTTTTTGATCTCTAAAATGCATTATAATCTCTACCTCATAAAGGGTTGTGACAATTAAAGAGAAAGGCATTAATCAAACAAGCTAGTGCGACACCAATATATAAGTAGCATTTAAAAGTTGTCCACACTTCACTCTTCCCACTAAGATTTTCCTTAGCCTCTGATCACTCCAGGCTGGGTATGCAAGCCAGTTATTTGAAAACTGTGCACCACAGAGGTCTGAGAGCCTTTCCTTACCAGTCAATGGGTTTGATATTATTCTAGAGCCTTGAACCCCAAATTGTTAGGGCATCAGTTTCACTGAACCTATACTTTTTTCCTGATTCCCAGGGTTTATACAATTTTGTCCTGCCTCCTACCTATTATTTATGTCCACCCAGGCTTTGCAGGAACTATGATTTAGGTAATTTTCAGACACCAACTTCTAGTGAGATCTGAAAGTCCCCTCTGCTATCTTCTTATCCTTTATATGTCAATGTCCACTAGCCTAAGACTTATATTCACTGTTCCATCATGGCTCCATTCTGCTGACTCTTAGAAGGAGTCTCCTGGAGGTTCCTTAGTTCCCACTTTCCTGCTAGCCACAGATACTCTCCCTCTCATTCCAGAATGTATCATAGCTTGAAACTTATACCACTTTCTATAAGTCTCCATTCAAATTGTATGCAGTGAGTAAAAACCCTTCCCTCGTCTTCAGCCGCTCTCCAAGATTGCTCTTCTATGTATACACTATCTTGCCTGAAGTTTTGATTCAAGTTCCCTACATAATCATTTATGGCACAGACTAGTCAAATAAAAATTTACACCAAAAAAACCAATGGTATCACAGAAAGTGACAAAGTGTTAAATTGTATAAAATCTACAAGCATCTAAGCAAGAAAAAAAACATCTATTACAACTTACTGTCAAAAGAGCAGAAATTAGCTTATTTTTAAAATGTGTATATGTGTAAACATGCTTTCTGAAAGATCACAGACTGACAACAACATCTCCTTCAAGAATAAAAGTGAGACCTAGGAATTTTGTATTAAACCAAGCTACATATAAAGAAAATAGGTGGGTGTGGTGGCTCATGCTTGTAACCCTAGCACTTTGGAAGGGCAAGGCCAGAGGATTGCTTGAGTCCAGGAGTTCAAGACCAGCCTAGGCAACATATGGTAGGCCTTGTCTCTACAAAACTTAAAAAATTAGCCTGGCATAGTGGCACACAACTGTACTCCCAGCTACTCAAGAGGCTGAGGTGGGAGGATTGTTTGAATCCAAGAGTTAAAGGCTGCAGTGAGCTAGAATCACACCATTGAACTTCAGCCTGGGTGACAGAGTGAGCTTCTGTTTGGAAAAAAAAAAAAATTAAACAGGAAATTATCTGATTCCTAACATCCTTGAAATATACCACTTGTGTCTTTACTATTAAAAAGTTATGCATAGGCTGGGCGCAGTGGCTCACGCCTGTAATCCCAGCACTTTGGGAGGCCGAGGTGGGCGGATCACGAGGTCGGGAGTTCGAGACCAGTCTGGCCAATACAGTGAAACCCTGTCTCTACTAAAAATACGAAAATTAGCTAGGCATGATGGCGGGTGCCTGTAATCACAGCTACTCAGCAGGCTGAGGCAGGAGAATCACGTGAACTCTGGAGGCGAAGGTTGCAGTGAGCCAAGATCACGCCACTGCACTCCAGCCTGGGCAGACTCCATCTCAAAAACAACAACAAAAAAAAAGTTATGATAAAGAGAAACTTCGAATATTTAATTATCTTTTCCCATTGATTTCTAATGTTTTCAGACGTATGTTCTCATAGGAGTTGGGAGGGAGGGACAACAATCACTTGAAAAGATGTTTCTGTTTTTCTTGGTCTTGGTATCTTTTATTTCCCAGATGTATAGGTCATAAAAGGATTGAGTATGTCATCTAGTCATCTTTTGGATAAATATTCAACTGATAACAAGTTAAATTTTATTTCTTAGAACAGTCTCCTTAACTCCATGAAAGCTGAATATGTAAAGCCAATCACTATACACAAATGATTCTATTTCCGATGTCCTTTTACAGTCTTAAAGAGTCAGCTAAGAATTTTCTTCCATAAAATTCAGTTTGTTCTGGTTGAGAGGAGGAGGGCAAAGCTCCTACTGCATCTGCCTTTAGAGAAATTCCAATAACTGTCTTGTTTTCAGTTTAAGGTAAGTGATCATAGACATTGAACATGACTGAAAATGTTTTCTCCCTCTCTCTTAAATTCATGTATTTATTCAGCCCGCCAAAACATATCATGCCAGGGACCATCCTAGGTATAAAGAAAGAAAAACATAAATAAGACAATCTCTACCCACAAAGAAGTTGAATCAAGAAGAAACATTAAAAGCTGGATGCTGCTTCTTTAGATTATATAAAATTTTATTTTGCAATGACTCTTGGAAAATGCAATATAGAGTTATAGAAAATATATATGCTGTGCATATAAAGAAATGATACATAAATCCAATTGACTTCCTCAGCTTTTTAATAATAGCTTTCATTTATTTAGTGCTCACTATATACCAGATCCTATACTAGGTACTTTAAAATTTTTATTTTCTATAATATTTACAGTAGTTCCATTTTGCATAGGAGGAAAAGAGCTTTATCTCCATTTTACAAATTAAGAAACTGAGCTTAGAAAAGTTATTAGTCATAAGAAATATTAATAGTGTATGGCAAAAAGAGGTTCAGCTCCCAGTGTCTATGGCTCCAGAGTTGGTGGCTCTTGACTTCTCTGCTATCACATCCCTACAACAAATGTGGGGACAACAAACGTGTCCTGTGTCATATACACAAAGTGAGATTAACTTGTTTGTAGAATCTTCTCCTCATGGCGCTTTCTTGCCATGCAGTGTGATCTTGATTGACATTTGTTCCAATGACTGGACAAGGCTGACTCAGGAGTCTGCTGTCATTTGAGCTGATGCAGGGGGTAAGAAGAAGGTGGCGTTTTATAGCCCTTTACATATTCTGTTGAAAATATATATTTACAGGCCTGGTGCGGTGGCTCACACCTGTAATCCCAGCACTTTGGGAGGCTGAGGCGGGCGGATCACAATATCAGGAGATCGAGACCATCCTGGCTAACACGATGAAACCACGTCTCTACTAAAAATACAAAAAATTAGCCGGGCATGGTGGCGGGCGCCAGTAGTCCCAGCTACTTGGGAGGCTGAGCTTGCAGTGAGCCGAGATTGTGGCAGTGCACTCCAGCCTAGGCGACAGAGTGAGACTCCACCTCAAAAAAAAAAAAAAAAGAAAAGAAAAGAAAATATGTCTTTATAATTAGAAGCCTTCCCATTAGACTGATGATTTCTAAAGTATGAGGTTCCTTGTCTTTCTGTTAACAGAGACTACATTATGTCAGACAAGAACAGCCATTCAGTATCTGGTTTGGAATGAATGATGCAATAAGATAGGCAGATACAGTGGACCTCCCCATGACATCTGTGAAGTCCCAGCAAAAATACAAATGGAAACCTTCAGTCCATGGCCTCCCAACTTGCTTTTCTCATTCCTCACTCATTCCTAGATCATAAGGGACCTTGAAACTTGTATGTGGATACTCTAGCCTGTTATGTGCAAGGTCTGTCCACACTATGCAAATAGAATTCCCTTGGCCACTTCTTTGGCCTATGCTATGCCCTCAGGAGGATGGGCCAGGGAACATGCTTATTCCTAGAATAGAGCTTGGGTCCACTTTGGACATAGAACTCTAGAAAGCTGTGTCTCAGATCATAGTCTAGAAAAGGTCTGGGTGAGCCAGGCTTCCCTTGGTCCCTTTGACCTTTAACCCTTTGTGAAGGGACACCATAGGAAAACTAGATCAGAGCCCTTCAAAATTCAGGGTCTAAAGGTGGTACTGGATCTTGCTATGACCTACTTTATAGAATGAGAAAATAGAAACTCAGACACTTCAAGTGCTTCATTCAGGCTCAAAAACTTAGTGAGGAGATCTAGAACATGAACCAGTGACTTCTAGTGTCAAATCCAAGATATCTTCCACTCTACTCGTTGTTCTATTGTATTTGTATAGGGAAAAATGACAATTTTTCCAAAATATTTAAAAGAAATAATTTCTCTCTTAGCATTTCTCTGCATGTAAAGCTGGGTTCTCCCTCTGGATATCACAAAAAGTTCACACCAACTTTATTACCTCGAGCCTCTGACCTCTAACGCAAAGAATGGGACTGATTGAGAGACAGCAAATTTGTAAGGGCTTCTGTCTTCTGTGGAGCAGAAGTGTCAAAAGTGATGCTTGTTGTGTTGAAAAAAAGTTGAAGTTTTGTAAGAGTTGTAACCAGAGATGTCTCCTTATCATAATAGGTCACTCGTTCAAAAAGGTTTTTAATTTGGACAGGATTGTGGGAAATGAGCATTTTCTTTCATTGCAACGACCAAACTGAACACCAAGTAGTTCTTACTATTTGTATCTCTGGGTTCTAGTCAATATTTTACGTAAAGATCAACTTGATATATATATTTCATTTTAAACTTCAATAAGGACATGTTAAAATATGAGGAAGAATTAATACTAGTTTTTCATGTTCCATTATAATTATCTTTGTGATTGAAACCTTCTTTAAATTGAAGAGGAAAATGAAGTTTCTTATGGACACTGCATTTCAGCCTCTAGGCAAAACTTTGACACAATTTAACAACAACAAAAAAGAGGTCTATAAGTTTCCATGCAAGTGAAAAATGGATAATATTTATGTTATTAATCCTATGAGGGAGATGGTATTTCTCATTTTAAATCCTTCTATGTGTATTTATGATGCTTTGGGGAGACAAACATTTACTCTGACATCTGCCTTAAGTACCAGAAACAGAATGAAAGTGTGAGAAGAATAAAGAGGATGCACTAGGCTTATTTTTGGGAAATATGAGCCTAGACCTGTGAACCCAATATATATGTTATATGTTGCTAACCACTATATGATAAAGAAGAAACAAGTCTCCAGGAATGTGTGTGGGCTAGTGCTGAACCTGGACAGGTTTCTGTGCTTCCTACAAATATTCCTGGCTGCGCCATAAATCCCAGCAAGGTGAACTACATTTCTTGGCCACTGTTCATCCTGTTTTCAGCTCATCCTTGAGGTTGGTTGGATGCTCTCACAGAGGATGCTAATCTTTCAGGCTTCTGAGCTCATGCAGTCCTTCTATCCTTTTGAAAGCACAAATCTCACCAGCTGAAATCAGTCATTATTTCCTTAGGGAACCAAATCTAAACACTAGAACTTCTCTCCCAGCCTGTAATTAAATCTGGCGGGCAGGTCACCAGTGCCACTGGGTCAGGAAAGAGAAGAAAAAGGAAGTGAAAGAAATGGCATTTGTTTCTTGGCTGGCCCCAGTGCTTCTCTGAGAGGTAGGCTCTGGCAGCCACACAGTGGAGTCCCTGTGCCCAGAATATTCGTGCCCAGAATTGTTTCGGGTCTGCCAGCTGGCTCCAAAAAGGTTCTTTCCAATCAGGGTCTTGCTTGCTCACTCAGCACTTGAAGCTGAAGCACATTGCTGGTGGTCTGTTGCTGCCCCAAAAGAATTTTCCCTAATTTACCACCTCTGATTATGAAACAGCAGAGCTTATCATACTTTAAAAGGTATCAGAATCGCTCAGAAAGCTTGTTAAATAAAGATTCCTGGAATTTATTCCCAAGACTTTGATTTAGTGGGTCTAGAGTTATGCCTGAAATTTTGAATTTCTTTTTATTCTGATTTATTCATTTATTTTTCTTAATTGACAAATATAAATTGTATATATTTATCATGTACAACATGATGTTTTGAAATATTATAAACATGTATTTCAAATATATGTGGCTAAATCGAGCTAATTAATATATGTATTATAAGTTAATATATACTTTTATATTTTTATATTATATAGGTATTATAGTATTATATGTTAATATATTATATGTAAAATATATGCAGCTAAATCAAGCTAATTAACATATATATTACCTTATATACTTATTTTTTGTGGTATGAGAACACTTAATATCTACTCTCCTGGCAATTTTCAAGAATACAACACATTTTTATTAACTATAGTGACCATGTTGTATCATAGATCTCTTGAACTTATTTCTCCAATATAACTGAAATTTTGTACCCTTTGACAAGCATCTCCTCAACCCACCCTGCCAGCCCCCGGTAAACACAATTCCACCCTCCTCTTCTAATAAGTCAATTCTTTAGATTCCACATATAAGGGAAATCATGCGGTATTTGTCTTTCTGCGCCAGGCTTATTTCACTTACCATAATGTCCTCCAGGTTCATCCATGTTGTCACAAATGACAGGATTTTCTTCTTTTTTATGGTGGAACAGTATTCCATTGTGTATATACACCACATTTCCTTTATCTATTTATCTGTTGATGGACACTTAGATTGATTCTGTATCTTAGCTATTGTGACTAGTGCTGCAATAAACAGAGGAGTGCAAATATCTCTTCAACATATTGATTTCATTTCCTTTGGATGTATAGCCAGAAGTGAGATTCCTGGAACATTACGAAAGCTCTATTTTTAAGTTTTTGAGAAATTTTCAAACTATTTTCCATAATGGCTGTACTGAGAATTTGCACTTCTAACAAAATCCCAGGTCATGCAGATGTTGGTGATCGACAGCCACAAAAGGCTATGGATGATTGATTGTTTTCTTCCTTAGTCGCCCAGATTTTAGTGTCTAATTTTAAAGTTAAACATGGCTATTATGTTAACTTTTACTGTCATCGCATTTGCATTCTTCTTATCCTTACTGCTTATTTTCTATTTCTATTTTTCTTTCTTACTGTATATGATTTTCGTTGAAGAGGGGGAGTGTTTACTAAATTCAATGACTTTTGAAACTAAGTAGGGTTTTCTTATTTATTCTACTAAGTAATTATACTTGAAGCTATCTACATCAAGTTTTATTCTGTTACGGAACAGGTAAGACCCCAGAAAGAGGTACCAGAGGTGATATTTGGATAATATCTACCCAATTGAATAAGAAATGTTGAATTTAATAGATTCATGCCTCCTGCAATAAAGTGGGGTCCAAATGTAATATCTGCCCTCTGACAAAGAACTTCCCTGATTCTGTCTCATCTGTGTTTAGTTTTGGTCTAAATGCCTGAGGTTGCTACCTCACTATGCTGCTAGTTGGGCTTCTGTCTGTTCCATTTGGGCAGGAAGAAAAAGAGAGAAAATGAAAGCGATGTGGTTTGTCTCACCCTGCCTTATCACAAGGTTCTTACCCCCGAGTTTGGGGTGAGGTTCAAGGAAGAATGAGAATATGACTCAGATGCCCCATCAATACATTTTCCCAAATAAAACAAGAGGTGTATGTAGCTAGTCCTGCCTTACTATCAAATATCAAACTTTTCATTCATTTGCAACTATTTTTAGTATATCAGCAAAGTTTCTCTTAGGTTTCAATGTAGTTAAGGCAGGCTATATACTGTGCTAAATACTGATTCTAAAAGTGTTATTTCCCAGCCAGTCTGTCTCTCTCCCAAAGTAAATGTAGTATAATGCAATTGAGTAGAAGCAATGTTGTTGGAAAGGTAATCTTAAATCCTCCATGATTTATGAAAAATTAAAAGTAAGGCCTTTGCAGGCTTGGCATGATGGTTCATGCCTGTAATCCGAGCACTTTGGGAGGCCGAGGCAGGTGGATCATCTGAGGTCAGGAATTTGAGACCAGCCTGGCCAACATGGTGAAACCCCATCTGTACTAAAAATACAAAATTTAGCCAGATGTGGTGGTGGGTGCCTGTAATCCCAGCTACTCGGAAGGCCGAGGCAGGAGAATCGCTTGAACCCGGGAGGTGGAATTTGCAATGAACTGACATCACGCCATTGCACTCCAGCCTGGGTGACAAGAGCAAAAAACTCCGTCTCAATAAATAAATAAATAAATGAAATAAGTCCTTTGTAAACATTGACACCTTATTAGTTGTGCATTTTTTTGTCATATACTTCACAGCTAACTGTGGCATGCTAAGATGTCTGGGCTCTTATTTGAGTCTTTTAACGTTGGTTAGTTGCTGGTCATCATCATTTTGGTGAAAACTTACTTTCTATTATGTGTAGATTTTTTGATCTTCTGTTTCTCCACTGCCTTCTCATATCTCTGAAAATTACTACTTACATGCATTTAACCTGAAAAAAAACTCAAGACCTTAAAGAAGGTCCAGTGGTCTGTATGAAATATTTGGAAAATAAAGAAGAACGTATTCTTGGGAAGTAAGAAAGTATCATTAGAAAGCTTGACTTTGAATAGGATCCATCATCTCTCATCCAGAGCTATCAATCTGTTACCTTTCTTAAGCAATTTACTCTAAAGGGAGACAGATAGAAAGCCCACATGGTTGAAAGAGGTACGAGATAAACAGATATACCCAAATCTATATCTATCTATCTATTTAATCTACCATCTCCAGAACTAGAGAAAATAAAAAGAGGAAGATTTTAGTAGCTGCTGTTTTGGAAAATATAATTAAAGTGAAAGTAACAGAAAAAGATTTAAATAATATTTGTTATACATTAAAAATGCAATCCTTTTTGCTTTTTTCATAGTCTGTACTACAAATAAAAATTGGTCTCTATTATTTATGCTCAAATCATTTCACTGCATAAGATACCATGCTGAGACTGTGCCAAATGATCTGCTTTAAAAAGGTTAGAATGTCACTCTTTCATGCAATGCAATAAGTATTTATTTTTCATTTGTTTATTTTTTTCCCTATGGTAGACTCTGCTTCAGAAAATCAAAGAGAAGAATACAGTTCTGCTTGCAAAGTTTACAACCTGGAAAAGCCACAGGTTTGGGGACGGAGAAACAAATACCTGTGACATTAAGCAAAACAGGGGTACTTGCTACAGTAGAAGGGAGAAATGACAAGAAGCAGTCAAAGGGATAGGAGAAGAATCCATTATGTCACTCATGCTAATGCAGGACGTACGCGGTGGTGATCAATACTGCAGATTGGCTGAAAGGGATAAAAACACAGAATAGTTCTCTGTAATTTGAGATCACAGGTCACTACTCTCCTTAAATACAGCATTTTCAGCAATCAGTTGGGACTGAAGCTCACTGATAGTAATTGAGAGTAAGCTAGTAGTGAGACATGGAGGCAAGTCTTTTAAAACATTAGAAAGAAAAAGAAAAAATGACAGTTTTGAATATAACAGATTTGAGGGAAGAGATTATAGACTAGGTGAGGACTAAAAATGTTTGTAGGCAAGGAAAAAATGCCAGGAGAAGTAGAATTTGAGGATGAAAATGTTAAAAATAAAAACAAGTCCTAGAAGTTGAACATAGAAGAAATATAGAAGAAAGGAAGTCTCTTCTTTGTCAGAAATTTGGAGGGGGGTTAGGAGGCAGGTAGAGACTAAAGGAAAACATAGAGTCAAAGAGATTTGAGGTGGAAGCAAGGGATGCTAAATGAACAAAAAAGGCCTGAAGTTTCTGAGCATAGTTGAAGCCGAAGACTCTATTAAGTCTATCAGTTCTCATGGAGAAAGTTAGAGAGAGGTATTCAGTTCTAGAAAAATGATGAGTGATTCACCATACCCTTGCTATGCAGTAATGAGGGTCCAGCTGAAGTCAGTGAGCATAAGCTTGTAATAAACCAAGGCTTGGATTCCTGAGATTAAGTACAGAAGTGCAAGGCAACATGAGCTTCCCCTGGCTGGTGGCTGCTGCTGTGTTCATGGCTACACTGTGACCCACTCATGAAAAGTCATTTAGGATATCAATAAAGGCACCCTGAGACTCAAAGTGTTAAGAGACCTTTGAAGCGTTCAAGAGAAAAATTATAATGAGGATAGAGAGCTGACTGGAGTGAAGGAATGAAAAAGCCCAATATAGGGGAATGAATTTAGGAGCCCAAGAACTTTGAGGTGGAGCTGTGTCACTTCTATTGGGAAGGATAAAGTACAGTGAGACCAATCACTGCAGTCAGCACCATGGATGATCAAATCATTGACACTGATGATGATATGTAAAGGAGAAAAGGATTGTGAGCTATGTACTAAAATAATTGAAGGTAAAATAGAAAAGAAAAAAGGGAGACACTTGGCATGGAAAAATAATGGAAAGCTGCCCCAAACAGAGGAATATAAGTAACTCAACAGTCTACTCCTGAACATGCGCACTATAAATGAGAAAAGTGGGAGAACATAGGGACAAAAAGATGGCTGATAAGAATAGGTAGAAAATAGCATAAGCAATAGCATCAAAGTCACGTTGTTCTTGATATGAGAGGGTTGAGCTAAGTACTAGGTTGGATGGTGCAAAAGTAATTGCAGTTTTTGCCATTAAAGTTTGCCATCAAAACCATATTAAGAATTTGGGATTTTGGCCGGGTGCAGTGGCTCACACCTGTAATCTCAGCACTTTGGGGGGCCAAGGCGGGCGGATCATGAGATCAGGAGATCGAGACCAACCTGGTTAAAATGGTGAAACTCCATCTCTACTAAAAAATACAAAAAATTAGCCAGGCGTGGTGGCGGGCACCTGTAGTCCCAGCTACTTAGGAGGCTGAGGCAGGAAAATGGCGTGAACTCAGGAGGCAGAGGTTGCACTGAGCCGAGATCATGCCACTGCACTCCAGCCTGGGCAACAGAATGAGACTCTGTCTCAAAAAAAAAAAAAAGAATTTGGTTTTTATTCTAAGAGCAATGGGAAGGAATTGAATGATATTAGGCAGTATGATTAACTGGTATGATCAAATTTTACAATTTTCTTTATGCATGGTAAATAGATTGGAGGGGTGAAAATATATTTTAGGAGTCCATTTAGGAGACAATTATAGTAGTGTATGTGAACTGTGATGGCAGCTTGTCTAGGATGGAGACAGGCAGATTAGAGAAATATATCCAAGTACAACTGACAAACTTGGTTTTAAAGGTCAGGGGGAGAGCTGACTTCTGAGAGTCTGGCAGCGGTCTGCAAATTTATATGAAGGGTCAGATAATAAGGATTTTAAGTGTTTCAGGCTCTATCGTCTCTGTTACAGCTGTTCAACTCTGCTATTGTAGTGCAAAGCAGCCATAGCCAATACGTAATACGTACAACTATGTTACAATTGCTCTTTACTTGTAGACGTCGGAATTTGAATTTCACATAATTTTTATGCCATGAAATATTTTTCTTTTAAAGTTTTTTTAACCATTTAAGAATATTAAAACCATTCTTAGCTTACTAGTCATATACAATCAGGCAGAGGGTTGGATTTGGCCTACAGGGCTATAGCTTTTCAACCTCTCAGCTGGGGCAACAAACTAGAAGTTGTTGCTACATACCGAAACACTGGAAGGGAACGAAGAAAACGTTCAAGGATTGAGAGATGTTTATTGTAGGAAAACTAAGTTCTAAAAAGCCTACAAAAAGAACTGTTAGAACAGTGGGTATTAATGAATTATGATGGGGAAAAAAAGAAAATGTAGCTTTCAGATTACTTGGTGGAAAGGGGGAATGGAAATTTACTGGAATTAGAAAAGTGGGGTTTTGGGAATCTTCTGCAACTATGCCATTAAGGGTCTATGAGTAAATAACTTCTGGCATAATAAGGTCTATGATAAAGGCTTGGATATTAATTCCATAACATATTACTTAGTGAGTAATAAACTGTCATTGATAATCCAAACAGGCACACCCTCAGTTTAGGACTATTACCTCAGCTTGAGTCACTGGTCTTCCATAATTAGGAAGTGATTTCTGCACCTCTCATCTCCACTTGGACAAACCATAGAGGCTCCAGACTTGGATAAAGATGCCTCATTTGTTGACAAAAGTGGTGAATTAGGCAGGGTGAGGGATTTCGATTCCAGAAGCAGAGGCTTCCTTAGGGACTCCACAGCAAATTATGATAGAAGTAGCATAAAATAGAAGTCTGTTTTGCTCAAAATCTTCTAAAGCAAGTTTTTGTCACTAATTTACTTTGTTACCTTGAGAAGTCAAGAGAACTAAGAAGCACCAACTGTCTACCGCTTACCGGGCATTAAAAATATACAATTTTAATTAAAACCTCCATGGCATTCCTAGCAAGTAATTATTATTATCTCCATTCCATGAAAGAAAATTCCAAGAATCAGCAAACTCAAGTAACTTGTCTAAGTTTATATAGTTACTAAGACAGAATTCAAGCCTGGTTCTGTTTGACTCCAAAACTCAAGCCCTTATACAAAACCATACTGGCTCCTTGAACTTCAGTTTGCTCATCTGTAAAGAGAAGAAATGCCATTAAATGATTTATCATGTCTCTTTGGTCTCCAGCACTCTGTAAGTTTAGTTTCATAGAGGCATGATGGCCATAAGGAGCAGGAGACATGGAAATACATAATGTGCCTCAACTTGTGACATAATTTTCCTTCCAATTTAATGCCATCGTCTGAAATTATGAGATGAATGCATGTCTAAATTCAAAGTTACAGGATGATACTACTTCAGATTTAAAATCAAAAAGTGTATGAATTATCCAGATAGGCAATATGAGCCCTGGGTATTCATTCCTTTCAAACTTTTCCAAAAAATTTTTAAAAATAAGACAAAAATTATACAATGTGCCACCAACAAGCATGTCAGTTATTGAAATTATTAGGTAAAAAACTTACTAATCAGGTTTTTGATCTGACACTTTTTTAACTGACAAATAGTGAAGCCTTTAGAAGTGATTTTTTTCTCTTAGTGTGCTGCTGTTAGTTAAGTGCTTTGTACTTTGATGGAAAGCATTAGACTTGTCAAAATATTTCCCACACGATCACTGGGTAGGAGGTGGAATGAAAGACAGAGAGAATGAACCAGGTAGAACCCTCCAATGAGGGGGAACCATGAGCAACAACGTTCCAGGAAAGTTTCTACACTGAAAAGTGTTTCTAAGCAGAATGTTAAACATAAATGGACATGGCAGCAACCATCATTTTGGAAAATCACTGTGTAGACATTTACTAAATATCATAATGATACTTACTTTCATTTACATTTGTAATATATGAGAAACTAATATGACAATTATAATACTCTCCACAAGTGTGATAAAAGGAAAGGAGAATACAGGCTTTATACTGAAAGGAAGGAAAAAAGAAGGAAAGAAAGAGGGAGGGAGAGAAGGAGGAAATGAAAAAAATGAAATTTTTTGCCAACTTCTGAGTTCACTTTTCAAAGATTTGGGGTTTTCTCCTTTATTCCTAGTTGAACCTTTGCTTTGTAAAAGTTAAATTGCATATGCTTAAACCAATAAAGGTCTTATAATAAGTTGTTGCTGTTATTGTTGTTTTGCAAAAGGGGGCATTTTTCTTTTCCCTTTTTTCCATTATTTTGAATCCATATTTATTAGCAGTTTAGACACATTAAGAGAACTCACAGAAAACTTCCATAGCACTATGCTCTCAACTTTATATGAACTTTATATAAGTGTTCTTATACATTTGTAATGTTCCTAGAGTACATCTGCAGGGTTACTCTTCAATTACATTTTGGAGCTAAGTGACATTTACGAGCATTATTTTTATTATATTTGTAACAGAACAAAACAAAATACCACCACACATTTTGGTATTTTACTTTAAAAATGTTTGAAATCTAACATCAAACATAAAACATGTAAAGAGGATATATTGTTTTTTTATTTTCCTTGCTATAAGTAAGCTAAAGATTATAAGTTGTCATTAATGATATTTAAAAAGATATTTCAGCAGATATTTTGTTTACACCTTGAAAACATCCAAATGGGCAAGGTGCGGCGGCTCACCCCTGTAAACCCAGCACTTTGGGAGGCCGTGGTGGGCAGATCACTTGAGGCCAGGAGTTCAAGACCAGCCTGGCCAAAACGGTGAAACCCCAACTCTACTAAAAACACAAAAATTAGCCAGGCGTGGTGGGGTGTGCCTGTAATCTCAGCTACTTCGGAGGCTGAGGCAGGAGAATCGCTTGAACCCAGGAGGCGGAAATTGCAGTGAGCCAAGATCGCACCACTACACTCCAGCCTGGGTGATACAGCAGACTCCTTCTTAAAAAATAAAAATTGAAAACTAAATAAAAATTTAAAAAATCCAAATGATTCAGCTAATTCTTATTCATATTTAAAGAAAGTATTTCAGAGCAAAGTATAAGAGCTTAATTTGTTAAATTCTCCTATCCCACAGCCTGCCAAGCCAAAGGTTGAAGACCAGACTTGCCCAAACCCATAGAAAGTGAGAAGATTTCATATGGCTGTGTATGGGAGCTAAGTGCTTCTGTTCTGATTGAATGTGTAAAGAAAGGGATAGTTAAATGCACAGCTTTTTTGACTTTCAATTTTCCCTGACATTTTGGGGAAATACAGCTTTCTTAACCTGTGTGAAAACAGCAGATTACTGAGTAACACCTGAGAGGCTATCAAATAAATATTTTCTGCACTTTCGATTTCTTTATTATGCCACAAGTTAATTTATCTTCCGTAGAGAAGGTAGGGTAAAATTAGCCACAGAGACTGAAAGTGACTCTAAATCCCTGAATGTTATAAGGATATGTGTAAGCAAGTAATAATTATGACTTATTCTCTGTCTTTCATGCCTACTTGCTTAGTCAGGTGTGATTAAAGCTTAATCAGCTTGGAACATGGTTATTGTAAATATCATAAATAGATATACTAATTTAAACACTGAATAAAGCATGAATTGCTGCGTGATTTTTATCAAAAAGGCAAGGTATGACTCATCAGTTCCTTTCTCTTAAGTAAATGACCTAAACACCATGCTGCACCCACACTAAGATTAAATCCAAATACGTCCTCCCACTTGTCCATCTTTTCTATCAAGTCATCCTATTCTATTCTTTGGATGAGTCCTGTGATTTTTTTTCAATGGGTCAGAGCCAATCACGGGTTATTTCATCTCTGTGACACCAGTAAAAATGTTGGATTCAGTTTTTTTAAAAATTATTAATTCATCTAAGAGGTAATATAAGTAAAACAACTGGGGACTTCGGGAATTTTTTTTTAATTTACAGTATTTGAAGACCTGTTTCAGTTTGCCAAAGCAATCTATACATACATATAATTGCTTTTCCTAATTGCTCCAAATAATTTCTCAAGTTTCTGACTTTTCAGGCAATATGGTATTTATCATATATCTCTTACCAGTCTAGAACAGAAACAAATTTTTTAAATGAAAATGTGTTTTTCTATTACTTTTCTTCTAAAGATAATAGTTTCCACGGCTTCTTTGAAACATTCTGGAAGTAAAATATGAGTGACATAAGGCAAAATTATAATTGTTGAGGATGATATGATATTACAAAGAAATGTGTTTATTTCCAGATTCTCAGCTCTGTAGAAGAATTCAATGTAGTGTTAAATTTGTCCACATGCAGTGTTAAATTTGTTATCTTTTGTTTTATTTCTCCCAAAATGAGCATAAATGCTATTGGGAAAGAGAGGTCAACGCTTTTGAATATAATCAAGATTTAATAGAATAGATTATAATTTATATTTTATAATGCTCTGAAGTTGAAGCCAAAAACTGCTTCTAACCTAGAATCAGGTTGAAATGTGTTATTAAGTCTTGATTGAGACTATTAATTTCAGCAAGATCCTTTTTTGCAATTTTTATACTTTTGTAATTATTTAAAAGTCCAGTTATTTTAAATGTATGGGAAAATTTGCTTTCCTTCTTTTTTATTTTTTGCAAAAAAAAATTCAAAAATTAGAAAAGAGAGTTAAAGGAAACTTCATGTATATCTTCTATTATAAACTTTTGGTGATACAAAACATAATGTTACTGAAATAGGTCATAAATAATTTGTATTTCACTGGGATAGCAGAATTAGATAAGTAATTTACTAGAGTGAAGTATTATGTTCTGAATTTTAAAGACAACTTTAGCATGAACTTTAATACCAAATTACACTTCAAAAGTTGAATAACAACAATGTCACGGTTACACATATTTTTAAAAGTACACATTTGTATATGCAACTATTTTAAATACATGCTGCTGTTTTTCTTATCTGCCTTGGATTTTTCTAACTTTTATAAGAATGTGGAAAAGAACCATTTTATTTTACCTGGTAAATAGACATTACAATCTACAGTGGTATGGGGAGCTGAAGAAGATTTCTTTATAACTAGAGCAGTTTCCTAACAGAATTTGAACTTTCTGCAGATATGAGTCTGACAGGTAGAAAAACCACAGAGCAGCCAGGCTCAGCTGGGTCCAGAACATTTGAAAGACTGTCCCAAGAATCCTGGCAGCACCCAGATGATAGTGTGCTCCTTTCGACAGTCACTGTATTCATTCCTTGGAAACCAGTATCAGGCTAAGAATTCCCTAAGGAGCATTTGGCAGCCAGGAAACTGATTCCAGCCCTGAAAGCAATGTTCTCCAAACTTCATTTACCCCTTAAAAGAACATGAAAATCTCCATAACCTCTTGCAAAAGTTTAAAGTGATATCTAAAATTTGTCCAAAATGTAAATATTACAAATTGTGTAACTTCCAACTTTTCTTAAATATTGATCGTTTTATATTGTTTTAAAATTGTTATATAATTTTAAAATGCATCTTATGAAATTTAGATAAGAAAGTGATTTAATTTCCTGTCATCAGAAATCTAAGAAAATAGCAATCCATAAATGAACTCTTCATTAACATCTGGAAATTTTACATCTTCTCTCTATTTTTTAAGCCTATTTTAAAAGTTCCCTTTCGCATCAAGTTTTATCCAAATTTCATATAATTTAATTCACAAAATATAATTTTATTTTATTCTTAAATCTTCTACTAATGACCCTGTTATACTTCTTTGCAGCAAAAATATAAAAGAAATATAATTTTTTAATTTCCTAACAGGTTGTAAATGTTAAAAAATATTTCTTCTGTAATATTACAAGTATTAGTAGTAAGCATGTATTAATAATGTATCAAAATACATTCTATTATTGAATCATTTAATATAACTAATTAAAATATTAAAATATTGATAAGTATACATTAAATCTAAAAGAACAAAATTATCTCTTAACGGGTTTTGGTTTTTCCCTCATAGATCTGTATCTGAATGCTACTTATTGCTAGAATAAGTTAGAGTTTGATATTACTTCTATTCTTGTCATTTTAACTGAGGTAAACGCTAAAACAAACAAACAAAACCTTTATTTATGAATGAGAATGAAAACACTTTTTAATTACAGTTATGACGTTTAATTCTTGGACCTTTATACAACTTTTGTGCCAAAAATTACTGTCAATGCAAAAGTATTTTTAAAGATCTATCAGCGAAAAATTTGTTTAGCCCTTCTTCATTTTAGCAGAAGGCAAAGAATTAGAGCCCCCCTGTGATTTGTTACCCAGACATGAAACTCTCCCTCTTCCACGCCTACACCAGCTGAAGTGTTTTTCCCTCCAAGACAATGCTTCATATTAAGATTCCAGGTGGAGGAAAAGCATGGCTTCTTTGTAACTACAGACCGTTTTTTAGGAAAGAATTCACAGGATACGTGTGGCTGTGAAAACATCCTTAACATTATCCATGCCCTTAGAAAGTCTTTGTGAACCTCCATATAAGTACTTTTGTTGAGGACCACTGTCTTGCATCTGTGGCACTTGGTGACCTAAGAAGTATTAAAGAAAAAATAAATAGGAAGATGGGCTGTTTTCACTGCATGCCTACTGATGGTTTTTCTGTAACAGTTTGTGATTATTTCTTAAAACCTGACAAATAGATAAGAAACACAAGTCAGTGTGCTACACCAAGAAAGGCCTGGATTTAAGAATCCGAAAGCATGGTTTCAACTATTAGCTATATTCCTAATTGGCCTCTGGAAAACTTCACTACATTTCTCTGGGCCTCAGTTTTCTCATTTGAAGCCTGGGACAGTGTTTCCGAAAGCTAACTGAGATGATTTTAAGTGGTGTATGTCCAAACTTGACTTGATACACATTTCTTTTATTATTTATCAGGAAAAAATAGTCAATCTACTAAGTCCATGATCCTTGAATATAGTTTTTTAGAAGGTATCTAAAGGATATTTTAGTTTTTTAAAAAAATAATCTATTTAGAAAAAATATTAAATAACTAGATATGTTAAAATTCATGTGTAGGAATTAATGAAGTTTGTGAAAAACTAGAAGACTTACAATTTCCATGGTTCTGTCAAGATCTAGCATTATATAATTCTATAAAAAACATTTGGAAGGAAAAAAAAGAAAGGGAGAAAACAAGGAAGGAAGAGGGAGAGGAAGGGAGAAAGGACTTTAAGAAGGCTATGTATTTCTAGGTAGACTTGTAAAACCTCATAGTCATGGATGGCAAATAGCATCCCACGCAAGAAAGTTCAAAAGGCAAGTTCAGGCAAATTATTCATTTAAGCATTAATGAATAGATGTTTTAAAGGCAGAATACCAATTATGCGAATCAGCCTTTCTTAACTCTCTGAGCTTGAGCTAAAAATCTTCACGATGTCTATATAGCCAAGTGATGAGGAAATCTGAGTAATTACCCAGGAAAGGCAAGCAAATAAAACTTAACCACAAGGCTCAGAGGACTGAGTTACATGCCTACATAGGCTGTCTTTACTGATAGAATTATTCAGGTAATCTAATAACCCCCTTATCACATGGCCTATGTTGCCACAGCCAATTCCTAATGCCAGACTTTTAGTCAGGATAGCTTACGGAGAATAAATGTTCTGCAAATAGTGTAGGTTTTTCCAGGTTAGTAAAGAAATTCAACTTTTCAAAAAGGTTATCCACTACTCAGAGACAAAGAATAGACTGAATTAATGAGTATTCGTATAAGCAATTTCCTAAGCCTTATAGATTTAGAATATGTGTAAATGCATCCAGCTAGCAATATTAGGATATTTTTAGCTTCATTTTTTTAGTAATATATTAAGAGCAAACTCCAGCTTTCCTTCTTGTTCCTTCTTGTGTCCTAATCCTTAAGATCAATAAAACGAAAGTTGTTCAGTCAAATAAAAATATTTAGTGTGTACATGCACAGAGGCACACACACACATACATACACACATGAACACAGGTACACATAAACACCACCAAACAAAATTTATGTTAGAATTGCTTCAATTAAAGAATAAATCAATCCAAGAAGCGTATGAGAAACATTATCTCAGCTATGCCCTAAGCTAATTCCTTTTTTGTCCTCTTGTCTTATATTCTAACAAAGGAAAGTCACTCTATTTGGCCTAGTCTACAGTGTTTCTCAGGCTCTAAGTGCCTTTTCTCCAAATAACCATAGTAACTCTATATTTGTTGTTTTACTAAGCATTTTTCCACCCATTTTCTGTATTAAATATAACAGCCTTATGGGATAGGAACACCTAAAGAAGAACCGGACAGTTTCTCTGAGCATTTCCTTTTGCTAGAAAAGTTTAGAATAATAAGAAAGCAACACTAATAACAGCTGCCATTTATTAAACACTTATTACTACTGAGGAGTTTTTAAGCACAAAAATATTTCTTATTCCTCACAACATTGAAAAGAGATATTACTTTATTTTATAGATCAGTAAGATGCTCTGAGGTTGACATTCTCAGGGTTATACACACAGTAGTGGCAGAATTGGGGACTGAACCTAAATTGATATTTTCGTGAAACCAGAAGGACTTTCTTCTATTTCACCCCACTCCCTTACTAATGGTTCTCACTTAATGTTTGTTGAGTGAAACCTAATACTCAGACATGCTCTTTTCAAATGAGCTCAATAGCAGATGTCTGTTCAAATCCCTTAGGTAATTAGAAGTAGAAATGGTTGGAAATTTCCCAATTGACTATGAGTAATAGTGAGGCCATCTGGGTAATATATAAACCCATTCACACCAATTCTTCTCCAAATGCCCCAGAAGCATTATTACTTAGCAGAGCAGGCCAAAGAAGGTTAACCGGCTGCTTTAAAGGAAAGGTGGGGAAAGAGGAGCTTTGCTCTAACATGGTCAGGTCATTCTACTGCCAGTACCATCCTGGAAGGGTCTGGTTTCAACAGGTGTCAGTCCAGGGACTATTACAAAGAAGGAAACGGAAAAATAGGGCAGCACACACTTTTTAAAAAGTCTTTCCTTATTTATTCGTAAGTTGAAAGGAGAGAGTGATGGCAGAATGTGAGTGTAGTATATTAAGATATGAAATACAACAGCTGAATGAGTAGAGTGTTTTCACTGTTCTGGTAAGAATGAAATACATGGGTATATTCAAACTAAATGCTCTTATATATGCATTTCAAACTGGTATTGCTCAATATAAAGATATATGATGAAATGATAAAATTCATGCCAATAATTTAAATTAAAATCTTCTTTATTTAGAACATTAAATAGCAAATAAAACACCATAAGAAGCTGAAGAGGGTCTGTCAAAGGAAGACCACCAATCTACCACCAGGAGTCGATTTCAGTTCCCCTAAATATCCAAGCATGAGGGAATGCTGGCAATGTGAACGTTCAATGGTAAAGTATCTGAGGATTTTGCAGATGCAGGTTGTCAAACTCATCATTAATGGAAGTAATCAAGAGCTCTAAGCATCCTTTTTCTTTTCCATAAGTTCCAGGGTGCATGTGCATACATTCTAAATGCTGGTCTGTTAAACCGATGTGCAAATTTTCAAGGACTATGCCAAAAGATAATAGCAGCAAGCCCACATTCAAATGCTGGAGAAAAGGAATGGGCTCATGACAATGAGCAAGTTAGATAATGCTTACAAATCACACTCGGGAGGCATTTTCTTCATGTTCACAGAATCTGTAAAATCCCTTTGCAGCAGAGTATGGCATGTTTTATTTTTTTCTTTTTCCAAGTTAGGTAACAAGTTTAGAATATATCTAAAATTTATTGGATACTAATTGTGTCCTAGGGTCTCTGTTTAGAACATTTATTTGCACTGTCTTATTTAATCCTTACAACAAGCTTATGAGGAAAATTTCATTATTACTCTATGTATTACATGAGGAAGCTGAAGATTAAGGAAGTCAACCGTCAATAGCCATGTAGCTATTAAGTGGGCCTCTGAGATTCTAGAACAGATCAATCTGACTCCAGACTCCTTTACCACACACTGCATTATTTGATAAGAACGTAAGGGAGTTGCCCAGAGCATCTAATCTCAAACCTATCTCTATTAATTCCAAAGTCCTTTATTTTTCCATGCCCACATTCTCCTCTATATTGAATCTTGTAGTGGATTTTATTAAATGAAGTGTGGATTTTCCCTCTCTAAGAATGTCTACAGTGAAGTTATTTACCACAAGATGGTTTTCATCCAGACAGAGGTATATCTAACACGAATAAATATTTTCTGAGCATTTACCATCTGCCCCACACTACAGTAACACTGTCGAGTTCACTGAAATGAACCTGATGGCTTCTGTGATTCCAGGCAGCAACATGTTTCTCTAAATCCAATGAAAATAGGAACTTATAACATCTTCAGCTTACATATTTACTGTTAACACGAAGGGGGAAATAAAATGATTTCATTTCCCTTTCGCTGTTTGAGGAGCAGTAAAGCCCAGCTTCTTGACTTTGAGTCATACACCTTGAATGGTAGGTTGGGCAAACTGGTGGTCACCTTCAGGTCCCAACCTGTAGAGCAACCCACCTTGGAAAGCCTCATCATTCAGGGAGGTAAGTGTGCCAGGCTCCACAAACCTGGACTTGCTGGTGAAAAGTCTCTCCAGCCAAGAACAGCACAGCCAGGAAAGGGTAGTGGGAGGTAGAAAGCAAGCTCAGAGCTGGCAAGTGGACAGAATGAGTCACCTCTTTGATGTGGAGTGGTTATTCCAAACACAGCAAAGGTGAGCAAGCATTTCCTTCCTCTGACTACCCTAACTACAGCGGCAACAGCCCCTTAATGTAGGAAACTGAGTCACAGGCTAGGAAGGTTTCAGAGATGCAGGAGGAAAATTGCTAGACTATACTGTAATACCAATCTTACTAAGATAAATTTAGTGTCAGCCTGGTAAAATATCATTCTGCCTTATTTGCATAAACTAATTTTCCCTTGTTTCCACAACCTTTCCTCATTGCTCCCTATTCTTAGTAGGGATGCCAGTTAAGAAATGTACACATAGAGCAAGACCTTTCAGCAGAATTAACTCTTTAAAGGAATCAGTGAATGTGAGTGAAAAGAAGACTGGGATTGTCTTATTAAGAGAATGAAAACGCCGTAAAAAAAAAAAGGTTGTTAAACCCACTGGTGGTTCTGGGAGTGGCTGGTTCTTTCATAAGAACAGTTTGGTATACTGGGTCATGCTAGAATTCGCCTGCCTCAGCCTAAATGGATTGAGTCCATTTGCAGAAAACAGAGGAAAAGTACGCTGTTTCCACTGGTTTCAACTTGGAGCAGGATTGTCTGTTGGTGTCTCAGCATGGGGCCTTCTTCACTCTCCCTGGAAGCAAGGCCCAGAAACATAAAGGCTATGTTTTCTAGACTCCTTGTAAGTAGTGCTCTGATTTAGGGTCTTCTAACGAGAGACACTTGCACGAGAAGGTGGAAGAGAAGGCACTGTTATTGCTCTGGAGTTAGTGAGCAGGTACAGGGTCACTGGCAGATAGCAGATCTGAGGTTTTGCCAGTGACTTTTGGGGGTCTGCCTGAAAATCACCTACTTAGGTGCTTCAGACAACTGAGACAGGTGATGAAGGTCCCCTGCAACTCCTGCCTTACCTGATTTCCTGAATACTTGTGGCAGTTTCCCTGATTTTCTTGTCTTACAATGTTTTGTAAACCCTAAATTAAATTTCCTGATTGAATAGCTAAAGAGGTTTCTGTTTTAGACTAAACCCTACTTGTCACATACTTCGAAGGGGCAAAGAATATATCCAAATAATTCACCTTTCATAAATTATTAAGAATCTATTTTTATGTAAGAATTCATCTTTTTCAAACGTTTATATTTTCATTATGTACCAATTCTTGTGGCAATGACTTACAAAATTTACTATGGAGTCATGAAATGTATTTCATGCTTCTCATGACATCTGTTGTATATTAACATATGTTCATCTATCCTATGTCCTTGAAGAGTGCTATATGTTTGGTCTGTTCTTATGTCAGAGAACACAAAAATACACACACCCACAACCTGAATTTTAGTTTGTAAATTTAGTGGCTTTGTCTGAAGCTTTTCTGAGCAAAGAGTAGAAGGAGAGAGAGAAATGACCTGAATTCTTAAGAATAGCATCCAAAATTTTGACTCATATAGGCCAGAGTAAAGGGGAAAGGTGAGTCTTTCAGAGAAAACATAATCTTCGTGAATTAACTTTTTTCCTTCACAAAGATCAGGCTTAATCTTTGCTCCCTCTTGCCTCTCTCATATTTATTTTCATTTCCCAATCAGCAAAGGAAATATGCTTAATTTTAGACTTAACCTGAAGCTCAACATTGTGGGTAAGGGGACTTGTTCTGAGCAGTTTAAATTCTAAGGCCTCATGATTATTGAATAAACACTGAATGAAAATAGAGCGACTAAAATATCATGAGATTAATAAGTTTGACATGATTGTGTACGCTTTAGTTTGCTTATGTAGGACATTATAACTGAAAGAAATGCTCTGCAATTTTGTGGATGATGTCATTTGATTATTTGACTTTCCTAGAAAGGAATAATTTAGATGTTCACTGCCCAAACTATATCATCTCTCTTTCCTTCAGGGTGTGCTATAAGATTTTCAGTGTAAATAAGATGTCAAAAATTGGAAGCCCAAACCACAGAACAAAGATGGCTTGCAGATTCATCTATGTATTCAGTCCTTCATTTAAAAAATCATTAATGAAGTTTCTACTATATGCCAGCCTCTGTTCTAGGCACTGGGGACATAGCCATGAGCAAAATAAACTAAAATCTCTGTCTTCGAGTAGTTTACATTCTATTGTTGGAAGAGATAGAAAACAAATCCAATAAATAAAATTCATAATATTAGAGGAAGACAAGTGTTTTTGAACAAAATCAAGTTGGGAGGAAGTGTGGGGAGAGGATACGATTTCAAATAGGGTGGTCAAGGAAGGTCTCACTGAGGTGAAGACATTTAATAAAAGACATGAAGGAGATGAAGGAATGAGCTATGTGGCTATGTAGGGAAAGGGTGCTCCTGATGAGGAAAGTGCTGGTGCAGTGGCCTTGAGACAGGAGAGTGCACTGCACAGCTCAGGAACAGCTGGGTCAATGTGGTGGTGACAGAGGGAGTGAGAGATTGGTAGGAGGCTTGTAGGAAGGAGGTTAGAGAAGTAGCAAACACCTGTTTGTAGCCATTATGAAGACTTGGGAAATGTGTTCTGCTAATCCAAACACAGTTTAAAAGTAATGTATTTTATAACATCTGATTTCTGATACCCCTAAGATTTGGCATTACTACATTGTACATTACCACATTATGACAACAAAGCTGAGCAGTAGTTGCCCCTTGATATGGTTTCAGGGCTTTCCAGTACTTCTTTTTTTTTTTTTTAAGACAAGATCACACTCTGTCACTCAGACTGGAGTGCAATGGCACAATCTCAGCTCACTACAACCTCCGCCTCTCAGGCTCAAGCCATCCTCCCTTCTCAGCCTCTTGAGTACCTGGGACTACAGGTGCATGTCACTACACCTGGCTAATTTTCGTATTTTCCATAGAGATAGGGTTTCACCATGTTGCCCAGGCTGGTTTTGAACTCCTGGGCTCAAGCAATTTGCCGGGCTCAAGCGATTTGCCTGCCTCAGCCTCTCAAAGTGCTGGGATTACAGGCATGAGCCACCGTGCCCGGCCTCCAGTGCTTCCTATTTCCGATATTCTCACACTTGGCCTGCTTTATTAGGACCTAAATTGATTTTTGTTTTGTGTCTTTATAAATGAGGGGTCAATTGGCAGCTGCCTTAGTCGCTTCACAGCCAAAGCATTGATGGAATGACTCTAGGCCTTGGGAGATACAGTCCTGGCAAGCGGCTCCTTTTGGCTCCCTTTGGAGTCCACATTGTTCTATGAATGACCACAAGCCACATGTATTAATACATGACAAAATTTGCTGTCTCATCACAGCACTACACATCCAAGTGTCTGCCATCTGCGCACTCAGGAATACATGTGGCTCTGGGCCCGGACATCATCGACTCAGTTGTTTTAGTTTCACTTTGGACATTCAGAGCTGCCTTTTGATATGAGGTGAGGTTTTTAAAACAGTTTGTTTTTGTATTCAGAGTTCAGTTTTATTTAACAGATAACATTGGGGAATAGAGTTTAGTTGTGTATCCACGTATATGTGTGTGGTTGACATGAACAAGGAGAGAGAGTAAAAGAAAGGGTGTAGTCCATGATCCAATCAAAATAAAATATACTGACTCTTTCACATTTGTGGCACATTTGATCCTCTGCTAACTACCAATATCCAGGATTTGATCTGGACTGGTTGGAAAATCCACAAGGTCTAAAAATGATCAAATGTCCTCTCTATGGATGATTTTCTTTTCTTAAATATATTACAAAATATATTTATCCACACCTCATGACTCAGAAGCTATTATATTTTCATCTTCCTGATTCTGGTAGCCAACAGTTAGGGTTGAGTCAGTCAAATGTTTCCAAAATGAGTTACAGAATGTACACTTAATCATAATAAATGTCATTGTATACAGCAGACTTGTTCTGGGGCAGTACCAACTTGTGCCTGGGACATTTATGTATTTCGAGATGTTTTTAATTAAATGAACATGAGTAAGAATTACTTTTATAGCTAACCTGACCCATAATAAGTCTGCTTTAAAGAATAATATTTAGATCATAGTTTAGAAAATTCAAGTTGAAAACTTCAGAGTAAATTTAACTCAAAAGCATTTAAGGTGACAAAGAGACATGGATATTTAATAATTTCTTTAAAATGATTCAGGTGGATAACGGATTCACCCTCAAATGACTGGCTTTGATACTTCTCCCCTTGAGTGAGAAAAATGCTTAAAAGAGCAGGAACTGCATTTTAAACTGGTTGTAAAAGGGGTTCCTGGTTTGTTTAGGAATTACGGTTTCTCCAGCTCAGCAAGAGCTGAGCCACCAAACTTACAGAAAGAGACTCCACAGTGTAAAACACTAAAATAACAGGTTCTCACTGGGTATGAGTAAAAGTAAAGGTAATTGCAGCTATGGCTACAGTAAAAGTAAGCAGAAAACTGAACGTTTAGCAAATGAATACACTGTAAATTGTCCATTTGAAAAATGCAAGACATATTTGTTACAATTCAGTGTCCACTGTTGACTTCCTAGGTTGGATTTCGTGGGAGAGAGACCCAGAGCCAGAGATTTGTGTACTGGAAGTTTATTGTGGGACTTTTGGGAGTAAGACCCAGGAGAGAGTGAAGGAAGAACTGGCAGAGAAAGAAGCTGATCTGCAATTCAGTAGCAATGAAGGCCACAGTCAGTCCTTTGGGGAGCTCTGGAGCTGGGATGGCCTTTCAGAATTGTCCTAAATTGAGGCAAGGAGCTCTCTTTGGCCAAAGGCATTTCTGAGGCAGGGACACATTTGTAAACCTTCAACAGCTAATGTGGCAGCTGGGGCAATAAATGTCTCAGTCATGAATAGGAAATTTGGGGAGGGTATTCAGCATCCACTACAGTTAATATAGTTTCATCCTTCAAAGACAAGAGAAGCTATGGCAGTCAAAATGGTAAATGATGCATAGACCTCACTGGATTAATACCACATACTATCACAGGAAATAGGGTATGTTGTGTAATTTGGATGCCGAAAACCTGAGATCAAATTTCAGCTTGATCATTTATTAGCTGCAGACAAGATGAGCTACATAATTTTTAGGGCCTATTACAAAATGAAAATGTGGAGTCCCTTATTAAAAAG
Organism: Homo sapiens; assembly: GCF_000001405.40. NCBI lineage: Eukaryota > Metazoa > Chordata > Mammalia > Primates > Hominidae > Homo > Homo sapiens. The sequence continues at coordinate 21,690,178 of NC_000009.12, forward strand.
GTAGAAAAAGAGTGCCATTAAAAGTACTAAAATGAAATCTTTTTTCTTCCTTTGACAGACCATCTTCAGCTTCTTATGGTGTTTTTATTTGTTATTTAATGTTCTAAATAAAGAAGATTTTAATTTAAATTATTGGCATGAATTTTATCATTTCATCATATATCTTTATATTGAGCAATACCAGTTTGAAATGCATATATAAGAGCATTTAGTTTGAATACACCCATGTATTTTATTCTTACCAGAACAGTGAAAACACTGCACTACTTCAACTGTTTTATTTCATTTCTTGATATAGAACACTCACATTCTGCCAACACTCTCTCCTTTCAACTTATGAATAAATAAGGAAAGACTTTTTAAAAAGTGTGCATTGCCCTATCTTTCCTTTTCCTTCTGTGTTATAATTTTCAGCATAAAGGATTGGCTCGTACAGGGAAGTAACATGAGTATAAAAGATTTCTTTGTCGTTTGTGTTACTTAGCACACTATTGCCCTCTTTTTGCATTTAAAGCAAATTCTGGTTTGAATAGTAAGCTTGCTCAGTCATAGATATGACACACTTACTTTGTACTGATTTTTGGTTTTACTGACCTCACACATTCCACAACAGAATTCTGTGCTCATGGGATGGGAAAGAGCACACACTATGTGTAGCCCATCTGCTTATGCATATGTTCCCTTGTCCCATCTAACTTCACTTACAAAAAACAACTTCTATGCAGCTGCGCAGGTGACATCACTGACACTGACTATGAAGTTGACTCTAGCTAGGGGACTTTGTAAATCATCCAATCCCTCTGAGCCTCAGTTTCCTAATCTGCAAAATTGGGATAATTATACTTAGCGTGCAAATTTAAACAATTACCTGAGAACCTAAAGAGACAATATATGTAAAATAGTTATACAAGGGGAGAAGAAAACTAATGTATACTGAGCTTCTGAGTCCCACTTCGGCTATTCCAAAATACTTGCCTCAAGATCACTCCAGACACACTTTATCCCTTGAGCCTTTGTAGATTTCTTAGTCTTAGGAAATAATTTCAGCCTCTCTGAGCCCCTTCACCTGGTATTACTAACTCATTGTCAAATTCTACCTTTGATGTCACTTAATTTAACAAATGTGTATTAAGCACCTAATATGTGCCATGTGGTATGCTAGGGGGCAGAATGGGGTTAAAGTTAGCAACCATTCTCAAGACTGGTTAATTTCCCCTCTCCTTTGAACTTACCTCTGTCATAGCATGTATCACACTATGTTATATTGCCTGTTTGTAGGTCTGCATCCCAACTATACTGTCTCCTTGATCTCCATCATAGCTGTAGTACATACACTGTGCCTGGTATGTAGTAGATACTCACTAAATTTTTTTTATTGGCTGAATGAATACCAGCCATTATTGGAATGCAAGGTAAAGAGGTTGATCAGCAGTTGAAAGGATGACCTGGATGAGGAGAGAGGAATGAACTGAAGAAATAAATTTGGATAAGAAATAAATGTCTTAGCATATAGGCTACAGAAGTCATGGAAATAGAGGAGACTTTCCAGGGAGGGTATGTATAAGGAGGAAGAAACCTGGGATGGAGCCTAAGCAACATGTACATATCAGGAGAGACATAGGCGGAAGGACCTGGGAAGAAGACTAAATCAGTGCTCACGGGGAGGTAGATGAAGGATCAGAAGAAGGTGTGATATCTGAGAAATTAGATGAACTCATTGATTTTGGTGATTAAAAGATGTTATAGATATAATAAAAGTAATTTCAGTGTTCAAAATGAAGTTGATTAAAGAGTGAATATGATTTCAGGAGGATGTCAAATTAGGTTCATTGCACCATTTGCATGAAGACAGAAATATTTAGGGTCCTTGATAACAGAACTTGTATAGAATCTTAACTATTCTTGTGACTTCAATGGGAGAAATTGCAAAAAGCAAAGAAAAGTGGAAAAGAAGAGGTCCTTAGAAATGTTCAAACTTGAGGGCAATTGAAAGAACAGTCTACAATTAGCAAGAGTAATTAAGAAGTGATAACTGGATCTAAGTAGACTGAAGTTCAACAAATGTGTCACCTTTAAAGTAAGCAATAAGTTATGAAAGAGAGGCAGGAAGGATGGGGTGTTCATAGAACAGCTTGCTGTGGAAGGAAAGCAGGAGGTTGCTAAAAGGTTCTTCAAATTCATAGCCAAGGTACCCTGATGAGACTGAGGGTCTCACAAGTTCAGTCATTCTTGAAAGGAATAGGAAAGGCTTTTAGTAGTTAAGTAGGAGAAGAATTGGCCAGAGATACGTCACAGAATTGACCTGCGGCATTAAGTGCCACAGGATAGTGGAAGGCTATAACATTGTAAACGCAATAAACCCACTATTGGGTGATTTCATCCAGCAGCACTCAGCAGGCTGTGAGTAGGAACAGAAAAGAATGAGCCATTTGATTGATCCAAGTCTGGATGTTTACACGGTGTGTGTCAGAAGGACAAGAGGATGAGATTTGATAGTTCTAATAAAAGAGACTTGAAAATGATCAATCATATAGTTCAGTGTGAGTAAGAAAGAAAATACGACAAGAATGGACTTGTAAATAGTAATAACGAGATATACAACACAGAAGTTAATATTTATTGTGCTTTTATTTAAGCCAGGCAGAGTGCTACCATCTTTTTGTACGTTACCTAATTGAATACTTTCAACCATCCTGTGAGATGGGAACTATCGGTAATATATACCACTTTGAAAATGAGGACGCTGAGAGTTAGGATGAATAAGCAACTTAGCAGCTTTTTTAGCTACTAGGTAGTAGAGCTTGGACTTGACTTCAGGTCTTTCAGCTCCAAAGTTGTTCAATTAAGGACTATAAATACTAATGACAGCAAAGCAAAGATGAAGATGAAAGCAGAAGCTCCCTAGATGAATTGGAGATTATGTTGAGTGGACTGAATGTTAGATTTTAAGATATTTCAGAGGTAAGTAGTCCATCCAGAAGATGAAAAGACACAGAAAAGTTGGTGCTTGAAGGGACTTGTAGGGAAAGATGCTGTTCCCCCCGGGGAAGGTGGACCCTGCCTCCAGGCATGGATATTGAGGAACATCCAATCATTTTCAATAAAATAACATGTCTAAATTATATCCAAGTCACAATGCTACACTCAAATTCTCCCTTTTCCACAAAGATATCTTCCCTGATTCTCTTTTCTGGAAAGAATTTATTCTTCCTTTGAACTCACATAATTCCATCTTTGCCTGGATCATACAATAGTATTTTGTTTATTTGTATATATATCTTATTTCCCCTGAGCCACATACCCATGAGTCTGTTTCATCCGTAAATTTTCTAAAGCCTCTAAGATAGTTTCTTGCATGTGTAAGATGATCAATTTAAAAGATGTTGAAAAGACTAACAAAATAAAACTTCAAACATTTTTTAACATTCAGATGGGAATTGGGTTTGATGCTTCTCTTCTGCCAAAATATTTTTAGTGTTTTTATTAGTTTTTATTAGTATTTAAAAATACTAAAAGCATTTTTAGTGTTTTTATGTTCCTTGAATATTTGAGACCCTTTTGAACAGAATATAAAGTTATATCGATTTTTAAATAATACTATTGCATTTCTCAAGTGAATTTTAAACTAATTATATATTAGAGAGATTTCCTAACTGCAAGGTGACAGCATTGCAAATATTTCTTTCATATAAACCTATAAAACAAAAACATAGGTTTTTTTCTGTTGGAATGTACCTACCAGTAATCACAGCTATATTATTACTTCATATTGACTGACTGGCCTAAACATTGGAAGATAGTACTGGCATTTAAAAATTATTAAAGCAATGTAAACAAATATGCTGTAAACTCTGATTTTGATCGGTGTTTAATTTATTGAGAAAAAAATGAAGGTGAGATTTTGACACATTTCAGTTTATTCCACATTAAAAAGAAAAGTAAAACCAAGCTTCTGACTTTCATAAAAATTAATTTTCTTCTAAGGAGGAAACCTATTTATTTGTGCTGTTACTGATGAATTTATATTTAACTATTAAATTATTGTTGTATTATAATTCTGAGCATGTTTCTATTGAATTTAAGAAAGGCCATTTGAGTTTAGTAAAACACCTGCAAACTCAGATGAGTGTGAAATGCTGGCTGCATCTGAGCACATTTAAAATAATGTGTTTATTACTCAATTAAAATCCCAAGTAATATGCTACTTATAAATTAGAACTTATAAAATAAAGCCTAGGTTATGATGCAAAATCAAACTGCTGTATTTAGTGAGTAGAAATGTGAACTTTCCAACATGGTATAAAAATCAAATATAGTTGGGGCCGTAGGCAGGTGCCTGGCCCTCCTTCAGTGCCTCAAGTGGGCTCCTGGAGGTGACCCTCTGCAGGGGGTAGGGGCACACAGGGAGTCACCAGGAGCAGCCCGTGGGTGTTCAGGTGCCCAGGAGCTCCAGGTCACACTTTTGGGACAGCCCCCCACTCCTCACCCGGCCTTAGGCCATGCCTGGAGGCAGGGTCCACCTTCCCGGGCCGAGGGTCTTTACTCTCCTCTCCATATCAGGGCAAAGGGCAGTGTTTGCCCCCAACCCAATCCCATTTCTGTTCCCTCCCTTGGAGGAAGGGGCATTGTGGGGATGGGACGGACAGTCCTTCCTCTTGAGTCAGGAAAGTGTATAGAGGAACTATCTAGGGCTGAGCACTTGGGCGAAATGGGGAAAATGAGTATAGGAACTGGTTTTTGGAAGCTTTGGTGGCTTGAAAGGTGGTCTGTCTCTTTGGGGGAAAGAGGAGAGGGTCTCCCACCACCGTGTATTGAGGCATGATGACAAGAAGGTGTCACGTGCTGCTAGGACTGACCTCTTCAGCTCCATTTACAGCCTCCCCATGGCCTGGAGGGGTGGAGGTCTGTAGAATGGGAGGACTTTGCCTCCTTTCAGGAAACAGACCGGCTCCTGGGCTGTCTCAATGCCTCTGGGGCTGTAGACTGGCTCCTCCCAAGATCGCAGCCAAAATTGTAGGTGATGCTGCAACGACAGTGAATAACAGCACTCCAGATTTTGGTCTAGGGGGCCATAAGAGACAGTTGGAAGATGGAGATCAACCGGAGAGCAAGAAGCTGGCTTCCCAGGGAGACTCAATCAGTTCTCAACTTGGACCCATCCATCGTCCCCCAAGGACTTCAATGACAGAAGAGTGCAGGGTCCCAGACGGTGTGGTGGGCCTGATCTTTGGCAGAGGGCGCGAACAAATTGACAAAATCTAACAGGATTCAGCCTGCAAAGTATAGATTACTCCAGGCAGCAGTGGCCTACCCAAGCACAGTGTGTCCTTGACAAGAGCCCCAGAATCTCTCCAGAAAGCGAAGATGATGCTGGATGACATTGTGTCTCGGGGTCATGGGGGGCCCCCAGGACAGTTCCACGACACCGCCAAAGGGGGCCAGAATGGCACTGTACAGGACATGATCCCTGCGGGCAACGCCGGCCTGGTCATCGCCAAGGGCGGGGAGACCATGAAGCAGCTGCAGGAATACGCTGGAGTGAAGATGATCTTAATTCAAGATGGTTCTCAGAACACGAATGTGGACAACCCTCTCCGGATCCCTGGGGATCCTTACAAAGTGCAGCAAGCCTGCCAGATGGTGATGGACATCCTCCGGGAACGTGACCAAGGCGGCTTTGGGGACTGGAATGATTACGGATCTCGGACTGGCGGGGACATTGATGTGCCGGTGCCCAGGCATTCTGTCGGCGTGGTCATTGGCCTGAGAGGAGAGATGATCAAGAAGATCCAGAATGACGCTGGCGTGCCGATACAGTTCAAGCAAGATGATGGGACAGGGCCCGAGAAGATTGCTCATATAATGGGGTCCCCAGACAGGTGCGAGCACGCAGCCCGGATCATCAACGACCTCCTCCAGAGCCTCAGGAGTGGTCCCCCAGGCCCTCCAAGGGGTCCAGGCATGCCCCCGGGGAGGCCGAGGAAGAGGCCAAGGCAACTGGCGGCCCCCTGGCGGGGAGATGACCTTCTCCATCCCCACTCACAAGCGCCGGCTGGTCATCGGCCGAGGTGGCCAGAACGTGAAAGTCATAAACCAGCAGACTGTAGCCTTCGTAGAGATCTCCTGGCAGCTACCATCCAGTGGGGATCCCAACTTCAAGTCGTTCATCATCCAGGGTTCGCCCCAGCAGATCCAACACGCCGAGCAGCTTATCGAGGGGGCCCTTCAACCAGGGGCCACCTGGGCTCCCCCGCGTGCCTGGGGGCTCCCTCCTTACCAGGGCTGGGGCAATACCTACCCACAGTGGCAACCGCCTGCTCCTCACGATCCAAGCAAAGCAGCTGCGTCTACCGCGGACGCCAACGCCACATGGGCCGCCTACTACTCACATTACTACCAGCAGTCCCCGCCCCGTCGTCGGCCCCGCGCAGGTCCCCGGGGCTTCACCCGCTCAAGGTGAGCCCCCTCAGTCCCCGCCCACCGGCCAGTCGGACTACACTAAGGCCTGGGAAGAGTATTACAAAAAGATCGGCCCAGCAGCCCCAGCAGCCGGAAGCGCCCGGCAGCAGGACTACACGAAGGCCTGGGAGGAGCACTTCAAGAAGCAGGCGCCAAGTGGCCACCGGAGGGAGTCCAGGAACTCCCCCAGGCTGCCAGCCAGACTACAATGCAGTCTGGGGAGAATATTACAGACAGCAAGCCGCTTACTACGGACAGATCCCAGGTCCCGGCAGCCATGCATCAGGGACAGCAGCAGGCTCAATGAATGGAATGAATGTGAACTTCTTCATCTGTGAAAAATCTTTTTTTTTTTTTCATTTTTTTCTGTTTGGGGGCTTCGGTTTTGTTTGGCGAGAGAGCGATGGCTGCCGTGAGGAGTATAGGGGAGCCCTTGCGGCAAGCTTGGGGGCTCAGGGACTTGGGAGCGTGCCGGGCCCTCACTCTCTCGCCCGTTCTGAGTCTCACATGCTTTTTCTTATATATATATATATATATATATATATATATTTTTTTTTTTTTAATTATACTTTAAGTTCTAGGGTACACCTGCACAACGTGCAGGCTTGTTACGTATGTATACATGTGCCATGTTGGTGTGCTGCACCCATTAACTCGTCATTTACATTAGGTATATCTCCTAATGCTATCCCTCCTCCCTCCCCCCACCCCACAACAGGCCCCGGTGTGTGATGTTCCCTTTCCTGTGTCCAAGTGTTCTCATTGTTCAATTCCCACCTATGAGTGAGAACATGCTGTGTTTGCTTTTTTGCTCTTGCGATAGTTTGCTGAGAATGATGGTTTCCAGCTTCATCCATGTCCCTACAAAGGACATGAACTCATAATGTTTTATGGCTGCATAATATTCCATGGTGTATAAGTGCCACATTTTCTTAATCCAGTCTATCGTTGTTGGACATTTGGGTTGGTTCCAAGTCTTTGCTATTGTGAGTAGTGCCATAATAAACATACCTGTGCATGTGTCTTTACAGCAGCATGATTTATATTCCTGTGGATATATAGCGAGTAATGGGATGGCTGGGTCAAACGCTATTTCTAGTTCTAGATCCCTGAGGAATCACCACACTGTCTTCCACAATGGTTGAACTAGTTTACAGTCCCACCAACAGCGTAAAAGTGTTCTTATTTCTCCACATCCTCTCCAGCACCTGTTGTTTCCTGACTTTTTAATGATTGCCATTCTAACTGGTGTGAGATGATATCTCATTGTGGTTTTGATTTGCATTTCTCTGATGGCCATTGATGGTGACCATTTTTTCATGTGTCTGTTGGCTGCATAAATGTCTTCTTTTGAGAAGTGTCTGTTCATATCCTTTGCCCACTTGTTGATGGGGTTGTTTTTTTCTTGTAAATTTGTTTGAGTTCTTTGTGGATTCTGGATATTAGCCCTTTGTCAGATGAGTAGATTGCAAAAATTTTCTCCCATTCTGTAGGTTGCCTGTTCACTCTGATGGTAGTTTCTTTTGCTGTGCAGAAGCTCTTTAGTTTAATTAGATCCCATTTGTCAATTTTGGCTTTTGTTGCCATTGCTTTTGGTGTTTTAGACATGAAGTCCTTGCCCATGCCTATGTCCTGAATGGTATTGCCTAGGTTTTCTTCTAGGATTTTTATGGTTTTAGGTCTAAAATTTAAGTCTTTAATCCATCTCGAATTAATTTTGGTATAAGGTGTAAGGAAGGGATCCAGTTTCGGCTTTCTACATATGGTTAGCCAGTTTTCCCAGCACCATTTGTTAAATAGGGAATCCTTTCCCTATTTCTTGTTTTTGTCAGGTTTGTCAAAGATCAGATGGTTGTAGATGTGTGGCATTACTTCTGAGGGCTCTGTTCTGTTCCATTGGTCTCTATCTCTGTTTTGGTACCAGTACCATGCTGTTTTGGTGACTATAGCCTTGTAGCATAGTTTGAAGTCAGGTAGCGTGATGCCTCCAGCTTTGTTCTTTTGGCTTAGGATTGACTTGGCAATGTGGGCTCTTTTTTGGTTCCATATGAACTTTAAAGTAGTTTTTTCCAATTCTGTGAAGAAAGTCATTGGTAGCTTGATGGGGATGCATTGAATCTATAAATTACCTTGGGCAGTAAGGCCATTTTCACAATATTGATTCTCCTATCCATGAGCATGGAATGTTCTTCCATTTGTTTGTGTCCTCTTTTATTTCGTTGAGCAGTGGTTTGTAGTTCTCTTTTGTAAGTTGGATTCCTAGGTATTTTATTCTCTTTGAAGCAATTGTGAATGGGAGTTCACTCATGATTTGGCTCTCTGTCTGTTATTGGTGTATAAGAATGCTTGTGATTTTTGCACATTGATTTTGTATCCTGAGACTTTGCTGAAGTCGCTTGTCAGCTTAAGGAGATTTTGGGCTGAGACGATGGGGTTTTCTAAATATACAATCATGTCATCTGCAAACAGGGACAATTTGACTTCCTCTTTTCCTAATTGAATACCCTTTATTTCTTTCTCCTGCCTGATTGCCCTGACCAGAACTTCCAACACCATGTTGAATAGGAGTGGTAAGAGAGGGCATCCCTGTCTTGTGCCAGTTTTCAAAGGGAATGCTTCCAGTTTTTGCCCATTCAGTGTGATATTGGCTGTGGGTTTGTCATAAATAGGTCTTTGTGCCTGTAGTCCCAGCTACTCAGGAGGCTGAGGCTGGAGGATCGCTTGAGTCCAGGAGTTCTGGGCTGTAGTGTGCTATGCGTATCGGGTGTCCGCACTAAGTTTGGCATCAATATGGTGACCTCCTGGGAGCGGGGACCACCAGGTTGCCTAAGGAGGGGTGAACTGGCCCAGGTCGGAAACGGAGCAGGTCGAAACTCCCATGCTGATCACATGCTTTTTCTTTCAAAATTGGGATCCTTCAGGTTGAGCCAGCCAGAGAAGATAGCGAGGTGTAAATCTCTCCAAAAAAGAAACCTTACAAATTAAAAAAAAAAAACAAAAACAAATAGCAAAGCAGAAGTTATTAAGTTATATATCTATATATAAAAAATATTTTTAAAAGGTAAATCATTTGTCTCATGACCTAGAATGAAACTAGCACAATAATTACAAATAATTTTGTTTGTCTATATACAAAATTTTAGATTGGTGCCATTTTATGAACAATACTGCACTTTTATAGTTATTTTGTGCAATTTTATAGTAATAGATATTTCTAGGTTCTCTGGTGTTCTTGTACGTGTTGATTTCTTGTTCTACAAACTACGTATTTGTAAAAGTGGGGTAGAGATTTTAATTTGTATGTATATATAAAAGTCTCTATTCTCCACCCCTCGGCATTCCTGAACCTGCCTCTCTGAGGATAAAGCAATTCATTTTCTCCCACCCTTAGCCCACTTCTTGCTTTTAAAATAAACTTCTAAAAAGCAAAAAAAAAAAAAAAATCAAACACAGTTAACATTGATTTTATTTTCTACTTTGACAACTCAAGTTTTCATTTCCAAGCATGGCAATCATGTTATTGTGCTGAGGTTGCCATAAGAAAATACCACAGACTGGATGGCTTAAACAGCAATTTATTTTCTCACAGTTCTGAAGACCGAGAAGTTCAAAATCATGGTGCTGGCCGATTCAGTTTCTGGTAAGGGCTGTCTTCCTGGCTTGCTGAGGCTGCCTTCTCACTGTATCCCCACATGGTAGAAAGAGAGAGCTCTGGTGTCTCTTCCTTTTCTTGCAAGGGCACCAGTTCTACTGAATTATGGCCCCATGCTTGCAGCCTCATTTAACTTTTATCACTACCTTATAGGCCCTAGCTCCAAATACTATACTATCACACTGGGAGCTGGGCTTCAACATATAAATTTGGGGAGGATACAAACATTTAGTCCATAACAACAATTATTTTAATTTATTAAATTAGGTAGCTCTTCTACTAATTTGCCTAGCTATTGGCCTGTTTAAGTTGTTCTCAAATAGATTATATAACTTTTAAGAACATACCAATGCCTAGGGCCCACTTTGAGAAATTTCGATTTAACTGATTTGAGATCAAGCCTGGACATTAGCATTTTTGTTCTTGCTGCTGTTGTCTTTGTTATTGATGAGCTGCTCATTTGGAAAAAAAAGTGACTTTATGTACTTTATTCAGTCATCTATATCCGAAATGTATCTGAGTTACCCAATGCATATATTTTAATTGAGGCAAAATTTATACACAATGAAATCTAAAGATTAATATAATTAAATGAATTTTGATAAATATATAGACCCATATGAATATTATCCAAACAAGATACAGAATATTTCTATCACCACAGAAATCTCTATAATTTCCTCCTCCAAGAAACCCCCTTCCTTCTGAGCAATCATATTTCTGATTTTTCTCACCATAAATTAATTTTTACCTATTCTTGAAATCATATAAGTGGCACTATGCAGTATGTACTCTTTTGTGTCTAGTTTCATTTTGATAATTTAGATTCATCTATATTGTTGCATTCTTATTTGTTCTCTTTAATTGCTATCTAGTACTTTATTGTATGAATATATCATTATTTGTATATCCATTATCTGCATTGTTTCCAGTTTGCAGCCATTATGAATAAGTTAGTATAAACTTTTTTGCGCATGTTGTTTTATGGGCACACTTACTTGTTTTTCTTGGGTAAATACCATGGAGTGGAACTGCTAGACTATAGGGCAGATGAAGGTTTAAAAGAAACTGCCAAATACTTTTCCAAAACATCTGTGTCATTTTACACTTTCAGCAGTAATGTATGAAAGATCCAGTTGCTCCATGTTGTTTTGTTCACTGTCATGGTGGCTCTTTAATTTTCACCATTTTAGCTGGTATGAAATGGTATCACTGTGGCTTTCATTTGGATTTATCTTTTCATGTGCTTATTGGTCATGCATGCATCCTCTATTTTATAATATTCAAGTCTTTTGCCTATTCTTTTAAAATTAGGGTTTTTATCTTTTTATTATTCATTCAAAACAGTTTTATATGCTCTGGATAAAAATCCTTTGCATTTCAAACGTTTTTTCCCAGTCTGGCCTTTACTTTTCATTTTCTTAATGTATCAGCTTTTAGAAAAACTTGCCAGATGCAGTCAGAGAACTATTACTTTCTGCCACATTTCAGGCCCATATTTCTCTTCTTTTCTCCAGTCCTTCTAGATAAGAATTAACATTGTTTGACAAATTTGTTTCATACATGCTCACTCATTTAATAAGTTGACAATTGTGTTGAATTTGGGTCACTTTCTATTTGACCCTTTTGTCTCAATTTTGGTACAAGCTAGAGCTGAAACTTGAGTAAAGCATGGCATATTCTGGATGGTATACTAGATTACAGTCCAGTTGGATGTTAAATGAATCCAAATGTTATCACTTCTTATTTTAATAAATTGCTTTCAATAAAAAATTCCCCAAAATCTAGAGTCAATCTTTTCCCTCAAATGATCTCACATTTAACCACTACGCAGTGGATCACACAATAAACACCATTTGGATTCTACTGTAAATTGTCTTCTAGGTATATTATTACACAATCATAATGTCTTCTAGGTATATTGTTATACTTTATAACAAATAAATTTGTTTTAAAATACTTCATTTGGCTATTTTTGACAGAAAAATTTCATCAGAAATTTTTTGTGACTTTATGATAACTGAAAATTGCAGAATACATAATTTTTTTACATGTTAGCATGATAGCATGTTAAATTAAATGAGGCCATCGGTTTCAAATAATGAAATCACATTAAATTTAATGGAAGCCAACAGTTGTGTCCATACTTATGACAGAATGATTGTGGAAACGTTATTACTTTCATTCAAATATTCAGGACATCCTCAATTCTTCCTTCTCCCTCAAACTCCTGAGGCTACTAGCTACCAGGTTATGCCAATGATCCCTTCAGGATTTCCCTCTAATTTTGTCCCCAGTGTCCTATTCCCTCTGCCATTTATTTCATTGCTCCCGATCATTTCTCACCGTGGCTCTTGCAAAAACCATCTAACTTGTCATCCACACACCAGGCAGTCCCCTTTACTGTCTGAAACACTGCCAGAATGATCTTCCTAAAAAAAAAAAAAAAAAAAACCAACCAAACAAAAAAAAAAAACCCTGCTCAAGTTGCCCCCTTAGTAGGTTCCAAAGGCTCCCTCATATCACTAAGACTCCAAAATTCCTCAGCATGGCAACCAAGCCCTGTTATAGATTAGCCCTCTAAATTTCTTGGCACCACATTCATCTCCTGCATATCATACCACATACCTTTCACTCCAGGCACACCAAGTTGTCACTTTTCCTTCCGTACTTTTACACAAGTTTGTACCGCTTTCCGACATCCACTTGCCTTCATTACACCTGCAGTAAGCTTAGCTCCTTCCAAATGCAGAACAAAGACCACCTCCTTGCTTAAGAATTCTCCACTTCTTGCTCCTCAGGTGTCATAACAAGAAGATTATGTGTAAAAGCACAATGCAGACTGATTTCTACAAAAAAAAGTGAGACATTAAAGATTTAAAAAATTGATAGGATTACAAGGTAATAGTTAAGAGTTTGGAATCATAGCTGAGTTTTAGATCCAATTTCTTAGACATAGCTGTGTTATTTCAGGAAAGTTACTCATGTTTATTGCCTCAGTCTCCTCATTTGTGAAGTAAAAGTATTTCCACCATAAAAGATACGTGTGAGGATTTTTTAAAATCACGTATACAGAAGAGTTTAGCACAGTACCTAGAATATAATAAATATTCTACAAACGATAGCCATTGTCATTCTTATTGCTATTGATCGATTAAATGGTTGCATGTGGAATGAAAGAAAAGTATCTAAAGGTTAGGTATTGTAGAGAGAGAAAATAACTTTTCTGATTAGCTTTGGGAAAAATAGAAGGGGATAGGTATTAATTCATGAGAATGTGGATTACAAATTAAAATCTCTACTCCATTTTTGCAAATACGTAGTTTGTAGAACAAGAAATCAACATGTATAAGAAAACCAGAGAACCTAGAAATATCTATTACTATAAAATTGCACAAAATAACCATAAAAGTGCAGTATTGTTCGTAAAACAGCACCAATCTAAAATTCTGTATGTAGACAAACAAAATTATTTGTAATTATTGTACTAGTTTCATTCTAGGTCATGAGACAAATGATTTACCTTTTTAAAAAATATTATGTTTAGAGTGCTACTAACAACCAATGTTGTATCCAAAGAGTCTTCAGTGTTCTGGGGTGAAGAGGATAAAACAGAAATTACCCACTGCAATATTTAAATTGCTTGGTCTTGTGGCTTGTATTAAAAAATAATGCAAATTTTTTTCATCAATACATTGGTATGTGTTTGAATATAAAAATATTTTTATTTAACATGTAATAAACATTGCTAATCTACGAAGATGGGCTATGTTCCTCACTTATCCCAGGAACGCTGTTAAAAATCTTTGATTTGGGATAAATCAACATTTTTAGCTCCAGATAAAAACAATGATAAAATAGTTTATTAAAATTTTCCACTTCTTTCAATGATCTTAAGTTCATACTCATAAAAATATTATAAGGTCATCACACAAGATAACTGTTCAATTTGATTTTTTTAATCAGTCAAAATTGCTTTCATGTATTAGATATAAAAATATTCAATATAAAACATAACTTAGTGGTTAGCTTATAGTTTTCAGTTTTGAGTCAGTTTTGGTCTAAGAAATAATAGTAATAACAATAATGAATATTTCCTTATAAGCATAAATGTAATTTTTAAAAATTTCCTGTGAATAATACTTGATTAATTTCATTTCCCTGCATATGCAAGTTCCACGGAGCCATGAATATGCCCATATTACTCTAGATAGAAATGAGTCTAATGGCTTTGTCTAAAACAATAGACTAACAATAAACAATTATATGTAATATAGATAAATTAGTCTTTGCTTTACAGAGGAATCTGCTATAGCATTTCCAATATGTTCTCCTACTAATGATTCTTAACCTTTTTGAAATTATAAATCCCTTTGCGATCTAATTAAAAGCTCTGAAATTTTCTTTCCAGAAAATAACACTTATATTTGCACATAAACCACATTTTGAGTATAGTCTTATGAACTCCTGGAGTATGAAGTTTGCTCCATGAATCCCAAGTCAAGAAGCACTTCCCTAGTGTATTTAGAATTTAGTTTAACTGTCTTTGAAATCCAATTTCCAAATCACTTTTTAGGGGCACAAATAGTATAAAATGGCCAGCTCCATCAGAGAAATGCAAATCAAAACCACAATGAGATACCATCTCACACCAGGTAGAATGGCAATCATTAAAAAATGTCAGGAAACAACAGGTGCTGGAGAGGATGTGGAGAAATAGGAACACTTTTACACTGTTGGTGGGACTGTAAACTAGTTCAACCATTGTGGAAGTCAGTGTGGCGATTCCTCAGGGATCTAGAACTAGAAATACCATTTGACCCAGCCATCCCATTACTGGGTATATACCCAAAGGACTATAAATCATGCTGCTGTAAAGACACATGCACACGTATGTTTATTGCGGCATTATTCACAATAGCAAAGACTTGGAACCAACCCAAATGTCCAACAATGATAGACTGGATTAAGAAAATGTGGCACATATACACCATGGAATACTATGCAGCCATAAAAAATGATGAGTTCATGTCCTTTGTAGGGACATGGATGAAATTGGAAATCATCATTCTCAGTAAACTATCGCAAGGACAAAAAAACAAACACCGCATGTTCTCACTCATAGGTGGGAATTGAACAATGAGAACACATGGACACAGGAAGGGGAACATCACACTCTGGGGACTTTTGTGGGGTGGGGGGAGGGGGGAAGGATAGCATTGGGAGATATACCTAATGCTAGATGACGAGTTAGTGGGTGCAGCGCACCAGCATGGCACATGTATACATATGTAACAAACCTGTACATTGTGTACATGTACCCTAAAACTTAAAGTATAATAATAAAAAAAAGAATTCATTAAATAAAAAAAAAGAGAAAAAATAAAAAGTAAAAAAATAAAATAAAATAAAATGGCCGGCTATCTCTAACAAAAATACAGATTCTTTTGGAAGTTAAGAGACCTCTTGGTGCCTAACACAAGCTTTATAATAGGCTTCGTAGATGCTGGAGACTCAGTGAAGCCTGTGTATCCGGTTGGCTTCAGCAGGACTGCCTGCTGCTGGGGTTGCCTTGGAAAGTCATCCTCAGCTCACCCCAACTTCTGCCCTTCCTTTACCTGGGATAACATTTCGCCTAAATAACAACCAAGTGAGAAATATCTTTTGTTTGCACTCTTTTCCTTTTTATTCACACTGCGAAAATCTTTAGCAGGTATGATTTGATGAATGCTTCTCTCTATGATATTTTTGCTTTCTGAATCTGTAACTTAGTGATAGCCTTGTGTTACATGTCAAAAGCATTATTTATGCATTTATTTAACAAATACTTACTGAGCTCCTACTTTATCCCTAGCACAGTGCTATAATGGGGGGTTCCAGTGAGTAAAATCAGAGTCCCTACCCTCATGGGGCAGACAGTCTATTGAGAGAGATACACAGTAATCAAAAAGAATATCACAAATAATTACAAGAATCATAGTGCTACAGAGGAGAGTTACATGGAGCTATGAAAGGATATAATTGCCCTGTCGGACAAGTCAGGAGGTCAAAAAAGGAATTGAATATGCTGAAATTTGAAGAAAGAGTTAACCAGGTGGAATGGAAAGGAGTAGAAAAGCATTCCTATACAAAAGCCTGTGTCCTGACTAGCTTTTGCCTTACTCTGTGCTCAGATATTTGCGTCTTGCTAGAATAGCCTGTACAAAGGCCCTATGCCTAGAGAGCGAACTAGTTACAGGTACAGCTGTAGTTCATATAATTTTTGCTACTATGTACTTTTTCAATCACAGACTTAGGACCTCAAGGTGCCCCTTAGACTGGAATTGCTCCTCTCCTTCTGTGTCTAGATGTGGAGGAATATGTTTAGCTGGAAGGAAGAGCAGTGGATCTCAGCATGAGAAGAGCTGCCCACCAGAAGCTGTGTGCTTCTGGACAAACCACACAATTACTAACTTCTCAGGTCTTGTTTTCATTGGGAGAATCCGTACAGGAACATTTTAGCAAATAGCTTTTTGAGGTAGTTGTAAAGAGACTTACAAAGTATAGTGGATATAGGTGGTGGTGATAATGTCTGTGGTGGAGGTGGTATTTCTCTTTTAAATCAGCTTTTCTAAAACTGAGTCCTGCTCAATGTTCGGCATAAAATAATTAAATGGCAACCACAGGCTTCTGTTGTTGAGAGGGGCTAGACATGGCGAGGAGGTTTTTAACTTTAAGGCAAGGTATATGAGTCTGTACAAGAAAGCAGCCATGTGTTGGCTTTCAAATACAACACAAAGCCAGTGTGTGTGTTGAAGGAGAGGAGTGGTCTTTAAAAGTCTCCTCCTTCACAATATGCACAGGAGGGTACTGGTCTACAGAGAAAAGGCGGCCTCCAAAGACAACATAGTTTACAGCACAGAAAGTTCAGGTAAGAGCGCTAGGTGGGAATTTGTAAAACATTTCAAAAGGAAGCAAAATTTTTGGAGGTGTCAAGTAAGGAACAATGAAGATGTTATACTTTGTGCAAGTTTAATATTTTAGCCAAGATTTCAGCAAGAAAAATGTCTGAGCACGGACCAAATAAAGTAAGGAGAAAGCAAGTCAGGACACAAAGAGGATCCTTGCTGGACCAGCATAGCATCTTTTCCCCAGAGGCAAGGAGTGGCATCATCCTAGCTTCTTTTTTTTTTTTCTTTTTTTCTTTTTTTTTTTTTTTTTGAGACAGTCTCACTCTGTTGCCCAGGCTGGAATGCAGTGGCACGATCTCCACTAACTGCAACCTCCGCCTCCTGGGTTCAAGTGATTCTCCTGCCTCAGCCTCCCAAGTAGCTGGGATTTTGGGGCACACCACCACACCCAATTAATTTTTGTATTTTTCGTAGAGATGGGGTTTCACCATGTTGGCCAGGCTAGTCTCGAACTCCTGACCTCAGCTGATCTACCCACCTTGGCATCCCAAAGTGCTGAGATTACAGATGTGAGCCACCGCATCTGGCCCTAGCATCATCTTTAGAGGCGAGGAGTGGAGTGTCACCTCAGCAGCCAGCTTATGCTCTTCTTAGTGTGCAGAACGCATACAAAGAGTAAACATTACCCTGACCTCATCTGAGAATAGATGGAGGTTCAGATATTCTCAGCAAGTCCTTTTTTGCCTTTATGAATTCTCGTGTAAAAGAAATTTTTACAAAGAGATACTTCCACTTGGTAAATCCTTCCTGATTATTATCCAAGACTTTGGTGTGGAGATTAAACATAATCAGCTAAGGAACCACCCTAACCGAATTCTGCCTTGATTTCTATTTGGTCACCTATGTCTTAACTTATATTACTTCTTGTTAAATTTTAATGTTCCCAAACAAACTTCTGAAGTCAATTATCTATTTACAGCCAATGAGAGTGGGAACATTTTGACAGAGCCAGCTACTTCCAATATTTATTGATACATTGCTTCCTACCTGGGACCCAGTATTACTTACCTCACTCACAGATGTGGTTAACATGTACATAGCCTACTGGTCTATGTTACACTGTTTCACGTTCCAGCTGAACAATACTCCCCTTTAAGAAGCATCAGAGAACCCAAATTACTGCATGATACCTGACTCAACTTGTTCCTCTATTGTAGCATAAGATTAAAGCATTTTTTCATCGACTTCTCCCCTAACCCCCAGTCCTTCTTAATCCTCTATCTGGCTGATTCATAACAGCTGTTAAATAACTAGACATTTAGGTAAAGGCAAACTGAAGCTATAAATCAATGTGTGTGATTTAATAACCAACTCTTTCTGGCGCAGCTTGCTCATACTGTCTTGGTTTGCTTTTTTTTATGCTGACTTAAGCTGCAGCATCTGTATGAAGGGGTTTAGCACAATTGTAAATACTAATCTCCAGGCTGCCAATGTCATTACGGAAGTAGATACAAGTAAATGAAACTCACAGTACATTTCTATAGACACTGTGGGTGATTTTGAAGACATATGTATCTTCCAAGCTGTTACAATCTTCCTGAATGTGAGTATTTCTTAGGACTGTCTTCGTTGTAAACTACAGAAACCAGCATCAGCTAGTTTAAGCAGAATAGGGGAATTAGAAGGATACAGAATGTCCTAAATGTCTTACAGAATCCAGCTGCAGGGATGCAGTGGGGCCTCAGGAAGGGGCTGACACCAGAGCCTAGAAAGCCATCGAGATTTTCTCACCATTTTACCTCTCTTCCTCTCAGTCCATCTGTTCATTCCTCTTGCTGTCTATCAACTGGTTTCTTCCACGTGGCAGGCATTGGCTGGTTGTTCAGCAAATTCCTTTTTTTTCTTCTGGGGATGTAACTAGACCACATGGGCCATTAGATGTAACCACGTAGCTCACTTCTGGCTTCCACTTCAAATTCTGACCTATAAGCTCCCATGAAATTCTGTACTTTCTATCTCTCCTAATCTACCGGCAGAATGATGAAAACTAAAGCCTTGGAGGAGGTTAGGAGCCACAGGATAAAAGGAGCTTGGTCCCTGAATAACTGCATGCCCCCTGCCCTATCATCAACACCTCCCTCCTCCACCATGGACTTGATGTTACTGAGAAGTAAAGTGCTATCTGTTAAGTTCTACCTATTCCGTTAAGCTATTAAGATTTGAAGATTTATCTTCTATTGCAGTTAGTATCACTCTAAATCTTCTTTCCTTGTGTGGAAAATACGGAGCCTGTGGCTTCAGAGCTTATGCTTTACAAATACAGCCTTCTACCAACAAGAAAAAAAAAAAAGCCTTCTCTCAATTGGTCTCAATTCCAAATTTTCAAAAATCAGAGTCGGATTGAACCAGTGGGTCAACTCCTACCCTTGATACACTCAACTTTGATAAGGGAGGTTAAGTCGTCATGCACAAAGTGGCCACTAGAGGGTACACTATGTGAACATGAGTTTTAAAACCAAGACTGAGCCTTGAGTTCTTGTTTTGGCTCTGCGGCTAACTTGTTGAGTAGTCTTAATGATTGCACTTAACCACTTTAGGCATCAGTCTCCTCATATCAAAATGAGAAATTTAGATGAAGTCCTTTCCAAAATGTTTTTCTACTTTACTATTATATAATCCATAAGATTTCATACTATGCTCAGAAAACGACCCTTACACAACAAAATCAGAGTTTCCCAGAATTTTTTTTGCAGTTTAGCACAGCAATGCTCAAAGTATCACAGCACTTTTTGTGATTTCCCAAATAACTTGCTTAGTGTCCTAAGATCATAGGAATGAATAAGGTTACCATTCTAAAAGTTAATCGTGTGTTCTTTGTGAAGTACACTAATGGCTTCTTCTGCTGAACTTTCTTAAGAATTTCATAATTTTGGGATTATATAATCCTAGATTATACTATACATAATTATATACTATGCATTGATTAAGAGCACAGATTCCAGAGCTGGATTGCCTGGGTAGATCTTAAGTCTACCTTCTACTAACTGTGGGATAATATTTACTTTAGAGAGTTATTGTGGGGATTTTTTTTAAATCATACATATATGGCTCTAGCACCTAAGTGTTCAATAAATGTTTGCTTAAAAGAAGAATTTCATTTATTCTATTGTAGTTGTTTAAGTATCTGTCTACACCAATAAACTTTGAGCCCCTAAAAGCCAGATACCCAGTTTTACTGAATTTCTTGTCATTCAGACTCTAGCCTAGAGTTTAAGCACATATCTACTTAATAAATAACTTTAAATGAGTAAATGAATAAATTAATGGTATTCTCATGGAGCATTGAGTTTGCCTTACAAAAATACAAAATAATCTGTATTTTTCTCATTTTAAGTTCCTTCAATTAGTTACTTTTTTTTACAGATATTTCTTCGTAGGCCGGAGGAGCATTCCTTTATGAACAGCCTTAAGGTATGGCCATTCTTCTACTGCAAGATTGATAGCATGAGGCTACAGATTAGCATTACTTGGGGAGCTGAGGAGCTCTTTAAATATTCTGATGCCTGGGTCCCACCCAGATCTAATAAGTTAGAATCTTAGTGGTGGGGGTAGGGCGTATGCCTCAGGATATTTTTAATGCTCCCCTGGGCAGCAGTCAGGCTTGAGAACCTCTATTCTGGCTTATCTGTTTATTTTGCTGTGATATATTAAGTGTATGTTTCTTTCATTATTGTAACTTAGATTTTTTTACCCTTTCACTTGCTCATCACAGCCCATTAGGCATTGTATTACTCAGAGTTCTCCAGAGAAGCAGAACCAACAGGATGTGTGTGCTTGCGTGTGTGGGGGGGGGATATCTATGTGTGTGTGTTCATGTGTGTGTAGGCATGTGTGTGTCTGAACCAACAGGATCTGTACCACATCCTGTTAGTACACATATCTTCATACATATAAGAAGAAAGACTTACTTTAAGGAATTGGCTCACACAGTTGTGGAGGCTTGGTAAATCCAAAATCTGCAAGGGTAGACCAACAGGCTGGAGATCCAGGGAAGAGTTGCAGTTTGAGTGCAAAGGCAGGCTGCTGGCAGAGTTCCCTTTTATTCTGAGGAGTTCAGTCTTTTTCTACTAAGGCCCTAACCTGATTGAATGAGTTTCACCCACATAATGAACGGTAATTTGCTTTACTCAAATTCTACTAATTTAAATGTAAATATCATCTAAAAAACCATTACAGAAAAATCTAGAATAATGTTTGATAAAATACCTGGGTGCTGTGTGACCTAGCCAACTTGACACATACACACACATCACAAGCACTTGGGACCTCAATTTTTGCCATTTCCTCTGCTTAAAAATGTTTTCCAGTAGCTCCATGTATGCTTCAACAGGGTTTGCTTTATGATAATCTCCTTCCTGTGGTGGGGATTATGACTGCTCTCCTAACAGAAGCAGGAGAGACAAACCTGACGTGGGAGGGTTAAAAGTCTGACTCAAAGGCGCACTGTCACAATAGCCTGGGGAAGGTTCTGCATGGCTGCCTTTGTCTGCAAGAGTGCTCTTGTTTCACACTCATCTCCCTGTGAATGTCTCTTAGAAGACTCAGCTACTAAGTCAAATGAATGTACACATTCATCTCTTCTTATGGGAATTACATCCAGGAAATCTTGATTAAAACCAGATCAAAACTGCCAATGTAACCAAGAGATTCTCCTCTGAATGTAGACACAATAACTGTCAACACACAATTGTACTTTTCAAAAATGATGATTCCAAAATTTGAATCTAATCAGAGTTCCAAATAAAAAGTTTACATGGTGTTTTCCTTGCTTGAATGAATGAAAATCTATTTTAGAATCCAAATACTTGTACAAACCTTACCTATGATTCCAAAATTGAAATTATTTTGGAAAAGTATAATTGTTAAGCAATAGTTTTTAATCTAGATTGAGCAGTCAGAATGTCAGAGGATCTGTAGCCCCAGAATTATTGGAAATGTGCTCAATTCACTTGGCCCCAAGCATTTAAAAATAGGCTTTGTATAAGAAGTCTGTAAAACAAATTTCGTGGCCAACATACTTTCATAACAAAAGCTCAAACTAGAATAGTGTTTAGACTGAATTGAGGTTTTAAAATAGTCAAAAATTTTTGGTTAATCTCTCTTGAATCTGTTAGATAATCTTTATAATTTTCAAATTGAGGTACATGATCTCTGATTAAACTGAATGCTATATAGATTGATTAATTCTATGAAATTCTGACATCTTTGAATAATAACTTCTGGCTTATGTATTCGTATGTTAAACTATGCATCATTTTTATAATTGAGCTAAATTACCAGTAACATATGACTAACAATCCCACTTATTAAAAGGATAATTGCTAGCTTCAAAATTAATACTACTATCCCAATCTAGGGACCAAGTGCTGCTAATGTTACAGTGGCATAGAATGCCTCCCCTAAACTAAAAGGATCACACTTTCTGCTGACTGACTAAAAATTTACTTTAAAAATTGAGTCATAACCCTTTTTAACAAAATAAAACGTTTGTAGGGCATATCTTTAGCTCAAAGTAAACTAAAATTAGGCACAATTTCAAAACTGTCATCAGATTTTTTAGGGTGGGGAGCAAGTTGGTAGATTAGGAAACTACTGACTCCCCTTAAGAGTATTGGAAACTACCTGGCTGGAAATATAAAACTACTTACATCAGGTTTTCTCATACTGCCTTAGAGTTGTAGAAGATTTACATGGTGGAGGAGTATAGCATAAGTTCTCAAGCAATGTGTCAAGATCACTTGCAAGGTACATGACAAATCGTTAATATGACAAGAGTGAAAAATATTAAGCTATAAGATTTGTAAAACTGTTTCCTCTCTCCCCCTCTGCCCCTACTTCTAAAGAGAAAGGCTTCTTGCTTCCTGAATCAGTACTTTGAATCCCTGCCCGTTTGTTTTACAGAATGCAGGTAAAGAGGAGACTTAAAAATTACTAGAAGGAAGACAAGCAAAACTGATCTACAGTCTAAAGAGCTAAGCCAGAAAGCAGAAGGGAGAGGGATAAAAATTTAATTAGAGTGGGCTTGTGAGAGTTGTTGAGGGAAATATGAAAAGAGAGATAGTTGGAGGCATCTGGGGATATTTTGGAAAAACTAAAATAGAGATGAGGAACAAGGATTTATTTTAATGATATTTCCTGTGCATTATGAATGCAGGGTCTTTTTAGCATTTCAAGATAAATGAACTAAAGAATAAATTGCTTCCCAATCATTTTGAATCCCAGACTGATGTTTCTCTGAATGTGATTCTTTGCAGAGAAAGAACCACTGAGAGGCTAAGCTTTAATTAGGTTAGATCACTAACAATAAAAATTTACATATTTTTAATAAATCAGAGTAACCTTACTTTTATTCAGTTGCACTCTGCTATGTTTCCATAAGTAGGAAGAAAAAGGTAAAATTAAAGCTCTCTTGCCAGAAATGACACAGCCCATAATGGCAGCTGGTATTCATGTATTGTTATTAATTGTGGCAGTTTCAATCTATTGGTTACAAAACAAACTATTAGAAGTAAGAGAAGCAAAGGGGGGAGGGGGGAGGGATAGCATTGGGAGAGATACCTAATGCTAGATGACGAGTTAGTGGGTGCGGCGCACCAGCATGTCACATGTATACATATGTAACTAACCTGCACATTGTGCACATGTACCCTAAAACTTAAAGTATAATAATAAAAAAAAATGTAATCTGCTTTGTTAGTCTGTTCTATCATTGATATAAAGAAATAGTTGAGCCAGACTTGGTGGCTCATGCCTATAATCCCAGCACTTTGGGAGGCCAAAGTGGGTGGATCATTTGAGGCCAGGAGTTCAAGCCTAGCCTGGGCAACATGGCAAAACCCTATCTCTGCTAAAAATACAAAAATTAGCCGGGTGTGGTGGTGCATGCCTGTAATCCCAGCTACTAGGGAAGCTGAGGCATGAGAATCGCTTGAACCCAGGAAGTAGAGGTTGCAGTGAGCCAAGATCATGCCATTGCACTCCAGCCTGGGTGACAGAACGAGACTCCATCTCCAAAAATCTAACTAAAAACCTTGAGACTGGATAATTTATAAAGAAAGGCAGTTTAATTGGTTC
Organism: Homo sapiens; assembly: GCF_000001405.40. Taxonomy (NCBI): domain Eukaryota; kingdom Metazoa; phylum Chordata; class Mammalia; order Primates; family Hominidae; genus Homo; species Homo sapiens. The sequence continues at coordinate 21,714,313 of NC_000009.12, forward strand.
ACAGTTCTGCAGGTTCCACAGGAAGCATGATGGCATCTGCTTGCTTCTGGGAGGCCTCAGGAAACCTACGATCATGAAGAAAGGCAAAGGTGGAGTAGGCACTTCACATGGCCAAAACATGAGCAAGAAAGTGAGGGGGAAGTACCACATATTTTTAAACAATCAGGTCTCATGAAAATTCACTCATGTGAGACCTGGTTGTTTTAACGTGAGGACAGTATCAAAGGGATCGTACTAAACCATTCACCAGAACTCCACCCCCTTGATTCAATCATCTCCTACCAGGCTTCATCTCCAACATTGGGGATTATATTTCAATAGAGATTTTGGTGGGGACATGCATCCAAACTATATCATTCTGCCCCTGATACCTCCCAAACCTCATGTCCTTCTCACATTTCAAAATACAATCATGCCTCCCCAATAATCCCCCAAAGTCTTAACTCATTCCAGCATTTACTCAAAAGCCCAAAGTCTGAAGTCTGATCTGAGACAAGGCAATTCCTTTCCACCTGTGAGCCTGTAAAATATAAAACAAGTTAATTACTTCCAAGATACAGTGGGGGTACGAGCATTGGGTAAACATTCCAACTCCAAAAGGAAGACATTGGCCAAAAGAAAGGGGCTATAGGCCCTAGCAAGTCTGAAACCCAGAAGGGAAGTCATTAAATCTTAAACTCCAAAATAATCTCCTTTTACTTCATGTTCCACATCCAGGGCACACTTCTGCAAGGGGTGGGCTCTCAAAGCATTGGGCAGCTCTGCCTCTGTAGCATTACATGATTCAGTCCCCACAACTGCTCTCATGGGCTTGTGTTAAGTGCCTGGAACTTTTCCAGGCACAGAGTGCAAGCTCTTGGTGGATCTACTATTCTGGGGTTTGGAGGACAGTGGCCCTCTTCTCACAGCTCTGCTAGGCTGTGCCCTAGTGCGGACTCTGGGAAGGGGCTCTAACCTCACCTTTCCCCACTGCACTGCCTTAACAGAGTTTCTCCATACGGGTTCCATCCCTGCAGCAGGCTTCGGCCTAGACACCGTGGCTTTTCCATACATTTTCTGAAATCTAGGTGGAGGCTCCCAAGCCTCAACTCTTGCATTCTGCACAGTTGTAGGCTTAACACCACGTGGAAGCTGCCAAGAATTATAGCTTGCACTTTCTGAAACAGCAGCTTGAGCTGTATCTGAGCCCCTTTGAACCATGACTGGAACAGGAACAGCAGAAATGCAGGGAGCAGTGTCCCAACACTGTGCAGGGCAGTGGGGCCCTGGGATTGGCCCATGAAGCCATTCTTCCCTCTTAAGCCTCTGGGCCTGTGATGCAATGAACTGTTTCTTAGATCTCTGAAATGCCTTTGAGATATTTTTCTCATTATCTTATCTATCAGCACTTGCCTTATTTTCAGTTATGCAAATCTCTCTAGCAAGTGGTTCCTCCACAGCCTGCTTGAATTCCTCTCCCAAAAGAAAATGTTTTTTTCTCTGTAACATGTTTAGGCTGAAAATTTTTCAAACTTTTATGCTGTTTCCCTTTAAAATGTAAGTTTCAACTTGAGGTCATTTCTTTTCTCCTGCACATAGGAATAGATTGTTAGAAACAGCCGTGTCACTTCTTGAACACTTTATCGCTTAGAAATTTCTCCTGCCAGATACCCTAGGTCATCACTCTCAAATTAAAACTTCCACGTATCCCTAGGGCATGGACACAAGCCAGACAAGCTCTTTCCTAAGGCATAACATGCATGACCTTTGCACCAGTTCCCAATAAGTTTCTCATTTCCATCTGAGACCTGGTCAGCCTGGCCTTCACTGTCCATATCATTATCAGCATTTTGATCACAACCATTTAACCAGTCTCTAAGAAGTTGCAAACTTTCTCTCATCTTCCTGTCTTCTTCTGAGCCCTCCAAACTATTCCAGCCTCTACCCATTACCCAGTTCCAAAGTCACTTCCACACTTTCGGGTATCTTTATAGCAATGTTCTACTCCTTAGTACCAATTTTCTGTATTAGGCCATTTTTTTTTTCGCTATAAAGAAATATCTGAGATTAGTAATTTATAAGAAAAGAGGTTTAATTGGTTTATGGTTCTGCAGGCTATACAGGAAGCATGGTAGCACATGCTTCTTGGGAGGCCACAGGAAGCTTTTACTCATGGCAGAAAGCAAAGTGGGAGCAAGCACTTCACATGGCAAAAGCAGGAGCAAGAGAGCAAGGAGAGAGTACTGCCCTCACAATGGTTAGTGAGTTCTCACAAGATCTGTTCATTTAAAAGTGTAAGGCACTGCCCCCCTTGCTCTCTTGCTTCTGCTTTGGCCCTGTGAAGTGCCTGTTCCCTCTTTGTCTTCTGCCATGGGTAAAAGTTCCCTGGGGCCTCCCCAGAAGCAGATGCAGTCAATGCCTCCTGTACAGCCTACAGAACCATAAGCCAATTAACCTCTTTTCATATAAATTACCCAGTCTTAGGTATTTCTTTACACCAATGCAAGAATGGCCCAGTACACCCCACCAAGTTTGAATCAGGAAGAAATAGAAATCCTGAACAGACCAATAATGGGTGGTGACATTGAATCAGTAATAAAAAATATTCCAACAACAAACAAAAAAGCCATGGACCAGATGGATTCACAGCCAATTTCTACCAGACTTTCAAGAAAGAACTGACACCAGTCCTACTGAAACTATTCCAAAAGGTTTAGAAGGAGGGCATCCTCCCTAACTCATTCTAAAAGCCAGAATCACCTGGATACCAATGCCAGGAAATGACACAATAAAAAAAGAAAGCTACAGACCAATATCTCTGATGAACATAGATGCAAAAATCCTCAACAAAATGCCATCAAACCAAATCTAACAGCACATCAATAAAATAACTCATCATGATTAAGTGGGTTTCATTCTAGGAATTCAAGGATGTTGCAAAATACCTAGGAATATATTTAACCAAGGAGATGAATGATTGCCACAAGATGAAAGAAATTGTAGATGACACAAACAAATGGAAAAACATCCCATGCTCATGGATTGGAAGAATCAGTATTGTGAAAATAACTATACTGCCCAAAGCAATCTATAGATTCAATGCAATTCCTATCCAAATACCATTGTAATTTTTCACAGAATTAGAAAAACAAATTCTAAAATTCATATGGAACCGTGAAAGAGCCCTAATAGCCAAAACAATCCTAAGCAAAAAGAACAAATCTGGGGGCATCACATTACCTGACTTCAAATGATACTACAAAGCCATAATAACCAAAACAGCATAGTACTGGTGTAAAAGTAGACACATAGACCAATGGAACAGAATAAAGAACCCAGAAATAAAGCCAAATATTTACAATCAGCTGATCGTCAGCAAAGCAGACAAAAACACGCATCAGGGAAAGGACACCTATTCAGTCAATGGTGCTGCAATAATTGAATAGCCACATGCAGAAAAATGAAACTGGATCTCTATCAATCACCATATACAAAAATTAACTCAAGATGGATTAAAGACCTAAATGTAAGACCTGAAATCATGAAAAATTCTAGAAGAAAACCTAGGAAAAACTCTTCTGGGCATTGGCCTAAGCAAAGAATTTATGACGAAGACCCCAATAGCAAATGCAACAAAACCAAAAATAAACAAATGAGACTTAAACTAAAAAGCTTCCACACAGAAAAGAAATAATTAGCAGAGTAAATAGACAACCTACAGAAAGGGAGAAAATATTCGTCAACTATACATCCAACAAAGGACTATTATTCAGAATGTACAAGGAACTCAAATGAGCAAGAATAAAGAAATATTCTCGTTACAAAGCAGGCAAATGACGCGAACAGGTATTTTTCAAAACAAGACATACAAATGGCCAAAAAACATATGAAAAAATGCTCAATATCACTAATCATCAGAGAAATGCAAATTACAAACACAGTTAGATACCACATTACTCCTGTCGGAATGGCCATTATTAAAAAGTCAAAAAAACAACAGATGTTGTCACAGATTCAGTGAAAAGAGAACTTATACACCATTGGTGGGAATGTAAATTGTCAGAACCTCTATGGAAAACAGTATGGAGATTTGTCAAATAACTAAAAGTAGATTTGCCATTTGATCCAGCAATCCTACTTCTGGGTATCTACCCAAAGGAAAAAAGTCATTATATCAAAGACACCTGTACAATTCACAGTTGCAAAGATATAAAATCTACCTAAGTGCCCAACAGCCAATTAGTGGATACAGAAAATATTACATACACACACCAAGGACTACTACTCAGCCATAAAAAGAATGAAATAATGTCTTTTGCAACAACTGGGATGAAACTGGAGGCCATTAACCTAAATGAAGTAACTCAGGAACAGAAAACCAAATATCATATGTTCTCATTTATAAGTGGGAGCTAAGCTATGGGTATGCAGGGGCATACACAGTAGTATAATGGACACTGGAGAATCAGAAGTGGAGAGAGTGTGATGGGGGAGAGGGATGGAATATTACCTATTGGTTGCAATGTACACTATTCAGGTGATGGGCACACTAAAAGCCCAGAATTCACCACTGTACAATTCATCCATGTAACCAAAAACCACTCATACCCCTAAATCTATTGAAATTTTAAAATAAAATAAAAAATGTTACCTTCATATTGTTTTCTATCTTATTGACGGAATTTTAACACAGCTGGTATTAGAGTTGGGGTAGAACTCAGAATTTTTTATTAAAAAAAGTATTATAACGACTATACTATCACTAATATAAAAAATCAACAAAAACTTAGTACCGTTAACATTTCCTTCATTATCTTTTGACCAGCTACTCAGATATGTTATAGGAAAATAATTTTCATGGTAGACAAATTTTTTATCAACCAGTTAAACTGCCATCAGTATTTTCTATATCAATTAATAACTACATTATTTGATTAAACACCAGAATTCTCATTCCTTAGTATTCAAAATGTGTTTCATGGACCAGCGGTACAGATGTCACCTGGGAGCTTGCTAGAAATGCAGAATCTCAGATTTTGCCCAGCTCTACTGAATCAGAATCTGCATTTAACATCATGCAATGTGATTTGTATAACATTATAGCTTTTGAAGCACTATTCTAATTCACAGAATTTCTTCAAGTGAACCAGTGACTATCTGTAATAGAATCATCTAGAATGTTTGCCAAATATGCATTTCCTAGATCCCACCTGAGATCTAATAGGTCCTTTGAATCCAAGTTTTTAAAATAATATTCTGTGTGATTGTGATGCATATTAAAGCATGATGAACAAGGTTCTGTGCACTTTTGTGTTTCAATATTTTTACCCGTCTGCTGCTTTATTTATATTTAGCTCTAAGCCCATAATCACATGGTTATTGAGTTTGCTGTACTTAATTGTGTTTGTTGCATTTCCTTCGTTTCTGTTATTACCTCATCATGACTTCTTAGGCTATTCAATGCATAGATGGGCTCATTACACTTGGAAAACCTTTTTGGGCTATCCTTACAGGCTTTTCCTGTCTTCCTATATTTCTATTCAATGATTAGAGAAGGTTGAAAGTGGATGAAAACTATGTTGCCAGGGCTTTTTATATCTTGAATGTAAAAGTCCTTCCCAAAGAGCCACCAGGAAACCTCTCTCTAGCTGTTTCCTTGGAGGTCTTTTACAGAAAATGCTTCTTAAATTTACTTCCAAAATATAATTTAAATTCATAACAGAATGCTAAAGACTTTCAGCCTAGTTTAGGAAAAAGGGCAATGCAAGAAAAACTACAATAATTACTTCCAGTGCCTTCTCTACCATTAGCTATTGGCCTTGGGCAGATTTTGTAACCTGTCTGAGTCTCCTTGCCTCATTTGTGAAATGAGGATAATGATACCTGCCAGAAGGTTAGGCATTGCTCCAGATTGTCCCTTGGTAACCCTTCCAGCTCTGACATCCATGATTCCATTATTCTGTCAAGTCAACATATATTTGTGTTTCCATACGCCTGGCTTCTTTCTTTTCCTCTCCAATTTGTCATCTCCTTGCAATCACACATGCACACTTCTCTCTTATAACTATTTCTATAATCACACATGCAAACTCCTCCCTTATAACTATTTCTAGTGAAAATGAATTTAGAACATTTTATTGGAGAAATTTACTTTCACCATAAGTGTAAAATATACTTATATTTAAGATAAGTAGCCTGCCACAATTAAACCCCATGTGTCTATTAATTATCTCGTTAAGTGGATGCAGATGAAATAAATGGGTGTGGATAAAGACCCATACTTGAGATATTTAATAGTAGCCACTTAATTTAACTACCCACTGAGCTCATCTAAAATGCATGACAATAAAATGGTAAAGTAGAGCCTCACAGGTTTCACTTGCAGTGAGAACAATTCAGCAAATATCACTAGTGAATAAGAAATCGGTAAAATTCAATGAGCTACTGGAACATGCAAGCTGAACAGATAGTTCCTTTAAATATCTGTATATGAAAAATGATCTGATCTCATATACATTTGCTGAGTTAATTAGAATGAAAAAAAAACCCTCTGAAGTCTGTTTTCATAGCCTCTTACATTTCCCAAAGTAGAGTAAAAGAAGGAAAAAGCGCTTGTTAAACTACAGTAAGGCTTGTCTAAGTGACCACTTGTACTTTGAAGAATTCTTGTTAAACATTCCCTGAACGCTGCACTTAAGCAGCTGCTACGGTACTATGCTTATAAAAGACTTTGTTATACTTGTTTCTTGCTATGTATCATGACTGCATGATATACTTATTAAGAGCAGAAGCACTGGAATCAGACAGACCTGCATGTGAATCCTGGCTTACCAGCTACGTAACGTGGGGCAAATATAAGTTTTGTCATCTGCAATGACACTAATAACACCTTCCTTAGGAGAATATTGAGGATTAAATAAAATAATGTATATAAGACATGCATTTGTCCATTCTTTTGTTCCACAAATGTTTACTCTGCCATCTATATGCCAGGCATTATGTGAGTGCTCAATATTTAGCAGGGCATCAGCTAGACCAGCCCCTACCTTCATTGAGATGACATTCTGGTAGACTGACACATCTGCCTGTTGCATAGTAATCACTACTGTTACTGTAATTGTTGTTTTATTCCTAAATGTATATTACTTTAATCCAAAATTAAACATTAAAAATACTATTAAATATTTTAAAGGCACAACAATAAATAAGTACCTTGCCCATGTTGACATCTCCCATATCCACGTGCAGCTCTTCTGAACTCAGCTCTTATGCGAAGGAACTAACCCTGAGCTAGCCAAGCAGGACGGACATTCCATCAAAAGGAATAATTTAAAATGAGCTTTAAGTTCGACTTGTATTGAAATTGCCTAAAACAGCAGTATAGGATGATGCTTAAGAACATGAACTCTGTTGCCATTTGATTGGGTTTGAATTCAAACTCTGATACTTGCTAGCTTAATGACTTTGAGTAAGTTACTTAATCTATTTCCACCTCAATTTTCTCATATGTAATATAGGAATATTGATAGTTCCTACCCCAAAGAGTTGTTGTAAATATTAAATTACATGAATTAACTCATTTAATATTTACAACAACTCTTTGAGGTAGGAACTATCATTATTCCTGACTTACTGTTTTATAGGTTGCGTAGACTTAAGAATGCCTACACATTAATGTTACATATATACCATGGAATACTATGCAGCCATAAAAAAGGATGATTCCTGTCCTTTGCAGGGACGTGGATGAAGCTGGAAACCATCATTCTCAGCAAACTATAGCAAGGACAAAAAAACCAAACACCACATGTTCTCACTCACAGGTGGGAATTGAACAATGAGAACGCTTGGACACAGGAAGGGGAACATCACAAACCGGGGCCTGTTGTGGGATGGGAGGAGGGGGAGAGATAGCACTAGGAGATATACCTAATGTAAATGACAAGTTACTGGGTGCAGCACACCAACATGGCACATATATACATATGTAACAAACCTGCACGTTGTGCACATGTACCCTAGAACTTAAAGTATAAAAAAAAAGAATGCCTACACATTGTTAACATTATTACGTGTATAATGCTAATTATATGTATTATATGTGTTAAATGTACAGTTGTACATATAATTGTATAACATATAAATGTATAATTATACATATATACATGTGTAATATACATCATATATAATGCATATATAATATATACTTAATATAAATGTATATATTATATATAATATATGTATATATACACATTATATATAAAATGTGTATATACATTATATATTATATATTATACAATGTATAATATTAATGTTAGAGATAAAGAAAACATTAATAATGAGAATTTAACTTTAAAAAGTATGTCATGCCTGTAATGGTTACATTGTTAAAAACATAATTTGAAAATATTCTTTCGATAGTCAAGAATTAGATTCAGCAAAGAAGTCACTGACATAATTTATTAACCAATAAGGTGAGGAGGCTCTGACTTACATCTTCATTACTTCAGTTTCATCTTGCTAACTAATGTAAATGAAAATATTAACCAACATTCATGTTGGAATTTGTTATAGGACTGATGGTTTAGAGAAAGCTACTTAGGTGAAGGACAGAAACATTTTTGTGGGAAGATGGCAATGTCACCAGTACTCATTAGGTGGAGCAGCAGTGTCATCATCCCCCAAAAGCATTTTATCCAGAAACCATTCAATAATTTTGCTTTGTCGCTCTTTGACAGTCCAGAAACAACAATAATCTGGAAAGTGGGGGCACTGTTCTTAAGGAGTTTGTACTGGGGGCTCATAAGACATTCTGTTTCTCCCTCTCCATAACCCCTTTCCAGGTCGAGTTAAATTTCCTTTATTATCCTGAGTTTATAAGGCTAGGTCAACTTTTCTGTAATACTTTTTTCCATTTGAGGAAATTATACTTTGGATTCAATAATATATACCCACAAGGGAGAGAATATGGATTTAAAAATAAACTTAAAAATATAACTTAGAATATTCAGTCTGGAGGGGACCTGAGAGATTGTCTGATCCATTGCAGTATTGACCAGATTCACATTGTACTTTCATAATGTGCTTTTATTGTCAGGAAGATTAATGGACATCAGGTGTTTATAACACTCTTTTCTCTTAGTTGTGCTTAAAATTTTCTTTATAAAAGATATTAAAAGAAAGCTAACAAAATATTATTTATATAGAGAGAGCATATTAAATTGTTCTTAGCACCATCTACACTAACGAGTCTTTGGACAGATAACTATCAGCCTGATTTGAAGTTGAAATGTATTGATTATTAATATTGTGGAAAAGTCTGTGTTTTCATAGCTTCAAACCATTTTAGCACAAGTTGGAAGGATTTACAACATTGTCTCCATCTCTTACCATCTCATCTGATCAAACTTTGTTCACTTCTTTCTCACCCAGATATCTCATCCTGTTACTTTAATGCTCAAATTTCAGAAAGAGCAGAGCAAACCTCTCAAAGTTTGAACCCATAACTATTCTAACTCACAGCTCTATTGACGGCTGGGTTAACTCTGGAAAAATTTGTCACTCATCTTCTTTAATCTTGTCATCCATCTACAACCAACACTAGCAACGTTCTCCCATTTTAATGGTCTCTCATACATTTCCAGAACTGATAATATTTCTAGGAAATGTGCAGCAATGCCTCTCCTAATAAAGCCCCCAGCTTTCATTTTTATATTAATATAAGGCAAAATGTTTGTATTCTCTCAACATATTTCATAGCCCTGAACCCAGACTTTTAGTTCTACAGGAAATTACAGTTAATGTTAGCGATTAGGTCTGGTGCTTTCGAAAGCATGTTATACAGGTTATTATTAGGCATTTTGATAGAAAAAGGACTGCTTTACTGCAAGAATTCTGAAAACCTTAATGTGCTAACAAAATTGTGATTTCCTAGAGGGTTAAAGAACACAGCATTTTCCAAATGTGTGTGCTCATAGGAACTTTTTCCCTGGAACACCCTTTGGGATCAGTATTTTATGAAATATGTTTTGGTAACTAATAACATCCTCAAATAAGATCTAGAGAGTAGTAGTTACTTGTCCAGAATTCCTCAGATATATATGGTAGAACATAGGTATACAGGGTCTATTTGGTAGACTAGAACCCTTGAGTAATCTTTTGCACACCCAGGTTTTTAATACTTTTATGTGGGTCCAGTCACACCCTTTTCTTGGTTCTTATAATAATCAATGGACCATGTAGACCTAGTGACCAGTAAGAGTAAATGTTACTATAATGTGGAACTTTGTAAATGGGGCTCAGTACAAGGGACCTCTAATTTTGTTAAAATAGAAGATAAAAGGAGGGCCCTAATATGTCCCAGGCAAAAGATACAACAAATAGCAATAACACATCATTCAACAAATTTTGTTGAGCATTTATCATATGCCAGGCACTGTGTTAGGCCCTAAGTTTAAAACCGTGAACAAATTAAACACAGTTCCTGGCATCATGGAATTTACTGTCTAATGAGAGATACCCACTAGTGAATATGCAACAATGCAATATAGGTATAGGTTGAAGTGAAAGCACAAATGAGGGACAACTAACCCAGACTTGAAAGGGAGAAGGTTGAATACTACTTCACAATGATGTTCAAGATGACTCCTAAAAGGTGAGAAGGACTTAGGTGAAGGTGAAAGGGGCTCAACAAAAAGGGCTCTAAACTAAAAGAACATCTTCAAAGGCCCTAAGATTAAAGAGAAGGTCGGGTGGGGAGTCTGTAATCCCAACACTTTGGAAGGCTGAGGCGGGAGGATTATTTGAGGTCAGGAGTTCCAGAACAGCCTGACCAACATGGTGAAACCCCGGCTCTACTGAAAATACAAAAACTCACCAGATGTGGAGATGGGGGGGTGCCTATAATCTCAGCTACTCAGGAGCCTGAGGCAGGAGAATCGCTTGAACCCGGGAGGCAGAGGTTGCAGTGACATCACAGCACTGCACTCCATTCTGAGTGACAGCAAGACTCTGTCTCAAGAAAAAAAAAAAAAGATGAGAGAGAGAGAGAACATTGATATGCTTGAGGAACGGAGAGTGTCTGAGGTAGAAAGGGTGGGAGGTGAGGCTGGAGTGATAATGCTGCTGGTAGAGATTTGGGGTGCTGAAGTGATGGGATGGGGAACCACTGGCCTGTTTTAAGGAGAGGAGTTCTGCGTTGAAAGGTCTACTGGGGTGCTGACTGGAGAACCGATAAGAACAGAAAAAAACGGGTGGAAGGCTATTGTAGTTATCTTAGGAAGACATAATGATGTCCTATGCTAAGGAAGTAGTAGTGTGGATAGGGAGAAGTGAGAAGAGTGTGAGGTGAACTAGCAGAACTTGGTGGTTGACACGTTGAGAGAGGTGAAACGAAGCAAGTAAAGGATAAACTAGAGATGACAGACCACTCATAGAGTAAGAACGCCAGTGGGAAGAGAACATTTGAAGAAGGACAAATAACAATATATTAACAGATAGGTTAAGAGGAGACTTTTATGATCATATTTCTTAAGTTAGCATTCCATATAAACCAAATGCAAAATGTATATGCAAAATGTGTCATATTGTCATACTACTGTTACACATAAACATAATGGTAGATACTTCCTTTGATATAAGTTAGTAAAATTTGAAAACAATATTTGCTCCTTTCAGAAATTTTTAGATTATTTCTAATCCTCAACTAATGGGCATTATCCTGGCTTTCTTGGTATTAAATATATATTTTGATTAAATAAAAGAAAAACTAAATCTATAGTTATCAGGCAGAAACAAATATAAATTGTGAGCTATAGACGGACTAAATTTTCTGACTTTTTAAAGGCATTGTGTGTTGTTTTATACTTCCAGATTGCCTTATGCACCTCTTAAGATCTTTTTCTTACAGTTGGTATAAACCCTCCATGTGGGAAGACCTACAATTATAGCAGCTGGTGTTTATAGCAAGTAACAAGGCTGAATTAAACAACTATTATCTCCATTTTGGAATGGTTTGTTAAAACAATGAAATCCTTTCAAGAAAGTACTACATGTTGGCCAGGTGCAGTGGCTTATGCCTGCAATCCCAGCACTTTGGGAGGCTTGAGGAGGGCCGATCACTTGAGGTCAGGAGTTCGAGACCAGCCTGGCCAACATGGTGGAACCCTGTCTCTACTAAAAATCCAAAAATTAGCCGGGTAGTAGTGGCATGTGCCTGTAATCCCAGCTACTCAGGAGGCTGAGGCAGGAGAATTGCTTGAGCCTGGGAGGTGGAGGTTGCCATGAGCTGAGATCCCACCACTGCACTCCAGTCTGGGCAACGGAGTGAGACCCTGTCTCAAACAAACAAACTCCAGAAAGTACTGCATCTTAAATGATGCCCAAGTAGTACTAATTTTGTTTTTGTTTTCGTTTTTTCTTTCGAGATGGAGTCTCGCTCTGTGGCCCAGGCTGGAGTGCAGTGGCTATCTCCGCTCACTGCAACCTCGGCCTCCAGGGTTGAAGCAATTTTCCTGCTTCAGCTTCCCACGTAGCTGGGGTTACAGACGTGCCACCATGCCAGGCTAATTATTTGTATTTTTAGTAGAGATGGGGTTTTGAGAGAAAGGACTAGCTGGATTTCCTAGGCGGACTAAGAATCCCTAAGCCTAGCTGGGAAGGTGACTGCATCCACCTGTAAACACGGGGCTTGCAACTTAGCTCACACCTGACCAATCAGGTAGGAAAGAGATCTCACTAAAATGCTAATTAGGCAAAAACAGGAGGTAAAAAAAAATAGCCAATCGTCTATTGACTGAGAGCACAGCAGGAGGGACAATGATTAGGATATAAACCCAGGCATTTGAGCCGGCAACAGCTACCCTCTTTGGGTCCCCTCCCTTTTTATGGGAGCTATGTTTTCACTCTATTAGATCTTGAAACAGCACTCTCTTCTAGTCCATGTTTGTTACTCCAGCTGAGCTTTGGCTCACTGTCCACCACTGCTGTTTGCCGCCTCCGCAGACCACCACTGACTTCCATCCCTTCAGATCCGGCAGGGTGTCCTCTGTGCTCCTGACCCAGCCAGGCGCCCATTGCCGCTCACGATAGGTCTAAAGGCTTGCCATTGTTCCTGCAAGGCTAAGTGCCCAGGTTCGTCCTAATAGAGCTGAACACTAGTCACTGGGTTCCATGGTTCTCTTCCGTGACCCACAGCTTCTAATAGAGCTATGACACTCACCTCATGACCCAAGATTCCATTCCTTGAAATCCGTGAGGCCAAGAACCCCAGGTCAGAGAACATGAGGCTTGCCACCATCTTGGAAGTGGCCCACAGCCATTTTGGAAGCGGCCGTCCACCATCTTGGGAGCTCTGGGAGCAAGGACTGCCTCACACCACTCCCCGTAACAGTTTCACCATGTTGGCCAGGCTGGTCTTGAACTCCTGACCTCAAGTGATCCGCCTGCCTCAGCCTCCCAAAGTGCTGGGATTATAGGCATGAGCCACCGTGCCTGGCTATTTTGGGAATCGAAACTAGCAACATGAAAAAGTGACCCCTAAAAGTGACTTAAAAATTAAAACACACTTTGGGAGGCCGAGGTGGGTAGATCACGAGGTCAGGAGGTCGAGACAATCCTGGCTAAGAGGGCAAAACCCTGTCTTTACTAAAAAATACAAAAAATTGGCTAGGCATGGTGGCTCACACCTGTAATCCCAGCACTTTGGGAGGCCGAGGCGGGCGGATCACGAGGTCAGGAGTTCGAGACCATCCTGGCTAACATGGTGAAACCCCGTCTCTACTAAAAACACAAAAAATTAGCCGGGAGGCTACCAGGAGGCTAAGGCAGGAGAATGGCGTCAATCTGGGAGGTGGAGTTGCAGTGAGCTGAAATCATGCCAGTGCACTCCAGCCTGGGCAACAGAGCGAGACTCCGTCTCAAAAAAAAAAAAAAAAATTAAAACAGCTCATAGCAACGCATATTCTGAAAATAAATTTGATTTGGCAGAACTATCACGAATTCTCACATAAGAACTCTGATAAATTCCTAGCGTTGAAAAATCAATAAGAACTTTTACCCTCCATATTGAAGGAAGGATACCAAAAAACAATAGAAATCTATTTTAAAAAAGAAAACGCATATCCAAGTTTGAAGAACTGCTTTTTGTGTTTTACTTATCTATCCCCATTTTGTCTTAAGTAGCATCTTACAATATTTGTTACTTTCTTTAAATGAAAGTGGTGGGAAAAAAATTAAAGAAAGGAATTCTCATTCACTTCCTCCCGGTTTTATGGGAACTACCTTTATATGTATTTAAAATGTCATTAAATGGTGAAGAAAGTATTTTCCTGATCAGAACATTTCAGAAGTGAAGTGTACAAGCACAAAATGCCAAATGCCATGAGGCTTTATATCAGCAGCCATAGGAAATTTCTTGCTCCTCTCGCACTATGGAGTATGCATAGCTTGTCCACTCACATTTACAATGAGTTGGCAGTTAAAACTTAACTATGAGTTTGAAGACATGGAAGAGCATTCAAAGCAGCCAAGAATAGAGGATGCAGAGGGACTCAAAATTCATTGTGGTGAGTCTACGTTTGCTGCTACTTTTTCCTCTTGGGCATTTGTTGATTCACAGCTCAGTGCGCCAAAGCCAGGGAAAGTCATGTTTTAAACTCTGTGGCAGTCTCACCGTGGGGGACATCAAAACTTAGACTTCATGACTACAAAGATTAGTCATTACTGAAGGAACTAAGAAAAGTGAGCCCAACATTTGGCACAAATTTTATTTCTAAAGCATTTGTTAATCCCTAAGCTATGCGTTGGTGATAGGAGACAAAAGAAATGAAGTTCTTACCATGTCAAGGAAATACCGCTTGATAGATACTCCAGGATTTCACCTAAAAGCCTTAAAGGCTTAGTCCATAGGAATAAAGACAAATTATAAACCTATCAGTTTTCACAAATTGTGAAATCTAGTTTCAAATCAATTAGTTCCCTAACTGAACCAAGGTATCCAGCTAGTACTATATTGTCCTACTAAAAGAAAATTAAATTCTCTTTGGAGAAAATTAACATCTCCAACAATTTTTCATACACAATGTTCAACATTCGATCCAAGTTGACAGGTATGTCTATACAAAGAATCACATTACTGAAGCCAAAAAGCAAAAATAAACAATGGAAATAGATCAACAAATAATACAGATACTGAAGTTATCAAACACAGACTTTAAAACAGCTATGATTAACATTTTCAAGAAAACAGATTTAAAAGTATATAAAATTTTACTAGATAACTAGAATCTATAATAAAAGGCAATTCAAATTATGGACTTTAAAAATACAATAACCATAGTTAAAATTCAATTCAAGAAACAGGTTTAATGCCATAGACAGCAGAATGCAGAAGCAATTGCCTGAAACAGAGTTCAATATAAAGTATCAAAATTCATGTATAGCAAGACAAAAGGAGGAACAAAAAGGAGCATAAAGGATATCTGAGACTGAGAGAAAAGATCAACATATGTGTAATCGAAATTCCTAAAGGAGAAGAAAAGGAATGCTGGGCAAAAATTTTGCAAAACTGATGAAAGACACCAGAAATGTAAGTAATTCTTTGTACTCCAAGCAGGATAACTACAACGAAAGCCATGCTTACAGACATCATTATGATACAAACCACTGAAAGCTAAAAACAAAGAGAAATCTTAAGACCACTCAGAGGAAAATACTATTACCTTCAGAGGAATAACAAAAGACCAACAGCTGACTCTTCAAATCTTTCAACAGAAATGTCGAACAACAGAAATGTCGAACACCAGAAGAAAATAAAATGACATTCTTAAAATGCTAAAAGAAAATAATTGCCAACTTATAATTTTTCATCTAGGACAACTGAGGACAAAATAAAAATGTCTGGACAAATAAAAAAGGAATTTTATTGCCACTACTGAAATATTATCTTTAATGGAGTTCTTTAAGCAGAAGGAAAATTACTCCAGATGGAAGGTTAATCATACAAGAAGATACAAAGAGCACAAGAAAAAATAAATAGGTAGGTAAACCGAAATGAATATTAACTGTAAAAAATAGATAAAATGATTTCAAACTACAACTTGCAGATTGAAACACACTGCCCATGCAGACTTTTATGCCATAGTTTAGTTGTTGGGCTATGATGGAGATAAGCACAGGATACTATGTGAGGACAACAAGGGCACCTGGACACCTTGGAGACACAGGAAAGATCTTCCTGAGAAAGTAACAGATATATATCTATGATCTCTGGTTACTCCCCTTTGTAAGTTATTTGCTCCTGGCAAATTGAATAGTCCACAGTTTCTTACACGTATTCTGCCATTTCTTTACTCATGATGTTTGCGTATTCTGTTTTCTCTAAAATGCAAACATCCTCTCCATCTCACCTCCCAATGTCCATAGATTCAAATCTTTCAGGTTTAAAGCTCTGTGCCGCTATCATTTTAAGCCTTCTCTGGCCATGTTCCACCACCATCCCTGGCACCCCAACCCAAAATTCAAGAATCTTTTTCTTTTTTATAAGGAATGTATGTTTATGTTATCATTCCTATTAGGATTTAGGTTCTTCAGGAACATTTTGTCTTATTCACCATTGTTTACCCTCCAATAAACATCTGTTGAATAACGAATCAATGGATGGATGGATAGATGGCCAGATAGATGGGGAGGCCATTAGGACAATCCTCCAGGTAAGTATAAATTTTGCTCTGACTTGGCACTTGCTTAACTATAAATCAAGGCTCAACATGCCATTTTCTCTCCATTCCTGCATTTTTCTGGTTTTAATCACACAGTTGCTGAATCATCAAATGCTACAGCAGAAACATATCCAAACTGGTAAAATTCTCAGTAACTATTTTTGATCTTGAAGCCAGTTAGAAACATACTATTAAGGGAAAAGTGATAACTTGTTAATATTATGGTTTGATGAAGGGGAAATATTGAACAGAGTTTTCTAATATATTTAACTGGTTTATAATTTGCAGAGTAAAACTTCAACAAGTGCATGCCCTTGAAATCCATTAATCTCTCTGTATTGTTTTATGTCTGAATCAGTACAGAGAGAATAAACAATATCCATAGTAAAATGAAAACAAAATATCAAGTTTTTCTTTGTGGAATGCACAGGCCTGCATAAAGATAGATGAATTTTATAAAACTAATCTATGTTCAGTCATGGACAGATAAAAACTGCCACCAACACCAGCAACTTATTTTATATATATATATATATATATTTTATTATACTTTAAGTTCTAGGGTACATGTGCACAACGTGCAGGTTTGTTACATATGTATATATGTGCCATGTTGGTGTGCTGCACCCATTAACTCATCATTTACATTAGGTATATCTCCTAATGCTATCCCTCCCCCCTCCCCCCACCCCACAATAGGCCCCTGTGTGTGATGTTCCCCTTCCTGTGTCCAAGTGTTCTCAATGTTCAATTCCCACCTATGAGTGAGAACATGTGGTGTTTGGTTTTTTGTCCTTGCGACAGTTTGCTGAGACTGATGGTTTCCAGCTTCATCCATGTCCCTACAAAGGACATGAAGTCATCCTTTTTTATGGCTGCATAGTATTCCATGAGGTATATGTGCCACATTTTCTTAATCCAGTCTATCATTGTTGGACATTTGGGTTGGTTCCAAGTCTTTGCTATTGTGAATAGTGCCGCAATAAACATACGTGTGCATGTGTCTTTATAGCAGCATGATTTATAATCCTTTGGGTGTATACCCAGTAATGGGATGGCTGGATCAAATAGTGCTTCTAGTTCTAGATCCCTGAGGAATCGCCACACTGTCTTCCACAATGGTTGAACTAGTTTACAGTCCCACCAACAGTGTAAAAGTGTTCCTGTTTCTCCACATCCTCTCCAGCACCTGTTGTTTCCTGACTTTTTAATGATCGCCATTCTAACTGGTGTGAGATGGTATCTCATTTTGAACACCAGCAATTTAAAAGAGAAACACTGCCTGAACTTGCACGTGCACAGTGAAACAAACCTCCTTAATGGAACGCATGTAAGATTTTCAATGTTTTTCTGGTAAATATTCAAGCAGGTGATCTAAGCAGGTCAAAATTCTCAGAAGTGAGTCTTGATTTTCTAATTGAGGGAATTTAGAAAGATGTGTTTTGGCATATGTGCAACGAGTAAATTTTCTGTACTCCTTAGAAGAAAAGTTAAACAGGATTAATAACATATCCCATTAAGTTTCTTGGGTAGACCCAACTACACGCCTACCTAGTATCTATTCTCCATTTCTTAAATTAATGATTTTCTTGGAGATCTCAATGTGCTCAGCTTAAAACAGAACAAAACAAAAAGAAAACACATGCATTTCATAATCTTTCTTGCAGCTAAGGATAGGTCATGTGACACAGGTCTGGCCAATGAATGTAAGCAGAAATCAAGTGCACACTTCTGACATTTTTTTTTCTTGGAATAAACACTACTGTCTTCTTCTTTCCCCCGTCTGAAAAATATAGACACAATTACTAAAGCTGGAGTTTCAACAGCCATCAGCTAACTATAAGGAAAGTACCAAGAACATTGCAGAAATCTCTGTTCTGATCTCCCAAGGTATAAAGCAAATGCTAATATAGCACACGACTGGACTTACTATGTGAGGAAAATAAATGTGTTTTTCAAACCAAAACTTTAAAGATTTTAGTTACATTTACCTGAAATTTAATCTCAGAATAAATAATTCCTCAAGAACATCAACCAAACCATTTCTTATCTTTTTCTTCTCCCAACTTCCTAACATACACGGTTTTCTCAACAAAATAGGAATGAATTAATAAGTGATTGAATGAATTAAGCAACCATTCCACTATTTATAGCAATATCTATTTGAAATTTCTAGAAAAAAAGCAAAGTTAAATCCTATGTCAGGTAAACCTACTTGAATTCAAAATAAACTACTGAACATTGTGAGTCACAGAATACATATTAAGATATTTTAAAAGTGGTCACTATTCTAAGATCTGTCAGTGAGATATAGACCTCTATGATAGACAGCCTCCTTCATGAAGAAGAGGCATTAAAGTTTTGAAATCAGATCTGTTATAATTAACTGCTTTTCTGTAATCACCTAGGCCAGAAATGGAAAGGAAGTTAACATGAGCATGGAGAAAATCAGCAGAATCAATCTTAGGATAATGGAGAATGTAGAGGCAGAGGAAATACAGTGAGGGAATTAAAGTTCAGCCCTTCCTTCCTCAAGAAGGTCTCCGAACAATATACAAAGATTGACAGATAAGGAAATGAAGTGTATCTCCTTGTCTGTTCAAGAACTTGTGTCAAGGACCCCTGACTGCACTGGTCAATTTTAGATTTCAGAGAAGTCTAAACTTTTGAAAAGTAGCTCTGCATTATGGAAAAATTGGACTCCTCTACACTCTGCTACTTGAAGAGCAGCTCCTGGACGAGCAGCGTTAGCATCAACTGGAAACGTGAAGTGCAGAGTCTTGGGTCCCATCTCAGACTATTGAATCAAATTATTCTTTTGTATATTGAATTTTGAGATGTACTGTACTAGAAAACCTTATTAAATATTGTCTCTTTGATATCTGAGTAGTTATTTGACTATACTTCTCTAAGTTCCAGATGTCAAATAATTTTTTAGAATGTCTCTCACAACTTTTCCACACAATTTCATAAAATGAATATTTTAAAAATATACTCTTGAAAGAAATTGATAATGAAAAAAAGGTGAGCCCCCATTTTTCCCTGGAGATTGGGAAGACATGTGCCATTCACTAAAAATTACATTTACTAAATCTAGAAACTGGATCCTTTGCCAATGTGATATACTTTCTTTCGTTTTCTGTTTAAGGGTGAGGTTTTGACTGTGTCATTTAAGGGCCTATGAAGTCCTTGGAAATTTGGTCTTCTCTCCCTTTTACCAATGTACTTTCACTTGTAGGCAAGCTCTAAATGAATGGCATGAGGAAGAGCAGATGACTTGACTAGAAGGCAGATGATTTATTTTCCTTGAGTTTACCATCATTTTCAGACATTCTTAAGGAAAATGAATTATACATACGTTAGGATATTGGAATTCTCTTTGCTGACAAGGCCTATCCCAGGAATGATACAACTGTGAGTAAAGTTATTGTCTCTACATTGCTTCAAAGAAACATGTCAGGGTAGGACCAGGATGGTTAATTTACCAAGGGCTTGCTTCTCCAGTTCACAGATGTGTATATTCTTTGGAAGTAGTGGTTGCAGTTTTAAACACTACATCCCAGATGTGCAGACAAGATACAACTTCTTTATTTTCTCTGTAACCTATCATATTTTCCTTACGACCAGGGATGGGGACACTATACTTTAGTTCAACTTCATAAATATAGTCTGATTCAATAAATAGTCTATTTGGTAATTGTTTAATCTTTTTTAGGTGAAAGGCTCAGTCCTTCAGATTCCATCTACCCCTGCCCAGCTCCTCCCCAAGAAGACCTTTGGATGAATAGGAAAGATATGGGGTTTACATGACCTCATGATACCCTGGGCGAGCAGTGCTCTTGAAGTCACACTTTGTGTTGTCCTCTCTTTTCTCTGCTGATGCATGGCTGTTCTGGACTGCTCTCCCTTTCCAAATAGTCCCTCTCTCAGTCACATCTAACTATGACTGAGTGATTTAGCTTCACCATGGATCACACTGATACTGCAGACCCCTCTAAGACTGTGGCATGTTCTTCATTTCTATCTTGGCCTAGGCTACCCAACCCAGTCACTTGATGCCTTGCCTCAAAGCTCAGTGGTAACTCACTGCCCACAAATCAGATTCCTTCAGCATCTGCAAGGAACATGCAGTCATCCCTGACTTCTTCATCTGCCTTCCTTGCTACCTTCAGCCAATGAAGTGTGGCATTTTCCTTGGCCTTGAAGGAAGTAGGTGCCACCAAGGTAGAATTCTACAAAGCCAGTTTGGAGGATGGTGGAGTAGAAAGACTGCAAGAGCCTTGTATTCTGTCTTCTTGCTCTTTTTCTCTCTTCTCCTCCAACATCTCTAGAAATAGAGGGTGCAGATTTCTGGCTTTTCAATTTCCCTACACCAGTGCTACCCAGACTAGTGCCAGGCCATGGACTGTCACTGGCCCACAATAAGATACACACAAAAATCAAGAGTAAATTTCTAGATACAATTTAACAGGGTAATTTCATATCTACCAAATGTAATTTAAAATGTTAGGCTTTTATTTTATGTGTCTTTGTTTTTCTATTTCATTTTTCTCATAACTCACTTTTATTGTATTTTTTAAATGATAGTGTGGGAGCCCAGGGAAAACTTCCTCTTCAACCTCTAAAGAAGCAGTCCCCAACTTTTCTGGCACCAGGGACCAGTTTCATGAAAGCCAATGTTTCCACAAAGGGGGGCTGGGGGTTGGTTTCAGGATGAAACTGTTCCAGCTCAGATCATCAGGCATTAGATTCTCGTAAGGAGTGTAACCTAGATTCCTCACATGTGCAGTTCACAATAGGGTTCGTGCTCCTATGAGAATCTGATGTCATCACTGATCTGACAGGAGGCAGAGCTCAGGCGTTAATGCTCGCTAGCCCGCTGCTCACCTCCTGCTGTGCAGCCCGGTTCCTAACAGGCCATGAAGTAGTACCCGTCTGTGGCCCAGGGGTTGGGGCCCCTGCTGTAAAGTTTTGCTTAAAAAAATCAACTGACAAAAGGCAGATTAATCGGTGAAAAGGCATACAGATTTATTAACATGTACACGGAGAGAACCACAGAGTGACTCCTACAACCCCTCAATGGGATGCAAAAGCTTATTTACCATCTTGAGGTTACAGAAAGAATGAAGGCTCAGAGCATGGCCAAAAAGGTTATGGTGGTAAATCAGGATTTACTGGCAAGACAGGTAAGAGGGAGAGGAGAGACTTGGCTGGCAAAGATGGTCATGTTACCTAGGTGAAACCTCACAGGTAATATCCCTCCAAAAGAATAAATGGTAAATATTTCTTTCAGACCTTTAAAGGTGTCAGGCTCCCATTAATCTTTCCTAGATCCAGTCAAGGGAAGGTTTCAGAGAAAGCCTGGATGCATCAATGTAAATTTTCTCTTTAGATGCAAATCTCCACAAAAGAGCTTTGCAAGGCTACTTCCGTTTGCAGGCCCTCTGAACAGCCGTCTCAAAATATGTGAAAGAAGTGTCTATGGGAGTGAAATATTTTTACTTCTTTCAATAGAACAAGATGTGTTAGAAACTTTTTAAAAGTGGTTTCTCCCACAGATAGTTTGAGAGGCACTGCTCCTCATTGCATCTGCTCTCTATTCAGCAAGCCTAAGGAAGAGGATCATTGATGGAAGGGACATCCTCTCTGTCCTGCTCTCTGCACCACAGAAGAAACATAA
The DNA here is from genome assembly GCF_000001405.40 of Homo sapiens. Classification (NCBI taxonomy): domain Eukaryota; kingdom Metazoa; phylum Chordata; class Mammalia; order Primates; family Hominidae; genus Homo; species Homo sapiens. Next base: position 21,736,690 of record NC_000009.12, read on the forward strand.
GGAGTTCACCAGACTTGAGTCTGGGTATGCTACAAAAATGTGACTTCTTTTCCTGACAAAGCCTGGATTTTGAACTTATTTTCAAGTTGTAGATGCAAGCTAAAATCTAATTTGACAGTCAAAGCTGGACAAGGACTCCCCTGTGTTCTGGTGGGGACTATGTTCTGACACCTTTTCCCTGAAGCACGGAAACCCATTGTTTCAATGAGTGGGAAGTCCTAAAGCAATGTGATCTACAGGATAAGAAGACACACCAAAAAAAATATCCTGAAGTTGCTGATGTAAGAAGGATGGTTGGAGAACAGCTCTATTTCAAGAACATCTGAATATGATGTTTTTCATAATCTTAAAAAAACCTGTATCGGTAATCAATACAATACATTCCAAGTGACCCTATTTTTTTGCAAAAGAAGAAGAAAATCTCTAGAAAACCATTTGCATTCATATAAGCTTTACAATGCCTGAAACAAATGTTTAGGCCTCAGTCTTTTCCAGTTCAAAGACCAATGAAAATAATTTGTAGACCACACTTGAACAACCACAAATTGAGTGCTGTTCCTAAAGGAAGCTTTCGCAGCTGGGATGCCTGAAACAATTCTGGCATTAAGTGGGTGAATATTATTATTAATAATATTTAATTAAGTTTCTACCTGAGCACCCTGCTGAAAGACTCTCTAAAAACTAGTCTAACATCATTAATCTAACAAAATAAGGGCCAAATTAGGAAACAGAAGAAGGCTACAGTTTTATCATTGTACTGACCTATCTTAGAGGTAACGTTGACTCTCCTTAGAGATAGTTTCCAAAATACTATTACTCAGTTGAAGAAAAGTTAGACCATGCTCAAGAATAATTGTTTTGAGATTGTCTTATGCCCCACAACCTCCCTGCAAGTGCCATTTTGCTATGTTCCTTAAAACCACCTCTTTTTCAAGGATTCAATTCCCTTAAGTCTGCCTGCCAGCCTTTGTCTCAACTCAACTCAAAATGGCAAGGATATGACTTGGTTTATCTACCCAAGTTGATGGATAACCAATTAGACTTTAGTGTGACTGTATATGCTTCTATACACACTCTATATACTTCTCAAGAAGTATTTGTAGTGTTTGCCTTTGATCTATAATTGTAGCTTGAAAGCTCTTTTTTTCCTATTCAGTAGACTTCAGATAACTGCAAGCCATAGGCAGTCTCTCTCATTTGAAAAGAGAAAATCTTTTCTTCAAGGACAATATCTGGTCTCCCCAACCCAGATGGTCCCTGCTTCCTGAGCAGACCTATTTTGTTTGTTGTTGTTTTGAGACAGGGTCTCTCTCTGTTGACGAGGCTAGAGTGCGGTGGTGTGATCATGGCTCACTGCTGTGTTGACCTCCCAGGCTTAAGCAATCCTCCCACCTCAGCCTCCTGAGTAGCGGGGACCACAGGCATGTACCATCACACTTGGAAATTATTTTTATTTTTATTAGAGACAGGGTCTCCCCATGTGGCCCAAGCTGATCTCTAACTCCTGAGCTCAAGTGATCCTCCTGCCTTGGCTTCCCAAAGAGCTGGGATTACAGATGTGAGCCACCATGCCTAGCTTCTATTAATAATGTCAGTAAGAAGGTATTGCCCTTCTCCACCAGCTCCTAAAATTAGGTAGGGCTGTGGCCTTCTTGCCTTTGAAGATGACATTCCCAATCACAGTTAATATATTAAAATATATTCACATAGATTAAATATAGTATATGTAATTATATTGACTAAATTCTCCTACACTTGATGCTTTGATATATTGTCAAATTTTGTAGACATTTGTTTCATTTGGTAGCTTTATTTATTTTACTTATTTTAATGTATTTATTTATTTCAGTGTGGTAGTTTTCTTATTTTGATGCCAATTTGTTTTTAGCTGTCTAATATTTTTATTAGTTGTCTTGGGTCAGGTTTCCTAGAAGCAAAACCTGACATGAAGATTCATGAACAAGTGGTTTATTACAGAAGGATTCCTAGGAGAAAATGATAAGGATTTGAAAGAAGTAGTGGGGAAGTCAGGGCAAGACTGGGAAGGGGAAGAACCCAAGCAAGGCTGTAATTGCAGATAAAGTTGCAATCTCAGCCTAATCCTATGGGGAGCTCTAGAGTATAAATCACATGGCAAGCTTTGTCCCACTTGTTGAGGCAAATAAGTCAGGCTTTTGTACCCTTCCATCAGTCAATCACCAGCTGTCAGTCAGTGGATAGGAATATTCTCAGGCACTTCCCTCAGTGATGAGACAGTTTATATATCCAAAGACAGTCCTCTGCAGAGGCAAGGGAGCCTTTAGCAAAAGAGAATACGGACGCTGAGGGGACAGGGCATAGTGCTGGGGAAAGGAATTGGAGAGGGAAGCACCTGGGCAGGACAGAGTGTTCACTACAGCAGTCATTGAAAAGATCATAAGCACCATGCCTGGAGCACCGAAAAGATGAAATAAGCCTTGAAATCCAGATGGTTTCTGGCATATCACAGGTCTGCTAGACTTTTCTTTTCTCTCCTCTAACCCAATGCTATCTTTTACTCCCCCTTTTCATCCTTTGCCAAAGACTTTCTGAAAATTGTTTGTAATATCTGGTACACCTAAAGAATCTGTTAGGTCCTCAGTATTAAACAGAAGAGATAAGTGTTTTCACATCCTATCTGATAAAATGAAGGACACAAATTTAAAAATGATTGTCTATTTTTAATGTTATAATTTCATATTTACCTCTCTCATTCTTGGATTTGTTCTTACTCAATAATAGCTTCCAACATTGTAACCTGGAGTTGTTCTCACTCTCTTACTAAATGATTTGAATCCAATTCCAAGAATAATGCTGCCACCCTATTTATAATACACTTGCACCTCCAATTGATTCCTTTCACAGTGCAATCCTCAGGTACAGATGTAAAGTTTTCTACTTCATAATGTAAAAGAATGTAAGAGACTATCTCATGACAGGAAGAAGACTCTACAGAAAAACCTTTTTTTGAAACCCCATAGCCCAGACAGTAGCACGTTATTTTTGGTGAAGAATTATCTGAAAATATAAATGGTATCTTAATCAGTGTTCAATGGAGAACCAAGAAGGGAAAGAGGAAGGAGTAAACTTTGAGGAGAGTCTCTTTTCACTGATTTTGTTTAGGATTGCAAGTACCTAGTGTTTATGAAAAGCAACTGGCTTTTAGTGGGTTCTAATTCTCAGCAGGCAATTCATCCCCTTATTCCTTGCACCCCAGGCAGATCACTTCTACTGCTACCATTCCTCTCCACTTCGGTTTGCTTTTGGGTGATGTAGTTTGTCCTAAGACCAGTGAGTTCCATGAGTATTATCACATTGCCACTCCTTTTGCTGTAAAATAAGTTCCTTGGATAAAAGCCCTATGAAGAAGGATATGATGGCAGTGAATAAGGCACACTGTCATCCAGGAATAGTGGTCTGGGCAAAGGCACTGCAAGCGTGGAAAGCAAATTTGAATTTGGAATACATCTCTGTTCCACGTGGACACATCTTTGCCTTCTCCAGGTGGCCAGCTATTTTTCCCAGGAATCATATTCTATCAGGGGCTCATTGCTGGCCTCTGTGCTACAGCAATGGTCATAGCCAGATCAGCGTTGTTGATGTGCTGTGGCTGAGCTCGTACATACCCTTATTTGTGACGTTATAAAAGTCTTCTCTTGATTCCTGATGTAAGTTTTCAGTTCAAGGCCCTAAACTTATTGTTTTCTTTTAATAAGCTCTCTAACACAGTCAGGCACAGTTGACACACTGTGTCTATAACCTTTGTAACCACCATTGTTGCATAGCAATCAGATGCCACCTTTATGTGATCACTCAAAACCTTGCTCTCCATCACCTAAAACCATCACCAATGATAATTTTAGAAATCGTGGCACTGCTACCTGTCACCCATTAACAGGGTGCGATTTCTGTCTAGCAAGGAGTTTATTCATGTGTCCATAAAACATATGAGCCACTCTAGTTTCAGAATCTTCTCCAGAATGTCTGTTTCATGAGGCTACTCTTGGTACCAACTACTGTATCAGGCAGGGTCTTAACAAGAGAACGTGGGCACACAGCAGGGCAGAAAAGGTGGATAATGGAGCCAGAGGACAGGCGGGCCAATATACAGGATGCTTAACAAGGGCAAGTAATCAAAAACTCATTTATATTAATATTTCTATAAAAGAATTCCTATTGGTTTTGTCATTCTTCCTTAGGTATATATGCATGACTCTTCCTAACCTTTTCTTCTCTTATTCCACAATTCTAGCTCTTGGCTTTCCATCCATATCACACCAATTTGATTTAATACCTGGCTCCACTACTAGACTAATAGCCCAGTAGAGTGAGCACTGCAGAAGCCTTCAGTGTTAGCACCCATGACCATAGCAAACTGTGTGCCTACCAGCTATTTATTTGAGTTTTCAGGACAACCTCTACAAGATACCTAATCCTCTATTTTTCTTAAAATTGTTGGATTTTTTTTCAGCATGTGGGATGTTGCTTGGCCTAAACATGATGAGGCATGGCATAATGAGTGTCAGGAAGGTCAGGAAAATGTAGGGGGGATATTTGTCAAGGAAAAGAAAACAAATAACTTTCTGCCAGATCTTTCATTCCAGACATGCTGGAAACTCACACCATCATAGGCTTGGGTAGTCAAAGCAAACTTTAAGTAGTGCTAAGAAACCTTTGACATGTGTGAATTGGCAGTCCATGTTGCTTCTGATTCAGCATAATTTATTAAGCTTTTTGGCATGTCTGTTAGGAGTTATGAAGCACAAAAACTCATGCCTCTTTTAAAAGAGAAAAGGTCCTATTCAGTGATTGTGACAATTTACAACAGGATCAAGAAGGCTGGCACTTAGCAGTCGTGGGACATAGCTGGCAGCTCAGGACCTTGTGGTGGGTAGAATGCATAGCACAGATGTACCCATGAAACTAACATACAGACTTCTGCTTAGGGAAATCACCGTTTTACCTACATCTTACTCACATGCTATTGCATTGTCAGGGATGGTTTCTTCTCGGTTTCTCTAGATCTAAATCAGATGCCCAGTGTTTAATACCACCTTTAAATCAATGGTATCAGTGACCAGTTGATTGCTTAGTACAAAAATAGTTCTCCAAAGACAGAGATATGGCTAAATCTATTTAAATTTTAAACTCATTATCTTTCATGATCTGATTAAAGCCATTAACCTAACCATCCAACTCATAAATGCATTGCAGAGATGGGACACCAGGGTGCAGATGGACTAGCATAATTTCTCTCAAAAGTGTTCCTGAGTGTTTGCTGTCCTGATCTGGAACACCACACTGCACCTTCCCATACCACACCATATCATATTCAGTCAATTTGCTTGCTAGTCCAGGGGAGATGGCAGGAAGTTTCTTTTAATCTCTGGCTTTGTTCCAAAATAAATATTCACTTGAGGTGTCTTAATTGCAGTGGGAAGTAACTCTTGTCTGAAAGGTATTCAATTTAACAGGCATTTGTTGAGAGCCTACTATATGTCCAGCACAATTCTAGGCACTTTGGATACAACAATGAACATAAACAAACAAAAAATCCCTGCCCTCATGAAGCCTACATTCCAGAGGAAGAAGAAAGATGTTTTAAAAAATACTTAGAATAGGTCAAGTATATAAAATGATGACCAGAGTAATGAAAATAAAGTAGAAAAAGGAGTGTCAGGGAGACAGGTAGTGGTCAGTTTTAAATAAGGTGGTGAAGGAAAACTTTATAGAAAAGAAGTCAACATTTGAGCAACAACCTGAAGAAGGTGAGGGAAAGGGTTGCATGGAGATCAGGGAGGCCAGTGTAGCTGGAGCATAGAGAGGAGCTCAAAGAGGGAAAGAGGAGCCACTGCTTTGTTGAAATTGACTGCAAGGAGGCAAAGGCAGAGGCAGAGAATTCAGTCAGGAGTCATCGCAATGACCCAAAATGAGAGATGATGGTGGCTTGGGCCAGAAGAGAAGCAGCGAAGTGACGAGAAATGGTCAAATTTCAAATATATTTTCAGCTAAAGCTGACAGGATACGCTGATAGATAGGTCATAGCATGGAGGAGAATAAGAGGAGTCAAGCTGGATCCTGATGCTTTTGGACCGAGAAATTGTAGACTTTAAGTAGAATCACCTAGCAAAGAAACCAAGGCAGATACAAGATGGATTTATACATTTATGCTCACATGCAAACAGAAGGTGACATGAGGCTATTTTCTTACGTCTTTCATACATCAGCATGAATTAACTACTGGAGTGTGTCATTTAAAGGACAGGATATGGTCTGCACACATTTAAGTCTAACAACAGTAAACATTATTCCTGTATGGTTAATTGGGAGTTGACATCACCCTCAGTCAGCCTGTGGTTGAGTCTTGCAGGGAAAATGCCACTGAGTTTTCTCAGCCTTAAAAAAATAATGTATGCTTTTATCTGACCTAAAGTCAGGAACTATAAAAGAAGAAATGCAAACTTGGATGCATGAGCAGAAATGAAATAATATAGCAAATTACTTTGAAGTTAAGGATTTAGTGCAAAAATAAGTTTATCCTGTTGTAAAATTTTAGTCATAAATATCTTTTTTTCAGTGTGTTTTTTTTTTCTTCCCCACAGTTCTCGGCAGTTTTTTGCTCTCAAATGTGGGCAAGGTAACAAAAATTTGGCTTAAAAATGTGGGCAAAAGTTAACAAAATATGTCAATTATGTTATTCTTTTTTCCCCAACAATTAGCCTTATGCTTTCCAAAAACAATCCCAATGTTTATCTCTATTTCCAAGGAAATACAAATCTCTGAGAATTTCAAGGATCGCTATTTTGCTTTACTGTTCTCATGTCCTTAGTCAGTTCCTTGTTGTAACTATCTGGTACAACATTTTTGATATCATGTGAAAGAGGTATGGAAAAGTAGAAAAAACCCCAGACTGAAGCAAGTCAGATTTGGAAGTGTAACCATGGGGAAGTGACTAGAACACTTTAAGCCTCAATTTACATAAAAGATAGTAATAGATAATATTATTGGATAATTATGGACAATGATACCTGGTTGGGTTGTTGTAAGGCTCAAATTAGTTAACATGTACAAAGCACCTATGTAAAAATGTGGAATTTATATGAATAATTATTACTTTCAGCATTTTCAGTAGCTATAGAAACAAAACTTCAGTGGACATTGCTAAATTTTTAAAGAAATACAATTTTGAGATTAGTCCAAATTTATAAAAAAAATTTTACTCTATCATAAAATAAGGCCTAGCTTTTAAGAACAAATGAGTAGCATTATTCCTTTTCTCCTGGGTTTTTCCCCCTCATTTTTAAGACCCACGCAGGGCATCACATATTTCACAAATGTAATCTGTCCGTGCTTTATTTCCTAGATCACAATGCCAAACACAAAAGTCTAGTCATCACTAATCATTTGATCAAGCCCTTGAGTTTGACAATCTCAAACTATGTTATCACACAGAAAATAAGCAGAAGATTCCATAACACTAAAGAAAAAAGAGTTTCTTTAAAAACTCTATTCTCCCCTAATGAAAGAAAGAATGTGGTGGACATTGTCCTAGCCTGCTAAGCGTGCCTGCCTTGTGTGTTTCCCCAGACAGACTCACCTGCCTCACTGATCAAAGGGTTGGGCACTGACAAACTGGTCACACTCCTTCCCCAGAATCTTTCAAAAGTTTTAAAAATTAGTTTGACGGTATATTTGAGCTGAATTTGAGGGACAGAGCTCACATTCATTGTGTAGATCAATGACACTCAAAGCATGGTCCCAAGCCAGCAGCATCAGCATCATCTGGAAACTTATTAAAAATGCAAATTTGGGGGCATCACCCTAAACCGAACTGTGTGGGAAATTCTGGGGACAGAGTCCAGGAATCTATTTTTAAAAACCTTTCAGGTGATGCTGGTGCACTTAACTTTGTAAACCACCAGTGCAAACTAACCCAGATACATAACTCTTTCATCATATGAAATTTCTCTATTGAAGAAAAATAATGGAACCCGTGGTATATCCAAATATTTGTAGCTCTACCACAACAAAGTCCTCTACTACTTGCTCATACATATGATTTATTAAACTACAGAAGGAAAATGTCTTGAATGTACGCTAGTTTCTCATTTTAAAGACCTTTAGAGTTACAGATTAAAGGATAATCATTTTCTTATGTCTGAAACCTCCAACTACCCAATTCTCCCTTCATAACTGAACTTTTTACAGATTTAGATCTTGCCTATATTTATAACTGCTGCATACAGTCCAACAAACATACTCCACACAATAAGTTTGAATCTGAACTCTTGTGCAAGTGTCCCTCTGCACTGTGACTTTTAATCAGGAAGTTATGAAACAGCCATTTTTAATAATAATGCTATGTGTTAGATGTGCCAAGAGATGTTGTAATCTGTCAATGTGTTTGTTCCTGTGGCCTCAAGCTCAAATTTTCAGACAGTTACCAAATGAGTGAAGCAAGCTAAGGATGAGACAGTAGGCAATGGTGGGGACTATGGCAAGCTGGAATATGCCTGCATGCATTTAATCCAGAGATTCTATTCAAAAATTGTGAAAACATGGTGTAGGCCAAGTGAAATGTCAGTTATTGGATTCAAGTTATAGGCTGTATTATATGAACTTTGGTTTATTCCTACTGCATTCTTGTAGTTGTGCACCTTTGGACTTAGAAGTAAACTGATCCCAGACCAATCACAGAAGCCACAGAGGACTGCTCTATGGAAAACAAGTGTGTTCTTTACTTCACTGCTTCTTACCCAGGTCAGTCCTATCTAAGAAGCAGGCTCAAAGTTTAGGGGAAATTTTCTTCTTTTTGTGGCAGTCTGATTGAGATATAATTCACATACCCTATACTATAAGCTGAATTGTGTCCCTCCCCTCCTCACTCCATCAAATTTATATGCTGAAGTCCTAAGCCCCAGTAACTCAGAATGTAACCGTATTTGGAGATATGGTCTTTACAGAGGTAATTAAGATAGAATGAGGTTATTATGGTGTTCTAATCCAATATGACTACTGTCCTTATAAAAAAAGGAAATTTGAATACAGATATGTATAGAGGGAAGACAATGTGAAGGCAGGAAGAAGACAGACAATGACAAGTCAAAAAGAAAGGCCTGGAACTGGTCCTTCCCTCATAACCCTCAGAAGGAACCAACCCTGCCAAAACCTTGATCTCAAAGTTCTAGCCTCCCATTCTGTGAAAGAATACATTTCAGTTTTTTAATCCACCCACAGTCTATGGTACACTTTGTTATGGCAGCCCTTGCAAATGAATATGCCATACAAGTCATCCGTTTAAAGTGTCTAATTCAGTAGTTTTAGGATATTCACAAATAGGTGCAACCATCACCATTAGTCAATTTTAGAACGTTTTCATCACTCAAGAGAAAACTCTGTGCCTTTAGCTATCAACATCCTATCACCCCATCCTCCCCAGCACTAATCTAGTTTATTTTCTTTCTAGATTTGCCTATTCTGGATGTTTCATATAAATGGAATCATATAACGTGTGGTGTATTCTTGGCTTTCTTCATTAGCGTGATTTTAAGATTCCTCATTGTTGTCCTATGTATTGTTCAAGAAGTAATGCATTCCTTTTCAGGCCCAATTACAACTCCATTGTACGAATATCCCACATTTTGTTTATCCATTAATCAGTTAATGGATATTTGGGTTATCTCCACCTCTTGGCTATAATGAACAACGTTGCTATAAATATTCATGTAGAAAATTACTTTATAAAGAGAAAAGCTGTATGTTTTGAGGAGAAGATAAAACCTGTACTAACAGAACATAGTGATGAAAATTCCTCACTATTTTTTTAAGTTGACTTCTGGCAAATTTCTACCTTTCTTATTTTCTCTGGGGCCCTTCCCTCATTCTCACTTTAAACAAGCTATCACCATCCACACTTGCAGGCTGATTCATTACCTATTTGTTCAACAATTACATGGCACTGAGTTTACTGAAGGATATATGAGGACCCTCAGGGGAGAAGGAAAGGGTCATTGTAGATGTGGCATCAGATCCATTATGAAGTTTAGGCTGGGAAAAGACATGGGCAAATGAGTGGGTGGGTGTGGGTGTAAAGGGTTGAATTTGTGTTCAGAAGCATAAAAAGACTCCCCAGCTGTGGAGGGCTGGCCAAATTATGCTCGATTTGAATGTAGTGGTGGAAGAGCTGCCAGACAAAGAGAGGTATTTAAGTGAGGTAAGTAAACCTAGCCCACTAGTTCATTAGGCTGTTCTTCAGTGCTCACATAAAGGAGTGATTTACAGGAACTCTATTTTACAATTAGTTGTAATACGAGCCAATAAAGAATGGGAGAGTGGAAAAGTCATGGAAATCTTGATTGTTACAAAATTACATCATGGAGAGCCTGAAAAAAGAAGTTTGTGTGTACATTGATATAGTAGGTTGCCAAGTCAATGTCTAAACTAAGAGTTTCTCCCAATTAGTTTGGCATGGGAAAGTAATTTTTAAAATAAGGGCATTCTCATAGTAATAATGTATTGGTGGAAGTGTACATAGTGTGTCTATGGCAGTATTGTGAAAACAATAGTTTCATAGTGTTGGATCAGCAACTTACTATGTGCCAGATGTGACACTAGAAGCTGGAGATGCTGTTGTGAAATAAGATAGGCGTGGTCCCTGCCCTCACATTGTCCCAGAAAAAATTATTTCCTGACTTGTGGTTAGTGAATTGTTCCCGACATGCCTATTGGAAATTCCAGTCCTATAGAATGTGGTTAGATAAGTAGTGTTTCTCTTATGCCTTTGAATATTCTGACTCTTAAATAGTAATGGAACAATCTGAGCACCCATATGTACAAATTACACTAGGCACAGCAAGTTCAAGAATCATTAAAATATTTGGCTCTTGCCTTCAAAGAACCAACAATGAAGGATGTACATATACCATATACATAATGAGAGATTCTGGAATAGAGGTATAAAAAAGTGAGAGCATGGAAGTTACTCATTCTTGCAAAGAGTATGGTTAGTTGTAGTCCAGAGGAAAAGGGTTGGGAAGTTTTCACAGGAAAAAGTAAGGGTTGAGCCAGATCTTCAAGACTTAAAAGGATTTAAGTCCAATAGTAAAAGGAGCGAAGGGAATTCTAGTAAAAGGGAACAGCTTGAGGAATGACCCAGAGACATGACAGTGATCTTTGGAGAAATGGCAGTTAGACAGACATTCTGTCTACTCGTTTCCCTGTTACATCCCAAATAGGAAAGACTCAGACCCAGAGACCATTCTGGTTAAATGTTTCAGTGAAAAGTTAAGACTGGTCTATCGGTCTTAACTATCATTTGAACACCTGGAAAATCTCTAAGCATATAAAAGCATGCATGGCTTTCTGGGGCTTACCACAAATTAAACTTGAATTTCTATAAAAGCAGATGACAGGTTTAATAGGTAAATAATCTTGACTTATAGGATCCCCCATGTCAACACTAAGTTGAGAATCAAGTTAAGGAAGTACAGTATGTCCTTTAGCATAATTGACAGGCAGTTCTCAGTTTTACTGTGGATGACTTTAACTTGAGTATAACCAATAATGCTCTTACCATGGATTTGTGTAAGATGGATTACTGCAGGTCAAGGGCAAACTATTTACATCTGATGGAGGCAGCATAGAATAGTGATAAGTTCCTAAATAAAATTGTCTTGGTTTTAAACCCCAACTCTTTTACCTGTTAGGCTTAACCTTCCTGAGTCATACAAAGTCACTTGACCTCAATTGTGGATAACAACGGCCCTTGCTCTAAGGGGCTATTGTGAGGATTAAATAGTACATGTAGTGTTCAGCCTGGTGCATGTACAACATTGGCATTTGCAAGCTGTTATTATAAAGTAATGGTGAAGAATCTGAGCTTCCTAGATCTTATCTAGATCTAAATCCTGCCTCTGTCAGATCTTTGAAAATTTTCTTAGTTTCTATGCCTTGATTTTATTGTCTAAACCAAGAGAAAATAGCACAGTTACTGCAAAGATTAAACAAGAAAGTATATATAATATGATTACCACAATACCTAGCACATAGGTCTTCAAAAAGGCAGTTCTTGTTAATATTATATAATTTACAATAAGAAAAATTTTGTTTCCTCATAGTCATATTTTCTAAGCTTTTTAAAATTAATTTTGGGGTAATTTTGAATACATTATTGGTATCTAATAAGAACCTATGGTTGGCCCTTTTGTATAGTAAATATACACTGATGACTATTCATTTGTATTAAAATTTTCCCGAGTAGCTTCTGCTTGACTAAAGTATTTCCTCCTTTCTATTTTAGGATTTAGCCTTCATATAATTAATATCTATTAATATATGTGTTTGCTTTAGGGAAGTGTTGGGATTGGCTTCCCTGGAAAGCAGACCCTGTGATGTATCAAGAAATGTGAAAGGTTTATTTACTGGGAGGTGAAATGAAAGAAAAGAAGGCAGGATTGGGCAGAGATAGCCATCAAACCTGTTGCAGGCTGACAAGGTCTAGGCCGAAGCGGGGCTGTAGAGCAAGATTTGCTTGGTAATGTTATCAAGAGCTTGGTGGAAAAGGCTAAGTCCTTGCTACCACTGCCTTGCTCAATTTTTGGCCAGAGCTATCCTGAGAAGTATAAAACCTTGGCCGCCAACACCTTGCTTATTCCAGAGTTCCCCCAGATGGGTTTTCCTTTTACTTGAGAACTAAGATGGACTGTGAAGGTGATCATAGCTGATGGCCTTCAGCTAATGGAGTTCATCATAGCAGCAAGTCCCTTCTTGAAGGGACATCTGAACAGTGCGTGTCTGTGTCTGCTACAGAAGATTTCAGGAGGTAATGGTAGTAATGGACCTAATTTAGTACTTACCTAGATTTTCTTAGCCTCGCCAGTCCCTGGACTTTAGCCACTTTCTTAAAGAAGAGTCCCAGCCACCTTCAACACCCCTGTACCTCTTAACACTAGCAACTGTTTCAGCTCCCCTGGGATGAGATATAGGTTCATATTCAGCCTTTACTGCACTCCCCATGGCAGAAATTGCAGCAGCTCTGATGCTCATCCCAGGCAGCCAAACTTACAAAGTCTTTGGTTCTTTATACTTCTGAGCTCTGATGAGGCTATGCTACATCTGAGGACATGAGATCTGGCCAGGTATCACAACCTGCTAGAAGTAGAGGAGAGTTAATGTTCCATGGACTGAACTTTGATAAATGAGAAACAGAAGATAAGAAGGATTAAGCAGACAATATATATATCTTCTACTCCTTTGTCCTCAATGGACTGTCCCTGAATGCAGTGGTTCAGTATAGCCTACATAGATGAAGTCCCACAAGATTAAGCATTCATCTTTGTTTTCTTATGACATTATGGCCAGCTTAAAAACATACTACCTTGCATTTTCTTTACTTTTATCCCAACCTCATTTCTCTTTTATTCTTCTCTCTTGCTTCCCTGGAATCACAGTTGCAAATAACTGTCTTATATTTTAGCACACAAGCTGAGGTTTGGCTCATTTCCCTGGGACCTAGCCTAAGAAAACAGTTAACAATTATTCAGTGCCTACTATGTTCCCAGTGCTGTTCTAGGAGCTTTAAATGTATCCTTTCATTGTCTTCTCCAAACAATCCAATGACATAGGTATTCTTAGTATCTTCATTTCCGTTTTATAGATGATATGAGAAACTAGGGCACAGAAATGTTGAGCATCTTTCATAGGCTTCTACAGCTAGTAATTAGCAGATCTAGGATTTGAACGCAGACAGTCTTGACTACAGAGCTCAGGCCCTATTCTGTTTCTGCAGTTGAATTTAATTCTCAAGTCTATCTCTAAGTTAAATACTCATAAATGATGCAATTCCATGGCAAAAATGGAAGTTACATGTCATCCAACGGAAGTACTGCTAAGCCAGACATAATGTGAAAAATGTTTATCTAACCAGAAAAGTTGAACCAAGTGAAGGAATATCAACCAGAGGTGAGATATTTGGAGGAACAATTCAAAGGTCTGGATTCTCTCTGGCTTCCTCAGTTTAGTTAACCATTTAAATTTGGATAAATCACATGATCATTCTATGCCTCAGTTTCCCCAGCTACTATATGAAAATACAATTCCTAAGCTGCCTGTCTCTCATTACTTGTGTAAGAACTGAATACATTATATCTAGGAAAGCATTTCTAAATACTAAATTGTTACTATTATCACCATTAGAGTAATTTTGTTAATAAAAAGCTTACAAACTTTAATGTTACTAAAATTTAGATCAACTTTTACATCTCAAAAAAAGGACTTTTGAAGACACGAGACAAATATAACATGAATTTAAGATAATTAACTAAAGTAAGGCAAAGGGAAAAGAAAAGTTGCAAAGCAAACAGGTAAGGACAAGATCAGTGCATAGCGTAAATGCCATCCTTGCTAGCGATAGAACACACATTTTGTTCTATGCTTTCTGGCAGCTGACACAAGGAAGAAAACACCATCAGCTACTGGAGTTCTAGTATCCACAAATTGAAAATGAACCAATGGCCTGAAACATTCTGAAACTGACAGCAGAGAGAAATTTCACTATTGGTCTGCACAGAGAGGACATCACAAAAATAATGAATAATGTCCTCAATAATATTCTAGCAATACATGCATTTTTCCCTCAGTATAGGCTGATGACAACATACCAGAGTGTGACTGTATAAAATAACCCTGAAAAGAGCCCACTCTGAAGCAGTCTGCAGCCTTCTGGCTCAATCTTGGGTTAGCTTTTAGAATTCCTAGACAAAACAGAAGCTAATACTAACAATAACAAAAGTACTAATAGCTAATTCATTCATTTATTCAACTGATAGTTATTGAGCAACTCCATGAGCTAGGCACTGAAGATACAGCAGTGGACAAAACACATAAAAATCCCTGCTCCCATGGAGCTTCATTCTAGGCAGAGAAGATAGAAAATAACAAATAAATAAGTTAAATACATAGTATGTTGGTAATGATAAATGCTGTGGGAAAATAGACAAGTGAGATAGAAAGGCAACACAAGAATTAAAAACAAAATAGTGGTATATGTTCTCATAAAATATGTACCCCAGAATGCATACATAAACCTGAACCCTTTAGAGACTATAATATTATGAGGCATTAATTTTTTTTGTTTTTTCCGAGTGGCTTTCAATCTGTAGCTGTATGTTAGCTATATGAAGGTGAGTATACATACATATTGTGAAAGCAAAAATTGCATCCGACAAAGTTAAGCAGCAAGGACAAATGCTATTCAAGACAATTACAATAGGAGAGAGAGGCCAGAAATCAGCCTGCTCAACTCCACTATAACAAGGGGTGGGAGGAACTTTAGGGACTGGTATGAGCTAGTGGAAGGGAACTAGAGAACACTGGAGGATGGGGGCAGGTTGATCACTGGGTTGTGTGAAGCACACTGAGTTTGCAAAATACTTTTCTCTGTGATTAGGTCATCTCTGCTGGCTAATTGGCACCCATTGAAGTTAGGCTCCTACTCTCCCTTAGAGACTGGTAGACAGGGGTGCTATTTTTCATGATGATTACATTTCAAAGGGTTGGCTCCCAGCAACTTGAGAAAGACTTCCCTGAGTAGTACAACAGGCAAGAGGCTTTTAAAAATATTTACATCTCAAAGGGGCAGAGAAAGGATTTACAATTACAATTTTTTCTTTTGTAAATGCTCTAGGAAAAAAAGAAGTCAGGGGCTCAGAATCTGAGAGAAGCCTGTCAAGTTTAGTCAAGCTGAGGGAAACATCAAGGCCTTCTTGATTAAAAGGTATACACTCACACACACTTGCTTCTAATTTATCTTAAAAATATATGCTCTGCTATCAGTGTTCTAAATGTTTTCTTTATTGTGCCATATTTATCTGACAGAACCTGAATAGTAAGCATTTTTAAAGTGTGCATGAACTGCATGAAAATCACCTTATATGACAAATGATGATATGACAAACAGCAAAAATAATTCTTTGTATATAATCCATCATTGCTAATAGGATATAGGCAAGTCAATGGAAGTATGATACAGGTGTTCAATAAATGTATTTGTGTTGATTGATTATTGAAGTTTGCTGGATTTCATGCTCCATGCATTTCTTCTTAAAGTATCAGAATATGTCTATTAAATTCTTTTATACATTTTAAGAGCTTCTGGGGAGTATGTCTGGATGTTCTTTAAAATGCTTTGTGACACTGCAGATGTCACATATGATTTTTTAAAAAATAATAGCCCTGAATATCCCCAGCAGTGCAGGAAGAAATTTGATAGTATTTACATAGAAGCCATCTTGGCGTCCATTTCTCTACCAAGTACAAGATCCACTTTTCAATTCAAACTCAGTCTGGAAGTTTTTCTTCCTTCCAAAGGGAACAGAATTAACAATTCCGCCTAGTTCTACTATTACGGAGATTGCAGACAGAACAGACTGAATGGAAGATAGCAGTCAGATGATGCCCAAGAGTGGCAAAAAACAGTAGATCCAGAGAGACAGAAAGGCAAATCATTCTGGAGGGGTCTTGAGGCCAACAGTGTGAGGGACCACCACCTTCCTTCAATACACTTCAAGATCTAAGTAAAATAATTCAATAACCAAGATTTCTTTTTTTTTGCTGTTGCTAACAAACAGGTATAAAAAGAAATGACCATTTTAATGAAGGTCAGTTGGGGACAGCAAGAATTATGGAGATAAATGGGCTATAGATAACAAAGGAAAAGAATCCCAAGTGAAACCAAACTGGACACACACTTGGCTAACTGTTGGAAAGGAAGGGTTAGAAATTTTGACAGATACCTACAATTATTTTATTTAGAGTTTATAAATAATTATGCTTAAGGTACGATAACTTCTATACAGTTTCCATCCCAATGTCCAGTTTCAATTATTTCAACTAAAACTCTTGTATTGTTCATAAAGTCTAGAGTATAGGAGGTCCCTTTAGGCATCAAAGATGAGAAGCCAAGTCAGAAAAATTCTAACTGACCATTATGCTCAAGATTCCAGTGCTGAGCAGGGCAGGGAAGATAAACAGAGCTGTTTAAGCAAGATTCCTGTCTAGGGTTGTTGCCATGACACAGTTTGGAAGAAGAAGGTCTATCAACAACTTATTTCCCCTGTGCTTCAATGAGTTAAAGCATTTTCTCACAAGAAATAAATGTGTAGTGTTTAAGGATCCTTGACAGAGCTCCTTGTAAACTGAGCTCTCAGAAGTTGTCACTGGAGACCCACCATTTATTTTCCAAACAAAGGTCAAGATTAAACTTGAGGGATTTACCCAAATCTCTAATACAAGAGGATTCAGTTAAGGCTAGAGTTCACATCCTTATGCCTAAACTTCACAAGAGAGAAAATCTTTCAGAGGCACTGGAGAGCAAGAGTGCCTGATTGATACACCCTTGTTATTCTTAATATTGCCCTCTAGCAGTTTTTGAAATGAAGTCTTATGAGGCAGTAAAACTCTCTTATGTATTTTTTTCTACTTTCATTTACTTCAACCCAGGATCATCATGTGACTGAGATGATCAGGTTCAAAAGAGAAGGGAAAATGTGGTATGGGTTTGTATTAGTCCATTCTCACACTGCTATAAAGAACTACATGATACTGGGTAATTTATGAAGAAAACAGGTTTAATTGACTCACAGTTCTGCAGGTTGTACAGGCAGCATGGTTGGGAGGCCTCAAGAAACCTACAATCATGGCGGAAGGGTGAAGGGGAAGCAAGTATGTGCTACATGGAGGAGTAGGAGAGAGAGCAGGAAAGGGGAAGTGCTACATAGTTTTAAACAAACGGGTCTTATGAGAACTCACTCGCTATCATGATAACAGCAAGGAGGAAATCCATCCCCATGATCCAATCACCTCCCACCAGGTCCCTCCCCAAACACTGGGAATTACAATTCGACATGAGATCTGGGTGGGGATATAGAGCCAAGCCATATCAGGGTTTATATTTCATTTTGTCTATCTGGCTTGATTGACCATTGTAGCAGTGATGGTATGTATATTGGAAAATGCACCAGGCAGGCGTAAGTAGCCTCTGGTTTCTTGGGATTTTAGTAAAGTTATTAAATAGAACACATCATGCATCGCTTTAGTCTGCAATAGTATTTTTTAAAGAAAAATGATCAGTTGAAAGTGGCAGTAGGATTGTTTAAGTGTAGGTCCATTTATGGCTCATTTACAGTTTTTATGTAGCTTTGCCAATGTTTTGTATTCCTGACAGTCCCATGAGTCACTGACATCTTGTCAATTACAGTAGCCAACCTCTCTACCTGTATATCTGCAGGAAATTGGCCGAGATACAAATTTAGGAAATGTAAGGTGTCATTCTTTCAGGGAAGGTACAATAGCTCCAGGAAGTGGATAAAATGATCTCTCAAAAGGAAGAAGGGGGTATCAAGTTCCCCACCCCTCCTCCTTGGTTTTCATTATGTCCCCTCATTGTTTTTTATTTCAAAATTCGAATAATGTGCAAGCTTTGATACATCCAGGTTTTTAATCCTGCCAAGAAAACATTGTACTTTTGAGATAATCAAGTAGACAGCACTACTCTTAATCTTGACAAAAAGAAAAGAAAAAATAAATAAACCACAGAGCTGATGAGAAGACCCTAAAGGACTCAGAGCTTGTAATGACACACATTATTTCCTTTAGTTTGAGTTTTTCCTTTCATGAAGAAAACTCTAAGATATACAAAAATAGTTCTTTATGGCTTGAAGCTCTTATATTGCTAATGGCTTTTGACAGTGGTATTACAGCTTGTTTAATCCAATTGAATTTGATTATTCATTCAGTAAGAAGATAAATTAGTTGACAGAGGAAATGTTTTTCAGTCACTGGTTCATATTAATGTCTGAAAATTCAGTTGTCCAGAAAAAAAGAGATAGGGGTAGAAGAGAAGCCAAAGAGATATAATTCTAATCAAGGATTTTCCTGAAATTTGAATTTGACTATGAAGAAAGTATTGATTGTGGGGAGAAATAATGTTAATTCCCTAAAACACAGGGTGAGAACTTTTTAATGGAGTACACATTACTCATCAAAATATAGTCCCAAACTATATTATCAAACATGTCTAACCCACTTTACACACATACACACACACACACACACACACACACCACCCTACGATGCAGTTATATGAATCTTTATTGTTTACTAAACATAATACATTTCCTCCTTCCCCACTTACGTGCCTTTGCACATTGTATTCTTTGTATCCTCTTCCTAGAATGCTCTTCTTTAAATTGATAAACTTATCCTTCAAAATGCAACAAAAATACCACCTTTTCAATGAAGTCCTTCAGAATCCCCCCAGTGTCCCATAGAAATTTGCATATCCTCTTAATTCAATGTCCTGCAACCTTCTTTGCACATTAGCACCCCTGGGATTTGGCATGATCCTATCAGTAATGCTGTCTCAGTGGGGTTTTATATGAGAAGGGGCTTTCTATGGGTGAGGCAACAATGGTTCTCTCTTGTGAGGTTGAAATTTCCAGGGTATGAGTTTAATTTGAAACACCCACAACTCCCCTTCCCCACCCCTACCCCAGCATAAACTCTGGCATATCCACTTCCTATTCCATGGACAATCACTGCTTCACTGCTCCACTTATTACTGTTGTCATAACATCTTGTGAATATTTGTTTCCGCCTCTCTTTCTGATACTAGATGGTATTATTCATTTTTATGGTCAATGTTCCCCTTCTCACAGTGAAGTATTTCACATATAGGAGGTGCTCAATAAATGTTTGTTCTAAGAACAAGGGCATGAATGAATGAGTAAATGCCTGAGTAACAGAATGATTTCTAGGACATCATAGGATTCGGCATCCTTAACTGGTGAAGAGATGAACCAAAACACAGTTATACTCTTGTGCAGGGAGTGGTCTGGGTAGCTTTAATTTGTCAGTAACCCCCAGCCACATGTTGCTATTGTGTATCTGAAGTGTGAATAATCTGAATTGAGATGTGCTGTGAGTGTAAAACTTCACACTGGATTTAGGAGACAGTATAAATACCTATATATATATCTACATATATATAAAATATATCAGTATCAAAAAGCAAAACATCTCAATTTTTATGTTGATTACTTGTTGAGATATTTTGATCTATTGAGTTGAAGTATATTAGTAAAATTAATTTCACCTGTTTCTTTTTATTTTTCTAATGTGACTGGTAAAAAAAAATTGCATATGTAGCTCACATGGCATGCATTATATTATATTTCTCTTGAACAGCACTGGTCTTAAGAAATGAATCTCAGGCCCTGAATGGTTGAGTCTAACTTTGGCCCACTCAGATGAAAGTCTCTGTGCAGGCAAACGAAGGAAGTTGATGTGCACACTGATCTCCTTGAAAGTGCATTGAAGCTATACTGAAGAGCACTGGGATCAACAGTAATCTTTCAATAATTTCTGGTTCTCCACTATTTTCCAGGTATCTAATCTGATCCACACTTCTCACTGCGCTTCTTATCACATATCATTAGGTATTAGTTGTGTGCACCCTTCACCTCAGCACCAAGGCTGTGTTAGCTTCACTCTTAAGGTCCTTCACCTACTAATAACTTTCCCTTTACCGGGACAACACAGATGCTGCCCAAGCTGCAGTCTTCCTATCCCCTACCCCCAAGTATCTTACTGAGGCACCCCTTGCTATGGATTCCCATTGCACTGATAGCATTTTCAACATTATATTGTAATTTGCTGTGTGTCTCAATAACTAGCCTATAAGTTCTTTGAAGGCAGAGACTCTCACAATCAATATTTAAATGTTACACACCAAGAGAATAAATCAGTTCAGTGATGATCTAATTTGCCCATAAATTTCCATCAAACATCTGCCCTAGAGAAATCATACTTCTTTAAAAAAAAAACATATATTATCTGACATAAAGAAAACATATCAAAGCCCTAGCTGGAATCAAGCTTGATGACTAAAATCTACTTAATCCTCAAAAAGCCTTGTGTCAGGACCCACCTTCTGCAAAAGCATTACAGTTTATTATGGAAAAGCGATTGCTAAAACACGTTGGCTTCCTTTTTCCTGTCAGGAGATCTCATTCCAGTGTTAACCTGAGGAGCCTGCATATATTTGCCTTTGTCCCAGAAATATATAAGTGTTCCTGTGCTGTGGAGAATTAGGCACTGGGAAGTTAAGAGAGGGAGAGAGAGAGAGCCCAGAATTGGAGTCCCAGTCTTCTAAATGCAACCTATAGCTTGGAAATAAATTAGACTTTTAAAGACAGATATTTATTGGAGGTACTCCTAACAAATTTTTACCTACTCAAGAAACCTGAGTCATAATTCTCATATTCCATTCTGGTCTACCTAACCTCAGCACACTTATGTGACTACTAAAATTGTTTATTAACTTAAAAACTTTTTGATGGCAACAAAAAAAGAGCAGTAAAAAAATGAGAAAACATTTACATTATAAATAAAATCCAAGGCCAGGTGCAGTGGCTCATGCCTGTAATCCCAGCACTTTGGGAGGCCAAGGCAGGCAGATCACTTGAGGTCAGGAGTTTGAGACCAGCTGGCCAGTATGGTGAAACCCCGTCTCTACTAAAAATACAAAAATTAGCCAGGCATGGTGGTACACATCTGTAATCCCAGCTATTTGGGAGGCTGAGGCAGGAGAATCGCTTGAACCTGGAAAGCGGAGGTTGCAGTGAGCCAACATTGCGCCACTGCACTCCAGCCTGGGTGACAGAGAGACTCCATCTCAAAAATAAAAAATGAAAAATAAAATAAAATCCAAAAATGGTTTATCATTTATTCTTTCACTCAGTTAACTCTAAAAGATATGTCTACACATGCCTCCCTAAGAAAGAGCTGATAAATCTTGACCACTGAGGCCAAGAAAATAGTTCTAGACTCATCTGTTCCCTCTCTTGCATAATCTAGTGTTTTCCTGTCTACACAGTCTAATCTGTGATAGGTCATCCTCTTTTAATTCAGGGACCTTATTACTAATCACAGATAGTTCTTGGCTTTTGTTTATAAACTTTGTCAAAGTCTGGATTTAAAGAAGCAGGTTTTCTCAATGTATTTCTGCAAGAGGCAAAAAAAATCACATCAACAAGTTTTACAAAGGGCTGCTTGCCCTTACTTGCCTTTACTGTGTTGCTTCAGTTCTCCGATCTTCCCCACTGTGAGGACATAGCAAGAAGGCACCTTCCACAAGCCAGGAGGAAACAGGATGTACTGGCACCCTGATCTTGAACTACCACCCTCCAGAACTGTGAGAAAATACATTTCTGTTATTTAAGCCACCCGGTATAGGGTATTTTGTTATAGCAGGCCAGATCGATTATTATAGAAGTTCATATTTGCAGAAGCTCAACCTAGATTATCGTGCTTGGACAAGAAAGAATAACTATGCTACCAAGATTTAACTATACCATTTTATTTCCTTTACACTTGATAGAATAGATTTCTAAATTAGGGCCCACCAGTGAATTTTAAGGGATCCCCTTTTTTTCTGGGGAGAGGGTTTATTATACTTATCAACTTTTCATAAGGGATCTCTGATCCAAACCTTTTTTAAAAAATTGCTGTATGAGATTTCCACTGGGG
The DNA here is from genome assembly GCF_000001405.40 of Homo sapiens. Taxonomy (NCBI): domain Eukaryota; kingdom Metazoa; phylum Chordata; class Mammalia; order Primates; family Hominidae; genus Homo; species Homo sapiens. The sequence goes on from NC_000009.12 coordinate 21,759,292, forward strand.
AACCCAAAGCTCATAAGCCAAATATCAGGAATCTCAGGTTTCTGCTCCACAGACACATGATTAGACATCAGTAAATGAAGCATAAATATTTATCCCCTTCTTGTTTCTTTGGATACATTTCCCCTTCCAATACCCAGGTAAAAGTCTTTCCTTTAATGTGATCTCTAAATTGTATACCTTTCTTCAAGAGAACTACTAAAATCAGACATGAAAGCTATATAAAATATGATAGCTAAAATAAAGCTCTAGAACAACCAATTGTGGAGAAAATATTTTGAATCCACTTTGAGTGGGTTAGTACTGAGTGATAGGAAGCGTATCTTAGAAAAGCTTACTTGAACATCAAGGGCAGCAGTTGCTCTTTGGTTAATTCGCATGCTTTCAGCTATTCTCTATCCAGGCAGTCACCATGGTGGAGGGAAATCTGCTGAAAACAAGGACCAAGCATTCCTTACCTGTAAAAAGCTGACAGAGCACCTTCATTTCTAGCCACAGGACTCCCTTCTGCACTAGTCTCTAACCCTGAAAGGCACTTGTTTGTACTTCAGGGAGGTAAGGCTGGATGTCACCTCTAGATAGGTTCAGAGGGATGATTGTGTCCATTCAAGATGTCTGTCAGCCATCACCATTACTAGGACCCTGAGAATCTGTTTAAATATATATATACATGCATGTGTATTTGTATCAACATATTTATATATATCAACATATTTATATATATCAACATATTTATATATATCAATATGTTTATATTGATATAATATACATAGATATATAGATATGTCCATATAAATACATATATAGATATATAATATTTAATTATGCATAATGTATTTTATATAATATATATTATTTATATTATATGACATATATAATATATAATATATTACACAATATCTATATCTATATATCATGCATCCTAAATGCTCTATTTTCCCAAGCAGATAGCCATCTTTTTCACTGTCTTAAAGGATGCTCATTCAACAAGCTACTACATATGTATATGCATATGTATATGTATATGTATTGCGTATGTGTATGTATGTGTATATATATATATGTATATATATGCTAGCATTTTCTTGTACAGAGCAGTATTATGCCCCTTCATTAGAGGAAACAAACTTTTAGAGGTAAGGTTTCATTGACAAACACTTTATTTAAAAGCTTATGGAGAATTTCCCCTAAAATACTTCAGACTTTTTATTCTATCATAAGGAATTAATGTTGTCCATCAGCAGGAAAAAATGCAGCACATTGTCTTAATTATTTAGAGGTTTCACTTTTTTTGAGTAGTGGGAGGGCTATGAATAAAACAAAAACATGCTTACATTTTCCTAAATTTTTAACTTGGATTCCATTTACCGCTACCTATCAGAAAGATGGTGCGGGAATTAGACTGTGGCAGCGGTTGGGGTGGGGATGGAATATGGGAACCGGGACTATCACTTTTAGAGTTTTATTTCCACATCCAGTTTTCAAATCTGTCCTTGTTTTCATGTTTTATTGGCAACTGGTTTGGAGTACAGAGGCTAAACATACCCATCTATGTGAAATACTTGAAAGACGATCAATTTAAATACAAAATCTGAAAGAAAATTGAAACAGTTCATCAATCTCAGGAAGTTTCAGGAATATCTAAATGTAATGAACATAATAAATTGATGACCGACTGGCGTTTCCAATTTTCTTCAAGACCATTGGAAATCTTTTCATAAGAGTCTTTGAGTTGTTTTAAGAGTCTCTCAAGCATACAAATATATAACAAATTAAAAAGAAGTTATAAAATATAACTGCTATGTGCTCCGATATTAACAATCAATTCTTTTTCAAATGTGTAGGTGATGTTCTTAAGCAGCTGTGGCCACAGTAGGGATCTGTGTCAGTACTAGTCTGGATTTGCCCTTCACTTGTGTCCTGAATTTTTATATTTCTAACCCTTGTTGTTTATTGTTTCTATACCCCACACTGCTCTATACCTGTCTAGTCAATTCCTGGTAACAGGATAATCTAAGAGTGAAGAGTTTTGTGTACTTTGCAACCGTTCTAAATTTGTAGCTGCAAATGCAAGTTTTCCATCTCAGCCACGCAGGCTTCATCAACCATATTTCTATTGCTCTTGTTATTTCTATTTCTGTTTTGAATTGCTCTTTTTTAGCCCCTACCACAAGAAGCAGAGCTGTGATGACACTTTCATGTGGCTAACGTCAAATCCACTAGGCTTCTTGCCTGAATCACCATGAGTGAAAGTGTTGGGATACCACTGTGGCTTTCAGAATGAATAAACCCTGCTCTCATTCAGCTGCTGTTTTCAAAGTTGCTTTCAGTGTTGAATTTTAAGTGGGATTCTTTCTGATTTTTCACTACAGACACAAGTTGGTGTGTATGGATCTCAGCCTAGTCGACCATGACTTGGCATTTTAACCAAGTCATAATTCTCAATGGACATTTTTGAAAGATGCTGATCAATTGTCCATTGAGGAAAAATAGTCTACATACTCTCACTTGGCAAACATTCCCCAAATTTTTCAGCCTCTTTAGATATAATTAAAAGAGATAATGATGGTGGGATGTCAGGAGGCTCCCCTTTTCCCACTGAAACCAGGGAGATTCAGATGAGGCTCAAATCAGTACAAATGGGATTCAAGTTAAGTCTAAGAATCTAATTTCTGAATCTAAGTCTTTAAATCTGGTAGAATAGTAAAAGGTTTGTCTTCAAGAGATTTTTTAAAAGAGGGGACAATTTGCATACAATATTTATTGAGAATCTACTAAATGCTAGATAACCAGAGACGGTAAGACGCTGTTTCTGCTCCTATGGAGCTTGCAGTATGGAATCAGTCAGCTAATTAGAGAAGAAGTTATGACAAAGTTTGGGTTATATTATGACAGAGGAAATTCAGGATATTCTAGTATCAAGGAAAAGTAAAGAAAAGGACTTCTGGAAGAAGTGCCACCTCAAAAGTGCCTGAAGGGTGAGTGAGTTGGAATTAGTCATGAAAAGAAGGAATAGAGGTAGAAGGAGGTTTGAAGTACTCACGAAAGCATTCATTTACTAGTGCAAATGAGAGCATGGTGGAACAACATGGAACTGACAGAAACTTAGAATGGTTGAAATTCAAATGGACAGGGTGAAGGGGATATGAGATGAGTATGAAACACAAGGTCATATTGGGGTGAAAATTGCAAGCCATATTAAGGAATTTGTAATTTTTTTTCCTAAGGAAAATAGCCATTGAAGGTCTTCTTTTTTTTTATTTTATAATTATTACACTTTAAGTTTGGAAAGGACACCACTGGCAACAATGTGACCAATGAATTAGGGGCGAGTTAGGATGTAAGGAGACCAGGTAAGAGGCTATGAAAAGTAGTTGCAATTTGGACTAGGATAGTAGCTGAGGACACAGGGAGGACTGGAGGGAATCAGGACATTGCTAAAGGGTCAATTACCGTAGATTGATTGAATGCAAAGGGGAAAGAAAAAAAAGGAAGCTGGTCAATGGATACGAGGAATTAAGATGATAGCCTGAAAGTAAGGGTATTTATTAAAAACCAAAAATATAATCCACGCTGGGCCTGGTGGCTCACACCTGTAATCCCAGCACTTTGGGAGGCCAAAATGGGTAGATCACTTGAGCCCAGGAGTTTGAGACCAGCCTGGGCAACATGGTGCAACCCTGTCTCTACAAAAAAATATAAAGCTAGCCAGGCATAGTGGCATGCACCTGTAGTCCCAGATACTTGGAAAGCTGAGGTGGGAGGATCACTTAAGCCGGGGAGATTGAGACTGCAGTGAGCCATGATGGTGCAACTGCACTCCAGCCTGGGCAACAGAGCGAGATGCTGTCTCAAAACAAAACAAAACAAATATGATTCCAGGAATTTAAGCATAGAGCTTTGTTTTTATCAAAGACTAAAAAATAAATGATTCAGAGTCTTTCTTGTTCAATGATTTTATTAGTATTAACTAGTCTTTCAGTGCTGAGAAGCCATTTAATTTTTTAAGTCACCTCTAGCTGTAAGCTCAATTCACAGTATTTTTTGTGAAATAACCATCTTCATTCAGAGTTTAGTTAGCCACCCCCACAAGTAGGAAGAAATCCAAGGTTTATATATTTAACATTCTATAAAAGATCTGTGTATAAATATTAAATTCCTTAGCATAATTTGAAAAAGTTCAGATTGAGAAAATTTGAGTGCAAAGTAGTTTGAATTATACAGCAAAAAGAATATACTCTATGCGACATATATTTTCTAAGAGGTATGCACAATTTATGTATTTTATGTAATAATAATTGAAACAAACAAAAAACTTAATGGATTTACATAGCTAGATTCTATCTTAAGAATTACCAAAAGAACATAGAATATTAATCTATTCATGGCATAGGAGGGTTGTCAATGTTTATTATGTGGTGCTTTAAAAAATATGTAATATATGTTCTGTATCTGTACAAGTTATTGATAAGAGAAAGATACTGAAAAATGGTCCCATACCAACAATTCCTATCAGACCAATCTTACTTCATCGTATAATGAATGTTACAGGGGATGGAAGGAAACAAAAATATTAAAAATGAATGTTTGAATTATGTCCTGATCAGTATTAATATGCCAGGAATATATTTTAGAAACCCAACAGTACTAGGGGAAATGATAATGAATGTGAAGCCCTGGTAATCAATATATTATTATGAAATACTGTTTACAGTTTTGTTTCATTTTTTCTAAAAATATTCAAAGCAAATCTATGCTGAGTAAAGAGTTTGGCATCTGTCTTATTTATAGATCTATCCTGGATGTGTATGTGTGACACAATACAAATTTCTCACCTTTTCTGCCCCTAAACTTGTTTACCCTCCTATGTTCCCTGTGTCCTTGATGGTTCCCCCTAGCTACTAGGCACCAAAACAAAATCTGGGAAGCATGCTAGACCTCACCCCTGTCATCTAGTCAATCTCTGGATTCAGTCAATTGTAATTCCTAAATATTGCTCAAGTCCAAATTTTGTCATATAGATCTACCTCCTAGCCCTTGATATCACTCAGCTGAATTATTGCAATATTCCCCTAACTGGACTCTCTGCATTGAATTCTCACTTTTCTTTTAAATTATCATTCACTCTTCCACCAGACAGATGAATCTAAAACACAGTTCAGACCAGGTAACACTCTGTCTAAACCCCTTGATCATCATTCCTGCTTCTTTCAGTATATAGTTTTTATTCTTTCTTTGTAAAATTGTAATGGAATTTCAAATGTTATGATTGCAGTGACTTCCAGTATGACAATAACAGAATATCTTGTATCAGATGAACCCATCCTCAGAAAACAATTATAAATTGTGTACAAAGTATTTTAAAAACAAAAATTTAAAGGCACTAAAGAGTGATCAAAAGCAGACAGAAACTAGTGGTGAATTAATCCTTGAAATTAGAGAGTCACATGGGTTTTATAGTTTTTCCCCAGAGGCCCTCTCTGGTCCCCGCAATATTTAGAATATAGAACTAAAACAAAATGAAACTTGCCTTCTTATTGAAGTCAAATTAGGAATTTCCTTTCCAGGAAATGGAATCACAGAAGGGGAAGATGGAGGAGTCACAGAAGGGGAAGCCTCAAAAGTTGCATAATAATATCCCCTAAAATCCTTGGCTGACTGCTTGTGCACGGGAGCAACTCCAGGGAAGCCGGGAGGAAAACCACAGAAAAAACATTGAAAGGATGAAAAACCGATCATATATTTCAGCTGCTACCTACTGCAGAGAAACAGTTTAGAGTTCAAGTTCAACCAAATTAGAGGGGCTTAGAAAACACTGTGAGTTTTCCATTGAAATTCCAGAAAGGTTACACATATGAAGTAAAGACCACATTCCAGGACTAAGGGATTATTTGCTCTTCAACTTGAGACAAAACTAAAACAGGCTTAACTTAGCAAATTGTGAAACCAAACCCCACAAGTTCAAAATCATCTGCCTATAATTTAGCTATCTGCTAGAATAAAACGACCTCTATTTAGTGTGAGAGTTAGCAAACTAAAACCCATGGCCTATTTTTGTATGACCCTCAAGATAAGGAAGACTTTTACATTCTTAAAGGGTGGAGAAGGAGGAGGAAGGAAGGAGAGGAGGAAAGAGAAGAGGAAGAAGAAAAGAAAGAGGAAGTGTTGGGGAAGAAGAAAAGGAAGAGGAAGGGAAAGGGAAGAAATACCAATAACCAAAGGTTGCCTACAAGGCCTAAAATATTTACCATATATCCCTTTATAGAAAAAGTTTCCCAGTACACCCTTTAAAGAAATATGGTATAATCCAGAACCTCTACAATGTATTATCTGTGATATCCCAAATGCCATTAAAAAGTATTGGTAATGTAAAGAAACAAGTAAATGTGTCCATAAAACGATAAAGTTGGTTAACAGAAATAGGTCTACAATGCTGGTCCATAAAAGAACCTTAAAATAATCATGACAATTATTTCAAATATGGTTTCAGTTGATGAAAAGGGGAGAAATTCTGGGAGAGATTTGTAAACTGAAAAGAATAACAAAAACAAATGAAAATTCTAGAACTAAAACAATTTAACATCCGAAATTTAAAAATCATTTAATAAGATTATCAATGGATTAGATACAATAGAAATAATGGATTAATGAGTGTGAAGACTACTTAATAAAAACATCCAAACTTAAACAAAGAGAGAGAAAAAAGTTTGAAAAAATCTAACAAAACTTCAAGGATCTGTGGGACAGTACAAGTCTAATGTGTATAATTAGTGTTTCAGCAAAGAAGAAAGACAATGCATTTCAATATGTGTATATCTATATCTGTACACACATATTAGCTGAAGAATGTTCAAATTTGACTAAAAACTGTGGATCAAATTTTTTAATTTGATCCAAAGGCTCAGGAAGCTCGGTGAATTTCAAACAGGATGAATACTAATGTGATATTGTGAGTTGGCTTTAGGGAGGTTCAGGGAACCTTTGGAGTTGGAGGCTCACTTCACAGAGCTTGCTATAGCTCTACAAAGAGTGCTTTCTTCTCCACGAGGACAAAGGTCTTCATTCTTGGTTAAGTAGTTGGAAAGTAAAAAGGAAACTTTACCCTCAGATGCTAAATTGGTATACATTTATCATTTATTGAGTTTCCACTATGTGCTAGGCCATTCTGGGTGCTTTAGCATGTTATGTCATTTAATCCTTACAATCTTGTGTATAATTTTATAGATAAAGAACCTAAGGCTCACAGAGGTATGCAACTTGTGCCAGGTCACAAGTCATAATTTTTAGAAGAAATTTAAATACAATTGATCTATAAATGAAACCTGTACTCTTTCCACCACTTTTCCCTTAGACCCCACAGCATATACAAATATATGCACAATGGTTATAACTATTTGCTAAACTAATAACTGTCTTTGTTTTGTGCTACCATAACAGCAGACCAGACACTGGGTAATAAATTAAATAAAAAGAAACATTTCTCACAGTTCTGAAGGCTGGGAAGTCCAATGGCAAGGGGTTGGCATCTTGAAAGGGCCTTCTTGCTGTGTCACCTCATGGCAGAAGGTGAGACGACGAGAGAGTGAGAGACAGAGCAAGGGAAGGGGACTAAACTCACCCTTTTATAATGAACCCACTCCCACAATAACAGCATAAATCTGTTTATGAGGGCAGAACCCTCATGGCCTAATCACCTGTCATTAGGACCCACTTCCCAGCACTGTTGCACTGGAAATTAACTTTCCAGCACATGCTTTTTGGGGGATACATTCAAACCACAGCATTTAGCCCCTGGCCCTTAAAATTCATGTTCTTCTCACATGCAAAATATGTTTATTCCATCCCAATAACCTCAAAGTCTTAATGTGCTCTAGCATCAACTCAGAAAAAGTCCAGAGTCTAAATCAGGTATATGTGAGACTCAAGGCACAATTCATCCTGAGGCAAATTCCTCTACTGCTGTGAGCCTGTGAAATAAAAATAAGCTATATAATTGCAAAACATAATGGTGAGATAGGCATAGGATAGCCATTTCATTACAAAAGGAAGAAGTAGGCAAGAAGAAATGAGAAACTGATCCCAGGTAAGTAAAAAACCCAACAGGGTAAGCAATGTTGAATCTTAAAGCAGTAGAATCATCTTTTTTGACTCAATGTCCTTTGTGCACACTCGGGTAGGAGTTGGGCTTCCAAGGCCTTGGGCAGTCCCACCCCTATGACTATGCTGGGGACAGCCCACACAGCAGCTTTTGCATGTTGGATTCTCCTGTCTGCAGCCCTCCCAGGCTGGAGTTCCATGATGGTGGCTCTACAGTTGTGGAGTCTCAACAGCAACCTGACCTCCGTGACTCCAGGAGGTATTGCCCTAGTGGAACTTTCTGTAGTGGCTCTGCCTCATGACAAGTCTCTGTCTGAGCACCAAGGCTGTCTGAGAAATCTTTTAAAATCTAGGTGAAAGAAGCCATGACTCCGCAGCTCTTGTATTTCATGAGTCTTCAGAATTAGCCCCATGTAGATGCTGTCAGTTTATGACTTACCCCTTCCAAAGTAGTGACACAAGCTGGATTGAGGCTGGCTTGAATTGTAGCTGGGGTGGTCAAGGAATGCTGCACCAGAATGGGGAGAGCAGAAATCTGAAGTGGCACAGGGCAACAGATGCTGAGGTCCTGCAGGCAACTCTCTCTGGAAGCCTTGGTCAAGATACAGAACGAATCCACCAGGATGCTTTCTTAGCCCAGAATCTGGCTTATTTGCTCTATGGTTCAGTATTGAACCTGTACTTTAGTTTCCTATTGTGTATTCTGTTTACCCAGTTGGGTCTGGGGTTGCCTTTGGCTGGATCCCAGCCATCAAGATATGTTTTACTGTGAGTGGAGTCTACCTTCTTTATCTACTGGGAGAGGCCCTGATGTAAAGCAAGCAGGCCACTTGGAAGTACATTAATCACTTGGGAAATTTCTCTGTCTCCTGTGGCTATCAAACACCAACTTAGATTGAGTACCATTTTATTTCTTGATCCTTTTGGGCACTGAAAAACGTACAACTATTTGTTTCTAGATGACTGTCCTATCAATGAAGGCCATGTTTTGCAAATCATAGCATTTCCCAATTACCTGATCCCATCCTTTATGCACTAGGCATATATTGAGATTTCCAAATGCCTAGCAGCAGAGTCTTAGTAAGATTTTGGAGTTTTCAAAATCCAGTCTCCTTGAATATTTATCTAAGTGTGAAGGGTTGTAGTATTTGTGATTGGTGAGCATTCAATCTGCTGTAACACACCTGAAACTCTGGCTTTACAAAGCAACAATAATATTAACTAACACTTACTGAATACTTGCTGTAGCCAGTTTTATATATGCATTATCTCATTTTTAATTTTTATAACAACCATACAAGGGGAGTGTGGTAGTCAGAATAATGGCCTCCAAAAGATGTCCAAATTCTAAACCCCAAACCTGTGAATCTGTTACGTTATATGGCAAAGGGGAATTAGGGATCAGGGTAACAGGGTAACAGATGAAGGTAAGATTGCTAATCAGTTGGTCTTAAAATGGCGAGATTATCCTGGATTATGTGGATGGACCCAATATAATCAGAAGGTTTCTTAAATGTGGAAGAGAGAGGCAGAATAGTCAGTGTCACAGTAACACAATGTGAGAAGGACTCGGCTGGCTATTGCTAAATTTGAAGATAGAAGGAAGCCACAAGCTGAAGAATTAGGCAGCCTCCAGAAGCTGGAAAAGGCAAGGAAACAGATTTTCCTCTGGACCCTCCAGAAGGAAGACAGTCCAGCCAACACCTTGATTTTAGTCCACTTAGACCCACATCAGGTTTCTGACATGCAAAACTGAAAGATAAATGTGTGTTGTTTCAAGCCACTCAGTTTATGATCATCTGTTACAGCAGTAGTAGGTAACTAATACAAGCAAGTACTATAATAGTCCTGAATATTAGATGTAAAATTTTGAGCCTTAGATGGAGTTAATTACCTCAATAAACAAATACTTTGTTTAAAGGCAGTCTCATAGTTTGGACTAGGAAGAAGGCAATCTGACAAAGTTCCTGTTTTTCTTTTTAAGATGAAATTATTTCTTCTATCCTCATCTTTCCAAATGGATGTATGGCACTGGTTGACTGCATATATTGTCATACAGCATACGACCTTAAAATCTAAAAACTTAACCTGCTCATAATAAAGGAATTTTTCTGCAAAATATCCCTTATTTCACAACCATGAGATAAATATCACATATGATGTGGTTTGGATATTTGTCCTTACCCATATCTCATGTCGAATTGTAATCCCCAGTGTTGGAGGAGGGGCCTGGTGAGAGGTGATTTGATCGTGGGGTTGATCCTTCATGAATAGTTTAGCACCTTGGGTGCTGTTCTTGTGAGTGAGTACTTGTGAGATCTGGTTGTTTAAAAGTGTGTTGGCAGGCCAAGCGTGGTGGCTCACGCCTGTAATCCCAGCACTTTGGGAGGCCGAGGCAGGTGGGTCACTCGAGGTCAGGAGTTCAAGAATGTTGAAACCCCATCTCTACTACAAACACAAAAATTAGCCAGGCACAGTGGCACATGCTTGAACCCAGGAGGCAGAGGTTGCCGTGTGCCAAGATTGTGCCACTGCACTCCAGCCTAGGCAACACAGCAAGACTCCATCTCAAAAAAGAAAAATTAAAAAAATTAAAAAAAATAAAAGTGTGTTGGCTGGGCAAGGTGGCTCACGCCTGAAATCCCAGAACTTTGGGAGGCCATGGTTGGGGATCACTTGAGGGTAGGAGTTCGAGACTAGCCCGGCCAACATGGTGAAACCCCATCTCTACTAAAAATACAAAAATTAGCCGGGCATGGTGGTGCTCACCTGTAATTCCAGCTACTCAGGAGGCTGAGACAGGAGAATCGCTTGAACCCAGGAGGTGGAGGCTGCAGTGAGCCAGCCTCACAGCCTCCACAGTTAGTGGAGATTGTGCCACTGCATTCCAGCCTGGGCAACTGAGTGAGACTCCATCTTCCCACCCCCGAAAAAGTGTGTAGTACTTACTCCCTCTCTCTCTTCCTCCTGCTCCAGCCATGTAAGACGTGCCTGCTTCCCCTTCACCTTCCATCATGATTGTTTCCAGAGACCTCCCCAGAAGCCAAGCAGAAGCCACTGTGTTTCCTGTGCAACCTGCAGAACCATGAGCTAATTAAACTGCTTTTCTTTATAAGTTGCCCAGACTCAGGTATTTCTTTATAGCAGTGCAAGAATGGATTAAGACCATGTAGCTCAAGTGGCCAAAAAAAAAAAAACCTCACAATTCTAGTACAATTTTCCATGTAAGAAGTACAAAAACTAAAGAAGTCAACAAAAGAGAGTTACCCAAGTGACGAAGTCCATCAGAAAATGGTTTAAGTCTATCAGAAAATAACTTAAAACTGGAAATAAAATGTGGATGTTTTTGAGCTAAAGTGCTGTTTTCTGATGTGTACTCTATAAATTAGGTAGTTATATCTCTTCAAGTAAACTACTTCATATTAGTGTTTTTGGCATCATATAACAGAGCTTTAATGTTGATGCCAGATTCCTTAGGGGTGACAGACACATCACACTAGCATACTTCATGATAAGCCCCATGTGTGTTTTTATTAAATATTACAGTAAAACCTCACCTGCATATTTTTAAATTAGTTATTTCTGTGATAAATCCTTCACCAGGCAATGATCTAGACTGAGACTAAAATTGCCTCAAGCACTTTCATTTTTAGTGCTTTGTTCCAGTGACTTTAATCTCTAGCTTACTTCATAAGCAAAGTATATACTGATAAATACAATGAAGCCTAAGCCCTATTTGGCTGAATACACTATTCTGTAGGGAAATGAAATGAAGTCAACTAGTTACACAAAAACTATGTTTAGCAATTTACTAATCTTATTTGTAAGGCAGCAGAGCAGAGAGCCAAGACAACCATTGCCTTAATCCTTTCTTCCTTAACTTATTTCTACTGACAGCCAGCTTCTGGTTGTCTCCTAGGGCTAAGCTTAAGAGTCTGGCTGGGAAAGAGCTCTCACACTGGCAGGGCTCCCCTCCACCACTTACTCTGAAGCTCCCCTAGTCCAGCAAATAAGCATTCAGAAACAGTCCTTTCGTATGTGCTCAGGCCATCTATTCAAATCTCTTAGTCACAGCCCTTCATTGCTTTCCTGTCTTGGATGACTCAGAAATAATAAAGTATTTTTCTTCTTGTATGTCTCCAGTAATTTTATGTGGACATCATGGCTATATAAGTTGCCTAGAGCCACAATATAGCTGCATAACAAATGATCCCCCAAACTCAGCATCTTACAACAACATTTATTCTTACACTTGTGGATCTGTAACTGATATGGTTTGGCTAATTGAGGCTCTCTTTCAAGCTGTGGGTTGGCTGGACTTGGCTCTTGACTGCAGGTTCACTTCAAGTCTGTTCCAAGGTTTTTGTTCTGAGGCTAGACTGATGGGGAACCTGCTATCCAGGGCAAGTGCTTCTGATGGTGGAATGCTTCAGCCCAGGAGGCCAAGCAGAACCATTCAGGCACATTTCTAGTCTCTGTTTCACTAACATCCAATAGTCAAAGCAAGTTATATGTTTAAGCCCAAAGTCAAAGAGTAGGAAAAATACACTTCACTCACATGAGAGCAAGGCAAGAGAGGGAATAAGATAAACCTGTCATGGGACAATGAAGAATTGAGACCAAAAAGTCAATCTACAGTGGCCCATATCACAGAATAGATTAAGCTTCTTGGTGAACCAATTCCTGGAAGGACTGAGGTAAAGGGGAGTGAAGAAAAAAACTGCAGTTGGAAGAGCTATGAGTTCCCAGCAATAAAGCAAATTAGGCAGTTCCAAATTGAGATCGCATTAGATGGTTTTATTTGCTAGCACTTTCAATTCTTGCATTTTTAGCATAATTATAATACATCTGCACGGCCTTCAGTAGTTATTCTCCTCATTTCTCACCTTTGTATATATTCTGCTACTAGTGCTGAAGAATATATAAATTATGCTAGGTATAGAGTTTGAAAGGCCTAAATTTTAATCACAGATCTATAATGTACTTGCTAAGTAACCCTGAGCAAGTCCTTCAAGGTTTCTTGGCCTGTTTCCTCACCTTTAAATTGCGACAATATCTGTGCTTCAGAATTCTTGCAAATATTAGATATTATACATGCAATACTGCTGGCACGTAATAGGGGTCTGAAAACAATGGAAACTGATTTTCTTCTAAACCCTTAGTCTTTCCCCTTCTCCCTGTCCTTTCACCCAGCATCTCCCCCTAGAAATGTTTCTGTTTGTTTATTTAGAACAGTCAGTAGGCATCAATGGCATTTTGGGGCCATGACATTGGGGACTTTCTCATTGGTTGGCAAGTCCCTGACTTTGTCCTCATTCCTCTTCTTCAACTCAGTATTCTGTGCTATAGCATAAAGGAAATTGAAGTAAGAAATTTTGAGCATGTCAGTGTCTAATTGTACAATCAGTTTCCAACTAGGCTATAAAGAAAGAGATTTCACCCCCTGCCAGAGTGCTTTAGGTCAATAGGGTTGAGAAGCTTTAAATATTCCTCTCTAAGGAAAGATCCCTTGAGACTCTACATCTCACCTCAGACTGGATGTTACTCCACTTCAGTGTCTTCATATGGATTATAATTATAATTTTCTGATAAATTGTGTAATTATTGACTAGCATACAGTCTATTTCAAAAAGGTAGGAGTTATTTCTCTTTTTCACCACTGGAATCTTAGCAGTTGGCACAGCAGATGCTCTATAAATATCTGTCAAATAAATGAACAAAAGAATTATGGCTGAGCCTGGATTTTAGAGAAACTGAAAGCCTTCCTAATTAAATACAAACTCAGCCCATTACTTTCACTTCTCAACTTTAAATTTATGTTTATTATGCTCTTACACATCATCTTTAGGCTGTTCTTCCACATAATTGTCAGTCCTCAGCCTTAATATTTGAATTCTAATAAACTGCTCTTAGAGGCTTACTGTGTAACAGCTGAGTTTTCTACTTTATATGCATGCAGTATCTAGAGGTTAAAGAGGAGGTCATTATAATCTAACCAGAATATGTTTGAATTTATAAAATGAATGATAATATTACCATGAAGCTCTCATCACTCCACAGTTTGACTGTTAAACAATAGGACTTTAACTTTTTAATTCTCATAAATTGATATAATTGCACTTAGACTTATTTATCTTTATTGTAGTTTCTTTAGAAAAAAAGCAAATGTTTGGCAATTATTTAAAGGAATCACCATAAAACACTCTTCAGAATTTGAACTGAAGTAGTAGCTCAAGTGTTGCCAAATAATTCACTAAACTATGAAATCATGTGTGTGTGTAGAAATAATATATACAATCCATTCTAACCTGTTACTTGATATAAATATATACTGCATAACCATATATAATAATATAATACTTTATATATAGTTTTATATACAATGCACATATAATGCAAGAATATAAATTAGTTTTAAACAATGCATAAAATTTTAGCATGCTCTTTTTATGGAAAGTTTCTAAATAACATAATTTTTATTCTAATTAAATTAATTTGAAATTATTTATAAAACTATATGGAAGCAATAAAACCACCTACAATGGGATGTTCCTAGAGTCCTCATTGGTAGCATCCAGGAAAAAAGAAGCCCTTTTAAATTTTAGGTTTTTTTTTCTTTGTGAAACTATATATACAAAAAGAAAAAACTAATAAAACTAAAGTCATACTGCATAAATAATTGTGCTCTCTGATTTTTTTCACTCAAAATACACAGTATATAGTACGCATATCTTTCAAAAGTCTTTAATCGAATCATTTTACTGGCCATATAGCATCTCATTCTATGTATTTACCCAGTCCTCTTATATTGGACATTCAAGATAATTTAAGTTTTCTAATATTATAAATAAGACAGTAATGATAGTCATTTGCTAGGTATTCCACCATACCCAAAAGCAAGCTTCAGCCTAACTAGGTAATAATGCATGTTTTGGTCAGTTTCAAATCCGGTTGATAATCAAACCATAATAAATTGGTTGTCCTTTGGCCAGGTACCCATGCCTGATTGAACCAATCAGGGCCAACAAACCCTGGGTAGAAATGTTCACAGGATAGAAAATAGTGCTAATCAAAGTGTTGCATCTGGAGTGCCATTCAAAATTAGGCAAGATGGTTTTAGGTGGCACATGAACACATGAATAGTTTCATGTTTGTTTTCAATGAATAATGAGGTAACATCAGTAAGGTAATCTCTTTTCATGAATATTAACATCAGTTTTAGTGATAACATTTTATTAATTCATTGAACAAATATGTACGGAGGATCTCTCAGGTAAGCATTGGGGATGCTACTATAAGCAAGACATAAAATTTCTAACCTCAGGAGGCTTACATTCTAGCAAGAGAAATGAGTAATATGGAGGAAATATCAGAAAGTAAGAGAATATAAAATGTGCAGCCTTGGCCTCACTTTAGATAAGGGAGATCTCGGAATTGGAAGGTATCTCTTCTATGAAATAAGGGAATAAGCTGTATAAGGATCAAGTACAAAGACCCAAAAGATAGAGCAAGCTTGGTGCACTGCAGGAAGCAAATTCAGCCAGCTTGGAGTAAGGGAGGGCTGGTAAAGATGACATCAGAAAGGTGGGTCAGGGGCCAGATCACAAACAGCCTTGTGAGCATTAGTAAGGACTTACCATGTTCTCAGTGTAACAGCAAACTATGGGACGGTTTAAACCAGGTTAATTGACCAAATTTATATTTTGAAAACAATCTGCTGCTGTGTGAAGAATTGATTGAAAGCATGCAAGAACAGAAATAGGAAGACATGTTAGGAGATTAATACAACACTCAGATATAATAATAGTGTGGACCAAAATGATA
The DNA here is from genome assembly GCF_000001405.40 of Homo sapiens. NCBI lineage: Eukaryota > Metazoa > Chordata > Mammalia > Primates > Hominidae > Homo > Homo sapiens. The sequence goes on from NC_000009.12 coordinate 21,775,210, forward strand.
GAAGTGGAGACAGTGAGAATTAACAAATTCAAGGCACTTTTTGAAGTAGAGGTGACAAGACTTGTTGATGATAGATATGCCAAATGTGAGCCAGGCACCATGGCTCTTGCCTATGATCCCAGCACTTACGAAGCCTGAGGCAGGAAGATCGCTTGAGCCCAGGAGTTCAAGATCAGCCCAGGCAACATAGCAAGACACCCCATCTCTACAAAAAATAGAAAAAAATAACCACGTGTGCTGGTGCATACCTGTAGTCTCAACTACTCGGGAGTCTGAGGTGGGAGGATTGCTTGAGCCCGAGAAGATAAAGCTGTGGTGGGCCGTTACCATGCCACTGCACTCCAGACTGGGTGATAGAGTAAGAGCTTTAAGAAAAAAAAGAAGGAAAGAAAGAAAGAGAGAGAGAGAGGAAGGAAGGAAGGAAGGAAGGAAGGAAGGAAGGAAGGAAGGAAGGAAGGAAGGAAGGAAAGAAGGAAGGAAGGAAGGAAGGAAAAGAGAAGGAAAAAAGTCAAATTTGAGAAAATAAAGAAAAAGGATAGTGCCTAGACATTTGATTGTGCAGTTTAGGGGATGGATAAGCCAAGGGGAATCCATATAAAGAGCAGATGTGAGAAGAAAAAAAAATTTTGGTTTTAACATGTTATGCTTCTTAGATACACAAATGAATGTACCTACTAGGCAATTGGATATTTAAACCTAGAGCTTAGGAGAAAGGACGGAGGGGGATTATCATCAGCATGAAGATGCTGTGTGAGGCCATGTGCCTGGATGAAATGGTCTAGGGAGTGAGTACAGGCAGTGAAGAAGGCAGGACCAAGCAAGAACATCAAGCTGGAGTGCTCTAATATTGAGAAAGGTAGAGTGTGCAGAGAAAACCAGGATGCAACAGCTGTGTGATGGAACAACAACTAGGAGATAGTGGTATCCAGAAGGGCTCGAGAAGAAAATGCTTCAGGGTGGATGATGATTGTGCCAAATCTGCTGTGAGGCTGCATAAAATGAAGATTGAAAATTAACTGCTGCTCTTAGCAACAGGGAGATTGCTGGTGATTTTGACAGAGCAATTTCAGGAGAGTGATGAGGACTAAATCCCAACTTGAGTGGGCTAAAGAGATGAGAAGTGAGAAAGTGAGAGCGAGTACAGAAAAGTCTCAAGAAACTTGCTATGAAGAAGAGTTGAGGAATGCAACTGGAGCTAGAGTGCAACCAGAAGTCTAGGAAAGGATTGGGTTTGTTTTGCTGAGATGGGGGTCTATTTGTAAGCTGATGGGAATGATCTACAGTAAGAAGGGAGAGTCATGTTCAGGAGAAAAAAGATGATTAGAGGAGTAAAGCCCTGGCACAGGTGGAAGGGGGTGAGAAGCCAGGCTGCAGGAGCTGTTTATCGTCTGTGACCAAAGAGAAGATGGAACACTTGGGTGTGGAGCAAGGAGGTTGGTAGATTTGGTAAAGGGAAAAGGAAGTAGTTCTCTTCTGCTTACTTCTATTTTCTTATGAAATAAAAATCTAGGTTATCAGCTGAGAGTGAAGACAAGGAGGGAATGTTGGAGGTTTAAAAAGGGGGGAAGATATCAAACAGTTGTCTGGACAAAGAACTGACCAGAGAATTCTACTATAAAAAATTTATTGAAGTGCTGAGGACCCACCAGAGATTTGTGGCCAAAATGTAAAGTAAATGTGTGTGTTGTTCTCTCATCCCATTTAGCTGCCTGAATGCAGATATAGATTAAGCAGAGTTAAATATAACCAGGGTTTGGGTTTTGCTAGGCAAATATAATGGAGAGAGAGAAGGACAAAAGAGTTGAGGGTACATAGAGAAGAGTTATAGTGACAAACCATGGAATCTAAGACGAGTAGGGAAAAAGGTAAAGAAAAGCGAGGGAGATGATTAGGACAAAGACTGGGAGTGGGTCCATGGATTACTTGAATGATGTTGTACTTAAGAGAGGAGTCAGAAAGAGATGCTGTGAATATCAGAAAGTGGAATGATGAAAAACTAGATATTGGAGGCTACTTATAATGACAAACTCTAGGGTATGACTAGGGTGAACATGATGGGGTTGGGGAAAGAAAGAGATGTTGGAGTCAGAAGGTCAAATAATTGAAAAGGCTTACTGAGAAACTGATCTAAGTAAGTAGTGCTGAACCCTGCTGCATATTGAGATCATAGGTGTTGTGGGGTTTTTTTTTTTTTTTTTTTTTTTAGAGCAAAACAAAATCTAGTGGCTAAATCCTACCTTGACTAAATTAAATCAGTACCTGTTTGGCTTGGGGGATGAACTGAACACAGGTAGGATTTTTAAAACATCATGAGGTAATAAAAATGTGCAGCCAAATTTGAAAAATAATGACATACATAAATTTTGAAGTCATTAAATATGATGACAGGAGTCATGGTAGAAGGAAATGCAATGAGCCAGCTGCTAAAATCTTCCATCATGAAGTGGAATGGCTTGGAAGATAGGAGATGAAGGGTTTTTGAAAGAAGAAAAACAATGAGAAATAAGGAACATTCCTATCCCCACCTCCAGGACCTGGAAGCATAGGGTGTGGGAGCAAAAACCACCACCCCCTGCAAAGGCTGAAGGTAAACAGGATATGGGTTGGGTTGGGTGGTGAGCCAGGGCTTAGAGCAAGAAGGTGAAGGTGTTGTTCAAAGAAGAGTTGGAAAATAAAAGAGACTGTGCTTCCCAAGCCCTGAATTCTAGCAGCTGCATTGGAAGGGATTGCAGTTTTGGAAGGAATGGGAGATTGAGTCAGATCAAGGGATATACAGAAACATATGGAGGAGAGTTCCTGTGGTGACCTGGAATGCTTGGACTTCTATGGTGACTGAGGCCAAAAGGAGTATGAAACATGATGATTAGTTCCATCGCCTCTAAAGGAAAGGTGGAAAATTAATTCTAAGTATATCCTCCTTCTTGGGATAGGATCCTTGGGTGGTATGTGATGATGAAGCAGGTTGAGGAGCTAGGTGCTTGAGGTGGTGTGAAAGGAGCCTGGGAGGTTCTGAAGCCCTTTTAAGTTGAGCTGGGGGCAGTGTCAAAAGGGAGATAGGATAATAGCCCCTCTACTGTTAACTGTAAACTGTGAGTCTCCTTTAAAATCTTTGACACAAGCAGTTAAATGGTCTGGTTCTTAAGATTTACCAAATTATGTTGCAATCAATTTTCTGTATCTGTCTGCACTAAGCTTTAAATTGCCCCAGCAGAAATCTTTTCTTATGTATCTTTTCATTTTCAGCACCTAGATTAAGAAACATTTGAGGTACTGAAGTTAACTGCTTAAAGAACCAAAGACAAGGTTTTGTTGTGCTAAAGTGAAGTAACCAAATAAGGCAACATTTTTTGTTAGCATTTCTGGATTGTAATTTTACCAGGCCGGAAGTGTTACTAAATGCACTCATATTTTTAACCACAAACAGGACTTTCCTTTTTTACTAGTTCAAAGAGTTAAAATAGTTTCTGCCAGGAATTGATGCAATAATATATGTGTTTAAGTGTTACATTAAGAAATCAATATTTCTAGCTTGCACTAAGCACATTAAGCATCCCTTAACTTAAAAGTGTGAACAGTGTGTTCGCTTGAGATTAATTTCATAAAACGAAAAGATAAATTAGATCACCTAACCTAAGGAGACAATGAGATGCCAGCATTGTCTTTAGTTCTAAACTCTGCTCTATTTGGGGCATAGATTTTTTTTTCCCTTTCTCAGAGCTTGTTGTTTGGATCAGGGAGATCTAATGCAATAAGGAAAGTAAAGAGACATTCCCTTCAAAAAATCTGCCTTCTGCTCTCAGCTTCTACAGTGAGTAGAATCCTATTGTATTTCTTATAATTATTATCTCATAAAACCAAATACCAGATGTTCAACGTGATGGTCTGCAACTTTTTTTTTTCAATCATTCTTATATGGCATATCACAATAAACCGCAAAGTTAAGAATTCATTTATAAGAAAAAATAGAAGAACAAGATAATTTTATCTGGATGAAACCAGATATAATAAAAAAGATTCAAAGAAAAATTTTCAAATACGTAAAGATTTGAAAAATCACAATTATGTAAATCAAAAAACTACAATGGAAGGGAAAATTATTTTCATCAGATGTAAAAAAAAAAGGGTTCATATCTAAATTTAAGTGTATAAGAAAATAATTCCGCCCAAGCAAGGTGGCTCACACCTTAATCTCCACACTTTGGGAAGCCAACCTGGGAGGATTGCTTGCTCCCAGGAGTTCAAGACCAGCCTTGGCGATGTAGGGAGACCCCATCTCTACAGAAAATTAAAAAATTAGCTAGGTGTGGGTGCACATGCCTGCAATCTCAGCTACTTGGAGGCTGAGGTGGGTGGATTGCCTGAACCCAGGAGATCAAGGCTGCAGTGATTCATGATTGCACCACTGCATTTCAGCTCGGATGACAGAGTGAGACTCTGTCTCAATAAAAAAGAAAAGAAAAGAATTTCAAGAGTTCAGTGGTCAAATGATATGAGCAAGACTTCACACAAGAAGAGATATAAACATTTGTTTATATCTATCAAATAATAATACAAATTCTAGTGATGACATGCTGTAAAATATTCACATAATACGATATTGTAACTTAGGGCAACCATTTTAGAAAGTTTTATTGAAATGTCATTCTTCTAAAAGTTCACATTTTATCTTTAGCAATTATGTTCCTTAAGCAAAAAACAATAGAATTAATATAAATTTTCCAACATGTTCCTTGTGATATTACTTTACAGTTATGAAATATAATTATATTTTGCCTCACTCAAAAACAAGGGTAAATCTGAGTGCCGTCTTGCATATATAATAAAATAATAGTAGGAACAACCTGTACATATTACAACAAAAGTATCGTTATAATACTATAAAAGGTATGTGGCATTCTTGCACTATTGCAGGAAATGATGCAACAACTTGATGGAGCTATTAAAAGTAACACATGAAGTCTATATAGCCAAATCAAAAAGATATTTATGCAGAAAAAAGAAAAAATAAGTTTAAAATTGCATGTGTACAGAGATTACACCCCATAAACACATATAGAATTTGGATTAAGATTAAAAGGAGCTACATTCCTTGGCGATCATCAAAAAGTCAGGAAACAACAGGTGCCGGAGAGGATGTGGAGAAATAGGAACATTTTTACACTGTTGGTGGGACTGTAAACTAGTTCAACCATGGTTGAAGTCAGTGTGGCGATTCCTCAAGGATCTAGAACTAGAAATACCATTTGACCCAGCCATCCCATTACTGGGTATATACCCAAAGGATTATAAATCATGCTGCTATAAAGACACATGCACACATATGTTTACTGCAGCACTATTCACAATAGCAAAGACTTGGAACCAACCCAAATGTCCATCAATGATAGACTGGATTAAGAAAATGTGGCACATATACACCATGGAATACTATGCAGCCATAAAAAAGGATGAGTTCATGTCCTTTGTAGGGACATGGATGAAGCTGGAAACCATCATTCTCAGCAAACTATCGCAAGGACAAAAAACCAAACACTGCATGTTCTCACTCATAGGTGGGAAGTGAACAATGAGAACGCTTGGACACAGGACGGGGAACATCACACACCGGGGCCTGTCATGGGGTGGGGGGAGAGGGGAGAGATAGCATTAGGAGATATACCTAATGTAAATGATGAGTTAATAGGTGCAGCACACCAACATGGCACATGTATACATATGTAACAAACCTGCACGTTGTGCACATGTACCCTAGAACTTAAAGTATAATTTAAAAAGGAGCTACGTTCTTAATATATTCATTTCAAAATTGATAATAGTAGTAGCTAATATTTGCTAAGCACTTACGATGTGTCAAGCACTGTTCTAAGTACTTTGTATATTTAATCTAATATAATCCTGAAACAACCTCATTCGTTAGCTACTATTAATATCTCTATGTTATAGGTGAGGAAACTGAAGTGCAAAGAAGCTTAATAAGTTTTTTCAAGTTCACTCAGCTACAAAAGGGAATAGGTGGAATTCAAACCTATGCAATGTGACCTCATGAAAATAGAACTATAGATTATTTTTTTCATGCTGTCCTATATTATGATTGAAATATTGCTCAAATTATTTTTAAAAGAAGGAATTTTCTGTAATCTTTTCCACTCCAAAAAAGCTAAATGTGTAGAAAACATATCTCTGTAGTGCTTTACCAAATTCTGTAGTATTTCTCTAACTCTTTGAGGATTACTTAGTCTAAAAAGCACCTGGGAAAACAAGGATCAGCACTCCACATCCTAGTATCATTCCTAATAAACCAGTTTCACCTATACCTTGATTAAAGAGAGTTAATGCCACCAGCTTCCAGGAACTATCAGCTCTACCGTGCCTGTTGGGACAAAGATTATTATCATATGTTCTCATTTACCTGGTGAACACACTGCACTCTACTGTAGGTGAACACTCCTACACTAAAGAAATAACTACAATCAAATTATAGAAAATCATACTTTCCTTGATTGCAGAGACATAGGTTAGAAAAAAATGTGTAACAACCTTTTTTTACCTTTTCATAAATAAAATCCTGCAGGGAATTCTCTAACTTGAACATTGTTAACAGATGACATACCAATCTCTTTTGCTTTCACTCAAGAACAAAGGTAAATCTGAGTGTCATCGTGTGTATACACTCAGTTTAGATTCCTTTTAGAGAAATAATATACTGGTTTGTCTTGCATAGTTTGGGGCCGCTGGATTGTGGTGACATTTTCAGTAAACCCCAAATGCTGATTAATCTCTCCAAACTAGTCCTCTTATCTAGCTCATTCCTAAGAATCAATATTCTTTAAAAAAATTTTCCAATATATAATCATTTAAATATTTTAGGGGCTTTTCCTATAAGTCTTCAGCGATAATCAAAGAGACCTGAGACAGAAGAAGAAAACAACAAATACACAGAAACTAATTTCCACCTGTGACAACTCCATTGATTTATCTTTGGAATAGAAACTGCTTTCATTCTCTTTGGAATGTGCTGATTTTTTTTTTCTTAGATTGTATCTCAGTGACCTGGGTTAAGTACAAGATACTCAGCAAGTTGTTCAGTAGGTAAAAGGAAGTCACTAATTTATCCCCTCTACCTATTGCCAAGCAAATTCACTTAGGGGTGAGGCTCCAGAAATGCTTTCTTCATGACTGACCAGCAGTTAGATGACATGGCTTCTGGGACAGAATGACGGCGTTAGCAGAGTCAGGGCTAAACTTTGTTAGTGCTTCTCACCTTTGCATAAGTCATTTCAACCAACAGTCTTGTTTTCACTTCCTGTCCAGGTGAAGAGAAGGGCAATGATTAAAACCTACTCCCTGGCATATTTGTAAAACATTTTGAATTTCTCCTAATGGGATTTTTTTTTTCTAGAAAGTGCAAAACACTAGATTACATTAACCATCTTTAATGCTACGCTGAGACAAATTATATAGATATAATTTATAAAGGAATAATTTTAATATATTAAGAGGCATTTCTATGTTGAAGGAGAAAATTTATGTATTTTATACATGACATTATATTTTATTTGATAATATATATAATATACATCTGCTAGTTGAGATTTCTCTTTTAAAAAAACTGTGTTACAAATTTATTTTTAAGAAAGTGGGTCTAATTGGAAATGGCATAAAGAAAGATTTCACTGGGACACAGGATGTTTTTGTAAATAAAGTATGATTCAGCATCAAATTTATAACAATTTAAACAAAAATTTAGGAAAGATTTCACAGGCCTCCAGCTGAAAGTTCTTTTTTTTAAATTCCAGTCAGCGTTTTTGGTTTTCCTTAAAGTGATCATGATTTGAAATGACTAGGAAGTACCTGCTGCCTTGCGTGGGAATAGAAATTTACTTCCTTAAACCTATACAGGGTTTGCTAGGATTTAATTTCTATGTAAGGCAGAGGTTAGAATATATTCACCTCTAATCAGTCTGTCCGGCTGTAAGATCCCTTTTCAGGAATTGTTTCTAGGACACACACACAAAAAATTGGTGGGGAAAACTACATTCTCATTTATTTCTTCCCTAACACTGGTTGTTTAAACCCACCCACAAATCAGAATTAAGTGCTTCTTCTCTGGGCCATAAACCTCCCACTTTGCTCCTTAAGTACACTCTCATGTCACTCTGCTTTGAATTAAAATTATTTGTTTTCAGGTTGACTTCCTCTAGTAGAGTATAAGCTCCTTAGAGGCCAAAATCTGTGTCTTATTCATTCAAGTGGACCCTACAGCTAGGGTGTCATATAATTTACTGTCCAATCTTGGACAATAGCTACAAGTGTACCTCTGGTCTCACACAGACTTGGTCCAGACTTGATTGTGATCTCATCTGTACAATGGGCATAATATGAGTAGACATCTTATATTACTTTGAGAAATAAATAAAATAATTCATAAAATATACTTAGCTCTATATCATGCCATTATATGTAGCAAGAATTTGGGGAGGAAAAGCTTGTTGAGTCCTTCAATTGAATCAAACCTCTTGCTTTTCTTCCAATTTTTAAGCTTTTCTTTCAACTCTTATTTCCCCTCTTATCTGAGCTTCAGATAACTTCGTTTTCTTTCTGTTTTTCTCTGGAATTGCTCTTAGGGCCTTGTGAGTTTTGTCCTTCTGTTTTCTTTTCTTTTCTTTTCTTTTGGCAGGAGGAGAGGGACATCTTTCAATTCATTCATTCAATGGGCATATGCAGAGGACTTCTTGTATGCTCAAGGTGGTAATGGAAATGTGCCAAAAAGCCTTTTTTTTTTTTTTTACTTTATTTCTTACTGTACCTCCATCTTTATCAATCTCTAATTTTTCCAATTCCTTCTCTAAGTATCTTGTTTTGAAGTCTGTATTTCCCATGTATGATAGTCTGGAATTTATACAACTCTGACTCCTTTGAGTTGAATTCTTATGTTCTTGTTTGGAAATGGCCCCCAGATTGGCACAGCACCAGTAAGAGTGGGATGCCAGCTTAATCAGCTATGCATTTATCTGTGTGATCTGCACCCACAGTTATGAACAGCTGAGCCAACCAAATGTAGTTAATGTCATCCCTTCATAATTATTCTCTAATCATGACCTGCTCCTCTCCAGTCTTATCACCTTGGTGTCTCTGAGGATAAGTGAAGATCTACTTGGGGGTAGAACTTGGTTTGGCTCACTTGCCCAAAACTCTAACAAAGTTACAGAGATACCAGTATCAGCTTTCCCATTGTTATCTACCACTAGTGATAGTATGTGCAGGTACTATTAACTAGAAACTGATGTTCAACTTAAAATAATAATGTCCACTTCAATCAAATCACCGGGTGAAGCAATGAATTCACCTTTGAAGGACTAAGATAATGTGTGTGATTCCCCTTACCATCTCTTTTCCCATCTTATACAGACTAGAAAACCTGTTGTGCATGTTTTTAATAAGGCATCAAAAACCATAAACTTTTCTTTTTCTTTTCACTGGACATCTGTGGACCTAATATAGGTATTCTGTAGAACACACACATGCCAGAGAATGCAGTGAGAGCAAAGCAATATGATGTTAGCCCAACCCACAAATTGGTGTGGGAGCCTTTGGAAAAAGTATAGCCTGTCACTTTCAGTTATCGAACTAAGAGACCATAACAAACATCTGAGCAGCTTTGAGTTTTCTGTTTTTGAACAAGACATTTCAGAGAGGTTGTGCAAAGTATATACTAAAATGCATGTATTTTAACTTGTCTAACATAATCTTGTGACTATTTTGGTGTAAAACACTCTTAGACTACTTGGGATTTTCTAAGAGTTGAACTTCGGAATTTTTAGAACATGGCTTAAAATTCAAAACTCAAAACTATAAATGGAGATTGTGACATAAGGGATTGAAAAGGGTGAGAATCATTCTGAAATGTGTATAGTCATACCATCATGATTCTAGATTTCAGGAACAGCACCTCATTTTTACCAAATAATAGATAAATATGAAGCCTCACCTGCACCACAGACCTGCCCTGTATAGTCAGCTGGCCAGTTGACTATGGGGTACACCTGATTAAAGGTTCCAATTTTCTGCCTCCAGTCTACCTTCAGACTTAAGACACAAACATCATGCCTGGTGCCATTTCCCTCACTCTGCCTCTCATATCATAGTTTCTCACACCCCTTTTTACTTAGCAATGTGATAGAGAAGGAAGACAAAGAACAATTGTTGGTGACTCGTAATATATCAGAAATTGTTACATGTTTTATTCGGTTAAATCCTGGGGCAATGATGCTGCTGCTGCTGCTGATGATGATGATGGTTTTATAGATAAATATAAGGCTTAGACAGTTTGCAGATCTTGATAAAGTGGAATCACCAATGAGTTTTGAAGGGTGAAAACTTGCACAAAGTCACACAGCCAAAACCGGTACTCTTGTCTCTACAACTCAGTGCCTTTCCACCACACTAAGTTGCTTCCCAGGGTGTCTGTCTGCATCTGTACTCTTCCTTCGATTTACAACAGCAGAAGACCCACTAAAAGCAGAGAATAATTGGCAAAGAACTTTGCACATAGCAGGTGTTCCACGTTTGTTCAATGAATATCAGATATAACTTGCAAGATAAAATTTGTTTTCTCAGAGATGAGCATAGCTCAGTAGCAGGGTCTTCCTCTCCTCTCCAGCCTATATCATGCAGACCAGTCTGGGCCCCAACGTGGTCACTAATTTTATGTGTCATCTTGGCTAGGCTATGGCACCCAGTACTCTGGTCAAACACCAGTCTAGATGTTGTTGCAAAGGTTCTTTTTAGACGTGATTAACATTTACATCAGTAGATTGAATAAAGCAGATTACCATCTATTACATAAGTGGGCCTCATCCAATCAAATGAAGGCTTAAGAAAAAAGACTGAGGTCTCCTAAGAAAGCAGGAATTCTGCCACCAGACTGTCTTCAGACTCAAGACTGCAGCATCAACTCTTCCCGGAATCTCCAGACTGTCAACCTGCCCCACAAAGTTCACACTTAGCCCCTACAACTATATAGATATAGATATATACATGCATATGTATATAAGTACATGTGTGTGACATACACTTACACACATACACATGTGTTCATATGTGACATACACTTGACACATGCACACACACACATCCTACTGGTTCTGTTTTTTTGGAGAATCCTAATATAACTGGCATAACTTTCCTGCTAAAAACCAACCAGTGTTTTTATAGAAGGCCAGAGAATGAGTATAGGATTAGTTTATCCCCCTTCTCATAATTAACTTCCCTGTCCCCTTACTCCATGGATGGAAAGGAAGTGGGTGTGAAATGCTTCCTGAGGATGAGCATCATTCTGCATTCTGATGCAAGCATAGCTGCTTCTGCTGCCTTTGCTAACTTCACAGGGGCCTGACCCAAAAGCCAAAAAGGCCATGGGTTTATATTATCTATCACTTCAATTTAAGTTATATGCCTTTCTTCCTGAAAGTCACGGAGTATCTGGAGATGAGAAGTTGCCTCTATTAGAAAAAGCAGGTTTTAGATAGCAAAACCCACTCTGCCAGAAATTCTTTGTTGCCTCTTAGTAACTGTTGTTTTGTACCAGTTCCTCCCCTGTTGAAATGTAGGTATGCATTCCCTTTAGCCCTTTTCCAGGTATGTTAAGATTGGATTATATTTCATTATCAGTTCCAAGAGGACTATCTGTTGATCCTTAAAGGAGCTGCCAAAGAAGGATGGGCTTTCCTCTTAAAATTTTAGACCTTTTGCTTACTCTAAAAAATAAGAATAATACAGGATTGACTAGAAGATTGGTCACTCTTCCATAATAAGATTAAATATTCCAATTTTCAAAGAATAGATTATATTTTCTAATGAAATTTAATAGTAAAATCCAATGATACTCAATTGCCCTCGTATGTGTCCAGTCATTGCTCATGATAGAACTTTTGTTAAAACATGAAAACAATTTACCATCTTGTCCTTCAATCCCTCCTCCAGTAGAACCTCCTTCTTAAAATATTTTAATGCTCTGCGTGCCCTGTAGAATAATATCAGAAGTCTTTAGGGTGCTATGTAAAGGTCAGAAACACCAATGCTCGTGGGACTAGAGGCAAGGCTGGGACTGAATGTGAGACGAAGAGGCCAGGGACAAACTGGGCAGTGCGCATGTCATCCACTGATACTGTGTTGGAATTAGAGAATGATATTGGAAGACACTCCAAATTTTCTAGAAAGCTTGGAAATCCCTATTTTTTCATGTAGAGGTTTCTAAGTTGTAAATGTTGACAGCTTATTTTTTAAAAATACTAGCCATGCACGGTGGCACATGTCTGTAATTCCAGCTACCTGGGAGGTTGACGTAGGAAGGTTCCCAGAGCCCAGGAGTTTGAGGTCCCCCTGGGTAATACAGTGAGACCTTGCCTCTAATAAATAAATAAATAAATAAATAAATAATGAATGAATGAGCGAAACAAACCTCATCTAATTTCCAAATTAACCCTTGGATTCCTGTTTCCAATGCTAGACTCTGACCTATGTCCGCCCGAAAGGCTTCATCTCTCACTCTGCCCCCTTATACTCACACCCTGTGCTCTAACCACATTCCAAGAACGGCAGCTCTTTGAATGTACCACACTGGTTCCTACTTTGGTGCCCTTCAACACATGTTGCCCAGCCCTGCCTTCACTACATGTCCAAAAGCCCTTCCTTGTTCCCTTTTCTTGCCTGCAAATACATATTGCACAGTTCAGCTCAAGGGCCTTTCTTCAAGGCATCCCTCACCCCTACCCAGGCCAAACTCACCATACCCTACCTTGTCACCCCCTATCCCAAAACTGTATATAACGTCCTTATTATATCTATAACATTTGGCTCTTATTTATTTTCTTTACTCCTCCTAAAAGACTCTAAGTTCCCCAAAGGCAGAGACAGTATCTTTTCAATCTCTATTCTCAGCACCTCATGCAGTAGCTAGTATACCATCATCATCATCATCATAATTAACACATTCAGTACTTACCATGTTCCAAGTGCTTTACAAGTATTAACTTGAACTCTCACACAAACCCTGGATAATCACCCTAATTTTACAGATGAAGAAACTGAAGCTGAGTGTCATAAGCTTCAACACCAAATAGTGTAGAGTCAGAGAGTATGGGTCTAGACCTTGCTTCTCTATCATGTTTTCTCCCATATGGCACAGTGGTTTTGTTTTGTTTTGTTTTTTTGTGTGGAAATAAAATTAAACCTAAGGTTCATTTCCTAGTAGTTGATCACTTCAGTATTTCCAATCTCTTTCTTATGTATCTTTCAGTTGCTAATAAAATAGAAAGCTCAGAGATAGTTTTGCCAAGAAGAATTTTATTAAAATACTGCCACTTAAGGACTCTAATCCCACCCAGCCCTCCTGAATTCATCTGGTCTTGATTCAGCCTTGGTGAAAACAGGGTGCAGTCTGACCTACCGATAACCCCATTAAGCAGTTTCTTTTGATGCAAACAGCAATTTAAGCAAATATGCCCTTTTGTTTTCTCTAGAGCTCTTTCTTATCGTAGTAATATCCAAGCTGAGCTTCATGTGGGAAATCAAAGAGCCAAAGACAGGGACTTTTCATTATACACAGAAATCCGACGGAATGCTTTTTATTCCCATTCAAGCAGTTACTACTTATCTGCGTGACTAAGGTATGGAAGATCTAAAAAGAAACTAAGTGCTAGTCTGGCCTCTACTCCTTCACCCAGATGGAAGTTTCACAAGCACGTTTAAAGCTTCGGGTCAAGTGCTGTCACTCTCAAAAACCAGTGGGTCTGCATTTTCCTTTGCACTACAAGTACTCTAACTACAGACATTGTTCCGGTTTTTATCTGATTATAAGTATCCAACTAAAGTAGTTAAATGTTTAGAAAAGGTAAATAACTGATAGTGCATAAGGGAACCTGAAGTACTCTGTTGACACTTAAATTATATAGCCAAGGACAATGGAGGAAATCATTTAGTGCTATTAATCAGTAATCTAACAGTATTGTGTCTGTGTGCAACTGTCTTTCTTTTGGCTAATATCTGTGAATTAATTGGTCATTGAAAAATCTGATAAAGGAATATTCTAAAAGTACACAGTGAAATCCAAATTATTTCTATCAATTACAGCTCACCTTTTCTGAGGCTTAAACTTGACATGTAAAAACATTTTAGTTATCTGTTTCAAAATGAACAATATACCTCTGGTTAAAATTCTACCTTTTAAAAATTAAGGTATTTGAGACCTACAGGGATTAATTCTCTACTTAATATTTACTTTACTTTAGTAGTTTTTCTACAGAAAGTTTGTGAAAGATTTCATCCCCTATATATGTTTCTTTATCCTCCAAAATCTGGTCCTACAACTGTACTCCTTGACCCATAAGGTCAAGTGGTGCCATCTGCTGGTCATAAGAAGTGGTGTCATCTGCTGGTCATTGGTATATAACTATGAGAAAAACCACGTGCACTGTTGTAGAAGCAACTTAAGTAAACTGCAGTAGAGTACACTTACCACTTTAGAATTAACCTTTAAGTTATAACTTCTCTCTTTCCCTTCCCCCTTTCTCTCTCGCACTTTCTCTTATGAAGCCAATATGACTCAAGTTTTAGACTATTTTAAAAGGCAGGTTTGAGAAAAAAAAAAAAGAAAGCAAACTTTTGATGCCCCCTGGTGTTCAGGTTCCTTAGCATTTCTGAACTTCCTCTTTTGCTAAAACTAAAACCATAATAATGTGTTCTTCATTCATTCATTCATTTAGTCATTCACTTATTCATTCATCTAATGAACATAACTATATCATGAACCTATGAATTACACTCTATTTGAGATAACTGGATACCAAATTGTGGCCAACATGACAAGGAAAGAAAAATGAAGAATCTCAAGACAAAATTCAATTGAAATCTGTTTTGAAGTGTCCTTTGAGTTTGTCAGTTCAGTTGTAGCAAATCTGTGATGGCTGCCCTTATAAGTAACCTGAGGAAGAGAGGAAAAGAGGGTAGAAGGTGAAGGGAAGAGAGGGGAGGAGGGAGAGGATGGGCTGGATCAGTGAACATAATATAATCCACTCATGACACACAGAACAGACAACTTGTTGCTTCCTCTTTAAGTGCATTATAAACTAACACTTTTTTTTTTTTTTTTGAGATGGAGTTTTGCTCTTGTTGCCCAGGCTGGAATGCAATGGCCCAATTTCAGCTCACTGCAACCTCCGCCTCCCGTGTTCAAGCGATTCTACTGCCTCAGCCCCCCAAGTAGCTGCGATTACGGGCATGCGCCACCATGCCCAGCTAATTTTTGTATTTTTTAGTAGAGACGGGGTTTCTCCATGTTGGTCAGGCTGGTCTCGAGCTCCCAACCTCAGGTGATCCACCTGCCTCGGCCTCCCAAAGTGCTGGGATTACAGGCGGAAGCCACCGTGCCCGGCCGACACTTTTAAATAAAGAGATAAATGAGCTTGATGGGAATATATTACTTTACGAGCAAGATTTGTGTCTAATGCTTTAACTTAATTGTGGCAATTATTGTCAGATGGTCTAGGAAAAAATTGTGTATCTGGTACATGACTTTTGGGGAGCTCTAGGAAGCCCTCAGCAACATCATATTTCCCTTTGCACACCTCTGCTCCAGAGATATTTTCACAGTTGGATAAGATGCTTCTTAGATGATCACCAATACTCCATGCCTACTCATCAGTCCAGCCACTTGAAACAATCACCAGTACAACAGGACCGCCATATCTCCATGATATGAAATGAAGAGCTCATCCACGTGCCAGGAAGGTGGTGCACCCCAGCTGAATGGGAACAGAAGTTCCTGTGCTCAGGACCCTTCTAGACTTCACTTTATGTATCTTTTTATCTGGATATTTATTCATATCCTTTCAAATACCCTTCATAATAAATCAGTAAACGTGTTTCCCTGAGTTCTGTGAGCCACTCCAGCAAATTAATCGAACCCAAAGGTGGGGGGAGGAGGTTCACGGGAACCCCAATTTGAAGCCAGTCAGTCCGAAGTTCCAGAAGCCTGGACTTGCAACCGGGGGGAAGGAGGGGATGGGCTTGTGGGAGTAAGCTCCTAACCTGTGGGATCTGATGATTTATCTGGGTAGATAGTTGGAATTAAATTAGAGGACACCCAGCTGGGTCCTCCTGCAGAATTGACTGCTTGCTTGCTGGAGGGGGAAAATAAACACATATTTTTGGATCACAGAAGTCTCCTGTGTTGATTGTTATGGTGTGAGAGCACAGGAAAAATGGTTTGAGAGTTTTTCCTAAACAACATGATATACACGTACCAAAATATCACTGTATCCCACAATACATACAATTATTTTGTGCCAACTAAAAATAAAAGGAAAAACAAGAATTTAAAAATCCTAGCATGGTACTGGCATAAAAGCAGACATATAGAACAGTGGAACCCAACAGAAATTTCAGAAATAAACTCCTATTTGTGGTCAATGTAGTTTTGACAAAGATTTCAAGAACACACAGTGGGTATAATGACAGTCTCTTCAATAAGCAGCGTTGGAAAAACTGGATATCCACCCACAGAAGAATGAAATTAGACCCTCATCTCACTCCATATACAAAAATAAACTCAAAATAGATTTCAGATTTAAATGTAAAGCCCAAAACTGTAAAATTTCTAAAAGAAAACGTAGAGGAAATGCCCTGTGATACTGGTCTGAACAGTGGTTTCTTGGATACAACATAAAAAGCATAGGAAATAAAAGAAAAAATAGACAAATGAGACTGTATCAAACAGAAAAATCTTCTGGACAGCAAAGGAAATAATAGAGTAAAGGAACAACCCAAGAATTCGGATAAAATATTTGCAAATCTGTCTTCTGATAAGGGCCTAATATCCAAAATATATAAGGAACTAAAACAATTCAGTAGCAAGAAAACAACCTGATTTAAAAAATGGGCAAAGGACCAAAGTAGACATTTCTCAAAAGAAGATAAATGGCCAACAGATACATGAAAAACTATTCAACATCATCAATCATCAGGGAAATGCAAATTAAAATCACAATGAGATATCAAGTCATTTCTATTAGAACGGCTATTATCAAAAAGATGAAAGAGAACAAGTGTTGGAGGGGGATGCGGAGAAAAGGGAACCCTTGTGCACAGTGGTAGGAAGGTAAATTAGTATAATCACTTCAGAAAACAGTACAAAGTTTCCTTAAACAAACAAAAATACAATTACCATATGATCCAGCAATTCCACTTCTGGACATACATCCAAAGAAAATGAAATGAGTATGTCAAGGAGATATGTGCACTTTCATGTTTATTGAAGCATTGTTCACAATAGCCAAGACGTGAAATCAACCTAAGTGTCCATTATGAATGAATGGATAAAGATGATACACAATTGAATATTATTCAACCTTTAGGAAAAGAAGGAAATTCTGCCCTTTGTGACAATGAGGATGAACCGGGAGAAAATTATGCTAAGTAGAATAGGCCAGGCAGAGAAACACAAATACTGTACTGCATGATCTTACTTATATATGGAATCTAAAAAAGTCAAACTCATAGATGTAGAGAGTAGAACGGTGCCTACCAGAAGCTGGAGATTTGGAGGTAGTGATTATTTGAATGGGGAAAGGGAAGATGTTGATCAAAGGGCACAAAGTTTCAGTTAGACAGAAGGAATAAGTCTGTGATCTATTGCACAGCATGGTGACTATAATTAAGAATAATGTTTTATATATTTCAAAATTGCTAAAAGAGTATATTTTAAACGTTCTTACATAAAGAAATGCTAAGTATCTGAGATAGAAAATATGTCAGTTTGATTTAATTATTCTATAATGTGCATATATGTTCATATATAACATCTCCTGAATATATACAATTCAGGATATATATATATATACATATGTCTCCTGAATATATACAATTATTGTCAATTAACAATAAAATTAAGAAAGATATAGCAAGCAAAAAATACTCCTCTTCCACTTTCCCTCAGTACTTTACAAATACATTTCCCACTGCATTCTTATGAAGTGCTAGTTTAGTAATTAGTAAGCCTCTTTATACTTCACCCTCATTTTAAGTCACCGTTTCCATCTATTTTCCTTTACTGAAATCTGCCTATCCTTTCACTCTACAGCTTTCTCTTAAGGAGGTTGTTATTTTTCCATTCCCTACATACTAGGGGACTGTGATGAAGGGTAGCAATCTCCTGGTTTCTCATTGCCAACTCCAGGTTGGTTTGCTTCCATGGCCTCTAGAAAAACTAATGCTATTAGAAGGTGGTCTCTTCCATCTGGCTCTACCATCCTCTGATCATCCCTGTGGCTTTGATTTACCAGCCCCTCCAACAGCTGGACCTTGTATCATGGTCTTCGTCTTACCCCAAGTCCTATCTGCCACAGTTCTAGGAGATGTAATATGAATGTAGACAATACACACATGGAGATTTAAAAAAAAACAAACCACCTTCCCCCTTTCCCCCATCTGACTAATTCACTTGCTCACTTCTTGGATCTTTCCATAACCTTTAGAACTTATTACTCTTCTAAAACCTTGAGCTCCGATATCTCCCTCCAGGACCTCCTCTCCTTCCCTCTTTCACATTCCCTCACCCTACCCTCATGGCTCTTAGACTCCTTTAAGTCCTCCAGTCCCTTGATCCTCCACCCCCTTGATCCTCCACCTTCCCCCATCATCCAGGTCCTTCATGGCTTCATTGTTCCCCACAGGGCTGGATTTCTTTGATTGATAAGATAAACTTATACTTCCCCAACATCCTCAATTCCTTGAGGTCCTATCTGATCAGACAAGGGTGAAGGGCTGTCAGAAAAAATTACACGCCCTTGCAGATTGGTACCATTTCTAATTCATGGTCCCTAATCTGACATGGTCAAATCTTTGTCATCTTTTCTCAAACTCATTATGCAACCCTTATCTCTTACTTTGTTAAGAAAATTATACCATCAAGAGTCGTCTTTCTTAGGTTCACAGCACCTACTCTTAAACTATCTAGAGGCCCCATTCTTACCTCCTTTCTTCCAGCCCCATGTCTCCATTCTAATAGAGGACTATGATTTCTGTCAGAGCTTCTGATCCCATTCCTCTGGGATCTTGGGCCATTAGCCATACCTCTCTTAGTGTCTTCCATTTTTTCTTCTTTGTGAACTTCTTTTCACTTGCTTACAAACACGCTCAAAACTCTCTCCTTAGTAAAAGAAAAAAAAAATACCCCATTGACTACCTATCCTCTGCTGTTCATCTCCCAGTATCTCCTCCCTTTTCATCCAGACTTTATGAAGTACAGGTTTGTTGTTTCTTTTCCTCACCCACAGGCTGTTCACACTCTCTCCAATTTGCCAGAGTTTCGCTCTTGAGGCAATAGTCCATGTGAATTTTGTATTGGGTATTTGAAAAAAAAAATTCCGGAGTAAAATAAGGGTGAGAGCTCTGTGTGTGAAGAAGTATTTAAAAGCTATTTGGGTTTTAAATTGTATTAAAAGTCAGAAAATTTAAAAACAAGTCTTCCTTAAGCATTTCTGTTCAACTTACAAATCTTTTTATACTGTTTACAAGTTGAGTATAATGAGAAATATCACCTTTACTTTTTTATTGATTACTGTATTAGCTATTTTTGGATTAACATTTCTAAATTGAACAGAATAATTTTCCTCAATACTTTAATTATATTCGATTAAATATTTTAAACAGTTTTTCAAAAATTTGACTTTAATTTTTAAGCATTTCAAATGTCTGACAGGACAAATTTACAATACCTATAAACAAAATGTTTCCGAGAACTCAGATAATGCTTGAAATAAAATTATTTATACTCAGGAAATATAACAAATCAAAGTACCTTATATAATCTGATAATATACGGAAACTTAGTCAAATTATTTTTGCCTTTTAGCTTAAAATCAAACTTAAAATCAATTGCATATTCAATTGGAATTATGAGGATAACCTCTGAAATTCTATGTATTTTATATACTGTATAAAGTTTTAAATAAGAAACAGAGTTTTTCTTTAAATTTAGCACAAATGCTATGTTTGCTTTATTTCGACATTTCTATATTTAATTCAAAACCATCCCATGGTGGAAAGGCACTTACCTAGAGTGACCATAAAATATATCTTCTAAACTGGGACACATTTGAGAGGGAAAAGGGGAACACTAAAAATAATTAAAACTTGTTAATTGATCTACAGTAGGTATAAACCAGGACTATCCCAGCCAAACCAGGCTGATGGTCACTCCTTCCTGATCCAAGTGTAGGGAATCACTTACAATTTGGACGAGCAGAGCTTTGTGGGTCAAGTGTTTATGCTCACAATATGGCTATATAGGTCAGAGATGTGAGTGAGACCAGACATAGGTCCTGAGAGCGATCTGCTTCCTCAGTGATTCCATCTGTGTTGCAGGGGGACCTCTGAGGTTTTTTATAACTGTTGCATCAACCAGGGACTTCAAGTTTACACCATCAAAGTGATTTTGTGATTAATTCTTTCTCACTTTCTTTATTGCCTGATTTGGGTAGATAGAAGTTACCACCACCATCATCATGGGTTGCTTTTAATGTTTCCAAGAGGTCACAACTCTAAAGTCACAGGGATGATCAGAGGATGGTGGAGCCAGATGGAAGAGACCACCTTCTAATAGCAAAGTCATTTTAATGGCATCTCATTGTCTTTGGCATTTCCTTCATCCTATTTTTCTGGCTCTGAAACAAATTTTTGTTTTTGCTCAGGATAAAGGTCATTAACAACTTCTTAATCAAATCTAATCGAATTTATTTTTTCTTAGTATTAATGGACCACATGATTCATTATCTAAATGACTGTCTCCTGCACTTCAATTTCCTTCATACCCAACTTCCCCGCTAACAACACACACACACCCCTCACCTCTCTAATTTCTTAGCTCATCCCTTAAGACTCACTTTCTCCAGGAAAACTCTAAAAGATGCCCAGCTCTGTGTTTTCACAGTATCTAAATTTACCCTTATCACATTGTTTTATAATATTTGACTTCTCTTTCTGACTCTTCTCACCAGATCAGGAGTTTCTTAAGGGCTCAGAGACTATATAGATCATACATCTTTCCCTCTTAGCACTAAGTTTAAGGACCAGAACATGATGGTGTAGAGAAACTTTCCCGTTGGAGACAGGGCATACAAATTTATTTCATGTGAACACATGGGAGCCTTCAGAATGAAGACCCAAAGATCCAGGGAAAATTTTCCATTTTTATGATTAGCTTTGTTAACCCAAAATATCTGAGACAGGTCTCAGTCACTTTCGAAAGATAATTTTGCCCAATGTTAAGGATGCATCGGTGACACAGCCTCAGGTCCACGATCGGCCTTCCACTGCATACACAATTTAGTCTGGTTCAGTGAATCTGCATTTTTACATAAACAATAGGGCAGAGAAAGCAATCAGATATGCATTTGTCTCAGGTGAGCCTCAGAGGGATTACTTTGAGTTCTGTCTGTCTTTCGTCCACAAGGAATTTCCTTGGGCAAATTGTGAGGGAGGTATGTAGCTTCTTATATTTGTAGCTATCTCTTCCAGGAATAAAACGGGAAGCAGGTTTGTCTAACATAGTTCCCGGCTTGACTTTTCCCTTGGCTTAGTCATTTTTTCCCTTGGCTTAATGATTTATATTCCACAGGTTCAACAAAGTATGGACAGCCATGTAGAAATATGATTGGACAAAAAGGGCATGACATACTGCTAACAGACTGAGTGGGGAAACCCAGCAAAGCTGTCTGTCTAGATTCTTCTTGGCCTCTCTGTGTAGGATTCCTTCCTTATGGGTATGAGTCAGGTCTCTCTCTGGAATGGGGGTATTATAACCCACAGTCAAACAAGATAGGTCAGACAATTTCTTCATGGCCATATTCGCATATCTTTTGGTTCTTACCCTTCACACAGAAAGGCAGAGGGAAGGTTAGAGAAATATGTTTAGGTTTTACGGCTGGCTTTAGGGAAAAGATCTTCTGGTTTCTATTATCCACCTTGGGGAAGAAGGATTCTAGTTTCTATGGTAGCATCAGGGGGATAATGGGCGTGAAAGACAGGCAGGAGAAGGTCAGAGAAAAACTTTCGCTTTTGAGGCTGCTTCTGAGGACTTCCTTTTTGGGGTGTTGTTATCTGAATCTCAACAGTGGAAAAAATAATAATTAATCAAGAGTTTAGACTTTGCAATTAGGACAGATTCAGGACTGAATCTCAATTACTTTAGTTATATAAATTTGAGAAGACTTCTTAAATGCTCTGAGCCTCATGTTCCTCATGCAATGATAGTGATAATAACACCAACACTTGTCCTTTCTCAAACATCACATCCTACCTAGAATTTAATTATCTCAATTTAAGGCTTAATACCTGTAAAATTCATAAACCCCTGGGTGAGGTAACATTTTAAGGTGATTTTGGCAACTTAACAGGTTTGATAGGTTTGATTGACATTTTGATGGGCTAGAGAGAGGGAAGTCCTGAAGATTCCAAACGGACAAGGAAGCTTTGGGGAGAGGCAAATAAGCAGAAAAGATGAAGTTACAGCAATTCAACTTCTCTCTCTCTCCTCCTCTGTAAAATGGAAATTACATTAATAGCAATGACATTAATATCTGTGAGGATTAAATGAAGAATATGTGGCTCTTAATAAATATTAGCTGTTTTGTTGTTGCTCTTGAAGATGCTCAGAAGACAAATATGACTTTGTTCCCAATTTGTTTTTAGGATTGTATGTACAGACAACATATGGATTTGCCAGAGAAGAAAAGCAATGCTTTTAGACTTATTTCCTGCCTTAAGTTTTTAAAGTGGAATAAAGAGCAGTGGGTCACATAAGAGCTCATTATATGGGTCTTTCATCATAGCTTTAGATCCTGACACGCTAAGCAGAGATTATGTTGCATCTGTGATATTAAAATACATCTGGGTATCTATTACTTTTTGGCCCTTTTCTATACAAAGCACAGAAGCTGAGAATCATGTCTCTTCAGATCAAGATTGAACATACTCTCTCTTTCACTGAGGGAGGTATAGGGTTCAGGGCTTAATCTTACACTTTGCTTATCCTATAACAGAAATAATAATACCTATTATTATTTATAATAGGTATGTGAAGATCCTGGGAGTCCAGGGTAGATGGCCATTCTGTTAACCTGAATATGCTTTTAATGTGCAGCATTAATCTAAGAAAAGTGAAAAAATGGTGAGATTTTACTTCAAAAAATCCAAATTATATGCAACTTAAGTCATCTTCAGTAGAGTTTCAGAAATGATAGGGGAGATACAATTTGAAGTGAACTTTGAAGACAAGACAAGGTGATTTGCAATGAAGGATATTTCTAGGGTAAAAGGGACTTTGAATAGAAGGAACGAATAAAGAAAACTGAAGGAGAACTTGATTCTATTGCAACAAGAAACATATGGCTAATTCCAACTATCTGGAGCATACCAACTTTAAAGCAGACTGTCAAAACTGACCCTACTTAACTCATTTTAAAGCATGGGGTTCTTCCCTCAACCAAAAACACAGATGCCAGGTTACACTTTATAACTGGACTCTCCACTTTCATTAAAGGTCATTATAAGGAATTGCCACCTAAAATGTGATGTAAATATTTTTTGAGAAACCTAGTATATCACTTGCAATTCCCTCTATAAAGTACCTGCAATAAATGCATTTTTAATATTAGATTTCAGTAATATTTTCTTCACTTGTGACATACTACTTATTTTGTTTTATCACTATGATAATGGGAGAATGGAACACTTCTCTTTGTTTTTTGTTCTTATTTCCTTAAAGTTTTAGAGTAATAGTCACATACTAACCTATAAGAAATTTAGAAAGGTTCAATTAGGCCTTCTATGACAAAAATATCTAAGTCTCTAGTTACTAAAATGTTAATGTTTATGTTGTATCATGGTCTATACTGCAGAGTCAGGGTAAAGACACATAGCTGTATTTTTTAGATCAATAATTTGTTCAGTTATTTACAATCAAGAGTGTTAAGAGAACTTGGATTGCAGACAAATCTCTTATACATTTATCCAATTATATTCAATGTTTTTTCAGAAGGGTACCTTAGGACTGGCCTGGTACATACTTGCATATCTTTTGCTTCTTAATAAACACTAGCCACTATTTTCTTTTCAGTACATTTTTTTTCCTTCTTGGGCAGGATAAAGAGAAGTTGATTATTCTGATAATTGCCTGTGGAGAAGTTTCTTTGGATACAATTTTATTAAGGGCATTGAGTCTCTGAGTTTAACTTTTTTCTTCCCAATGACCACACTGTGCACAACGATGATGTTGTGGATTTTGAACCTGAATTTATACCAGTTCAGACATCTTTGGCTTCTTCATGCTGGCATAGGCTTGCCTGGCTGAGAATCTGAAGATGCAATAATTTTTAAAATGTATTACTGTCATTATTATAATTAGTTTACTTATTGTTCCCCCAGATATTTTTTCAACAATGTTCTGCTAAATCTAGAGTGGCTGCTTGCTAATAGAACTTTAGCTTTTTCACAAAGCTTCCAATGTGGGAATCTAATCCATTGTCAAAAGTAGTGGCCAAAATGTCCCTACTCATTGTGGCTGTGATACAGGTGTATTGTAAAAAGATGTGATTCACACACCATTGGGGATCTCTAAGCACACCTCCATGTTATTTAGAATTTTTATTTTGGCCCAAATATCTACAAGGTAGTGGGGAGTTATGTGAGTTTCTTAGGCCATGACAACTTGCCAGCTTTAATACCTTCAGATGAGGATGGGTTACCAGCCAGCTTGGGCCCATTTTGTAGTACCCATCCAGGACAGACATACTGGTCAGGGGCAGAAATATAACAATTCAGTGGGAAAGCTGATATGGTTGGCTGAGGTGATACATTTCATGCATTTGTGTGAATACTTCCTCCTGAAGATTTGATGATTCTGGAATGGTTTGGAGACGACTTCAAAAATAACATGTTTAGTAAAAGGGAACTGTAGGACACTGAAGAACCACTGCTCAAGACCCAACATAGTCAGCTACTGGTGATAACCATTTCAGTACTTTGTTGGCTAGGACCTAGAAGTTGGGAAGACATTTATGAGAGATTATCAAAAAGGGAGAAGCTGTTGGAATCCTTATACTGTTTCATAATCAGAATTGTTGTAAGGTGACCTAGTTCTTGATAATTATCTTTAGAAAAGCAAGGGTACAGGTTAACAGAGGGGGATTTATAGGATAAGAACAGAAGGGCAGGGCAAAATCTATGTTCACAAATAGACCGACTCTCCTTGTCTTGTTGACATAGTAATCAAAAAGGGAGACCACTGAAAATTTTTGCGTATTCAAAATTATTGAAAATTTTGTCTTCCTTTTATTTTAGGGCTTGTTAAGAAAAAACATGACCCAAAATTTGGAAATAAGGCAAAAATATTACTGCCTACCTTTTCAAAGATACTGCACTAAAGAAAGCACTGTCCCACAGGACTGCCCAAGGGTTATCCAAGTCTGGGTAGCAAGGGGTCGTCTGATTCAGGCACTACCCTGAGCGGAAAACAATGGCCCAAGACCTCGACCAAACCCAGCTCTCCACCTGTTTTTGTACAGCTTTGAACTGAGAATGCTTTTTTACAATCTTAAGTGGTTGAGAAAATATCAAAAGTAGAATAATATTTTGTCACATGTAAGTTTACATGAAATTCAAACTTTAGAAGAATTTCCTCTTCACAGACATCACATCTTCAAGAGCAAATGCTTGAGCCCTAACCTGCAAGTTATAGTAGAAAAGTCCAGAAGTCCAGCCTGGTCCTCGCCAAGTTTCCAACTCCTATGCCTAGGGGTATTTTATGCTTACAGGATCTAACTTGGTTACAACGTCTAACTTTTAGCAGAGAGGCAGTGCTGAGTAGAAACTGGACTTGTTAACCATATCAAGTCACTTAAGTTGGCTAGGATCCCCTACTTAGGTAGCGGCCATAAAGCCTAGGGCATCCCTGTGCCCTCAATGGTTCACTTCTGAGTGGTGGGCTTCCTGCTCCTCAATAGAGCAATCGGCAGAAAGGCCCCTAGAAAGCTACATTGTCTTCATCCGCGAAGGATTCCCTGTCTCCTATTCCTCAAAGGAGCACCCGGATTCTACTTTCATTCTTCTTTTGCCATTGCATTTTATAACTTAAAAGAAATAGATGATTGTAACAGAAGAAAGAAAACTTTACATTGTGAGAAAATTTAGACCTAAAGCTTATAGTAATGTGAGGACGAAAGTCTATACTGTTTAAGTAAATAGGTTCTATGAGCAGCATCCAGGCTAACATCACACAGTGGTATTTTGAATTAAATTGTACTTGTGTTTTGTTTCCGTGTTTTGCTGCTGTAAGGAAAGAGGAAAGCATCCCCTTTCTCGGCCCTCCTCCCACGTCCAGGCTAATTTGCAGCATTTCTACATCTCAGAGTCCACCCTTAAGATCCTTGCCACCCATTATTTTGTTTCAGAACGCTTAATCCATCAAGGAAGGTTAAATTGGATTACCCCAGTAGGGAAGGGACGGGGGCTGTAAGCATGAGGGATTATCCCTGTAAAGGGCTCGTGGTGTGTGTGTGTGTGCGTCCTGCTAGTGTTGAATGACGGAGACCTGAGTTTGGATTCTGAATCCAGGTGTATTCGATGCCGCTCCGGCGTAGAACGGGTTAAAGATGCCCCCAGCCAGGTAGAGCCAGACTGGGAGTTGTGCAAGGTCTCAACCCCCTAAAAGCGGCCCCTCAAATTGAAGATGAGTAAATCATAGTTCGTAAATCAGAAAGATTATCCAGTACTACGTTACTCTGTTTATTTCCCTTTCGTCATCCCTGAGTCTTGGGTCAAGTCCATCCCAGCTCTGTCCTCCAGGAATCAAGGGAAATACGCAAACCCGCGGTGGGTTCGCAGCCGCAGGAAGGACAAATCTTGCCCCCGCCGCGGCGGCCGCCCCGCGTTAGCTGCCTAAGAGAATCTCCGTGGCCGGCCAGTACCCGCCTTGGTGAGGATTCTCCCTCCCGCGAGAACTTCTGGAATGCCGCCGGGCCAGATTTTGCAGCTGAGGCCTCCGACGCCACTAATATTGGGCCAAGCAGGGAGTGCTGCTCTTCCTTATAAGGTTTTAGCGAAAGTTAAGTAAGCCAATTAAAGTGCAAAACACACAGTCTGGAACAATACAGCGCTCTATAAATGGTCTCCATTATTATCATTATCCGTTAGTTATAACTGGGGATAAAAAAAAAAAAAAAACGACAAAAACCTGGAGAACCGGAAAGGTCTGCAAAAGGGGCGGAACGCGGGAACTTCGATTTGGGGAAGGGGTGGCGGGGGAGATCCCACACAAGCAGCCAATCCAGCTGTCCCGGGGAGGAAGAGGAGGAGTCAAGGCCCGCCCCTGGTCTCCGCACTGCTCACTCCCGCGCAGTGAGGTTGGCACAGCCACCGCTCTGTGGCTCGCTTGGTTCCCTTAGTCCCGAGCGCTCGCCCACTGCAGATTCCTTTCCCGTGCAGACATGGCCTCTGGCACCACCACCACCGCCGTGAAGGTGAGATGAGCCCTCCCAGCCGCAGCGGTTCGCCCTGCCGGATGCCTTCTCGCCCCCGCGCCGGGGGACCGCGCCTCCGGGGGCCATGCGCCCGGCCCGTGCGTCCCTTGCCGCCGCGGGGAGGGACTGGGGCGCGGCACTCGGGACTCACTTGCCGCGCGAGGAGAGGGTACGCTTGCAAATGATCCCCCTGCCGCACCGCCAACACACACACACACACACACACACACACACACACACACACACACACACACACCACCTTTTGGCTTATCTGCACCCGCACCCTGTAGGGCGTAGGCACCCCTTTAGAGAGAGAGGTCGTGGATGGGAGAGGCTGCACCCATGCCACCACCATTCCTGAGAACCACTCTTCTTCCAAGAAAGACACCCGGCTGGAGTCAGGAGGTGTCCGGGCGCCTGCAGCTTCTGTGACCGTCTCCTGGTGCCTTGCGGGACTCCAGCTTCCGCTCTCTGACTCTGCTTGTTGCCTGCGGCCCACGTGGGAGAACTGCTTACTTGCTCTTTTGTATGCTTCCGGCTTCTTTTTCCTCCAAACGTAGGCCTTCTCCGCGCTGAAGTTTTCCCCAGCAGCGTAATACTGTAAGAATTCTGAGACTTTCTTCGAAAAGGAGTACAGGCGTCCGTTTTTAGGGCTGCACTGTTTGGAGGCCTCTGGCTTGAAACTGCTTTGTTTTGCAGCCTTGCAAGTTAGAGTTCAATTTCCTTGTGCCCTAGGCCCTGAGAGGCCTTGATACAAGGGGTCATTGTGCGGTGGGAAGCTTTGTGCTGAGGAGGGCACGAGTTCTGAGAGTAGCAGCTGGCTTCCCTGGGGTTTTAAACACTTCTCTCCTGGTTAGTATTCCGAGAGAGAATTACAGCACGTAAAGAAAAATTGATGATAAAACTTAAGACCTCTTCTAGGCAGTTTATTACTGGCTAAGAATGCGTTCTTGTTTGATTTTTAGAAATTTTTGGCCTATGGGATAGGAAGGTCTGCGATCTTCTCCAAAGCATCTCGATTCCCTACACTCGACTGCAGTTTTCCCGGGAGAAGGCGAATTTCTGCGGTCAGTGTGTAATCAGCCAGATTAGTTTATTACGCCCTTGCAGGTTTAAATGAGCCACTTAGAATGAGAGGAATGGTGAAGGGTGTTGCATCCAGACTTATATATGAAACTTATTTTGTCATTTTGAAAAGAATCTTGCATCCAGCAAATATTTATAGAAGGCCTCTCCCCTGCCTTCATTGTTTGGCGGAAACAAGGCAGAAATGGTTTTCATGAAACTCGTGTGAAGTATGTGACTTCTCTTAGGTGCTCATCTATAAACTGAGAATTTTACTGCAGAATTTGCTAGGAGGGCTAGAATTATATTGTCTATGTTGCACATGGTAGAAGCTTATTAAGTGGTAGTGCTTATAAGTGGGGGAACTGAGATTAATTTTGAATGATCTTTTCCCCAAAAATTATTAAGTTATTGTGTTAGGTATCATTAGGCCACAACTTTTCACCTTATCCTTGCAGGAATACACTTCAAGCGCCATTAAAAATGGAGAAATGGTGTTTAAAACAGTCTTACTTTAATCTGGTTAGCATTCTCCCTGCCACAGGGTTTCCCTTCAAATTAATGCAGTGCATTTAAGTGCAGAATGGGCAATGGGATTCTCAGAGACCTGATGTAAATATTGAATAGTGTGTATTTTTGGTCTTGGCAAGCTTCTGGATATAAAATTAAGAGGTACATATGGTGCTAGGACTGCCTGCTGATTTCTCTTTTAATTTAGAACAGATGACAGCTTTGCCGTAGAGATTCCATGATGCCAGCACCGTATTCCCCAGACTTCTAAGGCAACATTCTGTATAGAAGATGTGAGGTGCCAGTGTCCAGAGCAAAATAGGTTAATAAAAACCACATCCTATTCCCAAATTATAGAATGATGGGGCTGGAGTGTTCCTTCAAGACCATCCATATAGCCACACAAACCCGTTTTGCGGGTGTAAAGTTGAGGCCCAGAAAGGTCAGCTAAGTATCCAGAATTACACAGCTGGACCTAGATAATGACAGAATTGGGCCTAGAGCCTGGCATTCCACCAACTAGATGTGAGGCATTTCTGAAATCTGAAGTGTGGTCTCTGCCCTGTTTTCTTGTGACCTAATGCACAATTAAAATGAGCACTTGATAGAATGTCCATCTTGAAGAGGGAGGCAGAGGGTATGCAGAAAGCAGGCTGCCTCCAGTGCCCACTGCACACCACCCAGGTATAGGTATAGGAGGCACATGTGTGTCTGAACCCCATTGGTGTCACTGGCAGGTCCTTTGAGAGGTTGCTGGATTTAAATACAGTAACATGTAACACACTCAGCCCAGTTCCAGGTACTCCTTTAATGTCAGCCCAAGTACCTCTCTTCTTAAAATAGAGATATTAACGGGGTGGATCTTAAATTCATTCTCAATTTTAGAGGTGCAGTTAACTCATGCAAGTGAAAGATTCCACTGAGTTTTGGATTGGCAGTATATTTGGCATATCTTTCAAATCTAGCCATCTACTGGTGGAATCCTATTCAAAAATATTTATTGAATACCTGCTAGACAATGGGGATGCAGCTTTGAGTAAGCGAGGCCTTTATTTATTTTCTTCAAGTTTATATTCTAGTCAGGGTGGGAAACCAACTGACATGAAAGTGAAACAGCAGTAAGATTCCATTGGGTGAGGGGTGTCAGAAAAGACTCCTAGGGAGGTGGATTTTAAGCTGTGCAGTAGTCTGCCTCCAAAATCTGTATGTTGAAACCTAATCGCCAATGTGATGGTATTAGAAGATGGGGCCTTTGGGCGTGATTGGGGTCATAAAGGTGGAGCCCTCATGAATGGAAGCAGTGCCCTTACAAAAGAGGCCCCAGAGAGCTGCCTTATTCCCTCTACTAAGTGAGAGGACACCATCTATGAGCCAAAACGTGGGCCTTCCTCAGACACTGAATCTGCTGTGACCTTGAACTTGCTAAGCCTCCAGACTATGAGAAATTTCTGCTGTTTATAAGCCACCCAGTCCTAAGATATTTTGTTATAGCAGCCTGAATGGACTTAAGCTGATAGTGAAAATAGGGATAAAGGGTAAAGATCCAAGTGAAGACCTGAGGAGAGAGATGGGGGTAGGAGAGCGAAAACCAAGATGTCGCAGAAGTGAGCTCAGTGTGGTAGGAATGGAAATCACGGATGCACAGTGAGAATTGGGTGGATGCAGCTCATAAGGCCATCCTTGTAGACCGCGATCAAGAATTTTGATTTTAAATGTTTTGGAAACTGTTGAAGGGTTAAGAGTGGGAGGCAGCATTTGATTTACATTTTAAAATGATTACTCTGGCTGTTGTATACAGAATAGCCTGTGGGCAGGGGAAGAGCTAAGAGATCAGGCCAGAAGTCTTGGTGCTGGGGCTGAAGTCTAGGGTGGGAGCCATGGAGGTGGTGAGGAATAATCAGATTGGGGATAGAATTTGCAGGTAGAACACAGAGATGGATAAGATGTGGGGAGTGCAGGAAGAAGAACAGGATGATTTCTGCTTTTGACCTGGAAAACCAAAAAGATGATGATACTGGTGGATCATTTCAAAGTGGGCGATAAGGGGCCACGAGTGACTCCTTGGAGCCAAGGAGGGTGAGTGTAGGATTCCTTCCTCCCAGATACTGCTGGTTAGGGGGCCAGAGGCTGGGATGCTGAGGGGCCTCTTTGCTGTAGGAGCAGAGTGGGTGGCAGGTTGAGGGAGGGAGGAAGCCACCTGGAGTGAGAGTAATTCAAGCAATCTTTTTTGTGGTTCACTGCAGTGAGAGATGGTCCAGGCAGGGAGTGAGGATATTACCTGGGGGGTAGCCATGGAGAGAGGCAGCAGGAGCCAGAGGCTATGGGATTAACACTGCCATTGTCTGAGAGGACCTCAGGGAGACATTGTCCTCCAGCATCAGCCAAGGGCAGGTGGTATTCCTGACAGAGGGCCAAACCAGTCTTTGGCACCCAGATACAGGGCATTCTGGAGGGCTCCTGCAGTGTACCATGGCTCCCCTGGGCAGCCTCCCAGCTTTCATTCTGGGAGATTAAAAATAAGACTTGGCCAGGCGCGGTGGCTCATGCCTGTAATCCCAACACTTTGGGAGGCCCAGCTGGGCAGATTACCTGAGCTCAGAAGTTCAAGACCAGCCTGGGCAACATGGTGAAACCCCATTTCTACAAAAAATACAAAAATTAGCCAGGCACGGTGCTGCACGCATGTAATCCCAGCTACTCAGGAGGCCAAGGTGGGCGAATCTCTTGAGCCCAGGAGGCAGAGGTTGCAGTGAGCAGAGACTGCGCCATTGCACTCCAGCCTGGGCGACAGAGTAAGATCCTGTCTCAAAATAATAATAATAATAACAACAACTTGTTAATCATGGTTGCTGTGACAAGGAGGGGATATGGTCCCATTGTAGGTTGGTAGTGAGCTATCAACATAATGATATTAAGGGAGATGGACAAGTCATGGTTTGTAGACTGTGGAATATGGGCCTTTACACTCCCTGCTTTGCTGTCTTGAGTGTGGCCTGCAAGGGCCTTCAGCCTGAGAGTCCTTGTGTGGCTATCTGAAACTGAGGACAACCTGCAGGCCCCAGTTGAAAATCACATGACCAACAAGCCTTCATTTTTTTTGCCTAGGGACACAAGGGCATTTTGGGCAGGACAATTATTTCTTTTGTAGGACTGTCCCAAGCATTGCAGGACATGGAGTACAACCCTTAACCTCCTCCACAGAAATGCCAGTAGCACTCCCCCTAGTCATGACAGCCAGAAATAGCCCTGTTTCCAGATACCCCCAGGAGAGCTGTTTGACATTTAGTTGAGGACCCCAAGGCTAAATCCCAAAAAAGACTACCTGCTGAAGAGAGGTAGGAGCAGCCAGGTTTTGTACTGCTCAGCAGAGTAAAAGGAGGAAATAAGGGCTTTTTTTGTTGCTTTGAGGAAGTTTATTTTGATTTTTTATTTTTGCCAGGAGTGGTAGGGTATACAGAAACAGAGACTGATGGTAATACATTATTTCATTTTATTCTCTTGATAATTTTATGGATTAGTAAAAATCTTACCCTATAGGTACAGCTGAGGAAGCAGTTAAGGAAAATGTTTGTATGCAGTGGATTCTGGATCCTCACCTGTGGTTGTAGTCATGGCATTCCAGCCTGTGCCTCAAAAGCATCTAAAGCAGTGGTTCTCAAAGCGTGTCATGCATTCATATCACCTGGTCATTTGCTAGAAATGCAAGTTCATAGGCCCCACCCCAGTCCCAGTGAATCAGAAACTCTGGGGCTGGGGCCCAGCAATCTAGGTTTTGACAAGCCTTAGAATATTCAGATGTCCACCGAAGTTTGACAGCCACTGACCTAGAGAGCTTTGGAAAGGGTGGCCATCTACATTTTTAACAAGTTCTTCCCTTAGTGTTATAGTTTCCTGTTGCTGCTATAACAATTTTCACAAATGGAGTGGCTTAAGACAACACACATGAGGCCGGGCATGGTGGCTCATGCCTGTAATCATAGCACTTTGGGAGGCTGAGGTGGATAGACTGCTTGAGCTCAGGCGTTCAAGACCAGCCTGGGCAGCATGGTGAAACCTCATCTCTGCAAAAAAAAAAAACAAAAAAATTAGCCAGGCGTGGCGGTGCACGCTTGTAGTTCAGCTCCTTGGGGGCTGAGGTAGGAGGGTCACTTGAACCCAGGAGGTTGAGGCTGCAGTGAGCTGAGATTTCACCACTGCACTCCAGCAGCCTGGGTGACAAAGTGAGACTCTGTTTCCAAAAAAAAAAAAAACACACACACACACACACAAACGTATTCTCTTACAGTTCTGGAGTCCACAAATCCAAAATGAGTCTTACAGGGCTAAAATTAACATGTGTATCGGGCTGGTTCCTCTTAGAAAAACCATTTCCTTGCCTTTTTCAGTCTTCTGAACCTGTAGAACCATGAGCTAAATAAGCCTCTTTTCTTTATAAATTACCCTATCTCAGGTATTCTGTTATAGCAGCAGAAAACAGACTAAGAAAAATGTTGTGCTTGTAAGAGATTGGGACACGGACACATACAGAGGGAAGACCATGTGAAGACACATGGAGAACGCTGCCATCTACAAGCCAAGGAGACTGACCTTAGAAGAAATCAATCCCAATCTCACCTTAATGTTGGACTTCTAGCCTCCAGAACTGTGAGAAGATAAGTTTCTCTTGCTTATGGGGAAAACCTATTTCCTTGCCTTTTTCAGCTTCTGGAGGCACCAGCACTTCTTGGCCCATGGCCCCACATCATGTCCCCTTTTCTCTCCCTCTGCTTCTATCATTATATCACTTTCTTCCTCATTTGACCTTCTTGCCTCCTTGTGATTTCATTTAGGTCCCACCCAGGTAATCTAGGATAATCTCCCCATCTCAAGATCCTGGATTTAATCATATTTGAGGTAACATTCCCAGGTTCTGGGAATTAGGATGTAGCTAGGATCTCTTGGGACAGGGGCATTGTTCAGCTTGCCACACTCAGCCCACGTTTTAAAAATTTATGGTCTAGGGGCCGGGCGCGGTGGCTCATGCCTGTAATCCCAGCACTTTGGGAGGCTGAGGCGGGCGGATCACAAGATCCGAAGATTGAGACCATCCTGGCTAACATGGTGAAACCCCGTCTCTACTAAAAATACAAAAAATTAGCCGGGCACGGTGGCAGCCTCCTGTCATCCCAGCTACTTGGGAGACTAAGGCAGGAGAATGGTGTGAAACTGGGAGGCGGAGCTTGCAGTGAGCCGAGATCGCACCACTGCACTCCAGCCTGGGCGACAGAGTGAGACTCCGTCTCAAAAAAAAAAAAAAGAAAGAAATTTATGGTCTAGGCCCTAGAGCAGGTTGCTTAGTTCTGAGGGCACTTTAGAACCACCTGCGGAGCTTTAAAAACAAACTACGCCTTGCCCAACTAATCAGAATCCCTGAGGCCTGGGCTTTGGTATTGAAAGCTAGAGAAGGGGAATGTCCTAGTATCCAGCAGCTGGTTCAGGAGGGTGGGTGGCTCCCACTGTTGCTCCACAGGCAAAGGAGAGCTCTAACAAAGTATGCATTAGGGAGAGTCCTCCTCTAAAAATATCTGGCCATTTCAGCAGGTGAAGTGTGTCTTTAAGAGGGTGTCTGCCCTTTAGACTGATATCTGTACTTCTCAAGGGGCATTTGCTCAAATAAAAACCATGGATGTTTTGAGCGCTTGCATCATCCAAGCTTCTCTGACTAAAATATAGAGTCACTGTATTAGTTCGCTAGGCCTGCTATAACAAAGCACTACAGAATGGGTAGCTTATGCAACAGAAGCATTATCTCCTCACAGCGCTGGAGGTTAGAAGTCCAAGATCAAGGTGAGATCAAGGTGGATTTCTTGTAAGGTCAGTCTGCTTGGCTTGTACATGGCAATGTTCTCCATTTGTCTTCACAGGGTCTTCCCTCTGTATGTGGTTATATCCCAATCTCTTGTAAGGACAACAGTTTTCTTAGTCTGTTTTCTGTTGCTATAACAGAATACCTGAGACAGGGTAATTTATAAAGAGAAGAGGTTTATTTAAAAGAAATGAAAGGGAGACGAGGGAGATAGGAAAAGGAAACAAAAAAGAGACAAACTTTGCTTCATAACAACCCACTCTCACTGGAACTAATCCAACCCAATGAGAGCAAGAACACCCTCCCCTGGGACTGCATGAATCCCTTAATTGGGGTGGATTATTACCATGGCTCATGACTCAAACTCCTCTTAAAGGTACTACCTCCCAGCATCACTATATTTGGGGACCAAGCCTCAACATGAGTTTTGAAGATGACCACATTCAAACCATAACATGAGGTATACTGCATTAGGGCCCATCCCAGTGACCTCATTTGATCTGAATTACCTCTTTAAAAACGGCAAATACAGTCACATTCTGAGGTACTGAGAGTTGGAACTTCAACCTATGAACTTAGGGGAGATACAATTCCATCCATAACCATTACCTACAAGGGTGGCCTACAGAGGGGGTGTCTTGTCAGAGATGGAGACCCCAGCTATCCCTGTGGACCCTATTGCAGGTTTTTAACAGTCCTCACAGCCTGAGACAGTTGGTTGCTCCCTCTCATACAGCTAGGCTTCCAGGATTTTGCAAGGCCCTGACAGGCCTCAAAGCCATGTCAGCCTAATAATGAGGGCCTCCGTCTGCTGTGCTTGCCAAAATTGTTATGGCAACCAGAGCTAAAGGACTGCAGTGCTCAGATCGGGCTGTGCCAGCTCCAGCTCTGGCTCGCTTACCTTATCGTGAGCTTGAGGCACTCAGAGGCAGCCCATCTCCCTGGCATGAGCTAGTCTCAACCGCTTGGGGTGATGGTATTTTGAAAATGCCATTATAGAGTGCTGGGTTCCTTACGGCAGTGTGCCCAGGCCTCAAAGTGATGGTGAATGGTTTCTGGGACAAAGAAGGGTTGGTAAAATCTCCTGTAGCCAGGTACTAGAAGAAATAGACAGAGTAGGGGTTACTATGCACCCTTTCCACATTGCTAGAAGTAACTGTTCTGACCAGGTGAACTGGTATTTGGATAAATGCTTTCACAGTCTCAGAGAAGTCAGACCCTTGGATTGATTTGCTCTTGAACAAAAAAATTTTTTTTTTCACTGTGAAAATGCTTTCTTTGGGGTGTCTTTAGAACATGTGATGTCAAGACACAACAGCAAGCGCACATACACTAAGACATGGCTGTCATAGAACAGATTGTGCGTGAATAAAGGGTTCACACCACTTCCACCCTTTACACAGTAACAGAAGGCTCTAGGCCACCTACCTCCTCCTTGGCTCACTCAAACTCTTCCTCCTCAGCCGTGGCCTCCTGCTACTGCTGGTACTCAGACACCAGGTCGTTCATGTTGCTTTCAGCCTCGGTGAATTCCATCTCATCCATGCCCTCGCCCGTGTACCAGTACAGGAAAGCTTTGCACCGAAGTATACCTGTGAACTGCTCTGAGATGCCCTTGATCAGATCCTAGATAGCAGTGTTGTTGCCAGTGAAGGTGGCCGGACATCTTTAGCCCTGAGGGTGGGAAGTCACACACAGCTGTTTTTATATCTTGGGGGATCCAACCAACAAAGTAGCTGCTGTTCATATTTTGGGCATTAAGCATGTGCATGTCCACCTCCTTCATGGACATGTGGCCCCTGAACATGGCAGCTACCATTACGTAGCAACCATGGCAGAGGTTGCAGGCAGCCATCATATTCTTGGCATCAAAGAACTGCCAAGTGGGCTCACGCACCATGAGGGCCCAGTACTGCTGGTTGTCCCAGCTGGTCAGCAGGGGGAAGCCATACATGAAGTGCAGGTGGGGGAACAGGACCATGTTTGCGGCCAGCTTCTGCAAGTCAGCATTGAGTTGGCCAGGGAAATGCAGACAGATGGTGACCCCACTCATGGCTGCAGACACCAGGTGGTTCAAGTCACTGTAGGTAGGTGTGGGCAGCTTTAGGGTTCTGAGGCAGATGTCATAGAGAGCTTTATTTATTATCATTGCAGAAGGTCTAGTTTTGAGAAGTTTGGTTTGATGGTCAGTCCGTGGAAAAGTGTGGCATGAGCCACTAGCTTTTAAAATCTGTCAAGGACCTTGATTGACTCCCTATTTCAGAACTCTATCTTGTGTAATAAAGAAGTCCTGGCTGGGCAGAAATTCCATCTCAGGTCTTGAACACATTTCCTACACAGTCTAGAATTAACTGGACTGAGGACTGACGCTTCCTGCCCAGGAGGCCTGGCAAGGTCTTGTCATTGTTTCCTGAGGGTGGATGAGGTCATTAAGAAAGAGTTTTCCTCCCCTCTGAGATGATTCACTCAGATACCTGGAGTCACTGTTTCTGTGCTTGTTCTGTGACCTTCGTCATGAACTTGACCTCTCTGAGCATGTTGTCTCATAACATGGAGACAAATAACTTTTCTAATAAGGTATAATGTTATGGAGGACTCCAGGGGATATTGGGAGAGGGCACATCATAGTGGTTAAGCCTGAAAGACCTAGATTTGTATCCCAGCTTTGCTCCTTATGATTGGCCCCTGGACGAGGTTTTTAATTTTTGTGCTTCTCTTTCTTCGTTTGTAAAACGGGTAACATTCTATAGGGCCCATCTTATGGTCCTGATGATGAAATAAGGTAAGGCCACTGAAGCACTTAGCACAGTGCCTTTAACATGTAAGTCCACAGACACAGTTACTTTATAACTAAGGCAGTACTGAGTTGACACAAACTTAGAGACTCAAAGGAATGTGGATAGAATTGGGCCATCAGTGCTTGGGTACTTCATCCCAGTTGTACTTTGCTGTGGAGCCAGCAGGTGGCGACATTGGCCACATCTTGGCCCTGCTGGCCTCCATCTTAGAGGTCCAGTTTCCTGGGATGGCGGGACTCAGTTGCTACACTTGTCCCTGTATCCCTCGCACAATGTAGGTTTCCGTAAACAACTGGACCTAGTAAAGTGACTGGATGGGCTTGCCTGCAGATCATTCCAGAGCAGTAGCCACTCTTGCTTTCATGTCCAGGGCTACTACATGTTCCTTGCTGAGGGCTGAGTTGCCAGCTACCTGGTGCAGAGTCATTATGCAGCCAGGTGGTGCAGACTGAAGCTTGGGGTTGCTGAGAGTGAGCTCAGGGGCTCTGAAATTCAGCGGGACACCTGGTTAGCATTTCTCAACAACTGCTACAATGCTGGGCAAGTTCACCTAAACTCAGAGGGTGGCTCCAAACAAAGCCCAACTCGATTTGTGTATTTGATCCCGAGCATCCAGTGTTGAATCCAGAATCTGAGATGCCCTGGCTCAGGGAACACCCAGAAACAGCCAGGCCAAAGTGGTGATAAGTTAAAAAGCTAGTAGCTGAATCCCCAGGGAGCTGGCTGAGAGTAATTTCAGAGTCAGCAGTTCATATCTGTGTCCCAGGTGAGGATATGGGCTGGATGGTTTCTTAGCCTCCTCATGACCTGTGGTGCTTCAGAGGTCCACGGAATGAAGGATAAGATGGAGAAGCCAGGCTAAGGAAGGATTGGGATTTCCTAAAACAGTATGAATTTTTGTTATTTTCTATTGAAGTGCCGTAATTTAAATGTATTGACTTAAGTGAACACTTCTGTTGATTTGAAAGCTATAATACTGGTTACTCTTTGTTCGTTGACATAAAAGTATGTTAACCTGCTGTGGTTTTAATAATATACCTCCACAAGATGGCGCCAACATCAAAGCCTGGCTTTGCCACTTAAGGAAATTGTGGTGGACAGTCACAAATTATGTAACCATGTCATGGGAAACAGGCAGAGTTCTTCAGTAAAAACCTCACTAAATTGTCCTTATTTTCTTGTTTGTTTTTTGTTGTTGTTGCTTTTTTTGTGTGTGTGTTTTGTTTTTTTCAGGAAACTGAGCCAGAAAGGTAACCATTTTTTTACGTGTTGATAGGACTCAACTTGTGTAACCTGACCTGAAAATTATTTAATGCAGATGTTCACTGAATTCTTAATCCTGGAATTTTTTTCTTGAGGCCTACTTTATTTTATTTAGTTACCCTTGTGACAATAGATTTAAAGCTTTTCATTGAAAAACAACAATGCTCAGGTCACTTCGCATTAATTAGGTTTCTAATAAAGTTAGCCTGGCACTGTTTACTCTCTAGGAGGTACCAGCCCAAGGAAATTTCCCTAATGATTTGTTACTTATTTTTAGTTTTAACAGTTTAGTTAATTTTTATTTATTTTTGTAATTGTTCTTGTTTGTCTTTCTTAATCATCAAATTAGATCAACTCTCAGAGGATAGTGCTAGGTTTCTTTAACTCAGACAAGGACTTTCAAGATAATCTCTGAAAAATGCAATACAATGCATGAACTTAAAAAAAACTTATAACTACCTTTTGAATTATTTATATTTGCATAAATGTATTTACTGAGTAATATACATGAGTATGCTATATGTATATTTACAACATGTAAATATGAATTTGCATACATATATGAATGATTGTTTTCATAAATGTATATGCGGGTAACTTTTCATGCAATTTCAGTCTCCTCTGTCTGCATTCTCTCCTAGCTCTGTGATTCTAATGGCGTGGGAAAGATAATCTCTCATTTCTTTATCAAATAGAACAGTGAGGAGAAATCAATACCAAATGGAATACCTAATATTTTATATCCCAGCAGTCTTCTGAACATTGTTTATTCTATAGTCCATTTGACAGAGAAACAAAATTGATCAGAAGGTACTTTCCACTACCATACTTGCCTACTTTTAGGTTTGATTTTCTACCTTGAGTTGGTTAAAATACCTCTCTATGCTGACTTGTAATTCAGACAGTCAGAAGTAAATGTGATGTAGTCCAAAAAGGTGCCCTACGTTTTGGTTACTTATAGAATATAGAAGGCCTTCAAATGTTTGTTGATTTTTATGGAAGGCTTTGAAATATTTGTTGATTGATGTTCAGTAATTTTCAGATTTCAAAAAAATAACTAGGGCTTGGCAGGAATGGAGAAGAGCATATGAATAAATGAATTTGCTTAGAATCTTATTTCTAATAAAAATTACCAAATACAATAATCTTCTCTGTCTTTTTCTCTCTTAGATTGGAATAATTGGTGGAACAGGCCTGGATGATCCAGAAATTTTAGAAGGAAGAACTGAAAAATATGTGGATACTCCATTTGGCAAGGTTAATATCCAACTTGTGGAGACATGTTTTTTAGTTTTTTCATTTCTCCTTGCTGGCTTGATTTTTGAATTAAAAAAAAAAAAAAGAATTGCTTTTGTTTTGGCAGCCCAGGGCTGTCTGCTCCCAGCAGAGAGGGCCAGAAGTTCTGCTGTTGGGTTCCATCAGCTGAGAAGGTGTCTGATGGGCGCCTCACACTTTGATGTTTTGAGAAAATGGCTACTTAGTATGTAAATCACTTCTCATTCTGTTGCTGGAAATCAGATACTCATTTCAGACCACAGACTCATTTCAGACTGTACTTTTCAAATCTACATTCAAATCTTCTAATTTGTGGCCAATAGGTCACACCACACTAATTAGGGGACAGGCTGATGACTAATAGGATGAATTATTGTTACGAAGCGGCATTTGAGTGGAAAGAATTGTTTTGGGGAATTAGAACATACCTGATGTTAGTTGAATGTGTAACTGAGCTAGAAATAAAATGCTCCTCCTTTTATAGGAGAGGTTGCTTGTTCTCCAAGCCCATGTCACTCAGCCTAGGCCGGGGTGAGGGTGTCTGCATTCTCCTAATTCCATATTGCTACGTCCTCTGGTCCATCTGTAAGATCTCTCTATCTGGCTGTCCCAACCAAACCCTCCTTTTCAGCTAAATTCTTAGGTTGACCTTGTGTGCTCCCAGTCCTGCAGTCATCCTGGTTCATTTTCTTAAACCCCTCGGTTCTAAGGGTCTTTCCAGCCTTTGTTACCTCAAGTCATTTCCATGATCATCTTAGACCTGGTTAACACAAGCAGACATTTCCAGTGCTGAATTCTTAGTGTCATGATGGTGGCTTGTTATCCTTTCTGCCTTTCACCTTCACACCTGTTCTCAAACCTGCCCAATAACCTTGACACATCTAAATTTGACCAGTCTACCATCAGAGTTCCCTGGGGTACTCGTTACAAATAGATCTGACTAAATGGTACCTACACAGGTGCCCATGGTAACCTTGAGTCCTGTGAATCTATGCCTGCAGAGGGATCAATAAGTAATTGATTAAATGATTATATTGATAATCAGATCTTGCCTCTTCTCTAAGTTGTATCCTCAGACTCTTCAGATTCCATGAGTCCTGTTGTGGTTGAACAATTATAATTTACATACCTGTTTTTAAATCACTGAGTTAAATGTCATTTTTTCATTGCATGCAGCCATCTGATGCCTTAATTTTGGGGAAGATAAAAAATGTTGATTGCGTCCTCCTTGCAAGGTATGGTATTTTAAGCTTTTTGGATGTTACTACTAAAGGATAATTTAAATTTAACTTAAATTCTGGAAAGAGTAAAGATACAGGTCTGAGCTTTTATATGTTGGCAGAATCAGAACATCTTAGTAACCTTTATTTACAATGTTTTATTTTTGGTTAAGTTATATTGACTTAGGAGATCAAAGATCTCATGCTCTTGCCCCTTACATTGGGAAAGTAGATCAGATGACTAAAATCAAAGCTCTGGTTTTAGTTCTAACTGCAAGAAGAAATGTTTTGTTCATTTTTTTCCCCCTTCTTATAAAGATAAAGAAAAACAATGCATCATTAATGACCTCTTGCTGGTAGTAGTTATATGTCTGTGGGAAGTAGGCTTAGGGCTTCTGAAGTGGGTTACTTGTGTCTGTGCTGTTGTTTCCTTAAGGAGGCTGGTGCTGCTCCATATTACAGAGGAGGCCAAGTCATTTTTATCCCATTGTTAGAAGTTAGTCAAG
The DNA here is from genome assembly GCF_000001405.40 of Homo sapiens. Classification (NCBI taxonomy): domain Eukaryota; kingdom Metazoa; phylum Chordata; class Mammalia; order Primates; family Hominidae; genus Homo; species Homo sapiens. Next base: position 21,817,264 of record NC_000009.12, read on the forward strand.
ATATATGTATGAGTTCTCTACTGTTGTGTAACAAATTACCACAAATTTAGCAGCTTAAAATAGCACACATCATCTCCTAGTTCCTGTTGGTCAGAAGTCTGGCACAGCTTAGCCAGTCCTCTGCTTGGGGTTGCACAAGGCCCCACAAGGCATATTCAAGGACTGAGTCCCCATCTGGAGCTTGAGGTCCTTGTTCAAGCTCGTGTAGTTGTAGGAGAATTCACTCCCTAGAAGTTACAGGGCGGAGGCCTTTGGCTCCTAGAGGTGGTTCACATTCCCTGCCGTGTGGCCTGCTCCACAGGCTGTTCACTTGACTGCAGCTTGCTTCTTGCTATTAGGATATGGCAAAGGTGCTAGAAGTCACCTCCATGGTTAAGCTGTACCTTGCAAGCATGCAGGAGTCCGGCAGGAGAATCTCCTATGCATGCTTGCAAGGTAGAGCCTAATCGTGGGAGTGACTTATAGCACGTTTACCATTTTTCTATTGGCTGAATGCAAGTCCCAGGTTCACTGATCCTTTATACAGAGCATGACAGTGGGGTCCTCACTAGGGTCTGTCTGCCACTCTACATATTTGAAACAGGAGTGGCTTCTCAGAATCCAGTGAACCTAAATTTTAGTTTTAGTTGCTCACTGGACTGGGTTCTAGGAGACCCCCTGTGTTAGTCTGTGGTCATTGCTAGAGAATCACTTAATTTTTTCTAGACTCTAGGAGAAAACAGTTGGTGGTGTACTCATCACGGGTTAACAATTTCTTCTCTCCTTCCATAGGCATGGAAGGCAGCACACCATCATGCCTTCAAAGGTCAACTACCAGGCGAACATCTGGGCTTTGAAGGAAGAGGGCTGTACACATGTCATAGTGACCACAGCTTGTGGCTCCTTGAGGGAGGAGATTCAGCCCGGCGATATTGTCATTATTGATCAGTTCATTGACAGGTAAGCAGTCATACAAAATGCTTTAGGCTATTGTAGCTGGTCATTTTCAGCTCAAATGGACGACGCGTGGGAACCGGCAGGGCAACTGGGAGGGCAGTGCCACAGACTCGCTTGCTTTTTTTTTTTTTTTTTTTTTTTTTTTGGAGACGGAGCCTCACTCTGTCTCCCAGGCTGGAGTGCAGTGGCATGAACTCAGCTCACTGAAACCTCCGCCTCCCAGGTTCAAGCAATGCTTCTGTCTTAGCCTCCCGAGTAGCTGGGACTACAGGCACATGCCACAATGCCCAGCTAATTTTTGTATTTTTAGTAGAGATGGAGTTTCGTCATATTGGTCAGGCTGGTCTTGAATCAGGAGATCACCCGCCTCCGCCTCCCAAAGCGCAAAGTGCTGGGATTACAGGCGTGAGCCACTGCACCCAGCCTGTGTTAAGCTTTTCATTGTGAGTTTTTGTTTTTTAATTTTAATTGACAAATGATAAATGTATATATGAGGTATAACATTATATTTTGATATATGTATGCATTGTACAATGATTAGCAAAGCTAATTAACATATTACCCCACATATCATCTTTAGTGGTGAGAACATTTGATTTTTACTTTAACAATTTTGAAATACATAATACGTTGTCATTAGCTATAATCACCATGCAGTATAATCTCAAAAACTTATTCCTCCTGTCTAACTGAAATTTTGTGCTTTGATCAACGTCTCCCCAAACCCCAGCCCCTGGTAACCTTTCTACTCTTTACTTCTATGAGTTTGACTTAGTTAGATTCCACATATAGGTGAGATCATGCAGTATTTGTCTTTCCATGGCTGGTTTATTTCACTTAACATAATGTCCAGGTTCACCCATGTTGTGGCAATTGACAGAGTTGCGTTCTCTTTTAAGGCTAAATGGTATTCTGTTGTGTATATATACCACATTTTCTTTTTTTTTTTTTTAATTGTACTTTTAAGTTCTAGGGTACATGTGCACAACGTGCAGGTTTGTTACATATGTGTACATGTGCCATGTTGGTGTGCTGCACCCATTAACTCGTCATTTACATTGGGTATATCTCCTGATGCTTTCCCTCCCCACTCCCCCAACCCCACAAGAGGCCCTGGTGTGTGATGTTCCCCTTCCTATGTCCAAGTGTTCTCATTGTTCAGTTCCCACCTATGAGTCAGAACATGCGGAGTTTGGTTTTTTGTTCTTGGGATACTTTGCTGAGAATGATGGTTTCCAGCTTCATCCATGTCCCTACAAAGGACAGGAACTAATCCCTTTTTATGGCTGCGTAGTATTCCATGGTGTATATGTGCCACATTTTCTTAATCCAGTCTATCATTGATGGACATTTGGGTTGGTTCCAAGTCTTTGCTATTGTGAATAGTGCCGCAATAAACATACGTGTGCATGTGCCTTTATAGCAGCATGATTTATAATCCTTTGGGTATATACCCAGTAATGGGATGGCTGGGTCAAATGGTATTTCTAGTTCTAGATCCATGAGAAATCGCCACACTGTCTTCCACAATGGTTGAACTAGTTCACCTTCCCACCAGCAGTGTAAAAGTGTTCCTATTTCTCCACATCCTCTCCAGCACCTGTTGTTTCCTGACATTTTAATGATCACCATTCTAACTGGTGTGAGATGGTATCTCATTGTGGTTTTGATTTGCATTTCTCTGATGGCCAGTGATGATGAGCATTTTTTCATGTGTCTTTTGGCTGCATAAATGTCTTCTATTGAGAAGTGTCTGTTCATATCTTTTGCCCACATTTTGATGGGGTTGTTTGATTTTTTTCTTGTAACTTTGTTTGAGTTCTTTGTAGATTCTGGATATTAGCCCTTAGTCAGATGCGTAGGTTGCAAAAATTTTCTCCCATTCTGTAGGTTGCCTGTTCACTCTGATGGTAGTTTCTTTTGCTGTGCAGAAGCTCTTTAGTTTAATTAGATCCCATTTGTCAATTTTGGCTTTTGTTGCCATTGCTTTTGGTGTTTTAGTCATGAAGTCCTTCCCCATGCCTATGTCCTGAATGGTATTGCCTAGGTTTTCTTCTAGGGTTTTTATGGTTTTAGGTCTAACATTTAAGTCTTTAATCTATCTTGAATTAATTTTTGTATAAGGTGTAAAGAAAGGATCCAGTTTCAGCTTTCTACACATGGCTAGCCAGTTTTCCCAGCACCATTTATGAAATAGGGAATCCTTTCCCCATTTCTTGTTTTTGTCAGGTTTGTCACAGATCAGATGCTTGTAGATGTGTGGTATTATTTCTGAGGGCTCTGTTCTGTTCCATTGGTCTATATCTGTTTTGGTACCAGTACCACGCTGTTTTGGTGACTGTAGCCTTGTAGTGTAGTTTGAAGTCAGGTAGTGAGATGCCTCCAGCTTTGTTCTTTTGGCTTAGGATTGTCTTGGCAATGTTCATGGTTCCATATGAACTTTAAAGTAGTTTTTCCCAATTCTGTGAAGAAAGCCATTGGTAGCTTGATGGGGATGGCACTGAATCTATAAATTACCTATGGCCATTTTCATGATATTGATTCTACCTATCCATGAGCATGGAATGTTCTTCCATTTGTTTGTATCCTCTTTTATTTCATTGAGCAGTGGTTTGTAGTTCTCCTTGAAGAGGTCCTTCACAACCCTTGTAAGTTGGATTCCTAGGTATTTTATTCTCTTTGAAGCAATTGTGAATGTGAGTTCACTCAAGATTTGGCTCTCTGTTTGTCTGTTATTGGTGTATAAGAATGCTTGTGATTTTTGCACATTGATTTTGTGTCCTGAGACTTTGCTGAAGTTGCTTTTCATCTTAAGGAGATTTTGGGCTGAGACGATGGGGTTTTCTAAATATACAGTCATGTCATCTGCAAACAAGGACAATTTGATTACTCTTTTCCTAATTGAATACCCTTTACATCTTTCTCCTGCCTGATTGCCCTGGCCAGAACTTCCAGCACTGTGTTGAATAGGAGTGGTGAGAGAGGGCATCCCTGTCTTGTGCCAGTTTTCAAAGGGAATGCTTCCAGTTTTTGCCCATTCAGTATGATATTGGCTGTGGGGTTGTCATAAATAGCTCTTATTATTTTGAGCTACGTCCCATCAATACCTAACTTATTGAGAGTTTTTAGCATGAAGGGCTGTTGAATTTTGTCAAAGGCCTATTCTGCATCTATTGAGATAATCATGTAGTTTTTGTCTTTGGTTCTGTTTATATGCTGGATTATGTTTATTGATTTGCGTATGTTGAACCAGCCTTGCATCCCAGGGATGAAGCCCACTTGATGATGGTGGATAAGCTTTTTGATGTGCTGCTGGATTCAGTTTGCCAGTATTTTATTGAGGATTTTTGCATCGATGTTCATCAGGGATATTGGTCTAAAATTGTCTTTTTTGGTTGTGTCTCTGCCAGGCTTTGGTATCAGGATGATGCTGGCCTCATAAAATGAGTTAGGGAGGATTCCCTCTTTTTTTATTGATTGGAATAGTTTCAGAAGGAATGGTACCAGCTCCTCCTTGTACCTCTGGTAGAATTCGGCTGTGAATCCATCTGGTCCTGGACTTTTTTTGGTTGGTAGGCTATTAATTATTGCCTCAACTTCAGAGCCTGTTTGTTATTGGTCTATTCAGGGATTCAATTTCTTCCTGGTTTAGTCTTGGGAGGGTGTGTGTGTCCAGGAATTTATCCATTTCTTCTAGATTTTCTAGTTTATTTGCATAGAAGTGTTTATAGTATGCTCTGATGGTAGTTTGTATTTCTGTGGGATCGGTGGTGATATCCCCTTTATCATTTTTTATTGCATCTATTTGATTCTTCTCTCTTTTCTTCTTTATTAGTCTTGCTAGTGGTCTATCAATTTTGTTGATCCTTTCAGAAAACCAACTCCTGGATTCATTGATTTTTTGATGGGTTTTTTGTGTCTCTATCTCCTTCAGTTCTTCTCTGATCTTAGTTATTTCTTGTCTTCTGCTAGCTTTTGAATGTGTTTGCTCTTGCTTCTCTAGTTCTTTTCATTGTGATGTTAGGGTGTCAATTTTAGATCTCTCTTGCTTTCTCTTGTGGGCATTTAGTGCTATAAATTTCCCTCTACACACTGCTTTAAATGTGTCCCAGAGATTCTGGTATGTTGTGTATTTGTTCTCATTGGTTTCAAAGAACATCTTTATTTCTGCCTTCGTTTTGTTATGTACCCAGTAGTCATTCAGGAGCAGGTTCTTCAATTTCCATGTAGTTGAGCAGTTTTGGGTGAGTTTCTTAATCCTGAGTTCTAGTTTGATTGCACTGTGGTCTGAGAGATAGTTTGTTATAATTTCTGTTCTTTTACATTTGCTGAGGAGTGCTTTACTTCCAACTATGTGGTCAATTTTGGAATAAGTGTGATGTGGTGCCGAGAAGAATGTATATTCTGTTGATTTGGGGTGGAGAGTTCTGTAGATGTCTGTTAGGTCCGCTTGGTGCAGAGCTGAATTCAATTCCTGGATATCCTTGTTAACTTTCTGTCTCGTTGATCTGTCTAATGTTGACAGTGGGGTGTTAAAGTCTCCCATTATTATTGTGTGGGAGTCTAAGTCTCTTTGTAGATCTCTAAGGACTTGCTTTATGAATCTGGGCTCCTGTATTGGGTGCATATAGATTTAGGATAGTTGGCTCTTCTTGTTGAATTGATCCCTTTACCATTATGTAATGGCCTTCTTTGTCTCTTTTGATCTTTGTTGGTTTAAAGTCTGTTTTATCAGAGACTAGGATTGCAACGACTGCCTTTTTTTGTTTTCCATTTGCTTGGTAGATCTTCCTCCATCCCTTTATTTTGAGCCTATGTGTGTCTCTGCACGTGAGTTGGGTCTCCTGAATACAGCACACTGATGGGTCTTGACTCTTTATCCAATTTGCCAGTCTGTGTCTTTTAATTGGAGCATTTAGCCCATTTACATTTAAGGTTAATATTGTTATGTGTGAATTTGATCCTGTCACTATGATGTTAGCTGGTTATTTTGGTCGTTAGTTGATGCAGTTTCTTCCTAGCATCGATGGTCTTTATATTTTGGCATGTTTTTGCAGTGGCTGGTACCAGTTGTTCCTTTCCTCCAGGAGCTCTTTTAGGGCAGGCATGGTGGTGACAAAATCCTCAGCATTTGCTTGTCTGTAAAGGATTTTATTTCTCCTTCTCTTATGAAGCTTAGTTTGGCTGGATATGAAATTCTGGGTTGAAAATTCTTTTCTTTAAGAATGTTGAATATTGGCCCCCACTCTCTTCTGGCTTGTAGAGTTTCTGCCGAGAGATCTGCTTTTAGTCTGATGGGCTTCCCTTGTGGGTAACCCGACCTTTCTCTCTGGCTGTCCTTAACATTTTTTCCTTCATTTCAACTTTGGTGAATCTGACAATTATGTGTCTTGGAGTTGCTCTTCTCGAGGAGTATCTTTGTGGCGTTCTCTGTATTTCCTGAGTTTGAATGTTGGCCTGCCTTGCTAGATTGGGGAAGTTCTCCTGGATAATATCCTGCAGACTGTTTTCCAACTTGGTTCCATTCTCTCTGTCACTTTCCGGTACACCAATCAGATGTAGATTTGGTCTTTTCACATAGTCCCATATTTCTTGGAGGCTTCGTTCATTTCTTTTTACTCTTTTTTCTCTAAACTTCTCGCTTCATTTCATTCATCTGATCTTCAATCACTGATACCCTTTCTTCCAGTTGATGGAATCGGCTACTGAGGCTTGTGCATTCGTCACGTAGTTCTCGTACTATGGTTTTCAGCTCCATCAGGTCATTTAAGGACTTCTCTACACTGGTTATTCTAGTTAGCCATTCGTCTAATCTTTTTTCAAGGTTTTTAGCTTCTTTGCATTGGGTTCGAATTTCCTTCTTTAGCTCAGAGAAGTTTGATTGTCTGAAGCCTTCTCTCAACTCGTCAGTCATTCTCCATCCAGCTTTGTTCCATTGCTGGCGAGGAGCTGTGTTCCTTTGGAGGGGGAGAGGTGCTCTGATTTTTAGAATTTTCAGCTTTTCTGCCCTATTTTTTCCCCATCTTTGTGGTTTTATCTACCTTTGGTCTTTGATGATGGTGACATACAGATGTGGTTTTGGTGTGGATGTCCTTTCTGTTTGTTAGTTTTCCTTCTAACAGTCAGGACCCTCAGCTGCAGGTCTGTTGGAGTTTGCTGGAGGTCCACTCCAGACCCTGTTTGCCTGGATATCAGCAGTGGAGGCTGCAGAACGGCGAATGTTGCTGAACAGCAAATGTTCCTGCCTGATTGTTCCTCTGGAAGCTTCGTCTCAGAGGGGTACCCAGCCGTGTGAGGTGTCAGTCTGCCCTACTGGGGGGTGCCTCACAGTTAGCCTACTCGGGGTTCAGGGACCCACCTGAGGAGGCAGTCTGTCCATTCTCAGATCTCAAACTCTGTGCTGGGAGAACCACTACTCTCTTCAAAGCTGTCAGACAGGGACATTTAAGTCTGCAGAGGTTTCTGCTGCCTTTTGTTTGGCTATGCCCTGCCCCCAGAGTTGGAGTCTACAGAGGCAGGCAGGCCTCCTTGAGCTGTGGTGGGCTCCACCCAGTTAGAGCTTCCCAGCCACTTTGTTTACCTACTCAAGCCTCAGCAGTGGTGGGCGCCCATCCCCCAGCCTTGCCGCCGCCTTGCAGTTTGATCTCAGGCTGCTGTGCTAGCAATAAGCGAGGCTCTGTGGGCGTGGGACCCTCCGAGCTATGCACGGGATATAATCTCCTGGTGTGCCGTTTGCTAAGACAGTTGGAAAAGCACAGTATTAGGGTGGCAGTGACCCGATTTTCCAGGTGCCGTCTGTCACCCCTTCCCTTTGCTAGGAAAGGGAATTCCTTGACCCCTTACGCTTCCTAGGTGAGGCGATGCCTCACCCTGCTTTGGCTCACACTCGATGGGCTGCACCCGCTCTCCGGCACCCACTGTCCGACAAGCCCCAGTGAGATGAACCCGGTACCTAAGTTGGAAATACAGAAATCACCTGTCTTCTGCATTGCTCATGCTGGGAGCTGTAGACTGGAGCTGTTCCTATTAGGCCATCTTGGAACCGCCTCTCCCACATTTTCTTTATCTGTTCATCTGTTGATGGACGTTTATGTTGCTTCCATATCTTGGCTATTGTGAATAATGCTGCAGGGACCATGGAAGTGCTGATGTCTTTCTTGACGTAAAATTTCATTTCCTTATACACTCTGAGATGGGATTCTTGGATCATGTGGTAGTTGATATTTTCAGTTTTTTGGGGAATTTTAGTAATGGCTGTATTAATTTATATTCCTACCAGCAGTATACAAGGGTTCTGTTTTTGTCACATCCTCATCAACACTTACTTTGTTTTGTCATTTTGATAATGGCCATTGTGGCCTGGCACAGTGGTTCACGCCTGTAATCCTAGCACTTTGAGAGGTTGAAGCAAGAGGATTGCTTGAGCCCAGAAGTTTGAGACCAGCTTGGGCAACATAGTGAGACCTTGTCTCTGTAAAAAATAAAACAAAAATTAGCCATGTGTGTTGATATACAGCCATTGTCCCAGATACTTAAGAGACTGAGGTGGGAGAATCGCTTGAGCCTGGGAGGTCAAGGCTAGAATGATTCATGAATGCACCACTACACTCCAGCCTGGGTGACAGCAAAAAAGCCATTCAGGTGTGAGGTGATATCTTATTGTGGTTTTTATTTGCATTTTCTTGATGATTAGTGATGTTGAGCATTTTTCATACAGCTGTTGTCCATTTATGTGTCTTCTTTTGAGGAATGTCTATTCAAGTCCTTTGCCTATTTTTTTAATCAGGTTGTGTTTTTAGAACTTTCTTTCATTTAGTTTCCTTACGTATTTTGGGTATTAACCCCTTATCCGAGGTATGGTTTGTAAACATTTTTTTCCTATCTATAGGCTGTCTCTTTATATTATGGGAATTTTTAAACATATACACAAAAGAATAATAATCAGGGACTCTCTAAGTTCCTAATTCCTAGCTTCAAGAGAACATTTTCTTTTTTTTTTTTTTTAAAGAGAGTATAAATTAGTATTTCCTTAGTATTAGATATCTAGGAAGTTCTCTCTATTGTCTCATGAACTTTTTTTTTAATAGTTGGTTTGTTCAAATAAGGGTCCACTCATTACACACATAAGCTTAATAAGCCTTCTAGTCTGGAAGATTCCACCTTCTTTTTTCCTTTTCCTTTTACTGCCTATCCACATTCTGGATGTTACTAATTGTATCAAGTGTCATTTAGTGTCTTCTCCCGGCCCCTGTGTTTGCTATAAACTGGATTTAGTTCTGGTGGCCTGATCAGAACCAGGTTTGAATTCTTGGCAAGGATCCTTCCTTCTGCATCCTGTCGGAAGGCATGTGATGTCCAGTTGTCCCTTCATAATGCGATCGATCAGGTGCCAGAGGTGCTGGGGTTTTGTTTATTATTATTATTATTATTATTATTATTATTATTATTATTTAACTGCACAAGTAATATATATTGTTCCTTTACCCCCCCAAAAAAACAACAATAATAGACTGCCAAATTTTTGGACCTTTTCTGCATTTAGAGGTAGTTGAAATCACAAGGGAAAGTGGTGGTCTCTAGGTCAGGGATCCCCCACCCCTGTGGCTTGTTAGGAACCGGGCTGCACAGAAGAAGGTGAGCCGTGGGGCGAGAGCGAGCATTACCACCTGAGCTCCCCATCCTGTCAGATCAGCAGCAGCATTAGAGTCTCATAGGAGCAGGAACCCAATTGTGAACTGCACGTGGAAGGGATCTGTGTTGTGCACTCCTTATGAAAATCTAACTAATGCCTGATGATCTGAGGTGGAAGAGTTTCATCCTGAAACCATCCCCTCTGACCCTCTCTGTGGAAAAATTATCTTCCATGAAATCAGTCCCCGGTGCCAAAAAGATTAGGGGCAGCTGTACTAGGGCCACCCCCTCCCCTATTCCTGGTAGAAATAATTGCCTCTCAGAATGCTCTGGGTGAAGACAGGAGCCTCCTGGGCTGGATGGAGAGTGGAGAGTAGCGCAGAGTTAAATCATTTGGGGATCCTTCCACAATCCCCCATCCAATCACCCTGCCTACCACCTCAGTCCATGCTGCTCCTCCCATCAGTTATCTCTGAGCTTACTGTACTCACAGCCTGCTCCTAGAGCTTCTGCTATGGGAGAGAGGGTTGTCCAGTCCAGGCCACTGTGGCTTCTGCCTTTCAGGGATTCATTATAATTTCCAGTCTATCAGAAGCATTCTTGGTTGTTTCCTGATGGAATGAAACTGTTTTGAAATTGCCCATTCTGTAGGTCAGAAATGGTTGAATATCAGCAGTTTCATGTGGTTCAACCTAATAAATAATGGGGTTAGACTAAAATGGTTACATATTTCTCACCCCAAGTTATGTCCTTATAATGTATTTATACCTGACATTATATATTTGTGACCTGTTTCCCTCTAAGCCATGTGAGATCAAAGTCACTTTCTGCCCAGTTTGCACCATATCACCAACACCCACAACAGTTCCTGGCCCATCTTTGCTCTGTCAGTAATTTTTGAGGGCTTGAACATAGTCATTTGAATAGAGAGATAGGCTGGAGTTTGTGTTTTGGAGACATCTTGATCAAAATCTCAATGGCTGTCAACGTCCATGTGTTTGGAGGTAATAGTTTAAGAAAATGATTATAATATGATTGCTAAATAGAGTGGAATACAAAACTCCATATTCAGGATGATCCAGATGTATAAAGTATTACAGATGATACTGTAAAGTCTGAATTGGGCACTGAGCCTTGGGTTAATCTGTTACTTAAACAGTATGACTATACGCTGTTGCATTTCCCAGATCTTTTACTCACATGTCTTAAATGTAGATGTTTCACATACTGGCTCTTTCAAGAAAGCAGTTGGGTCAGAAGATGGAGACTAGAAAGAAAACAGGTATTGCCATCAGATCTGGTTTCATTCTATCTTAGCCAGGTAACCTTAAGATCTTCTACTATTTTTCTGTTTATGAGACATATGGATAACCTGCCCTCTTAATGTTTCCTTGGAAGTTCAAAGTCTCTAATAAGTGCCTTTTGTGGGATCTTGCATGTGTTAACCTTCTCAGTAACTGAGTGCCATTATTGAGAGTGTGTGCATACTGGCTGGAGGGTCCACTAGTTGACACTACTTTACAACAACAGGAGGAAAGAATCTGTTAAAAGAAGGATCCCTGGCAGGGTGCAGTGGCTCACGCCTGTAATCCCAACATTTTGGGAGGCTGAGGCAGGCAGATCACCTGAGGTCAGGAGTTCGAGACCAGCCTGGTCAACATGGTGAAACCCCGTCTTTACTAAAAATACAAAAAAAAAGTAGCCAGGTGTGGTGAGCACCTGTAATCCCAGCTACTCGGAAGGCTGAGGCAGGAGAATTGCTTGAACCCAGGAGGCAGAGGTTACAGTGAACCGAGATTGCTCCATTGCACTCCAGCCTAGGCAACAAGAGTGAAACTCCATCTCAAAAAAAAAGAAGGATCCCTAAGAGAATATAATTTAGCATGAAATCTCAATTTTTACATTGATTACTTATTTGGGGTGATAACGTTTTGAATATATTAGGTTAGACAAGATTTTAAAGTTAATTTTACCTGTTTCTCTTTTACTTTTTCAGTGACCACTAGAAATTTTAAAACTATGTAGGTGGCTAACATCATATTGCTGTTGGATGCATCTTTTAAGTGCTGCTGCCTTTGATTGAGCTGAGTGGGTTCCAGTTAACCAGGCTTGAGCACATATATCATTCATTATGTGTTTGAACATCTCATAGCAGAAGATGCCTTGCATATATATCATTCATTATGTGTTTGAACATCTCATAGCAGAAGATGCCTTGTGGTTAATGCCCTCTATGTGTTTTACTGATAGCACATTTCTTAGTAAAGTGAATCTTGGTGTATTGAGACGGGCATCTCCTACCTCCACTTGCTGATGGCATCAGATACAAATAGGCTGTGCCATTTTTAGCCTGGGGTTTCCCAGAGTCATACCCACAGCCCCAACTTGTTTAACAGGATTGTAACATCCTGTAAAGCCACCCCGTGGATTATAGAATTCCAGGGCAGCTGGGGCAGGAGCATTGAATCAGGAGGTTTCATCTTGACTCTGTTTGGCCCTGTGCAAATCACTTTACCCACTACACGTTGGTTCTTTCTTCCCAATGGAGGGCTGAATTGCACCATCTCTCTCTCTCATTCTTTTGTTGTTTTTTTTTTTTGTTTGTTTGTTTTTTTGAGACAGTCCCACTCTGTTGCCCAGGCTAGACTGCAGTAATGCAATCTCGGCTCACTGCAAGTGTGAGCCACTGTGCCTGGCCAGGCTCCTTTTCCCTACACTGCCCGTGTATTCTCTCCAGGGACTTACCTAGAACCACACACATTGGCCTATTGCCGTAAGTTTGTCAGCACGTTGTCTCAGAAAAAAAAAAAAATCCTCATCCTAAAGTGTTCTTCAAAGGCTAGCGAGATTGTTTAATAATACGGCTATTCTTATTTTATAGATGGCCAAGCTAAAGCACATCATTTTCTTTTCCTTCAGTGCCAGCATGAGCAGGGCGGGGGGACCAACCTCAGATTTAAGAAAGACATGTGGCTGATTTTTAGGGTTGTTTTTAGAAACATTAGATTTCTTCTCTAATAATGAAATATACTTTTGAAGGACTCTGACAATGCTGGAAGCTCTTTTAAGAAAAATGTCATTCTTATCTGAAAATCTTTTTTTTTCTTCTCTCTCTCATGCTACATTACAGCTGATGAAGTTAAAAAGCCTGGGCATAAGAAAAGGGGAGCCCTGGGTGTGACTGCCCTGGAAAAAGAGGTAGAGAGTGCAGTGGGTTCAAGTATGTTTGGGTATGTGCAGTCAGTCTTTGTGTCTTTCTCATTCAAGTAAATTCCATAGCAATTAAAGTGAAAATAATCATCTTTCATTTGTGAGTAGAGCATCCATAGAAAGCAACATATATCTTGGTCTAGAACTTAAATTCCAAAAGAATGTGTTATATTTTTCATTTTCCCGTTTTTGTTGCACAGGGACGAGTTTCCTGATGCTTCCTTGCCATAGGCCCTGGGCTCTGTGTGTAGTGTTCTTCCCAAACCAAAAATTAAAAATAGGAAAATCAGAATCTATACCAAGAACTTTGTCTAGGAGGCTTGTCTGCAGTAGGTTTCTTCAGTGCCTATGCCTCCTGCTGGATTGTGTTTGATTAATCCATTTCTTTTAACTTGTACAAGGTCCCCATTGTTAGAGCCACAAGTCATTTGGCCACTGAGGGTAAAAGATGGTTAGGAGTGGGATTTGTTCCACTTCTTTGCAGCGATTAAACAGTCAGTTTGAACTGGGGAAAGTATTTGACCTTTAGTCTGTCCTAAAAGAATGTCATCAGGCTGTTTATACATTAAAAGGCTCTCATAAGATATGTACTCCCAGATTCATAATTTTGGAACTTCTCTCCTATGGTACACACCCTTGTATGTATGCACACCTGGCTCTCACTGAGTCACTTATGGGAAACTGAAGCAAGTTTTTCTATTAATAGGGGAAAAAAGACCTCATAAAAGAGTCAAAGTAAATGAGACTTAGAGAAATGTAGAAGCATGACTATGCATCACTGGGCCTTTGCTTAGTTTTTATTCATCAGCCATGGAGAAGAAAGGCATGACTCTTTCCTGCCTCCCACACCCACCGGACTTGTAAAGCTCGACTTCGATGATGCATTATAAAGTGGTGCACAGGATTGGTTTTTAATGAGATTTTTGCCATTGGAGCAAAGCAAGACTGTTTCCCTGCCAGCTGCTTTATTCAAGTCATGAGGCATTTTGTTGTCTCCTCCTGTACTTGTGGTACATGGGCCCTCCATTTTCTAGCCCAGTTCTTGTTAGATACCTTTGCACATTCATTTGTATGTATGGCAGAACTGATGATATGGCCTTTCTTTCACCCCCAACTACTAACTGTCCATGCCATTAAAGATACATGGACAGGGGATTCCAGCAATTTCTACAGTTGCTCTTCTTTCTCTTTACCATTAATCCTGATGATTGTAGGAAATCAGTACACCATATTTATTATGCAAATCTAAGAAAAACAACTAGATCTATAAACTATTTGAAAAGATGCCCACATTGTATTTTTTTGTTGTTTTTTTAGATAGGATCTTTCTCTGTTGCCCGGGGTAGAGTGCAGTGGCCTGATCGCAGCTCACTGTAGCCTCTACCTCCTGGGCTTAAGCAATCCTCAGCCCGTCTAGTAGCTAGGATTACAGGAATCTGCCACTGTGCTTGGTAATTTTTTTTTTTTAAGGAGATGGGGTCTCACTATGTTGCCCAGGCTGGTTTCAAACTCCTGGCCTCAAGCAGTCTTCCTGCTTTGGCCTCCCCAAAGTGCTGGGATTATAGGCATGAGCCACTGCACCCAGCTACATATTTTTTAGAAAAGGATCAGATGAGTAGGACTTGCTCAACTGCTATCACTGTCAGAAATATCTCAAGGTGAAACTTGCAAACATATCAGTAAGGAGAAGGATGAGATTTCTTTTTTAATAGTCTTCTTTATCAGGAATGTTTTGCAGATATTGATTTTTTTTTTTTTTACAATGAGAAAAATATGACCAAAAACTGAATATTAAAGGAAGCAGAGTGTGATTCCCGGTGCTAAACAGTTTCTATAAAATGTGGCTAATAACATATTGGCCTGTTGTGCCTAAGGCCTGTGTTTGGGTTATGCCTTCTCAAAGAATGCAGTGGAAGAATCTCAGCTTAGAAGTGAGGACATCCAGAATTCTTTCCTGGCTGTGCCGTGAAATTCCTTTGTCACTTAGTGTCCTCATCTGCTAAATGAGGGTGTTGAATTGATTCCTAAAAGTTCTGGTATCCTCCCCTCTTCAGATTATTTCTTCAACTTATTTTCTTGGTAGAACTGGGAGAGGTTCGACTTTGCTTTTGTCACGCATTCTTACTCATCAGGAAAGTCCCGCTATAAACACAGTGCTGAGGGATCAGTTATGTCAGTCTGTTTCCTTCTCCCAGAGACCAGCCCTGCCTTGGGCTTCCCCTAGAACTTTATGTCATAGCATAAAGGCCCGTGTCTGGGCCCTGAGGTTGGGAGTATGCTCTGATGTCAAGTATTTGATCATTCTCTTTCTGCCTCTTGATGACTAGAAAGCGTTTTATGGTAAAGAGTTACGCAAGAAGCCTTTGTTTAGCTCTTTCTCTCATTGCTAAAAATAGTAAGCTGTTTTTAACCCTTACTGTTCTTACTTCTTCTTACTCATTTCCCTCACTCTTTAGCTGAGAATGTCACCTCCACCTTTATAGAGAAGACAGAAACTTAAGCATAAACTCTTCACCTTCCTTCACCTTCCCTTTCCCCAGTTACTTGCGTCCCTGTTCTTTGTCATCCTCTTGTCTGTAGCTGTCCTTGAAGTGGTGTCCACTATTCCCCTGGATGAGGTTCATTCTTACGTTCTGTTCCATAACCTAGTTGTGTTATTAACTTCCCATCATACATCCTTTTATTAAAAATCCTACACTACCAGTTTTTGAGTTCCTATTAGGTGTCACAATCAGTTAATCCCACTTACGGCATACAGCAGTCATTATTCCAGTTTATACTTGAAGAAACTTAGGCCCTTACTATGTTTCTGGCACTGCTTATTATCACAGCTCTAGAAGACATCTTCTATCTACCTTATCCTTCCCTTTTACAAAAGGTGAGAAAACTGAGGCCCAAAGAGGTTGTTGTCACCACCTATGTAGAGTGAGGATTTTTATTTTTGTGCTATTGTTTAGCATGATCTCATGAAATATAATAGAAAATAAGGGGAAACTATGGTACCTGTTTATTGAGCAGCCTTCCTTGACTGGGATATAAACATCCATTGGTTTTCCTCCTTTTTCATGCCACCACAAGCACTCAGGGGCACTCTTGATACCAGAACAGTGGGAGGATCTTAGTGATATTGGTCCAAATTCATAAGTTTTCACTTCTCTTTTTTTTGAGACAAGATCTCACTCTCGCCCAAGCTGGAGTACAGTGGCGCCACAGCTCACTGCAGCCTTTACCTCCCAGGCTCAGGTGATCTTGCCACCTCAGCCCCCCAAGTAGCTGGGACTACAAGGGTGTGACACCATACCCAGCTAATTTTTTGTATGTTTTTGTAGAGACAGGGTTTCACTATGTTGCCTGGGCTGATCTTGAACATCTAAACTCAAGGGTTCCACCCACCTTGGCCTCCTAAAGTGCTGGGATTACATGTGTGAGCCTCACTTCCTTCTGGTTATAGAGACAGAATTGTTCCACTTCTTAGTCTGATGTTTCTGTCAGAATTTTTTCTCATGACTGCCTATTCACGCTGCTGTTTGATTCTTGGGATATATTTTAAATGATGGGTAGATTCACTTCCCCTAAACCGTCCTCCTTATGAGCAGCCGTTATTCTGCTCTGCCAGTAAATTAATTGACTCACGATTCTGCATGTTGGGGCTTGTTGTGGATACAGACCGTATTCTGAAATGTCCTCAGAGGTCGATGATTGTGTTTGCTTCTGCCAGGGGATGGGTGTTTGCCCTCAGCTTGTTTGCAACACCACATTTCCTCAAAGGAAACGTATTAACTAACAGCTATCTTCAAGCCAATGTAAGAGTCTTGATTCAAGAAACAACCTACCAGTCAGTCTATTTCTAGGCTTTTCTCCCTCTCTTTGAAAGTGCCAGTGTTCTTCCTTTCACTCTCTTGAACTCATTTTTCCTGCCAGCACACATCATTTTGTCTCCTTTACTTTTCCATAGGCTGTTTTTTTTTATTTGTCTACTAGCTTTTCTTATCACATATCCCTGCTTGACAACCTTAAGCAATTTGTTGGATACCCTTGATTTGAGGCCCATCAATATGTCATACTTTGGGATTGGCAGAAGAAATGTTTAGAAGCATATTTTCCATAAATGATAGTGACAAGTGCCAAGCACTTGCTTCATGTTGTCTCATTCAGTTTTCACGGGGACTTTATAAGGTAAGTGGGATTACTCCCGTTTAAGGAAACTGATATAACTGAGGTGCAGAGAGACGAGAGTGACTTTCCCAGAGGCACACAGCTAGTGAGTGGTAAAGCCAGTAGATAAGCCAGTCCCTGAAATCCGTGTTTTCCAGTAGGATCCCAAGCTATGGGGAGATAAAAATTAGTCCCCTTGCCTAGCTAGAGGGCTTTAAAGGTTAAAGCAAGAGGAAGAAGCAGACCTTATCTTTTAGTTCTGTAAGTTTGGAGTGTATCGTGGGTCTCACTGAAACTAGAAAAATTGTCAGCACGGCTGCATTCCTTTCTGGAGGCTTAGGGTAGAATCCCTTTCCCTGCCTTTGCCACTCACCTTGGCATATGGCCCTCATCCATCTTCAGAGCCAGCAATGGCAATGGAGTCCTCACCTCTCATCATGCTGACATTGACTCTTCTGCCTCCGTCTTCCACATGTGAGGACTCATGTGAAGACATGCCGCACACCTAGTTAATCCAGAATAACCTTTCTATTTTAAAGTCAGCTTGTTAGCAACCTTAATTCCATTTGCTCTCTTAGTTCCCCTTTGCCATCTAAAGTAATATATTCATAGGTTCTAAGGGTTAGCATGTGGACATCTTCGGAGGGGCCATTATTTGAAATCTAAAATGGAGATGTTATTGCATCGCAGTCTATTGGGAGGTAGCCACTGGAGGTTTTTGCAGCCTTGTTTTTATATTTAAGCAAGGGTGTATATGTGTGTCTTAGTCTGTTCAGGTTGATACAACGGAATACCATAGACTGGGTAGCTTCTAAGCAACAGAAATTTCTCACAGTCCTGGAGGCTGGGAAGTCCAAAAAAAGTTGCCAGCAGATTTGGTGTCTGGTGAGAACCTACTTTCTCACAGATAGCACCTTCTTATTGTGTCCTTACATGGTGGTAGAAGGGCGACCTAGCTCTCTGGGATCTCTTTTATAAGGGGTCTGATCCCAATCATGAGAGATCTGCCTAATCACCTCCAAAAGGCTCCATCTCCTAATACCATCACATCTTGTGAGTTTGGATTTCAGCATAGGAATTTTGGGAGGACACAAAACTTCAGACCATAGCAGTAGGGATGTTGCTAATACCTCACGAAGAAAGAACTTAAAGAAGCTGAGTAATTTGCCCAAGACCACACAAAAATTCATTCGAATCCAGGGACAAAACTATATTTCCTGTGTTTTCTCCATGTCACTCAGAAAATTCAGCATGAGGGAGAAATATGATTCTTAATATAGAATCATATTTCTATATTGAAATATGATTTCAATATAGCTGTTTTGGCTAGAACTTGGAAGTGAACAGGCAGGCTTAATTGGGCAACAGTCCCCACTTTGTGGGGTGTGATCGGCAGGCTTATTCCAGGCTTCTTGCTGAGTTATAAAACTTCTGATTTATCTGATAGAGACCTTCAGAAGGAGGACTGGTGCTATTAAAATTATACACATTTCATTCTGGAATTTCTTTTGAGGGCATCATCCACTCCCCTCAGCTGTGATTGTAAACCTCATTGCTCTTGGTCAGAATTTCATTCAGCATTAACAATGACACATCCTGTTATGCTGTGCAGGTGTATTGCTGTTTATAGGAATTTAAGTTTAGATCATTAAATGTTTCAATACTGAATGTATTGACAGTTAAGTTGATGACGCAGAAAACTACAAATAGCTGGGCAAACTATAAGAGGTGTTTCTCGTCTGCACCTTCCCTTCTGGTATCTTGATAGTATAGCCCAAAAATGGTTTTAAGCCCTTGCTTCTCCCCCAGGGCTACCCTCTTTGCTTGCACCTTACAAGGTTGAGTGTTGTGAGGCCCCATCTGGTGCCGACTCCAATTCTGTCTCTAGCCCAGACCCACACTTGTGAGCTGCTATGAGTTATCTGGGCATCTTGGTTGACTTAATCTTCCTAACATCCTTGTAAATAGGTGGATGAATACTATGTTTTATGATTGGAAAATGAAGAATCAAAAAGATATGGCAATTTGGTTTAAGTCCACATAGCTAGTAGTTAGGGAGCTTTGTTGAGAAAGAAAAATGCATGAGAGGAAATTAAGACTGTAGTTAATAATTATCAGGTGCATATTAACGTTGCATGAAGCTTAACTTAAATACATGTTATTCTTAAGGTTAAAAAGTTCAAAACAAAGGCGGGGGTTCCAAGGCAAATGGGTGGGGATAGACAGGAGATGGGCAGAGGTAGATGAAATGCGGGTGTTATGGTGTGGAAGTCAGTTGGAGTATAGCCACTGGAGGCTTTTGTGGCCCTGTTCATATCATAGTTATAAGTGGGATGTTGCTAATGCTTGACTCATCAAAGGCTGAAACAAAGCCAGAGCTGAAGTTGAGTACGTGTCACCGTTTTATTGGTTAATCTTTCAAAAAGAGAAAAGCCTCTGTTTATACAGGCTGAAACAGTCATTTGACCTGTTCTTCAACTCCATCTGGAATTGCTTTGGGGTTAACTTAGCATTTCCCCTAAAGCGCATATGACAGTGGGTTGGGAGGAGCTCGGATGGGGTTTTTGTTCCTCCAGAGCGCTGAGGCCTTATTTCTGAGTGAGGTGGCCTTGGTGCCAGCTAATGCCACTGTTTAGTGTGTGATGAACTAGAAGTAACAGGTTAATTTTGGCCAGTAGACTTGCCAGCTGTGTAAACGGAACCAGTGAAACTATTTCTCAGTGCTGCCTCCCACCCCTGGAAGAGGACATCATGTTATCTACCTGCCCCTGTTGGCTTCCCTTGACCCATCTCTCCCATGCTGTCCCCTCCTCCCTGTGTTACTCATCAGTTCAAATTTAGAATAATTGAATGCACAGAGAAAGTGGCTTGTTCTGAAAACTTCTGACAAGAAATTTCCAGGTGACTTGGTGCTAGATTAATTTTAGCCTCTCTTATGGATTCAAAACTGTTTTGTCAGAAGACTTGAACTAAGACACTTTAGAATTAATTACGGCTGGGAAAAAGAACAATCTAAATGAGGCAGCGAACAAAGATTCCTAAATATGGAGCAAGACAAGTGGCTCTTTATTTCAGTGGGTCACTGGCATGAAAAAATATAGTTGGGGTTACAGGCAGGAATTACTCTTAGAGACATGGGAATTAAATGCAAGGTAAGTACCTTGTTTGGACCCTGAAACTAACAAAGCAACTGTTTAAAAACAAATTTTTTTAAGACATTGGGGAAATTTGCATCTGCTCTGAGTCAAAGCCTGGGATTTGTGTTTGTGAAAAAGCTAATAGAGGAAGCAAGTTGGACACAATTTAAGAAATTGTTGAATCTGGGTGATGTGTATATGGTGTTAAGTATATGATTTTCCACGTCTGTGATGATGAAACATTTTTGTATTGACTTCTTAAGTGTCTTACCTGGCCTTTCTGAGCCCACAGTTGAGTTGCACCTGCAATCCAAAGTGGTTACCCCGTCACGGCTGCCAGACCACAGACACTTTAATTCTTGTTGTGCGGTGTGTTGCTGCCAGCCCAGAGCCAAAAAAGCGGAATACCACCCTGAAGCTTTTGTAAACAATTGTCTTTAGCTTATCCAGAGGAATTGAGTCTGGAGTAAAGACCCAAATATTGACCTAGATAAAGTTGACTCACCAGCCCTCGGAGGATGGAAAGATGGCCTTAAAATAAAACAAACAAAAACCTTTTTTGCTTTATTTTGTAGGACCACTATGAGACCTCAGTCCTTCTATGATGGAAGTCATTCTTGTGCCAGAGGAGTGTGCCATATTCCAATGGCTGAGCCGTTTTGCCCCAAAACGAGAGAGGTGTGTAGTCTTTCTGGAAGGTGTACCAGAATAAATCATGTGGGCTTGGGGTGGCATCTGGCATTTGGTTAATTGGCAGAGCGAGTGGCCCCATACCCTCACTCAAGTTTGCTTTGTATTATGCAAAGTTTTATGAAGAGTTATTTCCTGTTGCTAATAATTTCCTGTTCCTCTGTTACTCTCAGTCATTTTAAGCTGAACCACTCAAAGTTGCAACCTACCTTTTTAATAAGTTTTGATTTTGCTATCTAGATAAAATGATTTAACATAGAATATCACATTACTCAAGAGTATGCAGTCTGGAGCCAGATTACTTAGGATCAAATCTCTGCTCTTCAACAAAGTAGCTGTGTCCAAGAGGACAAATTATTTGACATATGTGGGTTTCAGTTATCTTACTTCTAAAATGAAGATAATTATAGCATGTACCTTATAAGACTGTGTGAGGGATGAGAGAGTTAATACTTAATGAAGTCTCTGAACCATGCCTGTCAGTTATGGAACATCCAATGGCTGGTAACTGCTTTTGTGAATTAAATTACTATTATTGATCTTCTAAAAATGGTCAGATTGGCAGCTGTTGCCTTTGACCTGAGTTTGGCCATTACTGCCCAGCCTTCTGTCTACCATTATAGCCAAATCACAGAACTATGGGGACAGCCCCACAAGGGCCAGTGGTGGTATAAGGGGTGGAATCACAGTTTTAGTTCCCAAGCAACAAAAATGGCTACCATGACTAAGAAGCCTATGGCTTGGTCCACATGTGCTACTTCTCTTATAATCCCAGGTTTGAAAGTCAGGTGCAACTCAAAAGATCAGAAGTATCGTTAGAGATTAACTGCTTCATAAAATCTCCCTTATGAGTTAACTTAGAGAATATAAATACCTAAACACGTTAGTTATTCAGATAATGTTAACACCTGCATATAGAGAGTAGATGATTTCTTTTAGCATTTATGTTTTATCCTACATAATCACAGAAAACCCATTTCCTTATAGTTAACAGCAAGGGCACCTAAACTGAGGACACAGGGTTGGGAGAAATATTTCTAGTCTCAAACAAGAATTTGGAATCTAAAACCGAGTACTGAGGGAAGCCATTTCGGAGATACCACTGCGCATTGATTTTCTCTGACTTCTAGGAAAGTACGTCTTTTACTTGGTTTTTTTTTTTTTTTAAAAAAGTGGCAGGCGAAGTTTGTATATGTATGTATAGCATGTTTCTGGATAGTTATCCACAGAATGTATCAGAATGCTGCTAGTCTTCCTCTGAAGCACAGATCTGTCCACATAATAGATTTGCTATCCTGGGGGAAATGAAGTATGGATAAAATTCTTGTCCACTTCAAAATGGGGGCAGCTTGGGAAGAAATAGTCTAAGGAGAGAATATGCATGCTCGTATGAATCTGAGGTCAGTTCTCAGGCAAAATACAGTGACTTGGGGAACTAGGAGTAGAGGTAGATGGGGAAAGCACAATGGAGCTGTATAGAGCACATGTAAATGTGGGTCTGTGGTGATAATTTCCAGTAATCCAAGTTAGCCTCCCTTGAAGCCAAATTAATTCAGCTTCATAAAGACTGAGAGAATACTGGGAAAGGCAATTTAAGAAAATGGCAAAATAAGCATTCAGAAAGAAATTTTTAAATATTATCCAAAAACATGAAGAGTAAATAGTGCTGCCACTTGGTAATTTTCACTTTTAACATCCACATGATCTTTCATGTACTGATGGAATAGGACTGTCATGATGAATTGTCAAGTGGCAAGCAAGATACTCAGTGGTTGTACCATATTCTACCATTTATGTTAAAGTATGTATATATACAAAGAAGTAAGTATGTAAATATTTATATACAAATAAAATATTTTTGGAAAGTTAACAAAAAAAGCTGGTAACAGGAAACAGGGAAGATGGCAGATAAGAGACAGGGCTGGCCACCACGGTGGCTCACGCCTGTAATCCCAGCACTTTGGAAGGCCAAGGCAGGCGGATCATGAGGTCAGGAGATCAAGAACATTCTGGCTAACATGGTGAAACCCTGTCTCTACTAAAAATACGAAAAGTTAGCCAGGCATGGTGGCAGGCACCTATAGTCCCAGCTACTTGGGAGGCTGAGGCAGGAGAATCGCTTGAACCTGGGAGGCAGAGCTTGCAGTGAGCCAAGATTGTGCCACTGCACTCCAGCCTGGGTGACAGAGACTCCATGTCAAAAAAAAAAAAAAGTAAAGAAAAGACAGGGCTAACGTGCAGCTTCCACAAGGACGGACAGAATAGCATATGGAGACACTATGATCTTTTGTTCCAAGAACCACTGTAGGAACTTACCGGGAAAACCAAAAGAATTCAAAGATCCTTTGAAAGAAGTGGCACACCACTGCAAATTCTGCAAAACAGGCAAGAAACTGAGTTCCCAAAGTGTGAGTCGGGGAGAACCTACCTCTGAATACACATCCCCACTGGGGAAATCTAAAAATCCAGATCATGGAGGAAGAATTTAACCTTACCTAGAGGTGAAACGGATTTAGGGGGTTATGTGAAATATGAAAGTAGAAGTAGCAACAGGAAGTGCTTTGGATGTACTCCCAGTCTCCAGCTTGAGTCCAGGGAAGCCAGCCCTGACTATATCTCACAGTGGCCCTCAGGTAAGGCAGCCAGTGGAATTGGAGAGTGATGGCAGGGCGAAGGAAGCTCCCAAATGAAATCAGTAGTGGTTTCAGCTGGTCACAAATTTTCTCAGGCAGAGTCCAAGGGACTAATGGGAGCCGCAGCAGATACAAGTGAGTACAGGAGCTGCTGCTGATGGAGTGGGCAGGTGGGAAGGGGTGAGGTCCAAAGGCCATGCTTGCTTTCCCAGTGGGGTAGCTCACAGCCTGGGGCAAGGTCTGAGCAGGGCACTGCAGGAGTGAGACTAGCCTCACCAACTGCATAGTAGCTGGATGAGGCCTCTTGCTGCTGGCTCTCCCCCACTACCCTGGTAAAGTTTATGATACAGCAGAGGCAGTCAAGATCTCCTCTGGAACATAAACCCAGTGGCCTGACAAACCACCCCCATCCCCCAATTTCCCACAGTGTCTGCAGCAAGCCCTGCCCAAGAAGAGTCTGAGCCCAGAACCACCTAACCCTGCCCCAACCTGATGGTATTTCCCTACCCACCCTGGTAGCCAAACACAAAATATTTATTGCCCTGCCTATTGCCTGGGAAACCAAAATAGTTACCTTGGGCATCTTAGGGCAAGCTTAGAGCCCCCTACTCCTTCTGCAGCTGGTGCTCTCTTGAAAGTGCCACCTCCTGGCTGGAGGCCAGTCAACTGAGGCCATTACAGCAACTCATAAAACAATAACCCTGATCCCAGGACGGAAAAGACAACACCTAATTTCACTGCCTGCAACATCCTGGCTAACCAGAGATCCTGAATATGTCCACATGACAACTTCACTGCTAGCATAAGCAGCATTCAAGAGAGCCAGCACATTAAACATATCTACAACCAATGACTCTTGCAGAGTTTACTTCACTTCCCTGCCACATCTACCAGAGCAGGTGCTAGTAGCCACAGCTTGGAGACCTGAAGATGGATCACATCGCAGTACTCATTGCAGACATCCCCCAGCAACAGCCCAGAGCCTGGTGGCCTCAATGGGTGGCTAGACCCAGAAGAGCAATAACAGTCACTGCAGTCCAGCTCTCAGGAAGCCCCATCCCTAGGGGAAAGGGGAGAGCACCACATCAAGGGATCACCCCATGAGACAAGAAAATCTGAACAGCAGGCCTTGAGTTTCAACCTCTCCACTAAAATAGTCTACCAAAATGACAAGGAACCAGAAAAGCAATTCTGGTAATATGACAAAATGGGGTTCTGTAACACCCCCAAAAGATCACACCAGCTCCCTAGCAATGGATCCAAACCAAGAGGAAATCTCTGAATTGCCAGATAAGGAATTCAGAAGATTGGTTATTAAGCTACTCAAGGAAATAGCAGAGAAAGGTAAAAACCAGCATAAAGAAATTTTAAAAAACAATACAGGATATGGATGAAAACTTCTGCAGAGAAATATCATAAAGAAAAAATAAATCACAGCTTCAGGAAATGAAAGACACACTTAGAGAAATACAAAATGTAGTGGAAAGCTTCAACAATAGGCTAGAACAAGTAGAAGAAAGAACTTCAGAGCTTGAAGACAAGGCTCTTGAATTAACTGAATCAAGACAAAGAAAAAGAATTTTAAAATGAAATTTTAAAAGAAATTTGGGTTTATGTTAAATGGCCAAACCTAAGAATAATTGGTGTTCCTGCAGAAGAAGAGAAATCTGAAAGTTTGGAAAACTTATTTGAGGAAAACTTTGCTGGCCTTGCTACAGATCTAGACATCCAAATACAAGAAGCTCAAAGAACACCTGGGAAATTTATTGCAAAAAGATGATCAGCTAGGCACATATTTATCAGGCTATCTAAAGTCAAGATGAAAGAATCTTAAGAACTGTGAGACAAAAACATCAGATAACCTATAAAGGAAAACCTATCAGATTAATAGCAGACTTCTCAGCAGAAATCTTACAAGCCAGAAGCCAGAAGGGATTGGAGTCCCATTTTTAACCTCTTGAAACAAAATTATTCTCAGCCAAGAATTTTGTATCCAGTAAAACTAAGCTTCATAATTGAAGGAGAGATAGTCTTTTTCAGACAAACAAATGCTGAGAGAATTTGCCACTATTGAGCCAACACTACAAGAAATGCTTAAAGGAGTTCTAAATCTTGAAACAAAACCTCAAAATACACCAAAATAGAACCTCATTAAAGCGTAAATCTCACAAGACCTATAAAACAATAATACAATGGTGAAAGAACAACGTCTTTAGGCAAAAGCTAGCATGATGAATAGAACAGTACCTCACATCCCAATACTGATGTCGAATGTAAATGACCTAAATGCCCCACTTAAGAAAAGATACGCAATGGCAGAATGGATAAAAATCTACCAACTAAGTATCTGCAGTCTTCAGGAGAATCACCTAGCACACATGAACTCACAAAAACTTAAGGTAAAAGGGTGGAAAAAGATATTCCATGCAAATGGAAACCAAAAGCAATTAGGAGGAGCTAGTTTTATATCAGAAAAGAACAGACTTTAAAACAACAACAGTTAAAGCAAAGAGGGACATTATATAATGATAAAAGGAGTAGTCCAACAGGAAAGTATCACATTTCTAAATATATATGCACTTAACACTTGAGCTCCCAAATATATCAAACAATTACTAATAGGCCTAAGAAATGACATAGATGGTAACACAATAATAGTGGGGCACTTAAGTACTCCACTGACGGCACTAGACAGGTCCTCAAGACAGAAAGTCAACAAGGAAACAATGGACTTAAACTATAACCTAGAACAAATGGACTTAACAAATATATATACCCAACAACTGCAGAATATACATTCTTTTCATCAGCACATGGAACATTCTCCAAAATAGAACATATGCCACAAAACAAGTCTCAACAAATTTGAAAATCAAAATTATATCAAGTACTCTCTCAGATCAAAGTGGAATAAAATTGGAAATTAACTCCAAGAAGAATCCTCAAAACTATACAAATACTTGGAAATGAAATAATCTGCTCCTGAATGATCTTTAGGTCAACAGTAAAGTCAAGATGGAAATTAAAATATTCTTTGAGCTGAATGATTATAGTGACACAACTTATCAAAACCTCTGGGATACAGAAAAAGTGGTGCTAATGGGAAAGTTCATAGCATTAAATTCCTACATCAAAAAGTCTGAAGGAGGACAAATCAACAATCTAAGGTCACACTTCAAGGAACTAGAAAAACAAGAACAAAGCAAACCCAAACCTAGCAGAAGAAAAGAAACAGCAGAGATCAGAGCAGAACTAAATGAAATTGAAACAAAAAAATACAAAAGATAAATGAAACAAAAATATTTGAAAATTTAAAATTGATAGACCATTAGTGAAATTAACCAAGAAGAGAAAAGATCCAAATAAGCTCAATGAGAAATGAAACAGGAGATATTACAACCAATACCACAGAATACAAAAGACTATTCAAGGCTACTATGAACACCTTTATGCACACAAACTAGAAAATCTAGAGGAGATGAGTAAATTCTTGGAAATATACCACCCTCCCCAATTAAATCAGGAAGAAATGGAAACCCTAAACAGACCAATAACAAGTAGGAAGATTGAAACAGTAATTTTAAAAAATTGCCAACAAAGAAAACATCCAAGACCAGAGGGATTCACAGCTGAATTCTATCAGACATTCAAAGAACTGGTACCAATCTTACTGAAACTATTCCAAAAGACAGAGAAAGCAGGAATCCTTCCTAATTCATTCTGTGAAGCCAGTATCCCCCTAATTACAAAATCAGAAAAGAACATAATAAAAAAAGACAACTACAGACCAATATCCCTGATGTACGTAGATGCAAAAATCCTCAACAAATTACTAGCTAACCAAATCCAACAGCATATGAAAAAGATAATACACCATGGTCAAGTGGGTTTCATACCAGTGATGAAGGGATGGTTTAACATAGGCAAGTCAATAAATGTGATACATCACATAAACATAATTTAAAACAAAAATCACATGGTCATCTCAATAGATGCAGAAAAAGCATTTGACACAATCCTCCATCTAGTTATAATTAAAACCCTCAGCAAAATTGGCATAGAAGGGACGTACCTCAAGGTAATAAAAGCCATCTATGGGCTGGGCACGGTGGCTCACACCTGTAATCCCAGCACTTTGGGAGGCCAAGGCGGGCGGATCACAAGGTCAGATCGAGACCATCCTGGCTAACACGGTGAAACCCCATCTCTACTAAAAATACAAAAAAATTAGCCGGGCATGGTAGCGGGCGCCTGTAGTCCCAGCTACTCGGGAGGCCGAGGCAGTGAATGGCGTGAACCCGGGAGGTGGAGCTTGCAGTGAGCTGAGATCACGCCACTGCACTCCAGCCTGGGCAACAGAGCGAGACTCCGTCTCAAAAAAAAAAAAAAAGCCATCTATGACAAACCCACAGCCAGTGTTATATTGAACAGGGAAAAGTTGAAAGCATTCCCTCTGAGAACTGAAACAAGACAAGATTCCCACTTTCACCACTTCTGTTCAACATAATACAGGATGTCCTAGCCAGAGCAATCAGACAAGAGAAAGAAATAAAGGGTAAAAAATCAGTAAAGAGGAAGTCAAACTGTTGCTGTTCACCAATGATATGATCGTATACCTAGAAAACCCTAAAGACTCATCCAAAAAGCTCCTAGATAAATGAATTCAGCAAAGTTTCAAGATGCAAAATCAATATACTCAAATCAATAGCACTTTTATAGACCAACAGCAACCAAGCTGAGAATCAAATCAAGAACTCAACCTGCTTTACAACAGTTGCAGGAAAAAAAAAGTAAAATGCCTAACCAAGGACATGAAAGATCTCTACAAGGAGAACTACAGAACACTGCTGAAAGAAATTATAGATAATACAAAAAAATGGAAACATACCATGCTCAGGGATGGGCAGAATTAATATTGTTAAGAATTCTTACAAAAGCAATCTGCCAAAAAGCAATCCACAAATTCAATGCAGTTTCCTTCAGAGTACCACCATCATTCTTCACAGAAATATAAAAGTATCATATTTCTGCCAAAAGCAATCCACAAATTCAATGCAGTTTCCTTCAGAATACCACCATCATTGTTCACAGAAATATAAAAAAAAAAATCCTAAAATTTATGTGAGACCAAAAAAAGAGCCCATATAGCCAAAGCAAGACTAAGCAAAAAGAACAATCTGGAGGTATCACATTACCTGACATCAAACTATACTACAAGGCTATAGTTATCAAAACAGCATGGTACTGGTATAAAAGTAGGCATGCAGACCAGTGGAACAGAATAGAGTATCCAGAAATAAAGCCAAATATTTACAGCCAACTGATCTTTGAAAAAGCAAAACAAAAACATACACTGAGGAAAGGACACCCTATTTAACAAATGTTGCAGGATAATTGGCAAGCCAGATGTAGAAGAATGAAACTGGATCTTCATCTCTCATATAAAAATCAATGCAAGATGCATCAAAGACTTAAATCTAAGACCTGAAACCATAAAAATTCTAGAAAATAACATCGGAAAAACCTATCTAGGCCTTGGCTTAGGCAAAGAGTTCATGATCAACAACCCAAAAGCAAATGCAACAAAAACTAAGACAAATAGATGCAGCTTAATTCATCTAAAATGCTTCAGCACAACAACAAAAAATAATAATCAGTGGAATAAATGACCACCCGCAGAAAGGGAGAAAATATTCGCAAACTATGCATTCAATAGAGGACCAATATCCAGAATCTACAGGGAACTGAAACAAATCAGCAAGAAAAAAAAAAAAGGTCGCTAAGTACATGAATAGACAATTTTCAAAACACATGGCCAACACACATGAAAAAATGCTCAAAATTACTAATCCAGGAAATGCAAATTAAAACCACAATGCGATACCACCTTACTCCTGCAAGAATGGCCATAATTTAAACATCAAAAAATAATAGATATTGGTGTAGATGTGGTGTAAAGGGAACACTTTTACACTGCTGGTGTGAATGTAAACTAGTACAATGGAAAGCCATATAGAGATTCCTTACAGAACTAAAAGTAGAACTACCATGTGATCCAGCAATCCCACTCCTATGCGTCTACCCAGAGGAAAATAAGTCATTATATGAAAAAGACACTTGCACATGCATGTTTATAGCAGCACAACTTACAATTGTAAAAACTATGGAACCAACCTAAATGCCCGTTGACCAATGAGTGAATAAAGAAAATATGGTATATATACAGCATGGGTGTGATGGTTAATACTGAGTGTAAACTTGATTGGATTGAAGGATACAGAGTATTGATCCTGGGTGTGTCTGTGAGGGTGTTGCCAAAGGAGATTAACATTGAGTCAGTGGGCTGGGAAAGGCAGACCCACCCTTAATGTGGGTGGGCACAGTCTAATCAGCTGCCAGCATGGCTAGAATATAAGCAGGCAGAAAAATGTGAAAAGAGAGACTGGCCTAGCCTCCCAGCGTACATCTTTCTCCCGTGCTGGATACTTCCTGCCCTCAAACATCAGACTGCAAGTTCTTCATTTTTGGAACTCTGACTGGCTCTCCTTGCTCCTCAGCCTGCAGACGGCCTATTGTGGGACCTTGTGATAATGTGAGTTAATACTTAATAAACTCCCATTTATCTATCTGTCCCATTAGTTCTGTCCCTCTAGAGAACCCTGACTAATACAGATTTTGGTACCAGGAGTGGTTCTAGAGGAACAGAATATTAAGGATGGAGTTCTTTTATTGGTATGAGGTTTCTGGAGTTGACTGCTTAATATGATTAGACCCAAAGATGCTAAGGA
This sequence comes from Homo sapiens, assembly GCF_000001405.40. NCBI lineage: Eukaryota > Metazoa > Chordata > Mammalia > Primates > Hominidae > Homo > Homo sapiens. Next base: position 21,847,444 of record NC_000009.12, read on the forward strand.
CTCTACTTCTAATAATATGGATAACACCAATAGTCCTTGACTTGAACTGTTTAGAGAGTTATGCAAAATAAATATATTTGAGACTCCTGATTCATCACTCGTGAGAGGCAAGGACTCTACATAATACCTTTGACCATATGTGGAATCACCCTTAGTGACTCTGTACATAATACCTTTGACCATATATGGAGGACCAGGGAACATAATGAAGCTGGTTGGTTGCTCCTAAGTTCAGTGGACAAAGTGATGAAAGAAAATAATGAACTCAGGGATTGTATCTCCCAGCTCCAGCAGCAGATACTGAGCCTCAGATCTGCTAAGATTGTTCTGAATGAAAGACTTATCTCCTGTAGAGAAAGAGCTGAAATTGTGGAAAAACAGACACAAGCTCTTATCATGTGAGTGGCTGACCTGCAATGAAAGGTACATGCACAGCCTCGCCAGGTGTCTACTGTTAAAGTGAGAGCATTGATTGAAAATAAATGGGACCCTGCAACTTGGAACTGGGATGTGTGGGAGGACCCTGATGAAGCTGGGGACACTGAGTTTGAAAACTCTGATGAACCTTATTTACCAGAAGAAACAGCTTTCCCATCCCCAGAAGTGGCAGCATCCCCTCCCTGACCTATGCTGCCATCAGCCTTTTCACCTTTGTCTGAGGAGATAAACCCTGTGCGGCCTGAGGCAACAGTGATGGCCTCCCCTGAGGCAGTTGCCAGGCAAGATAATGTTGATTCTTCTCAGGAGCCACCCCTAAGACTCCCATTTGCTTCTAGACCTATAACTGGACTGAAGTTCCAGCAGGCCCCTAGAGGTGAGGTTGAGATTGTGACCCATGAGGTGGTGTGCTACACTCAAAAAGAACCGCTTGAGTTTTCTGATTTATATAAACAGAAATCTGGAGAACAGGCATGGGAATGGATACTAAGGGTGTGGGATAATGGTGGAAGGAAAATGGAGTTGGATCAGGCTGAATTTATTGATTTGGGCCCACTAAGTAGGGATTCTGCATTTAATGTTGCAGCTCTGGGAGTTAAAAAAGGTTCTAATTATTTACTTGCTTGGTTTGCTGAAATATGGATTAAAAGGTGGCCCACTGTGAACAAGCTGGAAATGCCTGATCTCCCTTGGTTTAATTTAGAGGAGGGGATCCAAAGGCTTATGGAAATTCAGATGGTGGAGTAGATTAGTCACTTTAGACCTATTTATCCCTGCTGGTCCAGAAAATATGCCCTTGACCAATGCCTTGCAAAACAGATATGTGAGGGCAGCACTGGGATCTTTGAAGAGCCCTGTAATTGCTCTTCTCTGTATGTCAGATCTAACTGTGGTAATGTCAGATCTAACTGTGGGAACCGCAGTCACTCAACTACAAAACTTAAATACAGTGGGAATAATTGGATTCCAAGGCAGCAGGGGCCATGGCGGCACTCAGCTGTCAAAGGCAAGGTGGGCATAGCTACCATAATGGGCAGCAGAGGCAAAGCGGCAATCAGAACAGTCTGACTCGTGTAAAGCTCTGGCACTGGCTAATTAATCACAGCATTCCTAGAAGTAAAATTCATAGGAGGCCTACTGCATTCCTACTTAATTTACATAAGCAGAAACTTCTAGGTCAAATGGACAAAAAACTAATTTGAATTATAAAAACAGACTCACAGCCCCTCAACCAATTTCCAGACTTGAGCTAGTTTACAGACCCAGAACCCCTTGAATGAAGGGGAGGCCAGGTCCCGTTGAGGAAGGACCCCACTATATTACCAACAATTTATGCTGTGAATCTTTCTCCCGTCCTTCCCCAAGGAGACCTCCGACCTTTTACCAGGGTAACTGTGCACTGGGGAAAGGGAAATAATCAGACATTTCAGGGACTACTGGACACTGGCTCTGAGCTGATGTTGATTCCAGGGAACCCAAACTGTCATGTGGTCCTCCAGTTAAAGTAGGGGCTTATGAAAGTCAGGTAATTAATGGAGTTTTAGCTCAGGTCTGACGTGCAGTGGGTCTTATGGGTGCCTGGACTCATCCTGTGGTCATTTCCCCAGTGCCAGAATGCATAACTGGCATAGACATACTTAGCAGCTGGCAGAACCCCCACACTGGCTCCCTGACTGGTAAAGTGATGGCTATTACAGTGGGAAAGGCCAGATGGAAGCCATTCGAGCTGCCTCTACCTAGAAAAATAGTAAAGCAAAAACAATACCACATCCCTGGAGGGATTGCAGAGATTAGTACCACCATTAAAGACTTGAAAGACGCAGGGATGGTGATTCCTACCACATCCCCATTTATCTCTCCCATTTGGCCCATACAGAAGACAGATGGGTCTTGGGGAGAATGACAGTGGATTACAATAAGCTGAACCAAGTGGTGACTCCAATTGCAGCTGTTGTACCAGATGTGATTTCATTGCTTGAGCAAATTAACACATCTCCTGGTACCTGGTATGCAGCCATTGACTTGGAAAATGCCTTTTTCTCTATATCTGTCCATAAGGACCACCAGAAGCAATTTGCCTTCAGCTGGCAAGGCCAGCAGTATACCTTGACTGTCCTACCTCAAGGGTATATCAACTCTTCAGTTTTGTGTCATAATCTTATTCAGAGAGAACTTGATCGCTTTTTGCTCCCACAAGATATCACAATGGTCCATTACATTGATGACAGTACGCTGATTGGATCCAGTGAGCAAGAAGTGGCAAACACACCAGACTTATTGGTGAGGCATTTGCATGCCAGAGGATGAGAAATAAATCTGACTAAAATTCAGGGACCTTCTACCTCAGTAAAATTTCTAGGGGGTCCAGTGGTGTGGGGCCTGTGGAGATACTCCTTCTAAGGTGAAGGATAAGTTGCTGCATTTGTCCTCTCCTGCAACCAAGAAAGAGGCACAATGCCTAGTGAGCCTATTTGGATTTTGGAGGCAACACATTCTTCATTTGAGTGTGTTACTCTGGCCCATCTATTGAGTGACCCAAAAGGGTGCCAATTTTGAGTGGGTCCAGAACAGGAGAAGGCTCTGCAACAGTTCCAGGCTGCTGTGCAAACTGCTGTGCCATTTGGGCCATATGACCCAGCAAATCCAATGGTCCTTGAGGTGTCAGTGGCAGATAAGGATGCTGTTTGGAGCCTTTGGCAGGCCCCCATAGGTGAATTACAGTGGAGCCCTCTAGGATTTTGGAGCAAGGTCCTGCCATCTTCTGCAGATAACTATTCTCCTTTCGAGAGACTGTCCTTGGCCTGTTACTGGACTTTGGTGGAAAGTGAACTTTTGACTATGGGTCATCAAGTCACCATGCGACCTGAACTGCCTATCATGAACTGGGGGCTTTCTGACTCATCTAGCCATAAAGTGGGTTGTGCACAGCAGCATTCAGTTATCAAATGGAAATGGTATATATATGACTGGGCTCAAGCAGGTCCTGAAGGCACTTTGCTGTGCCCGTGCATGGCCTCCATCCTTGCCACCTGGACACTTTGGGCTCCTCCTGCCTTTAAGTCAACAGGCTAAGAAGGGAGTTACAGTGCTGGCTGGGGTGATTGACCCAGACTATCAAGATGAAATCAGTCTACTACTCCACAATGGAAGTAAAGAAGAGTACACATGGAATACAGGAGATCCATTAGGGTGTCTCTTAGTATTACCATGCCCTGTAATTAAGGTCATTGGGAAACTACAACAGCCCAATCCAGGCAGGACTACAAATGACCCAGACTCTTCAGGAATGAAGATTTCAGTCACTCCACAAGGAAAAAACCACAACCTACTGAGGTCCTTGATAAAGGCAAAGGGAATACAGAATGGGTAGTAGAAGAAGGTAGTCATCGATACCAGCTACAACCATGTGACCAGCTACAGAAATGAGGACTGTAATTGTCATGAGTATTTCCTCCTCCTTTTGTTAAAAACATGTTTGTGCATATATACAGTTGTACTAAGAAAATATCTTCATTGTATTTTCTTTCTCCTTTATCATATGACATGAGATTTATTGACTTCACATCAACATTTAAGTATTGCTAACTTTATGTAGTAGTATTTGGGTTGGTGTTTGGTGCATTTCCAGTTGCACAAAGGATAGCTGTATTATGTTACGTGTAATTATGACCTTATTATTGTCTTTATTTGAAGATTATGTATGATCTCAGGAGATGTGTATGGATTCATGTGGACTTGTGATGGTTAACACTGAGTGTTAACTTGATTGGATTGAAGGATACAAAGTATTGATCCTGGGTGTGTCTGTGAGGGTGTTGCCAAAGGAGATTGACATTTGAGTCAGTGGGCTGGGAAAGGCTGACCTAGCCTTAATCTGGGTGGGTACAATCTAATCAGCTGCCAGCATGGCTAGGATATAAGCAGGCAGAAAATTGTTAAAAGAGAGACTAGCCTAGTCCCCCAGTCTACATCTTTCTCCCATGCTGGATGCTTCCTGCCCTCCAACATCAAACTCCAAGTTCTTCAGTTTTGGAACTTGGACTGTCTCTCCTTGCTCCTCAGCCTGCAGATGGCCCATTGTGGGACCTTGTGATCATGTGAGTTAATACTTAATAAACTCCCCTTTATTAGTTATGTCCCTCTAGAGAACTCTGACTAATACAATGGAATACTACTTAGCCATAAAAAAGAACAAAATGATGGCATTTGCAGCAACCTGGATGGAGTTGGAGACCATTATTCTCAGTGAAGTAACTCGGGAATGGAAAACTAAATATCGTTATGTCCTCATTTGTAAGTGGGAGCTAAGCTATGGGGATGCAAAGGCATAAGAATGATATAATAGGGCCGGGCGCAGTGGCTCATGCCTATAATCCCAGCACTTTGGGAGGCCGAGGTGGGTGGATCACAAGGTCAGGAGTTCAAGACCAGCCTGGCCAAGATGGTGAAAGGGGTCTCTACTAAAATACAAAGAAAAGAATTAGCTGGCCGTGGTGGCGGGTGCCTGTAATCCCAGCTAATCAGGAGGCTGAGCCAGAGAACTGCTTGAACCCGTGAGGCAGAGGTTGCAGTGAGCCAAGATCGCACTAATGCATTCCAGCGTGGGCGACAGAGTGAGACTCCATCTCAAAAAAAAAAAAAAAAATGATGTAATGGACTTTGGGGCCTCTGGGGGAAGTGGGAGAGGAGAATCAGGGATAAAAGACTACACATTGGGTATAGTGTACATTTCTTGGGTGACAGGTGCATCAGAATCCCAGAAATCACTACTAAAGAACTTATATACATCACAATAAACCACTTGCTCCCCAAAAACTATTGAAATGAAAAAAAAAAAAAAGCCTGGTAATAATGGTTTCCCTTGGGAAGGGACAGTGGTTTTCCTTGTACTATTTAAGTTTTGTACCATGTACAAATACGTGTTCCAAAAGCAGTGTTACTTCTATTCATTTTAGGAGTTAATATGAAAGTCCTGACATTAAATCTGTTTAGGCTGGTGATCTAATATTGCTAGTTCCTTGGTGAGGGTTGTGGTACTTTCACTACCACATCCGTCTGTTTAGTAGTTCAGTGATTACACGAGGTAAGAAAATGAAATCATCTTAAACTCAGACCTGGACCTTGACCCTGTATTTGATATTTTTTGCTGCCTTAAGATAGTGTTAGCTGTTCTTGAAGGAATGCAAAATGCTGGTTCAGGTGGCTGACATATATTCATAGCCTCCATTTCTTCCTCCTCCTCATAAGCATGGTACCTATCTCCCAAAGTGCCAGAGTGACAGTGAGGACTTGTCAAGAGCCATTCATCTCTAGAAGCACTGTGAACTTTAGCCAAGCATATGGTTCAGTTATTCAGGATCTTTAAAGACATTATTGAACCAGCGGGAGTGGGCTTGTTATGTCTTAACTTTAGGGGGGAAAAGGGGGTGGGGTAGAGATTTAGGCTTTTGCATTTATAACATATACTTTTTAGGGAAAAGTGTTAATTAAGCATAATTTTATTTTCAGCATTTATAAGATAAACATGATGTAGCATCAACTGTTCATTGTCCATAGCTTGCTAAATTTTGAGTTGCCAAGACTCTTGTGAAAATTCTGTTTCCCATTGCAGTGGCATAGTGTAAGTTATTTTTTAAGGAAATAGGTTAATTTGTTTATGTGATGAACACATGTGCAGGTGAGACTTTGCCCAGATTGGAGACTTTGACTTTGAGTCACTCCACTTTATTTATATAGTATCCCAGGAAGGTTAGCCAAATATGTGTAGAAGCTGCCAGTATTAATGATTGTTAGAAGACCAGCTTAGTGCATACAGTGTTTACAGCGCACCTGGCATGCTTCTATGCTTGTATATACCTTAGTTCATTTAATCTTCCTCATACAATTGAATTATGCGATATCATTATTCTCAATTTACACTTGAGAAAACTAAGGCATACAGAGATGATTTTTCAACAGTGCTTCAGTAAGTTAACAGTTAAGTTGAAAAGACTTTTTTTTAATTAAAAGGGAATATTGAATAAGCTAAGAAAAAATGAAGGTAATTAATAACTTGAAGATTAGATGTGCAGTATTAAATAAAACACTGGAGAAAAGGATCGAACTTTTCAATGATGTTTCTAAAAATCCATGCCTAGCCTTGCCACTAAAGGAATTCCAAGATGTTTATCCCTGTGAACAGAAAAACAATCAGCACAACTCTGTGGAAAGGCAATAGGCAAAAGAGAAATCACTTTCTAACCAGCAAAAGCTTTTACAGAAGTCTTCAGATTCTGTATTTTTAAAAGTAATGAGAATTAACTTTTCAGAAGCCTGGAAATAGAACTCAACACACCTGTTTGAGAAGATAAGCGACGAGAGGCACCTTAGCTTAGCCTGCGAGGTTAAAAGTTAAGACTCCAGTCTGTATTCTCAAACCAGCTTAGTCTCTTAAAGTTGTTAAGAAGCAAATGAGATTAAAGCATATAAACAAATGCCTGGCGAGTAGAAAGAGCTCAGTGCTTGCTTGTGTAGCTATTAGTTTCTACATGCAAAGGGCTGGGGAAACAGGATTATGTGAATGAGAAAGGGTCCAGGAAACACCCTTCTGTGGTCCTCTAGGTTTTTTCTGAGAGCCTGGCAGATAGTAGGCATTTATTATAGTGACAAATCATCTTTAAGAAATCAACTTGGTAAACATTGGGGGGAAGTGCAGCCTTAAGTTGTGCATGTGCTAGTATGTTTTGAAGTTTCTGGTTTTTCTTTTCTAGGTTCTTATAGAGACTGCTAAGAAGCTAGGACTCCGGTGCCACTCAAAGGGGACAATGGTCACAATCGAGGGACCTCGTTTTAGCTCCCGGGCAGAAAGCTTCATGTTCCGCACCTGGGGGGCGGATGTTATCAACATGACCACAGTTCCAGAGGTGGTTCTTGCTAAGGAGGCTGGAATTTGTTACGCAAGTATCGCCATGGCGACAGATTATGACTGCTGGAAGGAGCACGAGGAAGCAGTAGGTGGAATTCTTTTCTAAGCACATATAGCATGGGTTTCTGGGTGCCAATAGGGTGTCTTAACTGTTTGTTTCTATTACGTTAGTTTCAGAAAGTGCCTTTCTACAAGGTTTTGAAGTTGTTAATATTTTCTGTAGTTCCATTGGAAGGTAAGAACAAAGATCAAAGGAAAGAAAGAGACACTTTTACCCAAGGATCAGTAGTGAAAATAGTACATTGTAGGCAGGTAGATGTGTTGAGAATCATACTAAGACTTGGGCCTTATTTTCAGGATAAAGGTGTATTTTGATTGCCAATTTCTGCTGCTATGCTACTGTTTTTTGTTTTCAAGAAGGAAAAAAATCTATTAACCCTTTCCTCATGAGAGGGCTGTATGTTCACATCCATCTATTTAACGTACCGTGGCTGGATACTCTGTTCAGCATAGAAATGTGACAACAAACAGAGAAGTCCTTAAGGAGCCGACATTCTGTCGGATGGAGATAGAAGTTAAGCAAACCAATATAAGAAAGCTAACGGTTATAAAGAAATAGAATGGTGAGGTACAAGGGTACACTAGGTCAACTGAATAGAGTTGACCAGACCAAATATTTGAAGTATGAGAAGCCTTCCTGTTTTAAGTGTGATGGGCAAGAAGGGCATGATTGAGTAGAGTGGAAAGGAGGGAGACTGGGGAGAAGGGAGAGAGAGGAGGGATGCAATACAGTAGGGCCAGGCCATACAGACCATGGTAAGGGTTTCAGATGGAAGGACAGTGAGGGGTTCAGGCAGGGAAGGCAGCAGGATCCAGCTGGAATTTGAGGACACTGGAACAATGAGGTCAGCTTCCAAAACAAAACAAAACAAAACTTTAAACATCTGTGTAAGTACAGGGTGGAATATAATGAATTCCAGGTACCCATCACTTAGGTTCCACAATTAGCCATGGCCAATCTTGTGTGATAGGTATGTCCCTACCTATTTCTCCCCTGCCCTCATTGTGAAGTAAATATTTTCCTAAAAGGTCTTTTTAAAATTAAGTTATAACCATGCCATCATTGTACAAAAATAATGATATTAATTTCTTAATATAATCAAATATTCAGACTATTCCTTTTTCCTTCAGTCTCATAATTTTTAACAATTTGATCAAATCAGAATCCCTTACAATCCATATGTTGTATTTTAATGATTACCTCTTGTCTCTTTTAATCTAATTTTCACCTCTTTCTCTTTTTATTCCTTGTGTTACTTGAATAAACTAGATCGTTCGTCCTGTCATTTATCTCATTTTAAGATAAAGGGACGACAAAACTGCAGTCACTTTTGAAGTAAGGAAAACATTTAGGGGTGACTTTCTGAGCACATTTAGGGTAAGTGACATCTCCAAAGAGGCCTAATATTGTACCACCGTTTTAGAGAGTTTGTTTTACTATCTAATGTGTACAGTGTTTTGGGTCATAGATGAACACAGGTTCTTTGTTTTTCATGAATTCCTTATGATGACTCTTCAGTGTAATAAACTGTTTGCTTAGTACTAGGATGCCTTTTATGTAAGAGATTCGCAAATTATTACATTAAGTCACAACATAATATCTTATTTGGCAGCTTTGGTAACCTAAGGAACAACTCAGCCTCGTAATGTCAAGAAGCTGCTTCCAATTAATAGGAAACTCCAGCCCCTGCCACACCCTGAGAGCGGTTTGCTTCCTGCCTGTGGCTTTCTGCTCAGTCTAATAACATATGTCTCCTCCTTTGTAGAACCAGCAGTGATTTCCTTTAGTAGCCAAATGAGGTTGGGGAAATAGTCAGCTGGAGCTACTTTATTGAAAAGCAGAGAAATTAAGCTCTGTAAGTGGAAAGGCTTGAAGACAGTGTTAAATGCTACAAGGAAGGCCCACAGAAAGATGGCATTATTTCAGCCAATCGTGTGTTGCAGCCTGGCATGGCAAAAAGGATTTGGAGTTCTCTAAACCCATCTTCAGATTTGAGTTGCTCCATTTGCTTGTCACATTGGGCGAGTTATTTCACTTGTTTACTCTTCTGTAGAATGAAGCCAGGGCTCTGGGTGAGGAGTGGAGGTTGTTTAGTCATTGTTTAGTCAGTTAGACCTTGAAAGATTACTGGAAGAATTAAACCAAATGAGATATGTAAAAAAGCTAGTATAATGCTGGCTTGTAAGAGGGTGGTCATCAGATGGTGGCTCTGATGGAGTGGGGGGCCTGAGAGGTGGGTAGTATCAGGGAAAAGCATTTAAACTGCACCTTGAAGAGAGGGTTTATTTTGGGAAGGTCAGTAGGAAGGACATTTTGGGTGAAGCCCAACAGCTGGAACAAAGAGAAGGGAGGTCAGTGTCTATACAGAAATAACCAGTCACAGGAAAAATATATAAGGAAATGAGTAAATACAAGGCAAATTTCTTGGATGCTTCATGTCTGCATTCAAAGACTCAGCTTAAAACATATCATTTACATGTGCCTGGCAGATACCCAGCCTGTCACTGCTTTGTGTTCCCATAGTAGTGCAAACTCCCCTCTGCTACAGTGTTCATCATTTTTTCCTATACACATCTTGGTGTTTGTGGGTGGGATCTGGACTATGCTTAAGGAAATAGAAAGATGTAATCCTTGTGTCCCTGAATGCTGGATTTCTTCGAAGCATAGGAAGGCATGTCAAGTACTCTATCTCTGATGGTAATTTTGTGTTCACTTTCTTCAACTTTTTCTTATGAAGCTATTTTAGTCATATACAGAAGTAGCTAATAGCACGAGCTTCCATGAATTCAGCATCTAGCTTCAACCATTATATTAACTTACAACCAATATGATTATTACTCCCATCAATAATTTTATCCATAAACACTTCAGGAGGTATCTAACATGAGCACATTATCATTTTCATTCTCCAATAATAATTCTTTAATATACCCAGCCAGAATTTAAATTTCTGGTTAAATGCCTTAAATTATTCTTTTGGTTGCAAGCTTTTTATGAAGGAACCAGATCATTTGTCCTGTTGAGTTTCCCACAGTCTGAATTGCTGAAATCATCTCCTTGGAGTAGTTTAATAGGCTTCTCTGTCCTCTGTATTGTCTATAAATTGGTAGCTAGATTTAGAAATTTAATCAGATTCAGGTGTCTTAAGGTAGCATTTTATTTTTTCATCAGGAAGCACATAATGAGTGGTTTATTTGGGATTTTGTTTGGTTCGGTTTGTGATGTTAGCAGCCAATCCATTAATTCACTGGGAGCCATAAAAATGGTGGTATTTTAATTCCATAATATTTTTCTTTAGTAGCTGGAATAATTTTCTAAGGAGAAACGTACCTGTTTGGTTTTCCAGTGTAGCAACAGTTTTAACATTGTAATCCCTTCGGCTGTGGACATGAAGAGAACAGCCACATCTTTCTAGACCATATTAACCCATTATACATCTGAGATATTTTCTCCGATACCATATTGAAATCTGTATTAGTCTGTTATCACATTGCTATGGAGAAATACCTAAAACTGGGTAATTTATAAAGAAAAGAGGTTTAATTGGCTTATGGTTCTACAGGCTGTACGGGACGTGATGCTGGCATCTGCTCAGCTTCTGGGGAGGCCTCAGGAAACTTCCAATCATGTTGGAAGGCAAAAGGAGCGAGGCATCTCACATGGTGGGAGCAGGAGCAAGAGAGAGTGAGAGGAGAGGTGCTGTACACTTTTAAACAATCAGATCTCACAAGAACTCACTATCAGTAAAACAGCACCTGAGGATGCTGCTAAACCATTCGTGAGAAATCCAACCCCATGATCCAACCGCCTCCCACCAGGCCCCACCTCCCACAATTCGACATGAGATTTGGTGAGGACACAAATCCAAACCATACCAGAATTCATCAGTGCTTTTCAGAGATGTCACTGAGTTTCTCTAGGACCTCCGTGCTAGGACTAAGACCATCTTGATAAATGCCGAGCTTGAACTCAGGGGTTTAAACGTAGAATAAACAGACTTCACAAGTCAGGTTTTTCTTAGTCTGTCTGGACTGTTGTAACAAAATACCATAGCATGGGTGGCTTCTGAATAACAAGTTTATTTTTCACATTTCTGTAAGTTGAGAAGTCCAAGATCAAGGGACTGGCACATTTGGTGTCTAGTGAGAGCCCACTTTCTGGTAGACAGCCATCTTCTCACTGGAACCTCACACGGTGGAAGGGGCCCTCGAAGAATAGCACTGGGGCCTCTTTTGTAAGATCACTAATCCTATCCACGAGGACTCTGCCTTCATGACCTAATTGCCTCCCAAATGCCCAACCTCCAAATACCCTACATTGAGGATTCGGTTTCAGCAGATAAATTTGAGGGGACACAAACATTTAGGCTGTAGCAAGGCTGGAGCTCAGAAAAATGTTTTATGACAAGCAGTGGAATTTTAAGTTCTAGTAACCTCCAGTGCTATTGTTTCTCTAGGTTTCGGTGGACCGGGTCTTAAAGACCCTGAAAGAAAACGCTAATAAAGCCAAAAGCTTACTGCTCACTACCATACCTCAGATAGGGTCCACAGAATGGTCAGAAACCCTCCATAACCTGAAGGTAAGTGTCAGCCATGGACAATCAGGCATGTCTGTAGACTCTCTATTGTCTTCTTTTCTTACTTGCATTTCACCTTTGGTCCTCATGTATTTTATGCCAGCCTAGATGTTTTCAACAAGTTTTTGTGACATCTACTACTACCATACCAACCACTTGTGAAACTGAGTAGTCTTATTTTCTGGCTGGTAGTGCAAGACCACTGAAGGCTAGGGTTGAGAGAGTTTTATTATCTCGTGTACCAGATTCTTCACATTGCCCTGCTCTGTAGTATCCCTAAGTCTTACTTCAGAAGATTGATAGTGCTTTCTCTGCATATCGCTTACATTGTTGACAAAGCTATTTTCTCTTTGGCAGATCCATTCAAATTTGTGGCAATCCTTTAAAGCCAAAACTCTGACAATAGTACCAAAATGGTGCCAGAAAATATCTGCTTAAGGTTAATCATGCATCAAACTAAACAGTAATTAATGATAAACCAACTCTAGTATTCTCAGAATATAATTTAAACTAACTGATAAACTCGGAGTTGCATGATTTTTCTTTGGGCACTTTGTGACTCTTCTTAACCACATAGGGAAAGACTTGTCTCAAACTGATCAGATATTGCATTCTCCTACTATCCAAAGAGGACCATACCCCAAAGTCTCCTAGAATACACCTGTACTTTTGGGTCTTCTGGTGGTGGTGGAGAGAGGATTTGAAAGGTTGATCTAAGCCCTCCTTACCTGAATTACCACCTAGGAGCTCTGTAATGAGAGAGCCACAGTTTTAGTATAATGAGGACATTGTATGGTGGTAAGTGACTGCCAATCACTGGGCATGGCAGAGCCTTGATTTGTAATGTTTGCTAATTTACGTGGTACAAGTGCTCCAGTACGGCCAGTTTCACACTACTAATGTGAAGCCACTGATGAGTTGAGAAGTGATACACACAGCTCTTGCAAGCTGGTACGAACAGAATCCAGCACACCACTGTAACTAAGGTGTCTCTCAGCAGTTAGGACTGACGGTCAAGAATGTTGGAATTTGTAGCTTATCTTCCCTACTAAGAAACAAATCTATTGGTTTCAACACTGTATACCTAGGACCTAAATGTTATTTAATGAATAAATGATACTCCTTTCCCCCATGAAGTGTTTTATCATAATATATAGAGATGCAGGAAACCCTTATTATTAGAATTAAAAGGGAAAAAATACATTTGAGTGCAGTCAAATGGCACAACTGGAGCTTGCATAAAAAAACGCATGTTGGTTTGCCAGAAATGTGACTCCTACTTGTACTATTGTTAGCAAAATGTCATAGAAGTTTGTTTGTTTATTTGTTTGTTTGTTTGAGACGGAGTCTCATTCTGTCACCCAGGCTGGAGTGCAGTGGCACGATCTCAGCTCACTGCAACCTCTGCCTCCCTGGTTCAAGCGATTCTCCTGCCTCAGTCTCCTGAGTAGCTGGGATTACAGGCATGGACCACCATGCCCAGCTAGTTTTTATATTTTTAGTAGAGACTAAACCTAGTAGATGACCAACATGGTTTCATCATGTCGGTCAGGCTGGTCTTGAACTCCTGACCTCGTGATCCACCCGCTTTGGCCTCCCAAAGTGCTGGGATTACAGGCATGAGCCACTGCGCCCAGCCAAGTTTATTTTTTTTAAGTCTCCCAACTAACCCCACTTTGACCATAGTCTTTCAAAAGCTTGAAGTTAATTTCTCAAATAATATATTTACTGTTTTAGCTTTATTTTTAAGTAAAAATGCTTGAAGAGTAGAAATCAGTGTTCTCCTTTCCTGGAGCTTCTGAAATTGTAAAATTGTGTGATTTTATTTGTATGCATTTTTAAAGAGGCTTAGTTTACGTAGCTTTCATCGGATTTTCAAAGGAGGATTTTATATATATGTGTATATATATACACACATACATACATATACACACACACACATATAAAACCTAAAGAGAGAAAATGAGGAATTCCTGCTCTAGACAAAACTGAGAATCTTGGTCTTCATGCTACAGCATTAAGGAACACCATACTAATAATCCCTTTTTCTGGGGTAGTATTGTTAGCACTGAAATGTGTATCATTCATTCCCTCACTAAGTCATTTCAGAAACACTTAGCACCTGCTATACGTCAAGGTCTGGTTTGCAAAGATAAAGAGTTGTGATGATGATCCTATGGTGTTTGGAGATATAGACACATAAAAATTTCAATGATTTCTTACAGTGGGGTAAGGATAAGGGATAGAGGTTGCATAAACAATAATCCAGGCTGGGGGCTGGTATGGCAATAAGTGATTATCAGAACAATGCTCTGAGATAAGCATTATTAACCTCACTTTACAGGAAAGGGAGGTGAGGAACCAAGAGTTTAGAGTACCCGAAGTTCCACATCTGGTTAGTGAACTTGAAAATTTTCTGTAGAATTTATTTAAAGTGTATGTTTCCTGCGTCCTCACTTTGATCTAGAAAATCAAAATCTGTTTTTTTTTTTAACAAACATCTCAGTAATTACGCCAACATGTGAATATCACTGCCTCCTTTCTTCCTTTCAGAATATGGCCCAGTTTTCTGTTTTATTACCAAGACATTAAAGTAGCATGGCTGCCCAGGAGAAAAGAAGACATTCTAATTCCAGTCATTTTGGGAATTCCTGCTTAACTTGAAAAAAATATGGGAAAGACATGCAGCTTTCATGCCCTTGCCTATCAAAGAGTATGTTGTAAGAAAGACAAGACATTGTGTGTATTAGAGACTCCTGAATGATTTAGACAACTTCAAAATACAGAAGAAAAGCAAATGACTAGTAAACATGTGGGAAAAAATATTACATTTTAAGGGGGAAAAAAAAACCCACCATTCTCTTCTCCCCCTATTAAATTTGCAACAATAAAGGGTGGAGGGTAATCTCTACTTTCCTATACTGCCAAAGAATGTGAGGAAGAAATGGGACTCTTTGGTTATTTATTGATGCGACTGTAAATTGGTACAGTATTTCTGGAGGGCAATTTGGTAAAATGCATCAAAAGACTTAAAAATACGGACGTACTTTGTGCTGGGAACTCTACATCTAGCAATTTCTCTTTAAAACCATATCAGAGATGCATACAAAGAATTATATATAAAGAAGGGTGTTTAATAATGATAGTTATAATAATAAATAATTGAAACAATCTGAATCCCTTGCAATTGGAGGTAAATTATGTCTTAGTTATAATTAGATTGTGAATCAGCCAACTGAAAATCCTTTTTGCATATTTCAATGTCCTAAAAAGACACGGTTGCTCTATATATGAAGTGAAAAAAGGATATGGTAGCATTTTATAGTACTAGTTTTGCTTTAAAATGCTATGTAAATATACAAAAAAACTAGAAAGAAATATATATAACCTTGTTATTGTATTTGGGGGAGGGATACTGGGATAATTTTTATTTTCTTTGAATCTTTCTGTGTCTTCACATTTTTCTACAGTGAATTTAATCAAATAGTAAAGTTGTTGTAAAAATAAAAGTGGATTTAGAAAGATCCAGTTCTTGAAAACACTGTTTCTGGTAATGAAGCAGAATTTAAGTTGGTAATATTAAGGTGAATGTCATTTAAGGGAGTTACATCTTTATTCTGCTAAAGAAGAGGATCATTGATTTCTGTACAGTCAGAACAGTACTTGGGTTTGCAACAGCTTTCTGAGAAAAGCTAGGTGTTTAATAGTTTAACTGAAAGTTTAACTATTTAAAAGACTAAATGCACATTTTATGGTATCTGATATTTTAAAAAGTAATGTTTGATTCTCCTTTTTATGAGTTAAATTATTTTATACGAGTTGGTAATTTTTGCTTTTTAATAAAGTGGAAGCTTGCTTTTTTAACTCTTTTTTTATTGTTATTTTATAGAAATGCTTTTTGTTGGCCGGGCACAGTTGCTCATCCATGTAATCCCAGCACTGTGGGAGGCCGAGACGGGTGGATCACAAGGTCAGGAGATCGAGACCATCCTGGCTAATGCGTTGAAACTCCGTCTCTACTAAAAATACAAAAAATTAGCTGGGCGTGGTGGTGGGCACCTGTAGTCCCAGCTACTCAGGAGGCTGAGGCAGGAGAATGGTGTGAACCTGGGAGGTGGAGCTTGCAGTGAGCAGAGCTTGCAGTGAGACGAGCTTGTGCCACTGCACTCCAGCCTGGGCAACAGAGTAAGACTCAGTCTCAAAAAAAAAAAAAAGAGTGAAATGCTTTTTGTTTGCTTCAGTTTTTTATCATGGGGAGATCTTTTTCCTCAGAATTGTTTTCTTTTCACTGTAGGCTATTACAGGATACTTCAGGATCAAGATACAGAACCTTTTATTTAAAGAGTTTGTAAAGTCAATGTGTTTGTTTGTGTCTCTGAGATTGACTTCAAGATAATAAGCTGCTAATTGTAAACAAAACAGTTACCCTCCAGTATTAATATGACTCATTAGTGTGAGCCATTTGGGTCAAGTATGATTATGACCCTTGGACTTCCTGATGTAGTATTAAATTTCAACTCTGGTTATCCATTAGCAATCTGTAGAGAACTTAATGAACCTGAACCCAGGCTTCTCTAGCTCTGGTAACGTGTGATTGTTTTCACTACAATATGATACATAGATGGTACCTTACTTTTCCTCATTCTTAATAGGTGTCTAAGAATGTCAGGGCAAAAGTATGGGCATTTTTCTTGCTATGTTCAGAAAGTACAGTTCTCTCCAACTTGCAGAGGTACTTTTCTTGATTAAATAGCCTTCTCTAGCAACATCATTTTCAGACTAACTAAATGAATGCAGTATACTCTTTTCTTTGTTCTCAATCATTCACTCCTTATGCAAAGCCAATATAATTTTCCTCATACCTTATGCTTGAGGATATTGTTGAAGAACACTTCCTGGAACACTTCTCACTTGTGATGCTGTACTAATTTTTTTTTTTTAATTTAAGCTAGTATACTAAGTGAACACCATGGTCAGTTGTGAGCATTTTGGTTTCCGCAAAGGATGGATGGTGAGCATCATGGGAAAGCTGTAGTTTAGTGACTTAGCCCTTAGTGATTAATAGATTTGCATGTACATAGAAGTCTTTGTTGGCCTTATAATCTGCTGTTATATTTGGCATGGATTTTCATGGTTTTGAGAATGACATCCTGGCCCTGTGGTCCCCGAGGGTCATGGTCCTTGTGACCTGGCCCCTGTTCACTGCCCCCTTCGCTAGCACGAGTTGCTGTGCAGGGCTGGAGGTAGCTACCATGGCTTGTTTCAAGGAAGGAAACTCTGGTACGGTGGCACCCTCAGGAGTGGAGGACAGTGAACTTCCTTGAAGAGGGAGTGACTAAGGTGACCTCCAACCTGCCCTGAGCCAGCTGCCCTGCAGGTGCCACGTGAGCCTGCTCTGGCATCCACAGGATGCTCCTGGAGCCTCTTCTCTGGCTGCTACCTCAGGGCATGGTTGTGGCCCCACCAACACCTATTTTCCAAATAATTATTCATTCTTGTGACAGTGGCCTGAACATGTTTTTAATTTTCTCAACAAGCATTTAGCCAGCACTTATCCAGTGAAACAATTTGATAAGGTTTCAAGGAGTATCTGATGGGTTAGGAAGTCACGAAATGAGGAGTTCTTGCCACATTTGCAGAGTCCCTCCTTGATAAGGTTTGGCGGTGTCCCCACCCAAATCTCATGTTGAATTGTAGTTCCCATAATCCCCACATGTTGTGGGAGGGACCCAGTGGGAGGTAATTAAATCATGGGGGTGGTTACCCCCACACTGCTGTTCTCATGATACTGAGTTCTCACAAGTCCTGTTTGTTTTATAAGGGGCTTTTCCCCCTTTTGCTCAACACTTCTTCCTGCCATCATGTGAAGAAGGACGTGTTTGTTTCCCCTTCTGCCACGATTGTAAGTTTCCTGAGGCCTTCCCAGCTATGTGGAACTGTGAGTTAATTAAACCTCTTTCCTTTATAAATTACCCAGTCATGGGCAGTCCTTTACAGCAGCATGAGAATGGACTAATACACTCCTCAAATGTTTTGAAGATTGTTGCACCTTGGAACTACCAGTGTGCACACAATCTGGCTCAATGTATATATTGGCCCAGCAAGGCAAAGAACTGAAGTTCCAGGATGGAAGAACCTGTGTTCTCCTCATAATAGTATAGAATAATTCAAGATAGGCAAGAAGGACAGCAGTAAATGAAGACCATGGAAGAAAAGAAGGAATGCCAAAGATCGAGGAAATCTACCAAGACTAGTAGGGTAGTCCAGAAGAAGCTGTTTCAGGGCCTGTTGCCAGCTATGCCTTTGAGAACCTCGGGATCCCAAAGAATGAGGGGAATTTCTTCAGAAAGACAATCTCGGCATGCATTATTTCTTTGTTTTGAAGATTCACTCATGTTGCATGCATCTGTAGCTTGTGCCTTTTTTATTGCCTAGTAGTATTCTGTCATATGCCTATCTTACAATTTGATTATCTATTCACCTGTTGATGAATGTTTGAATTTTTTCCATTTGAGGAATTTTATGAATAAAGCTGCTATAAGCATGAAATTACAAGTCTTTTTGTGAACATATTTTCACTTGTGCAAATGCCTATACTCCCACCAGTAATTTGTAAGAATTCTTGACAAAGCTTGGTATTGTCAGCGTTTTTAATTTTAGCCATTCTATTGGGTATATTTTGATATCTCGTGGTTTTGATTTGCATTTTTCTGATTAAAGATGTTGAACTTCTTTTCATGTGCTTATTGGCCATTCACATATTTCGTGAACTATCTGTACAAATATTTTTGTTTATTAAAAAATTAGATTGTTTTGTTTTATTATTGAATAGTAAGAATTGTTTATATATTCTGGATACACTCTTTTTCAGATATGTGTGTTGTGACTATTCTTAGTCTTTAGCTTGCCTTTTCATTTTCTTAATTATGTCTTTCAAAGAACAAGTTTTTCATTTTGACGAAGCCTAGTTTATCAATTTTTTTTATGGTTGGTGCTTTTTGTGTGTTCCAAGAAATCTTTGCCTACTCATTTAATTACCTGTGTGCCCTTGTCAAAATCATTTAATTTTGACTACTCACTTAATTACCTTGCCTACTCATTTAATTACCTGTGTGCCCTTGTCAAAATTTACTGTTTATCTGTGAATCTGGATGATCTATTTATGTCATTTATCTATGTGTCTCTTCTTATGCCAGTACCCCACTGTCTTGATTATTGTGGCTTTATGGTGTCTTGAAATTAAGTATTGTTAAGCTTTGCAATCTTTTCCAAGATTGTTTTGGCTATAGGTCCTTTCTTTATAAAGTTTATATTAAGCTTCTCCATTTTTCTTTAAGAAAAAATCTGCTGGAATGGCACTGAATTTTTAGGTCGATTTGGGAAGAATTGACAATATTGAACCTTTCAATCGATGGACATGGTATGTTTCTGCATTTATTTGGGCCTTTTAAAATTTATCTCAGCAATATTTTGTAGTTTTAGTGAAGAAGTCTTGTATATATCTTTTGTTAAATGTATTCCTAAATATTTTGTGGAAATGTTACTGTAAATAGTACTTTAATTTCATTTTTAAGTTTATTGCTGGTATACAGAAATATGTTTTATTTTTGTATATTGACTTTATATTCTGTAATCTTATTAAATTCACTTAGTTCAGTAGTAGTTCTTATTTTTATTTTATTGCAAGTGCCTTAGGGATACCTTGTGTACACAATCATGTCATATATGAATAACAACAGTTTACCTTTTGTTTCTTCTTGCTTTGTCGTAATGGCTAGGACCTTCAACCTAATGTTGAATAGAAGCGGTGTGTGAGTTGTTACTCTTGTCTTATTCTCAACAGCAGAGGATAGCGTCTAGTTTTTCACTATTAAAATATGTTAGCTATAGGTTTTTTCCGTTTCATGTTTTTATCAGATTGAAGATCCCTTTTATTCCTATTTTGCCAAGAGTGTCATGAATGCATGTTGAATTTCACCAAGTACTTTTTCCTGCATCTGTTGAGAGAATCTTGACTTTTCTCTTTTATTTTGTTAATGTAGATTCTTTAATGTTAAACTGATCTTGCATTCCTGATATAAACCATACTTAGTCATGATATGTTATCCCCTTTATATAATGCTGGATTCGGTTTGCAAATATTTTGTTTGATTTTTGCATCTATGCTCATGAGACAGATTGGTCTGTGATTTTCCTTTCTTGTAAGTCTTGTCAGGTGTCAGGGCTTGGTTAATTTTGACACATTTACAAACATATATTTTTAAGATAAAAATAAACTTCAAAAAAAAAAAGATGACGACAGCCTGAGTTGTTTATATACAGAATTTGTTAACCAAAAAGATTGAAAAAGGCTGGAACAGCAGGTTACATTTGATACCTGAAAATATTTTGCAGCTATAAATGCATCTTGGAACTGTTATAGGCAAAAGCTTGGGAATGGCTAAAATTCTCAGTGTCATAGGATGTTTTAAATAAACTAAGGTACATCAATTCAAATAAGTAATGTGCAGTTGTCAAAAAGAATAGATATCTGTTTATGCACCAGTATGGAACAATGTTCATGACAAAAGGGGAAATCAAAAATACATAGAGTAAAATAAGTTTGTGGTGATGTATAGATAGGATGTTTATACTTCATATTTCCAGAAAGGTTCTGGAAAGAAACTTATTGATGGCTTCTGAGGGATGAATCAAGAGACTTAAACTGTCTACTTCATACCTTTCTATAGTGGTTGAATTTTTCACCACAGGCAACTGTTCCTTTAATTGATATATTTTAAGGAATGGATACTAGAGGAGACCTAGCTTCATAGCAGTTTATGTAACATGAGATAAAATATATGATTCTTGGCATTAACTTCTGATAGGTTGTGCTTGGGGCACTATATCCAGTTCTGGGCACAATGCTTTCAGGAGGATGACTATCTAAAAAGCACCAAGAGAAGAGTGAAGGGACTGAAAAAACCATGCCACATATGTAATACTTAAATGGGTTAAGTATATCTAACTACTTAGGAGAAAGCCTTCAATGAGAACTTTGTTTAGGGGCTGTCATTCTCTTACAGACATGTGCCTCCCTCACTGTTCTGTAAGCTTTTGTAAAGGCAGGAGTTGTTTTTTTAACTCATCAGTTTAGGAGCCTCTTTTCCTTGTATTTAGCACAAACTCAACAAATATTTGTGTAAATAAAAATCTGATTACGTTTCTTTCCTACTTAAAACCCTTCATCAGCTCTCCCAAACACCTCCCCATGTTCACTTTCAGCAGGTGACTTTAGTTCCCTCTTCACAGACAGAACTGAAGCATCAGCAGAACACTTTCAAGACCCCCCTCTGCTGCTCTCTCCCAAACTGTTTTCCCTCCTGTTACCATCTGTGATAGTGCTTCTCAAACGGGAGCACGCATCGTCATCACCTGGAGGGCTTATTAAAACAGGTTGCATGGCACCACCCCAGAGTTTCCGATTCAGGATATCTGGAGCATGGCCTGATAATTTGCATTTCCAACAAGTTCCCAGATGATGCTGGTCCCACTTTGAGAACTACTGTCATAGATGTTTCTCCCTGATCATTGTCTTATGCACCAGACCCCATACCTCACACCTAGTAAGGACATCAGTCTAGTAACTACCCATTTCATAATCATTTTTCTCCTTATTATTGAATCACTTTTTCAGCACACAAATATACTTTATTTCTCCCATTAAAATTCTTGACCCCAATTCTATGTGCTGGCTCATTTTTAAGCTTTTCATTGGCATAAAATCCCTCGAGTTATTGTTTCTCCTGCCTCCAATTCCTCTTCTCCAGTCTTTCCTTAGTCCTCTTCATTTCAGATTTTGCCAGTGCACCATCTTCAGCACCAACAAGATTCTCAAGGTCACCGATTTACTGCATGTCAATTTTCACACTTAACCCTTAGTTTCCTATCAGCCGCATTTGATACACTTGACCCCTTCCTCCTCTTTGATAAGTTTTCTTTACTTGGCTTCCAAGGACACCACACTCTTGATTTTCTTCCTTCATTGATGGTTGCTGCTTCTTAGTCTCCTTTGCTGATTTCTTGCCTTCTCCCTGATCTTTTAATGTTGCCTGCCCTAGAGCTCAATCCTTGGATTTCTCCATCTTCACTTGTTCCTTGGTGGTCACTCCTCAACTTCCCCTACACCTGCTTTCCCATCCCAGTCTAGCAGTTCCATCCTTCTAGTTCCTCAGACTAAAAACTTGAAGTCCTTGACTCTTCTCTTCAAAACCCACATTAAAACCAGGAAAAATTTATTTACCATCCAAATATGTCAAGATACTGACTATTCCTCATTACAGCTACTGCTTCCAACCTAGTCTGAGCCACTCTCATCTCACCTGGATACTGTAATAACCCCTAACAGGTCCTGTGTCTACTTTTGTTCCCTAGAGCAAGCAACCCAGGAGGCAGAATGATCTGTACAAAATGCTATTTCACTTGTATTAAAATCCCACATTTATGATAGCCTATGAATCCCCATGTGATTTGCACTTGCCCTCCTATCTCTCTGACTTCCTCTCACTACTGTCCTCTTGCTCACTCTGCTCCAGCCCTTTTCCAAGAACACACCAGGCCCCCTCCTGCCTTTAACATTAGAGTATTTGGTTTGTGTTCCTTCTACCTGGAACACTCTCCCAGCAGATAACCACCTGGCCTCACTACAGCAGCTCCTTCAGATCTTTGCTCCAAAATCACCTTAGTGGGTCAACCCCAAACATCGTATTTTAACAGATGATAATGCCCTTCACTCCATGCCCAAAGTACTCCTAAGGACTCTTACAAGCACAGCTTTTTTGTTTTTCCCATAGCTCTTAACTTCTCCCTACTTACTCTAGTATTTGTATATATTTGTTTATTGTTTTGTAACTCCCAACACACACACTTCCTCCAAAATGTACAACCTCTGTGACAGCAGGAAACTTGTCATTTACTGATATCCTAAATGACCAGACTAGTGCTTGGGATTTAGTAGGCTTCCAGCCAATACTATCTTGAATGTACAGCTTCCCAATACATATGGCTTGCAAAGCCGTGTATGTTCTGACTTACTCCAGCCTCTTTCTCACCTCCCACACCTCATGGCACTCTAAATCAGTGCTGTCTGATAGAAATATGTGAGCCAATATGTAATTTTAAATTTTCTAGGAGCCACATTTACAAAGTAAAAAACAGTTGAAATTATTTATAATATATTTTAATATAATATATCCAAAATGTTATGGAGATGTAACATTTAAAAATTATGAAATTTTTATTCTTCAAATACTAAATCTTTGGGATCAGATATTTTATACTAACAGTACATCTCAATTCAGAGGTTAAATTTTTTTTTCTTTTTTTTTTTTTTTTGAGATGGATTCTCTGTCTCCCAGGCTGGAGTGCAGTGGCATGATCTCGGCTCACTGCAACCTCTACCTCCCAGGTTCAAGCAATTCTGCCTCAGCCTCCCAAGTAGCTGGGATTACAGGTGCCTGCCACCATGCCCAGCTAATTTTTATATTTTCAGTAGAGACAGGGTTTCACCATGTTGGCCAGGCTGGTCTCAAACTCCTGACCTGAAGTGATCCACCAGCCTCGGCCTTACAAAGTGCTAGGATCACAGCCATCAGCCACCATGCCTGGCTGTGAGGCTAAATTTTTATAAGAAATGTTCTATCTGTGTTTAAATTTTGTAAAATTTACTTTGAAAAAATAGACTCACATACCTAAGTTGTTCCAGTGATTTTGAAGCGGCTGTCAACTTTTAAATTTAACTTAATTAAAACTAAATAAAATTAATTTCATTTGCTCAGTTGCACTAGCTACATTTTAAGTGTTCAGCAGCCACACTTGGCTAGTGATGTATTAGCACAACTCTTTGACCCCAGCTCCAAGCAGACCAGGCTCCTCCTTGTCTCTGGCCTTTTGTAAGTTGTCCCTCCACTTGGAAGACTCTTCTTTGCTCCACCATCATCTCTTTTTATCTGACTCACTGTCTGAATTAGCCCTTTCTCTGCACTTTGCAAACACCCTATTCTGTTACATTACTAGTCACACTGTATTATAATTGTCTGATTCATTGTGTGATGGTTCAGGAATTATTTCTACCTTGTTTACTTCTGTGTCCCCAGACTCTTCGGACATTACCTTTCATATAAGAGATACTGTGTATGTCTATATATACATATATGTATTTGTTAAATAAATTTATAAATCTATGAAATTTATGCCTATAGAAGTTTTAGCCATCCTTCGGTTTCCACCTCAAATCCCTTCTTCCCAGGATTCTTGTCAGAGCAGTCCACAGCAAATATTTCCTGTTTTGTACTCCCAAACCACCTGCAGCTCATATTACTCATAGGCCATTTGTAATACATGATTTTACTACGTAAAATTCTACCTCCCCAGATAGTGAAAACTGGAAGAGCAGGAATTCTGGAAAAGAAAATGACTTACATATTAGGTGTTCAATAAAAACTTGATGACTTATTAAATATATTGTCTGATTTCAGTCTTATGTCTGGTGATTACTTTTCCTGAGGTAATTCAGTAAAACCAGTGAAAATTTTTGTGTGTTTTAACCATTATGCTAAAAGGTATCTGCTCTCTGCCAGGCGTGGTGGCTCACACCTGTAATCCCAGCACTTTGGGAGGCTGAGGCTAGATCACTTGAGGTCAGGAGTTGAACACCAGCCTGGCCAACATGGCAAAACCTCATCTCTACTAAAAATACAAAAATTAAACAGGCATGATGGTAGGCACCTGTAATCCCAGCTACTCAGGAGGCTGAGCTTAGCAGGAAAATAGCTTGAACCCAGAAGGCGGGAGGTTGCAGTGAGCCAAGATTGCGCCACTGCACTCCAGCCTGGGCAATAGAGAAAAACTCCATCTCAAAACAAACAACCACCAAAAACTGTCTGCTCTCAATCTTTTGATTGAATAGTAAAACCAATATTTTTTTTAAAGGAAGGCTACTTCCCGAATGACCTTATCTACCTATGTGTCTGTGTAGTTGGCCATTAATCAAATGTCATTTATATCCCAAACTTCATTTTCATTCATTGTTGATTCGGTTGATACTCATGTCCATCTGTCTACAGATATACACTGTCACTCATCAGTGTTATATACAAACCTTACTCATTTTATTATCACTAATGGGCTCAATCCTAAATAAGATCAAAGCTTATTTTTCCCTTTTGCATAGTATCTTCCAATAGTCAAGCTAAAGAAGAAAAAAGCAAATTGCATTATGAAAATGCTATACTACACAGTCTGTTCTGTGAGGTGTAGAGCAAGCATTAATGACCCTTTTTTTCTGTGCCAGATTGGAGGAGAAAAGAGAGAAGTAGAAACAATTAACTGTAGACAGATCAGACCTTTCAACTTTTTCATGCTTTATGACTGCAGTCCTAATGATAAAGAACCCCAGAGGCAATGTGAGCACTCCCTCGGGAGGGAATGTGAGTCTGGTATCTGGTCCTCTCTAACAGTTCATGCCTGGTAAGGATCATGGTGTCCTGGCATGACAGACACCAAAAGTCCACATTTTCCAAGGGAATGAATGTTTACAAATACATTGGTTCCTTGATGTTACTAGAGCCCTCTTCCTATTCTCTCCTCTTTTCCTAATTCATGCCCCCTTATTACCTTAACAGAGGTGGGAGTTAATCAGGATGTAATAAAATTGAAAAAGTACCTAGGATGGAAGGGATTTGGAATTCTGAATATTGTGTTTTAAGTTGGAAAAAAAAGTTACATAAAATGTATTCTATTGTCTTGGCAGTTATTTACTTTGTTTTTTATCTTATAGTTTGTCTTCTTGAGACTGTAGGCGTCTATAAACTGTGAACTAATTTAGATGCCACTCCTGAGGGCCTGGCACATGATTTGCACTTAATGAACAGCTGCTTTGGTCTGAATTTCTGTGTCCTCCTAAAATCCATATATTGAAATCTAATCTCCAATGCAGTAGTATCAAGAGGTAGAGCCTTTGGGGGTGATTAGGTCATGATAGTGTTTCCTTCATGAATGAGATTAGTTTCTCTATAAATAAGGCCCGAGGGAGCTCTTTTGCCCCTTCTGCCATGTGAGAACACGTCTAGAAGGTGGCATCTATGAAGTAGAGTGGGCCCTCATCAGACACTGAATCTGTTGGTGCCTTGATCTTGGACTTCCACCCCCGCCCCCCACCCCAAGAACTGTGAGAAACAACTTTATTGTTTTTAAGTTACTCAGTCTAAGATACTTTGTTATAGCCACCCAAAAGGACTAAGACAGCAGCCACTAAAAAGTGTTCATTTTACCTCAATCAGCAATTTAAAAGGAACAGCTATAGAAGTTGAACAACAGTCGTACTAAATGGTTCCTAAGGAAGTTATTTTTGAAAAAGTATAAATATCAACATGAAAAGGTTTCAGAATTCAGTGTATAAGTGAAAAAAGGACATGTTCTTGGTTTAATAATCATTTTGTTGCAGAGCACTTTTTTCGGAATAAAAAAAATTTGATTATTTCATTTAGGGAAGATTAACAGGAAATAGTGTTATCAAACTGTGCCCTCAGTTTTATAGATGACTCAGTCTTAAAAACTCCACACATCGGAATGTGATGATGTGTTCATTAGCTGCTCTGTTTGACCTCACTTTAGTTTACGAATTCCCACCCTTTAGGAATCAAGATTACAAGGCTAAAGCAGTAAGTAATAGGAAAGTCAACTTCAAATATATACAGAAATACAAAGATCAATATAATGAACCCCTGTCTGCCACCCGGCTTCAAGAATTACTTCATAGACAATCTGTTTATTCTATAATCCCACTGACTGTTCACCTCCGACGTTATTTTGAAGCATTTCTCATGTATGATTTCATCTATGAATATTTCCATGATAAGAATAAAAATTTCTTAATGTCAGAAAATATTTAGTGACTATTCAAAATTTCAAATGTGTTATAAATGCCATGTTTTACATGTTGTTTATTTAAATCAGGATCCAAGTAAAGTCTATACATTGCAATTGGTTAATACATATTTTGTGTTTCTTTTATTTTAGGCCATCTCTTTTAGTAAATGTCCTTGAATGTTTCTTAAGTTGCTGTATGTTCATGGACCATTTCCAGAGACTTTGATTGGTTGTTTTAAAATAATTTTCACCCATTCTGTAGGTTGCCTGTTAATGCTGATGGTAGTTTCTTCCGCTGTGCAGAAAAGAACTCTGGACTCAGTTCCCAGAAAAACTAGTGAAAATTATTTTTTTAATCATTTTTCTTTTTTTTTTTTTTTAATTATACTTTAAGTGCTGGGATACATGTGCAGAACATGCAGGTTTGTTACGGAGGTATACATGTGCCGTGGTAGTTTGCTGTAACCATCAACCCGTCATCTACATTAGGTATTTTTCCTAATGCTATCCCTCCCCTAGCCCACACCCTGACAGGCCCCGGTATGTGATGTTCCCCTCCCTGTGTCCATGTGTTCTTATTGTTCAACTCCCACTTATGAGTGAGAACATGCAGTGTTTGGTTTTCTATTGGAATGATGGTTTCCAGCTTCATCCATGTCCCTGCAAAGGACATGAACTCATCCTTTTTTATGGCTGCATGGTATTCCATGGTGTATATGTGCCACATTTTCTTTATCCAGTCTGTCATTGGATGGGCATTTGGGCTGGTTCCAAGTCTTTACTCTTGTGAATAGTGCCGCAATAAACATAGTGTGCATGTGTCTTTATAGTAGAATGATTTATAATCCTTTGGGTATATGCCCAGTAATGGGATTGCTGGGTCAAATGGTATTTCTAGTTCTAGATCCTTGAGGAATCACCACACTGTATTGTTTCCTGACTTTTTAATGATCGCCATTCTAACTGGTGTGAGATGGTATCTCATGGTGGTTTTGATTAGCATTTCTCTAATGACCAGTGATGTTGAGCTTTTTTTCATGTTTGTTGACTGCATAAATGTCTTCTTTTGAGAAGTGTCTGTTCATATCCTTCGCCCACTTTTTGATGGGGTGGTTTGTTTCTTCTAAATTTGTTTAAGTTCCTTGTAGATTCTGGATATTAGCCCTTTGTCAGGTGGGTAGATTGCAAAAATTGGTTATTTTCTCTGCTCCTCACCCTCCTCCCACCCTTAACCCTCAAGTTGGCCCCAGTGTCTTCTTTGTGTCTGTGAGTTCTTATCATCTAGCTCCCACTTATAAGTGAAAACGTGTGGTATTTGGTTTTCTGTTTCTGTGTTACTTTACTAAGGATAATGGCATCCAGCTCCATCTATGTTCCAACAAAAGATATGGTCTCCTTCTTTTCAGTGGCTGCATAGTATTCCATGGTACATATGTACCACATTTTCTTTGTCCAGTCTGTCATTGGTGGGCATTTAGGTTGATTCCATGTCTTTGCTGTTGTGAGTAGTGCTGTATGTGTCTTTATGGTAGATTGATGTATGTTCCTCTGGGTATATACCTAGTAATGAGATTGCTGGGTCAAATGGTAGTTCTATTTTTAGCTCTTTGAGGAATCCCCACACCGCTTCCCACAATGGTTAAACTAATTTCCACTCCCACCAGTATCAGTGTTCCCTTTTCTCCACAACCTCGTCAGCATCTGTTATTTTTTTACTTTTTAATAATAGCCATTCTGACTGCTGTGAAATGGTGTCTCATTGTGGTTTTGATTTGCATTTCTCGAATGATCAGTGATATCACGCTTTTTTAAAGTATGATTGTTGGCCACATGTATGTCTTCTTTAGAAAAGTGCCTGTTCATATCCTTTGCCCACTTTTAAATGGGGTTTTTTTTTCTTGTAAATTTGTTTAAGTTCCTTATAGATGCTGTATATTAGATGTTTGTCAAATGCATAGTTTGCAAATATTTTCTCCCATTCTATAGGTTGTCTGTTTACTCTGTTGATAGTTTCTTTTGCTGTGCAGAAGCTCTTAAGTTTAATTAGATCACCCTTGTCAATTTTTGCTTTTGTTGTGATAGCTTTTGGTATCTTTGTCATGAAATATTTGCTCATTTCTATGTCCAGGATGGTATTGCCTAGGTTGTCTTCCAGGGATTTTATAGTTTGGAGTTATACATTTAAGTCTTTAATCCATCTTGAGTTGATTTTTGTATATGGTATAAGAAAGGGGTCCAGCTTCAATCCTATGCATATGACTAACCAGTTATCCCAACACCATTTATTGAATAGGGAATCTTTTCCCCATTGCTTGTTTTTGTCAGCTTTGTCAAAGATCAGTTATAGATGTGCAGCCTTATTTCTGGGCTCTCTATTCGGTTCCATTGGTCTATGTATCCTTTTTTCTACCAGTACTATGCTGTTTTGGTTACTGCAGTTTGGATTATAGTTCGAAGTTGGGCAACGTGATGCCTCCAGCTTTGTTCTCTTTGCGTAGGATTGCCTTGGCTATTTGGGCTCTTTTTTTGGTTCCATGTGAATTAAAAAAAAAAATTTCTGTGAAGAATTGTCATTGGTAGTTTGATAGGAATAGCATTCGACCTATAAATTGCTTTGGGTAGTGTGGTCATTTTAATGATACTGATTCTTCCTGTTCGTGAGCATGGAATACTTTTCCATTTGTTTCTGTCATCTCTGATTTCCTTGAGCATTGTTTTGTAATTCTCCTTGTGGAAATCTTTCACTTTCCTGATTACCTGTATTCCTAGGTATTTTATTCTTCTTGTGGCAGTTGTGAATGGGATTGCATTCCTGATTTGGCTCTCTGCTTGACTGTCATTGGTGTATAGGAATGCTAGTAATTTTTGTACATTGATTTTGTATCCTGAAATTTTGCTGAAGTTGTTTATGTGGTGAAGGAGATTTTGGGCTGAGACTGGGGTTTTCTATATAGATAATCATGTCATGTGCAAACAGGGATAGTTTGACTTCCTCTCTTCCTATTTAGATGCTCTCTATTTCTTGCTCTTGCCTGATTGCTCCAGCCAGGACATCCAATGCAATGTTGAATAGGAGTGGTAAGAGAGGGCATTCTTGTCTTGTGCTGGTTTTCAAGGGGAGTGCTTCCAGCTATTCCCCATCCGGTATGATATTGGCTTTGGATTTGTCATAGACGGCTCTTATTATTTTGAGGTATGTTCCTTCAATACCTAGTTGATTGAGAGTTTTTAACATGAAGTGATGTTCAATTTTATCAAAAGCCTTTTCTGCATCTATTGAAGTAATAGTGTGGGTTTTATCTTTACTTCTGTTAATGTGCTGAATCACATTTATTGATTTACATATGTTGAACCAACCTTGCATCCCAATAATAAAACCAACTTGATTATGGTGGATAAGCTTTTTGAAGTGCTGTTGGATTCGATTTGCTAGTATTTTGTTGAGGATTTTTGTATCAATGTTCATCAAAGATATTTGCCTGAAGTTTTCTTATTTTGTTGTGTCTCTGCCAGACTTTGTTATTAGGATGATACTGGCCTCATAGAATGAGTTGGGGAGGAGTCCCTCCTCCTCAGTTTTTGGAATAGTTTTAGTAGGACTGGTACCAGCTTTTACTTACACATCAGGTATAATTTGGCTGTGAATCTGTCTAGACATGAGCTTTTTATGGTTGGAAGGCCTTTTAATACTGCTTCAATTTCAGAACTCATTATTGTTCTGTTCAGAGATTTAATTTATTCCTGGTTCAGTCTTGGGAGGTGTATGTTTCCAGGAAATTATCCATTTCTTCTGTTTCCTAGTTGTGTTCATAGGGGTGTTTATAGAATCTTTGAGGTTTTCTTTTTATATTTCTGTGGGGTCATTGGTAATGTCTCCTTTGTCATTTCTGATTGTGTTTATTTGGATATTCTCTGTTTTTCTTTATTGGTTTAGCTAGTGGTTTATCAATCTGAGTTATTCTTTTAAAGAAAAAATTTCTGGATATGTTGATGGTTTGTATGTTCTTTCATGTCTCAATTTTGTTCAGTTTAGCTCTGATTTTGGTAATTTCTTGTTTTCTGTTAGCTTTGGGGTTGGTTTGCTTTTGTTTTTCTGGTTCCTCTAGTTGTAATTTTAGGTGGTTAATTTGAGATCTTTCTAACTTTTAAAATTTTTATTCTATTTATTTATTTAGAGACCAGGTTATGAGACTGGCTAATTTTTGTATTTTGGGTAGAGGCAGGGATTCACCATGTTTCCCAGGCTTATCTCCAACTCCTGGGCTCAAGTGATCCACCTGCCTTGGCCTCCCAAAGTGCTGGGATTACAGGCATGAGCCACTGCACCCAGCCAAGATCTTGCTAAATTTTTAATGTGGGTGTTTAGTGCCATAAACTGTCCTGTTAATGCTGTTTTGTGTGTTCCAGAAATTTTAGCAAGTTGTATCTCTGTTCTCATTAGTTTCAAGGAACTTCTTGATTTCTGCCTTAATTTCATTATTTACCCAAAAGTCATTCAGGAGCAGGTTGTTTAATTTCTATGTAATTGCATGGTTTTGAGCAATTTTTAAAATCTTGACTTATATTTTTATTGCGCTATAGTCCTAGAGTATGTTTCATATTATTTTGGTTCTTCCGCATTTGCTGAGGATTGTTTTATGTCCAATTATGTGGTCAATTTTAGAGTATTTGCCATGTGGCAGTGAGAAGAATGTATATTCTCTTGGGTTAGGGTGGAGAGTTCTGTAGAGGTCTATTAGATCCATTTGGTCCAATGTTGAGTTCAGGTCCTGAATATGTTTGTTAATTTTCTTCCTTGATGTTCTAATACTGTCAGTGGAGTGCTGAAGTCTCTCGCTAGTATTGTGTGGGAGTCTAAGTTTATTTGTTGGTCTCTAAGAACTTGCTTTATGAATCTAGGTGCTCCTGTGTTGGGTGCATATATATTTAGTATATTTAGGCTTCTTGTTGAATTGAACCCTTTACCATTATATAATGCCCTTCTTTATCTTTTTCTATCTTTATTGGTTTAAAGTCTGTTTTGTCTGAAATTAGGATTGCAACCCCTGCTTTTTTCTGATTTCCATTTGCTTGGTATATTTTCCGCCATCCCTTTATTTTGAGCTTATGGGTGTCATTACATGTGAGATGGATCTCTTGAAGACAGCATGCCACTGAATCTTGTTTTTTTTATCCAGCTTGCCACTCTGTGCCTTTTAAGTGGGGCATTTAGCTTGTTTACATTCAAGGTTAGTATCAATATGTGTGGATTTGATCCTGTCATTGTGTTGTTAACTGGTTACTATGCTGGCTTGTGTGACTGCTTTATAGTGTCATTGGTACTTAAATGTGTTTTTGTAATGGTCTTTCTTTTCTAAATATAGTGCTCCTTTCAAGATCTCTTACAAGGCAGATCTGTTGGTAACAAACTCCCTCAACATTTGCTTATCTGTAAAGTATCTTATTTCTCCTTTGCTTAGGAAGCTTAGTTCGGCTGGATATGAAATTCTCAGTGGAAGATTTTTTTTCTTCATGAATGTTGAATATAGGCCCCCAATCCCTTCTGGCTTGTAGGATTTCATCTGAGAGGTCCACTGTTAACCTGATGGGGCTCCTTTTGTAGGCGGCCTGCCCTTTCTCTCTGGCTTCCTTTAACATTCTTTCTTTTATTTCAGTCATGGAAAATCTAAGGATTATGTGTCTTCACGATGATCTTTTGTAAAATCTTGCAAGAGTTCTGTGTATTCCAACAAATTCCATTTGTTGGAAACTTAATTTCTAAATTTATATATTGATGGCATTTGGAGGTGGAGCTTTTAGAAAGTAATTAGGATTAGATGAAGTCATCAAGGTGGATCCCCCGTAAAGGAATAAGTGACTTCATAAGAAGAGTAAGAGAGCTAAGTTAGCACACTTGTTCTGTCTCACCATGTGATGCCTTTTGCCATATCATTTTACAAGAAGGCCCTCACCAGATGCCAGTGCCATACTCTTGGACTTCCCAGCCTCCAAACCCATAAACTAAACCTCTATTCATTATAGATAATCCAGTTTATGGTATTTAGTTACAGCAACAGAAAATGGGCTAAGACAACAATTAGGCAGGAAAAAGAAATAAAAGCCATCTAGATTGGAAAGGAAGTAAAACTATTTCTAATTCCCAGACAACATAATCTTATACAGTATTTACAAAATCCTGTAGATTCCACTAAACGACAACTAGAACTAATAAACAAGCTCAGCAAGGTTGTAAGATACAACATTTATATACAAAACTCAACTGTATTCTCATACATTTCCAATGAACAATCCAAAATCAAATTATAAATATAATCCTATTATAAATATTATAAAAAGGAATACAATACTTAGGAATAAACTTAACAAAATAACTGCAAAACATACTCTGCTTGTCCACTGCAAACTACAAAACATTGCTGAAAGAAATAAGACACAAATAAATGGAAAGACATTTTATGTTCATACACTGGAAGACTTAATATTGTTAAGATGTCAGTACTACCCAAAGTGATCTAACAGACTCAACACAATCCCTATAAAAATCTCAATGGCATTTTTTTTGCAGAAACATAAAAATTCACTCTAAAATTTCCATGAAATCTCAAAGGACCCCCCAGTAGCCAAAACAATCTTGAAAAAGAAAGACATTGGAAGTCTGACAATGCCTGATTTCAAAATATATTACAAAACTATAGTAATCAAAACAGTGTGGTACTGGCATAAAGACAGACATATTGACAAATGGAAAGGAATAGAGAGCCCTGAAATAAATCCTTTTATATATAGTCAAATGATCTTCAACAAGGGTGCCAAAATCACTCAACAGGCAAAAGACAGTTTCTTTAACAAATGCTATTGTGAAAACTGGATATGCAAATGCAAAAGAATGAAGTTGGACTCTTACCACCATACACAAAAATTAACTCAAAATGGATTAATAACTTAAACACAAGACCAACAACCATGAAAGCACTAGAAGGAAGAAAACATACAGGGGAAAGATTTATGATATTAAATTTAGCATTATTTTTGTGGATATGACATCAAAAGCACAGGCAACAAAAGCCAAAATAGACAAATGGAACTAGATCAAACTTTAAAACTTCTGTGCATCAAAGGACACAATCAACATTGTAAAAGAGCAGCACTTGCAAACCATATATCTGATGAGGGGTTAATATCCAGAATATGAAAAGAACTCTTGTAATGCCACAAGAAATAATCCAATTAAAAAGTGGGCAGAAGACTTGAATAGACATTTTTTCAATGATGATAGCAAATAACCAATAAACATGCATTGCTGCTTGACATCAGTAATTATTAGAGAAATAGAAATCAAAACCACATTGAGATATCACTTCACACCCATTACAATGGCTACTATCAAAAAAAACAGAAAATGTTGCCATAGATGTGGAAAAATTGGAACCCTTCCACACTTTTATTGGGAATATAATATGATGCAGCCACTATGGAAAACAGTATGGGGTTTTCTCAAAAATTAAAAATAGAAATACCATATGATTCAGCAATCACATCTTTGCATATGTTTCTAAAAGAATTGAAAGCAGGATCTCAAAGAAATTTGCACACCCATATTCATAGCAGCATTATTAAGAAGAGCCAAGAGATGGATGTTCATCAAGAGATGGACAGATAAAGAAAATGCAATTTACATGCAAATGTAGTATAAAACAAAATATTATTCAACCTTAAGAAGTATTTCCTTCATTTAGCAACAGGTATAGCATGCAAATGTAGTACAAAATAAAATATTCAACCTTAAAAAGGATTTCCTTCCTTTTTACTGCAAATACAAATGCAAAAGAATGAAGTTGGACTCATCACCATATTAAAAAAATTAAAGTGGATTGAAAACTTAAACACAAGACGAACAACTGTAAAGGAAGGAAAACCTTTTTAAGGTTCGATAATATTTTATTTTATACTACGTTTGCATGCTACCCCTGTTGCTAAACTGTGTACTTAAAAATTGTTAGGATTAGGTGAGTTTTGCTACAACCTTTAAAAAGTTTTATTCTCAAAATTGTAAAACATTGTTCACATAAAGAATAAATAAATAGAAAAACATCCTGTGTTTATTGATCCGAAGAGTTAATATTAGATTGTTAGGATGGCAATATTCTTGTAACTGATCTATGTATTCAACACAGAATTAAATGGAGAAATTTACAAAAACTACAGTCAGCATGAGATTTCTATTTTTCTCTCTTACAAATTGATGTGTCAGACAGAGAGCTTAAGGTTTGATATGGAAAATTTGAACAACATAATTATCAAACTTGATTAAGTAAACGTTTTATATGCAATAATCAGAAAATATCTCTATACATTCTTTCAAGAACACATGGTACATTTACCAGAACTGATGATGTTTTAGAACAAATTGTCTCAATAAATTTTAAAGTAACTCTGGGTTTTTATCTAATCACAACACAAAATTAATGTTTAATAGTAAAAAATAATTTTAAAAATTTTATTTGGAAGTTATAAAGTACACTTTTAAATAATTCATATATCAAAGAATAAAGTGTCACTGGAAATTTTGGTTTTCTGTCAAACCATGAGATGCAGCCAAATATGTTCAGAGGGAAATTTATAGTTTTTAATGCTTATTTTCAAAAAGAAAAAAAATTAAGAAGTGAGGCCCCTAACTCAAGAAGTGATTAAAAAAGAAAAGCAGAACTTAATTAAATTAATGAAGTAGAAAACAAGGAGGATACATTTAAAAATAACTTACAGAACAGGAGAAGATATATGCAATACTTATAACTGAAAAAAAAAACAAAAACTGGTGTCCAGAATATCCAAAAACACCCTAACAAATCACTGACAAAAAGGCAAACAATCAATTAGAAAAGGGAGTAAAAGATTTAAATAGTTCAACAAAAGAGAAACTCTGCATGGTGAATCACTATATGAATAAATGCTCAACCTTCTTAGTGATAAGAGAAATGAAAATTTAAAACACCACAATGAGATACCTCTACACCCCATCAGTTGAACAAAAAATTAAGTATGACAACTCCAAGTTTGGGCAAAGATGTGGAGCATCAAGAGTTCTCATACAGTGCTAGTGAGAGCATAAATTGATAGAACCACATGGAGAAAATAATGTGACATTATCCAACTAAATTGAAGATAAGCCTACTGTAGCAGTCTGGATCCAATCAGGAGATAGAAACCCCACAATAGCCTAAACATGGAACTTTAATATCAGACTTAATACCTATGATTAAATAGCAACTATAAAATATGAGGAAAGAGTACCTAAGGAAAGACAAACGTGAAAGAGTTTCAGATCTCATTGGAGAACGTGTGTTTGGCCACTAGATAGCAAAAAAAAAATCTGCTGATGTAGCCAGACCACAGGTGGTCTGGAGTTTCTGAGCAAACAATAGGGAACCCTCTAGTGTACAGGTAGGGAAGCAGGCAATCAGCAATACCTAGTGTGGCCTGCAATAGGAAGCTGGGGATGAAAGCAGAAGACCAGAGCATACCCATACACACTAGCCCGCACAGGAAGTGGCAGCTCTGTGTTGTGAGCCTCTGTGCCACAGGGGGCTGTTGTGAAGGTCATGTGGGAGCTTTGGTTTTTATGTCCAGAGGGCTGTGAAGCTGCAATATTGCAGAGTAATCTCAGGCCTTGGTGGTTTCTAGTGGATGTCGTCACATCCACACCTCTGAAAAAATTGCAAGAAGTTTCTTTATCCTGCAATGTCCCTTCAACATCCTCACTGAAAAAAAGTTAACATAATGCTCACTTTAAAAGAGAAGTACTTGAGAGAATTCTATTATTAGTTGTAGACCATATATTGCAGGGTACATTTAGAGCTGAAAAGTGATCAATTGCTAATGGAAATACCCTGTAATTTGAAATGCATGAATTTGTGTTGGATACACCAACACATATATAAAAACGGTCATAGACGTTTTGTTTTAATTGCCCCAAATGGACACAACACAATGCTCAGAATGGATAAATGATTGTGGTATACTTATATGATGGAATAATAACATCAATTAAAATCAACAAAGTAGAGCTTGTGCAACAATATGGCTGAACCTTTCAAACATAATGTTAAGTGGAAAAAAGCAAGACACTGTATAATACAAATTACATATCTTAGTCAATTCAAGCTATTGTAAAAATACTATAGACTGGATGCCTTAAACAACAAACATTTATTTCTCACAGTTCTAAAGGCTGGGAAGTGCAAGATAAAGTATTGGCAGATGTGGTATGTAGTGGAGCCCCACTTTTTGGCTTGTAGACTTCTTGCTGTAGCCTCACATGGCCGCTAGTGAACTCTAGTTTCTTTCTCTTCTTATAAGGACACTAATCCCATCATGGGGGCTCCACTTCCATGACCTCATCTAAACCTTGTGACCTCCCAAAGTTCCCACCTTTGAATACCATCTCATTGAGGGTTAGGGTTTCAACATATGAACTTTGGGGAGACAGAAACCATGTAGTCTATAAAATTGCATGATTCCCTTTATATCAAGTCCCCAACTAGGCAAAACTAAACTATATTATTCAAGGTTGCATACACAATTAGTAAAACTGTAGAGAAGTAAGGAAACCACTACCATAAAATTCAGGATTTTACTAACCTTTAGAAGGGAGGGAAAGGGTTATGATAGAGAAAGAATATATGGTGGGAAGGGCTTTCAGGGTACCGGAACTATCTCAATGTGATGATAGTTAAGCTGATGTTTGCTTTATCAATGCTTATTTATGATTCATACTTTATATATAAATTTTATGTGCTTTTCTGTCTATATGTGTTACATCTTTTAAGAAGAAAAACAGTTTATGCCAGGAAACAACAAAATCCAGCCATGCCCACCCAGAGATTTTATAGGCAAAGTATATCATACATTGATGGAAGGAATAATCCTAATTTATGCAATTATTTCCAAAGAATACTTTGGAGAAAGCTCTTCTTTGAATCATGTATACTCCAATATATTTGTTCTTAAGAGGTTGGGCAGGATTACTATAACCTAAAGGTTCTGGGCACCATCCCCCAAGATTCTGATTCAGTAGGTCTGGGGTGGGGCCCAATAATTTGCATTTTTTTTTATTTCAATAGTTTTTGGGGAACAGGTGTTGTTACCTGAGGATGGTCTTTAGTGTTGATTTCCAAAATTTTGGTACACCCATCACCCAAGCAGTGTACACTGTACCCAATATCTAGTCTTTTATCCCTCACCCACCTCCCACCCTGCCCCAGTGAGTCCCCAAAATTCATTATATCATTCTTGTGGCTTTGCATCCTCGTGGCTTAGCTCTAAGTGAGAGCATATGATGTTTGGTTTTCTGTTCCTTAGTTACTTCACTTATAATAATGGTCCCCAAATCCATCCAGGTTGCTGCAAATGCCATTATTTCATTCCTTTTTATAGCTGGGTAGTATTACATGGTGTGTGTGTGTGTGTGTGTGTGTGTGTGTGTGTGTGTGTGTATACAGATCACATTTTCTTCATCCACTCGTTGAATGATGGGAATTTGAGCTGGTTCCATATTTTTGCAG
This sequence comes from Homo sapiens, assembly GCF_000001405.40. Lineage (NCBI taxonomy): Eukaryota > Metazoa > Chordata > Mammalia > Primates > Hominidae > Homo > Homo sapiens. Next base: position 21,885,891 of record NC_000009.12, read on the forward strand.
TTGTGAATTGTCCTGCTATAAACATGCCTATGCAAGTGTCTTTTTCATATAATGACTTCTTTTCCTCTGGGTAGACATAGATACCCAGTCATGGGATTGCTGGATCAAATGGTAGATGTCCTTTTAGTTTTTTTAAGGAATCTCCACACTGTTTTCCACAGTGGTTGTACTAGTTTACATGCCCACCAGCAATGTAAAAGTGTTCTCTTTCACCACATCAAGGCCAACATCTTTTTTTTTTTTTTAATTATGGCCATCCTTGCAGGATTAAGGTCGTATCACGTTGTGGTTTTGACTTGCATTTCCCTGATAATTAACAATATTGAGCATTTTTTCATGTTTGTTGGCCATTTGTATATCTTGTTTTCAGAATTTTCTATTCATATCCTTAGCCCACATTTTGATGGGATTGTTTTATTCTTGCTGATTTGTTTCAGTTCCTTGTGGATTCTGGATATTAGTCTTTTGTCAGATGCATAGTTTTTGAAGATTTTCTTCCACTCTGTGGGTTGTCTGTTTACTCTGCTGATTATTTCTTTTGCTGTGCGGAACCTTTTTTATTTTGTTAAGTACCATCTATTTATCTTTGCTTTTGTTGCATTTGCTTTTGGGTTCTTCGTCATGAACTTTTTACCTAAGCCAATGTCTAGAAGGGTTTTTCTGATGTTATCTTCCAGAATTTTTATGGTTTCAGGTCTTTGGTCCATCTTGAGTTGACTTTTGCATAAAGTGAGAGGTGAGGATCCAGTTTCATTCTTCTATGTGGCTTGCTAATTATCCAGCACCATTTGTTGAATAGGGTGTCCTTTCCCCACTTTATGTTTCTGTTTGCTTTGTCAAAGATTAGTTGGATATAAGTATTGGACTTTATTTCTGGATACTCTATTCTGTTCCGTTGGCGTATGTGTGCCTGTTTTTATACCAGTACCATGCTGTTTTGGTCACCATAGCCTTATAGAATAGTTTGAAGTTGGATAATATGATACCTTCAGATTTGTTCTTTTCGCTTAGTCTTGCTTTGGCTATGTGGGCTATTTCATAGTTCCATTTGAATTTTAGGATTGTTTTTTCTAGTTCTGTGAAGAATGATGGTGGTATATTGATAGGAATTGCAATGAATTTGTGCATTGCTTTTGGCAGTATGGTCATTTTCACAATATTGGTTTTCCCTATCCATGAACATGGGATGTGTTTTCATTTGTTTGTGTGATCTATGATTTCTTTTTTATTATTATTATACTTTAAATTTTAGGGTACATGTGCACAACGTGCCCGTTTGTTACATATGTATACATGTGCCATGTTGGTGTGCTGCACCCATTAACTCATCATTTAACATTAGGTATATCTCCTAATGCTATCCTTCCCCTCTCCCCCCACCCCATAATAGGCCCCGATGTGTGATGTTCCCCTTCCTGTGTCCATGTGTTCTCATGGTTCAATTCCCACCTATGAGTGAGAACATGTGGTGTTTGGTTTTCTGCCCTTCCAATAGTTTGCTGAGAATGATGGTTTCCAGCTTCATCCATGTCCCTACAAAGGACATGAACTCATCATTTTTTATGGCTGCATAGTATTCCATGGTGTATATGTGCCACATTTTCTTAATCCAGTCTATCATTGTTGGACATTTGGGTTGGTTCCAAGTCTTTGCTATTGTGAATAGTGCCGCAGTAAACATACATGTGCATGTGTCTTTATAGCAGCATGATTTATAATCCTTTGGGTATATACCCAGTAATGGGATGGCTGGGTCAAATGGTATTTCTAGTTCTAGATCCCTGAAGAATCGCCACACTGACTTCCGCAATGGTTGAACTAGTTTACAGTCCCACCAACAGTGTAAAAGTGTTCCTATTTCTCCACATCCTCTCCAACACCTGTTGTTTCCTGTGTGTCATCTATGATTTCTTTCAGCAGTGTTTTGTAGTTTTCCTTGTAGAGAGCTTTCACGTCCTTGGTTAGATATATCCTAAGTTTTGTGTGGGGGGGTTGCAGCTATTGTAAAAGGGTTTGAGTTCTTGATTTGATTCTCAGTTTGGTCACTGTTGGGATATAGCAGTACTACTGATTTGTGTACATTGATATTCTATCCTGAAACTTTACTGGATTAATTTGTCAGATCTAGGAGCTTTTTGGATCAGTCTTTAGGGTTTTCTATGTATACCATCATATCATCAGTGAAAAGCAACAATCATTTAGGAGCAGGTTATTTAATTTCCATGTATTTTCATGCTTTTGAGGATTCCTTTTGGAGTTGATTTCCACTTTTATTCCACTGTGGTCTGAAAGAGTACTTGATATAATTTTGATTTTCTTAAATTTGTTGAGATTTGTTTTGGGGTGTGTCATATGCTCTATGTTGGAGAATGTTCCATGTACTGGTGAATAGAATGTGTATTCTACAGTTATTGGGTAGAATGCTCTGTAAATATATTAATTCCATTTGTTCTAGGGTATAGTTTAAGTCTATTGTTTCTTTGTTGACTTTTGGTCTTCATAATCGGTCTAGTGCTGTCAGTGAAGTATTGAAGGCCCCACTGTTACTGTGTTGTTGTCTATCTCATTTCTTAGGTCTAGTAGTAATTGTTTTATAAAATTGGAACCTCCAGTGTTAGGCGTATATATATTTTGGATTATGATATTTTCCTCTTGGACTAGTCTTTTATCATTATATAATGTCCCTCTTGGTCTTTTTGAACTGTTGTTGGTTTAAAGTCTGTTTTGTCTGATATAAAAATAGCTACTCCTGCTTGTTTTGGCATCCATTTGCATGGAATATCTTTTTCCACCGCTTTACCTTAAGTTTATGTCAGTCCCTGTGTGTTAGGTGAGTCTCTTGAAGACTTATTTTCCTGGCTTTGCTAGAGATCTAGACATTCAAATAGAAGTTCAAAGAACACCCAGGAAATTCGTCGCAAAAAGATCATCACCTAGACACATAGTCATCAGGTTATCTAAAGTCAATATGATGGAAATAATTTTAAGAACTGTGAGGCAAAAGCATCATGTAATCTATAAAGGAAAACCTATCAGATTAACGCAAATTTCTCAGCAGAAACCCTACAAGCTAGAAGAGAGTGGGGTCCTATCTTTAGCCTCCTTAAGCAAAATAAGTTGTTTGAATGTCTAGATCTCTAGCAAAGCCAGGGAAATTTTCTTTGATTATTTCCTCAAATAAATTTTCCAAACTTAGATTTCTCTTCCTTCTCAAGAAAATCAGTTATTCTTAGGTTTGGTCATTTAACATAATCTCAAACTTTTTGAATTTTGTTCATTTTTAAAAATTTTTTTTTCTTTGTCTTTGTCAGATTGGGTTAATTCAAAAGCCTTGTCCTCAAGCTCTGCAGTTCTTTCTTCCACTTGTTTGAGCCTATTGTTGAATTGTTTCATCCATATCCTATTTTATTCTTTTAACTTCTTTAAGTTAGTTTTCACTTTTCTCTGCTACCTTCTTCAGTAGCTTAATAATCAATCTTCTGATTTGTTTTCTGGAAACTCAGAGATTTCGACTTAGTTTGGATCCATTGCTGGTGATCTAGTGTGATCTTTTGGGGGTGTTATAGCACCTTGTTTTGTCATATTACCAGAATTGTTTCTCTGTTTTCTTCTCATTTGGGTAGATTATGTCAGAGGAAAGGTCTGGGACTAAAGGGCTGCTGTTCAGATTCTCTTGTCCCATGGGGTGTTGTCCCTTGATATGGTCCTATCCCCCCACTTCCCCTAGGGATGGGGCTTCCTGAGAGCCAGACTACAGTGATTGTTATTGTTCTTCTGGGTCTAGCCTCCCAGCAGAGCTACCAGGCTCCAGGCTGGTACCGAGGAGTGTCTGCAAAGAGTCCTGTGATGTGATCTGTCTTTGGGTTTCTCAGCCATGGATACCAGCACCTGCTTCAGTGGAGGTAGCAGGGGAGTGAAGTGGACTCTGTGAAGGTCCTTGGTTGTATGTTTGTTTAGTGCACTGGTTTTCTCTAATGCTGGTTGTGCTAGTGGTTAGTTGACCTTTAGCCAGAAGGTGGCTCTCTCAAGACAGCATTAGCTGATACAAGCTTGCCCTAAAATTGCCCATGTAACTATTCAGGTTTCTCAGGTGATAGGAAAGACCATAGAGCTCCCAAGAGATTATGTCTTTTGTCTTCAGCTACCAGGGCAGGTAGAGAAAGACCATCAGGTGGGGGCAGGATTAGGTGTGTCTGAGCTCAGACTCTCCTTGGGTGGGGCTTGCTGTGGCTGCTGTGGGGGATGGGGTATGGTTCTTAAGCCGATGGAGTTATGTTCCCAGGTGGATTATGGCTGCCTCTCCTGCATCATATAAGTCACCTGGAAGTGGGGGAAAGCTGATAGTGACCAGCCTCACCCAGTTCCCACGCAGCCAGCAAGGCCAGTCTCACTCCCACCACCAGCCCCAAGTTTATATTCAGGCAACCAGCAATCACCGCTGAGATCTTGCCCCAGGCTACATGTCTCCTTGCTGAGAATTCAAGCAGGGCTTTCAGGCCCAGTCCCTTCTCACCTGCCATGGCTTCTGTGCTCATATCTGCACTTCTCATTGATCTCTCACTTCTGGATTCTGCCCAGGAAAGTTCATGATTGGTCAAAATTATTACAGAGTTCAACTGGACGTTTTCTTCTCTCTGTGGTTCTTTCCGAATTCCACTGGCAGCCCTCCCCAAGGACCCTTGTGAGAAAAAGTCAGAAATGGCTTCCCTGGGGATCAGGAGTGTCCACAGGGCTCTTACTGCTGCTTCTTCTACCTTTACATTTTGCTGGGCTCTCTAAATTCATTTCAACTCTAGGTAAGGTTAAATCCTTCTTCTGTGATCTGAATTTTCAGGTTCCCCAGTGAGGATGTGTGTTTGGAGATGGACCTTCCCCCTGACACTTTGGGCACTCCCAGTTTTTTGGCTGTCTCACAGAGCTTGCAGTGGCAAGCTGTTTCCTTCAAAAGGTCTGTGAATTATTTCAGTTTTCCTGGTACATTCTTGTGGTCGTTCTTGGAGCAAAAGTTTATGATGTAAGCCTCCACATACTGTTCTGTTCGTCCAAGTGGGAGCTGCAAGTTAGTCCTGCTTTGTAGCCACGATTTTCCCCAATATTTTGCATTTCTGATAGTTGCCGTGAGACTTTGATGTTGCTGGTCTAGGAACCGTAGTTTGAGAACAACTGTTCTAGCATAATTGAAAGAAGGTTATCTGGCCATAGTCAAACCATCAAGGGAACCAACAAATATAAAAGCAAAAATTCCCAACCAAAAGGCAGTAAGTTCGAAGATTCAAGAAACATCAAGCCACACAGATGAAAAAGAACCAGAAGAAAAACAATGGAAATTCAAAAAGCCAAAGTGTCTTCTTACCTCAAAATGACCACACTAGATCCCTTGCAATGTTTCTTAACCAGGCTGAAATGGCTGAAATGACAAACATTGAATTCAGAATCTGGATGGCAATGAATATCATTGAGATTCAGGAGAAAGGTGATACCTACTCCAAGGAATCTAAGGAATACAGTAAAATGATACAAGAGCTAAAAGATCAAAATAGCCATTTTAAGAAAGAAACAGACTTATCTGATAGAGCTGAAAAACTCACTACAAAAATTCCATAATACCATCAGGATTAACAGCAGAATAAACCAAGCTATGGAAATAAACTCAGAGCTTGAAGACCAGTTCTTCAAATCAACTCAGACAAAAATAAAAAAGAATGAACAAAACCTCCAAGAAATGTGGGGTTATATAAAGGGACCAAACCTATGAATGACTGACATCCCTGGCAGAAAGGGAGCAAGAGCAAGGAACTTGTAAAATATATTTAATGAGACTGTGCACAAAAGTTTCCCCAGCCTTGCTAGAGAGGCGAATATTCAAATGCAGGAAATTTAGAGAAACCCTGTAAGATACTATACAAAATGACCATCCCCAAGACACATAGTTATCAGATTCTCCAGCGTCAACACAAAAGAAAAAAATACTAAAAGCAGCTAGAGAGAATAGGAAGGTCACTGACAAAGGGACCCCCATCAGGCTAACAATGGACCTTTCAGCAGAAACACTGTAAGCCAGAAGAGAATGTGGCCTATATTCAACATTCTTAAAGAAAAGAAATTTTAACCAAGAATTTTATCCAGCCAAACTAAGCTTCATAAGAAAACGAGAAATAAAATCTTTTTCAGAAAAGCAAATGCTAAGGGAATTTGTTACCATCAGACTTACCATACAAGTCCTAAAGGAAGTGCTAAATGCAGAATCAAAAGACTGTTACCAGCCACCATAAAAACACACTTAAGTATATAGACTGTTTACATTATAAAGCAACTACACAATCAAGTTTGCATAGCCACCAGCTAACAATACAATGACAGGAACAAATCTGCACATAGTAATATTAACCTTGAGTATAAATGGGTTAAATGCCCCACTTAAAAGGCACACAGTGGCAATTTGGATAAAGAAGCAAGACTCAACTCTATGCTATCTTCAAGATACCCATCTCATATGCAGTGACACCCATAGGCTCAAAATAAAGGGATGGAGAAAAATCTACCAAGCAAAGGAAAAACAGAGAGAAGAGTAGGGGTTGCTATTCTTATTTCAGACAAAACAGACCTTAAACCAACAATGATAAAAAAAGACAAGGGCATTATATAATGATAAAGGGTTTAATTCCACAGGAAGACTTAATTATCCTAAATATATATGCAGCCAATACTGAAGCACTCAGATTTATAAGACAAGTTCTTAAAGACCTTGATTCCACAAAGAGACTTAGATTCCCACAAAATAATAGTGGGACACTAAAACACCCCACTGACAGTGTTAGACAGATCATTGAGGCAGAGAATTAACAAAGATATTCAGGACCTAAACTTGACACTTGAACAAATGGACCTGACAGACATCTGCAGCACACTCCACCCAACAACAACAGAATATACATTCTTCTCATCTGCACATGGCATATAGACTAAAATGAACCACATCTTGACCATAAAGCAATTCTCAACAAATTCAAAAATAAAATCATACCAACCTACACTCTCGGACCACAGTGCAATGAAAATAGAAATCAATAGTGAAAAGATATTTCAAAATTATACAATTACATGGAAATTAAACAACCTTCTCCTTAATGGCTTTTGGCTAAGCAATGAAATTAAGGCAGAAATCAAGAAATTCTTTGAAAATAATGAAAACAAAAGTACAACATACCAGAATCTCTGGGACATGGTGAAAGCAGTGTTAAGAGGAAAATGTACAGTGCTAAATGCTGACATTAAAATTGCCAATCCAATTACCTCCACCTGGTCCTGCCCTTGACACATGGGGATCATGGGGATTACAATTCAAGGTGAGGTTTGGGTGGGAACACAGATCCAAACCATATCAGCACTGGTACAAAAACAAAAACACAAATAATCTCAAATAAACAATCTAACATTATACCAAGAGGATGTAGAAAAACAAGAGCAAACCAACCCAAAAGATAGAAGGAGAAAAGAAATAACCAAAATCAGAACTTAACAAAGTTAATGTGCAAAATACATACAATTGTTTTCAAACATCAATGAAACCAAACGTTGGTTTTCTGAAAAAATAAATAAGATTGAAAGAGTGCTTGCTAGACTTACAAAAAAAGAGAGAAGATCTAAATAAAGACAATCGGAAATGACCAAAGGGACATTACCATCAACCCCACAGAAATATAAAAAACCCTCAAAGACTAAATGAACACTTCTGTGCACATAAACTAGAAAACCTAGAAGGAATGGATAAATTCTGGGAAACGTACAACCTCTCAAGATTAAACCTGGAAAAAATTGAAACCCTGAACAGACCATTAATGAGTTCCAAAATTGAATCAGTAACAAAAACCTGTCAAACAGAAAAAGCCTTAGATTAGATGGATTCACAGCTGAATTCTACCATATGTAAAAAACAAAAGGTATTACCAATCCTACTGAAACTATTCAAAAAAAAAAAAATCAAAGGAGGAGGGACTCCTCTCTAACTTATTCTATAAGGCTAGCATCATTCTGATACACACACACACACACACACACACACAGAAATTCTGGCCAACATTCCTGGTGAACATGTATACAAAAATACTCAACAAAATGCTAGCAAACGAAATCCAGCATTGTATCAAAAAGCTAATCCACCATGATCAAGTAGCCTTTATTCTTGTTCTGCAAGGTTGGTTCAATGTACACAAATCAATAAATATGATTTGTCACAAAAGCAAAGCAAAAAACAAATACCACATTATCATTTCAATAAATGCAGAAAAGACTTTTGATAAAATTCAACATCCTTTCATGTTAAAAAAAAAAAAAAAAAAACTAGGTATTGAAGTAGCATACTTCAAAATAATAAGAGCCATCTTTGACAAGCCCACAGCTAACATCATACTCAACAGGCAAAAGCTGGAAGCATTCCCCGTGAGAACTGAAACAAGACCAAGATGCCCACTCTCACCACTCCTAATCAACATAGTACTGGACGTCCTAGCCAGAGCAATAAGGCAAGTGAAAGAAATAAAGGTTTCCAAATAGAAAAAAAAGAAGTCAACTATCTCTCTTCACAAACATGATTTTGTACCTAGAAGACTCCATAGTGAACACTGCATGTTCTCACTCATAGGTGGGAATTGAACAATGAGAACACTTGGACACAGGAAGGGGAACATCACACACTGGGGCCTGTTGTGGGGTGGGGGGTGGGGGAGGGATACCATTAGGAGTTATACCTAATGTAAATGACGAGTTAATGGGTGCAGCACACCAATATGGCACATGTATACATATGTAACAAACCTGCACGTTGTGCACATGTACCCTAGAACTCAAAGTGTAATTAAAAAATATATATATATAAAAGAAAACTCCATAGTGTCTGTCCAAAGCCTCCTGCATCTGATTAAAAAAAAAAACTTCAGCAACATTTTAGGGTACAAAATCAATGTATAAAACTCAGCATTTCAATACATCAATAACATCCAAGCTGAGAGCCAAATCGTGAATGCAGTCCCATTCACAATAGCCACGAAAAGAATAAAATACCTAGTAATACAGCTAACCAAGGAGGTGAAAGTTCTCCACAAGGAGAATTACAAAACACTGCTCAAAGAAATAGAGATGATACAAACGAGTGGAAAAACATTCCGTGCTCATAGATAGGAAGCATCAACACCATTAAAGTAGCCATACTGTCCAAAGCAATTTACAGATTAAATGCCATTCCTATCAAACTGCCAATGACGTTTTTCATAGAATTAGAAAAAACCATTCTAAAATTCATACAGAACATGAAAAAGCCAGAATAACCAAAGCAAGCCTAAGCAAAATGAACAAAGCTAGAGGCATCAGACACTACCTGACTTCAAAGTACACTACAAGGCAACAGTAACCAAAATAGCATGGTACTTGTATTAGTCCATTTTCATACTGCTATAAAGAACTGCCCCAAGGTTCCAAGATGGCTGAATAGGAACAGCTCCAGTCTGCAGCTTCCAGCATGAGCAATGCAGAAGACCAGTGATTTCTGTATTTCCAACTGAGGTACCGGGTTCATCTCACTGGGGCTTGTCAGACAGTGGGTGCAGCCCACAGAGCAGGGCCGGGCATCACCTCACCCGGGAAATGCCAGGGGTCGGGAATTCCCTTTCCTAGCAAGGGGAAGTTGTGACAGATGGTACCTGGAAAACTGGGACACTCCCACCCTAATACTGTGCTTTTCCAATGACCTTGGCAAACGGCACACTAGGAGGTTATATCCCATGCCTAGCTCAGAGGGTCCCACACCCACAGAGCCTCGCTCACTGCTAGCACGGCAGTCTGAGATGGAACTGCAAGGCGGCAGCGAGGCTGGGGGAGGGGTGTCTGCCATTGCTGAGGCTTGAGTAGGTAAACAAAGCGGCCAGGAAGCTCCAACTGGGTGGAGCCCACCACAGCTCAAGGAGGCTTGCCTGCCTCTGTAGATTCCACCTCTGGGAATTGAACTCAGCTCTGCACCAAGCGGACCTAATAGACATCTACAGAACTCTCCACCCCAAATCAACAGAATATACATTCTTCTCAGCACCACACTGCACCTATTCCAAAATTGACCACATAGTTGGAAGTAAAGCACTCCTCAGCAAATGTAAAAGAACAGAAATTATAACAAACTGTCTCTCAGACCACAGTGCAATCAAACTAGAACTCAGGATTAAGAAACGCACCCAAAACTGCTCAACTACATGGAAACTGAACAACCTGCTCCTGAATGACTATTGGGTCCATAACGAAAGGAAGGCAGAAATAAAGATGTCCTTTGAAACCAATGAGAAAAAAGACACAACATACCAGAATCTCTGGTACACATTTAAAGCAATAAATGCCCACAAGAGAAAGCAGGAAAGATCTAAAATTGACACCCTAACATCACAATTAAAAGAACTAGAGAAGCAAGAGCAAACACATTCAAAAGCTAGCAGAAGGCAAGAAATAACTAAGATCAGAGCAACTAAAGGAGATAAAGACACCAAAAAACCCTTCAAGAAATCAATGAATCCAGGAGCTGGTTTTTTGAAAAGATCAAAAAAATTGATAGACCACTAGCAAGACTAATAAAGAAGAAAAGAGAGAAGATTCAATTAGATGCAATAAAAAATGATAAAGGGGATATCACCATCGATCCCACAGAAAAACAAACTACCATCAGAGATACTATAAACACCTCTATGCAAATAAACTAGAAAATCTAGAAATGGATAAATTCCTGGATACATACACCCTCCCAAGACTAAACCAGGAAGAAGTTGAATCCCTGAATAGACCAATAACAGGTTCTGAAATTGAGGCAATAATTAACACCCTACCAACCAAAAAACTCCAGGAACAGATGGATTCACAGCCGAATTCTACCAGAAGTACAAAGAGGAGCTGGTACCATTCCTTCTGAAACTATTCCAATCAATAGAAAAAGAGGGAATCCTCCCTAACTCACTTTATGAGGCCAGCATCATCCTGATACCAAAGCCTGGCAGAGACACAACAAAAAAAGAATTTTAAACCAATATCCCTGATGAACATCGATGCCAAAATCCTCAATAAAATACTGCCAAACCGAATCCAGCAGCACATCAAAAAGCTTATCCACCATGATCAAGTGGGCTTCATCCCTGGGATGCAAGGCTGGTTCAACATATGCAAATCAATAAACGTAATCCATTATATAAACAGAACCAAAGACAAAAACTACATGATTATCTCAATAGATGCAGAAAAGGCCTTTGACAAAATTCAGCAGCCCTTCATGCTAAAAACTCTCCATAAGCTAGGTATTGATGGGATGTATCTCAAAATGATAAGAGCTATTTATGACAAACCCACAGCCAATATCATACTGAATGGGCAAAAACTGGAAGCATTCCCTTTGAAAACTGGCACAAAACAGGGATGCCCTCTCCCACCACCCCTATTCAACATAGTGTTGGAAGTTCTAGCCAGGGCAATCAGGCAAGAGAAAGAAATAAAGGGTATCCAATGAGGAAAAGAGGAAGTCAAATTGTCCCTGTTTGCAGATGACATGATTGTATATTTAGAAAACCCCATTGTCTCAGCCCAAAATCTCCTTAAGCTGATAAGTAACTTCAGCAAAGTCTCAGGATACAAAATCAATGTGAAAACATCACAAGCATTCTTATACACCAATAACAGACAAACAGAGAGCCAAATCATGAGTGAACTCCCATTCACAATTGCTTCAAAGAGAATAAAATAGCTGGGAATCCAGCTTACAAGGGATGTGAAGGACCTCTTCAAGAAGAACTAGAAACCACTGCTCAATGAAATAAAAGAGGACACAAACAAATAGAAGAACATTTCATGCTCATGGATAGGAAGAATCAATATCATGAAAATGGCCATACTGCCCACAGTAATTTATAGATTCAATGCCATCCCCATCAAGCTACCAATGCCTTTCTTCACAGAATTGGAAAAAACTACTTTAAAGGTCATATGGAACCAAAAAAGAGCCCGCATTGCCAAGTCAATCCTAAGCCAAAAGAACAAAGCTGGAGGCATCACACTACCTGACTTCAAACTATACTACAAGGCTACAGTAACCAAAACAGCATGGTACTGGTACCAAAACAGAGATATAGACCAATGGAACAGAATAGAGCCCGTGGAAATAATACCACACATCTACAACCATCTGATCTTTGACAAACCTGACAAAAACAAGAAATGGGGAAAGGATTCCCTATTTAATAAATGATGCTGGGAAAACTGGCTAGCCATATGTAGAAAGCTGAACCTGGATCCCTTCCTTACACCTTATGCAAAAATTAATTCAAGGTGGATTAAAGACTTAAACGTTAGACCTAAAACCATAAAAACCCTAGATGAAAACCTAGGCAATACCATTCAGGACACAGGCATGGGCAAGGACTTCATGACTACAACACCAAAAGCAATGGCAACAAAAGCCAAAATTGACAAATAGGATCTAATTAAACTAAAGAGCTTCTGCATAGCAAAAGAAACTACTATCAGAGTGAACAGGCAATCTATGGAATGGGAGAAAATTTTTACAATCTACCCATTTGACAAAGGGCTAATATCCAGAATCTACAAAGAACTTAAACAAATTTACAAGAAAAAATCAAACAATGCCATCAAAAATTGGGCAAAGGATATGAACAGGCCCTTTTCAAAAGAATACATTTATGCAGCCAACAGACACATGAAAAAATGTTCATCATCACTGGCCATCAGAGAAATGCAAATCAAAATTACAATGAGATACCATCTCACACCAGTTAGAATGGCGATCATTAAAAAGTCAGGAAACAACAGGTGCTGGAGAGGATGTGGAGAAATAGGAACACTTTTACACTGTTGGTGGGACTGTAAACTAGTTCAACCATTGTGGAAGACAATGTGGCGATTCCTCAAGGATCTAGAACTAGAAATACCATCTGACCCAGCCATCCCATTACTGGGTATATACCCAAAGGATTATAAATCATGCTGTTATAAAGACACATGCACATGTATGTTTATTGTGGCACTATTCACAATAGCAAAGACTTGGAACCAACTTAAATGTCCATCAACAATAGACCTGATAAAGAAAATGTGGCACATATACACCATGGAATACTATGCAGCCATAAAAAAGGATGAGTTCATGTCCTTTGTAGGGACATGGATGAAGCTGGAAACCATCATTCTCAGCAAACTATCCCAAGGACAGAAAACCAAACACTGCATGTTCTCACTCATAGGTGAGAATTGAATAATGAGAACACCTGGACACAGGAAGGGGAACATCACACACCGGGGCCTGTTGTGGGGTGGGGGGAGGGGGGAGGGATAGCATTAGAAGATATACCTAATGTAAATGACAAGTTAACGGGTGCAGCACACCAACATGGCACATGTATACATATGTAACAAACTTGCACGTTGTGCATATGTACCGCATAACTTAAAGTACAATAATGGAAGGAAGGAAGGAGAAGGGGAAGGGGAAGGGGAAGGAGGGGAGGGAAGGAAGGAAAGGAAAGGAAGGAAGGAAAAGAAAGAACTGCCCAAGATTGGGTAATTTATAAAGGAGAGAGGTTCAGTTGACTCACAGTTCAGCATGGCTGGGGAGGCCTCAGGAAACTTACAGTCATGGTGGAAGGTGAACGGGAAGCAAGACACCTTCTTTACAGGGTGGCAGGACAGAGTGAGTGCAAGCAGGGTACATGCCAGATGCTTATAAAACCATCAGATCTTGTGAGACTCACTCATTGTCATGAGAACAACATGGGGAAACCACCCCCATCCAATTATCTCCACCTGGTCCCGCCCTTGACACGTGGGTATTATGCAGATTACAATTCAAGGTGAGATTTGGATGGGAACACAGAGCCAAACCATATCAGTACTGGTACAAAAACAGAAACACAAATCAATGGAACAGAGTAGAGAACCCAGAAATAAAGCTGCACACCTACAATCATCTGATCTTTGACAAAGTTGACAAAAACAAGCAATGGGGAAAGGACTCCCTATTCAATAAATGGTGCTGGGATAACTGGCTAGCCATATACAGAAGACTGAAACTGGACCCCTTCCTTATACCATATACAAAAATCAACTCAGGATGCATTAAACACTTAAATGTAAAACCTAGAACTATAAAAACCCTAGAAGAAAACCTAGGAAATACCATTCTAGACATAGGCCTTGGCAAATATATCATCAGGAAGACTCCAAAAGCAATTGCAACAAGAACAAAAATTGACAAGTGGGACCTAATTAAACTAAAGATCTTCTGCACAGCAAAAGAAACTATAAACAGATTAAACAGACAACCTACAGAATGGGAGAAAATATTTGTAAGCTATGCAACTGACTCTAATATCCAGAATCTATAAGGAACTTAAACAAATTAACAAGGAAAAAAATTTAAAAATGGGCAAACGAAATGAACAGACACTTTTCCAAAGAAGATGTACATGCAGCCAACAAGCATATGACAAAAATGCTCAACATCACTAATAATTAAACAAATACAAATCAAAGCCACAATGAAATACCATATCACACCAGTCAGAATGGCTACTATTAAAAAGCCAAAAATATCAGAAGCTGGTGAGATTGCAGGGAAAATGGGACACTAATACACTGCTGGTGGGAATGTAAATTAGTTCAGCCACTGTGGAAAGCGGTTTGGAGATTTCTCAAAGGATTTAAAAACAAAACTACCATTCAACCCAGCAATCCCATTACTGGGTATATACCCAAACGAATATAAACTGTTCAACCATAAAGACTCATGCATGCTTATGTTCATCACAGCACTATTCACAATAGCAAAGACATGGAATCAACCTTGATGCCCATCAACAGTGGACTGGGTAAAGAAAAAGAGGTAAATATACATCACGCAATACTATGCAGCCATGAGAAAGAACAAAATAATGTCTTTTGCAGCAGCATGGATGTAGCTGGAGACTATTATCCTAAGTAAACTAACGCAAGAACAGAAAACCAAATACCTCATATTCTCACTTATAAGTAGAAGCTAAACACTGAGTACACATGAACACAAAGAAGGGAACAACTGATGCCAAGGCCCACCTAAGGATGCAGAGTGAGAGGAGAGTTAGGATTGAAAAACTACCTCTTAGGTACTATGCTTATTACCTGGGTGATGGAATAATCTGTATACCAAACTCCATGACATACAGTTTACCATTGTAACACACCTGCACAGGCATCCCTAAAACAAAACTTGTAAAGAAAATACCAAAATACACATTGACAAAAGAAAAAGAAGATACTAAAGACAACCTAAATAAAGAGAGGTCTTCATAGATGGAAAGGCTCAATGTTACAAAAATGTTAGTTCTCCTTAATATAAACTATCCAATACAATTCCAGTTTAAAAAATTGAAGAGTTGAGCCTTTTAAATTTTTTTAGTATTCATAACAAAAACAATTTTAAGTTTAATAGCACAGGAGGAAAAGTAATGAAGCTTGAAAATTAAAAGGGATACAGAATCCTAATGACACTTTGATTGACTATCTCATAAAGAATCAGACATCAGGCACAGAAAATTGCCACATTTTAGATTCTTGGCTACTTGCATTTTGCTAGTTTTTCATATGATTATTAACTATAAAACCTATAAACGAGCTTTTATTAGGAATCAAAGAAAGGGAATAAAGGACTAGGGAGGATACCTCAACCTCCTTTGCCAGGTGTATGGAGTTTTTAAAAAAGGTTAGTAGCAGCTATAAGGGCAAAGGAAAACAACTGAGTCTCAGGGGTTTGCCACAAGGAGGAAATGAGGTTATGAGGAACCCACATGGGCCTGGAGAAGCTTGTGACATTTTCTCATAGGCTATTTACAGCCAATGCCATCACAATACAAATAAATTTAAAACAGTGAAGAAAAACAGAAGTAAGCTAGTTTTACTGATTGTAGAGATTACTCTGTGTGCTATGATCAAGTTCCAAATTTGTTTGAGTTTTCTAGCTGCTAGAAATAACAAAAAGGAAAATATGACAAATGTTACAGTGTTCAAAAGTAGAAATGAGGCAACATGTTAAGTCCACATGAAATCCCTAAGTAGAATGTATGAGAAATAGCTTTCAGTCTGGGTTCCTACAGGCAAGGAACAGGTGCCATCTCCAGCTGAGTCAAGCAAAAGAGTAATTCGCTAAACGATATTGCAATAGCTCACAAAATCTACTAGGAAGAACTGAAGTAGAGGCTCAAGGCTAAGCCACTAGGAAAGACACACTGAAGCATGTTTTAGAATTGGTCTGGAGATAAAACAGCTTCCTCCAGTTCCACAGATACTACCATTTCCACCTGCTAAGCTAGTGTCCCTTCAAACCCTTGTTTCCTGTAGCTCATGAGTCAGATCCCATCTGGTAGCATTTAGTTCAGAGTCTTAAGTCGCATGCCTATGCCCTACCTGCAAAAGAGGAAGGAAAAGTAAGCATCTGGTATTTTTAGCTCCTATAATGGATCATCCACACTTAGCACATGTCTGTAATACTATGAATTCCCCAAACATAAAAACTAGTTATACTGGTACACAACCAAAACAACATGACAAATGTGACAATAACCATACACCATCCACTTTCAAGTTTTCTACATAACCAGTGAAGTCAATCCTTAGAGGGACTTAAATTAAGATTACAAATTGTTACTTGTTCCCTTATGAACTTTCTGACCTAAGTATTCTCAATCCAATAATGTAGTTATAATCCTGCATTTATTTACTGTTTTCATCAGGGTTTTTAATACATCCATATATGTAACTTTCTTGGATCAATTTAACTTGGTCTAGGTTATTCTTGGATCTACCAGAACAGAACCCAGAATGCCTGGAGGTGTGGATAGAATAGAAAATCTCTTTTATTACCTTTAAGGGCTGTTAAACAAAACTGAATTCACCAGTTACAAAAGCAAATGATTAAGGTAAGAACAGAAATATCAACACATTATGCTTGTTTACTTTAAAATGAAACTATCTTCTATATAAATAAAAACTGAAATTCCCACCAAAATGTAAAGAATTTAAAAGGTAAATTGTAAACATTATAAAAAGGCATTGTGGAAAAGATGAATTCAACTAAATGTGCAGCTATCTGAAAATGAGGCTGTGTTGTCTTCTCCTTAAGTATAGTGATTACAAATGAGGAAGGAGGATTGGAGGATTTCCGGCTGCTTTCTGTAGCATTGAATGGGGCCTGCTTTGTTAGATGACTTCAATTGCAGGATATTTCAGAAGGTGGATACATGGACTATACTATATTTAGACTCCAGCTGCCAGTGAGTCTGGGGGAGGCATACTTAGGCTTGCTGCAAAACGACGATCCATGGCTTTCGTGAACAAGTTATCCTGAAATATATGACAAAAGATTTTTTTTTAAAAATCTTCAGGCCCAACTCAGAAACATCCTTTACTGATAATATGCAAAGGAGAATTTCCAGAAGAAAATGCTTCTGGATAGAGGAGATGGAAAATATTGAACAGAGTTGTTGGGAGAAGAAAGTCCTTTTCAACTTCTCACATTGCTGCCATCTGTCCTAGAGACACTCTGAGCTACCCCCATAACATCATTAAAACCACTTCTCTGGGGGTCTTGCTCTGTTGAACCCAGGCACTGTATGAGTCATTTCCTGAAAATATTGAACAGACTCATTGGGAGAAGACAATCCTTTTCAGCTTCTCACATTGCTGCTCCTGTTCCAGAGACACTCTGAGCTACCCTTATAATGAAATGCGAAAAGTTCCCTTGTCACTCTCAAAGGGCATGCGATGAGGGAGTGGCTCGCTGCTGCTCAAACCTCTAGGGAAGCATACAGATGGGCAGGTTGCGGAGCTCCGACCCCATGGCAGTGTCTAGGGGTGAATATTTACAGCTCCTGAAGCCCTAGTGGGCATGAGTTACAGGGTGCTCTTTTAGTTTAGCTGTCTGTAGGCGGCTTGTGTTAGCTCAAGTAGACCCCCTTTCTTATCACAAGGACAGAGGATTTCTGTATCCCGGGTTCTTGCCTTGATGTACTGGAAGAATCACACGTGGACTTGGAGAATTAGTGCAAGGTTTTATTAAGTAGAAGTAGCTCTCAGCAGATGGGGGAGCCAGAAAGGAGAATGGTTTTCCCCTTGGGTCAGGCCACTCGGCAGCCTGGGCGGCCTGGGCTGTCCTCCGACTGCCCTGGCCAAACTCCAAGGCGTTCTGCTGGTCAGTGGCCTGCCAGTGTGCTGGTGCCTGCTGATGTGCTCCTCTCAACATCCAGCTGCCTGTGTGTTCCTCTGCTGATGTGGTCCTCTCCACGTTCAGCCGCCTGTGTATCTGCCTGCGAGGGTGTCAGGCACAGGATTAGAGGTATGGCAGGCCAGGGTGGTCTTGGGAAATGCAACATTTGCGCAGGAAAACAAAAATGCCTGTCCTCGCCCAGGTCATTGGGGTGGAGCCCTAGCCAGGGACCACGACCTCCTCCTCTACCCAGCATTTCCCTTCCCCACTTCCGTATCATTTAAAGGGACCATGCTCTTCCCTTCCCAGCACTCCCATATCAATAGTATCATCAAAAACCACTTCTCTGCTGGTCGTACTCTGTTGAACACAGACACTGTATAAGTCACTTTCTACCACCAATCCAGACAGGCCTCAGTCATTGTTGAACAGCATGAACAAATTATCATGACTCACTAAAAAGAAAAATATATCAGCCAGTATGAAACAGAGAAAACAGGGCAAAAAGAGATTTATCTGACTCATGAGATTGTTTTAGTTGTTGTTGCTGATTAGTAAGGTTTTTTAACACCAAATTTTTCAGCATATAATTGTCTCGATCTACTTAGAACATCATTAAAGTCAACATAATTTGTCCAGGGATTGTAATTTTATGGTGGAAAATGTCCAAAATTGCTTATAGCTATTATCATTAAGTTTTTACCTACTCATTATTCCTTAGTGAATATGAAATGGGAGAAGTGTTCTCTTATCCTTCTCACAGGGTATGTGACGGGGTGTGGCTCACTTCTTTGGTATCCCGCTGCTCAAACCTCTAGGGGGAGCATTTTTGGGGCTCCAACTCCATGGCAGTGTCTAGAGTTGTTTACAGCTCCTAAAGCCCCAGTGGGCGTGTGTTACAGTGTGCTCTTTTAGTTTTGCCATCTGCAGGCAGCTTGTGTTAATCAGCTCAATTAGACCCTCCACCTTATTGCAAGGACAGAGGGTTTTCTGTATCCTGGGTTCCTTCCCTAGTGTATTGGAAAAATCAGATCACACGTGGGCTTGGAGAATGAGTGCATGAGTGCAAGGTTTTATTGAGTCGTGGAAGTAGCTCTCAGCAGATGGGTGGTGAGCCAGAAGGGGAATGGAGTGTCTTAGCGTCCAGTTGCCTGTGTGTGTGCCCGCTAGGGTTTCGGGGGTTTTTACAGGCACAGGATGGGGGGCGTGGCATTTCCCTGCCCCCCTCCCTGTATCAAATAGACTGCAGTTTAAACATAAGGCAATAAATTAAAACCAGCATAAATTGAAAAAAAGTTTAAATTAGTTATGTTTCTCCCCTGCAAACTTAAAAAACACACACACATAAAATCACTGTCTTTTCCAGGAACATGGAAGACTAGAAAATATAAAATTTTTTCACTACAGGAGGTTAGAAATGCTGGACAAAATGTAGCAAACACTGTGTTAAGTGCATAGGTGAGAGTTCAGGAAAGTGAAATAATTCCCAAGTGACCCAAAACAAGAGGGAACTGAAAAACAGCACTAAGAGAGAAAGAAGGAGCTTCTGTTACTAGGAATCAAGATTTGGGTTATACCTGCTGCTCCCTGATGGAGACAAGACTTTCTGAGACTAAGAAAATAAGGACTCAGAATTGAAATCCCTACACAGAACCAGATCATTTGGAGAGCTATACAATGATGGCAAGGAGATCCTAGAAAATACTGCAAAGGGAGATGACAACACTTATATTACCATAGTGGCTTTGGGTGGGGAGAAATATTTTGTGTAAAAGGCAGCTTTCAAGTGGGTTTGGTATTTATTTTAGTTACATGGTATGAGTACCTTCAAGCTGAGAAATTAACTGAATAACTGGTTACAAATTGGCAGTATTTTTGTGAGGCCAGAAAGAAACAAACAGAAGCAAAACATTTCTAAAGAATTCACCTAAAACCCAGACTACACAAGATTTCTATAGGTAAAACACTTCTTAAAATGAACTTGTCTTCCAAAATACAAAACTCAAGAAGGAACAATCTTCCACGCACAAATGTTAGCAGAAGAAGAGATAGAATTATCAGCTCAAATTTCCAAATAAGGATAAGATGTCAAAGCAGGAAATGAAAACGGGATAAAAGAAAATATGTATATATGTTTTTAAAATATACTTTAGAAAACAAAGTAGAATTGAAGACGTGAAAAAAAACATTAAAAATAAAAATCATTGAAAGGGTTAAACGTCAGACTGAACACAACTGAAGAGAGAATTTGTTAACTGGATAATGGATTTGAAGAAGTTACCCAGAATGCACGAGAGGAGAGAGGAGGAGAGCAGAGAGGGGAGAGAGGAGGAGAGCAGAGAGGAGAGAGAAGATGCAAGAGGACTGAAGGGCTGACATAAAATCTACTAAGAGGGCCAGACAGAAAGAACAGAGAAAATGGAGGATTAGTGGGCAATATTTGAAGGAAATTCAATGAATGAAAATCTTTGCCAAATTATAGAAACACTTAAATACTTAGATTTAGAAAAGAAAGTAAGTTCCAAGCTGGAGGAATGAAATTAATTTAGCTTAAATTAAAAGCAACTAAAGATAAAATGATAATGATTATCTATAAAAGAACATTTATTGGTATAACAGCAATTATTTATGTCAGTAGCAGTAATACAGATATAAATTAATGGAAACAATTACCAGAATATAGAGTAAAACATGCCCTTTGATTTTAAAAATAAATGCTTTTTGCCAAGAAAAAAGATGGAATCATCTCCTGTCAAAGAATGCTTGGCAGTAATTCAGTAAATTAACAGAATGTCCTGGAAACTGAAAGATGAACCCAGTAATTCTAAACTGTATGTCATAGTTATTTTCCACCAACTAAGGGTATATGATTGTATGAAGGAATGTGGTTGGGTTAAGGGAGGTGAGTGGGTATGCTTATTGAAGAAATAGCATGTGATGACAAAGCACAATCCCAGATGTTGAAGTCATTTCATCTAGAGTTTGGATATTTAGACTATGTGAACCCGGTGGTGGTCAGTAGTGTTTAACTTATATTAGGTTCTAATGCACTAACCTGTAAAGGCTGTGACATAATGCTCTTAGTGATTAAATAGTTTGTATATAAGGCTAGGCGCGATGGCTTTTGCCTATAACCCCAGCACTTTGGGAGGCCAAGGCAGGCCGAGGTGGGCAGATTGCTTGAGCTCAGGAGTTCAAGACCAGCCTAGCCAACATGGCAACAACCCATCTCTACAAAAACCTACAAAAATTAGCTGGGCATGATGGCAGGTGCTGTAGTCTCAGCTACTCAGGAGGCTGAAGCGAGAGGATGGCTTGAGCCTGGGAGGCTGAGGTTGCAGTGAGCTAAGATAGCACCACTGCACTGCAGCCTGTGTGAAAGAGTCAGAGCCTGTCTCAAAAACAACAACAAAAAAAATTATTTGTATGTAATAAACCAAAGCTAGCAATGTGTTTCACATACTTTCCTTAAATTTCAGGGATATCCTTTCTCATAAATAATACCTGTGTGGGTGTTTTTTTTTTACTACAAAAGTAATTCCTGGTGGTCATAGAAAATCTGAAAGACATATATAAGTCACAAGAAAAAATTTTAAATTTCCTTTACTCTTACCACCCAGAGAAAATATTGGTCAGCCTTTTAGGACATTTTAAGTTGATTTTAATTTTTTTAATTCAACTTTGTATTTCAAGATAATTGCTAACATGCAAGTCTCAAATAATAGACTGATCTTGGGCACCCTTTACCCAGTTTCTCCCAATGGTAACATCTTTAGTACCTTTAGTATAGAAAAACTATAGTACATTCAATGGTAGGCTGTCACAGAAAAAAAAGGAAAAGAAAAGCTATAGTACAATATCACAGCCATGATATTAACATTGATATAGTCAAGATACAGAACATTTCATTCACCACAAGGATCCCTGAAGTTGTTCTTTGATAGTCACACTCACTTTCCTTCTTCCCTCACTCCTTCCTTAATCCTGGTAACCACTGATTCTTTCTCCATGTCTATACTTTCATCATTTCAATAATGTTATATAAAATGGAATCATACAGTATGTAACATTTTGGGATTGACTTTTTTGTTTAGCATAACTCTGTGGAGATTCACCTAGATTGTTGCCTGTATCAATATTTTTATTCCATTCTATTGCTAAATAGTGTTGTATGGTATGGATATGTGTAACCATTCACTTGTTGGAGGACATTTGTGTGTTTCCAGTTTTTGATTACGGTAAGTAAAGTTGCTATAAATATTCATGTTCAGGTTTTTTGTGTTAAATGTGTTAATTTCTATGAGATAAATGCCCAGAAGTGAAATTGCTGGGTCATATGGTAGTTGCATGTTTAGTTTCTTAACAAGCTCCAACTTCATATCATTACATTTGAAGTAAGTTTCTTATATAGTAGATCATGTTTTTAAATCCGCTCTGACAATCTCTGTCTTTTAATTTGTGTAGTTAGAATAGTGTTATGACTTAACACTGACATTTTTTGTTGTTTTCCTCTATTTGTTTTCTCTAGTTTTTGTTTTAGTTTTCCTTTTCTTGCTTCCCTACAGGTTACTTGAATATTTTAAAACTTTATTTTAATTTAGGTACAGTGTTTTTGAGCATATGTCTTTGTATAGCTTTTTTAGTGATATTAAATTATACTTGATATTACATTATATATACATAACTTATCACAGTCTATTGTGTCATTATTTTGAATGAAATATGGAAGTCTCATCTCTTTATATTCCCTTCCCCTTCCCCATTTATAGTATAATTATTATAACTATTTCCTGCCCATATATTTGGAACCACATCAATCAGTGTTATAACTTTTGCTTAATCTGGTAAACATAACAACAAAATTTAAGAAGAAAAGGAAAACTAATTACATTTATGCATATTTTTGTGTACTATCTTTATTCCTTCTTGCTGTTTTGAGGCTCCTTCTTTCATCATTCCTTTTCTGTTTAGAAAAATTCCTTTAGCCTAAAAGGAGTAGGTCTGCTAGTGACAAATTATCTTAGTTTCCCTTTAACTGAGAATGTCTTAATTTTCCCTTCAGTTCTGAAGTATATTTTTACTGGGTATAGGATTCTGGGTTGACAATTCTTTTCTTTTAGCATTTAAAAAAAATATTGTGCCACTTCCTTCCTGCCGTGAATAAGACATTTATATTGCTGATGTTAAGGAATAAGAGAAATATCCAATGTTGAAAGAGAGTGCAAGAGAATGTATATAGTCCATATAGAATTAAATCTGTGTCATGGTGGGGTACTCTATAATGGTTTTGCTGTTCAGTATAGAGCTTGGGCATTCTCAAATTTAATCTTCATGCATTAAGCTATTCAAAACCAACTACAAACATGCTTGATATGTAGTGTGTTATATTTCTAAGGCATATATTTACCTTGTGGTGTTATGAATTTGTTGTGTAAGAGGCATACTAAGCTAATAAGTAAGCCTAGATGCCCATTCAGTGTAGAATCTATGTGGCCTGAAAAGGGAGAGAAAGATTAATGGTAAGTATTAAAATAACTGTGCTAAGCATAAAAATAGCTAACATTCATTTAACACTTTCCATGTGCCAGATAGTATGGCATTCATTTAACAGGTGTTAACTATTTTTATTCTCACAATACATTGTTTGAGGCAGATAATACTAATTTCCCCACTTTATAGATGAGAAAACTAAAGCTCGGGATGTTATGTAACTTGCCCAAGCCACACATAATAACAGTGGCATAACCAGAATTCAGAATTTAAATCCATACAGTCTGTCTTTGATTCCATGCTGTCTATCCTGTTTAACTTTTACATGACAAAGATATCTTTTACAGCATTAAATTGCACCAGGGAACTCTAACCCATCTGGCCCGGGTCAGAAAAGGGACAAAATGTCAACTTTTAAGTATTCAAAAATGGTATTTGTTTCTTTCATTTATTCATTTGCTATGTAGCAATCACCATTGTATAATATCTCCATAAGAAGATATTGTTTGAAAGGAAATCCATCATTTATTAAAAATATGTATAAAACACTTACAATGGGCCAGGCATTGTTCTAAGTAGATAAGATACATAAATTACCAAAACACACAAAGATTCACACCATTAAAGAGTTTGTATCTTAGCATGAGGGAGGAAGAAAATAAACAATAGCTAAAAAAAAAGAAATAAATTATATAGTATATTTGAAAGTGAAGATGAAAAAAATAAAACTAGTGTAGGTAAGTGTGATCATCAGAGAAGCAAGCAACATTAAATGGGGTGGTCACTATTGGAAGATGACATATGATGATGAGAGAATTTGTCTTTGAGGAAGATTCCAGCTAGAGAAGACAATTCTATATCCCTAAATTGGGAAAGCACATGCATGCCTGAAGACTGGCAAGAGGGCTAGTGTATGGAAGTAAATGATCCCGTGAAAGAGTAGTAGGAAATAAAGTAAAAGAGACATGTATAATCATGAAAATCACTGAAAGGTTTGGAGATATTGTGGGGGGAGTCCTTGTTTGTTGGTTTTTTAATAGCAGTGATATAATTCACATATCATAAAGTTTATAAAGTATACAATTCAGTAGTTTATATATATTCACACAGGTGTGCTACCAGTATCACAGTCCAACTCCAGAGTATTTCCATCGCTCTCCAAAATCACCATATCTATTAGCAACCACTCTTCAAGTCCGCATCCCCCAGCCTTTGGAAACCACAGATTTCCTCACCGCCTCTAAGAAATTGCCTATTTTGAGGCTCAAAGTAAAGGGTTGGAGGAAGATCTACCAACCAAATGGAAAACAAAAAAAGGCAGGGGTTGCAATCCTAGTCTCTCATAAAACAGACTTTAAACCAACAAAGATCAAAAGAGACAAAGAAGGCCATTACATAATGGTAAAGGGATCAATTCAACAAGAAGAGCTAACTATCCTAAATATATATGCACCCAATACAGGAGCACTCAGATTCATAAAGCAAGTCCTTAGAGACCTACAAAGAGACTTAGACTCCCACACAGTAATAATGGGAGACTTTAACACCCCACTATCAACATTAGACAGATCAATGAGACAAAGTTAACAAGGATATCCAGGAATTGAATTCAGCTCTGCACCAAGCAGACCTAATAGACATCTACAGAACTCTCCACCCCAAATCAACAGAATATACATTCTTCTCAGCACCACACTGCACCTATTCCAAAATTGACCACATAGTTGGAAGTAAAGCACTCCTCAGCAAATGTAAAAGAACAGAAATTATAATAAACTGTCTCTCAGACCACAGTGCAATCAAACTAGAACTCAGGATTAAGAAACTCACACAAAACCGCTCAACTACATGTAAACTGAAGAACCTGCTCCTGAATGACTACTGGGTACATAACGAAATGAAGGCAGAAATAAAAATGTTCTTTGAAACCAACGAGAACAAAGACACAACATACCAGAATCTCTGTGACACATTTAAAACAGTGTGTAGAGGGAAATTTATAGCGCTGAATGCCCACAAGAGAAAGCAGGAAAGATCTAAAATTGACACCCTAACATCACAATTAAAAGAACTAGAGAAGGAAGAGCAAACACATTCAAAAGCTAGCAGAAGGCAAGAAATAACCAAGATGGGAGCAGAACTGAAGGAGATAGAGACACAAAAAACCCATCAAAAAAATCAATGAATCCAGGAGCTGGTTTTTTGAAAAGATCAACAAAATTGATGGACCACTAGCAAGACTGATAAGGAAGAAAAGAGAGAAGAATCAAATAGATGAAATAAAAACTGATAAAGGGAGTATCAAGACCGATCCCACAGAAATACAAACTACCATCAGAGAATACTATAAACACCTCTACGCAAATAAACTAGAAAATCTAGAAGAAATGGATAAATTCCTCGACACATACACCCTCCCAAG
This sequence comes from Homo sapiens, assembly GCF_000001405.40. Taxonomy (NCBI): domain Eukaryota; kingdom Metazoa; phylum Chordata; class Mammalia; order Primates; family Hominidae; genus Homo; species Homo sapiens. The sequence continues at coordinate 21,912,071 of NC_000009.12, forward strand.
ACTAAACCAGGAAGAAGTTGAATCTCTGAATAGACCAATAACAGGCTCTGAAATTGAGGCAATAATTAATAGCTTACCAACCAAAAAACAGTCCAGGACCAGACAGATTCACAGCCGAATTCTACCAGAGGTACAAAGAGGAGCTGGTACCATTCCTTCTGAAACTATTCCAATCAACAGAAAAAGAGGGAATCCTCCCTAACTCATTTTATGAGGCCAGCATCATCCTGATACCAAAGCCTGGCAGAGACACAACAAAAAAAGAGAATTTTAGACCAATATTCCTGGTGAACATCGATGCAAAAATCCTCAATAAAATACTGGCAAACCGAATCCAGCAGCACATCCAAAAGCTTAATCACCATGATCAAGTGGGCTTCATCCCTGGGATGCAAGGCTGGTTCAACATACACAAATCAATAAACGTAATCCACCATATAAACATAACCAAAGACAAAAACCACATGATTATCTCAATAGATGCAGAAAAGACCTTCGATAAAATTGAACAGCGCTTCATGCTAAAAACTCTCCATAAGCTAGGTATTGTTGGGATGTATCTCAAAATAATAAGAGCTATTTATGACAAACCCACAGCCAGTATCATACTGAATGGGCAAAAACTGGAAGCATTCTCTTTGAAAACTGGCACAAGACAGGGGTGCCCTCTCTCACCACTCCTATTCAACATAGTGTTGGAAGTTCTGGCCAGGGCAATCAGGCAGGAGAAAGATATAAAGGGTATTCACTTAGGAAAAGAAGAAGTCAAATTGTCCCTGTTTGCAGATAACCTGATTGTATATCTAGAAAACCCCATCGTCTCAGTCCAAAATCTCGTTAAGCTGATAAGCAACTTCAGCAAAGTCTCAGGATACAAAATCAATGTACAAAAATCACAAGCATTCTTATACACCAATAACAGACAGAGAGCCAAATCATGAGTGAACTCCCATTCACAATTGCTTCAAAGAGAATAAAATACCTAGGAATCCAACTTACAAGGGTTGTGAAGGACCTCTTCAAGGAGAACTACAAACCACTGCTCAACGAAATAAAAGAGGACACAAACAAATAGAAGAACATTCCATGCTCATGGATAGGAAGAATCAATATCGTGAAAATGGCCATACTGCCCAAGGTAATTTATAAATTCAATGCCATCCCCATCAAGCTACCAATGACTTTCTTCACAGAATTGGAAAAATTACTTTAAAGTTCATATGGAACCAAAAAAGAGCCTGCACCGCCAAGTCAATCCTAAGCCAAAAGAACAAAGCTGGAGGCATCACGCTACCTGACTTCAAACTATATTACAAGGCTACAGTAACCAAAACAGCATGGTACTGGTACCAAAACAGAGATATAGACCAATGGAACAGAATAGAGCCCATGGAAATAATAACAAACATCTACAACCATCTGATCTTTGACAAACCTGACAAAAACAAGAAATGGGAAAGGATTCCCTATTTAATAAATGGTGCTGGGAAAACTGGCTAGCCATATGCAGAAAGCTGAAACTGGACCCCTTCCTTACACCTTATACAAAAATTAATTCAGAATGGATTAAAGATTTAAATGTTAGACCTAAAACCATAGAAACCCTAGATGAAAACCTAGGCAATACAATTCAGGACATAGGCATGGGCAAGGACTTCATGTCTAAAACACCAAAAGCAATGGCAACAAAAGCCAAAATTGACAAATGGGATCTAATTAAACTAAAGAGCTTCTGCACAGCGAAAGAAACTACCAACCTACAGTGAACAGGCAACCTACAGAATGGGAGAAAATTTTTGCAATCTACTCATCTGACAAAGGGCTAATATCCAGAATCCACAACGAACTCAAACAAATTTACAAGAAAAAATCGAACAACCCCATCAAAAAGTGGGCAAAGGATATGAACAGACACTTCTCAAAAGAAGACATTTATGCAGCCAACAGACATATGAAAAAATGCTCATCATCACTGGCCATCAGAGAAATGCAAATCAAAATCACAATGAGATACCATCTCACACCAGTTAGAATGGCGATCATTAAAAAGTCAGGAAACAATAGGTGCTGGAGAGGATGTGGAGAAATAGGAACACTTTTACACTGTTGGTGGGACTGTAAACTAGTTCAACCATTGTGGAAGACAGTGTGGCGATTCCTCAAGGATCTAGAACTAGAAATATCATTTGACGCAGCCATCCAATTACTGGGTATATATCCAAAGGATTATAAATCATGCTGTTATACAGACACATGCACACATATGTTTATTGTGGCACTATTCACAATAGCAAAGACTTGGAACCGACCCAAATGTCCATCAATGATAGACCTGATAAAGAAAATGTTGTACATATACACCATGGAATACTATGCAGCCATAAAAAAGGATGAGTTCATGTCCTTTGTAGGGACATGGATGAAGCTGGAAACCATCATTCTCAGCAAACTATCACAAGGACAGAAAACCAAACACCGCGTGTTCTCACTCATAGGTGGGAATTGAGCAATGACAACTCTTGGCCACAGGAAGGGGAACATCACACACCGGGGCCTCTCATGGGGTGGGGGTGGGGGGAGGGTTAGCATTTGGAGACATACCTAATGTAAATGATGAGTTAATGGGTGCAGCACACACCAACATGGCACATGTACACATATGTAACAAACCTGCACATTGTGCACATGTACCCTGGAACTTAAAGTATAATAATAAAAAAAAAATAATAAACAAATGGTATCCCTGGGAATCATATAGATAATATGGTAAATAAAATGGAAAAATAGAAAAAAAAAGAAATTGCCTATTTTGGACATTTTATATGAAAAGAGTCATATAATATATGGCCTTCTGTGTCTGGCTTCTTCCATCTGACATAACGTTCTCAAGGTACATCCATAGTGTAGCACATATCAATACTTTGTTTTCTTTCCTTCCTTCCTTCCTTCCTTCCTTCCTTCCTTCCTTCCTTCCTTCCTTCCTTCCTTTCTTTCTTTCTTTCTTTCTTTCTTTCCTTTCTTTCTTTTCTTTCGGCAGAGTCTTGCCCTCTCACCCAGCCTGGAGTGCAGTGGTGGGATCTTGGCTCACTGCAAGCTCCACCTCTGCCTCCTGGGTTCATGCCATTCTCCTGCCTCAGCCTCTTGTGTAGCTGGGACTACAGGCACCCGCCACCACGCCCGGCTAATTTTTTTTTGTATTTTTAGTAGAGATGGGGTTTCACCATGTTAGCCAGGATGGTCTCAATCTCCTGACCTCATGATCCACCCACCTCGGCCTCCCAAAGTGCTGGGATTACAGGTGTCAGCCACCCGTGCCTGGCCACTTTGTTCCTTTTCATGGCTGAATGATATTTCATTTTATGGTTATACCGCATTTTGTTTATTCATTTGTCACCTGGATTGTTTCCACTTTTTGGCTGTTACAAATAATTCTGTTATAAACCTTCTTGTACAAGTTTTGGCATAGGTATATTTTTCATTTCTCTTGAGTGAGAACCTAGGAGTGGAATTACTGGGCTATATGGTAACTCCACATAAGTTTTAGAATTTTACTCTGAGTATACTTATTTCAATAAGTATAAAGAGGAGTGATATAATCTGACTTGCACTTTAAAAGATAACTCAGACTATGGTGTTGAGAATATACTGTAAGATAACAATTTTTTAAAAAGCGGAGCAGCCCAGCATGGCAGCTCACATCTGTAATCCCAACACTTTGGGAGGCCGACACAGGAGGATCACTTGAGCCCAGGAGTCTGAGACCAGTCTGGGCAACATAGACAAACCCTCTATGTCTCTACAAAAAAATACAAAAATTAGCCAAGTATGATGATATGTGCCTGTAGTCCCAGCTATTTGAGAGGCTGAGATGGAAGGATCACTTGAGTCCAGGAGGTTGAGGTTGAACTGTGATGACACCACAGCACTCCAGCCTCAGTGACAAGGCACGACTGTGTTTCGAAAGACAGAGAGAAGGAGAGAGAGGGAGGGAGGGAGGGAGGGAGGAAGGAAAGGAAGGAAGGAAGGAAGGAAGGAAGGAAGGAAGGAAGGAGGGAGGGAAGGAAGGAAAATAACCTAGTTAAAAGTTTGTACTTGGTTGAATAGCTTCCCTCCAAAATTCATGTATACCTGGAAACTGAATGTGGCCTCATTTGGAAATAGGTTCTTTGCAGATGTAATCAGTTAAGATGAGGTCATACCGGGTTGAGGTGGACCCTAATCTAATGATTGGTTTACTTATAAGAAATGAGACATTTTAGCTGGGCATGGTGGCTCACGTCTGAAATCCCAGCACTTTAGGAGGCCGAGACGGGTGGATCACTTGATGTCAGGAGTTCGAGACAGGCCTGGCCAATATGGTGAAACCCCATCTCTACTAGAAATACAAAAATTAGCTGGGCATGGTGGCAGGCACTTGTAATCCTAGCTACTCCAGAGGCTGAGTCAGGAGAATCACTTGAACCCAGGAGATGGAGGTTGCAGTGAGCCGAGATCATGCCACTGCACTCCAGCCTGGGTGACAGTGAGAATCCATCTCAAAAAAAGGAATGAGACATCTGGACACAAACACAGGAAAAAAAAAATCCATGTGAAGGTGGACACATAGATTGAAATGTTGCATCTACAAGCCAAGAAATCCCTGATGTCACTGACACTAGATGTACCAGATCTAGAAAAGAAGAACCTACATCGCTCCTGGATCCTTCGTAGAGAGCAAGGCACTGCTAACACCTTTATTTTGGACTTCTATCCTCCAGAACTGTGAAAGAAAAAAAAATCTGTTGCTAAAAGTCCCCCAACTTGCAGTACTTTGTTACGGCAGCCCGAGGAAATGAATACGGAGGATATTGTTGTTATTTAGGTGAGAAATAGAGTTGGCCCAGACTAGTGTGATAGAAGTCAAGGTGAAGAAAAAAGGTCAGAATCTAGAATTATTTTGAAAGTAGAGCTATAAGATTTACCAAAGGATTGAATGTAGGTTTTGAGGGAATAATAAAGGAACCAAGAATAATCCAAGACTTTTAATCTAAACTATTGGAAAGATGTTGCCATAAACTGAATGAGGAAGGCTTTGGGTGGAGCAGCACTCAGGGGAAATACAAAGAGTCCAGTTGTTAACTTTTAGAAGCCTATTTAATACCCAAGTGGAGATGTCAGGTAGGCAGTTGTACATAAAAGTCTTGAATTCTGGAGAGAGGTCTCAGCTAAAGATATAAATTTCTGAGTGGTCCACATAACAGAGGCATTTTCAGCCATTAGATGGCACAAGGTTGAAAGAGATCACTAAGGAATGCAGAGCAGAGACGAAAGCAAGGCCTACCCTGGGTACTGCAATGTTAGTAGGTCAAGGAAAAGAGAAGAAATCAGCAAAGGAGACTAGAAGGGAGCAACTGGTGAGGAAAAAGGAAGACTAAGAAATTGTGATGCTTGTCACTAATCATCAGGGAAATGCAAATTAAACCACAAAGAGTTACCAGCTTACTCCTGCAGGAATGGCCATAATTAAAAAGTCAAAAAGCAATAGATGTTGGCATGGATGTGGTGCAAAGGGAACATCTTTACATTGCTAGTGGGAATGTAAATTAGTACCACCACTATAGAAAGTAATATGCAGATTCCTTAAAGAACTAAAAGTAGAACTACCATTCAATCCAGTAATCCCACTACTGAGTATCTACCCAAAGGAAAAGAAGTCATATAAAAAAGACACATGTACATGTATGTTTATAGCAGCACAATTAGCAAATGCAAGAATATGGAACCAATCTAAGTGCCCATCGACCGAGTTGATAATAAAAATATGGTATATATGTATATGCCATGGAATACTACTGAGCTATAAAAAGGAACAATAATAATGTCTTTTGCGGCAACTTGGATAGAGCTGGAGGTCATTATTGTAAGTGAAGTAACTCAGGAATGGAAAACCCAATATTGTATGTTTTCACTTACAAGTGGAACTTAGCTATAAGGATGCAAAGGCATAAGAGTGATTAATGGGCCGGGCGCGGTGGCTCCGCCTGTAATCCCAGCACTTTGGGAGGCCGAGGCGGGCGGATCACGAGGTCAGGAGATCGAGACCATCCCGGCTAAAACGGTGAAACCCCGTCTCTACTAAAAATACAAAAAATTAGCCGGGCGTAGTGGCGGGCGCCTGTAGTCCCAGCTACTTGGGAGGCTGAGGCAGGAGAATGGCGTGAACCCGGGAGGCGGAGCTTGCAGTGAGCAGAGATCCCGCCACTGCACTCCAGCCTGGGCGACAGAACGAGACTCCGTCTCAAAAAAAAAAAAAAAAAAAAAAAAAGAGTGATTAATGGACTTTGGGGGCTCGATGGGGGAGGTTTGGAGGGGTTAAGGGATAAGAGAATATTGGGTACAGTATAAACTGCTTGGGTGACAGGCACACTAAAATTTCAGAAATTAGCACTAAAGAACTTACCCATTTAACCAAAAACCATCTGTACCCCCAAAAACTATTGAAATTAAAAAAAAATTGTGATTGATGTGGTTTCGCTGCATCCTCGCCCAAATCTCATTTGTATTTTAGCCCCAATAATCCCCACATGTCATGGAAGGGACCTGGTGGCAGGTAATTGAATCATGGAGGTGGGTCTTTCTCGTGCTGTTCTCGTGATAGTGAATAAATCTCACAAGATCTGATGGTTTTATAAAGGGGAGTTCCCCTGCACATGCCCTCTTTGCCTGCTGCCAGGTAAGATGTGTCTTTGCTCCTCTTTGCCTTCTGCCATGATTGTGAGGCCTCTTCAACCATGTGAACTGTGAGTCAATTAACTCTTCCCTTTATAAATTACCCAGTCTTGGGGGTGTCTTTATTAGCAGCGTGAGAACAGACTAATAAAATGATACCTGTACTAGAATCCACTTGAAGAAAGGGAAGCACAAATTGATCACCAAGGTGTGACATAGGAAAGCATAGTTTGATGGTCCATCAAACACTATTGATAGGAAAAAGTGAGAACTAAGAATTGAGCATTCAATTTAGCAATATAAATATTATTGTGACTAGGATGAACAATAGTTTCAGCAGAGTGTTTAAAGTAAAATCTTGGTTAGTGGGTTTGTAGCTGAAAGAGAGGAAATTGGAGACAGCAATTACAGACACTTGAAATTTTTATCAGGGAAGATTTCAAGCATATAAAAATATGAATTAACAAAAAATGAAACCCATCACCCACATTCAATTGTTTTTAACTGATAGCCAATGTTGTTCATCTACTTCCCCACTCCCTCTGTCCCTACCTTACCAGATTATTTTGAAGATACTCTGAAAAAATAATTTAACTTCATTCATAAAAATTTAGACTTCTGCTTTAAGGCTCTTGCATTTTTTCTTTTTCTATAAAAGGAGCAAAAAAACAGATGGTAATTTGCAGGTGGAAGTGAGGTTAAGAGAAGATATTTGTAAACCACTTTTGGATCCCTGGGTTCAGATGTGGACTAGCAAGAGAGTTGGATTTAACCAGGGTTTTGGTTTTGCCATGTATAAAACACTGTGAGGTTCAAGGGTGTATGCAAAGGAATGATTACTATCCTTTGATAATTGACTATGTGACCATAAGCATTTTAGCTGGGTAAGGAGTGGAGTGATGACATAAAGTGGGTGAAATACACTGACAAGGTGATAGAATCATAGCTTAGAGGTCAAGGTGGAGTAATAAAGTGGTGGTGGTCAAAGAGCACAAGTTAGTCAGAGAAGCGGGTTTACAGGAAATAAGCCAGAGAATGTTCATCAACGTGTATATTAACCCATTTCCTGTTTAGAAAAAAAAAGTGTGGCTTGCTGCCAGCACTCACTGAATTTTACGTAAACACACTCTTTGAGGCTGAAGCAAATCTGACTGATTTTTCAATGTGAAAATAAAATATAAAAATTCTTCATGGAGTTATTTCTAAACAGAACTTGTCTCTAATCCTAATGTAACAGAAATGTATATGATATTACATTAGGATTAGAGACAAGAGAACAAGAATATTCTTGGGGCAAACAGGAAATGGGTTAAGGAATTAGACTAGAGTAGATTTATAGATAAGGAGACTAAGCTCAAGAGCGAAAATCATAGAGAAATGAGTTGAATTACAGAATGGGAGTGGCTGGTGTCTTTTAGAAAGGAGGGAGTATATTCTGAACATAGCAATGAGGATCAAGAAAAAATTAGCCCATGACCAGAGAGAGCTGTGAGAGTATAAATAAACAGTGCCCACCTAAGAAGACTGTAAGATAAGCAGGAGGGAGAGCTGTAATTCCATTAGAGCAATGAAAAGAGATTTTCCTTGGCCACTGCGTGACGCTTTTTTAACATGTTTTTTTCCCTCAACCATAAACAATTGCAGGCACAGTTGTGAGCATGGGCAAATTCAGGTTTTATGTGACCTGAAACTTACTTAGTTTGGAGGACTTTCTTTAAGGAAAGACTGTAAAATTTTTATTTTCCCAGATTTTACCAACAAAAAAGTGCAATTATGCAAACCCATTATCCACTTACCTTCCAATAGCCCACTCGAAAGGGGCTATTGGGAAACAATTCTCTATGGATATTTTCACCTTTCTGCATGATCCAGGCTTTCTGAGCAAACAATATGGTCAAACTTGATTAAATAATTATTAAGTGGTAAACATGCCTTGGAAGCCAGAAATTGTGTATTAATCTGGAAATATTTATCCCTTGGATAAATCCCACTTGATCATGCTAAATGATCTTTTTAATGTGTTGTTGAATTTGGTTTGCTAGCATTTTGTTGAGGATTTTTACAACTATGTTCACCAGAAATATTGGCCTAACACTCTTTTTTTCTGTGTCTTTGTCCAATTTTGGTATCAAGGTAATGCTGACCTTGTAGAAAGAGTTTGGAAGTATTACCACTTCTCCCATTTTTTTTGGAAGAGTTTGAGTTTTTTCTTTAAAAGTTTGACAGAATTAAGCATTGATGCAATCAGGTCCTAGGCTTTTCTTTAATGGGAGACTTTTTATTACAGCTTTGATCTCATTACTTGTTTGTTCAAGTTATTTTTTTCTTTATGATTCAATCTTAGTAAGTTGTATGTGTTCAGTAATTTATCAATGTCTTTTAGATTTTCCAAAAGAAACTTGTGGTTTCTTTTGGAAAAAGTTGTCCATAATTGTTTTTAATGATTCTTTGTATTTCTGTGGTCTCATTTGTTAACTCTCCCTTTTTGTTTCTGATTTTATTTACATGGGTCTTTTCTCTTTTGTTCTTAGTTTAGGTAAAGGTTTGTTAATTTATTTTTTCAAAAAAACCTTTTTGTTGATATTTTGTATTTTTTACTCTCAATTTCATTTACTTCTGCTCTGATCTTTATTATTTCTTTCTTTCTACTAAATTTGGTTTTGTTTTGTTCTCTTTTCTAGCTCCCTGAGGTGCATCATTAGGTTGTTAATTTGAAGTTCAAAGATAATATAGAAATACAGTGGTCATTGTAAGAAAGTTTTAACCTAGACAAAACTGTTCATTTATGAAGTGGATTGGAAAAGAAGAAATTCTGAATTCCTCAAGAACAATGGAATGTAGATTTTGATTATCATGCAGAGCCTTACAAGAGACTCAATAAATCAAAATATGCCTCTCTTAAAGACTTCTGGCCAGAAGCAGTGGCTCACACCTGTAATCCTAGCACTTTGTGAGGCTGAAGAGGGCAGATGGCTTGAGCTCAGGAGTTTGAGACCAGCCTGGACAACATAGGGAAACCTCATCTCTATTAAAAATAAACATAATAATAACAATTAGCCAGGCATGGTGGCACAAGCCTGCAGTCCCAACTACTCAGGAGGCTGAGGTGGGAGTGTTGGAGTAGGTAGTTAGGCAGACATGAACATCAGAAGAAAAGCCCATCCCCCACCAGTAATGTCAGGCAACCATTAGGTGATGGTCAGGTAGTTGTTAAGCAGTCTTTTTAAAATAATAATTGGTTGCAGTCAGTGCCAGAGAAAGGCAGTCTCCCAATATATGGAAAACACTTGAAGCCGGTGGCCAACAGCTTCCCAATAAGGAGCTGAGCAAGCAGTCTCAAGCATGCACTAAGAGGCAAAATGGCAGAGTTTAACTGGTGTATGACCAGTTCCTCTAGGAACACTTGACTGGCAAGGGAAAAACGCCTCAAGTGAGCATGCACACAACTTCAGTAAATACACTGTGCATGTGGCCGCTCACAAGTGCTGGCAGGCCACTGTGCATGTGGATGGCCCACCCCAAGGAAAAATCAAGAGTGGAGAGACACAAAACTCCAGAAGCATGCCAACATATAAAACCCCAAGTCAAAGGTCAAACAGGGCACTTGGATTTCTCAGGTTGCCAACTTGGCCCTCTTCCAAGTTACTTTACTTTCTTTCATTCCTGCTCTAAGAGTTTTTAATAAACTCTTACTTCTGCTCAAAAACTTGCCTTGGTCTCTCACTCTCGCTTATGCCCCTCAGACAAATTCTTTCCTTTGAAGAGGCAAGAAACAAGTTCTTGCAGACCCATACAGATTCACTGCTGCTAACATACTTTGATGCCACATGGCTTGGATACGTTCCCCAGTGGTAAGAAATCTCTATGCCTCTCCTTCTTTGGCTGGAGAAGAAGGAGATCTGTACACAGTTTTCTTCTCCCCTTTCACTCTCCTGCCTTCCAACCAATTCCCAGAACTATTACTCTCAGCCACAGTGGCTCTGCACCCGCTGGCTGATCTCTCAGCTTACCCTGACCGGTGGCTTACAGGGGTAGGAAGGACCTTGGAGTCCACACCATGTAGACCTGAAATACTAATGGCCCTCCTAGACAGGAGGCTCATGAGAGTGGTAGGGCTAAAGCCTAACACTGTGCAATGTCTGCAATTTCCTCTGCTTTTTCAAATACAATTGTCTTTTTCCCCAAAACCCACACCACCTATTCTCCTGTTTTCTCTGTGTGTGTTCTGAAACGGCCTTGTGTGCCCACCACACTGTCTACCTCAGGGGCAAGTCTGTCTCTCTTCTTTCACTTTGTATGCCACGCAACTTCCTTCTCTACGTTAAACACACACTCCCTGTTATTCGTTCACCCATGGCTCTTGTTGCATTTGTACAGCAGCAGAGAAACAGGCTCCCTTGCAGATGTCCATTGGCTCATTGCCAGGATAGACACTAATTAGAACCCCAGTTCTTCCAGCTCCTTATGACTTACCATACACTTTTCATCCCTGTTATGCTCCAGGGTCAAGTTTTTGGTGGCTTTTGAAGCAGTTTTTATGGCTGCATAGGACATCACTCTGTGGTTCTTTAAGGATCTCACCTACTTGCTTTTTTTGAGTTAGCACCCCCTTTGGGAGGAGAGAAAATTCTTCCTTTGCCATTTGTGGGCTCTTATCCCAAGCTCCGAGTTCTCCAAAGATTCCTCTTTATGTCAAGAGGGCAAATAAACATTGCTGTTTTGAATCCCAGGGCTGCTGTTTATGTGAGCATATGAAGGTTTTCCGTCAGTATTCCTCATGCTTCCTCCCACTTTCTCCTATAGCAGAGGGGTTGTCCTGTCTACTCAAGCATTTCTTCTGGATATTACCCCAGGAGGACAGGGAACCTCTAATACAAAATTTTCTCCATTCCTCTAATCACTTCCATACCCTCCTCAATGTGCTTAAGGACTCTCAAGGTCATATTTAAAGGGAGGGAAGTGCAGCCTCTTGCAGCAGTTGGCTGAAAAACAAGCTTCTCATCTACTTAAAGAACATGGGAAATGGATTATAAAAAAAAAAGAGGTAATCATTTTGTTGCCAGAATGCTGTGAGTAAGAGTCACTATAAGATCATGGAGATAAGGATATAGGCCAGCCCAAGGCTGCAGGTGCAAGAGACAAAGTACCCATAGGACAGAGAGAGATAAAGGCTGGTCACAGGCCACAGGCACAGAACAGATTACCATTAGAACAGAGATGAAGGCAAGCTTAGGGGTACCTGGTAAGACCGGTTTATTCTGAAACTCCAAGGATAAATAGGGGACCCCTGTTCACTTGGGTATTTCCTCTGTTCTCAAGTGGGTAATTGTGATGAGATGGGACACAGGTTTGGGTACCCAGTAAGACAGGTTCATTCTGGAACCCTAAGGATGAATGGGGGATGCCCTGTTCAGGAAAGGATAATAGGGAAATAAAAGGAGATACCTTCTTTTTCCTTTTTTTCTCCTTTGTTGTATCTTCACAGATGGGTAATCACATCTCCCTACTACAGTACAAACCCTTTGGATGCATCCTCAAGAACTGAAAGTTTGACCCCAAAACCCTGAAAAGGAAAAGGCTAATATTTTTCTGTATCACAGCCTGGTTTTAATACAAGCTCCAGGAGCAGGAATCTTGACCAGAAAGTGGAAGCATAAATTTTAAATTTTTAATATGCTCTATCAGCTAGATCTGTTTTGCCACTAGCAGGGAAAATAGACAGAAATCCCCTATGTACAGGCCCTAAGAAACAACCCAGACCTTTGTTGGGCTTGTAAAATTGATCCAGTGATGATAGCAGCCATAATCATGCTGCCCCATCTGGTTGGTTCGGGAGACCCCTCATTGGGTTTACCCAGGGCTCAAGCCCTGGAGGAACCAAGAGTGGAGCTTAGCTCAAACCCTACCCTTTGGCCCCATTATATCCAAGTCTCCTGGCCCTGGAGCCTTCCCTTCCCTACCCAGGGCCATCCTCTGGACACCACCCCCTCAAGTTATGCTCCCTTCAAGAAGTTAGTTGACCTACTAGAGTTCAGACTCCATTTAATATGCAAGACCTGAGTCAAATTAAAACAGAACTAGGGAAGTTTATGGAGGATCCTGACAAATGCATCAAAGGGTTCCATAAACTGGGCTTAACATTTGAACTCACTTGGAGGGATCTCTCAGTCATACTGGGACAAACCCTGTCTAAGGGAGAACATGACTCCATTATGGAGGCACCCCAAAAATTTGCAAATGCAATACACATGACTGACCTTGGTGGCTACCCTGTATGGGCCACCACAGTTCACTGGGTCAGCCCCAATTGGGATTACAATACCCATGGGGGCATATGGGCAAAGAATTGCATGTTCTTATGTCTCGTAGAAGGAATGAAAGCTAGAAGAGCCAAGCCTGTAAACTATAATAAAATTGGTCTTAATAGATCAAGGACCTCTTGGAAACCCCACCACTTTCCTAGAGAGGCTACAAGAGGCCCTGGTGAAACACACTAACCTAGACCCAGAGACATCACAAGGGCAACTGGTCCTGAAGGACCATTTTTTAACTCAGGCAGCCCCACATATTTGGAGGAAACTCTAAAAACTAGCACTGGACCCCAAAACCCTTATGCCTGACATCTTCAACATAGCTTCCTCTGTCTTTTACAACCAGGACTAGGAGAAAGAGGAAAGGGCTCAGGGAAAGAAGAGGTAAAAGGAAAAGCAGCAGCTCCAACTATTGGCTGCCCTAAAAATCCACCAGCCCTCTCCAAGTTGCCCTCAGAATACTCTCCCAGTTAACTGCCATCAGTGTGGGAAGCCAAGACACTGGAAGACAAACTGCCGCAGTGGGACAGATGGGAAAAATCCCTACATGGCTTGCCCTTTCTGTCACAAACTCAACCACTGGAAATGGAACTGCCCTGAGGGCTGAAGGGCCCCTAGAACAGAATCCCAATTCCTGATGGCCTTAAGCTGAAAAGGCCCGCCACTCCAGCAGCTCCTGGACTGAACATTACTATTGAAGGGACAGAGCTAAGGGCTGCTTTGGATGTGGCAGGTAGGACTATAAGTTTTCTTTGGGAAATGGCCTTCTTGGTGCTTATGTCTTCATGGGCAATTATCCTCCAAGGTGATGGGGTTAAATTGGGTGCCCATAACCCAAAGGTTCACTCCTCATCTTTGCTGCCTGTGAGGGGAGACTGTCTTTTCTCATTCATTTTTAATGATAGCAGAATGTCCTACACTGCTTTTGGGTAGAGATATTTTATTTAGACTAGGGGCTTAGTTAACCTTTTCCAAATGCAATCTTATGCCTCAAGGAAGTCACACACAAGGATGAACTTCCCAGACTTTTCCATTAATCCAGAAGTCTGGGGCTCAAGAATATCAGGAAAGGTCATAATGATAATGCCTATAGTAACTCAGCTCATGGATCCTTCTAGCTAACCTTGTAGAAGGCAGCTTCCTCTTTGACCTCTGGCCAAAAGGGACTTCATCCCCTAATTGAAAAATGTCTAAAACATGGATTATTAATATACTATAACTCGCTATGTAACACCCCTGTCTTACCTGTTAAAAAGAGCAATGGAGCAATGGACAATATAGGCTAGTCCAGGACCTGCAAATCATAAATGAGGCAGTAGTCCCAATACACCCAATGGTCCCCAACCCATATATTATTCTAGGAGAAGTACCCCCAGATGCTCATTTGTTCTCAGTCTTAGAGCTCAAAGATGCTTTCTTTTGTGTCTCCCTAGACTCATCCTCCCAATTTGTATTTGCACTTGAATTGGGGAATGAAAAAGGAAGGAGTCTACAGCTAATCTGGATAGTACTTCCGCAAGGTTCCAGAGATGGTTCCAATTTGTTTGGGCAAGTCTTGGCTAGAGATTTGCAGGACCTAACTCTTGAGGGTTGAGGGTGTCTCCTACAGTACATAGATGACAGATGACCTGTTAATCTGCTCCCCTACAAGAGAGTTATGAATCCTGCATCTAGTCCAGACACTAGATTTTCTCACAGAGGGTACAAGATGTCTAAGGCCAAGGCACATCGATTAAGAAAAGAGGTTTAATACCTGGGGATAATCCTGATCCCACAGAGAACATAAGCTTTCTCCAGAATGGATACAGGCCATCCTTAGAATACCTACCCCAACCACCTAAAAGCAACTTTGGGCTTTTCTGGGGATCACAAGATATTCCAGACTTTCAATACTGGCATATGGTGGAATTATTAAGTCCTTATATCAGGTTCTAAAAGAAGGGACTCATCAGGACCCACTTCTCTGGGAAAAAGATCAGAAGCAAGCCTTTAGAGAACTAAAAACTGCCTTCTCACAAGCCCTAGCCCTTGGGCTACCCATACTAACCAAACCGTTTCAGCTTTTCATCACTGAAAGTAAGCTGTAGCCCTGGAAGTTCTAACTCAAACCATCAGGCCATCAAATGTCCTATAGGTTACTTTTTAAAGAACCTAGACCCAGTAGTGCAAGGGTGGCCACACTGCCTAAAGGTAGTGGCTGCAGCAGCCCTTTTACCCAAGGAGGCCCTCAAAATCACAATGGGACAGTCGGTCAGGCTCCTGACATTCCAACTAATAGGCCCCTTATTGGATATAAAAAGACCGCAATGGATCACTGACAACAGACTGCTAAACTACCAAGTCTTGTTGTCAGAAAACCCACAGGTAACAGTTGAGTGGTGTTCCACTCTTAACCCAGCCTCCTTACTGCCACTACTAGAAGAGGATAACTGAACACATTCATGTTGTGAGATACTTAACCAAATTTATGCCAGCCAGGAAGACTTACAATATCAGCCCCTAGGTTATCTAGATGAAATATGGTTTTCAGATAGGATTGGCTTTGTCAAGAATGGAGATAGATATGCAGGGTATGCTATATGTCCCTTCACCCAGTTACAGAGGTGGTAGCTCTGTCCCTGGGGACCTCAGTGCAACTAGCTGACCCATCACATTGACCAGGGCCCTAAAACTTGGGGAAAGAAAAAGAATAACCACATATACAGATTCCAAATATGCCTTCCTGGTGCTTCACACCCACATGGCTAACCAGAAGGAAGGGGGATACCTAACAGCTTGGAATACTCCTATTACATAGAGACCTCCAATCTTAGAGCTACTAGAGGCTGTTCATTTGCCTCAGGAAGTGGCAGCAGTGCACTGTAAAGAATACCACAGGGGTTCTGATGAAACTGCATGGGGAAATATGTTATCTGACCAAAAAGCTAAAGAGGCAGCCATCTCAAAAGACACCTCTGTGGGGACTTTACTCCCCTCTCTCCCCAGTGAACTGCCCTTCTCCAATACACTAAGGAAGAAATAGATTGGGCCATCCAGCATGGGTATAAAGAAGAAACCAATGGATGGTACATGTTGGGAGAACTTCTCCATCTACCTAATGCTTCCCAGTGGAAAGTCATCAAGTGTTTACTTGACTCATGCCACCTTGAAAAGGACAGTCTAGGGTAAATTTGTAAATGGGTGTTCAGTGGGAAGGGACTAACCAAAATTATTCAATAGGTTTGTCAAGCCTGCACCTTGTGAACCACAAATAATCCCTAGATGGGGAAGCCCCCTCCATAATAAGTCAAATCCAAAGGAGAGGTACATACTCTGGGGAGGACTGGTAGATGGACTTCACTCAGCTACCCACATGCCACAGGTGTAAGTACCTCTTGGTCTGTGTAGGTACCTTCACAGAACGGGAAGACTCCTGCCCCACAAGGACTGAAAAGGCACAGGAGATAGCTGACTTGCTCCTAAAGGAACTCATTCCCTGCTTTGAACTCCCCAGGTCATTGCAGAGTGACAGTGATTCATCTTTTTTTCCCCAAGTAACTTAACAGGTTAGTAATGCCCTAGGCATGAAGTGGTACCCTCACTTTGCCTGAGAACTGCAATCTTCAGGAAAAGTGGAAAGAATTTACCAAACCCTGAAATGCATCCTCAATAATCTCTGTCAGGAAATAGCAGTCATGGGTGGACCTCTTACCTTTAACCCTCCTTCAAATCTGTATTGCCCCTAAGGCTCCCTAGCAATTAAGCCCCTTTGAGATCTTATATTGTAGGCCATTTCTATATTCAGACTTATCTGATACTAGATGAAGAAACTGCCAAAATCACCCAGTATGTTTCTTCTTTAGCAGGCTTCCAACAGACTCTCTGGGAATATGGGTTAAAAACAAACCCAACGTCGGAAGGGGAAACAATCCCAGCCTCTGTATCTTCCAGGCTCTAGTTCTCATTAAAGCTTGGAAGGTTGAAACCCCAAATTCCTAACTAACTGTATTCTGGGGGGGCCACTTCACTGCTCCAGTATCTATTCCCACAGCCATTAAAGTACCAGAGATAGCCAGCTGGATACATCATGCCTGGGTGAAGTCATGGAAAGGCCATGCAACACCAGAGCCAGAACCAACACCCTCAGCTCCAGAATACACTTGTGAGGCACTGGAAGACCTGAAATTCCTCTTTTAGTGAAAACATAAGTAATGCCCCCTCAACATCCTTTCACCTCAAAGTAAGGTGATCCTAGTATTAGGAATTTTACTAACAATTGTTATGATTATTATCACTATTTTAATCCCAACTTGTACACCACCAGGAGTTCCAGTGGCAGCTTGCTTTGTGATCAATTTCTCTCTCTCACAATCACCTTAGGTCACCATGGCTCTGCTCCTGTTGGTTCTCATACTCAACGCTTTACTGGCAGCACACTGCCATCCTGATTTCCTGTTATGAGAAAAAGCTCAGCAATTGCTCCAAAACACAGGATCCCCTTACTCCACCAAATGCTGGTTATGTACTAGCTCTTCCTCTAAAACACCAGGGAGAGCTTATCCAGCCTGTACCAGAGATTGGACAAGCATAGACATAGAGTTACGTATTTCCTCTCAACAGGACCCTAATCTGAAAGAGCTATTTGGGTCTGCAAATAACATTTTTTGCAAAAGCAAAGCAGTATTTACTTGACATCCACAAGGCACCTCTCATTTTTGGATCAATCTTTTCTAATATCACTTTAATGGGAATAACCTCTATTTGTCTTATGGCCAAAAGAAAAAGATGGATTGGATGTAGGCTCTTTCCCAGTATAGCTTGTAATGTTACTCTCTCTGTAGATTCTAACCAACAGACTGATGGAACATACACCGAAAACCAATTCCACCATCAACCAAGATTCCCCAAACCTTCAAATATTATCTTTCTTCAGGCAACTTTGCTAATTAAGTCCATTCAGTTTTGCCAGCAATGCCCAAGCTCATGCAGTACTTGAAATTTCTAGTTCCAGCCTGATGATTATAACCAATGTCTGCAAATTGCCAACCTCAGCTCCACAGCAGAATGGGTTCTAATGGAGTAAACTCAAAATTCTCTTTTTTTGGGAAAATGAAACCAAGGGAGCTAATCAGAGCCAAACCCCATGTACCCAAGTGTTAGCAGGCATGAATGTAGCTACCAGCTACCTGGGTGTGTTGTCATCCTTGGTATTTTTGGGGGCTGTCCTCATCTCTTCTTTTGTTTTGACATCTCTACTTGTCTTAAAACCCAAGGAGCCTTCTGTGTTTGTGGCCAATCAGTTTACCAATGCCTCCTCATTAAATGGACTGGAACTTGTACCATAGATTATGTACCCCTGGACATCTTTATACTCCCTGGCAATCTCTCTCTTCCAGCACCAATCCATGGGAATTCTATCTTGCCCAGGGTGAAAAGGGCTATCCAATTAATTCCCCTTCTTATGGGCCTCAGCATTATAGCTGGTATGGGAACCTAAACTGCCGGAATCTCAAAAGCCTCCTTGACCTATAGCCAACTCTGAAAGGAAATAGCCAGCAAGTTTAATATCATGGCTAAAACCTCAACCATGGCCAGAGCAAATTAACACTTTAGCAGTTGTAGTCCTCCAAAACTGTCAAGGACTAGATATGTTAATGGCAGCACAGGGAGGAATTTGTTTAGCTTTAGATGAAAAATGTTGCTTTTGGGTAAATCAATCAGTAAAAGTACAAAACAACATCAGACAACTCCTAAATCGAGCCTCCAGCTTACAAGAACAAGCCTCTCGTGGTTAGTTAGATTGGTAAGGAACCTGGAAATGGGATCTTCCCTGGGTTCTTCCCTTTTTAGGCCCACATGTTAGCCTCTACTTTTGCTCCTTTCAGTCCATGTCTTCAAAAATCTAATAACCCAATTTGTCTCCTTTCTCTCACCTTTAGATGATCAAGTTCCAGATGATCCTCAGTGAGGGATACCATCCTTTCAATATTCAAGAGTCACCCTTCTACAGAGGACTCCTAGACTTCCCATCAGTGGGACATGGCAGAGGTGAAATCCTGCCCCTGTCTCCCTTAGACCTGGCTGGATACTGCTTCCAACAACCCATGCAGCCACCCTGCCCTGACAGCTAGCAAGAGGCCAAGACCCACAGAACAATCACCATCACACCTCTGTCAGCAGGAAGCAGTTACAGAAGACTGACCTTCATCCAGTTTCCCAAAGAATTGGGTCATGGATTTTTGCGGGGGAAAATGTTAGAGTAGGTAATTAGGCAGACATGAGTAAGGGAGGAGAGACCCCCTCCAACTAGGAATGTCAGGTGAGCATCAGATGATCATCAGGTGGTTGTTAAACTCTCTCTCTAAAATAATAATAGGTTGCAACTGGCAGCAGGGAAAGACAATCTCCCAATAGATAGAAAAGTCCTGAAGCTGGTGATCAGCAGCTTCCTAGTAAGATCTCAGGATTTGGGCAAGCAGGCTCAAACATGGGCACTAAGAGGCAAAATCGTGGAGTTTAACTGGTATACAGACTTCCTCTAAAAACACATGACTCATGCACATGTGGACAGCCTGCCCCAAGGAAAAATCAAAAGAGGAGAGATGCAAAACCCCAGAAGCATGCCAATATATAAAACCCCAAGTCTAAGGTCAAACAGGGCACTTGGATTTCTCAAGTTGCCCACTTGGCCCTCTTCTAAGTGTACTTTATTTCCTTTCATTCCTGCTCTAAAACTTTTTAAATTTCACTCCTGCTCAAAAACTTGCCTCAGTCTTTCACTCTGCCTTATGCCCCTTGGAAGAATTATTTCCTTCAAGATGGCAAAAAGCAAGCTGCTGCAGACCCATACAGATTTGCTGCTGCTAACAGGAGGATAACTTGAGCCCAGAAGGTTAAGGCTGCGGTGAGCCTTGATTATGCCACTGCTCTCCAGCCTGGCAACAGAATGAGACTCTATTTTTTTTTCTTTTAAAAAGACTTTTTACAAAAGGCAAAATGATAATGGAACTAAAAATGTACGTTGACTGACTTAACTCCAACTGCTTCTTCCCTCAATTGAAACCACCTTTGCAAAAATTATAACAGTGAGAAAATTATGGCAGTAGGGGTGATCTGATCAAGCCAAACCCCATCTTGCCTTTAGCCTTCAAGCTGCCCATAATTATTCCTGGGCTTAGGCCAAGCTAACTTTGGGAGACACTTGGTCTATAGTTTAAATGATAATAGTCCTTCCTTAAAATTCAACCACCTCAGCAAAGCTGATGAGAGGCCACCAGGCAAGGAGGATAGAGGAGTCTAAATTCTGCTAAGGTGTAGATATAAACAGTTTCCAGCCATTATTCTGGAGGTCACAAAATGTGCAACTTCTTCAATTACTCCTGCAGATAACATCAGTATTTTAGAACCTAAGATTGGCCTTTTGAGATGTCTTTTCAGGTTTTTTTGTGTGTCTGACTACCGATGGCTCCACCTGGACCCACCAACCACTCCTGTGGCCCCATCCAGAAGCAACTCAGCATGCATAAGGACTATTTCCCACACCCCTATGATTGCACCCCCAACCAATTAGCAGCAAGGACTTATTGCCTAAAACAGCCCCATTCATCCCCCAAACCATCCATGAAAAACCCTAGCTTTCAAATTTCCGGGGAAGCTGATTTGAGCAATAATAAAATACGTCTCCCATTTAGCCAACTCTACATGTATAAAACTCTTTCTCTATTGCAATTCCCCTGCCTTGATAAATGATAAATCAGCTCTATCTGGGCAGCAGGCAAGAAGAACCCGTTGAGTCCTTACAATATCCTTCTTTCTACCCTCCTCTGCCTAATTACTCTGAATCTACTAACTTTTTCACTCAGTTATTTTTCCACTTTGAAGACAAAAAGTTAGAAAAAAAAATGCCTTATGAAATTAGTCCCTCAGAATAAACCAGCTGGGCTTTCTTTAGCCACCTGTATGCTTTAGTCAAAATCTAAGCTCAGAGGCAATAGTGAAAGGCTTTCTTATCCCAAAGGAAAACTCTCAGAAATTTGCTGAAGCTATCCACACTGAGTGTAGGTATAGAACATGCTTTGCCCTATTTATTCATGGGCACCATCCTGAACTCAGTAATCTAGCTTTTTTCTTTTGAAGCTGGATGGGGAAGACACAGATCTAGCTGAATTAGTTGCCAAAATATGCTATCTGGCATAAAGATTATTTTGAGAGAGTTATTTTGAGACTCTTTGTAAGAGAAATTTATATCTACAAAGGAAGTCTCCATTTATAAGCTTGTCTCTCTGCATCAGGAAGAAAAGAAGGACTAAATCACCAGACACTCTTAACCAATGGAGAAGGAGTTTAAGTAACAAACCTTACCTTTGTTTAAGGTGCTTTTTCTGGCTCTCTGCCATTAAGATCTACATTTTCCACCCTGTCTCCTCTAGGACCTGAGGGTTATCTCTTTGATATGCAAATGCCAGGGAGATTACTCACCAGAAGAAGAAGAAGAAATAGAGCTAATTGGAAATTGAGCAAATAAAAAAATCTTGTTTTTTCTCCCAGAAACAGTGAAAAGCTTTAGCCATCCTTTAGATAATCTTAACTTGTTCCATCTGCCAGAAACACAATTTGGATTCAGAAATTCTTTATGAACTGTTTTTGTATTATTGTACCTGGCACATGGCTACAGTTTTCAAATGAAAACTGTGAAATCTGCTTCTGTCTGTATTTTATGTATGTCTGTGTATGCATGTATGTGTAATATTTTTCTACCTCTAGAGACTATCCTAAAATTAACTTATAAAGAGCTGTATTTAATTGCCTTAAAGAAAAAGCACTTATACAAATTAAGTATTTTTTAAACTTTCAGAAAAATAAGACCTAGCGCAAATGTTCTTCAAGTTGATATTGTTAAAAGAAGAAACTTCAGCCAAATTAAACTTAAAGAAGTTTAATTGAGCAATGAATGATTCACAAATCAGGCAGCCTCCAGAGTTACAGCTGATTCATGGAGACTCCAGGGATGCCTCATGGTCAGAACAAATTTATAGACAAAAAAAGGGAAGTGACATACAGAAATTAGAAGTGAAGTACAGAAAGAGCTGGACTGGTTACAGGTTGGTGTTTGCCTTATTTGAACACAGTTTGAACACTCAGCAGTGTCTAAGTGGTTGAAGTATGGCTACTAGAATTGGCCAAGACTCGGCTATTGTTACAGGAACGTACTCCTAAATTAGGTTTTCAATCTTGTCTACCTGTTAAGTTAGGTTACAGTTCATCCACAAGGACTCAAATATAGAAGTACGGAGTCCTTCTCAGGCTATCTTCAGTTCTCTTTAACAGTATGATACGGGATAATCTTCAGTAAATAAAAATTTCTTTAAGTTTGTTGGATTAACTAAAGCAGGCATGTCTTCAGAGTTGTCAACATTAAATATAATACATACATACAGTTTTTTTCTACCAGGGGTTACTAGGCAAATAAGTTTGTTATTGTAACTAGATGTTTAAGATTATAAAACTGTCAGTTTAATCTAAGAGCAAAAGTGAAAATGTGGTAGCTATTTTATTAAGTACAGCGGTAAAGCAAGTATATATTAAGTATAGCAGTAAAGCAAAAAAACAAAAAAAAACAAGTATTTAACTTTTTTTTGGTTTTTTTTTTTGAGACGGAGTCTCTCTCTGTTGCCCAGGCTGGAATGCAGTGGCACAATCTCAGCTCACTGCAACCTCCACCTCCCGGGTTCAAGCGATTCTCCTACCTCAGCCTCCTGAGTAGCTGGGATTACAGGCGTGCACCACCATGCCCGGCTAATTTTTGTATTTTTAGTAGAGATGGTGTTTCACCATGTTGGTCAGGCTGGTCTCGAGCTCCTGACCTCATGATCTGCTCGCCTCGGCCTCCCAAAGTGCTGGGATTACAGGCATGAGCCACCAAGCCCGGCCTTAACTTTTTTTTAGGTTCTTGCTTTTGTGATATTTGGCTAACATACATATGCTGTAAAAATTGTTAATAGGAAAATATTAATAATGAGATGTTGACTAGCTTTGTCTGTCTAATGAAATTTCATAAGTCAATTAAAATTAAGAACAATTGAATTATAGAATAGAATTCAATTGAATTCTATTGAATACACTTGCTGAATACAACAATTGAATTGTAAATAGAATAGAAATTATAAATGAACTTTTCAATAGTAATTATTTTTTAATACGGGTACTTAAAATTGTGTCAACTTCTTAACAAAAGAAATGGAGGCAAAATTAGTATAAACAGTTTATTTGGGCCAAATTTGAGAACTGCAATGTGGGAGACACGTCTTCAAGTTGCTATGAATATAAACTCCAATTAGCAGCAGTTACAAGCGGTTTTTTTTTTTTAAAGAAGGGGCAGTTCTTTAGTTGCATATAAACTATTGATTGGCTATACATTTTTTTTTAACCATAAATTCCAGGAGCATGAACATAATGGGTGAGGGTCACATCCCCTGGGCATGGATTTGGGGCAGGATGTGACAAAAATCTCATACTCATGTCTCTCTGGGCCTGATAAATTTTGCATACTTTATATAGTTCAGACTCTTCTGAGCTACGTTTCTTTCTCTTCCTTTTGGTTGAGTTTTTTTTTCTTCTGAAAGTATTGATGATCAACATTTTAGATGTAAGTTTGTCCCATGTCACTGGAAGACTTAGTTTTAGTTAGTCTCATCCCACATTGGAGGAAGAGAGGAGAGATAAAATGGCTTAAGAATGCAGTGAAGTCTCAAGGCCAAGTTGATTGGCAACACAAAGGGACAGGGCAATGGTATTTCAGGTCATCTGCTTACAAAGGAGCTATGGCATGTTGGATCATTTCTAAGCATCTAGCTATCATTATTTTAGTGTTTTTGTTGATTTTGGACATCTAGAAGTGCAAAGTATAATCAATTTGAGAATAAAAGACATGATGCAAATAAAGACAATTACTAACAAAAGCCAGATCTGAAAAATGTTTTTATTTCCGAAGGCGACCAAATAAATATGTTTTCTACTTCTTGTGCTGATCTAAAGATCAATGTATAGGAGATCTCCAGTGATGAGTTTGTCCACTCAGGCAGAGCTGCCTTTTTAAAATAAAAATTATGAATGCATAAGTCAATGTATTTGAATTTAACTCCACAAGTATTGGTTAACAATACAGATATGGTCGCTTCCAAGGTGTTTGGAGGGAGTTTTGTATTTGATGGCATTCCACATTGGAGGCCATGCTATTTGATGTCTTCATCTCCTGGAACCACACTGTATTGTTTGGACATATCTATCCAGACAGATGATGATAAATTTTGCATATCTCACATAGTTCAGACTGCTCTGGGCTACTTTTCTTTCTCAATAGCTTCTCATTGTTAACTTATGCCTGTAGAGTTTTGCTAAACTAAATTAGATAATGGACATTTATTAAATATTTAGATCATTTCCAAATAACATAAAATGCTGAAACATTAATTGCTTAACATAAGTTAATCTACTTTTGGTTTTTATTACAAAGGAACTAAATATATTTACATCTGTTAAAAAACACTTTAAACTGTACTATGAGAAAGAATATACTTCTATAGAAATTATAAAATGGTATATTTATAGATTTACCATTTTATGGAATACCCCATAACCGTTCACAATTTCTTATTTCCTAGTTTTCACTAGAAATTGAAGTTACTAAGAGTTAACAATTTTAACTAATATAGAGTAGTTAAAAAGACTAAAAATAATAAGGGAGATAACTATATGCAAAGAAAGTAAGACATGTTTTTGGTAAGGAAAGCCATAAGGTATAAGGATGTGCTTTTTTTTAAGGAAAAGGAAGAATAATTTGGTCTAGTTTGGAGGTTATTTAAAGGTTGTTTCAGAATGAATGAAAGATAAAATCTAAATGGATACAAAAAGGAAGAGAGATGACACACACACAAAATGAATGACTCTTGTATGGACAAGTTGGCTAGAACTGAATGTATTATAAGGTTTTAAAAATGAGTCTTGACCAAGCACTGTGGCTCACGCCTGTAATCCCAGCACTTTGGGAGGCCAAGGCGGGCAGATCATGAGGTCAAGAGATCAAGACCATGGTGAAACTCCATCTCTACTAAAAATACAAAAATTAGCTGGGCGTGGTGGTGCGCACCTGTAGTCCCAGCTACTAGGGAGGCTGAGGCAGGAGAATCGCATGAACCCAGGAGGCAGAGGTTGCAGTGAACTGAGATCACACCACTGCACTCCAGCCTGGCGACACAGTGAGACTCCATCTCAAAAAAAAAAAGAGTCTTAATATCAAAAGTAAACTGATGCAAAACTAGAATTTGGTCTTCTCTGTGAAAATGACAGTTTTCTTTTTAAAGAGTATTGCTCCAGTTTTTAAAAGTGATTGTGAAAAATTTTCCTTTCCCTTGTAACTAATCGGCCTACAAAATGAAGATTTTGTGTTTTCTCAAAATAATTCTTTGTGCTTCGTGTTGCCTTTTTTTGGTCTTTAATTACTTAAGAAAATTGAATCTTCCCAACAAAAGAGCTAGTTTTGTTTGTTTTGTTTTTACAGTTATTAAACTTTCTCTATTTGCCTTTGAAACCTCTTAGTTGTTACTTTTTGTGTCTTCACAGTGACTTTTGATATATTTAATCAAGTGTTTAAAACATTTGATATTTTTGCCAGACTTCCTAAAACCAAATTCTAAACTAAATCTTTTTTTTAACCTCAAGCTAAGTAGGATTTTCCAGATGGATTCCTGGAATATCTCAAAAGACTTTGTTTTCTTTCCTTATAGAAAGAGAGGTCAGGCACAGTGGCTCAGGCCTGTAATTCTAGCACTTTGGGAGGCCAAGGTAGGCAGATCACTTGAGCCTGGGAGTTTGAGACCAGCGTGAGTAACATAGGGAGACCCTTCTCTACAAAAATTAGCCTGGCAGCCCAGCGTGGTGGCTCATGCCTGTAATCCTAGCACTTTGAGAGGCTAAGGTGGGCTGATTGCCTGAGCTCAGGAGTTTGAGACCAGTCTGGGCAGCAAGGTGAAACCCCATCTCTACTAAAAATACAAAAAATTATCTGGGCATGGCGGCGTGTGCCTGTAGTTCCAGTTACTTGGGAGGCTGAGGCAGGAGGATTGCTTGAATCCGGGAGGCAGAGGTTGCAGTGAGCCAAGATCACACCACTGCACTCCAGCCTCGGCAACAGAGCGAGAGTCCTTCTCAAAAAAAAAAAAAAAAATTAGCCTAACATGGTGTCATGCCTGTAGTCCCAGCTACTTGGGAGGCTGAGGTGGGAGGATCACCTGAACCTAAGGAGGTTCAGGCTGCAGTGAGCCATGATTATGCTACTGTATTCCAGCCTGGGCAAGAAAGTGAGACCTTGGAAAAAAAAAGAAAGAAAGAAAGGGAAAAAGAAAGAAAGAAAGAAAAAAAGAGAATTGCATAGGAAGTTGTCAAATAAGGGTGATGTTTAACCTTCTTATGTTATAATATTATTCATGTAAGTTTTCCAGATGTTCTGTGAACTTCTACAACTCCGATATGTCCTGATATGTTATCAGTCATAATTTTAGTTACCTTAAAATGTTGTGTTTCTCAGAAATAACAAATTACATTGTCAATTGCATTATAATGAACTTTCATCAGATCTTTAACCATGGCCATTTTTAAGTCTGTTGTCATCCACAAACAGTAGTTTTACTCTGATACTTTCCTGAAAGTTATTCCAAATGCTTTGTTTGCAGGAAGATTTATGGAAAATATTGAAATGTGTGGGTTTCTGGTAACTTTAAGATCATAACATTGGACTGCATAAGAATTTCCAGGACTCTATTGGAAAAACTAAATTTATAAAATTGCTAACCCAAGATCAAGTAGAAGAAAAATTAATTACATGGTGATATGGTTTGGCTGTGTCCCTACTGAAATCTCAACTTGAATTGTATCTCCCAGAATTCCCACATGTTGTGGGAGGGACCCAGGGAGAGGTTATTGAATCATGGAGTCTGGTCTTTCCCATGCTATTCTCGTGATAGTGAATAGGTCTCATGAGATCTGATGGGTTAATCAGGGGTTTCTGCTTTTGCTTCTTCCTCATTTCACCATCAGGTAAGAAGTGCCTTTCAGCTCCCGCCATAATTCTGAGGCCTCCCCAGCCACGTGGAACTGTAAGTCCAATTAAACCTCTTTTTCTTCCCAGTCTCTGGTATGTCTTTATCAGCAGTGTGAAAACGGACTAATGCACATGGGATAAAATGTATTGATAATAATGATAATTTTATGACTTTTCGTTTGAAACATTGCTGTTTCTTTAATGTCTAATTTTTCAGATTTAACGTAACTTTTTCTTTCTTTCCTTAAGCTATCTATAGCTTACAGAAATTTAGCAGATTATACCTTTATCAACAGAAAAGAAGCATATACTTTCTCTCTTACCTGATCCCTCCAGAATTCAGAAACTATTAGCAAGTATTATTATTTCCAAGGCAATATAGTTATATGCATAACTGCAATAAGAATATGTTCTTCTGGGCTGGGCGCAGTATCTCATGCCTGTAATCCCAGCACTTTGGGAGGCCAAGGAGGGCTGATCACTTGAGGCCAAGAGTTTGAGACCAGCATGGCCAACATGGTGAAACCCCAGCTCTATGAAAAAATAATAATAATAATAATAATACAAAAATTAACTAGGTATGGTGGTGCACGCTTGTAATCCCAGCTACTCAGGTGGCTGAGGCACAAGAATTGCTTGAACCTGGGAGGTGGAGGCTGAAGTGATCTGAGATTGTGCCACTGCACTCTAGCCTGGGTGACAGAGTGAGACTCTGTCTCAAAAAAAAAAGAATATATTCTTCCTATAACAGGACACAATTAGAAACACTGGTTATATTACCAAGGTTTTAAATAGAATATCATACTTAAAAATATGTGTAAAATTTTATATGACCAGCCGGGTGTGGTGGCTCACGCCTGTAATCCCAGCACTTTGGGAGGCCGAGGCAGGTGGATCACCTGAGGTCGGGAGTTTGAAACCAAGCCTGGCCAACAGGACCCTTAAGGACCCTTAAGGAGATTTTAAGAACCTAATGAAGAAGAGAATTCACCCAAAATTATAGGCATTGCAGATGAAGTCTGATGACAAGTCCTTGGCTTGCCTTCCTAGCTTGGAAAGACTTTTTAAATTCTAATTTGAGACTCCTTATTAAAAGTCCCAGCAAAGTATACTTTGAAAAAGCTTATGTAATGAATCACTATTCTTACTATACTTATGTAAGTAATCAGGCCAAGTGTAACGGGACTAGGCCTATTTTGCAAACAAATCAGTTTTACTGTGATTATTTTTGGAATGGGCATGACTATAAAGAGAAAAACTATATATTAGTAGAAAACTATAGCACACCCATTGTTAGATTCTAGCCTAGTTCACTGTCTTTGAGGTTTTGTTATCTACTTGTAAACTGAACTGGATCCTGAATTCTAATTTCCTCCAGTATCTGGCTATGACTTCTACCGAGCTGACTACAAATTTGAGGGTTCCCTTGACCTCTTCCTCATGTTCAATAATTTACTAGGACAATTAACGGGAACTCAGGAAAACACATATGATTGCCAGTTTATAATGAAAAATACAATTTAGGAATAGCCAAGTGGAAGAGATTCATGGGGCAAGGTATGGGGGCTCTTTCTTCCATGCCTTCTCCAGGTGCACCATCATCCTAGCACCTCATTGTGTTCACCAACCCAGAAGCTCTCTGAACCCCAAAGTTTAGAGGTTAGTATGGAGGTTTTATTACATAGGTATGATTAGTTAAATTGCCAACCATTGGTGCTTGAACATTATCTTTACTGCCTTTCTTCCCCCAACCCCCAGAAGTGGAAAGGGGTGCTAAAAGTTACAACCCTCTTATATTTGCTTTCAGGTGACAACTTTCAAAGTGAGTTGGAGCAAAGACCAAACATATATTTGCATGAAATCATGACATCCTATAGTAATATTTGATTTTCAAACTCTGCATGTATAATAGTTACTTAAAATTTAAATTAAATTTTAAAATGTACCAGTTATGCAGCTGAATTTTGGTACTTTTTCCCTTGGCTTTGTCTGGTATCTGAATCCACCATCATTTCCCTGTACAATATCTGCCATTGGAGATCCAATTGGGAAAATACATTTAAAGAAAAAATCTAAGAAGCATCTCATAGGTTGTGGTTCCCTTGCATCCACACTCATTATCATGGTATTATCTTCCCCAAGGTGGGTAATAGTATATCCCTGGCTAATATCAAGATTAGCACTAGCTGTCTGTAGATACCATTTAGAAAAGTTTTCTCTACATGTCCTCTCTCACCACTCCTATTCAACATAGTATTGGAAGTTAAAAAAAAAGTTTTCTCTACTTGAAACTAAAATTTATGGCAGACTATATGCTTCCGAATGTTCTAAAACCTTACTAGAAGACAAACATTGTCAAAGGTAGGAATGTGGCCAACATGTCAGGTAACGCCTATAACAAATTAAAATCTGGCGATTGCTGCCAAGATACCCACAAAACTATCGGAGGCAACTGCTGCTAAAAGACCATAAAGATGATTCTGGAGACAAAGGCCTGTGGAAGTCAATAAAATAATGGTCAAAGTGGACAAGATTTAAAAAAATTAGGATTCAGAAAGAAGCCAATTGTCATTTAGGAAACAATTATCTGATAACAAAGCTCAGTGCCCTCTTAGGGCTGACATTCATGTACATATTAAATATTGTAGAACTGATAAGGCTTGGTGGATTATATTTGACAAAGGTTATTTGTATTTCAAAAAGGAATCAACTTTTGAGACAAAGGAATGCTTTAATTCATTCAACAAATATTTGCCAAGTACCTACTTTAGGGATATGATGGTGTGTAAAAAAATTTTTGCTGCTATCATGGAGTTTAGAATATAGAGGTAAGGCCAATATTAATCTAGCAACATTAAATCTTGTGTAATTGTAAACTGAGGTAGATAAGTGCTCAAGAAAAAAAGGTTCTGTAAAAGTTTATATCAAAAGATCCTGATCAAAGAAGTATTCTAGGGGAAATAATCATTAAACTGAGAGCTGAAGGAAGAGTTGGGTTGAATGGCATAAATCTTAAAATGAGACAGGGTTTATACCTGAGGGTTGGTATATTAGTTTACTAGGGGTGTATAACAAAGTATCACAAACTGGGTAGTTTAAATAACAGAAATGTATTGCCTCTAAGCTCTGGAGGCTAAATATCTGAGATCAAGGTGCTGGTAAGGCTGTTTCCTTCTGGGTTGATGAGGGAGATTCTTTTTCATGACTCTCTCCTAGATTCTAGTGATTTGCTGGAAATCTGGTGTTTCTTGACTTGTACACCTTTGCCTTTGTTATAGACTGATGTTGTCTCCCCCTAAAACTTATGTGTTAAAATCCTAACCCCCAGTGTGATGGGATTAGGAGGTGGCTCTTCTTTGGGGAAATAATTAGGTAATGAGTGTGCAACCCTCATCAATGGAATTAGTACCCTTAGAAAAATGACTCCAGAAAGCTCTCTCATCCCTTCTGCTATGTGGGGACACAGTGACAAGGGGGCCATCTGTAAAGCAGAAAGCAGGCCCTCACCAGACACTAATTCTGCCAGTGCCTTGATCTGGGACTTCCCAGCCTCCAGAACCATGATAAATAAATTTCTGTTGTTTAAGCCACTAGCTTATGGTATTTTTGTTGTTAGTCCAAACAGACTGAGATAGCCTTCATCTCCACATGGCATTTTTTTCTCTGTGTCTTTGTGAATAAATTTCTTCTTTTTATAAGGACACCACTCATATTTGATTAGGAGTCTACCCTAATCCAGTATAAGCTTATCTTAATGAATTATGCCTGCAATGACTCTATTTCCAAACTAAGTCACATTTTGAGGTATTGCAGTTAGGACCTCAACATATGTATTTTTGGGGGAGACACAATACAACTCTTACCAGTTGAGAAAGAGACAATGGGAGCAAAGAAGATTTGAAATTTACCTGCTGACTTAGCTAGGTTAATCATGAGAGAACAAAAAGCTTTCATTTGAAAACGCTTCAGGAAATTCAGTGTTCTCAAAGGAGAGTTGGATTGTGTTTATACCAAGAAGGGGGCTGAAACTATCTGAGGAGGAGGTTCAGGCTATAAAGATTATACAGATTGATTATTGAGAAAAGTACAAAGGAGCACAGTGCAAAGTTTGGGAGGTGGAGAAGTTTGAGTCAAAAATAAGGAAGTATAGAGAGCATTATTGGGATGATGGGAAGGTAAAATAAACTGGCCAGGATTAATTGCTTCTATTCATATCTCTGCCTGATGAAAATGGGAGTGAGAAGTGTGATGGCTTTAGTCTCAAATGCCTTCTTGAGAAAGGCCAAAGAATTTAGACTGCCCAGTCCAGAACAATGTCAGTCCCAATAGGTATAGTCTCTGTTCTCCTGGCCAGAACTAGAATCAATTACTGGCTCCATCATTCACTAGATGTGTGCGTTTGGGCCAGTTACAGTACCTCTCTAAGACCGAGCTTTCTCATTCTTAAAATGAGTATAATAATAACACTTAGTTGAGGAAGCTTGTGTAGTACGTCTCAGTATCACTATTGAAGGGCTGGAGGATTCTCATGCCCTCGATAAACTGTGTGATCTCTCAGATCCTCTATTTTCTGATTTTAAAACTGTCATAGTAATGCTTTAGAGTACTGTAATAACAACTTATGGAGATCTTATTTATAAAAAGTAATTTGAGAAATAGAAAAGTAACACCTAGTTACTTTTTTCCTAGTTATTTTGGGCCAGGATTGTGTTCTGTGACTGTGTCTAAATGCACCATGAGAGGACGCCCAGGGAAGGCACCTCCACTCCATTCTATCTCATTCCTCTTTCCTAGTGTGAGTTCATCCTGTGTGCTGATTTATTTTCCTTAATCCACCTGGTCCTATCAAAGGGCCATTTCAGTTAGTTGCTCCACTTCAGTTTATGGGAGATAAGTCTTGTCCAGATTTTCCTAATGGCCAAAAAAGTCAAATCCTTATCCTCTTTGGGCTTTACTCAAAAATGCTTGTTCAGTTAGGGCTCTAGTTTTATTCCCCAGAGATTCTGCATGTTTTATACTGATCTTGCCAGGGCCTTCATCTTTTGGGCTAGTCTCTGGAAAATCTACCTCTGGTCCTGTGCACTTTTCCCCCTCTAGATTCTAGAAGGAAAAGCAATGAATAGCGTCTCCCACAAAGATATTTCCAAGACCTAACCCCCAGTACCTGTGAATAGTGAGAGTAAAATGATTAGTGGCTGCCAGAGGTTCAAGAGAAGGAGAGAAATATTGAATAGGTGAAGGACAGGGGATTTTTTAGAGCAGTGAAGTTATTCTGTATACTGTAATTGTGTATGCATGACATGTTTTTTCATAACCCATTGGACTTTACAATACAAAGAATGAACTTAAGGTATGCAAAATTTAAAAATCACTTAGGAGGGGGCAGGGCCAAGGTGGTAGATTAGAAGCAGCTCATGTGTGCTGCTCTCATAGAGAGGAAACAAAAGGGCTAGTGAACATTGACCCTCCAGGCTGATCATCTGAAAAACCATGCTGGGATCCATCAAGGCAGTGGGTGAACACAGAGTACAGAGATGAGCAAAGTTGGGCACCAGCCTTTCAGGACTCAGAGTGAAGCCAAGAGAACCTCTCCAACATGGGAAAGGGTGAGTGAGTGAGAGCCCCCAGAGGAATTCACACTCTGCACAGGGACCCACACAAGACTTGGAATGGGAGAATCCCCCTGGACCCCCTGGACACCTGCCACCACCATGCTCCTAGACTGAGGCAGAGAGCCAACTAGATGTTTTGCAGGGGCAACTCTTGAGTCCAAGGGGACCTCTACAAGCCTTGGCCCCTTGAGTAGACCAGCACTGGTTCCACAGCCCCAAAAGAGGCCACAGTTGCAGTGCCTGGGAGAAGTAAGATTGCCCCGCCCCCTCTTGCTGGACAGGGCTTGATGGCAGCTTCTGGCCCAGCAGTCCCACTTCAGCCTGAACTTGTCTGGCCACTCCAATCACCCCTCACCACTGGTATCCTGGCGGGCAACCCTCGATAGAGCTTCCAGCCCAGTAGTCCCACTTCTGTGTCAACTTAGCCCATGGACACAGCCTCCTGTTGTCCCAGGAAGCACTCAGACATTAGGGCAGGAGAATGTACCCATCCTCACCACTGATAGCCAGGTGGCCCAGTGCTCCTACTTCAATGGGGACTCAGCTGGAGGGCTCAGCCTCCCATTGTCCCAAGAAATGCATAGACAGCAGGGTGTGTAGCCCCAACCATCCCTGCCACTGGTAGACAGGCGGGCAATGCCTCCTAGACCTTCTGGCCCAGAGGTCCTATATCTGTGGGAACTCAGCCAGTGCGCACAGCCTCCTGCTGTCCCAGGAAGTATCTGGATGGTAGGGTGGGTGTCCCCAAACACCCCTGCTGCTGGAAGCCAGGTGAGCCATGCCTGTTAGAACTTCTGGCTCAGTGGTCCTACTTCTGCCAGAATTTGCTGAGGGTCACAACCTCCTGCTGCCCTGGAAACACCCAGAGAGCAGGGTGAGCAACTCCACTCACACCTGCCTCCCATAGCCAGACAGGGCCCACCCAATAGAGCTTCCAACCCAGCAGTTCTGTTCTACCTGCACTCTGTGAAAAGGCACAAGCCCGTGTTTCTCCAAGAAGCACATGGATAGTATATTAGTGCTGACTTGGCAAGGATACAGCTTGTCTGCCAACAGCAGCTCCTGCCTGAGGGAACACCATGGACCCGAAAACCCAACAAAAAACATAGGCACAGAGACAGTAATTGGAGGGGGCTCCTCCAAGACCCAGGAGTGGACTAGAATTGAAACCAGTCAACCAAAGCCACCTTATACAATAATGAAACCCCCAAGGGCATCAAAGAAGAAAAAAGCAAAAAAAAAAAAAAAAAATCCACTCAAATTACAGCAATGTTAAAGACTGAAAGAACAACAGCCCATACAAATGAGAAAGATCCAGCACAAGAACTCTGGCAACTCAAAAAACCAGAGTGCCTTCTTTACTCCAAGCAACTGCACTAGTTTCCCAGCAAGGGTCCTTAACTAGGCTGAAATGGCTAAAATGATGGAAATAAAACTCAGAATACAGATAAGAATGAAGATCATTGAGATTCAGACAATGTTGAAACCCAATCCAAGTAAGCTAAGAATCACAATAAAATGATACGGAAATTGATCGATGAAATAGCCATCATAAAAAAGAACCCAACTGATCTGATATAGCTTAAAAACACACTACAGGAATTGCACAATGTAATTACAAATATTAACAGCAGAACAGACCAAGCTGAGGAAAGAACCTCAGAGCTCAAAGACTGGCTCTCTGAAATAACTCATTCAGATAAAAAATTAAAAAAGAATAAACAAAACCTACAAGAAATAGAAGATTATGTAAAGAGACCAATTATAGGACTCACTGGCATCTATGAAAGAGATGGGGAGAAAGCAAGAAACTTGGAAAACATATTTTAGGATGTCATACATAAAACTTCCTCAACCTCATGAGACAGGCTAACATTCAAGTCCAGGAAATGCAGAGAACCCCTGCTGACATTACACAAAAAGACCATCCCCAAGACCCATAATTATCAGATACTCCAAGGTTGAAATTTAAAAAAAAAAAAAAAAAGACAAAGGCAGCTAGAGAAAACGGGCAAGTCGCTTGCAAAGGGAATCCCATCAGGCTTACAGGAGACCTTTCAGCAGAAACTCTACAAGCCAGAAGAGGTTTGGAGCCTATATTCAGCATTCTTTTTTTATGAGACAGAGTCTCGCTGTTTCACCCAGGCTGGAGTGCAGTGGTGCGATCTCGGCTCACTGCAAGCTCCGCCTCCTGGGTTCACACCATTCTCCTGCCTCAGCCTCCCGAGTAGCTGGGACTACAGGTGCCCACCACCATGCGGGGCTAATTTTTTTTTTTTTTTTTTTTGTATTTTTAGTAGAGACGGGGTTTCACCATGTTAGCCAGGATGGTCTTGATCTCCTGACCTCGTGAGGAGGTCCTCCTGACCCGCCTCGGCCTCCCCATATATTCAGCATTCTTAAAGAAAAAATTTACAATCAAGAATTTTACATCTGGCCAAACTAAACTTCACAAGTAAAAAGAAATAAGATCATTTTCTTACAAGCAAATGCTTAGGGAATTCATTACCAACACACCTGCCTTATAAAAAGTCCTGAGAGGAGCACTAAATATGGAAAGACCATTACAAGCCACTACAGGAACACATTTAAGTACACAGACCGATGACACTGAAAAGCACCCACAGAAAAAAAAGTCTGCATAATAATCAGCTAAAAGCATGATTACAAAATCAAATCCACACATATTAGTACTAAGCTAATGGGCTAAATGATCCAATTAAAAGGCGCAGAGTGGCAAGCTGAATAAAGAAGCAAGGCCCAATGGTATGCTGTCTTCAAGAGAACCATCTCACATGCAGTGACATCTATAGGCTCAAAATGAAGGGGCGGAGAAAAGTCTATGAAACAGAAGAAATCAGAGGTTACAATCTTAATTTCAGACAAGATGGACTTTAAACAAACAAACATCAAAAAATATAAAGAAGGGTATTATATAATACCCTTCAATTCAATGGTTCAATTCAACAAGAAGGTATAACTCTCCTAAATATGACAGACATCTAACACAAGAGCACCCAGATTCACAAAACAAGTTCTTAGAGACCTACAAAGGGACTTAGAACCCCCACACAATAATATTGGGAGCCTTCAACATCCCACTGACAGAATTAGACAGATCATCAAGGCAGAAAATTAACAAACATATTTAAGACCTGAATGCAATACTTGACCAAAGGGACGGAATAGATACCTATAGAACTTGCCATCCAAAAACAACAAAAAATACATTCTTCTCATTGCCACATGGCACATACTCCAAAATCAAACACAAAATTGGACATAAAACAATACTCAGCAAATTAAAAAAAAAACAGAAATTATACCAACCACAATCTTAGACCACAGCACAACAAAAATAGAAATAAGTTCTAAGAACATAACTCAGAACCATAAAATTACATAGGAATTAAACAATCTGCTCTGGAATAACCTTTGGGTAAACAACAAAATTAAGGCAGAAATAAAGAAATTCTTTGAAATTAATGAGAAAAAGATATAACATATCCAAATCTCTGGGAAACAGCTAAGGCCATGTTAAGAGAGGGAAGTTTATAGCACTAAATACCCACATCAAAAATTTAGAAAGATCTCAAATTAACGACCTAACATCACAACCAGGAGAACTAGAGAAGCAAGAGCAAAGTAAGACCCCAAAGCCACCAGAAGACAAGAAATAACCAAAATCACAGCTGAACTGAAGAAAACTGAGACACTGAAAACCATACAAAAGATCAACAAATCCAGGAGTTGGTTATTAGAAAATATTGATAAGATAGATAGACTACTGGCTAGACTGATAAAGAAAAAAAGACAGAAGTTCCAAATAAACACAATTAGAAATGACAAAGGAGACGTTACCACTGAACCCACAGATATAAAAAAAAACATTGAAGACTACTATAAACACTTTTAAGCACACAAACTAGAAAATTTAGAAGGCTGGGTGTGGTCGATCACGCCTATAATCCCAGCACTTTGGGAGGCCAAGGAGGGTGGATCACAAGGTCAGTAGATCATGATCATCCTGGCCAACATGGTGAAACCCCATCTCTACTAAAATATAAAAAAAAAAAAAAAAATTAGCTGGGCCCAGTGGCATGTGCCTGTAGTCCCAGCTACTTGGGAGGCTTGAGGCAGAGGAATCACTTGAACCTGGGAGGCGGAGGTTGCTGTGAGCTGAGGTTGAGCCACTGCACTCCAGCCTGGTGACACAGTGAGACTCCATCTCAAAAAAAAAAAAAAAGAAAGAAAAAAGAAAAGAAAATTTAGAAGAAATGGATAAATTCCAAGACACATAAACCAGGAAGAAACTGAATCCCTAAACAAACAAACAATGAGTTCCAAAGTTAAATCAGTAGTAAAAAGCCAACTGTATTAATGCATTCTTATGTTGCTATAAAGAAATACCTGAGATTGGGTAACTATAAAGAAAAGAGGTTTAATTGGTTAACAGTTCTGCAAGCTGTACAGGAAGCATGACAGCTTCTGGGAAGGCCTCAGGGAACTTTTAATCATTGCAGAAGGCAAAGGGAAAGCATGTATGTCTTACATGGCCAGAGCAGGGGGAAGAGAGAGAGAGGGGAGGTGCTACATACTTTTAAACAACCAGATTTGTGAGAATTCTATCACGAGAACAGCAGTAGTGGGATGGTGCTAAACCATTAGAAACCACCCCCATGATCTAATCACCTCCCACAAGTCCCCACCTCCAACACTGGGGATTAAAATTGAACATGAGATTTGGGTTGGTTCACAGGTATAAACCATATCATCTACTAAACATAAAAAGCCCAGGACTACACAGATTCACAGCCAAATTCTACCAGATGTAGACAGAATAGCTGGTGCCATTAATAATGAAGCTATTCCAAAAAATTGAGGAAGAGGGACTCCTCCCCAACTCCTTCTGTGAGGCCAGCATCATCCTGATAACGAAACCTGGCAGAGACAAAACAAAAAAAGAAAACTTCAGGCCATTATCCTTGATGCACATAGATGCAAAACTCCTCAACAAAATACTAGCAACTGAATCCAGCAGCACAGTGTAAAGCTAATCCACCACTATCAAGCAGGCTTTATCCCTGGGATGCAAGATTGGTTTAACATAGACAAAACATATGTTTGTGTGATTCATTACACAAACAGAACTAAAAATGAAAACCACATGATAATTCCAATACATGCAGAAAAGGCTTTTGATAAAATTCAGCATCCCTTCATGTTAAAAACTCTCGATAAACTATGCATTGAAGAAACATACCTGAAAATAATTAGAGCCATGTATGACAAATCCACAGACAACATCATACTGAATGGGCAAAAGTTGGAAGCATTTCCCTTGAAAACTAGAACAGCCAGACACGATGGCTCATGCCTGTAATCTCAGCACTTTGGGAAGCAAAGGCAGGCAGACCACTTGAGCCCAGGAGTTTGAGACCAGCCTGGTCAACATAGGGAAACCCTGTCTTTACAAAAAAATAAGAAAAATTAGCCAGGCGTGATGGCACACACCTGTGGTCCCAGCTACTCGGGAGGCTGAAATGGGAGGATCACCTGAGCCTGGGAGCTCAAGGCTGCAGTGAGCTATGATCACACTACTGCACTCAAGCCTGGGTAAGAGTGAAACCCTGACCAAAAAAAAAAAAAAGAAAAGATAAAAGAAAGAGGCCAGGCGTGGTGGCTCAGGCCTGTAATTCTAGCACTTTGGGAGGCCGAGGCAGGCGGATCACCTGAGATTGGGAGCTCGAGACCAGCCTGACCAACATGGAGAAACCCTGTCTCTACTAAAAATACAAAATTAGCGGGCGTGATGGTGCATGCCTGTAATCCCAGCTGCTCGGGAGGCTGAGGCAGGAGAATCGCTTGAATCCAGGAGGCAGAGGTTGCAGTGCGCTGAGATTGTGCCATTGCACTACAGCCTGGGCAACAAGAGCAAAAAAAAAATAAAAATAAAAAATAAAAAATAAAAAAAAAATAAAGAAGAAAGAAAAGAAAACTGGCACAAACAAGAATGCTCTCTCTCACCACTCCTATTTGACATAGTATTGGAAGTCTTGGCTGCAGCAATTAGGCAAGAGAAAGAAATAAAAGGCATCCAAATAGGAAGAGAGGGAGTCAAACTATCCCTGTTTCAAATGACATGATTCTATACCTAGAAAACCCCATAGTCTCTGCCCCAAA
Source organism: Homo sapiens (assembly GCF_000001405.40). NCBI lineage: Eukaryota > Metazoa > Chordata > Mammalia > Primates > Hominidae > Homo > Homo sapiens. The sequence continues at coordinate 21,950,959 of NC_000009.12, forward strand.
GCACATTAATCTGATTCACATCTTCAGCAAAGTTTCAGCATACAAAGTCAACATACAAAAGTCAGTTTCATTCCTATACCCCGATAGCTTTCAAGCTGATAGCAAAATCAGGAACACTATCCCACCACAATTGTTATAAAAAGAACAAAATACCTAGAAATACAGCTAGCCAGGGATGTGGAAGATCTCTACAACAGGAATTATATAACACTGCTCAAAGAAATATGAGATGATGCAAACAAATGGAAAAACATTTTATTCTCATGGATAAGAAAAATCAATATCATTAATATGGCCATAGCGCCCAAAGCAATTTACAGATGCATTGTTATTCCTAACAAACTACCAATGCCATTAGTCACAAAACCTAAAAAAATAAAAAAACTGTTTTAAAATCCATATGAAACCAAAAAAGACCCTTATAGCCAAGGCAATCTTAAGCAAAAAGAACAAAGCTGGAGGCATCACGTTACCCAACTTCAAACTATGCTACGGGGCTACAGTAACCAAAACAGCATGGTACTGGCACAAAAACAGGCACATGGACCAATGGAACAGAATAGAGAGCCCAGAAATAAGGCCACAACCACTGGATATTTGACAAAGCTGACATCATTCTACCATAAAGATACATGCACACAAATGTTCATTGCAGCACTATTCACAGTAGCAAAGATGGGAATCAACCTAAATGCCCATCAAAGGTAGATTAGATAAAGGAAATGTGATACATATACACCACATAATACTATGCAGACATAAAAAGGAATGAGATCATGTCCTTTACAGCAACATAAATGGAGCTGGAGGTCATTATGCTAAGCAAACTAACACAGGAACAGAAAACCAAAATACCACATGTTCTTACTTATAATTGGGAGCTAAAGGATGAGAACACATGGATACTAGGAGGGGTACAACAGACACTGGTGCCTACTTGAGGGCGGAGGGTGGGAGGAGGGAGAGGATCAGAAAAAATACCTGTTGGGTATTATGCTTATTGCCCAGTGATGAAATTTTCTGTACACCAAACCCTTCTAACACACAGTTCATCTATATAACAAGTCTGCACATGTACCCTTGAACCTAAAATAACTATTACAATAAGTAAATACATATTTTTAAAAATCATTTAGAATGTCAGAAAATTCCAGGATTGTATTAGTCTGTTCTTGCACTGTTATGAATAAACACCTGTGACTGGGTAAATTTATAAAGAAAAGAGGTTTAATTGGCTCACAGTTCCACTGGCAGTACAGAAAGCATGACAGCTTCTGGGGAGGCCTCAGGAAACTTTCAATCATGGTGGAAGGCAAAGAGCAAGCAGGCATGTCTTACATGGCCAGAGCAGGAGGAAGAGAGAAGGTAGACGGGCTACACACCTACACAACCAGATCTCGTGTGAACTCTATCACAAGAATAGCACTAGGAGGATGGTGCTAAACCATTAGAAACCACCCCCATGATCCAATCACCAGACCCACAAGGACGCACCTCCAACATTGGGGATTATGATTGAACATGAGATTTGTTTAGGGACACAGATCCAAACTATATCAAGGATAGAGTGTAGAATATGACAAAATAATCTAACTGTATTACAAATGTGTGAAACAACCTCACTGCAGGTGGTGGTAAAAGAAGTGCAGACCTAAGTAACTTTTGGAAATTAGTGGAGTCTGTAATACTAAATGAAAAACTGTTTATAAACGCCACACTCTTGTTTTTCACAGGGATATGGGTTAACAATTCTAATACTTCTATACGTGTGTATTGGAATTGAGCAGTTAAGTAAATTATGGTAAATTGTGGGTAGTGAGGCTGGTTTCTCTCTGCTGGAGTGAGAGTTTATGCCTAATCAAAGGGAGGGAGCTAAAATAATCTCTGTGGTAATGGATTACAGTTGGATATATTAATATTAAATCATATTTGGCTTAATGTAGATACACATGGCTACATACACGTACACATGGCTACATATAGACACATATAGATATGTGTACATACATGATTAGTATACACAAACGTTCCCTTCCATTGACAAATGAGAAGGCCTAGAAGCAACAGTACCCCAGTAGTAACAAGCACATCTGGCATCCAGTTCATGGTTTGTAATAGCACTCTGCAATAAAGGGAAACAGGGCTTCTTAGAAAAATTGGTGTTTCTAGGACTAGGGCAGGAAATATACATGATGAGCCTGTAACATTTTGTAGTGCCAGAAAGGAAAGAAGTGCTAACAACAAAAACAAGCCCACAAAGATGGGGCTGTGTCAAATAGATGTACTGAAAGAGCCAATACCAAGAACTCCTGACGCCAAATCTGGAACACTTTGGGGAAACAAATAAAGCAGTATTGAATTGTAACACAAAGTATAAAATAAATAGCCATGAGTCTACACTAATATAAGTAAATAAGTGAATAAATAAATAAATGGGGGCAAAGAAACAATCTTCCATGCAGAAAAACTCCAAATGATTTATGTAGATATGCCAACCTAAAGGAGATAAAGCATAACTCCTCACTGTTTCAGTTCAGGCCACACATAGTGACTTTCTTCCAAAGAGTATAGTATGAAAAAGGGAAATAAAAGAGTAACTTGTGATGGAAAAGCCTGACAAGCACAAATTACCTCAGCAGAGTGATCAGGGTCAACATAAACAGTAATAAATCATATCAACAGTATGTTCTCTTGATATGATACGATGAAAATCATCTAGTCATCCTTTTTTTTTTTTTAGATGGAGTCTTGCTCTTGTCACCCAGGCTGGAGTGCAATGGAGTGATTTTGGCTCACTGCAACATCCACCTCCTGGGTTCAAGCGATTCCCCTGCCTCAGCCTCCCGAGTAGCTGGGATTACAGGCGCCCGCCACCATGCCCAGCTAATTTTTGTATTTTTAGTAGAGACAGGGTTTCACCACTTTGACCAGGCTGGTGTCGAACTCCTGACCTTGGGTGGTCCACTCTCCTCATCCCCCCAAAGTGCTGGGATTACAGGCGTAAGCCACCGCGCTTGGCTGAAAATCGCCCTTAACCTCTGTAGTCTTCTTCCCCAAAAAAACATTATCCCTGTCTAATAATGACAAAGACATCTAACAAATCCCAAAAGATAGATATTTAAAAAATACCTGACCCATTCTTCTCAAACTGTCAAGATGACCAAAGCAAGGAACAACTGAAAAGCTGTCATAACCAAGAGGGGCCTGAGAAGACATGATGATGAAATGTTATATGATATTCTGGATGGGTTCTTGGTTTGCAAAAGGGAATTTATGCAAAAACTAAGGAAATTTGATTAAAACATGGACTTTCAGTTATGGTAATGTCTTGATATTGGTTCATTAATTGCAATAAATATACCTTGCTAATGTAATATATTCATAAAGGGGAAACTGGGTACAGAGTTAATGAGAACTCGCTAGACTATATTCTAATAGTTCTGTAAATCTAAAACTATTGTAAAAATCAAGTTTACTTTAAAAATATTACTGACTGTCTTGGTTCTGTTTTACTACTTTTTTTTTTTCTTTTTTTTGAGTCAGGGTCTCCCTCTGTCACCCAGGCTGGAGTGCAGTGGGGTGATCTTGGCTCACTGCAACCTCTGCCTCCCGGGTTCAAGCAATTCTCCCACCTCAGCCTCAGAGGTTTGAATAATACTTCTTTGTTTTAATCATTCAGCTCAGATTAAAAACAACGCCTAATTTCTTAATGTCAACTATTGCCTTGCCCTCTGTTATATCCTACCTTCTCCCATTCGTTATAGTCACTCTCTAGTATGGTATTGAGTTGGGGATGTGCATCTGCCCAACAAATTTTTATATTTTTTGTAGAGATGGGGTTTTGTCATGTTGCCCAGGCTAGTCTCAAACTCCTGAGCTCAAGCAGTCCGCCCACCTTGGCCTCCCAAAGCGCTGAGATTACAGGTATGAGCCACATTGTCCAGCCATTTCCATTTACTTTTCTTTCCCATTGAGCCCAATTCTTAAAAACATCCAGTGGCAGCTTAGCTTGGGTGTCTTGGCTCAGCTCTGGAGGTTTGAATGATACTTCTTTGCTTTTCTTTGCTTTAATCATTCAGCTCAGATTTAAAAATTTCTTAATGTCAACTATTGGCTTGCCCCCTGTTATATTCTACCTTCTTCCATTCGCTATCCTAACTCTCTAGTATGGTATTGAGTTGGGGATGTGCACACACAGGCAAACACACACACATACACATCCCCATACATATACAGTGGTGTGCTGAAACTGTGTCAGACCAGCTAGAGAGACCCAATTGTTAAATATTCAAGAATGAGGCAAGCCAGTTATTAAGCACATCCATTATTAAAAATTAAAGGATAAAGTTACAATTAAGTAAATCATATTAAAAAGAAAGGTTATAAATAATATCATTACTTCTATTTATTTTACTATTATCTATACTTTTTGAGGTTAAGTCTACTGTATTTCTATAATGGAATTACTACATACTGGTGTGCTACTTCTTGATTCCGTATTTGGTGATGTCACCCTGATATGACATCATATCATTGATATGATATGAAATAGACCATGGGTGGAGTATTTGTACCATGGATATTGAAAAAACTTAAATCAGAGCTTGAGTTATTGTTTTGTTGATTTTCTACTTTAAAAAGATGGATGTGCTTAATAACCGGCCTTAAAAAGATGGGGGAAAATGTTATCACGGTTAATACTGTAGGTTAAGCTCTAAAATGTTTGTAGCTGTTACATTTGAATAGCACAAAATATTGAGGAATATTCTTTAAGTGTTTGAAAACAGTTTTAAACTCAGCAAAGAGGTTAACTGATATTGTTAACAAGATTCAACTTCATTCAATTCTATTGTTATACTCTCATCTTACTCGTCAATATAAATGAAAATGTCAATTGATATTCATTTGAGAGTTACTCTCATTTGTTAATTGCAACCATAGGTTAACTAAAGATACAAGAGTTTGGCTAAATCAGTGAGAACATTGTATGAGAATAAGTTCATTATACAGAATAGAGAATATTATATATTTTATTATTATTTGTAAGTTTTGTATTACATATCCTTTATGTCAGTAAAATTTATAATAAACATGTACATATTTATTTTTTGCAGTTTGTTATTAAACAGTTACTAGCAAATTGCTATGTACACACATTCCTTATCAAAAATGTGGGAATTATTTGCAACATAAATGAGAACATATGAGGTTATACGTAGTAGGTACAATCTTAAAGAGACAAACCACAAGTATGATTGATACTTCCACTAGACATCTTGTCAAGAGAATTATATTCCCAAATAAGTATCACCAAAAATTTTGTTGAAACTAGACCTTTCCACAAGCTATGGGCTCCTATAAATACATATTTTTACCAGAGTTTCTTCATCTAATTAGGTTTTTAAATTGTGGTAAGAATAAGATACAGATAAATGAATTAGATGCAGCCTGGCCAATATGGTGAAACCCCATCTCTACTAAAAATACAAAAATTAGCTGGGTGTGGTGGCAGACGCCTGTAATCCCAGCTACTCGGGAGGCTGAGGCAGAAGAATTGCTGGGAGCCGGGAGGCAGAGGTTGCAGTGAGCTGAGATTGCGCCACTGCACTCCAGCCTGGGCGACAGAGCGAGACTCCAACTCTTAAAAAAAAAAAAAAACAAATCAATTAGATGTATTAATTAGGAATCTGCTATGAACTGAATTGTGTTCCCCCAAGATTTACATGTTGAAGCGCTAACCTCCAATGTGGCAATATTTACAGATCGGGCCTTTAAAGAGGTAATTGAGGCTACAAGAGGTTGTAAGGGTGGAGCCCTAATCCAGTAGAACTGGAGTCTTTACAAGAGGAAGACACACCAAAGGTGCATGGGCACAGAGAAAAGGCCATGTAAGGACACAGTGGGAAGGGGCCATCTACAAGCCAATGAGAGAGGCCTCAGGAGAAACCAAATCTGTCAACATCAACATCTTGATCTTGTACTTCCAGCCTCCAGACTATGAAAAAACAACTATTGTTTGAGCCGCCCTGTCTGTGGTATACCATGTACCATGGTGTTTGTAGGGAAGCCCTAGTAAACTAAAACAAAATCTTAGATTGTAAGTAATAGAAATCAACTGTAGGTAGATTATAGCAGAAAGAGGACAGAAATGCAGGTAAAAGTTACAACTGGAAACTGCAGTGCTATAGGAAGCCCAAGATGTTCTCTTTTTCTGTATCTCCTCTCTGCTATAGCCTATCTATTTTATTCTGAACATCTTTATTCCACACATCTTTATTCCACAGCTATACTGTCCAATATGATAGTCACAAGGAACATGCGGCTTTTTAAATTTAATAAAATTCAGTTCTTCAGTCACATTAAAGATATTGCAAATATTAAATAGCTACATATGGCTACTGTGTTGGACACTGTAGATATAGCACACCTCCATCATTGTAGATAGTTCTTTTGGACAGCACTGGATTATAGGATTACCAGAGATCAAGGTAAACTTCCCTTGAAGTTGAAGGTAAACTTCCATTTAACCATTAGGACACCTCAGCTGTATCACTCCCTTTTAAGGCCTATATTTAGTTTTGAATTTATAATTTTTTATCATTTTTCTTAGGGACTGATATCACCAGTGACCTCTAGGGAAAGGATTAGTAGTGAGGAGAAACATTATTTTGTATTGTTTGAATGTAAATACATCCATGTACAAACTGCATAATATTTTTTAAGGTATTGGAGTTTTGTATTGCTCATCATTGTATCCAAACACCCAGTATAGTACCTTAACAGGTAATGTTAGGAAGTCGAAGAGATGGACATACGGTTAATGCTAAATCCTGTGATGGTGAGAAGATGCTCTGGTTATGCCTAATTCTTTCTGCTTCAAGCCCAGCTAGGTCTGGGAATTGCTTGGGGAAACTGGAAGCCTGAACCAGAGGACTGTGTGCATGTGTGCATGCGTGCGTGCGTGTGTGTGTACTGGTAGGTAATAAATAACTACTGTGTATCTGACACTATGGTAGTTTATACTTTTTATGTCTACTCTAAACAACAACACTACAAAGTAGTCACCCTTGTACCCATTTTATAAATGAGGAAACTAAGACTAACTCATTTATCCTGGTGTGTTCTTTTTTCTTTTCCTGTTAGTGCAATTTGACAGTTACACAATTGTTACTAAATAGAATGTAGCCAGTTCTAGAGAAACTTCATTCTACCAGTGTTTATTTTATTATTTTATTTTTTATTAGATAATTCATACTCTTGGATCAAAAACTGGTAGCAAATTGTATTTAGCACGAAGTAAATCTTCCTTCACACACTACCCTCAGGCAACCGTCAACAACTTCTTGTGTGTCTTTACAGAAATATTTTATGTGTATACAACACATATACGAATATTTCTAAAATTTAATTTGGAGTATTTTACATACTCCAAATCTTTTTTTTCACTTGACAATATATCTTGAAAATCATTATATATTACTAGATCTGCTGAATTTCTTTTAATAGCTATATGTTATTTGTTGTAGGAAAGCCTCAAAATTTATTCAAATCCCTACTCATTTATGATTGTTGTTTCATATCTTTTGTTATTACAAAGCTTCAGTGACCATTCCTATAAATAGGCCATTTTGCACATGTGGAAATATATCTGCAGAATAAATTTCTAGAGGTAGAGTTGCTGAGTCAAATTTAAAGGCAAAGAGTCTTTAAACTCTTCATAGATATTGCTAATTTTTATCCATAGATGTTATACAAATATACTTCCCCTCAGCAATGTTTATCCATACCCTTTCCAATACTAAGGGAACCCTTTCTTGTACAAGAGAAAAAGAAAGAAAGAAAAATCAATCTAATTTGCTTATAGGCACCTAAAGATTTTTTTTTTTTTGGCCTTGCCCAGAAGTTATGCATTTCAGTGAACCCTACCCTCACCATCCCCATTTCCTGGAATAATATTAATACTACTTTCCAACTGAAACTCTGAGATCACATTCTTTCTTTTCTATTTTATATAATACTGGCCTACTTTATATATGACTGGGATGGAGGTTGTTCATTCTGCTCATCTGTGTATTATGCAAATTTGCCTCCAAGCAGATTGGCCTCTTGCAACCCTGGTGAGAGGTGACAGCATGCTGGCAGTCCTCAGAGCCCTCGCTTGCACCTCCCCTGCCTGGGCTCCCACTTTGGCGGCATTTGAGGAGCCCTTCAGCCCCCACCTGCACTGTGGGAGCCCCTTTCTGGGCTGGCCAAGGCTGGAGCCCACTCCCTCAGCTTGCAGGGAGGTGTGGAGGGAGAGGCGCGAGCGGGAACCGGGGCTGCGTGCGGCGCTTGCGGGCCAGCTGGAGTTCCGGGTGGGCGTGGGCTTGGCGGCCCCGCACTCAGAGCAGCCAGCCAGCCCCGCTGGCCCCGAGGAATGAGGGACTTAGCACCCGGGCCAGTGGCTGCGGAGAGTGTACTGGATCCCCCAGCAGTGCCGGCCCACCGGCGCTGTGCTCGATTTCTCGCCGGGCCTTAGCTGCCTTCCCGCGGGGCAGGGCTTGGGACCTGCAGCCCGCCATGCCTGAGCCTCCCACCCACTCCATGGGCTCCTGTGCTGCCCGAGCCTCCCCGACGAGCACCACCCCCTGCTCCACGGCGCCCAGTCCCAACGACCACCCAAGGGCTGACGAATGCGAGCGCACGGCGCAGGACTGGCAGGCAGCTCCACCTGCAGCCCTGGTGCAGGATCCACTAGGTGAAGCCAGCTGGGCTCCTGAGTCTGGTGGGGACGTGGAGAACCTTTGTATCTAGTTCAGGGATTGTAAACGCACCAATCAGCGCCCTGACAAAACAGGCCACTGGGCTCTACCAATCAGCAGGATGTGGGTGGGGCCAGATAAGAGAATAAAAGCAGGCTGCCGGAGGCAGCATTGGCAACCCACTCGGGTCCCCTTCTGCACCGTGGAAGTTTTGTTCTTTCACTCTTTGCAATAAATCTTGCTACTGCTCACTCTTTGGGTCCACGCCGCTTTTATGAGCTGTAACACTCAGTGCGAAGATCTGCAGCTTCACTCCTGAGCCCAGCGAGACCACGAGCCCATGGAGAGGAACAAACAACTCCAGACGCGCTGCGTTAAGAGCTGTAACATTCACCGCGAAGGTCTGCAGCTTCACTCCTGAGCCAGCGAGACCAGGAACCCACCAGAAAGAAGAAGCTCCGAACACATCTGAACATCAGAAGGGAGAGACTCCAGACGCGTCATCTTAAGAGCTGTAACACTCACGGCGAAGGTCTGCAGCTTCACTCCTGAGCCAACGAGACCACGAACCCACCAGAAGGAAGAAACTCCGAACACATCTGAACATCAGAAGGGACAGACTCCAGACGCACCACCTTAAGAGCTGTAACACTCACCGCGAGGGTCCGCGGCTTCATTCTTGAAGTCAGTGAGACCAAGAACCCACCAATTCCGGACACACTGGGTCACTTTCTGACTGCACTTTCTTGAAGTATTCGTCTTTGGTCCTGTGGTAGTACCCAGTGGACAACCTCACTTGCCTGTAAACTACTTCCTTGAGGTATTTTCCCTAACAACGTGAAATACATTCCATTTCTCTGCTTGCTCTTTTCATGACTCTCATTTCAATGGTCCTTAGAAAACACTTTTTTTGATTATTATTCAGCTTTGTAATACTTATTTCTTCAGTTCCCCATCCATAAAGTCTTTGATTTAGAGGTCAAATCTGTTTTGCTTTACTATTCCTATCTAAAGCTTGAAAGTATGGTAATTAATAAAAACATTCCACATGTTAAATTAGCTTTAATGTTAGCTTTAAAAGAAGATAGCAGTTAATCAGTCTTGATGACGTAGAGGTTGACAGGTAGAAGGATCCTAAAATTTAATTCCTGGGCTGCTAACTTCAAATCTCATCTGTATCAACAGTTTTCTCACTTAAGTCATTAACATCGAAAATTATTTTATTAAATGATTTATAATTGGGAGAGTACTATTTCTCTTTCTCCCCACCTCCAGTTATGAGAAGATACTTATTCCCAGCTTTTTCTGGGTAGAGCTATTCAATTTTTTTTTTTTTTTTTTTTTTTTTTTTTTTTTTTTTTTTGAGATGGAGTTTCACTCTTGTTACCTAGGCTGGAGTGCAATGCTGCAAAATCTGCTCACTGCAACCTCCACCTCCCAGGTTCAAGCGAGTCTCCTGCCTCAGCTTCTGGGGTAGCTGAGATTACAGGTAAGTGCCCCCACGCCCAGCTAATTTTTGTATTTTTAGAAGAGATGGGGTTTCACCATATTAGTCAGGCTGATCTCGAACTCCTGACCTCATGTGATCCACCCGCTTCTGCCTTCCAAAGTGCTGGGATTGCAGGCGTGAACCACCGCATCCAGCCCAATTTGTTTTTTAAATCTTTTTGGCACTCTACCAAATCACGAAGGCTCTTCTTAGTTAGGGGAACAGAAGGGATTTAGTCTTAATAAATTTTTCTCCATGCCATGGGGAAGACTCTCTCAGAAGGTAGCATCTAGAACAGAACATTGAAAAGTTTATAAACAACACCAGTACTTCATACTTTTGTTTTATCTTCCCTTTGAGATAGACGTTTAGTCCTTTACTGTTATTACCTAGCACAATATCTGGCACACAGTAGGTGGCCACTGATTATTTCTTGAATGAAGTAAGGAATGAGAATATTACCTACAGAGTTAGAGCTCTGCGCATTACTTCCTTCCAGATTTCATACATCTTTTTTTAGTAATGAATGCAAACAGGCTCTGGGGCAGCTACATTATCCTTCTGAATCAAGACAGGGATTTCGCAATGCTTATTTTCAATTTCTTCAGAAATGCCTTAAAGATATTAATGGAGGTAACAACTTAATCTCAAATAGTAATCCATAGACAGAATATGTAACAGCAATGTTCTCTGATCTGTTCTTTGGCTTCTATTCCCTAGAGAAATAGTTCTCTAAGACCAAACAGTCTATAGATAGAATTGTAGCAACAGTCAATTATGATGTTAGCTATTTGAGAGACGGTTGAGAATTCAGAAAAAACTACTGAAATGTTGTAAGACAACTCACTCAAAGAACAGTTCAAATAGTGGAAAAGGGAAATGATGATGTATCCATTTATTTTGTTCTATTTTTTCCAATTTCATAGGATAGCAAATGCTGCCCATTTATTTATTTTTTTATTTTTCATAAGTTATTGGGGTACAGGTGGTGTTTGGTTACATGAGTAAGTTCTTTAGTGGTGACTTGTGAGATATGGGTTCACCCTTCACCTGAGTAGGATACACTGAACCATATTTGTAGTCTTTTATCCCTCGCCCCCTCCATCTCTTCCCCGTAAGTCTCCAAAGTCCATTGTATCATTCTTATGCCTTTGCATTCTCATAGCTTAGCTCCCACATATCAGTGAGAACATACAATGCTTGGTTTTCCATTCCTGAGGTAGTTCACTTAGAATAGTAGTCTCCATTCTCATCCAGGCCACTGCAAATGCTGTTAATTCATTCCTTTTCATGGCTGTGTAGTATTCCATTATATATATATATATATACCACAGTTTCTTTATACACTCATTGATTGATGGGCTTTTGGGTTAGTTGCACGATTTTGCTATTGTGAATTGTGCTGCTATAAACATGCGTATGCAAGTATCTTTTCCAAATAATGATTCCTTTTCCTTTGGGTAGAAACCCAGTAGTGGGATTGCTGGATCAAATGGTAGTTCTACTTTTAGTTCTTTAAGGAATCTCCACACTGTTTTCCATAGTAGCTGTACTTGTTTACATTCCCACCAGTGGTGTAAAGGTGTTCCCTGCTCACCACACCCATGCCAACATCTACTGTTTTTTGATTTTTTGATTATGGCCATTCTTGCAGGAGTATAGCATTGTGGTTTTGATTTGCATTTCTCTGATCATTAGTGATGTTGAGCATTTTTTCATGTTTGTTGGTCAGTTGTATATCTTCTTTTGAGAATTGTCTTTTCATGTCCTTAGCCCACTTTTTGATGAAATTGTTTGTTTTTTTTTCTTACAGATTTGTTTGAGTTCATTGTAGATTCTGGATATCAGTCCTTTGTCAGACGCATAGATTGTGAAGGTTTTCTCCCACTCTGTGGGTTGTCTATTTACTCTGCTGACTGTTCCTTTTGCTGTGGAAAAACTCTTTAGTTTAACTGGGTCCCAGCTACGTACCTTTGATTTTATTGCATTTGCATTTTGGTTCTTGGTCATGAAATCCTTGCCTAGTCAATGTCTAGAAGGGTTTTTCCAATGTTATCGTCTAGAATTTTTATAGTTTCAGGTCTTAGGTTTAAGTCCTTAATCCATCTTGAGTTGATTTTTGTATAAGGTGAGAGATGAGGATCCAGTTTCATTCTCCTATTATGTGGCTAGCCAATTATCCCAGCAACATTTGTTTAAAAGGGTGTCCTTTCCCCGTTTTATATTTTTGTTCGCTGTGTCAAAGATCAGTTGGCTGTAAGTATTTGGGTTTATTTCTGAGTTCTCTGTTCTGTTCCATCAGTCTATGTGCCTATTTTTATACTAGTACATGCTGTTTTGGTGACTGTGCCTTTATAGTATAGTTTGAAAGCAGGTAGCATGATGCCTCCACATTTGTTCTTTTTGCTTAGTCTTACTTTGGCTGTGCAGGCTCTTTTTTGGTTTCATATGAATTTTAGAATTGTTTTTTCTAATTCTGTGAAGAATGATGGTGGTATTTTGATGGGGATTGCATTGAATTTGTAGATTTTTTTGGCGGTATGGTCATTTTCACAATATTGATTCTGCTCATCCATGAGCATGGGATATGTTTCCATTTGTATGTTGTCTATTATTTGTTTCAGCAGTGTTTTGTAGTTTTTCTTGTAGAGGTCTTTTGACTCCCTGGTAAGGCATATTCCTAAGTATTTGATTTGATTTGATTTTTTTTTTTTTTTTTTTGCCGCTACTGTAAAAGGGGTTAAGTTCTTGATTTGATTTTCTGCTTGGTCGCTGTTTGTGTATAGAAGAGCTACTGATTTGTATACACTAATCTTGTATCCAGAAACTTTGCTGAATTCTTTTATCAATTCTAGTAGCTTTCTGGAGGAGTCCTTAGGGTTTTCAAGGTAAACGATCATATCATCAGCAAACAGTGACAGTTTGACTTCCTTTTTACTGATTTGGATACCCTTTTTATTTTTCTCTCTCATCTGATTGCTCTGGCTAGAACTTCCAGTACTATGTTGAAGAGGAGTGGTGAGAGTGGGCATCCTTGTTCCAGTTTTCAGAGGAAATGCTTTCAACTTTTCCCATTCAGTATTATGTTGGCTGTGGGTTTTCATAGATGGCTTTTATTACATTAAGGTATGTCCCTTGTATGCCAATTTTGCTGAGAGTTTTAATCATAACAGGATGCTGAATTTTGTCAAATGCTTTTTCTGCATCTATTGAGATGATCATGTGATGTTTTGTTTTTAATTCTGTTTTCGTGGTGTATCACATATGTTAAATCATCCCTACATTCCTGGTATGAAACCCACTTGATCATGTCATGGTGGATTATTTTTTGATATGTTGTTGGATTCTGTTAGCTAGTATTTTGTTAAGGATTTTAGCATCAATGCCCAACAAGGATATCAATCTGTAGTTTTTAAATGTGCTTTTCTGGACCGGCACGGTGGCTAAGGCCTGTAATCCCAACACTTTGGGAGGTCGAGGAGGGCGGACCACTTGAGGTCAGGAGTTCGAGATCAGCCTGGCCAAAATGGTGAAAATCCGTCTCTACTAAAAAGGTGTTGTGGCGGGCGCCTGTAATCTCAGCTACTGAGGAGGCTGAGGCAGGAGAATCGCTTGCACCCGGGAGGCGGAGGTTGCAGTGAGCCGAGATCGCACCACTGCACTCCAGCCTGGGCGACAGAGAAAGACTCCGTCTCAAAAAAAAAAAAAAAAAAAAAAAAGTTGTTTTCTGCTATTTCCTGAACTTTATTACGTAAATGAGACACGTGAGATCTGGAAGGAGGTGGAGGTGAAGACCCTCCCACCTGGCCTGCATCCAGAGTACTTGGGGTGTGGCACTGGCGTGGGCCCCAGGAAGGATCCCAGCCAGTTTTGGTGCTGGAGGCCCGGCCAAAGGAAGGGCTGCTCTCCCGTCCCGCGGGCTCCGAGGTCGCCGCACCCGGGCGCGCCTGGGCCTCGTCACCCGCGCTCGTGACGCGTGCTTACAAAGGAAACTTTTACAGGTTTCGGTGGGCAGGGCCTTTTATTGCCCTTCTGCTCCACAGCCCCCGTGCTTAATCGGTTGGTTGGGAGGTTTCTTTCGTCCGTGGTTTTGGAAAGTCCCCGCCTCCAAACCGCAGTCCCGCAGTCAGTTCTGCAGCCTCAGGGCCTCGAACAGCCATGCTTAGAATCCGTCCTTCTTTCCTGCTCCATCTACCCTTCCCCTCTGGCTTCTTTTTTTTCACTGGAGAAAGCCCACCCGAGTCTCTCAGCCTGCTTCGGAGGTTACTGCGGCCTCCTCCACGGGTAGTTCTGGGACCCGGGTCTAGTCCGCGGTTCCGGAGCAGGTCCCTCCCTGGAGTCGTCAGGCCCAGTATGCGTGTGCTCAGTGTGCTCGGGAAACACGCGTGGGCTTTAACAGCAGATCTCCATAAAAGGGTCCCGGAGATAGCCTCTGCCTGGCCCGAGGCCCAGTGCCTCAAAGCGGACGCCTTTGCGCTCCCGGAGGTGCTCACACCACAGCGGAGCCTGCTGGCGAGTGGAGCGTAGGACTGCGAACCAGCAATCTCCCGAGAAGCGGCGAGGGGGAGGGGAATGTCTGTGAATCGGTTATCCCTCCCACCCCCAGCAGAAGTCGGGGAAATGGGGGTGGAAGGGGGAAAAAGGGAGAGAACAGGAGTGGGGTTGAGGAAGGGTAAGGAGGAAGGTGAGCTTCCTACAGCTGCGGGGGAAGGTGGAGAAAATTTTCAGGGGGACAGCTGAGTGGTAGAGCTAGCGAGCTTCAGAGAAATGTTGACAGACAGATGCCCAGAAAGTGAGGATGCCGGGCATGGGCACTGCGTACCAGGCACAGGAGATATATGGAGGCAGGAAATTGGCACATCATAAGCATTTGACCATCCTGCCCTAAAACAAAACAAATTGAACAACAACAACAACAAAAGATAATAGCAAAAGTGGCACAGTAGTGAGCTCGCAGGGCCCATTCCTATATAGAAACACAGAAAAATAAGCAAAAGCTGCCAGAATTGACTTCGTGGGAACTCTGGGAAACAGTAAGAAAGTTTTACAGCAACCAAGTGAGTGCTGAACCAAGGCAAAGGTAACTGAAACGCAATGATAGAGAAGAGGGGCAGGGAAGTGTTGGGTAGACAAAGGCGGGTCCCTGGTAAGGGCCCTCCCCTGGGCCTGTGCCCACTGGACCTAGGTGAGGACAGGCACTCCTTCCTTCACGCCCAAATGTTGCATATCCCAAGACCACCCTGTCCCGCCACGCCCCCATCCTTTGCCTATGAAAACCCTGAGACCCTAGCAGGCAGACACACAAGCGGCTCTATGTCCAGAGGAACTCATCGGAGGAACTGGACGTGGAGCGGGGCACCCCAGCGGAAGGGAGCACGCCAGTGGAAGAGCACACTGACAGACCATAGGAGTCAGTCTGTTATATTATCATAGTATAATATTATAAAATTATTATAATACAATAAAAATATAAAAATATAAATAATGTAATAAATATGGATAAAAATAATAATTACATATTTATATTTATATGAGAACACTATGAATAATTTTAAGCCAAAAAACAACTCGATGTTCATCACTGGATGAGTAGACGAGCAATTTCCAGTATATTCATACAATGGAATATGATTCAGCCATAAAATGAAATGAGGTACTGATACATGCTGCAGCAGGAATGAACCCCCAAAACACTACACTTGGTGAAAGAAGCCAGACACGGAAGGTCACATATTGTATGATCCCATTTATAAGAAATATTCAGAATAGGTAAATCCATAGAGACAAAAGGAGTTTTGTAGTTGCCAGGAGTTGGAGGCAAGAAGAGTTTAACAGGTATGCTTAATGGGGCCTCCTATGCAGTTGACGAAAATGTTTTGGGCTAGATAGGAGTGATGGTTGCATAACATTGTACTAAATGCCACTGAATTCTACTCTTTAAAATTTTTAGTTTTATGTTATGTGGCGTGTACCCTAAAAAAAAAAATAGAGGTGCAGTGCTCCAGCACGGGATGAGGCAGCGTGGACAGGAGCATCTCCCAACCTCAGTGAAGTCTGAGCCGCGTGCCTGCAACAATCCCACTGTGGCAGAGAACCGCAGAGTTCCTTCCGGTTTGGCAGCAGTCATTCGCAACCTCACAGCCCTCTGGAACCCCAGCCTGGGGGTCTCAGAACGCCGAGGCGGGGACTGGGAGCCGAGTCGGATTCCGAGACTATGGGCCAGGGTTGGCTGGATTCAGTTACCTGGCTGAGGCCTGGTGAGCAAAATATCCCAAACCTCGCGTGATCTGGAAGGGGAAGCCGGATAAATACGGATCTCCAGATGTGCCAGTCTCGAGTCTATCGATATGAGGTCCCCCTAGAGTTTCTATTCATCATTTTAACCGCATTTCATCGATCTTGAGACACGGCTTTTGATATTTTATCACCTCAAGATAAATAGTGTTAGATGTCTAATAGCAGCGTTTTTCTAAGAGATACATGAAACAACAGTGTCAGAAACGATGCTGTCTTCCATGCGATGAAATTGTTGTAATAGGTGCTCAATAAATGTTGACAATAAATGAGTGAATGAATGAAAATTATTTTATTTTTATTTGAGCTTTGGTTCTGCCATTTGCTAGCAGTGTGACTCAAGAGAAGCCAGTAACCCCCCTGAGCTTCCCTAGTTCACAAAATGCTTGTCATGAAGTCGACAGCTTCCGGAGGCTGCGAGGCTCGCAAGAAATGCCCACATGAATGTGCGCTTAGGGCGTGAGTGCTCACTCCAGAAAACTCCAACACAGTGAAAAGGCAGAAGCGGTGTTTTTCTTTTTTACATTTTTATAAGAATATATAAAAAATGATATAAATGGACATTTACGGTAGTGGGGGAAGGCATATATCTACGTTAAAAGGCAGGACATTTTTAAAAGCTCTATTTTCTAAATGAAAACTACGAAAGCGGGGTGGGTTGTGGCGGGGGCAGTTGTGGCCCTGTAGGACCTTCGGTGACTGATGATCTAAGTTTCCCGAGGTTTCTCAGAGCCTCTCTGGTTCTTTCAATCGGGGATGTCTGCAGAGGGCAGAAAGAAAACAGGCGTTAGAAACCTGAGGTCAAAGATGTGTGGCACATCCCGCCCTCCTCTCTTGCCGTCCCTACCGGCATTGAAATACTTATGGATAAAGTTCTCGCAATGGCTTCACGTGCATGTACCCGCCGCCACCGCTCTCCCACACCTCCCTGGTCCAGCAGCTAGTCCACTGCCCGCCTGGCTGCTCCAGGCGCGCCGACCGCTCAAGCGCTCCAGGTCCACCCGGCGGAGGGCAGAGAAAGCGCGACCGCGCGGCCCGCAGGGTTGCAAGAAGAAAACGAGTGTTATATAATGAGTCTCAGTGGTTGCTCACAATGCCAGGCGCGAAGGCGTGAAGATGTGGCCTTTCCCTTCCCGCATCCCCAGGCATCTTTTGCACCTGGTGCGGAGTGAGCCAGCCAGCTTGCGATAACCAAAGGGCGCCTCAGGCTCTGGCGCTCCTCGGCGGAATCCCGTAGCTTCCCTACGCATGCCTGCTTCTACAAACCCACAAATGGTTTCCGATCATTTCTGAAACAAAATGGATGCTCATTTATTCATGTGCTCTGGCTTCTGCCTTCCTCTCTAATCTCGTTGCGTATGGGCTCCAGCTCGCCGTTCGGTTCTCCCGAGGCAGCATTTACACTTGAGAGTCTCAAGATTATTTTATTCCTGAGGGAGCATTTGCACTTGAAAGTCTCTTTTTACGTTTATTCCTGAGGCAGCATTTGCACTTGAGTTTCTTTCTCCCGTAGCTTGCATTAGATTCTCCGACCACTCTTTAGCTTCTCCTCCTATTCACACTTCATATTTACCCATTGCATTGGTTTTATAAACTCGCTCTCTGAAAATAGATTGTTATCTTCCTTAACGTCTGTTTCCCAGGTCGGGCAAGATAGCTTGGGACTGTAATCCCAGTACTTTAGGAGGAGGAGGGGGGATGATCGCTTGAGCCCAGATAACATGGTGAGACCTTCGTCTCTATTAAACAAACAAACAAACCCAGGCGTCGTGGCGTGCACCTGTGGTCCCAGCTAGTCGGGAGGCTCAGGTGGGAGAACCCCTTGAGCCAGGGAGTTTGAGGCTGCAGTGAGCTGTGATCGCGCCACTGCACTCCAGGTTGGGCAACAGATCGACTCTGTCTCCAAATGTAAACCCCATGAGGGCAAGACTCTTGTTTGGTCTCATTCACCTTGGCGTGCCCACCACCTAGAACAGGGCTGATCACGCAGTAGAATCTAACCATATAATTAATTGTGCTTGAAGAGGGGGTGTTGGGGAGTAAGAGAAGGAAGGGAGGAGGGAAGAAATGAAAGACTTGTGTGTTTGGATTAAATATATTAGGTTTGGTTAAGAGTCGTTCAGTTTATTCATTTGCTTGTGGCCCAATTCAGTAGTTTTACTCCCTCTCCCACTTGGCTCCTCAGGCTTTTTGCTCAGCCCTGGAACCGCGCTGTAATTGGCAGCTCCTTCTAAATCGGGACCCGGATGCTAGCTGTAACTGGAGCCGAAGTCTCCTTCTTCACCTCCCGGGACCTGGATGCTAGCTGTAACTGGAGGGAATTGGCGGGGGGGAGGGGAGGAGGGGCCGAGTAAAGAAGAACTTCGCGTCTTTAACTTCGAAGGTGATTTTGCGTTCTGTATTTACAGCATCTCCAAGCAGAGGGCTTAGAGCTAACTCTTCACCCTGTCCTCCCCAGCTCCCCTATGGCCCAAGGAGCCCAATGCCCCCGTTCTGGGCCAAAATAAGATGGATTTCATAATCTTCAAGGTCATGTTTTACCTTAAATATTCGTGTTAATTCCCGTGTACTGTTTCATATATCTATTTTGTTTCAAAAAAAAATGTTCCTCCCCCCAGAAACAATTGAGTAATGTTGGCAGTTTCAGCAGACAGCTGTGGGAGTAGGGAACTGGGGCCATGGAATGGGGGCGGAGGGAGGATGCTTTGAGATCACAAAAAGGAAAGGCAAGGGCAAGGAGGACCATAATTCTACCTTCATCGCTCAGCGATCTCTTGCACAAGTTTAAGAGGGAAAGGAGCCAACTCCGGTGCACAGACTGCCAGGGTCAGCGAAGTCTTGGTCCTGATGTCCCCAGAACCCCCTGGGGCAGCTCTGGAAAACTCTACCGCATAAAGCGGAGGGTCAGATTAGCTGAGGAGGGTCAGATTAGTTGAGTTGTGCAGAAGAGCCGAGATCGAGAGATCTCCAGATGATGCCACGCACAATTGGGTTTGGAAATCCTGAGGTTGGTCCAGCCAGCTTGGTATGCAAATGAGGAAACAGACCTGGTAAGTGGATGCAACTGGCCCTAGTTTGGAGGAAGAGGGGGCACTAGACCTCTAGCCTCTTGAGTCTTCATTGCTCCGCAGTCTAGGCCTTGAACTAGCAGAGGGTAGGTGTTTGGGTGGTGGTATGCTTTGGGAAGTATAATGTACAAAATGGGCTTTCACGTGCGCAAGTCCATTTCGGGATTATTTCCCATTTGCCGCCCTGGCGGGGCAGGGCGATAGGGAGACTCAGGCCGTCCCACCGATTGGCGCGTGAGCTGAGGCAAGACCGGAGACTGGTCTCCCGGGCTGAACTTTCTGTGCTGGAAAATGAATGCTCTGAGCTTTGGAAGCTCTCAGGGTACAAATTCTCAGATCATCAGTCCTCACCTGAGGGACCTTCCGCGGCATCTATGCGGGCATGGTTACTGCCTCTGGTGCCCCCCGCAGCCGCGCGCAGGTACCGTGCGACATCGCGATGGCCCAGCTCCTCAGCCAGGTCCACGGGCAGACGGCCCCAGGCATCGCGCACGTCCAGCCGCGCCCCGGCCCGGTGCAGCACCACCAGCGTGTCCAGGAAGCCCTCCCGGGCAGCGTCGTGCACGGGTCGGGTGAGAGTGGCGGGGTCGGCGCAGTTGGGCTCCGCGCCGTGGAGCAGCAGCAGCTCCGCCACTCGGGCGCTGCCCATCATCATGACCTGCCAGAGAGAACAGAATGGTCAGAGCCAGGGTGGGGGCCGGCATGACGGAAAGGAAGCTTGTGTAGAGCCCCCTCACCGCCAAGCAGACCCCCACACAAGCCCCAGGTGTCTAATTACCCCTACATTTGCTTCCAGTTTCCAATTTCCTTCTTGAGTTCTCTATCCATTCTTCAGTACACAATGAATTCCATTATATCCTCCGAACTTCTGCGGAGCTGTCGTCACAGGCAGAGAGCACTGTGAGGCACGGGCAAAATAGCAAAGGGGCAGGGACAGACTGACTTTTACTCCAGGCTAACTTCCTGTATTTCCCCTGAGATACAACTACTGAAATTTCTTCCTGAAATTATGTTAGGCCTGGAGATTTTTTTTTTTTTTTTTGTTCACTGCTGTATATCCAAGCGCAGAATGTGGTAATTGTTAAAAAGAGAAAACTTGTTTGTTTGTTAAAACAAATTCTCACAAAACTTTTAAGTTACACTTAGCTTCTGGGAATGTTGAACTTCAATTTCTTTTTCATTATATTAGTTTTAAAATTATATATTGGGATAGTACAGTTGTATATATTTATGTGGTACAATATGAAGTTATGATCTTTGAACACAATGGGGAATTATTAAGTCAAGCTAAGTAACCTATCCATCATCTCAAATATTTGACATTTTTGTCAAATGAGAGCATTTGGGATTTACTATTTAGCTATATTCATCATGCTATGAAACACATCTCAAAAAAAACAATCAAACTTATTCCTCCCATCTTAACTGAGGCTTTATATCTTGATTACCATCTCCCCATTCCTCCCACCCCCCAGCTCTAGTAACCACCATTCTACTCTTTACTGCTAAGAATGTAATTGTTTTATATTTCACAGATAAGTGAGAACATGTGATATTTGTCTTTCTGTGTTTGGCTTATTTCATTTAGCATAATGCTCTCCAATTCCAAAACTTCAATTTCTTCAAGTATAAAATAAGAAGGCTAGTTTAATTAACCCTAAAATTCCTTCCTGTGGTAGGCTGAATAATGCCCCCCCACCCCCAATGTCTATGTCCTAATCCTCAAAAACTTTTAATACATTAACTTATGTGGCAAAAGAGGCTTTGCAGATGTGATTTAATTAATGGTCTTGAGGGAGATTATCCAGAATTTTCAGGGTGGGCCCAACATAACCCCAAGTGTTTTTATTAGAGGGTCACAGTCAGAGAGAAGATACAAGAATGGAAGCACAGGCCACAGAGAAAATACAGAGACCATGAGCCAAGGAATTTGATGGTCACTAGAAGCTGGAAAAGACAAGGAAACAGATTGCCCCTTAGAGTTTCCAAAAGGAATGAAACCTTGTGGACCCATTTTTGACTTCTGATCTCTAGAACTGTAAAATAATAATTTTGTGTTTGTTTTAGCTAACACATTTGTGATAATTTGTAACAGCAGCAGTAGGAAACTAAAACACTTCCCAGGTTTATGATTTGAGAGTTCATTAAACAAGAGATGGTCACCTCTTTGGTTCCTAAATCATCTTGGAAACAAAGCCATTTCCAGAGAGGAATTTTAAAATACTGTCTGCAGTCATAGCAACCTTAAAATTTGAGTGCTGCATGGTGGAAGTAGACAATTTATTTTAGGATAACTGTTATTTGTTATATTAGTTTGAGGATGGTGGTGTTAAAGAGGAGTTACTTATTTTTAGGTACATTTCATACTAAACACAAATTGCATAATTTGCCTAAATCAAGGAATTATACTAAATTATATTATGGTTATTAAATCCTGTCCTGAGAAAGTGAAACTGACTCAGTTTTCAAAGAGACAAAGAGAAAGTATAAGCAAACCAAATTGCAGCTACAAAAAGAAAGACAAAATGTTGCAGTATATTTATTGTTTTGTGTATTCAATGAAGTCCTTCGTCTTGGTCATAAAACTAGCCTTAAAGGTTTTTCTTATATTTCATAGTATGAAAAATCTAAAAAGTAACCCATATGTAAATATTTAAATCATGATAGAAATCCAAAGCAAAAAGAAAATGAATCAATTGAATTAAAATGTGTAGGATGCTTAAACCCATTTGATAATATATCCATTTGATAATATACTAATATGAATTTAGTACTTTAAAATGTTATATAAATAAATGTTCCTATATTAAACACCAATGTAGTTAGGATTCTAAGCCAACATCATTTCCCCTTTTCTACATGTTCTTCTCCCGTCTCCATTAAAAATTGTCAAAACTATCCACTTTTCTTTTTCCTTTTTGTTTTTAAACAAATAAGGTCTCTTCTAAGATATTGTAGGACTACAAAGCCAAACTCCCGGGTTCAAGCTGTTGGCAAAATTTTAGAGATGCTAAGTTACCCATGTATTAATTACTTTTAAATCCTCCCCTAACTCCCTCACAAAACAGGAGTAGGGAGAGGAGAAACACCTCTGTTCAAAAATGAGGAATTGAAAACTCTTATCACAAATAAACTATATCAAGTAAGCTAAAGATAGTAAAAGAGCAAAAATGTTAGCAGATATTCCCAAAATGGTAACTACATATTACCTCTGGAATGATCACATGAATGTGGCTCATTATTTCCTAAGTTCCTACAGCAAACATATATTTATTTGCCCTACTCAGTTAAAAATAAACACAATATGTAGTTGCTTCTGAATAATTTTTCTCTCTCTCTTTCTCTCTTTCTTTCTTTCGACAAAGTCTCACTCTGTCACCCAGGCTGGAGTGAAGTGGCTCCATCTCGCTGTTCACTACAACCTCAGCCTCCCGGGTTCAAGCGATTCTCCTGCCTCAACCTCCCGAGTAGCTGGGATTACAGGCGCCTGCCACCACCCCCGGCTACTTTTTGTATTTTTAGTAGAGGCGAGGTTTCACCTGTTGGCCAGGCTGGTCTCGAACTCCCGACCTCAGGTGATTCCCCCCGCCTTGATCTCCCAAAGTGAAGGGATTACAAGGCGTGAGGCACCGCGCCCGGCCGCTTCTGAATAATTTCGATCAAAATTTATATTCGATATTTATTCCAACATACACCACAGATTTCCACTGATAATCCCTCCTAGTAAGAAAGATAAGCTCCATCCAGGTATCTGTGAATTGGAGGCTAAGTAGTCCCAGCACATCTTACATTTCTTTAAGACTCCCTTTTTATCCCAAACGTTCGTAAATTTTGTATCTGATAAAGAGCATACTTCCATCTAATACAAATATGTTCCCCCCTTCAGATCTTCTCAGCATTCGAGAGATCTGTACGCGCGTGGCTCCTCATTCCTCTTCCTTGGCTTCCCAAGCCCCCAGGGCGTCGCCAGGAGGAGGTCTGTGATTACAAACCCCTTCTGAAAACTCCCCAGGAAGCCTCCCCTTTTTCCGGAGAATCGAAGCGCTACCTGATTCCAATTCCCCTGCAAACTTCGTCCTCCAGAGTCGCCCGCCATCCCCTGCTCCCGCTGCAGACCCTCTACCCACCTGGATCGGCCTCCGACCGTAACTATTCGGTGCGTTGGGCAGCGCCCCCGCCTCCAGCAGCGCCCGCACCTCCTCTACCCGACCCCGGGCCGCGGCCGTGGCCAGCCAGTCAGCCGAAGGCTCCATGCTGCTCCCCGCCGCCGGCTCCATGCTGCTCCCCGCCGCCCGCTGCCTGCTCTCCCCCTCTCCGCAGCCGCCGAGCGCACGCGGTCCGCCCCACCCTCTGGTGACCAGCCAGCCCCTCCTCTTTCTTCCTCCGGTGCTGGCGGAAGAGCCCCCTCCGACCCTGTCCCTCAAATCCTCTGGAGGGACCGCGGTATCTTTCCAGGCAAGGGGACGCCGTGAGCGAGTGCTCGGAGGAGGTGCTATTAACTCCGAGCACTTAGCGAATGTGGCACCCCTGAAGTCGCCCCAGGTTGGGTCTCCCCCGGGGGCACCAGCCGGAAGCAGCCCTCGCCAGAGCCAGCGTTGGCAAGGAAGGAGGACTGGGCTCCTCCCCACCTGCCCCCCACACCGCCCTCCGGCCTCCCTGCTCCCAGCCGCGCTCCCCCGCCTGCCAGCAAAGGCGTGTTTGAGTGCGTTCACTCTGTTAAAAAGAAATCCGCCCCCGCCCCGTTTCCTTCCTCCGCGATACAACCTTCCTAACTGCCAAATTGAATCGGGGTGTTTGGTGTCATAGGGAAAGTATGGCTTCTTCTTTTAATCATAAGAAAAAGCAAAACTATTCTTTCCTAGTTGTGAGAGCCCCACCGAGAATCGAAATCACCTGTACGACTAGAAAGTGTCCCCCTACCCCCTCAACCCTTGATTTTCAGGAGCGCGGGGTTCACTAAGTCAGAAACCCTAGTTCAAAGGATTCCTTTTGGAGAGTCGGACTGCTCTCTCCTTCCCCTCCCCTTCCCCTCCTGCGTGTAAAACGGCTGTCTGGGGCAAGGGTTTCTCAGACGTGTACATTGCCTGGTATAAGAGCAGACTCTGAAAAGATGAGGTTTATTTAATACGGACGGGGGAGAATTCTGCCTGTAGGCAGATAGGAAAATGGGGAGGGAGTCATTGGAAGGACGGACTCCATTCTCAAAGTCATAATTCCTAGACCAGAAAAAGTGCTCAGTGTTCTAGAAGCAGAGTTGCACAGTGATCCAAAGACCAGCTTCAAATACTGTCCTGTCTCCTTCACACTTCTCACATTTCTCTTTCCTACTGAAAATACCTTGCATTTTTCGTAATTATAAAGGGGGAAGGGAATATGAGTGCCCCCTGCTTTATAGGGGTTGTTGTGAGTTTAAATGATGTATTAATACATATAAGCCTTAAGAACAGTGCCACACATCCTAAGCTAATACCTGTTAGCTCTTGAATTATCCGCTTTGAGGACTGGCTTGCAATCTTGTTTTGAGGCATAGAAAGAAAATGCTTTGGAGCAGGACGCGGTGGCTCACACCTGTAATCCCAGCACTTTGGGAAGCCGAGGCGGGCAGATCACCTGAGGTCAGGAGTTCGAGGCCAGCTTGGCCAAAATGGTGACACCCCGTCTCTACTAAAAATACAAAAATTAGCTGGCCATGGTGGCGCACGTGTGTAATTCCAGCTACTCAGGAGGCTGAGGCAGGAGAATCGCTTGAACCCGGGAGGCAGAGGTTGCAGTAAGCCGAGATCGCGCCACCACCCTCCAGCCTGGGTGACAGAATGAGACTCCGACTCAAAAAAAAAAAAAAAAATGCTTTGGATAGAATTATCACTATTACATAAAAGGAAAGTCCGGATGCGGTGGCTCACGTCTATAATCCCAGCATTCTGGGAGGCCGAGACAGGCGGATCACCTGAGGCCAGGAGTTCGAGACAAGCCTGACCAACATGGCGAAACCCTGTCTCTACTAAAAAATACAAAATTAGCGGGGCTTGGTGGCGCATGCCTGTAATCCCAGCTACTCGGAGGCTGATGTAGGAGAATCGCTTGAACCCAGGAGAAGGCGGAGGTTGCAGTGAGCCGAGATCGCGCCATTGCACTCCAGCCTGGGAGACAAGAGCGAAACTTGGTCTCAAGAAAAAAAGAAAGAAAGAAAGAAAGAAAGACCAAGAAGAACTTACTCCCTGAAAAGATTATGGGCACCCTCCACCACCCTCACTTACAAAGAAAAGTTAAACAGCACTAAAGAGTATAACAAGCGCAAGGAGGTAAAAGTTCTAATTTTTCCTGTGACTACTACTTTTTAAGCTTATCAAAAACATGTACTACGTTTTAAAAAATGGATTGCTCAGACTTTGCTGATGCCTTAAGCACATGCTTAATCTGCCTACTGGATAATCCAGCTCTGTTTAAAAGTTATATTTCAATCCCTGGTTGACTTAAACCTTGTAGACCCAGTATATCTTGTACTTTTAGTGTCTGCTTGATTTTAAAACATGTAGTTTTTAAAATGAAGCCAATGAAAACAATTTGGGATGTCAAGTATGTTATTAAAATCTACAATGCATTACTGTACCATTTATATTTTCCTCGGGGTACCTCTCAATTAGCTGTGTAGCAATGATAGGGAAAATTCAAACTATCGATAAATAAAATTATTTTAGTTTAGTTTAAGATATTTTATGATGGAGGAGGAAGAAAGTGGTTGCCAGGATGGGAGGGAGGGAACACATTTCCATCACTAATACAATGGTTCTTTCTTTTTGTTTGTTTGTTTTGTGTGTTTTTTTGAGATGGAGTTTCGCTCTGTTGCCCAGGCTGGAGTGAAATGGCACCGCACGATCTCTCTCGGTTCACTGCAACCTCCGCCTCCCGGGTTCGAGCAATTCTCCTGCCTCAGCCTCCCGAGTAGCTGGGATTACAGGCACATGCTGCCATACCCAGCTAATTTTTGTATTATTAGTAGAGACGGGGTTTCACTATGTTGGCTAGGCTTGTCTCGAACTCCTGACCTCAGGTGATCCACCCACCTTAGCCTCCCAAAGTGCTGGGATTACAGGCATGAGCCATCGTGCCCGGCCTACAGTGGTTCTTAATGGGGGTGGGAGAGTGGGAAGAGTAGGCTCCTTCAAGAGTCTGTTGAAATAAATACCTTCTTCTCAAAAAAGAAAGTAGGTAATGATTTTTTTTAAAAAAGATGTGTTCACTTGCACATGTATTTCTAGATAAAACTTTCAGTGAATTCAGGGATTTCTCTGAAACTCTACCATGGATTCCTACATCAAGAACTCTTTCAGCTCTTGTGAAAAATATATATAGCTATTGGTGAAGAAGATGGGAGATGCAACCATATAAAAACAACATTTGGATGCATTATAAACAGGTGTAAAAGTTGACTGCTTTGGAAATACCAAGAACAAGTTTTAGATATGTATATCTCATATCTTGCAGTAGAGCTCTGGAAGGATTATGGCATCCTTGGGTGGGGCCATTTTGCTCTAGAAATTGAAGTCCATTATCCATTATAAATCTTATGTAGGGGGGAGGGGGGAGGGATAGCATTAGGAGATATACCTAATGCTAAATGATGAGTTGATGGGTGCAGCACACCAACATGGCACATGTATACATATGTAACAAACCTGCACATTGTGCACATGTACTCTAAAACTTAAAGTATAAATAATAATAAAATTAAAAAAATATTATGTAAATAATTAATAATAGTGGGAAAACTTTCCTAGTTTTTCTGTTAAAGAGCCCATTATACTCCCAGTTTACTCATACATATCGACCTGAGGTGCAAAATCCTAGAAGAATGAAAATATAAAGTCCTGGATCTCTGTGCTCCTTATGCCAGTCTCAGATTTCCTATGTGCAAAATGGGATTATAATATATTTCATGTGGCCATAAAATATGATAATGTATGTCCAAAAGCTTTTAATGTAAAAATTTACTACATTTACTAAATTTACTAAAGTTTGTTGGTTATTGTTATTATTATTCTCACACTTACTTTTCCTCTTTCCTGAGAATGCCATTCTTTTTTTAGATTTGCACTGCCTTTGCAGTTTTGAAAATTCTACACGTGAAATTTAAACCTGTCTTAATTCTGATCAGTCTTATAACAAAAAAAGACTACCACCTGTTCATTCATTCAACAAGCTCAGAAACTAAGGGCAGACATGGGGTGGGGGCAGAGGGGAGTAGGTCAAACATAGTATCTCTACAGTCAGACTGCCAGGGTTCAAACCTCAACTGTTCCACTTATTGGTTCTTTAACTTTTATCAAAGTTACTCAACATGTCTGGGCCTCTGTTTTCTCATTTGCATGATTAGGATAATAACTGTACTTGCCTCAAACAGTTGTTTAGGGATTAAATGAAGCATGTAACGCTCTTAGAAGAGCAAAATAAAGCACAGAATGATACAAGAAAATGAAAAGGTGACCAAACTCATTCTCATTTGTCTCTAGTAGGCAAAGGCTTCCGGATGCTGAGAGCTGATCCCAGTCTTGAAGAATGATGTGAGAGTTTAAAGATGGAAAAGAAGGAGAAAGATATTCTAGGCAGAGGTAAGAGGATGTGCAAAGGCATAGAAGTTTAGGAAAACTGAAAGTGATTCATTTAGACTTATTCCTGAAAACCAGCCTGTGAAGGACTCCTCAGAGAGCCAAAAGAAAAACTAGGATAATGGGATGGCAAGGAAGTGGGGACACTGCGTTGACTACTCTTTCATAGCTTGGTTGTGATAGTTCAAGGCCCTATGCCATGAAGTGAGGCAGATGGAAGGTGGAGGAGACCTGAGCACACATATACCTGGAAGGGCAAGTGCCAAGTGAAGAGAAGGGAAAGTTAGAAAAGAATAAAAGAAAAGTTAAGTACACAGGCAAGATAGGATATTTTTGAGGACTTGAGGTCCCTCAAAAATAATGAAGAAATAGAACTCAAAGTACAGCGGTGGTTATAGATTTTGTCACAAGAGATACATAGATTTGGGAGGGAGAAAAGGTCAGAACGGGGAGGAAGTTGAGGCACTTCCTTCTATGAATGAGGAGGTTAGCTTGTTTGCAGAGTGAAAATAAGATGGTCGGTTAGGAAGTTTGAGAATCGTAAAGGTTTGGAATACCTCTTATGAGTAGAGAGGATGGGTTGAGTAAGACTCAGACAGAGAAGCCTTTTGTTTTGTTCTTTAAAACCAGACTGGAGAACCCAGCTGAGGGTGGAGATCATGACACAGTAGGGACACCTGATTACTTTCTTTAAACTAAAGAAAGCCCTGCAGTGGTGCTACTACTTCAGCAACCCTACAAATCAAAGACTAGTCATAATAGATGTGAATATTAATTCAACATATTACCATAAAGAGACAGAAAGATACTTGAGAAGGTAGTGTTCCAGAGTTGGGTTCTGGTTCTGATGCGGCATTGTAGGATTGGCAATATGCACGTATTTCATGGGATAAGCAAGATGATTTTGTTAGGAAAATAAAGGGAGTTGAGGCAATAGCTCTACACTGAGACCAAGTGACAGTTCTCATGTATCTAATGAACTATTTTTTGACTGCAAAATCTTTTGAGATTATTTCTAGATTCATTGTCCATAATTTTCAAAATGGGCTCTCTCTTGTTCTATTGTTTACGCTTGAGGTGAGATAATACACACATATTTCTTTACCAGTTTCAATATTAACATTATTATTAAAGATAATTGTTTTAAATATAGCTTGGTGTTAAAAACAAAATATACATAGAATATCTCTGGGGAGATACAGGAAAAGCTGTTACCTGTGAGGTAAGGAAATGAAGAACTGGGATGGGCATGTGACTTACTTTTCACATTCCATGATTTATATTGTTTGAATTTTGTACTATGTCCATGGCCTTTCTAATGAATTAAATAAACATAATAAAACTAGTAGACAAATAAGTTACTTTTATTAGAATCATCATTCATAACTTTAGTTGAAAAAGAGTAACTGAGTACCTAATATATGTCAGGCACTCGGCTTAAAGTTGTCAATATTAATTAAGAAAGAAGGTTTCTTAGTCAAGAGCATGTATTGGTAACAACCATCAATATATTTGCTTCTCTGCCAGGCGCGGTGGCTCACGCCTGTAATCCCAGCACTTTGGGAGGCCGAGGCGGGCGGATCACGAGGTCAGGAGATCTAGACCATCCTAGGTAACACGGTGAAACCCCATCTCTACTAAAGATACAAAAAATTAGCCAGGCGAGGTGGCGGGCACCTGTAGTCCCAGCTACTCCGGAGGCTGAGGAAGGAGAATGGCGTGAACCCGGGGGGCGGAGCTTGCAGTGAGCCGAGATCGCGCCACTGCACTCCAGCCTGGGCAACAGAGCGAGACTCCGTCTCAAAAAAAAAAAATGTATATATATATATACACGTATATATATATACGTGTATATATATATATACGTGTATATATATATACGTGTATATATATATATACGTGTATATATATATACGTGTATATATATATATACGTGTATATATATACGTGTATATATATATATACGTGTATATATATATATACGTGTATATATATATATACGTGTATATATATATATACGTGTATATATATATATACGTGTATATATATATTTGCTTCTCTGGAGGAGGAAGGTGGTCTTGAACTGGGATGAGCTCTTGAGTGGAGCCTACAGTAATCATTTGAGGAGGGAAGACTGGGGTGATGCATTCTGATAAATGACACCTCACACTTGTGTTACCAGGAAAAAAAGATTTCAGAGTCTGGAAAAGCTCCCATAATTAAAGAGAATTCCTTAGGAAGTAGCTTATGAGAGCGAGATATATGCCCTGTAATGGAGCTCCCAGGTACAGCTGTGTTAAGCCTTCATAGATGAGTTCTAGAATAGGATGTTGGGTGCAATAGATAATTATTTGAAGGCAAAGGCAATGGAGGAATAATTCCATGCATCCCTTTAATTTAGAAAAGCAATAATGTAAGGAAATTAGAGTCCCTGTCCTAGTTCTACCACCTACTTTGTTACCCTGAAAAAATGACTTTTTTTTTTTTTTACTAGCTTCAATGTCTTGATCTACAAAACGGGTATAATCACAAACATGTAAAAACAGATTGTGGTTTAGCCCCGAAGTGCCAAAGTGCTCCTGAAGCTGCCCCGGATAAAAATTCTGATAATCGAGTCCAATGTGGGTGGTAAGAGCATTTTAAACGGGAAAGAAACACTTTCTTAGGTAAATAATTGCAAGGTATTTAATTACTTATGTTCCACAAGGAAAAAAGATAGCTTCAGCATGAAAGGGAGACCTCTGAGAAAGTAGAGCAGACCTCCAAACAGATTTGCTAAGAAAAAACAATGTGTCCCTGGGAGTAGATCTCTAGAAGTTTCAAAACATTGGATGTTTCTTTCTCCCTTTTACTATTCTCTATTTAATTAAATTCAATATAGCACAATTATTTAGTATTTGCTATAAGGAAGGTACTCTTTTAGAAACTCTGTGCCAACTTCCCTCATTCAGAATTACTGTAAAATTTATCTTCCTACTCAAACTGGATCTTAGTAAGGAGTACAAAATGCAAAATTCTTTGATGTGTTGTAGATTTAATGCATAATTATAGTTAAGTCACAATTTTCAACCTTAGTTTCCAAAATGTTAACTGGGTATAGAATTAGCAGTACCTATTATCATCTTCCCAAGAATATTTTGAAGGAAACTTAAAAGTATATTACTTATTATATAGCAGGTATCTTTTCTAAATTATGTGCAAAACAAATGTGATTTTAAATCTATGTGAGAAATTTACTATTAAAATATCTCTAGGGTGTACTCTTGTGAAATGAGGGATCTTTGCAGCTCATGGAGACAATTATTCCTTAACTTTTTTGTAAATTTTTTTTATGTTGATAAATTACTTGTGGCGAATTACTTATATCTATTTGTAGCTATTTGATCAGCTGAGAACACTAAAAGATTAGCACAGTATGTATGTATGTACATACTATATGCACATATTTGGTATATATGTATATTATGTACAGCACAGATATTGAGAATTGACCTCATCCTGAGGAACAAAATAAGTAATAAACATAATTAGAGGAGATAGGCAGAAAGAAATAGAGATAATAAAAAATTCATTAAAAGTTGCCAAGAAAATAATGGCTATCATTTTTTCAACCCCCAGCTATGTGACAAGCATCAAGCAGTTTTATATGTGTAATTTATAATTCCACAGCTGTCCCATGGGATAGAGAGTATTATTCTTTCTTCATAATGCAGACAAAAAAAAAAGCTCAGAGTGCTTAAGTAATAAGGAAAAGAAAAGTTCAAACTTAAGGTTCTCAGTTCTGTTTGAGAGGTCCTCACTCTCCCTACTACAATATGTTTTCCTAATGATAATTTATCCAGTACATTGTGGACAACTCATCAATGCTTCCTTTTCTTTGAGGACTCTGCTTTAGAGCAAGTTGCAAAACCTGGGCCAAGATTACTGACTCTCCATTTTCAGAAACTACTGTGCTTCTATGATTATTCTTCAGTAGTAATACATAGTGATAGAAATTTGGAACTCAAAGACACGCAAAGTCCCCTGAAAGTCACTTAATTCAGTCCCCTCATTTTTGAATGATTTGCTTTCCTGATTAAAGCTCACATATTTAAAAATAATTAAGGAATTAGCTGCACATAGAAAATGAAAAACTACCCCACACAAAGCAATAATTATTAACATTTTGAAATACTTCTTCCTTTTTCTTTGCTTAATCTTTACATTGTGAATATTATGCAATTTTGAAATGAGCTTTTTCTAACTTATTACAGCATTTTCCAAACTTCTCCAAAAACACTTCATAAATGCTACTTTTAACAGCTGTAACACATCCCACTGGAAAAAGTTATAATTTACTTAATGATGTCCCTGTTGTCAGATATTTAAGGTGTTTCTAATTGCTACTAAAAATAGTATTGCAGTTTTTCAAAGGGTAGAAGGCTCTTGAATATATTGTAAAACTGCTTTTTAAAAAGCCACCATTTTGATTTATAGATAACAAAATGGAGGAGTGGTACATATTGAGGAACTATGTAGCTATGGTTACTCAGCTAATAAATGTTTGCTGTAGCTGTTGAAGTCAGTTCCTCTCTCCATTCTCCATTCTTTCTATGGCCACAGCTACTTAATTGGACTTAATGTGGGTGGCGGGAAATGCCAACCATATCCTTAATCATAATTTTGGAAATGACACATATGCAAGTGGGACAAGCCTAGTCTTTAAACTCAGATAGAACTGACCTCTCATTTACCAGCTCTGTGGGCTTGAATAAGTTATGTAAACTTTCTGAGCCTTTATTTCCTCACCTCACAAAGTGGGGAAAATAAAATTTACCCCATAAGGTTACTGTGAGGAATAAAGAATGTCAGATATATAAAAATCCGGGTGCACGGTAGGCTCTCAATAAATGGTGCTTTTTAATTTTTTGAGAATATATATGACATTTACTATGAAGTTATTCATTTAGGTCATCAAAATAAATGTCCTTTTGAGTAATTTTTCATTAATTCCTGTACATTCTAGCAGGTATCTGTGGTTTCAACAAGCAAATTCTCTTCTAAAAGGTATGATGCTACCTCTGAATTCTAACCCTCTGAAAAAACAGCTTCTTTGTAACAAAGTTTCCCATGTTATGACAGAAGAATTTCCAAAAAAAACCCCTCATTAAATCATGAGAAGTGACACTGGAGAGTGTCACTGTGTTCAGTGTTTCCTCTGCATTCATTGCTACCCACCTCCACTGCTTGGAGTGCATTTCAAGTGGAAGGTACAATGGAGAAACTACAGTTAAAACTGAGGAATTGCAAAATTTACTTTCTCTAAACTACTTTTCCTAACCTCCCTCTTTTTCATTCTTGATAGGACAGATTTTCCCCTCTCAAATATGCTGTCCTTTTTAATTGCTAACACAAGCATATATAATATCTCATTTCTGCTTATGCTGCTGATGTACGCATGTGCTGTTAGAGTTCTGAGATAATGTTGAAAGTCACAGATAAATAATAATGTATTCGGTTTTCACTACTGGGAGTGGAGGTTTAATATTCATGTTTCACTGATAGGTTTAACACTGGTTTAGGATACTCTAATTTCAGGGGCACCATCTACATGGAAGCTTTTCTCATCAAATGGAGAATGGTTGTCCCCCTTTTGCCCCTCTAAAAAACTATCCTTTAAAAGTAGCTTGCTTTCTTGGGACTCTATAGTCTTACTGTTATGTTCAATTTTCTGTGTCCTTTCCTGAACTTAGGAGAGTTCTGAAGCCAATCTCCCCTCTGATATTATTAAAGATTGCAAGAAAATTTTCTTGTGTTAGACCATTCTTCCCCAAATCACATTCTTCACCTGATATGTGATTCAACTCCACTCAAGGGAATCAACTTCTTGATGAAATATAATCAACTTTGATTAAATAAGTAACTGCTTCCTATTCATGTTTTAGCACTTTTCACATACAGATTTAACATTTCCACTCATGTTTTCCTTTGAGTCTCTGGGTTGAGGGTAGAGTTTTATCTTTTGTGTTGTTACGGTTAAGATGATAACTTCCATAATTAATTTTTCAAAAAGGCAATGATAACAGAATATACTGTATGTTTACTCTGTACTGATTTAAAACCCCCAAGTCAATTTAGCCTTAAGAAAGCATACTATTTAGTGTATTTTGTGTTACTCTTTGATATCCTACTTCTAAATAACTTCTTCACATTTGCATAAAAATAACTGAAGGTCACCCTCCAAGGTAGGCATTTTGAATGTCGTAAGGATGACAGTAATGTTTCTGCCTATCATTCCTTTCATCACACAGACACACACACACATAATTTTTTATACTAAAGAATTTTTAGAAAATTGTTTTGGTCAAAACTGTTGATTCAGATATTCAGACTGTGACAACCATTCTGAAGGAATTAAAAATCCAGTTATCTTCAGTGATTCCTTTGGAAATTATTATTCTGGGTTATTAGATAGATAGACTAATAACTTTTTTTCCAGTTTTCTAAAGCTACCTTGATTTCCTGTCTTAGAAAACAGGGGTTCACAAACACTGCTTAATATCTCTTTAATGATTATGAATACTAGAATAGCTTAGAGGTATACCCTAAAGGCCACCATATAGATCTTCTGTACAGATGTGAATTTAAAAGTATGCAAATTTACACTGATTTTACCTAACACCTTGGAACATACCAGGAGTCTGAATACATAAATATATTTTTATTATGATATGTATATTTTTAAAGTGGAGTTTAGAAATTTCTAGCTACACTGAAAAATTATAATGAAGTAGGTATTTACTGTAAAAAACTAATGTGCTTTCTTAAGGGCATAGTTTAATTAGGCACTATAATAACTGACAAACGTACACTGTGTAAAAGTTTACAGTGACTCTTCACACATACTATTTTATCTACCTCTTATTACGGGACTACCATAGGGTCTCAGGTTTACAGATGAGAACATGAAAGCACTGAGAGTTTCTCATACTTCATTCTGGTACCATGACAGCTAATAAGCAAAAGAAATAGAATCTGCTCACAGGTCATGTGAATGCTAAAGAAAGTAATCTTTCAACTGCACGCTTCAAGTGGTTCCTGTGCTGGTGAATAGGTATCCCACTTATTGCTTTTAAATTAAGGTAGGAATAAGTAATTTATATGTACAGTCATATGAGAATTTTTCACTGGTTTTATTTTGGTCAAAAAATAAATTTTTGAAAGATGTTAACCTCCTTTCAACCAATAAATATTTACTGTGACTTATACGGCTGATGCTTGAGTATAGTAGAGGCCCAAAGGGGTTAAGCGACTTTCAAAATAATAGTTAACTAAAAGAGATGGAACTGAAACCATATACATATTTATAGCACTCCATGGGCAACCAAGTTCAACTATATATGAATTACTAGTCAATGACTTTTGGTAGGCCATGCAACCTATCTGAGCCTCAGTCTCCAGATCTACAAAATGAAAAAATGAAACATTGAAAACATAAGGATATTGTGATAATTAAATTAGATAATGGAAGTTGAAGTGTCCTATTATTGTTAAGCTCCTCCTAATTGTTTTTGAAGAAAACAATAACTTTACCATGTGATTTAGGAAGAAAGTTTCAATAAGCTTTTAAAAATTAAATGTTAAATATAATATATTCAACTTCAACTATTCAGCATGTAAATTGCATGGAGTAAAATTCAAAGTGTCCGATGTTGGACATTTAACAATTAGATGTTCAACTGGGGGAGTCATTGTTCTCTAGACAGCTGCTGTTTCTTTAAATTGGGTGAGAGAGTTATACAATTGCTGAGTCAGATGATCTGGCAGCCTGAAAGAGAATGAGAGCAAGAAAATGGTGGCACTCGAGAAAAGAAAGCAAAACAAGCTTTTTCCTAATACATCAGCAAAGTCACTGGTGTAATATTAGACAAATTTTAGCTTAAAAGCAGAAAAATGATCATTTGAAAGGCATGATATTTTAGTTTTTCTTATAATTGTTACTTTTTAGCTTACATTTTTCATCTATATTTCCCCCCCCATCACTGTGCTTTTACAGAGACATAAAGACCCATCATTTTGTCCATAAATGCTTTATTCTGTTATGGCTACATTTTCCTGCAATCTTGCCCTGATCTTAGATAAGCATAAGTTAAACCTGTGAAACACTTGTGCTTTGATTTTTCTTTTTTACATAATTTTAGGTTGTCATGTTTATTACGAGCCTGGTCTGGATCATAAAATGAAAGAAACCCCTTATTACAACACACACACACACACACACACACACACACACACACAGAGAGAGAGAGAGAGAGAGAGAGATCCATTCATCCTGCACGAACAGAAAGAAGTGTATATAGTGTTTTAAAAAGACAACGTATCTTATATAGCTTATGTGGAAATTTTCTGTCTGGTTCTGTAAGCTTTAAAACACAAATATATCTTGTTATATTTTTTTCTCTCAAACTATGTTCTGACTGTAAAAATGTGGTATCTACAAGACATTCTTTTCCAATTCATACAAAGGGTCACATAATAATAAAGGGTCTCCTTCATTTGGTGAAATAACTCCTCCACTGATTACTCAGACTCTCCTCCCTGGGATCCAGTAAACTGACTCTAAACTTAAAATCTTACCTAAAATCCTGGACCTCAATTCAAAGATAAAGAAGCAGAAATAAGGTTTAAAAAGTAAAATTGGTCATATTTGTCAAATTGTGTCCCAATGGGCCACTTGTATTAGTATCTCCTTCAAGTGTTTATTTAAAATGCAGATTTCTGGGACCCACAGCAAATCTGAATCAAATTTTCTGAACGTGAACCCCAGAAATATGTATTTTTAAAGGCAGCCCAGGTAATAATGCTGTTGTTAACCTTTGCCATACTTTTAAAATTTCTAGTTACTCACATAATTCAATTAAGAAAGCAGAGGCTTTTTTATTTACGTTACCTTGATTGTACGATTTTATTAGTTTCAATTTGCTTAAGAGATTACATGTCTTTGTTCATGTAATTCTGAACCTCTATAAAACTTTTCTCTCTTAAAAAAATCCTACTGCCTTCACAACCATTTAAATAATTTATGATATTTTATTTTGAAGGTGAAAGAGAAAACTGAGAAATAGTTGAATTAAAAAATCCTTTGTGATAACATGTTTATATTTTCATGAACAAAGCCAATAAGTCATAAAAATTAAAAATCAACATACTATTTTTTGAAAGGACCTCTGATGCTTTGGGAATTTCAATCCTGTAGTTGATGGCTTTCACTTTTTTTTCCCTTTTATTACTTCTTTTTGATTGTAGAGTTCTGCCCAAATGAAACCATCATTCCAGGGCTCATGAATTAAATGAATGCACTGAGAGACACTGACAAGCACTGAGAATTTCTTCAACCACCCTTTTTAAAAAACAAATGCTAATTGGACATAAATATGAGAACAATAGACATTGGGGACTACTAGATGGAGGAGAAAGGGAATGAGCGAGGGCTGAAATACTACCTACTGTGGGTACTGTGCTCACTACTTGAGTGACAGATTCAGTCGTACTCGAAACCTCAGCATGGTGCAATATACCTTTGTAATTAACCTGCACATGTGCCCTCTCCTCCTAAATAAAAGTTGAAAAAAAATCTACGAGGCACTATATTTTTAAAAATACCACTATGTACAAGGCACTGTGCTATATCTGGAACTACAAATATTAGTTAAATAGTCCAAGATTCAGTGGGTTCAGAGACTCTAAGTATTTGCCATTCCCTTTAGATGGAAACGTTCTTTGGTCCACCAAGCCCTATCGTTCTGCTCTTTGGAAATTCTCCCTCACTTTCTTCATAATGCCGTCCTTGACTAACTCTCCTCTAGCAATACTATTGGTTTTGTATGTGATTTAAAATCATTCCTGTAATTTCTTCTGTTTATATGGCTTCGTACAAGAGATTCACATTCAACAAATAGAAAAAAAACGCTATTGACATTTGGTAGCTTCGACAATTGTAAACACATGTGGGTTTGCTGAATACACATTAAAATAGCATGAATTAGGATATGGTAAATCTGTTGCGGTCCCAAGTTGGTGGGTTTTTCTAGGAAGAGTCAGACCCTTTAAAAGGACCTTTTATCATCTACCAAACAAATCCTTCATTTATTAATTCCCAAGGTTTTCTCCATCGGTTGGCTTACTGTCATGGAAATTGATCTTGTTTTAATAGCTACTTACTTTTTTTTATTCTAATCAATGATTTCATTTGAAAAGAAAATTTTCAAACATGGGGAAAGCTGCAATATAAGAAGAAAACAATGGAGAGACATCGTCACTGGAAAAATACTACGGGCCACTCTCTATACCATCCTGCACCCCCAGATGGAGAAACTGAGGGAAGTCGTGGCCTTTCAACACTCTTGGGTCTCCATCTGGCTTGGAAGGGAACGAAATGGCTGTCAAGAGTCTCAGAAGCGCACTTTCCCCGTGGTTCCTCCGGGTAACCCTGACTCACTTTTCATCTACCCATCCCCTCCAAAACAAGGCCTAGCCAGTTCCAAGCTGGAGAGGTGACCCAGAGTTGCCTTCTGTCATGTCCTGCCTTTCGTCTCGAGTCCACTAACCCCACTCAGACTCTGTCTGCTCCCACCCCCACCGCGGCCAGTGAAATCCCAATCGTCTTCCACGTGGAACCCCAGGTCCGCAGTTATGATAACGGATCACATCGCTCCTGCGGAAAGTGCGCGCGGTGGAGTGATAATTGGACCTAGCGTCTAAATTCTTGTTGGAGGACCTCGTTCCAGCTGCCAGTTAAGCCTCTGGGATCCGCAGCGTCTCTAGGAATTGAGAGAGTGGGGAAGTTAGGATCCAGGAGGAGGATGGTGGGGGCTGAGGAGTGGAGGAGCAGCGTGCATCTCATCTCTTGTCGCCGGGCGGGCGCTCTTTCGGGTCCAGGGCCCTTGCACCCCCAGCGTGGCTCCGGAGGCGGCGAGACCTGCCTGAAATTGATTGGAGGGGACTAGAGTGTGCTTGTGGGGTGGGGTAGTGGGGGCGGAGAGAAGAGATCCCAAGAAGGGCGCCAAGTGCTGTGACCAGAGGCCTAACACGAGGCACCTTGGAAACAGGTATAGCTACGGATTTATGGGTTTTAAAATGGAACGTCTTGGTGAATGGACATAGCGTGCATTTCACAGTCTGACGTCACAGCCCTCGCAGGTTTTCCCAGACCTTAAAGCCACGTTCTCGTGTATGACACTTAAACAACTCAGTTTCCTTGTCTTTCCTCCCTCCCTACCCATCTAAGGGTAGAGAAGCTCTTAGTTCATCCACTGTGTAGGACTGTTACCGTGTGTCAAAGGCTTTGGAAATGTATATTTTACTGATGATGGTCATAGCACTTTGGAAAACTCAAAAGTGAAACGAAGAAAATAAATATCACCAAACTTTTTCCCAACCCCTCTCATCCTGCGGAAACCATTATAACTAATTTGGTGAGAGAGAGAGAGAGAGAGAGAGAGAGAGAGAGAGAGAGAAACTGTTTACTGTTTGGAATCTTGCTTTAAAAAAACCTGACTTTATAATGCAATCATTTAACAGTCTATGAAATATTCTTCAGATACCTGATGATCCAGAATGTAACTGTACCATAATTTAACACTTTATTGCTAGAATTTTATGCAGTTTTTGATTTCTTGCTACTACTTATCCATCTGTATTAATCTTTGTCAGAACCTTTCTTTCCTTAGGATGATGCCTGAATATAAAATAGCTGAATGAAAGTGGATGGGTTCATTTTAAAATACAAAATTGTTTTTCTTGATGGTGAAGTGTTTAAGAGGTGGATTAATCTCATTGGGCAACAAATAGAGAAGATATTAGTAGTTAGGTATATGAGAATCAGAATTCAGATAATTTGTCTTAAAAATTCATATTCAATGTAAAAATTTTATATTTAGAAAATGAAACTGTACCCATTGTTTATATAACTTAAACTGCCAAAATAAAGCACCACAAAAACTTTTTATCACGTTGGTTTTTGTATCAGGCTGGGCTTTGCAGCAGATGGAGGAGCTAGGGCAAGCTTGTCCAACCTGTGGGCCCGAGGGTCACATGCAGCCCAGGATGGTTTTGAATGCTGCCCAACACAAATTCATACACTTTCTTAAAGTATCATGAGTTTTTTTTTTTTTTTAAGCTCATCAGCTATTGTTAGTGTTAGTGTATTTAATGTGTGTCCCAAGACAATTCTTCTTCTTCCTATGTGGCCCAGGGAAGGTAAAAGATTGAACACCCCTGGCCTACAGTGTTCTACTATGAAGTTTCAGTTTTAGTTCGGCCTAGAATGTTTTAGTACAGAAGGCAAGTGAGATTTTCTCTGTTTCTCCAAGGACTTTTGAAAAAGTGTAAAAGCACTGGGCCCACTGTTGAACCTTGCTATAAAAAAGTATTTTTGATACCATTTGTATCACTTTAGTAATAGGAGTTTTTCATATGTTGGGAAAATGGTTTAGCTTAACTCTATCATGGTAGTTGATAGTGATGAACTAACGTGGAATAATAGATCTGTAA
Organism: Homo sapiens; assembly: GCF_000001405.40. Classification (NCBI taxonomy): domain Eukaryota; kingdom Metazoa; phylum Chordata; class Mammalia; order Primates; family Hominidae; genus Homo; species Homo sapiens. The sequence goes on from NC_000009.12 coordinate 21,991,688, forward strand.
ACCATCATAGACGGTAATAGGCTATGTTGTTGCTACCTTAGGATCATAATGGACTTTCTAAAATTCAAGAGTACTCAAAGAAGTAAAATGAATATAAGTCTTGATTTCTGAAAGGGCTATGGTTCACTTGGAACACAATACAAACTGTGAATCATGTACACATGGGGAATAATGGTTTATACTAACTGCACAGTGCTTACCTTGAGAGGACTCTGTGCTATTAAAGAAAAAAATAACCTGAGCCTTCTGAAGTAGCTATAAACAAATGAATATTTAACTTCATAATAAAAATATGACTATTTTGTAAATGCACCAAGGTAGAAGTAACAAATCAACTATGGCAATTTTTCAGGTTTCTGTGGTTAAGAAACTGGTAACGTGGAATTTTAGTATATGTATTTCCAATCATATAAAAATAAAAAGTCATAATAAACATATTTGCAGAAACTTAAAAAAAGTTAAAATAACATCTTATTTGCAATGATATTAAATAATTCATACAAGTAATTTTTAGCACTTGTGCCTCTCAAGGAATTGTATGAATCCTAACATAATTAGTATCCATATATATTCCCAAATCAATATAGCCATGGGCATAAAATATATTAATGTGAAATATATAATTACATATCATTATAATTAACACCGCTAGATTTTATATTATGTATATCATTTTACATATGAAATTGGAAAATTGCATATATTTCAAGACATTCTATCCAAGCTGTGTTCTATCTTGAGAAACTTCCTGAAGATTGCGCTTTTCACATACGTCCTGAAAATTGATTTATACCTAAATAACAAAAAATGATCTATTTCAATGAACCTATCATTTAAATATTTTTGCATTTCATGCATATACATTAACATACTATAAAATATTTTCTCTAACTTAAAATCACCACAATGTTATGTTTTATAGGCCTAAACTAAAAAATACATAATTATGGCATTTATATACATTGACATGTTCTACTTTGTTACTACAGATTTTCAGAGGCAACTTAATAATTTAAACAAAATGATTTTATATAGAATAATATTAACTAGAGTAATAAATATTTTTATATAGACAATAATATTAAGAACTATATTCATACAGTTACCGGTCACAGTGGCTAAACTTTTGCTGATACGGATAAACCACTGTTAAAAAAAACAACAACCAGGGTCTTGTCAATGTTTCAAAATGAATTAAAATCAAATCCAGCAACAGGCCCTGAAATCCTTTATAAGCTCCTTTGACTAAATTAAAAAAATTAACTTGCATAATATGAAAAGTAAAAAATAAAATGTGCATTTATCCTATAGATTATAAATTTTTGCTAATAGAAATTGAGACACTAAATTAAACACTGATAGTTTTAACAGGTTTATATTTCCATGTCAAAGAGACAATTAACATTGCAGTAAAAAAATAATTACCCCTCCGCTGGCCTTTGCTTTTTGAAGCTATATATTCCTGGCGAAGCATACCACAAGGACGGTCATAAAAGTGAAGCCTCATTAAATTACTTTTAGACTTATTACACAAGTTTTAATTAGCATTGTACATATTTTAACTGTACATATATTCTTTCAGTTTTCCTGGTTATAGGAAATTACACTGGCTGTGTCAACATTTGTCAATGTGAGGACAAAACTACCTTGGATTCTGTTTTTCAAGAAGTAGGCCTCATTTTTAAACTGTGCTAACTGTCGTCTGAGATGACTAAAATACTATCAGTTGGGATTTCTCAGGAACAGTTCTACAGTTCTGTCGTTTGCTAAACATACGAGCATTGTCCCGAGCAGTTTCAATCACTCAGGCCGCCGGACCTCTACCTCTAACTCACAAAGAAAGCCCATTTCCCTGTTGGCTGCAAAACTCCCCCAAGAAGCAAGTGCTTGCTCCTCGCAGCAGTAACTGATCCTACGATCCTTGTTAGCATTTCAGGAAGTCGCTGCCTGCGTGCCCCGTATCTCACGGGTCCTCCACTCTCCTGGAAGGTGGGAGAGGGTGACCCCGCCGGGAGGCTGGGGAGAAAAAAGGCCGCCTCCAGAAAACTTAGATGGTTAGCAATAATTCTCCCCAAGGAGAAAGAAAGTGTGCTTGAAATACACCTTTCCTACTGTGTGTGTGTGTGTGTGTGTGTGTGTGTGTGTGTGTGTGTGTGTGTCTTAGTCATTCCCACCCAGGATATTCGGGACTCACTGACTTCTGAGGTGGGTTTAGAAGCTCTGTTCGCCTCAGTTTCCCACGATTGAGGGGCTGTGTGAAGGGAGGTCCAGGTTCAATGGTACTGCGAGAACCACATGTCTAAGTCGTTGTAACCCGAATGGGGAAGCCTCCACCGGCGGTTATCTCCTCCTCCTCCTAGCCTGGGCTAGAGACGAATTATCTGTTTACGAAATCACACCAAACAAAACAAGTGCCGAATGCGCCCCGGACTTTTCGAGGGCCTTTCCTACCTGGTCTTCTAGGAAGCGGCTGCTGCCCTAGACGCTGGCTCCTCAGTAGCATCAGCACGAGGGCCACAGCGGCGGGCGCCCCTGGCGCTGCCCACTCCCCCGTGAGCCGCGGGATGTGAACCACGAAAACCCTCACTCGCGGCGGGCCGCACGCGCGCCGAATCCGGAGGGTCACCAAGAACCTGCGCACCATGTTCTCGCCGCCTCCAGGGCCGAGCTCGGCAGCCGCTGCGCCGCCCTTTGGCACCAGAGGTGAGCAGCGCCACTCCTGCCCCCTTAACTGCAGACTGGGACCCACGCACCGCCCCCTGCCCATCTCCGCCCCGCAGGCGCGCACCCGCCTTCCCTGAGCGCGCCCGCCCCCCACCTTCACCCCCACCCCCACCCCACCCCCACTCCCACCCGGACCTCCAAGATCTCGGAACGGCTCTGAGCCCTGCGCACGCGGGAAGGGCTGCCGGAGGCGCCCGTAGGGAGGCGCGCGCGCGGGCGGCTCAGGGCCCGCGTTCCTCTCCCTCCCGCCTACCGCCACTTTCCCGCCCTGTGTGCGCCCCCACCCCCACCACCATCTTCCCACCCTCAGCGCGGGCGCCCCGCGGTGACGGCCCAGGGGCCGGACGCCTGGAACGCAACTCCAGGCAGCTCGCCCCCTAGCTACATCCGTCACCTGACACGGCCCTACCAGGAACAGCCGCGCTCCCGCGGATTCTGGTGCTGCTCGCGTCCCCGCTCCCCTATTCCCCTTATTTTATTCCTGGCTCCCCTCGTCGAAAGTCTTCCATTCTTCAAACTAGATTATTTAAAAATGAAAAAGGAAGAAAGGAAAGCGAGGTCATCTCATTGCTCTATCCGCCAATCAGGAGGCTGAATGTCAGTTTTGAACTAAAAGCCGCTCCGCTCCTCTTCTAGATTTGGAAAACAAGCGAAATTAAACTAAACCGCTGCACGCCTCTGACGCGACATCTGGACACGGCGCGGCGCTGGCGCTGCCGGAGCTGTCGACCCGGCCTGGCGCCGGACTAGGTAGGTGGAGTCGCACCCGGGGGTCCCAGCTGGGTCCGGGCGCCCATTCCCCTCCCAGCTGCCCGCGTCGCCGAGGGCGCCTGGCTGGGACAAGCACCGAGTCCTTTGTGTCTAGCCCATTTTTATTTTCGGTTTTAACCTTCACGACAGCCGCGGAGCATCTGAGCGCTTCTTCCTCTTTCCTCTTCCCCCGCGCTCCCCTCCCCTGCTGGCCGCTCCCCTCCTGTCGCCGCGTCCTCGCGTAGAATGGTTGTCTTGGCGACCGTTGGCCGCTGCCGCCTCCACGCTCTGCCCCGCGCCCAGACACCCCGACTCCCCTTGATCCCGCCGCCTGACTCCTCGGCGTACGTTCTCTCTCCGGTCTCCCCCTCCATGTCCCCTCCTCCCCTTTTCTTCCACATCACCGATCCTTTCTGGACTCTCTCCCTTCCTCCTTTCCAGCTGGGAGACAGGAAAAGCGGTCCTGTTTGGGAACAGTAAAAGCAGGGCAAGGAAAGGAAGGAGCGGCAGAAAGGAGGGGTGAGTCGAGGACACAGGGGCAGCCGGAGAATGCGGAGGAGCCGGGTCCTGAGCGCGGTCTAAGCGAGGCTCGGCTCTCGTCCAGGAACTCGGACGCGGGCTCGCCGGCTCTCCGCGCGCGGGAAGTCGAGCCCAGGACGCCGCCTTCAGGCCGGCGCGCTGACCCGGTGCCCCGACCCGGAGCCTGCGGTCTGCCTGGATCCGTCCTAAACCTCGCGGGCTGGACCCGCGGCCTGAGTGGGTGGGTGTGTGCCAGAGGATTCGGGACTAGGCCCAGCTCCGGGAACCTGGAAATGTGGCCCGCTTCTCAGTGGCTTCCTGTTCATGCGCTTGGGCCTAGTGGCCTAGTTGAAGAAGTGGAACCACAGCGTGAGCCGACAGGGCCTTACAGATCAGACGTCAAGCCCCCCAGACCTTACAGGGGAGGAAAGTGAGGCCTGCACTGGCCGAGCCACCCACTTAAGGCGGTGCGGTAGCCTAGAGGAGCGGCAGACTTCTCTTTCCCCATCCCCCGCCCCATCACTTGACGTTGCTGCCGGACCTCGGTACAAACCCAAGACAAAACGGGGCCCTTTGGAAAAAGTGAGATTTAGCGATCACTCTTACGTAGCCACTCTAAATATCTATCTAGATATTTACAAATGCACCTCCCCGGTAGGTAGATTTCACTCAGAATTTACCCAACACCGTGCTTTGTGCTGGGGCCACATGCCACCTTTCTGTCTAGTATGGCTGCTCTTTCTCCCTCTTCGCAAATATAGCTCTTTTTCCTTCAGGTCTCTTCTGAAGTAAGTAGCCCTTCCTCAGAAATGCTTCCCTTTTCAGGCACCCTCATACCACCGTGATTTTTTTCTTTATAGCACTTAGGACGAAGAGATTATTTTACTTATGTACTTGTTTACTTGTTTGTTGTGTAGAATGTCAGCTCTATGGGAACCAGATCCTTTTATGGGTCTTCCTCTGCACCTATGCCACGCCCCCAGCATTCCCCTCCTACCACCACCTTCAGCCGGCCTCCGCCTCTGTAGGGGGGCATTAGGTTTTCTGTCCCACAGAGGAAGGGCGCTTTAGAAAGGGTTAGTTCATCCTGGAAGAAAAACGATGTCGGATGCCAGCATAGTGTCATTTAAAGATACTGGAGGAATGGAGTGGGAGCGGTGAGGGTTTCTTGGGCCTAGACAATGTAACTAGTTGTTGCAATAAAGCATGGTGGGGAAAGGAGAAAAGGCACGTATTAAACATCTTTTGAAGTCGCTATCTATATCAGTCAGTTCTCCAGGGAAACAGAACCCATTGTGTGTGTGTGCGTGCCAGTACCACACATATGTATATGTATATACACACCGTCATGGGGTTGCTTAACAACAGGGATACATTCTCAGACATGTATCTTTAGGCGATTTCATTGTTGTGCAAACATCATATACAAACCTAGGTGGTATAGTCTATTATACATCTAGGCTGTATGGTATGGGCTATTGCTCCTAGGCTGCAAACCTTTACAACATGTTACTATACTGAATACTGTAGATAATTGTAACAAAATGTAGTTTTATATCTAAACACATCTAAACATAGAAAAGGTAGTATGTTGTGCTACAACTTTAGGACAGCTATGACATCACTAGGGGATAGGAATTTTTCACATCCATTATAATCTTATGGGACACCACCAATATGTGACTGTGGTTGACTGAAGCATCGTTATCCAGCACATGACTCTGTGTGTGTATACAATTTTATATATACGTACATTATATGTCTACACACACATATGTGGGGGAGAGAAAGAGAGGGAGGGAGAGAGAGAGAGAGAGAGAGAGAAAGAGAAAGAGAGAAAATACTTATTTTAAGGAATTGTCTCAGAAAATGGTGGGGGTTGACAAATTGGAGACCCAGGGAAGAGTTGTTGTTGCAAGACTTGAATCCAAAGGCAATCTGGAAGCAGAATTTCTTCTTCCTTGAGGGACCTCAGTCATTTCTCTTAAGCTCTTCAACTGCTTGGATGAGGACCACCCATATTATTGAGGATAATCTGCTTTTTCAAGTCTACTGACTTAAATGTTAATCATATCTAAAAAATACCTCCACAGCAATATTTAGACTGGTGTTTGACTCAAACACTGGGTACCACAGCCTAGCCAAGTTGACATACCAAATTAACTGTCACATTATCCCGTCATGCCTGAGGGGTTCTCTGACCCTCAGTTTTCTGAGGATCAAATTTAAATTGAGGGATCTATCTTTGTTTATTGGAGCCATATAGCTCAAAGTATAATCATTTTCTCTCCACAGGAACTAGACCTAGGGATAAGGGTAATTGCTTATTTCAGAGGAATGCCATCTGAATAAAAGGATAATTATATAGTAAGCTCTCTGTTCAAAAAATGTAAATATTAAAGTTTGAACATCTAAATTCCATCTTGGTTTCCCCCACTGCCGCTGCCCAATACCTGTTCTCTTTCAGTTGCAGTATGCAGGGGAATTCTAAGTTTAATATTAGTCTCAGCAAAATACAATGGTGAAGATGACTCTTTCTAGCATAACAATGGGTATGTGGTATTCCAAATACTTTTGGAATGCGGAGTGACTATTGGCTATGTGCTCTTCAAAAAATTAATAATGAAGAACTGAGCATGTAATTTCACTTATATTACTTATTTTATCCTCACAGTGGCCTTTCAAAATTGGGATTATTACTCCTGTTTTACAGGTGGAAAGAATGAGGCCTAGAAAGGCTCAAATCTTGAACACTTCATGGCCAGCAAGAGCCAGGGCTGGAATCATCAGGCAGGCCTTTGGGTTACAAGCCTTGTGCCTTTTCTGTTGTCCCAAAGGCCAGGGTCAATAGGGAGTGAGTTATCTGTGGGTCACTTATGCAGACAGAATCACTGAATATTGGAAGTTTTTGGGGTTCTCTTCCACTGGCCTAAAAACCTGAGTTAATTGAGTTTTTTTTAACAGGGGTAAATAATTTTCTGTTTTAGATCAGCAAATTCATTCCATAGGCAGGGATAGGGGAGAAAAATCTTACTGAATATCCCTTGTCTTGTTCTCCTCCTCCCCAAACTTAATGTCCTATGACACTAGCTTTATCCCTTAGGTAACTCTTGATTATCCAAATTTCATGAGAAACTTTCCTAACATTGCACATGCTCAAACTCAAAACCCCAAAGTCATAAGAAAAAAGATAACATAAGCAAGAATAAAAAACAATTATTTGATCATATATGTCAAAAGATTAATTACTAGACTATATAAATAAATACATAATCCAGTAAAACAACAATCCAATAAAAAAGGCAAAGGATATAATAGTTTATAGTAGAATATGTGCAAATAGTAAAAAATAAAAAGATAATCTTACTCATTAATAAATGTAAACAGAAACAATGGCATATAACCACAAGTGTGGCAAAAAGAAAAAAGACTACTTTGACAAAGTTGTCAGGAAACAATCACTCTTACTATTACAACTTGGTGTAATTGTTTTGAAAGGCAGCATTACAATATCTAGTCAAAACTGTATGAGAATATAGGTACCCTTTGACTCAGCTATTCCACTATTTTAAGTATGTAAAGACACACACAAATAATGTATGGAAATATATATACACATATATACTATATAGTATATATAGTTCATATGTATGTTATATGTTTGTGTATATATCTATATACTTATATACACCCTTTGACTCAGCAATTCTATTCCTATAACTCATGTATGTAACATATATAATACATATCTTTATATACACATATGTACACACATATCTGTAAGTATGGGAAGATGTATACACATGTACACATATATATACATACATATGTATATATGTATTTTATGTATGGATACATATGTATATATGGATAGATTTTACACCTACAGACACATTTAGATATGTAACTTCAGCTAAAGCAATTCACTCCTATATAAATTGCTACAGATAACTTGTATAAGTATGCAGAAATGTTTCTTTATAGCAGTGTGTATTAGCAAACAAAGTGCAAGAAAGAGAAAAATGATTGACATGCTTGTGAGGAGACTTTTTTTGTTGTTGTTGTTGTTAGGGCTCATTCATAAAATAATAAAACTGTGCATCCATAAACAATAATGAAGCACATCTATATGCACTGACAATGGAAGTTGTCAAAGATCTATTGCTAATTAAAGAAAGCAAGTGACAGAATAGTATGATCCCATTCATGTTTTCCAAATATGCATGCTGGGGGAGAGATGTTTGCAATTATATGTACTTATATTTCTGGAAGGATAATTAAATATTTGTAATAGTGGTTACCTTTGGGTAGTAAGAATGAGGGTGGGAAAAATTTCAGATTTTTGCTTACTACTTTTTGCTTTCTGGACTGTTTGAAAGTTTACCATGAGCAAGAATTATTAAATAACAACCACAGGAATATTGGGGCTCAAACCTAGAGATTCTAATTTTGTAGACCTGGAGCTGATCAACAAGTCTAAATGTTAAAACATCCTCACGGGTGATTCTGACATGGAGCCAGGATTGAGAAACAATTTTCTGAAATGGAAGGGGTTTTAAACTTGTTGTCCTCAAATGACTACTGAGGCAAACACCATTCTTATAGACATAAGACATACTTGGGAGCAAATGTATAATAAAGTGGTATGCTTCCCTAGAAAGGGGACGACCTTAAATCTTTCTGTTTATGGTGGTATTTAAACATATTAAAAACTACTAATTTTGGAATAGTCTTACTGTGATAAGTCTAACTATCAAAGGCAGTCCAGAGATTAGCAAATAATAGAGGATGATCAAATGTTTTTCAGAAAATATTATAGGTGGCACTTTGGCAGGAGATTCTGAGAATGGTGAGAGGGTGCCTCTGTGCCCTAGGAAAGGTGATAGAGCTTAGAAACTCAGAACTCAGATGGAATGAGGAGCCATGCCATATACATCTTTACAACAGTCACCCTCTAGAAGAAAACTCTGTGTTGACAATAATCTGCTGACTTGTCTGTGGGTTTTTGAACAGAATAAACTGTTTCTTCTTTTATGTTTGTGTATTATTGCTTATAAATATATTCTAAAATATATAATAACAAACAATAACAGTACTTGCAGCTTAATTAAAGAAAAAATGCAAGTATCTTATTTATACTAAGAGAAGAGAGAAACCCGAAGAACAATGGATTATCCTTACATATTTGGTTTGGGATTACATTGAGAGCTACCTAAATACCAGACACTCATTCTTGGTCCTGACTCCTACTCTGTTATCCATAGCTCAGTACCTAGTATCTGGCGCAGAAAGAAGTGGAATGGAATTATCAGGGAGACCCAGTTTTTAGCCAAGACTAAAAGGTTTTAGCCAAGGGGATGGAAGAATTTGTGCATAGATAGACGGCAGATGGGAATTCGTTTAAAATGGAATGGAGACCCAGAGGTCACATAAGACAGGGTTCAGAGGAAGTAGCCCCAACAACATCATAATAGAGAACATTGATAATGAGAGGATAGATAGATTATGCATTTGGGGAGGAGGCCAAATATGAGAAATAAGACATGGTTTACTTACTGTAATTGGTCTTAAAGTTTTGAGTGGAACTCTGTTGTAAAATATTTTCTGTGCCAGAGCTGACTCCATATATCTACTGGAAGTCTAATGCCAGGGGCTTCTGAGTGTGAAGTGGATTAATAGGTGTTTGGGGTCCTTTGTAAACTTCTAGTGTAATGTGAATAGCTGTGAGGTAGTCAGTGTGTCATCTTAATACATTGTTCTTAGTTCTTTTTCCAGCAAACTCTTTTGTTTTACATTTAGTTCACACCACAAATTAGTAAGTCAGGCTTGGTGCTTTTTGACCCATACATTAATTTTCATTACTGTGCTTAATATACAATCCATGCCAATTACATATTATTAATTAGTGGCACTAGTATTAGTTCATATTTTCTTTTATTATGTAATTAATAGGGCCTATATGTGAAAGTTACTGTGTTTCTGTAAAATGAAGTATTCTTTTTCCTTACGCAAGGAATGACATTAAAATCTTCTGAGTAGGGAATTTAAGAGGCAAGAAAGGAGTAATTTCATTTGGATAGCTGAAATTGAGAAACGTTTTATAGAAACTTTTCAGGTATGAAGGATAGTAGTAGAGATGTTACATGAGTTAGCACTCATATATTGAATTAGTTAAGGAACCAATGTGGGAATCTAGGTCTTCTATCTTCCAGTCAAGTCCTTGTTTCACTTTTCTTCATTCCCTCTTTCTTTCCTGTCGTTATAAGTAGAATAGGAAAATATTGAAAGTATTGAGGCTCAACTGTTGTTGCCCCTTTAAGTAATTTCTAAAATTAAAATTGTCTTATTTTCATATATGTGTGATTGTGTATCTAGGTATCTCTTTGTAGCTTAGTAATTGAACACTGTGAACTACACCAACCTAAGCATTATTCTCCAAGTTTTCATCAAATAACTAGACAGTTTCTGTTAATACTGAAAATCTAGTAAACGTGTCAGAATTTGGTTATGATTAGTTGCTGACATAAAACATGAGGGCAGACCTCACTGTACTTTAGAAGATACTGGCTTTCACATTTGCCCCAGTAGGTAGTTCACATGAGTGCTTCTTCAGATAATGTCTCTAAGTTTTGCATATCATTAGTTCTACTTGCTCCACTTTTGATAGAGTGGCAATGTATTGAACATTGTAAAAATTATGCTCTATGATTTAAAAAATCCATCTCTGGTAAAGCATAAAATGAGTATATGTTTTACTGTTTAAAATAATTGAGGGGTAATTATAGAATCAGCAAAAAGAAAAAAAAACCCTACTGACTATTACATATCAATGCACACAGTGTGTTAATATTTTCAAAAAAGGGAGGGCAATCTCAGTGTAAGTGTAAATGAAATTAGTTTTTGTATATATTTGCTGAAGATCAGTTACCTAGCTTCATATGATAAATTATTTGGTGCTGGTCACAATATTGTGCTTGCCATATTAGGGAAATAAAATATCATGAAAGTATTCCTAAGTATACATTTTCCCAGAGGCGTTTGGGGTTTTATCAGTCTCGAGCTCTCCTCTTGAAACTGTTTCATTCCTTAGTTATGAAATTACTAATTTTAACCATTTAAGGCATAGGAAATTTTACATAGATTTTGCTTTAACAGCAAAACACCCTTTAAAAAATTCATCCACTTAGGTGAAAAATAAAAGATAAAAATGAAGCCAAATGAATGTTATTAAATTTATAAATTTATTTAACTTTCCAGATCTTCTTGGAATAAATGTCAGGTAGTAGAATTTGTACAAACCTTGGTAATGTCTTAGGTTTAGATACGAACTTAACAGGTATATTTAATTTTCTGTATTCCACAATGGAGCTAGAAGCAGGACTCATGAAAATAGTAACTATATGTTTTGCATGTATCCTTCAAAGTGAAATCCTTAACAAATTTAACAGTATATATTAGGCTGCTGATGAAACAGCTAAACCTGTCTGCCAGGTGGCTTCGAAAATGGAATTAATTTTTACATGGCATTGATAAGTTACTATTTCAATACAACCAGGTGGTAATTGATACCCAATAATGTTTGAGGTTTGCTTTAAATAAAAAAAACTAACAAAACAAACAAAAAAAACAGTGTAATATAGTACTGTGGGATCCACAATAACATTTTCTTTAGTTTCCCTTAATATCAGGTTGTCATTAGGAAAGATTCCACAAGTTATTTAAACCAGAAATGAAGTAACATGTTTCATATCTATTTCAAGGGATAATTTTTCATGACCCAGTATAATGCAACTAGCAAATTTAAACATCTTGGAATTTAAGATATAGAGGTCAAATTAAGGGATTTTATAAACCAAATGGGAGATTTTAAAGTATCAACTGACTTCTTTTATATAGAATGTTTTCTAATAATTGTAAAATACTGTAACTTTAAAAATATTATTCTTGTAGCCTCTAATGATTGAGTGCTTAAGTGATAACTAGAAATATATTTTCTGTCCCTGTGCTTCAGTTTGAAAATGGAGGTTCCATTATCTTTGTTCCAAAAATTTGGGTTTTTATAGGTGTGTTGGGGGGGGTTATTCTCCATATTGTTGACATTTTAAAATAGTTTTCAAACAAACCGTTTATATTTACTAGAAGTTAGAGAAAGAAAAGCCACCTTAGGAGCTTACAAGGGAGATCATTGTGTATTTCTGCTTTTTTTTAAAAAAAGTTATCTTCATGTGTATCATTCATGATTTTGGAGGACAAGCTGGTGCAATGGGAAGAAAAGCAAGACAACCATAATCAGCTGTGGAACTAGATGCACTTCTTTGTGCATCCATGGAATGAATATCTTGTAACCTTTGGCAAGTTACTTGATATTTCTTTGCCTCATTGTCCTCATCTGGGAAACAATACCTATCTCTCAGGTTTAAATATTAAATTAACAAATATATTTTAATGCATACCTGGTACAGATTATGTGTCAATAAACATATCCTTTCCCCAATAACATATGCTCTGATTCTCAACTAACTTTCCCCAGTAATATGTTCATTTTGGGAATAGGAATTGGTAGAGAAGTAAAGATTTGTGTATTCAACTCAAATGTACTCCTTCTTATAAGTCTCCACTCTCAAATGACTTGTTTCTGTTCCTTTTTTCTCTTTTAAATGTGTATCTGGTAGAATGAGCATTTAGAAGCATAATACATGTATACACTTTGTGTTTAATTTTCTATGGCATAAGTAAGCAGTTTTTATGAATTGCTGGTATTGCTTATGAGCAATTATTACAAACATTGAGAGAAGGGAACCCCTGTGAACCTTTAACATTTCTCAGGAGTTAGTGGTAAACCCATGAACATGTATTTTTAAACCAAATTACCCACCTCTTGGAGTTCAATCTCTGTTAATTCTTTATTAAAGTAGTGAAGTATCAGTTGTTCCAATGATATAATGATCAAGCAACCCTGGAAATTAAATCCCAAAGCAGTGCACCTTTAGTTTGTTCAGTGATAGTAGGACATCCCACGAGCCATCATATATTTTCAAGTTTTTATACTCAATCTACTTTTTCAGCAATCTTTTGGGAACTATCCCAAGATAATTTACTGCATAAGTGCATCTATCTTCTAAAAGACATTTGGAATATTTCTTAGTCTGACCTCTGCACCCTGAGACACTCTATAAAGGAAACAATCAGAAAAATTTAACAAAGAAATAAATAGGTTAAGAAGAAAGCAATCTAGGCGTTTGCACTGAGTTTGCAACAGTGCCATTGCTACATTTAAGAGCTGTAGTTCTTCCTCACATTTTAACTGAGAGCCACTAGTTATGTTACTTAAAATCTCCCCATTAAATAAGACAGTTGCTGAACAACTAAAAAGTACAAAATATCACAAAATCAAAAAGTAGCAAGTCATAAGGGGATTTCCGCATCCTAGCATGTGTGTGTGTGTGTGTGTGTGTGTGTGTGAAAGAAAACGTTACAGTTAACCGTTACAATTGCTCTCACTCCACTCCACCACCTCATCCTGTGTAGTCTGCCTGCGGAACCCGCGGGAATCTCTCCTCAGTGTAGTAAGAGCAAAGGCCAGCATCCTGTGCAAAGGTGCTCTGCAGCGTCGTGATCCAGGGATTTTAGCATCTGTCGTCGCTTGCACATCCTCTCTTACCCCTCTGCTATCTGGTGGAGTTGGGCGAGGGTCTCCAGGGCTTCCAGAGAGTGTCGTTTACGCATGTGACTTGCCATGCGCTCAAACTAAAGCGCCGCCGGGGACTTACTGAAGCCCACCTCGGCCCTCCTCCACTTTGTCCTCAGTCTTCAGGTTTTCCTTTCTGCCGCTAGGGCCTAAGTTGTGGGTTCACCATAACTCCTCAGCAGACATTGGAGTGAACGCATCGACTGCCGTCACCCAAGTGCTAATCACTGCCTTCTCCCACTCAGCGCTGGAGTGGGAGATTCATCCATCGGAAGATTCGTAGCCACCAGGTCCAGTCAAGGATTTCATATGCACTTTCCCTCAGAAAACCCTGAAAAGCAAACGACCCCTGGAATGTCACACACTCCTAAATATCCCTGGAAATCCGCTTCTCTGTGTTTCGCTTCATGGTGAGTGTCGAGGGCCAGATAAGACAAAGAAAAAAATGTATGGAAGGTTATTCCCGGTCGGCTCCTCCTTCCTGTGAGTCTCAGACAGGCTTGCAGGCTTACAGGCTTTCCGCCGCTCCCCGTTGGCAGCCTTCATCGAATTAGGTGGGTGGGGGTGGGAAATTGGGTAAGAAAATAAAGTCGTTGTGGGCGGCTGGGGAACCTGGCGTCAGTCCCCCGTGGCTGTGCGCAGGTACCCTGCAACGTCGCGGTGGCCCCGCTCCTCGGCCAAGTCCACGGGCAGACGACCCCAGGCATCGCGCACGTCCAGCCGCGCCCCGGCCCGGTGCAGCACCACCAGCGTGTCCAGGAAGCCCTCCCGGGCAGCATCATGCACCGGTCGGGTGAGAGTGGCAGGGTCTGCGCAGTTGGGCTCCGCGCCGTGGAGCAGCAGCAGCTCCGCCACGCGGGCGCTGCCCATCATCATGACCTGCCAGAGAGAGCAGAGTGGTCAGAGCCAGGGTGGGGGCAGGTATGGGAGATGCCGGCCGGGGCAAGGCAGGTGGAGCCATTTAAAGAAACACCTAATTGCAAAGTTTTCACCCAGTGCAGAGGTGTTCAGGTCTCTGATGTCTGGTGTTTCTTCATTTGCTGATGCAATCCACTTTCCCACCCCACCTTCAGGTTATACTCAGTACAAATTAAATGCCATTTTATTCTCTAAACGTGCAGAGACAAGAAAGTTGATGGTAAAGTGATGATCATCATTATGGAAAAACAAATCTTGATTTCCATTGGAACATGGGAATCTATTTTGTTAAATGATTTAGGGGCAGAGTTAAATTTATTCGGCTTTTAAAGTTTTAAATTATTTGCCTTGCTGACCCCTCCTCCATAATCCAGGTCTACAAATATTTATTAGGTAGTCAACTACTGTTTGTTAGAAGTTGGGAGTAATGGTTTAGGGGAGAAAATAAACAACTAAGTTTTTTTCTTTCTTTTTTTTTTAATTTATTTAGTTCTCATAGCAAATCCCGTGCGGAAGGCTTTTGTTTGTCATGTGTCTGAGCTCATAACTGGCTTGTAGTGTGATAATTTGAGCCAAAGTTGGAGATTAGAAGGGAAAAGTAAATTAAATCATGCAAAATCTTATAAAATTATAATAAATGATTTTTCCTTAACAGTTCATCATTTTAAATTTAGACTATAATATTTTTAATGTAATATAAAACTAACTATATTTGTATACTACAGGATTTTATAATAGCTAAGATTTAAAAATGTTAAACAGTAAATATTTTGCTATATAAAAAGAGCTTGGGCCAGGCCCAGTGGCTTATGCCTGTAATCCCAGCACTTTGGGAGGCCATAGCAGGCAGATCACCTGAGGTCAGGAGTTCGAGACCAGCCTGGCCAACATGGTGAAATCCCGTCTCTACTACAAAAAATAAAAAATTAGCTGGGCATGGTGGGGCGTGCCTGTAGTCCCAGCAACTCAGGAGGCTGAGGCAGGAGAATCGCTTGCATCCTGGAAGAGGTTGCAGTGAGCTGAGATTGTGCCACTGCACTCCAGCCTGTCCGACAGAGTGAGGCCTCATCTCAAAAAAAATAAAATAAATAAATAAATAAATAGAGCTTGGATGTTAGCAGTCAATCAGGATGATGCATAACTTAGAAAAAATGATGTTTTGCAGGAGTAATCCTGTAGCAGCCATTTGTGTACATGAACATTATGAAAACATTTGCTGTCATATTTAAAGTCAATTATAAGACAATTTTTGGTAACTAAATGTCTAAAATCGAGTTATTTGTTATGGGTTTATGCACTTTAAAATATACCATTTAATTGAAAGGCAGTATACTTCTCATGTTTTGTTGGCTTGTTTCATTAATATTAGAAATGTTCATTTCATCTCTTAAAAACCGTGATAAGTTATATCTACTAGTGATGTAAGGATATTTTACATAGAAAAAAAGGGGAAAATAGCTGCTGTTAGTATTTCAGAAAATGGTGAATTACATATATAACTTGTTTTTATAATTATTAATAAAATTTTAAGTTTTTAAGATGCACTTTACAATATTTTTGCTCCTTTAAAAATCCCTCATTTGTTATACCATTATTCTAAGAATTCAAAAGAAATGAACACTTCTTTAAAATCTATACTATTAACAAGATCCCTTAATATTAGCTTAGTTTTAGAGGGTGATAGTGAGGTGAGTACTGAATATGACCACTAGCCAACGGTAAAGTACAAAAGAGTTGTCCGAGATTGTAAAAGAAATAAAAAATATCAGTACTAATTAAAGCAGGATTCGTACTTAAACATTGAATAAGTGTATTTTAACAATGAAGATAAAGATGCATTATTTATGAAGATCCTTTGCCATTCAAAAAGGACCTAACAGTTGCTGCAGGAATATTTTTGTAATCTGGGCACTGAGTATGATAATTAAAGAATGAGAAACCTATAGAACTATATATTTTTTCTCTTATGCATCACTCATAAGACACTGCTAACATAAAAGGAACTAAGTACTGTGGTTGAGGAATCCCGTCTCATTCTCAATTAACCTCTATGAGAAAACAATACAACAGATTTCATATAGTAGCTTAGAAGTTTACATTGATTTTTTCCATGTACTATGATTTTGTAGAATTCCTTAAATCCAATCTAGAATGCGTAACTTATACTTTACTTATCTTTATCGTTGAAAGCAGACAGACAAGATAATCTTCTTCCCTAAATAAGCTTTCCTTTTCTCCTTTTCTCCCCAATTCAGTCTATTCCTTGCATCTCTGATCATGAGATGGCAGAACAAAAACCACTAAAAAAAGCTTAAACAGTGGGTTTTTCAATGTCTCTCTTTAGGATTTTTGCTGGGTAAAAGCCTGTTTTACGCGTGGAATGCACACCTCCGGCCAACGGAGACTCCTGTACAAATCTACATCGGCGATCTAGGTTCCAGCCCCGATCCGCCGAGGCCGCGCCCCGCGTTCGCGCGCCCCCTGCCGGCGAGGCCCTGGGGCCCCAGCTACCTGGATCGCGCGCCTCCCGAAACGGTTGACTCCGTTGGGATCCGCGCCGGCTTCCAGGAGCTGTCGCACCTTCTCCACTAGTCCCCGCGCCGCGGCGCTGGCCAGACCCTCATCGCTGCCGCCCCCACTGGGCATGCCCTTGTTCTCCTCGCGCATTCCGCAGCCCCCAGACGCGCAGCGGCCCGGATAATCCACCGTTGGCCGTAAACTTAACGACACTCTTCCCTTCTTTCCCACGCTGCTCCGGCGCACTCTCTCCTTCCTAGGAGACCTGGGCTCAGCTTCATTACCCTCCCGTCGTCCTTCTGCGGCTTGGGGCCCCGTGCAGTGGCCGAGCGGCCGGTCGTTAGCTCCGGGCTTTTCCTGGCGCTCAAGAACCAGCGGGCGCGCCTGGATTGCTTCTGGGAAAAAGCGCCTAGCGCGGACGCAGCCGAGCTCAAAGCCGCTCTGGCCGCAGGGTGCGGACGCGTCGCGGAGTCCTCACTGCCCCGCCTCGCTCTGGCAGAGTGGGGAGCCAGCCGGCAAAGAATTCCGTTTTCAGCTGGGCCAAGGGGCCGGCGTCTCCCCACCCCCTTAGGCTCCGCCCCCTGTCCGCTGTGATCGCCGGGAGGCCAGGCCCGGGCCGACGCGTCACGAGGGCGGGGAAGCCTGCCCAAAGATGCTAGGACGCATGCGCCAGAGACTGGGCCAGGGAGCCGCCAGGAATGCTGGCTGCACTGCTCGCTGGATGTCCAGTAAAGCCAAGGCTAATATTTTGGGAATGTTCACCACTGCCCTCAGCTCCTAATCCCCAGTAGGCGGAGCAGAGGATTTCTGTTCCTTCAGCCAGCCAGTTGGTTTCACTGTGGAGACGTTGGTGGCTCCCTTGTGACCGAGAGAAAGTCATTCAAAATAACTCCGTGTTTCTTAAGATGTCTGAAAGCGACAGCTCTGCACCTGTCATACAAGTTAAATTCATCCCCAGGCAGTACTTGGGCTTCACAAGTTTCATAACTTGTATCAAACTTAGCAATTTTCTCTTGGATGTGTCTTTCTGTTTGAATTAGTCAACCATAAAAATAGAGAAAAATCCCGAGAATCATGTTTTGCGTGTGCTTTTTAATTCTTTCCATTTTTGCATTATGGATACAACCCTTAAAAGAGAAAAAAACTAGTTCGAGATTGAGAGTGGCAACCTGGCACACATAAGACAAAAAAAAATTATACTTTAAGAATCTGAGATCCCAGTTTCATCATATTTGTACAGTAAATCTTTGTTTGCACTCTTACCTATTTAAACCCACTTTGTCAGGTATCTTATTTTTATTTATCATGAGTAATAAAGGAAATTTATGCAGTAATAATGAAACATCATAAGAGAGGGGTGTGGTGCTGGGCTTGTCATTAAACAGGCTGAACCTGTCATTAAATTCTCTTCTGAAGATTTAAATGCCAAGTGCTTTTTTTCCCCTTCCTAATCTTCCTAGGTGAGTTTGAATCAACATTTATTACTTAAAATATTTAAAACATTTCAGCGGATGCTACATTGGATAGGAAGAGAACCGCAAGTTATGGATTTGTTGCCTAAAAACTTTGGTGAGGAACTGCATAAGTGGACCTCTCCTAAAAGTGAACAATTTTTGTTTACAGAATCATTTTGGTTCGGAGTGCTGAGGAAGACAAAGTCTTAACAGGAGGGCAATTGCTTGTGTATTGCAAAATGAGAGTCTTCACATGTTTTTTTTAGGATACCTTAGCTCTGACTCCTCATCCCCCAAATCCCTGTAGAATTAAAAAAAGCTCTTTCTTTTAAAGGCAGTGGAAGTGCCACCACCATGGAAGTGCTGGTTAGGGCTGAAAATCTACTGACAGAGCCTCAACAGAGCTGAAATCCACCTGGACAGGGAAGGGAACCGGGTAGCATTAATAACAATTTCTTTTTCTTTCCCATCCAACCCCCATTTCCTAGTCTTCAGTTTCTTAATTTCTCTACCTTTTACTCTTATGCTCTTGTTTTGACCTTTGAGTTTCTCTGAAACTTATCAGAAAAGTTAGGACAAGATAGTCTGACCCAATTCTTGAGCCATTTTCTTAGGTAGTAAATATGTCAGAAAAATGAAAGCTGTTTGGAGTTGATAAGGAAATGGAAGATAATGTTTTTCTTTGAGGGGGACATAAAGAATGGTGATAGGGAAAGAACCAATGACTAAGTAAAATGACTGAGAATCTTGCACGAGGCAGATGTGTGAGCTTCGCGAAGCAAGTTGACTGAATGAAAAACAACTTTGGGTAGGGAAAACGTTGCCGGGGGCATTCGCGCTTACTAGCACCACGGACAGCGCTTTGCTTATACTCAGGCCTGGGTGGTCCTAACCAGCTCCAGACAGAATTCTAAAGCTTCACACTTGATCTTCCAAAGCCCCTTTTCTCCCGTCAAATAGAAAGGACATTATGGAAGCTCAATGAATTTCTTTGAAAAACCAACCTGCTCAACCTGGTTTTCAAATATGATTGGATTTTATCTAATATTCTCTGTATAAAGAATATTATATAGTCTATATTTAGAAGACGAGAAGAGAAATCAAACTTATTGTGTACTCTGTACGAAGTGCTTTACAGCTGTTGTTTCATTTAATACTCATAAAACTCCTCTGTGGCATGTGTCCATATTTCAATTTTACAGACAAGCCAAAAGGATCAGAGAATTTGAGTGACTTGTATACTAGCTAATCATTGTTGGAGGTGGGTATAACTTTTGCGACTTCAGAGTCTTTTTACCCTTTATACTACATAGTGTTTTTTTTAGCAGCTGTCATGGTAGGCTTAACTGGAAAAAAGTAATAAACTGGCTTATAATTATTTTTCAGTCTACACTGTGTTTTCCAGATGGCTCACCTCACAGCACACCCTTACCAGACTTCAAAGATGACATTTCACATGTAATACAATAGCACATTTGTCTTGGACAATAGAGTGAGATTATGAAACATTTTACCTCTCCTTGAAACCCAGCTGTCTCTAGGGTGAAACACAATCTGTTGTTAATGCTTTAAACACATTTAAAAGATGAAGTGGATGGGAACATAGTGGGCAGCTGAAACTTGGAATTGTCAGAGCCATGTCTTTTAATAAGGTGGAGAATTTATAATTGAGAAGAAAGAAAGAGAAAGTTAATGGTAAATTGGCATAGAATTTTGGAGGTCAGTAGAAGGGAATGAGTGGCATCCATTCCAATGTTGCACATAACTCAGATCACTAGTAATAATATTTTTATATTCTAGTTGGTGAAATTGTCTGTATATGACCTTGATATAGAAGTATGAACAGATCTGCCATCCTCTTTTTCTTCAGCGAGGCAGCCGAGCTGCAGACACAGAGATGCAGATCTTTGTGAAGACCCTCACGGGCAAGACCATCACCCTTGAGGTCGAGCCCAGTGACACCATTGAGAATGTCAGTGCGAAAATTCAAGACAAGGAGGGTATCCCCCCTGACAAGCAGCGTCTGATATTTGCCAGCAAACAGCTGGAGGATGGCCGCACTCTCTCAGACTACAACGTCCAGAAACAGCCCACCCCGCACCTGGTGCTGCACCTGCGAGGTGGCATTATTGAGCCTTCACTCTTCCAGCTCACCTAGAAATACAGCTGAAACAAGATGATCTGCCATAAGCGCTATGCTCTCCTGCACCCCTATGCTGTCAATTGCCGCAAGAAGAAGTGTGGCCACACCAACAACCTGCACCCCAAGAAGGTCAAATAAGGCTCTTCCTTCCTCGGAGGGCAGCCTCCTGCCCAGGCCCCATGGCCCTGGAGCCTCAATAAAGTGTCCCTTTCATTGACTGGAAAAAAAAAAAGTATGAATAGAACTGGTTGACTGGCCAAGAGAAACAGCGACCTAACCTTGCCCTCATTTATGCACACTTTTGCATATGATTAGGACTAAGATAGTGTTTATAAGTGAGAAGAGAAGGAAATTCATAATCACTTTTGGGGCTTTTTCAAATTTTTTATGAACACACCTTCCCACCAAGAGGTTTGATTTTCTCCATTTTATGAGTTGGGTTTATTGCTCCGTGATCCACAGTATATCCACTTCTATATTCCCATGTATTTTTCAAGATTAATTAAATGGTGGACTTGTTCATCATTTTAGTATCCGTATTAGTTTGCTAGGGCTGCCATAACAGAATACCACAGACTGAGTAGCTTAAACAACAAATATTTATTTTCTCAGAGTTTTAACTTCTCCTGAGGCTTCTCTTCTTGACTTGCACATGGCCATCCTACTGCTGCCTCTTCACATAGTCATCCCTCTGTGCACACGTGCCCCTGGATCTCTTGTGTGTGTCCAAATTTCCTCCTCTTTTGAGGACACCAGTCAGATTGGATTAGGGCCCACCCCAATGGCCTTATTTTAACTTAGTCACTTCTTTAAGGGCTCTATTTCCAAATACGGTCAAATTGTGAGGTATTGGGCTTAGGACTTTAATATAAAAATTTAGAGGTGACAGAATTTAACCCATAACAACAGCATCTTAATTTTTACACATTTTACTTTTCATTTCTTTTTAAACTGTTATTAATAATTTATTCATTTGAATAAGGATTAAAATAAGGCTAGGATATTGAAATTGGTTGAAATTGCTACAGTCTCTTGTATCTCTCTCTCTCTCTTTTTTTTCTTATAAGGGACAGGTTTCATTCACCTTGTCGACCAGGCTGGAGTGCAATACTGTGAGCAAGGGTCACTGCTGCCTCGAATTCCTGGGCTTAAGGGATGCTCCTGCCTCATCCTCCAGAGTAGATGGGACTACAGGTGTTGGCCACCATGACTGGCTAATATTTTTACTTTTTTGAAGAGATGAAGTCTTGCCATCTGGCCCAGGCTGGTCCCGAACTCCTGGGCTCACACAATTCTTTCACCTCGGCCCCCCAAAGTGCTGGATTGCAAGTGTGAACCACTGCACCTGGCGTCTTGTTTCCTCTTAATCTACAGTTTCCCCCTTTTGCCTTCTTTTTTTTTCTTTCAATTTATCTATTGCAGAAATTGGCTTTATCTGTAGTTTTCTAAAGCTTGGATTTTGCTGAATGCTTCTTTATAATGACACTTAACATTTTTCTTTGTCATTTGTATTTCTCATAACTTATTATTTAGGCCTAGAGTCTGTATGTGATTCAGGTTTGATATTTGGGCAAAAGTATTTAATAAGTGGGATTACGTACTTTCACCAAGAGACACATAATATGGTTGTCTCTTTCTGTGATTCTAGCAGCCATGGATAATTATTTCATAGATTATTATTTTCTTGGGGATGGCAAAATGGTGATATTCTAATTTTACTATTCCTTCATTTACTAGCTGGAATGTCTTTTTAAATTATTTATTTATTTATTTATTATTTGAGACAGAGTCTTGCACTGTCACCCAGGCTGGAGTGCAGTGGTGTGATCATAGCTCACTGCAACCTGCAACTCCCAGGCTCAAGTGATCCTCCCACCTCAGCTTCCCCAATAGCTAGGACTACAGGCACACATCACCTGGCTAATTTTTAAATTTTTTGTAGAGATGAGGGTCTTGCTTTTTTGCCCAGGCTGGTCTCTAACTACTGGGCTCAGCCTCCTAAGCTCCTCCTGCTTCAGCCTCCCAAAGTGTTGGGATTACAGACATAAGCCACTGTGCCTGGCCTGGAATATTTCTATATAGAAAGTTCTCTTCATTATCTACTTCATTGCTTTCAGGTATATGTAAGAAAGACAGGATAAACCACTAGATTTTGAAATGTATTTATAAATTTTCAAAATAATGAGTTGAGTCCTAGAATCTTTCTTTTATTATTATTATTATTATACTTTAAGTTTTAGGGTACATGTGCACAATGTGCAGGTTAGTTACATAGGTATACATGTGCCATGCTGGTGTGCTGCACCCATTAACTTGTCATTTAGCATTAGATATATATCCTAATGCTATCCCTCCCCCCTCCCCCCACCCCACAACAGTCCCCAGAGTGTGATGTTCCCCTTCCTGTGTCCATGTGTTCTCATTGTTCAATTCCCATCTATGAGTGAGAACATGGCGGTGTTTGGTTTTTTGTCCTTGTGATAGTTTACTGAGAATAATGATTTCCAATTTCATCCATGTCCCTACAAAGGACATGAACTCATCATTTTTATGACTGCATAGTATTCCATGGTGTATATATGCCACATTTTCTTAATCCAGTCTATCATTGTTGGACATTTGGGTTGGTTCCAAGTCTTTGCTATTGTGAATAGTGCCGCAATAAACATACGTGTGCATGTGTCTTTATAGCAGCATGATTTATAATCCTTTGGGTATATACCCAGTAATGGGATGGCTGGGTCAAATGGTATTTCTAGTTCTAGATCCCTGAGAAATCGCCACACTGACTTCCACAATGGTTGAACTAGTTTACAGTCCCACCAACAGTGTAAAAGTGTTCCTATTTCTCCACATCCTCTCCAGCACCTGTTTTTTCCTGACTTTTTTTTTCTATTTCTAGACTCTTTATTAAGATTCATTTTCCTATGAAAAAGTCCATTCTTTAGTCAGTTCTACACTGTCTTGATTAAGGTAGCTTTATAGGAAGTTTTTAAATCAGGTAATGTAACCCCTCCAAATTCATCCTCCCTTTTCGAAATTGTTTGGTCATTCTGAATCCTTTACTTTTTAATATAAATTTAAAAATTATCTTGCCAAATAATCTTGTTTGAATTTTAATTGGGATTGTGTGGAATTTATAGATCAATTTGGGGAAGACTGTCATCTAAAAATATTGAATCTTCAATTCATTAACATGAATTTATTCCCCCATTTATTTTTATTTATTTATTTATTTTTCTTTATTATTATTATACTTTAAGTTTTAGGGTACATGTGCACAATGTGCAGGTTAGTTACATATGTATTCATGTGCCATGCTGGTGCGCTGCACCGACTAACTCATCATCTACCATTAGTTTCCTGACTGTTTAATGATTGCCATTCTAACTGGTGTGAGATGGTATCTCATTGTGGTTTTGATTTGCATTTCTCTGATGGCCAGTGATGATGAGCATTTTTTCATGTGTCTTTTGGCTGCATAAATGTCTTCTTTTGAGAAGTGTCTGTTCATATCCTTCGCCCATTTTTTGATGGGGTTGTTTGTTTTTTTCTTGTAAATTTGTTTGAGTTCATTGTAGATTCTGGATATTAGCCCTTTGTCAGATGAGTAGGTCGCGAAAATTTTCTCCCATTTTGTAGGTTGCCTGTTCACTCTGATGATAGTTTCTTTTGCTGTGCAGAAGCTCTTTAGTTTAATTAGATCCCATTTGTCAATTTTGGCTTTTGTTGCCATTGCTTTTGGTGTTTTAGACATGAAGTCCTTGCCCATGCCTATGTCCTGAATGGTAATGCCTAGGTTTTCTTCTAGGGTTTTTATGGTTTTAGGTCTAATACAAGGGACGTGAAGGACCTCTTCAAGGAGAACTACAAACCACTGCTCAATGAAATAAAAGAGGATACAAACAAATGGAAGAACATTCCATGCTTATGGATAGGAAGAATCAATATCGTGAAAATGGCCATACTGCCCAAGGTAATTTATAGATTCAATGTCATCCCCATCAAGCTGCCAATGACTTTCTTCACAGAATTGGAAAAAACTACTTTAAAGTTCATATGGAACCAAAAAGGAGCCCGCATTGCCAAGTCAATCCTAAGCCAAAAGAACAAAGCTGGAGGCATCATGCAACCTGACTTCAAACTATACTACAAGGCTACAGTAACCAAAACAGCATGGTACTGGTACCAAAACAGAGATATAGATCAATGGAACAGAACAGAGCCCTCAGAAATAACACCGCATATCTACAACTATCTGATCTTTGACAAACCTGAGAAAAACAAGCAATGGGGAAAGGATTCCCTATTGAATAAATGGTGCTGGGAAAACTGGCTAGCCATATGTAGAAAGCTGAAACTGGATCCCTTCCTTACACCTTATACAAAAATTAATTCAAGATGGATTAAAGAGTCGTAGCATCTTTCAAAGGTGACTAATGATTTTAACATTATTACTATAAACCTATAGATTTAAACATAATTGCTATGTTTTAACCCATTATAGTTATTATTCCTGTTGATGATCAAGCTCTATCTTTGGCCAGTGGGAGCCTCTGCAAATTGATTAGTGAATCTTTTTGACATGGAACTATTAGTCTTTGACAAAATCTTTGATTTCTGGTATGACAATATATTCCAGTTTTATCTTATATACTTCCAGTCCTATACATAATATTAACTTTTTTTCAAAGAATTACTGGTTTTATTTTTAGTGGGAAATGGCATTTAAAATAAGGAAGTTGGCGAGGCGCAGTGGCTCACGCCTGTAATCCCAGCACTTTGGGAGGCCGAGGCGCGCAGATCACAAGGTCAGGAGTTCGAGACCAGCCTGGCCAATATGGTGAAACCCCATCTCTACTAAAAACAAACAAAATTAGCCAGACGTGGTGGCACACACCTGTAGTCCCAGCTACTCAGGAGGCTGAAGCAGAAAAAAATAAATAAAATAAGGAAGTCTGCCTATATGGGTTATCTACCTCTTTTTTAGGGCTCAACCTACCCGTTTCACACAAACCCAACTGAATTCGGACTCTATATGTGCTAGGCAAGTTTGAGCTTTTTCAGGTGTACACACAGGGTTTACTGAACTCTGGCATATAATTATTTATTTATTCATTTTATCAAGTTTTGTCCTATCATTGAAACTCATTCTTGAATAAAGTTATTATATTTAGTTCAGTTACAGCAGACACCCCATTTTGAAAACATTATGTCAACATTGGCTTGTGTACCTTGTCACATCAGTAATGTACAGTTCTCATTTACCAGAAATTTTTATATGAACAACATATTGAAGTTATTAAGTTAATGAATTCTGCCAAGGTATTGGTATATATTTGTTCATTATAAGCATTTAAAAACAAAGGAACCTTTTAAAGTTGAAGATAATTTAATGGGCCATTGCATGCAAAGAGGTGTTGCATTAGTAACCAACCTTAAACTACTGCTGAAACAACTTTATGCTTGAGTTAGATATGTTGATGGGAGCCAATAATTGTGAAATTTGTGTATCCAGACTCTCTTCTGCTCTGTTCTTAATGGATCTAGTGTTAATGTTAGAATCTAGTGCATTTCACAACTGTTGCTATTATAGATGGAATATCAGGAGGGGTAGTGAGGTATTGAGATAGATGAAAACATTTTCTAAAAGTGGCTCACGCCTGTAATCCCAGCACTTTGGGAGGCTGAGGTGGGTGGATCACCTGAGGTCAGGAGTTCAAGACCAGCCTGACCAACATGGTGAAACCATGTCTCTACTAAAAATACAAAAATTAGCTGGGGGTGGTGTCAGGCACCTGTAATCCCAGCTACCAGGGAGGCTGAGGCAGGAGAATTGCTTGAACCCAGGAGGCAGAGGTTGAGTTTTCTCCACAGCTTTGGATCCTGATGACTTTTTTTTTTTTAATTGTTACTTTCAACTTCCTTGCTTTGACTGAAGCCATACTTACATATTACTGATAACATATGCCATGGGCCGCGCATGGTGGCTCACGCCTGTAATCCCAGCACTTTGGGAGGCCGAGGCGGGTGGATCACCTGAGGTCAGCAGTTCAGACCAGCCTGGCCAACATGGCGAAACCCCGTCTCTACTAAAAATACAAAAATTAGCTGGGCTTGGTGGTGGGCTCCTGTAATCCCAGCTACTCGGGAGGCTGAGGGAGGAGAATCGCTTGAACCTGGGAGGCAGAGGTTGCCTGTGCACTCGGGCCACTGCCGTCCAGCCTGGGTGACAGCGCAAGACTTCATCTAAAAACAAACAAAGAAAAACATAATCCATGTATGTGATGTAAAGAGCGCCAACATGTTTATATCCTCCTATTTCAATCTACTTTTACTTCATCTACATTTTTAGCAATAATGTGAACATGAAATCTTGAATAATTAGCTATCTGTAATATATTTACTCATCCACTCAAAATATTGAGCCCCCCCAATAAATATCATACACTATATTCTAGGTACAGGTGATAAACAATTCAGAGAGTATTAATTTCAAAACATGGTAAGTGCATAGTGAGAGAGCTGATCTGGTCTGGTGGTTGAGGGAATCAAGAGATATTTGAGTTGAGGTCTGCAGTATTATAGAAAATTAACTAATCAAAAGAGAGGCAGTCATTCCAAGGAAGGGGATGTGAGTCAGAAGAAACTGCATGTGGCAAGCTCTGAGGTGGGACAAAGCAAGGACATATTGAAGGAATTGTGACTGGAGCATAGGGATGGAGGAAAACATTGTAGCTAGCTGAGAAATAAGCATGGAAAAATGTTGTAGAGCTGTATAGGCCATGTTAGGACTTTTGTCTTTATCTTAAGGATAAGCCATTGATGTGTTTATAAAGACACATGATGTGATCAGATTTTCAGTTAAATTTAAAAAATACTTGGAATGCATTTTGGAGAATGGTTTAGGGGAGAGGCAAGAGTGGATTCTGTGGGCCAGTAGTTCAGAGGATAGGTTATGGTAGCTTGGACTAAAGTGCCTGAGCCAAGATGGAGAGAAGTAGATTGCTTTAAGACATATTTAAAGAATAACATCAGCACTTAGCAATGAACTGGAGATGGAAGATGAGGGAAGGGAAGGTGTTAGGCAGGTTTTTACAATGAGAGAGGTTGGTGATCATGGTCACCAAGGTAGGGAATGCTGGATGAGGATGCAGTTTAAGGTGAAGATTATGAGTTCAGGTTCAGCAAAACTGAACTTGAGACATGGTGAACTATCAAGGTGGAGATATCCAGTGAAAGTTAGAGAGAGGGGTCTAGAGCTCAGGGAGGAGTGTGTATCCCTAATTTAGACTAATTTGCATTAACAGCTGTAGTAATGCAATTTTCTCTATACTGAAATGCAGACATTTGAGTATAGAAAATTAGCAGACATTTGAATATAGAAGAAAGATTTACTTTCCTTCAGAAAAAGAATAGTAGAGTATAAAGAATAATATTTAATCCTAGGAATTAATACCAAACCCTTTAAAAAAAACTTTTAAGTTCAGGGGTACATGTGCAGGTTTGTTACATAGGTTAAACTTCTGTCATGAGGGTTTGTTGTACAGATTGTTTCATCACCCAGGTATTAAGTCTAGTACTTGTTAGTTAGTTATTTTTCCTTATTTTCTCCCTCCACCCATCTTCCACCTTCTGATAGGCCCCGGTGTGTGTTGTTCCCCTCTGTGTGTTCATGTGTTCTCATCATTTATCTTCCACTTATAAGTGAGAACATGTGGTATTTGGTTTTCTGTTCCTGCATTAGTTTGCTAAGCATAATGGCTTCCAGCTCCATCCATGTCCCTGCAAAAGGACATGCTATTGTTCTTTTTTTATGGCTGCATAGTATTCCATGGTGTATATGTACCACATTTTCTTTATCCAGTCTATCACTGATGGGCATTTATGTTGATTCAATTTTTTTTGGCTATTGTGAATACTATTGCAATAAACATACACATGCAAGTGTCTTCATAATAGAATGATTTATATTCCTTTGGGTGTATACCCAGTAATGGGATTGCTGGGTTGAATGGTATTTCTGTCTTTAGGTCTTTGAGGAATCATCGCACAGTCCCCCACAATGGTTGAACCAATTTACACTCCCACCAGCAGAGTCTAAGTGTTCCTTTTTCTCCACTACCTCAACAGCATCTGTTATTTTTTTTGACTTTTTAATAATAGCCATTCTGACTTGTGTGAGATAGTATCTCATTGTGGTTTTGATTTGCATTTTTCTAATGATCAGTGATGTTGAGCTTTTCTTCATATGATTGTTAGCCACATGTATGTCTTCTTTTGAACAGTGTCTGTTCATGTCCTTTGCCCATTTTTTAATAGGGGTGTTTTATTCTTGTAAATTTGTTTAAGGTCTTTATAGATGCTGGATATTAGACCTTTGTCAGATGCATAGTTTAAAGAAATGTTCTCCCATTCTGTAGGTTGTCTGTTTACTCTGTTGATAGTTTCTTTTACCGTGCAGAAGCTTTTTAGTTTAATTAGATTGCATTTGTCAATTTTTTCTTTTGATGCAATTGCTCTGTGTCTTCCTCATGAAATCTTTGCCTGTACCTATGTTCTGAATGGTACTGCCTAGACTGTCTTCCAGGGTTTTGATAGTTTTGGGTTTTACATTTAAGTCTTTACTCTATCTTGAGTTAAGTTTTGTATATGGTGTAAGGAAGGGGTCCAGATTTAATCTTCTGCATATGGCTAGCCAGTTATCCCAGCACCATTTATTGAATAGGGAATCTGTTCTCCATTGCTTGTTTTTGTCAGGTTTGTTGAAGATCAGATAGTTGGAGGTGTGTAGTCTCATTTCTGGGTTCTCTGTTCTGTTCCATTAGTCTGTGTCTGCTTTTTTTTATGTTCTTAACTTTTATTTATTTATTTATTCATGTATTCATTTATTTTTACCAGTGCCATGTTGTTTTGGTTGCTGTAGCCCTGTAGTATAGTTTGAAGTCAGGTAATGTGATGCCTCCAGCTTTGTTCTTTCTGCTTAGGATTGGTTTGGAAAATTAGGGCACTTTTTTGGTTCCATATGACTTTTAAAATAGTTTTTTCTAGTTCTATGAAGAGATTCAATGGTAGTTTCATAGGTATAGCACTGAATCTATAAATTGCTTTGGCCAGTATGGCCATTTTCACAATACTGATTCTTCCTATACATGAGCATAGAATGCTTTTCCATTTGTTTATGTTATCTCTGATTTCCTTGAGCAGTAGTTTGTGGTTCTCCTTGTAGAGATTTTTTTTTGTATCCTGAGACTTTGCTGAAGTTGTTTATCAGCTTAAGAAGCTTTTGGGCTGAGACAATGGGGTCTTCTAGATATAAGATCATGTCACCTGCAAAGAAAGATAGTTTGACTTCCTCTCTTCTTATTTGGATGCCTTTATTTCTTTCTCTTCCCTGATTGCCCTTGCCAGAATATTCAATACTATGTTGAATAGAAGTGTTGAATAGAAACTAATGCTGCAAGCATTAGTTTCAAAGAACTTCTTGATTTCTGCCTTAATTTGATTGTTTACCCAAAAGTCATTCAGGAGCAGGCGTTTCACTTTCCGTGTAATTGTATGGTTTTGAGTGAATTTCTTAGTATTCATCTCTAATTTAATTGTGCTGTGGTCTGGGAGACAGTTTGTTATGATTTCAGTTCTTTTGCATTTGCTGAGGAGTGTTTTAATTCCAATTATGTGATCAATTTTAGAGTATGTGCCATGTGGTAATGAGAAGAATGTAGATTCTGTTGTTTTTCACTGGAGAGTTTTGTATATATCTATCAGGTTCATTTGATCCAGTGTTGAGTTCAGGTCCTGAATATCTTGGTTAATTTTCTGTCTCGGTGATCTGTCTAATATTCTCACTGGGGTGTTAAAGTCTCCCACTATTATTGTGTGGGAGTCAGTCTCTTTGAAGGTCTGTAAGAACATGATTATGAATCTGGGTGTTCCTGTGTTGGGTGTATATATATTTAGGATAGTTAGATTTTCTCGTTGAATTGAACCCTTTACCATTATGTAATGCGTTTCTTTGTCTTTTTTGTTCTTGTTGGTTTAAAGTCTGTTTTGTCAGAAACTAGGATTGGAACCCTGCTTTTTTCTGATTTGCATTTCCTTGATATATTTTTCTCCATCCTTTTATTTTGAGCCTATCTCATTGCATGTAAGATGGATCTCTTGAAGACAGCATACCGATGGGTCTTGGCTCTTTACTTGGCTTGCCGCTCTGTCTTCTAATTGGTGCATTTAGCCTATTTACATTTAAGGTTATGATCCTGTCATCATAATGCTAGCTGGTTGCTTTGCAGACTTGTTTTTGTGGTTGCTTTATAGTGTTACTAATTTGTGTACTTCAGTGTGTTTTTATAGTGACTGGTAATGGTCTTTCCTTTCCACAATTAGTGCTTCCTTCAGGAGCTCTTGTAAGGCAGGTCTGGTGGTAACTAATTCCTTCAGCATTTGCTTGTCTGCAAAGGATCTTATTTTTCCTTCTCTTATGAAACTTAGTTTGACCAGATATAAAATTCTGGGTTGGAGTTTCTTTTCTTTAAAAACA
This sequence comes from Homo sapiens, assembly GCF_000001405.40. NCBI lineage: Eukaryota > Metazoa > Chordata > Mammalia > Primates > Hominidae > Homo > Homo sapiens. The sequence continues at coordinate 22,022,941 of NC_000009.12, forward strand.
TTGAATATTGGCCTCCAATCACTTCTGGCTTGTAGGGTTTCAGCTGAGAGGTCTGTTGTTAGTCTGATGGGGTTCCCTTTGTAACCTGGGCTTTCTCTCTGGCTGCCTTTAACATTTGTTCTTTCATTTTGACCTTAGAGAATATGATGATTATGTGTCTTGGGGATGAACTTATTATGGGGTATCTTACTGGGGTTCTCTGCATTTCCTGAACTTGAATGTTGGCCTCTCTGGCTAGGATGGGGAAGTTCTCATGGATGATATTTTAAAATATGCTTTCCAAGTTGGTTCCACTATCTTCCATTTTTTTCAGGTAAACCAATGAATTGTAGATGTGGTCTCTATATAATCCTATATTTCTAGGAGGTTTTGTTTATTCATTTTTATTCTTTTTTCTCTATTCTTGTCTGCTTGTCTAATTTTGGAAAGGTAGTCTTCAAGCTTGGAAATTCTCTCCTTCACTTAGTCTATTCTGTTATTAATACTTGTGATTGCATTATGAAATTTTGGGGGTTGGGAGTGGTGGCTCACACCTGTAATTCCAGCACTTTGGGAGGCTGAGGTGGGTGGATCATTTGAGGTCAGGAGTTTGAGACCAGCCTGGATAATGTGGTGAAACCCCACCTCTACTAAAAATACCAAAAAAAAAAATCATAGCTGGGCATGGGGGAACATGCTTATAATCTCAGCTACTGGGGAGACTGAGGCAGGAGAATTGCTTGAACCTGGGAGATGAAGGTTGCAGTGAGCTGAGATCGTGCCACTGCACTCCAGCCTGGGTGAGTTGAGAGTCCGTATCAAAAGCAAACCTACACATTTTTGTGGCCTGTTTTTAGCTCTATCAAGTCAGTTACATTCTTCTGTATTCTAGCTTTTTTATCTGTAAGCTCCTGCAATGCTTTATTAGAATTTTTAGTTCCTTTGCATTTTGTTACAACATACTCCTATAACTCTGCGAACTTCATTCCTATCCATATTCTGAATTCTGCTTCTATCATTTCAGCCATCTCAGCCTCAGCCTGGTACTGAACGCTTGCCAGAGAGGTGATGTGGTCCTTTGGAGGAAAGAAGGTACTCTTGATTATTGAGTTTTCAGTGTTCTTGTGCTGATTATTTCTTATCTTTGTGGGCTCATCTACCTTCAATCTTTGAGGTTGCTGACATTTGGATTATTTTTTCTTTTATCCTATTTGATGACCTTGAGGGTTTGATTGTGTTATAAGGTCAATTCAACCAACTAGCTTTGTATCTGGAAGACTTTAGGGGGCCATCGTTCACCTCCCAACTCCTGGACTGCATGTTCTAACTCTGGATGACTTGTATTGGGCCCCAACTTTGTTCTCTGGTTCCTCGAGGTTTGGAGTCTACTTTGTTGGAGGACCAAGGTGTGGCAGCTCCAGCTGGGTGCTAGCGGATTCAGGGGTGCCTGCCTCCCTGCAGGCATTCACCATGCTAGTGAAGGCAAGGCATTTTTGTGGGGAACAGGAGGCTCCTGCTATAGACTGTCTGTGCTTTTGCACTGGTGATGGTGTTGGTTTGGTGAGAGGCACTGACCAGTGCAGATCTGAGTGCCTTCTTGGTCACCTGCAAGCAGGAGGGATTGCTCAGGGTGTGGGAGGATCCTCTGTTCTCCATGCAGCATTACCACAAGAGTGAGGCACTGGCAGCTGCAGGGCTTGCTGGCTGTGTGCTGCTAAGGTTCTGTCTGCAATGGTGGTTGACAGAGGTCAAGGGGCATACTTCCCTCCTGTATGCTAGTGGGGCAACTAAAGCAAATTCCACCTGTGCAGACATGTGCCTGCAAAGTGATGTGGGGAGTTGCCATGGGCTCAGGGGAAGTTGCAGTATGGGTAGCGAACACCCGGCTGGTGTGCGCAGTAAGGGCTGTCTTGCTGGAGTTCTCCACTGGTCAGGCATGGCCCACTGGTGCAGAAGCTATTCTGTGGGCCACCACAGCACCCAAGATGGCCCTAGAAGAGGCCAGCAGACCAAGGAGTGCTCAGGTTGCACCAGCCCTGACTGATGTACAAGACCACTCTGCAGATATCAAGTCTGAAAATTCCCCTAGGGCCAAAGTCTATTATGGGAGCAAGTTGAGCCTAGAGGGATCGCCATCCCTGTCCATGCACTGCTGTAGACACTCCTGCACTAAACCCTCTGGGCTCCACATCAGCTGGCTTGCTGCTCTACCACTTTGCTTGTCTCTTGGGGGCTCCACCCCAGAGAGATGTGGGTCAGCAATCATTCAGTTCAATCAGCCCAGGATGGAGAGTCTGTGCTATGGGCCCAAGCCAGGGGCTCTCTGTCTGGTGACGAGCAGCTGGGGGGTGGGGTGGGACCTGTGGGAGATGGACTGGCCTCCTCTCCTTGAGTCAACTGCTGCTTATTGGAGGTGTGGATGAGACACTTAGGGTCTTTGCTCCTTTATTAGTCAGAGGGTAGCAAGGACAGTTCCATTGCAGAGGTAGTGGCAGAGAGGCTTTCAGTTGTCCGTGGCGGCTCTGTCCAGGGAGTTGCTGAGTTGCTATTGGCTTGATATCTCTGGTGGGGTGTGGCTAGAGGTCCAGGCCTGGAGGACCTGCTCGTTGAAGAGATGTGGGAATGGGCACCCACATAACAGTCTGTTCACTTTTCCATAGGGCTGCTGTAGTATGCTGGGGGCCAGCTCCAGTCCCTGGTCACTTTAGATTTTCCAGTACCTGGAGGTGTCACCAGTGAAAGCTGCGAAACAGCAAAGATGGTGGCCTTCCTTTCTCTCTGGGAGCTCCATCCCTGGGAAATACAGGCCTGTTGCTGGCCCGAACACACTGGTAGGACATGGCTGAAGACGCTAGTTGGGAGACCTCACCCAGCCAGGAGGAATAGGATCAGGGACCTGCTTTCAAAAGTAGTCTTGCCCCATTTTCATAGAGGAGTTGTGCCATACTGGGGGTATGCTTTAGCCCCTGATTGCCTCAGACACTCTGAAGCCCAAAGGCTGGAATGGCTAAGTTGTTCTAACAGCAAATATGGTGGGCTGCTCCTCTCCCTGGGACAAAGGTCCCATGGAAGTCTGAAACCTCTCTCAGTCAGAGAACACCAGTTGGGGTAGCCGGGGACCCCAGATGGGAGACTCTACCCAGTGATGAGGAACGGGATTGGGGACCTGCTAAAAAAAAAAAAAAAGCAGTGTGGCCACATTTTTGTCGGGCAGCTGTTCTGTGCTGGGGTTCCCCTTCCACCCCTGCTTAAGCTCCCCAAAGCCTGAAGGCTGGAATGGGTAAGTTGCCCAAACAGCAAAGATGGCAGCCTGCCCCTCCCTCTGGGAGCTCTGTCCCAGGGAGTTTTCAGATCTCTGTCAGCTGGAGAACACTGGCAGGTGTGGCTGGAGGCCCCAGTTGGGAGGTCCCGCCTGTAAGGATGAATGGGATCGGGGACCAACTTAAAGCAGCAGTCTGGCCACATTTTAATAGAGCAACTGTGCTGTGCTGGGGGATCTCTTTGGCCCCTGGTTAGTTTGGACTCTCCAAAGCCCAAAGGCCATAATGGCTAAGTTGCCCAAACAGCAGAGATGGGGGCCTGCCCCTCCTCCTGGGAGCTTTGTACCAGGGAGGCACAATGTTGCTACTGGTGGCTAGCTGGAATTCCAAGCCAGTGGGTCTTATCCTGTGAGGCGCTGTGGAAGTGGGGCCTGTAGACCTTCTCTGCTGATCTCGCTGGATTCAGCCTCTTTTCTGGGGTATGTATGGGAGTCTAACCTCCTGGGGTATGTTTGGGGGTCTAACCTCCAGCTTTGCCAAAGTCGCAGCTACTTTTGCCCAGACACCCAGAAAGCTGGAGTAGCTAAAGCTCTTGGGTCTCCATGCATGCCTGAGTGGCTGCTCTGCTGAGACTCCACGTGGCTGTGTGTGAAGGGCCTAATGGAGTGAGTTCACAAGGGGATCTCCTGATCTGAGGTTTGCAAAGATCTGTGAGAGCAGTGTGGATTCCCAGAGTTGCGCATTCACTTACCACTTCCCTGGGAAGGGGAGTTTCCCTTGACTCCACGTCTTTCCCAAGTGGGCTGTCTTCCTGCCTTGATTTGCTCTGGTCTCCGTGGGTCGAGTTGTTTCCTTGATTACTTCCAATGAGAGTACCTTAATGTTTCAGTTGAAGGTGCTATATTTAGTCACCCCTTTCTTTCCGCCCTGTGAGAGTCACACACATTAACTGCTTCTAGTTGGCCATCTTGGCCACTCCTGCCCTAAACCTTTCTAGCAAAAAAAAAAAAAAAATTAATAACATGTTGATCTACCGCTTCTCTCTCTTTAAATTTATTTAATCATTATGAATTTTTTTACATTTATTTACATTGTTAAGCTGTTTTATTTTAAAAATTCTAGGTCCAGCTCTTCCTGGATTGCTTTTATATAAGGAACATATCTCATGAAATAAATAAAATTCACATTCAAATGCAGAAGAATCTATTGGAAAAAACTCAGAGGACAGGATAAAAGCACTCAGAAAAAATGCCAGGAGAAGGCGTTTATCACATAATATCGCTGATAAGAGTCTCTCGAAAATTTTTCTCTCTATTCATTCTTACCAAATATAGAAAGTGAACAAAACAATATTAGTATTAGAAAAAACATCCAAAAATAATGACCTTTCTGAATGAAGACTGCTTTTTTCATGGTTACTCTTTTTGGGGTACAGTTCTATGTTGATTTATCCAATTTATCAAATAGCCATTCAGCAAATATTTATTGAGTGTCTGTTATGTCACAGGCACTCTTTTCGGTCCTCAAAATACATCCGTGACAAAGAGTAAAAGATTCCTGTTCATGGCTCTTACATTCCAGGAGGGATAGCAATTTCTTTTGTAAAGTTAATCACACAACAGAAATGTGAAATAATATTGATGCTGTAAGGAAAGGAAAAATAAATGAAATAAATTGAAAAAGAAATGTGAAGGAATAATTAAAAGAGGCTATATTTTATTGAATAAAAATAAAAGAGGCTATGTTTTATTGAATATGCTCCATGTTTTATACTATATCATAAAACATACAAGATCTGGCTTTTAAGAAATCAATATCTTCATCAATATCTTCATTCAGACTCATCTAGATTAGATTACTCTGAATCTAATCACATAGAGACTTGTCTGACAAATCCAGATTTTTTGGACGTTCTGCAGGACTATTTGTCAGGATATTTCACAGGATTCCAAGAAATAATATTGGTGTCCATGCTATAATGATTCCTCAGCTCCTCCCATCTGATAAAATATTGATTTCTTATACATATAAAACATATAAAAATATTTAAAATATTTTTTGTTATATGAGTGAATCAATAATAAAACCACTATCTCAATAATCATCAACTGATTGCAAACTGATTGTTCATCTCAGAAAAACCTTGGCAGAGTTAAAATAAAAGTTTCAAAATACAGAACTTAGTACCAAAATTAAGGCAGTGTTAGGTTTCTAATTTTGCTATTCACATGTTAAATGAATTTTCAAAATTCAGTAGCTAATACTAGCTAGGGTTTTAAACAAGACATAGTTAAAATGAAACTTTAAAAAAAGAATCATAAACTTCAGTATCATCATGATGGCAGTTTTAGGATTTTAATGTTGACACCCTAGTCTCAAATTTGTACTTAATGTGGTTATATAGCTAGGCAGTGCTGGAGTGAAAGTTTCAAAACAAATTAAAATCAAAAGTTAAGAAAAAAATATGAAGGCAATTTTAAGGTGTTTAATTTGGCACTGTAGTTTCAAAATAGTACCTGAAACTTAACAGCAAAGTATCAGATTCATTTATAAAACAATGTGACTGATCTTTATGTATGGTTTGTGAAACATTTATGCAGTGTCACTTCAGAAAACTCTGCCATTATAGATTTGAATTGATTAAGGATATCCACTCCTTTCCTTGGCATGATACAAATAAATTACTAAAGTATAATTGTAACAATGATAAATATAAGTGACAATACCACCATATTACTATGAAACACAGATTGATTATGGTATAATACAATTTAGCATCTCCATATTTTTGAAAATGAACTTGTTTCTCTAACTGGCTTAATTTGGGACAATTTGGACATCAAAAAGAATGATGATGCAATTTAAACCATACAAAAATTAAAAAAAAAAATCCAAGGGACGGTGGTGAAAGTCTTCTTTCTAGAAGAATAGCAGCTAATATACACAGAACGAATCTTAGAATTAGAAAATCACTATATTTTGATCCCCTTCCCCAAAGGGTGACAAAACCATTGGTAGACAGTGGTTGAGAAACAGAATAGTCTCAGGATATCACTCCGTAGATTTATTCATTAATTAAAAAGAGAAAATGTGCTTTGAGAGAGAGAAAGCTATTACCGTCTTTATCAAATAGGAGAGCCTGATCATGTGTGGTCTGAAGTTTATCTAATGGGATTCCTGATGGAATGTTTAGTCTGAATCTAATCACATAGAGACTTGTCTGACAAATCCAGATTTTTTGGATGTTTTGCAGGACTATTTGCCACGACATTTCAAAGGATTCCAAGAGAGAATATTGGTGTCCATGCTGTGATGATTCCTCAGCTCCTCTCATCTGATCTCCGTCCTGGCCCCCATGACTTTCTTTGTGGTAGTTAGGGTGTGGTATGTGCCACTGAGGCCCACACCTATTGCTGTAAGTGCTGTTTGGGAAACCATCATCTTTCAGGTCTGTGTGATAAAAGAAGAGCCTTGGGGAAATGTTCTCTTCCAAATTTAATCTTTACATTATTAGAAAATATTTTGATGACCTGTTTTCAAATATTTTCTTATAACTTTCCATTTTCATGTGTTTATTCTGACAGTTTATTTTATCTTGTATTTATAATCACTAAGATGTTAGTATTGTAATATTAATATTACATGATTTAAATTAGGAAAAATGTGTTTTCTATTACAAAATGGATAGTGGATAATTTAAGTATAGAAAGTAATATTTTCTATATGGGACTATTTCACTCTCTGTAATATCCTGAATTCTAATTCCCACTGTAGTGAGCTATAACTTTACTAATCAGTTTTCTTACAATCGATTTTAAGTCTATTTTGTTAGATCTAAAGACATAAAGCCAAAAGTTCTTCTTGAAGAGAAGCACATTTCAGTTACGTTTATAACTTGAAATATCTGGTTTTACTCAAAACTCACATGTCATACTGAAAAACAGAAGGGAGATGTTGTCTTTTCTTGAGGAGAGACTTCTCTGCAGTTAAACAGCTCACCACATGTTTAGAGTACATAGACAATACACTTCCTCTTTTGTAATGTAGATTTCAGCTTTTTGCTTGTAGAATTATCATTGGCGTGGAGGTTATACAGGGGAAGTAGTGAAAAATGTAGCCAATACCAGGAACCTTAGGAAGTGTCTGAACTTCATCTTTTCTGTGTTCCTTTGCCCTTAGGGGGTCAGTGTAAGAGTTTGGGCTAGGAAGAGATTGCTTCTTTTACTCTATTTAGTTTGTACTTCCTATCTGGGTATTTGACAATAAATGACTCATTCTCTTTGTTTGCCCTGGTGTTGAAAAATTTTCCCATATGCCAGAGAAAAAATGTTACAGTGACACAATGTAAAATTGTAAGAGGTGGAAAAAGATGAGGTATGGACATAGTGAATGGAAGTTCAGCCCTTTAAAACTACTGGCAGAGTAGATTTTACTCAGGCTTCAATTAAGTAGACCTGAATGTAAATTCAGGTCTAGCTCTGCAACTTACTAGGTAAGTGACTTTAGTCCTCTTTAAGATTTAGTTTCCTCATTACAGGATATAATAATACTATTTTTCTTATGAGGTAAGTATTAATTGAAATAGTATATGTACATTCTAGCATACAGTGATCCCCTAATAAATGGAACTTATCATTAATACATTGCTAGGAAAAGAAAAACACATCAGGGAACAAAAGATATAACTGTCTTATTGATAACAGGGGATGGATTCTTGTGGACAAAAAAATTTAGAATTGAATTTTCAAGGGGTCATTTCTTTCACCAGGTGTAGTTAGGTTTGCTCTTATGGTAACAATGAATATGTTTGTTTAGCTTCTTAAACCGGCATCATGGAACGTTAATTAATAAACAGAATTCAATGTATTTGTGGGGCATTTTATTTTTTATGCAATCATTTGTATATATCACCTTCACAATGCATGCCACATTCTCAGACCACCTATTATGTTATTTTCTTAACATTTTTCTTCAAATTCACTCACCCTTTTAAAAACTTTACTGAAGTCTCACTTAAGCACATAATTTGTAAAATCATGGGTTTGTTGTGCAAGTTTTGTTTTTCTAATACACTCTAAAACAAATACCTTAAAAGAGTTACACCTACAGTCCATATACCACCCATAATCATCTCAAGTACCTCCAGTGCTTGTTACTGCACTTTGGAAAACACTAACATACATTATTCTCATTAGTTTTTATAATAGTTATATGAGGTGAATAGAGAAGGCATAACTATACCCATTTTAAAGATGAGAAAAGCAGGTTCATGGATAAAATCTCATAGTAAATTGCTAGAATTGGTCCTGATACTCATGCTTTCTTTAGATCAACCCAGTGCTCTTACTGTAATTGATACCAAATTCTTTAAGGAAACTTAGAGCTAAAAGTAAAATTTTTTGTATTTAGACCTGATTATTTTGTGGTAATTTGAATATAGGTCAATATGAAAAAAAATAAAAGATGAAACAAAGAAACTGAGAGCAGATCACCAAGTTGCGGTAGGTTAGCCTAAGATAGCTTTTGGTTTTCTCAGCCTTCTACTATTCACAGCTTTGTGTAATCCCCTCCACTTGAGTATCTTGCTCATACCAATAGAATATGGTAGTAGAGTAGAGGTCACCTCTCTGATAAGTTTACAGAAGATTGCGACCTCCGTCTTGCCAGAGTACTTCCTCTCTTGCTGGTTTTGATGAAGCAGGCTGCCACAGAAGAGAGGCTCACATGGCAGGGACCTGAGGGCAGCCTCTGGCCAACAGCAAGCAGTAAACAGATGCCCTCAGTTCAATATCCCTCAAAGAAATGAATCTTACCAACAGCCAGTTGTGTTAGCTGGGAAGCAAATCTTTCCCTAAGGGAGATTTCAGATGAGGCCCCCAGCCTTGGTAGACACCTTGATTGCAGTCTTGTGAGAGATTGTGAAGCAGAGCTATTCTCAGAATTCATGGGTGTTTTAAGCTATGAGGTTTTTTTTGGGGGGAGAATGGTCATTTGTGATTCAGCTATACATAAGTCTACAAAAGTCATTCCAGAAGTGATTCAGTGGAGGTAGAATCATGTGGTTGTGAGCCCCAGGCACTTGGAGTTCTGATAGAATTGTGACTTCTAACACTGGACACCTTTTCTTTTTCTCTTATTCTCCCATTTTTCTCCTTTCCCCTTTTCCTCCCTTCCTTCCCTTCATTCCTTCTACTTTTTCCGTACTTTAAATTAATAGAGCAGTTGGAAACACAAAAGCAATGTCTGTATCTACAAAATGTCATTATTTATACTTTGTATCCACAGTGTGCTGCCTAGGGCTTCATGCCTGAGGTGCATCTGTAGAAGGTGCTCAACAAAGGCTTGGCTGTTGGTATTATTGAATCACTGTGGAGTTTATTCATTGTTGTCCATGCCATTTTGAGTTTTCATTTTTTTATTTATGGGAGTGTCTTTATTCTTTTAAAGAGCTTTGTTTGTACACTCATTTTCTCTCTCTCTCTTTTCTTCCACAGGCAATTTATAGCACTGATCTGTCATCAATACCACTTGCTGTCTTGGATGTGAAGATGATTTTTCCTGCAGGGATTCCCTCTACAAAATTAAAAACACTGGGCATGTGGAAATAATATTCATGCTTTAAATTGTCTTTTCTCTTCACTACACCAGGGGTCCCCAACCCCTAGGCCACAGACTGTGGCCCTAGTGTAGTGAATAGAAAAGACAATTTAAAGCGTGAATATTATTTCCTCATGCCCAGTGTTTTTAATTTTGTACTGGTCTGTGGCTTGTTAGAAACCAGGCTGCACAGCAGAAGGTGGGCAGCAGGTGAGCAAGCATTACTGCTTGAGTTCCGCCTCCTGTCAGATCAGCAGTGGCATTAGATTCTCATAGGAGCACAAACCCTATTGTGAACTGCACACGCAAGGGATCTAGGTTGTGCGCCCTTTATGAGAATCTAACTAATGGCTGATGATCTGACGTGGAACAGTTTCAACCCAGAGCACCCCCCACCCACCTGCAGAAGAATTGACTTTTACGAAACCAGTCCCTGGTGCCAAAAAGGTTGGGGACCACCGCTGCACTACACTACCTAAAAGATTTTCACTTTCACAGTGTTGCTTGCTTCTGTTTTACATGCACAAGTAGCTAAAGCTAGCCTTCTGGTAAATGGAGGGGCAGAGCAGATGGTGGGGGAGGAGTACATACGGACGAATTTGAATCACAATTTCCTCACTATATGCCAGCAAAATTTAATAATAGCACCTAAACATACACATGCATATGTAAATGAGTCACACTATAAAAACTTTTAACAAGTACTGGCAAGTCAGATGGCAGACTTACCCTGAAACCTGCCACTCCAATAAAAACCTCATAATTAAAAACAAGGCTGTCTATAAAGCATAACATATAATAACAATTATTTGCAACTGGTACAAGGCTAGATTAGAAAGTTGAAAGTTATCTTTCTCAGGTAAAAATGCTTTTCCTATACAGTATGCAGCCAGCAGATTATCATCCATAGTTTGAGTAGTGAGATGCCACTTGCTCCAACAATTAACACCTGCTGATGTTGGTCCAAGAAGAGACTGAGGTGATGCAGTTTCACCTGTTTTGTAAGAATAACGCTGGTGTTTGCCATCTATTGACAGAGTGCCTACTACGTGCCAGATGCTTTGTTGGCACTGAATGTGCTATCTCATTCCAGTTTCTTTATACTCAATGAAAAACCAACTACATTTATATTGCATTGAGGCTTAAAGTGGTTTACTGACTTGCTTAAGATTATACAAGTAGTAGGTGGCTACAGCAGGGTTTGAACCCAAGTATGCTTGATTCCCCAAACCATGCTTTTTAAAAAATCAAAGGTGTAACTTCGATAAAAGACATGAAGTTAATGAATATATGAAAGATGGTGAATAGATACAGATACAATGTGGCCTTAGGCCAGATCATGTTGAACATGTGGTGGGATAGATAAGAGAAGGTTCTTCTTTGTTGTTACCTGGTTCTCAATTGGTTATTACTTTATGTGCTTTCCATATTAAAATTCTATTATTCTGGTCTATAAATTCACCCACCCAGACTTGCCTAAACTAATTAAACCCTGAAGTTTGGCATGTCTCTTTTTTGGGGTGCCTCTATGATAGGTGGTAGAAATGAAAATGGAATTAAAAGTTTTGTGAAGCTATAGCACTACTTTTTCATTGTGTTCCCCCCTGACTTTCTGCCTTAGGTGTTTACTTTGGTGAGATATCCTGGGAGAAATTGAGGTGAAAAGAAGCCCGAGTTAGGATTAGGGAAGAGATGAAGTAGTCAATAAAATTCAAATTCTTGTATTCTGAAACGCAACTATTCTTTCTCCAACTTGGTTTTGGACAGAATGTCTTAGTGTAGCTGTTAACAAAGAAATTGATGACAATTAACTCCCATTTCTCAGAATTTCATCATTCTTTGAAAGTGTTTATCATACTCAATCTTCTAAAAATCCTTAAGGCATACTACAGTGTAGAGGTTGGCAAACTTTTTCTATAGAGGTCCTGATAGTAGCTTGTTTCGCTTTTGAGGGCCATCGAGTTTCTGTCACAACTACTCATCTCTGCTGTTGTAATAAAGACTCACCCATAGACAATACATGAATGAAGGAGTATCTATGTTCCAATAAGACTTTTAAAAATAAAATTAGGCAGCAAGACTGATTTGACATAAGGGTCATAATTTGCTAACCTGTGGTATAGTGAAAGGAGTTCAACTAGAGTTTGATTATGGCTGTGCCATTCTAGTTGGGTAGTTTTAGGAAAGTTATTTAATTTAGATTTGATGTAGTTTTCTCATATGTAAAATGGGGATAATAAAACCTGCTTCACAAGACTACTATGAGGAGTAAGCTATGTAGCTAAATATAGCAAAATATCTGGCATCTAATAGATGCCTAATAAATGGTGACTATAATGATTCTTATCATTACTGTATTATTTTAAACATTTATCTTTTTTTTTTAGGTTGTTGTCTAACTAAGGTATTTAGAGAAAATAAGTGCTGCTGAGGGCAGCTGGAACTGTTTTGCTGGTTCATCACTGAAATTCTAGTTCTTGTTGGTGCTTATTTCATAATTATGAAACTAATTCTTTTGAAAAGAACTTGAAGTAGAGCAACAAGAACTAAGATAGAACTAATACCATTCTCTCTCAGTTCTTATTGCTTTACTTCAAGTTCTTTTGAAAAGAATTACATAGATATGGGTGCATGTGTTTGTTTATTTTCCTTGTTGGGTAATCGTGAATATGTTGATTGGCGTCAAACATGGGTCTCACCTATACCCATGGCAGTAAGCTTCTATTGATTTGAATTCAGACTAGCCCTGGTGGCCCTGTGAGTGGGAAAGTCTAGGTGTGCCTAGCTTGGTCTGTGGTTCCACGAGGGGTTGGATGCATCTGTTCTACTTGTGGAATGTTGGCACCAATATATTGGCTGCTTCTCCGAGTATTTGCCTTTGTCTTCTTTGTGAAAGGTCACTGGCTGGTTTGAGCTATTGGGCTGTTTATGCCACATCCTGTGCATGCCACACTGGCTTTCTTTCTGTGGTGTTTCCAGAGATAAGTTTGCCTGATAGAAGTCAGACTCTGTGGCTTTTTATCATTATAGATTTTTCTAGAAGGAGAAGAGGCCATGATCACATCTGAGGATCCTGAGTCATTGTAGACATGTACTGAATTAAAGAGAATTTTTTGACTAAAGGAGAATTGCATCAATCACGGTGAAGGAGATGCCACAGGACAGGGCCTGAGGTGTTGGCTTAGCCACAGATGTAAGGGCTACAGTTAACAGACAACTTTCAGTTTCCACTATTGGAAGGGATGATCAGTCCTTCCCTCCTCTATTTTCTTGAGCCCCGTTTTTCACCTTTCTTTTTCTCTCTCCTTTCTTATCATGAAGAATAAAGACAAATGAGAACAGATCTACCTTAGGCTGATACAGGGCAGGGAATCCATTTAATAATAAAACGTGGGTCAAAATTCACTTTTCTCCTTTTGAATTGAAATTATATTGTGCATGGGCTAATTAGATTGAATGCTGTAAACATGAAGATAATGCTTGCAAAGTAGCTACAGAGAAAGAGAAAAAGCCTAAAACAACCAGTAGTGCTTAGGACCAATAGTATAAGTCTTTACACACTACATTTGAATAATACTGTAAGACACAATTCTTTGATAGGTTAAATAGCAAATCTAGGCCCCCCAAAATTATTTAAAAAATTGTCATTTTAATTCTAGAGGTATAACAACAGTGTGTAAGTTGCATCAAATAACAAAGTTAGTCTACAGCCTAAATTGTTTCGTCCTGCTTTTTTCACTTCTATGCATATTTTTATACTTCCATGCTAGAGCTACCTCATTCTTTTAAAATTGTGAGATATTCTATAATTTATTTGTATTCCCCTATTAATATATTTTTAGCTTATTAGTTTACTTAAAAAGATTTATGTTTGCCTTCTAATGTCAAAGTTAGGAGTCATCTGTCCATTTAACAGGTGGTGTTTTCTTGTGTAACTCCTCTGCCTTCATGCAAACCTTTGAGAACAATCTCTTGAAACAAGGCTAAAATGCCTTTGGAGAGGTATTATAGATGATCATATCTACTTTGTGCCTCTTTCCATTACTTAGCTGCATTAGAGGCCCAGCTGTGTAGGTGTAACTCAAAATCCACCAAAACTAATACTGTGGTTAGATTCTGGTCAAACAAGTTGCCATTAATCCAGATGTAGAATGGGATTGAAAGGTGGCTCTTCCACACCCTGACATCAATGTACCAGTTTGGCTCTGTGCATTCTTTCTCCCCTTCTCCCTTTACCACCCTCATATAATTGTTTGTGTACATGTCTGGTTTCGTCACTACGCTGATGGCAAGGATCATGCATGCCTTATTCATATTTGTGTTATTCAAGGATTCTACTCTGGGTTCTATTATGGGGCCTGGCCTAAAGTGGTTGTTCAAGAAATGTGTGTTAGAGAAATCATACATAAACTAGCAATTCTCATTTGGATTCCTGTATCTGAACAACTAACTTTCAGCTTCTTCAGTGGGATAAAGAAGAAAAATGGGGTTTAAAGTACATACTATTCAGTATTAATGTAGAATTTAACAGCTGCCATCCAAGTGCAGAATCCTCTGTAGTTTCCCAGTGTTAACCTCACTTCTATCTCTAGCCATGTCTCAGTGCTGGGTGACTCTCTCCTGGCATGTTCTGGCAAGACTCTACCTGGTTTGCGTAATCTACATCGGCTTCTAGTTTCCACAAGAATTGTTTATATGCATTTAATTTTAGCTCTTGGGCTATAACATGTCATTGTTCTTTTTACTTATCTCCTCTTACTTCTGGAAACAGGGCAGGCATCTTCAATACTTGCTGTTCCTGTTTGGTGTGCTCTTAGATTAATTTTAACTTTCCTCTTCAGCTTTCATGACACTTCAAGACATTTTCCAGTCATATTTCCTGTATAAGAAAATACAGACTATGTCACCACAAAGGGTAGTGGAGATTGGGGGGCATAATTTAATTCATTCAGGGAACTCATATTTTGGTGTGAATGGAAATTAAAGCAAGGTATTTGGATTAATTTACCTCATTTGGTTCTATATTCCATTTAGAGGATAACACATTAAGCTTTTATTCAATTTTATCTGTTATGGTCACAGTGAATCTGGAAAAAAATATATATGGGGCTTAGTTTTCATATTTAGGGGAAAATGAATATCCTAGAGAATAATAATAAAAGTTAGGGAAAATAATGTTTTCCTAAGAGTAGGCAATGAAAATCTGAAGGTACTCAAAGCAGTCTTGCACAAGTGCTTTGAAAAGCCTCTTGCACAATTTTATTTCTTTATAGTACTTACACAATCATATTTCATAATGACTTGCTATAAACAATGTTCTTGACAAGAAGCTTAAAGATACAAAACTGAAGGAAGCACTTTTGGGAGAAAATACTTTTATATTTGCTTACTTCTACACTACAACAGACATAAAATTATGGATTTTTTTTTCAGTGCAATTTTCATATGTCAGTTCTAGGAGACAGGAAATGTGAAACACTGTAGGAGGTATGAGTTTGCCACCTAGAGGAGAGAGGTGAAATTCAACTTTTCTCCAATTTCTTTAGTATAATTCATTAATTTATTTAATTATTTACTCGTTTAATTATTCAAAAATAATTATCTACCAAGCTTAACTATTTTGCCAGCGCAGATTTGATAAATCTGTTCAAGATTTATGAGCTCAAAGAAACCACAAAGTGCATCTTACTTTAATTGCTCAGCTGCCTCTTTTAAAAATCTTTTACTTTTAAGAGAGTATAGCACAAATATCTGAACAACTCTAAATATCCATACTTGGGATGGATATTACTTTGAGCTCTTGCACTATAATAAAACTTTATTCTTTTGTACTAATTCAGTCCTTTTACTTTTTCTTTTTTAATGTTTAAGAAACAAGTTGGATATGGACAAGATGTAATTTCTTCTGTCAAGGAACCCACAGGATAATAGGTTAATGATAGAGACCAACAATGCTGATGCATTTTTAATGACGGAGATAATGTCTAGAAAAAAATCCATTATTTGGTAAAGACAAAGTATGCATATGTATTCCTTTGTTTCAATTATTTTTAAAGTTAAAAAACAACTGCTTATCTCCTTTTGTACTACAAGCAATATCTGGTATAGTGTATGCATAGTAAGTATTCTAGAAATAGTAATTTCATTGTTGACTTGATTATATTGGAGTGGAACTTACTCTGGAAGAGATCCTAACTTTCATTTATCTGAGAAAATTTCCAGTTAGGACATGGAAATTTTTTCCTTGTCAATATTTATTCTTAATGTGTTTAGAATTTTAGAAAATGGGTTTAGGGATTTAGAAATTTCTTTACTAAATAACTCTAGGGAACAGTACCTTAAAAATATTCAAAATGACAAAAACTTAAAATGACATCTAATTTTTTAAGGCCAAGAATCATTAAAAAGGGATCCAAATCTTTAGACTTTGTTGCTCGGTGGAACTAGAATCATTAATATCTCAGTCAGGGGAAGCCATGTCAACTTACTGGTTTAATTTCCTGTGAGCTTCCCATGTTCTCTCCCTGCAAGGACCACCTCAAATCCCTCAGTAGTCCTGTCTTTATGAAACCAGTATAATTTTTCTTTTCGCTCTTGTCCTTCACCTTCCTGTGGCAACAAGAGTCAATTCTCCATATATAAATACTCGGCCCCTGTTTTAGCTGTGTCTTAATTGCGCAACATCTGTTTACTCTGTGTTTTAACATCTGTGTGGATAGCATTGTTGTTGTAATATTTTGACTGTAAGCTTCTAGGAGGTAGAGGCCAGCATTATTTTCTCCATTTTTGGAATGAGAAAATACAGATTACCACAATCAAAGTAGAATGGCAGCTTATAGTAGTTATTTGGATAATTTATATAGTCTCTTAAAAAAACAGATTATAGTAAGAAGTGGCTGAGCAATTAGCTATGGCACACTGCACGGTTTTTCTGACCTCTCAGCTCCTAAATAAACTTTGCCAAATCTTCAGGCCCTCAAAATTTTTTCATTCCATTTGTTATGGGCTGAATTGTGTTCCCCCGAAATGACTATGCTGAAGTCCTAACTCCTAGTGCTTCAGAATGTGACCTTATTTGGAAACAGGGTCATTGCAAATATAATTAGTTAAGATGCGATCTTACTGACATAGGAGAAGCTCCTAATCATGGTGTCCTTATAAAAAGGAGAATTTTGGCCATAGAGACATGCACTGGGAGAATGCTCTCTGAAGACTGGAGTTATGCTGCTAAAAGTCACAAAATTAACAGAAGCTACGGAAGAGACCTTGAATAAATTCTTCCCTGTAGCCTTGAGGGAGAGGATGGCCCAGCCAACTGCTAATCTCAGACGTCTAGCTTCCAGAGCTGTGAGACAATTTCTCTTTTTAGGCCACTCAGTTTGTGGCACTTTGTACAGCAGTCCTAGCCGACTAACACACCACTCTAACTGTTGATCAAGGCAAGAGCCTGTGATCATGTATTATCTTGCTTATTCCTTATCAGCATTCTATGGTGTAGATATTAGTGCCATCTATATACAAATTAGGAAATGGAGCCTCATAGAAATTAAATGACAAGTTCAAGGTGTCATGGCTATTTCATTATAGTGCCAGTGTTTGAACACAAATCAATTTGACTCCAAAACATCATTACTCTACTCAATTCTAGTTCAATCCAGATGTTCACAAACAACCAGACTATAGTGGAGATGTGGGTGGTGGGTTGAGAAGGAGATCATAACCAACATCAGACTGTCAGTGAAGCAGACTGGGAGAAGTTTTATGAAGCCAAGCAGCTGTGCAAGGTACAGTAGAGATGGTCAGATTGTTCATGTGTATGGATTCCATCTTCTGAGGAATGAACTCCTTGATATTCCTGAGTTAGTCCAGTTTAGGCAGGAGTAAACAGAAGGTAAACAGAAGATTGGAGACTGTGTGTGTGCACGAATGCCTCCTTTGTAGCTGGATGTCTAACATCATGATAGCCACACTCACATGAATACAGAGATACACAATTTACAAATTAATGTAACATAAAACTCCCATGCAGTCTGATTTCATCTTACTGACATTTCTGTCAGTCAGTGTTAGCATCTTAATTATATAAATGTGGAAACTGAAATACTCAAGAGGTTCCCTGACTTCCCAGGCCACACAGTAAGCTTTGGTGCCAGAATGTATCTCTAGGCTTTCTCATCTCAACCCAGCATTCATTATACTATTGCTCACTGCGTGTAGAATCAGATTTGATTTCTCTGACTTTTCTTAGTCACTTCTGTGGTTTTGTACCACTCCCTCTCTCACTAAATAACTGCCTGCAAAAGTAAAAATTTCCATGAAAACAGAAAACAAATGTACCAGAAATGTTGATGGTGTAAGAGATAAAACTGGGATAAAGAGAAAATGTGTTGGAAAGTGGTGTCCTTTAATGCAACAGAAAAGTATATTGGGAGAAAAAGAAAAGAGAGAAAAATAGACAATCTGAAGTGATGAGAAGAGCAAATGCTACAGATGTACCTGAACCTCTTCAGTAGGTGTGATCCTGAAGAGTTGTGTATAACAACAATGAACAAAAATAAAATGTACTGTGGAAATTGTCTAGCTGTTGAGATCCTCCTGTGCGATATTTTTCAAAGTGAAAACTCCAATCAACCCTAGCTTATTTATGGAGAAGACTTTGCCCCACAGTACCCAGAAAGTTTCTTGACAATATCATATATGCATAATAACCCTGAGACAATTTTTGTTTACCAGGAAAACATATAAAAGGGAACATTAAACTTTGTCTAGTTCTACTGCATAAACATGTGATAATGTGCATGGTGACCTTCTGTTGTAAATGGAAAGAGTTAAGCTCTCTGAATCTACTGCTGAAAGGTGAAAACACTTTCTTAGGGCTTTGAACTTCATTTGAAATCTTACTGAAAAAACACTACAGACTCTATTTTCTTTATATTTGAAGATACTTTACATAAAAATCTAAAGCATTTTGACTTATGTTTTCATCTACTTGAGAAGGAAACTCACAGACTCCAAAGCAACTGTTGTCTGTTTTGAAAAAAATTTCAGAAATCACCAGAAGCAATAGGGAGTGGCCTTGATTCCTGTTCTTGTATTTATGGGTAGCTAAAGTTCATATTTCTCAACATACCATAATCTCTGTGTAATTGGCCAAATTCCATGGTGGATAATTAGATCTAGCTTACCAGGGCAGATTTGGATGGTGAGAGCAGTCACACTGTTCTGGGAATATGTTAGCCAAGTTTACTATGTTTTACATGAGTTGACAGACTCACCTCACTTGCTGAAGGACTAGCCCAGCAGGTTCTACGGGTGAGATCACTGCTAGCTCATTCACTGCTGGGCCTGGTAGGCACAAGAGGCCAAGAAATAAATAATGTGAATTTGGGCTTCAGAAGTTCTCTTTCCTATTTTCTTTCCTAAACCCTTTCTTCTACCAGCTGTCTAGGGGCTAAAACATTTGTTCATACGTTTATTAACTAATTCAACAAATATTTACCAACCATGTTTCAGGCACTGGACACTAGAAATATAATAGTGAACTAGACATTTTCTGCCTTCAAGGGTCTATGAACAATTATAATATTCTGAAAAATATTACAATTCACAGAGCTCAGTAATCCAAATCCTTATTATTTCTGTCTTTAAAAAGCAGAAAGTGAAAAATGCTCTTAAAAGAGGATGGCATAGAAATGTATTTATGCATTGCAACAGATAAAATTAAGGAATGCATGAAGACTGGTTCATCTGTGTGGTTGTGAGTCAAGAATAAATCCCACCCTCCCTGAAGTACTCAGACTCTACCTTGCCCCATGGCCACCACTGTGGCCCAATGGAAGCACCAGTCCAGGGGGTCTCCATTCATGCTGTCTTTGGATGTCTTCAGAATGTTGTTTCACAAGTACTCAGACCCAACAGTAAGATTTTAAAAATTGTCCATAATATTAACCTTGGCATTATTATGTTAAAGAAAGCAAAACAGATATCACTGAGTTTACTTCTCAAAAAAACCTTGCGTTCCTGCAAAAGTTTCTTGAATTCTGACTCTTGTCACACAATCACACAAGAATGGCTATACTTAAACCCTTCTAATCAATTATATCCTTAATATGTATGACTGAGTGATGTGTTTTCATGACTATGAAATGTATACATGTTTGGAAAATCTATTCACAATAGAGTTTTATGATATTCCTGTTAACAGGCTGTCATTGTAACACTGTTTATGCAGGAATTGTAATTCTATCTGTTTTTATTTTTAGCGTCTTTTCTCTCCATCCCCCAAATTTTAAGGAGCTATCAGGTCTGTATTTTATTTGGTTTTGAAGTTTTAGGTTATTTGTAGTTATAATAGCCATATCAATTATTCATTTAGCAAACATGTATTGAGTGCTACTATGTGCTTAGATTTTTCCAATGTTGTGAAGGATAATTGGCTAAAACTTTTCCACTTTTATTAGTAATTTGAGAGTTTTTTTCTCCATGGATTTTAGTCACTGGTAAAGGCTGTTTCATATTCATAGATTTTTTTCTACGGTAAGAAACATATGATGTTGAATAAGGTATGAATTACAAATTAAGGCTTTTCCACATTCGCTGCCTTTATAAGATTTTTTTTTCTTCATCAAAATCTATTCACACACACACAGACACACATGCGCTGTTTTGATTTTCTTCAAATATATCCAGTGTTCAGTTCTTGGGCACATATTAATATACTTGCCTAGATGAAGACTATGTGTCCTCAGGAATTTATAATCTAGCAGGTGAAAGATTTGCTTCTTTCAAAATGTGACTCTACTTCCCCACTCCTTAGGTTGTGAAAGCAGTTGTTTACGCTTTATTTCATTGTTTTCCAAACTTTAGTTATTTATGTGCCATCTTCATGATTATGCTATTCACATACCACCTATACTATTATGCTTCTGAAAATATACTATGATTTTCAACTTAATTAAATTTGTTTAGTAATAACAGTAGCTGTTACATCACTAGGTTGATGTGCTAGTTAAAAATTTTTAAATATACTTTAATATAAATATGTTACTACTAAATTATTTTTTTGTCTGTATGCACCCAAAATCTTGCCTTTAGTAGTACTACACATATCATGCTTTGGGAAACTCTACCCATGAGATTCATATTCAAGCATGAGGAATGGCAAAAGAAAATACAGAAATAGTGATAGTAACCATAGCAATGGTAATAAGAGCTATTATTTATTGAGGACTTTACGTATGTCATTTAATTTTATTTTATCCTCACAACAAATTTTAGCCATGAGTATCAGATAAATATGAGGCAAAAGGGCAGGAAAGAAGGAACAGTGGAAGTCAAGCTTTTTTTCGCCTAGGTCAGCTATAACTAACACGACAAGATGTTTTAGTATTTGTACTTTATTTTTAGTCAGCTCAGATTTCACACCTGACTATTTTACAAAAATTTGGATGTGATGGTGGCAGATTAACATAATTACTTTTAGCAATTATTATGGGACAAATTAGTTAAAGGTTGTAAAATGCCTAGAAACAGAGTAGAATATCCTAGTAGGATATCCTAGAATATCCTATAATTAAGTTATCAAACAATTACTCTGATTATTTTTCACAGTAGTTCAATCAAAGTGTAACTTTGGGTCTGTTAGTATACATGAGTGTGAATACTCTGGAGATTTGATCTTTGGCTTTCCTGTGTAAGTTCATATATATTTTTGTTATTATCCTGTAAATAACTGAATTATAGTACAGTGATTCTGTAAAAAACACTTTAGTTATTAATATTCTTTGGTGTGAAGTTCACATTAAAAATTGTTATATTTCCAGAACCTGGTTTTTACCTGTGAAAGTCAATGCATCCTTCTTTTAATCCTCTGCATTGGTTTTGCATAGCTTGATGAAATATGACTTGCTTCTCCTCCCTCCCCCTCCTTCCTGTGCCTGTATCCCCATCATTTTTTTTTCTATTCCTCTTGGTATCTGGACTTCTTTTTCTGCCAAATGAGTCAGTAAGAGAGGAAATGTTTAACCCACATTTGTCATCTTGGCTGGGAAAGAAGTTTGAAGGCAAAAGGTGCCTGAATATGTTTCACTAGGATGCTGACACAACCTTTTTGACTCTCTCCTAAGAATACTACTCTATATTCAAGTTATAAAGTGCTAAATGATCTATTTCCACCATGTATACATTTCATATGATCAATACTTATTTTGTAACTTTTTTCTTTGAGGAGAAGTATTTTTCTTTTGGAAAAATATTATTTATTTGTGTGTGTGTGTGTGTGTGTGTGTGTGTGTGTATTTATTTTCTTTTAATATGTGGTCTCCCTATGCAAAGGATTTGATTTTATAAACAGAAGCAATAGGATTAAGAGGATAAAGGAAAAATAGGAGAAGGGGAAATATGAGTATCATGATAAGGTAAAAATGAATTGCTTGTATTCTAACATAGAATAGCTACTACCTGTTGAGTGTTTATTATATATTAGACATTTAAGACTAATCAAAATATCTAATCTAATGAAATAATCACTGTTTTGAATTTGCTTAGATTTAGTAGATGTAGAAACTGAGACTTAGAGAGGTTTATTTACTCAACTCCACACTGCTAATTACTGGTGAAAGTAGAATTTTACTCCTCTGGTTTTCTCATCCAGCACATCATCACTATAACCCTTATAGTTTGCTTTTGGCACAAGTATTCATTATTAATGGAAATGCATAGTATTATCTCAGCAAATGTACAAATAGTTTAGCTTCACTAAACTAGTCAATTTTTTTTTTCTAAACATCAATGCTTAGGAAGCAAAACAGGCTGGGGGAACAGTAGTTGTACTGGTGGCAGCTGTGGTGCTGATGGAGGAAGTGGTGGAATGCATAGGCTGCTCATGCTTTTTGCCACAATGAAGGTCAAAAAGTAGATCACTTAAAGTCTAAAGTTAACCTTGGGGGTCATATTCTTCACCAAAAACTATGTTTATACATATAGACTTAGCAGTATGCTATAAAAGTGAAGATATAGCACTATAAAATTCCACCATAAAGTAAATTGTTCAAGATTGTGGTCCAAGCTCTTCAAAATGCTCATAAATCAGAAGGTGTATTTATTAAACAATATTTTATATGTACCTATAATAATACAATACTATACTACACAAATTGGACCTAAAATGAATTCTCTTGCTATATTAAATATTAAACATTAAATAGGCAGAAATTTTGTTTGCACTGGACTTAGAATATAAGAAGAAAATTTGGGACAACCTGAATAGTTGAGGTCTCTTGAGAAACCCTTCAGCTTCTTTTCCTCCAAATAAATTTCTCTGTAGCAAATGGAAGCCATCCAAATGATTCCCTAGCTACCTCAAAGTACTGTAATTTGTCTACTTCACAAAGTGGAGGACTATATCTAGCAATAATTCAAGAAAAATGCAGTGACTCCCATTATATCTTAGGCACTATGCTAGGAAGTTTATGCATATCATTTTGTTTGATTTTAATAGCAACTTCATGAAATAAATCATCATAATAAATCACTATTTCAGATATTGAGAAACCACAGAAAGAGAGAAGTTAAATAATTTTCCTGTCAAAGACCACATCAATGATGAAGCCAGAATTTGAGCTCATGTACTTAACCACTGGACTACCTGCCTGCCCTGTCGAGGAACAGCTAAGGTTGTCATAGAGTCTTGACTGTGTATAGATAGTTGTTTGAAGAGAGAAAAAAGGCAGGAGGATCTGGGGCATATGTTTAAATCAGGCATTGGCATCTGTACTAGAATTGAAAGGTGGAACTATTATTGTGTTCTATTTATTGAGTATAGGTATACCATATTCAATGTATTTCTCTGCTTCATACACTATCCAAGGTGATAAAAGTGTTTATGAAGAGGGATTAGGAAATATCTGCTGTGTTTAGGTCATAGTCCAACCAAAGGATTAATTAACATTTGCCTCTTTTTTCTCCTACATCCAGTGTCCCTTTTGATGAGAAGAATAAGCCTCATTCTGATTCAACAGCAGAGATCAAAGAAAAGACTTCTGTTTTCTGGCCACCAGATATATGTTATCTGTGCTTAAAGAATTGAAAAACACACATCAAAGGAGAATTTTCTTGGAAAGAGAGGTAATGAGATACAGTGAAAGAGAATGGAGATTCTTTAAATCACAGAGACCTAGGATCAAATCCTGTGATTAGCACTTTTTAGTAATGTAGCCTACTTCATTTCTTTGAGCCCTCGTTTATTTTTCTGAAAATGAGGGTGATCTAAATTACGTCTGGAGTAGTAATAAAGATTAAATCCATGTGATACAGGTAAACTCATGACAATAATAGACATGAAACAAATAGTCTTTCATCTCCCTCCTTTGCTCAAGCATTGCTCTGCTCTTCTCACCTCCTTTCCCTTCCTTTTTCTTTTCTCCTCTTTATTTTGTCTGTACCCAATAGCTTTTCCCAAGCCTTAAAACTATGTATAGGTATATTGTTGCAGCAAAATGCATAAAGGAGACACTCATTATTTGCATCCATTTATATGCTGATATAAATATTTCATCCTCACAAGTTTCAGAGGGAAAGACCACATGCTGGTGATTTGGTGAGAAAGAAGCAACTATTTCTGTGATTTAATTTCAACCTGAGCATTAAAGAGGCACCCTTTCACTACTAGTGGTAACTCCATGCTTCCAAGAACTAATGAGCTGAAGAACTTAGCACTTGTGATGAATTAGTCAAGCAAAAATTATGAAGCGAGTAATCTATAACATTATAGTACATTACAAATGCTGAAATATATTAGTTATTATTTATTATGATTCTTATAGCTCATTTATACTGTACAAAATTCTTCTGTCATTTTATGAAGATGTTACACATATACATAACAAAACTTAGCTAATTAGATACAAAGACTATAGAACCAAATAACTCTTTTCTAAATATTTTCCCTTTAAGGAGGTTTTGCAATCCAGCTTTGCTGTGGTTAGACACTGTTGATGAGAAAACTTTTTTTTTCTTTCTTTTTTTTTTTTAGACAGGGAATCATTCTGTTGCCCAGGCTGTAATGCAGTGGCACAATCATGGTTCATTGCAGCCTCAACCTCTTGGGCTATAGTCGTCCTCCTGCCTCAGTCTTCTGAGTAGCTGGGACTATTTGATGTGCACTCCCATGTGCGGCTAATTTTTGTATTTTTTTTTTTTTGTAGAGATGGGTTTTCAACATGTTGCCTAGGCTGGTCTCGAGCTCCTAGGCTCAAGGTATCCACCTGCCTCAGCCTCTCAAAGTGCTGGGATTACAGGCGTGAGTCAGTGCGCCTGACCTGGATGAGAAAATATTGAGTTGGAAACCCAAAATATGACATAAATAATTGGTATATTTTAGAGCTGGATTTCAACAACTTTTCAACACTGTCATCCTGTAAATGTCTTTCCGTCCTAATCCCATTGCCCATGCACTCAGCAGAAGTGTGTGCCTCTAAGGTGGATGCTGGTATGAAATATCTCAGCTGGGGCAGGCTCTGAAAGGGAGAGATCTGGTTAAAGTGCTCATACCAAACAAAGCTCCTCATGATGCTGGCCTAACTCTCCCAATCCTGCATTTCTCAACAAAACTTTTTGCTCTTCTCTTTCACATAACTCCCGTGGAATAATTTCCATTGAATTGCATGGAAGAGGCTGTTCATGGGGTTAGTCTGGCAGATAAGAGGTCTCCACTGGATTTTTTCATTTTGCAATCAGTTTCATACATATACGTACATACTTTTCTTGGAGTCATAGTTCATTCTCAGGTCTTTTAGAGTTAAATATCTTTCATTTCTTCTTTTAAGGTCTTAATTTCTTGTTTTTCGAGTTTCATGGGAGATATCCAGTCACCAATCCAATCCATATCGGGGAAAAGTACAACAAATGAGTGAAATTTGTAACCAACCTTGGATGATGGAATAAGACATTTGGGAGAACACAGGAGAAGTGGGGAGGTTAAGGAGGGATAGCTCTGTGAAAATTTTGCATTACTCTTGCCTGAGGTCTACTCTTCCTTGTCATGTTGGTGGCTGTTTTGACAATGAGAAATATTTAATGGCAAACTTAGTCTTCTAATTTGAAAATGGAAATCATAACAGTTCTTGCCTCTTAGGGATAGTGTGAGACAAGTGAAATAATCCATGTAAGAGGTATAGTACTATGCTTGCCATTCTTTAAGAGCTCAACAAATATTCACTTTTTACCTATTAGTATCAATCTTAATTCTAAAATTCTATTATTTAATATTTTCCAGTGGTGTTTCTAAATAATATCTAATGACTAGGCTAATACACTATGTGGTTCTTCTAGGGTTCAAGCATCACTGTTAGGTGTGCTGGAATCCTTTCCCGAGTCAGTACTGCTTTCTAGAAGAAAACCGGGGAGATCTATTTGGAATGTATCTAACTCCAAAGAAACCATCAGAGGTAACAGGTAGGAGATATGAAACGACCTTTTAGATATGAACCCTAATTGAATAAAAGTTGCCAAACAACTGTTCCCAAACATCTAAAGAAGAGTTTTAGTCTAAGTGGAATGGCTGGAGAGTATGGGAAGAGTTCTTTCCTACTCTGTCCAAACACAAGCCTCTGTGACATTTATCAAAGAAATGCAGCCCTTTAAATCTGGGTATAAGTCCGAAAGGTGCTTTCCTTGTGAAGCTTCTTTTGTCCTCTGCTTTTAGGACTCTCTGCACACTGCATCCTCTATGTCACCCTCCAGTACATCTGCTCTTACACAAGGGGCCCCACAGGGACTGGCCCACACACCAGCCAGGGCACATGGGCCAACTTTTAACAGCAAAAGGAAATGCTAAATCCTAGAGTAGGGCAGATGAGAAAAATGGCATTCTTCAGAGAGCTGGGATGACTCACATTAAGATCAAGGGCCCTGAAGTAAGACAGACCTGAGTCTGAATCTCAATTCCAACAATAAATTTGTTTATACACTTAAGGCATCATGTATAGTATTGTTAAATAGATACTTTACAAGATTGTAACTAAGAGGAAGCAAAATAATATCTGTAAAGCGTTTCATAGATTGGCCAGCATATAGTAAACATTTAATAATTAGTAGCTATTATTATTTTTCCTTAAATATTTTTTTTCTGGCTTCCTAGCAATCATAAAATTTAGTCTTGTATAGACTCCATGGCTAGGACTTGCAGAATTAAAAATGGTCTGAACAATTTAGACATTGCCTTTTTGTCCTCAAACCAAGGGGTGAATTTTTATTCTAAAATATCCAGATTGTCCATATCACTTAACCAGTTGATTGCTAAGTCTGTATTTCTCTTTTATGCAATTGGGAAACATTAAAAAGTTGAATGTATATACTGTACACATACATGCACACACATAGACTTAAGTACATAAATGTGTATGTACCTTCCATAGCACTTAGCTCATCTGTTCTTTCCTATGACCTTTTCTATAATCCTGTGAAGTAGGTTTTATATTATCCTATTTTATGATTAAAGGAGAAGGGAAGACAGAAAAGCAGCCTGGCTTGGCCAGAGGCCTTGCAATTGATTACGTATAGAGCCAGGGAGTCCTGACCCCTTTTCAGTTTTTCTTCCTCTGTACTGCTGTGATGACTGTGGAAGTGAAGTACTTCTTTGGCTGCCAAGGAAGTCCCAGCTGAAAGGTAACCAAAGGAAAGGAGTATTTGGGAGCAGCATGGCTGAAATCCAGTTAACAGTTAAAATCCCGTTGGGCAATTTCTCGTTAATTGACAACAGGAATTGCTGTCACTGTCCTGTCTAGCCACTTTCAAACGGTGGGGATGTTAGCAAGAGCTCCCAGTGAATGCTTCCTAGGAGAGCAGTGATTGCTTTGGCTAGCTTCTTCTGTAGCAGTTTTCTGGCGGTGAAAAGTCTGTACTAAGACAATTGGAGGTGGTAATCATTTTCTAATAACCACCTCAGGCTTTTGGCACCTAATTCGCTGGCACTGTCTAGGGAAGCTCCTTATGCTAACTCATGCTTCTTGCCATGTCAATCTGCTTATCTAATTTTGCTGGGAAATCTGATATCACCCTTCAAATAGTTCACCTCAGTGGGATCCAGTGTGTGACCTGCAAAGTGCTCAAGGAAGAGTCTGATCAGCTCTGACAAGCAAACAGCAGAAAGAAGTTTTGAAAAAACGGCTACCGTTTTTGCAGCTTTTTCACTGTGGTTCCATGGTGTTTGAAATCAGAATGTAATATTGAGTTAATGACACAAGGAAACACTTGGATGTTCATATTGTCTACTTGGTTTTCATGAACCTCACATGGACTGGCTTCATCCTGTTTCAGAGTCCATTCAACTGTAATTTCCACTCTACTTCCTGTGCAGGCCTTCCTCTGGTTTGTGGGCTGTACATTTCAGCCTGCTCCTTTAAGGGGCCCCCTGAGCTGAAAATGAAAGAGACATTTTGTTGCTTCTGCTACCTGCTTATCGTCCAATCCCAATCTCAGATTTTCTTTTTCTATTTTTTAAACCCGAGTAGCACTTTTCCAACTAGTGTGTAGTTTTTCTTTCAATTCTCTGCTCTTCACAGTAATTAAACAAGAGCTAGCCTCCTTTTCCAAATCTTGTTTTTGTAATACCTTTATTCCCAAAGAGTTATGCTTATAAGAGTAACATAAATGTGTTAAACTTGGTATTGATTTGATGATTTCATAAACCCCAGACTCCTTGAAATTCTGCAGGTTTTTGTGAAAGGACTTGCTTAAAATCTTTGCTAATCTACCTGAATTTTCTTCCAAAGGCAGTTATATACAATGTTTCTTAAAACTAATTCTCCAAATTTGCAATTTGGCAGCATCCTACTGGGACTCTAGAAGGCTGATAAATCATGGAGAGTAGGTATTCATATAGGAACTATGAAAGCTGTATGTAGTAAACACTACTTAAGAAGGCCTTACATTTCATAAAAAGTTGGAGATTTTTGTGGAGACTCATAAAATGCATCCTTTATATCAGTGAAGTTTTTGCTTCTAGGTATATTATACTCACATCGAAACACTCCAGGGATTTTGTTTTCAGCCTGCATATACCACGTATATTTATTATCTGGATAGATAAATTAGACGTATACATTTAAAGGAGTTTGCATCAGCTGCTGCTAGGAAGTTTT
This sequence comes from Homo sapiens, assembly GCF_000001405.40. Lineage (NCBI taxonomy): Eukaryota > Metazoa > Chordata > Mammalia > Primates > Hominidae > Homo > Homo sapiens. The sequence goes on from NC_000009.12 coordinate 22,051,916, forward strand.
TCTTGTGTTAGTTAAGATCCTGTGAAACAACCCTTGACATTTCACTAGCTGCACAGTTTGTAATAAAATCCATTTTAGCCTGAGGTTAAATCATGACTGTGGTCCTCACATCATGGTGGGGGATCCTGGTGGCCAGATTAAAGGAAACTCCACATTCTCATTTCTGACTTCCCTACAACCTTGTATTAAGACCTTAATTGAAAAACTTATTGCCTCTCTCACCAAAATATTTCAAATTTTAATAGTTTCCCCCAATGAAATTACAAGTACTATTTTACTTTTTTCAGTGCCCTTGGAATTTCGAGGCTGGATGGGGGGCTTCAATGTCTGACTCATTAAGTGTTCTATATACAAAGCCCTACATGGTCCCTAGAGCATAGCAGGCATTCAGTGAATGAAATGAATGAATGAAAAGCTAGAGTCACATTTTAGTGACCTAACTGTATATTTTCAGAGTAATGTAGTGCTTAAAAAAGGACAATGATAACACGTTTCTACAAAGAGATGCATGACAGATAACACTTCTCAAGAAGAAGGAATTTAGCTTCTGTCATTTGATCTAGGTTTTCAATTACAGAAGCATTGAGAATTTCCTGTGGCTGGATAAGGGCGAATCTTTAAGGCAAGTTGAAGACCCAGGCTGCCCATGTGGACATCAATACTCCCACAGAGCACTCTTCATGAAGAAAAGTGTGGGCTTGCTGTCTTTTCATCAAAACTCGTAGAATTTGGCTGACTGCCTGGTTTATCCCAGGACATTAGTCAGCCCACAAATCCCGCATTTGTTTATTCAGTCCAGAGCAAGTGAATACTGCCATTTTCTCATCTCCTTTGTTGGCAACACTTTGTTAACCTGAATTGGGTTCTCAACATAAAATGAAGTGACTAATCTTTTGGGGGGTTCCCCCTCCCAGGTTCTTGTATGAGCAACTAAATCTACACACCACAAAGCCCCATGCTGTCATTTTTTCTCATCCTGCCCCTTTATTTTGATGATTCCACATTGTAGTTCATGAAACCAATACCTTCTAGAGTGTGGCTGAACTGGCGCCAGCATTAAGAAAAGGAGTTTCCAAACTTTTTAGTTTTGTGAGAAAATGTTAGAGGAAGAGGGAGGTTAGGTTGACTATTTATACTTATGTAATCTTCTGTGAATTTGCAGTAGTTATCACCTTGTACTCTCAAAAGTTTTCTAGCTCTGAGTATGTGAATCTGAAAGTGCAGGAAGTAGGAATCTTAGCACAAAACAACCAGTTTGGATTATCACACAATTAATATGGGACGGAGCTGGAGGATGGACCTGAACAGAATGTATATTCTTTATCACTAGGTTATTTATCTATCTACAGATGTCTAGAAAGACCTGGGCTTTTTTAGCAAACGTTTGAGAATCTAGGTTTCTAAGTTTCCATTGACCATGAAAGAGTGATTAGTTTTAGAAGACAGTTGGGGGCAACATTGTGCAAGTCAGAAGAGGGGATGAAGAAAATCATAAAGCTAAACATGTTTGCCATAGGCCCAGGCTGTTTTTCAGCATGTTTCACCTAGCAGCTTGGCAGATAATTCCCAGTGATCATTAGGTCTGTGGAAATTCTGTTTGGTTTATAAAGTTTTGGCCCTGACTATGTGTACCACTGATAACTTGTTTTTCTCTCTCTTCCCTTTTCCTCCAACTCGTAGCCAGAGCTACCTTCCAGATGACTTCTTTCTACCACTTTCTTTCTTCCCAGTGTAAGAGAATGCAAGTATATGCTGATGTTTGGAGCAAGAACATTCAAAAATTTTCTTATTAACATAACTTCTAATGGAAATACAGTATACTACTATGGTGCATACAAAGAAGAAATAGCAACATATATTTGTTTTAGACCTGATTGCTGTATTTTATTCCTTAGGTCCTCCTTGATGTCTTGTAGACCGTCACTAGCTAATTGTTACAGCCATCGAAGGAAAAAATAAGGATTTTTACTTAGGACATACGTAACAGAAAAAGAGATGGTTTAGCAAAAAAGCACAGGCTTTGCAATAAGCAGCCTTAAATTAAAAAAAAAAAAGTTAACTCATAACTAACTGTGTGACCTGGGATAAGTTACTGACCCTCTTTAGGGCTTAGGGTCCTAATCTGCAAAACGGAAATTATAATAATAACCTTAGCTAGCATTTCTTGTGCACATACTATAAGCTGGTGATAAACAATTTATACACACTATCTCATTTAATCCTCACAACAATCCTGTGAGATAGGTACTATTATCATTTCTATTTTACAGATGAAGAATCCAGACATAAGAAGTGAAGTTAAGTAACTTTCTCAAGGTCGCACAGCTACCATATGATGGAGCTGGAATGTGAATCTCTGCAGTTTGACGCCAGAGTGCATGCTCTTAGTCACTACATTTGTCTACAAATCTAAAACACGTAAGACACATAGGAGGTGCTCAGTTAGTGGTATCTATTATTAAATCAGACTATAAATAATCACCAGGCAATACTTGAAAGGCCACAAACAATTTCTTAGGATTTGTGACAATACTAATAATTATAACTGATTATGAGCATACCTTGTGTCAGGCACTTCTTTTCATAGTATTTCAGTCATTATTTAAGAGATTTATTCTTATTTTTATTTTTCTAGTGAGAAAACTGAGGCTCAAAAAAGCCGACAAATTTGTTTAGGATTACAAAAATATCAAATGATAGGATTGAAAATCAAATCCATATCCTTTCTATGTGAAAACCTGTGTTCTTTCAGCTTTTTTTATTTTTATTTTTTTATTTTTTATTTATTTTTTTAAATTTTTATTTATTTTATTTTTTTATTTTATAAGCCTTTTTATTTTTATTTATTTTACTTTATTTGTTGTTGCTGGTGTTTTTTTCTTGAGACAGAGTCTCACTCTGTCTCAGCTCACTGTAACTTCTGCCTCCCGGGTTCAAGCAATTCTCCTGCCTCTGCCTCCCAAGGAGCTGGGATTACAGGCACCTGCCACCATGCCTGGCTCACTTTTGTATTTTTAGTAGAGATGGGGTTTCACCATGTTGGCCAGGCTGGTCTCGAACTCCTGACCTCAAGTGATCTGCCTGCCTTGGCCTCCCAAAGTGCTGGGATTTACAGGCATGAGCCACCACGCCCAGCCTGCCTGATTTTTAAAATTATTAAATTCATATTTGTTATTTATCAGATGCCTCTGCCACTTTATTTTTTAAAAATTTATTTTTATTAAGGTATAGTTAACAAATAAAAATTCTATATATTTATTGTGTACAGTGGAATGTTTTGATATATGTATACATTGTGAAATGGTTAAATCAAACTAAGATATCTGTCATCTCATATGCATGCCATATTTTTGTGGTGAGAACATTTATGATCTACTCTCTTAGCAATTTTTAATATTCTGCTGTTTGACTTTTAAACCAAGGCTTGGATTAGGACAGTCTTTGTAGCTTAGTTTTAGGTTCAGGGATAACAAAAGTTGTTTTATCCTTTGGGCTTTTGCAACTTGCCATTTTCTTAATGAAGATCTGGGAGAAAAATTAGTTTAAGTGGTTTTTAAAATAGCCATTAGCTCAGGACATACTCAGCCAAGGCAGGATAAGTAGTTTTGCCAGCATTCTTCTGTAGGTAGGTTGGTTGTTTTTTGTTTTTTTGCCACAGTCTTTTTAAAAAATATAACTTTAAAAAAACCTTGGTTTTCTGTGATTGATCTTTTTCACTATTTTTTATAGAGGGCCAGGAATATGAGTAAATAATTCTTGGGCTTGGGTGCAGATGATCCACGTGCTGGCAGACAGAAATCTAAAGGGACAAAAGAGGCTGTCCTTTGAAGATACTTTTCCTGGCTTGGGTTTTATATTTTTGGATTTGATTTAGTGAAAATTTTTATTGAGGACCTACTGCATACCAGACACTCGGCTACATTATGAGAGGTTTGGGGGGCCTATATTGGCATATAGGGAGGATGAATAAAGAATACAAACAATTATAGTACAAATCAGAATAAAATTTGGCATGCAACGGGCTATCAGATAGTATGGAGGAAGAAAGCATATTTTATTAGTGGAGCTAGGAAATACGTTACAAAGTTGATAGCATTCTTGATGGGTCTTGAAGGTTACATAGATTTTTTTTTCTTTTTTTTTTTTTGAGACGGAGTCTTGCAGTGTCGTCTGGGCTGGAGTGCAGTGGTGCAATCTCACCTCCCGGGTTCAAGTGACTCTCCTGCCTCAGCCTCCTGAGTAGCTCGGATTAGAGGCTCCTGCCACCACATCCAGCTAATTTATATATGTGTGTGTGTATATATATATATATATATATATTTTTTTTTTTTTCCAGTAGAGACGGGGTTTCACCATGTTGGCCAGACTGGTCTTGAACTCTCGACCTCGTGATTCGCCCGCCTCGGCCTCCCAAAGTGCTGGGATTACAGGTGTGAGACACCACACCCGGCGGATAGAGAGAATTTTGACAGGTGAGGAGGTATTCCAATGCAAAAGAATAATAGGAGCAAAAGCACAGTGGTGAGAAATTGGAGGGGAACTGTGAAAATTGCCACATAGATTAGAGGCAGGAAAATAAAGGACGGCTAAGTTTATATAGTGAACAGTGAGCCGCATGGACACAGGTGACTGTTTTCTCCTTTTTGAACCCCTGCTTACTCCAGAGTCACCACCTCTCCTGGCTTTCTGCCAATCTTCTTGGCCACAGTTTCTCGGTCTTCTTTTCTGGCTTCTCTTCCTTGGCCTGAATGCTACATGTTAAGTGATGTCAGCTTCAGTTTTCTTAACCTCTCTTCTCTTAAGTTGCTATCATTTAAATATCTTTAAATATCATCTACATCCAAGTGACCTCTAAACCAGTAATTTTACCCATGACCCATCTCCTCAACTCCGGATTGTATATAAAACTGTCTACTCAACATCTTCACTTTTGATGTCTAAATCTCTATGTCCAATTTAGAATTCTTGATTCTTTGCTTTCCCTCCCTCCTGGAAATCCTGCTCTTACCAGTCTTCCCCATCTTAATTAATGAACCTGACATTCACCTAGTAGCTTAGTCCTCAAAACTAGGGATTAATCTAGATTTAGTCATTTTTCTTACTCTTGCCATATAATAACATATTATTCTGAGTTTACCTTTACCCGACCCCAAATAGGTAACTGCTGTTTTTGTTATAAGATAGTAATATTTGCCTCTGAGTGTATGTGAATTATTTTGATAAAAATAAATATTATTTTTAAAATATTAATTTTACAGGGATTGTCTCTTGATTTCTTTCCAAAAGTTAACTCATAAGTTGTTCAGCAGAGCTATGTATTCTTCAGTATGTTATAATTTCGTTCCATCTTCCAAAAGGCCTTCACATTCTCTTGGCTTACAGACTCAGATGCTATGGATTAGATACACAAGTACATGTTCCTGTATATCTATTATATAGTGAACATAACAATTATGATTGTGATCTTCCAAAGCTCGTATTTTTAATCAAAATTAATTAAATATTTTAAGCCAAAGAATAAAGGTAGATGCAGCATCTAGTCAAAAGGATATTTCTGCTGGCCACACTCAGGAAGACATAAAGATATAGTTGTAGAAAGTGATATAGTATTGGCCAGGTGTGGTGGCTCACACCTGTAATCCCAGCACTTTGGGAGGCCAAGGTGGGCTGATTGCTTGAGCTCAGGAGTTCGAGGCCAGCTTGGGCAACATGGTGTAAACCCCATCTCTACAAAATACAAAAATTAGCCAGGTGTGGTGGTGGGCACCTGGAGTCTCAGCTACTCAGGAGGCAGAGGTGGAGGATTGCTTGAGCCTGCGAGGTGGAGGTTGCAGTGAGCTGAGGTAGTGCCACTGCACTCCAGCCTGGGCGATAGAGTGAGACCCTGTCTTGAGAAAAAAAAAAGCAACCCAGTGATAGGCTGGGCAAGGTGGCTCATGCCTATATTTCTAGCAGTTTGAGAGGCCAAGGCGGGTGGATCACCTGAGGTCAGGAGTTTGCAACCAGCCTTGCCAACATGGTGAAACCCTGTCTCTACTAAAAATATAAAAAATTAGCCAGGTGTGGTGGTGGGCACCTGTAATCCCAGCTACTGGGGAGGCTGAGGCAGGAGATTTGCTTGAAAAAAAATTAGCCAGGTGTGGTGGTGGGCACCTGTAATCCCAGCTACTGGGGAGGCTGAGGCAGGAGATTTGCTTGAATCCGAGAGGCAGAGGCTACAGTGAGCCGAGATTGCGCCATTGCACTTCAGCCTGGGCAGCAAGAGCGAAACTCCATCTCAAAAATGAAACAAACAAACCCAGTGAAAACCAGTATTGAAAATAGATTGCCTCTCCCTTGCTTCATGGTCTGTTCTTACGTAATTTTCAAGATAAGTTCATTTTGGCGGGTACTGACAAATTTCCATTTATTTACTTTTTTCCCTTACATTCATTTCTTCTCAGTCTCTCCAATGAACGCCTTCACTGATATCCAAAGCATGAAGGACACACCAGGGAAAAACATAGACCTAACACAGGACAAATGGAATTATTAGAAACATTTTCTAGCAGAAGAACACTATTCTGTTGCCATTTGAATCTTTGCTTCTTTCTAGGTTTGACAATGAGCCTATCATATAAGCCCAAATGTAAACAGAAAGAGGTTGAATCAGTCACGATAAGCCCAATTATGCTGTGGTAACAAACAACCTCAAAATCTCATTGGCTTAAAATATACAGAATTATTCTTACTCATGGCACATATCCATCTATCATCTGCAGGGGATCTGCTCACTGAAGTCACTTAGGAACTTGGACTGATGGAACGGCCACTTTTTGGTCACTATATGTATTAATCTGTTTTAATCCTGCTGATAAAGACCCAAAATTGGGAACAAAAAGAAGTTTAACTAGACTTACAGTTCCGCATGGCTGAGGAGGCCTCAGAATCATGGTGGGAGGCGAAAGGCACTTCTTACATGGTGGCAGCAAGAGAAAAATGAGGAAGAAGCAAAAGCGGAAACCTCTGATAAACCCATCAGATCTTATGAGACTTATTCCACTATCAAGAGAATAGCATGGGAAAGACTGGCTCCCATAATTTACCTCCCTCTGGGTCCCTCCCTCAACATGTGGGAATTCTGGGAGAAACAATTCAAGGTGAGATTTGGTGGGGATGCAGCCAAACCACGTAATTTCACCCCTGGCCCCTCCAAATCTCATGTCCTCACATTTCCAAACCAACCATGCCTTCCCAATAGTCACCCAAAGTCTTAACTCATTTCAGCATTAATCCAAAAGTCCACAGTCCAAATTCTCATCTGAGACAAGGGTAGTCCCTTCTGCCTATGAGCCTGTAAAATCAAAGCAAGCTAGTTACTTCCTAGATACAATGGTGGTACCAGTATTGAGTAAATACAGCTGTTCCAAATGGGAGAAATTGGCCGAAGCAAAAGGGTTACAGGGCCCATGCAAGTCCAAAATCCAGCGAGGCAGTCAAACTTTGAAGCTCCAAAATGATCTCCTGTGACTCCAGGTCTCATATCCAGGTTATGCTGATGCAGGAGGTGGGTTGCCATGGTCTTGGGCAGCTCCGTCCCTGTGGCTTTGCAGGGTACAGCCTCCCTCCAATCTGCTTTCACCGGCTGGTGTTGAGTGTCTGTGGCTTTTCCAGATGAATAGTGTAAGCTATTGGTAGATCTACCACTCTGGGGTCTGAAGGACGATGGCCCTCTTCTCACAGCTCCACTAGGCAGTGCCTAGGGACTGTGTGTGGGGGCTCTAACCCCACATTTCTCTTCTGCACTGCCCTAGCAGAGGTTCTCCATGAGAGCCCCGCCCCAGCAGCAAACTTTTGCCTGGGCATTCAGGCATTTCCATACATCTTCTGAAATCTAAGTGGAGGTTTCCAAACCTCAATTCTTGACTTCTGGGCACCCACAGGGTCAACACCACGTGGAAGCTGCCAAGGCTTGGGGCTTCCACCCTCTGAAGCCACAGCCTGAGCTATATATTGGCCTCTTTCAGCCACAGCTGGAGCAGCTGGGACACAGGGCACTAAATCCCTAGGCTGCCCATGGCGCAGGGACCCTGGGTCCAGTCCATGAAACCACTTTTTCCTCTTGGGCCTCTGGGCCTGTGATGGGAGGGGCTGCCATGAAGGTCTCTGACAAGGCTTGGAGACATTTTCCCCATGGTCTCGGGGATTAACATTAGGCCCCATGCTACTTATGCAAATTTCTACAGCTAGCTTGAATTTCTTCCCAGAAAATGGGTTTTTCTTTTCTATTGCATAGTCAGGCTGCAAATTTTCTGAACTCTGTTTCCCTTTTAAAACTGAATGCCTTTAACAGTACCCAAGTCACATCTTGAATGCTTTGCTGCTTAGAAATTTCTTCCGCCAAATACCCTAAATCATCTCTCTCAAGTTCAAAGTTCCACAAATCTCTAGGGCAGAGGCAAAATGCCACCAGTCTCTTTGCTAAAACCTAACAAGAGTCACATTTGCTCCAGTTCCCAACAAATTCCTCATCTCCATCTGAGACCACCTCAGCCTGGATTTTATTGTCCATATCGCTGTTGGCATTTTGGACAAAGCCATTAAACAAATCTCTAGGAAATTCTAAGCATTCCCACATTTTCCTTTCTTCTTCTGAGCCTTTCAAACTGTTCCAGTCCCTGCCTGTTACCCAGTTCCAAAGTCACTTCCACATTTTTGGGTATCTATTCAGCAAAGCCCCACTCTACTGGTACCAATTTACTGTATTAGTCTGTTTTCATGCTGCTGATAAAGACATACCTGAAACTAGGAACAAAAAGAGGTTTCATTGGACTTACAGTTAGTTCCACATGGCTGGAGAGGCCTTAGAATCATGGCAGGAGGTGAAAGGCACTTCTCATGTGGCAGTGGCAAGAGTAAAATGAGGAGGAAGCAAAAGTGGAAACCCCTGATAAACCCATCAGATCTCGTGAGACTTACTTCACTATCAGGAGAATAGCACGAGAAAGATCGGCCCTCGGGATTCAGTTACCTCACCCTGGATACCTCCCACAAAATGTGGGAATTCTGGGAGATACAATTCAAGTTGAGATTTGGTAGGGACACAGGCAAACCATATCACTATACCACAAGTTTTTTTAAAAAAACAAACTTTTGAGAATCTTGTACTGATAATTAATATCTGGTCTGGAAGTGAAGCACATTTCTTTTTCTTGCAACTGATTGGCCAGAACCAGCTAGATGGCCCCACCAAGCCAACATTGGGGGAGAACTGAAATATTTGGCAAACAGCAACCATGACCATCACAGCTGGAAGTTCTCAGTCTGGAACTCCTTCCCCAGGCCTCCCATTTCTGGAACTCTGAGAACAACAATCCAGGAATCTGATGACATCTTTTCCTTTACTAGCCAAAATCTGATGACATTTTTTCCTTTACTAGCCAAAAGGGAGAACAATAAGCAAATAAATTCAATTTTCTCCCATTTATACTTTTAAATCTGAGAACGAATTGTGTGTTTATAAGAAAGTGAGGGTTGAGCATCATGAAGAAAAATATAAAGATCTTTAAAAAGTATATATTGGGCCTATTAGCTACAAACATGGATCATTATTAATATGTGTCTGACTGACATTTAAAATGCATAATCAAAATCAAGCCTGTTAGATACAAAATTCATCCATTAATAGCAACTAAATTTCATTAGGTAAGTAGTAGTGCTATGTTTAAAAGAGTAATCTATTTGGAAACAGGAATTAATACTCAGAATATTATTATTAATATATTTGAAAATTACTTGTGTTTATTTGTCCCAGCCCTTACAAGGTGTGTGGTAATGGTTAAGGTATTTCTCCTCTATATGCCTGAGTTTTCTTCTTTACAAAAGGGGGGAGGGAATAATAGCACCTGATTTTACTTTTGTTGTGAAGATTAAATTTGTACATATATAAATCTATATATCTATATATACACTTATATATGTATGTAAAATATGTAGGCTTGTGCCTGACATTAAATACTAAAAAATACTAGCTATTATTTTTATCCTCATATTATCAGATATGACACATTCATAATTTAAACAGAAGCCTACGAAGAACTCATAAATTAAAAGAAGATAATCTTTTCACAAGGTAACAAATTTTGGAACAATTTTTTAGAGTCTCTAGACATCTGTTACTGACGTTGTGAGTGAAATGGGTCTGTGAAGGGAAGATACAGGTGGAACTGGGCCAGTGTTTGCAGAGGACCATGATATTTCTATATCTCTGCTGGCTCCCTATCAGTTCTAGAGCTAGTTCAAGTGAAGCCTCCATAACCTCTGGACAATAAAAATGCACCATGCTATTGTTAGCATGATGAATGAATTTATTTTTGTTTAGCTTACAGAAAGTTAGTAGTTTTCAAAAGGGTCTTTATGTATACAATTGAAGATACTACATTCTTGAAAAGGAAATCTTTACAGCATACAGGTCCCTGGCACTAATACCTCATTTCTGGGCACAGCTTGATATGGAGGTATAGTTTGTGTTTTATCTGAGGAAAATTTAGGTTGGTGTTATGTTTTGGGCTAGCTCTGCTGAAACATTATTCTCTTTTCTTTTAGAGCCAGGGCTGTGGGCTGTGTCACTTGTGACTTGGCAGCCCTTAATGGGGCTACATGAGGAAGACATTTCCTTACATGATTCCAAGAGTCTTTCTCTGGGGTTCTGAGGTAGTCTCTGTGTTTCTTGGAGATATCGTTGGCTCTAAAATTTCCCCTAAGTGAGGTGATATTCTGTCATCTCATGCATGGGTTTTGGAGGCTGAGGGGTGTCTGGGTTGGCTCCACCACCTACCAGTTGGGTAATATTGTGTAGTTTTTTTTTTAAACCTTTCTCAGCTTTAGTTTCCTTATTTGAACAGGGTTAAAAATTGGGCTTGAGAGAAGGATTAGAGATAATATTAGTAGATATTGTTGATGAATTGGGCGAAGCAGAGGGAGGGGGCAAAGTTGACTACCTTTGTTTCTGTCTCAAACAAGTAGGTGGTGATGCCTTTGAGGAGATAAGAAAAGTGACTTGTGTGTGTGTGTGAAAGACAGACACACACACATATATATATATAGAGAGAGAGAGAGAGAGAGAGAGACTTATAAATTTTGGATATATGGTTTCAAGGCACTTTTCTGGATGCATAAGTGTAAATGTTCAGTTGAAGTTTTAATGGTGCTTAGGAGAGAGATGTGAACGATAATAGAGATTCCAAAGGCCTTTACATCAAGAGGATAACTGAAGCTATAGGAGCAGATGAGGCACACCTGTAAAGATGAGACAAGAAGAAAGCCTAGGGTAGCTCTGAGAACTTTGCTATTTAGTGTCCTCATAGAGGGGATGGAGGATTCTTCACAAAAAGTTCAGTTTTGTGACACCACATTCCCCTGATTTTACTCTTACCTCTTGAGACACCAATTTTTTAATGAAGAAGAAAATTATGTTGCCTGCTTAAAGTAAGGAAAGCAGGTGTTGGTGGGATTCCTTAATAGAAATATAGAGGTTTAAAATACCTACAAGAGTAGGAGATAGAATTGATCAAGTAAAAAAATTGAAGAGATTAATTGAGGACTTAACATCAGAGACCATATGTTTGTTGTGACAATAATCCAAATTATTGTAATAATGTGTTTAGGAGTATTTAGCCTTGTAGGTACCAAGATTGCATTGATCCTGTGTTAGGAGTTTGCCAGGTGTGTGCAATAGTGAGAAAGACATGAAGGGATTTGAGGTTGCTGATGAGTGACCAGTTTAGATGACAACTACTGTTTCTTCAACTCTTTCTTCAACTTCAACTGTCTGTTTTGGGAAAGGCTAGTGGCCTGTGAGGAAACGAAGACCCCGGAGCTGGAGGACTCAAAGAGTTTGGAGAGCAGACGTGTGCAAGTGAGGGTTTTGTGAGCACTGGAGGACAGGCAGCTGGGGAAGAGAGTGTGTTATTTGCAGTTATGATATTGGGTGTGGAGCTATTTTTGGTGGCAGCAAAGCTCAGGATGTATTTTTTTATTATTCCCATAGGTGATGGAGGCTTTTTATTTTGCCACAAAACCACTGGTGACGTTGCCTGTGGCCACCTTGGAGAAGACACTGGAGGTACACAGGATGTATCCCTGGAAGTGGCAGGGGGTATAAGTTTAGTAGGAGATTTGTTACTGAGTATTTAAGGTCTAGGAACAGATTGAGGGTGTTGGGTGGATTGCCCACTAAGACACTGGGTTTTCTAGCATGATGACAGAAATTGGAGTTTGGGGGGAGAAGAGTTCTATTGTGTCTTGAAGAATGTGATCAGGAGGTATTTCTAATGACACAAACATAGAAGTATACACACTGGTATAGTCAGATGGCATGAGTACCAAGGTGGAAGTGTGGTGGTCCTAAAGTGGCATTAAGGAGCCAATAAATTGTCATTCCTACCTTAGCTCTGTGTCAGATGAAATACACAGCATAGTGTGGGGAGAAAATGTTGGGCTTATTGGGGATGGGGTCTTTCACATAAAGGAAGAAGGTTTCAGAAGGCATAGTGGTATGAAAAGAGGAGAAACCAAAGGGAGGAAGGTCAATAAAGGGTTAAGAACGAGGGGAGGCAAATTGACTTTCTTTCAGCATATGAGGATTATAGGAATGGAAACCTTAATTGGAATTAATTGACCACAAATATTCCAAAGATGGAGTGAATCAGTTCGAGACAGAGATATCTGAGGGTCTGAGGGTCTGAAGTAGGATTTGTCCCAGTCGTGTGTGGGTGGGTTCACTGTGTGGAGCCTGGGGTCTTGAGGATCTGAACATGGGCTGCCTCCTGTGTGCACGGTGGAGGCATCTGGCCTGTTCTCCCTGGGGTGGACTCATGATGAGCTGAGTGGCCAAACACACAATGGTTTTCATTTAACATCTCATTTCTAGCCTAACGACAAACCTAAAAGGTGGGCATAACAATAATGTTAATAAAACATCTGCATTTCTCCCATCCTTGGAGTTGTGAGGATTTAATGCAATTGTTTGTGGGAAAGCACTTTAACAACTCTAAATTACGATATATATGCTAGGTTTTATTGTTACCCACACCTTTGATGTATTTCTCTTTGTACTCTTCACTGTATCTGTAACACATTCCCTAGGATAATTAGGGCTACCCTTTAACAAAGCCAAGATTCTATTTATAGTGGTAAGCTGGCACCTGGGCTGATTCTCTCTAGTGATTATGTAGTTTTGATGTGGACTGGCATTCTTCCCTGGAGTTTGAGTACCTCCGTCAGCACTTCTCCCGTCCAGAAGTTCCATCTCTGTGTTTTTCTATTACAAAGCCCAGACACCCATCTAGGCCACCCACCAGGTTCCTCTTTCCAGTCTTAAGGACATCTTTAGCTCCTGGCTCATTTGTGAGATGGAGTGGACTGACATGCCCTAAGCAAAGATTGCCAGCCTGGTCTAGTTTTCCAGGTCTCCCTTGACTCGACAATAAAGTAACCACTAGACTTTGAGAATTGCAGTTTTACATTGTCTAGAGTCTTCTAGACTTTCATGAAGATAGGCAAATATGATTCTAACCAAGATGTATTAATACCTCCTACTTCCTTTGAAATGTAACTGAGACTGTACTTGAGACGTTACAATTTCTTGGAAGGGGAAAGGAAGCTTCTGCTATTGAACGAACTTTTTGTTAAGGTAGCTCCCAAGCAGGTTCAGTAGCTTTGTTCTATTATCACTTTTCTACTGACAGTGATTTTTTTCCTTTGAAGGCCTGGGACATGGAGACTGCTTTTCTGCAGAAACCACATCCCTTGGAGTAATGAGCTACACCTACCTCAATTATTCAGTGCAGTACAACACTCCAGGTCAGCTATTAAGAGGTGCACACATTATTTTTAGAAAATGTGAGTCAGTCTTGGGGAAAACAAATCTATGCTATATGTTCTTTTTACTCACTTGATTTACAACATACTGTGATGTATTCTTTTTCTATTCAGCATCTTTTTGTACCCGTAGCTCTTTGTTCTGAGCATAAATGTGACCTTTTGGCTTCAGGTAGAAACTCTGTCTCATGAGCACTCCCTGGACACGGAAGTTCTTTGAAATAGCATTGATTTTGTTTAAGCCTTCATGTTCCCCTGGAAGGCTGATTAACCTTAGTGCCTTCTTTCTGTAATAGCTCATATTGAATTATCTCCCTCTGTCTGATTATATCCATTTGAATCACCTGCAAGTTTCTTTTACATGTCTAGAGTGAGGACAATGTGGGTGATGAAGAGCTGAAATCTTCTAGGTAAACATTAGATTTTTAAAAATTCTATTTTTTTTTTTTTATTTTTAAGACAGGGTCTCACTCTGTCACCCAGGCTGGAGTGTATTGGCATGATTACAGCTCACTGCAACCTTGAACTCCCAGGCTCAAACCTGAGCAGCTGGGACTACAGATGCACCACCATGCATGGTTAGTTTTTTAATTTTTTTTTGTAGATAGAGGTTCTCACTATGTTGCCCAGGCTCATCTCAAATTCATGGCCTCCAGAGATCCACCTGCCTCAGCCTTCCAAAGTGCTGGGATTACAGACATGAGCCACTGCACTAAGCCAAAAACTCTTGTTCAAATTACATTTTCTGCCTTAGTAATGCTGCTTTCCTAGCTTCTGAGAATTTCTAAGACCCAATGGTAACTCTATGCTAAAATTAAAATACGAATGTCCTTTTCAAAACTGCACAATATCTTTGCTATTGTCAATAATGTCTCAATAAACATAAAATAGCAAAGAGATTGTGCAGTTTTAAAAAGAACATTCGTATTTTAATTTTAGCATAGAGTTACCATCGGGTCTTAGAAATTCTCAGAAGCTGGAAAAGCAGCGTTACTAAGGCAGAAAATGTATTCACAATAGCAAAGACTTGGAACCAACCCAAATGTCCATCAATGATAGACTGGATTAAGAAAATGTGGCATATATACACCATGGAATACTATGCAGCCATAAAAAGGGATGAGTTCTTGTCCTTTGTAGGGACATGGATGAAGCTGGAAACCATCATTCTGAGCAAACTATCGCAAGGACAGAAAACCAAACACTGATGTTCTCACTCATAGGTGGGAGTTGAACAATGAGAACACTTGGACACAGGGTGGGGAACATCACACACCAGGGCCTGTTGTGGGGTGGGGAGAGGAGGGAGGGATAGCATTAGGAGAAATACCTAATGTAAATGACGAGTTAATGGGTGCAGCACACCAACATAGCACATGTATACATATGTAATAAACCTGCACATTGTGCACATGTACCCTAGAACTTAAAGTATAATAATAAACAAAAAAAACCACTGCACAATCTCTAGTATTCAGATGGAGACTAAGCATGATTTTTCTTATAAAAGAGCAGATCAGAATGTTGTATCTTTTATTCAGAAGACTGGAGTTAATCACTGTTATCTTTAGTACTTAGTGCTGCCAAGGCTGTGTGTTCACAATGAGGATAGGATGTCAAATAAATGAAGCTTCATAGAACAAGAGCAGGATTGAGTCATGTAGGCAACTGTTTCAGCTTCCTCACCTAACTTAGCACCAAAATGTGTTATTGTCATTACAGAGTGCTTATTTAAAGAAAAATAAAAAGAACACACACACACACGCACGCACACACACACGCACGCACACACACACACATGTAGCTACATGTCTAGGAAGGATGTGGAGAGCTGAAATATGAAGGCAAAATAAAACATCTTTTTCAAAGTATACAGCCTACAGTGGTTAGCACAGAGCTGGCCACATAGCAGGGGTTTCATAAATGCTTGTTGATTAAACTCTTTTTTTTGAAAACAATAATGTAGAAGCAAAGAGCCTAAAGTGTTTTCATAAATCTTAAGTGGTAGCTTTATGTTCCAGTTCAGCAAAACACAAATTTGAAGGCAATCTGTACGTTAGGGTTCAGGTGAAGAAGGCAAAGGAATCAATGAAATTGTAAAAGCTTTCCAAATTTGCCTTTTCTCTTAAGATTGTCTTTCTCTCATTCTCTTCTCCCTATTTCAGGAATGCAAATATCCTGTTTCATCAATCTTTTGTTTTCTGACTCAAGATAACAACAATAATTTATTGAGCACAAACCATGACTTTTGGGTCTGTGTAGCCCCGAAGCTTCATAGTTCAATATCTGACACATAAGAGGGGCTTACTCTACACTTAAATGTTAGTTTTGTCCTCACTTTTTTCTCTTTCTCAGAGATCTCCCTTTTCCCCTACTTGTATAAGCATGAAGAAATCTTTCTTTTCATTCTCTCCAAGTTTAATCAGACAACTCCACATACATACATCTTTGTTCACAACTATGAACAAGACAGAAAAGTTGCTGGACCTCAAGGACTTTACAATCAATCTGGGAAGGCAAACATTGAACATATAATGTCCAGTCTGATAAGTGTTAGGGAAGGAAAGCTCAGAATGCAAGGGAATATAATCTAATCTAGGAGATCGTGGGAAATATCACTGGGGAATTTGGAACTGAAAGAAAAATAAGATTTGATTAGGGGAAATTGAAGGATCAGGGAGTCAGGCGGAGAAGAATGTCCCGGCAGATGAGACACTATGTACCAAGCCCGAGTTTGACAGAGAGCGTGGTTTACAGAAGGAATCTAAAAGGTGTAGTTTCTGTAGCAGAAGTGTAAGGGTGTTACTCGTAGGAGGCCTCTATTGAACTCTTTTCCAGTGACGTAGTGTGTGGTCTTTAAGTGGCTTTGCAATGATAGTAAGATCAGCATTGCATTACTGAATGAGCTCCTTTAGTAAACGTGGATATGTGCTTTCTGAATCTATTTGTTTGTTTTTCCCAAGTCATAAACAGTGAATCAAGCAAATGAAACATAATCAAGCTTGGATAGTATCTTCCACTAATTTCCTTGGTCTTAAGTAAGACTGACAGTAAACTGATGGTCAACCTGTTCAATGGGCTTTAACAAGTAGTAGCCACATCCAAGTCAACAAACAGTACAGGCAATCAGGGCCCCTGGCCTACAGTGAATCATGGGAATTACCCCAGGGACCTATGCTTTGGGGACTCGTCCTTCCTGGCAGCTATAGATGCCATCAGAAACTCATTTGCACACTCTTATAACCAAGATAAGGGCAATGGTTAGTCCCCTGTCATTGCATGTTAGCTTTCTTTCCCTTTTCTAGGCTTTTTCAGATGCCTCTTTTACATTATTACTTTTCCTGTGTGAAAATAATGCGTGGGAAATGGGTAGGTCATACAGAGCGATAATTTCATTCCTGGGCCCCTGTCTTGCAGCTCCCTAAGTAAAGTTTTGCGCCTGGCACTCCTCTGGCATAGTAACCTCTGACAAACCCTTGGGTAATAGAGGAGTAGCAAAACCCATGGGTAATGGAGGAGTAGCAGGAATATTATGATTAGCTAACAAATTCACAAAGTACATAGAAATTTTTTTCTCGAATAACCACTATAGCTGAGGAATATAGATTAGTGACAAAATTGTGCACTCAACCAACTCTATTAAAAGTATTTCATTATTCCCGTGAAAAAACTCCTAGGAAAATGATTCACTGAGAGATATACGATTGTATAAGTATTGAGAAACAGTCTTTCTTTTTTGCTTTTTATTTATTTATTTAATAGACATTATAGTTACACATAATTATGGGATACAATTTGATGGTTCGATACATTTTTATGTTGTATAATAATCCAATCAAGGTATATTTAGTGTACTCATCACTTCATGCATTTATTATTCCTTTTTGATGAGAACATTCAAAAGCCTCTCTTCTAGCTCTTTCGTAATATCAATACCTTACTGTTAATCATAGTCACTCTACTGTGCAATAGAATGCTAGAATTTATTCCTCCTATTGAATTGTAACTTTGTACCTGTCGACCAGCCTCTCCCCATCTTCTTCCCCTTCCTTCTTGCTTCCCCAGTCTCTGGTAACCACTGTTCTATTCCTTTTTTTGTTTTTTCTTTTTGCAGAGTTCGCTCTGCCGCCCAGACTGGAGTGCAGTGCACAATCTTGGCTCACTGCTACCTCCGCCTCCCAGGTTCAAGTGATTCTTTCTATTTTTTGGGAATGTGCGTTATCTAATACTTAGGTGCCTCAGATTTAATGGTGGTAAATCTCACTCATTTTATGAAAACCAAATGAACACTATCCTCACAATGGTTAGAAAGCAAGATCAGCTCAACTTTATGAAAATATGACTATAAAACCATTTATTATTGCCAAGTGGTTGGAGTGGAGTTGACAGAAAGATGCATTATTTTAAATTGTGTTTTAGATGACAGAACAGGAGTCAGTAATGTTCCAGTTTGGAGGAATTAGAGTTAATTGGTTAATTGATTGATTCGATTCAGTCAAATTTATTGAATGACTGCTGTTTCAGACACTGTATTTGGTCCTGGGAAAACACAGATAAATAATATATAATTGTATTATAAATTAATAAAATAGTTTTTTCCCTCCAAATGTCAGTAGTCCTTGGAAAGGACATGTAAACAATGAATATAAAGTGACACATAGTCCAGTCAAGATAGGTAGGAAGGTCTAAGTACAATTGAGTGGTCAATTTCACTTCAGGGAAGGGCAATGATCAGGGAAGATTTCCCAGGGAAAGTGATGCTTGGGCAAATAAGTAAGCATTTTACAAAGAGACAAGGAAGGATAGGGCGTCCTGGGCAGAGGAAGGAGTGTGTACAAAGGCCAAGTGACATATGACAACATTGTACATGAAGGAAACTACCATCAGGCAGAGCTGAAATGTTGGCACATGGTGAAGTGCTAGTTACCGGTCCCAGCCATGACAGTAGTGTAACAAATGCCTGCCTCTGGTGCACAGCAAGATATTAAGATTCCTCAAAACAGTTCATATATTTTATAAATTAAGATAGACATTAACAGAAGCTCATAGAATCAATTAATGCAAATGTAAGTGACCTAAGAGGCATTTTGTTCAGCATAGTTATTGATTTTGCCTGACCCAGAGGATTTGAATTTAGGAAGATGTAAGCCTAGAGTAGCTGTCAGTTATCTTGTGATACATGGGCCTTGGAAGCAAGGTACAGGGACACAGTGGACCAATGGGGGAAGATTAGGTCCTGGTGATGTGATTCAAGCCACTGGATTAAGCCACATCTGAAACGTCTATTTCTGTACTCTTCAGTTACAAGAGATGTTAGTTTGAATTATTTGCTTAAGTCAGTTTTTAAAAAATTCAATTGCAACTTAGGAGATACATCTGGCCTCTTCATTTTACAACTTAGGAGACTAATATCTAGTATGACAAAGTGACTTGCCACCAAATGGCTGGTTAAAAACTGATACCAGGACCCAGATCTAATGACTCAGAGGCCAGGCTTAGAAATATCTAGCTTTTTTTTTTTTTTTTTTTTTTTTTTTTTTTAGACACGGAGTCTTGCTCTGTTGACCAGGCTGGAGTGCAGTTGCGCGATCTTGGCTCACAGCAAATTTTTAAAGCATCTACATGTGAGGGCCTAAGTATACGAGTACCTAGAAATCTATTTTGCAGCAACTATATATTTGATAGAGTGATTGAGTTTAGTTTAAAGATGACATTTCTAAGTGGTAGTGCTGTCAAAAGAGCATTGCATTGAATCAAGAATCTGGCATTCTGTGTTCATAGTTCACTTTTGCCACTAATTATTTTTGTGACCCTGGGTATTTCTTTCTGGGACTGTATTCATTGGATATGAGTATCTCTAAATCTTCTTCAACTTCTATGATTCTAAATGGAAGTACACTCAATTTTCAAGTATCCATTGTGGATTTTATATACTGCTATGTATCCTGAGAAAATCTTCCTTTTGAATTATTTTTCGTATTAATGAGTTCAACTTCACAAATATTTACTGAACACCAACTATGAGCTAGGTGATGTAAAAGTGAATAGTTACTTCTAGTCAGTATTACTTACTTACTTTTGTATTCCACAGTGCAGTTTGATATTGTTTGTAGTTCCAAAGCATTAAACAATGCCTTTTAATCTAGGACATGTGGAATCTTCAAATAAGAGCAGAATTACAAAGAGTTTTAGACTGCCACTTTGCATCATTCTGAGAGGCAATACCATAAGTGTTCAGCAGTCAGAAGAAGGGACAGGGGAAAGTCCTGAGCAGTGCAGGTGGATTAAGAACTAAATATGCCTACAAAAGCACATTCATGCCTAAATGTCATTGCATTTGGATCACAGGCCTTGAGAAGATCTGTACCATCACTGTGGGTAACTTGGGCCCATTTAGAGTACTTGCCTCTGAGGGAAATAAAAATTTGCTAGCAATTTTCTCTAAATGACATTATCATAGGCACTTAATTCCTTGATAGGTTCTTTTAGATAATTTTTTTATAATGAAGCAATTAATTTGATTCACGAAAGTAAGTTTCTAGTTTATATAAAGACCAGATCTGGCCTATTTCTTAGCTTGTCTACATTTGAGTAGTTCCATTGCTGGAAAATGACCCTGGAGCTTTTCAATCTCATTTGAAGAGTCCAGGGGACAGACAGAGACACTAGTTATGCAGTTTACTAGAGCCAGGTTCCATTTCATCTCTAATAATTTTTGCCTGTGTGCGCCTGCACATGTAGCTTAAGCTATCTAAGCCTTAGTTAGTTTTGTCATCAGTCAAAGGGGAATAGTGATATCTCCCTCTAAGGGTTGTACAACATGGTGGTTATTTATAGCACAGCTTGAATAAATGTTATTAGATGATATAGTCTCAGTCAGGTTTTCCTTGGACCATGTTTTAGTGACATATTAGACTCCAAAGAAGCAAAATGCTAGGAGCACAAGGCAGCCTAACTTGTGAGTTGATGTACAGTGTGAAGATGCACCACAGATTTAGAATTTCAGTTGACTAGAAGAATAAGTGGTAGAATTTGTCCCTGGTTGACTACTGTCTTAACTTTGTGTCTTTGGGGAAATATTTAAGCTCTCCAGACTTCTATTTCTTCATGTTTAAATCGGGAATAATATTCCTTTCTCATTTCGTAGAAATTGAAAGGAGATAAGTATGAAAGCGTTTATGAGAGTAGAAATCATGAGTGTGAAAGTTCATGCTATTATGGCACAATTGATGTTGAAAGTTAATATTACAGACCATTCCTTTTTTGCACAGTGAAAATTGTTTTATATCCATATTGGCCCCTGTCACATATTAAAATATTATTTTCTCTTATTAATTTCTATGAGAATAATACTGCCTTCATACTTTTATAAAGGGACCTAGGAAACCAATATTTGTCTAATGTTTCAGGCTAAAGAGTAAAAAGGAATAGGTATACTCTTGAAAATAGATGGCTATTGTCAATATTTTTCCTACCAAGAAAATAATTCCTTCTCTATAAAGAACTGTTACTGTTTAGAGCAATATTTTCACGATTCAAAAAGATTATCTGAGCATGTGTCCAACCATAACTGACCCCTGCAAAATATTTCTAAAAGCACTGTGCATCTAGGCTGGGAAGTATGCAAAATTAGCAAAAATCCCCTAGCATTTTCACACCAAGCCATGTGTATTTAATATACACCACCTCAAAGAGGAACATTACCACCCTAGCACTATGAGTGAGGTGAGACAGAGAGATTTCTAAGAATATATGGGTGTAATTTTCTGTTAACTGAGAGTGATTGACAGTTCGTGGAAATCTGCCCTCCAAAATAACCTGTTTTGCAGCACCCTTAGTTTTATTTGATATGAAGAAACTGCCTGCTGTTTTGACCCATTTAGCTACTAGGAACTCTATTTACTACCCTAACTGCCTAAATCCCTATGGATAAATTAGGCAGTATCTGTTTATTTTAGTTTAGATTTATTTTTAAAACCAGTGTTCCTTTGACTGTTCTTACTATTTCTATTTGAGAGTTGGTTGAAATAAGATCATGTAAATAAAAATACAATGTAGTCTAGATCTAAAGTCACTGTACATACCTAGATAATTTTTTTTTTTTTTGAGACAGGATCTTGCTCTGTCTCCCAGGCTGGAGAGCAGTGTTATGATCACAGCTTACTGCAACCTCTGGCTCCCAGATTCAGGTGATTCTCCCACCTCAGCCTCCCTAGTAGTTTGGACTACAGGTGTGTGCCACCACACCTGGCTAATTTTTGTATTTTTGTAGAGATGGGGTTTTGCCATGTTGCCCAGGCTGGTCTCGAACTCCTAGGCTCAAGTGATCTGCTCATCTTGGCCTCCCAAATGAGAAGGATTACAGGTGTGAACCACTGTGCTTGGCACCTAGAGGATTTCAATAAAATTTGAGGTCCTATAATTTTAAGATCACATTTCCAAAGGAAGGAGTTTTGCTTCTTTTCAAATGCATGGACAATGAGCAACTATATTGTTTTGGTAAAACTAGTAGTCCCAAATAAGAAAGAGGTCCTACTAGTCCCTAGTAGTCTAGTCCCTTGACTAGAAGAAAAAGTCAAGCCCAATTTATTTTATCTGCAGGACTTGGTTTAAGGGGGATTATAAAACTATCACCACATAAAGTCTTTGATGAAGAGGACATAGGGGGATGTAGGGAGTACTTCAGAGATGCATCTGGTCACTCTCGAATACATAACACATTTACATAAATATATATATCCAAGTAAACTTCAGACTTCACATATTTGTTTCCTTTTGTTTCCTTGTTGAAAATCTTTATCCAAGCTGACAATCACAGTACACTGCTCATGTAGATTCCACTGCTGAGAGCTGGAAGCTGAGAGTAGAGTGGGCTGGGGAGCGACTTTCTTGGGACTATTATGCTTTTCTTGCACTTTACTAGGTTCCTGTTCTTCCCCACCCACTACCTCTCCTGGGCACTGATTCCAGGCAAGTGAGATGCATATCTGTGGACTATGGTTAAGTGAAAGCCTTTGTTCTGGAAAGCTCTATCTGGTTTCTCTTAAGCCAGACAGACCAGCTTGCCATGAAGGCTTTCATAGGCTCTGGTCCACACTTTAGACTTCCAACTGGTCTGCTACTGACATTCTAGGCTATTGTTTCTCCAAGTAATGAATGAGTATACCATTGGTGGTGGAAGAGAGAATTTTAGATGGTACATAGACAAATGTTTTTATTGTGATTGTTATGTATTTTTAATTCATATGAGAAAAATGTTTTCCATTCATGGTAGCAATATACAGTTTCTTCTTTAAATACATTTACTTAAAAATGTGAGTTGATTTAAAGAGAAATATTAATAAGACTTCTGGGGAAACTCAGGCATGACAAAATACATGAAGGTGACATGTGAGTAGTTGAGGTTTAGAAAGCACTGCAATGTTATAGACTCTAGGCTAGCTCCCTGCCTATCCCCAGGCCAGTTAACTAGTTGAATTCTCTCAAGAGTCAGGATGTCTTTGCCTGTTGGCCTTCACCTTAAGAAAGTCAGGCAATGATGAGGAATCACACCTGAGGAGATTGTAGGAGACCTTTAACTTAAAGAGTGGTGATGAATATGAAAGAAAGAGTCATAGTATATGATCAAAGCAGAGAGGACTTTGAGACTCAGCGATTGGGATGTAGGAAGGTTTCCTGTAAAAATAAAGTCTTAACTGGGCTTCAAAGGATGAACAGGAATTATCCTGTGGAGAAAAGTAGGAGAAGAATGACATATGCCAAGTTTGTTTCTTAAAACCACAACCCCCAAATTGTGAGCTCTGGGTCTTAATTTGGTGGGGATGGGAAGCGCCAATCTATCTGTGACTTCTTTCCTGACATGGGCTTTCAAGTGCATGTAACTTGACATTTATGATTTCCTCTGCAAAAGAAGAAAGGAACAGGGTGATGGTGCCTCTGTGATCAGTTGCATTTATGGGTGCAACAGCAAAGGAGGTGGGACACCTAAGGGACAACCGTTCACGTGAAATGAAGCAGGGATGAGAAGAAATGCCCGTTTGTATTTAATACATCCCAGAAATGAACCCCTTTATTTTCTGGGACTGTTAGAGCAGGGAAACTATATATTTCTAAGAATGGGGGCTCTGCTCAAATCTTTGTATTACAGTACAAAGAAGGGTGAGGACAGGAAGCAGTGGTGATCTTGCTCTTTTTGGAAGAGTTTGTGTCTGTCCTTTTAAAGTCAGGTATGATTGATAGGAAAGTCAAGTACTGGCATCCTCAGATTGGAGAGGTTTTATTTTATTTTATTTTTTTTAATGGAGTCTTGCTCTTGTCATCCAGGCTGGAGTGCAATGCCACGATTTCAGCTCACTCCAACCTCTGCCTCTTGGGTTCAAGCAATTCTCCTGTCTCAACCTCCCAAGTAGTTGGATTACAGGCACCTGCCACCATGCCTATCTTAATTTTTGTATTTTTAGTAGAGACAGGGTTTCACCATGTTGGCCCGGCTGGTCTTGAACTCCTGACCTCAGGTGATCCACCCGCCTGGGCCTCCCAAAGTGTGGGATTACAGGTGTGAGCCACCACACCTGGCCTGAGTTTAACATAAACAAAGAAATAAAAATAATATAATCTCTCAAAATAGCAAAGAACAGGGTTGTCTAATCAAAATATATAACTATTTATTTTTAATAGCCACATTACAAAAGTAAAAAGAAACAGGTAAAATTAATTTAATTTAATTTTAAAAATATATTTTAAGGTATACAACACGGTGCTATGGGTAAAATGGTTATTACAATGAAACAAATTAACATCTCCATCATCTCACATAGTTACCTGCTTCCCTTCCCACTCCAAACCCCTCATTGCAAGAGCAGCTATAGTTTACTCATTTAGCAAAAATCCTGAACGCAATACACCATTTTTATTATTTTTTAAATTTATTTTTTTGAGACAAGGTCTCACTCTGTCACCCAGGCTGGAGTGCAGTGGCGCAATCTTGGCTCACTGCAACCTCCACCTCCCAGGCTCAAGCAATCCTCTCACCTGAGCCTTGCGAGTAGCTGGGACTACAGGCACGGGCCACCACATTTGGCTAATTTTTGTAGAGACAGGGTTTCACCATGTTGCTCAGGCTGGTCTCGAACTCCTTGGGCTTAAGTGATCTGCCCACCTCAGCCTCCCAAAGTGCTGGGATTACAGGCATGAGCCATCATGCCTGGCCTACAATGCACTAATATTAACTATAGTTGGCAGGTTGGGCATTAGATCTTCAGACTTGTTCATCCTACATATTTGCTACTTTGTATCCTTTGAGGTACATCTACCCATTTCCTCCACCCACCCTACCTCTGGTAATCACTATTTTATTCTCTATTTCTGTATATTTGACTTTTAAAAAAATTCTACATATATGTAAAATAATGCAATAGTTTTCTTTTTGTATCTGGCATATTTTACTTAATATAATTTAAATAATATACTTCATTTAACTCAATATATTTAAAGTATTTTAACATACAATGAATGTAAAAATATTGAAATGTTTTGCACTTTTTTCATGTAAATATTTAAAATTTGGGGTATATGTTATAGTACATGCCATTTAGGACATTAAATTGCCAATGGAAATAATATTCAGATTTTATAACATTTGCAGTTGAAAAAGTAGATACATGTATCCAAGTTGCTCTCAACATACTTAAAGTTTTCCAATAACTGAATTAAATATCAGTTTATCAGTTTAATATAAACAATTAGGGTAAATGAAAATAAAATTTCAGCTCTTTGGTTCCATTAGCCATGGTTCAGGAGCAGAATAGTCACCTGAGGCTAGTGACAACGCTTTTGGATCACAGGAAAGAAGAAAAAAAATCAAAATAATTTTTCTTGGTCACATTTAGCTCCTTTTCTTCCAGGATGATTACGGAGCTAGGAATTTCCTACGAAGCTGGGTGATAAAAGGACATTGGACAAAAACACAGATAGCTTCATTCTATACCAGGATCCATCACTGATTAGCTGTATTATATTTGTCTCTACTGTAATTTGAGGAGAATGATACCTGCTTCTCTATCTTGTTGGGTTTTACAGATGATGTATTGAAAGTTCAATAAAATCTATAAACAATAGATCTCTGTGGCTTGAATGGTCCTCAGATATCTTGACCAATGATTCTCAAATGCTTACCATAGACCATAATTTTTCCCCACATGACACTGCTTCATATTTTTAAGTTTTTTTTCACCAAATATTTTGTTTTACTATCTCCAAGCCCTGAAACTTTTTTTCTCCCTCAAACATGACTTCAACTTTACTATCCTGGTCCCTTTCTATTGAATGTGTTTTGTTTGTGTCTATATTTCTTATAGTGTCTTGAACTGATTGTACTTACGATATGACTTGACTAGCATAAGATAGAATAGGGCAGTCATCTTCTTTGATCTAGACTAGATGCTATCCTTCTATTAATGCAGTTGCTAGTTTTGTATTTGCTTGCTTTCAATTTTTTTTTTTCAGATTTTGGTAACCACTGTTACTTGACTCGTATCAAACTTATCAGTAGCTAAAACCCCCATTTTCCCTCTTCCTGTGCTTATTTGACTAGTTTTGTTGCGCTTTCTGAAATGTTTCTCACTTGTTTTTGACCAAAAAAATAAAAATAACAAATGCCATTGATTCTGTGTCTATACTATTTGAGGCAGTTAGGCCTTTACTTACTTCTTCCAACATTTTAAGCAGTGTTGCATTCAATTTGAACAAGAGGAAT
The DNA here is from genome assembly GCF_000001405.40 of Homo sapiens. Lineage (NCBI taxonomy): Eukaryota > Metazoa > Chordata > Mammalia > Primates > Hominidae > Homo > Homo sapiens. The sequence goes on from NC_000009.12 coordinate 22,078,530, forward strand.
AAAAAGGCTTGAGAAATCTTAGGGAAGTGTGTCTCAAGCTTTAGCAAACAAACAACAGATCTGCAGGAGATCTTGTTAAAATGCTAAATTCTGATTCAGCAGGTCTGGAGTAGGGTCCAAGATTTTACATTTCTAGTAAGTTTCTATGGATTATGTTTTGAGCAACAAATTCTTAGAGTGTCTGAAAGGTTTTTAAAATAACTGATTTCCCTTCAAAATCTTCTTCATTAGGAGTAAAATATACATCTTCTCACTCTGTAAATCAGCTCTGAGATCTTCTATAATCTTAGCTGAGGTTTGGGTATGCAGAGTTTTGAAACTCTTATTTGCTTAAGAGAGGAGCCATGTATGATCTTCTTTTGGGTTTCCCCATTGTCTGGTAAAATGAGGAGCATTACTAAACGGCACTCACTTTTACTGAGTTTGTTTGGATCCCACAGAGAACTGAAAAAGTCACCATTATGGAAGCCTTATCAGAGAGATGGGGACAAGTCGCCCCAAAGCAGTTGTCAATATCTGGAAGATATTTTTCTAGTTGGCCTTATATTTCATTTCTATTTTCCTCAGTTCTAATTCAGTTTATCACAATTAAAAAGAAACCAATGAAAAACATAAATATTGGAGATCATTTGATTTCATTGGAGGCTGGAAAGGATAGAAAGGCTGAAAAGTGGCCGGGTGCAGTGGCTCACGCCTGTAATCCCAGCACTTTGGGAAGCCGAGGCGGGAGGATCACCTGAGGTCAGGAGTTCGAGACCAGCCTGGCCAACATGGTGAAAACCCATCTCTACTAAAAATAAATACAAAAATTAGTTGGGCGTGGTGGCACGTGCCTGTAGTTCCGGCTACTCGGGAGGCTGAGGCAGGAGACTTGCTTGAATGCAGGAAGTGGAGGTTACAGTAAGCCGAGACTGTGCCTCTGTACTCCAGCTTGGGTGACAGAGCAAGACAGAGTGTGACAGAGCAAAACACCATCTAAAAAAAAAAAAAAAAGGGAAAGAAAAAAAAGAAAAGCTGAAGGGTGTGCTGGGTCCTGTCCTGGGTGAGGGAACAACTTGTGGAAAAGTGAATTGAGGCTTATCGGAATGTTTGGGGCTCCTCAATAATGTTGGCACTCTGAGATACAGACCAAAAGTGAGGTAAAAAGCGAGTGTTTCCTTTTTTTCAGAATAGGACTTTACTCCAGATTTTCTTACTCTTCTCTTGATTCCTTCACCATCCTTGATCGACATTCACCTCAGATGCCCATGTCCCTTCTCCACCGGCATAGCTTGTTTTCTTCTTAATCTTCTTGTGTTCATCTAGCCTCACATTGCATTTGTCACACTTCGTTGAAAACCTACTGTTTGTCAAAGTGTCTTTCTAGTAATCCAGATATCTCTTCCCCCATGCCTTTGGTGTGGTTTCGGTAGAGTCATACAGAGCAGCAATGCCTTATGAAAACGAATTTTACAGAATCTGCCTGTTCATCAAAGGAGGCCAGACAGGAGGTGAGAAAAACCAGGTGTGTCCCACACCAGTCTCAATGAAGCCTTTTGGGGTGTCTTGTGCTCTTGACTAAATCTCAGATGGTACTGAATGAATAATCACCAAAGGCGTGAGCTGTTAAGGAATCCCAGTTTGGCTGGCTCTGTGCAGTCAGATGTAGCCAGCCCTGTTTATGTGTGAAAGGATTGGGTTTTCCCCAAGCTGTTTGGTAATGTTGCAAGAACAGACTTTCCCCTCCCTGGCTCCCTGGAGTAAAATGGCTGCCAAAGTATTTTGGAACAGAAACTTAGAAATGTACCGACCACTAGAAGAGAGTAACAAGGGTCCTTTGATATTTTCCGTGTTCACTATGATCAAGCTGGCATCGTTTCCTTCTGAGCTAAAGATTCTGAGCTATCATTGGCTGATGTGAGCTTGTGACCTAGCTACTTCTGTTCACAATACACTGTGGAGGGGCAGCGGGGGCAGCCCTATTTGGGTTGAGAGTCTTTAAGGAGAGCTTTACAGATGAGTTCTAGTGAAGCCCATCAGGGAGAAGAAAATCAAACACAATGGGAAATGTTTAACAATTAAAACCAGGCTTTGCCTGTGTGGTCCTGTGTTTTACCACATCACTCTATGGAAATGGGCTGTTGGAAGGAAGACTGTATTTCTGACAGTTTGCAGAGCCAAAAACCTGTTGAAGGCTTTTTGTAAGGTAGTGGAGAAAATGGCAAAACCTTTAAAACTTAAGGGAAATTACTTGATAGTTCTGATGACCACAGGCCACCAGACTGCTGGGTCATGGAATTATAGCTACATGACAAAGAAAATAGGAGGGTGGGCTGAGCCAGACTCAGAAACTATTCCAAAAGTACTATGACTTTTTAGGAAGCTAGTTCTTTTTATTTGAAATATTTTGTGTTTTTTTGCATGAGAATTAGCCTATGCTTCTTAAAAATATCATAAAATGTCAGCTAGTAGAAAAATAAAGAGTTTAATCTCCACTCCGACTACCTAGAGTCAACCCTTGTTCATACTGCAGTACATTTTTTTCTTTTAGTTCTGTTCTATGCTTTAAATAAAAATACAATTAGGTCCATATGGCAATATAATTTTGACTCCTTTTAAAACTGTAGCTTATATCATAAGTCTATTTGATGTTGTTTTGAAGTTGTCATGTACATTTTGTCATACAAGTTTTTAATGACTGTTTTTATGGGGTTGTGCCCCAAGTTACTTATTCATTCCCATGTTATCAGATATTTTGTTCTTTAGCTTTTTTTTTTTTTTTTTTTACATTATAACTAATGAGGCAATGTGTCTTGAGTATTTTGAATTAACTCTCTAGAATCGATTCTTGGGGAGGTTATTTACTTTGAAGTGATGGACAGAGTGTAGGAGATTTATGAGTGAACTCTTGTCTGATTTGGAAATATAGAGTTGTTTAGGCTAGGTATTACCAACCCAAAGTTGACACTTGAGTCACCTAAGTTCTTCTCTACTCCAGAGACTTGGCCCTGCCTGGCCTGATCCCAGGAAAAGAGATTTTAGGGATTACAGAAATGGGAACAAGTTGTGGGTCTGAGCACAGCATGCAAATTAATTCAACACAGCCCCTGGGACAGGCCCATGATCAGTGAGCTGAAACTCCCCCTTCAAGTGCTTTCATGATTAGACTCCAGCCTAGGAAGCTTGTCTATTAGTTGTGTAATCTTGAAAAAATCTCTGACACTTTTCCCTCTGACTCAGTTTCCCCATCTGGCACCCAATCTTTTACAGTGTTATGAAAAATAGGGAAAATGTAGAAAGGAAGAACATGGCACCCAATCCTTAATGGACACTCAGTGAAAGCTGGCTATCATCATCATTTTTGGGGTTGTTGTGTTCTACAAATGTATTTTCCCAGGAGTTTTTTTTACTCTGTCTCCTCTTTCCTTCATATACCCCCAGCCTGTGGCTGGGGTCTTGCTTCAACCACCATGCACCTTTCTGAAACCCAAGTTTTACTCCCTGATAAAGGTATTGACCTCTTGTTGGTCTCATCCTCCAGACCTACCTATACTTAAGAAAATGACATCTCTTTAAACTGGTCCCCAGTTCACTTGTTTTCCCTAACATTTTAATTCACAAGATTAATCACTTCCCTTACAGGCCAGTCTTACTGCAGAGTTGATTTTTATAATTTTGGGCCTGTTGGTCTGGTTGTACTTTTCTCTTTCTGCTGGTCTGCTAGTTATAGCGGGTCTTGAAAGCAGTGATATGTTATGACATTGTCATCACCCTCATTATTGCTCTTTATATAACAGTAGCAGCATAACTGTGTTTTGATTTCTTGTACAAGGCATAAAGTGTGCTAGTGGCTCACTATTCACATCAATCTCATCAGAAAATGTTATTTCCTCCTTTTGTTGATCATGATATAGAGGCCCAGTGACATTAGGTAACTTGCTCAAGATCACACATGTGGAAAGCTACAGAGCCAGACTTGGAACTGAGTCCATTATATCTTAATCCCACTGCACTCCAAAATTTGTTGAATGAAGGAATAGATAAACGTATCATGATTTTGATGTTCTGACTAATTCGTAGCCAGTACTTTATTGCTATCGGAGCTTAAGCTTTAAGTACTGGCTAGGAAATAGTCAGAACTTTATTTTTAAGGAGGAGCATATAATTATGTATATTTTATACCTGTAGTAAATTGGGAACTATAGAAAACATGTAGAGGATTGTGTTTACCAACTTCATGTAGAGTGAGGATACCCGACTCTAGCTTGCTGGTAGTTAGGTAAGTCAGACATGGGCAGGGGATAAACCAAATTAGACTATTTCCATTTGACTAAGCCATATAATCAGGTGTAAGCCACGGAAAGAAATCTGGAAAGACAGGTGCAATATTAGAAGATGGCTCATGATAGTGATCATTAGAGGTTCAGGCTTGAGAAAGCCAATTGGAATCAAGAAGGCCTAATCCTGGGGTTCTGTCACAGAAAAGAAGGCTGGTAGCAGGAAGAGGACATGTAACATGAATTACATGATTAGATTTGTGTCATAATAACAAAAACAATAATGATAATAACACTAATAGCTTGTTATATGCCATGCCCTGTACTAAGAACTATACGTATGTTATCCCATCTAAATCACATTTAATAGATTCCCATTTTTCTCATGAGAAAATTGCATCATACAGAGATGAACTAACTTGCTCAAGGCTATAGACCTGGTAATTAGCAAAGCAGGGATTTGAATTTAGATGTATTTTTCTCTGAAGGCTGGGTTTAGATAAATGGATCTGGAAGCACTGGGAAGGATGAATTAATGGGATGGAGTGCAGGGGATGCAGAGTGCCCACTTATGGAATGATTTCATTCAAGAGAGACAGGAGGGTCAGAGGTAAGAATGCTACCGCTGGGACAGAGAGGAAGGTACAGATATGAGATATGGTAAGAAGGTATACTACAACAGTGGCTCCCAAATCTCAATGAGTAGCCAGTTCTCATGGAGGTTTTGTTTTTATTTTTGAATGAAGATTCCCATGGCATACCTTGAATATTCTGAATCAGAATCTCTGGAATACAACTTGGTATTCTTATAAAGCACCCTAGGTGATGCTGAAGCTCTGCCAGGTTCAAGAACCACAGCTCGATCAGCCTATATTTAGATGTTTGGGGTGGAGAATGAGAGAAAGAAAAGATTTTAGGGTGGCATCCAGGTTTCTGAATTTTGTGACTCAGTGAAGTTTTTGGAGGGTAGGTAAGATGCTGAGTTCAGTTTTGGATGTGTTGAGATGGACTGGTCCTGTGGATTTAGTTGGATATTAGAGTCTAACGCTTAGAACAGAGGTCAAGGCTGTAGATTTAGATATGGAGGACACTGGTGTTTGGGTGGTGATGGCGCTATATATTACATGGAATTTTCAAAATACTCAAAACTTCAGTTTTCCCTCAATAATTAATCACTTTACATCTTTGTGATCTTAAATCTCTTTCTGACCATTGATTGAAACTTTTGCTTTTAAAATTTACATTACCTTTCTTAACAGTTCCTTAAGATTCATGCATTGTTGTAAGTAGTTACTTGCACCATTTCATTGGATTCACACCAACAATTGTTAAAGTAAAATTTATTTTTCCTGTGTTTTAGATGAAGAGATTTAGGCAGGTTATGTAACACACCCAAGGTAATATAGTCAAATAATTGAGCCAGAATTTGAGCCCAAGTCTCTTTCTGACTCTAGGCTTAGAGCTTTAGGGCTATTTCACAAAAGGGCTGTTCCTAGGTCAGGCATGACAACTTCTATATTACCTTCGTAAAAGAAGCAATATAATCTACCACTATTAAATTTTGCAGGTTAATTTTATATTATGTTTAAATACAGAAAACTTTATTTAAAACTCAGTTGAATTTCTCTTGAGAAATTGGCCATGTAGTAAATTATATTTAATAGAAGAGTTTGTGTACTTCCCAGGGAGCAGAGTATTGGCCTGATCAAAGCACCTTTCAGCCTTTGTCTAACAGCATGTGGGTAGGCTACATTTTTTTTACTCTCAGAGAAAGGGGGTGGGCAGGGGTGTGATATGGGTTTTTGTCTCTGGGAGTTCTGTTGCATGATTTGACCTCCCAAATTGTTTTGTGGGGCATATCCAACTTTGGGTTGAAACTAAAATGGGTTCTTGGTAATCCCAGATTGAAAATATGTCTCAGCAGTAACATTGTTTATCTTTAGGTTTAGGTAAATACAGACATTTGCCATGTCTTCTTGGTAGCACTGTAAGAATGAGTAGGGCTGTGAAAAATGCACAGGGCATTCATTATGAAGACTGGCTGGTTAAAACTGATACACTAAAGAAATTGCATTCTTTTCCACAAGCTGAGTCATACAGCTGAAATTGTGGAATCATCTGAGCCAGCAGCTGTAATATGATACTTAATCTCCATAAGTGACAGATATCTAAGATAACACGAACACCCAGACGACAACTCAGGCAACCCCAGCACAGTGTTTTGGTATGAGAACAGGAGAAATGTTAGTAGAGTGAACATTTTTCCACAGAGAACTCAAATATGGTAACATTCTCATAGCTTTGATAATCCCCAATAAACTGTGGTTACTAAAATGCATGACAAAAAGAACTTCTATCTATAAAGAACTTCTTTATACATTTCCAATACTTGGGTTATGATCAAGGAGAAAAAAGTTTATCAGTTAATTAAGAGTTAGGTAGCTAGTTTGCCCACAGATTAATTTGTATGAGGTAAAGGAAATCTCACCTAACTGGGAAAAAGCAAGCTTACCCTCAAGGTATGCTTATCCCAACCCCACCCTGCCAAGTGCATTCCTTATTCCTCAGGTGTGCCTGTTTATCCCAAGGACCTAGCCACACCTACATCTTGTTCTGGCCCCACACCAAGGAACATATAAAAGTTCCCTCTCTGGCCGGGCGCGGTGGCTCACGCCTGTAATTCCCAGCACTTTGGGAGGCTGAGGCGGGCGGATCACGAGGTCAGGAGATCAAGACCACCCTGGCTAACACGGTGAAACCCCGTCTCTACTAAAAAATACAAAAAATTAGCCAGGTGTGGTGGCGGGCCCCTGTAGTCCCAGGTACTCGGGAAGCTGAGGCAGGAGAATGGCGTGAACCCTGGAGGAGGAGCTTGCAGTGAGCCGAGATCGTGCCACTGCACTCCAGCGAGGGCAACAGAGCGAGACTCCGTCTCAAAAAAAAAAAAAAAAAAAAGTCCCTCTCTTTATATCTCAGGGTATCTTGGAGTCACTACTGATCCTTGACCTCCCTCCTTTCTCTGACCATGTCTAGACAAGTGTCCAGGTCTCCTGTGCCAAATGTCTATTTGTTGCCTGGATTAGGTTTTGACTTGTTTTTCTATTTCTTTGCATCTCGTAGCCCATTTCTTTGATTCAATTTCACAATCTCTTGATTTTGTCCTTAAGTATTTGGCAACACAAACCCTCGAGAGGCAGGATAGTTCAACAGAAAGAAGATGAACCTTGGGGGTCAGAAGATTCAAACTTCCAGAATTTAAATCTTCATTCTGCTATTACTAGATTTATAAACTTTATCAAATCACTCTCCTACTCTATCCCTTAATTCAACATATTTAAAATTGGAATAAAAATCTCAATGTGGTAGAGTTATTATTGAGATGAAAATCAGAATAGATACAAAGAACTTGATAGCCCCAAGGAGCTTGATCAGTGTTTGTTTAATGGCCCTTCCTCTCTTCTCATATCTCAGTTCAGATCCTACTCAGCCATTTATTTTATTCTGCTCCTTTTGGAGTAGAGAATAAAGCCAAGAATTATGCTTAAAAAGTAGCATAATTAAAAGTATTTAAAACACAAGTAACTTGAGAAAGGTGAGTTGGAAGTTTATATCTAACCTCAGTTTTTTTTGGAGAGAAATTTACCCGTCAGGGCCAGATTAAAACATTTACAAGTCCCAAGCACACGTGAGATGAAGATGCCCCTCACTTATCTCACATGTAAGTTGAAAGTTAAAAAGTGAAAATGTCTACTAGAGTTCAATAATATTCTTTTTTTCCCATGACTTCTCTGAAGCTTTTAGAAAATATGAAATTCTTAAAAACAATAACAGTAACCCACATTTTTATTGCCCTGGTTTGCCCTATCTTATCTTTCTCCTGCTCACAGGGTCTGAGGCAGCTGGGATAGGGGAGAATGATTACCAGCCAATCAATATTTTTTGAACCCCAGAGATTATTTATTTATCTATCCATTTATTTATTTTGAGATCTTATTTTATCTGGAATCTTAATAAACGATTAGTTTCCAAACTGTATCTACTGTGTGTATTTTATCCATATGGCCCAGATTTGTATTACTTATTTGTGATTCTGAATAATATTTTTTCCAACATTAATTATCAGCCTCTCTGTGCCCCTCCAGAATTGTTACAACCTATGTTAATGCACACTATGGCAAGCCATGTGAATTGCCTACGCAGGGAAGTTTTCTTCATACTTCCTTGCCAAGAGAACCCCATTATTGGTCAGTTACTAGTCACATGATCTTCTTTAGCCCCTCCTTAGCCCCTGTAGTGAATCAGGAGTAGCCTAAGGCCATGGTGGTAACTCCCCTTTTTCTTGGAAATGTTTGATTTAGATATGGAGAAGAGGTGCAACTTTGCTTATGAAATGGGAGGGCAAATATGGGAAACTTTAAGGTAAGTTTTCTTTCCCCTTGAAGGGGACCAAAAAGTTGTGGTTTATACTTTCTTGACTCTGGTCACTGTTGGGTGAAGAGTTGGTGCTATGGAAGCCATCTTCAGACCATGAGGGGACAAGTCTGAGGATACAATTACATGCTACCGGTGGCAGAGGACAGTATAGCAAGAAACTGGATCCCTGATGACATTGAACCATTGACTGAATCTACCCTGGAACCATCAGGAAATAATCCTTAGTTTTTTAAAGATGCTTTTAGTTGTGTTTTTTATTACAAGTACCTGAAAGCATCCTAACTAATCAATGCTAAATGCATCTCTCACAGTTTATGCTTATTTTTCAGAAATGCCTAGTGGAAATTTCTATTGCTGATTATAATATTTGTCCTAAATAAATTGAATAGACTGTCAATCTTTTGAAAATAAAAGCATGACTTGATTAGCAATTGTTTAGTCTGATGTTTTCCTAATTTCTGTCATTTGCATACCACTTCTTTGATTTTGTCATATCCTTGTATCATCTGCACTAATAGAAATATTTTTCCTTAAGTTGTCTCTCCTTTAAAAAATTATATCCATTTATTTTGAAGAGAAACTTTTTCACTAACTATAAATTGAAAACCGATATCATTTGCCTTAAATAGAAGATTGTCATAAAAAGAAATGCCATGAGTGAAATAATGTTATTAAATATTTGCCAGATATAGTTTCCTATGAAGACTCTGAGCTTGTGGCTTGCTGTCTCTGTTGAAAGGAGAGACTAGGGAGTGTTATAGAAGTGGTAAAATAATCCTTCCACTGACTGAGACTATTTCCTTGCCACAATCAGAAGAACTAAAAGAAAGGAGGATATCTGTTAATATATGAATTTATCTAAATGTCATGCAGTGACTTCTAAAATCATCTGGTGTGCTCTGTTTCCCCTTGGAGGTGACTTAGGCCTGGCATCCCAAACAATACATACTGGAGTGAAGCTCCAGGAAACCCTGAGGAGAAGAGAAGGGCTTAAAGAGCAATCAGCCTTCGATTGCTGGGATTATGAAAGGTCGTAAGAAGCGAATGTTGCAATGTTTTATTATACTTGATATTGAAGCAAGGACAAGTAATAATTTATTATTCTCTCCATGTCAGTGGTATTTACCTTTTTGGAATCATGTGCCCCATTGAGAATTTCTGGAAAACCATGGTTCTTCTACTCAGGAGAATGCACAATTGCACACATACACAAATGTGCAAGCACACACACACACACACACACACACAGAATTGCCACAGAAGGTCAGTAGGTTCACAGGCCCTAGGCTAAGAACCAGCATTCTGTATATTTTACATGTGTTCTCTTACAAGTTACCGTGTGATTCAGTTCACTCCAAACTGCGGTTAAGTGCAAAACATGGTTTTGAATATTTCTATCAATTAGTAAGAGTGGTATGTTAATTTAAATACACCAAAGTGGAGAATTACTGTCCTCTCAATAGCTACTTTAAATAGACATAAGTTACAGTGATATTGCCTTCCAGGAGGCTTCAAGAAATGAGATCAGGCTCTATAAAAGAAAATCACCCAACCCTATAAAGTCATCTTTATGAACTTTGAAACACCACTGTATGTACCTAGTAAAAATTATTCCTGGGTAAGCAGACTCCCAGGCCTGGGTGGAGTTCACATGAGTCCCTTTGCTAAAATAAACAGAAGTGACTGGGAACTTTGGATTGCCTTTGTCTGAACTTGAGTGTCTGGATGGATCAGCATCAGCAGCATACCACACACCTGCTTGTCCAGCCAAAGAGAAACCCAAAGACTTGGCATTTGTTTTTTACATTGTCAACTGTGCAAAAATATCACGATTCTAATTTATGAGGGTCCATGAGTTTTAAAAACACCCCCTGACATTTTTCTAGCCAAATAATTTTTCCTTTAAAAGGCACAGGATGAGCAACAAGATTAGGTAGATCACTTCAATCTCTAATTTCAAAAGATAATAGTTAAAAATTCAACTGTAGGACTAACACATTAACTATGTAATAAGACCCAGAATAGTCTTTGGAGCAAATTTCAGTGGATACTTGATCAAAATAATGTTGAAGACAAAATCTTGAATTGATGATATTTATCTGATACAATTATTTACATAACAAATGTTAAAAGAATTAGAAAAATTTCATAGGTAAGATGTTCATTATCTTCAAGTGAAGTTACTTGCTTTATATTAAGAACCACAAAAACTTACTAAACTTTTTTTTTTAAAAGGGTCTCACTCTGTCACCCAGGCTGGACCGGAGTGGCTCAATCACAGCTCACTGCAGCCTTGATCTACCCAGATTCAAGTGATCTTCCCACCTCTGCCTCCCAAGTAACTGGGACTATAGGCACATGCCACCATGCCTGGCTAATATCTCTCTTTTCTTTTTTTTTCCCCTTATTTTGTAGGGACAAGTTTTCTCCATGTTGCTGAGGCTGGTCTTGAACTCCTGGGCTCAAGTGATCCTCCTACCTCAGCCTCCCAAAGTGCTGGAGTTATAGGCATGAGCTACTTTGCCCCCTAGCAGACGTCTTACTTTTTTTTTTAATTTGGTATTAGATTGAGCCAATGACTAATTTCAAACATTTATAAATTACTAAATTCTTTTTTTTAATTATACTTTACGTTTTAGGGTACATGTGCACAACGTGCAGGTTTGTTACCTATGTATACATGTGCCATGTTGGTGTGCTGCACCCAGTAACTCGTCATTTAATATTAGGTATATCTCCTAATGCTATCCCTCCCCCCTCCCCCCACCCCACAACAGGCCCCGGTGTGTGATGTTCCCCTTCCTGTGTCCATTTGTTCTCATTGTTCAATTCCCACCTATGAGTGAGAACATGCAGTGTTTGGTTTTTTGTCCTTGTGATAATTTGCTGAGAATGATGGTTTCCAGCTTCATCCATGTCCCCACAAAGGACATGAACTCATCCTTTTTTATGGCTGCATAGTATTCCATGGTGTATATGTGCCACATTTTCTTAATCCACTCTATCATTGTTGGACATTTGGGTTGGTTCCAAGTCTTTGCTATTGTCAATAGTGCCACAATAAACATACGTGTGCATGTGTCTTTATAGCAGCATGATTTATAATCCTTTGGGTATAGACCCAGTAATGGGATGGCTGGGTCAAATGGTATTTCTAGTTCTAGATCCCTGAGGAATCGACACACTGACTTCCACAACGGTTGAACTAGTTTACAGTCCCACCAGCAGTGTAAAAGTGTTCCTATTTCTCCACATCCTCTCCAGCACCTGTTGTTTCTTGACTTTTTAATGATCGCCATTCTGACTGGTGTCAGATGGTATCTCATTGTGGTTTTGATTTGCATTTCTCTGATGCCCAGTGATGATGAGCAATTTTTCATGTGTCTTTTGGCTGCATAAATGTCTTCTTTTGAGAAGTGTCTGTTCATATCCTTCACCCACTTTTTGATGGGGCTGTTTTTTTTTCTTGTAAATTTGTTTGAGTTCATTGTAGATTCTGGATATTAGCCCTTTGTTGGATGAGTAGATTGCAAATATTTTCTCCCATTCTGTAGGTTGGCTGTTCACTCTGATGGTAGTTTCTTTTGCTGTGCAGAAGTTCTTTAGTTTAATTAGATCCCATTTGTCAATTTTGGCTTTTGTTGCCATTGCTTTTGGTGTTTTAGACATGAAGTCCTTGCCCATGCCTATGTCCTGAATGGTATTGCCTAGGTTTTCTTCTAGGGTTTTTATGGTTTTAGGTCTAACATTTAAGTCTTTAATCCATCTTGAACTAATTTTTGTATAAGGTATAAGGAAAGGATCCAGTTTCAGCTTTCTACATATGGCTAGCCAGTTTTCCCAGCACCATCTATTAAATAGGGAATCCTTTCCCCATTGCTTGTTTTTATCAGGTTTGTCAAAGATCAGATTGTTGTAGATATGTGGCATTATTTCTGAGCGCTTTGTTCTGTTCCATTGGTCTATATCTCTGTTTTGGTACCAGTACCATGCTGTTTTGGTTACTGTAGTCTTGTAGTATAGTTTGAAGTCAGGTAGCGTGATGCCTCCAGCTTTGTTCTTTTGGCTTAGGATTGACTTGGCAATGCAGGCTCTTTTTTGGTTCCATATGAACTTTAAAGTAGTTTTTTCCAGTTCTGTGAAGAAAGTCATTGGTAGCTTGATGGGGATTGCATTGAATCTATAAATTACTTTGGGCAGTATGGCCATTTTCATGTTATTGATTCTTCCTACCCATGAGCATGGAATGTTCTTCCATTTGTTTGTATCCTCTTTTATTTCATTGAGCAGTGGTTTGTAGTTCTCCTTGAAGAGGTCCTTCACATCCCTTGCAAGTTGGATTCCTAGGTATTTTATTCTCTTTGAAGGAATTGTGAATGGGAGTTCACTCATGATTTGGCTCTCTGTCTGTTATTGGTGTATAAGAATGCTTGTGATTTTCGCACATTGATTTTTTATCCTGAGACTTTGCTGAAGTTGCTTATCAGCTTGAGGAGATTTTGGCTGAGACGATGGGGTTTTCTAGATATACAATCATGTCATCTGCAAACAGGGACAATTTGACTTCCTCTTTTCCTAATTGAATACTATTTATTTCCTTCTCCTGCCTGATTGCCGTGGCCAGAACTTCCAACACTATGTTGAATAGGAGTGGTGAGAGAGGGCATCCCTGTCTTGTGCCAGTTTTCAAAGGGAATGCTTCCAGGTTTTGCCCATTCAGTATGATATTGGCTGTGGTTTTGTTATAGATAGCTCTTATTATTTTGAGATACATCCCATCAATACCTAATTTATTGAGAGTTTTTAGCATGAAGGTTGTTGAATTTTGTCAAAGGCCTTTTCTGCATCCGTTGAGATTATCATATGGTTTTTGTCGTTGGTTCTGTTTATATGCTGGATTATGTTTATTGATTTGCGTATGTTGAACAAGCCTTGCATCCCAGGGATGAAGCCCACTTGATCATGGTGGATAAGCCTTTTGGTGTGCTACTGGATTCAGTTTGCCAGTATTTTATTGAAGATTTTTGCATCGATGTTCGTCAGGGATATTGGTCTAAAATTCTCTTTTTTTTGTTGTGTCTCTGCCAGGCTTTGGTATCAGGATGATTCTGGCCTCATAAAATGAGTTGGGGAGAATTCCCTCTTTTTCTATTGAATGGAATAGTTTCAGAAGGAATGGTACCAGCTCCTCTTTGTACCTCTGGTAGAATTCGGCTGTGAATCCATCTGGTCCTGGACTTTTTTTGGTTGGTAAGCTATTAATTATTGCCTCAATTTTAGAGCCTGTTATTGCTTTATTCAGAGATTCAACTTCTTCATGGTTTAGTCTTGAGAGGATGTATGTGTCGAGGAATTTATCCATTTCTTCTAGATTTTCTAGTTTATTTGCATAGAGGTGTTTATAGTATTCTCTGATGGTAGTTTGTATTTCTGTGGGATTGGTGGTGATATCCCCTTTTAATTTTTTATTGTGTCTATTTGATTCTTCTCTCTTTTCTTCTTTATTAATCTTGCTAGTGGTCTATCAATTTTGTTGATCTTTTCAAAAAACCAGCTCCTGGATTCATTGATTTTTTTGGAGGGTTTTTTGTGTCTCTATTTCCTTCAGTTCTGCTCTGATCTTAGTTGTTTCTTGCCTTCTGCTAGCTTTTGAATCTGTTTGCTCTTGCTTCTATAGTTCTTTTAATTGTGATGTTAGGGTGTCAATTTTAGATCTTTGCTCCTTTCTCTTGTGGGCATTTAGTGCTATAAATTTCCCTCTACACACTGCTTTGAATGTGTCCCAGAGATTCTGGTATGTTGTGTCTTTGTTGTCTTTGGTTTCAAAGAACATCTTTATTTCTGCCTTCATTTTGTTATGTACCCAGTAGTCATTCAGGAGTGGGTAGTTCAGTTTCCATGTAGGTGAGCGGTTTTGAGTGAGTTTCTTAATCTTGAGTTCTAGTTTGCACTGTGGTCTGAGAGACAGTTTGTTATAATTTCTGTTCTTTTACATTTGCTGAGGAGTGCTTTACTTCCAACTATGTGGTCAATTTTGGAATAAGTGCAGTGTGGTTCTGAGAAGAATGTATATTCTGTTGATTTGGGGTGGAGAGTTCTGTAGATGTCTATTAGGTCCGCTTGGTGCAGAGCTGACTTCAATTCCTGGATATCCTTGTTAACTTTCTGTCTCGTTGATCTGTCTAATGTTGACAGTGGGGTGTTAAAGTGTCCTATTATTATTGTGTGGGAGTCTAAGTCTCCTTGTAGGTTTCTAAGGACTTGCTTTATGAATCTTGGTGCTCCTGTATTGGGTGCATACAGATTTAGGATAGTTAGCTCTTCTTGTTGAATTGATCCCTTACCATTATGTAATGGCCTTCTTTGTCTCTTTTGATTTTGTTGGTTTAAAGTCTGTTTTATCAGAGACTAGGATTGCAACCCCTGCCTTTTTTTGTTTTCCATTTGCTTGGTAGATCTTCCTCCATCCCTTTATTTTGAGCCTATGTGTGTTTCTGCACATGAGATGGGATTCCTGAATACAGCACACTGATGGGTCTTGACTCTTTATCCAATTTGCCAGTCTGTGTCTTTTAATTGGAGCATTTAGCCCATTTACATTTAAGGTTAATATGTTATGTGTGAATTTGATCCTGTCATTATGATGTTAGCTGGTTATTTTGCTCATTAGTTGATGAAGTTTCTTCCTAGCCTTGATGGTCTTTACAATTTGGCATGTTTTTGCAGTGGCTGGTAGTGGTTGTTCCTTTCCATGTTTAGTGCTTTCTTCAGGAACTCTTTTAGGGCAGGCCTGGTGGTGACAAAATCTCTTAGCATTTGCTTTTCTGTAAAGTATTTTATTTCTCCTTCACTTATGAAGCTTAGTTTGGCTGGATATGAAATTCTGGGTTGAAAATTCTTTTCTTTAAGAATGTTGAATATTGGCCCCCACTCTCTTCTGGCTTGTAGAGTTTCTACCGAGAGATCAGCTGTTAGTCTGATGGGCTTCCCTTTGTGGGTAACCCGACCTTTCTCTCTGGCTGCCCTTAACATTTTTTCCTTCATTTCAACTTTGGCAAATCCGACAATTATGTGTCTTGGAGTTGCTCTTCTTGAGGAGTATCTTTGTGGCATTCTCTGTATTTCCTGAATTTGAATGTTGGCCTGCCTTGCTAGATTGGGGAAGTTCTCCTGGATAATATCCTGCAGAGTGTTTTCCAACTTGGTTCCATTCTGCCCGTCACTTTCAGGTACTCCAATCAGAAGTAGATTTGGTCTTTTCACATAGTCCCATATTTCTTGGAGGCTTTGTTTGTTTCTTTTTATTCTTTTTCCTCTAAACTTCTTGCTTCTTTTCATTCATTTGATCTTCCATCACTGATACCCTTTCTTCCAGTTGATCGAATCGGCTACTGAGGCTTGTGCATTCGTCATGTAGTTCTCGTGCCTTGGTTTTCAGCTCCGTCAGGTCCTTTAAAGACTTCTCTGCGTTGGTTATTCTAGTTAGCCATTTGTCTAATTTTTTTTCAAGGTTTTTAACTTCTTTGCCATGGGTTCGAACTTCCTCCTTTAGCTTGGAGTAGTTTGATCATCTGAAGACTTCTTCTCTCAACTCGTCAAAGTCATTCTCCATCCAGCTTTGTTCCATTGCTGGTGAGGAGCTGCATTCCTTTGGAGGAGGAGAGGCACTCTGATTTTTAGAGTTTCCAGTTTTTCTGCTCTGTTTTTTCCCATCTTTGTGGTTTTATCTACCTTTGGTGTTTGATGATGGTGACGTACAGATGGGGTTTTGGTGTGGATGTCCTTTCTGTTTGTTAGTTTTCCTTCTAACAGTCAGGACCCTCAGCTGCAGGTCTGTTGGAGTTTGCTGGAGGTCCACTCCAGACGCTGTTTGCCTGGGTATCAGCAGCGGAGGCTGCAGAACGGCGAATGTTGCTGAACAGCAAATGTTCCTGCCTGATTGTTCCTCTGGAAGCTTCGTCTCAGAGGGGTACCCAGCCGTGTGAGGTGTCAGTCTGCCCCTACTGGGGGGTGCCTCACAGTTAGGCTACTCGGGGGTCAGGGACCCACCTGAGGAGGCAGTCTGTCCATTCTCAGATCTCAAACTGGTTTCAAAGAACATCTTTATTTCTGCCTTCATTTTGTTATGTACCCAGTAGTCATTCAGGAGTGGGTAGTTCAGTTTCCATGTAGGTGAGCGGTTTTGAGTGAGTTTCTTAATCTTGAGTTCTAGTTTGCACTGTGGTCTGAGAGACAGTTTGTTATAATTTCTGTTCTTTTACATTTGCTGAGGAGTGCTTTACTTCCAACTATGTGGTCAATTTTGGAATAAGTGCAGTGTGGTTCTGAGAAGAATGTATATTCTGTTGTTTTGGGGTGGAGAGTTCTGTAGATGTCTATTAGGTCCGCTTGGTGCAGAGCTGACTTCAATTCCTGGATATCCTTGTTAACTTTCTGTCTCGTTGATCTGTCTAATGTTGACAGTGGGGTGTTAAAGTGTCCTATTATTATTGTGTGGGAGTCTAAGTCTCCTTGTAGGTTTCTAAGGACTTGCTTTATGAATCTTGGTGCTCCTGTATTGGGTGCATACAGATTTAGGATAGTTAGCTCTTCTTGTTGAATTGATCCCTTACCATTATGTAATGGCCTTCTTTGTCTCTTTTGATTTTGTTGGTTTAAAGTCTGTTTTATCAGAGACTAGGATTGCAACCCCTGCCTTTTTTTGTTTTCCATTTGCTTGGTAGATCTTCCTCCATCCCTTTATTTTGAGCCTATGTGTGTTTCTGCACATGGTGATGGGAGGTACTGGTATTACAAAAAGCTTCTCCCCCGTGGGTCAAATCTAAGCTGAGTGTTGAGACATAATTGAAATTCACTAGATAGATAGGAGATAGGGGTAGGGAATTCTAATCAGAGGGAATAGCACATGTAAGGCAAACAATACAGTGCATCTGGGAAAGCTATACAATTTTATTGTTATAGGACAAATGTTGGGGAATGTTGAGAGATGGAACTGGAGAGTGAGGCAGAAGTTAGCATTTATTCATTTATTCAGCAGACCTTTATCTATTACCTACATTGCACTAAGTACTGTGTGAGCATTAGAGAGAAAAAGATGAATGAGATTGGACACCATTCGTTCATTCCTGACTATGAACTTGGCATTGTTCTAGGTACCAGAGATATAATAATGAGAAACAGACATGCTCCCTCCCCTCATTGAGGTTACAGCTTAGTGTGGAGACACACAGATGCCTAACGCACTATGGTATGGAAGGTGCTATGGACACAGTGCTCAAATCCATGATCTACATAGGTATGAGAGTGACTTTTCTACAACTTAAATCTGATCTTGTTATTCCCTGCTTAAAATCCTGCAGTAGCTCCCAGTAGTGCCTTCTGGTTAAAATACAAGATATATAGTATGACCTCTCAAGGACCTTTGTTATTTGTCTCTGGCCACCTCTCCAATTTTTCACCATGACCCTGGCCCTGTCCCACTGGCATTCCATCTCCAATCACACGGAACTATGTGGAGTTATTAAAATGCCCTATGTTATTTCAAGACTCAGAGATTTAGTGCCTCAGCCTGTTTTGTTCCCTCTCCCCTCCTCCACCTGGCCTTCTCCAGCTCACTCATCAATCTATTAGACTCAGGCATCATCTGCTTGCCTTCGTAACCCTCCCCACCCCGCTCACCTTGCTGGATTCTGTGCCTTTGCTTGCTGGTTCCCAGAGATCCCTGCCCTTATTTTTCTTTGCCTGCTGGATTTGCAGTGTTGTGTCCTATATGGTGTAGAAAACCAGCTCAGGCTCCCACTTCTCTGGGCTTATGTGGTCAGATGCAGACCTGTCTTCCATCCATACCAAAGGCCATCAGGGAGTTTCTTTTGTCCTCTTCACCAGCCCATTCTTAATCTTTCTGATAAATTTTCTGCACTGTGTGCGCGTGACAAATTGGGTCAAGGTGATGGTAATTTACAGCATGAGATGGTGAACTTGCTGCCTGTGCTGATGAGCCCATTGGATTTCCCCTAACTAGTCTGTTTCCCTACCCAGGTGGAGAACTTCAGTAGAGGAAGTGGCAGGAATTTGGGAATGAGGAGCACAGTGATTAAACTGGGGCCATTCATATGAGAGTTTAAGAACTCAGACCAGTGACTTAGGTGAGTAAAAATATCAGAAAAAGGGAAAGAGGATAAGAGCAACTTGGGCCATAATTAAACTTGTCAATGAAATGAAGGTCTGTTATTCTAATGCCTACATTTTGCCAAACCTTTGTGCTTATAACTTCATCATTTGCTGTGATTAACAAAGTTGAAAGAATAATAACTACTTACAAGGCCCACATCACCTCCTTATACCACTAGCTTTTGCTTTCCGTACAGACATAGCTTTAAAAAGTGCAAATCCTATTCTGTACCTGAGCCACAACCCTAAAAGGGAACTTGTTTACAATTCTAAGAATAATATTGTCCTTTAAAGGTGAAGGCTCGCTGGAAAACATGCCATTCATGTGATAAAAAGCAGGTAGCAGGTAGTGCTAAAGACTTACTAGACTGCATGTTTGTGCTTTCTGCTGCATTCCTCTAATCTCAAGGCAGTATAAGGAGATAACATCTTCACAGCCCTTTCAGCCCTGTTGCAATTTCTTTGACCCTGGCCTGATATAAAAGGCAAACTTGGTTTTTCACTGTTCTAGTCATGCAGTTTCTTTGTGGTTCCCTTTAGAAAGACTTGAGGCTATGAGTCAAAGCTTTTACGTCTTGCTGATAGTTCAGAGTTGTGATGTGAAGCAATAAATAAAATCCCTCCTTCCACATACTTGTCTCCTTGATTAGAATCATTCTGGGCAAATTTAGAGGCTCATAAAGTCCATTTAGATATTTAGTGAAAAAACACCAGCACTCAGAACAGAATGTTGATAATGTAGATGGAATATCTTTCTCTCTCTGTCTCTGTGTGTGTGTGTGTGTGTGTGTGTGTGTATTTATATATGTGTGTATTTATATTATATATGTGTATATTTATATATGTGTGTGTATACATTTATATGTGTATATGTATTTATAGTAAATATATCACATGTATTTATATATAGTAAAAAAGAGGGGACTATAATATATCTTTATATGTTAGCATTTATTTTAAAAAGAAAACACAGGAATATCTAAAAGAAACTATTACTTATAGGGGTTATGGGAAATGCCATGGGCAAGAATTTTTTTTTTTTTTATCACCATGCTTTCTGAAACAACACGATATGTATCACCTTTATAAAAATAAAATAAAATAAAAAATGAAAAACAAAGTCCACTTGTAACCACATGTCAGTAGCATGTTTGCTTTCAGGGTACATCAAATGCATTCTATAGCACAGGATGTTCCAGTCACTCTAACAAAAGATGTCCTGTTTGGAACACCAACTCTGTATCAGTTACTTCAGACACTTTCTCTCATTGAGTCCCTTCAGCAAGCCCTTTTAGGTTTATGTTCTTAGATGAGGAAACCAAGTCTTAGAAACATTAACTGGCCAAACTAAGATCAGAGAGTTAGAAATGTCAGAGCCCAGAACTGGCATCTTCTGACTTCAGATCCCATGTACTTTCCCCTACACTGTGCTGACCACACCTCCATTACTACAGATGTGTTGATTACATCTAGGGGCCAAAGTACACATTCATCCAATAAATGCTTACTGAATGCTTACCGTGTTCAGGGCACTGTGGCAATCTTTTGTAATGCAAGAAAAATAAGAGTAGTGAAGACAGTCAAGGAAACAAAGAAGCCTAATACTAGGCAAGAAGTGCTTTTGATGGAATTAAGCACAATGAGGGTGTTAGTACAGAAAGGACATTTAATTGAACTGGGAAAGTTCATGGCAGTTTTCCCAGAGATGAGTCTTGAAGGACAAATGGTATTTAGCCAGGAGGAAAGGGGGTCAAGTGTATTCCAGGGAGAGGGAACAACATGTACAAAAGCACAGTTTTGAAAGAACACTCCATTTTTGAGGAATAGCCAATAGCTGGGCACGTCTAGAGCATAGGGTAGTAGAGAGAAAGGAGGCCGGAAATGGGAAGAGACTTGAATGCCACATTCAGTTATGTGGACTTCATCTTGTAGCAATGGGAGCCTACAAAATTTTAAGTAGAGGAATAAAAAGATTCCATCTAAAACTTAGAAAAATTACTTTGGCAGGATAAGAGACAATGAATTGACGGGGAGCTGGGTTTGATAGCAAGAAACTGTTTGGGAGACTGTTCTAATTACATATTTTCTTGTTTTTAGATGCACATATACGTACTTTTTTAGCTGGTCATTTCTTTCTGAAATTGGAATGAATCTTACAATCAATGGCATGTTATAATTTCATTGGCAGCATTATTTGTCTCTTAAGGGCCCCCAAATAATAGTGTGTCACATAACTGATAGCATCTCAAATTAGATGAAATACAGTAGTCCAGGCAAGAAATACTGAGATGGTGGGGTGGTAAAGAGGGAAAAGATTTGAGCCACATTTAGATCCTGATGTGGTATTAATTATTAAGTAAAAAAAAGGAATGTGCAGTACATATTCAGTATGCCACAAGTTGTGGAAAAAAGGTGTGCATGGATAGATGCACATGTATGTATTCATAAAGTTAATGTGGATGCATAAAGCGTCTCTAGAATGATACACAAGAAACAAATAACACCCGTGGCTTTTAGTGGGGGGCATTGGGTGGCTGAGGGAGAACAGCGGTAGGAAAATTTTTCATTGTGTTCTATTTTGTACATTTGATAGTTTGAACTAGTCGTATTATGCACTTCAAATATGTAAAAAGATAAAAAGTAAGAGATATTTAGAAAGGAGCATTGACACATTTGTTGACAGATTGGTTATGGGATAAAGGCGATAGTATTTTATTGACTATATTTTATTCTTTTAATTATTCCTCTAATTTCTTAAAACAACTTTATTGAGGTATAACTTCCACGGTATAATTTCACCCATTTTAAGTGCATGAATTCAGTGATTTTTAGTAGAGTCATTGAGTAGTGTAACCATTCCTACAATGGTTATAGCACATTTTTATCATCCTAATGAGATCCTTCATGCTCATTTATTTAATCTCCATTCCCATCTCCATCCCCAGGCAACCATAATCTTCCATGTTTTTAAAATAGCTTTGCCTATTTTTGGATGTTTCATACAAATGGAATCATACAAAAGGTGGTGTTCTGTGTCTAGCTTCTTTCCCTTAGGATAATGTTTTCTGGTTTATAAATGTTGCAAATGTCAGTATGATACTTCATTCCTTTTTATTTGTGTCTACAAAATACTCTATTTTATGTATATACCACCTTTTGTTTTTCTGTTCATCAGTTGAAGAACATTGCAGCCGTTTTTGCTTTTT
The DNA here is from genome assembly GCF_000001405.40 of Homo sapiens. Classification (NCBI taxonomy): domain Eukaryota; kingdom Metazoa; phylum Chordata; class Mammalia; order Primates; family Hominidae; genus Homo; species Homo sapiens. The sequence continues at coordinate 22,100,596 of NC_000009.12, forward strand.
GACTTTTATGAATAATGCTGTTATAAACGTTTATGTTTAAGTCTTTGTGTGGAAGTATTTTTTCATTTCCTTGGGTAGACACCTAGAAGTAGGATGTTGTATGGAAAATTAATGTTTGACTTTTTAAGAAACTGTTTTCCAAAGTGGCTGTAACAGTTTACACTTCTACTAACAATGTATGGAGGTTCCCACTTCTCCACATCTTTGCTTACACTTATTATTGCCTGTCTTTTTGGCAGACTTAAGCCTAGTGGTTGTGAAGTGGTACTTCATTGTGGGTTTGACTTCCATTCCCCTAATGACCAATGATTTCGGACATCTTTCAAGTGCTTATTAACCATTCACGTGTCTTCTGTGATGAAATGTCTATTTGAATATTTTGCCCAATTTAAAACTGGGTTGTTTACCTCCCTATTCTTGACTTGTTAGGATTCTTTGTATTTTTAACTTTAATTTGACTGAGGATAATGATCCACCAGTAAAGAGATGCATTTATTTCTGTATTTATGAAAATCTTTAAAATTCCTCTACCTTTCAGAGACACCCTTCAACAGACTGCGCTTCTTATTTTCAGAGTATGTATTTCCATGATAACACAAGTATCAATTATAAATATTAATTACAACTTTCCCTCCTCACTGCAGACTCAACCAAGAGTTATAAATCTGTGTATTACTTTCAATGCTCATAACAATCTTCTTAACCACCATAAGCAGACTGAAAAAGTCAATCTAGTTGAATTGTTTTACTTTATAATGCTTTTATAAGATACTCAGTCTGAAACTGAAAGATAGGTAGCTCTAGAAATGTGATAAATGGCCACAGAAGTAACAACTTTTAATAAATTAAATTATGGATGTTATGTCAATTTTAAGTAATGTCTCAGTTTTATATCTTGTTACCTGACCTAAATATCATTCCCTTTAGTAAAATATCTATTAAAGCTTTGTGGCAAAATAAGAACAGAAAAATGGTTTTTGATTTTCAGCTTTCTCTGGTGAATAATTTGTTTTCTTTTATTTTTCCTTCTAAAATAATCACACGTTTCATTGCAACCCTAACCCTCTTCAACACACACACACACACACACACACACACACACACACATGGCTTCTAGATTCTACATGTACAAGAGTGCAAATCAAACTACCATAGAAAAACTAAGAAGAGAGGCCTAGAAGCAAGAGGCTGATACACTATCTCAGGCTTCAACAAAATATTTATCTCTGACTATACCAAGGATGGGCAGAGCTTGCATGTAAGTGGCTTGGGCTAGCAGACTGGGTTTTGAAGGAGGACAACATGGCCATGTTCTTGGTTCGGTCATGAACTGTCTATGGCACATACCTTAAATACTGTTGGAAGGATCCGTTAGCTCCAGAGACTGCAACCAACTGCCTATGGTCATAACTCAGCTCTCAGACACATTTTGTTGTGCCCACAGAGTGCTGTTTGCCTGTTTGGTTTTTAAACCAACACTTAAAATGCAGGGAATTTAAGATAAAAATTTGATAAAAATGGGAAGATTTGGCCGTATTGGGCTCATGGTAACTGAGATGCATCTGAATGACAGGCATTCCTTTGAATTGCACATTTGCTCTTGTTTTTACTATAGGCCACTCTCACTTTCTGTTTTTTTCCCCGGCTTTGAAACGATCAGTTTTAGTACTGAAAAATTATCTAGGATACTAAAACCAGAATTTCTCTGCTAGATGGCTTGCTCATTACATTACCTACATGATTCTGTGTAAGGGATTGTGTAAGTTTTCTATGGTTGCCATAACTATCACAAACTTGATGGCTTTATAACAACAGAAATGTATTTACAGTTTGGAGGCAGAAGGTCTAAAATCAAGACTTCTGATTTTAGTCTGTCCAAGAGCCTCTGCTGGTAGGGCCATGCTCTCGGCAGAGGCTCTTGGGGAGAATCTGTTCCTTGCCTCTTCCACCTTCTGGTGGCTTCAGGTGTTTTGTGGCTTGTGGCTGTATCACTCCAATTTCTGCCTCTGTTTTCGTATGGCCTTCTACTCTGCTCCTTTAGTCTCTCCTTTAGGCTGTTTCTTATAAGACACTCACCTAAAACCCAAAAACAATCTAAAAGATTTTGCAAATATGAACATTCTAATTACCTTAGAGTTAAGATTTTCTTTTCTGCTAAGTGAGGGCATGGTGCAGAGAGCAGGAAAGATGTGAAACTAGATAGCATACAAAAATAGGTGTTCATAGATCTGGGCCTAACAAGGGTGTGGCCAGCAACTCTGCCCTGCTTTATCAGCATTAGAAAGCCAGTCCTCTCAGAAAGTGCCCAGTTAGCTAAATTCATGAGATTATAGACTATTAAGGTGGAATGGACCTCAGAGATGGTCCTTGCTCTCATCTGAGGCTTCAGTTGGGCCAGTCAGAAATGTGGGAAAATTGAGGCAGGTCAAATAACCAGGAGTACAAACAAACACAATCTATCCAGAAAACTAGAAATCTTACTAGTGACTATTCACAGGTTACTTTCTGCATTCTGGGGTTTTCATTCTAGAACAGATGTGTGTGTGTGTGTGTGTGTGTGTGTGTGTGTGTGTGTGTGTGTGTGGTGCGTGAAGAGAGGGGAGGGGTGCCCAGAAAACCATACCCACTTTCCCACATATCCCAACTATGACTGGGCAATTATGTCATTATCACCACTGATATATAGCTGGAAGAGTTTAGTGTTGCCCTGCTAAGATCTGGATTTTCTTTTCTGGAGCTTGGCTATTGGGGCATTGAGAAGTCCAGCCAGGAGGTTGGTCAGAGGCTAACCCAAAAAGCTTTGCTTAACTCTGGGCTACAGCTGGGGGTTGCCAGAGAGAAGTGCCTGGCATTCCTGCATGCTGACATCAAGCTTCGAAGTTGCTGCCCTCTGGTGAGTCAGCAGCAAAGGCCCACATCGTTCGAGAATGCTGCCCAATCAGAAGATGTGATGCCACACCTCAGAAATCTTTCTAAACCTCAGCATTCTGTAGACTTCAAACAACTCCTCCTGAGAAAGAATGTAGAAATAATTAAATTTATAAGATTAAAGTTATAAAAAGCATAGAGCCTATAATAATAACAGCAATAAGATAAACTCCACATTTGCTTTTAAAACAATTTATTTGAGTAGACAGCCAACCCCCTGTATTGTACTCCTTTAAAAAATATTTTAGGCTTTTTAAATGCTGAGGCAAGGGGACATACCAAACACTAACAGGCACATTGGGGTTTTCTGGCTATTGAAATAAAAATGTCCTTACATAACACTGATGTACTGGAATAGCACTGCGTTCCAGTGACGGTTATTGCAACTCAGCCAGCATATCTGTAGCTTGTGAGCTTTTCTTATCAGAATTTTATCTATAAATATACATATACGTAAATTCTATTGTGAAATAAAAATAAAATGTAGAATCTTCTCATCTTTCTTATTAGTCAATATTGTGCTACTCTTTAATAATTTCTCTCAATTTTTTCATTAAGCAGATATTACTAGGGAAATATACATGAGGCAGAAGGCAAATTATTTGCTTAGTGCAATGCAAACTTGCTTAACAGGTAAGAGCAGAGTCCCTTCCATAGCATTGCCACCATATGGCATTGCCATATCGTGGAGGCCATAAAGAGGAATGACATTGTAAAGATTAACTGGATTTTACTTGGCAAGGTCAGGCACCTAGATGGCATGCTATAAAATGGTTAGAAGTGCAAAGGAAACCTGTAGCTAGAGGCCATGTGAGATTATGGAAGTGACTTTTCTTACAATCCTGCCATCTGGTTTGGATTGTCAGGATCAAAACATTTCACTTGCCCAAGTGAGGATGCTCTCTACATGGTTTTGGGGATGAGGGAGACTCAGAAATAATGTTTGTGGTACTGTAGCACCACTAGGAAAAGAGAAAAATTGGACCTGACATGAAGAAAAGCATGCAGCCAGCCACTAAGACTACTTCCCACAGGACTGGAAATCTCTACCACCGTACCTCTCCTACATGCTGGGTATAAGAAGTTAAAGGGAAGCCAGATTATATTTACCTACTCTTTCATTCATTCATTCACTCATTCATTTATTCATCCATTTACCATTTGTTTGTTTTTTGTTCATTTACTTATTTAATAAAAATTGTGTTTTGCATATTCTAGGTGCCAGGCATTGAAGAACCACTGTTATTGTTCTCAAATGACTGACAGTTTAGAGGAGAAAATGGAAGAATAAATAGACACTTGTGATGCAATATAATAGTGCTCTAATAAGAGCAACATATATTGAATACCACTGAATATTAAATACCAGGGACTTTGCTAGGAGCTATAAATTAATCTCCACAGTACATCTAAGATAGAAGTTTTATAATTACTCTCTTTAGGAGGAAATAGGGGTCTATAGAGGTTAAGTCTCACAGCCTGGAAGGAGTCAACAAAAAAATACTCAGCCTTAGGTATTCTGACTAGAAGCTTGGGTCCTTAACCACCTACTCACCAATTTGAAGAAAGATGATTGAAACTGCAACAGCTACACTGACTCTTGAAAGCAAAGTAACTCGTTAAATGAGGGTATGTGTATACTGGCTGGGATATTGTGGGCTCATGATGACTTGTAGGCCGAGGCAGCTGCACATATGAAGACTATGGAGGGTATATCATCAGCGGAAATGAAAGTGATTAGTGTTGGAGGTTTCAGTGCATATTCTGGTTTTCTATTACTGCATAACAAATCACCCTAAAATTTAGTGACTTAAATAAACATGATCATTTATTTAGCTCATGAATTTGCAAGTTGTGCAGCACTTGGGTGGGATAGCTCACCTTTCTTCCATGCAGTGTCTGCTGGGACTGCATGATTGCATGAAGCGGGGCTGGGCAGCTAGAGCTCTTCATGAATCTCTATTTTTGCATGATATTTTCACAAGGTCTCTCAAGCATGGGAGCTTCAGGTAGCAGAACTTCTGACAGGGCAGCTTAGTCCTTTGAAAGTGTATGTCTGAAAAGAGAGACTCAGGCAGATGCTATATTGCCTTTTGTGACCAAGCCTTGGAAATCACTAGTCTCTCTTGTGTTGAGGTGGTTATAAGAGCCTGTCCAGGTTCAGTAGGGAGCATAAATTTCACCTCTGAATGGAGAAGTGCCAATGTCCTGAAAAAGCATGTGGGCCCAGAAATACTGTTGTGGCAATTTTTTGAAAATCAAGTGTGATAAAGACAGCATAGTGTAGTCATAAAAAACAGATTAGGAGCATGATGTGCTTTGATTTCAACTATGGGCTTTATTACTTACTAACTGGGTTACTTTGGTTAAGTTGTTTGACTCTTGTTTTTTGAGATGGAGTCAGTCTGGGAGACTCCAGCTCTGTCGCCCAGGCCGGAGTGCAATGGCACGATCTTGGCTCACTGCAACCTCTGCCTCCCGGATACAAGCGATTCTCATGCCTTAGCCTCCCGAGTAGCTGGGATTACAGGCACCTGCCACCACATCTGGATAATTTTTGTACTTTTTTTCTTTTTCGAGACCGTGTCTCACTCTGTCACCCAGGCTGGAGTGCAGTGGCATGAACTCGGCTCACTGCAACTTCCACCTCCTGGGTTCAAGCCATTCTCCTGCCTCAGCCTCCTGAGTAGCTGGGAGTACAGGCACACGCCACCATGCCAGGTTAATTTTTGTATTCTTAGTAAAGATAGGGTTTCAGCATGTTGGCCAGGTTGGTCTCAAACTCTTGACCTCATGATCCGCCCGCCTCAGCCTCTCAAAGTGCTGGGATTACAGGCATGAGCCACTGTGCCCGGCCTAATTTTTGTATTTTTAGTAGAGACAGGATTACACCATGTTGACCAGGCTGGTCTGGAACTCCTGACCTCAGGTGATCTGCCCACCTTGGCTTCCCAAAGTGCTCGGATTATAGGCATGCGCTACCGTGCCCAGCCCAAGTTGTCTGACTCTTAATTCTCAGCTTTCTTATTTGTAAAATGAAGGTACTAGTACTAATTTGGAGAGTTGTTAAAGATTAAATAATATATGTAAATGCCTTGGCATAAGGGACTGGCACAAAGTAGGCACTTCATATATAAAAGCTGTGATTATTGATGAACCAGTAGTGAGGTACATAACTGGGGAAGGAGAAGGGGCCAGTTTGTGGGAATGCTTTTTTAGTTATTAATAGTAAGGTGGTAAAATAATAATAGTAATAATAACCAAAAGTTACTGAAAACTAAATACAGTGCTAAACTCTTTAAAAGGAGTATCTAATTGGATCTTAACAACAAAGCTATGAAGCAGGACTAATGTTATCTCATTTTATAAATGAGGAAATGTAAGATCAAACAGGTTAAGAAACTTTCCCAAGTTGATCAGTAGCAAAGACAGGATTCGAACCAAGGTAATTGTCCTATCAGAAACTGTACTAGGATAGTCTGCATTTCATGGTAAAGACTATCAGATGCCACTAAAACTTTTTAAAAAGGGAAGTCTTGTGGTCAAATTTGCTCTTTAGAAGGCAGTATGGAGTGCAGATCAGATGCTGGCAGCAGGGAGATCAGTTAGAAGATGGTTGCTCTAATTCAGTTGAGAAATACTGAGACATCTGAAATATTGAAGACATCAGTAGTGTGGGTGATGTGAAAGTGGTTCTAAGAAACTAGCGGCAATCATCCTTCATTACTGATTGGGCGTGGAGAGAAAGAGAGGTAGCATTGGTAGCCGTTAGTCAACTCTGAGTGCAGGCACTGGCATGTGCATTATTACCCAGGGCTCTAAGTGGAGAAAGAAAACAACCCCAGGGTGTCTTCAAACCTAAAGCATATTTCCTAAGCCTTTGCACTCTCAGTCTAGACTAAAAACAAACAAAGCAGCCTCCTCTGAAATGCTGGAAACTTTCCCCACTTGAAACTCTCAGATCTCTTACCTTGCAATTCTAGCTTTCAAATTCCAAGCTGAGCTTCCTTTCCCACACCCCGAGTCCTTGTACTGGGGATTACAATGATCATTTGTATGTACTAGGTGATTGTTCCTTCCACATCAGGGGCCTTGGAGCGGATGACCTAAAGCTGCTTTCTCCTGTCCTGACTTTCTCCACCCAGCACTGCAACCATACATACAATTTTCTGGTCTTGTAGAGAATGACTGACTGGTCATTATAGTCTTCCAAAAGGATAAGAGATTAGTGTCATGATGTGGCCTTCAGGCAGCCAGGGGGAATCTCCATATGAGGTACTTGTTGACTGTATTACTTAGTTTTAGGTGAACTTCCTGTGGAGGGACAATATGTGCTTAGAAGGACAGAGAAGGAATGTATTAGGTAAGGCATTCTACATCTCAGATAAAGAACTTCAATGAATTGTTGGGTCAAGGTCTAAGAAACAAACCAGCCGTCAATGGGAAAGTTAACTAAAATGAAGAACCCAACATACAACCCCAAATCCTAGTTTTTCTGACTATGTTTTCTTAAACTGAAATAATTTCTGAGATTAAAAAGAAGTTGCTGTGACTTTGTCTGATAGATGTATTTTTTTGTTATATATTAGTTTGGGCCTTCTATCTCTCCTACTTTGTTTTCTTTATAATAGAATTAATCTCTGAAAAGTAACTTTACTGTATTCTGATGCTCCATTTTGAATAAGTCAGTTCTTCTCCGAATGGGCTCTGGAGATTGGCATTTGATTGAACAGCTTTTGTGTATTGATTGTTTTAGGTAGACTGGGTACTCCATTTAACTTAGTATTTCTGACAATAAATCAGTCGAGAAGGGAGTATTACTCTAACGGTTTGAACACTTGTCTATGCACATTGCTTGGTCATTCAATAAGTAGTTATTGGTGAGATCGGGCACGTTCAGGGTGGTATGGCCATAGACAATAAATGGTTACGACTCTGCCTTCAGCTGTACCAGTATTTAAGTTATAAGGTAGTTAAGTTACACCAGTGCAAAATCATACAGTTTGGTCACAGTCCTACTTGAGGATCTCAAACCTAGCTCCCCTTAACAAACATGGAGGCTTAATCTTGGCTTTGCACACTGAATTATTCCTTTAGAAAAATACTTGGTGTACAACTCATCCTTTTCATTTACAAAGAAACAAATTTGAGCAGTTTCACAATTTAAAAAGTCTCCCAAATGGATTATATTTAATTGTCCATTTCCAATGAAACTCACTAAATTGGTAAATAGCAGTGAGTGAATAACTGATGAGGTCATACTTTCTTGTTTTGGACTACTACAAACACCACGGAGCAACAACAGATTAGAATATAAAGGTTAAGCAAGGGTTTAGTTTTTGTTCAAAAGCCGTTTTGCTTGTTACAAAGGCTACCAAACCTTTGAACATCAGACCAAACCAAAAACAAAACAAAACAAAATAAAAAAAACCCCAAAACTGAAAGATGAAAACATAGTTTGATAATCTAAGCTGCTCTTCCTTTATTTAACCTTGAATTTATGAGATTATTTTTTTCCCCAGAAGAAAAATTCTCTTAGGGACACTTTCAGCAATTTAACATTTTCTAAGCATTACAGCAAATAAGAGGCGATCATCATTCTTCAGTCATAAAGATAAGCCAAGGAATGAAAGTGTTTTGCAGGTCATGTCACCTGACAGAAACTTTGGACTGGTCCTTTCCTGGTTCAAGAGTTCAGCCATAATACCTACTTTCCCTATCAGCTGGCTCAAGCTGATAAGGTCCTGAAGCAAGCAAAGCTTCTTTATGAGCTTTTATTTAATTGTCCTTGCCACATAAGGGTTGAGGGGATTCGTCTGTACAGAGTTACTTCTTGTTGGTCTATTTTTTCTTTGGAATAAATCGCTGTCTCCCCTGACTGGATAGAGTAAATAGAGTTTGTTTAAACACTTTTCATCAAATTCCTAGTGCCTAGTACAGAGCTTTTAACCCTAATACGTTTCCTGCGTGTACTTATTGAAGGAATAATGACAAACTCTGCCTTAGATTGGTGACTGGCTAGGGAGAAACATGGTTCAAGAGCTGAATAAGTAAGAGCAAGTATTTTATTGTATGCCCATCAAATGTATTCGATGCTGGTGATGGAGGTAAGAGTGTGATAGAGGCTGAGTTCTCTGAAATTACATATGAGATGTCATCTGCCATTTAGTATTAGCTGTGTCTGTCTTTTTTCCAGGAATTTGGCCTTAAAAGAGATCATTCAAAAGTATTACCCAAATAGTGATTTATCAGGCTTTATTGTGGGGAACCTAAAGTGGATTGCAACTGCTATGGTCCCTTTGAAGGGAGCTGGTGCAAGATTTTCCATGCCTAATCACACTCATTTTCCCTTGCTCTCCCAATGACCTCCCATCTTTCCTTCTATTTGGTCTGATAAACACCAACAATAGGATCCTTTCTGCAGCTTCCATCCTAACTTGTATTCTAGCCTTAACACTGCAACAAACTCACTGTTACCTAGAAGTCAATTGACTTCCCTGAATGTTAGCTTCTTTAGCTGTAAATAAGTAATTGTATGAGGTGATGGTTAAGGTGATTTACTAATTTTACAATTCTATTATTTTATGAATAGACCCTAGTTAGGATAGTTTGAAATAGATACTTAATCCACTATTATTCTCTCTTCTAAGATATAGTTACTAGTTGATCATACTTTTCCTTAAAGGCTGAACTGAATTCTCTGATATCAGCAACTAAACATCTCATATTTGTCAGTATGAACATCCACTGGGTGCCTGTTATTTAACCAGGTAGAATTCTTAGCTGTGATTGAAAATCTAGGTATCTCTTCTGGTACTATCACTTGGATGAGTAAAGTTTGAAAACCATTAAGTTGACATTTCTAATAGGACTGTGGATTTAACATAGATTCCCAGAAGTCTTGGAATACAACAGTGTACACAGATGAAGATACAGTACTTTTTGGTATTTTCTTTTTGCAAGTGTTACAAATATCTGCATGTCATAACATCATCACTATGGATCCCATCTTTTAATGAGAGCTTAGTATATGCTACACACTGTCACTAAACATGTAGGATCTTGTTTAGTTTTCTCAAAATGTTGTAGTTACTATGATTATTTTTTGTGTCTTGCAATCATTGTGTATAAGTGCGTAAACCATGTATCTAGAGTTTATAGAAGAATTAAAATTCAAAAACCCTATACTCATCTCTCATTTTTAAAAAATACCATTTTACCTGTCTTTAGATGCCCTGTATTTCCTCCCCAATCTCATCCCGCTCCTACTCTTGAAAGTGATCACTATCCAAATTTTGTGCCAAACATTAACTTGTTTTCTTTAGCTTTGCCATCTATGTATGTATCCCTAGGTAATACATGGCTTAGTTACACTTGTTTTTAAATTTGATGTAAATGTAATCCTATAGTATGAATTTTCTAAGACTTGATTAATCTATGAACATTTTATTTTGAGATTCATCAATATTGATGTGTGTAGCTATAGTTTATTCATTGCTGTTGCTGAAAAATATTCTATTGGATGACTTTGCTACAATTTATTCTACCATTGTTGGATATTTGAGTTGTTCCCATTTTATTTATTTATTTTATTTTTTTGCTGTTATGAACAATGTGGCTTTGAACATTCTTATACTACCTGGCGTGTATATGTATGTATCTGTCTGTCTGTTCATCTTAAGATGCACTACAAAACTGAGGCCTAGAGTCACCAAGCAACTTGTTTAATGTCAGAGTGAGTTGGTGGTGAGGCCAAAGTCTGAATTCAGCAGTCTGTTACCATAGTTTTCATCCTTAACCACAATACTCTATGAATCCTTATTTTAAAAAGGAAGGTCTGGAGAATTTAAAATAACTTCCTAAAGAGCAGGGATTCAACAAAGCTCAGTCTGACTAATGCCTTCCATTTTTAAAAAATCACCCAAAGCACATATTATGATTCTATTTGTGAAGTATTAGCTAATTACAAGAGAATGAGTTCATACTTGGCACTACTATCTCTTTCTTACAAGTGATCAGATGTCAAAATGTGAAAACTATACATTTCACATTATCCATATATATGTGACATTTTTCCTTTAGGAATATGAGTAGAAATAGAAAGACAGGTTTTTACAGTGAAATAGATTTTTTTTCTCTCTCTTTAGCCTACCAAATCTCTTTCGCAATACCTAACACTTATAAATGCATTTAATTTCAGTGCCAATTAAAGAAATTCGAAAGTAGATAATAAGTGAGACAAGCACCCAGTAAATGTTTATGATGTGACACTGACAAATTATGGGCTGCTATAATCAAGATAGCATTAAAAATTTTAAAGTGTTTGTATGAACAAACCATTTTGGAAGGAGTGTTTGGTGTGGCAGTGAGCAAAACAACCCAGTAACTATGGCAGTTAGTGTTAAAGCTCTGATTTTGACATGAAAGGAATAAAAATGGAAGTCCAGCTAAATCACAAGTGTCCTGGAGAAACTTGGATGAGTTTCTTGGCTAGAGGTTTTTCCCACCACAGTAAGTATTTTCAAAGGAAAACAAAGTAAAATTTTTCTCTTGTATGAGTCACATCTCTGTTGGTTGTAAGTGGCTGAAACTCATCTTGAACTACCAAGGTAAGAGAAGAAACATACTGGTTAATGGAATTCCAGAAAGGACTGAACAATCAAACCATTTTGAAGGACAGCATAGAGCTGGACTCTAGAACAGCCAAAACAAGGGGTTAAACCACTGCGAGGGATCTCTCTCCAACTCTTGCTCAGGCTTTTCTCCCTGGCTTGACTTTCTTCTCTTTCACTGTAGATTGGCTTCTCTCACATGGCAAGAAACATTGCTGCTAGCACTTCCCGAGTTCTACGTTCTACAACATCCACCACTGGTGAGAGATTAACTTATGGTTTTTCTGTTGAAAAGTCAAAAATTACCTGGGAAAAGTCTGATTGTCTCAGATTGGAGATGTTGCCCATCTCTGGACCAATACACTATTATGTGTGGCTGACTATATAAAAACATGGATATTTTCTTGGAATCACTTGGTTTGACTGGGAGAAGACCATTCTCAAAACAAAGGAAGTGCAATTTATAGAAGGTAGTAGAATAGGCAGATAAAACAATAATTCTTCACTATATTGCTCAAATAATCCCCATGACATTTTTAGTATATTATAAAGAGAGTTCTAAAGTGTTTCCAAACTATTATAGCAAAATTTAATCTTATAATAATTTCTTCTTGAACTATGTATAATTTACCTGAAATATTTTCCAAAAAGCAATCAATGTGAGAAAATGAGAGCCCTGTCTTCTTAAAAAAATGAGTAAAAGTCCACAAGTTCAGAACAAAAGAAAATGAGGTAAGGCCTAAAATAAATTGTGCTAAGAAAGCTAAAATTCTAGACAAAGTCACATCGGCAAAACTAGAAGGTTGGTACTGTGCTTCAGTTTACTGCTTGCTGTTTGGTTAAGAGGAGGGGTGATGTGATAAAAATAGTGACGAAGTGAGAAAACTGACGTATTAGTTTTCTATTGCATTATAACAAGTCACCACAAACTTAGAGGTTTGAAATAACGCCCATGTATTATCTCGCAGTTCCTGTGTGTCAGACCTCCAGGCACTGCGTGGCTCGGCTGGGTTCTCTGCTTAGAATCTCACAGGTCAAAATCAAAGTATCAATGGGAGCTGCAGTTCTCCCAAGCTGGAGCCTGTGTCCCTTTTAAACTCTCAGGCTGCTGGCATAATTTATTTCCTTATCAAGCCATCCATATGATCCCCTCCATCTTCAGGCCAGCAATGGCCTGTCAAATCCTTCTCATTCTTTGAAAATCTCTGACTTCCCTTTCTGTCACAGCTCTGTAACTTCTTTTCTCTTCTGCCACCAGCAGAAGAGGCTTTTAAGAGTTTATGGGATTAGATTACATCCGTCTGGATAATCTTTTACTTAAAGGTCAACTATGCTATATAACATAGCCAATCACATTCGCACATTGCAGAGACTAGGGTATAAAATCTTCGGGGTCATTCCTAGAAATTCTGCCTGCTGCAGCCTGGTTTCTTGCTTGGACTCTAGTATATATTTGCTAAATCTCCCAAGCCTCAGTCTCACTATTTGCAAAAGTGAGTTTTAATGCTCTTTGCCCTGCTTGCCTCACAGGATCTTAACATAGACGTAAGATCAAATGCAATAGCATGTCAAACAATGTGTAACTCCAGTTATACAAACATTACTGTATCTCATTGGGGATACGAAGCTCTACACACTTGAAGATGGTGAAGGAATATAAAAATGTAAGTATTGCTTTTATAATAAATGTGTTCCTATTGGCTGAAAATTTCAATATCTGATACAAATAGTCAACTTTCTATTTTACTTTTTCTAATTATGCAAGACCTTGTAATCACAAATGTAAAAATTGCAAGCCACATGCCCCTAAGGCCAAATAAAAATTTGTAAAATTCTCTTAAAAAGACTCTATAGAGTCCAAATGAAAATACGTCGAGTCCTTTTAAAAGGATCCAACCACATATATCAACTGATATACATGGTACCAAAAACAATGGAATCTTTTCAGATTCTCTAATTGGCCTTTGGAACTTATGTAGCATCAGGTATGCAAATGAACAACTTCAGACCTTGATTACTCCAACCTCCTCTCCCACTGTCACAGCCACTTCTGTCATGACCTAGTTGTTCTCAGAAAGTTCCCTCTTATACCTGGTCAAACTTCTCTTACAATCACCTGTGACTTTCCCTCTTGGTCTTGGATCAAATCATCCTAAATACATTAAAAGTCCTGATTCTTCCTGTCCCTTAAATATATCTCTACTTGAATCACTGTGTTAGTTCAGGTCCTCTGAGAGAAAGATGTTAAGATGAAATTAGATGTGCAAGAGATTCGCCGAGGTAAACCTTGTGGGAGAAAATGGAGAGGTACATAGAGGAGCCTGGGCAGACTGTGTGGCTACTATGTAAGACTCATCCCCATGAAGGAGAAAGGAGAGGAAGGCAAAGAAGAAAAACCTTAAGATTTCAATTCTAAGAACGTTTTGACAAAGCTGATTAGGAGTATTTAAGGCAAAGCTGCCCACCAGAAGAGTACTGCATCTTTCAGGAACGGACTTGCTTTAGTACATCTGCTGTGCTTAGTAATTGGCTGGGAGCAGCCATAGAAAGCATGGACTCAGTACAAACTTGGTGATGAATTTCAGAGGCAGCGGCTAAGACCATCAGTCTATTATTTTCCTTGCAATAGCTGTCATAATTACTATCAGAGCAAACAATTTTTTGTGTGTGAATTCATGAGATAATGGTCTTTTCTTTCCTGCTTTCAAGAGCCATGTCATTGAAAGAGCTAATCATTCAAATTTATGCTGCATTACTGACTAAATACTTTCATTTATCATACTTTATTTTAAAATACTTTAACTCATGGCCCGATGATTTTCAGTTAACCAAATTCTCCCTTACTATCCTGGTTGCCCCTTCTGTCTTTTCCTTAGAAATGTTATTGTAGTATTTGCAAGATGGCCTGAATCCTGAACCCCCCATCTTCAATGAGCACCAAATGGTAATTATAGATTCCCAGCTGTAGAGCTATGTCAGACAAAGGAAACTTCATTAGTATGTACCAATGTTTGGACTCCAAATGCTTTTGTGTCTGAGTCACAAGGACTCCTCTTCCTTGGTGGCTTAAAGTTAGGCTGAAGAAGATTTACATTATGTTGTGCATGACCTCTTTAGTTTGGTTCTACTTATACTTTCAAGGAGGGAAGACTGGGGAAGGTGTCCCTTAGTGAGCATATTTTGTACAAATGAAAACAGGGTACTAACACTTATGCCAGGACGCATGCATAAACTAGGATGGTTCTGAGAAAACTGCGATATATGATCACTCCAGGGTCTCCCCTCTCAGAAGCGAGGGAGACTTAAACCTTTTACATCACCAAGTACATGGAAAGAAAGACAGCAGGGAAGTGATTCCGAAGAGAAACCTGAAAAAAGCAATGTGGAAAGATAGACACTTTAGCCTTTTCTTTCTTCTCAAAACTTCACATTCCTTTTCACTCTGCTTCACTTAAGCTGCCCTAGTTCCAGAGTGTTTCCTCTCTTGGGTGAAGATGGGAACAAGTACATGGGGTAGCAAGGGGTGGGTGGGACCTGTGCTCCCATTAAGGTTCTTCCAGAATCATTTCTATGTGATTATCAGCTTGGATCACATGGACTTGGGGATTATTGGTGGTTTTCTAGGGTAAACAGGGCATATTGTGCTGGAGGACATATTTTATATGTAACAATTTGGGGAAATTTTCTTTTATATTAAATAAAACTGAGATATGTAATGAATTAGGATGAAAAATTCATATTCATCTGAATTTTATAAGTGAATCATGAGAACTCAAAGATACTTAGCCCTTGGGACCATTTTTTACTCCTGTTCGGATCCCTTCAGCTAAGCATGATTATTTACTATTTTCAGCTATTAGTTATGTCTTGTTGAAAAAGTATGAAAAGAGCTGCCCAATAAATTAGAGTGTATGCTCAACATTCTCTTAGCTTCTTTATCTCTTTCCAAAATTGGATCAAATGACATTGGACATGATCAACTTCTTACTGTTTTGACAAACATCTGAGGATACTTTTATAATTGATAATTTGGACTAGATTATGCAATGTGTGATGAGACACAAGGTAGTCTGTACTCCCCATGATATGTATATCTGTTTGATATACTCAAACGGTGTATATCAAACGGATATAAGTTTGAGTAGGTATGGAGATGAGCCAGGGTTTATTTCTTCAACTAGTATTTACTGAATGGTCTTATGTGCCACAACTGTTCTGGAAACTGTGATACATTAATTAACAGATAAAGCCTTTCCCTCACAATGCATAACAGACCCAACAGAGTATGAATGTACATACAAACTAGTAAATAAGAAAACAAATAAAAGTATTCAGATAGTGCTATAACTACTGGGATGAAAATCGAGCAGGAAGGAAAATATAGCCTGCTTGATGTGGAAGACAGGGATAGCCTCTCTGAGGAGGTGACATTTGACCCAAGACCTAAATGAGGAGAAGGAGACAGTGAGATGAAAATGAGGGAAACAGCAATGGCAAATACAGAGAACTTGAGACAACTTGGCCCATTGGAGGGACAGAGACAAAGCCAATGTGGGACCACAGGGGATGAAAGGGAGGCTGATTGGAGAAATAGGCAGTGCTGAGGCCATAAAAGGTCCTATAGGTCATGGAAAGACATTTGGTTACCATTCTAATGACAGTGAGATGTTACTGGGGAGTTTTAAACTGGAGAATGTCATAACTGTCCAGATGTAACCAAATAGTAAAACCATTCTTCCTGAATAACTTGGCTAAAAGGAATATTATGACTACAGATGTACATGAAGATTAAGCAGAACATGGAAGAAAGGCCTCAAGTAAACTTGACCTCACATAAATATGGGAGGAAGATCAAATGGAAGCTGGGAGTGTTGAAAGAATGTAAGGGGAATGACTTCTAATAATGAACAAAAAGCTGTTATTTTATTATGAAGAAAAATGTTATGCATCTTATGCATGCAGAAGAAATTCCCATTCAAAAGACTTGGAAAATGTCTTGGGTGTTTACTATAATAAACCTTTTAAGATATAGAAAATTCACATATTTAGAGCTTAATTTCTAAAGAGCTCAGACTTCTCAGTTTATTATATGCTATGAAATTTTGTTTATTTTTAATTTAACCTACTTGTGTGCAAAATCAATAAGGAAGCTTAAGGAATATAAACAACTATTTAACATGGCCATTTAAATAGATTCAAAGTAAAGAATATCAGCATAGTGTTTCTTTGATATGACAACCCCTCCTCCCAGGGCACTTAAATGAAGGGTTGGGGGGGAATCTTAACCTGAAATTGAAAACCCTGAAATCATGTTTCCAAGGAAGGAGAAGGAAAATAGGAAAAACAAAAACAAAAAGCAGCAACTCATTTGGAAGCTCGTGGGAGAGGAGAGGAGGATTCATACATCTCGGACTGGTTTGCCTTAGCAAGTGAATCATTTAAATAGGAAAAAACAGGGGGCTGACTCAGCTTGAGCAAACTCTTGCTATCCCCTGCTGAGGTCCGCACTTGCTGTGGCCCCTGCCGCTCTCCTCGGACCTTGCTGCCCTCCTCCTTTGTCACTGTGGAGAAACAGGAAGGAATGTTTATTAGCAAGACTGACTGGGGTCACACCCAAGGCAATATCAGGTTTTTACCTCTCCCAGGCCTGGGAAGAGGTTCAAGGATCAAGGACAAGCTCCCGGTTAGAGTGAGAGGCAAGTTCAAACCTTTGAAAAATAAACTCACAACCAGCATTTGGCACAGGCCTCTGGAGTTTACAGAATGTATCTGCCTGTGTGTGATTTCATTAGTTCCTCCTGCCAATCTAATGAGATTTTACGTCCTGTAACAGTGAGGCAATTGGAGTCTCAGCAGGGAAAGGAACTTGCCTAAAACTGCAGGATGGGTAGCGCTTGGATCCTGACTTTCTGACTCCTAGGACTGTGCTGTCTTCAGATGATCACATGCCTTCTTGGCAGATGTTTCTAACAAAGGAGAGAGTTGCCCAGGGTGGGGCTCTGCTAGCTCCCTTGTCATGAGCCATTCTCTCCACATTGCCTTTTAGTTGCACCACATAGTCACCTTCAATTAGCTGTGCGAATAGGCTCACTCTTATGCTAACATGTACTAAAAGTGAAAATGGGGAGAGAGAGAGAGAGAGAGAAAGAGAGACACACAGAGAGAGAGACTCATATTATGGTATGTTCCCTGCCCCACCCCACTCCACTCCCTCTCAACAGGGAGAAAGTACCTGAAGAAAATCATTGCTATGAAGGGCATAGCCAGCTAAATGGGTGTCACTTAGTCTGAAAAATCTCAAAGATGTCAATAAGCCACTCGAGACAACAAGGAACCTGTTTTCCTGTCATCATTCCTTCTCAGTCCTTGGCTTTGGGAAGGGTAACTTTATGGAGAGAGAAGAACCTCTGTGGAGTTAAAAGGTTTATGAACTTTTTTCCCTGCAACAAATCAGTGACAGCTGTTCCACAGGCTGATGGTTTTCCCTTTACCTTTCGTTTTTTAACAGCTATGTCTCACAGTCCAGACTTGGAGTACAAGTAATAAGAAGAATAAAACTTAATCCCTTAAGTAGATTCACCATAAGTTAGCTCAGAGCAATTCCAGTGCAAGTATGGTCTGTGATCCAGTAGGTGAGTGACTCTGCTGCTGAAATTCACATGTATGTGAATTTCACAGTGGCCTTTGCTTTGTAGCATGCTGTAATCCTTTTGTCCATTTTCATCACACGAACTGCTGAATATAGGATTGTTAAATGGATGGGGAGATATCATGAAAATGATTAAAGAAGAAAGTTCTTATTTAGGGGTGCATACCTGCCTATCTGACCATTGTACTTAGGCAATCGGGATCTTGCTTTAAGAAAAGGTAGGCATTGGAGTCAGGCTGCTGGAGTATGAATCACTATGCTATCATTTTTCATTTGTTTTTGCTCTGTTACATTAGGAAAGTTATGTAGAATTTTGTGCCTCAGTTTCCTCATTCAATATGGGTGTAATAACTGTGCCTGTCTTGTAGGATTATTGTGAGGCCCAAGTGCAATAATATATAGTACACTGTGTCTGGCATCTAGTAAGCATTCATTAAGATGACATGAAGATAACACAGATATATCTTAACATGTAATTATGATTTTGCTTATTCAAGGCCAAGCATTCCAATTTAATGGAGTTAGGCAAACACAGTAAATTCATTGCTCTTTCCTTTTTATGCTACTTCCTTTGAAGAGGCAGTCAAGTTCCATTTGACTGATTCGGAACTTTTTAGCAATGTATATTATGCTGACTTCACTCTTATGCGCTCTTGGGGCTATAATTCATCAAGTTAGGCGAGCAAAGAAGTGTGTTGGTGAAAGAGAAATGAGGAAGAACAAGGAAGAAAAAAAGGGTCATGAGCTTATTCACTGCCAATATTTATTATATGGAACAATGACCATCCTTCAGAAGTGTTTGTTCTCTATTATACTGTAGGTGTGGAAGAATTATCATTGCTCAATAGCTGTCTCAGTCACTACCTGATAGACTTGGGAGGTCTGGCTATTTCAGGGCGCATTTGACATACAGTGACATTTTTGGATTAAAGCTTTCATGATGAGTGCCAGTCTGGGTCCAAAAGGGTTGAAAGCTGTCGCCATCTATAGGCTAGTTGTTTGTAGTAAAATACTTTCCCTCACTGCATTAGGTTCTTGGTACCATTTATCTAGCAGAGTTCTTCAGTGGGCTTGAGGCTTAGCAGTCAAGTTAAAACAATAACCAACATCCCAAACCCAGTGGCTGTCAAATTTCAGTGAGGTGGCATAGAACTTTAGCATGAACTTGAGCTTGGGTTCAGCTAGACTTTCATATAAATCCTTGTTTGAAGTTAGTAGCTGTGTGATCTTGGGCACTGATATTAAACCTTTATGAGAAAGTTATGTCTGAAATATGGGAAATAAACCTTCCACTTAGGTTGTTGTGAAGATTCAATGAGTTGTAACGATTGTATACACTATAATGATCTATATTACAGTTGTTTCATAAATATGATTGCCTTCATTTTATTCTTTCCTTGTCTCGTTCTTCCCAGTATCTTACAGACAGCAAGTTGAACATTGTGGGATGCATGAGCTATTGAGGCCTTTGCAGCTTTCTGCTACATGGAGGCTAGGGCCAGAGTCAAGATTTATGCTTTGCAGCACACTGGTCAGCTGTTTTTGCAAATCAGATTAAATGATTTTTAAATGAGGCTGAGAGCATGGGAGATACTAATGTGTGTTTCCTTGTGAGCTACTGCATAAGTAAGTGCTTTGTAAAATGTCAGGGGCTCCAGGATTATATGGTATTACTGTCACTATTGTAAGCACTTCTACCTTTTTTTTCTCCTTTTACAGGTTAGGAAATTGAAATACAGAAAGATGAAAAGTGATTTGCCCAAGCATATAGATCAAAGCTGTGGCAGAACCAGGACTGGAACCTATATCTCTCTACTAATGGTTTTTTTAAAAAAATAACCTTGTTTCAAAAATATTAAAAAGTCACAAGAAAGGTAAACATGTGGATAAACAAAATGAAGAAAATAAAAATTATCCAGTAATAACATATTGGCATATGTCTTTCTGGTATATTTTCCTGTGTTGTCATCATTATCATCTCCATCATCATTATATCCATCATTATCATCATCATCATCATCATCATCATCATTATCATCACCATAGTGAACATGTAATGCTTACCTAGTGCCAGATGCTGTCTAGGCATTTTACATGTGTTACTGGTAACTCATGTAATCCTCATAACAACCTTATAAGGTGGTTGCTATTATCCCCATGTTACATATGAAGAGACAGAAGCATAAAGAAGTTGCACCGCTGGTAATTGGCTGGGATTTGAACTTAAGCAGTCTAACCTTAGAGTAATGATTTTAACAACTATGCTATATACATACAAATTTACAAAATAAAACTGGGCTCAGACAATAAAAACAGCTCTCTTTTCATGTTATAATACTTTTTCACCCCATAACACATAATCACTAATGTTTTAAAGATCAAAACAATGCACATAAAATGTACTGGTTTTAAAAAAAAGAGGAAATAGCCACTTACCTCAACCAAACTAACTTGGAGATAGATTAGATTGATAATGGCAAGGGTGATGGGTAGATGGGTAGAGGTTGCTCAAAAAGAAACACAAAATATATCCTCTTTTAAGGATCCTGATGCTTTGCTCAAAGTAATTTTTATTCTTTTAAAACTAAAAAAAAACTGTACAAAATTCATAGGGTACATAGTGGCGCTTTGATATATATAATGTATAGTGATCAGATCAGGGTAATTCGCATACCCAGTCATCCTATAGTGGGTATAGAACACCAGAACTTATTCTTTCTATGTAGCTATAATTTTGTATCCTTTAACAATTCTCTCCCTATCCCTCCCTTCCCCCTACTTTTCCTAGCTTCTAGTATCCTCTGTTCTACTTTTTACTTCTATGAAATCAACTTTTTCAGCTTCTGTATGTGAGTGAGAACATGCGGTGTTTAGTAGGAAATTTCTGTTCCTGGCTTATTTCACTTAACACAGTGTCCTCCAAGAGCATCCATCCAGGATTTTATTGCTTTTTATGGCTTAATAGTATTTCATTGTGTATATATACCATATTTTCTTTGTCCATTCCTTTGTTTTTGGATGCCTGGATTGATTCTATAACTTGGCTATTGTGAATAGTACTGCAATAAACATGGTCTGTAGATGTCTCTTTGATATAATGATTTTCTTTCCTTTGGATAAATTGCTAGTAATGGGATTGCTCAATCATACCATAGTACTATTCGTAGTTTTTTGAGGAACCTCCATTCTGTCCTCCATAGTGGTTGTACTAGTTTACGTTCCCACCAACAGTGTATAAGAATTCCCTTTTCTCCAAATCCCTGCCAGCATTTGTTATTTTTTTTTTTTTGTCTCTTTGACAATAGTCATCCTAACTGGGGTGAGATGATACCTCATTGCAGCTTCAATTCACATCTCCCTGATGATTAGGGATGTTGAGCATTTTTTCATATATTTATTGGCCATTTGTATGTGTTCTTTTGAGAAACGTCTGTTCAGATCATTTTCCTACTCTTTAATTAGATTGTTTTTACTGTTGAGATGTTTGAGTCCCTTATATATTCTAGATATTAATCTCTTGTCAGATGAGTAGTTTGCAAATATTTTCTTCCATTCTGTAGTTTGTATATTCACTCTGTTGATTACTTCCTTTGCTGTACAAAAGCTATTTGGATTGATATAATCCCATTTGTGTATTTTGTTTGTGTTACCTATGTTTTTAAGGTATTATTCAGAAAATTTTTGCCCAGACCAAGGTCCTGAAGCATTTCTTCTATGTTTTCTTCTAGTAATTCTATTTTTCATGTCTTACATTTAGGTTTTTGATCCATTTTGCAATGATATTTATATAGGGTGAGAGACGGGAATCTAGTTTAATTCTTCTGCATATAGATATCCAGTTTTCCCAGCACCATTCGTTGAGGAGACTGTCCTTTACCCACTGAGTGTTCTTGATATCTTTGTTAAAAATCAGGTGGTTGTAGATATGTGGATTAATTTCTGGGTTCTCTATTCTGTTCTATTGATCTATGTGTCTGTTTTTATACCAGTACCATGCTATTTTGTTTACTATAGCTTTGTAGTATACTTTGATGTCTGGTAGTGTGATAACTCCAGCTTTGTTCTTTTTGCTTAGGATTGCTTTGGCTGTTTGGGGTCTTTTGTGGTTCCATATAAATTTTAGAATTTTTTTTTCTATTTCTGTGAAGAACGTCATTAGTATTTTGATAGGGATTGCATTGAATCTATAGGTTGCTTTGGGCAGCAGATATCTTTCCATTTGTTTATGTCCTTTTCCATTTCTTTCATCAGTATTTTGTAGTTTTAGTTGCAGAGGTCTTTCACCTCCTTGGTTACATTTATTCCTTGGTATTTTATTGTTTTCGTAGCTATTGTAAATGGGATTGCCTTCTTGATTGCTTTTTCAGCTAGTTCATTGTTCATGTATAGAAATACTACTGATTTTTGTATATTGATATCGTATTCTGCAACTTTACAGAATTTGTTATTAGCTCTGAGTTTTTTGGTAGAGTCATTAGATTTTTCTGTATATAAAATCATGTCATCTGCAAACAGGAACAATTTGACTTCCTCCTTTCCAATTTGGATGTCCTTTATTTCTTTGTCTTGCCTAGTTGCTTGGGCTAGGACTTCCATTACTGTGTTGAATAAGAATGTTAAGAGTGGGCATCCTTGTCTTGTTTCAGTTCTTAGAGGAAATGCTAGTGTAGCTGAGGAGAGAAATGAAAACAGAATAAAAACTTCAGTAGAAGTTGGGGAGAAATGTGTTTGCACCAAAAGAGGTGAGGGATGGAACTGAGGGAGGTCTCGAGGGGTAAGAGAGGCCAAAGAGCTGGCAGGTGCTGCTATTAGGATGGCCAATGATCCAGAAGTAATGATGAATGAGAAGATGGATTAAAAAAACCCTGACATTGTTTAACTAGAAGAAGAAGACAGTCAGAGAGAAGTGAGGGCTTACTTTTCATGTTTAAAGTCTGTTATGTGGTAAAGGGATTAGATTTATCTGTGTTGTTCCAGGGGACAGAAATAGGACAAATGGATGCAAATAGAGTGAGGAAGATTTAAAACAAATGGAGAAGACATTCTAAAATCAACTACAATGAGCGTAAACAATGACAACGGAAAGGACTATTTTTGCAATTATGTAGCTCTTGTTCTCTATAGATAGATGTGTAAGCAGACGCTGAATAACCATTTACTGAAAATATAAATAAAAACAAAGCAAATTGCAGGCAATAAATATTGTATTAGTTCTCATTTTGTAAAACTTATACAGGTATCATATGCATAGACAAATACACCAAACTGATGAATATTTGCCTTGTATAATCTTTTTGTAGTTTTTTTATGAACATATATTACTCAAACAATTTAGAACATTTGGCAATATATATATATTTCATTTATAAAAGGTTAGGAAGATTAATTACACTTTCTGAGGTCGCAACTAAAAGCCAAGATTTTAATCCATTTCTATTTGATGTAAAGTCTGGTCTTTTTTCAGCAAACCACAATCCCACATTTTAAGGGCATTAAGAAAGGGATGGGTAGACAAAATGTAGAGGTAGTAGGTACAGAATACAAAGTTTCAAGAAATTAAAAGCTTCTAAACTAACAAACAGCCAATTTGTGGAGTGTCACTGGAAAGTGACAAAGAGGACAGTTAAGTTAGTTGGAACTGAACTGAGGCCAGACAGGGCTGTGGGACAAGTCAGGGTGTGGTCATTCCGGTAAGCAGCGATGCAGAATCAAGACAGAGTAGTTTCTCCTTCTCTCTCTCTCTTTAATTGTAACGCCTTTTATAACAAACAAATATTATGCTTATTTCTGTCTTTAAATTTTTTGTAGTAATTTCTCATCACTTAACCTCTATTTTTTAAAAAACTAACTTTTCTCTTGTTTTTCTAGTTGAGCTATCATTCATATTTATTATGTGGAACTAGAGGTAGTCCTGGCTACTTGGGAACAGCGTGGAGTCTAGCCATGTCAGGGCCAGAAGTCGTCTCAGCTAAGTTAGAATGTGATACCATTGTTTACACAAGTGTGGCCTGCCTTCAAGATAGGGTGAGGTGTTTTATGACCACAGGCTTTATGAGTTATAGCTATAAAACAATCAATCTTTTAAAGCAAACACACCACAATGTCTACACGCAAATGAGAATTGTCCTTCAGGGCTGTGACCTTGGGAAACTCTTCACACATACTAGCATAAAACATATTTAAACTCTTCACTGAAAATATTATTCAGACCTAGTTTCTCTCTCAGTCTCTCTCTATGTTTCTCTCTCACATGTACGTGCATGCACGCACACGTGTGCACACACACATATGCTCACATCATTTTAAGATACATCTCATTTTTAACCAAAACCATTTTATCTTGCTTGATAACCAATTTTATTTGTTAGATGACTTGGCTATAAATGCCTTTGGCTATCAGGAAAATCAAATCAAAATTAAAAGACACTGTTACTACTGAAGAAGTAAAAAAAGAATGGGCTGCTGACTCTGAAGATCATACCCGAAGTAGAGCTGCAAAGATATTTGGAATATTGGTAATATCCAATAAAGAATGACCTTCATGCTATTTTGAGGAGATGTTTAAATGTCGAATTATTGAAATATTTATAAAATACAAATAAACTAACTCTGCTTCATATTCCAACTTGTGTATGACACTTCTTAGGCTATCATTTCATTCCAAATTTATGGTCACTACCCTACTGTCATTCCTCATACTAACCATATGATCAACAGTTGAAAAGCAGCCACTCGCAGAGGTAAGCAAGATATATGGTAAATACTGTGTTGACAAAAGTATGCAGAAGCAGTCACATTTATACAGTAGTGAAGGAAATGTAAATTGGACAAACTTTTTGGAAGATAAGTTGAGAATGTCAAAAATCAAAACACACTTTCTGTTTTATTCAGCAATTATGAGCCCTTTGTTTTACAGCTATGCTCACAAATATATACAAACATGTATGCACAATTATGTTCACTGTGGTATTGCGCTAGAAAAATACTAAAAACAAACCAAATGTTCATCAATAGGGAAATTGTTCAACAAATTACAGTATATCTAAAAAAAGAATAATATATAACAACTGAAAAAATAAAATAGTTGATATAAGCAGATATTCCAAGATCTGCCAGACATATTGTTAAACGAAAAATCTAGATACAAAATTGTTTATAGTTCTCTTTCATACTATAGCCAAAGAAAATTCAGAAAAAACTACTTACAGTTGATCCTTGAATAATGCAGCAGGTAGGGGCACCAGCTTCCTGCGCAGTCAAGAATTGCATATAACTTTTGACTCCCCCAAAACTTTGCTAATAGCCTACTGTTGACTGGAAGCCTTATCAACAACATCAACAGTTGATTAACACTGGAAAAGGAGGGGTTGGTCTTACTGTCTCAAGGGTGGCAAAGGCGGAAGAAAAGCCACCTATAAGTGAACCCTTGAAGTTCCAACCTATGTTTTTCCAGGGCAATCATACATCCATGTCCATATTCATGATGAATATGTGAAAGGGTACATAAGAAAATGTGATAGTCGTTTCCTCTGGAGAATAAAATGAGAGGTCTATCATAGGTGAGAAAATAATTTTTTATTATATATTCTTTTGTAGGTTTATTTTTTTGTCATGTGTATGTATTCTTTTCAAAATAATAAAAACAATAACAACGATTAAAATATACAAGGGGAAATGCATTGGCCAAGGTTTAGTTGAGAGCAAAGTTTGCTTATCTTTCGAAAGAGGTGAACTAAGCTTTTCCTTTTTCTCTTTGGGTATACTTGAATGGGGATGGAGTAAGTGGATTCTTTTTTTTTTTTTTTTTTTTTGAGACGGAGTCTCGCTCGCCCAGGCCGACTGCAGTGGCGCTATCTCGGCTCACTGCAAACTCCGCCTCCGGAGTTCACGCCATTCTCCTGCCTCAGCCTCCCGAGTAGCTGGGACTACAGGCGCCCGCCACTGCACCCGGCTAATTTTTTGTATTTTTAGTAGAGACGGGGTTTCACCATGTTAGCCAGGATGGCCTGGATCTCCTGACCTCGTGATCAGCCCGCCTCGGCCTCCCAAAGTGCTGGGATTACAGGCGTGAGAAGTGAGTGAATTCTAAGGAGTATCGAGAACAGTGATTAAAACAGAAGGTGGGGAGGTGTCATAAGCTTATTTGTAGGTGAAGTATTAAGACTAGAAGAATGACATTATGCATCAAATCTTTTACATTGTTTGATCTCTTTTACCTAAAAACAAAACAAGATACTTTTTTGTTGTTTGACATATGACCAATTAGCAGCCAGTTGGAGCTAAATGTTTTCTTTTTTCTTTTTCTTTTCTTTTTTTAGATGTAGTGTCACTCTGTCGCCCAGGCTGGAGTGCAGTGGCGTGATCTCGGCTCACTGCAACCTCTGCTACCCAGGTTCAAGCGATTCTCCTGCCTCAGCCTCCCAAGGAGCTGGGATTGCAGGCACCTGCCACCACGCCCAGCTAATTTTTGTAGTTTTGGTAGAGATGGTGTTTCACCATTTTGGCCAGGCTGGTCTTAAACTCCTGACCTTGTGATCCACCTGCCTTCGCCTCCCAAAGTGCTGGTATTACAGGCATGAGCCACTGTGCCCAGCCTAAATGTTTTCTTTAAAAGCAAGGTAAGTATGCCTAGATGCACTGCCTCTTAGTAATTTTTGAGGATGGATTATTCATTAAATTGCTTCCCTTTCTCACAGCTGGTGAATTAGAACGATAGTGAGCTTACAAGAGCTTTAACGAGGAAAAGATGGTCATTGTTTAACAGAGAAGGATGGTTTGGGTGAGCATTTTTGTGTTTTTGGAGGGGAACTTTGAGGGCAATGAGTGTTGCACCTGTGTCCACTGAGGATCTCTGGGCGGGGTAAAAGGAAGGCAGGGATGAGAGTGAGGAAGGGAGACAGGAGGGTCCCAAATACGAACTTTGACTTAACGAGGATGATTACTAGAAGGGAAAGATTGTGGATTCATTGATGAGATGTTGAACCATGAAAACTCTAATTGTAGAACTCACTTCAGACTGAATTGACTTGGCTTTCAGTAGCAGAAGCCCTTTGTCTACTTCTCTAGTATTGAAGTGAATGCAAATTTCTCAATGTAAGAAAAGTAGAGTGGTGAAATAAGAGTGTGGGTTCCAGGGTCAGACAACTGGGTGCATAAAAAGGGTAAGGATGCTACAACTGGTAAGCCCTGTGAGAATTATTTAATCCTTCCATGTCTCATTCCGCTCATCTGGAAAATGATGATCATACTAACTTATGAGATGTGTGTACAGACTAGATATAATATTAAAACATTTCTGATACCTATGCATTATATTGGATCAATATATATTTGCAATAAATGATCAACTTTTTATTAATGAAGTTAGTACTTATTTCATAACGAGATTGTTTACTTCTAATTTACTAGTATTGTCATTATTACTGTTGCTGTTATACTGCTACTGCTGTTGCTACTAACTCTTTATGAAGTACCTAATATGCTCTAAGCCTTGCTCTAGGTGTTGTATATGAAGTATTTCTAAACCTGAAAACTATCTAAGATGGCTCAGTCTAGCCCATTTTATAGACGAAGACTGAAGCCAAGAGAGTTGAAATAATGAGTAAAGTTGAGATTTGACTTTGTCTTCCAAACAACTAGAAGCATAAAGCAATGGACCAGGTTCCAAAGTGACAGGGAGGGGCATTAGTTTGGCCCATAGGCTGCAGAGCCTGTGACCACAGAGCCCTATATATTCCAGTGGTGAATTATGTTTGGGAATGTGGCAGACCATATGGCTATGGCATCGTTAGACATGAGGTGGAGAGAGGCAGATGTGTGGTTACTCGATTGAGTTGAGAGATGCCATGGAAAGGAGGAAGAAGAGCCTGAGAGAGCAACTTCACTCATGGGGAGAGAAGCTTATGTGGAGATAAGCTTCACTTCACTAATGGGGAGATAAGCTTCACTTATGGGGAGACAAGTAAGGAAGCAGGGATCTCCAGAGGATGTGGAGTATGCCTGGTACTTTCATTGTTCTTTTTCCTTATTCTTCTTTATTCTTTTCATTATTTTACCTAGGTTAGATGTTAAACACTTCCTGTTGTTTAGTCAGGCTTCCTTTTCTAATTATAAGACTAAACACTAAGATTTCATTTGTAGATATAATTATTAGAGAATTTTGATAAAATTTCCAAGCAGTGTTCCCTCTGTTTATCATCGTGTTCCCTGCTGTTATTAGTTCACAGTTTGGTCTGGAATTACTCCAGTTAATCTTGGGGTTTCAGGAGAGAAATTGTGCTCAGGGTACATGAGAAGAGAAAGTTTAGAAAGCGAAGGGCTTCCCTGTCTAGTTTCTAGCTCAGAAAAGCAAAGATATTCTACTTTCATATGTATGATAATTGGAGCTGAGCTGACTTTAAAAACAGATAATTTTTCTTTTTTATCCCTAATAAATAATGGTGCTTACAGCAATGAGTGTTGCTGGTAACAGATTCCACCAATGGGTGTGGTGTGAAGTTTAGCATTTGTGGATTTTGCAGCTTCTGCTATTGTCTACAGCATTTCCTCTCTTGTCTCGGAGGTTCATACTTTCTCAGGCAAGGACACTTTTAACTCCAGATAAATGTCTGGGTTTTCTCACTCCAAGGATAAGAAGGTGGGGGTGATGGAGTGGTGGTGGTAGTTGTGGAGTTGTCTTCCTGGCAGGGATTTCATTGTGGGGGAAAGTCTGTCTTTAGAAAAGAAATGTAAACTGGGCAAGTAGTCTCATCAGTTAAATGATTTCCTTGTTGACATAAGGTGAGGAAAAGAAGAACAACTTTTGGGAAAAGTAACTGTGAGAATACAAGGGAAGAAGAAAAATAAGGGGTTGAACATTGAGGAAGACTTATGAGACAGATAAAGTATAAAGGCAGGTAATTTGTTCTTTCAATTTGGCATGGGGACAGTAAAAATTTTTTCTTACTAAACAAATAAAGCCCATGTATTTCTTCTGCTCTGGGAGCACCAATTATATTGAGCCTCTAAATAAAGAAAGTCAACATCCACAAGTGTTCTAAATTCCATCTCGTAGTGAGAGTCCTGAAAATTGCAATAGCTAGAGTCAATACTTGGAGTATATGCATAAGACGTGGTGTCTCAAATAGGATTAAGGCCTACTCTTGGCATCTTCTGTTATTGGTGTTGTTTCTCTGTATTGATTGGTATAACGTTAGACAAAACTGCAGGTCATCTTTGAGAAAAACTCAGTATAAACAATGAAAAAAATGTGTAGCTGCACATGTAATTTGCATGTAACAAAACCAAAGGATGCTTTAGATAGTAACAGCAGCCTGTACTTTACTCCAACCCATTAGTTTTATGATAAATGTGGTCTGGGGAAGTGCTCGATCTAGGTTGTTCACTTTGTGTTTTTGTTTCTTTCTATCATTCGGGTGTTGAGTCACCTGTTTGTCTGTGTCAGTGTCAGAGCACTGGGTCACATCCTGCATTGTCCAGGTTTTATTGGTCCCTTTCTTAAATTAAAGCTGATTTTCCACTTAAAGAGAATTCTGTCTCCTTCTGCAATTGTTCAAAGTCTAGCATCTCAAGTGCAGACTCTAAACTGTATGTATATGTATTGTGCAGGCTATCTATCTTCTTAGCTTTGAATTCTCTAGAAATATTCCAGAGGTGTGATTCCTCTGTTATTCAAGAGTGATTTCCAAATTGCCTCAGCCAATGTGCCTGCACAAGTTGTTTGTAACTCAGGGTGTAATGGGAAATGCTTTAGAGCCACATTTGTGGCTTTTGATGGGAAAAAAAAAAAATCAGTGTCCTCCTAAGACTTATACAGTCCTTGAAGCCTTTTAGGCTATTCCTGCATCTCATGTTGCATCCATACGGACTATTTAGCCATATTCAACACCATCCTCTTGCTATTTTGTTAAGATTTGACTGTTGTTGTTGTTGTTTTTAAATATAAATGTGTGATCACATGCACATACACAGACAATGATGTGTAACTCATAAACATGAAAAGTAAAAATTTGAATTTTAACTGAAGAAAAATCAGCATTATTCATAAAAAGCTGGTAAGATATTCTAAAAGTGGAAATTCATGCAGAAAATTGATTCTTAAGCACTTACTAAATGCCAGGAATATTTTACCAGCATATTATCATTTAATTTTTAAACAAGTTTGAGAGATAGAGATGTCTTATTTTATAGAAGAGGCAACTGGGGTTCTGAAATGTGAAATAACTTGCAAAGGCTATGGTTAAGGGCAGGGCCAGCCACGTGTCTAGTGTCTCTGACACCTGAGATCACACACTGTATGCTGGGCTTCAATTAATTTGCAGCTACTTGTTGCATTAAATTCACAATCCTTGCTTTCATCATAATAAAAACAATAATAATCATACAACACAACTATTTTCAGTGAGCTCTGGCTAAGGCCATTTGATTCAGAGTCAAAACCTTCTATTTGTATAGTATTTTATATTGTCAAAATCTAATAAGGATAGTTTTCATATCTGACGTAAACCAAACTGATCTGTCTCCATTTGATATAGTGACATATCAAATTGTTACTTTCATATATCTTAGTCAACCTCTATGTTTATCATTCTCTATGTTTTAGAAAGTAAAGAATTTAAAATTACTTCAGAAAGATTTCTTCTTCATAAACATAAAATGATTAGATGTCCCTTTTAAAGGCAACAGCTTCTTCTTTTTCTTTTTTCTTTTCTTTTTTTTTTTTTTTTTTTTTGAGAAGGAGTCTGGCTCTGCCGCCCAGGCTGGAGTGCAGTGGCGCCATCTCGACTCACTGCAAGCTCCACCTCCCGGGTTTAAGCCATTCTCCTGCCTCAGCCTCCCGAGTAGCTGGGACTGCAGGCGCCTGCCACTACGCCTGGCTAATTTTTCGTATTTTTAGTAGAGACGGCGTTTCACCGTGTTAGCCAGGATGGTCTGGATCTCCTGACCTCGTGATCCGCCCGCCTTGGCCTCCCAAAGTGCTGGGATAACAGGCGTGAGCCACCGCGCCCGGCCAAGGCAACAGTTTCTTAATGAGAGAGTAGAAATGAGAATTCACATTCATAACAAAGAGTTTATTGTCTTTCCTAGTATACTGTACTATCTAGTAGCTAATCTGTCTAAAGACATGTTTCTTATCTATTAATAGTCCTATTAATAATGTAAAGTAGCTTTAGATATGCCAAGCTGTTACTGGCTGGGGAACTAAAAAAGCTTCCAGAGTTATATCTAGAAAGTCTTTGGGGTTTCTTAATGTTATGTGATTAGCAACTAAAACTGTGACAGGAAGGAAGTCCACATGAATTGAGCATCTACTAGTTTCAAGATTTATCATTATGCACATTACTTATAATAACTTTGTGAAGCTGATATTAACTTTACAATGGATAAAAAGATAGATGAATTAGTAATTTACCTCCAGTGGTGCAGACAGCAGGATTTGAATTTAGTCTGTCCAACACCAAAGCCTCCGTACTTTTCATTACCCTGCATCCATCTAGTTTAAAAAATAAATGTACTAGGCATAGTGGCTTGCACCTGCAATCCCAGCTGCTTGGGAGGTTGAGGCCAGAGGATCACTTGAGCCCAGAAGTTCAAGGCTGCAGTGAGTTATGAGCACACAACTGCACTCCAGCCTGGGTGATAGACAGACCCCATCTCAAAAAAAAAAAAAAAAAAAAAAAAAGAGAGAGAGAAAATAAAAGAAAAATCGAATGTATTGCATTTCATGTCTGGACCACCTGTATGAGAAAATTGGGCACTTTCTCTCTGAAGTAACTCATACTAAAAACAAACACCTTCTTCCTCCCAGGAGCTTCCCAAGGTTGAAGAGAGGAACCCTGAAGCTCTAATATGCCTAAGATGCTCTCTGGTGTTATCTAAAATCAAAATATATCACCTAGAGCACTTATTTATTTATTTATTTATTTTTGAGATGGAGTCTAGCTCTATCACCCAGGCTGGAGTGCAATGGCATGATCTCGGCTCACTGCAACCTCCGCCTCCCAGGTTCAAGCCATTCTCCTGCCTCAGCCTCTGGGATTATAGGTGCACGCCACCATGGCCGGCTAATTTTTGTATTTTTAGTAGAGATGGGGTTTCACCATGTTGGTCAGGCTGGTCTCGAACTCCTGACCTCGTGATCCGCCCACCTTGGCCTCCTGAAGTGCTGGGATTACAGGCGTGAGCCACCACGCCCGGCCAGAGCACTTTTTTTTCTTAATTTTTTATGATGGAAAATTTCAAGCATACATTAAGTAGAGAAAATAGTATAATGAACAACTGAATACTTAAATCTGGCTTCAATAATTTCTAATTTTATGTTCTGTCTAATGTTGACATAAAGTATAGTTTGTATGTATTTGGTGGTGAGTACATAATGGGCCACATGATTTTTACCTTTTAGGCTGTAGTTCTACATCAGTATAAGATGGTTGTTTTTTTCTTCCAATACAAAATCTAAAGCGTTGTCGGCAGTGACATTTTTAAAAACACAATATGAGACGCAACAATAAATCAGTTATTAAAATAAGATAAAGTAGGTATATAAATATTTCACCTTGGAAATAAAGCAAAGTCAGTGGAAGAGTGTGAAGACTGTGAAGATTAGGAGCATGAAAATAAACGACTATTGGGAGCCATTCTATTCCCATGAGTGAATGTGTATTGGTTCCATTCAATGTAGGGAAGAGCAGTAAAAGGGAATAACCATAAGGATAAGACCACTGGATTATCTGAGAGCCACAGTTGTCCTTTGCCACATGGAGCATCTGCCCTAGGTATTACAGCTCTGTGAGAAACAGAGGTTCAAGGAAAGAAATTTGTTATTTTTCAATTATCTGCATAAATTCTTTGGAACAGGGGCATGGATTATAAAAGATGTAAGATAATAAAAAGCATTTGTATTTGACTTTGGAATGTATTGTACTTACATTTGTCTAGAGGTGTGTCTATTCTGGCTATTCTCTTTAAAGGAGCCATTCTATCGTGAACAGATCCTGTTGGAGCTGTTTTCTTGTTCTACCAACCTTCAGCCACCTCTCTGTCTTTCATATTACTTATTGGCAGGGTTTCAAAAGGTTTTAGTCCTTACTTAATATAAACAAAAATGTACAATATTGACAAAGTTTCAGTTAAGCAGATGAAATTCTAAGAGTTAAGCTGGGATTTTCCAAAATAATCCTGTTAACAGACTTGAAAGCACTTATCAGTTCTGTCTAATGAAGACATTAGAACACCATAACCTTTCCGGCCCATTTTCTTTGTCAATAAGCGTTCTTGCCCTGTCAGCAGCTCACCTCCAGCTTTAGTTTTCTCATGACAGTAAGTCTATTACCCTCCTGATCTGTCTTCTGGCTCCTCCTACCCAGGATGGGGAAGGTTTTTGACTTTACTGATATTCTCAGAACAAATTTTGGGAAGTAAATATAAGGTTTTCCAGTCGGGTGCAGTGGCTCACGCCTATGATCCCAGCGCTTTGGGAAACCAAGGTGGGTGGATCACCTGAGGTCAGGAGTTTGAGACCAGCTTGGCCAATAAGGTGAAACCCCATCTCTACAAAAATTAGTTGGGCGTGGTGGCGGCACCTGTAAATCCAGCTACTCAGGAGGCTGAGGCAAGAGGATTGCTTGAATCTGGGAGCCGGAGGTTGAAGTGAACTGAGATTGGGCCACTGCATTCTAGCCTGGGCGACAAGAGTGAAGCTCCATCTCAAAAAAAAAAAAAAAGATGAGGTTTTCCTTAAGAGCACTAACCTAGTATACTGCACAGGTGCCTGTATTCATGCATCCCACACAGAAAGAGAAAATACTTGTCTGAACTTGTCCATAAATTCAGAATCCTGCCCCTTAACTTGTATGCCAGGTTTCTGGCATACTCTTATCTGAAAACTCACTCTATTAGAAAAGCAAAGCACAGTGATTTTCCCATCCTGATTACCTGGCACTGTTTTTTATTTCAGTGCTTCTGTTTCTTTGCCATGTAAATGCCTGTGATTTGCCAGGTCATTTGTCCTGATTTTAGTTGAAACAGTGCAGTCATCATACTTGCAGAATGATACAAAATAATATAAAATATATTGCCTTTGTACTAAACAGAAGTGCCTCTCTGTTGGTGAAATAATACATATAAACAAAAATAATAATTAGTGATACTTATTGTGTGTTCACTATCTACTAGCACTGTATTGAGTGCTTTACCTGCATTGCTTCATTTTCTCCTCACAATATCCCTATTAGGTAAATTCAGTTATAATTCCCATTTTACAGATGGGGGCATTGAGGCTTGATGAGGTTAGTTAACCTGCTTCATGGTAGTAAAAGCAGAGCTTGGATTTGAGCACAGCATGAATGACTCCAGAACTTACACACACACACCCACTCACACACATGCAAAGAGAGAGAGAGAGAGAGAGAGACAACTGCTGAACATAGACCCAAGGCAAAATATCCTTGAGTAGAGGAACAGTGTGAGAGTGAAGCTGTAGTGCTGGTTGGGGTTAATCAGGATGGGCTCACTGGGCAAGACCAGGTTGTGGGGGGCAAAGGAGATGGAAAATTGTGTGAAGAGAAGAAGGGTGGACTAGGTAGATAAAGGTAGTGGACTAGGTAAATAAAGGTGGTAATTCAGACATCCACTTTAGGCTTCAAATCACTTTAGGAGAAGTGGTGGTCTATTGCTTTGCCCTTTAGTAGCAACATGCTTATTATACAATTTAATAAGATTCTATCCAATACACTGTTTTAAGGGCTCCCATCTCCCGGATTAGAGCTGAGTTCTAACTTCCTTTTCCAATGATAATGATCTGAGAAATTTCCTTCATGTTGCACTTTTTTTTTCTGAAGACTTGACATTGATGGAAAGAAGTGAAACCCACCTATGCTTTTGATTTTGGTGACTAATATTAATTGTCATGTATTACTAATAGTGAATCTGCATTTTTAAAGTCTTGTTGGAAAGCACATTAGGTGTGTATATAAAGGTATTAACCTTGAAAGTATGAACGTGTTTTCTATAATTAGTCCTATGATAATTTAAAATTTAACATGTGCTTGACACATTTGATAAAGGCTTTGTCTACTATGGTTTTATTTATGGTTGTTAATTAAGTAGGAGCAGCAGCATACTACTTGAAAGTATGAAGGTGTCCTCTATAGTTAGTCCTATGATAATTTAAAATTTAACAGGTACTTGACACATTTGATAAAGGCTTTGTCTACTATGGTTTTATTGGAATAGACAACTTATCTTTTCTTAAAGTATATTTTACCTTGGTACCAGGAAACTTGAGACCAAGGTAAAATGTAATACTTTAAAAAATGCCTAAATAGGAACTGTCATATATAGTTATATTTAGGGTTGATTCATATTTTGAAATATATTCTAGAATATAAAAACTACTATATTTTACAATTACTTTACCAAGCTCTCTAATAATACCTGTTTACCTTTAAAATCTTGGTCTTTCCCACAGAGGACAAGTTATTATATTTTTAATTGTTAAGCCTTCTGATCATATGAATTCTTTTCATATTTCATTGAAATTATATAAAACATTTTACTTCAAAGGAAAAATGTTATGAATTTATAATGCTTTTAGAATTTAAAAATCTGTTTCCTATTTTGTTGATTAAGACAGAGAAGCATTGCTTGTGAATAAATAGCATGCTATGTTGAAAAGAAAATTAAGGATCCTGATGTTTCTCTGCCAGATAGGACAAAAACTAAGGACGCCACAGGAATTTTTCAACATTTTTAACCTCTTGACAATATGTGGGTCGTATAAAGGACAAATGAATGTTTGGATGGACTGAGAATGCCAATTTTAACAGATTGTCCAATCACTGTAGATAAATATTTGTGTTCCTGGGGATTATCTGATTATTATCAAGCAAATTGAATTGGAAACATAGCATGTATTAAGTCATTACTACTTATTGTCTAGTTCTTTTTCTCATAGAAGTGTCTATGTACTAGAAGAGCACTAAGTCATCAGTTAGACATGATCTTTATCATATCCAGACAAAAATAAAAACCTTTTAAGAAGCTACTTTACAAGACAACTGCATAGCTTTCTTCACAGGAACTTGTTAAATAAATAATGATTATTAAAGCAATTGGGTCAGTCTCTTACACTAATTTAACAAGAGCAGTTCCAAGATGTCTAGCCCATTCCACATTCCGTGTGACTAACCATGGTATCCAGAGCTTGGAAAATATCCAGGCAACCCACAGTAGCTTTTCTTAAATGCATTATGGACACTGGAATGTAAGGAAAGTGATAGAACTAGGTGAACAAGAAGAGAGTCTTTAAGGCATACCCATTGTCAGTGTCGTAAATGGCCTCAATTGTATGTTGAACATTGTTCAAAAGTACCCATGGCTGAAACAGTGTAGATTTAGCTCCTATCTGTATTGAAGTTGATAAATGCATAAATCTTAATCATTGACATGGAGGTTTATTGTATTCAATGAGACAGATATACTTGGAGTTTTCCACAAACCACCAATAAGAGTCTATTGTGAATTGGAATGATTAGCTTTTAAAGATGTATACATGTTAACCACCCTTTTATATTAAGTTGGTGCACAAGTAATTGTGCTTTCAACGGCAAAAACCACAATTACTTGTGCACCAACCTAATACTTACAGTTATGCCAAGATAGGGGTAGAAGCAGAAGGAAAATTTAGAGTGAGAAGATAGAGACAAGAGATAGGGAGGACAGGAATTGAGTCAAACAAAGATTCTGGAAAGTCTGTGATTAATTCTGTGGTTGTTAATTAAGTAGGAGCAGCAGATATTATAAAACTCAATATACAAGTGGTCAAGTTCAGGAAGAGCCAAGGAGGAGACCAGTTGATATTCTAGGTCCATGTTTCTTGTAAGCAAAGTTTGGAAACCAGAACTTTGGATCTGTTTCAAGAGCCCAAGGTAAGAGGCTTTAGAATAAAGTCTAACCCAGGCCAAGAATCTGGGTAACAGAACCAGGGATCTCCTAGGGCACTAGCACTAACTGGTGGCCAAGGCAAGTACTTCTACATTTCCTGCTTTGAGTCCAAACTTGTGAAAATTTTTAGAAGGCCTGAGCCCACAGATTTATTTTTTCATCAATTCATATTTATTAGGCACCTATATGTGCCAGGCACTGTATTAGGAGCATGGACTATTGGTGATCTCAATGGACATATTATCCGTTTTTATAAAGGAGATGTATCGTGGACCAGTAAATAAAGAAGTGAACAAATAGCACTAGAAGGAAATAAAAAGGGCAATAAATCAGATAATCTAGGGGAGGGTGTTTTAGATAGAATGATCAGGGAAAGCCTATCCAAAGAAGTGATGTTTGAGAATGAGAATTAAGTTTGAGAATGAGCAGATACATGAGGAGCTGGAAGGAGGACACTCCAAAGTCTAGGCCAAGTGGAAAGGCTTGGAGGGGAGAAAGGCCTTGGCATGTTCAAGGCTTGGAAGGAAGTGGATTTAGACGCTAGCAAGCAGAAAAGAGAGGGTGTGACTTGGGGCATAGAGAAATTGGTAAGAGCCAGATCAAGCAGTGGGAGGGGAAAAGCCACTTAGCTAGAGTAAGGGATGGACCAAGTACTCTGTAGAACAGATATGAAATTATTCAGTGTTTTTATAGCTGTAAACTGGAAAATAGATTACAGGGACTTAAAATTCTCCCTAAGTACTCCATGCATTGTGAAGGGTTTACTAATGAAATCTTCTTAGAGATGGAAACATGAGGCAGACCATTAGTGCTAGATCATGGTGGTCATATTAGTTCTGGGGAGTCCAGGGTTAAAAAAAGTAGCTTCAGGGCAAAGCATTGCAGTTCAAGAGAGTGGTGGTAATAGCCAGAGAGTTTTGCCTTTGGATGATGAAACTGGTTGGCAAATGACAGTGGAGCAGGGTAGTGAGGCACCCAGGGTGGGCTGGTTTGAAACAGAGCATAATGTGAGTGAACCTGGGATGCACATGAATAATAAGATGGAAGAAACATAAAGCATCATCCTTCTTAGGATTTCCTTTCTTCCACAGAGTCAGCTAAGTTATAGGTGCCCTGAGGAGGTCTTCCAAATGGTTAACAGTATATTATGCTCTTCCTTTGAATTTTTAGTTTGAAAATTTGTTAATAGCCAAACAATAGTAATGATATCCTTACCACTCTTTGGATTGAATGATGTCCCCCACCAAACCAAAACATCAGTTAAGTCCTAATCCCCAGTAGCTCAGAATGTGGTCTTATTTGGAAACAGAGTCATTGCAGATGACATTAGTTAAATGAAGATGAGGTCATACTGGAATAGCATGGGCCATTTATCCAACACGACTGGTGTCTTTACAAGAAGAGGAAATTTGAACACAGTGGGAAGATGGCTGTATAAAGATACAAAGATGGCTGCAGTGAGTCATGGTCATGCTACTGCACTCCAGACTGGACGACAGAGTGAGAATTTGTCTCAAAGGAAAAGAAAAAGAAAAAAAAGCTAGGCATAGTGGTTCATGCCTGTAACCCTAGCACTTTGGGAGGTTAAAGTTGGAGGATCACTTGAGCTTAGGAGTTTGAGACAAGCATGGGCAACATAGCAAGACCCCGTCTTCGCAAAAAATAAAACTAGCCAGGTGTTGTGGTGCATGCCTGTAGTCCCAGCTACTGAGGTGGCTGAGGTGGGAGGATTGCCTAAGCCCAGCAGGTCAAGGTTGCAGTGACCAGTGATCTCACCACTGCAATCCAGCCTGGGCAAAAGAGCAAGACCCTGTCAAAAAAAGAAAGAAAGTAGAAAGAAAGAAAGAGAAAAAGAAAACAAAAAGAAAAAAGACAGATACAGAGCTGCAGAAGGAGAATATTATGTGAAGAAGGAGACAAAGATTGAAGTGATATATCTATTATCAAGGAAATGCTAGGGCATGATGCCTGTCATCACAAGCTGGGAGATGGCATGGAACAGATTCTTCCTTAGGGCCTTCCAAAGGAACCACCACTGCCACACCTTGACCTCAGAATTTTAGCCTCCAGAACTGTGATATAATAAATTTCTGTTTAAAGCCACCCAGTGTGTGGTACTCATTAGGGCAGCCGTAGAAAAGGAAAACTACCCCTTCCCATTCCTCTTGTCGTATTCTTTTCCACCGTTTTGTCTCACACACTACAATCGATGAAAACCAAATTGCTTTTTCTACCACTTGTACTCTTTCAACCCAGAATAG
This sequence comes from Homo sapiens, assembly GCF_000001405.40. Classification (NCBI taxonomy): domain Eukaryota; kingdom Metazoa; phylum Chordata; class Mammalia; order Primates; family Hominidae; genus Homo; species Homo sapiens. The sequence continues at coordinate 22,139,988 of NC_000009.12, forward strand.
CCTCCTCTTTTTTTTTTTTTTTTTTTTTTGTCTCCAGGGACCTATTTTAAAATAAGAAAAAAGTTTTTAAGCATAGTACCTGATAGTTTTTTAATCTTCACCCACACCCACCCCTTCCCCATAACTTTTTTGATTGATTATGAAATATTTCAAGCAAACACAGAAAATAATATGACAGTATTCTTCTAAAATCTACATTCATCAGATTACAACTTTTTGCCATATTTGCTTCAAATCACTCCTTTTCACCCTAAAAAGAAAATATTACTGAGAGAGAGAAAGTCTCCTCTCTTCATACTTTCTTTCACTTCACTGTTCGCATCCTTAATTTTTATTTATTTATTTTTAATTTTTTTTTTAGAGACAGGGTCTCTTTTTGTTGTCCAGGCTAGAGTGCAGTGGCACAATCATAGCTCACTGCAGCCTCAAACTCCTTGGCTCAAGCAATCCTCATGTCTCAGCCTCCTGAGTAGCTGGGACTACAGGTACATGCCACCATGCCCCACTCCAATTCTTATTTATTTTTAAAGTGGCATCACTTTGTTAGTAAAGCCTTCCCATTATCACTCAGATTTACTTAACTCTATCACCTATTCCCACAATATTTTATACACAAATTATATTACAGGAATGATCATATTGTATTTTAATTGTAGTCACTTTTTCTCTATAAGAAAAAAATGACTTGGTCATTTTTAATCATCTAGTGCCTATGCAATATCTAACTCTGGGTTAAACTGAATTTTAATATAATAGTGTTTACATCGAACCGTTTGACCTTCAAAAGAGCCCTAAGAGTCAGGACTAGAATTGTCATTCTTTATTCCAGAAATGGCAACTTTATGAATTTTACGTGTTTAATGTGGTCGATTATTGTTTGTCACTGTTGGTGAAGTTTACTTCCTTGCCCTCCTGATGTTGGGCTTGGCCGTGTGGTTTGCTTAGGCCAGTGGAAGGCAGGTGGAAGTGACAACATGTCAGTTCCAAACTGAGGCTGTAAGAAGTTCACATATTTCTGCTTTCTTCTTTGTGCTTCTGACATTCACCGTGAAAACATTCCCTGAGTAGCTGTTGGTCCCAGAATGAAGAGACAGATGGAGCCAACCTGAACCCAACTTGAAGGCTGAATGCCAACAAACATAGCAGGATCACAGCAAACCTGAAGTGAATGCTCGCTGATGTCAGTTACCAAGATTTGGGGTGGTGGTTACCCAGCATTAGCATAGTTGAAACCTCACTAATACACCTAGATGGTTGATAATAAAGGCAGAACTAGAATACACGTTATCTGATTAGCAATATAGTGTCTTTTTACTAAATTATTCTGTTATTCATCTGCACATTCAACAAGTATTTAATCATATATTTACTGTAGAAAACAGCACATCATTAAACAGACAGACTGTGGTCTCTGCCCCCAAGGAGAATATGTTTCTAGTGAGGGAAAGAGATACAAATTCATAAATCTAAACTATAGAAAATGGCAAACTCTATAGCACAAATGTCTTTTGAGAGAGAATAATGGGTGAGGGGAAGGAAAGGAGATGAATACCTTTAAGGTGGCAGGGGTAGAGCTCTTTGAGAGACTGCAAAGCAGAGAAGATGCTTCAAGAAAAAGAAGTACACATTTCTCTCCCTGGAATGGTCTCAGTGGTCTCAGATAATGGTTTCAGTTTTCCATATTCCTTTATTTATGTAGTGTCAGGCCAACAGTGTACTTTAGCTCCAGGCTAACCAGTTGTCCTTGGTTTGCATCCCGTGTATTCAGAAAGCTATTGGATTGTTTTGTAAGTTCTTAAAGAAGGACTGAAAAAGGCTTCATTTTCCCTTTTTCCAAAGGGAGCAATTACATACTGTCACTGGAATAATAAACTTAAGTCCTAGGCTGCGAATGAAATTTGATTTCTCTCAGGTGAGAGGTATTTTGTATATGGAAAGCTAAGGAAAGAAATGCAATGTTTTTTTTTTTTTTTTTTTTTTTTAGCAATCCAGTAGGGAACTGTGGCCAGCATTGAGCTGATAAAGACCTTTGTTTTCCATGTTTTGATTGGCCCAGTGAGAAGCCTCGAGCAGTTTGCACACCCATCTGTGTCCATACTGGTGGGGCAGAAAAGTGCTGACACAGGATTGCAGATTAGCCCCTGCAGCTTGCCAGGGTAAACTTGTGTAATGCACTGTACACCACTCCTAACAACAGTGGTCCTTTTGTCACTTAAACAGAGGTTATTAAGAATATGAGTCATTAAAAAGAGCTTTAGAAAAGCAGGCAACATTTTCCAATACAGTGGCTTTAGGGGATCTTTGGAAAGTATCAGAAGTTCCGGAAGAAGTAAAGCATCTCATTAATAACTAACAATAGACACAGAATCAAAATCTGAATTGATGAAAAAAAGTAATATTTAAAATGTAATTTTTGAATGTTGAAAAGAGCCCATTTTTGTAGAGAATTGGATGAGGATTAACTTAGATATTTTCTTGAATGTGTATAAATATTACATATAAGAATACTTTCAAGTCTTAAATTGGCCCGGGGATCTCCAGCTTGCTGATAAAAACAAATCAAAGAAACTACCTTTAGGACTTCTTTTTCTTATTTTTGAAACATTAAAAAGTTGCAAGTGCCGGAATAATGGGGAAAAAGTCTTTATTCTATTATCCAGACAAAAAGCTGGTCAACATTTTAATGCTGTTTCTGCTGGCATTTTTCTCTACAAATACTTTCTATGTAGTTAAGATCATATGGTATATGTAATCTTGTTTCATTCATTTTCTTTCACTTTTGTTATTCCTTATTCAGTGATTGGAAAACTATGGTTTATAGGCCAAATCTGGACTACTGCTACACGTGGAACACAGCCACATGCATTCATTTACATATTGTGTATGACTGCTGTCTCTGTACCATAATAGAATTGAGGGCGGCTACAGAGCTTAAGTGACTCACAAAGCCTGAAATATTTGCTCTCTGGACCTTTATAGAAACAGTTTTCCAGTTTGTGAGATAGATTATTAGAGTCATATGAACACAATAGAATTTTACAAAAATATACCAAAAGTTTATACAGCCATTGATACTTTAACTAGCATTGTCTGATGAAACTGTTTTATTGCCTATAACAATATATATGGTAAATATATATGGTTATGCATATATAACCATATATATGTAATAGCCAGCTATATATATATATGTATAATTTTATATGTATACAGTTTTGGATTTTAATAGACATAGAATGTTAGTGTATCTCTTTTTTGCTTTAATATTTATTTCTTTGAGTAGCAGTTAGACAAAATGATTTTCCATTTTTTTAGTTCTTTAATTTTCTTTATCTTCAACTGCCTTCTTATGACGTTTGCCCCTTTTTAAATAGAGGGTTTTTTTAAAAATAAATTTGTAAGGGCTCTATATAGATGCGGAATACCAACTCTTATTGTTTTTACTTTGACTATATTTTCTCAGTTTTTTAATCCTTTAATTTGAGAGATTTTTTTGAAACTTGAAAGTTGTTTAATCAGTGTAAAATTTCCTCTGTGATTCCTTTCCAAGCTCCAATATATCATGCTGAGGAAGTATCTTATCATTTTTAATTTTTTAAAAATTTATAAGGATTGATATTTTATGAAAGGCCTCTTGAGTGTCTATTTTTAAAAACATACTTTGTTCTTAGAATAGTTTTGGACTTACAGAAAAATTGAGAAGATAGTACAAAGGGTTCTCATAAACTCCACAGTGATTTTTCCCTGTCATTAACATCATTCATTAGCATTTTGTCATTAGTATCTTTCATTAGTATTGTATGTTCGTTACAATCAATTAACTAAGATTGATGCATTGTCATTACCTAAAGTCCATATTTTATTAGAATTGTTTAAGTTTTTACCTAATATACTTTTTGTTCTGGTATCTTGTCCTAGATACCACCATTCAACCATTCATTTAGTTGTTATGTCTCCTTATGTTTTTCTTGGCTTGTTATATTTTCTCATAGTTTTTTGGTTTTTGATGACCTTGACAATTTTAAGGAGTATTGACTAGGCATTTTGTAAAACTCCTTTCTATTAGAATTGGTCACTGTGAGCAGTCCACATTTTAGGAATAGGAAGTTTTATTTCCCCATCTTGAGGGTGAAGTTGTTGCATAAACTTTTGGGGATTCTTCTGCATGGGAGATTTTTTCTACTTCTCCTTTTATTTATTTATTCAGTCATTTAGTATGAGCTCATAGATATTAATTTTATACTTTGGGTTATAATCTAATACTTTTTTATTATTTTGTTGCTTACATACTTCTAGATTTGGCCACTGGGAGCTCTTTCAGTTGACTTCCGTATTTCTTTGACATACCTTGGCAAATGTAGGATTTGTGTGTGTGTGTGTTTATTAGCACATTTTTCATTTCTGGCACTACAAGATCCTCCAGGCTCATCTTGTTTATTTCCTGTGCCAGTCCTAGGATTAGTCATTTCTACAATGTGCCCTGATTCCTTTAGTCAGTTTCCTTTTATTAGGAACCAATATCTGGACACTGGTTATGCTTATTTGTACAAGCATGTAGTTACTTCTGGGCCCTCTCAGCTTACAGAGCAAGGAACCATACTATGCTATGTGTGTGTATGCTAAGCTGTGTATACACACACAGAAAAAAATATATATATATATATGCACACACATATATTTCTATACATAGCCATCTGTATCAATTTTGAGCTAAACATGAGTGTTCATACTGGTGTCTCCAACTCTAATCCAGTATCACATGTATCATTTTAGCCTTATCCCCTTGTTTATCTGTACACTCCCATCCCAACAGTGATAATCCTGGCTCCTGCCATCTGTCAATTCCAGTATACAGGTATTGGAATATCAGAATTTTTAACTTGTACTCTAGTTATTTTAACCAAGAAATAACTTTGTTAACTAGAGTACAATGCTTATGTACTGTCAAACGAGATTCCACTCGTTTCCAAAGTTATTTAGGTTCCTCTCCTGATTTTTAACTCTTATTTCACTGCATTTTAATCCGGATTTATTTATTGTTCCTGGTTGTCAGTCCTGAAACTAAAGTGGTAATAAAGGAAACAGGTGGTATACGTGAGAGGCTTTCAAATTCCTTGAGGTCATAAAATATATATGTATGTGCATATATTTAAAATAAAGCCTTGAACAGGCAGAAAAACTGATATTGCATTGTAGATAACAAATGGCATAAAACACTTATGTAGAATTAGTCCCATCAAAATATGTAAAGAAGTAAGGTTCGATAAAAGTTGTGGGCATTATAATAAAATATTTCTCTCCCTTTATATTCACTCCTTACCTGTTCTCAGTAAAATAAGTTCAACTCTGTACAATTAATTTTCTGCCATGTCTACTGCTTGTACTTGGGAACAAATGCTATATTATAATATAAAGATATGTGTGGAACTTGGTTTCAAAAGTCAGGTAATGCAAATATCAAAAAACAGGTGATCTCTCAAACACCTTATGATAAGTCAGTCAGATAAAGTGCTCTGCAGAACTCCAGCCAACAAACAGGTTGATTATCAGTGAAGTATCTCATATTTTCAGGTAGTCCTCACACTAAGAAAGCTAATGAAAAAGAGTTTGAGCTCACATAATCATGAGAAAGTACATTTCAAACCACCTTCCCAAATTTCCTGCTGCAGTTTCTTCTCTTTTTACTCATTATTTTTCTTTTTACCTCAGTTTACTTTCTGGTTTTCTTGGCTGAGTGCCTTTTTAACTGCTTTGAAGTAAGATGCTATCTTCTTTATCAGGTTTGCAAACTATTTATTGAATTTAGCAATTAAAATTGTCGCTGTGGTTGAACTGGAAAATGTCCTTTTGGTACTTGAATTTACTGAATATAATGACTGAAAAAGCATTTCAAACAAACAAATCAACAAACAAAAAATCTCAATTAGTTTGTTGCATAGACACAATAGTAACTCACAGCACTGGCATATTATTTTTGATTCACAAAACACATATAGAGCCTGGCATCTATTAGACATGGAAGCCACTTATTAAGTATTTATTTAATCAATGAATGCATCAAAGGATTAGTAATATCAACTTCAACACAATCCTGTAGTATATGTAATATTCTTCCTCTTCCCTACCTTTAACAATGAGGAATTTGAGCTCAGAAGGATTAAGTGAATTACTTGAAGTTATATTATTAATTAAACTACTGAAGCCAGAACACGAATCTAGAACTTAATCATCAGAAGGGCAACTACTACCTCCACCTACGTTACTCATGATAGTATTAACATGGTAGCACAGTGGTACATAGTAGTTGCTCATTGAATATTATTTAGTAAAAGAAATGAAAAGAGTGGTGCTAGATACTTGGAAGAATAAGAATTCTAAGAAGGAGAATAAAGGTGTATATACATATTCATTTGATAAGTATTCAAATAATAGTTAAAGAGATGCATAGGATACTGCAGAGCTCTTTCAGAATTGAGAAGCTGAAATTAAAAGATGTATTAGACTTGTTTCCATCTTAAATCATCATCATATCAAGTGATAGACATTGGTACCTGCAGTATTTCAGTGGCATTTGATTTTTTTCCTGCAGAGTTCTATTAATACAGTATTTTAAAATTTTATTGTATGTCATTTAAAAAATACTTTTAAAAAGCAAGAACACCACATTTTTCTGGGCATAAGAGACAAGGTTGCTTTTTGCATGCATGTATGCAATTCTAACCTTTAAATTTCCTATGTCTTTATTTTTTCCCCTGACTTTAGAGCCTAATATTGACTAACAGCTCATTTTGAAAGATAAAAATCCACAAAATAATAATTTAGAAAGTGAAAATGAAAAATTACATTAATTTCTCCTCTACCATTGTTTTTCGTTCAAAACCACAGTTAACATGAGTTGATTTATTTTTTTTAAATGAATCTACTGTGACCGGCCTTATGATCCACCCATTCGCCTAAGTTTGAAACCACATTGATTCAGTCAACAAACTCTATACCACCTACTAATTGATAGGTAATGACTAGTTTTGTTAATACTTGGTTACAGCGATAGCTTTGAGCAAATTTTCAAAGTGAAGCTTTTCTCAACTTTTTCTTGTTGATTCGGTATCTGAAATAGCTTATTAATTCATTCCTTCCTTGTTTCCACTGACACTGCCAATCAGTTGTAGGTGAAAACTCTAAACTGGTCTCCTGTACTTTACTATCCCATTTTCTGCCTTAATTCATCTTCTCCAGTGTCTCAAGTGTAATCTTGCTAAAATACAAACCTAATTATGTTACTCCTCTGTTTACAGTCTTTAAATGTTTTACCAAATTAAATCCAAACTCCTTGAGAAGTTCATACAAGGTTGTATCAGAGCCTCTGAAACGCTAACCCACATCTTCACAGCTTCATCTCTTGATTCCAGCCTGGATGCAATGGGCATTCTGGATTTGACTCATATTACAACAACAAAATAATCTCAAGTGAATACCATGCACTTTTTACTTTTTTTCCACTGGGCTTCTTCAGTGCCACACCTGGGAATGGGGTTTTACTTGTTAAGCTTACCTATGGAGCTCCAAAATGCAAGGAAGTTTAACTTTTGAGAGCAATGTCCAACCAATGAGGGATGGAAACATAGGAAAACATGCTTTCCCAAGTTATTCTTCTAACAAACAGCTCTAAGGTACGTTCTGTATGCTTATTCCCCCTAGATGTCAGGGTTGAGTTCCAGTGTCCCAAAGCTATATAATAAAAATGCACCTTGGTATAGACTTTCCCGCCTTCCCTTACTCTCTTTAGTCTCCTTTTGTACTCCATAGGATTATCTCATTGACTGGGCTTTGCTTTCTAGTAGAACCTAAGCTATGACATATAGTACTAGACTCTCTCACCAGGAGTGATTTAGGACGAGGAGGCGTTGAAAACTGAAGCTTTGGACATCTCAGATAGTTAAAGCACTCGCAATTTCTGGCATTTATGTGCTCATAATGTAGTGGTGAATGGCAATTGCGGCAACCATGGCCTGACAAGAGCAAGGTCATCAAGAGCTTAGATTGTTTGGAGCTGAAGGTCTGAGTCACCCCATTAGGCTAAAAACCTAGAAAAGTAGAAGTGCTGATGGAGGGTGAGGAAAATCTAATATGGATTGTGGAGGAAGGAGACGATACATATAAAACATGACTGCAGGACCTGCAGTTGTAGCAGTGAGGGCTGTAACTTATTCCATTAATATTTGTGTGTTAAGTCACATGTAGAGATTGTGGCTAACTACCACCTTGAAGACTTAGAGGTTGCTGGAACTTATTCTAGGGCGTAGGTGTATCTGTGTGGTACAAAGGATAGACTGTATGGGTTGTTTTTGGCTTTCTGACTCATATCCTCTTGGCTTCATCTCTGATTACAGTGTAGATGCAGTGGGTAGTTTGGCTTACGTCAGGCTGACATCTTTCCTCAAGCACTGGATGTTTTGCACTTTTGCCCTTGGGTTTTTCCAATGCCACAATTGCCATTGGGAAGCCCTCTGTTCAAGCAGGCATGCTCAGTCGAGAAGCCAACAGGGGTTTACATCCCCAAAGCAAACCTTAACTAATGGAGGATACAAGTTGATGGATAAAAATAGTCAAACCTTAAGTACATAATTCCAAAAGGTATTCTAAACACTCCTTAGAAGATTCCAGGCAGGGCTGAGCACAAGTTGCCTACAATGGTGATATTAATAATGCATCTATATATATGCCTTTTCACATTCCCTCCCTCTTCTGTCTCTCACTCCTGCTCCCTGTTCATAAATTTTTGCAGCAGGCTCTGCTTTTGGGAAAACTCAAGCTAAAACAAAAGTCCTTAAATTCCAGTATGCCTCTGTCCTCCACTTTCTACCCAATTTTGTGTTGTTTCTTTTGGTTGTTTCCCTGATATATGCCAAGAAAATAAATGGAGAAATAGAAGGGTGGGACTATCAACAAATACTTTAATAGAATTTCCAGAAGGACTTAAGCTGTCAGATTGAAAGGATCCACTAAGTAGCCCAGAAAATAGTTTAAAAGTTGGTTGTTTTGAAGTTTTTTTCTCCCTGGTTTGTTTTAATCTCTACATCTGGTGTACAGCTGTCCTCATGAGATGCCTTGTTACTATTATTCTCTTGTGCCAAAACTTCTATTTCTTATCCCTGTAATGTTTTCTTTCTTGGAGCACCTCCTAAATAGTCTTAGAAAGGATGCATGGGAGGTAACTTTTTTGAGGCCTCAAACATCTAATGAAGTCTCTATTTTATTTCCTTTGACCTGATTGAATGATTATGGATTTATAGGTTAGAAACTATTTCTTTCAAATACATGAAGGGAGTGTCTTATTTTCTGTGTTGCTATTAAAAAGTCCTAATGCAACTCTTTTTATCATTCTGTGTACAGTGTATGTGATTTTTTTTCTTCTCTGGAAGCATGTGGAGTCTTCTTTAGTCCCCTGTGTTCTGAAATTTCAACAGAAATACCCTTATTAAGGTCTGCTGCTTGGTTTCTATTCTCCATGTTAAAACTTTCCACACATGTTTGGTAATCCTTGGAAGTGTTTAAATTTTCAGTTATCTTTTAAGTAAGTTAAGAGAAGAAAAAACTTTAAAAAGGCAGTTTTTATGTTTACTCATGTATTTCCCATTTCTGTTGCTCTTCATTCTTTCCTGTAATTCTTAGTTCCCATTTAATGTCATTTTCTTCACCTGAATAACTTCTTTTACTGCATATTTTCTGCTTATAAATTCTCTCAGTTTCCATTTATCCCATAAAGTCTATTTTACCTTTATTTTCAAAGGATCTTTTCACTGGATATAGATTTATGGTTGACAGTATTTTGTTGTTGTTGTTGTTGTTAATTTACTTCAGTACTTACATATATTCTAGTTTCTTCTGTCTCCACTGTTTCTGATGAGAAGTCATTATTGGTATCAGTGTTCCTTTGTATATAATATGTTCTTTTCCCTCCAGCTACTTTCAAGAGTTTCCCCTTGTCTTTGTTTTTTCAGTTTGATTGTGATGTACTTCGTTTTCTTTATGTTTATCCTGCTTCAGGTTCCCTGAAATTCTTGGATATGTAGGTTGATGTTTTAAATAAATTTTTAAACATTAGACCATTATTTCTTCAAATATTTTCTTCTTCTCTTCATCTAAGACTTCAATGATATACATGGAGACTCCTTGATATTGTTCCATTGTCACAAAGCCTTTATTAATTTCTTTCAATAGTTTTTTCTTTTTGCAGCTTGAACTTAAAATTCACTGCACTCTGCACCTCCTTTTCCCCCCGTGAAGTCTCCAATCCATTGTTAAGCTCATTCAGGATTTCTCCACTTCAGATATTATACGCTGTAGTTCTAAAATTTCCATTTTTCTGCTGCTATCCCATATGCATTCACTGATTATGACCATAATTTCTATACATTTTTGAGCATATTTATAATAAGTGCTTTAAAGTCCTTTTCTACTAATTATACATCTGGGGCATTTCAGAGTTCAGTTTCTCCTGACTACTTTGTCTCTTGAGTATGCTTTTTCTTCCAGTGTCTAATAATTTTTAAATTATACACAAAGCATTAAAGATAATTTGTTGGCCAGGAGCGGTGGTTCACGCCTGTAATCCCAGCACTTTGGGAGGCCAAGGCGGACAGATCATGAAGTCAGGAGATTGAGATCATCCTGGCTATCACTGTGAAACCCTGTCTCTACTAAAAATACAAAAAAAAGAAAAAATTAGCTGGGCATGGTGGCGGGCGCCTGTAGTCCCAGCTACTTGGGAGGCTGAGGCAGGAGAATGGCGTGAACCTGGGAGGCGGAGCTTGTAGTGAGCCGAGATCGCGCCACTACACTCCAGCCTGGGTGACAGAGCGAGACTGTCTCAAAAAAAATAAATAACTTGTAGAGATTTTGGAGTCTGTTACCTTTCTCTGAAGAATGTTGATTTTTGTTGTAGCAGCAGGGCATCAGTGAAATCTCTGCTCGGTTTACAAGTCTTTTTTTCTTTTCTTTTCTTTTTTTTTGAGATGGAGTTTCGCTCTTGTTGTCTTGTTGTCCAGGCTGGAGTGCAATGGCGTGATCTTGGCTCACCGCGACCTCCACCTCCCGGGTTCAAGAGAGTCTCTTGCCTCAGCCTCCTGAGTAGTTGGGATTACAGGCAGGCGCCACCACACCTGGCTAATTTTGTATTTTTAGTAGAGACGTGGTTTCTCCATGTTGGTCAGGCTGGTCTCGAACTCCTGACCTTAGGTGATCCTCCCATCTCAGCCTCCCAAACTGCTGGGATTACAGGCGTGAGCCACGGCGCCCGGCCTAGTCTTTTAACTATTGCTATCTGCTGGGCTTTTTGGAGTCTCTACCATGCATGCATAGTCCAGTAGTTAGTCAAGGATTTGAAGGGAGTTGATACACAGATTTTGTGGCTTCCTCCTCTGTGCGTCTCTCCTTTCAGCAATTTTTCTGTTTAAATTCAGTCACCCTGGAATCCCTGAGCTCACTCTCTGACTCCACAACTCAGAAAGACAATGACTTTCTTTATGAATTTTAGCTACCCTGCATCACTTGGGCTGCAAGATGCTCTCCAGAGAAAATCTACATTAAAACATGTCACTCAATGCAGTTACCTTCTTTCAAAGGTTGAATCACCTTCTTTTTGAATCCCTGTTGGTTGTTATTTTGTACCTTAAATAATTATTTTTAATACTGGTCCAGAGTTTATAATTGTTATCTATGAGGAGTGTTAGTCTAACACAAGATATTTTGTCATTTCTAGAACAAGACTACTCCACTCTTATGTAGCTGTGACATTGTCATGCATTTCTTTAAAACATTTTAGTGGTTCTTTATTGTTTATCAAATAGAAAATATTCCTTAAACTGCATGTACTCTATTTTTTCATTGTTTCCCATAACAAAGAAATATTATTTCATTGAAATATTGAAATATTGAGCATGCCTTCAAATATTATGTTTCACCATGTTCTTTTGCTCATACCGTTTTCCATCCAGAATACATTTTTCCCCCTACATTTGAATGCCCAAATCCTGCCTATTCTTTAAGATCTAGCTAAAATGTCACCTCCTCCACGAAAGCTATTCTTCTCCCTCCAGTTTCAGTTTTGACTAAATTATCTGTTTCTATTTCATTGCTTTACTTATGTTTTATAAGGACAATAAGAGATTAGTGCCCTTATAAAAGAGACCCCACAAAGCTTCCTTGCCCCTTCTACTATGTGAGGACACAGCAAGAAGACAGCCAACTATGAGCCTGGAAGCAGGGCCTCATCAAACCTTGAGCATGCTGGTACACTGATCTTGGACTTTCCAGTCTCCAAAACTGTAAGAAATAAATTTCTGTTGTTGATGGCTGGGCGTGGTGGCTCACGCCTGTATTCCCAGCACTTGGGAGGCCGAGGTGGGCGAATCACGAGGTCAGGAGATCGAGACCATCCTGGCTAACATGGTGAAACCCTGTCTCTACTAAAAATACAAAAAATTAGCTGGGTGTGGTGGCAGGTGCCTGCAGTCCCAGCTACTCGGGAGGCTGAGGCAGGAGAATGGCGTGAACCTGAAAGGTGGAGCTTGCAGTGAGCCAAGATCTCACCAGTGCACTCCAGCCTGGGTGACAGAGCGAGACTCCGTCTCAAAAAAAAGAAAGAAATTTCTGTTTTTTATAAGCCACCCAGTCTATGGTACTTTGTTATAGCTGCCTGAATGGACTAAGACACAATGTGAAAGTACATTATCTTCTTTTTGATTCTCAAGTTACCACCTTTTCTCAAACGACCACCAACTCTCTCTGGACTTCTGAAATATTCTTGTAACTGGTCTCTCTGCTTCCATTCTTGTACCTTTAAACCTTAGTATTCCACAGTAGCCTAAGAGGTCTTAGGGTATATAAACAAAATGACGTTAATTTCCTGCATCTAATCATTCAATAGCTTCCCATTGCACTAAAGTGGAACCCTTTCTTTAGAGTCCTTGCCATGATCAATAAGGTCTCCTCTCCTACAAGGTATGGGCACTGCCTACTACTCTGACCTCATTTATTACACTCTTCCCTGCCTTAACATATGCCAAAAGTATTCGACCTTTCCCCCAATTCTCAAACACTGCAAAAAACCCTCCAAAGGCCTACTACTTTACAGTTGCTCTATCTTCTTCCTCGAATGCCCTCCTTATCTTTATAGATGGCTCCTTCTTTTAAGTTCTTAGTAAAAATATCATCTCCTTAGAGGGACCTTCACCCCCTCAGTCACAACCTTGTTTTAAATTCCTCAGACCCTCATGATTATCTGAAATTATCTTATTATATTTCTTTCTTTGTTGTTTAATGTTTCTCTCTGTCACAAAGCAATACATTTTTTTTTAAAGCAGGAATGGGCTATATATTCTTCATTTTGTTGACCTCTAGGAGCTGCATCAGTTGGGGTCCCCTGCCTCTGCCCTCCAGTTGAGTTCAGTTAAGTAAAGACCAGAGGATAAGAAAGAAGGCTACTGTGTGTTTCTACTGAGGGTTATAGCTCCTTTCAGGCAGTCCTCTTCTACAGCTTTTGGGTTCCATAACTATTTCTTCTCCTTGATGATCTCCGGTAATTCAACTTGGCTCCTTGTTTTCTCTTTCTGTCCTCCTCACTGTTGCTAGCCTTAGGGTGCTTCAGTTTCCCTTAACGCAGTTCACATCTTTTAAAAACAGACTCTTCATTAAATTCTCTTTAATGATTTGTTTCAAGTATGACAAATCTGTCTTTCTGGGACCTTGAATTTTATTCTTCAAAATATTACCAGCCCTTAGCACAGAACCTGTTACATGGTGACGTTCAACACATATTTGTTGAATGAATGGATGAATTAATAGGCTCTTTTGCTCTTCATTCAGAATCTATTAAGCTATACACTCCCTCAGTATTTTAAACCCAAAATTCAGTTTTTAAAAACTAAACTTCTTGAGAGCATAGTCTATCTATATCTCTTTAAAATTTAGGCCTAAGACAGGACACTGCCCCACATTGAGTCCCACACAACAACCTGTGAGTCTGGCTCCCCAGGAGGGCCCCCAGACAGCTCCCAGGCACTTCATAGGCAAAGCCTGTCCCCCCCACTCAGGATTCCCAAGGTCTGGGGTCCCGCTCACCCCGCTTTCCTCTCATGCCCAGCCTGACCCCAGGTTTCAGCTGGGAGAGGCCACTTCCCTTAGCCAAGGAAAACGAGAACCCCCAGGGTACAGGAGGAAGCTGGGACAGGTCCCCTTGGGTGTCACTCCCTCACCCCCTGCCCAGGCCCACTCCCACTGGTGCTGGAGTACGCACTGGTGGGGGGACCCTGCTCAGCCCAGCCTGGAGGGCCCCAGTGTCACCACAACCAGGGGCACGGCAACATCATTGATGGGTTCTGCAGCCCAGGGCCCCCGATGCGGGGTCAGAGTGTGTGGGGCACAGGGCCCCCGATGCGGGGTCAGTGTGTGGGGGTGCAGGGCCCCCGATGTGGGGTCAGTGGGGGTGGGGCGCAGGGTCCCCGATGCGGGGTCAGAGTGTGTGGGGCACAGGGCCCCCGATGCGGGGTCAGTGTGTGGGGGTGCAGGGCCCCCGATGCGGGGTCAGTGGGGGTGGGGCGCAGGGTCCCCGATGCGGGGTCAGAGTGTGTGGGGCGCAGGGCCCCCGATGCGGGGTCAGTGGGGGTGGGGCGCAGGGTCCCCGATGCGGGGTCAGAGTGTGTGGGGCGCAGGGCCCCCGATGCGGGGTCAGATTGTGTGGAGCGCAGGGCCCCCTCGTGTCCAGGGCACTTTGGTACACTGTCCCACAAGGCACCTGTCTCAGAGGAGGGGTCCTGGCAGGCAGTGTGGCAACTCCCTTCCAGAGCCCAGCTCCATGCTAACCTGCCCACAGCAACCCCACAGAGCCACATCCCCTGCTGCACCTGGCCTGCAGGAGTGTCCCAGGACAGGCCCAAGTCAGCCCAGCATGCAGCTGCCCTCCTACCCTGAAGAAGGGAGTGGGCTTTCCAGGGGACATAAGGATGCCAGGCCTGGACCTCCTGGGCAGGAAAGGGAGCAGGTCCTGAGGGCCTGTGCCCCACAGCCCCAGCACCAGGTGGACTGCAGCGCAGTGGGTGGGCCAGTGGCAGCTGGGGAGAAGCCCCCCGTCAGCAGGCTGGGGTCTGCCCACCAGGGCCTCCCCACGTCTGCCTTTGAGGGTGCCTGCCATGCCCTGGGGGATCCTGGTATCTTTACTGGACTGGAAGCAGGAGACAGAACAGTGTCTGTCCCGGGGTGACTTCATCAGGAGACCGCCCACATAGAGCTGGACCCCGCAGCTGAAGCGGAAATGTGAGACAGGCTGGCACCTCCGGAAAAACTGCCTTTCAGCCTTGGTGTTCCGTGCAAGGTGAAAAAAAATAGGTCCTCCAAGTTTACAGCTTGAAATCAGGCTACTGTGTGGCCCTGGAGACCACGAGGGGAGAATTTAAAGTGGCCCCGGCTGGCAGGGTCTAGGTGGCTGGCAGAGGCACATGCAGACCCTACCTGGAGCCCGCCCTAGGGACGCTGGGCAGGTCAGTCTCCGTGCAGGATGTGAGCAGCGTCCCTGGGCTCTATCCGCGAGGTGCCAGTAGCGTGTGCAGGTACATACACATGCGTGCACACTGTTATGACACCCAGAAATGTCTCAGGACGTCGAAATGTGTCCTTGGGAGCAGAAGTGTCCCCGGTTGAGAATCTGTCCCAGAGGAACACGACCACGACAGGCCTCAGGATTTTGTGTTGATCAAGTTCCAAGGAAAAGGAACATCTCGGCCAGGCGTGGTGGCTCACGCCTGGAATCCCAGCACTTGAGGCCAGGAGTTCGAGACCAGCCTGGGCAACGCAGTGAGAGACCCCCATCTCTACAAAAAAAAAAAAGAAAAAAAAAAGAAAGAAAGAAAGAAAAGAAAATGAGATCTCCAGGTTTAAAAATTCATAAACACCACAAGGAAACAATACACTATGAGATCCAGCAGAAGCAACAGATTGACTCTGTAGACCCAGATACTGGAATTATCAGAGAGAATATAAAGTAACAGTGTTTTATATATCTAAAGAAATAAAAGAGATTTCTGGAAAAAAAAATTTAGGCCTAAGAATTAGTGAAAATCCCAACATTAAGGAAGGGATTATATGTTCAGTTTTTGAAAGGATAATGTGTCATTTTTAATATTTGCTATTTCCTGGAATCTTAGTTCTAGGATACACCATAAATGTCTGCTTTTATAGGTGAAGAAACTGAGGGTGAGAACTGAAGAGGGATTTATCTGAAGACGTTATGGTAGTGGAACCAATTTTTACTTTAATGTTGTTGCTCTCTTGATGATATTAGATGGTTTCATCAATTACTAAGTAAATTCCCAAGATTTACCTCGAAGTCACATTACCCTATTAACTTATTCTCCAGTTGTACCAATTTGCCATTTCATTCTGGTAACAAAGCTCTCTTACTACAATTCAGAAAATATTTGGGAGGCAGCTGCCACTGAGCCCAGACTTTGACAAAATATCCTCCCACAGAGGCCCAGTTAAACTATGGATTGCACTGAGCATTCTGTCCTTAGGTGCTCTGGCCTCCCAGTAGATAGCGGATGCTGTGGTAATTTATCACAACCCTCTACCCCTCCGATTACCTGCCAGGTGACTCTTCACTCCTGGCTTCTGCAGCCTCTGCTCTCCCCAAGATCCAGCTCTCTCAGCCCCCCATCTAAGGTTGCACAGTTTAGGTACATGCTGAAATCACCAATACAGAATCGTTTTAAAATTCGAATTAATTGGCTGAGTGTTTTGTTAAGACCTGATTGTGGGCAAGAACTATTTGTTAAATACTCTAAATTCTTAGAACCCAGCCCAGTACTTGCTAGTCATCATTTAAATACATTGAATGATAGAGAAAATTCTTCTGATCACAAACCTTATACCAGCGTTGTCAAAATTATAATGATAAAGTAGCTCATTTTAAGCGCGTCCTGGGTTGGGAAACTTAACAATTTTAAAACTTGGAATAAATTCAATAAAATGACATAGTATGGTTACAATGTCTGTCTACAGAGTCAGGGCAAGAACAAAGAAAATTGAAAGAAGATTGTTTTAGTGTAGTAAAATTACTGGATAATTTTCATTTCCTTTGCTCTTTAAAGAATTATTTGTAAAGGGTATTTGAAATGAAAACAAGATTGGAGAAAAACAACTTGGAAGAAAATCATAGGCAAATAACAATAATGATTGAAGAGTTGTGAATAAGGAGAGTTAGGAATCAAGTGGTTCCAGGCTTGCAGAATCTGAAAGGAGCCTAGAGTGAGGAGGTTGATCTGTGAAGGATGATGATGATCTCCATTAAGGACCAGACAGGAGGCAATAGGCTTAAGCTGCAGTATGAGGGATTTAGATAAGAGAAAAGGAAAAATTTTCAGACAGTGAGGTTCATAGATACTGGAATGTGTAACTGAGGAAGCTTGTGGAATTTCCTTCTCTAGAAGTCTTTTAAAAATAGGGCAGTGTCTCATCTGCCTGAAGGATGGACTCTATTTGACCTCTCAAATTGTCTACTGAACTCAGAAGGTGAACCACACCTTAGATAAGAAAGAGAGCCTGAATGATCCTGGGTAGCTTGAGTAATAAAAGTAGGGTGAACAAGTCATATTTATTTTGATTTATATATGTCATATATGTAAATTATGTCTGCTATAATTCCTTTTTTTCTTTCAATTGAATGTTTTCATTTTTAAGGCCTAGAGATTAGAGTTCAAGTAAAGATATTATAGGAAAGCAAGGAAGAACTCTTTTATCTTACTGTAGAACAAATTTTTAGAGGAATAAAAGGAGAAAAGGATATATTGGACATATTTGATTTTGATTTCACTCCCTATTCTAAATAAAAAAAAATACACTGCCCTTTCTGTTAGCTTTAGTATTTTAAGGGTAAATTTCAAAAAGTTAATTTAGTGTAAGTGTTTCTCACGGTGTTTTTGGCAGAACCGGTATCCCAAACTGGAAGAGGTTCTCTGTATTTAATTTCCTCTCAGGAAGTTTACCGTCAGAAGTCCAAATGTGAGGTCAAGTTTTGGGTTGCCGGAAATGGTAATGTCCTTTACTGTCTGAACACCCAGACAACACTTAATGAAACATTCTACTTTGTGGACATTGAAAGAAATTAAAATGCTTTGTTTCCTCCTTTTTATGATTGGTGATTTCTGTATTCAGTCTTCTAAAACTCAGAAACAAGACTATGTGTAAGTAAGAGCATCTGCATTCTCAGGATCAAGTTATAACTGCAGATTTTCAGTTACAGGTGATATCCATCTTTTTTTTCCTTCCTAAAAATAAAAATGTACTTACTTCAGGCCAAAGGAGAGGCAAGCTTTAGAACTCATTAGCCTTCAAGAAAAACAATTCCAGAGCATTCTAAACCTGATTTCTTTCTAACTCTGTTTGAGTTGACCTGAGGACTTTTACAGGTTAAAGCAGTGAGTCATTATATCTCACATTCATACAGCTCTACATATTTGTCAAAGTGCTTACTCATCTAATATCTAATATGATCTTAATAAGAACCTTGTGAATGTCATTATCTTATAGATGAAAAAATGATATCTTCATAAGATACAGTTTGCTCAAGATCACAAAACTAGAAAATGTAGTTTGAACACTTCTGATTTCAAAGCCAGAGTCTTCTCCACTGCCCCATGCTGTACTGTTTTTGAGAATTTGTGATTTCCTGGTGTTGTATTATTTTTACCATTGATGAGATTTTTGCCTGTGATTTATCCTGAATCAAAATAGATACTGTGATATGATACTAAAGTAATTGTTACCAAACAAAAAGTTGTGCTAGCATTCTTATGAAGTACAGCACTAAAGATTTTCAAAACATTTTGTTATTTTTACATAATTGGTCATGTAAATTTCTGGTAGGACACTCCTTATGAGATTACAACCCATTCTAATTTATGCTAGCTATTTATTGTTAAGCAGTATGTTGTTTTTATTACAAAACCTCCTTTAATCATTGCATCAGTCTCTGGCAGAATATTAAAAACAACTCCCATAATCCCTGGCACTCTGTCCTGGGTGTCTTTGGGGGTACAGTGGCTTTATTTCCTTCCCTAATAGTTCGGAAGTTTGTTTAATACTGACTCAGAGGAAGCATTCTAGCTGAGTCCTCACATGGTCTTGTTTACAGCTCCGGAGTGTACATAATAGATAAGCTACTGACTTCCACAAGACCCCCACGCTTCCTGGGTGTGTGGGTGTGTGTGCTTGTGCTTGTGAATTAAGGTTGTGCAATCTCCCTGCTAGCTGCATCAGGTTGCAAAGTCATTTACTTCTCTAAAATATTCCTCTAGCCAGCCTGACTTGATAAACCAAAATCATTGTATTCCATGGTGGACATGCTGGTAACTCATGATAAACACTAAAAATCCTACGGGTTTATAACAAGATAAAACCTGATATTGGGGCAGGGTGTAGAGAAATTTGCCCAAGGAAATATTGTGAAATAAAGTTGCAAATGGCTATAGATGAATGCTTTTCTATCTATAGGATTTCTTTTCTTGATTGTAATTATAAATTCTTTTACTGGTTGTAAATATAATTATGATTCTTATGTTACCCAGTCTGTACCAAGAACTTTGTTAGGCCAACAACATCTTACTTGATTGTAGTAGTAACCTTAAAAGATAAATATAGGTATAATGCTTTTTCAGAAGAAAAACTGGAGAATTCAAACATGTTCTGCATTGCACAGATGGTAAATGAGTGATGAATAGGGTCCTTTGACTCCAAAGATCAACTAGGTTCTTTCCACATATCTCTCTTTGGTTCCCTTTTTTGATATGACTGTATGAAATATAATTGTATTTACATAAAGTGCAGTAGAGTTCATTAGAAAAACTATTTCTGAATCTTAGGGTTCAGACTAAAGGTGTTTGGAGGCTGATGATAGTGGGCTGCAAAGAGCTTCATGGTGGGCTGCGAATAGCTTCATCAAACCCTTGAATGTGTCAGGAAAGGCAGATTCAAGGCAGAAATGTCACATGGACCCCAGATAATTCTTGCCTGGAGGAAAAGAACATATACATAATTATGTGTGTAATCCATCTTGGACATAGTACTAAGGTGATTAAATTAATCATGATTGAGTGTTGAGTGTTAAAATCCAAATGCAAATATCCTTCAACCAACTTTTTGCACCAAAACTAAGTAGACTTTATCATCTCAAAATAGTGCTTACTAAATATAGTCACTCTTTGTAACTCTTAGTTTTAAAAACCATAATAATTGTTTCCCTCTGTTTTCTCTCCTGAGCTGCTACTGCTGCTGTTGCTGCTAAAATATAAGGTATACCATGTATCACTTTTGCAGAAGACAGCTTTGTTTTTGTAAAGTGCCTGGAATGGAGTTTGTGGGTATATTGATTGCAGGCACTGAAAGACCTAGATGAATATGTAAGAATGACCACAAGCCACCAGATGTGGGTGTATTTATCCGTTTGCCTCATTACTAAAAGGTTTTAGTTCCAAAAAATATCCAGAAGAATTTAGTTTTGGGGAACTAGAGAGGCAGGGGGAGTGGAATTAAATTTTTTGAATTTTTAAACAAGTAATTTGAGCTTCCAATTGATATATTGTAATTTCTTTGCATTGGAATACTGATTTCTTAAGGAGTAGTTGCAGAAAGATTTTCTTTAGAAATTAGAAATTGACAGCCAGGTGTGGTGGCTCATGCCTGTAATCCCAGCACTTCGGGAGGCCAAGACCAGTGGATCACAAGGTCAGGAGATCGAGACCATCCTGGCTAACACGGTGGAACCCTGTCTCTTCTAAAAATACAAAAAATTAGCCGGGCATGGTGGTGGGCGCCTGTAGTCCCAGCTACTTGGGAGGCTGAGGCAGGAGAATGGCGGGAACAGGGAGGCGGAGCTTGCAGTGAGCTGAGACTGCGCCACTGCACTCCAGCCTGGGCAACAGAGCGAGACTCTGTCTCAAAAAAAAAAAAAAAAAAAAAAGGAAATTAGAAATTGACTTTGAAATTCATTTATTATGTAAACAGGAAGATATTTTATTGCAAAGACAATTGGAAATTGGAAAGTGTAATTAGTTATTAAAACAGCAATTAAGACATTTTGTGGGCTTAGATATATGTGTGTGTTTGCCTTGGTGGCATGTGCTCTGCTCCATTTGCACATTAAATTATGCCCATATAGTTATATCTGGTATTCTGCTCCTTAAATAAGTCATTTAGTTTCATTGATAGAGGGTAAATGAAGTTCTTTTTCATTCTTTTCAGAGATAGCATAGGGTAGTGGTAAGGATATTTCGTTTTGGAGTCAGTCTGCTTGGATTAAAATCCAAGGTCACCTCCATTAAGCTTTGTAACCTTGGGCAAGTTAGTAAATCTGTGTCTCAGTTTCTTTATCTGAAAAATGGAGATAATACTGTTACTTATTTCACTGGGTTCTTATGATGATTAAGATGAAAAATTATGTAAAGATCTGGCATATAATAAGAGATCAAAATAGAAATTTTAAAACATTTAAATTATATATATAGTAGTATTTGCCTTTTTTGGTTTACAGTTCTGAGTTTTAATACATGCAAAGCTTATTGTAACCAACAAAACATCAACACAATAGGATACAGAAAAATTTCCACACTCCCCAAAATTCTTTTTGCCTCTTTATCTTCAGACATATCACCTCCCTTCCATTCCACCAAATCCTCGCTACAACTGATGTATTTTCTGTTCCTATAGTTTTGCTTCTTGAGACTGCCATAGAAATGGAATCATACCATATGTAATCTTTTGAGACCTAGTATAATGTCTTTGAAGTACAACCTGATTTTCTTAGGCTCTTATCTGAAGAGCTGATTTCACCACGGAAAAGGAATTAGAGGAGGTGTTTATTTTTATTTTTAATTTTTGATCAAGGGGAAGAAAAATAAAACTCAGATTAATATCATCCAAAAGGAGAGTTTGGATTTGTATGAGAATTATTTTTCAGCATTTCAAACTATCAAATAGGATGTATCTTCAAGAGGAAATTACTTTCTTGTCATTAAGTACAATGAAATATAAGCTAAAGAGCCACTTGGAATGCGAAATGCAGAAAAATTCTAGAGAGTCAAATATAAATTAAATGATATATATTTGATTCTAGAAAGTCAAATATAAATTAAGTGTTGATGATGGTGGTGTGTGGTGTGTGTGTGCTGCGGGTGGAGTGGGGGCAAAGTGTTGGAAGGTCACCAATAATCCCAAATAACCCATAAACATAACCAGAGTAGCTTAGTATCATCTGGGGGCAAGTTAGCTACTGTTGGGGGTCTTGGAGAAGACTTAGACCCTAATCATCTCCCAATGCACTACATGAGTAGGGAGGTTAAGAAGCAGCTATTATGAAAGGGGGAAGAGAGACCATGTCTTCACCAGGACCGGGAGAATGATGGCATGGGAGAGGGTGAGAAGTGAAGTAAGGGAAGGAGCTGAGCGGGTGGCTGCCTAGATAAAGCTGCAACTGGGGAGGAGTTGTATGTCAAAACAAAAACACTGCATATTTGATCCTTAATAAGGAAATAATTTTTATGATTTTTACCGCATAGTTTCCTAATTTATTTGTGTGTATATACATGTATACTAAAATGTGATATTAGATGTATAGATGTGTTTTTAACTCAACCCATCTTAAATTTGCAAATCAGTTAACTTGCTCCTGAAAAATTTAGAGTTTACCGTATCAGCCACGATTTTCTAGGCATGTACTAGGGTAATGTATATGCTATTTGATTTTTTCTTATTTTTAAAAAAATTTCAATAGTTTTGGGGGTACTGGTGGTTTTTGGTTACATGGATAAATTCTTTAGTGGTAAATTCTGAGATTTTAGTGTACGCTGTACCCAATATGCAGTCTTTTATCCCTCATTCCTCTACCAACCTCTTCCCCTACCCGCCAAATCCCCAAAGTCCATTATATCTCTCTGCATGTCTTTACATTCTCATAGCTTAGCTCCTGCTTATAAGTGAGAACATGGCCGGGCGCGGTGGCTCATGCCTGTAATCCCTCACTTTGGGAGGCTGAGGCGGACAGATCACGAGGTCAGGGGATCGAGACCATCCTGGCTAACACTGTGAAACCCCGTCTCTACTAAAAATACAAAAAATTAGCCGGGCGTGGTGGCGGGCACTTGTAGTCCCAGCTACTCAGGAGGCTGAGGCAGGAGAATGGCCTGAACCCGGGAGGCGGAGCTTGCAGTGAGCCGAGATGCCACCACTGCACTCCAGCCTGGGCAACAGAGCGAGACTCCATCTCAAGAAAAAAAAAAAAGTGAGAACACACGGTATTTGGTTTTTCATTTCTGAGTTACTTCACTTAGAATAATGGCCTCCGGTTCCATCCAAGTTGCTGCAAAACACTTTATTTTGTTTTTTTTTTTTTTTATGGCTGAGTAGTATTCCTTGGTGTGTATATATATCAAATTTTCTTTATCCACTAGTTGGTTGATGGGCACCTAGGTTGGTTAACTATCTTTGCAATTGCAAACTGTTATTTACAAGTATTACAATTGTAAGTAACAATTTGATTGCAATTATAATTATTATTTAATACTTGAGAGAAAACTCTTCGGGAGAAATTTTTTCCATTTCATAGATGAGGAAACTGAGGTTCTGAGAAGTGAAATGAGGTACCCAGAGACGTGCAGATCATAAAAGCAGGCAGAGACAGAATTTGTTCTCAGAAATGTCTGTTCATCTTCTGAGCCTACGCTCTTCTCTTTGCTGGGCTTTTGCTATTTTCTCTGCTTTTACATGGTGGTGAGAATGTAGGGTTTTGAGTCTTCTTTCTATTTTAAAATCTATGATCCAATTTAAAATGATGGAAAACAGTGTCTCAAATTTTAAAGTATAATCTATAATGATACTTTCTCCTTGTGTCTTTTATTGTTACTGACTGAACTTAGCAAGGAATTTAGGAAAAAGGTAAAGCTATGGAAAAATCTTAGAATTAGAAGGCCTGAGTCAAAATTTCAGTTCTGCTCATTATAGCTGCTTGGCCTTTCTCAGCTTGTGTTCTCTGGTAAATTTGAAATGATAATATTTGTTAATATTATGAGTTATTATGTGGTTTAAATGAGAAAAATTATAGGCAAATGTGTAGCTATGCTTATCACATGGTAGATATTTAATGGAGTTTGAGAAATTAGAAGAAAATATAATTAAGAAGCATGTTTCAAGACTTAAGTATAAGAAAAAAGGGTGTGGCTTTATTTATTTATTTAGACTAGTTAATTTGGGGTTCTGGTTTGTGCTCGGTGGTTTTAGAGGAGGACGCACAGGATATTTTTTTTTAAGCATAAAGGTAACGAAAGATGTGTCTGTAGGCAAATCTATAGATATGATTACATAAAACATTTACTTCTGAATATTTATAACATAATAAACAAATGTAGTTTTAGAGGAGGAGGATGCACATGTCAGTATTTCATTTACCTTCAATTCCGTCTCATGCGTATAAGTATGAATCTAGTTAGATCAACAGGGAATACACTGGATAAATTAAATTTAAGTATGAGATGTATAAAGAATTGTTTTTGTCCATGATAGTTTTCACCAAAATAATATGCTTTTTACTCTATTCCCATCTTAATTCCTCTCAATTTAAGATGAATACATTTCTCTGAGATTTTCTTACAAAAAGTAAAGAAAGCCAAGTTAGGTTCAGACATTATTTGTATTTTCTTTATTTAGCACTTGTTCTTTTTTCTTAAACCACTTCTTTCTGATCTGAGGAAAATGCAAATGTGAGCAGTCAGGGAATTCATGATTCGTTAGAATTTAACTGTAACATAATTTGTGGGCTGTGGCTGCATTACTCCATTTTGAGACTGATATCTTCCCCCCCCCCTTTTTTTTTTTTTTTGCTATGCTCTTGAAATTCAGTACCACTCATCAAAAATACTTATTGAAAGTTTGTTTCCAGCAACTCACATGCTGGGACTTGTTGACAAGAGGAATAAAGCCTAGCACACCAAGTGAGGACATAGAAATTTTGGAAACCATCAAGGAGTCAGTGCCTGGTCAGGTAGGAAAGAAGAGAAGCCAGCATGGGTAAAAATGAGGATTGATGATTATGAAAGCAGGATGCTCAGCTGTAGGTAGCTGCAAAATTGTTAAAGCAGGAGGAGGGAGGGCAACACTTCAAATTACTGCTGGAAGCTTGGCTGCTTCCCCAGAGCATAGCCATTTCATTAATCCTGGCAGCCCTAGTGTGTGATCCTTCCACTTTTTAAAAGGCACAGATCACAGCTTAAGATACCATATGTCAGCAATCTACAGATTTGTTGGAATTAACAGAGAAGAGAGTTTATGCAAAGTTCACTTGTTGAATGTGCTTTTAAGGATGACTGTAAGCATGATATTTGCCCTATTTGTTTATGACTATGGTGAGGATTTTTATGTCTTCTGCTCACGATTCCTCATTATACAAGTGACTCAGAGGTGGTCATTGATGAAAGGCACAGAGTAATAATGTTAGGTTTTACTCTATTCCTTGCTTCAGTCAAATTGATCACCTAGAATTGAAGTTAATTGCAAAAACGTTTAATGCAGAGTGCTCAAAAGCTAAAAAGATCTTTCGTGTGTTTCTTAAGCCCCTTTGGTGTATTTGACAGGTTACATAATACCCATTTTTTTCTAAAAGCTGGCATCTTTACTCCGGAAATTACTGAAAAAGACATGGCAAACATTTTCAGCGCTTTCCCAGTGAATATGAATTTATTTTTAATTTTTCCCACAGTTATCAGACATTATCAACATTTCTGTTTTTTAAAAATTAAAAATACACTGCTTTATACCTTACAAGAATTCCTCAGCAACCTCTCACCTACATTTGTACCTTACAGGAAACTCATGATATAGATATTATTTTCTCCATTTTGTGGTGGAGAAGACAGAATCAGAGAAGTTAAGTACTTTTTCTAAGAACACAGAGTCAGTAAAGAAATAAAACCAGCTTTTGAATCTTTGTACACTTACCCCAGAATCTCTCCTCTCTCTCCTAGAGCATACAGCTTTTGTATAGATGCTGACAAAATATGGGGTGATATAGATGATGTTCATGGAAATGAATTTATTGTCTTTGCAATAATAGTCTCTTGCCCTTACCTTTTATCTCTCATTTTTTCCCAGTTCATTTAACAAGTCTATTCACCAGTTACAAAATCATAGTAATGTGGTACAGGCACAACATTCAACAGTAAGAGGAAGTCATGTTATCAGGAAGGTAAGAAACATGCCAGAGTATATATATAGAGATCTATTAGGTCAGGTGATATCTTAAATCAGTAAGAAAAAGAAAAAAATGATTGGCTTACTATTTAGAAAATAATAAACTAAGATCCCAACTGATCCCATAAGCCATACAACAAAATGAATTCCAGATGGATAAAAAGTGTAAAAGTAAAAAGTAAGTCATTAAAAAAATCCTATAAGAACATAAATATTTAGCTCATCTCAGGAGATGGCAGGATTTTTTAAGCATAAATGTAACAAAGGGAGGTTCTGCCTATAGACAAATCTATAGATATGATCACATAAAACATTTAATTCTGTATATTTATAATAAACAAAATAAAAATCAAGCGCAAATGGGAAACTATTTGGCATCAGATAAAAGATTGTTATTTTTAAAATATCAAAAGCCCTTACAAATCAAAGACAAAAAAATATAATACCAAGACTACAATTAAAACATGGGTAAAAAATATAATCAGACAATTTAATGCAGAAGACATACAAATGGCTTTTTATTAAAATATTTAAACCCATTTTGTAAAGAAAACATTAATTACAATAAGCTGTACTTTATAAAAATAGAATGGATGTTTCAAGATACATATATCTAATTTTGGTCATGGTATAGTGAAATGGACGCATATATATTGGTGGGACTATAATTTTGTGCAAACTTTCTGGAATGTATTTTTAAAATAGTTTTTAAGAACCTCAAAGAGGCCGGGAGCTGTGGCTCATGACTGTAATTCCAGCACTTTGGGAGGCAGAGGTGGGTGGATTGCTTGAGCCCAGGAGTTTGAGACCAGCCAGGGCAACATAGTGAAACCCTGTCTCTACAAAAAATACAAAAATTAGCTGGATGTAGAGGTATGTGCCTGTACTCCAGACTACGTGGAAGGCTGAGGTCAGAGGATCTGTTGAGCCTGGCGGCAGGCCGAGGCTGCAGTTAGCTGTGATGGCACCGCTGTACTCCAGCCTGGAAAAAAGAGGGAGAATCTGTCTCAAAAAAAAAAAAAAAAAAAAAATTCCACCCCCAAAAACCACAAAACCCCAAAACAAAAAAATAAAAACCTCAAAGAACTTCATGTCTTTGACTTATAATGCTCCTTCCTTAAATATACTCTATGATTTTAGTTGAAATTTCAAACAAACAACAACAAAATATAAATATATAATGTACATATATTTGTATTTTGATATTTTAAAAAAGCTTTTTATTATTGACATTTTCCATCAACATAAAAGTAGAAAGAGTATTATAATAAATCTCTATGTACTCACTACCCAGTTTTGAAAATTGTTAATATTTTTCTAGTCTTATTTTATCTATTTTATTCTCTCTCTCTACAGGATTACCTTAAAGCAAATCCAAAGCTTCTTATTATTTTATTTGTAAGCTCTCTGTATAATAAAAGCTTTAAAAAGTAACCAAAGGCTATTATTAAGTTTAAGAGAATTGAACAAGTTTAGGCTCAAATTTCTCAATTGTCTCAAGAATGTCTTTTTTACAACTGTTTTGTTCACATTAGAATCCAAACAAGGTCTACATATTGCATGTGGTATTCATATGGCCTCTTAAGTTTCTTTCAATGTATAACAGTTTCCCCTTCCCTCTTTCTCCTGTTACTTATTTGATAAATAAATTAAGTATTTTGTCCTGTAGAATGTCTCGCATTCTAGATCTAGTTGATGGCTACTTTATGGTATCATTTGTTTTTTTCCTCCTGTATCACTCTTATTTTCCATCAGCTAGTATTTAAAGTGGAAGGATTGATTAGAGTCAGGCTCATTTCTATTTTTATTTTTTGGCAAGAATACTTTATATCTGAGATTCTGTACTCCTGTTGTACGACACCAGAAGGCATGTAACTTCTGGTTACTCCACTTTTAGTGATGTTAAGATTTATTAGTAGGTTCTGGTGAGTCCTCCATTATCGAGGTCCTCACTGAAATTTTACCTAATGGTTATAACATTCATTAGTGACTGTTTCCTAGATCTATAATTTCATTAAGATTTATAAAATGGTATTTTTCTAACTCTGTTGATTATTTCACATTAATTAGATAGTAATTTTCTGTAAAGAAAATCTTTCTCTCTCCAACAATTTTTTACCCTAAAACAGTTCATGCTGAAAAAGCATGTATACACTTGTTTTTCCCCTCTATGAATCGATTTTCAGAATAATGAGTTGGTGACCTTGCAACCTCCATCTTGTTGGTTTATGATAGAGAAAACTGGTTAATAACATAAATGTCCAAAAATAGAAGATATATTGTGGTATGCCCATGCCGGAGAGCCATGTTGTAAATATTGTGCAGTCTTTAAGTTTCAAAGAATATTTAATAACACAGAAAAATATTCAGGATAAAGTGGAAGTAAAAAACCCCAGAATATGTACATAGTGTGATTCAAATGTTATCTAAAATATATGCATTGTAGAATGCTGTCTTAGCCTCAGACACTAACATGATTATCATAGGTTTGTAAGTTTTAGGGTCTTCCAACTTGAATCTTTGTTTTCTATAGGACCTTTTATAAAATACATGATTTTTGTCATTAAAAGAAAATGTAAATTTGTTTAAAAGGAAGGTCTCTGGATGGATCATCATACATGGAGAGATTCATGGGTGTTGATCTTTGCTCCCGCTTAATTTTTAATTTTTATTATAACTTTGAACCTTATCTCCTACATCTAAACCAGTCTTCATGGTGCTAACCGAGCAACTGGATGGATTGAAAACATGCTCAATTCTGTAGATTCTGAGACATCTTTTTAGTTAAACAGAACTCTTTCTGTTGACTCACATAATAAGAATATGGTCTTATTAAGTCATACTCATCTCAATTTGACCAGTTCAGAAAACAGATAACTGAATTACCTTTGTGTCTTTGTGTGTGTGTGTGTGTGTGTGTGTGTGTGTGTGTGTATTTTATCAGCTGATCCATTGATCCATATCAGATGAAGAAATGAACCACAGTCTCAAGATTCGGTCTTCCTGCTAGGGCCAGTTTGCTTGTTGCTGATGCAATGAGTGAAAGGAACTTTGCTTGTTGCTTAGTTTTATGATGAATGAAGGGAACAAACACACTGGTTTTTACTTTTATAAATTCCCAGTGATCCCCAAGAAAGTAACTGGATCCTCCAGGAAATCCCAGTGGCCTAGTTTCTATCAGTGTAAAATAAGGATCAGATGATATGACTCATAGGGCTGTTGCCAGCAGAATGTATGTAAAATTTCTGCCACGATATTTAGCAATCAAAAAGTTTGCAACAAATGCTTGTTTTCTCTTCTCTCTTCCCAAAAATAAAAGGAAGCTGTCTTTTCCATTTTTACTATATTCTAATGTTAGAGAGCCAATTCTGGCATCAGACTGCCTAGATTCAAATCCAGCTCTACTCTTGGATTTGGGCAAGTGATATAAGTAAACTCTTTGTGACTCAGCTTTTAAATCTGAAAATTGGGATACTAATAGTGCCTACTTATAGACTGTTATGCATATTAAATGAGTTAGTGAATGTATAGTATTAAAACTTTTTCCTGGCATAAAATAGGAACTATAAGAGTATAAACTATTATCTTTTTTATCTGCCTAGTGGAAAAACATTTCCAAGCTCAAGGTTCAAGGCACCCCCTCCTTGGATGATGTAGGAGATGTACTCTGACCACTTCTTGTTTTTTACTTCTCTTTTTCTGGGTCCTATATAAACCTTCTTCTTTCTGTTGATGTATTTAATTCTTATAGCCACAAATTTAGATTTTGATAAATTAGATAAATGTTTTCTCCTGCATTATTAAGTGATTAGGATTATGTGAAGTTTGTCCCCTTTTCTTGTTGTCGTTGTAGTGGTCATGTGTGTGCCTAAGTGTCTGTGGGTGCCTGCATGTGTGAGTTGAGGTCCTGAAATATGGTATTACAGTCTCCCTGATAACTTAGGTGCAGTTGCAACTTTCCAGACATTTATTTTCTGACTAATCTTTCTTTTTGGTTAATTTCTACAGATTTTTGCTTCTGTCATGTGAAATTTTACTAGTATATTGCTCAAAAGGTAAACATGGCACTGTTCCTGGTAATGGGTGGGAATGGGATGACCTAACCTCTTCCAAATGTGTTTACAATAGAAGGATTATTAGATGAGTTTAGGAGAGGCTGCTGGATGGCTCAGAGATAGGGACAATCCACATGGATTCAAGGAAAATAATGCTTAGTTAGTATATGAGGAGCATGAGGTCCTAATGGAAGCATTACTTTCCAAATATAGGGACTGTATCAGAAAACGTTTCCTGCTCACAGTGAAATAAATAAATAGATCAAAAGTGGATATAATATACCCTCTAGGGCAGTAAGTTAAAATGATACCATAAAGTAAATTTTCAAAATGTGCTGCTGATGAGACCAAGATGGCCATCCTAATTAGTCATAGGCACCAAGGTGTTTCTCAAGTTCCCCCAAAGTGATCAGGGTGTGTGCCTTAGAAAAACAGAACAGTCATAGTTTAACACTCATATGATAATGTCATGTGGTTGAAACAGATCCAGTTATAGAAATGGAGTCTGGAAAAGTGAATGCCGATAAATAAAGCCTTTTCATCAGGCAGCCAGAAGTTCTCAGAATTCAAGGTAATTTGATTCTGAGGACAGGCCCCAGTTGACTGCATAGAAATAACTATCTAGGAAAAGGACAATTCATTCAGATACTCTACTCTATGGAAACGATTGATTAAGAGCATGCATGTCCAGCTGTTTTAATTCTGTGCTCACAAGGGCACAGACTGAGGTGCTGTTTGTTCTACTGATTGTTCATACCCAGCAGGAGAAAGTCATTTGTGCAAATGTCTGTTGATAGTGGTACTGTTAGTTGAACTTTCTATCTGGGGCAGATCACACAGGGCCTAGTTAGGCCACAGTAGCGATTTGGAGGGTTGGGAAGCCATTTGTGTATTTCAAAGGAGGAAGTGAGAGAAAAATGTGGTGCTATTTATAGATGTATAAAATGTGAAATTGGAAACATCATCTGCTTGAACTATTTTAAATTTAAAAAAGAGTCATTTGTTTTTCATTCACCAAAACTTTGGAAACCCTAAAATAGTGTGTGAATATACATGAATTGGCTTATGTGATTGAAGCCTGGAAATTCAGATAACAGTTGATATTGTAGTATTGAGCCTGAATTCCACAGGGCAAGAGGCTGGAGACTCAGCCAGGGTTTTTGTGTTGCAATCTTAAGGTGAATTTCTCCCTGTTCAGGAAACCTCAGTCTGTGCTGTTACAGCCTCCCACTGATTGGATGAGGCCCACCCACATTATGGAAGGCAACCTGCTTTACTCAAAGTCTACTAATTAAATGTTAATTGTATCTAAAAAATAGCATCACAGCAACATCTAGCCTGGTGTTTGACAAAACACTTGGCACCGTCAACTAGCCAGATTGACACAGAAAATTAACCATTCCAGATAATAAAGAATTTATGATATCACCCTCAGTTTAGAGGTGACTTTGTTAGCCAGGAAAGGCAATTGACTGTTTTTGTTTTAGGCCTGCAATCAGTAAGAGAGAGGACCGCTCTTCTTATCAGCTTCACACTTGGAAGGGGAGGCATAAGATAGCTAGAGCACTTTATAGCCCCTTGGAAGTCTAAGGTGATAAGCATGATTATTTGAACACAACCCTTTTTGTCCTATTATCACGCAACCTTTTTATTGTGTGATAAGTCAGTGATAAGGGCTGATGTCCCCTAACTTCATTATTGACATTAAAGAAACTTACTAATTGATGTTTTTATTAATTTGCTAATTAAAAAATGAATGCCTTCATTGCTAGTGAACAATCTTTTCTTCTTAGAAGGCAATATTTACAAAACCCATATGACCATGTTTAAAGAAGATGAAAAAGAATATTGGAATGAATTTTGGAAGGTCGTTAACAATTTTGTTTGAGGACAGAAAAGGGAGCGTTTCCTTCTTACTTTCTAGTTTTAGAAGTCTTTCCCTGTACATTGTGGAGTCATGGTGATAAATATACCATGGTTGGTGATAAATATACCATGGTTGGTGATAAATATACCAAACAACAGAGAAACCTAATATATATACAGCCCCAAGCTTATTAAATATCACCTAAGATTGACAAGAAAAAAACTAGTTTCTTAGAAAAAAATGGTATTTATTTACTTATTACTTTTTTTTTTCTTTTAAAGAGACAAGATCTTGTTCTATTGTCTGGGCTGGAGTATAGTGAAATGATCATAGCTCACTGTAGCCTCCAACTCCTTGGCTCAAATGATCCTCTCACCTCACCCTCCTGAGTTGCTGGGACTACAGCTGTGTGCCATCATATCCAGCTATATTTTTTATTTTTTGTAAAGGTGGAGTCTCACTATGTTGCCCAGGCTGGGCTTGAACTCCTGGGCTCAAGCGATCCTCCCACCTCAGCCTTCCAAGTAGCTGGGACTACAAGTGTTTGCCACCATGCCCAGCTAAATTTTAAAATTTGTTTGGAGGTGGGGTCTTGTTATGTTGCCCCAGCTGGCTCATTATTTAATTATAAGACAGTTAAAGGTCACTTTGTGATGCATTATTTGAAACAAAAATAATCATAACGATTTCTAATGATTTTCCATAAATTTTAATTTAAACTCTGACTCAAATTCATTCAGATCAAGTTTCAATAAAATAAATAGCATCAAGAGCAAATGGTGTATTATCAATTGATAGTGTCCAGTGCTAATAAACATGAGTTTGAGTCTGACATGAGCCATTTGGTTTCAAGGCCTATGCTTTAGGTTACATTCCAAGGTTTTAGCCTATGTTTCCACCCCTCTGAAATATATCCTTAGCCACTAAGGGAACGTAGCAAGAGGTTATGGGTAAATGAATATGTGCAAATGCTCCTGTGAGAAAACAACTCAGACTTACAGGCAGTTGAGATGTAGTGGTGGGTAAATTATGTCATTGCTATGTCATGGATGAATATGAAGAGGTAGCATCATCCTTTCTGTCATTAAAAAAATGACATTTTAACTTTCTTTTGAAATCAGCTAGCAAGTAATGCATTTATGTTGTGTGTATCAAAGTATACAATAAATGTTGCTACTATTGTTTATTAGATGTTTAAAATCATTTTTCTCTCTCATCTATATTACTTACAAATTGTTGAGACTGAAAACTGAACTTCTAACTAATTCTATTCATTATCTCATCTTGAACATTACTCATCCATATGCAGGATTTGTGTAAATGAATGTTTTTTCTTTGTTTATGGGACCTAACTTAAATAATGGTTCCATTGTGACACTCTTGTGCAGTGAAATGGAAGTTTCTGTGGGTCTAAGATTTGCTGAGGGCCTCCCATAGGCCAGGCACTGATGTAGAAATATTTAGGTCAGGCACGGTGGCTGATGCCTGTAATCCCAGCACTTTGGGAGGCCGAGGCAGGTGGATCACTGAGGTCAGGAATTAGAGACCAGCCTGGTCAACATGGTGAAACCCTGTCTCTACTAAAAATATAAGAAAGTAGCTGGGCGTGGTGGCACATGCCTGTAATCCCAGCCACTCGGGAGGCTGAAGCAGGAGAACCGTTTGAACCCGGGAGGCAGAGGTTGCAGTGAGCCGAGATCACGCCACTGCACTCCAGCCTGGGCGACAAAGTGAGACTTCATCTCAAAAATAAAAAATAATAAAAAAAGAAATATTTAAAGCAGTCCTCTGCCCTCTAGGAGTTTACAGTCTCATGGGGGACCCAGGAAAAGGAACACTTGTAGTATATTTTAAACAATGATATAAAAGGGTTTTGCACAGAATTATGCTTCCTCTTCTAGCTTTTCTTGCACCACCCACAAATGCTTTGTCATAGGCCCTATTATTTTTGCCTGCTCAGCGTTCCTTGCATCTTCTCTACCAGGACCCCAATTTTCCTTTGTGAATCATACCTTTCCAATTATGATCTGTCATTTGAAGTATACCAGGCTGTCATTCAAGGTTGACTGTATTCCTTTAACCAAGGGACAGATATTTGACCCAAGAGAGGCTAACCTACATCTCTTCCACCAACTTGAGTCTTAGTCAGTGACTTAAGAAGTGAGAGTGGTTGGAGGCTTAATTCCCATGGTCACATCCTAAAGAGATTATCCAACCTGCCTTGACAACCGGTACTTCCTAGTCCTGCATGAAACCTAGTTGTTAAAGTTTACTTTGATTTTGTGAACAAGCTACTTCATCCCATATCTTTCCATAAATTCCTTAAAAATTTTAGTTTACATTATTTTAAAACAAAGAATCCCTGATATGATCGGAGATTCAATAGCAAAGCTCTCTCTAATTCTCCTTTTTCCGCCTATACCTTCATCCTGTCCTCATGAAAATTGCATTCATTTTTCTTCCATTGTCTACATTTTGCCTCTAGAGTATAGCGATTGCCATTTGAGGAAGATTCTTGGCCCAATTGAGGCAGATTTGGATTTACTCTTATATTAATCTTATTGGGTGGGAATTAGAATGATTATTTTTGAGAGTCAATTGTACATATTCTATCTCATTTAACTATTACAATAAATCTATGGATAATTATCTCAATTTTATAGTTAAGGAAACAGTAGTTCAGATAGGTTAAGGAAATGGTTCAAGTTTATCTACCAGGAATGTGTCAGAGGCTTAATTTGAACACACATCTATCTGACTTCAAAACTCAGACTTTTCTTGGGGATTCCCTGCCATCTGACATCACAACTTTGTTATTTTGAAGACATCACTTCCCTTACCTCTGTGAATCTTAGTTTCATTGTCCATAAAATGGGAGTATGAATACCTATGACATATAGTTGATGATTAAATTGGAAAATATACAGACAGCCCTTAACCTTTGTAGGTGGTCAAAAATGTGGATGCTTTCTACTTCACATGTTACCATATTTGATTTATAAGACTGGTGAATTCTTTCGAATTACGGTGAATTTAAAATCTTGATTGAACTAGTCATTTCTAGTTATAGCATACTTTAGCAAAATTTTCACCAGAACATCTAGCAGCCAAAAAACATTAAATTCCATTATGGTCTCCTCATTCCCTCTATCCCTATACCTTCCCAACTACTGGGAAAAATGCTAACAAACAATAAAACATCTGTAGTAGAACGTCAATGACAAAGGCCATTCATAAATTCAAACTCTTAGTAAGTGGAAATTGCTCTTTGCATATTTGCCCCTGGGATTACATATTTGCTTATTGTGTTTCACATGTCATTTGTCAGCTTAAAAAATTTAACTCATTTTTATAATATTTTAGAATTTATATATATTCAGACATTCTTATATATATGTGTGTGGTATATATATGTGTGTATATTTATGTGTGTGTGTATATATATGTGTGTATGTGTGTGTGTGTGTGTGTATATGTATATATATAGTCCTATAAGTTTAGAGGGAATTTTCAGTATAGCAGTGGAAATAATAGCAGTTCTTTCTCACAGTGTTGTTGTGAGGCATAAATAAATAATATATGATAATAGTGCTTAGTGCAGAGTAAGTGCTCAGTAATTGCTAGCTATGATTATTAGGACAGTTATATTTCCAGCATTTTGAACATAATTGATGCCTAGCAATTTTTTGTTGAATAGTTAACAGTCACAAGAAAAGGTTTCATGAGATAGGTTAGTAGTTGAAAACAAAATATTTTACATTTTACAATGTTTAAATGCAAAGTGTGGAAGAGAAGTAGAATTCAATTTAAAGGTTTTGTTTCTTTTAAATCTAGCAAACTTTTCTGGTGTGAGATGTGATTATTATTGACTCAAATGAAGCTTTCGGTTTTAGCTTCAGGTGTGAGTTTTGCTCATTTTCCTTGCTGCCAGGAAGTAATGCCTGTACTGATAGTTTGAGAGGGAAGTCATACTTTTGAAATGCACCACATTCTAAAGGTAGTTCATTATCCTCACAACTGTAAATGAAACCCACATCCTTTTCTTCTGGCCAAGGTAATGGTAAAAACACCGCAGAAAATACATTTTGTAAGCATGTATTTTATACACTTTGGTCAAAGGGACATTGTTGTGAGAATCACATGTTTAGAGTGGGTGGATGAGGCAGAAGAACTACAGCTTTAGTAGCATCAGATACCAATGTGGAGCTCTATCTATTTGTGAATGGGGAGTCTGAGGAGGGGGTAGAGTAGGAAGGCTAGAAAGGCTGGGGAAGGAGAGATGTGAGGAATTCAATGGAACCAAGGTTAAGGCAGTAGGAATAACTGAAAGCATGATAAATCATGGTCTATTGGAGTAAATCTAAGGTTTACACATCAGGGAAAGAACTTATAAACAACACTTGTGGTGATACTGGCAAGGATACTGGAGACTGGGTCAGAGTTAAGAGTTCAGAGCTGAGTAAAGAACATGAGGATGTGACAGCACACACCTGATGGCCTAACTCTCTTTATGTGTGCAGATCATGCATGGCAAGTCCACTGCTAAAGCAGACCAAGCAGCTTAATACTCTGAGGCAGGACACATTAATTCCTGAGGCAAGTCTTGCTATATGTAAGCAGAAGACTCATATCAGTTTGGAAGGCATGAGAAATTCTCATAAACAAGAGGCTTCATCTTCTATAATAAGATATTTATGTACTACTGTCTACTCAAATATATAGCAGAATAAGAGACCAAAATTGAAATTAAACAAGAGAAGTATCATCGTATCCCATCATAATTGTCTTCTCCACCTCTGTCCCCAACTATGATGAGGAACATGTTACAGGATGTATCAATGGTAGGAGCAATATTTTAGATGGCAAGTTTTTGTAGATTGATGTTGACACAAGTTATACAAATAATTGATTTCTGCATTTACAACTGAGGTATGGGTTCATCTCACTGGGGCTTGTCAAACAGTGGGTGCAGGACAGTGGGTGCAGTGCACCGAGTGTGAGCCGAAGCAGGGTGAGGCATCGCCTCACCAGGGAAGCACAAGGGGTCAGGGAATTCCCTTTCCTAGCCAAGCAAAGCTGTGACAGATGGCACCTGGAAAATTGGGTCACTCCCACCCTAATACTGTGCTTTTCCAGTGGTCTTAGCAAACGGCACACCAGGAGATTATATCCTGCGTGTAGCTTGGAGGGTCCCACGCCCATGGAGCTTCACTCATTGCTAGCACAGCAGTCTGAGATCGAACTGCAAGGTGGCAGTGAGGCTAGGGGAGGGGCGCCCGCCATTGCTGAGGCTTGAGTAGGTAAACAAAGCAGCCAGGAAGCTTGAACTGGGGGAAGCCCACCGCAGCTCAAGGAGGCCTGCCTGCCTCTGTAGAGTCCACCTCTGGGGGCAGGGCATAGCCAAACAAAAGGCAGCAGAAACCTCTGCAGACTTAAATGTCCCTGTCTGACAGCTTTGAAGAGAGTAGTGGTTCTCCCAGCATGCAGCTGGAGATCTGAGAAAGGACAGACTGCCTCCTCATGTGGGTCCCTGACCCCGAGTTGCCTAACTGGGAGGCACCCCCCAGTAGGGGCAGACTGACACCTCACACGGCCGGGTACCCCTCTGAGATGGAACTTCCGGAGAAATGACCAGGCAGCAACATTTGCTGTTCAGCAATATTCGCTGTTCTGCAGCCTCCGCTGCTGATACCCAGGCAAACAGGGTCTGGAGTGGACCTCCAGCAAACTCCAACAGACCTGCAGCTGAGGGTCCTGACTGTTAGAAGGAAAACTAACAAACAGAAAGGACATCCACACCAAAACCCCATCTGTACGTCACCATCATCAAAGACCAAAGGTAGGTAAAACCACAAAGATGGGGAAAAAACAGAGCAGAAAAGCTGAAAATTCTCCAAATCAGAGCGCCTCTCCCCCTCCAAAGGAACGTAGCTCCTCACCAGCAATGGAACAAAGCTGGATGGAGAATGACTTTGACAAGTTGAGAGAAGTAGGCTTCAGATAATCAAACTTCTCCGAGCTAAAGGAGGAAGTTCAAACCCATTGCAAAGAAGCTAAAAATCTTGAAAAAAGATTAGACGAATGACTAACTAGAATAACCAGTGTAGAGAAGTCCTTAAAGGACCTGATGGAGCTGAAAACCATGGCACGAGAAATATGTGACGAATGCACAAGCTTCAGTAGCTGATTCAATCAACTGGAAGAAAGGGTATCAGTGATTGAAGATCAAATGAATGAAATGAAGCGAGAAGAGAAGTTTAGAGAAAACAGAGTAAAAAGAAACGAACAAAGCCTCCAAGAAATATGGAACTATGTGAAAAGACCAAATCTACAACTGATTGGTGTACCTGAAAGTGATAGGGAGAATGGAACCAAGTCGGAAAACACTCTGCAGGATATTATCC
Organism: Homo sapiens; assembly: GCF_000001405.40. Lineage (NCBI taxonomy): Eukaryota > Metazoa > Chordata > Mammalia > Primates > Hominidae > Homo > Homo sapiens. The sequence goes on from NC_000009.12 coordinate 22,178,600, forward strand.
AGGAGAACTTCCCCAACCTAGCAAGGCAGGCCAACATTCAAATTCAGGAAATACAGAGAATGCCATAAAGATACTCCTTGAGAAGAGCAACTCCAAGACACATAATTGTCAGATTCACCAAAGTTGAAATGAAGGAAAAAATGTTAAGGGCAGCCAGAGAGAAAGGTTGGGTTACCCACAAAGGGGAGCCCATCAGACTAACAGCACATCTCTCAGCAGAAACTCTACAAGCCAGAAGAGAGTGGGGGCCAATATTCAACATTCTTAAAGAAAACAATTTTCAACCCAGAATTTCATATCCAGCCAAACTAAGGTTCGTAAGTGAAGGAGAAATAAAATCCTTTACAGGCAAGCAAATGCTGAGAGATTTTGTCACCACCAGACCTGCCCTACAAGAGCTCCTAAAGGAAGCACTAAACATGGAAAGGAACAACCGGTACCAGCCACTGCAAAAACATGCCAAATTGTAAAGACCTTCAATGCTAGGAAGGAACTGCATCAACTAATGAGCAAAATAACCAGCTAACATCATAATGACAGGATCAAATTCACACATAACAATATTAACTTTAAATGTAAATGGGCTAAATGCTCCAATTAAAAGACACAGACTGGCAAATTCGATAGAGTCAAGACCAGTCAGTGTGCTGTATTCAGGAGACACATCACACATGCAGAGACACACATAGGCTCAAAATAAAGGGATGGAGGAAGATCTACCAGGCAAATGGAAAACAAAAAAAGGCAGGGGTTGCAATCTTAGTCTCTCATAAAACAGAGTTTAAACCAACAAAGATCCAAAGAGACAAAGAAGGCCATTACATAATGGTAAAGGGATCAATTCAACAAGAAGAGCTAACTATCCTAAATCTATATGCACCCAATACAGGAGCACCCAGATTCATAAAGCAAGTCCTTAGAGACCTACAAAGAGACTTAGACTCCCACACAATAATAATGGGAGACTTTAACACCCCATTGTCAAATATTAGATCAACAAGGCAGAAAGTTAACAAGATATCCAGGAATTGAACTCAGCTCTGTACCATGCAGACCTAATAGACATCTACAGAACTATCCACTCTAATTCAACAGAATATACGTTCTTCTCAGCACCAGATCACACTTATTCCAAAATTGACCACATAGTTGGGAAGTAAAGCAAATGTAAAAGAACAGAAATTATAACAAACTCTCAGACCACAGTGCAATCAAACTAGAACTCAGGATTAAGAAATTCAACTACATGGAAACTGAACAACCTGCTCCTGAATGACTACTGGGTACATAACGAAATGAAGGCAGAAATAAAGATGTTCTTTGAAACCAATGAGAACAAAGACACAACATACCAGAATCTCTGGGACACATTCAAAGCAGTGTGTAGAGGGAAATTTATAGCACTAAATGCCCACAAGAGAAAGCAGGAAAGATCTAAAATGGACACCCTAACGTCACAATTAAAAGAACTAGAGAAGCAACAGCAAACACATTCAAAAGCTAGCAGAAGGCAAGAAATAACTAAGATCAGAGCAGAACTGAAGGAGATAGAGACATAAAAAACCCTTCAAAAAAATCAATGAATGCAGGAGCTGGTTTTTTAAAAAGATCAACAAAATTGATAGACTGCTAGCAAGACTAATAAAGAAGAAAAGAGAGAAGAATAAAATAGACTCAATAAAAAATGATAAAGGGGATATCACCACTGATCCCACAGAAATACAAACTACTATCAGAGAATACTATAAACACCTCTATGCAAATAAACTAGAAAATCTAGAAGAAATGGATAAATTCCTGGACACATACCCCTTACCAACACTAAACCAGGAAGAAGTTGAATTTCTGAATTGACCAATAACAGGCTCTGAAATTGAGGCAATAATTAATAGCTTACCAACCAAAAAAAGTCCAGGACCAGATGGATTCACAGCCGAATTCTACCAGAGGTACAAGGAAGAGCTGGTACCATTCCTTCTGAAACTATTCCAATCAATAGAAAAAGAGGGAATCCTCCCTAACTCATTTTATGAGGCCAGAATCATCCGGATAACCAAAGCCTGGCAGAGACACAACAAAAAAAGAGAATTTTACACCAATATCCCTGATGAACATCGATGCAAAAATCCTCAATAAAATACTGGCAAACCGAATCCAGCAGCACATCAAAAAGCTCATCCACCATAATCAAGTGGGCTTCATCCATGGGATGCAAGGCTGATTCAACATATGCAAATCAATAAACATAATCCAGCATATAAACAGAACCAAAGACAAAAACCACATGATTATCTCAAGAGATGCAGAAAAGGCCTTTGACAAAATTCAATAGCCCTTTATGCTAAAAACTCTCAATAAATTAGGTATTGATGGGATGTATCTCAAAATAATAAGAGCTATTTATGACAAACCCACAGCCAATATCATACTGAATGGGAAAAAACTGGAAGCATTCCCTTTGAAACCTGGCATACGACAGGAATGCCCTCTCTCACCACTCCTATTCAACATAGTGTTGGAAGTTCTGGACAGGGCAATCAGGCAAGAGAAAGAAAGAAATAAAGGGTATTCAAATAGGAAAAGAGGAAATCAAATTGTCCCTGTTTGCAGATGACATGATTGTATATCTGGAAAGTCCCATCGTCTCAGCCCAAAACCTCCTTAAGCTGATAAGCAACTTCAGCAAAGTCTCAGGACACAAAATCAGTGTGCAAAAATCACAAACATTCTTATACACCAATAACAGTCACATAGAGAGCCAAATCATGAGTGAAATCCCATTCACAATTGCTTCAAAGAGAATAAAATACCTAGGAATCCAACTTATAAGGGATGTGAAGGACCTCTTCAAGGAGAACTACAAACCACTGCTCAACGAAATAAAAGAGGACACAAACAAATGGAAGAACACTCCATGCTCATGGGTAGGAAGAATCAATATCGTGAAAATGGCCATACTGCCCAAGGTAATTTATAGATTCAATGCCATCCCCATCAAGCTACCAATGACTTTCCTCACAGATTTGGAAAAAACTACTTTAAAGTTCATATGGAACCAAAAAAGAGCCTGCATCGCCAAGTCAATCCTAAGCCAAAAGAACAAAGCTGGAGGCATCATGCTACCTGACTTCAAAGTATGCTACAAGGCTACAGTCACCAAAACAGCATGGTACTGGTACCAAAACAGACATATAGATCAATGGAACAGAACAGAGTCCTCAGAAATAATATCACACATCTACATCCATCTGATCTTTGACAAACCTGACAAAAACAAGAAATGGGGAAAGGATTCCCTATTTAATAAATGGTGCTGGGAAAACTGGCTAGCCATATGTAGAAAGCTGAAACTGGATCCCTTCCTTACACCTTTACAAAAATTAATTCAAGATGGATTAAAGACTTAAATGTTAGACCTAAAACCATAAAAACCCTGGAAGAAAACCTAGGCAATACCATTCAGGACATAGGCACGGGCAAGGATTCCATGTCTAAAACACCAAAAGCAACGGCAACAAAAGCCAAAATTGACAAATGGGATCTCATTAAACTAAAGAGCTTCTGCATAGCAAAAGAAACTACTATCAGAGTGAACAGGCAATCTATGGAATGGGGGAAAATTTTTGCTATCTACTCATCTGACAAAGGGCTAATATCCAGAATCTACAATGAACTCAAACGAATTTACAAGATAAAAACAAACAACCCCATCAAAAAGTGGGTGAAGGATATGAACAGACACTTCTCAGAAGAAGACATTTATGCAGCCAAAAGACACATGAAAAAATGTTCATCATCACTGGCCATCAGAGAAATGCAAATCAAAATTACAATGAGATACCATCTCACACCAGTTAGAATGGCAATCATTAAAAACTCAGGAAACAACAGGTGCTGGAGAGGATGTGGAGAAATAGGAACACTTTTACACTGTTGGTGGGACTGTAAACTAGTTCAACCATTGTGGAAGACAGTGTGGCGATTCCTCAAAGATCTAGAACTAGAAATACCATTTGACCCAGCCATCCCATTACTGGGTCTATACCCAAAGGATTATAAATCATGCTGCTTTAAAGACACATGCACACGTTATGTTTATTGCGGCACTATTCCCAATAGCAAAGACTTGGAACCAACCCAAATGTCCATCAATGATAGAGTGGATTAAGAAAATGTGGCACATATACAGCATGGAATACTATGCAGCCATAAAAAAGGATGAGTTCATGTCCTTTGTAGGGCCATGAATGAAGCTGGAAACCATCATTCTCAGCAAACTATTGCAAGGACAAAAAACCAAACACTGCATGTTCTCACTCATAGGTAGGAACTGAACAATGAGAACACTTGGACACAGGAAGGGGAACATCACATTCCGGGGCCTGTTGTGGGGTGGGTTGAGCGGGGAGGGATAGCATTAGGAGATATACCTAATGTAAATGATGAGTTAATGGGTGCAGCACACCAACATGGCATATGTATACATATGTAACAGACCTGCACGTTGTGCACATGTACCCTAGAACTTAAAGTATAATAAAAAAAATTTTTTGTTCCCATTTATCACTGATGGATGCATTGACTTGTTTAACAAGAACAAAGTGCTTCCTTTAAAATGTGATAAAAAGCATTAAAATTTGTTGAGATTTTTAAAAATCTTGATTTTAATCACAGCTGTTAACCTATTTCTAGAATTCATGTAGTCACATCTAATGTTAATAAAAAAGGAAGAGAATGTGTGCGGGGTCCAGAGGAAGGGAGATAACTCAAAAGCCAGTGATATTTTGCAGTTTAACAATATGAGTAGTGAGAAAAATTTTCCTCCCTTTGAAGATATAATTCTGTCTGAATTCTTTAGAACAATGTTTTTGTATTTATTAAATATATTTATTAGTAAATACTAAAATTATTCCTTTGACATTTTAAAAATTTTATTGTGAAAATCTAACATGTACCAAAAATATGTTAGATTTTTCAGAAAAAAATCTGTACATTTAGATTAGGTTATAGAGAAAAATTATAAATTTAGATTTATAGATTATAGTTAAATTTATAGTTATATTATAGAGAAAAAATATGTTAAATTATCATGGACATTCTCAATCAGCTGCAAGAATTATCAGCATTTTGACAATCTTATTTCATTTAGTTTCCCACTTTTTTTTTGAAGTATTTAGGCAGACTCTAAACACTGCATAATTTCACCCATAAATACTTCACTGTGCATTTCTAACTGAAAGAACATATTTTATGTATGAACTGTTATCACCATAACTTACAAAATTAACAATATTTTAATCTAATCTAATATTTAATCCATATTTAAATTTACTGGATCGTCTCACATATTTTTAACCATATATCCCATTTATTAGAATTAAGCAAAGTCAATGTGAATGATTGGAAATCATAAAAGACATTTGAAGAAACATTTATACTAATGGTAATATGATGAAAATGATAATGAGGATAATGATAGGCTTGTGATTATTGTAGCAAAAATAATTATTGTCCTTGGTATTAAGCTGCAAAAATCTTTGGTCTTAAATTACATTCTTTAGAAAGTCAATTTAAAAGTTTTAGCTTTTTAGTTTTTAGTAAAACTTTGATTTCCTAAAAAAAATCTAAGAATCTTGGGAAATAAATCATAATTTCATCACCCAGTGGTAAGCACTCAACATCCTGGGATATTTCCCACAGTCTTCTTTGTGGATATATACATATGATATATGCAAGTGTGTGTAATGTGCATAAAACTAGGATTTCCGAGGAGGCCAAGATGCCGGACCTAGAAGCAGCTGTGGTCCATGGCACTCACAGAGAGGAATGAAAGGGGTGAAAAAATATACCACCTTCAACTGAAATATCCAAGTACTTGCATTGGGACTGACTAGAGAAACAACTCGACCCCATGAAAAAAGCAGGGCAGGGTGACAGCCCACCCAGGAGTGACACGGAGCCAAGGGAACCCCCACTCCCAGCCAAGGGAAGCAGTGAGTGAATGTGTGATCCCAGGTAACCATGCTTCTCCCATGGATCTTTGCAACTCGTGGTTCAGGAGATCCCCGCCTGAGCCCATGCCACTAGGGCCTTGATTCCAACAGACAGAGCTGTATGGAGTCTCAGCAGAGCAGCTGCTCAGGTATGCACAGAGACCCAGGAGCTTTACATACTCCGGCCCCAGGATCCCCAGCAAAGGTGTCTGCAACTCAGACAAGGCAGGATGTCTGTACATAACCCTAGGAAGGGGGCTGAACCCAGGGAGCCAAATAGCATCAGCGTGCAGGCCCCACTTCCATGGCACCTCACAAAATAAGACCCACTGGCTTGGAATTCCAGCCAGCCACTAGCAGCAGGGTAGGGCCTGCCTGAGATGAGAGGCAGCCCCTGGAAAGAGAGGCAGGCCACTATCTCTGCTGTTTGGTTAACTCAGCCATTCCAGTCTGCAGGCTTCGGAGAGTCCAAACTTTTCAGACGAGGAAGGGTCCCCCCAACATAACATAGCTGCTTTGCCAGAATGTGGCCAGACTGCTATTTTAAGTGGGACCCAGATGCATTCCTCCTCACTGGGCGGGACCTCCCAGCTGAGGCCTCCAGCTACCCCTGCCCACATATATTCTACAGACAGAGCTCTGATCTCTCAATGGGACAGAGTGCTGCCCATGGCCCTCTCCATGGGGAAAGGGCCGCCACCTTGGTTGTTTGGACAACTCAGCCTGCAGGCTTCAGAGAGTCCAAGCCAACAGAGGCAGGGGCAGCTCCCGGGAACAACAACTGTTTTGTCAAGGACAGACTGCGTCCTTAAGTGGGACCCTGATTCACTCTTCCTCCAGGGGAAGATCCTCTTAGAGCCTTTGGCCACACCTGCTCGTGTTGTATAGCCTGCAGAGTTTTAATTTCTCCTTGGGTTGGAATGCTTGGGGGGCAGGGCACGCCGCCACCTTGGTTGTTTGTCTGCTTCAGCCAGTCCAGCCTGTGTGCCTTGGTGAGCCCAAACCAACTGGTGGCTGAAGGGATCCCTAACACCACACAGCTGCTCTATTAAAAAGCAGCCAGACTGCTGCTTTAAGCAGATCCCTGATCTCGTTCCTCCTGACTGGGTAAGACCACCCAACTGGGGTCACACCAGACACCTCCTACAGGTGTGTTTAGGCTGGCAACATGTCAGTAACCCCCTGGGATGGAACTTTCAGAGGAAGGGGCAGGTTGGCATCTTTGCTGTTTTGCTGCCTTCACTGGTGATACCTCCAGGTATGGGAAAAGCTGAGGCAATTAGGGTCAGGAGTGGACCCTAAGCAAACTACAGCAGCCCTATAGAAAAGTGGCCAGACTGTCAAAAGAGAAACAAACAAACCACCTCCACCTCCACCACTACCACCACCACCACCAACACCAACAAGAACAACAATAACAAACGACAAAAAGCCCATCCAAAGGTCAGCAATCTAAAAGCTTCAGGGTAGATAAGCCCATAAAGATGAGAAAGAATGAGCACAGAAATGCTAAAATCTCAAAAAGCCAGAGTGTCCCCTTTTCTTCAAATAACTGTAACACCTCTCCAGCAAGTGCTCAGGACTGGGCTGAGGCTGAGATGGCTGGAATGACAGAAGTAGGCTTCAGAATATGAATAAAAAGGGACCTCACTGAGCTAAAGGAGTATGTTGTTACTCAATGCAAAGAAACTAAGAATCATAATAAAACAATGCAAGAGGTAACAAAAAAAAGTAACCAGTATGGAGAGGAACATAATTGATCTAATAGAGCTGAAAAACATACTATAAGAACCCCACAATGCAGTCACAAGTATTAATAGCAGAATAGACCAAGTGGAGGCAAGAATCTCAGAATTTGAAGACTACCTTTTTAAAATAAGACAGGCAGACAAGAAGAGAGAAAAAATAATAAAAAGGAATAAACAAAACCCCCAAGAAATATGGGATTGTGTAAAGAGACCAAATCTACGAATCATCAGGGTACCCGAAAGAGACAGGGAGAATGGAGCCAATTTGGAAAATATACTTCAGGATATCATCCAGGAAAACTTGCTCATCCTAGCAAGACAGGCCAACATTCAAATTCAGAAAATTCAGAGAATTCCAATAAAATACTCTATGAGAAGATTATCCACAAGACACACAATCATCCGATTCTCCAAAGTTGAAATGAAAGAAAATTGTTAAGGGCCAGAAGAGAGAAAGGCCAGGTCACTTACAAAGAGAAGCCCATCAGACTAACAGTGAACCTCTCAGTGTAAATCCTACAAACCAGAAGAGTTTGGGGGCCAATGTTAAACATTTTTAAAGAAAAGAAATTCCATCCCAGAATTTTATATCTGGCCAAACTAAGCTTCATAAGCAAAAAAGAAATAAGATCCTTTTCGGACAAGCAAATGCCGAGGGAATTAGTTACCACCAGACCTGCCTTACAAGAGTTCCTGAAGGAAGCACTAAATATGGAAAGGAAAAACCATTACCAGCAAGTACAAAGACACACTGAAATACACAAACCAGTGACACTATGAAAAAAACACACAAACAACTCTGCAAAATAAGGAGCTGTCATCATTATGACAGGATCAAATCCACACATAACAATACTAACTTTAAATGTAAATGAGCAACATAGGCTCAAAAATAAAGAAATGAAGGAAAATTTACCAAGCAAATGGAAAACAGAAAAAAGCAGGAGTTGCAATCCTAGTTTCTGACAAAACATATTTTAAACAAACAGAGTTTAAAAAAAACACAAAGAAGGACATTACATAATGATAAAGGATTGAATTCAACAAAAATATCTAACTATGCTAAATATATGTGCAGCCAACACAGGAGCTCCCAGATTCATAAAGCAAGTTCTTAGAGATCTTCAAAGAGACATAGACTCCTGCACAGTAATAGTAGAAGACTTTAACATCTCATTGACAATATTAGACAGATCATCATGAGAGAAAATTAATGAAGCTATTTTAGACCTAAACTCTGCTCAAGATCAAGTGGACCTTATAGATACCAACAGAATTCTTCAACCAAAAATGAGAGAATATGCATTTTTCTCAATACCACACGATATTTACTGCAAAACTGATCACATAATTGGAAGTAAAACACTCCTAGCAAGTGCAAAAGAACTGAAATCATACCAAACAATATTTCAGACCACAGTACAATCAAATTAGAACTCAAGATTAAGAAATTTACTCAAAAACAAACAACTACATGGACAACCTGCTCCTGAATTACTTTTGGGTAAATAATTAAATTAAGCCAGAAATCAAGAAGTTATTTGAAAGTAATGAGAACAAAGATACAATGTACCAGAATCTCTGGGACACAGCTAAGGCAATGTAAGAGGGAAATATATAGCAGTAAATGCCCACATCAAAATGCTAGAAAGATCTCAAGTTACGAACCTAACATCACAACTAAAATAACTAGAGAACCGAGAGTAAACAAACCCAAAAGCTAGCAGAAGACAATAAATAACCATGATCAGAGCTAAACTGAAGGAGGTAGAGACATGAAAAACCCTTCACAAAATCAGCAAATCGAGGAGCTAGTGTTTTGACAAAATTAATAAAATAGACTGCTAGCTAGACTAATAAGAAAAGAGAGAAGATTCAAATAAACACAATTGGAAACAATAAGGGAGATATCACCACTGACACCACAAAAATACAAGCACCATCAAAGAACACTGTAAACACCTCTAATAACATAAACTAGAAAATCTAGAAGAAATGTATCAATTCCTGGACACGTATACCCTCCCAAGACTGCATCAGGAAGCAACTGAATCCCCGAAAGACCAATAATGAGTTCTGAAATTGAGGCAGTAATAAATAGTCTACCAACCAAAAAAAGCCCAGGACCAGACAGATTTACAGCTGAATTCTACAAGAGGTACAAAGAAGCCCTGGTACCATTTCTACTGAAAATTTCTAGAAAATTGAAAAGGAGGGACTCCTCCCTAACTCAGTCTATGAGGCCAGCATCATCCTGATACCAAAACCTGGCACAGATATAACAACAAGAAAAAAACTTTAGGCCAATATCCTTGATAAAATTTGATACACAAATCCTCAACAAAATACTGGCAAACCAAATCCAGCAGAGCATCAAAAAGCTTATCCATCACAATCAAGTTGGCTTCATCCTGGGATGCAAGCCTGGTTCAACATACACAAATCAATAAATGTGATTCATCACATAAACAGAAGTAAAGACAAAACCACATAGTTATCTCAATAGATATAGCAAAGGGCTTCAATAAAATTCAACATCCCTACCTGTTAAAAGCTCTCAATAAACTAGGTATTGAAGGAACATACCTCAAAATATTAGGAACCAAATATGGAAAACCCACAGACAATATCAATTTTGCCAATACTGAATGAGCAAAAGCTGGAAGCATTACTCTGAAAATTAGCACAAGACAAGGTTGCCCTCTTTCACCACTCCTATTCAATACATCATTAGAAGTTCTGGCCAGGGCAATTATGCAAGAGAAATAAATAAAGGTATTCAAATAGGAAGAGAGAAAGTAAAACTATCTCTGATTTCAGATGACATGATTCTATATATAGAAAACCCCATAGTCTCAGCCAAAAAGTTCCTTATGCTGATAAGCAACTTCAGCAAAGTCTCAGGATACAAAACCAATGTGAAAAAATTGCTAGCATTCCTATACACAAACAACAGTCAAGCTGAGAGCAAAATTGTGAATGAACTCCCATTTACAATTGCCACAAAAGAGTAAAATACCTAGGAATACAGCTAACAAGGGAAGTGAAGGGCCTCTTCAAGGAAAACTACAAACCACTGCTCAAAGAAATCAGAGATGACACAAACAAATGAAAAACCATTCCATGCTTGTGGATAGGAAGAATCACTATCGTGAGCATGGCTATACTGCCCAAAGCAATGTATAGATTCAATGCTATTCCCATTAAAATGCCACTGACATTCTTCATAGAATTAGAAAAAAACTCTTTAACAAATTCATATGGAACCAAAAAAGAGCCCAAATAGCCAAAGCAATCCTAAGCAAAAAATAAATAAATAAATAAATAAATAAATAAATAAATAAATACATAAAGCTAGAGTCATCACACTACCTTACTTTAAACTGTATTACAGGGCTACAGTAACCAAAACAGCATGGTACTGGTCCAAGAACAGATACATAGACAAAGGAACATAATAGAGAACCCAGAAATAAGACTGTACACCTATAACCGTCTGATCTTTGACAAAGCTGTCAAAAACAAACAATGGGGACAAGATTTCCTGTTCAACAAATGGTGCTGGGATAACTGGCTAGCCATATACAGATGGTATACTTTCTTATACCATCAACAAAAATCAACTGAAGATGGATGGAATACTCAAATGTAAAACCCAAACCTATCAAAACCCTAGAAGAAAACGTAGACAACAACAAACAGGACATAGGAATGGGCAAAGAGTTCACGACAAAGATGCCAAAAGCAAATGCAACAAAAGCAAAAATTGACAAATGAGATCTAATTAAACTAAAAGGCTTCTGCACAGCGAAAGAAACTATCAACTGAGTAAACAGACAACCTACAGAATGGGAGGACATTTTTGCAATCTATGAAACTGACAAAGTTTAATATTCAGCACCTATAAAGAACTTAAACAAATTTACAAGGAAAAAAGAAACAACCCCATTAAAAAGTGGGCAAAGGACATGAACGGACACTTTTCAAAAGAAGACACACATGTGGCCAACAAACATATGAAAAAAGCTCAACATCACTAATCATTAAAGAAATGCAAATCAAAACCACAATGAGATACTATCTCACACCTGTCAGAATGGCTATTATTAAAAAGTCAAGAAGATGCTTGTGACATTCTGGAGAAAAAAATGCTTTTACACTGTTGGTGAGAGTATAAATTAGTTCAACCATTGTGGAAGACAGTCTGGCGATTCCTCAAAGACCTAGAGGCACAAATACCAAATACCATTTGATCCAGCAATCCCATTACTGAGTATGTATGCAAGGGAATATAAATCATTCTATTCTAAAGATACATGCACACATATGTTCATTGCAGCTCTATTCACAATAGCAAAGACATGGAATCAATCTAAATGCCCATCTGTGATAGACTCAATAAAGAGAATGTAGTACATATATACATATACACCATGGAATACTATGCCACCATATAAAGGAATGAGATCATGTCATTTTTAGGGACATGGATGGAGCTGGAGGCCATTATCCTTAGAGAACTAACAGAGGAACAGAAATACCAAATGCCACGTGTTCTCACTTATAAATGGGAGCTGAATGATGAGAACACATAGACACATCGGGATGAACAACACACACTGAGGTGGGAGGAGGGAGAGCATCAGGATGCAGAGCTAATGGATGCTGGGCTTAATACCTGGGTGTTGGGATGATCTGTGCAGCAAACCACAATAGGACACATTTACCTATGTAACAAACATGCACATCCTGCCCATGTAACCTGGAACTTAAAATAAAAATTTGAAATAAAAAAAAACTGCGGCACATATCAACCCATCATCTAAGTTCAAAGCCCAGCACACATTAGTTAATTTTCCTGATGCCCTCCCTCCCTATGCCCACCTCCCCAATCCCAGTTGTGTTGTTCCTCTCCCTGGGCTTTTGTGTTCACATTGTTTCACTCCCACTTATAAGTGAGAACATGCAGTGTTTGGTTTTTGTTCCTGTGTTAGTATGCTGAGTATAATGGCTTCCAGCTCCATCCATGTTCCTGCAAAGGACATGATCTCATTTCTTTTGATGGCTGCATAGTATTCCATGGTGTATATGTACCACATTTTCTTTATCCAGTCTATCACTGATGGGCGTTTTGTTTGATTCCATGTTTCTGCTATTGTGGATAGTGCTGCAATGAACATACACATGCATGTATCTTTATAATAGAATGATTTATATTCCAAAAAAGGATTTCTTTGTAACCCACTCATTTCAATTTACAATTTATTTTATGCATTTTCCAAGTCATTGGTGACAGCGATTAACGTATTCACATATCTTTGTGTTAATCTATGATTATTCAATAGCATAATTATCTAAAATGGGATTCCTATATTAGAGTATACATACTTTTAAGATTTTTAGTATCTATAGCCTGATTATCCCCCAGAAATTTTCTTCTAATTCCGTTTCCAGAAAATGACTACCCATTTTAATTCAACTGCATGAGTATAAAATATTAACATGTTACTTTTTGATTAATTGTTGTATGAAATATTACATGTTTTTATTTTCTTTAATTTTTTGTGAGAATTAATTCTTTTTTGATGTTTTTTAAAAAATTCTTTTAAAAATGTTTGTATCTTGCCCAGGTGCAGTGGCTCGCATCTGTAATCTCAGCACTTTGGGAGGCCTAGGGGTGCAGATCACTTGAGGTCAGGAATTCAAGACCAGCCTGGCCAATATGATGAAACCCTGTCTCTATTAAAAATACAAAAATTAGCCAGGCATGATGGAATGCCCCTGTAATCCCAGCTACTTGGGAGGCTGAGACAGGAGAACCACTTGAACCCAGGAGGTGGAGGTTGTAGTGAGCCGAGATTGCACCACTGCGCTCTAGCCTGGGTGACAGAGTGCGACTCTGTCTCAAAAAAAAAAAAAGTAAATTTTCTATCTGTAATCATAATTGTTTGCCTATTTATTCATAATGTTTGCCTAGCTTTCTATTTTAGGACTCATTTTATGGATTTGTAAAGTCTTTGTCTGTAGTAAAGATACAAATACAGTATCTTCTGTCAATTATTTTTCCAGCCTTTTCTTTTAATTTTATTTTTTCCTGAAGAGTTTTTACAGTGGTTTTTATTATTATTACTTTCAAAGATTATACTTAGAACGTCCTTCTCATTTAGGCCGGGTGCGGTGGCTCACACCTGTAATCCCAGCACTTTGGGAGGCCGAGGCAGGTGGATCACGAGGTCAGGAGATCAAAACCATCCTGGCTAACATGGTGAAACCCAGTCTCTACTGAAAAATACAAAAAAAATTAGCTGGGCATGGTGGTGGGCACCTGTAGTCCCAGCTACTCGGGAGGCTGAGGCAGGAAAATGGCATGAACCCAGGAGGCAGAGCTTGCAGTGAGCCGAGATTGCGCCACTGCACTCCAGCCTGGGCGACAGAGTGAAACTCCGTCTCAAAAAAAAAAAAAAAGAAAGTCCTTCTCATTTTAAGACAATAAACATATACTTAAATTTGCTTCATGTTGATTTATGATTTAAAAAGTACTTAAATTTTTATTCCTTCTGGAAAGATCGTATGAGGGGAGGCACTGAAAACATTTTCCAGTTATTTTATTTCCATGTTGTGTAATGAATAATATTTTCTTTCCCTACTATTTTTTAATAGCAACTTTATTACATATAAACGTTTATGTTCACTTTGGCATATAACACTGCAATGATTTGCACATAAATGGGTTATGAAGATAGTACGAAAACATACTCTTTCTTCAGTAGATTGTTAGAAGATGCCTTGTGTAGACTTCTTTTGTATCTCCTATAGTATTTTGAATGTGGCAGCCAATAAAAACTTCTTGTATGACATGAATGATTAATGAGTCATAGATATGCCTGGGAAAGTTTTTTTTTTTGATTTTTAATTTAACTGTTCTTTTAAGTTCAGGGGTAGGTTATTATATAGATAAATGCAGGTTTGTTATATAAATAAACTTGTGCCATGTGGGTTTGTTGTACAGATTATTTCATCTCCCAGGTATTAAGCCCCATACCCAGTAATTATTTTTCCTGATCCTCTCCCTCCTCACAATCTCCATCCTCTGAGAGGCCCCAGTAGGTGTTGTTTCCCTGTATGTGTCCATGTGTTCTCATCATTCAGCTCCCACTTATAAGTGAGAACATGTGGTATTTTGTTTTCTTTTCCTGTATTAGTTCACTAAGGATAATGACCTCCAGCTCCATCCATGTCCCTGGAAATGACATGATCTCATTCCTTTTTATGGCTGCATAGTATTTCATGGTGTATCTGTGTCATATTTTCTTTATCAAGTCTACCATTGATGGGCATTTAGATTGATTCCTGTCTTTTCTATTGTGAATAGTGCTGCAGTGAACATATGCATACATGTGTCTTTATAATAGAATGGTTTATATTCATTTGGGTATATACCTAGTAATGGGATAGGTGAGACAAATGGTATTTCAGCCTCCAGGTCTTTGAGGAATCACCACATTGTCTTCCTCAATGGTTGAACTATTTACATTCCCACCAACTTTGTATAAGTGTCCTTTTTCTCTGCAGCCTTACCAGCGTCTGTTGTTTTTTGACTTTTTAATAGCCATTCTGACTGGTGTGAGATGATATCTTATTGTGATTTTTATTTGAATTTTTCTAATAATGAGTGATGTTGAGTTTTTTTTCCTATGATTGTTGGCCTCACGTATGTCTTTTGGGAAGTGTCTGTTCTTGTCCTTTGCCCACTTTTTAATGAGGTTATTTTTTTCTTGTAAATTTGTTTAAGTTCCTTATAGATGCTGGATATTAGACCTTTTTCAGGTATGTAGTTTGCAAAAATATTCTCCCATTCTATAGGTTGTTTGTTCACTCTGTTGATGGTTTCTTCCTTGTGTAGAAACTATTTAGCTTAATTAGATCCCATATGTTAACTTTTGCTTTTGTTGCAATTGCTTTTAGCATCTTCGTATGAAATCTTTCCCCATTCCTATATCCTGTTTGGTATTGCCTAGGTTTTATTCTAGGGTTTTGATTATTTTTGGGTTTTGCATTTTAAGTCTGTAATCCAACTTGAGTTGATTTTTGTGTATGATATAAGGAAGGGGTCTAGTTTTAATTTTCTGTATATGGCTAGCCAGTTATCCCAGCACCATTATTGAATAGGAAATCCTTTCCCAATTGCTTGTTTTCGCTAGGTTTATTGAAGATTAGATAGTTGTAGGCTTGCAGTCTTATTTCTGGGTTCTCTATTATGTTCCTTGGTCTCTGCATCTGTTCTAGTACCAGTATCATGCTGCTGTTTTGGTTACTGTAGCCCTGTAGCATAGTTGAAGCCATGTAGCATGATGTCTCCAGTTTTGTTTTTTTTGCTTAGGACTGCCTTAGCTATTTGGGCTCTTTTTTGGTTCCATATGAGTTTTAAAATAGTTTTTTTTCTAATTCTGTGAAGAATGTCAATAGCATTTTGATGGTAATAGCATTGCATCTATAAATCGCTTTGGGCAGTATGGCCATTTTCACAATATTGATTCTCTTCACGAGCAAGGAATGTTTTTCCATTTGTTTGTGTCATCTTTGATTTCTTTGAGCAGTGTTTTTTACTTCTTCTTGTAGAAATCATTCACTTCTGTGGTTAGCTATACTCCTAGATATTTAATTTTTTGTTGTTGCAATTGTGAATGAGATTGCGTTCCTGATCTGGCCCTCAGCATGACTGTTGTTGGTGTATAGGAATGTTTGTGATTTTTGCATTACTAACATTTTTCTATCTCAGAAGACAAATTGATTTTTGTATCCTGAGACTTTGTTGAAGTTTATCAACTTAAGGAGCTTTTGGGTTGAGGTTATGGTGTTTTCTAGATATAGGATTATATTATCTGCAAACAGGGACAGTTTGAATTCCTCTGTTCCTATTTCAATGCCTTTATCTTTTTACTTTCCCTGATTGCCCTGACCAGGACTTCCAATGCTATATTAAATAGAAGTGGTGAGAGAGGGCATCCTTTTCTTGTGCTGGTTTTCATGAGGGATACTTCCAGCTTTTGCCCACTTAGTGTGATGTTGGTCATGGTTTGTCATAGATGGCTCTTATCATTTTGAGGTATGTTCCTTCAATACCTAGTTTATTGAGAGTTTTAACATGAAGAGGTATTGAATTTTATTGAAAGTCTTTTCTGCATCTATTGAGAGAATCATGTGGTTTTTGTCTTTAGTTCTGTTTATGTAATGAGACAAATTTATTGATTTGCATATGTTGAATGAAGCTTGCACACCAGAGAAAAAGTCTACTTGGTTGTAGTGGATAAGCTTTTTGATGTGCTGCTGAATTAGGTTTGCTAGTATATTGCTGGGGATTTTCACATCAATAGTCATCATAGACATTGGCTTGACATTTTCTTTTTTCATTGTGTCTCTGCTACATTTTGGCATCAGGAAGATGCTGGCCTCATTGAACGAGTTAGGGAGGAGACCTTCCTCATTAATTCTTTGGAATAGTTTCAGTAGGAATGGTACCAGCTCTTCTTTGTACAACAGGTAGAATTCAGCTGTGTATCTGGCTTTTCCCGAGCTTTTGTTGGTTGGTAGGCTATTTATTACTACTCAATTTCAGAGATCATTATTTGTCTGTTCAGGAATTTAATTTCTCCTTGGTTGAGTCTTTGGAGGGTGTATATGTCAAGATATTTATGCATTTCTTCTAGATTTTCTAGTTTACATGCATATACATGTTGATAATATTCTCTGATGATTATTTGTATTTCTGTGGGGTCAATGGTAATATCTCCCTTGTTATTTCTGATTGTGTTTATTTGAACCTTCTCTCTTTTCTTCCATATTAGTCTAGCTAGTGGTCTATTTTATTATTATTTTTTAAAGTTTTGTTGATGTTTTGAATAGTTTTTCTTGTTTCAGTCTCCTTCAGTTTATCCCTAATTTTGTTTTTTTTTCTTATCTTCAGCTAGATTTGAGATTCTTTTAGTTGTGATATTAGGTTGTTAACTTAAGGTCTTTCTAACTTTTTGATGTAGGGATGTAGCACTATAATTTCCCACTTACACTCTCTTAGCTATGTCCCAGTTATTCTGGTATGTTTTATCTTTGTTCTCATTACTTACAAAGAACTTCTTCATTTCTGCCTTAATTTCATTATGTACCCAACAGGCATTCAGGAGCATATTATTTAATTTCCATGTAATTGTATTGTTTTGAGTGAATTTCTTAGTCTTGATTTTTAATTTGATTATGCTATGGTCTGAGAGACTTTGTAAATGATTTTAGTAGTTTGCATTTGCTCAGGAGTGTTTTATGTGCAATTATGTGATTGATTTTAGAGTCTGTACCATGTGACAATAAGAAAAACTTATAATCTATTGTTTTTGGGTGGAGAGTACTCCAGATGTGTATCAGGTCTATTTGATCTAGTGCTGAGTTCATGTCCTGAATATTTTTGTTAATTTTTTTGTCTGGATAATCTATCTAATAATGTCAGTACAGTGTTAAAGTCTCTTACTATTATTATGTGGGAGTATATGTCTCTTTGTCAATGGGGTTCTCTGCATTTCCTGAATTTGAATGTTGGCCTCTCTAGCAAGGTTGGAGAAATTATGTATAATGTCCTGAAATATTCTTTCCATGATTCGTTCCTGATATAGTTTGGTTGTGTCCCCACCCAAATCTCACCTTGAATTGTAATAATTCCCATGTGTCAAGGGTGGGGCCAGGTGGAGGAAATTGCATTAGGGGGGCAGTTTCCCTCCTATTGTTCTCATGGTAGTAAATAAGTCTCATAAGATCTGATGGTTTTATAAAAGGGAATTCCCCTGTACACCCTCTGTTGCCTGCCACCATTTAAGACAAGCTTTCGCTTCTCCTTTGCCTTCTGCCATGACTGTGAGGCCTCCCCAGCCATGTGGAACTGTGAGTCTATTTAGCCTCTTTTTCTCTATAAATTCCTCTGTCTGAAGTATGTCTTATACAGCATGAGAACTGACTAATACAGTAAATCGGTACTGGTAGAGTGGGGTGCTGCTGTAAAGATACCCAAAAATGTGGAAATGACTTTGGAACTGAGAAACAGGCAGAGGTTGGGTCAGTTTGGAGGGCTCAGAAGAGGACAGGAAGAAGTTTGAAGGGAAAGTTTGGATCTTCCTAGAGACTTGATGAATGGCTTTGACCAAAATGCTGACATTGATACATGGACAATAAAGTTCAGGTTGAGGTGGTCTCACATGGAGATGAAGACCTTGTTGGAAACTGGAATAAAAGTGACTCTTGCTATGTTTTAGCAAAGAGACTGGCATTTTGCCCCTGCCTTAGAGATTTGTGGAACTTTGAACTTGAGAGAAATGATTTAGGGTATCTGGTAGAAGAATTTTCTAAGCAGCAAAGCATTCAAGAGGTGACTTCGGTGCTGTTAAATGCATTGAGTTTTATGTATTCGCAGATTTATGCTTTGGAACTGAAACATGTTTAAAAGGGAAGCAGAGCACGAAAATTCAGAAAATGTACAGCCTGATGATGCAATAGAAAAGAAAAACCCGGTTGCTGAGGATAAATTCAAGCTGGCTTCAGAAGTTTGCATAAGTAATGAGAAGCCAAATGTTAATCACCAAGACAATAGGGAAAATGTCTCTAGGGCCTGCCAGAGGTCTTCCAGAAGCCCCTCCCATCACAGGCCTGGAGGCCTAGGAGAAAAAAGTGGTCTTGTGGGCTGGGCCCAGGACCTTGCTACATTGTGCATTCTCATGACTTGGTGCCCTGTGCCCTAGCCATGGCTAGAACTCAGGCCATTGATTCAGAAAGGGTGCATGACCCAAGCCTTGGTGGCCTTCATTTGGTATTGGGCTGTGGGCGCACAGAAGTCAAGAACTGAGATTTGGGAACCTCCACGTAGATTTCAGAGGATGTATGGACCTGGAACACACAGGTTCCAGAGGCAGTATGGAAACGTCTGGATGAACAGGCAGAAGTTTGCTGCAGGGGTTGGGCCCTCATGGAGAACCTCTGCTAGGACAGTGTGGAAGGGAAATGTGGAGCTGGCACCCCTACACAGATTCCCCACTGGGACACTGCCTAGTGGAGTTGTGAGAAAAGGGCCACCGTCCTCCAGACCCCAGAACGGTAGATCCACCAACACCTTACACCACGTACCTGGAAAAGCCACAGACACTCAATGCCAGCCTGTGAAAGCAGCTGAGAGGTGGGCTGTACCCTGCAAAGCCACAGGGGTGGAACTGCCCAAGAGGGCATGGGAGCTCACCTCTTGCATCAGCAGGACCTAGATATGAGACGTGGAGTAAAAGGAGATCATTTCAGAACTTTAAAATTTGGCTGCCCTGCTGGATTTTGGACTTGCATGAAGCCTGTAGTCCCCTCCTTTTGGCTGACTTCTCCCATTTGGAATGGGTGTATTTACCCAATGCTTGTATCCCCATTGTATCTAGGAAGTAACTAACTTGCTTTTGATTTTGCAGGATCATAGGTGGAAAGAACTTGCCTTGTCAGATGAGAATTTGGACTGTGGACTTTTGAGTTAATGCTGAAATGAGTTAAGATTTCAGGGAGCTGTTGGGAAAGCATGATTGTTTTTGAAATGTGAGAACATGAGATTTGGGAGGGGCTAGGTGTGGAATAATATGGTTTGGCTGTTTCCCCACCCAAATCTCACCTTGAAGTTTAATAATCCCCACATGTCATGGGAGGGACCTGGTAGAGATAATTGAATCATGGGAGTGGTTTCCCCCATACTGTTCTCACAATAGTGAATAAGTCTCATGAAATCTGATGATTTTATAAAGGAGAGTTTCCCTGAACATATTCTCTTGTCTGCCACCATGTAAGACTTCCCTTTGCTTTTCCTTTACCTTCTACCATGATTGTGAATCCTCCCAGTCATGCTGAACTGTGAGTCCATTAAACCTCTTCCCTTTATAAATTACCCAGTCTCAGACATGTTTTATTTGCAGCATGAGAATAGATTATATAGTTCCCTTCTCCCCATCTCTTTTAGGGACACCCAGGAGTCATAGATTTCTTCTTTATGTAATCCCACATCTCTCAGGGATTTTGTTTATTTCTTTTTATTCTTTTTTCTCTATTTCTTTATTACAGTCTTATTTCAGAAAGACAGTCTTCAAGCTCTGAGATTCTTTCCTCCACTTGGCCTAATCTGCTACTAATAGTTGTGGTTGCATTGTAAAATTTCTTGCAGTGTATTTTTTAGCTCTATTAGGTTGGTTAGGTTCTTTTCTATACTGACTATTTTGTCTGTAAGTTCCTGCATTGTTTATGATTTTTTAGCTTCCTTGCATTAGATTTCACCTTATTCCTATAGCTCAATCATTTCTATCCATATTCTGAATTACATTTCTGTCATTTCAGCCATCTCAGCCAGTTCAGAACCTTGCTGGAGAGGTGATGTGTGTTTTTGGAGGTAAAAAGGTACTCTGGCTTTGTGCGTTATCAGGGTTCTTGTACTGATTGTTTCTCATCTTCTGGGCTTATCTTCCTTCAGTCTTTGAGGATGCTTACCTTTGGATGAGTGTTTTTTCTTTTATCCTATTTAATGACCTTGAGGATTTGATTGTGGTATAAGGTGCAGTCAGCTAACTGGCTTCATTTCTGGAAGATTTTAGAGATTTGGTCCTCAGCTCTCAACTCCTGGGCTTAGTTCTCTAACTTTGGAGGACTTGTGTTGGGCCCCACTTTGTTCTCTGTCTCCTTGAGATTAGGAATCTGCTATCCTGGGGGCACTGAGGTGCTCCTGGACCACTGTTTACTGCACTCTGATGGGTGATGTCAGCCAAAATGTTTCGTGGTGTAGTGACAGTGGGATCCTTCTTGTCTGCATTTCAGCAGCATTGGTAGCAGCAGCTGTGGCAGAGTGCTAGTGGGTGCTGGGGGTCCTGCCTCCCTGTGAGCATTCATCGCAGTGGTGGAGGCAATGCAGCTAGAGGGGTGTGTGTTGCCTGCGACTGTGCAGTCGCACTCAAGGTGGTGTTGGCTTGGGAGCAAGATGTTGGCAGGCACTGGTCTGGGTGCCTTCTTTGTGCCCTACAAGCAGGAGTGGTCCCTCAGGGCAGGGGTGGATCCACTTTTCTCTGTATAGTGTTTGCATAAGGCAGGGTGCTTGCAGGGGGAGGGCTGGTTTGCTCTGTGCCCATCAATGCTCCATCTGCAATAGCAATCAGCAGGCGGCAGAGGGGCTGACTGCACTCCT
Source organism: Homo sapiens (assembly GCF_000001405.40). Lineage (NCBI taxonomy): Eukaryota > Metazoa > Chordata > Mammalia > Primates > Hominidae > Homo > Homo sapiens. Next base: position 22,200,565 of record NC_000009.12, read on the forward strand.
GCATGCTGGTGAGGCAACAAAAGCAAAACCTGCCCTGTGCAGCCACATGCCAGCAAAACAATGTGAGGAGTTGCCAGGGGCCCAGAGGAAGCCGCAGTATTGGAAGGGAATGTGTGGACTGGTGTGTGTCCATAGGCACTGCCCACTGGAGCTCTCCATCTGTCAGGCGTGATCCACCATTGCAAAAGCTATGGTGTGGGCCCTCAGGGCACCAAAGGCTGCCCTGCAACTATGTGTGGCCAGGCTGTGGCCCCAGGAGAGTCTAGCAGACCAAGGGGTGCTCAGGTTGTACTGGTCCCATCTGATGGACAAGACCACCCTACAGAATTCAGAACTGACAGTTCCCCTATGGCTAAAGTCTCCTATGGGTGCAAATCGAGCCTAGGGGGATGGCCAGGCTTGCCCGGGGCTCCTTTGCCTCTGCTTTAGAGTTGAATGCCCCAACCCACTCAGCAGAGAGGTGTGGTGGTGATTCCCCTCCAAAACTCTTTCTTCTCCCTTCCTGGCTTCTTTGAAGTGTTGAAAGAGAGTATTCAACAAGTATTTTTGTTTCATTACTTGCTTAAATAACACCTTTGTCTCATACTGGAAGTCCACAGTATCTGGTTCTTAGTTCCCAATAAATAAAACCAAGAGGCTGAATAGATGAGTGGTTTTCAAATTGTGATTAAAGTCCTTAGGAATAAAGAGGCACTTTGGGGGGCACTGTTGTAAACAAACAAAACAAAATAAAAAACAAAACAGCCCCATCTTCCCAACAGCCTTGTAAAACCGCTGAAGCAGGTAATGCTCCAATGCTAGTCACACTAGGTCAAGTATAAGTTTAATTAATTAGAAGGTTTTTTTCCCACCCTTGGACCTTGGCCACTCCTTTCTTCAGTGACCTTAGGGTGAGTCACTTGCTAGTCCATGGGAGTTTGCAGTGCTCCTGCCTGATTCCCAAGAAGAAATCCATGATCCTACCCCATTACAAGAGAGGATGTTAGGACCATGTACTTTCTTTCCTTTATGATTAAACCACTCTTCAAAATCTACTAATTTACTGAGTCTGTTAAGTATTGTTGACAAAGAACCTGTAAGTTTTGTGCCAAAAAGTTAAATCAAATGAAATAGAATGAAAAACAGGAGGTCACCTGGAATGGAAAAATGTTTATACCTGGAATCCTTTTATGGTCAACTTTCTCGGATTTTAAAAAAATTCACTTAGTTATTCTCAAAAAGGTCAGCATAAGCATTAATGATAAACCTTGGAATTAACCTATAGCTTAGAGATCTTCCTCAATAACTTCTACCTCATCTAGAAAAAGCCAACTGAAGCAAAAGAGATGTATTTTTTTCATAAAGACTACTCGATTTGCAAGTTAAAATCATTTCCTAAATAGTTTCTTCAATGACATAGATATAATAGAGTAGTCTGTCGCTAAGCATATTGACATTTTTGGTATTGTAAAACCCAATAAGCCCAAATTAACAGCTTATTCCTGTTTGAATTATAAAATAGGGCTCTTTAGAGATTTTAGCAAGTCGTTTGCTAAAGTACTCTAGAAATTTAATTTGATTTAAAAGTTTAAAAGTTTGAGGGTCCTTGTATACCATGCAAAATAATTTGGAGAACACTTAGTAATCTTTAAAGATTAATAGTAATATTAATTTTTAAAAACGAATGACAAAGTTTTAGTTTGAGCAGTTGAGTGAATACCAGCAGCAAGAAAACGAGACCCCTTGTTCTCTTTAGTGGGGACTGATATTAGGGGCTAAAATCTGGGCACCAAGTGTGTTCAATGCTACTGTGGTATTTCTGCCTCTAGGTCTTTTTGTGGTCTGAGATAAGAAATATATACAGGTATATAGACATATAAACACCTAAATATATACTTACTACATGTATTTTTATATACACATAAATTAGATACATATACATGTACACATATATACATGCATATAAATGTATACGTGTGTGTGTGTATATATGTATCTATTTAGAAATCTTGAGTCCATGCTGATACCACTGATTCTGATCCAGCCTCACTAAGTGCTTGCTTTCTCTGTTTCATGTTTATTAGCCCCCTTTTCCACAGCAAGAAAACAAGTAGCTCCCAACAACTTCGATACATTTACTAATTTGTTTACTCTTATAATAGATCTAAAATAATTTCAGAATTGCTTTGCCCATACCTCTGAAACCCTTCAGGATTTGTCTGGTGTTCTCTACCCTGTACATGTAACTTGCCCAAAGCTAAGGGTTTATAGTCAAATACTGTGATCATAAGCTACTCAGGGTTGTCCTTTCATTGCCACACCGTCCCTGTAATATGCTACATTTTTCTTTAGAAATAACATTGGGTTCATGTTTGCGTTTGCTTTCATTTTCTTTCCTTTCTTATCCTTTTTCAAATTATGTTTATTCTTTCAGTATGTAGAATATTAAGATAACTTCATGTCAAACCGTAAAAACAGGAATTGTCAGGGAAGTGTCACACTTTGCATATATGTTCCATACGCTTCCCCTGAAAACTTCATAGTTTTCACTTTTCCTCTTTCTTTTTGTAAAGATATGCCTGATTTCTTACTTCCTAATCTTTTTTACACAAAAGGTGGCATACTATATGTATTCTTCTGCACCGTGCTTTTGGTCATTTAACAATATGTCTGGGAAATTGCTGCACATTAGTTCATAAGTATCTTATTCTTTTTTTTTTTACAGCTTCATGGAACTTAGAGAGCAACAATAAGCTAGCGATTCAGAGAGAGAGAAAGACAGAGAGAGAGAGAGAAAGAGACAGAGATAAAGCTACTGTTGTATGATGTGGGAATCTGGGGAAAGAAGATAGGTAAAAAACATATTTTGGAAGTTTTCTTTGAGGTGTGAGGTGTGAGGTGTAATTCACTGTACATCCTTTTCCCCTAATAAAAATCTCAGAAAAGGCCACTCTTCTGTTCTATTGAATATGTCACTTTGATGAAGCAGGTTTGAAAGTGAAACACGAAGGTTGAATTTGAATTACAGGAGAGCATCAATGCTATCATATGGTGAGTCATGTAAAATTTCTGTTTCAAGTGTAGCTAAAGTTAGAGGGTCCTTCCAGGGCTGGCTGTGCTGCAAGAAGAGGGGCAGTGGATGTCCAGATCCTTGTCCTCTGGAAATTGGGATTTCGAGGCTAGTCATAGACAGGGAGATTTCGCAATAGGGTAATAGAGACTGCAAAATAAGCTGAGTCAGCAGAGCCACGGAATCCGCATGAAATAAACATTTCATTGACAGCCTGGGATCCACAGGGTTAGATGTAGACATCAGAGCTCGGTTATTGTGCCCAAATCTGAGAACTGGAGATGAAAGGAGGCCCAAACATTTCAAGAATAAACAGGGAGGGACTCAGGATGATCTTCCAGCTAGAACAAGCACGCTTTTCACAGCTTCTTTTGAAGTTCTGCTTGGGTGTGGTGGGTCAGCTGAGTTTAACAGATCTAAGACACAAACACGTAGAAATCCAAGGCCTGGAATAGAATGGCATAGAAAAGGTCCAGAGAAGGAGTTAAAGTGAGTAAAATATAAGCATGAAGGGAACATATTTGAATTTGACTTCTATATTTTGGAAAGAGATCTAGGATGAGATGTAATGAAGGAGCCTTATTAAACAAATCCTAGAATACCCAAACTCAAGTTCTTGAGTAGATATGTCTGAAAATTAAGTTATATTTTAAATATCAGGTAGTAAATATAAGTAATTTACTTCCTTACTAGGCTGAGAATATGCCTCGCCGCCAGTATAAATTCTTAGGTGAGTAATTTAGAATTAACTGAAAGAAAGTAGACACATTCAAGTAATTATTTTTCTTTTTGGTAAGACAGGATGTAAGAGCTTATAGTGTGATCAATTGCAGAACACCTTTCCCACTTCTTCTTTCTCTGTTTACTCCTTTCCTCTTTCATTATTGAATTTGTGACAAACATCTATAATAAAACCTGAAGGCCAAGAGAAAAATATACTTGGTTAAATTTGTTGAATGGGCTGTATTTAAGGGTTTTCTTAGAATTAAAAAATAAAAGGGAAATTAAATTTGATTTAAATTTTTAGATAGTCATAACATTTTTTCTGAGCTTAAATTTTTTTTTTTAAATAAACAAATAATTGTATCTACTTATGGGCAACAGCGCAGTGTTTTGATATATGTATTCATCCCTGAGTTTGTCCTGTAGTATTATTTTTGGCTGTCAGATGAAGCCTAGGGATGCCTTCAAATAGTGATTTGTAAATGGATGTAACAAAATACACAGAATTACTAAAGAAGTCAATTAAATTGAAATATAGCTACCAAAAAATTTAAAAAAACTGTAATATGGTAATATATACACTCTAACAGAATAAATAACAGGGAAATAACTTTAGGTCTATTATAATGAGTAATATGATACTGGTGAATATAAACAATATTATTTTGTGACAATAGTTACATGCTATAAAAATATCTTAAATTTACATTGGTGAAAAAGTCAAAGTTATTGTTATTACTTCTATGGTTTTTTTTAATGCTCATAATTAAATGAAATGACAGCTTCCAGTTAGTCAAAATCAATATTTAAATTTTTCCTATTTCTCAGATTCCCTGATTTCTAGGGATTATGGACCCCATTTAGGAAACTCTGCTCTAAGGAATTATTATATTTTATGGTATCTTAATATATAAATATGAAACAAAGATACAAGTATACAAAAATAAATATGTCCTCCTGTGTTGGTCGCCCACCACCTTAGTGATTTCTAATTTCAATGATTTCATTTTTAGGAATTTTATTAAACTGATAATTTTTATATCTAATTTCTTGTCATATACTTTTATACCTATATATTTTGTTAAAAATATTTATCACATTTATTAATTTGAATATTTATTTAAATGTATTATTTCTACTGACTTTTATCCATAGTGACTGATTTCATTGCATGTTTTATTAATTTTGTGTTATACATTTTATAAATGTATTACATTTGACCATGTGCCTTGCATGGTCAAATGTAATAAGGTAATTCCCACTTTACCTGTGGGAATTCTTTGAGGCCTGATTTTATGTGATTTTTCTCTAGAAAGGATTTATATTTACTTCTTTCAGGTGCCTGGAGACACTACCAACCCAGGAACTGTTTAAACCAAAATTTCAGCTTTATTTTTGTTTTTAAGATCCACAAAAGTATTGTGACCAGAAGGTCCTAAATCTGTGTGTGAGTGCAGGATTATAGTTAGTAATTTTCTGGATAGATTCCTTTTTTTTGACCCAGATCTAAGGATGAATCAAGAAAGTATCTTTATGTCTCCTTGAAGGTGTGGCCTTTTAGAAATCCCAGATTTAGGTGTCTTTTCCCATCTTATTGACTCCCTGGGTCCCATAGTGGGTCAGCAGATGCTCACCAGGCAAATGCAGGCCCAAGTACTTGCTTAACTCTCTAGTCATGTCTGTTTTTCATTGTTTTTGGCCTCTGAGAATTTCTCTAACTTTCCTGCCTACTCAGGCTTGCATTAGTTCATAAAAAATTACTTTATACAGCTTTTTAAAAATTTGGTTATATTCTCTACTGGGAGGAATTCTTTGGATAGCTAGAACACCATTTGTAAGATTTGGTTCTGATTGACATTCTATCTTGTTTAATTTTGTTTAATCTTTACAATAATCCTGTGAGGTATCTCTCATGTCCCCTTTAGCTATAAATGTTGAAAAGAGAGTCAGCAAGAGCAGCTAAACTGCTCAACATTATATAGCAAATCAGTGGCAACGGTGGGATTTCAAACAATGTCTGCTAGGCCACTGGCAGAAGAACTCATGTTCTTTGCCTTTTGCTCCCCTGGTTTTCATTCTGGGCTTTAACACAGCGTTATACCATGTACATTATACCAGAATGTTAGGTCTGTTCTATCAGAGAGTTTTGTCTATTTTGCCCTCTCACATACAACCAGCATCTAGAGCAGAGCCGACTCACAAGAGAAGGTCAGTAAGTATTCATTTGATCAACAAATAAGTGAATTTTTACGCTACCACATAATCTTCATAATGATAAATTTTGAGGCTGCTTAACAAGCCATTTGAGTTGGTTAATTAAGAATCTCTTTTTTGAAGATCATTGTGTTTTTACCTTAGTCTAAGAAAAAAAATCTATATGTACTAAGATGTCATTGTAAGAGCTATCTTATAAGGACAAACAATACTCAGGAACCAGTCAATTATTTTTCTTTCTTGCTGTGTCTCTGTCCCACATTGCCTAAATCCTTTTCAGTGTTGTTTTGTTTTGTTTTTAAATCAAATCACATCACATCATGAAGTTCCTGCATTTCAACTTGTCACATTGGTCTGATGGGTTCCCCGCTCCTGGTTTTGAGAGCTTCGGAGGTGGCTCCCTTTCATCTTCTGTACTATTCTTTGTAGAGATTAGTCACAACAACAACAACGTGATCCTAGGCATTTCTTCTCCTGTGCAGCTGACTGTGAAGCAAAGTAAAAGGGCAAACTATTTATAAGTCAAGCGGTTACAGGTGCAGAGAATAGATAAGTATTTAGCTTTGTCCAGGTTGGGAGACTATTCTTACTGAATTTCCTTGTTTGGGCTATTGTAGCATAGGCTCACATTTACAGGCAGGTCTCGAGCTTTTTAAAAAGCATGTCCCAGTGGCTGAACTTAATCCCACCTAAACTGCCTTGAGAAATCTGTCAGTCAATGTCTCTATTATCAGTTGATGTTTTTCCAGTCAAAAACTGTTAAGTAACATACCTACTATAAACTAATGCTATGCGAGGAAGAGGTAAAATTCACAGGGGACAGCAAAGAAATTAGTAATGTATGGAATACTTGCTATGACTGATATATATGCAGCCATGGGAGCATCCACCGGAGAACTGCTCCCTTTGGTGTGGGCAGGGATGGCTCCCCAGAGAGGAGTCAGGAAAGTATATCAATGTTCCTTCGAAGGTGTGGCTTCTTGGAAATCCTAGCTTTAGGGGGTCTTTTACCTTCTCTTACCTTCTCCAGTTATTCACAAACAGCCTTACCAGGTTCATTGTTCCTCAACATTTTTCTCTTTTTTCATCCTTTTCCTCCCAGCTTGGATTTGTATCTATTAATTACTAATAGATATGATGATTTATTGTTTACAATTAAGGTGTAATTTATTTCTCCAGGAAGAGAGAGGAACAGCTATGGTTCTAACTCCTCCTCACCCCTGATAATTACATGTATTAATTAAGTCCTTTAATATGCATGCACCTAGCAAACACTTTTCCCAGTTTGTCCCTGAAATGCTCTTGTTTCTATTTCCTGTATTCAAGGAGCAACAATTCTTTGATGCTCACCTACCCTTGTTTATTTGCTTTTTAAAATTTATGTACTTACTTATTTGTACTCTTGCTCACCATGGTCTCTCTTGCCTCTCAAATTGTAGGAGTATTGAATATATCATTCTTACTAAATTAGCTGTTTGATCCCGCTACAAATCCAGTATTTTTATCTTGAACTTTTTTCTTTTAACAATGTGTGTGATATTTTTCCCAATTAATTCTTTGGAGTTCAAGGGTTAGATGTTATTTATTGTGCTTCATGGGTTTGTTTTTAGATTTAACATGTTAATATACACAAAAATAATACTAAAATGCTTAGGCTCATAAAATAAATATTAATTTCCCGGAGTTTGTGTCTTTTTGTCCTTTCCTTTTAAAATTTCCTTTATTGTATATTCATTCATTCTTTATTTCTGTAACAAAAAGTTCCAAAATATCTTTGTTCTTAGCACTTTGCAGACATAGGGTGTACACAAACTCATAAGATATGGACTCTGCCATGGAAGATGGGAGGACATGCTGTTTGAATACATCAATAAATAAGAAATAGTTTCATGCTGTTTTTGTTCAGTATGTATTTAATGATAGGTTTTACTATTTCTTTGATGTGTGTGAAGCTTCTATTACTTTCTGAGAATTTTGTTTACTGAGTCAAATTTTCTGCCTAGAGGCCTTAAGCTGCTGTGACAGACATGTTGAAATTTTTATAATGCGTGAATAGAGTATCAGTGTTGAGGCTCAGTGCAGTGCATTTGAGAACATTGTTTTTTCTGTAAGGAAACAACTTGCTATCACTCTGACCTAGGCAACAGATTTACAGATGCACTTAGGAAATCTAGTGATCTTTACTATCTGCTATCTCTAAATGTGACTGAATTGCATTGAATAAATATTTACTGAGAGTCTACTAAGAAGAGCCTCCAAGATTCTGCATTAGATTTGTACAGAAGTCGCTGTAACATGCTAGGAGAGCCATCAGAGGAGACAGAAGCAAACTCATGGTGGTAAGAGGATGCAGGAGTCTGTGGTGGCTGTGGTCTTAGGAATATTTCAGGGTATCAAGGAAGTAAGCTAATGAATAATTTCTGAAAGGGCTTTGAATACTTGGCTGGCAATGGCAAGTTACATATGACCAACCTAATTATCACTTTGCTTCTCATCCAATAATGAGTCAGTGTCTGTCTGGTGAGGTTCTGACACACCCAAAGTGCTCTGCCAGCAGATATATGAAACTCTGAAGAATAGTCTTCATATGATCTTTGGTTGTGATATGATTAGGAGGGAGTAGTCTGAATTGTGGGGCTCCCTGAAGTCTTCAAGCAGGGTTCTGGTCCGCAAGTTCTCTCCTGGAAGGTGGGAGGGGTCCTGAGGGGTCATGATCTATTCAAGCCCCCATCCAACCCCCACATCACTAAACATTCCCATTTGTGTCTTCTGGTGCTTCATGTTACATATGAAGTACAAAGACCATTGAATACTTTCACTTTCATTTTGGAAATCCTATCTATTGAGGGTAGGAAATGTGGTTTCTAGGGTTTGTTGACCATTTGGTTACAATTTGGGATTGCAACTGACTTGCAGGATTTCAGACAATGCAAAGGCAAAGTCTAGTCTATTCCTGGAAGAAAAATCATGGGATGGGGAGACCTTTTTTATCTATGCCACTTTTTAACCTTTTTTTGGAGGTACTGGCAGTTATAGCCACATAATTCTATTAGGCCATCGATGGCTGGGTCTAGATCTGTGACTTTCAAATTAGGTCTTAATAGGGTTGGAATAGGGTTATAGTGGTGTCCATTGTAAATTGGTTCCTAAAATTTTATTTATGTCCCATCTACTCCTTTAACAAATATGCCTTAAGCACTTACTATGTGAGGGACTCTGTGTTAATTCTTGTCAAGAGATATAAAAATGTATAGTCTTGGCCGGCGCGGTGGCTCACGCCTGTAATCCCAGCACTTTGGTAGGCCAAGGTGGGTGGGTCACGAGGTCAGGAGATCAAAACCATCCTGGCTAACACGGTGAAACCCCGTCTCTACTAAAAATACAAAAAATTAGCCGGGCATGGTGGTGGGCACCTGTAGTCCCAGCTACTCGGGAGGCTGAGGCAGGAGAATGGTGTGAACCCGGGAGGCGGAGCTTGTAGTGAGCCTAGACTGTGCCACTACACTCCAGCCTGGGCGACAAAATGAGACTCCATCTCAAAAAAAGAAAAAAAAAAGTGTAGTCTTGCATGCCTCTTTATCACCTGTCAAGGGTGATAAGTTTAAAACAATTTTTTTCCTCTGGGATTTGAAGATTTTCTCCTGTTTCTTTTCTTCACTATTTCTTAAGATGAGAGTCTCTATGTCCTGTGAATATGTAATAAGCAAAGAACAAAAGTAGTTTTCTGACCTTTAACTGTTTCAGAATAGTTTTGAATATATTAGTTAAAATAGCATAATATTATGTCTTCAACATGAATACAATATCTTAAATTTCATGAAACATGGCACACACTTGTTCTGTGTAGTAACTGTAATAAGGCAGACATCGTTAAATGCCCTATTTTGTAGATGGTGACTCAGAGGTCAAGTAATTTCATTATGACTGGCCAAGTGGCAGAACCTGAACTGGAAAGGGGAGTGTGGTGCCCTTTCCATTGCTTTACATTTCCTTGTAAATGTCAAGAGCAGCTGAATGTTAGTATTCTTTTCAAACTGCAAAGTGACTTTTCAGCAATTGGGGTTGTTGTTTGAAATGTTTTTGAATGGCTTGTCTTCTATCTTTCCCTCATAGGAAAAGAAAAATACGACACATAGCCATGATTGAAGACGTGTACCTTCATCTGAGAAGACATCTGCAAATATTCTGGTCACTATTAAACTATATCCAATTTTTAAGTTGTTTATTTTTAAGTGAGGGCTGTTTTTATAGATAAAGTTTAAAAAGTCTGGCATTGTTGACATATATTTTACATTAACCTTTGCTTTTGGAAGAACCAGATATTCCCAATGTTAGTGTAATCGATCGTATTTTTTTGATTGTTATGTGGCAGTTGCATGTATTACGTTTTTAAGTTGTCATAATAACCTGGTGAGAGAAGTACTATTATTATTTGACTTTTGTAGATGAGAAAATTGAGAGACAGAAAAGTTAAGTGACTTGCCCAAGTTTATACAGCTAGCAAGTAGAAAAACTGAGATTTAAACTCGGGATGGACTTGTTCCAGAGCCCATGTTTTTAACCACAGCATTATACTGACCCGTCTTGGCACTGCACTGATGAGGTGTGTGATCTTTCTTAGGTCACCTAATGGTTTTGGTTTTCAGATTCATTTATGAGAAGGAGAATGCATGGGATAATTTATTTTCTGAGCAGTATTCCTTGTATGCTTACATGCCTTTATTTAGTCCTCACAAGAACCCTAGACATAGATAGAATTATTATCATCCTTATGTTACATATGGGAAAATTAGAACTTAGAGAGTTCAAGTAACTGCTAAAGGTGACATAATCGGTGTAAGAACTGGGAATCACCGCCAAGATTTCAATCACTATGCTTTACTGTCTTTCCTTTTTAGGGGCTTATGCTGCCGTCAAATTCTTTACATTGAATCCTGGCTTTTTATTTTAGAGTCATAATGGCAATATGTTTGTTTCATAAAACCTTTCATTTAGAATTCATCCAAGAAGTGACTTAGTCTACTTATGGCTGCAAATACTGGGGAGCCATTAGCACAGTGACAGCAATCTTAACAATGAAACATTGTGCTATTAATATTATATTATTATTTTTTTGAGGAGTCACATGTGTAGCAAACAGGATGTAACCGGACATGTCAGGCAAGCTGTTGCTAACCCTGAAGACTACAAGGGATTAAATTCTCATTATTCCTCAGAGTTAGTCCCCAAATATCTGTGTATGTTCAGTTTCTTCAGTTTGGCAGGAAGTTTTAAAGAACTAAACAGCATGCCCTTCCGCCTGTGGCATATTCATAAGCTATTTTTGGGTGAGTCATCGGAATTCTGTGGTTTGTATCCTGAAGGGGGAGAGGAGACACTGTATGTTTAGCCTTTTTTTTTTTTTTTGAAACAGCTAGTTGAAAAAAAAATTCTTTGATAAAAGTTCAACATTAGGTAAGAAATATCTGCGGCAGGATCTTTCCATTGTGATAAATATTCCTCTCATGTTCACATCTCTGGGAATATTATACAAGTTTAATTATTTGACCTGTGCATATTCATGGCTTGACCTAGTGCACACAGAAGCTCTGGTCTGGTGTTTAGCTGAGGCAATTCATGGGGAATAAACAACTGGCTAAATGAGTCTTCTTCTGTCCTTGGAGTCTGCTCCCTAATGTCAAATCAATGCAGTAAGCTGGATAGAGTTGTGGACATTTATGAAAACACAAAGACCAAGCCAAACCTTTTGAGGCCTGTTAGGTAATATAACTAATACTGTAATTGTGGGTTATGATTAAATATTTGTAATGGTAAAAAAAAGAAGTGGGTGAAAATTGACAGTCTTTTTCTTTGTAACAACAAGAGAGCCTAAGAGGGAATTCCAGTAATTAATACATATTTTCCTATCTCATCAGGAAAAGGAGCTGATTGTTAATGGAAGAAGGAAGAAATACAAGTTTGTTGGGTATTTAGTATATGCCAGACGCTGTACTAGGGCTCAAAAAAAATTCCATAGAGACCATTTAGATCTGGCGAACATACTACTTTCAGAAACTGAAGCGAGTTTGTGGTCTACAGCATCAGTAGTCCATAAGACAGAGATTTAAGAAAAGAAATGGTGGTATTTAACACCCCTGTTCAATTATAGTTATCCATATGATATGACTGACTGATTTGTGACTGTCAACAGACGTATTCATAGAGGACAATTTCAAGTTAATCTTCAAAATGGGAGAGTTAAATTATTTTTAAAAAATAAAGAGTGACTACTGTTTGGTCCTTGAAATGATGTTAGGTGGATCATGAATTAGGCATTAAATGGCATTAAAACACATAATGAGAAAATTCTCTCTTTTTAATTCCCTTTCAGTTTTCTGAGTATGTCAAGCAGGAAGTTTCAGTGTGGTGTTAGTGAAATGTTAGCTCTTCTCAGGGCAGGCAACATCTCCCTTCATAACACTCCTTTTTAGAGTTACATTTTATTATGTTTTATTTCTGGCAAGTGAAATTGGTTTCCATTTATATGGAGTAGATATTAAAAATGTATTCATATGAAATATTAATTGATTTAAAAATATTAACTAAATAATACATGTAGTGAGCTGAATGGGCAATGGGACACCACCCTGAAGAAATTATCCACTGTGTAAAACTTCACAATTTTAGTGATTAAGAGGCAGATGGTTTCATAAAAGAAAACAAAAAATATAGTTTGTTTAAGATCTACCTGCTTGTCCAGAGCAGTTGTGTTCAAAGTGTGGTCCATAGACAAATGATGGTCTATGAACTTTTTGCCTGTCTGGAAAAAAATAAATATAGAACTCGTGAGTAACCATTTAGAAACTTTTATAGCTTTTATAGCTTATAGCTTATTGCTTTCATATCCAATTGCACAATATATTTTTCTAGTAATTGTTTTTGGTATTTTACAAAAGTGTCATTCTGTGATAAATTAGGGGAAAACCTAATCATTTGAGAGGGATTGATCTAAAACATATATTTAGAACAAGAACAAAACTAAGAAAAGTGGTAGTCTAAGCAGTTATGGAAAAAGAACATGCATTGGCAGAAAGTATGCAATCATCACAGGATCTAAAAAATAGGAATAAAGAGACTAAGATGGTACCTTTGTAAGGATTGGGACTGTCACAATTATCTTATGGTTGTATCCCAAGGATCCAGTGTAGGTCTTGTCATATAATCAGCATTTGATAAATATCTGTGGAGTGAATGAAGAAGTAAATGAATCAGTGAATGAGCTATGGTGCTTGGCAAGTAGGTCTAATGCAATCGCCAGAGAAAATGCTCTATTACATTGCAGTAATTGTTCATCATGCTTTTCCATTTATAACACTCTCTAATTCCCTTTTTTTCTAGATATATAAATATCAAGTCAACTTCCAAGTATGTATTAATTAGCTTGTCAGTGAATCTTGATTCCAAAAATGTGGTGCCTCAATTTAAAATAAATACTTTTAAATATTGGGTTGAATACTACAACAGGAAGCATAGACTGGATTGTGTTTCAGTAGGAAAAACCTCACTGTCTCAATGGCTTAATCCAACAATCACTTATTTCTTTCTCACATATATGTCTAACAAAGACTGACATAGGGCTTTGCTTATTACAGTCATCTCAACCTGTGTTTCCATGATAACCGTAACAAAAGATGTAGCAAATAACACACTGCCTCTTAGAGCTTCTGCCTGGAAGTGACACATTTTACTTCTATCCACTTTTTTTTTTTTTTTTTTTTTTTGGCGAAAGCAATGAATTCACATCTAATATCAGCGAGGTAGGGAAATGCAGTCCTACTATGTACCAGGAAACTGGAAAGCCAGAAAAATTTCTTGAAGAACACTACTAACCAGCATATACACCCATATGAATTAGATTAACAATAATTATTCTACCTCTGGTTGATCTTCTGTGATTGTACCAACAGCACTGAGTTTATGCACTGCCAGATAACTGGGCTGAATCGTCAATGTGGTGATCCCGTGAACATACTGCTGTTGATACACTTCTGCCTCAGCTGTCAGCTTGCTTACTTTAGCAGCAGCTCTGTTTTCCATTCTTTCTAATATCAATAGTGACATCTGCTACAGAATACCAACTTCTCTGGTTTGAATTCTCTCTCTACCAACTAAACATTACAACTGAATATTTCCTCCCATGAGAAGGAAGGTGATTGGCCTTAGATCTTGCTCTGAGAGATTTCTTCTAATGAATTTTTTAAGTGGCTGCAAATGTAAACTTTCTGTAAATATTCTTGTGTGAGATTGTTAGAATGAGTCAGGTTCCAGGAAGCTGATCAAGCCTGAGAAAATTGAACATATGAAATTTCTAGACTTGCAAACTTGAGAAAGAGGCCTGAGGTCCTAGTGATCTATAGTATTCATGCTATGAGTGTTCAACAGTTTCTGTCTGTCTGTCTGTCTGTCTGTCTGTCTCTCTAACCTACTTATTTTCTAAATGTCTTCCAACACAGGACATACCAACATGTCTAAAGTGGGCTGGAAAGGATAATTCTGAGGTACATAAACATTTTTGCTCTGTAATGCAATATAAAATATCTCCACCCCTTGCTAATAGTTTTGCATAAAGTACTTAAAAATTTTCCAGAAAAAAAGATTTACCTTAAAGACATCACTTTTTTTAATGATACTGTCAGCATTATGTGGACTTCCAAAATTAGTGGAATCTGAATCCAGATGGGTGAAATCTAACGGCACACTAGAGAAAACCATGATTTTCAAAATTATAAATAAATATCAAAACCTCAATATCTGCCTCTGTCTACAAACAGATGACAGAAGGAGGCAGACGTTTGAGACTTCAAAATATGATTAGTATTAACAGCCAAATTAGATTACTAAATTTCTTAAAAGCCACTTTGAAGAGGCTTTTCCCCAAGCTGTCTGTATTGAACGTATTAACAGAATGATTTCCAGAACTTTACAAGATTGTGCCAGTGGACACAGACTAATCACCCGCTGAATTATGGGGGAATGGGGGAGGATTTTTTATTACTCCTACATCAGCTGTGGCACATCTAGACATGTAACTAATCATTTATTAGCCTCTAATTTTGGAAGCTGGCTTTAGACGATAATCCTCATAAAAAGCTAACAAGGAGATGCCTTTGATAAGGCAGTAAATCACTAAGTAGAGAAATAAGCAGTTGATTTATGACTACTTAAATATTTTAGTCTCTGAAAGATAAACCTCCATTTCTGTTTTGCAAGTGACATTCCTATTGTTCCTTAAAAAAATTAAACTTTGATTACGTGATGCAGACAGAACATATTTCCCCCAGTTTCAGAGATTGTAGTTGAGTGACTGAACTTAAATACTAAGATCACTTCCAATTTCCAGAGCCTACTCACTCAGTTTCTTGAAACAGTCTGTGTCTCCAGAGCAATCAGCCTGGCATTGGCAGAGCAGGTGCTCTGTTAGTATATTCTGGTGTGTAGTGCATCAATCCTGTGTTAAAAATTTAAGATTCTATAGGTAAAATATTACTCAAATCATAAAATATTGTCCTTTTAAAAAAATCTAACACATCCTTCATGTTCTTGTTTCAGGACCTTTGCATTTGTCACTCCTTGTAGCCAGAACACCCTTCTCTGAGATATTTTGTGGCTTATTCCTTTATGTCTTCCAAGTCTTTGTTAAAGTCTTGCCTTCTTAGAAAGACCACAGCTGGCCACATTTTCTATAGTATCACCTCACTCACTTTCTAGCCGTGCTGTTATTTTCTTCATAAAACCGAACTCTACTAACACATTAATTTGTCTATCTACTTATCTTTCTTCTTTATTAGAACGTAAACTCCATGAGATGGAGTGGTAGTAGTGTGGGAAGTACTTCATATTGTTTATAACTGTTTCTATAGTGCCTAGATTAATGCTTACATCTTACCTGCTGAGCACTTAATACTTTTAATAAAAGAATGAAAGGGGGTTGGAGCAAGGTGAAGAAATAGAAGGCCCCACCGATCATCCCCCAACCTACCTCCGCAAGGACACCAATTTAACAAATATCCACACACAACAAAACACTTTCATGAGAACCAAAAATCAGGTGAGCACTCATAGTACCTGGTTTTAAATTCATATCGCTGAAAGAGGCACCGAAGAAGTAGAAAAAACAGACTTGAATTGCCTATGCCATCCCTCCCCCCTTCCTTGGCAGTGGCAATGTGGTGCAGAGAGCTTTTCTGCACCCTGGGGAGAGGGAGAGCCAGCAACTGTGAGGCATTGAACTCAGTGCTGCCCTTGTTATAGCTGAAAGCAGAGCCGGACCAAACTCAGCTGGCACCCTCCCGCAAAGACAGCATTTAAACCAGCCGGAGCCAGAGGGGAATTGCTGATCCCAGCGGTTGGAACTTGAGTTCCTACAAGCCTCACCACTGTGGGCAAAAGTGCTTTGGGGCTTCAAATAAATTTGAAACGCAATTTAGGCCTCAAGGACTGCAACACCAAGGTGAGTCATAGGCTGAACTGGACCAAGAGACAGTAGACTGTGGTTGCATGCGACCTACTGCGACACCAGCTGGGGCAGCTAAGGGAGTGCTGGCCTCACCCATCCCCGAAGCCCAGGCTGCAAAAATCCTGGCTGTAAAAGAGACTCCTTCCTTCTGCTTGAGGAGAGGAGATGGAATAGTGGGGAAGACTTTGTCTTGCATCTTGGATACCAGCTCAGCCACAGCAGAATAGAGCACCGGTCAGAGTTGTGAGACCCTCATTTCAGGCCCTAGCTCCTGGACATTTCTGGACACACCCTAGGCAAGAAGGGAATTCATTGCCTTGAAGAGAAGGACTCATTCCTGGAAGGATTCATCACTTGCTGCCTGAAGGGACCCTGAGCTGTGAATAACCAACAGGGATATCCAGGTACTACATCAAAGGTCTTAGGTGAGATGCTGAGACTGGCTGGACTTAGGAGAGACTCGGCACATTTCCAATTGTTGTAGCTGATTAGGGTGAGACTCCTGCTTGAGAAAAGTGAACAGAAAAGTAAAGGAAACTTTGCTTTTCACTTTAAGTATCAGCTCAGCCACAATGGAATAGAGTACCAAGTGGGCTCTTAGGGACCCCAGTTGCAGGACTTGACTTGTGGATGACATTTCTGGTACTTCCCATTGCCAGAGAGGAGCTCACTCCCCTGAAGGGTGAGTCCTAGCCAGGTAATATTCACTACAAGCTGACTGAAGAGCCTTTAAGCCTTAAGGGAACATCAGAGGTAGTCTAGTAGCAGTCCCCAGGGGTCTGAGGTAGTGATATCCACTGGGTGAGGCTCCTCTGCCTTTGGAAAGGGGAGGGAAGAGTGAGAAGGACTGGGTCTTGTAGTTCGAGTGTCAACTCAGCCACAAGCAAAAGAGAACCCTCGTACACTGTTGGTGGTAATGTAAATTAATAAATTAATACAAGCACTACGGAGAACAGTTTGGAGGTTTGTCAGAAAACCTAAAAATAGAGCTACCATATGAGCCAGCCATCCCACTGCAGGGTATATACCCCAAAGAAAGGAAATTAGCTGTTGCAGCTCTGTTTACAACAGCTATGATGTGGAAGCAAACTGCATGTCCTTCAACAGATGAATGGTAAAGAAAATGTGGTACTTATACACAATGAAATACAATTCAGCCATAAAAAGAACAAGATTCAGTCATTTGCAACCACATGGATGTAATTGGATGTCATTATGTTAAGTGAAATAAGCCAGGTACAGAAAGACAAACATCACGTTTCCACTTACTTGTGGGATCGAAAAATCAAAACAATTGAACCCATGGAGATAGAGAGTAAGAGAGTAGACAGGTCATTACCAGAGGATGCGAAAGGTAGTGGGGGGTTGAGGGAGAAGTGGGGGTGGTTAACTGGTACCAAGAAATAGTTAGAATAAATGAATAAGATCTAGTATTTGATAGCACAACAGGGTGACTATAGTCAATAATAATTTAATGCTACGTTTAAAAATAACTAAATGAGCATAGTTGAATTTTTTGTAACACAAAGCAAAAATGCTTGAGGGGATGAATACCCCATCTTCCATGATGTGATTATTATGCATTGTATGCCTGTATGAAAACATCTCATGTTCCATAAATATATACACCTACTGTGTACCCATAAAAATAAAAAATAAAATAAAAAGAATGAAAGAATGGATAAATGAATGAATAAGTTGATTAATCCATAAGACTGGAAAATTTCTCTGGCTCCCAGGAGCATATTGCTTTTTTTCTCTAAACTTAGTTAATATGTAGTAAAATCAGATCTTAATATAACTTTTTGTGATCTATCTTGTGACAATAGTTATATAATATAGGCTTATTCTTTTATGAAGATAATCATTTAGTTCTTTTTTCTCAGTATGCTGTATCCAAATTTGAACTAAAGTGGATTAAACAGGTTTTATTTGTGGGAAATTAGGGCCTTAGAATAATGAGGTAAATTCTGATAGCAAATGCTACCTCTCTTCAGTTTGTAGTGAGAAAATGTTAGCTTTTTAAATAACAAAGATGAGGCCTTTTAGACATAGTTAATTGGTGCAAGCTAAAAATTCTCAAAGTTCTAAAATTTGCATATTCTTTGCATGTATGTAGTCTTTAGGAACTCATGACAAAAGGATATATTTTTAAAATAATGTGGAAATTTGAAAATGAAATCTCTTTTCCAATTCTAAAAGAGCTTTTCTTTTCCCCCCAAGGCTCTACAGTTTTAATTTAGCACTGTATTAATCAAATAATAACCAAATAGGGTTTATTTTAAAAATCCAAGGATGTTTAAATTAAGAAATCCATTATCATATTTCATCCGCAAAGAACTTTTCTAACATGCTGAGGGCTGAGAATCGCAAAAGACTGCACCCCCCCACCACTGCTTCTTAGAAAATTTCTTTTCTGTAAAAAAATGGACTCATAAACAGTCTTTCTGAATTCCAACAGCATGTTCACAGAAGCACTTGGGCAGGAGAGCATGGTAGACAATTTTGGATCTGAGCTTGGAAGATCTGTTTTCACATCTCACAGTGAAAAAACAAATCTATGGAAAGAAATTTGAAAAAACATGCTAGTAAACCCAGTGCCTAGGATTTTAATAATCCTAAATTAGAATAAATACTTATTATCCAGCTCTGGTATCCTATTTCCTCTTTGGAACGCTCACATAGGCAGTTCAGAAATATTTGTGCCAATGTTTCCTTGGGAACATATAAAAATGGTAGAAATTATGAAGAATAAGTACACCAGGGTAATATCATTTTGTGAATAAATACAATTTATATTTGTTTTCAGCCGAGAATTTCCTAGTAGCATACATGATTTTGTTATAATTTAATTAGGTTCACATAGCAAGCCACTCCTGTAAATGGCTGTGATTATTACTCTCATGTCAAGTTCTTCAGAACTCCTCACCCACTTGCCAGGTGTGTGCAGGGAGAGATCACGAAGCATGAAAGCAGGAATCATGTAGGTCTGGAAGACACATTATGTAGACATGAGACAGTGATAAATTAGTGGAATCGAGAGATGTGTCCTTTGCATTAAATAGTCATCAGATCCTGAGAAAGACAGTTATTCTGTCTGGCCTCCATTTGTTTTAGGAGTGGCGTGGAGATTTGACGGAATATAACATTTCCATGCCATTTAACTTGTTGTGATATGTGATTCATTTTCTGAGACAATAGCATTCATATGTGTGTAGGTTATGCTCGTGAAAACTGATTACTTCCTACTTTTATTTTATAACTAATATTTTTTCTTTTTTCTTTTTTTAAAATTTTATTATTATTATACTTTAAGTTTTAGGGTACATGTGCACAATGTGCAGGTTTGTTACATATGTATACATGTGCCATGTTGGTGTGCTGCATCCATTAACTCGTCATTTAGCATTAGGTATATCTCCTAATGCTATCCCTCTCCCCTCCCCCCACCCCACAACAGTCCCCAGTGTGTGATGTTTCTCTTCCTCTGTCCATGTGTTCTCATTGTTCAATTCCCACCTATGCGTGAGAACATGCGGTGTTTGGTTTTTTGTCCTTGCGATAGTTTGCTGAGAATGATGGTTTCCAGTTTCATCCATGTCCCTACAAAGCACACGAACTCACCATTTTTTATGGCTGCATAGTATTCCATGGCGTATATGTGCCACATTTTCTTAATCCAGTCTATCGTTGTTGGACATTTAGGTTGGTTCCAAGTCTTTGTTATTGTGAATAGTGCCACTATAAACATAGGTGTGCATGTGTCTTTATAGCAGCATGATTTATAATCCTTTGGGTATAGACCCAGTAATGGGATGGCTGGGTCAAATGGTATTTCTAGTTCTAGATCCCTCAGCAATCAACACACTGACTTCCACAATGGTTGAACTAGTTTACAGTTCCACCAACAGTGTAAAAGTGTTCCTATTTCTCCACATCCTCTCCAGCAACTGTTGTTTCCTGACTTTTTAATGATCGCCATTCTAACTGGTGTGAGATGGTATCTCATTGTGGTTTTGATTTGCATTTCTCTGACGGCCAGTGATGATGAGCATTTTTTCATGTGTTTTTTGGGTGTATAAATGTCTTCTTTTGAGAAGTGTCTGTTCATATCCTTCGCCCACTTTTTGATGGGGTTGTTTGTTTTTTTCTTGTACATTTGTTGGGGTTCATTGTAGATTCTGGATATTAGCCCTTTGTCAGACGAGTAGGTTGCAAAAATTTTCTCCCGTTCTGTAGGTTGCTTTTTCACTCTGATGGCAGTTTCTTTTGCTGTGCAGAAGCTCCTTAGTTTAATTAGATCCCATTTGTCAATTTTGGCTTTTGTTGCCATTGCTTTTGGTGTTTTAGACATGAAGTCCTTGCCCATGCCTATGTACTGAATGGTATTGCCTAGGTTTTCTTCTAGGGTTTTTATGGTTTTAGGTCTAACATTTAAGTCTTTAATCCATCTTGAATTAATTTGTATATAAGGTGTAAGGAAGGGATCCAGTTTCAGCTTTCTACACATGGCTAGCCAGTTTTCCCAGCACCATTTATTAAATAGGGAATCCTTTCCCCATTTCTTCTTTTTGTCAGGTTTGTCAAAGATCAGATAGTTGTAGATATGTGGCATCATTTCTGAGGGCTCAGTTCTGTTCCCTTGGTCTATATCTCTGTTTTGGTACCAGTACCATGCTGTTTTGGTTACTGTAGCCTTGTAGTATAGTTTGAAGTCAGGTAGCATGATGCCTCCAGCTTTGTTCTTTTGGCTTAGGATTGACATGGTGATGCAGGCTCTTTTTTGGTTCCATATGAACTTTAAAGTAGTTTTTCCCAATTCTGTGAAGAAAGTCATTGGTAGCTTGATGGGGATGGCATTGAATCTATAAATTACCTTTGGCAGTATGGCCATTTTCACGATATTGATTCTTCCTACCCATGAGCATGGAATGTTCTTCCATTTGTTTGTATCCTCTTTTATTTCATTGAGCAGTGGTTTGTAGTTCTCCTTGTAGAGGCCCTTCACATCCCTTGTAAATTGGATTTCTAGGTATTTTATTCTCTTTCAAGCAACTGTGAATGGGAGTTTACTCATGATTTGGCTCTCTGTTTGTCTGTTATTGGTGTATAAGAATGCTTGTGATTTTTGTACATTGATTTTGTATCCTGAGACTTTGCTGAAGTTGCTTATCAGGTTGAGGAGATTTTGGGCTGAGATGATGGGGTTTTCTAGATATACAATCATGTCATCTGCAAAGAGGGATAATTTGACTTCCTCTTTTCCTAATTGAATGCCATTTATTTCCTTCTCCTGCCTGATTGCCCTGTCCAGAACTTCCAACACTATGTTGAATAGGAGTGGTGAGAGAGGGCATCCCTCTCTCGTGCCAGTTTTCAAAGGGAATGCTTCCAGTTTTTGCCCATTCAGTATGATATTGGCTGTGGGTTTGTCATAGATAGCTCTTATTATTTTGAGATACATCCCATGAATACCTAATTTATTGAGAGTTTTTAGCATGAAGGGTTGTTGAATTTTGTCAAAGGCCTTTTCTGCATCTATTGAGATAATCATGTGGTTTTTGTTGTTGGTTCTGTTTACATTTATTGATTTGCATATGTTGAACCAGCCTTGCATCCCAGGGATGAAGCCCACCTGATCATGGTGGATGAGCTTTCTGATGTGCTGCTGGATTCGGTTTGCCAGTATTTTATTGAGGATTTTTGCATCGATGTTCATCAGGGTATTGGTCTAAAATTCTCTTTTTTTGTTGTGTCTCTGCCAGGCTTTGGTATCAGGATGATGCTGGCCTCATAAAAATGAGTTAGGTAGGATTCCTTCTTTTTCTATTGATTGGAATAGTTTCAGAAGGAATGGTACCAGCTCTTCTTTGTACCTCTGGTAGAATTTGGCTGTGAATCCATCTGGTCCTGGACTTTTTTTGGTTGGTAATCTACTGATTATTGCCTCAATTTCAGAGCCTGTCATTGATCTATTCAGAGATTCAACTTCTTCCTGCTTTAGTCTTGGGAGGATGTATGTGTTGAGGAATTTATCCATTTCTTCTAGATTTTCTAGTTTATTTGCGTAGAGGTGTTTATAGTATTCTCTGATGGTAGCTTGTATTTCTGTGGGATTGGTGGTGATATCCCCTTTATAATTTTTTATTGTGTCTATTTGATTCTTCTCCCTTTTCTTCTTTATTAGTCTTGCTAGTGGTCTATCAATTTTGCTGATCTTTTAAAAAAACCAGCTCCTGGATTCATTGATTTTTTGAAGGGTTTTTTTGTGTCTCTATTTCCTTCAGTTCTGCTCTGATCTTAGTTATTTCTTGCCTTCTGCTAGCTTTTGAATCTGTTTGCTCTTGCTTCTATAGTTCTTTTAATTGTGATGTTAGGGTGTCAATTTTAGATCTTTGCTGCTTTCTCTTGTGGGCATTTAGTGCTATAAATTTCCCTCTACACACTGCTTTGAATGTGTCCCAGAGATTCTGGTATGTTGTGTCTTTGTTCTTGTTGGTTTCAAAGAACGTCTTTATTTCTGCCTTCATTTCATTATTTACCCAGTAGTCATTCAGGAGCAGGTTGTTCAGTTTCCATGTAGTTGAGCGGTTTTGAGTGAGTTTCTTAATCTTGAGTTCTGGTTTGATTGCCCTGTGGTCTGAGAGACAGTTTGTTATAATTTCTGTTCTTTTACATTTGCTGAGGAGTGCTTTACTTCCAACTATGTGGTCAATTTTGGAGTAGGTGTGGTGTGGTGCTGAAAAGAATGTATATTCTGTTTATTTGGGGTGGAGAGTTTTGTATATGTCTATTAGGTCCGCCTGGTGCAGAGCTGAGTTCAATTCCTGGGTATCCCTGTTAACTTTCTGTCTCGTTGATCTGTCTAATGTTGACAGTGGGGTGTTAAAGTCTGCCATTATTATTGTGTGGGAGTCTAAGTCTCTTTGTAAGTCTCTAAGGACTTGCTTTATGAATCTGGGTGCTCCTGTTTTGGGTGCATATAGATTTAGGATAGTTAGCTCTTCTTGTTGAATTGATCCCTTTACCGTTATGTAATGGCCTTCTTTGTCTCTTTTGATCTTTGTTGGTTTAAAGTCTGTTTTATCAAAGACAAAGATTGCAACCCCTGCCTTTTTTTGTTTTCCATTTGCTTGGTAGATCTTCCTCCATCCCTTTATTTTGAGCCTATGTGTGTCTCTGCACGTGAGATGGGTTTCCTGAATACAGCACACTGATGGGTCTTGACTCTTTATCCAATTTGCCAGTCTGTATCTTTTAATTGGAGCATTTAGCCCATTTACATTTAAAGTTAATATTGTTATGTGTGAATTTGATCCTGTCATTATGATGTTAGCTGGTTATTTTGGTCGTTAGTTGATGCAGTTTCTTCCTAGCCTTGATGGTCTTTACAATTTGGCATGTTTTTGCAGTGGCTGGTACTGGTTGTTCCTTTCCATGTTTAGTGCTTCCTTCAGGACCTCTTTTAGGGCAGTCCTGGTGGTGACAAAATCTCTCAGCATTTGCTTGTCTGTAAAGGATTTTATTTCTCCTTCACTTATGAAGCTTAGTTTGGCTGCATATGAGATTCTAGGTTGAAAATTCTTTCCTTTAAGAATGTTGAATATTGACCCCCACTGTCTTCTGGCTCATAGCGTTTCTGCCAAGAGATCAGCTGTTAGTCTGATGGGCTTCCCTTTGTGGGTAACCCAACCTTTCTCTCTTGCTGCCCTTAACATTTTTTCCTTCATTTCAACTTTGGTGAATCTGACAATTATGTGTCTTGGAGTTGCTCTTCTCGAGGAGTATCTTTGTGGCATTCTCTGTATTTCCTGAATTTGAATGTTGGCCTGCCTTGCTAGATTGGGGAAGTTCTCCTGGATAATATCCTGCAGAGTGTTTTCCATCTTGGTTCCATTCTCCCCGTCACTTTCAGGTACACCAATCAGATGTAGATTTGGTCTTTTCACATAGTCCCATATTTCTTGGAGGCTTTGTTCATTTCTTTTTCTTCTTTTTTCTCTAAACTTCTCTTCTCGCTTCATTTCATTCATTTCGTGTTCCATCACTGATACCCTTTCTTCCACTTGATTGCATTGGCTACTGAGGCTTCTGCATTTGTCACGGAGCTCTTGTGTCTTGGTTTTCAGCTCCATTGGGTCCTTTAAGGACTTCTCTGCATTGGTTATTCTAGTTAGCCATTCGTCTAATTTTTTTTCAAAGCTTTTAACGTCTTTGCCATTGGTTCGAATTTCCTCCTGTACCTCGGAGTAGTTTGATCATCTGAAGCATTCTTATCTCCACTTGTCAAAGTCATTCTCTGTCCAGCTTTGTTCCATTGCTGGTGAGGAGCTGCGTTCCTTTGGAGGAGGAGAGGCACTCTGATTTTTAGAGTTTCCAGTTTTTCTGCTCTGTTTTTTCCCATCTTTGTGGTTTTACCTACCCTTTTGTCTTTGATGATGGTGATGTACAGATGGGTTTTTGGTGTGGATGTCCTTTCTGTTTGTTAGTTTTCCTTCTAACAGACAGGATCCTCAGCTGCAGGTCTATTGGAGTTTGCTAGAGGTGCACTGCTGACGCTGTTTGCCTGGGTATCAGCAGCAGCGGCTGCAGAACAGCGGATATTGGTGAACCGCAGATGCTGCTGCCTGATTGTTCCTCTGGAAGTTTTGTCTCAGAGGAGTACCTGGCCATGTGAGGTGTCAGTCTGCCCCTAATGGGGGGTGCCTCCCAGTTAGGCTACTCGGGGGCCAGGAACCCACTTGAGGAGGCAGTCTGCCCGTTCTCAGATCTCAAGCTGCATGCTGGGAGAACCACTACTCTCTTCAAAGCTGTCAGAGAGGGACATTTAAGTCTGCAGGGGTTACTGCTGTCTTTTTGTTTGTGTGTGCCCTGCCCCCAGAGGTGGAGCCTACAGAGGCAAGCAGGCCTCCTTGAGCTGTGGTGGGCTCCACCCAGTTCGAGCTTCCTGGCCGCTTTGTTTACCTAATCAAACAACTAACTTGGCAATGGCAGGCGCCCCTCCCCCAGCCTCACTGCAGCCTTGCAGTTTGATCTCTGACTGCTGTGCTAGCAATGAGTGAGACTCCGTGGGCATAGGACCCTCTGAGTCATGTGCGGGATATAATCTCCTGGTGTGCCGTTTTTTAAGCCCGTTGGAAAAGCGCAGTATTAGGGTGGGAGTGACCAGATTTTCCAGGTGCCGTCTGTCACTGCTTTCTTTGACTAGGAAAGGGAATTCCTTGACCCCTTGCAGTTCCTAGGTGAGGTGATGCCTGGCCCTGCTTCAGCTCACGCACGGTGCACTGCACCCACTGTCCTGCACCTACTGTCTGGCACTCCCCACTGAGATGAACCTGGTACCTCACCTGGAAATGCAGAAATCACCCGTCTTCTGCATCACTCACGCTGAGAGCTGTAGACCAGAGCTGTTCCTATTTGGCCATCTTGGTTCCTCCCCCTTTTTCTTTTTTCTAATTACAAACATAATTCATAAAAATAGTTACTTCAACTTTTTATGGTATTTAAAAATTTACATAAAATATTTTAAATAATGTTTTAAATCCATTCATATATTTATTTGGCAACTATCCATGAAATCCCAGCTAAGTGCTAGAGTGTATATTTCTTAAAGAAATAGACATGGCCCTTGCTCTTGTAAGTGTTGTAGTCCAGTCCTAGGTATATTCTAACTTTCATTAGGACTTTTTATTTGATCCTTTAATTATTTAACAAAGTAGGTTTATGATTTTCCCCAAATCTATTTTCTTGTAATAATTATTTTTACTGATTTCAAATATAATGGCACTAAGGACATACAACATGGTCTGAATGATGCTTACTGAAATTTACTGAGAGTTTTTTTATGGACTGATGTGTGACCAATTTTTATAAAGATTTCATTTATGCTGGAAAAGAAAGTATATTCTCTTATCATTAGAAATGTAGGGTTTGATTTGTGCCCATTAGATGAATTATTAATTAATCTGTTCAAATATTCTTTATTCCTATCATAATTTTGTTTTATCTGTTCATCTTGTAGAAAGCATGTTAAAATTCAGCTTATTGATGGTGAATTTTATCATCTTTTCCTGGCAGCTTTGTTAATTTTTTTTGCTGTATATATTATGAGGCTATGTTGATATGTATATACATATTTAAAATTTGTATATGATCCTGGTGAATTGAACTAGTCAAGTTCTAGATAACTGCAGCATTGGCTGACAGTATGACAACCTCATGTGAGAGCCTGCATTAAAACTACTCGGATAAGCTCCTTCTAGATTCCTCACACTCTGAAACCATGAGAAACAACTTATGCTTGTTGTTTTAAGCAGCTACATTTTGGGGTAATTTGTTACATGGCAGTAGATAACTAACACAATCTCATTTTCTCTATTTTATCTTTTTGGAACTCTAATTGTACAATTATTAGACATTTTTCAATCTATCTCCCTTGTCTTTAAACATATCATTCCCAATGCTTTTTCTGTCTGTGAATTAGTAAGTATAATTTATTCAGATCTTGCTCATAGTTTACCAATTCTTCTTTGTTTCATTATAACCTGGTATTTAGATTATGTATTTATTATTATCTATTTATAACTGAAATTCTATTTATTTACTTTCTCACATCCTTTTCTCATTTTTGACAAATTCTAATTCCTCATATTTGGCTGATCATAATTTTGTTTTACTACTAAATGGATGATGATAAGAATGCCCTAAGTTCCAGAAGGATTTGTGTTTCTTTTTGACAAGACCCGGGGTGTTATCAACCTAGAAGTGCATTCAATTTATTACATTGGCTTCAGAGTTCCAGGACTTTTCAGACATAGGAATGAACCCTCTACCTCCCAACCTTCTTGATGGGAAGCTTAGAATTTCAAAATTCTTAAGGGAGTATTATTCTTCACTGAGTAAAGGCTTAATACAGACAAGTTACAAATTACATTTGCTCACACTCTAGTCAGGGTTAGGTGCATGCTGGTAGCAGAGATGTGAAGGTGGCATTTTTTCCACAGCCTCTGTATCTCTAAGAAGACTGTGTCAACCCTTTTTCACCCAGGCCAGAGAGGAAAGGCAGTTCTTGCAGTTGGTCTAATATTAAATAATATATATAAATATTATTTATATTTATATATTATATTTATATATTATTTATATTTATATATTATATTTATATATTATTTATATTTATATATTATATTAGGTTATAATATAAATATTATTTAATATCAGTTAGTTTATTTTAGGGTCTATAGGGTTCATAAACTTCAGGAAGCATTCTGTTGGTGGATGGAAAATCTCTCTTTACAAGTGTCTTTTTCTTCATGATTCTTAGGCTTTATAAAGGAGACCCAGTGATATTAAGACTCTTGCTTGGGAAGTAAACTGGCGCTTCTTAAATTATTTGTGGTGACGAATTTATTTTTATTATTTATCAATTCTCTTCTTCCATTTTGTTTAAATTTATACTTCAGCTTTTTCTTCTTTCTCTTGGCTCATAAAGTATTGACAATGATTGTTTATCTTTCTGTCCATCCCTGATACAAGCATTGAGAACTTTAAGTATGGCATTGGCAGCATCCCAGATTGAGATGTGGCACTTTCATGATTTTATTCTTTAGATAGTCTATTGCATCCTAAGTTATCTTCCTTAACAGTAGTATATTTAAAGAAGAATTCACTCTGCTGAACGTGATAAGAAACAGAACTCAGAAAGAGGGACACCTAGAGGATGAAAACAGAAGATACAATTTCAGTTGCTGATAATGTGATATTATGCCCAAATTATTCAAATAAAAAATTCTTAGAATTAGTTGAATTGAATGACTAAAAAAATAAACATTTGCAAATTGATTTCATTCGTCTATACCAACAATTAGAAGATAAAAAGGCGGGGAGGGACCAAGATGGCCTATTAGAAGCAGTTGTGGTCTGCAGCTCTCACAAAATGGCAAGAAAATTCTGCACCTTCAACTGAGGTATCCAGATTCTCACATGAGAGCCTTGGGTATGAAGCACAGAGTTGTGCAGAGTCTCAGCAGAGTGGCTGCTCCCTCACTTTGGCACGCAGGGAAACTCAGGGGTTTTGCATACTCTAGCCCTAGGAATTCCAGCAAAGAATCCTGTGCATTCCCCTAGGAATGGGGCTGAATCCAGTGAGCCCAGTGACATTGTTCTGCAGGCCCCATTCCCATGTCACCTCACAAGTTAAGAAGCACTGGCTTGGAATTCCAGCTGGCCAGCAGCAGTAGGCTGGAAAGGGCCTGAGACCACGGAGTTTTCTGGGGGAGGGGCAGCTGCCATATCTGTGGTTCCAGTCTGATGCTCTAGCCTGCTGGCACCGGGACCAGAAGAAATTGCCCACAATGCAGCACAGCTGTTGTTCCTGAACATGACCCATCTGCTTCTTCTGTGTTTTTGTTGTTGTTGTCGTTGTTGTTGTCGTCACCCAGGCTGGATTGCAGTGGCGGAAGCTCGGCTCACTGCAAGCTCCGCCCCCCAGGTTCACACCATTCTGCTGCCTCAGCCTCCCAAGTAGCTGGGGCTACAGGCGCCTGCCACCTCGCCTGGCTAATTCTTTTGTATTTTTTAGTAGAGACGAGGTTTCACCGTGTTAGCCAGGATGTCTCAATCTCCTGACCTCATGATCTGCCAGCCTCTGCCTCCCAAAGTGCTGGGATTACAGGCAACAGCCACCAGGCTTTTTTTTTTTTTTTTTTTTTTTGAGAACGGAGTCTCGCCCAGTCACCCAGGCTGGAGTTAATGGCCTGAACTCGGCTCACTGCAGCCTCAGCCTCCTGGGGTCAAACGAGTCTCCTGCCTCAACCTCCGGAGTAGCTGGGATTAAAGGTGCCCGCCACCATGCCCAGCTAGTTTTTTTTTTTTTGATGGAGTCTGGCTCTATCACCCAGGCTGGAGTGCAGTGGCACAGTTTTGGCTCACTGCAAACTCCGCCTCCTGGGTTCAAGCGATTCTTCTGCCTCAGCCTCCTGAGTAGCTGGGATTACAGGTGCGCGCCACCACACCTGGCTAATTTTTGTATTTTTAGTGGAGATGGGTTTTCACCATATTGGCCAGGCTGGCCTCAAACTCCTGACCTCAGGTGATCTGCCTGCCTTGGCCTCTGAAAGTGCTGGGATTACAGGCATGAGCCACCACACCTGGCCAATTTTTGTATTTTTAGTAGAGACAGGGTTTCACCATGTTGGCCAGGCTGGTCTTGAACTCCTGACCTTGTGATCCGCTCACCTCGGCCTCCCAAAGTGCTGGCATTACAGGTGTGAGCCACCGTGCATGGCCCCAGTCTGCTTCTTTAAGTGGGACCTGCATCCATCCCTCCCCACTGGGCAGGGCCTCCTTGCCAAATTTCAGCAACTCTAGCCAGGGTTATATGAACTGAACTCTGATTTCTCCCTGGGATGGAGTCCCTTGTGGGAGGGGCAGCCAGCTGTCTCTGTGGTTCAGCCAACTTATTTTTTCCAGGTTGCTGGCTCTGGAGAGGCCAGGTGGTCAGCGCAGCATACTTGATCTGCCAAGGGGCAAATGGACTGCTTCCTTAAGCAAGTTACTGATCCCATTTCTCCTCTCTGGGTGAGACCTCTCAACAGGGGTCTGCAGACACCTCCTACAGGAGCCTTCAGACAAACAGCGGACCTCTCAGTGGAAACCCTACAAGCCAGAAGAGATTCAACATTCTTAAAGAAATGAATTTCAAACCCAGAATTTCATATCTGGCCAAACTAAGTTTGATAATGTTGGGGTGATCAGACCCAACACCGGGTCATGGGGGCGACGAAGTCCGGTGGAGTCAAAGGATTGAGAAAAAGACAGTTTGAGAAGTAAAGTGGGACCAGGGGGCCATCGCGATTGTGGAGGCTGCAAAGGCCCTGAGCTCCGGGAGCCCATGCTATTTATTGGTAATCCAACAAAGAAACAAGTGGTGAGAATGTGGGGGTCAAAAGGGCAGGCACATGATCTACAGCTGTGATGGTTTAGCATTTATAAGGAACATGTTCTGCTACTTGAGATAATGGGAATACAATCAATCTAGGAGCCTAGGAGGCTAGAAGCAAGGAGCCAGCAAGTCTAGACACATTCCCGAGGACATTATGTCAGACATGCCCACCCTGCCTCAGTTTTTTTCCCAACACTCAGCTTTTTCCCAACAGATGAGCAAAGGAGAAATAAGATTATTTTCAGACAAGCAAATCCCTAGGGAATCCATCACCACCAGGCCTGCCTTGCAAGAGCTCCTGAAGGAAGCACAAAATATGGAAAGTAAAGACCATTACCAACCACTACAAAAACACACTGAAGTACAGACACCAGTGACACTATGAAGCAACCACATAAACAAGATTGCAAAATAACCAGCAAGCATCATGACAAGAGAATCAAATTCACATATAACAATATTAACTTTAAATGTAAATGGGCTAAATGCCCCAATTAAAGGACACAGAATGGCAAGCTGGATAAAGAGTCAAGACCCATCACTATGCTGTCTTCAAGAGACTCATCTCATGTGCAAAGACACACATAGACTCAAAATAAAGTGATGGAGGAAAATTTACCAAGCAAATGGAAATCAGAAAAAAGCAGGGGTCACAATCCTAGTTTCTGGGAAGACAGACTTTAAACCAACAAAGATGAAAAAAGACAAAGAAGGACATACATAATGGTAAAGGGTTCAATTCAACAAGAAGAGCTAATTATTCTAAAGATATATACACACAATACAGGAGCACCCAGATTCATAAAACAAGTTCATAGAGACACTCAAAGAGACTTAGAATCCCACACAATAATAGTAGAAGACTTTAACACCCCATTAACAATATTAGACAGATTATTGAGACAGAAAATTAACAAAGATATTCAGGACTTAAACTCAGCTCTGGATCACAAGGATCTGATAAATATCTACAGAATTTTCCGCCCAAAACCAACAGAATATACGTTCTTCTCATTACCACATGTTATTTACTCTAAAATTGATCACATAATCAGAAGTAAAACCCTCCTCAGCAAGTGCAAAAGAACTGAAACCATACCAGTCTCCCAGACCACAGCACAATCAAATAAGAACTCAAGATTAAGAAATTCAGTCAAAACCATACAATTTCATGGAAATTGAACGTCTGCTCTTGAATAACTTTTGGGTAAATAATTAAATTAAGCCAGAAATCAAGAGTTTCTTTGAAAGTAGTGAGAACAAAGGCACAACATACCAGAATCTCTGGGACACAGCTAACGTGTGTAAGAGCGAAATTTATAGCACTAAATGCCCACATCACAAAGCTTGAAAGATCTCAAGTTGACACCATATCATTACAACTAAAAGAGCTAGAGAACCAAGAGCAAACAAATGCCAAAGGTAGCAGAAGACAAGAATTAATGAAGATCAGAGTGGGACTGAAGGAGACAGAGACACAAAAACCCATCAAAAAATCAATGGATTCAGAAGGTGGTTTTGTGAAAAAAGTAATAAAATAGATAGACCACTAGCTAGACGAATAAAGAAGAAAAAAGTTTCAAATAAACACAATCAGAAATGATAAGGGGGATATTACCACTGACACCACAGAAATACAACCAACCATCAGAGAATACTTTAAACATCTCTATTCACATAAACTAGAAAATCTAGAAGAAATGGATAAATTCCCGGACACATACACCTTCCAAGACTGAACAAGGAAGAAATTGAATCCCTGACTAGACCAATAACAAGTTCTCAAATATATAGCCTACCACCAGCACCACCACCACCAACAAAAAGCCCAGGACCAGACGGATTCAAAGTTGAATTTTACCACGTGTGAAAAGAAGAGCTCATATCATTTTTACTGAAACTATTCCAAACAATTGAAAAGGAGGGACTCCTCCCTAACTCATTTTATGAGGCCAGCATTATCCTGATACCAAAACCTGGCACAGATACAGCACAAAATGAAAACTTCAGGCCAATATCCCTGATGAACATTAGTGCAAAAATCCTCACGAAAATACTGGCAACCAACTGAATACAGCAGCACATCAAAAAGTTTATGGGGATAAACTTGGCTTCAACCCTGGAATAAACTTTATGGGGATCAAGTTGGCTTCAACCCTGGAATTAACTTTATGGGGATCAAGTTGGCTTCAACCCTGGAATGCAAGATTGGTTAAACATACACAAATCAATAAATGTGATTTATCACATAAGCAGAATGAAAGACAAAAACCACATGATTATCTCAATACACTTAGAAAAAGTTTTTGACAAAATTCAACACCATTTCATATTAAAAACTCTCAATAAACCAGCTACTGAAGAAACATACCTCAAAATGATAAGAGCCATCTATGACAAACCCACAGCCAATATCATACTGAACTGGCAAAAACTGGAAGCATTCTCCTTGAAAACTGGCACAAAACAAGAATGCGCTCTCTCACACTCCTATTCAACAAAATATGATAAGTTTTGGCCAGGCCATAGGCAAGAGAAAGAAATAAAGGGTATTCAAATAGGAAGAAAGGAAGTCAAATTATCTTTGTTTGCAGATGACATGATCCTATATCAAGAAAACCCCATAGTCTTAGCCCAAAAGCTTCATAAGCTGATAAGCAACTTCAGCAGTCTCAGAATACAAAAATCAATGTACAAAATTTGCTAGCATTCCTTATACACTAACAATAGACAAGGAGAGAGCCCAATCTTGAATGAACTACCATTCACAATTGCTGCAAAGAGAATAAAATACCTGAGAATAGAGCTAACAATGGAAATGAAGGACCCCTTCAAGAACTACAAACCACCCCTCCAAGAAATCAGAGAGGACACCAACAAATGGAAAAAACATTCCATGCTCATGGATAGGGAGAATCAATATCATGAAAGTAGTCATACTGCTCAAAGTAATTTACAGATTCAATGCTATTCCCATTAAACTAACATTGATATTCTTCACAGAATTAGATGAAACTATTTTAAAATTCTTATTGAACCCAGAAAGAGCCTGCATATCCACAACAATTCTAAGCAAAAAGAACAAAGCTTGGTGCATCATGCTACCCAACTTCAAACTATACTACAAAGCTACAGTAACCAAGGTGATATGGTACTGGTGCAAAAACAGACACATAGACCAATGGAACAGATTAGAGAACTCAGAAATAAGACTGCACACCTACAGCCATGTGATCTTTGACAAAGCTGACAAAAACAGGCAATGGGGAAAGGATTTCCTATTTAGTAAATGGTGCTGTGATAACTGTCTAGCCATATGCAGAAAATTAAAACTGGACCCCTTACTTACACCTTATACAACAATGAACTCAAGATGGTCAAGATGGATTAAAGACTTAAATGTAAAACCCCAAACTATAAAAACCCTAGAAGAAAGTCTAGGCAATACCATTCAGGACACAGGAATGGGCAAAGATTTCATGATGAAAATGCCAAAAGCAATAGCAACAAAAGCAAAAATTGACAAATGGGATATAATTAAACAGCCTCTGCACAGCAAAATGAACTATCACCAGAGTGAACAGACAACCTACAGAATGGGAAAAAATGTGCAATATATCCATCTGACAAAGGTCTAATATCCAGAGTCTACAAGGAACTTAAACAAATTTAGAAGGAAAAAAAGAAATGACCCCATTAAAAAGTGGGCAGAGGACATGAACAGACACTTCTGAAAAGAAGACATTCATGTGGCCAACAAACATATGAAAAAAAGCTCAACATCGCTGATCACTAGAAAAATGCAAATCAAAACCACAGTGAGTTACCATCTCGTGCCAGTCAAAATGGCACTTATTAAAAAGTCAAGAAACAACAAATGCTGGTGAGGTTGTGGAGAAAAAGAAATGTTTTTATACTGGGAATATAAATTAGTTCAACCATGGTGGAATACAGTGTGGTGATTCCTCGAAGACCTAGAGGTATATTCCTTTGGTATATACCCAGTAATGGGATTGCTGGGTCAAATATCTTTTGACACATAGACCAATGGAATAGACACATAGACTATTGACCGAATACCATTAAACTCAGCAATCCCCATTACTGGGTAGATACCCAAAGGAATATAAATCATTCTATTATAAAGATACATGCAAGAGTATGTTCATTGCAGCACTATTCACAATAGCAAAGATGTGAAATCAACCCAAATGCCCATCAATTATAGGCTTGATAAAATGTGGTACATATATACCATGGAATACTCTGCAGCCATAAAAAGGAATGAGATCATGTCCTTGGCAGGGACATGGATGGTACTGGAAGCCATTATCCTCAGCAAACTAACACAGGAACCAAAAATTGAACACTGCATGTTCTCACTTATAACTGGGAGTTGATTGATGAGAACACATGGACACGTAGGGGAGAACAACACACATTGGGGTCTTTTGGAGGATGGAGGGTGGGATAGAAGAATAGCTAATGGAAGCTGGGCTTAATACCTAGGTCATGGGTTGATCTGTGCAGCAAACCATGATGATACACGTTTTCCTATGTAACAAACCTACACATCCTGCATGTGTACCTTGGGACATAAAATAAAAGTTGAAAAGAAAAAAAAAGAAAAGAAAAGGGCATGGAAAGATCCCCAAACACAATAGCAACTGTGAAAATAAAGCAGCCCAGAAATTAGCTTAACAATACATGTATGGAAACTATATGAAAAACTATAAAATTTTACTGTGAGTTATAAATAAATGAATACAAGAAATACAGACATATCATGCTCATGATTGAGATTACTCTGTGTTATTAGGATATGTTTCTTTTCAAAGGAAAGATGATATATTTATTTAAAGTAATGTCAATCAAAATCTCAATGGACCTCTTTTAGGAGATGTGCCCAAATTATTTTGAAGCTTATCTGGAAAAATAAGTAGAGATAATTCCTGCCTGTCCTCCTGGGGAGATGCAGGACTGGGCTGGGTAAGGAGGCTGTAGATGGCAGTAAGGTAAGTACACAGGCTCGTGGCAGAGGATGGGCCACCACTGGAGTCTTGTAGTCTCTGAGTTTTCAAAGTGGTCCAGGGAAACTTCTGACAACACTTGGGCATTTCCCACTGAGGTGGATGAGTATATTTCAGTCATTCAACAAATACTCTTTAAGCATTAAGCATGATTCTAGGAAGTGGAGATGGAACAGTGAACAAAACAAAGTCCCACCCTGGGACTATTTGTTCTATTGGGACTGGTTCTATTTGGGAAGGAAGACAATAAACTTGAATTTTGTCGACTAATTCTTAATACTTATAAGGGAAACCTAGAGACAGCTATCAAGACCCTAATGTAGTAAACTAGTGCTTTATAAACTGTTGGTCATGAAGGCCTAATTGTTTTACTTTCTAATACAGGCACACAGATATTTTTGAACATATGAAATCTTTTGCTTGGATGATGTGGCAATATTAAAGTTTCTACACACAGTCAATTTTGGTTCTTATCTCATTGCTGACTGCTAATTAACAATTTGTGATTGGTAGGTCCTTGGACTACACTTTAGGTAACACTGAAATAAATAATCTCAGGGACAATCTCAGCAATGGGATATAGTGCTACAGACAAGCTACTTTTGAAAGGGAGTTGGCTCTGGGAATCAATTTTCCTTCATTCTATTGGCACTTCATCATTGCTCTCCTCCATTCATACAAGAGCACTCCAATTTTTAAAAGTTTCAGCCTTTCTACTCTTAAACATTTCAGCCTTTCTCTCTTAAAAATTGGTCTCTATGGCAGCAGAATAAGGGGAACCAGCAGTGGCAAGTTAGTCTTGCAGAAGAGAAGGAGTTCAGACTTCAGACTTGACCATTCTTTGTCAAACCTTGAAGCTCTGCCCACTAGCTCTGTGCTAATGGATGCTTTGGGAAGACTTCATTCCATGGGAAATGGAGTTTACTGGAACAGAATATGGATAATCTTCTAAAAGAAAGAAAGAGACAAAAGCAGGGATGATCACAGAGTGTTTCCTGTCTCTATACACTGAGACATATTGGGAATTTCAGTTTCTGAAGATCCAAGAAATAATAAAAGGCCTAATTTCCCATCTTAATTTCAGGTTCAGTTTTTTCCTAATTCCCAGGTCTCTCAGGCTCTCAGGCATGCACAGGGCCTCGTTCAAGTTATGTCAGAAGAAATCGCTATTCACTTCAAAGAAAGTTCAAACTTCTCTAAGCATTAGTTTTTCTGATCGTAGATATAAATAATTGTCTACACCTTTTACAGCTGTTTAGAGTTTTAGAACTAATGCTTATAGATCCTCTTAGCACAGGTTCAGTGATATTCTAAGTGCTCCCTTAATGTTAGTTTTTACCTTGGAAGGGAAAGTTGGATAGGTGGTTACTTGTTTGTATGTATGGTTTACTTCTATGTCCAGGCTTCCATGTATACATTCAGAAAATACTTCCTTGATTCTTTTTCGCTATTTGTTTTTTACACAAAAACGAAGAGGCACGCTGTTATATGATTATTACTATGGGTTTAGTTAACACACTTTGAATTAGATGTTGTGGACCCCACATTTCTTTTTTTTTAGTGACTTGCACTCAGAGAGTTTGGTTAGAAAGTCACTTTGGTCTTGAGGGAGATAAACAACACATCCCCAAAGGGCAACCTGGAGTTGCCCTTTGATG
The DNA here is from genome assembly GCF_000001405.40 of Homo sapiens. Taxonomy (NCBI): domain Eukaryota; kingdom Metazoa; phylum Chordata; class Mammalia; order Primates; family Hominidae; genus Homo; species Homo sapiens. Next base: position 22,237,676 of record NC_000009.12, read on the forward strand.
TGATAGTTGCCCTTTGATGTGATAGTTAACCACATCAGTTAGTGAAGTGAGTGAGGGGAGGGGTAGTTTGATGAGCTAGCTCCCGCAAGGAGACAAGGTATCCCCCCACATTAACCTCATGCTTTGTGTCCCAAATCAGGACAACTTTGACTCATTTCAGTCTTTATTCCTAGGCAGAAGCAAGTCTTAGTCCATGCCAGTTTATCCCTTGATCTGAAAATAGTCTCTGGCTGTCAGACACAACTATGTCTGAAATTAAGATTAAGCCCTATGAGTCTTCAGTGAACAAAATGGAAATAAATGCTGAAAATCCCCCTACCTATCTTGAAAGCATACCCTGGAGTGAGAGGTTGTTTTCTCAATTAAAATTTATCTTTTCAGGTGTTTTGTAGAAGTCTAAAGACTCAGTCAGTGGGCATGAGTCATCTGGCTGTGGTAAGATTAGAAATTCCTAACACATGATATAGGAGGCCAGTGCTCCAGGAGGCAGAGAAAATGAAGGAAAACAGCTTTCTACAGCTCTTACCCCCACAACCCCCATCTCTCTGTAACTTAATTTTTCTTCTCAAGTTTCGAACAAGTACAGATAGAACAACTTGTTTTCTAATCTTTTTCTCTTTTTCTCATTCCTCTTCTTTCTTTATTCTTCTTTTCCCCCCTCTTTTTGTTTCCTTTTCCTGACTCTTGAAAACCATGGCAAGTGCTTATTATTTCAGTTGAATATGTTAAAAATTGTTATCAAGAAGTTGATTTTTTGTGTATAAAAATGGTGAACTAAGATACTGTTAAAAGAGTGGAATAAATGAAGAGGAGAGACAGAAGAACCAAAGATGGGAAAAGGACTGGAAAAGAAAAAGAGACTAAAAGGAAGGTAAGGGGCGAGGAGGAAATGGGCCTCTGAGCCTGTAGAGACCAATGGGGACTACGGAAGTCTGAGTTTATTTAAAAGACTAACTGGGGAACATACTTTGCTAAGTTGTGCTTTTTCACTAGCTAATATCATAACTAAAAAACCAAAGGTATTGCAGCTTCTATTTCAGGAAATCGCAATCCAACTATTCAATTTTTTTTTCAGCTGTTTTGATGTTAAAAGATAGGCCAGAGCACAGGTTTTGTGCATTTGAAATTGCTAAGTAGCTGGCCCCACGGGTTATTCACTCACAGTGCTCTTCAGGTGACTGGTCAGTGTTGGTGAGGATAATGTTTCCATTGCTCCTTCAGTCTCTTTGGCCTGCTTTCCTGAAGGAGAGTAATACAAATCCTAATTAAAATGAAAATGAGAAGTTACTAAAATGCCCTTTCCTTTACAGAACTCTATTTCATTTACAGAGGTCGGATGTTCGTGTTTAACTACCAAATCCCTCTATCTCACTTAGAGCTCAGGAGTCAAATAATCTAGACAAATAAGTCAATGTAGTTCCTAAAAGTGCCGAAGTACTTTTCTGCCATAATTTTTTTTTTTTTTTTTTTTTTACTTTGAGGACATCTAGCGGCGGTTTAGTGGCTGTGTTCTTCAAAGGCAAACTGGAAGAAACTTCAGGACATAGTAGCAATGGCAGAACCTATTTTTCTGAACACCTTCACACTTACAGTGATTTATCTTAAGCCTGAAGACAAAACTGCTGTGGTCCTGGAGGATAAACAGGCTCATTCCAGAATCTGCAGCTAAATCCTCACTTCCTTCTTTCACTGTTATCAGACAAAATTCCCTTGGCCTAATTGTTTTATGGGTAGTTTTTAATGAGCTCGTTGTTTATTGACACAAATAGATCTCCTTTTAAAGACTACAGAATGGCCACAATCATGTCATTTCATCAACTAATTAACAGATATTGATAGCCTGCTTTGGGTGGATATTTTGAGGGTCATACTAAGATAAGACAAAGGTTTACGTGAAAGGGAACTTTTGACCTCTTTATTCTGTTTGGGCTTGAATTTTATTGGGTAGCATCTTCATCGGTGGAAAGAGGGCAGGTCTTTTTCAAATGCTGGTGGTGAAAGACTTCAGTTCTGTCCTCAGAGACGAGGGCCTAATAATCTGAGTTTTCCTTTCCTCATTTGTAAATGAAGGTGATTATACTTAGTTCATAAGGTGGTTGTGATGATGATATGAAACCTGAAGACAACTCACATAGTGTCTAGTATCTGGAAGACACTAAAAAATTTTTAAAACCCCTTGTCTACTCCCCTCACTTCACCCCATGCCTTCGACATGGCCCTTGCTGTAGTGGTCTTCTGGGCAAAAGTGTTCACTGCCTCACCCAGAGCCCTGCAAATGCCACTCTGATCCATCTTCATCTGAGTCTTTGGAGCAAACCACATCTCACAGCTTTGTAATTCTGATCTACTGACTTGCCCTGGATCTTTCATACAAACCTGTTCTATAAGATCAAGGTAAATCACACAAAATAACTTGTTAGGCAGAGTTTCTGATAGTTATGATAAGCAGCATCAAAACTGGCTATTTTAGCAGTAAATTCCCTGATAATCATGGGTTCAAGAAGTGACATGTTCAGCTTGTTGACATGGGAGCTGTTGATATCTATATTTTTCATTTAATGTAAATTTAGACAAGGTGATTTCTAAGATCCTCACTGCATGTAACAAAGTTCAAACATTTTAATTCAGTCTCAAAGAGCCACTCTAGTCTACTCACTTCTTTAGATTTATCTTAGGTCACTGTTGCCTTGCTCATTATATTCCTACCCATTCATTTAAAAAACTCTTTTTGAACTCACTGAGCTCTTTGCTACCTTTTGACACTAGACATAAGTTTTCTTCTTTTTGGACTCCATGTTTTATTCTTCATCTGGCTAATTCCTTCCTATTCATCCTTTGGCATCAGCATAAATATTGCTTTATCAGAGAGATTATTTCTGACCCTAATCTAAATTTGGTCTCTTCCTTTATTCTCTCTCCTTATACTCCTCCTTCCTATTATAATTTCTAAACATGTGTTTGTGATTTTATTTGTTCATTTATTGTCTGTGTCCTCACTAGAAATGTATACTCAATGAGAATAGGGACATATCTGCATTATTTCCAATGTCTAGCAAGGTGCCTGGTTCATGCAGGGCATTCAGTATCAAATGGCTGAAACTCAACCCTTCTAATAAAAAAGTCAATGGCCCTATGACTCATTTCTACACTTTAACACACTCCACATTTCCCTTGACAAAACTTTTGTTTTGCTTAGTAGCCCTCTGGGGAATCCCCTTGCCTCAGATTATTTTTGGTTACTGACGGTTTCAATTCAGCAAATCTTGATTTATAAGAAAGATTTCTTAAAATAATCTTCATTTTTCTCCATTCAAAAAATTATTTTTCTTCTTAAACAGGCAATTCAGTGTAGGTTTTTAACATATCTTTTGTGCAAACTTATAATAGTTCAAATCCCATTGGTACAAATTCCCTCACAACAGATATCTTTGCACAATGAAAAGATTTTTTCAAGCCCTCAGTTTGTGGGCTGAGAACGACTAAAAAGTTGAAGTCTGTTCTCTAGATTCTTGTCAGTGAATAATGTGCAGTTCCATAGACCTTATTCTTGACATGTGACTAAGCCTTACCTACTAGTGAACTATTAAGGAAGGTATTAAGGAGTGCTAAAATGTGGTATTCGTAAGCACCAGAGTATTAATCAAGCTTCATGAGGATTTGAATTTCTCCTTCTTTTACCGTATTAGGCTGGCACAATGTCTTGGCAATTGTAAAACTCCCAGGTAATTGAAATTTCCAGGACTACCTATTTGATAATCATTATAGCATGGTTTTAAAATTGGTTTTGTATATGTGATTAATATTGCTTTTTCAAAATTGGAATTGCTGTTCATTTAGCTTGATTCTTTTCAATTTAACTGGTGAATTGTTTGGTTAACCTTTCCCAGATCCTTCCAGTCAGAAGTAATTTCTCTTATTTCTGAACTCTTATAGTTCTTTGTAATACCATTTTAGTAGCCTTTATCAAAACCTGTCTTTCAGATATTTGGCTATGTCATTCAGCTCCCATTTTTGGACCTCTTCTGCTTTCTGGATTGTCTTTCTCCATTAAAAAAACAATCTAGTTAATTCCTAACTGCTTTACTCTGCAAACCTCTAATTCTCACTTATCCTTTAAGGTTTAGCTTAGGCAACCCACTGGTTGCCTAAGTCTCTCCCACTTCCTCATCCTCATCTTCATTGCACACTTATATTACTCTGTGTATGACTCTGTTGTAACACTTACCATGCTAAACTGTCAATTTATTTCTCCCCACCAGACCATGCTTCTCAAAGTAGCCCACATTTTATTAGCACTCAGTATCATTGCCTTAACACAATACATGTTTAATAAAATTAATATGTTTTATTTCCTCAAGTAGACATGAAGGTCCTTAAGTTTAGAGATTATGTTTTATTCAGTCTTATATTTCATTGTCTACTATAATGTCTTGTATAGTACATGCTTTCAAAACTTTTGTGTAACTCTAAGGGAAAACCCCTACACTCTCCTCTTGTCTCTAAGAAAATGGGGCTATAAATATATCTCTAACTCAAGTTGGTGGGCATCTGCAGATTGCATTTCTATTTAAGAAACTCTAGGTATAGAAGTATCAGTGAGCCCATTTGCCAGGTATCTTCAGAGAATGTTTCTTTTGTAAATTTTAAATCAAAATAGTGACTTGGGCTGTCTCAACAGAAGTGAGAAATGAGAAAATGCAGGTGGTGCACTAGATGAATCTAATTAGATTTAGAATGAGAAACTAGTTTTGAAAGCCCCTGTAGTCATTGCCTGTCTAGTATTTCTTCTATTGTGTGTAGTAGTATCCACAAAACAAAGATATCTTGATGTGTGTTTGGTTGATGTAAGAAAGTATCCTCACATATTGCAAAAAGGAGATTTTGAGCTGATTACATTATAATAACTTTTGTAAATCTTGTTATGTTTTCACATAATCCTTATTATTTATTTCCATGTTTCTTTGTTATTTTTATAGCCCACCTTTGGTGGGATCTGAAATGCTCTTACAATATAAACATACATGTCTATTGAAAAAAGCAATATCCAGAGATTCTTAGGGTCAAACACTAAATTCTTAGTGTAAAAATAATCATTCTCTTGAGTTTTGACCCATTCTATTTTTTCAAAATCTGAGACTTTACTCTCACTTAGTCTGCCTTCTTCAGTCCTTATAGAAAAACCAATTATGGATGTCTATGGGTAGTGAAGATAAGGCTGCAGAAATGAAGTAAGGTGTTCTCAAGGGAAATTGAGACTTTATGAGAAATTTAGAGAAATTTTACACAGGAACAATTTGAACTAACAATTTTTTAAAAGTCAAATATTTCTGGGAGAATTAGGTGTCAAGGTAGGTGTGTGTGTGTGTGTGTGCGTGCATGTACATATGAGTGTGGTTTGGCTGCATTAGAACTCTTCTTTATTTTAATGCCAATTTGCTCAAACGCAAACACACATACATACATGTGCATGTATAGTTTTTATTACCTAGCTGAATTTAGCCAGTTTGAAAGAACGGCTATTTAGGCTGGAGGTCTGGGCGGCAGATGGGAAGGATAATGAGGAAGGCAAGCCTGACTGGGTGGTCCATCATTCTGAGGGCCTTTGAGGATGGAAGGTTCATGAAAAACAGTAAGTGTAGTAGTTAAAAAGTATTAGAAATACACTGCTGCACTTACCAGCTGTGTGACTTTGGGTAAGTTGTTTAATCTCCCTGGGCCTCAATTTCAGTTTTCTCATTTGTAAGATGTAAATAATAATAGGCCTCTCTCATAGGGTTGTTGTGTTAATTAAAGGAGATTGATACATATAAAATGCTTAGGACATAAGCACTCAATATATATTAGCTTCTGTCCTCCTCTTCTTTCTCTTCTTCCTTTTTCTCTTCTTTTTCTCCCCTTCTTTTGGTTCTTTCTTTGTTTCCTGGTAGAAGGAATACAAGACTGTATCAGAAGATGCAAGAAACATCAGAAAGTAAACTCTGGCAGATACAAGAGATAATTCCTCTGGAACTGTGGTCTTTTGTCATACTTCTGTGTCTGCCCTGTCAATCACCCTCTGTCCTGGCAAAGAGGAGGCTGCGAGAACCATAGAGTTCTCCACTCTGAGACTCTTGGCCTCAAGTAACCACTGAGTCCTTGGTCACTTTAAGGTATACAGAGAAGTTCTGGCAGAAATTTTTCTCATACTAGGGCTGAAAGATGAAAGTGATTACCTCTGAGGCAGCTGGTTCTCTAGACTTCCCCACCGTAAATAAACTTCTGGTTGTAAGCATTAGTGAGCTTGCTCCACTATAGAACATGTATATGGAGAGAGAAGGGTGTCAGTTCCCATTTGTCCACAAATTGAGAATTTATGCATCTTTGGTGACTGCCTCCCATTTCAGTCCACAGCATTTAAACTCCAGCGAAAATAGATGCAACCGGTGATGTTGAGCTCACAATGTGCCAGGCACTGTTCTAAGTGCATTCTGTGTATTAATTTCGTTTATCCTTACAACTACCAAATGTGAGAGATACTATTATTATCCCAGTTTAACAAATGTGAAAACCAAATCACAGAGAAGTGAAATAGCAGAGTCAGGACTAGGCCCATCTGACTTCAGAACGTACCTCTGAACTATTGCCATCTCTCAGCGCCCCCTGCCGTATTCAGCTCTTCGAAGGCTCTCATTCTGTGCTTAAAAGCTATCACAAGATTGTTTATTCTGCAAGCTATGCTTTTTCTCTTTAATCTTCACTTGGACACCTATTATTACTAAAAATCATTTCAGTCAATAAGCACCTAATATATTCCATTTTATTTGATTCCTTATTTCTCTTCCCCACAATAATGTTATGTTTTATTTCCTGTCCTTAGTCCATTGTACATTGCCTGGTACAAAGGAGGTGCTCAGTAAGGTCTATGGAATGAAATAAAAAAATTATATATTGGGTTGAATATACAATTTATTCATTTTTGAATTCATTTTTTCAGAATACGATTGTATAGACAGGTCCAACTATAGAAGGTTGCCATAAACTTTGAAGTTTACAATAAATTTAAATGCGTTCACAGCTTCTAGTTAGGCAGAAGAGGCTAATAATTCTACAGGTGGTAGCTTGCTTTTCTAAGGAAAAGAAGAAACCAGCAGTACAATTATGCTGATTTCTGCCATTTAATGGTGTGTTTTTTGATTGTTTGACACTAGGTGGAGCCAAGAAGCCTTGCAGGGAAACTCCAAAGAAGCAGGAACTACTGTTACCAACCCTCTGATCGTACTCAAAATAATTTGAAGTTGTTTTTTTTTTTTTTTTTTTTAAAGATTGCAAACTGGTGCATTATTCGCATCAATTATTTAATTACATTCATTCTCCAGTGAATTATTTGCTCTACTGGTTACCTTATTATTTTTGAAGTGGAAAAGTTTTATACTTTATTTCTTTCAGTTTCCCAACACTTAGAAACAATTTTAAATATTTAAGTGAAATCTCTATTTGGTAGTTGAGACTCAAAACCCCAAATCTTTCTTCACCCTCCCACCCTCACCCTCCTTTCTTTTAAGTGCAATGTGGTTGCAGACGCCGAAGGTCTGGCATTCTGTGAAAAAAGGTCCTGGACTAGCAGTGAGGAAGTTTTCTTTTTCTTCTCTTTCCTTTTTCTTTTTTTGTTTTAAAAATAATTTTTGTACATTAAAACAGTGAATATCAGCAACTGCAATTGGTTCAACATAACCAATTTTACACTTACCAAGTTCACATGAAAGTCAAAAGCAGAATCATAACCATAATAGTTTTGACTCTGCTTTTGACTTTCCTTATGACTTTGGTAGGTCACCTGTCTTCTTGGGGTCTCATTTTCTTCATCCATTAAATGGAAGGAACAGGCACCAACTTGAAAGACACATTTTCATTTGAATTTTTCATAATTTTGGCCCCTGAATTATTCTGATCTGTGTCATTGACTGGTTCTTTATGCTTTTGTCCAGCATGTGTTTTTGAATTCTATAGATTTTGGCTAATTATGGACTATTACTAGATGTTCATTAATTACAGACTACTGGAGACCTGAAATGTGTCCTCTACATAGGCTCAAGTTCATTGTTAATTTCCTGACATAATTTCTTACAGGATGCCGAGTTACTGTTAATTGTATTTAGTTCAATTAAAGGAAAACAATAATAGAAATTCATGTTTTATTACAGTGTTACCTTAGGTTTTTCCCTTTATAATTAGCTTAGTGAGGTAGCTCTATTTCTGTAAAGTAGTGTTGATTTCTTTCCAGAGGGGTATTTTACTCTAGTACCATGTAATAGTTAAGTTGAACCAAACCTTAACTGGGAAAGTTAAACTAAATCTTAATCTTCATTTTATCCTTCACCCTGGGTGGGATGTCAGAATAAATCAGTTTTAATAACTTTTCCAAACATCAGTGTTCATAGCAATTAATAGATGGTTCTGTACCATTTTCATATGGTACTATATTTAGTTGGTAAAAACCAGATGATGATTTTCCAATGGCTAAACTGTAGGTATTTTAAAATAAGAGTATTATCATTTGCTAGACCAATAATTTCCCCAATAAATTCAGTAGCATACAAATCCTAAAAAAACTCCCTAAGGAAATTATTTTATGATTAAATAGCTTAGGTAACATCGCATATTATATATGGGGGTTCACAATGAATAGCATAGTAAAGGCTATGAGAAGGCCTGCAGTTATGTTTCTTTTTTAACTTTCACCTGGTATTCTCAAATTTTTATGACCTTTTCTCTATAATACTGTGCAGAGCTTGATATCCATGAGCCATATCTGATACATATTTTCTCTTATTCTTAAAATTTTTTCAAGGCAGTCATTTATATTAAATTACTATATTAGCTAGCATCAATATTTTACCTCTGGAACAAAAAAAGAGCATTCAAAATTTAATACCTCTTTGATTTTCTTTACTTAGTAGTAAATAAAAGTGAAATTGTAGTTGGAAATTGTACTTTGAAATTGGAGTTTCTTCCATTTTGAAGGAGATTTTCCTGCCCATAGTCCTTTACTAACAGTGGATCAGGTAGATGTGTTTTTTAGTCTAAACATGATGGAGGAAGGTGCACAATTTTGGACCAAAACCATGATATAATTTCCCCATATTTCTCATTTCCCTGATGCTAAAACTGTTCTCTTTATATCAATTGAAATGGGTCTTATTACTAGCTAAGATCTCTTGAATTCAAATACTGACTTTCTGCTGTGCACCTTTTTGCAAGCTTACTAACCAATCTATGCCTCGTTTTCCTCATCTGTAAAATGGATATATTAGTATCTATGTTAAGAGGTTGTTGTGAGGACCAGGTAAGTGAACACTCATAATGCACTTGGAGCACTGATTGGAAAGCCTTTCATCATGTCAGCTGTTATGGTTAATGCTTATGGTGCTATGCCTAGGTGGCAACGGAGAATGTCACGCATTAGCCTTTCCCCAACGCCCTCATCAATAGAATGTAAAATTTTTAAAGAAATAGATAAAACTTGAGCTCTGTTTTGCCAAGGCAAGAATTTCCAGATCATATTGTGTTATTTGATCAAAATTCTATTTTGCCTTCCATCTATATCCTTAACATTAGTCAATTAGTTATCCATTTGTTGATCTCATATATTAACTGAGTGCATGTTGTTTTATAGGCACTGGGCTAATTTTGTAGTAATGATATTGGACAAGTTAGATATGGCTCCTCTCCTTGTAGACCTCAGAGTTATAGAGGGACTCGCAAAGAGCGTACTGGGTACTGTGAGAGAGGAATTCATGAGAGTAGACAGAGTTAGCCACCTCCAAATAGGGAATTATGGAATTTTCATGGAGAAAAATAACATTAAGGTCGAAGTCTTTTTTCTTTTTAATGCCTTCATTTCTTCATATTTACTTACTTATTTTCAACTTCTATTTTAGATTCAAGGGCTACATGTGCAGGTTTGTCACCTGGGTATGTGGTGTGACATTTGGGGTACAAATTATCCCATTACCCAGGTATTGAACAATATTTACCCCTCTCCCTCTGTTCCCCCTCTAGTAGTCTCCAATGTCTGTTGTTGCCATCTTTATGTCTGAGTACCCAATGTTTAGTTCCCACTTATAAGTGAGAATATGTGGTATTTGGGTTTTTGTTACTGTGTTAATTTGCTTAGGATAATGGCCCCAGCTGTATTCATGTTGCTGCAAAGGACATGATTTAATTTTTTTTTATGGTTGCATAGTATACCATGATGTGTATGTACCACATTTGCTTTATCCAATCTGCCATTGATGGACACCTAGGTTAATTCCATGTCTTTTTTTTTTTTTTTTTTTTTTTACTGTGAATAGTGCTGTGATGAACATGCAAGTGCGTAGGTCTTTTGGCAAAATAACTTGTTTTCTTTTGAGTATATACACAGCAATGGGATTGCTGGATTGAATGGTAATTCTAAGTTCTTTGAGTAATCTCCAAACTGTTTTCCATAGTGGCTGAGCTAATTTATATTGCCACCAACAGTGTATAAGCATTCCCTTTTCTCCAGCCTCTGTTGTTTTCTGACTTTCTAATAATAGTCATTCTGAGTGGTGTGTGATGGTATCTCATTGTGGTTTTGATTTTTCATTTCTCTGATGATTACTGATGTGGAGCACTTTTTCATGCTTGTTTGGCCACTTGTATGTCTTCTTTTGGGAAGTGTCTGTTCATATCCTTTGCCCATTTTTAATGGAGTTATTTGCTTTTTGCTTGTTGAATTGCTTAGATTTTTTATAGATTGTGGCTATCAGACCTTTTTTTGGATGCACAGCAAATATTTTCTACCATTCTGTAGGTTGTCTGCTTACTCTGTTGATAGTTTCTTTTGCAGTGCAGAAGATCTTTCATTTAATTAGGTCCCAACTGTCGATTTTTTTTGCATTTGTTTTTGAGGATTTAGTCATAAATTACTTTCCAAAGTAGATGTCCAGAATGGTGTTTTCTAGGTTTTCTTCTAGGATGATTACAGTTTGATATCTTACATTTAAATCTTTAATCCATCTTGAGTTAATTTTTGCATATGCAGAAGGTAGGGATCCAGTTTCATTCTTCTTCACATGGCTCACCAGCTATCTCAGCACCATCTATTGAATAGAGAGTCTTTTCTTTATTGCTTATTTTTGTCAACTTTGTCAGCGATTAGATGGTTGTAGGTATGTGGCTTTATTTCCAGGTCCTCTATTCTGTTCCATTGGTCTACATGTCTGTTTTTGTACTAGTACCTTGCTACTTTGTTTATTGTAACCCAATAGTATAGTTAAGTTGGGTAATGTAATGCCTCTGGCTTTGTTCTTTTTGCTTAGGATTGCTTTGACTATTCAGGCTCTTTTTTGGTTCCATATGAATTCTGGCATTTTTTCCCCCAATTCTGTGAAAAAATGATGTTGGTAGTTTAATAGGAAAAGCATTAAATTTGTAGATTGCTTTGGGCAATATGACCATTTTTATGATATTGGTTCCTCCAATCCATGAGCATGAAATGTTTTTCCATTTGTTTGTGTCATCTATTATTTCTTTTAGCAGTGTTTTATGGCTCTCCTTAGTTAGATGTATTCCTAAGTATTTTATCATTTTTTGACTATTGTAAATGGGATTATATTCTTGATTTGGCTCTCAGCTTGAAGATTATTGGTGTATAGAATGCTACTGATTTTTGTACACACTGAGTTTGTTTCCTGGAACCTTAAAATTGCTTATCAGTTTTAACAGCCTTTTGGCAGAGTATTAGGGTTTTCTGAGAATAGAATCACATCATCAACAAAGGGAGATAGTTTGACTTTTTTCTTTTCCTATTTGAATGCCTTTTATTTATTTCTCTTGCATGATTGCACTGGCTAGCATTTTCAGTACTATGTTGAATAGGAATGGTGACACTGGGCATTCTTGTCTTGTTCCAGTTCTCAAGGAGGATGCTTCCAGCTTTTGCTCATTCAGTGTGATGTTGGCTGTTGGTTTGTCATAGATGGCTCTCATTATTTTTGAGGTAGGTTCCTTCAGTGCCTAACTTCTTGAGAGTTATTATAATGAATGTATGTTGAATTTTATGTAAGCTTTTTCCAAGTTCATTGAGATGATCTTTGTGTGTGTGTATGTTAACTTCTGTTAATTTGGTGAATCTCATTTATTGATATGCACATGTTGAAACAACCTTGCATTCTGGGAATGAAGCCTACTTGATCATCGTGGATTAACTTTCTGATATATTGTTGAATTTGGTTTGCTATGATTTTGTTGAGGATTCTTGTGTCTATTTTTCTCAGGGGTATTGGCCTGTAGTTTTCTTTTTTAGCTGTGTCCTTGCCAGGTTTTGGTATCAGAGTGATACTGGTTTCATAGCATGACTTACGGAGAAGTCCTTTCTCTTTAATTTTTTGGGATAGTTCCAGTAGAATTGGTACTAGCTTTTCTTTGTACATCTGGTAGAATTTGGCTATAAAGTCATCTGCTTTGGGGCTTTCTGTGGTTGGTAGGTTTTATTACTAATTCAATATCAAAACTTGATATTAGTCTATTCAGTGTTTCAACTGTTTCCCGATTAAATCTTGGAAGGTTTTGTGCTTCCAGGAGTTTATCCATTTCCTGTAAATTTTCTAGTATGTATCCTCATAGTCCCTGTATTAGTTCATTCTCACATTGCTATAAATACCTAAAACTATGTAATTTATTTAAAAAAGGAGGTTTAATTGGCTCATGGTTCCACAGGCTGAAAAGGAAGCATGATGCTGGCATCTGCTTGGTTTCTGGGGAAACCTCAGGAAACCTTTACTCATAGTGGAAGGCACACGGAGATCCAGCACTTCACATGGCCAGAACAGGAGAAAGAGAAAGAGGGGAAGGTGCCACAAAGTTTTAAATAACCAGATCTCATGTAAACTCACTCAATCCCTTTCATGAGAACAGGACCAGGAGATAGGGCTAATATTTCATGGGAACTCCACCCCCATGATCCAATCACCTCCCAGCAGGCTCCACCTCCAACACTAGGGATTATAATTCGACATAAGATTTGAATGGGGACACAGATCCAAACTGTATCATTCTGCCCCTGGCACCTCCCAAATCTAATGTTCTTCTCACGTTGCAAAATACAATCATGCCTTTCTAACAGTCCTCCAAAGTCTTAAGTCATTCCAGCATTAACCCAAAAGTCCAAAGTTCCAAGTCTAATCTGAGACAAGGCAAGTCCCTTCTACCTATAAGACTGTAAAATCAAAGAACAAGGTATTTCTCCAAGATACAATGGGGCTACATGCATTGGGTAAATAATCCTGTTCCAAAAGGGAGAAATTGGCCAAAAGAAAGGGTCTCTAGGCACCGTGCAAGTCTAAAACCCAGCAGGGCATTCATTAAATTTTAAACCTTCAAAATAATCTTCTTTGAATCCATGTCTCACATCCAGGACATATTGGTGCAAGGGGTAGGCTCTCAAAGCCTACTCAGGTCCATCACTGTGGCTTTGCAGGGTTCAGTCCTCACAGCTGCTCTCATGGGCTGGTGTTGAGTGCCTGTGGCTCTTCCAGATTGGGGATACAAGCTGCCAGTGGATCTACCATTTGTGAGTCTGGAGGACAATGGCTCTCTTCTCATAGCTCCACTAGGCAGTGCCCCAGTGGAGATTCTCTGCGAGGGCTTCAACACAGATTTCTTCTCCTCATTGCCCCAGTAGAGGCTCTCTATGAGGGATCCAACCCTGCAGCAGGCTTCTGTCTGGAACTCCAGGCTTTTCCATACATCCTCTGAAATCTAGGCAGTGGCTTCTAAGCCTCAACTCTTGCATTCTGTGTACCTGCAGGTTTAACACCACATGGAAACCACCAAGGCTTATGTCTTGCACCCTCTGGAGCAGCGATCTGAGCTGTACGTGGGCCCCTTTGAGCCATCGCTGGAGCTGAAGTGGCTGGGATGCAGGGCTCAGTGTCCGAAGGCTGTGCAGGGCAGCATGGCTCTGGGCTTGGCCCACAAAACCATTTTTCCCTTTGGGGCCTCTGCAACTGTAGTAGGAGGGGCTACTGTTAAAGTCTCTGAAATGCCTTCTGGGCCCTTTCTTCATTGTCTTGACTATTAGTACTTGGCTCATTTTTACTTATGCAACTTTCTTCAGCCTGCTTGAATTTCTCCCCTGAAAATGGGCTCTTCTTTTCTATCACATGGCTGGGCTACAAATTTTCCAAATTTTATGCTCTGCTTCCCTTTTAAATATAAGTTCCAGTTTTATGACACTTCTTTACTCATGCATATAAGCATAGGCTGTTAGAAGCAGCCAGGTCACATTTTGAAAGCTTTTCTCCTTAGAAATTTATTCTGCCATATTCCATGAATCATCATCTGTCAAAGTTCCACATATCCCTAGATCAGGGGCACAATACAGCCAATCTCTTTGCTACTACATAACAAAAGTGACCTTTGCTCCAGTTCCCAATAAGTGCCTCATCTCCCTCTGAGAGATCCTCAGCCTGGACTTCATTGTCCATATCACCATCAGCATTTTGGTCACAACAATTTAATAAGTCTCTAGTAAGTTTCAAACTTTCTCTCATCTTCCTGTCTTCTTCTGAGCCCTCCACAGTCTTCCAACCTTTGCCAGTTACTCAATTCCAAAGGTGCATCCACATTTTCAGGTATCTTTATGGCAATGCCCCACTACTTGGTACTAATTTTCTGTATTAGTCCATTCTTGCCTTGCTATAAATAAATGCCTGAAAGTGGGTAATTTATAAAGAAAAGAGGTTTAATTGGTTCATAGTTCTTCAGGCTTTACAGGAAGCATGATGCGGGCATCTTCTCAGCTTCTGGGGAGACCTCTGGAAACCTTTACTCATGGTGGAAGGTGAAGGGGGAGCCAGCACTTCAAATGGCTGGAGCAGGAGAAAGAGAGAGATGGGGGAGGTGCCACACACTTTTAAATAACCAGATCTTACAATAACTCACTCACTATCATGAGAACAGCACCAGGAAATGATACCAAAGTATTCATTAGAACTTTGACCCCATGATCAAATCACCTCCCACCAGGCCCACCTTCAAACTTGAAGATCATAATTCAACACGAGTTTTGTATTGGGACAGATATATAAGCCATATCAATCACTGAGGATCTTTTGTATTTCTGTGAGATTGGTAGTAATATCACTTTTGTTGTTTTTGATTATGCTTATTTGGATCTTCTTTCTTTTTTTGTGATATAAAATTGTTTATTAGGAGCATGACAATTTATATTACCTGGAAAGTAGGAATGGATTTTTAATACAGTTTAAATTAATGCATCAGGAGTAGCTGAAGGCACAAATTAAAAATCACTTGCTTTTTTATACTTAAAATATAGAAAAAGAAGAAAAACTTTAATTTTAAAAAGTACTCTGATAATCCATAGACTTCATGTTGTACTTTTTAAAAGAAAATCTGATTAAAAAAACATATTTACCCTTGTTGAACATCCACAATAATAATGTTTGAAAAAAAACTTACCTCTTAAGGCTATTAGACACAGGGAAAGCATTGTGAATATACAAATATTTTAGTTCCAAAACTAAACTCTGCCACGTGTATACCTATGTAACAATACTGCACATTCTGCACATGTACCCCAGAACTTAAAGTATAATAATAATAAAAGATCCCAAGGAGTAAAGCAGGTGAATTGGTTTAAATGCCTGAATCTTGATGACTCTTTTATCCATTTTACATAGCATCCAAAACATGTCAGTGTTGTGAATTCCTTTGCTAATCTTTTTTTGAATTTCCCAGTGAAAAACATACCAAAGAAACAAAATTCAATTTACAACTAGCTGCAGAGAGCCATGGATGTGACCAGTTATGTTAAAATTCCTGCCCACTTCCACTGCGTGCACAGGCCATCCAGCTGCCCCTCGTCGCACCCAATTGTCCCAGTGATGGTGTTTCCGTGGCTATCACTACCACTTCTCTGCCCCTGCAGCCTGTTAGACAAACACCCTTTGCTGTTTCTGACTAAGAGTGCTTGCAGATCCACATAATTATCCTTGTCGCTCCAAATCCCAAGGATTTGACCACTAGCTAAAATGGCCATTTACCTGTTTTCATAAATCTTTTTTCTAGTTTTATTATTTATAATGGTTTTTTGTATTGTTACAGCCGCCACCCCTTCCTCCACAATGCACATCCTTTTCCTGTTAGCTTTTCTCTAAGTCTCCCTTAAATCTCAGCTAACAAGATCTCCTATATATGATTAGCCATTCCTTTTCTTTGAATGTTCTTTAAGACAGACAAACCCCTGGGATGACATACAGTTGGTTAAAAGTACATCATCAGGTAATCATAACACAGCCATCAACTGTTAAGAAATACCAGAGGCTAAAAAAAAATCCTGCTTTTCAGACCCAGTAAACTAAGAACTATCTTACAGTAGCACAGAATTACCAGATGTTAAGCCTCAGGTAATTGCTAGAGGAGGTTTTCCAAATCAGAAACCTTGGGGACCTCATCAAATTTGCCAGGATATCTCAGTTGCTCCATTCTGCCTGGTGTATCCCTAAGAAAAAAAATTAAATAGTGTCTTTCTTTGTTAATCTAGCTAGCTGTCAATCAATCTTGTTTATCCTTTCAAATCATCAACTTTTGGTTTTATTGATTTTTTTATATGGAGTTTTTGGGTCTCTCTTTTATTCAGTTCAGCTCTGATTTTAGTTATTTATTTTCTTCTGCTGTCTTTGGGGTTAGTTCTTGTTTTCCTCGTTACTCTGGGTGCAGTGTTACATCATTAATTTGTGATCTTTCTAACTTCTTGAGGTTGACATTTAGTGTTATGAACTTTCCTCTTAACACTGCTTTTGCTGTATCCCAGAAATTTTTGTATGTTGTGTCCCTGTTTTTCTCTATTACAAAGAATTTTTAAATTTCTTTCTTGATTTCATTGTCTACCCAAAAGTTATTCAGGAACAAGTTGTTTAATTTCCAAGAAATTATGTGGTTTTTGAGACATCCTAGTATTAATTTCTATTTTCATTCCACTGTGGTCTGATAGTATAATTTTAATTTTTTTGAATTTATTGAGATTTGCCTTATGGTAGAGCGTGTAGTCAGTCTTAGAGTATATTCTGTGTGCTAATGAATATATTCTGGGGTTGATAGGTGTAGTATACTGTAGATGTCTATTAAGTTTATAAATATGGATGCTCAAATATTGGATGCCTATATATTTAGTATAGTTATGTGTTCTCATTGAATTAAATCCTTTTATCTTTATGGAATGCCCTTCTTTGTTCTTCTTTACAGTTGTTGGTTGAAAGTCTGTTTTTTACTATAAGAATAGCAACCTCTGCTATTTTTTGTTTTCTATTTGTGCAGCCAATCTTTCTCCAACCGTTTACTTTGAGCGTAGGGTGTTATGTGTGAGATGGGTCTCTTGAATACAGCAGATTAATGGATTTTTTTTTTTAATTCAACTTGCTACTCTGTGTCTTTTAAGTCAGGTGTTTAGGCCATTTACATTCAAGGTTAATATTGGTATGTGAGGTTTTGATCTTATTATGAAGTTGTTACCTGGTTGCTTTATAGGGTCACATATTGTGTGATCATTTTATAGGGTTTGCAGAATATGTATTTATGTGTATTTTTGTGGTAGCAGATATTGTTATTTCATTTCCATATTTAGACTTCTCTTAAAAATCTCTTGTATTGCTGGTGTAGTGCTAATGAATTCCCTTAGTCCTTGCTTGTCTGGAAAATATCTTATTTCTCCTTCTCTTACGAAGCTTAGTTAGGCAGAATGTGAAATTCTTAGATGGAATTATTTTTTCTTTAAGAATGCTGAAAACAGGCCCCCAATGTTTCCTGGCTTGTAATGTTTCTGCTGAGAAGTCTGCTGTTAGCCCAACAGGGTTCCCTTTGTGCATGATCTTCCCTTTTTCTCTAGCTGCCTTTAAGATTTTTTCTTCAGTGTTGATCTTGGACAGACTGGTGGCTGTATGCCTTGGTGATGTTGATTTTGCATAGTATCTTACAGATGTTCTATCAGTTTCTTGTATCTGGATTTTTACCTGTCTAGCAAGGTTAAGAAAGTTTCTTGAATTATTCCCTCAAATATATTTCCTATTATTGAATGCCAAATAATTTGTATGTTTGTTTGCTTTGAATGATTACATATTTCTCAAGTACTTTGTTCATTTTTTAAAAATTCTTCTTTTTTTAATTCTTGTCTCACTGTGTCAGCTCAGAAAAACAGTCTTCAAGCTCTAAATTTTTTTTCTTCTGCTTGATACAGTCTGTTGATACCGCTTTCAGTTGTATTTTGAAGTTTCTTAGGTGAGTTTTTCAATTCCAGAATCTCTAATTGACTTCTTTATCTCTTCCTTCATTTTCTAGATTGCTTTATAAATTTCTTTGTGTTGATTTTCAACGTTGTCTTGGATCTCATTAACCTTCCTTGCAATCCATGCTTTGACTTCTTTATGTGTCATTTCTGAATTTCCATTTTGGTTAGGGACCATTGCTGGAGAGCTGATGTGGTCTTTTTGTGGTGTCACTCCTTTCATATTTTTCATGCTGGCAGAATTCTTATGCTGGTTCCTTCTCATATGGAGACACTAGCTCTTTAAATTTTTGTAATATTTTTGTGTGGGTAGAGTTTTTTCTTCTTCTTGCTTTCTCTATAATGTTAATATTATTATAATTTTTATTCTTTCCTTTTCCCTTTTCCCTCCATTTTGGGGGGATGTGACTGTAGAGAATGTTGGATAGGGTCTTCTGGCTTTGCTTTCATAGCCTTATTCATTTACTTTGGCTGATTTTATATTGGGCTGTGGAGTTCAACCTACAAGCTATTGATGGCATTTACAGGTAAGAGCTGGCTGTGGCCAACGTGTCTGGGTATATACTTGATTCTTATTTACTGGCAGAAACTCCCTATTGCCTAAGACAATAGGCTGATTCATGGCGTGTACAGTGGTCTGAGCTCCCTGACCAGCCCCAGAGCAGCAAAGACCATAAAGGGTCAGGGGATGACTGGGCAGGTCCACCTATTGGTCTCCTGATGGCAGGCGAAGGCACCAGCACCAAGGGAGAGTCCTGTGAGCAGCCACCAAATACTCACAGGTGTGCCTAGGGATGGAGCTGGAACAGTGCTTCAGCTCCAGGTTCTCTGCACAAAATTGGAGGATGGCCTAAGCTTCTAATCCAGAAGGGTAAGCACTCTAAGTGCCTGGAGCTCTGTATAGGCATGGAGCAGAGAGGATCCCCTGAACCAAGATCTCTGAACAGGAGGGTTGGGTGACAGACTGATTAACCAGGCATGCATGTGCTTTGAATTTCTGGAGATCTGTTTGGGCCTGAAGCAGAGAGGGACTTGCTGCACCATGATCTATGTCCAAGGAGGGTGGGGTGGCTCAGGCTGTTGAACCAGATGAGTGGTTGCTCCAAATGCCTGGCATTCTGCCTGGGTATGAAGCAGAGAGATTATCCCTGTACCAGGATCTCTGCACAGGAAGGGTGGGGCAGGTCAGGTTGCTGATCCAGATGAATGGTGCCCTGAATGCCTGGATATCTGCTTGTGCAGGTGCTCCTAATGCCTAGAGATCTGCCTGAGCATGTAGTAGAGAGGTGTGCCAGGATATCTGCACAGGAAAAGTGGGACAGCTTAGCCTGCTAATCCAGGTGAGCTGGTGCTCTGAACACCTGGAGATCTGTGAGGGTGGGGCACAGAGAAAGCCCTACTGTACCAAGATCTAGGTCCAGGAAGGGTGAGGCAGTTCAGGCTGCTGAACCAAGTAAATGAGTGCTTTAAATGCCTGGAGACAGATACCTGCCTGGGCATGGAGAAGAGAAAACTCCACTTCATTGCAGTCTATGTCCAGGAAGGGTAGGGTGGCTCAGTCTGCTGAACAAGTCAAACAGGTGCTCTGAATTCTTAAATATCTGCTTGGGTGTGGAGAAGACAGAGCCTCTCTGCAACATGATCTATTTCCAGGAAGGGTGGGGCAGCTCAAGCTGCTGGTCCAGGGAAGTGAATGCTCCAAATGCCTGGATTTCAGCCTAGGGGTGGAACAGAGAGGGCCCCCCAATGAGCTACAATCTCAGGAGAGCAGGGTAGGGAATCCAGCAATGGCACATATCAATCAGTTCCAGGTTGTCAAGCTGGCCCTGGCAGCAAATCTTGCCACTTAGGAGAAATTACAGCTGTAGCAGGTCTCCTCCTGCCCCAGGGTTGTGATAGGGGAAAAACACAATTTTTGCCTTACTGCTGAGGCATTTTCCAGAGTTCTGGCTGTGGAGGCCCTTACCACACTGAGAGCGGGTGCTCCCTGGCCTGAGACTAAAATGCCTGTGTAGCCACACTGCTGTGTCGACAAAGAATGGCTGACTTTGTACACATTCAGATTAAAAATGGCATCCTGCTCTCACTTCTGGGTCTGGACTGAGACCCTGGACTGAAAGTGTATGCAAGTTTTCATGGTATCTTTCTTTACAGCATCTCTAAGCCTCTCAGCCTCTTCCCAAGTTAGCTCCAGGGTGTGGGAGACACAAAGTGCTTTCCCTCAGCCTGGGTTGCTCAGATCCACAGTGGAAAGGTGAGTTCCAGAGGGAGGCTGTCTTCCTCTCTCACATGCTGGAGCTTAAGTCACTTTTATCAACTGAACACCACAGAGGCTGTTTGCTGGTGTTCTGCTCTCTGGGATCTGAATGAGAAGAAGTAAGTCATGTTCAAAGAATTGAGAGAAATTCTACATATCCTAAAGATAGAATGTAAGTTTGAAAGTAATGTGTGTGTGTGATAAGAATAAAGCTAGATATACAATTTTTCACATTAATTAGGCCTTTAGTGAACTATAGGTAAAGTGATCATCTGACAACTGTTATGTATTCATGGCCAGGCAGGAGATTCTCATCAGAATCCTTTTAAGGCAGAAGGATGCAACATTTTGAAGACAATTTTTTTCCAATTTTTTTTGTAGTAAAGTACACATAGCATAAAATTTACCATCTTAATCATTTTAAGTCTACAGTTTAGTGGTACTAAATACACCCACAGTGTTGTACAATAATTACTACCATCCATGTGATAACTCATCTTGTAAAACTGAAACTCTGTATCCATTAAAAATCACTCCCACTTCTACCCTACTCTGCTCAACTTGCTCACATAGGAGACTTAAGCCCTAGGAGAACTGTTGGTCCTGAACTCTGCAGGGTGGTATGACCCATCAGATAACTTGGTCTGACCTGAGCACCCCTTGGTCTTCTGGCCTGTCCTAGGAACAAAGTCTGACCATGCTTGCCTTCAAGGCAGCCTCAGAAGCCCTGGGGGCCTGCATCATAGCTTCTGCACTGATGGACTGTGCCTGAACAGTGAAGAACTTCAGCAGGGTGTCCCCCATGGCTATGCACCAGCCCACACACTTCTTCACCCCACTGCAGCTTCTTCTGGGCCCATGGCAACTCCACATCACTTTGCTCGCACATGTCTGCGTGGGTGACTTTTGCTTTCCTTGCTCTGCCAGCATGTGACTGTTTGTGCACCCTGCCTTGCCACTGCTACAATAGGATGAAGCCCATCCCCTCACCCCTGCCAACAGCCATAGCAAGCAGAGCCCCTTTGTCTACCACCATAATTGGATGCTTCTTGAGGCCTCTGAGAAGTAGAGGTTGCTATGCTTACTGTACAGCCTGGAGAACCATGAGCCAATTAAACCTCTTTTCTTATAAATTACCCAGTCTCAGGTACTTTTTGTAGCAGTGCAAGAATAGCCTAGCATAAAATTGATACTAACAGTGGGGAATCACTACAAAGATGCTTGAAAATGTGGAAGCAGGTTTGGAACTGGGTAACAGGCAGAAGTTGTAAGAGTTTGGAGGGCTCAAAAGAAGACACAAAGATCAGGGAACGTTTAAAACTTCTTAGAGACTGGTTAAATGGTTATGACCAAAATGCTGATAGTGATGTGAACAGTGAATTCCAGGTTGCCGAGGTCTCAGATGGAAATGAGGAACTTATTGGGAACTGAAGCTCAGGTCATGCATGTTATGTTTTAGCAAATAGTTTGGCTGCATTCTGTTCATGCCCTAGGGATCTGTGGAAGTGTGAACTTCATAGTGACAGAGTATGTGGCAGAAGAAATTTCTAAGCAACAAATTGTTTATGATGTGTCCTGGCTGCTCCTAACAGCCTGTACACAGACACATGAGCAAAGGAATGACTTACATTTGGAAGTTATATTTTAAAAAGAAGCAGAGCAAAAATATTTGGAAAATTTACAGCCTGTCCGTGGGGCAGAGAAAGAAAAAGCTTTTAATTCAAGCAGGCTGTGGAGCAATTTCTTGCTAGAGAATTTGCCCAACTAAATGGGAGCCAAGTGCTAATATCCAAGACAGTGGGAGAAGACCTTGAAGATATTTTAGAGGTCTTCGCAGCAGCCCCTCCCATCACAGGTCCAGAGGCCTAGAAGAGAAGAATGGCTTCATGCGCCTGGCTCAGGACCCTGCTTCCCTTTACAGCATCAAGACACAGCTCACCACATCTTAGCTACTCAGTCTCCAGCCTCATCTCAAAGGGGCCCAGGTACAGCTCTGGACACAGTTCCAGAAGGTGCAAGCTATAAGCCTTGGCAGCTTCCACATGGTGTTAAGCCTGTGAGTGCACAATGTGCAAGAGTTGAGGCTTGGGAGCCTCTGCCTAGATTTCAGAGGATGTATGGAAAAGCCTGGGTGACCAGGCAGAAGGCTATTGCAAGATTGGAGCCCCCACAGAGAACCTCTACTAAGGCATTGCCAAGGGAAACTTTGGGTTTGAGCTCACATACAGAGTCCTCACTGGGGCACTGCCTAGTGGAGTTGTGAGAAGAAAGCCACTATCCTTCAGACCCCAGAATGGTAGATCCACCGGTGGCTTGCACCCTCAACCTGGAAAAGCAACCAGCATTCAACTTCAACCCACTGGAGCAGGCCTAGGGGCTGAACCCTGAAAAGCCCCAGGAATGGAGCTGCCCAAATCCTTGGGAACCCACCCTTTGCATCAGTATGCCCTGGATATGGGACATTGAACAAAATGAGATTATTTTGGAGCTTTAAGAATGAATAATTTCCCTGCTGGGTTTTGAAATTTCATGGGGCCTGTAGCCCCTTTCTTTTGGCTGATTTCTTCCTTTTGGAATGGGAATATTTACTCAATGCCTACTCGCAATGTATATTTTAAGTAAATAACTTGTTTTATTTCACAGGCTTATAGCTGGAAGGGACTTAACTCAGACGAGACTTTGAACTTTGGACTTTTAAGTTAATGCAGGGGTGAGTGAAGACTTTGGGGGACTTTTGGAAAGGCATGATTGTATTTTGCAATGTAAGAAGGTCATGAGATTTGGGAGGGGCCAGGGGCAGAATGATGTAGTTTGGATATTTGTCCACACCCAAATCTCATGTCAAATTGTAATCCCCAGTGCCGGAGGTGGGGCCTGGTGGGAGATGTTTGGATCATGGGAACAGATCCCTCATGGCTTGGTGCTGTATTTGTGATAGTAAGTTCTCATGAGATCTGGTCATTAAAAAGTGTGTGGCATCTCCTTCCGTGACTCTTTTTCACTCTTACTCCTGTTATTGCCATGTGATGTGACTGCTCACCTATGCCTCTCATCATAATTGGAAGCTTCCTGAGGACTCCCCAGAAGCAGATGGCATTAAGCTTCCTGTACTGCCTGCAGAACCATGAGCCAATTGTATCTCTTTTCTTATAAATTGCCTAGTCTCAAGTTTTTTTTTTTATAGCAGTGCAAGAATGACCTGATAAACTTACTTGTTCACTTTTGCTTATTTTTCTTGAATGTTTGAAGTATTATTTTAAAAACTTTTGCTCACTTGTCATTTAAGGCATTTAAGGTATGATTTCTTTTAGTATTGTCAGTTTGGGATTTTACATTTAACTCTTTAAGTCAGTTTTCAAATATGTTCAGAAATAGAGGTTTAGTTTTATTCTTATGAATGTGGATATCCAATTTTTGAATCATTTATTGAAGAGACTGTATTTCCTTCAGTATATGTTCTTGGAATCTTTGTAAAAAATAATTTCACTGTAGGTATGTGATTTTTATTTCTGGTCTCTCTTTTGTTCCATGGTCCATGTGTCCAATTTTATGTTGGTACTATGCTGTTTGGATTATTATACCTTTGTAGTATAGTAATGTGATGTCACCAGCTTTTTTGTTGTTGTTGTTGTTGTCATTTTAGGATTTTTTTCTATTTCTGTGAAGAATTTCATGTATATTTTGATATCAAATCAAATAGGGATTCCATGAAATCTGTAAATTGCTTTGGGTAGCATGGTCATCTAACAATATTAATTCTTCCCATTCATGAATGTAAGATATCTTTTCATTTCTCTGTCTTCAATTTCTTTCATCAATATTTTATAGTATTCAGTGTAAAGATCTTTCACCTCCTTGTTTAAGTTTATTCCTAGGTATCTTATTTACTTATTTATTTTGAAATCTATTTCAAATAGAAATAGATTTCCTATTGAAATTGGAATTATTTTCTTGATTTTTTTTTCAGATTGTTTGCTACTAGTGTACAGAAATGATTCTGATATTTTTATGTTGATTTAATATTCTGCAACTTTACTGACTTTGTTTATTAGTTCTGATAGATATTTGTTGAAATCTTTAGGGTATTATCTCTATAAGATCATGCTATCTGCAAACAGGAACAATTTGACTTCCTTTTTTTCCAATTAGGATTTCTTCTATTTCTCCTCTTGTCTAATTGCTCTGGCGAGGACTTCCTCTACTATATTGAATAGAAGTGGTAATAGTGGACATCATTTTCTTATTCATGATCTTAGAGAGAAACCTTCAGCTTTTTCCATTCAGTGTGATATTATCTGTGGGTTTGTCATATACAGTCATTACTTTATTGAGATAATACCTTCTATACCTTATTGAGAATTTTTAAATGATAAAGCAGTGTTAAATTTTGTCAAATGCTTTTTATATACGTATTGAAATGATCATATGGTCTTTGTCTTTCTTCTTTTTAATGTGATGTATCACATTTTTTGTGTGTTTATGTTGAACCATCTTTGCATTCCTAGATGAATTCCATTTGATCATGGTAAATGATCTTTTTAATGAGTGGTTGAATTCAGTTTGCTGGTATATTGTTGAGAATGTTTGCATCTGTTCATCAGGGATATTGGCCTGCAGCTTTTTCTTGTGTTGTTGTGTTCTGATTTATTTTTGGAATCAGGATATTGCTTGCCTTGTAACATTAGTTTGGAAGTATTTCTTCTTCAATTTTTTTCTGAAATAATTTGAGAAGAATTATTGGATTATTATTGAAATATTATTGAAATAATTGGTATTAGATCTTCTTTAAACGTTTGGTAGAATTCAGCAGTGAAGCTGTCAATTCCTAATTTTTTTTTTTGTAGGGGAGATGGAAGACTTTTTGTTATTTATTAAATTTCCTCACATAATACTCATTTGTTCAGATTTTCAATTTTTTAAAATAATTCAATTTTAATAGGTTGTGTGTCTCTAGGAATTTATCCATTTCTTCTATGCTTTCAAATTTATTGGTATATAGTTTATATTAGTCTGCTATGATCATTTGTATTTCTGTGATGCCAGTTTTAATGTTTTCTATTTCATCTCTGATTTTATTTATTTGGGTCTTCTCTTCCTTTTATTTAAAGTTACTGTATCTAAAGTTCTATCGTGTTCATCTTTTCAAAAAGACCACTCTTTGTTGAGTTTCTTTTTTGGTTCCTATTTTATGTATTTCCTTTTGTGCTGTATTGTTTTCTTTCTTCAAACAATTTTGCATTTAATTTGTTCTTGACTTCTTAGTTTCTTGATTTGCAAAGTTAGGTTGTTTATTAGAAATCTTTCTTCTTTTTGCATCAATATTGCTATGAATTTCCCTTTTAAAACTGCTTTTGTTATGTCCCATAGGTTTTGGCATAATGTCTTTTCATCCTTGTCTCAAAAACTTTTTTAAACTTATTTTTAATTTATTTATTGATGTACTGTTCATTCAGAATTATGTTGTATAATTTCCATGAAAACTTTTGTAAGGTTTCAAAAATTTTTATTTTATTGATGTATAATAATGATTTATGGGGATGTATGATATTTTGATATGTGCATACAATGTGCAGTGATTAAATCCGGGTAATTGGGATTTCCACCACCTTAAATATTTATTTATTTATTTATGTTTAAAGTCTTCCAAATCTTTTTTACGCTATTTTGAAATATTCAATGTTATTGTTATTACAGTTACCATACTCTGCTATTGAACACTAGAACTTATTTCTTTCATCTGTTTGTATTTTTGCACCCCCTAACTGACCTCTGTTTATCCTTCATCCTCCTACCTTTCCCAGACTTGCAGTCACCATTCTACCACCTGCCTTAATGAGATAAACGTTTTAAGCTCCAATATATTAGTGAGAACATACAATATTTGTCTTGTTTTTCCTGGCTTATTTTACTTGCAATGTCCTCTAGACTTATTCATGTTGCTGAAAATGAAAGAATTTTATTCTATTTATGAATAAATAATGTTCTATTTCACATATATACCACATTTTCTTTATTCATCCTTTGATACACACTTAAGTTGATTCCGTGTCTTGGCCATTGTGAATAGTGCTGTAATGAACATGGGAATGCAGATATCTGTTCAACATACCGATTTTCTTCTTTTTGGATATATATCCAGTAGTGGGATTTCTGGATTATTTGATATTTCCATTTTTTGTTTTTTGAGTATTGTGAATATTTCTTGCTATTGGTTTCTAGTTTTATGCCATTATGGTTTGAAAAAAATACTTGATATGATCTATATCTTCTTAAATTTGTTAAAATTTGTTTTTTAGTCTAACATATGATATATCTTGGAGACTATTTCATGTGCACTTAAGAAGAAAGGGTATCCTGCAGCTGTTACATGGAATGTTCTGTAAATGTATGTTAGGTCAATTAGGTCTATGGTATGGGTTAAGTGCAATGTTTCTTTGTTGATTTTCTGTCTAGACTATCTTCCATAGTGGAAAGCGAACTGTTGAAGTCCTCTGCTATTATTATATTGCAGTCTATCTCTCACTTTAGATTTAATATTTTCTTCATATATTAGGATGCCTGATGTTTGGTATATATATATATTTGCAACTGATATTTTATCTTACTGAATTATATAATAACCTTGTCTTTTTTTTTTTTTTTTTTTTTTTTTTTTTTTTTTACAATTTTTGCCTTAAAGTTTTACCTAGTATAAATATGGCTACTCCTCATTTTTTATTTCCATTTTCATGAAATATCTTCTTCAGTCCATTCACTTTCAATCTGTTTGTCTTCAATGGTGAGGTGAGTCTTTTGTAGACAACATAGAGTTGGGTCTTATTTTTTTAATCCATTCAGCAATTCTATATCTTTTAATTGAAAATTTAGTTCATTTATATTCAAGGTTCTTATTGATAGGTAATGACTTACTCCTACCATTTTGTTAGTTTTTTTGGGGTGCTCTTCTGTAGATCATTTGCTCTTTTTTTCCTTTCTTGTTTAACTCTGAGGTTTGGTGGTTTTCTGTGGTGCTAATCTTTGTTTCCTCTCTGTTCCTCATTTGTGTATCTGCTGTAATTTCTTTCTTCATGGTTACTATGTGGCTAATATAAAAATCTTGTAGCTGTTAAGACATTATTTTAGGCTGATAATAAACTTTGGTTGCATAAAAATACTCAGGACTTTTCTCCCTTACCACTACTTTCTGATTTGGGTTGCCTTAATTTACTTTATGTTGTGTGTGTTGCTTAGTCACTAATTGGGGTTGTTCTTTTTTTTCCTTTTTGACTTTAAACTTTTATACTAGAGGATTGAAAGGATTTTAGCACTGGGATATTCTGATTATGATTATGTATTTACCTGCAATAGTTAGCTGTATACTTTCATAATAGTAATTATGGCTTTTTGTTTCTAGTTGTAGCATTTTCTTAAGCATTTCTCTTAAGACCAGTCTAGTAGTGACGAATTTCCTCAGTTTTGCTTGTCTGAGAAGGCCTTTAATTCTCCATTACTGAAGGAGAGCTTTGCTGGATATAGTATTCTTGGCTGACATTTTTTTTTTTCTTACAGCACTTTGAATATATCATTCCACTCTCTCCTGGCATATAAAGTTTCTGCTGAGAAATATGCTGACAGTCTAATCATGATTCCTATGTGGTGACATTATTCTCTTATAACTTTAAAGTTTGTCTCTTTATCTTTGACTTTTGACGGTTTGATTACAATGTGCTTCAGAGAGATTTTCTGCGGGGAGGTGTGTCTCATTGGGAATATTTGAACTTCCTGGATCTGAATGTCCATTTCTCTCCCAAGGCTTGGTAATTTTTCAACTATTATTTTGCTACATAGGTTTTATGTGTCTTTTCCATTTCTTCTTTCTCTTGTACACCTATAATGCAAACTGTTTTCTACATAATTTGACGTCCCATAAGTCCTGTAATCTTTATTCTTTCTTCTTCTTATTTTTTTCCCTCTGAAGAGAATATTTCAAAATACTGTCTTCAAGTTCAGAAATTCTTTCTTCTGTTTAGTCTGCTGTTGATGTGTTAAATTGTATTTTTTTTTGTTCTTGAATTCTTTAGCTTCAAGAATTCTATTTGGTTATTTTTTATGATATCTATTTCTTGGTTGAAATCTCATTCAGATTATGAATTGTTTTCCCAATTTATAGAACTGTTTTTCTTTATTCCCTTGTATCTTACTGATTTTTCTTAACATCATTGTTTTGAACTCCTTTCCAGACATTTCATAAATAGCCTTTTCTGTTACTGAAGACTTACTGTCTTCTTTTGGGATTGTCACATTTTCTTGATTTTTAATGTTTTTTTTGTCTTTCTACATTGATATTTGCACATCTACTCAAACAGTCATTTTATCTAATTTTTTGGAGTCGTTTTCATAGAAAAATACTTTTTGTGTAGGTGTGTCCCAAGATTTTGGGTAAGAATGGTGTGTTGGCTTTGGTTCTGGGTGGACTCAGTAGTGTGGACTTTCTATAGATTCTTCAGCTATAATTTGTATCTGCAATGACTGTGATTGTCTTACTGGTCTAGGCTGTGGGAATTTGTAATGACAATGGTACAGTCTCCTATGCAGATCTGCCTGTTTCTCTGAAGGATAGGATGCCCATTGGGTTCAGGTGATGTGGTCATCTCTTTAGGCCTAGGATCTAGATAGCTGGATTATTGGTGCTGCAGGTACCATAATGGCAGGGACTCAGGTATACAGGCAGTCAGAGGCTACTGGCTGCAAGACTCGACCCTCTCTAGCTGTGGGTCCTGCTTCAAGATGGCTGCATGCCTAAGTTATTTTTTAAAACAAACACCTTAGTCCTAAATTTAGTCATTTGCAACAAATGTGCTTACTTTATTTTAACTGTTGCATAAGATCAATTCATAATAAAGCCCAAGTGTCTCCTGACCATGGTGTACAATCATACTATGGGAAATATAGTCAAAATAAAAGTAACAATTAATCTTAGTTCTTTTCCTGGAACATTATTGTAGAGCTTCCTCTTTTATCATGTTATTTTATTCTAAAATGTTCTTGCTTGTATTAACAATCTTAACTTTTTCCAGATAATTGTGCCATAGCACCACATTCTGTTTAAGTAGTGAGTCTTTGTTATACTGTAAAATTGGACATACGTTTTCTGAATATGTCCTGCAAAACATCTGCTCATAACTGCAACCTCCTGGAGAATGACTCCTGCTCGATTCTTATGGTGCTATGACCCCACTCTCTAGGTGTCTTTTCCTTGGTTTGTTCTGCATTATTTTTTAAATCATGCAATGGTGGTGGAAAAGTTGTATATTTTATTTTGGGTTTTAGAAAGAAGAGTGATTTTCCAATTAAACCTAAATTGTAAAGGGTCACTTCATTGTAACAGTGCCAGTTTATTTTCATTAAACAAAATATTGGCTGCTATAGCTATGAATGATATTATAATCCCCAAATGCATTTATTCTTTCAATACATATGTAATGAGTACTTTCTGTGTGCTAGGCATTGTTCTGGTGCTTAGGATACATCTGTGAATAAAAATGTCAATAACATCTATTTCCGTATAGCTTATTTTCTAGTTAGGAGAGAAAAACAATTCACAATAAATCAAAAAGTTCTACCTGATAGATCTGGATTAGTAGGTATATTGAAGTATATTTTAATACTAGAAAATAACAATATATTAGAAGGTTAAAATACATTTGGGGTTTAAAAATGATATAAAGCTTGTCCAATTAAGTTATTTTTTAATCCTTAGAATCTTCCTGGGTATGGGTTTCCATATGTAAATTCTCCAAATTGTCTTCCTATATTTTGTTTTATTTAAATCAGGATTCAATCAAGCCAGTTGCTGATTTGGTTATTTCACTGAAGTATGTTAAAAGTCTCCTTTAATCTGGTATAGTGCCTTTATCTCACTCCCTTTTCCCATAGTTTGATTGAAATGTCAGTTTTCCTATAGATTATTTCACTGTAGCAAGTACTATTTTGCTCTATCATATTCCTGTGGCATTCACTGTTCCCATGAATAATAACTTAGTGGCTTCCAAAAAAATCGCAACTGTCACTTTGCCTTTGAGCTTCCTTGCCTTTCCTCACCATCAGCCATGCCAACATTCATGCCTTAGTTAACACTTCCCTCTGTCTTCACCCATCCTCAACAGTCTTCAACCAGTGGTTGATAAGAGTAAATAATCTAGATCTCTCATTTTCATTTGGGATAACTCTGAGATATATTCTACTCTGTATTTCAGAGTCCCTTAGTGGAACTTAACCCAAGTGACTTGCAGTAGTACATATGCTCAATAATACTCTTGTAGTGGCTTCATTGTTTTTCCATGCTTACGTTGCTCCCTCAGTTCTCTGCCAGTGATATCCCACGAATAACCTATAAACCTTTTCTCAAGGTTTTATTTTGAGGGAATCCGACCTAAGATACCACTGATCTAAATTTGGTGAAATAAGTAATTCTCTTAATATCATTTATTATATTAGTCTGCTTCTATAGACTGAAAGCTAGAATAAAGGCTTTTTTAGATTCCGTGTTTTTTAGGGGGAAGGGTCAAAAATGTTTTGTAGTTAGTGCTGAGTATCTCACATTGCATCACACCAGGAATCAAACAATGCTGGTAGTCTCACTTTTAATACATCAGTAAATTAAGATGGCAGGAGTGTGTGATTCCCTACTAGCCTTATGCCTAAAGGTTTTAAGATTCATTAATGACCATTGCCAGAATCAGTTATTTCATTAAGGATTGTAAACTGATTATTTTCTTAATTCTATTATTTCTTCAGCATACATTACCTGAAATTCTTCTGCATTGAATATGTTTTCTCTCATCTACTGGTGACATTTTATCTTATAATACATTTTACACCAAAAGGTAGGATAAATGCTGGAATTATCTAATATCTGAGTAAAAGATTATACCCTAACAACTTAAAATCTTGTCCAATAAATTTTATTTCTTTTTCCTTCTTCACTTTCCGCCATTCCTACTCGTCTTTCTTTCTCTTCTCTCTCCTCTCTACATTCTAATCCTGTTTTTTCTCCTTGTACTTTTCTATTCCTTCTCCTTCTTTATATTATTATAAACCATGTCTTTTACATAATCAACATTTTAAAATCATTTTTGGATGTTAATATTGGCCCATATTTGGCCAGTGAGGGCCCTATTACTCTCCTGTTCTTTTGGCATGATCTTGTTTTACTTTGATAGTATCTGCAATAGACTATATTTTTATGTTCCCCAAAATTCATATATTGAAACCTCATCCCCAGCGTGATGATATTTGAAGGTAAGGTCTTTGAGTGGTAATTAGGTCATGAGGGTAGAAGCTAAATGACTGGGATAGTGTGCTTGTCAAGAGATCCCAGAGAGATCCCTTGCCTCTTCCATCATGTGATGAGACAGAGCCTTGACATTGTCTATAAACCGGGAAGATAGACTTCAGCAGGCACCGAATCTGCCAATGCCTTAATCTGGGACCCCCTAGTCTCCAGAACTGTGAGAAATACCTTTCTGTGTTTTATAATCCATCAGTTTATGGTATTTTGTTACAGAAGCCTGAATAGACTAAGACAGTATCTTTGCTTACTGGCACCTAGAGATATTTCAGGCTCCTTGTGAACATTTCTTTCCTAAGCTTACAATCAGATGTTTTGAAAGAAGATTCCCTTTATTAGAACTTATTTAGAAATTATAATCTTAGAAATAGGACTGTGTATTGATACCATTTGCCCACTGCTTCTAGCATTTTTTAATGAATAGGGCAAGGAAACAATGTTTCCATAAAGAGGGAAAATCATTATTTTACAGTGATATTTTCTGATTCAAATTTAAGAGATTTTACTTAAAATATTTGATTTTATAGTTAAATATAATTTACATTAGATTCTAACAACTTTTACAAAATTACTAATTTTCATTATTTTACAAAAAAGTTATTAATAAAAGACTGCTGAATAAAGGTTTTTTTTCTTGTTCTTTTTGTCCATAGAATATATCTCATTGAAAATGCATAGGGAAAATACTGGTGTTAGTTGGAATAATTATTTTCTCTATGTGTTTATGCCATGATCTTAACATATAGTTACAAATTTATTTGTTTTATTATTTTTATTTACTTTTGGGGGATTTTAACTTTTTTTTGTTTCCTTGATTATTAAAAACAATTACATGAGTGTAACACAAAAAGTATATTACAAAGTATGTCAGATAATTTTTGCCTTCATCCTAATTTCCTCTACCTTTCTTCTATAGATAGAAAGTAGTTAATCCTTTCTATTTGTTTTGCTTTATTCTTCCAGGATTTTCTTTTTTTTTTTTTTTTTTAAACAATGAAGCAATTATATCTATATCTATCTGTTATCTATCTATCTATCTATCTATCTATCTATCTATCTATCTATCATCTATCATCATCTATCTCTAACTGTAATCTGTATTCCTCTCCTTTCTTTACAAAAGGTAGGTCATGTACATTGTTCTGTACATTGCTCTTTTTACATTTTACAGCTGCATAGTCTTCTATCATGTGAATGCTCCAGTTATTTAACATTTGGTTTATTTCTTATCCTTTGCTATTTAAAAACATCAGAAAGAATAACATACATAGCTTTGCAAGTGTATTTTCAGGACAGATTCCTAAAAGTGAGGTTGATGTGCAAAAGGGTAAATGCATATTTACTTTCACTGGGTATCTTAGTTCAGTTGGGCTGCTATAACAAAATACTGTTGACTGGGCAGCTTATACACAACTGATATTTATTTTTTGTAGTTCTGAAGGCTGAGAAGTCCAAGATCAAGGTGTCACCAGATTTGGTATCTGGTGAGGGCCTGCTTCCTGGTTGATAGATGGTGTCTTCCTTCCATCTCCTCACATGGTAGAAGGAGCAAGTAATCTCTCTGGCATCTCTTTCTATGAAGGTATTAATCCCATTCAGGAGGTCTATCCCCATGACCTAATCACCTCCCAAAGGCCCCACCTCTGAATAGCATCAACTGAGGAGTTAGTATTTCAACATAAAAATCTTGTAGGACACATTGGTATGTGGTATGTCTTCAGAACATACCACTAAATATCACTAAATTCTATTCAAAGGAGCCATAACAGTTGCATTTCCTCCAACAGTGTATGACAGTACCTGTCTTCCCTCAGTCTTGCTAACAGAGTATGTTGACAAACATTTGGAATTTTGCCTATCTGATAAGTTAAAAATTATATTACAGTATAGTTTTGATGTTTTACTTCACGTATGAGTGCAGTTGAATGTCTTTCAAATGTTGCAGCTTTTGTATTTCTTCATCTTCAAATGTCTATTCATATATAGTATCTATATTTCTGTTAGATTTTCTCTTTTTTGAAATAAGTTTATTGAGTTATAATATATTTACAGTAAGCTTCATCCTTTATAGATGTATACTTTCATAAATTTTCACAAATGTGTATGGTCATGCATTATCATCTAACTACCACCACAATGAATATATTGAATCTGAAAAGGATTTGTTTCTCTTTGTTTTGAAGATTGTCAAAATTTTTAATATATTGATATTACCCCTGATATGGTTTGGCTCTGCGTCCCTGTGCAAATCTCATGTTGAATTTGAATCCCTAGTGTTGGGGTAGGGACCTAGTGAGAGGTAATTGGATCATGGGGGTGGATTACATCCTTGCTGTTCTCATAATAGTGAGTGAGTTCTTATGAGATCTGGTTGTTTGAAAGTGTGTAGCACTTCCCCCTTTCTTCCTCCTGCTCCAGCCATGTAGTGTAGTGCATGCTAGTTTCCCGTTTGCCTTCTGCCATGATTGTAAGTATCCTGAGGCCTCCTCAGCTGTGCTTCCTTTACAGCCTGCAGAACCATAAGTCAATTAACATTTTTTCTTCATAAATTACCCAGTTTCAGGTAGTCCTTTACAGCATTGTGAGAATGGACTAATAGAACCTTTTGAAATAAAGGTTGCAAATATTTTTTCTTTCTTTTTTTTTTGTCTTTTTTTTGAGACGAAATCTCACTCTATGACCCAGGCTAGAGTGCAGTGGTGCGATCTCACTGCAACCTCCGCCTCCTGGATTTAAGCAATTCTTCTGCCTCAGCCTCCCAAGTAGCTGGGACCACAGGCATGCGCCACCATGCCCAGCTAATTTTTTGTATTTTATTAGTAGAGATGGTGTTTCACTGTGTTAGCCAGGATGGTCTCGATCTCTTGACCTCATGATACACCTGCCTCGGCCTCCCAAAGTGCTGGGATTGCAAATATTTTTTCATAGTTAATAATTTTTTTCAGTCTTTGCTCGTATTATATTTTACCATACAAAAGTTTTTAAAATGATATTTTATTGAGTGTGCTAGTCTTCCCTTTTATTTCTTCTAGATTTAAAGCTTTCCTTGTTTGTAAAGGAAACCTATATTTTCTCACAGAACTCATAAAGTTTTATTTTTTAATATTTAAATCTCTAATCCATTTGTATTTTATACAGTACCTAGTATAAATTATAGATTAGATTAGATTTTCTCACGAAGTTTTATGCAATTGTCTGGAGATCATTTTTTAAAGTTTACTTTTCTCACTATTTTTATTTGTCACCTTTATTACATATTAAATTTCTATATGTACTTGGATCTATTTTTATTTTGTCTATTGTGTTCCATTCACCTACTTGCCTATTCAAAGGCTATTTAACTTTTAATTATAAATAATTTATCATAAATGTTTAATGTCATCTTACCTGAAAAGCAAGGCCTTCCTCTTGCTCTCTTTCTCATCATTGTGTGATGTTGAGAGAATATAAAAACATAAACAATAATTTAAATTGTATTCAGTATTTTATTTTGAATCATGAATAGTGTAAAATTAAAATGTTTGTGACACAAAGATAATCTTTTTCTTTCTTAGGTTCTATTCATACAATAAATTATATTGCTATATTTGTTAATAACGAGCCTTTTCAGAAATGAGCCCCAGAATGCATTTTTAATAGTATATTACATTCTGTTTGCTGAGATTTTATTTGACTTTTTATTATCACTCTTAAGGTTTTTATATTAATCTATGCTATCTTCATAAAGATTTATTATGTTTTACTCTTTGCCTATACAACAGACAAATTTAAGTAGTATTAGGACTATCTGATTTTGAAGCTTCTTAGAATTGTCTACAAAAAGCTATCTAAGTCTGGTGGTTTGGTTTCTCCTTGGAAACTCTTCACAAATTTCTTTACTTCTATTAAAATGGTTATATAGTCAGCTCTCTGTATCTGCAGTTTCCATATGTGCATACTCAACCAACTGTGGAGAAAAGAGATTCAGGAAAAAACATAAAAAAGATGGAGTACTATGCAGCCTTAAAAAAGAATAAAATCATGTCCTTTGCAGTAACACAGATGGAGCTCGAGGCCATTATCCTAAGTGAGCTAACACAAGAATAGAAAAGCAAATACTACATATTCTCATTTATAAGTGGGAGCTAAAGACTGAAGACACATGAACATAAAGATGGGACAAAAGACACTAGGGACCACTACATGAGGGAAGGAGTGATGGGGGCATGGTGTGAACAACCACCTGTGGGTAGGATACTTACTGCCTGGATGACAGATGGTTGGGCCCTCAAGCCTCCACATCACACAATTTACACATGTAACAAACCTACATGTGTACCTTTTAATGTATAATAAAATTTGAAATTATAAAAAAATTTAAAAAATAAAATCGAAAAATACAAATAATAAATATGATGTAACAACAATGTATATAGCACTTACATTGATTAGGTATTATAAGTAATCTAGAGATAATATAAAGCATATAGGAGGGCCTGGGAGGCAGAGCAAGATGGTAGAATAGAAAACTCCATTGAGAAAACTCCACGCAAGGAAACCAATTTAACAACTAGCTACACAGAAAAAACACCTTCATAAGAACCAAAAATCAGATGAGCACTCATAGTACCTAGTTTTAATTTTGTATCACTGAAAGCAGCGTTGAAGAGATAGTAGTAGAAAAAAAACAGATAAGATAGAATAAGCAGAGACAGAAAAAATAACAGTCCTGAATGACTGGTGCCACCCCTCCCCCACACCCCTGCAGCAGCAGCTTAGCACAGAGAGCCTCTCTGGGCACTGGGGAAGGGAGATTGTGAGGCAATTATGAGGCATTAAACTCAATGCTGTTCTGTTAGAGAAGAAAGGAAAACCAGACCAAACTAAGCTGACACTCACACATGGAGGGTACATTTAAACCAGCCCTAGCCAGAGGAGATATCGTCAGTCCCAGTGGTCTGAACTTGAGTTCCCACAAACATGGCTACTGAGGGCTACAGTGCTCTGTGTTTCTAAATAAACTTGAAAAGCAGACTAGGCCATGAAGAGTGTAATGCTTAGGAGAGTCTTAGTGCTAAACTGGGCCCAGAGACAGTAGACTGTGGGGGAGCACACAACTACTGAGACACCAGCTGGGCAGCCAAGTGAGTACTGGCATCACCGTTCCCCTAACCCCAGGTTGCACAGTTTGTGGTTCCATAAGAGATGCCTTCCTTGTCCTTGAGGAGAGGAAAGGGAAGAGTTGGGGGGACTTTATCTTGCAACTTGGACACCAGCTCAGCCACAGCAGAATAGGGCACCAGTCAGAGTCATGAGTCCACCATCCTAGACCCCAGCTCCCTGACAACATTTCTAGACACATCCTGGGCCAGAAGGGAAACTACTGCCTTGAAGGAAATTACCCAGTCTTGGCGACATGCATCATCACCAGCTAACTGAAGAGCTCTCGAGCTTGAATAACAAGCAATGATATCCAGGTGCTATGTTGAAGGCCTTGGGTGAGTCTCTGAGACTTGCTGGCTTCTGGTACCAGCATGACCACAAGAGGTTAGAGCACCAAGCGGGATTTTGGGGTCACTGATTTCCAGAACTTGACTCTTGGTTGGCATTTCTGGACCTGCCCTGGGCAAGAGGGGAGCCCACTACCCTGAAAAATGAGTCTTAGGCCCAAGAAGCATCCACCACAAGTTGACTTAGGAGAGCCTTCGGCCTTAAAGGAACCTCTGTGGTCGTCTGGCAGTATTCCTCATAACCGAGGGTGGCAGCAGCTACAGAGTGAGGCTCCTCTGCCTGTGGAAAGGGGAGGGAAGAGTAGGAAGGACTGCATCTTGTGGTTTGAGTGCCATGTCAGCTGCAATACAATAGAATACCAGGTAGACTTCTAAGGTTTTTGACTATAGTCCTTGACTCCTGACGGTAACTGTGGACCCCCCAGGGACCTGGGGAACTGCATTGCCCTGAAGGGAAGGACACAGGCCTGGCTGGTTTTGCCATTGCCTGATCATAGAGCCCTGGGTCTTGAGGGAACATAGGCAGTAGTCCTTATTTTTTATGTTTTGTTATTTATTTATTATTTTTTGAAACAGAGTCTTGCTCTGCCACCCAGGCTGAAATGTAGTGGCATGACCACAGCTCTTTGTAGTCCTGACCTCCCAGGCTAAATGAACCCTCCCACCTTAACCCTCCTAGTAGCTAGGACTGCAGGCATAAGCCACCATGCCCAGATAATTTTTTAATTGGCCACATTGCCCAGGCTGCTCTTAAACTCCTCACCTCAGCAATCCTCCTGCCTCAGTCACCAAAAGTGGTGGGATTAACAAACATGAGCCACCATCCCTGGCCATTTTGTGATTTTCAATAGTATTTTTCCTTCACCTAAGTAGCTTAACAGGAGGTGGTTTTACTTTCTAGGTAGAGGGGACTGTTTTGGTTTTTGATTTTGTCATTAATTTATAACTTTGTTGTATTGTGATGAAGATTACTACTTCTATTAATTATCTTTTTGAAATTTAGTGATTTTCTGAGATCTAATATACGGTAAATTTTTAGAAAGAATGTGTGTTTTCTATTTCTGGAATTCAGAGTTTAACATATATCCATTCATGTAGAATTATCTTGCTGATTAAGTTTTTAGGTTTTGTTTATACTCATTATTGTTTTGTTCTCTTCATTTGTCTTGGACAGGAAGGTGTGTTAAAGCCTTCATTATTAGTGGTTTCTGTCTGTTTTCTTCTTGCCTCCCTTGTAGTTCTGCCTTATAAAAGTTTTAACTTTACATTTGCTTTATAAATGTTAACAACTTTTGTTGTCATTGTAAATTATAGCTTTTGGTATTAAAGTTACCATCATTTAATGATTTTTGGCCTGAATTGTACCTGATATGAAGATGATAATACCTGATTTTTATTTGTATTTTCCTGGAATGTGTATATGTTTACCAAACTTCCCTTATTTTTTAATCTTGCTGAATTATCTTGTTTTAGATTTATCTCTCACATGTAGCATAGAGTTGGGTTTTGCTTTATTTAACAATTTAAAAAGTTTTCTTTTTTAATAGATGATGTTAAACTGTTTACATTTATGGATATAAGCAATATGTTTAAATTAGATTCCATTATATTATGATATACTACTATATACATGTGTATTTTTTCACCAATAGGTCTTTTCATTTGCTTTCTCTCTATTATTTTTAGCATTTTTTTGTTATTTAGTAAGTTTTAGTTTTTGTTGTATTTTATCTTCAGTCTCTTCATTTATTAGATACGGTCTATTAAAATTCCTTACCATGAAAAATGATGATGTTAGTTTGTAACCTGTTCTTTCCACCCCACTTCCCAATTAGATCATGAATAATTAGGAGGGGATTGCCTGAAAAATAAGACAAATATAGAAAAGCAATACAAGGGCATTCTACCTTATATATGCAAGCTGCTGAACCCTAAAAGATGTCATTTAGTGAATCACAAGGTTAATGTAATTGGAGTGTGTGGTGTGGTAGATCTGAGGAGTGGTGAGTGGTGAGGCTGGGGCAACTGCTATAACTATATGAAGCTTTGTGTGAAGAGGTTAAGAACTGAAGTTCTGGAATCTGCTAATTGGATTCAAATCTCATTCTCCTCAACTTCCAAGCTTGGTGAACTCTGATAAATTTCTTAATCACTTTAAGCCACAGATTCAACGTTTATAATATGAGGATACAAATATTACTTATCTCAAAGTTAGGTTGGTAATACATTTATTAATCCATATAAAACAATTATCATGGGGCTTCATCTATAACCAACATCACCATAGTTTAGCAATGAATATTTTTGTTAGTATTAATCAGCAGCAATTACTACTGCCATGACTTTTCCTTCTGAGAGATAGAGAGGAAGAAGCTCAAATCCTATCTGAAAATCACTTTAGAAAAGTGTTGGATATGGAGAAGAATGTTCTAGGCAGAGGAATCACCATATACAAAGACAAAGAGGTGAGGCCAAGTATAATATAATAGGAAAATAAAGTATACTTAGTTTGCAAGGTGTGTTTAGGAACAGTGAGAGATGAATTTGAAAAGGTAGGCAAGAGTCTTTTATAATTTTATAGGCTTAAGATTTTGTTCTAAAATTAATAGGAGCCACTGACGGATTTTAAACATAGGAGCGTTGGTCATCACAACATATTTTTTGGAAGAATCACTTTGTCAGAAGACAGACTTGACAGGACTGAATGACTGACAGGACTGAATGACTGATAAAATGTGGAGGTGAGGGAGAAGAGAAGTCCAGGATCTTTTCCCACTGGTACGAATGGTTGGATAGATGGTGCCCTTCCTAAAATTAGGAATGCGGGAAAAGTAGAAAGCCTGATTAGAAAAATATCTTGGCTTGGCTTTGTACATACTGAGGTTGAGGTGATTATGGAGCACACAGGGTGAAAATGTATAATCAATAGCTGTCATTATGTGTAAAAATTCAGGAGGAAGATTGGAGGCAGAAATAAAGATTTGGTCTTTTTGTCATCAAAAATCTTTTCATTGGAAAATTCCTATACCAATGTTAGTTATTGTTGTCATCACCACAGCAGTTGTTATTTTGAAGACAAACATTACATTGTAGAGTTATTCTTCCTTATATTTAATTTGAAAATATTTACTTTCTAAAATGCATAAGCTTGGGGTAGAATGATAATTTTCAGGCTCTGTGAAGCTTCATGTATGAGCAAAGAAGGAAATGCTGTCAAAAGGGAAAGAAATATTTTTCCTAATCCAAAATGACTTCATTTCCAGCAGTTCCAGAGAATTTTATTTTAACTTTCATTCACAAATGCTTTAACAAGGTTAAACTGAAGCAATGAAGACAGCTTTATTAATTCGAATCTTTCAATACTGTCACGCTTTCTTTGCTAGGAAGTCAGGAGCTTATGTTTTAAAAAATTCATTAAAATGCCAGTGTGCATCAGTCAGAGAAATCATTTTAAAAACATTTTAATCTTAAATGTAGGGTGAAAAAAACCTTCACACTCATTTATTTTTGTGCCAAGAAATAAAAGCTCAATTGAGCAATGGGATGAGTTAGAGTCTGGATTGTACAGAGTGGCTGAAGAACTACTCACTGATTCAATTCAATGCATAGTTTTTCATCACCACTCAAAATTGCAGAGCCAAGCCTAAGTTAAAAAAATACATAAGAGAAAAGCAGCCTTTGCTGATTGTTTGCCAATTTGTCCTTTACAGGATAAAGGCATATTAAAAACACAATTTTTACAAGATTTTTAACAGGTCTGAAATTCTCATTCTTATTTAGCCTAAGGCGATAATTCTTACATTTTTTTTGGTGTGTGTCTTAGAGCATTTTGAGAGCCTGATGACAGAAGTGGATTCTCTTCTGAGAAAAATGCTCATATTTACAATATTTTTCACACTATTTTGGGGCATTCTTGACATACCATTTTCCCTGAAGTCCAGAGATTTCAGATAATAAACTGCTGGTTGAGATATTTAATCCTCTGAGATAGTCATTTGAAGGACAATTCAACTTTTAATCTTGAGCTTGAGCCTTGACATTAACACAAAACTGTATTACACCTTTGTTTGAAAGAGATCTGAATCTCAAGGGATGGTATGAGCTATACATTAGCTTTTCTACTGGAATATATCCACTCTTTATATGTACTTACTTGGCCTAGTCACTCAGAAAAAGGAAACAATATTTTTATTACAAATTTGTTTGAAAAAACCTAATTAATGAAATAAAATCAGACTGTCTAGGAAGTTGGACATTGGAACTAGAATGATGTTTAAGAAACATGGTCAACCCCTACCTCTCACTACAGACAAAACTAATTCAAGATGGATTAAAGATTTAAAGGTAGGGCCTCAAACTATAAAAATTCTAGAAGAAAACCTAGGAAATACTTTTCTGGGCATTAGCCTAGGCAAAGAATTTATGACTAAGTCCTCAAAAGGAAACACAACAGAAACAAAAATTGACAATTAAAACCTAATTAAACTAATGAGCTTCTGTACAAAAAATGAAACTATTCACAGAGTAAACAGACAACCTACAGATTTGGAGAAAATATCTGCAATCTGTGCATCTGACAAGGGACTATTATCCAAAATCTATAAGGAACTTAGAAAATCAACAAGAAAAAAACAAGCAACCCCATTAAGAAGTAGGCAAAGAACATGAACAAATGCTTCTCAAAAGACACACAAGCTACCAGTAAACATGAAAAAATGCTCATTGTCACTAATCATCAGAGAAATGGAAAATCAAAACCACAATGAGATACCACCTCACACGCATCATAATGGCTATTATTAAATAAAGTAAAAAAGTAACAGATATTGGCAAGGTTGCAAGTAAATGAGAATGCTTACACACACTCTTGGTGAGAATGTAAATTAGTTCAGCCACTGTGGAAAGCAGTTTGGAGATTTCTTCAAGAACTAAAAATAGAACTACCATTTGACTCAGCAATCCCATTACTGGTTATATACCCAAAGGAAAATAAATCACTGTATCAAAAGACACTTGCTCTCTCATCTTTATTATAGCACTTTCACAGTAGCAAAGGCAGGGAATCAACCTAGGTACCCATCAACAGTGAACTGGATAAAGAATATGTGGTACATAGACACTATGGAATTGATATAGCCATAAAATAACAAAATTATGTCTTTTGCTGCAACATGGATGCAGCTGGAGGCCATAATCCTAAGTGATTTAATGCAGAGACAGAAAACCAAATATCACTTGTTCTCACTTATAAGTAGGACTAAACATTGGGTACATGGACATAAAGTTGGGAACAGTAGACACTAGGAACTTCAGAAGGGGAAAGTGGGGTGGGGAAAGTGTTGAAAAACTATCTACTGAGTATTATGTTCACCATTTGGGTAACAGGTTCAATTAAAGCCCAAACTTCAGCATTACAC
Source organism: Homo sapiens (assembly GCF_000001405.40). NCBI lineage: Eukaryota > Metazoa > Chordata > Mammalia > Primates > Hominidae > Homo > Homo sapiens. Next base: position 22,280,472 of record NC_000009.12, read on the forward strand.
AATTTACCCATGTAACAAACCTGCACATGTCCCTCCTGAATTTAAAAATTTAAAAATTTAAAAAAAATTTAAAAGAAGCATAAGGCCATGGAATATATTTAAATCACCATTATCCAGAGAGTCCTTCTAGCTCTTGGATGGATGGATGATCAACATCTTAACCCTATACCTGAAGAGCAACAGGTGGGAAGGGTTAGGGAAGGAAGCACTGTGTTTGGTCTCTGACATATATTTTCTGTTTCTAAATGCATGCTGTATTAGTTCGTTTTCACACTGTTATAAAGAAATACCCAAGACTGAGTAATTCATAAAGAAAAAAGGTGTAATTGACTCACAGATCTGCATGGCTGGGGAGCCCACTGGAAACTTACAATCATGGCAGAAGGGGAAGCAGGCACGAGAGAGAGCACGTGAAAAGTCCAAGAAAAACTGTCATTTATAAAACCATCAGATCTTGAGAGGACTCCCTAACTATCATGAATAAGCATGGGGGAAACTGTCTCCATGATCCAGTCACCTCCTACCAGGCCTCTCCCTCAACACCTGGGGATTACCACTCAAGTTGACATTTGGGTAAGGGCACAAAGCTAACCATATCACATGTCCTTAATTTGTCCCTTAATTTGGAAATTTAGTTTCCACTTTTTGCCTCAAAATAGACTTTTTTTTTATTATCCAGACATTTAATTATTGATTTGATTTTTACAATTTAACACATTTGTTTTTTTCATCAGACATAGCACCACCTGAGGTTGGTTCAGCAGAATTGAGAGTGAGTACATCTCTAAAATAAGTTCTGTGTCTAAAAACTATTTTAAAATAAATATATGTGTTCTTAAAAGGAAATACGCAGAGTGGCTGCCAGTTTACCTCCTCATATTTGTATAACGTTTTAATTCATGAAAGGTTTTCATATTAATGACCTGCAGTTTGAATAAAAGGCAAACATTGCTATGCCAAACTCACAGGTGAGGAAACTGAGGCTAAAAGAATTGCAACATACTGTTGATAAATGACAGAGCTGAGAATCCACCTCAGGTCTCCCAATCTTTATGTGATGCATAAGTTTCCAAATGTATTTCAAAAGTCCATTTTATTCCTTTATACTTATGTAGGTAAATTGAATAATTACTTGAAGCATACAACTATTTAACAACAATATATATCATCATGATTTAATATTGCCAAAGGTCTGTTCCTGGCCTTATTTCAGTCCTACTACCTATCTCTGCTATGGATTCTAAACCAGGATTAGTCTGAATTATGCCTGAGAACCAGTTTGCTCTCATGAGAAAAGTAGTTGTTTTATTTTTTTAAATAAAGTTCATATAAATTAGTGCTTCTGTTTGATGTCACTTTTCAGAACAATTCATGTATGAAAGGTCATTTCACATTAGCCTTGCAAAAGAATTACCTAATTTTCCATATACTAGTTGCATAAAGGGTTATAGTTATAATAAAAACCCATTGCCAGGAATGCCACAGCGAATGTCTCTACTTTGCACATGATGTCATTTCTATGTTCCTAGTGCCTAGCAGAGAGCATGGCACTGAAATGTTGGTTTAATTGAATTATTTCACAATGTCACAACATAGGCCTTGTGGAAGCAGAGTTTGAATAAAGAAACAATTTCCTAAAGTTTCAAAACTTTACAGAACGCTTAACCTTCATAAAGGAGAAAAGTCCTAAACTGGAAGAGTTTTAAAACTATAAAACTCGAAAACATACTTAATTCTAATATCACACATAAAACACGATTAGGAAATAGTGAAGGAAAGCTCACCAAACACTTAAATCTGCTACACATTCAACTGGATTTCTCATTGAATATGAAAACTGAAGTTTCTCTTTTCTCATTTTTTACATCTTTGCTTCTAAATGCTGACTGATTACTTTTAGATGAAATATATTTTCATTGCTATATGTTAAAACACACACATGCACACGAGCGCGCGCACACACACACACACACACACACACACCCCGCAATGCTGACAGCAGAAAATTCATGCTTCCATGGTTTTAACAGCTCAACCAGCACCTTCCTTTCAATTTTATGTAGGATAGTGCTGCACCCTTCTTCTATATCATTAAGCACTAATTGCCCAATTACAGAGCTTTGGGACACTGCTAAAATTGTGCCTGAAGCTTTTAAGCAAATTCAGCTTTAAAGCAAATGATCCCAGTAGTCAAAATTATTTACTAAACACAGCACAGTTTCTTCTAGATAGATTATTTAAGGCCTATTACGCTTGCTAGATCCTTATAGTACAAAATACTTGGGTATTTAGTGAGACTGTTCCCTCTTTTCATAAAGCTTTTTTATATTCAGCACCAAAATGTAAAAGGAGTATTATGTATTTGGGTAGAGAGGACTCACGCAAATATTCTTAACCTGAAAAACAGTTTTCTTTTTCTTAGGCTGTTTTGAAGAAGGGATAAAGAGTTGTTCTGCATCAGAGCATTATTTGTAAATATAGAGTTAAAAGGTTTATTTAAAAAAAACTCTCTTTTTGTTCAAATATATATAGCCATGTAAACTATAAGGGATTTGAATGTGTTCTAACTGATTCCATTATTTGGGCATACCCCTTTTTAAATTTCTGTTCGGGATATTTTGTCAATCCTTTGCATTACTGACAACAAATAATAACCATTGTGGACTGTGTTAGGCATTTTCTCCATTTTCTCACATAGTTCTCATTAGTCTTCTCGACAGCTCTCAGCTATTCCCAACTTCATTTTACAGAAGAGGAAATTGAGGCTTTTGGTGGGTAAATAACCCACCTAGGATCACATTGCTGATAAGTGGCAGGAGAATATTAAGTATAACTTAAAAAACTGAAAACCATGGTACAAATTATAATATTTCCAGAAGATAGAAACCAAAAAATAAAGCACCAAATACTAAAACACAGATCTTAACAATACACTGAAAAAAACTGAATATAATATATTTTAAAATTTGGAACATGTTTTTAATAAAATACTTTTTTAAAGCCCATAATGAATTCTTTTAAAAGTTAGTCTCTAATTTATCCTTCATAATAATCTGGGTTTTCAGATATCAGGTCTGCTTAAGGTGGGGTCCATCTTCACCATTTGGAACTATATCCATCTAACACTTGAAAAGTGAGCCATCCTTCACTGTATATAATTCATACATTTCACCACTCTCTGTCTTTATAGTTAATGAAGATTGTGGTTGTCTTTATTGTATTGATAACTTATAACGGTATTTACATCAAACCAAGTTGACCTCTATGTTAGGTCATTCTCATACGGCTGTGAAGAAATTTATAAGAAAAGAGGTTTTTAATTGACTCATGGTTCTGCAGGCTGTACAGGAAGCATAGCAGCATCTGTTCTGGGGAGGTCTCAGGAGTCTTCCAATTATGGTGGACGGTAAAAGGGGAGCAGAGCACATAACATGGCAGAAGCAGGAGCAAGAGAGGGAGAAAGTGGAGATGGGAGGTGCTACACACTGTTAAATGACCAGACCTTGTGAGAACTCAGTATCACAAAGACAGCACCCAGCCAAGAAGGATTCGCCACCATTATTCAAATGCCTTCCACCCGGCCCCACCTCCAGCACTGGGGGTTACAATACAACATGAGATGTGGAAGCAGGGGCATAATATCCAAACTATATTAATCTATAATGTCCTTTTATGCCTTCCTCTGATCTTTTAGAACCTGTAGCCAAACTGTACTTATAATTATGCAGTTCAAATGCAACATAGAAATACTATTGACTTTTATCATTAACAGTTTTTCCTTTGGGGAAATTTTTTTAAAGCCTATAATTTTTTTTTTTTGTAGTTTAGAGAAAATCCAAAAGGAGGTGTTTACTCAGAAGAATCAGCCAACCAATCGAAGAAACAACAAAACAGATTCTTAGAAAGAAAACAAAACAAACAACAACAACAAAAAACTTACTTCAGTGTAGTTTCAGACTTGCCTTACACAGAGTAGGCAAACAAAATATTTGTTAAACTGAATTATATGGGCTATTTCTTGTGTCAAGAACATTTCTTTGCAGTAATCTTTGACATTTTTGCAAGTTGAACTCTCTGGAAAACAGACTCAGATAGCAAGCAAAGTACAGGAGATTTACTAGGATGTCTCCTAGGGCTGGGCAGAGGGAGAAGCTGGTTGGCAACGCAGTGTCACCCAGAGTTTTAGCCAACAACATGAGGGGCTCTGAGGCTGAGTTGGCCCTTCCGGTTTGTGTCCTGTTATGATGAGAGGCCTCAGGTCTTTGTAATCTGTCATTGATTAGTCACTGAATATTGGCTGCTACCTTCCCTCCCTGGGAAGGTGGCCTGACCATGGACAAGGCAACTTTCTCCAGCTCATGGCAAATTCTGATAGGGCTGACCACAGAGATAGCACTACTTCCAGCAGCTGGTGGAATAAGTCTTGGTATCCTGACGTGGGATCTGAGAGAAGTAGCACTGTATTCATATTCACTACAAACACTGTGGCCGGTGAGTGAAATGAAACAAAAATAACAAGGAATATTTTCACTGTGCTGTTCCATTCCAACACTCCATCTTTCAAACTCGAATTCTGTTAAATGACAGACATTTGTGTGTGTGTGTGTGTGTGTGTGTGTGTGTGTTTCTTTCATTACTCTCAACTCACAGTTAGGCTTGTGAGATCTGACTTGGCTCATTATTGTGACAATTTCCTATTCATTATCTCACATAGCAGGGAGCCTCTTTGGACCATCAAGCTTATAAATTTACAATTGCACATTAATCCGTGGAATATAATTGCTGGTTGCTGCCTCTAGGCTTGGGGCACACTGTAGATGCCAGGATATACACAATTACCCCCAAGGTTTGCTTAGGAGCCTTTGCCCATCCAACAAGAAAATGAGCATTGCAATAATTGAGAAAATGAGCACCTTGGGTCTTTCTCTTGCTGGCAATGGTTAGAAACTCTTATCATTGAATTGCCCTGCTTTGTTTCTTGTTTTCTCTCATAAATATTGCTAGGAAATAAGCTATTTGGTACACAAAGAGTTTTAGCTTGTTTGGGTTGAGGAAGGTAAACTACAAGATGAAGAAGTGTTAAGTCCTAATGCCTTACAGACTCAGCACTCAGACTTTTTTATGAAAGTTTTTTCACTAGATGGACCAGGGAGGTGGAGAGGGGCAAAATTTTACCTGGGAGTTGTGGAAATCACATAAAAGTGTATACATAATTTTGGATACATATACATTCGTACATTTTTCTTTCTTTTCTTTTCTTTTTCCAGAGGGAATTGTCCATAGCTATCATTAGATGCTCAAAGTGATCTATGACCACAAAAGTTTAGGAATTATTATATTAAAACAAAAAAGACTCATTTATTTTCTGATTTTAAGCTATCATCTTTCTATGCCTAAACATGTATTTGGACACCCCACAAGCACCTTATTCCACTTTAAATGACTAATTCATCACAAGTGAACTCTATCACTATTTTCTCTATTTCTGTAAGTCATATCACATTCATTTAAATTGTTCAGTTCAGAAATGGAAGCATTAGTCCCTTCTCGTCTTCTTTGTTTTCCACATCTGAGATCCATGTGATGACATGGCTGAAAGACAAAGTATCTTCCATTTTATAAATCTTACTTACCTTGGTGGTCTTTGGGTATATCACTGCTCAGAATGTTTTATGAAGCCCCATTCAATGATAAAATGGTTTTTGGACATGATAATTATAAAGGAAGAGTAGTAGAAAATGTTTCTTTATAAAGGTACCTAATCCTGGGAAGTCCAAGGATAGAAGGAAAGAGCCAGTGAGACCTGGTTTATGAGACAATGCTTAGATAGCTTTTTTTTTTTTTTGGTGAATGGATTAGATGGCCTTTCACAGACCAGTCTAAATTTTGCTGTGTTAGCTGTAGCATGGTGATTATGAAGGGGAAGGTATATGTGTTGGAATCAACCACAGGTAGGCTGGGTTTGGGAGGCCAATAATCTTTGAAGTGATTATGTGAACTCTGCTCAGTAGCAATGCTTTATATTTAGTCGGACAAAAGGGCCCATTCAAATTCACAAGTTTTGGAAAACACAAATGCCAGGTGAGCAAAGAAAAGAACATGAAAGCACAGGTTCTTGTTCCTAGGAAAGTTAGGTAGAATTTCCCAGTGTCTTATGAAATTTGCTACATATTCCTGAGCAGGAAATTGTTCTGCTAAGTCCTCTTTTTCTGTTTCCCATATATCCTTGCAATAGATTTATCCTTATAGGCAATTTGTGTATCTCTTCTTTAGAACTCACAAGAGTCTGGCCTGCTGGACTAGTAAAACTTCTCTAGCTAAAAGGGAATATTTCCCTGCCAGTGATCTCATAGGTGTTTACTGATGCCTGAAATTCCAGCAACAATATACAAAGCCTTTTATTCAACAAGGAAAGATGCAGAATAGGGAAGGAAAAGAAGGAAGTCAACTAATGTTTGCTGTGCATCTATCATGGCTCTGGCACTATGCTAAGCCCCATATTCAGATGACTTATTTGTGCACTTGATTCTACTTTCCAAGGTAGTTATACTTATCCCAGAAGAAAAAACTAATGCCCAGTGAGTTTACGCAACTTGCCCAAAGTCAGTCACTTTTTTCCTTAGGGGATTTTGTTATCACTGTGACAGCGGCACTGTGACCCAGGATGATTCACTTAAATGTTTGGTACTTAGGGAAGCCCTTTACCTCTATCCTTTTGTTTAGATTTGGACCAGGAGGGAAGAGAGTAAAACTAGCTATGAAGGAGAAAGAAAGTTTGATGTAGGACTTGTTATTTAATAATTTCTTTAGCTCCAAGTCAACTCTCTTATGCTCCATTGTTTGATACTGCTGTGGGGCCCTGCAAACTATATTTTCTAGCCTCCTTTGTCTAGGTGGTTTTTTTTAATAGAACCAGCCAATAGGGGGTACCGTAGAGAGACAGGAAAGTGGGTGCAAGGGAGGAGGCACTTTATCTTTTTGCCTGTTCCTACACTGTGGGACCAGAAACAGTGTCAGCCCTAGCAGCAGTTGTTGGCTGCAACATCTGAGGATTTCCAATACTTTAAGAACCAGTGTCTTCATATTCCCTCATAGGAATCACCTGCAGGGAATGGTGTGCTCCCTCCTCAGAAGCCTGCAAACCAACTCCATGGGGCTCCCGGTCCAAGCTCCTAAGTTGTTGTAGCCCCACTTCTTCCCTTTCTTCTAGCCTTAGAGTGGCAGCAGCTTCCTCCCTGGGCTACCTCAGTGTTCCCTTTTTTGTTCTTTCAGTTGTACAATGCCCTTTGCACCGAATTCCTTGTATGAAAACCTCTGTTTTTGAAATGTTATGATGGTTTTTGTTTTCCTGACCAGAAATTGATGGTGTGTGTTTGTATGGCTAACATGGAGAGTAGATAGACAATTGGGAGTACCAAAGGCTTGAGAAAAATAAAAGTCTTTAATTTGGCCCAGCAAACTGCTAGCTGCATCAATGGATTGTTAGAAGAGGAGTTGTCTTGACCGAGAGGCCTTTGGAAGAAAATGTCTGAATTTCATGTCATCCACAGTAAGAGCGTTTCTTAATGCATGAAGGCATGAGATCTAGAAAGAGGCTCTGAATATTATGTCTCTTTAAAGTAAATGCAAAAAGTCACACACAGTGTCTTAGTCCATTTATGCAGGTATGTCAAAATACCTTAGACTGGGTAATTTATAAAGCAGAGAAAGTTATTTTTTCCCAGTTCTGGAGCCTGGGAAGTCCAAGATCAAGCCACCAGCATCATGTCTGGTGAGGGCTGCTCTCTGCTTCTAGGATGGCACCTTGATGCTGCATCCTCTGGAGCGGGAGAACACTGTATCATCACATGGCAGAAGGGATGGAAAGGCAAAAAGGGGTGAATTTCCTCCATCAAGCCCTTTTATAAGGCTACCTAATCTCATTCATGAAGGCGTAGCCCTCATGACTCAATCACCCCTAAAGGTCACACCTTTTAATAATGTTGCATTGGAAATTAAGTTTCAACATGAATTTTAAAGGAGTCAAAAACATTTAAATCATGGCACACAGGAACCAGATTTCCATATTATAGCATATTTTTACTATCTCAGGTGGTAAAAGAGAATTACTTGCAATTTAATCCCTTTCACTAGAGACACAAGAGCAATCTTCCCTTATGTGTCCAATGTCTTTTTCACCTTCCTAGAGTTTGGGATGAGATGGTGTGCAAGATTTGATCTTCCCCCCACCACAGATTGCCTGTGTTTCCTTTCTACTCAAATGTCAGTGAATGCTTTCAACTGTTTTCTAAGGGAACAAATTACCTATTTATCGAAATGAGTTAACTGTAGCTTGCTGACAAACAGTATTCCATTTTCAGGAGCAGCTGTCAGATTTAAAACATTAAAATCCCATCAAAAACATTTCAGGAAATACAGCCAAAACCTTACAAATGACTTTCTAAAATCTGTTCTGCTCTGATGTATTCAAGATAATTAATTGGCATAGTACTTTTCATGTTCTGAGTATGTTTTTTTTAAGTTGATAAATGTGTTTCAGGTGTTCTCATAGATATATTACCTTAAATTTAACAAATGGACACCACATGCAGTGATAAAAATAAAAATGACCATGATACAATGGAGACCTACAATATGTCCAAAAATGATGAAACCTTTTTCCATGCTGGCACAGGGGAAAGCACAATTACTTGTACCTCTCCTGTGTTTAACATTTTCCTTCACCCTGGTCTCCCATAGAGCTCTTCGGCAGTTCACTAGATGGAATGGCCGAAAGTCCCATGTGGTAGAGTCAAAAGGCCCCTACGTCCTAAACAATTTGAAATAGTGAACGTCTAGAATTCCAACTAAATCTCAGTTTTCTGAAATGTACTTAATATAATATTGTCCCACAGTTGCTCGACAAAAACAAGATTTTCAAAGCCAAACAAATTGGGACAGTTAGGCATACTATCACTATTTCCTGGAGGTTTAGCTTGTAAAACACAAGTTAAAGGCTCTGAGAACTCCTGCAGTAAAGAAACTGGTTTAAATTTGTGGAAGTAGTAACTTCCACATTTATATGATCATAGAGCCTCTCATCTTTTACATTTTGTATGATCAACACCCCAAACTAATAGTTGTTGGAACACATTTTTTGGCAATACTGTATATGAATAAAAGGAAGTTAGGTAAAGATATTTAAAGGTCCTTCAGCAAAAGAGTAAAGCCTAGAGAAGATGAGATTCTAATAAATATTTACTTTCTGAAAAATATATGGTATTTTATATTAGTTAGATGTCTCTGTTGAAAGTGACAGAAAAACTGTTTCAAAGTGGTTTAAAGCAAAAATGTTAATTTAGTGTTTCACATTGAAAAATTCAGGGTAGACTTCGCTTCAGACACTGCTAAATTCTAAAATAAAGAAATGTTTTACTTTTAGTTCTACCATTATTCTCAGAATCCTCGTATAGTCTCTGGAAACCCATCTTATCCATATGTGGCAGCATGACAGCTGTAAAATCTTCAGTCATTTATATTTTCAGGATCTAGTGTAGTGGGAAAGAGACCCTCTCTTTCCCTCCACGCTAGCTGGAGCTAGTGGTGGAGACACATTCAAATTGAGTACATTTCCCTGGTCTATTTTTATATTGTGCTAACAGGAAAAAATATCGAAAACATTTTCAAAGTTACATGTGCTTACTTGAGCATCAGGAGAAAGGGATAAGCTTGGTTGACTGGATTCCCATACTGCATCCCGACAAACTGGAAAGAGATCCTGGTTAGAAGCAATCATTGCTTTTATCCAGAGAAAAGCAATCTGTTTCTCTGGATAACCCATCAATGGAGCAGTGTGTTAGTTAGGGTTATCCAGAGAAACAGATATATATATATATATATATATATATATATATATATATATATATATATATATATATATGTCTATATATTTATATATATATATGTATGTGTATATATATATATATATATATATATATATATATATATGAAGGTATATTATGGGAATTGGCCCACATGATGATGAAGGCTGCGAAATCCTTTAATATGCCATCTGCCAGGTGGAGAACCAGGAAAGCCTGTGGAGTAATTCAGTGTGAGCCCAAAATTCCAAGAACAAGGCACTCCTTTATCAGACAGCTGGAGAAGATAGATGTCCCAACTCAAGGAGAAAAAAATTTGCTGTTCCTTCACCTTTTTGTTCTCTCTGGATCCCCAGTGGACTGGATAATGCTCACCCACGTTGGAGAGAGGACCTTCTTCACTCAGTCTATTGATTCAAATGCTAATCTCTTTTAGAAATACACCTGGAAATAACGTTTTACCAGTTGTCTGGGCATCCCTTTAACCCATTCAAATTGACAGATAAAATTAAGTATCACAAGTGGAAAGGAAAGCAGAAGCTCTTAGAAAAAAAATTGTATTGACCATCAAATGCCGTAATATGGCCTTAGTAATTTGCATTAGCAGGAGCCCCCAGAGCCACAGAAAGAAGAGGATGAAGATAGAGAAGGAAGAAGGGAAGCCCATGGTTGACCCTCACAGAATCTCCTTCCTTTGGCTTCTATGATTTCTCCTCTTTCCAGCGTCTATTTCCTCACAATTCTCCATCACTTGTAGGGTTATTCCAGTTCTTCACCTTGCCAGTCTTGCTTTCCCTTCCAAAACTCCAAGAATATCTATCTGTCCTTGCAAATGATTACATAGCCCCTGACTTGTGGCTTGGGTTTGGAGTCTCCTTATTTCCGGTGTATGGTGAGAAATGGAATGTAAATTATTGTTTATTGTAAATAGAAAAGATATTTTCCTGGCAATGCAACATAGCAGTCTGAGAAATTTCCCTTCTCCCCACCTGTGTGAATACTTTATATGTATTGAAGTTCAATCTGTGTCTATGTGTGTGTATATCTTGATAATTTTATGTGTTGTTTCCCAAAGTACCTCATAGATTGGCTCCTCTCATCCTAGCCTCCTCTCTCACCACTCCCTTACTTACACTTTTTGCTTCATCAGTGCAAGCCTCCTGTATTTCCACATGCATTCTCTTACTATGTACCACTGTCTTTGGTTGAGGTTTCCTCAATACAGCCTGTGCCAGTAATTTATTGAGGGAGTGCTCTTAGGAGAAACCTGGAGAGGATTGAGGGAAGCAGGATAGAACAGAGAAAGACATCAGGCAAACATGTGGGTTCAACTGACCCTGTGGGGAGCTCTGGAACATGAAGAATACCACAAAGTTTTTCTGTCTTAAGGTAATTGGACTAGCCTTTTATTTCTCCATATCATTCAGTCATTGGTTGAGGATTATTTTTGAAAAGGGCATACCCTGCCATTCCTAGATGAGCCACCTCTCATGAGCTGAGAATGAGTCTCAGGAGCAGAGTGCAGCTCTGAACTGTTAAGAACCAATACTGAGAGCGACTGGAAGATCTATTAACAACTTTCCTAAGTGCTTAATTACAGCATTCACTCCCTGAAAATTCATCAGCCCTTCCTCATGCTTTATTGCTTAAAAATTGACCTATACTGTGCTTTTCAAACTTTAGTGTGCATCAGAATTGCCTTGAGCATTCGTTAAAACTCAGATTGCTTACTCTTGCCCTCAGAGCTTCTGATTCAGTAGCTCTTAGACTGGGCCTAGTAATTTATACTTCTTTCTTTCTTTTGGTGTAATTTTTATTTCTCAAAATTTTTCATTTTTAAACGTTATTTTAAAACACGTTTGTAGGTACATTGTAGGTGTGTATATTTATGGGATACATAAAATGTTTTGATACAGGCATGGCAACATGAAATAATCACATACTGAAGAATGGGATATCCATCCCCTCAAGCATTTATTTTTTGAGTTACAAACAATGCAATTATACTCCAAGTTATTTTAAAATATACAGTTAAGTTATTATAGATTATAGCCACCCTATTGTGTTATCAAACAGGCTGTCTTATTCATTATTTCCACTTTTGTTGTACCAATTAACTATCTCCATCTCCTACCCCATCCCCATTACCTTTCCAGCCTCTAGTAACTATCCTTCTATGCTCTATGTCCATGAGTTCAATTGCTTTGATTTTTGGATCCCACAATAAGTGAGAACATGCAATGTTTGTCTTTCTGTGCTTGGCTTATTTTACTTAACATAATTATCTTCAGTTCCTTCAATGTTGTTGCAGATGACTGGATCTCATTCTTTTTTCGTGGCTAAATAGGGCTCCATTGTGCATATGTACCACGTTTGCTTCATGCATTCATCTGTTGATGGACTCTTAGGTTGCTTCCAAATCTCAGTTATTTTTACAGTGCCACAACAAACATAGGAGTGCAGATATCTCTTTGATATAATGATTTCCTTTCTTTTGGGTGTATACCCCATAGTGGGATTCCTGGATCATATGGTAGCTCAGTTTTTAGTTTTTTGGGGCAACTTCCAAACAGTTTCCCAGCATGGTTGAACTAATTTACATTCCCACCATCAGTGTACAAGGGTTTCCTTTTGTCCACATCCTCACCAACATTTGTTACTGCCTGTCTTTTGGATATGAACCATTTTAACTGGGGTGAGATATCTCATTGTAGTTTTGATTTGCATTTCTCTGATGATCAATGATATTGAGCACTTTTTCATATATCTCATTGCCATTTGTACGTCTTCTTTTGAGAAATATCTATTCAAATCTTTGCTCGTTCCTTAATCAGAGTCTTAGATTTTTTTCCTATATAGTTGTTTTAGATCTTTATATATTCTGGTTATTAATCCCTTGTCAGAGAGGTAGTCTGCAAATATTTTTTTCCCATTCTGTGGGTTGTCTCTTCATTTTCTTGATTGTATTCTTTGCTATGCGGAAGCTTTTTAACTTGATGTGATCCCATTTGTCCATGTGTGTTCTGGTTGCTTGAGCATGTGGGGTATTGCTGAAGAAATCTGCCGAGACCAGTGTCCTGAAGATTTTCCTCAATGTTTTCTTGTATTACTTTCATAGTTTAATGTCTTAGATTTAAGTCTTTAATCCATTTTCATTTGATTTTTGTATATGGTAAAAGATAGGGGCCTTGTTTTATTCTTTTGCATATGGATATCCAGTTTCCCAGTACCATATATTGAAGAGATTGTCTTTTCCCCAGTGTAAGTTATTGGCACCTTTCTTGAAAATGAGTTAACTGTAGGTGTGTGAATTTATTTCTGTGTTCTTTATTTTGCTCCATTGGTATATATGTCTGTTTTTATGCCGGTACTATGCTGTTTTAGTTACTATATTTCTGTAGTATGATTTGAAGTTAGGTAGTGTGATTCCTCCAGTTTTGTTCTTTTTGCTCATGACAGCATGGCTATTCTGCGTCTTTTGTGGCTCCATATAAATTTTAGGATTTTTTTTTCTATTTCTATGAAGAATGTCTGGTATTTTGATAGGAATTGCATGGAATCTATATGTTGCTTTGGGTAGTATGGACATTTTTAACAATATTGATTCTTCCAATCCATGAACATGCAATATTTTTCCATTTTTGGTGTCCTCTTCAATTTGTTTAATCAGTGTTTTGTAGTTTTTATTATATATATCTTTCACTACTAATTAATTACTTACTTACTTAATTAATTAATTACTAATTAATTACTAGGTATTTAATTTTATGTGTGGCTATTGTAAATGGGATTACTTTTTAATTCTTTTTTTCAGATTGTTCACTGTTGACATATAGAAATGCTACTAATTTTTGTGTGTTAATTTTATACCCTGCAACTTTACTGTATTTGTTTCTCAGTTCTAATAGTTTTCTTGTGGAGTCTTTAGATTGTTCCAAGTATGAGATCATATCAGCCGACAAGAATAATTTGACTTTTTCCTTTCCAATTTGGATCCCCTTTATATCTTTCTTTTGTCTGATTGTTCTTGTTGGGACTTCCAGTGCTATGTTGAATAACGGTATTAAAAGTGGACATCCTTGTTGTGTTCCAGATTTTAGAGGAAAGGCTTTTATATTTTCCCCATTCAGTATGATACTAGCTGTGGGTCTGTCATATATGGCTTTTATTAAGTTGAGGTATGTTTCTTCTATCCCCAGTTTTTTGAGGATTTTTATCATGAAGAAATGTTGAATTTCATCAAATTTTAGTTATCTATCAATTGAAATGATCGTATAATTATATTCTTCATTCTGTTGGTGTGATGTATCATGTTGATTGATTTGCATTTGTTGAACCGTCCTTGGATCCCAGGGATAAATCCCACTTGGCCATAATAAATGACCTTTGTAATGCATTGTTAAATTTTGTTTGCCAGGATTTTGTTGAGAACTTTTGCATCAATATTCATTAGAAACATTGGCCTGTATTTTTTTTAATGTGTCTTTGTCTGGTTTTGGTTTCAGAGTAATACTGGCCTCGTAGATTGAGTTTGGAAGTACTCCTTCCTTCTCTATTTTTCAGAATCGTTCAAGTAGGATTGGTATCATCTTTAAATGTTTGGTAGAATTCAGCAGTGAAGCCTTCAGGTCCTGGGATTTTCTTTACTAGAAGACTTTTCCTGATGTCTTCAATCTTGTTACTTGCTATTGGTCTATTCAGATTTTGGATTTCTTCCTGGTTCATTCTTGGTAGGTTGTTTACATCTAAGAATTTGTCCATTTCTTCTAAATTTTCCAATTTATTGGCATGTATTTGTTCATATTAGCCACTAATGAACCTTTGAGTTTCTGCAATATAAGTTGTAATGTCTCCTTTTTCATCTCTGATTTAATTTATTTGAATCTTCTCTGTTTTTTTCTTAGTCTGGCTAAGGGTTGGTCAATTTTGCTTAAGTTTTTAAAAAACAACTTGTTTCATTTCATTGATCTTTCATATTGTTTTCTTCATTTCAAATTTATTTGCTCTTGCTTTTCTAGTTCTCTACAATGTGTTGTCAGATCATTTAAAGTTTTTCCTCTTTTTCTTGATGTAGGCACTTATAGCTATAAAGTTCCCTCTTGGTACTACTTTTGCTGTATCCCATCGGTTTTGATATGTTGTGTTTCCATTATTATTTGTTTCAATAAATTTTGTAATTGCCTTCCTAATTTCTTTATTGACCCACTGGTTGTTCAGGAGCATATTGTTTAATTTCCATCTATTTGTATAGTTTCCAAAATTCCTCTTGTTATTAATTTCTAGTTTTATTCCATTGCGGTCAGAGAAGATGCTTGATATTATTTAAATTTTTTGAATGTTTTAAGGCTTGTTTTGTTACCTAACATATGGTCTGTCCTTGAGAATGATCCATGTGCTGAGGAAAAAGATGTGTATTATGGCTGGGCGTGGTGGCTCACTCCTGTAATCCCAGCACTTTGGGAGGCCGAGGCGGGCAGATCACAAAGTCAGGAGATCGAGATCATACGGGCTAACACGGCAAAACCCCGACTCCACTAAAAATACAAAAAATTAGCTGGACGTGGTGGTGGGCGCCTGTAGTCCCAGCTACTCAGGAGGCGGAGGCAGGAGAATGGCGTGAATCCGGGAGGCGGAGCTTGCAGTGAGACGAGATCGCGCCACTGCACTCCAGCCTGGGCGACAGAGTGAGACTCAGTCTCAAAAAAAAAAAAAAAAAAAAAAAAAGATGTGTGTTCTGCAGCTATTGGATGAAGTGTTCTGTAAATATCTATTAGATTCATTTGGTCTACAGTGCAGATTAAGTGTGATGTTTGTTGATTTTCTGTCTGGAAGATCTCTCCAATATTGAAAATGAGATGTTGATGTCTCCAGCTATTATTGTATTGAGGCCTATTTCTCTCATTAGCTCTAATAGTATTGGGTTTATATAACTGAATGTTCCAGTATTGGGTGCATTTATATTTAAAGTTGTTACATTCTCTTGCTGAATTGACCCCTTTATCATTATATAGTGACCTTCTTTGCCTCTTCTTACAGTTTTTGTCTTGAAATCAATTTTGTGTGATGTGAGTATAGCAATTCCTACACTTTTTTATGTTTCCATTGGCATGGATTATCTTTTTCCATCTCTTTATTTTAAGTTTATATGTGTCTTTATAGGTGAAGTGTGTTACTTGTAGGCAAAAGAACAATGGGTCTTGTTTTTTCATTCATTCTATCAGTCTATGTCTTTTTATTGGACAGTTCAGTCCATTAAATTTATTGTTATTATTGATAAGTAGGACTTACTCTTGCCATTTTGTTACTCATTTTCTGGTTATTTTGTGGTCTTCTCTTCCTTTTTTTCTTTCCTCCCTGTCTTCCCTTTAGTGAAAGTAATTTTCTCTTTAAATACAATATAGTTTATTGCTTTTTTGTGTGTCTCTGTTGTTTTTTGGTTTGAGGTTACTATGAGGTTTGCAAATACTGTCTTATAATTCATTTTAAACTGTTAACAACTTACTATTTGTATAAACAAACAAACAAAAAGAAAACTACTAAAACCCTACACCTTAATTTCATCCTTCCACTTTTTAATTTTTCTTGTTTCTATTTAAATCTTATTGTAATATGTCTTGAAAAGTTGTAGTTATTATTTTTTAATTGGTTTATTGTTTAGTCTTTCTACTTAGGATAAAAGCAGTTTACATACCACAGTTACAATAATAATATTCTGTGTCTTTCTGTGTACTTACTATTACCAGTGGGTTTTGTACCTTCAGGTAATAATTTATTCCTCATTAATGTCCTTTTCTTTCTGATTTAAATATTTCCTTTAATATTTTTTGTAGAATGGGTCTGGTATTGATGAATTCCCCTAACTTTTGTTTGGGAAAGTCTTTATTTCTCCTTCGTGTTTGAAAGGTATTTTCACTGGATTCTAGGTTAAAAGGGTTAAAAGGCTTTTTTTTTTTTCCTTCAGCACTTTAAATATGTCATGCCACTCTCTCCTGCCCTGTAACATTTTCTCTGAAAAGTCTGCTGCTAGACACATTGGGGCTCTATTTTATGCTATTTGTTTCTTTTCTCTTGCTGCTTTTAGGATCATTTCTTTATTCTTAACTTTTGGGATTTTGATTATTAAATACCCTGAGGTCATCTTCTTTGGGTTAAATCTGCTTGGAGTTCTATGACCTTCTTGTACTTCCATATGGATATCTTTCTCTAGATTTGGGAAGTCCCGTATTTTTATTCCTTCGAATAAACGTTCTACTCCGATTCCTTTCTCTACCTCCTCTTTAAGGTCAATAACTCTTAGATTTGCCCTTTTGAGGCTATTCTTTAGATCCTGTAGACTTGCTTCATTGTTTTTTATTCCTTTTTCTTTTGTCTCCTCTGGCTGTGTATTTACAAATAGTCTGTCTTCAAGCTCACTAATTCTTTCTTCTTCTTGATCCATTTTGCTATTAAAGGACTCTGATGCATTCTTCAGTGTGCCAACTGCATTTTTCAGCTCCAGAATTTCTTCTTGATTCCTTTAACTATTTCAATCTCTTCGTTAACTTTATCTGATAGAATTCTGATTTTTTTCTCTGTGTTATCTTGAATTTCTTTGAGTTTCCTCAATACAGCTGTTTGAATTCTCCTTCTGAAAGGTCACTTATCTCTGTTTCTCTAGGATTGATCTCTGGTGCCTTATTTAGTTCATTTGGTGAGGTCATGTTTTGCTGGATGGTGTTGATGCTAGTCAATGTTCTTGGGTGTCTGGGCATTGAAAAGTTAGGTACTTATTGTAGTCTTCACTGTCTGAGCTTATATGTAGCCATCCTTCTTGGGAGGCTTTCCAGATATTTGAAAGGACTTGGGTGTTGTGATCTAAGGCTGTATATGCTTTAGGAGGCACCTCAAGCCCAGTAACACTGTAGTTCTTGCAGACTCACAGAGGTATCACCTTGATGGTCTTGGACAACATCCAGGAGAATTCTCTGGATTACCAGGCAGATATTCTTGTTCTCTTCCCTTACTTTCCCCTAAACGTACTGAGACTCTCTCTCTGTTTTGAGACACCTGGAGCAGAGGTGGAGTGATACAAGCGCTCCTGTAACCACCACCATTATGAATGCAGTGGGTCAGACCTGAAGCCAGCACAGTACTGGGTCTCACCCAAGGCCTGCTGTAACCACTCCCTGGCTACTGCCTGTGTTCGCTCAAGGCCCCAGGGCTCTATAATCAGGCAGTGGCTAAGCCAGCCAGGCCCGTGTCCTTCTTTACAGGTCAGTGAGTTCCCCCAGGCCCCGGGTGGGTACTGCAGTGTCATCTGGGAGTCAGAGACTAGAGTCATAAACCTTAGAAGTCTACCTGGCATTCCTTTTATTGCAGCTGAGTTGGTACTCAAACTATAAGATGCAGTTCTTCCCACTCTTCCCTTGCCTTTCCAAAGGCAGAAAGGCCTCACCTCGTAGCCACCAACACCCCTGGCCATGTGGGATAATGATAGACTACCACCAGTGTTCCCTTAATGCCCAAGGTCTCTTAAGTCAGCTTGTGTTGAAAGCTGCCTGGCCTAGTACTTACCCTTCACGGCAGTGGCTTTTCTCTGGCCCAGGGCAGGTCCAGAAATACCATCAAATAATGAAGTCCTGGAATTGGGTACCCTAAGAGTCCACTTGGTGCTCTACCCCCCTTGTGGCCATGTTAGTACCTAAGGTGCAAGACAGAGTCCCCTTTACTTTTCCCTCTGGTTTTCTCAAGCAGAAGGAAAGGAATTTTTCCCTTTAGCCACCACAGCTGGTAATGTGCTGAGTCTCATCTGAAACCAGTAAGTCTCAGAGGCTCACTAAGGCCTTCGATGTCATACTTGGGTATTGCTGCTTGTTATTCAGGTCCCAAGGGCTCTTTAGTTAGCAGGTGATTAATACTTCCAGAACTGGGTCATTTCCTTTAAGACAGCCAGTTCCCTCCTGGCCCAAGGTGTGTGTAGAAATGTTGTCTGAGAGCTTGGGTCTGGAACAGAGACCCCATGACTCTGACTAGTGTCCTATCCTGCTGTGTCTGAGCTGGCATCCCAGATGGAAGACAAAGTTCTCCCCTTTGTTTCCTCTCCTCTCCTCAAGCAGAAGAAAGGGGTCTCTTTTGGACCCATAGGCTGTTCAGTCTGGGAATGGGAAGGGGGTGATGCCAGAACTCTCTTGGCTGTCCCAGTTGGTGTCTCAGTATGTCACATGTCCCCTCAGTTCATTGTCTCTGGGCCCGGTTCAGCCCTAGGATCCACCTAGAAGTTGCAGTCCTTATGGCCTAGACTGCCTTTTAAGTTTACTTAGAGACAAAAGGCTTTTTGCCCCTTGGTGGGGAGGTTTGTGGGCACTCAAGTTTGGGCTGCTGGGATTAGCAATTCCCCTCTGGCAAGGGATGGATTAAAGGCACCATCTGTGTGTGGGCATCTGCTAAGTTTGATTTGCTTTTCCTTTCTGTTCTAACAGGAGAGAACTGAGTTCAGTGCCTCACAATTTCTGAGTTCTCCCTCTTCCAGTGCCCAGAGATGCTCTCTGAACCATGCTGTTTCTGTCTGTGGTGGGAGACAGATGGCATCCACAATTCAGTACTGTTTTTTCTGTCTCTTCAGTGCTTCTTTCTGAGATGTGAAGTTAAAATTAGGTACTGTGAGTGCTCACCTGGTTTTTGGTCCTTATGAAGGTGCTCTTTCTGTGTAGATAGTAGTTAAATCGATATCCTTGTTTGGGGGAACCATTGGTGTAGCTTTCTATTCTTCCATCTTGTTCCACCTCCTAGTTTAGATTTCTAACAAGTTCTTACATCAGGTTGATGCTGATGGTCTGAATTCACACTTTTTGAGACTCCGTGGTGTAATGAATTTCACCCATCCCTCATGATTCAACTGATCTATCGTCTTCTTCAGAAAGGCTTTCTATCCATTCATACTCCCCTCGTCCTTTCCTTGGGTGAGTACCTTTTTTATTTCACTTAATAACTCATGCACTTATCATTCCACATTGGAGAGTCTGCTCCAGGTGTTAGGTGTTAGGAAGGTGGTAGCTAGAGGTATATGAGTATCCATCAGTAGAGTGAAAAAAATACATGCTTAGACTCCTAAGGAAAATCTTTGAATACATTTCCCATAAAAATAAATTCTGTCCTATTACCTTGTAAATCTTGAGGACAGCACCCTGTCTTATTCATCTTAGTACTCCTGGCTCTTAGAACTTCACCTGGTGCATTGTAGGAGTCAGATAAATGTTTGTTGACTTAAACAATATCAACCTTATTTTGGATTGGTTTTATGGGAAAGTATGTTTAACTCACATAAGTTAAATACTTACCTAAGTTAAAATATGTTTAACTTATGGGAAAATATGACAACATACAAATAAACTTTGTGGGAGCATAATTTATTTTTTAGTCGAGGGTTGCTTTCTCTAGCACACTATGTTTGTCTCTAAATGTATGTAGGAAGGCATTTACCTGACTTTTCATACAGACACACAAATGAGTCATTTCAAAAATAAGCACCATTTCTGGTCCCACACTTACTTAATTTATGAACCTATAATTTGCTTTTGGAAAAACCATCTCATAAAATGATGTTGACTTGAGGTTTCAGAAAACTGGCACAGAGCTAGGAAAAAAATGTAAACGTTGTGGCAACACAGCAAAGAAAAAAATTTAAGCAGCATTTGTTGTTAGTAGCTGTTAAATGTAAGCATTCACTGTAGCAGACAGACTTCCCTTAGAAAACACAGGCAATGACAGAGGATAACAAATAGATGTTGTTGCCAGTGAAAGTATGAGTGTTTCTCCAGAAGAAACATGAAAATTGGGGGAAAAATTAGCAAAAGGCCAGCTTGGAAGATTGGTTAAGGAGTATATAATGTAATCGCTGTTCAGGTATATATTCATCAAAGCTGTTGACATAGTTCTCTTATTAGCTAATATTTAAAATTTTGTTTTAAGGAAATGGTACATCTGTAAAGTACCAGAGGCAAGAGGGTCTGGAGTAGTTGCCATTAAACCTCTTTGCTAATTGGACACGCTAGCCACTGCTACATTAGTCTACAGGCTTACCTGACAGGCTAAACAAACCGAGTTAACTGAACATCTGAAATTAATGTGTTTACTTTAAGGAACACGAAGTCTGATTCAATTAGCCTCCAAAGTCATGGAGCCTACAGAATTTAATGTTGGAGGTTTTCTTTTCTTTTTTGTTTTAATGTGTACTCCACTGTTTACAGAACCCAGATTAATGAGGGGATGTATTTTTTTTTTTTGTCTTAGAGGCTGAAAACTTAAAAAATTGGATGAAAATTATGAAGATAGTCTGACATGATATATTAAGAGCTCTGAATGATGCCTAGGGATGTAGAAGAGGAGAAAAACACTTGAGTAAGTAAACAGAGTTTATGAGACTTGTTTATGCCAGGAAAGCAAGATGAATATTTCTGACTAAAAGTTAATTAACTATTTTGCCTCAGCAAGCCAATTTGTCGTCTTAAACTTTGATTCATTAACTACAAGCTGAGACGATTGCTTGTTCCTTAGTGTACTTGTAGACTGAGTTTGTGTTAAATGGTGCTGTGAGATATTGGCTGTTCTTCCCAATTGAAACTAACCAAAAAGGCTATTATAAAGAAAGTAAGACTTTTTAAGTGGCAGTAAGTAGATGGGTATTCTTTCAGAGCAAAGCCTAAGAACTATATGGCTTAATTGCAAAGCTAATCAGCCCTTGTTAAATAAAACAAGAGTAAATCCAGGATTTTTGAGTCTGCACATTTAATGGGACATGAAAGTTGACGATTTAGCAATTCTGAAGTTTTAAGACTTGTGAACTTACGAGTTGTTCCCCTTCAGGGTTTTTCACTTGGAGGCTCTAACCCTTTTTTTTTTTTTTTAATATGTTGTGCTGAGAAAAATGAATCTCCATTTGTCAAGATACTGGCTTTGTCTCTTATCATTGCATGTTTTGTGAAAGCCCATTTGTTGGATAAGGAACTTCTTTGAACTCGTAAATGGGCAAGTGAAAAGCAAGAAGTTTAGGGAAAAAGAGTACCAACTATACTCCTAGTATATTTATCTTTAAGATTTTAATAACAGCTAAAGAAGATATGTGAAGAGTCGGAATATATGCTTCTTTTCAAAAAGTCACCTCATACACAACTAAATCAATATCATAGGGCATATTTGTGAAAATTCATGTAACTTAGGTAAGTTGTGTCTGTAAACTTTGATACAAATGGAAAAGAGGAAACACTATTCTTCACAAGGAGTGATTGCTTTTTACTTACACCACACAACATAAAACCTTCTGTCTTGCACTGGCTCTCTGATCCTAGCGTGGAAGACAAAGAGCGCTGTCCCTCTATGAGAATTCTTCTTATTAGTGCAGATACTGGAGCCCCTTCAATATGAACTAGACCATGAGTTCCATGAGAGTAGGATGTGTGTTCATAGCTGTACCTAGTACCTAGAACAATGCTCATTGAATGAATAAGGCAATGACTGAACAAATGATGAATGTACCAAGACATTTTGATAGCTACTGAGAAGGTTATAGTCTTGTTTGGTGAAATGAATAATGAATTAAACCCGAGTTTTCCGCAAAAGTTTGGACTAAGCAGAAAGTTTATGGTGAATGAGTTACAATCTTTGCTCTTCTACTTATTATGTAACTTTGGGTAATCTATTTAGTAAAAGGTGAAAGATTTATACGATCTGAAGAGAAACCAGAGCATGGGTAATCTATTTAATCTCTCTAATCTCAATTTTCTTATTCATAAATTAGGGTTAATAATGATAATACCTTTCTCATAGGCTTACTGTGAGGAATGAAAAAGATAATGTTTGTAAAGTGCTTAGCAGAGTGCCTGCTACTTGGCTGTAAGAATTTATGAAGCTGCTGTCTGCTATGAGGTGATTAATCCTAAAATGAAATTTTGTCTCAAAAGAGAGTCAGAAAATACCAGCATCTACAGTTGAGGCTTTAGAAAGGCAGAAAAATTTAACTAGTAGAAATTTATAAAATAACTTTTGCATTTTCAAAGATTTTAGCCTGTGATATGTACTGATAATGAGTTACCTTCATGCCTGCTGTCTTTACTAAAGAAAAAAACACAAAATTTGACCAAGTTGGATATGCCTCATAATATATATAGGTACATATATGACATTATAAAAAATAGCAAGAACATCAACAAAAATGAATACAGCCATTATATGGATTAAATGTCCAAAAGTTATAAAATGATCAGAAGTGTAATCACAATGGTGAAATAGAGTTTTATTTAAGAGAATCCTGAGATGTTTTAGAATAGCATGTATGTGTGTGACAGGGTGTGGGGGAGGCACTGAGACTTTGGAGGATGAGTGGCTAAAGACTTTTTTGGGCATACTGAAAAAAATGGAAAAAAATGGAGCTTTGACCCTGATTAATATAGTACGATAGGAATGCTCTTTACCACTTATAAATCAACAGCGAATGATGGATGCAACCTTATATCGAATTTGCTTTGAATCCTTGTAACATAGCAGCAGGCTTGCTATCTTTGGTCTGTAAGTTGTACCTATATGTTCTTCTCTATGGAGGGAGAAAGAGGAGATTGTGCTTTATTTCTTCCCGCTGGGTTGTCTCCATGGGTGGATTCCCCAGCCACTACATCATCCACATTAAAGGGTCGTGATAGACTACTATTGCTGGGGGTAGTTGTGGAGGTTGTTTACTGCAATGTACTCATCTCAACCAAAAGAAAACATGCATGCACGTACACACACACACACACACACACACACACACACACTGCTGAAAAAGGTTTAATCAACAATTTTCTAAAAAATGGTGGTAAGAAACACATGACCTAAAATTTACCATCTTAACCATTTTAAGTGTGCAGCTCAGTGGTGTTAAGTATTTTCGCATTGTTTCGCAACAGATCTCCAGCACTTTTTATCTTGTAAAACGGCAACTCTGTATCCATTGAACAACTCCCCATTTCCCCCTCCCCTCCAGTTCCTGGAAACTACCATTCTACTTTTTGTTTCTATGAATTGGATTCCTTTAAATACTTCATATAAATGGAATCATACAGTATTTGTCTTCTATGACTGGCCTATTTCATTTAGCCTAACGTCCTCAAGGTTCACCAGTGTTGTAGTATGTAACAGGATTTCCTTCTTTTTTAAGGCCAATAATATTCCATTGTATATATATACCACATTTTCTTTATCCATTTATTTGTTGATGGACATTGGGTTGCATCAATTGGCTACTGTATGAAATGCTGCAATGAATGTGGGTGTGCACATGTCTTTGAGATCATGTCTAAGCGGCTCTTTATTCAATATTCCCGGTGAATAAATTCAAACCAGAATGGAATGGGGAAATATCATGAAAAAGTCATCAATGTTTGTTTTAGTCTAGTGAATTCCTTTCTATTCACTACCAAAGAGTGTGGGACCTCACTGCCAAAATCTCTGTGTGATCCCTAAATAAATGTTTATTATGCAGAAATGCCTTTTCTTTGTTTCTCATACCACCTAAACCCATTTTCCTGTATCTCAGCTCTTATTATTTTGGTACTTCTAAAGTTCCTGCTTTATGTCCCCCCTTTTCCTGGGGTTTGATCTTTCCTCTTGTATTAGGCAAGTTCATGGCATTCTCTTATATTTTTGAGATTTTCAATATTCCCGTGAGTGCTCTAATACTCTACATGTGTCACTCCTGTACATGTTTATGCTCTTTTGAGTCATAGTTGTAGAGATAAGAAAGAAGAAAGTAGTTGGGGTTGAGGAGTAATCTTTACTCTGGTTGCAGTAAGCTCTTTCGTCTTCAGTGTGTCTAAATAGATAAGTAATGAGCGAATGATTGACTAAATGACATAGTGTCTTCCTGGGTTTCTGTTAATCTGACTTTTAAATTGGATGGCTAATATTAGAAAAGTATGGGAAAAAGTTGTTTATCAAAAGAGACACGTAATTCAAGAGTTGGTACCCATATCCTTGTCTTGATTTCATACAAGACAAAAAGGTTGAAGCAGCAATGTAAGTTTGACTATGTAGAGTCAGGATTAGGAGTTTCTTCTGTACCAATGAGGAGGTGGCAGGGCCAGTGACTAAGGCAATGGAAGTCAGCTTGGCAGGGAAGCTCAGAGAGGCACTATAAGTCACTATTAAGTGCCACAGTGTATGACAAAAGGCAACCAAGAAAGAACAAAGAATAGGAGACCAGGACAAATAGATATGTACCAAGAGAGGTCAAAAAGCAGGTAAGATGTTTGGATATCAGGACTGAGACACAAGCAGCAAAAACTGAGTCATGTGTAGAATTCATGGATTAATAATATTAATATTACTATTAAGAATTACAAGCCGGGCACGGTGGCTCATGCCTGTAATCCCAGCACTTTGGGAGGCCAAGGCAGGCAGATCACTTGAGGTCAGTAGTTCAAGACCAGCCTGGCCAACATGGTGAAAACCCATCTCTACCAAAACTACGAAAATTAGCCAGGTGTGGTGGTGGGTGCCTGTAATTTCAGCTACTCAGGAGGCTGAGGCAGGAGAATTCCTTGAATCCGGGAGACAGAGGTAGCAGTGAGCCCAGATCGTACCACTGCACTCCAGCCTGGGCAACAAGAGCGAGACTCCATCTCAAAAAAAAAAACAAAACAAAATAGAAAAGAAAAGATTTCTTAATTTGTACTGGATACTGTTAAGTACTTTCCATACATTGGGTCATTCAATCCTTACTATAACCCTATGAGGTAAGTCCTACATTTACCTTAATTTTACAAACAAGGAAACAAAGTCTCAGAGAGGTCAAATAACCTATGCAAGGACACATTCAGCAATTGAAAGAGTTGGTTTTCAGATTCAATAATGGCTTCTGGTTGTAGGAATATATAAATTGGACTGGGGGAGTCAGGGGATAAGTAAAATGTCACTTAGCTCCCTGTAATAAGCCTTGCAGTGCATTTCCTGGTGTGTAACGGGTATCATTTATCATTTGATCAAGATTCAGTCAATGACCTTGTTTGCATAAAGGAGATTTCAACCTAATTTCCTGAAAATCTGGTAGTTGCTTCTGCATAATCAAACAAAAAGGAGTATAGGAGTGAAAATCTTAAGTGTCCAATTTTTGGGAGACTGTTTTCAAACACGTTCCCAAACATAGTCCCGTACTTACCAAAACTGTCTTAAATTGTTGTTTAAAAATATTTTCACTTTAGAGAGGGATACTAGTTTTAACTGTTTTACTTTTAAAAATTAGAAACATCTGCCTTCTAAGCCAGGCTTTAAAAAAAGTTTTACTCTCTTATATCTGGCATAAAAGTTTTGAAAAATGAGACATTAGGACAGTGATCCTAGACTTTAAAACGTGAGAAATAATCTCACCCTGTGAGGAGGAATTGCAAGACTGAGAATGTGGAAGGGAAAGGATTGGATGGAAAGAATTTTGGATTTGGTACCAGAAGATGCAGGTTTATTTTTGTTTCCTGCTTAATCCAAACCTGAAACTGAGAATGATAATACCACATTTTCAGAGTTATTGTGTAATTTAAATGAAATAGTGTTACACAAAATATACTGTATAAAATGTAAATTTAGTAAAGCAAATGGCAGGCATTTATTGTTGCAACCGAATTACTAATGTTGAGGCTATATAAATAAATCTTCAATACAACTTTTATTTTTCATACTAATAATGCTTCTATCAATTTGAAGAGTCAAGAGAAGTAGCTGGTGAAAATAAGCATAGCTTGAAATATGAATTGTTAGTTGGCGAAGATGGGCCAAGACATCACACCTTCTCTTGGAGACAAAGACTAAATTACAAATTCTTCCACCTGGACTTTCAGTTGTGGGAGCTTCAAGTTTCAGAAGTAACTTCCAAGACCCACGAGAGGGAGCTCATGCACTTCTTAGGCACTACTGGTTAGCTTTTTAATATCTTATTCAAAACAGGCAGTAGTTTGGGAGGTGAGGTGTGATGAAGAAAATGGATTAAGGGAAATAAATTCCTTCAAGAAAAATCATTGGGGAATACAAAGTTAACTCCTTTAGTGTGGTTGAAAGTGTCTGAGAAAATTCTGGCTAGAATCCCTTTTAACCAGCTCCCTTAAAGGAAAAGTAACTGCTGCAATCATTTCCAGATTAATCTTTCTGGCTTAACACCCATTCCAAATATTCTCTTCTTAGAAAAGAGCATTGAGAGATGATTATCCACTAATGTCATCCAACTCCACTTAGCCCAGGCTGCTTTATGAGATAGCTAGGAATATCACAGTTTAGGCATTTGTGATCACAGTTGAATTCAGTTAATCATCCAGAGAGCAAGAGTAGAGTAGAGGTATATGCTTACACATTTAACAACATGCTTATTATCTGATGTAATTCTGTGGACTGTCAGAGATGAAGAAACCAGTTGTGTGTGTGTGTTTGTGTGTGTGTGTCTGACTGAACGTGTGTATGGTGGAGAATTGGGATGGGTAGAATGCAGCATGAAACAATGGCAGAGGGAGAGGTCCTCAGTTTTGATGTTATTCATTTTATGACGTGGCATACTTCTAAGGTCTACAAACATGATCCAAAAGGAGATGTCTAAAAAGAACAAACCCATCTGCATGTAAAGCAACATAGTCAATAGAAGAGACAAACTTTGGCTACTAGTATTTTATTATAAATATTATATTACAATTGAAAAGTAGGTACAATTATAAATCCAGTCAATGTATTGTAAGTATTAATTATTTCATGGAATGCTTATTTTCCAGAAAAGCTTTTTGTAAATTGAGTTGGTATCATATAAAATAGAATTTTCTCATTAAATTTTATAATAAAATTGAAAATGCATTTCAAAGTATACATTTTTGGCTCAATTCACATTGAAATTACTAAGGCAATATATCTTTTAAAAACAAATAGTTAAAGGAAAATAATGGTTGTTTTTCACCAACCATTAACAAGGACATATTTTGCTATTAGTAAATCAGTAATGAAACAAACCACAAAATGCCAAGTCATAGGGTTGAAGTTTGAATTAAATGAAATGCAATGAGTTCAAGTTTGTTACCAGGAGAGGGCAACTGGCTACCTCCCAAAGTGTCTACACAAAGGAGTATTCACTATTGCCTGTGAAATCAGAACCTGGGTTCATCAACCCTTTCAAAATGAATTAATCTTTCAGGGAATAATCAATATATTAATTAAACACAATGAGAAATATACCTTGAATTTTGAAATCAATATGACCAGTGAATTGTTTCATAATATGAAAACCTCCCAGGTATGTTATGTTTAATCAAATTGTTTTATATATCTGTACAATCAGAATAAAAGGGCTGATTTGGTTAGCTAAAAGGGTTTTTGCTTTTTTCCCCCCAGCTAAGTGATTTGAAAGACTGTTTTCTACTGCAGGGATAGCTTTTCCCATGGGATAGAAATGTTTAATACCTGGGAGCCAACATCCTCTTCCTTGGATGCTGCTTGGATGGCCTTGGGGTGTGGTAGAGAGTAGGCACGACTCTTGCTCTCAACTGATTTCCAATCTAGTGGGACAGCAGACAGTAAACAGTAAGTGAACTAAATGTGATGGTGAGAGTGCTATGGATCATATAAGAAAAGGGCGTTTCACCCAACTTGTGTAGTGGGGAAGGGTCAAGGAATACCTTCAAAGGAAACCATGTGAACCAATTTCATTTTTATCTGGAAAATTGTGCAGGAACAATAGATATCTGTCTTCAAGAATGTTTCAAACATAGTTGGCAATAAATTCCATATTCCATATGATTGAAGGTGTGAGCAATTATTCAGCCACTTGGGCAGGATCAGATGATTTGCAATTCATGGGATCTTTCTCTTAATATTATTCAGTAATTCACCTCAACAGCATTTGTTGAACATGGCCTCCTGACAATTGGATGTGGTTCATATTTCAACTTCTGGCTTTTGTTGATGTAGGATTCAGCTTACTGCACAGTCACTATTTTGTGGATTAGCTTACTATTGATAGGTATTACTAGTTTGGTTAATGGTTTGCCAAGGGAACCTGTTAATCAGGAGACAAAATAATATATGACTAATAAGGTAAGCGAATTACAAAACACTTTCCTTCAAGTGCCATATCAAACATATGTAATCAAAATTGAACTATCAATATATCTGTCTGCAAATATGTTCCTCCACAAGCTCCACCAGGGGCATAATCATCATCCATTCAATTGCTCAGGCCAAAATCCTAGGAGTTATTTATGATTCTTTTCTTCCTACATAATTTATATCTAATTTCTCAGCAAATCCTGTTGGCTATATCTCGAAAATATGTCCCAAATCCTGCCACTTCTTCTGATCTCTATTGCTAAAACTTTGGTCCAAGCCACCATCAATTTTCATCCAGACCTCTGCAACCAGTTGGTATCTTTTCTTCCAGTGTCCCTCTCACCCTACATACCCTGTCCTGATGCACTTACATACAATAGGCAGAAAGATCCTACATAATTTCATTCCATTCTGTTCAGAATAAAATCCAATCTTTACCTTGGCCTATAAGACCTCATCTGGATGTGGGCCCTGCTGTCTCTCAGACCTTACTTCTCACCACTCACAACAGCCACCCTAATCTGTAGGGTGTATCAGAGTGCTCTGTAGATTTACATCAAGTCTAATTGGATTTATAATGTTTTTAAGTTCTTAATTTCCATGCTGATCTTGTTACTTTTACTGGGACTCTATTTCTTCATGTGGATTTGAGTTACTGCCTAATGGCCTTTAATTTCAGCCTGAAAGATTCCAAATGTCCCTTAGACTAAATTCAATGTCTGGGTTTCAGGAACAATTTCAAATAACTATTTTCCTGAGTATGGACTGTTCTTTCTTATTTCTTTGCATTTCTCATAATTTGTTGAAAAATTAATATTATAAATAATATAATGTAAGAGTTCTGAAAATCAGATTTCACCTCTCCCAAGGTTTTTTTTGTTATTGTTTGTTGTAGTGTAATTGCCTAGCAGTTTCTTCCTGCTCACGGCACATACAAAAATCAGTCCACTGAGGCTATGGCATTGCAGTAGAGAGTTTAATTGACATATTGTGGGCCCATATGGGAGAATTGGAGTTATGACTCAAATTAGTCTTCCTGAAGGATTGGAGCTTAAAGTTTTTATGGACAATTTGGTGGACAGGGAGCTAGGAAATGGGTGCTGCTTATTGGTTAAGGAATGAAATTATAGGGGTGTGGAAAACAGAATGGTTGCTGCTGATTGGTTGGGGGGTAAAACTATAGGGGTATTGAAAAAGTTCCTCCTGTGCTGGTTCCACCTTTGGGTGGAGCCACAGGATCAGTGGAGTCATAAGTCATGAGTCTGGGTGGGGTCATTCTGAAAGATATGTCAGAAAACCAATCTTAGGTTCTTCAATAGTGATGCTATCTATAGGAGCAATTCAGAAAGTCACAAATCTTGTGCTTACTGGCCACATGATCTCTGAGCAGTAAGACATTATAGAAACTATAGCTATTTTATGAGAATTCAAGCCACTGTTATAATCCAAACATTGTAGGCTTTTGTTAGTTTTACAAAGGCAGTTTAGTTTTGGGAAGGGCTGTTATCATCTTTGCTTTAAGGTAAAACTATGAACTAAATTCCTCCCCAAGTTAGCTTTGTCTACGCTCAGGAATGACCAAGAACAGCTTGGAAGTCAGAAGCAAGATGGAATCAAGTATGTCAAATTTCCCTTACTGTCGTAATTCTGCAAAGACAATTTCAGTAGTAGTTCTTGTGTGTGTATGTGACTTTTCTAAATTGATTATATAAAGTCTGTATTCTTTGTCATGTGTAAACCTGAAGTCTCTGCTTTGTTAGCTTAGTTGTGAGTTGATAATTGGAAAGAAAATTTTTTGAGTTCCTGAAACCAGCACGTCTCCCAGTCTTTGCCAAGTGGCTGTCTGTGCACTTTAGGGCATGAATTTAACACTCAGTGAAACTCTTGGTATCTTGTTTAATCCACATTTGCTGCTTACATACAGCGTCTTGAGCAGTCTCTGCATGTCTTTCCTGACTGAGCATATGCAAAACTGTGCACAGCTCTGGACATGGATGTGGACTTCTAGATTGCCAGGGACATGTCAGAGCTTTCAAAACCCCTATGGAGATTTTAATCCCCAGCTGTTTCCTTTTCAAGCTTTTTGGTTAGTCTATTATTTCTCTCAATTGTTATCAACTACTTTAGACAGCTGCAAAGTTAATCACTTGCCTGAAATTGTTTTCAGCAACACCTTCTCATCTGTGGAAAAAGAGCTTTTTGTACTGGGGGAAGTCCAAACCAGGTCCAGATAGGTCAAATAATGAAAGTTCTCTGTTAATGGGGTTTTGAAAGGTCCAGCTGTGTTCTATCTTTAAAGTACAAAAAATGCAGATTGTAATTTTTCAATGCTACTGTGGAATTGAAGAGCAGGGGATAGGATCGGGTTAAGTTAAAACACCACAGATGTCACCGGTGAGTTGTTTTTCTTGAGTACATATTTCATAGATTGCCGCAAAACTTTAATGCCCAGAGTTCTGAAAAGGTGTATTTTGACATTTTTTGGTCCAACATTTTGTTTTTATGAGGAGATAAATTTTGGAGGTTCTTATTCTATTTTCACTTGGCTGTTGTGACCTGGCTGCTGTTGATTTCTTTATGACAATTTTAAAGCCTGCTAGTTTATCAAATTCTTTTATAGTTTGAGTTACTATTGTTAATGATTCTCTAAAGGCTTTTGTAATCATACCCTCTGCTAACAGAGATAGTTTTACTTAGTCTTTACCATTTTTTATGCCTTTAATTGACTTCTTTTGCTTAATTGCCTTGGTTAACACATACATTTCAATGTTGCATAGTAGTGGAGACAGTGGTCAACCGTTATCTTGTTTTTTGTGTTAATGGAAATGCTTCTAGGGTTTTGTCTTAGTAAGATGCTGGCTTTTGATGTATTTTATCATGTGAATAAAGCATACTTTTATTGTTATTTTGTTGAATATTTTATCAGACACTGGTGTAGAATTTTGTCAAAGGCTTTAAAGCATCTCTACAGATGATTAAATTACTTTCTCCCTTAGATCTTTAAGATACTGTATTATATTAATGGTCTGTCACTTATTAATGATATTCAATATTGAGTCAGTTTGCATTTCTGGATTAAATTTTACTTTCTTAAAGTCATATTGTATTTTGTTTGCTAATATTTTAGTTAGAATCTTACATCAATATCCATACATTATATCAATCTGCAATTTTGTTTTTTATAGTATTTTATCAATATTTTACTTGATTTTCTGTATTTTAAATGTTCTGGAACAATTTATGTAGCATTGAGACCATCTAATTTTTGAAAGTTTGTGGAAGTTTACTTTTGAGTCATCTTTTTTGGTACTGTATGGCCAGGTAGTTCTTTGAAAACTTACTGTTTCTTCCTGAGAAAATATCCAAGTTTTGCCTTCTTTTTCTGATGTGGTCAAGTTTAGTAAATGCTAGTTCTTCAAGAACTTATCTTTTTGCTTTATATATTCAAATTAATTATGTCAAGGTTACATAGTGGCTTCTTACAAAAATATTATGTTTAAATTATTGTTTCTTGTTATAATTTCTCATTTTAATATTTATGATTTCTCATTTTATTTTGGTTCACCCATTTTTTCTAAAAATGATTATTTGAAGTCAATTTTCTATTCTCTGCCTTATTAATTTCTGATTTTATCTATATGTTTCTCATCTCATGTCTTCATTTGGTTTATTTTCTTGTTTTTATTCTACCTCTGTGAGCTTCAAATTTACCTGATTTACTTTTATCTTTCATTTTTATTGGTCAAAGTAATAAAGGCTGTAGATTTTCTTCTCATCATTGCTTTAAATATGTCTCACAGATCCTCATTTCCAATGTTTTAACTATGATATTTTGGGAAAAAATCTGTTATTTTGGTATATAATTCTCTTTGCTCAGAGGAGATTTTTAAATAAAAATAATTTCTGGCTGATAAGATGGTTTCACTTATTTTTTGAGAGAATTTATCATGTGTTTGTTTGGGGATCTGTGAATTTTACATTAATATTTTTATTTTATAGAACTTACTAATATCTTCTTTGTGACTTAATGTATAATCTTTTGTAAATGTTCCATAAGTGCTTGAAACAACAGTACATTTTCTTTTATGAACATATAAAAATTTTTAAGTATTCATTTTTATATTGTTTATATTATTCATATCCAACCCTTCCCCTTGATCTCTTTGTTAATGAGTGTGACATATTACATTTTCCTATTATTAATGTGTTTGTATTTATATCTTCTTTATGCTTTGTAACTTTTTGCTCTTTAAAGATTGGTATATTATGTAATGTTGTGTAGACATTGCATCAATATTTGCATAGATATTGTGTTGTTACATCATATTTTGAATTGTGATTTTTAGTGCTAACAGTACTTTTTGCATTTAATCATTTTATTTTTGGTTTAATTTCTACTTTGTTATCAGTATTATTATCACTGATTTCTTATTGTTTTTATTTATTTGCTATATTATTGCCCATCTTTTAGCTTTCCAACATTATTTTGCTTTAGATATATCTCTTGAATTTGTATGTCAGTCAACCTTTGGTTATTGAGGTTTAGCTTCCAGTAGATTCCTAAAGAATGGCTTATGGGTACAGAATTTTTAAAACTCTTGCAATTTAAAATCTGTTTTCTATAGCTTGATACTTGAAGGGTATAAAATATTTTATTCATACTTTTATACCTTGAGTTTGTCGAAAATGCCTTTTTATTATTACTTTGCTTTGTATGTTGCTTTTGGGAAATATGATGGCAGTCTAATTCATGGTCCCTTGTGTGAGTATTTGATCATTCTTTTAAAATTGGGGCCCTAAGATTTTTTATTTATATTTAAATCTATAGTCTTACTAGAATATATCTTAGAATTTATCATTGTATGTCAGCATTCCCTTGTCATCAGTGAGTCCTTGCAATAAATAGAATCTGATATTTAAATATATATTAATAAACTTCTTAAGAACAGTTTTAGGTTTCTGGAAGAATTGAGTAAAAAGGGTAGAGAGTTGCCATATATTTTCTCTTCTTCTCTTCTCCCCTCTTCTCACAGTTTTTTCTATTATTAATATATTGTTTTAGTGTGATACATTTGTCACAGTTGATAACCAATAATGACATATTAACTAAAGTTCATAATTTACAATAGAGTTAACTTTTTGTGTTTTGTATATCTATGGGTTTTGACTAATGTATATTATGTAACCACCACTACAGTATCACATAGAATAGTTTCATTGCCCTGAAAATGGTCTGAGCTCCACCAGCTCATCCCTCCAACTTCCAAACCATAGCAACTACTGATCTGCTTACTGTGTGTATAGTTTTGTCAGTCAGGTATTTTATTTTTAATTCTTAGAAAATTTTCTTTCATTATAGTTTAAAATAGTAGTTTTGTTACATTATTTTTCTGCATCAGAAACTTCAACTGTGTATATATTATTTCTTATTTGCCTGTCTTTCATTTTCTCTTTGAAATTTTTACTTACTTTTTAAAAATTCTCTTGGCCTTTTCTCTCCTTTTCTTCTATTTGCCTTATAATGTTTTCATTCAAATCTGTTCTTTTTTGGACACAAGATAAT
Organism: Homo sapiens; assembly: GCF_000001405.40. Classification (NCBI taxonomy): domain Eukaryota; kingdom Metazoa; phylum Chordata; class Mammalia; order Primates; family Hominidae; genus Homo; species Homo sapiens. The sequence continues at coordinate 22,314,972 of NC_000009.12, forward strand.
GTAGACATTTTTCTAATGTAATTTTTTTCTTTTTATTGATTTTCTCAGTAAAATAAACTCTTATTTTATGATTTTCTCTTTTTTGTCCATTTCTGCTCTTAGTTTTTGAATTGCTGATTCAGTGTTCTCTCATACCCCCCAATACTTATTTGAATATATTTAATTCAGTTTGAAGTGTTGTATTACACATCTCTTCTTCAGCATTTTGGGGGGAAGAGTGAGGAGAAACTTTTATCAACTAACTTTGTTTAATTCTCATTTTCTGTTTTACTTATTGTAGTATTTTTATAGATAAGGACTTTTTGGTGTGTGCTTCTAAATTTATATAACAAAGTTAAGAGTTTGAGTAGGTTACAAGATTTCTATTTCAAGATATCACTCTTCTAACTGTAGGAAAGTTGGTTTATTTTATTTTTAATTGGACGTTTTTGAGACAGTAGAGGAGGAAAAAGGACATTTGGTATTTATTCTTCTACTCACAGGTCATTTGAAATTTGATATTCCTTGTCTTCTAATTGTATTGAGGGAGTATGTTTTCTGTAGCTTTATGATATTGTTTATTCTATTTGGGAAGAAATGGAGAATATTGCTTTTACATGGCCACCATTGCCTTAACTACCCAAAATTCTTCTCATTTTACTTTCTCTGGTACTTTCTGTCTTGGGTTAGTTTATCTGTGACATACCTTTTGAAAGGCAATGCCCACTTCCCTTAATAAAATAAAACTTTGTCCCTGAGTGTTATAGTGAGAGGGAAAGGCTTCATGTAGAAAGATCAGCTGGACCATCATACCCCAGTCTTGACCTTCCCCAAATCTCACGTTGAATTGTAATTCTCAGTGTTGCAGGAGAGGACTGGCTGGAGGTGATTAGATCATGGGGGTACTCTCTATTGTTTTAGCGCCATCCTCCTAATGTTGCTTGTTTAAAAGTGTGTAGCACCTACCTCCTCTCCCTTCCTTCTTCTTCAGCAATGTAGAACATACTGGCTTCCTCTTCACCTTCTGTCATAACTGTAAGTTTCCTGAGGCCTCCCCAGCCATGCTTCCTGGACAGCCTGCAGAGCTGTGGGCCAACTAAACCTCTTTTTTAAAATATAAATTGCCCACTCTCAGGTAGTCATTTATAACAACTTGAAAATTGGCTAATACAGAAAATTGGTACTAGAGAGGCAGGCCATTGCTATAAAGATACCTGAAAATGTGAAAGTCACTTTAGAACTCGGTAAAAGGGCAGATGTTGAAACATTTTAGAGGGCTCAGAAGAAGAAAGGAAGGTGAGGAAAAGTTTGAAACTTGCTAGAGACTTGTTGAATGGTTTCAACCAAAATGCCAATAGTGATATGGACAGTGAAGTCCAGGCTGAGGTCTTAGATGGAGATGAGGAACTTACCAGGAATTGGAGTAAAGGTCACTCTTGCTATGCTTTAGCCAAGAGACTGACCGCATTGTGCCCCTGCTCTAGGGATCTGGTGAACTTAGAACTTGAGAGAAATGATTTACAGTATCTGGCAGAAGAAATTTATAATAAGCAAAGCATGCATTCAAGATGTGGTCTGTCTGCTTCTAAGAGCATAATCTCAAATGCGAGCACAAAGAGATGATCTGAAACTGGAGCTTATATTTAAAAAGGAAGCCAAGCATAAAAGTTTGGAAAATTTGCAGCCTGACCATGTAGTAGAAAAGAAAAACCCATTTTCTGTGAAGAAATTCAAGCTGGCTATAGAAATTTGCATAAGTAAAGAGGAGCTGAATGTTACTAGCCAAGACAATGGGGAAAATGCCTCCAAGGCATTTCAGAGACCTTCACGGCAGCCCCTCCTGTCACAGGCCTGGAGGCCTAGGAGGAAAAAATGGTTTCTTGGGCCAGACCCAGGGCCTTGTTGCTCTGTGAAGCCTTGGGACATGGTGCCCTGCATCACAGCAGCTCCAGCTCCAGCTGTGGCTTAAAGGGGCCAAGGTACATCTTGGGCTGTGACTTCAGAGGGTTCAAGCCCCAAACCTTGGCAGCTTCCATGTGGTGTTGGACCTGTGGGTGTGCACAGGATTAGAGTTGAGGCTTGGGAGCCTCTGCCTAGATTTCAGATGATGTATGCAAATGCCTGGATGTTTAGGCAGAAGTCTGCGGAAGGTGAAGAGTCCTCATGGAGAACTTCTACTAGGGCAGTGCAGACAGAAAATGTGGGACTGGAGCCCCCAGACAGATTCCCCACTGGGGCACTGCATAGTGGAGCTGTGAGAAGAGGGCTACTGTCTTTCAGACCCAGAGTGATAGGTCTACCGACATCTTGCACTGTGTACCTGGAAAAGCTGCAGGCACTCAATGCCAGCTCATGAAAGCAGCCATTGGGGCTGTATCCTGCAGAGCCACAGAGACAGAGCTGCCCAAGGTCTTGGGAGTCCACCCCTTGCTTCAATGTGGCTTCGGTGTGAGACATGGATTCAAAGAAGGTTATTTTGGAGCCTTAAGATTTAATGACTGCCCTTCTGGGTTTCAGACTTGCATGGGGCGTGCAGCACTTTGTTTTGGCTGATTTCTCCCTTTTGGAAAGGGAGAATTTACCCAATGCCTGTACCCCATTGTATCTTGGAAGTAACTGACTTGTTTTGATTTTACAGGCTCATTGGTGGAAGGGACCTGACTTGCCTCAGATGAGACTTTGGACTTGAACTTTTGAGTTAATGCTGAATGAGTTAAGTCTCAGGGAACTGTTGAGAAGGGATGATTGTATTTTGCAATGTGAGAATAACATGAGATTTGGGAGGAGCTAGGGACAGAATGATACTGTTTGGCTCTGTGTCCCCACCCAGATCTCATGTCAAATTGTAATTCCCAGTGTTGGAGGAGGGTCTTGGTAGGAAGTGATTGGATCACTGGGGAGGTTTCTATTGTTTTAGCACCATCCCCCTAGTGCTGCTTGTTTAAAAGTTTGCAGCACCTCCCCACTCTTTTTCCCTTTTTCCTGCTCCAGCCATGTAGGACATGCCAGCTTCCACTTCCCCTTCTGCCATGTTTGTAAGTTTCCTGAGGCCTCCCCAGCCATGCTTTCTGTACAGCCTGCAGAACTTGAGCAATTAAACCTCTTTTCGTTATAAATTACCCTTCATAGCAATGTGAAAATGGACTATTATAAGAGATTAATCTTTAGTTGGGAATATTTTACTGTTACTGTTATCCCACTTTGCTGGCCTCAAAGGAAAGGGTCTCTTCCTTTTAGCAAGATTGCTAAATACCTCATCAGGCCCTTGATTTAGTATGCAGGTTCTTAAAATTAGGACAATATGTGAGCTTTATGTAGTAATAAAATTTCCTGAAATAATATGCAAATTTTCTTTTCTACCAAATGCTGTGTATGGATATTATTTGACTTCTGGGTTAAACAAAATAATTATAAAAAATCTTCTTAGTGCAGTTATGGAAATCTGATATGGAGTTATATTAGATATATATTAGATGATATTTAAGAATTTCACTTGTTAATTTTTATGGCAGTACTATTAGGTATTAGAATATGGTGGAAAATGCCCTTAACTACTAAGTGATGAATACTGAAGTATTTAGGAAGAAAAATGCCATGATGTTTCTAATTTATTTTAGAATACTTGAACAAATATGGCAAAATGTTAATCATTGATAAATAGAAGTAATGAATGAACCATTAGCATCAGGTTTCTTGCTACTGTTCTTTTCTACTTTCATGGTTGTCTGAACATAATCAAAAAAAAGGTTTAAAATTGTGTATTGTGTGATATTTTAGGAGTAGGAGAAGGTACCTAGCTTTCTAAAATATATTTTTTAGTTTCTTAAGAAAAGTCACATGAGAAAAGCAAGGGCCAGAACCACTGACTTTCCATAGCACAAGTACAAGGCTGCTATATTTTAGTGAGCCTGCACCAGTCTTTACATCATATAACATGATGTACAAGATAGCTTGCAGCTTGCATCTACCCTGAGAAAACCTTCCTACTCAGTTTTAGATCTCCTCCATGTGCTCCTTACTCCATTAACAAGGCCTGCTGCTACTTTCCTTCAGAACTAGTTCAAAGAAACCAATAAAAACCAAATTGTTTCTATGCCTACTAAGATCTGTCTCTGATTTCTGACTGAAATGATACAACTTTCCTCTCCTGTTAATTGACTTTAAGATGTTCATCTCATATTCAAGCAAAACTACATCTGTGCCAAAAGCCACTTTATCCCACAGGTACCAATGGGATAATGGACATTGAAATAACTCAATAACACATAATATAATAAACACTTGGCATCTGAAGGATAAATTTTTTGAAATCCTGTATTTCCTGTTAGCAATATAACCAATTATCTTGGTTTTCCTGCTGAGGGTCTTCCCAAGATGCAGAATTTTTATTGTTAAAAATGAAAATGCTGGGACCCTGCCTGGTAGGCAGTAAAATCTATGGAGTAAGATCCATATTTGATTTTGCATTCCTAGCACCCTGAAGTATATTAGAAGAAGATCAGGTTTTTAAGAAATGTATACTCAATGTAAACATAAATAATTTATTATCATGGTTCAGAAATGGGATAAAACAAGAGCTAGAATTCACCCACAGACTTTTTGAAAAGATTTCATAAATTGCAGATATTGCCTAACAATGGAATTAGGTTAACCCTTATTGCTAAGTGATCTGAGCTCTTGTCCTCTGTGGCTATGCCCTGCCTTTGCCTATTGCTGCCTCTAAGCCTAACATATATTCACAAAGGTTTAGGAAGAAGATTTTTCTCAAAGAAGGGGTGGCTCATTTTCAACCTAAGTTTTAATGAGGGCTTTAACTTATTTTATATTTAATTACATCAAGTAAATAAACACCTGTATTAAATACATTATGGAACAAGGAAAATTTTTACATTTCCAATAAATATTTGAATTCACTTCAATGCATTTGAGTGCTCACTAAATATATTGTGAATTCTTACTAAAAGAGAAAAGTTAGACAAAATAGGAATCACAGAAATCCTGGATTTAATTGCTGAATGATAATCTGTTTACAAGAGGCCTCAGATCACATTGACACTATTTACAATTCACTTTGTTTATACAGAAGGTATTACCCAGCATCCTCATATTTATTGATCAGTATAAACAGTGGTACTGGTATGTGACCAAGAATGATTAAAATGAGCTTTTGGTTTTGATCCTTTCTGGGTGGTCTTATTGCTTTCTTCTTGAATAACGATATATGCATAATTTGTAATGAGTGTGTGCTTTGCATAATGATAAGAGTAAATGAGGTACATTTCAGAATTTTGAGTCGAAACAAGAAATCTGTTTTGGATTTTGTTTTGAAGTTCCCATTTAGATCCAAAGAATTCATATTTACAAACTAGTTCTAGGAATTAGTTCTTAAATTTTATTTGAACTATAACGGTGCCATGAATGTTACACATTTTACCCTAGATTGTAAATACTTTCTTTCCCTTCAAGTAAGTGGATGGACATATATCAACACCCTAAATGCCTAACCTGCTGATTTATGAATTATAAATCATAAATTTAAGAATCAGATTATAGGCTAAACTGTGTCCATCCCCAAAATTCATATATATTTAAGTCCTAATACCCAGTACCTCAAAATATGATTGTATTTGGAGATATTAGCTTTAAAGGGGTGAGGCAGATAGGAGGGTGGGCACTAATTCAATCTGATTTTCTTTTTTCTGCTTCTTGCTGCTGCTGCTCTGCTGCTTCTGCTTCTTCTTCTTCTTTCTTCTTTCTTCTTTCTTCTTCTTCTTCTTGTTTTTAAAAAGGGTCCAGGCTGGAGTGCAGTGGCATGACCACAGCTCACTGCAGCATCAACCCTCCAGACTCAAGTGATTCTCCTGCCTCAGCCTCTTGAGTAGCTGGGACCCAAGCACATGCCACCATGCACAGCCAATTTATTTTTATATTTTGTAGAGATGGGGATCTCTCTATATTGCCCAGGCTAGTCTCAAAATCCTGGGCTAAAGTGATTTTCCTGCCTCGACCTCCCAAAGTGTTGGGATTACAGGTGCGAACCAATGCATCCAGATGGTTTTCTTATAAGAGGAAATTTAGACAGACAGATTGACACCAGATATGCATACACACAGAGAAAAGGCCATATGAGGAGGCAGAAATAAGGTGGCCATCCACAAACCAAGAAGGGAACCTCAGGAGACACCAAACCTGCAGACAGTTTTGATCTGAAACTTCCAGCCTCCAGAAGTGTGTAAAAATTAATTCCTGTTTTTAAATCAACCTAGTCTATGATTTTCTGTTACGGCAATCTGAGATGACTAACACAAATCATTTACCTAAGTTTTGGCCAGTTGTTTTACAAGTAGCTTTGCTTTCTGTGTGACCAATTCAGGGAGCATCTGTCAGTTAGAATCATGGCCAGATTGAGACATGCGTACATTTTGGAAAGTCTAGTAACTCAGTGTCCCTTCAAATCCATATTTTAAAAGTATTTCTTCAACATATATTTGCGGGAAGGCTGACCATTTGAGGGACAAAGGAAGAGAAGAAAGAGTGAACATGATAGTTTTCAATGAATCCTCTACTACCTAGAGATCTATCCCTGACTCTGAACTGTAATGGAGCACTCAAGTATATAAAGGGTTTACAGTTTGTTGCTCTATCCCAAGAAGGCAGTTTGGCAATCTGCTACTATTACTTGAGCATATGCCTTGTGATGGCCTTTTGATGTGTCAACTTGGCTAAGCTATAGTGAATTCAATCAAACACTCATCTAGATGTTGCTGTCACGGTATTTTGAAGATGTGAATAAAGTGCATTATCTATTGACTTCAAGTAAGGGGAATTATGCCAGATAATGTAGATGGGCCTGATTCAATTCATTGAAAGTCTTTAAAACCAGAGCTAAGTTTTCCCCAAAAGAAAAAGAAATTCAGTTTTGGACAGCAGCTTCAGCCCATGGCTGTCAGTTCCAGCATGTCCTTCCTGATGGGCCTTCTCTATAGATTTTGGACTTGCCTCGTTATCCCTCACCAATGTATAATCCAGTTTCTTGTAATGAGTCTCTTGATGTACATTTTCTACTGGTTCTGCTTTTCTCACTGAACCATTACTGATATAAATTTTGGTACCAGAAGTGATTCTAGAGGATAGTACCTTAAGGATGAGGTTTCTGAATTTGACCCTGATTTTTTGGAATTGGTTCTCTAATCTAATTAGATTTGTATTTATGACACTGTTTTCAGTGGTATAGAGGGCATTTGCTGTTTATGACATAATGTGGCAAAAGACATATGCAAAATATTGCCATTTGATACTCCAAATCAAGTGCCTAGAGAAGGGGAGTTTCTGGGTGATCATGTATTGGCTACCTTAGAAGATTTTATCCGAACTAAGAAGTATGATGGGATAACTGCTTGCTTCTAACTGCTCTAGAGAAAGTGGGGAAAGAGAAGGATGAGATTAGGGCTTCAAAGTTTTAGCTCAAGTTCCACATAAACGATATAAAAACTTCTGTATCTGTCCTAAGTGAAATTCTTCTCTTCTGAAGCTACAGGGCTGAGGTTTCTGAAAACCAAACCTAGAATCTCATTCTGCGAGTAATCTGTATTACAACACCAGTTGAACTCTCAACCTTTCAGGTTGTCTTCTTTTAAAGTTAAGGCATTTCCAGCTTCATCCATGTCCCTACAAAGGACATGAACTCATCATTTTTTATGGCTGCATAGTATTCCATGGTGTATATGCACCATATTTTCTTAATCCAGTCTATCATTGTTGGACATTTGGGTTGGTTCCAAGTCCTTGCTATTGTGAATAGTGCCGCAATGAACATACGTGTGCATGTGTCTTTATAGCAGCATGATTTATAATCCATCATTCTCAGCAAACTATTGCAAGGACAAAAAACCAAACACCACACGTTCTCACTCATAGGTGGGAATTGAACAATGAGAACACATGGACAAAGGAAGGGGAACATCACACACCAGGGTCTGTTGTGGGGTGGGGGGAAGGGGGAGGGATATCATTTGGAGATATATCTAATGTTAAATGACCAGTTACTGGGTGCAGCACACCAACATGGCACATGTATACATATGTAACTAACCTGCACGTTGTGCACATGTACCCTAAAACTTAAAGTATAATAATTAAAAAAAAAAGTTAAGGCATTTATTGGGAAGAAATGAGATCCTGAAAATTAGGCTGGAGACATTCATACAGATCACAATGAGGCTGGGGATTTTTAACCTCTAAAACCTGTCAAGTCTTTTCAATCAGTGGAAGTAGCCCCGCAACTGCTGCTTGGAAAGATTAGTTCTCTTTTTTCATGAAAAACCTATAATGGCACTGCTGTTCTCCTCAGACCCTTCTCCTACCACCCCTATTAGCCTCAAGACCTAATTTTCTATCATTCCTCTAAGAATTTACTGCAAACTTCATGGTTTAAATTATATACATTTATTATCTTACAGTTTTGCATGTTATAATCCCAACATGGTTCTCCCTGAAATAAAACTACGATGTCAGTAGGGCTGAATTTCTTTCTCGAGGCTGTAATAGAAGATGTTTCCTTACCTTTTCCAGCCTCTTGAGGCCACTCCCATTTGTTGACTTAAGGTCCCCTTCCTCCACCTTCAAAGGCAGAAACAGTAGATTGACTTCTTTCCTTGCTACCCCTCTGGGTTTTTGACTGTAGCTGGGAAGTGTTCTTCACTTAAAGGTTTGCATGATTACATTGGGTGCTTATCCTTAATAATATCTGCAAAGTCCCCTTTTGCCTGTAAGCTAGCATATTTATAGGTTCCAGGTTTTAGGATGTGAACATCATTAGGGAAGTGATTTCATTATTCTGCCTACCACATTCCTGTGGAAGTGGGGAGCTGATTCCCATTTCCTACCCCAGGTAGCTGAGCAATTACTTCTCCTACAAAAAAAGGCTGATACATTTTTCTCCATTTGGTTACATTTGTGTAAAATTTGTATTTAAAATTTTATGCTTTCATAGCAAAGTATAATATAGATTGAAAAAAGTACACAAAATATAAATGAACATCTAAATGAATTATTTAAAAATGTTTCTAACAACACTTAAATTAACAATATTTTCATCATCCAGAAATTCCTTCACATCCCTTTCAATCACTATTGCCTTTCTTTCCCCAGAGGTATTCAATGTCACCAAAGATAAGTTTTTCCATGTTCTGAAATTTACATAAATGGAATTATGCAGTATGTATTTTTTCTATCTTCTGTCTTCACTCAACATTATCTGTGTGAGATTTATCAGTATTATTGCATGTAGTTGTAGTTCATTTGTTTTCACTGCTGTATAGTATTCACTGTATGACTATGCCAAAAAATGTTTAAGCTAATATCAGGGGTTATCAGACTTCTTCTGTAAATAGCAAGATAGGAAGCATTTTAGGCATTACATGACTTTTTTTTCCTGCAATGACTCAACTTTAACATTGTAGAACGACAGCAACCATAGACAATGTGTAAGTGAAGAGGTGTGACTGTGTCAAGAAAATTTACAAAATAAGCAGTGGGTGGATTTGGCTTGTGGGTCACACTTAAATATTTGGGTTGTTTCTAGTGTGAGGCTATCATGAGCAGAACTATGAAGTTTCTTGTACATGTCTCTTGGTACTCCTGTGTATGTGTTTCTATTACATATGCAGCAAGAAGTAAATTGCTTTTTCAGCTTTAGCAAATGCTATCCAGTTTTCCAAAATGACTTTTAGGAACAGTGTAGATGCTCGATGTTTTTATCAACACTTGAATTTTACAGTTAATATTAGGTTGGTACAAAAGTAATTGTGGTTTTGGCCATTACATTTAATAACATTTTAGGCATTTTGGTGGGTACATAATGGTATTTCCCTAAACCTTTTTCTGATAAGTCAACTGGGAAAATCAGGGGTGCATACTGACATTTGAACATATAAATTACATTGATTATTCTTGGGTTTGTATTATTTTATGCAAAATATGATCTGAAATGAAATTCAGAAGATTTAGGCACTGGAATTAAAAAAAATTACTAGAATTTGGCCTGGTATTGAGAACAGTGACATTTAAAATTAAATGAAAGAGTGAAAGCTATTAAGTTGCTTTCACCTGAACAATTTTTAGTCCTTCCGCGTGGTATAAACTAAAGCAAAATGTTCTAGATTTGAAACTAGTTCTAGGTGTATAGTATTTAATATAGAATAAGTTATAACAAATTGAATGAGCTTGAATAAGTCACTTAATAGCATTATTTTAAAGTAGAATTAATGTCTGACAAACCTATTCCACACGACTTTTGTGAACAGAAAATGTAATTATGTTAGTGATAATTTAAAAATATTTGGAAAGAATTAAACTTGATTAAGATGCTTTATCCACTAAGGACACCAAATCTTAACTGTTAACAATCTCCAAGGTCCTACCCAGTTCACATCCATCTATAAAAGTAATTGAAGGAGTTCTTTCAGTCAAAACCCTCTCATGACAACAAAAGGGTCTATTGAGACTAAGGAAAGACAAACTGCACAGCAGGAACTACATTTGTGACACAGCTAGGCAATACATAAATACATTATCCTGTGAAGTAGAGTTTTGGTATTTTCTAGTTTTTCTTTTTCACAAAGAAAATGAAAAAGTTGGTGAGAAAAGTTGGTGATTGAGACTAAGGTCGTGCTTCTGTTTTGGTGTGGGTTCATCTTTTCCCTGAGTGCTAATAATTCTTTTTTTTTTTTTTCCAATGAGGTCTGATGCCTCATTGCTTAATTGTTTTATAATATTGTTGTAGATTATTCTTAGACTGTGCCTAAGTTATTGTTTGAAGTTCAACTCTTTGTTATTTGTTTTTGATGTGTGATTCTTTCATTAAAATCTGTATAGTTACTAACACTATGTTTTTTTTTTAACACGAAGTGACATTCTTTCTCCTAAGTTTTTTTTTTTTTTTTAATATTGGCTTTCTCACTGCAGTTATTGGAAAGTCTATGTATTTTATTCTATTTAGCAAGCACAATAACTTACTTGTGCAGGAATCAACCTGATAATTTATTTATCTCCAACCAGGGGGAAAATCCTATGAAAAATCATTAAACATTCTCAGCTCAGAGTGTTTGTTTTTGACCATTTCTCCTCAATATTGTCTAGCCTTCAAAAAATAATTTGTAAACTTTAAAGTGTTATACAAATACTAATTTATAATATTGTTAATCTTATTAAACTTTGAAAGACACATTCCTTTTTCTCTTGCTCCTTAAAATACTTTGATCCTTCTGCAAAACCATGAGAAAAAGCCACAGTGATGAATCCTAGACCAACAGGAGGAAAGAAATTTGTTTCTTCTATTTCTATTATTTCCAGATTTCTACAGATGAATGCTATAAAATAATTCCAACTTCCAAAGTTCCATGATTTCCTTGCAGTTGCAAATTCAATGCATTTTGGGGACACAAAGAAGCCTGAGCTGTGAGGTTTCTAATCTTGTTCTTGCTTTTTAACTCATCCTTGGTGAAGCATTTTAAATTTGCACAAGTTAGGTTATAGCCTTCAAGAGCTCTGGACATTAAAGTCTAACTTGGTTTCAATATGTAAATTTTCCCCCTTATACTAGTGAAATTCACACTCAGGGTCTGCTTAATTAGCTTCATTTTTAAAAGCCTAACATGGGATCATCAAAGTAACAAGTCTCAACTGTACAACTTGACATCTCATTAACACTTGCTTTATAACATATGGTGCTTGGATGATCTGAGTTAATGTGGGTGCCAGTAAGGTGGTGGAGGTGGGCATAAAGAGTCAAATTTTTATGTCATTTGACCTGTTACTTTAAATAAAATATTCGTTACATTTACTGAGCACAGTATAGAGTTATGAATGTAATAGACTCTCTAGGTGTAGTTGTTTAGATAAATTACTATGTAAATGATCTTCAAAAACTTGAAACATGTTTGACATCACGTATGATAGAGCACAATCTAATTTGATGGATTGTTATGTTTTGACACATTTTTTACAATGATAACTGATCTAATCAACTGTATTACCTGCAGATTACATGTAGTATTTATAGTTATAATTATTTTTCTATAGTTTCTACAGAAAACTTGAGTTCTTTCTTCATGCCTTAGATTCAGTATTTTGACAAATTGCCAAGCTACAAATTTAAACAAGCTTATTGAAAAGACTGTGTTTACTTAACTTGAAATATGCTTTGTTTTATGGAATAGGAAAAGAAGAAGAATGGGAAATCATATTGCTGTTTAAAAGTTAAGCCTGTATTAGTTAAGATTATACTAATTAAAAAATCTAGATGTTTAAGTGCTTTTATTTTACTATTCATAAATACTTTTCACTTAGTCTGCATGATAAGTACTTCACTGTACTCTAAAGCCTGAGGCGACCGGATGGTAGAATTACAGAATTTGGAGCTCAGAGAGACTTAGAGACTCACAGAGGTCACTTAATTTGACATCTTAACTTTACACAGGTAAAAAGTAAGCCTCAGAACTGTGGCTTATATTTGTAAAACATCAGTTTCTTTCTTTATGAAAGAGCTATAGACAGACCATTGAGTCTATGATTAATAGATAGAGAAAACTGATTTGTTATGGCATTGCATTTAGCATTCTGAACAAATGAAAATAGAGGCATGGTAAGAGTTATGATACAGAGCACATTAAGGTCCCAATGCCACAAGACATGCAGTAACATTACTGTAGGAAATGATTTCTAAGTCTCAGAGAAAGAATTGTCATTTCCTAAGTAACTGTAATCAGTTTTCAAAAATGAGACCTAGGATCTCAAGCGGTGTATTCTGCACAGCAGTATATTCCACTATGGATAAACATTAACTATACTCTTGTATCATGCTTTCTCATTCTTTCGTTTCATTGCTTTACCTGCTTAAAGCTCTATAGCTTCTCATAAATCTTTGAATGCTATAATTTACTTTTTAGCATTGTTTTTAGATCAAGCACTGTTTCCTTAAGAATACATGATAAAATTTCAAAAATTTCAAAGTAATTCTTTCAAGTCCAGCATTGTTTAATGCAATCAGAATGTTGTGTTTTTTAATACAGAAATTATTCTTATGGAAAGGTTATGATTTGGGAAAGAAGAAAAATAGAGACAGGCCACATGATATCCTAAATTCTTTAAGATTTATTCATTTAGTGTTTGGCAATATGGAAGCAAGGAAGGAGATCTTAGGATTTACAGAAGCTCCAGTAGATTTTCAGCACTTAGATAAATGACGCAGATGTAAAAAACACAAGAGTAATAATTTGATTTTTTATTTTTTCTTTAATTCATTTACATTTGCAGATATTTTCTATTTTCCTAACGTTATAAACAGGGCATTTTGTTGTGAGAAAGTTTGGGAAATACAAAATATAATTGAATATATTTCTGTAATTATAAAGAATAAAATATGACGATTTATCTTGAATATCATGGCAATGATTTATCTTGAATATGATGAAAACATGACAATCATTTATCTTGAATATGATGGAAACTTTGATGTGTAATTATTCCTTCCTTTTCTCCCATCTCAACTTTTTTTTATTATACTTTAAGTTCTAGGGTACATGTGTACAACTTGCAGGTTTGTTACATAGGTATACATGTGCCATGTTGGTGTGCTGCACCCACTAACTCGTCATTTATATTAGGTATTTCTACTAATGCTATCCCTCCCCCATTCCCCCACCCCACAACAGGCCCTGGGGTGTGATGTTCCCCGCCTGTGTCCAAGTGTTCTCATTGTTCAATTCCCACCTGTGAGTGAGAACATGCGGTGTTTGGTTTTCTGTCCTTGTGATAGCTTGCTCAGAATGATGGTTTCCAGCTTCATCCATGTCCCTGCAAAGGACATGAACTCATCCTTTTTTATGGCTGCATAGTATTCCATGGTGTATATGTGCCATATTTTCTTAATCCAGTCTATCATTGATGGACTCATCTCAATTTTTTTATGTCATCTGGGATTTAGATCCAGAGTAGTAATATTTCTTTTAAGTGATTCATGTTTAGATATAATTTTGATATTTATTTTGAAGTTTAAGAACTTTATTAATACATTTTAATTACAAGATTTATCATATTTATAATTGCAAAGAGTATTGATTATCAGTATTAATTCTTTAATACTGAAATTTTTATAGTTGAATTCTTCATTTGGGTTCACCTCTTAGCTAGAATATGTCTGAGCAATTTCTCAGCAACAGCATATAGATGTCACACTCTCTGAGTTCTTGTCTAAGAAAAGTTTTAGCAACTTTTGAACATGTGAGATAAATTGATTGGACATACACTTCTTGTTTCAGAATCATTTCCTCCACAAATCATTGATTCCTGTTATTTTATCCCATAGAAGAAAAGTCTTATTCCAAACCAATTGATTTTGTATCTTTTTAAACTAATTTTTTTCATTTATTTGCTGCAATTTTAAGCCTTTTTTTAAAGTGATCTTTTTTTTAAAAAATTGTACTTTAATTTCTGGGATGCATAGGCAGAACGTGCAGGTTTGTTACATAGGTACACAGGTGCCATGGTGGTTTGCTGCATCCATCAACCCATCACCTACATTAGGTATTTCTCCTAATGTTGTCCCTCCCCTAGCCCCCCAACCCCCAACAGGACCCAGTGTGTGATGTTCCCCTCCCTGTGTCCATGTATTCTCATTGTTCAACTTCCACTTATGAGTGAGAACATGTGGTGTTTGGTTTCCTGTTTCTGTGTTATTTTGCTGAGAATGATGATTACCAGCTTCATCCATGTCCCTGCAAAGGAAGTGAGCTTATCCTTTTTTATGGCTGCATAGTATTCCATGGTGTATATGTGCCACATTTTCTTTATCCACTATATCATTGATGGGCATTTGGGTTGTTCCAAGTCTTTGCTATTGTGAACAGTGCTGCAGTAAACATATTTGTGCATGTGTCTTTATAGTAGAATGATTTATAATCCTTTGGGTATATACCCAGTAATGGGATTGCTAGGTCAAAAGGTATTTCTGGTTCTAGATCCTTGAGGAATTGTCACACTGTCTTCCACATTGGCTGAACTAATTTACACTCCCACCAACAGTGTAAAAGTGTTCCTATTTCTCCACATCCTCTCCAGAATCTGTTGTTTCCTGACTTTTTAATGATCATCATTCTAACTGGGGTGAGATGGTATCTCATTGTGGTTTTGACTGTTATTTCTCTAATGATAAGTGATAATGAGCATTTTTTCATGTCTGTTGGCCGCATAAATGTCTTCTTTTGAGGAGTGTCTGTTCATATCCTTTGCCCACTTTTTGATGGGGTTGTTTTTTTCTTCTAAATTTGTTTAAGTTCCTTGCAGATTCTGGATATTAGCCCTTTGTCAGATGGATAGATTCCAAAAATTTTCTCCTATTCTATAGGTTGCCTGTTCACTCTGATGATGATAGTTTCTTTTGCTTGGCAGAAGCTCTTTAGTTTAGTAAGATATTATTTGTCAATTTTGGCTTTTGTTGCCATTGCTTTTGGTGTTTTAGACATGAAGTTTTTGCCCATGCCTATGTCCTGAATGGTATTGCCTAGGTTTTCTTCTAGGGTTTTTATGGTTTTAGGTTTTATGTTTAAGTCTTTAATCCATCTTGAGTTAATTTTTGTATAAGGTGTAAGAAAGGGGTCCAGTTTCAGATTTCTGCATATGGCTAGCCAGTTTTTCCAGCACCATTTATTAAATAGGGAATCCTTTCCCCATTGCTTGTTTTTCTCAGGTTTGTCAAAGATCAGATGGTTGTAGATGTGTGGTGTTATTTCTGAGGCCTCTGTTCTGTTCTGTTGGTCTTTATATCTCTTTTGGTACCAGTCCCATGCTGTTTTGGTTACTGTAGCCTTGTAGTATAGTTTGAAGTCAGGTAGGGTGATGACTCCAGCTTTGTTCTTTTTGGTTAGGATTGTCTTGGCTATGTGGGCTCTTTTTTGGTTCCATATGAAATTTAAAGTAGAGTTTTCTAATTCTGTGAAGAAAGTAGCTTACAATAAGTCTTTTAAAATGCAATACTTTTTAAACAATATTTATAACATTGTTCCCATTCACTGTATACCTAAAAATTGATATACACTTGCTTCCATGTTACTGATTACTGCATGAATAAATCTTAAAGAATTCAGTATATCATGTGGCATCTATTTTTCTTCCTCCCCAAATCATAACCTATAAATAGGAATAATTTCTGTATAAAAAAAGAACATTCTTCTTACTAGTACTTGGTACTTAGGAAACCATTTTTAACTGAAGAGTCGTGTCTCACTTTATTCCAGTAAATATTGTTTTATTTTTTAACTACTGAGCATGCTGTCTTACTATCCATACACATTGTTGTCACCCAAATCTCTTTTCTTTCATCATGTTTATTTACCTATTAATTTTGAATTCTGAGAAAATTTCAAAAGTTTGTCTTGTAACATTTAATTGCATTATCTATGTTCTCGTATGTGTTGTAGTTGTTATATACTGTCTCCATTGTATTTATTAATTTAACAACTGAGTTTTTAGCTTCCATGCTAATCTCACCTATTTTCATGACTGCCTACTTTGATATCAGAAAGTACAATATTTTCTTGATTATTGAGAACATGAATTGAAACTTTTCTTGCATTAGCCTCCTGCTTCTTGCTGTTCATTGATTTTATTAAAAGCATTTCCTTTGATTTTTTTTACACCATTTTCCTTTTCTGCTGTTTGTCTATCTTGATGAATGGAGATAGCTGCCATTCCAACACTCCTTTGGCCTTCTCCTGGTCATTGACCCTGAAGGAAGCTCCACCCTACTGGCCTTGGCCTGACATTTTGTAAGCCCTCTCAGTCCTGGTTTCAGTTAGTTTCCTCTACTTATTGATTTCTATATAGAATTCTGTCTCATTCAGGCTACATTTTGCCTGGCAGAAAACCATTATATTTCAGACAGATGGATACAACTCTAGTTTTCACAGCTGATAAAAATTATTGCTTATTTTTTTATTCTGTGGACCCCATGCTTCAGTAGGGAGGTCTAGTAAGATGCCTTTGTGTATTATTATATTATCTAGAAGTATCCAGTATTTTCTATAGACCAATTACTCTTTACCTTTTACATTTGAGTAGAATAAACAGCTATCTGGCCTCTGACTATCTGGTCTGTCAGTTTCTCATATGCTGTAATCTTTGTATTTTACTGTCCAGCCATAAAGAACCACCAACTGTTTCCTCCCAAACCACCATTCTATTATATCTCTGCCTTAAATGTGCCTGGAACACTCCTGAAAATTTACATCCACAAATTTTCAGATAAATGACTTTTCATCTTTTCCTAGGTAGATCTATTCTTCACTACAATAATTATCCTATTGCTTAGTCATTGTTTATATACTTGGCACATGGAAGGCATTTGAATGAATGGATGGATGGGTGGGTGGATGATTGAATGGAACAAGCCTGTCATAAGCACTTTGGACAAGCAAGTCAATAGATTATGTTTAACTACCGAGTATAGAATGGTGTACTGTGGTCATCAGGTCACATGGGAAAGCATCTCAAGAAGCAAATCCAACAATTGATTGCAAACCTAATGGTTATTGATCTACTCTTTAAAGAATTAATGCTGGAGATATAAAGATTTAGTAGTTTACAGCCTCACACCTCTTTTACATCTGTCAGAGGCCTCATATCTAAATGGGACTAAAATATATGATGGACCTGTGTTGAAATCTCACATCCAATATTTATTGGTAACATGACAGTAGGCAATATTTGAGCCTCTCTGATAATTAATTGTTTCACTTTGTTTTTAAATCCGCAAGTAGGCATAAACATGATAGATACATGGTATTGTTTTGAAGATTCCTTTCTCCTCTGTAAAAATATAAGGAAAGTATATTCTTTTATTCATATTAATTTTGTGAGAAATTTATATCTGAAAATAAACTGGTGTCATTATTTTCACAAAATTAGAAAACTCTTAGTCAAATCTCAAATTTGACATGCGCTTTTATAATAAATGGGAAGGATAACCTATACATTCCCTTAGCTATGGTGTGTGCACATTATTCAAAGTTTACTGATCACTAATATTTATTGGTGAAGTTTCAAATGGCCTGCCCACTTGGTGCGTCATTTCATAGTAATAATGAAAATAACAGCTGTCCTGTTTTATAACTTATAGTTTTCAAAGCTCTTTCACACACATTTAATCCTTTGATGCCAGCTGGTAATGAAATGTTTTCTAATTATTATGCATCATTGGGCAGGGTGAGCCTGAAGGCCAAAAGCAGTTAACAGGTATTAATTATAGCCATTCACTTTTCTCTGAACTTTCATTGACACTCCCACAGGTTACAATTCTTAAATCTTTTAAAGATTTGATTCATTCAGTTTCTCCTATATTGATTTGTCTTTTAAATATACCATATAGGGTCCAATTTTTAAATTCTTGTGGCTCAATATATGGTGTTTCCTACTGTAAGTAATATCATGCAGATTGCTTAGATTTCCTTGTTTTCTCTGGAGCATGTAATAATTTGCGACACTAACAGAATAAATAAATTTAAAAAATGGTTATTGGGACTGAAAATAGTTAAGAAGGACTATTTTTATACAGCCCAGGCTTACAGATACAGTATAGTTGGCCAACATGATATTGATGTGGAAATTATAAAATATATGAATCATTGTGAATTACAAATTGAAATCCAAATAGCTATACAGGACTTTGTGGAGGCATTGAGTTCAGAGGCTGTCAACCTTTCCCATCTTATGGACCCCAGTCATACTAAAAATTGAGTCTTACCATCATGGGAATGAAAAATTCTTTTTCCCAAGCAA
This sequence comes from Homo sapiens, assembly GCF_000001405.40. Lineage (NCBI taxonomy): Eukaryota > Metazoa > Chordata > Mammalia > Primates > Hominidae > Homo > Homo sapiens. The sequence continues at coordinate 22,333,782 of NC_000009.12, forward strand.
GATGAATCATATTTACATGCAAACTTTTATTATATGTGTATTTTATGGTAAATAAAGTGACATAAGATGGAGAAGCATTTACATTTTGGGTAGATTTTAGTGCTATGATTTATGCTAAATAGATGAAAATGTTATCCCATTTGAAGTTGAAGACTAGAATAAGAGTGCTCAGCATACATTTCATAATACCTAAGTGCAAAACAAAAAAGAGAATCAACACAAAATGTCGTAATTATTTTTTCAGATCAACATAAAATAAGATAACATAGGGAATACATTCTTTACAAGTGCCGTGAAAACCCTACATCTTAGCTAGACTACTTTTGTGTCTAACTGGTAGTATGTATATTTTGTACTTGATGTTTTTATTTCCTCGCCTCTTGTGGGACATTGCATATTGGCCTTAAACCTTAACCTTTTCCTTCCCATGCTCCTTATATTTGACTGTGTTTCCTCATATTAAAGAAGCAGGGCATGTTTCTCTGGCCCTTGAGTTTTGGTTTGGCCATGTGACTTGCTTTGGCCAATAGAAAAAGTAAGGCATAACAGTGTATCGGCTCAGAGCCTAGGCTATCAGTGAACTTGGTGGCTGCCCCAAGCATGCCCAACTCTGATCAGCTGATTTCCAATGGGTCCACAAATGTATGAGTAAGCCAATCTAACTAAATACACTGCCTATCTATCTAGCTAGCTACCTATTTCTTTATGTATCTATCTTCTCCCAAATTTGTTGTGGGTTAAAGCTTAAAATTTTTATGAATCTGGATTCCTTACAGGAGAGTAAGAGGTTATTTATCTAACACTCTCCTGTGGACTGTGAATAGAAAGAAGGCATAAAATTGTACAGTAATCTAAAAAACATAAATATACATCTTCTTTTATAAAGATAACTTCCAATGTCAAAGCAGCAAGGAATAGAGGCAACATTTTTATTTAATATTTCAGATAGTCTTGATGTGCTTCGTGGTGTAGAAGATAACCTGGACACATCCCTTATATCTCAAAATTAATTAAACTAATATTTATTGAGGACATATTATGGGCCAGAATATACAAGAGAAACTGGATATATAGTGATCAACAAGAGACACATGATTCCTGCCATCCGAGTTTGGTGGAAAACACTGATATTAATCTGTAAATGCACTAATAAATACATAATGACTGATTTTGGTAAGTGACATAAGGAAAAATATAAAATGCCATGGAACTTTGTAGGATGGAGCATTCTTATAGAGTATAGACAGAAAGGGCATTAAAATGACCCAAAATCTACCCAAAATGTAAATGCTTCTGCATCTTATGTCACTTTATTTACCATAAAATACACATATAATAAAAGTTTGAATGTAAATATGATTCATCTTGTTTGGGAAAAAGAATTTTTCATTCCCATGATGATAAGACTCAATTTTCAGTATGACTGGGGTCCATAAGATTGGAAAGGTTGAGAGCCTCTGAACTCAATGCCTCCACAAAGTCCTGTATAGCTATTTGGATTTCAATTTGTAATTCACAATGATTCATTTAGCAAAATTTGAAAGGTAAGTAGGATTTAATTAGGGTAGAAAAGTGGGCTTTAGAGAAGTGCATTGCAAGCTAAGGAGTAATCTGTGCAAAGGTTCAGAAGAAGGAAGACACATTGTGTGTTCTTAAAACTTAAAAAAAAAGGCCAGGGTGGCTAGACAGTGTCCAGTGAGAAACAGAGACCTGGAACATGGCTGGACCCATAGGCAGGACACATATTATACAGGATCTTGTAGACCATGTAAAAATGTGAGACTTTATCTTAAGTTCAGTGGGAAGCTGTTAAAATATTTTAAGCAGATGGAATTATATTCCAATTAGCATTGTAAAAGATCACTCTGGGTGCAGTGGGCAAAGAACCAGAGAGAGAAAAATGGACATAGGGAGACTAACTGCAAGGTGGTAGCAATTGTTCAGGTGAGTGATGAAGATGACTTAGACTAGGATGGTAAAGGACCTCTGGAAATAAGCTGCAGAATTTCATGGTAAATTGGAAGTTGGAGGTGCTTAAATAAACCATTGCTGCACATCAAACACCTATAAAATCTCAATGGCATATAACCATAAACATTTATTTAGTTATCACATCTGTGAGCTGGCTGTCTACGCTGGGCTCAGCTAGCAGCTGTGACACATGCCTTTCTTATTCTGAATTGTTACACAGTTTTACTTATCACATGGTAGGTTTTTGTTATTGTTGCTGCTGTTGTTGTTCATAGTGCTATCCTTTATCTTTTCATTGACTAGATTGTAGTTTATTGAAAATATAAATCAGTATTTATCAACCCCCCACTCCATTTTTTTTAGATACAGGTTCTCTGTTGTCCAGGCTGGAGGGCAGTGGGGTGATGGCACCATCACAGCTCACTGCAGCCTCAAACTCCTGGGTTCAAGAGATCTTCCTACCTCAGCCTTCTGAGTAGCTGAGAATACAGACACTCACCATCATACCCGGCTAATTAAAAATATTTTTTTAGTAGAAATGGGGTCTCATTATGTTGCCCAGGCTGGTCTTGAACTCCATTGTTTATATACTTAAAAATTTTTTAAATATAGTTAAGCATTGACTAAATAAATGGTAAGCCCTTAAAATATGTTTTATCTACCAATTTTTATAAAGCAGAATGATTGTTCAGAATTTGGAAGGGGTATATTGAATTGACTTCTAATTGATTGATTGATTAATACATTAATGTATTTACCCAGCCTTTTGTTGAGCAATCATTGTCTAACAGTTACTGTACTAGGCCCTGGGGATGCTGAAAATTCCAAAATCTTATCACCATTCCCATGGAACTCAGAGTCTTGTAAGGGAGAGGGATCTAAGAGATCTACAAAGGAAAACAATTATGTGCATTTCAGAATCTAAATTATTACTTGACTATTACAAAAGTCACATTTAAAATATGCTCTTGCAAAATAACTATTAAAACTTTAGACCAATAAGTCTTAATTATATAGTCTAATTGCAGTGAGGTTTGTTCACATCTTCTCAGAGATCAGTTAGCCTCACTCCAAACTCCTGATCAATAGCTTAAGTTTAAATTCAAAATCTCCTCACTTGTGCCTTCTGCACACAAAGCTGTACCTTTACTCTGGTCCCCATATATTGCTTTTGGCCCATTCATCACCAAAGACCAATACTCGGTAAATAATGTGGAAATCAACTTTATCCTTAAGAAGGAGCTGAAAATCAAAATGCAAGAAGAGAAATAATTTGACAAATTCTATCTAAGTTCCCAGATGTCTCCTAATTCTAGGCATTATATGAGCATGGCAAAAGGCCTTAAAGCTAATACACACATACAAAAGAGGATTTTATGAATTCTAATTAGAACTAAGAAAGAAAAATCTTTCTTAAAGAGATTTTATAATAAAAAAGAATGATATCGTTTTTTGTTTCATTTCCCAGGTATTATGTAACATTCATTGAGTACTGATACTGAAATCATACAAATACTTATTTTCAACTATTTTTGTTCCGAAGATTTACAACAAAATAAAGTAAGAGATTATCCCATCTTTAATTTTTTAAGAAAAATCATAAGATTACCCCATCTGGAATGTTATTTTATGACACCAATGAATAAATTGGGTCCACAGAAGAATGCCAAGTGCATTAGCTGGTTTGTGTACTAGATTATGTTAGAAAATCTTGCCAAGTATGAGCTTGATGGTTTTCCAGGCCAAAATAGAGGGAAGGTTTACAGCAATTATTTTTGTTATTCATACTTCAAATTCATTTGGTCACAAATATCCAAGTTATTGAAGCTAAATGAGAACTTCTATTCATGGAATAAGTGCTAAAATGATTTAAGGTCTAGTGAAAAGCTGGGGTAAAATTTAAAAAGAGATGGCTAAGTTTTTGGCCAATGTTTTTTCCAATGTTTTATTTTTTATTTAAATATTTTGCTTTCTTAATTTTGAAAGCAAAAAAAGAAAAGTGATTCTACATAGTTGAATTACTGTTGAAGTGCAAGTATTATGTTTTAAAGAAAATCATTGATCACCTAAGCTTTATCTATGTTACAATTTCTTTTAAGAAAATTTCTATGAGGAATGGAGAAATAAATTTTATTTGCTAGGTGAAGCTTATAAAGTTAGAGAACTTTTATTAGCTAATATTCAAAGGCTTATTTTTGGCCTTTGGATGCCTATAAGACAAAGCTTATGTATCTTAGCTGGTAACTGCATATAGAGAGATGATAACTTAAAATTTGCTGTATGCCTTTTAAGAGATATTTCCTTATCAAATAATAGCTTCCTACACATCCTTTCACTAAGGTAACCAATGATGTTTGTAATGTTCAAAACAATAGACATTAAGTCCTCAGCAGACATTAAAATCCTTGATCCGTCTCTTCTTGAACTTTTCTGTTCTGTTGGATCCTATACCGTTAAGTTCTTTCTGATTTTTCTATCATCTGGCCACCTGTTCTCTGCGTCCTTTCAAGTTCATCTTCTGTCTGTCCATTAACGTTGATATACCTCAAGGTTCTCTTCTTTCCTCATTTCCTATGGGACCTTCTTTACATCTTCAGTTATCTTTGTGCAGGTGATATGTATTTATCGATCACCAGGCCTGATTTTTCCTTTCAATTCCAGGCCTGAACTTCATCAGCCTCCTTGTCATCACTTCATGGATACCTCACAGACATCTGAAAATAAGCATGTTCACAACCAAAATCATAAACCCTCCCCAAGATTTTATCATCTTTCAATATCAGTGGATGTCACCACTATTCAACTTCTTCTGTCTCCTGTAGACCCAGTGGTCAGTCTTACATTGCCCACTTCCTCACCTCTATATTCAACTCCTCACTGTGTCCTGTTGATTTAACCTCTTAGTTATCTCACAAATCCAGCCATTTCTCTACCATCAAAAATTTAGTCCAAAGTGATCTATAATACTCTTCTTGAAATGGTATAAACAGGTATTTTTATTCATCATTACCTATGCATTTACAGACATTCTCTTTCACATAAACACGCACACTCATATACATTTGAAAAGTAAAGTATAAATGAGATACTACCACACACATTATGAAATGGGTTATTAGTTTGTCTTGATGACTCTTTAGTATTTGTCAGTCTATATAGCTATACATCATTATACTACGTGCATTTTATTCCATAGAACTGTCATGCCGTGATTTATCTACTCTCTGATCAATAGAAATTATTAATTAAAATCAGGACCAATAATTATAGTGTCTGCTAAGGATTTAAAATACTATCCATTCTGTGAAACATTACAAACACCACTGGTTACCTTAGTAAAAGGATGTGTAAGAAGCTATTATTAGATAATCGAAATACCTGTTATAAATGTACACAGCAAAATAGATTGATTTGATTTATTTACTCTTAAGAGAATGTAAACCACATTCATGCATGTGGTTTACAAAAACGTTAAATTTTGATAGATATTGACAAAAGTACCCTCTGAAAATGGTGTGCCCTTAAACTCACACCAGTGTGTTATGAAAGTGGCTGTTTCACCAAAAAACACATGACAAAATGCTCATCATCACTGGCCATCAGAGAAATGCAAATCAAAACCACAATGAGATACCATCTCACACCAGTTAGAATGGCGATCATTAAAAAGTCAGGAAACAACAGGTGCTGGAGAGGATGTGGAGAAATAGGAACACTTTTACACTGTTGGTGGGACTGTAAACTAGTTCAACCATTGTGGAAGTCGGTGTGGCGATTCCTCAGGGATCTAGAACTAGAAATACCATTTGACCCAGCCATCCCATTACTGGGTCTATACCCAAAGGATTATAAATCATGCTGCTATAAAGACACATGCACACATATGTTTATTGTGGCACTATTCACAATAGCAAAGACTTGGAACCAAGCCAAATGTCCAACAACGATAGACTGGATTAAGAAAATGTGGCACATATACACCATGGAATACTATGCAGCCATAAAAAAGGATGAGTTCATGTCCTTTGTAGGGACGTGGATGAAACTGGAAACCATCATTCTCAGCAAACTATGGCAAGGACAAAAAACCAAACACTGCATGTTCTCGCTCATAGGTGGGAATTGAATAATGAGAACACATGGACACAGGAAGGGGACTGCTGTGGGGTGGGGGGAGGGGGGAGAGATAGCATTAGGCGAGATATCTAATGCTAAATGATGAGTTAATGGGTGCAGCACACCAACATGGCACATGTATACATATGTAACAAACCTGCACATTGTGCACATGCACCCTAGAACTTAAAGTATAATAATAATAAAATTAAATTAAAAAAAAAAAGAAAGTGGCTGTTTCTCCCTACTCTCCTTAAAAGGAATATTTTCAAACTATAATTTTTATGTAATTTGATGAGTAAAACTACATAGCAATTTTGTTTTAGTTTCAATTTCTCTGATTACTATTAAGGTTTAGTGTAATTTCATATATTTATTATAAAGTTTTCTATAAATTATTTATTTGCATCTTTTATCAATTTTTACTACCTTTTTCTTAACATAGGGAGTATATACATACAGTGATAACTACTACATTGTCTCTTAAAGATTTTGCAAATATCTCTCCATATTACTGTTTATCATAATCATTATTATTAACTTTTGTCAAAAAGAAGTTTTAAGATTTTTATGTAGTCAATCTGTTAATTATTTTCTTTAATTTGTGTTTGTTATATATTTCTTAGGAAACCCTTTCCCAATCCTCAATATTAAAAGTCAGTAGTCCATGAAAAAAATTATAATTTGTTATTCAATCATTCTGTAATTTATTTTGTGTATTTCAGTAGGGTTCTAATCTAATATTAATGTATGGGATGAACTGGACTTATTTACTAAACCAGTCTTTCTCTGCTAATTTAAATTTCCATTTTTTCATGTATTACACACACACACACACACACACACACACACACACACACACACATACACACATGTACCTTTTTTGTTTTCAAGTCTTCAGTTTGTTCCAGGGATCTATTCATCTATTCCTGTATTCCTGTGCTAATACATTGTTTGCATTTTTATACCTTTATGGTATGTTTTGATATCCGTTATGGCTAGTCACCCCAATTGTCCCTCCCAAATAACCTTGTCTAGTTGCATAAAAATCCTAATGTGATTGGTTTGGGATCATATTGAATTTATAATTATTTTATGGAGAATGTTTGTCTCTTCAATGTTGAGCATAGTGACTCTTGGATGTGCAATCATCATTATGCTTGAGATTCCCTGTTCATCTGTCTATGGATGACATTTCTGTTTAGGTTGCTACCAGTTTATGGGGAAGGTGTAGAACATGCTGCTGGTTTTGCCACTAGTTATCTGCCAGGAATGGGGACGTCTTATAGTCACAGCTATCTGGAGCAATGTTCTCACTATTTTTGCCTCAGTGCTCATAATCCTGGCTTTCACCTGGGTATAAATGTCACTGACTTTTGCAGTTCTCCAAAGATTCACCTGATGCTTTCCCCAGAGCAAATGTGATGTCCTGCATCTACTGACTCTGGCTTTGGAGGTTTTCCAACCATTTCTATCTCTGTCTGCAATGATTTTCATTTTCACATCTGTGTATTTTGAGCTATGCTTTCTTATGTTTTTGACTTTCTGAGACATAACTCCATCAACGTTTTATCATTCAGGAAATTGTTTGCTTCCCAACAATTTCTTGAATTAAAAAAATTCTGCCATTTTTTGGTAATTTTCAATAGAATGGTGGGTAATATTTTCAGAAAGTCACTTAAAATAGTTTCTAGAATAAAGATTTAGTAAGACCCCTCCCTGTTAGGTTCAGTAGCTGTAAAGCAAGGATGATGATAGACTTTTTAACAAGGCTGTTTGGAGTTTAATTAAATGAGACAAACATGTATCTTATCATAAATATACTGAGGCATAAAATGCACTCTGTAAATATTAAATAACCTCCTTTCCCCTCAACCTTAACAAAAACTAAACCTCATTTAAAAAAATTCCAATCCAAGGATTGGGGTGAGTATTATTGGTATAGAGTAGATCATATTTTGAAAGCATCTGCAGTATCTGATTTTTCTCAGGTAAAATCTACTACCAGAAACACTGCAGGCAGAATGTAAGTATTCCAGATTGGTTTGACCCCTTGGCTATAATCTAATAGCAGGAAAACTTCAAGAGAAAAATGATATTAGGGTATTCCCAAGAAACAATAGTGACAGTGTTTGTACTATCAAGCTTCTTCTCTGTTGTGTAGCTGCTGCAGTTGCAATTCCTTACCTCAATGACATCTCAGTGAAGGTAGGTCCCAGAACAACAATTAACACATCATCACAATAAAGGCCATGAAACAACAGTCACCTCAATGTGATAATATCATACAGTGTCTTTTAAAGCCCTGGTGGTTGATTATTTTAATTAAAATTTAAAAAGTGATCATCTGTCCTGTTTGTAATCATAATCAAGTTGTTGCATGAGCTTTTCAAAATGAAAATTTTACAACTACATATAATTTTAATTTTTCAGTTTTTTTAAAACTCAGACTTGGATGTACATAAAAAGTGAAGGCTTGTAGCAGATATTAATATGGCCATTACCAATGAGAAATAGAGAAGTTGAGTGATGGTCCTTGAATAAGAGCATGGTAAGTCAGGGTAAAGCATAGATCTATGATGGATTTTTTTTGGCTTTTAGACTAGCATTGTTTTCCCCCTCTGATCTGTACTGCTGCTTTTCTTTTCCCTTTTTCATGTACATGAAGGTCATTTGCTGTGATGCTAAATATTGCACATTCTGTCCTGGCAGAGTTGGCACCCAAATCAAAACATAAATAAATACAGTAAAAAGAAAAATGAAGGGCTGTACGTGTCTGGAAGTGTCTTCAGTGAATCTGAAATTTCAAGGATGACTTGGAGGTCCCAGTGACTCATGAAACAGGAATGTTAGCCAACCCTGATGTAATATTTTATATGAAGGGCTTTTCATTTACAAAGGTCTCAGTATTTAGCAAACTTAGCTATCCTAAGGCATTCATTTCATCCTTCACAGACTAATGATGTGCAAATAAGATTGGATGGACCTGAGAAGTCATTTAACATACAGCAAGTGTTTATAGCAACTGAGCTAAGTGGATAAAAAAGACCCTGTTCTTTTGAAACTACAGGGTAAGGCTTTAAGCCAGCAGCCACAGTGATCCAGCTCAGCTGACTCTGTCCAGGATTCTGGGCTACGGGGAACATGACCATGGGCCAACTATATTTGCTAACCACACATTAAAAGTTATGAAATGTTTATTTTTGGCTTTTTCGTCTAGGGAAAGTTAAAGATCATATCTGTAACCAAATAGGCTTATGAGCCCTCCATACTTTAGGCCTTCTCTGTAACCCTAGTCTGTGCAAACAACCTCAGTTTTATCCCTTTTATAAGGGAGAAGAGATTATCATTCTTTATTGGTGAGCTACCATAAGTACTGAATTATATTCAGTTGGTAACATCAGAATTGTTTTGAGCTGTCTGCTTTTGTGAGTCTAATGTTTTGAGGACCATCTGTCTGCCTCTTGGAGACCATGGTCTTACTTGATTCTGTTGATACAGTTCTTTCTTCTTGAAAACCAGCATGCTAGTACTGTAGGAGAAACTGCCGATGTCAGGTTTTTAAATTGTATTAGGGAACCCACTCTGTTACAACCCATCCCATGTGCCTATAAATGTGGAGCACAGGTAAGCTACACAGATGTAAAACTTTGTTTCATGTAGTCCATCTGGTCCTCAAAAGAAATTTTTTCATTTTGAATTAATACCTTTCTTTCTTTCTAGAAATATTCAGCACATTGGCTTTTTGTGTTCTTAGTTTTGTTCTGGACTCTATTCCTAAAGTCAGATTAAGTTAGAATATACATATGATAGAATCTCACTGGCTTAAATTTATGGAAAAGGGAGAGAAGGGGAATGTCACTGAGAAGTATGGATTATTTTAAGTGAAATGCAGCTTTACTGCATTGAAGTACATTTGGCAATGAGAATCAAGCTAATAATCTTTTAGTTGAATGAACAAGAATGCACTGTAATTTCCTCAAAATTTGACATCTCCACAAAAGTTATGGTGGAACATAAAATTTAGCCCGGAGTTTCCTGACAGCTAAGACAAAAAGGGAAAACTCTTGGAATATGTATTGCTCATTGTCAAATAAGAGGAAACACACAATTTTCTGAGCAGGGACACTTTACTGACAGTGTACTGAAGGTAAAGTTATTGCTGTTTATATATTTACTAGTTCAAGTCAGTTAATTAATTCTCTTATTTTATTGAGCATCCAGTATATGGCCAGGCATTGTGCTAGATATTGGGGTTTATAGACTAATAAGACAAAGTACATATCCTCAGAAAGCTAACAGTCTATATAAATAAAACAATGCGTAATGATTTTATAAAAGTGCAACTTAATTCAAATGGTATTTTTCTTTTTCTGTATAAACCTGGGGAGATTACATTAAATCTGAATTTATGAACGTTATTCCTTGGACATTTGAGACAGTAGTTTGAGGACCACACATTCAGCCTAGAGCATGGAGAGTTGGAAACAATAGTTTCAATGTTCATTGCACTGTTTTTCTTATATATCAAATATGTAAAACAAATTTTTGGTAAAATTTGGATCCCAGGCTAGTCATGACTTATTTTTGAGGCATGTGCCTAGGTCTTGAATATTATGTGTTGGTGACTGAAGACTTTAGTACACATTTAGAAAGTTGACTTTCAATTTTCTTGTGAAACTTTGAAGAGTTCTTGTGGAGTTTTTTTGGGTTTTTCTGCCAAGACATTGGAACAGTCACCATCTGTTCTTCCTGGAACTCATGAGGATCAATAGAAAGGACAATATTTTTCCCCAGTAAGATCTCTGAATGTACTTGAGCCCTTGGACATGCGCTTGGTTGACTTCCCAGAAATCTGTGCCATATAGCACAGAAAAAGTGATTTGGGATAATGTGGTGACATGATTATTAAGGTCAGGAGGCCATACCTTATTCATGCTGCATTTTTATCACATAATATACTGCCTGGTATACAGAGCTCAATAAATGTTCGTGGATAGCAGAATAAAGTTAAAAATAGAAGTTAGCACAGTATAGGATTAACCACATTAAATGTTCAAGTAATTCAATTATTTTAATCATTACCGTACAAATACAAATCTTGCTCATAAGAAATTTACAGTCTGGGTGCAGTGGTTCATGCCTGTAATCCCAGTACTTTGGGAGGCCAAGGCAGGCAGATCTTATGAGGTCAGAAGTTCGAGCCTGGCCAGCATGGCAAATCCCCGTCTCTACTAAAAATACAAAAGTTAGCTGGGCATGGTGGCACAAGCCTGTAATTCCAGCTACTCAGGATTGAGAGGTTGAGGCACGAGAATTGCTTGAATCCAGGAGGCGAGGTTGCAGCGAGCTGAGATAGCAGCACCACACTCCAACCTGGGTGACACCAGAGTGTGACTCTATCTCAAAAAATAAAAAAAATAAAAATAAAGAAAGAAAAAGAAAAAATAAATTTACAGTGTTTTTTGGAGGGTGGACATTCAACACTGTAGAGGGGAATGTACTAAGTAGTGGAGAAGCACAAAATAGAGTAATTAACCTTGCCTCAACAGATTGGGGAAGGCTTTGCACTCTGAAGTAAGATGGCATTTGAACTGTATCTTTAAGAACAAGAAAAAATTAATCAGGCAGAGAAAGATGGAAAAGTATTCATTCAGTGCTATTTCAGGTATCTATTGCTGCAATATCAAACCCCCCAAACATAGTATCTTACCACAACAGTTATTTATTTTGCTCATAAATCTTCGATTTGAGCAGGACTTGACAGTCACAGCTTGTTTCTACTCAGTGTGGCTTCAGCTGGAGTGGCTGGCTTAGTAAGTTGTTGGCCAGTTGTTGGTTGGCAGATCAACTAGGGCTGCCATCTGGGGTCCTTTCTATGAAACTACCTGGGCTTTCTCACAGCATGGCAGAGGGTTTCAAGACCATGTATTCCAGGAGACAGGAAGCAGAAGCTGTGAGCCTCTTAAGGCTAGCACTTAGAAAGACAGTATCATTTCTGTGTGTTTGCCCAAAATTAAGAAAATGGGAAAAAGACTCCCAGAATATTGGTGGCCTTCCTTAATATACCACATGTTCAGAGAAAATACTGTTATTCATTGCCCACTAAATGCACAATTTGGTCAGAGAATATTGAGACATCAGTTGTGGCAAGCAGCGGAACACAAAAGGTTATGATACGGAATGTGTGGAGATGATTTTGGGAGGGGCACATTTAGGCAAGTTATGAAGAGCTTTGAACACCATATCCTGAGTTTTGCAATTTTTTACCTCCAGATAATTGACCTGATTATTTCTGTATTTAGAAAGATCAATAGAGTAGCAATGTGAAGGATCAACTAGAGGTAGGTTGCATTGGAAATAGCATGAATGGGAAGGAGTTCTTGTAACAGTTTACGAGAAACATGATGAACTTGGGCAGCAATAAGAGAAAGGGGATAGAAAACAAAGATGGATTCCAGTGAAATTTTAGATATAGATTTAGAGGGACCTGGTTGTGCAAATGAAAGTGTAGTTAAGAGATAAGAAAGAACCAGGTGGCCCTGAAGTTTTCAGCTTAAAAAGTGGGAAAAAGTATGGAACACAGAAAGAAAATCATGTTTGGGAAAAGAATAAAAAGATGATTGGTTTGATTTAGGACACACTTTATTTGAGATACATATGGAATTATTAGGCTACAAATTTTAATAAACAAGTGGTTATATGAATAATAAATTCAAAAGAAAGTTCAAGTATGAAACACTTAAATTTGTAGTTATCAAATTCTAAGTAGTAGTCAAAACTAGAGGAATAAACAAGATCAACAAAAGAGACTATTTTTTAAGATGAGAAGAAACTGGAGATAGAGCCTGGGGAACAAAAAAATTTAAGCATAATGATAACAAGACTGAAAGAAATGGAGAAGGCATAGTCCAAAGTAGGAACATTGCCTTATTGATCCCACTAATCACAATGAGCAAATGCCATATATTTGTCACAGAGAAGGTTGGGCTAACAATATATTGTTTCCCAAACTACTTTTTATGATCCATATGTTTATTCAAACACGCACAAAATGAGGCATACAACTTGTAGGCGTACAACTTGTCTTAGCTTTCCCAACATTGTACACATGCAGCAGTTTTACAAAAAGGGGTATTCCACGGTTGAAAATGCAGGGACTTTAAAAAAGTTAGTATTGTTCTAAAGCTGCAACAGCTTTCAGAAAGGAAATAGAGTCTGATGTTTCTTCAAATAAGATCTGTGCAGTTTAAACCTTTTAGAATAGCCATCTTCCTTAAAAAGTTCCTTTATTTTTTAGCAATCAGAATCACTGATATTTGGCTATGAAGTCACATCTCATCTTTAGACCTGACAAAGTAAGTAAATTGCTCTCAGTCAAAAATTCAGAAAAAATATCCTTACTTAATTTAAAAGCTTTGTCTAAACTGTTCCATAATTCTTGGAGCATACATTATTGGGAATTAAAATATTGACTTTGAATATTAATAATGAAGGCATCTTAAAATTCCTTTTAGTGTTTTCTTTGCCTATTTCTTGTGGAATGCAAAGAGATGATTCCCATTTGGTTCCCTGTGAGCCGCAGAGTCATAGAAATAAGAATATCAGCTGTAAGTTGGCAAGTAAATCTGCATGTAAACCACTTTCAACAGAATCTCTCAATCCTATACCACTGGCAGTTATCCTTACTAAGAATAAAGCTCACTTTGAATTCGAGTCAGAATCTATGCCTTGCTATGGGGAATGACTGGAAGTGTCTGGACATCAGGTCTGTTGTCAAAGGATGGTGCGACATAGACGAACTTCCCTGACCCAACTTTAGGAAGTTGTATGACAACAACTAGAAGGCTCACCAGGGACATTGCTGTGAGCACTTATTTTTTTTTTTGAGACAGAGTCTCGGTCTGTCCCCCAGGCTGTCACCCAGGCTGGAGTTCAGTGGCGCTGTCTTGGCTCACTGTAACCTCTGCCTCCTGGGTTCAAGCGATTCTTCTGCCTCAGCCTCCCAAGTAGCTGGAGCTACAGGCACCCACCACCACACCCGGCTAATTTTTGTATTTGTAGTAGAGACAGGGTTTCACTATGTTGGCCAGGCTGGTCTCTAACTTCTGACCTTGTGATCTGCCTGCCTCAGCCTCCCAAAGTGCTGGGATTACAGGCGTGAGCCACCGCGCCCAGCTGTGAGCACTTATTAAAGGGTGAGAAAAAGGAGATATATGGAACTGCTGGCTTGGATGACATGAATAGTTAAAGGAGGTGAGGAATACCACCACTATGAAGGCTGAGGCTGATATTGTCTTGAGCCAACATTGGAGTAGTGAAGAGGATGGAAGACTTTAAAGTCTCTATCCCTTTATAGTTCCATTCCAAAAGGTCCATTATCAATTCTTAAAATAAGGACTTGCTGAGTTTTAAGGTTTTATGTTCTACTGGGCACTTATTAATGTATTACTTCTTTTTATCTTCATAATTATTCTGTGATGGCACACATTGTCTTTCTCATTTTACCTATGAGAAAAATAAAACTCTGAGGTGAATTAAATTTTTCAAGATGACCAAATTGAGAGAAGATGTAAACTAAGTCTGATTCCAAAGCTTATGTTCTTTTCACTATGTGACAATGTCTTTCTAAAGTTTTCCATCCTTATATGCCTAATTCAAAGGGATAACATTTATCAAAGTTTAATTTATATACCATAAAATTCACTTATTGTAAATGTGCAGTTCAAGAAGTTTTTAAAAGTGTATTTACAGAGTTGGGCCACTATCACCATAATCTGTTTGGGGCATTTAGTGCAAGAAAATATTTAGGGTTATTCGTGATTTGCACCTGTTAAGTGATTAATGACTAATTTTGATTAGGTAAATGAGAAATAGGGTAGGAGATAGAAACTTCAAGTGGGGCAAGCTTCAGATATTTTGAGATGAATCAGATTTCTTTCTTTCTTTTTTTTAAAAAAATTTTTTTTTATTATACTTTAAGTTTTAGGGTACATGTGCACATTGTGCAGGTTAGTTACATATGTATACATGTGCCATGCTGGTGCGCTGCACCCACTAACTCGTCATCTAGCATTAGGTGTATCTCCCAATGCTATCCCTCCCCCCTCCCCCCACCCCACCACAGTCCCCAGAGTGTGATATTCCCCTTCCTGTGTCCATGTGATCTCATTGTTCAATTCCCACCTATGAGTGAGAATATGCGGTGTTTGGTTTTTTGTTCTTGCGATAGTTTACTGAGAATGATGGTTTCCAACTTCATCCATGTCCCTACAAAGGACATGAACTCATCATTTTTTATGGCTGCATAGTAATAGTATTCCATGGTGTATATGTGCCACATTTTCTTAATCCAGTCTATCATTGTTGGACATTTGGCTTGGTTCCAAGTCTTTGCTATTGTGAATAATGCCGCAATAAACATACGTGTGCATGTGTCTTTATAGCAGCATGATTTATAGTCATTTGGGTATATAGCCAGTAATGGGATGGCTGGGTCAAATGGTATTTCTAGTTCTAGATCCCTGAGGAATCGCCACACTGACTTCCACAATGGTTGAACTAGTTTACAGTCCCACCAACAGTGTAAAAGTGTTCCTATTTCTCCACATCCTCTCCAGCACCTGTTGTTTCCTGACTTTTTAATGATTGCCATTCTAACTGGTGTGAGATGGTATCTCATTGTGGTTTTGATTTGCATTTCTCTGATGGCCAGTGATGATGAGCATTTTTTCATGTGTTTTTTGGCTGCATAAATGTCTTCTTTTGAGAAGTGTCTGTTCATGTCCTTCGCCCACTTTTTGATGGGGTTGTTTGCTTTTTTCTTGTAAATTTGTTTGAGTTCATTGTACATTCTGGATATTAGCCCTTTGTCAGATGAGTAGGTTGCGAAAATTTTCTCCCATGTTGTAGGTTGCCTGTTCACTCTGATGGTAGTTGCTTTTGCTGTGCAGAAGCTCTTTAGTTTAATTAGATCCCATTTGTCAATTTTGGCTTTTGTTGCCATTGCTTTTGGTGTTTTGGACATGAAGTCCTTGCCCACGCCTATGTCCTGAATGGTAATGCCTAGGTTTTCTTCTAGGGTTTTTATGGTTTTAGGTCTAACGTTTAAATCTTTAATCCATCTTGAATTGATTTTTGTATAAGGTGTAAGGAAGGGATCCAGTTTCAGCTTTCTACATATGGCTAGCTAGTTTTCCCAGCACCATTTATTAAATAGGGAATCCTTTCCCCATTGCTTGTTTTTCTCAGGTTTGTCAAAGATCAGATAGTTGTAGGTATGCGGCGTTATTTCTGAGGGATCTGTTCTGTTCCATTGATCTATATCTCTGTTTTGGTACCAGTACCATGCTGTTTTGGTTACTGTAGCCTTGTAGTATAGTTTGAAGTCAGGTAGTGTGATGCCTCCAGCTTTGTTCTTTTGGCTTAGGATTGACTTGGCGATGCGGGCTCTTTTTTGGTTCCATATGAACTTTAAAGTAGTTTTTTCGAATTCTGTGAAGAAAGTCATTGGTAGCTTGATGGGGATGGCATTGAATCTATAAATTACCTTTGGCAGTATGGCCATTTTCACGATATTGATTCTTCCTACCCATGAGCATGGAATGTTCTTCCATTTGTTTGTATCCTCTTTTATTTCCTTGAGCAGTGGTTTGTAGTTCTCCTTGAAGAGGTCCTTCACATCCCTTGTAAGTTGGATTCCTAGGTATTTTATTCTCTTTGAAGCAATTGTGAATGGGAGTTCACTCATGATTTGGCTCTCTGTTTGTCTGTTGTTGGTGTATAAGAATGCTTGTGATTTTTGTACATTGATTTTGTATCCTGAGACTTTGCTGAAGTTGCTTATCAGCTTAAGGAGATTTTGGGCTGAGACGATGGGGTTTTCTAGATAAACAATCATGTCGTCTGCAAACAGGGACAATTTGACTTCCTCTTTTCCTAATTGAATACCCTTTATTTCCTTCTCCTGCCTGATTGCCCTGGCCAGAACTTCCAACACTATGTTGAATAGGAGCGGTGAGAGAGGGCATCCCTGTCTTGTGCCAGTTTTCAAAGGGAATGCTTCCAGGTTTTGCCCATTCAGTATGATATTGGCTGTGGGTTTGTCATAGATAGCTCTTATTATTTTGAAATACGTCCCATCAATACCTAATTTATTGAGAGTTTTTAGCATGAAGCGTTGTTGGATTTTGTCAAAGGCTTTTTCTGCATCTATTGAGATAATCATGTGGTTTTTGTCTTTGGCTCTGTTTATATGCTGGATTACATTTATTGATTTGTGTATATTGAACCAGCCTTGCATCCCAGGGATGAAGCCCTCTTGATCATGGTGGATAAGCGGTTTGATGTGCTGCTGGATTCGGTTTGCCAGTATTTTATTGAGGATTTTTGCATCAATGTTCATCAAGGATATTGGTCTAAAATTCTCTTTTTTGGTTGTGTCTCTGCCCGGCTTTGGTATCAGAATGATGCTGGCCTCATAAAATGAGTTAGGGAGGATTCCCTCTTTTTCTATTGATTGGAATAGTTTCAGAAGGAATGGTACCAGTTCCTCCTTGTACCTCTGGTAGAATTCGGCTGTGAATCCATCTGGTCCTGGACTCTTTTTGGTTGGTAAACTATTGATTATTGCCACAATTTCAGCTCCTGTTATTGGTCTATTCAGAGATTCAACTTCTTCCTGGTTTAGTCTTGGGAGAGTGTATGTGTCAAGGAATGTATCCATTTCTTCTAGATTTTCTAGTTTATTTGCGTAGAGGTGTTTGTACTATTCTCTGATAGTAGTTTGTATTTCTGTGGGATCGGTGGTGATATCCCCTTTATCATTTTTTATTGTGTCTATTTGATTCTTCTCTCTTTTTTTCTTTATTAGTCTTGCCAGCGGTCTATCAATTTTGTTGATCCTTTCAAAAAACCAGCTCCTGGATTCCTTGATTTTTTGAAGGGTTTTTTATGTCTCTATTTCCTTCAGTTCTGCTCTGATTTTAGTTATTTCTTGCCTTGTGCTAGCTTTTGAATGTGTTTGCTCTTGCTTTTCTAGTTCTTTTAATTGTGATGTTAGGGTGTCAATTTTGGATCTTTCCTGCTTTCTCTTGTGGGCATTTAGTGCTATAAATTTCCCTCTACACACTGCTTTGAATGTGTCCCAGAGATTCTGGTATGTTGTGTCTTTGTTCTCGTTGGTTTCAAAGAACATCTTTATTTCTGCCTTCATTTCGTTATGTACCCAGTAGTCATTCAGGAGCAGGTTGTTCAGTTTCCATGTAGTTGAGCGGCTTTGAGTGAGATTCTTAATCCTGAGTTCTAGTTTGATTGCACTGTGGTCTGAGAGATAGTTTGTTATAATTTCTGTTCTTTTACATTTGCTGAGGAGAGCTTTACTTCCAACTATGTGGTCAATTTTGTAATAGGTGTGGTGTGGTGCTGAAAAAAATGTATATTCTGTTGATTTGGGGTGGAGAGTTCTGTAGATGTCAATTAGGTCCGCTTGGTGCAGAGCTGAGTTCTATTCCTGGGTATCCTTGTTGATTTTCTTTCTCGTTGATCTGTCTAATGTTGACAGTGGGGTGTTAAAGTCTCCCATTATTAATGTGTGGGAGTCTAAGTCTCTTTGTAGGTCACTCAGGACTTGCTTTATGAATCTGGGTGCTCCTGTATTGGGTGCATATATATTTAGGAGAGTTGGCTCCTCTTGTTGAATTGATCCCTTTACCATTATGTAATGGCCTTCTTTGTCTCTTTTGATCTTTGTTGGTTTAAAGTCTGTTTTATCAGAGACTAGGATTGCAACCCCTGCCTTTTTTTGTTTTCCATTTGCTTGGTAGATCTTCCTCCATCCTTTTATTTTGAGCCTATGTATGTCTCTGCATGTGAGATGGGTTTCCTGAATACAGCACACTGATGGGTCTTGACTATTTATCCAACTTGCCAGTCTGTGTCTTTTAATTGGAGAATTTAGTCCATTTACATTTAAAGTTAATATTGTTATGTGTGAATTTGATCCTGTCATTATGATGTTAGCTGGTTATTTTGGTCGTTAGTTGATGCAGTTTCTTCCTAGTCTCGATTGTCTTTACATTTTGGCATGGTTTTGCAGCGGCTGGTACCGGTTGTTCCTTTCCATGTTTAGCGCTTCCTTCAGGAGCTCTTTTAGGGCAGGCCTGGTGGTGACAAAATCTCTCAGCATTTGCTTGTCTGTAAAGTGTTTTATTTCTCCTTCACTTATGAAGCTTAGTTTGGCTGGATATGAAATTCTGGGTTGAAAATTCTTTTCTTTAGGAATGTTGAATATTGGCCCCCACTCTCTTCTGGCTTGTAGGGTTTCTGCCGAGAGATCTGCTGTTAGTCTGATGGGCTTCCCTTTGAGGGTAACCCGACCTTTCTCTCTGGCTGTCCTTAACATTTTTTCCTTCATTTCAACTTTGGTGAATCTGACAATTATGTGTCTTGGAGTTGCTCTTCTCGAGGAGTATCTTTGTGGCGTTCTCTGTATTTCCTGAATCTGAACGTTGGCCTGCCTTGCTAGGTTGGGGAAGTTCTCCTGGATAATATCCTGCCGAGTGTTTTCCAACTTGGTTCCATTCTCCGCATCACTTTCAGGTACACCAATCAGACGTGAATTTGGTCTTTTCACATAGTCCCATATTTCTTGGAGGCTTTGCTCATTTCTTTTTATTCTTTTTTCTCTAACCTTCCCTTCTCGCTTCATTTCATTCATTTCATCTTCCATCACTGATACCCTTTCTTCCAGTTGATCACATCGGCTCCTGAGGCTTCTGCATTCTTCACGTAGTTCTCGAGCCTTGGTTTTCAGCTCCATCAGCTCCTTTAAGCACTTCTCTGTATTGGTTATTCTAGTTATACATTCTTCTAAATTTTTTTCAAAGTTTTCAACTTCTTTGCCTTTGGTTTGAATGTCCTCCCGTAGCTCAGAGTAATTTGATCGTCTGAAGCCTTCTTCTCTCAGCTCATCAAAATCATTCTCCATCCAGCTTTGTTCCGTTGCTGGTGAGGAACTGCGTTCCTTTGGAGGAGGAGAGGCGCTCTGCGTTTTAGAGTTTCCAGTTTTTCTGTTCTGTTTTTTCCCCATCTTTGTGGTTTTATCTACTTTTGGTCTTTGATGATGGTGATGTACAGATGGGTTTTCGGTGTGGATGTCCTTTCTGTTTGTTATTTTTCCTTCTAACAGACAGGACCCTCAGCTGCAGGTCTGTTGGAATACCCTGCCGTGTGAGGTGTCAGTGTGCCCCTGCTGGGGGGTGCCTCCCAGTTAGGCTGCTCGGGGGTCAGGGGTCAGGGACCCACTTGAGGAGGCAGTCTGCCCGTTCTCAGATCTCCAGCTGCCTGCTGGGAGAACCACTGCTCTCTTCAAAGCTGTCAGACAGGGACATTTAAGTCTGCAGAGGTTACTGCTGTCTTTTTGTTTGTCTGTGCCCTGCCCCCAGAGGTGGAGCCTACAGAGGCAGGCAGGCCTCCTTGAGCTGTTGTGGGCTCCAGGCAGTTCGAGCTTCCTGGCTGCTTTGTTTACCTAAGCAAGCCTGGGCAATGGCGGGCGCCCCTCCCCCAGCCTCGCTGCCGCCTTGCAGTTTGATCTCAGACTGCTGTGCTAGCAATCAGCGAGATTCCGTGGGCATAGGACCCTCCAAGCCAGGTGTGGGATATAGTCTCGCGGTGCGCCGTTTTTTAAGCCGGTCTGAAAAGCGCAATATTCGGGTGGGAGTGACCCGATTTTCCAGGTGCGTCCGTCACCCCTTTCTTTGACTCGGAAAGGGAACTCCCTGACCCCTTGCGCTTCCCAGGTGAGGCAATGCCTCGCCCTGCTTCGGCTCGCGCACGGTGTGCGCACCCACTGGCCTGCGCCCACTGTCTGGCACTCCCTAGTGAGATGAACCCGGTACCTCAGACGGAAATGCAGAAATCACCCGTCTTCTGCGTCGCTCTCGCTGGGAGCTGTAGTCCGGAGCTGTTCCTATTCGGCCATCTTGGCTCCTCTGACCCAAATGGAATCAGATTTCTTTGAGAGAGAGTGACCTCTCACCTTGTCTATTAGTATAGACAAGAAGGTTACACTAATATGTATTATGTAAAGCCACAATCCTCTGCTTTATTTCACCTAAACTTTCATTGTACCTTGAATCATATATTTAATCATTCTTTGAAATAAGTTGAAATTATTTCTTATGTGTTCCTTTGCATTTCCTTGAATTATTTTTATGACAGCCTAAAGAGCTTTGTAAGACAGTAAGTATTGAAGAACATGAATTTAACAGCTAGCCAGAAACTCAAGAACAATAATGTTCTCATTCCCACAAGGTCATTAAACTATCTGTTTAAACACACACATTTATTTTCTCTGAGTCATGCTTTTCTTTCTTATCTGTAAAATAATGCTGAAATAGCTTACCACATGGAAGCACTGTATTTAATACCTAATTTCTTTTGTGTTGTTCTGGCGATTTTCTCAACGTAAGCAGTGGATTATGGTGGATGGGACTTGATACTACTTATGTGACCTTAGGACAGGTAATCAGTTTTCGAAGCCTCTGTTTTACATAAATAAAATAAGGTCCTTCTGAAGCTTAAGAAGATAATATAGATGAATCTCATTATTTGGTACCTGGCAGATGGTAAGTCCTTGATAAATACTCCTGAATGAACGATTGGGTGAATGAATAGCTGAGTGAGGAATTTCTCTGGTGCAAAGAATTACTGCAAATATCTCGCTGAACATGCCAGTGAAGTGATTCTGCTGTAGGGAGAAGACTGATAGCTGAGGGGAGGAAGCAAAATGGTGTAGATAGAATTAGTTTAGTTGGAAAAAGAGGTTGGTAAGTGGAAAAGACAGGAGTAGAGAGACCTGGTTTCACATTCTGGTTCTCTATGAAATGTGAGAACTCATGCAGTTTACTTAACCTCACAACTTTAAAGCCTTAGGTTTTTGTTCTGTTCTGTTTTCGTTGTAGAGATGACACTCCTTTTGTATGGTGAAGATGAAATAAGTTAGCAAATAGGAAGCACGTGCCACAGAATTTAGCACATTGTAATATTCAGTAAACATGAATTAATTTTCTCTCTTTTGTCCCCTCCCTTCATTGTGTACTAAAACTTTTGCTTTGTAGACACTTTGTGACTTTAAAAGAGAAGTACTTGTGACTTTCTGATATGCAGAGATCATAAGCGTTTTGAATTTGAGGGAAGTGTTGACATTATGGGTGAGCATGGGGACAGTGGTAGAGTTGTTTTGTGAAGTCCCAAACACATTGTGACATTGGGCCAGTGACAACCTTTCACACCATTAACGTTCTCCTCCTGAAATACAGGAAATAAGAAAGCCATTTCTTGTGAGGATTAAACAAAATGCAGCATTGAAAATAATTTCACAAAGGGCTTGGAACTTAGTTAAGCCTTCAATAAATATTAATTGCTACTGCTCTTTCCCCAGTTGAATTTTCATATTCACATTGAATTCCCAAAGTTAAAAATGGTTGTTTCGAAAATAAAATGACATCAAAACGCAAATACTCAATCTGATTGGAAATAACCACCAATTAAAATCAGTGGAGCATGAGATTAAGGATCCTAAACTCTTTAAATTTGGGTAGAGAAAGAACTTAGGAGTTGAGGCCAACTAATTTTATTTTTTACATTGTACTGGAGACAGATGAAAGCAGCCAACCAACACGTATGCTTTAATTTAAATTTCACGGTCACCAATATTCAGTATTCTTTCATTTTGTTTTATTGTTCATTTATTGAGTAGGGTGATTTAGTACCTGAATCAATGGGATTGCCCAATGCCATGGTACATTAACCTTATATAATTTTAAATGGCAATGTTTAGAGACAGCATTTTCTCTGAAGTCATGTTATTTGACACTGACTTTATATTAAGGGTATGAGAGTTACTTAATGATGGAAAGTCCAAAACAGTGATGATCACAAATTCATGTTTCATGTGAAAGGACTTTGTTTTAGTAAAGGGGAAAAGGGGTAAGTCTCTGCAAAATGTTAGAAGTTATACCCTTTCCCCAGAGTATTTCCTGGTTTTCTACCAGCAAATCAGCCCTCTGAAGTCCAAGTTGTCAGGAAGCCTGTGTCTCTTGTAAAGTGGGAAGAAACCACTCCACAATTCTGCTATTCTCTAAGCTTAATGAAATGCTAGCAGGCTGCCCTGCTGTTCCCGTATCTTATATTTCCAGGCCTTGCCACCTGTGCAACAAAAGCAAGCAATCTATTTAGAAGAGTGTTTTTCATTCTCTTAACTCTGAAGGTCTTTATTCTCAGCATGAGATTATTGCAACAACTTAACAAGCCGTGTTTTCTCCCCCTATTTTCCTTTCTTTTCTTTTTGCACCTATGTCCTTTTAAGTCCATTCAGGCCTTAGGGAAACATTTAGTACTTAGGCTTTGGTTTTTCAAGCTCAATCGGGTAGAAAATCTAACACAGAATGTGTGCACAAACGATAGCTCTGCACAATAGGGACGAACAAATAGCACAAAAAGAAAGGAAGAATATGAGCGTTCAGGGAGCAGGGCTGCACTTGAATTCAATTTTCCAACAGCAGACCTGATGCTTTCTCTCAAGATTCCCAGGTTTCAAATTGGTCATATACTGTGGGCCAGTTACCTGGACAATGGGGGGAAATGGCAGTCGGTAATTATGATCTTGGTTTCTAGGTTGTTAGGAGACTAATATTAATCCTGAAATTGTATGAGGAATGTGTTCATCTGGCCATAATTGTATAGTCTTCTTGAAAGCATTTACCAGCAATGCTAATTTAACACAATTCTCCCCAGGGAAGTATTTTTGAGCTAGTGGGGTTGCCAATTTATTGGTTAACTTAGGACACTTTCTTCAGAGCAGAAATAGCAACAGGAAACTCACAAAAAGATACAGGTATGTATTTTCATTTTCTATTAGGTGAACAATTCAGTGTAAAGACTAGCAGAGCATGTATTGTTCTTCAAAAAACATAGTGCCTGTGTTTGTTGGCTTGCAAATGATAGTGAATACTACTCAGTTATATGTAATTAAAAGCATAGTGAGATACTAACACCAGGTGATAATAAAGCTGTTTTCAGAAAATAGATTCAATTTGAATAAATACATCAAAATGTTATCTTTCACAGTAAAATATCTGTGTGAAAGAGTATTTATCCTATTCTATCTCCCTCCAAATCAAAGCATAGATTATAGCTGTCTTTTGTTTAGTTTTTTGTTTTGTCTTGTTTGCTGTTTAAAGACAATTATGAACCCCAAGAAATTCTAAAAGTGTTATATATTTAGAGACAAGATAAAATATCCTTAAGCATTTGCTTAAGCTTGCTTTGTAAAATGATTTTTATTGTTCACAATGAAGATTATTTCATTCTTCCTTTTGTTCTTCTTCAGTGTGCTTATTTCATCATGTTTGCTGGACAAAGTCATATGTACAATTATTACATATTGGTAATAAATAAGAGCCTCAAAAAGTCAAGTTTCTAAATTGTGGGGAAAAATCTTAGTAGGTTTTATTTTTGAGACTGTATTTTTGAGATTTATGGAAGGTAATATGAAAGTAGGTAATAATTTCATTGATTAGGAACAACTCTTAAATATGATTGGTTAACAGTATAATAGTCTCACAAATTTTATAGCTGTTGTGTTGGAAGATAAACATATAAATATTCTCAAAAATAGTTTGCTTTATCTACGTGATTGTGATATTCAGTTTGTCTATAACTGATGATGATAATTGACATCTTAATAATAAACAAACGGAATAGTGGGGATAGAATATTAATATAGCCACCGAAACAAATGATCCAAAATACTTGAAAACATTATGAAATGCTTTTAAATCCCAATGAGCTGTTTTAAATATCAAAATATATATGTTAGATTAAAGTTGCCAACATAATTTTTCATGCAGACAGCTGAAAGTTTGTATAGCAAGTTGATCTGAAGAGTTGGGTAAGGTTTCAAACCTGTTGTTTCTTTTAGGGAGTAGGTGTGCAATAAATACTTGGGAAAGTAGAATTGGCCCCATCTTTTAGATATGGTCCATTCATGATAAAGCTGGATTCTACTCTGTGTGTTGGTGTTCCTAGAAAACTGCATAAGGAACGGATGTAGTCACATGTGTTTTGTCATTAAATAATTCAACATGCTGTTTATGGCCAATACTCCAAATCCAAATGATAAGAATCAGTTAGATATTCATCAAGATGAAAATAACAGCTTGAGTTGACATCTGAAATAAAATAAAAAGATACCATAACAATTTGGTGTAATTATGACTGATACCCCTCAGCTTACTTGAAGTGTATTTTACATGTCAGTGTATGTTGTTATCGTTTACTTGGTCATAAATGGTAGGAATCTAAGAATTATGTTGCCTACTTCCCATTCCCAAGCCACCATTCCTAGTTTGTCATCTAGTTCTTGAATTTTAATTCAAAACCTACTTTTCCTCTTCCCACTCACACTCAGTTCAGTGTCTTATCTCAGTGCAATGGCCTTTTAACTAGCCTCCTGTCTCCATTCTAGTAATCTCAATCCTATAGTGAACACTGCTCCTAGAATAATCCTTCCAAAAATACAGAAATTATTTCCTTAATTTTAAATCTTGATGTCTCCCCTTTGTGTATAGAATCAGGTATAAACTCCTTAATGAGTCACCAAGATCCTGCATCAGGACCAAGCCTGCCTTCCAGGATCATGAACCACCTTCCCCCTCCACAAACCCTACACTTCTGTTGTATTTCTCTGAACATATTTTATGCTTTCTTATCTTTGAGCCTTAGATTTGCCTTTTATTCTTTCTGGATTGACTTTTCTCTCCTTTACGCAGAGAATTCACATTCATCCTTCAAAGTCTTCCAAAATATCACTTCCATATAAATTATCTTCCTTGATTCCCTCAGATAGAAAGGCAATCAACTGGTCTCATGGGTTAAATTTATATACCTATACTATAAGATTTAGTATTATTTTTTAGTATTTGCTACATCATGAGAATGAGCTCCTTGAGAGAAGAAACTGAGTTTTATTTATTTTTATGTTCCATTACCTAGCTTAGAGCCTAGCACATATTGAATGCTCAGTAATCATTTGTTGAATGGATGGATAAATTAAAAGCAACTAGAATCATTCTACACTAAATAAAATTACACGCCTGTAATCCCAGCACTTTGGGAGGCCCAGGTGGGCGGATCACCTGAGGTCAGGAATTCGAGACCAGCCTGACCAACATGGTGAAACTCCATCTCTACTAAAAACACAAAAGTTAGCTGGGCGCAGTGGTGGGTACCTATAATCCCAGCTGCTCCAGAGGCTGAGGCAGGAGAATCACTAGAACCTGGGAGGCAGAGGTTACAGTGAGCCGAGATTGTTCCATTGCACTCCAGCCTGGGTGACAGAGCGAGAATCCATCCAAAAAATAAAATAAAAATAAAAAAACTATAAAGTAAGCAGCTGATGCTACACTCCTGGTCATCCACATAGCAGTTTCATGCTGTCTTCTAACTACCCTTGGTGCTACCCAAGCCTCTCTTTCTTAATGGAGAACTTACGAGTCCAGGAGTTTGATTCCTCTTATTTCTCTCAAACTTAATTGCAGTGAAATGTAGTTAAAAGCTTGGGGATCCAACTAACTGCAATCAAATCCTGCCCCCAGGTTTTACAAGCTGTGTAACTCTGTTTAAGTTATTTAACATTTTTGTGCCTTAGTTTACTCATCTGTAGTATGTTTGATTACGTAACCAATATCATACAATTGTGATTAAAAATTAAATGAGTCAATGCATATGAAGCAGCCAGAATTGTGCCTGGCATGTCCTTAATACATTTCAGCAATTTTTAGCCATTTTAATTATTAGTTCTGGGTCTCAGTTACCCAGGGATTTGTTGATCAGTGACTAGTTGGTTTTACAAATGCACTCCTATTGAGATCTTCATGACTGAGAATATGATGTTTTCTCTTTCTTCATGATGTTTGCATTTGAATTGTTTTAATGAGACATGCCAAAGATACAGTTAATTTGTGGGAATTTTGAGCACTATAAAGGTTTTTAGATGAGCTTACTGAATGAGTTTTTTCCCATAAAATCACAATTTCCAACTTTAAGCATTTCCTGAAGATTCTGTCTTTGCTCTAGATGAAGGTAGGTACTAAGGGCTAAAAGAAAGAATAGAAGAAGAAAGATAAGATCCTACTAAACATAGTACAAACAATTTTTAATCTAACAAACAATATGAAAGGTTATGCAAGGTTGGCCTTTAAATACTGTAGAAACTCAGAAAGGTCACATAGTTTGGGATAGTCATTAAAACCTTTTTGGATGAGGCATGTTAAAAGAGAACTATTACTAATAGATAGAGTTAGGATGGATTGAAAAGAGACACAGATAAAAGAAAAGACACAGAATAGATTGTAGGTAATTGTCTATTAAATGTATGAGCACTGCTGCTAATAGAATCTCTGAGGGTACATTGCAGTTCCTATGTCTCATTCAAAAGTTTTAGGATGAAATACCATTGCTTATCTACCTACTGCCTTCACATATCAAATGGTAGTTACTGCAGTGGGACTATAAAGAGTGGCAAACTTCATGCAAAGAATATTATACAGAGCATGCATTCATGTTTTGTTGTTGGTGGATAGAGTAGTTAGGAGAAGAGGGATGGAGTTTCTGTAATTTTTTTTCAGAGGCCCCTTCCAACTCTGAAATGATGATTGTCTGATAATAAAGGTTTACAGTACTATGCTGTGATTTCTCTGGACATAGATTGCATTTTTGCATACTAGTTCAAAAGGGTCTTCATGTGTTCTTTGTTAGGACTTTTACCTTCCTCATCTCCTAAGGATAATCTATGAGTGCAAAACAACTCTGGAAATTAGCATTTATTTCTAAAGAATTACTTGAGCAACTAATGTGAGTAGGCTTTTGTATGTCTGTAGCTCCTGGAAGTCCTTTAATCATCAGGAAATGCCCTACGTATCCATCAATATTCCTTGAAAAGTTTGATTTTCAAGATCCATTAATGAATGAAAGGAGCATCTAGGTCTTCCATGATTTGGGCCTCATATGTGATTCTGTTTGTAGTAGACAATTTCTCTCATCGATGTAGGGAATGTCTTTGATAGTGTAATGACAAAATCACATTGCATCATATTTTTTATTTCAAATGACATTCTGATTTCCTTTAAACATTCTTATTAGTTTTGGAATTAGCATAAACTGATAGCCTTATATTAGGCATCTGAAAAATCTATTGTAGTATGAGTATTACCAGTGAGATAAAGCAGGACAAGGCATGTGGCCCACTATCACAAAGAAGCGTGTCACAATCTTTAACTTACAAGAAAGAATATAAAGATAATGTTTCTCATTTATCCATACTTAAATATTAAGTTTGAGCTGTTTTTATGATTACATATATATGACAGAAAACTATTTAAGGACACTGGTTTGCAAGTCGGGCAGCCCTGGGTTTGAGTCCTATTGTGTCCAAAATTGGTGGGTTCTTGGTCTCACTGACTTCAAGAATGAAGCCGCGGACCCTTGCAGTGAGTGTTACAGTTCTTAAAGATGGTATGTCCGGAGTTTGTTCCTTCTGATATTCGGACATGTTTGGAGTTTCTTCCTTCTGTTGGGTTTGTGGTCTCGCTGGCTTCAGGAGTGAAGCTGCAGACCTTCATGGTGAGTATTACAGCTCTTAAGGCGGCACGTCTGGAGTTGTTTGTTCCTCCCGTCCGGAGTCATTCATTCCTCCCAGTGGGTTCGTTGTCTCGCTGGCCTCAGGAGTGAAGCTGCAGACCTTCACGGTGTTACAGCTCATAAAGGCAGTGCACACCCAAAGTGTGAGCAGCAACAAGATTTATTGCAAAGAGCGAGAGAACAAAGCTTCCACAGTGTGGAAGGGCACCTAAGCAGGTTGCTGCTGCTGGCTCAGGCAGCCTGCTTTTATTCCCTTATCTGACCCCACCCACTTCCTGCTGATTGGCTCATTTTACAGAGAGCTGATTGGTCCATTTTGACAGGGTGCTGATTGGTGCGTTTACAATCCCTGAGCTAGACACAGAGGGCTGATTGGTGTATTTACAATCCTCTAGCAAAAGGTAAAAGTTCTCCAAGTCCCCACTAGATTAGCTAGACACAGAAAACTGATTGGTGCATTTACAATCCCTGAGCTAGACACAGAGTGCTGATTGGTGCATTTACAATCCTTTAGCTAGACACAAAAGTTCTCCAAGTCCCCACTAGATTAGCCAGACACAGAGCACTGATTGGTGCATTTACAAACCTTGAGCTAGACACAGGGTGCTGATTGGTGCGTTTACAAACCTTGAGCTAGACACAGAGTGCTGATTGGTGCATTTAGCTAGACATAAAAGTTCTCTAGGTCCCCACCAGATTGTCTAGATACAGAGTGCTGATTGGTGCATCCACGAACCCCGAGCTAGACACAGAATGCTGATTGGTGCATACACAATCCTATGGCTAGATATAAAAGTTCTCCAAGTCCCCACCCCACTCAGGAGTCCAGCTAGCTTTGCCTAGTAGATCCCACGCCAGGGCGGGGGAGCTGCCTGCCAATCCCATGCCACATGCCTGCACTCCTCAGCCCTTGGGTGGTCGATGGGACTAGGCGCCGTGGAGCAGGGGACTGTGGCTGTCAGGGAGTCTTGGGCTGCCTGGGCCGCTTGGGAGCCCACCCGGGGAGCGGGGAGGCTCGGGCATGGCTGCAGTCCCAAGCCCTGCCCCGCGGGGAGGCGGCTGAGGCCCGGCGAGAATTCAAGCGTGGTGGGGGTGGGCTGTCAGTGTTCGAGGACCCAGCGCCCCCTCCGCAGCTGCTGGCCAGGGTGCTAAGACCCTCACTGCACAGGGCCCGAGGCGCTGGCCGGCAGCTGTGAGTGTGAGGCCCGCCGAGCCCACGCCCACCCGGAACTTGCCCTGGTCCGCAAACGTGGTGCGCAGCCCCGGTTCCCGCCTGTGCCTGTCCCTCCACTCCTTCCCACAAGCAGAGGGAGCCGGCTCCAGCCTCAGCTAGCCCAGAGAGGGGCTCCAACAGTGTAGTGGTGGGCTAAAGGGCTCCTCGAGCATGGCCAGAGCAGACGACAAGACTGAGGAGGTGCTGAGAGCGAGCCAGGGCTGCTAGCCCGTGGTCACCTCTCACTATTTCTACTTATACTGAGCTGTAGTCTCCCAGTTTCTTCATCTGAAAAATAGGATGAAATAAGACAATGTGCATAAAGTGCTTAGTAAGTAGAATTAGTCAGTGGAGGTGAAGTGGGGGTCAATATATAGTGGCCTCTGTCTACATCTTTATAATTTATTTTGTGATTTAAGGGCAACCATTTATGAAATAACATACTTTTTCAAAAAAAACTGGTTTATT
Organism: Homo sapiens; assembly: GCF_000001405.40. Taxonomy (NCBI): domain Eukaryota; kingdom Metazoa; phylum Chordata; class Mammalia; order Primates; family Hominidae; genus Homo; species Homo sapiens. The sequence continues at coordinate 22,364,251 of NC_000009.12, forward strand.
CGTTTCATCTTCAGGGTCTGTACTCAATGAACAGAGTGGAAATGCAATTGGAAAAACTCTTAATATAAAATCCTATTAAGGACTACCTGGGTGTTTCCATCTGGGGCTTCTTTACCATACCGACAGGAGAGAAATTCCTTCATTGTTGCATGTTCCCCCTTTACTCCTGTGTATCATGTGTCCAAAAGCTTGTGGAAATGGCTTTCTACTTATTAGAATTAAGCAACTTTGGAATTTAATTTCTTTATGCCACTATTAGGAAAATCAAGGTAATAATAATATCTACACCACCTACTGCAGCATGAGCATAAGGGTAAGATGGGTTTATATTCATGACAGCAAACAGTTGGAATGTTTCCTTTATGCCAGTCACTGTTCTGAGTGTTCTACATGTATTAACCTATCTGTTCTCCAAAACTCCTATTAAGATGGACACTACATCTCAATGGGGCAATTGCAACATCTGTTTTTTCTAATTTGTCCTATATTTTCCAACAATAATTCTCCATGTTTGGCCATTTATAACTTAATGATAGAGCTGTAATATGGATTGAGGTAGTTTTGATCCGCAAAACACTGACGTCTCACAGATTTTGACAACCGTTTACAGTGAATAACAGAGAACTTGCATGATCATGCACACTTAGGCTTTCTACCTACAAGGAAGAGGAGTCTAGGTAGATTGGTGATTTCACATGGAATCCAATAAAGGAAAGAACCAATAAAACCAAAGGCTGGCTTTCTTTTGTAATAGGGATTTGAAGAGGTCTATGAAATGCAGTCAACCAGAGAATAAGATGCAACGAATGTGGAATAGAAATCCAAATTTTATATGCAGCAGAACTGGAAACATACTCATTTATTCATTCATTGATTCTTTCACTATCGGGCATTTTGTTAATTATTGTCAATAGATGAATAAGACAGTACATTGCCTAAAAGTGCACCCTGTTTACTGGTGAAGACAGTATTGCTTGTCATCCTGAAGTCTGTGGCATGAACTTGAGTGAATCACTCAATTGCTTAGCTCCTCTATTCCCTCGCTTATAAATAAGGATAAAATCTCCTACATTACAAGGTTTCTGTGATTATTTAGAGAAGGACTGCATACAATGCTTGAAAGAAATTGTCGCTGAATAAAGTGGTTGTTATCATGAAGGTGGTGTGTGGAGGAAGTTGAAGTTACAAAAGTAATTTACACACTCAAAAAAGGATAAGAGGAAACAATAAAGGATATTTAACAGGGATATGTGATATCAGGTTTTCATATTAGAAAGTTCATCTTGGTAGCAGGATGGAGACTGGGCTTCAAGGGGACTAAATGAAAGATAGTGTATCTATTAGGAATTATTAAGTAGAGGAAGAAGGCTGATAAGGCCAAGAGGGGTTGTGGACACGGAACAGAAACAAGAAAAATTTTTAATATAGAATACATTTTTCTACTTTAACCATATCTTAAACAGGGCTATTTCATGGGATTTAAAAACAGAACCTTAGGAAAAATCAAGAACACAACTAAGCAGTTTTAGTGAACAAATCCTATTTAGAACATTTCTCTTAGGTTTGGGGCAGCCAAAAGGTAGGGATTCTAGATGTTAACTTCCTGCCTTTGAGCTCGCTCCATTCCCCATTCCTGAGAGTCAGTATAGGTCACTTTATTTGGGGCCATTGGACATCTTTCCACAACTTATTTCTAGCACATACCTCACCTTGTTACACTTTTTTTTCATGTATGTATCCCCCAATAAATGGAGAGTTCATTGAATGAAGATTGTCTTTTTCTGAATCCCAAATATTTAGATGATGCATGGAATTCAGTAAATGCTTGTTTCATAAATAAATGAACAAATGAGAGCATAGGAGTTAATCATGAGATCCCTGAAGTAAGACTGACAGGTTTTGAGTCCTGATTGCACCATCAATTACTAGCAGAATAACAAACCTCTAGGCCTATTTCCTCATCTATGAAGTGGAAATTACAATTTTAAAGAGTTGCAGTGAAGTTAAATGACACAAATATATGCTAAGTCCTTAGCCTTCTCCCTGACACACAATCAGCATTTATTTTATTAAATGAGAGCTGCCACTATTACTATCAATATTATTATCATAAAGACACTGGACTCTTAATTTCTGAGGAACCATTTTCCTTCCACCTTCTACTTTCTGCTGCCCAATATAATTCTGCTTTGGAAAATTGCTTTGATGGAATCAATGATTATAATAACTAAACTTGATGAACAGTAGGATGGATTGATTTTTATTTTCTTTATTTTTATAGCTTACTCTGTCATTATCTGTCTCCATGCAATCAATGAATCTTAGAATATACACATTTTAGTTATTTAGGGTTAAGATGGTAGATAGGAGGCAGGGCTAACTTGCCGCTCCCACTCAGATGGACAGAGCAGCATGTGGGCACTCACATCCTGAACTTTTGCTCCAAGAACCACTGCCAGAACATACCAGGAAAGCTAAAAGAATCCACAGACCCTTTGAAGGAATGGATCACTTCTGCAGGCTCCCTGAGTTGTCAAAAAAAAGGTGTCTGCTTGCTTTCTCCACAGGGGTACCATGGTCTGAGGAAAGTTCTTAGCCCTGGTCTCCAGCTGCCTGGAAATAGACTTGCTGCTGTTGGGGGAACACAGTGGGAATGAGACAAGCCTTTAGGACTGCCAGCTATGTGGGAGCAGGTTGAGGCCTGTAACTGCTGGCTTTCCCCCAGTTCCCTGGGAATCTGTATAACTCAGCAAAGGCAGTGATAATCCCCCTGGAAACATAACTCCATTGGCCTGGGAACCATGCCCATATCCCCCACAGCCACCTCAGCAATCCCCACCCAAGGAGAGTCTGAGCTCAGACATGCCTATCCCTGCCCCCACCTGGTGGTCTTTCTCTATCCACCCTGGTAGCCAAAAACAAATGTCATAATCTCTCTGGAGCTCTATGACCCTACCCATCACCTAAGAAACCTGAATACTTAACCAGGCATCCCTAGGACAAGTTTGCATCATTCTTGTAGGACCACAGCTAATGCATTCTTTTTTTTTCCCTTTTTTTTGAAACAGAGTCTCGCTCTGTCACCCAGGCTGGAGTGCAGTGGTGCGATCTCGGCTCACTGCATGGTGCGATCTCGGCTCACTGCAAGTTCCACCTCCCACGTTCACACCATTCTCCTGCCTCAGCCTCCCAGGTAGCTGGGACTACAAGTGCCCACCACCACACCTGGCTAATTTTTTTGTATTTTTAGTAGAGATGGGGTTTCACCGTGTTAGCCAGGATGGTCTCGATCTCCTGACCTTGTGATCCACCCACTTTGGCCTCCCAAAGTGGTGGGATTACAGATGTGAGCCACTGCACCCAGCTGATGCGCTCTTGAAAGCACCACCTCCTGGCTGGAGGTAAACCAACACACAAGCAGTGCACTAAACAAAAATACAACCAAACACCCTCACAGAGTCCACTTTTCTACCCTGCTACCTTCACCAGAATAGGTGCTAGTATTCAGGCTGAAAGACCTGAAGATGGATCACATCACAGGACTCTTTGCAGACATTTCCCAGTACCAGTCTGGAGCCCAGTAATTCCACTAGATGGCTAGACCCAGAAGAGCAAAAACAATCACTGCAGTTAGGCTCTCAGGAAGCCCCATTCCTAGGGGAAGAGGGAGAATACCACATCAAGGGAGCATCCCATGGGGCAAAATAATCTGAACAGCAGCCCTGGAATCCCAGATCTTCCCTCTGACATAGTCTACTCAAATGAGAAGGAACCAGAAAACAATTCTGGTAATATGACAAAACAAGGTTTCTTCACACCCCCAAAAGATCACATCAGCTCACCAGCAATGAATCCAAACCAAGATGAAATCCCTGAATTGCCAGAAAAAGAATTCAAAAGGTTGATTATTAAGCTAATTAAAAAGGTACCAGAGAAAGGTGAAGCCCAAATTAAAAAAATCAAGAACATGATACAGGATATGAAAGGAAAAATTTTCAGTTAAATTGATAGCATTAATAAAACACAGTCACAACCTCTGGAAATCAAGGACACACTTAGAGAAATGCAAACTGCATGGGAACATCTCAGCAAAAGAGTTGAACAAGCAACAGAATTGCACAAGCAAAAGAAAGAACTTCAGAGCTCAAAGACAAGGCTTTTGAATTAACCAAATCCATCGAAGACAAACAATAAAGATTTTTAAAAAATGAACAAAGCCTCCAAGAAGTTTGGGACTATGCTAAATGTCCAAACCTAAGAATAATTGGTTTTCCAGAGGAAGAAGAGACATCTAAAAGTTTGGAAAATATGTTTGAGGGAATAATTGAGGAAAACTTCCCTGGCCTTGCTAGAGACCTGGACATCCCAATACAGGTAGCTCAAAGAACACCTGGGAAATTCATTGCAAAAAGATCATTGCCTAGGCACATTGTCATCAGTTTATCTAAAGTCAAGACAAAGGAAAGAATCTTCTGAGCTGTGAGGCAAAAACATCAGGTAACCTATAGAAGAAAACCTATCAGATTAGCAGCAGATTTCTCAGCAGAAACACGACAAGCTAGAAGGGACTGGGGTCCTATTTTTACCCTCCTTAAACAAAACAATTATCAACTAAGAATTTTCTATTCAGCAAAACTAAACTTCATAAATGAAGGATAGATACAGTCTTTTCCAGACAAACAAATGCTGACAGAATTTGCCACCACCAAGCCAGCACTACGAGAACTGCTAAAAGGAGCTCTAAATCTTGAATCAAATCCTGGAAACACAACAAATAGAACCTCCTTAAAGCATAAATCTCACAGGACCTATATAACAATAACACAATGAAAAAAAAAACAAGGCATTCAGGCAACAAATAATATGATGAATAGAATAGCACCTCACATCTCAATACTAATATTGAATGTAAACGGCCTAAATCCTACACTTAAAAGATACAAAATGGCAGAATGGATAAGAATTCACCAACCAAGTATCTGCTGTCTTCAAGAGACTTGTCTAACACGTAAGAACCCATACAAAGTTAAGGTAAAGGGGTGGAAAAAGAAATTCTGTGCAAATGGACACCAAAAGTGATCAAGAGTAGTTAATCTTATTAGACAAAACAAACTTTAAAGCAAAAGCAGTTAAAAAAGACAAAGAGGGACATTATAATGATAAAAGAGGGACATTTTATAATGATAAAAGGACTAGTTCAACAGGAAAATATCACAATCCTAAATATATGTGTCCCCAACACTGGAGCTTCCAAATTTATAAAACAGTTACTACTAGACCTAAGAAATGATATAGATGGCAACACAGTAATAGTGGGGACTTTAATACTCCACTGGCAGCACTAGACAGATCATCAAGACAGAAAGTCAACAAACAAACAATGGACTTAAACTATACACTACAAGAAATGAACTAATCAGATATTTACAGAACATTCTACCCAACAATTGCAGAATATACATTCTATTCATCAGCACATGGAACATTCTCCAAGGCAGATCATATAACAGGCCACAAAACAAGTCCCAATAAATTTTAAAAATTCAAAATTGCATCAAGTACTCTCTCAGACCACAGTGGAATAAAATTGAAAATCAACTCCAAAAGAAGTCCTCAAAACAATGTACATGGAAATTAAATAACCTGCTCCTGAATGATCATTGGGTCAACAATGAAATCAAGATGGAAATTAAAAAAAATTATTTGAACTGAATGATAATAGTGACACAACCTATCAAAGCCTCTGGAATACAGCAAAAGTGTTGCTAAGAGGAAAGTTCGTAGCATTAATGTCTGAAAGAGCACAAATAGACAATCTAAAGTCACACCTCATGGAACTGAAGCAAAAAGTCTGAAAGAGCACAAATAGACAATCTAAAGTCACACCTCATGGAACTGGAGAAGCAAGAACAATCCAAACCCAAACCCAGCAGAAGAAAAAAATAATTAAGATCAGAGTACAACTAAATGAAATTGAAACAAAAAAATATAAAAGGGAAATGAGAAAAAAAAGCTGGTGCTTTGAAAAGATAAATAAAATTGTGAGACCATTAGTGAGATTAACCAAGAAAATAAGAGAGAAGATCCAAATAAACTCAATTGGAAACAAAATGGGAGATATTACAACTGATACAACAGAAATACAAAAGATAATTCAAGGCTATTATGAACACCTTCACACACATAAACTAGAAAAGCTAGAGGAGATGGATAAATTCCTGGAAATATATATACAACTCTCCCAGATTAAACCAGGAAGATATTGAATCTCTGAACAGACCAATAACAAGCAGCAAGATTGAAATGGTAGTTTAAAAACTGCCAACAACAAAAAAACGTCTCGGACCAGACGGATTCATAGCTGAATTTTATTAGACATTGAAAGAAGAGTTGGTACCAATTTTGTTGACACTATTCCACAGGATAGAGAAAGAAGGAATCCTCCTTAAATCATTCTATGAAACCAGTATCACCCTAATATCCAAACCAAGGAGGGACATAACAAAAAGAGAAAACTACAGACCAATATCCTTGATGAATATAGATGCAAAAATCCTCAACAAAATACTAGCGAACTGAATCCAACGGCATATCAAAAAGATAATCCACCATGATCAAGTGGGTTTCACTCTAGGGATGCAGGGATGGTTTAACATACGTAAGTCAACACATGTGATACACCACATAAAAAGAATTAAAAACAAAAATCACATGATCATCTCAATAGATGCAGAAAAAGCATTTAACAAAATCCTGCATTCCTTTATGATTAAAATCCTCAGCAAAATCAGCGTAGAAGGGAAATAGCTTAAGGTAACAGAAGCCATCAACGACAAATCCACAGCCAACATTATACTGAATGGGGAAAAGTTGGAAGCATTCCCCCTGAGAACTGTAACAAAACAAGGGTGCCCACTTTCATTCAATATATTACTGGAAGTCCTGGCCAGAGCACTCAGACAAGAGAAGGACATAAAGGGCATCCAAATTGGTAAGAGGAAGTCAAACTGTCGCTGTTTGCTAATGATATGATCGTATAGCTAGAAAACCCTAAAGACGCATTCAAAAAGCCCTAGAACTGGTAAATGAATTCAGCAAAGTTTCAAGATACAAAATTAATGTACACAAATCAGTAGCTATGCTATACACTAACAGTAACCAAGCTGAGAATCAAATTAAGAACTCAACCCATTTCACAATAACTGCAAAACAAACAAACAAAAAATGTAGGAATATACCTAACCAAGGATGTGAAAGACCGCTACAAGAAAAACTACAAAGCACTGCTGAAAAAATCATAAATGACACAAACAAATGGAAACATATCCCATGCTGATGGATGTGTAGAATCAATATCGTGAAAGTGACCACACTGCCAAAAGCAATCTACAAATTCAATGCAATTCTCATCAAAATACCATTATCATTCTTCACAGAACTAGAAAAAAGTATCCTAAAATTCATATGGAACCCAAAAAGGGCCCACACTGCCATGCCAAGATGAAGCAAAAAGAAGAAATCTGGAGACATCACATTACCCAACTTCAAAGTATACTACAACGCCACAGTAGCCAAAACAACATGATGCTAGTATAAAGATAGGCACATAGACCAATGAAATGGCATGAAGAATGCAGAAATAAAGCCAAATACTTACATTCAACTGATCTTCAACAAAGCAAACAAAAACAAAAAGTAGGGAAAGGACACCCTATTCAATAAATGGTTCTGGATAATTTGCAAGCCACATGTAGAAGAATGAAACTAGATCCCCATCTCTCACCTTATACAAAAATCAACTCAAGATGGATCAAAGACTTAAATCTAAAACCTGAAACCATAAAAATGTTAGAAGACAACATCAGAAAAACCTTTCTAGACATTGGGTTAGGCAAAGACTTTATGACCAAGAACCCAAAAGCAAATGCAACAAAAACAAAGATAAATAGATGGGAGTTAATTAAAAGCGTCTGCACAGCAAAAGAAACAGTCAGCAGCATTAACTGAAAACCCACAGAGTGGGAGAAAATCTTCAAAATCTATACATCTGACAAAGGACTAATATCCAGAATCTACAAAGAACTCAAACAAATCGGCAAGAAAAAAACAAACAATCCCATCAAAAAGTGGGCTAAGAACATGAATAGACAATTCTCAAAAGAAGTTATACAAATGACAAACAAGCATGTGGAAAAACGCATAACATCACCAATTATCAAATCAAAATCATGATGTGATACCACCTTACTCCTGAAATAATGGCCATAATAAAAAAATAATAGATTTTGTCATGGATATGGGGAAAAGGGAACACTTTTATACTGTTGGCAGGAATGTAAACTGGTATAACCTCTATGGAAAACAGTGTGGAGATTCTTTAAATAACTAAGAGTTGGCTGGGCTTGGTGGCTCACACCTATAATCCCAGCACTTTGGGAGGCCAAAGTGGGCAGATCATGAGGTCAGGAGATTGAGACCATCCTGGCTAACAAGGTGAAATCCCGTCTCTACTAAAAATACAAAAAATTAGCCAGGCATGGTGGCGGGTACCTGTAGTCCCAGCTAATCGGGAGGCTGAGGCAGGAGAATGGCTTGAATCTGGGAAGGTGGAGTTTGCAGTGAGCAGAGATCATGCCACTGCACTCCAGCCTAGACAACAGAGCGAGACTCCATCTCAAAAACAAACAAACGAAACTAAAAGTAGGTCTACGTTTAATTCAGCAATCTCACTCCTGAGTATCTACCCAGAGGAAAAGAAGTCATTATACAAAAAAGATATTTGCACATGTATGTTTATAGCAGTAAAATTTGCAATTGCAAAAATACAGAACCAGCCCAAATGCCCATCAATCAATGACTGGATAAAGAAAATGTGGTATATATATATATGTATATACACCATGGAACACTACTCAGCCATAAAATGGAATGAAATAATGGCATTTGCAGCAACCTGGATGGAATTAAAGACTATTATTCTAAGTGAAGTAACTCATGAATGGAAAACCAAACATTGTATGTTCTCGCTCATAAGTGGGGGCTAAGCTATGAGGATGCAAAGGCAAAAGAATGACAGATTTTGTATATATATATATAATAATTATATATATTTATATTTATAATATATATTTATAAATAATTATGTATCATATATAGGATATATATATAAAATCTATCCTATATATCATATATCCATGTATATTTCCTCGCCATAGGGAAACATTAAAAAAGATCAGCTCATTGGGTATCCAGAAATAGAAACAGCTTGATCTTCATGAGGTAGTAGGGCAAGAGCTGTCTTTAAAGAATTAGACCAATATGAGCAGGAGTCCCTGGGACAATTGGGAAGTTGTTTTCACAGCTTTGTTTACTTACCAACTGACCAAACATGAAAGATAAAACCCAATATGTGCCAAGGGCTCCCCTTTTTACACTCTCTTTGGCATATTCCACATTTCTAAATTATTCATTTGAGAAGCACACTTTGCACTTTTTATTAAACACATGATCGGGCTGGATTTCTCTGTAGTAGGAGACTTAATTTGCCAGTGAACTATGGCTTCAGGTTGGCCATCTGGAAAAATAAACTCCTCAACAGCCATGTAATTTGTCTTTTGTCTGGTTTCAGGCAGTGGATTTTTGGGGATTTGTATTGAGCAAACAGCAAGCAGGCGCTTTCCTGCCTCCTTGAAGCCCTCTTTCCTTCTCTTAGGGTATCTTGCTAAGTTACAAGTTAACAAATGGTTCTTACTCCTGTAATGTCTTTGTCAACACTTTGTATACATGAACCTAATTTTCAATAAAACAAAACAGCTTTCCTTTTCTACTCAGGGAGGCAATGCCATATGGACCAAAGCCTGAGGTCAGAAAAAGCATATTGCCTGGAAGGCAGGCGGATGCACCAGCTGTGCTTTTTGCACCAGAGGGTGAGGGGGTGGAAGGAGGAGACCTTTCTGGCTCAGCTCATAATGCTTTCCTCCCCCACCTCCTCAACCCACCAAGTTACTAGCCTGGTTGTTTGGGAAATGTCACAGGAGACAATTCTCATGTTTTCCTAAATCTAATTGTAAGTTTTCCCCAAAGTCTAAATACCAGGTCGTCTTTGTTACATCTCAGCATGTAAGAAATACAGCTTGACAAGCCAACATCAAAACCCCATGTGCTCAGATAAACACCACAGTTCCTGATAATTTGCATTTGTTACAGGTCCAAGTATAGCTGTGGAATCATTCTGCCCTTTCTTTGATAAGAAAACAACTAGAGGGCCATTCTAGTTGTGGTTTAAAACATGGGTGAAGGGGTCAAATAGATCTGGATTCCTGGCCTGATTCTTCTACTTATTAGCTAAGTTGTCTCGGCTGAATTACCTTACCGTAAGCCTCAATGTTTTACATTTGTATAATGAAGATAATATTGCTAATAATCATGCATTCATTTCTAAAGGCTTATGATAATTACATGAAATTATGTAGGCATGTAAAAGTGCTAACATAAGTCCGTTAGCATTGGCAAAAGTACTCAATTAATTTTAATTTTAAAAATAAAATTAAGTAGGCCAAATTTACATTTGTTAGGTTTATACCACATACTACCATACTCTGTGCTAGGTTTTTAATCTGATAATTATACTTACTTCTTAAAGTTGTATTCTGTGCCAGGAACTAGGCCAAGGACTTCATAGCTACTAATTCTATGATATAAGAATTATTGAAATTCAGAGAGGTTAACTATTATTCCCAAATTCACTTGTGGAGCTAGGATTAAACCTGGGTGTTCAGACTTTGTTTTTACCAAATCGGTAAACTCCTGACTACATGAAAAAATATAAAACTGCACTCAATTGCATTAGTATTTCAACAGTGACAGTGATTTCAAACTATTTCTTACAGTCTTCATAGAACAGTAGCCACAGATAATTTAGCCAATGCCATTCCCTTTTTTCACTTAATATGTGTGCTGAGCATCTTTATCCATGTCTAGTGCCAAAGAAACCAGTTTCCTTCAGCTATTCCACCAAAGAGGTTTGCTGTCAAAGTCAAAAGCTGTTCTATTCTACAATTCTGTATTCATTTTCTAAGACTGTTGTAACAAAGAACCACAAAGTAGTGGCTTAACAGAAATTTGTTGCTTTAGAGTTCCAGGCTAGAAATCTGAAATCAAAGTGTTGGCAGGGTTGGCTCTTTCTAAGGGCTTCAAGGGAAGGATGTGTTCCACACCAGTCTCTTTGTCTTGTGGATGTCCATCTACTCTGGGTGTCTCCACATTGTTTTCCATTTTGCATATCCCTGTGTCCAAATGTTCTGTTTTTATAAGAACACTAGTCATATTGGATATGGAACACACTCTAATTATCATACTTTAACCTGATTACCTCTGTAAAAATGCTATCCTCCAAATAAAGTTACATCCTAACCTACTGGAGGTTAGCACTTCATATGAATTTGTTGGGGACACAATTCAATTTATAACAGACTTATTAGTGGGAATATGCCTTGTTTGTTGGCAAGTTTAATGTATGAGTTGAACTAGACTGAAGAACACAGTAAGTCTCAATATTTAACCTAAAGACCATTTCTTTATTGCTTTCACTCTCTTACTTTGTCATCTTCCATCCCACCAAACCCACCAAACTTTAGTTCTTTCTATGCAAATTATCTTTGCTTGGCACTTTCCATTTCCTCTTCTAACTCCTTAGAGAAGGCTCTTGTTATGCTGTAGTGGACAGTGTTGCTTGCTTACCCTAAAGCTGTTCTTCCCAAAAGGTCTTCCTTGTTTTGACAACTTGCCTCCAAAATGCCAGATGAAGGCTTCTGTTTATTTCACAGTCTTTTTTTTAATATCCAGAAATGAGATTTCTCCATGTTAGAACTGTTGACATTTTGGGCCAGATAATTCTTTGTTGTGGAGAGCTGCCCTGTGCATTTTAGTATGTTTTAGCAGCATCCTTAGCCTCTATGCACCTACATGCCAGTAGCACTCCTTTAGTTGTGAAAAAAGTATCTCCAGACATGATAAGTGTTCCTGGGGGTGGGGATGGCAGAATCACTGCTGTTTGAGAGCCGATGAGCTATAGAGCTAGAGTATGGCCACATGACATGGTCTAGGAGACTGGAAGGGATGTTAACTGAAAACTTTCTGGAAAAAGCACACATCTTTACTGAAAAGAACCTTATGAGAGGTAAGTTCTCGTTTTATTTTTTCTAGAAGAGATTGTGTCTGCCTAGAACTACCACAGCCATTTTGCCATCCTGAGGGGAGAGACCGCCATCATACCAAGGACGGCAGACTGGGAAAATAGAAATATTTGTGTCCTTGACTGCATTGTCAAGCAACTGAACTAACCCAGTAACTGTCCTGTATCTAGACTTCTTCTTATGGAGGTGATAAATGCTGTTATTAAGCCAAATTTAATTTGAATATTCTCGTTGCAGCCAAGAGTGTTCTAAATGACATATATCCTAAGAGGGTGGATGCAACAGGTTGCTTTTTAAATTTGTCTACATGTTTAAGTTAAGACTGTATTTTTAGCCATTTCTACACAAAGATTTAGCAAGACGTACTATTTGTATGTATTTTCCAGAATTGGTGATGGATTTCTGCTTACCTATCCAAAATGGCTTGCTTTACCCTTTAAACAAGAGCAAACATGGTCTTGATGGTGAGCCTCAGGAGGATTACAGTCTGCCTGATGCACTCAGCGAAGTTTAACTGCCATAAATAGAGACAAAACCCTGGAACTTAGTATTATTGTGTGATATATTAATCAGAGGAGGTATTCCAACTGTAGACAGATCAAACTACTAAAATGTGGCTTTAGCTCATTATCTTCATTTTGTAACATCTCTGCAGCATTCAACACTGTTATCATTTCCTCCCTCAGAATCTCATCCCTGAATTTCATGATCTTGTATTATTTTGGGTGTTTTCTTATATTTGTCATCATTCTTTTCTGCCTCCTTTGTTGTCTTTCCTTCATCCTTTGGAATAAAGGGATTTAGGAGAAAGATGATGTGTTTTGGAGTCAGCCATATATTATATATTATTGTTTAATAACCTATAAAATAACCTATATTATTATGTTAAGGTGCATATAATGGTCTCAATTTTGCTCCAATCTGTAAAATGGGAAAATTATATCAGCCTACACGTGTTTTGTGTGGAAAGAAAGGGTTAACATGTAGTAGATTGTTGGCACTCAAGAAATATTTTCCTTTCCAACGTTTTCATAACTTTGGATAGTTCCCAACTCTGTATTTTCAGCCTTCATTTTCAATAAATGTTGCTCAATAAAAATTAATAGCATCTTAAAGCTTCAACTTCATGTTAGTATGGGTCTCAAAGACGTCCTGTCACTCTCTCTTTGACGTCTTCTCAATGACCTACAAGACATCTCTATTAGATTGTCTAATCATCTATGTTAAAATAAACATTGCTAAACAAACTCACAATTTTACTTACTCAGGAACACTTTCTTTTCTAATTCTATAATTTAAAAAAAACAGAATTACTTGCACAGCCACATAAACTTGTGAAACGTAAGTACATATAGCACCTTAAGCAATGCCACTCTGGTGAACCTGAGTCCGTATTTTACCATTTATTGTGGCTGAGTCAGCTCTCTGAGCCCATTTTTACATATATAAGTGTAGTTATGAGGCAGAGAAATAATATATGTCAAGTGAATGGCACACCTCCTAGGGCTTTAATAAATGCCAAGTAGCACTGCTTTATTGTTAACAATAAGGTTAACAGTTTTATATAGAATAGTTTTATTTATCATCTAAAAGCTGATATAATTAAGGGATGTAAAAAACATCAAGGCAGGGAGGTAAACGGAGAAAGAATAAGAAACATTAATATTAAGTATATGTGAAAGAATATGTGCTAGTTATTCATTATGTACTTATCGTGTGCCAGGAACAATCTAAACCTTCAAGTGTAGTATATTGAAGCCTGTGTGAGCTACTGAAGCAGTACCAAAGTGGAAGAACACACTGAGCTGTGACACTTAGTAATTATGCAACCTCAGATATATCACTTAGCCTTTATAAGTCTTAGCACATTCTTCAGAAAAATTGGATAATATCACTTACCTCACTTTGTATGTTCATGATGAAATCACAAAAAGGACAAAGTGTTTTGCATGAGCAACAGAGACTCATTTTTAGCTAAATGATATCCGGGCTGGGATTCAGAGATTTCCCCAAACTGTGTTGTGACAGAAAGCCCAAACGCTTGCTAATGCCCATCTCATCAATAAGATGGTCATCATTGCATATATTAGGGCCATCCATGTTAGCCCGGACGGGAGACTCTTAAAATACCAATGGAATAGTAGAAAACACTCTTCACAAAATGTTTAACACTAGGTCTAGGGGTTTGGGGTAGTATATGTACATTCAAGATAATTCACAAATTTTCTTGGAAAATCTTAAGTCCCCTAAAAGCTGACTCTTCTTCTTAAAAAAGTGAGCATGGTTCAGCTGGAGCGCTACCCCACACACCCCCTACCTTTGTTATCACTCACTGACAGTACTAATTTGGGTGATGGAAAGCCTGATATTTCCTGCTGTAGCACTCGTGTAGAATTTTGATGTCATTTGATACTTCCAGTATAATAAGCTCCACTTAAATGGGAGGACTCCTGTCCTATGAATTTTATGTCAACTCTTCTATATTAGTCCAGAAATTAGAATGATTGGAGAACTACTTGTCCAGTTTGAAGTTGGATGTTGTCTAGGAAGTGAGGCCACCATCTGGAGCTGAGAGTTTCAGCCTAACTACTGATTCTCCACAAACAATATCTACGGACATGTACAGGGCCTCAAGAAATTTTTAAATCCAGAAGGTATTATGGACCACTCCCATGCAGTGCTAGGAAGAAGAACCTTAGAAGACCATATCTTTTGTTTGAACAAACAAGAGAATGACATGGTGTTTTTGCTGACACAGCCCACATGCATTTGGAATGAATCTTTAGAGGATTTGCCAGGAGAAAAACTTTATCCTGAGGTGCAAAAAAGAGTTTCTGGAGGGAGTGAGATTTGTTTGAACCTGTATACTGATTGATTTCTCAAATGGCATTGAAGGTGGAGGCGTTGGTGGACAGCAGGGAGTGGGCGAATAAAAAGACTGCCTTTCTTGTGCATGCGAAAGCCTGTCACTTAGGGGCATGTGCCTAATTATTTCTGTTTCACGCATGGGTGCCCTGTTTGCTAAAGGTGTTGTGAAAAGTTGCCAAGAGATAAATTCAACTGTTTATGAGAATCATTATGAGGTTCAGTGTTTATTTCCCTGGCACCCTCCAAGATCTATAACTTCGAGCTGAACAGCTGTTTTCTGGTGCTTGTAAATAGGACTATTTAAATGTCTTAAACACATTGTTTAAAAAAAGTACACAAAACAGGATGCCTTTCTAGCATTGGGAAAACTGTAAGAAGAAGGAAAGGAAACTTTATCATTTGGCTATTGCTAACATTTATTGTGTGACTGGGATAGTGTTACATTCCCTCAGTGCTGGTTATAAAGATTATAATTAAGTGGGCGGTCTCTGTAGACCAACTCAGAAGTGCTTCTCCTTCTCAGGTTTTAGCTAGTGCCTTACTTAAATAGGAGCTGGAAAAGCAAAATAAGATCTTTGAAGCCACACAATGTCTGGTCTGTTTTGGCTAACTGCATTGTAATATAACTGACATTATAGCAGGTAGCAGGATAATTCATGTCAGAAACAGTACAATTCCATGTTTTATTTATAACAAGGAACAAAATGTGCATTGCCGTAATTCTGTGCAACCACTTCCTCACTGACTAAAGAAAGCGATGACTTGGTCAATTGTTGACCTGAAAGTAGTATCAAAATGGCTATTGTGCAGCACCAGTTTATCAAAGTAATATTTTAAAACCTGAGCCTTTAAATTCGAAAGGACAAGCTCAGAAGTTCCTCTTTTCCTTTACTAAGCTCCTAGCAATCTGTCTCATGGCTTCTAAAATGACATCCAGCTTGGTTCTCCAACATGTGTGCAAATGGAAGCCAAAGCTTAGTAATCGTCAGGGTAGGGGTAGGGAAATTATGGCTCACCTACTAAGCATGTATCTGTGTTTAGTTGAGAAGCCATTGATCTCCCATTTTCTTTGGAGAGGAGTATTTCTGTGCCTCTCTGATCGGTTGGGAAGGTAAGGAAAGAAAAGAAAAAAGACTGGTTGAGCATGGTGGCTCACGCCTGTAATCTCAGCGCTTTGGGAGGCCGAGCTGGGCAAGTCACTTGACGTCAGGAGTTTGAGACCAAACTGGGCAAAATGGTGAAAGTTCTTCTCTATGAAAAAAGTACAAACAATTAGCTGGGCATGGTGGCATGTGCCTATGGTCCCAGCTACTTGGGAGGCTGAAGAAGGAGGATCACATGAGCTTGGGAGGTCAAGGCTGCAGTGAGCCATGATCACACCACTGCACTCCAGCCTGGGTGATAGAGCAAGGCCATGTTTCAGAAAAAGAAAGAATGAAAACAGAAGTCAGGATTGCCACATTCTTTAGTATAAGAAAATGGATTGTTAGAACTTCCCTGTGGATTTGGGACTAAAAGTTTACAGACTCAATTACCTCGCTAAAAAACTTGCTTAAACTCCTGAGGTTTGCCGCAGTGCCCTTTCCTTATGAGATGGAGAGTTTCAGCTTTGACTCATTTAGCTGGGGTATAACCAACTCTATGTGGCTGTCACTCTTGAAGATTCTTGATACGTCCTGAGGGCATCAGATTACCGTGTGTCCAGACTGTTTTGCAGGACCCGAAGGAAAATTTTCTTAATGAAGGTAACCATTTTGGAGGCCTCTGCAGCCAGACCTGTTTCAAACCAATGTCCAAGACTGCAAAATGCCAAATGTCAGACTGACGTTGCATTGTGCTAAGACCTAGCTAAACTCTTTGATTCAAAAGGATGAGTTTAAAAGAAAGAAAGAAACCAAGGGAAACTGCCATTTCCTCAAATCTAATTGAAGGTTGAGAGGGATCAAGGGAAATTTCAATAGGTTGGAAGCTAGCCCCCAGGAAAACCAATGAAAAGGGCTTGGAAGAAAGAAAGGAAGCCTTGCTGATTAGCTTCCCCTGTGGAGAACGTCTCTGCCACTTGGCTTCCTTTGATGAGATTACAGACTTCTGAAACTGGTTCCCACCAGGAAGGTAGACATGTTGAAAGAACATCCTTCTAAGTAGGCAGGGAACACATTCTTTGTCCTTGGGAAAGTACACTATTTTGCTCTCTGGAATGACTTGATCATGGTTTCAGCCCTGAGACCAGAGCTATGCTGCAGGAGATTCTGAGCCAATCTAGTCTAAGATGAAGTTTAGGTTTATCTGGGGAAGTTGTAATAATTTCAGATAGTCAAAATTATTGCATTCTTATCTTCATAAAATTCTTCAACATGATAAAGAGACTTTAATGATTTTCTTACATTGTTTGTTCTTGAGATTGCTCCAATTGTATTTTGCCATGGTTCTCCCCTCCTCACTTGCCCACCCTTAATTGGGTGAAAGATCCAAGCTCACTTTATATTGATTTGGATACCATAACCTAAGTAATAATTTCTGCCACCTCTTTTTTTCATATGCCCTCAACTCTAACAGCATTCATGTATACCAATTCATGCTTTCATGATTGAAGATACTTAGAGTTGAAGACTTTAGTAGTCAACTTTCCAACCTAAGGAGAAAGCTCCATTCCTGACTGACAATCATTTAAATCTTACTTAAAACCCTCATCATCAGGGGACATTCTTGGGTGACCTTAAACCTTTTTTGGTACATTCTGTCTTTTATTCACCATCCTCTACTTATGCCCTGTCCTCATTTCTCCACTTATCCCAACCTTAAACATTGTCCAAGATCCAGTTTAAATTCTACCATTTTCTTAAACTAAAGGCAATCATGTAAGCCTATAAATTCAGACAGTTACACAATCTTAATCAGTTAAAACCAGAAGTAAATGTAGAGATCTTTTAGTATAGTCTCCTCATTTTATAGATGTGGGAACTGAAGATAAAGGAGATCTCAGATAAGAAAGCAGGTTATACCCTACATTTTGACATCCTCTCTAATGCAGTCTTGAACAATATATTTGTTTAATACTGCAAATATGTCTGATTATCACAGTTGTAAGCTCTGGAAGGCAAGGATTGTGATTTCTGTGTCTGTATTTTGCATGGTGGCTTATATATACAAGGTTGTTCTAACTAAGTTCTGCCCATTAGAACTTTCTATGGTGGAGTAAATTTTTTACATTCTGAGCTGTCTAGGATGTTAATCACTAGCCAAATACAGCTGTTGAGCATTTGAAATGTGGTTAGTGTAACTGAGGAGTTGGATTTTTAAAGTTGTTTCATTTTATTTCCCTTATCTTAACTACCGTTAAATTATTTAAATTTAAATAGCCATATATTGCTAGTGATTAGTATATTGAATGGTGCAGCTCTCACTCATTTCGTGATTCACATCAAATTGATAAAAATTTGAGTACATTTGTTGATTTTTAAAATATTTTTTGACTTAGTATAATAGAAGTCTACAGATGAAAGGGGCAAAGTCTCATCACCTTAATTAATAATGAGAGCACTGGTTCAAGGTCACATGGTTAATTAGGGACAAAACTGGCACCAGGGCACAGGCCTGGCTATAGTTAAGTTATATTTTTGTTTGTCATAATGCTTCAGGGAAAGTGGGAGGATGAATCAGGTAGTAAGTGGAAAGGAAAACCAAGCAAAAACCATATATACATACTTTTATGTACATACACACATATGTATATTCTCATTTCTACAGTTCTCATTCATTCTCTCTGTCTCTCCATATATATATATATATGAGAATTGTAGAAATTGTACAGAAGGAAGAAGAAAAGAAACATGGAATCATCCTAAATGCCTATCAGTGGTAGACTGGATAAAGAAAATGTGGTACCTATACAACATAGAATACTATGCAACCATAAAAAAGATGAGATAATGTCCTTCGCAGCTGGGGGACATTATCCTAAGCAAACAAACTGAGAAACAGAAAACCAAATACTACACGTTCTCACTTATAAGTTAAAGCTAAACTATGAGAATGTATGGACACAAAGAAGAAAACAACAGACACCAGGGCCTACTTGAGGGTTGAGGGTGAGAGGAGGGTGAGAATCAGGAAAAAATCTGTCAGGTATTATGGTTATTACCTGGGTTATGAAATAATCTGTATACCAAACCCCTCTGATATCCAGTTTACCTAAATCCCTGCACATGTACTTCTGAAACTAAAATATAATAATAAACATGCACATGTAACCCTGAAACTAAAATAAATAAACCTGCACATGTACCCCTGAAACTAAAAGAAAAGTTAAAAAAACTTTAAAAAGAGAAAGAAATCCATGCAAAAATAGAGAAATTTGTCAATACCAGAGAATGAAGATGAAGAAAGGAAAAAAAAAAAAAAAACAAACTTCTGCTTTCATCCATGAGCCTGTGTGTAAATGAAGAATTCCCTTTTAGAGACAAAACAATTTACTGTAATAAATCAGGGACTATTGCATAGGTGCAGTCAGGATTACACAATGAAGAGAGCTTTGTAGGTACTGAACCATGACAAAGTCTTCATACTAATGAATTACATTCCTCAAAAACCTTTGTCAAATCAGTCAAAGAACTCTCTCCGAATGAGCATGGAATGTTAACATCTGGTTCACCAAATAGAGATAACAGTTTCATCCAGCCCAAAGCCTTAGTTAGTCAAGCCTTTATCCCTCCCTGTTGTCTGCTGATCCCACTTTATCCTTCCTTTTGCTTTGCAGCTGCTCAGTGAAGGAGAGACTTCGTTGAAGAGTATTGAATTTGGTGATGTGTAAGAGACCTGGGAAGTAGAGTGCCAATGGAAGTGAATGGTTTGGAAGACTAAAAAGGGCTCTAGATGCTCCTTTTCTATACAGCGTCCTGATAATCTTAACAGATTCAACAACCTCCCAAGAGAAATAATTCCTGTAGAGTCTATAGCATATCATTAAATAAGAGAAACAACTAGTTTTCAAAAGTTCAATGGTGTTCAAAACAGGATGCTGCTTTGTTTGTTTGTTTCATAGTATTTTGTATTTCATAGAAAGAAGGAAAAACTAAACTAAAATCTGTAATATCATTATTGATAATACACATATTGTCTCTTTGTATATTTTTCCAAGTTGTCTAGTAAGTAAAATGACACTGGGATTTTCCCAAAGTGTGTGGATATTTATTTTCTTACTAATTTAATGGATTTTTCAGTTAAATCATAGGCACAGCAAGCTTTTCTTTTCCATATTAAATGCTACTTTATCTGTTGACATGGCACCATTCTCAAAGTCATAGGCACAGGTGAGGATTTATTCATTTAGGATTGTAAGGTGAGGGGCCAATTATCAGTCCCTTCCAAATCTCATCATCTCTGTCTTCCTCCTACTCACCTTCTTCTTCTGGGATCCCCTATTTCGTATGAATACTACCACCCATGCTGACAACGGTTTTCTATGTCTGTGAGGTATTCTGGCTGTGTCCTACCATTAGATGATTGCTTCATCAGGCAGGTTCTCTTTCCACAGTGTCTCCTATGTCCCTCTCCTTTCTCTTTCACTGCTACCCTCAACCAGACTGTTGTTAGTTTTCTCTTTCCTGTTACCGGCACAAGTCTTAATTCTGGAGATCAGGACTAATTGTATTATTCTATAGCTCACAAACTTTCCATGGTGTGAGGTAACTATAAGGAAGGAAAGGAGAAAAAGGACAGGAAAAGAAGGTAAAGAAAGAAGGAGAAGAGTAGGAGGAGAAGGAAGAGCTGGAATGGAAGAGAATAGAAGGCTAAGAAATTTTGCTATATACAAGAATTGAACATAAAGTATTGACGGCAATTCAAATCAACGCATAAATTATATTTCATGTAATAGTTGTGAATACAATGCTGGAAAATATTTAAGTTGAATTTTTACTTTCCAACAAATACCAAAATAACTTTCAGATTAATTCAAATGTTAAATGTAAAAAAGTTCTTAAAAATACTTGAGAAATGTCTGAAATAATTATGTAATATCAAAATGAAAAAGGTTTAAGTGAAAATAATAAAGGAAAGGAATAAAGGATAATGTAAAAGATTAAACATAACATAAATATTAAAAATAAAATACAAAACCTGTGATCAAAATTCAAAAGCAAAGAGCCATCTAGGAAAAAATATTTCCAAGGTAAATGGTATACAAAGTGAGAGTGTCGTTAAAATATAAAAATCTCTTACAAATCAGCAGAGAAAGGAGCAGCCCAATAGAAAACTTGACACAGATTATGGAAAGGGAATTCGTAAAGAATGACCCATAACATGAAAAGAAAGTCACAGATCTATTGCGTTTTTTTCTCTATGTGTTCTTCACTGTTTTCTGCTTGTAAAATAGATCCTCCTTTCAAGGTTACATTTTTTTCTAGTTTATATTTTGTTTTGCCTTTAATATTCTAATTCACTTAGCATTTATTTAAATGTATGCTTCACTGAGGCAGGAGAATGGCGTGAACCCAGGAGGTGGAGCTTGCAGTGAGCTGAGATGGTGCCACTGCACTCCAGTCTGGGCAACTGAGCGAGACTCTGTCTCAAATAAATAAATAAATAAATAAATAAATGTATGCTTCAATATTAGAGTCCATTCAATGGTAGTCTTTTTCCTCCTTCCTAGATTGTAAACTCCTGAGGGCAGGAACAATGTGCTCCTTGTTTTCTTAGACTCTGCAGCATGTAGCAAGTGTGTAAGATACAATCCTCAGGTTAAGAGAGGTAAAGAGAGATAATCAGAGAAGTTTTGAGAGGAGTTATCTTTTGAGTTTAACCTGGTAAGTCTAAAGTATTTGCAAGATTCTCTTTTTCTTTTTTTTCCTTTGTTTTTATCTCTTTTGGCTTGAACATGGCTTAGAGGCAAAGTAACATGACGTAGGAGAAGAATTCTGAAGACAAATGAAGATTTACATCCTGACAATATCAATCACTTATGTCGCTCTAAGTCTGTATTCCTCATCTATAAAATAGATATGAGTACTTACGAGGTTGCTGGTAAGATAAAAATCCATGCTTGTAAAGTGATCAGCATATTGATTCCATTTCCTTATTACTACTTAATTCTGCTCTTGTTGAGGGATACTTCGCACCCTTGGCCCCTTCTTTAGTGAAGTAGAAATGTGGCAATATCTGTGAAAATGTCTTGCAGTTGGGATGCTTTTTAATATCATAAAGTACTATTAATTTAAATTTTGGATATTTGTTTAAGTGTAAATTACTTTCAGTTTTCCTTAATGACAAATTGAATGGAAATAATGTTTGAGTGTAATGATTCAGCATAAGTCCATAGAGGTAAGAAAACAGAGAAAAGTTAATATGGCACATAGCTGATATTTGAAAAATACTTCCTTTTTGATTCTTTTCTTTCATCTTAGAATAG
Organism: Homo sapiens; assembly: GCF_000001405.40. Classification (NCBI taxonomy): domain Eukaryota; kingdom Metazoa; phylum Chordata; class Mammalia; order Primates; family Hominidae; genus Homo; species Homo sapiens. The sequence goes on from NC_000009.12 coordinate 22,386,718, forward strand.
ACCATCAGCCTGATTCATAATAATACCTTTTGATATTTAGATATTTGACATGAATATGATTTCCTAAGCGCCCAACCAACTACCAGTGAGTGACTTAGACTCCAGGGAGAATAGATCCCACTTTAAAAAATGCATTCAACTTGATCTTCATGTTTACCAAAGGATTTTTGGATTCATGCATGTCTTATGGCACATGGTTTAAATCTCCATGCATATTCAGTTAATCATCTCAGTTTGTCTTACAGGCACATAGCCACCATTTTGCCACGGTGAAGACTGAAAACATTGTGTGCTAATTTCTTTGTTTTAGGGGAGGTTATCATAGTTGTTATCAGGCCTGCTTTGTAAATTTTGTGAGCTGTAAAATGAAGTACTGTATATTCCTGGGAAGTTTTTTCCCACTGAGAATATTTAAGTTAAATGTTTTTTTAATTGTCTGGGAGGGCAGATGCTGGCAATAAAAGAAACAATTTGAAATTTTAAAAATAAGCAGCACATTTATAGCAACTATATGGGAATATTATTAGTGATTAAATATAGTAGTACAGAATAATATATCTAGGGTAAAAAAATACTAATAATTGTAACCCAGCAATTTTTTTAGTTCTTTTTGTTTTCTAATAAAAAATGCTGTATTTTAGGATGAATAAGGCACTATATATCACATTTGCGTCAGTCTGTTTAGTGCATAGTGGAGTGCTTACATTGCTAATTTGTCACTAAAATTGTTAGTTAAGGAATCTGATTCCAGTCTCTTTTATATTCTCTTTAGATGTGGCCTTGAATGAAAAGAGGCAATACCCCTTTTCTTCAATAATAAAACATTCTCCACAAATTATTTTCTCTTCTTTCCTAGGCTGTGGAGATAGGGGTTTTCTATTTCCTTTACCTATATGTTCTGGTCATAACTTTATCTGTCTAGGAAGAATTTAGTGATTAGCTGAACTTTCTTAACCTCTGATTTTGTTTTCTGTTTAGGGAAAAAATATAATGTTTGTGAGTCAACTATGTCCATTTATGTACTTTATAGAAATCTCATTTAATTACTTAAATGGTATGGGTTTGATTGTCGTCATTTTAGGGCTTAGAAAAAAGGAGGCTCAGAAAGTTTTGATAAATTTTTCTATATTCTTATTTTATGAGTGAGTTGAAATTATAACCTGGGTCTGCCTAGCTATAAACATTAATTCTTTCCAATCTGGTAGGATATTGGAGTTTTACATTGATTTGCTAGAGTTCTTACATGACTATTTTTATGATTAAAAGATTATGTAAGGATAATGATTCATTCTTCTTTTATATCCCAAAATACGGACTAGAGGTGGAAGAGCAGGCTTTTGATGGGAGAGATGAAGAGCTTGGTTTTTAACAAGCTTTTCAAGTGTCTGTCATACAACCAGGTGAAATCGAATATCTGGAACCTAATTGCCAGAAAGAGTGACTAGGACTGGAGATAGAAGTTTGGGAACACGTAACAATAGTTGCAAATTTTGGCCTTCTTTGGCCTGTTTTCCCCATTCTCAGAGTGATTGTTGGGGTTATGGAACTAAGAAAGGACAAATTTGACATGTGGGAGGTTCTTCTCTAAAGAAGACTGATGTAGCTACGACATAGAAGATGCCATGCCATTAGGAGATGTGGGTAGAAGTCAGCCTGTGTTCCTCAAGATTATCTAAACCAGAAATTCTCAAGCTTTGGTGTGTGTCAGAATCACCTGGAGAGTTAATAGAGAATAGAGGCCCAGTAGGGTAAAATCTGGACCTCTGTGGGTTTTTTTGTTTTTTTTTAACCAAGCTCTGGAAAAAATTCTGACAGATCCTCAAATTTGAGAAACACTAGGCTAAACCATATTTTATTTGAGAAACACTAGGCTAAACCATATTTTAACCATATCACTACATAGCTAAGTAGTAACTATAGTAATAATTATATGTCCTTTTATATAACTTGGGAGAATCTGTTGCTAATTCAAAACTCGAATTAAAATTTCTTTTATGTTTTTTATGATTACTTAGGCTGACAAATACATGCACACAATGAAATCTTTCTAAAATGATTCTACCTTGAATCTTCTAGAGAGGGTGAGGATGAGCACGTCCAGGACATCTAAGAAATTCTCCTTCTCAAACTTGGCTTTTCCTGTGGGAAACAGAGTGAGGAAAAGAAAATGAGTCCCAATCCTCCCTGGAGGCAATGCTTACACATATTTTGGAATCAGAGGATCTGCGGCCAATTTCACCTGTGGGCAGGGAGAACACACCTGTTAGCTACATGTTTTTTGAAACAGGCTGTACTTGGCCAGATTACAAAAAACACTGTTGTTATGCCATCAAAAAAAGAAGCTGACTTACATGTGAATAATACTTATTAAAGGGGATTTTAAGAAGCTGGACACTTGAGAAAAGCAAGCAACTGTGAAAAGAATACCTGCTTACCTTTGTACAAGCCAACAATTACCCCCCCAAATTGGGTTAGGATTAGATAAGGCAATCAGTTGTAATAGAGTTGATATCTGCGAAGGGGAAGTTTGAGTCATTCAGAGATAAACCTCTTATTATGGTTTCTTTTCCTTGATCATCTTTATCCTTCTACCCCACGCCTACCTTTATGCATAGTGGTCATTGGTGGGGTGAGGAAGGAATGACTTTGGAAGTGCTCCTTAACCAGGCTTTTGTGTGCATTGTCCGAGGCTCACAGCTTTCTTATCAGCAGGCTTTCCTGCCCTGTCATTAGGCCTGGTGGCAAAAGAGGCTCTTTCTCATGAACTGACCCATGCTGCGAGCAGGTCACCTCAGATGGAGGCTTGCTGCTTTATTCAGAGGCTTCTGAGATTCCCAGATGTTGTGGCAAGATGCAAATATGGAGAAAGGCTTTCACTGCTCCTCCGTTCAAAATGGGATTCTATTTGGTGACCGAATGCAGTTTCATAGGGGCATGGTTGAGTCTTACCTTCCACAATTGGAATTGTAAAAAGAGTCTCTTTGTGAGAGCAATAGTTAATTCTCTGTGAATGTTACTACAGTTTAGGGAGAATAAGTATTTTTCCCTCTCCTTTATATTTCCCCTTCACTTATGCTTAAAAACAGGTAATTGGAGCAGGGCTTCAAAGTGTAATCTTGCCCAAAGGCTAAGCTTGCCACCTAATGACACACGGTTGTTCTTTATTGAGGCAGTCTTGCACTCATTATCTCTAAATTAGTTCCCCTTTCTCCTTTGGTTTATTATTCATCCACCTCCTCCTTTTTCATTTGGATTTTTCCAAGTGAACCATGACAAAGTGTGTCTTTGTGAGGTGTGTGTCTGTGCAACAGTGCATCTGTGTGAGTGAGTGTGCTCCCTACCCGTGCCCCTCCTTTACATTAAGTGTTTATTTAAGCCAAGGCTCTGGAAAATTGACAAAAATATTTGGCATTGATTGCCTCATAATGATCCCACATCAATCCAAGGAGGAATCTAGCTGAAAAGTAGAAGGAGCTGAGATTTAGTTGCAGGCTTTCCCTTGTCAAGGCCAGATGTAAGCAGCTCAAACTCAGAGAAAAGATGGGAAACTAGTTTTTGAGTGAAAACTGTGAGAGTGTTCATGTAAAATTATAATTAAAACTTTAGCATCCTGTTCTACCAAAAGTTTTATGTACCACTCATGTGATATTATATCCAGTTGGACTTAAAAAATGAGGTAAAAAGAAAATACTGAAGTAGCTTTCTTTGTTCAGATCTGGGTTAGAATCCCTACTTTAACCCTGGTAACCTACTATTGCTTAGCCCTTCTGAGCTTTGGTTTCTTCATCTTAAATAGAAATAATATCAACCTTACAGGTTTGTGGTAAGGATGAAAAGACATATTAAAAGTGCTTAATGCAGTGCCCATTACAATTTAGATAAATTATATTTTAAAATGGCCACAGTTCTTAATTCCCTTATAATAAACTAAATCAAAGCTTGGAAGGTTTTGACTTCATAGCTCGAAAATATGAGTTCAGATCTCTTCTCTCTCTGGGACCATTTCTTTCTTTAGCTTGAAAGGGGACCTGGCATTTTCGCTACATACCTAGCCCTCTGCTGGGCGGAGTTTATATTTGTACACACTCTGCAAAGGCATAATATTATTCCCATCTTGAAGATGAGAAAATGGAGGCTCAGAGAGGTTAAGTAAGTTGCTCAAGGTTTCAAAGGAAGTGATGAAGCAGGTATACAAATAACGGTTTGTCAAGTCTCAAAAGCGTATAATACAACTGAGAATTATGGTATATCTTATTCACCTAAGTCTGCTTTGAGATAGTTATATCCTCAGAAATTGTGCAACAAAATCTTCTGATTCAGAAGGTTAGTAGACTTATTAGTACAAGAGAAGAGTTACCAACTTTGCCTGACTGATTAATTCCTAGGGTGAATATGTGATGTATATATTAAATATACCAGACTTAGTCTTGATATTATTGGATAGATTCAAGTACTTCCTCTTTACCACGATGATTTTCTCTAGACACCTCTATCACAGTGTAATCTTTTTTAATACTTGTGCAAACTCAGCAATGGCTAATGGTTATTTCTGTGATGCAGATGAGATCTACCTCTCATATACCACATTTTATTTTCTCTTCTTTATCCTATCTTTGCATTCCAAAGGTAATCATTTATTCTTGCCTTCACCATATTCCAGCTCAAATCTCCTTTCTCTTCATTCACCCATGGGTGCCTTGGTGTTCTTCTGCCTCTGTAGGACTGATAGCCCTGTGTTGCTGGTTATGCTCTATTACTTTTTGACATTATCCTCTTCCTTATCCTTCAAAAGCACTTCTTCCTCCTCTACCTTTTATCTTTCTTCCATGAAACCAGAGTTAGCTGGGAGAGAATACAATAGAGTATCTGGGTATAGGGGTATACATAAAGGTTCTACTTCTAGCTGGGTGGCCTTGGTAAGTAATTTAACATCTCCATGCCTCATTTTCCTCATCAATAAAAAAAAAAATCCACTTGTAACTTTCAATGATTATTTCTTTACCATAGCTCAAAAGGCCATAGATGCTGTTTTTGTGCCATGACCCCCATTGGAAGTACAGTCTCTTATTCAAGGAGAGAGTTGGTAGCAATAATAATATGTATATATGGCATTTTCTATTCATAAGATTAGTGTGCAGACATCATTATCACTTGTTCCTTCGAACACCGTGACTTGGGCCAGGTCACCTAGCTAGTCAGTAGCAGGGCCAGGACCTGAATATGATCCTCCCCATTTCTCCATTCTGAATCTTGCATTCTTTGCTCTACACCTCAGTAGAGTAAGGTAAACTGGCTGAGGCATGGAGAGAGAAAGATCAAAAAGTTTTTTGTATTGTGTCTCTATGTGAACTGTGCTGGGGGAATGAATTGGTAGTTTGGGACTGAGAGTAGAAAATTTAACAATAGAAATGATAGTATTAATTTTTCAAAAAGAGAAAAAAATTTCCAAATTAATTATTGTTTCAGGCCTTACCGTTTTCCCTAAACATCTGTAGGACAACATCAGAGAAAGACAGTGTGCTGGGAGTGAAACAGAAAACTTAATTTCAACTTGAAATTTCTAAATTTTACTGTTAAAGAACTTAACACTAAAAAATGCAGTGCAAGCAACCACAGCAGCTTAGGGAATTTTCTATGTTTTCTGAATGGTATTTCCCCTAAAATGAAAACATTCCTTATTTAAAAATCCATTCTAGGGTTTGTTCAAAGATTAACTTATATAGTCCCTTGAGATACAGGGCTAGGGACTTACTATTTTTTTTTTCATGTCAAGATTAATAACTTCTTCTCAGATTGACCCTGTCCTGCCCATGTGAGATAACTCAAGTTTAAATCTGTCTATTGTGTGCTCGGTAGCTTCTTTTGGCCATAAAAGAGTTTGTTCTCCATTAAAAGAACAGTTACATATTCCAGGTTGTTTGTGAAAGAATAAAATATATCTGTCTTTGTTCAAGAGTGATTTGTTAGTTGTGAGTGTGAAAGGGGAACCGGGAAGTGTTGGGTGGTTTCACCACATATTACAGAAGTCTAGTGTAACGCATTTGGCTGAGCCCTTTCTCATTTAAGGCTTAAACCAATATTTATTTTTGAAAGGAAATTCAACCCATATGTATCTGCCTCAGTGGACTTGTTGGCTCTTCTTGCTAGGAATCAGGAAATTACTTTTGCTAACATTACAAAAGGCCTAAAGAGCAAGTGAATTTTAATCTTGGCAAATGTAGCTTCCACTCTGAAAGGAGGAACATAGGTTCCAGGTAACAACAAAAGAAAGACAAACATTACTGGTGACTTCCAAGATAAGAAGGGCAGAGAAGACTGTGCACATTCTAAGAATTACTGATTGTTTCAGTTTGTCCCAAAGCCAATGTAATTTGTTCTTTAATGCAGATTCTCACATGTGTAGTTGATAGTACAAATTGTTCAAGCAAGTCCAGCTATACATGCTAAAATCTTAGTGTAAAAAGAAAAATAATAATATAACATATTTGATTTTGTGCCTTTCAAAGTAAAAATTATGAATGCATGCTGTTTATCTTGAGCAGGCTCGCTGTTTATCTTGAGCAGGCTCACTGTTTTGGTGTATATTTTTCATACAAAATAGGAAAGTTGGCCAGGCGAGTTGGCTCATGCCTGTAATCCCAGCATTTTGGAAGGCCAAGGCAGGCAGATCACTTGAGGACCAGAGTTCGAGACCGGCCCAGCCAAAATGGTGAAACCCCGTCTCTACTAAAAATACAAAAAAATTAGCCAGGTGTGGTGACAGGAGCCTGTAATCCCAGCTACTTGGGAGGCTGAGGAAGGAGAATCGCTTGAACCTGGGAGGCAGAGGTTGCAGTGAGTGGAGATTGCACCACTGTACTCCAGCCTGGGTGACAGAGCAAGACTGTGTCTCAAAAAAAAAAAAAAGAAAGAAAAAAAAAAGAAAAGAAAAAAGAAAATTTTGGGGAACAAAAGACTATATTTTTATATTATCTTGAAATACAAAACTACCTTACACTATCTTCTAAATTGATTAATTCAAGAAAAATATGTCTTCACAGAGCATATGCACTGCTATTTCTAATTTACTATAAATATTTGATGCTTGGAACTATTCTAATTTTCTGTCTTTAGCTAATTTAGCCAAAGATTTATCTGTGGAAAACTGCTCTCTTTAGATTGACTGTCCTTGGCCTAAATACAGGTTCCCAGGAGTGGTGGGAATATTGAAAACCAAGCTATTCAGACCCAGAGCTGGGTTGATAACTTGGTGCAGAGAGATAGGTACAAAATGTGGTGACTTTCTGGAGGTGACTTATGACAGTTAAAGGAGGAGTCCTGGACAAGATGAAGTTAGGATGCAAGTTGTTTAGTATCATGAGAACTTGAGCATAGAGTAAGTAGGTCTTCTTTCTGGTTGGAGCTTAGACATGGTCCGAAAGCCCACTTTCCCTTGTAAGAAGTCTGCAGGATGGTTTCCTCCTTCCAGGTCCTAGAAGCATCCAAGCAAAAGTCACATTGTAATAACTCTTTATTTGGCCACAGATACTTCCCTAAGTAGTGGTTCTCAAAGTGTGGTTTCCCAGCCAGCACCATCAGCATTACCTAAAGGGTTGTTAAAAATGCACATTTTCAGATTTCATCCAAGAAATAATCATAAACTCTGGGAGTGGGGATCAACAACCCATGTTTTAACAAGCCATCCAAGTAATTCCAGTGCGTGCTGGAATTTGACAATCATTGGTCTAAAGCAGTTGACATTTTCAGACCTTCGGTGCAAAACTCTGCAATACTATACTATAGTTCTTGAATTTGTGCACATTTCTATGATTTTAGGCACATGTTCTATGTGGACAATTAGCTATTAACTGCATGTTTTAAAGGGATAATGGTTTATTTTGTCCCGGGTGTTTCAATTTCTATCTCCCTGGTCAGTGTGGTCAGCACAACTTTCAAACAGTGGTTATCATCTGTGATTTGGCTGCTTGGATCTTGCCTAATAACACTCCCCAGAAGAGTCAAGCTAGATTTAGGTGGCCCAGTATGGAAAGGGTGCCTGACAGTCTCTTTCTAGGAAGTTCTGAAGCAATAGGTCATGTATTTGTGCTGCTGCTCCAGTGGTACCTTTTTGGACCTCAGTGGAAATTCTGATTCTGCCTTGGGCGTGATAAGAAAGAATCCAGATTTCTAGAAGCTCAAAGCTCTTGGGATAAAGCTCTGACCCTTCTCCACTGCAAGATTATATAGTAATCTTTCTGAAATATTTTTTAAACTTTAAATTTCCCTTTTAGTAAAATTTCACCGAAATTTTATTTGTTTCTGCTTAATAGAAAGTGGCTTCAAACCTTCTTGTACATGTTCTGTGAATCCATATATTTATACAAAAGCCACTCATCTAAAAAGACACAAAACTATTCTTGCTCCTACTCTGGCATCAGAAAGTGAGTCCTAACTTTGACCCCTGATGGACACATATTCTTCAGAGGTCATACTCCAGGCAAATGATTTTTTTTTTTTTTTTTTTTTTGAGATGGAGTCTCGCACTGTCACCCAGGCTGGAGTGTAGTGGCGCGATCTCGGCTCACTGCAAGCTCCGCCTCCCAGGTTCGCACCATTCTCCTGCCTCAGCCTCCCGGTAGCTGGGACTACAGGCGCCCACCAACGCGCCCGCCAACGCACCGGCTAATTTTTTGTATTTTTAGTAGAGACGGGGTTTCACCGTGTTAGCCAGGATGGTCTCAATCTCCTGACCTCGTGATCCGCCCGCCTCGGCCTCCCAAAGTGCTGGGATTACAGGCGTGAGCCACCGCGCCTGGCCGCAAATGAATTTTTTATGGCTAATTGGGCCTTAGTTAAAAATCCCTATGTGGTCATGTGACTGGGGAGCTGAGGCTATGCCACCTGTGAGCCCCAGGGATCCCTTTGTTACTTCTAGCTTAGGCTTATCTTCTCTTCTCTGAGCTGCATGCTGCCCTCCATTTCAGCTTGTAAGAGGTGAGGCATCTTCTTTCAAAAATGTAATCTGAGCATCAGTCACCAAGTGATACTGGTAGGAGGTAACCATATGATAGAGATAAATCTCCTGCTGGGAAAGAAGCCAAATCATACTAGTGGCCAGCTTCAGTGGAATCTACTCAGTAAGCATATTTCATTGGAGATGAATATGCTCAGAGAGAGGCAGATCCACAAAGTCATCCAAATACTTAATGAGGCATTTTCTACCATAACATATGCTCAAAGAATTTAATGTCAGGCATTTATACATTACTTGAGTTATTTAATTTAATCCTTGCATCAACCTAACGAGGTAGGGATTCTTATGATCCCTTAGTTTGCAGGATGAGTAAACAAAGCTTACAGAGGTTAGGTGACTCACTGTCAAAGAACGAGTAAAATGAGAACTGCATTCTAACCTTGGACCATGTATTAGTCTGTTTTCATGCTATTGATAAAGACATACCCAAGATTCAGTAAATTACAAAGAAAAAGAGGTTTAATGGACTCATAGTTCTACGTGGCTGGGGAGGCTTCACAATCATGGTGGAAGGGGAAAGGCACATCTTACATGGTGGCAGGCAAGAGGGAATGAGAGACAAGTGAAAGGGAAAACCCCTTATAAAACCATCATATCTCATGAGATTGATTCACTACCATGAGAACAATAGGAAGGAAACTGGCCCCATGATTCAATTATCTCCCACTGGGTTGCCCCCACAACACATGGGAATTATGGGAGCTACAATTCAAGATGAGATTTCATTGGGACACTGCCAAACCATATCAGACCATTCTTTTAAAAACTGTGCTATTAACCACGGTATCAGCAGTTCCCAACGTATCAGGCCCCACACTCCCAACCCCTTTAAAACAAATATTTAAGACTCTCTTTACTATCTGGAAATAAAATATATCAAAAATGTCATTTATCTACACACAAAACTTTAAAAGTTGTACAATGGGATACTGTTTGGCAATAAAAAGGAGAAAACTACTGACACTCAAAGCAATATGGATACATCCCAAAAACACTGTGTTAAGTCAATTCAAACACAAGAGTGCATTCTTTGTGATTCCGTTTGTATGATATTTAAGAGCAGGCAAAATCAATCGATGGGATTATAAATCAGAACACTGGTTGTCTTTAAGAGGGGAGAAGGGAGAGGATTGACAATAAAGAGGCATGAGGTGAGTAGAATGACAGAAATATTCCATATCTTGATGGAGTTTTACATGTATGAGGTATATATGTGTCAAAGTTCATCAAGATGTGCACTCAAAATTTGCATTTTACTGTTTGTAATTATACCTCATAAAATAAAAGCCAATGTAAAACTAATTAATTTACAGGAGAAATAAAAGGATTTTAACATGGTATATATATATTAATGTTTAGGCTGATGTATACTTGAAGACAAAATAAAATATTCAAATACTTCCATCTGTTATTAATAAATTTGGATTTTCAATTGGTAATTTAATATTGTCAAAATGTTCTTTTTATATCACATTTTGAAGAAATGATTCACACATGTATACATAGGGACTCATTTAGAATGGGTCAGCTGTAAATGCAGACAGGTACAACGTATCATATTGGGTTCACTAATATCATGACTACTGTTGTTGAATTGATGGACTACTCTTGGAAAAGTTCACTAAAATTTTTGCAATTTTTTCCCTCAATTTACACAGTAGTTTTAATTCTGGAAAATTTAGTGAATAAACTATGAAAAACATATTTTATATTTATAAATAAAACAGTTGAATTTAAATGTCAGATAATTATACATTGAGTTTTTATCTGTAAGAATTTCCAGATATTAAAAAACCATGTGAATTGCAGGACATGTCTTCATTATGGAAGAATTTCCTCTCATGGCAGTACGCCTTGTATCCCTCGCCCTTGTTCTTCAAATGCATGTAACACTCTCCCCAATTATTGTGACAACTCTAAACTGCACACATATCGCAAACACCTCGAGGGGAGCTGTAGTAGCTGAGCTATACTCCAGATAGTACTACAAATTTAAAACTCCTTCTCAAGTGCCACCCCTTGTGCTAAGCCTTCTTTAACATTTTCCGGGATCATTAACCATCCTTTTCTGTCCTGTTAGAATCCCAATGATATTTTTGTCTTAGAAATTATCATGTTATATTTTATTTTTGGGAATTGTTGTTCTACTTGCCTATGTCTCTCCCTAAATTACAAGGTCCTTGAGGCTGGAAATGTTTTTATCTTTAACACCCAACACAGTTCAGGCATGCATTTGTTGAAAGCATGCATGAATGAATTAATATAACATTGAATGCAAACATCAAATCTACTGAGTCCACATGATCCACAAAAAGAACTGAATTTATTTTTGTTTTATTTTATTATTTGTTACAAACATACTATTATATAGTATAGTTGGGCTTTTTTAAGGATTAGAACAAACTGAGATTGAGAAACAAATAATTCTTTTAATAAGACCTCTTTTGAAACATGGTACTGGCATTAAAAAGGTAAATAAGCAGGAATATTTTACATAAAGACCTTCTTCTCATTTCCTTTTACTGAAAATTAAGATGCGATAAGTGCTATATCAAATTTTAAACCCAAGGCATCTCAGTATTATGCAATGAACAAAAAATAGAGGCAAGATTGCATAAAGAGAGCTATATTTATTTGAGAAAACAAAATGTGCTTCTTAAGATAACGCTTGGTGTCACCAATGGGAAAGTCTCACACAGGCCATTGTGCCCAGAAGGGCAGCTTTGTTTCCTCTGCGCCTAAAGCCTTATCTGGGTTCTTCTTGTTATCGATAAACAATCTGAACTTGGTCGGCATTCATAGTTGCTAGGGATATATATATGTGACCATCCTAATAATTAAGTGGCTCTAAAATTGTGATGAGATGAGCTTTCCTGATTTCCAATCCGTCTTGCTGTTGAGAAGATTGAATGACTTTTCAGACCTCTCAGCTCTTCGGAAACAAAGAGGTACAGTGTATGTATTCATCAAATCTCAGGCAAGCTACCATGGCTTTGCTCTGCAAATATGAGTGTTAGGATCTATGTGTTTATTTTTCTCATAAACCAGTAAGGGCTAATAAAATTAAGATTCCCAGAAAGGCCCACATTTTGAGATATATTTTATTTTACTATAAATATAAACAAAAATAAAACACTAGAGAACGGTCACAGTTATATGTATATAAAGTCCCTTTTGAAGATTTTTTTTTCTTTTATATGAAAGCACAGAATTCAGATCTGGTTTGGGAAAGCCAAAAGCAAAGGCCAGATCATTTACAATCTCCTCTATAACTCTTTGCTGTGGTAGGAAATTATTCCTGAATGTAATTTTGCTGAAGTCTTGTCTGGGGCATTCTGGGGACAAGTTTAGTGGACCCTTTGGGATTACCAGGTACTTGAACTCAAGGCCAGGATATTCTAACTTTGTCATTGTATTTGGGGCATTTTACTGATAAGGAATCTTTAGAAGTCTCCTGGGATAGTAGTTTTAGGGCCAGCTGAGAACACTTAAATATGTACTTTAATAAATAATGGAAAAAGCCTCTTTTTCCAAAATGCCTTTGTTCATGTATCTCATTTCTCTGGACATTTTCTCTCCACTTAGAAACATTTGTAAAGATTTTTAGAAGGTATATTGGATAGAGTCTGGAAAGCATATTGATTATTTCTGAAAGAAAATACATAGCAACTCTTAAACAAGGGGACACATTCTTATGATATCTTTGTTCCATAAATCATTATTAGAAATAACATTTTTAGGAGAAATAAAATGAGCCTACAGAATTAGATAAGTCCAAGGGTTGTAAATATACAATTTCTTGTGCAGTTTCCTCACACACATGCACTGATCAATACTCTGTTAAATAGCTGAGGGAGACCCTTTGTACATCTCAGGGGTTCTCTCTGTGTTCCTCTTTCTCCTCTCTGGCATTCAGCCCTGAGAACTCTAGTCACGATATTCTTTCCCAATTCTCAGCTTTTTTTCAACTCAAAGAGTCGGCCTTCATTTTCCATCCTTGTTGGCCTGCATTTCCCATCCTTGCTCCAGGGCCTGGAAGTTCCCACAAGAGAACGTTGGGGCAGTCATAGGTCTTCCTTTCCATCTTTCAGTCATCACTGTCTTTTGTTACCTACTGTCCAATGTCTGCAAAACTGTCATTTAAAATTTTTTCGAATTTATTTATTTATTTATTTATTTATTTTTTGAGAGGGAGTCTCACTCCATTGCCCAGGCTGGAGTGCAATGACACGATCTTGGCTCACTGCAACCTCCACCTCCTAGGTTCAAGTGATTCTCCTGCCTCAGCCTTCCAAGTAGCTGGGATTACAGGCACCTGCACCATGCCTAGCAAATTTTTGTATTTTTAGTAGAGATAGAGTTTCACCATGCTGACCAGGGTGGCGTCGAACACCTGACCTCAAGTGATTCACTCACCTCGGCCTCCTAAAGTGTTGGGATTACAGGTGTGAGCCACTGTGCCTGGGCTCATTTTGTTTTTTGATTGTTTCAGGTGGCACTATATCTGGTTTCTGTTACTTCATCTTGGCCTTGGAATGTCCTCCATTTGTGGATTTAAAAATTATAAGGAATACTTTGTGAATTTGTAACCCATATATAGTATGCTATTACCTGTTGGAGTCTTAATATCTCTATTGAGTGTATTAGTTTTATAGTTCTCCAATAGTAAATTACGACAAATTTAAGCAGCTTAAACAACACGAATTTACTATCTTATAGTATTGTAGGTGAGAATACAGTCTCACAGGTCTCACAGGCCTGAAATCAAGGTCTTGGCAAAGCTGTATTACTTTTTGTAGGCCCTAGAAGAGGACTCCTTGCTTATTTGTGCTGGCAGAACTCAATTCCTTGTACTTGTAGAACTGAGGTCCTTTTTCTTACTGCCTGTAGACTGAGGACTTTTCCCAGATTCTTTACCACATTCCTTGTCCAATGTTTTCTTTTCATCTACTTTGAAAGCCAGCAATAGTGGATTGAATTCCTCTCACATTGCAGTACTCAGAAACCACCGTTTTACCTTCTTCCTCTACCTATTTTTAAGGGCTCATGTAATTAGTACAGATAATCTGATTAATTTCCCTATCCCAAGGTCCTTAACCTTAGTCACACCTGCGAAGTCCCTTTTTGCTGGTAAGGTAACATCCACAGATTCTGGGGATTAGAACCTGAACATCTTTGGTTGTGATGTTGGTAGCGGGGGAAATATTCTGCCTACCCTACTGTGCTACTTCAATGATATCTTAGCTAATATCCATCCCATTTTACTCTGCCTGAATTATTGTTTTTGTCTGTTTGCCTTCAGCCTTTTCTTCTTTTCATACGCCTTTCACATTGCTGCCTAAGCTATCTAGCCACAGCTTGCCATGAATCCTATGTTCTCACTCCACTGAACTATCTGCAGTTTTATAATCATACAACACTATTTTATGTTTCAGTTACTTTGTTCTCTTTCTACTCTATATAAATTTTTCCTAAACATTTCTGATGATAAGAATCACATGCGATGCATATTGAACATAACTGGCCTCTACTAAGAATCAGAGAAGAATTTGAAAAGTTGCATGAACAAAAAAATAAGTCTAATTATCAGGCAAGTTTTGCAGACACTGAGGAAGCCCCTTCCTCTTCTACTCTTCTTCCTTTCCAGTTGTCAAACTCATCTTCCAGGACTTATTTTAGGTGTTGCCTTTTGAATGAAGCCTTTTTGGATCTCATTGTCCATGCCAATCAAGGACAATGTCAGTTCTGAATTTTGGGCCTCCACTGTATTGCATAATTTGTCTTCATCGTGGTACTTATCAAATGCAATTACACCTATTAATTTACAACTAGGGATTTCTCTACTTAAGTATAAATCTGAACATTTTTTTCTAGAAATGTTTTTCAGGAACTTGCATTAGAATCATCTGGATTCACTAAGGAAAAAAAAGAACAGAGAACAAATATTTAGCCCCCACTTCACACCTACCTAATCAGATGTGCTCAGGGATAGAACCTAGAAATTTATAATTCAATGAGTTGTATCTAATTTCTCTCCATATCTGTAGCACCTAGGTAATATAGAGAAAGAGATTCTCATTGCATGAGTCTGCAGTACAATGATGGGAGTGTGCTGACTGACCAAGATTAAAACACCATGAAAACATTACCACAGGAATCTCCCAAAAGTCCCTGGAAAGAAAAAGAATCTCCAATTTGTAAACGTGGAAATTTACTTCTAGGATAGATTCCAAGGATCTTGCTAGAAAAACATTAACAAACAAGCACATCGAATAATCCACCTGACTCTGTTCTGAGAAAAGAAACTTTATTATTATGCAGGAAAGGAAGCATGGCCCTGTGTATCTTCTATGGATCCACAGGAGCTAGATCATAACATGTCTTAGACTACTTTATCTAAATTAAGTTATAGAACATAGATGCCACATTTATAATGTCTGGATAGGCTATGGTTTCTCTATGGCTACAGACTAAGATGCCTGCAGAGTAATAAACTGACTTAAGATATCAACACCTAACAAGGGTCACCACCAAAAAATGAAGCTGAATATTGATAAAAATAGCCTTAAGGAAAACAAAATTTAAAGATGGAACATTTGAAAACTAAATGTGCCAGTTAATGATGATGCCAATTAATCAAGTTTCTTAAGAGGAAGGATGTTCTTATTTAAAATAACATACTAAGGTTGTAAATATCATTTGGGGAATAACCACACGATATTTTAAGAACATAAGCTATCCAAAACAGAATCCTGTTGTTCTCTAGGAATTGTTAACTATATAATAGGCACTATCTAATAACATTGTCATGGCACTCAGGAAACTCACAGTCCAGTGGAGAAGATAAATTTGTATAAACCAGCTAAAATATAAGCAGATTATAATAATTCCATAAATAGATATGTGGTTAGTATTTGAGGCATACCTTTAAAAATGGAATACATTCAATATAGGAAGTTGATAAAACTAGAAAGATAGAAGCCAGGCACAGTAGCTCATGCTTGTAATCCTAGCACTTTGGGAGGCTGAGGCAGGATAATTGCTTAAGGCCAGGAGTTCAAGACCACCTGGGCAACATAACGAGACCCCATCTCTACAAAAAATTAAAAAAAATAAAACTAGCTCAGTGTGGTGGCACATACTTCTAGTCCTAGTTACTTGGGAGGCTGAGGTAGGTGGATCTCCTAAGCCCAGGAGTTCCAGGCTGCAGTGAGCCATGATCTTGCCACTGCCCTCCAGTCTGGGCAACAGAGCAAGACCCTGTCAAAAAAAAACAAAAAACAAACAAACAAACCAAAAAACAAAGAAGAAGAGAGAAATTACCAATACCAGAAATGAAAAAGAGGAAATCATTACAGATCTGTCATACACGAAAAGATGATAAAGGAATATTATAAACAACTTAATGATCATAAATTCACTATGTAGACACAATGGACAAATTCCTTGAATGATACAGACTATAAGAGCTCATTCAAGAAGAGACAAATAACCTGTCTTATGTATGTGAACCTGTCTCATATATATATATATATATATATATATATATATATATATATATATATATATATATACAGTCTTATATATATGAAATTGAATTTCTCTGTGGATTCCCTATTGAATTCCATGACTTAAGGTTATACTAATACCTATTCTTTGTATACTCTTCCATAAAATAGAAGAATAGAGAGCTCTTCCAAACTCATAACAAACCAAAGATATTACAAAAAATTTCTCATTAATATAGTCATGATAATCCTTAACAAAATATTATCAAATTAAATTAATTCATGAGTAATAAGTTATGGCCAAATGGGGGTTGCCATAGGAATAAAGGTTTGGCTCAACATTTTAAAATCAATTAATAATTCATCTTATCAACAGACTAGAAAACAAGAACCATATAGTCATCTTCCCATAGTTAAGGAAAAGCATTTTACAAAAATCAAGGTATAGTTATTAAAAAAAAAAAAAAAAACTTCAGCAATGGGAACTTCCTGAACTCAATGAAGTGTGCCTCCAAAAAACCTGTAAGTAACATTATACTTGACAATGATTGAGAATTTTTTCCCCATAAGATTGAGAAGAAGGCAAAGATGTCTGTTATCATCACTTACATTCAATATTGGAGAGCAAGGTAAAGTAATAAGGCCTAAATAAATAAATTAAAGGCAAAAACATTTTAAAAGTAAGAAATAAAATTATCACTATTGAAGATGATATAATTTCCTACATAGAAAGTCACAAAGTATTTACAAATACATTACTACAACTGAGTAAATAATGCAAGGTAGAATGCTACAAATTCAATGTAAAAAATCAATTTTAATTCACATAATGATAAGAAAACATGCAAATAAAAATTTAAAAATATTATTTTAAAAAGTTTTAGAAAGCTTTGACTATTTAGGGATAAATATAAGTATATGCAAAATGCATATACTGGAAACTATAAAATTAAGATATACATTAGATAATTTAGACTGACTTACAAATTCTAAAAGCCAAAATTTTAAAGGTAGATGTTCATTCTTTCTGAACTGATATTTGGATTCGATTAAAAAAATGCAATCAAATTTCAGCAGGCTTTTACAAATATACATAAAAATCCACAAGCATATTCCAAAATGTATAAGAAAAACAATCTAAATAGCAAAAGAATTTTGTAAAAGAAGATGGAATTTAGAAAAATCTCACAACTTGATTTTGAGATCTACTATAAAGCTACACTAATCAATAAAGTATGGTATGGTGTACAGATACACGTATAAATCAATGGAATAGATAGCTCATGAATAGATCATACACAAGCATCAATTGACTTTCAGCAAGAAGCAAAGGTAATTGAAGGGGAAAGGATTATATTTTCCAAAAATGTAGTGCAGGAACAATCAGGCATCCATATGAGAAATAATGACTTTTCCCTTGCACCATACAAAAAAACAACTTGACATGGGTCATAGATCTAAATTTACAAGCTAAAATTCTGAACATTTTGAAGAAAACATAAGGTAAAAATCTTTGTGAGCCTGAATTAGGCAAAGATTTCATAGATGGGTCATAAAAAACTAAAGCGATAGAAAATTGATATATTAAACATCATTAAAATTAAAATCCTCTGTTCTCCAAAATAAACTATTAAGAACATTTAAAGCCAAGTTAGGAAATGGTAGGAAACCTTGAAAAATTTTTATTTGATAAGGACTTGTGTCTAGAACAAAGGACTCTTCCAAGTCAATAGAATGATCCATTCAAGAATAGGCAAAAAATTTAACGATAATTCCTCAAAGATATATAAATGACAAGCACATGAAAAGATGCTCAACATTATAAATTAGAGAAATGTAGATTAAAATCATATCAGATATCACCAAACACCTGTTAGGATAGCTAAAATTTAAGACTTGTAATACCAGTTGCTAGTGAAGACACAAAGCAAATGCAACTCTCATATGTTGCTAGCAGAAATGTTGAATGGTTCAGGCCTTTTATTAAACAGTTCAAAAATTTCTTTTAAATGTATTTTCCAAATTGTTAATTCTCTCTTTCTTTCTCAAGAATGCCAAAGAATTGAAGATTTGGTCTCTTTACATAATCTCATATTTCCTGAATTTTTGTTCATTTTTTAAAATTCTTTTTTCTTCATATTTTATCTAAGTTGATTCAAAGGACGGGTAAACATTCGCTTACCACAATAAGGCAAAAATCCACTCCTAAGTTGTTACCCTAGAGAAATAAAAACAGATGTCTGCACAAAGATCTGTATAGAATATTTATAGAAGCTTTATTCTTTATAGCCCTAAATTAGAAATAACCTAAATATCCATTATCTGATGAGCAAAAAGACAAATCAAAAATATCAATGTAATGGACTATTACTCAGCATTAAAAAGGAATGAACCACTTTTATAAGCAGTAATGTGAGAGAATTGTAAAAGAACTCTATTAGGTATAGAAACCAAACAGGATCCTGGGGACAAGATGGCTGATTAGACACAACCAGAAAGCACTGCCCCTACCAAGAGAAACCAAGGTTTTAAGTAAACCAACATACTGGACTGATCTTCAAAGAGAAAATGCTAAGAATGGATAAAGATGAGATGCAGACACTGAGGCTGAAGAGAGAAGAGGACCCTTTGTTGGGTACCAAAATGCTGAAGCTGCTTCCTTGCCCTAAATGGCTCCTTGGGAATGGGTGAGTTAAGGGACTGTGGGACTCCCTAGCTTTGCCATGGACCTCTGGGATCCAGGCTACAGCGAGTCCCATATCCCCCATGGACATTTAAGTTGACAGGAGGTTCTTCCTAGAGAGTAGACAGAGAGGAGCTTTAGCAGTGGAGGAACCCACGGGTCTTTGTGCACAGTGCAGCTTTGGCTGAGCATGGCCACAGGCGCTCATCCCTCAGAGCTCCCCATCTCCCTCCGAGAAGTTCTAGCCCCTGCTGACTGACAGGCGAGGAGAAAGTGGGGCATTTCCCTGTGGGACCGGGGCACATCTGTTCAGCAGGCCCTCCTGCCTGCCAGCTCCTCCCAGGGCCCCTGTCTGGCTGCCGTGCGGGAACATGTGCACAGCACAGCCTCTGCTACCCGGTCTGGTTGCTTCGCTCCACCGATTCACTTTTCCAGCAGGCTGAGAACACTTTGGATTCCCTAGGGCACCCAGAACTCGAATCCAAGGGTCCAGAGGTCAAAGTCACAAGCTGATCCTGGCACTTCAGGGTTGCAGTGCACAGCTTGGGAGTGCCAAGCTGCGATTTGTGGCCAGCACTCAAGTGGGAGTCTACACTCCCAGAAAACTGAGGGGATTGAGATGCATAAGTTCATGGGCTAGAGCAAGACTAGGTTGTGCCTCCTTCTGCAGGATTGACCTGGAACTGACCTCTGCCCAGGGAGCCCCATGGCCTGGAACACCTAACAGAAGAAATGCAGGTCAGTGCCAGTGATCAGAGAGGGCGTCCACGAGGCCCAGGAATGGACCTGGTGAAGGAGTCACCTCTTTGCCTCCCTCTAGCAATTAACATGGCTGCAAATGCAAGGAAATATAGAGGAGCTCTGTGGCTAAAAGCCTGTTTACTGCCCATTACTGTTAAGCACCATCTACTGGATCACAGCCCAAACTATAATACATCACTAAAAATATTTTGATAGCATATTCCTTTGTGAAACCAAGGGCAATAATTCAGATGTGAAAGAATCAGCAAGAACTCTGGCAATTTCATGTCTATGGCTATATCACCTAAAATGTGCTGATCTCATCTGATTGAGCTAAAAAGCCAGTGTCCTTTTACCTCCAAATGAATCCACTACCTCCCAAGCAATGGTATATAACCAGTCTGAGATGACTGAAATGAGACATATAGAATTCAGAATCTAAATGACAAGGAAGCTCATTGAGATTTAGGAGAAAGTTGAAATTCAATCCATGGAATCTACTAAAACAATCCAAGACAAAATAGCTATTTTAAGAAAGAACCAAACTGAAATTCTAGAGCTGAAAAATTCACTACAAGAATTTCATAATACACTCAATCAGAAGTATTGACAGAAGAATAGACCAAGCTGAGGAAAGAATCTCAGAGCTTGAAGACCTGTCCTTTGAATCAACTTAAATAAAAAGGAAGAAAAAATAATTTTAAAAAAATGAACAAAAACTCAGGAAATATGAGATTATGTAAAGAGACCAAGTCTTCAATTCTTTGGCATTCTTGAGAAAGAGAGAATAAGCAATTTGGAAAATATATTTGAGGATATAGTCCATGAAAATGTCCCTAATATCACTAGAGAACTTGACATGCAAATTCAAGAAATACAGAGAACCCTGACTATGTACTATACAAGACAATCATCCCCAAGGCATATGGTCATCAGATTTACCAAGGACAACACAAAAGCAAGCATCTTAAAGGCAGCTAGAAAGCAGGGGGAAGTCATGTACAGAGGGAACCCCATTAGGCTACCAGCAGACCTCTCAGCAGAAACCTTATAAACCAGAAGACACTGGGGACCTATTTTCAGCATCCTTAAAGCAAAGAAATTCCAGTGAAGAATTTCATATTCTGCCAAACTAAGCTTCATAAGTGAAGGAGAAATAAGATCCTCCTCAGACAAGCAAATGCTGAGGGATTCATTTTAACTAGACCAGTCTTATAAGAGGTCTTTAAGGGAACACTAAACATGGAATCAAAAGAACAACACCTGCTACCACAAAAACACACTTAAGCACATAGCCTATGGGCACTATAAAGCAACTAAACAATCAAATCTACAAAACAACCAACTAGCAACATGAAGACAGAATTAAAGTCTCACATATGAATACTAGCCTTGAATGTAAATGGACTAAATGCCCCATTTAAAAGATACAGAGTGGCAACAAGGATAAAAAGACAAGACCCAACCATGTGCTGTCTTCAGGAGTGCCATTTCACATGTAACAACACCTACAGGCTCAAAGTAAAGGTATGGGGAAAGATATGCCATGCAAACAGAAGACAAAAAAGACCAAGTCTTGCTACCCTTATATCTGATAAAACAGACTATAATCAGACTGGGCATGGTGGCTCAGGCCTGTAATCCTAGCAGTTTGGGAGGCCGAGGCGGGTGGATCACTTAAGGTCAGGAGTTTGAGACCAGCTGGCCAACATGGTGAAACCCCATCTCTACTAAAAATACAAAAATTAGCTGGGCATGGTGGCGGGTGCCTGTAATCCCAGCTACTGGGGAGGCTGAGGCAGGAGAATCACTTGAACCCGGGAGGCGGAGGTTGCAGCGAGCCAAGATTGCACCATTGCACTCCAGCCTGGGTGACAAGAGCAAAACTCCATCTAAAAAAACAAAACAAAACAAAAAACAAACAAAGAAACAAACATAAAACAGACTATAAACCAATAAAAATTAAGGACAAAGAAGGGCATTACATAATAATAAAGGGTACAATCCCACAAGAAGACATAACAATCCTAAATATACACCCAACATTTTAGCACCTAGATCAATAAAACAAGTTCTTCTTGGCCTATGAAAGGACTTAGACAACCACATGGCAATAGTGGGAGACTTCAACACCCCCCTAACAGTGTTAGACAGATAATCGAAGCAGAAAACAAAGAAACTCTGAACTTTTAAACTCTATATTTGACCAGTTGGACCTAAGAGACATCCACAGAACACTCCACCCAACAATTATAGAATGTACACTCTTCTCATCTGCATGTGGAACATATTGTAATATGACCACATGCTCAGTCATAAGGCAAGTCTCAATAAATTTTTTAAAAATTGAAATCATATCAAGCACAGTCTCAGACTATGGTGCAATAAAAATAGAAATATCAGAAGGTCTCTCAAAACTACACAAATATATGGAAATTAAACAACTTGCTCATGAATAACTCCTTGGTGAACATCAAAATTGAGGCAGAAATTTTAAAAAATCTTTGAAATTAATGAATATAGAGACACAAGTTACCAAAATATCTGGGATGCAACTAAAGCAGTGTGAAGAGGAAAGTTTACCACACTAATACCTTCATCAAGAAGTTAGAAACATCTCAAATTAGCAACTTAATATTACACCTACAAGAAGTAGAAGAAAAAGAACAAACCAACGCTAAAGCTAGCAGAGGAAAATAAATAACTAAAATTAGAGAAGAACTGAGTAAAATTGAGTGCAAACATTCATACAAAAGATCAATTAAACCAAGAGTTAGTTGTTTGAAAAAATAAACAATATTGATAGACCACTAACTATATTGTCAAGGAAAAAAAAAACAGAGAAGATCCAACTAAGTACAATCAGAAATGACAAAGATGATATTACAAATGACCCCACAGAAATACAAGAGATCATCAGAGAGTACTATAAACAATGCTATCCACACAAATTAGAAAATCTAGAGGAAGTGATTAAATTCCTGGAAACACACACTCCCCGAAGATTGAATCAAGAAGAGACTGAAACCCTGAATAGGTTAATATAGAGATCTGAAATTGAATTAGTAACAAAAAGCATACCAACTATAGAAAGCTCTGGAACATATTGTTTCACAGCCAAATTCTACTAGACATACAGAGAAGAACCGTACCAATCCTACTGAAATTATTCCAAAAAGAAAAAAAGGAGGAGGGTCTTCTGCTTCACGCATTCTATGAAGTCAGTATCACTCAGACACCAAAATCTGTCAGACACACACACACACACACACACACACACACACACACACACACACACACACGAAAACTTTAGGCCAATAACCCTGATAAACATAGGTTAAAAAATCCTCAACAAAACACTACCAAACTGAATCCAGCAGCACATCAAAAAGTTAATTCACCAAAATCAAGTAGGCTTTATTCCTGGGATGCAAAGCTAGTTCAACATAAGCAAATCAATATATGTGATTCACCACATAAACAGAATTAATAGCAAAACCATGTAATCATCCCAATAAATAAAGAAAAAGCTTTTGATAAAATTTAGCACCCTTTCAAGATAAAAACCTTCAGCAAACTAGGCATCAAACGAACATACCTCAAAATAATAAGAGCCATCTATGACACATCCATAGCCAACATCATGGGCAAAAGCTGGAATCATTCCCCTTGAGAATCAGAAGAAGACAAGGATGCCCACTTTTACCACTCCTATTCAACTTAGTATTGGAAGTCCTAGCCAGATCAATCAGGAAAGAGAAATAAAGAAATGGCATCCAAATAAAAAAAACAATGAGTCAAACTGTCTCTCTTCACTGACAATATGTATATTTTATACCTAGAAAACCCTAAATACTGACAAAAGGCTCCTAGAACTGGTCATCAACTTTAGTAATGTTTCAGGATACAAAATCAATATACCAATATCAGTAGCATTAATATACACCAATAAAGTTCAGGCTGAGAGTCAAATCCAGAACACAATCTCATTTACAATACCCACAAAGAAAATGAAATGCCTCGTAATACAACTAACCAAAAAGGTGAAGGATCTCTGCCAGAAGAACTACAAAACACTGTTGAAAGAAATCATAAAGGACACAAATAAATGGAAAAACATTCCATACTCATAGATTGGAAAAATCAATATGATTGAAATGGCCACACTGCCCAAAGCAATTTACAGATTCAGTGCTATTCCTATCAAACTACCAATGTCATTCTTCATAGAATTAGAAAAAAGCTATTCTAAAATTTATATGGAATCAAACAAGAGGTGGAATAGCCAAATCAATTTTTTTTTTTTTTTTTGAGGCGGAGTCTCACTGTGTCGCCCAGGCTGGAGTGCAGTGGTGCGATCTCGGCTCACTGCAAGCTCCGCCACCACGCCCGGCTAATTTTTTTGTATTTTTAGTAGAGACATGGTTTCACCACGTTAGCCAGGATGGTCTCGATCTCCTGACCTCGTGATCTGCCCTCGGCCTCCCAAAGTGCTGGGATTACAGGCGTGAGCCACCGCGCCTGGCCGGAATAGCCAAAGCAATTCTAAGCAAAAAGAAAAAAAGCCAAAGTTATCACACTATCCAGTTTCAGATAATACCATAAGGCTACAGTAACCAAAACATCATGGTTCTGGTACAAAAACAGACACATAGACCAATGGAACATCATAGAAAACTCAGAATTAAAGCCACACACCTATAATAATCTGATCTTTGACAAAGATGACAAAATCAAGCAATGGGGAAAGCACTCCCTATTCAATAAGTGGTACAGGGATAATTGGGTAGCCATATGCTGAAAAATGAAACTGGACCCTTACCTTTCACCATATCCAAAAATTAACTCAAGATGGATTTAATATTTAAATGTGTCTAGTCATGGTGGCTCATGCCTGTACTCCCAGCACTTTGGGAGGCTAAGGTGGGAGAATCACTCAAGTTTACGAGTTTGATACCAGCCTGAGCAATATAGGGAGACCTCATCTCTCTACATAAAAAAAGTTAGCTGGGCATGGTGCAACGTGCCTGTTGTCCCAGCTACTCGGGAGGCTGTTGGGGGAAGATCACTTGAGCCCAGGAGTTCAAGGCTGCTGTGAGCTGATTGTGCCACCTCGATTCAGCCTGGGCAACAGAGTGAGACTCTCTCTCTCACCATATATATATATATGTATATATATACACACATATATGTGTATATATATACATATATATATATAACTCATATGATATGAGATATATATCTCATATGAGATATATATATATATATATATATATATATATATATATATATATGATTTAAATGTAAGACTTCAGATTACTAAAATCCTAGGAGAAAACCTAGGAAATACCCTTCTTGACATAACCTTGGCAAAGAATTTTTGACTAAGTTTCCAAAAGCAATTGCAACAAAACAAGAATTGACAAATGGACCTGGTTAAACTAAAGAGATTCTGCACAGCAAAAGAAACTATCAACAGAGTAAACAGATAACCCAAAGAATAGAAGAAAATATTTGTAAATGATGCATCTAACAGAGGTCTAATATCCAGCATCTATAACTTAAACAAATCAACAGCAAAAAAAAAAAAAATCCCATTAAAAATGGGCAAAGGACATGAATGGGCACTTCCCCAAAGAAGCCATACAAATGGCTAACACACATACAAAAAAATACTAATTATCACTTATCATCACAGAAGTGCAAATTAAAACCACAATGAAAAACCATCGCGCACCAGTCAGAATGGCTACTACTAAAACATCAAAAACAACAGATGCTGGTGAGGCTGTAGAGAATAGGGAATACTTATACACTATTGGTGGGAAAATAAATAGTTCAGCCACTATGGAAAGCAATTTGAACATTTCTCAAAGAACTTGCATCAGAGCTACCATTCAACCTGGCAGTCGTATTACTTGGTATGTATCCAAGGGAAACTACATTATTCTACCAAAAAGACACACCCACTTATACATTCATCACTGCGTAGCAAAGACATGGAACCAACCTAGGTGCCCATCCATAGTGGACTGGATAAAGAACATATGGTACATATACACCATAGAATACTATGCAGCCATTAAAAAGAGCTAAATCATGTCCTTTACAGTAACATGGATGCAGCTGGAGGCCATAATCCTAAGCAAATTTATGCAGGAATAGAACACAAAATATTGCATGTTCTCATTTACAAGTGGCAGCTAAAAATTCAGAACATATGGATATAAAGATGGGAACAATAGACACTGCTGATTAGATGGGAGAGGGAAGGAGGGGAGCATAGGTAGAAAAACTTCCTATTGGATGCTATGCTTACTACCTGGGTGACAGGATCTGTACCCCAAACCTTGGCATCATGCAATATACTCATGTAACAAACCTGCACATGCAGCCCCTGAATCTAAAGTAAAAGTTGAAATTAAAAACAAAACAAAACAAAACAAAACATAAAACAGACACCAGATACAAAGGCTACATATTCTATGTCCATTTAGAAGACATGCTAAAAAAAAGGTCCCTATCCTACAGGGACTTTAACCAGATAATTTATTGTTAGAAGTTGGGGATGGGAGTAGGGGGTTGACTGGAAAGGGCCATAACAGAATTTTATCTTATTTTATTTTTTCACAACAGAATTTTTAAGGTGACTAAAATGTTCTATATTTGGATTCTGGTGGTGATTCCATGACTGTACACATTTGTCAAAACGTATTGAATTGTACTCTAATTAACGGTACATTTTACGTTATCTTTATTTGTGAGAAGTTAACAGCTCACTTATATGCAGGGAAGAAAATGATCAGACATGTTGATGTATTTTTTTATACCTTAATAAGTTTGACAAACAAAATAAATATCAAGAAGGTGCTGGCTGGGCGCGGAGGCTCACGCCTGTAATCCCAGCACTTTGGGAGGCCAAGGCAGGCAGATCACCTGAGGTCGAGAGTTCGAGACCAGGCTGACCAAAATGGAGAAACCCTGTCTCTACTAAAACTACAAAATTAGCCTGGCGTGATGGCACATGCCTGTAATCCCAGCTACTTGGGAGGCTGAGGCAGGAGAATCGCCTGAACCCAGGAGGCAGAGGTTGCAGTGAGCCAAGATTGTGCCATTGAACTCCAGCCTGGGCAACAAGAGCGAAACTCCATCCAAAAAAAAAAGAAGAAGAAGAAAGAAGAAGAAGAAGAAGAAGAAGAAGAGGAAGAAGAGGAAGAAGAGGAAGAAGAGGAAGAAGAGGAAGAGGAAGAAGAGGAAGAAGAGGAAGAAGAGGAAGAAGAAAAGAAGAAGAAGAAGCAGCTACCACTTTTTCTTCTCACTTGTTCTAATATAATCATAAATTTTCACTTCAATGTCCCAAGTAATTTTCTGATGCATAGTCAGGGGACTGCATGACTCATACAGTGTTGTACTCTCATATAGTCACCAGATTTATATGATTTGTGAGGGAGGTTGCCAACATAAGACCAACAGCTGAAGGAGTCACCAAACTGTGAGAAGCACAAAAAATGCCACACCTTGTATATTTCATGTCCAAAATCCCCGTGCAGGGGGATGGTACCACAAAGGTAATCACAGGAGTCAGTCTCCATTCCAATTGGAAGAAGTGCTGAATGTCAAGCAGTGTCTTGGTTCTTTCTCCAAAAGCCTCATGTCCTGGAGGAAAGGAGTTGCCATATCTGAGGGTTTTTACTTCCTGGGCTTCAGAGAGAAAGGTATTATATTTTTTCTCCAAGGCATCTAGAGTAAGGAGAGCTAGCTCTGCCCCGGTGTAGATAGATGCAATTCCAGTCATATTTCCTAGTCCACACATCTGTAGAGTGCAATAAATAAGCAACCAATTGTGTTGTGATTAGCCTGAATTTGTTAAGAGAATGTTTCTATATACTATGTTAAATTTTCCACTTTGCAAATGTCCCCCAAAGTGCTACAGAATACATCTGATATATTTTCTGGCTCTCTGAAGAAACCAGTAAGTCTCAAGCAAGTCTTCATCATCTCTGTCTCAAATAATAATAATTTCAATTCAACAATTACTTATTGAGCCCTTATGATGTTCCAGATGATAGCAAATAAAGGGCTAGGGTTCAAAAAATAAAAGACTTGGGTCTATATCCTCAAGAAGCTCACAGTTATTAATATTTCTTAAAGGAAATAATGGGATAATTTGATGTATTCTATATGTTTATGATCATATATGAGACAAAATTTTGTTTTGCCTCTATTCTTTTGTTTTCTCTTGTACTTATGGATAAGAGAACAGAGACCACAAACATTTTTTCCATTCCATCTTTGATCCCCTTCCTTAACTGTCCTAGATATTGTTTCTATTTTTCAATAAAATATTAATAACTTACAGACTATATTCCATGTGTCAGCATTCCATCGAAGATAACCTTATTCCATGTCTTCACATTTCCACTGAGGGAAGGTAATTTATATCTAATTCCCATAGGTGGAAGTACTGGAATGAAATCTTTCGAAGTATCTATTCACTCATTAGAAATATGAGTAACTGTTCTTGTTAAATTGGTGAGAATTTGAGATCTCTTGGGTAATGTATTTTAGGCAGAGTTAGTTCATTGAAAGACAATATAGAGTAGATACTCTATTTCTTATCTCTGACTTTATTAGCTCTAGTTGCACCAGATGAGGTAGGCACTTCTACTTCAACCAACTACATGCTAAGTCCTCTAGATCTGGGCCCTCTGTGTTAGAAAAGCACTACTCTCCATAATCTCTTCCAGGAACTGGAAAAGCATGTTAGCTCATACTTTCCCTACAGCCTAATTCTCTTCAATTCAAGAAGTGATGATGCATTCACCAAATTTAGCTCTTTTGGTGGGCCTTGTGTTTTGAGGATAATTGTCCCAAAATTATTAAAAGAAATACTTTTCCTTTATTTGATTCCTTGTTACTTTTGTTTTTATTTGATTCATTCAACAAACATTTATTGAACATCTATTATGTGCTAAGTGCTGAAAATATAATGGGGAATGGAAAAGCTTTTCTGAAACATTAAAAAATTTAAAAACCCAAGAATATAAAAATACAATAGGGTCATGTGATAGAGATTGGCTGTAGAGCTCTTTCTATTGCATATATAGGGAAGCCCGTTCTAAGAGGTGCTGTTTAAGCTTCATCTTAAATGACACAGTTTAATATGAGGGAGCAACTAAATGTGAAGGAAACACATAAGGGAAGATCTGGAGAGTGACACTGGTGGAGAAAACAGCCTCTATAGAAGCCCAAGAGCTTAATACAGCAGAAGGGAGACCAGTGAGTGGTTAGTTGAGGGAAGAAGTAAGAGATAAAGGGCATCCTCTAAAGTAATTTGTAGTAGCACTGCTGACTCCCCTTTTTGTTTCCCTCCTGTACTTATTTTCTATTAGTGCCTTCCACAACTGATTTCTTTCTCCTGAGCCTCAATGTTTTCACATTGTATTATAGAACTCCCTGATATAACTAATTTTTATAGAATGTAACCTTTGCACGTAAAGTCAGAATGAGTCATATTTTTCTTCCCTGAAATATTTTTAGAGTGTAATAATCTGTATTTTTTTGAATTCTGTATTTATTTTCATCTGTGTCACTGAATCAAAAATTATTATTCCTGATATTTGAACCCAAAATATTCTTCATTTTCACAAAGGTGCTTTAAAACAGTTACACATCTTAAAAGACGGATGGGTTATTTTATGAAACTCATGCTCTTTCTTGTACTTCCTATTAAAAAGAATATTATGAGCTTCCTTTCTTACTTTTTGCCTGTCTTTAGGTTTCTCTGGGTTTTATTTTTGTTCTTTCAGTAGGCATTCTTCTCGGCAGTCACACCACTATACAATTGCAGCAGGTGACCCTTAGCACACTTACAACGTTTACAGAATAAATGGTTCTTCATGCAATTATTTCCCAAGAGAAAACTAATCCTTGCGTATGTAAGTGGGATTCCTCAGTTAAATATATGTTTGACATTGCCAGGTACCTAAACAGACAGTTGTTTCACCCCTGAAAATGGTCTGAGTGAAATGCCTAAAGCATTCACAGTAGTCTGAAGAGAAAGTAAGAGGCATCTGTCAGGATCCTCCAAACAGTTCAACTTCCTAATCAGGCCATCTGAATTCCTGAGTGAAAGATAAGAAAAAAACCTTGCCTACCCATGAGCCAGTCACTCATCAGTAATAAAGCAGATGTTTAAACAAGATACACTTAGCCATGTCTGTCAGTCTGTCATTTAGTGAAGGGGTGGAGGTGCAGTGGGAAGGAAGAACAGATGAGGGAGAGGAAGTAAAGAGTCCTGTTACACATGAGTGCATGAGCAATTGATGTGCCGAAATAGAGGCTAAGACTTAAAGTAACAATGTGGCAGCCTGAGACATTGTTGCAGTCTGAGACAATAGCTGTTAACTTACTGATTTTGAAAGATGTCTAGAGAAAAAGACTAGGCCAGTGCTAGTTAAGCAGACAGAGAGAACACATTTTATACTATCTCTTATATTGATTACTTTGGTGGGCACTAAGCACATTTGGTCTGGTTATGTAAGTTTTTGTAGGCCATATCCAGAGAAGAATTTTTCTAAGAAGCTATTTTTGTTTGTTTGTTTGGCTGTTTTGCAGTGGAAATTATGTGTTTGGTGTTTGGTACTGGGCAAACAATTCAGTATTTCTGAAGTCTGATTTCCCCATCTGTAAAATGGTGTCAATAATACATATCTTGTTGTAAGAACTAGAAATTAAGTGTATAAAATGCATAAGAAATATAGCATTCATTAGTGTTGCTGGTGTGTCTTCTTGGTAGTTGGGATTGTTACTAATAACATATTTTGGGGTTAGTGTAGGAGCACGAGACTCCAAGGAGAATGCTTCATGGAAATGTAATAGGAATACCTGGGATCCTGGGAATTGTACTAAACCTTATGACTTTGGGATAAGAGGCTGCTATACAGCATCACTGACCCCTGAAATGTCTACCATTTTATGTTATAGAATTCAGTAAGATAAAAACTGACTGACCTTAATAAGATTTGGATGTCTGATGTTTAGTAGACAGGTGCTGTCCTCCGATTGGATCTACTTTTATTCTTTGAATCACCATAACCAGCAAATCAGTAGCAGTGAACTAATTGTAAAATATCAAGTTGGAATATTCCCTATAGTTTCCATATAGCACTTTTTTTTCAGAATCTCTTACTGTTTGGCTCCTCTTTGATTTCAAAAAATTTAACATTGAATTATCAGTTTTCAGGTACTGGAAGAAACTGATTGGAGCTGAGTCATATAAAAACAAATGGAATAAAAAGCTAGCCAGTTGAAAAGGCCTCTGGAGACTTTTGTGGGAATTTATGAAAAAAATCTGTTGCATTAGGCAAAAAAATAGTTTGAGGGCTGATAAAATATAGGATGACTTACAAAAGTTCCTGCAAGGCAAATTGTATGTCAGTTTATTACTCTTGAACAAGCAAAAAAGTTAATTCCTACATTGTGATTTTGGCAAAGAATATCTCTTTAAGAATTTAGTCACTAAGTGTAGAAATTTGCATTTTTTTAGCCTTAAGAGAAAGTAATAGAAGATATATATTAAATTATCTTGTTTAATCTT
This sequence comes from Homo sapiens, assembly GCF_000001405.40. Taxonomy (NCBI): domain Eukaryota; kingdom Metazoa; phylum Chordata; class Mammalia; order Primates; family Hominidae; genus Homo; species Homo sapiens. The sequence goes on from NC_000009.12 coordinate 22,418,262, forward strand.
CACAAATATATACTGAAGAAAATACCATTTTTTCCCTATTTTAAAGTTGAGGAAGTTGATAACTGAATAGATTAGGCAACTTGACAGAAGTTCCATCATAAATAATGGAGCCAGGAATGAAACTCAGTTGTCTCATTACAATATTGAAAAAGAAGGGAGTGTAAAACCTCAAATAACATCAGTAGCTAAGGGACATGGTGTAGTTACACTGATGATTAATATCAATAATGCCATTACTAAGTATTACACTAGTCAATGGATAAAATATTACTGCTGCATGATAGCGGCAAAAGTGATAAAACTGTCAAGAGATAAGATATTCAAAGCAAAAAGTCACTCACGACTCTGTACCTATGTTTAGAGGCTTTCTCACCTTTCACAGTGGATACTGTATTTATTATTTTTAATTTCTTTCCTAAATTTCAGTATGGTATTATTAATTTTAAGCTAAACTAACATTATTTTTGTAAAGTACATTTTAACAATTGTATTGGAGGCTGCAATAAATTTGTCAGGTCATTCTAATTGTTCATTTTGCCTCGGAGATGTACTCTGAAGTATGTGGAAGCAACTGGTATCACAAAATAAGAGTCATATACATAATGAAATACAAACATAATGAAGTATCATATTGTTCCATTACAGAAAAAAGGAGAAACTTTTATCTTTTGTGACTGGTGTAAGGAAAATGGACATTTTTCATAAACAAACCCTAGTGGTTTTTATTATTATTATTATTATTATTTTTTTTTTTAAAAGCCCAGGCCTCCCTCAGCCTCCCAAGCAGCTGGGACTACAGGTACACGCCACCACACCAGGCTAATTTTTGTATATTTTATAGAGACAAGGTTTTGCTATATTGGCCAGGCTGGTCTCACGCTCCTGGGCTCAGGCGATCCACCTGCCTCAGCCTCCCAAAGTGCTGGGATTACAGGCATGGGCCATCATGCCCAGCCCCTAGTGTAGTTTTAATGAAATACTAGTGTATTTTTTATGGAACCAAACTGTTGATTCGGAAGAACGTCTTAAAGTATTATTAAATATGAAGAAAATAATATATCTGCAGATTATAATCAATAAAGCATAGTTGAACATGTTAATAAATATTTTCATATCAATATCTACTTCATTTATTCTTTTATATATTCATTCATTACTCAACACACATTTAATGAGCACATACTTATATCAGAACCTGTGTTCGATGTCATAAATAATTGAAGAATGAAATAGAGGAGATCCTTGAAAGAGCTTATAGTTTCTCCCAGTCACAGGAATATAGTCCATAAATGAGAATTTTTTTTTACATGATAGTATGAAATGATGTGACCACAGAATCGGAGTTGTATAGCTCCTGGGCTTTTGATGGAAACTGGGTATGTTGAAAATTATGTGATGTTACCATATTGCTGAGGACCTAATCTATCCATATCTCATGTGATGCTTTCACATCATTCCAACAAATGATTACAGCACTTTTTTCTTCCTTTTTATTCGATCTAATGATATGGTAGCATTTATGGTCAGGACTAAAACTATGAACAAGAAGTATTTTGTGATGTTTTGCCTAAACCATTCCTGACTTTTCAAGAATGCACCTCACTTTTTAAAGAAATAAAACCAATGAACACATTTTTTTAAATTTGCTTGATTTCTTTGAATGTTGACATTGTTAACTATGTTGTTTTTCACACAATTTTTTCCTTAGCTTTTATGAACTTTCAATTTCTTCATTAAAAAAAACTGCCTTCTGTGTACTATTTTTAATGTGTGGCATTTAAAAACTATTGTTGAGTATATTTTTGTCTGCTTTTAAAATTGTGTCAGGAGGGAGTGTAAATCTAGTTTCTGTCACTTCATGAAGGTGGGAAGTAGATATTTGAGTATTCTTTTAAAGTATTAAAAACAATTTTCTTGGTATTGGAGGAACATTCAGCATGAACGTTGTTATTATTGTACTTCTACTTTTTTTTGATTAGTGTTATAATGGTAGATCTTTTTCTATCCTTTTACTTTTAATCAATATGTGTCTTTACATTTAAAGTGGGTTTTTTTGTAGACAACTTATCAGTCTTGTTTTCTGTTCCACTCTGACCATCTCTGTTTTAATTGTGTATTTAAATCATTAACATTTATGTAATTATTGATATCATTAGATTAATATCTATGATATGTACTACTGTTTTCTATCCATTATCTTTGTTCATGGATCCTATTTTAGTCTTTCAATCTTTTTCTGCCTTTTGTGGTTTATCTGAAAATTGTATATAATTCCATTTTCTTTTCTTTCTTAGCATCTTAATGCTACTTTTTTATGCTTACTTTAGCGATCTTCTTAGAGTTTGCACATACAATTACAACTCATCTAAGTACTTTTTCAAGTAATACTATACTATTTCATTGGTAGTGCAAGTACCTTATAACAAAATATTTCTAACTACTTCCTGCCCTTTGCATCATTGCTGTTATTCAGTTCACTTATACGTGAGCCATAACCATCAAATACATGGCTGCTATTATTACTTTGAACAAACTATTATCTATTAGAATAAATAAGAATGGAAAAAAAGCTTTCCTCTTCACTTATTCCTTATTTAATACTCTTCCTTTCTTAATGTAGATCTGAGTTTCTGATGTATATCATTCTCTTTCTCTCTGAAAAACTTCCTTTAACATTTCATTCAAGTCAAGTTTACTGGCAACACATTGTCTTAATTTTTATCTAAGTTTTATTTCTCCATTGTTTTTGAGGGTTAATATAATAAGGTATAGAATTCTAGGTTGGTGATTTTTTTCTCTCTCTCTTAACATTTTAAATATTTAATTATATTCTCTTTTTGCTTGCATGGTTTCTGAGAAGTGGAATGTAATTTTTGTCTTTGTTCCTCAATAGGTAAAAAATAATATTACTTCACTTTGGCTTATTCTAAGATTTTTCCCTATCTTTAGTTTTCTGAAGTTTTAAAATGATATGCCTAGGTGCAGCTTTTGTTGTTGATGTTGCTTTAGTTTTCCTGGTTTGTATTTTTGTGGTTTTGGGTGATTTTGCGGGGACTGAAGGAGGGTTAGGAATGTATCCTGCTTGGTGTTCTTTGACTTTCCTGGATCTGTGGCTTGGTGTTTCACATTAATTTGGAAAAATTCTGAGTTATTATTTCTTCAAATATTTATTTTCTTCCTTTTGTCTTTTCCTTCTGGTATTGCCATTACCTCTTATGTTACATCCTTCATATTTGTCTCACAGTTCTTGGATATTCTGGATTTCCTGTCCTTTGGTTTTTTCTTAGTAGTGCTTTGTTTTGTCATTTTTCTCTTTTTTAGTTTTGGAAGTTTCTACTGATGTATCCTTTAGCTCAGAGATTATTTTCTAGCCATGTCCAGTCTGCTAATGAGTCCATCAAAGGCATTCTTCATTTCTGTTACAGTTTTTTAAATCTCTAGCACTTCTTTTTTATTCTTTCTTAGAATTTTCATCTTTCTGCTTACATTACATTGTATTCTTGCATATTTTCTATTTCCTTCATTAGAGCCCTTAGCATATTAACCAGAGTTGTTTTAAATTTCCAATCTCATAATTCCAGCATTCCAGCCATTTCTCCATTTGGTTCTTGTGTTTTCTCTGTTTCTTCAAGCTGTGTTTTTGCCTTGTATGCAAGTCAGACATGACGTACTGGGTAGGAGGAACTTTGATATATAGACCTTTCATAATGTGATAGTAATAAGTGGGGGGAGAAAAAGTGTTCCATTTTTGTTGTTGTTGTTGTTGTTGTTGTTTGTTTTGAGATGAAGTTTCACTCTCATTGCCCAGGCTGGAGTGCAATGGCGCGATCTCGGCTCACTTCAACCTCCACCTCTCGGGTTCAAGGAATTCTCCTGCCTCAGCCTCCCGAGTAGCTGGGATTACAGGCATGCATCACCATGCCTGGCTAATTTTATGTTTTTGTTAGAGATGGAGTTTGACCATGTTGGTCAGCCTGGTCTCTAATGTCTGACCTCAAGTGATTCACCTGACCCAGCCTCCCGAAGTGCTGGGATTACAGGCGTGAGCCACTGTACCCGGCCCCATTGTTTTTTTAAAATTAGGTCAACTTTTTGTGAGCCTATGTCTCTGGGCTGGAAATTGTACCAGTACTTCTCAGTCCTTTCTCTACTTCTCCCTTAGGTAGACAAGGACAGCTAGAGGAAGCTGGAGTTGCATGTTTCTCTTCCCCATGTTGGTTAGGCTTTGATAAAACTCCAGCAGATTAGGCTCTGGTAAAGCAGTTTCTCTTGAGAGTAGGCTTTGTTAATAAGAACAGGATGCTTTGTCATGTTTCAAAATGGTTATTTCTCCCTGCCCCCACCAAAAGTGAAAGAGGGTTTTTCTCCAGCATTACATGTGAGAACTTGGTAGAGATCTTGGAGGTGAAGCTCACAAAAAATGTGGTTGCCTTTTAGAGTTTTTAATTTTCAGACTTGTGCACATTGAGCCTCCAGCAATTCATCAATTAGAATTTAGGTTTTTCTCTACTGGTACTGGTTCCTACAGAGGTTTCTGCTTCTGGGTTTCTTCTCCAATATATATGATTCTCAGGGTCTGCTTGCCTGTTTCTTCAATTTTGGGGGCAGCAGTGTGCCCTGTGATTTCACTTCCCTAATGGATATAAGAAGGTGCTGATTTTTCAGTTTGTTCAGTTTTTTATTTATTAGAATGGAATTATGACTTCCAAGAGTTTTACAGGTCAGAGTGGAAACTGGTATCTCTAAAAGTATTTATTTATTCACATTTAATGCTTTTCTCTGATGCTGGTATTTCTAGTTTTATTAGACTTTTAGCATCTGATATGGTTTAGATATTTGTCCCATCCAAATTTCATGGTGAAATATAATCCCCAGAGTTAGAGGTAGGGCCTGGTGGGAGGTGTTTTGATCATGGCGGCATATCCTTCATGAATGGCTTATTGCCATCTCCATGATAGTGAGTGAGTCCATGCAAAATTTGGGTATTTAAAAGTGTGTGGCACTCTCCTCACCCCCACCCCTGTTCTTGCTCTCACCATGTGACATGCTGGCTCTCTTCCACCATAATTGTAAGCTTCGTAAGGCCTCACCAGAAGCAGATGCCAGCACCATGCTTCCTGTACAACCTGCAGAATCATGAGCCAATTAAGCTTCTTTTTTTTATAAATTACGCAGCCTCAGGTATTTCTTTATAGCAATGCAAGGATGGAGTAATACAGCATCTTAAGAAATACGGCAATGAATTCCCTGTGTTTTGACAGTTTTGCAGAAGAAACAGCATAACTAGCACTGCTGATATAATTAAGGCAACTCTATGTTCTGAATGCCTAAATGTGTCAGGCACTTCTCTAGGTATTTTGGTATGTATTATGTCATTTAATTCCCATGTACACTCCCTATTTTTACATGGGAAGGAAATAGATTGAGAGAAGTTAAGAGTCTTGCTAAGTTTATGCTATTGATGGATGACAGTTGGGTTTGAACTTGGTTTTTCTGACTCATGTCATTTCCAATTGATAATTAACCATGCTTCCCATCTGAGTATTCTTTGTTCTCCATTTGCCGAAATAGTCACAGTTATCATTGACATTCCAGAGGAAAAAAAATTATCCTGAGAATCTTAAGTGTACTGAAAAAAAAAAAAAGGAGAGAGGATTCTTTGTTACAATTTTTTTACATTTTGTTATGTTTATTAGAGTGAGGAATTACAGTGGTGTTTTTTTTTTAAACAAGTGGTAAAAGTTATTTCCCTAAAATTATATTAATGGCCAGAGCACCTTGAGAGACAATTATCAATATTATTCTGCATTTATTGACCCCCAATTTATGTAGCTACTCTGCTTCTATTTATTATATTTAATCACTAAAGGATAAAATACTGAGTTTTTGTTTTCTAATTGGTATTTCTCTGTTTTATAAATCTTCTGTGTATTGTTAGGTATTGTATTGTAGACTGAAGTAATTTTACTTTGAGGAGGTTAGTAGCCAAAGTGGACAAGAAATGTGATGATAGGTTTTCAGGAATCATACACCACTTTTCAATTAAAATAATATAAATTATATTAATAGATGTAGAAATATTTTTGATAGATATTTTTGTATTATAAGAGATATATATAAATGTGGGTTGAGATTTGGGCAGCCAGATCTCATTTGAACTTGTCCAGACCAAAATATAAGTCATTTTGTAACTAATAGAGTATAAAATCAGGGTTTAACATGAAACCACTCTAAGTAAATCTACAAAGTGGTTATAGTTGAAAGAGACTACTGCTCTTACTTTTAATCTGATGTTAATATACTTCCTATAGAATTATATAAGGATAAATTTCATTGTTCTAAAGCCAAAGATTCAGGTAGGCATCTTAATTCTGCCATCAGAACACTTTCATCACACTTTGTTGAAGTTTTCATGAGCCTCGTTCAGGAAACTTTTTAAAGTGAGATTCTTTTGATTTTGGAATCAAATGGCCGAAAGCCAAAATACTTGAAGTAGTGACACCTTTCTAGTTCTAGAATTTCTCATAGGCTCTGAACTGGAAAGAAATGTGCCTTTCTAGCATATTTGATACTATATTTGCTGACACATGGGACAACAACTCAAGTGGCCCTCCTTCCATAGTAACCTTAAACAAGTATGCAGGTCCAGTAGAAAGAACATGAGCTTTGACATGAGGCAAATCTGCACAAATACATCAACTTTCTGCACCTGTTTTGTCACCTTAAAAGAGTGGGCATGATAATTTCATTGGAATGGTATGGGGATTGAATGAGATGATGTTACTAAGTAACATCTAGTATGGTTTTTGGCATATAGTAGACATTGATAAATATTTGTGGCTTAAACAAACACATGAGAAATTTATGTAAAAAGTAATCAGCTATCTTTCTTTCTGCTTTTAGCAGAGAGAAGATGTAAACAGAATGTAGAGTTAGGTAGCAATGTAAAAAATAAAACAGTAGTTTGAGAAAGAAAATAAAAAATATATTTACTACAAAAAAATAGTGCCTGGAAACACTCACTGTCAAATTCATGGGATAGGTTGCTTGCTATTTCAATCTAGAGTAAAATAATCCTTTGAGAAAAAAACCTAGTCAAACATGGCAGAGATTTTGTCTATGGCCCCAGTTCTTAGCCCAATTTTCAACACGCTGATACTCCGGAAACCTTCAATTGAACTCAGAAGTTATGGCAGTATTTAACTATAACTTTTGTATGTATTTGCTATTTTTGAAAAAAATTATAAATTATTTTGTCTTATAATTATGAAGTCAATTCTAAGAATGTGTCTCTTCTCTATATAATATTGTTACAAGCTATCCCATTTCACATATTTACATGTGACTCACAAAAATCTTCAGACTGTGGAAGCCATGCGAATGCACCACTCAGCTCTCCCTTTGAGAGGTAATCTGCTGCAAGCAAGGCTGCACCACAGCATTCGCACTGACTTCACACTCTCCCCAGGCTTCTCAACTTGCCTAGATTCAGGCCATTTCTGCCTGACTCAGAATTCCTCTAAGAGACAGCCTTTGCTATGTGGATCCCTACTGGCCTGACTGAGACTTTCTCAGAGGTACACTACAGCTTGAAGTTCTTCCTACCTAATCCTTCTTTCTTCTCTCTGTTCGCTGGTGTTCCGACATGCATTATGGTCTGAGGCTCTAATACCTACTATTGTTCCTACTCTCCTTTATCCTTCACAGCTGTTCCTCCAAAGAATAATGTCTTGCTCTTCTAATTCTATCTTAATGTCTCCTTCCCAGAGAACCTGAATTGACCACAGATAGACTGCTAACCAAATAATTAATTATTACATACTAATTAACATTATGTTATTAAATTTTTCATATAACTGGCAATTCCTTTTTATTTCAACAATCTCTATAATTAATAAACTAAGGCTCTTTTTTCTATATCATACACTTGAAGCACTCTGTAGTGAAATGAGTTATTTTGTCAGAGTTTCCTATAGTGATTCCAGATGCCCATAAGAACTGTCACACCTTGATCTTTTCCATGCATTTCTAATTCATGTCACTGACACATGCTTATTGATTATCAATTAGGTGATCAACATACCAAAGAAACAGTCATTAGTTTTATAAGAATAGTTTCCTATTCTTAGGAGAGGAGGTAGACATTAAATAATCATAACAAGAAAAATCAACCATGACAAGCTTATAAGTGAAAAAGGAAAAGAGGAGGAGTGAGTGAATAAGATTGAGAAGTAGAGAAGTAGGAGGGGAAGAACAACAAGAAGTTATGGTATCATGCGAGTCAAAAGAAGAGAATTCTAAGTACTCTGAGCTCAATTGTGTTGTACAAGGTGAAGACTGAAAAGAGTCTTTTGACTTGGCAGCATGAGAATCATTGGTGACCTCATGAAATGAGTGTAAATGTGGGATTAGAGAAAGGTTTGATGTATGTGTGATTTGATTTAATATGAGATGAAGAAGTGGAGATAGAATATGCAGAAAATTTTCTGGGATTTGGCTGTGAAGGAGAGAGGTAAAAAGAAATGGCATATTAGCAGAGTTGAAGGAGGAATCTGCAATGTACAAGAAGAGCATGTTGGTGGCCTATGACAAGGAATTGGTCAACAACCAGAAACTAAGAAGATAGCAAAGAATGAGGATACCTGGTTTTTTTCCATCATAACTCATTCTCTTACTTTTAACCTAAAATCAAATTTCAAATGTCCATAGCACTGTTGAGAACCTGACAATCTCAGAAACTATTGACATAAAGACACATCTCTCCATCTGCCAGTGTGTGAAACCTGATAGACTACATGTAGTTAAAGAGGAGAGCAGGTATTTGAGCAGGGCAGAAACTGACCTCAGGTAAGCAAAACTGTGTATATTTTAAAAACTATACAAGCTCAAATAATCTGGAAGCAATTCATGTCTAAAAGTTCATACCATTCAACTGATTTCTTAAAACTCCAGAGATACCCATAGAAAACATTAAGAGGGAATCAACCCCTCAGAAGTTTAGAATTTGAAAGACTGTAGGATATCATTCTATATTTTAAATGCTTGTAGACATTATTGATTATAGTGTACATTTTGCATTTAGAATTGAAGCTTTTTTGCTTTTGGATTCATTATTGAGGCATGAAAACTTGAGTGATCTCTGAGGATTTCAACATTTGCAGTGTGGTGATGACCGAGCTGGGAAAATCTATTTGTTTTGTCCCTTTAGTTGTTAAATATTTCTCAACTCAATGAGAATTTTGAATATATCAGAAGACTGTAAATTAAAGATTACAAATTGTTGTTACTGAACCAAAATACTAGGTGTTATGTTTTTTCAGGCTTATTTTCTCGCTCTGTTTCAGATTATTGTTTTTTGTTAAAACGCAAATATAGATATTATTAATTGTACTCTATCAACATAGAAAACCAATCAATACTAAGGGTACTTTGAACTCTAACCCTCTATGATGCTGCGTTGAATTCCATCTATAATAACCTTTAGAGACATGGTTTCAGTTTTGCATATGTGCTTTATGAATTAGGAGGTGTTGTATTGATAGAATTATAGAAATTTAAACCAGGAAGAGACTTCAGGAATCCTATACTTTATGGCTCTCGATACTTTATGGCTCTCAATCTCAATGTGGGCTTGAAATACTATGTAAAATTTTGTTCATATTTGCATTTGTTTAGATTCTCATGGCTTTAATCAGATTCTTAAAGTGACTAAAATTTTAAAAAAATCTAAAATTACATTTTACAGAAGAGTAAACTAATGCCTTGAGAATCAAGGCCTTTCCCCAAATCACACAAAGCTCTAGTAGGATGATTTACATTATTATGGCATGCTTGTTACTCTGAAATCCATGAAATCAAACCAAACATATTAATATCTTCTTTACTGCTCAAGTGATTTGTTAGGTTAAATTTGTTGCATGCTGTACTCGACTGTTAGGTACTTTCGCAAAGCTTTAATTTTTTTATGAGAAAAACTTAAAATGTTAGAGGAAATAGAAATATTTGCATTTGATGCAAAAAATAAACAGAAACTATTAAAGTGAAGTTTATCAAATTAGATGCTGAGAAGAAATATACATTCTCATCTTGCATTGCACTGACCCTTTGCTAACATGATTAGTTCAAACCTGAGAATAAATGGAATGTGTCCACTATTTTTCTGTTTTTCTATCTCAAAAGTGAAGTGAATAGATATCTCGATAGAGCTCAGCTGCCATTTTCATTGACTTAATGAGTTTCTTAATGCACTCCATTGTGTCTCAGTATTAGAGAAACATATGGCACATTTAACTTTTAAGTATGAATTTATTAAATGTTTTATTGTGTAATTTTCTCCTGTGATTTTATAGTTTCTTTAAGAAATTATATATATGTATATATATATATATATATATATAAAATATGGTATGTTAATATATATGATATATATGCCAGTTGTACTATTTGCATGAATATATGAATGAAATGGCTTTATCTTCTTAGAAATTACCAATAACCTTATGTTCTAGAGGAAAAGGCTAAATAAACAACATAAAAGACAACCTAATTTTAAAGCATTTGTAAATGTTTAAGGCTTTTTGGAAAAGTACTAACAATATAGAAAAAGGTGCAACAAGAAAGTTTGGGTCAGTGATTTTATTTATTAGAGTATCATGAAATAATTGCATGAATGGCCTAAGGAATTAGGCATAATTATAATTTAAAGATATTGAACCAATAAAGGATTTTTTAAGAGTAGAAATGCAATTAATTAGGGTTTCAGAAAAAAAATTGGGAAGAGAAACATCAACAAATAGGCTTATTTATTTATTTATTGGTAATATTTGTTCTGACCCTCATTTGATAATGGAATTCAAGTTATATGTCTTCACATAAATCTCATTACACCATTATAAATGACTAATTATGGTAAAGCTCAACATGAGAATTAAATCATTCCCTGGGGCCACCTGAAAGAGTCCAGTGTTAACTGCATTATGGCACTGGGTTTTGATGTGCAGCTATTATTTTCCAAGCTTTGACTTTGAAGACATTGATCAAAAACTACCACCTTCTACCATGCACAATAACCCTGTCAGAGGCTTGACAACACCTCATAACAACCACCTTACGCTCACAAAGAAATGAATTTCAAAACCAAAAGATGTGAATGGCAAGGAGCCAGGAAGGAACTGGTTTACCAAATTTACCTCTTATTTAGAATCCTTGTTGTGAATGAAAGCCATTTTTTACTCACATGGATTTTTAATTGGGACACTTCTAAGAAAAGCTCCAGAAGACAGACTCTGGCAGGGCAAAAGATAAAAACAAATGACAGAAATGTATAATATCTTTGAAAGTCAGTTTCATCATATTTTACAACAAAAATGAGCAAAATTATCTTTTTAGTTCCTATAGCAATTCCTTCTGAAGAAATAGGGATTGGAGATATTTAAGGAATTGATTTGTACATCTTGTTTGTGTTCAGTCAGTGGAATATAGTAGGACCTAACATTAAAATATATCTTTTGCTTTAAGCTAAACAATTTGGTTTCCAAAATGGGCATTTATGAACTGTTTTTTTGCAATTATTTATTTTATGAAAGCCTTTAAGTATTTTTCTAATGCCTAATGGCAGGGTCTCACCACAATTACCTTGAGAGGGAAAACCAACCATTGAATCCAATATCAGGTTTTGAAGGGAGTGAAAGGTATCTAACCTGAATTTGGTTACTCTGGAGAGTAAAAGGAAAGCATGTTTCAAATTTCCAGTGGTAAAAGTATCAACAAGAAGTTTCACTTCTGTTTTACTGCTATTTATAGGGGTGTGTGGGAAAGAAAGAGAAAGGTGGAATAAGAATGCCATCATTAAAGTTTGCTAAGATGAGACATGTAAAGTATGGAGTTTTGAAGTTTTTAAATCCTTTTTAAAACTTCATACATTCTTTTTAAATTGAGACTGTTGTTAGCTGAAAGAATAGATGCGTTTTTGGGTTGCTAATGAGTCAGCCAGTAAGTGCCTTTTCTGCATAACTCTGCTATGAAGAACTCTACCTAACAGATTCCTTTGTGAGTCTGTATTACAGAGGTAGTTGCCCTGATTTCTGGGGAGAATCAGGAGTTTAGTAAGAGTTTTAATATTAGACTACCTTGGGGATTTGTACTCTGAAAATCTGTTTTCTTATTTGTAAAATTAGGATAATATAATTGGCTTCAATAAGGTGACTGTGAAGATTAAATGACATAATGTATCTAAAGCCCTAACCACAGAGCATGAAACATAATAAGCAGCTCTTATAAAGTAGCTATAATAATTAGAAAGAGATGTCTGTCATATTCAGAAGATTCTTTAGGATGGTAACATTTTATGAGAGAAGTTTTTTGGTTGTCTATAGTTTTTTTCTTAACTAATTCACCTAGGATGCAATGTTTAATTAAATTTCTTACTAACATGCTTCAGTATTTAATATGTGCTTATTTATTCTGCTATAACTTCTAATAGCAACATAGAGAGCTTTCACATACTTTCTGAATGAAACTGTATTGCTGTCTAAGGACTGAATTGTGAGGAAATGTTTCACATACATTAATTTATGAAGGTGGGTTCTACTCAGTGTAAGACAAATCACAATGATTATCTCAATCCCTAAGCATGGATTTACTTTAAATATCCTATGAGTTAAAAAAAACAAAAACAAAAAACAAGAGTTTCAAAGTTCTGAGCCCTATTTACATGGTAGAGTTAGCCCCATTAGGTCAAAGAAGCTAAATAAAGAGCATAGCTTTTGAACATGTAGATATACAATTAACCACAATGGCACCAAGGTTTCTTGTTATAGTCTTTAAATCAGCAACACTCCTTTATAAAGAACTGCTTAAATCATCACATTCACAATAGTCTGTGTAATTTACTCAAAGAAGGATCAGGCAGGGTACGTTACAATGATTGGAGCTTTTGCTATGCTTTGCTTCAATTCCCCCCAGTCATACTTAACCAGAAATTTGCAAAATGGTGATTATCTTTCTATGAACTGAGGTGTTATAGAATTATTTTCCTTATGGAGTTTTGGGTTATCGCTATTATTTTAGAAGGCAGAATTGGTTTCCTACTAAGAAAAAACACTGCCACTTAAGAGAAAAAGAAAAAATACGTGGGATGATGATGAAATGAGCTGTGTATTAGAATTCAAATTCATACAGCCTTGTTAGAAAAAAAAAGCCAAGAACATAATCAAAAGCTTTAAAAGTATTTACAACATTTAATTCAGTACTTGTATGTATAGCGATTTATTCTAAGGAGGTAATATGAAATACAGAAAGTGCTTTATGCTTATATGTTCATCTCATTATTTACAACTGAGAGAAGATGAAACTATGAATGTCTAAAACTAGAAGAATTAAGTAATTGTCCTATGACGAAATAATGGAAAATTACATAGCTATTAAAGTTGACATTTGCAAAATCTGTTAAAATGAGAAATCTTTGTGTCACAAAATTAAGTTAAATGTATTATATATAAACAATATTATCATAACTTTTTATATGAAGAAAAAATGTAGAAGTAAATACACTAACACATTAATCCATCATATTCATAAGCAACTATATGTGTTTGTATCTAAACATTTTGAAAAATACTGAAATGCATTCATTGGCATGAACTGTGGAGTTTTGTAAGATTTTTCCTACAAGAAAAACATAAAATACTTTGATTTAACATTAATGAAAGTTGTAAAATAAAGTAAACAATAAACCATGCTTAAAAAAGAAATTACACTCCAACTTATATAAAACTCAAGGTTGAAAAACAGGAAAAGATTAGTTTTTAGTGTGCTGGAAATTACTTCTCAACCGTTTTTATAACATAAAGGCAAAGCAATGTGATGTTAATGCCTATTCAGCCAACTTAAATGTAAGTCCTGTGACATCCATTCTTTGTTTTCAAAGACATATTGAGCATTTACTATGTACTAGGAATTTAGAAAAAAAACATATAAAAAAGGATACATCTCCACTTATGTATTTCTTAGTTATTTATGATTCCAAGTAAGCATCTTCAACTTGTGTGAAAGAGCTTGTAAAGCAACAAAACAGAACACATTCTATTCTGTTTCACAATTTGTATCCCCCTGAAAGTGGGGGAACAATGTCTATAGCATCCAACTGGTTTCCAGCTATCCCAGAGCAAGGAATCAGAGATTATGTCCTCTCAGGATGTCTTATTTCCTAAGAGCCACAATACTGTGGTTAGTTGAAGCTTTGGTGTAATGAATTATCTCTCCCCAGCCTCATGGTATCCCCAGGGGGATGTAAGTACTGGTAGGAATCGGTTCTTAGAGTGATATTTCTTGGCCAGTTATATATATATCACCAAACATGTCCATCCCTTTCCCAAAAATACTCCAGGAAAGAATAATATCCCAGAGGAGGCCGATTTCTGCTCAGACCTGAGGTGCCTAGCCATTTAATGACCTACAGTCCAAGGGCTGAAATTCCTGTCGTCCAGCAGACTGTGGCCTCCCATCCATGATAATGCTCAAATGCATTGAAGTATCCCAGGAAAAGAGAAATAGAATTCAAAATTCCCTCCAAAACTGCATATACACTTTACCTTTCTCTTACCAATAGTTTAGCTGAGGATATTCTATGATCTTTTTTCTTTTCATCTTCTGTCACTTGCCTTCTTGGCTAATTTCTTGTGATATATTGTGTTTTTTCACACTCAATTATGTAACACAGGTATACTTTGTTTCTGACTAGGTTCATGTTCGTCTTCTCAAGGTTTTCTATAATATGGATACATCACAGTTTGTTAGTCTATTCATGTGTTGATGATTGATGTTTTCCAATTTGCAGCTGTACAAATAAAACTACTTTAAAATGTCAATGTCTTTGTATGGACATTTGATTGTTTCTTTTGGGTAGATAACTAGGAATGTAACGGTTGGATCATATGGTAGATGATATTTAACTTTTTAAGAAACTGTTCATCTATTTTTCAAGGTGGTTGTACTATTTTACATTTCTACCAGCAGTGTATAAAAGTCCCAGCTGCTTCATGTCCTTGTCAATACTTGGTATGATCAATCTTTTTAATTGTAGTCATTGTGATATGTATACGGTAGTATTTCATGTTTGGTTTAATGTGCATTTCCCTCATTACTAATGGTGTGTAGAATATTTTCTTGTGCTTATTTTCTATCCATATATCTTCCCTGATGACATGTTTATCCAAATATTTTGCCCACTGAAAGGATTGCTTTTCCTATCAAGTTTTGAATGTTCTTTGTATATTCTGTGTATAAGTTCTTTATCAGATATATGTGTTTCCTCTATTTTCTTCCAGTCTATGGCATGACTTTTAATTATCTTAACAGAGTCTTTTGAAGAAGAAAAATATTTAATTTTGATGAAGCACAATTTATTAGTTGTTCTTTTATATACTCCAAAATTATGTGAGAGGTGACAGTGTCCTAGCAGCCCTTATTCACTCTCGGCGCCTCCTTGGACTTGGCATCTGCTCTGGCCATGCTCAAGGAGCCCTTCAGCCTGCTGCTGCGCTGTGGGGGCCCCTCTCTGGGGCTGGCCCAGGCCGAAGCCAGCTCCCTCTGTTCGCGGGGAGGTGTGGAGGGAGAGGCATGGGCGGGAGGTGGGACTGCGTGCGCGGGATTCCGGTGGGTGCGGGCTCAGTGGCCCCACACTTGGCGTGGCCTGCCAGTGCCTGCTGGGCTTGATTGGGGGATGAGCTCCCTCTGGGCTGCCGGAGTGCCCAGGCTAGGTGCTGCAAAGTCCCGCTGCAAGTGCCATTGAGAGGTGAAGCTGGCTGGGCTTCTGGGTTGGGTGGGGACTTGGAGAACTTTTCTGTCTAGCTAAAGGATTGTAAATGCACCAATCAGCACTCTGTGCCTAGCTAAAAGTTTGTAAACACACCAATCAGCACTCTGTGTCTAGCTAATTGGGTAGGGGATTTGGAGAACTTTTGTGTCTCACTAAAAGATTGTAAACACACCAATCAGCACTCTGTGTCTAGCTAAAGGTTTGTAAACGCACCAGTTAGCACTCTGTCAAAACAGACCCATCAGCTCTCTGTAAAATGGACCAATCAGCTCTCTGTAAAATGGACCAATCAGCAGGATGTGGGTGAGGCCAGATAAGGGAATAAAAACAGGCCACCAGAGCCAGCAGCAGCAACCTGCTCGGGTCCCCTTCCACACTGTGGAAGCTTTGTTCTTTCGCTCTTCACAATAAATCTTGCTGCTGCTCACTCTTTGGGTCCCTGCTGCCTTTAAGCACTGTAACACTCACTGTGAAGGTCTGCAGCTTCACTCCTGAAGCCAGCAAGACTATGAACACACCAGCAGGAATGAACAACTCTGGATGGGAGGAAGGAACAATTCCGGACGTGCCACCTTTATGAACTGTAACACTCACCTCAAAGGTCTGCAGCTTCACTCCTGAAGCCAGTGAGACCTCGAACGCAGTGGGAAGAATGAACAACTCTGGACGTGCCGCCTCTAAGAGCTGTAACACTCACCGCAAAGGTCTGCGGCTTCACTCCTGAAGTCAGTGAGACCACGAACCCACCAGAAGGAAGAAACTCCGGACACATCTGAACTTCTGAAGAAACGAACTCCGCACACACCATCTTTAAGAACTGTAAGAGTCACCACGAGGGTCCACGGCTTCATTCTTGAAGTCAGCGAGACCAAGAACCCACCAATTCTGGACACATTTTGGCGACCACGAAGGGATTATTGCCTATCGCCAAGTGGTGAGACTATCGCCTATTGCTTGTCGGTGAGACCATCGCCTATTGCCAAGCGATGAGTACCATCAGATCCCTTTTGCTTGCTATTCTGTCCTATTTTTCCTTAGAATTCGGGGGCTAAATACCGGGCACCTGTTGGCCAGTTAAAAGCAACTAGCACTGCTGCCGGAATAAAGACACGGGTGTGAGGCTTTCTGGGAAAGGGTTCTCTAACAACCCCTAACTCTTCGGAGTTGGGAGTATTGGTTTGCCTGGAACCAGCTTCCACTTTTCCTGTACTTCTGGGCTGAGCCGAGGGTTGACAGAGAGGAAAGCCATTCAGCTCTGGGCTCCCGACAACAAGTTGGTTGACCCTGTGGCCATGAGCAGAACTCTCAAAGGCATGTCGCCCAAGTGAGAGTTGCCCATCTATCCTATCTATCCTGACCCTTGCCCCCTGGGTCCTAATGCCAGCCTCTTGCCTCTCTTCTCTGAGGCTAGCCCTGCTTCTAAAAACTACTCCTGTCTCTGGTGCTTTTTTAGTTTCTCCTATAAGAATGATTTCTAGTATAAACTTCAGGACTCTGTTACCTTCTTTAGGCACCCAGGCTCACCAATCAGAAAGACATAACTTTTGCCCAAAGCCCCATTGTAGGGGGGACTATCTGGAATTTTAGGATCCCTCCTCAGACTAGCAGGCGTAACAAAACTATTCCTGAAGCTAGGATAGGGGGAGCCTCAGAAATTGTATCCTTTCTATTCAAATAAGTGAGGACAAAAGGCATCACTCTTCCAACTCTGGAGATCCCTTCCCTCTCTCAGGGTATGGCCCTCCACTTCATTTTTGGGGCATAACATCTTTATAGGACATGGGTAAGGTCCCAATACTAACAGGAGAATGCTTAGGACTCTAACAGGTTTTCGAGAATGCGTCGGTAAGGGCCACTAAATCCGAGTTTTCTCGGTCCTCTTTGTGGTCTAGGAGGACAGGCAAGGGTGCAGGTTTTTGAGAATGTGTCGGTAAGGGCCACTAAATCTGATTTTTCTCGGTCCTCTTTGTGGTCTAGGAGGACAGGCAAGGGTGCAGGTTTCTGAGAATGCATCAGTAAGGGCCACTAAATCCCACCTTCCTCTGTCCTCCTTGTGGTCTGGGAGGAAAACTAGTGTTTCTGCTGCTGCGTCAGTGAGCGCGACTCTTCCGATCAGCAGGGTCCAGGGACTGTTACGGGTTCTTGGGCAGAGGGAGAAAAAAACAAACCAAAACCGTGGACGGTTTTGTCTTTCAGATGGGAAACACTCAGGTATCAACAGGCTCACCCTTGAAATGCATCCTAAGCCTTTGGGACCAATTTGACCCATAAACCCTGAAAAAGAGGCAGCTCATTTTTTATGCGCTATGGCCTGGCCCCAATATTCTGTCTCTGATGGGGAAAAATGGCCACATGAGGGAAGTACAAATTACAATACTATCCTGCAGCTTGACCTTTTCTGTAAGAGGGAAGGCAAATGGAGTGAAATACCTTATGTCCAAGCTTTCTTTTCATTGAAGGAGAATACACAACTATGCAAAGCTTGCAGTTTACATCCCACAGGAGGATATTTCAGCTTACCCCCATATCCTAGCCTCCCTATAGGTCCCCTTCCTATTAATCATAAGCCTCCTCTAATCTCTCCTGCCCAGAAGGAAATAAGCAAAGAAATCTCCAAAGGACCACAAAACCCCCCAGGCTATTGGTTATGTCCCCTTCAAGCTGTAGGGGGAGGGGAATTTGGCCCAACCCGGATACATGTCCCCTTCTCCCTCTCAGATTTAAAGCAGATCAAGGCAGACCTGGGCAAGTTTTCAGATGATCCTGATAGGTACATAGATGTCCTACAGGGTCTAGGGCAAACCTTTGACCTCACTTGGAGAGATGTCATACTACTGTTAGATCAAATCCTGGCCTTTAATGAAAAGAATGCGGCTTTAGCTGCAGCCCGAGAGTTTGGAGATACCTGGTATCTTAGTCTAGTAAATGATAGAATGACAGCCGAAGAAAGGGACAAATTCCCCACTGGTCAGCAAGCCGTCCCCAGTATGGATCCCCACTGGGACCTTGACTCAGATCATGGGGACTGGAGTCGTAAACATCTGTTGACCTGTGTTCTAGAAGAACTAAGGAGAATTAGGAAAAAGTCCATGAATTATTCAATGATGTCCACCATAACTCAGGGAAAGGAAGAAAATCCTTCTGCCTTCCTTGAGCGGCTATGGGGAGGCCTTAAGAAAATATACTCCCCTGTCACCTGAATCACTCGAGGGTCAATTGATCCTAAAAGATAAGTTTATTACACAATCAGTTGCAGATATCAGGAGAAAGCTCCAAAAGCAAGCCCTGGGCCCTGAACAAAATTTGGAGGCATTATTAAACCTGGCAACCTTGGTGTTCTATAATACGGACGAAGAGGAACAGGCCCAAAAGGAAAAGCAAGATCAGAGAAAGGCCGCAGCTTTACTCATGGCCCTCAGACAAACAAACCTTGGTAGTTCAGAGAGGACAGAAAATGGAGCAGGCCAATCACCCGGCAGGGCTTGTTATCAGTGTGGTTTACAAGGACACTTTAAAAAAGATTGTCCAATGAGAAACAAGCTGCCCCCTCGTTCATGTCCGCTATGCTGAGGCAATCACTGGAAGGTGCACTGCCCCAGAGGACAAAGGTTCTCTGGGTCAGAAGTCCCCAACCAGATGATCCAACAACAGGATTGAGGGTGCCCAGGGCAAGTGCCAGGTCATGTCATCACCCTCACTGAGCCCCAGGTACGTTTAACCATTGAGGGCCAGGAAATTGACTTCCTCCTGGACACTGGTGTGGCCTTCTCAGTGTTAATCTCCTGTCCTGGACGACTGTCCTCAAGGTCTGTTACCATCCGAGAAATCCTGGGACAGCCTGTAACCAGGTGTTTCTCCCACCTCCTCAGTTGTAATTGTGAGACTTTGCTCTTTTCACGTGCCTTTCTTGTTATGCCTGAAAGTCCCACACCCTTATTAGGGAGAGATGTATTAGCCAAGACTGGAGCTATTATCTACATGAATATGGGGAACAAGTTACCCATTTGTTGTCCCCTACTTGAAGAGGGAATCAACCCTGAAGTCTGGGCATTGGAAGGACAATTTGGAAGGGCAAAAAATGCCTGCCCAGTCCAAATCAGGCTAAAAGACCCCACTACTTTTCCTTATCAAAGGCAATATCTCTTAAGGCCTGAAGCTCATAAAGGATTACAGGATATTGTTAAACATTTAAAAGTTCAAGGCTTAGTAAGGAAATGCAGCAGTCCCTGCAACACCCCAATTCTAGAGGTACAAAAACTGAATGGTCATTGGAGTCTAGTGCAAGATCTTAGACTCATCAATGAGGCAATAATTCCTCTATATCCAGTTGTACCCAACCCCTATACCTTGCTCTCTCAACTACCAGAGGAAGCAGAATGGTTCACTCTTCTGGACCTCAAGGATGCCTCCTTCTGTATTCCCCTGCACTCTGACTCCCAGTTTCTCTTTGCCTTTGAGGATCCCAGAGACCACACCTCCCAACTTACGTGGATGGTCTTGCCCCAAGCATTTAGGGATAGCCCTCACCTGTTTGGTCAGGCACTGGCCCGAGATCTAGGCCACTTCTCATGTCCAGGCACTCTGGTCCTTCAGTATGTGGATGATTTACTTTTGGCTACCAGTTTGGAAGCCTCGTACCAGCCGGCTACACTAGATCTCTTGAGCTTTCTAGCTAATCAAAGGTACAAGGTGTCTAGGTGGAAGGCCCAGCTTTGCCTATAGCAGGTCAAATATCTAGGCCTAATCTTAGCCAGAGGGACCAGGGCCCTCAGCAAGGAAAAAATACAGCCCATACTGGCTTATCCTTGCCCTAAGACGTTAAAACAGTTGCGGGAGTTCCTTGGAATCATGGGCTTTTGCCAACTATGGATCCCCAGATACAGCAAGATAGCCAGGCCCCTCTATACTCTAATCAAGGAGACCCAGAGAGCAAATACTCATCTAGTAGAATGGGAATGAGAGGCAGAAATAGCCTTCAAAACCTTAAAGCAGGCCCTAGTACAAGCTCCAGATTTAAGCCTTCCCACAGGACAAAACTTCTCTTTATACGTCACAGAGAAAGCAGGGATAGCTCTTGGAGTCCTTATTCAGACTCATGGGACAACCCCACAACCAGTAGCATACCTAAGTAAGGAAATTAATGTAGTAGCAAAAGGCTGGCCTCACTGTTTATGGGTAGTTGCGGTGGTGGCCGTCTTAGTGTCAGAGGCTATCAAGATAATACAAGGAAAGGATCTCACTGTCTGGACTACTCATGATGTAAATGGCATATTAGGTGCCAAAGGAAGTTTATGGCTATCAGATAACCGACTACTGAGATACCAGGAGCTACTACTTGAGGGACTGGTGCTTCAAATACATATGTGTGTGGCCCTCAACCCTGCCATTTTTCTCCCAGAGAATGGGGAACCAATTGAGCATGACTGACAACAAATTATAGTCCAGAATTATGCCACCCGAGATGATCTCTTAGAAGTCACCTTAGCTAATCCTGACCTTAACCTATATACCAATGGAAGTTCATTTGTGGAGAATGGGATACAAAGGGCAGTTATGCCATAGTTAGTGATGTAACCATACTTGAAAGTAAGCCTCTTGCCCCAGGGACCAGTGCCCAGTTAGCAGAACTAGTGGTACTTACCTGAGCCTTAGAACTGGGAAAGGTAAAAAGAATAAATGTGTATACAGATAGCAAGTATGCTTATCTAATCCTACATGCCCATGCTGCAATATGGAAAGAAAGGGAGTTCCTAACCTCTGGGGGAATCCCCATTAAATGCCACAAGGAAATCATGGAGTTATTGCATGCAGTGCAAAAACCCAAAGAAGTGGCAGTCTTACACTACCGAAGCCATCAAAAAGGGGAAGGAGAGGGGAGAACAGCAGCATAAGCAGCTGGCAGAGGCAGAGAAAGACCAGCAGAGAGAAAGAGAGAGACAAAGTCAAAGAAGGAAAGAGAGAAAGAGACAGAAAGTCAGAGAGAGAGGAAGCGAGAGAGAAAGAGAAAGAGATAGAAAGTCAAAGAGAAGGAGACAGAAAGGAAAGAGTGAGAGAGACAAAAAAAAGAAAGGAGAAAGAGTAAAAGACAGACAAAGAGGGAGTCAGAAAGAGAGAAAGAGAGAGACAAAGGAGAAGTTGAAGAGAAAGAAAGAGAGATGGAAGTAGTAAAGAAAAAACAGTGTACCCTATTCCTTTAGAAGCCAGGGTAAATTTAAAACCTATAATTGATAATCAGAGGTCTTCTCCATGACCCTATAACACTCCAATACCACCTTGTTGTCAGTGCAAACAAGGGCATAGCCCAAAAGCACTGAGGCCACTGACAACCCGTAGCCTTCCTATCAAAAATCCTTAACCCATCAGGTTTCCTACAGGAAAAGCTTCTCAAATCAGACAATGCCTTTCAAACTCTTATACCAACCTCTGGATTTGGGCAACATGGCTTCTCCCCTTTCTAGGTCCTGTGGCAGCCATCTTGCTGTTGCTCAGCTTTGGATCCTGTATTTTTAACCTTCTTGTCAAATTTGTTTCATCCAGAATCGAGGCCATCAAGCTACAGATGGTCTTACAAATGGAACCCCAAATGAGCTCAGCTAACAACTTCTATCAAGGACCCCTGGACCGACCCACTGGTCCTTGCACTGGCCTAAAGAGTTCCCCTCTGGAGGACACTACAACTGCAGGGCCCCTTCGTTGCCTCTATCCAGCAGGAAGTAGCTAGAGCAGTCATTGGCCAAATTCCCAACAGCAGTTGGGGTGTTCTATTTACAGTGGGGATTGAGAGGTGACAACGTACTAGCAGCCTTCGCTTGCTCTCAGCACCTCCTTGGCCTTGGCGTCTGCTCTGGCCATGCTCAACGAGCCCTTCAGCCTGCCGCTGCACTGTGGGGGCCCCTCTCTGGGGCTGGCCGAGGCCGGAGCTGGCTCCCTCTGTTCACGGGGAGGTGTGGAGGGAGAGGTGCGGGCGGGAGCCGGGGCTGCATGTGTGGTGCTCGCTGGCCAGCGCAGGTTTTGGGTGGGTGCAGGCTGGGCAGGCCCTGCAGTTGGCATGGCCAGCTGGCAACTGCTGGGCTTGATTGGGGGATGAGCTCCCTCTGGGGTGCCGGAGTGTCCAGGCTAGGTGCCACAAAGTCCCGTGGCGAGTGCCATTGAGAGGTGAAGCCAGCTGGGCTTCTGGGTCGGGTGGGGACTTGGAGAACTTTTCTGTCTAGCTAAAGGATTGTAAATGCACCAATCAGCACTCTGTGTCTAGCTAATTGGGTAAGGGACTTGGAGAACTTTTGTGTCTAACTAAAGGATTGTAAATGCACCAATCAGCACTCTGTCAAAACGGACCAATCAGCTCTCTGTAAAATGGATCTATCAGCTCTCTGTAAAATGGTCCAATCAGCTCTCTGTAAAATGGACCAATCAGTAGGATGTGGGTGGGGCCAGATAAGGGAATAAAAGCAGGCCATGCGAGCCAGTAGTGGCAACCCATTCAGGTCCCCTTCCACGCTGTGGAAGCTTTGTTCTTTCACTCTTCGCAATAAATCTTGCTGCTGCTCACTCTTTGGGTCCACGCCACCTTTAAGAGCTGTAACACTCACAGTGAAGGTCTGCAGCTTCACTCCTGAAGTCAGTGAGACTACGAACCCACCAGAAGGAAGAAACTCTGGACACATCTGAACATCTGAAGGAATAAACTCTGGACACACCATCTTTAAGAACTGTAACACTCACCACGAGGGTCCGCAACTTCATTCTTGAAGTCAGCAAGACCAAGAACCCACCAATTCTGGACACACATGGACCATACTTTTGGTGTTGTATCTAAGAAATCTTTGCATAACCCAATGTCACAAAAGTGCTCTATGTTTTATGGTTTTATTACTTATATTTAGGTCTATAAACCATTTTGAGCTAATTTTTATGTGGTGAGAAGTATGGATCAAAGTTTTTTTTATTTAGTTTTGTTTTGCATACAGAAATCCAATTGTTCTAGCAACATTTGTTGGGAAAAAATTATCCTTTCTTCACTAAGTTGTCTTTCCACTTTTGTCTGGAATGAGCTGTATGTTTATGTGTGTTTCTCTTTCTAAACTCTTTCTTCTACCACAATGGTTGATTTTTCTATGCTTACACCAATATTCCATTGTTTTGATTACTATAACTTTGTAATAATTATTGAAAAAAGGTAATGTTAACCTTGTGACTTTATTCTTTTTCAGAGATGTTTTGGCCATTATAGGTCTTTGCATTTCCATATGAATTTTATGAGTTTGACCATGTATATTTTAAAAATGAAAATTTTGATTGGGATTGCATCAATTTATAGATCAATTTAGTGAGGATTATCATTTTAAAAATGTTGAGTCTTCTGACCCATGAACATGGTATATGTCTCCATCTGTTTAAATCTTTAATTTCTGTCAATAAACTTTTTAGTTTTCAGTGCTTCATATTTATCAGATGTATCCCTAAGCATTTTGTATTTTGAATGCCACTGTGAATAGGTTTGTTTACTAAATTCAGTTCGTGATTGTCTGGTTTTATTTCAGTTTATAGAAATATAGCTGATTTTTTTATACTGATCTTATGTCTTGTGGTCTTACAAAAATTACTTCTTAGTTCTAGCAGCTTTTTTTCTGTTTTCATAGGATTTTATAAGTAGATGTCACCTGCAAATGAAGAGTTTTACACCATTCTTTCCAATTTGAATGTCTAACTAATTTCTCTTGCCTGATTGCATTAGACAGAATTTCCAGTATATTGTTGAATTGAAGTGGTCAGAGTGAACATCCTTGTATTGTTTCTGATCTTAGGAAGAATGGTTTTAGTCATTCACCATTAAAAGTGCTGTTTGTTCTATTTTTTAAATGTATAGGTTATGTAGGTTGAGGAAGTCCTTTCTATTCTTAGTTTGCTGGGAGTTTTTTTTTTAAATCAGAAATAGATGAGGGATATTTGTAACTTTTATAAAAAATGTGATGTTAGTCTTATTTTGTTTTCAGGGTAATGTTAGCGTTATAGGAAGAACCAGTAAATATTCCAGGATTTAAGAAATTTTTAGCAGAAGGTTGTGTATAATTGATACTATTTCTCCCTTAAACATCTGGTAAAATTCACTAGTGCAGACATCTGATTCTTGAGTTTTCTTTCTCAGAATGTTTTAAGCTATGTCAATTTATTGGATAAAGGGCTTCAGGTTATGTATTTCTTCTTAGGCAACTGTGCTTTTTTAATGAATTGGTTTGTTTTATCTAAGTTATTGAATTTAATAGCATAAAGTTGTCTATAATATTTCTCTTTTATTTTCTATATAATCTGTAGTTCTTTCACGTGTTTTATTCCTTACATTTCTTGATTAGTGTAGAGATCAGTTTTATTGATCTTTTCAAAGAATCAATTTTTGGCTACATTTTATTTTTAATTATTTTCTTGGGTTGTTTCATTACTTTCTCTTCAGTTTTTAATTATTTCCCTTTTGCTACTTATTTTGGTTGAATTTAATGCTCCACTTCTAGTTTCCCAAGTTGGAAACTGAGGTCATTGGTTTGAGATTTCTTATTAATAATATAGGTGTTTAGTGATATAAATGACTCCCCAAAGTATGGTTTTAACTGCATCCCACAAATTTTGATATGTTGTATTTTCATTTTTACTCAGTTTAAATACCATTTTCCTTTATATTTCTCCTTTTAATATGGGTTATTTTAAAATGTGTTATTAATTTCCACACACTTTAGGACTTTTCTTGATTTATTTCTTTTATTGATTTCTGTTTCAATTCCATTGTGGTCAAAAAGCATACTTCATACAATTTGAATCCTTTTATTCATCCTTGCTTTTATGGTCCCGAATTTGATTGATTGGTAAATGTTCCATATGCACTTCAAAAAGACAAGCATTCTGTAGTTGTTGACTTGAATGCTGTATATATTTCACTGGATCTATCTGTTGACAGTGTGGCTCAAATTGTCTATATCTTTACTGGTTTTCTGCCTATACTATCAATTATTGAAGGAGGATGTTGAAATCTGACCATAATTGTGGATATATCTATTTCTTTTTACAGTTGTTTTTGTTTCTTGTATTTTGAGGCAATGTTATTAGGTGCATACGTATTTAGAATAATGGTATTTTCATGAAGTAAATATTATCCCTAGTAATATTACTTGCTCTGAAATCTATTTTGTCTTATAGTAATAGAGAGCTACTTCAGTGTTAGGGTGAAATATTTTTTTTTTTCATTTCATTTCAGATTTTCCATTGCTAGTATATCAGAAACACAATGATCTTGTATTAGACATGCCTGTATTAAAGTCATAAATCATTAAAGTTTAAATAATCTTAGAAATTATTTAACCCAACTGTTTCATTTTGCAACTGAGTAACCGAGACCAAAAAGATAGAGTTACTTTTCAACACCACAAATCTGGTCATTGGAAGTGCCCTTATCTTCTGTCAGATACACTGCTTATTTGAACCCATCTCTCTTGATTTCCTGGCCAATAATCTTTTCTCCTGAAAGCACTGTCACCACGTAGGCCAATCACACAAATTCCAAGATGGGATACTTACTATGAAAATGGTTACATTTTTAATACCAATCTAATTTTGGTTCACCAACAATTTTGGATACCTTTCTTCTATATTTGACTGAATGTATAACAAGTCTGGTTTTTGAGTTCATTTAAGACAAAGAAGTTCTTCTAAAATATAATAAAATTCTCATTTAGCACTTGAAATATCATTCCTAAATATTAATATTTAAAACTCTTTTATTAAGAAAAGTAATATATATCGAGAACCTAGGTGTTAGGAACAGTAAAATATGCATTTTATTATATACATTATGATTTAGGTAAGTTATCTCGTTTAATCCTCAAGTAACCATATGATTATTCTCATTTTACAAATGAGAAAATTGAGGACAGAGTGAGATAAAGTAACTTACTAAAAGTGGATCCAGAATTTGAGAGCAACACTTTTTGACTCCAAAACCACCAAGACAATGTTTTCCAGACCTCAATTTTTTGGCGATGTATGCATTATCTGCATAATTCTTCATTTAAATTGACAAATATTTAACTTAAATACATTTATTTAAAAACTATTTTTACTTCCTTGGAGGAAAACCAATATCACTTTCCATAATTATAAGATAACTTTAAAAATCAAATAAAAACAGAAAAATATCGCTAAACTCTAGGTAAACATTTTACTTGCTGCTCTTTGTTGTTGTTATTGAAAAACACAATTAAAAGGTATTTTAAAAATTTAAAAGACATATTTGCATTAAGCTGAACATTCCCATTATGTAACCTGAAGCTCCTAAAAAGAATAGAAAAGAAAATTGCTTTCTCGTTAGGTAATTCATTGTATTTTAATGATCCATTTAGAACTAAAAACTCATCTCTCAAAGGACGGATGTGAGTCCACAGTTAGGGCATCAGTACATTTTAGGCAGGAGTAGCTTGAACAAAGATAAAGAGTTGTGAGAAAGGTTGGATATCATAGAACCCCCAGAGGTTAGGAATTCCTTGAGTGGTAGTTCTAAACATTGTATGTAATTTTCACCTTCAGAGTTTAAGACACAGACAAAAAGAATCAGAATACATTACGTAGATTGGAGTGTCCATCTCTTTTAAAAGTTCCCTAGGTAGTTCCAGTTCTTAGGAAGGGTGGAAAACTTCTACGATAGGATGTTTGTATGAGAGGATGGTAGTGGTGGTGATGGTGTTGAGTAGGTTGGTAGGAGAAAGGCCAGATAGATCAGCAATATCTGCTCTGAATGTGAACAGGTGGAATGGTAAAAATATCATTATTAATTGCTATCTTAGGGATGGAAAATGAATAACTTGTCCAAGGTAGTTGGATACCATCTTGAAGAGCTGGCAGAGTGCTGACGCTACCTTCCATTAAGAATAAACATTCATGAATTTTCTATCTCAGATGCTCTTTTGACTTAAACGCCTTATGGTCTTTTCTTATAATTAAAGGCATTAAATTCATATGTGAAGAATGCATTCATGACAGCATATTTAAATAATGATCTAAACGACTTTCCCCAATACTTTACAATAGACATAAGTATTTTTGAAACAGCTTTAACACAATCGCTGCCTATAAATAGGCGCAGAGAAGAGTTTGATAACTTTTTTAAAGTAGCAGTATTTTAAAATAGAGTACACACAACCCAAATTCGCATGTGTAAATAAATAGAATGCATGAAAAGAATCTGAATGTGAATCACTTCCCTTAGTTATTTATCCATTGTTTTGATGCTGTCCTAAGACCCATTTAAAATAAGGCATCTTTCTGGTGGGTAACAAATTCGTAGTCTATCAAGCTGGGATCCCACTAACATTGGCCAAACTGCTGCAGACATGAAGACTTCATCTGGGAACCCGAAAGGAGAACTCAAAATCCAAATCTTCAGACTTTCTTAGGAGAAGCGTGGAAGTGGGAAAAGGAGAAATTCAAACTCTGCTTAATTTCAAAAGGGCAGTAAAAGGGGAGGCTGCAAAGGCTAGTTTACAAAAATAGACGTCGAGAACTCCTAGGGAAGCAAGTAGAAACGGGCTTTTTTTGGGGGAGGAGACATTTGCAGCCCATTGGACGGATTCCCCGCCGCCCTCCTCCCAGAAGGTCCCCACTCCCCGCCCCGGGCCCTCCCCCGGCTTCCGCGCTGGGCCGGGAGCCTGGGTGGGCGGGGTAGCCTCTCTAGCCTTGCCTTCTTGGCTGGAGGCACAAAGGCATTAACTTAGCGCCCGGGGTCTCTGCCAGGCTCACGGGACAGCTGCACCTCTCAGCGTCTCCAGCTCCAGGACGCGGTCGTCCCAACTCCTTCCGAGTGGAAAGAGTGTAAAACTTTTGTCCGTGCGCGGGTGGAGCTCAGTAGGACCACGGCGCGTCCTGCCCCGGCTTCCCCAGCCTCCCAGCAGGGTTAGCTGCGGTCAGCGCACTTTCCACTTGGGACTCCCGGCCAGAAATTTCTCGGGAATGGAGCGGTCACAGTGTGGCAGCAGAGACCGAGGCGTTAGCGGCCGACCTCACTTGGCCCCTGGGCTAGTGGTGGCTGCCCCTCCGCCCCCGTCCCCGGCGTTGCCGGTACCATCGGGGATGCAGGTTCCCCCAGCGTTCCTGCGGCCGCCCAGCCTCTTTCTGCGAGCAGCGGCCGCGGCCGCCGCCGCCGCTGCCGCCACCTCGGGAAGCGGAGGCTGCCCGCCGGCTCCCGGGCTGGAGAGCGGGGTAGGCGCGGTGGGCTGCGGCTACCCGCGGACGCCCAAGTGCGCCCGCTGTCGTAACCATGGTGTGGTGTCAGCGCTCAAGGGCCACAAGCGCTTCTGCCGCTGGCGGGACTGCGCGTGTGCCAAGTGCACCCTGATCGCCGAGCGCCAGCGCGTCATGGCCGCCCAGGTGGCGCTGCGCAGGCAGCAGGCGCAGGAGGAGAGCGAAGCCCGGGGGCTACAGAGGCTCCTGTGCTCGGGGCTCTCCTGGCCCCCCGGTGGTCGGGCATCCGGGGGCGGCGGCAGAGCCGAGAATCCACAGTCCACGGGCGGCCCTGCGGCGGGGGCTGCGCTGGGACTGGGTGCCTTGAGACAGGCCAGTGGTTCCGCGACCCCCGCTTTCGAAGTTTTCCAGCAAGATTATCCTGAGGAAAAACAAGGTGAGTTGGTCTTTGATTTACTCTTTGCTCAAGGAATGGTTGTTCTGGAAAGAAACTCTGAAACAAGCCACCGTGTCCATAGGCGGGCAGGAATAGTTGTTTAAAAGAAACACTTTAAGTTTTGGGGAACTGCTCAGCAATATGGACATTAATGAGAGTGTGAGAGACCCCATCGCCTTCACTTTGGAGGAATTTACTGTTGTTCCCTCAGGTGATAGGATGAGATAATGAAAAAATGAAGCATGGGTGGTAACAAATGAGCAATTCACCCTAGGAGTAGAGTTATTTACTCGGAAGTTGATTTGACTTTCACTGTGTGAGTAGAACTTCAAGCAGGCATTGAGCGAAAAGCTTCGTAAGAGGTGCTGTGTTTGAGTCTGCTCTGTACTCTTTCCAGACAGGATCTCACTCTGTTGCCCAGGCTGGAGTGCAGTGGCGCCATTACAGCTCACTGCAGCCTCAACCTCCCCAGGCTCAGGTGATCCTCCCTGCTCTGGACTGTTTTCAGCTGTAAAACCAGAGCTGATTTTGCGTGGGAAACTCTGATAGTTGGGGATGCAGTTCTTTACTACATGTTGGGGCAAACATTTGTTGCAAGCTTGATGTGGGGAAGAGACTGAAATCTACCAAACCATCGTCTTTCTTTGTTTCTTCACTCTAAATTGTTTTCGCAAAATGTAATTTGTAAAACCATAGGTAAGAATTTCAAAGTTCAATATTAGAGGTTTTTTATCCAAGGAGTTTTCATTATTTTTCTCTTATTTTTTGACTGCGAGTCAGTTGCCTTCATTTCCTGCGTTAGGAGATATATTTTAGTGAACTTCATAGCCCTCCACAGGGCCTACTAAGCAGTGAAAATATCATTGTGATTTTTTTTTTGTATAAGTCAAAAACTTATACAAAACTTATAAAGCTGTATTATATGAAATTGTATGATAGCTATACAGTAAACTATTAATTAGAAACCTTCCTTGAATTATGAAAATTGCAGATCTCAACAGATTTTTTCGCTCAATGGCTGCTTGAAGTTCTACTCACACAGTACATTCGAAAAATTCTGTGAATTGAAATGAGGCATTCAGTTCAGAGTGAATTTTGTGTTTGCATGTGTCAACTTTTGCACATATTCTAATTTATTTGAGTAGGCAAAACAGACTTTCTACAATTCCCATGAAAGATGAAGGTGCTAAAGAGCACAGTTATTAAGTAAAAGTGCTATGAAAGAGAAGTAAAAGTGAGAATTCCTGAAACTACACCGATAGTGAAATGGCTGACATCTCCCTGTGAGACACTGATTTATGTGATTTCTAGTTGGTACCAAAGTGTTCTGTTTTATAGAGCTAATTATTTTACTTTGTTCTTTGCCTCAGATGATGCCCCCTCCCCCATAAGAAGCAAGCTAATGTTTGAAAGGTTACTTCAATAGCTTTCTAAATTGACTGGTTCTCTTACACAATAGCCATGAACTGTGGTAAAATAGTCTATTTAATTTACTCATTCATTAGACAAAGACTAACAGTGATTTAGAAGTGAACAAGTTTTTCCTACACAGAAGAACCTTATATTCAAAAGAAGGCAGACTATATGTATCCAAAAACTACAATGCAAGGCTTAATATACAATGATAAATGCAATAGAAGTAAAGCAAGCTGTAGGACTTGAGAAGACAGAGAGACGATATAAGTGGTATTATATTTTAAAGACACCATATTTTCTAAATAATCTTATGCAAATTGGTATTTCATTACATATATTGTACTGTGAGTAAAATATAACAAGACATTATTTTATGATTTCATGCATAAATTGCTATAGAGATGAAATGTTGATAATTGACATGTTCGGGGGCATGCTCATTCATATTTACAAGTAAAGTGGAATGGAGGACTAATGCTAATCTATTTCCACTTGGCAAATTTCATTAGAAAAGTATTATTGTGTTATTTAAAGTTGAAAATCCTATAGAGTGTTTGCAATTTTTGCAGTAGTGACATTCTTTTTTTCATATGCTTATGGGAACAGCATATAGGAACAGCATTTTGAACTTCAAAATGCTAAATTGTATACACTTTAATTTTAAAATAAACTATAGCTATTTCTTTAGAATTTAGAACTGAATTCTTCTTAAGAAAACTGGAGAAAACTGGAGTATTGCAAATCATATTTACAAATCACTGTCTTAGGCAATATTTGTTTTGTGACATTCATAAACTTGGTAGAAAAAGGAAGTTGGACAGAATTACTCTGCACACTCCACTTAACAGTTTACTCTTACCTATATATCTCTAGGGTAATAGAAAATGTAAACCAAAGTAAAAGTTACATAGTAAATATGGCTATTTTAATTTTTGTGGTGTTAACCTAGTAAAGGGTATTAACATATTCTTGTTTGATTAATATGCTCAACATGTTGAGATAGAAAAACCAGAACTTTGTGTAAAAGTACTTTTGGAAAATTGCCCCTAACATTGGAGGAGGGCTGTGATTTAAAGCAAATGCCTAATATGTTGTTTTTAAAAGACAATTTGAGGATTTGTGTAGATTGCAATAGGACAGTTTATAATTTTCTTTTACAAACAATTTGCTTTTAAAGTCTGTTATTGATATTTCTTAAGGATTGAAAAAGAAAGTACATTTCATAGAGGATTATGAAAAATACCGTCTGTGTCATCTCTCATAAAATGAAATATGCAAGCTCTAGTATGATTTGGGATTGACATAGCAATAGTACTTATTGGTTTAAATCTGAAATGAAATGAACAGTTTTTTTTTACATTATTCAAGTAAATTAATTATAACCTGAAATATGAGATAAAAAACCAATTGTTAAAATTTAGCATTAGTGATTAAATAGAATATTCATTTTCAAACTAAGATTATTCCTTTTATTCCTTATTCATTTTATTCAGTTCTCTTTCCATAGTGTCATTCTGAAAAAATATCACTTAGATAACAACAAAACTTAGGTGACATTTAGGAAGATCCCACACAACCAAGATAGAACAGACAGTGTGCCATATTGGTGTTATGCAGACAATTTGGGGTAACAATACACTCTCATCTTCTGATTCCTAAATATAATTGCATTTTAATATTGCATACCTTTGTGATTCTGAGATGATATAATAGTATACTTTTCACTATTCCAGCACCTGCATTTCTGAATAATCTTTTAAATTTGAGTTATTCATTAAAATGTCTTGGAGTGTATAAATATTACTAATTAATAGGAGTGAATTAATTATATTATCCAGCATTATTTTTGAGTGAGCAGTACCACATTCTGGGAAGTCTTCCCTGTATTTGATTTTTTTTTCCCCCTCTTCTCCAGAACAAAAAGAGAGTAAATGTGAGTCATGCCAGAATGGACAAGAAGAACTGATCTCCAAATCCCATCAGCTTTACCTAGGATCATCTTCTAGGTCTAATGGTGTCATTGGGAAACAAAGTATCGGGTCATCTATTTCAGAATACTCCAACAAGCCTGATAGTATCCTGTCTCCTCATCCTGGAGAGCAATCAGGAGGTGAAGAGAGTCCCAGGTCCTTATCATCCTCTGATCTGGAATCAGGAAATGAAAGTGAATGGGTCAAAGACTTGACTGCGACCAAGGCAAGCCTTCCGACAGTGTCCTCAAGACCAAGAGATCCTCTTGATATCCTTACTAAGATTTTCCCAAATTACAGGCGCAGCCGGCTAGAAGGCATTCTACGGTTCTGCAAAGGGGATGTGGTCCAAGCCATTGAACAGGTTTTAAATGGCAAAGAACACAAGCCAGACAACAGGAACCTAGCAAACTCAGAAGAACTGGAAAACACAGCCTTTCAGAGAGCTTCAAGTTTTAGTCTTGCTGGAATTGGTTTTGGAACTCTAGGTAATAAATCAGCTTTCTCTCCTCTTCAAACTACTTCTGCTTCTTATGGAGGTGATTCAAGTCTCTACGGCGTAAATCCTAGAGTAGGTATCAGTCCATTAAGGCTGGCATATTCTTCTGCAGGAAGAGGGTTATCTGGTTTTATGTCACCCTACCTAACACCTGGGTTAGTACCAACCTTACCTTTTCGGCCAGCTTTGGATTATGCCTTTTCAGGGATGATTAGAGATTCTTCCTACCTTTCCAGTAAAGACTCAATAACTTGTGGCAGACTGTACTTCAGACCAAATCAGGACAATCCGTAATGTATATGCCCATTCTCTCTTTCTGGAGTTTTTCCAGCATACAATACATGCACGTGCACACACATACACACACATCCATTAATATACTTCAGTAAGTATGTGAGTGGATTATGAGGTCTTAAAATGCTGGGTTTTTTTTTTTTCAAGCAATATAATAGGTCTTAGATCTGAAAACTCTTCATTAGGATTTATCAAGTGAAAGAAGTAAATCTGAACATTATATGTGCCTTGAATAAAGCTATTTCAGGAAATATTTAATGAATTTTCTCCCTAAATTATCATTTGTAAACATTTTTATTTTAAAACTAGTTTTTATTTTATTGAAAAGTGGAATTTTTAGTGATAAAATACATTTGTAAGTGTAAAGCAATACAGCATAATAGAATAGAATATAAACCGAAAGGAAGAACTGAACAATTAAGGCAATTCTAAATAATTACCATTTCAAAACTGTTTCTTCTATTCCTGGTTCATAGGAAAGAAAAAAGTTATTCAAAGTATTTTTAAAGCATTTGATTTGCAGATGGGTGATTCGTAATAAATAAAACATTTGAGCATTTTGAATTTATATTTCCTGAGTATTTTATTTTTCAATCTTAGCTTCCATGAGTGAAAACAAGTGCCATTAAAAAACATTTCTCTTTAAAGTTGACACTGTGTCTATGAAGTAAATTTTAGGAAATAAGACTGCGCCATCTCCTGGCCACTATCGCCAATTGCAACTGAGCTCTGTAGAGTATATGAATTAGAAACATTGATTCCGGAGAATAACCATTTTTTTTTCAAATAGTCATTTTGGATTATACTACATTAAAATTTCCATACTGTAAAGTGCACATCTACTGTGGATGAGAGTTGCAGTCTTTAAGTGTGCTTATGTCTGTATCTGGGGAAATATCCTTAAAAGTTTGGGACAAGAATATATGGCAGCCATTCTCAAAGGTAAGAATAATTTTATTCAGAAAACTAAAATAGCTGCTCAAATAAATATTTATTAACTGCAGATAGTTGATGCTTAATGCACTGAGGAGAGATATAAGATTTCCAAAGGGGAAAAACTGCCATGAAGTTTCAGAGGTATTCTTGCAATTTTAAAAATAATTTTTGTCCTCCCTCTGGCGCATTTGAAAACTATTTATTTCAGTCAGTGGAAAGTCCCTGAGGAAACTGCTTACAAAACAGTTTCTAGGACATTTTCTTTGTATGTCATCATTTTTCTTTTTTGAAGGACAGTAGCTTCATTGTTATTATTAGGAATAAATGGAAGCCCACTGGTGGTAAAAGATAGTTGATGAATTAGAGATTGTTTAAACTATTTAAGCAGCATGACTCACTAAAGATTTTTTAAATTATATGTATATACGTATGTGTGTATGCATCTATATGCACATATATAAGTCTATGTAGACATACATTAAACCCCTATAGGTTATATTATCATGGAGGCGTTTTTCATGAAGCCAGTAAGAATGTATTTCCAAGGAATATTTTGCCAGCAAATGTGATATTAAATTACTTCAGAGTATCTGATGCTGATTTAGGATGTAAATGTGTTTATTAGGTTATGCATTAATTTTAATGGTGTGAATATAAGAAAGCAGATCTTGAAAAATTTCGATGTACTCAATATTCATTTATTATAAAAAAGTTTTATATTCTAAGCCTAAACCGTAGTACAATGTCTAGCAAGTAGTTGAAATTCAATTCATATATACTGAGTAAGAAACTCTTATATATAATAGATCTCTTTGAGACTCTGATAAAACTGAAGAACTCTACAAAATGGCGTACAGACACACAGTTTTGCATACAATTTCACTGGGTTCTTGAATCTCCTAAATGGTATTCAGGTTAGATTCCTTGGTGATTCTTCAGTTGTTTCTATTGCATTAATCCACTTATTGAATGCTATTTTTCTGAAAAGTGCTAGATCCTGTAGAGGATACTGAATGTAAAATATTGTGCTCTAAAGGAAGTTACATTATACAATAGAGATATGGTTTAAAAAAAAATCCTAGAGTTACTGCATTATGTATGTGGTTTTATAATGATGTGCTTGTATCTGAGAAACTGAATTGCTTTTGACCTTGGGAGAACATCCATTTTGGGCAGTATTCGAATTTATAAAATAGTTTTATAATCATAAAACTTAATTTATATAATGCCTTACACATTCCATACTCTTTATAATAATTTAAGGACTTAATCTTATCAAATAGGTCATTTGTCTAACAACTCAGTAGTATATGAGGAAATTGGGGCTCAGCAGTAGGGTTTTTTCTCCCTAAGGTTAGTAATATGAGTCATCTGCAGTGGAATTACTGTGCTCACTTCAGCAATTTCAGACTCCAATGTCTGAGGAAGGATTCATGTCTGTTTTTTTCATTCATGGCCTTGAACAGTGTCTGATATAGGTTCTCAACCTATACACTAGATTTCCACTGACTGAAAAAAAATAAAAGCAAGTATTAGCTTAATAATTTCTTCATTCAACACCTATTTAATATTTTTAATAATCTATTTGTGCCATGCACTGTGTTAGACACAAGAGATAAAGAAATGATTAAGATACAAGACTTTGCCTCAAGTTGCTCACGGTCTATATTGTGTGTACAAAAACAACCAATCAACCAATGTTGGTATTATTTGACAGTGTTGGTACATCAATGAGTTCTTTGTAATCTTGATATTTATATCCATGGATGCTGCTTGAAGCCTGAACTCCTAAGCCACTAATTAGTGGTGGGAAGAAAGAGGGGGTAAATGCTTTAAGAGCTAGCATATAACAAAAATGAATTGGGTTTATTCTGTATCATATAGAGGGCCTAAGAGGCAAACATTTCATAGAGTATTCAGAAGAACATAAGGAATGACTTTTTTCACAGTTAACAGCTGTCCAAGAGTGTAGTGGCTGCCTCGTATGATAAAGCATCTGGAACTCATTGAAAAATGCATGTAGAAAATACCAATCAGAGCCTGATTGATGGGATTTTTAATTACTGCTTTAATATTGGGACTGAATCATTTTGTAGCTCATTAGAAACATGGAAAGTATTTGTTAAATAAATAAGTCATGGAATTTCAATTCTAAGGCCATGAAAATTAAAACACCCTACCATTATTTATCAATAAAACACAGTGCAGTTTTGCTCATCAGAATTTTGCCTATGTGATAGCCTCCTGAGAGTAGGCAGAAAAGAAAGACATAGAACGCAGTGCGTGACTTACAAGGGAATAAAACTGACAGAGGTTAGTGTAAGGTATATAGGCATGAGTGGGGCTTAAAGAGGATATGGGAGAACACTGAAGACAAATATTAGTACAATTCCTATAAGGTAAATACCAATATGTCTTTCTAGAAGAAGCAATTGTTTTGGAATTGAGGAAACCTAGAATGGATTTATCTATATGACTTGGACAGGTTACTTATACTCTTTGGACATTTATTTCTTCTCAGCAAAACAAGGGTAATAATATTTAACTTGCAAGATTCGTGGAGATAAAAGCTTAAATAAACGGCAGAGTACAGTAATGCTTATATACGGGATGCTAAATAAATAACTCTCACTGTTATTACTTTGTATTAAGATATTATCTTTGCCCCCTCGTGGCAGTCTCTCAACAAAGAGTACTGTAATTGCATTTAATCCACTTAGTGGATGTGGAGCCCAAAGGGCAGCCATCACTAGAGCAGCGTACAGGCTTAGTTCCAGACTTCGTGTTTGGTTGTTCATTTCATAGGCGAGCCACGTGTTTTGTAACATATTCTCGTATATGTTATTTGGATTATTTTCAGGGCTTTCTGAAGAAAATAAACATCGAAATCATAGTTTGTGTTTATGCTACATTTATTGGGGTTGTCAGGAAAACAGAGTCCATGTAATATGTGGAAATAAGGGAGTTATAGAAATTTAACCTAACATAAACAAAGGAGGAGCTTGAAAATGAATGTCTGGAAGAGGGAAATTGGCAGATAAGAGAAAGATTCACTCATCTACTTGAAGCACTGGTGTGGGCTGACAAGTGGGAACTGAAGCTCTGTGAAGTCCAGCATGTCCAATCACTCAAATGGTTCCCAGCCAGGGGTTCTGAAGGGGGGCTATGGGAAACCAGTGCCTCTGTGTAGGTTCTAGCTCTGTTGGTCTGTGAGCAAACACCTGGTGGTGAACCTGTGCCACCATGGGTCAGTGAGGTCAGAAGGCAGGAAGACAAGCTAGATGTGGAGTAAGGAAAAGTGAAGACAGCCTGGAAATCACTGGGTATCTAACCTTAATGACTTGTGTTTCACTTCTACCTTAACAATCTCACCATAATTCCTTTTTCTGGGCCAATCTCACTTTGAACAATACAGGAAAGGGAATTCTGAGAAATGTAATTTGCAGTCAGCCAAACTGATAGTGTAGTCTAGTACAGTGTACTCCTTGTCAACACGGCTTTCAGAGCAAAAACAAAATCATTCTTTTACCTGCAGTTGATATAACCATATTTCGTACAACAAAAACACACTAGCCCACTCCCCAAAAGGGAACACACAAAGTGACTTACCTATCTGTGGGTTATGCTCATTTCTGTTGTACTCAGTCAAACCCTCCTTTGAATATCCTATAGCTTTAATCCTGAGATATAGGTAACTACTATTAATAAATCTTTTGTTAGACTAGGAGAAAGGGGAAACACACACACACACAAATACACTTACTTTGAAGCAATAAATACATTGATAAATATTTTTTATCTACTAGAGCCCTCATGTTCAGTCATGGGATCATAACTGGTCATAAGACCACAGATGTTATTTATAACTGCCTTCTTCCACTAGGCAATTCATATTTTCTCTGCTCCCTGAAAGTGTCTCAGTTAATTGTGGTTCCTTACTTGATAGAGTGACCCAAATCCTGGTTCGTGAAGCATCTCTACCATTATAGCCCTGCCTCTATTAGGTTGTTGTAGCTTTTCATGAACTTTTACCACAAAATATTGAAAGTCTAAGTGATGCTCTGGAGGATCTTCTGAATACTGGGAATGCTACCCCTGCCTCTTTCCTGTTGTTTCAGTGTCTGAGGTGCCCCAAATAGCCAGTGGTAGTTGCGAATTCCAGTACAATGTTGTATTCTGTCATGAATTTCTTCTTTGGGAAGTAAGTTCTCTGAACCTGAAAGGTCAAAATTTGTAGAGAATCTGAACAAAAATATTACCAGTGGATCATTAGGATTAATGTGAAAGGAGTCATTCTCATATCTACCCTATGATTCCCAGACTCATGAATCCTGGGTATAGGAGAAACATCGCTACATATTTATAGGTGATTCAAAGCATATCTTACATCCAGGAAGACATTATTGCAGCCCCATAAAGTGCTTTCACCAGCTGGTGCCATAACTGAGTCTTCCAAAGACCATTCCATAATTTTATTAGACCAGCTGTTTCAGGATGAAGGGAACAGGAGGATACCAGTAAATTGCATGAGCATGAGCCCAACATTGCACTTCATTTGCTATAAAATGAGTTTCTTTGTCAGAAGTAATGTCATATGGAATACTATAAAGGTGAATAAGGCATTGTGTAAACCCACAGCTGGTGGTTTTAGCAGAAACATCAGGAGTGGGAAAGGCAAAACCATATCTAACATAAGTGTTTTTTGTTGTTGTTGTTTTTCCTCAGTGAGAACAAAGAGGTACTCCTTCAATGATGGAAGTGATCCAATGTAATCAACCTGCCACCAGGTGGCTGGCTGGTTCCTCCAGGGAATGGTGCTATTTCAGGGACTCAGTGTAGATCTTTGCTCTTGGCAGTTTGGGTAGTCAGCAGTGGCTCTATCCAAACTGGCCTTAATGAATGGAAGTCCATGTTGCTGAGACCACGCATAGACTCCATCTCTGCTTCCATGATCATTCTCTTCATGAGCCAACTGGGCAATTATGGGAATAAAAGAATGGGTAATCTTGTGCATGAGATTTTTAAGATATTCCTCTTGGGAAGCTGCTCTTATTTGAGCATTTATGTAAGACAAAAATATCTTCATATTTTGTGCCCATTTAGAGAAGTCTTTCTGTATACTTTTTCTCTAGACCTTGTTACTGATTTTCCAATCTTGTTTCTTCTAACTTGCTTACCATCCAGCCAAACTGTTAGTCACTGCTCATGACTGATTCCAGATATGTACCTCTATCCATATCTCCTGCCAGGCAAAATGAACAATCAGGTGTATAGCTTGAAGTTCTTCCCGTTGGAAAAATTTTCTTCACCACTATACTTCAAGGCCACACCTGTAGTGCCTCATCGTCCAATTCAGATAGTGCCAGAATAGGGCAGAACCAACTGTGAACAAGGATAAAATTGTTCTTCCTCATTCTGCTGTAATAGACAGCTCCACATAAGAGAGAGGAGGTGGTGTGGCAGGAATAGAAGCCATGGGAATTTAAGCCACTTTCTATGCAACTTATTTATGACTTACTTCAACATCTTTGGAGGAAAATTCATCTATTGTTTCCACTTGATGAAGTACTGCTACGTAACACTTGGCGAGTCAGACAACACCTTGTTAATATGAATACTTATGGTCACCTGCTTATTTGATGGCCAATACTAAGTGTCAGGACTCTGGTGGGAACCTGTAACAAGAAGGAAGCAGTTTCTCAAAAGGACAATAATTCCCTGTGAGAAAACAAAACTTTTCTCTGAAGTCTGAGAGGGGTATACTGTGAATCACCTATAAGGATCTGCTGAAGGTTTCCCTTAGGATCTCTAGCTGCCATAAGACACCTCAAGCCCCATTGGATTTGCTGGGTTATATGGCCCACATGGCAGGAGAGGTTGAATGACAGTTTGGCTCTGTTGCAGAACCACCTTGTAATCTGGGCCTGACTCAAAACTGAGAGCTTATTGGATTATTTGGTAAATGGTTTAAAGTAAGATGCCCAAATCAGGTATCTATTGGAACCAAAATACAGAGCTCCACCTCTTAGAGATAGCAGGTGTCAGATACACAAACATGTTTTCCATCTGATAAGAGATGTTTCAATATGCACCAGGCCCTAATTCCTACAAATTCCACAGATATTACATGCTCGTGAATGTTTATAGGGTTTATTCTTCAAGCCTCTGGCATGCATATCTCTGGACAAGATATCTAGAGTATTTTCTACCTTCTGCTTATTGGGTTCAATCAGAATGATATCTATATAGTAGGCTTGCTTGATGTCCCGTAGAATGGAGAAGCAAACAAGTTCTTGGTGGCCTATCTATGTAGTAGACTTGCTTGATGTCCCATAGAGTGGAGAAGCAAACAACTTCCTGGTGGACTACACTGTAGCAGAGAGCTGGAGAGTTGAAATAGTCTTAAGGAATGCTACGTGCATTACTGCTTCTAGTGGTTCTTACTAACAAGTATAGAGAAAAAGTATTTATGACATCAGCAGCCTAAAACTACAAAAAAGAGGCTGTGTTGGTTTGTTCCAATAAAGCAACTACATCTGGAAATACAACTGCAGTTATAATCATTACCTAATTAAGTTTATGTCATTCCACAAGATCCATCTGCCTTAGCCACAGGCCAAATAGGTGATTTGAATGGGAATGTGTTAGGACCCCTTCCATCCTTGACTGTGGCACAAACTTTGGTGGTCCCTCTAGGAATGTGTTATTGCTTTTGTTTCACTGCTTTGGGAGGGAGAAAAGTTCTTAAGACTCTATTTGACATTTCCAATTGTAATAGTCCTCAGTCCCTGTGTCAGAGATCCAATGTGGAAATTCTGCCAGTTTTTGAATATGTATCTTCCAAAGATGCTTTCCAGAAATGAGGAAATAAATGTAGAATAGATTTGGGAGCCCATTAGACTCACTGTGAGATGGACTTGAACCAAACTGTCATTGATGATTAGACCTTACTCACCTCTTTAAGACCTACCCAGCCTGGTGGACCACAGTGGCAGTTTAGGTTTCTAGAGAGTAGTTATTGTTCGGTAAATTCTAAAAAGTAGGGTTATTTTTATTTTCTTAATGTATAGTCTCTTGGTAAATTGGTTTAGGTCCTTTCGGAGAAAGCTAGGAGAAATATTTACTATGTAAATTACTGAAAGTGTAGCAGAGTCTCTACTTACAAGTACCCATCTTCACTTTCTGCAAGAGGCTCTGGGTCTATAAACAGGTTCAACTCTAGAAGTATGTTGAGGGGTCATTACTTTCCTTATGATAATTTGAGGCAGACTTAGCTTTATCAGACCTAGTGCTTTTCCACCTATACAAATCAAGTGTGACTTTATTAACCTGCCCACCTATTTCATTTGTAGAAACACAATTATTGATTAGTCAATGCAAAACATCTCTGTAGGTCATATCATTCTGGTAATTGCTTCAGCACAATTTTTTAAAACATAGAATTCATGTCCATCTTGTATCTGTAATATAAGTGCCACTTCTTGGATTTCACAACTCCTGGGTCACATCATCCCTTGTGAATTCAGGGAGGGTATTTTCCTGGCCACAAGTCTCACAGATATCCCTGGCATACAGGGAAAAGCCACAACAGAGGACTTTGATGATGATGGTGCTTTCTTTACCAAGGGGGTACCATCTTCGAGGGTCTCCTAGGGAATATAATTTAGAGGTGCATAAGCAGTTAACATGTAATAAATCCACTCCGACTTTTAATCTCCAAAACCCAGTGCACATGATCTTGCCAGAGTGGCTTAATGGAAAGGGCACTATGGAGGTGTCTATAGAAAGCAGTTTTCTCTATGTAGCTACTACATCCGTGAGTCCTCAGCCAAACACCTGCTGGTGGGAATTGGGCTGCTCTTGGTCGACAAGATCAGCAATTAGGAATATACGCTAATTTTCTAGTGGAAGAGAGAAAGGACAAGTTAAGACCTGCTGGGTACCGCTGAATCTTTCTCACTGTAATGACTTCTGCTTCCTTTCTGCTTTGTAAATCTTGTAGAGTTCCTCTTTGGGCCAACTCAAACTTTGAAACATATAGGGAAGGAAATTCCGGGAAATTTAGTTTCCAGTCTTAGCCAAGTTGACAGAACAAAATCAAGCATATAAAATATTATAAATTTCATAGTTTTTCAATTGTATAGCTTTATGAAGCAGTATTTTTTCTTACTCCGAATCAAAGCATGGGCACATATTAAATACAGGGAATCAATAATAGTAAATGCCTAATGTCTTTAGGCTGACCTACTGTTGATTTCACTAGCTTTAAAAATTTATTTTAAGATAATTTTAAAATTACTTGTCATTGTAAGAAACAGTACAGAAACATCCCATATACCTTTTACCCACTTTTCTCCAAGAGTAACATCTTGAATAATTTTAGTGCAATGTCACAACTAGGAAATTGACATAATCCACAGAATATGCATGAATTTCATTCAAGACAACATACAAAGTCGAGATTTTTGACATAGGAAAACGTCATTTTAAAAGATCATTCTCACTGTGTGGTGGAGAACAAAGGAGCAAAGAAGGGAGCAAAAACATACATTTGGAGGTTGTTGTGTAAACCAGATAAGAGACGACAGTGGCTTAGAAGATGATTGTAAAAATAAAAAAAGAGTTGGAGGTGTGGTAAGTAGTAATAAGATGGTAGATACATTTTGAATGTAGAAACCGTAAGATTTGCTTAGGGATTCGGGTGTAAAAAAAAGAAAGGTACCAAAGATTCTTCTACAGTTTTGCTCTAAACAACTGGACTGAATGGTGTTCTTACTTACTGAGATGAGAAAGACTGTAAATTTGTTCATTTTTGTGCCATTCAGGCAGCCTGAAAATTTTCAAAGAACAATTATTATACTGGCCAGCCATCTTTCTGGTCACAATAGGATTATATTAAAATGTTTTTAATTGAAGAAAAACCATAACAACTTTTCTTTCCTCTAACCGCCTCCTTTTACACGCTAAGAAAGTAAAACGAAAGTACTGTTAGTAACTTAGGAGTAGAAAGTAAAATTTCAATGGAGTATTGTGAAAAATACTTAGAGGTGAGTGATAGTTACAAATTAACTACTACACAGTGTGATGCAGCTTAAGAGACTGAGAAAAGGAAATTTTCAGCTTTAAATGTATTACCTTTCAAAAGTTTACAAATAATCAAATAATTTAACTCAAGAAGCTAGGTAAGAGTAGGTAATGGATCTGAGAAAGGAGAAGGGAATTATACAGGGAGAAGTAGAGATTAATAAAGTAGAAATTAAATAACAAAGGTGCAGGTCAAAAAAAGCAAAAACTTGTTCTATGAAAAGATTAATAAATAGAAAAATCTCTATAGAAAGGCTCACCAAGAAAGAAGGAGAGAAGGCATAAATACATAATATTATAAGTGATATGGGAGGTAGAACAAGAGATTCAGTAGAGATGAAATAAATCATAACAATAGTATGAATACTAAATTTTTTGAAAACTTATGTCAATTATAAACATTTTTAGGAATTATTTAAAAATTGGCAAAGTTGAGAAGCCACCATTAAATAAGTGGAATATGTAGTTTAAAAAATGCAGGCCTGTGCTTCCATGGGACTGTCAGTGCCACAGTGTTTCTGGCAAGGTTTACCAAACATGCAAGGAACAGCTAATCTCTATTTTATGAAAAATCTTTTAGAATATAAAACAAGAGAGAATGCTTATTAAACTTCACATTAGAGGTATATCTTGATAACAAAACATGACAAGTGCTGAAAAGGAAAATTTATTTATGCAGAAATCTTAAATGAAGGAAATTAAGAAATCAAAGTCACTTGTGTATCTAAAAATAATACACATTAACCATATATTCCTCAAATACAGATATCTTATTGGTGTAATTTTTTACATTAACAAATTAAGAAAAATCTTATTTATAGATAAAGAAAATATTTAATAAATTTCAAAGCTAATTTTTAAGAAACCTTTTAGATAACTAGGGATGAAAACTATGAATAGATCCAGTGATAAGAAAGAGACATTTTAACTAATTCTTACTAAACTATGAGTTTTAAGTTGTTGAATGGTTGCCATATGCCTGTCTTTTGTGTGTGTGTATGTGTGTGTGTACGTGTGTGTGTGTGTGCATGCGTGTGTGTGGTTTCCCTCATGTTACAGAGGACAGACTGAGGAACAGAGGGTCAAGGAATCTAAGTTCATGTTGCAAGTAAAGTAGAGGAGCTGGGAGTTGAACTTCACACTTGGATAGCCTCTATCCCAAATTTATGCTCTGTATGACCTGTCTCACACTAAAGTAGGTAAAGCTGGTA
Source organism: Homo sapiens (assembly GCF_000001405.40). Taxonomy (NCBI): domain Eukaryota; kingdom Metazoa; phylum Chordata; class Mammalia; order Primates; family Hominidae; genus Homo; species Homo sapiens. Next base: position 22,463,143 of record NC_000009.12, read on the forward strand.
AATTTTATACTTATTTCATTACTCAGGAGACATTTAATCAGTGGTTCAAGGATATCAGAAGTTAGCATGTTGTGATTCTCTTGTTCTCTCTTGCTCACAATAGGTCTATCATAGTTTCAGCCATCACATTTGTGTTCTTGTAAAAGGAAGAAAGACTCAGCAAGGAGAAAGATGTGACACCAGTCATCTACTGATAAATATTTAACAATAACGTCAGGCTACTAGGTGGTGGTGAACATATCTGATTGTAGCAATTGCCTAATCCCATGGTGTAAATACTTGAACCATGACTAATTTTAAGCTATCAAACTGATGTCACTGAATGGGGTTTGGGAAGAAATGTACACCATAGGTTATCTTGGCAAGCATGGATTGGCTCTAGAGCATGGCTTGGTGGTGCCTATATCAGGAAAGAAAAACTATCCTACAAATCTCCAGCAGAACTTTGCTCATGTCTCAATGACAAGAGTAGTGTCACATCACCTGCTGTAGCTCTAAGAAATTGTATGTTTTATTTGAGCACATTGCCACCTCAAATAAAATTGTAAGGAAATGCCTATTCATTAAAGAACCAACAGCTTCTGCCTTTAATGGGAACTTCCTTAATTTAATGCAGCAAACATCATACTTAATGGCAACTCTTTAGAGAGATCTTAAAGTCAGAAATATGACAAGAAGAGTCACTCATACTGCTTCTATTGAGCATTGTACCAGAAGTGTTAGCCAATGCAGTATAATACAAAAATTGAATAATTGTTGAAAATTAACTCAATATTTTCAATTGCTATGATAAAAAAATCAAAGAGAAACTAGAACTAAGGAAAGAATTCAACAAGATGGCTGGTTATAAGCCCAACACACAAACAAAATCAGTAACTTTTCTCTCTCTCTCTCTCTCTATATATATATATATAAAAAATATATATAAATATATATAGAAAATATATAAATATATATAAATATATATAAAATATATATAAATATATAGAAAATATGTATAAATATAGAATATATAAAAATATATATAGAAAAAATATATAAATATATATAGAAAAGTTCTTGATTTATATATATAGAAAAATATATAATATATACAGAGAGAAGTTATTGATTTTATATATATATTTTCTATGTATATAAAAACAATAGCTAGTTAGAAAAACATAGTAGAATAAAAAAATTAACATTCATAACAGCAACAAAAACTGTAAAATGCCTAGGATCAAAGTTAACTAAATACGTATGAAAACTTGAAAAAAATTATGAAATGTTTCTAGAGAACATAAAATAAAACTTTAATAAATACTTATGGAAGAACATAAATATTTATGGAGAATGCTCAATAGAAGTACAATGCTCAATTAGTAAAGTTGTCTATTCTTCCTAAAATAATTTGGGAGACATTTTGTTAGATATAAAAGCTGAAGAGCCAGAATACTTGAGTTCAAATTCCACCTCCACACCTTACTTGCCAAATAACCTTAGGTAAGTTATTTAACTTCTTTGGGCTTTCATCTATTAAATCAGTTAAATGGGTATAATGCTAATAATTTTATACTCCTTCATTTGATCACTCAGGTGACCAAAAGAATGAATACATGTAAGATATTTAGAGCAGTACCTGGCCCATTTATGTACATATGTTTTATTAACCTATAAATCCAATGCAATTCCAATAAAAATTTCAGGAACTTTTGTTGAGTATGATGCCTCAATATGAAAATAAAATAAAAAGCCAAAAAAAAAAAAACCACCTCAGATACAAAACAGTTCTGGAAAAGAAAAGAAAAAATTTTACTATCAGACATCAGATTTCCCTATTAGATATCCAATTAGATTTTTTTTATCAGATGGCACATAGTAAGTATTCAGTAATTATAGTCATAGTTTAGGCTAATTATAAAGTTATACTAACAGTGTGGTAATAGACAATCAGGTATAGATAATCAAGTTAGTAGAATGTCATAGAAACTTACCCAAGTATATATGGAACTATAGGATAAGATTCATTCATTTATACAGTGAGGAATTTATTGACACCTTCTATATCCCAGGCATTCTTCTGTGCACTGGGGGATACAACAGTGAGAAGACTGTCAGGATCCATGCCCTTGTGAAATTGATGTTCTAGTTAGTGTGATCCGATAATAAACAGACAAGTAAATATAAACTATATCAGGTAGTGCTAAGTGTTATGAAGAAAAGTAAAGCAAGATAAAAGAATAGAGAATGCTGGTGGCTGGGAGAGTGACAGCAATGGCTATTTCAGTTTGGGTGGTCAGAAAAAGCCTTTTCAGAGAACATGGCTCATATGGTTTGGTTTTGTGTGCCCACTCAAATGTCATCTTGAATTGTAATTCCCACATGTCAGGAGAGGGAACTGGTGGCGGGTGATTGGATCATGGGTACTGTTTCCCCCATGCTATTTTCTTGATAGTGAGGGAGTTCTCACCAGATCTGATGGTTTCAAAAGTAGCAGTTTTCCCTCTCTCTCTCTCCTGTTGCCATGCAAGACGTGCCTTGCTTCCCCTTCACCTTCTGCCAGGATTCTAAGTTTCTTGAGGCCTCCCTGCCATGCAGAACTGTGAGTTAATTCAATCTCTTTTGTTTCTAAATTACCCAGCCTCAGGTAGTATCTTTATAGCAGTGTGAGAACAGACTAATACAATGGCATTTGAACACAACGGAGTAAATGGCAAGGCAGGTATGTAGAGGTATGGGGCTAAGGAGAACCACAAGCACACAGGATGGAAACAGGAACAAGCCTAATTTTACTTGCAGTATGCATGAACAGTGTGGTTAAAACACAATGTGATAAAAGAGGTTGGAGAGAGATCAGTATGGTGTTGGTGGCAGCAGTGATCAACTGAAATATTTAAATTAGTGTGATGTCTCAGAAGCCACTGGACAGTCTGAGCAGGGAAGTCAAGGCTGGGTTTACATTTCACAGGGATTTGTCTGATTACTTTGTAGGAAATAACTGCTCTGCAGTGCAAGAGAGGAAGCAGGGAGAACAATTATGCTATTCAATAGTCTAGCTGAGGACTGATGGTGGCTTTGACCAGGACTGGAGCTGTGACCAGGACTGGAGGTGATAAAAAGTCGTTGGATTAATGCTTAAATTATTGATGAACTGTGTGTGAGGTATGATGGAAATAGAAGTGCCAAGAGTGATGCTTGCATTTTTTTCTCCTAAAAGATTGTGTGCGCCTGTAATCCCAGGACTTTGGGAGACCAAGATCAGCAGATCACTTAAGGCCAGGAATTTGAGTCCAGCCTGGGCAACAAGGTGAGACTCCATCTCTACTGAAAATACAAAAGTTAGCTGGGCTTGGTGGCCCACACCTGTAGTCCTGGCAACTTGTGGGGCTGAGGTGGGAGAATCAGTTAAACCTGGGAGGTGGTAGGAGTGAGCTCTGATCATACCACTGCACTCCAGCCTGGGTGACAGAGCAAAAACCCTGTCAAAAACAAAACTAACCAACCAACCAACCAAAAAAAAAACAAACAAAAATGCAAGTGATTTTTCTATTTGCTGACTTTTTCTTTTTTTACATTTTAAGTTTAAGGTATCTGTTAGATATCCAAACTTTAGGTATCACATAGCTGTTACATATATGAAGCTAGAAGTCGGAGGACTAGTAGGAAAACGAGAGATAAATTAGGAAGTTATTATATTTAAAGCAATGGGTTTGTGTAGGATTTATTAAGGAGAAAGTATAGATAGAGTCAGGAGAATGATGTTCTTCAGCATCCAACATTTAAAGGTGAGGAAGAAGAGGGGCCAGCCAAGAATATCGAAAAGAAGTGGTTATTGAAATAGGGGAAACACTGTCTTAGAAACCAAATTAAAAAAAGGGAATGGGGATAATGAATTGTGTCTGTTGCTAATAAAGGTTTAATATGATGAGAACTGAGATGGATCATTGAATCTGACGATCTTATTGTCAAGTGCCCCTAACAAGAAAAGATTTGGTAGGGTAACGGTGGCTAAAACCTGATTGGACTGAAGGAGAGAATGGGAGTTGAAGAATAAACCAAAAGTTTAGTTAATGTGTTTGAAAATCTTTTTTTAAAGGGTAACAGGGAACTAGGATGGCAGCTGAAGAGATACATGGATTCTAGGAAGTTTCATTTGTTTTTCTTCTAAGGACAATAGTATGGCATGTTTGTGTGTTTATAGGAATAATGCAGTAGAGACAATGATGCAGAGAAGTAATAATGGCAGGTGTATAGTCTTCTAGTGGTAACAGGAAATGGGATTTTGGGGACGAGTAGAGGAGATGGCTTTAGAGAAGAGCAGAGACAACCATTGTAATAAGGGGGAACGAAGAGTATAGGCACAGAAGCAGAAGGTTGGTAGGTTTATGATGAAATATGAACCATTTCTCCTTTAAGTGCTTATATTTTTTTCAGTAAAATTGGAGGTGAAAGCACAAACTAAAAATGAGAAGAGGAGAAAGAAGGCGTGTAATAGTTATCTTGGAGATTAAAAGAGTGAACTGATGATGGAAATTGCCTGGTGCTGCTGAGAGTCTGTTGAGATGTGTTGATAAACATTTCAATTGGTTTTCTTCAGTTATGTTCTACTTATTCTATAGAGTCATGTCCTCACCTTCTCCCTTCTCCCAATTTGCTTGGATTCCTCACTGATTAATCCCAAATGGAAGCTGGAGGTGACAAGATATTTTGATTTGTCTGTACAGGTCAACCTTCTGGGATACAGAGTGGATGGGGAAGAAGAGTTGATCTGGAAGGATAAAGGTACATATCTGGTACATCATCATGCTATTCACAAAAGTAAATCCCAGATAGAATAAAGGCCTGTATGTTAAAAACAGAACTTTCCGATTATTAGAAGACAATGTGACTATCTTTATATCTAAGGGGGATGAAAATATTTTTTTTTACCAAAACAGAACTATAGTAAAATTAAAAATTTTAACAATAAAATACAAAATAACCGAAGACATTAGAAACTACATATATAACATACAAAAATATCTATTCAGGATATGTAAACACTATTAATCAATAAAATTGGCCAAATAACCAACAGTTTTAATGAACTAGTTGGATCTTTATGTATCAATACGGATAAATCTGAAGAGAAAACTGCTGATTAGAAAGAACATCTCATGAAATAATTGTGTATACTACAATTCTATTCATGAAAATTAAGCTAAAATACAGAACTTAGAATATATTTTTTATGGGTAGATATATAATAAAAGTACAAACATATGGACTGGCTATAATAACCATATCAGTTACCTCTAGAAAAGGAAGGAAATGGAACTGGTGAGTGTAACAGGTGTATGAATATAATCTGTAAGGTTTCATTTCTTTAAAAATTTCAAGGGTCGCACATGGTGGCTCATGCCTGAAATCCCACCACTTTGGGAGGCCGAGTTCAAGAGATCGATACCATCCTGGCTAACACGGTGAAACCCCGTCTCTACTAAAAATACAAAAAATTAGCTGGGTGTGGTGGCGGGCGCCTGTAGTCCCAGCTACTCAGGAGGCTGAGACAACAGAATCGCTTGAACCCGGGAGGTGGAGATTGAGGTGAGCTAAGATCGCACCACTGCACTCCAGCCTGGCGACAAAATAAGACTCCATCTCAAAAAAAAAAAAAAAAAAAAAAAAAAAAAAATTAAGAAACTCTGAGCTTTAAAATTTTTTCAAAATAACAGAGTTAATCACTTAATTTACTTAATACAAAAATACTGTCTCAGGCTCAGATACATGAGAATGATTAGGGTCAGCATTAGACTGCACTAATTTTAATTCGGAAGACCAAGGTTTGCAGTGTCATGGCTGACATTAAAGAATTACTTCAGTACTTATTCCACTCCCATTCTTTGTTGAGTAATGGCTCCAAACAAGCAAGAAATATTTCTTCTCAATTTTTGCCTCCCATAGCAAAAGAGAGCCTTTAGTATTAAAAATATTCCCAGGAATTTAGGAACTGAGTAGCCAGAGAGGGTTCTTAATTCATCCATTAATATTAACTGATTTTTTAATCTAATATGCAGCATGCATAAAACAATATTCTGGGCTATAGAGAAATACAGAAATGACCTTTGAGGACAAAAGCAGGTGGCAATAAATTAACATTTAGTAAACACGTCCAGTTGGCCAGGCTGTAAACAAATTTGACATCACAGTCAAAATGGAGTTCCTTAAATCTGATGTTTTAAAAATATAAACTTAGTATTTTTTTAATTTGCCAGTTAGAATCTTGTTTTCTATTAATAAAAATTAAATATTGATGTTCCAAATAAGAGATTTATTCGATAAAGTAATTACAACAGCGTTCGTTTTTGTCGCTTTCACCCTGAGGAAAAAGACAACTCACACGGACAAATTTGTGGGAGCTTAAGATTTTGTTTAGACTGTCTTTGAACTTTCTTTTGTCTCCCTTTTCTGTTAGCAAAGCATTTCCCATTTCTCTGGGGTTTTGTTCTTTCTCCATTTTCTGATTTTCTGAACTGCAAGATGCATTGGGTGACACTGGAGCCAAAAGCAAGGATGTAAGATTTAACTCTTGATTTTGCTACTTTTTGTTTGATCTTGATTAACAAAGTTGATTTTTTCAATGCCCCAATCTCCTCATCTGACAATTAGAATAATAATAACACCTAGCCCTGAGGATTGTTGACTGGAAAGGAGGTAGATTAAGTAGTCAGTAATAATACATCTATGTCAATTTCTTCAACAATGAGCAGCATTACAATTCTGTAAATGAAATCTGTGATTTTAAAAATATTTACAATTGAGATGATAAAACAACTCATTTGTCATTGGAAAATTGCGCTACACCACACAACTTTGTGCTTCAGGTTTTCGGATGGAGGTGGCTGCAGACCTTAGGTAACGTCAGCTACCTGTGTTTTCATCCTGGGTATGTGTTCATGGTTGTACTATGCCATTTACACCTTGCTCAGAATGGGTCAGCTCTATGAGGAGTGATTTTTAAAATTTCCACTTGAGGGCGCTGTCTACTTCTGTGCGAATTGAAATACCGCAGATGTCCAATTACACAAGGAACGTTTTTAGGCAGCTGGATTTAACTTGTATCAAACTTCCAATTTATTCCAGTGACACGTTGGCCTTCCTTATTGATTGGTGCTCCAGGAGGATGGATCCTTACTTGTGCTGAACACTTTATATTAGACATTTCATTAAATTTTATTAATCCTTTCAAATATCTTGAGGAGAATACTTATCCCAATTTTATAAATGAGTAAACAATCTGAGAAAGGTTAAGTAATTCTCCCAAGCTGTCCTAACCAGTGTGTGATGTAAAACTTAGACTTAGGCCTAGATCACTCAAAGCATAAAACCAGTTTACATCTAGTTTACATTCTTCCATATTTTCTTTCTTTTAAATATATGTGTATTATATATTTGAACATACCATATACACACACATTTATATAAGTGAATGTATGTACATGTATATTCAAATATATATGCATCTGTGTATGTGTATATATATATATCTGTGTGTGTGCATATTTGGGTATATAAAACATATATAAATGTAATTTATAATTTGGTGGGCAAATATAATACATTTAAATGTTATGTATAAATATATTTACATGTACTATATAAATGGGGCTTAATTGGGGGAAGAACAGAAGGTATCTTATGTATAATATATAAATATTATATAAAAATACTTGCCCACTAAATTGTAAAATTACATTTAGATTTTATTTTAAAACATGTCCAAATTAAATATCTTGGTGAAGAAAACACAGATACCACTGTTTGCCTGCAGAGGAAATTCTGTTTTCTTGCTGTATAATGCAATAAATGTGCTAAGGCAGAGCCAGCATGCCCAACTGTTGTATCACATTGGCAAGCTGTAATAAAACGCCAAATTACTGTCTAGAAACAAAATACATTTTTGTTGTTACCAAGAGTTGCTTTAACTAAAAGGAAGGCACCCTAGCCCTTTAAATAGGTAAGTTCCCCCCCTTCCCATTTCTTGCAAAATCGAATTAGGTAAAGACTACAATAGTATTTGCATTTATAGGAAATCAATTCCCAGAGCACAGTAAGCCAGTAATTTACATAAAATTACTATTTCCCAACATAAGTAAAAGCAAAAGGGATAGTATACATTTTTATTTAATTTACAAGCAAATGTGTAAATATTACCCATCCAGGTAACCCAGTTGGTGTTTGCCACACCAACCTCTTTTTTAATGGTCTCCAGGTTGGATGCGATTTTCTCAAACTTCTCAAACTCAAGAGATCATATTAACTGAAAGGTGATTGAGAAGAGCATTGAAATAATTATCTTTTGAGCTTTGAATAAGCGGTCATGGCCTTCATCATATTAAATAGGAAGCCATTATTATATACCTGTTATGTCTGAGGCATTGTGCTGAGCAGTTATAAAGCCCTTTCTGAAAGTAGGGCTTGGTAGGGGGAGGAGCAGAAGGTATTTGTATCTGAAGGGGAGAGCTGTGGGAATGAGAGAAGTAGATACCACTGAAAAGCTCAGCCTTAACCTCGATGTCTACACTTTGCAAATGTTGCCTGCACGATGTTGTGTTGTATCCAATGAGGTAAATGTGCTCCAGGCATTTCAAGGAGAGGAAATGGCAGTGGATGGCCATAGAGGTGCATTTCTTCTTACTTTTTGGTAGTTTAGCAAGAAACCAGCTCAGTAGGTCTGAGTTAATTCAATAGAAGAACAGGCTGATACCAGAGACTGAGGCTCCCTGCCCCACCCCAGCTATTTCTAACAGAGCCACTTCCCTCACCAGGAAGCCACTACTGGTTTTTGGTGGCCTAGCTTTTCCCTGCAGTACTACTTTGCTCCTTTCCCTCTATGTGGAAGGTTACGGAGGTGGAATTCTTTCCTGTTGCTCTTCTGTGTTATATGCAATGTAGCTATGCCCAGCCTAAGCATAGTCTCCTCTGTGGAACAGATGAGACTTTAAGAGATTGTGTACGCTCTGCCACTTGTTTGTTTCTAATTAAAAAAAATACATTGTACCTGAGTGGCACTAATGGTATATGTGATCATACCCCCTTTACATGACACATCTGTTTATAAAATACTATGTGCGAGTAAGTAGGATAAAGACTACCAAATAAGTTATAATTAGAGTCACAGCTAAAGCAATCTGTTCTTCCAAATCTGGCATGTCACCTGTGCTCAGAACCATAGAACCAACTAATTCACACCTGTGGATATGTCTGCATAAATATTCCAATGGCTTGACTGACTACTCTGCTTGCGATGAAGGAACACTTTTAAGAGCCCAGATCATGAAACAAACTTTGATTTAGGCCCATCAAAGTGGCATTTTTTTGAGAATATATCAGTGGAAGTGTTAATGTTAGATAACAATATGTTATAAATTTTAACACTGACCTTTAACATTCCAAGAGCAGGAATTGCCCGAGGCTTGCTACTGTCATTGCCTCTAGTTCTAGTTAAACTAGAGGCTTTCATTTGGTCCTCCAGAGGCACTACTGATGAAATCACTTCGAGAAATGTCAGAATTGGATAAAACATTTTCGCACACATTAGGCAGGACAGGCAAACCTGGTGGGCTGATGTCAAAAACATAAAACCACATCATGGACTTGTTTGAAATACTTTGTCTGTCATGTCTACAAATATAGAGGCGCGTAAGACTCATCTTCCTGGCTGAGACCTCACACCTCAAAGGACATATGGGATTGATAGCATTGATAACTCATGGGCTTTTGGATGGAGATGTTGCTTTCCAAAATCTGGAAACGAAAAGGGAAAATTATGACCTTTTCTTTCCATGAAAAGAGTTGTATTGTTCTGTGAAAATTGCAATCAGAGAGTCAGACAAAGATAAATATATAAGAAAAGTGCTTGGAACGTAAAGCCTCTATGGTAATGACAACCATTTTAGCTCGATGAATTATATAACTAACCAACTGCTTTATTTTTTACCTGTTAACATGAACTTGCTTGAAAAAAATCAAAAAACATAAAAATACATACAATAAAAGATGTGCTTCCTTTTTAGTCCTTTATATTAGTTTCTTTTGTATACTTAGTTTTTTCCTGCAAATATAAGCAAATAGATGTTTATTTTATTCTTATCCCTTGCTAATACATTTCTAGCTTTCCACATATTTCCTGGATTATTTTGTACTTTTAAATTGTTGGGGCCAGGGATGGTAGCTCACGCCTGTAATCCCAGCACTTTGGGAGGCCAAGGCGGGTGGATCACCTGAGGTTGGGAGTTCGAGACCAGCCTGACCAACATGGAGAAACCCCGTCTCTACTAAAAATACAAAATTAGCTGGGTATGGTGGTGCATGCCTGTTATCCCAGCTACTCTGGAGGCTTAGGCAGGAGAATTGCTTGAACCTGGAGGCAGAGGTTACAGTGAGCTGAGATCTTGCCATTGCACTCCAGCCTGGGCAACAAGAGTGAAACTCTGTCTCAAAAAAAAAAAAAAATTGTTGCTATATTATGAGATGTCTCGATTTTAATGACTGTAATATATTCATTGTGATTTGTACCATTTAAAATTATTTTCAAAAGTGCCCTTTTTGAATTTTTTTTTTTAACTTTTAACACTTTGGCCTGAATTATTTCACCTCTGCTGATTCATTTGATAGTAGTATCACAATTCCTTTACCTTTCATTTTTTTGTGTGCATATTTGTATGGTATGCCTTTCACTATTATTTCCTCTCTGTTTTTTAGAGGCAGAGTCTTGCTCTGTCACCCAGGCTGGAGTACAGTGGTGCAATTATGGCTCACTGCAGCCTTGAACTCCTGGGCTCACAAGCTCTTCCTGCCTTAGCCTCCTGAGTAGCAAGGACTTACAGGCAAGCACCGCCATGCCCTGCTATTTTTTTTTTTTTTTAAGAGATGGGATCTTGTTATGTTGCCCAGACTGGTCCCGAACTCCTAGCCTCAAGCAATCCCCCTACCTTGGCCTCCCAAATTGCTGGGACTACAGGTGTGAGTCACCGCATCCCATCTACTTTCTACATCAACTTGTTTTAGTAGTATCTTTGTATACAATATAGACTTGGTTCATATTTTAGTTCAATCTGAAAATTGTTTTCTACTCTTAGGTGAATTAAAGTCTTTTATGTTTGTTAAAATGGAAGATATATTTGGCCGCATTGTAGCTAATTTTGGTCACATTCCTTTTGATTTAACAGTGACTACTTTAATGAATCAGCTACTGTCTGGTTTTGAGTGGAGTATTACTGACCTCTGTGGTTGTGAGGAAAAAATATGATGAGTTGGTTTTTAAATCCTTCTGCCTGGATGTAGTAGGCATCATTTTCAGTCACATTTCATTGACACAAGCAAATTAAAGCCATTTTAAAACATTTTAAAGCAGGAGGAGGGAAAATATAGTCCTGTCTTTGACCTGGAAGCACAAGACCAGGAATATTGTTCATAGGTGTATGATTGCCAAATGAAGCTGTCTGACATTTTGATTTCTGATTTTCAAGCTCACTATGTGAGTTACTGGGGTCTTGATTTGAGGATTTAGTTATGCTGGAGATTTGGTCCAAATATTTTTAGACATTTCGCTCTGTCAATGAATGACTTGGATTATATTTATGCAACTCTGAACAAAATATATTTTGGATATGGAGAAATTTTGAATATTTAAAATACTTGGCTAATGGAGAAAATGGCAATCATAACAATGATAATGATGAAGATGAATATAATGGGGAAGATAATGACAGGAAAAATAGTGCTTGAGAATTATAATCATCATATGACAAATGGCAGAACTTAAAGACTAACGATGTTTATTCAATGGCATTAGGAGTTATCTTTTTGGAATAACAGCTTGGAACATCACCGGCCAGAATGCTTTCACTTATAGTTTATGGAACAATCTGTTTCTTTGGGCTCAATTTATTGCAGTATATAATTTATCCTTCCAATTCACATTTTTCTGTTTATTATTGCAAATATTTTTGTTGGAGTTTACTCGTTAATATTATTTTAAACACTGGTCATTAAAATTTTGCATCTGCAGCTTTAAAATTGTTGCTAAAAGTGCTTGCAATAGCACTTGCATGGTATCTTAGTTACAGTCACTGTTCAAATTACATTATTTGAATGACTTCTATAAAAATAATTTTTATTGCTGAAGAAAAATTGTACTGTAGATCTCCTCTCACCTTCAGCATAACATATAAGTCACAAAATGAGCTAAAATTTTAGAGAAAACAGATGGTTGTTCCTTGTATTCATTAACTGAAATTAGTCATAACAAAATGCTAATTTTGATCAGACTTATGTAATGATACAGGCCAGTATTTTTCTCTGGTGAACCTTAAAGAAAAAGAAAATATCAATTACTATTATTTATTGAGTATTTAATATGTACCAGTAATTGTATCCTATCAATAACTTAATAAAGGGGGAATTATTATGTTCATACCCATTTTCTGATGAAAAATCTTGTCTTACTCTTCAGCTAGTAGAATAATGGAAGTATGATTGACACATAGGAAGTCTGACTCCAGAATCTATTGTGTGAGAGATGACCTTGCCACCATGCTTGACAAACTCCCTATCACTGCATTCAAATTGTATTTTATTCCAAGATAAAAATTATCGAGACATAAAAGGAAAAAATAAGGACCTTAGTGCTCACTTTGCAGTTTTAGATTTATAAAGGTAATTTTCTATTTATCTTTTCATATTTTGCATCAACAATACTTTATTACTACCCTAATTACGTACCAAATACTAAGCTCCTGGTAACTAGGAACCTGATTTGTTTAAAAGAACCCCATGTTTCCATTCATTGGAGACTCTGCGTTAGGCATTATACCTTATTAAATCAATATCTTTTATTGTTTGTAAACTCATATATTTGGAAAGATCATAACCATTTTATTGGAGATATAAACATTTAGGAACTGTAATCAGCTATACTAAACTGCTATCAATAATGAGTCAACTTTATATCTTCTTCATGCCAGAAATGAGTTAATTTTTATGCATATTGTTTTGCTTGTAGCTATTTGTTTTAGCACAATTGGCTGAAAAAAACTATTCTTCCTTCTTTGAATGGTTTTGACACCTTTGTCAAATATCAGTTTCTCATTAGGCATTTGAGTTTACTTCTGGACGCTCGATTCTCTTCCACTGATCTACATATGTCTCTTTATAGCAGTAACACACTGTCTGATTGCTGTTTTGTTATTTTCGAACTTTGGAAGTGTGAATCTTCCTTCATTTTTCTGCTTCATTTTTGAAGGATTGTTTAGGCTCTTCTGGTCCTCTTGCAATTCCATAAAAATTTTAGAATCAGTTTCTCAATTAAAACATCAGCTGGTATTTTTATAGGAATTTCACTGAGTCTATAGATTAGTTTGAGGTGTATTAACATTTTACCATTGTTAAGTCTCTGGTCTGTGAATACGGGATGCTGTCCCACTTATTTAGACCTTCCTTAATTTTTCTCAACAATTTCTGTCAACAAGTTTTCCTTTAACAATTAAAAGCTTAAATGTTATTGAGTTTTCAGAGCATAAGTTTTGCATTTCTTTGGTTAAATTTATTCCTATTTTTTATTATTGCAAATGGAACTGTTTTCTTTTATTTTTGGATTATTCTTTACAAATTGGTAGGAATACAATTAATTTTTGCATATTGATCTTGTATTCTGAAAACTTGTTGATGAGAAACTTTATTATAATAGTGTTTTTGTGGATTCTTTAGGATTTTTTCTGTACACAGTGTTGCTGTTTATAAACAGAATTTGTTTTTGTTAGTTTTTCTTTTTCCAACCTGGGTGTGTTTTATTTTTTCTTTTTGATTAATTGTCCTGGTGCAATGTCAAACAGAAGTGTTAAAGATGGTTACTTTGTCTTGTACCTGATTCTAGGGAGAAAAATTCAGTCATTCATCAATTAGTATAATGTTAACTGTGGATTTTTTGTAAATGTTCGTTGTCCAGTTGAGATTTCCTTCTATTCCTAGCGTGTGGAGTGTTTTTATCATGAAAGGGTGCTGAATTTTGTCAAATGCTTTTTTTCTGTATTTATTGAGATGCTCATTTGATTTATTTATTTTGATATGATAATTTACATTGATTGTAAATTATCAGATGTAAAACAACCTTGCGTCTTGAAATAAATCACACTTGGTCATAATTTATAATTCTTACAATATGCTGCTGGATTTCATATGTTAGTTATTTGGTTGAGAACTTTTGCATTTATATTCATAAGAAATTTTGATCTGTAGTTCTCTTTTCTTGTAATATCTTTGATTTTGGCATCAGAGTAATGCTGACCTTAATAAGGGAGTTGGGAGGTGTTCCCTTCTGTTTTCTGGAACAGTTTGTGAAGAACAGTTTCTTTGAATGTTCAGTAGAAATCAGCAGTGAAGCCATATTTTCCTAGGATACTTTGTGGCTATTTTAAAAAATGATAAATTCAGTATCTTCACCTAGGTCTATTCAGATCGTTTATTTCTTCATGAATCAGTTTCAGTAGTTTGTGTCTTTCTAAGAGCGTTTATTTCTTTTAAGTTATCTAATTTGTTGGTGTACAATTGTTCAATGTATTCATTTATAATCCTTTTTATTTATGTAAGGTTGGTAGTAATGTCCAGTCTTTTATTTCTGATTATAATAATTTGTCTTATCTTTATCTTTTGGTCAAACTAGGAAAGGCTGCCAATTTTGTTGATCACTTTGAGAAATTTAATTTTCTATTCTCTATTTCATTAATTTCCATCGTAATGTTTAACTTTCCTTCTCCTTACTTTAGGTTTACTTTGCTCTCTTTTATTCAGCGGAAGTTTAGGTTATTAATTTGAGACATTTCTTGTATATATTTTTGTGAGATGGAGACTCGGTCTGTTACTCAGCCTGGATTAATAGGCATTTCCACCTATAAATTTTTCTCTAAACATTGCTTTAGCTGCATCCCATGTTTTGACACATTGTGTCTTTAGTTTCATTCATCTCAAAATATCTTCTAGTTTCCTTTTTGATATTTCTCTTTTGGCCCATTGCTTGTTTTAGAGAGTGTTGTTTGATTTCCACATATTTGTAATTTTCTTTAATTTCTCTTTATTATTAATTTTTGTTATGGTATTATAGTCAGAGAACATAATATTACTTCTATCTTTTAAAATTTATTGATGTTTGTTTTATAGCCTAATATATGGTTTATCCTAAGAAATATTTCATTTATTTTCACTTGAGTAGAATGTCTATTCTGTTGTTGGGTAGAATGTTCTATGGGTATTTGTTAGGTCTGGTTGGTTTATACTGTTGCTCAAGTTTTCTGTTTCTTTATTGATCTTCTCTTTAGTTGTTTTGCCTATTAGTGAAAGCAGGATATCTAAGTCTCCAACAATTATTTTGATTGTCTATTTCTTCCTTCATTTGGTTAGTTTTTGCCTTATATATTTTGATGCTCTGTAGTTACTTTTTACTATTAGTTGTTAGGTGCATACACATTGATTATAGTTATATATCTTGCTAGATTAAAAATTTTATTATAAGAAGTTCCTCTTTATCTCTGATAACTTTATCTTTTGTATTAAGGTCTATTTTGTCCGGTATTAGTATAGTTACCCCAGTTTTCCTGTGTTGCTGCTGGCCTAACGTATCTTTTTTCTGTTCTCTTACTATTTTTTTGTTTAAGACAGGATATCACTCTGTCGTCCAGGCTGGAGTGCAGTAGCACAATCACAGCTTACCCTAGCCTTGACCTCTTCAGCTCAAATAATCCTCCCACCTCAGCCTCCCAAGTAGTTGAGACTATAGCCATGCACCACCATGCTCAGCTAATTTTTGTATGTATGGTAGAGATGGAATTTCGCCATGTTGCCCAGTCTTGTCTTGAACTCCTGAGCTTAAGCAATCTGCCCACTTTGGCCTTCAAAAATGCTGGGATTACAGGTAGAAGGCACTACACCTGCCCCATCCTCTTATTTTCAATCTATTTGTGTTTTTGAATCTAACATGCTTCTCCTGTAAATGACATACAGTTAGATCATGTTTTTTAATCTAGTCTGACAATTTCTGCCTTTTAACTGGGTTAGTTCCCATTTAATTTGATTCTTGATATTGCCAGATTTATGTCTGTCATTTTGTTTTTCCTTTTCTATAGGCCTCATGTCTTTTTGTTTCACTTTAGCTTCATTAATGATTTTCTCACTTTTTGAGCTACTCATTTTTAGTGGTTTCTCCAATGTTTATCATATACATTTTAATTTATCCGAATCAGCTTCGGATTATGCTAGCTTAATATCCATAATACATAGAAATGTTACTTCTATATAACTCTATTCCCATTTCTCCTTTTTTGGTACTATTATTGTGCATGTTATGTCTTTTAATGTTACATGCCAACAATATATTATATTAATTATTACTTTACCACCTATCATTATTTCTTATCCCATTATAGCTTTACTGTGACCAACTTCTTCTGTACTGCTATTGACAAATATATTACTCACATATTACATTTCCATGTGCTATAAGCACAACAATACATTTTATATTATTATGCAATTGTGTTTTAAAAATCTTTTAACTAAAGAAATAGAAAAAAATATGTCATTATGGTTTCTTTTATAATTACATCATTACTCTTACCAGTGCTCTTTGTTTCTGTGAATGGAATTGCTATCCAAGGTCATTTAGTTTCAGACTGAAGAATCCCCTTTAATTTTATTGTAAGTCAGGTGTGCTAGCAACAAATTCTCTCAGGTTTTTTGTTTGTTTGTTTGTTTGTTTTGGGCACTCTTTATTTCACCTCAATTTGGGAATGATAATTTTGCTAGGTATAGGATTCTTGGTTGACAATTTATGGTTTCACTGATAACTTTGAATATGTTATCCTCCTGCCACCTGGCCTCCACTGGTTATGGGGTGAGATTTCAGTCATGAAGCTCATTGGCGTTAGGTATGCATTATTTTTATTTTGCTGCTTTCAACATTTTTGCTTTGGCTCTGACTTTCAGCATTTTTATTATGGTGGATCTGTTTGTGGGTATCTGCATTTTGTCCTACTTAGAGTATGTTGAGCTTTCTGGATGTGTAAGTTATAGTTTTTAATAAATTTGGGAATTTTCAGTCATTATGTTTTTAAAATTCTTATTTCTTTTTCTCTTCTTCTGGTATTCCCATTATAAGCAATTGGTGTGCTTAATGTTCTGCATAACTCTGTATTTTTCTTCATTATTTTTTCTCTCTGTTTAGGCTTACATAATCTCTATCAATCTATCTTCAAGTTTGGTAATTCTTTGCTTTCTTCAAATCTAGTATTCAGCACCTCTAATGCATTTCTTAAAAATTTCAGTTACTGCGCTTTTTATTTTATTTATTTATTTATTCATTTTTTGAGACAAGGTCTCACTCTGCTGCCCAAGCTGGAGTTCAGTGGTGAGATCTCAGCTCACTGCAACCTCTGCCTCCTGGATCAAGGGGTCCTCCCACCTCAGACTCCTGAGTAGCTGGGACTACAGGCACATGCCGCACATCTAGTAATTTCTTTTTTTCTTTTTTTCTTTCTTCTTCTTCTTCCTTTTTTTTTTTTTTTTTTTTTTTTTTGTAGAAACAGGGTTTTGCCATGTTGCACAGGTTGGCCTCGAACTCCTGGTCTCAAGCAATCTGTAGGCCTCAGCCTCCCAAAATGCTAGAGTTACAAGCATGGGTCACTACACCTGGAATACTGCACTTTTTAACTTCTCATTTCTATTTTTCTTTTTAAAAACTTCCTAACTCTTTGTTGATATTCGTTAATCAGTGCAGCATTGCCATCATATGTCCTTTTATTTCTTTAATCATGCTTTCCTGTAGTTCTGTGAACACATTTATAATGGTTACTTTGAAATTATTTTCTCTAAATCTGACATCCTCCCACACTCACAGGCAGTGTCTGTTGCTTTCCGTCCACTCTATCCCCCACCAATATATGGATCTTTGCTGTTTCTTGGCATGTCTCAAAATACTTTTTTGGAAATGATATTTTAGATAATATATTGTAGTAATTCTGGGTATTCTTCCCCTCCTTACTGGTCTTATTATTGTTATTTGCTTGTTTATTTGTGTAGTAAGTGGTTGGATTATTTTACTAAAATGTGTTCTCCCCGACTTCTAATATTGAACCTCTGATGTTGCTCTTCAGGGAGGCACAGGGATAACAATAGTGCTTATAGAATTCTCTTCCACTCTTTTCCAGACTACACATCCAGATATTAAACTCCACTAATTTTCAGTTGATTTTTTGTTCTCAGCAGTACTTTGGACATACATTCCTTTACGAACTAATTAAATCAAATTTTAGCTCCTTCAATGGATAGGATAGTTTCTGCAGTCACTGTTCAGATATTTGTTCTGATCTCAGGAGGACTTCTCCCAGTTTTCTTATTTCTAGGTTCTCTCTGATAGGATAGCCAGTCTATCCTGTAGTTTAGGCTGTATTTTCATTAGATCAATGAATCTCTCCTCACCACAATCTCCATTGTTCATGAGAGTGCCTTTAGGTTTAAATTTGTCTATGTTCTGGTGCAAATGAAGTCAGTTCTTTTGAAAATAAATGAGGATCCATCTGTTTTCCAGTTTGCTGAAAAAATCTCTGAGCCAAGGTCTTAAGCTGACAGTGGCAAACACTTCTCTGAGTCACGACACTTCTGTTCTTGAAGCTGAATGCTTGGTGGAGGGATGCAGATAGCTTAGAGATGGAAATGGAGAATATAGAAGAGCAAGGAGGAACGCTGTGATACTGCATTAGAATTACAACTATCAGAGTAAACATCATACACACACACATACACACACATATACACACACACCCTCTTACATATAACAAACGGTCCATTTTGGGGATTTTTCTGACTTTTCTTTTGTTTCAGAAGCTTTAGTAAGAAGAGCTTCTATGCAGTTTTAATCGTTGAGCCAATAATATATATTGCTGGCTTACTTAATAAATTTTACATTAAACCAGAGACAAATGTTCATCCTCTAAGCAAGCAAGTTGACTTTTCTTTGCCATAAGGATGTATACAAATGTATTTTCTTACATGCACAGACAGCCAGATTAAAAAAGAAAACATTAAATGCATTAAACTCTCAGCTCTAAGAGGGTACAAACTACATCCCCTTCCTGTCAACTTTTAAAGATCAATTGACTTTTTGTCCTTGTGATAGTTTGCTGAGAATGATGGTTTCCAACACCGCATGTTCTCACTCATAGGTGGGAACTGAACAATGAGAACACATGGACACAGGAAGGGGAACATCACACACCGGGGCCTGTTGTGGGGTCAGGGGAGGGGGGAGGGATAGCATTAGGAGATATACCTAATGCTAAATGAAGAGTTAATGGGTGCAGCACACCAACATGGCACAGGTATACATGTGTAACAAACCTGCACGTTGTGCACATGTACCCTAAAACTTAAAGTATAATAATAAAAAAAAGATCAATTGAGTATAATTTCAAAGTTAGATATAAGTTTAATCTTGGAGAAGTTATAATCTTTTCTGGATATGAAATTTGCTTTTAGTATAGGACTAATGATTTGTGTGAATTCTGATTTGACATATATTTTTCACTACAATGATGAACCATTCACACTATATGTGGCAGAAAGCAGTGAAAAATGGAAAGTAAATTACATTAAAATGAAGGGTTTAAAAAAATCTATGGTGGGTGTAGCTTTAACCTATTGTCCTTGTGTGAAAAATGAAGGTTACCACTTATTTCTTTTAGAGAAATTTTCAAATACTTGAGAGAAGGAGGGAGAGAGAGAGAGAGTCATGAGCCAAGCACATTTTTTTTTTGTTGTTTAAATTGTTTGAGGTAATACAGGGAACTTAAAAAAAACTAATAGCTTGATTTTTTTGTCTGATACAGATTATGTAAAATAGGTACTTCAAAATGATATATGATACATAATGAATATTATTTATATTATTCCTCAATTTTAAATAGCAAATAATCCACATAGTATGTTAATTACATAGAAAATGTAAACATACCACATTTGTCCTTAAGTTTATTAATACTCAAATATCTCTGTATATCAAAAAAAATTGAGTAACAATAATTATTTTTAACACTTACCATGTTTATTGCTTGGAGGAATTACCTTACTCCTTAATCATATTCCAGAAATATTTTGAGTTTAGACTTGGAGAAACAAATTTCTGTCCCAGGGAAGACTTTAAGAAGGCTCTGAAGTATGAGAGAAGAAAATCAAAGTTGTTCAGTAGTATTTCCATCATTAAACCTTTAAAAATGTTAGTCAAAATCCATTTATTATTTCTGAAGCCTAGAAGACACAGTATGGCAAATTCCCCATAGTACATATTCTAAACTTTGCCATTCAGGTGGAACTGTTTGAAAAACCACATTTTGTGCTTCACTTCCTTCCTTTTCCTGAGTTTATTCCCTTTTACTTCTATTGGTAGCACTTAAAGTGATCCTTCCTGCTTTGAACAATTCACCATGTAAATAAAATAACATCAAAGAACCAGACTTAATACACTCCATTCCAGCATGGGCTCCCACAGGTTGATCTGAAGGAGACTGAAGAATTAATCACCCAGGATAGAAGCCTCAAGCTTTTCATATGCTTAATGCTCAAGTCACTTTCACAAAAAATGCTCTCCTTCCCTTTTGTTTTTATGTTTAGTTTTCTAAACACTGTCATTCTGTTTCCGCTTCAGCTCCAGATCCCCAGGATGTCTTGGCACCAAACACATGTAAAACAGATAAACACCTTCTTGCACACTCTAACAAGTGCAGCAATTAGTCTCTGAGCACAGCTTGCTCTCCACCATGGCAACTCATTTGGTGCTGTTTGTTATCATAGGAAAACAACTTTGAATCAGCAACATTTGTTTGATTCCCCAGTTTTCACCCCTGTTGGCATGGTGGCTTCTGTATATCCTTTTCATATCATAAGTTCTGCACCTCTAAGAAATGAGCTGCACCCAGCATACAGCACTTGACTCCTGTATGTCACCTTGTCACATTCTCTTGGAACTTTCAGCTCTGGGTAATCTTCACTCCATATGGGCTGTGATAACTACTTGCCATGGTGTGAATGATAGATAATTTCAGTCCGGACATTTTTTTCTTTCCTTTTTTTACATAATAGTAGAAACTTAGCATTAATAATCCTTGTTATATGTTTATAAACAGCCTATATTCCAAGATGCAAAATGTTATTTGCTATATACTCAAGGGGGTATATTTAGCAGGTGAGAGAACACTTTTCTTCTATTTTCTTGATGCCACAGAGAGGCTAAAGAATTTCTCTGAGTTGTTGCATAAATTGTAAAGTTGGATGTAAAGTCCTTATAAGGTGTTTATTTTATGTATTACCTTACCTTCCCCAATTATATTATTTCAGAAGTACTGGATTTTTGAAGAGAGTATGCGGGGCTAAAATACGTTGAAATTTGTCTTCTGTCCTGAAGCATGGTAAAGAAAGTTATGAATAAGAGTGCCTGTTTTCATCAGTGATGTATAATAAACCATATTTTCTTGTGTAAATTAGTATTATTGTTATTGGTGGCAAATTCATATGGGTCTGCAGTAACCTCAGTTCTTGCCTCCTCAGAAGAAATAATTTGACCAAGGAGGGCATAAGGCAGAAGGACAGACCAAGGCAAGTTTTAGAGCAGGAGTGAAAGTTTATTAAAAAGCTTCAGAGCACATTAATTTTGTATCCTGAGACTTTGCTGAAGTTGCCTATCGGCTTAAGGAGATTTTAGGCTGAGACGATGGGGTTTTCTAGATATACAAACATGTCATCTGCAAACAGGGACAATTTGACTTCCTCTTTTCCTAATTGAATACCCTTTATTTCCTTCTCCTGCCTGATTGCCCTGGCCAGAACTTCCAACACTATGTTGAATAGGAGTGGCAAAAATCACAAGCATTCTTATACACCAATAACAGACAAACAGAGAGCCAAATCATGAATGAACTCCCATTCACAATTGCTTCAAAGAGAATCAAATACCTAGGAATCCAACTTAAAAGGGACGTGAAGGACCTCTTCAAGGAGAACTACAAACCACTGCTCAATGAAATAAAAGAGGATACAAACACATGGAAGAACATTCCATGCTCATGGGTAGGAAGAATCAATATCGTGAAAATGTCCATACTGCCCAAGGTAATTTATAGATTCAATGCCATCCCCATCAAGCTACCAATGCCTTTCTTCACAGAATTGGAAAAAACCACTTTAAAGTTCATATGGAACCAAAAAAGAGCCTGCATCGCCATGTCAATCCTAAGCCAAAAGAACAAAGCTGGAGGCATCATGCTACCTGACTTCAAAATATACTACAAGGCTACAGTAACAAAAACAACATGGTACTGGTACCAAAACAGATGTATAGACCAACGGAACAGAACAGATGCCTCAGAAATAACGCCACACATCTACAACCATCTGATTTTTGACAAACCTGACAAAAACTAGCAATGGGGAAAGGATTCCCTATTTAATAAATGGTGTTGGGAAAACTGGCTAACCATATGCAGAAAGCTGAAACTGAATCCCTTCCTTACACCTTATACAAAAATTAATTCAAGATGGATTAAAGACTTAAACTCTTTATACATTTAAGAAATATTTATTGAAACTCTACTATATGTTAGGCATTGTGCTAAAAGCTAGGTAAAGTGAGTGCACTAAAGTAGATACATACTCTTCTGCCTTCAGATATGTTATGTTCTAGTGTATGTGACAAGTACTAAGAAAAATAATTATACATTAAGTGTTAAAAAGGAAATAACAAGGTGAGACTGAGACAAGTGGGGATGGAAGGGAAGTATGTTATATAAGGTAATAGGGGCAACTTTGCAGATTTTGGTTTCCTTGGAAATCACAGTCACTAGAAAAACCACACTGACTATTTCTGCTTATTTATGTCCTTGCATTCTGTTGCAAGGAGAGGATAATGGTATGGGAGAAATATGAGGTTTGATTTCAGAAAAGGTTAGTGAAAACATGTTTTTGCCTTGTGCTTACCATTCAAGGTGTCTTGGAGAAATTTGTTTTTTTCGCTGGACTTGTTTCCTTCTCTGTTGTAATGCTTATTATAGAGGTACTTACTCACCAAGCTGCTAAGAGGTACAACAGTTGTTATCAGAATGCCAAGCCAAGTATTTAAATATGTTGATAGGACTGCATTTGATAACGGCACTTAGCAGATCTTTATTGGTTCTGCATATGTCAAAAGCTAGAGTTCCTTGACGTGACTTAGCCAGTTTAGTCTATGACATTAGAATGTCTGCATCTATAAATATATAAGCCAGACTTAGGCTTTCAAAGATGCTGATGAAGAGCTACAGCCATTTTTACTTTGAATGGAACAGAATGATTTTTGTTGTAACTATTATGAAGTCAAATTTATAAACTTGTGAGAATATGTGGTGGAGCTATCCAGCTAGGTAGTCTTGGTTTCATCCTGGTGGGTTCAGCGTTCTCTAAACACACACTAGTGTTGCAGCTGCTGTGTTGTTAGGCAATGTTATTGGTTTTAGGATGTTGGACAAATACCTATCAAATGATATGCACAGAGGATTGCATGACAAATATCTGATTTCAAAGATGATAGGAAACATGAAAGCAGGGGCCCAACACTTATATACAGATGAGTACATCTTATAAGTTACAGGTATTTATCTGGTTGTCTTAAGCAAATGTTCGTTATGGCCATCAGTTTACACATTGGTACTCAGCTGTACCTTTAGTGATATTTCCTTCTATTCATCCTTCTTTATTCCCGGTATAATCATTCTAAGATAATGTTGGTGTTAAGAGGTCAAAAGCGGGATTCTATCAAATGCTCTGAAATATGCAAAAATATGGTTTACATTTTCTAAAGCATGCTTGAGAGGTTCTAACATCTATTGATTTTTTGAAGGTATCTGTTACACACAGATACTAAATCCTAGCCCTATATATTACTGTAGAAGGTATTTAAAAAACTGATGAAATGACAAACAAAAGATTGAATCAGCTATATACCAGGAACTATGCTAAATTATTTTACATTACTTCTTAATTTCTTAATTGCTCTTATTTCTAGTATTTCTACCAACTCTGTATAGCCTCCCAATTATTCTTCAAAGTGACCCAACCTATCATGTCTTTAATTATCATTACATGCTTAGTTTTTAAAGTTGCTTTTTCCTGTTCTTGGTCATCACTTGTGCTAGTGTTCTTTGCTTTCAAACTGTCTTCAGAATAAGTCAACAGATATTGTGGCAGCTTCTCAAATACAGTAAGTCCCAAGCTAAGTAGGTCATTCCTAAGTGTTCTCAATCCTCCAGTAAAAGTGTTCTTTTTCTCAGTTTCTCTACTTTTGTCTCTGATTTTTAAAATTTTTCCTTGTGTGTCAGTCTGGAATATTCAAAGTCATTTTGGTTTCTTTTCTTGTCTTTGCGTTCTTTATCAAATCTGTTCCTAGATTCTATTTTTCCTATCAATTACATCTTTAATTTACCCATTTCTTTGTTCTTCTCAATCCATAACTTAGAGCTTCAAAATCTATTTCCAAATTATTTTTCAGTGAACACTCTTGCCTTTCCTTGTTGTTTCTTTTTTTTTCTTTTTTTCCATTTATTTTATCTTATTTTATTATTATTATACTTTAAGTTTTAGGGTACATGTGCACAATATGCAGCTTAGTTACATATGTATACATGTGCCATGCTGGTGTGCTGCACCCATTAACTCGTCATTTAGCATTAGGTATATCTCCTAAAGCTATCCCTCCCCACTCCCCTAACCCCACAATAGTCCCCAGAGTGTGATGTTGCCCTTCCTGTGTCCATGTGTTCTCATTGTTCAATTCCCACCTATGAGTGAGAGTATGCGGTGTTTGGTTTTTTGTTCTTGCGATAGTTTACTGAGAATGATGATTTCCAATTTCATCCATGTCCCTACAAAGGACATGAACTCATCATTTTTTATGGCTGCATAGTATTCCATGGTGTATATGTGCCACATTTTCTTAATCCAGTCTATCATTGTTGGACATTTGGGTTGGTTCCAAGTCTTTGCTATTGTGAATAGTGCTGCAATAAACATACGTGTGCATGTGTCTTTATAGCAGCATGATTTATAGTCCTTTGTGCATATACCCAGTAATGGGATGGCTGGGTCAAATGGTATTTCTAGTTCTAGATCCCTGAGGAATCGCCACACTGACTTCCACAATGGTCGAACTAGTTTACAGTCCCACCAACAGTGTAAAAGTGTTCCTATTTCTCCACATCCTCTCCAGCACCTGTTGTTTCCTGACTTTTTAATGATTGCCATTCTAACTGGTGTGAGATGGTATCTCACTGTGGTTTTGATTTGCGTTTCTCTGATGTTCTGTTTCTTATACTTAAAATACCCTCCTTTCTTCTCTAAGTACATGTACGTATATTCATCTTCCCAACTCACTTAATTCTATATTCTTTTCAGACGATTCTCATCCATCTAAATCTCTGCTTTCTGTAACTGAATCCTGAATCTTCAGTGTGAGACTACGTAGTTTAATCCCTTCTTAAGTCCTTATTTCAATTTTGTATTCTCAGATATAATCTCCATAAAGTGAGGAACTGTACTTCTTCCGTATCCCTTTGATATAAAGAGAAGCATTAGGATGTGGTAGATGTTTATGAAACATTTATGGGTTGACCAAAGGGCTTTCTCAAGACTGTGAAGAAAAAGTAAGAAATCTCTCCACACCTCAATGTTAGTCCTCAGTTTTATTCAGTGTGGTGTGCAGTTAAAAACATAAAGTTTGGAATGAGGTATATTTCAGAATTTGTATCTTGACTCCACTACTTGCCCAAGGGAATTAAATGTGTTAAGCCTAATTTTTTTATTTGTGAAATAAGGATAATTGTATCAACCTCCTGCTGTTGTTGCAAGGGACTAAATGAGATAATAATACAAAATTGCTGACCAACATTCGCACATTACTAATACTATACCTGAATAATTTACATGGATATCTAATTTAATGCCTACAGTGATCTTTTGCGGAACACTGAGGCATGGGGCTATTATCCTCTTCATTTTACAAAGAAACTAAAGTATAGAGATTAAGTGATTTGCTCAAGATTATAAAGTTCACAAGCAGTGGGATAGGATTTGAACCCATCATTAAGTTCAAAATATATGCTCCCGATCAGTAAACT
Source organism: Homo sapiens (assembly GCF_000001405.40). NCBI lineage: Eukaryota > Metazoa > Chordata > Mammalia > Primates > Hominidae > Homo > Homo sapiens. The sequence goes on from NC_000009.12 coordinate 22,489,347, forward strand.
ATAATATGTATTAGCATTGAACATAATGTCCAGCTCACATTGAGTATTCACTATATGATAGCAGTTTTATTAGCATGAAGAATGTGTTTGCTTAACATTTGAGTGCTTGCAAATGAATGAATGAAGGAATAAACACATTCTAGTCTGTCATTCTTTTATTAACACAGACATTCATAAACTCTGTATTGTTTAGCAAGATTTTTCTTTTCTAGTAATATATTCTTCAGTAAATGAGACAATTAGGGAATTCCTCATTATCAGTCCTATGGTCAAATTATAAGTCAAATATACCCTTATTTATCCACACCTCAACATTATAGCACCAAGAATAAACAACCAACTTTATAGCACTAAGAATAAGTATCCCATATCTTCATTTGGTTTCTCAAATAGGAAATACTTAGGCGGTAGTGTCTTAAGTCTTGGTGGTAGAATTAACTAATATAACTACCTTGAGAATGGTAATTTTACCACTCCAAGTTTTATTCTCCCTATTCCAAAAAAATTCTTTGTTTTACTAGGTTATTATTTCTATTGTTTCTCCCAAAGATTTTCAGTTAGGTCTAAATGAGGTAATCACATGTATTCTTATTTTTTGAAACAAAGAAAGAACCCCTATGGGAACATTAATTTAGTTTTCAAGTATTTTAATAACTCAAGTTGTTTATTATCTGTCTCCACCAACATTTTATTTCTTTGTTTCTTCTAACGGAAAGCTTTTTCCTTTTTTTTTTCCCTGAAAACAATGTGCAACATTCTTAGAGGAGGGCTGGCTTATTTATTTATTTATTTATTATACTTTAAGTTCTGGGAATGTGCAGAATGTGCAGGTTTGTTACATAGGTATACACGTGTCATGGTGGTTTCCTGCATCCATCAACCCGTCATTGACATTAGGTATTTCTCCTAATGCTATTCCTCCCCTAGGCCCTTCACCCAAGACAGGCACCAGTGTGTAACGTTCCCGCCCCTGTGTCCTTTTGTTCTTATTGTTCAACTCCCACTTATGAGTGAGAACATGTGGTTTTCTGTTTTCTGTTCCTGTGTTAGTTGGCTGACAAGAATGGTTTCCAGCTTCATCCATGTCCCTAGAAAGGACAAGAACTCATCCTTTTTTTGTGGCTGCATAGTATTCCATGGCATGTGTGTGCCACATTTTCTTTATCCAGTCTATCGTTGATGGACGTTTGGGTTGGTTCCAAGTCTTTGCTATTGTGAACATTGCCACAATAAACATACGTGTGCATGTGTCTTTATAGTGGAATGATTTACAGTCCTTTGGTTATATACCCAGTAATGGGATTGCTGGGTCAAGTGGCATTTCTTGTTCTAGATCCTTGAGGAATTTCCATACTGTCTCCCACAATGGTTGAACTAATTTACAATCCCACCAACAGTGTAAAAGCATTCCTATTTCTCCACATCCTCTCCAGCATCTGTTGTTTCTTGACTTTTTAATGATCGCCATTCTAACTGGCATGAGATGGTATCTCATTGTGGTTTTGATTTGCATTTCTCTAATGACCAGTGATGATGAGCATTTTTTCATATGTTTGTTGGCTGCATGCATGTCTTCTTTTGAGAAGTGTCTGTTCATATCCTTTACCCACTTTTTGATGGGGTTGTTTTTTTCTTGTAAATCTGTTTAAGTTCTTTGTAGATTCTGGATATTAGCCAGATGTTTGTCAGATGGATAGATTGTGAAAATTTTCTCCCATTCTGTAGGTTGCCTGTTCACTCTGATGATAGTTTCCTTTGCTGTGCAGAAGCTCTTTAGTTTAATCAGATCCATTTTGTCAATTTTGGCTTTTGTTGCCACTGCTTTTTGTGTTTTATTCATGAAGTCTTTGCCCATGCCTGTGTCCTGAATGGTATTGCCTAGGTTTTCTTCTAGGGTTTTTATGGTTTTAGGTCTTATGTGTAAGTCTTTAATCCATCTTGAGTTAAGTTTTTGTACAAGGTGTAAAAAAGTGGTCCAGTTTCAGTTTTCTGCATATGTCTAGCTAGTTTTCCCAACACCATATATTAAATAGGGAATTGTTCCCTCATTGCTTGTTTTTGTCAGGTTTGTCAAAGATCAGATGGTTGTAGATGTGTGGCAGTATTTCTGAGGCCTCTGTTCTGTTCCATTGGTCTATATATCTGTTGTGGTACCAGTACTATGCTATTTTGGTTACTGTAGACTTATAGTATAGTTTAAGGTCAGGTAGCATGGTGCCTCCAGTTTTGTTCTTTGTGCTTAGGACTGTCTTGGCTATATAGGCTCTTTTTTGGTTCCATATGAAATTTAAAGTAGTTTTTCTAATTCTGTGGAGAAAGTCAATGATAGCTTTATGGGGATAGCATTGAATCTGTAAATTACTTTGGGCAGTATGGCCATTTTCATGATATTGATTCTTCCTATCCATGAGTATGGAATGTTTTTCCATTTGTTTGTGTCCTCTCTTATTTCCTTGAGCCATAGGTTGTAGTTCTCCTTGAAGAGGTCCTTCAAATACCTTGTAAGCTTTATTCCTAGGTATTTTATTTTCTTTGTAGCAATTGTGAATGGGAGTTCACTCATGATTTGGCTCTCTGTTTGTCTGTTATTGGTGTATAGGAATACTTGCGATTTTTGCACATTGATTTTATATGCTGAGACTTTGCGGAAGTTGCTTATCAGCTTAAGGACATTTTCGGCTGAGACAATGGGGTTTTCTAAATATATAATCATGTCATTTGCAAACTGAGACAATTTGACTTCCTCTCTTCCTATTTGAATACCCTTCATTGCGTTATTTTGCCTGATTGCCCTGGCCAGAACTTCCTATACTATGTTGAATAGGAGTAGTGAGAGAGGGCATCCTTGTCTTGTGCCAGTTTTCAAAGGGAATGTTTCCAGCTTTTGCCCATTCAGTATGATATTGGCTGTGGGTTTGTCATAAGTAGCTCTTATTATTTTGAGATACGGTCCATCAATACCTAGTTTATTGACTGTTTTTAGCGTGAAGGGGTGTTGCATTTTATCAAAGGCCTTTTCTGCATCTAATTGAGATAATCCTGTGGCTTTTGTCATTGGTTCTGGTTATGTGATGGATTATGTTTACTGATTTGCATATGTTGATCCAGCCTTGCATCCCAGGGATGAAGCTGACTTGATCGTGGTGGATAAGCTTTTTGATGTGCTGCTGGATTTGGTTTACAGTATTTTACTGAGGATTTTCTCCTCGATGTTCGTCAAGGATATTGAGCTGAAATTTCTTTCTTTTTTTTTTTTTTTTTGTTTTGAGACGGAATCTCTCTCAGTCATCCAGGCTGGAGTGCAATGGCATGGTCTTGACTCACTGCAACCTCTGCCTCCCAGGTTCAAGCGATTCTCCTCCCTCAGCCTCCCAAGTAGCTGGGACTACAGGCACATGCTACCATGCCTGGCTAATTTTTTGTATTTTTAGTAGATATGGGGCTTCACCATGTTAGGATGGTCTTGATCTCCTGACCTCGTGATCCACCCACCTAGGCCTCCCAAAGTACTGGGATTATGGACGTGCATCACCATGCCTGGCCGAAATTTTCTTTTTTCGTTGTCTCTCTGCCAGGTTTTGGTATCAAGATGATGCTGGCCACCTAAAATGAGTTAGAGAGGAGTCCCTCTTCTTCCATTGTTTGGAATAGTTTCAGAAGGGGTGGCACCAGCTCCTCTTTGTACCTCTGGTAGAATTCAGCTGTGAATCTGTCTGGTCCTGGGCTTTTCTTGCTTGGTAGGCTATTAATTACTGCCTCAATTTCAGAACTTGTTATTGGTCTATTCAGGGATTCGACTCCTTCTTGGTTTTGTCTTGGGAGCATGTATGTGTCCAGAAATTTATCCATTTCATCTAGATTTTCTAGTTTATTTTGATAGAGGTGTTTATAGTATTCTCTGATGCTAGTTCATATTTCTGGGGATCAATGTTGATATCTCTTTTATCCCTTTTTTAATTTTTTTTATTGTATCTATTTGATTCTTCTCTCTTTTCTTCTTTATTAGTCTGGCTTGTGGTCTATTTATTTTGTTCGTCTTTTCAAAAAACCAGGTCCTGGATTCATTAATTTTTTGAAGAGTTTTTCTTGTCTCCATCTCCTTCAATGCTGCTCTGATCTTAGTTATTTCTTGCCTTCTGCTAGCTTTTGAATTTGTTTGCTCTAACTTCTCTAGTTCTTTTAATTGTGATGTTAGTGTGTCAATTTTAGATCTTTCCTGCTTTCTTCTGTGGGCATTTAGTGCTATAAATTTCCCTCTAAGCACCGCTTTAGCTCTGTCCCAGATATTCTGGTATGTTGTGTCTTTGTTCCTATTGGTTTCAAAGAACTTATTTATTTCTGAGTTAATTTCTTTATTTACCCAGTAGTCATTCAGTACCAGGTTGTTCTGTTTCCATGTAGTTGTGCAGTATTGAGTGAGTTTCTTAATCCTAAGTTCTAATTTGATTGCACTGTGGTCTGAGAGACTGTTTGTTATGATTTCCACTCTTTTGCATTTGGTGAGGAGTTTTTTACTTCCAATTATGTGGTCAGTTTTGGAATAAGTGTGATTTGGTGCTGAGAACAATGTATATTATGTTGATTTGGGGTGGAGAGTTCTGTAAATGTCTATTAGGTTCATTTGTTCTAGAGCTGAGTTCAAGTCCTGTATATCCTTGTTAATGTTCTGTCTCATTGATCTGTCTAATATTAACAATGGGGAGTTACATTTTCCCACTATTATTGTTTGGGAGTCTACGTCTATTTGTAGGTCTCTAAGAACTTTCTTTATGAATCTGGGTGCTCCTGTATGGGGTGCATATATATTTAGGATAGTTAGCTCTTCTTGTTGCATCGATTCCTTTACCATTGTGTAATCCTGTTCTTTGTCTTTTTTTACCTTTGTTGGTTTAAAGTCTGTTTTATCAGAGACTAGGATTGCCACCCTGGTTTTTTTTGCTTTCCATTTTCTTGGTAAATTGTCCTCCATCCCTTTATTTTGAGCCTATGTGTGTCTTTGCTCATGAGATGGGTCTGCTGAATACAGCACACTGAAGGGTCTTGACTCTTTATCCAATTTGCCAGTCTGTGTCTTTTAATTGGGGCATTTAGCTTATTTACATTTAAGGTTAATATTGTTATGTGTGAATTTCATCATGTCATTATCATGCTAGCTGGTTATTTTGCCTATTAGTTGATGCGGTTTTTTCATAGTGTCATCTTTACAATTTGGTATGTTTTTGCAGTGGCTGGTACTGCTTTTTTGTTTCCATATTTAGTGCTTCCTTCTGGAGCTCTTGTAAGGCAGTCCTGTTGGTGACAAAGTCTCTCAGCTCTCGCTTGTCTGTGAAGTATTTTATTTCTCCTTCGCTTATGAAGCTTAGTTTGGCTGGATATGAAATTCTGGGTTGAAAATTCCTTTCTTTAAGAATGTTGAATATTGGCCCCCACTCTCTTCTGGCTTGTAGGGTTTCTGCAGGGAGATCCACTGTTAGTCTGATGGGCTTCCCTTTGTGGGTAACCCGACCCTTCTCTCTGGCTGCCCTTAACATTTTTTTCCCTTCATTTCAGTCTTGGTGAGTCTGACAATTATGTGTCTTAGGGTTGCTCTTCTCGAGGAGTATGTTTGTGGTGTTGTCTGTATTTTCTGAATTTGAATGTTGGCCTGCCTCACTAGGTTGGGGAAGTTCTCCTGGATAATATCCTGAAGAGTATTTTCCAACTTGGTTCCATTCTCTCTGTCACTTGCATTGGTACACCAATGAAACGTAGGTTTGGTCTTTTCACATAGTCCCATATTTCTTGGAGGCTTCATTTGTTCCTTTTTTTTTTTTTTTCCTAATCTTGTCTTTGCACTTTATTTCATAAAGTTGATCTTGAATCTCTGATATCCTTTCTTCTGCTTGATCGATTTGGCTATTGATACTTGTGTATGCTTCATGAAATTCTCATGCTGTGTTTTTGATCTCATCAGGTCTTTTATGTTCTTCTCTAAACTGGTTATTCTAGTTAGCAATTTCTCTAACCTTTTTGCAAGGCTCTTAGCTTCCTTGCATTGGGTTAGAACATGCTCCTTTAGCTCAGAGGAGTCTGTTATTACCCACCTTCTGAAGCCTACTTCTGTCAATTCATCAAACTCATCCTCCATCCGGTTTTCTTCCCTTGCTGATGAGGAGTTGTGATCCTTCGGAGAAGAGGCATTCTGGTTTTTGGAATTTTCAGCCTTTTTGCGCTGGTTTATCCTCATCTTTGTGGATTTATCTACCTTTGGTCTTTGATGTTGGTGACCTTCAGATGAGGTTTCTGTATGGGCATCGTTTTTATTGAAGTTGTTGCTATTCCTTTCTGTTTGTTAATTTTCCTTCTAATAGTCAGGCCCCTCAGCTGCAGATCTGGTGGAGTTTGCTGGAGGTCCACTCCAGACACTTTTTGCCTGGGTATCATCAGCAGAGGCTGCAGAACAGCAAAGACTGCTGCCTGTTCTTTCCTCTGGAAGCTTCATTCCAGAGGGGCACCTGCCAGATGCCAGCCGGAGCTTTCCTGTATGAGGTGTCTGTCAACCCCTGCTGGGAGGTATCTCCCACTCAGGAGGTACAGGGGTCAGGGACCAACTTGAGGAGGCAGTCTGTCCCTTTGCAGAGCTCGAGTGCTATGCTGGGAGATCTACTGCTCTCTTCAGAGCTGGCCGGCAGGAATGTTTAAGTCTGCTGAAGCTGTGCCCACAGCTGCCCCTTCCCCAAGGTGCTCTGTCCCAGGGAGATGGGAGTGTTATCTATAAGCCCCTGACTGGGTCTGCTGCCTTTCTTTCAGAGATGTCCTGCCCAGAAAGGAGGAATCTAGAGATGTGGTCTGGCTATAGTGGCTTTGCAGAGCTGTGGTGGGCTCCACCCAGTCCAAACTTCCTGGCAGCTTTGTTTACACTGTGAGGGGAAAACTGCCTACTCAAGCCTCAGTAATGGCAGACGCCCCTCCCTCCACCAAGCTTGAGTGTCCCAGGTTGACTTTAGAATGCAGTGCTGGCAGCGAGAATTTCAAGCCAGTAGATCTTAGCTTGCTGGGCTCCGTGGGGGTGGGATCCACTGAGCTAGAACACTTGGCTCCCTGGCTTTGGCCCCCTTTCCAGGGGAGTGAACAGTTCTGTCTTGCTGGTGTTCCAGGCGCCACTGGGGTATGAAAAATATTCCTGCAGCTAGCTCAGTGTCTACCCAAATGGCCACCTGGTTTTGTGCTTCAAATCCAGGGCCCTGGTGGCCTAGGGGGCTGGCACTTTTAATAATGGTTTTACGTTCCATTCTACCCTTTTCTTTTCATAAGTAAATAAAGGAACAGTTTTTGATGAAGAGAATGAGAGAAAAGAATGCACGAGTTTGGCAGTATGGCCATATTTTCACTGATTGCTGTTTCAGTGTATTGCTCCAACCTGTTCCAATAATAAAATTATTAATAATTCATTGGAACCTTTCTTTTCATGAGTAATTAGTCGAGCAGCACTGAAGAAGATTCTAAAGGAAAGATGTTCATAGACCAAGAAAAGAAGTGTGTAAATATGATTATGATTATCTTATTTTGGAAAGTGACAATACATACTACTACTTTCCACCAATCAGAGGCCAACAATAGCAACACTGATGATTTGTCTAGGCTGTGGTCATCTATTTACGCTTTCGCATTCAATAAAATTGTGCAGTTACTATGGCAACTGGAAGTCTATAGGGTTTGTTTCAGAACCTGTTCTTGGCAGTTTATGTGTGTAAATCTTCTACATACTGATATGAGGTTCTAGTGCTGTGTTTTATTAATTTGTATTTTTCTTGCATCTCAGATGTTGTGCTATTTTATAAACCATGAAGTAAAAAAGAAATTGGCTGAAGAAACAATTTCTCTTGAGAGGCTGACCTAGGCGCTTTAGAAACGTTTGGCTTACTATTGTGTAAACAAAGCACAAAACTTCTTATTTCAGAAATCTTACGTAAACATTAATACTAATTTGCAAAACAGGGCGCAAGCATTGGATCTTTTGCAATTCACGTTCCTAAGCAGCTTAATAATTATTTCTTTCACATGGAAGTTAGAAAAACAAATCCTAGCTTCCAAAGAAGAATATGTAGCCATGAAACGTGTTTTTCTTCTTAACATTTACACAAAAAGCATTACACTGATAGTTCTGTGAAATGATAAACTCTTCTGGTAAAAGTAAACTGCGTCATTGTCGCCCTAGAATAAAAAGACGGTGGAGAAACAGCTTTACTAACACTTAGGATCAATACAGCATTGACGAATTAAACTTTCTTAATAGACTGCTGTATATTTTACAATCTCTTATAATAATATTCAATATTTTATCAAACAAATACTTGAACCATGTTGAGGAAGTATGTGGTTGGTGTGGGTCAGTGTGGTCTCTTTATAAATACAAGTCTTTAGCATGAGACAGACCTGGGTTTGAAAACTGGTTCTGCTTCTTGCTAAGTATATCAACTTGGCCTTTCAGAGCATCTATTACCTTATCTGAAAAATGCAAATAGGAATATATATATATTTATTGGGTAGATTTTCTGCATAGACAAATTGTTTAAGTTGTAAAATATACGTAACATAAAATTTTTTGAGGAACCCCACACTGTTTTTCATAGCGATTGTATCATTTTACATTCCTCTCAGTCATACTTGAGAGTTCCAATTTGTCCGTATGTTTACCAGTAACACTTGTTATTGTTTCTTAAAAAAATATATACTAGCCATTGTAAAGGATGTGAAGTGATGTCTTGTAGGTTTGACTTGCATTCCTGATGATTAGTGATACTGAGCATCTTTTCACATGCTATTGGCCATTTGTACATCTTCTTTGGAGAATGCCTATTCATGTCTGTCATGGGATAAATTGCGTCCCCTCAAAAATCACATATTAAAGCCCCAATAGCTCAAAATGTAACCGTATCTGGAGATAATGTCTTGAAAGATGTAATTCCATTAAAATGAGATCATTAGGGTGGCCCCTGATCCAATATGACTGCTGTCTTATAAGAAGAGGGAATTTGAACCCAGGTGTGCACACACAGTAAAGACGATGTGAAGACAGAGGGAGAATATGGCCATCTATAAGCCAAGGAGAGTGGCCTCGGAAGAAATCTACCTTGCCAATACTTTGCTGTCAGACTTGTAGCCTCCAGAACAGTGAGAAATATTTGTTGCTTAAGCCACCCAGTCTGTGGTACTTTGTTAATGGCATCTCTATCAAATTAATACAATGTCTTCATTTATTTTTAAGTGAAGTTTTCATTGTTGTTGTTGAGTTGTAGAAGATCTTTATATATTCTATATATTAAGCCCTTTATCAGTATATGATTTGCAAATATTTTCTCTCATTTCATGTGTATACATCAAATTTTTGCAAAATATATAAAATATCTGGCTTATAGATAATACACAAGAAATGATAGCTGTTGTCAATGAGTGCACATTTATTACATTTTTAAAGTCTTCCTTATTTTTCTTTATGTGTTTGACTTTTTATTGTAAAAATGATACTTCAAAGAAAAAAGGAACATTTTAGTATAATGGAGTCTGTTGATATCAATAGAAAACGTGTAATTGTCTACTTGCAGATGACTTAGTATAAATGAAATTGGTCAAACACAGTATCTGCAAACGTTAGTTTCAAAGAAAATGCCAAGCCAAAAAGAAGAAACATTTTAGATATCAGACCAGATATATAGACAAAGCTGACTGAGTAGCATACAGCCTATGTGAGTCAATATAGTGCAGAAAAAGTTTTAATATGGCTCAAATCCTCTGAATTGATGATGTAAACATTTCAATAGATAAAGTCTAAAGTAGACAACATTAATATGTTGATTAGAGGGGGAAAATGCCAAATTATATATATAGCACCGAAAAATATACCATTATTTCCTACAGATAATTGCAAATACAAAAACTTGTAAATTAGATTAAAATTTAGTAGTTTGTATGAGCATTTTTTTGGCAAGTGGATGTGATTAACTGGTCAAAGAAATTGAAGGTAAATGCTGTTTTGCAAACAAAACCAAAATTAGGGCAAAACAGAAAAGCTCAAAGAAGACAAGTAAGCAAAAAACTTCCATGTTCATATTTTAAACTGCAAGTTTTACCCTAGGTGAGTAAAGTGGGCATATTTATTTGGGATTAGGTAGTAAGATTTCATTTTAAAAAGTGTTTTCTTATATGCATTTACTTGTAAATAGCAGCAATTATTTAAATTTTTTTCTTGTCATATAATAAGTGGATCTGTTTTAGTTTTGTCATTTGAAATTAGAAATTTAATACAAAATTTTTGAGGAAAAATAAGATAGATAAAAGAGTAAAATAAAATCCCAGAATTTTCACTTGGCAACAATTCACCTATGATTTACCAAAAATCTGTATGAGTAACCGATTTATTTGAAACAAATCATCCTAAACCTAGTATCTTGAAACAATAGCAATCAGGTGTTTTCCCAGAAATCTCCAACTGAGTAACTCTTTGTGAAGAAGATGGCTTGTGCTGTAAGAAGCATCAGCTGAAATTGCTTGATTGGAAAGCTAAAGGGTTTTCTTTCAAAATGGCTCACTCACATGGCTTGGAAGTTGGTGCAGACTGCTGGTTGCTAACTCAGTCAAGGTTGGGGACTAGGAACCCTGTGTCTTCTCTATGTGTGCCTCTCTGCAGACTCATGAGTTCCCTTAACACATAGTAGTTAGATTTTAAGAGTTAGCATGGCATTTTTTAGCCTTTACTAATCAAAAATCATACAGCTTCATTTCCACCATATGATGTTGACTGAGATAATCACAAAAGACTACCTGGGTTGAAAGAGAGGATTATAAACTCTTCCATGTAAAGGAGTTTATAATCCTCCTTTTCATACTCTTCATACCTCAAGAAGAGTATGTGGAACAGGTGATGTTGTAACCATCTTCAGAAAATACAATTTGCTGTGCTCCACACAATTTAGATTCCTTCCATATGCCAAATGCATTCATCGATTCCCCAAGAACTCTAAATTTCTTATCCCATTGTGGCGTGAACTTCAGTCTCAGAGTCCAAGATCTTGATATTTAAACCAGAGATAGCACAATTCGTTGGGAATTGATATGGTTTGGATTTGTGTTCCTGCCCAAATCTCCTGTTGAATTGTAATCCCCGTTGTTAGAGGAGAGGCCTGACAGGCGGTGGTTGGATCATGGGGCAGATTTCCCCCTTGCTATTCTCATGGTAGTGAGTTCTCACGAGGTCTGATTATTTAAAGCTGTGTAGCACCTCCCCCTTCACTCTCTTCCTCTTGCTCCAGTCATGTAAGATATGCTTGCTTCCCCTTCTGCCATGATTGAAAGTTTCCTGAAGCCTCCCCAGCCATGCTTCCTGTACATCCTATGGAACTGTGAGCCAACTAAACCCCTTCTCCTTATAAATTACCCAGTTTCGGGTATTTCTTTGTAGCAGTGTGAGAATGGAGTAATACAGGAACATTCTCTTGAGTATATTTCTTCTTGATCTGAAGATCTTTGAACTAAACATACAGTATATTCTCTCTTTTAATACATATGATAACTGCTATAGACACTCTTCTTCAAAAGCAGGAAAACGGAAGGCTCACAACAGGTCCATAGCAGCTCTGTTTAAGCTGGATCCGTATTACCAGAATCTCTGTGTATTAGTTTGTTCTCATGCTGCTATAAGGACATACCCAAGACTGGTTAATTTATAAAGAAGGAGGTTTAATTAACTCATAGTTCTGCAGGGCTGTGGAGGCCTCAGGAAACTTACAATCATGGCGGAAGGGGAAGCAAACACGTCTTCCCTCACAAGGTGGCAGGAGAGAGAAGAATGAGAGCCAAGCAAAGGGGGAAGTCCCTTATAAAACTATCAGATTTCGTGAGACTTATTTCCTACCATGAGAACAATGTGGGGAAACCTCCCCAATGATTCATTTACCTCCCGCGGGGTCCCTCCCTCCGCATGTGGGGATTATGGGAACTACAATTTAAGGTAAGATATGAGTGGGGACACAGCCAAACCATATCACTCTAATTAGGGCTAACTCATTCTTTGGTGGTTGTTCTCTGTGACTCTTTGTTCTGCCCTCTAGGTACTTTGTTCCACCATTTGTATTATCCTTTTTTTTTTCTTTTAGAAAAATGAGTTTCAACTTAATTGTCTTCTAAGCCTGCTTCCTGCCTATAATGTTTGACATCCAAAAACCGATTTTCATTTTGAACTTTCTCTGTATCATGTTGCCCAAATTGGTGGTGCTTCTGCCAGATCAATTCTTTTAAAAAACGTTGTGGGTTTTCTATAACTCTTTCTAAGGTTCACTCTGTTAGACAAAAACTACTCCCACCCATCTTTTTGAGATAAGCCTTTCTCTCCCTTGGGCTTTCTGTGAGGGGGCTGTGGGATAATGCTGTGAAGATTCTTAGAATACCTATTATTTAATGAATATGAGCCAGTAACCATGTCCTTAAGATGCATAAAGGGGCTTTTGTTTATCTGAATGCTGCTATGTGACAGTATCTTAAAGTATATTACAGTCCCTCCTGATATTCAATCTTTGGTTTGAGGCCCTTTCCTAATTTGAGAATAATTCACTGTTGGGAGAAATTGTGGATGAGAAACAGTTTCATTTTCTAATCCAGCATGTCCTGACTCCTTTATATTTTCATATTTAACAGTTTATTCTTTAATTCATCTCCTTCCTCTGGAATTTTATCATAGGCAGCAGAAAGAATCCAGGTAGTACTTTCAATATTCTGCAATAGCTAGATTATTCAGTTCAATAGATGTTGTATATTTCCTATTTTCCACATTACTGTGGACATTGTGAAGTTTTCTATAAAGGGTTCATTTCCTCTTACTTCCCTTGATATTTTTTCCACTTCCCTTTAGGCCCTTAAAAATAACATCCCTGAAGTTGAGGCCTTTCAAGCTTTCACTAGCAGTCTTCTTAAGGCCCCTCCAGCTTCTGCTCACTAACTGGTTCCAAAACCATTGGCACATATTTGAACTTTTATTATGGCAGCATCTCATCTCTGGTATCAAAATATTAATACTTCTGTTTTGCTAAGTAGCAAACCAGCATAAAACTTGGTGGCTTTAAAATATTACAGTAATTAATTTTGTTCATTAATTTAAACATTGGGCAAGTCTCTGTATAGAAAGATCTTTTCTGTTACACATAGTATCAGCTGGGATCACTCATTTGGGGTTGGAGAGTTCACGGTGGCTCATTAATAAAGCTGGCAAGTTGATGCTGGCTTAATTCAACAAGTAACATCACAATAGCCCAATAATTTTTTCATATACATATGTCATAATACTGGTAATAATAGAAAACAGTGATAGAGAGCTTACCTTTTGATAGAGGCCACACACAACTGATCTCATTGAATCTTTTTTTTTAAATATTAAAAAATGTTTATTGAGTGCATCCATCAGCCATTCTTTTATGGCTTGTAGTTTTCCTGTCTTGACAATCTCCTTCACTGAAGATCAAACTAACCTTTTAATATTTTCATTTATTTTACTTTTTTAAAAAAATTTTTTATTATACTTTAAGTTTTAGGGTACATGTGCACAACGTGCAGGTTTGTTACATATGTATACATGTGCCATGTTGGTGTGCTGCAACCATTAACTCATCATTTAACATTAGGTATATCTCCTAATGCTATCACTCCCCCCTTCCCCCACCCCACAACAGGCCCCAGAGTGTGATGTTCCCCTTCCTGTGTCCATGTGTTCTCATTGTTCAATTCCCACCTATGAGTGAGAACATGCGGTGTTTGGTTTTTTGTCCTTGCCATAGTTTGCTGAGAATGATGGTTTCCAGCTTCATCCATGTCCCTACAAAGGACATGAACTCATCCTTTTTTATGGCTGCATAGTATTCCATGGTATATATGTGCCACATTTTCTTAATCCAGTCTATCATTGTTGGACATTTGGCTTGGTTCCAAGTCTTTGCTATTGTGAATAGTGCCGTAATAAACATACATGTGCATGTGTCTTTATAGCAGCATGATTTGTAATCCTTTGGGTATATGCCCAGTAATGGGATGGCTGGGTCAAATGGTATTTCTAGTTCTAGATCCCTGAGGAATCGCCACATTGACTTCCACAATGGTTGAACTAGTTTACAGTCCCACCAACAGTGTAGAAGTGTTCCTATTTCTCCACATCCTCTCCAGCACCTGTTGTTTCCTGACTTTTTAATGATTGTCATTCTAACTGGTGTGAGATGGTATCTCATTGTGGTTTTGATTTGCATTTCTCTGATGGCCAGTGATGATGAGCATTTTTTCACGTGTCTTTTGGCTGCATAAATGTCTTCTTTTGAGAAGTGTCTGTTCATATCCTTCGCCCACTTTTTGATGGGGTTGTTTGTTTCTTTCTTGTAAATTTGTTTGAGTTCATTATAGATTCTGGATATTAGCCCTTTGTCAGATGAGTAGATTGCAAAAATTTTCTCCCATTTTGTAGGTTGCCTGTTCACTCTGATGGTAGTTTCTTTTGCTGTGCAGAAGTTCTTTAGTTTAATTAGATCCCATTTGTCAATTTTGGTTTTTGTTGCCATTGCTTTTGGTGTTTTAGACATGAAGTCCTTGCCCATGCCTATGTCCTGAATGGTATTGCCTAGGTTTTCTTCTAGGGTTTTTATGGTTTTAGATCTAACATTTAAATCTTTAATCCATTTTGAATTAATTTTAGTATAAGGTGTAAGGAAGGGATCCAGTTTCAGCTTTCTACATATGGTTAGCCAGTTTTCCCAGCACCATTTATTAAATAGGGAATGCTTTCCCCATTTCTTGTTTTTGTCAGGTTTGTCAAAGATCTGATAGTTGTATATACGCAGCATTATTTCTGAGGGCTGTGTTCTGTTCCATTGGTCTATATCTCTGCTTTGGTACCAGTACCATGCTGTTTTGGTTACTGTAGCCTTGTAGTGGAGTTTGAAGTCAGGTAGCGTGATGCCTCCAGCTTTGTTCTTTTGGCTTAGGATTGGCTTGGCAATGTGGGCACTTTTTTGGTTCCATATGAATTTTAAAGTAGTTTTTTCCAATTCTGTGAAGAAAGTCATTGGTAGCTTGATGGGGATGGCATTGAATCTATAAATTACCTTGGGTAGTATGGACATTTTCACGATGTTGATTCTTTCTACCCATGAACTTGGAATGTTCTTCCATTTGTTTGTATCCTCTTTTATTTCATTGAGCAGTGGTTTGTAGTTCTCCTTGAAGAGGTCCTTCACATCCCTTGTAAGTTTGATTCCTAGGTATTTGATTCTCTTTGAAGCAATTGTGAATGGGAGTTCACTCATGATTTGGCTCTCTGTTTGTCTGTTATTGGTATATAAGAATGCTTGTGATTTTTGCACACTGATTTTGTATCCTGAGACTTTGCTGAAGTTGCCTATCAGCTTAAGGAGATTTTGGGCTGAGACAATGGGGTGTTCTAGATATACAGTCATTTCATCTGCAAACAGGAATAATTTGACTTCCTCTTTTCCTAACTGAATACCCTTTATTTCCTTCTCCTGCTTGATTGCCCTGGCCAGAACTTCCAACACTATGTTGAATAGGAGTGGTGAGAGAGGGCATCCCTGTCTTGTGCCATTTTTCAAAGGGAATGCTTCCAGTTTTTGCCCATTCAGTATGATATTGGCTGTGGGTTTGTCATAGATAGCTCTTATTATTTTGAGATACGTCCCATTAATACCTAATTTATTGAGTGTTTTTAGCATGAAGAGTTGTTGAATTTTGTCGAAGGCCTTTTCTGCATCTATTGAGATAATTGTGTGGTTTTTGTCTTTTGTTCTGTTTATATGCGGGATTACGTTTATTGATTTGCGTATGTTGAACCAGCCTTGCATCCCAGGGATGAAGCCCACTTGATCATGGTGGATAAGCTTTTTGATGTGCTGCTGGATTCGGTTTGCCAGTATTTTATTGAGGATTTTTGCACTGATGTTCATCAGGGATACTGGTCTAAAATTCTGTTTTTTTGTTGTGTCTCTGCCAGGCTTTGGTATCAGGATGATGCTGGCCTCATAAAATGAGTTAGGGAGGATTCCCTCATTTTCTATTGATTGGAATAGTTTCAGAAGGAATGGTACCAGCTCCTCCTTGTATCTCTGGTAGAATTTGGCTGTGAATCCATCTGGTCCTGGACTTTTTTTGGTTGGTAAGCTATTAATTATTGCCTCAATTTCAGAGCTTGTTATTGGTCTATTCTTCCTCATTTAGTCTTGGGAGGGTGTATGTGTTGAGGAATTTATCCATTTCTTTTAGATTTTCTAGTTTATTTGCATAGAGGTGTTTATAGTACTCTCTGATGGTAGTTTGTATTTCTGTGGGATCGGTGATGATATCCCCTTTATCATTTTTTATTGCATCTATTTGATTCTTCTCTCTTTTCTTCTTTATTAGTCTTGCTAGCAGTCTATCAATTTTGTTGATCTTTTTCAAAAAACCAGCTCCTGGATTCATTGATTTTTTGAAGGGTTTTTTGTGTCTCTATTTCCTTCGGTTCTGTTCTGATCTTAGTTATTGCTTGCCTTCTGCTAGCTTTTGAATGTGTTTACTCTTGCTTCTCTAGTTCTTTTAATTGTGATGTTAGGGTGTCAATATTAGATCTTTCCTGCTTTCTCTTGTGGGCATTTAGTGCTATAAATTTCCCTTTACACACTGCTTTGAATGTGTCCCAGAGATTCTGGTATGTTGTGTCTTTGTTCTTGTTGGTTTCAAAGAACATCTTTATTTCTGCCTTCATTTCGTTATGTACTCAGTAGTCATTCAGGAGCAGGTTGTTCAGTTTCCATGTACTTGAGCGGTTTTGAGTGAGTTTCTTAGTACTGAGTTCTAGTTTGTTTGCACTATGGTCTGAGAGACAGTTTGTTATAATTTCTGTTCTTTTACATTTGCTGAGGGGTGCTTTACTTCCAAGTATGTGGTCTGTTTTGGAATAGGTGTGGTGTGGTGCTGAAAAGAATGTATATTCTGTTGATTTGGGGTGGAGAGTTCTGTAGATGTCTATTAGGTCTGCTTGGTGCAGAGCTGAGTTCAATTCCTGGGTATCCTTCTTAACTTTCTGTCTCGTTGATCTGTCTAATGTTGACAGTGGGTGTTAACGTCTCCCATTATTTTTGTGTGGGAGTCTAAGTCTCTTTGTAGGTCACTAAGGACTTGCTTTATGAATCTGATGCTCCTGTATTGGGTGCATATGTATTTAGCATAGTTAGCTCTTCTTGTTGAATTGATCCCTTTACCATTATGTAATGGCCTTCTTTGTCTCTTTCGATCTTTGTTGGTTTAAAGTCTGTTTTATCAGAGACTAGGATTGCAACCCCTGCCTTTTTTTGTTTTCCATTTGCTTGGTAGATCTTCCTCCATCCCTTTATTTTGAGCCTATGTGTGTCTCTGCATGTGAGATGGATTTCCTGAATACAGCACACTGGTGGGTCTTGACTCTTTATCCAATTTGCCAGTCTGTGTCTTTTAATTGGAGCATTTAGCCCATTTACATTTAAGGTTAATATTGTTATGTGTGAATTTGATCCCATCATTATGACGTTAGCTGGTTATTTTGCCCATTAGTTGATGAAGTTTCTTCCTAGCCATGATGGTCTTTACAATTTGGCATGTTTTTGCAGTGGCTGGTACCGGTTTTTCCTTTCCATGTTTAGTGCTTCCTTCAGGAGCTCTTGTAGGGCAGGCAGGCCTGGTGGTGACAAAATCTCTCAGCATTTGCTTGTCTGTAAAGTATTTTAGTTCTCCTTCACTTATGGAGCTTAGTTTGGCTGGATATGAAATTCTGGGTTGAAATTCTTTTCTTTAAGAATGTTGAATATTGGCCCCCATTCTCTTCTGGCTTGTAGAGTTTCTACCAAGAGATCAGCTGTTAGACTGATGGGCTTCCCTTTGTGGGTAACCCGACCTTTCTCTCTGGCTGCCCTTAACATTTTTTCCTTCATTTCAACTTTGGTGAATCTGACAATTATGTGTCTTGGAGTTGCTCTTCTCAAGGAGTATCTTTGTGGCGTTCTCTGTATTTCCTGAATTTGAATGTTGGCCTGCCTTGCTAGATTGGGGAAGTTCTCCTGGATAATATCCTGCAGACTGTTTTCCAACTTGGTTCCATTCTCTCTGTCACTTTCAGGTACACCAATCAGACGTAGATTTGGTCTTTTCACATAGTCCCATATTTCTTGGAGGCTTTGTTTGTTTCTTTTTATCTTTTTTCTCTAAACTTCTCTTCTCGCTTTATTTCATTTATTTCATCTTCCATCACTGGTACCCTTTCTTCCAGTTGATCGAATCGGCTACTAAGGCTTGTGCATTCGTCACGTAGTTCTTGCGCTGTGGTTTTCAGCTCCATCAGGTCCTTTAATAACTTCTCTGCATTGGTTATTCTAGTTAGCCATTCGTTTAATTTTTTTCAATGTTTTTAACTTCTTTGCCATGGGTTCGAACTTCCTCCTTTAGCTCGGAGTAGTTTGATCCTCTGAAGCCTTCTTCTCTCAACTCGTCAAAGTCATTCTCTGTCCAGCTTTGTTCTGCTGCTGGTGAGGAGCTGCGTTCCTTTGGCGGAGGAGAGGTGCTCTCATTTTTAGAGTTTCCAGTTTTTCTGCTCTGTTTTATCCCCATCTTTGTGGTTTTATCTACCTTTGGTCTTTAATGATGGTGACATACCAATGGGGTTTTGGTGTGGATATCCTTTCTGTTTGTTAGTTTTCCTTCTAACAGTCAGGACTCTCAGCTGTAGGTCTTTTGGAGTTTGCTGGAGGTCCACTCCAGACCCTGTTTACCTGGGTATCAGCAGCGGAGGCTGCAGAACAGCAAATATTAGTGAATAGCAAGCAAGTGCTGCTGCCTGATCGTTCCTCTGGAAGTTTTGTCTCAGAGGAGTACCCGGCCGTGTGAGGTGTCAGTCTGCCCCTACATGGGTGTGCCTCCCAGTTAGGCTACTCAGGGGTCAGGGACCCACTTGAAGAGGGAGTCTGTCCATTTGCAGATCTCCAGCTGCATGCTGGGAGAACTACTACTCTCTTCAAAGCTGTCAGACAGGGACATTTAAGTCTGCAGAGATTTCTGCTGCCTTTTGTTTCACTCTGCCCTGCCCCCAGAGGTGGAGTCTACAGAGGCAGGCAGGCATCTTTGAGCTGCAGTGGGCTCCACCCACTTCAAGCTTCCTGGCTACTTTGTTTACCTGTCAAGCCTCGGCAATGGCGGCACCCCTCACCCAGCCTCACTGCTGCCTTGCAGTTTGATCTCAGACTGCTGTGCTAGCAGTAAGTGAGGCTCCGTGGGCATAGGACCCTCCGAGCCATGCATGGGATATAATCTCCTGGTGTGCCGTTTGCTAAGACCCTTGGAAAAGCGCAGCATTAGGGTGGGAGTGACCTGATTTTCCAGGTGCCGTCTGTCACCCCTTTCTTTGACTAGGAGAGGGAATTCCCTGACCCCTTGCGTTTCCCCGGTGAGACGATGCCTCACCGTGCTTCAGCTTACACTCGGTGCACAGCACCCACTGTCCTGCACCCTCTGTCCTACACTCCCCAGTGAGATGAACCCGGTACCTCAGTTGGAAATGCGGAAATCACCCGTCTTCTGTGTCGCTCACACTGGGAGCTGTAGACTGGAGCTGTTCCTATTCGGCCATCTTGGCTCCACCGCTCCTCATTGAATCTTAAGATCTGTAAGGTAGGAGATACTCTTCTCAGTTTATATAGAAGAAAATTGCATGTTAGAGAGGTAAATAATTTTTCTTTAATCATGTAACTACTTAGGGTAGAGTTGGGATTTGAAAGGAAACAGTTTGACTCCAGAGAATGTTCTCTTAACTACTGTGCTAAACTGCTTTCTATTTGTATGTACCACAGTCTTGAACCAATGCCAAGTGCAAATTAGACTGTACTTGCTTTATTACAATTTTATGTCTTGCCAAAAAAGATAATTGATTTATATTTCTGTGTTAGATGTGAAATGGTCTCAGCTGACAGTGAATTTTAACTCATCTTTACTTCATAAAAAAATAAAAGGTATGAAATAAACAAGACAATTTGGAATGCTAAGAGGGGAGTGACCAGAGAGACGGGTGAATTTGGGAGCACAGAAGACAATGTCATTCTCATCTTCCTTTACATTCACTACGAGCTGAAAAGTATATCTTAACTACTGGTTATGTGTCTTTAATCAGCCTCCTGGATGCTGTGATGGATATAAAGAACCAAAGTCTAAAATGTGAGCAGAGATGATGTTTATACCAAAAATAATTAGTTTACAATTTAAGACCATATAAATCAGATGACTCATGCTGGATTAGAATTTTCACATTGCCACTAACTAGTTATGTGATTCTGCACACATTTCTTAATTTCCCTAATCTTCAGTTTTCTCATGTGTAAAATAGCATGTGGGATATCAGTAACAGCTAGCTTTTATGACTGAGGTAAGAATAAAATAAAATTATGCACACAAATCTTTTAACTTGAGGTCTGGTATATGGAAGGCGTGAAAGAAATTTTAAGCATTATTATTATTTTACTGTCTTCAAATACTTCAATCCATACTCTCTGAGAGGTCAGAAATGAAAACAATCAATCAATATTGGCTTTAATATGATGAAAAGCTTCATAGAAGAGGTGTCCTTGAAAAAATGTTGATAGCTGGCATTGAAAGGAGATATTTTAGGGTCATAGAATTGCATGTTCTCACTTATTTGTGAGATCTAAAAATCAAAATAATTGAACTCATGGAGATAGAGAGCAGAGGATAACTCATGGAGATAGGTTACCAGAGGCTGGGAATGGTAGTGAGAAGGTAGAGGGGAGGTGGGAATGATTAATGGGTAAAAAAAAAAGAAATAGAATGAATAAGACTTATATTTGATAGTGCAACAGGGTGACTATAGTTAGTAAAAATTTAATTGTGAATTTTAAAATAACTAAATGAATATAATTGGATTGTTTGTAATACAAAGGATAAATACTTGAGGGGATGGATACCTAATTTTACATGAAGTAATTATTATGCATTCTATGCCTGTATCAAAACATCTCATGTATCGCATAAATATATACACATACCTATTATGTACCTACAAAAATTAAAATAAAAAATAAAAAACCCCAAAAAGGTAGGAGTTAACATGATGTGGGATGATGGCATTGGATTCTTAGCAGTGCTATTCTGAATGAGTCTTCTAGGCCATTCTTGTCTTTGTGAGAGAAGAGCCTGGGCTGTCTTTCAGCAATGTTGTGGGTTTTTTTTTCTATTTTAATTTATACAAGGGGTAAGTTAATCTATTGGTTGGAGTTAGTTGGGCTACTTATTGTTTTAGATTAGTGTGGGTCAGGATTTAATGAGGTATTATATGTTTTGTTGCATACTGTAAATATTTCTTTCAGCCTGTTTATACAGTTCTTTAGAACTGTTTGATTTACATATGCCTAGGTCATATATGAGAAATGTATTTCATTAAGATATTTCAACATGTGGCAAATTAGTTGTATGAGAAATATGATGGATTTTCTTTCTATCTGTGAGGGAATTCAGTATACTAATTGTTGAGTCCATTGCTGACATGAGTTAGCCTCTTTAGTTTGTTCTTGTCTGTGTGCACTTTCAGGTTGCATATTCAATGGTAGAAGGTCTGCTGTGCACTAAGTATGTTTACCAGATTGTATAATATATAATAAGTCCATTATCCACACACTTATGGAAATTGGTAGAGCAGCTAGTGAACCATGTCTCTTTGGTGAGTACAAAGACTTAGAATCTAGAAAAAAAAAGTTTAAAGAAAGTTGTGGCTTGAGATAGATTTGATAAAGAAATGAATTATTATACATGTACAGGTTATTATTTATTTATTTATTTATTTATTTATTTATTTATTTATTTTGAGATGGAGTCTTGCTTTGTCGCCCAGGCTGGAGTGCAGTGGCACGATCTAGACTCACTGCAAGCTCCGCCTCCCCTGGGGTTCACGCCATTCTCCTGCCTCAGCCTCCCGAGTAGCTGGGACTACCGGCGCCCGCCACCACGCCCAGCTAATTTTTTTTGTTTATTTATTTATTTTTTTGTATTTTTAGTAGAGACGGGGTTTCACCGTGTTAGCCAGGATGGTCTTGATCTCCTGACCTCGTGATCTTCCCGCCTCGGCCCCCCAAAGTGCTGAGATTACAGGCGTGAGCCACCGCACCTGGCCCAGATTATTTTTTAAAAGTGTATTTGGCATTAGTTTTTGAGCTTTGATTCATGATAAATTTAATACAGGTTTTTAGTGATATTGTTAAAAACATAAGATGAGAGTAAAAGGAAATCTACTTCATCCATTATAAATATTAATCTTGAAATATAACAGTGATAATTTTATATCATTATCATAATAGTGATAGTGAAGTGACAATGAAATAAAAAATTATCATGTGATTTTTATCACATTATCATAGTGATGAAGCTCTAGCCTGAAGTTGAAGTATTATATGTATTACAAAATTGTAGGTAGTCATATATGTCATAGATGATGTATATAGATGAATGTAAAGTTTTTGTAACTTTAAAATTTTGTGAGTCTTAGTCTGTGGACATTTATCAACTTATTCAGAATGTAAAGTAAAATCATATTCAGAAATATTGGGTAAATTCTGAGTAGGAACAAAATCTCTCAAATTCAAAGTTTATAAATATAAAAATTTTAAATATGGTAAATTGATTATTTTATTCTAGGAGGAAGAAAAATTAATTATACTGCTTTGTTTTCATTTTGCTATTGTATTGCCTTTGCTACTTCTGATAAGGTTTTGAAAAAACAGGCTAATCATTTTGGAATAACTTTCAGAAATATTTGCTACTTCTGATATTTTTTTGAAAAAATAGGCTATTTATTTTGATTATTCTATGCTTAGTTTCTAGAAGTAAAACGCATTTAATTATTTTGATTAAAGTTACATTGGTTTTATCATATCACTGACATATTTTGAAATTTGGCATCATAAATTCATCTTCTCAAGATAGAAAGTAGTAGAGCATTTATTGTGTCATTAGAAATTCTTTCTGTGAACATGTGTGTGGTTGTACTCTAGCTAAGGTCAGTCCTGGAGAATGCTACTCAATTCTATATTCTGTTTGTTGTAGTTACTACAAATGGAGAGAAAAGCCATAGCCTTGGTTTCAATCCGCTTTTCTCTCTAAGACATTAAAATCCCTGAGAACTATCTAGTTTTAAAGAAATAGGTGATTCAGTAGTCAGTAGCACTAAAGATATCTGTCCCCAAATCGACTTGTCTGAAACGATATGAAAAAGCAAACTCCATCTGGAGTTCAATCACACTTCCCCATATGGTTAATCACCAGCTGCTTATGAAAGGGAGTGTGGTCTAGGCTGGTAGGCCTGAAATTAGCTGTGCAGCTGCATTTTGGCTTATAGGCAAACCCTGTAACAAGATGAGAATGTATGAAGGCAAAGATAGATATGACTCCTGTATTCCTTTTTATTCCAATGCTGAAAGTGCTGTATTAATTTTGATTTATATTAAAAAGTACCTAAACTTGTAAGAAGCAGTCTGTATTACTTTTTCAGCTCCAAATTAAAGCCAAAGATAATCAACATGTGCCTAGATGTGAGTAATATTAACACAAATCCCAGAACTTTATAACTGTCACATGAAAGTTTCTGAATTTTATTTTTGTGACTCATTTTACTCTACTATTTCTAATTACTCTAAAATATTTACTCTAATGGATTTCATTGGATCAGAATAATGGATTTTGTTTTTGTATTTTTGTTTTGTTTATAATTTACAGGCAATGTCCTAAACATTTTGAAAGCTAACTTTGAGAGTAGGAGAGTGGTAGAATTAGCCTACTGTAAAATGCTTTTGAATGCCTGCAGGGGTTGGGAGGTGGCTGGATGTTGAGATTACTTAATGGGTACAATGTACATTATTTGAGTGATGGATACCCCAAAGCCCTGACTTTGCCAGTATGCAGTCTATACATGTAACAAAATTACACTTGTATCCCACAAATTAATACAAATAAAAATAAATAAACATTATTATTAGTAATGATTTTTTAGTTGATGTCTAATTACTTGAAGATATTTAAACTTTATAGACCTTTCAAATGACAATTGCTGAAGTTATCAATAATATCTCTCTTTTGAAGTTTTAACATTTCTTTTTGAGTGTCATCAGTAGTCTTAGCCATAAATAGAAATAGGAGGCAAACCATTATTCCATTTTACCCAAGCAGAAAATTCAATTTAGTATCTGGTGTGTGTTACATACAGACTATTTGGTTAGGGATATTGGACCTCGTTTCTGTCCACTGAAGCATTATAGGAATTAATGCCTTCACACATTTGCCACTGAATTTCTTATATTACAACACTGTCGCAGATAGTTTTGGGTATCTTTCTCACCTTGAAACACTGGACCAGATCCTTTGGGGGAAATCTTTATCCAAAGTGGCCATGGGGGCAGTGATCATTTATGTCCATTGGGACCAATAATCAAGGCCTACGTTTGCTGATTGTAATGGGGAGGTCTCCCCCGCTTTAATGGTAAGCATTACCTGTAAAGGAATTGACTGAGAAATGTGATGGCTTTTGAAATAAGGTTTTTCCTATAGAAATATAATTTAATGCAAAAAGTGCACATATCTTTGAGTGTACAGCTCGATGATTTAGACACCGATGATTTTAACTGTGGCCCAGTACTAATTGATTTGTGCAGTGTGCATATGAGACCGGAGAAGAAAAGTTACAACAAAATTTACCATAATGGAATAACATATTTTTAAAGAGGATAATGTAAGGATACATTTTGGCACAGTTTATGTAAACATAAACATGTTATTAAAATGCCATCACATGCTTGTCACACTCATGCGTATTGTTGTTAGGTTAAAGCATTTCACCAAAGGATCATTCCTTTCAGTTGTCAATCTTCAATCATAATTTCATGTATATTTCTCTCATGGAGAAATTAAGGGTTTTTGAATAATCGGTTCTAGTATTTCCATGTAAAGTACATGACATGCTATCCACAAACTGATTTTGATGTACTTTAACATTTTCTGGTGTGCCACAGTAATTTCAGTGGTGTAGACACCTTTGTTTATTTAATGGAATTGTTTTAATAGGATTTTTAAAAATGCATTTCTAAATAATATTCCTTAAGTGAATGTGATGGTAAGAAACTATCTGTGAGTGACCTGTCTGTCTATGGTATTACAGTGGCCCAGCCCGCTTGATATGAACACATAATAATTATATGGTTGACATTTAATGAGGTTTACTATATGCTGTGCACATGCACTAATTTAATCCTTGAAACTACCTTACATGGTAGATGCTATTGGCATCCTCCCCATTTCACAGATGAGGAGACAGAGGTTAAGTGACTTGCCCAGTGTCACTTGGTTGGTAAGCAGTAGAGCTGAGATTTGAATCTGGGCATTCTGGATCTCCAGCCTGTACTTGATATTTATACTGTACAGGGTAATGGATGGATTGAAAATGACTCTGTCAGAGACTATTTTAGTTTGTGAAAATCTTATAAATTTCCTAGAACAAAGGTCATTTACTACTGAGCAGGTGATACTTCAGACATATGTGTAGACAGAAAAAAATGCACCAAAGAAAGGCTTAGCAAGATCAGGCATGAGACACAGACAGATCTTTTACAGCACTGTTGTGTCATCCTTTCCTTTGCCTTTTCCAGATGCTGCTATTACTGACCCTGATGATGAATGATTTTGTCACATATCCTTGTGAAGATTAACTAGGATTTCCCAGTAAACAAATGTGCCCAATGACATAGTTAGCTTTACACATCCAGCAGACCCAGATGCCACAAAGTTAATTTATGAGCATGCCAGGTCTAGTAAGTCTTTTCTTAACTTCTTCTCCCTTCTTTCTCTCTTTGTGACAATCACACAGAGGCCTGAAGTCAAGGTTAACATGCTGGGAAAAGAGGATTGGAGAATGAGAAGAAAGTAACTTACTGTTTCCCCTTCTCCAATGCCTGATAACAGCCCTGGCTGTGGGAAGGAAGACAATTCTATTTTAAATTAAGTTCAGTGTATTGATCAGAATGTGGAAAGGATGCCCTAAGTTTTGAATTGAGACTGTGCTTCAGATCTAAAGTCGTTATAGAACTTTGAAAGTCATGAGGCCTAGAGATTTTTAATCTAGGGTCAGGGAAGAAATATCTCTCACAACTGAACAAATGTTAAAGGGACACAGAAGTAAAAAATAAAGATTCACTTTTATTATATCCCGTCCACCACGCTTGATTAACTTGTGTAGGAAGAAATCACTAGGAAAATAAATAACATCTTCGATTATGTAATTAACTAGCTAAAATATAGAGACATCAGAAGGAAAGGGAGCGCAGTAAGCTTGGAGATGCTGAGCTGCATGCAACCAGTTAAAGCTGGTGGCTTCTTTTTTAAATCCTCCACTTCTTCTGATTAGTATCTTAGATGGGAGTGAGATCATATACATGTAACCATTCAACAAATTGTAAGGTTGATAGAGATGTAAATTATGTTTTTTTTAGTATTTTGTACATTGGATTATACCAATGGTTATCTTTATTATATTTTTCCATATATATTTGTTTTCTGATGCAGCTTTTCTTCCCTGGAAGGATTGCATTTTTACACTTATAATTGCTGGCTTGTATTTAAGACATAACTTTTTTAAAAATAGCTTTTTTGGAAAGCTTGATGAGGTTTTCAGTTGTGGCTATTTGATAGTTTATTCATACCACCAATGGGGAGACAAAAATCATTTTTAATCTTGTTAGAAAACTCATTAAAATAGCATCCATTTATTTTTTTGAACTGGAATTTTATATACCCAATGACAGAAAAGTTGATCCATTTAAAACAAAGATCAGATCACAGGAGGCTGAAAAGTTTTTGAAGCTTTTGAACTGCCATAAACTTTTAAATTCAATATATAATTTTTGATGTAATCTAAGCTCCTTTGTGAAACAAAGTGGAATAAACAAATAGATACATATATTAACTACATATAAAAAGATGGTATTTCTGTACATTTTAAATATACAGAATTATAGTATATATTTTTTATGGGTTATATTAAAAGAATACACCGATAGACTAAAAATTTATATGCCAAATGTTTGATAGTGATTGGGTAGGGTTAGGAGGTATAGTCTGTCAATTGGGAGAGAAATTGTACTTTAGGAAATTTTCTTAAAAATAATGATTTTCTTCCTATTTTTTTGTGTGTTTTATTAATAAAATCTTGAATAAAAAATAACAAATACTTAACAATTCATTCTACATGGTGGAATCATGAATATTTATTGTACTATTCTTTAAATTGATCTATATTGTTAAACCTCTCAAAAGAGAGTTAAATATGTTAAGACAGTATGAAAGATAGTGTATAAGCTGTGCCTTCCACTCTGGAAGAATTTATAATGCAAAAGTAAACAAGCCTGCCTGAGGTGAGACAGATGGGAGGTAAATAAAGACCAGCAAAGTATTTTACTAGACGGTATGCATTATGACATATGGACCGTGTTCTTATCATGAAACCCCAGCATATTAAACAGTGGTAGAACACAAGAGCATGTATTGTAATAGTAGAGTATTGTGAGTAGCAGCATGTATGTAGTGTAAAGTTTAATAGCATGTTTTGGTCTGATGTGACATCAGAGATACAAAAAGAAATACAGGCTTAGTTGATTTTCATGTGGCTTTTCAATTGTCATTGCAAGAATATAATCTGTTGTCATCAGGTTTGAGAAGTACATAAGGAACTGCAGTTCCAGATTGTAGAGACCCAGGAGTCTGTGAAAGATGAAAAGGACAGTATGATAAGGTTAGATAAATAAGAGAACTGTAAATATACCTAACTCCCTTGAAACCTTTGCATATTCTTCCTGCCGGAACCAAAGATTTCTACTTGACCAGTCAAGGTAGAAGGAAGTGTGTTCTATTGAAAAGTCTTCTATGACCACAACTTGTACTGGAAACACCTGTGGTGATTTTTAAAAAATGAAGATTCTGACCACATTCCAAACAACCAAATCAGATGTTCTGAAGGTTTGGATAATGTATTTTAATTTCTTATTGAGAATTGTTGGGTTATGGAATAGTAATTTGATAGTAGATTCTGGCATGAAACATTAGAATGACAGAGTCTAAAAGTCCTCATTATAAAGCTATATTTCAAGAAGTATGAAACAGAAATCCTATAGAATTAAATAAAATCTGAATGATTCAAGAAAATGAGCAGGCAAGCACAGACTGGGAGAAAATTTTGCAAAAGACACATCTGATAAAGAACTGTTATCAGAAATATACAAAGGATTCTGAAAGCTTAACAATAAGAAATCAAAACCCAATTAAAAAAATGGGCTAAAGATCTGAACAGACTCCTCACCAAAGAAGATATACAGATGGCAAATAAGCATATAAAAAGATGCTTCCCATTATCCATCATTAGGGAATTGTGAAACAAAACTGAGATACCAGGACACATGTATTAGAATGGCCAAAATATAAAACTCTCACAACAGTAAATGCTGATGAGGATGTGTAGCAAAAAGAACTCTCTTTCATCTCTGGTGGGAATGAAAAATGGTAAGCTATTAATACTTTGGAAGATGTTTGAGCAGTTTCTTAGAAAACTAAACATTCTCTTATCATATGATCTAGCAATTGCACTCCTTTGTATTTACTGAAAGAAGTTGAAAACTTATATCTACACAAAAACCTGCACATAGGTGTCTATTGCAACCTGATTTATAATTGCAAAAACTTGGAAGTAACCAAGATATTCTTCAGTAGATGAATGGATAAACTGTGGTACAATCAGACAAGAAATTATTCAGTGCTTAAAAGAAATAAGTTATCAAGCCACGAGAAGACACGGAGAAACCTTAGATGCATATTCCTAAATGAAAGAAGATAATCTGGAAAAACTGCATACTGTGTGATTCAGCTATATGACATAATGGAAAGGCAGAACTATGAGACAGTAAAAAGATCAGTAGTTGCCAGTGGGGAGTGGGCAGAGAGGAGGATAGAGAGAGCACAGAGGATTTTTAGGACAGTGAAACTATTATTTAGGATATTATAATGGTAGATACATCTCATTATATACTTATCCAAACCCATAGAATGTACAACACCAAAAGTAAACTCTAATGTAAACTGTGGGCTGTGGCAATAATGAGGTATTAATGTAGGTTCCTTGACTGTAAAATAAACCTACCACTGTCATGTGGGATCTTGCTAGTGGTGGAGTTTGTGTGTGGAGGGGGTGGTGTATGGAAATTCCTTGTACTTTCTGGTCAGTCTTGCTGTGAACATAAAACTTCCCTAAAAAACAAAGTCTCTGATAAAAACTGTAATCATTGATTGGTTCCTTCATTTATTTATTCATTCAAAATGTTAATTGCATGCTTATTGTGTGTTTAGCATTCTGTTGTCCTTTAGGCAAATAGAGATAAGTAAGCTAGTTTAATTGAGGGACAAATCAATAGGTTATAACACAGTGTGATAAACAGTGCAATTGAAACAGAAACAAAATACTTTATGGTCACTGAAAATAAAGCTGCTAACTCAGTTTTAGTCAGTTAGTTGGAGAAGAAATTAGGCATTGAAGTATGACTATGAGTTTTCCGATTAAAGTCTTTCAGGCAAAGCCAATAGGGGCATATGAAGAACTAGGGCAACCATGAAATATGATTGATCATCTCTCCTTAATGTCATTCACTGGACCACTATCATCATTCTAATTATGGTGTTATAAGGTTATTTTTTTGATGATGAGGCTCTATATATGTAGTTTGAAAATGATACTAATGATTATATTAACAAAAATTACCGTTATCTAGCTCAGAGAAAGAGTTTATATTAAGAAGTCTATTAACATATTGTCAATTTTTCTCTTAACAAATCTGAAATAAGTGTTTTTATAGTTATTCTAATTAGTTTACATAATTTAGATTTAATTAGGCTAGCATAGATTATAATAGGACCTATGCATTTGTTTAATAAATTAACATTTTAGTCAATAAATTGATTTTTTTAACAGGGTGTTTGCTTATATGAGGGTCTCTTTATATCAGTGATTAGACCAGTCTAACATTCTAATGGAGATGTCTGTTTGCTTTCCAGCTAATGTGATAAACACCAACAGTTCAGCATCAACACCTTAATTACATACACTGAAGGCTAATGTTAGACAAATTGTATTCTGTTGACTACTTTCGGTTCAGTGGACTTCAGCAATTGAAATAAGCTCTTTAAAGACAAGTAAATGGTGCACCTGCAAAGTACATGAACACTATTATTGCCATAGAATTTGATAGAGGCTTTTCAAAAAATCATTCGGTGTGGCAGGGGCTCTAGATTTGAGTACCATTAACATTTACTGCGGTATGCTTGGCTGTGTGTTAGGTACTTGCTATAATTTTTATTCTTTTTTTACTATGTATTATCAATAGGAATCTGGTATTTTTATATTATGCCATTTTATCCTGTGGTTTGGGAAGTTGAGCATGTATGAGTTCATCATCTTCAAATTCTACTCTTCCTACATCTTCCTAGGCAATAGCTAATCTATGTAATATCATAAAAGCTATTGACCAGTGGGAAGACTATTTTCCATAATGAAATATTTAGTACACAGTACATATATGTTTTAAAATAAATTATAAACTAAATGATGAAACAAGATATAATATATAAAATCTAAGAATTTAGAATAAGCTTCCAGGTAATAACAGAGAAAAAATAACTAATGAGGGCTCAAGAGATATCTAATTTTTTTTCAATCCAATTTTAAAGAGAGAGCATCTTTTTGTTTGCAACATTATAAAGCATCTTAGGCTTTTTTAAGATCCACTATCAAAACAGTAGTAAACTGAAAAAGCTGACCATCTTTCTTTCAAAGAAGCTTGAATGTAATTGACGAATATCACCAAACATTGTCAAAGAAATATGTTAACCCATTCATAAAAGCATATATTGAGTACTCACTATGTACCTGGCACTGTTGTATGGAGGTAAAGGTCATGCACCCCAGCTTCAAGGACCTCACAAAAATGTAAGCCAATCATGACAATAGTAGCACCAATGGCTCACTGTACACTTTGAATATGCCAGGCTTCCTTATAAACATTTTGCATGTGTTGTCATTTCAGCCTCACAATAATCTGAATCTATATAAACTATTATTAATTTCACTTTGTGGATGAGAAACACAAGACAGAGAGAGAATGAGAACACTTGCCCAAGATTACACAACTAGTATGAGGCATCATTGAGAACTAGACTATGATCTGTGCCCCCTACAACCCATGTGGTTTACTAGCCTTCTATTCATACTTCTCCCAGTTTTTTGGGTTATTGGCTTTGATGGAGAAGCTCCCAAAGTAATGAAGCTATCCAGAAGAAAGATAACTATCTTTTGGGGGGGCTGTGGGGAAGACAGAGTCTCACTCTGTTGCCCAGACTGGAACGCAGTGGCAATCATAGCTCACTGCAGCCTTGAACTCCTGGGCTCAAGTGATTATCCTGCCTCAGCCAGCCTAGCACATGGGACTAAATGACTACAGGTGCATACCACCACACCTGGCTAATTTTAAATATTTTTTGTAGAGACAGGGTCTTACTTTGTTACTCAGGCTGGTCTCAAACTACTAGCCTGAAGCAAACATCATATGTTGTCCTTCCAATATCTGGGATTATAGGCATGAACCACTGTGTCTTGCCAGAAGACATCTAATTTGAGTCAGAAGAAATAGCGTGGAAAGATAAAATAAATTAGAACATAAAAGAAACTAAGTAGTTCAGTATGGCTTAGGTAGAGTTCATGAGTGTTGGGAAAAGTAGAGAAGTTGGGGCTCTATTATAATGACTATGGAAAACTGTGAAAGAAAAGTATGAAAGTAACATGGTTGGATTACCTTTTAGATAAAATAGAAAGGGAATAAACTGTGAACAGGTGAGACAAGTGGCACAATCCAAGCAAGAAGAGCAGAGGGCCTGAGCAATGACTGTACAAATTAAAAAAAAAATTCAGATGTATTTCAGTGGTAAACCTGACAAACTTTGATGACATATTTAGTTTGGGGTGAAGGGAGAGAGAAGTGTAGTCTAACTTCCAGGTTTCTGGCTTGGAAGACTGAGTGGAATGTGATTAGTAAACTTGGAAACAAGGTTAGATTTGGTCTGGGGAGAGGGAACAGAAGGAGTTTAAAGTTGAGATCCATTGCTTTGAGTTGGCTAGTTACGTGGATCCAGAACAAAAGACTATCCTGGCCATCATTAGCATATTAGTTTAAGCCAGAGATCCATATGACATTAACAGAGAAAATCATAGTACACCAAACATTGGGACCCAAGAGTAGAACCCCACATAATATGAAAATTAATGAGGGACAGAAAAATGAGGACCACAGCGGGGAGTGGCCAGAAAAGGAGGAAAATCAGGAGAAAGGGGTATCAAACAATTTCTCTTGTTTGAGCACAATGACACACAGAGAAGAGGCTGTAATTCAAGAGCCTTAAATACTAGTTTTTTAAATTTAATTCTATCTCTAATTTCTCTAAAACTACTTTCCCAAACTGTCTTGTACCTATTCATTAAAACACCTTTGGTCTCAAATTCTGTGAGATTACTCCTAAGTCAAACTCTATATTATAGGAATGTGAACTTGTGCATTCACAGGAGGAAATACTATAAGCTCTTAAGTGGAAAATACGGTTACATACAGAATTCTGTCAGCATTTTGCATAAGATACTCAGAAGTGTTCTTTAATGCTATGCAATCATATTTCTAACCTTTTCACCAGTTCATTGACATTTCTACCATCATGTTAAGTGCAGACAGAAGCAAGAGATGGGTAGGAAATATCTCACACATCAAGGGAGAAGAAAACAATAAAAGGCAAAGTTGGGCATAATTTTCTTTTGGAATCCACAACACCTGCTACATTTCCTGAAGCCTAAAACGGCCTCTGTTGCTTCGACTGCTGCTCAAACCATCTGCTGAGTATAAGGAGGTGGTCTGCAGCAGCTGAAAACCTTTACAAATGCTTCAAGTCAGGCTTGTTGGCACGGTAAGGAAGCTAGTGATGTACTGATGCCAAATTCTGTTCCTGTTTCTTTCCCTTTGCTGCCATGAAAAAAATTAACCAAGGCTTTAAGAGCTGCCATTGACATAAACATGATTTAATAGCTCTTTAGCATTTCCAGGACCACAGCATTAGCAAGAGCCTTGGAGATGTTTAAGAGTAGAATCTTGAAATTCGTTCTCTGGCAAGTTATTTTAAAACCAGATGTTGTAAGCGTACTTCAGTACAGCTGCCTATTAGGTGACAGTACTTCAAACACATAGAACGTGAGGGAAATGTACTTGCTGTTTTCTTTATAGGATGGCAACTGTCACCTGCCTCTCCTAAGTGTGTGAGTAGATTTTCCTGGTTGATGCCTGCTCTTTCTTCTGTTTTCCATGCTTCTCTCAAGCGTGGTGATGAAAGACCTGTTTAAAGTAGGAGAGCTGTCAGTATGAATCGATAATCTATGCAACTGATTATTTACATAATTATCTCTTTGATTAGAGAGGGAGCTTCTTACGAATTAGGACCAGGTCTTATTTGGGTTTAAATTCTGATTGTACTTTTTACTAGTTTGTAAACTTGGATAAGAAACTTGGCTGCTCTGAGTTTTGGCTTCCTCATGTGTATCTCACTAGGTTGTGCCCTGCCTAATGAAGTTAGCTACCTTTTTCAAAGTTCCTAATTGGGTGCCTGGCACAAGTTCCAATAAATGTCTATCAAATAAAATAGTTATGTAACTGTTATAAAGGATTATGTTTGAATTTCAAATGTACATAATTATTTCTCACTTTATCTTCCACTTTACGTTACAGGCAAACAATTCCAATTCATTTATAGTTATTGTAGAAGTGTTTGTTCTAGTGTTCATGTGAAAATTTGCATTACACATTTGCCTTGTAATTGTATAAAGCCTCTTCCTATCATGTATGAAGCAAGTCCGTGGTTAAAATCTGAAGGGATATGTTGGCTTGCTGGTCATTTTTGTCAGTCAGTCAGAAAATTCAGAGGAGTTTTACCTTGCCATTCCCTTGAAGAACTGGAGAGGTTGGCCATAATCTTTGTTTTCATTTTCTGCCTATATCCCCTTTCCTCTGTCTTATCAAAATGTACTTTTTAAAAGGCACTGCTCACATCTAGCTCTTTCTTAGATAATTGACTTACAAACTAATTCACATGTTGGTAAAATGGCTAAAAATGGCTTAAAGCAGTGCTTTTTAAACTTTTTTTGAGACTTGTGAGGGATTCTATGGGGAAGCCTGATGGACAGATGCAGGGATCTGGAGCTTCAAACCAGTGAGACTCTGGTACTGCACCCCTAACTCTAATTTCAATCGAAAAATTCTACTTTAAAAAAGTTTTTATGTATATATACATATATATCTACACATATATTTTATTCATATATTACATATATTTTTAAGCTTAATTAAAGAATAGATTTTACTGTTTTAAAAAGGTGAAGATTATTTACTGGCATATCATCTTTTAGTGTCATTACAATTTCTTTTTTTTTTTCTTTTTTTTTTTTTTATTGTGAGACAGAGTCTCACTCTGTCACCGAGGCTGGAGTGCAGTGGCGTGATCTTGGCTGACTGCAACCTCTGCCTCTTGATTTGAAGCGATTTTTGTGCCTCAGCCTCCCAAGTAGCTGGGGTTACAGGCGTGGGCCACCACACCCTGCTAATTTTTGTAGTTTTAGTAAATTCAGGGCTTGGGTTTCACCATGTTGGCCAGGGTGGTCTCGAACTCCTGGCCTCACATGATTTGCCCGCCTTGGCCTCCCAAAGTGCTGGGACTACGGACCTGAGCTACCATGCCCAGCCCAGTGCCATTACAGTTTCATCACAAGACTAAATAATATAACTGAAAAGATTTCTCTAATCTTAGAATCCTGGCTAGTGATAGGAAGTGATAGTCACTAGGGATCACTGCATGGTCACTAAGCAAATGAAGCAGAGTTACCCCAAATCTTTCTTTGATAGAGTTATTATATTGGAGATAAATCATTTGACATGGACTATTTATACTTCTATAATTCATTTAGCGAAGTGTATCATACATTTTCATGGATAAAAAGAATAAGTATAAATTTAGAGTCCTTACAGTTAAGTGAACTAGACATGACAGAACATTAACTAAAGGACCTGATTTATAGATATGCATTCATCTGGGGAGAAATTTCTATTGACAACCTCAGGGCTATGCCCCTAGTCTCATCCTATTCACTCATTTTAGAATTAGTGGCTTGAATAAAACTGTAACGACTGAAATCTCGTCAGATTTGCAGATGGCGAAGCTGAGAGGGACACAGAATGTGTTGGATGAAAGAATTAAGATTCCAAAAGATCTTGACAGGCTGGAACATTTTAAGCTGATATAACATAATGAAATTTAACAGGGACAAATGTGAGGTCCTCTACTTGGGTCAAAAAACAGAAACACAACTGCAGAGGATGAAGAAATTATAGCTTCTGGGAAGAATGCGTGAAAATGCTTAGAGGTATTAGATGACAGTCATATTTTTAGAAATCAACAACATGATGTGAATGTGCCCAAAGCTGATGTGGGTTGTGGGGATTAGTCAATTAAATAAATAGAATCTAGAATGAAGATGGACACAGGCTCACCTTTTTAAAGACTGCTTAGATTTAACAGTGAGAATGTACTGATAGGTAACTAGACAAATTAAAACACATCCAGAAAAGCCTGGATGTAAAGAGACTTCAAAGTCTTTTGTGTGAAGAGAGTTCAGACCTTGAACTTTAGGGAATAAGTTCTGTATGACCTACAGACAAGAATAGGGTATACCAAGGGCATCATATACAAGTATTTAAATTGTTGACATTTGAAAATTTCTGGTGTAATTTTGGAAGACGTAAGATTAATTGGTCTAAGTTAAAGATAGAAAGATGGCATCTCAATATAAGAAATAACTTTTTAAAATCAGAACTGTCCAAAGAGGGTACCGTCTCCAAAATGTAGTTTGTTTTTCTTAGTGAGGATGTGAGATTAGACTGAGCTACTATTGATAGAGATGTTGTAAATACAACATTTTAAAAGATAGCTTAATGGGATAACTTGTGATATCTCTTATAGCCTGAGATTTTATGATCATTAATAAGGAAATTAAAGACAAATGACAAGCGTGTAGGATGTTTCAAGGCAGACGGGTTCTCCATTTACCTTTCAACTTGGAAGTAAATTTATAATCATCTCTTTCAAATATTAGTTAACAACACGCTCAGATAGTTAAAGTTAAAATATCAAAATTACCTTCCCTTTTTACTTTTCACATTCTAATTTTTGATTCTACAATAGAAAAATGTGACTGAATTAAATAATTTTCTCAGACTCTAGACAAAGCCAAGTGCTTTAGAAGGCACATAATAATAAAATTTCAACAAATTCTTTCATTTACAAGTGTAAGCAATTAAGTCAAATAAATAAAAACAAACCACAATAACACAGCCTTCTATAAAAGTTTCACTTTATGAACTCAGAATAAAAGGTATTGAAATGCATTTTAGTTTGTTTTCATTTATTTCCAAATAAAATATATTCTGATCTCTTTCTAGTTTTTCTTTGAATCTGCCAACTACCAAGGTTTCTATGAGCCTTAGTAGTTGTATTGGCCTTTAATTAGGTTGCCCAGCGAAATGCATCCTCCTAACAAATGAAGGCAGTGATTGGTTGATAAGCCAATCAGGGGTCTTAGTTGCAAACGGATGAAAAAGAATTCTCAAACTTGAGCATGCGTCATAATCACTTGGAAAACTTATTTAAACACAGATTCAGTAGGTCTAGAATGGAACCCTATGGTTTAAATTCCTTACAAGTTTCCAGGCGATGCTGATGCTGTTGGTTCTGGACCACACTTTGAGGATCATTTATTACAATATATCAGAGAGCTCTCAGATTTTCTGGGAGTTCTGGTGGAACAGATTTGAGGCCAATACTATACTAAGCTTGAACCATTGTCTGTTCTGTTGAAACCATCAAGCAGAATATTTCGGGAACTATATTTTTCTGCCACTACTAATGATACCAGCGACAATGTCAACTCTGCATTAGGAATTCAACTTGTATCCAGTGATGCCTCCAAAATCCAGGTGCCTCCAATGCTGCCCTCATCATGCTCAGGTGTGAACGAAACGTCTTCCATGGAAGACCTAATTGGTAGCGCCTAGATCATGTGATTATGTGGCTGTGAGGCAGGCTGAGCATTTTAGTTCTTTCTCCTACTTTGAGAAAACAGGACTTGTATTTGCAGAAACATATGCATTAATATTAGAAAATTCCACTACCTAACCTCATTAGTACATTTGACAGCTTGGTTTAATTTATTGATTCTCAGATTTTTACTTTTATGAGACAGCTAAACTCAGGGAGAACAAATATTTTCTGAAAACTGCCATTGGTGATGCTGTGAGAAGAAAGACGGTGAAACTACGTAAGTTCTTCTGATGTGACCCGGGTGAGATTCCATGAAAGCATTTCTAAGCAGTTCGAAACACTTTTGCATACCAGGCATTGTATTGGGTGCAGAAATAGAAGGAAGAATAAGTCATGGATCTTGAGTTAAGGAAACTAAGGATCTTGAGTTAAGACATGGATCTTGCAGTTTCATAAAGGAAAGAGTCAAACAAATAGAATGTTTCAGTATAAATACTTATTTTTACTTACAAAAAATAGATTCTAAGGAATATATTATTTACATAAGTTCATTTGTTCAAAATGACTTGTATATACATATCTACATTTACATTTGCTCTAAATGACTTGTATATACATATATACATTTACCTATATATTTACATTTTATCTCTCAATTGTGGACATTGTGTTAATTAGATTAAACTTAACTCCTCTTTTCCATCTTCTTGGAAACTGTAAATATGGATGTTTCTATTTCAAATTTTATTTTTTATTACAGGTAAATGTATAAAAAAACAGTGCTTCAAATACAATGGATATATAACAAGCCATCAACTTACTTATTCAAAGGCAATATCTAAACTAAGAGCACTATTAATCATGCCTTAGAGATGATGGTTCAACTTGACATTGTTTTCCTTTGTTATATCCCTTTTCTCACATTATTGAATCGTAACCTGAGCATTTGCTGAGTAGAGGAGCATCTTTATAATATGAAAAATGTAATGACAAGTATAAGACAGGTAGTAACGGAGCAGAGAGGAGGATGTTGTCATTTAGTATGGAGAGTGAGGAATGCTTTCTAGGAGCATGGTGCACATGAGCCCACTTTTCAATGACAACTCTTAATTAGCTAAGAGAAATATGGGGACAGGAAATTCATGGGCAGAGACCTTAGAGGTATGGAATGGTGTGTTACATGTGGAGAAACTATTAGTTTGTAAGAAACTTGTGTTATGAGGGTCAGGAGAGGTGAGAAGGTGAAACCGAAGAAGTGAGTTGAGGCCACATCACAGAGGGCCTCTCTTGCCAGAGTAGAGTGTCAGCATGCACTCTCTGTGTCACTATGGGTGCAGCATATACAGCTAGTTGTTGTCCAGCATCCTACTCTTCTGCTGACAGAGGAGAGTAGTGACCCACCTTTCTTTCCTTCCTTCCTTCCTTCCTTCCTTCCTTCCTTCCTTCCTTCCTTCCTTAAGGAATACCATTTACAAAGACAAAGTATACAGACAGAATGGCCATGCCGCTAACATTCTCCATTCTGATTAACGGGCTGTCTGAAGCTGCCTCTATATATTCACTAATCAAACTAATTTTTTGAGACTACAGCATGAATGTCTCCAAGGCAGTATGGTACTTCTCTACAACTTTTTAAAGTTATTTAGAATTTAAGGTTCTAAGAATTAAACAAAGAATATAAATCCACTGTTTCTCATTGTATGCATTATCGATGCCCCTTTAAAGGACTGTTTTTCATGCTGAAGAATATGGGTTTCTGTAAGTTATGTAAGTAATGAGTTAGCCTTTCTATACATTAAAAGCTGATGCTTTTAAAATTCTGCCCCTTTAGCATTTTCTGAATATGTAGAAGCTTTTTGCAGTGGTTGGATTTATTTAAACATATTATACACTTATTAATCATTTGTGTTGCTGGGTTTAATGTAGATTGTTTCTATTTTGGCTGTTCAATTTTAAAACACCTAGTTTATAAATGGAGAGACCAAGTGAGCTTGAAATGGCTTTGTTTCTTCATGCTGTGTAAGGAAGTTCTGTGATGCCGTGCTTTTGCCACAGAGGGGCATTACTGGACTTCTCTTTTGTATCAACCTTCTGGACAGCAAGGAAACAAACCTTTAGAAATTCATTTTTCGTCACCTTTAAAAGGAAAAACAATATATTAATACAGAAAATCCCCTCAGAGCTACTGGCCACTTACAAGCTATATGTGATTTTTAAACTAGAGAAATATTTTCCTGAGTAGATGATCTCAGGCAGCATAATCTTTTACATCTTCTTGAGACAGAATCAATTATTTCTTTTCTAGCCATATCAAATTTCCTTATGTAAAATACTTCAATATTTCAGGCAAAACTATGACCCTTATTTCAATAGAATGCTGGGCCAAATAAGACTGGTGGAAACAATGAATCTCATTGGCCACAACGGCCCCCTGAAAGAGAATGCAACTTTCATTAGTGCACAGTCAAGTTCAACTATGTTTGGAAAATATGGTCTCTATTCTCATGATGCCACCCTTTCCCCACCCCACCCACCCCCACAAAGTGGCTGGCACATTTACAAGATGTTCTTTTTGCCCCCTGTGCACACCCACATCAGGTTTCAGAAAAGTGAAGGAAACCAGGCAGAGGCAGAAAAAACACATCCCTAATAAGGTCCTAGGTTTGCACAATGCTCCCAATACAACTGGTACAAACCTCACTCCTTATATCAAATTCCAGGTAATGGAAACGATTATCTAGTTCAATTTGAGTCTGAATCTAAATATGATCCTAATTAAGATCATGATCACAAGATTCACACATGCACAATACTTTCAAGCAGAGTATAATTAAAATAACGCTAAAGAGACAGTCTTCTGATATTTCCCTTTAGAAAAAAAAATACCTACACAGCTATGAAGAGTCGTTCATTGGAAGCTTCTGTAAAAGGAACAGCAGTGCAAAGGTCACCACGTAGTAGCTAAGCCACAAGCTCAAATTAAAATGGGCAAGTGTCCTATTTCCCTCTAATTTAGTTTGGGTTAATCATGCTTTAGCATTTTCACTTCCCTTCTTCCAGCCTCAGAATTAATGAGCAGTTGATTATATATTCAGTATCAGTTTGGGGAAGCTGGTTAATTTCATTTCGTGACCTCAACTTAAGTATTATACTTCAAACATATGAAAATATTTTCATGCCAATTGCCATTCAAAATTTGTGAAAATTACAATTTCTTCTTACTTCACTGTGTTTCTTCACCTCATCCCTGCAACCTTTCCATCAGTACTTCCCTCTTCAGCATTTTGCCAATCATTTTCCTTCCAAACATTTCTTCCCACTTGTGCTATTCACCTCTGTGACTCATCTCCTCTTAAAAGAAGCTGCAAGAAACTTGCTCCCGGGCTATGCAAAACCCCCTGGCATTTGTTAAAGCCACAGAGAAGTTTATAGCTCCCTGCCACCGTATAGGAATGTCTATTAATTTGATCCTAGATTGACATGGGAAAGCCTGGGGCATTTATGGGGACTGTTGGATTCTAGTTTGATATCATGATGAACTTGGAAAACTCTTTGATGATTGAATAAGCTCCCAATATGCGGCCTGGGGGATCAGATCTCTGGCCTGCCCTGGGGATTAAGAGGTGAGCAAGGGCATTTTAAGGGGTTCATTCTCCAAAATGGAAAAAAAAATAGAACTCTCTCCCACACTGTGACTCCATCTCAGGAAATCTTGGACTTTTCAATGTCTGTTTCTGGACACATCCCTCAGCTTTGAGCCTTTATCTTGTTTTTCTGTGTCTGATTCTCCCAGATTCCTATTGCAACTGTATTTACCAACTGCTCCCAGATACAGGCTTAAACAGAATCTGATTTCCAAGCCCATCTGGATAGACATATTTGTAGCTTTACCACACCCCCACCACCTTGGGATTAGTTTATGTACTCAGATGCAGAATCTGGAAGCCAGTCTGCATAGTCGAGATTCTGTGTTACTCTTATCACTTTCTTTTGCTACCAACAAACATTGGATTTTGCCACCTAATTTTCAGTACTCTCATCTTCCCCACTTATTCCAGTAGTGTTTTGAACTTATGATGCAAGATGAAGCTGATATCTAGATTTCCTTTCCTGTCTAGTACCCCACCTCCTCTCCTAAACCACCTTCATCAAACACAGGAACCTGCACCAAAAACTGAGTGATTGGAATCGGGACCACGTTGCTCATTCTCCTTCGGTGGCTCCCTCCTCCCCTCCCCTCCTCTTCCCTCCCCTCTCCTCCCCTTCCCTTCCATTCCTTTCCTTCCATTCTTCGTAGAACCCATAGTATATCTACTATAAAGAAGCTAATAATAACTACCATTTACAAAATCTCTGCCAAATGTTAGGAAGTTCATACAAGCTCTCTCATTTAATTATCTCTCCAATCCTGAGGGGTATTAAAAACTCTTATTATATAGTTGAAGTTATTGAGAGAAGGTCTTGCATTTAGTAAGTCACCAAGTAGTCATTGAACCTTGGTTCTCTTTTATTCTAAAGTCCACATTCTTTTCACTTTGCCTCACTGTCCTGGCACTAGGGGGAGAAGAAGCCAAAAATATGACAGTCTGGTGGTGTCAGGCAAGTAAACACTTCACCATATGTAATGCAACCTGAAAAATAT
The DNA here is from genome assembly GCF_000001405.40 of Homo sapiens. NCBI lineage: Eukaryota > Metazoa > Chordata > Mammalia > Primates > Hominidae > Homo > Homo sapiens. The sequence goes on from NC_000009.12 coordinate 22,531,276, forward strand.
TCTAATGAAAAAGTAAGTCCAAAGTACAGAAAATGCTTTATGTGCTTTGGCAGATGAGGAGGAGAGTATTCTTGCTAGGCCAGGGAGTGAGGGAGATGTAGAGGGTGCTGTCATGATGTTAAGTTCAGAGGAATGATATTTAAGCTAGTCCTTAAACAATAGGATAAATTCACAAAGCAGAAACTGAGAAACTGAAGCCAACATTTAGAGTCATTTGTACATTTGCCTGTTTTTCTGTTTTTCTATATCCTAGTATCAGTCCCCTTTTTCTGTTGATTTAGTTTATTTTTATTTTTATTTTTTATTATACTTTAAGTTTTAAGGTACATGTGCACAACGTGCAGGTTTGTTACATATGTATACATGTGCCATGTTGGTGTGCTGCACCCATTAACTCGTCATTTACATTAGGTATATCTCCTAATGCTATCCCTCCCTCCTCCCCCACCCCACAACAGGCCCTGGTGTGTGATGTTCCCCTTCCTGTGTCCAAGTGTTCTCATTGTTCAATTCCCACCTGTGAGTGAGAACATGCGGTGTTTGGTTTTTTGTCCTTGCGATAGTATTGCTGCTATAAAGACACATGCACATGTATGTTTATTGTGGCATTATTCACAATAGCAAAGACTTGGAACCAACCCAAATGTCCAACAATGATAGACTGGATTAAGAAAATGTGGCACATATACACCATGGAATACTATGCAGCCATAAAAATGATGAGTTCATGTCCTTTATAGGGACATGGATGAAGCTGGAAACCATCATTCTCATTCCCCTTTTTAAAGGCCTTGTGAATCCCATTCAAGATATGAAGTTTCTTTCCCTTTTTATTTATGGCCTTTTGTTTTTCCTCTTTATTCTATATTACTGAATTAACCTAAGGTCTCAAGCCTGAAGTTATGAAGCTACTTAAATTATAACATCAAATTATCAGAGAAATAGAGTAGGACAATTATTTTGCATTCTTATTTTTCTTTCCTTTTGTTTCGTAAGAATGATCTATAGCACCGACAACAAAAAGTAAACTTTTAATTAGGTATATTGTAAGACATGTGAGGAAGGGTAAGATTCAGATGGCATGTGGCATGAAATAATTAGACATAAAATTTTCAAAGTACTAAAACTATTTTAGTTACAAATTTATCTGTGATAAACTACTAAACTGGATGGGATGACTTGAATCATGAAAGATTATATTATAATTTTGGAGTGGCTAAAAATTATGTGATTGAAGTAAATGGTTTTTGAAACAAGATGGAGTACAATAACATGAATTATTAGGGTTTTTTTTTTAATAATCATAGGACTAATAAAATATAGACTGAAAGCACATGCTTGTTGTAGAAGAGTCTCCAATTATATTTTTAAGAATCAACATATGAAGTATATATAGCAACCTGTTTAATTTTCTCTTGTATTATTTCTCAGTATATTCCATGAATTACTATCCTCTGGATATTAATAGCATCTTATTACAGATGGGGTCCACGGTGGAATTCACCAGGTTAAATAAAACTAAACAAATTTATTTAACTTGCTATGAGAATTTTTAGACCTTTGAAATGGCTAATGAGCTTTATAATTATCCGAGAGTTTGCAATACATTTAGCTCAAACTTAACTGTGCCCAGATCTCATGTGTGTGTGTGTGTGTGTGCGTGTGTCTGTGTGAGACAGAGAGAAAGAAAGAGGGAGAGAGAGAGTATGAAACATCGTATGAGCTAGTATTCTTTGGTATCCCAGCTTAGGAAATGCCAGTATTAAAAAAAATACAAAATAAAGTTGAAAATGAGACTGTTTGAAGAATTACAGTTGTTCAAAATAAGAGAACACAGAAAGGGAGATTCATAAAACATATAGTTCATTTAAATAAGACTCTTTATTTGAAACACAATTAGAAAATCTTTTCTTCAATGAAGTTTGTCATGATTATGCCAGCCTATACCAATATCTCAAACATCCGAATTCCTGTAGTTCAAATTGTCAACTTTGGCACTTAGCATATTTTACATTATATTTTTAGTTCTCTTTACATGTATGTATTTCATCTTGCCAATTGGACTATGGGAGCTTATAGAACAGATGCCTTGTGATGAGTTGATTGTGGTAATTTATATGGTTTTCAGGTCAATCACATTTTCCAGTATTTTGTTCTATCAAATCATGTGTCAGACAACTCATTCCATGTGAGGTCCAAGAAGAAGGGTCATTTCATTTACACATTTTGGAATCTGAATTTCTAGTAGAGTGCTTTATACAAACTGAGACTTTGATAATTATCTGTCAATTGTAACTTAAACATAGTGATAGGTATTTCCTGGCTTCATGAGAGAAAACAGAAGGAATAGAATAGATTTCAGCCCTTGGAATTAACTCATATTAAACGATAACTATAAGGAATGTGAAGCCATAATATGGAAAATTATATGTGTGTGTGAATATAAAGACCAGGTGTGTGTGTGTGTGTGTGTGTGTGTGTGTGTGTGTGTGTGTGTATGTGAACAGCAATGATCACTTTTGCTTAATTTCTCGGGGGAGGGAGAATAAATTGTTTTTGTTTTAAAAGTTTTCTACAAGGCTACAGTAACCAATACAACATGGTGCTGGTACCAAAACAGATATACAGACCAATGGAACAGAATGGAGGCCTCAGAAATAATGCCACACATCTAGAACCATCTCATCTTTGACAAACCTGACAAAAACAAGCAATGAGGAAAGCATTTTTTATTTAATAAATGGTGCTGGGAAAACTGGCTAGCCATATGCAGAAAACAGAAACTGGATCCCTTTCTTAAACCTCATACAAAAATTAACTTAAGATGGATTAAAGACATAAGTGTAAAACCCAAAACCATAAAAACCCTAGAAGAAAACCTAGGCAATACCATTCAGGACATAGGCATGGGCAAAGACTTAATGACTAAAACACCAAAAGCAATTTCAACAGAAGCCAAAATGGACAAATGGGATCTAATTAAACTAAACAGCTTCTGCACAGCAAAAGAAACTAGCATCAGAGCGAACAGGCAACATACAGAATGGGAAAAAATTCTAGCAATCTTCCCACCTGACAAAGGTCTAATATCCAGAATCTACAAGGAACTTAAACAAATTTACAAGAAAAAAACAAACAACCCCATCAAAAAGTGGGCAATGGTTATGAACAGACACTTCTCAAAATAAGACATTTATGTGGCCAACAAACATATGAAAAAAAGCTGGAACATTACTGATCATTAGAGAAATGCAAATCAAAACCACCATGAGATACCATCTCACACCAGTCAGAATGGCGATTATTAAAAAGTCAGGAAACAATAGATGCTGGCAAGGCTGTGGAGAAACAGGAACACTTTCACACAGTTGATGGGCGTGTAAATTAGTTCAACCATTTTGGAAGACAATGTAGTGATTCCTCAAGGATCTACAACTAGAAATACCATTTGACCTAGCAATTCCATTAGGGGTATATACCCAAAGGAATAGAAATCGTTTTACTATAAAGATACATGCACACGTATGTTGATTGCAACACCAGTTACAACAGCAAAGGCATGGAACCAACCCAAATGTCCATCAATGATAGAGTGGATAAAGACAATGTGGTACATACGCACCATGGAATACTATGCAGCCATAAAAAATAATGAGTTCATGTCCTTTGCAGGGACATGGATGAAGCTGGAAGTCATCATCCTCAGCAAACTAACACATGAACAGAAAACCAAACACTGCATGTTCTCACTCTTAGGTGGGAGTTGAACAATGAGAACACATGGACACAGGGAGGGGAACAACACGCACTGGGGCCTGTTAAGTGGTGGGGGTCAAGGGGAGGGAGAGCATTAGGACAAATACCTAATGCATGTGAGGCTTAAAACCTAGATGACAGGTTGATAGGCGTAGCAAACCACCAAGGCACATGTTTACCTATATAACAAACCTGCACATTTTGCACATGTATCCTGGAACTTAAAAAATAAAAAATAGATAAAAAAGAAAGAAAACAAGACACACATGGAATTCTTGACTCCATGAAAAACACAGTGTAACAGAGAAGACTAATTTAAATGAGTATTTAATTAAAATTTATGTAATGAAACATAATTCCGTCTGAACATATATCTGGGATATCAGGAGGAGATACTCTTAGGAAATGTTTTTTAGTTGGAAATCTAAAGGATGAGTAAGATTTAGTTAACCTGAGACTTGGTGTACTCAGTTTGGGGTATGTTGGGTAAAAATTGCCTTCAAGACAACCAGGAAGGTAAGTTGAGTAGGCATTGGAACACATACGGCTAGGTTTTGTTTATAAGTGGAGCACAGGCTGGAGTTATACTCTCAGAAAATAGTCTGTAATTTAAGGCATGAGATTACAAAGAAACTTACAGAGAGAGAGAGAGAGAAAGACCATAGAGGGACCAATATGGTAGTCTGGAATTTAGCCCCAAGAGTTTGAACAAGAAATGGGGTTATATTTTTAGGAATAAAGCAGATTTTAGAATAGCCAGTGTGGATTTATTTATAGAAGTACTTCACAGAGCTTCAATTTCTATGGTATTATTTTAAAACATTTTATGGGGGAAATGTTTTAAAATCTCCTTTTAGCTATTTAATTTATATTACTTAGCTACCTAGGATTTGAGATGTGTAGTTACCTTTCCACAGATGTGGTACCTGTAAGTCTCATACAGATCATGACCTTGGACAGAGGCACAGTGAATTCCTCCAAGGTCATCTAGCTTGTGGTTTCAGCTTAATTGCAACTGGGGCAAATAACTTGTGTAACTGCCCATTTCTCATCCACCTTGGGGTATTTTGAATATTTTTTCTAAACAATTGTAAACCCTAAAGTTTAGCTGAATTTTTGCTGTATTATTATCTTTTCTGTGCTTTTCTGAGTTGTTAATTATATTGGGAGTGTTCAGGGTTAACTTACCTTTAATTTCTATATTGTGGTAACCTTCAGAAGAAGAACTCACAGCACTGCACCCACTTTGCCTCAATTATCTGGTTCTATACCTGCACTTGTAACTAATCCTCTCATTCTATTCTCCAGCTTTCAGATGCTTGTTATTCTCTTCCCAACTGCAGTTTCCTTATGAATCCCTTTGCCTTGAAATTTTCCAAAACTGCTTAACAGGAGTGCCGTATTTAGCTTCTAAATACGTCTAATTCTCCTATACAAGATTGTTCTCTTTTCACTTGGCGTCAAGGGATTGACTGAAAATAACTATCCTTTTGTTACAAAGAAAGAAGAGCAAAACTAAAGAAATTCACTAAAATGGAGGCTTCACAATTATTTTAAAAAGAAAAGTCATAAAATGTCTGAACACCAGTAGCTTCCAAGGATGGCAGTTTTGAGGCCCTCTATTTGCTTTTTGGGAATTCCATTTTGAAGAATTGATTTGATTTATGATGTCACATTGTGTGAGAAGGGAGAGAGGTTGAGTACTAGTCTCCAAATTTAGATTGAAGTCATAGAGACTAAAACTATTGTAAGGCTTATTTTTAGTATACACTATTATATAGCTTTTTCTTCAGTACTTTGTGTCAACAATGTAGCATTTATCATGTATTTTGATTCTTATTCAACTATCTTGTCCCCTTTACTAGATTTGAAATATCCTTTTTTTATGGCAACCTGTGTTCATTTGTCTTTCTAGTGGACTAAGGGTCCTTTAAAAAGTAATCTACTGAATGAATAAATACTAATTACAGAACAGGAAACCTCAGTTTTTGCTTTCAAAATCAGAACAAATTCCGGTAATTATGACAAAGAGATCTCGAAAAGTAAGCAATATAGATTTTCTAAGCATGCCTTTTCACTGGATGAAAAATGACCTTTTAGTTAACCACGCCTCCTCTACCAGCGAAGGGACTCCCGAAATTGCAATATGAATTATTGATTTGGAATATTTCCTTCCTGGCATTATAAGAGAATGCTGCCAATTATGAGGAACATCATAGTGGCTAGTATTTATGAGCGCTTACTATGGCTTAATGCCTGAATGGTAGTAGAAACTCAATAAATATTTGTTGAAAGAATAAATACAAAGTGGTTTATTAAGTCATTTGTACACATAATCTCATTTAAGTATCATAATAACTTTGCAAAAATAGTTACAATACAATTTTTATTCACATTTCTCACAATAAATAAAGCTCAGAAAGATTAAGTATATTGCCCAGGATCACACTGCTGGTATGTGACAGAAACATCTCCATAAACTATGTGGAGTGACTCTTTCCACAGAATCATAGAACCTGGCAAAACCTTGCATAAAGGGAGATTATTACTTATGAAATGCCTTTTTAGTTAGGAATCCAGAAGAATTAAAATAAGTCCTTTGCTCCACGTTACTCCAATTCTATCCTGGCCTTTTAAAAGGGAAGCAAATCAGGTGATTTGTTGTTCAATTTTACTGGGAACAAAATCAAACAACTAGGGAGAAAACCAGAGAAGAAACTAAAGCTATGGAATCAAATCAGACTGAGAGCATGATAGGAAGTGTAATATATCTCTCTGTTCCACTTTATCTACAATGAAAACAGTAAAGAACCTGTCAGCTAAATCATGAATATTATTTCCGTCATGACTAACCTGTAGAATCGGTCCAATTCTTTTATTTGATTAGGTCATAAGCTACATGCTGTGACCGACGGCAGGTAGAGAGTTTATTACACTTTCACGTTGTTCTTGTTTCTATAAATATGTTAGTTCCTCTGAAGAAGCACTGGACTTGTTATTCTGGCCTAATCATTTTAGACCATTATTTTCCAAAAGGATCTGGGGTTTTACAAAGGTGATTTCCTGCAGTTTTGTTTGTTTGTTTTAAGTTTTTTTGCACCACTTAATATTGCTTACATTTTTAAAATTATGTTGTTGTTTTTTTTTGTAGAAGGAGTCTTGCTCTGTTGCCCAGGCTGGAGTGATCTCGGCTCACTGCAAGCTTCGCCTCCCGGGTTCACGCCATTCTCTTGCCTCAGCCTCTCGAGCAGCTGGGACTACAGGTGCCTGCCACCATGCCTGGCTAGTTTTTTGTATTTTTAGTAGAGACAGGGTTTCACCATGTTAGCTAGGATGGTCTCGATCTCCTAACCTCGTGATCCACCTGCTCTGGCCTCCCAAAGTGCTAGGATTACAGGCGTGAGCCACCGCACTATGTGTTTTTTTATGTGTAGGTGATCTCAATATCTCATAGATATTTAATTCAACATTTGCCATTGCATTACTAGACATAAAATATTTCATTTAACACCCAATTCTTCCAATTGATTGATGAAAATAAATCCATAATCAAAAGAATTTGATAAAAAATAATTACTTGACAGTTATTATTTTTTTTCCCAATTAACAAAAAGAGAGATAAAAATTGGAGCCACACAGACACTAAATTATTTTAATTTTAATGTTGCATATTTATACTACAAATTTTTAATTTGTGATTCATTAAAAGTTATTAGTTATGGCTATCACTTTGCATTGCAGAAACTTTGAAAGTAGGAAAATGTCTTAGAAGTCATTTATTCCAACTTAAAAATTTTATAGACAAATCATAAAAGGCAAATGCTAAAAATCACACAGATAAAAACCAGCATAACAAGATTTGAAGCTGGGTCTTTGGATGACTGTTTGGCGTTCCCAAGACCATTAATTTTTTAATAGTTTACACATGTATTATCAGTAATTCGATTAAGAAAATAGAGGCATGACTCTTAAATTTCTCTGTGTCGTTCTGTAGTAAAAGAAGTAAGTGAGAGCATCATCAAGTAACCAGGTAGGAAACTGTAAGTATAGAGTTGCCCGTCTAGTGTGGCTGTGAAGAGATATTTATGGAGTTGCTACCGTATGCTACATTTCTACCATGTCCCATAATGTCACTATAAAGCAAGCACCACATAATCGCACAAGCAGCCACGGGGTTCCAGTCAGTCTCTGTTATTGTTAGCTTTCCAATGAGACAACAAATAGGTCTTTGAAAAGCTATTCCAAATAGGTAATATGGGTGGCTACAGGAAAAGCCACAGGATGTTATCCTGCACACACCAAGACTGACATGAAATCAGGGAAATCAGAAAATTGGAGAACTCTGGCCAGGTGCAGTGGCTAACGCCTGTAATCCCAGCACTTTGGGAGGTCAAGGCAGGCAGATCACCTGAGGTCAGGAGTTCAAGACCAGCCTGGCCAATATGGTAAAACCCCATCTCTACGAAAAATACAAAAATTAGCTGGGCATGATGGTGGGCAGTAGTCCCAGCTACTTGGGAGGCTGAGAATTGCGTGACCCCAGAAGGTGGAGGTTGAAGTGAGCTGAGATGATGGTGCCACTGCACTCCAGTCTAGCCCAGATGACAGAGCGAGACTCTGTCAAAGAAAACAAACAAACAAACAAAAAACCTATATAGTGCTTTGCAGAAGTAAGAAGGGGAGAAGTCAAATCAATTATCTCTGAAAAAGAACTTTCAGAAGAGCATAAATGCATTATTATTTGGAAAAAACAAAAACGAAATAAGTGAATTAAACCTGGAATAGGTTATCATAAATATAAGATGAATTTAGGATTTGGATAGGCCAGGGAATTTTCAAAGTTACTGAGCAAGTTGTACTGTGGTTTGGCTGCTTTTTGGTTGTGGATGTCCATAAATGATGTTTTCATTCTCAGTATGCCTTATTAGTGCTTAGAGCAATAGCTCCTGAGAGGTTCATATTTTGACTCTAGTTTTTGGGACTGGCGTAGTGATACATCACCTTAGAGACTGGAATCCCTTCTGAGAAATGCATCATTAGGTGATGTCATCATTGTGCAAACACCATAGAGTGTACTTACACAAACAGAGATGGTATAGCCTACTACACACCTAGCTATATGGTATAGCCTATAGCTCCTAGGCTACAACTCTGTACCGTATGTTATTATACTGAATACTATAGGCAATTATAACACAATGGCAAGTATTTTTGTTTTTAAACATATCTAAACATAAAAAGGTATGGTAAAAATATGGTGTAAAAGATAAAAAATGGTGCACCTACACAGGGTATTTACCATGAATAGAGTCTGCAGGATTGAAGGTTGCTCTGGATAAATCAGTGAGTGAGTGGTGAGTGAATGTGAAGGCCCAGGACAGTACAGTAAACTACTGTAGACTTTATAAACACTGTGCACTTAGGCTACAATAAATTTATCAAATATTTCTTCAATAATAAGTTAAGCTTAGCTTACTGTAACTTTTTTCCTTTATACACTTTTTAAAATTTTTGACTTCTTACAACACTTAGCTTAAAATAAAATACATTTTAAGCCATACAAAAGTATTTTCTTTCTTTATACCCTTTTTCTGTCAGTTTTTTCAATTTTAACAATTTTCCATTTTTTACTTTTCAAACTTTTTTTGCTGAAAATTAAGACACAAACACACACTTAGCCTAGGCCTACACAGGGTCAGGATCATCAATATCACCGTCTCCTACCTCCACATCTTGTCCCAGGGGAAGGTCTTCAGGGGCAATAACACACATGGAGCTGTCACCTCCTATGACAGCACTGCTTCCTTCTGGAATACCTCCTGAAGGACCTGGCCTGAGGCTGTTTTACAGTTAACTTTGTTTATCATAAGTAGAAGGAGTAAACTGTAAAATAAGAATACGATTTATAGTATAATAAATACATAAACCAGCAGCACAGTTATTTACTATCATTTTCAAGTATTATATACTGTACATAATTATATGTCTGCCGTATCTATGTATGTGCAGTTTATCATGGACTGCAGCATCGTTGTATGGTGCATGACTGTATATTCATTCAGGAAATATATATTGAGCACTATTTAGGTCTTTTGAACTATGCTAATTGGAGTGGGTACAAAACTATATAAAACAGGATTTCTGCCTTTAAGAAAATTATGGTTTAATGGGGAGACTCTCAAGTGACTCAACAAAGATGGTGGTAGGAAATAAGTATTATGCTACAGTATGATCGAGTATAGACAAGATTTCCTGGCAAAGGTAATTCTGAAAGTGAGTTTTGAAGTACAAGCAGGAGTTAGCTAAGCAGAAGAGGAGAAAAGGCATTACTGGCCGAGGAAACAGAGCACGTAAAGAGAAAAAATATAAAAAGCTTTTGTGGAATTCTAAGCAGTACTGTATAACTGTGCATATCATTAATTTATTTAATAAATATTTGTTGAATAGTTATGTGCCTGGTAAATTTTAGGCTCTTAGATATGACCGTGTTTGAGATAGATACATTTCCTGCTGATATTCTAGTGTACGTAAAGGGGCATGTGATGAACAAATGTATGTTAGAGGTAACAGCTAGGATGACAAAAACAAGGCAGAGAAAGGGGAATAGAAAGAATCAGGGCATGGGGAAAGTGGGGTGAACTGCTATGTCATATGAAGTGGTCAGGAAGCCCTCTTCCATAAAGTAACATTATCTAAGAGTAGACACATAAGAAAAGTAAGAAAGATAGCAAATATTTAGAGAAAGAGCCTCTTAGGCCCAGAGAAGAACAAGTGCAATGGCCCAGAGACAGAACTGTGCTCGGTGCATTTGATAAACATCAAGGAAGCCAGGGGATCTAGAGTTGAATGAGTGAGGAGGTGATGAAGGAAAAGCTGAGTAAGAAAAGAGTGGTAGAAAGTGAGGTGAGAGGGAGACCAGGTGGGCCAGGCCACATAGTGCCACACAATCAATTTTTGGGATTTTGGCTTTTTACTCTGAGTGGTGTGTAAGTCCATCAGAAGGTTTTAAGCAAAAGAGCATCATGATATGAATTATGATCATTCTGGCAGCTATGTTGAGAATAGCCCATAGGGACAGAGTAGAAACAGAGAGTCCACATAGTAAGCTTCTCGATAATTCAAGGGAGGGATGATGGTGTGCGTGGGGTGAAGGGGTAAGCCTTGGTGATACTGAGAAGTGGTTGGATTCTGTGTATATTTTGAAGATAGAGCCAACAGGATCTCCTGATAGACTGGGTATGCGGCAAGAGAAGAAAAGAAAAGTCAAGAGCAATCCCAGTATTTTGGCTTGAACAATTGGAGAAATAATGAAGCTGTTTACTAGAATGGGAAAGACAATAGGAGGAACAGATGTGAGCAGGAGGAGATGGTACAAAGAAATCAAGTAATTTGTTGGGAGATTCTATTTTTGAGATGACTATTAGGAATCCAAGTGGAAATTGAGTTACCACTGAATATTTCAGTCTGAAATTTAGGAAAGACAGGAGATTTGAATTTATAACTCATCAGCCTATAGATGGTACTTATGTCTATAGGACGCAGTCATATGAAAGGCAGTATGGTATTCCATGTTCTGGAGCCAGGTTCGTTCTGCACATTACCTGTGCAACCTTGGGCAATTAACTTATCTGTGTTTCATTTTCCTCATTTACAAAAGAAGAATGACAATAATCATAAGGTGATTGGGAAGTTTAAATTGTCACTTATAAAGCACTTAAAAAGCATTGACTGACACAAAATAAGTCTTCAAAAATATTAGATATATTTATAACAATGTGGGAATTATGTCATGAGATGTGTATATTGGGGCAATATTTTTAAATTATCAAAATGATTTGTCTATAATTCTTCTTAAATAATAGGACCTTGCACCTTCCCCATGCAATGTATTAAGAGCATGATGCCTAAAACCATCATTGTTTAGCTAAGAGGTTTAAAACTGCTTTTCTTATGTTTCTTGTGACACCGTAGCCTTGTAAACTAAGTTTTGGTAAAAGAAAAAAGGGAATTCTACATTCCAAAAGCTTCCCTTTATAAATTAAAATAAAATTTCAGAAGGCCTGAAAACAGAATTATACTATAAGCCATTTTCAAAGAAAAAATAGGATTAAATGGATTAAGTAGGAATAACTGCCTTACTTTAGCAGATCTACAGTGCCAGGCAGAGGTAAGGTGAACACCTAGTCAACAGGGAAGGTAGTAGACAGCTTTGGGAGCAGTCATCTGGCCTGGCCCATGCTAAGATCAAGGCTGATGATTTATACCAGCTGCAGACACTCTTGTGGATACTGGAGGAACAGACATTAACATCCAAATACTAGCTAAAGTGGAGCAGCAAAGGAGACAGTTCCATGATCAAAAACACTTATCCCCATTCCATGGGTAGATCTGCTCCCTTCATTCAAGCACTATATCAAGAATGTGAATTATAAATTATCTTAATACTTCCATGGAAGAGACTGATTTAAATTGAATTACACTAACTTGTTAAATTTTAAGATTTGTTTTTTAAGTACTAGGAAGGGAAGTGCAAAAGCAGAGCAAAGCTTTTATTGACAAGAACATTATATTTTTGTTATGTCATAATTGTACTGTGTATATATATTTATTATACTTTGCTAGACAAGGCAAGGAGAATAAGGGACATGTCTACAAAGATAATTTTAGACTATTTTCTGAGCCATTAAAATAAGCTATTTGGGGAAGATACTTCAGATTGCAGCCTGGGGAAATATTAGAGAAAGAAGTTGATGTTAGAGACAAGGAGGCAACCAGAAGTTACACTTGTATCAATTTTTTAAAACTCCTATGATGTTATAATCACTGATATATGGCTGGTATAAGTTTATATACAAATAAATACTTAATTTTCCAGTCTCCTTTGAAGTTAGGGGGCTATGAGTGTTGATAGCAGAAGTAGCATGCTTGATTTATATTCTTAAAGGGAGGACTTGCTGCTTTTCCTCCTTTTTCCTTCCTGGAAAATAGATGATGGCTGGAGCTCTGACAACCATGTTGGGCTATAAGATGACCTTGGGAGAATGAAGCCATGCATTCCTGAGTTAAAAGATAGGATAAAACCTAGGTGCCTTACATTTTAGAGTGCTCTAACATCCCTTGATGACTACCTCTAACTTTTTGAATATAAGACAGTGATTTCTATATTGTTTTACTCAGTCTTGAGTGTTTTTTTTTTCTGTTCCCTATTGAGCATCCTAATAATAAAAATACTTATTGAACAACATTTAGCAAACACGAAGAAGCTATTTATATATATTATATATAATTTATATATTATATATAAAATAAAATATAAAGTATGCATATTTCCACCATAAAGAATTATTTATTATTAATATTTCCAAGTTTTCTAAAGACTTAATTTTAGTTTTTTTCCCTAAACTTTTATATATAGAATGTTTTTAACCGTTGACATGGACGATTTGTTTTAACAGTGGTGGGATTGTCATTATGCTGCTCACCAAGTATTTCTAACTCTCTGCCTCCTGAGCTCATGGTAGGGTTGTACTTACTCACATTCTGTGATTGGGTGGGACTGTTGTCCAGTTCTGGCTGATGAACCGTCAGCCGAAGTGGCTTGTGCTGCTTTTTGTCTAAAATTGAATTGCCAGTTTTTGAGTCATTTTCAGAGCTCTCTTTGCTGTCTGCCACAGAGACCTACAAGGTAGTCCCAGAGTTACAGCTTTGAGAGTCTAGATCACAAAGTGATCAGGGTCAAGAAATAAACATTTGTACCTCGAAGCCACTGAGATTTGGGGCCTTGTTTGTTATTCAGCATAAACTAGCATATCTTGACTGATAGAACAATTAGGATATATGATAGTCTATAGTATGTGTGAGGTGTTAGGATAAATTCTAAGATCCTCATCCGTATTTCACACAACTGTCCTCATTGCTTGATGAATTCCAGTCCGTTGGTTCCTCACTTGCTCCATGCTCTTTCCTAAATCATTGCTCTCAAGCATACTATTGACTTGTTCAGTAACATACCAAGCGATCTTTGACATTTCCATTAAGATGTCATTTACTTACCAAACCTTTCCCTGACCCCTAGGCCTTTGATAGTCTCTTTTGATATGAATACTTCTACTTAGAAATTACCACTATACTAATTAAATTCTTAATTATGTAATTAAGAATTTAAATCTTTATCTTACACTAAAATGTAAACTTTATAAGGGTTAGGACAATACATTTTTGCCTACTTCTTTATACATAGTTTCTAAGGCAGATACAAGTATTACAGCATAAAACAAGATATTTTTCATCCTAAGCGACGTTCACAGAGCATTTCTCCTTTTGAGAAAGACTCTGTCTCTTCTTTTTCTTTCTTTCAGATTTCTAAATTATAATATCCCTTTTATTTGAAGTAAAGTTGCCCTGTAGGAAAAGCTGAACTTATTCAGTCTGGAAAAAATAAGCATGATATACTGGGGAAAGAGGATATTACAATTTATGTGAAGAAAAATGATGATAAACTGGTGCTAGTCCTGTGATATTATTTTTATGGATAGGTACTGAAAATGAGATATTGTTGCTTTTGGAAACCAAGGATGGTTTGCTTTTAAAGAGGAACCAATAAAGGTTTAGAGTAAATGAAAACCCGAATCACAAAAATAGTACTGAAATCTTAGATTAAAGAACACTTTATTATTTTATATGTTCTACAGTTGCAATCTCCAAATCTTGTGAGAAGAGTTTCATTTTTAGAAGCCATAATCTGAATTTTAAAATATCACCAATACTGCAAAATACAGAAAATTTATCCTAGCTTTATAAATCTCTGTTGGATAATGGGTGGTTTCCAATGCTTTCAAAGTTTTAAAAAATATATTTCCAGTTTCAAGACAGAGGACAGTATCGTAACAACTGGCATGCCTACCTAGTGACTTCTGTTTTAATTTCATTGGCCAATTTGGTTAAATACATATGCCTAACTCCAAGGGTAGCATGGAGCTGAATATTTTTAGATGCATACTTTGCCTTATAGAATAAAATTGAGATTGTAAGGAATGGGAAAATGGTTATTGGGCAAGTAATTATGTATGTTTTCTACAATACATTTTAATAATTATCAGTAAGAATAACAAACATTATCTGTTATAAATGACTTATTGTTTCTAAAACCATTCAATCTGTGCAACAGCGAATTAAGGAGACACTATTGCTATTAACTCTTTTTATTGATGAGGAAGCAAGATGGACAGAACGATTAGGTAATTTGCCTTAGATCACACAGCTGGTCGTTGCTGCAGTCATGCCAGTGTTTGAACCTAGGAATCTGACTCCTGACAGTGCTTTTAACCCACTCTATTAACAAAGTTTAAAAGTGTGTGATTACATCTTAGCACAAGCATGTACATTTGCCTGCTTTAGTGCTAAAGATTAAGCTTCAATTAGTGTCAAGTTTTGAAGATATTGGGAAAAGCCATTATGTCTTTTTATGTATAATAGTTCTTAACTATCTTAAACCATTTAAATTATTTTTAAAAACTTATTTTAAGTAAAAAATTAATAAAATACAAATGCACATGGTATAAAATTGAAAATATCATAGGTCATATACACAGAACAAAATGAGTACAATGAAAAGTAGGTTTTTCTCTTACTCTAAACCCTGAGTCTCTGGTCTACCTTGAGGAGAGGTAATCACTCACATGTCAAAGACTGTCATTGTCCCCCAGTATCCAAACTTTCTTTTTTCCTTTCAGTAACTGACCATGTAATTTTTATCTGGCTTACATGAACGATTGTCTCAGCAGTACCCTTTCCAGCCTTCCTTGTAGCTAGATGTAGACATCTGTGAAATCCCAGCCAATGAAATATTAGTGATGTGATGTGTGCAAATTCCAACTCATACTCTTTAAAAAGGAACATGACTTACATTCTGTTTTCTCTTTTTCTCTTTCTGTGGGCTATAAAGTGGCTGAAGTGGCTGGTGGTGGTCCACCTAAATTATTCAGGCAATGGCAGAGAAAAGGGAATTTTTCTTGGAGTAGAGAAGAATTCACCCATCTCCTCTCCACATCTTCACCCTGAACGATTTTTCAGCAGAGAAACTAATTTCTGCTGTTTGAATTAATGTATGGATTAAGTTGATGTAACAAAGAGTCACAAAAATAAATGTTAACATTTCTTTTGTCTTCAATTTCCTAAAATTATTTCTCAGTTCATTTGAAAACTACAATGATAATATGTAAATTATGTTTGGGCTTCATAAAAATCTTTGTATTTCCTAAGCTTTAAATTTCCACCAAGAAACCCTGTTAATCAATTTTCTCATGTGTTAATGCTCTGTCAAGAGATACGGTTTATTTTACTTGTTCTCCTCTCAAAAATCGAATGTGAAGAAGTAAAAATTAATGTTTCTTTTCTGGCTGAAAGTCTGCCTTTGTTTTTAGAGTGGATATAATGTGGACTCTGAATAAGGATTGGACTGTGCTTTTTAAATATCTTCGTGCAAGGAATAATCAAAAGCTCTGATGTTATCTAAGCAAAGAGCAAATTGGCTTTGTGTGGCATGTGTGTATATGACTTCATAGATACTTCAGTATAATATTAAGTGACCAAAACAATTTAAATGCCTCCCAGACTGAGATCTTGTTTCTTCATATTCTCATCAGTTTTATTAATATGGCTATGAAGATTATTTTTCAGTTTAAAGGAGTGAAGCTCCTTTAAAAACAGCAAACTGAATTGGTTGTATCCATATTTGCAACTAAACTCACTTCCAAGCCAGTTGGTCCTGATTTCTATTTTCCTACTGTCTATGCTCAGAGAATGCAAGCATTCACTCTTAATGATCTCTGAGATCCTGCAGCAACTCCATATGGAAATGAGGAGGAAATAAAAAACAGGGATCAAAATATGTTCAATGTATTTTATACACTATTTTATTTTCTTTTTATCTCTATTTCTGTACAGCCTTTGTTATATGAGTTGGTGACTATTTTCATAGTGGTTGCAATTGTTTTTTATATGCACCCAAACATCTAGAAAAGAGAAAAGTGGTTCAAGGTCAGTGCAGGTGTATGAAGGCTAATTATTAGAGAAACTATAAGGAACACAAGAACCTAAAGGCACATAGCTATTTTATTTTGCTGCAAAGGATAAAAATCTTTTTGTTTCTCAAGTATAGTGTTTCTTCTGTTTGTAATTTACTAAAATTTATTGGCAAGATTGATACAAGGAAGTAGGTTTTAAACTCTTTTCATTTGTCTATGGGCTCATATTTATTAGAGAGGAAAATATGTATATTTGAGAGGAAACTGTGTATATTTGATGGGCAAAACAACAAATATTTCATAGGTTCAGAATGTGCTGTACAGAGCTGAGTCATTTTTATATCCGCTGATACTATTGGTAGTTCAATATATAAAGCTGAAGAAGGGATACCAGTCATATTGAAGCTTTTGAAGATGTCAGTCTCAAATTTTGAAGAGTTATTGTAAACATGTATTTAAAAAATGAAATATTGAAAGAGATTTCCATTGTCTTTCCCCATATATTTTGACTGAAAGTATGTACATTTCTGGGTAAGCTTTTAGTTGTTTTATGACTTTTCCCCCTCCTGTTGCCATAGAGGGGCTGTGAACTCATTACTTATAAATTTAGCCTCCACCTGGTTTCCACTAAAGTCAGAAGGCTAGCATCTTCACTCAGAGGTTTAAGTGCACACGGTAGGGCGTAGTTGACCTACTGCCTTCACCATCTCCATCTGCTTCTCTTTGCCTCCATCCCCCATGGCCACTGCCACCAATGCCTGCCATGTCTTCCAGCATCTCTTAGAGCTTTTAAGTGAGTTCAAGAGAGCCATCTGTCTGTGAACCAAAAGTTAGCAATAGTGCACATTAGTGAGTGATCATTTTGAAAACCACCAAATGACCTGTGGTTTTGGTGTTTTTAAATAATTCTGTATGTGGTCTTTAGTAGTTATCTCTTAGCAGTATTGATAAGCATTTACTTCTCTCTCTGTTTTGTTTTTCTTTCTATTCTTGCATACTGTTATGTTCTTCTCTTGTTTTGTAATTTTATCTGTCCTGTATTTGTAACTGTAGTGCCTCCATTTATCAGTGTTTCTCAGTGGGGGTTCTGTTGGCAATTCAGGTAAGACAATGCTTTATAGTGCAGAATGTTGTTTGTTTTTTGGCATTTAGCAACCCTGGTTCCCAACCACTAAAATGCTGTAGCACTTCCTAGCTACTGTGAAAAGCAAAAACATTTCTTTATAGTGCCAATACCTCCTAAGAAGGCAGTATCGGCCTTTGTTAAGAGCCACAGATAGTCTGAAATTCCACAGGGACACTCGTGGGGGGATATGTTTATTTCTATTAATCAAGTATTAATGTTTACTTTGTGACTAGCACTGTGCCAAATGAAAAAACATATCAAAGTTAAGACATGCATTCAAGGCAATTAATGAACAACTTGAGGCTCCAACATTATCCACACTGTAATTAATGAATAGATAGTTTTTTTTTTTAATTGTCTGCAAGTGTAATCTATTGGGTAAAGAGAAAGAAATTCAGTCCTATCTTATGACCTCCTGGCAAATCAACAATGTCATTATCTTTTTATGCAACCCAAACTCTCCTTGGGTGTCTCAGAAAAGGGATTCTGTCTTTCAAATCTGCTCCATTCCCAGGTAGTGTTGGGACAGATAGTAAAAGGGAGTCTTATTTTGTCATCATGGCAGAGGAGAAATCATACCATTCTTCAGATACATTTTGCAGTTGTGGTCTGCTTTTGGGAGTGGTGCCTTCTGCGCTGCAACTGGCTGTTTCTAGCTCTCTGGATAAAGCTGCACTCTTCCTTGTGGAGTCTAGGGCTCTGGCATCATTGGTCTTTGAGCTTGAAATCTTCAGTGGAGATAGGCTCTTTGCTTTAGATCCAGGGATTTTTCATAAAGCTTCCTTTTATTTCCCCTAATTTGCAAAGACTTCTTGGTCTCTCACACATAGGCCATGGAAAGCCAGAAGGACAGCTTTAGCTTCACCTGCGTATGTATCTTGAAACACTACCATCTCAGCCATGAAGCCCAGGTGCTGAGTTGAAAATGTCATTGTGCAAGCTTCTAAAGGCTTGCTTTCTCCTTGCTACTATGCCACTACCTAGATGTGCTTGGCCACCCCTCTACTTATCCAGCAGTTTCTAAAATTACTCATCTCCCACACCTGGTCCCCAAATCCCTGGGATTGCAAGGGGTGGGAATTTCCTTCTTTCCTCTTCCTCTCTGGACCACTCATATAAACTGTGAAGTGTATCAAAGTCCACTTCAATACTACCAAGTTTTCAGGCCCATTTTTTCTGCAAAATCTTATTTTGAGTAAGGAAAGCTAAGTATAAATTAGTCTATTTTTATCCCTCTTAATGATTTTAATAAGCCATTCATAGACAGGTGGCTATATTTGGCTTTCAGGGTAAAAACTTGTATACAGGGAAATACATATATATGAAAGTGTATATAGGGAAATGTATATAGAAAAGAATACACTGATTTTATTTTATTATTAGCACCACATAACAGCCATGTCTATACATAATTATATGTACACAGTGAACAAGATCAGGTGACATTTGCTTGTGTTATCTAGGGATGCTGTGGAGCATGTGAGATTGAATTAAATTTGACACATAGATATGGTATGAATATAAATAGAAAGGAGAGAGGAGAGGTAGCACAATGAGCATAGTGTATGTATATTGAGGAGTTCTGATAATATAGTTTTAAACAATCATTTACATAAAGAGATATGAAGGCACAAAACTAAGCATTACAGGGCCTCATCTTATTATCTCTTCAAAATGTCATAAATAATCTTTACAAACATGTAAAAAATAAGAAAAACAAGATGTTAAATTGAGAAAGACTTTCTCTCTCTGGTAGTGGTTTATTTTACTATTGTTTAAAAAACTTATTTTCCAATTATTCAGTGATTGATTTTATTATCTGCTAGTGTTTAATAGAGGAAATGTGGCAGCAGGTGCCAAAAGGTTGTTTTTTTTTTTTTTAGGGGGAAGAAGTTAAAATTGGAAAAAAAATTTTCATTTTCCCCTTGCAAATTGGAAAAAAGATCATTTTTATTCAGTGTTAAAAGCAGAAAGCCTCTTTGGAGCTTGGGAAATACTAAAGTTTCCGGAGAATAGATTGAAAGCCACCACACGCTGTAAAGTCTATTCTCAACAATCGCTTATTTTAAATCTAATAACATTGTTTATTTTTTCTTTTTCTTTCCACTTAATTTGGTTGGAGTCATGTAGAACAACATTTATCCTTTGATTTAAATGTAAATTGTGATCTAGGAAATACATTTTGCCCAAGAATTTTATATATATATATATTTTTATTTTTATTTATACTCTGAAAATGTTATATACTAAAAGTATTATATATTTAAAAGTATTACAGGTTCAAGACTCAATATTCAATATTTTTACTCATTAACTCATTAACGTTTAAGTGGATCATGTTAATGGATTTGTGTGGCAGGCAGAATAATATCTTCCCCAAAAGATCCATGTTCTACTCCCCAGAACCTGTGTATATGTTATGTTGCGTGGGAAGGAGAGGATTGAGGTTACTAATCAGCTGACATTAAAATGGAGAGTTTATCCTGAATTATATGTGTGGTTCCAATGCAATCACAAAGGTTCTTAAGAGTGAAGGAAGGAGACAGAAGAGTCAGAATCAGAGTGCTGTTATGTGAGAAAGACATGACCAACAGTTGCTTGCTTTGAAGTGGAAGACAGCCACAAGCCAAGCAAGGTATGCAGCCTGCAGAACCCAGAAAGTCAAGAAAACAGATTCTCCCCTGAAGTCTGCTGAAAAGAATGCAGTTCTGCCAACACCTTGATTTTAGACAGATCTATCCCACATAGATCTCACTGGGAAGAACTGTAAAATGATAAATTTGTGTAATTTCAAGCCAAGAAATGTTTAATATTTGTTATAGCGGCAATGGCAACTAATATAGCGTTACTAAAGTGAAAACATTTGAGTTGAGTAGGTATCTAAAATTGAGTTTCAGTTCTTCTTTTTAATTAACTTTCAGCAAATTATTAAAGTTATTAAACATCTACAATAAAAAGAATGATTATTAACTTTCAGGATATAAAAGTAAAGAAAATAATATACACTTTAAAAATCTGAACCATATGTTAAACACTGTGTGCTAAAAATTATATAAACATTTGAAATCAAAATTATTAAGAATAAAACAAAGTTCTGGTTTTTAAGGAATTTGTATTCAAATTTAGAAGAAAGACATTTAAATGAACAAATTTAAGTAGAAATTAAGTAGAAGATGATATTATTATAGAGAAAATAGCAAATTATTGGAGAGTGTTAAAAGACGTGCCAAAAATATTTGGAGATGTTATATCTAGGATGAATTTTGAAAGATGAATACATTTTGCCAGGTGAATATTAATGTAAATATACTTAGAATTTTATTCACTATTGACGAGGGTTTTTGTTTCGGCAGATTTTTTTTTGATAAAGTTAAGGAAATATTTATTTATTCCCATGCTTAAAATATTTTTTAAATCAGGAATAGTTTTGAATTTTATGAAACACATTTTTGGTCTCTGTGGGAATAAAGATTGTTTTACCTTCTAGCATTGCAATTCTGGGGAAAGTCAGTGGAATTTACAAGTTATATATTGCCAAGTTCTGCTTGCTAAATTTTTTTTTTTTAAACAACATGATTGAGGTATATTTTTCCTTTGGTAAAATGGGTGTTTTTTGTAATTTTGATTAATCTAGTGAGGAAAGAACCAGCTTTTTGTGTCATAATTTTTTTTATTGGTTTTCCATTTTTTATTTCATTAGTCTCAGTTCTGATCTTTACTTTTTCCCCACTTCTACTTATTAATGTTTAATTTGCTCTTCATTTTCTAGTTTCTTACGATGGACACTTAGATAATTTAGTTTAGATATTTTTTTCTTCTAATACACACATTTAAAGTCATAAGTAAGCCAGATGTGGTTCCAGCTATGCAGGAGGCTGAGGTGGGAGGATGTTTTCACTTCAGGAGTTAGATGCTTCAGTGATCCATGATCATGCCAATGCACTGCAGCCTGGGAAACAGAGGGAGACCCTGTCTCAATAAATAAATAAATAGACAAACGAATAAATAAATATTCTAAATACTGCTTTAGCTGCATCTCAC
Organism: Homo sapiens; assembly: GCF_000001405.40. Classification (NCBI taxonomy): domain Eukaryota; kingdom Metazoa; phylum Chordata; class Mammalia; order Primates; family Hominidae; genus Homo; species Homo sapiens. The sequence continues at coordinate 22,553,224 of NC_000009.12, forward strand.
AGATTTTGATATCTCACATTTTATCATTCAATTGAAAATATTTCTAAATTTCACTTATGATTTCTTTGTTAACCCAATGGTTATTGTCAAGTGTGTTGTTTAATTTAGAAACACTGAGAATTTCTCAAGTAATTTTTTGATGTTTATTTATTTAAAAAATTACACCTAGTAAAATTTACTCTTTTGGTGTACAGTTCTATGTGTTTTTCCAAATGCTAGGTACCTTGTAGCTACTACCGTCAAACTATAGAACAGTTCTATTACCTTCCTAAAATTTATATTTGTGTGTGCTTTGTAGTCAGTATCTCCCTGCACTCTTGTTCTCTGTCTATGTAGATTTTGCTTTTTGAGACTTCAAAATGAATTATGTGTTTGTTCTCTATTAGGTACTGTCTTTTTACTTTCTCTTAAGACTGTTGTTACCAAGATGAACAAATACCTTTACTGCAGCTGCAGTTTCAGTATCAGGTTAATATCCTGATATTAATATTGTTAATATTCTGGTATTATTAATTTTATCTTTGTTTTATCCCTTTGCTTAAGAGCTAAGCTCCAAGTTAATTTTTTTCCAATATTTTAGCCAATACTTCAAATTATTTTAGAATGAGAGTCTTTTGGGATATCTGCCCTGATATATATCTAAAGGCAGAAATCCAGGTCAAAATTTTTTCTCCAAACTTAGGTTAATATATACATCTGCAGATAATATGCCAAACAGTTGTCATACAAATGAGCTTGTCCAAAAGTTTCTTACTCAACACTGGTTTTGAGATCAATTCATTGTGTGTGTATGTGTAGTTTCTGTTTATTTAAAAAATAATTTATGATATTCAATCATACATATAAGTCTTATTTTCCTTCTTTCTCTGAAGGGCAAAACTCTCTCAAACTGTGTTTTCCTCTGCTCTCACACAACACAACAATCATCATTACAGAAGGAGAATTCTATGGCCAAATATGTGGGGATTTTTCCTCACATACCAAGCAGCAGACACCAGTTGGGTGCCCTCCAATTCAATTCAGATACTTTACCTAGAGATAGTGTCAGATCCCACAGGTTTAAGGCTCAGTCCCCAAGACGGACCCATTACCCCAGATACCAGTCGCAAGTCTGGGCCCCTGAAACTTCCGATTGACCAACTTCAGTTTGTGGTTTCTGTGACCTTCTCTTTGGGTTTGATTAATTTGCTGGAGCAGCTCACAGAACTCAGGGAAAAACTTATTTTTGCCAGTTTATTAGAAAGGATAGTACAAAGACTACAGATAAAGAGATGCATAAGGTAAGGTATGGCGGAAGGTGCAGGGAGCTTCCATGCCCTCCCTGGGTATGCTATCCTCCAGGAATCTGGAGGAATCACACGGTCAGTTTTCTGGAATCGCCGAACTCTGTCCTTTGGGTCTTTATGGAGACTTAATTGGTTCACTGAAACATGGACAATTGCATCAAAATGTAATTGGATGAAAAGGGTATGATCTAAACCCAGCAAGTCGTGTCTGTTAGGTCCTTCTTAGTCTTTGTGCAACATATCTTCTTCCAGAGTATGGGGCAGGACCCTCTCTGGAATGAGGGTCTTATGACCCACAATCAGATTAAAGTCCTGACATGGGCAGGTAAAAGAAGGACAGGAGAGGGTCAGAGAGAGAGATTTTGTTTCCTGAGGTCGCTTCTAAGGCCCAAATTGCCCCAACATTATAACAAAATACTGTAACAATGGTTATGAGAGTTATGAGCTACGAACTGTGAATGAAAAAATATATATATATTCATATATATGCCTATATATATTAGATATCATACTTTCTCTATTGAGGAAAATTTAGACTATTTCCTTATAAAACACCACAATTTTTAATAAATGTATTTATTAGAATTTATGTAAGTATATAGGGAAAATAGTAGGGGAAATACTATATTACATGGTATATGCCTTTTGGTTGTTCCAAACTGTCCTCCTGAGCCACTGAACCAAACTGCATTATCACTGGCAGTTTATGAGAGTAACTGATTTGTCACACCCTCAAGAACATTGATAGTGTCTGTGGGACAGATTCTATTTTTCAAAGATGGCTGCAACATATCTCTGACCCCATATGCTTTTCTTACAATGTACTTTAACAGTCCTCCATTAAGAGCTATGCTTGGCTGGGCATGTTGGCTCATGCCTGTAATCCCAGCACTTTGAAAGGCCAAGGCAGGCAGATCACCTGAGATCAGGAGATCAAGTCCAGCCTCGCCAACATGATATATAGCTCAGGCTATCACCTTATAGATAGCATATTTCTTAGATGGTGTCTAAACTCTCAATACTTCTCCAGAAAGTTCATAAAAAAGAACCCTACCATGGGGGAATCCATAGAAAAGAAAGGAGGGAGAGCTATCAACACCACACTTCTGAGTTGTATCAGCCAGCTTCTCAATAATCTCCCAGAAATCCAGGCACCCAACCGTAGGTGGGCTGTTTTTCTCCAAGTCTGAAAGTGAAAGGTGGCCCCACATAGGTGGGCATCAAATGATAAAGAAGAAAGCAGTCCTGCTACAGAAAATTTTTGTCTCAATACTTTAGTATTATTTGTTAGTTTCTTCTTTCCTTTACAAACTTGATGCAAATTGCATGAGATTTGTCTATCTTATTAATCATTTCAAAGAACAATTTTATGGACTGAATGTTTGTGTCTCACTAAAATTCATATGTTGAGATCTAATCTCTAGTGCAATGGTATTAGGAGGTGGGGCCTTCAAGATGTAATTAGGAGTAGGAGAGGTCATAAAGGTGGAGTCCTCATGAATAAAATTAATGCCTATAAGAGTCACATGACAGTGCTTTCATTCTCTGCCCTACTCTCCACCATGTGATGATACAATGAGACACTGGCCGTCTGCAACTTAGAAGAAGGCCCTCACAAGAGCCCAACCATGCTGCCAAACTAATGTTGAATTTCCACCCTTCAGAACTGTAAGAAATACATTTCTGCTGTTTATAAGCTACCCAATTTGTGGTATTTTGTTATAGCAGCCCAAGCCAACTAAGACAGGTTTCATTAAAACTTTAACAATTTCTCTTTTCTTTGTTTTTTATTATATTTTTCTTTTCTTATTCTTATTTAACTCTATGATTCTTTTCCTGGTTGTGTGAGTCGAATATATAACTGATGTATTTTAAAAATCATGTTGCTATTGAAGAAATTTATTTAAGATTATAAATGTTAATATAATTACAGGTATACCTCTAGATATTGTGGGTTTGGTTTCAAACTATAATGATGAAGTAAATATAAAAATAAAGCAAGTCACACAAATTTTTGGTTTCCCAGTACATATAAAAGTTTTGTTTATACTTATGTAGTCTATCAGATGTGAAAAAATAATGTACCTATCTTAATTAAAATGTTTTATTGCTAAAAATGCTAACAATCGTCTAAGGCTTCAGCCTGTCATAAACTTTTGCTGGTGGAGGGTTGCCTCCATGTTCATGGCTGCTGACTGATCAGGGTGATGCTTGCTGAAGGTTGGGGTGGCTGTGGGAATTTCTTAAAATAACAATGAAATTTGCCCCATTGATTGACTTCTTCTTTCAGGAAAGATTTCTCTGCAGTATGTGATGCTGTTGGATAGCATCTTACCCAAAGTAGAACTTCTTTCAAAAGTAAAGACAATCCACTGAAATGCTGTCACTGCCTTATCTACTGAGTTTATGTAATATTCTAAATCTGTTGTTGTAATCTTAACAATGTTCAAAGCATCTTTACAAGCAGTAAATTTCATCTCAAGAAAGCACTTTGTTTTTTGCTTATTCATAAGAAGCAACTCCTCATCTGTTCAAGCTTGTCATGAGATTGCAGCAATTCAGTCACATCTTCAGTCTCCACTTCTAGTTCTCTTACTGTTTTCACCACATCTGCAGTTACTTTCTCCATCGAAATCTTGAACCTCTCAAAGACATCCATGAGGGTTGAAATCAGCTTCTTCAACTCTCCTGTTAATGTTGATATTTTGACCTCCTCCCGTGAATCATGAATGTTCTTAATGACATCAAGATGGTGAATACTTTCTGGAAGGTTTTTAATTTACGATGCCCAGATCCATCATGGGAATAACAACCTATGACAGCTATAGCCTTACAAAAAAATTTCTTAAATAATAATTCTTAAAAAATATAAATTTCTCCTTAATCCACGGGCTTCTGAATGGATGCTGTGTTGATAAACATAACAACATTTATCTCCTTGTACATCTCCATCAGAGATCTTAGGTGACCATTACCATTAATGAGCAGTAATGTTTTGATGGAAATCTTTTTTTTTTTTCCCTGAGGAGTAGGCCTCAATAATAAAGAAAACTGAGTAAAATATTCAGTAAACCATGCTATAAGCAGACATGTTGTCATCCAGGCTTTATTGTTCCATTTATAGAGCACAGGCAGAGTAAATACAGCATAATGCTTAAGGGCTCTAGGGTTTTCAGAATGGTAAATTAACATTGGCTCCAACTTAAAGTCACCAGTTGCATTAGTCCCTAACAAGAGAGTCAGCCTGTTCTTTGAAGCTTTGAAGCCAGACGTTGACCTCTCCTCTCTTGCTAGAAAGCCCTAGATAACATCTTCTTCCAATGGAAAGCTGTTATGTCAACATTGAAAATTTGTTGTTTTGTGTAGCCACCTTCATCCATTGTCTTAGCTAGATCTGAACAATTTGCTGCAGCTTCTACATCAGCACTTGTTGCTTCGCCTTGCACTGTTTTGTTATGGAGATGACTTCTTTCCTTAAATCTCATGAAGCAACCTCTGTTAGTCTCATACTTATTCTGTAGCTTCTTCACTTCTTTTAGCCTTTACAAAATTGAAGAGAGTTAGGGCCCTACTCTGGATTAGGTTTGGGTTTAAGGAAATGTAGTTGGCTTGATCTTCTATCCAGACCCATCAACTTTATATATCATCAGTAAGCCTGTTTCACTTTTTTACCATTCATGCATTCACTAGAGTGCATGGCCTCTTTCAAGAACTTCTGGTCTCTTTCAAGAACTTTTCTTTAGTACTCACAATTTGGCCGTTTGGCACAAAAGGTCTCCCTTTTGGCCTATCTCAGCTTTTGAGATGTCTTCCACAATAAGGCATGATTGTCTACCTTTTAATTTAAAGTTAAAGATGTGCGATCTTTCCTTTCTCTTGAACACTTGGAGGTCTTTGTAGTGTTATTAACTGGCCTAATTTTAATATTATTGTGTCTTAGGGAGTAGGGAGGCCTGAGGAGAGAGAGATAGGGGAACAGCCAGTGAATAGAGTTCTTAGAACACATGAAACATTAATCAATTAAGTTCACTGTCTTATGTAGGTGCATTTGTGAAGTCTCAATAGTAACATCAAAGATCAAAGCTCATTGGTCACGGATCATTATAACAGTCATAATAATAATAAAAGAGTTTGAAATATTGGGAGAATAACCAACATGTGATACAAAGACACAAATTGAGCACATGCTGTTAGAAAAAAGAATTACTCAAGGCAGTGTTGCCACAAACCTTCATTTTGTAAAAAAGGCAATATTGCAAAGCACAATACAGTGAAATACAATAAAATTGTATGCCTATACCATTTTTTGTTTTGATAGTTATTATCATTAGTTATAAATGTTTTTAGCTTTCCATTTTTAGCAATTCATGAACATGATTCAATGTTTTAGTCATGAATTATTTTGACATGCATCATTTTATTTTCAAACTTTTATTACTAACATTTATACTATTTGTTTCTAACTTAGTGGCATTGAGAATCCTGGTTTCAGATTACAATGCAATTAAATAAGAAACTAATTTTAAATAAATTCAATTTGAAAGAACTCATCATTGTTCAAATATCTCATTTATAATATATTTTCTTATTTGTGTATTCTTTTCGCTATCCTTATTTTTGCTTATTGTTTCTTTTTACTTTACTCCTGCATTCAGTTAGATAGATAAATTTTTCAATTTAATTCTTTTATTTTGTTCATATGGAAGTGGATTTTTTTCTTATTGTCTTAGTAGTTTTCCTTAAACACTTAACATAATGTTTACATACAAATATTTCTTCAAATGTCTAAAGGCATTCAGCATCTCAAACTTAAAGTGTAAACAACTATGTTTTCCACTTCAAATAACTATTTGAAGAAACTTATTTTCATAATATTTCTTAAACAAGTTCCTCTTCCAGCTACTAGTCATTTTTCTGCCTCCATTTGCAGTACTTTCTCCTGGAAAGTGTTATCTATTTCCATTCTCTTTCAAATTTACACTCATTAGGCTTTTATTTCAACCATTGTAAGGTCAGTAGTTCTCAAAGTTAGCAATGACCTTCTTATTGCTAAATGTGTTAGTCTTTTATTTGTACTCATCTTATTAATCAAATGCATTTGGTCAGTGATACAGTTTGAATGTTTGTCTCTTCCAAATCTCATGTTGAAATGTGATTCCCATTGTTGGAGGTGGGGCATAATGGGAGGTGTTTGGCTATGAGGGTGAACTTCTCATGAATGGCTTGGTGCTGTCTCTAGGGTAATAAGTGAGTTCTCACTCTTAGTTCTTGTGAGAGCTGGTTGTTTAAAGGATCTTGGCACTTCTCCCTTGCTCTCTCTTGCTCCTGCTCTCATCATGTGATGCACATCCTCCACCTTCACATTCTGCCATGATTGTGAGCTTGTTGAGGCCCCTACCAGAAGCAGATGCTTCCGTTATGCTTTCTGTACCTGTTGCAGAACTTTGAGTGAATTAAACCTCTTTTTAAAATGCATTACCCAGCCTCAGGTATTACTTTATAGTAACACAAGGATGGACTAATACAATCAATTACTTTCCCTTGGTACTCATTATTTACTTGGCTTCTATCACATCCTCTTTACTTTCTTTCTAGCTCACTCGTGTCAAAGAAAACTTACAGCAGGCCACTTAAACAGAGAAGCAAGAAGATCACTCAATAGGTATCAAGGCTTTTGCAATAAGGGAGAGAGATTGAACTGAATCAATCTCTGATTGAGCTGAAACAAAGGGCAGGAGGATTTCCAAGAGCTGGGTATGCTATTGGAGAAGTAGTGGAGGATGAACTTTAGTGGAGAGGTTTGGTCAATGTGATTAGGTCATTTGTGTTTGCTGCTTAGCACTTATCAAAATTAGGCTCTTGCTCTTCCAGACAGACTGGGAGATCAGGGTGCTTTCTTCCTCCATGATTACATTTCAAAGAGATGGCTCTAAGGTCCTTGAGAAAGACATTCTTGGTTGGAAAAGCTGGAAAGAAGATAGGAAAAAGCATTTGGCAAAATTCAACACCCTTTCATGATAAAACACTAACAAAACTAGTAATAGAAGGAAATTACCTTAACATAACAAAGGTTGTATATGAAGAGCCCACAGTAAAGATCATACTCGATGACGAAAAACTGAAAGCTTTTCCTTTAAGATAAAGGACAGTACAAGGTAGCTGTTACCCTTTCTATTCAAAATAATATGGGTTGGATATCCCTCATCTGAAATACTTCATTCCAGAAGTGTTTTGGATTTTAGATTTTGTAATATTTTTGCATCTTCATAATGAGATATCGTGAGGATGGGACCCAAGTCCTGAACAATAACTCTATTTCTGTTTTATAGACACCTTATACACATACCTAAAGATAATTTTATATATTTGTAATAATTTTGTTCATGAAGCAAACTTTGTGTATGTGAAATTAGGTGTGGAATTTTCCATTTGTGGCACCATATTGGTGCCCAAAATGTTTTTTTTTTTTTGTAACATTCCAGAGTCCGAATTTTTGGATTAGAAATGATCAACCTGTATTAGGAGACTTGGCCAGATAAACTAGGCAAGAAAAATAAGCAAAAAGTATCCAAATAAGAAAGGCGCAGAAAAGATCCTACTAGGATGGCCATTATAAACAAAAGCAAACAGACAGACAGAAAATAACAAGTGCTGATAGGGATGTGAAGAAATAGGAAACTTTCTTGCACTGTTTTTGGGAATGTAAAATGATGTAGCTGCTATGAAAAACAGTATGGAAGTTCCTCAAAAACATAAAAATAAAACTACCATATGTGATTATTTATCTATGTGAAAATTATCTACATTTATAGATGATATGATCTTATATGTAGAACACTCTAAAGATTCCACAAAAACTGTTAGAACTAATAAATGAATCCAGTAAAGTAGCAAGATATAAAATTAACATGTAAAAATCAGTTGTATTTTCATATACTAACAGCAAACAATCTGAGAACAAAGTAATAGCATATACAATAGTATACAAATAGTATAACAAAATACTTGGAAATAAAGTTAACTAAAAGGGCAAAAAACTTGTATGCTGAAAACTACAAACTGTTGCTGAAATAATTTAAAGAAACACAAATAAATAGAAAGACATACCATGCTCTTGCATTGGAAGATTTAATATTGTTAAAATGTATATGGTACCCCAAACAAACAGCAGATTCAATACAATTCCTATAAAAATTCCCAAGTCATTTTTTTCAGAGATAGGAAAAAAAATCCTAAAATTCACATGGAACTACAAAAAATCCCATGTAAAAACAATAATAGGAAATAAGAACAAAGCTGGAGTTCTCAAACTTCTTGCCTTCAAAACACGTTACAAATCTTTAGTAATCAAAACCATATGATACTGGCAAAAAGGCAGACATATAAACCAATGGAACATAATAGAGAACCCAAAAATAAACCCACATATATACAGTTAATTGGTGATCAACCAGAATGCCAAGACTACACAATGAGGACAGAATAGTGTTTTCTACAAATGATATTGGGAAAACTGGATATCCACAGGGAAGAGAATGAAATTGGACCTGTATCATACATGATATACAAAAGTAAACTCAAAATATATTAAAGACAATGTAAGAACTGAAATATAAAACTCTTAGACAATAATACAGGGGAAAACTTCATAACATTGGTCTTGCCAATGATGTCTTGGATATGACACCAAATGCACAGACAACAAAAGCAGAAATCGACAACTGGGATTGTATCAAGTCAAAGAGCTGCATGGCAAAAGGAAAAATCAACAGTAAAACAATGAAAAGGCAACTTATGAAATGGCAGAAAATACTTGCAATGCATATATCTGGTGAGGAGTTAATATCAATAGTATATACAAAATTTCTAAAACTTGACCAAAAATTCCCAAATAATCCCGCTAAAAACCAGGCAAAGAAGTTGAGTAGACATTTCTCCAAAGATGACATACAAATCCCAACAAATATATGAAAAAATACTCAGCATCACTAATCATCAGGGAAATCAAATCAAAACTACAGTGAGATAGCATCTCACTCCTATTAGGATGGTCATTATAAACAAAACAAAACAGACAAAATAACAAGTGTTGACAAGGAAGTAAAAAAATAGGAACCCTTTTTGCAGTGTTGGTGGGAATGTAAAATGATGCAGCTGCTATGAAAAACAGTATGGAAATTCCTCAAAAAAAAATAAATAAAACTACCATATGTGATCCAGTAATCTCACTTCTGAGTATTTAATACAAAAGAATTGAAAACAGGATTTAGAAGAGATATTTGCACTCCCATATTTATTACAGCATTATTATTATTTTATTTATTTATTTATTTATTTTTTTTTTTGAGACAGAGTCTTGCTCTGTCGCCCAGGCTGGAGTGCAGTGGCGCGATCTCGGCTCACTGCAAGCTCCGCCTCCCGCGTTCATGCCATTCTTCTGCCTCAGCCTCTCCAGTAGCTGGGACTACAGGCGCCCGCCACCATGCCCGGGTAATTTTTTGTATTTTTAGTAGAGATGGGGTTTCACCGTGTTAGCCAGAATGGTCTCGATCTCCTGACCTCTTGATCCGCCCGCCTTGGCCTCCCAAAGTGCTGGGATTACAGGCGTGAACCACCGCGCCCGGCCTATTACAGCATTATTTACAATAGTCAAGAAGTGAAAACAATCTAAATGTTTATTGATGTGTGGATAAAGGAAATGTGGCATATATATACGCACATATTTTATATATATAAAACTATATAATATATATCACTATATATGTGTATATATAATAAAATATTATTCAGCCTTAAAAAAACGAAGGAAATGCTGTCATATGCTACAATATTGGTGAACTATGAGGATGTTATTCTAAGTGAAATAAGCCAGCCACAGAAGGACAAATATTGCGGGATTCCATTTATATGAGGTATCTAGGTAGTCAGACTCATAGTAACAGAAAGTAGAATTGTGGTTGCCAGAGTCTGAGGAAAGGAAGAAATGGGGCTGTTCAACGGGCATTTTCATCATTTAAGTAATTTTAGTGAAAAAGTTATAGAGACCTGCTGTACAGCAGCATGCATCCAGTTAACAATACTGCCCTGTACAGTTAAAAATGTGTTAAGAAGGAATCTCAGGTTATGAGGTTTTTTTACCCCCTACAATCTCTCTCTCTGTGTCTGTCTCTCTCTATAATATATACAGCATATACATAATATAAATAATATACAAAATATATTATATATAATATAAATAGGGGCAAAGATGGAAGTAAGTAGACCAGTTAGAAAGCTAAAAAATTATCCAAGTGACATATAATGGAGGCTCAAACTAGGATAGTAAAAGTGGTATATTATATATATATTATATATAATTTTATATATATAATATATATATAATTTTAATTTATATATATTATATATTCTGTATGTTATATATTTATATATAAATTAAATTTTATGTATATATATATATATGCAGAGTTTCCTATTTCATATCCCAAGGGTTTCCTATTTCATTTCCTATATTTCATATCCCAAGTCTACTCACACTCTGCATGAAGTAGCTTCCCATTATACACAGAATAAAAGAGAAAGTTTTTACCAAGTCCAGTGAGACCCAGCACAAGTCAGTTTCCAAGTACTGCTTGAATTCATCTTTCGTTTTTCTCATCATCTGGCTCATTTTGTTCTAGCTTTCTGGCCTTTTTGAGAGTCATTGAATGCTTCAAGCATTCTCAACTCAGGAGCTTAACACTGACTGCTCCCTTTTTCTGGTGTGCTCGTTCTTGTTTTCTGTATAGATGGCATCCATACCTGCTTTAAGTCTTTGATCAAATCACCCCTTCTCAATGACACCTACCTTGAAAACTCTCTTGCAGCCAATCTCCCCAAACCTGCTACTCCCATTGTGTTTTTTGATCCTCTTAATTCCGTATATTTTTGTTTTTCCATGACACTTACTATGTTTATCATACTATATGAAAGGAATCAATGGGAATTAGAAAAAGACAGACTTGAAATATATTTTGAAAGTAAAAATGGAATATTTAAAATTTAAATTCACTCATTCATATTCAGATATTTGTTTATTCCAAAATTAACCCATCATTATTCCATTTCTTTTCTCATTCCTTTATTATATGCCTCTATGATACCAGAACGTAAGCTTCACAGGTTTGGCTTTATTTATTTTTTTCACTAATGTATCCCTAAATCAAGACTGACACATAAATGTATTTTGAGTGAATAAAGGATGGGTAAAGCTTTTTAAATCATCATCGGAAATAAAACCTGTGTCTCTGGGGCTCCTCGTTCTTCTTTTTTCTAGTTTGTATTTTAGATTCAGGTGTACATTTGTAGGTTTGCTAGATGGGTAAATTGCATGCATGAGTGTATGGTGTACAGATTATTTTGTCAACCAGGTAATAAGCATAGTATCTGATAGGTAGATTTTCGATCTTCATCCTCTTCCACCTTCCACCCTCAAGTAGGCTCCAAAGTCTATTATTCCCTTCTTTGTGTTCATGTTTACTCAATGTTTAACTCCCATTTATAAGACAAAACATGCAGTTCTTGGTTTTTCCATTCCTGCATTAGTTTGCTCAGGATAATAGCCTCTAGTGGCAAAGGACATGATTTCATTCTTTTTTACGGCTGCTTAGAATTCTATGGTGTGTATGTATCACATTTTCGTTATCCAGTCTACCACTGATGGGCATTTAGGTTGATTCCTTGTCTTTGATATTTTGAATGGTGCTGCAGTGAACATATGCATGCATGTGTGTACATGATAAAATAATTTATATTGCTTTGGGTATATACCCAGTAATGGGATTGCTAGGTCAAATGTTAATTTTGTTTTAAGTTCTTGGAGAAATCTCCAAACTGCTTTCCACAGTGGCTACCTTAGTTTACATCCTCATCAGTGGTTATACGTGTTCTCTTTTTCTCTGCAACCTCACAAGAATCTGTTATTTTTTGCCTTTCTAGTAATAGTCATGCTGACTGGTGTGAGATAGTATCTCATTATGATTTGATGTGCATATTTGTATTTCTAATGATTAGTGATAGTGAGCATTTTTAATATGCTTGTTGGCTGTGTGTATGTCTTCTTTTAAGAAGTGTCTGTGCATTCTTTTGCCCATTTTTAATAAGTTTTTTTGTAAATTTGTTTAAGTTCCTTATAGAAGCTGAATATTAGACCTTTTTTTGATGCATAGTTTGCAAATATTTTCTCCCATTCTGTGGGTTGCCTGTTTACACTGCTGATATTTTCTTTTGCTGTGCGAAAGCTCTTTAGTTTAATTAGATCCCACATATTAATTGTTGTTTTTGCTGAAACTGCTGTTGGAGTCTTTGTCATGTCGTTTTCTTCCAGGGTTTTTATAGTTTTTGGTTTTACATTTAAGTCTTTAATCCATCTTGAGTTGATTTTTTTATTTTATTTTATTATTATTATACTTTAAGTTTTAGGGTACATGTGCACAATGTGCAGGTTACTTACATATGTATCCATGTGCCATGCTGGTGTGCTGCATCCATTAACTTGTCATTTACATTAGGTATATCTCCTAATGCTATCCCTCACCCCTACCCCCACCCCACAACAGTCGCCAGAGTGTGATATTCCCCTTCCTGTGTCCATGTGATCTCATTGTTCAATTCCCACCTATGAGTGAGAATATGTGGTGTTTGGTTTTTTGTTCTTGCGATAGTTTACTGAGAATGATGATTTCTAATTTCATCCATGTCCCTACAAAGGACATACTGAGAATGATGATTTCTAATTTCATCCATGTCCCTACAAAGGACATGAACTCATCATTTTTTATGGCTACATAGTATTCCATGGTGTATATGTGCCACATTTTCTTAATCTAGTCTATCATTGTTGGACATTTGGGTGGGTTCCAAGTCTTTGCTATTGTGAATAGAGCCGCAATAAACATACGTGTGCATATGTCTTTATAGCAGCATGATTTATAGTCCTTTGGGTATATACCCAGTAATGGGATGGCTGGGTCAAATGGTATTTCTAGTTCTAGATCCCTGAGGAATCGCCACACTGACTTCCACAGTGGTTGAACTAGTTTGCAGTCCCACCAACAGTGTAAAAATGTTCCTATTTCTCCAAATCCTCTCCAGCACCCGTTGTTTCCTGACTTTTTAATGATTGCCATTCTAACTGGTGTGAGATGGTATCTCATTGTGGTTTTGATTTGCATTTCTCTGATGGCCAGTGATGGTACGCATTTTTTCATGTGTTTTTTGGCTGCATAAATGTCTTCTTTTGAGAAGTGTCTGTTCATGTCCTTTGCCCACTTTTGGATGGGGTTGTTTGTTTTTTTCTTGTAAATTTGTTTGAGTTCATTGTAGATTCTGGATATTAGCCCTTTGTCAGATGAGTAGGTTGAGAAAATTTTCTCCCATTTTGTAGGTTGCCTGTTCACTCTGATGGTAGTTTGTTTTGCTGTGCAGAAGCTCTTTAGTTTAATTAGATCCCATTTGTCAATTTTGGTTTTTGTTGCCATTGCTTTTGGTGTTCTAGACATGAAGTCCTTGCCCATGTCTATGTCCTGAATGGTAATGCCTAGGTTTTCTTCTAGGGTTTTTATGGTTTTAGGTCTAACGTTTAAGTCTTAAATCCATCTTGAATTAATTTTTGTATAAGGTGTAAGGAAAGGATCCAGTTTCAGCTTTCTACATATGGCTAGCCAGTTTTCCCAGCACCATTTATTAAATAGGGAATCCTTTCCCCATTGCTTGTTTTTGTCAGGTTTGTCAAAGATCAGATATTTGTAGATATGTGGCGTTATTTCTGAGGGCCCTGTTCTGTTCCATTGATCTATATCTCTGTTTTGGGACCAGTACCGTGCTGTTTTGGTTACTGTAGCCTTGTAGTATGGCTTGAAGTCAGGTAGTGTGATGCCTCCAGCTTTGTTCTTTTGGCTTAGGATTGACTTGGTATTGTGGGCACTTTTTTGGTTCCATATGAACTTTAAAGTAGTTTTTTCCAATTCTGTGAAGAAAGTCATTGGTAGCTTGATGGGGATGGCACTGAATCTATAAATTACCTTGGGCAGTATGGACATTTTCATGATGTTGATTCTTTCTACCCATGAGCATGGAATGTTCTTGCATTTGTTTGTATCCTCTTTTATTTCATTGAGCAGTGGTTTGTAGTTCTCCTTGAAGAGGTCCTTCACATCCCTTGTAAGTTGGATTCCTAGGTATTTTATTCTCTTTGAAGCAATTGTGAATGGGAGTTCACTCATGATTTGGCTCTCTGTTTGTCTGTTATTGGTGAATAAGAATGCTTGTGATTTTTGTACATTCATTTTGTATCCTGAGACTTTGCTGAAGTTGCTTATCAGCTTAAGGAGATTTTGGGCTGAGACAATGGGGTTTTCTAGATATACAATCATGTCATCTGCAGACAGGGACAATTTGACTTCCTCTTTTCCTAATTGAATACCCTTTATTTCTTTCTCCTGCCTGATTGCCCTGGCCAGAACTTCCAACACTATGTTGAATAGGAGTGGTGAGAGAGGGCATCCCTGTCTTGTGCCATTTTTCAAAGGGAATGCTTCCAGTTTTTGCCCATTCAGTATGATATTGGCTGTGGGTTTGTCATAGATAGCTCTTATTATTTTGAGATACATCCCATCAATACCTAATTTATTGAGAGTTTTTAGCGTGAAGGGTTGTTGAATTTTGTCAAAGGCTTTTTCTGCATCTATTGAGATAATCATGTGGTTTTTGTCTTTGGTTCTGTTTATATGCTGGATTACATTTATTGATTTGCATATATTGAACCAGCCTTGCATCCCAGGGATGAAGCCCACTTGATCATGGTGGATAAGCTTTTTGATGTGCTGCTGGATTCGGTTTGCCAGTATTTTATTGAGGATTTTTGCATCAATGTTCATCAAGGATATTGGTCTAAAATTCTCTTTTTTGGTCGTGTCTCTGCCCGGCTTTGGTATCAGGATGATGCTGGCCTCATAAAATGAGTTAGGGAGGATTCCCTCTTTTTCTATTGAATGGAATAATTTCAGAAGAAATGGTACCAGTTCCTCCTTGTACCTCTGGTAGAATTCGGCTGTGAATCCACCTGGTCCTGGACTCTTTTTGGTTGGTAAGCTATTAATTATTGCCACAATTTCAGAGCCTGTTATTGGTCTATTCAGAGATTCAATTTCTTCCTGGTTTAGTCTTGGGAGGGTGTATGTGTCGAGGAATTTATCCATTTCTTCTAGATTTTCTAGTTTATTTGCGAAGAGGTGTTTGTAGTATTCTCTGATGGTAGTTTGTATTACTGTCAGATCGGAGGTGTTATCCCCTTTATCATTTTTTATTGCGTCTATTTGATTCTTCTCTCTTTTCTTCTTTATTAGTCTTGCTAGCGTTCTATCAATTTTGTTGATCCTTTCAAAAAACCAGCTCCTGGATTCATTAATTTTTTGAAGGGTTTTTTGTTTCTCTATTTCCTTCAGTTCTGCTCTGATTTTAGTTATTTCTTGCCTTCTGCTAGCTTTTGAATGTGTTTGCTCTTGCTTTTCTAGTTCTTTTAATTGTGATGTTAGGGTGTCAATTTTGTATCTTTGCTGCTTTCTCTTGTGGGCATTTAGTGCTATAAATTTCCCTCTACACACTGCTTTGAATGTGTCCCAGAGATTCTGGTATGTTATGTCTTTGTTCTCGTTGGTTTCAAAGAACATGTTTATTTCTGCCTTCATTTCGTTATGTACCCAGTAGTCATTCAGGAGTAGATTGTTCAGTTTCCATGTAGTTGAGCGGTTTTGAGTGAGTTTCTTAATCCTGAGTTCTAGTTTGATTGCACTGTGGTCTGAGAGACAGTTTGTCATAATTTCTGTTCTTTTACATTTGCTGAGGAGAGCTTTACTTCCAACTATGTGGTCAATTTTGGAATAGGTGTGGTGTGGTGCTGAAAAAAAATGTATATTCTGTTGATTTGGGGTTGAGAGTTCTGTATATGTCTATTAGGTCTGCTTGGTGCAGAGCTGAGTTCAATTCCTGGATATCCTTGTTAACTTTCTGTCTCATTGATCTGTCTAATGTTGACAGTGGGGTGTTAAAGTCTCCCATTATTATTGTGTGAGTTTGACGAGTTGAGAGAAGAAGGCTTCAGACGATCAAACTACTCCGAGCTACAGGAGGAAATTCAAACCAAAGACAAAGAAGTTAAAAACTTTGAAAAAAATTTAGACAAATGTATAACTAGAATAACTAATACAGAGAAGTGCTTAAAGGAGCTGATGGAGCTGAAAGCCAATGCTCGAGAACTACATGAAGAATGTAGAAGCCTCAGGAGCCGATGCGATCAACTGGAAGAAAGGGTATCAGTGATGGAAGATGAAATGAATGAAATGAAGTGAGAAGGGAAGTTTAAAGAAAAAAGAATAAAAAGAAACGAACAAAGCCTCCAAGAAATATGGGACTATGTGAAAAGACCAAATCTACGTCTGATTGGTGTATCTGAAAGTGACGGTGAGAATGGAACCAAGTTGGAAAACACTCAGCAAGATATTGTCCAGGAGAACTTTCCCAATCTATCAATGCAGGCCAACATTCAGATTCAGGAAATACAGAGAACACCACGAAGATACTCCTCAAGAAGAGCAACTCCAAGACACATAATTGTCAGATTCACCAAAGTTGAAATGAAGGAAAAAATGTTAAGGGCAGCCAGAGAGAAAGGCCGGGTTACCCACAAAGGGAAGCCCATGAGACTAACAGCGGATCTCTCGGCAGAAACCCTAGGAGCCATTAGAGAGTGGTGGCCAATATTCAACATTCTTAAAGAAAAGAATTTTCAACCCAGAATTTCATATCCAGCCAAACTAGGCTTCATAAGTGAAGGAGAAATAAAATACTTTACAGACAAACAAATGCTGAGAGATTTTGTCACCACTAGGCCTGCCCTAAAAGAGCTCCTGAAGGAAGCACTAAACATGGAAAGGAACAACTGGTACCAGCCAGTGCAAAATCATGCCAAATTGTAAAGACCATCAAGGCTAGGAAGAAACTGCATCAACTAACGAGCAAAATCACCAGCTAACATCATAATGACAGGATCAAATTCACACATAACAATATTAACTTTAAATGTAAATGGACTAAATGCTCCAATTAAAAGACACAGACTGGCAAATTGGATAAAGAGTCAAGACCCATCAGTGTGCTGTATTCAGGAAACCCATCTCACGTGCAGAGACACACATACACTCAAAATGAAAGGATGGAGGAAGATCTACCAAGCAAATGGAAAACAAAAAAAGGCAGGGGTTGCAATCCTAGTCTCTGATAAAACAGACTTTAAACCAACAAAGATCAAAAGAGACAAAGAAGGCCACTACATAATGGTAAAGGGATCAACTCAACAAGAAGAGCTAACTGTCCTCAATATACATGCACCCAATACAGGAGCACCCAGATTCATAAAGCAAGTCCTGAGTGACCTACAAAGAGTTGATTTTTGTATATGGTAAAAGGAAGGGGCCCAACTTCAATTCTCTGTATATGGATAGCCAGTTATTCCTATATCATTTATTAAATAGAGAGTTCTTTTCCCATTGTTTCTTATTGTCAATTTTGTTGAAGATCAGATGGTTGTAGGTGTGCAGCATTGTTTCTGCACTCTCTATTCTGTACTATTAGTCTAGATGTCTGTTTTTTATGCCAGTACAATGCTGTTTTGGTTACTGTACCCTATAGTTTGAAGCTGAATAGTGTGCTGCCTCCAGCTTTGTGCATTTTGCTTATAATTGCTTTGGCTGTTTGGGATCTTTTTTGGTTCCATATGAATTTTGGAATACATTTTTTTTTCTAATTCTGTGAAAAAGGTTGTTGGTAGTTTGATAGGAATAGCATTGAATCTGTAAATTGACTTGGACAGAATGGGCATCTTAACAATATTGATTTTTCCTATCCAAGGGCATGGAATGTTTTTCCGTTTGTTTGTGTCATCTCTGATTTCCTTCAGCAGTGTTTTGTAATTCTCACTGTAGAGCTCCTTCACTTCTCTGGTTAGCTATCTTCTTAAGTATTCAATTCTTTTTCTGACTATTATGAATGGGAGTGTGTTGTTGATTTGGCTCTAATCTTGGATGCTACTAGTGTATAGAAATGGTACTGATTTTTGTACATTAATTTTGTATCCAGAAACTTGATATTGTTTCTTGATCCAGAAACTTCTGTTGTCTCCAGAAACATGAAGATGTTTATCAGATCTAGGAGCCTTTGTGCAGAGACTGCAGGTTTTTCTAGGTATAGAATCATATTGCTTGCTAATATTGTTTGGCTGAGTCCCCACCCAAATCTCATCTTGAATTCCTCCATATTGTGGGAGGGACCTGATGGGAGATAATTGAATGATGGGGGCAGGTCTTTCCTGTGCTTTTCTCATGATAGTGAATAAGTCTCACCAGATCTGATGGTTTTTAAGGTGGAGATTCCCTGCACAATCTCTCTCTCTTGTCTGCCACCATGTGAGATCTGCCATTCACCTTCTGCCATGATTGTGAGGCCTCCCCAGCCACGTGGAACTGTAAGTCCGTTAAACCTCCTTATTTTGTAAATTTCCCAGTCTCGGGTATGTCTTTATCAGCAGCATGAAAACAGGTTAATACAGTAAGTTGGTACTGGGAAGGGGTTAGTGCTGAAAAGATACCCTAAAATTTGGAAGAGACTTTGGAACTGGGTAACGGGCAGAAATTGGAACAGTTTGGAGTACTTAGAAGAAGACAGAAAAATGTGGGAAAGTTTGGAACTCCCTACAGACTTGTTGAATAGCTTTGACCAAAATGCTGACAATGATATGGACAATGAAATTCAGGCTGAGGTGGTCTGAGATGGAGTTGAGGAACTTGTTAGAAACTGGAGCAAAGGTGACTCTTGTTATGTTTTAGCAAAGAGACTGGCAGCATTTTGCCCCTGCCCTGGAGAATTGCGGAACTTTGAACTTGAGAGAGATGAGTTAGGGTGCCTGTCAGAAGAAACTTCTAAGCAGCAAAGCATTCAAGAGTTAACTTGGGTGTTATTAAAGACATTCAGTTTTCTAAGGAAATGCAGCATAAAAATTCAGAAAATTTGCAGCCTGACAATGCAATAGAAAAAAAAATCCCATTTTCTGAGGAGGAATTCAAGCCAGCTGCAGAAACTTGCATAAGTAAGGAGGAGCTGAGTGTTACTCCCCAAGACAATGGGGAAAATGTCTCTAGGGCATGTCAGAGGTCTTCATGACAGCCCCTCCCATCACAGGCCTGCAGGCCTAGGAGGAAAAAGTGGTTTTGTGGTTTTGTAGGCTGGGTCTTGAGTCCCTGTGCTGTGTGCAGCCTAGGGACTATGTGCCCTGTGTCCCAGCTGCTGCAGCTGTGGCTGAAAGGGGCCAATATGGAGCTCAGGCCATGGCTTCAGAGGGTCCAAACCCTAAGCCTTGGCAGCTTCCACATGATGTTGAGCCTGTGAGTGCACAGAAGTCAAAAACTGGGGTTTGGAAACCTCCGTCTAAATTTCAGAAGATGTATAGAAATGCCTGGATACCCAGGTAGAAGCTTGCTATAGCAGTGGAGTCCTCCTGGAGAACCTCTGCTAGGGCAGTGCAGAAGGGAAATGTGGGGTGGGAGCCCCCACACAGAGTCCCTACTGGGGCACCACCTAGTGGACCTGTGAGAAGAGGGCCACCATCCTCTAGACCCCAGAATGATAGATCCACCAACAACTTGCACCATGCACCAGGAAAAGCCACAGACACTCAATCCCAGCCCATGAAAACACCTGGGAGGGAGGCTGTACCTTGCAAAACCACAGGGGCTGAGCTGCCCAAGACCATGGGAACCTACCTCTTGTATCAGTGTGACCTGGATGTGAGACATGGAGTCAAAGGGGATCATTGTGGAGCTTTACGATTTAACTGCCTGCTGGATTTTGGACTTGCATGGAGCCTGTAGCCCCTTTGTTTTGGCCAATTTCTCCCATTTGGAATGGCTGTATTTACCCAGTGCCTGTGCCCCTATAGTATCTGGGAAGTAACTAACTTGCTTTTGATTTTACAGGCTCATAGGCAGAAGGGACTTGCCTTGTCTCAGATGCGATGTTGGACTGTGGACTTTTGAGTTAATGCTGAAATGAGTTAAGACATTGGGGGATTGTTGGGAAGGCATGATTGGTTTTGAAATGTAAGGACATGAGATTTGGGAGGGGCCAAGTGTGGAATATTATGGTTTGGCTGTGTTCCCATCCAAACCTCATCTTGAATTCCCATGTGTTGTGGGAGGAATTCAATGGGAGGTAATTGAATCATGGGGACAGGTCTTTCTTGTGCTATTCTCAAGATGGTGAATAAGTCTCACAAGATCTGATGGTTTTTATGGGGAAAGAAGAAGAGCTAACTATCCTAAATATATATGCACCCAATGCAGGAGCACCCAGATTCATATAACAAGTTCTTAGTGACATACAAAGAGACTTAGACTCCCACACAATAATAGTGAGAGACTTTAACAACCCACCATCAATATTAGACAGATCATCAGGACAGAAAATTAACAAAGATATTCAGGAATTGAATTCAGCTCTGGATCAAGTGGACCTGGTTGATATCTACAGAACTCTCAACACCAAACAGCAGAATATACATTCTTCTTGGTGCCATATGGCACTTAATCTAAAATTTATTACATAATTGGAAGCAAATCACTCCTCAGTAAATTCAAAATAACTGAAATAATAACAAACAGTCTTTCAGACCACAACACAATCAAATTAAAACATGTGGTTAAGAAAATCACTCAAAAACCACACAACTACATGGAAATTGAACAACCTGCTCCTCAGTGACTCCTGAATAAATAATGAAATTGAGGCAGAAATCAAGGAGTTATTTGAAACCAATGGGAACAAAGACACAATGTTCCAGAATCACAGGGATGCAGCCAAAGCAGTGTTAAGAGGCAAATTTATAATACTAAATGCCCCCATCAAAAAGCTAGAAAGATCTCAAATTGACACTTTAATATAAGAAATAAAATATCTAGAGAACCAAGAGCAAACAAACTGCAAAGCAAAGCTAGCAGAAGACAAGAAATAACCAATTTCAGAGTGGAACTGAAGGAGATAGAGACACAAAAAAAACCTTCAAAAAATTATTGAATCCAGGTGCTGGTTTTTTGAAAAAGAAAATAAAATAGACCACTATCTAGACTAATAAAGAAGAAAAAAAGAATAAAAGAGACAATAAAAAATGATAAAGGGGATATCACCACTGACCCCACAAAAATACAAACAACCATCAGAGAATACTATAAATAGCTCTATGCAAATAAACTAGAAAATCAAGAAGAAATGGATAATTTCCTAGACACATACGCCCTTCCCAAGACTGAACCAGAAATAATTTGAATCCCCGAATAGACCAATAACAAGTTTGAAATTTGAGGCAGTAATAGTCTACCAACCAAAAAAAAAGCCCAGGACCAGATGGATTTACAGCTGATTACTCCCAGAAGTACAAAGAGCAGCTGATACACTTTCTTCTGAAACTCCTTCAAATTATTGAAGAGGAGGGACTCCTCTTTAACTCATTCTATGAGCCTAGCATCATCCTAATACCAAAACCCTGGTAGAGATACAACAAAAAAGGGAAACTTCAGGCCAATAACCCTGATGAACATCAGTGCAAAATTCTGAATAAAATATGGGCAAACCAAATCCAGCAGCACATCAAAAAGCTCATCCATAATGAAAAAGTTGGCTTCAACCCCCAGATGCAAGGCTGGTTCAACATTTGCAAATCAATAAATGTAATTCATCACATAAACAGATCTAAAAACAAAAACTACATAATTATCTCAATAGATGCAGAAAAGTACTTAGATAAAATTCAACATCCCTTTATGTTAAAAACTCTTAATAAACTGGCTACTGAAGGAACATACCTCAAAATAATAAGAGCCATTTCTGACAAACCCGTAGCCAATATCATACTGAATGGGCAAAACCTGGAAGCATTCCCCCTTGAAAACTGGCACAAGACAAGGATGCTGTCTCTTACCACTCCTATTCAATGTAGTATTGGAATTGCTGGCCAGGGCAACCAGGCAAGAGAAGGAAATAAAGCGCATTCAAATAGGAAGAGAGGAAGTCAAATTGTTTGCAGATGATCTGATTCTATATCTAGAAAACCCCATCACCTCAGCCTAAAAGCTTCTTAAGCTGATAAACAACTTCAGTAAAATCTCAGGATACAAACTTAATGTGCAAATGTCACAGCATTTCTATACACCAACAACAAGCAAACAGAGATCCAAGTCATGAGAGAACTCCCACTTGCAATGCTACAAAGAGAATGAAATACCTAGGAATATAGCTAACAAGGGAAGTGAAGGACTTCTTCAGGGAAAACTACAAACCAATGCTCAAGGAAGTCAGAGATGATACAAGCAGATGGAAAACATTCCATGCTCATGGATAGGAAGGATCAATACAGTGAAAATGGCCATATTGCTCAAAGTAATGTATAGATTCAATGCCATTCCCATTGACATTCTTCACAGAATTAGAAGAAACTATTTAAAAATTCATATGGAACTAAAATAGAGCTCATATAGCCAAGACAATCCTAAGCAGAAAGAACAAAGCTGGAGGCATCAAACTAGACTACAAGGCTACAGTAAAAACAAACAAACAAACAAACAGACAAAAAAAAGTATGGTACTTCTACAAAAACACACACACAGACCAATGAAACAGAATAGAGAACTCAGAATTACGACCACACATCTACAACTATCTGATCTTTGACAGACCTGACAAAAACAAGCAATGGGGAAAGGATTCTCTATTTAATAAATGGTGCTGGGATAACTGGCTAGCCATATGCAGAAGGTTGAAACAGGACCCCTTCCTTACACCTTATGCAAAAATTAACTCAAGATGGATTAAAGACTTAGATGTAAAACATGAAACTATAAAAACTCTAGAAGAAAATCTAGGCAATATCTTTTAGGACCTAGGCATAGGCAAATATTTCATGATGAAATCACCAAAAGCAATTGCAACAAAAGCAAAAATCGACAAATGGGACCTAATTAAACTAAAGAGCTTCTGTACAACAAAAGAAACTATAGTCAGAGCAAACAGGCAATCTACAGAGTGGGAGAAAATCTTTGCAATCTATCTATCTGACAAAGGTCTAATATCCAGAATCTACAAGAAACTTATTAAACAAATTTACAAGAAAAAAAAACAAACCACCCCATTAAAAAAGGGGCAAAGGACATGAACAGACACTTCTCAAAAGAAGACATTCATGCAGCCAACAAACTTATGAAAAAAGGCTGAGGCTGGGTGCAGTGATTCATGCCTGTAATCCCAGCACTTTGGGAGGCTGAGGCGTGTGAATCACGAGGTCAGGAGTTGGAGACCAGCCTGGCCAACAAGGTGAAACCCCATATCTATGAAAAAATACAAAAATTAGACAGGTGTGGTGGCACATGCATATAGTCCCAGCTACGCAGGAGGCTGAGGCAAGAGAATTGCTTCAACCCGGGAGGCAGATGTTGCAGTGAGCCAAGATTGCGCTATTGCAGTCCAACCTGGGTGACAGAGCAAGACTCCATCCGTCTTAACAAAAAAAAAAAAAAAAAAAGAGAAAAACAGAAACATCACTGATTATTAGAGAAATGCAAATCAAAACCAAAATGAGACACCATCTCATACCAGTCAGAATGGCGATTAAAAAGTCAAAAAACAACAGATCCTGGTAAGGTTGCACAGAAATAGGATTGCTTTTACACTGTTGGTGGGAATATAAATCATTTCAACCATTGTGGAATATACTGTGGCAATTGCTCAAAGATCTAGAACCAGAATACCATTTGACCCAACAATCCCATAACTGGGTATATACCCAAAGGTATATAAATCATTCTATTACAAAGATAAAGACACATGTATGTTCATTGCAGCACTCTTCACAATAGCAAAGACATGGAATTAAACATAAATGTCCATCAATGATAAACTGGATAAAGAAAATGTAGCACATTTTCATCATGGAATACTATGTAGTCATAAAAAGGAATTAGATCATGTCCTTTGCAGAGACATGGATGGAGCTGGAAGCCATTATCCTCAGCAAACTAACACAGGAACAGAAACCAAGCACCACATGTTCTCATTTATAAGTGGGAGCTGATCAATGAGAACACATGGACACAAGGAGGGGAACAACACACACTGGAGCCTGTTGGGGGATGGTGTTGGGGAAGGGAGGACATTAGGAAAAATAACTAATGCATGCTGGGCTTAATACCTAGGTGATGGGTTGATAGCTGCAGCAAACCACCATGACACATATTTACCTACATAACATACCTGTACATTCTGCACATGTACCCTGGAACTTAAAATAAAAATAAATGATAATAATCTCTGATGGGTTTTTTTTTTATATTTCTGTGGGGTCAGTGGTAATATCCCCTTTGTCATTCTAATTGTGTTTATTTGGATCTTCTCTCTTTTTTCTTTACTAGTCTAGCTTGTGGTCTACCAATTTTGTTTATTCTTTCAAAAAAACCAATGTTTTCTGATGTTTTGTATGGTTTTCATATCTCATTTTCATTCAGTTTAGCATTGATATTGGTAATATCTTTTCTTCTGCTAGCTTTGTGGTTTGTTTGCTCTTGTTTTCCTAGCTCCTCTAGGTTTGATGTTAGATCATAAATTGGAAATCTTTTTAACTTTTTGATGTGGGCATTTATCATTTTCAGCTTTCCTCTTAAAATTGCTTTAGCTGTGTCCTGGAGATTCTGGTATGTTTTATCTTTCTTTTCATGAATTTCAAAGAATTTCTTCATTTCTGCCTTAATTTTATTATTTACCCAAAAGTCATTCAGGAACAGATTGTTGAATTTCCATGTAATTGTATGGTTTGGAGAGATCTTCTTTGTATTGATTTCTATTTTGATTGCCCAGTAGTCCCAGAGTGTGGTTGATGTCAGGATTTTTGAATTTGTTGAGAATTACTTTATGGCTGAGCATGGGATCAATTTTAGAGTATATGCCATGTGCAGATGAGAAGAGGGCATATTCTATTGTTGTTCAGCATAGTGCTCTGTAGATTTCTGTTAGGTCTATTTGGACAAGTGTTGAGTTTAGGTCCCAAATGTCTTTGTTAGTTTTCTGCCTAGGCGATCTGTCTAACACTGTCAGTAGGGTGTTGAAGTCTCCCACTACTATTATATGTTTATTTAAATCTCTTCGGCCGGGCATGATGCCTCACGCCTGTAATCACAGCACTTAGGGAGGCCAAGGCAGGTGGATCACGAGGTCAGGAGATCGAGACCATTCTGGCTAACATGGTGAAACCCTGTCTCTACTAAAAAATACAAAAAAATTAGCTGGGCATGGTGGCGGGCGCCTGTAGTCCCAGCTACTCGAGAGGCTGAGGCAGAAGAATGGCACGAACCCAGAAGGTGGAGCTTGCAGTGAGCTGAGATCGTGCCACCGCACTCCAGCCTGGGTGACTGAGCAAGACTCTGTCTCAAAAAATAAAAAAATTAAAGAAAAAAAATCTCTTCATAGGTCTCTCAGAACTAGTTTCATAAATTTAGGTGTTTTGGTGTTAGGTTCATATATATTTAGCATACTTAAATTTTCTTGTTAAATTGAACTTTTTATCATTATGCAATGCCCTTCTTTGGTTTTGGGGTTTTCTTTTTTGGACCATTGTTTGTTTAAAGCGTTTTTTTTTGTTTGTTTGTTTTTTGAAATAGGAATTGCAACCCCTGTTCTTATTTGTTTTCTGTTTGCTTGATAGATTTTTTTCCATACCTTTACTTGGAATCCTTGCATGTGAGATGGTTATCCTGAAGACAGCGTACAGTTGAGTCTTGCTTCTTTATCCAACTTGCCATTCTATTTTTTTAAGTAGGGAATTTAGCCTATTTATGTTCAAGGTTAATATTTATATGTGCAGTTTTGATCTGTCATCATGTTGTTAACTAGTTGTTATGTAGACTTGACTATGTAGTTGCTTTATAATGTCAATGGTCTATGTAGTTAAGGGTGTTTTTGTAGTGGCCAGTAATAGTCTTAAGGACCTCTTGTAAGGCAGGTATGGTGATAATAAATTTTGTTAGCATTTGCTTGTTTAAACAGAATTTTATTTCTTCTTTGCTTATGAAGCTTAGTTTGGCTGGATATAAAATTCTTGGTTGAAGTTTATTTTCTTTAAAGATGCTGAATATAGGTCCCCAATCTCTTCTGGCTTGTAAGATTCCTGCTGAAAGTTCTGCAGTAGCTTTATTCAATTCCCTTTGTGTGTGATCTGCCCCTTTCCTTTGGCTGCTTTTAATATTTTTTTTTCGTGTTGACTTTGGAGAATCTGATGATTATGTGTCTTGGGGATCATCATCCTGTATAGTATCTTACAGGGGTTTTGTACATTTCCTGAATATGATTGTTGACTTATGTAGCAAGGTTGGGGAAATTTTCATGGACAGTATCCTTAAATATGACTTCCAACTGGCTTGCTTTCTCTTCCTCTTTTTCAGAGACACCAATGAGTTACAGATTTGTTCCATTTACATAATCCTATATTTCTCAGAGGTTTTGTTCAGTCTTTTTTATTCTTTTTTTCCTTTATTTTTATCTGACTGAATTGATTCAAGGAACCAGTCTTCAAGATGTGAGATCTTTCCTCAGCTTGGTCTATTCTACTGTTAATACTTCTGATTGTATGAAAAAGTTCTAGTAGTGAGTTTTTCAGCTCTATCAGATCAGTTTGGTTCTTTCTTAAAATGGCTACTTTGTCTTTCAGCTCTTCTGTTATTTTACTGGATTCCTTAGATTCCTTGAATTGGGTTTCAAATTGCTCCTGAATCTCGATAAATTTGTTGCTTTCCCTGTTCTTAATTCTTTGTCTGTCATTCCAGCACTTCTGCCTTTTTAAAAACCATGGCTGGGGAGCTGGTGGAGTCATGAGAAGGTAAGAAAACACTCTGGTTTTTGCGTTGCCAGCGTTCTTGCACTGGTTCTTCTCGTCTGTGTGGGCTGATGTCCTTTTAATCTTAGAATTTGCTATTCTTTGGATGGAGCTTTTTGCTTATATATTATTTGACGTCCTTGAGGGTTTGACTATGGGATAAGTTTGAGTACAGTTGGCTTGCTTCATTTCTGGATGATTTCAGGGGGGCAAGGCTCAGCTCAGCACTCTTGAGTGGCATGCTCTAACCAGGCCCACAGCTTTGTTCCCTGACCCCTCAAGGTTGAGCACCTGGTGAGCTGAAGAAGTTGAGGTATTCCCAGATCGTGGAAACAACACTCTGATGTGGGAGGGAGCTGTGCCAACAACAACACTCTAATTGGGCATGCCAGCAAATGCACTTTGTCAGTGTGGTGGCAGTGTTGTTTACGCTTATGTATGCATGCCAGTGGTGGCAGGGTCTGCACATGTGCATATGCCAGTGAGCTCCATGTGCACACGTGTGCTGGTGGTAGCAGTGTGGTGAGTTGCACACATGTGTGCATGAGTAAAACAATAGGGGGGCTGCAAGTGAGTGTGTGCACTCATAAAATGGTGGGGAAAGGCTGAGGGCAGGTGCACGCCAGTGAGGGACCATCTGCAGAAGCTCTGATGGTTAGTAAGGGTCTGCAAGCAAAGGAGTTATGGTGTTGGCTGTTGGGTGGTGCCTTGGTTGTGTATCTGAAGCTGTGCTGCAAGTGGATGTGGCCAGACAGGAACCTTGGGAGAAATCAGCAGACAGGGGGGATGCTCAGATCGGACTGGTACCACCTCACAGGCAAGATAGCTTTGTTCTACCTGGGTACAACTGCCAACAAAGGCCAAAGCTACCTAGAGGAGTGTTGTGAGCCTTAGGGGTTGGCCATCCCTGGCAGTATTCCCCTTCAGCTGTTTCATGCTAAACCCCCTGGGGTTCGCACAGGCTGGAGTCTTGTCCCTTCCAACTCTCCAAGCAGCTCTCTCTGACAGCTCAAATGTCCATGGTTGTCATGGGGTCTTCAGCAGCTAGGATTCTTGAAGTCTGTGGTGACAGTGGGCCACTCAATTCCTATTTAATTTGCTCCTTCCCTAGGAGGCATTCAGGGCCAGGAATGAGTCCTGGTGCTTAGCAACCCTGTGCAGGGTTTCCAGCTTCCTCCTTCTTCAGCCCAGCATGTGTTTTCTCCTTCCATTCACTCTCAATGCCTTCCTTCCAAAGATCTGCTTGGAATGTGCCAGTCTTCTTGATGGTCTGGTATCTTGGTGGGATCAGCTATTCCTGGCTGTGTTTAGTTGACCATCCTGGCTCTTCTCCAGATAAAGGCTTTGATGGGTGAAAAATGTATTTGTTTCCCCTAAATCTAAAGATTAAAGAGCAGTGCTGAATAGGCAAGAAAGCAAAGCTGGTTTAGAGTGCAAAGAGAAAACTAGGAGGATAGGTTTCATATAGGAAACAAATGACAAGTGAACCTGGAAAAGATGAGCTAGACTTCCTGTGTTGGGTCTTACATATTATGGTTCAGAATACCAGCTCTGGTTTAAATTAGTGGAGTTTGAATGCCTTTTCTGCCACTTTTTAGCTATGTAATTTGACCAGATATTACACTCTATTTCTTGTTTGAAACATTAAACAAGTTAATAAATCTAGTGTGACTTAAATTGTGCCAAGTAAGTTATATGTTTTAGCCATTATTATTATCTAGGTCACCAAATATTCAAAAGCCATAATTTCTTTTGAAGTTGGGAATAAAGTAATCCATATACTCATTTATAAATATTTATTTGTCAGAGTTTTGCAGGATGGATAGAAGCCAGGACAGTGTGGAAGCAGAGATGCCAATTTGAAAGGGTTTGTAGTGACTGAAGTTAGAGCTAATGTGGATAAATTTTGACAGTGCCAGTGGGACTGGTACCAGGCATTGGATGTTGGTACAGGGCTAGGCAGATCTTGGATCTGGAGGGTGACAACAAATATGCAGGCAAAGATGTTGGAGGTTTTGTGCCTGGGTTACAGAGAGAATGTGTTTTTAACAGAAATAGATTAATCAGAGAGATGGTCTCTCTGGAATGATGCTGGATTCATTTTGGAACAAGCTTATGTCTGAATATGAATCAGTATATTTTATTTTAAAATATTCCCTTTCTCTCTTCAAATATGTATCTCATTTCTTGCATTTCCCTCTTTTTACTAACTCCACCTGATTTTAAGCACCTTGTTTCACATTCAATTTCTGTAGTAGCCTCCTAAATGTCCTTACCTTTTTAAAAGATAATTGTCTTACTCTTTTGTTTCTACCTGTCTCTAATCAATTCTCTTCACACTAGAGTGAGGTACTTCTAAAATGTTGATCACATCATGCCACTCTATTGTTTATCCCTCTTTCCCTGCTTCTTCTTTAACTTGGAATAAAATCTAAACTTTTACTATGGCCTCTAACTACATGGTCTAGCCCAGTGCATCTCTGCCAGGTATACTGCCACTAACCTTAGAATCTGCCACTGATACATACTGTGCTCAAACAGCTCCATCCATATTGCTTCCAGGAAAAGGAAGGGCTTTTTCTCAACTTTCAGGTCACAGAGCAAATTTAATTTCCTCTGAGAGACCTTTTCTGACTACACTATGTCAAGTAGACTCTGAACTCCAGCTTCTATCATTATTCCCTAGGTAGCCAAGAGGAAATGGGAAAAAGAATAAAAATGTAAGGATTTTTATTTTACCAGAGAAATGTCATTTATTCCGTAGTTACAAAATGAAAGGAAAATAAGAGCACAGATCTAAAGACACAAAAAGATTTGGTGGTGAGAAGATTCCCTTTTAACTGTCTCAGGGCAGTTGGCATGGTTTCATTGTCCCACCCAAATCCTAAAAGAGGGCTGCTTACATTTTTGGGAAAAGTGTTCAAGGACAAAATTCTGGATTTGAAACTGCCAAAAACCCTAGATTTAACCTTTTTTTTCTTCACCTTGTTCCTGGAAAATAGACTAGGTACGGATAAAACTGTCCTGTTAAAAGTCAGTAGGCAACAGGGATTCAGTATATAGAGGTAATACTAATTTAAAAAATGAAAAAAGGATAAAAGGATAAATGCTTATTAAAAATTCCATATTTCACTCAAGAAACAAAAGTACTTCATGTAAAGAGTTTTCCTTAAAAAATTAAGACATGGACTCATTTTGTTTCATTTTTATGATTGTTGCTATTGGTCTTTAAAATTTACATACAGGAAACAGCTTTTTTTGGTATACATTTCTGAGTTTAATACATGTATTGATTCATGTACCCGTCACTACAATTAGTCTGTAGAAGAGTTCCAGCAGATTCTTTGTAGTCAAACCTACTGTTACCCTTAACCCTTGGAAACTGTGGATCTGTTCTTCATTCCTATAGTTTTGCCCCATCTAAAACATTATATACTTGGAATCATAAATTATATAACCTTTTGAGACTGTGTTAATTCAGCATAATGCCTTTAAGATTTGTCCATAGTGTTGCATTTATTAATAGTTCATTCTTTTTATTGCTGAATATTATTCCATTATATAGATGTACCTTAGTTTGTTTATTCGCTCACCTTTTGAAGAACATTTAGGTTGTTTTTAGTTTTTGATATTAATACTTAGGAGTACTGCTGCCAAGATCATTTATGAACACGTTTTTGTGTGAATATAAGTTTTGTTTTGTTTTTCTCTGTTAGAAATGTGATTCCTGTGTCATTGGGTAAGTGACTTTATAAGAAAAAGACAAACTTTATAAGAAAAAGACAAACTCTTTTGTGGTAGAGTTTTATCGTTTTGCATTCTTTTTAGCAATCTATAATATTTCCCATTGCTCCATATCTTTTCCAGCATTTGGTATTGTCAGCTCTTCTTTTTTAATGGATAGTGATGTTGAGCACATATTCATGTGCTTATTTGTTAACCATATAGTTTCTTTGATGAAGTGATTGTTCAAATCTTTCTCCTCATTTTAAAAAAGCATTTTTTTTTTCAATTGAGCTTTGGGAATTCATTATATATTCTAGAGATGTCATTTTCATTCTCTTGTCAGTGTCTTTTGCAATACAAAAATTTTGGAGTTGATGTGATCAGTTTACATTTCATCAGAAGACATTTAGTCTTTTGTTTTCCTCTATATGTTTTATAGCTTTACATTTCATAAATAACTCTATGATCCATTTCCAGTTAATCTTTATATAAGATGTGAGGTTTAGATGAAAGATTATTGCGGCTTGTTTTCTTCTTTTTTTTTTGGTACAAGAATGCTCACTTTCCCCAACATTTGTTGAAAATACAACCAATATCCCATTTAATTGCTTTTGCCCATTTGTCAGAAATCAATTTGACTTATTTGTTGGGGCCTGTTAATAGACTCTTTATTCTACTTATTGTATTAGGTTGGTGCAAAAGTAATCACAATTTTTGCCATTACTTTCAATGACAAAACCACAGTTACTTTTGCAACAACCTAATATCTTTCAACCCAAGGGAATGATATGCCCTTTTATCTATTTGGGTGTTCTTAGATTTGTGTTATCATAAAGTTTTTAGCATATCAAGCATGCATATATTTTATAATATTTATTTCAGTTTCCAAATTGTTCATTTCTAATAATAACATAAATTTTTTATGTTGATCTTGTGTCTTGTGACTGTTAAACTGTTTTATTAGTTTCAGGAAATTTTCTTATAAATTCTTTGCAATTTTCTAGGTAGATGATTATAACATCTGAGAATATACATTTATGCTTATTTTTTCAATTTGTAAAAATTTTATTTTAAAATTTACATTTGTTATTCTTATTAGTGTTTGGCTTTACTGCACTAGTTAGGACTTTTATGGTATTAAATAAACATGGTATAAATGAACATCTGTCTCTTTGTCCCATCCTCATGTGAAAACATTCAGTCTTTCACCACTAAGTGTGATGGTAGCTGTCGTGTCTTTACAGATTCCCTTCCTCGAATTTAGAAAGTTTTTCTGAATTCTTAATTTGCTGAGAATTGCTTTTTGTTTTTAAAATCATGAATAGATGTTGAATATTGTGAAATTATTTTTCTTTTGTCAGTTGATATGATCATGTGTGTTTTATTCCTTATTCTGTTAATATATGGATTATATTGCTGGTTTTCAACTATTGAACCAGCTTTGCATTTTAGATAATTCCCATTTGATTGAGGCTTATTATTTTTTATGCTAAGATTTTATTGAGGAATTTTGCCTCCGTGTTCATGAGCAATATTGGTCTGTAATGTTCTTTCCTTTTATTTTTTAAAAAATTATTCTCTTTGACTGGTTTATATATCAGAGTATGTCTATGTCTCATAAAATGGTCTCATAAAATAAGTTGGGAAATATTCCTTTCTTGTTTATTTTCTGGAAGCAAGTATATATAATTAGTATATTTCTTCTTTAAAATTTTATAGAATTTCCCAGTAAAAGCATCTGGGTTTGGGGTATTTTTTTCCCTTTGGATGCATTTAACTAGGATTTCGATATCTTTGGTAGATGTAAGACAATTCAGATTATCTATTTCCTCTTTGATGAGCCTTGGTAGTTTGTAGCATTCAAAGAATTGGTTCATTTCATCTAAGATGTTAGAGTTATATTATATGAGATTGATTACAATAACATCTTGTTATGTTTTCCATGTCTGTGGGCTTTGTAGTGCTAATACCTCTTTTATTTCTGATATTAGTAATTTGAACCTTCTCTCTATTTTTTTCTCCTTATAGCTAGAGGATTATTAATGTTATTGATATTTTCCTTAAAAATCTTTTGATTTCATTGATTCTTCCTTTTATTTTGCTATTTTAAATTTCATCATGTTCTGCTCTTTATCATTTCTTTCCTTCTACTTGATTTTTACTCTTTTTAAAAAAATTCTCAAAATCATTTCTTACGTAATTTAATCTGGATCTTCCTTCTTTTCTAATATAAACATTTACTGCTCTAAGTTTTTCTTTGAGCACTGATTTAAGTTGCATCCCTAAAATTTTGATATGTTTTATTTTCAATTTTATTCAGTTAAAATATTTTCTAGTTTTCCTTGTAGTGTCCTCTTTAACTTATGGGTAATTTAGAAGTATGTAAATTTCCAAGAATTTTGGTATTCCCAGTTTTATTACTGATTTCTAGTTTAATTTTATTATGCTCAAGAAATATATTTTTAAATATTTTAATTTAAAAAAATATGTTGAGACATTATGACCCAGGATATTTTGTCTGTGTAGTGAATTTTTTTTCTCTTTTTCTTTTTTTTGAGATGGAGTCTCGCTTTGTTGCCCAGGCTGGAGCAGAGTGGCGCCATCTTGGCTCACCACAACCTCCGCTTCCCAGGCTCAAGAGATTCTCCTGCCTCAGCCTCACAAGTAGCTGGGACTACAGGTGCATACCACCACACCTGGATAATATTTACACTTTTAGGAGAGATGGAGTTTCACCATGTTGGCCAGGCTGGTCTCAAACTCCTGACCTCAGGTGATTCACCTGCCTCAGTCTCCCAAAGTGCTGAGATTACAGACATGAGCCACCACGGCTGGCTGTATGTTTCTTGTGCTTTTGAAAATAATTTGTATTCTGCTATTACTGGCTAGAGTATTGCTTAAATGTCCATTAGACAGAGTTGGTCACTGGTGTTTTTCAATTCCTCTATATCCTTTTTATTTGTTGTATTGATTTCTGAGAGGCAAATGATGATACCTCTAGTTAAAGAATTTCCCCCTCCTCCTTTGAATCTTTTCATTTTTGCTTCATGTATTTTGGAGCTCTGTTTTTAGGTATATACACATTTGGGATTTTTTTTTCCTCATCCTTATTTTTCATCATTTGATTCTAATGTTCCTGGTGTGAATTTCTTTGAGTTTATCTTATTTGATGTTTATTGAGTTTATTGAATCTATAAGTTTATGACTTTAGTCAAATTTGAGAAGTCTTAACACATTATTTTTTAAATTTCCTTGCACCATGTTCATGACTGTTAGACCTATTAATATTTTCCCACAAATTCAGAAATCTTTTTTTTTCCTTTTTTTGTTCATAGTGGTTAATTTTTATTGATCTGTCTTCAAGTTCACTGATGTTTTTGTTGTCATCTCCAGTCTTCTGTTGAGCTGAGTGATATTTACTTTTGGTTATCTGATGTTTCAGTTCTAAATGTTTTTTGGTTCTGTACTATATTATTTTGTTTCTATGATGGGATTTCTATCTTTCCATTCATTCCCACAGTGATTATCCTTTGTACTGGAACATCTTTATAATAGCTGCTTTGCAATTATTGTCTATACTACCAACATCTGTGTCTTCTCAGTGTTGGTATGTGCTGATTTTCTTTTCCTTTGAGAGACATTGAAATTTTTTTATTCTTTGTATATTGAATAATTTTCTACTATGTTCTGTACACTTTGAATTTTGTCATGTGAATCTAGGTCTTATTTAAATTATATGGAGAATACATATTTTTTTTGTTTTGTTTTTACTTTAGCATGCAGTTGACCTGGTTAAGTTCAGGTTGCACATTCTTACCCTTCTTTTGTAAACTGTGGGTACAATGTCGCTTTAGTTTTCCAAAATCTTTTCAGTGGTATTTGGATCTATCCCAAATATGTAGTATTTGGTGGCTAGTCTTGGATTTTGGAAGTGCTTTATCTTATAGTTAAGTTTCCAGAAACCTTTGGTGTGCTACTCAGGTTCAGATCCACCCTTTCACAGCTCAAGGCTGGGCCCAGGAATCGATATATAAATTTAAAGTGTTAATTTCTTGAGGTTCTAGTCTGCCCAAAATCACTAAAATCTTCTGATTATCAGATACTCCTTTTCCTGGACTCCTAGCTGAAAAGTCAGGGCCTTAGTTTACCTACTTTGTCACATAATTCTTGAGTCTGAGTCTTTACCTAGGGCTATGAGGACAAAATATAGGGAAAAAAATGGGGAATTTTTTTTTACATGCTCTTGGGACTATAGTTCAACTGGTCTAAGAGATGGATTTCCTGTCTTTGTAGTTTTTTTTGTGTCTACCCAGAAACCATTATTATTACTGCCACCACTAACTCAGGGCAGGGAGAGAAAGAAAGAAGCAAACACAAAAATCCAGGTTTCTTCCACTTTTTTTGACTCTTCAATTTTTTTTTCACGTCTTAGGACAATAAATATAGGGCTTCTCCTGGAACTTTTTGTTTTCACCTGGTGGGTATTTCCAGCTTTTGTGTTGCCTTTACGTTCAGGTTGGGAGATAATAGAGGAAAACAAAACAAAACAAATCCTTCTCTTCTAGTTTAGTGGTCCTTTGAATTCTGGTTTTCTTTCCCAATCTACTTGGTACCATTTACTTTTCAGAATCATAACCTAAGTGTTCTGTGAATGGTCTCCTTGGTTTTAGTTGCATTTGAAGTCAGTGAAATGGTGAAGAGTACTTACAATAATTAAAAATACATTAAGTAATTATATAAAGAAATGAAAACCATTATCGGGAGATATTAGTCTCTTTATAAATATGTTAAATCTGGCATTTGTCGGTAACTAAGGTTAAAAGGATTGATGGAAGGGTTAAAGAACACTGAAGAACTTGACAGTCATTATGCAATAGGTGTAGCTTGTATGCCAGTTTGAGCTTTCGTTTTTGGTGGGAAGGAACACTGTAGGGAAAACTGGAGTTTTCGTGTGGGCAAGAACTTGTGAAATCAGGTTTTCTTTTATTGAATAATTCCATCTGTATTCATCGTCTGGGGAAATCTATGTAAAAGTTGGTCAAAGAAAGGACATTTCTAATGTAATTTTGGAGACAGTCTTATTCTATTAATATTAATAAATTATAGAGAGATGATAAAAGTAGACTTAAAATTTAGAAATTAATACAGAATTTGGGCTGCTGAATAAATGATTTATAATGCTAGAGAATGTTGTATGAGAAGGTAGAGTAAGAAATAGCAAATTGTTTTAATTCAAATTAGCAAAAGTATTAAAGATATTTGGTTCATTATGTACCAAGAGAGTTGATATATATGTTAAAAAAGAAATAACACACAATAAATAATCTACGACTTCATTAGTTTTGGCCATTATTTTTTAATCTTAGGCACAAGAGAGTATTCACAATCATGTTGGAAGGCTGAGACTAAGCACAACAAAGAGATTTTTTTCTCTTTAATATTACCAAAATTAGAATGTAATCTATCAGTTATTAATTGTAGACAAAGTGAATTCTGTTTTGAATAATAATTATGTTTCCATTCCTGGTACTTTAGTATTATTCCTAGGAGTTTATTTCTTACTTTTTTTAGACTTTTAAATTTGGACTTTCTTTTTCTGTGTTTTATTTAACTTTTATTCATGTCTACTGATCTGATTTAAGGCCATATGGTTTTAAACAGTCTTCCACTTTCCAAATAGTTATTTCTTCAATTTCTATTTCTTGTGTTTTTTCAATCCTGTTCTTACTGGAATCAACCTTATATTACTTTCTCTTTTTCTTCCTTTGTCTTTTCTGATAAACTATCTTCTGTTTCTTCAGGATAAAATAAATTTTGGGATCATAACAACTGTCACAAATTTACCTCTGAATAAATAATGTAATAACACTTTAAGACTCTCAGATTCATCAAATGCTTAATGCAAAATCATCTAGCAACTGAATGAAATTCCTCACTCTCATTGCATATGTTTTTACCCATTAGTTATTGGGTTTGATCATGTTTTTCTTACATCTATGCATTATATTCATACATCAGTAAAAACCAAGATGGAAACTTGAATCATCATTAGATAGAGAAGTGGAATGGCATAATAATAAAAACAAAACAGGAATAAATTGAACTGGATGTCCCAATGCTTGCTTCCATCAGAATCAATAACCATTTGTTAGAATTAATTTCTTTCTAATTGTTTGTGCTAACATATTAGTTTAGCATTGTTTTGGTCTTCCACACACAGATTAGAAATGACCAACCATCACAATTTCAATAAACTTCAATTTCAGTGTTCTCTACTGAGGGGAATTGAAAAATGATCTAGAATGAGTCACCATTCAATTGGAGACAGATGTGGATATTTTAGTGTGGCTCTGATATTTCATTTAATGCAAAAATAATGGTAACACTGAATATACACACACATACAATGCTACCTTTCTTTTTTTCAGGTTGCCAACTTAATTTTAGAGCCTTGTAGTAAATATTTAAAGTTGAACTATGACCCAACACAGCTAGTTATAAGTACAGGTACATTGATTTTCTCCAAACCAAAAAGTACGTAGAGCTTAGGAACCCTTACTAAGGCTAAGTCTGCCTTGGTTTTAATTCCAACTCTGCCATCAATTACTCTAGTGTGTGACTTCAGTCAAGTAAATTGCTTAATCTTCCTTGGCCTTATTTTTTACATATTCAGAATAAATTTGCATTGGATAATTTCTAAGGTTCTTTACATTTCCAACATTCTATGGTTCTGTAAAACATATTATCAAATGAGAAAATGTTATGAAATCTCTTTTTTGTTGAGAAAAGTGTTTACTTCAGTTTTCATTTTATACTTCAGTTTAATTTAACTATTTACATTGATAAAGTTATTTTACACTCAGAAAAATATGTCTATCGGCCAACAGCCGGGACACAGTGATCCTGGGGCTAAACACAATGAAGGCATGGCAACAACACTGTTTTTTAAAATGAATTTGAGGTGGATAAAGTTTAGAAAACTATTTCAATATTCCAGGTGAAAGTAATACAAAGCCTGTAGTGAAGTAGCTATTGGCACTAGTGGAAAGGAATGGATGTGAAAAATTGTGAAGACCCATTAAGTTTCTTATTTTTTTAAGTCACGAATATGTATACTTTAAATAAATTTGATATTTAAGAAGAAATACATTCCCTATTTTAAATCAGTAATATATCTTATGACATGTTGAACACAATCAGTATGCCATGTAAACCCTGCAGCACTTTACTCTAAAGTCAAACTTAAGTGTTTCACAGTTTGACAGAATACATATACTCTGGCAGTAAAACATGTAACAGTATTTTAAAAGAATATTTCCCATTGATTTATGTATCACTTTTAAATACTTCCTTTTTATTTAATCTTTTTAACAACCATCTAGTACATATTTTACACAAATGAGGAAACTAAGATTAAAGGAACTTAAGTAGCATTGCAAAGTTGTTAAGTAGTAGAGCTATGACTCAAACTGATAAGAATTTTATTCTATACTACATGTTTTTCCAATTCTCCATGCTCTCAACAATTCTGAGGAACATCCATTGTAATTGCATTCCTAAAATTAATGCCCATGAATATGAAACATGAAAATATATCCTGCCCCATATTTCCAAATGGACAGTTTCTACCAGAATTTTGAAGCAACTTAAACTATGAATGCCTATGCAAAAGAATTTAACCAGCTCTGAAGGTATAAAGGCTGTGGAGGATACAGGGAACACTTAAGATATCAGGAAGAGGTAATAAAAACTGAATATGAACAGATATAGGATATAAGCATCTTCAGTGAAGGAGTAGTCATTTATATAACATAATTGCTGTTTTTTTGTGTGTCATTGAAGACAGCACTTGTATCTAGTTTATTTGACTTGTTTTTCAGTTTAATACTATGATGGGCAGAATAATGGCTGCACAAAGATGTCCACATCCTAATCCCCAGAACCTATGAATATATTACCCTATAAGGGAAAAGGTACTTTGTAGATGTAACTAAGGTTTAGTAACTTGAGATAAGGATATTATGCTGGGTTAGCTGGGTGGGCCCACTCTAATCACATGAACCCTCAAAAGCAGAGAATATATCCTAGCTCTGGTTAGAGTGAAATGTGACTACCTCTGAATTCAGAGAAATACAATGTGAGAGGAGAATTCAAGCCACTATCATAAGCTTTAAAGAGAGAGGAAAGGGACCATGAACCAAGGAAGGTGTGTGATATTTAAAATCTAGAAAAAGCAAGAAAATTGAATGTCCTCTAGAATCTGCAGGAAAAAAAAAATGCAGCCTTGCCAATACTTTGATCTCAATCCAGTGAGACCTGTATCTGACTTCAGATATCTAGAATAGTAAGATAATGAATTTGTATTGGTTAAAGCTGCTAAACTTTTGGCAATTTGTTATAGCAGCAATTGAATACTAATATATGTATTCCACATGTATTTAGCCTCCTAAAGTCATTTTTAGCAAATATTTTTGTCAAATAAAGAGACAGGTGGCATGGTGTGTTAGAAATAGTTTTTGCCTCCTCCAATTTAGTAAACCTAGGACTTAGAAAACTGACATGGTTTGAAAGCTGAACTTGGAAACAGTAATATAATATTCTCACCATTTAATTTTACTGAGGACAATTTATCTTCATCTCCATAATAAATGATCATTTGTAATGCACCATGATGGCTGATTCTAATTCTTCCTTTTCTACTTCCCATGGGTGTTTATCTTTGTTACACTTCAACGACAGAGTTCCCTTACCACCACCCTCTGCATCTCAGCATATTTTTTCCCCTTGCAATGAGAGTATGACCAATGACCCTTCATTTTAGCTAATCATGAAGAAACAGACTGAACCAGAGACAGAATGAGTAATCCAGGCTCGTTGTCCTTATATTTTCTAAAATAAATTCTACTGTATTTATTCTAATGTGTAATATACATTAGCTCAAAGAAAAACATTCTCTAACATATAGGGATTATCAATCATTTTAATGCAACTTATAGTTTGAAGAATATGAGCAAATTTTAAGGGGGAAAATTGAGGGAATAAAGCAGATTAAGGGGAAGACAATGCACATTTATCAGAATGATTTGTAATCAGAAGTATTAGTCTATCAGTCAAAACCATTCAATAAGTGTTAGACCAAACATAAGATATGGGAATAAGGTAACCATGATAGTAATTTATTATGAAAATTGGAACATTTTGAGAGATAAATTGGGCACCGTTAATAATAGTTTTGCTAGCATAGAAGGCAAATAAGGCTATAGTTACATTAGTAATGTTAAATTCCCACCTTATAAATAAGTATTATATAGTAATTTACTTATTTATAAAAGTCAGACATCTATGTCAAACAGCAATAGTTTAAATTTATTTGACAAAAACAAACAAGCAAAAAACACTTGCCACATACCTCCAAACTGATTTCAATGCATCACTACTGAGGATGAGGATTGAGGCTTCTGAAGATTGGTTTAGGAGTCAGGAGGCTTGAGTTCTACCTCCCTGCTTTGTTATCTTTGGCTGCAGAGGTCCACATTAAATTTTCTTCATATATAAAAAGAGAGATTTGTTCATATTTAAGTTCTATTTGAGTATTGATATGTTTCTGTAGAAATCAATATCAGGAGATCTCATGTGATTCTTATACTTATTGCCTGGGCTCTGGTTTTCTATAAGGGTGGTTCCCCTCCCTTGAGATATCTGGATATCTATTAGGGTGATATTCATTGTTCTGATAATTGGAGGTGGCATTACTGGCAGTGGGTGACACTAGGAATGCCCAATGGCTTTAATGCTTGAGTCATAAACAACAAATTGTGTTCCTTTTCTTCAGAACTCTAAATGTTTCACAGGACATCAATGTACATGAAATATCTGTTTATAATTTTTGAACTAAGAAATAAACTCCATTTTATTTTATAAATGCAAAATAATTTCACACAGTTCAAACATAAGTGAATTTTCCAGGAATGCTACTATTGTGAAAATTGTATTGAAAATACACTTTATTTCATTTTTACCTGGGGCTATTCATCATTTTCCAAATGCACATCACTCTCCACAATGCTGCTCATGATATGACAACACACCTGAGTCAGCCTGCACCTGTAGCCATTTATTTACACTGATTCTGCACATATGTGCAGGCATCCTTCCAATCTGGTGTAGTTTTGCCCAAACATTGATACTGAAAAACAACATATTTTAAAATATATTACTTTGTTATACTTATATTGCTCTTTACAGTTATGTGTGTAGGTAGGTTGCATTATCCATGAATTTCATTTTAACAGAGTAGAGATAAGATGTATCTTATATAAAAGGGTATTGAGTTGGATAGGATAGACAACCACAGCCTTGGGGTACAGAAAAAGCTCATAGCATTTCAATAGTGAGAAGAACTTTTGGATTCAGCCTACCATAGTGGATAGAGCACTGGTCTAAGGCTTGAAAGCTTGAGTTTTAATTTCAGTTCTGCCATGAGTCAAATTACTTGTGCAAATTGTAGTTTCCTCATAGGTAAGTTTAAAAAGCCAGCCAAGTTACAGTGCAGGCCATATAATTTTTCTGTTCTCTTATGTCAAAATAAGTGGCTAGAAAATACAGGGAAATGGAACGTGAATTCGCATATGGAGAAATTCTCAAATAATTAGAGCTGTGCCAAAATGGAACTGGTGTACACTGAAAGTATTTAAGCTGTGTCTGGTTAATTATTTGCTGTGGCTGGTGTGTTGGGAGGATACTGGATTCTATAAAAGGTGCTCAACTTGAGGTCATCAGTGGAGTATAAATCAAGAATGAGGTGGTATATAGATG
Source organism: Homo sapiens (assembly GCF_000001405.40). Classification (NCBI taxonomy): domain Eukaryota; kingdom Metazoa; phylum Chordata; class Mammalia; order Primates; family Hominidae; genus Homo; species Homo sapiens. Next base: position 22,595,044 of record NC_000009.12, read on the forward strand.
TTTCTATGGTTTCATGTTGTCTCTGGTATCCATTCCAGATTAAAAACAAAGGGATGATCTCTCATATTTTCTCCAGTTAAAAAGCTATTATCTACCACTGTATAGAGAGTTAGCTATAAACTTAGAGATACTGTTTTACAGACTTACTGGAAATAAATAACTCACAAAGTAGTATTTAACTCATATATCTCATGTAATTGTCAGGCCTAGTGTTTATCCCCAGGTATTCTCTAATTGTCTCAGAAAGTGTCCTGATATTTAAATTTATTTTAAAATTGTATGCCATAGTATTCTTTAAGAAGAAATTCTATATATGGAAACTCAGTAGATACAGGATAATTTTCTATTCTGAATTAAAAATCAGGACTCACTGATATGAACAAGAATTCAAAAGAGATGCTATTGCTTATGGAGTTCATTCTTCAGCCTTGCTCTTCAATTTTACCACTTTTTCTCTAAGATGGTCATTCTGGTAATTGTAGCCACTCCTGATCAGCTCAGCTCCCAATGCTGCCCACTCTCTATAGTTCCATGACACTGAGTCTCCAGGGCTATTGACTACTCTTTATTAAGCATGTCCACATATATATATATATACACACACATATGTATGTATATATACACATACATATGTATATATATATACACACACACACATATATGTACATACACCTATATACATATATATGAGTGTGTGTATATATATGTATGTGTATATATACACAGACACACACACACATTTTAAAAGAACTACAGCTGCTCAAGGATTTCTAGTGTGTGGGTGACAGCAAGGTTACATTAACCATATTACTTGAATCTTATTTGTTATTAGCCCCTGTTTGTGTGATAATAGGAGTTCAGTCCCCATTTCAGAGTGTTGTGTTCTTTTAAGCGATTTGGGGAATCCCTAGGGCATGACACACATTCTGCCAAGTGAGTGTGAGCCACTGCTCACCCCTGACCTGCTTCTCCCTCAACCTCTAATCCCTGTTGCTCAGTTTGGCTCATTGCACCTGATAGTTCCCTCACACAGGGAAAATGATTGGGGTTTGGATGGAGGAGGAATTCTTCAATCTCCCCTGGCAATTTAGTTTCTTTGGGTGTCCATCCCTTCTGTCAGACATTGCTGTGATATCGCGGTCCAGCTATGGATGTGACTGCATTATTTATCCAGGAGATTCCTCAGCCTTCCTGTAAGTCGTGTTGTAAATGTGGCTTGAGCAGTGCTGCTTAGCATCACTCAGCAGATACATCCACGTCTCAGATCTTCCCTGAGCCAAGACCACACTTGCACCCTTCCCCTGGTCCTACCATATGACTTACCATGGTGAAGCATGGGAAAAATGAGCTAAGGGTTAAACCAATTTAATTTTAGACCAGACTTTGTGGCTAATTGTGTAACCTTAAATAAATATTTTTATCCATGTGAACTTAGTCTCTTCATCTACAAACTATCAGAGGTGTGGGGTAGATTATCTGTAAGTATCTTTCTACATGTAAGAGAGCATCATTTTAGGAATAAACTTATCAACAAGCAGGAAATTTATTCCTCTTTCTCATTGTCCTCACCCCAAACTAGTAGGGAGTTTTGTATATTTTAGGATCTTTCATGGTAGGGTGGCCAAAGCTCTTAACTGTGAGTCCGAAGGCTTCAGTTTGGGTTCCAGTCCTTCTCACACTGAGTTTTCTAACTTCAAATAAATCACTCACTTGCTTAATTTGCTTATATATAAGAGAATGCTCTTGAAGATGCTTTACAACTCTATTATTTAAATGCCAAGATGAGAAGATATCTCTTAGATATTTTTTCTTTTGTTTAGCCTCTTACCTTGTCAAAGAATGTCTCCAAAGGAGATTTGCTCAGGTGTCAAATCTCCACTATTTATTGTCAGCATGAAATCTTCCACTGAGTGGGAGAAGATAAATTTTGAATTGTGAGTGTGAATTATGCTTGCTTAGCAAGGCCTTACTTATCTTTTTTTGGTTGTTTTCCTCATGTCTCTCTATGATCCACTAGGGGGTTTGCATTAAGCTTATGATGCCCAGCATGATTGATTGTATTTCCAGTGGCTGGACACTTTGCTGGGGGCTGTGGTTATGTCTTAGAAAATCACACTAATCGAATTTGAAGACACTGATGTGCATTCTCAAGTAAGAGTCTGGCTCTTGGGGATTTCATCTAGGTCAGGCTTTATAAATTAAGTGATGGATTTTTTTTCCTTAAGTCAGTAAATAAAATTCATCAGTGGCCTTACATTGCCTTCACACTTCTGCAGTTCAGCCAACCTATGAGTCAAGTAGCATTTTATCCACTTTAAAGCTAATATTTTGTGGTAGTTGGCAATCTATTTATTAAAGGCAGAAGATGGAAACACAGGGTAATTTGAGAACAACTTTTTTTTTTTTTTTTTTTTTTTTGAGACGGAGTCTCGCTCTGTCGCCCAGGCTGGAGTGCAGTGGCGGGATCTCGGCTCACTGCAAGCTCCGCCTCCCGGGTTCACGCCATTCTCCTGCCTCAGCCTCCCAAGTAGCTGGGACTACAGGCGCCCGCCACTACGCCTGGCTAATTTTTTGTATTTTTAGTAGAGACAGGGTTTCACCGTTTTAGCCGGGATGGTCTCGATCTCCTGACCTCGTGATCCGCCCGCCTCGGCCTCCCAAAGTGCTGGGATTACAGGCGTGAGCCACCGCGCCCGGCCTGAGAACAACTTCTGAGATCACTGAAAAGCTAGAGAAAAATGATCATTAAATGTATTTCTCAGAAATTGTTGAAGACCATACGTTTACTGTCATTCCTTTCTGTATAGGAAACAATGCAGAATTTTTCGAAGGTCTCAGATCAAAGGCAGTTTCAAAATAGCAAAACAATTGTACCGTTTTTATTTTACTTCATTTATTTATTCATCTACTTATTTTAAAATGTTTACTAAACACTTATTCTGAGCCAGAAAGCATGCAGGGAATGGAAGCAGGCACACCTTTAAAATCTCAGGGTCTTTTTTTTTTCTCCTTAAGGCAATAAGGATTTGAGAAAACAAAGCAACAGATATTGAGAATCAATCTGTAAGAAGGATAATAATATTAGGGTAAAAACTTGATATCTTTATGTATGTTTGCTACACAGTATTACTGGGAAGATTGTAAGAACTATGATAATTAAAATGCATGGTGCCTGGTTTATAACAGATGCTTATATATGTTAGTCTCTTTTCACTAGTGGGAAATGACACTAAAAAATGTACAGTCCTTTCAGATTAGAGTATTTTTAATGCTATCGGATAGTGTCTGTATTATTAATTGCTGTATCCTAGAACAGGGCTTAATTTGTTTGTAATGAGTGACAATGAATACGTAAACAAGGGAGGGTCATTGAAGGTATTTTTAAAATCTGCTGAAGATGCTGTAGACAGAGATCTTCCATTAGAAGTGTTATTGCTCTAGGTGATCTTTACGGAAAAAAAAAAATGTAAAGCTAGAGAATAGGGACAGACACCACCAAAATGTGAAGCATGATTTATCAAGGAATACAAAAGCAAAACTCAGCAGGACCCCTACGCTTCCATTATCCTATGAAGAAATGTGTTTAGCTGGAGCACAAATAGATACCAAGTGGAAAGTGCCACAGAAGACAGACCCTATTACATCCTGAGTTATGCTCCTATGGAGAATCTAGGGGAGGACCGAAGAGAATCTGGCCTATACTGTAATAAAAGGAGCTTTCTGCTCAGAAAAAAAAGCTAGCTTTGAGCTTTGAGAACTCACACAACAGTTGCCTAGGTTAGATTTTACAGAGCTAGAGTGCTTCTAGAGTACATAGGGGAGAGGGAAAGCCACAGGGTTATCCAGCAAATAGAGGGATTGTCTCCTCAATGTCATTCTTTCTTCTTTGAAACTGTTATGGACTTCTTGATGCTGCTGGGACTCGGAATTCGGTATTAAAAAGTAGCCTTAGGTTTGTTTCTCCTTAGTCACTTTGTTAACGAGTGTGTAAAAAACATTAACTACTGTGAGAAACTGCTATTTATAGGAAATTTCTTGATGTAATCTGAGTTTTAACAAAAGAAATAGGAAGGAGTTCTTAGGAAGTCACTTTGTGAGGAAGGAGAAGGCAAAACGGGTGTTGAGAAGAAATCTACAGGAAAGATGACTGTGTTAAAGGTTCATATTTTTTAAAAAAGTTGATGTCCATATTAAGATAGAAATTCAGAACAGACAGATGTTGGATGGATGAACAGACATTAAGGATGGATTTACCTAGGTCTGGAGTACTTACACATGTGAGGGATATATAGATAGTAGTACTCTGGAGGAGAGAGGATTAGGCTTATACATACACTTTCTGATTCTGCCTCTTAGGTTTACCTTTCTTAAATGAGACTATTCTGTCATTAGCTGCTGCACTAATTTTGGGAAGAATATATAAAACGTGGATTGGATACTAATGGATTCCCGCTGCAGGTAGAATTTGTCTTAAATTTTGGGAGCTACGCTGCCAGTGGAAACCCAAGGAAATTAGTGATATTTCCACATTTTGACATAATAGATTCAGGATAATCTTGGACATAATTTGTTTTTCTTGGCTAGCTAAAGCTAAGAAAAACCCAAATTTCTACTGTCAGACACATTTTCTCTTAATTATAAGTGCTTTTATGGAAAGTTAATTTGTGTGGGTATAATTTATTTACATATATTTACATTTGACTCATTAAAATGTTCTTTCCAAGAGTTGTTTGCAACTGTTTGAGCATTTTAAGTCTTGTTGAAAAATGAAAATATGTCTTTTGCCAATTGAGAATAAATTTAGAAGCCCCAAAGTGTAGGTTGTAGCTGACTACCTTCTACTATGGAAAAATATTTTATGCTGACTAGTACACAGCCGCCACATAAAAACAGCATTCCAAAGGAAACAATCAATCCCTTCTCTCATAGCTGCACCCACATCAAACTTTAAGGAAATTGGTAGATTCAAGGTGTAAATACCGACATCACACAACAACTTGTAAAACAAACAAGCAAACAAAAAAAGCAAAATGCGCATTGCATTTTATTTATGTTTGTGAAGGTTCAGTCACTCAAGAAGCATTTATCAAATACCTACTTTGTACGAGACATAGTAGTTGCTCTAAAGCAACCAACATTTTATAAACCATTATCTTTGCTCTCAACTTATTATCAACTAAAAACCTATTAGACTCTGATACAAATCTATCCCCCCTAACACTCCTGTGTTATTTTTATAATTCCTGTCATGAGCTGATAGTAGTTGACAATTGTTCCACCACTACTTATCACTAGGCACACAACTAAATGATATTATATGCATCTATATGGTTTTATACGTATAATTTTATTCAAAGTTACATGGCCATTATTTGTAATAGATATTATTATACCCATTTAACAGACCTAAGAAGGAGCCTTTGAAAAATTCATTAACTTTCCCAAGATCTGTTTCACTTGAAGGCTTAACTCCTTATTATTATCTTCTTTTTTTTTTTTTTTTTTTTTTGAGATGGAGTCTCGCTCCGATGCCCAGGCTGAAGTGCAGTGGCGCAGTCTCCACTCACTGCAACCTCTGCCTCCCGGGTTCAAGCAATTCTCCTGTCTCAGCCTTCCAAGTAGCTAGTGTTTGAATGGATTAACATATCTTTAGGAGCACTGGTAATTAAAGTTTTGCCCTATAGGGATATGCATTGTTTCCATTCACAGGTCAAAACTCATCATCCTTCTCTCCCTTCCCCTACACACTACTAAGGAAACTACATGTTAGAGGATTGTAAACGACAGTTTTTAGTATCACCTAGAAAACCCGTTTTCTTATAAGAAAAAAAATGATAGGAGAGTTCTAGTGAAAGATACAAAAACAATTCCTCAGTTATAGAAGAGAAGCTATAGGGTGCATGAAACCAAGCATTTAGAAGAAAAGATAAAGTTTAATTTCTTTGTTTGGAATATCTTAATAGACAGTCTTATGTCACTAGGTGATTTTAGCCTATATCCAAAAAGATTTAGCTGACTGAATTAAGTTAATCCTTTTTATTCTGGCCACTTGATAATGGTCAACTAAGAAATCCAAATAATTAAAAGGGCTTTGTTTTTACCTAAACCCGCATATAAACCACCTCACTGGCTCAATGAAAAGTGAATATTATGATCTGGGAATAACAAAATCAATCCTGATAAATTCATTATCTACATTTTTGACTGAAACTGGATTGAGCAGAAAAACTGATCGTTTTCACCCACACTCTTGACTTCTGAATCAAGGATGATTTAGGCTTTAGGAGTTAGATCTACAAACACAGAATTTGAAATGGGCCCTAGGGAATGAGAAGAAGCTGTCACTTTCCACTAGCGTAAAAGAAATAGTGTTAGGCAACATTGTTCTTAAGAGACTCAAATAATTTTGGCTGCCCCAAAGGGTTTCAGTTCTTTGTAGTTTTATCTACTTATTTCTCAGTGATGATATTTATTGAAATAAATTCATGATCCTAAGTCAAAAGAATATCTGCAGTCTGTGGCTATGTTGATCTTTCTTTGTTTTCACTAGACTTTTTCATTATGTTTTAAATCTTGATGTGTAATATTGTAGAAGAAAACCAGATTACATATCACTCTAAGCCTATGACTGTTCCAAATGGAACTACTCTAACATTGTTGACTTACTGGAAAGAAAGTGTTTTTAATAATAAAGCAAACAGTTACCTGTCTGGTTAACATTTATCAGTGGCGCTGAGTCATTTTATCACTTGATCATTCTATTTTGTTTTTTAAGAAAGGAATGGTCAATAAAAAAGTACAAATTTTAAGCCGGTGCGGTGGCTCACGCCTGTAATCCCAGCACTTTGGGAGGCCAAGGCAGGCAGATCACCTGAGGTCGGGAGTTTGAGACCAGCCTGACCAATATGGAGAAACCCTGTCTCTACTAAAAATACAAAATTAGCCAGACGTGGTGGCGGGCATTTGTAATTCCCAGTTACTCAGGAGGCTGAGGCAGGAAAATCGCTTGAACCTGGGAGGCGGAGGTTGCAGTGAGCCAAGATCCTGCCATTGCTTGCCAGCCTGGGCAACAAGAGCAAAACTCTGTCTCAAAAAAAAAAAAAAAAAAAAAAAAAAAGTACAAATTTTAGTAAAAGTGAAAATAAAGGTATCTCTTAAGAAATTAAGCCTCCTATTAACCTTGACTTAGCCAATCATGCTACCTATAAGCAGTAAGAAAACATAAATAAAGGCCGGGCATGGTGGCTCATGCCTGTAATTCTAGCACTTTGAGGGGCCGAGGTGGGTGGAATGTGTGAGCTCAGGAGTTTAAGAGAGGCCTGGGCAAAATGGTGTAACCCCATCTCTACTAAAATACAAAAACCAAAAAAAATTAGCCGGTCATGGTGGTGTGCGCCTGTAGTCCCAGCTACTCGGGAGGCTGAGGCAGGAGAATTGCTTAAACCCAGGAGGCGGAGGTTGCAGTGAGCCGAGATGATGCCACTGAACTCCAGCCTGGTGAAAGAGCGACACTACATCTCAACAAAAAAAAAAAGAAAAAGAAAAAGAAGAAAATATGAATAAAACAATGTAATTTTGTCATAATTACAGAAGAACACATTGCTTGCTACAACAAATACTGATACGGAAATGTTCCTTCATATAACAGTCAGAATAGTCATATTAATGTTGTGGTAACAAACAGCCTCTAATTTTAGTGGCTTAAATAACATGGGCTAACTTTTGGTTCACCTTGGCTTCCTACTATGGGTGAATGGGAAACTGTAATTGTAACAACTCAGTGATCTAGACTGGTAGAGTAGTGACGTGCTTGAAAATTGCTGGTCTCCAGGCCAGAAAGAAAAAAGATAGTCTTGCACTGGTAATTAAATTTTTGCCCTATAGTGATATGCATTGTTTCCATTCACAAGTTGTTTGTGAAAACTCATCATCCTTCTCTCCCTACCCCTACACACTACTAAGGAAACTAGAGGGGAAATCACACAAATGATCTTCAAGAGACAGAAGTTTGTGGATAGAAAATGTAGACATTGAACTGACAACTAACACAAACCTAATGTACAATTTACCTAATATACAATTGAGGAATGATAATAAGTACTTTAATTGAGAAAGGGAAAGATTGGGAGGCACACAGAGATTTTACTTTTCTGCTGAATATAAAGCCCAACTGATTAAAAATTTTAAGATCTCTTATCTTGGGGATGAAGGATGCTGCTTGCTTTGTTTTTTAATCAGTCCCAAGTTCAATATTCTTTATGACTCTCAGCTCCGTGCTCTGGGGGTTTCCTTTTTCTCTGTTATTCTCCTTGGCCATATTCACAAGAGTGATGGAGAATAAACCTTTGTTTGGTGACTGAGCAGTGTTCTCAGCCTGATTCCTGCCAGTAGAAGTGTACAAGCCCATAAAGAATGACATTCTTTTATTTGCAACAATATGGATAGAACTGGAGGTCATTATACTAAGTGAAATAAGACAGGCACAGAAAGTCATTTCAGATTTTAAGCAGTTGCAGTCTCTTGTAATCCAAACTGATGGTCCTTTTAACCAGAATAACCACAAGAGCATGGTCTTAGAGAACTAGGGAAATGGGTACTATTTGTGGTGTGCTTGTGAGCTAGAGTCAGGAACTAAGCAGAGATTTAGAACTTGAGCTAAGTTCAGTAGGATTCCACTGTCAGTAAGGCCTTTGAGCCAAGTAATCTTAGCCACAATAGGAACCAAGCTTAGCGTGAAAAGACCGTAGTCCTCTCTGCCTGGTGTTTTTAAGGATACGAAAGCGGTAGCTGCCTACATCATAACTGGGTTAAAGGACACACAGGGCTGAGTCTGTAAGTTTAAGCAAGAAATTGAAGAATTCAAGAAGGCAGTGACTGACAGTGCTTTGTCCCAGATTACATAAAGAGTTGATGAGAACAAAGGAGATCTCTTGATTTTGGGACTATAATTTAGCTTGGGCAAATTCTCCACCATGCTCTTCAAAGATGTTTAAAAAAGAGACAACAATGCAAAGAAAGCAAAATAGAAAATTTTAATTTGCTTAACTCTTTCATAATGTTTTCAAGTCACCCTAAATATGAGGGAATGGAGTCCCTGTGGGTTCCAGTGTTTTGCCCAGGCAGGTCATATCACAAGAAGACGATATGCCTGACTCCCCTGCCTGCCAAGATAGCACATTCACCCACTGTGCTGCCTATCCCAATTTTAATTAAATGCACATATGTTCTTGTTTTGCTTTTGTTCTTTCTGTCTAAACTCATCATTCCCAAGTTTTGATCCTACTTATTACTCCAAAATGTCCTCAGAATGGCATAACTCTAAAATATTCTATTATGGGTTTTGAACTCAAAATTATCTATGTTTGAATTCAAATCTACTTAGGCAAAATATTCACGATTTCGCATGCATTTTTCTCAAATAGAGATAATACTGCTGATAGGTAATAAGAATACCACAGAGGGGAAGGGGCTCTACTGTTTAGGGGAGAATGGTATCAGGGCAATAGTCTGCTTCCTTTTTTCACATCTTACTCCATTAATGGAGAAGCAAGAGTGGGTAAGTTTTCTCTCTCTTTTGATTGGAGAAAGAAGATTTAATTTTCAAAATTAGCTTCTTCTGCTTTTTTTTTCCTTCATTTGATTTGACCTGCTCCTTACATGCAGATTTTCATCTCTTTACCAAGCAAGTCAAAAGAAACTCCAGTCTATATTCCTGCAGTGAAGAGATGGGGTGGAAAACAAGGGGGAAACTGCAGTTGATCAATTATTGTGACCTGGTGGGTAACATGTGTCCAGAGAAAAGAAGAAAAAGGCCATATTGTTGTTGGGCCCAGTTTGGATGCTAAGATCTTCCCCTGCCCTCCTTTGCAAATTTGATATTTTGATGATTATTTGCTTCTTAAATCTTAAAAGATGCAAAATATGTAACATAAAACTTGCTACAAAGTTAGTGTTCAATAATTATATACTATTTTATTATACATATATATTTGACATTTGTGTATAACTTATATGTATATATGCGTATAACATATATATAATATATGTATGTATAGTTTGTGTATAACTTTTCCACTAATGTTAATGCTATTTGCTTTTTGTAAGAAATTGCAGGGAGAAGGCAGAAATAGCATATAAAACCTTGTTAGTTTATTACCTGTGATGCAAATTTCTCTTTAGACAAATTTCTCTTTGTTTCTAAAACTTCTACATTTTCTTCTGTAAGGTAAGTAGGGCTGGTCATGACTGCCTCAGAGTTAGTGTAAGTTAAAACTAATCGATAAGCCAGAGCAATATTGATTCAGGTATTCTATAAATGATTCCTTGTTATGATTCTTAAATCTAGAATTGTATTAATTAAGAATATGGATTGCAAATTAAAGAAACTAACTCAAGCTAGCTACCAAAAAAAAAAAAAAATGTTTTTTAGAAGCCTCCTGATTATCTCATTAAATTCAAGGAAACACTGGAAAACCATGCCTCAGGATGGTAGTAACCCTGGGAACAACTGAAGAAATAAACTTTTATTTCAAGCTCTGCCATAGTGTAACCCACTAACCCCAACTAGTCAGACTAGCAGGTCAAATTCTCTTTTTTGAATCTTATTATCATAACTCGAATTATGTATCAGGCATGAGTCAGCCAGACCCTGTGGCTTATAGGTTAGGCAGACACTTCCCAAGTTGTTTTCCATAAGTCTTCAAAAAGAAATTATTTGAAAATACTATAAGAAGATAATTATGGAGAATATTATTAATGGATTCCTTATGTTGCTCAATTTGCCTTGTATGAAGATCACAGTGTCAAATTCCTCTTAATGCTTAGGTTGAAGAAAAACCTTACTTCTTCTGAATAAATGCATTGCTTTTCAAGTAGAAAATGTGACCTACATATCAGATCTTATCTCTCTTTGCCTTTGTTTCTCCAAAGCTCAGAACAAAATCTTATTCTCTCATTTTCTTCTATCCCTCTTCAATCAGAATTTTTGAAAATTCCATACCACTTTTGTTTCTTCTTATTTCTAATAATAAATGATCTTACTATACTACCTCCATGTTTAAGGTGTCTCAAATGTGTTTTGGAGTGGATGTCATTTAAACGAATAAAGATCATTCAAATAACAAAATTTTGAGAAACGAATAGTATACTTTAGATTTATAGATATGCTAAGTTAATGAGTTATATTTATTTACCATTATTTCTTTGTAACCTACACAAAGTCAGCTAAATTTGAACATTAATCCTACCTTCATAGCATATTGGTAATAAAGAACTCATGTTCTTATAGGCCCAAATATCAGTGTATGTCCTTTATTTGCTAGTCTTCACTCTAGTCCCTTATATTCTTTTTGATTAAGATCATTGATCTAGCTATTGAATCTCAGTGTTCTTCTCTGTTTGGTATTGGGGATTGAAATTTAGTATATTGGTCAAGAGAATGGACTATACAGTTTGCCTGATTTAAATTCAAATTCTGGTTACTAGCTATGTCACTTTGGGAGAGTTATCTAAATTTCACTTTATGTATCTGTAAATATGGGATGCTAATACCCACTCAATCAGGTTGTCATAGAGATTAAAATAAAATGTCTTATAAAAGCTCATAGCAGGGCATAAAGCAGGAGCTAAGTAATTGGCAGTGATCATTATTATTACTATGGCGGTGATTTAACTACCTTTCTGCAGGTTATTGAATTTCCAGTTATTTTGGTGATTTCTAAGGCGTTATTGCTCTTGCCATCAATCCTTATTGGTTCATTTAACTTCTGCATGTTTTGTTGTACTGCTGTTTACTGTTTCATTTTTCATTGCTTAGAATCCTATGCTGTATGTTCTCATACTTTTCATTTTATTATAACGTTCAAATATTTATCACGTTTAGAATATGTACCACACGTGTTTTTCTCAGACAAATATAAGCTCCACAAGGAAAGAGACCACATCAGTTGTTTTCTCTGTATCATCACCCATGCATAGCATAGTGCCTGCAGCACAGTAGGGATTCAACAAATTTTTATTGATGTCAATCATATTTCTGTCATTTTTTTTTCTACTCTGCACTTTGCACATCCCTTGCCTTGCCTTCTCGTGGATGGTTTTTATAGCTCTTGCTTCTTTAAGTCTACTGTTTTTCTACTCTCTCTCTCTCTTTTTTTCTTTTTTTTTTGAGACAGCAGTTCGATCTTGTTGTCCAGGCTGGAGTGCAATGGTGTGATCTTGGCTCACCGCAACCTCTGCCTCCCGAGTTCAAGCGATTCTCTGGCCTCAGCCTCCCGAGTAGCTGGGATTACAGGCATGTGCCACCACGCCCAGCTCATTTTGTATTTTTAGTAGAGACAGGGTTTCTCCATGTTGGTCAGGCTGGTCTCAAGCTCCCGACCTCAGGTGAACCATCCGCCTCTGCCTCTCAAAGTGCTGGGATTGCAGGCGAGAGCCAGTGCACCCGGCCTGTTTGTCTACTCTCTTTGTGTGCTGTAATTGCATTCCTTTGTTCTGAAATTCTTGGTTATTGTTATAAATTTTTGCAGAAGTGGTCCCACAGGAAACTCTGTCATTTGGGTGGGAAAATACCAAATTTCTACAGTGCCATTAGGATAGGAGTCATCTCCAAAAAACAAACCAACAAAAAAAACCATTTATCTTGGATGCCTACTCTCCTGTCACTTTAAAAATTTTTCCAAGCAGCAGCCCCAAAGAAAGAACATTCAAGACTATAGGCTGAGTCAGAACTGGAGATTCAGCTCTTTCATTTATAACCCTTTGCTGCCCACTGTATGAATTTACAGTGGCACATTATCATCTTAACTGCCTTTTAATGGTAATGGTGATGTCCTGCAAATTGAGAAAAAAGACGTTGACTGTGAATTCCTAGGAGATTATAGGCCCAATAACTACTGTTATTAGTTCCAGGATGATTGCCAATAATGCAGCATCACTTAGGCTCCATTATTTGCAATCTTAAGGGCTTTAAGAATCATCTAAATTCCCTAAACCGTTATCTTTAACTTAGACCGGACTACGATGCTGATAAGCACAACTGGGGTTCAGTCATTAGATATCTAAATTGGGAAATTATTGTCTTTTTAGTAAAATGCCCTTTTAGAAAATAAGTTAGAAAGGGTTTCTAAGGGTTAATTAGTGGTAGGAAAATAAATGCTACTCCTTTCTTCCCACCCCCAGCAGGTTCGTAAGCTATTTCTATATAAGCAAGACTGAAGGAGCTTCAGCATGCTATCTACTAATGACCTTAACATTAAACTTCGGAAGCCACATGGACACTCTTACATATAGAGTGGAGAGATTTCTGTCCACTCTAGGGATTGTTTCAAGCTTAGTTCATATTAAAGCATCAGTGTGAACACAACCAGCATCTTTTGGTTATTCTAATGGGAGACTTTGTAGTTCTGTTTCGGCTAGAGGACAACAATCCATATATGTTTGAAATGAAGCCATTAACTATTCAGAGAGGAAATATCTGAAAATTAAAAATTCAGGTTTTCTATAATAGCTTCTAGGATTTTTTGATGTATAAAAGTGGTACTGGGGCATACTGGAAAGAATATGGTTTTGAAATTAGATACATCTGTTTAGATATTTCTAGATGTAAGGCCTTAGGCACATCAACCTCTCTAAGGACAATATTTATCTTCCCACATTGTTAGGAGTAAGTAAGGTAATTTATGCAAAGATTTTCAGAACTTGGAAATGTAGAACAAGAAACAAAAATCAACAGAAAAAAGGAAAAGGCGAGTGTAGGTGAGGGCTTGGAGGTAGGCTTTGCAGAGACTTTGGGAGTTCTGATGCATAGGAGCAATATTAGTATGAAAAAAAAAAATTGGAAACAAAAAAGACAATTTAAAGAAGCATCACTGTGGGTTGCAAGCTCCCTTCATTGTACTTTGAAAAATGCAACTAAAGATCTTAAATTGTTTGGAATTTCTTTTATTTCTAAACTGTGTTCCTAGAGTGAGATGTTGTCTTGAGGCTGGAGCATTGAGATCAATATAAATTCTTACATCAGCATAACTGCTTCTCTCTCCCCTGCCCCACATATTGGTTGGTTTCACCAGATTCCAAAGTAGAGGAAACAGCCATGGTAGAAAGACACTGGTTTGATTTCATAAGATCTCAGTTTAAAGTGCTTAATCTCACTTTCTCACTTAACACTTAAAAATATTATTTAATCTCCTGATTTTTATTGTCTATTCTATAAGTTAAGAATAATAATACCTCACTTCGTTGTTATAGTGATTAGGTGAACTCATGCATAAAAACATACAGCATGGAAACAAGTTTTATATTATTTGATAATATTGGTGTTGTTAAATTCAATCAAGAAATAAGGCACCAGAGGAATAGATTAAGAGCAGCCCTTTCAACTCTTCCTTGCTGTTGTTGGGGCAGGGTGGGGGGTTGGGTTGCTACTCCAGAGAATAATTTGAAAGGGACTCTCTTTTCCCATCTTGTGTTTCTATTGTATTATTTGTCTCTTTTGCTTTATACAACTTTTTTTTTTAAGTATCTATTCTTAGTTCCCCTCCTTCTTAGGGACATGAGGTGTAAAGAATGTACTAAAAATGAAAGTAAGGGCCGGACACGGTGGCTCATGCCTATAATCCCAACACTTTGGGAGGCCAAGGTGGGTGGAAGACCCGAGGTAAGGAGTCCAAGACCAGCCTGGCCAACATAATGAAACCCCATCTCTACTAAAAAAAAAAAAAAATCAGCCGGGTGTAGTTGGGGGGTGACTGTAATCCCAGCTACTTGGGAAGCTGAGGCAGGAGAATTGCTTGAACCCAGGAGGTGGAGGCTGCAGTGACCTGAGATCATGCCATTGCACTCCAGCCTGGATGACAAGAGTGAGACTCTATCTCAAAGAAAGAAAGCAAGAAAGAGAGAGAGAGAGAGAGAGAGAGAGAGAAAGAGAGAGAGAGAGAGAGAGAGAAAGAAAGAAAGAAAGAAAGAAAGAAAGACAGCCACACTTTGACAATTTTGTTCAGATCCAGAACAATATATTCTCCTTTCATCAATCTCCATCTATTTTATATGTATCCACAATTATGTGATATGTGCTACAAAATCGGAGCTGTTTTTTTCATTGGTTCTCTTTATAACAGCATAGCCTGTTTAATGTTCTATGAAAATAAAGACATTTATTAAAAATGCTCAGTAATTGTAAGTTAGTTGCCATATTAATATAATATAAAACATGTCTGAGGGTTGCTAAAGATAAATGTTTTCCAAGGGAAGAAATTCAGTTGTAAGAATCTGCTGACCCCAGTACTCTACTCTGAACTGAGAATTGTAAAGCCAGCTCTACAAACCAGTTATCTATCATTGGGCCTATCTTCAGGCAGAGTGATTATTCTACCTGAGCCTACATTTCCTTATCTATTGACTAAATGGTATCATAATCTGCTCTAGATGTCACTAATTGAGAAGACAAACTCATAATTGCCATGTTTAGGGAAAGCAGAGGAAGCAAATAGAGAAGAACCAAGATTTTAAATCTGAAACCAGCACTAAAAAGGTAACACACTAAGGATAACATTAGCAGGGGTCCAGAGATGATTGAGATGCATTTATAGTGTTGTGATCATGTGGTATAGTCTTGGGAAAAATTAAGAGGGACAAGGTTTTGACAGCAGCTTGGACTATCTGAAGGCTTGACTTGCTTAAACTTATGAGTGCCCCTTTCACCACAAATACGAGTCTGATTTTTCACCCCAGAGTCTGATAAATTAATTTTTGTGCTATTTTTTTTCACTTTACAAGTGCAGTGAGTCTGAAAAAAAAGATAAACTAATTGATATTTCTAATTTGGAAGATAGTTTGATGACAACATACAGTGAATCTGAGTGAAAGATATCAGCAACAGTTAAATGATTGCCAAAAACAAATGTTTTGGAGGTCAAAGAGTTGTTGCTTTAGTTGTTTCTTGACTCTGAAAGAAAAATTTAACTAGAAGTAGCCTCCAAGAGTGAGTGATTATCAATTTGGCTATACCAATTTAAATGTAAATCTCATTCAAAGATACCCTTACAAAAACAAACAGAATGGTCCCAGCCAAGGTGACACATAATTCAAACACTGGTTGGAAGGTATGTCAAACAATCTCATATATCGGTATTATATATGCAATATGTAATATAATATAATCTATAATGTACAATATATCACATTACAATGCATTAATCTCAGTTTTATCTCTTTCTGTCCATATCTATCTATCTACTTACATATTGTCAGTCAACCAATCTCAAAAAATATAACAACTAATCAGGTGCCAACCATAATCTTGAGACACAGGCTTGAAGAACATAAACCTAAATGTCTGAAATCTTAAAAGATCAAGTTTAAGTCTAAAATCCTGAAAATAACAATTTCCAAAGATTAAAATTCCCAAGTGTTGAAATCCTGAAAGCCAAACACTGGAGAAGGGATTAGTGCATTTTTAGTTGGATGCAAGATAGTTGCATCATATTAGTAGTACTATGCCAATCAGAACTATTTCCTTGCTACTGTCTCATATTTGGAAATTAAATATGTTTTAATGAGATGCATATGGGTGCCAGGTTGACAAAGGGTGAACTTGTGGCCTTAATTTTAGATGTCAATGTGACTGGATTAAGGAATACGTAGAAACCTGGTAAAGCATTATTTTGGATATATCTATGAGAATGTTTCCAGAGATTAGTGTGTGTGTCTGAGTAGTCTAGGTGGGGAATGTCTGCCCTCAATGTTGGCAGGCACCATCCAATTAGCCAGGTGCCTGGAGAAAACAAATAAAGAAGATGAGCTGATCTCTCTGAGAACTGACAGAGACTTGACTTCTGCTGCCTTGGATATCAGAACTCTAGGTTCACCAGCCTTTGGACTCCAGAACTTAACACTAGTGGCCCTCTGGTTCCAGAGGTATTTAGTCTTAGACTAAGAGTTACACCTTTCACTTCCCTGGCTCTTAGGAGTTTGGGGGACTGAGCTGCACTACCAGACCCATCCCACGTTCTCCAGCTTGCAGGTGGCCTGTCATGGGACTTCTTAGCCTCCATAATCACATGAGCCAATTCCCCTAATAAATTGCTTCATATATCATTATACGTATCCTATTGTTTCCATTTCTCTGAAGAACGCTGACTTATACAGATCTGATACTGAGGAAGCCAAATATAATTTCTTTTTCTGTATTCCCTACAATAGGGCATCTATTCCTACAGTAGAAACTGTTCCCTCAAAAAAAAAAAAAGGCTGTGATGTTAAGTTTATGAGGCTACTTAGATAAATGTTTAAAAGCTAATTATTATTGGTGCTGCAAAAGCAGGAAATTGCTTAATTGCAATGGCCAAGCAAAAACCAGACTTACAGTTGGACAGCATATACTTGCAAAATTTGGAGACCACAACCACTCTTCAATTACAAATGCAGTGAGTGTTTCAAAGATCATAGAAGAGAAAATGTAGGTGAAAAATCCAAAAACTACCCCTCCCCTGCCAAACTGTTCAATTATGCAAACTTCTGCCCCTTCACATATCGCACCAATTTGCTATGTATTACATCTTCATATTAGTTCCAATCCTGCAGGTATGAATTATGTAAAGACTTTTAGAGTTCTTACTTGTTTTATGCATTTTTTGCAAATTTGGTTGCACAAAAGTGCATTTTCATGATATCGACTTTGTGGCTAAGCATTGTGTGTGTACATAAAAATGTTGAAACTTCCTCAGTAAATTAAGAGATGTCCTTTTTGAACATCTTCATTTGTGAAATATAAAACTTCTTGAGATCTCAGCTCCTTGGGTGACTTCATATGTGGTGGTGACCCACTGTGGTTTTTGATTGATCCTGTCAAAAAAATTGGATTGTCTTTCACAGTATTTCAGATGACCAAAAATATAAAGCTGAGTGCATACAATTACCAACCGCAGTGATATGCATTTACACATATTACTTTTTGGCCTGTTTCTCTATGAGTATAGTTTGTCTCCTCACAACTGTTATAATCATGTGACTGTTGTTAGTATACCTGAGTGCTTATGCTTGCCAAAAATAATATTATCACCTATTTTACTGTGTAAAGTGGCCTATGACATATTCTGTCATGTTTTTATCTGTTTCCCAAATAAATTCCTTTTAGAAATGTAATTAAATGTGTTTCTTTACATATATGATCCATTTTATTTCATTGTTTTCTTCTTGTTTAATCAGTACATAAACTTGTACATATTTTTGGGGTGCATGTGATAGTTGGATACACATATACAATGTGTAGTGATCAAATCAGGATATATAGGGTATCCATTGCTTCAAATATTTATCATTTCTTTGAGAACATTTCAAACCTTATCTTTTAACTCTTTTGAAATATAGAATAAGTTATTGTTAACTATAGTCACTTTATCATGCTGTCGAACACTGAAACTTTTTCCTTCTACCTATATGTTGTACCCATTAACCAACCTCTCTTCAACTTCCACCCCCACTTTTTGTAGCCCTTGGTAACCATCATTCTACACTCTACCAGCAAGTGATCAACTTTTTAATCTTCCACATATGAGTGAGAACATGTGATATTTGACCTTCTCTGTCAGGCTTTACATAAATGTCTTTTTAAAATGTTTTTAAATTAATTTTTCCAGAATCATATTTTTGGGACTTTTATCTTTCAAGATTGTGATTTTGGGGATTTTAGACTTTAGGGATTTTGATCTTTTAGAATTTCAATATTTGGGATGATGGTATTCGAGACTGTCTTTTAGGATTATGACCCAAACCTATACACAAACATATCTCACATATACATATATAATCAAATATTAAATGTTTATTTGTGTGTAAAGAATAATATATAGTGTGATTTTGTATTTTTTTTTTATTTCTTTGACTAGTAATTGGTGAAATCTGTAACCAAGTATTATGGATCTCATTAAATTCTGGTTTTGTGTTGTTTTGGGAGGAGGCAATCCTCTAATTTTTTTTCAGTACCTCCGTGCTCCACATTGAAATGATTTCCCCCCCTTTATATCAAGGTTTAAATTCAGACATTATACCGTAATGGGCTGTGGACTTAAATCTGTTTGCAAAGCCTGGCTTTAACCAGTGCTGTCCTGAAGCTGGTTTGCCCTGGCTTGGATGAGGAGAGTGTATGCATCTTTTCCTGTGTTCAGAGACATCGTATTTGTTGGTGGCTTGAAACTGGCCTTCATGGGGTTACTTACAACACAGAAACTGGCAAATGCTACGAAGCAGGGTTTTGTTTCTGTTTTTGGTTATTGTTGTTGTTGCTGTTGTTTGTTTTTTCCTTCAAAGGAGCCAGCTCTTAAGCATTTACTATAATACCACTGGTCTTAATGTTTTTAAATGATGTAATCTTGGACATGTAACCATTCTATTACCTGTTTTTTTGCATTGGAAATGAGGAAAATTATAATTCTTTCTTCTTCCTTCTCCTTCTTCTTGTCCTTCTTCTGCTTCTCTTTTTCTAGTAAGAGAACATATATTGCAGTGACTTGTATTAAAAGTGCTTAATAAATGCTTTCTTCCATTAATTGCGGAGAATTCTCAGTTTATGTATTTAGTTATTTAAAGCTAACACTAAGACTTCATCACTCTATGTGCCTTTCATTTCTGTTGTCTGCCTCTAATTTCCTGCCTCCTAGACTCATGCAGTGCTGGAACTTAAAGATCTTCTGTTTTTATCAATAGAATCTTTCTACATTACAAAAATTCAAGTATTAAAATTCAGATGTTAATTAACATTTATTTATTACTATCATTTGACTTCCCATTTAAGTTTTACCTCTTCTCTTAATAATATCCTTTATAACAAAAAGACACACGTTTAGTTTTTATTACACTTTACTTCCTTTAAATCTGGAGTACTTTCTCAAACTTTCCTTAATTTTTATGACCCTGCTGATTTTGAAGATTACAGACCATCTGTATTATAGAATATGCCACAATTTGGATTTTTGATGTATCCTAATAAACTATATTTAAATTATGTTTTTGACAAGAATATCAAATAAGTAATGCCATATTCTTCTCATGCCATCAAGTGGAATATATTTTTGATGTATCTCATTATGAATAATATTCATTTTGATTACCAGATTAAGGTGGGATATGACAGATTTTTCCACTGTAAATTTACTTGTTTGCCCTTTGTGATTATTATTTTTTTAACTTTCATTTAAACCTCAGGGGTACATGTGTAGGTATGTTATAAACTCATGTCATGGGGGTTTGTTGTACAGATTATTTTGTCACCCAGGTATTGAGTCTTGTACTCAGTAGTTATTTTCCCTTATCCTCTCCCTCATCCCACCCTCCACCCTCAGGTAGGTTCCAGTGTCTGTTGTTCCCCTCCATGCATCCACGTGTTGTCATCATTGAGCTCCCACTTATAAGTGAGAACATGTGGTACTTTTCTGTTCTTGCATTAGTTTGCTCAGGTTAATGGCTTCCAGTTTCATCCATGTTCCTGCAAAGGACATGATCTCATTCTTTTTTAGGGCTGCATAGTATTCCACGGTATATACATACCTATATATATACACCACATTTTCTTTAATCAGTCTACCACTGATGGGCATTTAGGTTAATTCCATGTCTTTGCTTTTGTGAATAGTGCTGCAGTGAACATATGTGTGCATGTGTTTTTATGACAGAATGATTTGTATTCCCTTGGGTATATGCCCAGTAACAGGATTGCTGGGTTGACTGGTAGTTCTGTTTTTAGCTCTTTGAGGAAGTGCCACACTTCTTTTCACAATGGTTGAATTAATTTATACCATTTACATTTTTATATCACTATGGTCTCATAGGATACAAGTTTATTCAATGGTTATAATCTGTAACTATTAATGTTTATACTCAAATTGTTCCAGATTTGTTTTGTAGGAGTGTCTTCAGTCTCAGTTGTGTGTCCTTTTGCCCTGCCCTCATCACTCTTCAAGTATTTCTCCTCACAATCTAATATTTGTCTGCTCCCACTGTGGTATCAGCTATTTTTCCAGGAATCCATGCTTTCTTATTGTGGAGAATAGCTTTAGCAATCAAGATCTGGGAAGCAGGTATGCTTATGGTTTTGTAGGTGTTGCTGATTGACCCTCTCAGTAGATAGG
Organism: Homo sapiens; assembly: GCF_000001405.40. NCBI lineage: Eukaryota > Metazoa > Chordata > Mammalia > Primates > Hominidae > Homo > Homo sapiens. The sequence goes on from NC_000009.12 coordinate 22,616,166, forward strand.
CCTGGGAAATACTTCATCTTTATATGTAGATATTTACATATCTAACTATAAACATATTTATTTTTCTATATATATCTTTACATAGTTCTATCTCTGCATGTTTTAAACCATGAGTTGACTCCAATATCTGCAATTTAAATCCAACACAACGGGATTAATTCTCATTTTCTCCCTTTTTTGACAATGAGAAACTTGATTCCCATTATCCTTAATATTGTTGTTTACTTGATCCAGTTTTCATTTTGGTTACATATTCAAGCAATTATTGTAACTGCCATTGCCACTGCTTCATCCACGTCACCTTACACCTAAATGCTCCCTCACCTTGCTTAAGCGCTGGCACTCTGCGCCAAAGCCTTACATTACCTCTCCACTTGAGTGAACACTCTCCTTACCTCATTCATGCTCTGAACATCAGGCTGCTTGCACTATTGCCCTTTGAGTGGGAATGCTCACCACTTGCTTGGGCTCTGAAAACCCACCTTAGGGTGCCCTTCTGTAAGGATACCCACTCACTTTTCTCTTCAGAGCTCTGTACCACAGACGTCATAGTCATCCCTCTTGGGTTCCAGCATCCCAGGCTAGGCTACTGTGACCTCCCTAGGATGTGGGTGCCTACTTTCCTTGGATCCACTGAATGGCCTTTGGACTGCAACGGAGGGGAGAGAAGAGAAGAGAATGAAAGGGAAGAGGGAAGAAGAAGAGGGGGAGATGTACAAATTCTTAAGAAAATCTGTATCAGAATTAGAATTCAAAGAATGGCGATACTCCTTGATTTCTGATTATTTAGCATTTTGTTTTTGTCTTGGTGTGCATAGAGCTAGTTGAGGGATTTGGAACTATGGGTAAAGTAAATCTGGCAGCCAAAATTAAGGCCTGTTAACGAAATGCTTACTGATATAGGTGGCACTCTAACCCCATGCTAAAAGATGTCAAAATTAAGAATTTATTGGATAAAGTCTTTTCTGAAAACAATTTTCTTGGTCACTATAATTGGTAAAATGTCAACCAGTCAATAGTCTGGGAACAAAGTTAGATGTACAGATGAATCTCTATACAGATAGAGTGAGGCAAGGTTCTAGCTCTCTTGGAGCTGGGTTATGGGGGCCCTGGCTAACATGAAATCCGTGGTGCTCTTTTAGCTACAGCCTGTGGTAGAAACTAGGTCAAATATTCAGCCCAGCTCAAATTTCCCTGTTAGTCTTAGGAAGGACAACATTAGTACTAAATGACTTAGACTCCCTGACCACAGCTAATCCAGCAGGAGTTTACCTTTGGCTTGAAAGTGCCCAATTAGCTTCTTTTCCCAGGAATTTGGATCTGAGGCGCAGTTACTCTGGTCATTCTTTTTAGAACACTTAAGCAAGCTGTGGTTGACATAGCCAGTGGTTCCTCATAAGAAAGTAGATCAGAAAAAGCTGTTATATAGAAAGAAAGACAATAAAGTAGAAACATTTAGAGAAAAGCAGAAAAATAAGACCCTTTAGCTCCTGAGAGTTGCTACTTTAGTTCCAGCTAATTTTAAATTCCTAATTTGCTCTCTTTTTCTGGGGTTCATTGAGATTTTCCTGCAATTTTCCAACAACTCCTTCTCTCCCTGCCATTTAACTTTGTTGGTATAACTTTATTTCTCTTCCATGCAACCAGATAATTCCCAGCTAAGAAAATCTTCTCAGGCATGGGTAAGACCTGAGCCATGCTTGAAAGGAGGCCACATTCATGATGGTCAAACAGCACTATTACTTATAGCAGTTCCATTCTGTTTCTTTTATGCATGGAGAATTATTTCAAGAGAAGCATGAGAAAGCTAGAAGCCTGCTAGTGCTGGAAGGAGTGATTCCTCCTCCCTCTTCTACCATGCTTGAAGCTCTGTCTAATATTTTAGCTGTTCCTCTAAAGATAAATGTCCTAGTAATGAAGCATGCCTTTCAAATTTTATTATTTGAGGTATTTTTGTAAATATTCTTCAGCTTCTCTTCCATTTCCCTTGTTTCAATTAAAAAGCTTTAATGAAAAAGTCTTATTAAAATTCTTATTAAACAATGGTTTAATAAATTAATCATTTATATAATTCTTTTAGGGTGCACTTGAATTTGAATATAATAAATGCTTATTAACAGTAAAAATATATGAGAATAAAAGCAAGGGTAAAATAGTGTATTTTCAGCTCCCCATGTCTTTTCTGTGTTTAATATGCAGGATTGCCACAACATTTTAAGCTTGATCTCCATTATTGAGTGTTTTCTTAATTTCACAAACATGTTCGCTCTGAAACAAATGAAACTGTAATTCCTTGTCAGATGTAGCATTTTGACAGTTTCAAAGATATTTGTAATTATGTACATTTCAATAATATTGGAAGTGGGATCTTTGTTTAGTCCTATGTATTATTTCAGCTACTTAGGTAATTATGGTAAAGTACTAGACTGTAATTGAAATAAGACAAGAGTAATATGAACAGCAGCACAAAAATCTATTATGCTGTGGTGTGTAAGGTATTTCGTGTTCATTTTAATAAGTCATAACTTTGTCAACTTGGTGAATTTGTTCTTGAGGGAAAGATTAAGCCAGGTTTTAAAAATAATTTCCAGATATCACTTAATGGGAAGGATGTGCTATGGAGGTGCTGATATTTAGGTGTTTGGGGATTTAAAATAGAAATGCTAGAGATCCATCCCAACATAGAGTTTGCAGAGCAGGGGTAGTCCAGTAGAACTCCTGCATTTTACTCTATCTTTTCTCTTAAGATGGGTTAAATAAAGGGAAAAAGAATCTCATTTTCAAAGAAGAAGAGCTGGGACAGGACAATATTGTGGAGGAATAATGCTTTTCCCTTGTACTTTCCCTGGGTCTTCAGGAAAAATGATGGAACTGGGTTTATCTTTTATTAAAATTTGGAGTTATATCCAAGATGAGGAGCCCTGTATGCCATTCCTTGACTGGAGTGTTTTGACTGAGAGGAGATGCAGATCCATTTCAAATATATAACACCAAGGAGGAAAAATGCCAGAGGGATGATGTAGGGGCATAGCATATGGGAATAGAAGAAGAAAACTTTTTCTCTGTCTCCCTTTTTCTCCCTCATTCCCTGTCATTTCTCTTTGACAAGAAAAAGGATATCACCAATCCTTATATATCTCCAAATGGGGCTTTGGATAGAAGATGGGGCTTATTAGTCTTATCAAAGTCCACCTTAGTGAAGAGCAAATAGACATTTTCATTGGAAGAATGCAGACATAGGGCTAGGAGTTGGAGTGGGAAGCTACCAGATGAAAGTGGCACTGTATTTTTCATTAGAAGAATGCAGAAAAGGGCTCCCAGATGGAAGTGGCACTGTATCTTCTCACATTGATGCCTGAAATCCTTGTGCCCCAATGGACTGTATCTGATGTATTTAGACCTATTGGATTTTTACCTGCCCATACTGATTCCATAGACAAGACTATGAGTTGGACTATCATCACAAGCTAACAGAAAAGCAAGTAGAGTACACTCTCCCCACCAAGAATGTGTGTCAAATATCACACTTTACTCTCCCTTTCCTTATCAATACTAGTAAATCCAAGAAAAAAACAGTAAGAAGGATTAGATCTTTCCCTTCCTTAGTGATCTCAAAAGTCATTCACAGCAGATGTTTGCAATTTCTTCCTGATAGAAACTCAAAAATGACTACAAGAAATAGTGAAGTTATTACTAACTGCAAGCTTAAAAATGCATGTATTATAAAGGTTTGTAGGATCTCAGCAAAAAAGTAATATTATGTATTAAGAGAAATAAAACCAGTACATGTTTGTGCATGGCCAAGTTGATACTTTTGATTTTACCTGTGAAATTAGTTTTGAGTCAGCCATGATTTAAATGTGTTTCCCAAAAAGCATGTGTTGGAAGCTCCACCCACATTCATGAGGGTGGAGTCCTCATGACCCAAACACCTCCTATTAGCCCCCATCTCTCAATGCAGCAGTATTGAGAGGTGGGGCGTAATGGGAGGTGTTTTTTTTTATCATGATGAATCCACCCTCATGAATATATTGATGCTAATCGCTAAAGAGCTTGAGGCTTTTTTTTTTTTTTTTTTTTTTTTTTGAGATGGAGTCTCGCCCTGTTGCCCAGGCCGGAGTGCAGTGGCATGATCTCAGCTCACTGCAACCTCCACCTCCCAGATTCAAGCGATTCTCCTGCCCCAGCCTCCTGAGTAGCTGGGATTACAGATGCGTGCCACCATGCCCGGCTAATTTTTGTATTTTTAGTAGAGACGGGGTTTCGCCATGTTGGTCAGGCTGGTCTCAAACTCTTGACCTAGTGATCTGCCCACCTCGGCCTCCCAAAGTTCTGGGATTACAGGCATGAGCCACTGCTCCTGGCCAAGAGTTTGAGGCCTTAAGTTCGAGCTCTTGCTCCTCTTTGACCTTTCTTACCCTTTTGCCACAGGATGACACAGCCAGAAGGGCCTTGTGAGATTTTGGCCCCTGGATCTTGAAATTCCAATCACCAGAACCAGGAACCAAAATATGTCTGTTCATTATAAATTACCCAGTCTCAGATATTCTGTTTTGGGAGCACAAAAGGGACAAAGACAGAAAAGAAGTACGGTGAAGTGAGTAAAAGTAATCTTAGAGATGACTTAAATGTTTGTGATCAGAATGTTGGTAGAAATTTGGATAGTAAAGGCCACTCTGATGAGGTCTCAGACAGAAAAAAGAAACAGGTATTGGAAACTGGATTAAAGACCATCCTTATTACATTGTGGCAAAGAGCTTGACTGAATTGTGTCCATGCCCGGGGGCTTTATGGGAGGCAGGATTTGAGAGCAATGAACTAAAATATTCAGTGGGGAAATTTCTAAGGAACATATTGAAGATGCTGCATGGCGTCTTTTAACTGCATGCAGTAAAATTGAGAGAGGAAGAAATGATTTAAAAATAGACTTTATAATTAAAAGAAAGCAGAATTTAGAGACGTGAAGAATTATTAGCCTGGCTATGTGGTAGAGAATGAAAGAGCATTTTCAAGAGTGGAAGCTAAGCACATGGCTAAGCAACTGATTGACAAAGAGATTAGTATGGATGGAACAAAACCAGAGGCTTTTAATTAATTAGGAGAATGATCCTATAAGTACATTAGCGATTACAGGTGCCTCTCCTGTCATCAGAGGTATAAAGTGCCCAGGCCTAGGGAAGGAAATATGTCAAAAGATAGGCCTAGGGTCTCCTGGAGAGCTGGTGTTCAGTGCTCAAGGGTGCCTCCCGTCTTCTCCCTGCATTTTAGTTCGGTACTACTTAGTGGCTCCAGATGTGGCTTAATGGGACTTAGGTATGGCTCAGGCCATACCTAAGGCACAAGTAGCAGAGATTTATCACATGTGGTGAGGCCATTACAGAGAATCCTCACTAAAGGTATCACCCCGAAGACCCCAGAACTGTAGTGCTACCAGTGTTTAACACCAGCCTGGGAGAGCCGCTACATGAGCTACACCAAATAAAGTCACAAGGGCAGGGCTGCCTGAGTTCTTGAATGCCAAATCCCCACCCTGGTGTGCCCAGAATATGGGACATGAATTTAAGAAAGATTATTCTGAGCCTTAAAATTTAGTATTTTTCTTATTGGGATTTAAACTTACTAGGGACCAGTTATCCCTTTTTTCTTGCCCGTTTCTCACTTTGGGAACAGGAATGTCAGTCCTATGCGTGCTCCACCATTGTATTTTGGAAGTAGATAGCCTTTTTTAACAGGCTCACAGTTGGAGGGAAATTTGGCTTAGGATAAATTTCACTTGAGTTTCTCTCACATCTGATTCTAATGAGACTCTGGACTTCAGACTTTTGAGCTGATACAGGAACGAGTTATGACTTTTGGGACTATGGGACGGAATGAATGTATTGTGCTCATGAGCAGAACATGAATTTGGGGAACCAGGAGCATCATTATATTATTTGAATATGTTTCCCAAAAGTTATGTGTCAGAAACTTAATTCCTAACTCAACATTTTGGGATTTAGGACCTTTTGGGAGGTATTTAGGTCATGAGGGCAGAGCCCTTATAAATTGATTAACCCTGCTATGAAAAGAGATGTGAGAGTGGGTTTGCTTACTCTTGTCCTTTTATCTTCCACCATGTGTAGAAGAAGCAAGGCCCTGACCAGATGCTACCTCTTTGACCTTGGACTTTCCAGGGTCCAGAACTGTGAGAAATAAATTTAGGTTTTTCATAAGTTACTCAATGTGTGTTATTGTGTTATGGTAGCACAATATAGAGTAAGACATACACACAAACAAGTTATAAAATAGAAAGAATTTTAAATCTATTGCTTTGATTCATATTTATTTTCTTATCTACAGTGCCACAGAGTGTTTATTCCTACATGTCCCACAGGAGACCATCAGTGCTTTGAATCATCCTTAGCGGAAATCTTGGTATATTGTTTGCTCGGTAATTTGTTGTGGCTCTTTTGATAAAAAGGAGAACTTTTTAGGATTACTTCTGATGTGTTTTATTTTCTTCTCTTCATAACTCAAAAGGAACACATGAACAGCGGTTGAAAGAATATCCCAATTATATTGTGTTTAGAGCATCTGCAGAGTTGGTCCTGGAGGCTTGGGTGAGGGAAACCACAGCTGTGAAGCTTTGCTCCTGCTCCTAGCACAGATGCCAAAGCAGATGGAAGGGCAGGGATCATCTGCAGAAAGACTTCAGATCTCCAACATGAGTAAAGAGTGAAAAGCATAGCGGGCATTGCTGAAATGGCTAGATTGATAGGCTCTACACTCCCAGGAGCAGCAGAGGCAACAAACTCTCCCCACTCTGTGCCTCAGACAGAAACATGATGAATGGTGTGTGTGTAGTCATCTTCAATCCTTTTACAGCTTGTGCTTCTTTATTCCAACAGGCCCTCATTTGGTGCTTTGCCTGGAAATTGTTCTGATGCTGTTTATGTTTCAAATGCTTAGAAAAACAGTTCTATTAAGGTTGTATGCCAAAACACAGGCTAGTCTGAATAACAGGAAGGATGGAGTAAATTTGGGTCTGCTAATCTGCAAAAGAAAATATTAAATATGCTCTCTCTGGAGAACAGTAACAAACACTTTGCATGTGGCTGTGCTAAATTTACTGCAGGAACTATAAGTGTTAAAATGCCAGCCGTGTAAATGGGCCATGGGGTGGTAAAAGGTTGACAGGATGATTATGCTTGAGGGGCCACTGTTACGTATGTCCTTCGGACAGTAGTTTGGAAGAGCTTCAGAGACACTAATTAATTCTGCCCCACAGTGAGGGGTGGTAACCAGTAGCCCAGTGGGAGGCTGAGCTATAGAGCTCTGTCTGAGGTTAGAGGACCAGGAAAACACTTCAGGGTCTGTCTAAGTTGATTCTCAAGAGAAAAGCTCTTTAATCTTATTTAAGGTTACAAAGTCTTTGGCCTCATGCAAAACATTTCATCTTGTGCAATTTTCAGCTGTTCTTATCATCTGAATAAAGTAATAGGATAAATCAAGCAACTCAAAAAGATGAGTAGAATTTCATTCTTTTAAAATGCTAATTATAGCCTAAGAATATCAATTCTCAGCCTCTTCTAATCACCAAATCTCTTTCTTGAATACAATTTAGATTCCTCTATTGAATTTCTTATGGCTCCAATCATAGAACTCATTGGATTTTTCCCCTGAAATCCCTAAACAGGGATAGCCTAGATTCCTGGGAGGAGTAATGGAAAACTCTGACTTTCTGTGCAGAATTCAGATATTTTTTGACTCATGATGGAATTTCATCCCAATAAACCCATGATAAATTAAAAATATTTTAAGTTAAAATGCATTTAATATACCTAATGCAGTGAACATCATACTTAACCAACCTTAAATATGTTCAGAACACTTATATTAGCCTATGGCTGGGCAAAATCATCTAACAAAAAGCCTATTTCATAATGAAATACTGAATCTCTTAAGTAATTTATTTAATGCTATACTAAAAATGAAAAACAAAATGGTTGTATGGGTACTTGAAGTAAGGATTCTATTGACTGTGTATTGTTTTCCCACTATCATAAAGTCAAAAAATTGTTAGTTGAACTATCATTAGTTGGGGACTCTCTGTAGTGCCATCCACAAGCTAAACTGGACACACAGAACTTTAGAATAGCATAGCTTTGCAGTAGGCGAGTTTTTGGTTAAGAATTTTATCCTATATTTTATTTATTGTTTCAGATATAATTTAATTAACAGTTATTTGTACTTTTCTTGTAACATTTAATGAAGAGAGTTAATATTTATTGAGTATTTACTTTGTCCAGGCAATGTACTACTATATATAAATTATCTGATTTATTTCTCCCTTGACTATTAGCAATAGGTATGAGTTTTATAGGTAATAAAATTTATGTAAGATATACTTATATAATTAAGATATAGTACTGTAGCATGTCGTGCAGTGTTCTGGCATAAAGTTACGCTGGATATAGTTGGGTAACAATTATAGTAATAATCTATTACTTGATACAGTGGTGGGGTTTTATGACAATAGAATTGTTGCTACTCAAGCCTTTTCATTTTACCTATAATGTTTTTGAGGCAGTGAGATAATTAGGGGTGAGGGGAGAGAAAGGAACAATAAAAGGAAAGAAGAAAGAAGAGAATAGGGAGGGAGGAAGAACTGAGTACTAATTAAATAAAACAAAAAAATTCTGAAGAATGAATAATGCATATCTGGTGGAACATAATTTATAAAGTAATGATTAACAGAACAATAGGACAAAGGATTGTTTATCATTAAAATGTACTGTAAATTAACCTTTACAAATACATTTCCACTATGTACTTTTCGACTGATTTATAGTATCCTGTCTTCAATAATTTGAAAAGTGCTAAAACTCTTTATTTGAAATGTAAGTAAACTGATCTAAATTATGATTTTATCCATATTTTCTATAATATAGGTAAATGTTTTAAAGTCTCTGTAGTCTGATGAATGAAATTTTGATGTAATAGCATTGTACTGATTTAGTCTCTCCGTAAATTTGGACTGAACATTTAACCATACTGTGACAAAATTATTTTTTTCTGTAAATGACAGAAGGTGGTTAGAATAATCTTCTTTTAACCATTTTTATAGTGACATGGTTAGAATAATAATAAAGAAAAAACCATAAGCCCTCTCAAATAATCTATCAGCAGGGACTCTTCGGATCTTTCTGAAGATATTTTTACTCTTTGAGGCTTTAAGAAAATAAGTTAGTTTTCAAACATGAAATTTATTTAGTATATTTTATTGTGTCAGTATTATCTTAACCCAAAATTTTAAAGACTGGAAAAGTGCCTGTGATACAACATTAAACAAATAAAATCAGAATATGAACGTAATAAACAGAATGATGGTCTCCCAAGAGTTCAGCTGTTCTTTCCTTTTACATAACCCTCTGTCTTCTATGGGGATCTATCTAGATTCAATGGAGAAGCATATGATCTAGATTAAGCCAATTATGTGTCCCTCAAGACTTTTTATAAACATTCTGTGACACAAGTAACCTTTCTTCTATATGGCGTTGTGCATACATATAAAGCTCAGAAATGACGCAATCAACAAGGCAATAAAGCTGGCACACAGAAGAATGAAACCCAGAAAATCACAGAGCGAGAACCCCAATCAAGCATGATTGAAGCTTATCCTTCTTCTAGACCCTTAACATTACATGAAATAAGCTTGCTTTTTATATAAGATTGATCTGGAAGTGAAAAGAGAAGGAAATGTAGCATTTCTAAGAGCAGTCTTTTCAGTCGGCAGCCTGAAATCCACTTTGACCAAGAGAGGCTGTTGATTTAGAGCTTGCAAATTTGAAAAAGCCAAATTCCCTAACACAAGTTCACATTAGCACTAGCAGTTGCAGAGAGATGGAAGATGAAGTACAATGTAAGACTGGGGTCCTTATAAATCCTCTTTGAAGTAATTTCTCTTAAATCTTCTTTACTTGCAAAAGGGAACAATCACTCTTTTTGTAGAGATTAAGCTGCAATTCAATTCAATGGTGAGAAAAAAATAAGCCATCTATCCTATGATTTAAAATTGTTTTAAGATGGATTTTTGCTCTGACCATGCTGAAATAAAGGGTAACATCTCTAACCATCCTGACATAAGCAGCTATATAAAACTGGACAGGCTGCGCGGTGGCTCATGCCTGTAATCCCAGCACTCTTTGGGAGGCTGAGGCGGGCAGATCATCTGAGGTCAGGAGTGCAAGACCAGCCTGGACAACATGGTGAAACCCTATCTCCACTAAAAATACAAAAAATTAGCCGGGTGTGGTGGCGTGCACCTGTAATCCCAGCTAGTTGGGAGGCTGAGGCAGGAGAATCGTCCAAGCCTGGGAGCTGGAGGTTGCAGTGAGCCAAGATCACTGCATTGAACTCCAGCTTGGGTGACAAAGTGAGACTTTGATCAATGATCAATGAACCTGAAGAAAGAGGAACAGAAAGTGAGTCACCATCTCAAAAAAACAAAAAACAAAAAACTGGACAAAGTTTATGAAGCTATAGTTTTAGGAATTTTACCACAGGTAGTGAAGAACTATGATTCCTAAGAAAACAGTAACCTTTATGATTTCTTAGGATTTTACCCGGGATGGCCTTTCTGAACCACAGTGTAAGAAAGTAGAGCCCAAATGCATCATAGTGGTTTTATTAAACTGAAAAGTTAAAGATGTAAGTTGGGGGCTTCTGGAAAAGCTCAATTTGGTGTGGGCAGAGTTACAGAGAGGTGAGAAATGCACAGAGAAAACGCTCCAAAACTTATCATAGCAGTAACATGAATTCTTTGGATGAACCCCAAGATTACATATACAGGTAAAGTTTTTATAAAGTGAGCAGAGAACCGCCAGTAAATGAGCTGAACAGCAATTCCAGACATCCCAAAGTACTTGAAAATGTAGGAGGTCAGACCAGGTAGCATGGTGAGAGCTGGGCATTCAATTGAGACTCCCATAAAAGCCATGCATTATGACTAGGACTACTCTAGTGCAAGAGTGTGGGTCATATTAAACTTTATCAAAGTTTAAAAAATAATGTGATCTGCTGTTAAATTAACTGCTCTCAAAAACAAAACTTAATACTTTGGAAAGAAGACAGAAAAAGTCTGCATTCTCATCAATGTATTCCTTACAATGTCCAGAATACAATGTAAATTATTAGACCTGTGTAAAATGTAACCCAAGATTATATAATCTAATCCAAGAAAAGGAAATAAATAAAATCAGATATGAGAATTGTTAATATTAGCAGAAATAAATTTTAAAACAGTTTTTAAAATATTTGTAAAATTTTAAAGGAAAAACTGTTTAAGTTGATGTGTGGGTAATCTAAGATTATAACTGTAAAAAAAATAAGGTTCTAAAATTGAAAAGTATATCCGAATTGAAATATTCACAGATGAGTTTAGTAGCAAATTGGACACCGCAGAAAACATGATCAATGAACATGAAGAAAGAGGAACAGAAAGTGATATCCAGACATAAAAATTCTGATGAAAGTGAACAAAGCCTCAATGATATGGAGAGAAAATAACAACAACAACAACAACAAACCAAAACGTCTGCCATATGTGCATCTGAAGTCCAAGAAATATAGGCAAGATTGGATTAAAAAATTTAGTGAAATAGTGGCTGGAAAAAATTCACATTTGGTGATAACTATTAAGCCAAGCCAAGAAACTCAAGGAATACTAAGCAGGATAAAGATTTAAAAAAAAAAAAACCAACATCACACATAGCATAGTCAAAATTGTTAAAAAGAAAATATAAATACAAAATCTTAAAAACATTGCCAGATAAAAAACACATTGCATACAGGGGAACACTGAAAGAATTACCTTGACTTTTCCTGAAGTCAGTGCAAGGTATTAAGCAATGAGAAGGCCATCTTTAAAATGCCAAAATAAAACCCAAATTTGTCAACCAAGAAAATGTCTTAAAAAATAAAGACAAATTAATGACTTTTTCAAATATATAAAAGTTGTAAGAACTTTTCGCTAGTAAAGTTACACTATAACAAATATCAAAGAAATTATTGAGGGGTATTTATTGAAGAAAAATGATAGTTAAAAATGAACACAAATTCATATTAAGCAACGAAAAATGTCAGAATAACTGTGTGGGTAAATATTTTTATTTTTTTCAAATTTTTAATAGATAATTCATTCTCTGAAATGAAAACAAAGTATTATACTATCAAATTTATAGCATATGTAGAAGTGGTTGACAATAATATTACAAAAGTGGGAATATAACCTAAAAATATGATTATTTTTGTGTTTATTCTGCCTGTGATTCATTGAGTTTCTTGGATCTGTGACCTTCTAATTTTTATTAAATTTGGCAAGTTTTGTCAATTATTTCTTTGAATACTTTCTTCTGTCCTTTCTATTTACCCTTCTCTGTGCCTCCAATTGTTTTTCTATTAGCATGTTTAACATTTCCCCACACGTAATTGATACTCAGCTCATTTTTCTTCCATTATTTTTATTTATCCCCTCTGTATTTAATTTTGGATTATTTCTTTGCCTAGGTCTTCAAATTTAGTATTGTTTTTCTTATTATGTCTCTGATCTCCCATAAATCATAACTAGGGTAGTTTCTTATCAGTTATATTACCAGCTCTAGAATGTCTACTATAGACCCTTCAACCTTCCATTCTTTTCCTCCTCATGTTAACATTTTGCTCTACTTTTTGAATATACTGTTTATTTATAATAGCTGTATTCATTATTTTGTGTGTTAATTTTGCCATTTATGACATTTCTAGGACTGTTTGTGTGATCTCTCCTCCCGGTTTTGTCATATTTTCCCACTTCTTCACATGCCTAGTTATTTCATGACATACTAGACATTATGAAATTTACATTATTGGGTGATGGATTTGGGGTCTTTCTTTAAATACCATTGAGTTTTTTGGGGTTGTAGTTCATTACCTGGAGTCAGGTAATAAGCATCGATCTTAAAATTGTTGAAACAAGCCAATAAGACTCTTTATTCTAAGGCTAATTTGGGCTCACTTTTAATGCGATTATACTGTGAGGAGTTTACTCAATGTCTCCTGTATTAGGAGGTCTGTCCACTTTGGCTAGTGTGATCCCAATGTATTTTCAGGCCTGTGTGAAGTCCAGGGACAATTTTGCCTATTTTTTATTGGTTCTTTTTCTCGTACCATGTAGTTTTCTAATATGTTGGCTCAGTTCAGTGTTCAGCAGTGACTCACAGGTTCGCCTCTGCCGTAGTTTGCTCTTCTTTCTCTCTTTACTTCTGTATCACTTCATATTCTTTCCCATAAATTCCATCCAACCTGGCTTTCTCAAATTTTTCATTGTTTTCACAAGTCAGCAAAACTCTTAAGATCTATTTGTATTTTGAAAGCTCTCCTGTGATGTTTCCTTGAAGATCCTTCCTGGAAATAAGCCAGGGAAATGCTGATGCTCACATTGCCGTCTTTCAGGTTCATTGCTGTGTGCTGCTTGTTTTGCCATATCTGAAAACAACTGGGTCACATATTTTGTCATTTTCTAGTTGCAGTGAAACAGGAGGTAAATTCTGATCAATTTCTGAACTGAATTTAAAAAATAAATGGTAAGAAAATTAATGCTTTTTTCCAATATTAAAAGCAGGACAAGGATGTCTTCTGCTTTCACCAGTTTCATTTAGTATTTTACTGGCGATTGTAGTCAGAATAATAAGAGAAAAAGTAATAAAAGGTATATTTAAAACTTTCTATTAAAAATGACATGGTATTCTATATAGAGAATGCTAAGGATTCTCCAAAAACAATTAAAAATGATAAATGAATTTAGTATGTTTGTGTACTAAAAGTGTACTAACTGTATTTCTATGTACTAGCCACAAACAATAGAAAATTAAATTTAAATAGACAATACCATTTATAATACCATAAAGCATATAAAATATTTAGGGATAAAATTGACAAAATATGTATAACTCTCTAAACATAAACTATGAAACTTTGATGAAATTTTAAAAGACCTAAAAAAGGTAAGATATACATGTTCATAGTTCAGAAGACTCAATATTGTTATTCTCATACATCTCTCTATACTAATCTATACAGTGTAATACCAACTAAAATGCTAGCATTTTGTGGATATTAAAAGATTCTAAAATGTATATGAAAAACAAAGTAACTTAAAATAATTTTGAATAATAACAAATATGAAGAACTTACACTACCTGATTTTCAGATTTGGTTTAAAGCCTCACCAATCATAACTGTTATATTTGCATAAGGAGTTGTATTGATCAACAGAACAATCTAGGAATTAATTTTGGTTAATGTGGTTGTTTCTTTCACAAAAGTGTCAAGGCAGTTCAATGGGGGAAAGGATAATCTTTTCAACAAATGTTGCTAGAACAGTTGGATATCCGTTTTGAAAAGAAAAGAACAAAAGGAAACAAACAAAAAACCTTAAACCTTGTCCTTTGCTTTAAACCATATGTAAATATTTACTAAAGATAGATCGTACAACCAAATGTAAGAAGTAAAACTATAAAACTTATTTTAAAGTAGAAAAATGGAAGAACATTTCACTGAACTTGGATTTGATTAGGACATAACATCCCATAAAATAATAAATAAATCAAATTTGTCAAAATTAAAAACTTTGAGTATAAAAAGCACTCTTGAGCACACAAAAAACTAGCTACAGGGAGAAAATATTTGTAAACAATTATGTGATATTGAACTTTTATCCAGGATGTATGAACATTCATTACACCAACAATAATAAGAATAATAGCAACAACATAATAATAATATTTATAAAAGGGGGAAACATTTCCAGACACTTTACCAAAGAAAATATACTAAAAATAGACTTGTAAAAATATGCTCAGTAACCTGTTTATTAAGAAAATATAAATTAAAACCCCAAAGAGGCTTTCCTGGGGTAAAGAGACTGAAGGCTTGCATTACCTAGTGTTGGCAAGGATGTAGAGCAACTGCCATTAGAAATGTAAAATTTGACTTCCTCTCTTCCTATTTGAATACCCTTTATTTCTTTCTCTTGCCTGATTGCCATGGCCAGAAATGCCAATATTATGTTAAATAGGAGTGGTGAGAGAGGGCATCCTTGTCTTGTGCTGGTTTTCAAAGGGAATGCTTCCAGCTTTTGCCCATTCAGTATGATATTGGCTATGGGTTCGTCATAAATAGTTCTTATTTTTTTGAGATATTCAAATTTTCTCTGCTTGTAAATGACATGGTTCCATATTTAGAAAATGCCATCATCTCAGCCCCTAAGCTCCATAAGTTGATAAGCAATTTCAGCAGTCTCAGGATACAAAATCAGTGTGCAAAAAACACAAGCATTCCTATACACCAACAATAGACAAGCTGAGTGCCAAATCATGAATAAACTCCCATTCACAATTGCTACAAAGACAATAAAAACCTAGGGATACAACTTACAAGGAATGTCAAGGACCTCTTCAAGGAGAGCTACAAACCTCTGCTCAAAGAAATAAGGGAAGACACAAATAAATGGAAAGACATCCCATGCTTATGGATAGGAAGAATCAATATTGTGAAAATGGCCATACTGCCCAAAGTAATTTATAGATTCAATGTTATTCCCATCAAGCTACTATTGACTTTCTTCACAAAATTAGAAAAAACTACTTTAAATTTGATATGGGACCAAAAGAGAGCCCATATAGCCAAGACAGTCCTAAGCAAAAAGAACAAAGCTGGAGGCATCATGCTACCTGACTACAAGGCTATAGTAACCAAAACAGCATGATACTGGAACCAAAACAGATATATGGACCAATGGAACAGAATAGAGGCCTCAGAAATAACACCACACAGCTACAACCATCTGATCTTTGACATACCTGACCAAAACAAGCAATGGGGAAAGGATTCCCTATTTAGTAAATGGTACTGGCAAAACTGGCTAGCCACATGCAGAAAACTGAAACTGGATCCTTTCCTTACACCTTATACAAAAATTAACTCAAGATGGATTAAAGACTCAAACTTCAGACCTAAAACCATAACAACTCTCGAAGAAAACCTAGGCAATACACAAATTCAGGACACACGCAAGGGCAGACTTCATGACTAAAACACCAAAAACAATTACACCAAAAGCCAAAATTGACAAATAGGATCTAATTAAACTAAAGAGCTTCTGCACAGCAAAAAAAAAACTATCTTCAGAGTGAACGGGCAACCAACAGAATGGGAGAAAGCTTTTGTAATCTACCCATCTGACAAAGGTTAATATCCATAATCTACAAGGAACTTAAACTAATTTACAAGAAAAAGGCAAACAACCCCATCAAAAAGTGGGCAAAGTATATGAACAGACACTTCTCAAAAGAAGACATTTATGTGGCCAACAAACATATGAAAAAAAGCTCATCATCACGGATCATTAGAGAAACGCAAATCAAACGCACAATGAGATACCATCTCCACCAGTCAGAATGGTGATTATTAAAAAGTCAGGAAACAGTAGATGCTGGTGAGGCTGTGGAGAAATAGGAATGCTTTTACACTGTTGGTGGGCGTGTAAATTAGTTCAACCATTGTGGAAGACAGTATGGTGATTCCTTAAGGATGATGTAGAACCAGAAATACCATTTGACCCAGCAATCCCATTACTGGGTATACAACCAAAGGATTATAATCATTCTTCTAAAAGGACATATGTACCTGTATGTTTATTGCAGCATTATTTATAATAGCAAAGACTTGGAACCAAGCCAAATGCTCATGAGTGATAGACTGTATAGAGAAAATGTGGCACATATGCACAATGGAATACCATGCAGCCATAAAAAAGAATGAGATCATGTCCTTTGTGAGGACATCTATGAAGCTGGAAGCCATCATTCTCAGCAAACACAGGAACAGACAACCAAATGCCACATGTTCTCACTCATAAATGGGAGTTGAACAATGAGAACATATGGACACATGGAGGGGACAGTACACACTGGGGCCTGTTGGGAGGTGGAGGGCAAGGGGAAGGACAGCATTAGGAGAAATACCTAATGCATGCTGGGCTTAAAACCTAGATGATGGATTGATGGGTACAGCAAACCACCATGGCGCATGTATACCTATGTAACAAACCTGCACATTCTGCACATGTATCCTAGAACTTAAAATAAAATAAATAAATAAATAAAGAAATGTAAAATCATCTGCCTCTTTGGAAAATAGGTTGTCATTTTTTGTGTGTGATTTTAAACATATATTTACCATATGATCTATCACTTATACTCCTAGGTCTTTACTCAAGAGAAACAAAAATAAATCCACACAGTGTGGTACTTAAAAATTAAAATTAAATAAGAATACTATATATAATAACATCAATAATCTAACAGCTTTATTTAGAATAATACAGATTTGAAACAATTCAAATGCCTATTAACTGATGAGTGGGTAAACAAATTATGATATATCCATACACTAGGACACAACTCAGCAATAAAAAGGAACAATTTGTTGATAAATGCAACAACATAAATGAATCTAAAAAGTATTATGTTAAATAATAAAAGGCAGGCACAATATATTATACACTATATGATGTAAATTTTGTGAAGTTCTGGAAATGATGAAATAATAATGATAGAAAACAGATCAATTCTTGTTTAAGACCACTTTGGAGGAGGCTTAGCTGCAAAGGGGCAGGAAAGAATATTTGTAGGTGATGAAAATGTTGTATATTAGCACTATCGAAAATAACTTTCTGTGATGATGGTATTGTTTTACAAATTTTCACTGTCCAAATGCAGTAGCCACTAGCCATCTGTAGTTATTGAACATTTAAAATGTGGCTCATGTGGTCGATTAAATCTATTTTACATTTTAATTTTAATTAATACATTTAAATAGAAAATACTGATTAATTTGGGTGATATGCATCACTTCTTTTGACATCATTTGTCAAAATACGTTACATTGTACAGTTAAAATTGATTAATTTTATCCTATGCTAAATATGCCTCAACAAAGCCAATATGAAAACATATTGAATACTTGCCAATCCTAGTTTTCTAGTTAGTGGTTGCTTACAATCTAAAAGTAAATTATCCTCCAACCACTCCGTCTTCAAGTTCAGTGATTTTCAGCTACTGAGAAATCTAATCACTAGAGAGGAAGCAAATACTTGTTATACTCTTTAGAATACATGGTTTTATAATCACCAAGAATTTGGTCTTTTGCTATCGTGTTTTTGGAACTCAGTTGTCACATATTATCCAGCATCATCTATTTTACCAAAAAAATCTGATTATTTCTTACTATTTGTTTCTGCCATTACAGAGTGTATTTAATAAGTTGATCCCTGTGACCATTTGACTGCTTTCATTTCAGGTATATTTCTATCTCCACATGGGCAAACTTATCATACAGTATAGATATTATTTGGTAATAAACAACCATAAATGGCTTACAATAATATAAATTTATTTCTTGTTTACAATAAATACCATTTTACTTCAACTGGGAGCACTCTTTCATGTCTCCTGATATGGAGACCGTGGTTAATGGAGATTCCACCATTTGGAACATTGCCAACTGTTGTGGCAGTAAAAAAAATAATGCATGGTGAACCACATACTTCTTGTTAATACCGCCGTAAATGTGAAGAGCACTATATTTACCAAAGCAATCAAATACTCTAAGCAACCCCATCCCTAAATCTATCAGGAGATAAGAGAAATGATTAGAATGCTGAAGGCTAAAGGTTCCATTCTTCCCTCAATTCACCATACTTTCCTAAATTAATGTAAATAGAGGGGACGTTTGCTTAATGCTTCGTCAATACACCTACCACTTCAAAACTCAATATTTGATGTCCAGGCATGATGGCTCATGCCTGTAATCCCAGCACTTTGGGAGACCGAGGTGGGCGGACCACTTGAGGTCAAGAATTCAAGACCAGCCTGACCAACATGGTGAAATGCTGTCTATACTAAAAATACAAAAATTAGCCAGGTGTGGTAGCGCACGCCTATAGTCCCAGCTACTCAGGAGGCTGAGGCAGGAGACTCGCTTGAAATCAGGAGGGAGAGGTTGCAGTGAGCCAAGATCGCGTGACTGCACTCCAGCCTGGGTGACAAAGTGAGATTCCCTCTCAAAACAAAACAAAACAAAACCAAAAAAACCCTCAATATTTGATGATGTAATAAAGTACCTGAGCAAATCTGGTATTTAAGTGCTACTTTATATTGCTGCTGAATGTATTCAGGCAAGTTTATGTAAAGACAAATTATGTATCATATCATGTTATATCAAATTGTCATATTGTTATTTTTCTAGATTTAAAATTTGAAGAAAAAACTTCTATTATTATTATTCTTTGTATATCAAGGTACTGTTGCTGAAATAAATATCTTTCTACTGTTTGGAGTTGAAAATACCTATCCTGCTATAATAAGCTAATAAAGGAAGTGGTTTATTTTTGTAAAATCCTTTATTGATAAAATCAAAACTTGGCAACTCTGAGTGCACAATCTTTAACTTCGAAATTCTATGAAAAAATTTCTTTTTGGAATTTGAATCATTTAAACCCACACATTTTGTAAAACCACAGCCATTTTTTCTATAATATGGTCACCTAGTACATCACCTCTTGCTGGATCAGTCTTAGTCTAATGCCACAGGACTTATACCTAGTAACCTATAACTTGTGTATCTATAAGATGAATATCCTTATATATTAACTTATTATATTTTACAAGTCCTTATGAGACCTCATGGACAGACTGTGATGTACCTTGGAAAATATAAGGTATGAGAGACTCCAGTTCTTAAAACTTTTGGGTCATAAAATTCATACTTCATAGAAGTATTACAAATTTAAATTACTAATTGCTTTATTTTTGTTTTTAATGTGCAGTGTAACAATTTACTCCTAGCTATATTACGTTTTTTAAAACTTAAAAAAATATGAACATGAGTGATTATAACATTTATCATCCAATATAAATACTTTTGTGAGTTAATGGGGTACTATTTGAAATTATGTCACAGAGTTGTATAAATAGATATGGTGCTGGGTAAACTAGACCCTCCCTATGGTCATGTTTGTTATAAATATCATTATAGAATTGCATTAATACGTATATTCTAAGAATATGTACATATATACCTATTATAAGATGACTATGTTATACACATACATAAATATGCACAGTGTGCAGACTACATGTATACATATACAGACATAGTGGATTCCCTGTGTGTGCGTGTGTGTGCAT
Organism: Homo sapiens; assembly: GCF_000001405.40. Lineage (NCBI taxonomy): Eukaryota > Metazoa > Chordata > Mammalia > Primates > Hominidae > Homo > Homo sapiens. The sequence goes on from NC_000009.12 coordinate 22,636,433, forward strand.
GTGTGTGTGTTTGAGTCGATATATATTCATCTTAGAAATGTGGGCTTTTTGTTTCTGTCATGGTGAAATAGTGTGACTAGTGGAATCTATTGTGAATATTTAAGTGAGATGATTTTTCTGATAATTCTTCTTTTCACACAATCCTTCAACAAGGCACTCTTAATCTCTTTCTAAATATTATAGCAGACTCCATGGACTGGGCTGGAGTGGCCAGGGATTTGGTAACAGCTGAATGTTTTTCTTCATAGAGTTATTACTTTTCTGATATCATCATTTGATTGGGGCTTGAGTGCTAGGAATAATTTGGCTTTCTATTCCGCATGTGTTAAAAATAGAAGAAAAACACTTTGTACTGACTTAAGTCTCCTTCCCACCTACCCTCCACCTGTATCCCCCAAAAGAGTCAGACAGAGAGAGAGAGAGCTAGAGAGAGAGAGAGAAGGGGTCCTGGGAATCTTGCAGAATTCAAAGACAAGCAAACCAACAGGAATCCTGGAGGCTTTGCTGCTTCTACCCTTTGTCTCTATTTCTCACTGCACGTTAGCTTATTTCTTCAAATTTTCTTTCTCTATTTATTTTTTGTGTGCATACAACCATCCCAATTTGTCAAGTTTCTCTCCCATTTATGAGTCCAGCCAAGAGCCAAGACTGCCATATTTTTTTCCTCAATTGCAATTCCAAATTTCTAAGAAAGAATAGCTTTGGCTCAATTTGGTTCCAGTTTGCTCCCCCGACTCAAAAAACAGTAAGCACAATCACATACAAAGACACAACTCTCAGAAAAGGGGGTCATTGTGAGCTTGGTGGGCACCACCAAAGGAATTTTCAATGGCACCTCAAACTAAGAAAAACAAAGCTAGATTCTCATAACTTAAATACAAGCTTTCAAAGTACAGGGTTGGCGCGGTGGCTCACTCCTTTATTCCTATCACTTTGGGAGGCCAAAGTGGGCAGATCAGTTGAGGCCAGGAGTTTGAGACCAGCCTGGCCAACATGGTGAAACCACATCTCTACTAAAAATACAAAAATTAGTTGAGCATGGTGGTGTGCGTCCATAATCCTAGCTACTTGGGAGGCTGAGGCAGGAGAATCGCTTGAACCCACGAGGCAGAGGTTGCAGTGAGCCAATATTCTGCCACTGTACTCCAGTCTGCACAACAGAGCAAGACTCTGTTTAAAAAAAAAAAAAAAAGTAGAGCAAGGCAATGGCTATACCGTAAATGACATTCTTTTGCTCTCTTATTTAATGTTCAATATGTGCTGCTATAATTTTTTCTACCATAAAAATTTTAAAAATCCAAACAATAAAATATAATCACACATATTGGATTCAACAACAAAAGGATCACCAAAATCAAATATCTCACTGAAGTATACTTTGGGACTAAGAATAGCAATCACTGTGCATAAAAATGAAATTCAAGACCTTGAAAATTGCATTGCTACAGCAAAAAAAGAATAGACCAAAGTAAATCCACTAGACAGAAGAATGTGAAAGAATAAAAGGACCTGAGAAATGTGTCACTCCCAACATCAGTCAACTACATTTTTTAAAGTTTAAATGCTGATGCCCAACTGACAGAGATTCTATGATTACATTTGATACAAATGCCATTTATATTTCCCGGTTACTAAAAAAAAAAAATATTCTTTAGGGAATGTGGCTGAATAAATGTTTAATGGATGGCAGGTTCTCAAATAAATTAACACAGATTTCTTATTTCAAAATGGAACACTAATAATAACCTAGGTAATGTGAATGTTTTTATATTTATGTGGATCCACTTGGTAAGTGACCCCTGGGATCCAAGCCCTTATGCCTAAGAAATATCAGTTAGACACCATTGTGAGCACATAGATTGTCTACTGAGCACTTATATTGCATTGTCCCATGAATAAAGCAGAGTTAGAAATTTGATCAGTAAGCCTATAAATTTTGTATTCATAGGTACAAATAGAAAAAAAAAGCCTATGAGTTGCTACAGGGACCTTTGTATCAGTGAAGTACTGAATTTCTCCTAGTCTATGAGGCACTAATATATTTTAGAATTTGCTATAGAAAACTCCGTTTAGGATGAAACAAGAAAGTACGTTAACTAACAAACAAATGAACAAACAAAGACATTAAAAATAAAGGTTAAAGGGTAAAAGGGAAAAGGTAGGGTCTCAGAAATTACCTATAAAAAGTGGGGGTCATAGGCCAACCAGCTCCTCCATGTTACTGGGTACATTGTCACAGTATTCAGTATAATTTAGTTTACCTAATATCATTAATTTTACAAAATCATCTGATATTCATCATCATATAAAGCTCCATGACTTACTGTTTAAGACAAAAGAGATGACACATTTTTTTTGGTAGAAGACATGGCATATATACAGTATTTAGAAAACTTAAACCAATAAGATCAGTTCTAGGAACATTGAAGTTATTCATCATGATGATGGGAGTTAGGGTGGAGAGAAATTACGAGGACCAGATTCCATCCATGTCTTTAATAAATATGAAGAACTAATAAAGAAGTTAACAGATGATGGCATTGAGAACGATAATCAATACTGATTTCATAAGCCCCCCAAAAGGAGGGTAAATTGATTAGAATTTGATGCAGGGTGAGAATCAGAAAGCCTAAATTATAAGATTTTGATTATTGTTATCATAAAAATCAACAATATTGAGTTTATTTCATTGTCAATTAAAAATTTTGAGGTAAGCATTTTAGGGAAAGTGGGGCAACCCATTCTGTCAGGCTTCATAGATTTTATTGCTCTTCCTTATGTAGCCACCACTTTCACTTCATGGCCCAAGATACTGGTCTAGCTTCACTTTCTACCTATTAGGAAAGAGAAGAGAGAAGGCACACACAATAATCCTCCCACTAAGATAACTTTGTATAAATTGTGCACATATTTCTTTTTACATTCTATAAGCCAGAATTGATTCACATTGAAATTGAGCCTCTATTCCAGATAGTCGTGTGTCAAACTAAAACATCCAAGTATCTTTTTCTGGTGAAGAAAACCAAATACGGAGAGATAATTGGCATGTCTATAACAGATAGGAGTTCTTGCAAGATGAGGAAAATAATAGCTTAAAAAGACAAAGGAAACTATGAGTATGTGGAACAACTTTTTCTGGCTCCTTGTAATGCAGAATGAATATAACTTTATCATTTGCAATTATCCTTTCCTTCATCTCTTTTGGATTTTACTTTGCTTATTTTGTCTTAAAGTTTGTTTGCATCTATAATTTGCTGTCTTCATTAATGGATTGCTTGCTTCTATTTCTGTACCTATCCATCTCTTTCATTGAAAATGAGCTTGTAGGCAGATAGCACAACGTTAGAGGTAGTTAGTTTTCAGGAAAACAGTATTAGAGTAGCAGTTAAGGAGCATGTCTTGAAAAGAAACAGTTCTATGTTCAAATTTTGGTTCTGCCACTTGCCAGCTATGTTACTTGGACATGTTACTCAACCTCTGTAAAGCTTAGTTTCCTTATCTGTGATAATGCATGTAAAGTTTCTAATATGGTACCTGGAAGATACTATCTGAAATAAATATTAGCTATTTTTGGTATTCAAACCAAATCACACATAGTAAGTGCCTTTTAAATATTTATTTGGTTGGATAGAAAGCTTCACTGTCGTTTTCAGATCTAACAGAGTCTGTAAAGGAAGAACTCTGCTCCCATTTAATTAGAAATGGTATTAAAAAATTAACTTCACAGCTCAGGAACTCAGACACTATCAAGTGATTTCACATCATCTTCACCGCTAAGCCGCTGACCTCCAAGCACTTGATTATTACTAGATTCTCTTTTCCAGTTAGGTTATTTCACACTGGGATGAAGCAGAAGGCAGGAGTGTAATGCATAATTTCAAGGAATTTAAGATGAGAAAAGGGAACACCATGTTCACATTATGGACCAGTGATCAGACAGTTATTTACATGCTTGTCCCAATGCACATGGCCATCTTCTAATCTAGTAGATCTTCCACCCCCTGCTATATAGGAAACATAATCAGTGTGCATGCAATTCACAGGGATAACTACATTAATCAGCAGTTGAGTTGAGGTGGAACATGGCAGAGTTTTAGTTTATTTTTTTCTACTTCCTTTAGAAGTGTCTGAATTTTACACAGCAATCCTGAGCAAATGAAAATGGCACAAGTTTCCACTCATGGCAGGATGCATGGATCAGATCACAAATAGTTTGATCTATAACTCAGTTTCCTTTTCTTGTTCACAGTTTCTGCACCAAGGACTTTTTGGTGCTGACTACTTGGCTGTTTGATTGAGACAGGAAACCAGACACATCTTAGAGGATTTACAGGAGAATCTGGAGGTGTGAAATGCAAAAACAGGAGTAAACACTCTAAGGAGGTAAACAGCAACAGAGAACTTCCCAAATGAGAAGCTATAGATCAGACAAGAAAACTGAGATAAGGATGCTAGGTCCTATAAATGTTAAGTGTAAACAAATTATAATCTCAGCTTCAGGGTGACTGGTATGCCACAAAAGGACTTGGAGTGCTTGCTCAAAAAGCATAGGTTGAATTAATTAATTCAATTCATGGAATCTACATTATGTACTATTTTAAACCATCTCTCTCTCTCTTTTTTAAATAAACTATTATGTGTTTTTAGTTTTAAATACAATGTTATTGATAATTTATTATTAGACTGAGAAAATTGTAATCCACATAGTCTCAATCGTTGTTTCTCATTCATTCCTCATTTGTGAAATGGGGCAATATTAGTTATACCTTAAAGTTGTTGAAAAGATTAAATGGAATGATTTATGTAACACATATTCTAAGTTAACTGGCACCCTACAAGTCTACAGAAAATGTTTCATTACTAGTTTATCAAGGATTTATCCATGAAATTATTGCATGTATATAATAATTGTATGGGTAAACCTTAGATGAATTAAGTTAAAATAGAAGGAAAGATGTTTTTCAGATGTAAAAGAAATGGCTTCTCTAAAGTCAACATATTAAGAAAAAAGAGTCATGTAGTTTCTAATGATCATCTGGTAACCAGAAAGCATACACTCCAAATATTTCTAATCAGACTACCATATTAGGGTGATTATGTAGCCTGAAAATATGCCATGTAAATTAAAACACTTACCTTCCAAATAGCCACCCTCGTGGGATCACATGATACGTTGAACAGTACATGATTTCAGTTTTAGCAACTTTAGACTTTTAAAACAAGATTTAAAAATGATATCTAATATTACTGTAATCAGAGTTTCAAACAGAAGTAGAGTATAACATGAAAAAAGAGACCCTATTTGTGAGAGAGACTCCTAAAATTCTCTACAGCCTAGGAAACCCAAATTAACTTTTTGTCTGTTTTTGACATAACAGTGACTATCCATTTAACAGAGTAGAGTGCACGGTCTGAAATATAATTCTTCAAGTAGCCTCTTTTATAAAGAAAAAGAAAATACAGCACCATCTGGTAAAAATAAAATAAAGTTTGTAGTGAAGCAGGGGAACCAGGACGGTATCAGGCACGGTATTGTCTCCTTTTCTCCTTAATAAAGTCATTTTATGGATCTTATGTATTTTGCATTGTAGAGAAAGCACTTTTTCTTAGAACACACAAAACGCATATAAACACAGATAAGGAGGCTCTAGCAAGATGCTTTGAACTCTTTGGAAAGCACCTATAGAATGCATTCTTGTCAATATTTTATATGGTAAAACTTTGAAATATCACAAGAGTTTCAAAATGTTCCCAACAAAATTGAAAGTCATACATTGTTACATCATGAAAAAGTGGGACCTGAACCAGATAATAATTTTCTAGGTCATGCAAATATTCATGGTTTTACTTCCTTCTCATTAAAATACCCATACCAAACCTATGATAAGGCATAGGTTTCAGACTCAGACAGACCTGAATTCAAATTTGACCCTTTCGGCTCCAAGTCTTGGGTAAATTATTCATTCTCAGAGAGTTGTGGTTTCTCTTTTGATCCTCATTTGTTAAAACAGGCAATTTTAATTATATCTCATGGTGGTTGAGATGGTTAAATGAGATGATTTATATAATGTCCATTGGACAGCACATAGTATATAGTAATTGCACAACAAATATGTGGTTATCAGTTCATTTAGGATTTATCCATGCAATTATTAAACCAGTGCATTGGGAGTAAAATTCTTCACAGACACATGAACTCTCTAAAAATCTAATAGAAGTGGATAAATTAAAAACACAGGGTGTTTATAACTTGCTATATGCATAAAGTAAATATGAAATATTCTAATACTCAATTATTCCATTTTTACTTTTTATTTATATATATAAACTCACAAATTTGTTTTTACATGTAAATATAAATTTTATATATTATATGTAAATATACCTTAAATATAATACTTTACATATTATATAGATATATAAATAAATATAAATGCACTTTAAAATATACTCAGTGGTAATTTAAACTTGGATGCTACTGGCTATTTCAGTAATCAGAAGTTTAGATTTTCACATTTCAACCATCAGCTTTTACTGCTTTATTCTCTGATAATGTATTTTACAATTTTGTTTCAGGAAAATAGTATTAGTTTTACCACTACTAACTTGTGGTCCCATCTTTGGCAGCTACTACCTCAAAACCATCTTTATAATAATCAGAAATTAGAATTCCAAATAAGTCATTTAAATTCATTTGTCAAACTGCTCCTTTTCCAGGCTTTCCAAAAGATGCTAATAAATGGTAATTATCTTCAGGTATTAGCAAAAAAATCTAATTTTAAAATTTGGGAACCTATTTATTACCATTCTCAGTATTAAATATCTTTCCCAGTTAAAAGGATGAAATCTGTAGATTCCCTCCTCCCCATTTTGCAATCCATCAACTTTACAGAAAACTATTGATTGTTTTCCAGTGAATATAAAAACATAACTAATATGTAGTGAATTATTATGAGCTCGCCACTGACTAAAGCACTTTAAATGTATTAATATTATCTCATTTAACTTCAAATTAATGACTCTTTTCCCCTACTTTTAGATAATGATACTCAGAGAAGTAGAGAAGCTGGCCTAACATCACAAACCTATGCTGTTGTGGAGCTGGCATTTGAAACCAGGTGTTTTCATTACATTCTCTGATTTTAAATACTTTCAAAAAAGCAGGAAATCTACATGGACTTCAAAGAAAATTGCCTAAGAATATCTTCTTTGAATGCATGCTTTTAACATTAATGTTTTTTCAGGATTATTATATCAACTGGATTTCTCACACTCAGTTTCAGTTTCTTCACCACTCAAATATGCATAGTTTCTCCTCCTTGGGTAGAAGCCACAGTGTTCCTCAGTTACAAGGAGTGCTTTATATGAGAAATGGCATAAACAACTGTTGATACTTGTTATGGAGAAAAGTCAAATAACTCAGAAGCATGTGAAATCTGAAGTTTAATATTTTGAAAGAGTTGCTATGTAGAAAACAGGTGGCAGAACTAGAACCCATGGAGGAAAATTAAGGGATGAAGATTTTGGTTCAACACCAGAAAAAAATATTTTTAAAAAGAAATGTAATTAGTGTTGTCTAAATCATAATTGAACAGTCTCAGGAAGCAATGAGCTCTCTGTGGATAAACTCATATTCTGGAATGTAATAAGGCAAAGATGTAATAGAAAATGATCCAGCAATAGATGGGGATAGAAAAAATATAAGCATATAGTTATATAGTTTGTGTCAGTTTCCTCATGATTGTCAAGGGTTGGTGGAGGGTTAGAGAAGAGGAGGTCGCAGGATGCTATGGATTGAATATCTGCATACCCTTACCCCCAAATCAAGTTAGTATGTTGAAGTTTAATCATTAAAATGATGGTATTTATAGGTGGAGCCTTTGGGAGGTAATTAGGACATGAGGGTGGAACCCTAGGAATGAGATTCATGCCCTTATAAAAAGAGATATGAGAGGGCTTGTGTCCTGTCCGCTTTCCTCCATGTGTGTTAGATTGAGCAGCTAAAACAGATACACCATACATTGGGTAGCTTATGTGACCACACAGTTCTGGAGGCTGGGAAGTCCAAGATGAAGGTGTCAGTAGATCTAGTGTCTGGTGAAGGCTGGCTTCCTGGTTTGCAGATGGCTGCTTTTCCCTTATATTCCCACATGGAGGAAAGCCAAAAGAAGCAAGCCCTCTCATATCTCTTTTTATAAGGGCACTAATCTCAGATGAGACAGAGCAACATAGAATGAAAAAATAAAAAGAACAAAATAGGGAGCATGAAATTTTAGTGACTTGACAAACAATAGACATTTTTCTTTCTCTGCTCATACATCGACAGAAACTGGGAATATTTTTGTCATATTCTGCCACACTTGAACAAATTTCAGTGGAGGCATCATAACTGAGCCTGTGTTAAGACCAAACCTTTACTTGACTTACAAAACTTTCTGTGAGTTTTTTTCTTAGTATGGTTGATTTCTTCAAGAAAAAGGATGTAAGTTTACCAATAAGGTATTTAAAGTACAAGTTACTTAATTCTTTATTAGCAAATAGTTGGCTGCTAATTTTTGCTTCTGAAAACACTTAATAATTAAAGGCTACAATATTTATATCTCAAGAAACGTCTCAGGTTTTTTCTCGTCACTAAGCTTAAATCTTACTCTTAAGCAAAAATATTTTAAATTTGAAAACATACATTGTATTTGACTATTAGCTTTTTTTTTAAAGAGAAGTCATTAAACTTAAAGCTAAAAATAAATTTTATATTTATGTGTAGCAGTTACCATATTGATGTGCTAAAAAGTTTATAGATTTAGCTACCGCAATAACAACTTTCTAATCAAAAGTTGAGACTGTTGTGAACAACTCTTTTGTGAATATAACCTAGCATTGTACAGTATAGATTGACTATCGCATATGCAAAATGCTTGGAACCAAAAGTGTTTCAGATTTCAGATTTTTTTTTTTTCAGATTTGGGAATATTTATTTGCATATGCATAATGAGACATCTTAAGGATGGGACACAAGTCTAAACACAAAATTCATTTATGTTTAATATACACTGTATACACAAAACTGAAGATAATTTTATATAATATTTTACGTAACTTTGTACCTGAAACAAAGTTCTGTCTGTGTTTTGACTGAGATTTGTCATATGAAATCAAGTGTGGAATTTTCCACTTGTGGCATCATGTCAGCAATCAAAAAGTTTAGATTTTGGAGCATTTCCAGTTTTGAACTTTTGGATTAGAGATGCTCAACCTGTATTTCCTACAAACTGTCATTAGGAAAAATCAGAAGACTAATTATTGTCTAAATTTTACCGTCTAGAATTTCTAATATCATTCAGCATTTTCAACTTTTTTCTTAATAGTTTCATATTGGACTGCTTGCTTCAAATTCACACATTAACCTAATAATTAAAAGCTAGTGGAAAGAATTATCAGATTAAAGCCTTAATTTCTACAAAGCATAAGTTAATAGAGAAAAACAAGTGCAAAGAGAGGCACCAGGTGGTTCATAGGACCTTCAGGTAAAACAAATGAGATTTTATTAGGCTTACAGATAGAATTTTTGCCTGTGTGTCAAGGGATAACAGGAGTGTTGATTTGAGTGGCTTATGAAACAGGCATGTTTAGCTCAGCAATATTACTCATCACTTGGCTTTTTAATCTGCCAAGAGATGGGTACGATTTGCACTTATGAACTGTGTGTAATTATGGTGATTCAGGTTTTGGCTTATAATGAATCCTCCATCACAGTCTGTTTTCTCGGTCTTTTATTTTCTGTTCCTCTAAGGGAAGAGAGACCAAAGAGAATTCTACTTTGACCCTGGCTTAAGAGTGGAACATAGATGTCTATAAAACTATGTGGTATGTACATTTATAAAAATTTTAATTTGCATTTTCTCTAGGTTTTATGTTTTTGGTGATAACAGAATAAAGTGTGCATGCCATCCAAGATAAATGGATGAAGGAAGTTCACTTCTTTTTAATTATCTTATACTGACAGATAAAGCAAAATAGAAAAAAAATTCTGTATTTAACCTTAACAAGCTGAGACACACTAGAGAAGTGGAAAATAGATTGTGTGCATCTGATCGTGCTGCACATTCCCTTTAGGTTGCAATCTCTGCTGTTATTACCGACAACAACTGAGACTACAGTTTTAACTCTGTATTTACTTCTAGTTATCCCACAATTGGTACATAGTATTGGATGGAGCCCTGTATTTCAAGGAGTTCAACTACCTAATTTTCATAGCTGAGATAACTAAGTTTCTGAGTCCGTTTTCCTTTTTCCAGTCTGATCTCTCCTTTTCTCAAGGCTACTTTCGTTTCTGATAACATACTAAAGGTTATAGGATTTATCGGTATTTTGCCTCCTGGGGTCATTTGTTATTAAAAAAGAAACTCTATTCAAATAACTGAATCTCTACTATTGGATTTTCCAAAGCTATGATAGACCAGCTAGTGAAACTATTTTGTACTGGAATTTGGCAGGGTGATGGGGTGGGGAGAAGGTGTGGAGAGGAATTCTTGTCCTCAGTCCTGATATTTCTTTCCAGGTGAATGTGGTCTTCCGTGTGCTACACTCCTTGCCTCTCTCTGCTCTTCTATTCACTATCTACCAGAGAAGATGGAGTGATTCACTCTGATTAATAAATTTGGAAAAAATCAATTAGACATGCTCCGAATAGTTCCACCCTTTTTGTCTTAGAAGACAGCTGCCCTCAGAGAGCAAGATTTTACCTTTGTAAATTGGTACACATGATCTAGCTTAGCATTGCTTTTAACAGGGGGAAGTCTGTATAATTCCTGGATTATTATCATGCCAGTGGGTTCTCATATTATACTTTATCCTCCAAATTAATTTTTTGTGGTGAAATTGATGCTTTTACTTCTTTTCTTTTCTTTTCTTTTTTTTTTTTTTTTTTTGAGACGGAGTCTCACTCTGTAGCCCAGGCTGGAGTGCAGTGGTGCCATCTTGGCTCACTGCAAGCTCCGCCTCCCGGGTTAGCGCCATTCTCCTGCCTCAGCCTCCCGAGTAGCTGGGACTACAGGCACCCGCCACCACGCCCGGCTAATTTTTGTATTTTTAGTAGAGACGGGGCTTCACTGTGTTAGCCAGGATGATCTTGATCTCCTGACCTTGTGATCCACCCGCCTCGGCCTCCCAAAGTGCTGGGATTACAGGCGTGAGCCACCGCGCCCAGCCGATGCTTTTATTTCTATCTTCTCATTTGTGTAAAGTGAATAATGATATCTCACTGTGATTTCTAGTTCATTTTTGTGACTCACAAATATAGATACTACTTCCGTTATATTACCTGTTTATTTTCTTATGTGAATTGCTTTCTCATACCCTTTTCTAAATTTTCTCTTCAGTACTTTACAAAGGGATTTGAAAGTGAGTTTGGTGATAATACGAAAGTATTTCAAGTGGACAAAGTGCAAATAATAGTATCAGTTGATGTTAGCATACACACACAGGAATGTCTTCTTTTATAGTAAAATTTATTTATTTATTTATTTATTTATTTATTTATTTATTTATTTATGACAGAGTCTTGCTCTGTCGCCCATGCTGGAGTGCAGTGGCCCTATCTCGGCTCACTACAAGCTCAGCCTCCCAGGTTCACGCCATTCTCCTGCCTCAGCTTCCCGAGTAGCTGGGACTACAGGCGCCCGCCACCACACCTGGCTAATTTTTTGTATTGTTGTTAGTAGAGACGGGGTCTCACCGTGTTAGCCAGGATGGTCTGGATCTCCTGACCTCGTGATCCGCCCGCCTCGGCCTCCCAAAGTGCTGGGTATAGTAAAATATTGAGTGTGTGTGTATATGATAGAGAGAAAATAATACTAATTTTAAGAGAGTTATATGAAAATTCTTTTAGATTTCTAAGGAAAAGACTGACTCGAACAAATGGACATTTTAAGAAAGCTATTGCTACTTAGTAATGTATGAGTCAAATGGATAGAAACTCCACTATTTGATGTGAGGTGTCTAGAATGTTGGGAAAGTGTTAATTCAATAGTGCTGTAGACAAAAAGTTTTCCACATTGATCCTATTTGTTCACCCATCTCCCTCCACCTAGGGGAACTACTTTTTAAAAGATGTTATGTTGTTCAAATTTCATATATAACCAATGTAAGTGAGCCATTAGTGTTTTTGGAGTATGAGGTAATAGATTCCTGTCCCCCACCAACTCCCTTATTTATCCCCTTTATGATTTCCTCACATAGCTAATAATGCAACAAGAAGAGCTTTAGGGGTGCAGAGAACTCAGAAATATCCCATTGCAATAGAAGGATATGTTTCCTTTTAAGGTAGCTCCGAAACAGCCCATTATATAATCATTTTGTCCCAAAGCAGTGGCTTTCATACTCACCCTGCCCATGGGCCTGACCATAACTGTTATTTCACTAAATCAGGTTATTTTTGGAGTGCCCAATTCTAAGTTGGCTGCTACTGGTGACATACATTTCATTATAGTTTGAGAGTTGTCAATATAAATACTCCACTCATAGACACCAAGAAGGTTCTTAGGAGGCAAGATCTAATCTTTAGAAAAATTTTATTGACATTTCATAAAATATTTATTTAAAGCTTGAGAAGGAAACTTTCTGGCTGTTAATGTTTTTCAGCTACCAATGAGTCTAACTCACGCATCTTTTTTCTTTTGGTTGCAATTATTATACAACCTCCTGCACGCCCGCTCCATTGCACCTGCCTCTCAAAACCTAAAGAAAAAAGATTTAAGCAGCTAAAATTTTAATAAAATATGGAACAGTCACATGAATTTCTGAACTTTAAAATGGGGAAAACAATCATAGGCTCTGATGGCTAATTTCAGAATCCTTTACATTTCATAATGAAAATTTCTATGTATAAAGATTCAAACTATTTGGAGACTTACATTTCAAAGGATAATTCTACTTTTTAGGCACTGTAACTTATTTTTATCCAAGAGAAAGAAGAAATGGTTAACTGAAAAGATTTAGTGACAGTGTTGTGATAGGAGTCAAAACGTCTCTAGTTGGCATAAGCATAGGAAAATAACTTTGTTGCAAAACACTTGAGCTCTGTTTGCAGAAATGAATGGCTAGCGGATATTTTTGTTCTCTCTGTTATACTAATGGATAAAGGCATGCTGATAAGTCACTGTAGCTCTGTGGGGTTAATGCCAGAATGAAATACCAGAGCTGTACTCTTTCTTAGGAAATAGCAGATTCTTACAGACATGATCACAACACATTTTACAGACAAACTACATTGCCTCATGTACTGTAGCCCCTATTCTGTGCTTTGGGGGTCACCACAATAATTTCTCTTAGAAATTTCCTAATTTCAATAAAGCCTACCATGGAAACTTATTTGGTTGTTTGTTCCCTCTCTTATATCTGCTCCTCTGCGTCTTTCCCTTCTTTTCTGGCATTTGTTTTTCTTCTGTTCCTTTGGAGAAAGCACAGCCTTTAGAGCTAGTCAGTTTAGAATTTAGCTCAAATTTTATCTTGGTCACATATAACTATGGAAAAAGTATTTCCTTTCTAAAACCTCTCTGTTTTTTCATACGGCAAATGGAGACTATATACTCTACACTTAGGATTAGAATTAACTGAGAGACACACACATTTTCTCATTTTCTTTTCTTTTTTTTTTTTCTTTTCTTTTTTTTTTTTTGCTTCTCAATCAGCTCAGTTCTCTGTAGTAGATGAGGTAGTTATCAACGGGGAGGAGCTAGGAGTTTCCAGCTTAGCAATTTAATACTTTTAATAACTATACAATTATTTCGTACAAATACAAGAACCTAAACAGCTTATAGAGCAAGAATTACAGTAAGATTGGCCCACCATGCTTTTCGCAATCTCCCATAGTTGTGCTTTCATAAACAAAAGTGCTAACCTGAACTTCCAAATCAACAACTAAGCTCTGGCTCTATTACTACATCCCAGAACCATGACACAGATACATGATTATAGACCCTGAACAACAATGCCCATCTTCACAGGCACTTTGAAATGGGGCAGGTTTCATTTTAGAGTATATTTTAAGGCATAAGAGTTTGCCTCCAGAATTTTAAGTTGTAGTGAAAATACTCTGTCTGTAACATAGAAAAATAAGCTTAGAAGACTCTCCGAGTTTCCTTCATGGATTAAAAAGTTGAGGATTCTTTTAACTACATAAATTCTGTGTCCTTTCAAATAGTAGTACCCTTACAACTTAAATAGCACAGGTGTACGTTACCATTTCATACCGATCAGCCCCAGTGGGGCGTGGAGGTAGGGGAAACAGTTAAATAGAGACTTTCCCAGATGTGTTCCAAAATCTGTCATTTCTGTTAAATTGGTAATTATCAAATTTATGACTAAATAAAGATCATATAGAGCTTTTCTAAACACAGATTTCAGAGTCTCAAATTTAGAGAGTCTACTTCAGTAGCTCTGGAGCATAGGCTAAGACTCTGGATTTTTACAATGCATTTTAAGGAATCTTGATGTAAGTAGTCCTTGAACTTTACTGAAAAACTTTGCCCTACACCCTGCCTTATAAATAAGTTATACAACTGCTTCTTGGGGCTGTTAAGCAATGGAGTCTAGTGAGATTGTTGCAATTTCTTGTGCTGAGAGAAAGAAATCCAATTAAGAAATGTAAATTCTTCTTCATGCTGAGAGAATATGAGGCAATAAAAATATGAATTTCTTTATGTTGCATAGAAGCTTCTGGGAGCCCATAAAGGGTGAGCAATCCTTACCAAGCAGCTGGACTGTCATCATCTTCTCTGGCTTTTATGGGAGAAGATGAGGTACTTTTGGCACTTTTCTGAAAACAATCTCTTTAAGAGTTTCTGTACAGGCTGCAAGGCTTTTTCTTTTAATGCTTGAAATTCATAATTAACAATTTAGAATGGGGGAGAAATGTTAAAATATGGAATAAGTGCAATCCTTTTTCAGGATGATTATCTGATTTCTAATTGCACCCAGCAATACAGTTGTTCAGAAAGACTGGTGGTTGGGAATAAAGAAAGCGTTTTCAGTAACTTTTAAGGAGACTTGTTAGTGCTTTAAAAAAGAGTGAACAGGCTGGGCGTGGTGGCTCACCTCTGTAACCCCAGCACTTTGGGAGGCTGAGGTGGACGGATCACAAGGTCAAGTGATCAAGACCATCCTGGCCAACATGGTGAAACTCCATCTCTACTAAAAAAAAAAAAAAAAAAAAAAAAAAAAAATTAGCCATGCGTGGTGGTGGGTGCCTATAGTCCCAGCTACTCTGGAGGCTAAGGCAAGATAATCGTTTGAACCCAGGAGGCGGAGGTTGCAGTGAGCTGAGATCACACCACTGCACTCCAGCCTGGCGACAGAGCGAGACACCATCTCAAAAAAAAAAAAAAAAAAAAAAAAAGAGTGAACAATTGAACAATTCTAATTACTACTCATGCTCCAACATGGCTGTGTTACCCTGAAGCAGACCATAGTACAGGGCTGGAGCACATGGGCTACTGTTGAAAATGTCAGAAAACTAAAACAAAGATGAAAAGCAAGTGGGAGTTTGGTGTGAGAGATTCTATTGCCTTGATATGCCCATAGAAGCAGAGTTGAGTGAAGGGAGCTGTTTTTGTCATTGAGAGGTTCCTTTCATTTAGTTTTCTGAGAGAATTCTATGTGAGCCTGGTTGAATCCTATCTGCCACTTCAAATACTGTCTTCCTTTCCATTTTTCTGTTACATATAGTGAACTTGTTCCAATAACCTTTTCAAGTAGATTCCTGGTTATGTTTCCTTCCTTATGCCCTGGCTTTTGTAAATTCAATCTCTGCCTTAGTGATTCTAAATCCACATCAGACATATCCTATATAAGCAAACATATGTTGTTCAAGACATATTCCTAAGCAGCATCTTCTATCCCACTTCTCTCTGTTTTTCATTATGCTCCTGATTCTTGATTTAAATGATGCTATTTTGGGAAAACAAATGTGCTCTGGGATTAACAGCAATTCCCTTTGTAAACCAAGCCTGTTAAAAATGCATTTCTAGAAGTCCAGCATAATTTGAACCAGCAAATCTAAGCATCTTCTTTCTATGTGGAGAGAATTTTAGGCTACTATATTCAAAAATTGCTTTATTAGCCACAGAAGAAATAGCCAAAAGTAGAGATTCCCAGAACAATTGTAAATGAGTCATTGAATTTAGAACACCATTTTGAAATGATTTTCAATCACTGAATAGACTTAGTAAGTACAAAGACAACTCAATTCTGGTGTGTATCTTCACCATTTAAAGATATTCACAGGTTTAAAATTTAATGTTTTCTTTGCATTTAGAGTGAATTTATTGTTGGCAGAAAATGCATGAGAGTCCGGACTGGAGAATTAAGTCTTCTGTTCCCTACATAATGGATCTAGCAGAAATGTTTAGCTATTTAGGATTCATGAGTGCTGTTCTGCCAGTCTACATTAGGCATGATTAGAGAGGGCCAACTGAAGCTGGGATGTATTGAACTCTGTAAAGTATGTGAAACCACCTTGTGTCAGGGCCTGTTTAAGGAATGAAAGCTAAGAATTTGGCTAAGTGCACAACAATGTAAGGATTGAATATCTCAGCAATTTACCTCAATCATAATAGCTCATGTCTTTTATCCCTTAGGTTGGGGCCCATTGTCTAGCTTACTGACTTCAACTTCCTCTTCTATATAGGCTCTAGGCCTCAGACATAGTGTTGATTTCTATAAGCAACCATAGGCATGTTCTGACTGCTGTATTGTCTCCTAAAGAAGGCATCTTACACTGTAAAGTTAGGAAAATCCCACCATACCTGAGGTCCAAAGTAGGGGTATTACTAGCATAAGGTCATATCACTAGTTAGTGGAAGAGCAGAGATTTAAATTCAGATTTTAGAAAAAAGAAGTAAGGTAAAGTTTTGACAAATATTGGAATATGTGACATGTAATAGATCAACTTGGTTTGTGAATTCATATTAGGTATTGCATTCTGTATTAGTTTCTGCCACAAAGGAAGGAAGGGAACATTTATGGAACATACAGATTTTGAGTCAGGCAAGCCTGGGTTCAAATTCTGTCCCACTACTTAATAGCACAGTGATTTGGGGGAAATTACGAAACCTCTCAAGGACTCACTGCCATCATTGATAAAATGGGAATAATACTAAACTTCATAACAATTTGCAAGACCATTTATAAAGAGGTTGGCAGAGTGCCTAAGTAATAGTAGACTTAGTGAGGACTCAGCTGTAAAGCCTACACTCTCCCTACCATACCATAGATCCTTCCTATTGGCAACATCACTGTATTTGTAACTATGTATTTCCCTGTCACTCTAATAATAGTCACAAGATAATTTCCATTATGAGATATCAAAATTTCCAAGACCGTGTGATAAGTTTGACTAATACAATTAGAAATAAAGAAGGAAATGCCATTATATATTTGTAAAGTAAGATTTTAAATGAGATCATTGAAATCCTACTTGTTTATCTTTCAGAGACACTCAGTGATTCTTTTTTCTTCCCAAGTAATGGATTATATGGATTATTATATATTTAATTGCTATTTTGAGAAAGGTATTCCTCCAAATGGGCATTAGGGAAACAGGACAGATTTTAATTAAACCATTTAGCACATACTGAATAACCTCATCAGGAGGCATGATAAAAGTATGCTTAATTGGCTCAGAAAGATGGTAGTAATGTGAGAACTTCAAACACAAAGTTAACTGCAGAGATAATTCTACATCTATCTCCTAATCAACAGCAAGGGAAACTACTAAACATTTAAATAGGCAAGGCAAGAAAATCAGAGAATAGGCTATACTTTCATCTAATTTGTCTCTCAAAAAAGTTTCTTCAGGTGTGCACGTGTATTCTATTTTGGTGACAAGACTACATAAGGAAGGGACTGCTTTATTTCTAAGGCTGTCTGACAGCACGTTTCCCTCAATACTTTGTACAGTGTGTATGGTAGTGTTTCTCATTCTATTATTCCTTTCATTCTTCTCTCTATCCCACCTAAAACTTAACACTTTTCTAAATATCAGTGCCAGCATAGGCACTTAAGAACAGGACGGAGAATAGAATTGTCTATCCCATGTTTCTATTTGTCTCCACCAGGCAATATAACGGGTCAGAAGACCAGGCAGACTGGTCAGAGAATGGGGCAGCACTGGACCAATTGCAGGACAGTTAAACAGCTAGCTAGCTAGATTGTAAAACAGCTATCTGAAGTCAACTAAGTTCTGAGGTCTGAAAACCAGAAGACCACAAAAGATCAAGTAAATGAATGATAGAATTGAAAGAGGTAGGTATAAATCAGCTCAGTTCCATTTCGCCTGAATATAGAGAATGGCCATTGTATGCCAGGACTTGTGATAGATTATGAAAATTTAGAATACAAAAGTAAAATAATTTCACACTTGTTTTTCTAAGCAGTATTACTATCAGAGGAAACATGTACATGAGCAGATTATAACAAAACAGAATGGTAAGTCACTTGACAGAGCTTTGTATGAGGTGTTAGGGAGGCACATAGCATGGCCACCTATTCCACATTCCTTGATTTCACTGTTCATGATTATTGTTATGTTTGGGATACTAAGAATCCTGATGACATCATTCTTTTATCTTACTTGAGCTTTTCTAGCAAGAATGTTTTCAATGTGAGTCTTTTTATAGCAAAACTTCTGACATCAGAATATCATTTCTACTTCTGTTTTTCATATATTTTAGCTTTGATTTTATAGCTTCCCTCTTTTTATATTTTTCTTCTGCCTTCTGGAATTTTTAATGTCATCTTCTAATTCACATATTTATTCTTAAGTGTATCATCTTCTTTGATCAGTTATTATGTTTATCATTTCCACCAGTTTACTTTTCAGATTTCTTGTTCTTATGTTACTAATATATTTCCTTATCTTCTAAAGTATTACAGTTATTTTACATTATTGATCCATCCATTCCAGTGTTCAGACAGTTTATTGAGTTTGTCTTTCTTTAACAGTCCTTGCAATCTTTATACATCTAGTTATCTTCCCTAGGTGCTCATTTCACCATGATGGTATACTTACTGTGTCTGGTAATATGTACTATGGAATGCCCAAGGCCATGCCTTCCTCTCTGTATGTCCAAGTTAATTTAGAAAAAGAAAACGGGCTTAATTTCAGGAAAGAGAGCTCAGGACTATTATTTCTCTTTGCAGTCCTCCACCAGGCAACTGCTGTGATTGGGATTTATCATCAATACCTTAGGAAGAAGCAGCATTGAGAAAAGGTTATTCGTCTAGTTTGTCATCTACAAACTTGGAGTTTAAAGAAAGGGGATGGAGAAGAGAGTGATTAAGTGGGGAGATATAAGGCACTATGGATAATATAACAATCCAAGTTAAAAGGGAAATTTAGACTGACAAAATATCTTTGGTTTGCTCTCTTAACCAACATGATAAACAATGTGATAACAATTCAGGCTCAATGACGCTACCAGTTATGGCTTTTGTACTTAGGGCTAATTTTTCGTTCTTTGGACTTTAGTGTACCCATAAATAAAACGGGAATATGATAGTACCCAACTCTTAGGGTTTTGTGATGATTAAATGATACACTATTATATATAAATTTTAGAGTTCCAAAAATGAGTGTGTTTTACTCTGGAAACTTAAAAGGTGCTTTATTTAATTTTAAGAAATACATGGCTGTTGTGTAGGCTTACTAAATGGTTTAGGTATTTATTTATCCCATGAGTTTGTGGGATTGTGCATCTGGGGTACAATAATTTTTAAGTGTTTAGTTCTTTGAACAATTGTGCAGCATACATACAGACCTCTCTGCCTCCCTCTCTCCCGAATGCAATCCACTGTGGGAAGCATGATTTGTAGCTAATAGTGAACATCAACTTGGTGAAAAAATAAATTTTTCTTACAATGAATTTCTCTCTTTAATAGGGATTTAATTTTGTTAAAAGTAATAACAACTAAATAAAGAATGTTTTCTTCATCCAGTAAGATCACTGACTTTCTCAAATAACTGGTGATGCTCTAGTATGTCCATAATGGCAGATATCCAGATCCCAGTGTGACCTGCTTTAAACTTTGAGAAAACAGATATGCGCATTAAAGGATAATGGTTTTATGAGGAAATATAAATAATCTCAACTAACCAGACTCCATTGATTTTCATAGTTCCATTGTAATAAATGAAAACAAATCTTGTGCTAATTTTAAAGATCATAGATGCTAAGAGGGGCCAGTTTAGAGAATAAAGTGATACAGTAAAATGAAAAAAAAAGGAGAAATTTCTTTTTCATTTTGTGTGAAAGACCAGTATTTAAAGATTGCAGGATCAATAGCACATTTCTGCTTGAATGAGAGACAGTGAGATCAGGAAAACATGACGTATAAACAAAAGAAAATGGACATAATTGTTCTTGTATTATATTAATAAATATAGTGGTAAAATGGAAACTAGAACGGATATGTAAAATGACTAAAGGAACTGCAGTGATAAAGTAAATTATTAATAGAAAATACCGTATGTTCAACTCATTAGTAGTATTTAGATCTCTGACCCACTTAGAAAGAAATAGTTTTTCTGTCTTAGTGTTCATAACTGCTGAACAGGCCAGGATTGGCAACTATAACTAGGACTAGATTTCCTACAGTAAATCATTTAAGTTGCATGTAGTACCTATTATCAAAAAGCAAATGAAGAATTCATTTAATAGTGTATGCTGGTTAGGAACCTTCATTGAAACCTGATTTTCCTCCACGAAGTGTATATGCCTTCACCATCTGTAGTTCTCAAATTCAAGCCATGCTAATGCTAACAAAGTGGCTGGCTTGGCAGATCAATCAGAGAGGGAGCCTGGAGATTTACCTACTTTGGAAAGGTAATTTAAAACTAAATCCACCTTTAGAAGTGAGTGTCCCATTTGTGTTTATAGGTTTCACTAGAGGGGAGCCCTACATATTAGAAGCATTTCCTTTTGTTTGCCAATAGCAGTGAAGACTAAGGCTAAAACCCAAAAGGATATGACTTACACAAGAATGAGCATATGGCTGTCAAAGTTTTAATCACTAGGAAAGGAAAATATAGTTGCAGCTTGTAGATAAACAGCTCTGTTTTAGCAAAAGCCAGATGAGGACAGACTTGGTTGTAAGATAATTGGTAAAAAATGTCAGCCCTTTAAAGGAGCATATCAGTTTTGCATGCTCAATAAAACAACAACAACAACTCACCTAAGGAGAGGTGAGTCTAACAGGAAAAATTCAAGCAGCAGAAAAATTTGGTACAATAATCTCCTATGAACTAAATTACCTGAAGTATTTTATCAGTATCTTTCATAGAGTTAAGAGGCAGGAGTTCAGGCACTGCATTTAAAAATGGTTTGGCACAGTCATTGCCAATGTTACTAAAACTTCTAAAGGGATAAGGAAACAATTTCTTGTGCAATTTTGGAGGATCATATGATTCATACTATATTGGAATTTTCATGGTAAAATTGTCAATCCCTTGGTGATTTTTCCAACTTTCAACATAAAATTGCAAGTCTGTTTTGAAATAGGAGCAAAGTGCAATCTGTCTTTACAAGAGCTAAAATGTTTGCAAATTTCATAATGTTATCTTATTTCCTGACTGTACGTGTTCCTTTAGAATCTTTGACCAAAATCCATTATTTACTTGTAAAAAGTTAAAGGCTCAATGATAAAATATACAGTACTCCTAAATGTGCTGGTCAAATAGACTCAAGAAAACTTGATATGCTTTTATTTAACAACAACAACAACAACAACAACAACAAAACCTACTTAAACAAATGTGGACCATTTTTCAGCAAATATTTTTTAAAAGCCTACTTTTGACTAGGCAGGCGTTGTTCTTTGTGTGAAGCTGTAAACTTGAACTTTGTTATATATTTACTATCATGATGTTTCTCATGTCTTAGCTTCATATCCTGTCTTCCCTCCCTCCATCACTCCCTCCCTTCCTTCTTTCCTTCCCTCCCTCCTTCCCTCCTTCCCTTCCTCCATTCCTCCCTTCCTCCGTTCCCCCCTCTCCTCCCCTCCCCTCCCCTCCCCTTCCCTTTCCTTCCCTTCCATTTCTTTCATGCGCTTCCATGTGAAGAGACCACCAAACAGGCTTTGTGTGAGCAACAGGCTGTTTATTTCACCTGGGTGCAGGTGGGCTGAGTCTGAAAATAGAGTCAGGGAAGGGAGATGGGGTGGGGCCGTTTTATAGGATTTGGATAGGTAAAGGAAAAAGGGGGGTTGTTCTCTGGTTGGAGGAGTGGGGGGTCACAAGGTTCTCAGTAGGGGAGCTTTTGAGCCAGGATGAGCCAGGAGAAGGAATTTCACAAGATAATGTCATCAGTTAAGGCAGGAACAGGCCATTTTCACTTCTTTTGTGGTGGAATGTCATCAGTTAAGGCAGGAACTGGCCATCTGGATGTGTATGTGCAGGTCACAGGGGATATGATGGCTTAGCTTGGGCTCAGAGGCCTGACATTCCTGTCTTCTTATATTAATAAGAAAAATAAAATGAAATAGTGGTAAAGTGTTGGGATGGTGAAAATTTTGGGGGTGGTATGGAGAGTTAATGGGCGATGTTTCTCAGGGCTGCTTCCAGTGGGATTAGGGGTGGCGTGGGAACATAGAGTGGGAGAGATTAAACTGAAGGAAGATTTTGTGGTAAGGGGTGGTATTATGGGGTTGTTAGAAGAAACATTTGTCATTTAGAATTATTGGTGATGGCCTGGATACAGTTTTATATGAATTGAAAAACTAAATGGGATAAGAGAAGGAGAAAAACAGGTATTAAAGGACTAAGAATTGGGAGGACCTAGGACATTTAAGTAAAGAGTGCCTAAGAAGGTTCAGTATAGCCTTGCCAGCAAAGATTATTTATTTACTTCAAGAGTTAAGAGTGGCGATTTGGGGATAGCACCAAGAGATATCAGCTGTGATGGCTTGGAGAAACAGTGTAAACTGGCAGTGTAAACAAGAGCAGGGCAGGTATGAGTAGTTGAGAACGGTGAATATGAGTATGACTAGACAGAAGATAGTAGAGATGGCAAGTTTTCTGGGGCACAGTCCAAGTTGGTCTAGTGTCTGGAATGAGACTGGGGCCTAATAAAAAGGAGCATCTATACAGGAGCTCAAATGGGCTGTACCTTTTAGCATTCTGAGGACAGGCCTGAATTCTGAGAAGGGAAAGTGGTAAAAGTATTGTCCAGTCCTTTTTAAGTTGGTGGCTAAGCTTGGTGAGGTGTGTTTTTAAAAGACCATTATTCTGTTCTTTCCTGAAGACTGAGGACTGTAAGGGATATAAAGGTTTCACTGAATACTAAGAGCCTGAAAAAATGCTTGGCTGATTTGACTAATAAAGGCCAGTCTGCTATCGGACTGTATAGAGGTGGGAAGGCCAAACCGAGGAATTATGTCTGACAGAAGGGAAGAAATGACCATGGTGGCCTTCTTAGACACTGTGGGAAAGTCCTCTACCTATCCAGTGAAAGTGTCTACCTAGACCAAGAGGTATTTTAGTTTCCTAACTCAGGGCATGTTGAGTAAAGCTAATTTGCCAGTCCTGGGCGGGGGCAAATCCCTGAGCTTGATGTGTAGGGAAGGGAGGGGCCTGAATAATCCCTGAGAAGTAGTAGAATAGCAAATTTGCCAGTCCTTGGTGGGGACAAATCCCTGAGCTTGATGTGTAGGGAAGGGAGGGGGCCTGAATAATCCCTGAGGAGTGGTAGAATAGCAGATGGAACACTGAGAAGTTATTTCCTTGAGGATATATTTCCACGATGGAAAGGAAATGAGAGGTTCTAAGAGGCGGGCTAGTGGCTTGTACTATAGCATAGCCTGCCTTTGCTGGTGTGTGGCGATTAGGCCTGGTGGAACTGCCATCAATAAACCAAGTGTGATCTGCGTGAGAAACAGGGAAGAAGGAAATGGGGTGAACGTCAGGTGGATCAGAGAGATGCAGTCATGAGGGTCAGGTGTGGTATCTGGAATAATGTGGGAGGCCGGATTGAAGTCCGGGCCAGGAACAATTGTAATTGTGGGAGACTCAACAAAGAGTGAGTACAGCTGAAGGAGCCGGGGAGCAGACAGTATATGCGTCAGGTGTGAGGAAGAAAATAGATTTTGGAAATTATGAGAGCTGTAGAGAGTGAGTTGAGCATAGTTTGTGATTTTAAGGGCCTCTAAAAGTACTAGGGCAGCAGGAGCTGCTGCACGGAGACAAGATGGCCAGCCTAAAACAGTAAGGTCAAGTTGTTTGGACAGAAAGGCTACAGGGTGCGGTCCCAGCTCTTGTGTAAGAATTCTGACTGCACTAACCGTGCCTAGGAAAGAAAAGAGTTGTTGTTTTGTAAGGGATTGAGGTTTGGGAGATTAGCTGGACACGATCAGCAGGGAGAGCACGTGTGTTTTTATGAGAATTATGCTGAGATAGGTAACAGATGAGGATGAAACTTGGGCTTTACTGAAGTAAAGGGGGCTGTCTGTGAAGCCTTGCGGCAGTACAGCTCAGGTAATTTGCTGAGCCTAATGGGTGTCAGGGTCAGTCCAAGTGAAAGCGAAGAGAGGCTGGGATGAAGAGTGCAAAGGAATAGTAAAGAAAGCATGTTTGAGATCCAGAACAGAATAATGGGTTGTAGAGGGAGGTATTGAGGATAGGAGAGTATATGGGTTTGGCACCACAGGGTGGATAGGCAAAACAATTTGGTTGATAAGGCGCAGATCCTGAACTAACCTGTAGGTCTTGTCTGGTTTTAGGACAGGTAAAATGGGGAAATTGTAAGGGGAGTTTATAGGCTTTAAAAGGCCATGCTGTAACAGGCGAGTGATAACAGGCTCTAATCCTTTTAAAGTGTGCTGTGGGATGGGATATTGGCATTGAGCAGGGTAAGAGTGATTAGGTTTTAATGGGATGGTAAGGGGTGCATGATGAGTCACTAAGGAGGGAGTAGAGGTGTCTTATACTTGTGGGTTAAGGTGGGGAGATACAAGGGGAGGATGTGAAGGAGGCTTTGAACTGGGGGAAAAGGTGGCAATGAGGTGTGGCTGTAGCCCAGGAGTAGTCAGGGAAGCAGATAATTTAGTTAAAGTGTCTCGGCCTAATAAGGGAACTGGGCAGGTGGGGATAATTAAAAAAGAGTGCAAAAAGAGTGTCTTCTAAGTTGGCACCAGAGTTGGGGAGTTTTAAGAGGTTTAGAAGCCTGGCTGTCAATACCCACAACAGTTATGGAGGCAAGGGAAACGGGCCCTTGAAAAGAAGGTAATGTGGAGTGGGTAGCCTCCGTATTGATTAAGAAGGGGACGGACTTACCCTCCACTGTGAGAGTTACCCGAAGCTCGGCATCTGTGATGGTCGTCTAGGGGCTTCTGAGGCGATCAGGCAGCATCAGTCTTCAGCTGCTAAGCCGAGAAGATCTGGGAAGTAGTCAGAGAGCCTTGGGCCAGAGTTCAGGGGCTCTGGGAGTGGCTGCCAGGTAAATTGAACAGTCTGATTTTCAGTGGGGTCCTGCACAGTTGGGACACAGCTTAGGAGGAATCCCAGGCTGCAGGCATTCCTTGGCCTGGTGGCCAGATTTCTGGCACTTGTAGCAAGCTCCTGGGGGAGGCGGGCCTGGAGGAACACTTGGCCACTGTGATTGAGGCATTTGGAAGTTCTTGTGTGCTGGAGATGTGGCTGGGGTTTGTCTCACAGCGGAGGCAAGGAATTGTACACCTTGAAGGTGAGGTTAATTAAGTCCTATTGTGGGATTTGAGGGCCGGAATTTAATTTTTGGAGTTTTATTTAATGTCGGGAGCAGATTGGGTAATAAAATATATATTGAGAATAAGACGGTTTTTTGACCTTTTAGAGTCTAGGGCTGTAAAACATCTCAGTGTTGCTGCCAAACGAGCCATGAACTGGGCTAGGTTTTTATATTTGATGAAAAAGAGCCTAAACGCTATCTGATTTGGGATAAAGAAAAAGGAGCATTAACCTTGACTAGGCCTTTAGCTCCATCCACCTTTTTAAGAGGATATTGCTGGACAGGTGGGGGAGGGCTAGTCATGGAACGAAACAGTAAGCCAGACCGGGTGTGAGGAGGGCAGGTGATAAAAGGATTATAGGGTGGAGGAGTGGAGGCTGAGGAAGAATTGGGACCTAGCTCAGCCTGGCGAGGAGGGGAGAGGTTAGATGGGTCTGTAGAAAAGGAAGATTAGAAAGACTCAGTGATGCTTGGGGTTGGGACTGAGGGGACAGGTGGGAGGGAAAGAAGGAAGATTTGGGATGAGGTGCATTGGGAACAGAGACTAGGGAGAGACAGATGTGTAAAAGAACACCTGGATGTCAGGCACCTCAGACCATTTGCCCATTTCACGACAAGAATTATTTAGATCTGGTAGGATGGAAAAATTGAAAGTGCCGTTTTCTGGCTATTTGGAACTACTGTCGAGTTTGTATTGGGGTCAAGTGGCATTGCAGAAGAAAATAAGATGCTTAGAGTTTAGGTCAGGTGAGAGCTGAAGAGGTTTTAAGTTCTTAAGAACACAGGCTAAGGGAGAAGAGGGAGGAATGGAAGGTGGAAGGTTGCCCATAGTGAAGGAGGCAAGCCCAGAGAAAAAAGAGTAGAGACACGGAGAAGGGGTGGGGAGTTCTTGCCCTCCAAAAAAGCAGAGAAGGGGTCAGGGCATGGAGATAAGAGGTCACGGTATGGAAATAAGGGATCAGGGTGCAGAGATAAGAGGTCGGGGTTCCTGCCTCTCCCCCAGAAAAGCGGGACTTGCCGCTAAGGGTGAAGGACCAAGGCAGGTGTCCCTGTGTGGTCTGACACCTCTGAAACCTGGGTGAATAATCAGAGAGGTGTCCCTGCAGTGATTAAACACCAAGGGAAGGCTGCCTTCCCTAGTCCGTGACCGGCGCCGGAGTTTTGGGTCCATTGATAAAACATGTCTCCTTTGCCTCTACCAGAAAATGAAAGGAATTGAAATTAAGAGAAGGGAGAGACTGAAGTGTGGTGCCAAGATTGAAAGGAGAAAAAGGTTGAGGGATAGTGAGGGAGGTTGGAGAAAAGAGTAAAAAGAGGCTACTTACCAGATTTGAAATTGGTGAGATGTTACTTGGGCTGGTCGGTCTGAGGACCTGAGGACATAGGTGGATCTTTCTCATGGAGCAAAGAGCAGGAGGACAAGGGATTGATCTCCCAAGGGAGGTCCCCCCATCTGAGTCACAGCACCAAATTTCATGCGCGTCCATGTCAAGAGACCACCAAACAGGCTTTGTGTGAGCAACAAGGCTGTTTATTTCACCTGGGTGCAGGTGAAAAGGGAGTCTGAAAAGGGAGTCAGCAAAGGGAGATAGGAGTGGGGCCGTTTTATAGGATTTGGGTAGGTAAAGGAAAAAGGGGGGTTGTTCTCTGGTTGGAGGAGTAGGGGTCGCAAGGTGCTCATTAGGGGAGCTTTTGAGCCAGGAAGAGCCAGGAGAAAGAATTTCACAAGATAGTGTCATTAGTTAAGGCAGGAACAGGCCATTTTCACTTCTTTTGTGGTGGAATGTCATCAGTTAAGGCAGGAACCGGCCATCTGGATGTGTATGTGCAGGTCACAGGGTTTATGATGGCTTAGCTTGGGCTTAGAGGCCTGACAGTTTCCACATATATTTGAAGTTTCTTTCATATGCCATGCACTAGCTGAATGAAACATAGACTTGGCCATTTCAAAGTTCACAGTGGGAATTGATATGTAAACACCAAAGTATGATAGCAAAAGTATGAAAATTAGATTCACAAGCTAAAATGTTAACTACAGACTAAAAAGCAAAAGGCTCAAACAAACAAACAAATATACCACATATTTAGGTTGAAAGATGCTAAAGTGATTAAGCCAATCTTACCCACATGGAATATTCATGCATTAGACCGGAGAAGGTGCAGATACAGATGCTACACTGGAGATTATGTATAAAAAAATTCTCAGAGGTGTTGCATTGATTTCCTATTATTGCCATAACAAATTACCGTAAATTCATTATCTTAAAACAGCATGCATTTATTATTTCATCGTCTGTAGTTCAGAAATTTGGCATGGGTCTCCCAGAGCTAAAATCAAGGCACTGTCAGGGCTATGTTCTCTTCTGGACATACTGATTTCCTTTCTTTTGGATGTATACCCAGTAACGCTGAATGCTGGATCATATGGTAGTTCTGCTTTTTAAATTTTTGTTGAACCTTTATATTGTTTGCCTTATGGCTGTATGAATTTATATTCCCACTTACAGTGTGCAAAGTAGCCCTTTTCTTCACATCCTCCCAACACTTGTTTTCTTTTGTCTTATTGTTAATAGCCATTTTAATAGGTGTGAGGTGATAGCTAATTGTGGTTTTATTTATTTTTATTTTTAATTTTTATTTATTTATTTATTTTTGAGATGGAGTCTTGCTCTGTCACCCAGGCTGGAGTGCAGTTGTACAATCTTGGCTTATTTCAACTTCGGCCTCCCAGGTTCAAGCAATTCTCCTACCTCAGCTTCCTGAGTAGCTGGGATTACAGGTGCATGCCACCGCACCCAGCTAATTTTTGTATTTTTAGTAGAGATGGGGTTCCACCATCTTGGCCAGGCTGGTCTCAAAAGTCCTGACCTCGTGATCTGCCTGCCTCAGCCTCCCAAAGTGCTGGGATTACAGACATGAGCCACCATGCCCGGCTTCATTGTGGTTTTAATTTGCCATTCCCAGATACTTAGTGATGTTGAACAATTATTCATATACATGTTGGCCATTTATATGTCTCTTTTTGACAAATGCCTATTCATCCATTTTTAAATTGTCTTGTTTTCTTGCTATTGAGTTGTTTAAATTTCTTATATATTTTATATGTTAATACATTATCAGATTGATAGTTTGGAAATGTTTTCTCATGCTCTGTGGATTGTCTCTTCACTGTTGATTTTTTTTCTTGGCTGTGCAAAAGCATTTGTTCATTGTAATCCCATTTATCTATTTTTCCTGTTGTTGTTTGTGCTTTTGGAGTTATATGTAAGAATTATTGCCCAGATCAATGTCATGGAGGTTTTGTCCTATGTTTTCTTCTAATAATTTTATAGTTTTGGGTCTTACATTTAAGTCTTAAACCCATTTTGACTTCATTTTTTGTATATGTTGTGAGACAAAGGTCCAATTTCATTCTTCTGCATGTGGATATCTGGTTTTCCCAACACCATTTGTAGAACAGACTATTCTGTTCCCATTGTGTATCTTGGAATTGTTGTCAAAAATCAGTTGACTGTATATGTGTGGGTTTATTTCTGGGCTTTGCATTCTGTTCCAGTGGTCTATGTGTCTGTTTTTATGCCAGTACCCTGTTTTTAGGCTACTATAGCTTTGTAGCGTATTTTGAAGTCAGGCAATGTGATGCTCCCAGGTATATTTATTTTGTTCAAGATTGCTTTGACTATTAGGGGTCTTTTTTGTGTTCCATACAAATTTTAGAATTGTTTTTTCTTATTCTGTGGAGAATGTCATTTGTAATTTGATAGGGATTGCACTGTGTCTGTAAATTGCTTTGAGTAATATGGATATTTTAACAATATTAATTATTCCAATCCATGAACATAGAATATTTTTCATTTATTTGTGTCTTCTTCAATTCTTTCATCAGCGTTTTATAGTAGTCAGAATATAGGTCTCCCCACTCTTTGGTTAAATTTATTCCTTTTTTTGTAGCTATTGTATATGGTATTATTTTCTTGATTCCTTTTTCTGATAGTTCTGTGGTAGTATATAGAAATACTATGCATTTTGTATGTTAATTTTGTATTCTGAAGCTTTACTAAAGTTGTTTATTAGTTCTAATGGTATTTTAGTGAAGTATTTAGGGTTTTCTATGCACACTCTATATGATTCTATATATATTTTCTGTCATTCACAAACAGGGACAATTTAAGTTTGCCCCTTCCAAGTTTGATGCCTTTTATTTCTTTCTCTAATTGCCCAATTCCTCTGGCTACTAATAACACTCTGCCTGGGATTTTCTAGTACTCTCCTTCAGTATTCATCAGGTCTCAGTCCAAGTGTTACCTCATTAGAAAAAGATTCTCCATCTAATTCAATTAGAAAAAAAAATTCATCTAATTGAATTACCATATAATTCAAAATAACCTCCCAATTCAATCTCTATCCCTTCATTCTTTAAAATTTTCCTTACATCTCTTATCATTCTTTTGCTCACTTTTCTGTTCTCTTGTATACGCTCTTCTTGTATCCCATCTTCCTCTACATTGTAAACTTGATGAGGACAATACCTTCACTGCATGCCTTGTTCGTTATTGTGCCCCGAATACCGAGTCCATGGTTGGCACACAATAAATATTTGTTTAACTAAAGCATAGCTTGTATTTAGGGGAAGTTAAGCCAGTTATTGGATAGATGCCATGCCACTGGCAATATTTCAATGTAATATCTGAAGGTAAGATTGCATCTGCAATATCATATTATTCTCTAAAAATCTGAACAAAGAGATCCTTTGATGATGATTTTATTCATAAATGTTTGTTTTCTTCTCCACCAGTACTGGGACAGAAATTTGCATATAATTGGCACTCCATTAAAATTGCTTGCATTATTTCAGCCTAGGGTAAATACATGGTAGCTGTAATAAAACCTCTCAACCACAACATAATCCGAATAGAACCAACCTTCAGAGATAGAGGAAGATGATCCCAATTGTCTAGTGATTGCAAAATTATATTAACCTTAGGTAAAGTCCATTGTGTATAAATTATGGTAGAAGCTTAGTGCAGGAGAATGAACAATAGTTTTAGTGTCAGAAAATGTGAGTTAAATTCCCAGCTTACCTTATTACTGGACCTATGACTTGAGGAAGTTTTGTGGGTTTTTTCTCTTTTGTTTATGTCTCTGAACTTTGGTTTCCTGAATAGGATAGAGCCGAATATTTAGGTGACATTAGTGAAAAGGGAAAATGTGAGGGGGATGCATAATCACATTTGGGAAACTGTGGATATTCTTAGAACAGAAAAAAATAGATTAGTGAGGTTTTGAATCTTTCCACTTATCTTGGTAAGGATTATATGCCAAAGACTAGTTATTGTGGCCATACTCTTTTTCCATTAGTGGCATTGGAGAACCAGAAACATGGGATCCAAAGAGAAGCTTAGCAATGTTAAGTCATGTTAATACTAATTTAATTTTTGTTTGCCACCCTACCCCCACCAAAAAAAAAAAAAAAAGGTTATAATGTGATTGTCACGACAGCATGGGGCTGTACTGAGCTTTTTGTCATGATATTAAATAGGCTTCTCTGTTAGAAAAAGATTTCTGGTCTAAGGACCCAAGTAGATCATATAAACAGAAGTGTGCTGTTATGGTGGAGGCATATTCATGTTGGTTCTGCATTCACAGTGAACATTTGTACCCAACTCCTAAGACCTACTAGAGATCAAATGTGTTTAAATTGAGTGTACTCAGATAGAAAGATATTCTGAAATTTCTCAGCTCTTTTCTCTATATTGTTGAAAATTATCTTTTACAATGCAAAGCCTCTTTAACTTGTAAAATATATTATTATACTTTGCTTTGAGTAATGTGCAAGTTAATGTCCCTCCCATTCCAATCATAACAGTCCCTCAGCCAACTGTAAAAGATGCTTTAATGATTATTTTCTTTACTTAATGTCTTTTTTCATCTAGGGTTAGACAAGTAGAGCTGGAGTGCCTTGCCTATGCGCTATCGTTCGTTTTAAAGATTCTTGGGGAGTTAAAAATAAAAGAAATTTAGAAAAAAGAAAGTTGAAAGTTAAATGACTGTATTAACATAGTACTAACCAGTAAATTAAGAGTGCAATGAAATAAAACAAAATTTCAAATTCAAAATGGCTTATGTCATGAAACCCTTAAGGTATTTTAAATTTTCACTGTATACAAAATTGTACAATTAGCAAGGAACAATGTGCTAATGGGTTTTAAATATTCATTTTAGGCTTATAGTTTTCAGTTTATACATTTTTTGGAGAGCTTCAATACATAAATACCACAACAATTCATTTAAAATGGTATTTTTTAGTTTCCTAAATGATTTGGATGCCCAAGTCTCTTTCTATAAAAGAATTTCTTAGTATAATAATTAGGCAATAGTTCAATTCATTCCAAATGCCTAGTAAAATTTCTCCTAACTATTAATTATATCTTAATAAAAGCTTCCAAGCGAACCAAAATTTTTTTGTTTCAAAGGGTTATAATTTTACTGATCGTATAAAAAGAAGCTAAGTTAAAGACAGCAAACCTACTGGGTAAATGGAATTCTGATCTCATTCTCTTTTTGCCTAAGTGTGCCAGAGAAAGAGTGAAAATGATGAGATTGGTGTTAAGGAAAATGTTTTTATTTGTGGGCACATGATGGATTTCTCTTGATCTTTTCCATTTTGCTGTCTTTTCCTCCTGGATTCTGACAGTACTAAATATTCTGGTACCATTCTATCCACCTCCAGCTCATTAATCAAACTCTAAGTTTCATAAGTTTAGAGGTTGTTTATTATTCTTTCAGTATCTCCAACAGTATATGTAACATATCTATTATTTAGCTACTTGACACTTAAATAAATATGTATATGTGCACATGTGTATACATGTATTTACATATGTGCACATGTGTGTATGTGTATTGTATAATAATAGAAAATTTTCTGGTCTTTGTCCCAGATTCCTGGGATAGAACTTCTAAACCCCAGACATTTCTTAAGGGAGAGGAGTATTTGTGTTGTTCATGATAGTCTCTGGGTTTATGCTTATAAGGTCACTTATGGTGGACTTTTAGATAGCTTATGTTAACAAGATAGCTCAGCATGAAGGCAGACTATGCCAGAAAAACCAACCATGTAATTAGAAGGTTGGTGCTTTGAACCAGATGATATCAGTTCAACCTCTGGGCAAGAGAGATGGATTGGAGATTGAGTTAAATCCTGTGCAATCGCACTGCATAGCAAGACTCCAGTAAAAACTCTGGACACTGGGGCTCAGATGAGCTTCTTGGTTGGGGACACATCAATGTGCTGGGAGGGTGACATGGTCCTGATTCCATGGAGAGAGGGCCTTCAAGACCCTCCTAGACCTCTTCCTCTGGCATCTAAAATGAGAGCAGTCTTGTTGGGGACTATGCCCTTGATCTGTGGGATCTGCACTAACTCTGGGAAGTTACTGACATAGTTGACTTGCAGTATTAGATAATCTGTGTTAAATATGTGTGTTAAAATATATGAATATTTCTATCTTAGAGTCGCTAATTAATAGTGGCAGCAAAGATTCTCAATCCTTATGGTTTGGAAAAGAGATTTACACCTTTACCATGAAGTGCTTTTATTGTCTTGCCCAATCTCAGAACAAAACCAATACACAGTTAGCACTATTAATCCCCTCGGAAAACTATTCTTCTGGGGTTTGAGGAAGGCTTTTAAGAGGTTTTACTACCCTATGTCTGATAAAATACTAGATAAAGACTGCATGCACAGGTTTAAAACTTGAACAGATTTTTTGGGAAAATAAGAAGGGCTTAACCATGATTTCTATTTTGTCCTTCCTATGTCCTCTTCCATTTTATGGCTTAGGTTTATTAATTTCCCCTACCTTTTCTCCATATAATTTCCTTTTCCAAAGAATGGACATTACATGCTCATTTTCACTAACATGTAAACAATGAATGGTGCTTTAGTTGTTCTCCTCCCTCTGAGCAGAGTTCTTTTTCATTCCCTTATCAATATGTCAAGAAGCCCCACTTTCTATTTTGACTCTACAAAATTGTTTCTCATAACATAGTTGGATGAAACAGGCCTGCCTCCTGTGAACTCTGTCTCCTTTGTTCTCTTTATAAAAGTAGGAAAACAGTTTATTATGTCAGACACTCTTTTAAATGCTTTGTATGTATTAGGTCTTTTTAATCTTCAACAAACCAGGAGGTAGGTGCTATGTTAATCTTCACTTTATAGATGATTTTGTGAGACACAATGAGTTAAAAGCATTTACTCGAGAAAATTTAGCTAGTAGGTGACAGAACCAAGATTGCAATCAAGGTTATTTGATTCTGAAGTCCATACTCATAAATTATTGAGCTATGCTGCCTCACATAAAATGCTTCTCGGTGCTGGAGAACTGTGTTCTTGTTCTATCCTAGGAAGAGAAGTTTGTGAAACATTTGAAAAAATTTCTCCTATTTCCACAGTCTTATTTCTCAGGACTTTCCCATATGTTCCCTCTTTCTACTATATTGAATTCTTGGTTATTTCCTAAATGCCAGCTACTTTTTGCAACTTCCCACTTGCTTTTTTCTCTGCTTGAAGGGCCCTTCTCTATTTCTCTTTGTCACTTACTTCTACTCATTCTTCAAGTCAGCTTCAAGCTTTCCATAAAGCCCAGTATGGGGAAGTAACCATTTCTCTGTCTCTCATCAGTATCCACATACTTTTATTTGGGCACTTACCATAATCTGTGGTGACCCTTCCTTACTTCTGTTTACCTCAGAAGACTGAAACCAACCTGATAGAGGTCTTTTATCTTACATTTCTCTATCTCTAGTCCTAGCACAAATTTGAGAACCTAATAACTATTCATTAAAAGTTTGTAAACCAGAGAACAAATTAATAAAACCAGATAATAACATTGCAATATTTCTGAAACCAAGGTTTGTAACCAAAGATTTTTAATTTTTTTATATCCTAAGAGGTTCTAGGTATTGCAAAAACAAAACAATACTATTGTGAACTTACTTAATTGCATCTGAAATTTTATCTTAATCCCAGACATTGGCTTAAGGTTACAGTGAAAGAAAAAGTAGGTAAATAATTTCATCGCCTTACCCACCCTTTCGTGTTTTTAACACTTCAAACATACACCCAAACACACAAAAACACATACATATTGCCATGTGTATACTATGGATATATATACTTCGTGTGTGTGTGTGTGTGTGTGTGTGTGTGTGTGCTTGTGTATGTATATATTTCCTCATTCCCCTGCGTGGAAAGTGACAAAGTATACTATCATTTAAAATTACTTTCTTAACATCATGATAAAATCAAAATAAACTGTCACTTTTAAAGCTTTGTAATTTTATACCCCATCATCTTAACAGCTATGATTCACAGAGTTTTGAGAGTTTTTAAATAATGACTTAATCTTTGATTTTGAAATTCAGAAAAAAAATCAAAAGGAATGGATGTATTCATGATTGCAAAAGAACAATTTTATTTATGAAAATACTAACATTTATCTCTGTCTGTATATCTTGAGATCTCTCAGGATGTATGACTCTGTTTTGCAGAATAAAAGCCTTTGCTGTATGATATGAGTGAACTATTCTAATAATGAAAGAAAATCCATGCTAACCTTAAATCTGTATAACTGCATAGCACTGACCAGGAAAAGCCAACTTGAAAGGTACTGCTTATAGAAGCATGTCAGCCCCTATTTTATGGTGGATCCTGTCACTTTTCTCAGGAGAGATGTCTGGATCAGTGTGCTAAGTACTCTCCTGTTTCTAAAAATTCCCAAAGAATGTCTAAAATCAGTAGTTCACAGTTTATGTAGATCATAATACAACTGACATCTGTAAGCTGTAGAAATAGATACACACTGACATGGCTAAAAAGTACCTGCTGTTTCTGTGAAGAGAGGCCGAAGTTTTCTCTAGGAAACGTACTACATAGATAGTGATTAGTATTCCTCTAGATACCTCTGGCTTATCACAGTTGATATTCTCTTATTATGCCTTCTTCATTGGGGTACAATTCAGATTTTATGTAAATGCATACCAACAGGGATATTACTTTACTTCAAATTTGAGTTTGGTTATAGACCAATGGTTATATAATGTTACTACTTCACTAATTTTATAAGTTGCTAATAACTTTCTATGTTTATGTAGTATTTACATAATGGATGGAGGTTATCTGCCAATAGAAAACAACAAATGCCATCAGGACTTAGTTGATAGTGAATCCTGTGGTAAGAGCTTTACATGTGATTGTTCGTAAGTTCTTATTTCAATTAACAGGATGAGTTTAATGAGATTACAAAACTTGTCAACTTACCTGGGACCACACAGCTAGTAAGTGGCAAAGCCAAGGTTCAAATCCAGGACTTGCTAATTCCAGTGCCCATAGTCATCATTGTTATGTAAAACTACCTTCTTTACTGCAGATATGGAAAGGCTTTATACTACAAAACAGTAAATAACAGGGAATTAATGATGGCTGCACTGTAGAGAAACTTTTTTTTTAATGTTTTGAATTGCACTCGATCAGATAGTTGGTTTTTATTTGCCAAAGACCAGTATGATTTACAAATTCCTCCCTATTATTTCAAAGAAAACACAGTGTGATTTCCAAAGGTAAGGATACAATCATTTCTGGGAAATACTAGCTGGCATTTGCAGAGAATAATTTTGAAGAATACACACTTTCTTGAACACTGGTGTGGCCTAGGTCTGGGTAGTAGAAAACTAGGAATAACAGTAGCTAATATTTCAGATCTGCGATCAATGAAGTGAAAATCTAAACATGGGCAAAATGATGACAGAGACCAAAAATTATGTATAAAAACTGTGATAATAAGGAAGTGGTGACCAGAATACAAATTGGAACCATACGGATCATTGAAGCACGTTCATGAATAGTGCAAAACTATGATGATGAAAAATGATTTAAATGGAGCAATGACAGATGATTTTGTTATCCTATATTGGCAAGGGATTAAAATTAACACCTGAATTTAACTGTATTAAATATTTTCAGCTTCTGATTATATATATGTGTGTCTACACATATGGGTTATATGTATGTGTCT
This sequence comes from Homo sapiens, assembly GCF_000001405.40. Classification (NCBI taxonomy): domain Eukaryota; kingdom Metazoa; phylum Chordata; class Mammalia; order Primates; family Hominidae; genus Homo; species Homo sapiens. The sequence goes on from NC_000009.12 coordinate 22,673,262, forward strand.
ACACATACTTGGCTACAAAACTGAAATTTGTCCTTCAAGTTAGACCCTTACCCTTAGTGTGCCCCAAATCTACCTGCAGCCTCCTGTGGAAAAATGGCCAGAGTTTTCTCTAGGATGTTATATAGCTAGTGATGAATTTTTGCTTCAAAGACCTTAGCTTACTGCATATTGTCTGGTAAGCTGCTTATCATTCCTTTCAAAATATAGTTTCAAACACTGTCAATGAAGTATTTCTAATGTGACCGTAAAGTATGAAAGAAAAGATCCTTTTCAGTTATTGTTAATCTATACTGGGAGGGTCCGGGTGACAAATGCAGAACAATAACATGCTCAGATGAAACAGACCAGGAAAATGAACCCCTTACTAACAGGGAACACATCAAGGCCCATTCCTGTCTTGGAATTAGGCTAGTTAGTTTACACTGCATCATGTATTTGGCTCCATATAACAATTGCTGTTGGCGCCCACCAGAATCTCTAACTCATTTTTATTTCATCTAACCGTAAAACTATTGATTAATACATTTGTTATTAATCAATGAAAAAATGGTTTATCTTCTGTGTACCTTCTAGTCCTCCCCTGCATTTCTCTCCCTCAACTCTCAACAACTCATCTGCTTTTAGGATATTTTATGAGACTCTAGTTCAGTTTTCACACAGTACTCTTCAGTTTGGCTCATCCATTCCTTTTTGTGGAGACTCCTTCCTATCTTCCCCTTTTCTTCATTGTTGGTAATTTATTTCTAGGTCCTGTCCTCATCTATCCTAGTAGCAAATTTCAACAGAAACTTAGTTCTTTTTATGTTTGATCATGTTAAATTTTTGTTTATAAATCAAGGGTATTTTAATAATAGGTCAAATATCTAACTATAAACATCTAAATATACAAAATAAGAATTAGAAAATGTTCATGTTTGTTTAATAATATTACTACTAGTAGTATTAAATTGTGATTCCTAGAGCATCCTTAGCAGCACAAAAGTGATTTAAAAGGAAAAAATAATTTTAATGTCATTTCCTTGTAGCACTTCTGCCTTATTTTTAAAAGACTTTAAAGAATAACTGCCAATGAATTTAATAATATCAAAGCCTATCTTGTTCAACCACATATGGAAAAAAAATACTAAAAATGAAATTTGACTGAGGAGTCAAGCAATTTTATGATGTTCTTCTTCTATTAGGTACCAGCATGTTATGAAGAATAAGCAAGAAGAAAGAGAAGGAGAAGAAGCAGGAGGAGGAGGAGAGAAGGAAAGGGAGGAGGAGGAGGAGAAAAAGATGGTGGTAGAGGAGGAGGAGAAGAAGAAGAAGGAGGAGAAGGAGAAGGAGAAGAAGGAGCAGGAGGAGGAGGAAGAAGAAGAAGAGGAGAAGGGAACTCACATGTAAGTTACAGGTATTTTTGTATTCATGTTATACATTAAAGAAGCTGAAATTAAACAAACACCAAACCTGTATTCACCATATAATATCCTTACTTTCCTTTTAGTCTCTGCTGTAATTTCTCTGCACTTTTCAATCATTTAATTCGCTATCAGAATCATGAACTCACCATTTTGCCTAAGTCAATTTTGTTAAAGTTGTATTCATCTAGTCAGATTTCCTGTAGGTTAATGTTGAGTGTATATCTATCCTTTACTGTCTTAGTATAAGTCATTATTTGCACAGCTACCTATGATTTTGCCATTTGGGTTATGACGAAAAGGTTAGTTCCAAGTTCTATGAGGAATAAAGTTCTAATGGCCTACTTCTATTATTACATTAAGAGGTATGGAAACTGACTATGCAGTTTTCATAAACTCATTTAATGAGAATGAAAATATTCATCATTAAGGTCATTGAAAGAAAACAGTATAAAGTAAAAGCTTCTGAATAGACAGAAGCCACAAAATTCCCAAATTATACTCTTTAGAAATTTTTAACTATACATTATTTTAGTGTCTCTGAAAATTTTAAAATACCCCTTTTTCATGTTTTATATTCATCCCTGTAACATTTTCAAACAATAACATATTTTATAAAACAAATAGCCACTGTGAAACAAAAATACTTTCTAGTTTTTATTTTCTATATTTAGATGGAAAAAGAGTAAACTTTTTGCTATGATTATAATTTCTTCATTTGCAGTTATTGATGAATAATAATTATCACTTTAGTTTTATACTTAATTGGCATATCACATTGGGTAACCGACTTTCTAAGTCAACCATCCAAAAGCCAACTTAATGTTAGCTACAAAACTATCTGATTGAAGTTCATGGAGTTTTAAAAACCATTAACTTTTATGTGCAGAGTGAAAACTTTGCTCCACTGGCACATAATTTCATTTTTATAGTCAGGAGATAACAATAACATGAAAACATTACTGCCAATGGAAATATGCCTCATGAAAAGTAAAAAGTAAAAGAATATGAAAGATTAGTTATTTTGAGATAGGTGGCTTTGTATATGTTATAGAAAGCAAGAACAAAAATGAATCTACCCTAGGTGATTGGATGACCATGGCACTTGAGGATAATACATAGAATATAATTTTTACTAAAAAAGTACAATGGTCAAAGCATTCAAAGTTTTTCTCAATAATGCACTTGAAAATTCTCTGTTCTGTCATCCATTGATATGAAATGGTGAAAAGAGGACTTTAAAAAAGAATAGCTAATTTCCTGAATAATAGATGGAACTTAACGTTATGTGAACCAACGTTGACAGTAGTGTCTAAATTAATAGTTAGCAAAGTGTTTCCTGTTCTTCACTGATCTTTGCAATTATCTGCACCAGATCATTTACTCTTATTACAGCTTTTTACAGCTTCTTTCCATGCCATTGGGGACATTTTCCTCCTCAAGTTGTCTCCAGAAAATTAACTTTGTACAGCAAAGCCCTTTAGAATTATTATTATTTTTTTCCAGATTTTTATGCATGAAAATAATATACTGCTGAAAACTATTATTGGTTCTCAACATTTTCTTATATTGTGTTTTTAAAAGTCCCACTATTAGATAATTTTTTAATTCTTTGGTACTGTTACACAGGGTAGGAAGAATCCTTCTGAGGTATTTATTAGCAGTGATATAAATACCTGATCCAAATTTATCAGTGCTAAGGGTTTTACAGATATTTTAAATAATGAATTGTGTATAGTGCTTTCCTTTTCACTAATCCCTTCAGGTATATTATCTCATTTGATCTCCTGAGCAGCTATGAATATCAATTTTGTTATTTACAGGTGAGAAAGTGGAGGTTTGAAGAGATTAAGTGACTTGCTCAAGTTCACACAATTTATAAGTAGTTCAATTATAAAGCATTTATCAGGCATATGCTATATAACAGGTAGTTTTCTAACTCATTAGGATATTGCAAACAATTTTTTAAGTACCTACACTTGCAGGATTAATCACAAATGTGCAAACAGGCAGGTAGAGTCTCAAATATGTACAATGTAAAATATATTCAAACAACAAAAGTATAGAGATGTAACTAATTGTACTTCTTGCAAGGGTCAGGGACTACTTTATAGAGTGGTTGGTGCCTGAATTACATTTTGTTTGGTAAATATGAGTTTGTCAGATAAATGAAGGGAGAAATGTACCAAAGTAGATTTTGTAACCTACAATCTAACATACTCTTTACTATATAACATCACCTCTATACCATGCTATATTGATTTTCTATTGATAGTATAAAATTATTACTATAAAATTTAGTGGCTTAAACAACACACATTTTTATCTTACATTTCTTTAGTTCAGAAATTTGAAATGTGTCTCATTGGGCTAAAATCAACATGTCATCTAGGCTGTCTTCCTTTTTGGAGGCACTAGGAAAAACTCAATGTCCTTATTCTTTTCCACCTTCCAAAGAGGATTCACATTCCTTGGTTCGTGGCTCCCTTCTCCCATTTTCAAAGCCAGCAACAGTGGATTGAGATTTAATGTCCCATCCCACCGACCCTGCTTTAGTTGCCGTCACATCTCTTTCTCTGAATACAGGCAAGAAATGTTCTCAACTTTTAAGAAGTCATGTCATTATACTGGGCCAACCTGGATTGTTTAGGAAAATATCCCCATTTCAAGGTCCTTAACCTTAATTACAGCTGCAAAGTCCCTTTTGTCTTGTAATATATTCACAGATTCCAGGGATTAGAAAATGGACATATTTGGGGGGTGGGAATTATTCTGCCGAATACACGTGCCATTTGTAATCTTAAATTATTTCTTGTCTCGCATGGATTTAAGCAGACTTTCTTACCTGTAAGAACTAGATTATTATACTGATGATGTTACGTATTTTGCCTATGACACGTCAAAAAAGAGGGGTGAGGAAAGCTCACATTTTTACACCATTTTCTATGATCTTAGAGATGTCATTTTTTAAATATGCAGTTTTAGAAAAATTCAAAAAGATGAAGAAGAGGTTTGATCATTCTGTATGAGCTCATTGACTCAGGTACTAAATATCTTTCTTGTTTGCCATGCTACTATTTCCCAATAACTAAAAAACCTTTATCTTTAGCTTAGAAATTTCTCCTCATCAATCCAAATACCTATTGATCTACAGGACTCTCAAACACAAAACACTTCATGCTGGCCTATTATCTATACTCTTTTTCTACTTCTACTCTTTCTGTTCTGCTCCCAACATCAGAGAAGGGCAAAAGTATCCCATCAATTGCAAGAACCATAATCCTGGAAGTCATCTTATCTACAGTTTCAAACAAAAACCAACCAAATGCTAGAAATTTTACCAACTAAACATTTATTAAATCAGTCCATATTTCTCTATACCTATTGGCATATCCTTAATTCATAATCTCCTATTTTGGTTATATAACAAATCACTAATTAGACCCTTTGTCTCAAGCTTCTCTCCTACTTCTCTCTATTTAAGCATCCAGGCTACAGCCAGAGGATTCATTCTAAAATAAAAACTCACTTTATTAACTGTCCTACTTCAAAACCCTGTAATGGCTGACTATTCTCTCTAGATAAATACCCAACTTCCAAAATACCCTGGATAATTTTAATTTCCCTTAGTGCCCTGTACTCTTTCTCGCTGTCTGCTCTTTGTTCATATTATCTCTTATTACTCCCTTATCCTCTTCTTTCTTCTGCTCCAAACATATTTCTTGCTCTTTATTATGAAATTTAAATTATCACCTCCTCTAGGGAACTCTTCCTCTTCCCCACAGCTAGGCTCTGCTTTACTTCCTTGGGGAAGAAAATGCATTGGATTAAAAATGAGAAAGAAAGGAACATTTATTGAGACATTATATGCTAAGATTTTGTCCTATATGCTTTAAATATAATATACGCTAAGTCATTTGAAAAGTTTTGTGAAGTGGTTATTAGAGAATTTACAAATAGAAAAGCTATATGGTATGTGAAAATGCAGAATGGAGTAATCTGGGAAAAGCTAGCTGGCTATGGAGACACATAAGTTGACCTTGATTCTTATGTCTTCATAGTCAGGGCTTGCCTTTCATTCATGCAGTCTTATAAAGTTTCATCAGGTTTCCCAATTGGATCAGATTCAGAGATGCTATCTCACACTAATAAAGTTCTTATGAAAATCATATAGAAATAATTTAATTTACTGAGATATTTTTCTCAGTACTCAAACTACTATGGGAAGTCACATCAGCAAAGCTTTGTTTGGTACACACTAGAAAAGAAATAGTTGTTAAGACTTAAATGCTCAATGCTTCAAGCAACCCTGTCCATTTTTACACTTGCTTATTTGTCCAGAGAATCAAATGTTTAGGTCAGCCTGACAAAGTGCCTCTTACCCTGGGCAATGCATGAATGGTCATTGCTGAAAATTGCCTAGGTCTCTTATTTTTCCGTGTCTTTGGACTGACCAACCTAAAACCAAGGAAGTGTTCTCATTCTTTAGATGTTATTGATAATTATCACAGGGTCTCTCTGAGTACAGAAATAACTTCACTATTGTTCAGTTCTGATGCATTTTTTTCAGATTGTAATTTGAAGAAGGCAGGTTTGTTTGCTTTATTAATATCTTCCATGGAGCTCTGCATTATTCCATCTTATCCTGTAACTCTTTAAGTTTCAACTCTAGGTGTTAATAATTCTGTTTTACAGTTGGATAATTTATGCTTGAGTTTAGTAACTTTTCTTAAGTAAGAGGTGGCATTCAAAGAGAGTTCCTCTGACTCCAGAGCCCTTGCTCTTTCAAGCTTTGCTCGCCAGTCTTAGCTCTGTTTCTAAGTAAATGTTTGCCATTGGCAGATCACTAACTGCCCTCTGTCCCACCTTGCTTATCAGAAGGGTGAGATGTTGCTCTAAATTATTTATAAAATCTCTTCCAGCTTGATTTATTAATAAAAGGCAGTATTATTTCCCTGCTTTCCTAAGTCTACCAAGTAATCTCTTTCACAATGCAAAGCAGAAATATGCTATGAACTAAATTCCCATTCCAGCTGCCCAGATACTGGCATAAGGTTGACTAAAGTCGTATTTTTCAGTATTGTGAGCTTTCATCTTTTTTTTCTTCTTTATGGTTAATTTAATGAGAGGTTGGTTGGTCCCATTTCTTATACAGGAAAGAGATTAGGGTTTGGATAGCTCCTTGAGCTGCTTTTTAATTATCTCAGATTTCACATTTTTAAAGAAGAAATGGCTGTAACTTATTCAAGAGGAATAAAATTCTGTGATGTACATTATAACTATAGTAGATCAAAGGCCTCATTTTTTGCACTGTGCAGGTGTAGAATTTCTGTGACAGAGGAGGATCCACGATAGGCAGTAAAAAAGGGAAAACAAAATTACATTGGTTTCACACATTTGCTTTGCAACATCTGTTTAGGTGGAAAGCATTTTGCCTGTCGATTTATTGAGGAGTTTGTTCATGACAAGCCATGTCTGTCTATTTCCCTCGTTATTTTGAAAGCTTTGAGTCCAAAGGGATTGAAGTAGCCTGGCTAAATTGCACTGATGCCAGTAAATAGTGACTTTGTATCAGGGGCAGAGTGAGCATCTGCTTTTCTTAGAATGCTGGAGCAAGTGTGATATCTGGGGACAGAGAGGTAGAATTGGACTGACAGCTTAGTTTTTCTGCTGCCCTGAATTTACTAAAGTTAGCTGTGAAAATAGCCCAACTTAATCAATGTAGGCCAGTTTGTCATATCATTGTTTCCTGTGACATTGGCTGTTCATCAACACCTGAGACCTCAGTCAGTCAGTGCTTCCTCCCCACAGTTCACGCACACATAGCTGATGGACTACCACCTTCACACAGAGATCTCTTAAATAAAAATTTAACCTAACTTTAAAGTCCTATATTGACAAAAAGACCATATAGCTGTTCTGCTAACAATTCTGGATATCTTCAGCATCCAGCGAGTAACTTTTTTCCCTTAGGGAGAATGAAAGGGAAGTAGGAAGGATTTTTGTTACTGGTTAACAAAAAGTCAAATTACTATTTTACAGCAGTAACCACCATAAACAGAAACAAACAAACAAACAAACAAAAACCCAGAATTTAACAATCCCTTGCACTCCTAGCATCCAACCCATCATTTTACAAATCACTTTGAGACCAGGAGTGGGTGAACCAATTGTAAAGGAACCCCAGCCATCATATATTATACTTGGTATAATATACCATGTATATTACAAATGATTCATAGTAGCTAAAATCCGTTTTTTAGAAAAGCATAGCTGTGTACATCTTGAGATGCAAGACCAACACTGAAAAATTCTGAGTGATATTTCTTTCCCCCCCACCATGGTTTAAGACAAAGGAACTGGGAGTAGAAAGAAGTAGTGCCAATTTTAATTATTGTCATAAAGTCAATAGCAAACTTCAGCAAAATTATCATCTCAAAGATGTGTTTTGGACGTGTTCTTCTCTGTATCCTATCTTCAAACATATTTGGAAGCACTATTTATCCTTACTAGGTCTTCAGAGGGGAGCCTGGAAACTACCTGATTCTTTGTAGAAATAGAATCTGACCTTATTGCTTCCCAATCAAAGAGTGACCATTATCTTGAACCCAGTTGGAAAGCTGATTACTTTATTTTCTTAAATCAGTGGGTACACTGTACTCAGATGCCTTTATTTTATTGCTTGTCTAGTTTTCCAGATGTCTTACTAATGCATAGGCAAATGTGTTCAATAGATTCAGTGAAGTTTACATGCTTTCCAGAGAGATACTTAACTGAGTCAGTTACTGGGCATAATGTGTCATACCCTGGGTCTTTGAAATGTGTTATCACAGATACTCTAAGTCAGGAATTAGTTGTTTAGCTCAATTGCTTCCAAATATACAACATTCTATTTGTGTAACATAAATAGCAAGCACAGCGGGCAAAACAGAGAGACTAATTGAGAAGCCCTTATGTTTAGGACAAATTCTATCAATGCAGGTGTATGGTATATTAAAGAGAGATGAAAGTTTTGCTTAGCCTAGTCACTTGTATCAAACATATTTTTTTTTCTATCACAATGCTGGATCTCTTTAGAGAATTATTTATTTGCTCACAAAATCTTGTCAAAATTGGGTATCAGTGAAATGAATATAATTATTAACTCTGAAAGTTAACCCATTTCTGCCTGAGGTTGCAATTCTTTGAATTTTTGCAATCAGACCTTGGCGATGGCCTTGAGCAGTAGGATATAAATAATTCCCACATGCTTAATGTTCCAATAATGGAACACTAGGCATAAATGGCTACTCCTGCTGGGTTTATTCCAAAAGTTGCATCAATAAAAAGCATTTCGGGGAGGGGTCACCAGTAAATAAGTTGAAAAAAATAGTAGAAACATAATCCTAGATATAGAGAAAGAAAGAAAATATGAGTGGGGAAGGGTTTTTGGAAATGTCTATACTTCTCTACAGTCAAAAAACATTCATCCCCTACTTTAAATAAAACTTCCTGCTTCCCATAATTTGCATATTCTACTATTCAGCTTTGCCACTGAGAAGCTAATATTTTGTAAAGAGTTTCTTTATTAATTTTGGGCTTTTGATATAATAATCTCATATTTGCTGAATACGTTTACTCTTAAATGACAGTTTTGTCATTGTTGTTGACCTGAAGCAGGGTGTATTTTTAATGGGAGATGTGAAGAAAAATGGAATAGAGGCAAAAAAGTTATTACCCAGTTACCATTTTTAGAAAGTCATTTTAAGTAGTTGGAAAGCAATTCTATTTGTTCCTTCATTCACTGATGAGAAGATCTCCATAGTGAGGAAGTTGTGAGAGGGAGGGATTAAAATTAGGCAACTATTTTACAAAACAATACTTGCGTGTCACTTTGCTCAGTAATGTCTTTTTAGCCATGTGGATTTTTAGTTCATCAAGTCTAATTCTCTTGTATCCTTTATTGCAGGCTACCTGTGTGAGTCACATGTCAGTGCAATTTCTGGAGGTCAATTGTAGCCCTGAAGTCTCAGAACAATGGCAAAAAGAAATACGGAGGGCATGATACATTTGGTAAGTGCCTTATGTAAACCACAGAAAATGATAGAGGCAATTTTTTTCTTTCCTAAGGCTGGTGATTTATTGCATACTTCTTGTCACGGAATAGATAACATAGGAGGACAGGAAGAAATTTGCTAGTTTACACAGTGCCCCCTGAAAATAATTCATCGAATTGGGCTCCTTTGGAAACATTCACATATTCTGCATGTATTTTTACCAGACACATTTAGCATCGTAATGGCATAATAAAAGCTATCATTTGGGAAATATACACATTGCTCCTATCTGAGTGCACAGTGGTGTTGGTAGGTACTGAGGGAGGAAGAGACACATGTGCCCTGAGGAAGTCTCTGTTTTGTCTCCATGCACATTTAAGTCTTTTACACATTTGAGAAGGGACTGGGAGAGGAGCATGGGGGAAGGGGGCTGGATGTGGCTGGCATCTTCTAAGATTTATGAACTGCTAAATTTAGAAATGTCATTTTGTTATTGCCAGTGAACTGCTAGCATCTTCGTATGAGTCACTAAGAAAAAATAGCAATCACCTCCTTTGCAAGAGCTAGTATGAGTAACACAAGATGGGTTCAATTAATCATTTTAACCACTAAATTCACTCTGGATAAACAAAGTGTGTATCAGATGATGTGCCCTAGAAAGGTTGTCATCCTTACAAAATGCTATGCTCTGCAGCTATGCTCTTCTCATTATCGTATTGCAAATAGTTCTCTGAAAGAAAAAACTGTTCAAACAAAATATTAAACAGCATTCATTTGTCATTTTCCTTCGGGGACTAGGCAGCAACCTGCTGTGGCTGAAAATATGTGGTCATTATGAAGCTGGTATTGAATTGTTTGTTTATCTTTAGCAGGGGAGGGAGGTTTCAATGATGTTACTATTTGATTGGTAATTTCAGGCACTTCTGCTTTCTAAAAGCGTATCCTCTGTCCAGAATTGATATTAATAAATGAGTGTGTAAATATGCTGTTTGTATGTTTCTTTTTAATGTTCATATAATTTTCAGTGTCATAAGCTCTTATCACCTGAGGAGTGATGGTGAGTTTTATTTTCTTGTTAGTGTATAGGGTTTTATATCACAGTGAGTCAGGTTGCTTGCTCTTTCAGAAACCTGAAGCATTTACTATAAATGGAGTGAGTCAGGATGTCTAAGATGCCTTGTTCACTGATGACAGTATGACTTTCGCAAGTAGATCAGAGAGAGATTTCAGTGTCTGCATGTGGTGTGCTATCTCTTTCATCTGGTCACAGGAAGCAGCAGGCACTTTTTTTTTTTTTAACGTAGAGAAACCTAGGTTCTGTTTCTCCTCTTTTTCCTGATTCTCCATCTTTTCTTTTTTTCCTTCCCATTTTCTTTCTCTCCATCTTTTTCTTGTTCTTATTCTTCTCTGCACTGGTTAATAATGGATTCAGGGGACTAAAAAGTGACATGAGAAGGTAATAGGCTACACACATCTACTCAAATCCCCCAGACAGATAAGAACCTAGTCCACTTAAAAGTAACTTCAGATACCATCCTTATAGAAATCCATGCCATCACTTAACAACTTTTACAAAATCCTTTATTCTGCTATTTAAACCTGCTTCCTTTTATAATGTGCTTAGAGAGCACAAGAAATTTGTCACCATTTTCTGAAACATTCCTTACTCAGACTGCAAAATCACTCTTTCAGCCTATTTAATTGGAAGCAGAATTAAAGCTTCATTAGCTTTATCTCTAAACTTTTTATCAATTTATGGCACTCTTCAGAGCCTCCTTTGCAGTTTTTCAGATCCTCTTTAAGTCAGAGAATGTAGAACTGTACATGTGTCTCCAAAAGATATTTGCCCAGGGCAAGTCAATGGTAAAGTTCAAAAATTTTTAAAAAGCCCTATTCATGTTCTTCAAACTCTTATGGTCACATTTGCCAAGCAGAATATGTTTAGTAAAGGTGAGGATTTGCTAGTACAAGACTCTGGTAAGGGAGATGACTTGACTGCCAGGAAATAATACAGCATGTAGAATAGAGAAAAAACATGGCTATCCTTGGATGCTACCATGTTTATTTCATACTTAGGAGAGGAGAAAAAAAGCAAACTTTGATGAAGAGCGGAAAGCTGAGAATCAGTGAGAGAAGTCTGTTTTGTTGGGGTTGTTACAATAACACTTTGCCTGAAGAAAGTACTCAACCTGGATGTATTCTGATAATATTGATTTGTGATTCTTTCCATCTAAAGAATCCTTTTGGAGAGTTAGGTGAGGACAGGAAAGTGCAGAGATGTTTAAGGAGAAGAGTTAGAGTTAGATCAAAATCTTACTTATTCAATAAACTATAAAGTTGTTTTTCCAGGCAAAAGGAGACAATTGCGGATTTTATTATTGTCTGAATGAAGGGGCTTTAATTGCTCAGATATACTGCTATGCTTCCTTGCCTCATTAAGTGCAACAGTCTGATCTTGCAGTGGGGAAAAAAAACAGGAAGAAAAGTAAATGGGGTAAAACCATGAGTTAAATAGTTAGCTTATAGCAGTATACATCCAAAACGATGTATTCTGATCTGTTCTCTCTCTCTCTCTCTGTGTGTGTGTGTGTGCGCGCGCGTGTATATGTGATCTCACTTTTTAAAAAAGGTTTGCTTTTTATCCCTTGCTTCACAAAAATATTGCTGACCATCCAACACAGTAAACTAATCGATACATAACAAAGATAGAAGCCACCATTTATTCAGATCATGCTACATGCCAGGTACTTAATATATTTAAAGTATAATATATCTAGTATACTTTATGTAATTACCTAATATAATTATTTTATCATTTAAATGTATTACCATGAATGACTAACTATATGTCATGCTCTAAGTTAAAGATACGAGCCCTGTGATGGAGGCATTTCTGTCGTTATTTTACAGATGAGGAAAGTGAAGTCCACAGAAGAGACTAGCTACAGTCTCACAGTTTGTCAGTGGCAAAACTTAGTTTTGAATTCAAGTCTCTCTCACACTAAAGTTGATGTTTTTCCTAACACATTCCTGTTACTCTGCTGGACTTGTCAGATTTATCTGGTATCTCAAAAGATTCATGTAAGAGAACCAGAGTTTTTCATCCATAACACTACCTCCAAGAGAGATAAGGACACTAAATTGCAATGATGTAATTAAACATTTTTGGATTTTTTTCTATCAGAGAAGCCTAGAGAAGGTCATTTTTCTTTAAAAAAAAAAAATAAATAAAAATAAATAAAAGCCAGAGATAGGCAAGAGTTGCGGCTTCTGGAATTTTAATTACCAGTCTATTATAAATATGTCATCTTGGCCTATAATGAGTTATCACAATCATTAACTATTGTTGCAGTTATTGGTTGTAAAATAAAATGCAAAGTCTCAGCTATTTAATGTATGATTAATACAATTCATTTTATTGGGCTCTTACACTGTGTTTGTGGGTTTCTTTCTCTTTCTCTTTTTCGTTTTTTTTTCCCACTCTGTCTCTTTCCTTGGGCATTTTATGTGAACCACAAAATTACAGGTCTGTGTCTTATTGTACTTTATGGTTCAGTAAATTAGGCCAGGGTGATAACCTGAGGGAATATTAATAATACTTGTTTTAACAAGCCTACATTTATACCATTGTCAGGAGTTAATTGCTCAGTTATACCCCTGGTGCTCAGGATTACTGAGTACTAAAGGATAGTGGTGGGAAGGAAAGTGTTCCACTTTGGCAAAATCTACTTCCCTAAGATTTGTGTTTCTGGCAGCAAGGAGATGATTACCCTGAAATACGTGACCATTTATTGAACCAAAAATAGAAGGTGTTTTATATAGGCACTAAGTAATACTTCTAAGGTCTGAAGTCCTATGGAGCACATACAGAAAATGTTTGCAAGTTTATAAAGTGTCTGACTCTGGATATCTAGTAACCTGGAAAACACTACTATTTTATTATAAAACTGTACACCAGGGGTTCTTTGTCAGAACAGCTCCCGCCAGATGACAGGATTTATCTCCTAGAAGATGTTCTTTTGTTCTTTGTGGTCAGGCGCAGTGGCTCACACCTGTATTCTCAGCACTTTGGGAAGCCAAGTCGGGTGGATTGCTCGAGTCCAGGAGTTCAAGACCAGCCTGTCCAATATGGCGAAACCCCATCATTACTAAAAGTACAAAAATTAGCCAGGTGTGGTGGCACATACCTGTAATCCCAGCTACTTGGGAGGCTGAGTCAGGATAATCCCTTGAACTCGGGAGGTGGAGGTTGCAGTGAGCCGAGATTGCGCCACTGTACTCCAACCTGGGTGACAGAGCGAGCATCTCACAAGAAAAAAAAAAAAAGGTATTTTCTTTGCGAGGGGGAAAAGGCAGCAAATACTTTCATTTTGATCTTCTCTATGCTTTCCTGGAGGCTGAAATGCATCTACCTGATATTGGACTCAGTTTCCTGAGACCAAGACTATGTGTTAGGGTCAGAAAGGGGAATAGCTACAAAAATAGATGATGAGAGAGATTATTATTAGATAGTATAACCCTCTGGAACTTCTAGGATAGTCACATACTCACTTGTCCCGTTTAAAAGTGTAATTAGGCATTTTCCAATTGGTTTGCTACTACTTTCTTATTCAATCATTATGTTGTATGTAAGAAGAGACCAAAGCTTTAATGACTTTATTTATTTTCCTTATCTGAAATAATTAAACCTATCTTTCAGGGAATTATGCTAACTTTTTGAAGTAGCATATGTGAAAGTCCTAGCATGTCATCCTTAAGAATATGCCATCTACATGGAATATGTGCTAATATGATTCCTTGTACCCTGCACCCCTAAACTATTAATATATCAATGACTTTTCCCCCTAAGTTTTAGTGGAACTTCCACATCTTCAGGTGAGACCTCTAGACAGTAACCACCAAATGATTGTGAGAGGTGAAGCCAGCTGGACTTCCTGGGTCAAGTGGGGAGTTGGAGAACTTTTCTGTCTGGCTAGAGGATTATAAATGCACCAATCAGCACTCTGGAAAAATGCACCAATCAGCACTCTGTGTCTAGCTAAAGGATTGTAAAGGCACCATTCAGTACTCTGTAAAAATGCACAAATCAGCACTCTGTGTCTAGCTAAAGGATTGTAAATGCACCAATCACCACTCTGTAAAAACGCACCAATCAGCGCTCTGTGTCTAGCTAAAATAAACGCACCAATCAGCACTCTGTAAAATGGACCAATCAGCGCTCTGTAAAATGGACCAATCAGCAGGACGTGGACGGGGCCAAATAAGGGAATAAAAGCTGGCCACGCAAGCTAGCAGCGGCAATCCTCTCGGGTAGCCTTCCGCTCTGTGGAAGCTTTGTTCTTTTGCTGTTCATGATAAATCTTGCTGCTGCTCACTCTTTGGGTCCGCACTACCTTTATGAGCTGTAACACTCAACACGAGGGTCTGCGGCTTCATTCCTGAAGTCTGCGAGACCAGGAACCCACCGGGAGGAACAAACAACTCTGGACACACCACCTTTAAGAGCTGTGACAATCACTTGCGAAAGTCTGCAACTTCACTCCTGAAGTCAGCAAGACCGTGAACCCACCAGAAGGAAGAAACTCGGGACACATCTGAATATCTGAAGGAGAAAACACTCCAGACACACCGTCCTTAAGAACTGTAACACTCACTGCGAGGGTCAGCGGCTTCATTCTTGAAGTCAGTGAGACCAAGAACCCACCGGAAGGAACCAATTCTGGAGACAATTGGAGCTTTGAAAACTATTTAACTAAATTATAGTGGGTTCAGTATAAAAGATTGTTTTCTTCCCTCCCTTCTCTTTTTTTTTTTCCTTATTCCTATCCTGCTATAGTATTTTCTGCCATGTTATGCACGTACATTTAAAAAATTACTCACCAATCCAATAAAAAACATACTGCTGCCTTATTGTGCCTTGGAATGTGTGATAAATGGTATACGATCACCACCGCTATTGGAAGTGGTAGAGCAACAGGAGGTCAGAAGTTGTAGTCAGACTGCTTCGAGTCTTACCCTAGCTTTACTATTTGCTGGCCATGTGGGAAAATTACCTGAAATATCTAAACATTAATTTAGAATGTGCAATGAAACATGTACAATGTAGAATGTTTTCACATAGAATGTCAAATGAAGATAATAGAAGCTCAGGCTGACGACCCAGATTTTGGGGTTCAAACCTTGACTCTGCCATTTACTTGTTCTGTGAACTTGGGTAAGTGATGTAACCTCTCTGTGCCTCTATTTTGTTTTCTATAAAGTAGATTACTGTAAAAATTAAATGAATTAAAACATGCCTTATGTTTAGAAAAGCATCTGGCACACATAAGTCCTCAATCAATGTTAGTGTTCTTGTTCTTTGTTGCTTTTATTACCTATCGTTTTACATTACTTAGGGAAATACATGCAAATAATAAATACTTAGTCAATGTTAATTATTATGTGACAGGTCCTCCCCTTACATAATTGACACACATTTAAAGAACAGGTCAGTATGGGATAAGTATTGTCTGCATGGTACATATGATAAGCACTTTGTGAGTTTAGTTGGAGGGACTATCATTTCACAGAAATGACAGCTAAATGTAAAGACCTCAAAAGGCTAAGTAGTGGTAAAGATGTGGAGCTACTAGAACTCTGGTATAAATGTAAATATGGACAATTATTTTGTAAAAAGCATTCAACAACAATATTCAGTACCTAATAAAGTTCAAACTTTGTCTTATGAGCTACTGACTTTACTCTTAGATACATACCCAGGAAAAATGAGTGCATTTTACAACAAAAGATTCATAACAGCTAAAAACTGGAAAAAAAATTAAAATCAGAATGATGAGTTAGGAAAATATGTGAAATATTCATATGAAATATTATAAAGTAATGAAAATGATACGTAAGTTCAACAATATGGGTGACTCTCACAAGCATAATGTTCAGTAAAGTAAGCCAGGTACAAAAAAGCACATACCATAAGGCTGTTTTTATATAATATTTTAAATACGCAAAATTCCGTGGTGACATGTCACAATAGTAATTGTCTTTGGCGAGGTAAGTAGCAACTTGGAAAGTGCATGAGAAGGGCTTCTGAGGTGCCAGTTATGATTTTAAAATTGCATTTACTTTGTGAAAATTGATTAACCACAATTTTATGTGTTCTTTTCTTTATAGGTTTTATTTCAATAAACACTTTGAAAAGGAATAAAATGATAAAATCATTGATTGTTTCAGATTTATCTAACAATACAATTTCGGAAATTATTCTAGGTTATTGGTTTTCAAAGGCTGAAACAAAGTCCAGTATCTGTACCTTGAACTACCTGGCTTTGACTACACCTAAAATAGTAACATATTTATTAAGTTCTTGAGGTTTATAAATGGAAGGTTTTTTTTTTTTTAAACCCAACTGAATAGTCTTTTAAAATATTATTTAAATGGTACAAAATTATAATAGCTGGAAATGATATTTTATCCTCTAGCATCATTAAAACTTCTTATGCCTTGCCTTTTTTGAGGTGGAGTACAGTAAAAAGTTCTTTAAAAAATAACACAAAATATAGCCATCAAAATTGACTTTTGATCCACTCTGAGCATATGTTAAACCTAGCAAAAAGCATGTAAACCAATTCTTACTTTAAAGAGAATATTGGTTATGAAGAGGAATCTTTTAGAAGGTTGAATAATTTGTCAGTGATTTGTTGGCTACTTACATACCTTGTAACAAATTCAAGAAATACATTGGGATTCTAACCTAAAGCCTAACGATTTACTCCCTAAATGAATCTAACCTAAATCCTAATCATTTACTCCCTAAATGAATCAGATATATTTTCATTAACTGGAATACTTACACAAATCATTGCTTTGCTTGGCAGGTGCACAATTTGAGTACCCCAGGAACCAAACTCTAAAACAGAGTTTAGCATATAGGATGTTTATTAAATAGTACTCTTGTAATCAATACCTGTGAAAGGAAGAAAGAAGTAGTCATCCGTAGAGAAACGTCAAGTTGTGATGTAGACTCATTGACAGCCATAGTTGTTACCATGAGAAGTTCTGGAGCTAGGATAACCCTCAGAATTGTTCTAAATTGGACTAATGATCTGATATTTATAATTTCTCATTTATTAATTTTGGATGCAGTCTACCCAGGGAAGAGGCATTTCCTTGGGCAAGGAGACTCTTTGCAGCTGAGATAGTCCCTTAAAGGGCTGACAGCTAAAGACCGACTATTGTCAGCACTCCCAGATTCTGGGGGAACAATTTCTTCATTGAAGGGATATTTGACCAACATGTGGTCAAATGTGGTGATCCCCCACAGTCCATCTCTTGCCTGCTTAGATCCTTTTCTTCATAAAATTTCTGGAAGCTTCCCAGAGACTGTTTTAGACATCTATTCATGGAGAAAATTTATAAGCAAGTTTGTGGGAAGCAATAGGTACTATCACCACAGCTGCCCTGGGTGTAGGGGGACAAGTGATGCTCATGATTTCTTTCACTATCCAGTCTATATTCCATTCACTCTCTACTACCATTTCTACTGGAGTCTAAGGGCTCTAAGTCCCTAGCCACCACACCTTTCTCAGGCTAAAGTTGTTGCTCTTGTCTATTTTCACAACTAGGCAAAGGAATACCAGAGGTACCCAAGTAGACCACCTGAGTGTCACATACATTCTTTCAATCTTCACTGTGTAGCAGCAACCCCACCTCTTCCTAAGCATCATGGTCTATTGCCCCTGCCAAGATGATCCCTGCTATTCTTGCCTGCTGATCTAAAGTTCCCAGTTGGCAGTCACAGCTTACAATTCAATGTGACCTTTGCTGTGTCCTCTGGCAGAAGTGTCCTGCCTTTGGGAACCAAGACCTTTAAATTTACAAAGCCTAGAATAGAAGGAATAGGAAAAATAAATTCCCAAGTGGGTTACTTGAAGTGATTTAAGTGAGCCTACTTGTTCTTTTTGTTCTTGGTTCCTAGACCCATGTATTCTTCCTACTGTGAAGGGGAGGCACAGTTATACATGTTACTGATTCAATGAGCATACCACAGCATGGATTGTGTTGCATCCTCATAAAGTATTGCCTCCAAGCGGGATTTCTAGTCTTCCAGTTAATGAGTGGTGTTGTATGTTAAATGATTAGTTCATCTCATGGTCAGAGGTTTGCCTTAGCACCTCCTTTGCTATAAACTAGGTTTCCTGGTTGGTCATTTTTTCATGTGGAATCCAGTACCTAGGATTCCCTAAGTCTTCAGACAGTCATACTGTTTGATGTCCTGCAAGCAAAAAAGACAATAAGAAAAGACAAAGATGGTCTTCTTGAAGCAGGCTGCTCTAATGGCAACTCAGCATTGGCCTTTATTGATGACAGTTGGATATTTGTGTTTGCAGTAGCAAAATCAGCTAACACAAATAGCAAGATCAATTAAGTTACTTAGATTCCAAGAGATTGGACCCATGTAAAGCTTCCATCCTTACTTCCTTGGCCATTTCATGTAATCATAATGCCAGCTGGAGTAGCTGATGACAGAGACTAATATCAACTGGGCGAGTTTTTGTCTTCTTCATTGTTCAGTGCTTCTTCCGTGGTGGGTGCTCTCTAGTGAGTATTAGTGTGCAACAAAAAAACTTCGTCATACTTCATGCTCTCTTCCAGGTACCCATTCTAAATGCATCTACTACAGAAGTTCTTATGCAGTATCTTCTCCTATCTTTCTTCAGGCTCCTAATCACTTAGCCAAGCCATTTGCTACTGTCCTTGAATTCACATATGCTCTGAACTTGAGTTAATTTTATTTTTTTACACAAAATATATGACTACATTCTGCCCCCTACCCCCACCACAAACCAAGAATCTGTACATTGCAAGGATTTTCTCTCACTATTCTTTCAATGCCCTCATTGAGTGGGGCTATAATGCAGCTGCTATCTAATTTCACATTTTACCCATATGCTTAACTGACCCTTTTATGAACGAATCATGTGCTTTGTCTTCCACTATTTACTGAGTGTAAGGATCCTCTTTTTGGTAATGGGTGTGAGCTGGGGGAGAGGTGCGGTGGATGACATGGGTGGTTTGGTAATTTGCTTATACAGCTTGCATGGACCCTCTGATCTGCTTGAGCTTAGTTCTAGATGTAACACTTAGAACTCTCAATAAATTGTTGCAAGAATCTTCTGATCTTAGAGCTTAGTGAGTTTGACAGAACCCAGCTCATGACAGACAGGTGTGGCTCAGTTATCACTTGGTGCTCCATGGTCAGCTACTTCATCTATGGCAGGCCCAGTAGTATGTCAACAGTTGTTGTTTAAAAGGCATGATTCTGATGGAATGCTCTTGCTCCAGACTACCAGCAATCTGTGTTGTGATTTTCTCATTGATACTTGCCATAGTCTCGAAATGGCATCTTTTCTCATCACTCATACCACTAATGTCATAAAGTCTCCCAGGTTTTTATGCCATGGTACTTGCAATGCACCATCCCATCATATCTCTAGATGGTTTATGTTATGTCATAACTCTAATTATAGATTTTCTTGCCAAAAAGGGTAGTAGGAGCATGTGTTGTCTTGAGTAATGTCTGAATCATCTTCAAGCAAGAGGGGAATACTACCTTTTCATAGAGATGTTTCATCCACTTCTGCAAACTTGCAAGATCAAGGAGAATCTGGAGACTCTAAATATGCATGGACGTCATCCCTGATGTCTCTAGCTTATTTGGTCCTTTGCCAAACAGGATCCTGACTTGTAAAAGATAGGGTAAGTAGATAGGATTGGACAGAGGGAG
The DNA here is from genome assembly GCF_000001405.40 of Homo sapiens. NCBI lineage: Eukaryota > Metazoa > Chordata > Mammalia > Primates > Hominidae > Homo > Homo sapiens. The sequence continues at coordinate 22,693,478 of NC_000009.12, forward strand.
AAGTTGATCTGTGATACAATCCCAGTGAAAAACTAGGGCAATGCCATGGGATGCTCTAAAGCTAGACAGTTCTCTCGGAATTGTCTAAGTTACACTGAGATGACCCGATTTTCACTGATGATTGATGCCATTACTTGTGGGCCACCCTAGGAAGAAGTGTAAACTTAAATAATGTGGCTGTGGCAGTCTGCAGGTGAGGCAATTCTGGAAGAGGCAAATGCAGAAATCTGTTTACCAAGCACTCTTATGGGATGGGCAATAAGTTTTCATTGAAGGCGTTGCTGGCAGGACATCAGAGAGTCTACCAGAGTAATTATAAAGCATTCAGTCTAACTGTGAAGGTGGGGATATAAAAAGGAGTAAGCATTATATTCATTTGTTTATCTTTACTTTCATAAAAGGATTCATACTCTACTAGAAGGCAAAGATATTACAAAAACATTAAAACACTGGTTTAACAAGGGGCAATGCGATAGAGTGAGGAAAACGCAGTAAATTACTTGAGCATGAAATTTAGCTCTGACTCTTAACAAAATACAGAATTACAAAGGTTTACATGGTTTTTGTTAGCTAATAAAAGGAATCCTGGGTTTTTCTTTTTCCTAGTAAAGTAACTCTTTCCTGTCTTTGAACTCTGAGAAGACATTATTGTGAGATTCATTATAAAATGCACTGAACAATATTCTAGATTGTAACTTCAAAAGTTTTGTAACAATGGCAAAATTGTTCTACCTATGATTCTTATTTTGCCAAGCACCTGAAGTGTAGACATTGTGTTTATCAAAAGAAGATTCACATGCTTTAAAAACAAAAATAACATAATCATATTCACGGTTGACATATTGTAAGACCATTTAAAGAGTTTGTATTGTACTTGTTGAAGAAGTAATTTGCAGAATGTAAGTTAGGATATTATTCTTCACCAAGATTAATCAAAAACATTTCCTTCAGCAATTACTTTCTGAGTCTTAAATTTCAGCACCATAAGAGATACTCACATGTGTGTTTGTATGTGTGAAAAAGGTACACCTCAGCATAGGGTTGTTAATTAATTTCTTTAAAGTTAACTTGATTCAATTTATTGTTGACTAAGTGCAATTCTAGGCTAAAAATGTGTGATTAGATAGGAAAGATGTCCTGTCTAAAAGATGTCCAAACAGACTATTTGTTTTCAAGAAGTTATAGTCTTGTAAGGAAAGTAAGAAAGACAAATATAAATGCTAATAGTTTCACAATAAAAAAGTACTTATGATGGTCAAATTAAAAAGAAAAGATAGTAACTGGGGATATTATTAAATATTTTAGGAAGAGGGAAACATCCAAAATAGGTCTTAAAATGTGCCTAGTATATAGCAAGCCTTCAATAAATATTACCATTATTACTGGTGAGTTTTTCCTTAATTGATACCTATCTGAATACTAATGGAAAAGTTTATAACATTGGCTGAACACTGCGCTTTTGAAAACTTAATCACATTTTTTCCTTAAGGCAACATCAAATTGATGAATTTTGTCTTCATTTTTTAGAAGGAAGGAAGGAGGGAAAGAAGGGAGGGAGGGAGGGAGGAAAGAAAACAAATAAACGTCTCTGAAAGAGATGAAAGTAATTTTCCCGCGCCACACAAGTTAGTAGACTTAAGACCAGGGATCTAAATATAAGGTTGTCTGTCTACAGAGTCCAATCTCTTTTACCACAGTCTTCTATTACTTCTAGAAATTGTTATCAATTATGAACAATTATTCCAAATTATTTACTGTGAAAAGAGTAATTGTTTCGGAATACACAATATTGTTCTTGCAGAAGAGAATTGTAGGAAGAAGCCTCTCTCCCTTTGCTGCCTTTCAGTCAGCCTACTTTACTGAAGGCTTCAAAATGTTATTTTTTTTCACGTATTTAGAGACTGAAAAGAGTTATATTATGATTTCAATGATTTACTCAGACCACAAATAACCATATTATGAAAAGGGCCTAAAAGAAAAAGTTATATATCCATCTATAACCACTGATTCAGGGCAGTTCTCTCACTTGCAATTGAATAATGATTGCTTCATCTCTACATGCTTTACATTATTTAGGATTTTAAATTACTAATATGTGAATTCCTTTTTATTTACTAAGATGGAATGAATGCCAAAATTTCTCTTCTGGAAACTTGTGTATCACTCAAGATAAGATATTGATTTTTGAACTTTGTAGTACTTAAATTTTTAGAGCTGTGGAATTTTAAAGGGCTTTTGCAAAATGAAAACAATGCAACCCTGAGAAGTAGGTCATAAAACAACAATAAACAATACCCCTACAAGATGCTGCAGTTGTGGGATGAACTGGTAATAAGGAAACAATGGAGAAGGGACCAAGAAGGTAGAAAGAGAGACGAGGGTAGTGGTCAGTACATTAAAATGAAAATTAAACACCTGACTGAAAATTTGTATCTTGTGACATTTGTGCTTGCACATGCTCAACTTAAACTTATTTCTGAAGATTTATACATTTATATGAAGTTGATTGATGATATTTTATGCCCATGGGAGTTTGGAATCAAGCAATTCAATAACTGCATAATGCTCAGTATAACAAATATAATCCTGGCTATGAAAGTCTTTTTTCTATGTTTTCTAAAATGAAAGTCTTTCAACGGCTTCTAAAATGAAAGTCTTTCTATGGCTTCTAAAATGAAAGCACATTGCAAAGGAAATTCCATTCTAGCAAGTGAGATTCTGTTCTGATCTACTGATCCATAAATTATCACAGTGACAATTATGGACTCAAATAATGGTCTCAAAAGTCTTTCCTAGAACCTTAATAGGTTTATTTAATCCCTCTAGAAAAAATGGAGATTTGGGAATTAAAAGCCAATAGATTAGCTGGAAATTCATAACTATTAAACGCCCAATGTATTCCATGTTTGTGTTCTTTTTTCTTTTACCCAAATTCAATGTTTGCTAATAAAATAGTATGAGATTTTTACTTCAGTACAGAACCACTTACGCAATCTGGCCCTGTACATTAGCTACTTCCTTCTCAACTCTGTATTTACTTTGCTTCTTATTATATTATATTATATTACTTACTTTGCATTAAAAAGCAGACATGGCCATCAACCACTAATTCCTTTTCTTAGTATTGAGTTTACTAAGTGAAACCAATATGAAGTGAAGAAATGGCTTGACATGTAATTACTACAAATTACTATCAACTACTAAACATTACTACGAATTACCTGACAAATGGACTAATGCTGTATTTGATAATAAGAATTTCAATGAGTAATTTTACTTTAATTTATTAATTAGACTGCCTTTTGGGTATAATTGTCTCCTCTTCAGGCAGTCTCAGCAGAAAGTTACATGGCCAAATGAATTCGGAGATTCAAATCCTGCCTCCTATTTGGAGGAATGTAAGTGAGAAAACGGAGACCATCCTATGGAGGTAGTAGATTTTTGGTTATTTTCTCCAAGAAAGTTGTTGTAATATTTCTTTTCTTAATCTTCCATGTCTTTAACAAATCTATTATTTAATAAAGGCAATGGAGCATGGTAGAAAGAATTGGAAGTTTAAGAACCATGGTCCCAGTCATAATTCTTTCACTATAAAATATTGCACCTACGAAAGTATAAGGCACTTTTCTCCTCTGTACTCATTTCTCCATTTGCAGAGAGAAGAGTGTATTATTAACTCTTTTTTATTACGACTAAAATTAACCCTACCCAAAATAATTCAAGCATAAAAAATGATTTATTTGCTCAGAAAACCAAGGTACAAGAATGGCCAAAACAAGCCAAATTCACCAGAATGCTCTCTCTCTATCTTTTTCTTTCTCTTGCTTTGAGTGTGTGTGTGTGTGTGTGTGTGTGTGTGTGTGTGCACTATTTCTGGTTGCTTTTTCTTAGTCTATGTTAACTTCATTCTCAGCAAGGAATTTACCATATGGTAACCTTTAAAATGCACAGGTTTTCTTACAACCAAAAATTCCAGCCTAAAAGTTTTCCCCAAATCCCTGAGACTTAGGTTCTGTAGCCAGAGAGATGGAGTGTACTAATGAGTTAACACAGCATCACCTAACAAGACTAATTAAATAGTGGGCTGAGAGTAGGAAACTTGAAAGTCCCTTGGGAAAACAGAAGTCCTGCTATGAGATAAATGTGGAGTGAATGCTGGACACACAAAATAACAGATGTATATTGTAACAGGGCTGGAAGAGATTTCCATTCTTCCATTCACTCATTTGTTCTCTTAAAGAACTGTAATACAATATTGGTCAAGACTGACATGGTCTTTGTCTTCATGCAACATACAATAAATGGAAGAGAGATATATTAAAATGAAAATCTATAAAGCTATGTAATTATATGTAACATCTCTTATTCTATGATGCTTAGCTTGGCACTCTTTTCAGCATCTAGTAAACTCATTTCTCACTTGCCTATAACATTATTTCTAATTTCTCACAGATCATTGGCCTTATGCTAATTTGTACTACTGTTTTCAGACTTTGGAGGGAGTCAGTTGCCTGTAGCCATCTTTCATCATACAAGATTAAGGAATACTTACAGAGAGTGAGTTCCATACCCAAAGCATTTAGTGTGGCACAATTTGGCACAAAGTGGGAGCCAAAAACAAATTGTTACTGTCTTGGTAACTACACAACTAAATTCTTTCTTTCTCAGAAATTGATATTGTCTATATTAGCTATTTCATGAAATTACTGACAGAGTTGGTTGATATTTTTCGGAATGGGTGAATAACACATTTTGCTTCTTTTGTTTTTCTAAGAAAGACTTGGAGTCTTTTCTTAACATTAGAGATTCACCCAGTGTCTTTGATACATTGGTAGTTATTTTTGTCATTTTGTAATGTTTGTACTTTTGAGACTTTTCACGAAGGCAAATCTGTGTGTTTGGTGGGCAATTTGCTGCTAACCTTTCCTAACTAATATGACTGGATTATTGTCCTTTTTTAATCAGTATAAATCGCCATGAAGAATATGTGAATTTCTAAAGGTAGACCGGAAAATATTTTTATAAAATAGCATCATCCTCTTGGTCAAAGTAGGATTATAGGGACAAACAATCATCTTGAAAAGTTACACAGTAGAATTTGGGTACCAATGTTTCCAATTTTTGGTGAGACAGTGGGAGTTTAGAGAGGGATGAAACATCATGACAACTTGGCTGATACAGAACAATCTTCTAGTTGATACTTGGCATATAAGAATTGGCACACCTATTTGGAACTGAGAGTTAATAGAAAAGTTTTTAAAATGCTTAAACTTTATGGAAATTCTTCAAAAAGGTATCTTTAAGCTAAGACCATCAGGGGTTCTTCCTGCATTAAGAGGATTCATAGTTGGCACACAGACAACTTTTTGAGAATGTGCAATAAAGACATCACATCTTTTGGTCAAACACATTTCAAAAGGCATTTCTCCTTGGTTAGATGCAACTCCTGCAAGTACATCAGTCCTACTTACTGCCTTGAACTGAGGCAATAAAATTTTGGCTTGTAGATTTTAGGTCTTGGTTTCAAAATTTAATTTTAGCAGAGAGATCTTGAGCTAGCTACTTCATTTCACAAACCTCACTTTTTCTAATCTGTAAAATGAGATAACTATACTTATTTTATAAATCGTGTACATTAAAGAGTAATGTAGGTAAATTGTCTGTCACATGGTCTGCCAACATCCAGACCAAGCACTCAATGAATGAATACTAGCTCTGATTTTATTATTTTGTTTGTAATAATAATAATAATGGTAATAGTATAGTATTATTGCTTTATTTTAATCTCTCGGGTCATATATCAAATGATTGCTCATAATTTTTTTAACCTTACTTTTACCCAGTTGTCAGTTCCATGACTGGGTATTTTAATAATTCTTATTGAGAAGATTGGAGGAATGAAGTAAGACTAAAGCTATAATTGGTTAAAAAAAGAAAAAAAAAAAGAAAAATCCAGCAGGCATTCATATTAGCTAGAACAAAGAATATTTTGTCACTTCTGTGTAATATTTATAGAATGGTTTTAGCTTAATCCACCATGATCACAGAGTGGACTTGTCTAAAGTCGTTTTACATAAACAATTCTGTAAATTGTTTATGTACAACAGAAGAACAGCATAGCCTTTCTGTGAGTGTGCGGGCTCCTCCTGGCTGAGAGGTTGCTTTTCTCTTTCTCACTGTGCAGTATACCACATTGCTGCAAGCTATTGTACAACAAAATCATGTCCAAGGGGGTGACCAGGGTAGTGAAGGATTTAAAAACAATATTTTATGAATAATGCTTTAAAGAATTTGAATTAGGATTGAGGATTTTAGCCACAGAGAAGTGGATCATTGAGATTGACTAACTGACAACTATTTCCAAATATGTGAAGGTTGGTCACATATATGAGGTATGTCTACGGTTGCTACTAAGTTGAATGGAAGTTTTTCAAAAATAGGAAAGCTATCATTTATTGTTAAACTGTAAGACATATAAAGCAGAAAAATGAGTAGTTCTTTTTCATGATGGGATATGCTGTCACTGGATGTATTCATAAAGAGTCTGGATAAACTGCTGGAGCTATTATGGTGGGACAGCAATTCATTAAATTGCATTGGATTACACTATATATCTTAAATTCTCTGGCTATAGAAACAGGTAAGATGAAATACAAAGATAGACTCCTGGATGACTAAGGCTCAAACTCAGACTTTTGTTTTATTTCATTAAAACAGAAAATATTCCACTTCTCTCAATGTCCAATCTGTTCCATTCTCCATCTGACTTTCTCTGAGTAGACACAGATGAGCTATAATCAGGGATTTGTAATTCTTCTGTAATGACAAATACATTAACATTCTCCCTGCCAATGACAATACTGCAAATTAATGCTTGTCCAAATTTCATTCATTTACTGAAGGGCAAGTTGGAAATGGTCCAAGGTTTTAAAACTGCCATAACCATTTGGGTAAGCTGTCAATAAGCTTTCCAGGAACTCTGAGCTTGACTTAATTGAGAAGAGTAGTTTTTTGCCTGCTCTGCTCTTTGGATGTCTGGGAATGGGTGACCTTTTGAATCACTTCTTTTTTGTTTGTTTTTTTTTTCTCACTTTCAAGACTTTTTTTTTTCTATTTTTATTATTATACTTTAAGTTTTAGGGTACATGTGCACATTGTGCAGGTTAGTTAGATATGTATACATGTGCAATGCTGGTGCACTGCACCCACTAACTCGTCATCTAGCATTAGGTATATCTCCCAATGCTATCCCTCCCCCCACCCCCCACCCCACAACAGAGCCCAGAGTGTATTATTCCCCTTCCTGTGTCCATGTGTTCTCATTGTTCAATTCCCACCTATGAGTGAGAATATGCGGTGTTTGGTTTTTTGTTCTTGCGATAGTTTACTGAGAATGATGATTTCCAATTTCATCCATGTCCCTACAAAGGACATGAACTCATCATTTTTTATGGCTGCATAGTATTCCATGGTGTATATGTGCCACATTTTCTTAATCCAGTCTATCATTGTTGGACATTTGGGTTGGTTCCAAGTCTTTGCTATTGTGAATAATGCCACAATAAACATACACGTGCATGTGTCTTTATAGCAGCATGATTTATAGTCCTTTGGGTATATACCCAGTAATGGGATGGCTGGGTCAAATGGTATTTCCAGTTCTAGATCCCTGAGGAATCGCCACACTGACTTCCACAATGGTTGAACTAGTTTACAGTCCCACCAACAGTGTAAAAGTGTTCCTATTTCTCCACATCCTCTCCAGCACCTGTTGTTTCCTGACTTTTTAATGATTGCCATTCTAACTGGTGTGAGATGGTATCTCACTGTGGTTTTGATTTGCATTTCTCTGATGGCCAGTGATGATGAGCATTTTTTCATGTGTTTTTTGGCTGCATAAATGTCTTCTTTTGAGAAGTGTCTGTTCATGTCCTTCACCCACTTTTTGATGGGGTTGTTTTTCCCTTCTTGTAAATTTGTTTGAGTTCATTGTAGATTCTGGATATTAGCCCTTTGTCAGATGAGTAGGTTGTGAAAATTTTCTCCTATTTTGTGGGTTGCCTGTTCACTCTGATGGTAGTTTCTTTTGCTGTACAGAAGCTCTTTAGTTTAATTAGATCCCATTTGTCAATTTTGTCTTTTGTTGCCATTGCTTTTGGTGTTTTAGATGCGAAGTCCTTGCCCATGCCTATGACCTGAATGGTAATGCCTAGGTTTTCTTCTAGGGTTTTTATGGTTTTAGGTCTAACGTTTAAGTCTTTAATCCATCTTGAATTGATTTTTGTATAAGGTATAAGGAAGGGATCCAGTTTCAGCTTTCTACATATGGCTAGCCAGTTTTCCCAGCACCATTTATTAAATAGGGAATCCTTTCCCCATTGCTTGTTTTTCTCAGGTTTGTCAAAGATCAGATAGCTGTAGATATGTGGCATTATTTCTGAGGGCTCTGTTCTGTTCCATTGATCTATATCTCTGTTTTGATACCAGTACCATGCTGTTTTGGTTACTGTAGCCTTGTAGTATAGTTTGAAGTCAGGTAGTGTGATGCCTCCAGCTTTGTTCTTTTGGCTTAGGATTGACTTGGCGATGCGGGCTCTTTTTTGGTTCCATATGAACTTTAAAGTAGTTTTTTCCAATTCTGTGAAGAAAGGCATTGGTAGCTTGATGGGGATGGCATTGAATCTGTAAATTACCTTGGGCAGTATGGACATTTTCACGATATTGATTCTTCCTACCCATGAGCATGGAATGTTCTTCCATGTGTTTGTATCCTCTTTTATTTCATTGAGCAGTGGTTTGTAGTTCTCCTTGAAGAGGTCCTTCACATGCCTTGTAAGTTGGATTCCTAGGTATTTTATTCTCTTTGAAGCAATTGTGAATGGGAGTTCACTCATGATTTGGCTCTCTGTTTGTCTGTTGTTGGTGTATAAGAATGCTTGTGATTTTTGTACATTGATTTTGTATCCTGAGACTTTGCTGAAGTTGCTTATCAGCTTAAGGAGATTTTGGGCTGAGACAATGGGGTTTTCTAGATATACAATCATGTCGTCTGCAAACAGGGACAATTCGACTTCCTCTTTTCCTAACTGAATACCATTTATTTCCTTCTCCTGCCTAATTGCCCTGGCCAGAACCTCCAACACTATGTTGAATAGGAGTGGTGAGAGAAGGCATCCCTGTATTGTGCCAGTTTTCAAAGGGAATGCTTCCAGTTTTTGCCCATTCAGTATGATATTGGCTGTGGGTTTGTCATAGATAGCTCTTATTATTTTGAGATACGTCCCATCAATACCTAATTTATTGAGAGTTTTTAGCATGAAGGGTTGTTGAATTTTGTCAAAGGCCTTTTCTGTATCTATTGAGATAATCAGGTGGTTTTTGTCTTTGGTTCTGTTTATATGCTGGATTACATTTATTGATTTGCGTATATTGAACCAGCCTTGCATCCCAGGGATGAAGCCCACTTGATCATGGTGGATAAGCTTTTTGATGTGCTGCTAGATTTGGTTTGCCAGTATTTTATTGAGGATTTTTGCATCAATGTTCATCAAGGATATTGGTCTAAAATTCTCTTTTTTTGTTGTGTCTCTGCCTGGCTTTGGTATCAGAATGATGCTGGCCTCATAAAATGAGTTAGGGAGGATTCCCTCTTTTTCTATTGATTGGAATAGTTTCAGAAGGAATGGTACCAGTTCCTCCTTGTATCTCTGGTAGAATTCGGCTGTGAGTCCATCTGGTCCTGGACTCTTTTTGGTTGGTAAGCTATTGATTATTGCCACAATTTCAGATCCTGTTATTGGTTTATTCAGAGATTCAGCTTCCTGGTTTAGTCTTGGGACAGTGTATGTGTCGAGGAATTTATCCATTTCTTCTAGATTTTCTAGTTTATTTGCGTAGAGGTGTTTGTAGTATTCTCTGATGGTAGTTTGTATTTCTGTGGGATCGGTGATGATTTCCCCTTTATCATTTTTTATTGCATCTATTTGATTCTTCTCTCTTTTTTTCTTTATTAGTCTTGCTAGTGGTCTATCAATTTTGTTGATCCTTTCAAAAAACGAGCTCCTGGATTCATTAATTTTTTCAAGGGTTTTCCGTGTCTCTATTTCCTTCAGTTCTGCTCTGATTTTAGTTATTTCTTGCCTTCTGCTAGCTTTTGAATGTGTTTGCTCTTGCTTTTCTAGTTCTTTTAATTGTGATGTTTGAATCACTTATTGATCAGTCATTTATAAGATTTTTCAGGATGGCAGCAAATGGAAATGGAGACCTTAAGGGAAAAATTTGAAAGTCATCTTTTAAATTCTAAATAACTTTGGGATTTAAATATCTCTCTTTATTACAATGTAAGTTTTAAAATGAACATTAGTTCAAATATTTGGAGGATGCTGATGAGATCCTGTTGTCAGAATGCCTATCCCTGGCGTTGAATAGGCAGTTGACAATGGGGAACTGGGAGGAACTCCACTGGGCTGGTTAATGAAGGACTTAATGAATCTGACCCTTTTTATATTGTGCTATTTGATTTGGCCACCAGAGCAATTGCCATTTTCACTTGACTGCTTTCATTCCTATCTTATCCATATTTGTGTTTCTTATATTTCTGATCACAGAGTCACTGAGATAAAAAATGGATTTTAGAGAAGACATTGAAATTTACTATTAAATGACAGTCCATAAAGATTCTTTGGGGTATTTTTATCATCATTCACACTTCTGAGAGGGTCTTGAGAGTGACCAGTCCTATACGCTGGTGACACTCATAAAGCCCTCCCTCTAAAAGGAGTTCCCCTACAATTGATGCCACTCTCCTCATTGTACCTTGCACAGTGATCGTCAAATAGTAATAGTATAACACATATAATAAGTGCTAGTTAAATACATTTTGGGATTATCTGCATAAACAATATTTTCACCTTTTGTTTTTATTTACATTGCTATTTGTGAGATTGTAAGACTATCTAAATAGCTATATGTAATTTTCCTTAGACTTCCCTAATTTTCACTTTTCCTAACTAAAATGTAACAATATTGCATGAATAAAATTACTATGACTACTTTTCTATTAATAAAGTCTAAATGTTCCCATGCTATCTTGAGAAGTAAAATGTGTGCTGCTCTGTAAAGCAGCAAACTGGGCGTCATTGCTGGGAAACATCAAGACACCTAAAATCAAACTGCTTAATTCTCACCAGTCATAAAATTCAATGACGATAAATGTTAAATTCCCCAAATCAAGGTCACCATGATTATCCAAACAGGTCGCTGTGGAATAATAATTAATCCTGAGGACTTGGTGCTAGACCACTAAGATTCCTATGGAGTGTGACTTCAGACTTCTCCTTGTGCTTCCATTTCTGTAGGTATAAATATAGACAATTTTACCAACTTCACAGAGTGTCTGTGGAGATTAAATGACATAACAGTGTAAGGTATTTAGAACAATGCCTGGCACATTGTAGGTCTTCAGTATATGTTAGATAGTGATAATATATATGAAAAGTTTTAAAATTTCAAAAAAATCCAAACTTTTAGTCCTATAACTATAACGAATCCTCTTTAGAACAGTGGTAAGGATGTGGTACATGTACAATAACAACAGCAGGACAGAGCTAGTAATTCAATTGTCTCTGGAGAATCCTAGAAACATCATGCATATTGCTCGTAACTAACATATCTGTCACAGACATTGTGACTACCATAATTGGATTCCTCATGTCCATTTTTCTGCAGGACAAAAAGAAAGTATAGACTCACCCTATTCAGAAAACACCACTCAGCACGGAAAATGTGAAGAGAAAAACAGAGAGACCCATTGTCAGTAGAAGTCAGTGCATTGTGACTTTGACATGAGAAAGCATAAACAGTAACCAAAACAGCAATAAGTAGAGAAAAGTTATTCTGGGCTCTAAGAAGAACTGAAGTCTGACCAACAGAGGGACATATCAATTACAAGTCAAATGAATCTGCTTTAGGACAAAACTTAAAGGAGTAAAATTCAAGCTTTTAAGGAAATTAGACTTTTAACAACTGAAGCTGTTTTTCCCCTTCAGACTGAAAATAGGAAGCAAGATTTAGAAGCACATTTTACTTGTATATCCTCTCACGAAGTCGATTAAATCGAACCTTGATAGGGGAAAGAAGCAAAAAGTTCAATACTAGCATCAAACAACTGTAGAGAACAGCAGAGAAGCAAATAGAAAAAGAAAAAGAAGATATATGGTATTTTAGAAGGAAGAAGAGGGAAGTTGAAGAAAGAGGTAGAAGAGAAGGGAAGAATGTAAGAATAAAATAAATGAAACAGGAGATTTGGGGGAAAATCATTCTCTTTTAGTAGCAGGGAGAATGAGACTAATGATGCAGGGGAAAATGACAGAACATGAAAAAAAAAAACTTAAACCTAAATGTTCCACCTGTGCAATTGTACCCAATTGATCTGTCAGTTTTTAAAAGCTAAGTAAAATGTGTTGTGAGGGATACACTGGGGGGTATGCATCTGAGTCAGTGGCGATTCACAACCACAGTGGGATATCAGTGAATTGAGCTGGTTGGAGGTCCTATCTCTTAGATTAGACATAAAGAATCATGGTTATTAAAAGTCCCATAGTATTTTGGCTAACATAAAGAAGTTAATTTTGTACATTGGGCAGATTCCAGCAAAGAAATTATGTCTATGTCCACATAGGGAGTATGTGTGTGTGCACATACGGGGGTGTGTGTGTGTGTTTTAAATAAACTTTGTGTTGCAGCCATGGAAAACTATCCTCCTCTCCCTATTTTCTTAACTGGTAAGGGAATTTTTCTTCTCTTTGATGTTTTAGTATTGATAAAAGCAGAAAATCACAATACCTAAAGTTGCACTTCCAAATAATATTCAGAAACTCTTTAGAGTTTAATCTTTTTGAAAAGCTACTAAAACTTGAATTACTGTTTCCCTCTTCAGGGTATTTTAAGAAATCAAACAAGTATTTTTTTATTATGTAAAAATAATTCTAATAAAATTTGATTCTAGAATGTTTATTTAAAATGATGCTAGAGGATGTAAATCATTTGTTCATATTCTAAAATAAGTGATCTTTAGTAGATAAATATAAATTTTCTTAATTTGGTTTCTAAATGTTTGTCAAAACCAGGCACACATTCATTTATTCACAATTCAAAATATAGTGCAGTATGTCAGGCCTTCAAACTTAGGAGATAGGATCATTTAGGCACAAATTCTGCCCTTTAGACATTCAGACTATCAAGATATTTATAGGAGGGCCGGGTGCGGTGGCTCATGCCTGTAATCCCAGCACTTTGGGAGGCCGAGGTGGGCAGATCACGAGGTCAGGAGATCAAGACCATCCTCGCTAACACAGTGAAACCCTGTCTCTACTAAAAATACAAAAAATTAGCCGGGCGTGGTGGCGGGTGCCTGTAATCCCAGCTACTTGGGAGGCTGAGGCAGGAGAATGGTGTGAACCCAGGAGGCAGAGCTTGCAGTGAACCAAGATCGTGCCACTGCACTCCAGCCTGGGTGACAGAGTGAGACTCCATCTCAAAAAAAAAAACAAACAAACAAAAAAAAAAAACAAAAAAAAAAAAAACAAGATATTGGTAGGAATAATTGCTGAACATCTGTTTTTGGTAAGATGGTATATGAAATAAACAGATAAATTTCTATAAAAGTACCTAAAAATGTTTTACATAGTGTAATGTTTTCAAATATGTATCAGAATTCAAGTGAATCCCTCAAAGAACACAAGTGACAAGAGACAATATATAGTGCTAAGAGAATGCTGGAGTCAAGCTTACCTCTAGAGATATCTACCATCTGTAAGGGACTTAGAGGCTGGATTTTAACAGCCCTTGGGCTGATCACAGGGAAAAAAAGGGGAGGTCTGGAGCTTGAGCAGATCCGAGAGAGAACTAACAATGGAAAATTAACAATAGTTAAAGTAACACTTACCAATACTTTGAGAGCAGCTAATGTGATTTTTGAGGAAAATTTATAGCCCTAAGAGGTTTATTGGTATTTTTAAAAAGGCTAAAAGCTAATGTGCTAGTAATTGACTTAAGAAACAACAACAACAAAACACCTAAGGAAAAGGAAAAGCAAAGAAACTATAAGAAATGAAACAGTAAAGAACAGAAATTACTGGGAACAATATAATAGGGTGTCATCAAAGGCAGAAGTTGGTTCCTTGCTAAAACTAATAAAGATGATGAACCTTAGGCAAGACTGAGCAAGAAAAAAAGAGAAAGCAAGAGAAAATAAATGATATTAAGGAGTAAAAAGGAGACAAAACTCAATATGAAAAAAAGTTAAAATGAGATTAATAGAGCCGACTTTATGTCCATAAATTTTCCCATTTCACCTGAAAAACTGTAAAACACCCAAATGAACTCAATTATTATATCTGTGCTATATATCCATTGTCAGATAAATACCTTATTACATATTAGATTTATTTAACCTTTATTTCATCTAGTTCTATAATAAATATATACATAATACCACTAGATCTTATGTTGGTGCCTTTTTACTTTTCTGTTGTCTGAACTTCATTCTAGATGGATTACTCAAGAAGGGCTTATAGAAATCATATTTCTTGAGTTTTTGACTGTTAAAAATACTTTGTGCCCTTTCACTTGAATGTCACTATTTCTAGTTATAAAATGTTGGGCTCCCATTTTCTTTCCTTGAGTATCTTAAACATCTCAATTTTCTTCTAATATGAAATATTGCTATTAAAAATCCAGTAACAATCTATTTTTTCTTATAATTTGTTCTTTTTATTTATATGCCTAAATGAGTTTTATGTAAAGTCAACTACGTTTAATAGGCTATGACTCAATGTTGGTTGTTGTAGTCAGTATTTTCAGGTATGCAGCTATGCATTTTATTATGTAATTTCTATTTTACACTAGCATAAAATTCACAGCTTTAACCATTTTTAAGTTGTACAATTCAGTGGTTTTTAGTACTTCACAAGGTTACAAAACCACAACTACTTTCTAATCCAAGAATATTTTTATCATCCCAAAATAAACCTGACAGCCATTAAGCTACCACTTCTCATTCCACTCTCCTCTTAGCCCCCGCCCACCACTAATCTGCTTTCCACCTCTATGAATTTGATTAATCTGTACAAATGAAATCATACAATATGTGGACTTTTATGTCTGTCTTTGTTTTCTTTAGCATAATGTTTCAAGGTTCATGCAGATTGTGGCATGTATCAGTACTTCATTCCTTTATGTGGCTAAGTAATTTTCCATTATATGCATATACAATATTTTATATAACCATTCATTATTAGATGAACATTTGGGTCATTTCCACATTTTTGTTGTTATAAATAATGCTGCTGTAAATGTTTAGGTACAAGCTTTTGTTTTCAATTCCCATTGATATACAGCAATAATTGGAATAGTGAGGATCATCAAATTCTTCCACAACAGCTGCACCATTTTGTGTTCCCACCAGAAATATAGTAGAGTTGCAATTTTTTCATATCCACGTATTTTTCTTGTTCTTTTTTCTTTAAATTATGGCATCCTCATGAATGTGAAGTTGTATCTCGTTATGGTTTTAATTTGCATTTCATCAATGAGTAATGATATTGAGCATCTTTTCATGCTCTTATTGGCGATTTATATGTCTTCTTGAGATAAATATCTACTCAATATTTTTGCCCATTTTAGAATTTGGCTTTCTTATTTGTTGTTGGATTATGTAAGTTATTTATATATTTTGGATTTTTGCAAATATTATCTCCCATTCTATGAATTGTCTTTTCACCTTCCTAACAGTTTTTTTAATGCACAAACATTTTAAATTTTGTTAAAGTCTAATTATCATATTTTTCTTCTTTAGTTGCTTGTCCTTTTGGGTCATCTCTAGGAAGCCATTGCCAAATACAAGGTCATAAATATTTACCTCACATTTTCTTCGAAGAGTTTTATAGTTTAAGCTCTTATATTGAATTGATTTTTACAAGCGGCATGAAAAAGATGTCCAAATTTATTCTTTTGTATGTGAATATCCAGATATCCCAGCACCATTTGTTGAAAGTGTTATTATTTCCCAGTTGAATCGTGTCTTAGTCCATTTTGTGATGGTATGATGAATACCATAGATTACGTAATTCATAAGAACAGAAATTTGTTATCTCACAATTCTGGAGGCTGGAAGTCTAAGATCAAAGAGCTACATGCGGCAAGAGCCTTCTTTATGCATCATCCCATGGTGAAAGGGCAAAGAGAAGGGGAGAGAGAGAATAAAAGGAGAGAGTGAAAATGTCAAAATCTTTTAATAATGGCTAAATAATAAACCCTATCAATAACAAACCCTCTCTTGCAATGGCAGCATTAATTCATTCACTCTGTCTTCATGGCCTAATCACCTCTCATTAGGCCCCACCTCCCAACACTATTACATTAGGGATTACATTTCCAACACATGCTAATTGGAGGACACATTCAAACCATAGAAAATTTTCTTGGGGCTGGGAGCGGTGGCTCATTCCTGTTCCTGGCACTTTAGGAGGGTAAGGCTGGAAAATCCCTTGAGCCCAGGAGTTCACGACTAGCCTGGGCAACATGGTGAACCCAGTATCTACAAAAAATTAGTGAAGTGTGACAGCATGTGCCTGTTGTCTCAGCTACTCAGGAGGCTGAGGTGGGAGGATCACCTGAGCCTGGGAGGTAGAGGCTGCAGTGAGCCTTGATTGTGCCACTGCACTCCAGCCTGGGTAACAGAGTAAGAACTCATCTCAAAAAAAAAGAAAATTTTCTTGGCATGTTTGTCAAAAATAAGTTGATCATAGATGCCAATTTTCTGTATTCTCCTTTCTATTCCATTGTTCTCTATATCTATTCTTATGATAATATCACACTGATTTGATTATTGTTGATTTATAGTAAGTTTTGGAATCCGGAAGTATGAGTCCCCAGCTCTGTTATTTTTTATCAAGAGAGTTTTGCTATTCTGTGTTCCTTGAAGAAATTCCATATGAATTTTAGCATATGCACGTTCGTTTCTACAAAAAGGCAGTAAATATGATATAGACTGCATTAAATCTGTACATCAATTTGGGGAGAATACTAATCTTAACAATATTGTGTATTCCAATTCATACCACATGATGTCTTTCAATTTATTTAGGTTTTTTAAAATCTACTTTCATAGTGTTTTACAGTACTCAGTGTACATATCTTGTAACTTGTTCATTAGATCTATTTGTAAGTATTTTAGGTTTTTAATAGTATTTAAATGGATTTTTCATTAATTTCCTTATTGGAATGCTAATTGCTAATGTATAGAAATACAATTGACTTTAGTATGCTGATCTTATATCCTGATACTTTGTTACATGTGCTAATTCACTCTAACCTATTTTTTTCTGTACATGCAGTCTTTAGGGTTTTCTGTGTAAAAATCACATCATCTTTAGATAGAAAGTTTTATTTCTTTTTTCTCAATTAAATATATTTTATTTTTTCTTTTATAATTTCATTTCTAGAGCTTCCAGTACAATGTAGGATAGAATTGGCAAGAGTCAACCTCCTTGACTTGTTTTTGATCTTTAGGAGAAATCTTAACCCTTACCCATTAAGCATAATGTTAACTGCTAGTTTTTCATAAATACCCCACAGGAAGACAAGTCCCTGAATAATTTTGACTGACCTAAGTAGGTTTTCTCCCTCTTTTATGCATAATGTACTGAGAATGCAAATTTCTGAAATAATGAAGAAATGTTTGAAACAACTTGGACTATGTCCTTGTTTCCTCCAGAACAGAATATTCTGCAATGCTTGAGCTCAACAATCGAAGTTGTGTCCAGGGTATAAAACACAGAGCTGAGTGGTTTCATGATCCTTCAGATATAGTATGACTGGGGACATGAACAGAAAAAGCTCCATGTCCCTGGGCAGCTTTCCTGAGACTTAGGGGACTTATTCACCAGGGTTCCTTGGCTTCTGTTTATACTTGGTGCCTCTCATTAATAGAGGTGCTTTGCCTGCCTTGTTGTGCAAGTGTTCTGTCTCTCAGACTCATGCAAGTAGTAAAGATACTGGGGCTTCTTTTGCTGCTCACAGGTGCTCTCATGAAACTGGGACTGCTGTGGCAACTGGGTCTGTTTTTTGGTCCATCCACACCTAAAAACCCTTGCAGAAATTAGTGTAAACCTTTCCATACCCTTTACTGATTTAAGGAAGTTTTCTTCTATGTTTAGTTGATTGTGTGCTTTTTTTTTTTTTTATCGTAAATGAGTTTTGGATTTTTTCAAATCCTTTTTCTACATTAATTGAAGTAATTGTGTGGATTTTTATGGTATATTACATACATTGACTTTTCTATGTTGAACCACCTTTGCGTTCTTGAAATACATTCCACTGGGTTATGATGTATAATCCTTTTAACATGATGCCAAATATAACTTGCTAGCATTTTGTTGGAGGTTATTATATCTATATTCATAAGGTATATTGGTCTTCAATTTCCTTTTCTAATGATGTCATTGTCTGACTTAGAAGTGAAGATAACACTGGCTTCATGAATGACTTGAAAATTTTTCCCTCCACATATAGTTTGGCTGTGTCTCCACCCAAATCTCATCTTGAATTGTAACTCCCACAATTCCCATGTGTCATGGGAGGAACCTGGTAGGAGGTGATTGAATTATGGGAGAGGGTCTTTCCTGCACTGTTCTCATGATAGTGAATGGGTCTCATGAGGTCTGATGGTTTTAAAAAATCAGGGTTTCCCTGTACAAGTTCTCTTCTCTTATCTGCTGCCATGTGAAATGTGTCTTTCACCTGCCACCATGATTGTAAGGCCTACGCAGAAACGTGGAACTGTAAATCCATCAAACCTCTTTCTTTTGTAAACTGCCCAGTCTTGGGTATGTATTTATCAGCAGCAAGGAAACAGACTAATACAGTAAATTGGTACCAGTAGAGTGGGGCACTTCTGAAAAGACACCCAAAAATGTGGTAGTGACTTTGGAACTGGGTAACAGGCAGAGATTGGAACAGTTTGGAGGGCTCAGAAGAAGACAGGAAAATGTGGGAAAGTTTGAAACTTCCTAGAGACTTGTTGAATAGCTTTGACAAAAATGCTTACAATAATATGGACAATGAAATTCAGGCTGAGGTGGTCAAAGAGGGAGATGAGGAACTTGTTGGGAACTGGAGCAAAGGTGACTCTTGTTATGTTTTAGCAAAGAGACTGGCAGCATTTTGCCCCTGGCCTAGAGATTTGTGGAACTTGGAACTTGAAAGAGATGATTTAGGATATCTGAGAGAGGATATTTCTAAGCAAAAAAGCATTCAAGATGTGACTTTGGTGCTGTTAAAGGCATTCAGTTTTACAAAAGAAGCAGAGCATAAAAGTGGAAATTTGCAGCCTGACATTGCAATAGAAAAGAAAATCCCATTTTCAAAGGAGGAATTCAAGCCAGCTGCAGAAATTTGCATAAGTAACAAAGAGCTGAACGTTAACCCCCAAGACAATGGGGAAAAGGTTTCCAGAGCATGTTAGAGGTCTTAGCAGCAGCCCCTCTCATCACAAGACTGGAGGCCTAGGAGGAGAAAATGGTTCTGTGGGCTTGCCCATAGGTTACTCTGCAGTGTGCAGCCTAGGGACTTGGTACCCTGTGTCCCAGTCACTCCAGCCATTGCTGAAAGGGGCCAATGTAGAGCTTGGGCTGTGGCCTCAGAGGATGCAAGCCTCAAACTTTGACAGCTTCCGCATTGTGTTGAGTCTGCCAGTGCAAAGAAGTCAAGAATTGCGATTTGGGAACCTCTGCCTAGATTTCAGAGTATATATGGAAATGCCTAAATGTCTAGGCAGAAGTTTGCTGCAGGGGAGGGGCTCTCATGGAGAAACTCTGCTAGGGCAGTGCAGAAGGGAAATGTGAGGTTGGAGCCCCCACACAGAGTCCCTACTGGGGCAACACGTAGTGGAACTGCGAGAAGAGGGCCATATCCTCCAGAACCCAGAATGATAGATTCACCAACTTCTTGCATCGTGTACCTGGAAAAGCTGCAGACACTCAATGCCAGCCCATAAAAGCAGCTGAGAGGGAGGCTGTTCCCTGAAAACCCACAGGGACAGAGCTCCACAAGACCATGGGAACCCACCTCTTGATCAGCATGATCTGGATGAGAGACATGGAATCTAAGGAGATCATTTTGGAGCTTTAAGAATTGACTGCCCTGCTGGATTATGGACTTGCATGGGGCCTTGTAGCCCCTTTGTTTTGGCCAGTTTCTCCCATTTGGAACAGCTATATTTACCCAATGCTTGTACCCCCATTGTATCTAGGAAGTAACTAACTTGCTTCTGATTTTACAGGCTCATAGGTGGAAGGGACTTGCGTTGTCTCAGAAAAGACTTTAGACTGTGGGCTTTTGGGTTAATGCTGAAATGAGTTAAGACTTTGGGGCACAGTTGGGAAGACATGATTGGTTTTGAAATGTGAGAAGATGAGGTTTGGTGGGTCCAGGAGCAGAATGATATGCTTTGGCTGTGTCCCCACACAAATCCCATCTTGAATTGTAACTCCCACAATTCCTATGTGCCAGGGGAGGAAGTCAGTGGGAGGTGATTGAATTGAGTGGGGGGAGGGCGGGTCTTTCCTGTGCTGTTCTTATGATACTAAATGAGCCTTACAAGAGCCAATGGTTTTAAAAAACGGGAGTTTCCCTGCACAAGCTTTGCCTCTGCCATTCACGTAAGATGTGACTTGCTCCTCCTTGCATTCTGCCATGATTGTGAGGCCTCCCCAGCCATGTGGAACTATAAGTCCAATTAAACCTCTTTCTTTTGTAAGTTGCCCAGACTCAGGTATCTCTTTATCAGCAGCATTAAAACAGACTAATACATCTCCTATTCTATTTTTTGCAAAAACTTGAGAGGAAGTGGTGTTAATTCTTTAGATCTTTAGTAGAATTTATCATTGAAAGCATCTTGTCTTAGGCTTTTCTTTGTTGGAAGTTTTTATTATTATCTTTACTATTTACTACATCTATTTAAATAGATCTTGTAATCAGTACTGGTCATGTTTTTCTTTGTCCCTTGTAACAAATTTGACTTAAAGTCTAGTTTGCCTGGTATTAGTATAGCCACTCTGGCTCAGTATAGTCACTCATGGAATATGTTTTTCATACTTCGGTTTACAAACTACTTGTGTCTTTATATTTAAAGTGAATCTCTGACAAACAGCATATAGTTGGATTATTTTAGCTCATCTTATGAAGGTATCTTTTAATTATAGAGTTTAATATATCTAAAATGTAATTAATTATAATGAATATAATTATTAATAAGGAATAAGTTATTTTTCCCATTTTGTTATTTGCTTTCTATATCTTGTACTTTTATTTTTGTCTCACAACACATCCCTTGCTGCCTTCTCTTATGTTAGATAACTATTTTAAGTGTTCCATTTTAATTCCTTTCTTATTACCTTTACTAAATGATTTCTGGTTATTTCTTAGTGGATCCTTTGGAGATTACAAAAGAAATCCTAATTTATAACAACATTATTATATCATTTGAATTAATGTCATATAGTGTACACTAGTTACTTTCTTCCTGTCTCCCCTTTATTGATTTTTATGCCACAAATTCCATTTTTATTTATAGTGTGCCCATTAACATAGATTTATGATGACTGTTTTGTTTAACTGTTTTTTTAAAATCAAGAAGGACAAGAAAAAGAATTACAAACCGAAATTATATTAATACTGAATTTTATATTTACCTGTGTAGTTGCCTTTTGTGTGGATTGCCTTTATTCTTTTGTGTGGATTTCAGCTACAGCCTAGTGTACTTTCACTTTAGTTTAAAGGACTCCTTTTAGTATTTCTTATAAGGCATATCTACCAGAAACACACTTTTAGTTTGTGTGTCTGTGGGAATATCTTACTTCCTTCTTCATTTGTGAAGTCGGTTTTAGCCAAATACAGAATTCTTTGTTGATTTTTTTTTTCCTTTCAGCGCTTTAAATATGCCTTCCCACAGTCTTCTGGCTTTCATAGTTTTTTTTTTTTTTTTTTTTTTTTTTTTTTTTTTAATGAGAATTCAGCTGTTAATCTTATGGTGAATCCCTTGTATATGATGAGTCTCTGCTCTCTTGCTGGTTTTAGGTTTCTTTTTGGGTTTATTTTCAGTTTTGATCTTTTTGCGTTTATGCACCTTGACATTAATTAAGTTTCTTGTATATGCAGATTCAGGTATTTCACCAAATCTGAGAAATTCAGTCATTATTTCTTTCTTTCTTTTTCTTTTTTCTTTTTTTCTTTTTTTTGAGACGGAGTCTCACTCTGTTGCCCAGGCTGGAGTGCAGTGGTGCGATCTTGGCTTACTGCAACCTCTGCCTCCCATGTTCGAGTGATTCTCCTGCCTCAGCCTCCTGAGTAGCTGGGATTACAGGCATGTGCCACCACACCCAGCTAATTTTTGTATTTTTAGTAGAGACGAGATTTCACCATATTGGCCAGGCTAGTCTCAAACTACTGACCTCAAGTGATCCACCTGCCTCAGCCTCCCAAAGTGCTGGAATTACAGGCGTGAGCCACCACACCTGGCCTAGTTCTTTAAATATTCCTTCTGCCGCTTTTTTTTTTTTTCGTCTCTCCTCTCTTCCTAGAACTAACATTATGGATATTTTTGTATGCTTGGTATCCCACAGGTTTCTTAGGCTCTCTATTTTTCTTTATTATTTTTCCTTTATGGTCCTCTGACCTGGGAATCTCATTTGATCTACCTTCAAATCTTCCCTATACCTTTTCAAATCTTCTGAATTCCTCTGGTGAATTTTTTATTTTAGTTATATTTTTCTACACCAGAATTTCTATTTGGTTTCTTTTCAAAATTTCTATCTGTTTATGGGTATTCTCTGCTTGGTGAGACATTGTTCTGATGACTTCCTTTATTTGTTTGTCTATGATTTTCTTCAGCCATGTTAGTATATTTAAAATAGTTGATTATACATTTTAGATGAGATATTAAAAATATACATAAAATAAAATAGTTGACTAAGTCTTGGTCTAGTAAATTCAATGTCCAGGCTTTCTCAGGAAAAATTTTTGATAATTTCTATTTGTATTTTTGGTATATGGGTTATATACTCTTATTTCCTTTCATAACTTATAATTATTTTCTTGAAGAGGGGATATTTTGAATATTATTATGTAACAACTCTCAGGATCATGTTCTCCTCCTCCCCAGAGGTTTATGTTCTTCATATTGACATTGTTTTGCCTGAGTGTCAAGTGGATTTTCTGCACTAATTTTGTAAAGTCTAAATTTCTTCTTTGTGTTCCTTAAAATCTCCATTTCATTATATTGTTGGTCAGCTTGTGATTTAATAGTGATTTCCTTAAACTTGTAGAAACAACAACAACAAAACACCAAAACCCCAGTCTTTGAAGATAGTCTCTGTTTCTGTGTTGGAGCACATGTTTCACATTCAGACAGGAAGACTGCAATTCTGCCTAATGCTTTACTTCTGATTGAGTAGAGTTCAAGTCACAGTGAGAGCTTGGGGCCTTAACCCATTTTTTCTGAACATGTATGTTGTAGCCTCAGAGGTTCTCAGTAGTATGTGGAAGATTTTTAATTCCCTTATTACCAGAAGCATCTAATTTTCTAAGCTTTCCTCCCAAACTTTTAGCTTTGTCTATTGCTTACCCCAACTGTTATCCCTTGCCCTAGGTGGCAATGAATAATGCATTTGTTTAAAATATTTTTTTCCTGGTAGCCACTTCAGTACTGGGAGAGTTCAGAGTTCAGTAAAATAAAGACAAGCCTAGTGGTCCTTCAGGGAGCCAGCAGATGTATCAAAACAAAGTCATACTTTTTTGAAAATGAGATTTATTTTGCTCCCCCTAGTGCTAGGCACCTATAACCTATATCAAAAATGAGAATTGTTGTGCTCAAAGTTGCTGCACAGGTGGGAGACGCTGCCCAGAGAAATTAAGACTCCACAAACGTATACTAGCAAGAATCAAGTTTCTTGTTTTTCTTTTCTTAATTAAGCATTTTCCTGATTACTAAAACCTATGATGAGTTTTTCCAGAGTTCTAATAAAGTTGCTTCTGACAGTGCTTACCAGTTTCTTCACTTTTTTTATGCAAGGACAGTCTTTTGTAATTCCTTATTCAGCCATTTTCACTGATGTCACCTCAATTTGTTTAATTATTCAGGAAAGTTACTAAAATTATAATTGGTTTTATTTATTGTGTTCCTTTGTTTTGTATTTATTCCTGAAAACATTATTACCTATTTTGGATTTTTTTACTACCTTCTGTAATTATTACTTATCTCAAATCCATTTTTAAAGCAATTTTTCAATTTCTTTTTGATTTTTAAAATTTTCATCCATTTGACTATTTCTATTAAGGCTTTAATCTTTTGTATTTATTGGTTTTTTTCATTCTCTCTAGTTTGGTTTTCATAACCAGAAATATCCTTTCTAATTATGTCCTGAGTTGCATAGTCTCATTTTGAATTTTGAATAATTCTTATTTACCTTCTTTCATGTTTTGTACCAGAGCTTTAATGTGTTTTAGCTATTCTGGAATGATCCTTGGCCATTCAGTTTTGATGACTGATTCAGCCCCTTTACATCTTTTTAAACACACTTGCACTTACCCACATTTCCAGTAGGTAAAACTCTCCAATTTTAGTTGCTGCACACAACTAAAATCTACACCATTGTGGTTTTAAATAAATACCTGTTGGTCATTTGGATTTTTTTCCATTCTCAAGTATTTCAGATTCCCACTTGCTTTCTTGTGCTTTCTCCCCTCCAGACAGTGATAGTAGGCTGGACTTCTGGCTGTTGTTGTGATTTCTTTTTCCAATTCACTTATTTTGGGGTTCATCAGGCACCTCTTAACTAAATTTTATTAACAGGTTGCCCATAAATTCCTGACTTTCACATTTAGTTGCTGAGTCTGTTTTTGTCTGGGGATCCAAGGATATTGAAAAACTATGACCCCTGCCATCAACTTCGCAGAATCCCCATTCATTCTTATTTGATGTTTATCCATATATTTCATAAACACATCTTAACTAATATTGATAAAGTTAAAAAATAGATTATTGGCAGGTAAACTGATATGGATTAACCTTCATCAGTTTACCACTATTAACACCAAAGTTCATTTGCAATATTTTATTTTGTACACTGTGATAAGTTAATTTTGATATCACCTGTCATTTATTATAGATATGAATTATATTTTAATATGTAAAATATATTTCAATATATGGAATATAGATAATATATTTATATATATATGAAATAACATATGACCCCAAGATTGATGTATATATATGTGTCTGTACATAGCAAGCTATTTGCTTCCTCTAGGGGGAGCAAAACTTAAAATTATTTTTAAATTTTAAAAGAAATGTATTGATTCTCATTAATACACTGATATTTTTATAATTTGAGAACAACATTTTCTGCTTTAAATAGTAGCTTTTTATACAAAGTTTTGAATAGCGACATATTTTAAAATGACTAGATATTCATGCACATAAATATTCATCTGGACAAAAAAATTTAAGACTCCAAAGAAATTTTTCAGCTGCTTAGAGAGAATTTTATGGCTTGACACTGTAGTTTTTCTGTTGCCTTCTTAAATTTTCCCTTATAGTTATATAACCTACTTTATGGAAAAGCTGCCACAGAGTCAGAAAGCTACTAGATAATGACAGAAAAAATTGCATAGTTTCCACTTCACTAAGCTCAGAGATGAAAGTTAAATATTGTTTTTGTGTTCTAGTCGTGTATAAACTTACTATCACAGAACACACTCTGCCCAAATATTACTATGCTATTTTGGCAATAGCACTGGTAATGTTCTCCACTGAATAGTAAAATATTTCAGAGTCTCTATGAGCTTAATATTTCAAACCTTTAAAAACTAAAGGAAAAAGAAATAACTTTAAATAGTTTTGTTAATACAACGACATGAACAGGTTTTGTAATTTTGATTAAGTGTTTTAGAAAATGTTTCATGGGAGATGACTACCTTGAATATGAGATGACTACCTTGAATACATATGCTCTGGGTTTGATCAGGTTTTTATAAAACCTTGAAAAGCATATAACTATGTTTTATCGTAGTGGATTAACTGTCAAGCAAATCACTTGATGTGTTTTGATGTTTTATACAGACCACTATACTGTCTCTTGGGCAGCAATACTAACAACAGAAAATATGCAGAAACAGAGATTTGTTAAGAACACATATATGCTTCTTGAATTATTCAGGTTTTAAAATGATGCTCCAAGCATACCATTTTCAATACTCTGCAATGTGTTCTGTTGACATTTGCTAAAATTTTGTCATGTATTTTTTTCATCTCATAAAAATAAGTGAATATTCAACTTTTCCTTCTTTATATTATTTTTGTGAGAAATGAGATCCTTTATGGTGAGACTGTGTCACTACTTGTATTATATTACACTCACTGAACACAATTTTTCTCATTTAAAAAATGAAGATTAAAATACATAGAGTTAATAAAATTGCTCAACACTATGTCAAAAATAAGCTAGATTATATAAAAAACATTAGTTTCTTCCATCTTTCCTCTACATAATAAAATATTTATAACCAATTTTTGCAGTATAATCATCCTGCACTATAATCTACAATATCTCCCAAAGAGCAAGTCTTTGTTTCTGTGTAGACAGGCATTTGCATTTTTTAGACATCTGATTATAATCAGTACTCTATTTATTCTTACTATATAACATTAGGTGCTTCCATAGACTTGTTTACTACCTTTGAAGTTAATCAGAGAAGGGGTAATTTTGCCAATCAAGTACCTCAGTAGGGTATATCTTAATTTTCTGATTTGTACATCAAAAATTGATCTATCAAAAACAAGCTTTAAATTTGGTAAAGAAGAAGACGTTATTGTTGCAGATGCTGAAAAACTATATTAAAGAACGTAATCTTCTGTCCTAAAAAAGACGCAAATATCGTGACTCTGTAAATATGTCTTTCACATGCCAGGCGCAGTGGCTTACACCTATAATCCTAGCATTTTGGGAGGCCAAGGCGAGTGGATCATTTGAGGTCAGGAGTTTGAGACCAGCTAGACCAACATGAGGAACCCCACCTCAACTAAAATTTAAAAAAACTAATTTACTTCATAAATTTACCTTTTCTATACAGTTGTTATAAATAGATACAACAAGACAATATTTAGTCTCTTATGTTTGACTTCTTTCATGTAGCACAACATTTCTGAGTTTTACCCATGACACAGCAAGGGTCAGTATTTGCTTCATTTTTATCACTAAATAATACTCCATTCTATGGATATACCACATATTGTTCATTTATCAACTGATAGGCATTAGATTATTTCCAGTTTTTGTTTTTCAATATTCCACTTGGTAGAACTCTCTTAGCATACAGAATTTTTACATCTTATTTCTGTCTCCCTTTCTTCCTTCCTACCTTCCTGCTTCCTTTCCTTCCTTTCTATATTATAGCTTTCCAACACAAATTATGAAATCAGCACCAATAAATAAGTTATAGATGTTGCTAACTGGATCCAAACGGGTTATCCACTATTTATAATAAGTAAAAGTTTAGGTCCTTGGAGTTTATTATAACAAATAAAGAAGGGAAATTAATGCGACTTGGAAAAAAATAGTAATAGAATCCAGAAAGCTAAGTTTATTAAAGATTCATTTGCTTATGAAAATAATTCAATTAACAATTATTAGCCTTAAACAGATTAAGCTAATTTTGAGAGTTAAATATCTACCACATATAGATGAACATTTTTATGTTGACAATTTTCATTCTATACAAAGCAACACACAATTTATTATTGAACAATGTCAAATTTCTAAACTGCAATATCATATAACACCTTTCACAGAAAATGCCATAAAACTAAATTGCATCATTTCTTAAGTAAAGATAGAGGAAGACTAATTGCTTTAGAAGGGCTATGAAGGCCAACATAGATAATATAATTGGATTTCTAATTAATTTAATTTGTTTTACAATTACCATAGATAAATTGCTATTACCACAATTCTTTTTTGTTGTTAAAAATTTAAAGTGATATAATTTATCTCTAATAAATGAGAGATAAAGTAATTGACTTTTATAAAATACATTACTATCTATTCCCCCTAGAGACATATATAAAAACAAGTGAAGTTTTAGATACTGTTGTACAAATCTGCTTGGGTTATGTAGAATTTTAGTGAACTTTCAGGGAATTCCAGATGAAGATCATAGAATAGTATCCTTATTAGGATAGACAATACTCATGCTCTTTTTCTAATTCAGAAAGTTGATACTAATATTTATAATAATCATTATGGATTGAGGTAAATTTGTTTGGGTGAGAGGGTGTAGCCTCAACAGGAGTCTGAGCAATGATTGTATTGGTCAGAAATGAGACCTACAGGATCCCTATGCAACACTCAATCAATTGGCAGAGAGAGAACAATTGCTGTTAGGACATATTAGTTACATAACTGACGACTGCTGAACACTGTGATTTTAATTCATTAAAATCATTTAAGTTCCATTAATTTTCTTCAGAGTTCCACAGCATTTTTAATGGTAAACTTATAGCACTTATTATAGGGCTTTTAAGATTAGATGTTCAATTTTCTAGTTTATTATAATAGATAAAGATTTGGCTTTTCTGGATATTTTTTGCCTTTTGGTCAAAAACGCAGATGATAAATGTGTCAAATAGCCATTTTTGGTATCAGTTGTATAAAGGCCAATAATGAGATACATCTTACAAATGTTCTTTAAAAAACACCTCTAAATCTTACATATTCTCTTTGCAATTAGAAATAACATTCTTATTTTTGTGTAACTCTTATTACCTAAAGAGAGTTAAAGGGTTTATGAAGAATTAAAAAGAGTGAAGAATGAAACATTCATTGTTTCAACAACCCTAGACATTTGAAAATATTTCAGGAGCCTAAAGCTGATGTAATTACTATTAGAGATCTATAAAAAGAAATTACACCTGTGTAAAAATCTGAATGTCAGTAAAATGCCTCTGAGTGCTTAAACTATTTCATTTTTCAATCTACGAAACAGAGATAATATTTGCCACCCACATATCTCAGAGGAATGACATGAAGAAAGTGTTTTGTGCTTTTGTCATATTTAGCCTTCATTCTAATCATCCTATTAACCTGCTTCTTAGTCATTACAAAGACATCCCTGACAAAGCGACATGTCATTGTTAAAACACATTCCTTTAACTCTCATACTGTACATCTTTGCTCCCAGGAAGAATTTGTGCCCAAGGATGGTGCTTGACATTTGATTTAAAGGGACTTTTATTTAGGTTTCTACTATCAAGTATTTGAGCCATTTTAACTATTTTACTTACACATACTCTGAATCGGGCACCTAACAATAAAGCAAATTTTCTTTAAGAACTTAAATACTTACAGAAGAAATTTCTGTAATGCATCTATTCAGAACTTTTACTTTGAGCTAAAAGATAAACATCATTCAACAACCATAGTTATAATGCATAAGTTATATATACTAAATTTACTATTCAGGTGTTACCTAAGAAGAAATTTAAGTATAATAAAGAACACTTATTTTTTTACTCAACTACACTTTATTTCCTAAAAATTAATGTGTATTGCAAATTAATCTTAACTTTAGGTAGAAAATGGTTTAGTGCTCTTTCAGATGTTGATGTTAAAGATAATTTTGCTTTAATGCAAGATAATATTACTCATTTTTGGTTTGGCAGAAAATACTACTTGTCTCAAAATATCCAATTTCTTTTCTTCTCATATATACAGGCAGACTAAAATTCTCAAGATTCCTATGCAGTCGAGTTTTACCATATGACTGAGTTCCAACAAAGAAATATGAGTAGAAGATTGTATAAGCATCATTTTTGACCCAGGGCTTTAAGAAGCAGGTATGTCCACTGACTATTATTTTTTCTTTTCCACTGCTTATATATCAACACGTCTGTAAGAGATGCTAAAACCACAGATAGTCGACTGGCTACTTGAATCAGACTCAGGCTGGGAAAACTCATGTTGAATGGTAATGTGAGTATGAAATAAACTTCTATTTTGTTTTAGACATAATACACCTTTGGTGCTAATTGTACTGCAGCTTAGTCCACTCTAATATAACAGTGTAATAATTATTTCTTTTTTATTTGGACTTTAAAATAATTGAATAATGAATGCAAACTTAGCATTGATATTCACTTATTAATATTACTGTTACTTAAATAAACACAAGACAATGATTATTACTAATGACAATGTAGCAAAATCTGAATCATAAAGACAGCAAACATAAAGGCATGCAAGCTTAACCATCAAGTTAGCAATATTCTTATAATGTGAGCAGCAGGAGCATATCCATGGTTCTCCTTATTTTATAAACAGAAATCAAGTATAAAGTATGTGGTTGCTTATAAGTCTTTGAAGGGAATGAGATTTTATCCAGCTTCTTAGAAATAAGCACATGAGCACTGACTTGATTCTCTGAAGCTCTCATAGATGATAAAAGATAAATGTTTCTCATTCCAAAACTCTGGAAATTTGTATTAGATCACACTCCCTCTTTTAATTAATATGCAAACACATTGCAGCACGATGATATATGTTTTCACATGCACCATCTCATTTGATAGTCCATAACAACTCATATGACACATCAGTGTACCCTATTTTGAAGAAATACACAATGAAAATCAGATAATTGTATCAATAACCTTAATTCACAGCACTGGAAAGCAACAGAAAAAAAGATTTGGTGGGAGATCTCCTTGCTTTATGCTGACAATTCTTTCTATATTAATATTTTGGCTGTAGCTTGGAATTATAAACCCTCTGGAATAGAAGAATTTTGTTTCCAGCATATTAAGTGTATCTCTTGAAAAAAACAAATAAGAAAGCTAAAATTTATTTTAATGTTTTTAAACATTAGTCCCTGGTTTTATAATTAATAACACATCTACAAAGATTTTTATTTTTTATTTTTAATCAAGCAAAAATGGGAATCCTGGGATAGAAACAAGTACCAAAATGAGAATGTTTCTTGTGATAATCTACCTAGACTGATAACACTGAGATTCCATTTTGACAGTTGTACAAATTGTGGGAAATAATAATTCCTGGAGCCAGTCTGGAAAGAGAATAGCAGGCTCCCACATGAATCTGGGGCCTTCAAAGTGCTACTCTTTCTGAGAAAATGTTAGTGAAAGAAAAGTTGAATTTCCCAACCCTAGTATATGGTAGGATAAAAAAATCTATTGAGAATTTGTAAACATAAATAGTTGTCCACAAAGTTGTGTGGCCTGAATTCATTCACACTGTTTAGTTATAAAACATCAAGCAGATAGCTTTGTTTGAAGCCATCTTGGGATTGTATTGCTTCTAGGCTACTAGCAAAGAAAATACAAACCATTTCTGGAGAAATGTAAGTTTTCTTATATAATAACTTAACAGATAAAGTCCAATGAATGTGAATTCATAGCAAAGTAAGAAAATGCAATCAATTCTTATTATTTGCAGTAGTTATGCTCCATAAAGTTGCTGTGAACACTGGATTAGCAAATATTGAACAATTGCTCCTAAGGGAAATGTGGGGTTAGGTTCCTATGAGCTTGTGGTCATAATGTTTTCATTAACTGATAAATACATCATTTTTTATTATGTATGTTTCTGTTTAAAGACACCTTAATTAATATATATTGCTAGTTCATTAACATTGAACTCATAGCCGATAAGATGCCTTTTCTCCAGAAGGCACACTAAAATTTTCATTTGTTTAGAAGCACTAAAAAACACTTCAGCACTACGCTTGTGGGCCATTTTAAAATGTAAAAAACCATATAAATGTGAAAAATATGGCCCTAAATAGACAGCAAAAAAGGTCATTTATTTATAGTAGGAGATCTGAAACAAGAGGCAGAACTTCACTCTGTTTGACCTCAGCTGGGAATCTATCAGGTGACTCAAAATTTTTTTGCTACATTGTGAATATACACGAATGACCACAGAAGTGCCATGAGTATTGATTTTAGGGTTACAAATATATTTTAGCAAGTAGATAAATTCACAATTACAGAACCCATGATAAATGAAGACCAAGTATACTGCCTAGCCCTGTATGCTTGAGCTAATAAAAAAATAAGCAAACAGCAGAATCAGCCATGTAAAAACTTTTTGTGTTAGAATTATCTACAAAACATACAATAAATACATTTAATATTCTAAAAGAAATAAGAATCCTTGAATGAGCATAGATTAAGGAGCTGTAAACATGACCAAGCAGATTTCCTAAAGAACCATTGTAGAAATGAGAAAATATGAAGGGTTTTTTTTCTTTCTTTTTTATTATACTTTAAGTTTTAGGGTACATGTGCACAAGATGCAGGTTAGTTACATATGTATACATGTGCCATGCTGGTGTGCTGCACCCATCAACTCATCATTTAACATTAGGTATATCTCCTAATGCTATCCCTCCCTCCTCCCCCCACCCCACAACAGGTCCCGGTGTGTGATGTTCCCCTTCCTGTGTCCATGTGTTCTCATTGTTCAATTCCCACCTATGAGTGAGAACATGCAGTGTTTGTTTGTTTGTTTGTTTGTTTGTTTTGCGATAGTTTGCTGAGAATGATGGTTTCCAGCTTCATCCATGTCCCTACAAAGGACATGAACTCATCTTTTTTATGGCTGCATAGTATTCCATGGTGTATATGTGCCACATTTTCTTAATCCAGTCTATCATTGTTGGACATTTGGGTTGGTTCCAAGTCTTTGCTATTGTGAATAGTGCCACAATAAACATACGTGTGCATGTGTCTTTATAGCTGCATGGCTTATAATCCTTTGGGTATATACTCAGTAATGGGATTGCTGGGTCAAATCGTATTTCTAGTTCAAGATCCCTGAGGAATCGCCACACTGACTTCCACAATGGTTCAACTAGTTTACAGTCCCACCAACAGTGTAAAAGTGTTTCTATTTCTCCACGACCTCTCCAGCACCTGTTGTTTCCTGACTTTTTAATGATCACCATTCTAACTGGTGTGAGATGGTATCTCATTGTGGTTTTGATTTGCATTTCTCTGATGGCCAGTGATGATGAGCATTTTTTCATGTGTCTTTTGGCTGCATAAATGTCTTCTTTTGAGAAGTGTCTGTTCATATCCTTTGCCCACTTTTTTGATGGGGCTGTTTGTTTTTTCTTGTAGATTTGTTTGAGTTCATTGTAGATTCTGGATGTTAGCCCTTTGTCACATGAGTAGAATGCAAAAATTTTCTCCCATTCTGTAAGTTGCCTGTTCACTCTGATGGTAGTTTTTTTGCTGTGCAGAAGCTCTTTAGTTTAATTAGATCCCATTTGTCAATTTTGGCTTTTGTTGCCATTGCTTTTGGTGTTTTAGACATGAAGTCCTTGCCCATGCCTATGTCCTGAATGGTATTGCTTAGGTTTTCTTCTAGGGTTTTTATGGTTTTAGGTCTAACATTTAAGTCTTTAATCCATCTTGAGTTAATTTTTGTGTAAGGTGTAAGGAAGGGATCCAGTTTCAGCTTTCTACATATGGCTAGCCAGTTTTCCCAGCACCATTTGTTAAATAGGGAATCCTTTCTGAACTAAAGGAGGAAGTTTGAACCCAAGGCAAAGAAGTTAAAAACCTTGAAAATAAATTAGACGAATGGCTAACTAGAATAATCAATGCAGAGAAGTCCTTAAAGGACCTGATGGAGCTGAAAACCAAGGCCCAAGAATTACGTGACGAATGCACAAGCCTCAGTAGCCGATGTGATCAACTGGAAGAAAGGGTATCAGTGATGGAAGGTGAAATGAATGAAATGAAGCAAGAAGAGAAGTTTAGAGAAAAAATAATAAAAAGAAATGAACAAAGCCTCCAAGAAATATGGGACTATATGAAAAGACCAAAACTACGTCTGTTTGGTGTACTTGAAAGTGACGGGGAGAATGGAACCAAGTTCGAAAACACCCTGCAGGATATTATCCAGGAGAACTTCCCCAATCTAGCAAGGCAGGGAAACATTCAGATTCAGGAAACACAGAGAATGCCACAAAGATACTCCTCAAGAAGAGCAACTCCAAGACACATAATTGTCAGATTCACCGAAGTTGAAATGAAGGAAAAAATGCTAAGGGCAGCCAGAGAGAAAGGTCAGGTTACCTACAAAGGAAAGCCCATCAGACTAACAGCTGATCTCTTGGCAGAAACTCTACAAGCCAGAAGAGAGTGGGGGCCAATATTCAACATTCTTAAAGAAAAGAATTTTCAACCCAGAATTTCATATCCAGCCAAACTAAGCTTCGTAAGTGAAGGAGAAATAAAATCCTTTACAGACAAGCAAATGCTGAGACATTTTGTCACCACCAGGCCTGCCCTAAAAGAGCTCCTGAAGGAAGCATGAAACATGGAAAGGAACAACCAGTACCAGCCACTGCAAAAACATGCCAAATTGTGAAGACCTTCGAGGCTAGGAAGAAACTGCATCAACTAACGAGCAAAATAAGCAGCTAACATCATAATGACAGGATCAAATTCACACATAACAATATTACCCTTAAATGTAAATGGGCTAAATGCTCTAATTAAAAGACACGGACTGGCCAATTGGATAAAGAGTCAAGACCCATCAGTGTGCTGTATTCAGGAAACCCATCTCACGTGCAGAGACACACATAGGCTCAAAATAAAGGGATGGAGGAAGATCTACCAAGCAAATGGAAAACAAAAAAAGGCAGGGGTTGCAATCCTAGTCTCTGATAAAACAGACTTTAAACCAACAAAGATCAAAAGAGACGAAGAAGGTTTTTTAAAATAAAAGATAAATCAAATGGCAGAGTAGTCAAAATTTAAAAAGAGCATTAACA
Source organism: Homo sapiens (assembly GCF_000001405.40). NCBI lineage: Eukaryota > Metazoa > Chordata > Mammalia > Primates > Hominidae > Homo > Homo sapiens. Next base: position 22,728,401 of record NC_000009.12, read on the forward strand.
AACTGAAATTGTGGTCTGAGGAAATTATCCAGGGTTAGCCAGAAAAAAAAAAGGAAAAATGTGAGAGAGAGGTTAAAACACATAGCTTATAGAGTGAGAAAGATTAACATTTGTCTACTCAAGTTTAGGATAATGGAAAGAGTGGAACAAAAACAATATTTGAGGGGATAATGGCTGAGATTTTTTTCCAGGGTTGTTGTAACACATTAACCTCAATCCCAGAAAACCCAATGTATTTTCATTATAGTAAATAAAAATAAATCTATACCTAGACGCATGACAGTGAACTGACAGACATGAAAGATAAAGAGAACCTACACTGTATACATATTATATTGATAATTGATTTCTTTTTAGCCTAATAGAATAATATCTTACATGTGTTGAGGAAAGATTACTGTCAACATTAAAATCATATGCCCAGTATATCTCAAAGAATATGGACAAAATTAAGACCTTTTATTAAAGTACAGAAACTTCTACTTTTGAGTATCTAGTAAGTTACATACTCATTATCAACAATTATTAAAAATAAGCTTAAGGCAGAAGAAAAATGATCTCAGATTGAACTTATAAGATGCAAAGGGAAATAGTAAGCAATAATAATGATAAACATATTGGTGAGTCTAAACAAACTGATTGCATAAGACTACAATAATAACATTTTACATAATAATCATTTAATTATGTGTGAGTAAAAAATTAAAATACCTGACAACAATGTCATTAAATGGAGGAAGGGACAGTCAGTTTTCAAAATCCTAATGTCTTTGTAATTTTATAGGCACTCTGTGGAAAATAAAGATATAAAATATCTTTATTTAGTATTGAGTTAAGTATACATGGAAAATTATCTAAGGTCAACCCTGAATAAATATAATACAGAGGATGCCTTCAAAAGTGCAATTAAAAAAATTCAAGAGAAGGCAACAAAGAAAAAATAAAAACAAATAAAAACAATGACATAAGCCCAAAGCCCAGAATAGAATAGTAGAAATTTGTGCAGATATATCAGTTGCAATGATGGGCCTAAGTTCTCCAGTGCAAAAGGTATTTTTCAGACAGTTTAAAAAGGAAATCTGCCAATATACTATTTACATTAGGTACACTTGAAATGTAAGGACATAAAAATAGATTTTAAAATAAAATTTGGTGTAGCTATATTAATTTTAGAGGAAGAGAACTTAAAAATCTATTACTAGATAAGCACGAAACTCATTTCATAGGGATTATATATTTAAACTTGAATTCATATCTAACATGGGTTGAAAACATATGCAAAATTAATTATAAATGGGCAAGTCTGCCTTTATTCACAGAGATGTTAAAACACTATATTCAGTAACTGATAGATCAGACTGACAAAAGGGTGATAGGTGTATGAGTGTTCATTTTATAACCTTTTCCTTTACTGAAAGTCGAAGTTTAAGAGGATATTTACTAAAAAAACGTCTCTGAAATATTGACATATGCAGCACATTTCATTAAAAAGCTAGCTACAAACAATGAAGATATAGTGTCTGGTTGAAACTATGTTCTTCTACTTGGAATACTTTATCTTTTCCTCTTCACCTAGCTAAATTATACTCATCTGAGTTCTCGGTTGCCTCAGAGAAGCCTTTTTGAACTCTTGGACTTGGTTTAGTACCCAAGTACCTGCTTTCATTACACCCTGTAATACTCCAATAATGAAACTCAATGAACTTGTTGTTATTTGTTTAATGTATTTTACCCTGATAAATCAAAAACATGAAGCCAGAAGCACATCATTCTTTTTCTCTCTTCAGTTCTAACACAATGCTACCCTCACCATCTAGTGATAGATTCTTAATTGTATATGTAAAGGAGGGAAGAAAGGAAGAAAAGGAGGGATGTTATTCTCTATTAGTTTTGTTGCATGGGAACCCCAGAGAATATCCTGGCATTACTTTGAGACCTATGGGGATTCCAGTGTATTGGAAGAGTAGGAGTGTTGCTGGAAATGAGGATGCGTAATGCTCCTTCAGGAAGCCAACACCAGAGAGAAGAAATGATGCCTGCCATATAATGACAGGACTTACTCAAGAGCCATTATGGGATGCCACTTACGGACTTCTATAAATCATTGGGTTAAGGGAGGCCACTTTGCAGGGACCAGAGTCCCTGAAATAAATACAATTATATAAAATAGTAAAAAATAAGGGTTATTATTGTCCCATTCATCCAAATTCTTAAACTCAGGCTGATATGGCGTAAGCAAACATAGACTACAATATAAAACACAACAGTGACTTATAATACTCAGGGCATAAGGTATGTGCCATCCAGATTACCAAGATTTTTTTTTATTCGTAACATGATAAGAGCCTTTGTATATACAGAAACTAACTTCAGAATTGACTATGTCATGAGTAGTTAGAAAGTAAGGCCACAAACAAGCAAACAAACAAAAAACTGCTGAACTTAATAAAAACACAGAAATTACAGAAGACGGGGAGCGGCACATCTGCTCCAGAAGGAATTTTCAATGAACAGCAAGAAAAAGAAAAAAGCTTCACCCTGAAGATTTTTAAGCCTGGCAGAGAATAAACACAACCATTACCCAAGTTCACAGCTGTAACCTTGGGGAGCTGAACTGGAACACAGAACAGTTGCCACCTGCACAGCTGAAGAAAGACTAATAGCAGGAACTTAACATCAGATCGGTGATTTCTTGGCTGCAGAAAATGTGGCATCTTTCATAAAGCAAGCTGTTTTCCTGCTTTTAGTGACTCCAATTCTACTGAAGATTGTTGTTTTATAATGGAGAAAAACCCTTGCTGGCAACATTGCCTATATACTGATCTGTCATAAAAGACTCTAACAGATGTTTGTGCCCAGTCTCCCCTGTGACAGAATATTCATTGTGGGTAATGTTTGCAGCACATTCTGCCCACGAGAAGATACCAGTGATGCATTTCTCCCAAACAACAAGCATTTTGTGCAAATATCCAGCACATCTCTGAAGATTGTTAATCCACCACCTTTCATTAAGTAAAATTCACATTCAACAGTTTACAGAATAAGGGAGAAAATGGGAAAATAAATTGTAAATTCCTTTTCCTTGGCAAGCAACCAGATTGCAGTATTGCAATTAGAATTTTCCCCAATATTAATTTGTTTTTTTTTGAGAAAACCGATAGTTGTCTTGTAGAACTTTCCATATTCTATTCTCAAAAAATTATTTCCTCATGATTCAGTTATGATTATACATTTTTGGCAAGAAACTATTGGTGAACTGTCTTTTATTGCATTGTGTCATGAGAAATGTGACATCAGGTTACCCCACTATTGTTGATGTCACCTTTAATCACTTAAAATGGTGAGTGCGAGATTTACGTATCTCTTCATTGTAAAGATACATTTTTCTTTGGAATAAGTAGGTGAGAGGAAGGTGCCATGAAAGGCACAGTTTAAACAATTGAATATAGTGGTTGAGATTGAGGCAGAGAGACAAATTGGGCAATTGTTATAGTAATCCATGCAAGAAATTATCAGAGACTAAAAGAGTGGTGGCAAGGTAGAATTGGGTAGAGAGAAAGAATTCCAGAAATGTTAAAGTGGCTGAATCAACAGGAACTGTAGAGTGACTAGATATACGAGATAAGGCAAGATTTAAAGAATGTGGAAAGGAGTGTAAGCTAAGTACTAGGTTTGGGGTTGCAAGATGAAAATAGCGGATTTCTTTTTGGATCTTCTGAGTATAAGATTCTCTGAGGAATTTCAAATGTAAATATCAGTTAGGTATCTGAAAGTAAAGGCGACTAAAATTTAAGAGAGGTTACTGTACACACTGTATATTTGCTTAATTTCCTTTTCTATCTTTCCTGATGGATTCCATTTCATGTTGATGGGTGATAATATTTGAATAACAATGCATAAAAGTGATATAGTCTGTGTTTGCAGCTCATGTTTATATGTATTCAGAAAGTTTACATTAAATGACTATGAAGAGATCTCACCAATTTCCTTTGACAACCCATTGAACCAGCTCTATTTATTATAAAATTCCCATTATAACGGAAATAGACTTTCAGTACCTGACACTTCTTTTAAACTTTTATTTTAAGTTCACGGTTACATGGACAGGTTTGTTACATAGGTAAACTTGTGTCTTGGGGGTTAGTTGTACAAGTTATTGTATCACCCAGTTATTAAGCCTAGTACCCATAGTTATTTTTCCTCATCCTCTCCCTCCTCCCAATCTCCACTCTCTGCTGGGCCCCAGTGTGTGTTATTCTCCTCCTTTGTGTCCATGTATTCTCATTATTTAGCTCCCACATATGAGAACATGCAGTATTTGGTTTTTTTTTCCTGTGATAGTTTGCTAAGGATAATGGCCTCCAGCTCCATCTACGTTCCTACAAAGGGCGTGATCTCATTCTCTTTATGGTTGCATAGTATTCCATGGTGTATATATACCACATTTTCTTTATACAGTCGATCACTAATGAGTGTTTAGGTTGATTCCATGCCTTTGCTTTCGTGAATAGTGCAGAAATGAACATATGCATTTATATTACCTGACACTTTAAATGTTTGCTTGTGTTTCTACCACTTCATTGTCTTCTTAGATAAATCTATGCATATATGTTTATCACATTTTACACAAATAGAAGAATGTGCTGTCCTTACTGATATCTGTATTCCAAGAATCAACAACAAATGGACATTTTATCCATTGTCTTACATCTCTTATTCTGTGGATGTTTCACACAGTTAATTCTAACACAATGGGAAAACTTCCAAAATATATGATTCATTTAATTTAAACAAAGCTTGGAAAACACAACTGAGGAAAGAGGTTTGTTTTCTGATGATAGAGGTAGTTCAAAGAAGGTGTTAATTATTGTAAATTTTGGGACTTAAATTGCAACCTAATCCATTGGTTATTGAAACTCAGAACTTGAGTACTCAGTAACTTGAAATGGAATAGAGGTCCTTATGTCTTATTTGTAAAATTTTCATCTCAATCATTTTATTCTAGTGTCCCATGGTTTAATATTCATCTTATGTCAGAATTAAGTGTTCTGTGATGTTCAACAAATTTGTAATCTCACTGAAGGTATAAATCCGGAATTTTACTGTTTCTAGAAACAGTTTAATCACACTGTATATGTTGAAGAAGTTTGGAGTAACATATTGGCCACTTAACATTATCTTATTTAATAGTCATTACAATTTTTTGAGATAAGCAGTGTAATCCTATATCAAAGACAAATAAATTGAGACTTAGGAGGTCTCAATAATTTACATAATTCCATATAACCAATCAGTAAAAAACAAACAAAACAAAAGAAAACAAACTTGGTAGGTCTGCCTCACTCCAAACGCTGGACTCTTCCAGTTCTACCAATTGTCTTCAGTATGCTGTGCCTTAAGAAATTTACTTAACTGTATCAAATGGTCCTATGATATGTGCTTGGACACATATCCAATAGCCAACTCTCCTCAGAAATCTCCAAGACAGTCCTACTTGCAGGGTAATGTCACATTCAGCCCCTCACTAATAGTTAGTCTATTCGTCTTGTGCTTTATCATTAATGTTCCTCTGATTTTTACATTCTGCATTAGGCTAAGCATCAAAATAATATGCACAGTTTTTTAAAAAAAAATAGATGTTCCTTTCTCACTCCTAACTATTCTATATCAGTAAGATATTTTTCTTATACTAAAACATATCACACTTGTTTTAATGTAAGGATAATGTCTTGAAGTATTCAGTAATAAAATTACTTAATTTCCCAAATTTGAGCCATGTTTTCCTAAATTTGGGCAATATTTATGCTTCAGGAAGATATACCCTGTTTGGTTCATTATTTGGATTGTAACTTCCTCTTTGTAGTTTTCATCTGTGAAATCTCCAGTTGCAGGGACTGTGCATACTTCTGGTAATCCCCAATGTCTGGTGCTACCGTGAAGCCTATGAGCTTCCAGTATCAGATGAGTCAGAGGTAGATTAAGACTGAAAGGTAGAGGGTCTTAAAACCAATAGACTAAGAGCATGGATTTGATCATTTATCCCCAAGTTTAAGCAACTATCTTCAGTAGTTGGCTTACGCTAGAGTCAATGGATATAATGTATAACATATTTGGAGTTATTTATTAGTATTTATACAACCCTATAAGAAGTAGGAAAGAATGAAAAGGAAAAGAAGACCATATCTATGAATAATTTATTGATGATCTGAACAGAAGTTGACAAAAACTCCACTGTCAGGTGGGAAGAGGTTTGTTAGGAAATTCAGAGAAATGCAGGGGCCTAGTTAAGATGCTTGTGAAGGTATACTTTTTTTTGGCAAATACATGATTTATAAATGTCAGTTTCACTCTATATTATCAAGAACATAATTAATATTTTTATTTTTTTAATTTTATTATTATTATACTTTAAGTTTTAGGGTACATGTGCACAATGTGCAGGTTAGTTACATATGTATACATGTGCCATGCTGGTGTGCTGCACCCATTAACTTATCATTTAGCATTAGGTATATCTCCTAATGCTATCCCTCCCCCCTCCCCCCACCCCACAACAGTCCCCAGAGTGTGATGTTCCCCTTCCTGTGTCCATGTGTTCTCATTGTTCAATTCCCACCTATGAGTGAGAATATGCGGTGTTTGGTTTTTTGTTCTTGCGATAGTTTACTGAGAATGATGATTTCCAATTTCATCCATGTCCCTACAAAGGACATGAACTCATCATTTTTTATGGCTGCATAGTATTCCATGGTGTATATGTGCCACATTTTCTTAATCCAGTCTATCATTGTTGGACATTTGGGTTGGTTCCAAGTCTTTGCTATTGTGAATAGTGCCGCAATAAACATACCTGTGGATGTGTCTTTATAGCAGCATGATTTATAGTCCTTTGGGTATATACCCAGTAATGGGATGGCTGGGTCAAATGGTATTTCTAGTTCTAGATCCCTGAGGAATCACCACACTGACTTCCACAATGGTTCAACTAGTTTACAGTCCCACCAACAGTGTAAAAGTGTTCCTATTTCTCCACATCCTCTCCAGCACCTGTTGTTTCCTGACTCTTTTTAATGATTGCCATTCTAACTGGTGTGAGATGGTATCTCATTGTGGTTTTGATTTGCATTTCTCTGATGGCCAGTGATGATGAGCATTTTTTCATGTGTTTTTTGGCTGCATAAATGTCTTCTTTTGAGAAGTGTCTGTTCATGTCCTTTGCCCACTTTTTGATGGGGTTGTTTGTTTTTTTCTTGTAGATTTGTTTGAGTACATTGTAGATTCTGGATATTAGGCCTTTGTCAGATGAGTAGGTTGTGAAAATTTTCTCCCATTTTGTAGGTTGCCTGTTCACTCTGATGGTAGTTTCTTTTGCTGTGCAGAAGCTCTTTAGTTTAATTAGATCCCATTTGTCAATTGTGGCTGTTGTTGCCATTGCTTTTGGTGTTTTAGACATGAAGTCCTTGCCCATGCCTATGTCCTGAATGGTAATGCCTAGGTTTTCTTCTAGGGTTTTTATGGTTTTAGGTCTAACGTTTAAGTCTTTAATCCATCTTGAATTAATTTTTGTATAAGGTGTAAGGAAGGGATCCAGTTTCAGCTTTCTACATATGGCTAGCCAGTTTTCCCAGCACCATTTATTAAATAGGGAATCCTTTCCCCATTGCTTGATTTTCTCAGGTTTGTCAAAGATCAGATAGTTGTAGATATGTGGCATTATTTCTGAGGGCTCTGTTCTGTTCCATTGATCTATATCTCTGTTTTGGTACCAGTACCATGCTGTTTTGGTTACTGTAGCCTTGTAGTATAGTTTGAAGTCAGGTAGTGTGATGCCTCCAGCTTTGTTCTTTTGGCTTAGGATTGACTTGGCGATGTGGGCTCTTTTTTGGTTCCATATGAACTTTAAAGTAGTTTTTTCCAATTCTGTGAAGAAAGTCATTGGTAGCTTGATGGGGATGGCATTTAATCTATACTTTACCTTGGGCAGTATGGCCATTTTCACGATATTGATTCTTCCTATCCAATGAGCACAGAATGTTCTTCCATTTGTTTGTATCCTCTTTTATTTCATTGAGCAGTGGTTTGTAGTTCTCCTTGAAGAGGTCCTTCACGTCCCTTGTAAGTTGGATTCCTAGGTATTTTATTCTCTTTCAAGCAATTGTGAATGGGAGTTCACTCATGATTTGGCTCACTGTTTGTCTGTTATTGGTGTATAAGAATGCTTGTGATTTTTGTACATTGATTTTGTATCCTGAGACTTTGCTGAAGTTGCTTATCAGCTTAAGGAGATTTGGGGCTGAGATGATGGGGTTTTCTAGATAGACAATCATGTCATCTGCAAACAGGGACAATTTGACTTCCTCTTTTCCTAATTGAATACCCTTTATTTCCTTCTCCTGCCTAATTGCCCTGGCCAGAACTTCCAACACTATGTTGAATAGGAGTGGTGAGAGAGCATCCCTGTCTTGTGCCAGTTTTCAAAGGGAATGCTTCCAGTTTTTGCCCATTAAGTATGATATTGGCTGTGGGTTTGTCATAGATAGCTCTTATTATTTTGAGATATGTCCCATCAATACCTAATTTATTGAGAGTTTTTAGCATGAAGGAGTGTTGAATTTTGTCAAAGGCCTTTTCTGCATCTATTGAGATAATCATGTGGTTTTTGTCTTTGGTTCTGTTTAATATGCTGGATTACATTTATTGATTTGCGTATATTGAACCAGCCTTGCATCCCAGGGATGAAGCCCAATTGATCATGGTGGATAAGCTTTTTGATGTACTGCTGGATTTGGTTTGCCAGTATTTTATTGAGGATTTTTGCATCAATGTTCCTCAAGGATATTGATCTAAAATTCTCTTTTTTTGTTGTGTCTCTGCCCGGCTTTGGTATCAGGGTGATGCTGGCCTCATGAGTTAGGGAGGATTCCCTCTTTTTCTATTGATTGGAATAGTTTCAGAAGGAATGGTACCAGTTCCTCCTTGTATCTCTGGTAGAATTCGGCTGTGAATCCTTCTGGTCCTGGACTCTTTTTGGTTGGTAATCTATTGATTATTGCCACAATTTCAGAGCCTGTTATTGGTCTCCTCAGAGATTCAACTTCTTCCTGGTTTAGTTTTGGGAGGGTGTATGTGTCGAGGAATTTATTCTAGTTTATTTGCATAGAGGTGTTTGTAGTATTCTCTGATGGTAATTTGTATTTCTGTAGGCTCGGTGGTGATATCCCCTTTATCATTTTTTATTGCGTCTATTTGATTCTTCTCTCTTTTCTTCTTTATTAGTCTTGCTAGCGGTCTATCAATTTTGTTGATCCTTTCAAAAAACCAGCTCCTGTATTCATTAGTTTTTTGAAGGGTTTTTTTTTTTTTTTTGTCTCTATTTCCCTCGGTTCTGCTCTGATTTTAGTTATTTCTTGCCTTCTGCTAGCTTTTGAATATGTTTGCTCTTGCTTTTCTAGTTCTTTTAATTGTGATGTTAGGGTGTCAATTCTGGATCTTTCCTGCTTTCTCTTGTGGGCATTTAGTGCTATAAATTTCCCTCTACACACTGCTTTGAATGTGTCCCAGAGATTCTGGTATGTTGTATCTTTGTTCTCGTTGGTTTCAAAGAACATCTTTATTTCTGCCTTCATTTCGTTATGTACCCAGTAGTCATTCAGGAGCAGGTTGTTCAGTTTCCATGTAGTTGAGCGGTTTTGTGTGAGTTTCTTAATCCTGAGTTCTAGTTTGATTGCACTATGGTCTGAGAGACAGTTTGTTATAATATCTGATCTTTTACATTTGCTGAGGTAGAGCTTTACTTCCAAGTATGTGGTCAATTTTGGAATAGGTGTGGTGTGGTGCTGAAAAAAATGTATATTCTGTTGATCTGGGGTGGAGAGTTCTGTAGATATCTATTAGGTCCACTTGGTGCAGAGCTGAGTTCAATTCCTGGGTATCCTTGTTAACTTTCTGTCTCGTTGATCTGTCTAATGTTGACAGTGGGTGTTAAAGTCTCCCATTATGATTGTGTGGCAGTCTAAGTCTCTTTATAGGTCACTCAGGACTTGCTTTATGAATCTGGGTGCTCCTGTATTGGGTGCATATGTATTTAGGATAGTTAGCTCTTCTTGTTGAATTGATCCCTTTACCATTATGTAATGGCCTTCTTTGTCTCTTTTCATCTTTGTTGCTTTAAAGTCTGTTGTATGAGAGACTAGGATTGCAACCCCTTCCTTTTTTTGTTTTCCATTTGCTTGGTAGATCTTCCTCCATCCTTTTATTTTGAGCCTATGTGTGTGTCTGCACGTGAGATGGGTTTCCTGAATATAGCACACTGATGGGTCTTGACTCTTTATCCAATTTGCCAGTCTGTGTCTTTTAATTGGAGCATTTAGTCCATTTACATTTAAAGTTAATATTGTTATGTGTGAATTTGATCCTGTCATTATGATGTTAGCTGGTTATTTTGCTCGTTAGTTGATGGAGTTTCTTCCTAGCCTTGATGGTCTTTACAATTTGGCATGATTTTGCAGTGGCTGGTACCAATTGTTCCTTTCCATGTTTAGTGCTTCCTTCAGGAGCTCTTTTAGGGCAGGCCTGGTGGTGACAAAATCCCTGAGTATTTGCTTGTCTGTAAAGGATTTTATTTCTCCTTCGCTTATGAAGCTTAGTTTGGCTGGATATGAAATTCTGGGTTGAAAATTCCTTTCTTTAAGAATGTTGTATATTGGCCCCCACTCTCTTCTGGCTTGTAGCGTTTCTGCCAAGAGATCCGCTGTTAGTGTGATGGGCTTCCCTTTGTGGGTAACCTGACCTTTCTCTCTGGCTGCCCTTAACGTTTTTTCCTTCATTTCAACTTTGGTGAATCTGACCAAATTATGTGTCTTGGAGTTGCTCTTCTCGAGGAGTATCTTTGTGGTGTTCTCTCTATTTCCTGAATCTGAATGTTGGCCTGCCTTGCTAGATTGGGGAAGTTCTCCTGGATATCCTGCAGAGTGTTTTCCAACTTGGTTCCATTCTCCCCGTCACTTTCAGGTACACCAATCAGATGTAGATTTGGTCTTTTCACATAGTCCCATATTTCTTGGAGGCTTTGTTCGTTTCTTTTATTCTTTTTTCTCTAAACTCCCCTTCTTGCTTCATTTCATTCATTCATTCATTTCATCTTCCATCACTGATACCCTTTCTTCCAGTTGATTGCATCGGCTCCCGAGGCTTCTGCATATTAATATTCATTCAAGTCACACCCTGTATCTCTGTGTCTTAGTTAAGTTAGAAAAGTAACTTTTTCGTCACATGATCCAGAATAATTTCAGTTTATAGATATTAGTAGCTAATAAATTGTATTCTCATTGTAAAATAATAATATATAAGGGGCATGCAGGAGAAAAAGTAAAAGAAGAATAAGGAAGCCAAGGTAAGAGTTTGTTAAGTAAATTCTCATCATTTTGGTTTGGAATGTAAATATAAATGCTTCAAAATCTGACAGCTACCCTCAGCTCTATGATTAGTCGCTCTGTTTTCCTGCTAAGTCAGCAGATGCTTGTGTCTCAAACATGAGGTTCCTACTTGTAAGAAATGCCAGAAAAGACAGAACACTAGGTCATCCATTTTCCCTAGCTAAACAAAGCTTTCATTTTGCTTGTTCCCAGAATGAGGCAAACTGGGAAGAAACTATGGAATAATGGATTGGATTTATGGGCATACATTAGAGGTCTATAAATCATTATAAATCACTTGTCTCTTCATAAAGCCAATATGTTATATAGAAATGAGCTATGGACAAGGGTTATATAGGGAAATCTTTCACATTACTCGCAGTAAGAAAGTCAAGCAGTTGATCTTTCACAATGGCATGTAATTCTGGCTGAAAGAAATGAGGGCCTATTTTTTGCCTCAATATTTTCTTGCAAAACAGGGATATATTATTCCAATTTGTTGCAGTAGGCAAAATTAAATTGGTAAGAGTTATTTCTTGGACTCTGTTTCTATTTTATCTGCTACTGAATCATTTAATTCATTATTTTATACTTAATCAGATTTTAGCTCCTAGATTATTGGGCTTTAAACTTTTAAGAGTTCTTATTTTTTCTCCTTATTAAAAACCTTGGCATGTTACCAGCACACTACATAAAAGAGGGCCATAGCAGCGCTCTCCCTGGAAAATTTTATTTGAAGCAAGTGGTAGGCATAATAAAATGTTCCCACAAGCTTAGAAAAGTTTAAACAATACACAGAACAAGTTTATTGTGAGTTTGCTTCCTGGGTTCAAGTTATGGTACCCTCCAACTATAGGCATTCTCTCCACCTTTACATCATTCATAAATTTCATGAGAAAAATGATACTTCAGTGACTATTGCTCAGTTACCATACAAATAGAGAAGATAGATGTTTTTTCTTCCCATCTGCCATTATGGAATTAGTTAATGAATGCTGTAACACCATAGCATTTAGCAAATTTGAAGGATCTTTTTTTTCATGTTTACTACAGTTCCTTGTTTTATTCTCCAGGTAGAATCTACTCAGTTACAACTCTTAATCTTATTCAATATTGACAACCAGATTTCTGGCTGGCTGTTATACTCAATGATGCTGCCCCTCCCATTTTTATTACAATGGAAAGCCTGTAGCTAGGTGATAGAGGCGGTTGCCTGTGAAATGTAACCCAATACAGTACATTTTAGTTTGTTAGATGTTCTGCTTTGGTCTTCTGACAGTTGTTCTGGAAGTAAATAACATCTGCCATACAATTGGCTGGCAAAACTCATTTGTAGTATAATTAAACAGCCATCATTTTGTTAGAGCATAAACACAAAGATAAATAGTCCATGAATTAGCAAGTGCAACATCATTTGACAGCTCACAGCTAGACAGGCATAATATAGATTTTACCTATATGCAGAGTGTCCTTGCAAGACAGCTAACAAAATCAAAAGCAAAATCAGTATCTAGAATTTTCAAACTGGAGGTGGGAGTGTTTGGACAGCCTTAGCAATCTTACTTTTGCCATATTTTGGGCCTTTTCTTTGATCTTGCATGGTGGCCGGTCCAGGTGGTCTTCTTCACCTTTAAGTTATATTTTAAAGGTTTTCCATCTTTGGCATTTTCTTTTCTAGAATTGTCACCACCATTTCTTCATTAGAGCTAGAACAGAAACCAGAAGTCAACCCAACTTAAGTATTAGCCATAGGTATTTATCTTCCTCCCAGGTGTCTGGTAAAGTAGTTTAATTTATGTAAAAAGGTCAGAAATGAAGAAAAAACTTGTAGAAATTTATACTTTATTTTTGTGCTCTCTCCAAAATGGCTGAGAGGATTGCCTCTGAATAACAGGTAATTTAATGAAGCATTTCAATTCACAGTCAATTCTGTTTTATAAAGAACTGATTGTACAGTGGAGTAGTGCTATCCTTTGCTGCTGTCCCTTCCTCCCTTGGCTCTTTGCCTTTGGACTGGTTTGCTGGACATTAGGAGTGTTGCTTTTAGAAGGGCAAAGGAATAAAATGGATACAATCTTCAGAGTATGGTTAGGAAGGACCAGTGAAGCCAGTTGTCAGTGAATTTTGTATCCATATTGTCTCTATACATGATTACTGAGCTCCTTTAAATGTAGATACACGAATCTTTATATCACTCTTTCTTAAATGAGAAGAGGAACTATTTTATTCTTAGAATAGAATATAGTCAGTAGTCAATAAAATATATGTTGAATAAAGTAATAAATAAGTTAAATAATTTATTTCAATTTGCTTGAAATACCACTACTGCATTGAAGATGAGACCTATGAAATTTAATGACTGTTAGCAATTAAAACTATTTTATTTCCATTGTTATGCTTTCCATCTTGTGTATAGCTACTGTTGATAATTACTGAGTGAGCTCCTCTGCTGAATGCATTATATAAATACTCCATTAATTTCTGCAAACATTTATTGTTTTAATTTTATGATAAAAATGTTATATTCTCAATTTCCATGATTAGTATTGATCAGATTGAGCTGCTCTATGCTGCAGTAACCAATAACCTTAAAGATTCAGTGGCTTCATAAAATTAAGTTTATTTTCTGTTTATGATCAACTTATATTGTAAGACATTAGAGGGTTTGGTCCACATAGACTTTGGGAAAGTGAGCTGAGAATGACAACACCACCTTGGCACTATATCATCTGGAGCATGAAAACCCCATAACCACAGTTTGCAGGGGAGGAGTGAGTGAGCTGGAGTGTCATGCACCAGCTCTTTTATGCTTTGGCTTCAAAATGGTCCAGGTGACTTCCACTCACAGCCCATTGACCAAAAACCTGCCAAACAGCCCTGACTAATTTCAGGGGTGGGGAAGGTGGTGAGGGAACAGATGGAATCTGATGAGCACCACTGCCCCTGATAAGCAAAGTTATGTGCCCTCTGGAACCAGATTAGAAAACACAGTTGACATTGCTTAACAAAAATTGAAATTCGAAATCCAGAAATTCACATTACAGTAGAACTTGAAACACATTGAAAGACACTACAGAAGAAAAATTAACATACATTATCACAAAGTAGAATTTATCAAGAGCAGGAAGATTGAGTCAACATTTGAAACTGATCAATATAATCCACCAAAGAATAGAATAACACAGAACAATCATATGGCCATAATAATAAATCTATAAAAAGCTTTTGATAAAATGTTAACAGTACCTTCATGATTAAAAATTGTTTGTTAGCAAACAACCCCATCAAAAAGTAGGCGAAGGATATGAACAGACACCTCTCAAAAGAAGACATTTATGTGGCCAAAAAACATATAGAAAAAAAGCTCATCAGCAGTGGTCATTAGAGAAACGCAAATCAAAACCACAGTGAGATACCATTTCTCACCAGTTAGAATGGTGATCATTAAAAAGTCAGGAAACAACAGATGTGGAGAGGATGTGGAGAAATAGGAATGCTTTTACACTGTTGGTGGGAGTGTAAATTAGTTCAGCCATTGTGGAAGACAGTGTGACAATTCCTCAAGGATCTAGAAGCAGAAATACCATTTGACCCAGCAATCCCGTTACTGAGTATATACCCAAAGGATTATAAATCATTCTACTATAAAGGCACATGCACACGTATGCGTGCCACAATAATGTGGCCCTGTTCACAATAGCAAAGACTTGGAACCAACCCAAATGCCCATCAATGACAGACTGAATAAAGAAAATGTGGCGCATGTACACCATGGAATACTATGTAGCCATAAGAAGGTTGAGTTCATGTCCTTTTCAGGGACATGGATACAGCTGGAAACCATCATTCTCAGAAAACTAACACAGGAACAGAAATCCAAACACCACATGTTCTCACTCATAAGTGGGAGTTGAACAATGGGAACACAAGGACACAGGGAGGGGAACATCACACACCAGGGCCTGTCAGGGGTTGGGGGGCTAGGGGAGGGATAGCATTAAGAGAAATACCTAATGTAGAGAACGGGTTGATGGGTGCAGCAAACCACCATGGCACGTGTATACCAATGTAAAAAACCTGCACGTTCTGCACATGTATCCCAGAACTTAGAGTATAAGAAACTTTTTTTTTAATTGTTAGCAAACTAAAACTAGAAGGCAACTTCCTCAATTTGATGAAGGGCATCTACAAAAATAAATAGCTGATGTCACATTTAATATTGAAATATTAAATTCTTTAACCCAAGATTGGAAAAAAGATAAATTGCCCTCTTTTACTACTTACATTTAACACTGTGCTATAATAAGGGTCATGCTCAGCAGATGAAGGCAATAAAAAATTACAAAAGAAATACAATTTGGAAAATAAAGGCAAAAATGTTTCCATTTACAGACAATATGATTATGTGAAAAATTCTAGATGCTAAAAACTCCTAAAACATAAATTTGGTAAGGTCCCAAGATACAAAATCAATGTACAAAAGCCATTTGCATTCCTGCATACTAGCAAAAAATAGTTGGAACATAAAATCTTAAAAATATGCCATCAAGAACATAAAATACTGTACTTAGTCATAAAATTTAAAATATCTACAAAATCTATACAATGAACACTACAAAAAATTGTTAAGTGCAATTAAAGATCTAACAATGAGATATACCAAGGTCATAAATTAGAAGACTTGATTTTGTGAAGATTTGTCTATCATTGAATTTACCTGCAGACTCAAGGCAATTTGACTTGAAATCCTAACATTATTTTGAAAATTGTTTCTAAAATGTATAGAAATTAAAAAAACCTAGAATAGCCAAAACAGACTTGAATAACAGAACAAAGTTGCATTACTTTAACTGCCTAAATTTTAAGTCTAAAGTAACAATACATGATATGCTTATGAATAGACAAATAGATCAATAGAACAGAACAGAGATTCTGTACAGAGGCAAGAAACCAAGGTAATTCAATGGAGGAAGGAGAACAGTTTCAATAACTGGCGTTGGAATAACTGGTATCCAAATATAAAGGCCAAAACCTTATTTCTAAAACAAAACCTAAGAATACTTTCATGAATTTGGAGTAGGTAAAGACATTTTAGAAAGAATACAAAAAATATCATAGAAAAGTGATAATATGGATTCCACTCAAAATAAACACTTCCATTCATCAAACATTTTGTTAAAACAATGAAAAGGCAAGACACAAGTTTGAAGAAATATTTGCAATGTGTATTTTGAAGGATTTGTAATCAATATATGAAATTTACTTTTCTGTATCAATGATAATCCCAAATGAATTTACAAGAAATTTTGTGGCCGGGCGCGGTGGCTCACACCTGTAATCCCAGCACTTTGGGAGGCCGAGGCGGGCGGATCACGAGGTCAGGAGATCGAGACCATCCTGGCTAACACGGTGAAACCCTGTCTCTACTAAAAATACAAAAAATTAGCCAGGCGTGGTAGCGGGCACCTGTAGTCCCAGCTACTCGGGAGGCTGAGGCAGGAGAATGGCGTGAACCCGGGAGGCGGAGCTTGCAGTGAGCCGAGATCGCGCCACTGCACTCCAGCCTGGGCGACAGAGCGAGACTCCGTCTCAAAAAAAAAAAAAAAAAAAGAAAAAGAAATTTTGTAAAGGAAGGTATACAAATCCCAGTAAGTTCATAAATAAGAAAATGCAATTATTCCCCACTACAAGATACTTTATTCCCCACTACAAGATACTTTCTCACACCAACTACAGTGTCTCAAATTCAAAAGACTGACAACCATAAATTATGATGATGGTGTATAACAACGGGGACCATACTATAATGGTGGTGGTAATATAAAATAGACCAACCACTCTGGACAATTCTTTATCCGTTTCTCAAGATAAACATACATGTAGACTGTGAGCCAGAAATTTCACATTTTGACATTTATCTGGGAAAAAAGGAATACATATGGTGCACAAAAAGAATTGTACAAAAATGTTTATCACAACTTGTATCAATAGTCCATTAGTTATTGCTGAGTAGATTTTCTCCTTAATGAACTTTTGATTGTTGAATTGCAAAAATATTATTTTGAGTGAATGAAGCCAGACAGAATAGAGTACACTCCCTATGATTCCATTCATGTGAAGTTCAAAAGAAAGTAAAACATATATATTGATTGAAATCAGTACAGTGGTTGCCTGTCTGTCATATTTTGACTGGGATTAACTATCAGAGTGAATACATTCTTTAAAGCTTATTGAATTGAACTCTTAAGATCTATGTGTTTCAGTGTATATAAATTTTACCTGAATAAAGAGACTAACACAGGAAATGTTTATAACTATACCTATATAGGTATACATATCTCAAATACTGTTTGAGTTTATTTTTCTTTTTCTTTTAAGCAAAATGTAATAGAGTAAATAGTTCGCTGGCAAACAGAAAAACAAAAGCAGCAAACAAACAAAACCCAAAAACCTCTCTGGATATTTTGTGAGATTAATGACAAGAACAATAAACTATTAAAACAACAATAACACATGACATGAAGGTTAAAAGTAATATTACATCACAATCTACTGGTGCAGCTGTCAACATGAGAACCATTTCTTACGTATAGAATCATTTGTGTATATATTTCTGAAACACTTCGTGAGAAATTGAATGATTAAGATTTTAGAACTGGTGAGAGGAAAAAAAGCTATGGCCTAAAAGCTATATATAATTTCTGGTTTAGGGCTTCAATTAAAACAAAACAAAACAAAACAAAAACATGTGGAGTGCTATTCCTCAACATGGCTGTAGAAAAATTTAACTCAAGCAAGTGCAGTGAGTGAGATCAGGCAAAACTGCAGTAAATACACACTCACCATAACTATAACTTAGTCCAAAAGGAATGAACAATCTTCTATACAAGGTAAATGAGGTGAAATGAGAAAGTTGATGACCTGTGTTTTATCATATATATATGATATATATATATATCATTCATATATATATATGAATGATAAATAATGCATTCATTATATCATCTACATTAAATGTGCTTTAGAAACAAATATATATAGGATAAATAATGCATTCATTATATCATCTACATTACATATGCTTTAGAAACAAAAATTTACTTGATATTTTGACAAACCCACCCTTCATTCCTTAGGTTAATTTCTGTGTTAATTTTTACATTGCTAATCATTGTACTGCTGTAGCTAAATCATCTGAATATCAGTTTATGCAGTGTTGCTCAAAAGATGTATAAATAGCCAGCTCTATGATTACCTAAAAACAAGCTTTTTAAAATAAAGGAAGAAAGCAACAATGTTCCAAATGAATGGCACAGGGCAAAACACATATATCAAAACATATTTAGACAGTATTCGGTGCCCATCAGTTTCTCTTATAAAGATAAATGCTTGAGGAAGATCTTGAGAGAACCCTCCCTCCCTCTAAATGTTTAGCTCCTACATGGTGTCAGATGTTACAATTGATATGAAGGATAAATGCTTTCAGGCAAAAGTAAAAATCTATCTACAAAGCAATATAGCAAAATCTGTAGTGACTTTTGTAGAAAGCTCCCTTCTCTGATGGTAATATTCTTTAGTATATATCCAGGATAGATTAAATTGAAACAATATTTCTGATACAATAGCAATACTTTCATATACTGTTACTAAATATTACAAAATTCCAAAAAATACATAAATATCCCTTGTACCATGCATTATGCACCAGTTTGGGGCTGCCTGATAAAGTCATGGCTAGTATTTTAACAATTAAACATTACAACTCAAAAATTCTGCCATCTATACACAGTGAATGGACACAATGGTGAGGGCTCCTGAGAGATGGCAAGCTACCTCTAAAGTGAAAAGTCTGTGGTGGAGTGTCTCCAAATTAAAGAGAGGGGAACATAACTTTCAACAGTGAAGTCAAAACAGATGTAAATAAGATTGAGGAATTTCTTGAAGAAGTCTTAAGCCCTCCCACGTACTTAAAGCCTTCACCAAAACACCCAGAATCAAATACTGCTGGAATGGACATCTTTGCCAAATTCTCTGCATATATCAAGAATTCAAGGCCAGAGGCTAATGAAGCACTGGAGAGGGGTCTCCTGAAAACCCTGCAGAAACTGGATGAATATCTGAATTCTCCTCTCCCTGATGAAATTGATGAAAATAGTATGGAGGACGTTAAGTTTTCTAAACGTAAATTTCTGGACAGCAATGAAATGACATTAGCTGATTGCAATCTGCTGTCAAAGCTGCATATTGTCAAGGTTGTGGCCAAAAAAATCGCAACTTTGATATTCCAAAAGAAATGACTGTCATCTGGAGATACCTAACTAACTAATGCATACAGTAGGGATGAGTTCACCAGTACCTGTCCCAGTGATGAGGAGGTTGAAATAGCATATAGTGATGTAGCCAAAAGACTCACCAAGTAAAATCGCGTTTCTGAAAGAGATGTGTTCATGTCTTGCTCTAAGAATTTGCTTTTCCTAACAGGCTACTCCTCTTCCTGTAGAGTAGAAATTGTATTTTGCATGAACATGCAATTATTGAAGATTAGGATCAAGCATAGACAAGGTATAGTAGTTATCTTAAGATATACACTCCTAAGCAGTATTATTTTAAAATCATTTTATCCCTCTAAATGTTCGAGGAAGGCATGTCTATTGTGATTTTAATGAAGACAGAATTATTTTTCTCTGTAGAAAGACAAATACTACTTTATCAGGGAAGTTAGTCAAATGAAATGGAAATTGGTAAATGGTCAAAAGCTAGCTAGGAAAAAGATCCAACAACATGCTTTAACCCCATTGCATGTTTGTGGAAAGACCATAGCTTAAAATCTTGAGAAATTTGGGACATAAAAGTTTTCATGGTAGACAGTTCATGGAGTATATGAACTGACATTATGGAAAAATCTGATTTTATTTTTACAGTTAACAAATCCATTCCTCTTAATTTAAACACCTGTTGTGTTTTACTTCGATGAAGAGATTGGAGTCTGAATAGAAAGTCTGTTTTCCGGGGGATACTGAGAAATTTTTGTATTCAGGAGTTGGAAAGCTCTCTTCCATTCTAGTTGATAAAACTTCCCTTTTTTTGATGTAGATGCAGATTTTCTATACAGTTCTGTTGTCTTCTTTTACTAGGACTGTTAACTTTTGTGATAAAATTCAAATAAGATTTTATTTCTTGATAATTTTGGTTTTCACAATTTATCTTTAAATCCTTGAGCAATCTGTATACAATTAAGAGATTTCTCACATTTATTCTTAAACTGAGTAGATCAACTCTAGGATTTAGGCATGTTAACTTTACTTCTGTTGTGTTTTGAATCTCTCCAGAGTTGCATGTAGGTAGCTTTTATTTCTGTGCGCTTACAGTCAATTAGAAAATATCTACAAAGTAGGCTGGGTGTGGTGGCTCATGCCTGTAATTCCAACACTTTGGGAGGCTGAGGCAGGCAGATCACGAGGTCAGGAGATCGAGACCATCTTGGCCAATATGGTGAAACCCTGTCTGTACTAAAAAGACAAAAATTAGCTGGGCGTGGTGGCGTGCACCTGTAGTCCCAGCTACTCAGGAGGCTGAGGCAGGAGAATCACTTGAACCTGGGAGGCAGAGGCTGCAGTGAGACAAGATCATGCCATGGCACTACAGCCTGGGTGAGAGAGTGAGACCCTGTCTCAAAAAAAAAAAAAAAAAAAAAAAAAGAAAATATCCGGAAAGTGAAAATGGAGAGGAAATAGAAATGTATTTTTAATGAACATTTTGATACAAATTTCATCATTTAATGATTCACCAATTTCTTACATTAATTTGAATTAAGCATTGAATTCAAAGAGACAGGAGCATTCATTGATATATATGGACTTTTAAAAATTCCATCCTTTATAAATAGACAAGGTTTGGGCTACAAAAATTATATTTTTATCATGGAAAAATTTCAACTCCTCAAGTCATAATGTTGAATAGAATTGGAGTATTTTCTTTAGAATTTCTTGAACAGGCAAATTAAAGCTTATTATAGAATGCAAGTATTTACTTTTCTCTTTGGAATATCAAAACCAGTGTATTGCTGACAGCTATTGTATTTTAAAAAAATGTATATTTTCACTATCATAAAGGATTCTTTTTCCTCCCTCATGAAAATAAATGACAACTGGGGGTAAATATATATATATATAATTTCTGAAGTAAAAAGAAAGATCCTCCCTTCCAAACAAATATGATCATATTTTATTCTACTTGTGATAAAGGCAGTGAGGCATTTGTTTTGGGGAATGTCCAAAATATCTATGATTTTACTTTTCCAGCCAAAACAATTTTGCTTCTCTGGCACGTATTAATCAATAGGCAAAACATTTTGAACTTTTAAATATTATTCCACATCACACTAATTTATTCTAGTTCAGAAAAATTTGGAGTGCCAGTATTTCTAGCACAATCATATTTTTAATGGGTGAACATAAAGTATTTTTCATAAGAACATAAGATAGCAGAAAATATATATTTGTTGAAGAAATAGAAATAAATAATATAAAGTTGCCAACAAACAGAAAACCAAATGACATAAGTACTAGGAACTTCTGACTAGTATAGAAGTAATTTAATATTTATATTTGGACATACACTGGCTAGACTAATTATTGATAAAGTAGTCATTGCCCATCTGCAAAATCAAACAACCATAAAGTAACATTTTGAATTGTCTGCCATGGGGCTCAAAGTCTTTTATGTATCAACCTTTGATTTAACACATTAGAGTATTACCATAGTATAATGAAAAATCTAAAAGCTTTTGAATCAGATAACTTTATAACACAGTACGTTTGTCTTTTGGTGTCTGTGTCATCTTGAAATTTATATATATTTCTGAATCTTAGTTTTCTCATGTTTATAACAACTGGGGATAATAAATTTACCTCATTTCAAAACATTTACCTTTAGTATAAAAATAAAAATAAATTATCAATATAAAAATACCATGCTTGATACTTAGGCTCTAAAATATTAGACAAATTTCCTGGCATCATAGCGCTTACAAGTAGTTGAGATAAAGGTGGAGAACAAACACAGGAACTAACTCATTAGCTAGCTCTTACCTTGAAAATTAAGTGCAGAACTCTGGGAGAATGATGCATTCAACAAACAATTTTTGAAATTGCGAAAAAGGAGAATGGGCAGAATTAAAATGCTCAGTAGAGACAGTCAGGAAGGGCAGGCCAGGGTACCAGTTCATTGCAGTAAGTGGTTGTTAAACACGGAGGTAATACACAGCAACAGAAAATAGTAAAATGGGCCAAAACTAGAAGAGTAGAGGTTGAGGCAAGAAAAACTAGACTTCTTTTACAATTTTGCCTAGGGTTGACAATGTACTTTGGGTTTCAAAACAAATAATTTCTGTCTATACTACTATACAGATGTAAATGAAATACATGTTTACTAAGCCAGTGGTATAGATTGTTCAGCATTGACCTAGTTTATAATTTTGAAACTAGATAAGGTTTTTATAAACATGCAAAAACTGAGTGCTACTTAGTTCTGCTTTCTGGCTTTTTGATAATCCAAGGAAGCAGACTCATTAAGATTGAAGTATCCAGGAAGATATATTTTCCAAAGGATAAAACCTACTTAGATGGAGAGTAGATTTTAGGCTATCACTTAATTTCTTCCTGTTAATTTTTGGCTGATAATTTTATTTTAAAGAGTAAATTTTACTACTTAAATTATTTGTACTCTACACAAAGATGGACCATAAAACACAATGCCTCATTTAGGCAGACTTCGCCATACCAGCAGCATTGTAACTCAATCCATCCATTTGTAAAGCTGTAACCACTGCTGACAGAATGCAGGGTGGGAGAGAGGAAGAAAATTAAAGAGTATTCAGATGGTAGAATAATACTAACATAAGTAGTTACAGTAATTACAAATCATTCAACCAACCACTAATGCTATTAGATGGCATGATTTATTGAATATTTACATATGTCGAACATTGTGCTCAGTTCTTCATATTTATGCCACACAATTTTCACCATATTTCTGTAAGATAAGCATCATTTCCATTTTGCCCCTTCTGCAGTTAATGCTCAGATAGCATAAACAAAATACCCAAATCTACACATATGGAGTTTGAATTCAGTTTTTTCTAACTCCAAGTTGAATATTCAAAAGCATCCTTTGATTTTATAATTTAAGATTTCTCCTTTTTCAAACACCATTTGGTGAGATAGAAAGCATTAGAGATAAAACACATATATTAATCTATGTGGTGGCTCTTTCTTCTGCTTAAAGCCATTCTCTATAATCCTCATAAAGATCTAACACCCCCACTCCAGTATTTCCTATGTTTCTTTAGTTCTCCATTATTTCCTATTTGTGCAGTATCCCACATGCTCAGGGTGTTATAAAAGGCTGCAAATTAATGAACATGTGCTGCCTTTGTTCGGGGATTTTATATTATAAATTTGTTTTTATTTATTCTACACATGGTTGGTTGTAGTTTGTCCTCCAAAATGAAATGAAATTGGTATTATTACAGAAAGATGACTGAGTCATATTATGATAGAGACTAATTTCTCTGACCTAGTAGACTAAAAGTTTTCTGTAGTCTCTTAATGAGACTCCTTTTATAGCATTTGTATCTTTGTGCTTAATTATTCTTAGTATAAATATTTAGAAATTGATGCATCGTTTTACTTCTATGGCATGTCATAAAGCTATTTTTTCAAAAAAATTGTTTTGTGTATAATGTCATGCGAAAAAGAATTCTTAAAATGATTTAAAAGATTTAGACCCCCCTCCGAAAATATCAACAAAATGAATTTTCTAAGATAATAAGAAAATGAATAAAATCCCCCCGTAGCAGCAAATAATTGGGCAAGGAATAAAATCCGGGTTTGGAGGCAGAGCTGAGGAATACAGCATGACTTGGTTCACAGAGCTTACCCTCTCCCTTGAAGTTGAATTGATGAGAACAAAATCTTGAGCCTTCTCAGAAATATTCCAAAACTGCAAGGAAGGGAACAGAATTTATTTTTCTAATTTATCTCTAACCTTGTTTCACTAAAGAGTGATGGAAATCGTTACTGTGGAGAAATGTGTGAAACATGGCAAGAAAATAGGAAGAGAAGTAAGTATCCTGTGTCCTCCTGTTCCAGGAGAAAAGCCAAACCAATATTTATCCACCTCCTCCTATCATCGGAATAGGATAAGAGCCCTCTCCTTCCCCAGTGGAATGAGTACTGGGGTATTTAACAGTACCTCAGAATTGATGGTACATCTCACGTGCAGCACAAAACCTTTTTAACTCTCAGATAAACATCCACCTGCCTCATGCCCTCAAGCTAGGGGAAAAGGAATGGAAAGCAGCCATATTTGTCTTCAAACTGAAGTTAAAAAAACAAAATCCAAAGCAGTCATCAGATGTAGTAGAAAGTCAAGAGTGTACTTACACTAAATCAGGAAATATAGCTTCTCAAGCATGAGAAAGATGAATGAAAATGGCATAGTCCATATAGAAATGTTCTATTAATTATAACAAGAACATTGATAAAGTAAAAGAAAATAAATAAAAAGAAATTAGGGACATACCATTATACGACAAAAAAAAAAAAAAAAAAAAAAAACGAGTCCAGTCTAGAAGAAAATATAACTTAGGCAAAAGGAAAACTCATTTTGTGTACATTAAAAGTATCATTCAAGAAAACTTATTCCCAGGAAAAAAATGATTTGAGGTAAATATAAACATATAATTCAATTATAGAGGATTGATTGCCTAAAGAAACAAATTTTAGGAAAAATTATTATTAAGGAACTTAACATCAAGAAACTATAAGTTGAATTATTTAGGAAGGAGTTTTGAGATAAGCCTACCTAGTGCATATTTTAAAAACATGAACCTAAAAGAATGCTAATTGAAGATATATTTCAGTATTCCATACTTTGTGTCCCTGGATCAGCAATTTACCAATAGAAGGAAAATTATAGTGGGTAAAAATGTTAAATAAGATAATAAGTAACCCCTGAAATATTTAATTACTAGATTTTAAAATAAAAAATCCAACCATGATCCAGAAAGATTTGAGAGTGCGTCTTGCAAATCAAAACGTTTTCTCTTTCCATTATTGAATCTTGAAGAAATGTTTTTAAGAAGAATTATTATTCAGATACTCAGGAAGAAAGGTGAACTAAGGTAGGGTGAGAGGTATTAGAAGTCTAGTCTTTTACCTTCTATTTCTCTACAGCAATATTTTAGACAATGGGTTAACATCTACAGATTTTAAAAAGAAAAGCATGACCCACTCTTTACAGCCAGTCGAGATGTCATCTGCATATTCGTCTCACTCACTATCTGTATATGCACATACACACACACACACACACACACAACTCCAAGAAAACATCAATGATTTTTTTTCAACTTTCTGGGTTTGTGATTTGAGGCTGTTTTTATTTACTTCCTTCCTTCTATTTGCCTGTCTCATTTACATTTCTTATCTGTCTACCTTCATTATTAAGAACACTTAATTCTTTGATAAAAACAAATGAAGTGACTTTTTTTTCCTCTTAAACAAAAATCTTCAGTTTGATGGTAAACGATTTCACTATACTTTAATATAGGGTCCTCTTATAGCATGTTTTGTTAATAAAACAAATCTATTTAAATGTATGTAACATGTCAACTATATTCTTTTAAGGTAGATGGCATTTATTAGTCCTCTTTGTGTTTACTTACAATGCCTGGCACATAGATGTACTTGATATATTATTTTTTAGTAAATAAATACATGAGTGAATGAATGAATGAAATGATAACAAACAAGCAACAATATATACTTTCCCTTCTACTTTGGTCTATGATATAGGTTTTGACAATACACAAACTTTAAATTAAAACAAATAATACAGTTTTGAATTTTTAAAACTAACACCAGCCTTTAAGAAATTGTTCATCACAAAATTTTCTTCATATTCTTGGGTATACCCATTCAAATATGGAGGTTGAGACACTATCATTTTCATTTGTCCAAAGATATTTGGCCACAGTTTTTTATATAACTGCCCTTCTGATAACAGGTTAATGAATTAGGCCTATCTTTTATGTGTTTATCATACAATATAATATAACTTTATTTTGGCTAATACTAATTTATTGGTTGTCGTTTTTCTCAGGCTTTCATGTATTCTAACTTGCACAATTTGTGGTCTTGCAAAAGTTAGCTGTACATGCACATTCTCCTCTAATCAGCACAAAATCATCATGTGTCTTTTCTAGCACTTGCACTAAAGAAAAAAGGCCTCTTTTGACTACAATAGAGACAATAGGAAGGCTCAAAGGTTGAAGACAAAAGATTCTGCAGAAATTAAAGGAAAAGCTGCTAGAGAGCATGACAGCTCTTTTTGTTATTTTCTGGGCTGTAATTTTTGAAATCAGTTTTCATTTTGAAAGTTCCTTAATTTTCTCCCACTTCAGTCTAAAATATAGCACACATGAGTACTGAAGACAGACAGCCCCTCAAAATGGTTCAATCAGGTGGTATTTGTAATGAAGCTGCAGGCTGTTGCTTGGATTTCTTAGTATCAGTCTTCATAATCTTCTATATTTAGCGGCAGAAAACTTGTAACAGTTTCTTAAGCTCAGTTCACTAAAATGAATGCAACAAATTGTTTTTGGAATTAGATATTCTCTAGGATTCCTAGTTATAAATGACTTGCTTATAGCAAATTTCCAATCCTCTATGCTTCAGTTCCTATATAGCTCTCTGGATAGATAACTCTCTTTGCAGGTTCAAGTGTCCTTTGAAAGGGATAGAAACCATCATCGTTTATTTTTGATATTAAAACAAATGCTTTTAAACTTTTTGTATTATTAAATGTGGGACTAGCTCCAAGGGAAAAGAAGAGAGGAAAAGGAAAGAGGAGAGGACAGGAGAGAAAGATTATGTTAAGGGAATTATCTATCTGTAATTTACGAAGCCTAGTTGACAGTACTTATTGTCAACTGTAATATACAGTTTCCTTCATCATTATATTAACTACTATATTAATATATTTTATGCGAGCAGACTGCTGTTGTAAATCTTTATCAATATCAGTAAAAAATTATTTTGAAATATTGATTTTAACTCACTTCCATTTGATGATGTATATATTTTAAGTACAATTATCCTGTAGTTTTATTTCAAGGGGTTCTTTGTTAGATTTTGTGTTCTGTCATTATGAGTTACATTGTGTAGCTTGACACCATTTTTTATATTCTGAATCAGTGTGTCTGGCCTGGGAATTAAATGTTTCTTAAATTTAAGAAAATTCACAAGTAAAAGAGCCTCCACCAATGTATCTTTAGGAATTTTTAAAAATAATATTTCCCAATTTCTTCCATGAGATTATCAGGTTTTATTCTTGAGTCACTTCAGACTTCTTCAATTTTATCATTTAGTCTTTATTTTTGAATAATATCTAGTTTCCTCCAAAACAGACCACTTCATTTATAATATCAAATGTGTTTTTAGAGAGTTGTTCTTTATTACCTAATATTTTTCCGATTTGTTCTCTATCAGTTTTAACAACATACTGTTAGTCCCAATTTTAGCTTATTTGATTATGAGAGATTTGAATTATTTTAAGCACTGATATAACTATTAATGTTCTATAAGTACCAGAGATACATATTAAAAGAGGCTTAGAAACAAGGTATTGTCTCAAGAGGTGGAAAGTCAAGGGTCACATCAAAGATATAGCCTGCTTTAAGAACCTCTTTCCATCTCTTCCATCTGCCATCATTATTCACTTGTCTTCTCCAAATCAAAAGAAGGCTGCTTTTTCTTTGAAAATAATTTCTGAAGAAAGGGGAAGTAGAAAAAGTAAAAGTACTGTATCTCACTGGTCAGCTTGTGGCTTGTCTATTCATACCCATTAGTTTTTAAATTTTATTTTGAGAAAAAAAAATCTGAAATTTATAAAAAGGTTGCAAAACCACTACAAATAATTTTTCTTAAGTGTAAATTTCTAACCTAATTTCACATAACTTCCTAGTAATGTAGTGTACATTTTCTACAAGTAAGTCTTCCTCCTACAAAATCCAGTATCACAAACAACATCATGAAGTTAACACTGAACTATTAATAACATCTAATCCTCGGGTCTCCTTCAGGTTTCAGCAATTATCTTGCTTTTTCTTGTTTTTGAGGACTGAAGAGGTGGTCTCTTGCTGATATGTGAATGGATTCAGTTGCTGTTAGTTTGCTTAAAATTCTCATGTTAAATTAGGTAGGCCTATAATTTTCTGGTCTTCTGAGAGCCTGTGGTTTTTATATTATTGTAATGCTTACAAAGTGTATTTTAAGGTGTTTTCTACTAGAAGATATTATATAGCATTGGTATAATTTATTATGAAAGTATTTTGAAAAACACAAACTGGTTCAGGTTTATGGTTTCTTGGTGGGTAAATATTTCTATTCAAGTATATTAAAGTTTCTAATTTATGAAGTCTAAATATCAAAGTGTCTCATTTATATATCTATTGGTTTTTATCAGTTACATTGTTTTAGATAATTTTTCATTTCATATTCATTTTCAAATTTGCTTTAAATTGTTCATACACTTTGCTTAATATATTTGTTTGCAGTGTCTTTGTTGATAGCCTTGGCATCTGACATTTTTCTTGTTCAATCTTTATAAAATTGTTTATTATATCAGTCTTTTAAAGAACTTCCTTTTTGATCTTTTCTCTAGCACTTTGCTCTATTTTGATTAATTTATGTTCCTGTTACATATTTGCCTATTTCTATTTTTCTGAGTTACTGTACCTTTCTCAGTAAATAGCAACTGTCCTCTGTTAAATGCTCAAACTCAAAACTTGAAGTCATATTTTGATTCTCTCAAAACTCACATCTAATCCAGCAGAAATCCTGTCAGCTTTGTGTTCAAAATATTATGGATGGGATAACTTTTACTTCTATGAATGATGGGATTTTGAAAGTCAGTCCTCCATGGGGAATAACTAAAAACAACCCTGATAAATGACCAAAGATATAAATATTTAAAAGCATCAGTGACTTGAACTCTATTTTGTTGAAAATAATAAAACTACACCTCTTTTCTTTGGTTTAGATTTGTAGGAATATTTTTCCATCCCTTCACTTTCAGCCTATGTATATTCTTAAAGTTAAAGTGAGTCTCTTGTAAGCAGGATATACTTAGGTCTTTTTTTTTTTCTAATCCACTTAGACTCTCTAAGATCCATTTATGTTTAAAGTAATTATTGATATGTAAGGACTTACTAGCGTCATTTTGCTAATTGTTTTCGGACTCATTTGTATTTCCCTTTTCCTTTCTTTGACTCAGGTTATTTTCCATTATGATTTGATGATCTTCAGTGGTGTGTTTCAGTTTCTTTCTCTATATTTATTTACTTTGTGTGTGTGTGTATCTACTATAGGTTTTTACTTTGTGGTTACTAAGAGGTGTACAACACCTTGCAGTTATACCAGTCTATTTTAAGCTGTAAATAAGTTAAGTTTAATTGCATACAAAAACTTGACATTTTTGCTTCTTCTTCCACCTTCAAATGTTATGCTTTTAATATCACAATATATATCTTTTATTGTGTATTTATTAATAAAATATTGTAGCGAATGTTATTTTTAGCACTTCTGTCTTTTAAACTTTATATTGAAGTTAAAAATGATTTATAAACCAACTTTACAGTATTAGAGTATTCTGAATTGACCTATATATTTGCCTTTGCCAGGATATTTTAACTTTTACATATTTTAATGTTAGTAATTAGGCTATCTACATATTCAATGAATCTCCATCAAAATTCCAATCACATTTTTCACATGAATAGAAAAAGCAATCCTAAAATTCATATAGAACCACAAACAACCTCAAATAGCCAAAGCAAAATTAGAAGAGACATACAAAGCTGGAGACTTCATACTATCTGGTTTTAAAGTATATTATAAAGCTAGTCATCAAAAGAGTATAGTACTGGCATAAATACAGACACATAGACCAAGGAAACATAACAGAAATCCCAGAATAGAATAAATTCACACAATTGTGGTCAACTAATCTTCAACAAGTCACCAAGAATACATAATAAGCAAAGAATGGTCTGTTTTAAAAATGGCGGTGGAAGCGTGATGCGTACAACTTTGTTCTTTTGGCTCAGGATTGTCTTGGCAATGCGGGTCCTTTTTTGGTTCCATATGAACTTTAAAGTAGTTTTTTCCAATTCTGTGAAGAAAGTCATTGGTAGCTTAATGGGGATGGCATTGAATCTATAAATTACCTTGGGCCATTAGTGTGGCCATTTTCATGATATTGATTCTTTCTATCCATGAGCATGGAATGTTCTTCCATTTGTTTGTGTCCTCTTATATTTCGTTGAGCACTGGTTTGTAGTTCTCCTTGAAGAGGTCATTCACATCCCTTGTAAGTTGGATTCCTAGGTATTTTATTCTCTTTGAAGCAACTGTGAATGGGAGTTCACTCATGATTTGGCTCTCTGTTTGTCTGTTATTGGCATATAAGAATTCTTGTGATTTTTGCACATTGATTTTGTATCCTGAGACTTTGCTGAAGTTGCTTATCAGCTTAAGGAGATTTTGGGCTGAGACCATGGGGTTTTCTAAATATACAATCATGTCATCTGCAAACAGGGACAATTTGACTTCCTCTTTTTCTAACTGAATACCCTTTATTTCTTTCTCCTGCCTGATTGCCCTGACCAGAACTTCCAACACTATGTTGAATAGGAGTGGTGAGAGAGAGCATCCCTGTCTCGTGCCAGTTTTCAGAGGGAATGCTTCCAGTTTTTGCCCATTCAGTATGATATTGGCTGTGGGTTTGTCATAAACAGCTCTTATTATTTTGAGATACATCCCATCAATACCTAGTTTATTGAGAGTTTTTAGCATGAAGAGTTGTTGAATTTTGTCAAAGGCCTTTTCTGCATCTATTGACATACTCGTGTAGTTTTTGTCTTTGGTTCTGTTTATATGCTGGATTACGTTTATTGATTTGTGTATGTCGAACCAGCCTTGCATCAGGGATGAAGCCCACTTGATCATGGTGGATAAGCTTTTTGATGCGCTGCTGGATTCGGTATGCCAGTATTTTATTGAGGATTTTTGCATCAATGTTCATCAAGGATATTGGTCTAAAATTCTCTTTTTTTGTTGTGTCTCTGCCCGGCTTTGGTATGAGGATGATGCTGGCCTCATAAAATGGGTTAGGGAGGATTCCCTCTTTTTCTATTGATTGGAATAGTTTCAGAAGGAATGGTACCAGCTCCTCCTTGTACCTCTGGTAGAATTCGGCTGTGAATCCGTCCGGTCCTGGACTTTTTTTGGTTGGTAGGCTATTAATTATTGCCTCAATTTCAGAGCCTGTTATTGGTCTATACAGGGATTCAACTTCTTCCTGGTTTAGTCTTGGGAGGGTGTATGTGTCCAGGAATTTATCCATTTCTTCTAGATTTTCTAGTTTATTTGCGTAGAGGTGTTTATAGTATTCTCTGACGGCAGTTTGTATTTCTGTGGGATCGGTCGTGATATTCCCTATATCATTTTTTATTGTGTCTATTTGGGTCTTCTCTCTTTTCTTCTTTATTAGTCTTGCTAGCAGTCTATCAGTTTTGTTGATCTTTTAAAAAAACCAGCTCCTGGATTCATTGATTTTTTGAAGAGTTTTTCTTGTCTCCATCTCCTTCAGTTCTGCTCTGATCTTAGTTATTTCTTGCCTTCTGCTAGCTTTTGAATGTGTTTGCTCTTGCTTCTCTAGTTCTTTTAATTGTGATATTAGGGTGTCAATTTTAGATCTTTCCTGCTTTCTCTTGTGGGCATTTAATGCTATAAATTTCCCTCTACACACTGCTTTAAATGTGTCCCAGAGATTCTGGTATGTTGTGTCTTTTTTCTCATTGGTTTCAAAGAACACCTTTATTTCTGCCTTCATTTCATTATGTACCCAGTAGTCATTCAGAAGCAGGTTGTACCTGACTTCAAACTATACTACAAGGCTATAGTAACCAAAACAGCATGGTACTGGTACCAAAACAGAGATATAGACCAATGGAACAGAACAGAGCCCTCAGAAATAATACCACACATCTACAACCATCTGATCTTTGACAAACCTGACAAAAACAAGAAATGGGGAAAGGATTCCCTATTTAATAAATGGTGCTGGGGAAACTGGCTAGCCATATGTAGAAAGCTGAAACTGGATCCCTTCCTTACACCTTATACAAAAATTAACTCAAGATGGATTAAATATTTAAATGTTAGACCTAAAACCATAAAAACCCTAGAAGAAAACCTAGGCAATACCATTCAGGACATAGGCATGGGCAAGGACTTCATGTCTAAAACACCAAAAGCAATGGCAACAAAAGCCAAAATTGACAAATGGGATCTAATTAAACTAAAGAGCTTCTGCACAGCAAAAGCAACTACCATCAGAGTGAACAGGCAACCTACAGAATGGGAGAAATTTTTTGCAATATACCCATCTGACAAAGGGCTAATATCCAGAATCTACAAAGAACTCAAACAAATTTACAAGAAAAAAACAAACAACCCCATCAAAAAGTGGGCAAAGGATATGAACAGACACGTCTCAAAAGAAGACATTTATGCAGCCACCAGACACCTGAAAAAATGCTCATCATCACTGGCCATCAGAGAAATGCAAATCAAAACCACAACGAGATACCATCTCACACCAGTTAGAATGGCGATCATTAAAAAGTCAGGAAACAACAGGTGCTGGAGAGGATGTGGAGAAATAGGAACACTTTTACACTGTTGGTGGGACTGTAAACTAGTTCAACCATTGTGCAAGACAGTGTGGTGATTCCTCAAGGATCTAGAACTAGAAATACCATTTGACCCAGCCATCCCATTACTGGGTATGTACCCAAAGGATTATAAATCATGCTGCTATAAAGACACATGCACATGTATGTTTATTGCGGCACTATTCACAATAGCAAAGACTTGGAACCAACCCAAATGTCCATCACCGATAGACTGGATTAAGAAAATGTGGCACATATACACCATGGAATACTATGCAGCCATAGGAAATGATGAGTTCATGTCCTTTGTAGGGACATGGATGAAGCTGGAAACCATCATTCTCAGCAAACCATAGCAAGGACAATAAACCAAACACCACATGTTCTCACTCATAGGTGGGAATTGAACAATAAGAACACTTGGACACAGGAAGGGGAACATCACACACCGGGGCCTGTCATGGGGTGGGGGGAGGGAGGAGGGATAGCATTAGGAGATAAACCTAATGTAAATGACGAGTTAATGGGTGCAGCACACCAGCATGGCACATGTATACATACGTAACAAACCTGCACGTTGTGCACATGTACCCTAGGACTTAAAATAAAAAAATACAAAAAAATACAAAAAATAAAAATGGTGGTAGAAAAACTATATTCTTGTGCAAAATAATGAAATTGTACCCTTAATTTAAACCATACAAAAAATTAGTACAAAAGAGACTAACTGGTGTGAGATGGTATCTCATTGTGGTTTTGATTTGCATTTCTCTGATGGCCAGTGATGATGAACATTTTTTCATGTGTCTATTGGCTGCATAAATGTCTTCTTTTGAGAAGTATCTGTTCATATCCTTTGCCCATAGAACTGGAAAGGTAAAAAACAAACTAGAAGAAAACAGGGGAAAAGCTCCTTAACATTGGTATTGGTAACATTTTTTTAAAATATAACACCAAAAGCACAGGCAGCAAAAACAAAAATAAAGTGGAATTGTATCAAAGTAAAAAGTTTTTTTTTTTCTTCTTTTTTGTGATGGAGTCTGACTCTGTCACCCAGGCTGAAGTGCAGTGGCACAATCTCAGCTCACTGCAACCTCCTCCTTCCAGGGTCAAGTGATTCTCATATCTCAGCCTCCTGGGTAGCTGGGATTACAGGTGCATGCCACAACGCCTGGCTAATTTTTGTATTTTTAGTACAGACAGGGTTTCACCATGTTGGCCAGTTTGGCCTTGAACTCCTGGCCTCAGGTGATCTATCCGCCTCAGCCTCCCAAAGTGCTGGGATTACAGGCATGAACCACTGCATCTGGCCCAAACTAAAATGTTGGTACAAAGTAAAGGAAATGATCAACTAAATGAAAAAGTAACCTATGGAAAGGGAAAAATATTTGCAAACTATATATCTGGTAGGGGAATAGTGCCCAAAATATATAGTGAATTTATGCAAATTAATAGTAAAAAGCAAGTAACCAAATTTAAAAAATACACAAAATACCCGATTAGACATTTTTTTCCAAAGAAGACACACAAATGGCCAAGAGGTACATGAAAAAGTGCTCAACATCACTAATCATCAGGGAAATGCAAATCAAAACCACAATGACATATTGCCTTACACCTTTTAGGATGGCTATTATCAAAAAGTCAAATGATAACAAGTGTTGGCAATGGTGTGAAATACAGGGAAGAGTTGTACATTGTTGGTAGGAATGTAAATTGGTACAACCATAATGGAAAACATTATGGAGGTTCCTCAAAAAACTGAAAATAGAACTGCCATATGATCCAACAATTCCACTTCTCGGTATATATCCAAAAGAAATTGAAATCAGTATCTTGAAGAGATAGCTGCACTCCCATGTTCATTGCAGCATTATTCATAATGGCCAATATATGAAAACAACCTAAGTGTTCCTCAGTAGTTGAATGTATAAAGAAAATGTGGTGCGTATATACAATGAAATATTACTTGCCGTAAGAAAAAAAGGAAATTCTGCTGTTTGGGACAATATGGTGAACCTAAACGACATTATGCCAAGTGAAATAAGCCAGACACAGAAAGATAAGTACTGCATGGTCTCACTTTATATGGGATCAAAAGAAGTTAACTCACAGAAACAGGAGTAAAATGGTGGTCTCCAAGGGCTAGAGATTGAGGGAAATGAAGGAATTTTGTTCCAAGGGTACAAATTTTAGTTATAAAATGAATGAGTTCTAGAGATTTGATAGACAGCATAATGATTACAGTTAATAACAATGCACTGTAAACTTGAAATTTACTAAGAGAATAGATCTTAACTGTTCTCACCACACACACAAAAGGTAACTATATGAGGTAATGGATACATTAATGAGCTTGAGTGTGGTAGTCACTTCACAATGTATACACGTATCAAAACATCGCATGATACATCTTAAATATAAACAATTTTTATTTGTCAATATATATTTATTTGATAGGGAAAAATAAAAAAGATTCAGTGAACGGTGGAAGCAATGAGGACTATAGGAATAAAAATTACAGATAGGAAATAAGTTTTTAGCTGTGAGCTGGGAATTTGCATCCCCTTGGGGTCATTCTAAACCGGAATGCAGTTTTGGAATCTGAAATAGGACAAACCTACTGACAGACAGGATCCTTATGAAAGACAGAAAAACAAGAGGAATTTTTGATGGTCCCACAGTGAAGAGTCACAAAATTGGAGCACTGGAGAATCATTCACAGAGAAAATTTATCCTTCCATATTTTTTGTTAAATTTTGAAGCTGTGATAGATAGGAGGTAAAAACAACTAGAGATGAATTTCTTGCAGTCTCACAGGATTAATGAACAAAAGACCCATTTACAGTGATTCCTCAGGGATCTAGAACTAGAAATACCATTTGACCCAGCCATCCCATTACTGGGTATATACCCAAAGGATTATAAATCATCATGCTGCTATAAAGACACACGCACATGTATGTTTACTGCAGCACTATTCACAATAGCAAAGACTTGGAACCAACCCAAATGTCCAACAATGATAGACTGGATTAAGAAAATGTGGCACATATACACCATGGAATACTATGCAGCCATAAAAAATGATGAGTTCATGTGCTTTGTAGGGACATGGATGAAGCTGGAGACCATCATTCTCAGCAAACTATCGCAAGGACAAAAAAACCAAACACTGCATGTTCTCATTCATAGGTGGGAATTGAACAATGAGAAACATGGACACAGGAAGGGGAACATCACACAGTGGGAACTGTTGTGGGGTTGGGGGAGGGGGGAGGGATAGCATTAGGAGATATACCTAATGCTAAATGACGAGTTAATGGGTGCAGCACACCATCATGGCACATGTATACATACGTAACAAACCTGCACGTTGTGCACATGTACCCTAAAACTTAAAGTATAATAATTAAATGAATTAATTAACTTTAAAATAAAACATTTTATTAAATATGAAAAAAAAAAGAAGAAGAATCCATGGGAAAAACAGGGAGGGGTGTAAAGTTCTCCAGGGAGTGGTGAAGCAACTGAAGATTTCTTACCATTTTTCCATGAGGATAGTTGCTGATCTGGACCTTAATAGAGGCTGAGAATCAGGATCAGGACTTGCTAGATGGCTATTTACCAGGAACAAGAATTTATGAGAATTTGGATTCCCTGTATAAGGTTAGGATGACAAAATACAATTAGGTTATTTTGCCCTGACTTTCAAATTCATAGTGTTGTAATAATAAAATATATATTCATTTGTGCCTGGCTTCCTTTGTGCAACCTAGTGTTTTAGAGATTTATTAAGTTATTTATTATATCAGCAGTTTGTTCTTTTTAATATGATTGCTCAGTGTTACTTTGTATGAATATACCACAATTTGTTTATCTTTTCTGCTGTTGGACATTTGCATTGCTTCTAAGTGTTAGCTGTTATGAATTAAGCTCTATTAGGTTATTGTACATGTGCTTTGTGATTATATGCCCAGATTTATCTGAGTATGCACTTAGAAGAATTGCTATGTGACATAGTAGTCTATGTTTTATTTCAGTAGATAGTGTCAAAGAGTTTTCTAAAATGATTGTAAAAATGTTCCTTTCCACCAGCAAAATTCTGCGCATTTTCACTGACACTTAGTATTCATTATTTTTTACTTAAACATTCCGGTGAATGTGTAATTATAATCTTAGTTTGAATTTAATTTGCATTTTCCTGATGAATAATGATAGTAATGTAGTTGAGTTCCTTTTCATATATCTTTGGTTTGAATATGCTACTTTGTGAATTGCCTGATCATCTCTGCCATTTTAAAATTTGGATTGTTTACCTCTTCCTGATTGTTTTGTAGGAGTGTATTATGCATTCTGGATATAAGCCTTTTACCAGATTCTTGTATTGTAAATATTTTTTTCCAGTCTGTGGCTTGCTTATTCAATTCTTAATCATGATTTTGAGAAACAGAAGTTTTTAATTTTAATGTAATTCAGTTGAGTTTTATATTTGTTGTCATTGCTTTTCCTGTTTAAGAAACCTTTGCGTAATCCTAAGTCAGGAATATATTCTGTTTTTTTTTTTCCCCACACAAGTTTGACTGCTTTAATTTTAGATTTAGGTCTAAGATCAAATTCACATTTATATTTAAGAATAGTATGAAGTAAATCTCAAGGTTCATAATTTTTCCATATAGATAACCAAACATTCTACTGTCACTTACAGAAAAGTCCATCCTCTTTTGCTCTAATTAGGTGACTATATTGGAGTGACTGGAAATATGTGGGTATATTTCTAGGTTTTCTTTTCTGTCCATTGGTCTATTTGTCTAACAATGCACAATTAACTCCTCAATTAATATAACTTTATCATGTCTTGAAATTTGAGAATATAAGACCTCTAATGTTGTTCTTTGCTATTTAAGATTGTCTTCGTTTTTTGGGGGAACTTTTGTTTCTATATAAGTTTTATGATCAGCTCATCAATCTTCACCAAAAAAATTGCTGACATGTTGATTGCAACTATATTAAATTTATAGATCAATATTTAGTAATTTGGCATCTTAACAATATTGAACTTTCATAAACTTTCTAATGTTTTAAGTATTCTTTAGTTTCTCCAAATAACATTTCAACATTTTTAGAATAAAAGTCTTGTATATCTTTTACTGCATCATTACTATGTGAATTTTTATGAAATTATTAATCATATTTTAAATTTTTATTTATAATTGTTTATTGTTGGCATATACAAACACAAATAAATTTTCTACATTAACCTTGGATCCACCCAACTTCTTTAATCCATTTTTGAATTATAATGGTCTGTAGATTATTTTGAATTTTCTACATGAAATTATATCATCTTAGAATAAAAATTTACTCTTTCTGTATTAGTACGTATTACCACAATAATACTATGTAGAAAGTTGACTTTAAACTCACTGTTCTAATAATTATTCATATTGTGAATTTGAAAATCAGAGATTTAGGTTTGGTGGGATTTTTGTTTGTTTGGTTTGTGTTTTGTTTGTTTGTTTGTTTGTGTCTTCCTGAGTTACATTTTCTGTCTACAGTTGGCTGGCTATGCAGTGAAGCTCCATATGTCCCACATTCATTCTTCAGAATAACTTGGGCAAGTTCTCATGGTGAAAGTAGAGGTGCAAAGGTAAACAAGTCCAATTATCTAAGTATGTGCGAAGTCTCTATTTGTGTCTTGTTTACAAACAGCACGTGGCCAAAGCTATGAATCACAACATTAAGGGCTGAGTAAAATTTCCTGCCCAGACTTGGACAGTACTTGAAACTTGTATACGAAAAGAACAGATATAAAGAGGGGAGAAAGAATTTGGGCTGAAATTCAATCTATCACACTTTCCCAACCTAATAGCTCATATTTCTTTTTGTTTGATGAGTTAGTTCATCAGTACAATGCTGATAGGAAGACTGATAGTTAACATTTATGTCGTGTTTCTATATGTAATAGGAAGGATCTGGAGTACATTTTTGATGAATATAAAATTTTAAGTTTATGGTTTTCTTCTTTCAGCTCTTCAAGCATTTTTTCCTACTGTCTAATGAACAGTCTGTATTAATTTTAGTTTTGTTCCTGTCTTTATAAGTTTACCTGTTCTCTCTTTTTCAAAATAAACTGTTAATTTTAGAGCCATTTTAGATTTACAGAAAAATTGTGAAGAGAGTACAGAGTTGCCATTACCCCCATAAATGCAGGTTTTTCCTGTTTTAACATCTTACATTAGTGTGGTAAATTTGTTACAATTAATTAGGCAATATTTATACATTAGTATTAAATACATCCATATTCTATTCAGATTTTGTTCATAATGTTCTTTTTTGTTCCAGGATTTCATCTGAATACCAAATTACTTTTGGTCATCATGTCTTCTTAAGCTCCTCTTGGCTGTGACACTCTCAGACAAGAATTTTGATAATCATGTTTTTATAACCTTGACAGTTTTCTAGAGTACAGTCAGGTATTTCCCACAATGAGAGTTGTATGATGCTTTCCTATAATTAGACTGGGATGATGGGGATACATGGAGGGAAGGCACAGAAGTAAGGCATGGAGGTAAATCATCGTGGAAAAGCTATTTTATCACAGTATGCCAAGTGTACATAACATTGTAGATGTAAACCATGATTACCTGGATGAGGTAGCAATTGCAGATTTTCTTACTGTAAAGTTATTCTTTTTCCTCCCTTGTTATATAGCACCATTTGGAAGCAAGTCACTACGCATAATTCACAATTGAGTAATAAAGATTTATGCTTCACCTCTTTGAAGGTAGAGTATCTACATATATTATTTGACATTCATCTCTATTTGTTCAGTCATTTATTCATATCAATATGGATTCATGGATAATTACATGGGTACTTTATACTTTGGCTTATAATACAATACCACCTTTTATTTTACTGTTCAGATGTTTCCAGCTTTGGACAATGGGAGCTCTTTCAGGTGACTCTTAGTCCCTTTGACATAATACATCATTGTGTTTAGTATGTTTGTTTCACTTTTTAAATTTTTCTTCATTTTCAAACACTATAAGATGCCAAAAACTCATCTTGCATATTAACTGCCCACGTCTTAGAATTAGATATTTCTCTAAGAAGCCCTGATTCCTTTTGTTGGTAGTGTCAGTCCTCCAAATTTGTTCTTCTTCATTATTAGGTTGATTATTTATTCTAGGTCTTTTATCTTCTCATATAAACTTCACAAAAAATTTTCTACTTTTTCCATTAAAGCCTTTAATATATTAATTATAGTTCATTTTAATCCCCTCTCTGATAATTTCATTGTCAACTTTATATCTGCATCTGGTTTTGATACTTTTTTTCTCTTCAGAATCTGTTCGTTCTTGCCTTTTGCCATGTTTAAAGTCAGACATGATGTATCAGGTAATAAAAACTGAAGTACACGTTTAGTGTAAAGGTTTTTGTTAATCTGGGTGCTTTAAACTGTATTTAATATCTGATGGGCTGTGCTTAATGTGTATGCGTCTGCAGGTGTCAGAGGTTTCAAATTTCTCCAGTGACCTTATTTTTGTGTCACTGGTTGACTTGGGCTTCCCTCAGTATTCCTCCTCAAATAATCTTTGTCTCACAACTCTTTTAGCTGAAATACAATGTATTATTTTAGAGCCCTGTTTTTTTGGTGGTAAGTTGTGAAGGAGAGGAAGCATTCTGTAATATTAAAATTAAATTTTGCTATTTTATTGGGCCTGTGCTCCTGGCTCTGACCTTCACAAGTGTTTCTTAAATTCCTTCTTTCACTGTGCATGAAACAGGAAGGCTCAAGAGGGTTGCAGTGAGAGTAAGCCCATTCCTCCAAGTAGGATAAAGCTATGGCAAAGCTTTATCCTGTGGACAGTAGGCGTTTGTAATAGAAGGATGCTGTTAGCTTATTTCTTTTTCCCTTCTTCTGCTAGAGCCACAAAAGGATCTTTTTCAGATCTTCACTATGAGGTCCTGGTAGGGTTCCTGGAGGTAAGACACACAATGTTCCACCTGCCCTTCCACTCCCCCTGCCTATTGCAGCCCCAGCAGTTTCTCATTCTTAAACTCATCTGCAATCAGCCATCAACATTTCATCAAAATGACCAATTAAGTGTATTTATCAATTTATGGCTCCAGTGGTTTTCACTCCAGGTAAGAAGATTTGTACTGTGACTCTTGATTCACATGTCTCTACATTTTGTGGTGATAAATTTTATCCTGCAAATAATTTCTTCTCTGATGAGTCCGAGAAAACTCACTGATTTTCAGTTTGTTGAGTTTTTTCTTTGGTGTAGAGATGAGAGTCACAACTTCCAAACTCCGTGTAGGAGCTGAAGTCAGAAGTATTTATTGCTTTAAAGATTTTGTAGCACTGTTTTCTAGCAATTTGATTATGGCACTACTTAATGTGGTTTTCACTGTGTTTATC
Source organism: Homo sapiens (assembly GCF_000001405.40). Classification (NCBI taxonomy): domain Eukaryota; kingdom Metazoa; phylum Chordata; class Mammalia; order Primates; family Hominidae; genus Homo; species Homo sapiens. The sequence continues at coordinate 22,770,048 of NC_000009.12, forward strand.
CTCCTTGGCGTTTAGTAAAATTATTAAATAAGTAAGGTTGGAGTTTTATTTAAACCTGGAAACCATAGATGTTATTTTCTTCAAAAATTTTATGCTTGTCTTCCTTTTTTCTTGTGTTCTAAAGACCCATATGTTAGACCATCTGATACTACATACACTTGAAGCTCTGTACAATTTTTTTCAGTCTTTTTTTCTTATTTTTGCAGTATCTATTCTAATGTTAAATGTATCCAGTAAATTTTTTATTTTTTTCACTCTAGAAGTTCTACTTTGTCCTTTTAAAATAATTTTTATTTTCCTTCATTATTTTCTTGTATAACTTTACATTTTGAGCACATTAAACATAATATTTGTTTCAAAGTCTTTCCGTGATAATTTCATTGTTTGATTTTCTACTGGGTAAGGCTCACATATTTCCACTTCTTGTCATCATTATACCTATTTTACGGGAATTGCAATATTTTGAATGTATGTTGCTGTGTGTTAGGTCTGTTGTCTTCCTTTAAAATGTTGGATTTTGTACAGGCATGCAGCTGTTACTTGTGGATCAATTTGATTACTTGCAGGCTTATTTTAAAGCCTTTTGTAAGAGCTCATTTGGAATAGTTCTTACTCTGGGGATGGGTAATCCCTACTACCATACTATAGTTCTTTTCTGGTTTCTGCTGAATGTACTGAGTGATCAACAAATATTCACTCCGCCTTTCCAGAGCTCAGGTGGCTCACAGCACTATGAAAGCTGAGAAGTTTTTACCTTTCTGCTTACTAGGGGTCGTTTTACTAATCTTAAACTTCCACCTCATCCATGCATAGCTTAGTATTCAAGGGGATCCCTGTACAGATTTCTAGGGCTTGTTTCCTTAGTAATTCCCTCCCCTCTACAGCATCTCCCCAGTTTTTAGTCATTTCACCCTCCCTCAAATCTGATCCCTGTTTTCTCAACTCAACATATCCACTGCGCTCTATTTGTCGTCCATTTAATATCATGGTTAAGTGTGGTTAAGAATTTTTCTCTAGAAATAAAGCTAGTGGGATCCTGGGGCTCACCCTGCTTATGTGGCTTCTCTCAGTGACTACAGTCTTTTGCTGCTTGCTGTCCAAATTCTAAAAAAATTTCTGTCCTGTATTTGTTCAGCTTTTTAATTGTTTTGGTGGGAAGGTAAATTCAACCATTTTACTTCATAATGCTCACAAGCTAATTTTTACTTTATGTGCTGCCGAAGTGAACACTCCAGAAGCTAATTTTAAAATCAAACTTAAGTAAAAATAAAGGAATTATTGACCATCAGCTAAATATTTCTTTATTATATGAGGTTCTATCTTAAAAGCAATTTTCTCCCTAAGGTAAGAAATGAGATTATGAAGAACAGTAAGTGGTTGTAATCTCTTTTCTTTTTCCTTTTTTAATATGGTGTTTCAAATTTAAACAATATCTCTTCACTTTGATATGAAAAATAAGGACATTAGATCCTTTGCCTCATGCCCTTAGTTTATTAATTCCATTTTATATGTTTCATAACATTAACTTTGATTATATAGCCACAACTTGAGAAATTATCTTGTATCTGTTCTCTATTTAAATGGAATCACATGTCATCTACAATCATTTTATGATGGCTTTCCATTCCACTATTATTTTGACTTCTTATTTACCTTTTAATTAGCTCAAATTTATCACTCCTGGGTTTTTGTTTTGTTTTATTGTTTATAAGAAAGATTCATGCTATATTACTCATTATTATTCATGGGGTTGTTTTTTATAGTTGAGCATCTACAACTTTATCCTCACACCAGAATGAGGTTTGAGCTGGATCACAATTGGTTGTCTTTAGAACTTGGTAAATACTGCTTTTTCTTGATGTTGTGTGTCTGATTTTACTTTTTTAAAATACTGTACTTTTTGATTTACAGATACAGTTCTTTCTTCACTATAGGAGAAATTATCATAAGTATTTAAATGTATCTGCGATTTCATTTAATGACTTTCCTACTTCAAACGTAACTATTTTCATTAGGCTTATCTATATTCTGGATTTATCAGGTTCTTTCTGAATGGCCTAATTGATTTGCCTTCTTTATCTACATTGGTTAGAGTTATTCCAATCTTTTTCTCTATGATGAGAATTTCAGAAGTAACTAAAGTTTTGGCTGTGTTTATTTGTCAGTTTGAGATTATTGTTCTTTAGTGATTTTCTATGTTTTTGCAAGTCTGCAATCTCAATTAAATATACCTTTCAATCCTATGCTTAAAGTCGAAGCTTACTAAATTAGTCATACCAAATTATTCTACATTTTGCAGTGATTGGATATAACTCTTGATTCGTGAATATTTTCTTCAGCACTGTGTACTTCGTCTACCTTTTTGCATACTATGCTCTTGCTATTTGTTCTTGTTTGATACTTATGAAGCACAATTGCCACACCATTTTTTTCTTATATTGCTCACTTTTGGGCAGCAGTTTTCACATTCTCTCTTCTCACTTTTTTTTTTTACATCTCTCAAGAGAGATGTAAAAACATTTCCTTGAAATAAACATTAAATTTTAGTTTGTTATTTTGTGCAGTATTTCCCCTTGTATAGCCTAATGGTGGTGGACTGTGGAAAGACTTTACCAAGAAAAGATGAGTTGAAATGTAAGCATTTATTTTTAGAATATCTTAAATCCATTCTAATTGCTTTTGTTTGTTTTGTTTATTAAAGTCCCGTACCAAGGTTTTGTTCATCTACTCTGGGGGGAAGATCCCATAACTGTGAGAGAACATTTTCAAGCCATGGATTATTTCTGTAGCTTTGTGTGTTAAGTCTAAGACTACAGTTTTGTCAAGGAAACATAGTCCCATGGTTTACTTCTCCCCCTTCTCTACCTCCCTCCATCTCTCAGAACTATTCCTTTATATCATTATGTTAAACATATAAAAAGACTGTGGTTTTTTGAAAATGGCACTTGATTGTGAAACAAGAGCTCTAATTTGAAGACCTGCTTTTGACACTAGCTATGTGACCTGCAGCAAATTTCGTTCTCATCTGGAAAATTTTTGCAGAGGAAGGTGGTGAGAGTAAAGTGATTTGAACAATATGATTTCCACAGTTTAATTTAGCTGTAGTGTTCCATAACTGTGAATTTCTGGACCTCCTGAGTAACGGCTAAATATAAAGTTGGCTCTATAAAAACTTATGTGGGTAAAAAATTTGCAAAGAAGTAAATATAATATTCATATGTATTATCTGCATGATAGTAAATTCCTTGGTATTTATAGGTATCTGAGTACGTTCAGATACCCTGTAGCAGCCTTAACTATTGGAGCTTTTATTTATATGGATATATAGACAAAATTAAGTGAGAAGCTGAGGAATTATCTGATAATTTAGTCTCGCTAATAGTTTTACCTCAAACATAAGCAAATGGGCTTTGGAGAATATTATTTTGTAAGAAAACCACTTGAGTTTCCATGTATACACAAAGTTGATGGCTACAAATAAGCTAATAGACAATGTTTGGTTAGGATAAGGAGTAAGCCAAACTACCTCACAGCCAGATCATTTTTGCCTTGATTGACATCTGTATACCTCTTTCTTGGCATTTTGCTTCAGGTTTTAAAATGGATTTCTCTTTTTACTAGCCTACTCCTTTAGAGTGATGGACACTATGTTGTAAATGAATCCTTTGTGCAGGTTCTTTTCAGTTACCTTGAAAACAGCTCCACATTACTTTGCATTTAGGAATAATAAAAAGAGGGATTTGGGAACTTGCTTTTATCATGTGGTAGTGGCATCATACAATATTCCCAGCCTGATCATGCATGAGTGACTTAAGTGGAAAATTTATTATGGGGAATATTTTCCTTACTTAAAACACTCTATTCTTACAGCGAAACAGTAAGAAAGATATGGTTCTATTTATAAACAACTGAAGCATAATATCTGCAATACATCACGTAAAGGTATAATCACTGTCAAAGTGCCAAGGTACCATCACAGAAAGTGACTGCTGTAATTGACAGAGATGGTGATCAGGCTCCAGAACCATTTGCCGATTGCATATTCATGATTCCACTTTGTAATATGCTACAGTTCCTCTGTGAGTTATTCTAAATGGATGTTTAAACATCACTAGACTGACACTATGTATTTTGAAATTTGCAAGTCTAATCTTTAACACCTTTCTTTCTGCTTTGTCTCAGAATGTCTAACTCATGAAATTGGAACTTAGCTAAGGGCCTGAATAGGAGGTTTGTATGTATCTGCCATTGTCACAGTACAGTCAGATAAATTCGGCTCTTTTTATGAATTCAGTCCTTAAATTCTTTTTGCAACCTTAAAGTAAACATTGGCAGTCAGTTAAAACTAACTTCTAAATGCAATGGTTCTCTTATCAGCCCCTTTACAAGGATAATGTAATTTTATTTTATTTTATTTTATTTTTTTATTTTATTTTATTTTTTTATTTTATTTTATTTTATTTTATTTTATTTTATTTTTGAGATGGAGTCTCGCTCTGTTGCCCAGGCTGGAGTGCAGTGGTGCGAATTCGGCTCACTGCAACCTCGCCCTCTGGGTTCAAGCTACATGGCAAATTTTTTAGTCTCTCACTGAAAGATACTTACATAGCTGTGAGTAATAATTATCTTAAATATCATGTCCCTAGTAGAATCATCTCTAGTGTTTTAGTTTTAAACCCATGTGCCATGTGGTGTTTCCCCTCATTTTGACAAATTGATTTTAGAATATATTGAGAAGATCTATAAATTATCCTCAAATAAATAGAATTTTTACTTCAAAACTTAAACATATCAGCTTTCCCATTGGAATAAAATGCAAATACTATACAGAATCAAATATAATATGTCCCAATACTGAACTTTAGGTTTAATTTATTTTCCTCACTATGGTGAGAAAAACAGACTGTATTTATAAAGAAATTCATAAATAATACGAAAAACCACTTTAGTAGGCTGAAGTAGAGGCAAAAAGGAGATGTGGAAAGCCAATAATGCATTTCATGGCATTCAAAGGAAATGGGAATTAAGTTTTGTGTTTTTTCTAAATTAGGGTATATTCAAAAGTTCATTCATGTTACCAATTTAATGTAATACATTGCAGTTCAGGTTGGTTAATAAGTTTCAAAAGTAATATAAATTAAACACATACTTCCATTAGTTTCAAATTTTGATGTATTTCACAAGTGCTTTAAATCTCTTAAGAATATGCACATAAAAATATATTAGTTGTTTATATTTTATTAAAATATGATATAACTATATAAAAGTATATAAATATAAAATGATATATACAAGAGTATAAATCAAGAAGGCACAGCTCAGTGAATCTTCATAAAGTGCATAAAACCAATAAAACCATAACACTATGTATTTTTAAATTAGTTTATAAAAAAATTATCTGATTCAAGAAACTAAAAATAAAGGAATATTTTAAGTAGTCTGTTTTTCCAAATTCCTTTCACTTAACTTGACAGTCAAGAAATCAGGTTAAAATTTTCTTCAGGCTAATGTTAGAGTAAAAGGATGGTACTTCTTTAGGTCATTTGTCTGTGAGAGACCTGGACTTAAACCAAGCCAATAGGCTCTTCTGTCTGGCAGTCTGGCAAAGCTGTGTTGATAGAAGCAATTACGGGTGAGTCATGTTAACCTTAATGAAACTCGAGGGATAATCCTGGAACCCAAATTATAGTTTAATTTCTACAATTACAATTAATCTTCCCAATTAGGTGGACATCTTAATGTTCATATTTTCCTCCATAGCCATATGCAGATGCTGCTTTCTCATCTTTATATGCCGTATGCACCTGAAAACTTCCATAATTATTTCAAAAGCACTGAAGTCCATCTTTTGTTAGAAAGACTATTTCCAAATTATTTGAATCAGAAAAAAACATTTGGAAAAATTCATTTATAAAAGCAAGTTGATACCATTGGGAGGAAATTTCTCTTTCATTTCCCTTCTAGGACCTATTGCTATTTTTTATTCATTTATTCATCCAAGAAACTTTTATTACATATCCTTTATTTGCCTAGCATCATATCAGGTATAAACAAAATTTTAATAATGGCAGAGTATTTGATCTTATAGAGCTTACAGCCTCTGTAAAGGTGTTGTGAAGGTTTCCATTCATCCATTTATTCAACAAATAATTACTGAATTTTTGTTATGTGCCAGGCAAATTACAGGCATTTTGAATAAGACATTGAACAAAACAGACAAAATTCTTTTTTCAGAGCTTAGATTCCAACAAAGGAGACTGATTATAAGCAAAGTATACAAATAAGTATGCAATGTGATATGCTGATTATATCTTTGGTTTTAATTAATTATTTCACTAGAGCCAAGCCTCTTTTAGTGTGACATTGCACAACAGTTGAATCTGAACTAGTTTTTAACTTGTTTTGGAAAATAGAATGTGATGGAAGTGACAGTGTGGTGGTTCCAAACATAGGCCTCAAGAAGTCTTGTAGAGACTGGGAAGGATTGTGGGGAGGGAGGGAAAAGTCAAGATTGTTTGTGGGTGCAAAAATATAGTTAGAAAGAATGAATAAGATTTAGTATTTTATAGCACAACATGGTGACTATGATCAACAATAATTCAGTGTATATTTTAACATAACTAGAAGATCAGTATTGGAACGTTCTTAATACAAAAAGATAATACTTGAGGTGATGAATACTCCAATTACTGTGATGTGATTATTATATATTGTATGCCTATATCAGAACATCATATGCACTCCACGAAAGTATACACCTACAATGTGCCCATAGAAATAAAAAATTAAATATATATATGAACTTATTCATACTAAAAAAAAAAAAGCTTTGCACATTTCTACTCTTTCTGAATGCTACCTCTCCCATGCGAGCAAGCTGTAAGGTCATCCTTGACCACACTGTTCCCACCCAACCCATCCGCAGACCTCAGATAATATGAATTTAGCTAAGATCACTGAGTTAATAATAATCATTATTATATGCCATTAAGGCTTTGTGATTATTTGTTATACAGAATTATTAGGGCAATATATAATGGACACATATAGAACATAAAACAATGAAGATTTCACAGGAGAAAAAAGTAAATCAAAACATAACAGTCAAAACAATAATAAAGGAGAAGAATAAAGTTGGAGGACTGACACCACCCAACTTCATGGCTTACTATAAAACCTCAGTAATCAAGACAGTGTTGTATTGGCAAAAAGAAAATAGACAAATAAATCCATGGAACAGAATACAGAGCCCAGACATAAACCCACATAAATACAGATAATTAATCTTTGACAAAGGAGAAAAAGCAATGCATTGGAGAAAAGATAGTATTTTCAAAAATGGTGCCACGGGACATTCACATGCAAAAAAAATAATCTAGACACAGACATTATACCTTTCACAAAAATTAACTCAAAATTTATCACGGAATTCAATGTAAAACACAAAACTATAAATCTCCTATAAAATAATATAGGGGAAAATCTATATGACCTTGGGTTAGGAGATGACTCTTTAGATGTAACACCAAAGGCACAATCCATGAAAGAATTGATAAACTTGATTTCAGTAAAATTAAAAATCTTTGCTCTGTGAAAGATAGTGTCAAGAGAATGAAAAGATAATGTATAGACTGGGAGAAAAGATTTGCAAAAGACATATCTGATAAAGGACTGTTAAGATATACAAAAAGCTCTGAAACTCAACAATAATAACATTTTTAAAATGGGCCAAAGACAAACAGATACCTCACCAAAGAAGATATACAGATGGCAAATAAGCATATAAAAGATGCTTCACATTATATGTAAGCAAGGAAATGCAAATTATAACAACAGTAGGATGCCACCACAGACCTATTAAGATGGCCAAAATCCAGAACACTGACAACACCAACTGCTGGCAACGATGTGGAGCAACAAGAACTCTCAATAGTTGGTGAGAATGCAAAATGGTGAGCTACTTTGGAAGACAGTTTAGCAGTTTCTTCCAAAACTAAACATACTCTTATCATAGATCTAAAAATCACACTGCTTGATATTTACCCAAAGAAACTGAAAAATTATGTCCACACGAAAACTTGCACACAGATGTTTATAGCAGCTTTATTTATAATTGCCAAAACTTAGAAGCAACCCAGATGTCCTTCAGTAGACAAGAAGATAAATAAACTGTGTTACATCCAGACAATAGAGTATTATTCAGAGCTAAAAAGAAATGAGCTGTCAAACCATGAAAAGACATAAAGGGAATGTAAATACATATTACTAAGTGAAAGAAGCCAATTTGAAAAGCTGCATACTGTATGATTTCAACTGTATGACATTCTGGAAAAGGCAAAACTATGGAGACATTAAAAAGATCAGTGGCGTCAAGTAGTTGGGGCAGGAAAGGATGAATGGGCAGAGCACACAGGATTTTTAGGTCAGTGAAAATTCTCAGAATGATATAATGGTGGACACATGTCATTAACATATTTGTTGAAACCCATAGAATGCATAGCATTTTCTCCACAGAGGTGAGACTTTGATTATATTTTTAAAAATAATTACATATTCTTCATGCAAATATATGTTTGAACCATGCTGAGGGAAAGCATTACAAACTCAGCTAGGAATACAACATAGAACATTCAATGGGTTATTAATTATTCTGTAGGTTTGAAGTATGCAATTCTGAGGATAGATTGAGAATGGAGGAAATAACAGAACTTAACCTTGGAGTACAGGGTAGCGAACATCCAAAATCTGAAATGCTCCAAAATCTGAAGTTTCTGTTTTGTTTAACTTGTATTTTAGTTTCAGGGGTACATGTGCAGATTTGTTATATAGGTAAACTTGTGTCACCGGGATTTGATGGACAGATTATTTTGTCATCCAGGTACTAAGCCTGGTACCCAATAGTTAATTTTCTTAAACCTTTCCCTCCTTCCATCCTCCCACTGCTGGTAGGCCCAAGTGTGTGTTATCCTCTTTGTGTCCATGTGTTCTCATCATTTAGCTCCCACTTATAAATGAGAACATGTGGTATTTGGTTTTCTGTTCCTGTGTTAGTTTGCTAAGGATAATGGCCTCCAGCTTCATCCATGTTCTTGCAAAGGACATGATCTCATTCTTTTTATGGCTGCATAGTATACCATGGCATATATGTACCATATTTTCTTTATTTAGTCTTCTGTTGATGGGCATTTAGGTTGATTCCATGTCTTTACTATTGTGAATAGTGCTGCAGTGAGCATACACATGTCTTTATGACAGAATGATTTATATTCCTTTGGGTATATACCCAGTAATGGGATTGCTGGGTTGAATGGTAGTTCTGTATTTAACTTTTCAAGGAATCGCCACACTGCTTTTCACAATGGTTGAACAAATTTACACTCCCACCAACAGTGTATAAGAATTCCCTTTTCTCTGCAATCTTGCCAGTATCTGTAATTTCTTGACTTTTTCATAATAGCCATTCTGACTGGTGTGAGATGGTGTCTCATCGTGGTTTTGATTTGCATTTCTCTAATAATCAGTGATGTTGAGCTTTTTTTCATATGCTTGTTGGCCACATGTATGTCTTCTTTTGAAAGGTGTCTGTTCACATTCTTTGTCCACTTTTTAATGGGATTGTTTGTTTTTTGCTTGAACGTTTAAGTTTCTTAAAGATACTGGATATTAGGCCTTTGTCAGATGCATAGGTTGCAATTACTTTCTCCCATTCTATAGGTTATTTGTTTACTCTGTTGGCAGTTTGCTATGCAGAAGCTCTTTAGTTTAATTAGATGCCAAAAGTTTTTGCTTTTGTTGCAGTTGCTTTTCGAATCTTTGTCATGAAATCTTTGCTCATTCCTATGTCTAGAATGGTATTGCCTAAGTTTTCTTCCAGGCATTTGATAGTTTTAGGTTTTACATTTACGTTTTTAATCCATCTTGAGTTGATTTTATATGTGGTGTAAGGAAGGGGTCCAGTTTCTGTTTTCTTCATATCACTAGCCAATTATGCCAGCACCATTTATTGACTAGGAAGCCTTTCCCCATTGCTTGTTTTGTCAGCATTGTTGAAGATCAGATGGTCTTAGATGTGTGGCCTTATTTCTGGGCTCTCCACTCTGTTCCATTTGTCTATGTTTCTGTTTTTATATCAGTACCATGCTGTTTTGGTTACTGTAGCCCTGTAGTAGAGTTTGAAGTTGGGTAGTTTTATGACTCCTGCTTTGCTCTTCTTTTCTTAGGATTGCCTTGGCTAGGGCTCTCTTTGGGTTCCATATGAATTTTAAAATAGTCTTTTTCTGGTTCTGTGAAACATGTCATTGGTAGTATAATAAAAGTAGCACTGAATCTGTAAATTGCATTGACCATATAGCCATTGAAATATTAATTCTTCCTATCCATGAGTATGGAATGTTTTTACATTTGTTTGTGTCATCTCTGATTTCCTTGAGCAGTGTTTTGTAGTTCTCACTATAGAGATATTTCACCTTTCTGGTTAGCTCTATTCCTAGGTATTTTATTCTTTTTGTCACAATTGTGATGGGGTTATGTTCCTAGTTTGGCCTTTGTTTGGCTGTTCTTGGTTTATTGGAATGCTAGTGATTTTTGTACCTTGATTTTGTATCCTGAAACTTTGCTGAAGTTGTTTTCCAGCTTAAGGAGCTTTGGGGCTGAAACTATGGGGTTTGCTAGATATAGAATCATGTCATCTGCAAACAGGGATAGTTTGACTTCCTCTCTTCCTATTTGGATGCCCTTTCTTTCTTTTGGCTGATTGCTCTGGTAAGGATTTCCAATATTATTTTGAAAAGGGGTGGTGAGAGAGAGAATCCTTGTCTTGTACTTGTGTTCAAGGGGAATGCCTCTAGCTTTTGCCTATTCAGTTTAATGTTTATTTTGAGGTATGTTCCTTCAATACCTAGTGTGTTGAGAGTTTTTAAGAAAGGATGGTAAAATTTATTGAAAGCCTTTTATTTATCTAATGAGATGATCATGTGGTTTTTGTCTTTAGTTCTGTTTAAGGGATATATCACTTTTATTGATTTGTGTATGTTGAACCAATCTTGCATGCCAGGGATAAAGCCTACTTGTTCATGGTGGATTAGCTTTTTGATATGCTGCTTAATTTTGTTTGCTAGTATTTTGTTGAGAATTTTTACATCAATGTTTATTGAGGATATTGGCCTGAAGTTTTACTTTTGCGTTGGGTCTCTGCCAGGTTTGGTATCAGGATGATGCTGGACTCATAGTATGAGTTGGAGAGAAATCCCTCCTCCTCAGTTTTTGGAATAGTTTTAGTAGGTATGGTACTAGCTCTTCTTTGTACATCTGGTAGAATTCAACTGTGTATTCATCTGGTTCTGGTCATTTTTTGGTTGGTAGACTATTTATTACTGATTCAATTTTGGAACTTCTTATTGGTTTGTGTAGGGATTCAATTTCTTCTTGTTTCAGCCTTAGGAGGGTGTAGTATCCAGGAATTTATTCGTTTCTTTGAGAATTCTAGTTTGTGTGAATAGAGGTGTTCATAATAGTATTTGATGGTTATTTTTAATTCTGTGGGTTCAGTAGTAATATCCCTTTTGTCATTTCTGAATTTCTGATTGTGTTTACTTGGATATGCTCTCGTTTCTTTTTTATTAGTCTGGCTAGCTATCTTACTATTTTTTTCCAAAAAGCATATTCTGGCTTCGTTGATCTTTCTAATTTTTTGTGTGTCTCAGTCTCCTTCAGTTCAGCTCTGACTTTGGTTATTTCTTGTTTTCTGCTACCTTGGGGGTTGGTTTTCTCTTTCTTCTCTGGTTCTTTTAGTTGTGATGTTAAGTTGTCAATTAGATCTTTCTAACTAACTTTTTGATGTGGGCGTTTAGTGCTATAAATTATCCTCTGTACACTGCTTTAGTTGTGTGTCCCAGATATTCTGGTATGTTGTATCTTTATTCTCATTAGTTTCAAAGAACTTCTTGATTTCTGCCTTAATTTCATTATTTACCTAAAAGTAATTCAGGAGCAGATTGTTTAATTTTCATGCACTGTATGGTTTTGAGTGATTTTCTTAGTCTTGAATTCTATTTTTATTGTGCTGTGGTCTGAGAGAATGGTTGGTATTATTTTGGTTCTTTTGCATTGATGAGGATTATTTCATGTCTGATTGTGTGATTGATAAAATCTGAAGTTTCTGAGCACTAACAAACATGATGCTCAAAGGAAATTCTCATTGGAGCATTTTGGATTTTAGATTTTTGAATTAGGGATGTTGAGCCAGTAAGTACAATGCAAATATGCCAAAATTCAAAAGAATCCAAAATCTTAAAAACTTCTTGTTGCAAGCATTTAGAATAACAGATACTTAACTTGTATCTGTGATACTGAAGTTAGATAATGAAGAACGTTGTAAACCATTTTAAAGAATTATAAATATTATAGTACCTAATGGGGAGAAAGAAGAAGATTTTGAACACAAGAGTGACAGTCTGAGTTGCATTTTTAATAGTGTGGAGCGTGGACATAGGAGTAAGTGAAACTCGAGACATGAGAAACATTGAGAGGCTATTTCAAGAGTCTTAATATGGAATAATGGGGATGTAGACATTATCCATAGGAAGGAATATATTTACACAGGAATTGTAAGGCTATATTTGTTTTTAAACTCTTACTGAGTATACTTTCCCTAACTCAGCTCCAGACATATGGGTCTCTCTACTTTTCCTCAATATGGGAGATATGTCCCTAATTCAGAGTCTTTATATAGGCTGTAAATCCTGGTACCGATGTGGCCTATACTCTCTTCTTCATTAAAGTATTGCTTAAATCTTATCTTCTCATTAAGTCTTACCTTAAGTCTTCAATTAAAGTTGCACACCACCATTTCCTACTATGGTAGTTTGCAGTACTTTTTCAAAACACTTTTTCAAAACATTCTTTTATTGCAATCTAAAAACACTCCTCTGTTAGCGTGTGACTTCAAGTGCCTCACTGTAAGAGAAACAAATATTCTCGTGCCAGTGACACTGGATTTGGCCATGTGTCTTACTTTGGACAATGGACTGTAGAAAGACAAAATGTATATCACATTCTAGGCTAATCTTTGAATATTCCTCTGAAATATTCAGTTTTTATTTTTTTAAACTCTTCCATTAGTATAGCATTTAAGCCTGGATCCTAAAATAAAGAAGACATGTAGAGAAGAACCATAGGAAACTAGAGCTGTTACAATCTAATTAGTTATGAGAGAGAAATAAAACTTTATTCTTATATCCATTTGTTTTACTAAAATATAAAGAGATGTACATCAACTGATATAGAAAATGGTAAGTAGAAGTAGGTTTCTTTCATAAGAAAAATCCTACAATACATGGGATCAAATGTGGTCTTAAGTAAGCTCCTGTTGAACACTCAAATGATAGAAAGCCATGTTATCCAGTGACAGAACATTGAGTAAAACTGTCACCTGTAGTATTTAGTACAGAAAATGTAGTAAAACTGTTACTGTGATATGTCACCTAAGGAAGATAATAAGTTGATGGTTACTGGGCTTCACATAGTTTCTATCAGCTACATCTGATTGGGTATTTAAAAAACAAAAAAAAACAAAAACTCAGAAAACAATTAACTGGCCAGCAAGCATGCTAAAAGGGAAAAGAGAATCCAAAAATTTCAGTAGCTACAGTATAGAAAGATGCAACTCTCATAACAAAAAGGTAAGAAAAAAATCAAGAAATGCTTTGAGAAACAATGACAAATAATTAAGGCAACCTTAAAGCAAAAGCCAACTTGAGGGCATGCCAATCTTATTATTTGCTATAGCCTCTGAATAATTTCAGTTGATTCATGATAAATCCTTTCAATTGACTAAAATGGCTTAGTGAAAATAAACTAATAGTGAGCTTCTTTCACATTATCCTTATAAATTAAACATAATGAGAATGAAATTTATAGAACATATCTTTAATCTTTAAAATACTCTATACTTTTTGATGTGTCTATTGGCATGTAGAAAAAATTGCCATCAAGTAGGTAAAAAGCCAAAAAAAATCTTTTTTCAGTGAATTGCACTGCCAAATGAACCATCAGCTAAAAATGAACGACTGTTATTATCAAATTTTAAAATAACTCTTGGATTCCTAAACTTCTACAGGCAAAAACAGGTTGAGACATTAACTTATTCCAATAGAGGATATAGTCTCCTTTTCAGATGTGGCCAAGAAGGATACTGAACTTCAAGGGAAGAGCCAAGATTCAAAAAGAATGGATGGAGGTCCTCCTCCTATGCAGTAGAAGTTTTACTTTCAAGAAAATGCTTTTCATCCAACATAGAAGACTCTTGCAAATATCTGTATTTCTTGGTTTCAGAATTTTTACATACCAGTAATGGCAATGTTCCTCCTATTCTTTCCTTTTCTCAAAGGAAGTGTTTATTGTCATAAATATGTCCTTGTTTCTCCATTATATCTTAAGGATGGAGACATAACCTTCCATTTTATTCACATATCTTTAGACTAAGAAAAGTGATATGTAAAACATATTTAAAATTGTGGACATTAAGTGAATATTGAGGTATCTTTGTATCTTTCTTAGTGATGGGGCGAATGATGTTGAATAAAAAAGGAAGGAAACTTAATATCTGTTACCAAGATAGTAGATTCTGGTATATTAGAGTATTAGATAAGACTATGTATGAGAGTGTTGCTCCCATTATATATCCACCTCACCTGACTGTAGGAATATTGTATTTATGTTTCTTCCTTTTCTTAAAAAATGGCATTCTTTCTATCTGAATACTGAAATTAACCAGACATGTGGAGCAGAGCCAGAGCTGACCTACCACTGCTGCAGATCATATCAAGTGAGAGTGAGAAATATTTCTGTTGCAAATCATTGAGTTTGTTAAAGTCGTTTGTTACCACAGTAAGAACTAACACACCCGCTCAATTTCAAACTCATTTTTTCACAATTCCTTTTAATTTGATCTTTATTTTTTTATTAATGTGATTTTTCTCCTAGTACATATTACTTTCAACATCCAATATAGTTTATGCATTTATAATGGTTATTGTGAACTGTATGACCATTTTATTAGATTATAAGCCATAAGAAGTCAGGGATTCTTTCACATTTTGTTTGGTAATGTATCTGGAGTACAAAAAGCAAAATATGGACTTAAATATTTGTAGAATGAATGAATCATGCTGTCATAAAACTTGTGGCAAATAAATGCTAGGGAAAAAATTTGGAATTAAGCTCATCCTGTAGAGGTAACCTATATTAAAAATTTGAAAATTCTAACACATAGCAACAGTTATCACGAATGTTATTGGTGGAGGGATAGAAAAATAGATCAATGAAACAGAATAAAGAAACCAAAAATAGATTTTTGCTTAACCGATTTTTGAAAACAGGTGCAAAGGTAATGAAATGGTAGCAGCATAGCCTTTTCAAAAAATGGTGCTAGAAGAAATGTACATCTAGAGGCAAAAAAGAAAAAAAATGATATCTTTGACATAATATTCACAATTATTTTTAAAAACTCAGAATGAATTATGGATTTAAATGTAAAACATATCCTGAGACTTTGCTGAAGTTGCTTATCAGCTTAAGGAGATTTTGGGCTGAGACGATGGGGTTTTTCTAAATATACAATCACGTCATCTGCAAACAGAGACAATTTGACTTCCTCTTTTCCTATAAGAATACCCTTTATTTCTTTCTCTTGCCTGATTGCCCTGGCCAGAACTTCCAATACTATGTTGAATAGGAGTGGTGAGAGAGGGCATCCTTGTCTTGTGCCGATTTTCAAAGGGATTGTTTCCAGCTTTTGCCCACTCAGTATGATATTGGCTATGGGTTTGTCATAAATAGCTCTTACTATTTTGAGATATGTTCCATCAATACCTAGTTTATTTAGAGTTTTTAGCACAAAGCAATGTTGAATTTTATCAAAGGCCTTTTCTGCATCTATTGAGATAATTATGTGGTTTTTGTCATTGGTTCTGTTTATGTGATGGATTACATTTATTGATTTGTGTATGTTGAACCAGTTTTGCATCCCACAGATGATGTGCTGCTGGATTTGGTTTGCCAGTACTTTATTGAGGATTTTTCTCATCAATGTTCATGAGGGATATTGGCCTTAAATTTTCTTTTTTAGTTGTGTCTCTCCCAGGTTTTGGTATCAGGATGATGCTGGCCTCATAAAATGAGTGAGGGAGGAGTCCCTCTTTTTCTATTGTTTAGAATAGTTTCAGAAGGAAAGGTGCCAGTTCCTTGTTATACCTCTGGTAGAATACGGCTGTCAATCCATCCCATTCTTGGCTTTTTTTTGGTTGGTAGGCTATTCGTTCCTGCCTCAATTTCAGAACTTGTTATTCAATTTCAGAACTTGTTATTGGTCTTTTCAGAGATTTGATTTCTTCCTCGTTTAGTCTTGGAAGGGTGTTTTAGTCTTGCAAGGGTGTTTGTGTCCAGGAATTTATCCATTTTTCTAGATTTTCTAGGTTTTTTGCGTAGAGGTGTTTATAGTATTCTCTGATGGTACTTTGTATTTCTGTGGTATCAATGGTGATCTCTCCTTTACAATATTTTATTGTCTCCATTTGATTCTTCTCTCTTTTCTTGTTAGTCTGTCTAGCAGTGTATCTGTCTATTTTGTTAATCTTTTCAAAAAACCAGCTCCTGGATTCATTGAGTTTTGAAGTGTTTTTCATGTCTCTATCTCCTACAGTTCTGCTCTGATCTTAGTTATTTCTTGTCTTCTGCTAGCTTTTGAATTTGTTTTCTCTTACTTCTCTAGTTCCTTTAATTGTGATGTTAGTGTGTCCATTTTAGATCTTTCCCGCTTTCTCCAGTGGGCATTTAGTGCTATAAATTTCCCTCTAAGCACTCCTTTAGCTGTGTCCCAGAGATTCTGGTATGTTGTGTCTTTGTCCTCATTGGTTTCAAAGAACATCTTTATTTCTGCCTTCATTTCGTTATTTACCCAGTTGTCATTCAGGAGCAGGTTGTTCAGTTTCCATGTAGTTGTGCAGTTTTGAGTGAGTTTCTTAATCCTGAATTCCAATTTGATTGCACTGTGGCCTGAGATACTGTTTATTATGATTTCCATTCTTTTGAATTTGCTGAGGAGTATTTTACTTCCAATTATGTGGTCAATTCTAGAATAAGTGCTATGTGGTGCTGAGAAGAATGTATAGTCTGTTGATTTGGGGTGGAGAGTTCTGTAGATGTCTATTAGGTCCGTTTGGTCCAGAGCTGAGTTCAACTCCTGAATATCCTTGTTAACTTTCTGTCTCAGTGATCTAATATTGACAGTGGGGTGTTAAAGTCTCCCACTATTATTTTGTGGGAGTCTAAGTCTCTTTGTAGGTCTATAAGAACTTAATTTATGAATTTTAGTGTGCCTGTATTGGGTGCATATATATTTAATATATATTTAGGATAGTTATCTCTTCTTGTTGCATTGATCCCTTTACCATTATATAATGCCCTTCTTTGTCTTTTTTAATCTTTGTTGGTTTAAAGTCAGTTTTATCAGAGACTAGTATTGCACCTCCACTTTTTTGTTTGTTTGTTTGCTTTCCATTTGCTTAGTAAATCTCCATCCCTTTATTTTGAGCCTATGTGTGTCTTTGCATGTGAGATGGGTCAGCTGAATACAGCAACCGATGTGTCCTGGCTCTTTATCCAATTAGCCAGTCTGTGTCTTTTAATCGTGGCATTTAGCCTGTTTACATTTAAGATTAATATTGTTATGTGTGAATTTGATCCTGTCATTATGATACCAGCAGGTTATTTCACGGACTTTTAAAGGAGAACTACAAACCACTGTTTAAGGAAATAAGGGAGGAAACAAAAAAATTTCCATGCTCATGGGTAGGAAGAATCAATATTGTGAAAATGGCCATATTGCCCAAAGTAATTTATAGATTCAATGCTATCCCCATCAAGCTACCGTTGACTTTCTTCACAAAATTAGAAAAAACTACTTTAAATTTCATATGGAACCAAACAAGAGATTGTATAGCCAAGACAATCCTAAGCAAAAAGAACAAAGCTGGAGGCATCACACTACCTGAATCCAAACTATACTACAAGGCTACAGTGGCCAAAACACCATGGTACTGGTACCAAAACAGAGATATAGACCAATGGAATAGAACAGAGCCCTCAGAAATAACACCACACATCTACAAACATCTAATCTTCGACAAAACTGACAAAAACAAGCAATTGGGAAAGGACTTCCTATTTAATAAATGGTACAAGGAAAACTAGCTAGCCATATGTAGAAAACTGAAACTGGACCCCTTCCTTACACCTTATACAAAAATTAACTCAAGATGAAAGAAGGACTTAAACATCAGACCTAAAACCATAAAAACCCTAGAAGAAATCCTAGGTGATACCATTTAGGGCATAGGCATGGGCAAACACTTTATGACTAAAACAGCAACAGCGATGGTAACAAAAGCCAAAATTGACAAATGGGATTTAATTAAACTAAAGAGCTTCTGCACAGCAAAAGAATCTATCATCAGAGTGAACAGGCAACCTACAGAACGGGAGAAAATTTTTGCCATCTATCCATCTGACAAAGGGATAATATCCAGAATCTACAAGGAACTTCAACAAATTTACAAGAAAAATACAACCCCATCAAAAAGTGGGCAAAGTATATGAACAGACACTACTCAAAAGAAGACATTTATGCAGCCAACAAACATACGCAAAAAAGCTCATCATCACTGGTCATTAGAGAAATGCAAATCAAAACCACAATGAGAAACCATCTCACACCAGTTAGAATGGTGATCACTAAAAAGTCAGGAAACTATAGATGCTGGAGAGGATGTGAAGAAATAGGAATGCTTTTACACTTTTGGTGGCAGTATAAATTAGTTCAACCATTGTGGAAGACAGTGTGGAGATTCCTCAAGGATCTAGAACCAGAAATGCCATTTGACCCAGCAATCCCATTACTGGGTATATAACCAAAGGATTATAAATTATTCCACTATAAAGAAAGACACAGCACACAAATGTTTATTGAAGCACTATTCACAATAGCAAAGACTTGGAACCAACCCAAATGCCCAAGACTGGATAAAGAAAATGTGGCACATATACACCATGGAATACTATGCAGCCATAAAAAAGGATGAGTTCATATCCTTGGCAGGGACATGGATGAAGCTGGAAACCATCATTCTCAGAAAACTAACATAGGAACAGAAAACCAAACACCACATGTTCTCACTCATAAGCGGGAGTTGAACAATGAGAACAAATGGACACAAGAAGGGGACTATCACACACTGAAGTCTGTTGGGGGGTAGCAGGATAGGAGAGGAATAGCACTGGGAGAAATACCTAATGTAGATGAGGGGTTGATGGGGGCAGCAAACCACCATGGCACGTGGATACCTATGTAACAAACCTGCAAGTTCTGCACATGTATCCCAGAACTTAAAGTATAATAAAATAAATAAATAAATGTAAAACATAAAACTATAAAAGTTTTAGGGAACAAAATGAAGAAAATTTTCAGGTTTTAGGGCTTGGCAAAGAATTCTGAGATTGGACACCAAAAGCGTCATCCATAAATTGAAAAACTGATTATCTGAATCTCATCAAAATTTAAAACATTTGCTCTCCCAAAGACCCTGTTAAGAAGGTGAAAAGGCCGGGTGTGGGGCCTCAGGCCTGTAATCCCAGCACTGTGGGAGGCCGAGGCGGGTGGATCACGAGGTCAGGAGATGGAGGCCATCCTGGCTAACAAGGGGAAACCCCGTCACTACTAAAAAAAAAAGTACAAAAAATTTAGCCGGCGTGGTGGCGGGTGCCTGTAGTCCCAGCTACTCGGGAGGCTGAGGCAGGAGAATGGCGTGAACCTGGGAGGTGGAGCTTGCAGTGAGCCGAGATTGCGCCACTGCACCCCAGCCTGGGCAACAGAGTGAGATTCCATCTCAAAAGAAAAAAAAAAAGAGGGTGAAAAGAATAAACTAGGGAACAGGAAAACACACACACACATTACTAAAAAAAGGACTGGTACCTAGAATATATAAGACCTCTCAAAAATCAACCTTAAAGTAATCAAACACTCCAAATAGAAAATGTGCTGGTATTTTATTGAAGAAGACATACAGATGGCAAATAAGCAAAGGAAGTGATGTTCAACATTACCTTTAGGCAAATGCAAATTAACATCACAACCAGATATATTAGCTTACCTGCCTGAATGGCTAAATTAAAAAATAAATGCTGGAGGGGATATAGAGAAATTGAATTACTCATACACTACCTGTGTGAATGCAATATTGTAAGGCCAATATTGAAAAAACAATTTGGCATTTCTTATAAAACTAAACACTCAATTACCATGTGATTAAACAATTGTACCCTTGGGCATCTGTCCCACAAAAGTGAAAACTATGTGCACATGAAAACAGTCACAGCAGGCCATGCGCAGTGACTCGTGCCTGGAATCCCAGCGCTTTGGGAGGCCGAGGTGGGTGAGTCACGAGGTCAGGAGTTCGAGACCAGCCTGGGCAACGTTGTGAAACCCCATCTCTACTAAAAATACAAAATATTAGCCGAGTGTGGTGGCAGGCACCTGTAATCCCAGCTACTCGGGAGACTGAGACAGAAGAATCACTTGAACCAGGGAGGCAAAGGTTGCAGTGAGCTGAGACTATACCACTGCACACCAGCATGGGCAACAGAGCAAGAGTTCATCTCAAAAAAGAGGAAATAAATAAAAATTAAAAATAAAAACAATTATAGCAGTTTTACTTATAACAGCCAAAAATTGGAAACAACTTGGATGTCCTTGTACAGGTGAATGGTTAAACAAATTGTGGTATACCCATACAGTGGAATGCTAATTAGCAATAACAGGGAACAAATTATTGACATAAGCAACAACTTGGATGAATCTTAAGGAAATTCTACAGTGGAAAAAGGCAAAATCAATAATATATATACTGCAAAATCAATAATATATATACTTTATGAATTTATATAACATTCTTGAACATATTATTTAGATGAATAACATATTAGTGGTTGTTAGGGATCAGATAAGGGTTGGTGTTGGGGAAGGGAAGTGGCTGTGGCTATAAAAGTATAAAAAGGGATCTTTCTTTGTGGTGATGGAACTGTTTTTTTATCTTGACTGTAGTGGTAGATTACAGAGAAGTAAACATACACACACACACAACTGTAGTGGTAGATTACAAAGAAGTACACACACGCACAGAGTACTTTAAAGCAGGTTAAATCTGAATAAAATTAATGTCAATTTCACAGTTGTAATATTGTACTGTAGTTTTGCAAAATGTTAACACTGGAAAAACTGGCCAAATAGATATCCCATGTACCCATGGGATATCTCTGCAGTATTTCTTACAACTGCATATATATACTACTGCCTCAAAATAAATAGCTTCGTTAAAAAATGGTTAAATATATAATTAATTATTATATAAATCATCAAGTCTACTTCTACATATTTACCCGTTAGAAATGATAATATATAGATATGTCCACAAAATAACCTGTATGTAAATGTTCATAGCAGTATTATTCATAATAGTGAAAATCTAAAAACAATCAATTATCTGGAAATAAGTAAGAAAGAGTGTGAGAAAATATCTTGGTGAAGAGTATTCTACCTAGCAAGAATAGAAAATATACATAACCTAACATGAGATCCAGATTGGTATATTCAAGGACTATCCATGAGGTCGGTGTGGCTGGGGTGAGAACCTAAATGAGTGGTAAGAAACAAGGGCAGATAGACACACAATGGATGTGAGAGGTGTGGGCAGACATCATTCAAAGTCATTTAGACTCTTACTCTCAATAAAGGGTCAGCCACATTCAAAGTCATTTAGACTCTTACTCTCAAAAAAGGGTCAGCCACTGGGGGTTTGGGCAGAAGAATATGACCTAACTTTTATGTTTTAATGAGATTTCTTTACATATTGTGTGAAAATAATGTCATATCATACTATATGGGAAATTTTTCATTATTTTAAGACCTTTAAATTCAGGTTTTGTTTCTATAAAAATGGTATTTTTTCAAGTTCCAGGAATTACCTTGACAATCAAAATGTTCTCCTGTGAGCACATTTCAGAGAATATCCATTCATCCACTAAAATGAAATTCTCACTTAAACTTTCTATTATCATGACATTTTAGAGATAAGAATTTAGTTTTACAGATTCCAAAACTAATAACATAATTACAAAAAGACAAAATCAGAATAACTGCAACATAGTTGTAAATGTATATAATCCCCCAAATGACTTGGAAATGTTGATATATGTTACACATTTGAGGGAATTTGGCTGATGTTTTTAAAAATTTCTTTTTTGTTTTGTATGTGAATAAAAATAGCACAGACCCAAGAACAACCACATGGTGCCATGAGAGAACAGAAGTCACAAAGCACACAATTAACAAAACAGTATCAAGTCAATACAAATCACTTAATTTTGCTAATGACTGTCATGCATGGTAAAAATAGACAACAAGCTCCCTTCTGGCAGAATTAACAAGCACACTACCTAATATGGAACATAGAAATTATAGTAAATAGGAGATGAGAAAAGAACAAGAAGAGAAGTAATGAGGAAGAGGTGGAGGAGAGAACTCATTTACCATAGCTTATACACAGACCCCATCGTTTAGTTCATCAGTAACATCGAGACTGCGATGTGATGGAAGAAAACTGCAAAAAAACAACTGCTCAACACACACATCCCGGCAGGGTCCAAAATTAGGTCACAGCAATCCCAAACAAACACCTTACTGAGAAAAAAAAAAAAAAAAAGGGAAACCTATTGACAACTATTCTATAAAACTCTTATCCAGGTAGTTATTAAGGAGTCAGTTTGTATTTTCAAGTCTTGTCTTGAAAGCCCTAGTTTTACTTTGTTTTCTCTTATGAACTACTTGGATTCCTTCTCTTTAAAAATATCAAAACAAATATCTTTGGTGTTTTCAAGAAAAAAAAAATGTTCTTCCAAATGAAGAGCACATTTTTATTCCTTTTTAAAAATGTATTGACTTTCATATAATTGTATTTTTGCTTATTCTGGGGGAAAAATTCTAATTATTTCAATCAGCTTTTCTCTCACTGGTAGCAGAAAAACCCATAGCTATTTCACATCAGGTTAAGGCAGTAATGTTCAGCTAAAAATTAACATTTATCAACCTCCTCCATGACTGCCCCCCAAATTGCCATATAAATACATATTCATTTGCCAAATATATCATATTCATTTTCAAATATTTCAAACATTTGCAGCCCCTACTGTGGGCTGCAGATCCAGGGACAGATACAACCAAGTTTCTGCCATCAGCTTAGTAATCCATTGTGGGAGACAAGCATATAGATACATATAAAAATACCTAATTCAGTTTAACATTTACTTACCCAAAACACCTTCCAGAACCCGCGGATTAGGTGGTTTCTCTTATGTAACACTGCTAATTTTATGGAATTGAAAGTCATTCACTCATTCATACAATAAATAATTCTGGGGTGCTACTTAGTATATGCCAGGCATTTTTCTAATTACTGGGGGTGCCTAAGATAAAAAACAAATCTACTGCCTTCATTGAGCTTACCTTCTGTTGCTGGGGAGAGAAAAGCAATAAACAGATTATATAATCTCTGATATACTAGTTGTTATGAAGAAAACCAAACAGGGCAAGGGAATAGAGAGTCATTGGTGATTGCTGTAGATAGATAAATTACAAAAGCCCCATTTACAAAAGTGACATTATTCAAAGATCTGAAAAAAATTATATTAGTTTTCTAATGTTACTGTAACAAATTACCACACAGTGACTTAAAACAACACAAAGTTATTATCTTATAGGTCACAAGTCTGACATGGGTATCATTGGACTAAAATCAAGATATCGGTAGGGCTGTATTGAGGTCCTCGAGGAAAAATAGGTCTCTTTGCCTTTTCCACCTCTAGAGGTTGTCCACATTCTTTGGTATATGGTGTCTGTTACCCATCTTTAAAGCCAGTGAGTCAAGTTTCTTCTCACATTTCTCTTATTCTTATTCCAGCATCACATCTTTATATGCCATTCTCCCCTTTTCAAAGTCCTTAATGTTAATCACATCCCCAAAATTCCTTTTGCCATGTGTAGTAAAATATTCACAGGGTCCAGGAATTAGACCATGAGCGTCTTTGGTGTGGGCTGTATTATTATGTCTATGACAGAAATAAAGTGATATATATAAAAATCTAGGGGCAGATACTCAAGTCAGAATAGTAGGCAAATGCAAAGACATTGAAGGAAAAATTGATATAATAGCAGATTTAGTTCCTGATTCTAAGTAAGCCCACATTGAACATTATTTGGCCAATAAATAAATGAATGAGATGTGTTGCCCACAGTAGTAATCAATGCATTTTCTGTTGTCTCCCTTCTGCCCTTTTTCTGTGTTCTCATCCTTCCTCTCTCTTCTCTCTCCCTCTCTCCCTCCCACTCTGTTAGAAACAAGGGTGCTATAAACACTTAAAAATCAAATGCTTGGGGAATGCCAGTGATGTCCTTGGGATAGAGGCACAGTTGTTTGAAAATATTACAGGATTCACTTTAATGTCAAGAAATCAGCTCTAGTCTAATGATGCTTCACGATGCATGTCTTGCCAGTTTTTAGGTTATGATTTGGCCAGAAGAAGTGCTGCAAAAACATATAGAAGATTATTTGCTATTCTTTTGATCTACTTCCATATGGTTTGTAAAATTCACACTTGGATTGATTGGTTCCCCCAAGAATTTTCAATTTTATCAGATGAAGCTATACCCTGTAGCCCTTGTCATGCTTGTGAAGACCACACACCAAATATGAAGACAATGTTACTACTTATCCCTTCCAATTTCTCATAAGAATGTCAAATATCTTACTTCATATTCAACTTTCACTAACAGTCACTGAATTACTATTAAATCTGGTTTCTGCACATTATTTTATCTAATTCCTACATCTACCTATTAATAGGAGTTAAATTCTTTTTTATGCACTGTAGAAAATCAAGTATAGAAGGGTCAACAAAACAAGATACACAAGATGGATATAATAAGCTACTGCTTACAAAAGGAAAGAATACAAATATGTGTCTTGCGTGGGGTAGGCATTGCTTATTTGTTTTTAAAGTAGGAAAAATTGAAGTCAAAAATGTAAATGGTTTTCTATTGAGGACAAACTAGTTCCATACAGAGGAGAACAGATAGCTGGATTTTGAAAAGAAGAATTTAGACTTCTCTAAATTTAATTATTTGTAGATTTGACTCTGGAACCATATAAACCTTTCAAATAATTTTAAAGCCAAGCTAAGTATATAAAATAATCTATAAAATAATAGCACAGTTAAATAAATAAACCTATCTTTCAAGCTACTGGCATGACTACATAGAAAGAAGTTATTTCAAATGATTTTAAGACATGGTAATTTGACTGTACATTCTGAGAATGAAAATAATAGAATAAAAACTATTAAACTCTTTTTAGTATTTATATTATAGACGGTAGTGTTAGTACTATTATTCTGAAAAGGTTATGTGTGCAAAGTGAAATAAAGTGAATGAATAATTATGATGTGTTGCTGGGTTCTTGGATTTCTCACCCTGGAAGAAAGCTGTACAGAACTGGGGAGATTAAATGGAAATCCATGATCCTGAATTTGAATGGGAGTCACCAGTATGAACTCATGTCCTATTTTTTTTTTCTTTAAACAACAAGAAAGCTTACATTAGCTCTGTCTAGAGAAGATCAGTGGAACACATGCCACTTTTGGTTTCTAGCAAATGCTTAATAAATGCAAGATATTATTCTCTCAGTTTTGAGTTGTATTGCTAAAATATCTTACTGAGAAAGAGGAGCTAAAATTCAAGCATAACTAGCTGCTGTAAAAATATCACTTATGCTTGAACTCTTCGATTAAGAGTACTTTAACTCAAAGTATATTAATACTAAACAAACAGAAACAATAATCTTCATGAAAAGAATGAATTCTCCTTCATCCGTAGCAGTAGGTTCTGGGACCGGACAGTGAGGTTTATCAGGAAATCTAATTTTAGCCAATAAAATTTTTACATTCTATATGTAGGCATTTTCTAAGAACTATGAGCAAGTAGTCAACTTATTTTTATTTTCGTCTTCTTTTTTTTTTTTTTTAAGACAGGGTCTCACTCTGTTGCCCAGGCTGGAGTGCAGTGGCATGATCTCGGCTCGCTGCAACCTTGACCTCCCAGGCTCAAGGAACTCTCCCACCTCAGCCTCCTGAGTAAATGGGTCTACAGGCATGTGCCACCATGGACATCTAATTTTTGTATTCTTTGTAGAGATGGGGTTTCACGCTATTGCCCAGGCTGATCTCAAACTCCTCAACTCAAGTGATCCATTCACCTCAGCCTCCCAAAGTGATGAGATTACTGGCGTAAGCCGACATGTCTGGCCTTACTTTCATCTTTAATTCTCTTTCGCATTGTCAAATAGAAGTGATCATGCAAATTTCCAAGTCCAAATAGAGCTCTTCATGAGAGAGAAAGATAATTGCCTACCAGTAAGGCTGTCCAAACTAGTTTAATACTATTCCTTGTCAGACCACAAGATGAGTATCAAATAATCACCATGTCTTAGGATCACATCTTTCTTGTTCTGATTTTCTTTTATCCCGATCTCATTCTTGCTATCTTTATTTTCTCATCTCATCTCTGAAACCTTAAACTGAAACTTTCCATTGTCTCACTGGAAATGACATAGTGCATGAAGCCATGTACGAGCTACATTGATAGCTTGATTCTCAGTTATTTCAGAAGATTTGGCTGGATTTTGTTTAAATCACTAGTCTTCATGTTTCTTATGGAACTATGTTTACTTCTCACCACAGCCAATGTGGTGAGAAGTTCATTAAAATGTGTTCAATGTCTATTTTTGTGGAGAAAGTTTTAAAGTACTTGCCTTAAACTTTTGGAAAGTATATCAGCATTTCTGTGTGAATATACTTGTGTGTGTATATATATATGTATATGAAGGCACAGTGTATAGGAGACAGGCAGAGGGATGAGTGCACATTAAAAATATGTAGACATGAATTCTAGCCTTGATGCCATTCATAACTTTGCAATGTAGTTTTGGGCAAGCATTGCATCTCATTGTCCTCCCTTTTTAAATGCTTACTATGTGGTAGGAGCAGAATGGGAACGGTTAACAGAATGACTAACATATACTATTTGCCCTTAAAGAACTCCTAATCTACATAGTCTACTGACAAAATAAACTGGTAAATCCATAGTCATGGGGAAAATTAGCACATATGCATCTGTGCCCTGCATTCATAATATAATTCAAATACAATAACAACTCAATGACATGTGTACTATTACTATTTGCATATTGTAAACAAAATGACTAAAACATACATTTTAATGACTTTTCCAAAGTCCACTAGTTAATAAATGCAGTGATTCAAAGTTAGGACTGTTTGACACCAGAGGGCCACTTTTAAACATCATGCCATACTGCCTCACTTATCCACTACAATATTATAGCAATGATAGAGGTAACAAAGAGTGCTAGACTTTTCTTTTTGGTTCCTTTGGTCCAGAAACTGAAGAGAATAGTTCTTTTAGGGAAAGGTGAAGTGACATTTGAACTTGGCATGAAAATGTAGATTGCCACTTGAGGAAGGAATTGATAATAAGACTTAGGCAAAGAAAAGGGAAAAGGAAGTTCAGAGAAAGATGGTATTACTGTAGCTAGGATTTAGAATATTCAGGCTAGTCTGGTGAACATGAAGAAAGAATCCTAGATATAAGGAAAGAAGTATCAGATTGGGGGAGGATTCTAAAGAATCATATATAGTAGTGCTTCTCAAATTTTAAAGTGCATGAGAGTTACTTGAGGTGTTCATTCCAATGAAAATTCTGACTAGAAAAGTCTGGGGAAAAGCCTGATAGTCTGCATTTCTAACAAGCACACAAGTAATGATGCTCATATTTTGAGCATCAAAATTATATACCATACAAAGAAACATGGATTTGTTCAAATATTGAATATGCAATTGAATTTTTATGGGCAAGGGAGGAATATGGTCAGGTTTCTATTTATTTCAAAAATAAACAATAATTTTTGCATCACTGCTCAGGGTGACTTTCCTACCTTCTATACAGAAATGCATAGGGCCAAATAAGATATACTAGGCTTTGAAATTATTTATTGCCAAAATATACTAGATATTATTAGTTAGGATGTTCACCTTTCCTTGATATATAATCTTTTCAATATACACTAAAAGATAGATAGGTCTTCAATGATTCTAAGTGAAGTACAAGATACTAAATTGATTCACACCCTTGTATAATATTTTTAGTTGCCAATAAACATGATTGGATGATTTTATGCATTGATGGAGGTCTACTATTGGTTTGCCAAATGGGACAAATTTAAGCTTGTGAAGGAAAAGAAGATTGTTGTGCCTGCCAAATGGTTTAGACACAGCAAGCAGAGACTTAACCACTCAGCAGGGTCTCCATCCAATATCTACGACTGCTGTGTGTGTGTATGTCCTGCACTTCAAAGAAGCCAGTTTCGAACAAGAGCCCTTGAGATTCATAATCAGTAACTCCCACAGGCTTTACAGAGATATGCACCATTTGGTTTAAAGGCATAGCAGTAGCATAGTTGTAATAGGACAGCATATTTCTTTTCCCCAAAGGGTGGTGAGTCAAGGAAATATATATTAATTATTATTAGAATACATACAAGACCCCTCATCAAGATCTAAAAGGGACTTCAAAAATACATGACTGCTGCCATTTACAAATTGGTCACTTGATGCACACAAAATATTTGCTCCAAATCACAGATTTTAACATGGAGGGTTGGGTATAAAAGACTGCTCTTTACATTCCTAGGAATTTAGCTTCCTTGAGGATAGAAGTAACACTGTGATTTCTCCTGTGATATGATTTTTAATTCCAAATGCTTAATGGATATTTCCTCTTTGATATCTCTCTCTTCTGAACTCACGTTCCCGTGCTTTCACGTCCTGAATTTAACTTGTTAGACTTCTCATTACACAAAACCAAACATGTTCTCTTTCTTTTATATCCTTTCTCTGATTGCAACATAAAACGCATCGAGCTGCCCAAAGCCAGAAAACTCAAAGTAAGCCCTGACCTACAAATGCATGAATCTGATCCTAATTGGCATACAAATTAGAAAATTGAGCTAATGTGCATACCTCCACACAGCTTCCAAGCTGAATTCTGGGTGCCACACATGGGGGACCGATCTATGTAGCAGGGCAAACTTTAACCATTCAGCTAACATTTAAACATAGCCCATGTAGTTGAGTTGGACATTCTGGTCTCAACCAAAACATGACAACTGCCTGCAAAAATATCAACATTATCCACAGGATTTAAAAAGAACCCAGAGTCTCATAATATAATATTCAAAATGTCTAGGATATAATTCAAAATTACTCAGCAGAATAAAAAGAATCATGAAAATCTCAACTTACTTACATGTCAAAAGATGATAACCAACCAATACATGCCAATGACGAAGTGATACAGATGTTGGAATTATCTAATAAAGACTTTCAGGCAGCTTTTTAAGAAATGTTGAGCGAGCAACTTTGGAACAAACTTACTTAGAATGTAATAGCAAAAATATAATATAAAGAAAGCTCAAATGGCAAGTCACCAACTGAAAAATACAATAACCAAAATAGAAAATTCACTGGAAGAACACAATAGCAAAATAAAGATAATAATCTGTGAATGTGAAGATACATCAATAAACCTGATTGAATCTGAACAAAGAAAATACTGATTTTAAGAAATAAACAGAACATCAGGAAACTATTGAATAATATGGTCTAAAATTTGTGTCATTAGGGTTCCAGAAAGAGAGAAATAAAAAGAGCATAGTTCTAAAAAAAACTTTTGAAGAAATGATGGCTGAAAACTTACTAATTTTGGCAAATACATAAACTTATAGGTCCAATTGGTTCAGGAACTGTAAACAGAATAGCCCCAAAGAAAGTAATGCCTAGACATATCATAATAAATGTAGTGAACACAAAAAACAACAAAATCTTGAAAGCATCCAGAAAAAATGACATGTTACCAATGGGAAAATAATGATTCAAATAACCGTATATATTTTCATGGAGACTAGAAGGAAATGGCACAATATTTTGAAAGTGTTGAAAGAAAATAATTGTCACCTCATAATTCTTTATCCTGAAAATATCCTTCAGGACGAAAGTGAAATAACATTCTGAGATGGAGTAAAACTAAAATAATTTGTGGCTATCACACCTATTTTAAGAGAATTGCCAAAGAAAATTAATTATTTAGAGAATAAGGAAAATATACCAGAAAGACACTTGGAAAATCAGGAATAAAGAGCAACAGAATTAGGAAATACCTGGGTAAATTTAATAGACCATTTTTCTCTTGAGTTCTCTAAAATACATTTGACAGTTGAAAGCAAGATATTTAGCATTAGCTGATGGAGTTACAGAGATGTAACATAAGACAATTACAGGCTCGTGACATCAGCAAGGTGAAATATGAAGCCTTCATCTTGTATCCCCACATAGTAACCATAATTTAACAGCCATCATGGGAAAAAAGTGCCTTTGTAGGAGCTTTAGGATCCAGGTAGGAGGTTGCAAAAACCCAGTGGAGCCCAAGACTGAGGAAGGTCATTTTGAGAAGGCAGGACCAAGCCTAAGTGACAGGCTTTTTGACTATGTCCTGGAAACAGACCCAGAAATAGTCCTGTCTTCCTGTGGACTCTATGGCTTCATTTGGCATTGATGCTTCCACCAGTGCATGCCACTAAGGGGACTGAGACAAGTCACACCCATTGTACCTCAGATAACAGAAGGTCCTGACTGTGGACCCTGAGGTGGCCCAGTAATTTGGCTTCAGGTCCAGGAACAGTCCTGCCTGTCCAGGGAGCCCCAAGGGGATCTGACTGCAGATCCTGAAGCAGCCCCCTGTGATTCAGTATTAGCCCCTTTTAGTCATGGTCCAGGGTCAATGCTGCCTGCCCAGGAACCTTCCCAGTGAATTGGCAGGAACCCTCCCAGGGATCTGGCAGTAGCCACACTATCTGTACATGTGATAACAGGCCGGCTATCTGTGGGCTCAACTGCACACCCTGAAGTGTGCCAATCAAGTGTTACATATCATTTCTACTGACCAAGGTGCAAAAGGCAGGCTGGTCCTTCCAGAAATAAGACATAATTGACACTCACCCAAGCCCCTGGTCACAACCACAGACCCCTCTGCCTGCCCTGCGATAGCCACATAATTAGCTGTAACCCTATTTGACTACAATCCCTGCAGTAATCCCATCAGCCCAGACACTCAACATGAGAAGGCCTTTACTTGCCAAAAGCAAGCTATAAAATCTGGAAGATGTGTTATCTCCTCCAAATGCAAAATTGAAACACCAATGCAAGGCTACATGGATCACAAAGAAATTGGCAAAACTGACACTACCAAAGAAAACAAAGACCCAGTAACCAACCCTAAAGAAATAAAGATGTATGAATCGACTAAGAAATAATTCAAAATAATCATCCTACAGAAGCTGAGTGCAACACAAGAGACACAGATAAAAACAACTAAACCAAATCTAGAAAACAATGAATGAACAAAATGAGAAAATTAATAATGAAACAGAAACCATAGAAAGGAAATAAACAGAAATCTGTGAGAGGGAGAATACCATGCCAGAACTAAAAACATTTAATGGTGAACTTCGACAGCAGACTTTAACATGCTAAAGAATGAATACACAAACTCAAAGACAGGTCATTGAAAATACCCAGTTAGAGTAACAAAAAGAAAAAAAAATTAAAAGCAGTGAAGAAAGCACATAGGACCTTTGGGATATCCTCAAACAAATATATACATTATGAAAGTTAAAGAAAGAGAAGAGGGAGATAAAGGTAAGGAAAGCTTATTAAAAAGAAAATAATAATGGCTGAAAACTTCTCAAATCTTGAAAGGAATAGACACATCCAGATTTTTGAAGCTCAAAGGACTGCAAGCAACATTATCCCAGGACACATTATAATCAAATTGTCAAAAGACAAAGAGGAAATTTTGAAAGCAGCGAGAGCAAAGCAATTCATTACACACAAGGGAACACCCTTAAGTCTACGAGTGGATTTCTCTATAGAAACCTTGTAGGTCAGGAGGGACTGAGACGATATTTTCACAGTGCTGAAAGAAGAGAAAATGCCCGCCAATAATAATGTTGGCTTTTTGTATAAAATTGTGTTTCAGATCTGAAGGAAAGATAAGTCCATTCCCTGAAAAACAAAAACTAAGGAAGTTTATCATCACTAGGGCTACCTTACAAAAAACATTAAAAGGCAGTCTTCAAATTGAATGAAACCAACAAATGCTAAATGATAACATAAAAATATATGAGAGTATAAAATTCATTGGTAAAGTTAAATATGTAGTTAAATTCAGAATACTTTAATAGCATAATGGTGGGTCTTATTTTTAAATCCAGTAAAAAACATTAAAGGCAAAATTATTAAAAATAATAGCTACATGTGACACTCTGCATGTGTCCCCAAAACTTCATATGTTAAAATTTAATCATCTATGTGATAGTGTTAACAAGCTGGACTTTTTAGGATAGCTCTGCCCTCATGAATGAAATTATGGCCGTTATAAAAAGAGGCTGAAGAAATGTGTGCCCCGTTAAACATGTGAGCACATATAGAAGGCACCATCTATGAGCAACAGGCCCTCACCAGACACCAAATATGCTACCATCTTAATCTTGAAATTCCTAGCCTCCATAACTGTGAGCAATAAATTTCTGTTGCTTATAACTTATCCTGTGTAAGGTATTTTGTTATAGCAGCCCAAAGAGACTAAGACACTATAATAATTTGTTAATGGAGTCTCTTAGTCCATTTGGGCTACTATAGCAGAATATTATCCCATACTGGGTAATTTATGAAGAATAGAAATTTATTGTTCACAGTTTTGGAGTCTGGAAAGCCCAAGATTGAGATTCCTGCATTTAGTGAAGGCTGCTCTCCACTTTCAGGATAGCATGTTGTGTGTCCTCTGGAGGTGAGGAACACTGTTTGCTCACAAGGCAGAAGGCAGAAGGGCAAAAAGGTGCAAACTGACTCTGTAACTCTGTCAAGTTATTTTTTACAAGAGCGCCTAATCCCTAATTCCTCAATCTCCTACCAAAGTCCACAACTCCCGATACTGACACATCAAGGATTGAATTGCAACATAAATTTTAGAAGGCAAAAAAAAAAAAAACCCTCAAGTAATAGTATTCTGTCACTGCCCCCACCCCCAAAACTAATTTTCTTCTCACATACAAAATACATTAATTCCATCCAAATAGCCCCAAGTCTTCACTCATTCCAGCACTAAATTTAAAGTCTATTGTCTCATCTAAATCATATATGAGTGAAACTCAAGGCACAATACATCCTGAGGCAAATTTCCCTTCAGCTGCGAGACTGTGAAATCAAACAAGTGCTTCCAAAATACAATGGTGGGACAGGCAGAGGGTAGGCAGTCCCATTCCAAATGAGAAATGGGTAAGAAGAAAGGAATAATAAATTCCTATAAGTCCACACCGAGCAGGGCAAACAATATTAAGCCTTGAAGCTTGAGAATAGCCTTGACTACATCTCACCTTCCAGACACAACTGGGCAGGGATTGGGACCCCAAAGCCCAGGGTAGCCTTGTCCCTATAGCTTTTCTAGGCTCAGCCTATAATGCTCTTATTGTTTGGAGCTGGATCGCTGAAGCTCTACCAGGCTGTCATGGCATAGCATGCTGGAGGCTTTGAAGTTCTGGAGTTTCATGGGCAGCTGTGTACCCACAACTCCAGTAAGCACTGTTCTAGTGAAAGCTATCTGTGAAAGCTCCACCCCTGTGACAGGGTTCTGCAGTGGTTCCAAAACTCTCCAAGAAATCCTTTGGGAACGTAGCTGGAGGAAGCCATGACTCCACAATTTGTGCAGTTTATATGTCTGCAGAATTAGCACCATGTACACCAAGGCTTACCACCTGTTCTCACTGGAGCAGCAGCTTGAGCCTCACCTTAGCCACTTGAGTCACAACTGAGGTGGCCAAGGAGTGCTGAATTGGAATGCAGGAAGCAGAGACCTAAAGCAGCCTCGAGCAGTCAGACCTGGGGTCTCACAAAACAGTCAGAAAACAACAAAATGGAAATAGTAAGTACTCACCAATCAACAATTAAATGTAAATGGATTAAATTCTCAATCAAAAGTTACAAAGTGGCTGAATGGATAAAAAGCCAAGATACAACAATATTCTTCCTACAAAAGACTCACTTTAGCTTTAAGAACATACATAGAGTAAAAGTGAGGGGATGGAAAAAATATTCCCTGCAAATGATAACCAAAAGAGACCAGTGGTGGCTGCATTTAAAACAATTAAACCTTTAATCAAAAACTTGTCACAAAGACAAATAAGGTCACTATATAATAAAGGGGTCATTGTATCCACCAAGAGGATACAATGATATACACACGGAATGGATACAATGATACACACACACACCCACGCACACGCACACACACACATAGACACACACACATAGACACACACATATTCAACACTGAAGCACCTAAATAAATAAAGCAAATACTAATAGAACTGAAGGGAGAAATAGATAACAACATAAGAATAGTAGGGAACTTCCATACCCCACTTTCCAACAACAGATAAATCATCTAGACAGAAAATCAATGAGGAGATATGGATGCAAATAACATTATAGACCAAATGGACCTAGAATACAGGTACAGAATATTCCATCCAAAAGCAGATGAATATGCATTCTTCTCAAAAACACATAAATATTCTCCAAGATAGATTATATGTTGGACCATAAAACTGGTCTAACAAATTTAAGAAAATTGAAATCATTTCAAGTATATTTTTCAACCACAAAGGAATGAAACTAGAAATCAATAGCAGGATGAAAATTGGAAAATTTACAAATATGTAGAGATTAAAAACTAAACCCCTTAGCAACAAATTCATCCTAAAAGAAATCAAAGAGGAAATCTAAAAGTACCTCAAGACAAATAAAATTGGAATTACAACATACCAAAACTTACAGGATGCAACAAAAGCAGTTCTGAGATGGCAGCTTTTAGTGATAAATATCTACTTTATGAAAAAAGAAGAATCTCAAGCTCACAACCTAACTTAACACCTCAGAGAACTGGAAAAAGAAGAGGAGACTAAGCCCAAAATTAGCAGAAGGAAGGAAATAATAAAGATAAGAGCATAAATAAATAAAGACTTGAAAGGCAATAGAAATTATCAAAACAGAGTTTTCTTTTTAAAGATAAACAAAATTGACAAAACTTTATATTGACTAACCAAGAAAAAAAGAGAGCACTCAGATAAATAAAAATGTAAATGAAAGAAGCATTTAAAACTGATACCACAGAAATAAAGCATCATAAAACTATGAGCAATCATATGCAAATAAATTGGATAAACTAGAATAGATAGACAAATTTCTAGAAGCATACCACTTACTAAGAATAAGTAATGAAGAAATAGAAAACATGAACAGACTAATAATTAGTAAGTATATCAATAATCAAAAACTTTCCAATAAAGAAAAGCCCAGGACAAGATAGTGTCACTGGTGAATTCTACCAAGCATTAAAGGAGAACTAATGCCAATCCTTCTCAAACTTCTCAAACCACACATAGAATTACAGAAAGTATTTTTCTATGAACAAAATAGTATGCAAAGTCAGACACATATGCCTTAAGTTCTACAGCTATCTCCAAGTTCTTCTTTCCTCCAGGTTTCTGTACCATTAGATTTTTACAAAATTTACAAATAAAGTCAATATCTCTAGACAACAAGAGTAATTTGGAAGTAAACAAACCAGATGGGATTTAAATGGACCCCATCTCATAAAATCAGAATGCACTTCTTTCTGAAAAGTATTCACAATATAAACAATTGTTAAGCAAACCAGAGAAGAAATAACTGCTAGTAGACAGAGAATGTAAAATGGTAGACAAGTCCATATCTTCTTAAATGAGATTGTATAGGATAGAATCTGGGCTCTATAATTGAATAACTGAAATTTTGAACAAGTTTAACTCCTTGAGTCTCTATTTTCTCTAAAATGAGAAACCATCTAAGATTATGTTCAGAATTAAATAGGTTTATGTACATAAATCTGTTAGAACAGTATCTGGCTGGAATAAGCATTATGCAATGTTTCCTTGTGGTGGTAGTAGTGGCAGTACTTGTTATAGTAGTAATATATTGAGTATGAGGATTACAGTTAGCCATCCATACACAGACTCAAAGCCTTGCTCTTCTGTATACTAGTGTGAACTCCTCAGAACATTATAGATCCATTTTTAATTTTTTAATTTTTTTATATAACAATAATCATATCTATTGATACTTTGAAATGATTAAATGAGAAAATAATTATAAATGCTTGGCATAGAGAAACCTCTAAATACTGTTTACCATAATCATCACCATTATAATTATTATTAATTAACAAGAACTTGATGCCTCAACTAAAAGACATAATTTTCATCTAAAATATTAGAAATTAGAGAATTAAACCAGGATATTGCAAAGAATCACAAAATAATTTAATGTACTTTTCTTTAAGAACAGAAACTGTATTGGTAGAATATTTTCTACTGTCATGTTGAGAAAAACAAAATAAATTCAATTTTGGCTAATGAACTTGAAAAGTAAAATACACATTATATGACACAGTATCTTTAAAATTTTTTAAATATTTCTTAATTCTGTGCAAAAAAGCAGAAACCCATGGACTTGACTGTCTATTCAAATTCCTGTGCTGCAGAGGACTTATGTTACTGAAAGAATTCAACCTCAGTAGCTGACTTTATCTCTAATTCACAAGAAATTTTATTAGGATCATGGTACAATGTAAAGAGGATTGTATTGTAATTAGTAACCCTGAGTTTTAGTATTATTTTGTTTTTTTTTTTTTATTGCTGATCTAAACTTGAGCAATTTAACTCTTTTAAACTCCAGTTTCCTAGTCTAAAATAACAGTACCTATGCCATAAGCCTGCATGGAAAAGAATAGTATGATGACATAAGAAAAAATAATGACAGAAGAAAACTATTATGGTCGTTATTCAGAATATATGCATTTAGGTATGCATTCATTCGCTCATCCATTCAACCCACACTTTAAGGCCTTATTTACAATAAATTTGGAATCGCTTATAGAAATTAAAACTAAATATTTTTAGTTTTACATTAAATTGGGGGAAATAGAAATGTAGATCAGAAATATAGGTTGAGTTGGGGAGAGATGAACAATACACAACTGAAGAAGTCTTAAGAGCTTACATAAATCGTGTAGCTGAGTCATATATTTTACTCTGTTTCCTGAAAGTCAAAGTAAAAAAGGGAAGCGTATTTAGCTACATGGTTCTAATTAGTCATTCCAAACAACTGTGTTATTTTCTTTTCTTGCAGTTGCTCTAAAATCATTTTACTTTTTTACAGGGCCCATCAAAAAAGGGGTAGGCACTTAGCTACATAGGAGATAATGAGCAATGGGTCATCACCTGACAGGATACAGCAGGAAAACATTTTGTAGTAACTCTTCCAGAAATCTACCATCTCACTAAAATGCAAACTATTGAATGAAGTTATACAAGGCTCCAAAACTAGATGGCCCAACATTTTCCTTTTCACTGATATAGCTTGATCCAATAACTCATAGATTATCTAGAGAGATAGAGGATCTACATGTTTTTAATATAACTCCCCACAACTATCACCTTTCCAGTGAGGCTTTCAGTAACAGTTGGACTACAGACACTTTGACGTGTACTACCTGAGATGGGCATTAATGCCTGGAGTACAAAAAGTCTGATTTGTTGTGTTTGGCCAAATTCAGATGCTGTAGAGTTCAAAAAGATATATAGGAGTTTAGAAAATGCTACAAGATTCCTAATATGATTATATATACCTTAAAATAAGTGGCTTAAAAACAGGGGATAATTTTATAACCTACAAACAATATAAGCATCAAATTTATCCATGCCTTGGAAGTGTCATCTACTAGGAAACCAGAGTTCTTACGATACAGTTGATTACTTGAGAGACTGAGTGAAAATTATATGTGTGTATATATATATATATATATATGTGTGTATATATACACACACACACATATATACACACACATTACCAATAAATCACTCAACAAAGGGATGTATTATTCTTAAATAATAACTATTACTTTTCTCTTGATTCCTGTGCCTTCATTACCTTGCCATGATCAAATACTGCTTCTTGCCCTACAATTGAAAATAAAAGAGAACATCTGGTGATTTAGAGAAAAAAAAATACTGAAGAAGAACAAATGGGAAAGGCAAGTTAGATTTCTGCTTCTCCTATACGTATCTGTATGACTTTGGATAAGCCGATTACTTGAATTTTACTTTCTTCATAAAAAATTAGGACTTTGGATTATATTATACCCCAATTTTTTTCTAGATTTAACATTCCATGAGTTACTAATCTTTTGAAGAGTTAACATAGGTTCACGAGTAAGGCTGAGGACAAAAGGATGAAGATATATTTAGAAGGCATGATTTGAAAACAGAGCATTTAAAAGACTTACTAAAAATCTTAGCAAAGAAGACAGTTTGAGTTTTAAAAACATTGTATGGATGCAATAATGAAATTATAAGTAAACATCAAAATCATATCCAAGAATTATGATATTTATAACCTGATTTATGTTTAATGTCAGTTTAAGACAGCTATTTCAATTGTTTTGAATGTAGTGTTTGATGAGGTCAAGGCTGAGTTCAGTCTAAACAAAATCCAGTTAGTTAGTTCCAAAACTAGTAAGTAGATACTCTTGATTTAAGGGCAGCCACTGTGGAAGCCACAGCAGGTACTGGACAAAGTGTGAAGAAACCAAGGCAAGTTATTTCAAGTCAAAACAAGTCAGTCTGTGACTATGAATGCCTTCATGCTAGTGATATTACTGCCTGTACATTAAGGAATATTTAAGGTATAATTAATATATAATCAACATAGAAAAGACTATGATAGTTTGCAAGGACGTAATTTCATATGGAATATTTGGGCAAAACATACTTTGTGACAGATTGCAAAAAAAAAAAAAAAAAAAGGCCACAAATTCTTCCCATTTTTAATGCATCCCCTTTGCAATGTGACTTAGTTGCTCTTCCTTATAAAGCTGTGGCATCTTTCCCTCTACCTTTCTATCTGGGCTTGATTATCTGATTTAGGTTTGCACATTAGCAAATC
This sequence comes from Homo sapiens, assembly GCF_000001405.40. Classification (NCBI taxonomy): domain Eukaryota; kingdom Metazoa; phylum Chordata; class Mammalia; order Primates; family Hominidae; genus Homo; species Homo sapiens. Next base: position 22,809,435 of record NC_000009.12, read on the forward strand.
TGAAATTAGAGACTTAAAAAGGACCTGTGCATCGAGGCTTGTTCCCTGTTGCTGTTTTGGGACCCCAGAGCCAGAAGATGAAGAACCAATGCTGGCCTGGTAGTGCTGAAGACATGTGCCTGGTTTCTCTCATTGCCCCAGGCAACCACAACTCATATCAGTGAAGTCCTTCAGAGCAGGACCAAGGAGCACCCAGACAATCAAGAATAAAGAATAGAGGAATCAAGGACAAGCACTTAATATGGCACAGGCTAGATGAGCAGATAATCTGAGAATTGTAAAAACAAACACGCTCTATTAAAATGTGTATTAATCATCTTAATTCAATTATGACTTCATTAGTAGCATATCTTTTACCAAAGAAAAAGAAAGAGTTATTGTACAGACTAAGTAATCAGCAAATTAATCTTAATGTTTTGTTGTAATTTTGGCCACTTAGGCAAGTCATTTAATATTCAAAGCCTCACCTGCTAACTTATCTCCTGGCCACAAATCTTGACCTTGAAATCAGAATCTACAAAGACTACCAGAAAGGTCCACTTACAATTAAATCCGATCATGATCATCCTCAGGTTAAAAAAAAAGTCTGGTTCCTTATTGTTGACAATATAGGTATGAATTTTTGGTTTTAGCCTTAACAAGCTTTGATTAGGTAAAATATTAGTTGCCAATATAAATGAAAAACAACAAGCAGAAACTGAGCTGCTGTATTTGAATAAGAGGTGGGGCTAGAAGGCAACTATTTTGTTGATATCTTTGGAGAGGTTACAAAAGGCATGATTTGAACAAAAAGAAAAGGCAATAAATTAAATTTCAAGATCTTTAACATGCCAGTAGGTTTTAAGCTCCTCTACAGCCTCATCTCTAGCAACTTTTTGTCTTGCATTTTACATTTCAGTAATGCCAAACTACTTGTAGCTCCTGAAAGGTAGCATGTCACTTCAGACCTCCATTTCTCTGCCTTTGCTGTATTGATTCATCCAACTGAATAATCTTTCTCTGTTTTAGAGTAGTTCCTATTTGTTTTTTAAGGTCAACTTTAGGTGTATTCTCCTAAGAATCTTTCCCTAACTCTAGATGGCTTACATGAATCCCTATAAATCTGAGCCAGACCTATGCTTTCAAGTTACCTTTTTACATATATATCCTTAAGAGCAAGGGCGTGTGCTACCGATTCCTAGTCTGTGGAAGATTTTATGTGATACATAAATGTCTGAGACTACAACTCTGAGTTAGAGCAAGGCAAGTATTTTAAGTCAATAAAGTGACCTGAGAAGTTTGGCGGAATAAAAATTTTATCACAAAATATCTACTGTCCCTGCTTTTGCCAACCTATCATTTTTAAAAGTGCATGTATCTTAGAGATGTATTCTTTTAATAACCAAATTTATTGGTCTATAAGGGTCCATTGTGCCACTGGAAGGAGGAATAATTTAAATATTCCTTGATATTTTAATTTGTTTTCATTTACCAGATCTTTCTGAAAATATTAAAATAAAGCTGGAATGACATAAATAGATGGGAGAGGGAATTAAATGGCTGTGAGGAGAAAAGTATATATTCCAAAGATGAACAAATATTATTTGATATTAACATTCATTTAGAAATAATCTACTGGTTATGCAATATATATCAGAATGACTATAAAATGGTTAAATAGTTGAATTTTGCATACTTGCAAGCACAGGTGACTCAAATTTATGTTACACAGACAATATCATGGTAACTATGTTTCAGCCTGTGGGATGGAGAAGGGAATTTTAGAATTTATGATTCTTGCAACAGGGAGAATATTATAAAATCCCCCCATATGTGGCCAAGAACATAGAATGTATGTTCAAGGGCACCAAATGTAGGATGTATGTTCAGAGTATGCTCAAATATTTTTCAGTTATATAAGAGAAGGAGCCGACTTTTTTTTTCTTTCTTTCTTTTTCTAGACAGTCTGACTTTGTCGTCCAGGCTGGAGTGCAGTGGCACGATCTCAGCTCACTGCAATCTTTACTTCCTGGGTTCAAGGGGTTATTGTGCCTCAGCCTCCAGGAGCTGGGATTACGGGCACTACCACGCCTGGATAATTTTTGTATTTTTAGCAGAGATGCAGTTTCACCATGTTGGCCAAGCTGTTCTCAAGCTTCTGACCTCAAGTGATCTGCGTGCCTCAGCCTCCCAAAGTGCTGGGATTACAGACGTGAGCCATGGTGCCCGGCCAAAGCTGACATTTTCAAAGTACATTTTGAAGAAAGTAGACTTCACTGGTAAATTAATTCTCCGTTAAATGAAGACTTGGAATTATTGCAGAATACAGTTTTAAGTAGAAACAGGAACCTTGATTGACATACTGAACTAATTCTCCAACTGCAAACTGCTATGATACTGGAGTATCCTGAAATAAAATGAAGAGATACCGCAGAATTTGGATAATACAATTGTAATATAAATCTGGAATGTATTGAAACAAAATCAGTTCTCCTAGCTACATTTACCAAGGGTTTTTACCAATTTCTTATAAAGAAAAGTAGGAAATTTAAATTTTATTGCATTACATCATACATATATATGGAGTAATACAAGAAAATGTATATGAGTACATATGCGTGTGTGCGTGTGTGTGTGTATGTGTATATATTGTTTTATATATGTACACACACACACACATACACATACATATTTTTTGTTTTGTTTTGAGACAGGGTCTCACTCTGTCACCCAGGCTGGAATGCTGTGGCACGATCTTGGATCACCACAAACTCCGCTTCCCAGGCTCAAGGATTCTCCCACCTCAGCCTCCCAAGTGGCTGGGATCACAGGCGCACATCACCACACCTCGCTAATTTTTTTTGTATTTTTGGTAGAGACGGGGTTTCGCCATGTTGGCCAGGCTGGTCTTGAACTCCTGGCCTCAAGCAATCCTCCCACCTCGGCCTCCCAAAGTGCTGAGATTACAGGCGTCAGCAACTGCACCTGGCCATCTTATATTTATAGATTTCTATTAATTGAATATTGACCTTTATGCAGTTGTCATTCAATATTCCTCATCCACTTATTCTCTATCAATTCCTTTGTTGTTTCTATAATGTCCTAAATTAAGGAAGCTTTTTAATAGAGAGCAGTGGTTCTCTGATTGCATGTTGGCATCAGCTGGGGAGGGTTTAAAAATTACCAATGCCCGTGCCAGAATTCTAATTTAATTCATCTGGGGTGGGGACTATACAGCTGATATATTTTTGTAAATGCTCCCAGTGATGGTAATGTGTATACATGGTTCCACTGTTATAAAGGTATTCTCGGACAAGAAAGCCTTAATACGAGTCTTAGAGTAAACAGAACACAAAAAATTATAGCATTAGGCCTTAAAGTGTCTTATTTTTATCCATATGCTTTTTAAGTTTCAGTTATGTTTGATAACTTCCAAGACATTAAATCTTTGGTTATATATAGAACACCTCAGATTCAACTAGCTATGTTTCTTCTACAACAGAGATTGTACATGAGCCAGGATGAGACAAAGAAAATTTGTCATTAAAGAGTTTAGTAGGCCGGGCGCGGTGGCTCACGCCTGTAATCCCAGCACTTTGGGAGGCCGAGGCGGGCGGATCACGAGGTCAGGAGATCGAGACCATCCTGGCTAACACGGTGAAACCCCGTCTCTACTAAAAATACAAAAAATTAGCCGGGCGTGGTAGCGGGCCCCTGTAGTCCCAGCTACTCGGGAGGCTGAGACAGGAGAATGGCGTGAACCTGGGAGGCGGAGCTTGCAGTGAGTCGAGATCGCGCCACTGCACTCCAGCCTGGGCGACAGAGCGAGACTCCGTCTCAAAAAAAAAAAAAAAAAAAAAAGAGTTTAGTATTTACAGGAAAAACAACAGAGCTAAATTATATTAGTGGGGAGGGTAAAAATAAAGATTTTCACGGAATCAGTTCTCACTTGAATAACAAGAGAGGCAGGATATTGGAATGGAGGGTTAAAATATATGGAAGAATCTAAGTAACATAACAATGATAAGAAAACGAGACGATTAATAAATATCAGAACAAATTCAACCTTAATCACAAACATACTTAAAGTTCACTGTAATGCAGAGTTAGGTGTAGCTTAATGTCTGATTTAATACCGCAGATGTAAATCTCAGGCTCACAGAAAACACAGATGATTCTCCTTGAAAAACCCACTGGACTTTCTTGTACCTCTTTAAAAATTAACATTCCAATTGTAGATCTAAAATAATCTATGTGTTAGAACATGTTAGATATTCATGTTTATTTAAACTTCAAGACTTCCACATGGTGGCAGTAAGTAGCTGTTCTGTTCAAGGGAAAGAACTGGCACCTGCTCTGTATCTCCATGCACTGAAAATCTCTACTATAATGTGCTAGGGAATTCTGAATCATTGTAAAAAAACCCATCTTTAAGTTGCCCTCTGAGACCCATGTATTGGAACACACATGTTACAACTCCGATGATATGGCAAGACCAAGAACATCTGGCATCCACACTGAGGAAAGACATCAAGACTCGTGGGCTTTCTGGCTCTGCCAACCTTTCCAGTAGTGTTACTTGCAAATTCCATGAATAGCACAGTACAATAATTACAGTGCCTTGCCTTATCTTTATGCCTCTTGTTTTCTCCAGGTCAAGAACATCTTTTATTCCTTTCTTCACATAACTAAATTCTGCTCTTCATTTAGGATGACTGCAAGGAATCTATTAATATTTCTTTCTCTTTTGATGGCAAAAACTGCAATTACTTTTGCATCAATCTAATATTTCAGTCAGGTATTCTTCATATGACTGTCCACCTGATCATACACTTAACACTACCCTAATTCTTTTTACCCAATATTTTAATAATTTTATTCTCTGTTATACTACACTAGATTGACTAAGATCCTTCATCTCAGAAATGTCTCATCACCCATCACAGTTTTGACTCAAAACTGCCCAATTTACCAGACTTAATTTACATTTGGTTTTCCCTATAATATAGTTTAACAGCATACAACGATTGCTTTCATTATGACATTTCTAACAATTATAATTTTATGATTTTTATGTCATCACTTCTTTACTGTCTCTCTACAGGCAGAATCTAGCCTTTGTTATGGGGAACACCATATCTGTTTTATTCTTTGTTCTATTATTAACCCCTATCACAGTTTCTAAAACATAGTAAACATAAGTTTGCTATATTTCAGACATTTACTTTTGAAAAATAATTCAATGAATGAATAAATAAGAAAATATGAATTAAGGGATCAATAGGCAATATAAAGTTGAAATGATTATCTGACAATTCAATAAAATAATTATAAACTACTTCAAGTAATTGATAAGGTTTATTTCAGAATCAGCTAGACCATTCTTTTCTGCCTCTTACACTTTAATTATCTTTTATTAAGTACATCCATCATGATTTTCTTGGATCCCTAGGGAATTTACAAGTCCCTGAAGATCGTGCCTATTTTTAGTGAAATACAAGTGATCAACAGTTTGTTTAATTAGTTTTGTCTGGGCCTGATCCTATCATATCTAAAATTCAGTTCACTGCCTTCAACAAAAGGTTACTTAAACATGAAAATAGATAAATTGACAGTCATTTTATGTAGATATCTACATTCTTATCTTCACTTGGATAAGCAGAATACATATGCTACATTTCTTGATGCTATGAATTGCATGTTTGTGTCATCTTCAAAATTCAAATTTAAACTTAATCCCCAGTGCAACGTGTTAAGATATGGTGGATTTAGGAGGTGATTAGGTTATGAGGGCTCAACTTTCATGGATGGGATTAGCACTCTTACAAACAGGCTTGAGAGAATGAGTTCAGGCCCTTCTGCCCCTCTGCCTTCTACCATGTGAGGACATAGCATATTTCCCTTCTGCCATGTGAGGACACAGCTAAAAGGCACCCTTTTGCAAGGCACAAGGCCTCCCAGCTGAAAGGCCTTCACCAGAAACTGAATCTGCCAGAACTGTGACCATGGACTTTCATCCTTCAAAACTCATAGTTTCTGTTGTTTATAAGCTACCCAGTCTCAAGTATTTCGTATGGTTGTATAAACAGACTAAGACAGAAATTAGTACTGAGAAGTGGTGTGTTTCTCGGGCTGGGGTAGCTATCTCAGGCTGGCGTTGCTAGAGGAGAAAAAAAAAAAAAGAGAGAGAGAGGGAGAGAGAGAAGTGGCATGCTTCTGTAACAAATACCATTTGGAAGTGACTCTGGAACTGGGTAATGGATAGAGGCTGTACCCTAAAGTGCTATTCTGGTGACGGCTTAGAAGAGAAGGAGAAGTGTAGAGAAAGCTTGAATCTTCATAGAGATTACTTAAGTGGTCATGATTATAATGTTGGTAGAAATATGGACATGAGAGCTAGTTCTGGTAAGGTCTACAGTGGAAATGAAAAACAATGTATTAGAAACTGAAAGAAAGGCTACCCTTGTTATAAAATGGCAAGGAATTCAGCTGAATTATGTCTGTGTCCTAGTGCTTTGTGGAAGACAGAACCTGCAGCAATGAGCTAGGATATTTGATGGAAGAAATATCTAAGCAAAATGTGGAAGGAGCTGCATGGCTAATCTTGGCTGCTTATAGCAAAATGTAGCAAGAGAGAAATAATTTAAAGATGGAATTTATAATTAAAAAAAAAAGTTAAAGATTTGAAGAAGTATCAGCCTGTCCAGATTGTAAAAAATTAAAAAGTGTGTTAGGGAGAAGACACTAACGGTGTGGCCAAGTGAACATTTGATAATGACATTAGTATGAATAGAAGGAAGCCAGATACTATTTAGTAAGACAATGAAAGAATGACCCTAAAGGCATTTCAGATATCTTTGAGGCTGTCATTCTCATCACAGACCCAGAGTGCCAGGCCCTTGAGGGCAGGATGGTTTTATGAGAGAGGCTCATGTTGCCCATGGGACCTCAGAGGTCACTGCCTAGCATCGCCTCAAGGTTCTGCTCCATACATTCTGGCACAGCACTCCTTGGCCTCTCCAGCTGTAGCTTAGATGGCCCCAGGTGGTAAACCTTGGAGACGTCCATGTGCTGCTAACTCTGCATGCACACAGAGTGTATGAACTATGAAAGCATGGCTGCCTCCACCTTGATTTTAAAAGATGCCTTGAAGAGCCTTGGGGACCAGGCAGACAAATGCCACAGAAAGCTCCCAGTAAGGTGACACCATGGGGCTAAGACCACTGAAGAGGGTCTCCACAAGAGAAAAGCCTTTTGGAGATGTGCAGGTGAGGCTACCTCAAAGAACCCACAATTATAGAGCCACCAGCATGCAATGCCAGCCTAGAAGAGCCCACATCTACCCAACTCCAATCCATGAGAGCGGCTGTTGTGCTATGCTTAGAAAAGCAGTGAAGGTAACCCCCCAACAACCCCATGGCCTTGGGGACTCAACCCCTACCCCAACATATTCAGGGAGTGGGATATGGATTTAAAGAAGATTATTTTTAAGCCTGAAGATTTAATGTTATTTGCCTTGTTTGGTTTTGAACTTACTTGGAACCTGTTTCTCCTTTCTTTCTTATTTTTCCCTTTAGAATAGGAATGCTTATCCTATGCCTATCTCACACTGTATTTGGGAAGCACAAAACTTACTTATAGGTTCACAACTGGGGAAGAATTTGCCTCAGGATAAATCATACATTGAGACTCACCTGTATCAGATTTAGATGATATTTAGATGAGATTTTAATTTTTTTAGCTGATGCTGTAAAGAGTTAAGATTTGGGGGACTATTACAATGAAATGTATATATTCTGTATGTGAGAAAGACATGAATTTGAGGGGCCATGGGCAGAAAATGTACTGAGTCAGATGAAGGAAAGTTAGGAGGAATTTGGAAGGAATGTGAGTGATGGTGACATAGCTATGACAGCATTCTCTCCCACTTCCACCCTGCTGAAAAGTATAATAATCAGACTCAGTTCAAAAGAAATTGTGAGAAACCAACATTGCAATTCCTAGACAACAAGTCATCTGATTAGGGGTTGGGGGGAAGGTTTGAAGGAGCAAGTTGAGAACTTTCAAACTCTGATATCATGAGCCAGATGATCCCTAGAACAGCCTAGAGAAAGGAAAGAAGAAAGCAAGTAAGAGGGCTAGCATATACATAGGGCTTCCACACAGATGAAAGAACACAGATTTGCAATTGGAAAAACTTCAAATTTCACTGTTTTATTGTTTGTGCAAGTTTAGAAAAAAAAAATCCTCCAGGTCCCAACTTTCTCTTTGATAATCTAAGAATAATAGCATTACCCAGTGTTTTTGTGAATATAGTATGAACGTAGCGGGACTTTGATCAAAGTATTCCATTTCCTTTCTCTTCCATATAAGGTAAAAGCCATAGCTTTGAGTTTGTTAGTATTCACTCCAAAACTGAACTGAATATACAGACTACATTAGTTTTCCATAATTACCTGTGACTGACTTTCATTGAGAAAGCATATTTACTAGATGTTTAAATAGTAAGTAGATTCTTTGGCAGCCTGGTGGGATCTTGTATGAGTGCTGGCAATAATAACATATGCCTATTTCTCTCAAAGCATATTGATGGTGTTTTAAAATACCAGGAATCTATTGTTGTAACACCTCAACTGAATATTGCAACAGGTTAGGCTTTTCACTGAGAACTTATCCTGAGCACATGCATTACCTATTTCGGAAACAAAGAAACCTGTGATGCTGCATTCCATATCACAGTTGTTGATATACAGCTTCTTACACAAAGTGCTCTAGATGGAAGCCAATTGAGGTTAAGAATGTAGGACACTCAACGTAATCTGTAGAAAAGAAGCTTTTACAATAAAGGCAGAGTAGCTGATCTTAACACTAAAAAAAGATGGAAAGAATAATGAAGGACAAAGTGAGAAGGCAGAATTCAATACACCCTCTCCACTCTAACAGAGAAAGCAGCTACAGTAAAATACTTCCATGTCTGGTACTTTAAACTTAATACAATATTTTTTCTCAGTTTACAAAATATTTCTTATAACTTACATATTCTTCAACAAATCAGAATGATCTCAAAATGAAATAAGTTGTTTAAGAGGGAATATAGCAGCAACCAAACTATTAAACTACCTTGTAAGCCTGTATTTTGTGGTGATAATCATATTAAAATTCCAAGGATTTGCTGGGGAATTAATGTTTAAATGTTTTTAAAAGTAAGCCCCCATTCCTGGTTATACATTCCATCTCTATAGCTCTGAGTTTCTTAGACATCCTACAACTTAGTAACACAGGTGATTCTAATGTAAAGTCAACTCTTGGACATCTCTGATTTAGTTTGTTTTATCATTTTCAATTATCATAGAGGAAACATTTGGAAAAAATAATTAAATTGATTAGAGAATAGAAGTCTCAGGCTATTGTTCATGTCCTTGGAAGTAAACTTGAGTATATAGGGCTAGCTGTGGGAAACTATGTAGGCAACAAGTCAAATTAAAATCATGTGATTGGAGAATGGGAGGAAGTCTGAAGTCAAATTTGCACTCTTTAGAATTTTGCCCACAATATATTGTAAGACAAACAACAACAACAAAACAACAATAGGCAAATGAGAAAACTCAAGTTATTTAAGCTCAAATATACAAATGCCACTTACATGAACACGTGAATCATTTCACGGTTTTACGTCCTGATATTTCCACTTGCATTCACTCTTCCTATATCTATGGTTACTGCCATATTTCAGACCCATGATACATTTTACCTGTGCTGCTGAAGTATTCAAATTGATTCTCATTGTTTTCATTCTCCCCATCTCTATTCTATTCTCCACAGTGAATCCAAAATGACTGTTCCCATACATCCAATCTGCCATCTTCAAATTCCTATGCCTATCATACGACTATGTGTTCTGACCTCTGCTTATCTCTTGACTATGCCTCTTGTCATAGTCACATGTACACTCCACACTTACTGAATATGTACAGTTTTCAGAACACACCTGATGTAGATTATGTTTTTAACCCCAGTGCCGCCACATTCATGCTACTTCCTCTTTCGGGCCTTTCGCTACCATCTGTACCTTCCCTACCTATGGTCTAGTTTACCTTTATTTTTATGAATGGAAGCAGCTATAAGATACCCAGAGAGTTTAGGAGAGTCTTGTTGTAATAAAGGTATTCACTGAGTTCTATTTGCTCAAGGAAAAGCACACTTTAGAGATGCTCTTTTTGAGTCATTATGGTATCAAGTTGGTATTGTTATTGCATGAATCAATGAAGAATAGTCTGATAATGGAAACACTCAATGGGGATATTTGCATAAATGCTCTGTTTTGTTATATTGATGTGAAAAATTCTGATCCTCTTTCATTAAGGTGATTTTTGTAGAGCATTGTGAATCACACACGCACACACACACACACACACACACACACACACACACAAATCCATTTCCATCTACATTCAAATTTTACTGCATCTCAAGAGCCTAGGAAATTTTAGTGTGGGAAAAGAGCTGTAGAGAACCAGAGCTAGTAGCTGTTGCAATTACAAAATGATCAGAACATGTCTACATTATCAATCTAACTTACCCTCTGCCACTCCATTTTGGGGTTAAAATAGAATTTAAAGAGTCTGAATATTTTGACATGATAGAGGGTTAATCTTTCAGGAAATAAAATTTGAAAACCTGTTCAATGTCTTCACGATGTCATAGAAACACAGAATAAAAGAAGCAACATATTTGTAGGGTAGATGCTTAGTTTTGAACACTAACTTCAAATCAGACACTTAGAAGTTATACGATATTTTAACAAACAATTTAATTTCCCTGAACTTTATTTTCTGCATCTGTATGTAATAAAATTTACTTCACCAAGTTAGCTAGAAAGTCAATGAGAGAGCATAAAGGAATGCATTTTGTATACTATAAAACTGAAGAGATTGCACATTAATCACTAAGAGATTATGTTAATATAAAATTCATAATTATCACACATTGTAAGATAATTTTATAATTAATATGACCATGACCAATTATTATCATATTCTGGGCTGTGATTCTTGCATTTTCAATCACGAAAAATCAATTACGATAATATCAAAAATTATTGTGGATAAACTCCTGTAATATCATTGATAAAGAAAAAGCATAATGGCAGACAGTATTAGGATAGTGCAAACATAACTGTGGTTTTTTGCATTGTTGAGATTTGCTGTTTGATATTGGAATACATTCTTAAATGAATGTAGGTTATACATCATTTAACTGTTCATTTCTCAATTTATAATTTTTTTTGCTAATGACTTCTTGTTATTTATTTTATATTTATTTAGACTATGGAAATGATGTTAGACAAAAAGCAAATTTGAGCAATTTTGTTATTCGGGTTCAAAATGGGTCGTAAAGCAGCAGAGACAACTCTCAAAACATCAGCAACACATTTGGCGCGGGAACTGCTAATGAACGTACAGTGGAGTGGTGGTTCAAGAAGTTTTGCGAAGGAAACGAGAGGCTTGAAGACGAAGAGTGTAGTGGCCAGCCATTGGAAGTAGACAACGACAAATTGAGAGCAATCATTGAAGCTGATCCTCTTACAACTACAGGAGAAGTTGCCAAGGAACTCACCATCAATCATTCTATAGTAGTTTGGCATTTGAAGCAGATCGGAAAGGTGAAAAAGCTTGATAAGTGAATGCCTCATGAACAGAGCAAAAATTTTAAAACATTGTTGTTTTGAAGTGACGTCTTCTCTTATTTTACACAACAATGAACCATTTCTGGATCGAATTATGACATGTGATGAAAAGTGGATTTTATATGACAAGCTGCAAAAACCAGCTCAGTGGTTGGATGGAGAAGAAGCTTCAAAGCACTTCCCAAAGCTGAACTTGCACCAACAAAAGCTCATGGTCACAATTTGGTGGTCTGCCGCCAGCCTGATCTACTACAGCTTTCGGAATCCCAGCGAAACCATTATGTCTGAGAAATATGCTCAGCAAATCGATGAGATGTGCCAAAAACTTCAAGGCCTGCAGCCGGCATTGGTCAACCAAAAGGATCCAATTCTTCTCTACCACAACGCCTGACCACATGTCACATAACCAACCCTTCAAAAGTTGAATAAATTGGTCTACAAAATTGCCTTATCTGCCATATTCACCTGACCTCTCACCAACCAACTACCACTTCTTCAGGTATTTCGACAATTTTTTGCAGGGAAATTGTTTCTACAACCAGCAGGATGCAGAAAATGCTTTCCAAGAGTTCACTGAATCCCAAAACATGGATTTTTATGCCATGGGAGTAAGCAAACTTATTTCTTGTTGGCAAAAATGTGTTGATTGTAATGGTGTCTATTTTGATTAATATAGATGTGTTTGAGCCTAGCTATAACAATTTAAAATTCACAATCCAAAACCACAATTATTTTTGTATCAACCTAATACTATAGATTTAACAATATTAAATTACAAAGCCTTTTAATTCAAAATAACAGGCATATGTCTTTTGGGTGAACAGTAAAACAGTATATATATATATATATATATATATATATATATATATATATATATATACACACACACACACACATATATAAAACATATATACTGACCATACGTATACACACGTGTGAGTGTGTGTTTGTGTAAACTCCATGCTTGATGGACGGATGGAATAGATCTGTGAGCAACAAAACCACAGTTACTCAGGAATTCTTGACTTAAAAGTCAGCAGCATCAGTGCTAGATGAATGCCATATATACATGAATAGAATCCAAAAACCTATCAGCCTAACTCCAAATTTTAATAACTTCCTCAGTGTCCTCCCAGCACTTAGTAATAGGGCCAGTATTGTTTAAATACTATCATTTTTTCATCGATTATTTAAGTTTCTTGTCTGTTCACAGATACAGTATTTGAAGATTCCAAATTCCTCAATAAAATTAAATTGTTTATTTTCATTAGCAAAGCAAAGTTCTGACAAAATATTTGATGCCTTATTTGAGGTGTTAGGAAAACGACTGGAATTAGATCAATGGTGTTTTTTATAAAGCAAAACCTGCTATAAATATAGATTAGATTTGCAACCAGATTTCATTAACTTATCAAAGGAGCAGTGGGTCAGCAATTTCGAGACATTTTCCTTCAGAACTCTTGTCACATTCCAGAATTTCTCAGAATGATTTTGGTATTTATATGGGAATTTCGAAAGAAACTTCAAAAGAAAGTATGTGACTAATTCTACATGCCTGCATTTTGTTACCTAAATTCTGGAGAGGGACATGTAATGTCAGATGACGACATCTCTACCCTCCTTGCCACCTAGGTACAAAACCTCAGTCATCCCTATACATTCTTCTCTTTCTTACTTTTCAACCACTTGACATCTAAGTATATATGTATGGTTGTTATCCCTAAAATAATAGCCAAAGTTGTCCTGCATTGAATTTGTAAACCAATCTGAGAATAACTGAAATCTTTATAAAGTCTTCCAATCCATGAAGATGATTTATTCCTCCATATATTTGAGTTCTTTTAAATATCATTCATAAAGTTTGTTGTTTTACAGGTTTATTCCATGGTACTTGGTATTTTATTTTGCACATTTTTGTGATGCTGCTATATTTTGCCTGCAACTAACCAATGGAAATTACTTAAAATCCTTCACCAAACCTTTCACTTAGGCATTGATAGCACCCATCAGATGGACAAATTATTATTTGTTGGACCAGGCCTTTTCAAAACTATCAAGCAGATAGTCAGGTCCTGTGAAGTGTGCCAAAGAAATAATCCCCTGTATGCAGGCCATACATTTCAATCTCTGTATCTTTAACCTCCTTGTTAAGTTTGTCTCTTCCAGAATCAAAGCTATAAAACTACAAATGGTTCTCCAAATGGAGCCCCAGATGCAGTCCATGACTAAGATCTACTGCGGACCTCTGGACCGGCCTGCTAGCCCAGCTCCCACATTAATGACATCAAAGGCACCCCTCCCGAGGAAATCTCAACTGCATGACACCTACTACGCCCCAATTCAGCAGGAAGCAGTTAGAGTGGTCGTTGGCCAACCTCCCCAACAGCACTTGGGTTTTCTGTTGAGATGGGGGACTGAGAGACAGGACTAGCTGGATTTCCTAGGCCAACTAAGAATCCCTAAGCCTAGCTGGGAAGGTGACTACACCCACCTTTAACCACTAGGCTTGCAACTTAGCTCACACCCGACCAATCAGGTAGTAAAGAGAGCTTGCTAAAATGCTAATTAGGCAAAAACAGGAGGTAAAGAAATAGCCAGTCATCTATCGCCTGACAGCACAAGGGGCGGGACAATGATCAGGATATAAACTCAGGCATTCAAGCCAGCAATGGCTACCCACTTTGGGTCCCCTCCCATTTTATGGGAGCTCTGTTTTCACTCTATTAAATCTTTCAACTACCAAAAAAAAAAAAAAAGAAAAGAAAAACAATTAACTTTTTTATATATCAGTTAAATTCATCCATGATGTTTTTTATGTTTTCTGTATTCTTACTGGTCATTTTTCTATTTGTTCTATCAAGTATCCAGGAATATGTGTTAAAGATGTCCACTTCAATTGTGAATTTCTTGAGTTGTTCTTTCAGTTTTGTTCTTTTTTTACCTTATGCATTTTGAAGTTGTATTATTTCCTGCATACAAATGTAGAATTGTGGTGTCATTCTTTTGGAGTAAACCATGATCATTACTGGCATGACTTACTTACTTACTATCTATCTAGACATGTTGATTGCTTCAATTTCTACTTTAATCTTAATAAAAATACACCAACTTTTTAAAAAGTATTACGTCTTGTATTTCTTTCTGTTTGACTTTATTATTACATATGCTTTTTTCTCTTCATTTGCCAGAGTCTTTGATTGATCAACAAGCTGTTTTAATCTACCATTTTTTATCTCTAACATTTTATGTAGAGCTTCTCTTACTTTTTAGTTATTCAAAAGATGCATCTTTCAATTATTCTAGTCTTAAACGTAAAGATGACTTTTTTCATTTACTGACAATGTCAGTAATCCAAAACTTTTCTATTTAACTCCTTCTACCTTTTATGTTATTGTTGTCCTGAATTTCATTCTACATGAGTTGAAACCTCATAAGGGATTGTTGTTGTTTTTATGCAAACATTTACTTATATTTACCCACATATGTACAGTTTTCTTATTGCTCTCTATGCATTCTTACAATTTTCTACTTTTATATCTGTCATCATTTCCTTCTCTCTATTAGTATTTCTTTTTATTCATATATTTTAGCAAAACGTTTTCTCAGTATTTGTTGTCCAAAGTGTCTTACATGGTTTTTTTTTATGATGTTCAGAAACTGAGATTACTCAACATTTGGCTACATTTCGGGGGTAAGAGTCTGAATTGGATTCACCCTGCTTCCACAGTGTAGTCTTCTAGGTATCCGACTGAAAATCAGTAGTTGCTCTTGACTCTTTTGTAAATGAACGAAAATACACACACACACACACACACACACACACACACACACACACACAAATGTTATAAGATTTTTGGAAGTTTTTCCCAGATAGGTAGTTAAATAATAAACATAATTTAAATTGTTTAGAACAAAACATAGCTCAAATGATTTATAGTATTTATGGTATTACCATATTAAAATGTGTGAAATTGTATATCTTTATTGAAAATTTAATTGTACATATTTATTGAAAGCTAAAGCTTCTAATAAAAAAGAATAGAAAATCCCAAAAAGAAAATATTATTTCTAAGTGCAATTATATAAAACAATAGAATACAGATATATTAAATAAAGATACTATCTGTATATCTTAATTTTATTTACTATTTTAATCTATTTTATGACTTCCTATTGCCCTATGGAAAATTTTCTCAATTTTAATATGTCATTAATTTATTATTTACTCCAAACGTTTATCAATCCTGCTGTTTTCCATATATGCTTGATTTTCAAGATATTGATTTCTTTCTTTAGATAGCAACTTTTTTCACACTTGACATTTTCACTAAATGAAAATTTCTGTTATTTGTATGATTTCTATTCTTGCTTTATATGAATAATAGCTTCTTTATCTAATTAAATATGTTTATCCTGCCTATTTTATATTATTGCCCCACCTGTTCCACAAATATGGTGGTATATGAGGGTATAAAATGTTATATAATAATTAATCTTTTAAAATAATAAATAATCTTTTAAAATAATAATATTTGAACTCCTCAGATACGTAGCTATTTTGGCTTGTTTAGGTCTATTTGAACTATTCAGATGTATAGCTATTTTGGCTTGTTTGGGTCATAGTCCCCAATGCTATGAGCGACTTTGTTCGATAATATCTATAAAGGAATGGCTGATGGCAAAACCCCAGTCTGTCTCAGTCTTGGTGAGTTCAAGGAGATGAGAGAGATTAATCCTTAAAGTAGATAAACTGAAGCACAATAAACTAAATATTAATAATAGCAGTTTGCTTTTCTTTCATCAGTTTCATCTTTAAACTCATGGAGAAGAAGTACCAAAAAGTGGCAATACTGTCAGACTTTAACTATCAATCTTGAGGAGCCAGATGTACGAAACACAGAGGGAAATGATTGAGTAAATACTTGTCAGTCATGTTCAGCCTTTACCTTTCTCATTAACTTTCAACTCCACCTTTGAAATCAACCACACAGATGCCAACCAACTTGACTGTTGGTGTCAATAGATTAAATTACAGGGTATAATAATCCAACGGCAGTGCAGGGGAAAGATTAGAGAAAAAGAATTTTCCTTTAACATTTTTCTCTCATTAACGCCTCTGGCTTTCCCTGACACCTCCAATCACTCACCTATCCATGGATCCATCACAGTTGTATTTTGGGAATTAAGGAGGTCTGGTATCCATAAATACTTTTGATTTTATAGTTTCTAAAGGGATGTCAAGAAATGTTGTCAACAATGTGTAATACATCACTATATTACTTGAATTACTTGAATTTATTTCCATAATTTTTATATTTGTATTGTTACTAAGTATTTTTTGAATCATTCACTATAATTTTATAAAAATAAAATAATGCACTACATATTCTTTTTGGTCTGACTCTTCACTCAGCTTAGTTATTTTGAGGTTTTCCGTGTGTGTGTGTGTGTGTGTGTGTGTGTGCGCGCGTGTGCGCACACATGCGCGTTTAGTAGAAATGGGGGATTCACCATGTTGGCCAGGCTGGTCTCGAACTTCTGGCCTCAAGTGATCTGTCTGCCTCGGCCTCCCAAAGTGCTGGGATTCCAGGCATGAGCCACCACACCCAGCCTATTTTGAGTTTTATTCTCATTGTTAAACATATCTATAACCCACTCTTTGTGATTGCCAAGTAGTAGTTCGTGGTGTAGATATATCACAATTTGTTTATTGTGATAAAGTTGACATTTTAGTTTTCCTCATTTTTTTGGCTATTACAAATAAAGCTTAGATAAACATTTGCTTCTAAGTCTTTGTTTGGATATATCTACTTAATTTCCCTTGTGCAAATATCTAGAAGTAGAATGGCCACCTCATAAGATAGGTACTTGTTTACTTTTTTAAAGAAACTTTCAAAATATTTTCCAAAGTAACATCTAACATTCACATCAGCTGTGGATGAGAGTTGTAGTTTACATACCTCCTGACCAACACTTGATATAGTCAGTCTTTTATATTTCACATATTCTAACCAGTGTGTGTAGTAATTTCTTATCAATATAAAGGGGAGTTTATATATTATATATATAAAATACAAAGGGGAATATATATAGTATATAATATATATGGGAATATATATATGTATATATAGGAGTTTATTAAGTATTAATTTAAATGATCACAGGGTCCTGCAGTAGGACCTGTCTGCAAGCTGAGGGGCAAGCAGAGACAGTCCGAGTCCCAAAACTGAAGAACTTAGAGTCTAGTGTTCGAGGGCAGGAAGCATCCAGCATGGGAGAAAGATGTAGACTGGGAGGCTAGGCCTGTCTCACCTCTTCACGTTTTTCTGCCTTCCTTTTATTTGCTGGAAGATGATTAGATGGTGCCCGTCAAGATTAAGGGTGGGTCTGCCCTCCCTAGCCCACCAATTCAAATGTTAATCTCCTTTGGCCACACCCTCACAGATATACCTAGGATTAATACTTTGTATCCTTCAATCCAATCAAACGGACATTCAGCATTAACCATCACACCAAGTATGGGCATAGTTTCAAAAATTCCTCATTATCGATTTCCAGTTTTAATCCATTATGGTGAGAAAATATGCTTAATATTATTTTATTATTTTAATGTTTTAAAACTCACTTTGTGATCTAACATATTGTCTATCCTTGAGAATGAGCCATGTGCTGAGGGGAAGAATGTGTATTCTGAAGCCATATGATAAAATGTTCTGTAAATATCTATTCCTTCTGTTTGTCCTACAGTGCAGATTATGTCCAATGTTTCTTTGTTGATTTTATGTCTAGAAAATATGTCCAATCCATAAAGTGGGGCAATGAAGTCTCCAGCTACTATTGTAATGAAGTCTCTATCTCTCTTTGCCTCTGTTATTTGCTTTATATATGTGGGTACGCCAGTGTTGGGTGCCTATATTAATTTAAAATTGCTATATCCTTTTGCTGAATTGACCCCTTTAACATTAGTGAATTTCTTTGTCTCTTCTTACAGTTTTTGTCTTATAGTTTTGTCTTAAAACCTGTTTTGTCTGATGTAAGTACAGCTACTCCTGCTATTTTTTGGTTCCTATTGGTAAGGGATATCTTTTTCATTTCTTCATTTTCAATCTATGTGCGTCTTTATAGGTAAGATATGTTTCCTGTAGGCAACAGATGACTGGGTCTTTTTAAAAATCCGTTATGCCACTCTATGTCTTTTGATTGGAGAAATTATTTCATTTACATTCAATGTCATTATTGATAAGTAAGGACTTAATTCTGCCATTTTGTTATTTATTCTCTGGTTTGTTGTTTTGTGATCTTCTCTTCCTTCTTTCCTTCCTTCCTGTCTTCCTTTTAGTGAAGGTTATTTTCTATGGTGGTATAAATTAATTTCTTGTTTTTTATCTTTTGTAAATCTATTTTATGTTTTTTAATTTTTTATTAGTTGAGTGACCTTATTTGAGGTGAGGAATTGAAAATGAATGCTGGTGGTGGGAGGAAATGATAGAACTTGAGATTACTTAGGATTAAGTGAACTGGGTTCAAGTCGCAATCCTGCTACTAGATGAGAAAGTTACATCAAGGAGGGATTTTTTTGTTTTTGTTTTTTCTTTTCTCTGTCATCTTCATTTCCTCTGCTGTTAAATTAAGGAATCATTCTGGGTAATCTCTACAACTCCATCCAGGCCTATAATTCTGTGCCGAGCGCCATGCATGGGTAGGCTTGCTCAATATTTATTTGTAGAATATACACAATTTTAAATCACAAAAGAAAATCCTGACATAAAGAAGTAAATCTGTTTGCTTCTTTCTACAATTGGTACCTTTCGACAACAGAGTGACTCTTTTAATTTCCAAAGTAATAGCCATTTATAGACCAAGAAGTGAAATTAATCAACAAGCAGATGGTTTGGCACATCCTCTCCTTTCCTGGTACTCAACTTATTTTAACTGCAGTGAAGTCTTATTTGCTTAGGGACTAGGAGATCGACCTTAAGCATCCCAACTACCTATTGGGTCAAGGCCACTTAAAGGGCAGATGACAGCCAAGGTAAACAATTCAATACTCCTCAAGCATATTTTTTATTTGAAGTATTAGCCTGATTTCTTGTTTTCTTTCCAATGGACTTTCACGTAATCTGATTCTGATTACTAGTTGATGAGAGAATATTGAGGTTTGACTTTTGTTCCTCAATCTTGCTCCTGACTGTCCAATCTACTGTTGTAAAGCATGCCATTTCACGTTCTTGAAATTTTATTCTCTTCTATTTGCAAAATGAGTGGCACTTCTCTAGTCCCCAAGAATGATTCATTCATCCTGGTGTGTGGACTCTCACATTATTATTTACTATCTGCTGTGAAAAGCACACAAAGTTCTTGGCAAAGCTGGAGTTGCAGGAGTCCTATCAGCAGGTTGAAAGAGGGAGACTTGATGACTGTGCCCAAGACATGCTCAGGTTCTCACTCCTTCTCTGGTAATGTCTTTGTTATGACCCTGATTTTTGGTTCTTATGATAGTGTTTTTTCTGTGTAGATAGTTGTTAACTTAGTGTCCTTGCAAGAGGAATAATTGGTGGAGTTTTCTATTCCACCATGTTGTTCTGCCACTCTGGCCAGGTGACAATTTAGGACCTCTAAAATTCCACTAAAAATGTATTCCTTCTGATACTCCTATTGTATGTTTTTTGATTGAAGTTACCACATGGCTTGCAATTACTGTCTTATAACCTGTTATTTTAAACTGATGGCAACTCAACCCTAATTGCATAAACAAACAAGCAAGCAAAAAGAAAACTAATAAAAACTCTACACTTTAACATTGTCCCTCTACGTTTTAACTTTTTGTTGTTTCTATTTATATATTTTTGAACTGTCTATGTCTTGAAAAGCTGTTCTAGTTATTATTTTCAATGGGTTCATCTTTTAGTCTTTCCACTTAAGATTAGATTAGTTTACACGCCACAAATAACATTGTTATTATAGCCTGAGTTTTTTTGGGTACTTACTATTACTAGTGAGTTTTGTACCTTTAGATTATTTTGTATTGCTCATTAACCTCCTTTTCTTTCTGATTGCAAAACCCCATTTAGCATTTATTGTAGGACAGGTCTGGCATTAATGAAATCCCTCAGCTTTTGTTTGTCTGGGAATGTCTTTCTCTTCCATATCTGAAAGTTATTGTTCCAGATATACTATTCTAGAATAAAAATATTTTTCCTTTAGCACTTTAAATATGTTATTCCACTCTCTCCTGGCCTGTAAGGTTTTCACTGAAAAGTCTACTGCCATATGTATTGGAACTTCATTGTATGTTATTTATTTCTTTTTTCTTGCTGTTTTTAGGATTCTTTTTTTTAATCCTTTACATTTGGAAATTTTATTATTGAATGCCTTGAGGTAGTTGAGGTTATTAATACTGAGCGTCAGCTTAGTATCCAATCCAACTGATTGGATTGAAGGATGCAAAGTATTCATCCTGGATGAATACATTCATCCTGGATGTGTCTGTGAGGGTATTGCCAAAGGAGATTAACATTTGAGTCAGTGGGCTTGGAAAGGCAGACCTTTCCTCAGTCTGGATGTACACCATCTAATAAGCTATCAGCAAATGTAAAGCAGGCAGAAAAATGTGATAAGGTTAGACTGCCTTAGCCTCCCAGCCTACATCTTTCTCCTGTGCTGGATTGCTTCCTACCCTCAAACATCAGACTCTAAGTTCTTCAGCCTTGGAACTCGGATTGGCTTCCTTGCTCCTCAGCTTGCAGACAGCCTACTGTGGGACCTCGTTATTGTGTGAGTTAATACATGTATATATATATACATATATATATATATATATATATATATATTCTGTTCCTCTTGAGAACCCTGACTAATACAGATTTTGGTAACAGGAGTGATTCTAGAGGAAGAGAATATTAAGAATGGAGTTCTTTCATTGATTTTGGGGTTTCTGGAGTTGGATGCTTAATATGATTAGATCCAAAAATGCTGAGCATTCTACTTCTAATAGTATGGAGAACACTGATAGTCCTTGGCATGAACTGTTTAGAGAGTTATGCAAAATGAATTCATTTGATACTCCCGATTCACCACTCATGAGAGGCAAGGAGTTTAGTGACTCTATACAAAAGACATTTGACTACATGAGTAGAACCAAGGAACATAAAAAGTTGGTTGATTGCTCCTAAGTTCACTGGACAAAGTGATGAAAGAAAATGATGAGCTCAGAGATTCTAACTCCCAGTTTAGAAGCAGATACTGTCTCAAATCTGCTAAGATTGCCATGAGTAAGAGTCTTATCTCCTGCAGAGAAAGAGCTGTAATTGTGGAAAAACAGACACAAGCTCTTATCATGCAAGTGGCTGACCTGCAATAAAAGGTGCATGCACAGCCTTACCAGGTGGCTACTGTTAAAGTGAGGGCATTGACTGGAAAAGAATGAAAGCTTGCAACTTGGAAGGGGATATGTGGGAGGACCCTGATGAAGCTGGGGACAACGAGTTCGTAAACTCTGATTAACTTTTCTTGCCAGAAGAAACAGCTTTCCTATCCCCAGTAGTGGCAACATCCCCTCCCCGACCCACACTCCTATCAGCCTTTCCACCTTTGTCCTAGGAGATAAACCCTGAGCTGCCTGAGGCAACAGTGATGGCCTCCTCTGAGGCAGTTTCCAGGCAACATAATGTTGATTCTCCTCAGGATCCACTCCCAATACCCCTTTTTACTTCTAGACCTATAAGTAGACTAAAGTCCTGGTGGGCTCCTAGACGTGAGGTTGAGAGTGTGACCTATGAGGAGGTATGCTACACTCGTAAAGAACTGCTTTTGTTTTCTAATTTATATAAGCAAAAAATCTGGAGAACAGGTATGGGAATGGATATTAAGGGTATGGAATAATGGTGGAAGGAACACAGATTTGGATTAGGCTGAATTTATTGATTTGGGCCCACTAAATAGGGATTCTGCATTTAACGTTGCAGCTTGATGAGTTAAAACAGGTTGTAATAGTTTATTTTCTTGGTTGGCTGAGATAAGGATTAAAAGATGGTCCACTGTGAGTGAGCTGGAAATGCCTGATCTCCCTTGGTTTAATGTAGAGAAAGGGATCCAAAGGCTTGGGAAAATAGGGATGGTGGAGTGGATTAGTTACTTTATACCTACCATCCCAGCTGGGAGAGTCCAGAAAATATACCCTTGACCTATGCTTTGCAAAATAGATTTGTGAGGGCAGCACCTGCATCTTTAAAGAACCCTGTAATTGCTCTTCTCTGTATGTCAGATCTAATGGTGGGAACTGCAGTCACTCAACTACAAAACTTGAAGACAATGAGAATAATTGGATCCCTGAGGTGGCAGGGACCAAGTGGCAGCACTCAACTGTCAAAGGGAAGGTGGGTGTAGCTACTGTAATGGATAGTAGAGGCGAAGCAGCAATCAGAATAGTCTGACTCAGGTAGAGCTCTGGCATTGGCTAATTAAGCACAGTGTTTCTAGAAGTGAAATTGAGAGGAAGCCTACTGCATTCCTACTTAATTTATATAAGCAGAAAACTTCCAGATCAAATGGACAAAAGAATAATTTGAATTAAAAAAACAGATTATTGACTGTGTGCAGTGGCTCACACCTGTAATCCCAGTACTTTAGGAGGCCAAGGTGGGTGGATCACCTGAGGTCAGGAGTTTGAGACCAGCCTGACCAACATGGCGAAACCGTGTCTCTACTGAAAATACAAAAATTAACTGGGTGTGGTAGTGAACAGCAGTCCCAGCTACTCAGGAGGCTGAGACAGGAGGACTGCTTGAATCCGGGAGACGGAGGTTGCAGTGAGCTGAGATCACGCCACTGCACTCCAGGCTGGGTGACAGAGCGAGACTCCACCTCTAAACAAAACAAAACAAAACAAAAGCAAAAAATAAAAAATAAATAAATAAATAAATAAAAAACAGAGAATTGGGGCCCCTCAGTCAATTTCCAGACTTGATTCAGTTTACAGACTCAGAATTCCTTGAATGAAGGGGAGGCTGGGTCCCCCTGAGGAAGGACCCCATTACACTACCAAAAATTTATGCTGTTAATCTTTCTCCCGTCCTTCCACAAGGAGATCTCTCGCCTTTTACAAGGGTAACTCTGCATTGGGAAATGGGAAATGATCAGACATTTCAGGGGCTACTGGACACTGGCTCCAAGCTGACACTGATTCCAGGGGACCCAAAACGTCATTGTGGTCCTCCAGTTAAAGTAGGGGCTTATGGAGGTCAGGAAATTAATGGAGGTTTAGCTCAGATCCGACTTACAGTGGGTCTAGTGGGTCCCTGGACTCATCCTATAATCATTTCCCCAGTGCCAGATGCATAATTGGCATAGACATACTTAGCAGCTGGCAGAACCCCCACATTGGCTCCCTGTCTGGTAAGGTGAGGGCTATTATGGTTGGAAAGGCCAAATGGAAGCCACTAGAGATGCCTCTACCTAGAAAAATGGTAAATCAAAAACAACATTGTATCTCTGGAGGGATTGCAGAGATTAGTGCCACAATCAAGGACTTGAAAGATGCAGGGGTGATGATTCCCAGCACATCACCGTTCACCTCTCCCATTTGACTTTGCAGAAGACAGATGGATCTTGGAGAATGACAGTGGATTATCATAAGCTTAACCAAGTGTTGGCTCCAATTGCAGGTGCTGTACCAGATGTGATTTCATTGCTTGAGCAAATTAACACATCCTTGGTACCTGGTATGCAGCCATTGGCTTGGCAAATACCTTTGTCTCCATTCCTGTCCACAAGGCCCAGCAGAAGCAACTTGCCTTCAGCTGGCAAGGCCAGCAATACACCTTTACTCTCCTACATCAGGGGTATATCAACTCTCCGCTTTTGTGTCATTAGCTGATTTGGAGAGACCTTGATTGGTTTTCACTTCCACAAGATATTACACTGATTACAGTATGCTGATTGGATCCAGTGAGCAAGAAGTATCAAACACACCAGATTTATTTGGTGAGACATCTGTGTGCTAGGGGACGGGAAATAAATCTGAGTAAAATTCAGGGACCCTTTACTCCGTAGAATGTCTAGGGGTTCAGTAGTGTGGGGCCTGTTGAGATATTCCTTCTAAGGTTAAGGATAGTTGCTGCATTTGGCCCCTCCTATAACCAGGAAAGAGGTACAACGCCTAGTGAGTCTTTTGGATTTTGGAGGCACCACATTCCACATTTGGGTGTGTTACTCTGGCCCATTTATCCAGTGACCCAAAAGGCTGCCAGTTTTGAGTGGGTCCAGAACAGGAGAAGGCTCTGCAACAGTTCCAGGGTGCTGTGCAAGCTGCTATGCCACATAGGCCGTATGACCCAGCAGATCCAATGGTGCTTGAGGTGGCAGTGGCAGATAGGCATGTTGTTCGGAGCCTTTGGCAGGCCCCCATAGGTGAATCACAGCAGAGGCCTCTAGGATTTTGGAGCAAGGTCCTGCCATCTTCTGCAGGTAACTACTCTCCTTTTGAGAGACTGCCCTTTGCCTGTTACTGGGCTTTGTTGCATATAGATATATATTCATTTATATATCTATATCTATATCTATATCCATATCTATATCTATATCTGTATCTATGTACATATCCTATTGATTTTGTCCCTCTAGAGAACCCTAATACTCTGTCTTCTTTGAGTTAAATATGCTTGGTGTCCTATAATCTTTTTGTACTTAAATATTGATATATTTTCCTAAATTTCAGAAGTTTTCTTTTATTATTCCTTTAAATAGATAATCTATCCCTATCTCTTTCTCTACCTCCTTTTTAAGATGACTAACTCCTAGATTTGGTCTTTTGAGGCTATTTTTTATAGGTATGCTTATTCTTTTTTTATTATAGTTTTCTTTTTTCTCCCCTGATCAAGTATTTGCAAATTCCCTATCTTCAAGCTCACTAATTTTTTTTTTTTTTTGCTTATTTCTGCTATTAAGAGACTGTGATGCATTCTTCAGTATATAAATTACTTTTTTTGAAGCCCAGTATTTCTACTTTATTTTAATCATTTCAATCTCTGTTAAATTTATCTGATAAAATTCTGAATTCCTTCTCTGTCTTTTCTTGAATTTGAATTTCCTCAAAACAGCTACCTTAAATTCTCTATCTGAAAGTCCATATATCTCTGTTTTTTCAAGATTGGTTCCTGGTGCCTTATTCAGTTTGTTTGGTGAGGTCATGTTTTCCTGCATGGTCTTGATGCTTGTGGATGTTCATCAGTTTCTGGTTTGAATTGAAGACTCTGAATTGAAAAGTTAGGTATTTAATTTGTCTTTGCAGTCTGGTCTTGTTTGTACCCATCCTTCTTGGGAAGGCTTTCCAAATATTTAAAGGGACTTGAATATTATGATCTTAGCTATATTTGTATTAGGGGGCACCCGAAGATCAGTAGTGCTGTGATTTTTGCAGCCTTGTATAGGAGCCACTATGGTGGTCTTGAATAAGATCCAAAAGATTTATCTGGATTACCAGGCAGAGACTCTTGTTTTATTTTCTTACTTTCTCCGAAACAAATGGAGTCTCTCTGTCTGTACTGAGCCACCTAGAGCTAGGGGGTGCAAGGACACAAGCACCACTGTGGCCACCATCACTGGGACTGCACTGGGTCAGACCTGAAGCCAGCACAGGACTGTGTCTTGCCCAAGGCCCGATGTGAACCACTACCTGGCTAATGCTTATGTTTGCTCTAGGCTCTAGGATTCTACAATCAGCAGGTGGTGAGGCCAGCCAGGATTGTGTCCTTCCTTTCAGGGCAGAGTTCCCCTTGGCTTTGGGTGGGTCCAGAGATGCTGTCTGGAAGTCAGGGGCTAGAGTCAAAAACCTTAACAATCTACCTGGTGCTCTATTTTATTACAACTAAACTGGTGCTCAAACCACAAGGCAAAGTTCTTCCCACTCTCACCTCTCCTTTTCACAGGCAGAGGGGCCTTTCCCCCTGGCCACTACCACCACAGACCCATGGAGGGTACTGCCAGGTTACCACTAATGTTCACTTAAGGCCCGAGGGTTCTTCAGTCAGCCTTTGGTGAATGCTGCCAGGCCTAGGACTCACCGTTCAGGGCAGTGGGCTCCGCTCTGGCCTGGGGTAGGTCCTTAAATGCCATCCAAGAGCCAAGGCTTGGAACTGGGGACCCCAAAAGCTCACTTGGTGCTCTACCCCACTGTGGCCAAGTTGATTCCTGAAGCCTGCCTGAATTAGAGTCTCACCCAAGGCCCATGGCTTACTATCTATAGGTTATTGCTGCTGGTTCTTCAGGGAAAAAGGGCTCTTTAGTCAGCAGGTAATTAATCCCGCTAGGACTGGGTTCTTCCCTTCAAAACAGGCAGTTTCCTTCTTGCTCAGCGTATATCTAAATATACCATGTTGGAGGTAGGGCACAGAACAAAGACCACATGACTCTTCCCAGTGCCTCTCCTACTGTGGCTGAGCTGGCATTCAAGACACCAAAGTCCTCTTTGCTTTTCCCTTTCGTCTCCTGAAAGCAGATGGAAGGAGTCACTTTTGTTGCTGTGAGCCGAGCTACCTGGCTTTTGGAGAGGGGTGACACAAGCACTTCCATAGCTTCCCTAGCTGGTGTCCCATATCCACTGGCTTTGAGCCCAGCATAGCATTAGGACTTGCCTTGGAATTGCAGTCCTTGTGGCCTAGATGGCTTTGAAATTTATTCAAGACCCCAGAGCACTTTAGCCTGTGGTGGCAAGGCTTGCCAAACTTCAAGTTATAACTACTGGGATGGACTAGTCCCCTCTGGCTAGTGCTGGTCTAAATGCTCCCTCTGTTCATGGCCATTGGCTGAGTTTAGCCCTGTTTTGCTTCTCACTATGACAGGGCAGCACTGAGTTCTACACAGGGTCTCACAATCACTGCTGCCCTCTTCCTCCAAGTGCACAGATTATCCATGCCATGCAGTGGCTGGTGGGAGGATGGAGGAGAGGCAGCATCAGTGATTCAACTGTCTTTCTTAGCCTCTTCAGTGCTTCTTTCAGCAGTATGGTGTTAAAACAAGGTACTGTAATTGTTCACCTGATTTTTGATTCTTATGGAAGTACTGTTCTTTGTAGATATTCAATTGATGTTCTTATGGGAGGGAAAATTGGTGAAGGCTTCTATTCCACCATCTTGCCTCAGTTCATTTTTTGACATACAGATAAATATTTTTCATCAAATTTGGGAAGTTTTGGCCACTCTTCCTTCAGACATTCTTACTATAATTTCACTTAGCTATCTTCTGGTATTTCTATTATGTGTATGTTGTTATACTTAATGGTTCCCCAAAGATCTCTGAAGGTGTATTTATTTTTCTTTATTATTTTGCTTCTTGTTTCTCAGACTGGTAATCTCAATTGATCTTTCTTCAGGTTTGCCAATTCTCTCTTTTGTCATCCTTAATCCACTTTTGATCATCTTTAGTAAAGTTTTCTTTTAGTTATTGTAATTTTCAACTTTAGAATCTCTATTCTTTAAAACAATTTTTTACCTCTTCATTGATATGCTCCATTTAGTGAGACATCATTTCTATAATTCCTTTTACTTTTTAAAATATTATTATATTTAGTTTTTCACACATATTTATAATATTTACTTAAATTATTTATCTAGGATTTCTCAGGAAGTTTCTATTAACTGTTTTTCTTTTCTATGTATAGGCAATACTTTCTTGAGTTTGTTTGCATGTCTTATAATTTTGTTGTTGTTGAAACTGAACACTTTAAATAATATAATGTGGCATATTGGAAAATCCAATATCTTCCCCACCTCAGGTTTGTTTCATTGTTCTTTGTTGTTGTTTCTATTGCTCTTTTTTTTTTTTAAAGTTCCTTTCTCAGGTCTCTCTCTAAAGTCTGTATTCTTTCTTGTGCATGGTCACTGAAGGTGGCTTTTTTAGATTAATGTCAATTAATGATTACACATAGATGTCCTTAAATGTCTTAAACCAATAAATGTGTCAGGGAACATCTTCAGTGCTCTAGTAGGCAGTTTTAAACCTCGTTCCTGTGCAAAACCTTGAGGCTAGCCAGGTGAGATGAAGGCCTTCTCAGCTCTCTCTTCCTAGACATGCAAACAGCCCTGTACATACATGTGGTGTCCTAGTTTCCTTAGAATATTTAGAAGTTTTTCAAAGGCTTCAATAAACATTTCAATTCCCAGTTTATGTGTTTGTCTTAAGTTTTTTGGTCAGCCTCTTGTTAGTTTTAACTAGAATTACTGCTTTAGGCATTTGCCATGTTAAACAATAGCCATTGAGAATTATCAACAAACATCCTAGGGTTTAGGTTTTCTTCTCTATGTGACTCCTAAGTCAGATCAAATAAAGGCACGCCCTGTGAATGGTGCCTTTTCATAAAGC
The DNA here is from genome assembly GCF_000001405.40 of Homo sapiens. Taxonomy (NCBI): domain Eukaryota; kingdom Metazoa; phylum Chordata; class Mammalia; order Primates; family Hominidae; genus Homo; species Homo sapiens. The sequence goes on from NC_000009.12 coordinate 22,838,455, forward strand.
TGGTGCCATAAATGGTGCCTTTTCATAAAGCTGAGAGGTCAAAGAGTGACAATTATCTCGGGTGTACCCTTTGGGAGTGCCAAACTTATTTTGCCCCATCAAGTGGCTTCTAGGTTGCTCGTTTTCACAGCTGCAGTGGCTCTAAGGCTGCTGATTTTCAAGGCTAAGGTATCTGAGGAGAGAAAAATGGAACTAGGTAAAGTTAAAATGCTACAACTCTCATTGTTCTTTTAACTGTCTGTCTTGAATAAATGCAGCTTGCATTGTTACAAGCCCTTTCTAATTCCTAGAATTCTGAAAAAGTTGATTTTGAGAGTTTATGGCATTCTTCTTACTGTTTTTATGGAGAGCAGAGCTCCTTACTCCACCATTCTGAAAGAGCTTTTTTGGATGTTTGATTGATAAGTTTTAAGAGTCCTTACATATTTTGAATATAAATCTTTTATCAAATATGTGATTTGCAAATATCTTTTCTCAGTCTGTGTCTTTCCATTCCTTAACAGTGTCTTTTTCTGGGAAATTATTAATTTCCGTGAAGACTATTCTATTGATTTTTCTTATATTGGTCTTGCCTTAGGTATTAAATCTAAGAATTTTTGCCTAACTCAATGTCACACAGATGTTCTTTTATTTCCTCTACTATATTTGAGTTTTATATTTTACATTTATGTCTTCAGAACTTTTTTGGCATATTGTACAAGGTATAGATCACTTTTTGTATTTATAATATTAATATCCAATTGTTAATCATTTGTCAAAAGAGGATTCTTTCTCCCACTGAATTACCTTTGCACCTTTACAAATGTATGGGTCTGTTTCTGAACTCTGTATCATCTTTGACTGATGTATTTGAGTATCTTGATACCAATACTACACTGTCTTTGTTACTGCAGCTTTATAAATACTCTTGATATCAGGCACTGTAGGTCCTCCTTTTGAAAAAAAAATTTTAAGTTGCTTTGCCTTTTTTAAGGTCATTTGCATTTCCACAAGAATTTTAAAATCAGGTTACAGAATTACTTTTTAAAATCCTTATGGGTTTGATTGTAACAAAGTTGAAGAAACATATCAATTTGGGAGAACAGGCCTTTTAACAATTGAGTCTCTTATCATTCCTAATATTAGTAATTTGTGGGATTTTAAAAATCCTTGTTAGTCTGGCTAGAGGTCTTTCTCAAAGAACTAACTTTACATTTTTTATCAACTCCATGGTTATACTTCTGTTTATAGTTATTTGATGTTAGTTCTGTTCTTCTATAATTTATTTTTTCTGATTATTTTGTATTTCATTTGCTCTTATTTTTCTAGTTCCTTTGTGGCAATAGCAAACAACAGAAATAATATTTATAGAATAAAAATATACAACCTACATTTTCCCATGGCAACAAATACCCTACATTATCTTATTTTAATTTTTAGAATATTTTATTTAAAAATAGAGATGGTGTCTAACCAGATTATCCAGGCTGATCTTGAACTCCTGAATTCAAGCAATCTTTCCACCTCAGCCTCCTGAAGTGCTGTACTGGGATTACAGGTGTGGGCCACCATGCCTGGCCAATTGACTTTTTAATATCAGTTTTATAACCAGAAATTTTGTTAAATTTTCTTCTAAGCTCATTATTTATTTTGAATTTGCCACACACACGCAAATATATCATCTGTCAATAATTGGCAATGTATGCTTTTTCAGTATTTCTGAACAAATAACACCTGTAGTAGAATGCTGAATCAGAAGAGGTAGCTGACATCTTTGACCTGTTAAAAGAAATAATTTTTATATTTTATCACCTGTATGATGAGTATATTTTCTGTAGATGCATTACACCAATTTAAAATTTTTCACTTCAGTACAAAGTTTACTATAAAATTGTTTTGAAATTTTAAAAATCATGGTTGATTTTGAATTGTATTAAATATTTTTCTACATCTAGTGAGCACAGTATGTTATTTTCCTCTTTTAAACTGTTAATAGTGAATTGCCACAAATACTAAGTTCTAGTATTCAACAGCACAGTAGGAAAATTATAGTTAAAAATAATTTATTGTCTATTTCAAAATAACTAGAACAGAAGAATTACAATGTTTCTAACACAAAGAAAGGTTAAATGTTTGAAATGATGGATATCTCAGTTGCCTTAATTTGATCATTATATGTTGTATAGATGTATCAAAATATCACATGTAACCCAAAAATATGTACAAACTACTATATTTCCATAAAAGAGGAAAAAAAGCAACCAGAGAATAATAATGATGGGAATATTGTGGTAGTGGGGAGGGTGCTGTAGGAGTCCAAGAGCCTACATGCTATTGCTCTGCTGGAGGTGCCATTGTAATTGCTCCAGGTGCTGTAGCCATTGAAGAGGGAACAATCAGACTAGAGCTGTGAGGACTGAGGAGAGGTTGCTAAGGCTAAAGGTAGAGTTCCCAAGAAGACTCAGGAATTTGAGATGCCCATGAAGCAGGGAGATGGAGAGGTAGGAGGTCAGGGGAGAGAGAGAAAGAGAGATTACTAAGGAACAGAGGCTCTTTCTCCTCTCCTACCTGTTTTTTGTTTGTTTTTGTTTTTGTTTATGTTTTTTGCCAGAGTCTCCTACTGAGAAGCCAATTGACAGAGGAGTCTGGGAAATTCAGTTTTCACCGTCTCTCCCATCCTTTACAGAGCAGAGTAAGAGGCATTAAAAAATTGCCTAATATTAAATCAAATTTGTATTGCTAAAATAAATATTGTTATAATACATTTTATAATATTTTCTTTAGGATTTCTTTATCTTTTGTACCTACAATCACAAATGAGAATGCCCTGTAATTTTCCTACCTTGTTTGTGACTCTTTGGCTTGAAAATAAAGGTTTCTCCAACTAATATAAATGAGAATGATGAAGAGTAGCCCCTCTTTTTATGTTCTCTGGAATAGTGTAGATAATTTTGAAACTGCAAATTTTGAAATATTCCTTGAATATTTGATGAAATGCTCATAGACTCATCAGGTACCAGTGTTTTACTGAAGTAAGATTTTTACCTTCTGATTCAATTACTTTATTTTTCATATTTTAAACCTGCTTGCTTAATGTAGACAATAACCTTCACTCCTAATATCCACTTATTTTAATCTCTACAGCATCTGTGGCTATATAAAATGTATTCCTGACATTATTAATGTCTTCATTCATTTTCTTGATAAATTTTGTAAGTAATTGTCTGTTTTATTAATCTCTTTACAATCCGTTTTTCACTGTTGATTACCTCTAATTTGTATAATTGAATTACATAATGTTATTAAAAATTGTTCTTATTTTATATTTTCACTTATATTTTATTTTGCTCAATTTTGTTATTCTCTTATAACTTGTTAAATACATTGTTCACTAATTAATTTTAGTCTTTCTTTGTATAAAATTATTTTCTTATATTTGTGCTTAGTGGCAACCCACAACTTTTTCTCTTGTATATATTTTTTAATTTCAAATATGACTTCTTATTTGAAGCACGAGATGTTAAATCTATGTTTTTACATCTCTAAATATATTGTTTTAAATTAATTGCATTGTTGCTTGATAGTGTTATTTCAAAAATTCCAACCTTTTTAAATTTGATAAAATAAGCTTGTTGGTGTTGTATAAAATTATTTTGTTTTAATATTACAAGTTTGTTGGAATATTATGTTATGTTCCCTAATTTGGGGGTGTCATGTTCCATAAAAATTAAGCTTTGTTTAGGTCATCATGGTGTACTGAATCGTTTTTGAGAACTAAAATTTTGTTTCATTATTAAGTGAACTGCTTCATTTTTATTTTGGCTTTTTTGCCATAGTATCAATATATCTCTCATAAAATATTGTTTAGCATTATCCCAACATACACATGTTCACACACTTTAGCTTTTATTATTTCTGTAACCTTGGCTTTATATGCATTCCATGTATAACATATAGATGAATTTTTAAAATTAATTCTCACAGTCTGTGTTTAGAATTGCATGTGGATATGTTTTCCTACATTATTATGATTTTAATTTCTTTTTGTGTCTTTTTTTATTTTTTATTTGAATGCTTTCTTTTTCTTTCTTTCCTTCCCTTTAACTCTTTCTTTCCCTTCTACTTTTCCTTCTATTTGTACAGAAGTTTTTGACACCATGGCTAGTTTTTTAGAAGTCAAGATATTTTAATATGTGTATATAACAATGAATTATCTTTACCCTACTTTTGAATAATACAAAAGTTTCCAAATTATTTTAATCAAATTTCTATTTTTCCACATATTTCATCCACTAAATAATTGAAGCCTTTATACTTTTGTATCATGTATTGTTTTAATGTACAAGCACTTTTTGTGGAGATTTATCCAAATATTGATAGGATGTCCTTGCTCTTGTCTGCCTTTTTTTTTTTTTTTTAATTCTAATGAAGTACATCCTCTATAGCAGCAGTCCCCAACCTTTTTAGCACCAGGAACCGGTTTCGTAGAAGATAAATTTTCCACAGGTGGAGGAGTGGGGTGGGCAGGGGGTTGTTTTGGGATGAAACTATTCCACCTCAGGTCATACGGCATTAAGGCATTAGTTAGATTCTCCTAATGAGAATACACAACCTAAGTCCCTCTTATGCACAGTTCAAAATAGGGTTCACGCTCCTATGAGAATCTAATGCCATCACTGATCTGACAGGAGGTGGAGCTCAGATGGTAATGCTTGCTGGTCCCTGCTTACCTCCTGCTATGTGGCAGGTCCTAAAGAGGCCACCGACCAGTACCAGTCTGCAGCCTGGGGACTGGGGATTCCTGCTCTAGAGTTTTCCTAATGTGCAACTTTTGGATATAAATGCAGATTTTGTTTTACCTAAAATGTTTTCATTCTTCCTAATGCCATGATAAGCAAAACACCGAATCTCAATATCTGATACCATGGAAGTTTATTTCTCATTCATATTGAATAAAAGGGGGAATTCAGCAGGCTGCCTCCATTCAGTGATTTGGGTATCCCCTCTTATCCTGTGTCTCTGACACCCATTAAGAAATCTAAATTCTTCACTTTGCGACAGCATAGGGTAAGAAGAAAAGAGAAGGGTTATTCAGTTACATATTTTTCCAGGAAGAGAGACAGAAAGAAAGAGAGAAAAAGGAAAGAATGTGGATAGGGTACACACAAGCCCTATCTACATTCTATTGCCCAGAATTAAAACATGATTCCACCTAATTTCAAGCAAGTGTGGGAGAAATAATCTAAGTATGTACCAGAAGGAGAAGGAACAATGTTTTGGTGAGATCAGAGCATTCCCTGCCAGACCTTTCTTTTAGACAGATAAGTACGTGTTTAGAATCTGAGGTTGAGAGTTATTTCTCTCAGAATGTTGAAAATACTATTTCATTGTCTTATTTTCCCAATATTATCTTTTCCCAATATCAACTGACTTGGAAAAGTCAGTTGATAAGCTAAGTGCCTTTTAGGTGGTTCACAAGTTTTCTTTGATATTTTAAATCTCTTTGTCTATCAGACATACTGGGGGAATTGTTTTAGTACTTTAATGTGTACTTTCTCTGTCTCTCTCCTTGTCTCCTGCTCTCTCTCCTTTTCTCTCTCTCTTTTTTTTCTCTCTCTCTACGCTACACACACAATTCGTCTATATGTATACATATACACACAGTATACAAATACTCAATTTGTTTTTGTATATATAATTTTTAACATATTTAAAAAGAGCCTTAGTGGGCTGTATTAGTCCATTGTCATACTGCCATAAAGAAATACCTGAGACTGGGTAATTTCTAAAGAAAAAGAGGCTAAATGGACTCACAGTTCCACCTGGCTAGGGTGGCCTCATAATCATGGCAGAAGGCAAAGGAGGAGGAAAGGCATATCTCATATGATGGTAGGCAAGAGAGTGTGTGCAGGGAAACTGCCCTTTATAAAACCATCATGAGACTTATTCACTGTCACAAGAACAGCATGGGAAAATCCTGCCCCTATGATTCAATTACCTCACACTGCGTCACTCCCATGACACATGGGGATTATAGGAACTAAAATTCCAGATGAGATTTGGGTGAGGACACAGTCAAAGCCTACCATTCCACCCCTAACTCCTCCCAAATTTCATGACCTCACATTGCAAAACTAATCATGCCTTACCAAGAATCTCCCAAATCTTAACTCATTTCAGCATTAACTCAAAAGTCCGCAGTCCCAAGTCTCATCTGGGACAAGGCAAGTCCCTTTCTCACTATGAGCTTGTATAATCAAAGCAAGTTAGTTACTTCCTAGACACAATGAGTGTACAGGCCACTGGGTAAATGTACGCATTCTAAATAGGAGATATTGGCCAAAACATAGGGCAGTCCCCATGCAAGTCCAAAAACCAATGGGGTAGTCAAATCTTAAAGCTCCAAAATGATCTCCATTACTTCATGTCTCACATCCAAGTCGTGTTGATGCAAGAGGTGGGTTCCCATGGTCTTTGAAAGCCCTATTGCTGTGGCTTTGCAGGGTACAACTCCCCTTCTGGCTGTTTTACAGGCTGGCATTGAGTATCTGTGGCTTTTCCAGGTGCATGGTGCAAGCTGTTGGTGGATCTACCATTCTGGGGTCTAGAGGATGGTGGTCTTCTTCTCACAGTCCCACTAGGCAGTGCCACAGTGGGGACTCTGTGTGGGGGCTCCCACCCCACATTTACCTTCTGTACTGTCCTAGCAGAGGTCTTCATGAGGGCTGGCCCCTGCAGCACACTTCTGCCTGGACATCCAGGTATTTCCATACATTGTCTGAAATCTAGGTAGAAGTTCCCAAAACTCAATTCTTGACTTCTGTGCACCTGCAGGCCCAACACCATGTGTAAGTCACCAAAGCTTGAGGCTTTCACTCTCTGAATCAATGGCCTGAGCTGTACATTGGCCCCTTTTAGCCACAGCTGGGATGCAGGGAACCAAGTCCCAAGACTGCACAAAGCAGCAAGGCCCTGGACCCAGCTCACGAAAACATTTTTTCCTCCTAGGCCTCTGGGCCTGTGAAGGGAGGGGTGCCATGAAGTCCTCTGACATGCCCTGGAAAGATTCTCACCATTGTCTTGGTGATTAACATTTGGCCCCTCATTACTTATGCAAATTTCTGCAGCTGGCTTGAATTTCTCCTTAGAAAATGTGTTTTTCTTTTCTATTGCATCATCAGGCTGCACATTTTCCAAACTTTTTTGCTCTGCTTCCCTTTTAAACGTAAGTTCCAATTCCAAACCATATCTTTGTGAATAAATAAAACAGTGCTTATAAGAGCACCCAAGTCACCTCCTAAATACACTGTTGCCTAGAAATTTCCTCCATCAGATACTCTAAAACATCTCTCTCAAGTTCAAAGTTCCACAAATCTTTAGGGCAGTGGCAAAATGCCACCAGTCTCTTTGCTAAAACATAGCAAGACTCAAGTTTGCTTTATTTCCCAATAAGTTCCTCATCTCCATCTGAGACCACCTCAGCCTGGACTTCATTGTCCATATCACTATCAGCATTTTAGTAAAAACCATTCAACAAGTCTCTAGAAAGCTCCAAACTTTCCCACATCTTCATGTTTTCTTCTGAGCCCTCCAAAGTGTTTTAACCTCTGCCTGTTACCCAGTTCCAAAGTTGCTTCCACATTTTCAGGTATCTCAATAGCAGTACCCCATTCTACCAGTACCAATTTACTATATTAGTCCATTTTCACACTGCTATGAAGAAGTGCCTAAGACTGAGTAATGTATAAAGAAAAGAAAGTTTAACTGACTCACAGTTCCACACGGCTGGGGAGGCCTCACAATCATGGCAGAAGGAAAAGGAGGAACAAAAGTATGTCTTACATGACAGCAGGCAAGAAATTGTGTGCAGGGAAACTGCCCTTTATGTAACCATCAGATCTCATGAGACTTATTTTCTATGATGAGAACTGTATGGAAAAAACAAGACCCCATGATTCAATTAACTCCTACCACATCCCTCCAATGACACATGGGAATTATGGGAGCTACAGTGCATTATGAGATTAGGGTGGGGACACAGCCAAACATATCATGGGCTTTTTAATTAACAGCTTTAGTTAGGTATAATTTACATATCACAAAATTTACTAATTAAAACAAGTAATTCAATGGCTTTTAGTACATTAATAATGGTTTCTTTTTTGAAGGAAATTCTGACATTTGTAACAACAAGAATGAATCTGAAAGATATTATGTTCAGTAAAATAAACAAGACACAGAAATACAAATACTGCATAAACTCAAACATGTAATTTTTAAAAGTTGAACTGATAGAAGCACAGAGTAAAATGGTGGTTGCCAGGAGCTGGGACAATGGGGAAATTAGAAAATGTTGGTCAAAGGGTACAAACTTTCAGGTATAGATGAATTAATTCTGGAAATCTAATGACAGCATGGTGACTTAGTTAATAATGCTGTGTAATTTACTTGAAATTTGCTAAGAGAATAGATCTTAAGTGTCCTCAACACCGCCCCCCCACACACACAGAGTAACTATGTATGGTAATGAATGTATTGATTAATTTAATTGTAGTAGTCATTTCACAAGGTATACATATATCAAATCATTACACTGTCCCCCTTGAATATGAAACTGCCTTTATAAAATTAATGAAAGGCCCCAGTTAAAACTGTGGAGGGTTCTGAATTTTGCTAAGAGATAAGGAGAGTTATATAATAACCAGTCATTGTTTCTTTGCTTGCCCTTTTATTTTTTAACTGTTTACTGCTCAGAAGTCACATAGTCGTCACAAGATATGTAACTTCCCAATTGATCATATAGATAACATCACTATTGTGAAACCTAAGTCTATTTTGTGAGATATTTTGGAGACTTTGCATCCTGGTGGACCAACTGACTCCATCCAGACTGGTGAACCATACCAAGGAACTAACTCAATTGGATCTTTGATGCCCTCCCAGGAACTGACTTCATGAACAAAGACAGTTTTGACACCCCTGTGATTTCATCCCTCATCCAACCAATTATTTGTACCCATTTCCTAGCCCCCTGCCTGCCAATTACCCTTAAAAACCTTACCCTCCATATTCTTGGGAAGATAGATTTAAGAAATATTTTCCATCTCCTCCCTCAGCTGCCCTGTGATAATTAGATTCTTTCTCTACTGCAATACCTTTTGTCTCAGTGTATTGGCTTTCTCTGTGCAATGGGCAAGAAGAATCTGCTTGAGCTATAACGAATATGTTCAATTTTTATTTGTCAATAATATCTCAATAAAGCTTGAAAAATGGGATCTTTTAAATATATATTTTATCTATCTTTGTTTCATTTACCTTTTTCTTAATAAATCCCTTTTAATGGAATTTATATGTGTATTTAAGAAACATACTTACTCCAAAACAGTTGATAATATTTTGCACTGTTAAACTATATTAATTTTATTTCTATAGAATTATAAACCAAGAGTTTACACTGTGGCATTTTATTTCAACATTATATTTCTCACTAGTTTTAGAATTGAAGACTAATTTTGACAGGAATCTTTTCGTTTTATTACTTTTGAATTCTGTTTCCCCTCTTCATGTCAAATAAGTTTGACTTTGCTTTTATTGACAGTTTTGTTCACTTTGTCTCATGGGCACTAAAATTCTTGCTACTCTGGAAGCCATAGGTTCTTGGCCCCCTCAGTGGTCCCTGAAAGCCATTGACATGAGGCAGGTGGTTTAATAAGAGAAAAGGCATACACATTTATTTAAGATGTATACATAGGAGCCTTCAGAATACTCTCCTTCCCAATGAGTTACAGAAACTTGTATACAATCTAAAGGTTACAGAAAGAATGGGGACTTGGATCCTGGTAAAACAGATTATGAGAGGGGGTAGAGAGGAATTCTATTTAGGGACAATACATACTTACTACATAAGAATGAATGGATCAGTGAACAGAGACTAGCTTGTAAATAATTCTCTTTGAAACTTAAATGATCCTTGGAAGCAGTCTTTATCTTGAGAAGAAAGGCCTGTTCAAGTATAGTTACCCTTTTGGTCTTACAGGGAGGGAAGGAAAACTATTGTTCTTGGTGGGTCTGATCATAGCCAGATAAGGAAACTTCAGCCTCTTTGGGAGAAATGGTGAAGGGTGGGGGAAGGTTAGAGAAACCTTGAGGCTTCTACTTCAGTTTAGTATGTCAAAACACAGGATTTGGAGATATTGGTTTCTGAGCCCCACAATACCACATATTTTCAGACAACAGTGTTCAGCAAACCCATAGCTTCTGCCCATTAAACTGTTTTTCATTATTGCTCCATTTCTAGTCTACTTAGGGTTATGGTAGGATTGTCCCATGTAATATTTAAAACATACTTATGAGACAGAGTAGGGACAGACCTCAGCCCTTCAACTGCCACTAACATATTGTTTCTTACCCACTGACTAGGGGACTTGAAGAAACTAAGATAAGCAGCATCCCACCATAAGTTTAATCAAGGTGCCATACCCACAGTGTCCCCACCTTAAATCTTACTCAAGGGAGTTAACCCTATCACCTGCAGAAGACCAGATTAATGACCAATTTTTACCCCTTACCTCATTATAGTACTAAAGTGTCTGTCCAGGGAGGGGCTTATCTGCCATTTTTTTATCATGAGATATATAAAGATGTATGCTTCTACATTGCACTTGCATGAATGAAACCCCTCCCTACTTATGCTTACCTACTTTTCCTTTAACCTCGACCCCTCTCCCTCCCCAAATAAAAGGTCCTAAGCAGCCCTTCTCAGAGAGCCAGCCAGGGAACTCTTGTTCCAGTGCTGTCTCCCTTGAGTTCAAGCACAAGCCCCTAATAAAGCTTAGTCTGGGAAACTTACTTGGCCTTAATTTCTATTGCATAGGAGCCTAAGAACCTGTGGTCAGTAACATTTACACTAAAATATTATTTTCTACTTATATGACATTTAAATATAACTTGGCATTCTGTAATTTTATTTGCTAAGATCTATTTCTTTCTTTCTTTTTTCTGTTTTTCTTTTCCAAATTTGTCTCTTTATCTTCTATAAATGTTTGAAGAAGGTAATATGAGTAAAATGTAAGTAATTGTGCCATCCTGAACGTCATACATTACTTTTTAAATCAGAGATACGTGACCATATGAAGAGCTACAACCATCCAGAAACTGAAGCAAAAATAGCTAAAATCTGGTGCCTACAGTCACTAGAACCAGTAAAAGACACAGAATTTAAACCAGATTAGTGAATAATGTTTGCAGGACACTACATTGTTTAATAATTTTAAAGAATGTTTCCATGGATATATAAGCAGGTTGAGCACATTCAGGATGCATGTTGGTTCAACCTATTAGAGGCATACTTTGAAGATATTCCAAATTCAGTTCAAGAACACTGCAATACAATGAATAAAGTGAACACACTAACGTTTTGGTCTCCCGATGCATATAAAAGTTATGTTTACACTATACTGTAGTCTATTAAGTGTGCAATAGCATTATGTCTAAAAAAGCAGTGTACATACATTAATTAAAAATACTTTACTACTGAAAAAAAGCTAAAGATCATCTGAGCCTTTAGCCAATCATAATCTTTTTGCTGGTGAAGGATTTTACCTTGAAGTTGGTGGCTGCTCACTGGTCAGGGTGGTGGTTGCTGAAGATTACAGTGGCTATGGCCATTTCTTAAAATAAAACAAAAATGCAGTTTATTGCAGTAATTGACTCTCTTTCACAAAATTTCTCTGTAGCATGAGATGCTGCTTGATAGCACTTTACATACAGTAGAACTTCTTTCAAAATTGGAGTTAAGGCTCTCGAATTCTGCTGCTGTTTTATCAACTAAGTTTATGTAGTTTTCTCAATTTTTTACTGTCATTTCAACATAGCATCTTCACCAGGAGTAGATTCCACCTCAAAAACCACTTTCTTTGCTCATTCATAAGAAGCAACCCTTCATCCATTCAAGTTTTATCATGAGATTGCAACAATTCATTCTATCTTCAGGCTCTACTTCTAATTCTACTTCTCTTGCTATTCCTACTACTTTTGCAGTTACTTCTCCACTAAAGTCTTGAATGCTTTAAACACATTCATGAGGATTGGAATTAACTTCTTCCACCCAACCTGTTGATACTGATATTGATATTTTAACCTCCTCCCATGAATCATGAATGTTCTTAATGGCATCTAAATTATGAATCCTTTCCAGAAGGTTTCCAATTTACTATGCTCAGATTCATCAGGGCTTTACTATCTATGGCAGCTATAGCCTTACGAAACATACTTTTAAAATAATAAGACTTGAAAATCAAAATTACTCCTTGATCCATGACCTGCAGAATGGATGTTGTGTTAGCAGGCATAAAAACAGCATTCATTTCTTTGTACATCTATGTCAGAGCTCTTGGGTGACCAGGTGCGTTGTCAAGAAGCAGAAATATTTTTAAAGATTTTTTTTTCTGAGAAGGAGGTCTCAATGGTGAGTTTAAAATATATTCAGTAAAGCATGCTGTAAACAGATATACCGTCATCCAGTCTTTGTTCTTCCATTTAAGAGCACAGGCAGAGTAAAATTAGCATAATTCTTAAGGGTCCTAAGATATTAAGAATGGTCCATGAGCAATGGCTTCAACTTATAGTCACCAGTTGCATTAGCTCCTAACAAGAAAGTCAGTTTGTTCCTTGAAGCTTTGAAGTCAGGCATTGACTTCTTTCTGACTATGAAAGTATTAGATGGCATCTTCTTTTAATAGAGGGCTGTTTTGTCCACACTGAAAATGTGCTGTTTAGTGTAGCCACCTTCATCAATGATCTTAGCTAGATCTTTTGGATAACTTGCTGTAGCTTCTGAATCATCTTGCTGCTTCATCTTGAACTTTTATGTTATGGAGACGGCTTATTTTCTTAAAACTCATGAACCAATCTGTGCTAGTTTCACACTTTTCTTCTGAAGCTTCCTCACCTCTCTTAACCTTTATAGAATTGAAGAAAGGATCTTACTCTGGATTAGCCTTTGGCTTAAGGGAATGTTGTGCCTGGTTTGATCTTCTAGCTACATTACTCAGACTTTCTCCATATCAACAATAAGGTTGTTTTGCTTTCTTATCATTTATGTGTTCACTGGATTAGCACTTCTAATTTCCTTCAAGAACGTTTTCTTTGCATTCACAATTTGACTAAATGTTTGATACAAAAGGTCAAGCTCTCAGTTTATCTCGACTTTTGACATGCCTTCCTCACTAAGCTTAGTAATTTCTAGATTTTGATTTAAAGTGAGGATGTGTGATTCCTCCCTTCATTTGAACACTTAGAGGCCACTGTAGGGTTATTAATTGACCTAATTTCAATATTGCTGTATCTCAGGGAATAGGGAGGCATGAGAAGAGGGAGAGAGATGGGGAAAGGCTGGTAAGTGGAGCAGTCAGAACACACAAAACATTTATTTTGTTAAGTTGGCCATCTTATATGAGTGCAGTTTGTGGTGACCCAAAACAATTACAACAGTAACACCAAAGATTGCTGACCACAGATCTCCATAACAGATCTAATAATAATGAAAAAGTGTGAGAATTACCAGAATGTGACAGAGACTCAAAGTAAGCACATACTGTTGGGAAAACAGTGCCAATAGATTCGCTCCACAAGGGTTTGCCACAGAGCTTCCATTTGCAATAAAACATGTAACACCTGTGAAGCTCAATAAAACAAGGTACGCCTATATATGAATGGTTATTTAATCTGATGCTTTTAGTTCTCTTTTAATTTTTAAATTGAACAATAAGATGTGCAAATAACTGTGTAAAAATTGTCCTATTCCAGCCGGGTGCGGTGGCTCACGCCTGTAATCCCAGCACTTTGGGAGGCCGAGGCAGGTGGACCACGAGGTCAGGAGATCGAGACCATCTTGGCTAACACGGTGAAACCCAATCTGTACCAAAAAAATACAAAAAAAATTAGCTGGACGTGGTGGCGGGCGCCTGTAGTCTCAGCTACTAGGGAGGCTGAGGCAGGAGAATGGCGTGAACCCAGGAGGCGGGGCTTGCAGTGAGCCAAGATCGCGCCACTGCACTTCAGCCTGGGCCACAGAGTGAGACTCCTCTCAAAAAAAAAAAAAAAAAAAAAAAATTGTCTTATTCCTTGAGCTTTTTCTATGAAATAGAGCTTGTATTGTACTGATTTCTTAAAATAATTTTTGTTATTTTTGCATTTTTATGCTTTAAAAAAATCAGTTGATTCCTTTACAATGTGTTGATACACTCTAGAATCGTTCATTTTCCATTCTCATCTGCTGAAAATAATATTAGTTTAGATTTGTTGTCTCATGGGCTGCTTTTCTTTTTATTTTCTGTGTGTGTGTACCTTGAATGTATCCACTTACTCATTTTATTTAGGTACTGACTTACTGTCTTATTGCTTTTTTCTTATGCTAATATTTTATCATTTCTGAAAGCCACAAGCTTTTATTACCCTTCAAATAATCCCTAAGATACAGAGATGTGAAGAGTGCCCTTTATTCTATCTCTGTGCCTATAGTATTTTGTCATTTTCACTGTTACAGCAAAATGGCTTTGTGCATCTCCTTGACGTAAACAGGAATAGAGTGAGCTGAGATTAACAGATATTGGACAGTCCAACTCACACAGTGTAGTCATGGTTACCATCAAAATACTATGGCAAATGAGTGACCAAATCTATAAAGAATATATTTTTAAAATAGTATCTGTTGGCATTTTTCTAACACTTCCCTCAAAAATCAACATCATTGACTGGAAAACACCTTATAAGTTTATTGACATTAATATAGATTGGTATGATATACATGGAAAAAATGCAGAATGTCTAATAGGAATATAGGAAAGGGGAGTACTGAGAATTAACCATGATACAGATCCTTTCTCTTTCTCTCACAAAAACATATTCAGATACTTCCTAATACTTTTAATCAATGCAGTTCACTAAAAGCTTCATGTGACATAGCGTCAGTAAATGTTGATGTTCCCCATATGTTTAGGCAATACTTAAAATTCTAGAGAAATGACATTTTTCTATTAAATTTTTTATATCACTGAAGATTAAATTTAAATAATTAGCAGCATAAGTTGTTTACAGTGAAGAATGTAGTGTATTCAACTGCAAACCAATTATGATAATATTATTGAATTTAATGTAGATAACATTAAAACATTCTTTTTAAAGTCAAAATAATATATATATTTTATATCAGTTTAACAAACATTTATAAACTATCAACCTGGAGTAAGAAAACCAACTTATGCATGTGTATACTATGTTTTATACATACTTAAGAATGCTATATAATTTATATATGAGTATCAAAGTCTATTGTATTTAAAAAGTTGTGAACACATCTCTATCAGCATAGGTAATTGACAATTTAGTTCTCTCTAGCTATGAAAATCTTAGATGGCAACTTCTTTTAATAGAAAGCTGTTTCATCGACATTGAAAATCTGTTATGATTTATACAGATTATTACATTTCTAAAAAATTATTTAAAGGAACCGTATGTATATTCTTCTGGGATTGTGATAAAGGATTCATAATAGAGAGATTCCATGCCTTAGGACACACAATCTTCTCTGTTCCCATTCTCTTTTTTTTTTCTTTTGAGAAGAAAAGGCTCACCGCAACCTCCACCTCCTGGGTTCAAGAGATTCTCCTGCCTCAGCCTCCCAAGTAGCTGGGATTACAGGTGCACGGCACCATGCCTGGCTAAATTTTTTTGTATTTTTAGTAGAGACGGGGTTTCACCATGTTGGCCAGGCTGATTTCGAACTCCTGACCTCAAGTGATCTGCACGCCTCAGCCTCTGAAAGTGCTAGGATTACAGGCATGAGCCACCATGCCCAGCCCTCTGTTCCCATTCTAATAGATGTTCTACTATGGATTCTACATTATGGCCTATAGAGTTAGCCTTCGACTGACGTAAAACTCAGGGAATACCTTGAGGAAATCTAAGTGAGCAGAACAAGGGCCAAAGCGAGCTGGGAAGTGCAGAATATACGTTCCTGGTCCAAATTATAGGGACAAAAGAGAAAAACAGTGTTATGTCACATTAATTAATAAATTTGAGAAAGTAAGATTATTATTTCTAAAGAAATGATACTCAGAGAGAAGCAAAAGATTTATGCTATGTCGAGGCAGAATATAAAGAGAGTAAAGCAAAACAGATAAACAGATCAATCCAAATCACTATAATTTTTTTTTCCTGTGATGCTGCCAGCAGCAATGGGTCTAGGAACCCCTTGATGTCCAGTCCTTCAAGCCAGCCTGGTTTTTTGTTCAACTTAGAAATTAAGAATTACTTTATTGATATTTTTGCCTATTTATTCTTTGAGATGGAGAAGAAATGATTGAAACACCTCAGAAACAAACTTTATTTCAACCATTGTGCTCACTTTTTGTACAATACCTTTTTAAAATATTTTTCTATTTTGCTATATATAATCATTGCTGATATTGGTAAAACATACAGGTTTTGAAGATAATTGATAATGATCCAGATTTTTGGAAACATAGTCAGTAAAACACAAATATATTTAACTAACCCTGTTTTATAAACAGGAGTAAGCCATTACCATTGCGACCACAAAGTGCTCAGTAGGCAATGGCTAAAACTGGCAGGAAAATAAATATCTACAGAATATCAACCTGGCTTTATTTTTAAAAGTAAAACAGGAATACAAATGATGGAGTAAATACTCTCAGGTGGCAGATGAGAAAATATTTGGAAAGCTATAAAAAGGAATATGAAATCGGGCCTGGATAGATGGTTAAGGGCTGTGTCACGTGGACAAACATAAGGAAGGTCATTCCAGAAGGAGACATAGCACTAACCAGGGAGTTGAGTAAGGAGGGAACAAAATATTATCTTGCTTTTAAAGCATACGGGGGGAAAGCCTAGAGTTAAAAGCCATGATCCCATTCATTTTCTAGAAAAGAGTAAAACATTTGCATTTTTAAAAGAGCCAATGGGGACTTACTGATTTTCCCTTTGCACTAAACATGATCACAAATGTTTAAGAAATCTGATGTGAGGAGTTGATGGGGTAGATGCATGAAGAAATAAACTAGAGATACAGAGATTAGGGAGCTGATGCTCGAAACTTTGTGACAGAAAATACATGCAACTAACTATTGTCAGTATGGAATGACTACAATACAGTTGTTGAGGGCAGAAACTATGTTTATATTTACTCACTGATGTGTAGTACAGTATGAAGAACATAGCAGGTTTTCAGGAAAGGTCCACTGGCCATCCCACATGTAGTTTTACGAATGCTGAATACCCCAATTTTCTAAAATGGCCACAACGCTGGATACCATATATAAATGTACTTTTAAAAGTGCATTGCACAAAGAACATGGAAATAACAATAATGCATGATCCATTTACAATGATCATGTATTATATTTGGGGGAGGGAGTTGAAGTTTTTCTGAGAGCATGGGATGCAAGGATTGCCTAAAGCAACTCGAAAATATCTTAAGGAAGTTTATTTAAAAAATATTGATAATATGTTTCCTCCTAGTAAGGTGGCAACATATAAAATTGCAGTCATTGCACAGTCAGTAGTTCTCACTTAAGGAAGAAGGGTGTAAACTCACTGACAGAACTCTACTGCCCACTGGGAGGTTTCATAGGAGAAACAGAAAGTTAATGAGAAGAGCCCTTTGTGTTCCAAGCAATCCATTGGTTGTGGCCTCAGCACACAGAGCACTACTAACAGAGCCACTTGCAGTTTCACCTTTCTTTGGCAATTCAGGGAGGGCACTTTGATGTGTTTCTTGATTTGCCCCCTGTTGCTTCCTCTTCAAAAGCCTGAGGATGACTAAGCTTGTATCTCTCAGCCTCATGTGAACCTCAGTGCAGCAACATTTCAAATTTGGTACCCATCTTTGAAGTGTAGTGGCTTGTACACATTAACATTCTTGCCCCCAAAGACTTCTTTTCTTGCAATCTTTCCTTCCAAGTAATCACACATCTCTCATACCCAGGTAAATTTAGAGGCTGCAGGCTGAATGAGTAACCTTAATAAAATATCTCCTATTATTTAATTGCTAGAAGTACCACAATTTTCCCCCCAGCATCTAAACATAAAACACTTGCAACATATAGTTTGTTGATTCACCTTATTTTAATTTACTATATTTAGTCAAGTGTTGTTTTTAAATGTCCCTTATGTCCTTCTATCCTTCCTTTCTACCCTTAAAATAGTTGACCTGAGTTAGCTTATACTCAAAGGTAGAATAACATGATCAAGAAGTTGAGAGATTAAGAAGTCATGCATGTCTAACTTTCTGCTCAAGCTTGTGAAATTCCAAGGAATCCCTATATATTGTATTAACAAATAACAGATGCTTCTATATTAATAGAAAATACATAATGCAACTTTTTTTTTTCATTTCATGGTGATTATTTCAGAGGCTACTGTCCACCTGCTTACCCAGTTTCTTGGCGTAAGAGTGAATGATAAGAGGTGAAAAAAAATACACTGAAATAAACAAGGCAGTATTTAAGATATAAGATGAAGAAAATAACACCAAGTTATATTAAGAAAAACCCATAATAATATGAGCATCTAATTTTTTTCAAAATTTTTGAACAAAATAAATGTCAGTTCTCCAAAGCCTTGTGCTTAGCTGTGAATGTAAATAAATCTAAAATATCCTTTGTTCCTTTCTTCCTTCTTTTCTTTCTCTCTTCCTCTCTCCCTCTTCTCTCCATTCTTCCACTCTTTCTCTCTTTTTCTCTCTCAATAACTCACATATAGGGAACAAAATGCAAAAGAAGTAAATGAGTACACAGTGAAAATTATGGCTTCCGCACATCTTTGTTTTTTATCGACAAGGGAGCTGTCCCCAGAAGCAGAGAATGTAGCCAGATTCTTGTGTATCCTCACAAAGGTATTTTACATATATTCAGATACATATAAATAAAATAAGTAGGTTTCTTATGGATCACATTATGTGGTCGAGGAAAAGGTTTTGAAAGAGTTAAATGATAAGCTTCAAGGTTATGCAGAAAGTCAGCAATGGAGTTGGGGATGAGCCCAGATTTTCTATTTTACTCTAGGCATTGTGCCATCTTGCAAATTTTTATCTTCTAAATGCCAGTATTTCTGCCTTTTGTATGGATGGGCATATCTCCAAGGGTTTTAAATTTGATTCTGGTTCAATAACTCACCCTAAGAATAAATGAAGTATATCAATCTCCTTTGTATGCACTATTTCAACCTAAACAAGTAGGTGGGTCAGTTTAGGGTTCTTTGCAATTTTGAGGATATTTATGAACATCATACTTAGCTTGAGAGGCTTTACTTCTTTTACTGTCTTAGAATTCTGCTCGCAAGTAAAAACCAACCAAACAAAAAACAAGTACAATAATAAAGCTTCAGTATGAAAAACTTATCCAAATAGTTTGAAATTTTAAAAGTTTTTACTTAAGTTTGGTCAAAGACGTATTCTTCAGGTTCACATTTCAGGTATTTACTTTGAATAAATTATCTCAGTTCCATAGGTCTTAGCTCTTCTATAGAACTTTGCCTTTGCTAGCATATTTTCATTATATAGCACTGCAGAGAAGGATTGCCATAAGGATGGGAAGGATTTGGTACTATGTCCTTGCTAGTATCTTTGACACAAGGTCTTCAGAAAAAAGTTTAATTTTAAAAAAATAAGTAACAAGTGTTAGTTCAGCAGATAAAACAAACTAAAAATAATTAATGATATCAGTTTTAAATATTTAAAACACCCTCCATTATCAGTAACATAAAGCCTACCAACCAGAAAAAGCCCAGGACCAGATGGATTCACAGCTGAATTCTACCAGTTATATAAAGAAGAGCTACTACTATTCCTACTGAATCTACTCCAAAAATTGAGGAAGAGGGAATCCTCCTTTACTCATTCTATGAGGCCAGCATCATCCTGATACCAAAACCTGGCAGAGATACGATAAAGAAAGAAAACTTCAGGGTAATATCTTTGATGAACACAGATGCAAAAATCCTCAACAAAATACTAGCAAACTGAATCCAGCAGCACATGAAAAAGCTAATCCACCACGAACAAACAGACTTTATCCCTGGGATGCAAGGTTGGTTCAACACACACAAATCAATAAATGTGACCACCACATAAACAGAACTAAAAACAAAAACCACCTGGTCATCTCAATAGATGCAGAAAAGGCTTTTGAGAAAATTCAACATCCTTTCATGTTAAAAACCCTCAACAAATTAGTCACTGAAGGAACACACTTCAAAATAATAAGAGCCATCTATGACAAACCCATAGCCAACCTCATAGTGAACGAGCAAAAGCTGGAAGCACTCCTCTTGAAAACCTCAACAAGATCAAGATGCCCTCTCTCATCACTCGTATTCAACATAGCATTAAAAGTTCTGGCCAGAGTAATCAGAGAAGAAAAAGAAAAAACACACACACAAATGAGAAGAGAGGCTCAAACTATTTCTTTTTGCAGATGATATGATTCTATACCTATAAAACCCTGTAGTCTCTACACAAAAGCACCTTGATCTAATAAACAACTTCAACAATGTTTCAGAATACAAAATCAATGTACAAAAATCAGTAGCATTTTTATACGTCAACAATACCCAAGCTGACAGTCAAATCAAGAATGCAATCCCATTCACAATAACCACAGAAAAAGAATAAAATACCTAGCAATACAGCTAAGCAGGGAAGCAAAAGATCCCTATAATGAGAAGTAAAAAACACTGCTCAAAGAAATCAGAAATAACATTAAATAAATTGAAAAACATTCCATGCTTATAAATAGAAGAAGCACTATTGTTAAAATGGCCATACTGCCCAAAGCAATTTACAGATTCAATGCTATTTCTACCAAACTACCAATGGCATTCTTCATAGAATTAGAAAAAACTATTTTAAAATTACTATGGAACCAAAAAAGGAACCTGAATAGCCAAAGCAATCCTAAGCAAAAAGAACAAAGCTGGAGGTTTTACATTACCTGACTTCAAACTATACTACAAGGCTACGATAACCCAAACAACACAGTACTGACACAAAAATGGACACATAGACCAATGTAACAGAATAGAGAGCCCAGAAATAATGCCTCACACCCACAACAATCAGATCTTTGCCAAAGCTGAAAAAAGCAGGCAATGGTGAAAGGACCCCCTATTCAATAAATGGTGCTGTAATAACTGGCTAGACATATGAAGAAGACTGAAACTGGAACCTTCTCTTACATCATATACAAAAATCAACTCAAGGTGGATTAAAGACTTAAATGTAAAACCTAAAAGTATAAAAACCCTGAAAGATAACCTAGGAAGTACCATTCTGGACACAGGCCCTGGTAGAGATTTTAGGATGGAGACACCAAAAGCAACTGCAACAAAACAGAAATTGACAAGTAGGGCCAATTAAACTAAAGAGCTTCTGCACACCAAAAGAAACTATCAACAGTG
This sequence comes from Homo sapiens, assembly GCF_000001405.40. Lineage (NCBI taxonomy): Eukaryota > Metazoa > Chordata > Mammalia > Primates > Hominidae > Homo > Homo sapiens. Next base: position 22,859,908 of record NC_000009.12, read on the forward strand.
TAAACAGACACTCTACAGAATGGGGGAAAGTATTTGCAAACTATGTATCCAACAAAAGTCCAATATTCAGAATCTATAAGAAACTTAAATAAACAAGCAAACAGGAACAACCTGATTAAATACTGAGCAAAGAACATGATCAGATACTTTTCAAAGGAAGACATACATGTAGCCAACAAGCATATAAAAAAAAGCTCAGCATCATTGATCATTAGAGAAATGCAAATCAAAATCACAATAAGATACCATCACACACCAGTCACAATAGCTATTAATAAAATGTCAACAAATAACAGATGCTTGAGAGGTGGCAGAAAAAGGGCAACACTTATACACTGATGGTGGGAATATAAATTAGTTCCGCCATTGTGGAAAACAGTGAGGTGTCTTCTCAGAGAACTTAAAACAGAAGTGCCATTTGACACAGCATTTCCATTATTAGGTATATACCCAAAGGAATATAAGCCATCCTACCATACACATGCGTGTATGTGTTCATCATGGCACTATTCACAATAGCAAAGACATGGAATCAACCTAAATGTGCAACAAAGGTAAACTGGATAGAGAAAATGTGGTACATATTCACCATGGAATACTATGCAACCATGAAAAAGAACAACATCATATCCTTTTCAGCAACATGAATGGAGGTGGAAGCCATTATCCTAAGTGAAATAATACAGGAACAGAAAATCAAATACCACATGTTCTCACTTATAAGTTAGAGCTAAACACTGAGTACACATGGACACAAGGAAGAGAACAGACACCAAGGCCTACTTGAAGGTGGAGGATGAGAGGAGGGTGAGGATCAAAAAACTCTCTATGGGGTACTGTGCTTATTACCCATGTGACAAAATAATCTGTACAGCAAATGCCTGTAACATGCAATTTCCTTCTATAACAAACCTGCACATGTACCCCGAACCTAGAAGTTAAAAAAAAAAAAAAACAGAAAAATAGAAGACCATCCTTCGTCTAATAAAAAATAAAGAAGATATAAGTAATATTTCTATTATGGGTTCCCAATATACTTCTGTTGCAGGACCTCAGATACTATGTTCCTGTTTCCCTAAACATTTTTGGATGTTTCTGGTTGTGTTCTTTACTCAAAGCCCCTTTGGCTATTTTCCTTCCATCAAGAAATTGAGTCAATTTTGTCTTCCTTTAAACCTGTTCTTGAATCTTGTGACTTGCTTTGAAAAATACATGTAGTTGAACTAAAGTTATACCAGTTCTGGAGCTTAGGCCTTAAGACTCATGGAAATCTCTGTTTTCATACTACTAGAGACTGCTAGAGACTGGAGAAACAGATGTATAAGTTAAAAGACAGTCTAAAAAAGGGGTCCTAGAGAATGATAAAACAGGAAAGAGAGTCTACTATTTGAGCCAGTCCCATTGAAAAGCAAGAAAGTGAGAGAGACCATCCTGAATTCTTTAGCTAAAATTGTGGATGCAGGAGTAGCCCAGCTGACACAACATAGAGAAGACTTAAGCCATCCCAGCTGAGTTCTGTCTAGACAACCGCGAAACTCGTGAACAAATAAAATAATTGCTATTTCAGACTTCAGTTTTGAGGTAATTTGTTATACAAAAAATAATGTTTTCCTAAAAAAAACCCTGCATTCTGAAGGTAAAATTATTGACTAAATTTAATATTCATATCTCATAAGATAGTATCTGTTTAGGCTGCTATAACAAAACAGCATAATCTGCATGGCTTTTTTAAAAAATAGAAATTCATTTCTCATGGTTTTGGGGGCTGGAAAGTTCAAGATCAAGGCATTGGGTGATTAAGTAACTATTGAAAACTCACTTCCTCATAGGCAGTGCCTTCTCACTATGTCCTCACACAGTGGGAGGGACAAGGAATCTCTCTAGGGACTCTTTTTTTTAAAGATACTAATTACAATCATAACGGCTCCACCCTCATAGCTTTTGTGTGTTCTTTTTTCTTTTATTTTTTCGTCTGGACAGAGTATCACTCTGTCACCCAGGCTGGAGTAGCAGCCTTGACATCCTTGACTCAACCAGTCCTCCCATCTCAGCCTCCCAAGTAGGTGGGACCACAGGCAAGCACCACCTACTTTTTTTTTTTCAGAGATGAGATCTCACTATGTTGCACAGGATGCTAAATATCATCCAAATCAGATATGAGTGAGGTTCAAAGTGTGATTCATCCTGAGAAAAATTACTTTCCAGCTGTAAACTCATGAAATAAAACATGATACGTGCTTCTAAAATACAATGGAAGGACAGGAACAGGATAAACATTCCCATCACAAAGAGAAGTAGAAAAAAAGAAAGGAATGACAAATCAAAGCCTTAAAGTTCAAGAATAATTGTTTTTGTCTCAATGTTCTGCCCTCCAAACCCACTGGGGTATAAGTTTCACCTTCCAGATATACTGGGACAGGATTCATGCTCCCTTAGCTGTGCTGGGCACAGCCCAACCCTCAGCTCTCATGAAATGGCGTCATATTGTGTCCAGAATTGGTGGGTTCTTGGTCTCACTGACTTCAAGAATGACACTGGGGACCCTCATGGTGAGTATTACAGTTCTTAAAGATGATGTCTCCGGAATTTGTTCCTTCTGATGTTCGGACATGTCCGAAGTTTCTTCCTGCTGGTGGTTTCATGGTCTCGCTGACTTTAAGAATGAAGCCACAGACCTTCATGGTGAATGTTACAGTTCATAAAGGTAGCATGTACAGAGTTGTTCATTCCTCCCAGTGGGTTCGTGGTCTCGCTGGCTTCAGGAATGAAGCTCCAGGCCTTCGCACTGAGCTGCTGTGCAAATCCAAAGACAAAGCAGCAACAAGATTCATCTCAAAGAGCAAAAAAGCAAAGCTTCCACAGCATGGAAGGAAATCCTACCAGGTTGCGCTGCTGGCTCTGGTGGCCTGCTTTTATTCCCTTATCTGGCCCTACCCACATCCTGCTGATTGGTCCATTTTACAGAGAGCTGATTGGTCCATTTTACAGAGAGCTGATTGGTCCGTTTTGACAGAGTGCTGATTGGTGCATTTACAAACCTTTAGCTAGACACAGAGTGCTGACTGGTGCATTTACAATCCTTTAGCTAGACCGAAAAGTTCTCCAAGTCCCCACCTGTCCCAGAAGTCCAGCGGCTTCACCTCTCACTGGCACTGGCCCTGGGACTTTGTGGCACCTAGCCCAGGCACTCCGGCAGCCCAGAGGGAGCTTGTCCCAGACAACCAAGAGGAAAAGGGGGGAAGCGCGAAAGAGATGGAGACCCGCCATTGTGGGCAACGACCCTGCAAAGAGGGAACGGCGGTCCACGCATGGGACCCAGCCTCCGATCAAGCCCAGCAGGCACAGGCCAGCTGCACTGAGTGCAGGGCCGCGGAGCCCGCACCCACCCGGAACCCACGCCTGCCCGTGAGCGCTGTGCACAGCCCCGGCTCCCACGCACGCCTGTCCCTCCACACCTCTCCGCGAGCAGAGGGAGCTGGCTCCAGCCTTAGCCAGCCCCAGAGAGGGCCCCCCACAGCGCAGCAGCGGGCTGAAGGGCTCCTCTAGTGCAGCCAGAGGAGGCGCCGAGAGCCAGCTAGGGCTGCTAGCACGTTGTCACCTCTCAATATGCCTGTGGCTGTCCTGTGTGAGTTGGAATATAATACTGGTGTCTCTACTCATCTGGTGGAGAAGGGGCAGCTCACCCCTGTGAATCTACTGGAGATTGCCCTTATGGGGACTCTTTGCAGTGACCCTGCTCCCATGGCAGTTTTTTGCCACACGGCTCCCTGGGGCATCCTTTGAAACCTAGGTGGAGGCAGCCACATCCCCACAGTTTTACTGGGCATAGTGAGACAGCACCAGAGCCACACACCCAACACAGCCCAGGAGCATGCAACACAGTAGTATGAGAAGTGAAGCATTTACACAGTGCCAGCCAGCATGCGCCAAGGACCTGCAGGCAACAGTGTCCCCTTCTTTGAAATCATTCTGACCCCCAGGTCCTTACATTCTGGACTTGTAATGGGAGGGCAACCCTGATGACCTCCAAAATGCCTCCCAGTATTCTTTCATTGTCATGAACAATGGGTCCTGGATTTTGTTTAGATGGCTGACTAATCTCTCCATTGTCTTAACAGCTCCCAGCTTCTGTTGATGTGGCCAATACATGTTAATCTCTTTATCAAATTTGGCCACAAGTTTGATAAAGAGATTTATATGCTCTCCCAAACAGATTTTTTTTCATTTATTGTAATATGGATGGCTGAGAATTATCCAAATTTTTAAGTTCTGTTTTTCTTTTTATTAACAATTCTGCCTTTAAATCATTTCTCTGTTCTCTAATTTACTATAAGCAGTCAAAAGGAACCAAGACACGCTTTCAACACTTGGCTTAGAAATAGATTCAGCTAAATATCCAATTTCATTGCTCACAACTACCTTCCACAAAACACTAGGACAATTCAGCCAAGTTATTTACCACTTTATCATAAAGATCACCTCTTTCCTTGTTTTCAATAACATGTTTCTTATTTTCCTCTGAGACTGCTTGAGAATGACCCTTATTAATCATATTTCTACTAACATTCTGTTCATGACCACTTCAATATTCCCTAAGAAAATTGGGGATCTCTCTACAGCTCTCCTCTCTCTGAATCCTTACCGGTATTGCCTTTAGCAGTCTATTCACAGCAATATAAGCTTTTTCTAGCATGCAACTCAAAACTCTAAGACTTCTGACCATTACTCAGTCCCAAAGCCATTTTCATTTTTTTAGGTATTTGTTACAGTAGTACCTCCACTCTCAGCACAAATCTTCTGTCTTAGTACATTCAGGCTGCTATAACGTAACACACTAGGTGGCTTATAAAGAGCAGAAATTTATTTTTCACATTTCTGGAGGTTGGGAAGTCCAAGATCAAGGTGGTAGCAGATTCAGTGTCTGATGAGGGCCTTTTTTTGGTTCATAGACGGCCATATTTTGGCTATGTTCTCACACAGTTGAAGGGACAAGGTAGCATTCTTGTGCCACTTTTACAAGGCCACTAATTCTATTCATGAGGGCTCTGTCCTCATGACTTAATAACCTTTCAAGGGCCTCCCCTGCTAATTCCATCACCTTGGGGATTTGAATTTCAACATAAGAATTTTGAGGGGGCACAAACATTCAGACCATAGCAGCTACGCACTAAATTTACATGTTTAAATTTTACATGCTATTGTTTGCAATAACACATAACTTTTCTTTGTTTATTTTTTTTGAGATGGAGTCTTGCTCTGTTGCCTAGGCTGGATTGCAGTGGCACAATCTTGGCTCACTGCAAGCTCCACCTCCCGGGTTCACGCCATTCTCCTGCCTCAGCCTCCGGAGTAGCTGGGACTGCAAGCACCCGCCACCACGCCCGGCTAAATTTTTTGTGTTTTTAGTAGAGACGGGGTTTCACCGTGTTAGCCAGGATGGTCTCTATCTCCTGACCTCGTGATCTGCCTGCCTCGGCCTCCCAAAGTGCTGGAATTACAGGCGTGAGCCACCGTGCCTGGCCATAACTTTTTAAATATATATTTTTTGAGACAGAGTCTCACTGTGTCATGCAGGCTGGAGTGCAGTGACACTATAGCCTTAACCTCCTGAGCTAAAGAGATCCTCCCACCTCAGCCTTCCTAGTAGTTGGCACTACAGGTAGTGTGCCACCATGCCTGGCTAATTTTTTTTTTTTTTTTTTTTTTTTTGGTAGAGATAGGTTTTACCATGTTGCCCAGTTTGGTCTCAAACTTCTCAGCTAAAGCAATCTTCCCACCTCAGCCTTTCAGAGTTTTGGAATTATAAGTGAGAACTACAAGGCTCAGCCCTGAAATTTTTTGTACAATAACTTGTTTTAAGAAAGGCACAATAGTCTGAACATGTTGAGAAGACTGAATGGGGAGGGGGAGGATTTAGAGAGGGGCATGTGGAAAAATTGGGGGTAAAAATGTTCATTTCTTGATTATGATGAGAGTTTAAAGGGTTTACACATATGTCAAAACTTAGCAAATTATATACTTTAAATATGTATAGTTTAATGTACTTCATTTATATGTTAATAAGCTGTGAAATGTCAAAATAATAAAATGGCTATAATACATATTTTTCTACCAAATAGTTTCTTTATTCAATAAACATTTGATCTGTGTCAATACTATATCCCTGTGCTCATGGAAGTCCGACCAGTGTGGGGATGCTGCTATGGTGGTGATATGATACTGTGGCACAATGTGTGCAAAACTGTAGGAGGAGAGAGAGAGTGATCACTTTTTAACACAGTAATAACAGATAAGTAGAACCCTACAAGTTACAGATGATACAAAGAAACTCTAAGCAAAGGAAAAGCATGCAAAGTCATTGAGACAAAAGAAGAAAGATGTCCTTCTTCGGAAAGCTGTGCACCTCAATAGACTTGCTGGTAGAAAATGAAATTCAAACTGTAGGGCCTTGAATTTCACGCAAAAGAATTTGGTCTTTATGTGTTAGACAATGGTGAATAATATGTAAAAGCAGGATTATATCTATATTTTAGAAAGATAACTGAGACAGGAAGATGAGAGGGGGCGCTTTACATATTTCTTCAAAAGAGAGATGATGAAGACTTTAAAGCAACAGCAAGGAAAAGAGCCCTAATAAACATGGAGGTAGAGATGACAAGGTGTGTGGGAGGCTCAGATAATATAATAAACATGACTATATTTCAAAGGTCTCAATAACTATTTCATATTGGGTATTACTGAACTAATACGTCATTTCAGTAATATAAAATCATATATGGCTTTCTGTAATATGTTTTGGATTAAGGTTTTAGATTTTGTGTCCAAATTTATGTTGGAATTATAGTTCAAAGTATATATGCATTGATGTTTTTATGGCTCTTGTTACCAAATAAATCTCAATTAATAAGTGTATGTTTTCCTACAAATAAAAATAATTTTATTTTTGACAAACTGATAAATAAAAAAATTTTGGGGGGTTTGCCATTTGTTTATTTGGCGTCAATTATAGTGATTTTTCCATATAGTTTTTAAAAATTCAGATTGCTTCTTTCTATTGAGGGCCACAAATCTTGCCTTTTATTCTGAAAAAAATTCAAAGATATATTGGCACTATGAATTATGACATAGAATATGATACAAGTAGGAAGTTGTATTAGTCCATTCTCACACTGATCTAAAGAAATACCTGAGACTGGGTAATTTATAAAGAAAAGAGATTTAATTGGCTCATGTTTCTACAGGCTGTACAAACAGGAAGCATAGCAGCCTCTGCTTCTGGGGAGGCCGCAGGAAACTTACAACTACGGCAGAAGGTGAACAGGGAGCCAGCACTTCACATAGCCAAGCAGGAGGATGAGCAAGAGGGAGGAGATGCTACACACTTTTAAACAACCAGGTCTCACAAGAACTCATTCACTATCGTGATGACAGTACCAAAGGGGAAATCCACCTCCAAAATCCAATCACCTCCCACCATGCGCCACCACTAACTTTGGGGATAACAATTTGACATGCGATTTGGGCAGAGACACAGATCCAAAAAAATCAGAAGTATTAAGATTAAAAGGGAGCTTTGCTGAGAGGCCAACAATACCTTAATGGGCATCATAATATAAAGGAAGAATGTAATAAAATAAAGATGCTCTAACAACTTTTAAATATATTCTAAAGCCTAATTTGCAAAATCAATATTGTAGAAAATTAATCAGTGGTTTGAAGAACAGCTTTAAGAAGCTCATTTATTCAAAAATGTGTAAAAACTATTTTAAAACTGCTGTCTTGCACTGTTCATGATTTTGCCAAAAAAAATGATGAAAATATTATGGCCCCTGATCATACAGCATGTAGTTATAATGGAGAGTAACCAGATAAGAGACAATGAATTTTGGTGAGTATTTAGATGAATAAAATACATATACTATGAGAATATAGACAATGGGTCTTTAACTCAAACTTGATAAGTCATTAAATCATATTTTCTGAGGCTAAAATTGTGAACACACAAGATCAGGTGTATTGAGGGCCAAGGTTTGGACAGAATGAAGTGATTTATGTAGACAGAGGGAATACATGTACAGAAATCCTTGAAGATCAAATAATTTTACTTTCAGGAATATGAAAATAGTTCAGTCTGAATGGAAGTATACCCTGTACTTGGATAAGAAAATGTTAAAGATTAAAAGGAGTAAGCAATGGCTGCATCATCTATGAACTTCAGAAACATTCCAAGTTGTTCATACTTTATTCTGAGGACAATGGGAAGAAGTGCAAATTAGTGATATAATAAATGGATTTGCATGAGAATTACCTTATATGTCACATAAAAACCCTTTAGAATGTTTCTTTTTGAGCTTTTCTCATATCATTAAATAACCTCTAATAATAACCAGTTTTATCCAGTTTTCCCTATATTTATTGTCCATACCACTATTCACCTGTTGGACAATTCCAATAGATTCATTCCTAATATTGGCCCATCACATATTCTGTGTTTTTGGTGTACAACATTCTAGTCTAGCCCAACATTTATGAGCTTAGAGGGACACTATGTTCACTGAAATAAGTCAAGTACAGAAAAACAAATACTTTATGTTCTCCCTCATACTGGCAGCTAAAAAAGTTGATCCCATAGAAGTAGAGGAGTAGAATAGTAGTACCAATGACTGGAAAGGGTAGAGAATATGAGGGGATAGAGAAAGTTTGGTTAATGGGTACAATATTACAGTTAGGAGCAATAAATATAGTGCCCTATAACACTAGGATTAACAAAAATTTGTTTTATATTTTAAAACAACTAAATGAGAGATTTTGAATTTTCTCAACACAAAGACATGATAAATGTTTGAAGTAATGGATATGCCAATTGCCATCTTGGCATTTGATCATTACACGTTTGGGCATTTGATCATTACACACTGTTGCATGTGTCAAAATACCACACATACCTCATAAATATGTAAAATTATTATGTGTCCATTAAAAATAAAGATAAATTTACTATTAAATAATAATTAATAATCACATAACACAATGATTTCATTATATAATTAATGATAATAATTAAAAGCTCTGATACAAGTGGTTATATAAAAATATTTAATTTAAAAATTACATTAAAAACACTACGCAAATTAAAGGCAAATCATAAACAAGAAATAGTGTTTGCAATATCAATATCAAGGAGTCAAAGTGTTATATACAGATGCTTTTTATAATAATCATATATATATTTATGATATATATACATTACATATTGCCTGAATAATAATCTGGATTTTTGGACTACCTTGTCATTAAAGTTTCTATGTTCTTTTCTCTAGTTTCCTAATTGTCTTCACTGAACATGTTACTTCCAATATATAATATAATACATGTTATTAAAGTTAAAAATAATATATTAGGTGCTTTCTAAAAACAATATTTCCAACAATTATGGACAGAGAGATGGATTGGATGAATATGGAATGTAAAACAGCAAGACTTGCATTTATTTGCCTAATGTTACTATATTAAGTATATCCGTAGGCTTCAATAGCCTGGGGTACAGTTTAGCTACAAGATAATAATAAACCCCTTAATACCTGGGAATGCCTAGGAAGCACGACTTTCCTCAAAGGCTGACACTCCTCTTAGTTTTGAGGTCACCATGTGGTGTTTTATATGCACCTGCCATAGATAGTTGAGCAGTGTCAGAGTAGCTGGCCAAGGATGTCTCATTCACTTCCATGTTAAATGCCTGCCTGGATATGATGCCTTCAAGAGCAAATGCTCCATTCTTAAAACCAATGGCTGTTCTTGCACTTTGATAATAACTTTATACTATAATATAAACTATAATATAAATACATAACTTAATATGTACATGTAAACTAACACTACAACACTGAACATTGAAATAATCACCACATAAGTCAAAAATAGTGTATCTCTTTTACCTCAGAAATGCATCTTATGCTACCTGACAACTTAGCTCTCAAAGATTTTCTAAAAGTTTTTCTTTTTTCCTAAAAGTTTTATAGTTTTACATGTAAGTCTATGATCAATTTTCAGTTAAGTTCTGAAGTTTAGATTGAAGTTCATTTCTTTTTTTTTTTTTTTTTTTTTTTTTGCCTATGGATTTCTAATTGCTCCATTTGTTAAAAACGGCTTCCCTCCCTCCACTGAATTGCTTAATAAGTAACAAGTATATTGAGCTTCCTAAAAGCACTTCTGTAATTCTAGTTGGGACCAAGCAAAAGGCCACACCAGTAGATTTCAGCAATAACTTTTGATTGTGTTAGAGGAAAGTGAAATTCAAGCTGTGCAGAGTTCAGGAGAGGAAGAAGAGAAATAAATGTTGCTCATAATAATAGATTGGAGAAGACAGGAAACAATTTCTTGCTTTTGGGAAAGGGGAGTATGTAAGATCCTGAAAACTTGTCCCATGTCTGTTGCTCTTTATTATTCCTATTTTCCATTAGTAATTAGCAGTAAAATCTGACACTGAAAAGAGCCAATGTTCAATAGCCTAATGGAAGAAGGAAGTTAGTTCCATAGAAAAGATAAATACATTTAAACTTCTGTAAATTGCAATTTAGGAAATAAGAAATGCCAGTCTGAGTTCCAGAATGTGACCTGGGAGACTACTTAAACCCTAAGAGGTCTATGGAGGGTTTGTAACCATTTATAGTTTACTAATCTAGGTATTGTTGTTTACATAATAGCATCATTGCAAATGTATCATTGATATTGTAAATGTTAAAGATTATTTTAAAAATTGCCAATTTTTGTTGCAATGTACTACAAATAGAAAAACAGCTAGTGAAAAAACAATTATATAACAGATGTATGTATCTTCAATCTCACAAGAAGAAAAATATCACAGTGAAAGTTCATTTAAAAGATTAGAAAACTTCAGAATATTAATATAAATATAAAATTTAAAATGCATAAATGCATCTACATATTTAAAATGCTAAATGGAATAATTTGATCTAATACTCCCATTTGTATGCATAAGGTTTCCCAAAGTATTTCAAGTTAAAAAAAAAGGAGATAATTTAAAATATAAAAATATGTTTGAATGGAATCTATGACTTTTAGTTATGCGATTTTTTTATTAGACTGTGAAACATTCAGTTAATATAAATTAAAGATTGCCAGAGATATCTGCATGTAAAAGAGGAATCATACATTTGTAATGGAAGTAGCACAAGTGCAATAAATGTACTTATAGAGTCAATACTTGGAGTTTTTTAATAAAAGGTAGAACTTACCATATGTGAAATATATTCAAGATAGAAGTGTTAAATTATGAAGTATTATTTATTAATTTCTGAACATTAACAAATAAAAACGATGGCAAAGTACTCCTTTCAAATGTCTGTTTTTCTGTAAAGAGACATACAATTATACATCAAGCTATTAATTATATAAGGAACTCTAAAAATGTACTACTATAATACCTGTTGATAACACAAATGTTTTCCAATATTTTAAACATTATTTGTAGGACTTTGGTTCTGATCAAGATGGAATAGCCCAATTCTTTCCATATTCTCCCTCTTACAACTAAAAAGCCCTGACAAACAACACAAACAAGAAGAATAAGACTTTCACCAGTAGAAAGAAAAAAGCAGACTGCCTAGGAACTTCAGGACTTGATCAATGACATGTGTATTAGTCTGTTCCTACATTGCTATAAAGAAGTACCTGAGACTGGGTAATTTATAAAAAGATGTTTAACTGGCTTATGGTTCTGCAGGATGTACAGGAAGCATGCTGCTGGCATCTGCTCGGCTTCTGGGGAGGCCTCAAGAAACTTACAAACAGAGTGGAAGGCAAATGTGGTGCAGGCACATCAAATGATCAGAGTAGGAACAAGAGAGTGAGGCGGAAGGTGCTATATACATTTAAACCACCAGATCTCACAAGAACTCACTATTGGGAGGACAGTACCAAGAAGGATGGTGCTAAATCATTCACGAGAAATCTGCCCCCGTTATCTAATCACAACCTACCAGGCCCTACCTCCAACAGTGGAGATTATATTTCAAAATGAGATTTGGGCAGGGACATACATCCAAACTATATCAACATGGCAGTGAGTTCCCTGGGTTTTCGTATTTCTTCCCATATATACCAGATAAGGCCTCCCATGTATACCACAGGAGACTCCAAAACCACCACTAACAGGCACAGATTAAAAAAAAAAAACTCTAAGAAAAGCCTATTCTTCCTAATCAATGCACCAGACAAAGGGTGGCCTAACACAACAGAAAACATTCGGGCAATACGTATTCTATTCTACCCCAACACAAATGAATAAATCGCTCCCATTCTATGGCTTCACCCGGGAAAGTGGGACACGGATATTCTACTGCCACAAACCCCACTCCATGAAAACAGGAAGTGGCACTCTCATTTCCCCCACTTGGGTGGTGTTGACAGAGCATGCAGGAAGCTGATCTGTCCCCAGCACAGCAGAAGCAAACAGTGTTCTGATTCTTCCATGTTGGTAAAGCTGAGCCTCTATCCTCACTTAGCAGAAAGGACTTAATGAGACAGTGTGAGGTGCAGCTAATGAATAATTAACTTCCCTTCACTTCCCCTTCTCCAGCTGTTAGTGGGACCTAGCAGAGAGCCCCACTCAAATAGTCCCAGCTGAGTTTTTAAAGTGACCAAAGCAATCTAATGGAGAGCCATTTTAACAAACAGAGCAACTGGAAATCCATGGACCAAAAATCTTGATCTAAATCTCAGATGTCAACCCGAAATTTACCATAAACTTAAATGTAAATCTCTAAACATTTTAGAAAATAAATAGAAAATACATTTAAGATCCAAGGTCAAATAAAGCTCTTAAACTTGACACCAAATGGGATGTGCATAAAAGAAATGATAAATTTGACCTCATCAAGATACAAAAATTTGTTCTCTTAAAAAGACCAGTGAAGGAGATGAAAAGCCAAGCTACAGACAGAAAGAAAAATTTGCAAACTATATATTTGACAAAGGACTAGTATCATAATATAAAGAACTCTAAAAACTCAATAAGAAAACCAGAGAATCCAATTAGAAAATGAGTGAATGATATGTGCAGACATTTCATTGAAAACGACATTTAGATGAAAATAAGCACATGAAAAGATATTCAACACCATTAACTAATGGGGAAAGGCAAATTTAAACCACAGTGAGATATCATCACACACTTACCTGGCTAAAAATAGTGAAAACACTAAATGCTGGAAAGGATGTTGAGAAGATAGACTACTCATACATTGCCCATGGGAATAAAAGTGGTACATGCACCCTGGATGACAGTTTGGCCATTTCTCAATATAAAATGATTCAATAAAAAGTAATAAATAAAATAAAATTATTTTTAAAATACTATATCTGGGTAAAATAAGTAGAGAAGAACTTTCTATTAGTTATCTGAGCATTAAAAATATATGAACAGAATATGCATATTTATATATTTTAATCAGTTTCTTGTCGATATATTTTCTAATAGACAACTTTTTATTTCAATATAGAAATTTTTCTTAGAATCACCTGTAAAATTTTCTAAAAGTTGCCTATTTTATTAATTAAAGTTGTTTACTAAAAATAAAAAAAACTTATTACATGGCTACTGTAATTGGCTTATAGACATGTAGATCAATAGGACAAAACAGAGTTCAGAAACAAACTTCACATAAATAGAAAATTGACTTTTGTCAAATGCTCCAAGATATTCTGATAGGTAATAGAAAATCATTTTCAACAAATTCTGCTTGAACTACTGTATATCCACATGGGGAAAACAAATTACATTTACAAGCCTGTTATACCATAAACAAATATCTGGGATAGATCAAAGACATACACATAAAATCTAAATGTGCATGTCCTTTTGAGATGACATAGAAAAATATCTTCTTAATCTTATAGAAAAAAATTTCATTGAGAGTGAGAAGATACCAAACATAGAATAATAAACAGAAAATTATCTTCACCAAAATTAAATGCTTTGCTCATTAAAAACACCAAGAAAATAAAAATGCAAGTCATAGACTCAGGAAAAATATTCTCAGTACATGAATCTCAAAAGGACTTGAATCCATAATATATAAGAACTTTTGGAAATCAACTTAAAAGGAAATATGGGCCAGGTGTGGTGGCTCACACCTGTAACCTCAGTGCTTTGTGAGTCTGGGGCAGAAGGGTTGCTTGAGGTCAGGAGTTCAAGACCAGCCTGGGCAACAGAGAGAGACCCTGTCTCTACAAATATTTTTTTTAATTAGTTGGGTGAGGTGGCATGTACCTGTAGTTCCAGCTGCTAGGGAAGCTGAGGCAAGAGGATTCCATGAGCCCAGGAGTTGGAGGCTGCAACAAGCTGTGATCCCAGCACTGGATCTGGCTTTGTGATACAGCAAGACACTGTCTCTATAAACAAATAAATATATAAGTAAGTAAATAAATAAATAAAAATAGGAGATATGAATGCATACTTTACAAAGAAGTAGTTGGTAATGCATAGTTTCTTTTTCAGGAGTTTACCCATAGTAAATGAAGAATTATGTCATATCAAATACTTGTATGTGAATGGAGAAATATGTGAGAATATGCACAACTATGTACTTATGTTTGTAGCAATTTCACTTACAATACCCTAAATATGGAAACTATCTAAATATTGCCTCAATGGTAGAAGGAAGAACCAATCTTAATGTGGGAAAAGAATTAACAAGTACCAAAACCAATAATAATAGAAGAAAAAATTATCAATTGGAGCTTTTTGAAAATTAAAATTTCTACATTTTTCTGATACATATTAATGTTGAACATCTTTTTACACATTAATTAGCCACATCAATAGATAACAGGGAAATGCAAATTAGAAGCAAAATTAAATAGTACTTTACATCCAAAAAAAAGAGTATTTGGAAAACCCGAAATTCCTAAATTTCTGCTGGGAATGTAAAATGGCATGAATACTTTGGAAACCAGTTTGACAAATTTTTGTAAAATTAAACCCACGACCCATTAGTTTCTCTCTTAGATATTTACTCATGTTAAATAAAAAATGAAAACTTATGTCCACAGAAAGACTTGTATGAATATTCATAGCAACTTAACTCATGATACCCCAAACTAAACATCAAAATATTCCATAACAGGATAAGAAATCTATGGCCCATTATTACAGTGGAATACAACATAGCTTTAGAAACAAACTACTCATACATTTAATAACATCAATAAATCTCAAAATTAGTACATTGAGCAAAAGCCATACATTAACATATGCATATACATATATATATACATTTACATAAAAGGTACACACTGAATGGTTCTTTTATTGAAAGATTAAGATGAAGCAAAAGTATTCTTTTTTTTTTCTTTTTGAGATAGGATCTCACTCTCTCACTCTGTTACCCAGGCTGGAGTGCAATGGCCTGATCACAGCTCACTGCAGCCTCAATCTTCTGGGCTCAAGCCATTGTCCCACCTCAGCCTTTCAAGTAGCTGGAACTACAGGCACATGCCACCATGGCTGTAGAGACGAAGTCTTCCTATGTTGCCTAGGCTGGACTCAAACTCATGGCCTCAAGTAATCCTCCTGCCTTGACCTCCCAAACTACTGGGATTACAGGTGTGAGCCACCACACCCAGCCTATACTGTAAATGTTTTTGCTTTTATAGAGACAGGGTCTCCCTATGTTGCCCAGGTTGGTCTCAAACTCCCAGGCTCAAGCAATCCTCCCACCATGGCCTGTCAAAGTTCTGAGATTATATGTGTGAGCCACCATACCCAGCCTTCTATGATTATTGAAATCAGAACAGTGATTGCCTTTGGGAGTGAAGACTAACTGGAAAGAAGCATAAAGATACTCTCTGCACTAATAGAAATGTTCTATATCTTGATTAGATAGCTGATTACTCACAAAACTCTACGAAGATTTGTATATTTTATGTAAATTATGCCTTGATGAATAAAAAACATTATTGAAAATGCTGTTACCTTGTGACATTTCAAGGGTTTTGTAAGTTGTGTAATTTCTTTTCTCATTCTATATTTGGCTTGTACTACTTTTGTGATTGTAATTTTAGGTTTATTTTCTGAAAGATGGGCTTCCTGACTATATACATTTCAGACCCCGAAAGATGGATGCACAGTGGAGTGATTTTTTTCTACAGTTATGCTTCTCTCAACTCAAAGTCACTATTGAGGGCTTTTTTCTTCTTATCCCTATTCCTCAATTTCTACCACTATCACATTTATCTTCTTTATCTAATGAAGTCACTTTATTTAATGAAACTTTATTTAATAATCCAGAAAAATTTATGTTCCATTTCTTTATTTTTTTTTTTTTTGACGGAGTCTCACTCTGCTGCCCAGGCTGGAGCACAGTGGCGTGATCTCGGCTGACTGCAACCTATGCCTCCCGGATTCAAGTGATTCTCCTGCCTCAGTCTCCCAAGTAGCTGGGATTACAGGTGCCCACCACCATACCCACCTAATTTTTTGTATTTTTAGTAGAGACGGGGTTTCACTGTGTTAGCCAGGATGATCTCGATCTCCTGACCTCGTGATCTGCCTCGGCCTCCCAAAGTGCTGGAATTACAGGCGTGAGCCACCGCACCCGGCCCCACCCAGCTAATTTTTGTACTTTCAGTAGAGACAGGGTTTCACCATGTTGGCCAGGCTGGTCTTGAACCCCTCACCTCAACTGATGCATCCATCTCAGCCTCCCAAAGTGCTGGGATTACAGGCGTGAGCCACCACACCCAGCCCTCAGTTATTTTTCTTATATTTCCTTCATATATCAATTTTTAAAGCATGACCATAATTATACATATTAACCACTCTGTCTCTTCCACTATAGTGTAGATTCTTCAAGGAAAGGAACCATCTCTTCTTTCTCCTTTGGTACTATCAAGCAACATCTTCGACATCTACTTCATCTACTGGAAGAAACCTCCCACGTTCTCCAGAGTTGTCAACCATGTACCAGGATATGATGCAAATATAAAGGGATCATTGCTTTTATCTTGTCCTCTTACAGTCAAATGTCCAGAATTAACATCTACGTTTGTGGCTCCTCAAAACAACTTAGATTCACAATTCATGGATTGCTTTATGAATTTATTCACAAAATTGAGACTGAAAGGAAAGTAAAAATTCACCATGCAAGGCCAGGCGTGGTGGCTCACACCTGTAATCCCAGCACATCGGGAGGCTGAGGCGGGCAGATCACGAGGTCAGGAGTTTGAGACCAGCCTGGCTAACATGGCAAAACTCTGTCTCTACTAAAAATACAAAAATTAGCCAGGCGTGGTAGCACATGCCTGCAATCCCAGCTATTAGGGAAGCTGAGGCAGGAGAATTGCTTGAACTCAGAGGGCAGAGGTTGCAGTGAGCCGAGATCAAGTCACTGGATTCCAGCCTAGGCAACAGAGCGAGGCTCCATCTCAAAAAAAAAAAAAAAAAAAAAGATACAGGAAATTGTTTGTGTAAAGGCTAAAAATAATAATAAGAAAGTCGGTTTGAAAAGCTGAACATGGGCTGGGCGTGGTGGCTCACGCCTGTAATCCCAGGACTTTGGGAGGCTGAGGCAGGTGGATCACCTGAGGTCAGGAATTCGAGACCAGCCTGGCCAACATGGTGAAACCACGCCTCTACTAAAAATACAAAAATTAGCTGGGCGTGGTGGTGCACCCCTGTAATCCCAGCTCCTCAGAAGGCTGAGGCAGGAGAATCACTTGAACCCAGGAGGCAGAGGTTGCAGTGAGCCAACATCACGCCACTGCACTCCAGCCTGGCTGACAACATTGCCCCGGGGGGGGCCTTGTTCCCAGAGCTCCCAAGATGGTGGCGGGCCGCTTCCAAGATGGTGGCAAGCCTCTTGTTCTCTGACCTGGGGTTCTTGGCCTCACGGATTCCAAGGAATGAAATCTTGGGCCATGCGATGAGTGTTATAGCTCTATTAGAAGCTGTGGGTCACAGAAGAGAACCACGGAAAGTGGTGACTAGTGTTCAGCACGATTAGGACAAATCCGGGCACTTAGCCATGCAGGAACAATGGCAAGCCTTTTACCGGATCGGGAGCGGCAATGGGTGCCTCACTGGATCAGGAGCACAGGGGACACCCTGCTGGATCCGGAGGGATGGAAGTCAGCGGCAGGTCTGTGATGGCAGCCAACAGCAGTGGTGGACGGCGAGCGAAAGCTCAGCTCGAGAGGTAACAAACATGGACCAGAAGAGTGTGCAGTTGCAAGATTTAATAGAGTGAAAACAGAGCTCCCATACAAAGGGAGGGGACCCAAAGAGGGTAGCCGTTGACATCTCGAATGCCTAGGTTTATATCCCAATCACTGTCCCTCCCGCTGTGCTCTCAGGGGATAGATGATTAGCTATCTCTTTACCTCCTGTTTTTGCCAAATTAGCATTTTAGGGAGCTCTCTTTACTACCTGATTGGTCGGGTGTGAGCTAAGTTGCAAGCCCTGTGTTTAAATGTGGATGCAGTCACCTTCCCAGCTAGGCTTAGGGATTCTTAGTTGGCCTAGGAAATCCAGCTAGTCCTGTCTCTCAACACGGTGAGACTCCAGCTCAAAAAAAAGCTAATCATTATTTGTCATGGCTAAAAAGTAGATAGTACTTGGTAGAGAAGTGAGAAATTATAGTCAGGGCATTAGTGGCCTTATATACATCAGCAAGTAGTTTAGATATTATCCTGGGGATTTTCTTTCAGTATATTAGTACTAGTTAATCAAAAAATATTAGCTATATATACAGCAAATAATTTATCTCTGCCTCCATAGAACTCACCATTAATGGAAAAGACAGATAATAAAGAAAAAATTAAAATATAATAAAATGATGTTAAGCATATAGCTACAGCGGAAAAAATATTTATAACATTTAATGAATACAGTTATGTTACCCTGTGCTTAAGCATCAAAAAATACCCTTTGTTTTCTTTGCTCAGCCTTGTTTTCCAAGCATCTATTACAGTGCCTGACACGTAACAAACAGGCAACAATTTTTTTCATGGATAAGCAAATCAATAATTGAATTGAACTTTATGGAATGAATGTGAGTTAATTAAACAGACAGTGGATAGGCATTTAGCCAGGAGTGAGAAGCCTGCATGTATGAAAACCTAGGACATTGAGAGAGTGTCGTATGTTCAAGAACCCGAAAGAAGCCCCAGAGAGCTGAGTGGAGAAAGCAATATGTAGAATACTAGGAGCTAGGCCTGGAGAGGGAGATAAAATCTGTCCCATACACAGTATATAATCTATTTTAAAGATTTTGAAAGTTTTTTTAAGGTGATGAGAAGTTACCAATCTATTTGTGTTAGGGGAATTACGACATCATTTTACCACTTTAAAAGATAGGTTTGGCCAGGCATGGTGGCTCATGCCTATAATCCCAGCACTTTGGGAGGCAGAGGCAGGTGGATCACCTGAGTGTGGGAGTTCGAGATTAGCCTGACGAACACGGAGAAACCCTGTCTCTACTAAAATTACAAAATTAGTCAGGCGTGGTGGCACATGCCCGTAATCCCAGCTACTCGGGAGGCTGAGGCAGGAAAATCGCTTGAACTCGGGAGGCAGAGGTTTCGGTGAGCCGAGATCGCGCCATTGCACTCCAGCCTGGGCAACAAGAGTGAGACTCCATCTCAAAAAAAAAAAAGAAGGTAGTTTTATAAAGAACTGGTGCCATGGAAAAATTAATAATAAGAAGATAATTTTTGCATTATTATGGAGACCATTTGTGATGACTGGGAAGTAAACAGATGTAAAGATAACAGTTAGAAGTCTCTTTGTGCAGTTTAGGAAAGAAATTATTGAAGTTGGGACTTGGGGGATGGCAATGAGGATGGGAAACAGTGGATACACTGAGGATTTTTTTTAGGAAGTAGGAACAAACAGACCTTAACATTGCTGAGTGAGTGAAATTTGAAAGGAGCCAAGGAAACAAACGTCTTCATATATTGAGCAATTAGGTGAGTAGAGGTTTAGCAGAGCTGCAGAAGAATATGCAGATTTCAAATATGTTCTTTTGAGATTGCCATGGGATGTCAAGGTAGATTGTTTGGAGAACTGTACATAAATACTCTAGAAACCATGTGAATCACAGAAATAGATTAGGGAATATGATGGTGATTCGTTTTCTGAAAGGAAATGAGTTGTCCCAGGAAAAGAGATAGAGATATAAAAGAAAAGGACTGAGAATAAAGTCCCATGAAGTTTCCATATTTAATAAATAGAACTTTGTGGAGGAAAAGTTAAATATTAAATATGAACTCAATCGAACATGGACACAATGGTCACCAAGTCCTGGAACAGGTTGTGTGAGCCCCTTGAAGCGTTCATCCAGCACTGTTTTGGAAAAATCTCTCTTTCAATCTATTCCTATACGTTAGTTTTTGAAAAACAATAGACAATCCCCAAAACAAGTTGACCTCTTTGTGTTCCTTGAGCCCAGTTGCAGAGGGCCTTCATGACTGGGCCTCATGCCAAACAACTTGTTACAAAAAGAGCTAGGTCCCAGACTGCACAGAAGCTTCATGAGACCTCTCCTCATCTTGCATGGAGGAGTGGCCCACTCTGGAGCCCAGGCTGTTGCTTCCCAGTCTGGTGGTGAATCCTCCATAGTTTGGTGAATGTAAATCTCTTTTCCCTTCTCCCCTTCCCATTGCAATTTGCTTAATATATCAATCTGCTTATTATATCAAATTGCTTATTATGTCATTTGCTTATTATATCAATTTGCTTATTATATTAATTTGCTTATTATATCTGCATTGCCATTTATGTGGGATAAAGCTTGTTTACCCTTAAAGGTATTGTGTGTGTGCCTTTTCTTTTCCCCTCACACGTCTCCCTCACAAAATAAACCTTAGAAGCACAATTGTGAAAAATAGAAAACACAGGGGTGTCAGAAATATTAGGGGACTAAAATGTTTCTGGGAGAGAGGGATGAAAGTTCTTTAAGTTAAAAAGTGCTGGCAAGGCATGATGGCTCAAGCCTGTAATCCCAGGACTTTGGGAGACCGAGGCGGGCGGATCACCTGAGGTCGGGAGTTTGAGACCAGCCTGACCAACATGGAGAAACCCTGTCTCTACTAAAAATACAAAATTAGTTGGGCGTGGTGGCACACGCCTGTAATCCCAGCTACTGGGGAGGCTGAGGCAGGAGAATTGCTTGAACCCAGGAGGCAGAGGTTGCAGTGAGCTGAGATCCCACCATTGCACTTCAGCCCAAGCCAACAACAGAGAGTCTCTGTCTAAAACAACAAAAAAAAGGCTAAACCTGGCTTGGTACTGTGGCTCATGCCTGTAATCCTAGCACTTTGGGAGGCTGAGGCAGGAAGATCGCTTGAGTATAGGAATTCCAGGCTACCCTGGGCAAAATAGTGAGACTTCATCTCTACAAAAAAACAAAAAAATTAGCTGGGTGTGGAGGAGTATGCCTGTGGTTTCAGCTACTCAAGAGGCTGAAGCAAGAAAATTACTTGAGCCTCAGGAGGTTGAGGCTGCAGTGAGCCATGATCACGTCACTGAGCTCAGCTTGGGCAGCAGAGTGAGATCTGCTTTCAAAATAAATAAATAAAAATAAAGACAAAGATTAAATTAAATTAAAATTAATAGTGTTAAACCTCACTCTAGGCAGAAGATATCTGTCAGGTGACTGGTTGTATACATTAAACAAAGAACTTTATGGTAAAACCTCCAGAGGAAACCCAGACCTTGTGTGTTGCCATATACAATAACCATGCAATATTTGCTACTCTTGGTCTTGCAAAAAAAAAACAAACATTAGCTGTGATTATGAGTCTTTCATGTGACATAGTCTCTCATATTTGAACAGTATTGAGGTAGTCTGTAAATATGTCAAACTGGATCTTTTTTTTTTTTTTTTTTTTGAGACAGAGTCTCACTCTGTCGCCCAGGCTGGAGTGCAGTGGCGCGATCTTGGCTCACTGCAAGCTCCATCTCCCGGGTTCATGCCATTCTCCTGCCTCAGCCTCCCAAGTAGCTGGGACTACAGGCACCTGCCACCACGCCCGGCTAATTTTTTGTATTTTTAGTACAGATGGGTTTTCACCGTGTTAGCCAGGATGGTCTCGATCTCCTGACCTAGTGATCCGCCCGCCTCAGCCTCCCAAAGTGCTGGGATTACAGGCGTGAGCCACCATCCCTGGCCCAAACTGGATCTTTTATCTCACCTTTTGGAAACAAATTACCCACTTTTATGAGTTATATAAATATAAATAATAATATATTTATATATTATATTATATATAATTAAATATATATTAAAATATATATATTTATATATTTTATATAAATATAAATAATATTATTAATAATAATACAAAAATGTATTATTTTAATCTGATAAAACATTTCTATTGTTTAAAATTTGGCAAATAAAAGTTTGAGAAAGAAAAAATGCACGTACAGCACAGCACCCAATGAAAACTATTATTAATATATTTATATATATATTTAAAAGTGTTCATTACACACATGCAATTGATATAGTCATACAATGTGTATGCATGCATAGAATCAATATCATAATGTAGAATATATTTCATAACCAGTATTTAGGAATCTTTGAATGTCTCAAGGTTTTACTGATAAACAATGAAACTGAATTTTTAGCATTCATAGCATGAAGATGGGAATCATGATACTCCCCTTGCATCAACCATTATAGTGAATAATGAGTCTTCAATAAATTTTACTAACTGGTTGATTGCCAGCAATAATAACAATAATAATAAATTACTTTTCACTGACAGAATAAGCCAAAACAATAGTGTGGTGTTAGTGTTTTTCAGCCCTTTTTTGCTCTCCAACATTAAGCAGTTTGGAATGAAATAGATACACAAAGACACGACACACACATATTAATTGGATGTTCTTGTGTAACCATGCTCCTATATAAAAGTTGATTTTAGTCAATCTTCTTTTTTAGTAAACTTATTTTTATTTTGTATTGTGTCTGTTTTCTATACTACTTATAAGTTCAGTTAGGAAGTTCTATGTTATTTCTTCAGGAATAAATTTACTAAAACCATCAGGAATTGTCTACAGATAAATTAAGTTTTAATGGAAAAGTGAAGAGCAAGAAAGAACGCATACAGATGTAAGGGAAAGAATGGAATCCGTCTATTTTTACCACGTTAGTGATCTGGAGCAAAACTTCCATTTTAAATAGATAATGCAAGTGTAAACAAAGCACAGATAGTATCCAGACAGCAGTGATCAGGAGGATGTTGCTTCTCAGCACAAAGCTTCATCAATGTTAAAATGCTGCTTCTTTCCAGTAGGGAAATGTGGAGCTTTGTTTGCCGTAAGAAATGTGAAGACTACATATGCTCGCCCTTGTAAAAACAGGTCAGGTTTCAAAGAAGACATTTTTATGCTTAAAGTTACAAGACAAACAATTCTCATCGGCATTGGTTTGTTTATTTAATTTTAGTCTTAGTTACATTTTCTACAAGTGAAATTTGAAAGATTTGTGGGACTAGCTACAGGCAGAAGTCATCATGGCTAATGCAACTCCATTCTAGCAAAAGCTGTTTCTCATTGGGCATGAGGTTAAAGTAAAACAAACAAAAAAACAAAACTGTAATACATAAGATATGACTGTTATGGGACTGGAACAGAAATTCTTATGCTATCCTGTGCCTTTTCAGTTCCTTGTCCTCTAAGCATCATTGGCAAATTGAGCCTGTACCAATTCATGTATTGACCCTATAAATGATGATAGTGGTTTTGGCAATTCTTTCTTGACTCATCAAAAAGGGAAATTAATAGACAATGTTAATTTACTGCTGACTTTTCTTATTAGATCAATGAGATGAAGAGTCTACCCAGCACCCAAGAGAGTGTTTGAAACATAATAAGCACTCTATACATATTTGTTATTTAAAATAATTAGTAGCTATTATGATTAAGGACATTTTCTTTTTTTTTTTTTTTGGATCTTATCTATGCAGTTAACACTTATAAACATACAGAATTAGTTTTTGGAGCAAGAAACCAGTGTATTGGGGTATGGCAGAGAACATCTGTGTGTACAAAAACTTAATGGAAGGTGTCTTAGTTTGTTCAGCTTGCTATAATGAATTCTTAGACTGGGTAATATATAAGCAACAGAAATTTATTTCTCACAGTTCTGGAGGGTGTGAAGTCCAAGATTAAGTTACCAGCAGATTCAGTATCTGATAAGGGGTGGCTCTCTGCTCCATAGATAGTGTTTTGCTGCTGTGTCCTCACATGATGGAAAGGAACTAGCAGGCTCCCTCAAGCCTCTTGATAAATGCACTAATCCTATTCATGAGGGCTCTGCCTTCATGACTTAATGACCTCCTGAAGGCCTCACCTCTTAATACCATGTCCTTGGGAGTTAGGCTTCAATATATGAAATTTGGAGGGACACCAGCATTCAAACATTCAGCAAAAGGTGTTTTGTCTTCATGAAGCTTTTCCTCTATGTCATTCCATCGGCTCTCCATGTTCTGACACAACTACAGTTCCTATCTTTAAAATGTTCCCACTAGGGCAATCTCTCTATAATTAATGCAAATGTATAATCATCCATCTATTCCCTTTTAAAGCAATTAAAGCTCCTAATAGGTTTTTCTAAGACTTTGAGATAAAACAGAAAATTTTTTTAAAGGATGTTTTTTCCAATTCTGTGAAGAAAGTCTTTGGTAGCTTGATGGTATGGCACTGAATCTATAAATTACCTTGGGCAGTATGGCCATTTTCACGATATTGATTCTTCCTATCCATGAGTACAGAATGTTCTTCCATTTGTTTGTATCCTCTTTTATTTCATTGAGCAGTGGATTGTAGTTCTCCTTAAAGACGTCCTTCACGTCCCTTGTCAGTTGTATTACTAGGTATTTTATTCTCTTTGAAGCAATTGTGAATGGGAGTTCACTCATGATTTGGCTCTCTGTTTGTCTGTTATTGGTGTATAAGAATGCTTGTGATTTTTGCACATTCATTTTGTATCCTGAGACTTTGCCCAAGTTGCTTATCAGCTTAAGGAGATTTGGGGCTGAGATGATGGGGTTTTCTAAATATACAATCATGTCATCTGCAAACAGGGACGATTTGACTTCCTCTTTTCCTAAATGAATACCTTTTATTTCTTTCTCCTGCCTGACTACGCTGGCCAGAACTTCCAACACTATGTTGAATAGGAGTGGTGAGAGAGAGCATCCCTGTCTTGTGCCAGTTTTCAAAGGGAATGCTTCCAGTTTTTGCCCATTCAGTATGATATTGGCTGTGGGTTTGTCATAAATAGCTCTTATTATTTTGAGATACGTCCCATCAATACCTAATTTATTGAGAGTTTTTAGCATGAAGCACTACTGAGTTTTGTCAAAGGCCTTTTCTGCATCTATTGAGATAATCATGTGTTTTTTGTCTTTGGTTCTGTTTATATGCTGCATTACATTTATTGATTTGCGTATGTTGAACCAGCCTTGCATCCCAGGGATGAAGCCCACTTGATCATGGTGGATAAGCTTTTTGATGTGTTGCTGGATTCAGTTTGCCAGTATTATATTGAGGATTTTTGCATCGACGTTCATCAGGGATATTGGTCTAAAATTCTCTTTTTTGGTTGTGTCTCTGCCAGGCTTTGGTATGAGGATGGTGCTGGCCTCATAAAATGAGTTAGGGAGGATTCCCTCTTTTTCTATTGATTGGAATAGTTTCAGAAGGAAGGGTACCAACTCCTCCTTGTACCTCTGGTAGAATTCAGCTGTGAATCCGTCTGGTCCTGGACTTTTTTTGGTTGGTAGGCTATTAATTATTGCCTCAATTTCAGAGCCTGTTATTGGTCTATTCAGGAATTCAACTTCTTCCCTGAACCAAAAAAGAGCCTGCATTGCCAAGACAATCCTAAACCAAAAGAACAAAGCTGGAGGCATCACGCTACCTAACTATCCTACAAGGCTACAGTAACCAAAACAGCATGGTACTGGTACCAAAACAGAGATATAGATCAATGGAACAGAACAGAGCCCTCAGAAATAATACCACACATCTACAACCATCTGACCTTTGACGAACCTGACAAAAACAAGAAATGGGGAAAGGATTCCCTATTTAATAAATGGTGCTGGGAAAACTGGCTAGTCATATGTAGAAAGCTGAAACTGGATCCCTTCCTTACACCTTATACAAAAATTATTTCAAGATGGATTAAAGACTTAAATGTTAGACCTAAAACCATAAAAACCCTAGAAGAAAACCTAGGCAATACATTCAGGACATAGGCATGGGCAAGGACTTCATGTCTAAAACACCAAAAGCAATGGCAACAAAAGCCAAAATTGACAAATGGGATCTAATTAAACTAAAGAGCTTCTGCATAGCAAAATAAACTACCATCAGAGTGAACAGGCAACCTACAGAATGGGAGAAAATTTTTGCAATCTACTCATCTGACAAAGGGCTAATATCCAGAATCTACAAACAACTCAAACAAATTTACAAGAAAAAAACAAACAACCCCATCAAAAAGTAGGCAAAAGATATGAACAGACTCTTCTCAAATGAAGACATTTATGCAGCCACCAGACACCTGAAAAAATGCTCATCATCACTGGCCATCAGAGAAATGCAAATCAAAACCACAATGAGATACCATCTCACACCAGTTAGAATGGTGATCATTAAAAAGTCAGGAAACAACAGGTGCTGGAGAGGATGTGGAGAAATAGGAACACTTTTACACTGTTGGTGGGACTGTAAACTAGTTCAACCATTGTGGAACACAGTGTGGCAATTCCTCAGGGATCTAGAACTAGAAATACCATTTGACCCCGCCATCCCATTACTGGGTAGATACCCAAAGGATTATAAATCATGCTGCTATAAAGACACAGGCACACGTATGTTTACTGCAGCACTATTCATAATAATAAAGACTTGGAACCAAGCCAAATGTCCAACAATGATAGACTGGATTAAGAAAATGTGGCACATATACACCATGGAATACTATGCAGCCATAACAAAGGATGAGTTCATGTCCTTTTTAGGGACGTGGATGAAGCTGGAAACCGTCATTCTCAGCAAACTATCACAAGGACAAAAAACCAAACACCACATGTTCCCACTCATAGGTGGGAATTGAACAGTGAGAACACTTGGACACAGGAAGGGGAACATCACACACTGGGGCCTGTCGTGCGGTTGGGGAACGGGGGAGGGATTGCATTAGGAGATAAACCTAATGTAAATGACGAGTTAATGGGTGCAGCACACCAACATGGCACATGTATGCATATGTAACAAACCTGCACGTTGTGCACATGTACCCTAGAACTTAAAGTATAATAAAAAAATTAAATTAAATTAAATTTTTAAAAAAGGATGTTATAAGATAGAGTCCTATGTCCAAGAAATGCTAACTTTAAACAGACTCGCAGTCTGTACCCATTTTTTGTGTGTGATTTTTCTACTCTCAGACTTCTAATGTGTCTAAGATTCCGTTTTATTATATAAAAAGTGAAGTTATCGCACTGGACGATTTCTGGACTCACTTCTCAGCTATAAAAATAATCTAAAATTACTTACATAAATATAAATTTTAAAAAGTCTTTCTCTAAAGATCTTTGACAATAACATGGTTTAAGCATAACCTTTCCTGGAAAAAAAGAAGAGAGTTAAAAATATCTAATTCTTGGCTAGACACAGTGGCTCACGTCTGTAATCCCAGCACTTCGGGAGGCAGAGGTGGGCACATCACGAGGTCAGGAGTTCAAGACCAGCCTGACCAATATGGTGACACCCCATCTCTACTAAGAGTACAAAAATGAGCCAGGTGTGGTGGCGTGCGCCTCTAGTCCCAGCTACTCGGGAGCCTGAGGCAGAAGAATCGCTTGAACCTGGGAGGCGGAGGTTGCAGTGAGCCGAGATCGTGCCACTGCACTCCAGCCTGGGCAACACAGTGATACTTCATCTCAAAAAAAAAAAAAAAAAAAAAAAAAAAGAATCTAATTTTTAGGGCTCCTTTTAAATAGAAATTCTTATTATTACGGTTTCAGGAGATGGACACTGATGTTTGCTTTAAGCCCTGTGGAGTAACATTCATGACATTCATGTAAAATAGCAGTCATAATTCTAATAGAAAAATAAGAGCTACCACTAGTTTTTATTTTGTTAATGGACTAGAATGCTGCTCTAAGTAAAACATTCTGTGACGAAATATAGTTCAGACTTTTTCAATCCATGCCTCTACAATTCAATAAGCATACCAAGTAAAAACAAATATACCTTTAATTTTTCTCTAACCCTTGGTAATTTCTTTTTTATATTCCATAGGTTCAAAGCCTTTGGCAAGCAATAACATCAACCTGAAATTTAATAACATTGTTTGTACTGATTGTGTTTATTCTTACAGTTACCTTCCTTTAACGACAAGTGATACCTTCTCCCCATTCATAACGGTGATATAAATGTTTCTTCTAGAGTAGATTTAGGCAAAAGAAAGTAAATTGATTTTAAACATAATAAATGATTAAAAGTATAGGTCACATGTGGATAAAATAAAAATAGTGAAAGTGATAATTAGATGTCTGAAGATTTTGAAAGCATAGACTTAGAAGTAGATGTGATTTATTTGCAGCTCTCCTGATCACGTCTGATGTCTTAGATAATCATAATAACCTTATCTCACTTGCTTCCAATATGATTTGCTTGCCAATATCCTATAAAAAAAGTCTCATTCAGGGAGAACCAAGTGTGTGTCTGGTTATATGTTCAATTTTAGAATTTACTATTTAATGATGGTTTTTGTCTGGATCAAATGAAAATCAGAGATTTCTGACTTAACCAGTGTCTGTAAATGGGCAAACCAGTTCAGATTCTGTCTTTGACAACCTGCCAAAATTTCTTTATACTTGAAAGATATCTGGAGCAAGATATGTATTTCTCTATATGTATTATCTTATACTAAGGACAGATAGGTAAGGTTGTATAATCCCCCTCTTTTGGTAGCAATTGTAAAACACCTATCAATATTGTAAATTGACATAGGTTTTTTCCTCAAAATTCTGCTGTAGAAATTTAGTCTACCAGAAAAACTACTGCAAGTGATCTATGATATAGATGCAAGAATATTTATTTAAGCATTATTCATATAATAATAATTGGAGTTTAAGCAAATTTCCTTATTTTCTATGCTTGGTTTCAAGGATACTTCATTTATTCTTCTGGTTTTCCTTCTAACTCTTGAGCCACTGCTTCCAGACCTGGCTGTTTCTCTTCATCACCTTGAACTGTTAATAGTCGAGTGCTTCAGGGCTAGCTTCTTTCAACTTTTTCTTGATCTACCCTTTATGCCTTGGTATTTTATCCAATATTAAGGTTTTAAATAGCCTTTAAACATTGATAATTTGCCTCATTCTTTCTCTTGTTCCTTTTCTCTAAAATCAAGACATATTTCATTTTGATACTAAGAGTGGTTCCAGAGAAACGGAATTTTAAAGATGACTTTTCTAAGTTGGCTTTGGGGTTTCTGGGATTGGCTTTTTAATCTTTTTAGATTTGAATAGGCTGATGACTCTATTTCCAGTAGTAAAAAGACCGCTGGTGGTCCATCGTGAGCAACTATTTATGGAGATTCAGTTATAATAGGTAGCTCAGGTCACATGGTTACTTACACAGCGCAAAGTCAAGCATTCTGTCTTTACTAAGGTCCAGTATCAAGGCCGAGGACCATCTTTAAAAAAAAAAAAGTTATTTGAAGAAGGTTGCAAGTCCTTGCTCCGAAAACCTAAAGGTCTGCACTGTGATTCAGCTATAGCGGCCTGCCATAGGTTCTAAACAGCATCTTTATCTACCATGGACACCTGAAGCACCCTTGGATTTGTTGAATCATACGCTCCAAGGGGCAGACCAGCTTACACAGAATACTGGACCTGCTACAGAGCCTTCCGGTATTCTGGGACCTACTCAAAACTATCAGATTTTCAGTATACACAACTGAGTGAATTGTCTCCAAAATCCATACTGGCCCACTAGATGTTGTGTATCTTTCTTGATTGTATTAGGAGCCAGATGCAAAAACTTATCTCTCACTTAATTTTCCCCAAATGTTCAAAAATATCCTTGCTTCTTATAAGAGGTTGATTACAAATTATCCAATGCCGATATTTCGTATACAGGGAACATTTTCCTTCACAACTGACCTCCAGGGATGTCCTAGAGGTGAGCAGTAGTGCTACAGCTGTCCACTTTTGGGTGTTACCTGCATATTCTGCAAAACTGTATGTAAACCATGACCAGGTCTTCTCTTTCTCTGTCAACTGATCGTAGGAAACTCCTCATGATGCCATAGGTGAGCGTTTGGAGAAATGAGGCAGTGTAGCAAGAGTGGGTACCATGGGCATTTGGGCCTCTTCCTAATGAAACTTACTTGTGCCTTCAGGGGCTGTTCAGGCCCTATCACACACATACCACTTCCATTTGATAATGGAGTGTGCTATGCACTCCCCACTTTATGAATTTGTGGGTTAGGTATAGGCATAACTTTGGGCAGGGAACCTGGTTGTATACTTTGCTTGGGAGGAGAAATGACCAGACATGGGATTGTGTACTGATTCATGGGCTGTAGTCAAAGTTTGGCTGGATGATCAGGGACTTGAAAGTAACATTAAAAGAAAATTGGTGACAAAGAAATTGAGTGAAAAGGTATATGGATAGATGTCTCGGAATGGGGGAAAAAACATGAAGATATTTGTGTCCCGTTTGATTGTTCACAAAAGGATGTCTCAGCAGAGGAGGATTTTAATAATCACATGGATAGAATGATCCATTCTGTGGAAACCAATCAGCTTCTTTCCTCAGTCACTCATCACTGCCCAGTGGGCTCATAAGTAAAGTGGCCATGGTGGCAGCATTGACTCAGCAACATGAATTTCTACTCACCTAGGCTAATCTGGCTTTGGTCAGTGCTGAGTGCCCATATGCCAGCAGTAGACACCAACACTGAGCTCCTGACATAACATCATTCCCTGAGGTGGTCATCCAGGTATCTAGTGGTAGGTTGATTACACTGGACAACTTCCATCCTGGAAGAAGTGAAATTTTGTCCTTTCTGGAATAAACACTTACTCTGAATATGGATTTGCATTCTTTGCATGCAAGGCTTCTTCCAAAACAATCAGTTGTAGATTTACAGAACACCTTCCCCACCACCACAGTATTCCACAGAGCATTGCTTCTTACCAAGAACACATTTTACAGCCAATGAAGTGCAGCAATAGGCCCATGCTCATAGAATTCACTAGTCTTACTGTCTCCACTATCCCAAAGCAACTGGCTGAATAGATGATGGAACGGCCTTTTGAAGATTCAGCTGTAGGATCAACTAGTTGGTGATACCTTGCGGGTTAAGGCAAAAAGATTCCTTAGAATATCTCTTAGTATTGCCATGCTCTGTGATTAAGGTCAACGGAAAATTACAGCAACCCAATTCAGTGAGGACTACAAATAACCAACTATCAGAAATAATAGCAAAAGGAACACAGAATGGGGAGTAGAAAAGTGTAGTTTTAAATGTTAGCTACAATCACATGAGCAGTTAAGGAAATAAAACTATAATCGTGATGGGCATTTCTTTCTTATTTTGTTATGAATATATTGTGTGTATATACATGTATATTAAGTAAATGTTTTTGTTCTTTCCTCTCTTACTCCTTTAACTAGTAACATAAGATGTATTAATTTTATATCATCATTTGAGTATTGGTAATTTTAGGTCATGTGTTTAAGTTACAGGAGAATACCAGGAGAAGGGTAAAGGTCTTCAAAGACTTCATCAACTCTTCTGAAGAGATTAGTACATGTCTGGGTGTAAGCGGGATGATCCTAACATGTTAGGGAGAATTATGTGCTTGCTTTATTTAGAGATTAAGTATGGTTTAAGGAGATACATATGAATGCCAAGCTGACAAGCAGTGGACTTGTGATGGTTAATTTTATGCTTCAACTTGACTGGGCTAAGAGATGCCCAAATAGCTGGTACAACTATTTCGGGGTGTGTCTGTAAGGGGGCTTCTGGAAGAGATTAGTATTTGACTAATCTAATCAGTGGACTGAATAAAGAAGATCCACTCTCATCAATGTGGACAGGCATCACCCATCCACTGGAGGCCAGGATAGGACAAAAGGGTAAAAGAATGGTAAATTTTCTCTCTGTTCTTGAGCTGAGACATCCATCCTCTTCTGCCCTCAGACACCAGAGCTCCTTGTTCTTGGGCTTTTGAACTCCAGGACTTACATAATAACACCTCCCCTGTCTGACCCATGGCCTACCCTTCCCAGTTCTCAGGCCTTTGGCGTTGAACTAGGATGTACAACATCAGCTTCCCTACTTCTTAGGCCTTTGGACTCAGACTGAATGACACCAGAGGTTTTCCTGGTCCTCCACTTTGCAGATGGTATGTCATGGGACTTCTCAGCCTCCATAATTACATGAGCCAATTCTCAGACTAGATCTTCTCTTACATATCTCTATATATCCTATTGGTTCTGTTTCTCTGGAGACGTTTGACTAATATAATATCTAACTGATTACTTTCCATATCCACTTGCCTATCTAATATACATCTCAAATTTAACGTGTTTAAACCGAGCTCTTGATTTTATAGCCTCCTCCAATCCTCCTAGCATAGTAACTGCATTACACCAAGGTAAATAAATCATATTTTACCACATTTTTTCAATCCGCTGCCACATCAACTCTGTCATAAAATCCTATTTGTTCTACCTTCAAATTATTCCACAATAAAACAAAACCCATTTCAGCACCATCATATATAAATTGAAGTGTTGAACGCTTTCCCTTTGAGATCAGAAACAAGATATGGTTTTTTGTTATTGTTTCCATTCTTAGCAGCTCTTTAAGCCAGGAACAAGAAATAAGAGGAAAAAGAATTGCAGATAAGGTTCCTATATACATAGAAACTCCTAAATAAACTGCTAATAAATTACTAGAATTTACAACAGAGTTAATCTAGGTTACTGAATTCAAAGCCCATTTATTCCTATATGCTAAGAACAAAGTTAGAAAAAAAACCATTTACATTAAAAGTAAATAAGTACCTAACAGTAAATCAAACAGAAGATGTGCAAGTTTGCTTTACAGAAAAGCTTGTTAGATGCAGTAAAGAAGATCCAAATATTTAATATTATAAAGATGTCATTTCTTTCCATTTCAATATATAGACACATTGAAACACCACATAAAATCACAAGAATACAAAAGGCCAAATTAGTCGAGACACTTAAATAAAATTATAAGAACTTCTAGATAGCAATACTTATTGCAAAGCTTTTATACTTCACACAGATCATAAGAGAATAGTTCTGGCATAGATGGACACCCCATGTGTTTCAGGATCTACATACAAGCTTGTTCACAGCGTCACTGAACATGGGCAGCTACCCAAGTGTACTAACCATGTTGTCCACTATCCCAGAGCAACTGGCTTGACAGACGATAGAATAGATAAGAATGGATGAATACTTCTAGCATATTTATAGAATGGTGTATAGTCTCAAACAATGTTTACCTACAGAAAATGGAAAAATGATATATAAACATATATAGTTACACATTCAATACAGAATTCTTACCAAGAGTAAGTCAAAAGGCTTCTCCTCATAATGATTTTGTTTTCAATCACCATAGTAACAAATTACCACAAGGTTAGTGGCTTAAAACAATAAAAAGTTATTGTCTTATAGATACTGAGCTCAGAAGTCTGAAATCAGTTTCACTGGGCAAAAATCAAAGTGTCAGCAGGTTTACTTTCTATGGCTAGAGACCACCAGCATCCTTAGCTCATGGCCCCTTCATCCATCATCAACTCCAGTAGCGTAGCATTTTAAAACCTCTGCCTGCTTCCACTGTCATATTGTCTCTATCTCTCTGATTATATCAGGCCTTCTGAGACTACATTGGATCTACCTGGGTAATCCAGGAAAATCTCCCCTTATCAAGATAACTTAATCACACCTGCAAAGTCCTTTTCGCCACAAAACATAACATATTCATAGGTTCCAGAAATTTTAATTCAGGCATTTTTCAGGGGGCATTATTTAGTCTACTGCGATGATACATAAGATTATATTGGCTACAAAAGCACTGAAATGCTATCTTATTGAAGAGGAAATTTATTCCAAAGCAGTTGATCAATATTTATGTGCAACTAGCAAGAAAAAATATTTCTGTTTAAAATTTTGCATTTCATCATCACTAACAAATATTAATTAGCACCTCAGCAATGGAGAATAAAGGAGCTAACTATAGGTTCATGTCAGCTACTGGCGTCCTTTGTGTGAGTGATAATCTCATCAAATACCATTTCTAAAAATTTGATATATAAGATCCCTTTTGTGTTTATAAAACCTTAATGACTTTTTAGACCCCTACCCTCAAACTCTAACCAGTAAATTTTCTTTATGACTTTGAAATCCCTTAGTGTAGAATTTAAGAAAAAAATAATTAAAAAAAAATTTTTCCAGACAAGTGTTCTGTATAAAGGTAAAAATATATTTATGAATTCACTTTTTACAAAATTTCCAGCCGCATTTATCTATTTAGTCATTAATTTCATCATTTATATAAATATTTATTGGATGCCTACTATGTATCAGGAATTATGGCAGAATCTGGGAACACACCATGGAAAAAGGTAACATACTTACCCTTAATTTTTCACTTAAGTAGCACAGCAAGTAACGGATGAAGGTACTCTTACAATAAAAGGAGAATAAAAGGAGAATGTTTTATGCTAAGAATTTTAACAGGGATATAAACCCATCATAGCGAAAAGAGAATAAAAGAAGCCCTTATTTCTCCCTGGGTGATTCAATTAAGGCTTAAAGTGGAGATGACACATTAAGGTGATACCAGAATGTATGGATAGTAGTATGCCGCTGGGCAAGGCCAAGAAAGAAGTTATTCCTAACACAAAGAACAGTATGTGCTAAGTCAGCCTTTCTCAGCTGAGAAATGTTGTACCCAGGGAACATTTATCAATGTCTAAAGAACTAGGCAATGGCTGCTGTCACAGCTGGAGGAACAGGTGCTACTGGCATCTAGAGGGTCCAGACCAGAGATGCTGGTAAGCCTTCTACAATGCACAGAAGCACTCTCCACAATGAATTAGTCACCCCAGAATGTTAATAGTGTCACATTTGAGAAATCTTGTTCTAATTTATGCAAAAGTGAGATAGCATATCATGTTGTGAAAATCACAAGAGGCTTCATTTATGGCTGCTATTTATTGTGACCATACTATATATAGTACTGTTTGAGTATAACGGCAAGTTGAAATGAAGCTGGGGGAATGAAGTAGGGAAGCTTTAAAAAAATAATTAGTGGGAAAATAATAAAAATTTTCATAAGGATAGGAGGAAAATGATAAAATATTATGAATAAAATATTGTCATTAAAGAAAATCCCTTCAAAAAAACTATTTAGCCATTCAGTCTAATATACACAGGTATAACATACCCATCCTCAAAGAGTACAATGTAGAGATTATATTTAGAAAAAAATATGATTTATGCAGTTACCACTATGGAAAGCTGGCTTGATTGATTATTGTATTCCAAAATTAGCATCTAAAATTCTTAGCGTCTGAATATGTATTTTGTATTATGACCTATTGTATTAGATTTATATTATTATTATTTTTAAAATATGTTTTCTTTTAACATCATATAGATAATATACTTTTTTTTTTTTTTTACCAATTCCTAGTAAATTATCCCACAAACCGAAAGGTATTTTTCCGATTTGTTATTCTCATCATGTCTGTAATCACCTCTTTAGGAACCCAAAAGACAAAGTACTCAAGCGTCTGAGAATGTTCACGAATCACCAGATGCAATACCAGAAACATGGTAGGGTGTTTTTAATTGTTTTGCATGCTGTAGAAAAGTTTCAGAAGCCAAGTGAAGCCTGAAATTAAATTTGGGAACTTTATTATACAGTCAGCCCCCCAAAACTATCAGAATTGTGTATGTCTGGACATTGCTTTTGAAAATGCAGGAAAAATAACCTCTGTTTTAATGCACAGTCCTATTGGAAAGTAACTTGTCAATTATGCTGAATAGTGGGTGATTTTCAATGCGTAGAAAATGGACAGGGACTGACCTTAGACTCCTTGAAGCAATGAGCTCAGTTGGTTGTAAACCCAGATCCTTAGGGTGTCAAGGCGGCTGTATTACCCTCTGCATTAAGTAGCCCCTGTGTGTTTACTTTTATTGATGCCCTATATTGTGCTTTCTCAGACAGAACTCATCAGTTGCAGGTTAGTGTCCTTGGTGTTAGAATTTTAGAAAATGTCATTGCAATTTAGGCAGCAGTGATCAAAAGTAACTATCTCATATCACCAGGAGCCAGTTCTAGTTTTTACACTAATCCAAAATAAGTAAAGAACATCATGTTCAAAGGAACTATTTTGTACAAGATTTGACTTTTAAGTCTGATGAATTTATGGGTAAAAAATATTCCTTTTGATCTGAGTTCAGTGGTTTCTACCTCATATCTGAAAAGAGTTAGTGGAATAGATAATAAATTAGATTGGGATGTAAAACTGAGAAGGTACAGGATAATAATTTCTCTAAAAGTTTACTCTCAGGAAAAGTCACATTCAGAAATTGTCCAGTTTCCAAACCACAGCAACCAGGCTACAGAAGGGAAAGGAGTAGAAATTTGCCATTTGTAGAAATCTTCCCTTTTGAAAATCACAATTCTGTTTCTTTAGTCATTAGGAGATCTACTCGGACATCTGCGAACTAGCTTTCACCTCTTAATTCTGATTTTCTGCTGAGGTTTTTTCTTAAGTCTATATAATCTCTTTCCCTCTAGACAAGCCCTGCAGGGCTGCCAATCTCACAAGCATCCATGCTAGTCTGGTGATGTGCCACTGACAGAAGTCTGAATATTTGGTTTCTATGGCTGGAGGTATATTATGAGGTTATTGACTTTGTTCCCTTGAGGTCAATATCAAAATATATTCAAACAAGAAATGCTGCTCAAATAAATGTAATTTTGACAAGAAATGAAAATCAATACATTATATGTGAGTATGTGGGTACACATACACACTGACATCAGTTTATATGATAAAATAAAACAATTCTGAGATGACAGTGAAGTCGTCGCACCAATACATATATCTTTTATATTTTACTGGAAAAAAGCGATAATTTGATAATCTTATCTGTAAATATTTCCAGCTCACTTACTTCTTTTATTAACAAATTATAGCAGGACCTATGTCCTCATCTAAAAATTAAAACCAAGATCTTCCAAATGTCAGTAAGATAAGATTTAATCAATTATTTGTGGCATCACAAGTTAGTTTCTGTTGGACACTCATGCCTTTGAAATTGATCTTTTCTGAGACATTTCTCACATACTCTTAAGATTTCAATCGCTAGCAAGTTCTGAAATGTCCAAGGAGTAAGTAATTGACTAACAGTTTTAAACAAACAATAAGTAATCTTTAAGAACTGACGATAAGTGCCCTAGCTCTTGTTTTAACCACTTTCAAACAAGTGGTTACACTGTCACATCTCAATGCACTGAAATTAAATGAGAATTTCTGTATTTCTTCCTTGCCCTTGACCCCCAGCTATCAGAACAATACCTAGCTGTACGATGAGGCTGAGAAATGTAGGCCTACTTGGGCAGTGATGTTTCTGCCATAATTCATTTTCCTGTGAAACATGGGGAGGAGGTATCTTGTTTTCACAACTAGTGGTTTCCACTACAGAACCTGTTTTTAAAATAAACAATAATTTGATCTCTTTTCTCTAAAATGCCTTATTCCATCAAGAAGTTCCATGCAAATATACTCCCCTTGAATCTGTTTCATTGGTTCATCAAGATTTTCTAAAATAAATCACTTAGGTTCCAGGCAGTCCTCCTCCTATAAAAAGCCAATAAGAGTTAAGGAACTTGGGTGCAGAAAAGTGTGAGTCAGGGGACTTGGGTTGGTTAAGCCTCCTTGCTTTAGCATTTTGAGTTTCAATTTTCCTATCTACAATGAGGTTGTTACACTGGATAATCTCTTTGCCCCCTTTCTTTGTCTAAACTTGTAAGATTCTTAACAGAATATAAGGGGAGAATTTGCTGTGAAATGAATCAAGCCTAAAATTGAGAAAATCCTTCAGCTTATACATAAGGGAGGATACTTGCAATATTATATAGTCATAAGATTTTTCTAAACTTTGCAAAAGTAAGAAATTTTTATTGCAATCAGTAAAATAGCTGTCTCTGCCACATTTCCCCTTGTGGTGGGAGCATTGGAGAAACGAATATTTTATATTAGAATTATTTTATATTTGGATTTCTTTTTCTTAAGGGATCCTAAAATATGAGCCTCAGGTTTCACAAAAACTGGATCCACCCCTACTTATGATGTCTATACTTTCCTTCTTTGGATAGCTTAAACATAACGAGATATTAAAGTAGTTTACTGTATCATAATGGTAGTAATATAAATTAGAAAGAATAACCTTTTAAACGCCTTCCATTCCAAAAGTTCTTATTTGTGCACAGAATGTTAGTTGTTTCAGATCCTATGAATCAATATTTGTATCCAAAGAGCGTTTATAATCCTAAAAGGAACTGTAAAAATGGAGAATTGTTTTCCTTTGGTTAGTGGTCTGGGTTGCTGTATCTAGGAAAATACAGTATCCATGGCAACTTGATGTTCGACTTATAACTTTTGAACACTTTGCTTTTTTTATTTACATTGTTATGATTTATAATCACACTAACGACCTCCCAGTTAGACATTTCCTGACCATTAATGGCAGGCTTTATTAAAGGCCTCTAGTTTCACCCGAGCCTACCAATAGTTTCAATTGGTTATTAATGCCAAGAACATATCCAGTGTGAAGGTCATTATGGCTTAAATAATGCCTTAGAAAGTTATGCAAGGCTAGCAATTAGGTTGGCTTTTAAACGATTTTAGAAAGTCTATCTAAACACTACTATCAGAAAAAAATAATAATAATAAAAGCCCAGCCACTGATGAAACTGAAGAAAATGTTAAAACAATTCTTTCCAGGTTGTTGAGTTTTTAAAAATAGCTTTGAGACTTTAATGATCTGCGAGTTATATATGGTCTGGAATTATTAACTTGCTTACTCTTCCTTAGTCTCCCATTAAGATTCCACCCACTCTTTTTGGAACTGTCTGCCCCAGAATGTATTACCTGCTGTGTTAATTACCTTGCAAAGTCAAGGGTATCACTGGCCTGTTTATGTTAATTGCCCTTGGTGGTTTTACAAGTGAGAAGGAGAAGAGAGCCAAAAATTAATGTGGAAAGCTCTTGAGTTCTACTGTGAACAATCAATTGGACCCATGTTTTAAAATTTTGAGTCATTTAATTTTTTTTTTTTTTTTTACTGTACACCATGCATGCATATATTATATGTGCATACACTATAACACAAAGGGCAAGGGACGATTTAGGCCACAACATATATATTTTCCTTGTTGCTCTCATTACACCTTTTAAACCACTTCAATGCACCCTCTAATATGAACCTCACACCTTTTTCCCCAAATATAAAATGTCTATAAGTTGCTCCTTTTTTAAAAATGACAACGGTCTGTACCTTGCTCTTGTTACAGCAATTTACTCTTTTCATTCCTTCAAAAGCAAACTAAAACCACAGGCTATAATTACCATTGTCATGTAATTTCCTGCCTCATTCCTCAGTTCACTATAATATCCACCTCACCATTCCGCAACATCACTTCAACTAATGCTATCAAAGATACCCCGATTACCATATTGGATTGATGCTCTTTACTTCTTTTCTTGTATGACCTCTTGGA
Organism: Homo sapiens; assembly: GCF_000001405.40. Classification (NCBI taxonomy): domain Eukaryota; kingdom Metazoa; phylum Chordata; class Mammalia; order Primates; family Hominidae; genus Homo; species Homo sapiens. The sequence goes on from NC_000009.12 coordinate 22,899,810, forward strand.
TCCACTTTCAACCAGTCCATATAATCTCAATACTCTTCTTTATCACACAAATATATTACACATTATCATTTCCCTCTAATTACAAATTTCTGTCCTATATTATAGTTCCCCTCTTATTACAAATTCATTGTGGAATCCCATTCTGATCATCCTTTAAATGTTGGCATGTATAGGGATTTATTCTTTCTTCTCTTATTATTACACTTTTCCTAGATGATTTATCCTAATATCATGGGTTGAAATGCCACCTATCTTCTAATACACAATTTGAGCCCCTGGGACCCAGCTCTATATGTTTTTCCATTTCCCATATATGTACATTTGATTTTTAATCAACTTAGCATCCATTATCCTAAAACTGCTTTGCAAGTGTAAATTCTTCCTCATTGAATGATACTCCCATCTACCTACTCAGCAAAAATAAAACTACAGAAATTATCCTTCATTTCTCTTTTCCCACACCACTCATATACAATCTCCAAATCCTATAAATTGTCTCATTAACATTTCAAATATCCGCCCTAAGAGTCATGCCACTGATATTGCCTTAGTTCTATTTCTCATTATGCACAAAGTTTTTATCTGTATACACTAAGTCCATCTCAAATACGATAATCTTTTAAAAACATAAATCTCATCATGTTTCCCTTCTGTATAAAATATTTCAGTGACTTGACATTTGCCCATATGCTAAGTTTGAATTTATTATCATTGCTTAAAGAATAAGTTAAATGTTAGAATGTAAGCTCTATGAGAGCAAATTCCTTGTCTTTTTATTTACCATTTTATTCTCAGTTTAGATCTAACTGGATCTCACAGCAGGTGAGGCTGAACAGATGAAAAGCCTTCAAACAAGTCCACTGTTATTTCATTTGTCTACTTCACTTGTTTATCTCACCTCTTGACAAGCTCCCAATTATACCCTATTTTCCAGCTATTTTGAAGTTTCCTGAATATGCCACTTTGGATAATACTTAGGGGTTTTGCCTACTTTGCTTGGACAACTTTAAACACTGGTTCTGACTGCAAATGTTTAGTTACCTTTTAAGGTTCACTTTAAACAACACATCCTGTAAGGTCTCTGTGAAGCCATTACTCAAGTATAGTCTGCATTCCTCTAGCTAGTAATGGTGCTATTATCTTTATTACACTGTTAGACGTGTGTCTGTACAACCTATAAGAGCAGTACATTTTTTATACATTTAAATCTCTGTCTGTTTTGACAACAAAAGCACATTAGGATATTGTGATAAACATATGCTTGCTTTAAATAAAAAGGACATAATAAAAAATGCTAGAGTCTCAGTAGTCTAAGATTTTATGAGATATTTTTTCAGACATACACATGTATACAAAAGATGTATATGTGAACTGCATTGTAAAGTAAAATGTATTTCATACAATGGGCAAGGTCAAAAAGATTTTTTAAAGTCACACTAGATTAACATTTCTTTAAAAACAGAAACTGGGTCTATATACTTTTTATCTCTATCATAGAGCACTTTGCTAGATGCATACTAGTTTCTGAAAGGTATTTATTATTAAAATAATTATCCCTTTAAAAGCATGACTTCCAGAACCTCTGAGTAGTATCATAGTATGAGACTCGGGTGAGTTCTCCTTTATGGTAACAGAAAAAATGGTCCCTAAAGACGGTCACATCCTAATTCTTGGAACCTATGAATATGTTTGTTTACATGGTAAAAGGGACTTTTCAGTTGTGATTAAATAGGAATCTTGAGATGGAAAGATTTTCCTGGTTTATTAGATAAGACGAATATATAGTAATTAGAAAGCTCCTTATAAGAAGAAGAAAGAGGGTCAACGTCAGAGAGAAGCTGTGTTGCCAGAAGCAGAGATTGAAGTGATTGGCTGGAAGGTAGAGGAAGGGGCCTGAGCTAAGGAAAGCAGGTGGCCCCCATAAGCCAGGAAAGGCAAGAAAAATGGATTCTCCTCTAGGACCTCCAGAGGAGAAGGGGAGAAATCTTACATTACTATTTACTCATATCACCTAGCACTTTCTATTGAACATAAGAAACACCCATTAATGTTTCATAATCAATTCTATTCATGTGATTTTTGCCTCAAAACACATTTATATTTTCCTGGACAGTGAGTATTTATGAACCTAGATATGACCAAACCTCAGAGTTTTGAATTTTGAAATCTGATCTTTATTTTAAAAGCATTTGTATTACTATGTGCAATATTAATAGTTATCATAGTTTTAATTCAGACATATATGGTGTTTGCTCTTTTTTAGTATTTAGATTCTGATTTAGCCTATAGGCATCTTGTCTTTGTAATGCCAAGAGTATTTCAGCTCTGATCTATGTGCAGAATACTATATTAAATAAAAAGAAACACATTCATGAGATAAGCACCATTCATGAAGAAGAATGGCAATGAAATGAATACCCATAAATGGCAAGAGCCGTACATGTGGGAAAATACTGGTATAAACTTAGAATATTGATTGGCATTTCTCCAACCACATGTTATACAGGCTGATATTATCTGAGAAAGATAAAATTGTATCTAAGAAAGATAAAGTTGTATGCTTTTTCTTTATTACAAACTTTATTAACATATGCTTTGATGAACTTCAAATATCTTATAATTAAACATTTTTTATTATCTGGTTGTTTTCATTTGTGGATTTTGTTCCCTCAGTGTCCCATATCCCATAATTTTATCCAAGGTATCCACAATCTATCTCATTAGCCAGACCGTTACTGGGCTCTTGTCCCAGGACTTAAAAGTAATATTGAGAATGGGACTGGACCCCTTAACTTTGAGAAAAGAAGGTTTTTATTCTTGTCTGCAATCTCTTCCCATTAGCTAATACATTCTTTTCAAGGAACAGATCTGGAAACTTGCCATTTTGAATGTTACACTTGGGATTACAGTAATTTACAGTTTTTACTAATGTTTTGCTTACTGGTATAGGTCTATATCTATAATATGTTTATGTGATTCTTGAAAGCCTAAATGAAGTCCATTTGGTAGGATTTAAGAATGGAATTTTGACTATCTGATTTGTCTTTCCAGTAATAAAGATTTGAATCCTTGCTCTAAAATGGATATAAAGCTGAAATAATATAAGGTAACATTTGCTGAAATAAAAGCTTGGTTGACCTTTTTGACTTCATTTTAAAACTGTGTGAGCCCTCTAATTGCTCTGTTAGCATTTCTGGCGGGGGTTATATCAATGCATTATCTCAATATTATTTGTTGTACTATGCTGTCTATATTTACCACAATGTTATTTTTGACATTAATGTACCACACAAAAAATAAGTAGGAAAGAACAGGTCATTTTTGCAAATGCACAGTAATTTGTTAGCTTCTATGAATTATGTATCAGTCTGGCTGTGGTTTTTATTAGAATTTGTAGATTCAGGGAACAAATGCCTCATTAAATTTTAAAAAATGCTTTTCTGTACTTATTCTCTACAATAAGTTTTTTTAACATATAAGGCAGTGACAATAATGTAAGATTATAGACTATTTTTAAAAAACATATTTATTTAAATCATAGCCTGGTTTCATGTAAGTGCTGAACTCTGATTTAGGGGCCCTGGGTCTTAGTTTAGGCCTGTTACTAATCGTGTATCATTCATAGAATGTGTAGGTAATTCTCTTCTTGGCCTTAAGTTTGCTTATGTGAAAAGGAAAATGGTAGCTAATTTATAAGTGATGTAGTGTGCCTCAGTCCAAAACAAAGATAGGTTTTGAAGACAAATTTGTGTTTATACCTTTTTCTGGCATGTGTTACTTGCACAAACTTGAGTGAGTTTTTACTTTTTGAGTATCCATTTCCTCATCTGTAAATTTGACTAAGGTATGTCTATCATTATAAGAAATAAATCAAAATGAGACAATATCTAATTATATCCTGTATCTGATGGATTTCCATTATTCACTATTAAAATTTCTCTTATAATTCTTTCTGGCTGATACACATGTAATACTGATAACAGCAAACACAAAGAGAAATTACTATGTGCCAAGTTTAAGGTTATGTAGTTTACATACTTTACATCATTTAGTCCTCATAACAACCTAATGAAGTAGTAACTATGTGTTTTTTATTTTATTTGTAAAAATTTATGGGTACAAGTGTAATTTCGTTACATGGATAGATTGCAGATTGGGAAGTCTGAGCTTTTAGTGTATCCTAAACATCCTGAACATTGTACCCATTAAGTAATTTCTCATCATTCACTCCCTTCACATCCACTGTCCCCACTCTGTCTATTATTCTACATTCTATATCCATGTATACACATTTTTTAGCTCTGACTTATAAGTGAAACATGCAGTATTTGTCTTTCTGTATCTGACTTGTTTTACTTAAGAAAATGATCTATAGTTCCATTCGTGGTGCTGATTTTATTCCTTTATATGGCTAAATAGTATTCCACTGTGCATATATACCATATTTTCTTTATCCAGTCATCCACTGATGAGCATTTAATTGATTCCATATGTTTGCTATTGTGAATAGTGCTGCAATAAATATATGGGTGCAGGTATCTTTTGATATAATTATTAATTTTGCTGTTAGTAGATATCCAGTAGTGGAATTGTTGGATCAAATGGCAGTTCTAGTTTTAGTTCTTTAAGAAATCTCCATATTGCTTTCCACAGAGATTTTACTAATTTACAATCCCACTAACAGTGTATCAGTGTTCCCTTTACTGTGCATCTTCGCCAACATCTGTTTTTTTTTCTTTTTACTAATAGCCATTCTGACTGATGTAAGATGATCTCTCATTGTGATTTTAATTTGCATTTCACTGATGATTAGTGATGTTGAGCATTTTTTCATATGCCTGTTGGCTTGCAGTAGTAACTAACATTTAAACTTAAGTTAATTACCCAAATTTATTCAACTGGCAAGTAGCAGAGCTGGGAGTTGCACATTCAAAATCTGGATCTAGAGTCCATGCTCTTAGTTGTTACGCTGTGCTGACAACCATACACAGTCCATTTACCACATATTAACATAAACTTTGTTTCTAATTCTTAATTCTACACTTTATATTAGAAATAGGGTGTAAATAACAGTCGGGAAACCTGACTTTTGGATTTAGCCTGTCAATCACAAGCTACAACATGTAACCGCTCTGGCTGACTCTCACCATTTGGAAATCATCGTTATATTTGCCCTCTCAGCCTCAAGATTCTATTTAAAGAAAATGAGAGAGAGAAAATTAAAATAATTTTTGTGGTTGTTTTATAACACGAAAATGATTGTTACAAAATGATTGTTATAAAACAATATCAAAATGAAGAATTTGCACCTTCAGTTATGAAGTCAGTTACACAACTCGACAATAAATCAGTAAATAAATAAGTAACCCTTGTTTCCTTCTTAATTATGATAACCCTATTAGTAACACTCATACAAACAAGTTGGTTACACAATGGTGAGGGAAATGAACATTTATTTAGCAGCTAGATTTTATGGAACTTTGAGTCATATTCATAACATATTACCAGGTCTATATTCTCCCTCGAGAAACTAACTTGCTAAGTGGCTAAGTTTCATCCATTAGGAAGGGATAGACTCAGGATTTGCACTCCAATCTCTTCTATTTTTTTTTTTTCTTCTAGAGACAGGGTCTTCCCCTGTCACCCAAGCTGGAATGCAGTGGTGCCATGATAGCTCACTGCAACCTAGAACTCCTGGACTCAAGCATCTTCCCTCCTTAGCCCCTTGAGTAGCTGGTAGTACAGGTGTGCACCACCGTATTCAGCTACTTTTTTTCTTTTGTATAGGGGAAGTCTCACTATATTTCCCAGGCTGGTCTTGAACTCCTGGCCTCAAGTAATCTCCTACATTAACTTCCCCACATGCTGGAATTACAAGCGTGAGCCACTGTGCCCAGACCCCCATATCTTCTCTTTATATAAACAAACTCTGCAGCCTCTTTCAGGTAGCATCAGGAGAAGACTATGATATTAAACTTAACTTGAAGAAAACTTTTCAAGAGCAAACTGGAGTTACATTTTGCCTATCGAAGTTAGATGAACTTTTATTCTTAAAATATATTTTAGAGAAGTTGAATGTTTCTCATCTTATATCAGGATCAAAAATAAAACAAAATTCAAAGAAGAAAAGACCATTTCAAATATTTTATAACTTGTCAATATGCTTCCAATCCAGAAATTTTATGGAATTGGTTTCTGAGTTTTGCCCAACATTTATCATCTTTGTTTGACATATACCGTTAAAACTAAAGGAAGGTATAAGGGGTATTTCCAGCAATAAGGAGAAATAAAAAGAGCAGAGTAAAAATAGAAGGGAAATAAGTGAGATGACAAATATAAAGCATAATGCATAAAAGGAGAATTTTTAAGTGATCAAAAGAGGTGAAGCTTGGGCAAAACAAAATTAATTATCTTTTTTTAGGAGCTTAAAATTCTTTTAAATTTTAAAATTGACTGTGGAAGTTGCAAGGATAAAGGCAAGTTGTAAGGATAGGAACATGGTCTATATAAGATTCATTTGCCTTTTCTCCCTTATTATTAGGAAGTTTTGATGGCTTTATAAATTATCTCATTTAACTAGTGGATTTCTTGCTCAAGGATTATATTTCAAAGAATACATTAGGATGATGACTGCGTGCCAGAAATAAAAATCTGATATTACAGAAAAATAGTGATGCTTTAAAATGTATGGAATGCAGTCTCTATTTCAGTCTTATTATTATTTCTTATTTTATTTGTAATAGAACTTTCAAATCAGTGAAAAATGTTAAACAACATCTTGGATCCAATTTGTGGTTCAAGAGGCTGCCGCAAAAAATGTCCTCCTGGCTTTAAAAAATGATCATATTCATTAGTTTTGACGTAAAAAAAGTTCTGAAACACTTCTGAATCATTAGCAATGTATGATGTCTGGTATCAAGCATAATTTATAATGTAGGAAATAAGATCAAGGAAGGAAGTAAAAGGAATAAATAATTTGGCAAAATTGAAATCCAAAAGCAGTGGAGAACATGGCGCCCAGATAAGTAAAGATTGACTTGTTGGACACACATCTGCATCTGTTCACCCCAGAAATATGGTGTCCTAGGTCTTTGACACCTAGACTAATTGAAGAGTTTACTCAGCTATGGACTATATTGTTCAGGAGTACCTTGAATACTAGTAGGTTTAACCACGTGACATCACTGATATTTGACACATTTTGACCAGCAAAATAGTCAATTCTATACTGTACAGACTGGATAGAATGAAACCTGCTTATAAAAAGTATTTTTTATTCTAGCTTGAATGAAGTGGGAAAGCAGAGTCAGAAACAATCTACACCCACTCAAAATGGAAAGATGTTGATTTAGTATATTACAAGAAGACATCATATACTCAAAAAAAATGAATTACTCTCTTTCTCTATCATACAAAAGAAAACAATTCAATTTTTGGATTCTTCATAAAACAATAAACCAACAACCATGACACTTAAAACACTCTTGCTGAGGTTTCACTGAGTCTATGCCAACTGCAGCATGTTTTTGAAAAGAAATGATTAGTTATCATGGTCTATATAAATCAGTTCTGTTCTCCTTTAAAAAAATGTGCACATTCTGACTTAATTTTAGATAGCTGCCCTGTAGGAACGGAAAAAAAAAAATGTAATTGTTTGGTGGTAGCAGTAAGTGATCAGAAGTAACCATCTGCAAAAACACACTTTAGCTTAAGGAAATGTGCCTTGGGGAGATACCACAGCATATCCAATCCCATTGTAGAACTCAGCAAGAAGAGTTTGCTTTCTTTCAGAGTCTCGTCCTACTTAAAAAGTGTAATTGAAGAGACCAGCTGCTAAGTTGCAAGGCCTGATAGAATAGTAGTTACACTACTCAACCGAAATGTTTGCTAATACTAGGAATGACTTCTAGTTTTAATCCTCCAAAAGGATGCTAAAACATGGTTTACGGGAAACATGAGAAATGTAATACAAGGCAAAACATGCTACTTTGATTATCTCAGACATAATAAATGGGCTAATTTGTACTTTAAAAGCTTCCTGTAGCGCACTCTGTATTGACTACTTTGAATTTCAGCCATCTTTCCATATCAGCTTTGGAAGCTCTCAGGGCTATAGCCATTTGTTCAGATCAGGTCTGTCTTCAGTAGATAAGTCTCTCAGGTAATTTGGAGCAAAAGGGGAAAATGTAATGCTTTTTATGGTCTAAAAGTAGGAAATATCTCCTGCCCAATTAATTAATGCTATTCTTTTTTATGTATTATTTAAGATTTGTTTTATTTTCTCATATAGGTGGACTCCAATGGCAGCATCAAGATGTTCTCCCAGTTGTACTCGGAAAGATATGCTTCTGAGGGGAAAGCTATTTTTTTCCTAAATGCATATTAGGTAAAAAGTGTGTGTCAGAGATAAAAGTATGCTGATTAAGACCCTAGTCTTGGGGCAATTAGACTTGCATCACAGTCTCCCAACTCTATTTGCTAATTGTTTAATAAATTCTCTATACCGTAATTTATTATCTTGATGGATTAACAACAGTAACACCATCTTAGAATTTTTAAGAAGAATAAATGGGATTATACATATAAAATGATGAGCACACTATCAGGACCACAGATGTTTGTGTTGTTGCTTTTCTTTAGGTTTATCCACACTGTCCTCCTACCTCCATAAGGACACAGTAAAGTCTTCTGGATTAGAAGTGAAGAAAAATTAAATAGAACTTTTATTTATTGAAAATTTATCTCAAGTGTCCTGTTTCAAACTGAAATGACAGTGTTTATTTAAATCACAAGAAACTCAATTTTAGTTGGTAAACTTAAGTTTTTCCCACTAACCGCCAATGTAGAAGGGAAAAAAATAGGTGCATTATAGAGTATTAACGAGTCTTATTTTATTAGCACATCCAAGTTTGTCACTGTTAAATTTATGTCACCTCCTTTCACTTAAATGGGATATTGTCATTTATTCAGAAAATAGGTACAGACTTTTCTGCATATTTACTGGAAAATTCTATGTGCAATGAAAATTAGACTCAAATGTGATCTCTGAGTTTATGTTCTAGTTAGAGAATAAGACATACACACATTCATCCATCCAAATTAAAGTACATATGGAAAGAAAGATATAACTTTAATACAAAAGAGGCACCAACATTGAAAACCGATATCATACAAATGATCCACAGAACTAAGGTATTCATAAAAAAGTAGTTAACACTATTGTTTTGGCTAAACCTAAAAAACAAAAGTTTGTAACCAAAAATTGATGCAAGACTGGATACATAGTTACATAGTATGAAGTGCCAGTGCAAAATAAAAATAGAGAGTTCCTTGTTCAAAAATCATTTAAAATTTCAAGATGGCATTTATAATTTCAAGATGGCAACCTTCAAGAAGAAGGTTAAACCAAGTACGGACCCTTCTGAGCACAGGGCTCTAGGCGACTGCATGTTTCAGACACATAAAGTAGGTCCAGCATTGAGCAGAATTAAGATAAGGCCTTTTTAGCTAGAGAAGAAGGCAGCATGGGATATTTCAGGTAGGGAATGATATCAGTTTGGGTCCTCTGAGAAGCAGACATGGAGACAAAGTTAGATGTACAAGAGCTTTATAGATGGGAGTTAGGGGAGTGGAGGATAATGCCTGTGAAAGATAAAGTGGGAGAAATCAGTACTGAGCAGGGAACCCTTCAGATTGTGAAGAAGATCTGACATTTGTGGAAGGAAAGAAGAGAGAAAGAAAATTTGGGGAAGGAGAGGTCTGAATGTAATTCACATCTGAGAAAGTCTCAGCCAAACCAATGGAGAGTTCCAAAGTAGATGGCTCATTCAAGGGTTCCCAAGTTGCTTGAAAATGGCCAAGGCCTAGTAGCTCTTCCATGCTTACTCATTGGCTGGGGGCTTCCTGGGGGGAGGCATGACATTGACTCTAATGCTGTGACAGGTGCTGAATGTGCTGTGTAGTTGAAGGCTGCCAGCTAACAGCTCTCCTTGCAGCACAACAGCATGATCTATTATGAAAGGAAATCTGACCAGTGCATGTCTACAGGCATCACAGAGTGCAGAACTTTTCTGAGTGGGGAAGAATTAAAGAAGGAATTTCAACTTCAAACTTTGTTTCAACTTCAGTAAAAATCCCTTATATTTATCCATTACTTTATGATTTTCAAATCCTTTCACATTCATATTTCTAACTTCACCATAAAAGTATTTGTTGACAAAATGTTTAAAAGTAAATGCATTAGCTTGAGGTTGCTCTTTGACTCTATTCTACATTTTCCAGCTGACAGAATGACAATGCTGGGAGATGGTCATGTTCTATTCAGAGTACTGCTTTGCCATTTCCTTTATCAAATTATGCTATCCTGAAGATTCCTTTTACATGAATTATACATATGTGCAAATTTCAGCAAATTTCAGCAGGAAGGTAATTTAGAAATTGCCCAATCTACATTCTCAAAAAAAAGTTTTCCTCTCTCTCACCTTATAATCAAGACTAATCTTGTGGTTAAAAATAATTTTAAAGGTTACCTAATGCATTCATTCATGTAATCATTTAGTGTGCATCAGATACTGTGCTAGACACTAGAGATAAAATGATAAAAAGTAACACACAGCCCCTCACTTCTAGTACAGTGATTTTTAAACTTCAGTTTGTATAATAATTATTGCAAAATCCATTAAAAATACAGATTCCTGGGCCTCACCTTCAGAGATATTATTTAGCAAATCAAAGATCTGACTCGTGAATCTGTGATTATCAGAAACATCCCAAGGACTTTTGTAAATATAGCTCTCAGGAAATTGTTTGAATACTCTTTGTTGTTAATTGAAGGAGAAAGACATTTAAAAAGATAGCAATTTAGTTAATATTATGTGTGGTAGGCTGAACCGTGGCCCCCAAAGATGTCCATGTCCTAGTCACTGGAAGCTGTATGTCATTTTACATGACAAAGGGGACTTTACAGTTGTGATTAAATTGATCATCTCAAAATGGGAAGATTGTTCTGGCTTATCTGGATGGGCTCAATGCAACCACAAGGGTTCTGATAAGTTGGAGACAATTGTGTTAGCATCAGACAGGAAGATACAATTACAGAAGCAGAGGATCTGAGTTGAAGAGGGATTTGAAGAAACTGTTGTTGGCTTTGAAGGTGGAGAAAGGAGTCAGGAGCCCAAAATGCAGTTGGCCTCTAAACACTGGAAAAGCTAAGGAGACAGATTCTTACCCCACTATATTCCCCTAAGGCGTAGGCCTTGATAAGACCTTGATTTTGGCACAAATGAAGCCCAATTAGGACTTCTTTTTTTCTTTCCTTTTTTTTTTTTTTTTTTTAACATTTATATTGTTTTTCCTCAGGTTGAACCATTTAGCACTTCTGACATTGAGAAATATAAGATAATAAATTTGTGTTGTTTTAAGCCACTAAGATTTTGTAATTTGTTACAGCAGCAATAGGAAATCAATGCATCATATAATAGAAATACATAAAGCAGAATGTGGCTATGGAGAAGGGAATACTTGACTGATTTCAAAGAACTCAGAAAGACTGTATTTTGCATGTGTGGAATGAACAAACTTCAGAAATTTCAAAGTAAAAAAATTGAAAACATTAAATCTTGGAGGCATTGGCATCATTAGGGGGACAAAATAGTGTAAATGCAATTCCAGTTGAGGAAATGTTTATAAAGGATGGAGGAGGAGAGAATTTCCTTTTTGCCCTCTGAAGTTTTGCAAAAAAAAAAAAAAGAAAAAAAAAGGCAGATTAATTGGTTCTATAAAAGACATATAGATTTATTTTTGATCACAGTTTTATGTAATACAGGAGCCTTCAGAATGAAGACCCAATCTCCCAGTCGGGTGTAGAAGCTTATAGAGCATCTTGATGTTACAGGAAGAATGGAGGCTCAGAGCATGGCCAAAAACAGGGTTATGTCAGTAAATTAGGATTTAGTGACAACATAGGTTACAGGAGGGAGAGGAGAGGAAATTTGACTAGCAAAGGTGGTCTTGTTATGGTAAATGAAACCTCAGAGGGAGTAGATGGCAAATGTCTCCTTTAGATCTTTAAAGGTGTCAGATTCCTAGTTGTTCTTTCCTAGATCCAGACAAGGAAAGGCCTCACTACTTTAATGTAGATTCTTTACAAATACAAATTATCCCCAAAAGACAGCTTTCAAGGACCATTTCTTGTGCTGGCCCTCTGACAGCCAACTCAAAATATGTCAAATAAATATATTTTAGGGTAAAATGTTTTGATTTTTTTTCACTGGGCACTTTGGAGGTATCGTAGGTTGATTGCAGAGGCATAGAATGCATGCAAATAGGCAGGAAAAGTAGACAGGGGCCAACTTAAGAGAGATTTGAATAATGTGTTAAATATTTTGCTTTTAATTTATCTGGAAGAGAACACAATAGAAAGATTTCAAATATTAGGACAACAGGGTCATAGTTGTGCTATAATTATGGACCCTGGAAGCCATCTGGACAATGGCTGAAATAGATTAAATAATGTCGGAGCTTTCCAGGTGAAAAATGTATAGGATTAAGACACTCTTGGTGAAGATTCAGAGAAGCAGGTTTAATTTGCACTTTCAGACACTAAAAACTAAAAAGATCATGAGATGTCTTTCCCGACATGTGAGAAACAAAGTGACCCATTCTCAACTATAAGGTACAAAACATTTTTACGATGAATTTTAAATTTCTTCCTTGGTGTTCTGATTGCAAAGTTCTAGATACATTGATCAATCCCGAACTTTATTCAGTGTGTGTGAGTGTGTGTGTGTGTGTGTGTGTAAGAGACAGCATGCTTATATATGCACACACATTTATTTTTATCTGTTGCTTTAACATATTTAGTCTATTTGTTGGATTAGAGAAAATAAAAGTGTAACCAAATCATGAGCCAGTGGCTTGCAGTATGCAGGATTCAATTGCTACAGTAGTTAGCTAGTCAGACAGGAACGGGGCAGAAGAGAACCCTTACCCACAACCAGGAATGTCAGCTGACCATCAGGTGATGGTTAGGCACTTGTTAACTATCTCTCTAAAAGAATAATTGGGCACAGCTGGCACCAGGGAAGGGCCGTCTCCCAATAGATAAGAAAAACCTGAAGCTGGTGGTCATTAGCTTCCTATTAAGATCTCAGGAGCTGGGTGAGTGGGCTCACACATATGCACTGAGAGGCAAAATTATGGTGTTTCACTGGTATATGACCTCCTAAGATGTTGGGCTGCTAATGGAAGAATGCCTCAAGTGAGCATGCGTACAACTCCTGTAAACACACTGCACATGCTCCCCTCCAAAGTACTAGCAGGCCACTGTGCATGCGGACAGCACACCCCAAGGGAAGAATCAGGGGAAAAGGAATACAAGACCCTGGTAGTATGCCAACGTACAAAACCCCAAGTCAAATGGTCAAACCACACATTTAATCTCTCAAGTCTCCTGCTTGGCCCTCTTCCAAAGTGTACTTTACTCTCTTTTTCATTTCTGCTCTGAAGCTTTTTAATAAACTTTCATTCCTGCTCTAAAACTTGCCTCAGTCTCTTCTTCTGCCTTATGCCCCGCAGTCACATTCCTTCTGAGGGGGCAAGAATTGAGGTTGCTGCAGACCTGTACGGATTTGCCCCCAATCACACAATGAACATGAGTGAGGTCTGGTATACAGAAAGTAATTTATTTCCAAAGCTAGCTAAGGTGAAGACACACAAGTGTCTCACCTTTAAATATACCACTTCACCTTTAGAGCCGAAAGTGGGCATTTTTGAAAGACAGGAGAGCAAGTGACCAAGGGGTCAGGGGGTCACTTGTTAGCTCTGGTGTCTAATCTACTGAACATAGAGCTGGTGACTGCTGGTGCCTTTGATGGCAGGACTAAGCTGAAAACTCCCCACATGTGAAGGAGTTTCATAGAAACTGGCTTTTATTTCCGGCAACAACTCTCGGTGGGTGAAAGTCCCAAGGCAACCCCCTGGAGGGTGAGAGTTCCATGTTTTAGTCTGCAAACTGACTGTTAACTCTCAAAGAGAGATCTGTCTTGGAGCACGTAGATGAAATTGCCCCATAGGCAGTGTTTGGTGAAGGGGAAGCAAAAGGTTATCTTTACATTTCTAAAGGGCTAAGTAGGAAGTAGGGAATGAGAAAATAAGAGAAAGAGAAAAAAAAATGTCTTAGAAAAATGGGAGTATTCAGTTATAAAAGGAAATATTAGGAAGATAGAATGGACAGAATTGGTAAGATAGATTTCAAATGTGAGAAAGTAAAATACAGGACACAGATATTTTGATTTTCTTTTGTTTTTCTATTTTTGGAGCTCAGAAGACAATATCCTAAAATGAAGGCAGCAGCAGCAGCAGCAGCCTGGGAAACAAAAGTTCTTCTCTGATCTTCCCCTGCCTTCCGTTCTCCAACCCCTCCCTGACTGCCCCCCAATCCCTGACACAGAAACTAAAATCCCTCTTCCCCAAGCGAGAACATAGAAACCCTTTTTCCTAAAAGCCAGCCATAAAACCTAAAAATATTCTATGTAAAAACTGGCCATAACAGGAGCTCAAGGGAAGCCTGGGCAACATAGCCAGACCCCATCTCTACAAAATAAAAATTAAAAATTAGCCAAGCTCTGCATGCCTGTAGCCCTGCTACTTGGGAGGAAAAGGTGGCAGAATCTCTTATGATCAAGAGTTTGAGGCCACAAAGAGCCATGATTGTGCTTCTGCATTCCAGCCTGGGCGAGAGAGCAAGACCCTGTCTCTGAAACAAAAATTAAAGAAAACTGGTCATAAAGAAATTATCTGACCTACTTTGTTTGATTATAGGTCGTTTAGACCCCTATTCCAGAGAGGAACCTGCCCTATACTCAGAAGGAAGAATGGATGCCTAGAGAGGACAAGAAGAATCTAGACATACTAGATGTGCTGGGTTTCTCCACTCAGTCTATTAGCATTAGCTCATACTCTTCTTGTCCAATAATATTTCTACAGAGCTGTATTAGTCTGTTCTCACACTGCTAATAGAAAACATGTACATTAACATATTATAGATTACCTGTAGCCATGGGATTTACGATTTCCTTTCCAGAGAGTTATAGGACTATCTTACATAGTCTTTTTATTGAAATAATGTAAGCTTTTGATTTAGTTAGAAAATTCTAATTCTATATTGTTTATAAACTAGTAAAATAGTAATCAAAACATTCTCAAAATCAATTGTTATGAAAAGAAAAGATACATATTTGAAGTTTGTTCTTTGTAAAATTATTTCTTGAATTTTTTATGTGAAAGGTGCTAATTATTATAAATTATAAAAAAGAATTAAAAAACACTATATATATAAATATCAAATGCATGTAATATGCATATACATATATATACATGTGTTTGCTTTATTAAACAAATGTGATATTATACTATGACAGATTTACATATTTGTATATCTGTTAGAAAAACACTGGGAAAACATATGGCAAATTTAAATAAAAATTACCTATAGATAACAGAAATTTTAGTACTTCATTTTTTAAAAAATTCTGAAATTAACATGAATTACTTCTGAAATCAGAAAAATGACATTAGAAATTATACAAAAATATGTAACATGTATTTGCCCTTAAAAGAGTTTGTGAGCCCTTTCTATACTGTCATTGAAGCAGCCAATCAGATAAGTTAGGTTTTATACTAGATCTACTTTGTGTTTAAGAGGTGTTTTGACTAAAAATCCAATATGCAGAACCATGATTTGATGTTTCTATCACCATATGATGGACTATGTTTAAACAATGCAAATTATAGATTCAATTCACTGACAGCACTGATTTTTTGACCTGAAATACTTATGCCAAGAAAACATAAGTAGGAATCAAAATAAAAATTTTTTTAAAAAAAGAAATTGGGGTTTGTGGTAACAGAATGGTCTTATTTTTCTTGCATCAGTTATACAACCATCTTTATTTGCCATTTTGTAGATACTTGAAAATTGTATTTATCACAGGGCATTTTCACATTTTTAAAAAATATTTTCTGTTCCTTGTGGCCCATCCATGTGTTAAGGCTTTGACAATCCCTGGGGAGGATCCTGAGGCCTTTGTGGCTACATGAACCATAACCTACACCTTTTATCATATACAAAAATAAATCAAATAGATCATAGACCTAAATGTAAAGTCTAAGGCCATAAAACATCTAAAAAGCTTGCCACAAAGATTTCTTAGCTGTAATATAAAAAGCAAGAAACATAAAAGAGAGAAAAATGATAAATTGGACTTCACTGAAATTAAAACTAGATTTTTGAAAGGAAATATTAAGAAAATGAAGAGACAAACCACAGAATGGAGAAATGTTTGCAAAGCACCTGATAAAGGATTGATGGCACCAGACTACATAAAGAACCATTATATCTCAATAAGAAGAAGATACACAACACAATATAGAAAAGAGTAACTGATGTGAACAGATCCCTCAGATAAATGCACACAAAACGTAAATAACTACAAAAAATTGTTCATCATTACATCATTAGGGAAGTGAAAATTAAAATCATAACGAGATACCAATACATACCTATTGAATGGCTAAAATAACAATATTAATAATAATAATACCTGAAAATATCAAGTGATGACAAGGATGTGGAGCAACTAAAACTCATATACATTATTTGTAGAAATAAAAATATCATATAGCCCCTTTGGAAAACAGCTAGATAGCTTCCTATAAAGGAAAGTACATGTTTACCATATGAATCAACAATTCAGTGCCTAGGTATTTACCCGAAAGAAATGAAAGCATCTGCAATAAATTCTCCATGCAAATATGCATAGTAGCTTTATTTATAATTGCACAAATTGAAAGCAACCCAATTATCTCTCAACTAATGAATATATAAACATATGGTGTCATAGTCATAATATGGCATATAACTCAAAGTGGCAATAAAAGACTGAATGACTGTTAATGCAATGACATTATGGCTATCAAATGCAGTATAATAAGTGTAACAAGGCCCAGATCAGAAAGCAACATACTCTATAATTATATGACTTCAAAGGGGCCTTTTGAGGGTGATGAGAATGTTCTACATCTTGATTGTAGTGGTGGTTATACTATTTTGAATATTTGTCCAAATTAATAAAAGTGAACACACAAAAAGATTAAATTTTACTCCATACGAATTATACCTCAATAAACCTAATTTTAAAATACAGACTCCCAGAAAATAGATATATCACTAACTATACATGTGGTGATGATATAAATATTCAGTTTTGTTCTGTGGCTCAGTCCCACAATTTATTCTTCAATGAAATTTAGGGTTTTTCTTTAATGTTTTCATTTTTATGTTTCTTAGAAATCAGTCCTTACTTTTTTTCCTGCCACTACACCCTAATCGACTTAATAATAGCAACTTTCTTCAAGGGTCCTTTCTTGAGGAAATTAACTTCTTGGTGACTTAATTTCTTGGTGACCTCATGGATATGCTGAATTGGAATGAAGTCTACAGACCTTCTACTGGACATCTTTCAATTTCTCTGTGGTCATTTTTTAATCCAACTTCTCCAGCTACAAAAAGCTGATCTTCCATCAAAATTTCTGGAAAGTACTGCTGAAAAATCCGTGCTTACTTTCACTCATTACAGCTTATATTATTTCATGTATAAAAGTAGCTTGGAAAATCCACATTATGCTAATGTGTAGGCTGTGGATGAAATTTAATATTGTCAGACACAGTATTTTATTCTGTAAGCAAAAAATTGATTTACTCAAACATTATTTATTCCACATAGAAAATCTATATCATCATGAAGCATATTTCAGACACTTAACATTGTGGTCCCTCAAACTCATGATTTGATATTATGTGTAGCCTGTTAAAAAACACTGTCATTACATTAAAATGAAACTCCACCGCTTCCTGTCACTTAAGTAAACAAGAGATTCCAATATATTGCAATCTAAACTAAAAACATCAGTTCTTTCTTTGATATAAAATTATACCTAAAATGTACATACCACGGTGAGCATTATCTCTGATATCATTAAATCAAATAAGCTTTTTACTACAAAATCAGTTATTATATATATTGAATATATATAATGTATAAAATATAGTAATTATTATTTTTCTCATGTTATTCTGCAATTAAAAATAAAAAATAAATTTCAGCTTTCTGCTACAAAATGAAGTGATAGATTCCCATTTCTGCTTTTAGTTTGTGCATATTTTACACTGGCTTTAAATAGAACTTTCCATTTCTATTTGATGTGACATTAGGAAAGAGCAACTTGTGGGGTTATAGTATGTAGACCATTTCTCAATTTTATCCTAGGAATAATGTGAAATAGTTATTGTTATTTCATTTACATTTTTTCTGTGCCTTTTTGAAATTTTAGACCAGTTAAAAAGTAAAATGGGTTCACTTCCTAAGCATACAGTGAAATGACATGCAATCAGGTGATTTCATTCAATTTACCTTTTAATTTGCTTTTGAATTTTAGTTCTATTACTTAAAGGGATATATTAATAAGAAAAAAAATCCAGGGCAAATCAGTTTGTCTGTCTTTGAGCTTGGGATAGGGTACACACCGTTAGGTTGTATGGCCAGAAAGCATTGTAGGAAAAGATGATATTCAATTATTTACTACCAGCTGTTTCTGGTTCTGAAAATCCATAGTCTATCCTATAAGGTCCTCTTCAACTAGATGTTTTCCTTAACTATTTAGAAAAAGACAACACATAGACAGACATAACTTTTTAATTGACTTAAAAATTGTGACTTTTAATTGGAGTATTTATCATAGTCCATTAAATTAGATTTAATGTAATCCTCCATATTCTTGGAAATAGGTCTATGCTTAGGCCAGATAAAAGGCTTCTAATGTTACAAATATGTCTACCTTATAAACCAGCACCATCAAATATTAACAAATATAGACGAAATTATATATTCGAAACTAAAGGAAGAAGAAAGAAGGAAGGAAGGATACAGGAGGAAATAAATGACTGCCTAAATGAGGACATGCAATGGCTATTTATTCAGAGCTATAGCAAAGGAGTCAGCTACCATCACTTGTATTTGGCAAAGACTCAAAGGCAGGCAGAATGGTGGGAAAGCTTCACAGTGCAAAAAATAAAAGAGAAAGGCTTCAGGTATTTTCTGCTTGGAAGCTGTTGACATAGAGAAGCTGTAAGCAAGCTAGTTAGAAGTGGGCATTCTGTGTGATTGGTTAAGGGGAAAATGTTTGGCTTTCTCTGGTTGGTCCTATGGAAGGAGAGGGAGGGAACCTGGATTCTCACCTCCACTTGTCTTCCAATCTTTTCTCAGTGCCTCGCATTAACTAGACTTACCTGGAAACCAGAGAGCACAGTGAGGAGCATGAGAAATATTTGTCCCTGCAGTACAAAGCAGAGCACTGGAAGGGTGAAGGGGGAATTTAAGTACAAACAAAATAAAGGCTACACTCTGTAAATATCCGTCATTAGATATGCTAGATTGTGAATTTATATTTTAGATTTTGAATAAAATAGTCAAGTCCTAAACCAATACTCATATACAGCTGTGGTCTCCATTGACAGTCTGCATCACAGCAAATGTATGTTTGATTCTGTATTTGAAAGCTACATTTCTGAAGGTAGGCAAGAATTGTTGATAAATTGAAATACTTTAAAGTATTAGGAGTGATTATGGATTATCATGTGTGCTATAGTTATTCATTTTTGCTCTTGCTTCCTTATATTTGCTTTGCCAAGTCTCAGAATTCTACTTCCTACTCTCTTAGTTGTACTTTCACTAGTGATGTTTTTAAGTCAGTTTCTACCACAGGCATCAGTAGATATCACAGGAAATGGTCAGTTGCTTTGATTGGTTATCACGTTGCTTACAATTACTCCACCTCCTTTTCCTTATGAGACACTGAACTCCCACATATCTATCTATAATCCTTTGCTCAGAAAAATTATACTGGCCATGTTTCCAGGTTATTTCTTCTAGCATTGAACTTAAAAAAAATTGCACAATATCGGGCCTGCCAGACAGTAGAGGGCAGGAGGAGGGAGAGGAGCAGAAAAAGTACCTATTGAGTACTAAGCTTAGTACCTGGGTGATGAAATAATCTGTACATCAAATGCCCATGACAAGAGTTTCCCTATATGACAAATTTGCACATGTACCCCTGAACCTAAAATAAAAGTTAAAAAAAATCCTGCAACAAAGTGTACCTCAAAAGATACTTTTGAAACTGTGGGCCAGGTGCAATCCCAACATTTTTGGAGGCTGAGGCGGGAGAATCACTTGAGCCCAGGAGTTCAAGACCAGACCTGGCAATATATCAAGACTGTCTCTATTTAAAAAAATAAAATTTTGAAATAATAATTAGATTCCTGAGGGAAGCAAATATTATTCTCCTTGCTCCTTACTTATACCCAACCAACTTCCTGTAACATTTTTGGACACAGATTAACTCCCAGTGTCAAATGCAAGTTTGGTTACAAAATATTCATTTGCTGAGTTGTGATATAAATATGTACATACTAACACCTTATTTACAATTGAAAGATAATTTTCATGTACACATATAAAATTGTCATTTATCTTGTCTTTTCTAAAGGTGACATGTGTGGTATATGTAAAGGCACCTAATTCCACTTTTAAAGAGCAGTAACTAATTTTTTAATAATTTTGAAAAGTAAGCAACATTCTCAATGAGGTTTGAACAGTAAAGTGTTCAATGAAATCATCTCTTCAGCCTAGGAAGTCATGGCTTCAGTCTAGACTTTTCCTTCCTTCCTTTTTCATTGTCTGAATATCTTGCTGTCTTCATAGATGCCATGATATCTCCCATCAGCAATCTGGAAATACGGTCTACTAGATCATTTGAAGAATAATAAAAACTAACATAGAAAGTTATTACTATGTGGTAATTATATAGATTACCATTTAATCCTCACAATAATCCTAAAGTAGCTATAATTATCATACTTTTAAGACAAGAAATCTGAGACAAAGTGAAGTAATTAGCCCAAGTTTACACAGCTAATAAATAGCAGAGTTAGAATTGAAACCAAGAAAGTCTGGCTCCAAATTTGTGTTCTTAATTCATACATTCTACCACCCCTACCAGTCAGCATTTGTAATGTCAGTTTACATGAATCAAGGTAGAAAGAAGGACGTAGACAAAATGTTGACCATCATGAAACAACAACATGTCCATGAAGCTACAAGATGGCTTAACAATCAATAAGTGAGTCACTGTCAGAGGCAGAGAAGCACTTGCCTTCTTCTGCTTTCTTAGAAATTTGGTCAGGGGTATGTGTACATAAATACACATATTAAGAAGGAAGCTTTCCTCAAGACAGTTCAAAGAGAAACCAGAAAACCAACAATAGCCCTTGCCAAGAAGGTCTAGTATAACCAGCCAAATCATTCATGCGATCTCCCATTGGACTACTTCGCTATTCTATTTCCTCTGTCCCACTAGAACTGACGGTTCATTTTCATCTCATTACTTCCATTCCACCTAGGCCAATTTATTTTTGCTCTGAACTCACAGTACCAGATACAAACGTATAAATATAGCCTTCATAAACACATAATCACAACATCTAATCACCATGTAGTACTTTAACACATTCAAGTCACTTTTAAAACATTAATTTAAAATATCCATGAAGCCTATTGTGAAAGATGGTTTTATCCTCTGCTATTAATGCCTGAACTGGATAGTGTGATGCTTCCTCTAAAAGCTTGGGGACTCCTGAATTACTTTGGATGACTAACATTCTGAAACACATAGAGATAGGATATAACATTGCCTTCAGTTATATTTAGCCCTCTTTTGTCATTATAATTTAGCTCTTATATAAATGATTAGTCGAAGCGTAATTGCTGTTTATAGCCCTACAGCTTTTTCATGGTAACATATCTAACACCTGTCAAGAAGAGTGGCTACTGTTTTGAGAGCCTCCAGCTAAGTGTGGTCTTCAGTACCGTGGTGCTAGCAGCCCTGCCCTAATGAGAAATGAAGGGGAGCTGGACCTGGATGTTTACAGTGTGCCTTTCAGAGGACACTTCTTTTACCTGGCTTACCTGGCAGACAGCCTAAAGACTCGTTGTCTGACCTGTGACCAGAAGTCCCTCACAGGGGAAATTTGTTCATTTTGGCAGATGCCTTTGTGGCTCTTTTCTGACCTCTGTCCAGTTTATGCCTTCCTGATCGTCACTCTGGCTCTAGGAGCCTGACTTTGTGTTCTCCCTGGTATCAGGGGGAAAACCTGGGACAGCCCCTAGTTGTTCTAATGGAAGGTGCAAATTTAATTTACCACCACAGCAAGAAACAAGTTCAAAGATGTTTTACTTACAGATCCTGGGCCAGGAGAGCAGTCCTCCATCCCCAGGTGATGTGAGGCAAGAATGAAGAGTTAGGTAGAGAAAGACAGAGTAAGCACCTGCGCAACTAGCGGAATGTAAAAGGGAGTAATAGGATATGGATCCCTTTAAGTTTGCAGGCAAATGCCTGAATGGTTTAAAGGAGGTAGCAGGAAAGTGGGGAGTCCTATCTGGTAGGCAGAAGAGATGCCACTAAGTTCTTATCTCTGACCACCAGCTTAAGTCATTTGGTTGTGGTATAGAACTGGAAACTGTCTCAAAGGTGACTGAGCCTTGCTTTCGGTATGAGGAAGCTGAACTTGTATTCAAAATGGATGCCAAGGCAACAGAAAATTATAACTCACTACATTCGTTTTAAAAGTATTTGGATAACTTTAAACTGGTTCAATTCATTCTTTATGAGCATTGGACCCAGTCTCTGCTCCTTCTTGCAAATTACTGTCAGCTCAAAAACGTGATGCGATCTGCAGAAGTTAAAGAGCTAAACGTTGCATTGTTTATACACTAGAGGCCTGTTTTTCTCCAACGCCATCTGAAATTATCTATGCTTTTCTTTGCAAAACATTGAATGACATAAGAGGTTTAGATAAGAACATGACCCAAAAGCCAAAGATAGCCAGAGTTTTCAAATATATGTCAAGATATTTCAGATCAGAGCAAACATGTATCAAAAACGAGTTCATTTTATTCTTTTTCTTAACTAAGAATCTGAGAATGTTTGCCTTATTGCAAGGTAGGGAAGTTTTTTTTGTTTGTTTGTTTTTGTTTGTTTTGCCATGCAGTTTTCACAAGGTTTTGAAAGTTTTTGTCAGCTGCGCTTTTTAATTTGAATGGAAAGCTTTACTTACACACTATATGTGTGTGTGTGTGTGTGTGTGTATATATATATAAATTTATATATATTATATATTTTTTTTCCCTTTGTGTTTAGCTGCAGTCATTCAAATGTGTTTGACCACCTGGCTGTCAGGTTTTATAAGTTTATGGTGAGAGAGCTAAATCCCAATTGTTTTTGTCACTGGTATGTCAAATGTAGAGTTATGTGGCTAGTGAGATATAGCTCCTCTGGTGAGATAAGTGCTGCTGCAGACATCTCACATGCTGTAGAGCCAAGGTTAAGAAAAAGAAAAAGATACAAATCAGCTTTATTATCAAACACAGCTCTGACGATCCAAAGGGGACAGAGGACACCATATAAACATGATGCAGCCCTGTTGTGCCATCCTTTCTGTATGAAGTGAGGTGCCTAATTAAGACAGTAGGCATCAGTCCAGCTGCAAAGAGGTAGTTAAGCAGAGAAAATGCACGTGGTTGCCATCCAAGTGCTTGCCCTTACTCTAAGTGTTCAAAGACAAAGTGCTGAGGCTCAATCTTTTCAGATTCCCACAAGTTCTTCCTTCATCCTCCTTTATGAGCCCAGGCCCACACAGGGCTGCTGGTAACCAAAGACTCTAGCTGCTCCTTAGAGGGTGAGCCACTGCTGCCCTGGGTCCTCAATGTCTTTATAATTAGGTTGATGCCCAAAATGTTTGAGGACAATGTCTCTCCAAATGCCTTACTTTCCAGGATGCTTGGAGAATTCTACTCCTTCCTTTTTTTTTTTTTTTTTTTTTAAATTACATTTCTTACTATTTCCTGTCAATGGGAACAACCTCAGGTTTCCTCCTAATAAATAAAAGCCTGCCAGTGCCAGCAATTACTACAGCAGGTGACATGAAGAGCAAAGGGAAGGGCTGGTTTGATGAGGAGCTGAGCTCTTGAACATGCAAAGAAAAGTAATTCTGGCACCTTGGCAAGAGAATCTGAAGTTTTTGAAAACAAAAATAGTGACAATGGTTCCTCTCCAGTCCAGCTAGGTCCTGCTTATTAAAGCAGAGGCATGAAGGTACACAGATATATGCATACTTACAAACACATACAGAGACATGCAAAATCACTACCATCACCACCACCAAACAGCACCTGAGCCTTCATTCTGAATAATCAGAACAGATTTATAAAATGAAGACCAATAAATTGCTCACCCTCTATACCTCCTGATATGGTCTGTGTCCCTACCCAAATCTCATCTTGAGTTGTAGTTCCCATAATGGCCCCCTGTAGTGGGAAGGACCTGGTGGGAGGTAATTGAATCATGGGACTGGTTACCTCCATGCTGTTTTCATGATAGTGAGTGAGTTCTCACGAGATCTGATGGTTTTATTAGAGGCTTTTCCCCTTTGCTTGGCACTTCTCTCTCCTGCCACCCTGTGAAGAAGGAGGTATTTGCTTCCCCTTCTGCCATGATTGTAAGTTTCCTGAGGCCTCCCCAGCCCTGCAGAACTGTGAGTCAATTAAACCTCTTCCTTTATAAATTACCTAGTCTCAGACAGTTCTTCATGAGAGTATTAGAACAGACTAATACACCTCTGAATCCAATTTAGATGTATAGTTCAAACACTACAACGCAATCCTCTATGTTTAATTATCTTTTAATCTTGCCTTGCAGAAGAATTTCCAAGCATTTTTTTAAACTGTGGTGAGATAATTTAAGGATGAAAATTAATTTGGTTTTTGCTTGGAGTTTTGACTGGCTTACAGAATTCACAGATTACCTAACATTTATAAAATATGCCTTTTGAGAGAAAACACTAGAATTGGAATGGCCTTGAAGGTGAATTAAGTACCAAAAGGCTGCTTTTGTGTAAGTGAGTGTCCTTTCACTGCCATTCACCAGAGTCTCTGCTCTTCCAAACTCCTAGTTTGCGATTTTCATTGGTTTTTTAATATTACAACTCAGGCCATTAGATATAGCCTCAGTGTTCACTATAACTGCTGAGTACATGCTATTTATCCCTGACATTGCCGTAAGTCTTCATTGAGCAGCACTCTTTTCAGAAACCAAGCACTTAAATCTTCCAAGCTGTTTCAATACTTGGCATCATTACTAAAAATGTCAATGATGATGACAGCCGGTGTTTGTTGTAGTTAGAGCCATAACAAACACATTTCAATTGGCTATTAAAAATATACATATATCATTGATTTTTCTAAAGCCCTGGATGATGTCCAGCTGAGATTTTCTGCATGTGGATATTCATTTTGTTACTTTTTGAAGTCCATATTTCTTTCTCACCATGCCATTTTAAATGGTAATGTCAGCCATAGCAGCAGAAACAAGAACAACAGCAATAATACCTACCATTTACTGTATATCTACTATGTACCAGACACTAGATACTTTTGCTTACTTCAATTGCCCATTACAACAATATCATAATCAATATTAGTATTATTTTAATAACCTCTGTCACTTATAAGGTGGAATTTTGTATATTTATTGTGACCCTTCATATGAATTAATTAATAACTTATTATTTTGTGTTAAAATTATTTTCCTGGCATCCTTCTTCCTCCTTTCACCCTTCTTTTTTTCGGAATGAGAAAGTTTTCTATAATCTCTTGTATATATCTGCTCATTTGAAGGCTACCAATTTATTTCTACTTAGTGTTTTCCTTAATTTTAAAGATAGGTATTTAATTTTGAGAACAGTCTATAATTATCAGTATTTCTAACATCCTCCTGACCATTTTACAGAATATTTCAGATTTTATGCATTAATTACTGCCTTGGCTTCTACAGTCTTACCATAATTATTTCATTTTAGTTTCATTCTAATATTTAATATGCAACCTATATTACTTGTTTTGTAGTGAGTATTTTATTAATTTTTCTGGTCACCATTATAACTTGTTTCCTGTACCTTCCCCTTTGTCTTTTTTTTTTTCTAAAATGCATCTTTTTTTTTGAGTTTCAATAGGCAGTAAGATTTATCAGGCTTTGTATGTCTGAAAATGGCTCTATTTGGCCTCCACTTTTCAAGGTTTATTTGCCTGTACATAAACTTGTGGTAGTTATTTTCACTTGGTGTTTTGAGACTATTTCTCATTGTCTCTTTGCCTCAATAGTGAGTGGTGAAGAAGTATACTATCAGCCCATGTTCTTCTTTTAATCCATCTTTTTGCACTAGTAACTTTTGAAACATTTTCTCTAATTGTGAAGCTAGTCAACTGCACTGAAATAAATCTATGTACAGTGTGCATTTATTTTTATTTTCCTGTTCCGTACTTGGAGTATACGCTTTTTTTTTTTTTTTTTTTTTTTTTGAGACACAGTCTCGTTCTGTCACCCAGGCTGGAGTGCAGCGGTGCAATCTTGGCTCACTGCAACCTCCGCCTCCTGGGTTCAAGTGAATCTCCTGCCTCAGCCTCCCAAGTAGCTGGGATTACAGGCGCCCGCCACTACGCCCAGCTACTTTTTTGTATTTGTAGTAGAGATGGGGTTTCACCGTGTTAGCCAGGATGGTCACGATCTCCCGACCTCGTGATCTGCCCGCCTTGGCCTCCCAAAGTGCTGGGATAACAGGCATGAGCCACCGCACCCAGCCTGGAGTGCACTTTTAATCTGAAGACTCATGTGTTTCTCAGATTGTAGAAAGTTTGCAATCATCTTTTGATTCAAATATTGGTTTACTACCATTCACACTAGTCTTATCTATTAATACCTGTTAGATCAGACGTCAACAAACATTTTCTCAAAGAACGAGAGAGTGAATACTTTAGACTTTGAAGGTCATATGGTCTCTGTTAACAACTACTCAACTCTGCGATTGTACCATAAAAACAGTGATAAGCAATATATACATTGAATGGGCATAGTTGTGTTTAAATAAAAACTTATTTATAAAAACAGGTGGCAAGCTGGATATTGGTCTCGGCAAGTAGTTTGGCAAACCTCTGTGTTAGATGAGTGCTTAATCACTTTTTCGATACTCCATGTCTCTCAAGTACTCTTTCAACTTATCTTAATCTTTTTGCTTTTCCAGTGCATTCTTAGTGAACCCCTCTGTATCCTCTTCCTATTTGTTAATTTTCTGTTCATCTCTACTCTGTCAAATACTTATTTTGTCTACTGTTATCTTTTAACATCTGTAATTTTACTTTATTTCAAAGTTTTCTCATAAATTTTTTTGCATATTCACTTGATCTTATTTTATTTCTATATCTTTATTTTATAGTTTCTGTTCCTTCTTAGATATTTGTCTTTTGACCATCTGCAAATACTGCTGGAGTTATTGATTTTGTTGGCTGTCTTTTCAGAATTAGTTTTCCTAACATGGCTTGAATTTTCATTTGCAGGCCAATTTGCTTTTGTTTTTCTCCCTGTGAACATAATATTGTAACAGTTTTTTTTTTTGTTTTGTTTTGTTTTTTTTTACCAATCTCCTCCTAGCTCAGGGTTACTGAATCTGAGGAGATATTGGGGTTATGGCAGATCTAGTCGCAGAAACAGAATGTAATTTAGATTCATTCCTAATATTCCCAGAGTGCAAAGGCAGGAAGCATGTCTCTGATGTCCATCCCTCACACAGTAATTTTAATTCTTCTTACCCATCAATGACTGAACCTTTGGTTGTTACTGCTTACTGCCAGAGCCCAGCTAATAACTCTATCCCTCACTCTTTTATACTTGTTTCGTTTTTTCACTGCTCATAATTTTTACTTTATACTTCAGCTCAGCTGTTGTTGCTTCATTTTATTTAATTTTTTATAGGTTATAGCAAATAAGTTTTGTAGAGCCCTAACTCACTGTTCAATGCTGATCCCAAATTGGGTATTACTGTTAATATAAAAAGATAAAACTAAGGTTGAGAAATATCTGTACAATTTGCTCTTTGCCTCAAGTTATTAAGTGCCTGAGAAGTGATACAAACTACTTAGCTTTTGCTTTTCCAACTTGCTACAATAGTTACAGAGATAATCAAATCCTCTGTCTACTTCTTTATTCCTTAGCAATTCATTCACTTTTCATTGGCAAGCTCATTCCAAAGAAATACTTAGCCAATTTAAAAAGGGATGCAACATACTTCTTTATTACAGAATAACTAAAGGATATTTACCCTGGGATTCTTTCTAAGGCATTACAGCAATTCTAAGGCATGACATCCTCAGTGCAGCAATGGCTGGTGATGTGAAGCATAAGGCAAAAGACCTTGAGTTCCACGGATTTCAGGACAGGAAACAAAGTGGGACTGGCTGCTCTGCTTGCGGACCAATAATCTGTGGGTGTTACTAAAGTACCTTTATAAAATATTTTAGACATAATTTCATGAATATCTATCAAGATTTATCTGTCCCTATTTTATTTATTGATTCATTTTTGCCCTGTCACCCAGGCTGGAGTGCAGTGGCACGAGCTCAGCTCACTGCAACCTCCGCCTCCCAGGTTCAAGCAATTCTCCTGCCTCAGCCTCCCGAGTAGCTAGGATTACAGGTGCCCACCACCATGCCTGGTTAAGTTTTATTTGTTTTTTTTTTTTTTTTTTGCTTGTTTGTTTTTGTTTTTTGTATTTTTAGTAGAGACAGGGTTTCACTACGTTGGCCAGGCTGGTCTCAAACTCCTGACCTCAGGTGGTCTGCCCACCTTGGCCTCTCAAAGTGCTGTGATTACAGGCATGAGCCACCGTGCCCAGCCATCTGCTCCTATTTTAAAAGCAAACATAACTTGAGGAGTTAGAGATTCCTCACAATTTTCTACAAAACATTTTAATTACATGAAGTGAAGCTTTGGAACTGTAAGGGACTTTAACAATATTCTATGAAGTCTAGCCATCTTGTCTTATAGGTCAATAAACTGGAGTCCAGGGAGTTCAAGAAATTTACTTATAGTCACGTTGTTAGTGGCTGACCTTGAAATTGATTCTAGGATCCAGCTGCTGTTACATATTTTGAGTAAACCTGAGTTAATAAGAGGATATAACGCAATGAGTAATCTTGAGTGTATTTAGCCATTTAATTATTTTGAGCAAGGTAGGGGATTGGAGGTTATAAATGAAGTGTATTTAGGCAAAGAAGGGATAAATGTATCTTTATCTGATCTTTTGCCTAGACTCTATCATCACAAAATGTAGCACCATTAGAATGGATAAATTTTATTTAGCCTGTATATTTTTTAAAAAGACTATTTTATAGGGAGAATTACTCTTCCAAACCTCAGAATCTTGACTTTAATTCGGGTCAGGCTGAACCATTTGTCTATTTTGAACAATTCCTCAAGGGTCATTTAAATTAATTAACATTTTATGTGAAAAAAATCAGGAATAACTGAGAATGACTAATCCTTCACTATAAAATGACCTATGTGGTTTATTAAACCGTGAACTGAAACATAAATGTGTACCAAAAACATAACTAAAGTGTGGTTCCAGTTTTCATTGCAGTTATATCTAAAGAACTCTTAAAAGTTTCAGCCATATGAAGTTAATAGAATTCACTCTGTTCTGGTTCTATCGTGGGTAAGCAATTCTGCTATACTATTTTGCCTTATGTTTGTTAACCTCAGTGTCCAATGATGCAGTACATCCATTGCATTCTCAGCAGCATTGGTTCATGGAATGGTATAATATGCATTCATCCATTTATATATTCTACAAGTTGTTGAACACCAAACACATGCCAAGCAATTTATTTACTTTTTAATGTTTTTATTCTATATAGTGTGTGTGTGTGTGTGTGTGTGTGTGTGTGTATCTATCTATCCATCTATCTATATGGAGAGAGACAGAGAGAAAGGGAGAGAGGGAGTCTCTTTAAGTTGCTCAGGCTGATCGGCTGATCTTGAGCTCCTGGCCTCAGATGACCCTTCTGCTTCAGCCTTCCAAAGTCCCGGGATTAGAATTGTGAGCCTCCACACCCACCCCCAGCATTTTTTTTCAGTCATTGAGAATATGTCAGAAGATAAAATAAATTCCCTGCCTTCGTAAGACTTATGTTCTAGAGAAAAAATACAGAATATAAGTGAATAACTAAAGAAAATGCATAGTTAATCAGATGGCCATAAGTGTAATGGCTAAAGATAAGCAGAGAAAGGAGATAGGAAGTGGTTCTGTGGGTGTGTGGATGTGGGAAAGATGACTGAAGTTTTAAATATGGTTGTCAGGGAAGGCCTCACTGGGAAGGTAACATGTGGGGGGATTGAAAAGAGAAGAAGAAAGTCATGGAGAAAAGCACTGTAGGCAAAGAGAATAACCAGTGCAGATTCCTGGAGGTGAGGGTGTGCTTGAAATATTTGAGAAATAGCAAGACACCTACTTAACTTTTAGACTGTTTTAAACTTTCATTTATGATTTCAACAAACGTTAATTGAATATTCAATGTGGCCCAAACACAGTGCTAAGATCTGGGAGCACCAATATGAGTAAGTAACTATTATACTTATTTGATGCTTATGTGCATCTAGTAAGGGCTCTACTCCTAAAATGAAAAATAAATAAATAAATAAATATCTAGACACAATAATGACACAGAGTAGTTTTAGTTATTTCTCCTGGCACTGGTTTGAGGAAGGATAATAATAGTCTGTGAGAAACATTTAGAGTAGTAACTAAAATATACTTTGACTTGAAGCCACACTCTCTCTCCCCCAACACCCAAACAGAATCACTGGAAGGTTTCATTTCAACTTCCTACCAGAGCTCTGAATGGCTTAAATGCTTTTTATGGCATTTTCTAAAGCTGCCTTTCATTCGGGGACATACTGCCCCATGTTCACCATCTGGAAGTTTTTTTTACAGAAGCTATTTCTTTAATCACTACCTCCACTGCTTTCATGCTATCCCAAGCCACTGATTTTATAGCTGGGGAGACCAATGTTTAAAGTGTTATTCAATTCTTCTCTCCAGAGAAACTTAGTAAAATTTTTCTTGAACTACATTAAAGTTGATAATAGTCCTACCTTCTACAATATATCAGTGACAGTGATGTAAATGGGTTAATGTCAGTAATACATTTGTAGGGATTAGCATTGCCACAGTCAACAAGAGCCCTGTTTTTCTGTTAGAAAAAGAAACTCATTTTAGAGACTAGTGCTAAGAACCTAAAGTGATTATTTTAAAGTTATCTTGTCAAACGTATGGAATCAAGTAATTTATATTATATATCTATAGTAAATGTTGATGTAGTTACTAAAGATCATGTTTGCGAAAGTATTTAGTCATGAGTAAATATTTCTTTTAATTCTGAAGCAAAAATATGAAGAATCTAATTTGAATATTCACTATCATCCCAACCAAATAAATAATATTAATAAAAAGACAGAACAAAACCAGTAAATTGTTGATAATTGTTATTGGTAGGTAGTAATATTTAGTTTTTTAAATATTCTTCAGTTTTCCAAGTGCTGTATATGATATTTTAAATTTTTATCTTTTTAAAAATTTATTTATTTATTCGATATTCAGGAGGCTGACGCAGGAGGATTGCTTGAGCCTAGGATGCCGAGGTTGCAGTGAGCCGTGATCATGCCACTGCACTTCAGCCTCGGAAACAGGGAGAGAGAGAGTCCGTCTCAAAAAAATAAAAATAAAAAAAGCAATAGGATATTATTTTTTCCCCTAAAAACAGAAGCTGTTAGGTCTGTATTTCTAGAAAATAACAGTGAACTAGATATTCTTCATGACACACTTTTTCACCGGGTAATTTTGTAGGAGCAATATTAATCTGAAATTAGATAGGATGGTGACTTATAGATCAGTTTTCAGCACTCATTGCTGAAATTTGCTGTCACTTGAAATAGTTGATTTTGAAAAACAAGCCCAAAAGATTTGTTTTTTCTTCCCAGATAGTTTGCCTATATTGGTAAATGTTTCCATCAAATGAAGAGTGGAATATTAGTAGTGTTTACATCAAATGAAGAGTGGATCTAAAGTTTAAACATGAAGATTTCATCCGGCTATGAATGAAAGATGAGAGAGTAACGTATTTTCCTTCCTTTTTCGTTTTCATGCACAATTCATTATTATAAAAATAATTATGCACTAATACTCAATTCTGCATTTATTTTACAAGCATAGTCAAGATCCACTAAGGCTGTCCTTCTCAGATGTGACTGTCAGACCAGCAGCATCAGCATCACCAAAGTATGACCTACTCTGTCTGAAATTCTAGAGACAGAGCTCAACTCCAGGTGAATTACTTTATGCTAAAGTGTGAGAATTGCAGAATAAGGAAAACAGCTTAAATAATACAAACAACTAAACTAATATAGATACTCTTACCCTCTAAGCACAACTGTTATTAAAAACCTCTTAGTAAAGTCAACTGTTCTTTCTACTCTCAGAAAAATGATTATAGTTTTTCCCTTCAGCAGATTGAGCCATTGAAAAAAAATTCCAGGCTCTAGGTTTGTGATAAACCTTCCCCACTTAAATCTTAAGTGTGATAAAAGCCTTTACCAATGATTAAACTGAGTGAAATGTTAGGCTGTCCTTAGACTGATAGAGTCATATTTATCTGGCAAACAAAGGATTAAAGGACATCTCTCCTGGAGATGTACTATGGTACTATGGGACTATGGGAAGAAGTAAGAAGCCTAGTATGACTACTAAATTTTTAGCCTGAAAGACTAGTTGTATTTCTACCAATAATGTAAATAGAGTACTCAGGCTAAGACTTGAATTCGAGTAAATTAAACATCTTCTGTTTCAGCCTCAGTATTCTCATTACAAGTAACTAGCCTTACTTCTCAGAGTTGCCTATCCAATATCTAAGATGTTCTGAAGTGCCTTTCTCTATATCCTGTATTTCTTTATTTTTCATCATCGGTTCCAGAAACAAAAAAAGATTTTGAACAGACCATGCAGTCTTTCCTAAGTTACCTAAGCAATGGAATCGTTCACTCAATTAACTCTTCCTTCCCTTTTTTATAGGTGTTTAATCTATATTGAATTACTTGTTTCCAAGCTCAGCAGTTACGGGGGCAATTGCTACCTGATTTTCTATTATTTTATAAAAGGACAGTAATGTTACAGGACAGGGGTCCCAATCCAGACCCCAAGAGAGGGTTCTTGGATCTCACACAAGAAAGAATTCAGGGTGAGTCCACAGTGCAAAGTGAAAGCAAGTTTATTAAGAAAGTAAAGGAGTAAGAGAATGGCTACCCCATGGACAGAGCAGCCCTGAGGGCTGCTGGTTGCCCATTTTTATGGTTATTTCTTGATGATATGCCAAACAAGGGGTGGATTATCATGTCTCCCCTTTTTAGATCATATAGGGTAACTCTCTGATGTTGTCATGGGATTTGTAAACTGTCATGGCGCTGATGGGAGCGTAGTAGTGAGGAAGACCAGAGGTCACTCGTGGCTATCTTGGTTTTGGTGGGTTTTAGCCAGCTTCTTTACTGCAATCTGTTTTATCAGTGAGGTCTTTATGACCTGTATCTTGTGCAGACCTCCAATCTCATCCTGTGACTTAGAATGCCTTAACTGTTTGGGAATGCAGCCCAGTAAGTTTCAGCCTCATTTTACCCAGCTCCTATTCAAGATGGATTCACATGCCTCTGACAGTAATTTGAAATTATTAATTTTAATGGACATTGTATGAAAACCTTCCTATATATATAATCTCTATATATTTTAAGTAAAACTAGACTAGCCTTGAAACTACTTTGGTCAATCCATTTATCATTTGTGCCCTTCAGTAAAATAAAAATAAATTCATATTTTGTTGTTTTTTTTTAGAATTCTAGAAATATTCCCCAAATTGGAAAATATGTGGACTGAGATTTGTAATCAGTTTTCAACATTATCAAAGAGAAAAACATTGCACCAGACAAAATAAGCAGAGAGAAGTTGATTTCATTTCTATACTATTGTCAGCAATAGGATGCCTGAATACCCAGTCACCCACCACCCACCCTTACGCCAAAGAGCTGGAGAGTTTTTAAAAGTTGGGATAGGGGCCATCTGAGTTTGCTAATTGGCCTTACTCAAAGGAAAAATCACTTTTCTTGTATCTTCATGACTGGAGGCAATTTTACAGCTTGGAACAAAGGCAACGTTAGGCCCCCACTCTCCCACAGAAACTGAAGTGGGGGGATGAGGAGGGGTGGTTTATCTTTCTTGACAATTACACTTCGATAGAATGGCTCTCAGATCCTTCAAAAAGCCATTCTTCAGTTCTATAACGAGTTAGAAGCTTTCAAAAAATTTACGTCTCAAAGGGCCAGAGAAAGGATGTACAATTATGTGTTTTCTAGAGTAAATGTTCTAAGAAAAGGAAGGTCAGGGTCCTAGGTGAGATAAAAGCTTGTCTAAAATTTCGTGAAATCGAGTGGAACCTTAGATTGTCTTCATCAACTTTTAACTTTTTGTGGGATTATATATATAAGCATAAAAACATAGCCTTTCATGGTTTTCTATCTTAGCTCACTGGTTAAGAAAGGGGTCTTCAAAACCTTTTCGTAAAGGAGATTTTTGTCCTATTTGAGAATATTTTAACTAACAAATGATGTAAATAAAATATTTTCTCTATAGGAACAATGTTCAACTTTTAATCAAATTTAGTTAAAAAAAATTATTTTTGAGACAAGCTTGAAACTGCCATTGCAAAATTATAAATGAGAAAATTATTACAGTGAAAAAGATCTGACCTAACCAACTCCATCTTGCTTGTAATCCCCAAGCTGTTCTTGTTCACTCCTGGGTGTAGGCCAAATTAACTTTGGGAGGAATTTAGTTTATAGTTTGAAACAAAGACAATAACAGCCTTTGCAGGACTAACAAATTATCCACAAGATTAAAAATTGTGGTTTAGGAGTCATGCAGCTGGAGGCTGCCTGCGAGATTCTAAACCTCTTCAAATTACTCCTGGTGATAACATCACTATTGTAAAACCTAAGATCACTGTCTGAGATATTTTGCAGACCTGGCACTTGATGGATCAGTTGGCACCACCCAGATCGATAAAGTGGCTCCTCTGGTCTTGTTGCCCTCACTCAGGAAATGACAGCACAAGAGGTCAGCCTCAACTCCCTATGATTTCATCTCCGACCCAACCAATCAGCACTCCCGACTCACTGGCCCCTACCCACCAAATTGTCCTTAAAAACCCTGATCCCCAAGTTTTCAGGGAGACTGATTTGAGTAACAATAGAATCCTGGTCACCTGCACAGAGGTTCTATGTTAATTACTCTTTCTCTATTTCCCTGTCTTGATAAATTGACTGTCCAGTGCACTACCACACTAATTATTTTTGTGTGTATATGTGTAGACAAGGATCTTGCTATGTTGCCCAGACTGGTCTTGATCTCCTGAGCTCAAGTGATTCTCCCACCTTGGCCTACCAAAGAGCTAGGATTATAGGCATGAGCTACCAGGCCTCAAATGTAGTTTATGAAAAAATTCTTAGATTAATGAGGATCTTATAAAATGCCTTCAGGGGCTTAAGCCTCCTCCCATTTTGTCTACCTTTTGATAAAGTCCCACAGTCCTATTTGGTTTTGGTGGCCCAATAACCAAAATAGCTTGGGTCATATCAGTGGGCTCCCCATACGAATACAGCTTTAAGATAACCCTCATTCTTACTCTCTTCCTGTAAATTTTCTTACCATATTTTTTGCCCTAAGCCCTTCCTACATTAAAATTCTGGATCATCTAGAATTGTTTCATCACCACAAAGAAATGTCCTGTATTATCCCTTAATAATCACACCCTCTTTGAACTCTAACCCTCAGCAGCCAATGACCTGATATTATCACTTTGAGAATGTTTTATAAATGCTATGTATAGTAAGTAACCTTTAGACTTTATTTATTTCACTCAGTATAATGCCCTTCAAATCCCTCCATACATGTTGTTTGAATTCACCAATTCTTGATTTTACAGAGGATATGATGAATTGCTTTTTTTCTTTTTATTCTAAAACAATTTCAAACTTACAGAAAGGTTGTAATTATAGTGCAGAAAGTATTTCCCCTAAATCATTTGAAAGTTACTCAGTCACATTTTGCCTAACACCCAAATATTTTAGTGTGTGTTTCCTACAAAGACATTCCTTGATGTAATTCAATATAATTACCAAAATCAGGACATAACATTTCATTATTATCATTTAAACTGTAGTCCCAATCCAAATTGTGTCAATAGTCCCCATAATGTCCTTTTTTAGAAAAAGGATTCAATCTGAACAGGACTGGCTACTCAGTGGGGACCTGGGGCTCACTTCAGAATGAATGTGAGCCTTTTGAAATATTGTTAAGAATTGAGAGGACAACAGCAGAACATTAAATCAAACATAGGCTCTTCCAAGTACAGGGCCCTGTGCCACTACACAAACTACATGCCCATAAAGCCAGCCCTGGTTTAAGATCATATACTGCATTTAGATGCCCTGTATTTTTAATCTTCTTCAACCTCCTTCTTCTGTCTTCTTTTCTCTCATGACCTTGACACTTTTGAAGATTTTAAGCCAGTTATTTAGAGAATGCCTTTCAATTTGTGTTTCTCTGATGCTTCCTCTGATTAAATGGTTTTGGCAGGAATATCACAGAGGTAATGTTTGTGATTGCATCTTATCAGGTGGTAATGATTTGATTTGTCCCATTTTGATGATGTTAATTTTGAACATTTGATTAAGGTGGTGTCTTCTAGTTTTCACTATGGTGAAGTTACTTTTTTCCCCAACTTAATAAGTGTATTGAAGGACGATACTTTGAGACTATATAAATACTCTGTTTCTCATCAAACTTTTACCACCCACTAATGTTTTCTGCATGAATTAAATATTGGGATGATAGATGCCAATAGGCGATTTTCATCAAATCTATTATTCCTTTTATTTTATTAATTAACAAGATTTTCCCTCTGCATATGTATATGTGTATTTTTATCACAAATGCATTCCAATATTATTTCATAGGTTAAAATCTGTTGATATCATTATTTATTTAGATACACAAATTTTTCCCTATCTGACTAGTGAGAGCTCATTCAAGCTAGCTCTTTTGTTGTTGTCCTTTTGATATATCCTTATGATTATTTGAGCACTTCCTTATTTTCATGTACCACATGATGTTAATGGCTCATTTTACATTTTTTTCCCTTAGTCCTGAAATTAGCCATTGATCCAAGGAGCTATGTTTTATTTTAGTGAAAAATGACCTTCAGAAAACAAAATCTGAGGCTAGACATGCTCATTATTACATGGGTGTTGATGTCTCAAAGCCCTCTCAGTGAGCAGAGCTTGAGGAGGTAAGCATGCATACACCTGCAATACATACACACCTATATTCTTTCTGTATCCATCTATATGCATTAAAACTTTAAGTTCACACAAATATCTCCAATTCCAATCCAATACTAGTGCTAGAAGTTTTATCCTAATTTTTCTGCATTTTCTATAACTTCCTTTTTCTATAACTTCCTTTTTCAACCTGAGAAATCTTGCTCCTATTATTCCCAATATTTTTATTTATTTGATAAATCCTACCTTTACATAACCAACATTTCTTCCCCTCCACTTCACCATGTGAATGCTCTTT
Source organism: Homo sapiens (assembly GCF_000001405.40). Taxonomy (NCBI): domain Eukaryota; kingdom Metazoa; phylum Chordata; class Mammalia; order Primates; family Hominidae; genus Homo; species Homo sapiens. The sequence continues at coordinate 22,937,548 of NC_000009.12, forward strand.
CCACCTCACCCAGACTTCAGCATTTCACTGTTGTTCATTGTCAACCCCCTGCTACAAAATCCTCCTCCAGGTCTGAAGTAGAAATATTCTTAATTATCTCAGGACATAGTGTCTGTGGCAGACTGTGTGGATTGTGAATGCATTCCTCACCATGTCCAGTCTCTGAGCCCCTGCAATATGGTGCTCCTACCTACAAAGAATGTGTTCTTACCCTCCTTGGGCTTTGACGCTCTGTGCCAAGTCATGGATATCATTGCTGTGCCCTATCTCCATGTGGAAGCCATCTGTGCTATGCTTGGGCTGTAACAAATTACGGTGGGACCACAACCATCCCACATGCAGACAGCCTCTTTACCTACTTGGGTTTCTGATATCTCACCAAGCTGCTTACACTGTTATATACCCCTTACATAGCTGTCCCTCTCACACTCTTGAGTATGACTACTCAGAGCTTTGCCAAAAGAATGTGCTCCTCCTCCTCTCAGGTTTCTTACACCTTTTACCCCTCACTTCCTCACCCCACCCTCAATCTAGCATCCCATTATAGTGGCTGTACCACCAGTCCATTCTCTTCCTTTACCCACCACCCACATATAAATATCTCCTGTGTCTCATTGCACAAGGCCACTGTACCTATCTCCCTTCCAGCACGTGTTTCTATCTAGCATATACTCAACCTAATATCTTTTAGGCTAAATACTCATGAAGGAGGGAAAAAAGGGAGAGAGATTCATGAATTAGTTTTAAAAATTCATAACTACGTTCTTTATAACTAGCAGATACTTTGTCAGTGTTTGGAAAAAATATTCTTTTATAAAAATAAATAGCACAAGAAACCAAGTTTTAAGATTATTTTTAAAAATTAGGTACTTCATTAGACATGTATGAATGAATCACAACAGTGAATATGAAGGCAGAATCATGCCTTCTCCCCCAAAGACGTCTGGGTCCTAATTCTCAAAGCCTATACACAGGTAACTGTAGAGGCCAAGGTCCTTGGTCCCCTGAAGCTCTGTTGAAAATGATTGATATGAGGCAGATTGATTAATAGGAAAAAAAGGCATACAAATTTATTTCACATGTATACATAGGAGCTTTCGGAATAAACACCTAATCCCCCAGTAGGGGTGAAAAAAAAAAAAAAAGAAGCTTATCTACCATCTTGAGATTACAGAAAGAATGAGGGCTCAGAGCATTGCCAAAAATAGATTATGTTGGTAAGTCAGGTTTTAGTGGCAAGACAGGTTATGAAGGGAGAGAAGAGGACGCTTGGCTAGCAAAGGTTGTCTTGTTATGTAGATCAAACCTCATAGGTAGCAGCCTTCAGAAGGGACAGATGGTAAATATTTCTGTTTCTTTTGGAATCTTTAAAGGTGCCAGACTCTTAGTTAATCTTCCCTAGATCAGGACAAGGTAAGGCCTAGTTGAATTAATGGAGATTCTCTATGGTTGCAAATTTTCCCTACAAAAGACAGTTTTGAAGGGCCACTTCAGTCTGCTGGCTCTGGGACAGCCATCTCAAAATATGGCAAACAAATATATTTTTGGATAAAATATTTTCATTTCCTTCATTACCCTAGCTGGCAAATGGGACTTCACAGATATGATTAAGGTTATGGACTTTGAGATGGGAGATCATTATGGATCACCTTGGTGGGCCAAATCTAATTATATAGGTCCTTAAAAGTGGAGAACCTGTCCTAGCTGTAGTCAGGGAGAGATGAGACCATGGAAAGAGGAGTCAAAGAAATGGAATGATGCTGACTCTGAAGATGGAGAAAGGGGACCACATGCTAATGAAAGTGGGCAGCTTCTGGAAGATGAAAAATGTAAGGAAATGTATTCTTATCTGGAACCTCTAGAAAGGAACAAAGCCTTGGCAACAAAGCCTTAGCCCAGTGAGACTTATACTGGACTTCTGACATACATAATTGTATAATAATAAATTTGTGTGTTGTAGCAAGACACATATGGTAAAAGAAACAGAAATGCTCAGAGGATATAGTAGGTGCTAGAAATATTTCAATATTTAAGAAATATTGAATATATGAATTATAAGCTGTTTTTGAAGGAGAACTGATTTTTTTCTTTCAAGTCTTTATACTTAAGCTGTCAAGATGTTTTTTTAAAAAGCCCTGCATTTTATTTCCATTCTCTTTATTTTAAATACCATAAAATTAAAGATAATTTTTAAAAATTAAAAAGCCACAATTCTACGACACTAAAATGATTTTTATAAAACAGTTTCATTCTATCCCTTCTTCTTTCAGCAGCATATATATTTAACACAATTGAAATCATATAACATTTTCAATAAGCTGCTCACTTTTTTCTTCTAAAATTTATAAAAACTATTTTCTATGTGTCTGTAACATCTTTATAATTATCATTTTATAACTGTATGACTCATTGAATTAATGTACAATAATTGATTAATTTATCCTTTTGTTGAAATTTAGTTTGTTTACAATGTTTACTATTTAAGATAATTTTTCAAAGAAACATCTTTGAGAATATAACTTTTTTCCTCTTATTTTTTTTTTTTTAGACAGAGTTGTGCTCTTATCACCCAGACTGGAGTGCAATGGCGCCATCTCGGCTCATTGCAACCTCTGCCTCCTGGGCTCAAGTGATTCTCCTGCCTCAGTCTCCCGAGCAGCTTAGTAGCTGGGACTACAGGCACCTGCCACCACACCCAGCTAATTTTTGTATTATTAGTAGAGATGGGGTTTCATTATGTTGGCCAGGCTGGCCTGGAACTTCTGACCTCAGGTGATCCACCCACCTCGGCCTCCCGAAATGCTGAGATTATAGGAGTGAGCCACCGCGTCTGGCTTTTTTCCTTATTTTCTATTTTGACTTAAGATTGTGTAAACCCAGAATAAAATCATAAGCCCCTCAAGTGACTGAATGGACCCTGCTTTGACCAAAGGCACCCCAGAGAAATCAGAAAAACTGAATTCCTGGCATATTTTGAAATGGCCCTGCAAAGCCACCTCTTGTGGGGAAAATTTGCATCTGTAGTGAATCTCCATTAATACAGCCAGGGATTCCCTTTTCAGGTCTTCCCTGGATCCAGGAGGGATTAATGAAAGTCACACCTTTAAGGTCTGAAAAAGAAATTTACCATCTATTTTCTCTGAAGGCAGCGACATGGGAACTTCATCTATATAACAAGAACCTTGGTCTCTACAACCCCCCTTATCTTAACTCAAGCATTTCTTTCTTTTTTTTTTAATTTTTAAGCTCCAGGGTATATGTGCAGGATGTGCAGGTTTGTTACATAGGTAAATGTGTGCCACGGTGATTTGCTGCACCTATCAACTCATCACCTAGGTATTAAGCTCAGTATGCATGAGGTATTTTTCCTAGTGCTATCCCTCCTCAAACTCAACCCCCTGACAGGCCCCAATGTGTGTTGCTCCCTTCCTTATGTCCATGTGATCTCATTGTTTAGCTCCCACTTGTAAGTGAGAACATACTGTGTTTGGTTTTCTTTTCCTGCATTATTTTGCTGAGGATAATGGCTTCCAGTTCCTTCCATGTCCCTACAAAGGACATGATCTTATTCCTTCTTATGGATGCATAGTATTTCATGGTGTATATGTACCACATTTTCTTTATCTAGTCTATCACTGATGGGGATTTGGGTTGATTCCATGTTGTATTAGTCTGTTTTCACACTGCTGATAAAGACACACCTGAAACTGGGAAGAAAAAGGGAATTAATTGGACTTACAGTTCCACATGGATGGGGAGGCCTCAGAATCATGGCCGGAGGCGAAAGTTACTTCTTACATGGTAACAGCAAGAGAAAAATGAGGAAGAAGCAAAAGCAGAAACCCCTGATAAACCCATCAGATCTCATGAGACTTATTCACTGTCATGAGAAGAGCAAGGGAAAAGCCAGCCCCCATGATTCCATTACCTCCCAATGGGTCCATCCCACAAAATGTGGGAATTCTGGGAGATATAATTCAAGTTGATATTTGGGTGGGGACACAGCCAACCCATACCATTCTGCCCCTGGACCCTCCAAATCTCATGTCCTCACATTTCAAAACCAATCACACCTTTCCAAGGGTCCCTCAAAGTCTTAACTCATTTCAGCATTAACCCAAAAGTCCACAGTCCAAAGTCTCATCTGAGAAAAGGCAAGTCCCTTCTGCCTATGAGCCTGCAAAATCAAAAGCAAGCTAGTTACTTCCTAGGTACAGTGGGGGTATAGGTATTTGGAAAATACAGCCATTCTCCAAATGGAAGAAATTGGCCAAAACAAAGGGGTTACAGGGCCCATGCAAGTCCAAAATCCAGCAGGGCAGTCAAATTTTAAAGCCCCAAAATGATCTCCTTTGACTCCAGGTCTCACATCCAGGTCATGCCGATGCAAGAGGTAGATTCCTAGGCACTTGGGCAGCTCTGCCCCTATGGCATTGCATGGTGCAGTCTCCCTCCCAGCTGCTTTCATGGGCTGGTGTTAAGTGTCTGCAGCTTTTCCAGGTGCACGATGGATGTAAGCTGTTGGTTAATCTACCATTCTGGGGTCTGGAGGACAGTGGCCCTCTTCTGACACCTCCACTATGCAGTGCCCCAGTAGGGACACTGTGTGGGGGCTCCAACCCCACATTTCCCTTCCACACTGCCCTAGCAAAAGTTCTCCATGAGGATCCCGCCCCTGCAGCAAACTTCTGCCTGGGCATCCAGGCATTTCCAAACATCGTCTGAAATCTATGTGGAGGTTCCCAAACCTCAATACTTGACTTCTGTGCACCCAGAGGCTCAACACCACGTGGAAGCTGCCAAGGCTTGGGGCTTCCACCCTCTGAAGCCACAGCCTGAGCTGTACGTTGACCCCTTTCAGCCATGACTGGAGCAGCTAGGACACAGGGCACTAAGTTCCTAGGCTGCACACAGCACAGGGACCCTGGGCCTAGCACACTAAACCACTTTTTTCTCCTGGGCCTCTAGGCCTGTGAAGGCAGGGGCTGCTGTGAAGGTCTCTGACATGGCCTGGAGACATTTTCCCCATGGTCTTGGGGATTAACATTAGGCTTCTTGCTACTTATGCAAATTTCTGCAGTTGGCTTGAATCTCTCCCCAGAAAATGGGGTTTTCTTTTCTATCACATAGGCTGAAATTTTCCAAACTTTTATGCTCTGCTTCCCTTGTAAAACTGAACACCTTTAACAGAACCCAAGTCACCTCTTGAATGCTTCGCTGCTTTGATGTTTCTTCTTCCAGACACCCTAAATCATCTCTCTTAAGTTCAAAGTTCCACAAATCTCTAGGGCAGGGACAAAATGCCACCAGTTTCTTTACTAAAACATAACAAGAGCCACCTTTGCTCCAGTTCCCAAGTTTCTCGTCTCCATCTGAGACCACCTCAGCCTGAATTTTATTGTTCATATCATTACCAGCATTTTGGCAAAGCCATTCAACAAGTCTTTAGGAAGTTCCAAACTTTCACACATTTTCCCTATCTCCTTTTGAGCCCTTCAAACTGTTCCAAGCTCTGCCTGCTACCCAGTTTCAAAGTTGCTTACACATTTTCAGGTATCTTTTCAGCAATGCTCCACTCTACTGGTACTGACTGGGGGAGGGAGCTCCCTTTGCGCTGCACAGCTCCCAGGCGGGCCCTCACTCCGCCCTGCTTTTCCGTGCTCTCTGTGGGTCATGTCAACCACCTAGTCTGTCCCAATGAGAAAACCTTGGTACCTCAATTGAAGATGCAGAATTCTTTTGCTGTTTTCATCCTTCTCAGTGGGAGCCACAGAGCAAAGCTATTTCTATTCAGCCATCTTAGCTGTTCCTCCCTTAACTTTTCTTCAACTATTTCTTTCTACTGACTTCAAGTCTTTACACAAAGCTTAACTCTTTCAACCAATTGCCAGTCAGAAAATCTTTGAACCTACTTATGACCTGTAACCCCCACACCTCTTCAAGAGACCTCACCTCTTTAGACTGAACCAATATACACCTTCCATATATTGATTATTTTACTTATAATTCCTGTCTCTCTAAAATGTATAGAACCAAACTGTATCCTGACCACCTTGGGCACACTTTCTCAGGACTTCTTGAGACTGTTATCCAGGCCATGGTCACCCATATTGGCTCAGAATAAGTCTCTTTAAATATTTTACAGTTTGTTTTTTCCATTTACACCCTGAAGATAAATTTGTAGAAATAAAATTACCAAAAAAATCTATGAATATTTCTAGAATCTTCCTGTGTGATCTAGCTGGCTCTTCTGTTTTTCTCAAATTATTGCATTATCACTGGTTACTCTTCATATGAAGCCAATAGTATTTGTTAGCATTATAGTACTATATATATATTCATACATGGTCGAGCCCCCTTTAATATAAAAATAATATTTATCTAAAAATTATTAAAACTGTATTTGTTCAAATAAATTATGATTCTCTGGCAAGTAAAGAGAAAGAAAAATAAAACCAGAGTTCTGACTTCAAGCAACTCATAGACCACTGAGAGAGTCAAATACAGAGGAGTACTGATAGTAGGAGAGTCAGCAGAGAGCAGTGTAGAGTAGTGCAGCAATGTAGCATAGCGGTAAAAAGCCTACTAAGAAAGTTACTAAAACAGAATGCCCAATTTTGTCAGTAACTTCAGATTTAGAGCAGGAAAAGGACTGAGGAGAGATCCAAATAATATTTCTCTTTGGTCTTTCAAAAATAACAGGCTTTCTCTTTGTTATGCAAAATTTTAACAAAAGCGTGCTGTTTCCATAACTTACTCTCCTCATTTTCTCCCATGTAGCACCAGACATCTACAATTGGAGATTTGTGTTGTTTTTCTCTCATTATCATCGTTCATTAAAATTGTGTAATCTTTTCTGCACTACCAGTCCTCTTGTTCCATTGTCCTGTCAAAGTGTTTTAGATGACCTGTACGTGTATCTTCTTGCCAACACAATATGCACAATATTGCTTTTAGCATGTTAAACTCACAATCAATTAAAGAACACAATTAATCCTGATTGCTATTTCCTACCAAAAGTAAGTTTTCATGAATTATAATGACTGCAATCATGTGAATCATTCATTTAGCACATATTTACATTTTACCTAATATCTACCAGGGCCAGAAACATACACAAAGAAAGTGGAAATAGTCCTTGCTTTCAAGTAGACTCTCAGTTTGATGAGCCAGACATGTAAACAAGTAATTGTGTTTCAGTGATAGTATAAAGTAGGAAGAAATCAATTCAAAAGTCAATTCTAACCTGGGACCAGTAAAGTCCAAAAGAGGGATTAATATTTGAACTTAATTTGAAGGTTGAATACAAGTTCTCTATGTGAATAAATCAGATAAAAGAATATCGCTAGAGGGATAGTTTATAAAAAGTCATAGGTGCATGAAACAGCCCAATCAATTTCAAAGGTTATAATAAAAACATACTCTAGTATCACGGTTACAATAGTGTTCTACATCTACAGTTCATAGTGTTACCTTCATATGCAGAATTTTCCCCAAAACTATTTCCACTTCCTCCTGGCACCTTAATTCTCAAAGTCGAATTCACATTCTGAAACTAACAATATTAACTTAACTGAATCTTTTGATAAGTTTCTCTGTGGTCATTTTCATTATATTCCCACTTTTCTTCACTTAATTCATACTGCTGCTATCATGGGGAACATTGTGAACACTTATCTTAAATGACCTGCTTCTTGCTCCAAATATTGCACACACAAGAAAATAGTTACTTAGCTCCCTTCTGTGGAAAACTACAGAAGCTTGTCCTCATAAACAGGACATTTATGACAACTCTGTTTGAAAGGTTGGATTATTTTGATATTTCAAAAGATGAAAGTCTTCTGACTGACAAAAAGTGGAGGTGTAGTTTTTTTTTTTTTCTCTTTCGAAGTTTTTTTTTTATACCAACTGTAGGTACCAACAAAAAGAATAATTTATAAACAAAATGTATCAATTATTTGCGTTTTCTGTGAAATTCTTATTGTAGAATGTTTTTATTTTATTAAAACTACAAATTCAAAATAATAAATAGTACCAACGGTTAGCATATCTTTGAAGTGTTGATCTACATCGCTTATTCATCACAATTTCTGTACAAAACAGAGAGAAAGGGCATATAAAAAAGAAAAGTTTGTCAGGACCATTTTGCAATGATCAATGTAGCAGTGTAATTAACAAACAAAAACACTAATAATTATATATATTGATATAACAATATTGTCATGGAATCTTGGCACTATGCATTATTCCAATGTAAACATTTATAAAATTGCTGTTTTCAGCTCATTAAACAGTAGTTTTCTGTTTAAATTTCATTCAATATATATGAAAAATGAACAAATATAAATGAATTGAATACAAGTTGCATTTTGATATAAGGAGAGCTAGAAACATCAACCTTCTTCATTCTGCTCCCTTGTATTAATGATACAATATGGCTATTTGGAGAAGAAGGATAAACGCATGAAAACTGAGTGGGGTAGAGCAGAATATAGAGTTTTTAAAATACAGGAAACAAGTGCAACTGAATCAAACAGAATTCGATTATTGAAAAGCCTAAAAATGAACATAAATAAATAAGCAATTCAATGAAAACATAAACAAAATAACACTTTTCTACTATTTTTCTTTATTTTAATAGAATTGAATTTCTCTGATAACTAAAACGCTAAAGGAAAAACGCTTTTACATACAAAAACAAAACATTTAGAAATACTGCAAAAAATTAGTAGGTAGTCACCAACTGTTTAGTGATGATTTTTCATTATTTTCTCCTCTGCCTGAGGCTTGCAAGTAAGAAGTTAATTAAATAGGACCAATTCTGCCTCCAACAGTTGTTTTCATGAAAGATGCTTGGTAAAAATTGTCTTTGCCACAAAGGATAATGTTTGAGATAGAGCTGCACATGTGTGCTTATGAGATAGTGACCAATCCATTGTTACATGTCCCCGAAGTATGTTAGTAATTGGACCCTGGCCCTATATGGATTCAGGGATCCTAGCAAGGCAAGAAATTCCTTCTCTTTTCCCCAAAGTTTTTACACAAGTGAAACAAAGTGAAATGAGTTGTCTGAAGCAGGCACAGCCTCAGCCGAGGGCCACATGCATACTGATGGGCCTGGTTAGTGGTCATGAGGAGGTCTGAGACCTCAGGCTAGGATAGGTTATGGGAGATGAGACTGAAATATAAATTGAAGCATCCACTGTCCTTTTATTTTATTTTATTTTTATCTCAGTTCATTAAAGCTACTTCCTTTCCCCCACTCTATGTTAGATTTGTATATGCAAAAGAAATTTGACCCTCTAGTAATCACAACTGGGCCCTTTAGACAAATGAACTTTCCATAGATTTTACCTGGAAGATAATTTAAGGAGTAATTAACAATGCCATAATGTAAACTGCTGTCACAATTTTTCCAGGCCACAGACGTATAAACTTCAGCTGATCCAGGGACAGAAATAAATGCCAGATTAGAACTGGTGTTTTTCTTTTTGTCTGTCTCTCTAAAAAACATAGATAATTGGATGAACATGCTTGCCTTGCATGAAGTTGTGTGAGTGTATAGAGGTACTGGAGAGGAGGACGGGATGGGGAAGGGAATGCTGTACAAATCCAGAACTAAAGCCATTGATCCACTCCATCATATTGGCTGCTTCTTTCATCTATTTGCATCCCTATTTCTATGGCCCACACACCAATCATCTGTAATATGTATTAATAAATCCGCGGTTTGCATTTATTAATGTTGTTCATAGATATTTGATTCTTAGCTACTTGGGGAATGTGGATGACTGAACTCCTTGATCTCCTGATTTTAGCCAACGAGTTGAGTAAAATGATGTGACAGGGTAAAGCCTTCCAGAGTTTTCTTTACTTCTAGCACAATCAGCAATGTTCAAGATGATGGCTGTTTCATTAGACTAAGTCCTTGAGTGACTTTGGTGAATGGATTCCCCCAATAACTGATGAGAGATAGAGATGAAATGTAACTCAGAAATCAGCCTTTCTGATTCTCAGTTCCAAGACTTAAGGATTGTTTGATCTCATAGCAAACAGCTATTCTAGCTAATATAATTGGCCTATGACTGTAATAGTACTTTTTATATGTTTGGGGACATCTTCATCAAAACCATCTTTAAGAGATAGGGATACAGATAAACCTTATTTCCCTATTAGCTTTTGGTTTTGAAAGTTCTTTGAAATAAATCATTAATCCTTGGTTTTCAGACTAAGTACAAATCGTGAAACTGCTAAGCTTTAAAAAGTAATATTTCTTAGGGCCAGGAGCAGTGGCTCATGCTTGTGATCCCAGTTCTTTAGGAGGCTAAGGCAGGAGGATTGCTTGAACTGAGGAGTTCAAGAACAGCCTGGGAAACATAATGAGACCTCATCCCTATTAAAAAAATTTTTAAGAAAAATAAATTTAAAAAACAAGTAATTTTTAAATTGACTTACTTAATACTCACTATGTGCCAGGGACTAATCTTATTAATTATTAGTATGAACTCATTTAATCTTCATATTTTGCAAGTGAGGAAATTTGGGCACAGAGACTAAGAAACTTTCCCAAAGTTCCCCAAGAAGTAAAATTTTATTTTGGTACTATTTACTGTGCCTCTTTTACCACCACCATGTTCTTAATACGCAAAGGTTTTATTTCTTCTTAATGGATAACATCAATGTATTTTCACTTAAGCAAATATTTTTACATTTAAGAGAAAGAATACTCATTTCAGTAGCTATTGATTTTCAGCTCTTTTGTTATAGCATACTTCACATTTTTAAAACTGTGTAGTTTTCCATGGGTATGGCCTCCATATTTGACATGCGACTGAGAAAAGAAATTCAGAAGCTTGTGCTCTGATAGTGATGAACATACAGAACTTTAGTCCCGGAACCCTAAAACTCTAATGATTACTTTGTTTGGATCAGATTTGTTTTTTTTTTGGTAAAACTGGAACATTGTCTATCAAAATGAACTTTGATCGCTTTTTCATTATTTAATCCAAACGTGATACAATTTCTCCTTCAATTTCTAACTAAGAAGGAAGTGATAAAAGCAGGTATTACTTGGATGCTAGACAACAGAAAAAGGTTTACTTTATATTCCTCCTTTGTAGAAATAGTTGAGAAACTTTTCAGAGCAGAAATATTTAGTATTTATCTTTTGCTGAAATAGCTATAAATATATTTTGAGCTAGGCACAAGGACCAATCCTTAATTACAAAGAGAGTCTGTATGAAAATCTAGGCATTTAAGATTGTAGATACCAAGCTTTTGTGTATTTATACTCATGTGTGTTCTAAGCTTACTATAAAAGGTTTTAAAAGCATTTAGAGTCACTCATTGAGTCCTTATGTATATAATTTGAAAGAATGCTTTTATCACACTACTTAAGAGTGTTTGTGTGACAATTAAGAGAAGTGAAAAAGTATTCTGTATTAAAGGATAATATGAAGGCAATGGTTATGCTTGTTTAAAATTGTATTATTATTATTATTTTCTGTGATCCTTGATGGGCATTGCACTGTTATAATCTGATGAATATAAAAGAATTGATGGGCATTGCACTGTTATAATCTGATGAATACAAAAGAACTGATGGGCATTGCACTGTTATAATCTGATGAATATAAAATGACAGGAGGTACAAAGAGTTCTCGGAGGAGAGTACTACTCTTCCTTATGTAAAAATAATACTTTCTGTCCGTAATCCCAGCACTTTGGGAGATTGAGGCAGGCAGATCACCAGGTCAGGAGTTTGAGACCAGCCTGGCCAATATGGTGAAATCCGATCTCTACTAAAAATACAATAATTACCCGGGTGTGGTGGTGCGCACATGTTGCCCCAGCTACTCGGGAGGCTGAGGCATAAGAATCACTTGAACCCAAAAGGCAGAGGTTGCAGTGAGCCAAGATCGTGCCACTGTACTCCAGCCTGGGTGACAAAGTGAGACTGTCTCAAAAAAAATAAAATAATAATAATAATAATACTTTTTATACCTTATACAAAGTAGTATTTTATTCTTTAATATAAATGCCATGTAACAAGACATTTCTGCAGTTAGTTTCTTAACAATTAATTTTCAAAACTATTCCATGAATGGTAAGAATCACTAAAGCAATCAGTAACACAGTTAACCTGGGAAAACTACAGAGGGAATGCAAATTGAAGAGTAAGATAAGAATCAGTAAATTTAAGATCTGAGAGAAACTGAAAAATTAAATTTAAAGCTAATAAAACGTGCTAATTCACATTATTATTATTCTTGGAAAACTAAGTTGCTTATGACTGAAAATTTTCCAAAGTTTCATTGATCAAGAAAATTATCTGCTAATAACAGAAACTACATTAAGACTTACAGCATCTGAATATTGGCTAAAACATGCATATTTTAAGATTCCTTTTAATGTAAGATAATAAACACAATACACTTAGGAACTTAATAATTCCTATAACCAGAACTCACCACCTTACCCTTACAAGCAGTTGTTTTTATTAACAAATATCTTTGTTTCTTTCTTCCACGTTGTTGGAGATGGCAGGATTTCACTGACACTATGCTAAGGGAAATAAGCCAGTCTCAGAAGGACAAAGACTGCATGATCTCATTTATATGAGGTATCTAAAATTGTCAAGCTCACAAAGCAAAGAGTAAAATGGTGATAACAAGGGGCTTGGGGAAGGGGAAATGAGTTGTTTAATAGGTATAATGTCCTAGTTATACAACATGAATAGGTTCTAGATGTCCGCTTTAAGACACAGTCCCTGTAGTTAAAAATACTGTATTGTACACTCAAAATTTGTTGAAAGGGCAGATCTCAAGTTAAATCTTCTTACCATAAAGTTTTAAAAGGTGGAAGTGCAGGAGGAAGCTTTTGGAGGTGATAGATATTTTTATTACCTTGATTGTGGTGATGGTTTCACAGTGTATGCATACGTTCAAACCCATCAAATTGTATGCAGTAGGTATATGCAGGTTTTATATATCAACCCCACCCAAATAAAATTGTATTTTAAAAAGCTTCTTTCTTCTATGTATCTACTGTTTGTCTTCTTATAGGCTTGACTTCTTTCTTCTAATTCAATCTTCTGGACCCAAACAAAATAGATCATATAATGCAGATGGAAACCTACCTTTCAAAACTTATTTTCTTTTTTTTTAATTTTTTTTATTATTATTATACTTTAAGTTTTAGGGTACATGTGCACTATGTGCCGGTTAGTTACATATGTATACATGTGCCATGCTGGTGCGCTGCACCCATTAACTTGTCATTTAGCATTAGGTATATCTCCCAATGCTATCCTTCCCCCTCCCCCAACCCCACAACAGTCCCCAGAGTGTGATGGTCCCCTTCCTGTGTCCATGTGTTCTCATTGTTCAATTCCCATCTATGAGTGAGAACATGCGGTGTTTCGTTTTTTGTACTTGCGATAGTTTACTGAGAATGATGACTTCCAATTTCATCCATGTCCCTACAAAGGACATGAACTCATCATTTTTTATAGCTGCATAGTATTCCATGGTGTATATGTGCCACATATTCTTAATCCAGTCTATCATTGTTGGACATTTGGGTTGGTTCCAAGTCTTTGCTATTGTGAATAGTGCCGCAATAAACATACGTGTGCATGCGTCTTTACAGCAGCATGATTTATAGTCCTTTGGGTATATACCCAGTAATGGGATGGCTGGGTCAAATGGTATTTCTAGTTCTAGATCCCTGAGGAATCGCCACACTGACTTCCACAATGGTTGAACTAGTTTACGGTCCCACCAACAGTGTAAAAGTGTTCCTATTTCTCCACATCCTCTCCAGCACCTGTTGTTTCCTGACTTTTTAATGATCACCATTCTAACTGGTGTGAGATGCTATCTCATTGTGGTTTTGATTTGCATTTCTCTGATGGCCAGTGATGATGAGCGTGCATCACCAAGTCAATCCTAAGCCAAAAGAACAAAGCTGGAGGCGTCATGCTACCTGACTTCAAACTATACTACAAGGTTACAGTAACCAAAACAGCATGGTACTGGTACCAAAACAGAGATATATATCAATGGAACAGAACAGAGCCCTCAGAAATAATGCTGCATATCTACAACTATCTGATCTTTGACAAACCTGACAAAAACAAGCAATGGGGAAAGGATTCCCTATTTAATAAATGGTGCTGGGAAAACTGGCTAGCCATATGTAGAAAGCTGAAACTGGATCCCTTCCTTACACCTTATACAAAAATTAATTCAAGATGGATTAAAGACTTAAACGTTAGACCTAAAACCATAAAAACCCTAGAAGAAAACCTAGGCATTACCATTCAGGACATAGGCATGGGCAAGGACTTCATGTCTGAAACACCAAAAGCAATGGCAACAAAAGCCAAAATTGACAAATGGGATCTAATTAAACTAAAGAACTTCTGCACAGCAAAAGAAACTACCATCAGAGTGAACAGGCAACCTACAAAATGGGAGAAAATTTTCGCAACCTACTCATCTGACAAAGGGCTAATATCCAGAATCTACCATCTGACAAAGGGCTAATATCCAGAATCTACAAAGAACTCAAACAAATTTACAAGAAAAAAACAAACAATCCCATCAAAAAGTGGGCAAAGGATATGAACAGACACTTCTCAATAGAAGACATTTATGCAGCCAAAAGACACATGAAAAAATGTTCATCAAAACTTATTTTCAAATTGTCTTGTCCTCATCTTCCCAATCATAGAGTACATCAACCTGCCCTGTACTTCCTATGTCCCTTCACTCACTGACATTTCTTTGTGAAATATACTTAGAATCCTGCGTATCTTTTAAAACTTAGTTAAAATGTCACAGCTGCAACAAAAACAAAAGTTCTCCATTCTTTCTAGCTGGAATTATCTTTCTCTGTCCACTTATCAAAAAGCAATTCATTCTTACTCCATCCATGCATTTCTTCTTTGTTTTATGTCTCTCCTCTAAGTCAAGCAATAAAGAGGTTGAACTCTTTTATTTACTTATGTCTTACAATGATTTGCAGGTAAAAGGACCTGATAGCTGGGTAAGAGGCTCACATGTGGAATCTCAGAACTCTGGGAAGTCGAGGCAGGAGGATGACTTGACCTCGGGAGTTCGAGACCAGCCTGAGTAACATAGTGACACCTACCTCTACAAATATTTAAAAATTAGCTGGGTGTGATAGTATGCATCTGTAGTCCCAGCCACTAGGGAGGCTGGATTGCTTGAGTCTGGAAGGTCAAGACTGCAGTGAGCCATGATTGAGCTACTGCACTCTAGTCTTGGTAAGAGTGAGACCTTGTCTCAATAAATAAATAAATAAATAAATAAAAGAATCATATATATATATATATAAATATACACACACATATATATAAAATATATATACGCACACATATACTTAAAAATTAATTTTGTCTTTTCAAAACTAGTAGTGGAGTCTGAGTGCTTAATCATTATTCAGTATATATATTCAGTATACATATTCTGTATATATACACATATACTGAATATATATATTCAGTATATATATTCAATATACAATATATATATTCAATATACTATACATACCTATTGTATATACATTATATATAATATATCCTATATATACATATATACAATATGCATATTCAATATACAATATACATATTCCATATACATATACACAATATACACATATACAGTATATATATTCAATATACATATTCAGTATATATGTATACATATACACACACATATACTGAATAATGGTTAAGCACTCAGACTCCACTACTTCATAACCGTGATTTTAGATATGTGCTTAACACCTTTCAGCTTTTATTTCCTCATGTATAGCATGGTGACAATAATAGTGCCCACCTTATAGGATTTTCTTGATAATTAGGTGAGATACTCAATGTAAAATCACTTGTCACAAAGCTCCGTGTCATAAAAAAAGTCTCAGTCATTCAAAGTATGTTTCTGACTACAATGGGATTAAATTAGAAAAATTAGAAGTCAATAATAAAAAGGCATGTGGGCAATACCCAAGTATTTGGAAATTAAATGAGAGATTTCTAAAACAAATGAGTCAAAGAAGAAATCAAAAGAGACATTCAAAGTATTTTGAATTAAATGTAAAAGAAAAGCCAACATATCAGAATTTGTGGTATGCCAGTTCTTAAAGGGAAATTCATAGTGCAAAATGCCTGTGTAAGAAAAGAGGAATAACAGCAAGTTAGTGATCTTATCTTCCACCTTCAGAAACCAGAAAAAGAACAAATAAAACTCCAAGTAAGAAGAGAAAAAACAATAAAGCAGAAATAAAAAATTTTGAGGCTGGCCATGGTGGCGCACACATGTAATCCCAGCACTCTGGGAGACTGCGCTAGAAGGACAGCTTAAAGCCAGGAGTTTGAAACCAACCAGGCAACAAACTGAGTTTCCATCTATAAAAAAAATAAAAAAGCTTATCTGAATGTGGTGGCATGCACCTACCTGTAGTCCCAGCTACCCAGGAGGCCAAGGCAGGAGGATCATTTGAGCCCAGGAGTTGGAGGCTACAGTAAGCTATAATTCACTGCACACCAGCCTGGGGGACAGAGCAAGTCCCCATCTCTAAAAATAAATTAATTAAATTAAATAGTAATATATATTTTAAAAAGGTTCTTTTGGGGAAGGAGGCAAAAAATTCTTTATATATAAAGCATAGATTACATATACATAAATAGACATACAATATGTCTCTGAAATTAAAATTTATTGGGGGCAATTAAGAAAAAAGTCAAAAAAGACTCATAGGGTAGTGACTGAAATAACGTTTGAGGAAAACTGTTCTACGGATATTAAAAGAACAATAATGGAATATTATGAGCAACTTAACTAGAATACATACAAAAATCTGGATGAAACAGACAAATTTCTCAAAAGACCCAAACCACCAAAGTTCACTAAAACAAAAAAATAAATAAGAAGAATAGTCCCACATATTTAAATATATATTTTTGGTAAAATCCTTCCTACCATGAAAACTTCAGTCCCAGATGCCTTCACTGGTAAATTCTACTAAATATTCAGGGAAAAATAATTATACAAATTCTATAAAAATTCCTTCAGCAAGTTGACAATATGGGAATACCTACCAGTTTTTTCTTTAAGGTCAACATTACACATTACTGAAACCAGCAAAGACATTATAAGAAAAGAAGATTACGTAATAATATCCCTCATGGACATAACAATGTTCTGATGAAAACACCAGCAAAACAACTCCAGATATATATAAAAAGATAATACCTTGTCACAAAAGTGAGGAATATACCAAGAATGTAAAGCTGGTTCAACATTCAAAAATCAGTCACTCTAATTCACCATATTAACGCACTAAAAATTAGAAATACGTAATATTATCTTTTTGAAAGACACAGAAAAGCATTTGCCAAAAATCAAACATTCATTTCTAATTAAAAACGAAAACGAACAAAACCACCTCAGCTAATTAGAAACAGAAGGGTATTTCCTCAACCTGAAAAAAAATCAATCGTTTAAAAAGCTAACACTGTACTTATTAGTGGAACACTGATAGTGTTCCCCCGAAGATAGTAAAAAGACAAGGATATTTACCCTCATCACTGCTGTTAAACATTGTACTGGATGTTCTAGCCAGTGCAAACAGAGAAAGAAGATAAAGAACTAAAAGGCATCCAAAGTAGAAAAGAAAAGGTAAAACTGTTTGATCCAGAGATGACATGATCATATATGTAGAAAATCCATTGGATATACAAAAAAGCTTCTAGAATAGATGAATTTAGCAAGACTTGCCGGATGCAAGATCACTATGCACAAATCAATTGTATTTGTTTGTATTAACAATGCACAACATAGGACTGAAATAGAAAAATACCACTTAAATTGACATAAGTATTTAAATACTGTGGGATATGCCAGGCATGGTGGCTCACACCTGTAATCCCAGCACTTTGTGACCTGAAATGGGCAGATTACCTGAGGTCAGGAGATCGAGACCAGCCTGACCAACATAGCGAAACCCTGTCTCTACTAAAAATACAAAAATTAGGCAGGAGTGGTAGCACATGCCTGTAATCCCAGCTACTTGGGAGACTGAGGCAGAAGAATCACTTGAACCAGGGAGGCGGAGATTGCAGTGAGCTGAGATCGCACCACTTCACTCCAGCTTGGGTGACAGAGTAAGACTCCATCTCAAAAAAAAAAACAATACTGTGGAATAAATCTGATATAATATGTAAAGTACTGGGACACTGAAAACTGCAAAACATTGCTGAGAAAAAAATTAAAAGCTTAAATAAATTGAAATTTTTTTTTGTTCATTGGTCAGAAGATCCAACATGCTTAAGATAACAGTTCTCCACAGGCTGAACTCTATAGTCAGTGAAATCCTTATTTTTTAAAAATAATTATTTTATAAAATATGACAAGATGATTCTAAATTTATATGAAAATAAAAAGTATACAAATAACTACAGCAAAAATATATTTGAAAAGATGAAAATTTTATAAATCTATAGTGTCTTAGTTCAGATTGCTATAAAGAAGTACAGTGGGCTGGATGACTTAAAAATAGCAAAAATTTATTTCTCACAGTTCTGGAGATTGGAGGTCTGAGATCAGGGTATCAGGATGGTCAGGTTCTGGTGAGGGCCCTCTTCTATTTTGCAGACTGCTAACGTCTCATTATATCCTCACATGGCAGAAAGAGTGTGGACTAACTCTCTGGTCTTTTCTTATAAATGCACTAATCTCATTCATAAAAGGTACTACAATTCATGAACTAATCACCTCCCAAAGGCCCTGCCTCCAAATATCACCATGGTGGAGATCAGCGTTTAACATATGAATTTTGGAAAGACAGTCAGTCGATAGCATATAGTAATCAGAACAGTGTGCTATTCATGTAAAGATAGACATATAGATCAATGGAATATGATAGAGCCCAGAAGTAGACCTTTACTGTATATGAACAATTGATTTTTGGAAAAAATGCAGTTAGTCTTTGCTGAGAAGCTCTGTGTGCATATTGGGGCATATCTTCAACACTCAGTCAGGTTTTTCTCAAATCTGCCTTTGCCTTTACTTCCTGTTTGCATAAAGCCACAAGATTATTCAGTGATGAGAATTTAGGACCTTCTTATGTCTTTCCTAAGAAGGAGAGAACACTGTCTGCCTGTGTGTGGCCTTCAAGATTCCTGGGAATACTGCTGAGTTTTTCAAAGCCTTAGGAACATCTAATTTCCAGCTTTTACTTTTAAGCTTTTTGTTTATACTATTGTTTGATAGAAATATTATCCACTGCCTTAGGACCATAAAGTTAAACAATAATTCCCTGTTGTGTTTCTTTGTTTGTTTTTACCAACTCCTCCCCTCCCCTACCTCCAGGAAAAGGCTGTTCATGCTGGGTGAGCTCTAAGTCATGTCAGTATAGATAGCTTTGCAAGTGGGGTCTTCCATGAAATTACCAGGTAAGTCAGACAACGGTAATTATTTGGGAATGAGCTCTAACCGTCTCTGTTGTCTCTAGTGCCTGCACTATTGTTGCTTTTTACTGCAAATGTGGGCTATTATTTTTCAAGGCTACCCCACAGCTGGAGAACAAGTGATGAGAATAAAGCTAAAAAGCAAAAAAAAAAAAGCCATAAGTTCTTCCTAAGATTCAGTCACTTTTCTTGAATGAATACTCCCTGAGTTACTACAAGACTTTGGTTAATTTCTAGAGTTCTCAAATAGGTGGATTCTAACTTTAAAAATATTTTTACTCATTGGTTTTGTGGAAGAAAATATTTATCTTTTAACTTTCATTTCAGGTTCATTGGTATATGTGCAGACTTTTTCTATAGGTAAATTGCTTGCTGTGGGAGTTTGGTGTACAGACTTTCATCACCCAGGTAATAAGCATTGTATTCGATAGGTAGTTTTTCTATCTCTCCCCCTTCCTTCTCCCATGCTTCACCCTCAAGTAGGCCCTGGTGTCTGCAGGTCCCTTCTTTGCGTCCATGTGTACTCAATGTTTAGCTCCCACTTATAGGTAGGAACGTGCAGTATTTGGTTTTCTATTCCTGCTTTAGTTTGCATCAGATAATGGCCTCCAGCTCCATCCATGTTGCTGCAAAGGACATGATCTCATTCTTTGTTATGGCTGCATAGTATTTATATATATATACACACACACACATATGCACACACACACACACATATATATATATATCACATTTTCGTCATCCATACCACCACTGATGGGCATTTAGATTGTTTCTATGTCTTTGCTTATTATGAATAGTGCTGCCATGAATATACGCATGCATATGTCTTTATGGTAGAATGATTTATATTCCTCTGGGTATATACCCAATAATGGGATTCCTGGATTGAATGGTAGTCCCATTTTAAGTTTTTTGAGAAATCTCCAAACTACTTTCCACAATGGCTGAACTAATTTACATTCCCATCAGCAGTGTATAAGTGCTCCTTTTTCTCTATAACCTTGCCAGCATCTATTATTTTTTGACTGTTTAATAATACCCATTCTGACTGGTCTGAGATGGTATCTTGTTGTGGTTTTAATTTTCATTTCTCTAACGATTAGTGATGTCAAGCGCTTTTTCATGTGCTTGTTGGTCATGTGTATGTCTTCTTTGGAAAACTATCTGTTCATGTCCTTTACTTACTTTTTTTTTTTTTTTTTTTTTTTTTTTTTTTTTGAGACGAGTCTTGCTCTGTCGCCCAGGCTGGAGTGAAGTGGCGTGATCTTGACTCACTGCAAGCTCTGCCTCCTGGGTTCACGCCATTCTCCTGCCTCAGCCTCCCAAGTAGCTGGGACTACAAGCGCCCGCCACCTACACCCGGCTAATTTTTTGTATTTTTTTTTTTTTTTTTTTTTTTTAGTAGAGACGGGGTTTCACCGTGTTAGCCAGGATGGTCTCGATTTCTTCACTTTGTGATCCACCCGCCTCGGCCTCCCAAAGTGCTGGGATTATAGGTGTGAGCCACCGCTCCCGGCCGTCTTTTACTTACTTTTTAATGAGACTGTTTGTTTTTTGCTTGAATATTTAAGTTTCTTAAAGATGCTAGATATTAGACCTTTGTCAGATGCATCAATTGCAAATATTTTCTCCCATTCTGTAGGCTGCCTGTTTACTCTGTTGATGGTTTCTTTTGCTGTGCAGAATCTCTTTAGTTAAATTAGATCCCGTCTGTCAACTTTTGTTTTTGTTGCAATGGCTTTTGGTGTCTTCATCATGAAGTCTTTGCCAGGGCCTATGTCCAGAATAGTATTTTCTAGGTTATCTTCCAGAGTTTTTACAGTTTTAGGTTTTACATTTAGGCATTTAATCAATCTTGAGTTGATTTTTGTATATGGTGTAATAAAGGGGTCGAGCTTCAATTTTGTGCGTATGCTACACAGTTATCCCAGCACATTATTGAATAGGTAACCCTTTCCCCATTGCTTGTTTTTGTCAACTTTGCTGAAGACCAGATGGTTGTAGGTGTGTGGCTTTATTTCCCAGCTCTCAATTCTGTTCCATTGGTCAATGTGTCTTATTTTGAACCCACATTTTCTCCCAATAATTAATTGCCTTATTTCCCCTCTGCACTTCAGCTTCCCTCTGTTTTATCTTCCTCTTCATCCTAAAATAGTGTTCCATCATTTCAGCCAGATTATACACAATAACATCAATTTTCATATTTCTTTATTTATCTGCCTCCCCATTCCAGAGCTTGCTACGGAAAACCTAAACCTAGATATTAGTATTACCATATAGATGTAATTGTCCATTCCAATGGGTTCTCAGTCAAGCCAGAAAAACTGTGTACTTTTCTTTGATTACATCCTCCTCTAATTACTTTGGTTTAGATGTTTTTCCAAATTTTTGCCACTGTTCTAAATATTTACATCCACTTCACTGTAAATATGAGCATTTCTTTATTGTTTTCAGAGAAAGGAGAAACCACCTTATGGGAATTTGTATAAGATTCCTGTACTGTATTACCCTTCAGGCAAGAATTTATCTTTATCTACTCATAATCCATATTGCTTCTTTCCATACACAAGCTATAACTTGTCTTCTTACCAACTCAAAGCCGTTTCTTTTACCTGTTCTCTAAACTCAAGGTCCTCTGTCACAAGAGTCACGTAGGATAAGTAAACACAAAGTAGTTGTGGTAAACTTATTAGAAACAAGTATTTTCATTTTGGGGAATGATTCTGGCTAGTCTCCAAATCTGCATGTGTTTAGTTGAGTACAATAATGTGGTAGGGAGAATCCATCTGCAGTTGTGCTAAAGGTCCATTGTTGTCAGAGGGTAGAGTCGGGTAGGTAATATGTAAAATAGCAAGCTCTCACTCTTTTTTACCCTCTCAGTAATCTTCCTTGCTTCTTCAAAACCTTCAATGACTATAAATGCCCTTTAAACCGGTTTCAAGCTTTTCAGTTTGGTGTTTGATTCTATGCAGCTTTAGTTGCTACTTACATTTTTCCACTGCTATTTCCTGAATATATCTCCCAAAGCTCATGTTTTGTGAACTTTATGCTCAATGAAACAGTTTGGTGGAGTGGGGCCTTTAAGATGTGATTAGGTCATTAGGGCTCTGTCCTCATGAATAGATTAATCTGTTATCCTGAAAGATGATTAGTTATCATGGGAGTGGGCTCCTGATGACAGGACATGTTCAGCCTTCTTGCTCTTCCTGCCTTGCACACTCACTAACCATGTGATGCCTTTCTATTATAGGGTAACATAGCAAGAAGGTCCTCACAAGATGTCAGCACCATGCTCTTGGACTTCCCTACTTCTAGAACTGTGACCAAATAAAACCCTATTCTTTATAAATTACCTAGCTTTTGTTATGCTGTTACAACAGCAGAAAATGGATTAAGACACCCACTCACATATATTTTCTTCTTTGTCTTTTTAATACTGTGAAACAGAATTTTTTAGTTAATTTAGTTATTCTTATATTAGACTTTTCCATTTATGAAAGAATGAGTTCTTACAATGGACCTCTTTGATACCATTGACTTGAATGTGTAATAGGAAGAACTCTAAGGCTTCTGAAATAATCCAACTGTTTATCTGCAAAACCACCTGCAGCCAGAAAGTGAGATAACAAAATCACTGAAGAAATCAAAACATGAGAGTTGAATCACAAAACCTCACTTTATCTTGATGATTTTCTATGGAAGGTATATACCTCAGCACATCGATAAAAGGACAATTTTGTGTACTAAAACAAAGGAGGTCATTATAAGGATATAAAAACCAATGGTGTTAAAAGCAGCACTAATGCTCAGCAGACTAAAACCAAGTAATCCAGTGTAATAAAATGGTTAGGTTGGAGTCTTAATAGATTGTAATTGTTAGGAGAATAAATCACAGCTAAAATATTTCTCTATCTATGAGATAAGCATTGGAAATAATTTTAAAATTCAGAGACCTCAACACTAAAGGTAGAAAATATTTCCTTTCCTATTAGAGTACTAAAAAAGAGTAACTGAAATGAATATTACTAAACTAACATTTTTTCTATTTAAGTGTTTTGCTATCACAAACTGAAAGAAAAATTAACGTTTCAGATTATTTAGGAGAATGAGCCAGGGATTGCAAATATCTCACCTCAAATATCGTTTTTGTTTTTTGTTTTTTGTTTTTTTTTTTTTGAGATGGAGTCTTGGTCTGTTGCCCAGGCTGGAGTGCAGTGGCACGATCTCAGCTCACTGCAACCTCCACCTCCCAGGTTTAAGTGATTCTCCTGCCTCAACCTCCCAAGTAGCTGGGACTACAGGCATGTGCCACCGCACCCGGCTAATGTTTTTGTATTTTTAGTAGTGACGGGGTTTCACCATGTTAGCCAGGCTGGTCTCGAACTCCTGACCTCAAGTGATCCACCCTCCTTGGCCTCCCAAAATGCTAGGATTGCAGGTGTGAGGCACCACACCCAGACACTTTGCAAATATCTTTATTATTCATTATATATAATAGATTGTTCTATAGTACAGATAGTTAAAATGGCTTAAGTAACAAAAATTAATTTTTGATTAAAATATTAGGAAGTATAAAGTAGATCAGTCAAAAAGATATGAACATAACTGAATAATTCAGCCAGCCAAATAGCACACACTGGACAAAATTGTCTATTCAAGGGTAAAAGCTGGACTGACAGTAAAGAAGAGTTCACAAAGCAAAAACTGTTGCTCAGAAAGAGTTAATCATTCTCTGAAAAATACAAATCTAGTCATAATTTCTATGCAGAAAAAGAATTGCACCCTTACAGATAAACAATACAGATAGGTTTCTGCTTTCTTGTTTTCTATCAATCTATCTGTAATTGTGTGGCATTGAGAATATGCAAAAGTAATTGCTAGAAGATGCAGAATAGTTCAGAGCACAGACTCTGGTGTCAGTAAAACTTTCCAACAGTATAATTTACTAGCAATGTCACTGTGGGCATGTCACTTAATGTTTAAACTTAATGTTTTCTGTTCTGTAGTAGTGTAGCAGCGTCACTGTGGGTATGTCACTTTATGTTTAAACTTAATGTTTTCTGTTCTGTAGTCAGGTAATAGTAATAGCTCTTATTTCATAGGATTATTTTCAGGATTGAAATGAAAAAGCCAAAATTGACAAATGGGATCGAATTAAACTAAAGAGCTTCTGCATAGCAAAAGAAACCACCATCAGAGTGAACAGGCAACCTACAGAATGGGAGAAAATTTTTGCAATCTACTCATCTGACAAAGGGCTAATATCCAGAATGTACAAACAACTCAAACAAATTTACAAGAAAAAAACAAACAACCACATCAAAAAGTGGGCGAACGATATGAACAGACACTTCTCAAAAGAAGACATTTATGCAGCCAACAGCACAGGAAAAAATGCTCATCATCACTGGCCATCAGAGAAATGCAAATCAAAACCACAATGAGATACCATCTCACACCAGTTAGAATGGTGATCATTAAAAAGTCAGGAAACAACAGATGCTGGAGAGGATGTGGAGAAATAGGAATGCTTTTACACTGTTGGTGGAAGTGGAAATTAGTTCAGCCATTGTGGAAGACAGTGTGGCGATTCCTCAAGGATCTAGAACTAGAAATACCATTTGACCCAGCCATCCCATTACTGGGGTATATACCCAAAGGATTATAAATCCTGCTGCTATAAAGACACATGCACATGTATGTTTATTGCGGCACTATTCACAATAGCAAAGACTTGGAACCAACCCAAATGTCCAACAATGATAGACTGGATTAAGAAAATGTGGCACATATACACCACGGAATACTATGCAGCCATAAAAAAGGATGAGCTCATGTCCTTTGTAGGGACATGGATGAAGCTGGAAACCACCATTCTCAGCAAACTATCGCAAGGACAAAAAACCAAACACCACGTGTTCTCACTCATAGGTGGGAATCGAACAATGAGAACACATGGACACAGGAAGGGGAACATCACACACCGGGGCCTGTTGTGGGGTGAGGGGAAGGGGGAGGGATAGCAGTAGGAGATATACCTAATGTAAATGACGAGTTAATAGGTGCAGCACACCAACGTGGCACATGTATACATATGTAACAAACCTGCACGTTGTGCACATGTACCCTAGAAATATATGAACAAATAAAAGAAATGAAATAATGCATGCAAAACATCTAGTATATAGTAAACTAACTCTTATGTAAATATTAGCTATTATTTTATTACATATAAATAAAAAGGGCTAAGACAATATAAATCTTGATGTGTTCTCAAATACAGCATTTCTTTCTAAAATGATTTTTCTTCTGAATGTCTGCTAAAATTTCTGGATTTCCTATTGAAATTCTCAGTTAATCTACTGAAACAATCTCATTCATGTACTGAAAGGACCCTTCCTCCATACCACTGATCCAGGAGAAACAGTCTGTATCAATTACCACTCTGTTCCTTCCATGCCTGCACTTTGACCCTGGCATGGCGTCTTGATTTTTCCTTAGCAGGAACAATAACAGCTTTGGTATTCTGGTGTGAATTATTTATATGCTTGCTTCTAGTTTGGTTCCTCCAGCTTTTGTCCCACTCTCAGTGAAAAGATCTAGTTGCAGACCTCAGATCCCACAAATTGAGAACAATTTTCCTGTAATTATCTGTGTATAGGGTGATCTGGTTATACTATAATGCTCATGATCTTAAAGGTTTCTGTGGCAAACAAAATATTGAGACTCTATCTTTTGAAAAGTGGGAAATAATTTAAGATGCTTTCACAGAGGAATGAAACAGCTTTAACAAATTCAGATGAGTTGAATGGACTAGAAGCAGGACTGCCCCATAGAACGCTGTTTTAATAGTCCAAAGTATAAATTTAGGAGAATGACAACTAGAAATAGAAAGGATGTGAACATCAAAAGAATTTTCAAATATCTTTGATGGAGTCATGATTTTGAAAAAATACCTTCCAGTGTCACCTTTATTCCATAGTCAGTAAATGTGTAGCATAATAACATGTAGTAATAGAATAAAATTATTTCAAAAAAAAATAAATCTAGTGGTTTTCTTTAAAGTCTTATCTGCTACTTTCTTAATTTTATTAAAGCAGACAATTAGGATTTCCCAAAGCAAAATATTGAAATTGCCAGTATCAGCTGTTGCAGAATGCTTTATTTATCTATGTTTGAGCTTGAAAATGTACTCTGATAGCATACATTTTTTTCATTTATGTTTATAATAGTTTCAGAGTACATGGAAAAATGGAAGCTTGAAGTTGGTCCTAGAAGTCCCTATTACAAGCCACTTTAGGCAAAATTCCTAGTGTATCAAACTAAACACAGAGATAATATATTGTATAAATGTATACTTCCTAGGTGCTCCAGGAAGAAAGGTTACAAATATAGTTTCCCATCTGAGAGGAGAAGGGTTATATAAATGTACTTAACTTTTAAAGGTAACTATAATTTTGACACGTAATTTATGTTTTATACTTTTAAACTCAAAGATGTTTTCTTTCTTAGAAAATGCACTCTCCATTTGATATGATACCACCAGGTAATCTTAATATAGCATGCCTATGTAAAGTTAGGTAAATTCGTTCTGTTACCGAAGCTTTTAAAATTATTGTCAACCCCTTTAAACAATCTTGTTTTGGACAGAGGAAAGTTACACAAAATTGGTTTCAAATCAAACCAGTTTCTGCCTAAACTGGCTCAGGGATTTATGCTGAATTTAACTTTCTCAACGGCTTCCCATTAATCTTGTTAAAAGTAAAACCTTACACAAATTACATTCAACAGAGTTTAATTGAGAAAAGAACAATTCACGAACCTGGCAGTCACCAAACCAGAAGTTTAGGGAGGTTCCATTGCTACCACATGGTCAAAGAAGATTTATGAACAGGAAAAGGAAAGTGACACACAAAAAAACAGAAGTGAGGTACAGAAACAACTGGATTGTTTACAGTGTGGCATTTGCCTTATTTGAACATGGTTTGAAGAGCTGGCTGCTCTTCATTGGCCAAAACTTGGTGATTGGCATAAGAGTAGGTTACAGTCTGTTCACACATCCAGTCAGGGAGCAGTTCACTATGTACAGAGAAACCTTTAAAATATATAAAAACCTTTAGGCTAAACTTAATTTAACAACTCTCTTCTTTTGGTCAAACTCTCAGTTGAAAGATAGACTAAAACTTTGGATGTCATTCTGTCACCATCATAAATGTACTTATTTGGTCTCAAATCCCACTGGAAAATAGCAGGACGATAGGTCTTGCAAAGTGAGAACAAGGACTTCAGGTTATTATTATTATTTTATATAAGGGTTAGAGTCAAAGGACCTTCTTGTTCTGGAATCTCCTGTTTTCAGGAGAAAAACCAAACTCCATCTGTTTTAGGATTTGTTTTCTTAAAGTGTCAGTTCAATTACACTGCAATTAGCATGAGTGACTTCATTTTGGTTTAGTCTGGTCTCTGGGGCCTAGACCATGAACCAGTCCAAAACAATAGGTTCCCATAATTTTGTTTAAAAATTACCCCTTTTGTTCAGGTTCTCACATAGGTGAGAGGGTGACCATGCTTATTCACCAATATCTTGGGTTTTCAGTCTCAGCATGTAATTTGTAGGTTACAGGGTCCTCATGGTCATATGTTTCTTTGTTTGTTTGTCATTCTGGTTGAAGAGTAACAATTTGACATTCTACAGATGGCTGCATGCAAACATTTAAAACTTCTGAGAGAATACAGTGCACCAAGGAAACTACCGTTAGACTACCGGCAGGGTAATACCAAGAGTTTGAAGTATGCTCCTTATCCAGGGTCCTCAAGAATCAAACCTATTAAAATCAAATAGACCACGGAATTAGCTGAAGAGTCTAGTCATTTTAACCAACCATCCTGTTATTAATTGCCTACAACTCAATCTCCATAATACCCAACCCAATGTATTCTTCCATGTCCAACTAGAAGTGTCAGCACCTGTTCATATACTTCTGTTTAGCCAATAAGTAATCTGGAGCAATCCTATTATTTAGCAAAACTTTCAAAAGATTTAAGTCTGTTGTGTAGCTGTAGTTTTTGCAGTAGAATCTGCTATACAGCCTATTATAAGAGATACATTTCTAACCATTGCTTCATTTACTCCAAACCGTGGAGAAAAAGACCTAACAAGTGGTGCCCATTCAGAAAAGTGAAAGCCTTCTGCCAATGCTCTCTTCAACCTATGCTGGCAATGTTCTCTTTAGCCTATTTTGTGGGTAAAGAGGAGTTGGACCAGTGTTCTGTTTCTGATGGATTATAAAGCAACCAAGATCCCATTAAACGTTTTTGCTTACATTGGCCCTTTATTTTTTATCTTTCAAGGCATAAGCTCATCCATATATGAGACTGGCTGTGAAATCTTCCACAAATAAAAGTATTCCCCAAGAGTGCACACAAGAGACCCCCTTTTTAGTTCTATCATTCACAGAGGCATAAGCAAGGACAAAATTGAGCGATGAGAGCCTCATGATAGCAGAGAAGTGTTGATCCGTGATCTTGCGAAAAAGTTGTTCATGTCTGGGATACCATCTGCTTCTGGAGAGAAACTTCCCTGGTTATCTTTACCTTAAGGTTTCTAAAGTGCATAAAGTTCCTAAAGTCTGGAGGGGCCCTACTAAGTTGTGAGGTTATTAACCTGAAGTTCAAGGTCCCAAAGTTTTGCTTTAGTGTGGGTGGCAAGGGCAGCTTTTCTCTAATGTTCTCAGAAGACTTAATCTCTGTATTCTATATTATGAAGAGTTTGCTTGTTTGTTCTCTGTCAGTGGATTATTAAAAGCTTTCTTCACCTAGTGAAAATACATTTTGACATAATGCATTAAAGCCTTACAACATTTAGTCCTATCAGAGTTTAGTAGCAGAATGTACATGAGGTTCTATTATTAGGTGCACAGGCCTTCCAGCGACTATTTCATAAGAGGTCAACTTATATTTTCCACTCTAAGTGGATCCGATTATCATCAATCTGCAATACCTTTGACCAAGGCAATCCAGTCAATTCAGTTAGCTTTGCAAAATGTTAATGTATCTGTAATACTGTATTTAATTATTTTACAACTTGTCCAGTGAAACAAGTACCTCTATCATTGGAGATTTCTCCAAGAATGTCCCATGAGAGAAATACATTTTCTATAACCTTTTAGCTACTGTAATATCATCAGCACTCATGCATGAGAAACTTTCTATACAAAGAGAAAACATGCACTGAATACGATAATTGAATGAAATCCTTCTACACATGTTTAAACTGCCCATCAGGTAGCAGAAATGTACCTGAAGTTTTGATTGTCTCACCAGGATTTTGGGTTTGACAAAACAAACATTGGCCATAAACGATTTTAACAATTTAGAACAGTGACCACACAATATATATATAGATATAGATATATACAGATATGTATGTAATATATAGATAGATATGTATGTTACAAATATATTTGTCTGTATATATATATATATTTGTGTATACATATATATAATATATATATAATTTGGATTATTTTATCTCTACTATGATGAGTCATTAAATGTAGAACTTTCAATAATGAAAGACTTGAGGATTCAGGAAGGACCAGATGGGTGTCCAGGCTCTCCATGAGTCCACAGTTAAATCCTCTTAAATACTAATTTTGTTTCTCCAATTCAGGTGCAGAGTACTGTTCATTAGATGGGTTACTACAGGTAATTTGACCTGAACCATGAAGTTTTCATTCAAATTGCATATCTAAATAATTTCAGCACCGGCTAATTTAGCATGAAAATCTGGCAAAATATTTTCTTGGTTTTTAATTAATTTTTGTCCTGCTTTGGTTAGCAGTTTTATAAACCAGCCAGTCTCTTCATTATGGTTCTGGGAACTGTTACCCAGTCAAAATGATATAATCATAAAGTTACTAGAAACTTGTTGTATGCAAGGATTTTTGTCAAAGTCCTTTTCATCCTTTCTAACAGTTCTCCTTGAAGACACCATAATCTAGGATTTTACTTTCTAGATTGGTTCCTTGTGAAGAGTTTTCAGAAACCATATCAGAACTAAACATTTAACTGTGGAAATGGCTTGAAATGGTCACAGTTAAAAGACAAGGAAATTTGGTTATTTCTGTGGTCTATAATAATTTAACATCATAACGATAGTTTCAGGTGATGGTATATACACAGACATCTCAGAATGTTAAGAATCCCGTACAATATTGAAACATATATTAATAACATTAATAAAAGTATAACTCGAAGATTAAACATCACTTCTTATTCAGCAATGTTTCCAGTGTAATTTAATATGTCAAATAATTCTGTTTATCATTCTTTTGGATGCTTCAGGGGCTCTCGAAGCACTGCAAAGTGAGAGGTGAAAAAATTTGGGGGTTAAAATTTGATTTTGGGATGACTGTCAAATATATCAAAAGTTTAAAACACTTCAAAATAGGATCACAGGCCACTGTAAAAAAATAGTCATTCATTTAGCTAAAGTGATAATACAAAGATTTTAAAAATCAAAAATGTTTACTTTGTCATAGAGAGGAGACTCAGTTTTGCAAATATTCAAAAGACCTGAGAATGACAGCATGAGAGAGAACCTGACTTTCCTTCATTCTTGTCTCTTTTTTAATTTTTTGCAGTTTACTAAAAAAGTGAACAAAAATATTTTCCTGTCACTTACTAATATTACACAAAATGTTTGTTCAAAAGAGAAAATCAAATTTTACTTTTGTATTAGTGTATTATCAATACTAAAGCCAATTTTAATAGAACTTTATAAATAAATCTACCAAATCTGACATTTTTAACTATACAAGATTTTTATAAACTTTTAAAAATCTACTTATTTTTAAAAATTATTTCTCTTCCCAAATTTCTGTATTTATTTAATTTTATCTCTGTTTTGTATCCCTTCAATTTATAACTACCTTTAAGTAAATTTTTAAATGGTGAAAATTATTTTTAACATACATTTTTATGCCTTTACAACTTTCCTCATTAAAAGCATATCTTGCTTGTTTCAATATTGTATGGGATTCTTAACATTCTGAGATGTCTGTGTATATACCATCACCTGAAACTATCCTTATGATGTTAAATTATTGCAGGCCACAGAAATAAGCAAATTTCCTTGTCTTTTAACTATGACCATTTCAAGCCATTTCCACAACTAATTGTTTAATTCTGACGTGGTTTCTGAAAATTCTTACATAACAAGTCATACATTTGTTTTGCCTCACTTGTCAATTTTGAAGCCATTCTTATTTTAATAACAATTCATAAACTAGCTTTATTTACCAAATGTTATCACACACACATAACACATATAGACATACAGACAAACAGACAGAAACAGATCTTATAGCTTTCATTAGGATTCTCATTTGCTGGCCTGGCTGGCTTTTAAATATTTTAAATATATTTTCCCCCCATTCAGACTATCAATTTCCCAAATATCTACTTCATTGTCCTAAGCAGCTGGCTAGGACACCCTAAATTTGCATTTCTAAAGGGACAACTCTTAGGTGAAACAAGGTAGAAAATTTGTTTCTCAAAAGCATAGAGCTAAGATGTTAGGCTTAAATATAACATTATTTGCTCAAACCAAGGAAAAAATGGTGTAAGTAAAAGTTCAGTTGAGGCAAAACAAATGTATGACTTGTTATGTAAGTTTAAAACAATGGTAAGTGTTTCCAATACAGACAGGCAGATACCCTTACAAATGAAAATGTCCTTTACAGATGTAAATCTCTTTTCCAAAGGGTTTCAGCAGAGCCAGTTATAATGTCAGAAAGGGGTATCTTAAATAGTTGGTCATTTTAATTTAGGGGCTGGTTCTTAGCTTAAATTATTGAATTCAGGGTGGAGGCCATTAAGGAATAGGACAAAGAAAGTGTTCTCCATGCCTGGACTCAGCATGGATAGATCCGAAAAACAAGCAAACCTAATTTACTTGAGGGCCTTATAAACACTTTATCTAGGATAGCTTTCTTTTTGTCTTTGGGGTGGGATAGTAACTATGCCAAAGTGTTAGCAGATTTAATTTTTCTTAACAATTGGTTGCTTAAGCTTTTCATTGGCCTTTTATAAGAAGTCAAAAAAACCTACAAATATGGAAATATTCTTAGAAGCTTCTACACATCAGTAGGCATCCCTGGATGAGACTAATTCAGGAGCCCTCACTTTCAAATGCATTTCTTAAAGTGCAGTATTGTGCGTTTGGAACATTTCATTGTCACTTAAAATTAGCTTTAGTAAAATTTTGTCATTTCTATAAGCATTTGCTGCTCCTGGACCTAATACTTATACATGTTTTGTAGGCATAGTCAGAAGGTACATTACTCAGTTCTTCAGAAATTAAGGATTCCATTGTTACCTTGAATCTTGACTTTGGCTCTTAGATTTCCTTGACCAACTTAGTCAATTATTTTTCCCTACCTATGTGTGCAAGAAAAAAGAAACAAAGAAGGTAGAACAGAAAAACCTCTGCAAACTTTTGGAAGCTGAAGTTTGCTCCCCCTGCGGTGTTACCATTACAATCGGTTTCTGTCAGACCCAGTCAAACATATGAGGCCTCTAATTGGATTCAGGCCAATTATTGGATTCGATCTGATCCTGGACCCAGTCCAGTTTCTACTGAAATTTCCAAACTCAGTTTGGAACAGAAATTTGCTCAAACTTGGATAGCTCAAAACATAAATCCGTGGAGCTTCAGAATCGGAGAGGGAGCTATGAGAGACCAATGGACACAATGGGCCCAGTAGGTACTTCCCTCGATCACTCAGGACTCCTGGCGGTTGCTGAAGCTCTACTTCAGATCCCACCTCTGATGTCACTGAAAAAAACAAAAAAGCCTTAGACAAATTAAATTTAACAGACTTTAAAGCCACCACACCTGGAGGAATTATGCTGTATTTCTGCATTCAAAAGTATACATTGTATTTTCCTTTCCTTTATAAATTCATTTTTTTGCTTTCCCTAGTCTCACATTGTCATATTTTGACTATCATTTTACATTTAATACATAATATTTTTTTCTTGTTTGATAACTTTAACATTAAGGCTATGAAATAAATTTGAAGATATATTAAGGATAGTTTTTCTAGCCATGTTTATCTGAACCATCTGACAAATTCTGGCTCCAACCCTTAGTGGAATACACTGTTCTACATTAAGTTCTGAATTTTTGGATAACTCCTTTCTGTCAATGCTTTATGATATTCACAAGTTTTACTTTATATATATGTTCCCCATGGTTTTAGGGATTGCAAAAAGCATTTACTTCTTTCACAAGTTTATTCAAAGCAGACCACTAAATAGAGCATTTTTCATTATTGTTAAGAAGAGAAAAATATGGCTTTAACTTATTGAATTACTGTAATTACCAATTTATGTTGAATATCTCCTGGTTTTTCAATCAGTCCTAAAAAAATTCAATTTTATTATATGGAAAAAATATTTCTGAGAAGCCAGATAACATAATTTTAATGAGCAAAATCCATTAGATAATCAATGTCATATATTCCTTTTTGATATACACATATTGTGACTTTTTGTTTTCATTTTTTATTTGGACAATATATAGAGTCACTGGAAGTTGCAAAACTCGTGCAGAGAAGTTTTACATGCACTTCACTCAGCTTACGCCACTGGTTACACTTTACAAACAACAAAAAAAACTCAACTAGGAAAACTTTTAATGATGATAGCAAATGTTATTCTTCTAATTATATTCTTTCCTCATTTTCTATGTGTCCCAAATGATTTTACGCCATTTTAGTGGTTGTATTAAAATAGAAAAAAGGATTGTTCCTCTAGAGTTGATTTTTCAATAACATTCTTTATTGTTATTCTATTTTTCTTTTTGTTTTAAATACCCCTGCAAATATGAAATAGTTCTTTTTCTCTGGAGTGTGAAATTTTTACACACATGATTTGATTTAATTTTAATTTATAACCTAACATTTCAGGGGAATTAACTATGTCCTACCTTTCCTTGACTTCCAAGTTGTATAACTTAAAGGCTTTTTTAAAAATAGCAAACAATTATCCACCTAGTGTCAAATAGTGGAGATGGATAATATAGCAATGTGATTTAAAAATTGATCCTGGCTCTACTCAGCTGAGCGTAAAAGAAAATATATGACCAGCTGGAGAGACATAGTAAGCCTGCAGCATATAGTACATCACTGCCAAAGCTAGAAAAGGTTTTAAAAGACCTTTCTGCTAAGGAAGTTTGCTATCTGCTATATAATCCTAGCCAGACTTTTTCCTGACCTTGAAAAAACTAAAAGTATAATCAATGATCATCTAATAGCAGTTGTTCAGGCATTGTGTATGGTGTGCACTTTCTGCTGAACCACAGATGATGTTTACACCATCTGAAGAAACCATACTGTCAGACAGTCAGTAAACAAAGATTTGTCTCTCTGGAAATGCCACAGACTGTAAATACCAAACTGGCCAACCATGGCTATTTTAGAATCCACTCACATTAAAAATACCATTATATCCTAACTATAAATTTAACCTATTTGTGATTCTGCAACCATTAGTAGGATTATGGTTTTTGAAGGAAAAAATAACCAGAACATTTGTTATATTATTTGCCAATGGAGGCATTTAAGACCATATCCAAAACTGTGTATAGCTGCCAAAAAGGTCATGCTGAAGCAAAATACCAAGTTTTATGATTCAGAAAGGCATAACCTTTTGAATGAGCTTGACTGAAGCTGAGAATAACATTTATATGCATATTGATGCTTAAGATATGTGGGGTATCATCGAATCAACTAGAAAAAGAAATCCAAAAGGTTACCTGATCCAACTGTCTGGTTTCTAGCTGGGTGATTGTAAAGCCAACAAAATGGAGGAGATATTTAATGGTGACATTTATTCATTGACTCAACACACTTTCATTGCAAACACTGATAACTTGTTAAGCACTGCATTAGGTGCCAGGAATACAGAGGAAGTCATACACTTTTTCATAATCTAGGAGGAAAAAAAGCAAGGCGCAGGAGTAATCAGAGAGTCAATTATTTCTGAACTCTTGTTTTTTTTTTTTTTTTTTTCAAGTAGTTCTCATCTAAGTAGTTGTTTTTTGTCATGAGAAAATCAGATATGTTGCTAAAAATTCACAACTATTGCAAGAAAAAATAAAAGACAATGGAGGTCAGAAAAAATTACGGGCAAGTGATACAATGTAAAGCAGCCACGAAGGGAAGACAAGCCTCCATAATCATTGTAAATCGGTCCAATAAGATAACTGCAACAGAAATAGCTGAAGTTCTAGACATACATTTGGTGAAAAAGTTTTATACACAGCGTAAACTTTGCTAAATTGCAGCCAAAGGCGAGAATGCACAAAAATAAGTGCAAATGCTATGAAACCCAGATATGATTGTTACAGCACAGATTAGGTCACGTTGTGGCCTGGGCCATAGGAATTAAAGGCACATCACAGAGCTAGATGAATGACACAGAGCAAAGAAGATCTCTGGGAGGCTTTTACCTTGGTCAAAGCTTCACCAACATATTAACTGAGAGGTATTGGAAGTTTGTTATACGTACATTTTCTTAACACATACATAATGTTTACAAAAATTTTTACTTCAGTTTTAGCTATAATAAAATATTATGTCCTCAGGCAAAGTGTGAAAATCAGAGGGATACCAGTGGAGAGGTGGGCAGAGCTCAGGCTGCCTGAGCGCTCACCCCTCCCTTCATGAGACAGGCTTCAATATCCAGGTCTCATGGGGCACTATGTGTTCAGCAATACAGTCTGCTTCCTTTTTTTTTTTTTCATGGAACGGGGGGAATAAGAACAGACAGAATGAATTGTTGCTATGATGAATCCAACTGAAACTTACGTTAACTTTCTGGTGCCCAGGTTACACAGTCTAGGGGAACAGAGGCTCTTCAACAATAATTTGCTAGCCTTTTCTTTAAAAAACAACTTATATGTGCAGCACATATCTTTATATAAATTAAGGTGTTATAGCTGTTTTTAAAAGCAGAGGATGCTTTGCCTGGCACATAAGAAAGCAGGAAATGAAATGGTAAGCAGAGCTCAAAAAGGAAAGAAACCTTTAGGGAATTACTTCAAAAGTAGGCTACACAAGAGGAGAACACTAGAAATAATGTCCTGCGTTGAGCAATTCTAAAGGCCAGGAGACTCTCAAGGCTTTCCTTTTTCGCAAAAGTTTTCTTCTTCATAGTAGGTAGGTAAGAAAAGATTGCAAAAGATGATGACAGCAACTAGAGCTGTTTAGAGTACATAGCATACCTGTATACTTTAATAATAAAACATTAAAAGATATATTTTTATTAAAAGGCTCTAAAGGGAAAAGAGAATCCCCTGATAGATAATATACAGAGTAAATAATGCACCAAATCATATGAAAATATAAAACTTAGTTAATTATGTGTAGAATCTTAAAAAGAGTATTTTATAATGCTTTTACTGTTTTAATATAGTAAAGTAGATATTACATCTATTTTTTTGTACCTCATTGACCATGCCTAGCCAGTTTTTTCTTTTCTTTCATTTTTTCTTTTTGCTCTTGTCTGTATTATTTCTTTATTGTTGTTGTAATAGTCATAATTCTAAACAAATTTAGTATCACCTTATGGTTTAAATAGAATGTTCCTTTCTGATCTCAGTCTCTTTTTGTTCTACTAATCTTATGCATTCTCCAGATTGATGTTATTAAGTTCAGCTTTATATGCATCACCTTCCCACTAAAATTGTCTTCATGCTTTTGTCATTCCTCTAATAACATTCAAAAAATTGAATGCACGGAGATAGAGAGTAGAGTGATTGTTACCAAACGCTGGGAAGTATAGTGGAGAAGGGGAGCAAAAGAGGGGGTGGTTAATTGGTACAAAAGTACAGTCAGATAGAAGAAATAGTATCTAGTGTTTAGTAGCACAATAGAGTGACTACAGTTAACAATAATTTATTGGTATTTCAAAATAACTCATAGAGTATAGTTGGAATGTTCCTAACACAAAGAAATGATAAATGCTTGAGGTGATGGATACCCCAATTATTCTGATTGGATCATTACACATTGTATGCTTGTATTAAAATATCACACCTACCCCCACAAAAATATATACCTATTATGTATCCATATAATTTACAATGAAAAATTAAAAAAACAAAAAAATGACCCAACCTATGTTTTCACGTATATTTTAGACATGGTTTATATCTGCAAAAAACCTTAACTCAACACACATTTATCATTCTATTACCTGAATTATTCAAACAAGTTAGAAAATTGGTTACTTAAATATGATTTATCAATATTTTTCATTTCTTGAAATTTTCTTAATGATACACAATATGAAAGCAAAAGAAAACCAAGTTTTTCTACTGTTCTTGTTTTTGGTTCAGTTGTACTTCTTACTGGGAGAAGAAGATACAGTGTTTTTTTTTTAATTAAACATATTGGAAATCCGGATTCTAATCAAATACAATATTGGCTCCATTGCATTGAGAAAAAAAAAGAATACCTTAGTATTTTTTTATAGAGAAATTCACGTTTCATTTATTCACTTAAAATAATGTATTGATACTTATTCTATGCCATGTTGGGAGTCAAGAACAGTGAGAGCAAGAAAATAATCCACTATATCCACAAAGTACTAACAGGTTAAAAGGGAAGATAGCATATGAACAGATGAATAAAGTACAGTGGATGTGTAGTGTTATTGGCATATGGCTAGAATACTGTGAAACATCAAGAAGGTAAATAACACTGCCTGATGAATGGTGTTGTGCTTATGTTTATGCCTCTTTATCTCAACCAAAGAGCAAAAAACTTAAAAGATTTGCAAATAATGATTGCAGATTTGTTAATTATGAGTTTTATTTTAAACGTGTTTTAAAACAAAGAGAAAAACTTCAAATCTTTTCACCTCAGTAGACTAACTTAACCTGTGGGGAGTCTAACTGTTTGGGTTACATGGTATTTTAGAACACCACAATACCCCTAGGATTTATTGTATCAACCACAAAAGACAACTAAATGAGACATTGTAAAATCCATAGTATTTTCACTGACTCATTTTTAGCCAGCTTCCTCTAGCTTTCTTCAAGCTAACAAAGGAAGAAACTTAAGACACTAATAATGATGGGCCTTACTTACTTAGATTAGAATTCCGGTCTAATCTTTTAAGCGCTTATAGCAAGTTGAGAACTGAACAACTGTATTTCCACCTAAACCTCTTCTTCGTATAATATTGGACTATCTC
Source organism: Homo sapiens (assembly GCF_000001405.40). Classification (NCBI taxonomy): domain Eukaryota; kingdom Metazoa; phylum Chordata; class Mammalia; order Primates; family Hominidae; genus Homo; species Homo sapiens. Next base: position 22,976,318 of record NC_000009.12, read on the forward strand.
ACACCATATTTTGTATATGGTGTTATTAGTTTCTATGCATCATAATCAAGACTTTATTAAAAAATAGATTATAGCACTAAAGTTATATGCAGGTATATACTTTAAAAAGTCTTAACATATTTTTAATAAAATTTGGATCTTTACAACAATATTTTGCTGTGAGTTAAACAAGGCAATGCAAATTTTGTGGATGCCACTTTTATGTGTGGGGAACTAAGAGACAAAGAAGTAAAGTAACTTGCTCAACGTTACAAATACTGGATACATAGCTTAACAGTACATGGCCCATTTTTGGAGGATTTTGTTTTTTCAAATTAGACATCCTTGGAATATTTGTCAAGATGTTTCATATCCTGACTAATATATGATACATGTGACTAAGCCATATCCTGGAATCAAACCACTGCTATTCTATTTCTAGTGAGGAAATTGTTTTTCCCTTATTTTCTTAATATGATAATTTACATTACTTAATTTTTAAATATTAGGCTAACCTTACTATTTCTATAGAAAACCCAATTTAATAATGATATATTTTATATCTGTCAGTGGACTATATTAGCTAATATGTGTATTTAGTATTTTGCATATCTTACATTACAGTCATGAGAGTGATTCACCTGTAATTTTTCTTTCAGTGGCCTCATCAGGTTTTGGTTTTTGTTTTATAAAGATTATGCATTGGAAAAGTGTTATTTCTGTATTTTCTAAAAGTTATGAAATTTTTAAAAATATATGTAAAATTTATTTCTTAAATTCTACATACCTAAAGTTTCCTTTTGGAAAGGTTTTTTATTTATGAACTCAAGTACTTTAACAGATATGGGACTATTCAGATTTCTATTTCTTATGTTAATTGTAATAAGCTCATTTATTTTAGGAAATTGTTCACTTCATCTAAGTTGACAAATTTGTTGTCATAAAATGCCTCATATTATTACATTATACTAAAATGCTGAGACTACTGAAAAGGTAGTCTTGAGGCAGCAGCTGAGATGAAGAGAAATTAATAGTTCAGTCTCAGTGCTCTGATATATAGATATTACATTCTGTGTAGACATCTAGTACCCAGTTTGATACTTGCTCATTACAACTTTATAATGTGTTTAATGTCTACTAAGTCAAGGACAATTTCTTTTTCCTTTTTCAGAATGCCCTTGATCATTCTTGTACATATTTATTTATTTATTTATTTTTGAGATGGAGTCTCACTCTGTCGCCCAGGCTGGAGTGCAGTGGCACTATCTCGGCTTACTACAAAGTCCACCTCCTGGGTTCACACCATTCACCTGCCTCAGCCTCCTGAGTAGCTGGCACTACAGATGTCTGCCACCACAGCTGGCTAATTTTTTTGTATTTATAGTAGAGATGGGGTTTCACCATGTTAGCCAAGATGGTCTCCACCTCCTGACCTCGTGATCTGCCTGCCTCGGCCTCCCAAAGTGTATTTATTTATTTATTTTTGTATTTTTAGTAGAGACAGGGTTTCACCATGTTGGTCAGGCTGATCTCGAACTCCTGACCTCAGGTGGTCCGCCCGCCTCAGCCTCCCGAAGGCTGGGATTACAGGCGTGAGCCACTGTGACTGGTGACATTTATATTTACTTGTGAATTTTAGAATTTGATTATTAAGTTATAGAAAATATTATTAATATTTTGTAGGTATTAGATTGCACTTTCAGAATAATTTAGAAAGACTGACATTTCAAAGAAAATTCAACATTCCTTCACATGAAAACAGATTACTAATTGATTTATCCAGATGTTCTCATATGCTGAAAAATAGTACTTATATTGGTGTTTATATCCAGCCACTTCCTTACTGATTTTAATGATTCATCATTGGAGTTAATTAGGAGAAAATCATATTGCTTGAAGAAATTAGCCATAAACACTTTATAATGTGTTTAATGTCTACTAAGTCAAGGACTTAGTAGTCCTCTAATATATAATATATAATTAAAATAACTATATATAATAATTTTATATATTTTATATATAAAGTTATTATAATATATAATTGAAATAATATATAATTAAATATATATAATATACAATTAAAATATATAATTAAAATAACTAGAATGGGGAGAAACCAAAATGAATACAAACAGTAACAGTGAATGAACAATAACAGTAATATTGATAAAACTGCTTCACTAAAGTGAGTGCCGAAGAAAAACTAATTTGTGTAACTGTCTCTGGAAATCAGTATTTTGGCTACATATTTTAAGGCTACTGACAAAAATAACTACATAGAAATATTGTACTCTATTAATGTATGTGTTTGTCACAAGAATATAAGTTAATAATTCTGAAACTGCTCTACATGTATTGTAGGACTGAATAAATATTTTAAGTACATATTTTATTTATTTGAATAAATATGTATGAATGAGAGTCAATTTTCTTTTTTTATTTCTTTTTCTTGGTAAGAGACAAGGTCTTGCTCTGTTGCCCAGGCTGGAGTACAATGGAGTGATCAGAGCCCACTGCAACCACAAACTCCTGAGTTCAAGCAATCCTCCTGCCTCAGCCTCTCACAGTACTGGGATTACAGGCACAAGCCGTAGTGCCCAGCTAAGAGTCAATCTTCTTACTTTCAAAAAAGAGATTTAGTTACCAATAAGAAAGTGGAAAGGAGAGATTTAATCCTTTAGTTTAAAATTAGAATTAGAGGTTTCATACGAACTAACGATTTTAATGATAGAAAGATGTGTTCATATATGTTTCCCAGCTCTCTGCTGAGAGGGCTAGAAGCAATGGCATCACAGTAGCAATGAGCTTAGTTCCTAGGTATTGATTTCTGTATGCTTCTTTAATAAAGTGAACCAGAACTCCTTGGAAAATGACTGATTTCAGGGATGGGCAGGGAAAGTGTGAGATGTACCTGGAAATTATTTTGGTGCCAGAAAGAGAGGAGATGCTCAAAACTGATTAAAATATGTTGAAAGAATTCAGGAGACAATAGGAAAAATCTCCCAGGTGACACATATGGGACAACTTGAGCACAATTTAAAAAATGAGGGCAACGGATTAAACCCATAGACTAAGATAAACATCTATGTCTTCCTAATAATAAATAAATGAAGGAGAGACAGAAGTTCATAGTAATAGCTGAATTAGAATAAATAAAATGGAAATAATGGAAATATGAATACAAACAATTTTCCATAGTAGTACTCCTTACAAGCAAGAATCATCAATGAATGTTAAAATTAAAGAGCAAACTTATGATGAGAAAGAAGATATATGCATAATTTTAAGATATCTTCTACATATACTTAATTCCATTGGTAAAATAGTAATTTTACACCTAAGAAATATGGCACATATCACATTACTTACATTAAGCAAGTAACCAAAGCTAAAGTCAACAAGGAAAAGAAACATAGACATAAGGTGCCTCTGATATGGGAAGCACACAGTATCACTTCTGTTGTATCATTGCCAAATATTAATAACCTGAACAAAATCATGAGAGAACATTATATAAATGAAAATTGAGAGATATTTGACATAAAAACTGTCTTGTACTCTTCAAACACATTAAGGTCATAAAAAACAATAAAAACAGAAACTGTTCCAGATCCAAAGAGACTAATTGTACATGACAATTAAATGAATTATGTGGATCTGGATCGGATCCTGGATCAGACAAAGAGCATTGGTGGATATATGCTGCAATTTAAATGCGGTCTCTATTTAATTAGTAAATTGTATCGTTAATTTTCTGGATTTGATAATTATATTATGATTTAATAAATGTTAACACTTGGGAAGATGTTTGAAGGACACAGATACTTTGCACCTTTTTGTAAAATTTGTGTAAATCTGAAACCATTTTCATATAAAATATTTAAAAAGGAAATACATGGTTTTGGTATTATACTATAGTTATGTAAGATATAATCATTGGAGGAAACTCAGTGAAGGGCAGATAGATAGAACCATCTTGAACTATGTTTTACAATTTAATGTGACTCTAGAATTATTTTAAAATAAATAGTTTTTAGAAACTCTACAATGTTCTCATGACTGTAATCCCAGCACTTTGAGAGGCAAAGACAGGCGGATCACTTGAGGGGAGGAGTTTGAGATTAGCCTGGCCAACATGGTGAAAACCCGTCTCTACTAAAAATACCAAAAAAAAGGCCGGGCGCGGTGGCTCAAGTCTGTAATCCCAGCACTTTGGGAGGCCGAGGCGAGCGGATCATGAGGTCAGGAGATCAAGACCATTCTGGCTAACACAGTGAAACCCCATCTCCACTAAAAATACAAAAAATTAGCCAGGTGTGGTGGCGGCACCTGTAGTCCCAGCTACTCGGGGGGGCTGAGGCAGGAGAATGGCGTTGAGCCCAAGAGGTGGAGCTTGCAGTGAGCCGAGATCACGCCACTGCAGTCCAGCCTGGGCGACAGAGAGAGACTTCATCTTATTAAAAAAAAAAAAAATTGTATATATATACCAAAAAAAAAAAAAAAAATTAGCTGGCCATGGTGGTGGGTGCCTGCAATCCTAGCTACTTGGGAGACTGAGGCTGGAGAATTGCTTGAACTGGGAAGGCAACCGTTGCAGTGAGTTAAGATCGCGCCACTACACTCCAGCCTGGGTGACAGAGCGAGACTCTATCAAAATAAAACCAAAAACAAACCAACAAAAACTATAAAATATGTTAAAAGCTGACTAAGAAAAAGACATACAACCTCCAGAAAAACAATGTGTAGATTGATAGCTAAGTTCTCAACAGAAAATATGAAGCCAGAAGATGATGGGTGGATATCTTCAAAGAGTTGAAAGAAAATAATAACAACATTGCATTCTATTTTCTTTGAAATTATATTTCAATTGTAAAAGTAAAATAGATATATTCAGACAAAAACTAAGAGATTTTTGTTAACTATCTGTTGTAAATGATACATTAAGAAAAATATCTACAATAAAGTTCAGAGATACAAAAATTTGTGGAATTGAAATGTAAAAACCAGTGGAATTAAAATTAGAAAGTGTAAATGAATCATAACTATAAAATGCAAATTCTTTTTATACATAATAAAATGTATGGCAATCATAGAATACACAGGAAGGTAAATAGAAATATGTTCTAAGGACACTGAATTGTCTGGGAATTTAGTAAAGTGCTGATCATTATTTCAGTAATTATGCTGTAATGAAGTAGATAGACATTAAAAGTCTCAAGTTTTAGTTTAATGGAATCATTGTGTGTCCCCTGGTAGAAATATATATTTTTTTAAAGTACAGTCTCTAAAGCGGCAGAGCCTAAAGTCACAGAAACAGAAGCAAAAATGTTTTTAACGGATCACCAGGGATAAAAATGAAAGGATCTATTTATTTACACATCTTCATGAGATTCATAAATATGAAAGAATAGCACCATAAATTGAACTCTGATTTAGTGCATACAGTAGTACATCCTGCGGACATTGTTCAAGCCCTGCAAAGTGTTACCACCTACTTGGCCCTGTATCTGGGTCTTCAGAAACAATTTCACTTTTCCATTCAGACAGTTGCTTCTAGTTCATGGGGAACATAGTGAAATCAATGAAAACCATGAGCATAAATCTATGGCCACACTTCATTTGCTGTAAAGTGAGGTCCCTGGTCGTAAGTGATGCTTCTGGGAAAAATGATAAGATATTCTGTATGTCCAAGGATGTCATAAATACCGAAAAGGCAAATCTACATCCAGAATATATGTCTAGTACAGTAAAATCAGAGAGCTGCCACTTCCATAATAGAAGTAGTCCAACTTAATCCACCAATGGGTAGATGGCTAATAACCCTGGGGAATAGTGCAGTTTGGGGGATGCAGTGTTGGTCTTTGCTCTTGGAAGACTGGACACACAAAAATAGCTGCAACTAGATGGGTGTTGACAAGTGGAAGTCCTCATTCCTGAGAATATACATAATCTCATCCCTGCTAATATGGCCACTTTGTCCATGAGATAATTGGAGAACAATAGCAGTGGCTGAGGAAGGAGACTGATTTATTTTTCCAGGATAAATCATCATGAATATTAAAATTCTCCTGTACCGAGATCCATCTGTCAAAACTCTATACAAATTATTTGGTTTCTTGGGAGTACCTTTGTTCTTCTAATGCACACCCTGGCTAAATTTCTTGATTTTCCTTAAAGTTTCCTTCCTTAGAAACTGATATCTCCTTGCAGTTACCTTACTGTCTCCCTTTTCTGTGAGGTCACTGTTGAAATGTGGATTGTTGTAAAGCCAGGGACACATTCGTTTCTTAGTAGATTATAATTAGATCTGCAGATGAAGGCCATGGGTTTGAGGGTAAAATCACTGTCTCCCTGGGAATTTAATTACCAAACACATGATAAGTTCTACTTTGCCTGCCTTACAGTAGTTTTAAGTACTATTTTTCATCGTCAGTATCTAACTAGGAAGCGTCCTCTTTGATCAGATGATTACCTTTTTTAAGAGAAGAAATGCTTGCAAAATACTACATTGCTAGTTGAATATTCCTAACGTTTTTGTCCCATAGGAAAGAATGAATTAAACAGGCCAAACAGATCAACTTTAAATTGAAAAAAAAAACACAAAAACAAACAAACAAAAAAAAACCTTATTGTTGCCAGGAAAGTAGATGCATAAATGCCACTCTGGTATCCTGGCCATCTTAAAGGGCAATTCTTCTTGATATGGAGGTAGTAAGTATAACATATTCAAATTATCTAAACGATAGGAATCATAATATTTTATGCTTTTTCTAGCAGAATTATTGGTAAAACAAGAATACTTCTAAACATACCTTCATTCCACGTGTTAGAAAGCAATATTGGGGGCCAGGCACGGTGGCTCACACCTGTAATCCCAGCACTTTGGAAGGCTGAGGCGGGTGGATCACCTGAGGTCAGGAATTGAAGACCAGCCTGGCCAACGTTGTGAAACCCCATCTCTACTAAAAATACAAAAAAAATTACCCGGGTGTGGTGGCAGGCACCTGTAATCCCAGCTACTAGGGAGATTGAGGCAGGAGAATTGCTTGAGCGAAAGAGGCGGAGGTTGCAACGAGCTAAGATGGTCCCACTGCACTCTAGCCTTGGCAACAGAGCGAGACTCCATCTCAAAAAAAAAAAAAAAAAAAAAAAAAAAGAAAGAAAAAAAGCAGTATGGGGATAGTTCTCCCACATGTCCTCCTCTAAGCTCACTCTTAAATTAAGGTCCATTCACTTCTTCCCTCATTCAAGGAATTCCCCACGAGATCTATCCACAAGTATCAATTTTCTTAATATTTTTTGATTAAGTTGTTGGAGAAGCCATGCTATTGCATTTCAAATGAAGCTTCCTTTACACTTTGATGTTCAAAATCATTGTGTACAAAAACTAAAACCTATTAGACAATATTTATTGGTACTCCCTATCCTTCTTTACTCCACAAAAGGTATGCCAGGGATTTAATAAGTAATTGGTATAGGATACATTGAGCTTAGAGAGCTGATGTGCAGTTGAAATTAAGAAAGTTTTATACTATGAATTTGTTCATATGTGTTTACACTTAAGTTCACGTAGAGCAACAATTTCAAGAGAGGTAAATCAATAGCAAAGCAGTTAACATCAGGTTCCTTAGGATTTTGAAACAAAGATTTTAGCCATCAGAGGCCAGAGTAGATAAATTTAGCAAGATCACATTAGTATAATTATTATAAAAGAAAATTTTACTTTTTCCATATGGTTAAGATTATTGGAAGGAGTTAATAAAATACATAGCATGTTTGTAATTAAGACACAAACTCTAATTAACTTAGATCCTGAATGGCTTTTGCTAAGTCTGTCTCCACAGGCTCTCAAAGAAACCTGATAACTCTGGAGTTAAATTCCCTAATAAATTATAAAAGTAATTAAGGACAAGAAAATACAGAATATTTATAAGTGACCAAATCTGCGCAGCTGGAAGAGCTAACACCAGGTCTCATAAAACATCATGTGTATCCGGCAGGGTTAGAGTTGTCAACTTTATATGGTAAAATTGAGTGGAGACGAGCAGCTTTCATAGGAAAATAGCAACCATGGTAGGCATATCTTACTTATTTTGGAAAACAAGGGAAAATTGGTATGTTTCCTGAAATATTTATTGATGATTGTGTTTCAAGCATGATAGAAGAAGACAGTTATGACAGAAAGACTAAGGACATATGGTATTTTACTTAAAGGAGCTCAGAATCTGTACAGGTAACTTCATTAATAAGTACTGTTATAAAAGGATACACAGAGAATTATTTAAGCCCAGAGAAATAGGATGTTACCCCGCCCGAAGGAAGGTTATCAGAGAACGCTTCCTGGAAGAAATGACACGTGAACTTATTCTTGAAATATGAGTAGAAGGTCTTAAAGTGAAAAAGCAGAAGACAGGAAGACAGTATCTCAAGCAGGTTTTTCAGAGTAAGCACAGATAGAATGGAGTAAAATGGCTTGGGGCGTGCAGTTTTTCAGTACACCGATTAAAATAATGAAGCCAAGAAGTGCCATGAAGAAAGGCCAGAGATGTGGGCAGGGGTCATTTTATAGAAGACATTTTATTCTAAACAAAGAAACTTGAAGCCTTTTAACAAATGAGCTCCTCGTCAGAGTTCCTTGTTTGAATGCTCACTTTGCCAATAGATCAGGACAGAGGGAAGAAAAGTTGGTTAGGGTGATAAGTAAGAGTCTGATATAGTCAGGGAGAATACAGAGAGAAGGCATGTAGATTCAATAAATATTTAGAAATTAGCATCATTAGACATTGATTTGGATGTGGGAAATGAGAGGGTAAAAATAAGAAGTCAAGGATATTTTCCAGGAGGAGAAACAGACATTTAGAGGTAGAAGAAAGGGTTTCTCACTTTACCCACTAGACTTAAAGAAGCATTACTGAGCTAAGTTTGCAAGCTACCTTGGGAAGTCTAGCCCTGTTCTGAGAAAGTACAAGAAATAATTCTGGCTTTTGAAGACTAGAGTATATAGCTAGAAGAAGGTTTTCTTGAAACTAGGCTGTTTGGGGCCAAGTAAACTAATTTTTTTAAACTGAAAATAAGTGATTCTGGAAGTTGACATTCTATCTTGTTTTTGACACTCATATATTGAGACAAGATAAAATTTCAGTAGAAAAGGACATTGACCAGTTTGTAAAAGTGATGTGAAGTAGTAGGACACTCCATCCAACTTTACCAAGTGTTCCTTTGCCCTGGTATGATCCACGGTGGTATGTAAAGTTATATATCCCATTGGTCCATAATGAAAAAAATTCACGTGAATAGGAATAAGCTACCAAAATATGAGATCTTTGAGGGAATGGGATATATTGTAGACATTTATTGACAGCGCTAGCATAGCATTGGATACACAGTAGGAGCACAAGTAATGAGGGCTAGATTTAATTGAATGACATTGAAATAAAGCTGTTAGTTACTAACTGCAGATTGAGCTCTGCAAAATGTGTTACAAAGCATTTCAGTACAGCATCTTGGTGGTTGAAATTGTTCGTAACTAGATTAAGCAGACAATTTTTATCAAATAGTAACATGTCATAAAGATAGGAGGAGAAACTAATAAAAAACATTTTTTATGTACTAGCCTAGAAGGACCATAGGCCCTAATTATCAAGGAAATAGCTCCTTCAATCATCATTGTCTCATATGTCCTAGGGAATAATGCTACAAAATTCTCTCCTGCTGTGCCATAATTGGCTTTACCATTAATGCAGTCCCTGGCTCCTTTTTCTCTTGTGGTGTTTATATGTTTCTCCCCATCATGTCAGATATTATTTTACCGCAAAACCCTTTTTTAAATTATGCAGAATGCAAAAGTATCTCAAGTAGATTTTCTACACGAAAGAAAATTAACATCTATTTTACATATGATATGTGCCACAGATTGTACCAGATATTATACATAAATTTAATTAAAATTAACAATATTTTCTACTCTGGAGGCTGAGGCAGGAGGATCACTTGAGCTCAGGAGTTCGAGGTTGTAGTAAGCTTTCATCATGCCACTGCACTCTGGCCTGGGCAACAAAGTTAGACCTAGTCTCTAAAAAAAAATAAAAATTCACAATATTTTATAGAATAAGTATTATTATTATTCATTTTATATATGTGAAAACCAATGCTTGGAGAGGTTAAGTAGCTTCTCAAGTTCCCACAGATACAGAGATGCAGATAAAATATCAATGTAGGTCTTCAGGCCTCAAAAGCCATGGCTTTCCACTGAACCATGCTGTCTATGAAGTACATATTGGAGGAACCTTCTCATTTTCCATGTATTAGGCTCCAAATAAATAAATCACCCTAGTACAATTTTTACGTTTTCAAATTCAATTTCATAAAATGGTGTTTGTCACCTATTCAGGACTTCACTGTTTGTTTTACTTTCTCGTATCCCTAAGTAGTATTGACATCCCTGTCCACTATCCTCCTAGTGGACACCAAGTGCATATCCTTCTGGCCTACTGCACTCCTAAAATGTCCTCATGATCCTTGGATCTCCCTTTTCTGTATCCTGCCCTCACCTGTAGTAACTCCTCACAATCAGCCAGTCAGTCTAAACTGAGTAATAAGATCTTTCTCCCTGCACCTTAGCCTCATCTCTTCGTGGGTTACCTCTGCCCCTTTCCTACACAGCAGCCACTCTGAAATGCGTGTAGTTCCGCAAATATGCCAGACTATTTTATCCCATTTTGACTTTGTTCATGTTATCATCTTTGCTAGGAGTATTTCATTTCTTATGGAGAACACCTGTCCATCATTCAACGTTCATTTCAAGTGAAAAGTTCTTTAAAACATACCATGACCTTTACAGAGGACAAAACACTGCAGTCCAGCCTCTGTTCATAGGTTCTATAAAGGCGTTGTTAAATATATGTGCTAGAAAAATCTTGATATGATAAACATAAGATACAGATAAGAACTTCTACTTTTTCAAGACAATGGTTCTGCTTTCAACCGACTGCATTCTTCACAGCACTGCCAATTAAGTGAAGAAGCTCTGTAGTTGTTTGTGCTTTCTCTACCCTATAACATTATTTGATGGTTAGTGTTTATGCTGTCAGATCTAACTCTGCTGACCTGATTTCAAATACAATAGAGAAAATTAATCTTAGGATTTTTCTTTTGTGTTTGCCTATCTTCCCGCACTTATTTCTCATTTGCTTTCATTTTAATGAAAGCACCATCATGTAAAGAAAAATATGTTAAAAACACACTTCACTAATTTCTTCTTTTTTAAGAAAAAATAAAAATACTGAAAGTGCCCTTGGTATCCATGAAGCCATGTGTCTGAAGGCTCAAGATGCAATGTTAGCAGTGACAGTGAGATTTATCCAGGGCTATCGCTTGCTTTGAAGATTAACTACCCAGCTGATACACTCAGCATCATTTTAGATGTAACTGGGGGTCTTCTACGGTTTTAAATTTTGTTAAAAATTCTAGCCAAGGGTGATAAACTGATTCCAATTTAGCTTCTTCTTTAAACAGAATCTAAGCCCAGAAATGAAGCCAGCCACACCTTTGAAGTGTTGTTGAACATGGCAACTGAGTGGGGGGCGGGAAGAAGCAGAGGAAGAGAGGTGAGAATCGAACTGAGTTTAAAAAGAACCACAGGCTTTGGGTTGCATTTGCTCAACCTCTGGGTTGTTCAGGTAAGGAAAAATATCATTAAAAATAGTGGGGGACCAACAAAACAGTTTAAACAACATGTATCCTGGGATTTTTTATTTTCAGGCTAGACGCTTTAGATTTAGTTTAGGTTCTACGTTAAAAACAGAAAGATCCGAAAAGTATTTCCACCTCTGACATATAAGGCATTGGATTTTTTTTAAAAAAAGATTTTACTGCCATCTACTTAGTTTACTTCTGGTTTATCTTTTGAAGTAGATTCCCAGCAGCTAGAGCTATCTAAAATATTAAGTGGTTTTATGGCATTGTCCAAGACTTCTAATACATTCTCCAGAAACACTTTCCCATCAGTGTAAAATTTCTAATGTTGGACATTATTTCAGGGGATTGAGACTTGGCATGTTCTTGATTACTTTTAAAATGTAGAGTCACATGTCTCTTAACAACACATATACATTCTGAAAAGTGTGTTATTAGGTAAATTTATCATTGTGGGGACATCATAGGCTACATGTTGGGGACATGATATAAGGACACTAAGGCTATATGGTATAGCCTATTTGCTCCAAGGCTGCAAACCTGTATAGCATGTTATTATACTGAATATTGCAGGCAATTGTAACACAACAGTAAGTATGTATGTATCTAAACATATCTAAATATAGAACAGGTACGGTAAAAAAAAAAATAGAGTATTGTAATTTTATGATACCACCATCATACATATGGTCCCTCACTGACTGAAACATAGTTAGGTGGCACATGACTGTGTGTATCTCTGAGAGGCATAATGGTAACCTTTCAACACTTTATCAGAGATTGGAAAGCAATGACTTGACAAAAGATTCAGAAGGACCAGGATGGGGGCTGATAAGTTCTGATCTATGAGGTGAGGGAAAGAAGACTGATAAGCTAAAGGTGCTATAGTGCCACAGGAGTTTTACCACAGGTCGAACAGGAGAAATCAGGAACACCTCAGATGTGTCTACATGTATGAATTCCTTTGAATGTATGGTGATAAATACTAATAGGGATAAAATGGTAAAATGAAATAGTAGCCCAAACAAATTATATTTGACTCATTCTGTAAAACTCTTTGTTTTGTAAGTTTGGGGATAGGAGCTATAACAAGTGACCCCTTAGGCTCTCAGTTTTCCCAATCTATAAAACTGGAGCATTGGACTGTTTTACTAGATCATGTTTAATCTACTTTTTAAGTTATGTGTGTGTATATATATATTTATATATACCTATATATAAAATATTAAATATATATAGCTATATATAATATATTGTTGATATACATTGATTATCTATTTATCTATCCCTATTTACCACTTTACATCTGTTTAGTAAGCTTTAAACAAAAAGACTATTGAATCAGGAATCTAGAGTACTTTTTTTCCACTCTCAGCTCTAATGATAACTTGCTGAATGACAATACGGAAATCATTTACCAGCTCTTTCCCTTAGTTTTCTCAAAAAACTAGCAAAAGAAAGAATTAGACTCAAGGACCCTAAAACTCTCTTTCAGCTCTAATCTATCATGGGCCTATGCTTTATGTAAACAGTTAAATTTTCCACATATCAACTGCAAGAGAAGCAGTAGTATTTCCCTATGTCCTACAGATTTAAAAATGATCCAATGTGGTGTCTTGGCAGTTAGGTCCCTGGATTTATCTGACACTCTAACTGTGCCTCTTTCGTCCTTCCCATCGACCTACAGAAATCATTTTACTTCCTTTTCTTAGGGCCAACTCCAACTGCATTTCTATCTACTGTAAAGGAATTTCTATCCTATCTCTCATTCCAAAGTACCTACATACAATGCTCATAGACTTATTTTTTCTTTTGTAGTCATGTCCTTGAAACATAATTTTTACTATACATTTCCATATGTAATTAAAATTCTCTTTCTGCCCTCTTTTGTTACTGAAGGAGAAATTAATAACAATTTTCTTCTTCAACATTGAACTAGTCAGTAAAGAACACTTTCTCCAAAATTAGTGCCAACCCTTTCAGCCAATACAGTTAGTGGGTATAGTAAATAGGAAACACCTGGCTACTCCATTGACTTATATCTCAAGTGGATAATTCCTTTGCCCAGGAAATTTCAGAGAGGTGACTCCCATCCCAGTGTATCTTGTGTCTTATACTGCAAAGACTCCCACTAGGGAGCAAATGTTTATAAAACAATACCATTTTTGGTACATAAAAAAATACCATTACTTATTATTGTGTTTTATCTTTCTGTACTCTAAATTAAAAACATTTCTGTCAAGAGGAGTATGTTTGTTTTCTATGTTGTATTAAAAAAAAAGCCACAATCTCAGTGGCTTACAACTTCAGTTTCTGTAGTTCAGAAGTCCAGGTGCAGTTTACCTCAGTTCTCTGCTCCAGGGTCTTGCCATATTGCAAGCTAGGTGTTTTCTAGGGTTGCCGTTTCATCAGGGCTTAACTGTGAAGAGATCTGTTTCCAACCTCACTTTAGTTGTTGGAGAATTTACCTCCTTGTGGTTGTAGGACAGAGGGTCCTTTTTTAAGATTTTTTTTTTTTTTCCTGGCTGTTGGCCAGACTGCTCTAAGCTCCTAGAGGCCATCTGCAGTTCCTTGTCACATGGCTCTTCCACAGACCCGCCCACAACATGACAGGTTACTTCTCCAAACTCAGTAATAGAGAGAGTCGCTTACTTCAGTGGAAGCCTGGCTCCACTTTGGAGAACTTTCAGCTGATTAGTTCACGCCTACCTAAGGTAATCTCCCTTTTGATTAATTCAAAATCAAGTGATTTAGAGCCTTAACTATAACTGCAAAATCCTTTAACCTTTGTCATATTCTATTCTATTGCCAGTCAAGCAGAGGAAAGTAGATAAAGACGTGAACACCAGGAAGTGGAAATTAGGGTTCACTAAGGAACACAGGGCTTATTTGGCATGAGAACTATTTTCATTTCATTTGTATGTCAGAATAGTGCCCTTTATTGGTCCATTAACAGAAGTTCTGTTGTCTCATAGAGGAAAATAACTGTAATTGTCTTAACTTGTAAAAGATTAGAGCTTGTGTGTGAAACTTAATAGAGCAAAGTGATCTTTGCTTTCTCTCCCAACGCATAAGGCTTTAGAAATAACTGAAGTACATAATTGAATTAACTGATGTCCATTTTAAATAGCATAGCTCTTTTTGTCTATATTCTGAAAGTTTCATTCTGCATAAAATTTTCTTTCAAGGTGTTTTTTATAAGTGTTTCATGTAATTCCCACTGGTAGTTTGAGTAGTTCTCCATGACTTACAGGTTTAAATGTGCATGTGTATCCTTATATACATATGTGTGAGTGTGTGTGTGTGTGTGTAATCAGTGCATGTGTGTAATTTTCTGGGTGAATGATGAGATACCTTCCTAAGTGTTCTGGGAAAAGAGTTAAGCACTTTGTGTATTAGCACATCAGAGCTATACAATAATCATTGCAGCTAAGTAATGCTATAACTAATTTTTAAGACAGAAGAACTCAAGCTTAGACGAGTTATGTAACTTGCTTATGATCATACTGAACCAAGATGTGTGTAGAATCTGGATTCAAGTTCAGAACTACCTGATGCTAGCTAGCACTTTCAATTCTTTATGAATAGACTATAGTAACTCAGAAGCATATATCATTCTCTCCATTTTATGAAGAAGGAGATCCATCTACTTGTCCAAGGTTAAAATGTCTTTCCCACCTGTTTGTGGAGTACTTTGAGGCAAGGACTCTGTCTTGGCACCTTTATATTCTTGTCCTAGCACATAATAGTCAATGTATAGCCTGAAGTTGACCTAGGTTAAGACTTCAATCCAGCTCTCCTGCTTTCAAGATCTTTCTATTTTCCCCTCCCAATCAATATCTTTCCAAACCTAGCCCTTAATGTAATAAAATGTTCTCTTGAATAACCTGTAATTTGTCCAGTGGATCAGGATTCAAATCTTTTTAATATACTTGCTCTGCAAGTATGTTAAAGGGATTAATGGGTTTCATGGAGAGAGTTTTCTGGGTGAATAAACTATTTTGTGAGCAATTTAGGAAGCACATTAGTTCCTTGGGCCTGTGTGAATAGTACTTCAGCTGAGCAAATGGTGCCCCTGTGGCCTCCAATTTAATTAACTTCCCAAATATGGCTGACTCATCTCTCTGGCAAGATCATTGATAAAATGATTTGAACCATGATGAAGGAGAATTGATAAAATGCAAACTGATCAAAATGTAAGAAAACATTCTGAACTAAAGGAAGTGACCTTCCATGAAGTTCAAGTTCTCTAAGAAAATTCAGTGATTAATCTAAGATTGCTTCACACATGATTAAGAACAAGGCACAGAACTGTCACCTAGGGCATATGATATGATTACCTTGAAAAAGACATAAAGAATGACCATTTTAGTTACTAAGATTTTAAAAAATTATTATTTTTATTATTTTCTGTTAGCTGGAATAGCTATTCATACTCAAGCAGAGAATTAAGGTATTCAATTTACTAATAATCAGAAGCAATATCCTAACGTCAGATTTACAAAGATAAACATTTTTCTATTAATTTCATATTCTAGTAGCCAGAACCAGCTAGATTTCTTTTTTTAATTTTCAACAAATTAAAAACATCCTTTTACTGGTAAAGGTCCTGAAAGCAGTGGATACTCATCTTGATAGAATTATGGCATATATCCCAACTGCTGCTCACACCTTCCCCCAGAAACTTGAACGCTGGCATTCTCTCCAATTTGCACTAAAATTAAAATTACTTAGAGCTACCTTGCACATCTCAACTGAAATTTATTTTTATTTTCATTGTCAAATCTTACCTAAATTCACCAATTTTTATATATATATATATATATATATATATGAAGCCCTGAAGCATATAAGCTTCCTTCAAATTCTTATTTAGCTACAAATGTGACTAATTTTACCCCTTCCTATTTTTATTGGTTACTTAAATAGAATAGTGCAGTATCATTGCTAGTGAATCAACATTCTGTGAGAATGAGCTGAGTCAGCATAATCATGTGCTACGCTACTTTATTGATGAGTAACCCGAGGTAAAGAGAAGCAGTGACTTTCCCAGTGTCAAACACATCAGCCAAAGGACACCTTGAAAACCCTGAGTCCGTGAATTGCCATCCAGTTGCTTAATGTGCTGAATCAAACTGTTTCTCTTTAAAATCTGAAATTAGTTTTCCTCATATATCTATATGTAACAGTAGCTGAGTTAGAACCTGCTGTGTTCTCATGGGATAGATTTTTAACATGATGATGATGACGTCGCCAGACATACTGGTGAAATCTTCTCAGAAGAAACACTTCATATGAAGTATAAAAACTTACACTCTACACTGTTTTTCTAACTTTTAGAAGGCATGAGTTTCCACATTAGGGGCTACCAAATGGTGTGAGAGAAGGAAGAGGAAGGAAAAAAAGGAGATGTGAGTAAGGGATGAGAGGTTACTATCCTGTCCTTATACCTTTTTAATGAGAGATGCTCTTAAAGCAGGTAAGGGAGTTTCCCATGGGAACTCTTTTGATAAAGAGCTCCTATGCCAAGAAAATGTTTGCAAACTACAAATGCATACTGAGCTACAATATCTTTTACCTTTTATGCTAATGTCTTGAAACTTGTATATCGTTTTTATAGATCTAGAGACTATGGGGATCAAAGGAGAATTCAGTCTGCAGATTATAATAAAAAAGATTTTGTAACAGAGGGTTTCTTATGAAAACACACAAAGCTGCTTTTAAATGTGTACTAACAGATACATTGATGACCTACACAAATTTTAAATTTGAGCAGCCAATGAAAAAGAATCCCCTAAATCTCTCTACACATTAGTATCCACCCAAGTGTGTTTCAAGAAATCAATGTTATTTAATATTTTATTTTATTTTTTGAAATCATTGTGATTAAAAGAAAACCGTAGTTATCACCCTAAATTAAAGTCATCATGCTAAAATCTGAGCCTTAGAAGATTGTAGTCATCCATTCAATCAATTCATCAATATCAAAGGAATACTTACTGAGCACTTAGTGTGGAATAAGGTGCCATTCTATACTCTAGGGAATGGACATGAACAAATTTAGAACTCCTAACTTCATAGACTTTAGATTGTCTGGAGACAGCAGGCAGAAAATTGGGAAGTGGGTAAGGCAGACACTAAACAAGCTGTCTTTATAATAACTAGGATGGTCAATAGTAGCTTCATAATCAAGGAGCATATATCAAGCAACCTTCAACAACCTTATAACAACACAAGCCTTATGAAGATGCACATCATTAGCAATAAAGGGTAGCACCTCAAAGTTGATGAGACTTGTCACGCTGGAAAGCTCTTCATCCACAGTAACCTGACCTTTACTTGCAATTACATTCTCTATACTTTTTATTCCCTCTGCCTAAGCCACTAGTTTAATTCCTTATACGCAGTATATGGTCAATGAACTTTTGTTAAATACATGAATAAATTAATTAATGTAAAAATGTGACAAAGCTTATGTCCAGTCTTTCCTAATAAGCTAATAATTTTCCCACGGTTAATTAATTAGAATAATATGTTGTCTTTTTCGTATATGCTATCAGGAAGCTTACACTGGCATTTTGATTCAACAGCTGCAATTTGCCTAATAAGACTTACAGGCTTTTTATTTTTCTCACTCCACTTACTTCTTGACATTTTTTCTTCAATCTTATATTATCCGATTTTGGCCTCAGTCTTTCTTCATGTTTTAAGTAAGTGGAATTAAATAATTGTTGAAAGGAGACAAGTTCAAATCAACAATATTATTTAGGAATCACAGAAAGTAGAAAACAAAAACTGGTACATAGTGTTTTATCCCCAAGCATGTCTTTCTTTTTCTTTGTCAGAAAATAAGTTATAAGTTTTAGGTTTGCCACCAAGGGAGGGAGAAAACATATAAATTATATACTTATACAAAAGCTTTATTTTCCTAATTATAAGAACAAAAGAAAACAGCATTATAGTGGAAACATAAGAAAAAGAAAGGAAATTAATATCTACTATTGGTAATACTTTTGGTGTATTTCTTTCTGTTATATGGAAGAAGGAAGAGATACATGTATTGAAACGTATATTGTTAATAACAGTTTGTAACTAGATAACTTTTCACCGAAGTCTGTAAAACTTTGTAAAACATTGCTCTTAGTGGTTGCACCTCATCCTAGTTTACTGAATACTCTCCCTATTATTGTCTATTTATGTTGTTTTGATCATCAAAACATGATTAAGCCTATGTACAATGATATGCCTGAATTTTGCCTGAATCTTGTTTTATTTCCTTTGGACTTCTTTTGGAATTACACGGTCAAAGTATATGGGGTTTTATGAAGACAATTTCCAGATGAAATATCTTTTCACATATCTCTTACTGTCTTATCACTCTCCTATCCTCAGAATGGATTTCCATTTATCAAGGTCTAACATCTACTGCCATGAGACATTCTTGAAATAATGAAGAGAAACATGGTGATACCCTTATTGTTTTTTGGAATACTATGCTTTAGGAAGTTCCTAGATTGTGCCAGCATTTGTTCTTACAACAACAGCATATTGATAAATCATATTTAGCTTAAGATCAATATTTCCCAACAAATGCAGAGTCCTTTTTCGTATGCATTGCCCTGTGTTTTATTGAGTACCTTCTTTCATTAGGGAGCTGGAGAATTTAAGAGTCATTCAGGAATGAATGCTTTTAAAATTTTCAGTTTTGTATGGTAGCAGCAGTTTTGTGCTTATTTCACACCCTACTTCAGAATGTCCTAGGTTGTTGTCAACTCATTCAATCACTTATTCTTCTTTTGGTCATTTAACAAATACTTATTTAACACCTAACACGTACCAGTATCTTTTCTATGTACTGGACTACAGTTGCGAAAAATAAATAAACAAACAATTATGTGAAAGAGTTTGAAAGTTTTGTATAAAACTTACTCAAATAGCAATTGTAAAATAATTATAGAAAATAACAATGCACTTTGGAGAATATTAAAAAAAAAGAATAGAATAATAGGAACAATAATAAAATTAGTGTGATTAAATATTACATCTCCTTGTCAATAACAAAGCCAGAAACAGGTCTAATTTGAAACAAAAAGATTATGAAGAGTCTATAAAGACTAGCGTATTAGTCCATTCTCATGCTATTAATAAAGACATACCCGAGACCGGGTAATTTGTAAAGGAAAAGAGGTTTAATGGTGTATTTGTCCATTTCACGCTGCTGATAAAGACATACCTGAGACTGGGCAATTTACAAAAGAAAGATGTTTAATGGACTTATAGTTTTTCGTGGCTGGGGAGGCCTCATAAGCATGGTGGAAGGCAAGGAGAAACAAGTAACCTCTTAACTTGGATGGCAGCAGGCAGAGAAAGAGCTTGTGCAGGGAAACTCCTGTTTTTAAAACCATCAGGTCTCATGAGGCACATTCACTATCACGAAAATAGCACAAGAAAGACCCACCCCCATAATTCAGTCACCTCCCATTGGGTTTCTCCCATGACTCAAAACACATGGGAATTGTGAAAGTTACAATTCAAGATGAGATTTGAGTGGGTACACAGCCAAACCATATCATTCCACCCCGGCCCCTCCCAAATATCATGTCCTCACATTTCAAAATCAATTGTGGCTTCGCAACAGTCTCCCAAAGTCTTAATTCATTTTAGCATTAACTCAAAAGTCCACAGTCCAACATCTTATCTGAGACAAGGCTAGTCCCTTCCGCCTATGAGCATGTAAAATCAAAAGCAAGTTAGTTACTTCCTAGACACAATGGCGGTACAGGCATTGGGTATATACAGCCATTCCAAATGGTAGAAATTGGCCAAAACAAAGGGGCAAAAAGCTCCATGCAAGTCGAAAATACAGCAAGGCAGTCAAATCTTAAAACTCCAAAATGATCTCCTTTGACTCCATGCCTTGCATCTTGGTCACACTGATGCAGGAGTTGGGTTCCCATGGTCTTGAGCAGCTCTGGCCCTGTGGCTTTGCTGGTTACTGCCTCCCTCCTGGCTACTTTCATGGGATGCTGTTGGGTGTCTGCAGCTTTTCCAGGCACATGGTGCAAGCTACGGTGGATCTACCATTCTGGGGTCTGGAGGATGGTGGCCCTTTTCTCGCAGCTCCACTAGGCAGTGCCCAGTATGGATTTTGTGTGGGGGCTCTGACTTCACATTTCCCTTCCTAACTGCCCTAGTAGAGGTTCTCCATGAGGGCTCCACCCCTGCAGCAAACTTCCTCCTGAGAATCCAGGTGTTTCCATACATCCTCTGAAATCTAGGTGGAGCTTCCCACACTTCCATTCTTGACTTCTGTGCACCCGCAGGCTCAGCATCATATGGAAGCTGCCAAGGTTTGGGGCTTGTATCGTCTGAAGCAACGTCCTGAGCTGTACCCAAAGCTGGAGTGGCTGGGACACAGGGCACCAAGTCCCTAGGCTGCACACAACAGCAGGGCCCTGGACCCAGTCCATGAAACTACTTTTTCCTTCTAGGCCTCCTGGCTTGTAACGGAAGGGGCTGCCATGGAGACATTTTCCTCATTTTCTTGGTGATTAACATTTGACTCCTTGTTACTTATGCAAATTTCCGCAGCCCGCTTGAATTTCTCCTCAGAAAATGGTTTTTCTTTTTTATTGCATCGTTCAGGTTGCACATTTTCTGAACTTTTATGCTCTGCTCCCCTTTTAAACATAAGTTTCAATTCCAAACCATATCTTTGTGAATGAATAAAACTGAATGCTTTTAAGAGCATGTAGGTCACCTCTTGAATGCTTTGCTGCTGAGAAATTTCTTCCACCAGATATCCTAAATAATCTCTCTCAAGTTCAAAGTTCCATAGATCTCTTGTGCCAGGGCAAAATGCTGCCAGTCTCTTTGCTAAAGTATAGCAAGAATCACCTTTGATCCAGTTCCCTATAAGTTTCTCATCACCATCTGAGACCACCTCAGCCTGGACTTTATTGTCAGCATTTTGGTAACTATCACTATCAGCATTTTGGTCAAAACCATTCAACAAGTCTCTAGGAAGTTACAAACTTTTCCACATATTCCTGTCTTCCTCAGCACTCTCCAAACAGTTCCAACCTCTGCCTCTTACTCAGTTCCAAAGTTGCTTCCACATTTTCAGGTATCCTTACAGTAGCACCCCACTCCTGGTACCAATTTACTATATTAGTTTGTTCTCACGCTGCTAATAAACACGTACCTGCGACTTGGTAATCTATAAAGGAAAAGAGGTTTAATGGACCCACAGTTCCACATGGCTGGGGAGGTCTCACAATCATGGGTGACGGTGGAGGAGCAAAGGCATGTCTTATGTGGTGGCAGGCAAGAGATTGTCTGCAGGGGAACTGCCCTTTATAAAACCATCAGATGTCATGAGATTTATTCACTATCATGAGAAAAGCACAGGAAAGACCCATCCCCATGATTCATGTATCTCCTACTGGGTCCCTCCCATGACATGTGAGGATTGTGGGAGCTAAAATTCAAGATGAGATTTGGGCGGGGACACAGCCAAACCATATCATCTAGCTTCTGGGACTATTTTAGTTGGACTAAATGAATGGGCTAAATATAGTCCATTCAGGACTAAAATTGTGAGAATAATGGCATAGTCAGTGACAACAATATTATATCTCAGATATCTCACTCATACTTGGTAAACAGACACTATAATGTTTAAAAGACCCATAATTAGTAATTGCTGCAGCTGTCTAAGGTAAATGTCTCAAACCCCATACTAGAGAGGGCAGTTCCTGAAGTACCTAAAGGGTCTTGATATACTAGAACTGCATCTCTAAGAACACACCCATTGCAGATATTAAATAGTATTACATGGATGAAATACAGCTTTCTGAATTTTATAAAAGCTTATGAATGGGCTGAAATAAATAATTCCTAATTCCACAAAATAGCATATGTAAAGCACTTTTCTGAGTGCCTGAACATGGAAGGTTATTTCAATCACTGGATAAATAATTTCCAGGTTACAGGTCCTGCCTGCAGTCAGTATTGAGGATGCAAAGATAAATGTCAGGTACAGCAAGGAAGGAATGAATACGTAGAGAAGTAACAAGACTAACATCTATGTGTGCCTAGGACAAATTATTTAGAACTGAAAGGCAGAGAAATGTAAAGGAGATTTTCATATCCCCTAAGGTTTCAAGTTTCTGTGCTTAAGGATATAGCGAGAGAGCACTACCCCACAGAAATCAAGAAACGATAACAAAAACAATACATAGTACCATCTCTGCAGATTACTAGGAAGAGACTTCCCAATTTATTCAATTTGTACAATTCCTTTACCCACAGACCTTGTTTTCCTAAAACAGAAGCACATTACAAACTAATCATTTAAATAAGTCACTCTGATGTCTTGCTGACACAGGAGAGGATTTGTATACATTTTCAAACTGTTCTTTTTTGTTTCTGATAGGGATAACATAATGTGCCAGCACTGTGTCCTGACAAAGAAATCTAAATCCATTCACAGGCATAAAAAATTTGAATGCCGGCCGGGCGCGGTGGCTCACGCCTGTAATCCCAGCACTTTGGGAGGCCGAGGCGGGCGGATCACGAGGTCAGGAGATCGAGACCATCCTGGCTAACACGGTGAAACCCCGTCTCTACTAAAAATACAAAAAATTAGCCGGGCGTGGTAGCGGGCGCCTGTAGTCCCAGCTACTCGGGAGGCTGAGGCAGGAGAATGGCGTGAACCCCAGGGGGCGGAGCCTGCAGTGAGCCGAGATTGCGCCACTGCACTCCAGCCTGGGCGACAGCGAGACTCCGTCTCAAAAAAAAAAAAAACAAAAAAAAAAAAAAAAAAAAAAAAAAATTTGAATGCCAGATCCAGAAGAGGCGCGACAGTGTTTGGTAAATCTGTGAATAGACAAAGATTTAGATTATACAATCCACTATTCAGAACTAGCTACATAAGTTGTGGGGAACAGCACAAAATGAAAATGTGGACACCTTTGTTCAAAAATGGTTAAGAATTTCAAGATGTCAATAGGAGAGCATTAAACCAAGTGCAGAGTCCTAAGCATGGAGCCATAAGCTTGGGAAGCTGCACTGCCACTCTCCTTCCCATCCATTAGTGGAAAAACCAAGTCTATTTTGTCTAAACACACGGGGACTGACACAGAATAGGTGCTCAACAAATATATGCTAAATAAATAAATATGCTGACTATAATTTATACTTTACCTATCACATCCAACTTACTAATGAAGTGGGGAGGGATGTTTACATGGTATCATCTGAATAATCAAGCCTGAATTTCCCATTATTCTTTATACTGGGGGCTTTCAAATTATCCTAGTACCAGTGTATTCTGATCTTACTTTTCTCTCCTTTTCGATCAGTATTTTGTAGCCAATTCAGAATATACCACACAATTATATGTGTATATATATTATACTTCATACATAGTCCATATGTTTTTATAAAACAGATGAACTACAAAAAAATAGAAACACTAACAACTTTAGAATTAGGACAACATAGAAGAAAATATGAGATAAGACCAGAGAAAAGGGTAATATGCAGGAATGCAGTCTGTAAGATCCAATATAGTAAATAAACTAATACATATAATTGGCTCTGAGAGTCCCACAAAGCAAAACAAAGAAAGCTATTATTAGCTAAAAACTTGTTATTGTTTATAGAAATAAAGTTGTAGTAAATGTATTAAATAAACAGAACTTGCAGGTTTACTTATAAGCAATATGTTGTTTCGTTTTGTTTTTTTTTTCTGTGAGGAAAATCATTTCCCTTCCCCTGAATGGAAATTAGGACATGTCTCATTAATTTTGAAACACTACTAGGTGATAAAAGGTCCTCCAGTCAGTAATTTAAGTGTCTAATCTCATAATTTAAATGCCTAAAGGAGTTAATATGTTAAACTTTCTTAAACTTATACCTATGCCCCTCACCAGTCTGCACAAACCATAGGCTAACCCCTTGCAGTGAGAAAGAGGTCACAGTTGCCTTCTGCTCTCTTTCTTCACCTGAATGCTGTTTTTTTCTCTTCTCAATCATGCTAGTAATGGTCACTGATTCTTCCAGACTGTGTTACCCTTAGACTCAGGTATGAGAGCTCTTACCCTTGACCCCATGCTTTGGAGAGGCTTCTGTTGGCTGTCTTCTTGTCCTGCTCTGTCATATGGGACAGAGAAATCATGCAGATCAAGGAAAAATACACCTTTTCAGAACTGTCTTCTAACCCCACTATAATTGGAATACCTAGGACCCTGGCATTCTTTGCCAAAGTGACGCCAGCCCTGATTCCATGTTCTATACAGTGCTCCTCTCTGGGGTTTGCCCTCCCAAGGATAGGGCTGCTCCGTTGGTGTGAATACCTTTGGCTTGATGGGTGGCCAAGGGCCAGCTGTTCCTGGCACTATGTATGAAACTTGGACATCACGTGGTGCCGAAGGAAACTGGAGTAAGAAAAGAAGGCAGACAGACTACAAGCTCTTCCAAGGGTCAGGAGGCCAACAGTGAGCTCTCTATATGCTGTTAATTTCCAGCATTGGACTAAAAAGGATCTAAAAATTTTAAATTCAACTCTAGCCTTGCAGATATTTAGGAAGGCATATTTGTCATGTAAGAGAATAGAACATTGTTTTTTTTAAAGAGAGAGAGAGTGTGTGCGTTGTGTGTGTGTGTGTGTGTGTGTGTGTGTTTAATTCATAGCTAAATCTTTAGACATAGGATGTTGCTTGGGTCCCCCAAACAGTAGGAGTGAGTCTGGCTCCAAAGTCAGTTGAAATAGGTGTACCAGAGAAAAGGAAAAACAACAAAGAGTTTCTTACATGACTAAAACTGTAATTTTATATTAAGTTCTGTGCTTCTTTCTCATGGGTGTTTCAAAATGACAGATTTTCTTGTGGGACAATTTGTGAGTTCTCAGAACCTTTGCATTACTGGGTAAAGGACAGATATGTGATGGACAGTATATGTATATTTCCATTCAAGAAAAAGTTGTGTTACTTTGCCCCTCTAGGTGTTCTTGGTCAATCTCTAATACAGCTCCATACTAGCTCTCTAAGTGGTCTACATCTGGTCCATAGTAAACTTTCATATATATTTTGCTCTGACAACGTCTAGATTAACATGGCCATCTCTCTGCTGTTTCATGACAGAAGAATTAGCCTTTCAGTCTCTTGTCCTTGAGATTTCCTTGGCTAGGTAAAACTCCAATAGACTTTTGCTTCCACATTTCCAGAGAAACGTTTATTTCTCCCAGAGGTCTCCTTCAAGTTTTCCTTTTTTGAATCGAGATGAAGGGAAAAGCTCACTAATGGAATAGGGTTTCTTACAACCAACTCTCTCAAAAGAATTATCCTTTAACATCTAACTTCCCAACCTGTTCACATCCTCAATGTGATGAGGGAGTTAAGAGTTGTGAAACAGGCTTTTCAAAAATTTATTTTGTAAGTCATCCCTTGTGATTTTGAACTTCAATTTAATAGGGGATATATATTGTATTGGGACTTCACTTGAAATTGGGAATGAAATAATTGCATTTAAGCTTTTTTTCTTTTAAAAATGCATAAGCCTTATTTTTCAGGAGAAACAAACTGTTTTTTTCTGGCCCTAATGTCTAAAAATAGAACATAGTTCTTCATATAAGGAACTGTACAATCAATAAAAACGACAGTGATATTAATAATAGCAGCTAACATTTAACCAAATACATCTTGCAAAAGTACAAATCAGAAGAAATATTTAGAAGTCCAAATGTATACCCTGTTGTGTAAAAAAGGGGATTATTTCATGAAAGGTGGTGGTACGGGAAGTCAGTAAAGCCCTGGAAGTTCTTCACAAATTTTGTGTATAAATGTTTATGTGTATTTTCTGAGGAAAGGGCCTTTTGCTTTGGATAAAATGGATAAAATCCCCGAATAGAAAGATGTCAGGATCAGCATTGCTTTTATAAATTATGGAGCCTCACCATAATTCTTAGCAGATGAAACAGTCATCAATAAAAATAGTCAAAAGATCAATAGACGTCAGAAGTGAATGGAGCTAAATTTCTGCCTTTTTTTGTAAAGTGAGTTTGCACTTTTGACTTACTTGTGAAAGTTATTACAACTTTGAATGCTCAGTTGCTAAGCAGAAACCCTAAATCAATATTTACCATGCCCTAGGAATCACTTCTTTCTCTCTCTCTCAGATATTCTAGTTGACTTTGATAAATAAGTAGGTTTAAGAACTACTCTTTTCGAGTCCTGTTTCTCAATTGTATAGAGTAGGTAAAAGAAAAAGCAACAGAATTATTGAAACACCAAGAGAGCTTTATGAAACTATACAGATCAATCCCTTTCCTCTACCAACAGATAAAAAAGGCACTCCAAGAAGATCAGTTAAGGGCCAATAATAAGAATTCAAATCAGAGTGTATAGGGACATACTGCACTGAGAATGGGAAAGAAAGGATGTGTATTCAAGATTTTATTTACAGTGTTATTAATCTTAGAAATTAAAATTTCATGATCTGTAACATCGCACTATATAACCCTAATACCAGAGATAATACATTCAAATTAGATAGAATATTTGAAAATAAACATGGACCTCAAAATCTCTTATGTCTGTGAATTTAAAGGGACGTTTTCAAAAGACATTAAAAAATCAGTGAAATCCTGCACTTTTCCATTTTGAAATGCCCACTTAAAGATATGTATAACATGATAATGTTTACTCTCATACATTAACTAAACAAATTTGTTATTTTGTACATTCATGAGGTATTTCAGAATTTCTGAACATTTTATATACTTTAAAACAATTATTCTTTTTATGCATTCAGATACTCCCATAAAGACATCAAATAGTTTTCCCACTAATGATTATCAATATTTCTACTTAGAGATAATAAGTGTAGTATAATTAACTTGAGTGTATTTAAAGTCTAAAATAGTACACTCAGAATAATATTGAAAATTCTCCTCCCTTGACTAAAATAACATTTTTATTCATCCCTCTTATCTTATTTCAAATTGAAGCCTTTTTCTGTTACAATAGTATTAATTCTATCAGTCACTAGAAGTCTACTCATGGTCTGCAAAGTGTAAAAAACTGTCTTTGTAAAAGATACCTCAGGATTTTACTCCTTATGTCATGGACATCTATGTGATATTTCAAATCAAGCGGTTCACAACTACCCATAAAAATCTGATTCATACAGAGATATCGTCATAAACAAGTATATGTAAGCCTGGCATTTGCCTTCTTGTTGTTTTATCACACTGAAAACTACTTAAAATGGATGATTGGAGGAATTGCATAAATTCTCCTTAGAAGAGCGATTCAATTGCCATAAAAAATAGAGGGCTAGCCAGATGAAAATGCATTTTAATAGGAGAAAAGTTCTAATAGTTCATTAGATGAATATTAAGCGCATAAAAATATGTCATTATGATATAAATTCTGAACTCCCACCAAAATTTTTCATTCTTCTATAGTCAGTCATGCTCATTCTCTTTGGACCCAGTGTTTCCTTACTAGGGATGGAAATTAGGGGTGGAGTGATGGAGTGGGAGGGGGTGAATTGTATGATCTAAGGTGTTATCCTCTCCTCTGATTCCTACACCTCATGCATATTTGGAAGCCGCAGAAACATTGTTGTGGCCCCTGAGTTGTTCTACTTGCCCTATGAAAGTGGTAGGCTTCACACAGACAACAATTTGCTTGAATGCTGAATTCCCTAGATGATAAAGCCAAAATCACAGAATGGGGATAGAATGAACCAAAAACACTTGGTTCTCTCTAGTTAAATATTTCATGCCTGATCTGTTGTAGCTTATTCTATGGAAATTAAAAAAAATATTTATTTCTATGTTGAGCTTCTTTTATTTCTGGAGAAAGCATTTCAGGTACTTGTTCCTCGACTTGTGGTATTTGAAATATGAATTCTGAATTCGTGGCTTATCAATAAAAACACATTGACTTTCACGGAGGTTGACTGGTGTATTCTAGTACAGGAGTAGAAACATTTACTTACATTGTGTTCACAGCTGATAAACTGCAGTTGCTAACAGTTTGTTAATTAAATCTTAGTTAAGCTTTGTCCTTCCTGCTTGAAAACAGGAACTCTTAACATCTGAGGCTGCAATTTGCATGCATCAGTCAACACAAATGCTGAACAAAGTGCTTGTTTAGGTAATAAGATAAGGAGGTGCCCTCTCCACATTTCAGCTCTGACCGCCTGAGAAGCAACATTTCCCAAGATTCCCAGCTGCTGCTTGTTCAGGCAGCTCTGTGGTTTGCGCTGCATATTAATTTCTGTCCGACACGGGAATTCAATTTGTACTGTACATTTCATTTCTTCACAGATTTAGATTTATTTCATGTTCTCTGCTTTTAATTAACTCTCTGGCACAGCTGCTGGACAGGATAGAAAAACTCATTGCTCTCCCTGTGTTATGAGTACACCACCAATCATTTGCCATTTAGATGGTGGTGCAGGAGCTATCAGTTTCTATGGCAACCAGAGCCGTGGTGATTGATTCCTTGCCAGTATGGCATCACCACAGGGAGTGCAGCTTGTGATTTTTGTATGCTCGCAACATCCATCTAATTAAAACAGGATTATGGAATCATCCCAGTATATGTTCAGCAACTACACTGCATTCCATTTATGTAAATGTCAACACTATTAAATACAGTGGTCAGAAGCTGTTTATAAAGAAATACTTGCCTTAGTCTTTGGTTGTGCATTGGGAAGTGAGGGCTTAACCACCTGGTTTTGGCCATTTATTCTCTTAAATGGTAGCCTTTAACCAGGCACAGTCATTTTGCATTTGAAAATCTTATGAAGCAAAGCCAAACAGTTACATTTCAACTGATGCAATGCTTGCTAGCTCTAGCATGCAATACTAAGCCTGACTTGGAAATTGGCTAATTAATTTAGTGTGTATGCTAATTATTTATTCATCAAAAGCTCTTAATTCACGTGATTGATTTCTCTTTCATTGGCCTCCCTTGAGAGCAGAACATCCTTCTGCTCTCATGATTTTCTTCTCACAGAGCATTCCTCAATTCCTTTAACAGTTGCTTGGGATTTGGGGAAAGCTTACCTACCAGGTGAGATAAAAGATGCACTTTTCACCGTTGTGCATGGAGACTCCAGATGAAAAAGGCAGCTCAGGGACTTCATGAAGGGCTAAATGAGTAGGCAAGCCCATCAGAGAATTGTGAGCTGTATATGCAAAATAAAAAAGAAGGACAGAGGGTGACAGATCAGTTAGCAATGTTGTCTTATACATCAGATTTTTTGCTGGATGAGACTGACAAAATATTCTGTTAACATGAAAAATGACAGTCTGCACTCCTAATGGCTTCATGTCCCTGTGCATTTCATTTTCTAATGTATTTCTGTTATAGAAGCTGCCACTGTGACATATATAAGTATGCACTGTATAGTATGTGTATTCGCTGTCAAAACTCTATTCATTTTACAGAATTTTTTTCCCTTGCCTTCACATATGTTATATGAAGAAATTGCACATTCAAATGATACTGTCAGAGATACTTCTGGTTAAATTTTAATTATTAGTACTATACTTCCCAAAAGTTTCATGACATTTCAAAGTTCTCATGAAATGACAGTAAAATTACTCCCAAAGCAGGAAATTCATAAAATGACAAAAATCTATAAAACATTTTGACTAGTGAAAGAAAAGGGATTCTAATATCGGCTAGGATGTGATGATTGGCTGAGACAAAACTGATGGAAAGAAGAGTGCTTCATTGAATGTAGCTTTTAAAATACATAGTTTTTCGGTTGTGGTATCACCAAGAGCATGTAACTAAATAGTGGGTGTAATTCGCGGTATTTTCTTTGTCTGGGGCACACAGTTTATATTGCATGTATGTATCTACTCTAGACATTAGCGTGTCACACTTAGAGTTACAATATATGCCATTCTGCCGGGCGTGGTGGCTCACGCCTGTAATCCCAGCACTTTGGGACGCTGAGGCTGGTGGACCACGAGGTCAAGAAATTGAGAACATCCTGGCCAACATGGTGAAACCTCGTCTCTACTAAAAATACAAAAATTAGATGGGCATGGTGGCATAGGCCTGTAGTCCCAGCTACTCAGGAGGCTGAGGCAGGAGAATCACTTGAACCCGGGAGGCGCAAGTTGCAGCGAGCCGAGATCACGCCATTGCACTCCAGCCTGGGCAACAGAGTAAGACTCCATCTCAAAAAAAAAAATTATGCCATTCATTGCTAGTTCATTAAGCAGTGAAGGTGATGAGCATGCATTTTATCTACAATGGTAACATCATTCATCCCTCATGTCTACTGTCCTTTCAGATATTTATGCTACCACCAGTACTCCCTCTGAGCCCCTCAAAAATCATTAGCTCACACAAATAAATCCAAAAATATTTTTGAATATTTCTTTTTTGAAAGGGACAAATTGTATATTACACAACGCAAGATATTTTAGGATAATTTTGAGGGATTTTTCCAAGTAATGTGACCAAGAAATTAAACTCATTAGCTAATTATTTTTGCTTATTTAACCTAAAAAATCCATGCTTCCCTTAAATTTTCCTTTTTTGAAATGAAGTAGCACGTTCTGTACTACAAAAATAAAAAGAATATTTCAGAAATTTGTATTGCTTAATTTGTAAAGATGCTAGATATCTTCAGTGAATACTTGGCTGACAAAAATATAGGGCCGGGAGCAGTGGCTCACCCATAATCCCAGCATTCTGGGAGGCCAAGGCAGGCAGATCACAAAGCCAGGAGTTCGAAACCAGCCTGGCCAGCATGGTGAAACCCTGTCTCTATTAAAAATACAAAAATTAGCAGGGCATGGTGGCACATGCCTGTAATCTCAGCTACTCGGGAGGCTGAGGCAGGAGAATTGCTTGAACCTGGGAGGCAGAGGTTATGGTGAGCTGAGATTGCACCACTGCATACCAGCCTAAGCGACAGAGCGAGACTCTTTATATATATATATATATATATATATATATATATATATATATATATACACACACACACACACACACATAAGCTAGAACCTGTAAAATTTTTGGCCTACTATCTCTTCCTCTGTACATACCTCATGTCCTCAAAAATCATATTTTATTGCAATGTTAAAATTATCAATATCTGCACTGCATGGAGGCAAAAAATGATGTTTTCCTGAGTACTTACAAAGCTTATCTACTGTATGGTTAGAATATGTTTTGTGATATTTTTAAAAACTATAGAACATGATAATGAAAATATATTTCAGGGCCTAGAATGGTCTTGAAAATATAAAATATTGACTTTCTGAAAAACATCACAAAGATTATTTAGATACCTGTTTATTTTACGCATTTTTTATGATTCATGACATCTGTGATGACATCAAATAGTTTCTAAAAATGAAAATATGTACTACTTTCAAAGAAAAATCTTTTTTGGGAGTTTAATTTTTACGGTCCTTATCACAAAAGTGGAGTAATTAAAATATTGAGTCAAGGACTTGGTTATGCTGCATTCCAGATGGCTGGAGACATATTTGATAGTGCAGGTGTCATGTTAATATGACAGCAAATTAGTGGTGTATGTGTGTGTGTGTTTAGGTTGATGGAACCTAGGGAGTCATTACCTGACTATCCACATAGAAGGAACAGCTGGCCAAATAAAGATCTATACCTTAGAAGTGCACAGACTTTATTCAAGCTTTGATGGTCTGTAAATATAAGAGGTGTGTTCTTCCCTCTTTTCTTTCTAAGTGTAACAATTGATTAAAAATGAAAATGCATGCTTTTCAATTGAAATGAATGTTATCAACACAAATTTCACTCCAGATACAGTTCAATTGAATCAAGCCAAAATAAATGTTGCCAAACTAAATTGTTTCATGTGTTTTCTGGTCTCCTTTCATATGTCTACAAATGGTGGCATTAAGCTGATGGACCATGGAAATATGAGTCTGAGAACAGCCAGTATCATCTCTTAGAAATCTGGAAAAAGTACAATAAGACATGCATAGATTAATGCTTGAGTTATAAGAGTTAAACAAGTAAATGATAAATAGGTAGATGTATAAATAATAGGTTAAAAGAGAGATTAGATAGATGATAGAAGACCATCGGTATATAATATAAAGTGTATTTTTATTACGACACTACTAAAAATGTTTGACTACCACTAATATAAATGAACAGGAAAGCATGGGTTTATATGCTGGGTATACCATCCATGACTTGACCAAACACATAATATCTATTGCTTATCGACTACATTGTGTTAGGTGCTATAAAACAGTTACATTAAACTTTTTCATTTAAATATTGCAATATCCCTGTAACATAGGTAATTTGTCTTCATTTTACAGATGAGAAAACTCAGATTTAGGGAAGTAAAGCAACGTGTTTATGGTCACACCAATAGTCCATGGCAGAGTAGGATTCATACTCTGAAGCTCTAAGTGAAAACTGTCGTTATTGTATTTCATTGCATATGAATATCTAGGATGTGCATAGACCTGGAAGCATTACAAGAGACCTGGAGTAGGCCAAGAGCCATCAACATGGTTCTAGAAAACCCTGTGACTATCTGAGAAAACATGTTTCTAGCATATTCCTCAGATATGTTAACTTGCGCTAAACCCTGCAGATGACTCATTCTTTTCAGTACTGTCCCAGACTCCAGTATCATAGCCAGGATGGTTTGAGTTTTTGGGTAGAATTCAACCCGTCAGATAAAACAGATATGGATGAAACATGAAGACAGCAACTCCTCATAAAATAGTGTTATAAACAACACTTAATCATTTATATATCTACTTCTTTATTATTATGTATATTTAAGGTATACAGCATCAGGTTTGATATACATATACAAATAAAATAACTACTGCAGGTAAGTAAATGAACCTATTCATCCCCTTCAATAGCTACCTTTTTATTTTCCTGGTAAGAGTACCTACAATCTACACATTTATCACATTTTCAATATAGAATAAAATATTATTTACTATAGTCTTCTTGCAGTGCATTAGACCTTTAGAATTATTCATCTTATGTTACTGCTAAGTTCTACCCTTTGACCTAGGTCTCTCCATTTTCTTCACCTCCCAGCCACTGGAAACCACCTTTCTATTCTCAGTTTCTAAGTATTCAACTTTCCTTTTTAGATTCCACATATATATGAGAGCATACAGTATCTTTCTGTTTCTGGTTTATTTCACTTAGCATAATGTTCTCCTGGTTCGTCCATCTTAGTGCAAGTAAAAGATTCTCCTTTTTTAAGGCTGAATAATATTGTATTGTATATGTGTGCATGTGTATGTTTGTGTATATACATATATGTCACAATTTTTAAATCCATTTATTTATTAATGGACACAGGTTGTTTCCATATCTTGGGAACTGTGAATAATGCTGCAATATACATGGGAGTACATATATCTCTATTAAGGTCCTGATTTCATTTCCTTTGGATATATACCCAGCAGAGGGACTACTGCGTCATATTTAACCAAGGAAGTGAAAGATCTGTACACTGAAATCTATAAAACATTGAAGGAAATTGAAGAAAACACAAATAAATGGAAAGATATTTCATGCTCATGGATTGGAAGAATGAGTATTGTTAAAATGTCTATTCTACTCAAAGCAATATACTGAATCAACTCAATTCCTAAAACAACCCAATGGCATTTTTCACAGAAATTAAAAAATAATTCTAAAATTCATATAGAAAAGCAAAAGACCCTGAATAGCTAAAGCAATATTAAGAAAAGAAAACACAGGTGGGGCATTACACGTCCTGATTTCAAATTATATTACAAAGCTATATTAATCAAAACAGTTACTGGCAAAAAGACAAATAGATCAATGGAACTAAATAGAGAGCCTGGAAATAAACCCAAGCATATATGATCCACTAATTTTCAAGAAAGTCATTAAAGTGACACAATGGGGAAAGAATAGTCTCTTCAATAAGTGATTTTTCCTGAAAAAAATGGGGTAGTTATATGCAAAATAATGAAATAGAACCCTTATCTTACACCATAAACAAAAACCAACTCAAAATGAATTAAGAACTTAAACATAAGACCTGAAATAATAAAATACAGAAGAAAATAGGGAGAAAGGTTCTTGATGTTGGTCTTGGTAATTATTTTTTTGGATATTACATCAAAATCTCAGGCAACAGTAGGAAAAGTAAACAAGTGGGACTATGTCAGACTAAGAAACTTCTGCACAGCAAAGGAAACAACCAATAAAATGAAAAGGCAGTCTATGGATTGAGAGCAAATCCTTTTTACCCATATATCTGATAAGGATTTAGCATCCAAAATATGTAAATTACTCACAGAAATAAATAGTAATAAAAACAAATACTCCAATTTAAAAATGAGCCTGAATAGATATTTTTCCCAAAAAGACACAAATATGGCCAACACGTATATGAAAGGGTGCTCCACATCACTAATCATCAGAGGAATGCAAATCAAAACCAAAACTAGGTACCATTTCATACCTGTTAGGATGAATATTATAAAGACAACAGGTAACAAGTGTTGCTGAGGAGTACAGAAGAAGTTAACCCTTATACACTGCTGGTGGAAATACAACTTGGTGCAACCATTATGAAAAACACTATGGAGGTTACTCAAAAAATGAAATCATATTTTTAAACACCTTATTTTGACCTGGGTCCATTTCTTATCATGTGGCTTTGTAGACTACAGCTAATAGTTCCTTAAATAAATGTACTACATATATTTGGCGATGGTCAGGAACCACATAGCTATTTTAATTAGATATGTGCTTGATGAAAAATCACTTTGGAATTTTCTAGTGGTAGGAAGAGGTAAAATTACATATGTGTATAGTATATACATATGCTGGCTGGGAATCTCCCAGCCTTTGGAGCCGTGGTTAAACTTAATGTGACTTGACATTTCACAATCTTGTAGCAGTCCAGAGTTCTACCTTGTAAATTCTGTGAATTCTAGGAAATCATTTCTATTTTTCTCTGTCTTGGTGCTCTCGCATCAATAAGCATTTGCTGCCTCTATTCCACCACAAATCAATCTGGGTGTAGATTCCAGCCTTGTCACCAATTCTCTTAAATAAATTAATTTAATAATTTCATAGAAGGATTTTTTTTTTTTTGCCCTGGGCAAAGTGGTTTTGGATATGATTATATCACATAGCTTACAGTCTTCCCCATTTCACTAATTCAATCCTCAGTTTCATTTCTATTTTCCACTTTGAATTATTGCAGAAACAAGAAAATTCTTCCCCTCTTATACCAAAAACTACGGGGTCCTACTTTCTACCACACACTTAGATTGGGATCTCCCTTTCCACTACACTTGCTTACATAAATATATTCCTTTCCTAAAAGGAATTCAGTTGACTAAGATGCTCTCCATTTAATGAGATTCTCATGTTATATTTTCCTACTTATATCTTTTATATATTTTTTTCTCTCTATTATTAAATGCTTATCAATGAAACCTCTGGACTTTCAAACATAATATACATTTATGAGAGTTTTGTTTGTATTATTGTTATATTAGCCTAAATGAATACTTTTCAATAAATTAATTTATTAAAAATTATTTAATTCATTGAAATTATTCATTTAGGCGAACATAATAGTAATACAAATAAAAATTTACATGTCTAAAACAGATAATATTATGAAAATATATCCAGTAATTGAGAATTTTTTCTCCTTAGATTTAGGCCTCTGACTTCCTTGACCAAAATAATGTAGGGGAAAAATGACAGCATGCCAAAAGCTTGATTTTTTATAAATAACTGAAGGCTCTTGTACCCATGTCTAATCTCATTATAAACATGGATGCTCAAATACTTGTGAACAGTGAAGAGACACATCCTGAGCCAGATTTAGGCTTCAGTGAAATTTATTAAATACACCCTAATGTTTGAAAGTAGCGTTGGTTTACTTTTTAAGGGCTTGAATTAACCAAAAGTTGTCTTGAATTTTTCTGTTACAGAACCAAATCCAGTAAATAAGGTAGATTTAGTAAGTAATATGGTTTTCATACAATGTCATTTGATCTTGAGTAATCAGCAAAAAGAAAAATATAGTTTCCTATTTGGCATTTTTAGTTGTAATATTTTTTGCTATTTATATTGCTTATAATGCTAATTTAGAAATTTTTTAAAAATATCAAGTAATACATTCTCATTGTAAAATGAGAACTAAGAATTCTCCAGTGAGAACTGAGGATAACTCTTCTCACTAAGGAGAATGGGGATTTTACCCTTTCCCCATCTTCTCCAAACAGAATCTCCATAAATAACAGGTGTTAAAAATCTGGTGTAGATTCTTCTAGTTATTTTTCCATATGTGCATATATAAAAACGAAACCTGGGAAAATACAATTCATATCTTGGACTTTATTAAGCATATACCTTGAATGTTGTTTTATTTATCAAATTTTATTGGGTCTAAATACCATAATTTACATATTTATTTTCATATTGAACGACGTTTCAGTTGTCTGAAATGTGTTGGTGATTTTCAGTGTACCTGCTACAAGGCATATCATGGTACAAACGCCTTTGTGTACATATATGCAAGAATTTCCATATGACTGAATCCTAGGAACAAGTTTGCTGTGTCAAAAATAATGGCCATTTAAAAATTTGGTTGCTACCACATAATTGTGTTTAAAAAAAAAAAAAAAGAGGAGAAAGTGAAATTTACAATTTAGAATTGAATTTGCCAATTTAGAGGGTTTTTGTTTACCTGTGCCTCAGGGACCTATATGGTGATTTGAGGTACTACACACTCTGATTTTGTGTCTTTTAAAAATTTTGATGTTTTATCATTGGATCTTATGCAATAATTTTTATTTTTACATTTTTTATTACAATGTAATTGATCTTGATTATTAAGGTATTACATTGATTATTATATATTATATTTATTATTCGTGTTTCTTAGTTTTATTTGCTTTTGAGTTTTATAATAATATTGATAACATTCTATGTAGTCTTCTATGAGTAACTTCATATTTTTCAATACAAATACGAATACACTAATACAATTAATCCATTTTATTGCTATAGCATTTCATTGTGTGAATAATATACCACAAATTATTTTTTCATTCTTAATGCCTAGCAAGCAGTTTTTCCCCAGGTTTTTTGCTATTATTGACAAGGCTTCTAATTATTAATGTGCATGTGCCTTTTGAAGATATGTAGCTAAGTAGACAATTTCTGAGTTATAGGGCAAATGTGCAAGAAAATTCAAATTTTTAAGATAAATTATTTTCCAATGTGACTGCACAATAATAAACATAAAGTCATAAAAACCCTAGAAGAAAACCTAGGCAATACCATTCAGGACATAGGCATGGGCAAGGACTTCATGTCTAAAACACCAAAAGCAATGGCAACAAAAGCCAAAATTGACAAATGGGATCTAATTAAACTAAAGAGCTTCTGCACAGCAGAGTGAACAGACAACCTACAGAACGGGAGAAAATTTTTGCAATCTACTCATCTGACAAAGGGCTAATATCCAGAATCTACAAAGAACTCAAACAAATTTACAAGAAAAAAAAAAACAACCCCATCAAAAAGTGGGCGAAGGATATGAACAGACACTTCTCAAAAGAAGACATTTATGCAGCCAAAAGACACATGAAAAAATGCTCATCATCAGTGGCCATCAGAGAAATGCAAATCAAAACCACAATGAGATACCATCTCACACCAGTTAGAATGGTGATCATTAAAAAGTCAGGAAACAACAGGTGCTGGAGAGGATGTGGAGAAATAGGAACACTTTTACACTGTTGGTGGGACTGTAAACTAGTTCAACCATTGTGGAAGTCAGTGTGGCGATTCCTCAGGGATCTAGAACTAGAAATACCGTTTGACCCAGTGATCCCTTTACTTGGTATATACCCAAAGGATTATAAATCATGTTGCTATAAAGACATATGCACATGTATGTTTATTGCGGCATTATTCACAATAGCAAAGACTTGGAACCAACCTAAATGTCCAACAACGATAGACTGGATTAAGAAAATGTGGCACATATACACCATGGAATACTACGCAGCCATAAAAAATGATGAATTCATGTCCTTTGTAGGGACATGGATGAAGCTGGAAACCATCATTCTCAGCAAACTATCGCAAGGACAAAAAACCAAACACCGCATGTTCTCACTCATAGGTGGGAATTGAACAATGAGAACACATGGACACAGGAAGGGGAACATCACACACCGGGGCCTGTTGTGGGGTGGGGGGAGGGGGGAGCGATAGCATTTGGA
The DNA here is from genome assembly GCF_000001405.40 of Homo sapiens. Lineage (NCBI taxonomy): Eukaryota > Metazoa > Chordata > Mammalia > Primates > Hominidae > Homo > Homo sapiens. The sequence continues at coordinate 23,015,298 of NC_000009.12, forward strand.
GATATACCTAATGTTAAATGACGAGTTACTGGGTGCAGCACACCAACATGGCACATGTATACATATGTAACTAACCTGCACGTTGTGCACATGTACCCTAAAACTTAAAGTATAATAATAATAAAAAAAAAGAAAGCAATTGAATGTATTCTTTTATGGTTAGTATATTTATTTTGTCTAAGTCTAGCTGTAGCATATTGCATTTCCCAAAAATAAACACAAGTCCCATCCCAAATACTCTTCTGTAATGTAGTCTCACCTCTCTTCCATCTAGAGGTGGAATATAATTCTCCTGTCCTGTAATCTAGGTTGGACTTAGTGGCTTTCTGAGCAGAAGTGACATTCTGAGACTTCTGTGGTTGGGACATAGGATGAGCTTCTTAAAATAGCTCTACTTCGGTTACTGCCTTTCAGATACTAGCCAGCAAGCAGGCTGTGAGAAGCCCAAGCTACAAAGAGAAACCATCTGTAGACATTCTGGGAGGGAAATAGCTTCAAATGAGCTCCCCAACAATACCAGACAGACTGCTATCCATGTGAGTGAGCCATCTTGGATGTCCAGCTAAGTCAAGCTTTCAGACAACTCCATCCCATTAGCTATAATTACATAAAAGGCCTCAAGTGAGGACTACCCAACTGTGAGAGATAATAATAATTTGCTACTTTAAATCACAAATTTTGGAGCAGTTTGTTATGTAGAAAAAGAGTATTAACTGAAATACAAAAATATATTTGCTTTATATTCATCGAATAGTTAACATTAAAAAAATTATATCCCATTCCTTGATCCAGCTGTAGCTGTTTTTTTTTTTCACTTTTCTTTAAATATCTTTATTTTTTAACTGACAAAAATTTGTGTATATTTCTCATGGAGCTGATTTTTGCGTATGATGAAATTACAGCCCCAATTCTATATCCTGATAAGGCTAACAACACAAAACCAAGTTTTGTCCAAAACTATGTTTTACATAGTGGTTGTTTTCCAGATCCATTAACTTAATTTTGGGCTTGTGGCTTCATTGACTTTTAGGTTTGTACAAAAAAGTAAAAGAATAACTCATAGCAAATTTCATAAAATCTAATTTGTTATACATAAAACCTATGAGATTAGTCACTATTAGTTAAATAAATACATTATTAAGGAAGCAGGGAATAAAAGTTAAATACAGGCTCATTAGGGTCAAATAAATTAGGTTTAAATCTCATGTTTGCAAATTTACTGAACTTTTTCATCTCTTTAAAGAAAGCAGTTAAACTCGTAATTCAGCATTTTCATGATAATAAAATAAAATAATCATTTAAGATTTCTTAGCATTAGAAACTGGCATAAATTAAATTATCAGCAAGTGGCACCTCTCTTGACCCACAAAAGACAGAACAGAAACTTTCTGTAATATGTGGAGAAATATGTGGGATTTGAATCTATAGAGCTTACCATCTCTGAAATGGAGCTTTGCATTTTCATGAAAGATTTAGGGTTAAAGAATATCTATCTTACTTTATGAGACTTAATGTGTTTCTAAATCATTTTTATACACAATATGTAGGATTTTTCATTCACTTTTCAATTTTGTAAATTGCCAAACTAAACCTGTTCTTCTGAAAAAAAATGCTTCACCATAAAGAACAATAATCATCCAAGAATATTGGGATGCATACTTTGAAAAGTTGTTTCCTGCTTTTCTATATTTGCAATAGTAAACAGCAAACCTTTACTTTTTTTGACAGTAGTTTGATTTACCAATATGCCTAATCTGTTCTGGTACATAAGGATGTTTATGAAAAAAATGTTTTTTCTCAGGATCTCAGAATCTCATATTCTGTTATAGACAGCTTTGGTATGTATACTTAAAGGTTGGCTGAAGTATATTTCTTTAACTTCTTAATGTGAAATTTAAGCAACTACACTAGTTTAATAGACAAAATTTTTTAGCATTTTTAGGTTTGTAGAAAAAATTGTCAAAATAGAATGTTTCCTTCACACGTGGAAACTAAAAATTAAAACAATTGAACTCATGGAGTTAGAGAGTAGAACGCTGGTTATCAGAGGCTGGGAAGACAGTGGTAGGGAAGTAGGGATAGTTAATGGGTGCAAAAATATAATTAGATAGAATATATAAGATCTAGTATTTGATAGCACAACAGTGTGACTATAGTCAACAGTAATTTATTGTACATTTTAAAACAACTAAGAGAGTAGAACTGAAATGTTCCTAAAACAAATTATAAATGCTCGAGTTAATGGACATCACAGTTACCCCAATGGGATCGTTACACATTATATGTCTGTATCAACAAATCACATGTACAACATAAATATATACCCATAGGTACCCAAATAATTTAAAATAAAAACTTTTTTAGAAAGTACAGAGAATTTACAAATCTTCCTCATTTCCCCACTACAGTTTCCCCTATTATTAACATCTTGGATTAATGTGGTACATTTGTTACAATTAATAAGGCAATATTGATACATTATAATTAACGAAAGCTTATAGTTTACATTAGGATTTACTTTGTGTTGCACATTCTGTGGGTTTGGATAAATATGTAATGACATGTATCCTCCATTATAGTGTTAACACAGAATACTTGCACTGCATTAAAAATCGCTTGCTCCGCATTTTCATCCTTCCTTCCTGACAAACCATTGGCAACCATTGATCTCTTTACTGTCTCCATAGTTCTTCCTTTCCCAGAATGTCTTACAGTTGGAACTGTATACTCTTTTCATATTGGCTTCTTTCACTTAAAAATATACATTTAATGTTCTACCAACTTTTTCATGGCTTATTAGCTCATTTATTTTTATCACTGAATAATATGTCATTGTGTAGCTGTACCAGTTTGTCTGTCCACTTGTTGAAAGACATCTTGGCTGCTTCCAAGTCTTGGCAATTCTGAATAAAGCTGCTATAAACATTCTTGTGTAGCTCTTTGTGTGAACGTAGATTTTTCATCTCATTTGGGTAAATAACAATGAGTGTAAATCCTGGATAATATGGTAAGAATATGTTTAGCTTTGTAAGAAATTGCCAAACGCCAACACAAAGTGACTGTACCATTTTGAATTCCTATCAACAATGAATAAGAGTTCTTGTTGCTCCAAATCCTAGCCAGTATTTGCTATTGTCAGTGTTTTGGATTTTAGCCACTCTAATAGCTGTGTAATGGTATATCATTGTTGTTTCAATTTACAATTCCCTAATGACATATGATGCTGAATATTTTTTCATGTACATACTTGCCATCTGTATATCTTCTTTGAGGAAGTGTTTGTTCAGATCTTTTGCTCATTTACTAATTCAGTTGTTTGTTTTCTTATTGTTATTAGTTTTTTGTAAAATTGGGATACCGGGTCTTTATCAGATATGTGTTTTTGCAAAAATTTTCTCCCTATTTTTAACTTGTGCCTTCATTATCTTAGCAGTGTATTGCACAGATAAAAAGGTTTTAATTTTTGTGAAATCCATCATCAGTTTTTTCCTTCATAGATTGAGCTTTTGGCATTAAATCCAAAAAAATCATCAACAAACCCAAATTTGTCTAGATTTTCTTCTATATTGTCTATATGAGTTCTATAGTTTGTGTTTTACATTTAGGTCTATGATCCATTTTCAGAAAACTTTTATAAAATGTGTAAAGTCTATGTTTAGATTCCTTTTTATGTGGAAGTCCAGATGTTTCAGCACATTTGTTGAAAAGTTTGTCTTTTCCCCATCAAATTGCCTTCGCTCTACTGTTAATAATCACATGACTACATTTGAGTGAATCTAATTCTGGGCTCTCTATTCGGTTTTATTTATCTATTTACCTGTTCTTTAGCCAATACTGTATCCTCCTGGCTACTGTAATGTCTTAAAGTAAAGTAATGTCAATCTTCTGATTTTGTTCTTGTCCTTCAATATTGTGTTGGCTATTATGGATCTTTTGCCTCTCTTTATGAGTTTTAGAAGTAATTGGCTGATACACATGAAATTAATACTGGGATTTTGATTAGGATTTCCTCAAATCTATAAAGTGGGAAAGAACTGACATCATTAAAATATTGACACTTTCTATCTATGTGCATTGAACATCTCTCCACTTATTTAGATGTTTTAAAAAAATTGTTAGAATTTTGTAGTTTTTCTTATATAAAATATGTAATAATTTCTTAGATTTATACTTAAGTATTTTATATTTTTGGTGCTAATTTAAATGGTATTGTGTTTTTAATTCCAAATCCCAATTGTTTACTGCTGTCATTTAAGAGAACGATTAACTTTTGTAAATTATCCATGTATCCTGCCGATTTGCTAGAATTACTTATGAGTTTCAAAAGTTTTTTGTTGTAAATTCTGAGATTTTTCAACATGAAAATTATGTCATCTATAAACAAAGACAATTTTATTGCTTCTTTTTAATCAGTATTCCATTTATTTCATTTTCTTGTCTTATTGTGTTAGCTAGGATGTCCAGCATGATGATGAAGAGGAGTGGTGAGAGGGCACATCTTTACCTTGTTCTTAATCTTAGTAGGAAGGCATCCAGTCTGTCCACTATTATGTATGATGTTAGTTGTAGGTCTGTTGTAGATATTCTTCATGAAGTTGAAAAAGTTCCTCTCTACTCCTAGTTTATAGAGCATTTTTAAAAATCATGAATGAGTGTTGAAATTTGTCAAATGCTTGTTCTGCATCTATTGGCATGCTCATATAATTTTCCTTCTTTAGTCTGTTGATGTGATGAATTACATTATTTGATTTTTGAATGGTGAACTCCCTTTGAATACCTGCAATAAATCTCACTTAGTCATGGTATATAATTTTTATAAATTGTTGGATTCAACTTGTTGATATTTCGTTGAGAATTTTTGCGTCTATGTTCATGAGCAATAATTGCTTGTAGATTTTCTTTCTTGAAATATCTTTTTCAGGTTTAAGATAATGTTGACCACATGAAATGAGTTAGGAAGTATTCTTCCTGCTTTTGTTTTTGTTTGTTTGTTTTTTGATTTTTTTTTTTTTTTTGGAAGAGTTTGCAGAGAATTGGTATAATTTCTTTGTTAAATATTTGGTACAGTTCAACAATAAACTCAATCTGGGCCTGTTGTTTCGAAAGGTTTTAGAAGGCTGTTAATTTGTAATTCATGTTTTAATAGATTTAAGACTACCAGATTTTTTATTTCTCCTTTTATGAGTTTTGGTGGATTGTGTCTTTTGCGAAAAGAACATAGAATTGTTCATAGTACTCCTTTATTTCTGTTTTAATACTTACGGAATTAAAAGCGATGATGACTCATTTATTCCTGATATTGGTAATTTGCATCTTTTTTCTTGGTTAGTCTAGTTTATCAATATTTTTTAAAAATACTTTTTTAAAACTAGCTTTTGGTCATGTTTATTCTCATTGATTTACTGTTTTTATTGATTTCTGCTCTAACTTCTATTACTTATTTCCTTCTGCTTGCTTTACACCTCTTTTTCTAGTTTCCTAAGGTGGAAACTTAGAATACTGATATTAGATTTTTCTTATTTTCTAAAATATCCATTCTATAATACAAATTTCCCTCTAAGCACCAGTTTGACTGCATTACACAAATTTTGATGAGTTGTGTATTTGTTTTCAAATATTTTAAAATTTTATCTTGAAAATATGTTGTTCCATATATAATTTAGAAGTGTTTAATCTACAGGCATTTTCTTGTTTTCCAGCTATTTTTCTGGCTATAATTTTTAATTTAATTCTATTGTGGTCTGAAAGCATAGTTTGTATGATTTCTATTCTTTTAAATGTGTTAAGGTGTGTTTGATGGCCCCAAATATGTTATATTTGGTAAATGCTCTGGGTGAGTTTCAGAAGAATATGTAATATGTATGGTTTTTGGATAAAATATCTGTTTGGTAAATGCTCTGTGTGAGCTTCAGAAGAATATGTCATATGTATGGTTTTGGATAAAGTATCCTATAAATGTTAATTAGGTCCAGTTGATTGATGGTGCTATTCAGTTCAACTATATCCTTACTTTTTCCTGCTTGCTAGATCTGTCAGTTATCAAAGAGGGATGTTAAAGTTTCCAACTGTAATAGTAAATTTGTCATATTCTCTTTGCAATTCTATAGTTTTTGCCTTACGTATTTTAATATTTTTGTGTTAGGTGTATGCACATTAATGATTGCTATATTTTCTTGAAGAATTTGGCCCTTAATGATTATATAATGCCCCATTTTTTTCTCTGATAATTTTTCTTGCTCCGAAGTCTGTACTTACTGAAATTAATATAGCTAATCTAGATTTCTTTTTATTTGTGTTAGTGTGGTATGTCTTTCTCCAACACTTTACTATCTGTCTCTTTTATTTAAAGTAGATTTTTTGTAGACAACATATAGTTGGTTCTTGTTTTTTGACTCACTTTGATAACCTCTCTTTTAATTGGTGTTTTTAGATGATTGACATTTAAAGTGATTATTAGTATAGTTAGATTAACAAATAACCGTATTTGTTAGTGTTTCCAGTTCATTGCCTTTGTGGGGTTTTTTTGTTTGTTAGTTTGCCTGTGTGTTTTATACTTTTTTTCTGCCTTCTCTGGTTTTAACTAAGCATTTTCTATAATTCTATCTCCTTTGTTAGAGTATCTATTACGTTTCTTTTTTACTATTTTTAATGATTGCTCTAGAGTTTGCAGTACTGCAGTATAAATTTGCAACTAATTTAAACCAATTTTTAAATAACACTATACTACTTCATGGGTAATGAAAGCATCTTATAACATATTATCTCTAGTTTTTTCCCTTTCTTATTTCATAACTGCCATTTCACTTCACATATTCATAGCCAAAACCACTGAGTATATGGTGCTATTATTATTTTGACAAAAATCTGTAATCTGTTAGATCAATTAAAACAAAAAAAAAAAAAGAGTCTATTATACCTTCACTTATTCCTTCTCTGATGTTTTTCATTTCTTAACATAGATCTGAGATTCTGACCTATATCATTTTTTTCCCCCTCTGAAGAATTCTAACATTTCTTGCAAGGCAGGTCTATTGGAAACAAATGCCCCTAGTTGTTTTGTGAGAAGGTTTTTGTTTCTTTTTCACTTTTGAAGGATAATTTCACAGGATACAGAATTCTATGTTGGTAATTTCTTCTTTATTTTTCTTTGGACACTGTAAGTATTTCACTCTACCCTCTTCTTGCTTGCATGCTTTCTGAAAAATTGGATGGAGTGTTTACCTTTGCTTTTCTTTAGCTAAGCTCTTTATTTCTTCTGACTTCTTTAAACATTTTTTTATCTTTGATTTCCTATAGTTTGAAAATGATAGGCCTAACTGTAGACTTTTTATATTTATCCTACTTGGTATTCTGTCATTCATTTCAGAAAATTCTCTGCCCTATGACTATGACTTCAAACATTTTCTCTATTTCTTTATCTCTTTCTTCTACTTCTGGTATTCCAATTACACATATAACTTTTGTGGTTGTCTCACAGTTTTGAAATATTTTGTTTTATCCTTTTTTTCTCTTTGCATTTCAGTTATCAAAGTTTCTATTGCATTTTCTCAAGCTTATTGATTCTTTCTTAGTCATATCCAGTCTATTGATGATTCCTTCAAATTTCTGATACAGCATCTTTTATTTCTAGCATTTTCTTTTGATTCTTTCTTGGGGTTTTTATTTATCTTCTTTCAGTTTCTGTATGTTCTTTCATATTGTTAGATTGTTTCTACTTTTTCCAATATCGCCCTTTGCATATTAATCAGAGTTGTTTTAAATTCCCATTCTGATAGTTCCAACATGGCTGCCGTACCTGAATCTCGTTCTGATGCTTAGTTTTTCCCTTCAAACACTGTTCTTAAAAATATATATATATACATACATATATATATATATGCCTTGTAATTACTCGTTGAAAGCTGGCCATAAGCTAGCAAGTAAAAGAAACTTAGGTATATATGCCTTTAGTGTGAGTGTGTATGTTTATTCAGTTAGGAGTTACCTTGTATTTACTGTTTGCTCTAGGTGTGGTGTCAGGGCTAATTTTCTCTGATGCTCTTGTTTTTGTCTTTTTTGTTGTAGTTTTCCCTAGTGACTCTTACATGATGTTTGACATTTTCAATTCCTTCATCTGTATTATCCTATTATCTTCTAGGAGCTCCATTGAGGTAATGATAGGGTGTTGGGGGAGAAAAAATGTTCTGTAAAATTATGATTAGGTCTCTTTCTTTTACCAAGCCTGTGTCCTTGGGCTGTGACCTTCACAAATGCTTCTCACTTTTACTTTCTTTTATTTTTCTATGAAGGTGAGGCCTTTTGGCCTCATCTAATTGGAGCTGGGCGTTTCCTTTTTGCCATGTAGAAGACGAGAGTGGGCAAGAGTTGTATATTTCCCTTCATACAGTTTGCTTAGGTTCTGGTAAAACACCAGTCATTTAGGCTCTGGTAAAATAGTTTCCCTTGTGGGCAGGTTTTGTTAAGGAGAACAGAATATTCTAAACATATTTTTAAATGGCTATTTTCCCTTTCCTCTGCTGGAAATACTAGGGGTTTGTTTTTTTCTTTTTCTGATTTTCACTGTGAGAACATGGTAGAGCTCCTAGAAGTAAGCTTCAGAAAAGTGTGGAGGCCTTCCTATGACTGAGTCTCCTTGGAGTTTTAACTCTTAAGCTTGTCTACCTTTATCTTCCAGCAATTCAATTACAAGTTTAAGTTTTCTTAACCCTGTGCTGGCTCCAGCAATGGTTTCTGCTCCTCAACCTTTACCCCAGTAAGCTATGATTCCCTTTAACTTCCTGTCTCTCTCTCTCCAATTTGAGGGGCAATAGATTGCTCTGTGAGCTCACATTTCTCTAAAGAATCCTAGAGGAATTGCTGATTTTCAGTTTGTTCAGCTTTTTTGTTGTTGTTGCAAAGATGGAAGTGAGGCCTTTTAAGGTCATTACATCCTTGACTAGAAATTAGAATGCCACTAAACTATTTTTCAATCATTTGAAAATTTTATTTATTTATCAACTTTTAAGTCCAGGGGTACATCTGCAGGATGTGCAGGTTGGCTACATAGGTAAACATGTGCCAAGGTGGTTTACTGCACAGATCATCCGATCACCCATGTATTAAGCCCAGCATCCATTAGCTGTTCTTCCTGATGCTCCCCAGCATCCCATCCCCCAACAGGTGTCCAGTGTGTGTTGTTTCCTGTCCCCCATGTGACCATGTGTTCTCATCAGCCAGCTCCCACTATAAGTGATGACACGCTGTGTTTGGTTTTCTGTTCCTGCATTAGTTTGCTGACTATAATGGCTTCCGCCTCCATCCATGTCACTGCAACGGACATGCTCTCATTCTTTTTTATGGCTTCATTGTATTCCACAGTGTATTGTACCACTTTTTCTTTATCCAGTCTATCATTGATGGGGCATTTAGGTTGATGCAATGACTTTGCATTGTAAATAGTGCTGCAGTAAACATATGTGTGCATGTATCTTAATAGAATGATTTATATTCCTTTGGGTGTGTACTCAGTAATGGGATTGCTCGGTCAAATTATATTTCTGCTTCCAGGTCTTTGAGAAATGGCTACACTGTGTTCTCCAATGGATGAACTAATTTACACTCCCACCAACAGTGTAAAAGTGTTCCGTTTTCTCCACAACCTTGCCCGCATTTGTTGTTTTTGACTTTTTAATAATAGCCATTCTGATTGGCATGAGATGTTATCTCATTGTGGTTTTGATTTACATTTCTCTAATGATTAGTGATGTTGAGCTTTTTATCATATGATTGTTGGTCACATGTATGTCTTCTTTTGAGAAGTGTCTGTTCATGTCCTTCGCTGACTTTTTAATGGGGTTCTTTGCTTTTTTTATATATATAAACTTGTTTAAGTTCCTTGTAGATTTTGGATATTAGACCTTTGTCAGATGGATAGACTACATTCTATAGGTTGTCTGTTCACTCTGATGATGTTTCTTCTGCTGTGCAGAAGCTCTTTAGTTTAATTAAATCTCATTTGTCAATTTTTGCTTTTGTTGCAATTGCTTTTGGCATTTTTGTCATGATATCTTTGCCTATACCTATATCCTAAAGGTATTGCCTACATTTTCTTCAAAGATTTTTATAGTTTTGGGTTTTATATTTAACTCTTTAATCCATCTTGAGTTAAATTTTGTGTATGGTTTAAGGAAGGGGTCCAGTTTCCATTTTCTGCATATGGCTAGCCAGTTCTCCCAGCACCATTTACTAAATAGGGAATCCTTTCCCCATTGTTTGTTTTTGTCCGGTTTGTCAAAGATCAGATGGCTATAGGTGTGCGGTCTTATTTCAGAGTTCTCTATTCTGTTCCATTGGTCTGTGTGTCTGTTTCTGTACTAGTACCATGCTGTGTTGGTTACTATAGCCTTGTAGTATAGTTTGAAATTGGATAGCGTGATGCCTCCAGCTTTGTTCCTTTTGCTTTTACAAAACATTTTAGCTTGAGATAATAGAAGAACACATGCAGTTATGATAAATAATGCAGAGACAGTTTGTCTACTCTTTTTCTAGCTTCCTTCAATAATAATATCTTGGAAAACTGTAGGATAATATCACCACGAGGATACTGACTTTGATACAATCCACTTATCTTGTTCAGATTTCTTCAGTTTTACTTGTACTGATTTGTATTCATGTGTATGCTTTTTCAGTTCTATGCAATTTTATCACATACATAGGTTAGTATATTCACCACTTAGTTAAGATAACAGTACTTTCAACATCAGGAGAATTCTTCCTGTTGCACTCTTATGACCACACCCATTTTCTTCTCACCTTATCCCATTCTTAACTCTACAAACCATTCATTGGTCTCCATTTCTATATGTACTACCTTTTTTTGATGCATTGAATTTGTAATATGTACCCAAGCCAAACAATATTAGAATATTGGGAAGCAAATTCTCCTTCTATATCGTGATTTTATAAACAGCAAAATTAAATTTCATTTTATATATGTATATATATATATATATATGTATATGTGTGTGTGTGTGTGTGTGTGTGTTCTGTGTATTATGTAAAAAGAAGGGACACCTACTTCAAATTGGATGCTAGTCTAACTACTCAAATATCATGAGTTAATTCTGAGATGAAAGTCAGCCATGCCAGGCGCAGTGGCTCATGCCTATAATCCCAGCACTTCAGAAGGCCAAGACAGGCAGATAACTTGAGGTCAGGAGTTCAAGACCAGCCTGAGCAACATAGTGAAACCCTGACTCTACTAAAAATACAAAAATTAGCCAGCCTGTAGTCCCAGCTACTTGGGAGGCTGAGACAGGAGAATCACTTGAACCCAGGAGGTGAAGACTGTAGTGAGTGGAGATTGTGCCACTGCACTACAACCGAGTGAGACTGTCTCACAAAAGAAAGAAAGAAAGAAAATCAGCTGGTGACATTTATTGTCATGAAATTCCTTCTCTTGTCACTGAATATAGAATTCTTATGGTAAGAGAAGATAAAAGCGAATGTCAAAATGGCCTCTCCCCATGTGTTAACAACCGAATGCCCCTCTCATATGTCTGCCAAACACAGGCGGCCACTTTCTTTAAATATGTACCAAGATGAGAGTATTTTTGAATGAGTGGCTCTAAAGCTAAAGGATTCAGAGGATACCAGTTTAGAAACGGACTATGGTGGAGGCTACAAGACACTGGTATTTTCTTTACTGCAATTTCTATTTCTTTGAGTCCATAAAATGTAATATTACTATGTGAAATTGTTACTTTTTTCATTCGTTTATGTTAATTTTTAAATTCAGGAGTGAAAACAATAAAATGGTTGGTTTTTAATTTCAAATGAGACTCTGTTTGTTCCTCCCCTGATTTTCTTCATATATTGTAAATTTATATTTTCTTATATATCATTGAAAGGTGTTTTAGAGGGCTGGGCGAGGTGGCTCACGCCTGTAATCCCAGCATTTTGGGAGGCCAAGGCGGGCAGATCACCTAAGGTCGGGAGTTCACGACCAGCCTGACCAACCTGGAGAAACCCTGTCTCTACTAAATATTCAAAATTAGCCAGGTGTGGTGGTGCATGCCTGTAATCTCAGCTACTTGGGAGGCTCAGGCAGAAGAATCGCTTGAACCTGGGAGGCGGAGGTTGCGGTGAGCCGAGATCGCGCCATTGCACTCCAGCCTGGGCAACAGGAGCGAAACTCCGTCTCAAAAGAAAAGAACAAAAAAAAAGAAGAAGGGTTTTTTAGTCTAGGTGCGGTGGCTCATGCCTGTAATCTCAGTACTTTGGGAAGCCACGGCCAGTGGATCACGAGGTCAGAAGTTGGAGACCAGCCTGGCCAACGTAGTGAAACCTCATCTCTACTAAAAATACAAAAAATTAGCCAGTGTGGTGGCATGCGCCTGTAATCCCAGCTACTCGGGAGGCTGAGGCAGGAGAATTGCTTGAACCCATGAAGCAGAGGTTGCAGGGAGCTGAGATTGCGCCACTGGACTCCAGCCTGGACGACAGAGTGAGACTTAGTCTCCAAAAAAAAAAAAAGTGTTTTTACCTTAATTGGAGACACTGAGCTAGCTTTCTGCTTTATTTTGCCAAGAAAAACCTTAGTGATCTTATGCATAGATTTAGTGCTGAATTGATATTTGTATTGATTATCCATCTCACTTTTAAATTATGCAAAACTCCAATTAAAATATAAAAACAAAAATGTGAAAGCAGGGAAGGATTAGGTCTTTGAAAAATGCAGATCAGATAAATACACTTAATTTGGGACATTCTTTCCTTCTTTTTGCATCCGTATTTTGAACATATCTGGTTATATTCCAAGAATAGACATAGATATTACAGGGAAAATCTGCTGTTAAAACATACTCAGTAACTATTCACTAATCCTTTCCTCTGAGAGCTTAGTCGGCTAAATATGATACAATGGATTCTCTTGCATGCAGTGACTGAATGCCAGAACAAGACTCTAAAGACATCGTAATTTAAATACCCAACGGTCCTGGGAGAGGAGATGATTTAATCGATATCTGTAACACAAAAGGTTTAGCAAAAAGAAAGACATTTGAACATTGTAAAATCAGTGAGGAGGATTTAAGTTTGTACAATTTTATCAATTCCAAAAATACTATATCTATATCAATTTATTTATTTACCTATCTTACTATAATGTATATATTAGAGAGAGAGAGAGATAATTCACACACACACACCTAACACAAGCATCCTAAAATCAGATGAAATTTCACGATAAGCAGTATCATTAGTAGCTTCTTGTTCATAGGACATTTTATCCTGAGAAAGCTGCCACATTTAAAACATAAGAATATGGAAAACCATTATTGCATGAATATAACTGTCCTTTAACCTCATTCACTTAGAAAAAAATGCCAGTATCAGTGGTTTATGTGTATATTTGCTTTGGAAAAAAAGATTGAGTAGCTGGCGAGAGTATTTTCCTTGTCTGATACTTCTCATCCCAATTTCAATTTTTTGAAATTTCTCTTTTATGGACTTGGGTGAGTCCACATTGGACAACCTATACATGCATTTAAAATGAAAAAAGGAAGTTCATGTAAAAAGTAAGCATGTGATGAATCTTATATCCTCTTCCCTTATTCGGATGATAGAAATAATTACTTCTAGATATATCATTGCACTGGGCACAGTTGGCACCCAGGAGTTGGCCAGGTGTTAGATGTGATAGGAAATGCACTGCCTGATTAGACAGACTAGAGTCCAAGTGCAAAAACATTCTGTCTTAAATGAGATGAGAGACAGAAATTTAAAGATGTCATTTAATTTTTCATCTGTGGCCAACACATGCCAGTGTTTCAAGATGATTTTGTTAATCACATGGGACTATTCAATGCATGTGGTAATGAAAAGATAGAAACATGTTTTTTTCAAACAAGGCAAACACTGTTCAACTCAGTTTCACTGCAATCATTTCAGTTGAGGTTTTTTTTTTTTTTTTAATCTTAGTTGATTTCTTTTTATGACTGCGTAAAGGTATTTTGCTTTGTTTGCTTTTACTCAGGTTTTTATCCCACTGTGTCTTTTTTATTGTTATAATTCAATCATACTCTGGACTCTAAGGATGCTATGGGCACAATAATACCGAGAAAGGTGCCCTGAAGCTCAGTGTTCTTAGCAAAGAAGTTGAAGATCTTTTCTAAAAATATATGTTATATACATAAGATTATCTAATTTGCATTCTTAATTTTCAACTATTTACTGATTCAATTATTTACTGATTGTTAATACATGTTAACAATCCATTGATAGCAGTAATTGCCAGCATTTACTGACAGTTTATAATAGTCAGGCACTTTGCCAAGCATTTTATATGCATCATCATAATAAATTTTTGAAATTGATACTATTGAATGTGTCAGTTTATTTCTTATATTCTACATAGTTGTTCTCAAAGTTCTTTCAGGGTGTTCATGAGGTAAAAATTATTTTCATGATAATACTGGCATTATTTATCTATTAGAATTTCACTTCCTTACAAATGTTAAGAGCACAAAAACTTATTAATAATCTATATTGTTTTAGAGTCCATATTACTTCTAACCTTTAAAAAACTACTAACAATGAGTTTTAATGCAGTATGAAAGAGGAATATTCTCAACTACCTAAAAAGATTATTAGAATACATCTCTCTTTTCCAATTACGTACATATTGAGGTCAGATTCTAGTGATATTTTTTGACCAAAATAATATATCAAAACAGACTGAAATAAAAACAGGCATGAAGCTCAGATGTAGTATAAGACATTTTCTAGATGTTTACAAAATATAAACAGTGTCACTCTTTTACTTTTTGTTTGTTTTGAAAAATTATAGTTAAATTTCACAAAAAGGTTGTTTATGTTAAAATTGAATTTATTATTTTTTACATGAAATAACAACTATATTACTTAAATACAGATAGGTTGACATTTCTAACATTAATAGACATAAACATATAAAAAGCTGGTTTTTGCTTTTTTTTTTTTTTTTTTTTTGAGACTGAGTCTTGCTCTACAACTGAGTCTGGAGTGCAGTGTCATGATTGTAGCTCACTGCAGCTGCGACCTCCCAGGCTCAAGCAATCCTCCCACCTCAGCCTCCCAAGTATTTGGGATTATAAGAATGTGCCACCATGCCTGGCTAATTTTTCTGTATTTTTTGTAGAGATGTGGTCTCACCATGATGCCTAGGCTTGTCTTGAACTCCTGGCCTCAAGTGATTCACCTGCCTTGGCCTCTCAAAGTGCTGAGACTGCAGGCATGAGCTACTGAACCCAGCCAAAAAAATCTTTCAGTAACTTTTGATAGCCTAAAAGTATTCTGACACCAAAATACTTCAGAACCATTTTTCTAACACATTTTCCAAAAGAATGTTTTTTTTTTTTTTTTTTTTTTTTTGAGATGGAGTCTTGTTGTGTCTCCCAGGCTGGAGTGCAGTGGCGCTATCTCGGCTCACTGCAAGCTCCGCCCCTGGTTCATGCCATTCTCCTGCCTCAGCCTCCCAAGTAGCTGGGACTACAGACGTCGGTCACCACGCCCGGATAATTTTTTGTTTGTTTGTTTGTTTGTTTTTAGTAAAGATGGAGTTTCACCATGTTAGCTAGGATGGTCTCGATCTCCTGACCTCACGATCCGCCTGCCTCGGCCTCCCAAAGTGCTGGGATTACAGGCGTGAGCCACCGCGCCTGGCCAGAAATTTTCTTTTACATCATGTGAAGTACATATGATTTCTACGAATGATTCAGTAGGTAAATATGTAATTTTGTTACTTTATTCATATAGCCAAACTCTATTCTTTCAACAGACAATGTGATAATGGTAATAGCCCAGTGACTTCCAAGTAAGGTGAATTTTCTTCACCAACTTAAGAATTTTAAATTATGTCTTGAAAAAAATTTTTAAAAACGTAATGCTTCCTAGGTTAGGGAACAAAATAATTATGTTTAAGAATTACAGATGTTAAAATAATTAGGTTTAAGCATTACAGATGTTGTTCAAGTTGTGTTTATGAGCAAGTTAGTGTGATAGCATACACAGGGAAGCAAAACACCTAAATAAGATCTGCCTGGAGCCAAGAGGGACTCCCCATTAGAAAGAAAAGGTAAGCTAGAGATTTCTAGCAGTTGCCATTAGCACTGGAGATACCTGTAATCCTAGTTACAGACAAGTCCCACAATTCTCACAATGGATTCAGGGACCTGCCTGAAGTCCATGCAGTTTCGTTGATCCAGAGAAGGAACACACACCGAGTCCTCCCACCACTACCACCCAACTCCCTGGGACCAAAACTGCTATGAGACAAAACCATGTTGGGAATGGAGCTACTTCTGGAGTACATGAGTACATCATAGCCTGGGGTTTAATAGCCCCTACACCTCCACAACATTTGGTCCCTGCCATCATTCCACTACATACACACAGAAGACTACATACAGCCATGACCCCAGCATCTGAGCCCACACAGTGTCTTATATTCTAGGAAACAAGAGGTCCAACATAGCAGAAGGCCTTCCCATGACCAAGGGAGCAAGTACATGTGCTCCCCACGGCCCTAGAACTGACTACCTGTGACTCTCCATCATCCCAGCTGCCACACAATGCATGTGCCTCTTCAGAAACCAAAAACCCATTATTTTGGTGTCCACCATAGGTGGCATTGCTACCACCAAACCTGGCTAAACCACTGTGCCAGGCATGTACCTCCCCAAATCCCAAAAGCCAATCCACCCAGTAGATCCCACCCTCAACAAAGCTGTGGCACTGCTTCCGTAAGCACCAACAGTACAGGCCACTAAGGCACTCAAGACACCTCTGATATTGATCAAAACTGAAGAAATCACATGGAGAACTTACTAGTGCACCCACCCAGAATGAAAACCAAAGCACACTACCCAACTGATACTATAGGACATAGCTACAATAAAAAGTATTTTTCTATGAAAGCTACTCCATACAATTGGAAGGGATAACTGTTTCACCAGATGTGAAGGTATAAGTGTAGGTACACACACACAAGAAAAAAAATTTAAAGGAAATATGATACTTCCAAAAGAATACAATATATTTTTTTCAGTACCACATTCCAAAGGAAAGGAAAACAATAAAAGCCTGAAAATTAACTTAATTTAATGATCTTGAGGAAATTCAGCAAGATACAAGGGAATACAGATAGAGAATTTAACAAAATCAAGAAAACAATTCATGATCAGAATGAGAAATTCAACAAAGAGATAGATGTCATAAAAAATTCGTGAACAATCTCGGAGCTCAAGACATCAATCAATAAAATAAAAAATGTGATTGAAAGTTTCAACAACAAACAAACTCAAGCAGAAGAAAGAATTTCTGAACTTAAAGTGAGACTTTTTAAAATAATTCAGTAAAACACTGAAATTTAAAAAATAATAAAGAAGCCTATGGGACTTATGGATCACCATTAAGAACACAGACACTTGCATTATGGGATTTTCAGATGAAGAAGAGACAAGAAAAGACATAGGAAAGCTACTTGATCAAAAATAGCTGAAAACATCTTAAGTTTTGGAGGATACATGGACATCTAGATCCAGGAAGTTCAAAAGTTACCAAATAGATTCCATTCTGAGGTTCATTATAGTAAAACCATCAAAAGTCAAAGACAAAGTGAGAATATTAAAAACACCAGTAAGAAGGAATCCAATCACATATAAGAGAGTCTCTATTAGATTAACAGCAGATTTCTTAGCAGAACTTTTACAGGCCAGGAGAAAAAGGAATCATATATTCAAAGTGCTGCAAGAAGAGAAAAAGATAACTATCAGCCAAGAATACTACTGCCAGCAAAGCTACTCTTTAGAAGAATAGCTTATACAAGCTATCCTTGTAAAAAATCAGTAGCATTTATATATACCAATAATAAACTACTTGAAAAAATGTCAAGAAGCAATTCACTTACAATAGCCACAAAATATAAAACCTAGAAAGAAACTTCAAGATGAAACTATCTCTACAATAAAAATTATAAATCTATGATGAAAAAAATTGAATAGGACACCAACACAAAAAATGAAAAGGCATTCCATGTTCATGAATTGGAAGACTTGTTATTGTTAAAATGACCATACTACCCAAAGTAATGCACAGTCAAGGTGATCTGTATCAAAAAAAATAAAATAAAATTCTTCACAGAAATAGAAAAAAATCATAAAATTTTTATGGAACCACAAAAGACCCCCAATAGTCAAAGCAATTCTAAGAGAGAAGAATAAAGCTGAAAGTATCATACTTCCTGACCTAAAAATATACTACAAAACTATAATAACCAAAAAAGCATGAGATTGGCATTAAAGCAGACATACAGACCACTGGACTGAAGACAGAACCCAGAAAAAATCCACATATTTACAGCAAATATATTTTGAATAAAGGTGTGAAGAACGTTGGGCAAAGGACAATCTCTAATAAACTGTGCTGAGAAAACTGGAAATCCACATGCGGAATAATGAATCCAGACCCCTATATCTCAGCATATAACAAAAACAACTCAAAATGGATTAAAGACTTAAACATAAGACCTGAAACTATGAAAATACTAGAAGACAACATTTGGGAAACACTCCAGAACACTGGTATTAGCAAAGATTTTTATCTATAAAACCTCAAAAGGACAGGCAGCAAAAGCAAAAATAGACAAGTGAGATTATATCAAACGAAAAAGTTTCTGCACAGCAAAACAAATAATCAACAAAGAGAAGTGATAATCTTCAGAATAGTAGAAAATATTTGTAAATTATGTATCTGATAAGATATCAATATCCAGAATATGGAAGGAACTCAAACAACTCAGCAGCAAAGAACCAAAAATATTACTTAAAATTGGTAAATGATCTGAATATACATTTCTTAAAAGAAGACATACAAATGGCCAACAAGTATATTAAAAAAGTATCCTTAATAGGGATATGTAAATCAAAACCACAATGAAATATCATCTCACTCTAGTTAGAAGGGCTATTATCAGAAAGACAAAACATAACAGATGCTAGTGAACATGTGGACAAAAGGGAACTCATAAACTGGTGGTGAGAGTGTAAATTAGTAGTTATTATAAAATGCAGTATGTAGCTTTCTCCGAAAACTAAAATGGCACTACCATATGATCCAGCAATGCCATTATGAGATATATATTCAAACAGAAAAAAGCAATATGTCAAGAGATATCTGCACTACCTCGTGTATTGTAGCACTATTAATAATAACCAAGATATGCAATCAACTTAAGTTTCCATCAACAAATGAATAAATAAAGAAAACGTTGTATATAAACATAATGAAATATTATTTAGCCATAAAGAAGAATAAAATCCTGGCATTTGTGGCAACATGAATTAACCTGGAAGACATTATGTTAAGTGAAATAATCTAGCCACAGAAAGATAAATACTACATGTTCTCACTAATACATGGAAACTAATTCAGTAGAACTCACGGAAGCAAAGAGTAGAATACTGATAACTAGAGGCTGGAAAGGATGAGGAAAATAGGGGACAGGGAGAACTTGGTTAACAGATACAAATTACAGCTGGGCAGAAGGAGAAGTTTCTGTGTTTTATAGCACTGTAGGGTGACTGTAGATAACAATGATTTATTCTATATTTTCAAAGAGTAGAATAGATGAGTTTGAATGTTCCCAACACAAAGAAATGATGAATATTATAGTGATTGATAAGTACCCCAATTTGATTCATTACACATTGTATATAGATATCAAAATATCAGACTCTTGTCATATATGACCCATCATTATGTGTCAATTAACACTAACAAAATAGATAAATAAATAAATCCTAAGCAATCTAAAAAAAAAACCTACTAAATAAACAGTATGAATGGGTAAGCCAGACTGGGACACAATACTGGCAAAGCAAACAAACTTCTTCAGAGCATAGGAAACTAATAAAAAGATACAAAATATAATACAAAAAGGGGAAGGATATGAAGGCCTTTCTCAAAGCAAGGTATGTTAATGGAAAATAAGCACATAAAATCATGCTCACATGAACATTATTGTTCATGAGGGAAAAGTGAATAAAAACAACAATAACAAACATACCCACTAGAAAGTCTAAAATTATAAAGACTGACAACAATAAATGTAGCTGAGTACCTGGAGTATCTGTAACTCTAATACTTTGTCACTGGGAATGTAAAATAGTACTTTTGCTTTGGAGAAAGTTCAGGAAATTTATTTTGAATCTAAACACACACATATTTCATGACCCACAAATTTCACTTTCTAGGATTGACCTTAGAAAAATAAAATCATATGTCCATAAAAAGACTTGTCAAAAAAATGACCATAGGAGGCTTATTTGTAATAACCTAATACTGTAAATATTCCAGGTGTACATCAAGAGTAGGATAGATAAACCCACCGTGTTAATCTATAGAATGGGATATGATCCAACAATAAAAAGATTTAAAATATTGATACACAGAAGCAGATGGAAAAATTTCAAAAGCATTATGTTCAGTGAAAGATAGCTTATACAAAAGTTTATATCTTATTATTTCATTTCTATGAAATACTAGAACAGGAAAAACTAATCTATGGTTGAAAAATTAGAATAGCATTTGCTTCAGGTGTTAGATTAGAGGCAAAGATTGGGAAAGGGCATGAGGGGGTGGTAGGAATGTTATATTTCTTGCTGGTGGCTTGGCTTACACAGGCATATACATATGCCAAAGTTCATTAAATAGTAAACTTTAAATTTGTTTCCTTGTTTGAAAATTTTACCTCAAATAAAAAAAAAAAAGAACTGTAAACAAATATTGAACCCTAGTTGATACTTTGAATGCTGAAGTGTTTAAGGAGAAAGTATATTGATGTCTGCACCTTAGTTTAACATATTCATAAAAACTATAAGACAGATTGACAAAGAGATATATAGAAGGATGAATGAGTGGAGCGCTATCTAACAAAATAAATATTGTAAAAATAATATAATTTAGGTAGTGGGTATGTGAATATTTATTATTACATTCTTTTACTTCATGAATGTTTGAAATTTTTAATAGTGTACTTTGGGGACAATGCTACCAAAAAACAATGAAGGCACCTCTGTACTGTGTAACAATAAATGTCAAACATCATAAGCTATACCAAACATAGCAAGAAAACTTTTACTTTATTTTTTTAATTTAAGACATTAGTCAAATCTGTAAACATGTGACATTTAAGAAGAACTATACAAAGTGCTTTTAAAAGTTTAGGTGAATAATCTTAATGGGATATGATATTTGTAATTAGTTTTCTTGCACATTTAATGTACGTATCTTTGTTGTTACGCAATGTGCATTTCCTCGCTAAGTAAAAAAGTTACCTGGCCTCTCACAGTCGGAAAGCAGAGTTAGAATGAGAGAATCTTCAGTTTTAAACTGATTTTAGCCCTAGAAGTTATAATTAAAAGTTTCTTAATTTAACACTAGAATACAAAGTGACTTGCCTCAGGCCTTTTGCTTGGGTGATAGAGTGAGACAAGGACTCATGTTGTCTGACTCCTAGCAAACTGCTCTTCCTAATACACTATACTATCTTTTATTGAGCAGCCAAGTTTAAATTTGTATTAAAAAATCATATAAGACTCTATGTAAATGTTTTAATCATTTCCAAACTGCTCATATTTTTGTTCTTTAATTGAAACATAAATTCAGAAACAGGATATTAATTTTGTTTTCATTTTTCTACACGATGTTCTATAAACATTATAAATTATTCTCTAATAATATTACATTATATATGTGTGTATACACACACATATGTATATTTCCTAGAATTAGGAGTGTTGAAACAAGTCCCTTAATTTCCAGTGAGATTATTAGTTAACACAATAGCTAAAAAAATACATACATACCTTTCAAATTGTGGAAATCATTCTATAATAGAGTTTTATATTCAAATTACTTATTCAAGAAAGATACTTTTAAAAAATGTTATCAGACGCAATATAATTACATTTCCAAATAAAAGGACACCTTCTTGAAGATGCTCTTAAGATTCCGATAGGTCATTTTTTTTAAACTTCTGAAGATCTTAATTGCTTTCTATTGTTTGGATGATAAATGAATATGGCAAAAAGTTTAACAACTCTTTTAGCTCTCCATTTTCTCTTGTCAACTTGGCTTACTAAAGGAAACACTGAGAGAAGCAAATTCCTGTGAGTGAGATCAGAGAGTTCAGTTTATTCCTACAAAGGATTATTACTGGCACATGATAAGATCCCCCATTAGGTATTGAACATTATGTTCTTAAATTTCACAACATTTTACTATAAAATCTTTTTGTTGAGATTTCTTGGAATATAGAAAGAGTAGAATTTCTGTTTTTTTGTCAACTTGGTAAACCTTTGAATGAATTATATCCCCAGAGAAAAAATCATTTAGTATATTCCATGTTCTTAAAGAAGAGATTTTTTTTCTCAGATTCCACTGTGCAGTAGAGTTACTGGGGGCAAGTTCAGAAGGTTTTTTTAGCTTGAGCTTAAGAAATTTTGATTTGTAGAAGCACCCCTTAGATGATTTTGAGATCAGTGTTCCCAGGTCTAAATTGCTTTAACAATCCCTACAATTTTTAGAATTGATCATATAGGATCAATCAAGTATTATCTGCATAGTCTGTATGGCCACAACCCTAGTGATTCTAGAAGAACATTTTGGTCTAATCTCAAATCTTAGGAGAAGAATTTGTTGAAAATCAAATCTGTGAAAATCCAAGGAACTAAATGCCCTGGATCCCCTCATAGTCCTTAACACCGAATCCAGGCCAAATGCTATTGATGATCATTGCCTAGCTGACTGGATTTGAGCTTTTGTCATTAGTTGGAGGCTGGATCACTGTGACTCTGCTCCTACCTTGAACCTTCCTCACTAATTACAGAATCAGCCTGAACTTGTACTTCTAAAAATATGTCAAGTGGGTTTAGTCTTTTCACCCAGAATTAGCACTGAGGGCTCTTGCTGTCATGGAGTATCACCAAAGACCGAATTATAGAACTATGTTGCAGAGAGCCTATTTTCAAGGAAGCTTGAGAGAGCAGGAGAAACAAAATTTAGCATTACTGATGAACATATTCAGCAATATAAAAACTCAAAGACAGGGGAAAAATTAATGACATCTTTTTGGTAACAGTGGTGAAAAGCAAGATTTTAGAAAATAGCTACCATTCATTCTCTGGAAAGAACAAACGACAACATTGTTTCCATGGCACAAAAACAGATAGAGACTTTTTTATTTATGGAACAAAAATGATATGATCATCAGTAAAATGCTGTGTAGTGAAGCCAACCCTGAAGAAATCTAGGTCAGTGAAACAGAAAATAAACTCAAGGTGTATATTCTTGAGTCTAATGTGTGTATGTGCATAAATTTTGAAGCTTGGAGACATCAAATAACTTGCCTGTGGTCAAATGGTTAGTAAGGGGCAGGCAGAGTTACAATTCAAATTAAGGTACTGCTGACCTCATAGGCTGGGTTCTAGATTCTAAGTTTGTGTTTTTCCATCGTGCTATTCTTCTGTAGTCAATATATATACATACTTACATATATATACACACAATACATATATATGTACATACAAGGTAGATATATATGTATGTTTATATACATATATGTACATATATGTATGTGTATGCGTATATGCACAATATTTTTACCTTGTATGTTTGTGTATGTATATATATGTATGTATATAGGTAAATATATATATGTATGTCTTTAGCTATTGTGTTAACATGTATATACATATATGTCTGCCCTGTATGTATATATATATGTGTGTGTATATATATATGCATGTATATATATATATTTACTACAGAAGAATAGCATGATGGTAAAATATAAATTTAGAATCTAGAACCCAGCCTATGAGGTCAGCTGTACCCTAATTTGAGTTCTAACTCTGCCCCTTACTAACCATTTGACCACAGGCAAGTTATCTGATGTCTCCAAGTCTCAAAATTTCCTTTCTCAGTAAAATTAAAATTAAAACCTACTTGACATGGTCATAGGGAAAATGCAACTAAAAATTTATGCAAAATGCCTAGTATCTGGCTCATGGAAATCCAATAAATGACAAAAGATTACAAACACATAGGAGAGAACATTAAAATTCATCATGCATTTATAGTAAATTGCTAAAGAGAAGTGGCAAGAAACAGAAAAAACTATAATAACAAAAAGTAATAAACAGTTAAATTACTTACCATCCTAAGTGTCTTACATATATTAGCTCATTTAATTCTAACAAACCTGTAAAGTAAGTGCAACATCATCATTTTACAGATAAGGGTATTGAGTAATAAAAATAATTGGAACTTAGAGGAGGAGTCACAGTGTGATATTTTGGAAAGGGGCTATAACAGTCTAGGAAAAACTGATAATTTATGTCTTTTAAGAAAAAAGTTCTAGTGAAATTCTACAATTTAAGAAAATAATTGTTATGTAAGTCTCTAAATAAGAGAGAAGAAATGCTACCACCACCAAAAACAACAAAACATTATTTCTGCAGCTGCTAACATCAGAATGGCTTTGGAAATCTACATGACCAAAAAATTGTTGCAAATAATCAAGCTAGAATTCATGTACAAAGTGGAAAGAGAAACATTCATACACTTCCAAATAATTAAAAAATATAGCCCTTCTGCGAGAGCACTGGAGAGACTGCAGGTGGAAAATTCACTACTGGTGTAATTTATAAAATCAAGCTCTCATAGAAATAAATAAAAAACATCAACAAAAATAAAAGATTGTTTTGATAAAGAAATAATAATATGGACAACTATTATATGGTGCCACTGAGAGTTGGCACATAAGCAACTCCTCATCAGTATATTAAAAATTGTTCTACTTGTTCCTGCATAGGTAATGCCAACCTCGCGATAGCAATAAAAGGGAGAATCTGAAACAGTGTTTTCTTCTTGGAAATACATACTTACTGTACAGATCCCTTTGTACACTAAACATTCATTGAAATAGCCTTGTTTTCTACTTGTGTTTCCTATACTTTGTACATTGAATGGCCAAGTTTCAAAATGGTTTGGTTCAAAGTTGTGATCTACCAGAACTGCTTCTCAATCCTTGAAAAGAGTCAGTAGACTGTGGTTATACTGCAAGGAAGAGGCAGTAGGCTGTAGTTATGCTTCTGTGATATTTGTCAGGCTCTGCAGAAGACTTTTTTAAAACAGGCTTGTTTATTTGTCAATAAAAATGCACCATCTCATGTTGTTTTGACATCCTTTACAAATACACAATTATCTTCTTTTCTATAAGGTTAAATTCCATTCAGGTACATGATGATGCTTTCCCAATTTAAATTTGCAAATGAGGTAGCATAGTAAGATTAATTATGCAGTACCCTTGGTATTTAGGGGTTCACATTCAAAGTGTGTGTAGGAAGACCATGAGCTGGTGCAAAGATTAACTCTGACATTATCACTGTTTTTAGATCTGCCGGGTAACAGTTTTCATTTTATTTATGAGCCTCATATTTTAAATTGACGTTTATGCTGGGCAATGTGTGAAATTATTTGACTGTGACCAGACTTATTTATAAATTCAATGTGAATACTGACACATTTCATATGCTATTTGTATTTTAAATATATTGGAAATGGTACAATTAAAATATCTGAGTTTAAAGAGTGAAGGGGAGAGATACGGATCCAGTTAAGAAGTAATGTTTGAGTGCACACATATTTAAAAAGTTATAAAAGGAAAAGAAGCAATATGAACTACTTATCTCAGTGCCTGAAAATATGCAGGAAGCAAAAATAAGACCTGCTAACGCTGGCATATGAAAAGGACTTCATGAAATGTTAACTTAACACATTCAAAATCATATTATAATTAGTACCGGGTGAGCCATAAAATGTTCCTAAAAACACCTAGAAGTTAATATGCTTTTTTCTCTCTCTCTCTCTCACTCTCTCGCTCTCTTACTCTTGCTATCATCTTCATATTATCAAGTATAAAGGTCTTAATTGAAAGTTGTGTTCCTAGAGAGTGTGTACCTTGTCAAATTGCAAAATATTACAACCTCAGATGAAGTTCTCTTCAGGTATTGTGGGTCTGAGTGGACTCAGAGCTTGAGTGAAAACTTAAAGGTGTAGGGTCAGGTTTTGTACGTGACTGGTTGCCGTTTACTCTGATCTGTTCAATTTAAGCTGGTCTCCATATGTACAATGATACTAACAAGGAAAGGACAATATATCCAAGGAGTTCTAACAAGTTCATCTTATGAATCTTATGATTCTGAGGCATCCAGGAAAAGGAATGATACTATAATTACCAGCAATTTTTCTAACAAGGTACACACAATTTGTTCCCTTTTGTGTGACTCAAAATTTCTGACTCACATTTAGCATAATTCATTTCCCTTTAGTGAAAGTGTCAGTACTATTCTTTTCAAAATATTCCTTCTTCAGAATTCCCCTCTGCATTCAGAATGACATATGATAGCAATAATAGCAATAATTATAGTAATAACAATACCATGTATTTAGTGATTCAGGATAAAGTGATTGACACTGAAAACAATTATTGCTAGCATATAGTAAAGAAAAACTGGTTTGTTGGTAAGTAGAAGCATAAGACACTTGGCACTATTGAAATGATGAAATCTGTTACCAAACACACAGCTCACTGGAATCAATGAGTTTATCATGCAGACGGTGGCAGCAGAATACTGTGGACTTTTGATTTTTATATATCTCTCACTTATCTCACTAGTGGGCACACAGTAGGCACTTAATACAGTGCATTTTATCAGCAGGGACTGCCAAGTAAGCTTTTCAGACAAGAAGAATTGAGAAATCCTTGAGAAATTAGGAAAGACTTAATTTCTGAAAAAAAATGATTTGAACCAGAAGTATGTAAGGAAATTAGAATCAAGGCATATATCAAAAATAAGGCTAAGTTAAAGCAGAAGATCAAAAATTCTGTTCGACAGTCAAGAACAAAAGGATGCATATACAAGAAAAAAAGTGATAGGTTCAAAGTCTAGTCATTCAGTCAGGAACTTAGCATCAACAGATGTTGATATTAAAAAGGAAGAAAGGAAGCGAAGGAATGAGAGATGCTAGCACTAAAAACTGTGATAAATGATCCAAGAGTAACTCTAGTCTAGTATTTAGATGAACTCCCCTAAGGAAATACATAATGACAAAGCCAGATATGGGAGTGGAGACGGATGTTAATGATAATGGATAATAATGATAAGAACAACAATGGTACTTCTAAACTAGTAGTAGATAATAGACATGATACGAGAACCAAAAATTCTGAAAATTGACAAGTAAGTTTGTGGAATTTACTATTGTAAGTTTTTAAATTTAAAGTTTACCTGAAACATTTATTTGAGTGCATAATTACAATACTGAATAAATTATATAAGTTTTCAGATGTTTGAGTAGTAATGTAGTCAAGTTTTTATGGTTTTCCCTTCTTGCCTTGTTAGTAGTCTAACAATTATAATTACCACGAATTTGATCATATTTCCCTGAAATATTTAATAATCATATCATGTTTATCTTAATACCCAAGATTTAGAATTCTTCAACTACTAGCCTTTCCTTCCAGAAAGAGAAAATGGTATCAAAATATCAGCTCCAATTCCCTTGGATGAAGAAAGCTGGGACAGAGGGAGAGGAAAGGAAAGCAATGGTAATAGAAAGAGGATGAAGTGTAAGGGGGCTGACCTCTATATATAACCATGCCTCTGTCAATGGCACAGAAAATAACTAAGGCAGGTTTACCTTAGAGAAAATATGATTTCATGGGTGGCAAGTAGATTTTCTCATTCAATTCCTTCAGTAAAGATAGAAGAAAAGACCAAATCACATTTACTAGTGATGTAAATATATTTTAAAGAACACAAAAAATTTAATACAACAATAAAAGTTGAGACAATATAATTTTCTTTTATCTTCTTTCTCCATCTAGCCTCTTACTGGAATTCCCTCACTCTTTACTCCTCTTATATAGTCCTAAAAATGTTACTTTGCACTCTTCAGAAGGCATTAATCAATGGTTGTTAAAAAAAAAAATTCACAGAGCCTGAATCTACTTTACTTCAAGAATATATTTTTTAAAATGAACATAAGATTTTTTAATGTCAAAAAATTTTAAAGTTATAGTAGTATTACATAGTACATCAAGTTAAGTGTATTCAACAGTTTGAAAAGCTAAAGGTTTGATTGTCTCTTTTCACTAAGTGTAAAAATTAACTTTAAAATACTTTGAGGTCAAAGAAATTTTAGTTTTGTTATTCCAGAGAAATAGAATACACTCTTACATGTTAATTTCTAATGCTAGTCATAGAAAAACTCAAAAAACTTACAGATGATGAACAGATTAAATAGGGACAAAAAAGAAGTCAAATGAGATAAAAATTAAAACAGTGGAATTTTCCATATATTTCCTATCTCATCCTATCTTCCTAGCCCTGATGAAATAGAACATTGAAGGCCTATCCACTGAATATTACTCAAGTCTTAAAGAATTTTAATGAGTTTGTATCCTATTAAAATTCATATATGTCATTTTATAACTAAGTATGCTATTAATTTAAATCTAGTGGTTTTTTTGCACATTCATGGTTTAGATTACCTTTTTCAATTCTTTCTGTATCTTCGTATTATTTTAGGGAACAATGAAGCATTAAATTTAAAAAATCCTTCAAATATCCACTTTGAGCTAAACTAAGTGAAAAATCATCAGTGGAAAAACATGCTCATATTTTCTAAATAATTGCCACTAATCTTTTTGCTAGCAAGAAATTAGAGTGAAATAAAAAATAATGTATGTAAACTTATAAAATTCAAGTTTCACTCTATTAAGTACACAAAAAAAGTAAGACATACTGTATACTTCATTGACTATTTTTAACCTGTATGACCTTTAATTTGACTTTATATGGCATTCTACCTCTTTCATTGTTTTATAGTGTTTGCTATTTTTCCATTTTTTCAACAGTAGAATATAGTTACAAATGAAGAGATCATTCTTTTAATTTGAGACAATAATCCAACTCTTAGTGGTTAATATGTATTTTCCTCATTTTCCCCAAGTAAATTTAACTGATGACTAGTTTTATGTATGACAATAGATTACTGCTTTTCACTTTTTGAAAAAGTTATGGTAAAATATTTTAAAAACATAAAATTTATTGCCTTAACAATTTTAGATATAGAGTAAAACAGTGTTAATTATATGTACCTTGTTATGCAACAGATCTCTAGAACTTCAACTAGCAAAACTGAAACACTATACTCATTGGAAAAAACTTCCATTTAGCCTCCCCACATGCCCCTGGCAGCTACCACTCTGCATTATGTTTCTAAAAGTTTGACTACTTTAGATACTGGAATAAGGGAATCATGCAGCATTTTTTTGTGTGTGACTGGCTTATTTCATTAAACATGATATTATCAAGGTTCATTCATGTTGTAGCATATAACAGGATTTCCTCCTTTTTTAAGGCTGAGTAATATCCTGTTGCTAAGAAACTATCAACATGATAAACAGAAAACCTACAGAATGGAAGAAAATGTTTGCAGACTATGCATCTAACAAAGGTCTAATATCCAGCATCTATAAGGAACTTAAACAAATTTGCAAGAAAAAGAAACAACACTATAAAAAAGTG
Organism: Homo sapiens; assembly: GCF_000001405.40. NCBI lineage: Eukaryota > Metazoa > Chordata > Mammalia > Primates > Hominidae > Homo > Homo sapiens. The sequence goes on from NC_000009.12 coordinate 23,044,973, forward strand.
GGCAAAGGATATCAACAGATACTTTTCAAAAGAATACATACATGCGGCCAACAATCGTATGAATAAAAGCTCAACATCACTGATCGTTAGAGAAATGCAAATCAAAACCACAATGAGATACCACCTCACACCAGTCAGATGGCTATTATTAAAGGCCAAAAAATAACAGACACTGGTGAAGTTGTGGAGAAAAAGGAGCGCTTATACACTGTTGGTGGGAGTGTAAATTAGTGTAAATTGGTTCAATCATTGTGGAAGACAGTGTGGTGATTCCTTAAAGGCCTAAAGACAGAAATACCGTTTGACTCAGCCGTCCCATTACTGGGTACATACTCAAGGAAATATAAATCATTCTATTATAAAGACACATGCACATGGATGTTCACTGCAGCACTATTCACAATAGCAAAAATATGGAATCAACGTAAATGCCTATCAATGGTAGACTAGGTAAAGAAAGGGGGAGGGGCCAAGATGGCCAAATAGAAACAGCTCCGGTCTGCAGATCCCAGCAAGACCAACAGAGAAGGCAGGTGATGTCTGCATTTCCAACTGAGGTACCCAGTTCATCTCATTGGGACTGATTAGACAGTGGGTGCAGACTACAGAGAGTGAGCAGAAGCAGGGTGAGGTGTTGCTTCACCTGGAAGTGCATGGATCCAAGGGAAGCGGTGAGAGACTGTGCTACTCAACCCGGGCACTATGCTTTTCCCATGGATTTTTGAAATCCACAGATCAGGAGATTCCCTTGTGAGCCTATGCCACCAGGGCTCTGGGTTTCAAACACAAAACTGGGTGGCTGTTTGGGCAGACACTGTGCTGCAGGAGTTTTTTTAATACTCCAGTGGCACCTAAAACTCCAGTGAGAAAGGAGAACCGTCCACTCTCCTGGAAAGGAGGCTAAAGCCAGGGAGCCAAGTAGTCTCGCCTAGCAGGTCCCACTCCAACAGAACCCAGCAAGCTAAGAACCACTGGCTTCAAATTCTCACCGCCAGCACAGCAGTCTGGAGTCTATCTGGGACGATTGAGTTTGGTGGGGGAAGGGGATACCGCCATTATTGTAGTTTTAGGAGGCTGTTTTCCCCTGACAGTGCTAAGGAGACTGGGAGGTTTGGACCTTGCAGCGCAGCAAAGAGGCTGTGGCCAGACTGCTTCTCTAGATTCCTCCTCACTGGGCAGGGCATCTCTGCAGGAAATCCAGCAGCTCCAGTCAGGGGCTTACAGACAAAACTCTAATCTCCCTGGGACAGAGCACCTGGGGGGAGGGGCAGCTGGGGTCACAGCTTCAGTAGATTTAATCTTCCTGCCTGCCAGCTCTGGAGAGAGTGGCTGATCCTGACAAGGGGGATTCTCCCAGCACAGTACACCAGTTCTAAGGGACAGACTGCCTCCTTAAGTGGGTCCCTGACCCCTGTGCCTCCTGACTGGGAGAGACCTCCCAACAGGGGTTGACAGACACCTCATACAGGAGAGCTCTGGCTGGCATCAGGCTGGTGCCTTTCTGGGATGAAGCTTCTAGAGGAAGAAGCGGGCAGCAATCTTTGCTGTTCTGCAGCCTCCACTGGTGACACCGAGGCAAACAAGGTCTGGAGTAGACCTCCAGCAAACTGCAGCAGACCTGCAGAAGAGGGGCCTGACTGTTAGAAGAAAGACTAACAAACAGAAAGCAACAACAACAACAACAACAAATAACGCCCCAATAAGAACCCCACCCAAAGGTCATCAGCCTCAAAGATCAAAGGTAGATAAATCCACAAAGATGAGGAAAAACCAGTGCAAAAATACTGAAAATTCCAAAATCCAGAATGCCTCTTCTCCAAATGATCACAACACCTTTCCAGCAAGGCCACAAACCTCAATGGAGAATGAGATTGACGAACTGACAGAAGTTGGCTTCAGAAGGTGGGTAATAACAAACTTCTCTGAGCCGAAGAAGCATGTTTTAACCCAATGCAAAGAAGCTAAGGACCTTGATAAAAGGTTACAGGAACTGTTAACTAGAATAACCAGTTTAAAGAGGAACATAAATGACCTGATGGAGCTGAAAAACACAGCACGAGAACTTCGTGAGGCATACACAAGTATCAATAGCCAAACTGACCAAGCGGAAGAAAGGCTTTCAGAGTTTGAAGAATGTCTTACTGAAATAAGGCATGCAGATGAGATTAGAGAAAAAAAACAATGAAAAGGAACAAACAAAGCCTCCAAGAAATACAGGACTATGTGAAAAGACTGAGCCTACAATTGATTGGAATACCTGAAAGAGACAAGGAGAATGGAACTAAGTTGGAAAACACACTTCAGGATATTATCCAGGAGAGCTTTTCTAACGTAGCAAGACAGGCCAAAATTCAAATTCGGGAAATATGGAGAACACCATTAAGATACTCCATGAGAAGATCAACCCCAAGACACATAATCCTCAGATTCTCAAAGGTCGAAATGAAGGAAAAAAATGTTAAGGGCAGCCAGAGAGAAAGGTCAGATCACCTACAAGGGAAGCCTATCAGACTACCAGGGAATCTCTCTGCAGAAACACCACAAGCCAGAAGAGAGTGGGGGCCAATATTTAACATTCTTAAAGGAAAGGATTTTCAACCCAGAATTTCATATCCAGCCAAACTAAGCTTCATAAACAGGAGAAATAAATTCCTTTCCAGACAAGCAAGTGCTAAGGGATTTTGTCACCACCAGGCTTGCCTTGCAAGAGCTCCTGAAGGAAGCACTAAATATGGAAAGGAAAAACCAGTACCAGCCACTGCAAAAACATACCAAAATATAAAGACCAATGACACTGTGAAGAAATTGCATCAAATAGTGTGCAAAATAACCAGCTAGCATCATGCAAATCAAAACCACAATGAGATACCATCTCATGCCAGTCAGAATGGTGATTATTAAAAACTCAAGAAGCAATAGATGCTGAAAAGGCTGTGGAGAAATAGGAATGCTTTTACGCTGTCGGTGAAAACGTAAATTAGTTAAACCATTGTGGAAGACAGTATGGCAATTCCTCAAGGACCTAGAACCAGAAATACCATTTGACCTAGCAATCCCATTACTGGGTATATACCCAAGGAATATAAATCATTCTACTATAAAGACACATGCACACATATGTTGGAATAAGTAAAAAAGCTAAATAAACTAAAAAAATCAATGTTAAACTCTTTTTAGGTAAGTAGAGAACTGAGGTAGTGGCAAATCACTGCTCTAAACATAGAGGAGATGGATGGAGCATCACATTTTCTGTTATCAGAAACCCAGGAGGAAAAATTTTCCAGGAAACCAGTATTGAAGTAGAAAAATCTGAACTGTAATTGATGAATTGCTGGAGGCTCACTGTGGACAAGTTGAGAGTTAAAAATTCAGATGAACTGTTATGTCACAAAAAGATAGAGTTTGAAGAGATAAAGCAAGCATCAGAACCAGAGTCAGATATGGTAGGGATGTTGGAATAATCAGACAAGGAATTTAAAACATGTATGATTGATTTGATAAGGACTCTAATGCAAAACATAGACAACGTGCAAGAAGAGATGGGCAAAATAAGCAGAGATATTGAAATTCTAAGAAGGGATTAGCAAGAAATATTACAGATTAAAAGCCATGTATCAGAAATAAATAATGTCATTGAGGGGCTTATTCGTAGACTGGACACAGCTGAGGAAAGACTGAGCTTGAGGTTATATAGTTGACATCTGTAGACTACTTCATGCAACAACAGTAGAATAAAAATTCTTCTCAAGCTCACATAGAACATTCACTAAGACAGACCAAACTCTACATAATAAAACACAATTAAACAAATTTAAAATAACAAAAGTTACGAAATCTATACACTCACCACATTGGAATTAAGTTAGAACTCAATAACTGAGATATGGCTGAAAAATCCCCAAAGTGTGGCGATTAAACAACATATTTTAAAATAAATACTACCTGAGTAAAAAAGAAATTTTAAGAGAAATTTTAAAATATTTCGAACTCAATGAAAATGAAAATACAACTTGTCAAAATGTGTGAGATGCTGTGAAAAGAATGCTTAAAGGGAAATTTATAGCATTGAATGCATATATAAGAAAAGAAGAAACAACTAAAATCAATAATCTAAGCTTTTACCTGAAACTAGAAAAAGAGTAAATTAAATGCAAAATAATAAAAATTATAAAAATTAGACAATAAGGAATGAAATTGGACACAAAATATCAATCAATAAAATGAAAAGCTGGTGTTTTAAAAAGGTCAAAAAGTTAGCTTAAGTATGAAAAAAGAGAAGGGATACAAATTACTAATATCAGAAATGAAAGATAGGACATGATTCCAAATTCCATGGACATTAAAAGAATAATAAAATAGTATGAACAACTCTATGCCACAGATTTCACAACTGAGATGTAATGGGCCAATTCTTTGAAATAAACAATTTACTAAAACTCACATAAGAAGAAACAGACCAACCGAATAGGCCTATGTCTCTTAAACAAATTGAATCAATATTTAACAACTTTTCAAAACAGAAACCACCAGGCCTTGGTGTGTTCTTTGATAAGTTATATCAAATATTTAAGAAAGAAATTGTCAACCCTCAAAATCTGAGACAGGTCTGTCAATTTTGGAAGTTTATTTTGGCAAAATTAAGGACGCGCCTGTGACGCAGAATCAGGAGGTCCTGACGACATGTGCCCAAGGTGTTTCGAGCACAGCTTGGTTTTATACATTTTGGGGAGACATGCAACATCAATTAATCAATTAACATATGTAAGATGAACATTGGTTCAGTCCAGAAAGGCAGGACAACGTGAAGCAAAGGCAGGACAACTGGAAGTTGGGAAGAGGCTTCCAGGTCATAGGTAGATAAGAGCCAAATTATCTCATTCTTTTGAGTTTCTGATTAGCCTTTCCAAACCAGGCAATCAAATATGCATTTGTCACAATGAGCAGAGGGATTACTTTGAATAGAAGGGGAGGCAGGTTTGCCCTAGCAGTTCCCAGCTTGACTTTTCCCTTTAGCTTAGTGCTTTTGGAGCTGTGAGATTTATTTTAATTCCACAAAATTTTATTAATTCTCTACAATTTCTTCCAGCAGATAAAAGAAGGGGTAACACATACTAACTCATTCCATAAGGCTGACATTACCTTAATACTCAAACCAGACAGACATTACAAGAATGGAAAACTACAGACCACTATCAAGTCATTAACGTATATATACACACATGTATATGCTAAACAAAATATTAGCAAATCAATTCCAGCAATGTAGAAAAAGAACTATATACAACAACCAAATGGGATCTACTACAGTTGTGCAAAGCAGAATTAACATACAAAAATCAATTCATATAATCCATTATAGCAGCAGGCTAAAGAAGAAAAATCATATGAACATATCAACAGATGCAGAATAAGCATTTGACAAAATTTAACACTTATTCATGATTTTTTTAAAAAGCACTGAGTAAACTGGGAATAGAAGGGGACTTCCTCAACTTGACAAAGACTATCTACAAAAAGACTAGTTAACATCATAATTAATAGTTAGAAAAAAGAGTTTCTCATTAAGATTAGGAACATGGGAAGAATGTCCTCTTCCCCAACTCCTTTTCAATATCATACTGATTGTCCTAGTTAATGAAAGATAAGAAAATAAAATAAAACATTTACAAACTGAAAAGAAATAAGTTTATATATATGTGTTGAAACCTATAGAAATATATAAGACAAAAAGTGAACCCTAATGTAAACTGGACTTACGCAATAATGATGTGTCAATGTAGCTTTATCAGTTGTAGCAAATATACCATCTGGTATGGAATGCTGATATCTGGGGAGGCTCTGGGTGTATGGGGGCAGGGTGTGTATGGAAATTCTTTTAACTTTCTGGTCAGTTTGTCTGTAAATCTAATATCCTTTAAAAAGTAAAGTCTTTTCATTAAAATAAAAAACAATCCTACATTACTTTATTGGTGAATTCTACCAAGCATCTGAAGAAAAATTAATACCAATACTTGACAAACTCTTTCAAGAATCAGGAGAAAGGGAATAGATCCCAACTTATTTTATGAAGCCAGTGTTACCTGTATGTATACATAAAAGACATCACAGAGAAAAAGCTGACTAATATCCCTTATAAATATAGATCCAAAAATCCTAAACAGTATATTGGCAAACTGAATTCATCAGTATTTAAAAAGCACTGGTCATGGAGTTACGACTAAGTAATATTTCATCCAGGAATGCAAGGTTAACTTACTATATGACAATCAATCAAAGGAGCTGGGTGTGGTGGCACATGTCTGTAGTTCCAGCTACCGAGGAGGCTGAAGCAGGAAGATTGCTTGATCCCAGCAGTTTAAGGCTGTAGTGACCCATGATTATGGGTCACTGTATTTTAGTCGTGGGGACAGGGTAAAACAGTGAGATCCTTACTCCAAAAAAAAAAAAAAAGAAAATCAAAGTAACATAGTTTTATTTTATATATTATTTTATTCATTTAAGTATTCATAATTTTGTTATTTTATATTTTATTATTTATTAATATGTTCAAGAGAATAAAGGAGAAAAGTCACAAAACATCTAGGCCGGTAGCGGTGGCTTGTGCCTGTAATCCCAGCACTTTGGGAGGCCAAGGTGTGTGGGTAACTTGAGATGATGAGTTTGAAACCAGCCAACATGGCAAAAAACTATCTCTACTTAAAATACAAAAATTAGCAGGATGTGGTAGCACACACCTGTAATTCCAACTACTCAGGAGGCTGAGGTGGGAGAATTGCTTTAACGTAGGGGATGGAGGTTGCAGTAAGCAGAGATCCCACCACTGCACTCCAGTCTGGGTGACAGAGCAAGACTCCATCTCAAAAAAAAAAAAAAAAAAAATTCACAAAACAGCTAAATAGACACAGTACAATCATGAGGTAAAAAACATTTCTTGATAAAAAACATTTAATAAGCTGGGAAAAATGAGCTTCCTAAACCTGATGAAGACTATCAACATATAACTTAAATTTAACTTCATACTTATTGATGGAAGACTTGAATCTTTTCATATAAGATTACAAACAAGACAAGGATGCCTGTGCTTTCTACTATTTTATGTTGTACTGGAGGTTCTAGGCAGGACAATCAGGAAAGAAGAAATAAAAGTAATCTACATTGGAAAGGAATCTATTCCTCTTTACAGATGGCATGATAATGCATATGGTAAATAAGAGGAATCCACTGAAGTTTTCAAATGAATAAATGCATTCACCAAGGCTTCAGGATATAACATAAATATACAAAATGACATTTAAAATAACTACATTCACAATAATATCAAAAAGAATAAAATATGAATAAATTTAACAAATGAAGTACAAAATATATACTCTGAAAACTGCAAAATATTGTGCAAAGATATTTTGGAAACCTAAATAAATGGAAATACATCTCATACGATGAATAGAAAGACTTAATATTATAAAGATTGCAATACTGAACAAATTGATCTACAGATCAACATAAATCATCTTAAAACACCAGAAGACTCCTTTGCAGGAATTCAAAAGTTGATCCTAAAATTTATAACAAAATACAAGGGAACAAAAATAGTGAAAACATTCTTGAGAAGAACAAAATTAGAAGAATCACACTGATTTTAAAGACTAAAAGTCTACTGGAATCAAGACAGTGTGGTACTGGCATAGGGACAGTAGAAGAGAATTGAGAGTTCAGGAAAATATATACCAAACCCCTATATTTATGGTCAATTGCTTTTCAACAAGGATGCCATAAAAATTTAATGGATAATGATTAATCTTTTTTACAAAATTGTGCTGGAACAGTAATCAATATACAAAGAAAAAAAGAAGATTGACTTCTACCTCATACCTTACATAAAAATTAATTCAAAGCAGAGACCTAAATTTAAAAGCTAATTTTTTTCATTAATGTTTTCTAGGTTTTTAATGTACAGATCTTTCACTTCTTTGGTTAAATTTATTCCTAAGTACCTTATCCTTTTTTACTTTATTGTAAATAGGATTATTTTCTTAATTTCTTACTTTGGATATTTGTTGTTAGTGTATAAAAATGTACCTAGTTTTTAAATATTAATTTTGTGTCCTGCAATTTTATTGAATTTATTTATAGGTTCTGAGAGTTGTGGGGATCTGTCTATGTATATAGTTTTTAGGATTTTATATATATAAAATAATGTCATCTGCAGACAGATAATTTTACTGATTCTTTTCCAATTTTGATGACTTTTATTTCTTTTTCTTGCCTAATTGCTCTGTCTAGGACTTTCAGTACTTTGTTGAATAAAAGTGATAAGTGAAGGCATCCTTGCCTTTTTCCTGATTTTAGAGAAAAGCTTTCAGTATTTCATCATTGAGTATAATGTTAGCTGTGAAAAATTCATATGTGGCCTTTATTATGTTGACTAAATTCTTTTATACCTAGTTTGTTAAAAGTTTTTAATCATGAGTGTTGAATTTTGTCCAATGCTTTTCCTGCATCCACTGAAATGATCATGTAATCTTTTCTTTCACTTCTTAATTTAGTGTATCACATTAATTGACTTGCATATATTGGACTATCCTTGCATGACAGGCATAAATCCCACTTGGTCCTGGCGTGTAACTGATTCTTTTAACATGCTGTTAAATTTTGTTTGCTAGTATTTTGTTGAGGAATTTTGCATATATGTTCATTAGGGATATTGGCCTCTATTTTTCTTCTTTTTTTTTTAGCATCTGATCTGGATTCAGTATCGGGTAATGCTGACCTTAAAAAGTCAGGTTGAAAGTGTTCCTTTTTCTTCAATGTTTTGAAGGAATTTACGAAGGATTGGTGTTAAATCTTTCAAGTTTTTGATATAATTCACCAATGAAGCCCTCTTGTCCTAGGCTTCCCTTTTTTGGAAGTTTTTGATTACTGATTTAATTTTATTACTTATTTGTCTGTTCAGATTTTCTATCAGATCTCAATGGCATTTTTTATAAATGAAAAAATAAATTTAGAATTTTTATGAAATAGAAGCAACCTAGGTGACCATCATCAGATGAGTGGATAAAGAAAATATTTATTTTCTTTATCTATATGGTATATACACAGTGGAATACTATCCATCTTTCAAATTAGGGGAAATCCTGTCACTTGTGACAACATGGATAAACCTGGAGGACATTATGTTAAGTGAAACAAAACAGGCACAAAAAGATAAATACCAAATGATGTTATTTATATGTGAAATCTATAAAAGTTGAACTCATAGATGTAGAGAGTAGAATGGTGGTTATAAGAGGCAGAGGGAGGGGAGTGGATGAAGAAAGGTGAGATGCTGATCAAAGCATACAAAGTTTCAGCTAGAGAGGAGGAATAAGCTCTAGCACTCTATTGCATAGAAGGTTAACTGTAATATATAATAATGCATTATATATTTCAGATTGCTAAAAGAGTAGATTTTGTGTGTTTTCACCACAAAAAATAAGTATAGGACATCATAAGCTTGTCAATTAGCATGATTTAATCATTCTGCATTGTAAGCATATATCAAAACATCACATTGTATCCCACAAATATATAATTACTATTTATCAATTAAAAATAAAATTTAAACAATCATATGGAACCAAAAAAGACTATGAATAGCCAAGGCAATTCTGAGAGAAAACAAAGTTGGAAACATCACACTTCCTGATTTCAAAATATATTATAAAGCTACAGTAATTAAAAGAGTAAAACACTGCCCTAAAAACAGATACAGTGACCAATAGAACAGAATAGAAAGTAAGAAATATACTCACACATATAACACCAGATGCTCTTTGACAAAGTGTCAAGAACACAATGGAGAAAGGGTAGTTTTTCAACAAATGGTGTTGAAAATACTGGATATCCAGATGCAAAAAGGTAAATTTGGGCCTTTATCATATGTGATACTCAAAAACCTACACGAAGTGAATTAAACACTTAAAGGCAAAATCTGAAACTGTAAAATTTCTGTAAGAAAACTAAGGTAAAGCTTAATGACATTGAATTTGGCAATGATTTCTTGGCTATGACACCAAAAACACAGGCAAGAAAAGCAATAAAGGAGAAGAGGGATTACTTCAAACTGAATAGCTTCTGCACAATGAAGAAAACAATCAACAGAGTGAAAAAACAACCTGTGGAACTGGATAAAATATTTTCACAGCATATATTTGATATAGGGTTACTCTCCAAAATACATAAGGAACTACTACAACTCAAAAGCAAAAACAAATAAACATGCAAATAACCCAATTTCAAAATGGGCAAATGATTTCAATAGACGTGTCTCTAAAGAAGACTTACAAATGGCCAAATGGTATGTAAGAAGAGACTCAACATGGCAAATCATCAAGAAAATGCATAGGTAAACTACAATGAGACACCACCTTACTCCTGGTAGAACGGCTATAATCAAAAAGATGAAATAAATCTTGGTAAGCATGTGTACAAATTGGAACCTTTTTACACTGTCAGTGGGAATGTAAAATGTGCTGCCATTATGGAAAATAGTATGAAGGATTTTCATAAAATTTAAGAAATAATTACTATATGATCTAGCAATCGCACTCCTGGGTATATATGCAAAAGAATAGCAATCAGGATCTTGAATGGATAGCTGCATTCCCATGTTCATTACATCAGTATTCACAACAACCAAGATATAGAAACAACCTGAGTATCCATTGATGGATGAATGCATAAAAAACTGTGTTATATACATACAATGGAATACTATCCAGCTTTAAAAAAGAAGGTAATCCTGCCATTTGTAACTACATGGATGAACCTAGTGGGCATTATGATAAGTGAATAATCACAGAAGACAAATACTGCATGATCTCACGTATATGAGTTATCCAAAATATGCAAACTTACAGAAACAGAGGATACACTAATTGTTGCCAAGGGATGAGGAGAGGTGGAAATAGGGAGTTGCTCTTCCACAGGTATGTAGTTTTAGTTATACAAGACGAGTAAATTCTAGAGATTTGCAGTAAACGTTGGGCTTATAGTTAACAAAATTATATTTTGCACTTAAAAGTTTGTCAAGAGGATAGATTTCATGCAGTGTGTTCTTACGACAATTTAAAAACAAAACTAAAAGAAAATAAAATGGTTCTGTACATGTCATCCACATTAAGAAAATAAAATTTCCTCTCAAAATGAAATAAAATGAAAGTTAATGCTATATAACTCTTAGGAAAAAAATTAAAAGTAAATTTTTATGACTGGATTACATAATGTCCCTAGATATGGCACCAAAAGCTCAAGCAACAAAGAAAAATAGATGAACTGGACCTTATCAAAACTAAAAATATTTGTGCTTCAAAAGACATCATCAAGGAAGTGCAATGTTAACTCACTGAATGGAAGAAAATATCTGCAAATTATATGTCAGATAAGACACTTGTATCCAAAATATATCAAGAATTCTTACAACTCAAGATAAAAAACTCTAATCACCCTATTAAAATATGGGGAAATATTTGAATAGACATTTCTCCAAAGAGGATATATAAAAGGTCAATAAGCACAAGAAAACATGTTCATTATTTTTAAAGAAACGCAAATCCAAACTGTAATGTTATATCAACTTCATACCACTAGGATGGATACAATATTTAAATTTAAAAAAAAACATAGATGGTGACAGATACTGGCAAGCGTATGGAAAAATTGGAACCCTCATACAAAGATGGCAGTGATTAGTGTATCCTCTGTTTCTGTAAGTTTGTATATTTTGGATAACTCATATATGTGAGATCATGCAGTATTTGTCCTCTGTGATTAGATTATTCACTTATCATAATGCCCACCAGTTTCATCCATGTAGTTACAAATGGCAGGATTACCTTCTTTTTTAAAGCTGGATAGTATTCCATAGTATGTATATAACACAGTTTTTATGCATTCATCCATCAATGGATACTTAGGTTGTTTCTATATCTTGGCTGTCGTGAATACTGATGTAATGAACATGGGAATGCAGCTATTCTTTCCAGATCCTGATTGCAATTCTTTTGCATATATACCCAGGAGCACGATTGCTGGATCATATAGTAATTATTTCATAAATTTTATGAAAATCCTTCATACTTGGTGTCTAAACACCAAGAAGAGTTCAGCTGGGCTGGTTGGAGAGGAGATCACCCCCTGGACTGCCAAACTCCAAACACCAGGGGAAGATCATCTTCCTACTACATCCCTTGCTAAGGGATGTAAATTGTTCAGTCACCTTGGAAAACTGTTTTGCAGTTGCTCAAACTATCAGACATGTTAACTTTTTGATACAGACAGGAGACAGGGAAATACTGGGTAAAGAGTGTGGTTCCCTGTAAAGGCCCCACACTCAAGCCTGGAAACCTGCAGCCCTAAGCGGGAAAAGGCATTCTTGTTTTCCCACCCAAAAGTTGCCTTTTGGCCCACCATGCCCCTCTATCCTGTACCCATGTAAACCCCAGACCCCAGGCTCCAGAAGCAGATGAGGAAGAGATGAACGGAAGAGCAGAGGAATGGCAGAACAGCATGGAAGAGGGAAATGAAGGAGTGTCTGAACACAAAGAAGAGTTCAGCTGGGGTGTTTGGAGAGGAGATCACCCCCTGGACTGCCAGACTCCAGGGGAAGATCATCTTCCCACTCCATCCTCTTTCCTGCTCCTCATCCATCCTGCTGAGAGCCACCTCCACCACTCAGTAAAACCCTCACATTCATCCTTCAAGTTCATGTGGACCTTATTTTTCCTGGATGCTGGACAAGAGCTTAGGATACATAAAGAATGCTTTCATACTGGCCCTCTGCTCTTGTGAAAAGGCAGAGGGTCCACTGAGCTGTCTAACACTTAAGCTGTCTACAGATGACAAAGCTAAAGGAGCACACTGTAACATGTGCCCACTTGGGTTTGGGAGTCACATACTCCCATCCCTGGATGCTGCTGTGGGGTCAGAGCCCAGGGAAACTTGCCCTGGCTCCTGAACCTGCCTGCCTGCGTGTTCTCCATCGTTTCAGGGGTTTGAGCATGCATGGCAATCGAACAAGACGAGGCACACCCCTGCAAGGGGAATCAGGGAACTCTCTCGTTTCATTAAGACTTGCAATTCCACTACTAGGTATAAGAGGATGAAACATATGTCCACACAAATACTTCATATCAATGTTTATAGTGGCATTATTTATAATAACCAAAAAGTGGAAACAATTCAAATGTACTTCAAATAAGGAATGGATAAACACAATGTAGTATAAGCATACTAAGGCCTATTATTTGGTAACAGAAAAGAGACTTAGTGATACAAACTACAATGTGGATGAACCTTGAAAACGTTATCCGAAGTGAAAGAAGTCACACATAAAAGGCCACATATTGTATGATTCTATTGACATGAAATGTCCAAGTGACACAAATCCCTAGGGATGGAATGTAGATTATTGGTTTTCAGGAAACTGTTGCAAAAGAAAGGTGGAATAACTGCTATTTGGCAGGAGGTTTCATTTTTAGGTGTTGAAATTTCTTAGAATTTTTAGTAGTAAAAGTTGCATAACTCTGTGAATTTACTAAAAACACTGAATTGAATAAAGAGATAAATTTTATGGCCTGTTAAATATATTTCAACGCAGCTGTTAAAAAGTTAGGAAAAATTACTCAAAGGAAATTAAGAAAGCTCTCTTTCACCCCAGGAGCATTTCTACAGTTCCAGACATGCAATTTCTGCTTTAAACATCTGCTAGTAAAGTATTTGAATACTTGAAGTTCAAAAGGTCAATTCCACAGCTATATAAAGGCAGAAACAGCTGGAAATAGATGTCTTCAATTTTATTGAAAAGGTAATGTTAATTGGTATTGCAAATATTTGAATCAGAGAAAATTGTAACAAATCAACTAGTTAACTGTGTAAAATATATTGCTACCTCCATAATGTAAGAAGATTTTTAAATATATAATTTCTATTATCTGATTTAATTTTTCTATTTACATTTAATTTTGAGGTTTAAAATAAGAAGTGAACAATTGCAAATTTACAATCAAGCAAATAAAAGTTTTCCTTTATTTGTGCCACAAAACTTAGCTTTTATTATTAAAGATTTCCATGCTTTTTAATAGGAAACATCCTACAATGTTGTTTTTATTTACAGCCTTATATAAATATAAAACAAACAATGGAGATATAAAGATACCCATTTTGGTAGAAGCAAAACAAAACCCACATTTTTTAATAAAATGAAAGAACAGATATCTGTACTGTTCATTCATACTACAGTCTCATTCATTCTAAAATTTTATGAAAAATACATCTGTAACCTCTTTTGATTCAGAAAAACAGAATTCATTTGCCTAAGTTGAATGTGTGGTTTCCTCAGAGCCTCCACTATACCATAATAAAAGAATAATGAAGAAAATATTGCTATCCTAAAAACTGAGCTCACTTCCTTCTTTTGGGGTTGATCGTGGACAGGAGCATTTTAATATCCTAAAATTTGCTATGAAAGAAACCATTTTCCAGGCTTAATGGGCATACATTTTGAATATCAGCTAATATTCTCAGCAAGGAAGAGCAATTGGCGAATTTGTGGCTTATACTTCTGCTTATGTTTTTATACAAAGAACTAATACTAGTTTATTGGCCTTTATGCCCTGATCACAGGTATTAGCATATGAAAGTGGTGAATAATCTTGACTTCCTGATGTGGAATACAACTGGTGAAATTCAAACCTACTTGTGAAATTCAAGAACTGTTTCACAGATCAATCACCAGTAATGGCCTGTGCATGTGCAACCTGTTACTTAAACAAAGACCGTGCCTGCAGTTGAAAATGTAAGCAGAGGATTTATGAATTTTTCTGCTACTTTTCTTACTGTAGACTTGAGCTGTTCTCCTGGACTCAATTATGGTATGTGCTGAATAGTTAATACTCTAATATACCACCAAACACAGTCTAGATACTTACAGTCCCATAAAACGTAATGCTTCAAAAACCAATGACATAATTGATTTCCTGACTTTATACTGACTTCATTCTCTAAATTTTGGGGATTCATATACAATCTGATGATCTTTTGCATCTGTTTTGCAGACTTAACTAGAATTAGGTTTCAGAGAATTCGGCAATGTGACTAAATTTTGGAGTTATTCTCTTTTTGATCATTAATGCTCTATCCCCTGTTGAAAGGCAGAGTTTACTGCATTACAAGATAATTACCTTTAGAGGGTTTTATAAAGAAGCAATATTTTCTAGCAGGAAGTTAGTCACTCCTTTCATTAATACAATAATTAGGAATAATATGTCAAGTGCAAGATTCTGTTGTATGAATAACTCTTGTTATGTGGAATCATTCTAGCCTAAAGAATAGTTTTATGTATAACTTTTTATTTTCCTTTTTATATTTGCTATATTCTGCCCAAATAGCATTAAGATAGGAGAGAAAAAGGTAACACAGAGAGGAACTTCAGGCTATAGTAACTCTTTCACTATTTTTGCAATTTACGATTCCAGTATTAATTGCAAAACTCTCTCTGGAGTCTTGCTCTTTAAAGTAATATTTGTGGACCAGCAGCATTTGCACACCCTGGAGGATTTTAAGAAACCCAGAATTTCAGATTTGACCTCAGATGTACTGAATCAAAATTTGTATTTTAACATGATCTCAATTTATAATATTAAATGACAAACACCAATCTACACATGTCTATGTGTGTACATACATGTTTGTATATGTATGTACATGTATGCATGCGTGTACATATATTAATTGCACCCATTTCCATTTCTAAAGATAACTTTTCAACACAAACAATAAACTAACAGTGTGGGGGGAAAGTTCACCATAATACAAGAAGGCAACAAGGAAGAGTGTGGCTATCCTCACCTTCTGGCATTTAGAGGTCTCTATAAGAAGGCTTTGTGTTGAAGCTATGTATAAATAAGTGTGCTGCTTAACACAAGTTTCTGGGGAACACTATCTCCTTTATGACACTGTCTTGGGGCATTGTTGAGAGAGTCTCAGTTTTATATGTTTCATCTTTATAAAAGTCAAACAGGTGGACGCACGATGTTTTTTAACTAAGAATTGTGAATCTAAGCTTTAATTCCCTAGTTTTCACTTTTAAAAAGCTTCAAGTCCCCACTCTCTGGAGTCTCATCTTTCATACACTATTTAAATAATGGAATCTAAGTAACATTTAAACAACACTAACTAAGCTATTTTATAATATTTATTGAAGGAAATATTTAATTATTTCATGAATAGTCTGTTTGATTTATCTGTATTGGAAGTAGATTTACATAGCTCAACACCGATTGCATATGTAGTATAAACAGATGTAATGAAATATATGAAGGTCCTGGAACATATGAAAACAGTAGTTATTATAATGAGTGTGCCCATTTAATATCAACAAAAAGTCTAAAATATATTATTATATGGAATCAAGATTATAGCATGACTTTATTATAAAATTGGCTATGATATCAATGTTTTATTAAATATTGCTTCAGTACATATTTGTAAATATTTTCTCCAGTTCAAAAGCTACATTTTCTGGTTCACAAATATTAATATATTTGCTTCTTTTACTTCTGTTCAAAAGTAAGAACTTTTTTAAAAAAAAAAGTATAAGTAAGCTTTTGCTTAAAAGTAAGAACTTTTACAGCCATTCATGACTAAGATTTTTAAAAACTGAGAGCAATAAATAGTTTCTAGGTGTATTGATTTCATAGTAATTAAGATAAACCACTGAACCACTGAAGCCATGCTTCCCTCTCATTGCAAGGAGTAAAGTAGCAAATTCTATATTTGAGTAGGCTTCAAATAAAACTATTTTTGTACCTTAAATTTACAAAACATCTTCAGTTGGAAATGCTAAGGCTTTGCAAAAAAGGAAGAATATGGAAACATACAGAATTCAGCCAGGCTATAAAGAGATTGATGAAAAACTTAGCTACAACTTTGATAATGTGTGTGGTGAAGATCTTTTTTAATCAAATCAGGGAAAATAATTATGTAACTGCCTGAATGGAGGCATTCATATCTCCCAGTCAAACAGAAGTATACTAAATTGTATTTGGAAAACAGAGAAACACAAATTTTTCACTGCAATCAAGCGATGAAATAAAATACTTCAGATTTTAGTGGTGTTTTAGGATGTTTGCTCAAATCAAATAATTATATAGCCATATATAAACAGAAATTGTGAAAATCAACATTTTATAAACAGTATGGATCTGTGGTTCTCTGATATCATAGCAACCACAATAATGGCATATCATGTCCATCAGTGATGTAGAAAGAATCATTCTGACAGGTGCATTTTGAATTGAATTGAAAACAGCATAATTTCCATCAGTTGGCAAATGTATTATTATATTGCACAACTTCTTCATGAAAGGGAATTATACAGACGAATAAGAAGAATTGGCATAGCTCTAATCTACTGACTTGCAGAAAAAGCCATGTTTTATTTTTAAGTGACAAAAGCAAATTTCAGAGTAATGC
This sequence comes from Homo sapiens, assembly GCF_000001405.40. NCBI lineage: Eukaryota > Metazoa > Chordata > Mammalia > Primates > Hominidae > Homo > Homo sapiens. The sequence goes on from NC_000009.12 coordinate 23,062,484, forward strand.
GATTAAGATGATGCTATTCACGCGCAAACAACAACAAAAACAATATACAGAAGTTTAAATGTATATGAAAAAACACTATATGTATGTTATGATAAATGTTGATTGTCTATAGCAGGAATGAGTGATCCTACAAAATTCTTCTGCTTCCCCATTTTATTAGTTTGTTCTCATGCTGCTGTGAAGAGATATCTGAGACTGGGTAATTTATAAAGGAAGGAGGTTTAATTGATTCACAGTTCTGCAGGGCTGGGGAAGCCTCAGGAAACTTACAATCATGGCAGAAGGGGAAGCAAACACATCGTACTTCACATGGCAGCAACAAAAAGAAGCACCAAGTGATGAGGGGAAAGCCCCTTATAAAGCCATCAGATCTCGTGAGAACTCACTATCAAAAGAACAGCATGAAAGTAACCACCCCCATGATTAAATTACCCCCCACTGGGTCTTCCCACAAGATGTGGGGATTATGGGAACCACAATTTAAGTTAAGATTTTGGTGGGGACACAGTGAAGCCATATCATTCCGCCCCAGGCCCTCCCAAATCTTATGTCCTCATATTTGAAAACATAATCATGCCCTTCCAACAGTCTCCCAAAGTCTTAACTCATTCCAGCATTAACCCAAAAGTCCAAGTCCAAAGTCTTATCTGAGACAAGGCAAGACCCTTCTGCCTATGAGCCTGTAAAATCAAAAGCAAGTTAGTTACTTCCTAGATACAATGAGGGTACAGGTATTTGGAAAATACACCTGTTCCAAATGGCAGAACTTGGCCAAAACAAAGAGGCTAAAGGCCCCATGCAAGTCCAAAATCCAATAGGGCAGTCATAAAACCTTGAAGTCCCAAAATGATCTCCTTTGACTCCATGTCTCACATCCAGGGCATGCTGATGCAAGAGGTGTGCTCCCACAGCCTTGGGCAGTTCTGCTCCTGTGGCTCTGCAGGGTGCTGCTCCACTCCTCGCTGCCATCACAAGCTGGAATTGTCTGTGGCTTTTCCAGGTGTAAGCTGCTGGTGTATCTACTATTCTGGGATCTGGAGAATGGTGGCCCTCTTCTCACAGCTCTGCTAGGCAGAGCCCACTTTTCCCTTCCATTCTGCTCTAGCAGAGGTTCTCCATGAGGACTCTGCCTCTGCAGCAACCTTCTGCTTGGACATCCAGGTGTTTCCATACATCCTCTGAAATCTAGACCAAGGTTCCCAAACCTCAGTTCTTGACTTCTGTGCACCCACAGGCTCAATACCGCATGTAAGATGCCAAGGATTAGGGCTTTCTCTCTCTGAAGCAATGGCCTGAGCTGTACGTTGGCCCCTTTTAGCCATGGCTGGAACTAAAGCAGCTGGGGCTCAAGGCACCATGTCCAGAGGCTGCATAGAGCAGGAGGGCCCTGGGCCCAGCCAAGAAAACCAGTTTTTCCTCCTACACCTCCAGGCCTGTGATGGGAGAGGCTGCTGTGAAGGTCTCCGACATGCCCTGGAGACATTTTCTCCATTTGTCCTGGTGATTAACATTTGGCTCTTTGTTACTTATGCAAATTTCTGCAGTAGGCTTTAATTTCTCCTCAGAAAATGGGGTTTTCTTTTCTGTAAGATGTTCAGGTTCCAAATATTTTCCAAATTTTATACTCTGCTTCCTCTTGAGTGCTTGGCCACTTAGAAATTTCTTCTGTCAGATATCCTAAATCACCTCTCTCAAGTTCAAAGTTTCACAGATATCTAGGGCAGGGCCAAAATGCAGCCAGTTTGTTTGCTAAAACATAGCAAGAGTCACCCTTATTCCAGTTTTTAACAAGTTCCTCATCTCCACCTGAGATAACCTCAGCCTGGACTTCATTATCTCTATCACTATCCACATTTTGGTCAAAGCCATTCAAAAGTCTCTAGGAAGTTATAAACTTTCCCGCATCTTCCTCTCTTCTTTTGAGCCCTCCAAACTGTTCCAACCTCTGTCTGTTACCCAGTTCCAAAGCTGCTTCCATATTTTCAGGTATCTTCATAGCATTGCCCCACTATTCAGTATTAATTTACTGTATAAGTCCATTCTCACGCTGCTATGAAGAAACACCTGAGACTGGGTAATTTATGAAGAAAAGACGTTTAATTGACTCAGAGTTCTGCATGGCTGGGCAGACCTCAGGAAACTTAAAATCATGGTGGAAGGCAAAGCAAGTACGTCCTTCTTCACGTGGGGGCAACAAAGAGAAGTGCCGAGCAAAAGGGGAAAAGCCCCTTATAAAACCTTAAATTCCCAAAATGATCTCCTTTGACTCCATGTCTCACATCCAGGGCATGCTGATGCAAGACATGTGTTCCCTGAGAACTCTCTATCTCTCGTGAGAACTCACTCTCATGAGAACAGCATGAGGGTACCTGCCCCCATGATTAAATTATCTTCCACTGGGTCCCTCCAACAACACATGGGGATTATAGAAATTCCAATTTAACATGAGATTTGGGTGGGGACACAGAGCCAAACCATATCACCCATGTTTAACTAATTCTGACAAATACATATTATATCTGCAATTCTTAGTAGAAATATAAAAATTGTTCTTAAAATTAAGGTAGTAAAAAATAACCCAAATTTAATCAAGATTTTACATATAGCTACTAGTTTCCAGGAATGGGAAGAATTTAAAAAATTATTAAAAAATACTGCTAAAGTAAAAGAAAACATAAATAAATGAACACATATACATGTTTATGTATTGAGAAAATAATTATTGTTAAAGCACCCATCTCTGCAAATTTATCCATAATTGTTAGTGTGCGTACATTGACAAGCCAATTCTAAAGTGAATTTGGAAAATAAAAATTATTGGGTAAATAATACAATTTTTTAAAAGAAGAACAAAGTTGGAGGAATTTACATTGTCTGTTTCAATATTTATCATAATTAAAATAGTGTCTTTCTAGTGCAAGGATGGACAAATGAACCAATGGAACAGAAGAGAGATTAGGATTATATATTCAGTTACATGTTTTATGGCAAAGATGTTACTGCAATTCAGTGGATTAAAACATTTAATAAATGATGTTAGATTAGTTGGATATCCACATGGGAAAAATATTGCCTTACACAATACACAAAAATTTATTCACAATGAGTCATACTCATAAATGATATGTAATATAATGAAGCATGTAAAATAAAACATAGCAAAGATCTTCATATTATTGATCAAGATTTTTGAATGTGACAAATCAAAAAAATCTATAAAGCCATTAAATCCACTGAAAAGTAAAATCAGAGATGTGCAGAAGAGTCTTGCTGTCTATCTATCTATCTATATATAGGAATTTTATACAGACACATAAAGATGTCCCATAAATTAATGAGAAAAAGATATATAATATAATGAAAGCATCTGGATTCCTGTTTTCTACCAAGACAGAATAACAGGGATAAACTTACTCTCTTGTGTTAAACAATTAGATAAATACAAAAAAACTAGAACACAAAATACTAAGCTATATGAAGCAGCTAAACAACTAAAATATATTACAGTAAAATATATCCCCCCCCAAATTTCAGTTTTTTGACAATTAATGCTGGACTGTGGTATCTAAGAAAAAAGAAAGAAACAAAGTAAGCCCTCATTGTCTCCAGGAACCAGCTTAGTGCCTAGAGAAAATTTCTAGGACACAGAAAAGAAAGGGACAAACAGAGAATGGCGGTCTCACTGAATTGATTAATCAGAGATTGTACGTCAGGAAATTTAGGGTAGCTAGAATTTAGGATCAGAGGACTAGAAATAAAGAAGCTGCACAAAGGGAGAGCTCATGAGATCTGCAGAAAAGTCTCCTTAAGACTAACAACTAGTCTTTGGCTAAAGTCTGTTTTGCAAATTGATGTGAGAAAAGTACTCAAGGCCGGGAGGGAATCATAAGACAGCAATACAAACAATTTCAGAGATTATTTCGGGCTCAAAATAATTCATGTTCCACTAGCCACAGTGGAATCATGACACACAAACACAAACAAAAAGTCAATTTAAAAAAGATAGAATAGGTAGTATAAAGAAACAATGAAGAGATGGGATAAATAGGAAGCAAATAGCAAGATGGCACATTTTAATTTGAGTACCTTTTAATTTAAATATACTATCTCATTAGATATAATTAGTCTACACACTACCAACTTTAATGTAAAGATATATACATTAGCTAATAATGAACACATCAAGTCATCTTATATGCATGCAGATATAAGAGTTTCAAAATATATGTCTAGGAATGGACAAAATCTAGCTTATCTGTAAAACTGTATCTACATAAAAACTTTAACAACTATTATAGTTAATAGAGTGATATTGAAAGCTTTTCCTTTGAAATACAGAAGGTGTCAAGGATGATAGCTATCACTACATCTACTCAACATCAAACAGAGGGTCTTTGGCAGTCAAATAAGTTTTATGAAGAAAAAAGATGTGTAAATATAGTAAATAAATAAAGTTTGAATTATTTATAAATTATAAGGTTGGATACACATAAGAAATTCAAAAGTCAAAATAAATTAATAGAATTAAGAAACAAATTTAGCAAAGTTGTTTGTATTAATAATAAGTTTAGAATAAAATACTAAATTAAATGTCTATATCCATTAATAATTAATTAGGACACAAAAAGCTTTCAAGAAGGAATAAAAAATTTATCAATTGTTTAGGCATAAACCTAAAGGAATAACCTGCTAAGTTCCCTATTATATTCTAAGTATTTATTCTTATTAAAAAGAAAGAAACTAAATAAATGTAAGGATTCTTCTTGTTCATGGGTTGGAAGACTCAGTACTAGTAAGTTGTTCATTCTGCCTTCATTTATCTACAGATTCAATGAAATACCTAACTAAATCATGACAATCTGGGGGAAAATTCTAATATATATGTCAGAAATAACCATGACTATCTTAAAAAATGAATAAACTATGACAACTTATTGTACTACATGTTAATAATTATTATGTGATAATTAAGATTAATGATAATCAAATAACCAATAAAACAAAACAGTGCACCCAGGAGCAGGATCATCCATTTTTGATTTATGACATATTTGGTACTGCAGAGCTCGTGAAAAAGACAGTTCTTTCCAAAATAAAATTCTATGTCAATTAAACGTATCTGTGAAAAATCTTGACCCCTGTTTTACACCATACATATGTCAGTTTAAAGTGTGTTGTAAATAAAAATGTGAAGTAGAAAAAAAATAAAGATTCTAGAAGAAAATATAGAAGAATATCTTTACGTCAAATACTTGAACAAGATAAAGCTTTTTTTCAAATGGTAAAAAGAAAACATGAAATATAAGAGAAACTATTGATACATTGTTGTACAATAAAATTAAGATATTCTGTTAATCAAAAGGCACTAGTAAGAGAGAGAAAGACAAACCACAGTGTTGATGTACGTATTTGTGATATATAATACAAAGTCCTTGCATACAGAATATAAAAAGCTCTTACAAATTATATAAGAAAATAAGCAAGCACACCACTAGAACAAAAACAGGGAAGAGACATGGATAGGCAGTTTAAAAATATAGAGATGCAAATGGAAAAAATATATAAAGAAGTTTTCGATTACATTATTCATCTAAAAAATACTAATCAAGAGTTCAGTGGTCGCTAGAGAAATCAAATCCAAACCACAATGTGATACCATCTCAGGCCACTTAGCATGGCAATCATTAAAAAGTCAAGAAACAGATGCTGGAGAGGATGTGAAGAAATAGGAACACTTTTACAATGTTGGTGGGAGTGTAAATTAGTTCAACCATTGTGGAAAAGAGTGGGGCGATTCCTCAAGGATCTAGAACCAGAAATACCATTTGATCCAGCAATCCCATTACTGGATATATACCCAAAGGATTACAAATCCTTCTGTTATAAAGACACATACACTGGTATGTTTATTGCAGCACTATTCACAATAGCAAAGACTTGGAACCAACCCAAATGTCCACCAATGATAGACAGACTGGATAAAGAAAATGTGGCACATATACACCATGGAATACTATGCTGCCATAAAAAAGAATGAGTTCAAGTCCTTTGCAGGGATGTGGATGAAGCTGGAAACCATCATTCTCAGCAAATTAACACAGGAACAGAAAACCAAACACCGTATATTCTCTCTCATAAGTGAGAGTTGAATAATGAGAACACATGGACACAGGGAGGGGAACATTACACATCGGGGCCTGTTGGGGGGCGGAAAGCAAGGGGAGAGAGAACATTAGGACGAATGCCTAATGCTTGTAGGGCTTAAAACCTAGATGATGGGTTGATGGGTGTGGCAAACCACCATGGCACATGTATACCTACGTAACAAACCTGCATGTTCTGCGCATGTATCCCAGAACTTAAAGTATAATTTCAAAAAAAAAGCACATGCTAGAATGTCTAAAATTAAAGACAAAAGTGTCAGGAAGGATGTAGTATGCTGACACACTTCTGTTGGGACTGTAAAATTGTACAGCCACTCTGGGAAACTATTTGAAATTATTTCCTAATGTTGAGTATAGGTCAATAAATAGGTAAATTAGCAAAAGATAAGTACATAGTAGCATAATTAGTAGTAATCCCCAACTGGGAAAAAGTCAAATGCTCATCCATAATTGAATACATAAACAAACTGTGATATACTGAAAATGGAAAATTACAAAATGAAAATAAATGAATTACAGATACACATAATATGAACGAATCTCAAAAACAAGATTTATCAAAAGAAGCCATATATAAGGATACAGACTGTATAATTTCATTGATGTAAAACTCAAAAGCAGCTATAAATATTGTGTGAAAACTCGGGTTAGCTGTTATCTTTAGGGAAGGGCAAAGGGTAGTGATTAGGATGGAAATAGTAAGGCAGCTCCTGAGTGCCAGCAATATTCCATTGCTTGATTCAGGAGGGTAGTCATATAGCAATTTGCTTCATGATAATTCATTCATCTGTACAATTATATTTTATAAACTTTACATTATGCTTATTATACCTCAAAATAAAGGGTTAAATAAAAAATTAAAGTATTATCTGCTTTAAAATAAATACACATATGGTAAGAAAAAAAATTCCTGTTTTAAAAGCCTGGAAATAATAAACAAAATGGAACAGAATAGAGAACATAGAAAAAAACCCATGCACTTACAGAAAACTGATTTTCAACAAGGGTGCCAAGAACACACAATGGGGAAAGAATAGTCTCTTCAATAAATGGTGCTGGGAAAACTGGATATCCACATGTAGGAGAATGAAGCTAGACCCCTATCTCTCACCATAATAAAACATCAATGCAAAATGGATTAAAGACTTAAATGTGAGACCCAAATTGATAAAAACACCAGAAGAAAACAAGGGAAATTTTTCATGACTGGCCTGAATAGGGATTTTTTGAAATAAACCGAAATAGCAGAGGCAACAAAAGCAAAAATAGACAAATGGGATTACCTCAAACTAAATATCTTCTGCATAACAAAGGAAACAGAGTGAAAAACATCCTTCAGAATGGGAGAAAATATTTGTAAACTATATATCTGACAAGAAGCTAATATACAGAATACGTAAGAAACTCAAACAACTCAACTCCAAAAAAAAAAAAAAAAAAAAACCCTGAAGAGACCGTTCTCGGAAGAAGGCATAAAAATAGCCAACAAGTATGTGAAAAAAATGTTTACATTATAATTATCAGGGAAATACAAATTAAAACCAAGTTAAGATATCACTTCAACCCAATTAGAATGGCCATTACCAAAAAGAAAAAAAGTATCAAATGCTGGTACCAATATAGAGAAAGGTGAACTCATATCCTGTTGATGGGAACATAAATTAGTATAGCTAATATGAAAAACAGTTCATCACAAATTAAAAGTAGAATTGCCATACGATCCAACAATTGCACTATTGGGTATATATGCAAAAGAAATGAAATTAGTGTATCAAAGAGCTATCTGCACTCCCATGTCTTTTGCAGCACTATTCACAATAGCTAAGATATGAAATCAACCTAAATGTCCATCAACAGATGAATGCATAAAAAAATGTGGTATGTACACATAATTAAATACTATTTGGCCAAACAAAGAATGAAATCCTGGCATTGTGGCAACATGGATGAATCTGGAGGACATTATGTTAAGCAAAAAAAAAAAAAAAAAATGCCAGGCACAGAAATACAAATACCACTTGATTTCACTCATATGTGGAATCTAAAGAAGCTGATCTCATAAAGGTAGAGCATGGACGAGTGGGTACCAGAGGCTGAGGTGGCCAGTGGGGAGGGAGAGATAAGGAGAGATCTTGTCAAAGGGTAAAAAGTTACAGTTAGATAAGAGGAATGAGTTCTGGTGTTCTATTATTATATTACATGCATGTTCTTTACAGATACAGCTGCAAAGACTGCAACCTCCTATTGTTAATTTGTGCACTCCCACTAAAAATGGATCATCTGGGCCAGGTATGGTGGCTCATGCCTGTAATCCCAGCATTTGGGGAGGTAAGGCAGGCGGATCACAAGGTCAGGAGATCGAGACCATCCTGGACAACATGGTGAAACCCTGTGTCTACTAAAAATACAAAAACTAGCTAGGCAAGGTGGTGCGTGCCAGTAATCCCAACTACTCAGGAGGCTGAGGCAGGATAATCGTTTGAACCAGGGAGTCAGAGGTCGCAATGAGCCAAGAGATGCTGCCACTGCACTCCAGCCTAGGGACAGAGTGAGATTCTGTCTTTAAAAAAAAAAAAAAAAAAAAAATTCATCTGATTGTAAATTCCTTGTAAGTAATCTAGCAGAGGTAGTCATAAAATCACCTCCATAATTCTGCTTCCACTGCAATGCACTGAGTCATTGGAATGGCTATTTTCTTTTTATGTAAAAATAATTCCTGATACTTTTATGAAAAAATTATAATCTTACTCTTTCATCTCATGTTTCTTCTCCTTGTAAATCCTGGAGAATAGTTAACACATGGACATATCACAGCAGGAGAGTAGTGCATACATGGGGATCATTTAGAAGAGACTGATATTTAGAAAAATGCTTTAGAGGCAGCCTGACTTAAGAAGTGCAAGACTGCTATGAATAGTCAATGAACTCCTATAAATGTAGAGCCCATGTCTTGATCATTACTTTCTTTATAGTACTTGGCCACAATACTTAGCACACATAAGAATTCACTTAGTGTTGAATATATTAATGACCAAGAGATAATGTTCATTTAGTACATCAAAACTTGGCTTGTCCTACCTCAGTTGTGGGAATAAGTAAAAACCACACCAGCTTAAACTGCAAAAAGCAAATGGCTTGACCTTCTTTGATCTTGTAGACTCCCTGAAAAATAACTTTGCATGACTGCAACTGTCTTCTGAAATGATTGGCTAACGCTCTAAATTCAGAAGACTTGAACTTTTTACACAAAATTTAATTTTATGTTGTTAATCTATAAGAGTTAATCCCCTATTTCATAAATTTTATAATAAAATTTTTCTACATACTCATCAAATTAAATTGCATACTTTCTAATTATTGCCATGCTTTCAAATGAAGTTGCATAATATTTTATGCAAATGATAATGGGACTAATAATCAAAAGAGCCACATTCTATCAAATCCTGCCATGAATTCTTAAGAAAATGAGTTTATTTGCCTGGGACCTTAGTCTGTGTTTATAAAATAAATAGGTTAAAGTCGATCAAGGTTTTCTAAAGTGATTTTTTTAAAGCCTCTTAAAAGTTCACAAAATCAATTAAGTGGTTAACATCAGCATTTCAGCATTTTTAAAATAAGATGGAAGGGAAGGAATATTATTATAGGGTATCACATATAAGGATAAATAAAGTATTATGAGAATTATTTGCAAATTCTAATGTGTGCCAGTGTGTATATTGCATTGTGATGAAACATGCCTTTACTGTGGACTCTATTTTTTTTAAAAAAGGCACTGGGCCAGCCAACTTCCAAAGTTGACCAATTCCGATTTGCAGATTCTATCAGTTTTAATCAATCAAATCATTTTTGCTTCATTCATCTTATAAAAAAACATAAGATAAATTATCATATGGGAAGATGTACAAATGTTGACACCAAATAATGTAAGACACTAATAACTTTGGATTGCTAGCTATCAATAATAACTTTGTGTCTTTAGACATTTATGTTCCCAGAACACTGTGATATTCCATTCTTGAGATACTAATTTGCTATTTGTTGTGTCTACCGGTTCATTTCCCTGTGTAAAGTATAATATTGTTATTATTGGGAGGTCATCTTTATTTGAAAGTGCTTTCACAAGCACTTTCTTTGTCTGCCTTGACTCTGGAGGAGGCAATGACTATAATTTCACTTATATTTTCTTTCTAGATTCCAATTCCTTCTACATATTGATAGTTTCTCACAGGTAACCCTTGTAGCATAAAAATAACAAACTGCTGTGTTAATTCCTGAGAAGAAGCATGAAGTATTTCTATCCCTTATTCAAAGATGCTGCAGCCCATTGGAGCTGCAAGTTTTATGTTAGAGACTCCCTTTCAGATTTCTTGCTTTCTTGGAAACCAGGGCAATACTTCAACCCCCAGGTACCTGGGTCCTTACTTAAAAACAAAACAACTGAGCCCTCAGTTTTGGCATCCTTGTCTCCACTTTCTGAATTGGTTTTGATTTTGCTCCTTTTTTTCTAGCACTTAAAATTCTACATTAAGGAAATTTTTTTCTTTTGAAAATCATATTTATTTAGAATTTCTGTGTCTGCATCAGTTGTGCTACTCTGCCATATCAGCTCAAGTTTCCTTAAGGACAAACGTCAATCTTCAAGATTTTTTTAAGTGAAGGTTTCATTACTCATATCTACTTTTTGAAAGGTGACTCACTTCCAGTTCAAGAAGAAGGACTAGATTGGTTGTCTCTACTTCCCAGCATAAATTCCTCATGAAAAAAGAATGTATTGTTAAAGTACATAATTATCAAATGGAAAAGGCCCACCAAGTCCCAGTTAGGATAAATGACCAAGGACCATTCTTAGACTATCAGGGCAAAATTTAGAACCCTGGAGTAAGGAAGAAAAATTATAAAAGCTTCCTAATGAAAAGTAACAGACTATTTAAATAACAAAAAATCAGATTCGTCTCAGCTTTCTTATTTGTTACATTGAACGTAAGATGACAGTGGAATGTTGTCTTCAAAGCACCATTGTAAAAAAAATGAAGTTAAAATTTTATACATTTATAGATATAATGAAAGCTAATCTATCACTAATTTGTAAGGGAGAAAATACAGATCTTCGGAACTGCAAAGACAATGAACATTTAAGCATTACTAACGGATGTATTTTAGCAAGAAAAATACATTCAGTAAGAAATGGGATACAGGAAATAAACACTAGGGAAAAAATACCTACTATTACATGTAAAATTGATGCTTAAAAATAAAAGTTTGAAGCTAAAATCTCAAATGATATTTTTAAAAATTATGTCAAACTTATTTTTTCATCCAAAGAGAATACACATCAGTCAAAATTAGGTTGAGTTGCACATAGCAGTAATAAGTAATTCCAAAGGACAGAGTTATCTTTCTCATGTAAAATAATTGTCTTGAGGTAGGTGATCCAGTGCTAATATGATGACTCCACTATTATTTATGTAACATTTATATTAAACATTTAATATTTAAACATATTTTTCCATCAACATGGAAAATTAATCAGCAACTATAACATTTCCTTCCAAATAAAAATGCTTTTTGCAAGCTGTCACTTTCTTCCTCTTCCAATATCCCATATTTTGTTGAAATCTTCTGGAGTTTTAATATCTGGTTTTTATTATATTTTCAATATGCTTCTACTTTCATAGATGTAAATTTTATAGATTGTCTTAAGGTTTACAGCCACACCTTCAACTATTAAATATACTTAACTATAAATTTTGCTGGTTTATTTGTTCAACACCGTTTTACATATTTTGAAAGTTCAATAGTTCTTGAACTCAATTTTTTTTTATTTGGTAGGAATAACTAATTTGGTGTTTCAGAAAGACTTTCGTATCATCCTGCAAATTGGAAAATGTCATGAGCTTATTCTCAAAAGCGAATGATATTTTTGAAGGACATAGAGTTTTACATTTATACTTTTATTTAGAAATTTAAAAATATTTCTCCACTTTTTTCAAACACCCTGAGTTGCAAAATATAAATCTGATGCCAGTCTAATTCTAATCCTTTTCACAGTAATCAAGTACACTTGATTGTTTACTTTTGTTTGTCTCTTTTCTGCAGAGAAAGCTATTATGAAGCTTTTAAAATTCTGGAATACTTAAATTTCTACACTAATTCTCTAGGTCCTTCCCCATTAATACCACCATGATCTTCAGTACTTATGGGACTGTTTTCAAAGCTTAATGCTTTAATCAGCTCAGAAAAATTTTATTTTTGCATTTCTTCTTTTGCATGTCTTTTACTTTCTTTTTCTACAACTCCTATTGGATAGGTTGTCCAAATTTAATTTAGTAATCTCATCTCTTTATCTTTTTACAGTACATTTAAACCTAAGCTATTGACTCCATGTACCAATCAAAGATTCAGCTTTCAGCTGTTTACTCTAATATTGAGTCTGTTCAATTTTTTTCTTTGTTGTATAATTACTTTTAAAATTTCGGCCGGGCGCGGTGGCTCACGCCTGTAATCCCAGCACTTTGGGAGGCCGAGGCGGGCGGATCACGAGGTCAGGAGATCGAGACCATCCCGGCTAAAACGGTGAAACCCCGTCTCTACTAAAAATACAAAAAATTAGCCGGGCGTAGTGGCGGGCGCCTGTAGTCCCAGCTACTTGGGAGGCTGAGGCAGGAGAATGGCGTGAACCCGGGAGGCGGAGCTTGCAGTGAGCCGAGATCCCGCCACTGCACTCCAGCCTGGGCGACAGAGCGAGACTCCGTCTCAAAAAAAAAAAAAAAAAAAAAAAAAAAAAAATTTCACCCACGTTTTTATTTTTCATTGCTCTAATTGTTTCATTTTTATATGAGAGGAGCATATAAGCTAAATGCACAATTTAAATAACAGTGGCTTTGATTAAACAAAGTACAAATTTTATTTTACCAAACTTTATTTTACCAAATAATATATTCCATTTTTTAAATCGTTAATTGAAAGTATAGCCCAGACTTCCTCACTTCTTTGAAATGCTATCTTTACCAATTACTATATTTTAATGAGCCAGGGACTTGGGAAGGACTTTTTTTGCTGTTGCAATTATGTATATACCTATCCTTGCATCAGTGATCCAATACTTGAATTATGACAGGTTTATAATGTAATTAATACCCATACAAAAATATTTTTTCAGCATTTTTTGCTATTTTCACCCCTTACCTCTATCCTCATATCTAAATTATTTTCAGTTGAACTCTTGAGGTTTCTGAGTAATTATATCATCTTTGTATAAATGTCGTATAATTTTTCCTATAGCATACAAAAATCATTATACCCTCCACTGTAGTTGTAATAATGTTTTTTTTTTTTTTTTGTTCCCTAGATCCTGGCTTCAATAGGAAGACCTTTGATTCTTTATCAAGTACTCAGTTGTATCTTCTTAAGAAACATTCTCTTCACTTTTAAGATCTTTCTATTCCTGATTCGAGGTAAATTTGTTTTCTTTGTTTCTCTTTGTTTTTTAATCTGGATACTTGTTCACACTCCATAGAGATTATCAACATTATTTCTCTTATGAAATATAGATATATGAGTTATATTATTATACTTTTTAATAAAAACCATTTTTCATAATTTTAATAAAGTTTAATGTAGTTTCTTTGGTCACAACTTACTATATATTATGGGTATAAATTGACCTTAATTTACTGCTGATGTTCTTTATCTTTACATTCAGATATGTTTACAAAATAAAATAATGAGATCGGTCACTTTTTAATTTGTAATACTTGACATTTAATTTCACAATTTTTTTTTTTTCTTTTTTGAGACAGAGTCGCTCTCTGTCACCCAGGCTGGAGTGCAATGGCATGATCTCAGCTCATTGCAACCTCCACCTCCCGGGTTTAAGGGATTCTCCTGCCTCAACCTCCCTAGTAGGGGGGATTACAGGCGCCAGTCACCCTGCCCGGCTTTCACAATTTTATTAGTATGAGTAAAATGTTCATTTTTTATCCTATGCAATAATGTATATATATATGACATAGAAATTGTGTATTTCTTTAAAGTTTTAGATACCTTAACTGTTGGAATTGTTGAATTTTACGACTTCTATTTAATATTTTAATAATTACTATCCTAGAAAATATTTCAGAGAGCTTATTTTAGGCTAGAGATATTTATTTTTGCTTAGAGTATATCTTGAACTATTAAAATTAGATTCTTAATTTTCTATTTTGTATATCCTGCATATGTTTGTGTATAATTATTTTACCCAAAAGTGAACACCGAATGATGAACAATAAAGTACTCATTTATATCCTCTTATGAGTCTTGCTATTGAATGTTTTATCAGTTTCAAAAGAATTTATCAGTCAAGGACAGGACTGTTAACCATGTTTATATTCCTTTCATTGATTTTCCTTTAATTAATCTATGTACCATAAAATTATTTATATCCCTCATTTCTATTTTGCAAAGGGTTTAATTAAAATATCTCAATATTCTTAAGTTTTTTTCTTAAAAATCACCATTATGAATAAACTTTGAGTAATGACACTTCCCTAACCTGGAATATTTGGGATTATTTAGCATTGTTTATTTTAATAGCAAAGCATTACAAATAGTGAAACTGTTGAACTTTCATTCCATCACCAATGATCAATCTTAATATGTATTCCTTAAATCATGTTGCTACCTGGCTAATGAGTATCATGTCTTTTTACACCGGATTTTATTACTACAAATCTGTTTTCTTATGTAGTGTTTGTAACTATTGAGCTGTACACAGACTAATATTGAATAGCTTATAAAATAAGACTTTAAAAATATTTGTATCAATCTGTTGAATTGAGACATTTTCTTTATTTTGTAGAATATATGGTGCTGCGAGGGCAACTTTTCAATTCTTTAGCATGCAGACTTTTGGAAAACTTAATTTCTTAATTGTAATGTAAGCTACATACTTTTGGAAATTTTAATTTTTTTATTTCCCACTTATTAGTTATGTAAAGTCAACTTTTCCATTTTTCAACTGTTCTCCCCCATGTAAACATAAATGACCCACTATAAGAAACAGTTTTGCTAGTTTTATGAGAAAAACCAACATAGTATACACTTTTCCCTGCCTTAGTAGCCAATTTGAGGAAAGTAAATGGCCATAGACTCCAACTGATAGATGCCTCAGACATTCTTAAGTGCGTACTTATAAGACAAATGTTTAATCATATGTTATTTGCTTTCCCATAAAACGTTTATACTTCAACTTGTACCTCTTGTAATGATTTTCTTGGGCAACACTATGGAATACTTGTGAGATCTTTTTTTTTTTTTTTTTTTTTTTTTTTTTTTGATACAGAGTCTCGCTCTGTCGCCCCGGCTGGAGTGCAGTGGCCCGATCTCGGCTCACTGTAAGCTCTGCCTCCCGGGTTCAGGCCATTCTCCTGCCTCAGCCTCCGAGTAGCTGGGACTACAGGCGCCCACCACCACGCCCAGCTAATTTTTGTACTTTTAGTAGAGACGGGGTTTCACCGTGTTAGCCAGGATGGTCTCGATCTCCTGACCTCGTGATTCACCCGCCTTGGCCTCCGGAAGTGCTGGGATTACAGACATGAGCCACTGCGCCCGGCCGTGAGGTTTTAAGATGCTGAATTTAGACTGAAATAATTATCTGCACCATGCACAAGTGGGTCAGCCTTGGAAGAGAAAAATTGCACTGCCAGCTTTGAGTAAGACCCTAGAGGCAAGGACCAGAGCACATCATGTGGGTCAGCCTTGTTTGGTTATTTTCAATGAAGTTCTTCGGCTGTTGTTGCCTAAATTTCCATTAGGTTGCATCTTTTCCTAGGTTAATAGCTTTAGATATGCTCAGTTTCTAAAGGTAAGTCCTAGACAAATTTTAAAATGTCTACAGAGGACTTTCTTTTTTTTCTTTCTTTTTTTTTTTTTTTTTTTGAGACGGAGTCTTGCTCTGTTGCCCCAACTGGAGTGCAGTGGCCTGATCTCAGCTCGCTGCAACGCTCACCTCCCGGGTCAAACGATTCTCCTGCCTTAGCCTCCTGAGTAGATGGAATTAGAGGTACATGCCACCTCTAATTTCTTTGGCTCGGCTTATTTTTGTATTTTTAGTAGATGCGGGGTTTCGCCGTGTTGGTCAGGCTAGTCTTGAACTCCTGACCTCATCAAAACTCATTAAAAGAATTGTACATAATCACTCTCTAATTCCTCTTCTCTTATCCATTCCAAAACCTGCTGTACCCAAGCTTTTTTTCTGTATATTACAAACAAAATTGGTTTTGTTAAAGGTAACCAATGAACTCCATACTGTGAATCTCATGGTGAATTCTGATTTACCAAGTGTCCTATGTATCAGGAGTGTTTGACACAGCAAATCAATCATTCACCTTCAAACACTTTTTTTTCTTACTTTACTTCCAGGATGTGAGTCTTATGTTCTTGTATTCTTCCCTGGAAGGCTTTTGGAATTATTATCGTCTATGCCTGAAATTGTCTCTTCCCATTGCTCACTCCCTCATCTCAACCATGTCTTTAGTTAGATGCTATCTTCTCAGCTAGGCCTACCTGGATCTCTCTTTAAAATGGGGTTAAAATTGGATTCAGTGTATCAACAAGCCATTGACAATCTCACTTACTGGGCTCTGTATTTTTGTTTTAGTTTCCTGCCTGCTTCCATGAGAATATAAAACTCCACAAGGACTGAGATTTTTATCTTTTTGCTTTACTAATGTGCTACCAACCCCAAGAACCACTCATTTCGTGTAAACACACTCAGTAAATACTTGTTGAATTTAAATGGTTGCTATTTAAGATTTTTTTAATCATGAAAATGAAAGTAGTTATATCTTCACAAAAGTTATTTAATTGGTGAATGAATCACACCAACTTCAATTTTCTTGCTCTCAGATTTCTACGAATTAGTTTTATAAGGCTTCAAAGTTAGTTACAGATGTTATCTTGAATCTGACCTACATGAGTGTAGCTTTTCTTGATCCTTTCTCTTGACTTTAACTATATAGTACTTGCATTGTTTCACAAGAAAAACAGGACAATTGTCACAGAAAGAAAGAAAGGCCTCAAAATAAAACAGTCATAGCTTCTTCATAGAACCACCATCTCATATTTTAGTGCCTATACAGTTTCAATTAGTTTTATCTATATTTTCTGATTGATCTCCTTCTGCAGTTTAATAAGACTGCATAAGGTTCACTGAGTTAGAAAGCTTTACAAAAATAATATTTACATAAATCTATTATTTCTTGTGTGGTGGTGGTTACATCAAATTATTTCCATCAAAGGTCTTCGTCATTCCCAAGAATCTATTTAAAAGAAAATATGTGTGTGTAGCTATGTATATGTGGTAATGTAGCTATCTAGAAACAGATACATGCACATAGTTAAATTACTTTCACTTTTAGGTTAACTTCTCAGAAAAATTGCTTTGCCAAATAATCTATTTAAATTGTTAATTTTACGAATTGCTTACAAATGAAAATTTCTTTGGCATTCACAGTGAAGAGTCATAGTGACTATACAGTAGCTATGAAATCTTGATTGGGAATGTCAACTTTATCATGAAAGAAACTTTTTCTAAAGAGCATAGATTGTTGAGAATGACTGACTTTTCCAGATGCATATATTGCTTGAGACTGGCAAGACAGTATAAAGAAAAGTTATTTGACTCTTGTCAGAGTGATGAATTTGAACAATAAAAAGGAAAACATAAAAGTTGACATGGGAAATATTTGGAAATTTTCAGCAATCTCGTTAAAAGTGCATGTTGAACTTCCTAGTACCTTCTGTTTTACATTCATGTCCACAGGAAAAGCCATATTTCCATGTCAGGCAAATGTATCAGATTAAAAACAGTTCATCTACATTATGTAAAATACATTTTTTTCAGCAGACTTTGCTTTTCCAAAACTCCTTGCCATTTAGTTCCATTGGCACTGAAATGCTTACGTATTAAATGTCTCATAATTTGAAGGGCACATAACTAAAATGATGCGTCCATGATTTACTAGTAAATTTATAAAGCTGACTCAAACAATGTTCCTTTGCCAATGCAATACTTATGCCTTAGAATTACTTCAGTTTCACAATATTTTATCAGACATATAAAGTAATGTTCTCTAGTGAATTCCTGAAAGTGATTTCCTAGACTCTTAATTTTAAATTACTTTCACTCAGACACACATTCCCAGACACCAAGTACAGGCTATAGTTTTGTTTTTCAATCAGCCCAAGACAATTTTCAAAAAGTGTGTCAATAAACTGTTGAGATCTGAGAAAAAATAATACCTAACTAGATCAAGTATTTACAAACATGAGATGGAAGAATAAGAATGGTTAATTCTGCATACATGTATATATACATAAAAATACGTATGTCTATAATCTGACTGCTCCCTTTTCATATCAATGTGCTTTCATTACCTAATCTTTCACGTCTTATTGTCTTTGTTGTCAGGCATTTCTTTTGCAATGAAAATCTGATGCTCTTGAAATTTACTTGTGATTCATATTATTACTTTTTTTAAAATTCTTTCCACTAACCCATTAGAGCTATGCATATTCTTTTCATTTTTGCTGTGTAATTTGTTCAAAGAACAGGTCAAGTCTATTTATCCCTAATTGAGAATAAATCTGTCTGAGGCAGATGTTTGGCAAAAGTAGTGTGAGTGGGTTTTCGTTAGGTCTTTTACCGTTCTTAGAAATGCTGTCAGCATCTGCCAGTCAGATCATAAACCGTAGAACCATGTGATGTAGTTCTAGATTATCATTTCAGGAATCCCACAGCTCTGGTGGAGTGAGGAGCAAGGAGCTGGGAGCATAAGCCATCCTAAAAGTGAGGTCTACATGATTTCTGTCCTGTCCGGCATTTGCTAATGCTGCTGAGCCAGGGACCAGCTTTTCATAGTTAGTTTTCAATGTACCCTAGGATCTACGCTGGGCCCCACCGTGCCTGAGACTGACTGGCTTTCTCTCCAGTGCTGTTGCCTCTTTAACTGAAGAGTTCCTGCTCCATTACGAAAGGACTGTGCTCCATTGGGAAAAATTAAAATGTAGTCATTCAAAGAGGAAAATCTGCATGTAAAAGGAGGCTCTGCAACCAAAAGACTCTGGATTTGATGTAGTTTGGTACAGATTTCAACAAGTGTTGAGAACCTCCATTGGAAAGGGGGTTTTAAGTGAAATAACACCTTCACTTAACTAGAACTTCAGTTTTTAAGCCTCTAAAATGTAGGATAATCAGCAAATTCTGCCACTATTTTTACCTGTATTTCATGAATTTCATTTATTCATTGCTGTGTTTTATTCATTAAGTGATTTAGTAAATAAATAATTATTAATTGAATTACAACTATGTTCTAGGTAATGCGATAGTGAGCAAAACAGACCAAATCCCTGTCCTCAAGTTCTTGCTTTCTAACAGGAATGTTAACCTACTTTCTTAGGAAAGAAAGTTATAAGTCAACTATAAATTATGTCCTTTAATCTGGCACCAATTTACCTATATCTAGTAATAAACAGTAAAATTTTATTCACCAGACTTTTATATTGTTGTAGTGATAATGTGAGAGTTCTTTCTCTTTGGTTCTTTAATCATTTAAATTGTTTGTGGAGACCTTATTCTAGAGGAATGGACTTCAATTTTTTCAGAAGGGAGAACAAATATTATCTGAAGTAAGTAAAATATGTAGGATATATAGAGTCATTTTCTGGACTTCACTGGGGGAAAAGTTAACTTTCTCTTCTCACAAAAAACAATTCTCACGCTGTTCCTTTCATTTTCCTGTGACCCCTTTTTCTTCTCTATGGAATGGCAATTCCTAGCACAGATCAGAGATTAATGCAGTTTAGAAAAAAATAAGAAAAAGAAATATTGAGGCTTAATGTTTTGAATATAAAAATAACAACATTATATTTTCTACTAAAATTACATTAATAATAACATAATATTAGAATATGAATCATTTTATTGACAAATGGGTCTATAGTATAAATATGCTAATTGCTTTGATAAGATATATTTCAACAGTGCTATGTAAGAATAGTGCCAGTTCAATATATGAGCATTCACTTTCAAAAATAACACTGATAATTATTGGCCAAGTAAAGTTAAGCATCAAAAATAAAAACTATCCTGAAAAACATAAAAATTATTTACCAAAGGAGAAAAAGCAAATGCCCAGCTGCAAAAAAATCCATTTTACAGGTCCAAGCCAATGTCAACGCTGAGATCTGGAAATTAAAGCTGCATTATCTTGAATCTTTTATAAAAGTGTCATGAGACTTCTGGTTCTGGGATAGACTATATACAAATTATTTTTTAACTTAGACTTGACTCATCTCAAGACACAGAGTTACCTCTCGTTTTTTTTTTAATGGACCATATTTGGCAAAATGAAGAGGAGGCCTGTGATTAGCATATCAAAGACAAGGAAGTAAAATCCTCCAGTGCGGGATATGTAGCATCAATAAGGAAGTAGCAAGTACATCTAAACTTCACAAAAATCATTAGCAGAACAGAAATAAATGGGAAGCAGGAAAACCATCAGTGTGGTGACTAAGACAACTTGCTAATAACTGAGGTTGATAAAACGCATATGTATAGATGTAAACTTTGTTTTGAAAGGAATTTGGGATGGGGGTGATTTGAGAAGGAAAGCCCCTTGTCTTATCTATTGTGGATTGAATCTTTCAAGGTGAAGCTATTTTAAAAATAAATTAACATACGCTGTATTATTTGGATAACAGAATATTTATGTAAAGTTACTTTAAAATGCTTTCATGGCCATCAGCTCACTTGAGAGTTTTATGAGGTAAGGCAGGAAAGGCATTATTATCCTGAGATTCATGAAAGTGACTGACTGTCTAGCAAGAATTGGAACAGAGATCCCAATCTAAACCTTCACTGCATCACAATGAAATTTTCCTGATATGGTTTGGCTCTGTGTTCCCACCCAAATCTCACCTTGAATTGTAGTAATTCCCACGTGTCATGGGAGGGACCTGGTGGGAGGTAATTAAATCATGGGGGTGGGTTTTTCCCATGCTGTTTTCATGACAGTGAATAAGTCTCATTAGATCAGATGGTTTTATAAAGGCAAGTTCTTCTGCACATGCCCTCTTGCCTGCCGCCATGTAAGATATCCCTTTGCACTTTTTTGTCTTCCACCATGATTGTGAGGCCCCCCAAGCCATGTGGAACTGTGAGTTCATTAAACCTCTTTCCTTTTATTAGCAACATGAGACAGACTAATACAATACCTTCATACATATGCTAATGTGTTTGTAAACTTAATATGTAAGTATTCCTTGTATTTGGAAAACACCCTTAGATTCAAATTACTCTAGGAGCAAAAATGATAAAAAAATATAAGCAATATTAGGTATTTTGGGGATCTTCATGAGACCTAAAACAGTAACAACTACCTGGAATTGAAAACTTAACCAGGCAAAGGAATCACAAGAACACCAAAGTTACATGCAAACTCACCTCCCTTTTCATCCCTGCTCCCCTCAAAAAAATGAATCCAATCTTTCTCTGACTTATTTTTTTTATGAATACATACTAAAGACTTATTTATTCCTGTGTTCTAAAATGTAATCTTTTTAATGGTGTCTTACAATCTGAAACTTGATGTGTTTAAGTATAGAAACTTTTATTTTCTAGGATAACTTATCTCCTAACACTTCTATTGTTCCCTCCTTCCCTAATTACAATTAGACTGATTTTCACTTCTCTACCCCATTTTGTGTAGCATTTTAACTTCTATTTCTACTTCAGGATTATGCCTCAGCTATCTATTTTGAGTGTCTCACTAAATTTTTATATATCTGCTTACATGCTTTAATTTCCAGGGCTATAATTTACTTTTTGATTGCTTCTTTGCAAAAACGTCTGTTCTTATTGCATGAATACAATAACTTTCAATCTTTGTGGGGTATTAATTATAAATATTTGCCATATTCTGCTTCTTCTATTATTTTTTCTTCTTTTTGTTAATTTTTGTTACTGTAATTCGTACGTGAGGCTTTTCTTAAATGTATTTGATTTTGTGTTTTGTATTCATACTTTGTATCCTGCAGCACATCCAAAAGCTCATCCACCACGATCAAGTTGGCTTCAGCTTGGCATGCAAGGCTGGTTCAACATATGCAAATCAATAAACGTAATCCATTACATAAACAGAGCCAATGACAAAAACCATATGATTATCTCAATAGATGCACAAAAGGCCTTCTATAACATTCAACACCTTTTCATGCTAAAAACTCTCAAAACTAGGTATTGATGGAACATATCTCCAAATAATAAGAGCTATTTATGACAAACCCACAGCCAATATCAATATATTTGGGCAAAAGCTGGAAGCATTCCCTTTGAAAACTGGTATAAGACAAGGGTGCTCTCTCTCACTATTCCTATTCAACATAGTATTGGAAGTTCTGGCCAGGGCAATCAGGCTAGAGAAAGAAATAAAGGGTATTCAAATAGGAAGAGAGGATGTCAAATTGTCTCTGTTTGCAAATGACATGATTGTATATTTAGAAAACCCCATCGTGTCTACCCAAAAACTTCTTAAGCTGATAAGCAACTTCAGCAATGTCTCAGGGTACAAAACCAATGTGCAAAAATCACAAGCATTCCTATACACCAATAATAGACAAACAGACAGGCAAATCATGATTGAACTCCCATTCACAATTGCTACAGAGATAATAAAATATCTAGGAATACAACTTACAAGAGATATGAAGGACCTCTTTAAGGAGAACTACAAACCACTGCTCAAGGAAATTAGAGAGGACACAAACAAATGAAAAAACATTCCATGCTCATGGATAGGAAAAATCAATATCATGAAAATGGCCATACTACCCAAAGTAATTTATAGATTCAATGCTATCCCCATCAAGCTACCAATGACTTTCTTCACAGAATTAGAAAAAAGCTACTTTAAATTTCATGTGGAACCAAAAAAGAGCCCATATAGCCAAGACAATCCTAAGTGAAAAGAACAAAGCTGGAGGCATCATGCTACCTGACTTCAAACTACACCACAAGGCTACAGTAACCAAAACAGCATGGTACTGGTACGAAAACAGATAAATAGACCAATGGAACAGAACAGAGGCCTCAGAAATAACACCACACATCTACAATCATCCAATCCTTGACAAACCTGACAAAAACAAGCAATGGGGAAAGAATTCCCTATTTAATAAGTGGTACTGGGAAAACTGGCTAGCCATATGCGGAAAACTGAAACTGGACCCCTTCCTTACACCTTATGCAAAAATTAACTCAAGATAGATTAAAGACTTAAACGTAAGACCTAAAACTGTAAAAACCCTAGAAGAAAACCTAGGCAATACCATTCAGGACATAGGCATGGGCAAAGACTTCATGACTAAAACACCAAAAGCAATTGCAACAAAAGCCAAAATTGACAAATGGGATCTGATTAAACTAAAGAGCTTCTGTACAGCAAAAGAAACTATCATCAGAGTGAACACACAACCTACAGAATGGGAGAAAATTTTTGCAATCTATCCATCTGACAAAGGGCTAATATCCAGATTCTATAAAGACTTTAAATTTACAAGAACAAAGAAACAACCCATCAAAAGTGAGGGAAGGATATGAACAGACACTTCTCAAACAAAGACATTTATGCAGCTAACAAACAAATGAAAAAAGCTATTATCACTGGTCATTAGAGAAATGCAAATCAAAACCACAATGAGATACCATCTCACACCAGTTAGAATGGCAATCATTAAGAAGTCAGAAAACAACAGATTCTGGAGAGGATATGGAGAAACAGGAATGCTTTTACACTGTTGGTGGGAGTGTAAATTGGTTCAACTATTGTGGAAGACAGTGTGGCGATTCCTCAAGGACCTAGAACCACAAATACCATTTGACCCGGCAATCCCATTATATACCCAAAGCATTATAAATCATTCTACTATAAAGACATATGCACACGTATATTTATTGCAGCACTGCTCACAAAAGCAAAGACTTGGACCCAAACCAAATACCCATCAACGATTGAATGGATAAAGAAAATGTGGCACATATACACCATGGAACACTATGCAGCCATAAAAAAGGATGAGTTCATGTCCTTTGCAGGAACATGGATGAAGCTGGAAAGCATCATTCTCAGCAAACTAACACAGGAACAGAAAAACAAACACCACACGTTCTCACTCATAGGTGGGAGTTGAACAATGAGAACACATGGACACAGGGAGGGGAACACCACACACTGTGGCCTGTCAGGGGGTGGGGGGCTGGGGATGGATAGCATTAGGAGAAATACCTAATATAGATGATAGGTTGATGGGTGCAGAAAACCACCATAGCACGTGTATACCTATGTAACAAACCTCCATGTTCTGCACATGTATTCTAGAACTAAAAGTATAATACAAAGAAAAATTAAGTACTACAAAACTGTTTGGTCTTTCCACATATATGAGTGATCATCTGCACTATTCAACATTGCACTGGAGGCATTAGCTGGCAATAAGAAAAAAGATCAATTAGATACACAAGAAATATAAACAATTCTATAAGAAGAAGTAAAACGATTGCACTTTGTAGATGCTGTGATAATATATATGGAAAACCCCAGGCCATAAAAGATAAAACTAACACAAGTAATACAATAATTTATTGTGAATATATCATGAAGCTAGCTATAAAATAAACAGTCAGAAAGCAAATAGCTCTCATATACGCAAACACTAACCAGTTAGAGAAGAAAATCAAGTTTATAAAAACAGCAAGATTTATTAAATTGTTTAGAACAGAGTGAAAAATGTTATAAAAAAACTTTTAAAAAATGACTGAAAATGCAAAGTCACCCTATGTTAATTTAAAAACTGAATTAAATCCAAACTAAAACACTTTGTTATGTTTTTTATCATATTAGACAGTTTGACACTAAAACTGACATAGAAAAACTAACATTCAAGAATAGTCATAAAAACACTAAAACCAAAAACTATGATGGAGTACTAGCCTTCTAGACATTAAAGCATACAATAAAACTTTAGTAATTGAAATAATATGTTATCATGCATGAATAGACAAAGCATAATTGACTAAACTCCAGTACCTATGGATATTTAAGAATAAACCTTAGTACATATGGATATTTAAGAATTGGTAAAGGTGGCATCTCATATTACTGAAACAAAAATGGAGTTTAAAAAAATATATAGCAACAAGGCAAATGGCTACCATTGGAAAACTGATGAAATCGGATGCACACCTCACATTATACACAAGAATAAATTTTAAATGTTTCAGAGATCTAAATGTAAAATAACCTCTGAAACAATGTTATGCAACAATAATGAAACCATGCAAATACTGGAAGAAAATATGGGTACATTCTTTGATAATGAGTGTAGGAGATAAGATTTATAAATATGACTCGAAATCCAGATGCAATGAATTAACAGATTAATAAATTTGACAATGTAAAATATTTTAAGAAAATTCTCCTTTGCAAAACACAAAATCAAGAAAGGCAAAAGGCAACTGAAAGACTGGGAGAAATTTTTGGCACTGTATATCATATATAAAGAGTTCATGTCATTACTATATAAAGAACTCTTATATGCTGAGGTAAAAACAGATCTATCCAACAGGAAAAAAATGGGCAAAGACATAAACATACAATTCACAAAAATATATATTAAAATGGTACTTAAATATATGAAAAGATGTTCATTTCAATTATATTTTTAAAAATATATATTAAAACTACAAGAAGATATTATTTCTAATATATCACAGTGGCAAAAATTAAAATTTATAAAAATAAATTCCTGATAAAATCATCAAAATGTAGGAATTCTGCTGGAATAGCTGTAGGGAGATAGGGACTCTCACAAATCTACTTTTGATCCTACAATTTTCACTTATTGGAATTTACCCTGAAGATATACTTCCAACAATATTTTTCTATATTGTTGGACACAAACAAAGTTATTCATTACAGCATTATTTATAATTGAAAAATATTAAAAATAAATAGGTATACACGGGAGAGTGAATAAACTATGGTACACATAAAAAAGTACAATAGAGCTAGATAAAAGTATAAGGTATACATTTGAGAACTAATACAGAGTTGTTTACAAAATATATATTTCCCAGAGGGAAATGCAAAGGGCAAAAGAATATCTTTAGCTTTATCTTTTCTGTAAGAAAGAAATTTTATGTCAGTGAGACAGGATTTTTCTTGGCCCCTTTGCCCGGCTCACATCAGGAGGTGCCCTGGCTACTCAGCTGGCTGGGCCACATCTAGCTTGCGCTCTGGCTGGCGGCTCCCACAGCCACTGCAGCTGCCTACTCAGCCCCTGATGTGGGGTGGGGTGTGCTCCATGCAGGGCTTGCTGCTGGACCAGGCATGCTGCTGTGAGGAGAACGCAGTGGTGCCCAGACAGGGGTGCTGGTGACCCTGAAGCCCTAGAAGGAGTGTTGTAACATGCTAATTAGCTCTTTTAGTCCCACCGTCTGCAGCCTGAGGGATGGTGGCATGTTAACAGTTCAGTCAGCCCCTTGCCTCATTCCAGCCTGCAGCGCCAGGGCTGGCTCAGCCCCATTGCTGCTTCTTGTTACATGGGGTGGCTGCCCTCCACTGGTGGAAGGCAGAGGGTCACAGCATTACACCCTTCTGAGTACCCACATGCAGTGGGTTCTGAGTTCTTGTCCTGTGTCCAAGAAGAAAGAGGTCATGCTGACAATTGAAGGGTAACAAGGGTGGAGAACTTTATTGAGCAACGAAACCGCTCTCAGCAGAGAGGGGATGGGAAGGTGGTCTCTCACCCAAAGTCGGGTTGTCTCTTCCAGTGTGCCTGAGTCTGGGGTTTTTACAGGCACAGGATGTGGCAGGGGCAGGTTGTAGGTAGCATTGGAAAAGGCAACGTCTGATTGGTTAAAAAGCATTATTCAGAAAGAACCAAGAGAGAAAGCGTGGGCAAACTCGAACAGAAATTCTCACTCTAGGTTGTGGAGTTCATCCAGAACCAACAGTCCCTTCTTTCAGGCTTCAGGCTGTTTTGACCTTGAAGGTGCAGTTTCACCTGGAATCTGCCCCTGGAATCTGCCCCTATCTGCCTAGGCATTTGTCTGCTTCCTGCCACTATCATAAACATATTGTATGCTTTTAATATATGCACAAAAATATGTATATAACTATATATATTTACTCATTTGTGCAAAAAGATATAAATAGAAAAAGTTAACAGAAACAAACAGAAACGATAAACCAGAAATGAATGAGGTTGGTTTTCTGTAAGAAGTGAATAGAAATGGATTGAAAAAGATAGACTAAAATGAGAGAGAACGGAGACAAGAAAGTACATTTAAATATAAATATGTAGGATATAATGATCTGAGATGCATTTTAAATCAGCCACTCTAACTACTTATTAACAGCTTTGAAGAAAGATTTCTTTAAGGAAAGGCTTTAAAACTAGAAGCTAAAAAGAATTTTTTGGATTATCTGTGGATTTTATTTCATCCTTGATAAGCATGAGCTCCGTGTCCTCTAGGGATACAAATGAACAAGTAAAACTCTAAAAGTCAGAAGTCAGTTTCTTCAAAGCTGGCTGTATTTTAGATTTTTCAACAGATTTAATTTACAATATTTTCTAATATCTGTCATTGTAAGTTGGTTATATTGAGGTACAATTTTCTAAATTTATTTCTAAAAACTACAAACATATATAAATGTTTGATTACGTAAAGGAGATTTTCCTCAAAACATTTTTCTTTTCATACAGTCTCCAAAGAGATAGTAACACGCAAAGTTTGCGATTGAGGTAGAGACCAAAAAACCCACAACCAAACCAAAACAGCAAGATTTCTGATCAGGGCCTATTGGAGGTAAAAGAGCCAAATTTCTTGAGAGGAGAATAATGTTATTCAAGAAGATTTTCTAAATAAAGATGGTTAGGCCAATGATAAAAATGGTAGGTATTTTTTTGAACCAGTTTTACTCTTCTTAGAATTTAAAAATCAAGCCGTTCAAATTAACAGTTGCAGTGTTAACAGTGAATGCCTGTTAAAATGAAGCAGTTAATCACCAGGAACAGCATATTAAAACTGTTAATTTGTAGGTTTGAAACTTCCCTTTAATTAAAGCTGTAGGAAAAGCTTCCTGTTCTAAGCAAATCTGAGATCTCACGGCCTCTGTCATGCTTGTGAAATATCACAAAGAAAAGCTCTTTTGGAGGGGAGGGTCAAGGTGATGATGAAGGGAAATCTGAGTGCTTGATTTGAAAGGATTAAACTTTCTTCCCCCTTAGCCTTTAAAAATAATCTATAACAGAATAGCAATACTTTTGATTTCTGGAAAGTGACAAATGCAATCAGACTGCATAAGTATTCTACAGAGTTAGTGGGCTGCATCCAGATGACACAAATATTAGAAGAGAAAGAAAGAAGAAGGCATTTCTAGAAACAAAGTCTAAAAAGCTAGCATGGCTGGGCTTGGTGGCTTACGCCTGTAATCCCAGCACTTTGGGAGGCTGAGGCAGGCGGATAACTTGAAGTAAGGAGTTCGAGACCAGCCTGGTCAACATGGTGAAACCCCATCTCTACTAAAAATACAAAAAATGTGCCAGGAGTGGTGGCGCATGCCTGTAATCCCAACTACTCAGGAGGCTGAGGTGGAAGAACTGCTTGAACCCGGGAGGAAGAGGTTGCAGTGAGCCAAGATCATGCCACTGCACTCCAGCCAGGGCGACAGATCAAGACTCTGTCTCAAAAATAAATAAATGAATAAATAAACAAACAAATAAAACTAGCATCACAGAGTGAGATTTTGGGGGTAGGGAGTTGTTGATAACCATATATTTGAAGTTAGTAGGTTTTGATCCCTGAGACCAGCTTCCTAGACCACTGCCTCTCCGATTCTAGTACTACATGAGGGAGATTTGTGAAACATTGATTCCAGGACCATTGCTAATAGAGATTCTGATTTAGTAAGCTTTAACTGAGCCGGGAATCTCCATTTCACTGTCTATCCCACAAGTTGTTCACACAGGTGCTTCAGAGGCTGACTTTGAGATATGCTTTTTAAAAAAAATTTACACCCTCAAGAATGCTTTTTCCTCAAGAATGCTATTCTGGTGAGTTCTCTGTATGGATGAAAAAAACAGCAGAAACCAGAGGGCATATTAGAAACTATAGTCATAAATAAATAACAGTTACAACTATCATGAAATTTTTAAGTACTAAGAGGTGGAAATAATAAGGAAAATAGATAATTCAATTTCTAATGTAGGTATGTTTATACTAAATAAAACATGTGTTGTGAAAATCAGCATCAAAAAAGCAGCAACCAGGATAAGTTACATCGAATATCCTCATACTATCGACTCTAAACATGGGCTTCTAATTCTGTTTACAAATAAATCAAAAGCAATGACTAGCATGTATTTTCTACAGATACTAGTTATGTTGAAAGAACATTGAATATACTAAATTTTAATAGTTGCAAAGCGCTATGCAGGATCTACAATTAAACTAATCATTTTCAAAATACTGAAAACTGATAGATAATATGAAAAACTTTTTTCAAGGACACAAATGTATCATTTGCTGGTACCAGGACTTGATTAATTGCTTACCTTATTAAAAAATACAAAGATTTTGTGTATATGCATGTTGAGCATTTATCACTCATTCTGTGCCTGGCCAGATGACGTATTTTTAGATCCTCAGATCTAGCACAATTTAAGGTATATATCAGACAGTATGTAAATGTTTCTTGAATGAGATCACTTTCCATTAAAATTTTATATTTTAAAGAAAATCATGAAATATTATTTTTAAAATAAAACATGATTTTTATTACTTCCCACATGTTGCAACCCAACTAACATACCTCAATATGGGCATCCACCTTGGCAGTGATGGCAATGTAGGCTACTAGCTAAGGATGCAGGCTCTGGGTCTGCAAGACTTGATTGCTAATATTTACAGACTATGTGGTCTAATGCAATTACTTCACTTCTCTTAGTCTCAGTATATTCAATTATAAAATTAGATAATAAAAATAATTACCTCAAAAGTTGTTTCATAGATTAAATTAGCATTGTTTGCATCACACAAATGCCCAATAAATATAAATTATTCACTGAAACAGCTGTAGGCAGTAATGAAATTTCCATTTCATGAATAAAAATGTAATGTTTCAATCACATATATGCTACAATATTAATTATGTTCTGATTGTCAGGTCAAAAAGTAGAAATTCAACCTATACCACTACATCTAATGTATGATAATGATAATTAAGGAGAAAGGATGTGTTATTATTGGTAATGACAGGAAAAGATTATTCCAAAGTAAATTCAACAAAGAATTCTTAGAAAAACTGCAGTGTACATTTGTTGACACAAACAACACTCACATACATATTCACATGGACATATACACACATACCACTACATATGTCCAGTATTTTTTAATATATAGGAATAACCATAGCTTCTAACAGCTTATATAGCATGTAACTGACATTCAATAAGCTGTACATAAAGTTTATAATTTCATAAAATTTAGCACATGTAAACAAGCATGAAATTCAAGAATCAAAATAATAAACATACGTATCGTGTTCAAAAGTTTTCTCAAGCCCTTTTGTAATTTATTCCTCTCACTGATTTTTTATATCTATACAATCTATAGCGATATCTCCTCTTCTGTAACTGACTTTAGTAATTTATGTTTTTAATTTCCCCCAAATTAGTCTGACTAGAGATTTATTCATTTTAATGATCTTTTCAGAGAATCAGCTTTTCATGTCACTGATATTTTTCCCCATTGAATCATATTTTTTATCTGTTTGGTTTCTCTTCTTTATTTCATAATTTTGGCTTGCTTTATGTCTAAAATGTGTTTTTTTTAAACTGGTATCTTAAAGTGGAAGTTTAGTTAAGTGAATTTTAGATCATGTTTTTTTCTGATTTATGCTCTACATACATTTCTCTCTAAACATTTTATTAACTATATCTCATAAAATCTGAAATGCTTTATTTTTATTGTTTCATGTGTGTATGTATATATGTACACACATATGGAAAATATTTCTGTTTTCCTTTACTTTTTTATTGATCATCTTTAGGTTACTTAGAAGTATGTAGTTTAATTTCACATATCTGTGAATTCCTAGATATTGTTCTCTTATTGCTTTAGAATTTAATTCTGCTATGGTAAAAATGCATACTTTGTATGATTTTAGTGTACTATACTAATTGAAAATATACTGAGACATGTTTATGGCCCAAATTATATTCTATCTTGATGGTATTTTCATAGGCACATGAAAGAAAAATGGATGCTGCTATGGCTAGGAGGAGACTTATACAAATGTAAACTATATCATGTTACTTGAGAGTATTAAGTTCTTTATACCTTTACTGGTTTTCTGTCTTTTGTTCTATCAATTACTGAGAGAAAAATATTATAAGAGTATTTGAGTGTTTTCAATTTTGTTAGTTTGGGCTTCATGTATTTTGAAGAATATTTTGATATAAACACAGAAGTGTTATATCTTCTTTATGAATTCACCTTTTTATCATTATGAAAAGGCTCTTTTTAATATTCTACAGTCTACTTTGTCTGACATTCAGATTTCAGATTTCTTTTGATCATTCTCTGTATGGCTTGCATTTTCCAAACATTTTACTTTCAATCTGTCTATATAATTAAAGTATATTCCTTGTCAAAAGTATATAGTTAGACCTTGCTCATACTATCTTACAATCTCTGCTTTTCAAATAAACTTTTAAACCCATTTACATTTAATGTAATTGTAGATACGTTTGGTTTTAAGTGTACACCTTGCTGTTTTCTATTTAAGCTATATGTTCTTTATCTCTTTTTTCCCCATTTTTCTGTCTTCTTCTGAAAAAATTGAGCATTTTTAAAATTCTATCTCCACTATTGGTTCTTTAATAATACTCTTGTTTATTTTAAAATTTGTTTTCCAGGCTTACATTATGCATCTTTAAATTATTATAATCTAGTGTAAAATAATGTTATGGCATGTCACATATAATGCAAGGATAATGTAAGTATCCTTACAAAAGCATACTTTTATTTCCTCTTCTTTTTTTTTGCTATTATTGTAATGTATTTTATTTCTGCATATGTTGGAGATTTAATTATCTTTAAGAGATCTAAAATGAAAATAAAATTATTTTTTATGTAACAACATATTTAACATTTACAGTGATCTTCTAAAGCTTTGCTGTTTTGATACAGATTCTGTATGGTTTCATTCTCCTTCTACTTAATGAACCTTCAGTGTTTTTTATAGAACACATCTGGTAATAAAATATTTAGCTTATATTTCTTAAAATTACTCTTTATTTTGCCATTTTATTTTTACAGATACATTTGCTAAATATATATTTCTAGGTTGAAATTCCTTTTTCTTTTAGTGCTTTAATAATAATTGATTTCTAGCTTGCATTGTTTCTGAAAAAAAGTCTAATGTCATTCTGTTTTGCTCTTCTCTATATAATGTATCTTTTTTCTCTACCTCTAATATTTAGTTTTCATCACTGCTTTTCGAACATTTAATTATTATACATATTGATGGGTTTTTTCTTATTTTTCTTCTGCTTGTATTTCACATAGTTTCTTGAACTTTTGATTTCAAAAACAACTTCAGTATATTTTCAGTCATCATTTCTTCAAATATTAATGCAGATTGTTTTTCTTTCAAATATATAGTCTGGGTTACCTTTCGGATATTATAATTTTCGTCTACAGATGACCCATGATATGGTTTGGCTATGTTTCCATCCAAATCTCATCTTCAGTAGTAGTTCCTATAATTCCCATATCTTGTGGGAGGGACCCAGTGGGAGGCAATTGAATCATGGGGGCGTTTACCCCCATACTGTTCTGATAGTGAGTGAGTTCTCACAAGATCTGAAGGTTTTATAATGGTATTTTCCGTCTTTGCTCAGCACTTCTCCTTGATGTCACCATGTGAAGAAGGATATGTTTGCTTCCCCTTCCACCATGACTGTAAGTTTTCTGAGGCTTCCCCAGCCATGCTGAATTGTGAGTCAATTAAGCCTCTTTCCTTAATAAATTACCCAGTCTTGCGTGTGTCTTTATTAGCATCATGAGAATGGATTAATATAGTAAATTGGTGCTGGGAATGGGGCAGTGCTGTAAAGATGCCCAAAAATTTGGATGCAACTTTGAAAGTGGATAACAAGCAGAGGTGGGAACAGTTTGGAGGGCTCAGAAGAAGATAAGAAAATGTGGAAAAGTTTGGAACTTCTTAGAGACTTGTTGAGTGGCTTTGATCAAAATGCTGAGAGTGATATGGAAAATAAGGTCTAGGCTGAGGTGGTCTCAGATACAGATGAGGAACTTGGGAACTGGAATAAAGGTGACTCTTGCTATGCAAAGAGACTGGTGGCATTTTGCCCCTGCCCTAGAGGCCTGTGTAATTTTGAACTTGAGAGAGATGACTTAGGGTATCTGGCAGATGAAATTTCTAAGCAGCAAAGCATTCAAGAGGAAGCAGAGCATTAAAGTTTGAAAAATTTGCAACCTGACAATGCAATAAAAAAGAAAAGCCCATTTTCTGGAGAGAAATTCAAGCCAGCTACAGAAATTTGCATAAGCAATGAGGAGCCAAATGTTAATCACCATGACAATGGGGAAAATGTCTCTAGGGTATGTCACAGACCTTTACAGCAGCCCCTCCCATTACAGGTCTAGAGGCCTAGGAGAGAAAAATGGTTTCCTGGACTGGGCCCACAGATCCCCTGCTGAGTGAAGCCTCAGGACATGGTGCCCTGAGCCCCAGCTGCTTCAGCTGTAGCCATGGCTAAAAGGAGCCAACATACAGTTCAGGGCATTGCTTCAGAGAGTGCAAGCCCCAAGCCACCAGCATTGAGCCTTGGGTACACAGAAGTCAAAAACTGAGAATTGGGAACCTCTACCTAGATTTCACAGGATGTATGGAAATGCATGGATGTCCAAGCAGAAATTTGCTTCAGGGGTGGAGCCCTCATGGAGACCATCTGCTAGGGCAGTGTGGAAGGGAAATGCAGGATTGGAGCCCCCCACAAGAGTCCCCAATGAGACACTGCCTAGTGGAGCTATGAGGAAAGAGTCACTGTCCTCCAGACCCCAGAACGGTAGATCCACCGACAGCTTGCACTGTGCACCTGAAAAAGTCAGTGATACTCCACACCAGCCTGTGAAAGCAGCCAGCAATGGGTCTGTACCCTCCAAAGCCAGAGGGGTGGAGCTGCCCAAGCTGTGGGAGCCCAATTCTTGCATCAGTGGATGTAAGACATGGATTCAAAGGAGATCATTTTGAAACTTTAAAGTTTAATGACTGCCCTATTGGATTTTGGACTTGCGTAGGGCCTGTAGCACCTTTGTTTTGGCCAATTTCTCCCATTCAGAACAGGCGTATTTACTCAATAACTGTACCCCCATTGTATCTAGGAAGTAACTAATTCCCTTTTGATTTTACAGGCTTATAGGCAGAAGGGACTTGCCTTGTCTCATATGAGACTTTAGACTTGGATTTTTGGGTTAATGCTGGAATGAGCTAAAACTTTGGAGAACTGTTGGAGAGGCATAATTGTATTTTGAAATATGAGGAAATGAGATTTGGTAGGGGCCAGTGGCAGAATGATATGGTTTGTCTGTGTCCCCACCCAAATCTCATCTTGAATTGTAGATCCCATAATCCCTACATCTCACAGGAGGCATCTGCTGGAAGGTAATTTAATCATGGGGGCTGTTACTTCCCTACTGTTCTCGTGATAGGTAGTTCTCACAAGAGCTAATGGTTTTATAAGGGGATTTCCCCTCTTTGCTTGGCACTTCTCCTTGATGTTGCCATGTGAAGAAAGTATTCGCCTCCCCTCTCACCATGATTGTAAGTTTCCTGAGGCCTCCCCAGTCACGCTGAACCATGAGTTAATTAAACCTCTGTTCTCTATAAATTATTAAGTCTCAGTTATGTCTTTATTAGCAGCATGATGGACTAATGAACTAATATAACCCATTTGTTTCTTTTTTATATCGCATTTCTGTCCTCATGTTTATGTTCAGGTTTCCCTTCAACTAATTGAGTTCGTAAAGTATATTTATTACAGTTACTATAATGTTTTTGGTTGATAATCCTTTCATATGTTTCTATTTATTCATTGACTTTTTCCTAGCTATTGATAACATATACTTGCCTCATCTTATGTAATTTCTAATTGAACATCAGATATTGTGAATTTTGTCTTGTTGAGTTTACTCAACAAGTATTTTGTTGTATTTCTTTAAAGTTTGTTGGACTTTTCCTGGTATGCTGTTATTTAACTTGCTGATGAGCATTATCCCTTTTAGTTTCTTTTTAATATTTTGGAGAGATAAAATTTAGCTTTTATCTTAGAGATGATTTATATTCATTTCTTCATGTGGCTTTCTGCAGGTTTTACTTAATTCTCTGTATAATTGGTGAAGTTTCTCCACTCTGGCTTGGAAGAACATAAATGATTGTCTGCTCTGTGTTTGCACTGGGAATTGTTTTCTATACACCAACCCCATTAATTGTTCTTTTCTCATAAGTTATTCTTAACCAACAGAGTTTGGATTTTATACTCTGCATGCACAGACTTGTATCCAGCCAAATATTCAATGGTACCCCACCACAGACTTCTGGACCTCATTATCTGCCTAACCCATACTTCGTGAATGAATAAAAGAAGATGATAATTTTAATGGCTTATTCTAGTCATTTGTTGGCTTATTAGCACATCATTAAAGCTTATGAAGAAAAATATTATTTTAAATTCATTTAACACAGGAAAAAAGAATATGAAGCTTAGCTATAGAAGATCAAGATATTTTCCACTTTACCATAGGGTGCAGAATAAACTTAATAAAGTAACAGCAATGTGAGAAAAAATTATTGTTATTCTAAAACTGTTAATTTTGATCCATGATGTTAAATATTTATAGACAGTACTAATCAGCATCGTACCTAATCTTGGTACTATGCACCAAATTTTGGTGCAAACACTTAGTACCTGTATTATATTTGGCAAGTTATATAAAATAAATTCTAATTTAGTTATTGATAATTTTAGTTTCACAAGATGATGAGATTAAAAGTAAACCATATGTACCTGGTACAAAATAGAAACTTAATACATTAATAAATCATTAAAATATGTTTTAAGTAAGCTAGATGGCTGTCATCAAATCCAAGCAGAATAAACATTACCATAGACAGCTTTTCTGGAGAAATTAAGGTCTCCTTCATTCCTAAGAGGTTTGAATACGGGTGGTCAGTAAGATGGATAGCTCCCCGTGAGGAAATGGTTTTAAGACACTCCATTCCATGTAAGCCTTTATCTTTAGTGCTCCAGGGTTTATTCAGTTACTACTATCTGTTCTTTGAGACTAGCCTCTTTTTTTGTAGAAGGCTGTCTCTGTGGATTTGTGCAATTATATTTCTCCCTAGAGTTTTTGGTCTTCATCAATTTTGTTACATTTGTTTTCTTTTTTTTTTTTTCTCAAAGGTGTAGTACCTTCTTATACTGAGTAGCCTTTTCCATGATGCTCCCATCTTACTTAGATGAGATAGTACTCATGTCATGGTATAACCCTAATGTCCTCTTACCACAAAATACAGTAAGTAGATTGGATAATACAAAACCATAATCTGTGTGCAATAGCACCCTCATTTTAGGCAGTAATGTCTCGTCTTTAGGACATTCATTTCTTCTTAATCATTTATCACATGTGCTCTACTCCTGAAGCCTATACTTTATAAGACTCTCTTTTTTTGTTATTCCCCAAATGAGTACCTCTATTATAACTTCAAGATATTTCATGTTGTGTCACAATTCAGGTTTCCCTTCAAATAATTGAGTTCGTAAAGTATACTTATTATAGTTACTACAATGTTTTTGGTTGATAATCCTTTCATATGTTTGTATTTATTCATTTACTTTTTCCTACTATCTCTCACTTTTACTTTCTCTTGCTATCTCTTTATCACCTCCATATAACGTGATTATCAAGTACCAAAGAGTATTTTTCTCCTCTTATATGTCACTCCTTCAGTTCACCTCTCTTAACTTTTAGGTATCTCGAGTATCTTTTTCTCCAGTTTATCCGCTTAATGATTATACTACAACACAAATCAGAGTATGCTGCTCTCCTCAGACATGCCTTTCAAAACCTTACCTTTTATTATAATATTAAGAAAAGCTTTTCAGGACTAGATCTGTGATAATGTTTACCACACTATCAAATTCTATGAAACATAGAATTTGTTCTTGAAGCTATATAACCATGTTTATATTTTTTAGTCAATTACTTAGACAATGTTTCTTGTAATATGCCTCATTCCCACAAAATAAAATAGCAGTCATTGAAGTGGGCCATGTGTATTTTTTAGTATTGAGCATGTTGAAGAGGGTAGAGAGACCTAAAAGAATGTCACGGTGTGAGAAATATTTTTATTCACTACAATTTGCCACATGATGAGGGTGAAGAATAATTTATAATATTAGAACTGAGAGTGAAATGTTATATTAATAACTCATCCCAGAAATTTTCTCAAAGAGAAAATCTGTCCTTTTTTGGAGATATTTCAATGTACTTATTTGGTAATAAGTTGAGATTTTCTAGTTATATACTGAGAGAACTGAGATAAGACAAAGAAGGAACTAGAAAAAAGATAGATTCCTGATAATAAAAAATATAATGAATATGATTTTGACTGGGTAGTTGTGGTTTAGCAAACTTGGGATAATAGAGCAGGAAGTCAGTGTGCCTAATAGGCTAGGACTTTCTATGTACAAACAATCTGTGTGAACCTTCTGAGGATAAAAATGGCAAAGGAATTTTTAAGAATATGAATTGATATTAATAGTAAGGGTATGCTTTATATATAGTAATATGATGCCATTTCTATTATATCAAACCATCAGTAGATAGTTATCTCACACCAAGTCTTATGCTACTACCCCTTTATGGAAGGAAAAAGAATGGGACCTATTAGGATGAAGAAATGTGGGAAAACAGGATAGGCATATGTTCCAAAAATCATAGAGACTTAGAATATAATTATGTTATGTTTGGAGGACAGATATACACTGGTAAAAGAGATACTCCCTGGCCTTCTAAAAAATTAATAAATCTACAGATATTGGAAGAAACAATAGTTTCTTCTTAAAGATTTTGAGTGAAATTAATCAAAATTTGTAAAGACGGGCTATCTGGGTTAAAATATAACAAGCATCAAAGAATACTGCTATCATTTGAATGTTTTTGTCTTCTTTAAAATCATTGTGTTGGAAACTTAGTCTCCAATGCAACAATGTTGGGAGATGGGGACTAATGGGTTTAGTTCATAAGGGCTCTGTCCTCAAGAATGGGTTAATGCCACTGTGTTTGCAGAAACGGGTTTTGTCTCTTTCACTCTTCTGCCATGTGATGACATAATGTTCTTCCCCTCTGGCAAAAGCAACATTTAAAATACCATCTTGGAAGCAAAGACCAGATTCTTATCAAACACCCAAAGTGCTGGCTTCTTGATATTGTAACTTCCAGCTCCAGAACTAAGAGAACTAAATTTTATCCTTTATACATTACCCAGTCTCAAGTATTCCATTATAGCAGCACAAAATAAACTAAGACAAATATTTTAGCATGATATGTTTTCTTATAGTTTTAATATATAATTTATTCTCACACACTGTATTTATTAAAGTCTTCCATTTATTTATTTAAACTGCATAGTTACTAGTAATTGTGCAAGTTTGTTATTACAGCAAGCTGAGGATACTACAATAATATGTACCTTAAAGAATACAGTTACATTTTTTGGGGGGGTCAAATAAGCATATAATCACTGAATTTACAGAATTATTTGTCTTTGATATTAAGAAGTTAATAATGTGATGGTTTTGGTAATAATAGTGACCTCTAAACTCTGTACCCATAACAACTGTTCTTCTTTTTATGGACAGAGTTTTATTAACAAGAACTGTCTTTATGCTTCAGTCACCTTTCAATACCATACCCCTGCATCTCAGCTTTTCCCTAAGCCTAAAAATTTTATTTATAGTTTTAAACTAAACACTTCTAAAATTGAAATTATGTCTCCCTTTGGTTCTATCAAGCTTACATCTCTTCCCTGTTTTTTAATTCTGTTAATAATATCACCATCTACTTACTTACTAAAATGTAAGACATGGCTTCATCTGCACTATTTCTCTCACTATCTCTTTGTCACCTCCATATAACATGATTATCAAGGACTAAAGTGTATTTTTCTCCTCTTACATGTCACACTTCATTTTACCTCTCTTAACTTTTTGGTACCTCGAGTATCTTTTTCTCCAGTTTATCCTCTTAATGATTATACTACAACACAAATCAGAGTATGCTACTCTCCTCAAATATGCCTTTCAAAACCTTGCCTTTTATTATAATATTAAGGAAAGCTTTTCAGTACTAGATCTGTGATAATGCTTACCACACTATCATTTTAACCTTATTATATAATACTTTCTAAAATATCCTTTATACTCTAAACATATCAAATTTTTCTGTCATTCTAAGTACAACATATTCATTCTTCCACATTATGTACTGACATTCTTTTCTCCCTCTACTGCATGAACTACTACTTATCCTTAAACACTGAGTTAAAATGTCAGCACTCTTCTAAGGCAAGGTATAAATTTCAATGGCAGATCAAAAATACCTGCTACTACTTAACTTATTCACTTAGAATCTATTAGAATCTACACGTCTCTCAAATGACAAATTGACTTTCTCAGATTTAGTTGTTTCCTACCAATCCATAGCATATTGAAGAGTGAGATGACCAGGAATTAAAATTCCATGATATGTCACAGGCCTGTGCCTTGCTGCAATAAAGTATATGAACATTTATATCAGATAGTTGGTGCCCTTTAATATCTATGAACAAAAGTCATTGATACAGATATTTGAGAGGAAAGTTAATGACTTTGCTCTGCATATGCTCATTTAAGAAAAGGGATTATAAACAGATTTGCAAGGTCAGCAGAGCACTGTAAATTAAGGATATGCCTGGAGAAGATTGAGGTCATGTAGCAGATTGCATTGGCTTACCATAAAGACTTACCTTCAGTAAGCTTAGAGAAATAGCAGAAAATATCCTACATGAAAAAGAGTCAGGCAATAAAAAGAAAGCTTGATTCACTTTCCAAGAACTGGGAATCTAAAGTGAAGTAATGCTCCATCAAGAAATTCAAAATGCCAGCTGGATAACACATAGCTGCAGAGAGACCAAATACTCAATTAGGACACTCATGAAAAGGGAGACCTAAGCCAACTAAAGGAAGAACGTGAGCTTAAACCAGAAACTAAGGACATATTTCTTCCAAGAAGTATTTCTTGAAGTTTTTTTCTAGTCATCTGAGATATATAGAGAATATATTTCTCTATGTTTTATGGGGATTACAATTTTGAACAGATGGGAAGGAGTAAGGGGATATAGCCCTGAAAAAGATTAGAAGAACAAGAAACCTTATACCTAACTAAGGCAAACCACAGCATTTTGAAGATGAGAAAACTGAGGCTCAGAGAGGGTAAGATCATGCTCTCAACTCACATTCCAGTGCGTGACTCCAGTAAGGATTGGCTTTTTAGTACCTAATTCAAGGTCTGATGTCAGGATGTCATCATAAATTAAAAGCTTTAGAAAATAATGAACCACATTTCTGGAACAATCCCCTTTATGACCATTTGGGTAGAACTCTTTTAGTATGAATATTATTGTCATTTTTGGTATCTTGAGATTTAACTATCTTGATGATATACAAAATTGGAAAGATCAATCACTAAATTCTGTGGGGGCTAAAATCATTTTTGCTTTTTCTTGGTCTTAACTAGTGGATCTAACTATCTGAGAACACTCCTTAGATAGAGGTGAAATTTATGGTTAGTGTTCATCCTATGAGTAGAGAGATAAAGAACTGGTAAATCAGTGTTTGCAGAAATTTCATTTTTTTCTTTCTTATAGCTTATGTAAACAAACAAGGAAGATCTGTATGCTTCCAGAAACAAACTGTATCTGCAAGTCAAAAATTTATGTATTGTCATTGTTTATTTATTCTTTGCCCTGTTAAGCATTTTACTAAGTTTTTTTTCATTTTATAATGTATCAATATTTTCTCAGTCATGTGATGGATAATAAAAAAGTTTATATTCATAACGGGACATAGGCTTAAAAGGGAAGCTGTATTACTATTACCTTATGTAGTATATAAGTACACAAAATTAAAAATATGTAATTAAAATACAAATATCTCTTAACCTGAAAGAGTTAATGCATCATTTCCTCTCTAGTTAGAAACATTAACAATTTAGGTCTCTGTCCTTCATGTTAACAGATTCAACA
Source organism: Homo sapiens (assembly GCF_000001405.40). Classification (NCBI taxonomy): domain Eukaryota; kingdom Metazoa; phylum Chordata; class Mammalia; order Primates; family Hominidae; genus Homo; species Homo sapiens. The sequence continues at coordinate 23,104,125 of NC_000009.12, forward strand.
CTTTGATACATGACTCAAATGTACAGAAAACATGTTTATAATATAAAACTGATAGAAATCATGAAATAATAACAATTACAGTGGTTACAGAATTAATTAAGATGATCTTGGCAGGTTGAAACAAACGGCCATGTGTTTAATAAAATGAAGAAAAGTGAATATCAAATACTGCATTTAGATTGAAAAAAATCAAACAAGAAAAGTTTGAAGAACTATGTTATTTCTAAATGCATTTCAAAGTTTTGAAGTATATTTTATTTTTTAAGCTATCTTTTAAGTGTAGGTTTTTGAGTTGCCTTATGGTTAAAAATGTGTTTTACGGGTAATCATTTCTTTGAAATTTTAGTTAGTTTTATATAACAATGTGTTGAATTTAAGGTATTTTACTTTGCTTAATATATCAGTGTCTGATGACACTGCAGAGTTTGCAATTTTTGCTTTACTACTTTTTTGACAATGTTGTTATATACATAAAATGTCATAACCTTCTAAGTAAATTTTATTTTAATTATTATGCATATACCTATTTACCTATGTTAATGCCATTCCCTTAATTTTAATTTTGTCTATTACTATATTGGTATAATAACATTCTTCTGAACAGTCTTTGTTCATTAGATATTTTTCCCATTTCTTTATCTGGAACATTTCAAAGCAATTTTATTTGTGGTATGACATTTAAAAGCAGACGATAGCTAGGTACATTTTTGTTTCTATCAACAAAGTCTTTGTATTTTAGTTAGTAGGTATATGTAAGTCATTTACATTTATTGTGATAATATATTTTACCTTTTCCATTATCTTACTCTGCCTTTCATAGTTACCTTTTTTTTCATTTTTTTCTGTAACTGTTAAACTGATACTATTTTGTACAACTTAACCTTTTCTTTATTAATTTACTGGTTTGGAAGTTATTAAGTATAATATAGTTTTCCTTCACTATCCATGGAGGATTGGTTCCAGAATTGTTTCAAGAATAGTGACAGGAGCGGGTGGAGCCAAGATGGCCAAATAAGAACATCTCCAGTCTACAGCTCCCAGCATAAGCGACACAGAAGACAGGTAATTTCTGCATTTCCAACTGAGGTACCGGGTTCATCTCACTGGGGAGTGCCGGACAGTGGGTGCAATGCACTGTGCATGAGCCGAAGCAGGGTGAGGCATTGCCTGACCCAGGAAGCGCAAGGGGTCAGGGAATTCCCTTTCCTAGTCAAAGAAAGGGGGGACAGATGGCACATGGAAAATCGGGTCACTCCCACCCTAATACTATGCTCTTCCAAAGGGGTTAACAAATGGCACACCAGATTATATCCCGCACCTGGCTCGGAGGGTTCTACCCCCACAAAGCCTCGCTCATTGCTAGCACAGCAGTCTGAGATCAAACTGCAAGGTGGCAGCAAGGCTGGGGGAGGGGCACCCATCATTGCTCAGGCTTCAGTAGGTAAACAAAGCGGCTGGGAGGCTCGAACTTGGTGGAGCCCACCACAGCTCAAGGAGGCCTGCCTGCCTCTATAGGCTCCACCTCTGGGGGAAGGGCATAGACAAACAAAAGACAGCAATAACCTCTGCAATCTTAAATGCCCCTGTCTGACAGCTTTGAAGAGAGTAGTGGTTCTCCCAGCATGCAGCTTGAGATCTGAGAAAGGGCAGACTGGCTCCACAAGCGGGTCCCTGACCCCGGAGTAGCCTAACTGGGAACACCCCCCAGTAGGGGTGGACTGACACCTCACATGGCAGGGTATTCCTCTGAGACAAAACTTCCAGAGGAGCGATCAGGCAGCAGCATTTGCGGTTCACCAATATCCGCTGTTCTGCAGCCACCACTGCTGATACCCAGGCTAACAGGGTCTGGAGTGGACCTCCAGTAAACTCCAACAGACCTGCAGCTGAGGGTCCTGACTGTTAGAAGGAAAACTAACAAACAGAAAGGACATCCACACCAAAATCCCATCTGTATGTCACCATCATCAAAGACCAAAGGTAGATAAAACCACAAAGATGGCGAAAAAACAGAGCAGAAAAACTGGAAACTCTAAAAATCACAGCACCTCTCTTCCTCCAAAGGAATGCAGCTCCTCACCAGCAACAGAACAAAGCTGGACGGAGAATGACTTTGACGAGTTGAGAGAGGAAGTCTTCAGAAGATCAAACTACTCCGAGCTAAAGGAGGAAGTTTGAACCAATGGCAAAGAAGTTAAAAACTTTGAAAAAAAATTAGATGAATGGATAAAACTAGAATAACCAAAGCAGAGAAGTCCTTAAAGGACCTGATGGAGCTGAAAACCACGGCGTAACTACATAACAAATGCACAAGCCTCAGTAACCGATGCGATCAACTGGAAGAAAGGGTATCAGAGATGGAAGACAAAATGAATGAAATGAAGCATGAAGAGAAGTTCAGAGAAAAAAGAATAAAAAGAAATGAACAAAGCCTCCAGGAAATATGGGACTATGTGAAAAGACCAAATCTACATCTGATTGGTGTACCGGAAAGTGACAGGGAGAATGGAACCAAGTTGGAAAACACTCTGCAGGATATTATCCAGGAGAACTTCCCCAACCTAGCAAGGCAGGCCAATATTCAAATTCAGGAAATACAGAGAATGCCACAAAATACTCCTTGAGAAGAGCAACTCCAACATACATAATGGGCAGATTCACCAAAGTTGAAATGAAGGAAAAAATGTTAAGGGCAGTCAGAGAGAAAGGTCGGGTTACCCACAAAGGGAAGCCCATCAGACTAACAGTGGATCTCTCAGCAGAAACGCTACAAGCCAGAAGAGAGTGGGGGCCAATATTCAACATTCTTAAAGAAAGGAATTTTCAATCCAGAATTTCATATTCAGCCAAACTAAGCTTCATAAGTGAAGGAGAAATACAATACTTTACAGACAAGCAAATGCTGAGAGATTTTTGTCACCACCGGGCCTGCCCTAAAAAAGCTCCTGAAAGAAGCACTAAACATGGAAAGAACAACTGGTACCAGCCACTGCAAAAACATGCCAAATTGTAAAGACCATCAAGGCTAGGGAGAAACTGCATCAACTAACGAGCAAAATAACCAGCTAACATCATAATCACAGGATCAAATTCACACATAACAATATTAACCTTAAATGTAAATGGGCTAAATGCTCCAATTAAAAGGCACAGACTGGCAAATCGGATAAAGAGTCAAGACCCGTCAGTGGGCTGTATTCAGGAAACCCATCTCACATGCAGAGACACACATAGGCTCAAAATAAAGGGATGGAGGAAGATCTACCAAGCAAATGGAAAACAAAAAAAGGAAGGGGTTGCAATCCTAGTCTCTGATAAAACAGTCTTTAAACCAGCAAAGATCAAAAGAGACAAGGCCATTACATAATGGTAAATGGATCAATTCAACAAGAAGAACTAACTATCCTAAATATATATGCACCCAATACAGGAGCACCCAGATTCATAAAGCAAGTCCTTAGTGACTTACAAAGAGACTTAGACTCCCACACAATAATAATGGGAGACTTTAACACCCCACTGTCAACATTAGACAGATCAATGAGACAGAAAGTTAACAAGGATATCCAGGAATTGAACTCAGCTCTTTACCAAGCGGACCTAATAGACATCTACAGAACTCTCCACCCCAAATCAACAGAATATACATTCTTTTCAGCACCACACCACACCTATTCCAAAACTGACCACATAGTTGGAAGTAAAACACTCCTCAGCAAATGTAAAAGAACAGAAATTATAACAAACTTTGTCTCAGACCACAGTGCAATCAAACTAGAACTCAGTATTAAGAAACTCACTCAAAACCACTCAACTACATGGAAACTGAACAACCTGCTCCTGAGTGACTACTGGGTACATAATGAAATGAAGGCAGAAATAAAGATGTTATTTGAAACCAACGAGAACAAAGACACAACATACCAGAATCTCTGGGACACATTCAAAGCAGTGTGTAGAGAGAAATTTATAGCACTAAATGCCCACAAAAGAAAGCAGGAAAGATCTAAAATTGACACCCTAACATCACAATTAAAAGAACAAGAGAAGCAAGAGCAAACACATTCAAAAGCTAGCAGAAGGCAAGAAATAACTAAGATCAGAGCAGAACTGAAGGAAATACAGACACAAAAAACCCTTCAAAAAATCAATGAATCCAGGAGGTGGTTTTTTGAAAAGATCAACAAAATTGATAGACTGCTAGCAAGACTAATAAAGAAGAAAAGAGAGAAGAATCAAAGAGATGCAATAAAAAATGACAAAGGGGATATCACCACCGATCCCACAGAAATACAAACTACCATCAGATAATACTATAAACAACTCTACGCAAATAAACTAGAAAATCTAGAAGAAATGGATAAATTCCTCGACACATACACTCTCCCAAGACTAAACCAGGAAGAAGTTGAATCTCTAAATAGACCAATAACAGGCTCTGAAATTGAGGCAATAATTAATAGCTTACCAACTAAAAAAAGTCCAGGACCAGAAGGATTCACAGCCAAATTCCACCAGAGGTACAAGGAAGAGCTGGTACCATTCCTTCTGAAAATATTCCAATCAATAGAAAAAGAGGGAATACTCCCTAACTCATTTTATGAGGCCAGAATCATCCTGATACCAAAGCCTGGCAGAGACACAACCAAAAAAGAGAATTTTAGACCAATATCCTCGATGAACATGGATGCAAAAATCCTCAATAAAACACTGGTAAACCGAATCCAGCAACACATCAAAAAGCTTATCCACCATGATCGAGTGGGCTTCGTTCCTGGGATGCAACGCTGGTTCAACATACGAAAATCAATAAATGTAATCCAGCATATAAACAGAACCAAAGACAAAAACCACATGATTATCTCAATAGATGCAGAAAAGGCCTTTGACAAAATTCAACAACACTTCATGCAAAAAACCCTCAATAAATTAGGTATTGATGGGACGTATCTCAAAATAATAAGAGCTATCTATGACAAACCCACAGCCAATATCATGCTGAATGGGCAAAAACTGGAAGCATTCCCTTTGAAAACTGGCACAAGACAGGGATGCCCTCTCTCACCACTCCTATTCAACATAGTGTTGGAAGTTCTGGCCAGGGCAATCAGGCAGGAGAAGGAAATAAAGGGCATTCAATTAGGAAAAGAGGAAGTCAAATTGTCCCTGTTTGCAGATGACATGATTGTATATCTAGAAAACCCCATTGTCTCAGCCCAAAATCTCCTTAAGCTGATAAGCAGCTTCAGCAAACTCTCTGGATACAAAATCAATGTGCAAAAATCACAAGCATTCTTATACACCAATAACAGACAAACAGAGAGCCAAATCATGAGTGAACTCCCATTCACAATTGCTTCAAAGAGAATAAAATATCAAGGAATCCAACTTACAAGGGATGTGAAGGACCTCTTCAAGGAGAACTGCAAAGCACTGCTCAATGAAATTAAAGAGGATACAAAGAAATGGAAGAACATTCCATGCTCATGGGTAGGAAGAATCCATATTGTGAAAATGGCCATACTGCCCAAGGTAATTTATAGATTCAATGCCATCCCCATCAAGCTACCAATGACTTTCTTCACAGAATTGGAAAAAACTACTTTAAAGTTCATATGGAACCAAAAAAGAGCCCTCATCGCCAAGTCAATCCTAAGCCAAAAGAACAAAGCTGGGAGCATCATGCTACCTGACTTCAAACTACACTACAAGGCTACAGTAACCCAAACAGCATGGTACTGGTACCAAAACAGAGATGTAGACCAATGCAAAAGAACAGAGCCCTCAGAAATAATGCCGCATATCTACAACTATCTGATCTTTGACAAACCTAACAAAAACAAGAAATGGGGAAAGGATTCCCTATTTAATAAATGGTGCTGGGAAAACTGGCTAGCCATATGTAGAAAGCTGAAACTGGATCCCTTCCTTACACCTTATATAAAAATTAATTCAAGATGGATTAAAGACTTAAACGTTAGACCTAAAACCATAAAAACCCTAGAAGAAAACCTAGGCATTACCATTCAGGACATGGGCATGGGCACGGACTTCATGTCTAAAACACCAAAAGCAATGGCAATGAAAGCCATAATTGACAAATGGGATCTAATTAAACTAAGGAGCTTCTGCACAGCAAAAGAAACCACCATCAGAGTGAACAGGCAACCTACAGAATGGGAGAAAATTTTTGCAACCTACTCATCTGACAAAGGGCTAATATCCAGAATCTACAATGAACTCAAACAAATTATAAGAAAAAAACAAACAACCCATCAAAAAGTGGGCAAAGGATATGAACAGACATTTCTCAAAAGAAGACATTTATGCAGCCAACAGACACATGAAAAAATGCTCCTCATCACTGGCCATCAGAGAAATGCAAATCAAAACCACAATGAGATACCATCTCTCACCAGTTAGAATGGCGATCATTAAAAAGTCAGGAAACAGCAGGTGCTGGAGAGGATGTGGAGAAATAGGAACACTTTTACACTGTTGGTGGGACTGTAAACTAGTTCAACCATTGTGGAAGTCAGTGTGGCGATCCCTCAGGGATCTAGAACTAGAAATACCATTTGACCCAGCCATCCCATTACTGGGTATATACCCAAAGGACTATATATCATGCTTCTATAAAGACACGAGCACACGTATATTTATTGTGGCACTATTCACAATAGCAAAGACTTGGAATGAACACAAATGTACAATAACGATAGGCTGGATTAAGAAAATGTGGCACATGTAGACCATGGAATACTATGCAGCCATAAAAAATGATGAGTTCATGTCCTTTGTAGGGACATGGATGAAACTGGAAACCATCATTCTCAGCAAACTATCGCAAGGACAAAAAAACCAAACACTGCATGTTCTCACTCATTGATGGGAATTGAACAATGAGAGTACATGGACACAGGAAGGGGAACATCACACTCCAGGGACTGTTGTGGGGTGGGGGGAGGGGGGAGGGATAGCATTAGGAGATATACCTAATGCTAAATGACGAGTTAATGGGTGCAGCACACCAACATGGCACACGTATACATATGTAACAAACCTGCACGTTGTGCACATGTATCCTAAAACTTATAGTATAATAATAATAAAAATAAAATAAAATAAAGATAAATTAATAAAAAACTAGAATAGTGACAAGAAAAAAAGAGTATACATGCTCAGCAGATGTAACCATCCATTTTTTAATCAAATATATATATATTTTGTTATATTTAATCATGTGTGTATATATATATATATATATATATATATAAAATAGTTTGTTTGATTGTTTGTTTGCTTTTGAGATGAAGTCTCACTCTGTTGCCCAGACTGGAGTACAGTGGCAAGATCTCAGCTCACTGCAACCTCTGCCTTCCAGGTTCAAGCCATTCTCCTGCCTCTACCTCCCAAATAGCTGGGATTACAAGCGCATGCCATCACGACTGGCTAATTTTTTTAGTTTTAGTAGAAACAGAGTTTCACTATGTTAGCCAGGCTGGTCTCGAACTACTGACCTCAGGTGATCCGCCTGCCTCCCAAAGTGCTGGGATTACAAGCATGAGCCACCATGCGTGGCCTATTATTTTTGATCCATGGGTAGTTGAATCTACACATGTGGAACCCACAGATATTGAGGGATGACTGTATATGGAATTTATAATATATTTATATGTATATGTTCAAATAAAATTTTAATATAAATGAAGTATGTATCGAACAAAATCAATTGTTATTCAGTATTTCTGTCTTTCTCCCAATATGGCAGGAAATCTCTCCATGCTTTACCCATTGTAACTACTAGCCCAACCTGCATATCTTTTTAATATTTTAAAGTGTCTATTTCACTTTTTTAAACTTAGAAAATAGTTATTATTAAATCCTTAATCAAATTTACTGATATCATTCATCAAGCTCTATGCTTGTTCTTCCTTGTAATCTGTATATGCTCTCTTGGTTCATTGGGTTCACTGACCTTCTAATCAAGTACAGCCTCCCAAAGTTATTTGAGTTACTTAGGGTGCTAAACTCTTTCTATTATAACTTGAAAATAATAATTTAGCTCTCTCTCTCAATCATTAAGCTGGGAATATAAACAGGTAAACAGCTTCACCTTTTAATGTTTGTTTAACTTTAGGAAATTCTCTTCTCAAGGCCTCAGCTTTCTCATTTGTAAAATGGGAATAAGAGTAACTATCTCACAAGATATACAAATTATTGAGAACCCAGAATAAGTCCAGTGGAACGGTCAATTTTTATTTTTAGCAACTACATTGTTGTTTCTGGAATATATTGTTACTAATAATACCCATTTTTTATATGAGTGTGCTTTTGGTTTTATCATTACCAGTAGATTTTAAGATTATCTCTGTTTTCTTCAATTTTTTGTAATTTGACTGCAGTGTTTCGTGGTATGGGTTTGCTTTTTCTTAAATGAATATGGCTCAGTACTTAAATTTGTAAACTGGGAACTCATATCTCCCTTTATGTCTAGAAAACTCTCAGCAATTATTTCTTCAAATATATTCTACCATTATTTCTGTCATTCATTATTTCCAAATAGTCTTAAAGTGAATACTAGGATTACTTAGTCTATCTTCTATTTCTCTTAAATATTCTTTTGTGTTTTTTAAAAATCTCTCCACATTTAAACTATACTCACAGAGTCACCCTCATCAAAAGTCAAGACACACAAGTGTAATACAAATAATCTCAATGATCAGAGTTATAGATATGTCGGTAGTTTCAAGGGAAATGATGTAGTGATAAGGTAGTACTTTTATCATTCCTCTAGAAGGTCACCTTCTTCATCTACATTTATAGTGTTACCACTTTCCTAAAGAACGTGAAAAATGAGAATTGCTTATTTTATCATAGAGATCAGTGACAGTAACATATATTGAAAGCTTGTGATGTGCCAGGCAGTGTTCTAAGTGCTTAAAATTATGTTTTTAATATATGCAAAGTGAATGCATTTAATCTTCACAACAATATTAGGAGCAGATCTTCTCATCATCTTCTTTTAAAGATGAAAAAAATGAGGCTCACAATGGTTAATTACCTTTCAAATGTCACACAGTGAGTGAATAACAGAGTTATAATTTCTTCTTTTTTTTTTTTTTTTTTTTTTTTTTTGAGACGGATTCTTGCTCTGTTGCCCAGGCTGGAGTGCAATGGCATGATCTCTGCTCACTGCAACCTCTGCCTCATGGGTTCAAGCAATTCTCCTGCCTCAGCCTCCTGAGTAGCTGTTATTACAGGCATGTGCCACCATACCCGGCTAATTTTGTATTTTTAGTCTAGATGGGTTTCTCCATGTTGGTCAGGCTGGTCTCAAACTCCTGACCTCAGGTGATCCACCCGCTTTGGCATCCCAAAGTGCTGGGATTACAGGCATGAGCCACCGCACCCAGTCCAGAGTTGTAATTTCTTATGCAGCAGTAGCAAACTAATACAGCAATATGGATATATTTTATTTAAGCCATGATGCCATTTTCCTTTACGAGAGCTGTAATTGCCTCCTATGGTTTCCATGACCATATAGGCTGTTGTTGTTGCTTCTGCTATTTTTAGTTGTTATTGTTACATTATTTTCATAATAATAATGTTAATAACCATAAGACGTTAAACAGCACTGCAACAGAGCTTAAAAATGCTATTTGTTCCTTACAGTATTATGTTAGTGCAACATTCTTAAGAAAGCAGGTGAAAAGAAAGCAAACCAGAAATGAACACACTTTTATGGAATAAAAACTTATAAATTTGGGTTTTAGTTAAAGCTACCTGAGAGGGGGAAAAATGTACTTTAAATATGAGGTCAAGGACAGGGCTGGATTACACAAAATGTGCCCACGATTCGTGTACAAATGAGAATGCCCACAGAGAACTAAAACCCACATGACACACAGAAAGGAACATCTGCCAGCATCAGCAAATTGATGACATGTATAAGGCATTTCTTAGACCGATGTGGGAGTAGGAAAACATCACTTCTTTAGTTAATGATGCTTCGGCAATGAACATATTCAAATGCCTTGGTTCTGAAGACAGTGCCACTTAATGAGCATATCATAGACCACAAGATATTGCCATAAGTCAGAAATGTATAAGCAACACACAATTTCAAGCTCTTAACAGCTTTAAAGCATCTTCACCAATTACATCTGGTCACTTCCTTTCTAGTACTCCTAGAAACATACGAAGTAGTGTTGGGTTTAGGTGTGTGAATGCACGCCTATATTATCACCATTTTCCCTAATGCATTATACGTGTATAAACTTGTGCTACACCCATTTCTATTAACCTTGTATCTCACTCTTAACCCAAAGAGTAGCAGCTTAAAAAACAAACCCCCTCATATAATGTATGGATAAGTCCACACAAATAATTGTAATGTTTAATTAAACTAAACTGTCATCAACAGAGGTCATCTTTCAACAATCATATATCAGGGGCTTTAACTGTTGGAAATTAACTGTAAGATTGGCTTGACTTTTAAAGACAGTACGCGAGTTTCTCATTAGCCTTATTATCATTTTTGAATCATAAATATGTAAATGATGAGTTTCACACGGGAGATTTAATTCTGCACTCTTATTTCTGATTAGCTGGAAATACACTCTGGCTCTGTCAGATAATTGGTAACATTGCACACCAATAAGGCATTTCCCTACGCTTCATCAGAAGCAGTTGAAATTAAAGAAGGCAGAGCTGTTACGTTTTCGACAGTTTTGTAACACCAACTTGTTAAAGTTTTAACTCAGCCATTAATATAGTCCATGAATTATTAATACAGTTTTTATGTCAAGGTTATTTTTTAAAGTTGAGATCCAAGTATAAAGTAAAATGCTCTAGGAAAGAGAACTCTTACATTATTTTCACTTAAAAAATCTATACTAAACAATAGTAATTTGAGAACAAGTAAAAAACAACAACAACATTTTGACCACTTACTGTGAACCACATACTCATAGTATGTGCCATCATACTGGCACATATTGGCACTCATCATAGTGCCAAAATGTTTGTAAACTTTTAGAAGTTTGGCAGTAGTTGAATTTTTACTGCTTTAATATATGATGTTTTGTTTTTAAGATATGCACCTTCATTTCTTTGTTAGTAGAAAGTATGCATAAGGAATATCATATCAATTTTTCTTAAGTTGCCTTCTCCTAGAAATTAGGGGAGTTCAGTTTACCTCAACTTGAAGAAGTTTAAGCAGTTTTAATTCATAAACATTTCTCTTTTTTCTTCTGTCAAGATGATGCTAAGACCTTCAACAAGACAATAAACTCCTATGGATAAGGAATAACTCTTTTTATCTGTATTTTTGTCTTCCATGCTAGTACACAACAAGGGTATGCATTAAGTGTTTGTTTATGACATAAAGAAATAAGTTGCCACTTAAAGACATGTAATATTTCTAAATATGACAGACATATCTCTAGTGGAAATTTTTGTTTTCGCACCTCTTTAAGTTGGCTTTAAAAAATATTTATACTTCCTTAATAAGAAATTTCAATGTCTAATAACTAGCCATATGTAAATCTACTAGAAACATTGTCAAAGGGACTGCAATATTTGGTTGGCTACTATTTTATTTTTTCTATTTTTAAATTAGATTATCAATATGTTTATGAATATTTGTGCTATATATGATCATAAAAGCTTTCAAAACAATTGAGTATATACTTCAAAGTTTTTCTACTGGATAAATCCTTTATTATCACCTTCACTTTTTTTTTCAATTTTTATCATCATCTTCGCTTTATAATAACAATCAAGGTGTAGATTGATTAAGTGCAATTTTTAATAAGAAAACTAAAGAGGGCTCCCTAGTGTCCGCCTTGCAATAGGCAGCATTTGTGTTACTGCCAACATTGCATTCATTGAAACTCATTCCCCATAACTCCTTTCTCGATTTTCATCACTTTCTTTAAGAGTTGATCATTACACAGCACCCTTTTTACAGTAGGATTGGTGTCCTATACGAAGTCCAAAACAAAGAGTATTCCAGTGCCAACTAAAGTACTAATATTTTAAAGTCAATACATATTTGCAAGGGGTGGCTTCTTTTTTTCCAACAAACTCACAATATTTATTCAAAAAAATGTTTATGTTTAGAGTTGAATGAAGAACATTTGTAGTATAGGGAAAAGATCACACATTCATTTTTGCAGGCCTTTATTCTAGCCACTATCTAATTCATTCACAGCTAATTTCTCAGCATCAGTAAATTTTATCTAAAAAAGAAAAGTAAGCTATTACATGAAAGACAAGATTTGGTATGAAATTTAATTGCAATTGTCAGCATACACAATTGAATAGAGTACATTCTCTTTAATCAATCTTGTCCTCATGTGCTTCTGCACATTTGATTCCATAGTAAGTTGTGAAACAAAACAAAAATAACAGAAAATGTGCTGAATATTACCAAATTGAGAGCAGGCTAAATGTGTAGAAAGCTATATCCAAGAAATTTAAATCAATCGTATGAGGACTATAATATAGAAGGCAAGAAATCAAACCAAGCGGTAAAATTTCCACTGAGATAGGCATGTGACTGTTAGAAGAAATAGATCTATGGCTATTAAAAACATGATACTAGATATTCTTGTTAATTAGAAATGAATGCTCATTGCTGATCTGAGAACTGAGCTCAGGTGCACTTATCTTCACACATGAAGCCATCGTATAAGATAGAGTAAAATGAGAAATGAGCCATCAATTCCCAACTTAATTATCAGCCATCATGAGTGGTGTTATGCTACCTTACTGTAGTATATTAACTACACACAATTAATGATATGGACTGTGGGCCCAAGTAGACCCAAGTTCAAATTCTGGCTTTGCCATTACCTAGGCACAGTATCTTTGAACTTCAGTGTCTTATTAATAAAATAAGGAGATAAAATCTACCTTACTTGTTGTTAATAGGATTATAAGAGCTAATATAAAGCTTATTGAATAATAAGCAGGCCCATTGCATATCACTAGACTTTAAAAAAAATTCTTTTCTAGATTTTCAAAGAAATAGTTATAAAACTTGAAGGCAAAATCTGTCTCTCATACACACATACATATACATATATATATATATGCACATGGAAATTAGCCTAAAATCTTACCCTTCAAAAAAAGCAATATTGTCCATTGACAGTTGTGTGTACAGTCTTACAGATTTAATTTGTCTTACTGACTAGTGTAGGCAACGTATTTTTAGAGGACATTGCTCTGAAATGTAGAATACTTTAAAAAACTATCAATGTTCAGGTTTGAAGGGGTCTAAAAATAGCACTACCCTTCCCAACATAAGGAACAACTTAAATGAGTAGTAAACCAAAAGCAAATCACACAGAACCCAATATAGCAGCTATATTAGTGTTAAACCAAGTTGCCTTCTTGGTCTATCAGGGACAGTCCTGATCTAGGGTGGATAGATCAATTAACATTTGTTTATTCTGTTTGGTACATTCTTTTGTTCTCAAAAGTCTCTCCATATGGGCAATAAATACATAATTACCATAGCCAAAAGTTATGTGGAAGAATGTCACTTAGTTTTAAAGCAACATTTAACTGCCAAAGAAGAAATCCCACCATTAAACAGACATGTCTATCTGGTGACTGGCAGTACTGAATCACCACAGGTCTTCCCGTACAGTGACATCATCCTACAAGCTTACAGCAAGGAGGGGGAGCAAGGAGAGAACAGCAGTTTCTTGCTGTCCTCCTGGCTCTTAAGAGAAATGGCCCAGAAAGTTACGTGATACATGCCTCACATATTTTCCTAATCTACCAGTTTGGTAGCTCACTTACCATCCATAGGTAGCACTGAAAGCCAGGCCAGGACAAGAACACAAGAATGTTTCACTGCTGGATGATAATCAATGTAGAAGCATGAGGTCGAGGAAAGGAGTGACCCACCTTTTCTAAATAAAGAATCTGGCTTTCTATCTTGGGGAGGTCACTCAATAAAAGGCTAAGGGAGCCTAAACAATGGCTCCCATTACATTTTACTATGTGAACTAAGTTTTTTTATATTATTATGTTAAACAAAGGGAAAATATAGAAGAGTAAAAATAAAAAATAAAAATCACCAATAATCAAAAATCACAAATAATCCAATGACTATGACATACACATATTTTTGTATATATCCTTCCAGTCTTTTTAAAAAATAAGATGTAGTTAGACATAAAGAAAAGATAAACAGTAGGTATGTGGCCTTCCTTTATATGAAGACACTTGAGGGTTTGTTCTCTGGTTGAATCCTCCTTATAATGGTAACTTAAAGAATTCAATGAAGTGTTACAAGATCCCAGAAAAAGAAGAATCTGGCAAAGTTACCATGCACAAGATCAAACACCTAAAAATTGTTGCCCAGATTGTTTATTGAGTAATGATATTTATGAAATGCAGTTATATTTGTAAATGGAAGTTAGTCATGTACCCCTCAAGAGGTTAAGTAACTATTGGGTAAGCTATGGTTTGCATGTGGTTTGTCCCACCAAAATTTACGTTAAAGTTTAATTGCCAGTATGGTAGTGTTAAGAGGAGGGGTCTAAAGGGAGGCATTTGGAAACTGAGGCATTTGATCAGATTAATTAAATTCAACAAAATTCAGGTACCTACTTGTATTAGTCCATTTTCACACTGCTATAAAGAATTACCTGAGACTGGGTAATTTGTAAAGAAAAGAGATTGAATTGACTCACAGTTCCACATGGCTGGGGAGACCTCAGGAAACTTACAATCATGGCGGAAGGTGAAGGAGAAGCAAGCACCTTCTTCACATGGTAGCAGGAAAGAGAGTGCATGAGAAGAGAAGTGCCACACATTTTTAAACCATGAGATCTCATGAGAACTCACTATCACAAGAACAGCAAGGGGGAAATCAGCCCCTATGATCCAATCACTTCCCACCAGGCCCCTCCTCCAATTCAACAAGAGATTTTGGTGGGGACTCAAAGCCAAACCACATCACTACTATTAGACAAGCAGTATGCAAGTACTTAGGATGCAAAGGCAAGAATATATTGCCTCTTATTTATAGACAAAATAGACACCGATCTTTTTTCTTGTGTCTTCCATAGTACCCTCCTTGAAGACAGTAACAGAAATTGTAAAATGATGTTCAATATTGAATCAGTGAATTACCGGGGAAAAAAAAACTGGTCTCAAATGATTTTCAAGCAGATGGCTAAGAAAAGGTCCTTTTCTAAAAGGATTATTAAAAAAAAAATAAATACAGCCAAGCCACACAGGCATGGCGAAGCCTATGGAGTTTTAAAAGGTTTTCTTCAATGACTATTTTTATCTCCTGAAGCATAATTATTAGGCATCACAAATACAACTAAGTGAAGATTTACTTTCATCTTACATTATTTTCATTTAAAAATCACAAAGCATCAGGGGACCTTTCTTTCTATCTTGACGGTTAGATGCTTCTGTTCCCTGCTGCTATTAGTCCCAAGGATAAAAATGTGAAGTTGCTATAAATGACTTTGTCAATTTTATTTAGAAATTCAAAGTTTCAAACTGACACCAAGTCAGGCAACTCTAAATCTTACTGAACTTCACCCGCATATGTATACCTTCATGGTAATTTTCTTGCACGAAGAAGAGAAAGTAGCAGCAGAGAATTATTTTTTTAAGCACAGAATTATTTCCCTTGCTACTGGTATCACCTATGTAATGACAACAATTTCAAAATAGATATTTGAGCTTTGCCATTTGTTTTCATTAAATCAGTCCTCAGAGGAGATAGTTTTTTTCAGTTTGTTAGATAAAATAATTTTTCTCTATTATTGTACCTATCAGGCTATATTACTTAATATCTGCACAACTTGCCACAATCCAGTACACTAAATCATCTGGGGTAATTATAATTAAAATATTGAGTGAATATATAGAATATGGCAGAAAACAAATGAAGTAATATTTTTACCTGAGTTAAATAAATTTTATTGTCCAATATGGTAAGCAAGAATAAATGGGGCAAAGGTTGGAAAAGCAACAATTTATAGAATAGATATCAGGAAAGGAGAGCATGAAATAGCAAAAAGAAACAAAAGGGCTTTAGAAGTCAAATTGAAATCATAAGAGAAATAAAAATAAAAGGAATTTGTAGAGTTTCTGATACAGTGGCACCTCCTGGGTTATATCAAAGTTATTAGAGATTCAAATCAAGTAGTAGAAAACAAGCTTAATGACAGAAAAGAAACTTCAAATTACCTTTTGAAAATTTCCATGTGTTCATGTCCATTTACAATATTCACTATTTAAGTCTGCTGAGATGTTATTTTTGTTTTTAGAGAAAAGCAAAACAAGTGGTTTCATAATATCTTGCAGTAATATGTCATTGCTTCTTCCAGCTGTGGTTGCACAAGCTGTGAGCTTATTCTAGCCCTACTCTCACTTTAATCAGAATGGATTTAATAGAACCTTCCCAAGGTTTTGGAACTACACATCTAGATTCTCTTGCTTTGAACCTCCTCCTCTCAGGTCTATAACTGGACTTCTGAAATGTTCCTGAGATATCAACTTCACTTTGTGCCCCAGTTTGGATAACTGGGTCTCTGTCTTCTCTCCTCTGCTTTTAGTTCTTATTTTTATCATCTAAGCAATTCTTTAATGCTGTGAGGACTGCACCTCTGCTGTTTTCATGAAAGTCACCTAACCAGGGGAGGGACGCGGCCTCTGGATCACAGCCAAATACTCAAGCACTGGTACTTGCTGACAGCCTAAACTGTGCCTATGCTTATATTACCATTGCCATGTCCACTGGTATGTTTTATCTACTCATTGAATTATTTTTGCTGGAATGAATTTTTTATTATACCATTAGCTTACATGAAAGAACATTATAAAAATTAGCCAGCTCTTGAAATTCATTTATGTACGGCTACTACTGAGACTATTTCTCATCACCTTGTATAAGGAGTTCTTTATGAGGATCCATAGGAAGACTTCCTCTTTGAACCTACACACAGGAATCGTTATATCTGAAACTCATTATTTTGTATTTATTGTCATGCTTGTTTTTATTTTTTGAACATTCAAATTATATAACTGACTGTTTTCCACTTTTCGATAGTTGTTAGAAAAATTCAGCCTCCACCTTTATCAACTAGGCAGCACCTCACAGCCAATGTTTGTTTGCAGTAATTTCATCCCTGTCTTTCCCTACAAAATTCATCTCCCCAAAGTTTAGAAAGGCTCACCTAATTATTTTTAGTTTGCTCTTATCTTAGTGAGTTGAGTGTATTTTTGTAAGCTGTTTATAGTTTTGGAGAGGATAAAGATGGGGTAAAATAAATACATTCTACAGAAACATCACTTCCTGTTCCAGCCTGCAATCATGTAATGCCAGTTACGTCAGGGCAGAGGTTCCCCACCCATGAGATTCTGATTCTTCCACACCGTCCTCACCGTCTACAGTGACTGCCAGTTTTCAGGCTCTACACACAGGTCTGTGTTCCCAGTGTCTGTCTTAGGATATGGGGGAGACTAGTTCTGGGGTCTAAGTCTTCAGTCTGTCTGTGTTCCTGAAGATGACTTGTAAAAAGCGAGGTAGGATAGTAGAATCTTTCATCCCTTGACCTTCAGCTATCATTGGCTTCAAAAATATCTTTCTCACCTTTAGCAATCTCATTTTTAAAGTTCTTTCCAAAATGAAATTTTACTCCCTCCTTCAATAATTCATTTCAAGTATAAAGTATCCAAGATTTAGGAAATTCTATTTGTCCCTAACCAAAGTCGATGTATTGCTTTACATTATCATTATTGTTAAGACTGAAAGGTGGAAGAGAAAATCTATTCATTCTCTCCTCATTATCTTGAAGATGACTATTAACCATAACCCCAGAACTAAACATCTTAAAAATATTCAACTCAAGGATTCTTTAAGTATGTCAGTAAACATTCACCAGGCAGTGTATATGAAGGAGGTGTATACAGGGTTAGATAGTACTACTATTACTGGCTGTCAGTTACCTTGAATACACTTTTGCATACGAATTTATACATTCTTCAAAAAATAATTATGAGATAAAGGCTATAATTATGCCTCTAGCATAGATGTGGAAACTGAGGCACAGAGATTTAGAAAATTTCCTGTGGTCACAAGCTTTTTCAGGTGATGGAACCAGAATCCAAACTTGGGACACCTGACAACATAGCTGTGTAAGCTCTGCTGCTTGTAAGCGCCAAGGCCTATGCCAGTGACCAAATGTCCCCTATTTTTGCAGAAGTCTTTTTTAATGGGTATTTATTATTTTCTAAGAAATCAAAATTTCACTCAACCGTATCTAATATAACACTGTACATTTTATAAGAAATTTGTGTATTTTGATTTAATAAGTGCTATTATAATCACACAATTTTCTATTGTTTTCAGGGCAAAGGAACAGTTTCAGACCCGTGCAAGCTTGTCTAGACTCAGCTCTTCATAATTATGATTTCGTTTCTATGGACAGAGGGAAAAAGAAAAACAATTTCTACTTTCTATATATCTGAACTTGAGGACTACCAGTAAATACAGAATATTCATAATTCATACAATAAAACCTAACTCCATTTTGCATACAACTGTTCACAACTATTATTTACAACTATCAGCTATCATTATACCAATTATGCCGATATGGTGATATTATATTAACTATCATATTACAACTGTCACTTTCAGCAGTCATTTCTCCAGTACTTCAAAATCACAGAGCTAAGCCTTTGTAATATATTTTCTCATTTATTGCATCCGAGAACACTATGACCTAGATAAAATTATCAGCCCTATTTTACAGTTGAGAAAATTAAGGATCATAAAAGTTAAGTAACTGGCCTGGGTTTAGTGCTGAGGCAGAATTGGAATGTCTTTCTGCTATGTATGTCTGACAGCAAAAAGCATGGTTTTATTATAGTGACCCGATAACAGATCCTGGGCCCAAGGGTAATTATTTTTGAACATACTATACTTGTCAGGCTCTCACTGTATGATTGCCACTTTGCATCAAAATTTATTAAAATATTTTTTCAATCTCTTGCTGAACAAATTTTGCAAAACCAAATAAAAAGAAAGATAATGAAGCATGTGTGTTGGCCACCAGGGGGTGCAAGGTCCAGCATCCTAAATCATGTCCTCAACTTTGCAGGCCTTTTCTTGTGGTATATGAAAAAGGGAACTCTCTTAAGAAAGGCATAGAGTAAATCTAAGGGGTTTTGTAAATCAAAGGTCAACATTCGTTTGAACTACACCTGGTGGTAAATTAATATCTTTGAATTATGAAACTTGATCGAGGATGGGCCGACTGTGATAAAAAGAAATCAAATAAATGGAACTTCTACTATTTCTACACTATTTTCAGCATAATAAAAATTTGAAAGTGTCTGGCAGAACATTTAGCCACAAGAGTTTTTAAGGTATTGATTTCTGGGAGACAATTTCTCTTGATAGACGGCCTACATTTTAACAATGACCACTTCTAAGGGTGGTCTTGCCTGTCTTCACGTCAACCCACATAAATTGGACAGAGTGGGGTATATATGCCCAGCAAGGCAGGCTGGGGGCTCAGCTGTATATCTTTGTTTCTGGAAGTACTATTTCTATATCTAAAATGTATCTGAAGGCATGTTTCCTTGGAGGTATAATGCAACTATTGCCTCATACCTGGGTCAGTTTTGTTTGAATATTTCTGTTGTCATGCCGATTGTCAGCATGGTCCATAATTATGAAGAGTCCCTGATTGTAAAATAAAATAATAAAGAGAAAAATCAGTAGGAGAGTGCCTGGGGTGAATTTATAATGCATTTAAAGTGTGAAGCTGTCCATTTAACCCTTAACAATATTCATTTTCTTCACAATGTGCAAACCTTGTCAGTAGTTTGAAAAGCTATGAATTTAAATAACCTTAAGCAGCCTCAGAAATGAATAATTTGATAGGTATATCTGGCAGATGGTTGAAATGTCGAAGCTTTTTTTTCTTTTTCCCTGAGAACATGCTGCAGGGTTTCTGCCAAACTTAGGTTGTAAGGAAGGCAAAAATCAAACAATAAATGCTCCATATTTGCAAACTATCAACACTAAGATAGCATTTAAGAACAGTTGCCAGTCCCTCCTCCCTTGATTCTTTGGTGGAATGACCTGAAAAGCAATACCTTTTTATTTAAGATGAAATTTTTTAGTTTGTCAAAATAAATATTAACCTCGACTAAGTTTAAAGTCAATGGCCTACTAGTGGCTCTCCAGCTTGTCTTTGTGGTTTCATAAATCTTAATGCTTATTTCAATATTAATGTGAGTACTGACAACTGGACTAGCAAACTTTGATTGACATCTCATTGGAGGGACTCTAGTGAGAAAGAGAACACATTTTTTTTTTCCTCTGGCTGTTGTTGATATAGGTAGACACACACCTTATCTTGTACAAATAGGTGGAAAAAAAACCCAGCTGAAAATAATATTGTAGACACAAGTCAACACACACCTTTAACAGGATCTATTTGTTACAAACCAGTGTCTTTACCAGAAGTACAGTCAGGATGTAGAGTAAATGTTCCAATAACATCTGTTGCTGTAAAAGAGGATCCTGATATAAGGATGCCTAAAAATGATCTAATTCATATTCAGAAAAAAGGAACACATACCCAAGGCTTCAAAGACCATCTAAACAAAAATAGCAACATGGTAGCATTCTTTGGAAAGTGTCAAGGTGGGAGAAGACATTTTTAAGTAAGAATCAAGAATATGCTAAATATAATAATATAAAAGGCCACTAATTATTTACCTGAAGTTATGTTGGCCTTCAGAGGGTATGTTAAGTCAGAAATGATTGAGGAAATTTTAGAAAACAAAATTCCAACTAATTATTATTAGAATGTTTACCATTCTTAAATACTTCAGAAAGTTAAGATAATAATAAGAACAATAAGAGTTAAATACATATAATATTTTAAATGTCAAAACAACTTATATATATATATTTTATTCAAGCTTCACATCTTAATGACATAGGTGAGCAAAGGAAGCAAGTCATGCAACTAATGATCAGAATTAGATTACAGATTTTAGAATTCTTAATCCAATGTCTTTTACTATGCAAATTTAACATGTTTATAAAAAATCATTGTAAAGGACTTTCAGATTTATAATTGAAAATGAACACAACAATTACCTCTTCCAATTACGTTAAAATTTTATATAGGAGAATAAATAAATAAGAAGTTGGTTTTCAAATATTTATATTTATTGGTATTATTATGCTAATTATCAGTATGTCTTTGGTTTGAGTTTGATGTTTCAAAACATTTATTTATATTGGAATTCAAAATGTTCTATAATTTGCATTGACTGAGTAGGACAGTCATTGTTTCTGTCCTGGTGAAGCTTCTATTCTTCTATTGGGGGAGAAAAACCTTCAAGAACTATTAATCAATTATTCAATTATTGCTGAGTTAAATATTTTGAAATAGAGGGTAAATAGGGTTTCCTGAAGTTATTAAAGGAAGGAGTCAGCAACTCATCTTTAGAAAGATAAAATCAAGATGAGATCTGAAGAATTAATTAGTTTTGTAAAAAAGCAAAGTGGGCAATAGATTTTGGCAAAGGAAACAGCATATACAAAGTCATAGGGATTTTTTTCCAGGGGCTTATAAACTTTATTTTTTATAGCAATTTTAGGTTCACAGAGAAGTTGAATGGAAAATACAGAGAGTGCACATATACCCCTGTTCACCTACTCATGTAAATCTACTCCACTATTGACATCCTGTATCAGAGTGGTACGTTTGTTACAACTGGATGAACCTACACTGACATTATTATCACCCAAAGTCCATATGTACATTAGGATTCACATTGGTTGTTGTAGTACATTCAAGGGTTTGGACAAATGTATAATGACATGGATCCACCAGGACGGTATCATAGAGTGTAGTTCCACTGTTTAAAAAACCCTCTGTGCTTTCCCTATTCATTCCTGCCCTCCCCCAAGACCTGGCAACCACTGATCTTTTACTGACTCTGTAGTCTTGCCTTTTCCAGAAGGTCATATAGTTGGATCATACAATATGAAGTCTTTTCAGATTGGCCTCTTATACTTAGTAATATGCATTTAAGTTTTCTCCGTGTCTTTCCATGGCTTGATAGCTTATTTCTTTTTATCACGAATAATATTCTTTTATTTGGATGTACCAGTTTATCCGTTCACCTTCTGAAGGACATCTTGGTTGCTTCCAAGTTTTGGCAGTTATGAATAAAGCTGCTATACAATCCATGTGCAGGTTTTTATATAAATGCAATCTTCAATTCATATGGGTAAATACCAAAAAGCATAATTGTTGGATCATTTGCCAAACCGTCCTCTGGAATTGCTGTACCATTTTTCATTCCCACAATAAAAATGAATGAGAGTTTCTGTTGTTCCATATCCTTGCCAGTATTTGTTATTGTCATTGTTTTGGATTTTGGCCATTTTAATAGGTGTGTAGTGGTGTCTTGTTTTAGTTTGCAATTTCCTAATGACTTAAAATGTTGAACATCTTTTCTATGCTTACTTGTCATCTATATCTTCTTTGGTGAGTCGTCTTTACAAGTCATGAGGATATTTTGAGGAGACAAAGCATGTTTGAGGAACTTCAGGGAAGTGAGCTATAGTCAATATAATAAAGGGGGGGAATCAAGAGGTCAGCCTTGTGCAGTGGCAGAGACCACATTATGCAGATCCATGTAAGGACAGGTTAAGGATTTTATTGCTTGTAGTAAGAGAATTGTATTACTCAATGGACTAACATGTTTCAAATTACATAGCTTGGTCCAAATTCACTAGCTTCATCTTCCATTCCTTTGTGTATTGAAACTTCGTTCTAGCTAAACTGATCTACTCACTAACTCTTAAATATATAATTTAGTTTCCCATCATATTTCAATTTCCTCTATCATTTTCCTTCCCTAAAATTATCCATATTTCTTGACCAATAAACGTTTTTTGGAAATAGAGCCATCCCTACTAGTCTGAATGTTTGTAAGTACTTAACACATCTATATTTCACATACTATGGTTATACCACTGTGAATAACTATAATAGCATAGCACATCCATGCTGAACTTTACCCTGGACAACGAGTCTTTGTAATCAAAATTTTTTCTAGTTCTCATCCAGAAAGATACTGACAGACTCAGAAGAAGAAAAAGACCAGGTAGTGAATTGGGATGAATGCCTGAGTATGTGGGCCTATCCATACATCTAAAATTCTTTACGCTAAGAACAGACGTTTAAAATTAATAAATACTTAGTGCGGAAGAACAGAATACTATCTGTGTGACGGAATGTTGGAAATTCCTAAAAGATCAGAAGATATGTATCAGATGTATAGAAGTGACTATATCCAAAATCATACATAGAAGAGTAGTTCTGCAGAGGTGGGAACTTTCCGTGATATAGTAACCTCGGAAGTAATGAACAAATGGTATAATAAAAGTCCTGGGAAATGTTCAGGGTGATAATTTGAGAAATAGCACTTGGAGCAGCCTAGAAATTTGGCCTCTGAAGGAGTTGGTAGCATAAGTATTTGCTTATAAGTATGAGTAACTGTACCTTGGAAGCAGAGCAGTGCCGCAAAAGATAGTTTATTTCTTACAGAGGTTTTGTGAAAGAATTACTAATGGATATACTTAAGCAAAATAAGAACCAATTTCATGTAAACTCCTCAGGGACAGCTACATCACATTAATAAGTGCCCACTCATCAATTACAAGTTACTCAATAAACTAATTCAATCATGAGTTTCTGATGCTCAGCCTGTATATGGCATTTATCTTGGATCCAGTATATTCCTATAAGGTCTTTGATTTTTGCATTGTGAGAAAGATTCTACCAAGGGTCAAATATCATGTATTTCTGATAATAAAGGTCACAGACCACCTTTTAAATTTTTGGCACATCTTAACTAGCAGCACCTACCTACTTTACATATACAGAACATTACACTCAACTGCAGAATACATATCATTTTCAAGCACACATGAAACATGCAAATATTTACAATATGCTAACAAAATGTCCAGTGAATCGAAGTTATACAGAATATGTTCTCTGACCAAAATGCGCTGTTAAATCAATGTAAATAGATAACCATAAAATGTCCATATGTCAGAAACTGGAAACTACATATCTGAATAATCTAGGGTCAGATTAGTAATTAAAATGAAAATGAGAAAATATTTTAACTAAATGATAAGCAAAGTGTATATAAATCTATATTTAGATGGAAATTATAGCCTTAAATCCATATATTAAATGGCAGAAAAATAAAGCTAAGCAAACGCTTAACTCAAGAAATTAGAAATATAAAGAAAATTAAATACAAAGAAATCAGAAATAAGGAAATAATATAGATAAAAACACAAATAAAAGAAAATAAGCATATAATGAAAGAATAAACAAGTACAAATGTTGGGTACTTGAAAAGCTTAGTAAAGTAGGTATCTGCCTAGGAATACTGATTAACAAAAATAAAGAGAAGACGCAAATAACTGATATTGAAAATTTAAGAAGGGCATTAGTAAAAATACTATGGCTATGAAAATGAATATAATACTACAAAAAACTTAATAATAACTTTTAAAATGTAGATTTTTTAGGACATATTTCTAGAAAAAACATGACCAAAACTAACATTAAGATATAGTAAATCTAGATGATCTTACAAATATTGAAGAAATTATGTTTCTTTAATTCTATGAATTTCAATTATTCTTTAATTTAACATACTTATACTAAAAAGTTTGAGGATCAGATGGTTTCTGTAGGAAATTCTATCAGCTTTTAAATTCTCAGTTTGATAATCCCAATGTCTGACATATCTGAGTGCAATTTTGATGTTGCTTTGTCTCTTTTAACCATTTAGCATGCATTGTTAATTTTTTAGGAAATCTGGACATGAATGTATTGAGTAAAAAGGACTGAGGTAGATAGGCTTTTGGTGTGAAATTTAACATTTATGTCACCAGCAATATGTGTTTACTGTTTGCTGTGTCTTGTTTTTATCTTCTCTGTTGTCTATGGGCTTTTCTAGAACCTCCTTAAATAGGGTTTGTTTAAGGTTTGCAGTTCTTTTGGCTGCAATGGTTGCTACTATATAAGAATCCTATTTGATAGGGGTGGAGGGAGGGGAAGTGTCGTGTGATTAGGTCTCAGTCTTTCTGCAAGCCTGTGTTGGATATCCATTTCCCTTCGCCGAAGTTGGTTAGACTCTGGTAAAACCCCAGCCTCTCAGGCTCTGGTAAGATAGTTCCCTTGAGGACGGGTCTTGTTGAGGAGAATAGAGACCTCTGGATATATTTCGAAATAGTTAATTTTCCCTCCCCACTGCCGGAAGCAAAGGGGATGATTCTCCAATCTTCACCCAGAGAACCAGGTAAAGCTCCTGGAGGTAATAGTCATGAAAGTGTGAGGGTTCCCGCTAAGATTGAGTCCCCTAGAACTCTCAAGCTAGTTCATAGTGAGACACCAGCAATTTGTCAATTGCAGTTTAAAGAGTTCCTACCACATTGGCTTTAGCTGCAGGGTTCCGCTGCTGGGCTCCTGCTCACAAAAAGCTCTAAGTCTCTGTGTCTGCCTGTCTGTCTCTATAGTTTATAGAGCAGAAGTTTTCTGTGTAACCTCAATTCTCAGATGTATCTAAGAAGAGTGGTTGATTTTCAGTTTGTTCAGCCTTTTTCTTGTGAGGATAGGAGTAAAGACTTCCAAGCTCTTTACATGGGCCCCAAACTAGAAGTCTATTAGCTTTTCAAGATATAAATATTAATAATATTACATAAACACTTTTAGCAAATAAAGCTGTAAACCACTCAATAATTTTTTTTTTAACTCCGTCGCCCAGGCTGGGATGCAGTGGTGTGATCTCTGCTCACTGCAACCTCTGACTCCTGGGTTCGAGTGATTCCCCTCCCTCAGCCACCCAAGTAGCTGGGAATACAGGCGCATGCCACCACACCTGGCCAATATTTTGTATTTTTAGTAGAGACGGGGTTTCACCGTGTTGGCCAGGATGGTCTTGATCTCCTGACCTTGTGATTCACCCACCTCGGCCTCCCAAAGTGCTGGGATTATAGGCATGAGCCACTGCTCCCAGCCAACCACTTAATAATTTTATGAGGCCAGCAAAATACTTAAACCTGACAAACAAGCTGAAAAGATATTCCAGACCAAAACCACAATTTATATAGACATACCCACTAAAATATAATAGCAGAAAAAATTTCAGAAATATCCAAATGTTGATAATAGCACAAATAAGCTGGATTCGATACCAAAATCCTAAGATAATTTAATATTTAAAAATCAATTTGATTCAACATATTTACTGAATAGTGTGGAAAATATCACATGAGCATTGCAGTAGATACAGAAAAGCATTGATAAAATTCAGTAAATTTTCATTAAGAAATTTGCATGCAAAGTTAAAAATAGAAAAGAATTCCCTTATCATGGGTTAAAAAATATATTTAAAAATCTATATTATAAAATCCATATATAAAATATACCAAAATATCTATAACATATATTATATCTAATTGGAAAATATTGAATGCCTTCTCTTTTAAATAAAAAACAAAACAAGGTACCCAGGAACAACATTCTTTTCAAGTCTCAACTTGATGATGTAGTAAAACAAAAACAAGCAAGCAAGCAAACTAATATGTAATATAAGGATTAGAGAGGGGGGAAATGAAACTCTCATTGTTTATAATGATATAAGTGGGTTTACAAAATCCAAAAGAATCCACAAATACATTATTAAAATAAGTTAGTGAGCTGAAAAAGTTTACTCAACACAATTTACTTTGATACCACTAACAAAATGTTAGAAAATAACCATTGTGTAAGTCAGTGTGGCGATTCCTCAGGGATCTAGAAATAGAGATACCATCTGACCCAGCCATCCCATTACTGGGTATATACCCAAAGGACTATAAATCATGCTGCTATAAAGACACATGCACACGTATGTTTATTGCGGCACTATTCACAATAGCAAAGACTTGGAACCAACCCATGTGTCCAACAATGATAGACTGGATTAAGAAAATGTGGCACATAATACACCATGGAATACTATGCAGCCATAAAAAATGATGAGATCATGTCCTTTGTAGGGACATGGATGAAACTGGAAACCATCATTCTCAGCAAACTATCGCAAGAACAAAAAACCAAACACCGCATATTCTCAGTCATAGGTGGGAATTGAACAATGAGAACACATGGACACAGGAAGGGGAACATCACACTCTGGGGACTGTTGCGGGGTGGGGGGAGGGGGAAGGGATAGCAGTAGGAGATATACCTAATGTAAATGACGAGTTAATGGGTGCAGCACACCAGCATGGCACATGTATACATATGTAACTAACCTGCACATTGTGCACATGTACCCTAAAACTTAAAGTATAATAATAATAAAAGAAAAGAAAAGAAAAAGAAAATAAAATGTTATAACAGATACCTTTTACCATAGCATCAAAAAATATTAAATATCCAAGACTGAATCTAACAAAAAGAATGGAAGATATATATGTATGAAACTATAAAGCCTTTGATCATAAAATGAACCAATTAAATGAAGTTATATATCACATTCATAGATGAAAGCCTTAATATTATGAACAGCATTCTTCTTAAACTAATCCATAGACTCTAATCCTTATTTTCTTATTTCTATCCTTATTTTCTTAAATCTACATATGTTTGGTGAAACTTTCCAACATACTTCTAGAATTCAACTATCCCAGAAGGGAGTCTGTGGAGAAGTTTGCTTGGAAGGCCTGCCATCTATTCCTTTTTCTAGAATCGTATTTGTTCACTTTCCAAGATGGGGCACTTAATTATGTGCAGAGTTCCTTTAGGTTTCAAATGTCTCATGTCATCCAGGATAAACTACATGCTTGGGATGTGACAGGAAAATTATTCACTGGGTGCTGATATTCTGCATTTCTCTTGGCTCTCCCAAGCAGTCATTTTCAAACTACGTCTAATAGTGAAGGGATGTCCATACTCTACATCTGCCTCGCTCTAAATTGAAAGACATTGGTCAATTATTTCCTGGATTTGGTAGACTTACTTTTTCCCATTTGACTATGCTTTGAAGCATGCATCAGATCCTCACCAAACTATACAAAAATTTCTATGAATTATTAGATACTACTTTCTCTATGTTTCAAACAAAACTTTTCAAAGATTTTGGGATAAAGTTGGAGTCTACCTTTTTTGCTTAATAACTGTTGATATTTTTTGCTAGTTCTAATTCAGTTTAGACCACTATGTTGGAAGGGGTAGAATTTCAGATCTGCTCTTTTGGTGTAGTTTGCATCCACAAGTGTAAATACTGATATTTTAACATGATTTTTAGCTAGTTTATTGTGATAATTATCTTACAAAAGTAGACCTAATAAATGCCAATTGTATAACCAGGCCACATTAAACACTGCAAAAAATTCAAAATGATAAACAAGAACATGCTTTTAGCTTGAAGAAAATTTGAATCATTAGTTTAACTAATTAAATATTTCTTTCTTCAACACAAATGCTCCTTGACTTATGATGGGGTTATGTCCTGATATACCGATTATAAGTTGCAAATACCGTACTTTGAAAATGTATTTAACCTACAGAATATCATAGCTTAACCTAGTGTACTTTAAGTATGCTCAAAACACTTACATTAGTCTACGATCAGGCAGAATCATCTAACACAAAACCCATTTTATAACAAAGAATTGAACATCTCATGTAATTTATTGAATACTATACAGAAAGTGAAAAACAGAATGGTGGTTGTGTATTCAAAGTATGGTTTCTACAGAATGTGTATTCCTTTCACAAAATCATAAAGTTGGAAAATCTTAAATCGAACAGTCATGAGTTGAGGACCACAATGCAGGGAGGAGAGACAGGGAGGGAAAGAAATAGGGTGAGAAAAATAGAAGAAAGGCAAAGGAGAAAAAGAAACAGAGTGGGAAATAGGGAGTGAGGGAGAGAAGAAGGAAGGAAGAGAAATGGGCCACAGGGTCATTTAGTCTAGAAATAAATGTCATTTTATTTTATTAATCAACACTCAGTTAATACAATTGTTTTAGATGGGAAAGGCTTCCCTGCTTGATTTCACAAGTGAAGAATTAAAGTTTTGCTGTGATAAAAATGATTTAAAAGTCATTCTGGCTGTAACTGTGAGGTTGGAAGTGACAGGATGTTTATAATACTTGCTTGGATGCTTTACACATGAATTAAGCCTACGTTAAAAAGATAATAATATACATTCCACGTCATTTAGCAATCATTAGAAAGAACAAGAAAGGCTACAGAAATAGCTTTAATATTCCCTCTTCCCCACCCGACTAGAAAAAAAAGAATGAAATGCACAAACAAATTTAATAACACATACACATACACAACAGGCAAACTGGTCTCTTAAAATCTAGGGGCAAATGGCAAAGAAGAAAGGCAAAAAAAAAAAAAAAAAAAAAGATTGCATGGCACATTCACTTTTTTTCCCTATTCTAACTAGATTATTGTTTACAATATGGTATTTAAGGACTCTCATATCTAAGTTACATTTCCCAGCACAAAAGCAAATTATTCTTTTGCATTACTTTAATACTTTAGAACAGTATGCATTGCATTGAGACCTTGTAGAGCAAGGTGTTACATTTAAATCTTTGATCTCCAAAAAAATAGCAGGATCAAAGTTTTCCATCATTTGGACATAAATCTCAGCTCAAACAAAGTGATAATAGTCTAGTCAAGAAAAAGCAACCTGGAACAAATGCCTTTGAATTGGTGTTAGTCTACGTGGTTGGTGCATTACTGAATTAATTAATCATTTCTTTGAACTTCGATATTCTGCTGTCTCTAGGTTAGGAGTAAATGTCAGTCACTGTTCATCTATTTGAAATTCATTCTCAATACTAATATTTTGTAAATCAAAAGAGAAAAGAGTTAAACTTTGTGGCTCTGGGAAACATATTATGGGGAAAGTTTATGATGTAAAGAAATGCACACACAAAATTTAACATCTTTACTGCTCTCAATGAGAAAATTCTTATCCTAATTAAAGGACTGATTGAATTTGTGGGGTTTTTTTATTGTTGTTGAAGTTAATTTGATTGCCTACTGTAGTAATTAATGTAGTTATTAATGTGAAATCAAGCAGGTTGAGCAGAATCACAGCTCTTCCAGTTACTTGTTACTTGAACTTGAGCCAATTACATGACCTCCCTACCACACAGGTGCTCCATTTGCAAAATGGGGATGTTAATAGTACCCATCATATAAGGTGGTCATAAGCATTCATGAGATAGCAGTTGTAAAGTGTTTTCCACAATGACTGATTATGCAATACTTCCTATTCATAATTAATAAGTATATCACTGATATTTTAAAAGTATTCATCAATGACAGGAGTTTTAAAGCTTGTTCTGAGGATTTATGGAGAGTCTGTGGAAGAGTTAATAAGCCTGGAATTTCCTATCCTGTGTTTCAAAGAGTGCAGTTCTATTCTTACCTCTTTATATATTTTTAAAATGAGATTTAACATATTCAAAAGTAGTGAGAGCATTATAAAAAAATCTCCTATGTACCTATCACCCATTTTTATGTAATTAACATTTCAACATATTTTATTGTGATTTTCTTCATAAGATTTGGCTTGCAAAGATTTATGATGTTAAAAATTAATTTGAAAACCACTGACTTATAGACTAAATATATTCTAGCAAAAATGCGTGTTTCCTTTTTTCTTTTCTATTTTTTATTGATATATCACTGTTGTACCTATTTTGGGGGAACATGTAACATTTCAATACATGTATACAATATATAATGACCAAATCAGAGTAATTGGGGTATTCATCACCTCAAACATTTATCTTTTCTTTGTGTTGAGGGCATTACAATTCCTCTCTTCAAGCTATTTGGGAATATACAATAAATAACTATTAACTATAATTTCCCTACTGTGCAACCAATTACTAGAAAATATTCCTTCAATATAATCGTATTTCTGTACCCATAAACCAACTTCCATACACCCTCCCTGCCCCTTCTCCTCCCAGCCTCTGGTAACCACCATTCTACTCCCTATCTCCATGAGATCCACTTTTTTATCTCCCACATATGAGTGAGAACAGGTGATATTTGTCTTTCTGTGCCTGGCTTATTTTACTTAATATAATTACCTCCAATTCCATCCATGTTGCTATAAAGGCCAGGATTTCATTTTATTAGATGGCTGAATATTCCATTGTGTTTATATACGACAGTTTTTAAACCCATTTGTGCATTGATATACACAGGTTGATTCAATATTGTGGCCATTGTGAATCGTGCTGCAATGAACATAAGAGTGCAGATATCTCTTTGATATCCTGATTTCCTTTTTTTAAAATATATACTTAGCAATGGAATTGCTAAATTATATAGCAGTTCTATTTTTACCTTTTTTGGGGATTTACATACTTTTTTTTATAATGGCTGTAATAATTCACATTCCCATCAACAATGTATAAGGTTCTCTTTTCTCACCATCCTCACCAGCATTTGTTATTTATTGTTTTAACAATAGCCATTCTAACTGGGGTGATATAATATCTCATTGTGGTTCAATTTGCACTTCCTCATCGTAATTCTGAGCATTTTTAAAATATACCTGTTGGCCATTTATATGTATTCTTTTGAGAAACATTTATTCAGTTATTTTGACTATTTTTTATTTAGACTATTTGTGAGGTTTTTGCTATTGAGTTGGTTGAGTTCCTTATATATTTTGGTTATTGATCCTTTGTCAGTTTGACATATTTTTTCCATTCTAGAATTGATCTTTATCAAGACCCATGTCCTGGAGAATTTCACCAATGTTTCCTTCTAGTAGATGCATAGTGCAGGTCTTACATTTAAGTCTTTAATTCATTTTAGTTGATTTTTTGTATGTGGTGAAAGATGGGGACCTAGTTGTATTCTTTTGCATATGGATACCAGTTTTCTCAGCAACATTTATTAAAGAGACTATCTTTTTTCCAATGTATGCTCTTGGCGCCTCTATCAAAAATGAGTTGGCTGTACATGCAGGATTTATTTCCTGGGTTTTTTATTCATTGATTTTTGTGTCTGTTTCATTGGTTTAGGTGTCTTTTTGTGCCAGTAACATGCTGTTTTGGTTACTCTAGCTTTATAGTACAACTTAAAATCAGGTAATATGTTGCCTCCAGCTATGGTTTTTTTTTTTTTTTTTCTATCTTTTTCTCCTTTTTTTTTTTTTTTTGCTCAGGGATGCTTTAGTCATTTCAGGGTTTTCATGGTTTCATGTGAATTTTAGGACTTTTTTTCTATTTATGTGAAGAATGTCATTGGTATTTTGACAGGGATTACATTGAATCTATGGATAGCTTCGGGTAGTATAGACATTTTAACCATGTAATTTTTCCAACCCATGGGAATGTCCTTCAATTTTCTGTGTGTGTTCACTTCAATTTCTTTTATCAATGTGTTATAGTTTTCCTCTTATAGATCTTTTACCTCATTGGTTCAATTTGTTCCTAGGTATGTTTTGGTAGCTATTGTAAATCAGACTGCATTCTTGATCACTTTTTCAGACTGATTGCCCTCAATGATCTCCATACCTGTTTTATTGCCCTTCTATAATCCATTCTCAATGCATCAACGTGAGGAATCTTTTATAAACATAAATCAGATGGCATCATTCCCTGGCTCAAAATCCTAGCTTTCTCTGAATGCAGTCCAAATTCATCACAAGACCCCATGTTATCTCTCCCTCCCCCTCCTCACGTGGTACTCTTTTCTAATTCACAGCACTCCAAACACATGGATTTGACAATGCCATTACTTTTCTTCAAATAAGCACACCAACCTTGTTCCTGTCTTAGGACTTTGTGTTTGTTTTTCCCTCTGCCAGGAGCACTTTTCTGTCAGATTTTCACTCTCTGTAGCCTTTCATTTCACAGGTCTCTGCCTAAATATTGTCTCCTTGAAGAGTCCTTTCTTGACCACCTAATCTAAAGCAGTCAATCTCCTTTCCCAGTCACTATCACAGGAAGACCTTATTGCAGTTCTCACAGCACTTATTAGTATCTGAAATTATCTTTCTAGTTTATTGATTTCATTTTGTCTTTTTTCTCTCATATAATTTTAATAAGATGATGGACTTTGACTCTTTTGTTAGGTGAATTTTCCCCAGTGTCTATTTATTGGCTGATGCAATAAATATTTGTTGGGACAGTAGTTAAATGAATAAAAATATTATTAAATAGGGGGTGTGGACCACTGTCCTTTTAGGCCAGACTTCACCCTAATTGTAGTTCCATCCATTTTTAAAAAAGCTTTATTTAATTACTCATTTCATTTCCCTAAGCCATTTTCTCTTTTAAATAGAATTATTATAAGATATGTTATTCCTGGGAAGATGGCATGAAATGACATACAACTTATTCTCCATTCACCACTCTACTGCACCCTGGATCTACCAGATCCATTTCCCACTCTACTGCATCCTGTTCTGTGCTGTGACTGGTATCCATAATCTGTATTACCTGGATCCATTTTCCCTTAAGCTCCTCCTTGAGATCCAACAATAGGAGAACTCCTCCACTTCCCCTATTTTCTTTTCCAGACATGTTTTCTTTACCAGCTGACTCTGAATGTAATAACAGATTCTGCCTGGCTGCTTTTTCCCTTCCAAGTCCCAGCTCTTATCAGGCACTGGCAATGCCATTCTTTCTTCTTGCTTTCCAGGGGAGCTAAAGTCTTCCAACTATTTTTAGTACCTGGATGCCTTATTGCCCATATGTTTATAAATAGTTATTTCCTTAATTAACTTAAGCTAAACTCTTTCAGGTGAGCATTTGTCTCTTGCCAGGACCATGATTAACACTGATACTGTCTGTGGGCATTTTCTACACTTCCCAGAAACAATTTATTTTAACAACATTTATTGAATGCCAATTGCATATCAGGCACTAAGTAGGCACTCAGCACTATGTGTATCTGATATATAGACATAAGTGTCATAATGATGATGTTTTCATTAAACAAGATAGCAAGTCTTTTAGGCATAATTAAAAATCAAAATATAACATCATTAAATTAAAATGTGGGTTAAGAAAATGCAGCAGAAGATTTGTGTTCTGGTGAGTCGCTGCTTCTTTTGTTAGTGTTTCTGTTGGTTTTATGCACATATCACAGA
The DNA here is from genome assembly GCF_000001405.40 of Homo sapiens. NCBI lineage: Eukaryota > Metazoa > Chordata > Mammalia > Primates > Hominidae > Homo > Homo sapiens. The sequence continues at coordinate 23,138,379 of NC_000009.12, forward strand.
AATAGAAAATATATACATATTTACACGCATACACATACATACATATATAAATAGGCTTATTCATGCTTGATTTGTGTGCAAAGCTGCATCTTATCAAACTTCACAGTCAATTATATATTCACTGGCATGATCTACAAATGCATTAATGAATCAGATAAGGCAAATACAATAAATGCTTATTTATTTTCATTTTATCCAGCAGAACTTGCTGGTAATCAGCTACCTGTACATCCACACTGCGGTAACATTTCTACATATTCATGGCAGGCAGGGATCAGATCGTTGATTTTCAAGGTCTCTGACTCAGTCAGAGTTCTGAGGTTCCAAACCCAGACCCACATCTTACTAGACTTTTGCCTTGGATAAGCTGCTAAAACTCCAAACCTCATCTATAAAAAATAGACAGAAATAAACAATAGTGCCAGTCTCATTGAATAGGGCTGTTGTGAGAATCAACTATGTTAATGCATTTAAAATGCTTATCAAAAGAACATGGTGAATGCTTAAAAAGTAGTTGCTACTAGTGTAATTGTTATTAGTGATGATCCTGAGACTGCGTAAAATTCTGAAAGATATTCAGAAACGTAAAATTTGTAGTCTCCTTATTTGACATAGCATGTGGCTCCTGATATCTATTCTACATCAAACTTCTTTGAACTATTCTATATGATCACTGTGTGTTCTCTGTAGTCTACACATACACACACACAAACCCCTATAAAATATATATAAATATATTTCTGATTTTTTTTTTTTTTTTTGAGACAGAGTCTCCCTCTGTCACCCAGGCTGGAGCGCAATGGTGTAATCTCAGCTCACTGCAACCTCCACCTCCCGAGTTCAAGCAATTCTCCTGCCTCAGCCTCCTGAGTAGCTGGCATTACAGGCATGCATCACCACGCCTGGCTAATGTTTATATTTTTCGTAGAAACGGGGTTTCACCATGGCGGCCAGGCTGGTCTTGAACTCCTGGCTTCAGGTGATCCACCAGCCTCGGCCTCCCAAAGTGCTGGGATTGCAGGCATGAGCCACCACCCCCGGCCTATTTGTGATTATATATGGAGACTTGATTGACCAAGTATGCTACCTTTCTATCAATCCAGCATAATTACCTAAACTCTATAGCTCTCTAGTCTGTGAATAATCTAAAGAGGTAGAAAAGCAACAATTATTGCTGAAATGGGAGTGAGGCTAAGTAAGCTTGCCTCTTTCATGAAATCATTAGGAAACATGAATAGATCTCTTCTCTGTGATCTCTTGCCTTCATCTCTCACCAAAGTAAAGGATGTGATAAAGTAAAGGAAGTGAATTAGACATTGTGATTTTCAAAGAGTTGTCCATAAAACACTTCAACAAGGCTTTTGGGTAATTCTTATCCATGCTGAGTACCGGATAGAAAATGGTCTAAATGGTATCTTCTAACTGTATTCTTCAGTGATGCATGTCAAACCATTACCACTACATTAGGAATATATTCCTGTTAAACTGGCGACTGCCCATATGGGAAAGAGAAAACGGACACTGGTCTAAACCATTCAGACCTTTCTATGTTAAAACTGTTACTATCTACCTTATCTTTAACTGTTGTTTTTGCATCATCGCAATTTTAACATCCGCAAAAAAGCATAGGCTTAATGGACTGTGAAGCAGTGAGCCAATCACAAAGGCAACAAAAAATTCAATCACAAACACCTGCAACTCATTACAAATTTAGCAGCACAAATGCCAGAGGCTGTAATTGGTCTCAGGTAGTCTCTGCAACTCTGCCAATACTCACCTATAATTTGGAGTTGACATTTACAAAAAAAGACAACATTTACAAAAAGAAAAGGGCAAAGAGTTTTACCAAATAGTGCCACTCTTTCAACTTCCCCCTTCCTGCCAAGACACCTCAGGGAGAAAAAGATCAATTCTAAATACAGGTGCTATTTGTATTCCTTTTGGAGTACTTATGAAACAAAATTAATTAATGAAGAATTTAAAACAATATTCACTAGGAAACTGGGAGGTATTTTATTTTCCTCCAGAAACTAACATTCTCTACAAGTATCTCTAGTATAAAAAAAAAAAAATAGGGACAAAAGAGAGAAAGAAGGAGGGGGAGTGGAAATAAAAATAATGTCAGTTTTATTTTTAGATTTCCTTTCTATTTTGATTTAAGGATTAGGTATAGTCAGTAAATATAGACTTAAAATCTTGCAAATGAGGACTGTTACATTTGCAAATATGGAACGTTTTGGTTGTCATTTTGTGGAGTGAAAAGAAAAAAAATGGAACATAGGCATCTGGAGAGTTGAATTCTGGTCCTGGATCTGTCACTGGTTGTATAACATTGGAGAAGTTGTTTAACTCCTTGAGATTCTGTTTCCTCCATTTAAAATTTTGAAGATTGCAGGCTCTGGCTTGATATCCCTCTCAGCAGCTTCAGTTTCTGAGCAAGAACTCTCCATCAGATGCAAGCCGTAAACCGTTAATTTTTCTCCCCACATTTCCTTTGACAATCACTCTCTTCTTTATTTTTCACAGCATAAGCCTGATATACAGACACTGTCATTTGGAACAGACCCTTTAAAGTGCCTACTGCTAACGCACCTGCTATCTTAAGGAGAAATTCTACTTTGTACCTCATTCTGTGTTTTAAAATGTTAGCAAGATTTTTCCTTTCTCATTCTCTCAGAACATTTTGGAAGTTGCTTCCTTTCAGTGACATTTGATGTTAATTGAGGAATGCAAACTCATTTTAATATCGGAAATATAAACAGAAAAGTAGCCTTTTAATAATCAAATTGTAAATAAATAAAATATTTTAGTGTTATGCTTGGCATGGTAGCCCAACATTTACAAGCATTATTGAAAGTTTTGTAAGGAACAATGATTTGTTTCTTACAAATACCTGATTTCTCAACTGAAGTCACTCTCATTTCCTGTCCCGCATGTTCCATAACATTTTTTGTCATTTTCTTATACTACAACTAACAAACATGCTTAAAATTAACAAACAAACACCTTTCTTAAGCAAACCCTTCATCTAGCAAGTATGCTGCTGAAATAAAACAGCCCTGAACGTCTATGACTTAGGAGCCTTATTCTCTTATTTTAGGTATCATATCAAACATTCATAACTCATCTAGAAGATTCACAAACACAGGTCATTTTCACAAAATTTCCTAAATTGCCCTTTCTTTCTTCACCTCCGGCAGTTTGGAAAGGTCCTCTTTTCAAAAAAAAAAAAAAGTAATGCATGCAATATCAGAGTATCCAGGGTGCAGTGTGACAATCAGGTATGAAGCGAAGAAAAGGAAATAGAAATGGGAGAAGATAACCAAAAATGACTAGAGGTTATGTCTGTCTGTTTGTCTTAGTCTTCTCTGGCTGCCATAACAAAATAGCACATACTGGGTGGCTCAAAAAACAAAGGTTTATTTTCTCCGCACTCTGGAAGGAGGTTGGAAGTCTGAGATCAGGGCACCAGTATGGCTGGGTTCTGAGTATACCCTTTTAGGCTTGCAGACAGATACCTTCTTGCTGTGTTCTCATATGTTGAAGAGAGGGAAAAACAAATCTCACTCTCTTTTCTTCTTCTTAAAAGACCACAGTTCTACTGGGGTATGTCGCCAATTTTATAACCTCATACAACCTTAATTTCCTCTTAAAGATCCCATCCTCACATATAGTCACATTGGAGCATCAAAATATGAATTTAGAAAGGCTACAATTCAGTCCATAGCACTATTATTATAAAATAAGGAGGAGAAACATTCACAACATGTATTTAATTAAAAAAAAAAGTTTTATAAACAATATATACTGATGTTATACATATATGTATTGTATGTATATATTTGTATGGTATATATACACACATGCATATATATATACTTATAGAAAAATTACTAAAATATATTTGGTGGTTACTTCTGGGTGATCAGATTATGAGTGATACCTAATTCATCTTAGTTTTCACTTAAATAATTTCCTAAAACTGGGAAAAATACTGTTAATAAATGTTACCTCAATGAACTGACATACTCCGGAAAATAATCTGCTAACTTTTATAGTGATTTATAAACCTTTAACTCAGGTCACTATAAGTGAAAATATTTCCCTCTTCAATGAACTCGCAACCTCAGAATGCATTTGTGAGTTCTCTTGCAGTGTAAATTATGAGATTATTCCTAACCTTGTCAGGTTCTGGTGACATACTGCCTACCATAATATAATAGAAGCAATTCATAATTTTTTTTTTTTTTTACCTGAACTAGTTTCAAGTTCTGTGGCTTTGCAGCTGCCATTGTTCCTGCTTCACACAGAACATTCGGTACAGGGGATACTTTATGGGACAGAACAGATAGTTGAAAGCTGATTTTACTTGCTAATTCTCCCTTGTTATTCTGGCATTAAGGTTGCATTAGAAGGATGCAAAGATGTTTGATGAAAGTGATCTGTGCTGGGGTTGGTGCTCTGCAAATGCTTTAAAGGTGTGGCACATGACATTGAGCCAGTGCATCCAGGTGGAGCCTGGGACAGACATAAAACCCTAGGTTGGTAAACACCTGTCACAGGAAGCCTCATCAAGGAATTCTTGGGGAGTGGAACAGTGGAGCACCCTGCAATCCTCACAGGCAGCAGCCATAGTAAGCAATGTTCAGCATTTGCTGTGCCTCAGAGACACACACAGCATAACCCTACTTCAGCAGCTCACTGCAGAAAATGAACCATATCCCACCAAACGAGCAGTCAAGTGCTTGCTAAAGGACGTTCCCAAAGAGTATTGTTCTGAGCCCAAGGTGTGGGCTGTTGGGTTCAGGTGTGAGAAACAGACAGAGGCAGGGCAAGGCTGTTGGTATATACTGTTCCAGGAACAAATCTTTCCCAATTTAAGGCACTTTATATTGCAGCCAATAAACTCTTTTAGTAGCATCCGGTTTTGCTTCATGAGTGACTTCTGAAATAATGTGTGCTATTTTTAATACTCAATATCTGTGTTTGCCATGACATTAAAAAGATTCAGAAACAATGGGTTAACCAAACGGCATTTTGTCATTATCTAAATTCAACCCAATTATGAGAAATGAAAGCAAAGGGAAAAAGTTTAAGAAATTTGGTAGTAAAGTAAGAATTATTAAATATTCAGAGTCAATGTCTCTCCCCACTTAACTGGCTCTTTGACTAACAGTTTAATCTTCACATGGCTTAAAATTCGATTCATTTAGTACCTCCTCTGCTGCTGAGAAAAACCTGGTGCACGTGGTACTCTAAGATGGTCTGCTTCATCTTCAATCACACACTACCCTGGCTGGCAGCTTACCTCATCACTGGGCTAAGAGACTTTGAAGAGTATTTATTTCACATTCCACTAATTAAGCTGCGTATGTGACCTTACTAATCAAAGGTTCAAAAGAACCTGAAGAAAAATAATACATTGTTTTTCAAAATAATACTGTCTGAGTGAGAGTTAGTATAAAGGCAAAAGTAAAGTCTTAGAAAAGATTTTCAGGTGGTGCAAATATTCTTACCTATTTATATAACCTTACAATCTCTTATTATCTTGATCAGAAAATTAGACTAAGTATTTCCATCACAAAAGTGTCTGGTGATCACAGAGGAGGTGTGGTATGTCTAAATGACATCATCAGATTCACTTTTGAAATATCATATGTTATAAACAGTGCTAATATTTCAGTAGTCCACATTGGAGAACCCTTTAATGGGTTGGTTGACTTTCTCTATGAAAGTACAAACACTTATTAGCATATTCAATTATATTATCAATACAGTTTGCTTCAAAAATCCCAAACTCTTTTTCTGTTTACTCTATGGATTTCTATTTATAATATGCTTTTGTTGTTCTTTTTAGATTCAATCACCTTGGAAAGCCATGGCGGCAGCAGAGAAATTGCTTTATCAATATTGAGATTTATTTCTTTATAAATCACGATCTTATATTTACTGCCTTTTCTTAGGCTTAAATGAAGGATAACAGAAACATCTAAAAATCTTAAATTATTTGAGTTTTATTCACTTTTCTTTCTTCTCCTACCCCCAAGGCATATTATAATATTAAATCTCATAAAAAGAAGGAAGATAATGTATTAGTCCATTTTTATGCTGCTATAAAGATACTACCCAAGATAGTAATTTATAAACAAAAGGGGTTTAATTGACTCACAATTCCGCATGGCTGGGAAAGCCCCAGGAAACTTACAATCATGGCAGAAGGGGAAGCAGGCACCTTCTTCACAAGGCGGCAGGAGAGAGAAAGAGTGTGTGTGGGAGGAAATATCAAACACAAGTAAAAGCATCAAATCTCATGAGAACTCATTCACTATCATGAGAACAGCATGGGGGATTCCACCCCCATGATCCAATCATCTTCCGCCAGGTCTCTCAACACCTGGGATTACAATTAAAGATGAGATTTGGATGGGACACAAAGCCTAACCATATTATTCTCCCCCTGGACCCTCCCAAGTCTCATGTCTTTTCACATTTAAAAACCAATCATGCCTTCCCAACAGTCGCCCAAAGCCTTATCTTATTTCAATATTGCCCACAGTCCATAGTCTCATCTGAGACAAGGCAAGTTTCTGCTGCCTATGAGCCTGTAAAATCAAAAACAAGTTGGTTACTTCCTAGATACAAAGGAGGTACAGGCATTGGATAAATGCTTCCATTGCAAATGTGAGAAACTGGTCAAAACAATGGGCTACAGGCCCCAAGCAAGTGTAAAACCCAGTAGAGCATTCAGTAAATCATAAAACTCCAAAATAATCTTATTGGAATCTATGTCTCACATCTAGGTCAGGCTGATTTAAAAGGTGGGCTTCCATGGCCTTGGGCAGCTCTGCCCCTATGGCTTTGCAGGGAACAGCCCCCTGCCCCAGCTGCTTTCACGGCTAGTGTTGAGTGTCTGTGGTTTTTCCAGGTCCATGGTGTAAGCTGTTGGGGGATCTACCATTCTGGGGTCTAGAGAAGGGTGGCCCTCTTCTCACAGCTCCACTAGGCAGTGCCCCAGTCAGGACTCTGTGTGGGGGCTCCAACCCCATGTTTCCCCTTTGCACAACCCTAGCAGAGGTTCCCCATGAGGGCTCCGGCCCTGCAGCAGACTTCTGCCTGAACATCCAAGTGTTTCCATACATCCTCTGAAATCTAGGCAGAGGTTTTCAAATCTCAGTTCTTGTCTTCTGCATACCTGCAGGCCCAATACCATGTGGAAGCCACCAATACTTGGGGGTTACACCTTCACAGCCTGAGCTGTACCTTGGCCCCTTTTAGCCCTGGCTGCTGGTATGCAGGGCATCAAGTCCTGAGGCTGCACAGAGCAGTGGGGCCCTGGGCCCAGCCCATGAAACCATTTTTTTCTCCTAGGCCTCTGGGCCTGTGATGGAAGGGGCTGTCACAAAGGTCTCTGACATGCTCTGGAGACATTTTTCCCCATTGTCTTTGCTGTTAACATTCTAATTAATTCTAATTCTAATTCTAATTCTAACATTCTAATTCTCATTACTAATGCAAATTTCTGCATCAGGCTTGAATTTCTCCTCAGAAAATAGGTTTTGCTCTTCTATCAGATGGTCAGCCTACAAATTTTCCAAACTTTTATGATCTGTCACCTCTTGAATGCTTTGCTGCTTAGAAATTTGTTCTTCCAAATACCATAAATCATCTCTCTGAAGTTCAAAGTTCCACAGATCTTTAGGGCAGGGGCAAAGTGTCACTAGTCTCTTTGCTAAAGCATAATAAGAGTGACCTTTACTCCAGTTCCCAATAAGTTCCTTATCTCCATCTAAGACCATCTCAGCCTGGACTTCATTGGCCATATCATTATCAGCATTTTGGTCAAAGCATTCAACAAGTCTCTAGGAAGTTCTGAACTTTCCCACATCTTCCTGTCTTCTTCTGAGCCCTCCAAACTGTTCCAACCTCTGTCTGTTACCCAGTTCCAAAGTTGCTTCCACATTTTGGGTATCTTTATAGCAGGACCCCACTCTCTATGGGTACCAATTGACTGTATTAGTCTGTTTTCATACTGCTGTGAAAAAATCCCTTAGACTGGGTAATTTGTAAAGAAAAGAGGTTTAATTGGCTCACAGCTCCACATGGCTGGGGAGGCCTCAAAAACTTACAATCATGGAAGAAGGGGAAGCAGGCATGTCTTACATGGCAGCAGGTGAGAGAGAAGTGCAAGCAGGTGAGACACCAGACACTTACAAAATCATCAGATCTCAAGAGAACTCACTCACTATCACAAGAACAGCATGACCATATTATTGAAAAATGGCCCCATGATCCAATCACTTCCTACCAGGCCTCTCCCTCAACACGTGGGGATTACAATTCAAAATGAGATTTGGGTAGGAACACAAAGCCTAACCATATCAGATAACATCATGGTTCCTAAGGCTTTGTTTTTATTTGTTAAGGTTCAGAAAATAATAATCCAAAGTATGATGTTTTAACATGCTGAACACTTTGAATTAAGGACATTAAAAGGCCTTAGAAACTGCCTCAGAATCAAGACCTCTCTAACCTTTCCTGTTTCTACCCTGCTAAGTGCAGGGAGGGGCCCTCTTTAAAGTTCCATTATCCTGACTGAGGAAACTCTTCCAAAAGAAATGTCATTATCTTGGAACCCCTTTCCTGGAATCTATATTAACCGGAGGAGTTTAACTCTTATTGCTAGAGAGGAAACTAAAAGTCTCCATGCGCAGAAGACCATATCTGGACAGATTTTTTTTTTTTTTTTACCTGTTCTTTCAACTATTCTTCTAAGAGTTTTTAGAGAGATTTTATCTGCATAATAAAACAACTTTTGTTCACAGTGCAATTCCACCCTTACCTGCCCATAACTGTTGCCATATCCCCTAGAGCCCAAAGAATCTTTGTTCCAGGCTATTGTCTGATATTTGGTTCCATTCATTTCCCCTAAAACTCATTTACTCTTCCTGTAAAATTGTCCACAGTTCCCACTTCCCTCCCACTATGAAATGGGTATTCAATCCAACAGTTTGGTCCTACTTTGAGTCTCATTTATTGTTGTTGCTGTTTAATAAGTAAATGTATTGTGTTCTTCTATGACTACCCTCTAATTTCTTTGTTTTTTAAAAGAAGATTTTGTGAGTACTTAGTAGGATGTTTATATTTATGGGGTACATGAAATGTTTTGATACAGACATGGAATGCAAAATAAGCACATCATGGAGAATGGGGTATCCATCCCTCAAGCATTTATCCTTTGAGTTAAAAAAATCCAATTATACTCTTTAAATTATTTTAAAATGTACAATTAAGTTGTTAAGTGACTGTAGTCACCCTATTGTGCTATCAAATACTAGGTCTTATTTAGTCTTTCTTTTTTTATATACCAATTAACCATTCTCACCTACCACATTCAGCCCCCCACTATGTTTGCCAGCCTCTGGTAACCATCCTTCTACTCTCTATCTCCATGAGTTCAATTGCTTTGATTTTTAGATCCTACAAATAAATGAGAACATGCAATGTTGGTCTTTCCAAGCCTGGCTTATTTCACTGAACATAATGATCTCCAGTTCCATTCATGTTGTTGTAAACGACTAGATCTTATTTTTTTATGGCTGAATAATAGTCCATTTTGTGTACGTACCACATTTTCTTTAGCCATTTATCTGTTGATGGACACTTAGGTTGCTTCCAAATCTTAGCTATTGTAAACAGAGCTGCAACAAACATAGGAGTTCAGAAATCTCTCTAATATAATGATTTCCTTTCTTTTGACTATATAGCCAGCAGTGGATTTGCTGGATCATATAGTTGCTCAATTTTTAGTTTATTGAGAGACTTCCAAACTGTTCTCCATAGTGGTTGTACTAACTAACATTCCCACCAACAGTGTTTGAGGATTCCCTTTTCTCCACATCCTGGCAAGCATTTGTTATTGCCTGCCTTTTGTATAAAAGCCATTTTAACCATTTTAACTGGCATGAGATAGCATCTTATTATAGTTTTGACTTGCATTCCCCTGATGATCAATGATGTTAGCACATTTTCATATGCATGTTTGCCACATGTGTGTCTTCTTTTGAGAACTGTCTATTCAAATCTTTTGCCCTTTTAAAAATCAGATTATTAGATTTTTTTCCTACAGAGTTGTTGGAGCTCCTCATACATTCTGGTTATTAATCCCTTGTCAGACATGTAGTTTGCAAATATTTTTTCCCATTCTGTGGGTTGTCTCTTCACTTTGTGGATTGCTTCTTTGCTATGCAGAAGCTTTTTAACTTGATAGGATTTCATTTGTCCATTTTTTGCTTTGGTTGCCTGCACTTGTGGGATATTGCTCAAGAAATCTTTCACTGATGTTTTACAGTTTTCATTAGTGAGATCTTTCACTTCTTTGGTTAATTCTTAAATATTTAATTTTATGTGTGGCTATTTAAATGGAATTAATTTTTATTTCTTTTTACGAGTGTTCACTGTTGGCATATAGAAATGCTACTGATTTCTGCATATTGATTTTGTATTCTGCAACATAACTGAATTTGTTTATCAGTTTTAATAGTTTTCTTGTGGGGTCTTTAGGTTTTTCCAGATACAAGATTATATCATTAGCAAACAAGGATAATTTGAATTCTTACTTTTCCATTTTGATGCCCTTTATTTGTTCTCTTCTGTGATTGCTCTAGCTAGGACTTCCAGTACTATATTGAATAACAGTGGTGACAGTGGGCATCCTTGTCATGTTTCCGATCTTAGAGGAAAGGCTTTCAGTTTTTCCCCATTCAGTATAGTACTTGCTGTCGGTATGTCATATACGGCTTCTATTATGTTGAAGTATGTTCCTTCTATCCCCAGGTTTTGAGGATTTTTATCATGAAGAGATGTTGAATTTTACCAAATGCTTTTTCAGCGTCAATCGAAATGATCATATGGTTTTTATCCTTCATTCTGTTGACATGATGTATCACTTTCATTGATTAGTTATGTTGAACCATCCTCACATCCCAGGGATAAATCCCACTTGATTATGATGAATGATATTTGTAAACTATTTTTGAATTTGGTTTGCTAGGATTTTGTTGAGGATTTTTGTATCAATGTTCATCAGTGATACTGGCCTGTAATTCTATTTTTTAATCTGTCTTTGTCTGGTTTTGGTATCAGGATAATACTGGCCTCATAGAATGAGTTTGGAAGTATTTCCTGCTCCTTTATTTTTTTTGGAATAGTTTGAGTAGAATTAGTATTAGTTCTTAAAATGTTTGGTAGAATTGAGCAGTGAAGCCATCATATCTCAAGGTTTTGTTTGTTTGTTTTGTTGTTGTTGTTTTATTAACTGGGAGACTTTTTATTATGACTTTAATCTTGTTACTTGTTATTGCTCTCTTCAGGTTTTGGATTTCTTCTCAGTTCAGTCTTGGTAGGTTGTATGTGTCTAGAAATTTCTTCATTCTTCTAGATTTTCCAATTTAATGGCATATAGTTGCCCTTACTAGCCACTAATGAGCCTTTGAATTTCTGTGGTTTCAGAAGTAATGTCTCTTTTATCATTTCTGATTGTATGTATTTGGATCTTCTCCCTTTTTATTCTCAGTCTGGTTAAAAGTTTGTCCATTTTGTTTAACTTTTCACTTCTTTGTTTTCTCAGTCTGGCTAAAAGTTTGTCCGTTTTGTTTAACTTTTCAAATAACCAACTTTTAATTTTTTCTATTGTCTTTTTCACTTCATTTTTATTTATTTCTGCTCTAATCTTTATTATTTCTTTTCTTCAACTAATTTTGGGTTTGGTTTGTTCTTGCTTTTCTAATTCTTTAAGAGGCATTGTTAGATTGCTCATTTGAAATTTTTCCTCCTTTTTGGGGTAGAAACTTATAGCTATAAATTTCCCTCTTAGTGCTCCTTTTGCTGTATTACATAGGTTTTGGCATGTTGTGTTTCCATTATCATTTGTTTTAAGAAATTTTTCAATTTCCTTCTTAATGTTTTTCATTTACCCACTGGTCATTCAGGAGCATATAGTTTATTTTCCACACATTCATATACTTTGCAAAATTCCTCTTGTTATTAATTTCTAGTTTAATTCCATTGTGGTCAGAGAAGATACTTAATATTATTTCCATTTCTCTAAATGTTTTAAGACTTGTTTTGTGACCTAATGTATGGTCTATTTTGGAGAATAATCCATGTGCAGAGGAAAAGAATGTGTATTCTGCAGCTCTTAGATAAAATGTTCTGTAAATATCTATTAGATCCATTTGGTCTATAGTGCAGACTAAGTCTAATATTTCCCTGTTGATTTTCTGTTGGGAAGATCTGTCTCATAATAAAAGTTGGATATTGAAATCTCAACTATTATTGTATTGGGGCCTCTCTCTTTACCCATAAGAATATTCCCTTTATATATCTGGGTGCTCCAGTGTTGGGTACATGCATATTTAAAATTGTTTTATTCTCTTGCTAAATTGCCCCCTTTATCATTACATAGTGACCTTCTTTGTCTCTTGTATAGTTTTGGTCTTAAAATCTATTTTGTCTCATATAAGTATAGTGACTGCTGCTATTTTTTGGTTTCCATTAGCATGGTATATCTTTTACCTTCCCTTTTATTTCAGTCTATGTGTGTTTTTATAGGTGAAGTGTGTTTCTTGCAGGCAACAGATTAATGGGTCATCTTTCTTAATCCATTCAGCCAGACTACGTCTTTTGTTTGAAGCATTTAGTCAATTTATATCTAAAGTTATTATTGATACATAAGGACTTACTCCTGCCATTTTATTATTTGTTTTCTGGTCACGATTTCCATCTTTCTTTTCTTCCTACCTTCCTCTACTGAAGGTGATTTTCTCTAGTGATATAATTTTTAGATTCCTGCTTTTTGTCTATTCATTGTATGTTCTTTGGTTTGAGGTCACTATGAGGCTTGCTAATACTATCTTACAAAGTTTTATTTTAACCTGATTACAACCTAACACTATTTGCATAAATAGACAAAGAAAAATAGACTAATACAAATGCCACAGCTTAATTTCACCCCCCAGTTTTTTTTTTTTAACTTTTTGTTGTTTCTATTTATATCCTCTTGTAATGACTATGTCTTGAAAAATTGTTGTAGTTATTATTTTTGATTGGTTCATTGTTGAGTCTTTCTACTTAGGATAAGAGTAATTTACATACCACATTTACAGTGTATAATATTTTGTGTTTTTCTGTGTTTTTACACAGAAAACCCAAGAGTTTTATGCCTTCGGGTGATTACATATTGCTCATTATTGTCCTTTTCTTTCTGATAGACGTATTTCCTTTAGCATTTCTTGTAGGACAGGTCTGGCATTGATGAAATCCCTCAGCTTTTATTTGTCTGGGAAAGTGTTTATTTCTCCTTCATGTTTGAAGGATAGTTTTACTGGATTTCCTATCCTAGCATAATTTCTTTTTCCATCAGCATTTTAAATATGTCATACCACTCTCTCCTAGCCTGTAAGGTTTCCACTGAAAAGTCTGATGCCAGACATATTGGAGCTCCATTGTATGTTATTTGTTTCTTTCCCTTGCTGCTTTTAGGATGCTTTTTTAATCCTAGACCTTTTGGAGTTTGATTAGTAAATACATTGAGGTAGTCTTCTTTGGGTTAAATCTGCATGGGGTTTTATAACCTTCCTGTACTTGAATACTGGTATCTTTATCTAGGCTTGGGAAGTTTCCTGTTATTAACTTTTTGAATAAACTTTCCATATCTCTTTCTCTACCTCCTCTTTTAAAGCCAATAAGTCTTACATTTGCTGTTTTGTGGATATTTTCCAGATTTTTCAGATGTGCTTCATTTTTTATTATTTTTTCTTCTCTGATTGTATTGTCAAATAGCCTGTCTTCAGCTCACTAATTCTTTCTTCTGCTTGATCAGTTCTGCTATTAAGAGACTGATACATTCTTCAGTGCGTCAATTGTGTTTTCAACCCTAAAATTTCTGCTTGTTTCTTATAATTATTTTAATCTCTGATAAATTGATCTGATATAATTCTGAATTCCTTCCCTGTGTTATCTTGAATTTATTCAAGTTCCCTCAACATAGATATTATGAATTCTCTGTCTGAGAGGTTACATATTTCTGTTTCTCTATGATTGGTCCCTGGAGACTTATTTAGTTCATTTGTTGAGGTCACGTTTTCCTGGATGGTCTTAATGCTTGTAGATGTCTGTTATGCCTGGACATTGAAGAGTTAGGTGCTTATTATAGTCTTCACTGTGTAAGTTTATTTGTAGCTGTCCTTCTGGGGAAGACTTTCCAGATATTTGAAAAAAATTAGGTGTTGTGATCTAAGATGTTTCTGCTTTAGGGGGCACCCCAAACCCAGTAACATCATGATTCTTGGAGACTCATAGAGGTACTGTCTTGATGGTCCTGGGCAAGATCTGGAAGAATTATCTGGATTACCAGGCAGACTCTTGCTCTCCTCTCTTACTTTCCCCTAAACATAGTTTATCTGTTCTGAGCCACCTAAAGCTGGGGGCACAAAACACAAACACTCCTGTGGCCACCACCACTATGACTGCATTGGGTCTGACCTGAAGTCAGGACAACACTGGGTCTCACCCAAAATCTGTTGTAACTACTACCTGGGTAATACCTGTGATCACTCAAGTCCCTGGACTTCTAAAATCAGCAGGTGGCAAGGCCAGACAGGCCTTTGTCCTTTCCTTCAAGGTGATGTAGTCCCCGAGGTGCTGGGTGGCTCCATACGTGTCATCGAGGAGTTAGGGAATAGAGTAAAAAACCTTAGTGTCTACCTGGTATTCTATTGTATTGCAGCTAAAATGGCACACAAACCACAACACACACTTCTTCCCATGCTTCCGTCCCCTTTCTAAAGACAGAGGAGCCTCACTCGGTAGCTACTGCCACCCCAGGCCACAAAGAGTACTGCCAGACTACTGCCAATGTTCCCTTAAGGCCCACGCTTTCTTAAGTCAACTTGTCCTTAATGCTGGCTGGCCTGGGCTTCACCCTTCAGGGCAACGGGCTCTTCTCTGTTCCACAGTAGGTTCACAAATGCCATCCAAGAGTCAGTTCCTGCAACTGAGGACTTCAGGAGCCCTCTTGGTGCTGTACCCATCTGTGGCCATGCTAGTGCAAAGTCATAGTCCCCTTCACTTTTCCCTCTGCTTTTCTCAGGCAGAAGGAGTTTTACCCCAGAGCCACCACAGCTGGTAATAAGCTGAGTCTCACCTCAAGCCAGCAAGTTTCAGAGGCTTACCCAAGACCCTTGATATAGTACCTGGGTATCAAAGCTAATGATTCAGGGCCCAATCAGATGATGAATGCTTCCAGGACTGGGTCATTTTCTTCAAGCAAGGGGTTCCCTTCTGACCCAGGGTGTATCTAGAAATGTCATCTGGAAGCTAGAGTCTGGAACAGTGCCTTCATAACTATGACCAGTACCCTATCCTCCTGTGACTGAGCTGGTATCCTTGGTGCAAGACAAAGTCCTCCCCACTCTTTCCTCGCCTCTCTTTAAGTGGAAGGAAGGTCTCTTTGGAGAAGTGGGCCATGCAGCCTGGAGTGGTAATGCCAGCACTCCCTTGGCTACCCCAACTCCCCGGTCCACTGTTTCTGGATCTAGTTCAGCACTAGGGCTCACCTAAGTTTTGCAGTCTTTGTGGCCTAGACTGACTTTCAAGTTTACTGGGAGACACAGAATGCTGTAGCCCTCGGTGGTGAAGTTTGCAGGCACTCAAGTTCAGACCACTGGGATCGGTTTTTCTCCTCTGGCTAGAGCTGGTTTAAATGCTCCCTTCCTTGCTGGGGATCAGCTGAGTTTGGTCTGCTTTTCCCTTCTGTTCTAATAGGACAGCACTAAGTTTCGTGCTTCACAATGTACCAGTAGGTAGCTAGTCAGGCCTGATCAGGGCAAGAGAGTGCTCCCCACAACCTAACAGGAATGTCAAGTGACCATCACATGACGGTCAGGCAGCTGTCACACCGTTTCTCCAAAATAATAATTGGTAGCAGCCAGCACCAGGGAAAGGCAGTATCACAATAAATAGAAGCACCTGAAACTAATGATCAGTAGCTTCCCAATAAGCTCTCAAGAATTGGGCAAGTGAACTCAAGCATGCGCATTAAGAGGCAAAATGGCAGAATTTAACTGGTATATGACCTCTTAGGGATGTTCAACTGGTAAGAGAAGATTGCTTCAAGTGAGGGTGCATGCAATTCCAGTAAACACACTGAGCATGCTCCCCTCCCAAGTGCTTGCAGGCCACTGTGCATGGACAGCCAACCCCAAGGGAAGAATCAGGGGAGAAAGAACTCAAGACCCAGAAGTACGAAAATGCATAAAACCCCAAGTCAAAAGGTGAAACCGTGAGTGTGTCTTTCAAATCACCTGCTTGGCCCTCTTCCAACCGTGCTTTCCTTCCTTTCATTCCTGCTCCAAAGCTTTTTAATAAACTTTCACTCCTGCTCTAAAACTTGCCTTAGTCTCTCCTTTTGCCTTATAGCCCTCAGTCAAATTCTTTCTTCTGAGGAGGCAAGAATTAAGGTTGCTGCAGATCCGTATGGATTCACTGCAGGTAACAACAACTGCTGTGTTCTCCCCTCCCCAGCACCCAGACATGCTTTTTGCACCACATCGCTGCTGCAGGGGGATGGGAGAGGGGTTGGCAATTCAGAACTGTTTTTTCTGTCTCTTCAGTGCCGCTTTCAGCAATATGAAGTTAAAACCAGATACTATGAGGGCTTACCGGATTTTTGGTTCTTAGGAAGGTGTTTTTTCTTTGTAGATGCTTGTTAATTTTGGTGCTCCTGTTGGGGGGATGATCAGTGGAAGCTTTATTCCACAGTTTTGCTCCACCCTCTGAGTCTCATATTTTGTGTAGCTCCCGCACATTTTTGCACGTTAATACATTTGTATGTGTTTTCTCCTGTTAATCTCTTCATTGTCAATTTATTTCAGCAGACAGTTAATCAAATCTTCATAGGGAAAATTTAAACTTCCCTATATATTTTCTATGCAAGTGAAAATATAAGGTTGTAGGTGAGAACCTGGGTTCAAGAGTTAAAACCAAAAAGCAGAATTCACATACCATTTTCACTGTGTGAACTTGAATGTTATTTAACCTCAATATCTTCATCTCTAAAATAATGTATTAATAACAAGCTTCAGAGTGCTGTTTGAGGGTAAAATAACAAGCAAACTATAAGGCATATGGTGATTACACAATAAATCATATGTTACTATTATCTACAAATGTTTACTATGACATATTATTATGACCAATTTACTATTTTAAAAAAGACTGAATATATTAAATTCTATGTCATAGTTCACCTTGTTGGAAAACCACAGTCCCAGTTCCTTTAACTCCAAAGTATATTTTTCCTCCAAGTGCAAATATAGATATGATAGTTTTTTTTTATTTTTAAATTTCAGCAATCTGTATCAACAAGCTCTGGAAAGGTGTTAAAAACAAACAGACAAAAGCCTAATGCTTACTCTTTGTCCTTGATAGAACGTATGTTAATAGTTAATGAAATCCAAGCAGAATGTCCTGCTTCAACCTTTTCATCTTCAAATCCATCTAGTCCTGGCTGTCATGCACCAACAGGAAATATCTAGGAGGCTTCTTTGCCACCTGAATTTGTTTGTTCGTCTCTTTCTCCTTTACTAGGCCTGCATTAACATTTTCTTTCTTTTATGAAAATATTCAAATGCAAACAGAAAGCAAAACACTTAATCCACTCTAGTAGGTCTGTGAGACATATGGCCTGTGGAGTAATTTAATCCAGCCCACCATGGAATCTGAAAATTGCTTCTTCAATCCCCTGCTGTACCCAAATCTGAATGCAGGAAGAACAGTCTCAGAAACAAGAGCTCCTGAGTGCTGTTTCTAAGGGGCAAGGCCACAGAGGTGTGCAACTGTAGGGGTTTATGAATTCAATTTACTCATACTCAAAGCAATGCAAGAGAAATAACTGTAGTTCTCCTCTCCTTTAAAGAACTCTGGGTTAGAATGGAAAGAATTCAAAGCTTCTAACTCATTTAGAGAAAATACAGAGCCAGATCTGACCCAGGACCAGAAGGAGACCTTCTAAAAATTCAAATAGCTCCCATTGATAACTAATCCCTTGATGAGACAAAACTGACATTATCACCTTTTCAATAATGATGGTGCTTTGTGCAAACTACACCCCTCCACACATACACTGTAAAAGCTAGTGATTTCTGCTGTTTTGTGTACACACTTTAACAGCTGATGATTTTTTAGATTTTTTAGGGAAAAAATACTATATAAACATGCCTAAACCTTTTTAAAAAGGGTTTTGGATATTCTTCTGTGAGTACATGTGATTAAAATACTTAATGATGTCTCTGCAAAAACGAAAGACTCTACATTTTAAGGAGTTACATCCCTTATAATAGTCTCATTAATTTGTTCACTCATAATGCTCACTCCAATTTAATTTTTATTATATTATTTTATCTTTCTTGGGTTTCTTAGTGGGTTTTCATTACCCATAGGGCTGCAGCATGTCCAAGCACGAACCTCACAATTTCATTAAGTTAATTCAGTGGCCAAGAAATGTAGTTCTTCATAAAAAATGAGACATCTCCGAGAAACACAATTTGGTAGAGATATTAAAATAGTTTTTTTTAAATTCAGCAAGTCATCATCATTATATCCTAGAATATAGCAAGGCACGCAGAAGATGGCATACAAGCCTCCCTAACTGCATGCAATTGCTGAATTTGGAATTAGAGAATCTTCTGCCTCATCTTGGAACTGTCTCTTCATGCAGCTGTCCATTCAGTTAGTCTATTTACAAATAATTTTTGAATATTTTTATATCTGTAGGTGCTGTATGCAAATATGAAAAGCCAAAGTCCTCTTATTTGCTGTCTGAACCTAGCCACGTCACTTAAACACCCTGAGCTCCAGTTCTTGCATTTACTAAATGGGGATACTACTACTTCATAGCCTTACTGTGAGGATTAAATAAAATTATCTATGTAAAAGTGCCTCATACATCTAAGATGTTATAAAAATATTAGTTGGTGATGATTTCCCTGCTCACTGTATACAGAACACAGTGACTATGACATTATTACCCTCTCTTAATTTTTGATGACCAAGAAGGACCTTCTCACTAAGAAATGACCCTTAACCAACATCTCTTTTTTATGTAAAACTACATTAAACTCTGTACATCCAGTCCATTGCATTTCCTTCCATTCTCATCCTTGGCAGGGGTCGGGGGAGGAAATTGTTCCATATCATGGAAAATGTTCCACACCTGCACTCTCCCAAGTCAAAAATTTACTTATATAATTTACTTTAATCTCACTTTCTAAGGACTTAATTTAGTGGTAAAATGAGAGGCTTTCTCAGACAAATCTGCTGGTGACTATTACCAAGTTCTATGACATTTTTGTCTCTTCATCCGTAAAATAAATAAAATATCTACTTAATGATGAATTATGAAAATTAGAAATGAACTGTGCATACCTTACCTAGCTGATCAAAGTCAACGTCAACAGTGATAAATCATGTTCAAAATATGTACACTTAATATAATACGGCAAAAATGGCACTTTACAACCGTGGTCTTATTCCCCAAGCCACCTGTGTCATGATGAGAAAAATATCAGAAAAATCCCAATGAAAGGATGTTCTACAGAATACCTGACTAGTACTACTCAAAACTGTCAAGGCTATCGAAAAACAAGGAAAGTTGCAAAAACTGTTACAGCCAAAATATTAAGGAGATATGACTTTTAAATATAATATGGTACATGGAGGAGATCCTGAAACAACAAAAAAGGGCCACTTAATAAAAACTAAGTCTAAATAAATAAAATATGAACTTCAGTTAATAATAATACGGTTCATTAATTGTAGCAAATGTACCATGCTAATATGTTACCAATAGAAGAAATTAGGTGTGGCATATCTCAAAACTCTCTGTATTATTTTTATAATTTTTCTGATTGTGAATCAGAAAAATTTAGAATCACCATTCTAAAAATAAAGTTCATTTTAAAAAGGGATGGCACATGCAAATAACTAGAAATATTGCCTCAGATATAATAAGTGTTCAAACAAATGGTAGATGTTATTACCACTATTATGTAATTGACTGTAAGGCAATTAACACCAAAATTATGAAGAGTTATTTTTAATTAATATGCATATGTTTTAAGAATGTCATGAGAGCAAAAAAGAAATATTGAAAGAACAGCATCAAACACATCTATTCTGATATTTCAATTAATAAACTAATCTGCTTCAATCTTCCTGGGTGCGATAGTTAGTTTTATGTGGCAATTTGACTGGGCTAAAGGATCCTCAGCTATCTGATACAACATTATATCTGGGTGTCTGTGTGAGGGGGTTTCTGGATGAGATCAGAAATTGAATTAATAAGCTGCATAGAGAAGATTTCCCTATCTATGTGAGTGGGTATCATCAAATCCACTGAAGGCCCAAATAAAACAAAAAAGCAGAACGGCGAATTCACTCCCTCTGCATGAGCTAAGGCATCCATCTTCTGCTCTTGGATAGCAGAGCTCCTGGTTCTTAAGCTTTCAGAATTACACTGTGACCTACACACCATTGGCTCCTGGACTCTCAGGCCTTTGGTCTCAGACCAAATTATACCACCAGCTTTTCTAGTTCCCCAGTGGGGCAGATAGCATGGGACTTCTTGGCCTTCATAGCCCATATCGGCATGAGCCAATGCTTTTTTTCTTTCTTTCTTCTTCTTTTTTTTAATACAAGGTCTTGCTCTGTCACCTAGGCTGGAGTGCAGTCATGTAATCAAAGCTCACCACAGTCTCAAACTCCTGGGCTCAAGCAATCCTCCCAGTTCAGCCTCCTCAGTTCCTGGCACTACAGGTATACACCCTCAAACCCGGCTATTTAAAACAAATTATTTGTAGAGATGGGGTCTCACTATGCTGCCCAGGCTGGTATTGAACTCCTGGCCTCAAGTGATTCTCATGACTAGGCCTGCCAAAGTGCTGGGACTTCATGTGTGAGTCACTGCCCCCAGCCATGAGCCAATTCTTATGGTAAATCTCTTCTCTCTCTCTCTCTCTCTCTCTCTCTCTCTATATATATATATATATATATATATATATATATATATATAAACACACACACACACACACACACACACACACACACTGACTAATATACTGTGTTAATGTAGATAGCTAGGTCAGCTATTTTTACTACTCTCAAACCAAAATATACATTTGCCTAGGTCCAGTTACCATGATCTTATTTCTGTAAGCATGTAGAGTGAGATTTACATGTGTTCGTAGACATAATTAATAGCCTGAACAATCTATTGAATCTTCTTAAATTTTGGTCCTTTCTTCATCAGAAGGTTATAATAGCATCAACCTCATAAACATGTGAGAATTAAATATAGCAATCTGTAAAGGATCTGAATAGTGAGGTTTAAATAAAGAAGTGTTCAAAAATTCCTTTCATAATTTTTTGGCCTGGAAAATGCAGACATATTTAATTTTGTGTACATGTAGCTCACACACTTATAGGTACACATATATTTTATTTTCTACATTTGAGGAACTCCTCAAATTTTACTTTGTCCAAGAAGTCTCCCTTGATTAACCTGAAAAGTCACAGAGATATTTTTCAGCACTATACTAGAAATAGAAAGTGTGAACATTGACATTAATAGGCTTAATAGACATTAGTGTTTGCATACACTATACACAAATATATTTAGCCATTCACTGCACAAGCATTTCAAGAGAGGCTTCTATGTGTCAGAAGCTCCCAGGTGATGGGAACACAGAGACAAATATTCTCCATGTCCTGCCTTAAAAGGACCTCAATAATATGAGTAAATAAATATCCAAACGCAGATGTTAAGTTCAAAAAACTAAGGTACATACACACAATTGAGTAATATTCAGCAACAAAAAGAAATGAGGAAGATCTCTATTATTTAATACATAGTGACATATTGTTAAGTAAAGAAAAAGAGCATAGAGGCTTCAAGATGGCGGACTGGAATCATTTCACTCCAGCCTTCTCCACTTAGAAGAACCAAAATAGTGTACAGACAGTCATACTTTGAATGCATTATCCACAAGAGAATGCTGGAATTCAACAAAGAAGTGAAAGAAAACATCAAAAGTGGGGAAGGAGAAGAGAGAGAGGCAGTCTGCCTGGCTGGCATCAGCTGGGAGCCAGGAGTGACTTCCAAATATAGGGAAAGGGTAAGCCACAGACTTTCAATGCCCCACATCCTGACTGTGGAATCATGCAATCCTGGCTATGGAGAACCCTTTGACCTTTGTTCCCCTGTCCCATGGTCTCCTGGAAGCTTTCTTGGTCCCAAAACTAACATACGAAGCTGCCAGAAGACCGTGAGACAGTATTGCTCCAGAGAGGAAGCTCATGTTGGGTCACACACCCTTTTTGAGGCCTAAGCCACTACAGCAAGGTGCCATTTTCAAACCTAGCCTTTGGCAGACTGCATGCTGTCCTGGAGCCCAGTGACACTGGGACTGAGGTGTTACAAAAACTTGGACTGTCACTACTAGAATTGGGAAGCAAGTTTGGAGTCCTCCTACAGCTGGGATTAGAGAGCAAGTGAGGCATGAACTGCAGCTACCAGTGCCAGGAAGTGAGTACCACCGGAATGGAGACTGGAATATGAGCAGAACATGAGTTGCTGCTGGGACTTGGTTGCCAGTTGGGTGAGGCTCCTGCAACTGGGGAGGAGCATGAGCTAGGTGTGGGCTACTGCCAGCATGGTTGGGGAATAAGACCTGCTGGGACTTGGGCATGTGTGTTCTTCAACTGCCAGCCCAGGCTGTGGCCATCAAGGACAGCCCTGCCCTCTCCAGTGGCAGGGCCTCAGCATGGCTACTACTGCCCTTCACCAGAGCATTATACTTGGGGTCTGAGGATTGCCCTACCCCTGTCCATCATGGCTGGTGCCTGCTCTCATCACTGAAGGGCCTGAGCACAAGCTTGCCCAGCCCAGCTTCAACCCCCTTCTTTGAGACCCATCCAATAGCCTGAGATCCAGGGGATTGACCAATCCACCATCTTGGGCACCTAAGTATTCATCCCAGGGGTCTGATGTGGGGCTTGAATTCCCAGCCTTGACCAACTCAGCTCTGAATTATGTGCAAGCACGACCAGTGCTCCCAATAATTGGTGGGCCCAGTCTATCTCAGCAACTGCTAAATCAATGCATACCACCTAAGACCCATAGATTCATCTTGCCACTGCTATTGCCATCACTCATACCATGCCAGCTTCCCAGAGGCCAAAGAATCTGCCCATCCACCCAGTTCCACTGCTGCCACTACTGGCATCCAAGCATGCCACCTGGAGGCCCAAGAGTTAGGCCAGTGATAACCACCAAAACAGGTACCAGCATATACCGCTCTGGGCACAAAGATAAGTATGTTCAGCCCACTGCTGCCACCACTGGGGCCTGAAGACTTGCCCATCTGGCATTCCGATACCTAGCACAACTTCACCATACCCTAACTCACTAAGAAAATCACAGACACCACTAACACTGCTTACAGTGAAAGAAATCATACAGAGATTACACTACTGAATGCACCCAGTATCAAAGCCAAATTACCCTACCCAACAACATATATACGTCTTCAAGAAAAAGTCCTCACCTGTAAGAGTATACTCAAAAATAGGAAAAAGTGACTGTTATACCTGGTGCACAGATAACAACATAAGGACACAGGAAATATGAAAAAGTAAGAAAATATGACACCTCCAAAGGAACATAATGATTCTTCAGCAATACATCTTAATCATAAAGAAACTTTTGAAATCACAAATAAAGAATTCAAAATACTGATCTTAAAGAAGCTCAGTGCAGTACAAGAAAATTCTGAAAAATGATAAAAAAGAAATCAGAAAACCAATTCAGAATATGAATGAGAAATTTACAAAAGAGATAGATAGTTCACAAAGGAACAAAATACAAATTCTGAAATTGAAGACATCATTAAAACAAATACAAAATAATTTTGAAAGCTTCAAGAGACTTGATGACGGGTAGAGCAAGATGGCAAAATAGAAACCTAAACCATTTGCCTCCACACCACTGCAGGACCACCAAATCTTAACAGCTATCTGTACACAGAAAAGTACTGTTACAAGACCTAAAAATCAGGTGAGCAATCACAGTACCTAGTTTTAACTTACTGTCACTGATAGAGGCATTAAAGAGGGTAGGAGAGACAGTCTTAAATCACCAATACCACCCCTACCCCCTGTCCCAGCAGCAGCCATTCGGCATGGAGAGATAGTCTGTAAACTTGGGGAGGGGGGAGCACCGAAACTGGGGGACTTTACATTGAACTCAGTGTTGCCCATTCACAACAGAGAGCAAAGCTGTGCTGGTCTCGGCCAGCACCTATACATGGAAGGAACACATGGACCGGATCTAGCTAGAAAGGAATTCTCCATCCCAGTGGTTGGAATTTGAATTTCCCAGCAAGCTTTGCCACCATAGACCTAGGTAAACTTGAAAGGCAGTCTAGGACACAAGGACTGCAATTCCTAGGCAACTCCTACTGCAGGGCTGGGCACAGTGCCAGTGGACTTAGGGTTCATGGAACCTAGGGAGATTCCAACTTGGGTGGCTAAGACAGTGCCTGTGCCACCCCTCCCCAACCTCAAGCAGCACAGCTTGCAGCAATGAAAGTGACCCTTCCTTCTGCTTAAGGAGCGGAAAGCAAAGAGTAAAGAGGATTTTATCTAGCATCTTGGATATCAGGCCAGCCACAGTAGGATACGGCAGTGGGCAGAGTCATGAGGACCCTACTCCAAGCCTGAGCTCCCAGACAACATTTCTAAATACATCCTTGGCCAAAAGGGAACATACTACCTTGACAGGAAGGAACCAGTACTGGCAGGATTCATCACCTGCTGACTGCAGAGCCCTTGGGCCCTGAATAACCAGCAGCAAAACATAGGTAGTACCCCACAGGCCATGGTCTCTGAGATGTGCTGGCTCCAGGTGTGACATAGCACATTCTTAGCTGTGATGTCTAGTGTAAAAGACTCTGTCTACTGCACTGAGCTTCTTTAAGATCAATATTTTGAATTCTTTATCTGCAATTTCAAAAGTTTCTTTATGATTAAAATGTGTTGCTGAGAGAGGGAAAACTAAAAACGACTTTGTCTTGCACCTTAGGTACCAGCTAGGCCACAGTTAGGTACAGCAACAAGCAGGCTCTTGGGGTCCCCAAGTCCAGGCCTAGACTCTTGGACAGCATTTCTGGACCTTCCCTGGATGAGAGGGGAGCTTACTTCCCTGGAGGGTGACTTGCAGACATGGCAGCATTTACCATAAGCTGGCTGAGGAGCCCTTGGGCTTTATGTGAATGTCAGTGATGTCCTCTCATAAACCCCTGTGGGCTGGTGATGGTAGTGACCAAAGAAGAAAGAGGCTCTTCTGCCTATGGAAAGGGGAGGGAAGAGCAGAAAGGACTTTGTATTGTAGTTTGAGTGCCGCCTTAGCCATCACAGAATAGAACATCAGGTAAATTTCTAAGGTTTATAAATCTAATATCTGGCTCCTACACAGCATCTCTGGACCTGCCCAGTGCCTCAGGGAACTCATTGCCCTGAAGGCAAGAACATCATCCTGGCTGGCTTCAACACCTTCTAATTACAGAGCCCTAGGGCCTTGAGTGAACATGGGTGGTAGCCAGGTAATGGTTACAGTGGGCACTGGGCAAGACCCAATGCTGTGCCAGCTTCAGGTATGACTCAGTACAGTCCTAGTGGTGGTGGCAACAAGGATACTTGCATCACTACATCCCCAGTTTAAGGCAGGTCAGCAGAGACAGAGAGAGAGAGAGAGAGAGAGAGAGAGAGACAGACAGACTGTATTATTTTTGGAGAAAGTATGGGAAGAGAAAAAGAGTCTCTGCCTGTAATCCAGAGAATTCTTCTAGATCTTATTCAAGACCACCAAGGCAGTGCCTCTATAAGTATGCAAAAACACAGCATTATTGGGACTGGAACCCAAATCCCTCTGAATAGCTGAAAAGCCATCTGAAGAAGGATGGGCATAAGGAAACCCAAACTGTGAAGACAACAATAAATACCTAACTCTTCAATGCCCAGACAAAACAAACATCTACAAGCATTAAGACCATCCAGGAAAACATGACCTTATCAAATGAACTAAATAAGGCACCAAGGGCCAGTCACAGAGAAACAGAAATATGTGAAGTTTCAGATAGAAAATTCAAAATAGCTATGTTGAGAGAACTCAAAGAAATTCAAGGTAACATAGAGAAGGAATTCAGAATTCTATCAGATAAATTTATCAAAGAGATAGAAATAATTAAAAGAATCAAGCAGAAATTCTAGAGTTAAAAAACATGATTGACATACTGAAGAATGCATCAGTCCCTTAATCGCAGATGTGATCAAGCAGAAGAATGAGTGAGCTTGAAGACAGGCTACTCAAAAATACCGTCAGAGAAGAAAAAAAAAAAACAAATTTAAAAAAATGAAGCACACCTAAAGGATTTAGGAAGTAGCCATAAAATGGCATATCTAAGAGTTATTGGGCTTAAAGAGGAGGTAGAGAATGAGTTAAGGCCTAGATTCTTTATTCAAAATAATAATATCAGAGAAGGTCCCAGACCTAAAGAAAGATAGCAACATTCAAGTACACGAAAGTTATAGAAAACAAAACAGATTTAAACCCAAAGAAGACTACCTCAAGGCATTTAATAATGAAACTCTAAAAGGTCAAGGATAAAGAAAGCATCCTAAAAGCAGCAAAGGAAAAGAAACAAATAATATACAATAGACCTCCAATATATACGGCAGCAGACATTTCAGTGGAAGCGTTATAGTCCAGGAGAGAGTGACATGGCATATTTAAAGTGCTTAAGGAAAAAAGAAAAAAAAAAAAAAACTTAACCCTAGAAGAGTATGTCTGGTGAAAATATCCTTCAAGCATGAAGGAGAAATAAAAACCTTCCCAGACAACCAAAAATTGAGGGGTTTCATAAACACCAGACCTTTTGTACAAGAAATGCTAAAGGAAGTAGTTCAATCTGAAAGAAAATGAAGTTAATGAGCAAGAAGAAATCATCAGAGGGGACAAAACTCACTGGCAATAGTAGGCATACCGAAAAACACAGAATATTATAACACGGTAATTGTGCTGTGTACACTACTCAATGTAAAAAACTAAATGAGGAAAATCAAAAATAATAACTACAACAACTTTTCAAGACACAGTTCAGTAAGACATAAAGAGAAACAACAAAAAATTAAAAAGTGGGGGGATGAAGTTAAAGTGTAGAGTTTTTATTAGTTTTCTTTTGGTGTGTTTGTTTGTTCATGCAATCACTGTTAAGTTTTCATTAGTTTAACATAATGTTATAAAGTAGTAGTTATAAGTTTCATGGTAACCTCAAATCTAAAAACATATAATAGACACTCAAAAATGAAAGGTAAGAAATTAAGTCACACCACCAGAGAAAATCACCCTCACTTAAAAGAAGACAGAAAGAAAGGAAATAATGAAGAGAACAAACAAAATAATAGGCAGGAGTAAGTCCCTACTTATGGATAATAACATCAAATGTAAGTGGACTAAATTCTCTAATCAAAAGACATAGAGTGGCTTAATGGATGAAAAAACAATACCCAATGGTCTGTTGGCAACAAGATACACACTTCACCTATAAAAATACTTACAGACTGAAAATAAAGAGATGAAAAAAATATTTCATGTCAACGGAAACCAAAAAAGAACAGAAGTTGCTATATTCATATCAAACAAAATAGATTTCAAGACTAAAAGTATATGAAGAGACAAAGAATAAATAATTAAATGAAATGAAATGTAATTATATAATGAAAAAGTGTCAATGCAGCAAGAGTATTTAACAATTGTAAATACATATACACCACACTGGAACACCCAGATATATAAAGCAAACATTACTAGAGATAAAAAGAGAGACAGACCTCAATAAAATAATAGCTGGAGACTTCAACCTCTCACTTTCAGGATTAGACAGATAATTCAGATGGAAAATTAACAAAGAAACAACAGCCTTAATCAGTACTACGGATAAAATAGACCTAATAGATATTTACAGAACATTTCATCCAACAGCCGCAGAATACACATTCTCCTCCTCAGCACATGGATCATTCTCAAAGATAGACCATATGTTAAGACACAAAACAATTATTAAAACATTAAAAAATGAAATATTATCAAGCATTTTCTCTGGCTGCAATGGAATTAAACTGCAAATTAATAAGAGGAATATTGGAAACTATACAAACACATCAAAATTGAACAATATTCTCCTGAAGTACCAGCAAATCATTGAATAAATTAATAAGGAAATTTATTAATAAAATAAATTAATAAGGAAATGGGAAAATTTTCTTGAAAGAAATGGTAATGGAAACACAACATATCAAAACCTATGAGATAGTGCAAAATCAGTATTAAGAGGGAAACTTATAGCTATAAGTGCCTACCTCAAAAAAGAAGAAAATTTTAAATAAATAACCTAATGATGTATCTTAAAAAACTAGGAAAGCAAGAGCAAACCAATCCCAAACTGAGTAGAAGAAATAATAAAAGATCAGCTCAGAAATAAGTGACTGAAATGAAGAAAACAAGACAAAAGATCAATGAAGCAAAAAGTCGGTCTTTTGAAAAGACAAAATTGACAAACATTTGCCCAGACTAATGAGGAAAAAAAGGGAGATGACCCAAATAAATAAACTCAGACATGAATAAGGAGACATTACAACTGATACTGCAGAAATTCAAAGGATCATTAGTGGCTACTATGAGCAAATATATGTCAATAAATTGGAAACTCTGGAGGAAATGGATAAATTCTTATACACATATAACCTGCCAAGATTGAACTTAAAGAAATCGAAGACCGAAACAGACAAATAACAAGATCAAAGCTGTTATAAAGTCTCTCAGTATGGAAAAGCTTGAGACTCAATAGCTTCACTGCTGGATTCGACAAAATATGTAAAGAACTAATACCAAACCTCCTCAAACTATTCTGAAAAATACAGGAGGAGGGAATACTTCCAAACTCATTCTGTGAAGCTAGCATTACTCTAATACCAAAACCAGACAAGACACATAAAAAAATAGAAATATAGGACAACATCACTGATGAATATTGATGTAAACATCCTCAACAAAATCCTAGCAAATAAAATGCAAAAACACATTAAAAAGATCACTCATCATGACCAAGTGGGATTTATCAAAATCATATGAAAATCAACGTGACACACCATATCAATAGAATGAAGGACACAAACCATATGATTATTTCAATTGATGTTAAAAAAGCATTTCATAAAGTTCAGCATCCTTTCATCATAAAAATATCCCTCAGAAACTGGTGTAGAGGAGCATATCTCAATATAATAAAAGCCATATATGACAAACCTACAGCTAGTATCATACAGAATGATACTAGTTCTAAGATTGGGATCATGAAAAGGATGCTCGCTTTTCATCACTGTTATTCAACAGAGTACTAAAAGTCCTGGCTAGAGCAATGAGACAAGAGAAAAAAAATTAAAGGCAATCCAAGTTGGAAACAAAGAAATAAAATTATCAGTGTTTGCAGATGATATGATGTTATATTTGGAAAAGCCTAAAGACTCCACCAAAAAACTATTAGAAGTGATAAACAAATTCAGCAAATTTGCAGGCTACAAAATGAACATATAAAAATCAGTAGCATTTCTGTATGTCACCAGAGAACAATCTGAAAAACAAATTTAAAAAGTAATCCCATTTATAATAGCTATGCATAAAATTAAATACCTAGGAATTAAGAAGTAAAAGATCTCTACAATAAAATCTGTAAAACACTTATGAAATAAATTGAAGAGGAAAACAAAAAAAATGGGAAAATATTTCATGTCCATGGATTGGAAGGATCAATATTGTTAAATGTTTCATGTTAAATGTCCATACTATCCAAAGCAATCTACAGATTCAATGCAATCCCCATGAAAATACCAATGATATTCTTTATAGAAATAGAAAAAAAACTAAAATGTATATGAAACCACAAAAGACCCACAATAGCCTTATCCTGAGCAAAAATAACAAAACTAGAGGAATCACCTAACTTCAAGTTATACTACAGAGACATAGTAAGTAAAACAACATGGTACTGGCATTAAAACAAACACATAGGCCAATGGAACAGAATAGATAATCCAGAAACAAATCCACATACCTACAGCAAACTCATTTCTGACAAAGGTGCCAATAACATACATCGGGGAAAAGACAGCCTGTTCAATAAATCTTGCTGGGAAAACTGGATATCCACATGCAGAAGAATGAAACTATACTTTTGTCTCTATCCATAGACAAAAATCGAATCAAGATGGATAAGGACTTAAATCTAAGACGTCAAACTATGAAACTACTATAAGAAAACTTTAGGGAAACTCTCCAGATTACTTGACTGGGCAAAGATTTCTTGAGGAATATTTTACAGGTGTAGGCAACCAAAGCAAAAAAGGACAAATGACACTCCAATAACAATGAGCACACTTATTGTTTAGATCTTGGATTGTAATACTATTTCCCACTAAAATGATCCTCAGAGAAATGACTGCTCCCCAGGGATGGTGCAGGGAAACTCCTAGATGAAAGTGAACATCTTTTACACCAGAAAGTAAAGAATTGCTAAAAGTAACATTGGAGCGTGTCATAAGGATACAGAATTTAGGTTGCAGGGGCTCTTACTAGCCAAATCTAGGAGAATGGAAGAACAAAACAAATAAAGATAGTAGTGTATTACAACCCACTAGAGAGAATAATGAGTCACTAAAATTGGTATGAGTCTACACTGATAATATTTATTCAAATGAATGAATGAATGTATAAACAAATAAAGGCTGAGGGAAAGTTCTTGCTCATAATAGAATGTGAAGTGAATACAAAGGGAGTTTCAATAATCAAAGTAATTATCATCCATCTTTAGGCAATAATCATCGATAGATGCCAAGTCTAGGGGCAAAATTTTGATGAAGATCAGAATATTTTCAAAGTCTACTCACCAATTATGTACTACTTGCAAGGGAAAAACATAGTAAATGTACCACAGCAAAAAATGACAATACGTGAATTGAGTGATCAAAATTAATATCAACAATGAGGGGCAGGTAGACATCATGTACTTAGGAATGCAAGACCCCAAAAGACTCACTGTCACCTATATAGCATTCCAGATTTGGAATTTATAATCTAAAGAAACATTAGACCAATCCTAAACAAGAAACACTCTGTAAAATATATTTTTCAGAGGACTATATTCTTTAAAAATGTCATGTTCATAAAAGACAACAAAAAGCTGAGTAACTACTCCAGATTAAAGAAGACTAAAGAGACATGGTAACTCAAATTAATACATGAACCTAGACTGAATCTTTGTAATAGAGGAAAACATACTGTATAAACATTACTGGACCGTTGACTAAACTAGAAATGTGCACTGAATTATTTAAGGTAAAGGACCATAATCTATACAATTTACTCTCAAATGGCTCAGAAAAAAATATAAATGCATGCACACAGACATCGATATACTTATATACGTATATACAGATGGATAGATAGATGGCATGTGGCAAACAAATGGAGCAAAATATTAACAATAGGTGAATCTGAGCAAAGGGCATATGTTTTTTCTATTAATCTTGCAGTTTGAACTTAAAACTTACAAATATAAAATTAATGTAATTTTTGTAGTGAAGATAAACTATGTGGATATGGCATAGCTTAGCAATCCTGTAACCAGGGATGGTGAAGGAAGTTGGGAAATGCCTGGAGTGCTAAGGAGAATCTGAGGAGAAACTGTGAAGAATTTGAATTTATCCTGAGAACATAGGAGATGTATAAGATGAGGAAAGTCTGCCTTCTCACTTGTAAAAGAGACAGAAAAAAAAATCAAATAGAGTGTTTAATAGAACAGAAAGAAAACTAAAGAGACTCATTATTTCCCAACCAGTGATACATTGAAATGTAACATATTAAAAAGCATTTTTAGCTTAGTGGTGGACTGTGCAGATTGTTGTGCTGATTCTCTAGGCTACTTTTCTGCAGAACAGTAATCTGGTACATTAAAATAAAAACTTTAGATAAATTTAACAGAGTTACTTCAGCAAAAAAACAATTCATGTATTGGGCAGCACTCAGAATCAGAAGAGGCTCAGAGAGCTCCGCATAGCAGCATAAGCAGTAAGCTTTTACATGCTGACTAGCAGAATAAAAATAGAGAAATCAACAGATTGTCTACTGACAGGCATTTATTTTATTTAGGCATGATGTCATGAGGCATTTGTTTACTCGGACATGGTTTTATCAGTTGGCTGCTTGTGATTGGCTGAAGCTCAGATGTTTGTGATTGGTTGAAATCCAGGTATTTGTTACAAAAAAATACATTACTAGGTTTCCGTTTGTTTATGGACTAAGTTAGGTTGCAGTTTGTTATGTAGGAGCTCAAAGTTCAGAGACATCCTGAGGCTAATTTAACAGCTTATTTGATGTAACAGATGAAATGTGCCTGGGGGAAAAAGTGACTGTCAAGTGTGGGAAACATTACACAGCAGAAAGTCTTGTCTTAGAGACTCACAATGTATAAAAGTATATTAAGGCTCTAAGAATTTCAGAAGTGGTTAAAAAAAAGATAATTTTAAGGCCACGCATGGTGGCTCATG
The DNA here is from genome assembly GCF_000001405.40 of Homo sapiens. Lineage (NCBI taxonomy): Eukaryota > Metazoa > Chordata > Mammalia > Primates > Hominidae > Homo > Homo sapiens. Next base: position 23,171,151 of record NC_000009.12, read on the forward strand.
TCTGTAATCCCAGCACTTTGGGAGGCCAAGGCAGGTGGATCACGAGGTCAGGAGATCGAGACCATCCTGGCTAACACGGTGAAACCCCGTCTCTACTAAAAATACAAAATAAAATTAGCCCAGTGTGGTGGCGGGTGCCTGTAGTCCCAGCTACTCAGGAGGCTGAAGCGGGAGAATGGCCTGAACCTGGTAGGTGGAGCTGGCAGTGAGCCCAGATTGCGCCACTGCACTCCAGCCTGGGCGAGAGAGCAAGACTCTGTCTCAAACAAAAAAAAAAAAGATGATTTTATTTAATGCAGTGTTCCTTAAACATTTAATAAGAATTTAGTTTCCTGGTATCATAGGTTGTATTCTCTGAAGTAGAAATTGAGATGAAGTTTTGGGTACCAGGAAAAGTATTGCCCATCAGAGTGCCTCAGCTTGGCCCAGGTTCTTTATACCACATTCCCCCCTCAGTCACCAAGTGAGGAAGACCAGGAAGTTGGCTCTCTGCAGCTGAGGCCCATCCTGAAGGAGCTGGGAGCTGGAAGCAGTCTACTGACCACAGCAGGCTGACTGCATTTCCTACAGCTGAGCAAAACATGCTTCCTCAAAGAGGGTGTGTCTCCATGTTGTTCACATTTATCTACACTGCTTTCCATCCTGCAGAATATACTTTAGGAAATGATATCCTAAACTTTTAAGAGCAAGCAATTTATCTCTCAAACCAAATATTAATTAAATTGCCAGAGATAGAACAGTGAGATATAAGACCATTGCTCTCCATCTGTGTCTGTCCCTGATAGTATATTCCTGATAATAGAATATATTATTAAAGAACTGTATTTGCTTGACATAGTGTTTACACAGTATCAAAGAAACTCTAAATGTTTCTTTGTTTACACAGTATCAAAGCACTCTAAAATGCAGACTTTGTTATCATCATCATCTTCATCAAAATATTACCGTTAACATAAGTAATAGAATAGAAATACACAGAAAGATATAGAAGAGTTCAGCCTTCGTGTATTTAAACATGTATTCACTCAACAAATACTCTTGTTTTAGTATCTATGGTGATCAGGTATGTTCTGCGTATAGTATTTTTGGTACTCATACCACAGATGGGTGTGTTATTATAGAAAAAATTTCAGAGGCATCAGCATTCGAAGGTTTAATAAGATGTGTATGTAACTTATTGTTGCGAGGACTGTGACTCCAGGCACAGTCACCTATTAATTAAAGCTGACTATTAGTATTACAAATTTCTGGCAGAGCACTTAGCAAGGGAAAGAGAATTCCCTGTTGTTAAATATTTACCATTTGGGTCCTGTACTCTCATTTCTTTCAGGGCACAAACAGTAGCTCCTTTGAAAACTGCTTGACAGCCAATTCACCAATTCTGCTTCCCCTCGAAGAAAATAAAAGCCAAAAACACATGGTATATTCTAGAATTGTACTATTGAGACAATAAAAGTAGACTAGAAGAGGACCCTACTTGATCTCAGTGGGAAAGTGTTTTCCTCAGTATCTGTAGCATTATCAGTAGAAAGAATTGGGAAGCAGATGGCAGAGAAATAAAAGAAGGCAATATTATTTTTTAAAAATTAGAGCTCTGTTAAAAACTTCCCAGGGCTCTTAAATATATGAATCATGTATTTCACTCATCTAAAATGTTCTATCTATTCTGATACTGTTATATAACACAGAATAAATTAATAACATTTTTGGTATATTTCAAGACCCTCCTATTATTATCTCTTGCAGCTGCAGAGAGTTGGGTAGATAGAGAGAAGGGCAGAATGGAAAGACAGGGAAGAAGGGAGAAAGAAAATAAATTCAGTGAATTTTATTTCACTGAGTGTCAGGAGATTTTATAAATTATTGGGGAAAGATACTTAGACAAAATTTAAACTAAATGAATTATTAAATAAACAGATGCCAAGTGGAAATGCATAATTTATTGCTGCCACGCATAAGCTAGTTTAAGGATCCCAAGGCTTTTTCTTGTTTGCTCAACTAAAATATTTCCACATACGACCTTGTGTACAACCGAGGAAAAAGTGTAGTACAGTCATAGTCAATTAATCAATCACGTTTCAGTTTAGTTCAGCACATATTTATACAATGTATAAATTTTCTTATGTGTTTTGAAGGGTACAGAAGTAATTGAAGACACCGAGATTTAAAGAAGAAAAATACTTAAGCATCAACATTTGTTTCCAGACTCATCCTTCACCAAATATTTTAGCATGTTTGCCTTGCCCAGTTAAGAGTATTTTGGCCACATTTCCCAACTCTAAGTCCTGGAATGTTTCTGCCCACTTCTTAGCCCTGTAAACATTTCCTTCAATACATGATTCCAGGGTGTTTTCCCCAGCTGGTGAATAGATTCATTTACTGCATTTCGTATATACACTTCATAAAAATGTATTATAAAACTTATCATGGAATGTGGTTGTTATTGGTTTAGGTAAAAGTGTCATCCAGTAAACTGTGAGTTCCTGGGCCTGAGAAAGATGTCTTATTCTGCTCAAGAAATAGAAAGTGTGTTAGTATTGAAATAGTAAACACTGTGAGAATTGAAAAGGAAATTATAAGGTTGTAAATATATGCAGAAAAATGTACAGAACAATGATTCTTAAACTTTAGTATCTACCCCTCTATGCCTTGGTTTTCTTATCTCTAAAAAATGTATTAATGATATAATTTATATAATTATAAGAATAAAATGAGTTAAAACAAGAAATTAAGTCAAAAAGTGGTCTGGAACTAGTTGAAGAGTTAAAACTTGAAAGAGAACAGTACTAACACATGGGAAGTGTTCAAAAAGTATAACAATAATATAATAGTGGTGATGGTGGTGATGATGATGATGGTGATAATGATGATGGTATCTGTAAATTCTTTAGGAAAGTGGTTAACAAATTATTTGAGTGGGTGAATATTGACAGAATTTAGTTTAGTTTTAGCTTCTGTTCTGCCATGAGCTAGCTGTATAACTTGGGTAAAATAGTACACTTCTAAATCTTAGGATTTCTATCTGTAAAATGAGAGGTTTGGAAAATGCTTTTGCTAAGGTTTCTTCCCAACTTAATGTCTTTTTTTATTGTATAAGCATATTTCCTGCATTGAATGTAGCCCATTTATTTGTGATTTTAAGGTAGAATATTGATCATCAGAGATTTTTTTTTTTTTTTTTTTTTTTTTTTTTTTTTTTTTTTGAGACGGAGTCTTACTCTGTCGCTCAGGCTGGAGTGCAGTGGTGCAATCTCGGCTGGCTGCAACCTCCACCTCCTGGGTTCAAGCGATTCTCCTGCTTCAACATCCTCAGTAGCTGGGATTAATTACAGGTGCGAACCACCACACCCAGCTAACTTGTATTTTTAGTAGAGATGGGGTTTCACCATGTTTGTCAGGCTGGTCTCGAACTCCTGACCTCGTGATCCGCCCGCCTCGGCCTCCCAAAGTGGATCATCACAGATTTTTAAGTTGTTATTCTTTAGAGTGGGGCTAGGATAAATAATAGAGCTGTTACTTAATATGGAGGCCAATGGTGTAACAAAACAGGAGGGAGCAGTGAGAAGAATAGCTTACCTAGTTGATAAGTTTTCCTCCCACCAGCAGGAAAAAAAATAATTATTTGCTAATAATAGCAAATGTTAGTACAACTGGCACTGCTAGGGCCTGAACTACTACTTTGTTAAATAAAATGAGATTAGCAAACTGACCTCAAAATTTTCTTTCTGCAAGTTGTCAAATACCCCACTATAGGAGAAAATGTATTTTTCTGTTAACCAAATTAGAGTAAGAGCAATTCCAGATGATTATTATGATCTCTACAAAATCAATAAATTGCTTTATTTCGTTTCCCACTTTTTCTTTGTCTCTATTCATCCTTGTCTCTTTCGGAGGGGGGAGTTTAGAGGCTGATTTCAGCAGAATACATGCCTGCATTGTGAGAGCTACATATCTGGCCCACTACTGCTCCCTCTTCTGACCCAGTTTCCTCCCTTCCACAATAGTTGTGAACTACCAATTGCCCTCTGTTTCTTTTTTTTTTTTAATTAAATTCCTATAGCTAATCCATTTTCAAGACCTGACCATTCTTTTTTTTTTGATGTATCACAACATCTCCCCCAACCCCCCTCCTATTTTTCTACTGTAGCCGTTGGCTTTCAGTTCAGGTCACTAATATATCACTTACAGTTTTCTGCACTGGTCTTAGTTCAATTCAGTTTAGTAAGCATTCAGTGACTACCTACTGTAAACAAACCTGCATATTGGCCAAAATAAGCTAACTGACAAATAGCACAACATAAGCCCACTGTGGTTTCTACCTAGGGTTCCTCAATCATTACATTTTGTCTCTAAGGGGACCGTTAGAAATATTCCATTCAAGCACATTCAAATAGGGCTTTGTGAGGTGATGAAAATACTCTGCATGTGTGACTACTGAGCACTTGAAATGTGTCTAATACCACTGCTGCACTAAATTTTTAATTTAATTTTAATGTAAATAGCTATACTACTGGCAAATCTAATATGGATTTTATACCTGAGGAAACACACCTAAAAGGTTAAAGTTACTAGTCCAAGATCACATGGCTATAAAACTTCTCAGTCATGGTACACTTTCTTTTTCTTTCTATACACACACCGAGAGAGAGAGAGAGAGAGAGAGAGAGAGAGAGAGAGAGAGAGAGAGAGAGAAATAGTGAGAGACCGATGTTGCAGCTTGAGTCTGAAGGCAGGCTGGAGGCAGAATGGGGACTTGTCTTTTTCTGTTAAGGTTTTTGACAGATTGGATGAGGGCCACTCACATTATGAAGGATAATCCACTTTACTTGAAGTTGATGATTTAAATGTTAATTTTATCTAAAAAATACCTTCAACAGGACATCTAGTCTAGTGTTTGATCAACTATTTGTGTACCATAGGTTAGCCAAGTTGATACATAATGTTAACCATCCCATGCTCCAAAATTGAGGACTGTTTGGGGATATATTATCTAAATGCAATGAAGCCATCCATGCTGCTATGTCCTAGGATTTCAGTGATTTTCTTTGAGTGTGTGGCTTTATAAATACGATATTGTAATATTTCACTTGAAATTTCTATTGCATAGCTAGAGAAAACATGACACCTCACGAAAGACACATTGTTATGAATATGGGTATTCAATGGGTATTCACTTAGTCTGCAATGATTGTTTCTTTTCAAAAAGTTGCATTATCTGGCTTTTGTTTGCATGACCTAATATCACCCTCTAATTAAGTCAGAATGACATATTAAAAGAGATTGAAGTAAATAAATTATATTTGTGAATATGACTATAATAGGTGTATGATTTGCCCTCCCATCTTCCTCCTGCCCCTATAAGAAAACAAGACACAGGAAAGAGAACATCCCCACCTATGTTTCAGATCATCCCCATTCTTTTTCTAACTCCATCCCTCTTCATCACCAAAACAATTTTCAAACACAATAAACAGCATGTGTCTTAAGCAAAGCAAAGTAGAAACACGTTAGGATTTCTTGGAGTTTCCATTTTACAGTATTAATCTTTTTATGTAAACTTTTAGCATCTCTGTATTTACAGCACTACCAGGTAAAATATAAATGCATCTGGCTCTTCCTATGCATCGGAGTACCCTATGTCCAGTTTTCATATGTCAAGTATCAGCACCTGCACTAAATAAATAATAAAACGAATTCAGAGACTCAATATTTATGATAATCCAAACACGCTCAAATTATTTTGAACTCCTTAAAGCCAGTATAACAGCTTCTATTCAGATGCAAAAAATACCAAAAAATGAAGGGAGGTTTTTTACTGTCAAAAATAATTATTCTTTTTAATAATATGTTTTGAGCAATGACTACATTAGGAATCACCATACAAAACACTCAAAAAGTGAGAATATAAAGTTTCAGTCTATGCCATCATGGAGATTTTAGTCAAGAAAACCACCTTTAACAAGGAAAATAAGGACAGTTGAGGAGGATCTTCAATGTCCTAGAAGTGGAACTAATCTTGCATGGAACTAATTCTTTTCACCATGAGCACTTGTGGCTCAGAGAATAAAGGTAAGAAAATCTAGTCAGGTTTCATAACTGCTTTATTCCAAGCTAGATGCTTGGCTCAGATCACCCCCATTGTGTTTGAACATTTGGCCTCCCCAATAAAATACACATACCACGAATCTTCCTCCTGTAGAATTAAATTGTCAGCATGTCACAAGATTTTTTTTTCTTCTGCAGCAGGAACCCTTCTGGTTGAAATAGCATATTTCCTGTACAGCAGGGTTTGCATGATATCATTACTTCGCATGCAGTCTGCATGCCTTCCACTGGATGTTTAGTGTCTGTGAATGTTCTCCTTCCAGAGACTTGCCTATATTTGTCTTCATTCTGCTTGCCTGGGTTTTAGCCTACTCTTACCCTAGTGTTTGATATTTTGGACATGGTGGCCTACATCTGTCAGCTTTGCTTCAGCTCACTGCCCCTTTCAAAACTATGACAACTTCTTAATGGTCTTCCTGACAACCTACGAAATCTAGACTAACAAATCTGGCCCTATCTACCTGTTGTCCTGCACTGTTGCTTGCAAGGCTCTTCTGATACATTACAGTACTGACCCAGTGGGTCTGGTTTGCTAATAACTTACTGTAAAACTACAGTTAAATTGTTTTTCTCTCACCTAGACATTTTTATAGGTTATTATTAAAATGCATAGATAAGCTGCTGGAGTATAAGAAAAAAAGGAATCAAAGATGTATAATTCTAGATTTATATATAATAGGAGAGAAAAAAGAAATACATCGTTTTATTATCTTGGATATATTCTATGTGCCACTTAGTGATTGAGCAAAAGATAACATGATTCCTGACTCTTAGCAACTCATGACTTACAGGGGATGGTATGACTTACATACAAATTTGGAAATATTATTATTTTTATAGAATATATTTATAGAATTTTTTTGGATTATTTTTATAGAATACCAAAGTTATTTTTGTAGAATATTGAATTTTTATTTTTATAGAATATTGAAGTTAATTTATCATAACTACCTTTACTGTGGGAACTCAGACTTTATTTGGTAAAATCCCGCTATTCTGATCTTTTGAAAGCTATCAATTAAAGTAAGTAATAATTATTTTATTTTTATTTCATGTATATAATAAATTCTATGGGATAGAGAGAACATGCTATATTTTCTTTTCCTAGAATATCATAAATTTTTGCCTTCAGTAACAAGGGTAAGGGAGCTAACAATAAGAACTTACTAAGAATGAGTTATTCTACTATGCTCTTTACACATATTAGCACATTTAATCCTAATAGGAATCTGATAATCATGTTTTAATAAATTTTACATAGTGGCGAAAATGTGACTCAATAGAACTGAACAAATTTCTAAAAATAAAATAGCTAGTAGATGGAACACAGTCAAAATTTGAAGGCATGTCTATTTGACTTCCAAATCCATACTCCATAAATTGCACCCTGAGAAAAACATCTTTCTAGAACCAAACAATAGGAACTTAAAATCCCAGGTAATTCCTACAGTTGTCCTCCACAAATGTAATAAAATTTTATCAAGTGTTTTTTCATAGTACTCTATTTTACTTACTGCAGTATCCCCACATGGGGATACGCTGGTTTTTACATTTCCTTCATTTTCTGTAAATGTTCCAGTGAGTAGACATAAGAAGCAAGTCTGCTTAGGCTGTTACTGTGTCCCTACTGATTAATCCCTAGAACTCACTGCCCCTAGAACACAGATACTTAATATACATTTATTGAATGAATAAAAATGACTGTAAAGGGGGATAAATCTTTTTAAATAACTCATATGCCTTGGTTTAATAGAAATCTAATAATTATCATTTAATCATTTGAATTATAGATAATTCTATTCTCATATATTGATTCTATTTCTTTTCTATAAATGAGTAATATACTTAAAAACAGATTAATTCAGTGATGTCTGGTTTTATTATTCTGAATTTTATATTTTAGCATGTTTACCATAAGATATGACTGGGAGAATTTAGTTTTACTCCCTGGGTTTAATATCTGGTTTCAGTAATATTATAGTAGAAAAAAATCTGTTGTGTACTACTATTAAGTGTTGTTGAGCACTAGGAGATCTCTATTTTACTGTGTCTTTGATATTAACATCCGTATTTCTTGATGGTACTGAGCTTAGTAGTTAACATTTCTCCAACCTTAATAATTGTGTATGGCATATTGACAGGGAACCAAAAAGCTTGCATGAATTTGAACTGTCATCTTTTTTTCTTACTAATTTCCAAGTTGGGACATAATTTTTTATTTCATTATCACTCTGTGTGTTTCTTTCTTTATATACTGTACTTTGTTTCTCCATTTTACTTCCTTTAATAGTCTAACAGTTGGATAGAAAAGAATGTCACTTTTATTTATTCTCTTTTTTCTTTTTCACTGAAGGCAAGGAAATTAGCTCCTTGATGGAAGGCACACTAGTAGAACACATCAGCATTATAGAACCCTTGAACCTTAAAGACATCTTATCTCAGCATATTATTATTACAAAACTTAAAGGAGCCATCGCAATCTTCCATTTGTTTAAGTTTCCACTTCAACTACCATGGTCACACAAAATGATGGTAATAAGAATGCGATTGTTGAAAACCAAACCAAACCTCATCAACATTGTTATCAGCCTCACTGAGAAACAAGGATCAAATTTACATCTACCTGTGTCTCCTTGGATAGTCTAACAATTTTACTTTGCCATTTGCTATCAAAGAAGCTGTAGGATATTGAATATAGAAAATACAAGTCTGCAATGCTTGAGTGAAATTTCAATCACTGCAGACGTAAAAGTTTTGCAATATCGTTTTGTAAGAATGAAAATAAATATAGATATATATGTACATAAACAAGGTCTCACTGTCTTGCCCAGGCTGGAGTGCAGTGGTGCGATCACAGCTCACTGCAGCCTCAACCTCCTGGGCCCAAGCAATCCTCTCACCTCAGCCTCCTAAGTAGCTGGGACTACAGGTATGCATCACCCTGCCCAGCTAACTTTTTAATCTTTGTAGAGATGGGATCTCACTATGTTGCCCAGGCTGGTCTCAAATTTCTGAGCTCAGGCAATCCATCCACGTTAGCCTCCCAAAAGGTTGGGATTACAGCTGTGAGCCACCAAGTCCAGCTGGATAATTCTACCACATTATTTGTCTTGCCTCAGAAAATGTTATTTGACAGAATTTTTATTTTTAAAAGATTTATCACCATCTTCCTTATCAATATATAAGTAGTTGGCTCACTCTGTTTAAAAAATAGCACAATAGATGACATCTAGAATATAACTTTAAAAAAACTACCATTTGATAGCACCTAGAAAATCTCACACTTCTTGCAGATCAAAAAAAATTATGTTTCTATCATATTTAAAATATTTTTTCAAACCTCAATTAATAAATATCTTTGGTATGAGTCATATATTATAGTTTACTGAGGTCAGAAACAAAAACTATTTTAATGGAATTCTGAAATTAACCACAAAACAGTTTTGTTATAATTGAGTGTAGGGCTCCCACATCTCTGTGGGATAAAAGTGGCTATCTATATTTTAATCCCTTTACATCCTCAAAAAGTACTACAAAATCACAATGAGAGAAAAAATTCAGCAAACACCCATTCCTAGCCAAGTCTAGGAGGCATTATGACTGCATGAATACCTTAAGCCAACAGAGCTGGATCCAGAGCCCACACTAGCAGAGAGAACTGGGGAATTTTGCACTGGAAGTAGTGTACAGCAGAGTCAAGGTACTGGCCCATCAAAGGCAACACCGTATAGGTATCATACCTGGAAGGAATAAAGTCTACTTTGAGTGGGAAAATACTGAAAAGAGCCCTGAGACTTGGTGGTTTAGTCCACTGTCACTAGGGCTAAAAGTAAGGAGCTTAGTGGCAGTCTTAGAAAGGCAGTATCCTGAGGGCAGATGGAGGCAACTTTGAAAACGTAGGTGTTCCCTACAGGCTTATTGGCAAAGCGAAAAAAATATGTGACTAAAGACATAAAGACGCTGAAAAAGGTTAGTATCAAAAATTAGAAAAAAGCAAGAAGTACACATTTATTTTTAAAGCATATTTTGTTGTGGCTCAGAAGAGGGTGCTAAGCACCAAAAGGACCATCCAAAATCCTTATGCCACCCTCACTGAATTATCAATTATCATCTGTCTAAAAAAATACAAGTACATATAAATAAAAAGGAATCCAGTATCTATAGAAGTTCATTAAGAAGAAAACAGAAAACAGAGTAAAACATTTTCAGAAGATTAAAACACTAAAAAGTAGTGATGAAACAGGCAGGTATTATTATAATATATTCCAAGAAGAATTAAACATGAAGCAAGCAATTGTAAACATGAGGGACCATCACAAACTTAGAACTTAAAAACTCAGAATAATACTGGATAAACACTACATGGATATGAAATCAGAGCAGACCAAACTCAAAAAAGAAACTACAGAATAATAACATAATTTCAGAAAGAAGAAATAAACTACAAGGTCCAAAAGAGACTAGATATGTCCAAAACTACAATAAGAAATATATGACTAAAAGTACATTAAGCAATCAGAAAGAAATGGATAAAAAAGACAAGAAGATCTATTTGATAAGTGGAGTCCCTAAAGAAGAAAAACTAAACAACTGGGATGTTTGATATAAAAACCACAACTTAAGAAAACTTTACTGAATAAACTGGAACCTCATATTAAATGCTGCCATCAATTATGTGGGAAAAATCAATCCATTACCATCAAATATTAGACATATCTTAGTAAACTATTATAATTTTAAAAAACCCTTTGAGCCACAGTCAAATATGAAGTAATTAACAAGCAAAAAAAAAAAATGTTTACATCTAACTTTTCAACAGCAACATACCAGTGCAGGAAACAGCAGAAGAATATTATGAAATGCAAAGAAAGAAAGAGGGAAAGAATTAATATACAGCTGAACTGTGTATCAAGTGTATAAAAGCACAGTTTTAATATGAAAATTTCAAGAAACTTTTTACTCAGGAGCTTTTCCTGTAAGATATACTAGAGAGAAAGCTTCATTCAACCAAGACAGAGAAACGGCAGCAAAACTGCTGGTGGTGAATGCAATGATTATTTAATAATAAATATAATTTTAACATAAAGGTGAGAATAAATGTATAAGAATACTATGTAAATGATAATATGGACATTTTTTAATGGAAGAAGAAAAAAAAGAAAATGAAAAATTGGTTAAGCTCCTTGATGGCCAGATAGGTGCTAGTCAAGGGATATCACTTAAAAATGTAAAACTGTTACCATTTTACTATATAATACTGTATTTTATAAAACCACCCAAACCTCAGAGGCTTAAAGCAAGAATCATATTCTCGTGGACTGGGCTAAATCCTATGAGGCAATGCTACTAATCTAAGATTGTCTCATTCTCATATCTGGGTGTTGGCTAGGGAAGGCTAAATAAGGTGAGGCTCAGCTGAGGCAGTTTGGCTTTGCTACACAAGTCTCCCATCCTCAACTTGGGACTTTTTGGCTCAGGCAGTGTCATGACAAGCCAGGCCTGTTTGTCTTATGGCAGTGGGAGAAGTACAGTAGAGCCCATGGAAACACACACAAAGTCTCTGAACTCTGACTTAAAAATGCCATACTAATGTTTCAATCTCATTCTATTGCTCAAATAGGGTCATATTGTCAAACTAAACGTCACAAGGCATGGAAAAATGCAAATATGCCTAAACATAGTGTGAAATTACTACAAAATTACATGGCAAAAAATTTGAATACAGGAACAGTTGGATAATCAGAACTAATAACAAACTACCTACAAAGAGAAAAAAGGCTAAGGAGAGGAAAAAGAGACTATGTTCTATGAAAGTTACCACTAGAACAAAACCACAATATTTATGAATACCAAAATATATATAAAATAAAAATGTAAAAAGAAAAAGAAAAGAGGTCACATAGTGAAACGTAGTGAATATAATATATTTAGTAATTTTAACTTAAAATAACATGAGCTGATGCCAGGTAAGGTTGTGTGCACCTGTAGTCCCAGCTACTCAGAAGGCTTAGGCGAGAGGATTGCTTGAGCCCAAGAGTTCAAGACCAGCTTAGGCAACATAGTGAGACCCTGTGCCAAAACAATAATAATAATATGTACTGAGCCCAAATATATCAGTCACATTAACAAATATAAATAGGCTTAGATGACCTATTAAAATATTTTCAAATTGGCTTATCAGTAAAATCCCCAAAACCTCTATGTTGCATATAAGCAACAAAACTAAGGAAAAAGGTACAAAAAGCAAAATTAAAAAGAAGAGCAAAGGAATATGGGGAAAAATTCAAGAAAATTATGCAGAAGTTGCAATGTTGCTACCTGACAATGTTAACAATCAGGCAAGATGCTTTACGCAAGACAAAAGAACAATGCTCCATAACACTACATCTACAATTTACAAGAAAGACAGTGCAACCATGAATAGCTATGTACCAATCAATACAGCAGCAAACTTCATAAGGAAAACACTGATGGTTACACAAAAAAGAAAAATTGTAGAAACTTACTAATAATAGGAGACTTTGGCACAGAATCTCGTTCTGGACAGATCGATTAGACAAAAAAATATAGCATATGCAAAACACAAACAGTTTAATCAATGAAGTGTAATATACAAGTACATATCAAATTTTGCAATCTAGAACATATTCTAAAAATAAAAAGCATACAAAGAAGTTGTAAGCTTCTCTTGATGTCCACAAGCTAAGCAAAAACAACTCCAGTGAAACAAGCCTAGATTTGTTTTTTGGTATAGCACAGGAGTCTGCATCCCAGAATAAACTATAGGATGTCTCAAGAAGATGTAAGGAATGGCTTGTCATAAGGTTTAGCTCTATGCTAGATAATCTGAGGAAGAGTTCAAAGAACAAGAGTTTCCTCAGGATTGAACACTATCATAAAGCAGGGGCAATTCAGTGATTGGATAGTTTAATTTTTATTTAGGAGTCAGGAGAAACTAAATGGAGCTTAATTATAATTGGTAAAAATAAGCAGTCACTCATGTGAGATAAGAGAGGGAGACAGTGGATCATTTTTATAATTTGCACTGTTCTGTTTTGTTCGTTTGTGTTTTGTTTTTTAGTGTTCCAACATGAGTGTGTCTTCATCCTATTTTATCCTGTTTCATTATGGTCGCAGAATTACTATAATCGATGTCGGTGTTCTATGAAGTTCTGACAAATCCACCATTTAGGGTATTCTATGAGACCTTGATTTCTTCAAATAGTCAACGTGGAGATTTTAAAGACACAATCCTAAATTCTTTGGTACTCATCTCCTCAAGTGGAACTTAATTCTCTACCCTTCTGGCTGTGGGATGTGCTTAGTGACTCAGTTCTAATGAATAGAATATAACAGAAGTCATGGGATGTCATTTTTGAGATTAAGTTATGAAAAGACCACAACTTTCATTACAGTCTCAGGCTCTATCTCTGCCCCCCTCCCTCTGTCTCTGATCGTTTGCCCTGGAGGAGCCAGCTGCCACGTTTTGGGAAACCCTATGAAGAGCTCCATGTAGTTTACAACAGAGGACTCCTGTGAAGTCAGCATGCCTACTAACAACCATGTGAGTGAACTCAGAAGAGTAGCCTTCTGCCCCAGTGGTGTCACCAGATAAATACGGTCCTGGTGGACATCTAGACTGAAACCTTGTGAGAGGCCCTGAGCCAGAATCACCCAGCGAAGATGATCCCGACTTCCTGACCCACTGAAACTATGATGTAATAATGTGTGTTGTATTAAGCCATTAAGTTTGAGGGTACTTTGTTACACAACAATAGAAAACTAATACAGTTAACGTTATAGAAAGTAAAAAGTTTAGGTTGACTGGGACTAAAGAAATATAATAATATAGCAATAGCTAACACAGACTAGAGAAATGTAAAAAGCAATTACAAAACGTAACTTGTTGGCATAGATACATTTTGAATATGCAATGGAAAAGAGATGATATTAAGAACTATTTCTCAATTGTAATATTGTTTTTGTAGTTATATATTAGAATGTGCATGTTTTTTAATGCAAGCTGAAGCATTCAGGAACTAAGTACCGTGAAGTTTCTGCAACTAGCTTTCAGATGGTTCTGCCATAAAAATTGTATACATGTACACAGAGTAAATATGGCAATATTTTTAAAATTACTTAAGCTATGTTAATGAGTAAATGAGGGTTCATTCTTTTATGCCTGAGAAATTCAAACATTTCTCTAGGTTTAAATTTTTTCATAATAAACAGGTGGAGGAAAATTACATAAACGTATCCTGGAAAAAAAGTTGACAAAATGAAAAAAAGTCTTACAGCTTGTCAAATCCTTTCACCTAGTAATTCCTTTCCTTGAAATGTAACCTAAGAAAACAATGAGATGTGGCATAGGTTTGTATATCAGAAAATTTTTTTCAGTGCTGTTATCATTGCAAAAATTTGGAAACAATGTAAATTCCCAAAGTAGAGAGTGAGTAAAGAAATCATGATGTAGTCATGATGGTATATTTTATTGTGATTAAAAATAATGTTTTAAACATGTCTAATAACCTACACAGGGAATTGTTCAACATTAATATTGAATGGAAAAGGAAAGATAAATATGCAGGAAGATTTTAAAGTTATACAATATTATATAAATTATATATGAATGTTTGATTTTTATCTGCTTCTGAAAGGAAATACACCACAAAATGTTAATATCTATGGTTAATAGGATCATACTCGGTATACATGGATCTTTGTGTTTTTCAACTTTTTTTCTAAAAGGAGTACAGATTACTTTGATAATCAGAAAATATTGGTAATTAAACTTTAACCATATTTATATAATTATATTAAAATTTTAACATAACGTGTGTTGTAAAGACTTTTATTCTTTATAATGAAAACACTTTGAGGAAGACTTATGCTATAGCAACCAGGTATATTGTGAACAGCTAAAATACAAATCCACCCTTTTACTTTTTTCTTTTTTGTATAGCACTTAGCATACCACAATTCAGTATTTATTGGCGTTGAAAATTTAATTTCATTTTCATTGGAGTGACTTTTCTGTTTTGTATTGCCATCGTACAGCTAAATTTGTAAGTGGTACTTTCACCCTTTGTAACTGGCTTTAGCTCCTCCTTGCTTCATTCAGGAGGAACCTGCTACCTTTGCATGGTTCCTCAGTCTAAGACGTTACAGCTAAAATCCCCTAAATACTTCAGTCTATTGCCTGTCATATAAATGGGAGTTTTGAACATATTTTAGGCAAAAATTTATGTTTCTTGTTCACTTTTTTGCCTTGCTATGATGGATCAAATGTATTTAACATGAACTTTGAGTGACTTTTGTAAACCCGTTTACTTAATCTCTTATCGGTTCTCTGTGTTTGAACAAAATGCTTCAGGATGATAGAAGCAGCCTAACTTATTAAATCGCCAAAATCACTGGTCTAGTTCAAGTACACCTTGCTTGATTACAGATGTTCAAGTCAGTCTCTTGTCCTCTAGGGCAAAAGAAAAAGAAAATGTATTTATGAGCTGTAGTGAATTGGTACAAAAGTTGGATCCAGATGGATTGAAGTCAGCTCCTACTTGTAAGTTCTCAATTCTTCAGAATATATTTGAGAAAATCTATTTAATGTGTTGAACAAATATATGTTGACATTTTAGCAGCAAAAGGTTGTTGACCTGTTTTTCCTTCCATCACTGTTATAGCATTTCGCACTTTCCTGTGTATCCATCTCTGTGTTGCATGTTGCAGGTACAAAGATGACTAAGACATAGTTCTGGCCTTCAAGGAGTCATGTACTAATGAGGAATATGGACACATAGACCTATATTGGTGATTTCATAAGTACTATGAAAAGAGATATATGCACAGGATATATGAGAAAAGAGAGGGGCAAATAAAATTTAAACCTAGGGGTTCACATATATTTTAGAACTATAAACATAGCCTTTTTAAGATTATATTTTATGCTCATCTTCAATAACAATAGGACCAGATTTATTCATCTAGACACGGTTATGCATTGAATTCCATTTTAACTGCAATAACATTATTTTCAAAACCATCACTACTAACAAACTAGGTTCAAAAATGTGGGAAGTGAAGTCTGCATTAGTAAAAGTTTGGAAAAGGTTTAATTTCCATTAACATAATTACGATTGAACTCTTCTGCTTCTCGCTGCCTACTTTTTTATTTATGGCAGATTTTGTATATGCATTTCAAACCAAACAATTTTCTCTTTTTTTGGGCTTTTGATTCTTTCATTACTTCAGTCTGCAGCTGGCACTTACTTAAACTTTTATTGAGAATTTGCAATGATTTGGGGAATGGCACAGGCAATACTTCCACCAGACTCGGGCAACACATTATGTACTAACTTTTTCCCGTGAAAAAGTAAATCATTTGGCTCTGATAATTATATTGCATTTAAAATCCTAAGGACAATTTTGCATGTTAAAAAATCACATTGAATTTCTAAATTATTCTGATTTAGTAATGATAGTTATAGAATAACAACATAGTAAGTCATATGTTGACATATGTTTGAAACTGCTATTGAATTTTCCTAGTTTAGGAAGCACACATGCCTCTACAGATAGAGGTGATGATCAGCAATTCTTTGAAGATGGCAGTGATATTTTTATACGAATCTTTTATTTGTTATTAAATTACTAATCCAACCAATGTGGGATTGGCAGGTTTTGCCAGATTTTTGACACGTTTCTCTTTTTGGAGTTAGATTTAGATGCTCTATTTGCTATTTCAAGCTGTTCCATTTTCATGATTTCACTATAGTAATGTAGTTCTATACATTCCAAGTGTCTTACCCTTGTTATGTTTCCTTCTATAGTGATCCAAACTCCAGCATCTCATGCTAATTAATATACTTTTGCAACTTCAACTATAATGTCTTTATTCCTTTTGGAGCATAATTATCACTTCTGACCCACTACCTATGAGAACCTAGAATATTCAACACAATAACAAGGTACTTAGAAAATTTTTCTTTAATTGTGACTTTATGACAAAGAGAAATATTTGACATATTTATTATGTCTTTAAATAATAAAATATATGAAATCACTTGGCACATAATGGTTACTAAGACATATTAGTCTCTTCCATCCTTAATTATAAAAGAAATTAAGAGTCAGTGGCCTTCAAAGTGGAGTATGAATGCCTTTAGGGGAAGTGAAAAGAGTTACCACTGGGTTAGAAAAAAATCACAATTTCACATGCTACTTTGTATTATTACATTATATTAAGTTGTCTATTTTATATGTCTTATATTACAATTATATAGATAGATACAGATTTATAATACTTTGATTTTCGTCATTGGCACATGCTCAAAAAGTTTGGAATTCATTGGATTAAATGAGGTTGCTCAAATTTCAGTCCTCACATACTATTTTGGAAGTTTTGCTGTATTTGACTATTGCCAAAGATAATTTTAATGTACTGCTAAAAAGGACACAGTTAAGGCTTGAAAATTCAGAAAGTGAAAGCCCATATTAGACAGAAGATATACAGGAATGTGATAAATATATGATTGATGATAGATTAGATAGATGATAGATAGATAGATAGATAGATAGATAGATAGATAGATAGATAGACAGACAGACAGACAGACAGACAAATAGAGCTAGATAACCATCATTCTCAGAAGACTTTAGGCTGAACTTAACAAATGCTTGAAACGTTCGTGGTCATCTCCAGTCCCACACCAGTAATTCATGTGTTCTATGTAACTGGATGGCAATGCCCCCATCTTACTTTTTACTTTGTCCTAAAAAATAATATAGCTGCATACAACATTATAGTATGCTAACAACGTCTGTGTAATACATATAAATACATAATTATTAAAAATACAATAAATAAATTGCAACAATACCACTTAAAATATCATCCTCACTCATGTCAGTCCAGATATCCCATTACACTCTCTGGGTAATTAGCACAAAATGACCATTTGGCTTGATGATCAGAAAGGCAGGTGGTTGTACAATGAACATGAGATGCTTCAGACAGATCTCTCACTTAACTCTGTCATATAGTAGCTCTAAGCCTGAGCAACTCATACTGTCTGAACCTCAGATTTTTCTGCAGTGTGAGGATGACAGTATCCTGAGGGAGAGTCGTGAGAATTTGACACTATGTTGGGGACTATCTCAATGTTCAGCGCATGGTAAGCACTCAATAAATTAGAGCTACTAGCCTTTGTAACTATTAGTGTCCTTGTGTTTGTAGTTCCATTTGGTCAGAGGAACTTTCAGTTAATATTGATGCCATGAGTCCAGCCTTTGTTAGCCTTCATACGCTGTCCTATCTTTGCTCTGTGTTGGAAGCTCGGATTTATGACTGTGACAAACCAGGAAATTAATTTCAGATCCAATTTTGCAATCTCCAGTATTCCTTTCTACAGGTATCTAAATGTTGATTTTCTACATTGAGGTTCATACACCACATATGAGGAAATGATCTGGTATCTATCTCCAAAACTGTCGCTAGATCTCAGTGCTCACAGCTAATATTAAGAGTCCTCACAGACTCATTTCTCCAAGTTTCTGAATTCCTTGAACTTCATCTAAGGTGGATGCACACATAAGCCTTTCTCATTCTCCTTTCAAAATGAAATTTCCTTTCAGCCTTCTTCCCTGCCCAAAGCAGGAAACAACTCTCCTGCTCCCCAGCAGCTCTCTCTATGTTTTCACAATATTAGGAGGCACTGTCTGCTATTTGGAATCATTTTGGCTTATTATAAGGGCTCACACTGTACTTCATTAGCAGGGCTGCTGTGAAATTATGAAACATTTTGGTGAAAATTACAAGCTATTTAGACTCATTTCTTGCTGAAAATATGCAAAGCCCTTCGGGGAAAATGCAGACAGATGGTGTTTGAGACATTTATTGTTTTTCCTATGTATTTGTAAACAAATACTATAAATTAAGCATTTCAGAATGATCTTTAGAAAATCTAGTTGCATATTAATATATCAATTGATATCAAATTAAAGAAATTGTGATACCCGTTTCCATCTTACCAGTGCATTTTTTCCTGTCTGTACTCTGTTTTGAAAAGGTTTCAGAATTGATCCAAAATTGATTGTTGAAAAGCTCCAGAAAAAGCAAAAGCAGGAGTCTCTGTTCTTTTTTTCTCCAGGTATATTTTTTATAACTCATGTAAGTGCAATAATTAACCCTACAAAAATATTATATTTTTCCTCATATATAACAATATTATTTGTATCTACCTAGAAAACCTTATGTAGCACAAATTCACAGTCATCTACAAATGAAATGAATTATTCACTTCTTATCATTTGAGAGTCTACAAAATGTAATTTATATTCTTTGTGGGTTATCTCTAGGGAAGAGCTGTGATGTTTGGAAGCTTACATGTGCTACTCTGAAGACTACTGGAGCAAGTGGTAGCACATGAGTAACTGTGTTTAAAGGAAAGTGTCCTTAGTTTCTAGCTATTTTAGTGCTAAGGCAAAAAATTATTACTAGTGGTAATAAGCAAAGTTCAAACATGGTTCTCATGCAAATCAAGGAGGTAGGTATTTTTGAAAGTATAAATCATCCGTATCTCTCCATTAGTTGATTTAAATTTTTTCTTTTATTTTGCTTAATGTTCCTTCCCCTTGTTCCAATAATAATTTTACTCCAGTTTCTATTTTTCATTTTCCAGTGTTGCCTACAGAAAAGCAGAGAAAAAGTCCAAATAATGTATTTGATCACCAGAAAAATGTTTCTAAGAAATATGTAATAGAAATAAAATACCTTTTAGAGCACACCTTTGTAGATATGTTATCAATAAGCAATGCTATTTTTGTGTAAGACATTTACTGTATTTTGACATACAGATTAATTTTCTCTGGTTGAAGATGTGCATAAATACAGAGAAAATCTTCTATTTTAGTGAAAAAGATTAAGCCAATGAATCATAGTTTTTCTGACTTTTACAAATAGGCATAGTCATTTCTCCCAATAGTCTCATAAGAACTGGAGTTAGAAATTGAATTGCCTGTTCTTTTTCTTTCTCACTCTCCTTTACTGCATTTCCCTTATTCTCTCATTGTTATAGGCAGATTAATATATAGACACATTTTAGAAATTTCTAAGGATTTATGAAGGGGTATATTGAATATGAAGATAATCCTGTCATGGACAATAGCTAGGTATCATCCCTCTTAAAATGATGTCACATGGAGGATGAGCTATGACAAGACCAGCTCCACATTCCTCACAGACTGTCCATACAGATAGTTTACAAAAAATCATTCATATCAAGTACTTGGCATTCCAATGTGAGAAAGAAATAGTTATTTCTATTTGAACAACTCTCCATCTAGTGGGTAGGTAATTACTGTGTAGGTCGTTATTCACAGTTTCAATTACAAAAATAAAGTTAAATAAAATAAGTTTAAGAAACATAATAACGGGCTTCATCTAGGATGACCATAATCCTTTCATTTGTTTGTATTGTTTTTGAATTTGAGTGAATTAATTTATTCAAAAGCATGCTTTGGATGAAAATTTCTTAACTTGCACAAGAGCTCCTAACTGCCTTAATCCCCAGTCTACACTTTTCTCTTTTGTCCATAAGTAACCAATACAATGTTTTTAAGACATCCTCCACAAATCATGATTCATCATGCCACTGGATCGAGCAGGATGAATAATCTTTCTCTAGGTCCAGAAGATCTAGACTATAATTCACTTTCCTCTGTTCTTCACAAAGAACATAAAAGCACTTGGAGATATCACCACAACCATCATCCTTCTTTGCCTCTCATATACAGAAAAGAATTATAAGCAGATTAAACATGTTTTGTAGAAAACAGTTCCTCTATTACTTCTCTCCCTTTTTGTTCCTTTCCCTGAAGCAAACACAGCTGTTTAAAGTTCAACCCTGTTAAGTAGAATGACAGAAGGGATTTCCAGACAGGATCCAAAATGGGCTGAAAATTAAAACTTGATATCTTCAGAGGATAGATTTGTTAAGAAAGCCTAGAAGTGATGCATGATATGATTACCTATAATACCTGCAGACCAAAAAGTGACATATTTGCTCTCAGTGGATGTGTCTCTAAAAACATGGCATCCTAATCGTGTACACTTAATGGAGTATGCCAGCTCAGATTGCGAGATTCAGAAGCCTAGAAGCACCCCAGTACTTTCAGTTGGTGAATTTGTCACCTGACAATGAAAATCCTACTTCTAAAAGTAAAATTATAACCATGAGGTGAAAGACCTCTGGAAGGAAAACTAAAATATTCTGATGAAAGAAACTGAAGAGAACACAAACGAATGGAACCATATCCCATGTGCTTGGAGAGGAAGAATTAATATTGTTAAAATGACCATATTGCCCAAAGCAATAAGCAGATTCAGTGTGATCCTTATCAAAACCAATGTCAGTTTCACAGACATAGAAAAAGGAATCCTAAAATTTATATAGAACCAAAAAAGATTCCAGATAGCCAAAGTAATACTGAGCAAAGAGAGCAAAACTAGATACATCATGCTACCTGACTTCAAAATATATTACAAGACTATAGTAACAAAAACAGCATAGTAGTGATATAAAAACAGACACATAGATTAATGGAACACAATAGAGAACCCAGAAATAAACTCACAAATTTACAGACAACTGATTTTTGAAAAAGGCACTAAGAACATATATTAGGGAAAGGACAGTCTCTTCAACAAATGGTGCTTGGAAAAGTGGATATTCATATGCAGAAGAGTGAAATTGGACCCCTATCTTTCACTATAATACAAAAAACAACCCAAGATGAATTAAAGACTTAAATGTAAGACTCAAAACTATAAAACTACTAGAAGAAAACATAGGAGAACACTTCAGGTCACCAGTCCAGGCAAAGATTTTATGGCTGAGGCCTCAAAAGCATAGGTAACAAAAACAAATGCAGATAGGACTATATTAAACTAAAAAGGCCTGCACAGCAAAGGAAACAATCAACAATCAACAAAGAAATGAAGCAAAGTAATCTATTAAAAAGTAGGCAAAGGACGTGAATAGACATTTCTCAAAATAACATATACTAATGGCCAAGAGGTATATGAAAAAGTGCGTAGCATCACTCATCACCAAGAAATACAAATCAAAACCACAATGATATATCATCTCAGTCCAGTAGGAATGGCTATTATTAAAAAAAAGATCAAAAATAACAGATGCTGGTGAGAATGTGGAGAAAAGGGAACTCTGAAACACTGTTAGTAGGAATGTAAATTAGTGCAACTATTATGAAAAACAGTATGGATATTTCTCAAAAAAATTAAAAATAGAACTACAATATGATCCAGCAATCCCACTACTGGGTATTTATCCAAAGGAAAAGAAATCCGTATTTCAAAGGGGTACCTGCACTCACATGTTTATTGCAGCACTATTCACAATAGCAACTATATGGCATCAACCTAAGTGTCCATCAGTGGATGAATGAAGAAAAAATGTGGTATATTTCCACAATGGAATAGTATTTGGTCACAAAAAGAAATGATATCATGTAATTTGCAGTAATATGGATGGAACCGGAGGTTATTATGTTAAGTGAAATAAGTCAGGCACAGAAAGACAAATATCTCATATTCTCAATCATATGTGGGAGCTAAAAAAGTTAATCTCATGTAAGTAAAAGTAGAATAATAAATATCGAAGGCCAGGAAGGATGTATGTCAGGGCGAGGGAAAGAAAAGAGGTTGGTTACTGCGTACAAATATATAGTTAGATTCAGGAATAAGATATAATGTTTAATAGCAGAGAAAGGTGACTATTGTTAACAACAATGTATTGTGTATTTCAAAAGAGCTAAAAGAAAGAACTGGAAATGTTCCCAACATATAGAAATGATAGATGCTTGAGGTAATGAATACCCCAAATACCTTGACTTACATTACACGTTATATGCATGTATCAAAATATCATAGGTGCCCTATAAATATGTACAAATAGTATGTGTAAACTAACAAAATAAAATTTTACTGTACAAATATATTTGTGAACAAATAACAAACAATCTCTGAAGACGAATGACACCTCCAGCTTCAAAGAATTGAGCTGAACTAAACTGTGCTAAAAGAAAAAGAACTGAGCAACTGTGGCAGGAGACAGCTCTTCCTATTGTATGAAATGATTCACGGTGGACTCGGGGCCAACAAGGGTGCATCAGATCACATCCAGGCATCTTGATGTCTTTAGGAGATCCAAATTTAGCCTTCAGATTCTAGGATTTTACTGAAATAGAATACAACTTCTCATTCCCAAAATATAATGAACGGGTGTGGGTGGGGGAAGAGGGGGTGGAGGATTTTAGAACCATGAATATAGGAGGGAAGAAGCTTAAAAATAATCTTGAATATCTCCCTTATTTTATAGATAGTGAAAAATAGACCTCCAATCAATAGGTGATATGAGCTGGGCTACATCATTAGTCAGGGCTAATTAGAATCTAGTTCATTCATTTGAGGTTTTAAAGAATGCATTTATGTATCTGTGTATTCTTTTTCCACGTATTTTTATGCTTCAACAACAAATTTGAGCTCTGTGAATAGATTGCCTGGGTTTGAAACACTGACTCTGGCACTTAGCTAAGTGATTTTATGGAATTTACTTAACCTTTAGTTCCCCTTTCTTCATCTGTAATATAGGCACATTACAATATCTACATTCTGGGGATGTAGTGTAGGTTAAATAAGTTAATTCATACAAAGAGTTTAGGACAATGCCTGGCATATAAGATGTGTTCAATGTGTGTTAGCCATTGTGATTAGCCCTTCATGTCACCTTTTGTAGATTAAAAAAATTCAAATTAACATCTCAAGCTTTCAATTCTCTTTCAAGATTTATCTGAAAATTTCCTCATTTACGTTGAGAAGGTCTTCCTAGTTCAAAACCTAGTACCTCAAATTACCATGTCCCAAATTTCAGAATAATGAATAATTTCATTTTTCTGCACCATGTCATTCCCCTTTTGTGTTTGCTGTCCCATCGCACCATTCTTTTGTGTTACACTATTCCCCAGGTGTAGAGAAACAGTCTATGTCAGTACAGGCTTAAAAAGAAAACTCTCCTAAATGGGACTTTTTTTTCCCAGGATTGTCTTAATTTCATTTTTAAGAAAGTTAAAAACCTAATACATAAAAATAATTATTAGTATATTCTACATTTCAATAATATTTTAAAATTCAATCTATAAGCAGGACAGGACAGATGAAATATTGAATCTTAGGGCAAGAAAGGAAAAGCCAGACATTACTTTCATTTTGCTTTTTTGCCTTCTCCTCTGCTCTGTATTTCTGCTTTATGCCATTCAGTTATGGATGTTATAGTAAACATCTTTGTTTCTGTAAATAAATACTCATAAATCTATATATGTATGTGTATTCATCTATAAAAGGAAGAATAATTTTATTTACCAAGAAATCTCCCCAAGAATTTTTAGCAATAGCAATATTCAGAATGAAAAAAAAAAAATAGCACGCTTCCTAGTACAGGTGCTGTGAAGTTGCTGGGCACCCAACCATCACCATCCAATCTGCATGACTTGTGAGGGGTTGCAGATATCCTGGAAACCACCTCATCCAGGAGGCACATAAGAAATTGGAGGAAGCCAAAAGAAGTGAGAAGAAAGACAGATTTTTTTGTAATGGTTGCACTATGAAATATAAAAACCTGTTATATCTTTGAAGAACCCAATTTTATGCCCTGCAAAACACCTGGACTAGCCACTTTAAGAATACCTATAACAATATTAGCATGCTTTAGGGTTTAAGTGAGATTTCTGATTTCTTCAAAAGTAACTCTATGAAAAAAAAAACTGAATTATATGTATCATACACATAGAGAATGTGTAAGAAGGTAACCCTTTAGAGATATCTTATTGTCTACTCTTTTGGGTTGAGATGAAACCATCCTAACTAGTAACTGACACGCCTGTAAATAATGTTTACAAAAATCCATAGTCTAGACATAAGTATCTGAGCACATATATGAAAATATAAGCTATCTGACATACACGTCTCATAGTTCTGAATCTGATATACTCTAACCAGACCTAACCTTCAAAATCAGTGCCAGTGACTATAAGGAGAGATATGTTTACCAGATGCTACAGGTAAGCTTCAAAATTATACTGCTATTGAATGTCAAGTGGATGAAGCACGGTCAGCAAAATGACTAACATTAACCTGATTCCCATTTCCGTTTTTCTTTTCAACTTTTGCAATCTCGGAGAACCTGCTAATGGATCAGTTTCTTATTTTGCTGAGACTGTCCATTATAAATAATATTTCTATGCTTATTATCAATAATGCCACTGCTGCAAAGCAAATTCAGGCCAGTTACAATGCACGGTACAAAGCTATCTAAAATATAAGTGTGGGTGTTTCAGCTTGGGTCTTATCTCATTTGAAATTGAAATATGTTTGCAATGCTTGAATGTGGGAAGATTAATTATCACCTCTGTTTCAAAATAAGCAGCAGTAGAAACCCATCACATGAAAATGTGGAAGTGACATTGTCGACAGCTAACAAGAGAGGTTTTCAGCTGGAAAAGGGTGCAAACAGAAACAAATGCATTCATATTTCTAATCCGCAGCCAAGAAAAATTGTATTTGATACTGGCTGAATTTGCCTCAGAAAATCAAAGCCCCATTTTGGCTAGGATACTAAATGCAGCAAGATGAACCACAGAATTCTGCCTCGCAGTTACATCAATGCTTTCATGTTTCCAAGGTCAGGCTAGCTCTGGCTTTTTTTTTTTTTCTCAGTAAGAGAGAAAAGCATAAACAGTCCCGCCATTGACACGCAATGTGGCCTTAGGCAAAGAAGTTAATCTCTCTAAACTTCAGTTTCCCCATCTATGAAATGGACAAAATAAGCACATGCTTAGCTCATGGAATGGATGCAAGTCTGTTATGTATTAGTATAAACAACACGCGTCTAGCATGCAGTAAGAGCTCAGCAGTAGTTAGCTATTGCTGTTGCAAAACCATGCCATTCTGTTCTAAAACCACTAAAACAAAAACTCGTCCTTCCTGTCTGAATGCAGCTCTATCTCAAGTAGTGAGGGTAATAGAAGGTTCAGTTCCCCCCACTTCTTAAACTTCAGTGATTAAGAGAGATCATTTTGATGCTTCATTCCTGAAAGATACTTCTTTTTTTATTGTTGTTTTAAATGCCATGTCAGAACATCCATAGTTAACATCAGGTTTTTAAGAAAGGTCTCTTGAGTCATTTGAACACTGGCATTGTGCAGCTCAGGTCTCATTACAGATCCCTTTTGTTAACAGGAAGGTTTTAAGTCAGTAAGTCCGCTGGCTGTACCATACATTAAGATAATGAGATGAAATGATATAAATTCAAATCATTTGGCTCCCTTCTCCATCTCTATTTCTCTCTCAATTTATGTTACACAATGACATAAAGCACCACCTTGGGAGGTGAGCCTGCCCTGTGGTTAATCATTCCAATACATGCTAAAATACCCCACACTATAATTTAACATGAAGAACAGCTAGGGGTTGTATTGGAACTGTCATGACTCACAGGAATCTACTAATTTTGTCCTGTTCACCTTCATTTTATAACTTTGCAAGAGTTTCTGCCAACATTGGCAGAGGTGGCAAACGTAAAAAAAAAAAAAAAAAAAAAAAAAAAAAGATAAAAAGAAGCTCTTTGTGAAATGGCATCTTGAGTCTATGCCATTGATAGCGTCTTTCTGATTCCCCAGGCAAGCTCTTTCTGAGCCACTCTAAGCCCTCCAGAGACAATTTCTTTTATGAAAGTCAAGCTTCCTTCTACCAGGCTCTCACATCTTCAGCAACGGTAATCATTCTTGAAGCTGGAAGTGTTGTCTGCTATCTTGATGTTGCTGGTACTGAAAGAGGCAAACAAAGTCAGCCTGATTGTTTTAGGTTTGGATTAGTCTGGAGTGCATAGAGAAACATTTTAAAAGGCTTATTTTGACTATCAAAGTGAGTTGATATGACAGCAGTCGTCAGGGGAAAAATGTGCACCATGCAAACACACAAACATCCCTCAGCAACCAGCTGCAGCTACTTTGCAGTAGCAGGTTTGAGGGAAAATTGCTTTCTTGACTATCACTGGAAAAGAGGGCAGCACTCCAAGTTACTTTGGAAAAGGTACAACCACAAAGTGGTATCCAGGATGGCATGGAGGTCAAAGGGGTTTGAAAGTCAACTTTTATAGCACATAATCTTGTAGAATTGTGTCTGTGATTTCATACATGCGTGTTTCTGTGTAATATGTAACTATTCATTAATCAGACACAGATTGGCAGGTTCTAGTCAGTTACGTCCAAACATAATGATAATCAACAGAAAGGAAAGTGATTTGAATTAGGAAATGGGGAAAAAGAGAAACAACTAACATGCAACAAAATAAAAACAACAGCAAAATAAGCTAGTAATTGCTGAAAGCAGTTTTAGAATTCAGCTCAACCACCTAAAATTCTGAGTTTATGAATGGAAAGCTACCTGGACTATTCTGATCATATCATGAGGTGCCTTTTTAGCTTGGTTATTCAAATGACAAAACTCTCAGTCATATGGCAGGGAACTGCATGACTCTTCACAAAAATATATGAAATTAAAAACAAATTTTCGGTCTAACTTCCTAGTCAAGTTTATATTTAATGAGTTTGAGATGCCATGTGATTGCCAGTTTCCAAGAGAAATTCAATCTCCCAGCATTTATTCCACTTAAATATTGATGTCTACCTCACAGTAGTTCACAATTTACAATTACCAGCTCTATTTTTAAGCAAAATATAACTACTCACTTTGACACAAACAAGTATTATTTGGAAATAAGAATCCTCAACATGTTTCCCAAAAGTAGACACAGATTATTGCATGATGTGTGTTCCACATTTTTAGACACCAAAACAAAGCAGGGTAATTTCTTAGAAAAATAAAACTTCATTAGAAAAAAAAGTTGCACAAAATATTCTTTCATATTATCTGCAGACAATGTATAAAATCATATTTTAAATACTTCTCAAAGCAAATATTCAGCATACTTTCTTCTACATAATTACATCCTTCAAATTCTTTACCTCTTAGTAGTTGGATTTCTATACTAAGCAATAAACAAATTCAATTTTTATTATAGATATAAATAGTTAAAAGAGAACATAAAAGTAATATAAGAAGAGTGCAAAGGAAGCATTCATCTAGTTTGAGGGACAGGCGCATGATGTGTAAGACATATGTTCAGAAGCTCCTGTCAAGGATGTACTTCTCTTGGCAAAGTCTGGGCCTCATATCCACCTCAAGGTAAGAGCTGGTCTGAGACTGGCTTCTGCCTGATCCTCTCCTCAGCACCAGGAAAACGATTTCAGAACTGCCTTGAAGTTCTTGATCTAGTCTTTGAAACAAAAGGAAATGGATCCTGACGTGGTTTAGAGTGGGCCTGCTCCTGTGCTCTTATAGATTTGTGTTCATTCTCTTTATCTCAAATCAGTTTGGGACTTAAGTTTGTAAAAGAAACATTATTATTTATTCTTCATTATCATATAAAATTTGACTCAATATTTATTCCCAGAAGAACTTTTCTATCACCTCACTGAGATAGCCTTAACCCAAGGTTTTATTTTCTTCTCCCCAGGAATGCCTTTTGAGTATAATGGCCCTGTCCAGTGGTCAGAGCCACTGTGATTTGTAGTGGCAGAAATTCAACTTGAACTAGCTCATTATCGTTAAGAAATGCTCCCAATTATGGGAAAGGCGGGCAGAACCGAGACCGGTAACAATATGCTATCTGCTGTCCCTGTTTTTCTCTACCAGTTGTCTTTCTTCTCCCCTGATGTAAAACAGCTTCTAGTACAACATACTTCCACCTTTTCTCCAGAGAGGAAATGGCTTTTTCTAACTCACTCCGTTTCCAGGTAATTATGGGGGGATGGAAATAGATTCTGACTGGCTTAGCTTGTGTAAAACTCAATTCTATGCCAAGGAGGTGATATCTTACAATTATCAGAGTCTCTCAGAACCTGTACAATATGGGAAGAATGAGCTCCCCAAAAGAACCTGGCTGTGGAAAAAGGATAATGAGGGTGTGTGGCCATCAGAAGAAAGCTAGGGGAGCTGAGATGGCAAAAACGAGTGATTCCTCCTACATCTTCCTGTACTATGGACAGTTTGTGGCAGCTAGGGAGAAAACTTATCAGATTAAAGACATTCATATGTGTTTGCATTGCTCTGCTCTTTACCAAATGTACCCATTCCATGAAGAAATATACAACTACCTGCAATGGTTGATTTTATACGTTAACTTGTCTGGGGTAGCTGGAACCCAGATATTTGATCAAACATCATTCTGGGTGTTTTGGTGAGAATGTTTTTGAATGAGTTTAACATTTAAATCTGTAGACCGAGTAAACCAGATTGTCTCCCTAATGTGGGAGGGCCCCATCAAATCAGCTGAAGGCCTGAATAGAACAAGTCTGACCCACTCCTGAGTAAGAAAAAACTTCTCTTGCCAGACTGCCTTCGAACTAGGACACTGGCTTTTTCCTGCCTTCAGGAATGGACATAAACATCAGCTCTTCCTGGGTCTTGAGCCTTCCGGCCTTTGCACTGGAACTATACCATCAGCTCTCCCAGGTCTCTAGCTGGCCAACACACCCTGCAGATCTTTGGACTTGTCTGCAACCATAATCATGTGAGCCAACTGTGTATATACACAACTGTGTGTGTATACACACACCCACACACGTCCCATTGGTTCTTTTTTTCTTTTTCTCTGGAGACCCCTGACTAATTTGCTACCCTCCTCGTGTGTTTACATTCTCTGTGAGAAGTCTTAAAGTAAAGAAAGAATACAGAAAGTTTAGATACCCCACTTAGGGTGTGGGTACCCTCTTTACTGGATGGAGACAGTGCAGAAACCAACTTTTACTTCTCGAAAAAAAGTTGACATGTTCCAATGCAGTCTACAGGAGCAAACAAAACCCCAAATCTCCAGGTTCTGGAGTCCACTGGGTAGGAATGAGTGACAATTCTATTTTGTCATTACCATTTGTATTAGTCCGTTTTCACACTGCTATAAAGAATACTACCTGAGACTGGGTCATTATAAAGGAAAGAGGTTTAATTGACTCACAGTTCCACAGGATTACCAGGAAGCATGACTAGGAGACCTCAGGAAACTTACCATCATGGCTGAAAGCAAAGGGAAAGCAGGCACATTCTTCACAAGGCAGCACGAGGAAGTGTGCAAGTAGGGGAAATGCCAGATGCTTATAAAACCATCAGATCTCCTGAGAACTTACTCACTATCATGAGAACAGCATGAGAGAAACCTCCTCCATGATCCAATCACCTCCTTCCCTCAACACGTGGGGATTACAGTTCCCTTCTGTGACACGTGGGGATTACAATTCAAGATGGGATTCGGGTGGACACAATTTGCCAAACCATATTACTGTTGTATATAAAATGGCATCTTAAGGCAATCCTCAGTCTTAAGGGCTGAGACAAAGGCTTCTTATTACATCTCTTCAACCCTCAGCTCCAGCTCTTCTGCTATTATAACTCATAGAGATTTTATGAAAATTAAATGGGCTGTATGTAAAAATGCCTACAAAACATTTAAATACAGAAGCATCCAATACATTTAATTTTCTTATTTTGCTTCTGTGCAGAAAAGAAATAACAAAGCAGGCCTGAGACTGCTATCCTTAAGTCTGCCTGCAAGGTTGGTCCTTGCCTGGCATCTGGGTGCTTGGAATTCAAAAGTTTATACCATTCATTAATTTATTAGATTGGCTCCCTGTGCCTAAATTGTGCAAATAATATGGTTTATGCTATACATCTGGTCTCCACCTGTGACTCTCAAATGTTTGTTACCAAAGTGTGCCTATCTAAAAAGCCCCCCATAAAAATATCAGGTATTGACTCTCTAGTGAGCTTCCATGATAGACAACATTTCACACATGTTGTCACAGTTCAATGCTGGAGAAATAAACCATGTCCTGTGTGACTCCACAGGGAGGGAATTCTTAGAAGCTTGTACCTGGTTTCCTTCAGACGTTTCCCCATGTACCTTTTCCCTTTGCTCATTTTGCTTTCATTGTAATAAATCTTAGCCATGAGTACAAGTGTACATTGAGTTCTACGGGTCCTAGTGAATTACCAAGATATTGTTGGGGACACAACCTGACCACTATCTTTTTGGCCACTTCACTCAAATTCAGCTCAACCTTCCAAAATCTGTCATATAGCAGCCTATGCCTTATTTCTATAGATTCTAGACAGATCACCTTTGCCTAAGTACTGTAAACCTGAATATATACCCAAAGTAATTTTGGGTTTAGAATAGCAGGCTTTCTTTTTATGATAATGTGCTATTGGGCCTAGTTACCTAGCTAAAGAAAATATAACTCTATGTTATATGTATAAATTAAGTCTACATCCTTACTTAAGTCAACACATTTGGTTATTTTTACATATGCAATTAGGCCCAAAGGTTTCTGTCATAACCATAGTTACTACATTTTTAGTCAAGAGAAGTGTTAAGGAAAGTATAACCAAGATGCCTGCCGAAACCATGTAAAAACAAAAAATAACAAACAAAAATCAATAAAAACCCATAGAAAGCCTGGCTTTGAGTAATTCTCTTTTATGTTGAAATCTCCAAGATAAATGAATTATAAAATCTACATCAAAGTGACTAGATGTAGTAACTTAGTGAATGAGATTATAATTTTTGCTTTGGGCCCTTTATACCTATAGCTCATTATTTTCCTCCACTGATAACCTTAAATCCTTTATTCTCGTTTTTTTTATTAGAAAAGTAAAATGAATTCCTGTATTGCAGAAAAAGTTTCTTTTTGTTTCAATCTGTCAGTAAAATCTTTTTAGTTCACCAGGTTTTACCACGAACAGATAATGTTCTTAGAGGGTAATATTCTTAGATGGTAGAAATGCAAGCATTTTCTCTTTCCAGAATAAACAGGTTTTACCAGCATAGGAAGTAAAATGCCATCACTCATAAATAGAAATTAATATACTAATTTATGTGGCTTCAGGGAGTCTTGAGGCTGTGGAAGACTGCAAAGTTAAATAAGCTGCATCCACATATACAACCTCTGTTTTTCTTCTGCCAAGGGCATAACATAATATGCACTTCCCATGTCTCTAAGAGTCCCCCCATCTTCCCAAATTTCCAACATGTATTTGCTAAAGAATGAAACACAGGAAAACGTCAAAACAGGCAGGAATGAGACGCTGTACTGAAAACAGGGGAATTTAGTGAAATCCTACCCATTTACCGATGAAACCTGATGTTGTCATTTCACCTCCTCTCCCTGGTTCATCCACTATGGGCAGACAGGCCTCTGCCCTTTTTATAGGGAGACAGGAGAGTGTAGTTTTCTCCTCTTGAGAAAACTTGAGAAAAAAGAAAAAAAAAAGACCCAGGCATTTGTGACTAGCCTAAACATAGAGCCATATTCCTGCTTGGTTATCCAATTATGAAGCTCATCATTCACCCTGTGCCACCCATATATTCAGGGCTGCCAATTCATGTTTTATGCTTTTTTGATAAATAGCCTTTTTATTATTTTTATTCATAAGCAGCATTTTATTTATGCTTTACTGATAAAATAGTGACAAGATTATCAATAAACAGCCAAACATCATTAGACATTTAAAAACTCCCAATAAATGAAAGTTAGAGGCCATTCCCCCAACCCCACAAAAGGAACTCAGATTAAATAGAAACATAAAACCACAAATATGTAGAAACCTTTAATAGGCTCAAAAATAGAGAAAAAGAAACCTTCAGGGAACAAAAAATAGGTTTCAGATTTTAAAAATACAACAGGAACAAAGTACCGTTTACAGAACGGTTGAAAAGTCAAGTTGAAGAAATCTCACAAAATATGGAACAAAAATTCAGAGAGGAAAAATATGGAAAAAAATAAAGGAACAAGCTAGGAAGTCATAGACAAAGTGGCAAATATGTCAAATGAACAAGCCTAGAGATCCAGTGTACAACATGAGGACTATAAGTAGTAAATATACTGTATGTGAGATTCATACTATGTGAGTAGATTCTAGCTGCTCTTTGCCACCAGAACAAAACAAATGGGTAATTATGTGAGCTGACAGATACGTTAATTTACTTTACTACAGTAACCATTTTACTAACTGTATGTATTCCATAACATCATGTTACATACCTTAAATGTACAGAATATGATTTATTTTTAAAAAAGAGATGATGCAGAGAAAATGGGTAGGAGAAAACTAATTGAAGAAATTAAATGAGATTTTCTTTCATAACTGAAAGTCATGCACCTCCAGATTTAAAGGGCCTGTCAAATGCCAGCATGATGAATGGAGAAAGACCCACAAGACACATCAATGTAAATTTTCATCACAGCATGGATAAAGTAGAGATTCTAAAATATCTAGCTTGGGTCAGGTGTGGTAATCCTAGCACTTTGGAAGGCTGAGGCAGGAGGATTCCTTGACCCCAGGAGTTGGAGACCAACCTGGGCAACATGGCAAAACCCCATTTCTACACAAAATACAAAAATTAGCCAGACGGAATAGTGTGAGCACAGGAGGCAGAAGTTGCAGTAAGCGGAGATCACGCCACTGCACTCCAGCCTGTGTGTGACAGAGCAAGAACTTGTCTCAAAAATAAATAAATAAAATAAAAGTCAACAAAATATCCAGCTTGGCAGAAACAACAGATGAAATACAAAGATTAGCAAATTGCATCTCACTTCTCAAAGTCAGTACTAGATGCCAGAAAATACTGGGGTATAAGACTCCAAAATCATTTCAGAAAATATTTTCAACATAGAATTCTGTATATTAACAGATAGTCAACCAAGGGTTGAATAAACATATTATTAGTAATTCAAGGAATCAAAACACTTACATTTGTTTATCCTGCATTAACTACTGGAGAATGTGCTCAATAAAGTGAAAGAGTAAATCCTGAAACAGAAATAAAAAACAGCATCCACAAGAACAGGGATATCAACAGGAAAAAGGCAAAGGACATTCCTAAAATAATGACAAAGAGAAAACATAGGATAAATGCACAAGACCTACCAAACTACCAGTCCAGTCGGAGCAGAAATATGGAACGCTCTGGAGGGGATATCTTTCAGAAGAATATGAACCTGTAGTTTACAGATGTGTTTGAACCCAGTGAGAAAAGTTTGTTCTGTCAAAGAGCTTGAAGACTATCTTATAACATATCCATAGAAAAACTCCATATGTCAAAAAAGTAAGATCATTTTTAACATTTAGTAAAAAAAGTTTTGGAAGAAAGGGATATAGTCATAATTTATTATGTAGATTAGCTTTGAATTATATTTATATATGCATAATGACTGTAATAAATATTGATTTAACCAAAATTTTAGATATTACTATTTTGAGAGAATTGGAGGAAGGAATGTTTGTGTGTCTCCGTGTGTGTGTGTGTGTGTGTGTGTGTGTGTGTGTGTACCTGTAGAAAGAGAGAGGGTTGCATCATAAGTGAATCAATCCTAATGTTTCATAATAAGATTTCAATAAATTATGTCACTATCTCTAAGATTGGAAAATCAAAATATAACAGTTTATATTGCTTGGAATTGGTCAAGTAAATGCAAGAAGAAATATCTAAAAGTGATAAGATCGATATTGGTATCAGAGTGATGGGGGTAGGAAGGGATGAGAAAGAGAATAAGAAGACTGCCATTATTTACAATATCATATATATATATATATATATATATATATATATATATATATATAAAATAACCATATATAGCACCAAGGCTTATTATGTATATATTTATATTTGTAGCAACTGTGGCTACTAATACATATATATTTCATATATTACTTTTTATATAAATATATGCTAGTTAAATATTTATTAAATATATGCATATATAACTTTATATATACACATATATGTACATGTATACATATAAATATGTTAGTTAAATATTTAATATATTATATATAACTTTATATATACACACACGTGTGCACATGTAGATAACATGTATATATAAATATGCATGTATATACTATACATAATTTTAAAATAAATGTTTAATTATAAAAAGCAAAAAGAAAAAACTTTAAAAGTTATGTAACTAGTTTAATATAGAAAACAGATCATGAGAAAAATCCTAAGGAAAATAGAATTTAAAAGATTAAACTGTATGTAAAATGGAAAAAAGGAAAAACTATAGAGAAGAATCTTTAGGAGGAATATATTTTCAAAACCTCTGACTAAATTTTAGCATAATTCATAATAAATTTGAATGCCTGAAGCAATATGACATTCAAAAGGAATTTTTTTCTCATGTCTCTTAAAGCAAATAAAGGGATCCAAAGTCACAGTCTTTTGCAACCTTTATTAAAATCTCCTTCCTGCCATACATGTAGCCTCTGAAATACTAGATTACTTGATGCTCACAGCTACTACTCAGATCTATTACTCAGAATAATTTATTCTAAGGTCATTGTCTGCTTCAGTATAAATGACATAAAGTGACTCAAAATTAACTTAGATGACGAAAACTAGTAGATAATAGCTTTTTATATATGTTTTATCCAAATATTGAAATTTAAAATAAGCCAGCTTTCTCACTTGAGTAACTTTAGGCACAATGGCGAATTAGCAGCAGACCACAATAGCTCATTGCAAGTCTCTGTCTCACCTGCCTGCCACAATTGTAGCAAATAAGACAGGTGACTATCATGAGGCAGAAATACATGACTTGGAATTAAATGGAAAGGAAGTAATTTGGATTAAATGATTATTATGAACACTGCAGATTTAGAATGAAAAGTCAAGAATTCTATGTTTTACGTCAACTAAAATTTTACTTTACTTCTAATTACCACTTCGGATTTGAAGCCACTGCATATTTCCCATTAATTGGTAGAGATAGTAGATAGAATAAGAAATGGATTTTAGTAGCCAGAGTTGAAGTTAGGGTTAATCTAAATGATCTCATAAGCAATTACTAGCATTGTACCATTATACAGTCTCCACTGTGCCATTGTAAGGACTGTTATTCACATCTAAGTTTCAGTGAATGGCACTGGAGGAGTGGAGAGTACAGCTTGAATGGACATACATGTGACATTGTTTACAAATTTCCACATTTCTTTTGCAGAAGTTGTATTGGGCTGTTCTTGTGTTGCTATAAAGAAATACCTGAGTCTGGGTACTTTGTAAAGAATAAAGGTTTAATTGGCTCATGGTCCTTCCGGCTTTATAGGAAGCATGATACTGCTGTCTGCTCAGCTTCTGGGGAGGCCTCAGGAAGCTTACTATTGTGGCAAAAGGCGAGGGAGAGCAGGCATGTCACATGGCCAGAGGAGGAGCAAAGGGATGCGGGCAGTGCTAAACACTTTCAACAACCAGATCTCCTGACTCACTGTCGCAAGGACAGCACCGAGCCATGAGGGATCCTCCATGATCGAATTACCTCCTGCCAGGCCCCACCTCCAACACTGGGGATTACAATTCAACATGAGATTTGGGCAGGGACAAATGTCCAAAGTATATCAGAAGTCTAGGTGTATTTCTTCCTTTAAAAAATGGGTTTTGTAAACCTGGAAGAACAAATTCTTATTTACAGTAGTGTGTCCAAATGCACTGAAAAAGCTTGATTTCAAATATATCTTGATTTGGAGTTGCTAACTCCTATTGCTCTGATACTATTGTGATCTCAGATTTTGGGAGTTTCCTCTGGGGTTTATTATTGTGGCTCCAGCCTGTGATGTTTTGTCTGTTGGTCAATGCAGAATATTCAAATTTGGAGGAAAATTTTTCTCTACAGTCTCAAGACTTTGCCTTATTTCTCTTCACTTAAGACTTTATGAACAATGGTTTCATGATGACCTCTACAGCCCCTGCCCTCAATAGCTTTTGCAGTTGGCATCTTACCTCACAAATATTTAACATTTTCATATTCTTTAAAATTTTTTGGCATGTTTAAGTAATAGCTCTTCCAGGTTTACAAAACCCCTTTTTCAAAGGAAGAAATACATCATATGCAATTTCCCTAAGTTGGTTCTCAGTCACTGAAGCCTGCAAAAGCTCTAAAATTAGATTCCGTCTAATTTTCCAATTATGATATACCATTCCTCAGTGAGTGACCAGGGAAATCTGCGTATGGTTGCTTCTAACTATTAAAGTAACACATTCATTCTTTCAGCAAATAGGTATGAAGCATATTCTATGTCCCAACCTCTGAACTATAAGCTTGGGATACATCCATGAACAAACAGAAATATCTGCTAACACGGAGCTTACATTCTAATGCAGGGGTTAAAGGGGTAAACAAGTGTTGTCAAACAACAGAAAAAATAATAGATATATTAAATAAGTAAATTATAGAGCATATTAGAATGCAAAAAACGTAACGGAATAAATGGAGCCAGGCAAGGGTGACCAAGAATGCTGGCGACTATAGATCGACTAGGGTAATCAGGGTAAGTCTCATTAAGAAGGTGATTTTTGAGCAAAGATGTGTAAGAAATAAGGGAGTTTTCCAGGCAAACATTTGTAGGAGGAGCATTTGAGGCTGAGAAAATATCCAGTGCAAAAAACCGCACTGTGGGAGCACTCCTAGTATGTTAAGTAAGAAGGAAGAAAGGCATTTTGCTTCAAGGGTCTTTTTTAGCTAGAGTGCCCACTCTTACATTTCTTTTTCTGGTTTACCCTCAGGCTCCAGTGCATATATTTTGTCTCTGATCCTCTGAGTAATTAGCCAGCATTTTAATGATAATCTGCATTTTCAATTATGTTAGCTTCTTTTGTTTTTGAACCTCTGAGGAAAGGTGGACATAAATACTTCCATTGCAAAGATAAAGAATCTGATAATCAGAAAGTTTCATTCCTTTAAAGAGCTCAATTCCAAAGTCAAACCCCAAATCTTTCACTCTGAGCCCAGTGGTATTTCTGTCATTGCCTATGATATCACAGACAAATCTTGTCCAGATTTTCTATCACTAAAGAAAATCTAGTCAAGTCTCTACATTGGGAGGGTGAGAAAAAAAAAAAAGCAGGCAATGATAGAATTCAAGGAAAGACAGGAGGCAGGTCAACACACACACACACACACACACACACACGCTTTGAGTGAAAAGCAACACCCACTGTGCCATCATCCTGGTATGAAGAATACTTGCACTAGAAAAAATCTAACTGCAATCCTTTCTGACACACACACATACACAATTAGGAAACACTCAAACACTCCTTCCACACTTCATTCTGCTCTCTGCCTTTGGAGGGGCAAACAGAAGTAATCTAGCCCAATGTACAATATATAAATGTATAGCACCATCTTGGCTGAAAGTCCCCATGCATTCTGTAGCATGCACATTGTATACACCCAATTGAGTGTTTCATAAAGTTGTATGTATGTGTAAAGGGGAAGGGAGTGGTTGGATTATTTTTTTCTTTGTCCATACCAAGGGCAATCTTGTCCTCTCTCCTCCTGCCTTCATTAACAATTCTCTTTCTGTGTGTCTTCAGGTCCCACTTTTAACTAGCTCTGGAATATGACAGTATCAATTTTGATTCCCTATACCCTGATCATTTTCAGTGGTCCCTTTTTTAAACCTGCCTTGAATTATTCTAATTTGAGTATGCCATCTGTTTCCTGCTGGAACCGTGACTGATAAAAGTGCCATCTTCCGTTCTTCTAAGACCATAGAAATGATAAAGTATGAAATGATAAATGTAAAATGAAATATGTTCATATTGATATTCATTTGGAAAGATAGCATCTATATCGCTCATACTAAAAGAGGGACACAAAGGGTAATCTATCCTGAAAAGCAGATCTATAGAATCTCAAGCTTGCAGTAGGGAGTTCTACTTCTATAGAATAAGGGAGGTTAAAAAGTGCTTCATATGAGGGGGGTAAAGAGGAGTGGGCCTAGACTCACTACGTGAACTGTGTGGCTGAGACTTCCCTTCTCTATCTGCTAGAAGAGAAAGAAAGCTGTCTTCTAAACCTTGCCCTGAATTGTGGCTATTTATAGCTGAGACCCAGTGGGAGGAAGTAGTGGACATATCCTGGCAAATAAAGATTTGAGGCAAGCTACTAATTCTCAGTGACCTAAACGTTCTAAGTTACTACGTCCTAAAGATCTCTGAGTTACCAGTGTTTGACATGGATCTGGATAGGGACCCCTGGGAAGACAGGTGGAAGCATTTACAGAACTGTTAGTGATTGTGGTATTTGAGCAAAGAGAGAGGAAGAATAAGAAGAGGAAAGAGAAGAAGGAGGTTTCCTTTTCTGTTGAGCAACTGAAAATATATGAGGAAAACTAATAATAGTACTAAGTGAGCTAGTAGAATCAATCAGAATATGAGTTCTCTCCAGAAAAAAAAGAAAATAATAGAGTAATCAAAAATGGTTTTTCAAATGGTACATATTAAACAGTGTTATATTAAAACTATGATAATCATATAGAGCAAATGCATAGGTTTGAAAGTAGACCGATTAAAGTTACAGAAGAAGAGAATAGAAAAAATAGTGAGGAAAAAAGTTATTGAAGAGATGTTAGCTAAGAAAGTTCTTGAGTTGAAGAGAGACATGCATACATCCTCCTATTAAAAGGGTACGCCAAATCCTGAGCAGGATAAATAGAAGTCTATATATATTCATATTTTTTAAAAAACCTTCAATGATTTAAAAAAACTCAAAATTTTACCCAAGATAAGTGGTAGACAACCTATAAAATACTGACAGAAGAATTTTTCATCATCATTAGTAGCTAGAGAAGAGAATGGACTACGTAATATTTTTCTACATGTATAGTCAGTATCTTTATTATGTTTATTACTTGAATTGGACAAAGTTGGTGTTAATTTTCTACAAACCACTGTTGAATAGAGTTTATGAATATTGTCTTTGAATTTAGATAATCCTGACTTCTAATACTAGTTCCAATTTTACTGATGGTGAGATCATTATCAAGTGGCATAATTCCTCTGAGACTTTGTTTCCTTAGAATTAAAGTGGAGGCACTAACAATTACTTTAAGAGACTGTTATAAATATTAAACTTAAGACAATCTCTGGTGTGTGGTAAATATTTACTTTCTTGTGGCCATTATAACCAATTGACTAGATTTTCATAATTTTTAATAAAACAAGTCAGTTAAGAATGAAACTTATTTGTATATATATGCAGAATAAGGACACCAAAAAAAGTGAGACATTTTAGAATGTCTAGGTATTTACCAAGGACCATTCCCTTAAAGCTGTTTTCATTCTATAACTACATTTTTCCTTCACTCACTCCTCTTTTCATTTTAAGATCTCACCTTACTTAGGTTACTTTCTCCCCATCTATAACTTTAACAATCATCTATACACTGGTGCTATTCAAATATGTTATCCTAGTCTTACATCTCTTCTGAACTCGAGGTCTGTATTCACAACTGATTATTCTATATATCACCATGGGTAATTCAAATTCAACATAACAAAAATTAAACTCAGTATCTCTCCTTCCCACTGTCCAAAACTACCCCTTCTCATATTTCCCTTTTTGAGCAAAATCCACCCAATTGCTCAAAAACGTGTGAAAAACATTACCTTCTATTTTTTCCTCAGTTCCTGCAAAAATGTGTTAACCCCACAAGAACAATATTAAGAATATTTTACAACCTGGTTGGCAGGCACCAATGTATTAACACAGATGGCAGCTGTAGTGCTAGGGCAGGATCAAGAATGCCCTTTGCTAAAGATTCCTTGACCCCTACAGCTTTGCCATAGGTAAATCTAGAGCTTTCAGGGAATGGACTGTTTATAAGAGTGGGAATCTTGAGAAAATAATGATTCAGCAAAGACTATGGAAAGATTTCAATACTTTTACTATTAGTATGAGCCTGCTGATATATGGCAGTATCATCTTCTTTTCTTAATACAACTGCTGTTTCTCTGTTTCTTATCATCATTTGCCTGTGCAGTTGCAATAGTCTACGAATTGTAATCCAGAGATCCAATTCCTTTTCTCCTAAGTCTCCTCTAGTGATGACTCAAATACTGCCAGTTAGTGTTTTTACTTGCTATGTTTGATAATACCACTGTAAGTAAGGCATTATAAACATAGTTAATACTTGCTTTATCTGTATTTCTTTCCCCTTTGACAGTTTGTTGTCTTTTTTCTGTATCAGATAGTGTAAGCCTTTGTTAAAAGCTTTGGGCAACTTTTAAAAAATAAGTTACAATTTTATATTCTTTCTTTTTAATATAGAAATGATGTACTTTTACTGGGTGGGTAGTGGGAAATAGCATTAAAAGCAACACTGCAAGCAGCAAAATCCCTGAGCCAGCTGCACAACATTAAGAAAACACCTTTAAAAACACATTTTTCTTTAGCCTGAAGATTTGAGGAAGAAAGCATCACTTATCTTTTACTATAAACAATGGATTTGTGCAATCTCACATATGAGACTAGATCTTAATTGATGACTGCACAGAAAGTAGTAAAAACTCAATATTTATGATAATCCCATTCTGTCATTTTAGTTTATAGCATTGCAGATTTTTACATGACAATGGGTCATATTTAGTGTTTCCATCACTTCTAGGAGGATTTGAAGATGTTTTTGGCTCAAGCATAAATTCAACTTGCATATTATTGAATCAACAGTTAAACCAAATAAATGATCAAATAGTAAAACCAAATGAATGATCTGTACTACCTAAATGATGGGGATCATTTTATATGTTTTCAATGTGCACCTAGCTTCTATCATACATTGATATCAACTTCCTACAAATTTATGCAGTTTAATACCCATTTGAAAGTGAAAATGATCCTTTTACACACATCTCAATGTAATACATGGTGGTCAGCCGATGGTGGGGGTGAGGAACAAATATTTTTTGCAAAACTTCTGAGCATTCTCCTTTCCAGTCCAGGTCTCTATACAACCATTATATGCTTTTCTTTTAAAAAATATTTTTACTATTAATCCATTTATTACAGAAGTACATAAAGCCAATTTCCCTGTAACTGATAGTCTAAAACAATATAATAAATTGCATGATTTCATTAAAGCTTTGCACCTGTTCAACATCTTAGACCTTACTTTTTTAAGCATCCATTTTAAACTATTAATATTTGTAATTGCCAAAGTAGCCACTTAATGATTTCTGTTTAGAAGTTATTAGTATTATAAATAATACTTTAATTTTGTTTAACTGACACTTAATAATTGTACATATTTATGGAGTTCATAGTGATGTTACAATACATATAATGCATAGTGAACAGGTCAGAGTAATTGGCATAACCATCATCTCAATTATTTATTATTTATTTGTGTTGGGAACATTCAATATCCTCCTAGCTAATTGAAACTATGTAATCCTAATATTTTATACCTAAATTTTTTTTATAATTCTGAATGTAATTTTGGAAACAATGTAATAGGAGATTAAAAGTCAGAACCATCCAAGGATATACCTAACGCGTATATTTAATAGAAACCTAAAGATGCCTTTCTAATTTCATTTCTTGAATTTTTAGATTAAGCAAGCCAAGCATTTTTACAAGAAATGTTACTTCATCCTATGTTGTAGTTCTGTCAGTGTTAACTACTGTAAGTTTCAATTATATTCAGAATTATTAAATATTAATTATAAAATGGAATAGCATGTATATATGGCAATGCATAGTAATATTTATTATTGTCACCATAACAATTATGTAATAATATTTTTATACTAATAACTAAACCTATTTAATGTGTATTTTCAAAACAGGAAGCACTATTTCACTCAAAGAATGAACTCCCAACACTTAAATTTAAGGCACTAGTTGTAAGCAATTGAAAAATATTAAGCACTTCAATCACATATGTTATGATTTAGGTATAAACTAAATAGAAATAAGACAAACATTAACCAAAGTGGAAGATTTTTTCTTATCTATTTTTAAAATTATATATGACAAATTCATTCTTATGCAAGATTTTCTGAGAAAATAAAAATTTTAATATTCCTATTAGAATTCTATCTCGATGGGAATGGCACCTATTTCCTGACTTATTCTCTTCTGTATCACCAGCACCAAGTAAACAATCAATAAATATTTGTTGTGTGGCACAGAATAGGTATTCAATAAATATTTATTTAATAAATAATATTCAGTAGAAATATGAGTCTTAGAACTACAGAATGCTGATCCAACATATTAGACTTCATTTTAAAAACATTTATGAGGCCAGGTGCAGTGGTTTACACCTGTAATCCCAGAACTTTTGGAGGCCAAGGCAGGAGGATCACTTGATTCTGGGAGGTGGAGGTTGCAGTGAGCCCAGATCACACCACTGCACTTCAGCCTGGGCAACAGAGAGAGACTCTGTCTCGAAAAAAAAAAAAAAAAAAAAAACCCAAAAAAACAAAAATTTATGAGACACAAATGGTGCTATTTTTACATGAAGAAAGAATTAAGTAAACAAAGAGTATGAACAGGCCATTAACAAAAGAATATAAACAATTGATAAACCCCAACAAAATATTTAATCTTGCAAGCAGAAAAAGAAATATTAGTAAAAACAATACAAATACCTTATTTCTTTCTTATAAAGTTAGGATTTCTGGAAGAAAGACAATGACTAGTTTGCATATGAGCAAGGAATATAAAATCAGTACCAATTCTAAATAAATACTCATTCAACAATTCCTCTTTGAATATTTAAATAAATACCAAAAATAAAAAATAATTGTGCACAGCAACAGCAGACCACAGTTATGGTCTCTAAACAACATTCACCATTAAAAGGAAGCAGGGCAACTCTTAGGGCAGAAGTGGCTGATGTGAGGTCCAGGCAGGGCAGAAGATCTTGTCATATGAGAAAACAAGTAAGTTGGATTATTAAAAACTACTGGGTAATACCCAAAGGACACAAGAGCCAGCTCAGAAATTCCCACTGACCAAA
The DNA here is from genome assembly GCF_000001405.40 of Homo sapiens. Taxonomy (NCBI): domain Eukaryota; kingdom Metazoa; phylum Chordata; class Mammalia; order Primates; family Hominidae; genus Homo; species Homo sapiens. Next base: position 23,215,252 of record NC_000009.12, read on the forward strand.
GTTGGGACAATTATGGAATCAATAGAAAGAATAAACTACAACAGATTAAGACACAATAAATACATTTAAATCTGTTTATCATCTTTTATAATGAAGATTCAGTATTTACCACCCCAAATTTGAAGCATATGGTTCAAAATAATAACCACTGTTTCAAAAATTTTAAGTCAGCTTTCATTTAACATTGGAGGAATTTTTAAAGGAACTACTACCTCTAATAAGAAAACAAGTATCCTTGATCAATTTCCAATTTCTATTTTATGTGTTAAATTCAATTATAATTAATAGTTTTATTGAAAAGATCATGTCTTTTTTGACCCCAATTTTGTCTCCTTATCTCTTTTTTCCTTTTATATAAACATATATAATTTGAGTTTTTCCTCACTTACATTGCTTACAATTATATTAACACTGTGGTTTATTTTTAAAATTGTATACTTTTTAAATGAGAAAGAGAAAAGTAAACTTTTTGAATTGCAAAATATAGCTGAAAATACGTCAATGAATTTTCTCAAAACTGAAAAGTAGTTTTCTATTAATACAAACTTTTTTGTTTGTTTCTTTTTTTGAGACAGAGTTTGGCTCTGTCAACCAGGCTGGAGTACAGTGGTGCAATCGTGTCTCACTGCAGACTTGACCTCCTGGATTTAAGCGATCCTCCCACTTTGCCCTTTTGAGTAGCTGGAGCCACAGGCACGCATCACCATGACAGGCTAATTTTTTTTTTTAATTAGTTTTTTGTAGCGATTGGGTCCCTATGTTGCCCAGGCTGGTTTTGAACTCCTGGGATCAAGAAATTCTTCTGCCTCCACCTCTCAAAGTGCTGGTATTACAGGCTTGAACCACCATGTCAGGCCTATAAATTATTTTTTAATGTGTAGGGTGATGACAGAACAGGTTTATTTCCTTCATTGGTGCACATCATTTATATTTACTTATAGTAAGACAGTGCTATTAGTAATACAGCATTCTTTAAAAAAATAAAATGTTGATGAAATTGTTACATTGCTTCAGTTATATGATTAGATCTAAACCAGCTTTCATTATATTTCATGCAAAATATATTATATACCATGCATGGTATTTTTTCACATAGTATTTATGTTGCATGAAAAATACCATGCATGATCTCTGGAACCTGGGAGACTGCAGTAACCCTCTATGTTTCTAAAATATTTTTAAATGATTTATTAATAACTCAAGATATTTCTGCCTACCAAGCTCTTTTTTTCCTCTGTTTATATTCCATTTTTAATAATCTCACATTTCTAGGAAAATTAGGTGATATTACATTTGTATATCTTATGATGAGAATGATTGACAATATTTTAAGGTTGTATTCCAAAGAAAAATCTAATAATCTAAATAATTATAATTACAGCCACTAATTCAGATTTATTAGAGATCAAATGTGTAACCAAATTTGCAGAGAAATAGAAAATATTAGTACGTGACTGTATTTGTTTAGCTTTTAAATTTGAAATCAATTACCCATAGTATTTTATTACAAGTGAATTAATGATATTTATGAATGCATACATTCATTAATTTAGCACTTAAACGCTAAACATTCACATCTCCCAAATTATTTATTTTGGTTACATTTTCTTTTTAAAATAAATAATTACTCCTATATCTTTTTATTCAAACTTAGATCCTCATTAAAAACAAACTTTGAAACTCTTGTTTTTGTTATACTCTTGTTTTTATCAGTAAATATATAGAAATATTTCTATCTGTTTGCATGTTACATGCTCACATGCCATATTAGCCCTTAATGGGCTATCATTGACCTAACAAATCACCCAATACTGTCTACCTGGATTAAGACCAGCATCTATAGAAGCCTTGATAAAATGACCCTCTCTTCTCAGTCCTTTTATATATCAAAACCACATAGACTTCCCAGAAATGTTACAGATAAATAAAGAGGCCATAACACTGTTTTAGAGAAACTGATATTCAATTAGTCAGGGCTTCTTCCAATATATAATGTTAAATTTGACAGCAATGTATTTATATCTGTTAATAATTTAACCAATCTTAGAACTCCACTGAAATTACTTTTTTTAAAAAAAATTTACCTTTATTGAGGCATAATTGACAAACATTATTCAATGTGCATAAAGTGATGTTTTGATATATGTATACATTGTAAAATGATTTCCACAGTCAAGCTAATTAACATATCCATATACTTAAGACTAGCCGGGCATGGTGGCAAGCGCCTGTAATCCCAGCTACTTGGGAGGCTGAGGCAGGAGAATCGCTTGAACCTGGGAGGTGGAGGTTACAGTGAACCAAGATTGCGCCACTGCACTCCAGCCTGGGCAACAGAGCAAGACTCCATCTCAAAAATAAATAAATAAATATAAATAAAAAGATTTACTGTTAGCAAATTTCAAGTATACATTATTATTAACTATAGTCACCATACTATACATTAGGTCTCCAGAACTTATGCATCTTATAACTGCAATTTTGTACTCTTAGGCCAACATCTTCTCCCATTTCCCCCACCCCTCGATTCCCTGGTATCGACCCTTCTATTCACTCTTCTGTATGTTCAACTTATTTAGATTCCACATGAGAATGAGATAATTCAGCATTTGTTTTTCTGCGACTTGCTTATTTTCTTTAGCGCAATGTCCTCCAAGTTTATATATGTCTCAAATATAACAAAACTTCCTTCTTTTTTTAAAGACTGAATGACAGTCTCTTGTATGTGTGTATGTGTGTATCGCAGTTATTTTAAAGGACGTGCATAACTCAGAAATGCACATTCCATAGTGCTTCTCAAACTGAGCAAGTATAAGAATCACCTGGGAATCTTATTAAAACACAGATTCCTGGGGCCAGCCTACAAAGATTCTGATTACGACTGAGTTCACAGCCAGGGTGAGGACCCCCATAATTTGTATTCCTAACAAGGTGCTGGGTGGTGTTGATGGTCATTTGGAGCAACTAGAAGTCTGCATTCTCAGTTTAATTTGTCTTGTTCCTTAAATTAATTTGGCACTAATCTTTGTTAATCAGTCTTTTCCCTTCCCACACCTCTCCGTTACTTTAAAGAGCATCTCCTTTGACTTTAGATTTTATTTTAAAATGTCCTGGGAGCTACTGTTCACATGTTATTCCTGTACCCAGGAGATGACCTTAAATATTTGTGCTTATCATTTCATTTCAAGAAACACTAACATTCAGGCAAGTTTAAATGATGTATGTCTTGGTTTATTGTCCCCTACGTCCTATTGTCCAAGGCCCTGTTGGAGTTATAAACAATTTTATTTCAGCACCACAAGAAAAACTTGCTGTTTTAGGTTTTAATGTTTATGTGCCACAGTCCAAGAGAAATTATTTTTTCTGATAATGCCTTTGAACTTCAAAAGCCCTGTTCCTTTAATAAACTTTTTAGAATGAAATTATGCAATATTCATCTTCTAGTCATTAAGTTCTATGAGATCATGTTCCATAAATTTAACATTTCATAGTATTAAGGTTGGTTCCCAGCCTATCTCTAAATATCTTTTCCTTGTTTATTGCAGTATTTTAGCACTTGATAGCAGATAATAATAGCAGACGTCAACATTCTACAAATCATTTCTAGGATGAAAACATTTTTAATAATATAAAACCAGTATTCCCTGAGCATCTGGCACCAGAATTTCTCTTAGAAAGCAAAAGGTGTTTTTCTGGAAACAATCGTGGTAAGTCATTGGAGATTGAAAGTGACACACTGATAGAGTCCAAGAAACAACAATAAAAGGCATTTTTTTTTTTTGCTTACTCTATACAAAGCAAGTGCTTATCCATATTAACAAAGTTAATTATCATAACTACTTTATGTGGCATGAATTCTATAATCCTTCATTTTCTAGATCATAAAACTGAAGTATAGGGAGGTTAAGTGACTTAACCAAAGTACTGCAGGTGTAAGTGGCAAAGCTGGGATTTGAACCAACTCCTCAGTCCAAATATTCATCAGCATACAATGCTCCTTTATCTGATAACATAAGAACAGTTTTGCAGGTGTTTGCTGTCGGTGGTTGGTTGGTTGGCTGGTTGACTGAAAAAGAAAATGTGGGAGTGGGTGAAGTGAGAAGAGAAAAAGGGAACCAGAGATGCCAAAAAGCTGGAGGATGATGAGGTAAGGTCTCTATTTTTAGTGGCAGAATGACTGTAGAAAAGTGTTTAATATGAAATAGATGCAGGACTTTTCTTGGCCCCTTTGCCAGATTCACAGCAGGGGCAACCCTTCTACTCCGCCTGCTCAACCCCATTGCGGGAAGGAGAACTCCCTTGCAGGAATTGACTGCAGGATCCAGCCAGAAGCTCCCGGCGCCAACTCAGGAGCCAGTTCCAGGCAGGGCCATGGCAAGGCTAGGTGTGTCACCTCGAGGGGAATGCGGCGGCACCCAGGTGAATGTACCTATGACCCTGAAGTCTCGGAGGGGATGTGACAGTGCTCCTTTAGATCCACCGTCTGCAGACAGCAGTGTGTAAGCAGCTCAGTTGGCCCCTTGCCTCGTTGCATGGGGTGGCTGCCCTCCACTGGCGAGGGCAAAGGGCTGATGTGATGGCCTTTCTGGGTACCCACACTCGGTGGGTCCCGAGCTCTAGTCAGTGTCCAAGAAGAGTGAGGTCACATAGATGGAGAAGGCAGAGAACTTTATTGAGTAATGAAAATGGCTCTCAGTGGAGAGGGGAGCTGGGGAGGGGATGGGAAGGGCTGGTTGTCTCCTCCTCTGCCAGCTAAGTCTAGGCACAGGATGGGGAGTGACTGCTGATTGCTTTGTGAGTATACAAAAAGTGTTAAAGCAAAGACACCACTCAAAGGTGGGCACAACATTGTAGAAAACCAATTAGGAAAGGGTAGGTATAAGTAAAACAGGTGAAGGGTGGGGATCAATCACAGGGAAGCGTGCCTAACAGGAAGACAAGTTCTCAACCCGGTCTGAGGATTATTTAACCTGTAGCTTGGATTTCAGGCTTTAAACTCTCTTCCCCTTGGAGGTGGGATTTCACTGGGTACCTGCCTCTATCTGCCTAAGCATTTGGCTGCTTCCTGTCATTATCAAAATGAGACATTATTTTGCTGAGCAGTGCACATTGTGGCCTCTCCTGATGACTCCCCAAATCAGCAATCTTGTAAAAATCAGTGACAGGGCAGAGTTTCACATCTGGGTTAATGTTGAATGTTGTACAGAACAGAGATTTCATGGGGTGGGGCTGTGGGAGCAGAAATAGAGGTGATCAGCAGATCAGAAGCCCAGGTAGGCTCAAGAAATCTTGGGTCAGGTTTTGGACTTTCAAGCTATAGAACAGTGGTTAAAATAATGTTTTCTAAATATTGAGAGGAAGGGAGCTCCCAGCTAATATGTGTATTTCATTTTATGATTAAATTATTGTGTTTTCTCTACTGTAAACTAAGGGGGAACTCTTATTATCTAATTTTAACGATAGAGCACCATGCCCAGCTTGAGGAATACCATAGGTACTTATTTTAATTATAATAAAGTATATGAATACTTTTATAGTTAAGGTAAGAATAATAAACAAGAATATTTTCAAAGATCTTCCTTTATCTGTGGGCAATTAAGTTTTACTTGGGTAGATCATTCCTGTTTTAGTTTACTTTCAATCTTTAGGATATCTTGAATAATTGTAAAGATATCTTTTCATGACATGTAACATAAACAAATCTTTTTTCTTCATATGTAAAGCCAAGATTTTCCTTTCTTACTCATACATGTGGCACCACAGCCCAAATCAGGACAGGCTGGTTGAACAACGGACATTCCCAGGCTGATGACCTGATTTACTCTGTGCATTGGCTGTTATTGTGCATCTGAGGCCATCTGGGCTCCTGAGGGTTCCCAGGCAGAAATTTAGCAGGTGGGGCCTCCTGGTAGAGTCGATGAGAGCACTAATAAGCTTGTCTCAGCTGGATGATACTCTTTGCATATCTTTGCATTTCCTTGTTCTTACAGGGAACTGCCTTCAGGAGAAAATTCACCCAGGTCACCAATTACCGTGCTCCCCAGTTGGTTTGTGAATGCTTCAGCAGACTTATTTGTTGCACACAACTAACTTTTTTTGTTACATACCCTTAGTTTTCACACATTAAAAAATACACTAAGAAACTTAACTCTTTGAAAGAGGACATTTTCATTCATTTCTTAGTTTGTTAATTCAACAATCAATAAACTTTTATTGAAGATTCAATATGCTCATCATCTTATGCTAGGCATTTTAGAGTGGAAGATATAATAGCATATTAAAGATCTTCTATGTGACAGCCAATGTCCTAAGTGTTTAAATCCACAATAATGTTTAACTTTTATCACAACCATATAAGATAAATACCTGACACGCAAGTTGGGAAGTTGAGGCTCAGAGAAGTTCAGAATTTTGCTCCAGTTTATACAGCATCTAAGTTGCAAAACTCAGTATCACCTCTGGTTCAGGCGACTCCAAGGCCCATTTTTAAAAAAATTTGTGCCAGTTATAAATGGTTCTGGCTCTCAAAAAGCCCATGGTTTAGTGATATATGGAACTCAACATAAGAAAAATCAGTATATATTATGTGTTATAATAACGGCATGATCAAGGTCCGTGAACAAAACAAATATAAATAATTCCATATTGTGCGCTTTTCACTGGGGATGCTAGAAATTGCTCCCGGTTTTTCAGCCAAGATAAAATCAGCATTCCAAGCAGAGTGAACACTAAACAAACAGACAAAAATCAGAAGCAAGAAAGTGCAATGGTAGCTTTGGGGCAGCCTCTAGAGCTCGCTAATGGAAAAGAATAAAGGGTTGAGTATGACACCTGGAAATAAGACTTGAGGTAAAATCAAGAAATGCCTTGACTTTCACAGTTATGATCAGAAAACATCAATGTATAGTGGTTACCAGACATGAGCACTAAGGAAAACTCAACCTTTAATGCAGTTTCTTACCTCAGTGTACAAATTATCTATTGACAGAGACCACCCAGGTTCCAAGGATTTCTTCTATCTTGTGCAACTTCTCCAGTTAACATAGACTAGATTTCACTACATCACTTGGACATGACCATATTATTCTAGATCATGAGGTATAACAAGCCACAACAATACACTTGTACTCCCCTCAGTTTCAAAATTTATGTTACCTTAGTGGTGGTTGAGATAATGTTCAATTTCCTTTGAGAAATATGTAGAAAAGCAACACTCCTAAAACAGAGCCTTTTTCAGCCTTCTGATTCTATTCTCACATATTGCAGGGTAAAGAGGAAAGAAAAAGAAGGATGGTCAGATAGATGAGTGAGTTCTCTGGTACATGTAAATATTCAGGTGACTGTGTGTGAGACAGAGAGGCAGAGACATAGAGAGTGAGTGCAGGTGTGGTTTCCCTTCTCAACCTGTATTTTGTAAGTATGCTAAGTACATCCATTATAGAATAATCAGTATTTTACTCTTTTAGTGAAGCCTTTAAGTTAATCTTTATGTCCAAATACATAATTATATGGTGAGAGTGGAGGTAAGAAAAATTATAGTTTTAAAACTAAACACGTATTATATAGGTAACAAAAATTAGAATTTTAAAACTAAACATGTATTATATAGGTCTTGAAATAACTCATTAAAGTTTTTGATTGTTCTTTCTTCAGATACATTCCATGTTCCTGGTTGTTTTGAAATGTTCTGACTTTTTAAAATTATACTTTAAGTTCTGGGTTACATCTACAGAACGTGCAGGTTTGTCACATAGGTATACACGTGCCATGGTGGTTTGCTGTACCCATCAACCCGTCACCTACATTAGGTATTTCTCCTAATGTTATCCCTCCCCTAGCCCCCACCACCTACTCCAGGCCCTGGAGTGTGATGTTCCCCTCCCTGTGTCCATGTGTTCTCGTTTTTCAGCTCCCACTTATGAGTGAGAATATGTGGTGTTTGGTTTTCTGATCTTGTGATAATTTGCTGACAACGATGGTTTCCAGCTTCACCCATGTCCCTGAAAAGGACATGAACTCACCCTTTTTTATGGCTGCATAGTATTCCATGGAGTATATGTGCCACATTTTCTGCATCCAGTCTATCATTGATGGACAATTGCGTTGGTTCCAAGTCTTTGCTATTGTGAATAGTGTTGCAATAAACATACGTCTGCATGTGTCTTTATCGTAGAACGATTTGTAATCCTTTGGGTATATGCCCAGTAATGGGATTGCTGGGTCAAACGGTAGTTCTAGTTCTAGATCCTCGAGAAATCACCACACTGCCTTCCACAATGGTTGAACTAATTTACACTCCCAACAGTGTAAAAGCATTCCTATTTTTCCACAACCTCTCCAGCATCTGTTGTTTCCTGACTCTTTAATGATCACCATTCTAACTGGCGTGAGATGGTATCTCATTGTGGTTTTGATTTGCATTTCTCTAATGACCAGTGATGATGAGCATTTTTTCATGTCTGTTGGCTGCACAAATGTCTTCATTTGAGAAGTGTCTGTTCATTTCCTTTGCCCATATTTTGATGGGGTTGTTTACTTTTTTCTTGTAAATTTAAGTTCTTTGTAGATTCTGGATATTAGCCCTTTGTCAGATGGATAGATTGCAAAAATGTTCTCCCATTCTGTAGGTTCCCTGTTCACTGTGATGATAGTTTCTTTTACTGTGCACTTCTTTAGTTTAATTACATCCCATTTGTCAATTTTGGCTTTTGTTGCCGTTGCTTTTGGTGTTTTAGTCATGAAGTCTTTGCCCATGGCTATGTCCTGTATGGTATTGCCCAGGTTTTCTTCTAGGATTTTTATGGTCCTTGGTCTTATGATTAAGTCTTTGATCCATCTTGAGTTGATTTTTGTATAAGGTGTAAGCAACGGGTCCAATTTCAGTTTTCTGCATATGGCTAGCCAATTTTCCCAACACCATTTATTAAATAGGGAATCTTTTCCCCATTGCTTGTATGTGTCATGTTTGCCAAAGATCAGATGGTGGAAGATGTGTGGTGTTATTTCTGAGGCCTCCATTCTGTTCCATTGGTCTATATATCTGTTTTGGTACCAGTACCATGCTGTTTTGGTTACTGTAGCCTTGTAGTAAAGAAATGAAGGCAGAGGCTGGGCGCGGTGGCTCACTCCTGCAATCCCAGCACTTTGGGAGGCTGAGGCAGGCGGATAACGAGGTCAGGAGATCGAGACCATCCTGGCTAACACAGTGAAACCCCGTCTCTACTAAAAATACAAAAATTTAGCCGGGCATGGTGGCGGGTGCCTGTAGTCCCAGCCACTCAGGAGGCTGAGGCAGGAGAATGGTGTGAACCTGGGAGGCGGAGCTTGCAGTGAGCAGAGATTGCACCATTGCACTCCAACCTGGGTAACAGGGCAAGATTCCATCTCAAAAAAAAAAAAAAGAAAAGAAAAGAAAAAAAAGAAATGAAGGCAGAAATAAAGATATTCTCTGAAACCAGTGAGAACAAAGACACAACATACCAGAATCTCTGGGACACATTCAAAGCAGTGTGTAGTGGGAAATTTATAGCACTAAATGCCCGCAGGAGAAAGCAGGAAAGATCTAAAATAGACACCCTAACATCACAATTAAAAGAGCTAGAGAAGCAAGAGCAAACAAATTCAAAAGCTAACAGCAGGCAAGAAATAACTAAGATCAGAGCAGATCTGAAGGACACAGAGACACAAAAAACCTTCAAAAAAATCCATGAATTCAGCAGCTGTTTTTTTGAAAAGATCAACAAAATTGACAGACCGCTAGCAAGACTAATAAAGAAGAAAAGAGAGAAGAATCAAATAGACGCAATAAAAAATGATAAAGGGGATATCACCACCGATCCCACAGAAATACAAACTACTATCAAAGAATACTATAAACACCTCTACGCAAATAAACTAGAAATCTAAAAGAAATGGATAAATTCCTGGACACATATACCCTCCCAAGACTAAACCAGGAGGAAGTTGAGTCTCTTTTTTTTTTTTTTTTTTTTTTTGAGACGGAGTCTCGCTCTGTCGCCCAGGCCGGACTGCGGACTGCAGTGGCGCAATCTCGGCTCACTGCAAGCTCCGCTTCCCGGGTTCACGCCATTCTCCTGCCTCAGCCTCCCGAGTAGCTGGGACTACAGGCGCCCGCCACCGCGCCCGGCTAATTTTTTGTATTTTTAGTAGAGACGGGGTTTCACCTTGTTAGCCAGGATGGTCTCGATCTCCTGACCTCATGATCCACCCGCCTCGGCCTCCCAAAGTGCTGGGATTACAGGCGTGAGCCACCGCGCCCGGCCGAAGTTGAGTCTCTTAATAGACCAATAACATGTTCTGAAATTCAGGCAATAATTAATAGCCTACCAATCAAAAAAAAAGTCCAGGACCAGAAGGATTCACAGCCGAATTCTACCACAGGTACAAAGAGGAGCTGGTACCACTCCTTCTGAAACTAAAGAGGGAATCCTCCCTAACTCATTTTATAAGGCCAGCATCATCCTGATACCAAAGACTGGCAGAGACACAACAAAAAAAGAGAATTTTAGGCCAATATCCCTGATGAACATGGATGCGAAAATCCTCAATAAACTACTGGTCAACCAAATCCAGCAGCACATCAAAAAGCTTATCCACCACGATCAAGATGGCTTTATCCCTGGGATGCAAGGCTGGTTCAACATACGCAAATCAATAAATGTAATCCATCTCTTAAACAGAACCAATGACAAAAACCACATGATTATCTCAACAGATGCAGAAAAGTCTTCGACAAAATTCAACAGCCTTTCATGGTAAAAACTCTTAACAAACTAGGTATCGATGGAACATATCTCAAAATAATAACAGCTATTTATGACAAACCCACAGCCAATATCATACTGAATAGGCTGTATATTTCCAGTGGAATATGGGTAAGAAAATGGTTTTTACACGTGCTATCTCTTCATTTTGGAATTTTAAGATTTTGTCTTCCAAAATCAATGTCTTTCTGTCTTGTTGAATCCTACCATTTGGCACAGACTGAGTGGTCTTTTTTCTTCAGGGGCAGGGGCCAAGATAGGAGATGGGTAATCTGAAGTTTCCTGTGTTTTCCTGTGTGCAAAACTCATAAACAGCCAAAATAATTGTATACTGTTATTGTATGATCTGTCTTTAGCCCTCTCCTGAGGAAAGGCTATTTCAAATGCAGCCATCTTGAAGATTGTGAGTTCTATTTTTCCCCAGCAAAGAGAAGTTAATCATAGTAAATGCGATGCTTTCCTTTCTAAGCATTTGTGGACCATACACTGATAGGTATTTTGCTGAATTTGCTATGACAATAGCAATGTATTACATCTAGACCCTTGTGCACAGATAATATCAGAAGCTTTGTGCCAATAGGATAAACCACATCAGGATGGAGAGCTAAGTTGATATCGGTTTCCACATTTTGTTTTAACGTCCTGCTGAAATGTCTCTGAAGCTTCACAAGAGAGTTTGCTTTGATCAACATTCCTCAACCTTCAAAGGAATCTTGGAAGTGTTTGTGAGACAGCTGTTTGCTGAAATAACCTTAATTGCTTGTACTAAGAATTATCACTGCATGCCTCATAGATTTGTGAGAAGTCTGTAAAAAAACTGCTGACATTGGCACCAAAGTTCATCTACCTTCAATCTACAAAGTACCCCCCTCACTATTTTTAATGAGTGGTACCTCATCTCATTGTGCACACATATGTGCCCAAATATAAGTCATTGGTGATACTATTTTCTTATTTTTAATTTTTATACAATGTTTCTAGTACAAAAGTAATGCATGCTCGATTATAGAAAATTTGAAAATTCAAAAATATGAGAAGAAAAAATATCCTCTCTGAAACCACCATTAAAATAAAAAAAAAGTCTTTCTAGTAATTTGTAATATGAACAGGGTTTTGGTTTTTATATTGTTAAATATAGTCATAATAAAAACTATCCAGAATAGAGTGTCCTGGTTTATTTTTAAGTAATCACATAATGTATGCCTTTTAACAGCAAAGAAAAAAAAATCCATCCCATTGGCTTTCTGACTAAAGTTCCCCTTATTCCATTAACAGACTTATATAGTCATGTTGAGTTCCCCAAACATTACCATTACCCCCTGTAGTGGAAAAGGAAAAAAGCCAAGTTAAACAGTTGGACACTTGAGGAATTGTTGGTTTGGAACACATAAAAATCAACTTCTGAATTGCAGTTTCTTTATTATTTGACAAAAGAACACGCTGGCCTTTAAAGTATTCTGAACATTGCACTGCGTACAGAGAAAGTGAGTTTTACAGTCACCATTGGACTGCTCATAGAGGCCAGATTTTTGAGGTGCTGGGGGAAATAATTAGCACCCTCCAGGGATGGACTATGGGATAGTAATAGAGAAATCAAAAGCCATACAAAGGAATTGGAAGATATAAAAGTCAGACAGTTTTAAGAAGATTTTTAAACATAACAGTGAATGAAAAAGACAATAACAGGAGGAAGACAGAAATCTAATATTTTTATTTGATACTTGGGCCAGACATCGTGGTAGGCACTTTCCAAATGTCACCTTATTTAATTTTCACAACCATGTGATGACATGGAGCAATACATTGAAGCAAAGGATATTAACTAACATAACCATTTCTTATAGTCAGTGATGACAGAAAGCTATCTAGTAGACTTTTGAAGCAAATCAAATCAGAAAAAGATTTTGGAGAGATTTTGCACAGATAATCAATTGCCCAATGGGTTATTCTTGCCCACTCCCCAAAGAGAGCTCATTTATCAAGGCAGGGGAATTACAATTGTGAAAGAGTTTTACACAAATAGGGCCAGCTAAATGGGAGATTGGAGTTTTATTATTATTCAAATTAGCCTCCCCAAGAACTTGGAGGCTAGGGTTTTTCAAACAAAGTTTAGGAGATGAGAGGAGGGGTGGCTAGGCAAGGGGTGCTTGCTGCTGACTGGTAGACGGTACAATCACAGGGGTGTGGGAAAAGGTCCTCTTGCAAGCTAAGTCACTTCTGGGTGGGGCCACAGGAGTGGTTGGTGGGTCCAAGTGTGGCTATTAGACTTTTAGTATAAGAAGTAACATTAGAGGCTGAGTGTGGTAGCTCACACGTGTAATCCCAGCACTTAGGGAGGCAGATGTGGGTGGATCACAAAGTCAGGAGTTCGAAACCAGCCTGGCCAATATGGTGAAACCCCGTCTCTAGTAAAAATACAAAAATGAGCCAGGAGTGGTGGTGCAAGCCTGTAGTCCCAGCTACTCAGGAGGCTGAGGCAGGAGAATCGCTTGAACCTAGGAGGTGGAGGTTGCAGTGAGCGGAGATCATGCCACTGCACTCCAGCCTGGGTGACAGAGCGAGACTCCATCTCAGGAAAAAAAAAAAAAGAAGAAGAAGAAGTAACGTGAGAAATAAAACCAGAAGTCAGAATTCAAACTTATTCACACTGTCAATACAGTGTTACAGACAAAATGCTTACAAATAGAATCTGGTATGATTTCATTATCTAAGATAACATATGGAAGTTATGTGTTTTTTAAAGTGTTGATTTGAAGGTATAATCTAAAACATTCCAAACATCAAGTCATGAAAGCAGTTTTTATCTGTTTTGTAAAAAAAAAATATATATATATATATATAGTCTATACACCAAAAATTATAATATATTCATTTAAATTTCTTTGACATCAATAATACTTTTTCTTATATATTTATTTAACATACTTTAACAAATTGAAGACATTTTTTGTTATAAGTATGACTGCATATTACATTTAATTAACTTTATTGCATTAAATACTATCCTGATATGAAATAAAATACTTGGTTTATAATGTCTTCTTATAGCCCAAACTGAAAGCTTGAAATTAATTAGAAATTTCTATAACTGTTCATTAGATTTTATATCACTATGGAAGAATTTAGCAAGTTAAAAAAAATACACAGACAAAACAAAAACAACAAAAACAGAGGGTGAGAAATGCTGGATTGGAGGCTCTCCAAGGCCTTCCTATTCTGAAATGCCATCATGTGCAGATTCTCATCTTTCCTACACCCACTAACTGAAGGCATTGACAGAAAGAAATGAAAAAGGGAAGATATGTAATTACCCTGGTGGATCGATTCACTCATAAGGTATAAATCAAAAGGAAATGCCTGGATTATTTTTAAGAAAATCTGTGTACTCCAAACTGCAGATGAACCTTCTTGAACAAAACAATATAATACAACAAAATGCTAAGCTCATTAGTTATGCATAAATACTAGTTCTTAAAACAATTTTAACTATCAGAACTTTAAATTTGCCAGAGATCAACATGTTCTGCCAATGTTGGCTAGTTAACAAAGTTAATATGTTTAGCATCTAGTAAATCCGAAATGGCATAAAATGACTGATGTATGAATTGAGTATGACCCCTGGTCTTCCTCTGGATTGAAATTCCTCTTGCATTTTCGAGAAATTAGTAAAGTGTGCTAGGTAAGTAATTAATGCACTTTGGTGTGAGAATTTGGAAAATTATTGAAAAATATATTAAAGGGTTGAATTCTGCATTATCTCAAATTAGCTAATCTAGTTTTTTGGCACAAAATAAGCAGCCTGCTTTGTACACATTTGGAAGGTTTTAAAAACAAATCAATATAGCCATACACTCAGGACTATGCTAAACAGAGCTGCTGATACCCGCAGTGCTCCTCCACAGTGGGCCCATTGTGGAGAGCTGCCACATTCAAAACACCTTCCAGCTGTTGGAGGAAACCACAAGAGGGGTGAGGACAGACGCAGACACCCTCCATCAGATAATTACCTTGATTAAGATTCTCTGAATTAAACGGAGTTTAATCAAGGACCCTGTGAAATTGTGAAAACGCCAGCTTTCTGTGCTTGCCCTCCTTTTCTACAGATGGTGAGTTGCCAAACAAAATCAAAGGAGTCTTAATTACAAGGATGAGAGGCAAAGTCAAAGGGAATGAATCTGTGCTTTGTGATGGAGATGGACCAGCACCAATCAGCAGCAAACTCAGCTCTCGTCTGCATGGAGAGTGCGACAATGCATCAAAGCTGAACACACTATCAACATCCTTGACAATTCAAAGGACTGAATTAATAGCCATGACAATGTATCTAAGGTAGTAGTTAACATTGACTCTTCATATGATATAATAATATATGTGACCTTTTATGGCAACATTTGGACTGACATTAGAAAAAACAACCATGCCACTTCAGCTGTTACTAAGAAAGCATGGCCCAGTTTGAATCTAAACTAAACCATTACTGAAAGTAAACTCCCTTTTAAATGAAAAAATTAAAAGAGCAATGACACAGGGAGGTCAATTTTTTTTTCAGTTTTTCTGCTTCCTCTTATTTTGAATTTGGACTATAAATAGAAGTAATTATAAAAATCATCCATTCCATGACATGAGTTGATACCACCTAGCATCTACTCACTGCAACACTAATATCCTTTACATGCATACTATCAGACTTTCTCCACTGTATTATATGTCTGATCTTTTTGACATCCAACACCTTTTACTTCTTTCTTAAGTTTTTATTTATTTAAGTTCATATTTATTTCTATTAGTTTTTTAAATAAAACTTGGTCCATTATTACAAGTAACGTCAATGAATTATCACCTAGTAGTGCTAATTAATTGGGTGGAACCACCACTTCAAAAGGAGTGGAATATTATAAAAATCATTGTATCCCCTCCCCTAATCATACTTACAATCATATATCTTCTAACATAAATGTCATGTATTTTGTAATGTTTTCTAAATTAAACATATATCTAGCTTCTCTGATATTACAAGTCACAAATGCAAGTGGTTCATGGAAAATCTGTTTCCCTGTAAGTTTTCCTCTTTTCAAAGGAAATCTACAATTTCTATTTCTAGGAGCTTGCATTTTTAAATTATTTTGTTTAGCCCTTCAAAGATTTCCTTTCAACTATTATTTATATATCCCCTTCCCTTTGAGATCTAAAAGTTTATTTTGTCTTTTTCTCAGGTTCTGTACCATCGCCCTTCTGTATTCTGAAATCTTATGAGTGATAGATTCTTATATCTTGGGCATCTTATTCTTGTGATTTATTTTTACATGCATATATCTTGTTTTTCCTGCAAGCCCATCTCTACACAGCATTTTTGCAATTCTTACTTATTCTTAGTTTGCTTTCCTTCAATCTTTTCTTCTTATATAATTTGCTATCATATTTTCCCAAAATTCCTTTTGAAGTAACTTCTTACAGTATTTTCTTAATATTAGCAAGAAAGAGACCTTCCTCTAATCATACAAACATGTTACATGTTTGACTGGGTCTTTTCCACACCTTGAAAGATGCACCAATTGAGTGATTTGTTTCCTCTTCTGCATACTGAATACCATAAGCACTTTTCATCACACTTTAAACAAGAGCTATGTATCCTTTTATTACACACTCAAATTTTCCCAACTGCATATTAAATCCAGCACAATGCATACAATATATCAACATATGAGAAGTAGCATGACATCAGTTTAGAAGTAAAGAAACATACATTTTAGCACTAATTCAATCACTAATTTTCTTTGGACAATTTAATTGTCCAGACTTTGGACAATTTAATAAGTTACTATGAATCAGTTTTTGTTTTGGTTTGGTTTGGCTTGGTTTCATATTCACTAAGGAACACAGTTACTATAATTTGGATACGGTTTGTTTGTCCTTTCCAAATCTCATGTTCATATTTGATCCCTGATGTTGGAGGTGGGGTCTAACGGGAGGTGTTTGGGTTTTGACATGATGTTATCCGAAACCAGTCAAGTAAAACGATTGATTTGTTATAACACTTGGATTTTAAGTGAATATGTCATCCAATGTAGCCTTCAAAATTACTTTCAAAAAAATAAGCCTTCTAACTTTCCCTCTACAATTAGCTCCAAAGAAAAGGGATATTAATAAATTTTAAAACTGTTTAAAAATTTGCACATATCTTTTTAAATGTTGCTCTCTGTTTAATTTTTTACAACTTGAATTTTATGAAAATCTATTAGGGATTAATTTTTAAAACCTTCCTTTTATTTACTTTTAAACTGGATGGGAAACCATAGGAAATACAACTGCACTCTTATTAAAAACTAAAGCTGACCATATCAAGTATTACCAAACATGTGAGGAACTGAAATTCTCATTCACTGCTGGTGGGAATGTAAAATGGTAACCACTTTGGAAAACAGTTTGACAGTTTCTTACAGAATTAAACATGTGCCTGACATATGATCCAGCCACCTACTCCTACATATTAACTCAAGACAAAGCCTATGTCCACTTAAAGACTTGTCATTAATGTTCATAATAGTTTCATTTGTAATAGCCCAAAACGGAAAACCCAAATGTCCATCAAGAGGTTAACTCATAACAGATGAATGCTAAAAACACTGATATATATCATACAATGGAACACAACTCAGCAATACAAAGAAATGAACTACTCATACATGTGGCAACATTCTGAATCTCAAAATAATTATGCTGAGTAAAAAACCCAGACAAAACCCAGACAACAAAATCCATACTGTATAACGTCGTTTAAATTGTTATAGAAAATACAAACTATTCTATCATAAGAGAGAGTAGAACGCTGGTTGCCTGGGAAGGGCCATGTGGTGGTGTTCCAGGTAGTTATACAGGCATGAGCAGAGCAGGAGAGGGCTCTCCCACCCACTAGGAATGTCAGGTGATGGCTTGGCAATTATCACAATGCCTCACTAAAAGTGATAAGTTGGCAGCCAGCACCAGGGATAGGCCATTTCCTGATGGTTCACACCTGTTGCACTGAAGTGTTAATTGAATGCAGGCAACAGGGAGAAACAACTTCCTGGGCATGCCCATTAAGAGACAACATGGCAGAGTATGACTTTCTGGGGGAACTCCACAGGAAAAAGGAAGAAAGCCTCCGATGGGAATGCATACAACTTCCTAAACACACTGCATGTGCTCACTTCCCAGGGGTAGCAGGGGCACTGCACACGTGGGCAGCCCACCCTAAGGAAAGAATCGTGGGAAAGGGGCCAGCCTATAAAAGTCTTAGGATCGCTGTTAAACAGCACACTTGGCCTTCAGGTGCCTACTTGAGTCTCTTCCAAGTGAACTTTCCTTTCTTTCCTGTTCTAAAGCCTTTCTAAATAAACTTTTACTCCTACTCTGAAACTTGCCTTGGTCTCTTTTTCTGCCTTATGCCCATGAGTTGAATTATTTCTTCTGAGGAGGCAAGAACTGACGCTGCTACAGACCCTTACAGATTTGCCACCATAAACACTGATATTTGCCACTGGTAACAGAGGTTTAGGAAGTTGTATGCATTCCCATCTGAGGCTTTCTTCCCTTTTTCCTGTGGAGTTCCCCCAGAAAGTCATTTGCCCCTGGTAACAGAGGTACAAAAGTGAGCAAGGGAAACCTTGTGGGTGGTGAGCTATGTTCATCATTATCTTGATTGTGTTAATGGTGCTCATACGTCAAAATATGTCACACTGTACACTTTAAATATATGCACTTTACTGTATATCAGTTACATATTAATAAAACTGTTAAAGAACTGGAAGTGAAGAAACGTTATTCCACTTAACAGTTGGAAAATAAAATTTAACTTATGTATGGATGTCATAGTCTGAGATAGAAAAGGCAATTTTGTCTTCATGACTTTTATTGGATTTTGCAAAATATTCTAAGGTGAATAAAATTAGAATCATGATATCTGCTTCAATAATCACATTAATTTTTTTTTTTTTCAGAGAGATACAGGGTTTCACTCTGTTGCCCTGGCTACCTGGAGTACAGTGTTGCAATCACTCCTCCCTGCCGTCTCAACCTCCAGGACTTAAGTCACCCTCCTGCCTCAGCCTCCTGAGAAGCTGAGACTACAGGTACGCACCACACCACCATGTCTCAGCTAATTTTGTGTGTGTGTGTGTGTGTGTGTGTGTGTGTGTGGACATGGGGTCTCAAACTCCTGGTCTCAAGCTATCCTCCTGCCTCACTTCTCAGTGTTGGGATTACAGGTGTGAGCCACCCTACCCAGCCCTAATCACCATTTTTTTGAAGGTAAACAAACATTCCTTTCTGACCAAAGTGGTCATGGGCACAACACAAGCTGAGAACACTCAAACCAGTCAGTATAGAACGGGTCCCCACAGAGGTCAGCACTGGGAGTCCATTATCAGGAAATAAGGAGGAAACAAGAATCAGTAAAGCAAAGTGGCTGGGAGCATTATGTCTCCAGCAGCATGGTGTGTTCAGCAAGATATCCTAGGTTTCAATTCTAGCACTGTCACTCACTTGCACTATAACTTGGCAGATTAGGAAACTACTTCAATATTCAGTTAGCTTATCTGTAAAGCGGGGATGATAAGAGTACCTAGCACACAGAGCCGTAATGAGGAATAAACAAACTAACATGTGTAAAACACTTAGGTATTTAGCACTATAAAATGCTAGCTATTATTGGTAGTTCAGGGAACCTGATTAGCAGGCTATGAAACTATCAGTTAACTCTACACTAGATTTGAAATCTAAAATTTTAGGAATTGTTAAATGTAAATATTGAACTCTCCTTCAGATTTGTATGCTAATTAGTTAAAAATTATTTTTGGCTGGGCGTGGTGGCTCACACCTATAATTCCAGCACTTTGGGAGGCTGAGGTGGGTGGATCATTTGAGCTCAGGAGTTCAAGACCAGCCTGAGCAATACGATGAGACCTCGTCTCTTCAAAAAATTAAAAAAGAAAAAATAGCCCTGCATGAAGGCGTGCGCCTGCAGTCCCAGCTACTAGGGAGGCTGAGGTAGGAGTATCTCCTGAGCCCAGGGAGGTCAAAGCTACAGTGAGCTGTGATCACACCACTGTACTCCAACCTGTGACAGAGCAAGACCCAGTCTAAAAAAAAAAAAAAAACTTTACTCTTATCTAAAAAAAATACTGTTTTGAAAGATGTTGCACTTAATATTTATTTGAGGTACTTCTTCTTTTGAATTTATACATCTGTGTTATATCCATCTCTATTGCCATCTTCTCCCAACCTCTGAGTGTTGGAGTTTCTGGGGCCAATTTAATATTACTGAGAGTTTAGGTAGTTTTGCAGAGCATATGAACCATATCCCAAAGGCAAGCTTTCGAAAGCACCATAGAACAAAATCATGAACAACATACTAAGCCAATCATAATTCTGATTAATTGGTACTTTGGACAAGGAAAGAAACATATCTTGAGTTTAAATTATAAAAGTAATTACTAAAACAGACAAGTTTAGTTGGCCTAAGTATGTGTGCTGATAAACCTTAATAAATCAGACTCCTTCAATTCTTTCTCTACTTCTTGATTTTCAATTAAATAATTCTAGGAGCTCTGTTTCTTGATTTTATACTCTCATGGAACCATGACATAAAGTAATTCAGTGCAGATAAGAAACTAGGTTTAAAGTAACTTATATATAAAACTGTTCACAAAACCAACAACTATATAAAATAAGGTTTGTATTTTTCCCCAAACTCTTAAATTTACTCAGTTAACACCTAGTGATAAATGTACTTATAAATGTACTGTTACAAAAAGTTACTATAAGATTATCATTTCCCTAGTATATATATTAGGATCTGTTGACTTTTAGTGGAAAAAAAATCTCAATAAAAGGAAAGTTAGTATATGTGTGTACTTGGAATGAAACTGCAAATGAAACAGGGAAGTTATCAGTTTCATTTCCATGATCCCTAAAACAGTTTCTGGAACATTAAATAGAGCCCTTGAAAATATTTGCATAAAAAATAAATAGTCAAGAATCAAAGAAACTTTGGGGACCATCAACTCCCTATTTTCTCTCCTGATCTTATACTGTCTTTATATTTCTCTTTCCCCAAATTGGTCTATCCCCACAACACTTTCCAATTCAAGATTCCAGAAAGTAATCATCTGGCTGCTTTAGCATCACTCTTCACTCTTACTAAACTCCACAGCTACTAGTCAACCTACTAACGGGGTCTACTCTTAAATTAAGTATCTACTCCTTGTTCAAATTACAAGCAGTTCTAGTGAAAGAACAGCCTAGTGGTACTATCCGGAGTGGAGCATTGTAAGTGGAGCAATACATTCTTAGAATTAATAGCCACACTTGAGCTTAGTGCACCAGTACCTGAAAAGAGAAGACAGACCTATCTGGCAAGTTGCAGGGAGTTTATGACATTGAGTCCCTGATATAATCAATGTACCTTTGAACACCAAGAGAAAACATGGTATGATACTTGCTAAAGAAAACTGCAAGAATGAGAGTGGGAAGGAAGAGTGTAACAATAACTATCTAAATGACATCAACCAAAAAAATCATAATGTATGCAAGTCAGATTGTCAAATGATTTTAACCACTCACTTTAACTTTGTCAAATTTTGGCTACTGACAGAGTAGCTAATATTTTTACCATAATTTTTTGACTTTTTCATATAAACACTTTGAACAAATGATCTGTTCTTTAAAATATTTTTACATGGAATTATTCAAGGTATTCACTATTACTATGTTCGAAAATGTGATGTTGATCGTATCCTGGATCTTTTCTTGAGATGACATCTCTAGAAGTACAAGGGGAGAATAGGTTTATGTTGTCAGTTTACAAAATTTTTATTTTTCCCTGGGACAAATTATACCATAGCAAAGTTACATAATCTTCTAAAAATGCTTAACAAACTAGGGAGAGTATATAATCACAGAGAAAAAAAAATGACCCTTAAACATACACAAATGTTAAATCATGTAATTCTAAAACTTTCAACTCAAAAATGACTAGTGACCTTATGTGTTATGTAGCCCAATCCTTTAATCACATAATAGGAAGGAGCTTCAAAAATATTAATGAGTGCTCTTTCAGCAACTGATAAAATAAATAGAGAAAAATATTATAGAAAACATCATCAACAATCTTGACCTAATTTTTATCTATAGAAAGCTACATATAACATGTATAGAATATACATTACTTTTCAAGGATATGTGGTAATATTCACCATAATAAACAGTGTGCTAAGCAATTAAAACACTTACACATAAATTTAAAAGACAGAAATAACACAGTGCGTGTTCACTGATCACAGTGAAATTAAATTAGCTAAAACAATAATATAGCTATGGAAATTCAAGATATTTGAAAATTAATACATTTTTAAATAATTCACAAGGTTAAGAAAGAAATCTTAAGATAAATTGAATAATATTTCCAAATATAATGATGATGAATCCATAACATATAAAAATTTGGTGGTTGCAGCTAAAGCAGTACTTACAGAAAAATTAAAAAGGTTTAAAGTCAAGAGAAAAGTAGTCTAAAGTCAAATGCCTATGAATATACTTAAAGATGTAAAAATATGTGCAAAGAAAATAATAGAAAAAATTTGTAAAAGATGAATAAGAGGAAAAAATAATAAATATAAAATTTTGTTATTTAAAAAGTAAACAAAATTCATACAGTACATTCTAAATTGATTAATATGAGAACTGGCTCACCCAACCTACTGCCACTACTACTAAGGCCCGAGCCTACAATTCAGGATCCTAGGGATTGATCTGCCTTGCCGATCACAGCTGGGTGCCCACATGCACCATCAGGGAGTATCAGGACAGACTCACCCAACTGTAGCCTCTGCTGTCAGTACCCAGTTTACTATCTGGGGGCCTGGGAATTGAACCACCCTAATCACTGGTACCAGCACTCACACACACCATTTAGGGTCCTGAGGACAGGCCTACCTCTCCCACCACTGCTACTGCGAGGGCTCATTTATGTCATCTGGCGGCATATGGATCAACCTGCCCCATCTGCCACTGCCAACACCTGCACTTGCCTTCTAACGGCCTAAGGAGGGGCATGCTTCACTCTCCACTGTTGTTCTTGTGCACTATCTGTAGGCCTGGGAATAAGCCCACTCTGCCTACTGGCAGCACAAGCACACAATTCCTGGAGTCCCAGGAACTGGCCCACCTAGCTTGTCTCCACTGCCACCACTGACATTGGGGAGCCTGAGAACTGACCCACAAAGTTTACCACCACCACCATCACACTTGTGTGTGTCACTTGGGGTCCTGAGAATTGGCCCACTGCCACTACTATCACTGCAAATGCCATGCACACTGCTGAGGGACTGCAGGACTTACTCACTTACCCCACTCACCACTACTACTGCCGGTACCAGAGCAAGCCACCTGGAGGCACAAAAACCACCCCACTAGGACCCACTACCACCAGCTGCTGTTACTAGACGACTGAGGAACTGGCAAGGTTGACCTCTGATGGCCATAACTATTCTACATGTCATCTTCATCCCCAGCAAAGCCTTATCACAGCCACCACCAACAACTGCAGTCTAAGCCACTGAAGAGCTCACAGACACCAATGGCACTAATTACAGCTGAAGAAATAGGAAGACTACACTACTGCTCCCACCCAGAATCAAATCCAAAGTACCATACTCACCCAATACTATAGATAAAATCTATAGATAAATGTCTTTCCCTATGAAAGCCAGTCCTTAAAATGGGAAGAAGCGACTGTACACAAGCTGCATACATATCAATCTAAGGACATAAACATGAAAAATCAATTAAATTGACAATTCCAAGGGAACACAATAATTCTCCAGTGAAAAGTCTTAATGAAAAGAAAATCTATGAAATGCATGAAAAAGAATTCAAAATAATCTTAAAGAAACTCAGTGAGATACAAGAAAACAGATAAAAATATAAAGAAATTAGAAAAACAATTCATGATTTGAATGAGAAAGTTCAACAAAGAAATATATCTAATAAAATAGAACCACATCCTGGAAATGATTAATTTAATTAATGGAATTTAAAAATACAATCAATAGCTTCAACAATATAATAGATCAAGCAGATGAAACATTTCTGAACTTGAAGACAAGTTGTTTTTAAATAACCCCATTAGAACAAAAGAAAAAAAAAGAACAAGTAAAGTCTACATGACATATAGGACACCACAAAGTGACAAAATATTCTAATTTGGGGAGTGCCAGGATAAAAAGAGATGGGCAAAGGCATATAAAACCTATTTAACAAAATAATAGCAAATGTAATACCAAGTGTTGCAAGAGAAACAGACATCAGACACAGAAAACTCAAGTATCCCCAAATAGATTCTACCCAAGAAGATCTTCTCCAAGGTACACCATAGTCAAAATATCAAATTTCAAAGACAAAGAGGTAATTCTAAAAACAACATGAGAAAAGCATCAAATTACATATAAGGAAACCTCCATCAGACGAATGGAGGATTTCTCAGCAAAAACATTACAGAGCAGGAGAGAATGGGATGATATATTCAAAGTGCTGAAAGAAAAACAAACAAAAAAACTATTAGCCAAGAATACTAAACCCAGCAAAGCTATTTTTCCAAAATGAAGAAGAAATGAAGGATTTTCCAGACAAGCAAAAATTGAAGAAATCTATCACTGCTAGACTGACCCCACAAGAAATTCTTAAGTGAGCCCTACATCTAGAAGCAAGCAGATGATGTCCGCCATCATGAAAACACACAAAAGTAAAATACTCATTGGTAGAACAAAAACAAGTGAGAAAGAGAAAGGACTCAAATGTTACTATTACAGAAAACTACCAGCTGCAATGAAAACAATAAGAAGGGAAGAAAGAAACAAAAGGTACACACAACAGCCAGAAAACAATTAACAAAATGAGAAGAATAAATCCTCACCTATAATAAGCTTGAGTGTAAAAACATTGTTTCTCACTTAAAAGATTTAAAATTGTTGAATGGATAAACACAACATGACACAACTATATGCTACCTACAAGATATTCACTTCACCTGTAAAGACACATAGAGACTAAAAGTGAAGAGATGGAAAGATACTCCACACAAATGGAAACCTAAAGAGAACAAAGGTAGCTATACTTATATCAGATAAAACACAATTTTAGTCAAAAAATCTTAGAAGAGAAATAATGTTATTATATAATAATAAAGGGATAAACTTAGCAAAGGTATAACAATTCTAATTATATATGCACCCAACACTGAAGCACTCAGATATGGAAGTTGGGTACTATTAAATTTAAAGGGAGAGACAGACTTCCAATAAAATAGCAGATGGGACTTTAATATCACACTATCAGCACTGAATAGATCATATAGACAGAAAACTAATAAAGTAACACTGGATTTAAGCTAAACTTTTGACTAAATGGACCTAATAGATATTTACAGAACATTTCATCCAACAGCTGCAGAATACACATTCTTCTCATTGGCAAATGAAACATTCTCCAGGACAGAACATATGTCAGGACACAAAAGAAGTCTCGACAAATTTTGAAAAATTTAAATTACATCAAGTATCTTCTTAGATTACAATGGAATAAAATTTAAATCAATAACAAGAGAAACTTTGAAAACCATACGAGTACACAGAAATTAAACAGTATGCTCCTGAACAAACACTGAGTCAATGAAGAAATCAAGAAGGGAATACAAAAATTCCTGAGGCAAATGAAAATGGAAATGTAACACAGCAAACATGTGGATACAGCAAAAGCAGTACTAAGAGGGAAGTTTATAGCAATAACTGTCTACATTAAAAAATTAGAAAGATTTTAAGTAAACAACCTAATGATGACTTCAAGGAACTACAAAAGCAAGAACAAACCAAACTCACCATTAGTAGAAGGAAAGAAATAACAAAGTTGAGAGCAGAACTAAACAGATAGAGACTAAGTAACAATACAGAGGATAAACAAAACAAAAGACAGAAGATCTAAATAAATAAAATTAGAAATGAAGAAGAGACATTACAAATGATACCACAGAAATACAAAGAATAACTAGAGACTGTGATAAATAATTACACACTAACAAATTGGAAAACCCAGAGGAAATGGAAAATTTGGGGCACAAACAACATACCAGGGAATAAATAGAAAACCTGAACAAACCAATAATGAGAAATTAGATTGAATCAGTAATAAAAATCTCTCAACAAAGAAAAGCCCATGACTAGATGACTTTACCACAAAATTCTACCAAACTTACAAAATACTAACATTAATTCTTCTCAAACTATTGCAAAAAAATGAAGATGAGGGAATGCTTCCTCACTCCTTCTACAATACCAGCATTACCCTGATACCCAACCAGAGCAATGACACAAGAAAGAAAACCACAATCCAATATCCTTGATGAACATAAATGCAAAAATCCTCAACAAAATACTGGCAAACCAAATTTAACAACACATCAAAAGGATAACACAACATGATCAAATGGGATTTATCCCAGGGATGCAAGGATGGCTTAACATTTGCAAGTCACTAAACATGATATATCACATCAACAGAATGAAGGAGAAAACCCACATGATCATCTAAACAGACAGAAAAAGCATTTGATAAAATTCAGTAACTCGTCATGATAAAAACTCTCAAAAACTTAGGCATAGAAAGAACATACTTCAACATAGTCAAGGCCGTGTATGACAAACCCACAACTACCATCACAAGGAAATGGGGAGAAGTTGAAAGACTTTCCTCTAAGAACTAGAACAAAGCAAAAATGCCCACTTCCAGCCCTCTAGAATTGAACTTAGTACTGAAAGTCTTAACCAGAGCAATCAGGCAAGAGAAAGAAATAGAAGGCATCAAAATTTGAAAAAAGGAAGTCAGATGTTCTCTGTATACAACATTACCCTAAATATAGAAAAACCTACACTCAACCAAAAATTTCTTAGAACTGATAAATGAATTCAGTAAAGTTGCAGAATGTAATTAAAAAGTGGGCAAAAGATCTGAATTGACATTTCTTAAGAGAAGACACAAATGGCTACCAAGTATATAAAAAATGTGCAACATAACTAATCATCAGGGAAATCAAATCAAAACCACAATGAGATATCATCTCATCCTAGTTAGAATGGCTATTGTCAGAAAGTCAAAAAAAAAATAACAACTGCTGGCAAGAATGAGGAGAAAAAAATAACTCCTACATACTGTTGATGGAAATGTAAATTAGGAGAGCTATTAGGGACAACAATTTGGAGATTTCTCAAAAAACTAAAAATAGGACTACCACACAATCCAGCAATTCCACTACTAGATGTATATCAAGAGGAAAGGAAATCTGTTTATCAGTAAGATACCTACTCTCCCATGTTTATTGTAGCACTATTCACAAGAGCCAAAATATTGAATCAACCTGTGTCCATCAAAGGACAAATGGATAAAGAAATTGTGGTACATATAATTAAGAGAATATCATTCAGCCACAAAAAAGAATGAAATCTTGTCATGCGCAGCAACATTATGTTAAATGAAATCAGCCAGGCACAGAAAGACAAATATTGCACATTCCTATTTATATGTGAAAGCTATAAAATTTATTTCAAGGAGGTAGAGAACATAATCATTGTTACCAGAGGCTTGAGGCAGTAGGGCCAGGAGGGAGAAGGGGTGTGAAGAGTGGCTGATTAATGGGTACAAACATACAGTTAGATAGAAGAAATAAGTTCCAGTGTTCGATAGCACAGTAGGGTGACTATAGTTAACAATAATTTGTTGTATATTTCAAAATATTTAGAAGAGAAAATTGGAATGTTCCAAACACAAAGAAATGATAAATGTTTGAGGTGATGGATATCCTAAATAGCTTTATTTAACCATTACATGTTATAGGCATGTGTTAAAATATCACATGTATCCCATAAATATGTGTAATTATTCTGTATCAATAACAAATATAAAAAATTAATTAACAGGCTGGGTGCAGTGGCTCATGCCTGTAATCCCAGCACTTTGGGAGGCAGTGGTGGGCAGAACACTTGATGTCAGGAGTTCGAGACCAGCCTGGCCAATATGGTGAAACCCCATCTCTACTGAAAATACAAGAATTATCCAGGCATGATGACAGGTGCCTGTAATCCCAGCTACTCAGGGAGCTGAGGCAGAACTGCTTAAACCCCAGAGGTGGAGGCTGCAGTGAGCCCAGATTGCACCACTGCACTCCAGCCTAGGTAATAGAGCGAGACCTCGACTCCAAGAAAATTGATTAATAAAAGAGAAGCTAAATTATTGATATTAATACAAGAGGGACTGTCATTAAAGATCTTATAGATATTAAATGGATACTAACAGAGTATTGCTAACAATTCTTATGACAAAAAAATCTAACAACTTAGATGAATTGGACATATTTACTTAAAAATACAGCATACCAGAAGACAAAACACAAAATCTGAACACCAGTATCAATGAAAGAAATTAAATCTGTGATTTAAAAACCTTCCCATAAAGAAAACTCCAGACACAGATGGTTTCTCTAAATAACACCAATCCTACATAAATTTCTTCAGAAAAGAAAGAATTATTTTTTTCCCTCTCAGTTAAAGTGAATTGTTGTGTCATAGGGTAGGCATATGTTTAGTTTCATAACAAAATGCCAGAACATTTCCCAGAGTGGTTGTACTGTTTTACAGCATGTATGTATGAGAAAATGCTGATTTCCCCAAGTCTTTACTTGAAGCATGGAAAGCTGTGAGAAACTCACGCTATGCAATGAGTGTCCAAGATCTCAGGCTTCATTTGAGTATTATCATTCATTCATGTGCCTATCCATAAACCCATCTATCCCTTCAACAAACATAAAGAATTTTCTGGTGAGAACACAATTCTAAGAATAAAGTGACAAGTAGATACAGTGTTGGCCTTCAGAAGCTTACAGTACTAGTAAAGAAAGGACACATCTATAAACAAATGAAACTTAGAATTTCAGGTGCTATTTTAAAAGTTCTGTCTTCAGTGGATGTCATGCTTTTGGAATGCTAAAGGAATAACTTCACTTACAATTATTAGAATTTAAGAGTCAGAACAACGTTAAAAAGTCAGCAGGAATTACAGCAAAGTCAGTACCACAGTATTTTACAGAACCTCTGGAAACACCTGCATTTACCACACCATTCACGTAGTGATCTCGGCACCCCAAAACACAATTAGGTGACCTGACCATATTTTCTTGTACTCACAAGGTTTGAATGACCTTGAAAACCATAGAGACTTCAACATTATTTTAGGCAAAGGTGTCAATATGAGTAAAAGGTTATAAATATGATTGATCATCATTCATTTAAAAACATAACTAATGGCTTAGAATGAGTAGATCACAATTTGTAAGGTGTGGTGAGAAATGGGGATGGGGAAGGGATGAATTCAGGAAGATATTAGTGTACTTTTCTTGGAGGCATGGAATTTACCATGTGAACAACTAAGAACCATTGAATGTGGTGGTAAATTGAAGAAGAATATTAAAATATTTGCATTTTAGAAAGATTATTATTTGCATTGTGGAGAACAGTTTGAAGAGGTATACAACTGGCAGTAAAATGTATTTGATTATTACAAGAATAGAGAACTGATATGTGCATGAACTTAAATATCTCAGTCACAGAGGGCTACAGGAGACAGATAAGAGAAAAATTAAGAATGTATAATGGAAAAGACCGGTAATAATAATATTATGGTATACAGTAATAATAATAGTAATATTTCTATAGAAAAGACTTATGTAATGCTAATTGATGCTATATGCTTATATTATAAAACAAAATATTTATTAATTACAACATAATTTAAAGTACTAAGTTAACAAGCTATATTGAGAAATATTAACAAAGTTATGTGATTTTGTTACATGAGTACAATAACTTATATAAAATTTATTATGTACCAGATAACTTACATTATTTTTTCTAGCTGTGGAGACCAGTGTAGACTGGTACCACCAATGAGTGAGAAAAGGTAATAACTACCCAAGTTCCATATTTTTGTAGAATTCTTACTGTGTGCCAAGTAGTGTTTTGTTCTATACAGTTCACAATCATTATTATTTATATTTTTCACACCTACCCTTAGATATGAGAGAATTGGGACTCAAAGACATTACATAATTATACCTTCAATAGATTATGCAACTAGCAAATGAAAAAGACAGAATTCTGACCCATGATTCCAAAGTCCTGTACATGAAGGAAAGATAGTGATTGCAAGTTAAAATATGTGGGATAGCTACATGTTATCCAGAGTAAAGGCCTTCTATTTTGGACCTCAGAAAGCATTACAGTATTTGGGAATATCAGCATCTGTGTAGTCACTAAAGCCATATCAATTTGTGACTTGCTCCTCACTGTATAGACAGAATCAATGTCATTCTATTCTTAGGAAATAAAAACAATCATTAATAAATAACAATAAATAAAAATAATCAATCTCATGAGAGGCATATGAAAGCTCTCCAGAGTCAGCATGCCAATGATTCAAGTTCACCTCTAACCTCTCCAGTAGTAGAATTCAGCTGAGAGTCAAGAATTTCATGGTACACAAGTTTGGTTTTGTTGCAGAGGGAAGAAAAAGGGATGATGTCAGAAGAGAAGGAAGATTCTGAGTATGCCATGGGGTAATATCATTTGAAATATTTTGTGAATTCTGCTCTGAAATTGATATCAAAGCTCAAAACAAATGAGAATTTGTTTTGAAAATTCTCATTTGTTTTGAGCTTTATTATTTCTTCCTATTTTAATGGGAACACTGAGAAATCCAGCTGCTACCTCCCTGGTATAGGTGCTGGCAGGAGATGACAGCTGGTGCAGCAACCCTGGCCAGAACCAGATCCCACAGTGTACTGACTGACAATGGATCCATGCATCCATTCAGTGAGGACCGGAGCATCAAAAGAGGGAACGTGGACACTGCTCTGTGACTAAAGGACCATTGATTGCTGTGGGTAGGCAAGTGTCCATGACATCTTCCAACAGGCTCAGAGGAAAATGAGGCTTAGAGTCTGTATGAACATGGCATGAAGAACAGGAGATTACTTCTTCTTCTCATTATCCCATGCACCTGACTGAATTCCCCTGTCTGCTGTGGCATGAGAAAACACACTACTAATTGTTCATTTTTTCTGTTACCAAGCAATTTTTCTGAGCTCTGCCTCTCCAATTCTATTCAGTCATTCTAAAATTCGCTCCAGGAATCTTAAGCATCTAGTTTAAAATCAGGATTCCTTTTTATAGAGGATGTACAGTAAGTTCTAGATTTATAGGGCAATGTTTTACTAGTGTAAGCCACAAGTTAATATTTTCAAAATTACATTTTTTGTTATATTTTAATGCTCAGGATGGTCTATTATCTCGCTATCCTCTTTGTATTTAAAAAATAATAAAGGTAAACATATAAATGATTAGATGTTATATATGCTCGGAGAAGTATATAATAAAAAGTTAAAGCCTCTGCAATCCCTACCTATGAGTCGCTTACCACAAAGGGAACCACTATTAACAGTTGTTTGTGTCTAAGCCCAGGAACAGCTTCCATGCCTACAGCTGCATTCATATATCCATTTTAAAGCATATAAATAATAATTCTATAATCACTCTTATATATCATACTTTTCATTTAATCATGCATCTGAAATGTTTAATTCAAGCCAACATATACATATCTGTATGGTTTTAGCAGTGTCTGTATCATGTAGATGTATGTAATGCACTTAGTAAGTGCCTAGATTATAGCAACTTACCACAATTATATTTGATCTTACAAAGACAGCTATAATCACAACAGTGTACTTATATCTTGGTGCATTTTATAATATATTTCAACTTTGGTAAGTGATACGGTTTGGTTCCGTATCCCCACCCAAATCTCATGTTGAGTTGTAATCCCCAGTGTTGGGGGAGGGACTTGATGGGAGGTAACTGGATCATGGGGGTGGATGCCCCCTTGCATTCTCATAATAGTCAGTGAGTTCTCACAAGATCTGGTTATTTGAAGCAGCTCTTCCCTCATTCACTGTCTCTCCTGCTGATCATGTGAAGATGTGCTTGCTTCCCCTTTGCCTTCTGTCACGATTGTAAGTTTCCTAAGGCCTCCCCAGCCATGCTTTCTATACAGCCTGCAGAACCATGAGCCAATTAAACCATTTTCTTTATAAGTTACTAAGTCTCAGGTAGTTCTTTATAGCAATGTGAGAATGAACTAATAGAGTAAGTATTGCAGAATTTCATCCTAGAATAGATTTCAAGTTCCACTTTCACCAACAATGCATGAAAGGCTTTTGTTCTTCTACAGAACTGATGTTATTAACCTATAAAACTTTTGTTTAAAAGTGGTTGGCAAGATGGCCAAATAGGACTCCAGTCTGTAGCTCCCAGTGAGATAAATGCAGAAGGTGGGTGATTTCTGCATTTCCAACTGAGGTACCCAGTTCATCTCACTGGGACTGGTTAGACAGTGGGAGCAGCCCACAAAGGGTGAGCCGAAGCAGGGTGGGGTGTCACCTCACCCGGGAAGTGCAAGGGGTCAGGGAAATCCCTCCTCTAGCCAAGGGAAGCCATGATGGACTGTGCCATGAGGAATGATGCATTCCGGCCCAAATACTAAGCTTTTCCCACACTCTTTGCAACCTGCAGACCAGGAGATTCCCTCGGGTGCCTACACCAAAAGGGCCCTGGGTTTCAAGCACAAAACTGGGCAGCCATTTAGGCAGACACTGATCTAGCTGCAGGAGTTTTTTTTCATACCCCGGTGGTGCCTGGAATGCCAGCAAGACAGACCATTCCCTCCCCTGGAAAGGGGGCTGAAGCCAGGGAGCCAAGTGGTCTAGTTCAGCATATCACACCCCAGTGGAGCCCAGCAAGCTAAGATCCACTGGCTTAAAGCTCTCACTGCCAGCACAGCAGTCTGAAGTCAACCTGGGATACTCGAGTTTGGTGGGGGGATGGGGGGCATCTGCCATTACTGAGGCTTGAGTAGGTGGGTTTTCCCGTCACAGTGTAAACAAAGACCCTGGGAAGTTCAAACTGGGCAGAGCCCACCACAGCTCAGCAAAGCCACTGAAGCTAGACTGCCTCTCTAGATTCCTCCTCTCTGGGCAAGGCATCTCTGAAAGAAAGGCAGCAGCTGCAGTCAGGGGCTTATAGCTAAAACTCTCATCTCCCTGGGACAGAGCACCTGGGGGAAGGGGTGGCTATGGGGGCGGCTTCAGCAGACTTAAACGTTCCTGCCTGCCAGCTCTGAAGAGAGCAGCAGATCTCCCAGCACAGCACTCGAGCTCTGCTAAGGGAAAGACTGCCTCCTCAAGTGGATCTCTGACCCCAGTGCCTCCTGACTGGGAGACACCTCCCAGCAGAAGTCAACAGACACTTCATACAGAAGAGCTCTGGCTGGTATCTGGCAGGTGCACCTCTGGGACAAAGATTCCAGAGGAAGGAACAAGCATCAGTCTTTGCTGTTCTGCAGCCTCTGCTGGTGATACCCAGGCAAACAGGGTCTGGAGTGGACCCCCAGCAAACTCCAACAGACCTGCAGCAGAGGGTCCTGACTATTAGAAGGAAAACTAACAAACAGAAAGGAACAGCATCAACATCACCAAAAAGGACATCCACACAATAAACCCATCCAAAGGTCACCACCATCAAAGACCAAAGGTAGATAAATCCACAAAGATGGGGAAAAAGCAGCACAAAAACGCTGAAAATTCCAAAACCCAGAATGCTTCTTCTCCTCCAAAGGATCACAACTCCTCGCCAGCAAGGGAATAAAACTGGATGGAGAATGAGTTTGAGGAATTGACAGAAGTAGGCTTCAGAAGGTGGATAATAACAAACTCCTCCAAGCTAAAGAAGAATGTTCTAACCCAATGCAAGATATCTAAGAACCTTGATAGAAGGGTAGAGGAATGGCTAATTAGAATAACCAGTTTAGAGAAGAACATAAATGACCTGATGGAGCTGAAAAACACAGCATGAGAACTTCGGGAAGCATACACAAGTATGAATAGCCAAATCAATCAAGCAGAAGAAATTATATCAGAGATTGAAGATCAACTTAATGAAATAAAGCATGAAGATAAGATTAGAGAAAAAAGAATGAAAAGGAATGAACAGAGCCTCCAAGAAACATGGGAATGTGTGAAAAGACCAAACCTACGTTTGATTGGCGTACCTGAAAGTGACGGGGAGTATGGAACCAAGATGGAAAACACTCTTCAGGATATTATCCAGGAGAACTTCCCCAACCTAGCAAGAAAGGCCAACACTCAAATTCAGGAAATACAGAGACCACCACCAAGATACTCCTAGAGAAGAGCAACCCCAATACACATAATCGTCAGATTCACCAATGTTGAAATGAAGGAAAAAATGTTAAGGGCAGCACCACGTCACACTTATTCTAAAATCGACCACATAATTGGAAGTAAAACACTCCTCAGCAAATGCAAAAGAATGGAATTTATAACAAACTCCCTCTCAGACAACAGTGCAATCAAATTAGTACTCAGTATTAAGAAACTCACTTAAAACCACACAACCACATGGCAACTGAACAACCTGCTCCTGAATGACTACTGGGTAAATAGCAAAATTAAAGCAGAAATAAATAAGTTCTTTGAAACCAATGAAAACAAAGACACAACGTATCAGAATCTCTGGGACACAGGTAACACAGTGTTTAGAGGGAAATTTATAGCACTAAATGCCCACAGGAGAAAGCAGGAAAGATCTAAAATCGACACCCTAACATCGCAATTTAAAGAACTAGAGAAGCAAGAGCAAACAAATTCAAAAGCTAGCAGAAGGCAAGAAATAACTTAGAGCAGAACTGAAGGAGATAGACACATGAAAATCCCTTCAAAACATCAATGAATCCAGGAGATGGTTTTTCGAGAAGATCAACAAAATAGACCGCTGGTCAGACAAATAAAGAAGAAAGTGAGAAGAATCAAATAGACACAACAAAAAATGATAAAGGGGATATCACCAGTGATCCCACAGAAATACAAACTGCCATCAGGGAATATTATAAACACCTCTACTCAAATAAAGTAGAAAATCTAGAAAAAATGGATAAATTCCTGGACACATACACCCTCCCAAGACTAAACCAGTAAGAAGTCGAATCCCTGAATAGACCAATAACAAGTTGTGAAACTGAGGCAGTAATTAACAGCATACCAACCAAAAAAAGGTCAGGACCAGAGGGATGCAAAGCTGAATTCTACCTGAGGTACAAAAAGGAGCTAGTACCATTCCTTCTGAAACAATTCCAAACAATAGGAACAGAGGGACTTCTCTGTAATTAATTTGATGAGGCCAGCATTATCCTGATACCAGAACCTGGCAGATACACAACAACAAAAGAAAATTTCAGGCCAATACCTCTAATGAACATTGAAGCGAAAATCCTCAATAAAATACTGGCAAACCAAATCCAGCTGCACATCAAAAAGCTTGTCCACCACGATCAAGATGGCTTCATCCGTAGGATGCAAGGCTGATTCAACATATACAAATCAACAAACGTAATCCATCACATAAACAGAACCAGTGCCAAAAACCATATGATTATCTCAATAGATGCACAAAAGGCCTTATAAAATTCAACACCCCTTCATGCTAAAATCTCTCAACATACTAGGTATTGATGGAACGTATCTCAAAATAATAACAGTTATTTGTGACAAACCCACAGCCAATATCATACTGAATGGACAAAAGCTGGAAGCATTCCCTTGGAAAACTGGCACAAGACAAGGATGCCCTCTCTCACCACTCCTGTTCAACATGTTATTGGAAGTTCTGGCCAGGGCAATCAGGCAAGAAAAAG
Organism: Homo sapiens; assembly: GCF_000001405.40. NCBI lineage: Eukaryota > Metazoa > Chordata > Mammalia > Primates > Hominidae > Homo > Homo sapiens. The sequence continues at coordinate 23,250,936 of NC_000009.12, forward strand.
AAATAAAGGGTATTCAAATAGGAAGAGAAGAAATCAAATTGTCTCTGTTTGCAGATGACATGATTGTGTATTTAGAAAACCCCATCATCTCAGTGCAAAATCTCCTTAAGCTGATAAGCAACTTCAGCAAAGTCTCAGGACACAAAATCAATGTGTAAAAATCACAAGCATTTCTATACAGCAATAATAGACAAACAGAGAGCCAAATCATGAGTGAACTCCCATTCACAATTGCTACAAAGATAATAAAATACCGAGAAATACAACTTACAAGAGATGTGAAGGACCTCTTCAAAGAGAACTACAAACCACTGCCCACGGAAATAAGAAAGGACACAAAGAAATGGAAAAACATTCCATGCTCATGGATAGGAAAAATCAGTATGTGAAAATGGCCATAATGCCAGAAGTAATTTATAGATTCAATGCTATCCCCATCAAGCTACCAATGACTTTCATCATGGAATTAGAAGAAAAGCTACTTTAAATTTCACATGGAACCAAAAAAGAGCCCATATAGCCAAGACAATCCTAAGCAAAAAGAACAAAGCTGGAGGCATCACGCTATCTGACTTCAAACTATACTACAAGGCTATAGTAACCAAAACAGCATCGTACTGGTACCAAAACAGATATATAGACCAATGGAACAGAACAGAGGCCTCAGAAATAATGCCATACATCTACAACCATCTGATCTTCGACAAACCAGACAAAAACAAGCAAAGGGGAAAAGACACCCTATTTAATAAATGGTGTTGGGAAAACTGGCTAGCCATATGCAGAAAACTGAAACTGCACCCCTTTCTTACACCTTACACAAAAATCAACTCAAGATGGATCAAAAACTTAAATCTAAGACCTAAAACCGTAAAAACCCTAGAAGAAAACCTAGGCAATACCATTCAGGACATAGGCATGGACAAACACTTCATGACTAAAACACCAAAAGCAATGGCAACAAAAGCCAAAATTGACAAATTGGATCTAATTAAACTAAAGAGCTTCTGCACAGCAAAGGGAACTATCATCAGAGTGAACAGGCAACCTAGATAATGGGAGAAAATTTTTGCCATCTATCCATCTGGCAAAGGGCTAATATCCAGAATCTATGAAAACGTCAACAAATTTAGAAGAAAAAAACAAACAACCCCATCAAAAATTGAGCGAAGGATATGAACAGACACTTCTCAAAAGAAGACATTTATGCAGCCAACAAACATATGAAAAAAAACTTCATCATCACTGGTCATTAGAGAAATGCAAATCAAAACCACAATGAGATACCATCTCACACCAGCTAGAATGGCAATCATTAGGACATCAGGAAACAACAGATTCTGGAGATTATGTGGAGAAATAGGAATGCTTTTACACTGTTGGTGGGAGTGTAAATTGGTTCAACCATTGTGGAAGACAGTGCGGCTATTCCTCAAGCATCTAGAACCAGAAATACCATTTGACCCAGCAATCCCATTACTGGATACATACCCAAAGGATTATAAATCATTCTACTATAAAGAAACATGCACATGTATATTTATTGCAGCACTGTTCACAATAGCAAAGACTTGGAACCAACCAAAATGCCCATCAGTGATAGACTGGATAAAGAAAATGTGGCACATATACACCATGGAATACTATGCAGCCATAAAAAAGGATGAGTTCATATCCTTTGCGGGGAAGTGAATGAAGCTGGAAACTATCATTCTCAGCAAACTAACACCGGAACAGAAAACCAAACACCACTTTCATGTCCTTTGCAGGGACACGGATGAAGCTGGAAACCATTATTCTCAGCAAATTAACACAGGAACAGAAAACCAAACACTGCATGTTCTCACTCATAAGTAGGAGCTGAACAATGAGAACACATGGACACAGGGAGGGGAACATCACACAACAGGGCCTGTCAGTGGGTGGGGGGTTAGGGGAGGGATAGCATTAGGAGAAATACCTAATGTATTAGGAGAAATACCTAATGTAGATGGTGGGTTGATGGGTGCACTAAACCACCATGGCATGTGTATGCCTATGTAACAAACCTGCCCATTCTGCAAATGTATCATAAATTAAAGTATAACAAAATAAAATTTAAAAAAGGAACAAGATCATGTAATTAGCAGGAACATGGATGGAGCTGGAAGCCATTATCCTCAGCAAACTAATGCAGGAACACAAAAACAATACCACAAGTTCTCACTTATAAGTGGGAGCTGAATGATAAGAACATATGGGGGCAACAACACCCACTGGGGCTTGCTGGGTCAGTGGGGAGGGAGAGCATCAGGAAGAATATATAATGGACACTGGGCTTAATACCTAGGTGATGGATTGATATGTGCAGCCAACCACCAGGACACACCTATGTAACAAACCTGCACATTCTGCACATGTACCCTGGAACTTAAAATAAAAGTTAAGAAAATAAATAAACAAACAAACAAATAAAACGTTTGTTTACCTGATTCAAACATTGCTATGTGGTAATAAATGGCAGAAATGTGAGGTTTTCAACATTACAAAAATTATACTACAAGACGAGTGCATCACATTTGTTAATTTCAAATTATGATTTTGTATTTTAGAGATTGTGTTTTCCCCAGTAAGATACTGGGGCATTTTTTAAATGAGAGACAAAAAAATCACTTGAGATCCCTTCACAATTAAATGAAAGAAGACAAGATTTGCTCCTATCACAAATTGTTTATTTTCTACATCTCTCTTAACAAATAAGCATGAAATTATATAAGACCCCCAACTATTGAATTTTCTGGAAAATCATATATTTGTCTTGGAAAAGAAAAGTGACATGGTCACTAAGGAAAGCTCAATGAATTTACAAATAAGTAACACATTTTATTACACCAATGAAAAGCTTCATTGACACAAAGCTTTTATATTGATTTTAGGAAATAATTTGTATTGTACATTTTGACTTTTCCTCCAGCATATTCACTGGAGAAAGGAAAGTCAAGGAGAGAGAAGGGTTGTGGGAATGAGAAGAACAGGGAAAGATCTAAGAGTGAGGAGAAGGGAGACAGAGAAAGAGAGAAACTCACTGGTTTGAAAATGGCCTATTTTCATTTCCTTGTGGGATTCCCTCTACTTATTAAAAGAAGTTTCTTTCTGACATAGAAGCTTCATGGTGAATAATATCAGTGTATAACATTTCTTCTGAATTTTGGGTTGATTTTGATGAAGCTGATCCCAGAGTAGACTGGGTCCACATTTGGGGGATTATCAGACGTTGGTCAACAGAAAGGAAAACATTAAGGTAGGAATGGATGATAACAGAATATACTTTAAACAGCTCAGCTTCAAAGAATTCTCTTCCAACATGATCACATATAACATTAACAAAGATTTAATCACCACTAGCTTTGTTTTAAACTCTGAAGGATATTCTAGTGTTGTGCAGAGGGAGCACAGACACACATGCTACCTGGTGTCTATATTAAATAATGTTTATTGGGTAAAAACTTATAAGCAGAGAAATATCAGAAGACAACTAATCCCTTAAATCACTTATTATTCCAAAAAGAGATGTGCTAAGTTGAGCAAAGCTAGGTGGTATGCTTTCCCATTGAGGGCGCTCCTGCCCTCTAAAAGCTTCACATATTTATAAGAAACAATAGGAAGGAATAAAGTATGCAACTAGAAAACAATGGAAACCCTCTAGTCAGTAGCAGATATGGCGAAGGTTGCGGGAAGCTTCTAGGGAAGGGCCTCCAGTACTAAGCTTCTAGTGTCAGCCCAGCTCATTCTTTACAAAACTAGCCCAAAGCAGCTAAGCAAGGTCTTCACTAAGCTCTCACAGGCAGATGGGGGAATGAGCTTCTGGAGTCATCCAGGTTTGTCTCTACTCTGTGATTTTGCATATTCTTACACTGAATGAAGGCCCTAACGATATAAATTTTACTGCTGTTTCATAATATAAACGTGTGCCTTGGATTTGGATATAGTATAAGTACAACTCAACTTTTTGTTTATCCATTTATTTCACCGAATATTTATTTAGTATTTTGAAATCTGAACTCTGCTACTTTTTTGTATTTATGACCTTGAGCAAATTATTGAACTTCGCTGAACCTCAGCTTGCTCATTGGTAAACGAGAGATAACAATTCCTATCTATTTCCTGTCAATTCCTATCTATACCATTATACAATAGTATTGTTTAATGAAGAAATAAAATAAGTCATTTAAAGTACCCGGTGAAGTAGCTCTTTCTTTGTTTTGTAAGGTAGAAGAGAACAGGAATTTCCTAAGTTGGTTATCTTGGATGAGGAAGGCTATTTAATACTAAAAGCCTTGCTTAATAAAATTCTTAGTTACAAAAGGCATCTTAAATAAACACCTCTAGTATCACTTTAAGTTATTACTTCCTAGTTTTTATTTCCCTGTGCACAACCTCGTTAAAATTCATAAATCTTACAGTAGGAGGTTGTTTCTGAATCACAGCCCCATCTCAGAGACAATGTGAAACAAATGGTACAAAGCACACTTCCAAAACAAACCCAAATATTTTGTGTAGCCAAATAAATACAAAGCAATTAATTCTTGTTGAAGGAAACAGACCCAAGCTGTACAGAAAAAGCTGCATTTGTTGTGGGTATTTAAGTACTAAGTGACAGAAAGTTCATACCATGTCAGAACTGGATAGTTTAAATCATTATTTTATTGTGGAAAGCAAGATCATTTTAAAAGTCTCAAAATAACTCTTTCTTTTACTTTCCTAAAACTAAACTCAAGCCCAAATCACCCCGGGACTTTAATTTATTTGCTTGTCGTTCTTGGTAATTTTTAAAATAATAAGGTTAATGTTCAAGTTCAGAATTAGTTCAGCCCATTTCAATTCATGGACACATGTTCTAAGCAGAATGTAATGTGTACTTAGTATTGGTTTTAGGGAAACATGACATCAAATTCCTCTTTGGATATTCTACAAAGAGCTTTTATTTGAAAGATAGTGTTTTAAGAATGTGTTTGACCTGAGGCATGTCTGAAATGGAATAATAGTGACATGTGTCAAAATGGTATATTCTGTTACCTAAAACATTTCCCCATATCTCCCACTGGTAAAATAATGATATTTTGGCTCTGAAAAGTAGGTCCACTCTGGTGGGAAAAGGCAGAGTCATAAGATCATCACTTCTATATTTTCTAAAATCTTAAGGTACCAGAAAAAAATGCCACATTTTTCCCATTTGAGAACTCAAGTTAAACTGTCTTGAAAGATAAAAAATAAGTGAAAACTATATATTTTTTAAGATTTGGGGCAAACATTTAAAAACTTTGTATTATAGACTTCAGGAAAGCACAACAGTCAAACCCTTTTATCTTTGTCTCTATAGGACAAAATGATTATATTTTGATTAGCCTTCCACCACCCACGAGCATAATGGGAATGTCTGAATTTTGAGCTGCTCTTAGACCATTTGTCATCGTTAGGCAAGCTAGTAAGCCTCAGTTTCTCCATCTTTACACCACAGATTTGAAATGAGGATTTAAGATATGATCATAAATAATATGACCGTGACATAGAAGAACCTCAGCAAATGCTTTCACTTTGTAAAAAAAAATTCCAAAGATGGCATTTGCCCTGAGCCAAACAGATTATTTTAAAAAGGGCAAATAACTGTGATTCTCTTCCCCAATTCAAATCGTAGGTTCCTGAAATGCACTGCAAGATCCATTCAGTTTAGACAGTTACGGTCATCTGTTCAAATAGCTGGTAATTGCCCCCCTTTCCTCACTAGTTAGCCTAATTGGAGTAACATAATGTTAACAGATTGACCTTTAAAGTCCAACACTCATGAGTTCAAATTATGACTCCACCACTGAACTGTCACTCATTTATAAGTTACCTATGCTCTCTAAGGCCTAGTTTTCTCATCTATAAAATGAGTTAAGCACCTAGCACAATGCCTTGTGTGCTGTAAGTACTCAATAAATGTTATGTTTTCTCCAAAGAAATAATTCTTTCCAAAGAAAAAGTATCAGCTAATGTGTGGAGTTAAAAAATTCAAACCAAACACCGCATATTCTCACTCATAGGTGGGAACTGAACAATGAGAACACATGGACACAGGAAGGGGAACATCACACTCTGGGGACTGTTGTGGGGTCGGGGGAGGGGGGAGGGATGGCACTGGGAGATATACCTAATGCTAGATGACGAGTTAGTAGGTGCAGCGCACCAGCATGGCACATGTATACATATGTAACTAACCTGCACATTGTGCACATGTACCCTAAAACTTAAAGTATAATAATAATTAAAAAAATTCCTGCATACAGAATAAAAAAGTATTTATTACATAAAAATCGATTAACAAATTTGAAAAGAACCCTCAAACCCCCTAGTTTCAAAGAAAATATGTTTTCCTCTATTATCGCCGATGTTACAACAAAATCTAATTTCATCCTTATGACACCTAGAAATATCAGAGTAGGCTACTGTATTTGTCACAGTGAGGTTCTCAAGTTTGATTTCTAGCTGTCCGTCAAAATGCCACCTTTAATCTTATTAGTTCATGTCACTGAAATTTGAGATGAACCCCATAAGTTTTATTAAAAACAGAGTAGAGTTGCCATCCAAAGCTAATGAATAATTGAATATATTTTTCATATTAGTTCATAAGAGTCATAAATAATGACATATAACATCTAATTAGTACATTTTTAGACATAAATGTTTATAAGAATGATGTGATGAAGTACATTGATGAAGTACATTAAATTATAATTATTCTTTGGTTAAAAGATTTGCAATTTAACCCATATGACATCTGTATCTTGTACCTTTTAGCTTATTCTCTAGGTAGCTATCTGTCTGCCACCAAAATAACATATGGTAGAATTAAACAGACGTCATTACTTGTAGAAGAGTCTTCACATTTTGCAAAAGTAAAGCAACTGTCTAACTCACAGAAAGTTAAAATAATTCTAAGCCTCTCTCCCCCAAAATAAGGTATGTGCCAAGTAGAATATAATTCTCTCAGAAAACAATCACCTCCAGGAAATCTCAAGGGAATAAGTTTAATACCTTGTTCCAATCTCTGTACATTGCTTCAGCATAAGATAGCAAGAAAATTAAAAGATTGGTTTTGTTTACAGAAGACACCGCCTTTCTTTCAATACTTTTACATGAACTCATCTCATTCTTATTCATGGAAGAACACCCACACTTCTATGAATCCAAAGTACCAAAGTCAATAGAAATATCCACATATCCAAAATAAGGATTTTTTTTGTCAAAGAGGAAAGAGATGTGCTAACAGTATTCCAAACATCAAATAACTACATTTTTTTAATTTAACAATCTTTCTTTTTCTAAAATAAGTGAAAATTCAGTCTCCAAATTAAAAAACTAAAAGCACTACTTTTTTCAGAACCTGCTCAAACTATCCAGAAATTTAGGGAATCTACACCTCTTCAGATATCAAGTGATATCCGAATTTACCCAATTAATTATAATTGGTTAAATAAAAAGTAAAACAATATTACAAAAACATTTCCAAGGACAAGTTTTTGGCACATACAATTTTGACAAGTGTTTGGAAAAACTGGTGCTTTCATATACCGTTGGTCAGTACATAAATTGGTGTAGGTGCCTTGGAGGACATTTTGACAGTGTCCATCCAATTAGTAACTTACAAACCTTTCAAGTCTGAATCTTTTCTGTATTTATTCCACAAGTGTACATGTTCATGTATGCCAAAAATGTCAGTTGCCATGTTTCTTTGTAATAGCAAACCACCGGAAGCTCTAGGATGGGCTGCTGCCTTGTGAAAAATGCATGAGTGTAAATTTGGTGGCTTAAGCAGAGGTAAATCTGGTTAAGCTCTCAGTCACCAAAAGGATCTCAGATGATGATGCCCCCTGATTTGGGCTAGAAGGCAGTGAGTCATACTTCTAACATCTGGTGGAAGGAAAAATGAAAGTACAAAATGCTAAAAATAAATAAGTTGGTAAGTGAATTAGCATTTCTTTAGCACTAAAATGGTTAACAACTCTGTAAAATGCAAGATAACAGGCTACCATGAAAGGATATTTCTATCTTTCCTTCTCAAGCTTTTATTTTTACAAATGGTGATTCTAAGCACCCTTCTTCCTATAGATTTATAGGGTTTTCCCTCAGAACCAAGATCATGGAAATTATCTTAACAATTAATTGCAATTAAATTTAAGAGCAATTTATCTAGTTCACACTAGGCTGGTGCCCACTTGAATGCAAGTTCGTCAATAAAGTGTAACTTCCATGAAAGCCAGATTAGCTTTCATTTTATATTGCATCCCCAGTACCCAGCACCTAAAAGACAGAGCAAGTGACATATAATAGGTAGTCAAAATATATATTTGCAGAAAAATCAGCAGAGTATATCTAATGGAGTTCTCCAATTGTAAATATTTCTTAAGTGAACTCCACTGCTCTTCAAAATAATTTTGTGTAGCATGAACACTGGCCTGTGTTCACATTCATATATTTGCTTTAAGAACTTTAAATAATTTATATAGTCCACTGATTTAAAGAAGTCCTAGAACTACTAAAAACTGAAAGAACCGCCGTGAAACTGGAAGTCAGTTTTACATGACAATAGTAGTATGTGCTGTCCTTCTATAGACTAAGTGTATTAGTCTGTTCTTCTGCTGCTTTAAGGACATACTCGAGACTAGGTAATTTATAAAGCAAAGAGGTTTAATTGATTCACATTTCTGCATGGTTGGGGAGGCCTCAGGAAACTTACAATCATGACAGAAGACACCTCTTCACAGGATGGTACAAAAAAGAATGAGAGCCAAGCGAAGGGGAAAGCCTCTTATAAAACCATCAGCTCTCATGAGAACTCACTATCAGGGACAACAGCATGGGGTAAACCACCCTAATGATTCCATCATCTCCACGAGTTTCCACCCTTGACACGTGGGGATTATTACAATTCAAGGTGAGATTTGCATAGGGACACAGAGCCAAACCATATCACTAAGATGGTGGTGTTTATGGAAAAAGCCCAAGAATATTAGTAAAGAGGATTTTGTTATAGAAATGGCTCTACTGTTGATTAATTTTGTAAACTTAACTTTGCCCTTTAATCCTAGGTTTTCATATTTTTATCAGTAAAATCATGGGAGTTGGGTTGGGGAATCTCTAAATTCTAGTTCCACTTGCTTTAAATTATTTGATTCTATGATTTTTGCATATAGCAATGTCTCAAATCTTACTAACAATAGTGGGGTTGCTTTACAGAAAATATATGCCCAGGCCGGGCGTGGTGGCTCACGCCTGTAATCCCAGCACTTTGGGAGGCCGAGGCGGGTGGATCATGAGGTCAGGAGATCGAGACCATCCTGGCTAACACAGTGAAACCCCGTCTCTACTAAAAATACAAAAAATTAGCCGGGAGCGGTGGCGGGCTCCTGTAGTCCCAGCTACTTGAGAGGCTGAGGCAGGAGAATGGCGTGAACCCAGGAGGCGGAGCTTGCAGTGAGCCAAGATCGCGCCACTGCACTCCAGCCTGGGTGACAGAGCCAGACGCTGTCTCAAAAAAAAAAAAAAAAAAGAAAATATATGCCCAGATAGAAACTCACCAAAAAGGATAAATCAATCTATTGTTATTCTCACTCTTGTTCTCTTGTGTGAGTACTTCCAAAGATAACTGGAAAAAAAAAATTGGCATATATGTTCCTCTAAATGCAATATCTCTTCCCTCTCCCCTTATCTCTCACTATTTACATTTTCACAGCCTTTCATTTCCAATTCAGAACTTGTTGCTGAATACAGCAAAGAGTAAAAATCTCTTTTTTACATGGATTATTCATAGATCACTTGTTAATTGAGCAATGAAACAGATATTCACATACTGTTATACCATTTATTGGCATAAAAAGACAATATAAAAAGAGGTTTTCAAAATGTGACATTTGACCCAATAATTCCACTGATTCACATATACATTTATATTATTTTGAGATTATTTCAGTATTATAGAAGAGTTGCATAAATATTTCAAAGAATTCCTGTATACTCTTCACCTGCTATCCAAATGCTAACATTTTACGGCATTGTCATTCTCTCTTTTTTACTGTGTCTGTTTCCATAGATATGAAAGCTTTTCATTGGAGCATAATTTAAGTTAGAGAAAACTGGAAGAAACCTAAATAACAAGCATCAAGGAAATGGCTCCTTCAATTATGGCATATACACTGTATGGAATATTGAAGAGGAATTAAAATGTTTTCAGTGATTATTGTAAAATTGAAGGCAAGATGCTTATTAGGTAATACTAATTCAAACAGTTATTAAAATTTTAAAGTGATTATGACAAAGATTATGGTATAATGTCTATTAAATATTGCCAAGTGAAAACTCAGAATAACATCAGTGACACATATAAACAGATTGATGGCAAAAAAAAAAAGATGAGAAGGGAACATGCAAAAATAAATGTAGTTATATAAGTGTGATTGACTGGGGTTATGGATAAATATTCTGTTTTCTAAATAATATAACTTTTTATGGACTATCCTTTAAGATTTTGTGGATGGCAACCTGAAGTATAAACAAGGGGAAAATATTGAGTTTGAGAAATTAATCACAAGGCTATAAAGTAGAAGGCATAAATTGAACCATATACTGTAAACACTCATAGTTCATGGGAGAAAGAAGCAAAGTGGTCATTTTTCCCAAGGAGAAAATAAATAGAACTCAAAACAGAGAAGAGATTATTTGGACTGAGATTTCCAAAGGAATAAAGCTGACACAGGTTTATGATGAAAGTGCAACAAACAGAATGCTGAATTCTGCTAGATATCAGTTTAATTTTTTACTGTGCTACACGATGCAATTGGATTGCTTCTAACCTGATATTTCACAGAGATGTATTATTCCGTGGGTATTACTAACAGATATGTGCAATCTGACTGCCAGACTGAACACAGACCTGTAAACCAATAAAACAGATATTTTCAAAGAGAATTTCTGATAACCAAAATTTAAAGGAGGAGATGAAGATAATAATCTCTTAGCAAAGAATGTTTCACACATGTGACTTTTAAAAGTTTAATTACATGTTCAACACAAAGGGAAACATTTCTGAAAGCCAGGAATTCTGTTGTAAGGTGTTTTGGGGTATAAAGAATCGTAATTTAACGAATAACCCTCAGAATATCAGGTGGTATTTAAAAATGCTTTGTTTTAGTATATTTTCTCATTAATTTTTATCTGAATATTTGGCTCTAAGGCTTACAAACCTATGCATAGGCAATTTTGCCAGGGGAAATAGGCAGGAAGTATTTTCATCTATCTGCTGAAGATACAACTTTTTACCATAAAGCAGTCATAATTTTGTCTTGGAACGAAACACAAAGAACAGTATAATGTTAATCGTGATTAAAAAATAATGCTATGGTGTTAGAATATATTATCAAAAAGTAAGCTGGCCAATGTTCAATGTTTTGTTTCTGTTTTCTCATAAGTGGGAAAGAAAAGAGAAATGAGGGAAGAGTAGGTTTGGAGAAAATAAAAGCAGAAAAAGTCTGCAATATCTCCCAGTGTCCACACCAAGCTGTTCTCCACTTAGATTAGTCTAATTCATTCTGTATAGGTAAGATAGAAAAGCAGAAAAGAAAGTATGTATCTTTAATCTATGATTAAAATAAATTATAATTGCATGTTTTCATCTTCGCCCTATCACTAATTCACCTCCTCTATTACTAGCCAAAGGCTCAAGTATTTTGCAATAGTAGCACAATTATAAGAGCATTGGTAGAAGGTCCAGCGACAAGAGGTTAGATTTTTATATATTTTATTTTACATATTTATATATTTTATTCATTGTTTGTAGTAAAGAAATGGAGGAATAAAAAATGACTCTCAGAATTTGGGCTTAGGCATCTTGATAAACGGTGACATGATTTACTGTGAAGTACAAAACATAGAGAGACAGGTTTGGGGAAAAACAAGTCATCTGTCTTGAAGAATTCAGGTATGAGATGTTTATTAGTCACCCAAGAGAAAATAATTTAGTATCAAGTGGGCAGTATTAGCAATAATACATGATGGATTTCTGATTTAAAAAATCTTTATCAGAAAATCTAGTATACATGTAGTAGCAGAAATCGGTCTCTCAGTAAAATTTCTAGGTAGATACAAATGGAATTCTTTCCTAACATGAGACCACCCAAGCAGGTTTAACACATAAGAAACTGGTACTTGAACCCCAGACTCTACTAAATACAATATCTTTATTGTATCTAAGGTATACTTCATGGTATATTAAATCTTTGCAAAACGAACATTGAAAATCTAAAGCTAATCACAACTCCAGAAAGAAACTAGATTATTTTCTTTTTCTAAAAGAAAAGGATGCTTTTACTCTGCTCATAGCTGAGTTTGTCATCTATTGTTATTTCACAGATGACATAATTCACAAGTTATTAAAGGTTTCACTGCAGTCTGAACTTGTATTCTTACACATTCCAAAACACTTTCAATTTTCTTTAACTACCCTCTAAAGTAATTTCAGTACCAAAGAATAGAGGAGGAAAAAATATACATTGAATGTGTAAAGCAGGGGCAGAGAGTTGATCTATTACGACATACATCTTTATGAAAGAAAAGATAGGATGACTTGCTCATGGCTACATACTTTATAAGTTATTTCTTCTCACTCATAAAGATAGTTCTTTTTTAAAAAGGTTAGGATTTCTTTATATTTTATACAAGTTATCTCTCTTCAGTCTTCACAGTTTTTGTAGTTGTCAAGTTTCAAACACTAAAGGACAACTTACTTTTTCACAGTTATCGTATTGCCTTCTCAACATATATGCTGCTGTTTAGAATTTATCCCCGAGTCATGGTAAAATCATAGTTTAATCTTTGTGTATACAAAATCATATCTGAATAAAAATAAAGTCTGTAAAATTCAAAATCATATCCAGATCTGATGATAGTAACCAATACAAATGGGATTATAATTGGATTGTCAATCTCATCAATATCATAATTATTCTTTTAAGTTATAGAGTACTAAAATTGTAGTCATACAAAATGAATGAATTCTAGAGTTCTGCTGTGTAACATTGTGCCTATAGTTAAAATTAATGTATTGCATACATAAAATTTTGTTGCTGGGCCTGGCGACTCATGCCTATAATCCCAGCACTTTGGGAGGCCGAGGTGGGCAGATTGCTTGAGCTCAGGTGTCCGAGACCAGCCTGGGCAACACGGCAAAACCTCCTCTCTACAAAAAATACAAAAATTAGCTGGGTGTGGTTGCACATACCTGTGGTTTCAGCTACTTGGGAGGCCGAGGTGGGAGGATGGCTTGAGTCCAGGAGGTCAAGGCTGTAATGAGCTGAGATTGTGCCAATGAACTCCAGCCTGGGTTAGAGACCTGTGTCAAAAAAAAAATTGTTAAGAAGACAGAGTTCATGTTAAATGTTCTTACAACAATAATAAATAAATAAATAAATAATAAATCATATAGTACTAATTTCATAAAGGTATACATACCTATGTAAAAATATAAAATAATATCAAAAGTATATGCTTCTATGTGTCTAGAAAGAAATCATATAAACTAAGTATATAAATAAGCATATATACTAAGTGGTTAACTACTCCTTTTGTAGAGTAGGAATAAGAGCAATGTTTACTTTTTATTTAATGCATTTCTATATTGTTTGTCTTTTATAGCAGGAATGCATTGTTTAAAAAATTGGAGAAATGGCAAGTTATAGAAAGGAGATAACTACGTGTAGTAAAATAACAACAATAAATAAAATCACTAAACATCAGAGCAAAATCACATTTGTCAATTTGATTCAGAAGGTTTCCAAAATGTCCAATACAATTATAAGAAGATAATATGGCATATGAAGATAAAAATTAAATGTAGTTATTATAATAAAACTTTTGTAAAAATAGGACAGTAGTATGCCAAACAGATTACTCTCAAATTTTTCTATTTAATTTATAAAATAGTATTAAGCCTGTAATGTATAAAAGGATTCATGGAAAAATCACAATTTTAAAAATAATCTGGCTTTCAAAGTGTATCTTAATTAATAATAAATATCACATCATGTACTATAACAACCTAAGTGAACAATACTGGGATTAAGGCCACAAATTTGACCACATCATGACTTTAAGGATGTTACAGTATAACTATGTTAAAAGAAAAACATTTTACTAAATTGGACTATTAAATTTCCTAAGAAAAATGTTACCTTGCCTCTTAAGAAATTAAAAAGCAACCTCTGGGTCATTTTCAGTAACTAAGTTCTAAACTGCTTCTTTCATTCATTCAGTAAAAAACATGTTGATTGACTCTCATGTATCAAAGATAAAGAAGTGAATAAAGCAAACAAAGAAAAACTGTCCTGGTGATGCTCACATTCTAGAGGATGGAGAAAGAATAAACAAAATTAATAAACAAAATTAATTTTAAAATATTTAGAATGTTAGTGATAAAGGTAAGGGAGAAAAATTAAGTAGAGAAAGAAATAGGGATTGGGGGTAATTTTGAGTTTAACAGACAAACTGAGGAGATATTGGAGTCAAGATCAGAAAGAGGGCTGGGCATGGTGACTCACACCTGTAATCCCAGAACTTTGGGAGGCCAAGGCGGGCGGATCACTCGAGGTCAGAAGTTTGAGACCAGCTTGGCCAACATGGTGAAACCCATCTTTACTAAAAATACAAAAAAATTAGCTGGGCGTGGTGCAAGCCTGTAATCCTAGCTACTTGGGAGGGTGAGGAGGGTGGATTGCTTGAACCCAAGCGGTGAAGGCTGCAATGAGCCCAGATTGAGCCATTGCACTCTAGCCTGGGTGACAGAGCAAGACTCCACCTCAGAGGAAAAAAAAAAAAAAAAAAAAGAGGAAAAAAAAAAAAACAGAGAGAGGTGGAAAAAGTCATGTCACTGTCTGGGGGAAGGGATTTCTAGGCATAAGGGCAGAAGGGGCAATGATGCAAAGGCCTAAGGTATTGCCTGCTTTTTTATGTTTAAAAATTAAACAGGCCCATTCATTGGATCAAAATGGTAGGGAAGAGAAGTGGTAGAAGAGGAAGTTAGAGAGATTGAGGCAGATCTTATAAGACCTGCAATCTCATTACAAGGACTTTGCTTTTATCTTGTGCAATATGGGAAGCCAACAGAGGGTTTTGAGCACGGAAAAGGCACAATTTGTCTTATGTTTTACCAGCATTCCTCTGACTGTTGTGTTGAGAGCACTCTAAAGGGATGTAAAAGTGGAAATTTAGACAACAGATAGGAGACAACTGCAAGAATCTAGAGAGAGATTATGGCAGCCCAGAGCCATGTTGGCATTAAAGGGTACAGAAGATAACAGCAGTGCCTTGCCCATATTTCCTGGATCTTATAGTTCAGTTCATGCCATTTAACTTCTAACTGCCAGCATCAACATATCTTTGCTTGAAGGCTATCTGGGACTGGAGCTAACTTGTCCCATGCATGCAGAAGCCCAACAATATCCACTTTCTCCCCTTGGACAAGCACCCACACCAATAACAGACCGGAGTTGGTATATAAATACCACAGTGTTGTTATTTCTGAAGTGGAATGAAGCTGACACATGTATTTTACAAGAGCTCCAGATTTCCCCAGGGCAATTTACCACCAGTTGCCTATTGTGGAAACTTCCTTGATTATGTACCTCTTACTAGCTGCCTTCCCTTTCTTGTCTCATTTCCCCACTTCCTACTATAGTTTCCTGGAATCACATCCAAAACAGCTACTGGCACTCAAATCATTCCCAGGATTTGGGTCTGGTAGAAATTCAACCTAAGTTAGAAGTGATCTTAGAAGGTATTAACTGATATAATGAAAACTACAATGGAAACATTTTGGAAGCCATGAAGGTAAGAAGTTTAATTCTGGACATGTAAAGTTAGAGGTCCTGGTAGATACCCAAGTGGAGATTTGATTATGCAATTAGATAAGTGAGTCTGTACTTCAAGGAGAAGTCTTGGCTTCCAACATAAATTATGGTGCCACCAGTATATAAATGTAATTCAAAACCACGACACTGGGTGAGGTCTCCAAGGTAATGTCTGTAGATAAAAAGACAGAGTTCAAGAACTGTGCTTTGGCTGCTCCAGGGTTAAAAGTCTAGTGCAAGAGTCAGCAAATCATGGCCTGTGGGCCAAAGCCAACCAATGGCCTCTGTTTGTATGGTCCTTAAGAGTTTTTGTTTGTTTGTTGTTGTTTTGGTCTTTTTTTTTTTTAACTTTTAAAGTGTTGTGAAAACAAAAAGAAGAAGAGGAAGAGTAGGAGGCAGCAGTGGTAGCATAAGCAGCAAAGGAAGAAAACTAGGGGACAGAAACTCTATGAAATCCACAATGCCTAAAATACTTAGTATTGGCCCTTTACAGGAAGTTTGCTGACCTGTGGTATAGAGGAAGAATGGAAATCAGTGAGAGAGAGTGAGAAGGAGTGAACAGAGTGGTAGGAGGTAAAAAAGAAGGAGAACGTGGTACACCAGAAACCAAATGAAGAAAGATGTCCAAGGAGAATATCAACTGTATCAAAATATGTAGATAGCAGTATTATAATAAATTAATTGAATAAGAAACACGGATGTCATTAAAAACCTTGAAAAACATCATTTCATTGGTTGTAAGGAAAAAAGTAAGATTACAGTGGGCTTGATGTAGAAAGCACATTTTTCCAGTTCCAGCCATGATGGGATAGGTTTTTTCAGACCAGATCGCCTACTGGAAAGATCTTTAAAAATAGAATAATAGAAATATCATCTATTTGAGAACATTGGTGATCTATTAAAGCAGTAGACTAGCGTATACAAGATCCTAGAAAGAAGGGAAGGCCAGAGTTGTGATCCAGATATTTGGTATCTACTTTCTTTCAAAATATTTGCTATTATTTGAATGTAAGAAGCTGAGAAACCGAGATGATAAGAAACTGAGAAAGTAGACACAGAGGGTAAGAAGTTCAGCAAAATTTTAGGATGCAAAGAATTAGAGTTCTGAGCTCATCAAAAAGAAAGTTTCCTAGTAAACATCCAAGGTTTCAGTTAGCTTTCAAACGTCTACATCTTAGAAGCTGGATAATCAAAAAACAAAACCAGTTCTCATAAAGATTTAAGCCAAGCTTTTAATCAGACTTATCATTGATTGAACAGAAGTGATTTGGCTTCATTCTAAATGACTACCAGAAGTAAACTAAATTCTTTTTGAAAGCAAAAAAAAAAAAAAAAAAAAAAAAAAAAAACCTGAAAACAACTTAGAATTCTATTTCCTGTTGAAATATGCTTCAGAAAATGAAGGTTAAATATAGCATTATTAGGCAACCAAAAGCTGAAAGAATTCAAATTCAGAAGAAATGCTCTAAAGAAAGCTCTGCGGACAGAAAAAAAGATTCTGCTTGGATGCTCAGAAATGCAGTAACAAAAAGGATTTAAATAATAAAAATTATGGGTAACTATAAGAAAAATTTACCTATAAAACAATAATAATACTATCTTGAAACATTTGAATATATAAATATGTGTGTTAGTGTTATTTTATTAAGGATATGTAATTATAATATGTGCAAAAGACAAGAAGACAGTATAAAAGCAGTTAAAGTGTTCTATGGTGGTTGCATTTTCTAGGAAGTAGAATAAGTTATAATTTACATTTTATTTAATAACACAAAGGTACATGCCATAATCTTCAGGGCAACTACTAAAATACTAACAAAAATTGCAAAGGTCAAAATAGGGAATGGAATTATTAAAACACATACTAGGTGGTACATAAGATAGTAAGATGGCAGACTTAAACCCTAATTAAAGAAATTATATTAAGTATAATTTCTTTATTATAGTATTAAGTAGAATAAATCATAATAAAAATTTAGAGACTATGTGTTTTCTAGCCTCCAAGATGACCCCCAGTGATTCACATTCTTCCCACTTGCAAACTGTACTTATCCCCTTCCAAGGCTTCTAAAGGTCTCATCTCATTACATCATCAGCTCAGAGTACAGAATCTTTTCACCTAAATTGGGTCCCAATGCAGATGAAGTAGCCAAAGTACAGGTTCTCTTGATATATGGACCTGTGAAACTAAAAAGACAAGCTATCTGCCCTGACACACTCAACATATAATCGCAGGACAGGAACAGTATAACTAATGTGTTAGCTTTCTGTTACTTTATAAAAAATTACCAAAACTTTGCTTCCTAAAGTAACTGTCTTAGTCAATGTGTGCTGCTACAATAAAATATTATAGACTGGGTGGCTTATAAACAACGGAAATTTATTTCTTATAGTTTAGGAGGCTGAGACATCCAAGATCAAGGTGCTAGCAGGTCTGGTGTTTGGCGAGGGCCCATTTTCTTATCTAAACATGGCCATCTCATTGTATCCTCACATGGTGGAGAGCACAGAGCAAACTCTCTGGAGTCTCTTTTATAAGGGCACTAATTCTGTTTATAAGGGTTTCACTCATTACCTAATTATCTTCCAAAGTCCTCACCTTTTAATATCATTATATTGGGACTTAAGATTCCAACATATGGATAAGGGGGGAACAGAGGCACAAGGAATCAGTCCATAACAATTACACACACATTTATTGTTTCACTTTCTATAGGTCAGCAATTCAGGTATGACTTAACTGGTCCTCTACAAGGCTGCAATCAAGATGTTGACCAGGCATGAATTCTCATCTGGAGCTCAAGTGGGGAATTATCCACTACCAAGCTGACTAAAATATTGGCAGAATTCATTTTCTCACAGCTATATGACGTTGGGACTTACTTGTTGCTGGCTAGCAGCACGAGGTCACTCTTGGCTCCTAGAGGCTTCCCACAGTCCCTACCACATGGCCCTTTACTTAGGCAGCATATAATAGCTTACATCTTTAAAGCCAGCTAGAAAACAAGAAAGAACCTTCTAGCAATACAAAAATTTTTAAAGGAAATATAATCGCAGGGTAACATCACATACATTTGTCATGGTCTACTGGATGGAAGCTACTCACAGGTCCTACTCACACTCTAGGTGTAGAGGTTACATAAGGTATGAACATCCAGGAGGTAGAGATCATGGGACCACCTTAGAGTGTTTTTGCTATATATGCTATAGACATTTTTGTTCAAAAAAGAGAAAAACGGTAGGCCAAGCAAGTCACTGGTTCATAGCAATTCCAAATCCAGCTGGGAAAATCTTGGCAGTTCACTTATTAGGGCTCATGGCCTGGGAATAATTCCATTACTTTCAGCTCCACCCTATGCATATTCGGTTCTGCAATCAATTGTCATTTCTTTGTCATGAGACATGCATACAGCTGAGTGGTTTTCTTTTCCTTCTTCCTGACAGTAGAATTTTGGACTCAAATGGAATCATTTTTATATTGTCTATTTCATACTGTCTAAGTGCCTTTCAGTCCAAGCCAGCAGCATTTATGCTGATATAATTTTCTCAAAAACCTCACAGGCATCCTACTCATGAGTGTTCACAGCATTACAAAAGAGCCATGTCCACACATCTCCAAGTCTGAAACAATATTTTAAATATAAAGCCAAGAAATTTCATAGACCTCATTTTCATATTAGACATGGGTCCATGTTCTGAGTTAACTGGATAATCAGATGTTGGATTACATGGATGTATCCATGTGTTCACCCATAGTGCTGAACTACTACCCTAAAGGGTAACTGGCCAGAAGGATTATAAAAAAACAAGCACTTCCAGTTATTATATACAAGTATGGAGAAATATCAATAGAAATATTGGACAATGTCTTGCATACTGGCACAATGCAAATTTGTTCAGTTTGATTTGTAGAATCATCTATTCCTAGTCATGTTCAATTGTTTATGATTGGAACGAGGCCAATCTTGGTCACAGGAGGAAAGAGATAACTGCATAAACAGTGCTTTACAAGGTTTATTATCAATGACTTTGGCATGATAATATGGTGATGAGATTTGGATCAAGATTTGAAACTGCCTTAGAAAATCTAGAAGGAAAAGGTAATCAAAAATGTATTGAAATTTATCAGGTATGAACAAGATGATAGAATAATTCACTTGAGGGAGCAAAGCCAATTGGGAATGAAAATTAGGTTTGCTTCTGTCAGGAATGATCTAATATGATCCTACCTGAGGCAGGAATTCTATTAATCTTTTCCAGTTCTTTGATTCTAAGTTCTAAAAGAAAGAGAAACCTTGGGGGAAAAAAAAACTGTGTATGACTTGAGATCTTTCCTGCTGTCTCCTGGGGGCATTTAGTGCTATAAATTTCCCTCTAAACACTGCTTCAGCTGTGTCCCAGAGATTCTGATACATTGTGTCTTTGTTCTTATTGGTTTCAAAGAACTTATTTATTTCCACCTTAATTTCGTTATTTACCCAGTAATCATTCAGGAACAGATTGTTCAGTTTCCACATAGTTGTGCAGTTTTGAGTGAGTTTCTTAATTCTGAGTTCTAATTTGATTGCACTGTGGTCTGAGATACTGTTTGTTATGATTTCTGTTCTTTTGCATTTGCTAAGGAGTGTTTTACTTCCAATTATCTGGTCAATTTTAGAATAAGTGTGATGTGGTGCTGAGAAGAACGTATATTCTGTTGATTCGGGGTGGAGAGTTCTGTAGATGTCTATTATGTCCACTTAGTCCAGAACTGAGTTCAAGTCCTGAATGTCCTTAATTTTCTGTCTCGTTGATGTGTCTAATATTGACAGTGGGGTGTTAAAATCGCCCACTATTATTGTATGGGAGTCTAAGTGTCTTTGTAGGTCTCTAAGAACTTGCTTTATGAATCTGGGTGCTCCTGTATTGGGTGAATATATATTTAAGACAGTTAGCTCTTCTTGTTGCATTGATCCCTTAACCATTACATAATTCCCTTCTTTGTCTTTTTTGATCTTTGTTGGTTTAAAGTCTGTTTTATCAGAGACTAGGATTGCAACCCCTGCTTTTTTTGCATTCCATTTGCTTGGTAAGTATTCCTCCATCCCTTTATTTTGAGCCTATGTGTGTCTTTGTACATGGGTCTCCTGAATACAGCACACTGATGGGTTTTGATGCTTTATCCAATTTGCCTGTGTCTTTTAATTGGGGCATTTAGCCTGTTTACATTTAAGGTTAATATTGTTATGTGTAAATTTGATCCTGTCATTATGATGCTCACTGGTTATTCTGCCCATTAGTTGATGCAGTTTCTTCATAGTGCCGATGGTCTTTACAGTTTGGTATGTTTTTGCAGTGGCTGGTACCAGTTGTTCCTTTCCATTTTTAGTGCTTCCTTCAGGAGCTATTGTAAGGCCGGCCTGGTGGTGACAAAATCCCTCAGCATTTGCTTGTCTGTAAAGGATTTTATTTCTCCTTTGCTTATGAAGCTTAGTTTGACTAGATATGAAATTTGGGGTTGAAAATTCTTTTCTTTAAGAATGTTGAATATTGGCCCCCACTCTCTTCTGGCTTGTAGGGTTTCTGCAGAGAGATCCACTGTTAGTCTGATGGGCTTCCCTTTGTGGGTAACCAGACCTTTCTCTTTAGCTGGTCTCAACATTTTTTCATGCATTTCAACTTTGGTGAATCTAACGATTACATGTCTTGGGGCTGCTGTTCTCGAGGAGCATCTTTGCGGTGTTCTCTATATTTCCTGAATTTGAATGCTGATCTTGAATGACTTTACATTTGTACTGATATTAAATTTTATCAACCTGTTTCAAATGCACAAGTGTTTAAAATGTATTAGTAATAATTGTGTATAACTACTCAATTCCTTGAAAAACAATGTCTTGATACAATAGATTAACATGATATATATAAGTTAACAATTTCTAATGAACCTATACAAACTGCTAGCCTATGAAACCTATATCTGTTCATACATTTCTAATGTCACAAACTTATCAGAGATGGAGGAAGTGAGGAACCATGACCTGCCAAACATGATCAGTGTTCAGTGGTCTATTTTAAATTTCTGTAAACATTTTACAGTCCGTAGAAACATTTCTCTTTTCCAATTTATTTTGTATCAAGAGGGCTATCATCCAGATCAGTTCAGTCCAGTCCAGTTCAACATGAGTATTTTGAGTACTCTCTAATCCTTGGCCAGGCTGTGGTGAAGACTGTAAGGAGAAGAGAATGGAAGCTCCCTGTCCTGTCCTCAGGAAAATTCCACACCCTCAGGGAGCTTAAAGGAAAAAATGCTCAAAGCAGTATTTCCCGAAATATGTTTTTTTTTAAAAAATCTCTTTTGCTTCCACTTGTTGCTCTCCAGGAAGAGTTTACTTCAAAGAAGTTTGGGGAACATGATATTATTTCCCATACTTGGATATTCACAGTTCATATTAGCATTTCAAACACTCTGAGAAGTCTAGTACTAAAGAAACATGTTCAATTTTGCTTAAGTCAACATTTATTAACCAGGGCACACTGTTTTGGTGTGATACTTATTGATGTACTTTAAAATACTCTCTGCTGCTTTAAAAAATACTTTGAAAATGTCCAAGTTTAAATGAAAATACATTCAGACTTTTACTCAAAACAAGCATAATTTCATGACTTATTTCATGCTTAGCATTTGAAACACAATTTAAAATAATTAAAATCATAAAGAAATCTAATCATAACCTTGAATAACACTATTATTGTGGTGTCTCAGTCTGATACTTTTGTATTCACATTAAATTGACTGCTATACTTCAGAATATCATTTTATTTTTATTATATCCGAATCCATACAATAACAAGTTATATTGTAATGAGACTCTAATATGTCAAGGAATGGGACAAGGTTCACAGTATATATACTTCAATGTTTAAGTAAATTTGTCATATATGATACTATAAGATCCTCTAACATCTATATTAAAGTAAAATTAATTTTATGACAACTACATATTGACCAAAAGAAATATGAAACAAGATAACAATGCATAATCAAATGATTGCTATCTTTCATTTTGCTTTTGGATATTAACTCTTAGTTGGAAATATAAAGATATATTGATATCTTTCATATGTCAATCAAATACCCAGTTACACATGAGTATAACATCACATCCATGTGTAAAAACTTGCCTTGTCAATCAAATATCTTGTTATACACAGGTCTGACATCAAATTTAAGTATAATAAGATATAAGATTGACAACTAATGAGTCAAATGTGAGAAAAATACACTGTCCTTTGTTTTTCCCTGTTTAAATTAGACAGTTCTTAGTTTTTCATTCACTCATCACTAGTCCAATTTGTAACGTTTCACTCTTACTGCAATGCCTGTCATAATTCCATTCAATTTTTTGTGCCATTGTGCTTTTATTGACATGTAAAGGCATGTGATCTACATATATTGATGATTATATGGTACTAATTAAAAGGTCAAATATCAGAGGATATATAGCCATATCAAGACAATTTCTAAAATTAGAAAGTGCTTCACAGATTATCCTGAATAATAACAAAAACAAAAATAGAATCCCCAAAGAATATACAAATTTTGTATTTTTGACATCTATCAATAAAACCTATAGCAGTTACTTATGCCAACCAATGCCACAAAAGTTTTAGATTTACTCTCCTTATCTCCCAGGATCTAAGGCACTCCTGGGCCTAGCAGGATGTATCCAGTGGTATTTAGTGCCTCATGGCTTAAAACTGCCCTAGAAGTAAGACCTAGCAAAAGCAACACCTGAGTAGTCACACCAGTTAAAACATTGTGTCATTATGAGCTACTAGTGATAGGTCTTTCGGACTATATATTTTTGGACAAAGTTAAGTCAGCTGGGAAGAGACAAAAACTGCCCCATTACTTTGGTCATAATACATCAAAATATGTAGGTATGTCTATACACTTTCCTAGGGCTTGAGGGCAGCCCCCAAACGTTTATCTGAAGCCAGAGGTATTAAGTTATATCAATCCAATGTCATGGATATAGAGCTAAATCAGGGCAGTTTAATTCAAATAAAATATATTGAGCTCCTTCCTAAAGTAAAGCATTATGCTAGGTTAAAAAAGGTGAAAACAACAGTTGGCAATATAACGTCCTTGACTTTAAAATGTTTATTGTAGTAGGAGGTTTGGGCAAGAGATGAAGTAATTCCTAAACAAAGCAAAAACCTTACATTTGTTTTAAAGTGGGCCGGCAAATATCATGAAGGATTAAAGGAGGGAAGAGTCCATATTTATGGCATATCATGAATTAAAACATAATTTAGATACAGAAAAAAGAGAAGATCAAAGATCACGGAGTAGATCAAATATACTGAAATTTGGAGAAACAGGGAGATGTTCAACTTAGAGAGAAGAGAAGTTGAAGAAGTGAGAAAGTTGCTTGGCCCTTTTAAAGAAGCTGAATGAAGTCCGAAAGTCATGTACCAAGTTGATTAGATATTCAATAATAAAGATTTTTTAATTGGTCAGTTTTAGTTTGTGTTGTTTAAGGCAAAGAGAAGAATCAGAAAGACCACCTGGTAAACTATTGCACTATTCTCAGCAAATCATAATAAAAATATGTTAGAACAGCCAAAAGAAACTCAAGAATAGAGGTAAGAGGCATTAAAGAGATGCACTGTAATAGACTCAGCAAATAACTGGACATGGGCAATGGAAGAAGGAGATACCAGAGACCATCCCAAGTGAATTCAGTGAATAATAGAGGATGGAGGTGAAACAGAAAGCTGGAAAAGCCATGTGGAGAGTTAAGACTAGAAGAAAATGGAGTGCAGAAAACATGACTGTACATATGATGAAAGGCTCACAAAGGTTAAGAGACAGACTGGAGACAGAAAAGTTGGAAAGAAAGAAACCAAACTAGAATATAAGATGGGAATAGTATCAATAAAAAATGGAATGAAAAAAAATCTCACAATCAACTAGCATTTCTCTCCATCTCTTGCTAAAGCACCACAAGCCATAAACTAAATAGTTGGCAGCAGATAAAGGTAGCTCCCAGCCCCATCAATGGGAATCATACTCAGTCATCCGCATCCTTTCTTCCCTCTCTCTTTACATTCTGAATGCAAGCCCACAGTACGTGAATGGCAGAACCAATCCCTCAATTCAGCCATATTCATTTTCCTGTGGCAAGATTTTTAAACGGAAAATGGAAGTTTTCAATGGAAGCACAGAATAAAAAGCTAATCTCTACAGCATCTGAGCATGACACCCAGACTGTATTATGGTCATGAAAGATCTTTTCACAACTGAACAAAGATGTGTTTTCTCAGCCCAGCCACTGTTTTTGTGACATCTTGAGGCTGCATGTCACAAGAATATTCCTTGGTAAATTCTAATCATTTTCTAACAGCTGTGTGCTCTAAAAATTTTTTTCAAAGGTTAGTAACTAAAGAAGTTTTCACTTAGGTTTGATCAACATTACATTTTAGCAAAGATATATTTAAATGTACATATTACTTATTGTGGTTCATCCTGTATAAATCTTTCTTCAAACTAAATTATACTTATTAGGCTTCAGATAAATGCATGACACAGTCATGTAGGATTATTCTAGGGCTATAAATACTGGAAGGGGAAAAAGAGCGAGATGTAGAACCGAAACTTGGCAGAAAGCAACAATCTATTCTGACAGATGTGACCTTATCAAGTTTATAAGTGTCATCATTGTCATTTATATGTTCTGTGAAAGGGATGGTCTGTTATTATAGGATGCTTCTATTTATTAATTGGAAAAGCTTTTGATAGATGACTAGAAAAGATACTTTGTAGAAATTGGGAATTAATACACACTTGCTCACATACATGCACATGCATGCACGCACACACACACACACACACACACACACACACACATCCGCAAGAGTACACATCGAATCTTGAAATCCAAGTGCTTAATTGCCATTTGGTCTACTTGAGGGCATGCAATTATCAGAATATAATTCTAACTTCAAGAAACTGTTTATACAAATGTTAAACACATATTTTTATATTTTTTGCACATGCTTTTTTACACTAGCTTTTTTATTTGAATCAAATAATATTAGTAGAAAGATAAATATATATTTGTTCTTCTGATCAAAAGCAGCAATCTTACTTTTTCTAAATTACTTACTTTAAGTAATATTAAATGCAGATGCATGGAAGCTATTTTCCCAAGGCTTTACAATACATTTTGTATATCCAATGATAAAGTTAATCCAATATATGCATTTTCTCAAAAATATAATTATTACATAGAATTTATAAGTCTGGTGAAAAAGTACCCAAAATCACTCCCACTATTTCTTATTATTTTTATCTTAAAAGTGTTTCACTGTTGCAAATCAACGTTACTCAGATAAATATTTTCATTTGCTGGGTAGCAGAAGTTCTGATAATGTCCGTAATTATAACAGTATATCTGTTTTGTTTGCATTAGATAAAAATCATTAGCATGTATCTATCTAGCAAAGGTATTTGGGGATATTATGGGATATGCATCAAGTGGTCTTGTCCCAGATTTAATTATGGGACACTTGTTATTTAACAGATACTCTTCTGGGTAATGTGGGATACATTTGTGAACAAAATAATTAAAAAATTTTGTCTTCATTTGAATATGATAAAATGCCAAGGCAGAGGTGGAGGATAGACATGCATTAGGGATTAAACATGGTTGGAGAGGAGCTTGGGGGTTCCATTTTAAAGACAGTGGTCAGATCTGAGGCCAACTTTGAGATTATTATTGGGCAATGACTTGAAGGTAATGAAGGAGATAGAAGAAACTGCCAGTGCATAATTTCTACAATAGAAACATGCCTGGCATAGTCAGGAGACAGTAGAGAGTGATTAAAGGAGAATGAGGGAATGAGAAAAGAGTGAGAGAGAAGACAGAGACTGCAGTACCAGATCCTATGGGATTTTGTAGGTCACTGGCTTCTAACTGGAAACAGAACCATTGCAGAGTTTTAGAATAAGGTAGCAAGATTTTGACTTACATTTTAAAAGGGTCACTCCAGATTGCTGTCTGGAGAACTGTGCTGAAGCAAGAAGGATCATTAGAAGGCAGTAACTCCTGGCATGAAGTGGTGGCTCTTGCCTATAATTCCAACACCTTGGGAGGCTGAGGAGGGTGGATCACCTGAGGTCAGGATATCAAGACCAGCCCGGCCAACATGGTGAAACCCCATCTCTACCAAAAAATACAAGAATTAGCTGGACGTGGTGGCAGTTGCCTGTAGTCCCAGCTACTCAGAGGCTGAGGTGGGAGAATAGCTTGAGCCTGGGTGTAGTGAGCCAAGATTGCCAGCCTGGGCAACAGGAGTAAGAAAAGGCAGTTAATCCAGTTAAAAGAGGCTAGAATTAGCAGAGGTGATAATCGTGAGTTTGTGGATATATTTTGATGGAAATTGCTGATGAATTGATGGGAAATGTTGAGGAAAAGAATGTTTTAAGGATGATGTAAGGCTTTTGTCCTTGCACCTTGGAAAGATGTCGTTGCTATTTATTTCCATTGGGGAAATTTGCTTTAAGTAATTACATGACAGAAACTAGTTTAATACATAGGAAAATGATTCTTATTGGAGGCTATTCATTGAAATAACTATTGATTCAGGTTCAACTAATTGAGAATATTTGATGACCCACCAGAGTAAGACAGGCTGAAGACTTCCTTTGTATCATCAATAAAACTAAGATTTGCAAAGAATATTAATACTGCTTATAAATTTCAGGAAGAGTGGAACATAAAACTAACTTGGAAAAAAACCTTTTTTCTGTTTTTTAGAAGTATTCCTTTTAACAGGAAGATTTTGTATGAATAGAGAGCCTTAAAGGAAGGCTCTGTGAAACCTGAGCTTGGCAACACATATTTTTATGTAGCTGTGAACAGCTGCTTTGCCTGAGTCAGCCATGAAGCTAAGCTGCCTCTCACAAAGTATAACACATACATGGCCTGACTAAATTATTAAAAAAATTCAGCCTCTCCAGTAATCAAAGTCATGTAAATTTAATAAACTGTAAGATTCCATCTGACATCCATCAGATTAGTAAAAGGTTGAATTGTTTAAAACAATGTCTGATTTTCAGGTTCAAGAAAAACCAAGTGCATACATTTGTCTTCCCTTTCAGCCAAAATCCCACTGAAATTATAGTTGAGATGTATACACAGAATATATAATGGTAATAACAAGGGAAGTGAGTACCATAAGCAGATAGATCTTACAAACTTCCAGAAGATGGATTGCAAATGGGATCATTTTTAAAGGCATGACCAAACAGAGATAGCAGAAGCTCAGAATTAGTACAGAGAAGTCTTCATCAAAGGTGAAAGCCACTATTTCCCTCAATGCCCTCGAGAGGAGTCACCAATGTAGTCAGCAGATTTGTAGAGCAATCATGAGCTGTAGAACTAAAATCAGTATAATTGGTAACAAGGCTGTCCACAGAACAGCTAGAAGATACCTTTGTCCACACCATCACCTTGCACACATACAAAATGCTAGCCTGATAGCATTTGGCTTCTCACAGAAACTAGAGAACTCTCGTCCAAAAAAATGTGACAATACTGGGCAGACAGAGGGGAAGACAGAATGTGAATAAATTTATAATAAAGTCATATTATTTATTTAGAAATAGTACCCATTTCATGGCATCATCTAACCTAATGATTATCAAATTGTATTATTCACTTAAAAAGTAGGAATCAAAAGGACTCAAATTTAAATGTTCATAAGAGTACCAGGGATCTAATTTAAAAGATATGTCTAGACTCCTGAAGGTCTGATTTAGAAAGTTTGCAGTGGGACCTAGGAATATGCATTTTGAGCTAATTCCCGGTAATGACTATAGCGTAGGTGGTGGGGAACAGAGTAAAAGGGAAATAAATATTAGTCACCTTTTGTGGGCTCTCTGGTATTAGCACTTGCATCTTCATCATTCTTTCTTTATAGAAGCCCTTCCTTGTTCCTA
The DNA here is from genome assembly GCF_000001405.40 of Homo sapiens. Classification (NCBI taxonomy): domain Eukaryota; kingdom Metazoa; phylum Chordata; class Mammalia; order Primates; family Hominidae; genus Homo; species Homo sapiens. The sequence continues at coordinate 23,279,838 of NC_000009.12, forward strand.
TATATATATTCATCTCCTACTTACACATCAAAATCCAACTAAAAGCTGTCACCTGCCTCCATTGAAATCTCTCTCCTCTAAATGGCTATGCTTTTTTTTGTTCTACTTATATACAATAACAACAGCACACTCCTTTAACATACCTACATTATATCATGATATATATATATATTATATCATGATATAATGTAGGTATGTTATATTCCATATCTCCCTCTCGTGTCTTACTAATGTGTAACTTAGCCAAGTGATTGGAATATATTAGTTTGACCAATATTTATGCATAGGTAATGGGTTTATTATTTTTATTGAAAAAATTAAGTTAATACTTTACTCTTTCTGTGCTTTCCATTGTATCACTCCACTCAGGTAAAAAGGGAAGGAAAAGGAAATAAAACATAAAAAGTAAATTCTGGAACTATGTCACAATTTAAAAAGACATCATTTTTTAACATCTCCATGTACCATTATTTTATTAATTTCAAGTTAATGAGTAGAGATGTTAAAAGGTAAATCTTTGGCACTCATGAACTTGTATCAGTCCACATGTTTTTCCAAATTATCTATTATGGGTAGTTATGCAGGATACATATTAACTGTTCTGAAAAGTAAATTATTGTCTAAGAAAGAAAATAAACAGCAAAAGATAAATCCAGCATTAAGCTCACTAATTAGAGTTTAGAAATCTATGGAAAGAGCATTGGTGTCTTCAAGTACGTATAATCTGAAAAGGCCTAAATTATTAGATATTTTCCATAATCATAATAATCTCAGGTTTGAAAAATAATGTGTTACTTTTAGTCTTAAAATAAATTTACTGTTTAAGTTGCAAAAGCAAAACACACTCATGTTAACAGAGACATTAAAGACTAATAAATAGAAGTGTTCATCAATTTCTCCATCCTCTTCCACTTACTACAATTCTCTTCCCAGGCCACACTACCATTAATAAATTATGTGAGTTACCTCAGAGTAGGTTTCTATACATTCACAAAATAATAATAGTTATGACATTTATGAAGTGTTAGCTCTATGCAGAACACTTGACTATTTGCTTCAAATGGATTATCTCATTGATGTTCTTAACTACCTTGTGAGATACAGATCATGAATATCTCTGTTTTTCCAGGGAAAGAACCGATACTTAGAGAAGCTCACTAATTTGTTCAAGGGCACGAAGCTAATAACTGGTGAAACAAATATTTAAATCAAAGCAGAATGGCTCCAACTTTACATCTCCATGCCATAATATAACTGCAAAACATATATATTTAATTATATATAGGAAATACATTAAGATGTTACTTTTAAACATATATGACTTTTGTAACATAGATGAGATCCATTATATGTATTTTTCTCTGAGTTGTAAGGATTAAACGAGATGTGCTATGAAAGTACAAAGCATGGCACATGACATGCAGTTGCCATTAGTGTCCCTTTTAACTAAACACAATCAGGCATTTGACCTGAAGTTATTTCTGTTCATCACAGCACCTGTCACATACTAGGTGCTCAATATATATTTTTTTCAGCTTTGTTTTAATTTTTAGAGTCATCAATTTACATTTTAAAAGAAACTTTTCTTCTTCTCACATCTATGGCAAATAGCTACTGACTGTTTGTACACATTTCCTTTAAAAAAATAAAATCCAGGATCTCAGGTTCTGAGATTTATCCTTGAAGCCAACTTACCACAGAAAAACTATATGATAGAGAACTTAATGATAACATTAGGAAATAAGAATGGATGGTACCATGGTAATAGAATTTTGATACACTTTTTTTAGCAAAAAAAAAAATAATGAAAGCAGGAAATTGAATGTCTATATGTTCTGTCAGGCTTTATTTTTTTTAAAAGAAGTAGATGAAGAAAAGCTGAAAAAATTGGAAATGAATCAAATTGTTACTTAAAATACAGAGATGGTTTCCATTTTTTAATACACAAAAATGTGAATTTTTATTTTGAGACAAAGTCTTGCTTACTCACCCAGGCTGCAGTTCAGTGGGGTAACCTTGGCTCACTGCAACCTCCACCTCCCGGGTTCAAATGATTCTCCCACCTCAGCCTCCTGAGTAGCTGGAACTACAAGGGCGTGCCACCATGACCGACTAATTTTTGTATTCTTAGTAGAGATGGGGTTTAGCTACGTCAGCCATGGTTGGTCTCAAACTCCTGACCTCGGATGACCCACTCACCTCGGCCTCCCAAAGTGCTGGGATTACAGGTGTGAGCCACCACAACCAGCCTCAAAAAAATGTGAAATTTTGAACAAAATAAAATAAATATTAGTTTTTGAGCGTGCTTTATATTTCATCCTTTTCCAAACAAATTTTGGTGAAAATACTGTTTTACATAGGATAATTTATTTAAAATATATTAACGTAAAAGCTGATCTGATCAAAGCTACAGCAGATGGCTGATGAAATTTATAATAAGAACCTACTTGCCCTCTTGATTCATTTCTAATGGAACCCAAAGAAGTTTTTGGAATACAGCACTTCTATTTTCAGGAGGTTAAATACTTTAAATAGTAACCACTAGTATAACTTGTGGGCCATTATATATTTAATAAAGAATGTTTTCAAGTCACTTTCCAGTGATTTTAAATTTATTTGCATATATTAGGGGGAATTCAGTTTGTCGCAAAATGTGGTCCATGGACAACCTACAACAACCTATAGGAGAATCACCTGCAGTGGTTGTTTAAAAGTGTCATTTCCTGGGCAGATGTAGAATATGTCAAGTGTGATATGAGAATGTGCATTTTTAATAAGCATTCCACTTGAAGCTTATGTTCCTGAAATTTTTAGAACCATTGACTCAGATTTTACAGTGGAATTATGTTGCTAGAAGCATCAAAATGCATTGGAAAAAATATGTTTAAAAATTCAGCCAAAATTTTTCTAATTTTTAATGCAAAAATAATATAAATATGGTTTTTGCCAGAAATCTTCCTTTGTGAATGAATGACTTCAGTTGGACGCCTTTGTGTATGGATAGAAAAGGGCGTTAATATACATTTTGATGCAACATGTCACAACTCCTCATGTCTGGATAACTTTGCCAGCAATAACAAGTATGGCCTTCCTTTAAGAAATTAAATGTTAGATTTTTCACACTTAGTTTTGGTTTCCATAACAGGCATCTTCCTTGCACGGGGCAAATTATCAAGTATTCACTGGTTTGTGTTTTTCTCTATGATGAGAAATTGCAGTTTTGCCTTTCTTACTACAGAATGTGTTAAATCAAGTCCGATTTTTTTTTAAGAAACAGTATACAAAATGAATTTGGACTGAGTCTATAAGCAGGAAAGGAGCCCAAATTGAATCAGAACTGAAATTATACTTTGATTTAGTTATATACTTCTCCCCAGAAAAAGTGTTCCACAAATGGGAGGAAACAATGCTTCCAACTTAAATAGGAAATAACAAAGTTTTAGTATTTTGATATGTGGTTCCTCTGCAGGTTTCATAGAAGGGCATGTGTACTACATTAAATTACTGTATTAATTGAGCACACACCAAACAATATGCTAGATGATACAAACCATATCTCGTAGACAAGGCGTTGTCTCCATTCTCTAGGAATTAACAGTCTGTAAGTGGAGGGAAGGCATGACACAGCTTAGAATGTAAGAAATGCTATAAAGGAGACATGTATAAAATTTTGAGGATCTCAGGGAAAATAAAGATTATTTTTAATCAAAAAAAAATTTGAAAGTTTTCAAATGAAGTTGACATTTACTTTCAGTCATTCGAAAACAGAGACAGAGCTTCAAGCATAGGGTTTTAACAACCTATTGTATCTTCTTCAACATTTTTGATTGTGTTGTAGCCTCCTTGGTAGAACAAAAGTGCCAGGAAACAGAAAATTGTTAGATTTTTAACCAAACCTAATAGCAAAAATCCCCATATCAGGAAAATAAATTCTACTATTGTATTACCCAATCCTGGGGCCTCTTTTCATGTAGCAATTACCAGTAAGTAGAAGAGGTGAGGTAAAGTGATGTATCAACATCTAGATTTTTACCCTGTCTGTGGGAGATCCTATAAGGTCTACAGAAAATACACAAGCTCATATGGTCAGTAAAATCAGTATCATAGACAAATACAACCATTCTCCTACTACAGAATCTTCTCCAGAAAGCCATCCAGAGCTCACCCAAAGGCATGGCTAGTTAGATTATTTGCTGCTCCTTTCTGATTACTGTTTATATACATATAGTTTAACTATATGTATACAATATGAATTGCTAAAATATTATATATATAAACCTATAAACATATATACATATATGTTCACATGTGTGTGAACATATACAAACATATATTTGTAAACATACAGGTTTACAAATATATACAGGTATAGGTGTATATATATATATATATATATCTGTAAAGAGACCTATGACCAGAGAGTGTTTGTGAAACTCAGCTTAAATTGTATTATCTCCATTATTTGGTCAAATTCTAGCAGCATTCCTGGAACATCAAATTCCCTTGTTAATATGAAGGTAAGCATTCTGTAGTCCCCTCCTACTTATCTTGTCTTCTTTTCTACAGTGTCTTTCTGACATACACACCATCTCCTTAATTCATCAATTTTTTTCAGTCACCTATTGATATAATAAAGCTAAGTAACAAATAGCCATAAAATTTAGTGGCATATAATAATATGCATTTATTTAGCTCATGCATTTGTGGGTCAAATGGGTGTTGGCTGATATGGGCTGGGCTCAGCTGAGTACCTCTGCTGATTTTGGCTAAACTTGCTCATGCATCTTTTATCCTTCTCTTGGAACCAACAGGCTAACCAGGACATGCATTGTTCATCAAACGGCAGAAGTACATGGAAGCAAGCAGAAACTTGCTAGGCTTCCTAAGGCTGAGCCTTAAAACTGCCATAGTGGCATTCTTATCTCATTCTGTTACAAAATGCAAATCACAAGGCCAAACACACATTCAAGAGGTGAGGCCATATACACTACCACTTTAGTGAGAAGAGCTGTAAAATCAGATTGCAAAGTGCACAGATATACCCCACACATGAATTAAGCATTTAACTTGTATACATCCTTAACACCAGTGCTTACTGCTAACCTAATAGTTGTCACAACAGCATGTAGTGATCCAATTGCTTGTTTCCCCACAAAAGACGACGACTTTCTTCGGGGCAAGAACCCTGCCATATTCATCATCACGGTAACTCCAGAACCTCAAATCAAGTATGACATGTAGACACTAACATTTTATGATAGACAGATAGGAGAGAGGGAGGCAGAGGAAGGAGCAAAGAAAAAAGATAGACCATCTCAAGTGCAAGATGTAACTGCTGTTAAGCTATTACCCTACAGATATAATAGGATTCTATTTTCCAACATTTTAAAGTCAGGTATCACTTTTTCTTCCCACTTTCTGACAATATAAGAAAATCCGTTATTAATAATATAAGAAGTGATCAGAAATGAACAAATATATACTTAAGGTATTTTTTCTTAATTTCCTTTTTGAAAACATAGATTAAAATACTCCATCACTTTGAAAATCTATTTCCAATGGTGGAAGGAGCTATAACAGTAGTCATTGTCAGTGTTATTAGGTATGTGGTCTGCCAAAGAAGAGACATTTTATCACTTGGCAGGTATAAGAAATTACATATTGTTAAGGGTCACTGATACAATTGACTTTGGTGTATTCGAAGGTCAAGATTTATTGAAAGAGTAGGACACTTAGGATTAAGAAATGTGGATTTCTTTCCAGGTCAGACCATTTGGGTAAGCTTCTTAAAATTAAACCTCCTTAAGCCTCCACCAAACTTCAGCTGATTCTATATGGGCAGATTTTATTACTAATAATGGTAAATTGTTTGTATTTGTAGGGTTTTTTAAACCAAAGAAGTCAAATTATATAATAGCAGTAGCAATCACTAGATAATTAATACCTAAGTTTTGAGCACTAACAGTGTGCTTGGCAAAGTGCTAGGAGATTGACATACATTATTTTTAATCCTTAAAATAACCCATTGAGGAAACATCTTTTGTCCATCCTTTACAGAAAAGGAAGCAGAGGCTTAGAGAAATTATAACATACTTAAACCAAATAAATTCCAGAGCCAGAATTTAAATACAGATCACTATGATTTTAAAGTTTTTGGGTTTCATAACTTGGCTATTGGGAATAATGCTACAATTAGTGAACATGGGAAAGCAGATATCTCTTTGAGATCCTGATTTCAATTCAATTAATATACACCCAGTAGTGAGATAACTGGACCATATGATAGTTCTAGTTTTAACTCTGTGAGGGATTTCCATACTGTTTTTCCATAGTGGCTGCACCATTTACATTTCCCAACAGTGTACAAGAGTGCCCTTTCCTCTGCATCCTTGCCAAAATTTGTTGTCCTTTGACTTTTTGATAGTAGCTATCCTAATGAGTGTGAGGTGATATCTCCTGTGGCTTTGAGTTGCATATCCCTGATGACTAGTGATGTTAAACACCTTTCAGATATCTGTTGACGCTTTTTTTGGCTTTTTTGGAGAAACATCTATTCAGAGTCTTTATTTTTTAATATGATCATTTTTGCTATTGAATTGGAGTTCCTTATACATTTTGATATTAATCCTTTATCCAATGTATGGTTTTCAAATATTTTCTCCCATTTCATAAGTTGCATTTTCATTTTGTGGTTGATTCTTTTGCTGTGCAGAAGCTTTTGAGTTTGATATAATCCTACATACCTATTTTTACTTTTGTTGCCTGTTTTTCTGTTTTTGTTTTTTTTACTTTTGCTTTTGACATCATATCCAAGAATCATTGCAAGGTCAATGTCAAGAAGCTTTTTACCTATTTTTTTTCTAGAATTTTTATAGTTTCAGGTTTTATGCTTCAGCCATTAATCCATTTTGAGTTTATTTTTGTGTACAGTGAAGGTCCAATTTCATTCTTTTGCATATGGATATTCAGTCTTACCAAAAACATTACCGGAAAAAACTGTTTTTTCCCCATTGTGTACTCTTGGCCCCCTACTAAATCAGTTAACTATATGTGTCTGAGTTTATTTCTGTGCTCTCTACTTACTTGCATTGGTCTATGTGTCTTTTTATGCCAATATCATACTCTTGTGATGCTTTGTTATATATTTTAAAATCAGTAAGTGTGATACTTCCAGCTTTGTTCTTTTTTCTCAGAATTGCTTTGGCTGTTCAGGGTCTTCTGCAGTTCCATATGCATTTTAGATTTGTTTTTTCTATTTCTTTTAAAAAATGCCACTAAGAAAATGCCCACTAATGAATGAATGGATAAAGAAAATGTTGTATACACATATAACGAAATATTATTCAGACTTTAAAAAGGAAATTGTCCTATTTGTGAAAACATGAATGAATTCAGAGGACGATATGTTAAGCCAGACACAGAAGAACAAAAATACTATATGATACCACTTTATGATAACTCTAAAATAGAGTTCTAGAGCCAGGCATGGTAGACCATCTCTCTAATTCTAGTTACTCAAGAGGCTGAGGCAGGAGTATTACTTGAGCTCATAAGCTCAAGGCTGCAGTTAGCTATGATCACACCACTACACCCCAGCCTAAGCAATAGAGTGGGACTCCATCCCTAAAAACAAAAAACAAACAAACAAAAAAAAAAGAGTTAAACAATCACAGAAGAGAAAGTGGACTGATGGTTGCTAGGAGCTGGGGAGAGTGGAAATATGTAGGCATTAGTCAAAGGGTACAAAGTTTTTGTTATACCAGATGAGTAAGTACTAGAGAGCTACTATACAGCATACTGCCTATGATTAATAGTGTATTATATAATTAAAGTTTTGCTACGAGGGTAGATCCTGTGTTCTTATCAGAAAAAAAAATGATAGTAAATAAAGAGGGCTGCAGGAAACTTTTATAGCTGGTAGACTGTGGTAATAGTTTCAGGGATATATACTTATCTCCAACCTTATCAGGTTGTATACATTAAATACGTACAGCTTTTTGTATGTCACTCACACCTCAATAAAGTGATTTGAAGAATAATTATAAAGTTTGTGAATTTTCTTGATAAAACCTGATTATATTCTGCATTTTAAAGCATTATTACTTATTTAGAAAATAACCACCTCTTTAAAACCAGTAGAACGAAGCCTTGAAGTTTCATGCAATATGAAAGTTTCCAACTTCTTTCCTGCTCCACAATCTGTGGATATTAAGCTCACATGTAGCTTATGATATTCAAACAAATTAATAACTGCTTCAATGCCCAGGATTTAAAGTGAGATGTAATAGAAAGGCAAAGTGCACTGACAATCCAAAATTACATATTAGACTACATGTACTTCAGATAATATCTAGGATCTCACATTTTCCATGCATTTATTTTTAAAGCTCTAGTTATGTTTATTAGGAAAACAAGAAAAGAACAATTACAATAAAGCAGATCTGGAGCATATGATTTCATTTTAAATTGCAGATAAAGTAAACCAATGGTTCATGACTGTCATTTGTATCCAATTCTGAGTTCCCAGATATAAAAGACTGCTTTTTCATTCTCTTTCACAATCTGTTGCCTTCCCTCCTTCTTTCCTGTTTTATTTCCTTTGGGAGAGTAAATAAGAGCAATTATTTGATTTTTATTCATTTATTAGCCAGACAACATTTTAACGACATTTATGAAGTTTTAAATAAATGCTAAAAATAATCACACACAATCCATTTTCCCCATCCCTATTAGAGATGAGGAGAAAATGAGATAACACAGGTAGACTGAAATAAACACTAAATAATTATCTCTGTAATGAATTTTTAAAGTGCACCGAAAGGACAGTGTAACTGAATGAATATGTCTTATCAACACATTCAAAAGGCATTTAAAAGTGAACTGTGATCTTTAGCCACTATTGCTTCAGAATTGCAAATAGCGAGATTAGAAACCTAGGGCAGTGAATAGCATTAAATTAGGATAAAGAGAAAGATTGGCACTACGTTTTTGTTTGTTTTTAGTTGAATCAGGGCTGCCCTAGCAAGCATTTAATTTGTGTAAATAAACACGTTGGATGAAAAATAGGATTAATTACCATGTAATCAATGGTATTACAAATACCTTAGCCCAATATTCAGGAATCTACACATGAAATCCAAGTTGAAAAGGACCCAGATGGTGACTAAACAAGGGTCACTTTCCTACATAGTGACAGAGCCCTCATTAGACACTATTAAGACACACAAAGAAGAAATCTAAGAAGTGGCAACAAGTACATGACTTTTTTATATGTGTTAACTTCAATCCTAAATACAACTTTCAATTGCACAAATTATTAGGCAAAAATTATTTCTATTTAGCCCACAAAGATAAAGTGTGTATGCCGCAAAACAGGACTTTATGTCTGTCTGACAAGTTGACATATCTCTTGAATATCATTACTCTCTTGGAACTTTATTCTATCTTCCATTGTATTAGCACCCCACCCCCAAAAGTGGTTATCTTCTGCAAATTTGATGGTGGAAATATTTCTTCCTTTATCCAAGATCCTATTGAGGATATTGCATACAATGAATCTCTGATCTAAGTATGTAGTATTGCTGCTTGTCATGCTATTGCACCTTGTTGCTTCATCTATTAATACTTCCTATAATTGCTACCTTTATGCTGGCTATTAAAGAGGAACATAGTAAGCATTATTCTTCTTGAATATGAGATTAGAAAATAGAGTGGGGCTAGGCGCAGTGGCTCACGCCTGTAATCCCAGAACTTTGTGAGGCCGAAGCAGGCGGATCACGAGGTCAGGAGATCGAGACCATCCTGACTAACACGGTGAAACTCCTTCTCTACTAAAAATACAAAAAATTAGCTGGGCATGGTGGCGGGCACCTGCAGTCCCAGCTACTCAGGAGGCTGAGGCAGGAGAATGGCATGAACCCGGGAGGCAGAGCTGGCAGTGAGCTGAGATCACGCCACTTCACTCCAGCCTGGGTGACTGAGCAAGACTCCGTCTCAAAAAAAAAAAAAAAAAAAAAAAATAGAGTGGAACCTGGATACAAAAACCATTCTTAACTGGGTATGTTATGGAAATAAGAATGAACACAATAAAAGATGAAGAAGGATAAGATTTGAATGCAGAACATGGGCTATGTAGGTATCACTCACCTGACACAAAGAATAACTTTTTCCTTCATAAACAGAAAGTAACGTGATGGCAGAAACTCCCCAAAACATGAAAATGTTCTCTTAAGAGATTCATTTATTCTCCACAACTATCTGTAGAAGCTGATATTATCCTCACTGAATAGATGAGGAACATAAGTTAAGTGAGATTAGTAAAAGTTGCCCAAGGCCATGAAACTAATGAGAAGACAGAATGGGGATGCCTAAAACTAAAGCCTGTGATCTCAACAATGCAAACTGCCTCTCAACCTACCACTTACATTGCCCAGTAACAAGTTCCTTTTGATCATATATTGTATGGCTGTATTCACATATGAAAATTTAAATTCAATATAGCCACACTAAATTGGGAGGATTGTTTCTTACACTCAGATTGGAAATCACAGAAGCAAAATGGACATCAGCATTATCACATCCTTTGAGATGTCTTTAATCTCCAAATTGTATTATTGTACCCCTCCTTCATTTATTCTTTATCACAGTATATATCACTTCATATCAAGATTATCTTCTATTTTGCCTTTTTCATCTTACCAGACTTTAGGAAGCTAGATATGAATGAAGATGGTTTCTAGTATATGAACATCACTGTATAAATGATTCTTGACTGAACTAGTTGAATTTGCATTATTCTGGCCTGCAATTTTGCCAGCCTTTTTGGACTTTTCAACATTTTTAGTCTGTGACAAGCTGCAAAGTGCATGACGCACCATTCAGCTAGCAGTGTGGTAGACACGTACTCATTGGTAGCAGTGGTGAGGGTAGTCATCTCTTCGTTGACACTCTCAAAAAAAAAAAAAAAAAAGAAAAAGAAACAGCTCTTTCTCTGTCTTCCCACAGCTCTCCTCTCATCCCATCTCCCACCCCAAAAAGGCAAGAGAAGTTAGGGAACAGAAGTTATTCCACATACTAAGGCCCCCTTCACCACACACAAAAGGGTCTTTCTGTACTACGTGAACAAGGGAGAATGGGTGTCCTGTGCCTGCAGTCATCAAAGAATATCTCACATAATCTCTGCAAAGTCTCTTCGAAAACCAGGAAAGATACAGATCCTCAAGGCTCACCGTCACATCACAGACAGATGTGAGATATAACTACCAGCCTCCTGAAATAAGTTCATCAGCTCAGAAAAGAACAAACGAGACTTGACAACATTCTTGTCAAGAGAATTGATAGGAAAGGCCAGGGCTTTGCCACATGAGTACACACTGATTGTTGCTCAGGGCTTAGAGAATGATGAGCAAGTAGAGGCTATTTGCTGGGAATGTTAGCCACGAACATTCAGACAAAGAAAAGGATGATTAGAGGAGAACAGTTGTGCACTCTTGGATGCCACTGTACCTGAGAACAAACTTAATCTTTTCTCTCTGATTTTTTGCAGCTGATCTAAAAGGAAGAAAAAGAAAAAAAAAATAAAGAAAATAAAGAGGAGAAAACTGTACATTTTTTTTCTTTAATTTGTGATAATGTTTCAATGCCAAAGATAAATGTGATGAAAATGCCAAAGAAAAGAACTGTGGAATCTACAGCATTCATTGTGTTTATATAGAGATTATGCTTCTGGTTGTTAACAGCCTCCAGAAGGTAAGCAAGTGCTATATCTATGCATTTAAAATAGAGGAGAGCAGGCACAGTTCCCATTTTTTAGTATAGCAAAATGATTTGGGGGCTGAATATAACTTCCTTTTCCATATAATACAAACTTTACAAGAAGTTACTCTGTAACTCAGAGTTCATTTTTTTTTCTCTTTCCTTTCAAAAAATCTTCATAACAAAAAGCCACAGGCGAGCGGTTTTTCTATTTCACTGTAATATTTCAACCTGACACTGTGATGCAATTAGGATCTTAGAAAGGATTAGCAGAGATATATTCTGCTCTTGCCTTTATATGCTTTAATTATGGTCACAAGTTACCCCCAACTTTTATGCCTTCTCCACCCCTTACTGCACACACCGAAACACGCACATACACATTATTTCAGGCTTGAGTGTGAGTTTAGGCTCGATGCATTCAGAACAAAATATAATATGCTCTATTTCTCAGGGCTGAAAATACATCAAGTAAAGAAACACAGAGGAAATGCATATATGAATAAATTATTTTAAATGACTGCATTTACAATATTTCCAATATTATTACATCAATAATGCACCAACTGTATTCGTTAAATGAATTATGGCACAGTCATGCAATGGGCTACTATTGAGGCCATTAATAATGATGTCTTAGAAGAATATATAATGACTTTCAAAGATGTTCATGATATATTGTTGGCAAAATAAAGCAGACTACAAAACAGCACTTACAGTTTATTCCCAATTGTGAAACTATAAAATACAATCATTTTACTGCTAGTCTCATATGCATCTAATAGCAAAGAGAAATATCTAACCTGAAGTTCTAGAAGGTATGTGTTTTTGAAAAATGATCGAAAGAAAGGATATCCACAAAAGTGTTGTTTTTTTCTTTCGGTAGTGGAACTTTTTTCTAGTAAATTTAGCTTAGTAAACTGCATAAGTAGGTCAACAATGATAAACTATAAATTCAGGTTGGCTAAATTTTTCCAAAATCAGAGTTTGAAGATTTTTTTAAATAACTTTGCAACAGATAAGCTATTATTGAACATTTTTCGAACTAAGCTGTGTTTTCATTAACAGAAATTTCTTACTTGTTATATCTGCCTTCAATAGTAAAGTGATAAAATACAAAATCTAGCCAAAGTCCTATTAGTCACCATCAATATAATTGTTAAAATAGACACTCAAAATGCAGAACATGTCTTAATTTGGAGCAATAAAAACAGAAAAAGAAAATATGAGGCAAATGAAAATTGGTAAAAAATTTATCTCCTTTTGATCGATTTTTCAAGTTTCTCCTTCCCTGTATATATTTTAAGTGAAACTAATTTCAAAATTACATGAAATACAACATGTAAAGGTAAATCATTTATGGTTCATAACCTATCTGTCTTCATCTTCTTTTACAGGCAGGTTGAATTATCATTCACTGTGCTTTCCAATGAAGATAATTGTGTACCCTGGAAAAACTAGAAATAATTAACATAGCTGCAGAGGAAAATTATCTGACTCCAAGTTTTCTATTTTTTTTTCCTTTGGTAAACTTGATTCTGGATTTAAGTTAGTACTGACGCTTATTTGCCATTCAGTGGGCACTAGAAGCCAATGATTTAATGATGACAAGCCATCAAAACTGCAAAAATAGTTAAGGCTGCCATATATTGAGCCTTTACTCTGGGGTCTTTATTATGCATACATGTATATACACATATATGTATCTATGTATATGTGTGTATGCATAATTTTCATAATAATTCTGAGGTATTTTTATCCCAGAGTAAAGATTTAAAGGAATAAAAACATGAAACTGAGGCTTATCCCAATTTACCCAAGATACATCAACAACCTATCAGCAGAAGCTGGATCAAGTACAGGTTTGTCACAGAATCTGTACACTAAATGTTGATTTTATACTTCATTTCTGACTAGTGTTTTAAAAACAGAGACCTTGTCAGTCTGTTTATTTCTCCAAAGTGTCCTTCAAGTTTAATTAATGTGTCTCCCTTAATGTGAAGATGAAGTTATATAGAAAGTGTGATTGGATATACATTCAAATTACAATAAATACACCTAAAACTGCAAATAAGCTTGAGGGTGACCATAATGATCATTAACTAATTTTGCTACTAATCCATCATAACTAGGTTCAAAGTAAGCACAACAGTCCCGTCTTGGAAACGGAATATGTGTTATAAAACAAAGTACCAAATGAAGACTTATAATTAACTGTTTAAATTGTGTATCTTTGGGAACACATACATTTAAGGTTGATGAAATATTATTGGATCTGTTTATACTTCAGAAGGAAGTGACAGAGAAAAAAGGAAAGAAGATGAGATATAGGGAACAAACAGAAAATAGGCAGACCCCATATATTATTGTTTTCCCGAGCTCACAGTATCCACTTCATTAATTTTAAGTTTCTGAGACATGACCACTTTGGGTTTTTTTAAAATTCACGTTGTCAAAAGTGAAAAATAAATCAATGTCGCTGTAACAAAACAAGTCAGAAAATGAGAAAAAAAAAATGACATCTTTCAAGATCAACTGTTCCACAGAGTACAGAACAAGCTGGCAGTCTGCAGAAGATCATACATTAACTGGCATAAGCACTAAGAAAAAGAAAAAGAAACCAAACCTGACATTCAATGTATATCCAAGTTAGGAGGCAAAAGAATCCGTTCTCCCTGGGGACTGATATGTTGTGATATCTCTGTATGCAGAAATTTCCTAACCACATCCAAGGTCTTATTTTATTGTGTCTACCACAGTAAACATTTTGTATCTCTCTTGCAAGAGAACCCACAGCCACAACAAGTCACACAGAAGAGTATGAATAAGAATTGGAGATGTCCAGAAAAGCTGAAAGTGCAATTCACTTTCGTCCATTTCTGGACGCTTTGCAAAACAATTCAATAGTGGTCTTTATGAACAGGGAAAAATGCTTAGAAACTAGATAAAACTTAAGGAAAATGACTACATATAGGATTTCACTCAAAAGACCATCATTTACTTCATCCCTACTACACATATCTTGTTTGCATTTATTTGAATTTTTTTTTTGCTTATTCAACAAACCTGTACCAATCATCTACAATATATTAAAAATTTTAGTAGGCATTAAAGCACTACAGATGCAATGATAAACTAAGGTTTTACCTAAAGCACTCAGTCAAGTAAAATGTTGATTCAAAATGTTGATTAGTCTTGAAATACAAATGTATCTCAGAAATCTGGGGCCAAAAGCTACTGAATGAGAGTTAAAAATAAATAAAAAGCATGAGATAGGAAGCAGAGAACTTTGGAACTGGAGGTAAAGATAAAAAATAAGAAGTGAGAAACAAAACTATTTACAGGAGGATCCTAGAACAGATGGAATTGATTAAGAAAAGGAGCAGGTATTGGAAAGTAAAGCAGGGACAGCTGAACAGACATCACTGGGAGATAGAGAAAAAAGATATAAGAATGAGACAAAAAAGAGAGAAGGTAAGTGAAAGAGACATAATGATGCATTAACAGAGACATGATAAATATGGTAGAACAAATGAGGTAGAAAGAATATGAAATAAAGAAAAAGATGAAGAAAAGGAAATATTGATTGGGCATAAGACATTTTGAAACAAAAAACATCCTACCAAAATGTTAAACTAGCAAGATTATCAGCTCCAATCCCCAAGGTAAACTGCAGAGTATTACAGAGGGAACCCCACTTTAGGAAGAAAATAATGAAGAGCTTTCTGGGGTACATGAGGTAAGTTAGAGGAACGGGGGTAGTTGTTTAATTGGTTTATCTGAAATAGTGGCTCTAGGTTGGAACAAAGGCAGACCAGCATAGCTATGGGAAGATAAAATAGAGGTTGTTGACATTCTTTCTTGCTTCTACTCTACCATTGTCTAGGGATAAGTAATACTTGTTCCTACAACAGCAATTCAGATCTACACTGCAAATATCAGCAGGAGAAGGAAAAGGTGGCTTAGGGTAGTTCCTATGCCATTCTGTCTCTTCAAATCTCAGGGCTGGAAATTCCAATCCAAAAAATGTTTCCTTCTAATTCTGCTCCTATTTGATGGGCTAGGGATTGAGCCCTCCCCTGAGAAATAGTTCTACTGGATAAGGCATGCGGAAGGTGGTTTTCCAAGGCCAGGTTCTCTTGTATGGCTCATTTGACACCCCTCCTCCAAAGTTCATCTGGCCCCCAGTTTGACACATTGCCTACCATAGTGGACAATGAGCCCAGGAGAAAACGGGATCACAGATCTAAAAGCTAAGCCATTTGAGAAAAAAACTATTTTGAAATAAAAAATATGAACCGTATTAAAGCTTCCATCAAAGGCTGAAATTAGAACAGGTACATCAGAATTCAAAACAATCTCACTAAGTGTACTCAAACTGATAAAAGATTATATTAAATTAGGAAAGAAAAAAGAACAATGAAATATAGTTTTAAAAGAACCAAGTGGAAGCACTTGGTATGAACAAAATTGTTAAAATGAGAACTACAACAGATAGGAAAAATATTAATAGTAAATTACCACAGATGAGAAACAAATTAGCAATTTGAAAATAAAATTGTAGAACTGTCCAAGAAGGAAAAGGAAACATGACATAAAAAATAAAGTTAAAATATAAGGAAGACAGAACAAAAGTACAGGTTTCCAGAAGACAGGAGTTCCAGAGAGGGAATATATAAAAGTCAAGAGAAGAAAATATTTGAAAAAAATAAATTCTCTGTGATTAAGAAAAAGATGAAAAGGAGATGTAATGGGCCCATAGAGTACCAGAGTTTAAAATAAACTCATAACTATAATAAAAAGCATTGACTATTAATGACAAAAAATTTGCAGTTACCTTAATAATTTCAAGAATGAAAGAGCAGAGCATATACATAGGAATCAGAACACTGAATAAGAGAAAACAATGGGGGTAATATTTTCTTGAAAATAAATAATTTTGAACCAAGAATTTTATATCTGGCCAAACTATTACTCAAATAGGAGATACAGATTTAAAAATATTCTCAGCCATACAAAGCTTCAAAATTTTGCCACATAAAGGCCCACAAGTAAACAGTCTTGGATATTTAAGAAAAAAGAAAAATAAATATAAATACTGCAGGAAATACATGAAGTAAAAGTGAATAAACACCTAGGTAATGTTTGTTGTAATTTTTTTTTAATTGCTAATACCAAGGGAAAGAAAAACAGAAAAGATAGTGATAAAATCCCCAGAGTAGGTAATTATCAGCATAATGGGACAGAAAAAAAACTAAGAAATGTGAGAGCTTTCTAAAATTCTTGTCTCACTAGTGGGAAGTTATAAATCTTAACTTTTATTTAAAAGAAAAAGATTTAAAAGAAATAAAGCGGGCTAATTCCTCTAAAAGTTGACTAGATAAGGTAAATAGATGCTCCCATTGAGAGCCACCAGAGAACTTGGAGAAAATATGTATTTTAAATGTCTTAAAAGATATTACAGAGCTCAAAAGGCAGTTAGCAAATACAGGGCCAAGACTCAGCAGAAGAAGAAAACACAAAAAGGTGAACTGGGCATTTGACACCATTTTTAGCCTGGGAAGCCTCTGCTAACTTGGGAAGAGTGTGGGTCTGGAAGGCTGCGAGGCCCAGCAGAGCCTTCAATAATTTGGGGCCCAGATGACCAGAGACTATCCAGTCCAGGGCCCACCAAGAAAAGTGGGGTGGCTAATCCATCCCATGATTTGGATTTGCAACCAAGAGAATTTAAGAAAGTTCTAAGAGAACCTAGAAAAGTCTAAGAATGAACCCAAATGGACTGGACCACGGAAAGACCAAAGCCCAGATAAGTCATTTCAACTCTTACTTGAAATAAGGTAATCCCTACTTTCAAACAGGACTCATTGCTAGTCCTTCTTGTCTTTAGCCAAAAGCAAACTTTAAATCATCTGATGAAAGACAAAATTAACCTAGGCTTCAAAACGTCTTTGCAATTTTTTACATACACTATCCAGCAAACAATACAAATAATCGAATGTGTAGTTAGAGCTCAACATGATCATAAAATGAGAAGAACAAACAAAAATAGAAAAACACCCAGACGGGATGCTATAGAGTTATTAGACACAGAATCATTGAAAGAATAAATATAAAAAAATATAGTCAGTATAAGGCAATGTTAATGATAATCTAATAATAATTTTGTGATTAAAGATACAGATAACCAAAATGGACAATCCCAGAAGAAGAGAAACCTGCGCAACAGGACAAAGTTGTGACATTCTCAAGTCCTAATATTTCTGGGAAAACAGAAAAGTAAAAATTTATATTAAGCTCTAATAAAGTAAGTATGCAGGCTCTAAGGTCATTGTTGAAAAAGTAAAATGAGTATTAATGACAAAGAAAATTAAGAACAATTGAAAAAACAAAAATAATCAGCCCAAAAGAAAATAGGAAGAGAGAAAAGACAGCAAAACAGACTTGAAACAAATAGGAAGGTAACAAGATGACAGATATAAACACATCATCTGTCTCTCTATTTCACTGGGAATCACATTATTTGTAAACAGACTAAAAACTGCAAACAAAAGGATAGGACAGGATTCTCTGACAGGATTTAAGTTTTTAAAAGAAAAGGAGTGCAACAATTTCTGCTTACAGGAGAAATGTTTAAAATTTAAAAATACAGAAACTCTGAAAGGAAACCTCTATATACCACACAACTATCAGTCAATAGAAAGTTCGTAGAGTTACATATTACATATAATCATATATATAAATATATATTACATATAATAGTGTATAGTACATATACTATATATAAGTAGTCTTTAAGGTAAAATTTATTACTGGAGATATGGAGATAAAGTAGAAAACTTCACAGCATATAAAAATTCTAAACTTATTTGCACTTAATAATGTAGTCTTGCAATACATTAAGCAAAAATTAATATACCATGTATAAATGTGAAATCTAATCCAGAGATACATAAAATGAGAAATGGGAAATGTGTAAGTACAAAATCACAGTGAGAGATTTTAAAACACATTTGTCAGTAATTACATTTATAAGAAGAAAAAATCAGTAGATACAAAATATTTGAGCAATATAACAAACAAAATTAACCTCATTGATGTAAATAGAACACTGAACGTAACAACTACAGAATACATTTTCTTTTCAAGCAAGCGCAAGTGTACCATTTACCAAAATTAACCATCTGCTGGGCCATAAAGCACGTCTCAACAATATTAAAAAAGGAAATCATGCATATTGTCTTCTCTCCACAGTGAAAGCAAACCTAGAAATCAGCATCAAAAGTTAACTGACAAACTCTCAGCTGTTCAGAAGTTAAGACTTGTATTTTTAAATAACCTACAGGTCAAACAAGAAACCACATTGGAAATTAGAAAAAAATTAACTGAATAAAAACAGAAATGTGATGCATGAAAATTTTTGAGATGGAATTATAGCCATAGCCATGCTTAAAGAAAAATGTGTAACTGTAGATGTATATATTAGTTTCTGGAAAATATCGCTAAGCAACTTAAGAAAGTTTGCTGTCATTAGTTTGCTAACAGATTTTTTAATGGCAGTATTGTCAAATGTCAAAATTTTCCAGCCTCTATATACATAATCATATTTTTTTACCATTAATCTACTGATGATAATAACAGGTTGCTTGATGCTGACCATTTCCTGTATTCCTGGATAAACACTTGAGTGGTCAAGATGTAACAATTTTTAATACATTGTTGTATTTGATTTGTCAATGCCATATTTAGAATTTCTCATAAATGAGACTGGCTTACAATATTGCTTTCCCTTTGTGTATTTTATTTATTTTAAACTTTCCTTTCCCCAGTTTGTGATTAAGTTAATAATGATCTCTTAAAATGACTTTTTCTGTGCTCTGGAATAGTTCTGGAGTATTTCAATCTTTTCTTTTAAAGGCTGTTGTATCTTTCAGGTCATCTGAGTTTGGTAACAGAGATGGATGATAAATATCAAGTGTCATTATGTACCTAAGTCTGTTTCTGGATTCGCTATACTGTTCTATTGGTCTGTTTGTATGTTCTTGGGCAGGTATTTCATTGTCTTAATATACTTACATAACAACTGTGCATTACATCTAATTAATGCACAGTTTTCCAATCCATGAATATAATATAAACATATCTTTCCATTTATTTACAGACTTCTTTGTTTTTGTATAATAATGTGGAGTCTCATACATCTTTTAAAAAACCTATTCCTAAGTGTTAGCTATTTGTGATAATAGTAGATGATAATATCTACTATTTTATTTCTGATTCTATGTACCAGATGTATAAAAAAAGATTTTTGACCTTATATATAGCAGTATTACTAAATTTACTTGATATTTCTTTCTTTCTTTTTTTTTTTTTTTTTAATTGAAAGAGAGTATCACTCTTGTTGCCCAGGCTGCAGTGCAATGGCGTAATCTCAGCTCACTGCAACCTCCGCCTCCCGGGTTCAAGCGATTCTCCTGCCTCAGCCTCCCAAGTAGCTGGGATTACAGGTGCCTGCCACCATGACCAGCTAATTTTTTCTATTTTTAGTAGATTCAGGGTTTCACCATGTTGGTCAGGCTGCTCTCGAACTCCTGACCTCAGGCGATCTGCCCACCTCAGCCTTCCAAAGTTTTGGGATTACAGGCATGAGTCACCATGCCCAGCCAAATTCACTTAATATTTCTAATATTTTATTGGATTTTCTATGTATAAAAATCACATATCTTACAAATAAAAATAGTTTTGATTCTCCCATGGGTAGGCCTTTCTTTCTCACTATCTACTTACCTAACTTCCTTTCACAGTCTCCCTCTCTCTACCTCTTCCTCTCTCCCTCTCAACCCACTTGCTCAGGTCTTCAAGATGCTATTGACCCCTTGGAGGGTTCATAATGGACATTTTATCTTGTTAGTAACCTCAGAGGGGAAAGTGCTCAATATTTTATATTGTGATGTTAGCTGTCTGTTTTTTAAAAGACTTTTATCAAATTAAAATTACTTCCTTCTATTCCTAGTTTACTGAGACTTTTAGCCATGAATAAATATTGAATTTTATCCGATGCCTTTTCAGCCTCTATTAAAATGGCCATGTTGTTTTTTCTCCTTTATTCTGTTAATGTGGTGAATTACATTGGTTAATTTTGCACATCAAACTTAACTTGTGTTCCTGTATAAAACACAATTTGTCATCATGTAGTCTTCTTTTTCATATCTTTGGATTTCATTTTCTAATATTTAATGTGGAATGTTTCTACAATCATGGGACACAATGGACTTCAATTTTTTCTTTAAATTTTTGGAAGAATTAATTAGTGAAGTCACTGAGATCTGATGATTTCCGTAAGCAGAAGTTTTAAATTGAAAACTCTCGATTTTTTACAAATCATATTTTCTTTTTCTTATGTGAGTCTTAATACATTTTTTTCAAAAATTTTACTTACTTTGCCTAAGTTGTGAAACTTATTTTTATTTACATGATCTGAAGAAATTCTAAAAGTTTTAAGTCTTTGAATTTAAGATTTGCTTTGTTGCCCCATGTAAAATCTATTTATAAAATGTTCTCATTGTACCAAAACAAAACCTTTCACTTTGTGATCATTTGGCTAGTGCTTTATATATACAACTATGTAAATTTTGATCATTATTATTTTTAAGATTTCCTTATTTAAATGTTCTGTAAAATTTATTTTTATTCATATGATCTGAAGAGGCCCATATTTATGAGTCCTTTTAATTCAATATTTTCATTTTAATAAAACAACTCAGGATTTATATCCAAAGGTTTAAAAAGCTTGTTTGAAAACTTATTAGAAATGTTGAACGTTTATACTGTATATTCATGAATGGAATATTAGATATTAATATTATGGGTTTTAATTAACATAGGAAACATTTTATAATGGGAAGTGAATGCAATAAATATGTGTGTGTGTATTTGTAATGAAGTGAGAAATGGAAGTAAAACAAAAAATGTCTACAATTACCACGTCTACAAAGAGCACCATTTCTTCCTCATATTTTTCTGTATTTTTTGCTCTGGAAGTATTAAATTATTATATTATATATATATAATATGGTTATATATTAATGTACTGTTTATTTTCTGTCATATTAATTGTGTATGCATGTTACTAATTTATGTTAATATATAATTTACACATATTATATAATAAATGTGTAATATTATAATGCAATAATATAGGTGAGTGCATATATGTTATATATGTATATCTCCCTTACTCAATATAAAGATTTATTTGTATTCAAGAGCTCTAAATCCATCAAATCTTTCCAAATTAACAACACTGTCATTTAAAAATTTTGCCCTTTTCACCAACGAGCATAGAATTAGGTTGTAGAGAGTAGCCACTGTATTAGTCTGTTCTCGCACTGCTATAAAGAACTACCTGAGACTGGTAATTTATGAAGAAAAGATGTTTAATTGACTCACAGCTCCTCAGGCTATACAAGAAGCATCACTGGGGAGGCCTCAGGAAACTTACAATCATGTCAGAGCAAAGATGAAGCAAGAATCTTCTTCACATGGCAGAGCAGGAGGAACAGGCGAAGGAGGAAGGGCTACACACTTTTAAACAACCAGATCTCATGAGAACTCACTACCACAAGAATAGCAAGGGGAAAATCGCCCCCGTGATCCAATCACCTCCTACCAGGTCCCTCCCCAAACATTGGGGATTACGATTCAATGTGCGATTTGAGTGGAAACACAGAGCCAAACCATATCAGCCACAATTCACATACACTTAGAACATTGCAAAGACAACATTGTATGCTCATCGCAGTCCAGCCTGATATCCTTTCCAATAAAATGACTCAAGATTTATATCCAGTGGTTTATAAAGATCAAAAACATTGCTTCTCCCAGAAAAATATCTCGTAAAAGAAATCAGGCATTTACTGCAAAGCCTTCTTCCTCAGAGGCACTGAAGATGATGCCTTATGCAACAAAGCTCATCTAGCAGCCTCAGCAAGGAGAAGCAGCCTTGAAACCACAGTAAGTAGATCTGAGATTCTCATGAGATTTAGTCACATTCCAAACTCATTAGAGAAATGGAAGCATATACAGAGTTATAAGAAAAAAAATTCTGTACAGAAGGTACGAATTCTTTCTATTCTATAGTAGCATCAGAATAAATTGTTTTGGTTCATAACGACTAAAATATAAAATAACCAAATAATTATTTCCACTTAATCATTCAAACTATGTTCAGATACATATTTTCACTCTTGGAAGTATAAAGCCATATCCAAAGGAATATTCATTATTAATTTTACACCTTTCTTGAAATAAATCTCAGAAATCTCTATACAGCTCAAAATCAACATCACAAACTTTTGTTCTCTTACAGCCTGTGCACATAGCTTGACAGTTCTTCAGCTTCCAAATTTGCAGAACCAGCACTTCAAAATGAGAGGTAATAAATCCACCAGAGACCCTCCAAGAAAAGCCCATTCCTCACCCAAAGCAAAGCCAAGAAAAGTATCATGGTGACCCCAGGAGTACACACTCTAGTCAAGACAGATGTTTTTCTCATAGTCCTAATTTTAAGAGAACAAGTATCTATTTACAATAAAAAAAAAAAAATAAGACATGAAGCAACCATCCAAATAAGCTCAGCAAAAATTAGGCTTGTGTTTTCTTTAGCCTGTACTTTCCAGATGGCCATTTCATTCATTCACCTATTGTAATGATAGGGCTTAATTTAAAACCCAATTTAGAAAGGATACACTAATATACAATAAACAGACATACCAATGAAACATAATTATGAAAATATATAAAGCATATTTACAAAGGATATACTATTCAAACACTAGGGAGGAGACAAGTAGTTGGAAAACAAATTTGAATTCCTGCATTATAGAACATATCAAATGGATAAAAAATCTAATTTTAAAACATATGAAGTATTAAAGGGAAATCCAGATCATTCATTTTATAAATCTGAAGTGAAGAAAGCCTATCTAAGCATGACACCATTTAATGATAGAAGAAAAGATAGGTTTGACTACACCATAAACAGTCTCTAGAACAAAATCTTCATCCTAAAAAATAAATCTAATTAGTAAATTCGCTAATTAAATATTTTATTAGAAATATCTTTATACCAAATAATATTTGACATGTTTCAAAAATATATATCAATATTTCACCGTTAAAAATATCTACATAAGAAAATAATAGAAATAAAACAGGTTGAAGATGAAATGAATTGTGAATGAAGTCACAAAACCATACCAACAGATACTAACTTAATATGGACTACATACATTGCTTTGTCCTAAGCTCTCTTCTATTTAAACACTCCCACCTGAAATATATTTCCTACTCTAAATTATCTCAAATCTCTACTATGATTTAACAGGACTTAACACTTGTAAGAGGTCCAAGATGACACACACCTAAAAACTTATGTCTACATCCTTATGACAAATTCAATTTTGGTCAATATGGTAGCACCCTTTTAAAACATGTTTCATATGGGTTTTGATCTATAATGGATTCTTTCTAAACTAATATCTACTGGGGGAGAGTGAGAGCATTTATAATATACTTAGAGAAAAATATCAATATTTTCAACTATATGAGGTGGAATAAGAAAAATTGCTAGGATAGATCAGAATAATTTTCAACGCATATTTCAATTGCGAATAACTGGACAATTCTAAAATACTTAGAAGTGCCCCAAACGTTCTGGGCATTTGGTTTTTTTCTATGTGTATTTTTATAATGAAATAATACAAACAAATTATATAAAAATGGGGAAAATAAGGAGAAATTATATATAATTCCACCACATATACGAACCAATGTCAAACATTTTATTTATTTTCTTCCAACATTGTTCTCATTTGTATCTGCCTGGGTCTAAGAATTTTAACATCTACTCTGCAATCTTGTTTATAATTTCCTCTATGAGAAAAAGGATTTTCTAAGCTAGCACCAGCTCTATCAGAGTAATCACCAATTCTAAATCAGAAAAAGTCCAAGGTAATGAGATTTTACCATATCACAGAGAAAATCTTGGGCACCCAAAGTGTAATACTCTTGTATAGTAAATGCCTCAGAGAATGTGTTTAACCTATGACATTGGGGTTAAAATAGTTAACAAAAAAATGTAATTAAGACCTCCTATTACATGGCCCTTTTTTTCTTCTTTTGCTTCTTAGCACTATTTCTGGCTATTTTTTAAAGAAACATTTCTTATCAGGCAGCTTCACAGACTAGCAACTTACCCAGGGCCAATCCAAAAAGTAACTCTTATGTTTTAGATTCAGTTTCTTCTTTCTGTTTGCCTATTTTTAGGTAGCATGATATATGAAGAATGTAAACCTTTTTAAAATTTGTATAGGCTGAAAAATCAAAGGTAATTATCTACAAGTCTTCTGAAACTTGTGGGCACTTAAACAGATTCAGTCATCTGTGTACGAGATCTGCACATAACTAGTAGTGACATTTTACAAATGCAACTGGTCCAAATGTTATAAAAACTGATCGTAAGGCTGTGTTAGTAAAATATTCAACTTAGTGTGAGAGAAATATCATGTTTTTTCCCACATAAAATATAGTTATACTTCTCCAATACATGAGGAACTCTATGCAATTTCTGACTGAGTAGGAAAACGCATATTTCTTATAAAATTGCTACTGTTTTCTACCCTTCCATCATAATTTCACATGCACACACACATGGAAATTGTTTAAATTGAATTAATTTGCATCTATGTTTTCTGGAAGTTTGACTCCCCCCAATTTTACTTTATTTAATTAATGTCATAGTGTTATCAACAAATTAGATGAAAATTTTTTTCTCTTAAGAATAAAATAATTCTAAAACTTGCTGTCTTATCTTAAAGACATAAACCCTGATTGATTTGAAAACTCAATCAAGTGAACACACAAAAGCTGAATTAGAACACCAAGGCAGGTATACTTATACCATAACCAGTTATGCAAATCAAAGATGTCCTCACGAACATCTCATATTCTTTATTCTAATCACTGTATATCAGACTACGCAGAGAAGCCCTGACAGATGCTGTAATTACATTTCACAAGGAGTTGCCAGGACAAAGACATGGTACAGTATGGCAACAGCTTCACAGAAGTTAATAGCCCTGGTTCCACCACTGACTATCTGTACAAGTGATCTTGAAATAGTCCTTCAACTTTTGGGCTGTGAGTCTATGAAAAGTACTAACATGACACAGATCCAGAAACTATTCAAACAAAATCAAAAAATAAAAAAAAAAAAAGTGCATCAAGGGTTCTGAAAAATGAAAAGCCCTGTGACTTCAAATGCTTTCTGGATAAGCTTTCTCAAGTAGTAGTAGATGGAGCGGAAATTTTCTGATTTGCAAGCAACGCTCAAAATGAAATGGCTTGCCAATTTTTTTCAGGGGATGGGTGGTGGGGGACATTTATCGTCTTCCGATTCCAGGCAGACAAGCAGATGAAATTCCTTCCACAGCACTTCTTATCTCGACCCAAGTGCTTCTCTTTATTTTTTCTTTCTTTCTTTATTTTTCTAAAATCACTTTTACTTCAAGCTTTGTTTTCTCCAACTTGTCCTATGAAGAAAACAAAGGTTGAAGTAAAAGTGATTTTAGAAAAATAAAAGTGGTTGAGGTTCCGATTCTGACCTGTGCGGAATAACAGGGAGAGGAGGGGTGAGCACAGTACAGACAGGGAGTCTTTCCATGATGGTCCCCACCTCAGGTATTTTCCTGATGTTTCAGAGGGTTACTCTTAATAAGCCATCCTCACCTCAAAAAAAAGAAACAAAAAAACGACGGTGTGAAGTAGTCAGTTCTTCACTGCAGAATTATTCATGACAAAAATGGAAAAACCAACAATCCAATTTTCTGTTCTTCATTCACTGAGATTCAGTGGGCAGTAGTGTTTCGCAGAAAGTACTTCAGAAAATATGAAGATAATTTCCTCATATTCCATACCATCAATTAGTTTCTATTTCAAAATGGATTTTCCTGCCCTCCAAAAAAAGTCAGTTCTCATTTACTTTAATCTCTTTATAGTTGTCCTTCCTCTTTAGCTAGAAAGTATTTCCTTGATGTTAGGTATCTGCCAACTTGGACAGCTAAAGACCAAAGCTGGCAGAGATACATCATTGTCATCTCTATGTTTCATTTTCCCAGAACCCAGCATGGGGAAAAAAATAAAAAATAAAAACCTATTTTCACATGCAACTGACACTAGCTCAGTTGCTGAGATTAGCTCGTGAGTGTGGGGGAAACGTGTACCAGTTCCCTTTCATATATGTATCCTTTTTATCCTCTTCCATCTGCAACTCAATGGATAGAAAATGTGATGGGTTGGAGAAATCTGTTCATTCTGGTAAAACTGTCTGGAGGTGTCAAGGCTAAGAATAGTCATAGGCTGACATTAAATAGTAGGGACACATGCTGAGCTGGCTCACCCAAAGCTGGTGTCTACAGCAGCACGCTAAATTAGAATTCAGATGGGAGACATTTTTTAGAATATTCTTGGGTCTGATTACTCAAGGACATTTCAATTTAGAGATGCAATGTGGCCCCTGGGGGTATGAATTCCCATGAGCCAGGCTGATTCAGGTGCTCTTAAGAATTATCTTTAAACCAGAACACAGAATAGACAACTATCATAATAACCTTCTTCCTATCATTCAGTAAGGGTATTCTCTCTGAACACAGAGGCAGGATGCACACAGGGCAAGCAGGTTAAGCAATAAAGCAAATCTAAAAGAAACTATAATGCTTTCTGAGGTTATGGAACAATTCTGTCCTTTGAAGATTTCCAGCTTGCAGATTTGTCTCTCTGAGAGCTTAGCTGATTCAAATCTTGGCAACATCCAAATTCAGCCTAGATTGAATATATGTCTAAATCTGTGACACCATAAATGTCACAATTATGGCAAAAATATCCATTTCCTTTGGAAACCATGTTTCACTTCCAGTCATTGCTCCTTTAAATGAATTGCACATGTTTAGACTTAGATGCCCCAGTGGTTAAACTGATAGATATAAAAAAGGACAGGTCACTCTTTCAGTCCTATTTGAGAAACAATTTGTAGATATAACCGTTCTTCTACTCTGAAGTTTTTTTCTGAGTTCTCTATTAAAAAGAGATCTTTCCTATGCCTTCACTTTTTACCAAACTGCTATTTAAGTCTGTTTTCTTTCACAAACTACCAAACAAGTTTCTTCAAAGAGATGTGTTAATTCACATACTTGTGGGGCAAGGAGCCTTAGGCTTGAGAGCTCATGTGGCATTCAAGTACATAACCCTGCCTCCAGGCAGGACCCTGCCAAAAACCTATCAAAAGAATGGAAAGTGCAACCCGCCTTCTAGAGCTGGAGGAAAGAAATTTTCAGTGATTCCAATGTTTAGACACCCCATGTTGCTATCTACATGCCTAAAAGGGATTCCTCCCATCTTGTTATTTAAAACTCTTACTTCACATTTTTTTCACCATAGAGTGGAAACACATTTGCTAATAAACCTCTGATAGTCACGCTATTTCATAGATGTGACTTCAAACAATCCCTATTCCTTTAGTTCCCCCCTTATAAGCTCGCATATTATTCAGTCGACATCACTGCTTTGTGCCCTTATATTGCTATGGCAAGAACTAGAAAAAATACATTCTTGTAAGCAAATAAACGACATTCTGGGCTCATCCACTCATTCAACAAACATTCACTGAAAGCTCCTAGGAGTTGGAGTAGTTCCAGGAACTGAAATTAAAGCAGTACACAAAACAGATAAAATCCCTACCCTTTTGAAATGCACAGTCAATCTAGTGAGGGAAGATAGACCATCAACAAAGTATGCAGTAAAAGAAAATAAATACAAATATAGATAGATGGATGTTTTTAAAATTGAAGGCAAAGTCAATAGAAGTACACATTTAGGAGACAAAATTAGTAGTTTGGGTTTAGAAATATGGTTTGAGAAGCCTTTTGGGTATTTCCATTAGATTTTTCAAGTAGGCAGTTGGATATAAGTTTGCAGACTTGGGAGGAGATATCTGCCTAAGAGATATAAATTTTGGAGTTACCAGATGACTCAATTTTCACTTATGATTAACTTGTTCATACCATATATTTTGCAACAAGGCTCCAGTCATTTGCATTTCAACCTATCTTCTTTCTCCCTACTTCTTTAACTTTCAGCTGAAGCACCTGCTTCATTTTCTCAATTGTTTTTCAAATTTTCTAATACAACTTGATACATATATACCTGACTATATTTAATCACTAAGCTTAAGGGGAAAATTTACCTTCTTCTCCCAGTTCGTATTTTTACCAAAAACTATCAAGTGTTGACTTTGTGCCTTGAATTGTGTTAAGCATTTCCTATGTAACATGTCACTTAATTATCCAAAACCCTTACAAAATAGGTATTACTATGATCTACATTCTGTTGATATATAAATTTAAAAACAGAGACATTAAGCAAGTTGTCTCAGGTGAAACAGCCACTGTCGTAAACATAATGGTATATCAGATGCACAGCCCGGCAATAAGTGAACATGTTACCCAACACCAGGCAATTTCAATCTTTGAGATATATATATGTGTGTGTGTATATATATATATATATATACACACACACATATATCATAAATTTTATGTATATAATAAAATGAAAATAAACATTTTATTATATTTATGTATATATGTATATATTTACATACATATGTATTTTTGTATATATTTACATACTTATTATATGTACATAAATATGTATATAATGTATGTATATACATGTATAATGTATATAAATATGTATATAACGTATGTATATACATGCATAATGTATATGAATATGTATATAAGTATAAGCATGTATATAAGTGTATACATATACATATATGTATATAATATGTATATATTTGTATACATAAATTTATATAAATACATATATATATTTTTCCAGTCTACTAAAATCCATTGAGAGCCCTTTGAATGTGATACAAACATCTAAAAACTGTGTTCAAGATAAGCAGGCATATTAAAGATGAGTGCCATATTCTCTCCACCATGATAAGTTGTTATACTATAAAATAACTGTGGGCCTTTTTAGTAT
Source organism: Homo sapiens (assembly GCF_000001405.40). Classification (NCBI taxonomy): domain Eukaryota; kingdom Metazoa; phylum Chordata; class Mammalia; order Primates; family Hominidae; genus Homo; species Homo sapiens. The sequence goes on from NC_000009.12 coordinate 23,309,697, forward strand.
TCTACTGGAAGAATCTAAAACTTAAGGGCAAATAACTACAAAGATTAAAATGCTTTTTCCCAATTCTGTCATAAACTTGTAATTAGATAGCATCACTTCTCTAAGAATGATAAAAAATAGTTATCACATATTTAAAAAGTAAGATATATAGTCAACTAAAAAGAAATCTAAAATGAAGAGCAATTAAGTGTTTCACCCAAGGTTGTACATAAAATTAAGGGAGTTTAAATAAACACAGGTGTTTTGCCTGAAATCCTTTTTTTCTATGCTGCTGTGTGTGTGTGTGTGTGTGTGTGTGTGTGCTATTTAACTTAGATTGTGCAATGAGACAGAACACTATGAGAACTAAATTAGCCTTACCCTCTCAAAGTCAACATTATCCTTTCTGTTCCTTGCCTATTTCAGCCCTGAAAGAAGCCTGAAAAACAAGGTTTTTCTAAAATTGATTAATTTGTGAAACTTCTACCATATAACAAAATTATTTGGAGCATGAAGTAACTGTTTCTTCTTCCATTATATCTTACATATTTTTTCATAAAATAAATGCACATATTATGCAATTCCCCTAAATTATTATAATGTTTAGAATTTCTCGATCACTAGGCTCTTCACTGTGAGGACAACTTCCTGGAAGATTTACATATAAGGAGGTCATTTTGAAATGTCAGTAGCTAATCCCTTTGGATGATTTCTAAGACATACCAGCCTTATGATGAATTTTGCTCTGTCATGAATAGACTCTCAGAATATAGCAAGGTTGGGTGTAATATATCCCCATTTCAAGATATGGAAACAGACGAACTGAGACTTAACTTTCACATGATAACTAGGACCAAAAAATTCTTCTTCAAGCTGTGAGAAGTCTGAAAGGAAATTGATTGTGGGAATAAAGTGTATTCTAGAGAAATAATGTTATGAATGTAGCCTACAATAATTTATGAGTGATTTATAATTTCAAGTGTTTTTGTTACATATTCTAATATTTGGTCCTGAGAATAACCTGATGATGTAGGGAAGTGAGATATTATTAGGTTCAAACTACAGATGAGGAGACTGAAGCTAAAAGAGATCTTTCCTATGCCTTCACTTTTTACCAAACTGCTATTTAAGTCTGTTTTCTTTCACAAACTATCAAACAAGTTTCTTCAAAGAGATGTGTTAATTCACATACTTGTGGGGCAAGGAGCCTTAGGCTTGTGAGCTCATGGGCATTCAAGTACATAACCCTGCCTCCAGGCAGGACCCTGCCAAAAGAATACTCTTGGTCCCCTAAGAAGCAGGCCACAAGATAGGATTAAAACTTCAAGAGATTTATTGGCAGAGGGAAAAGGAGAAGTGGGGAGAGACTTCAGAATGCAATACAAGTATGACAGTTATGGAAAGAGAGAATGAAGGAAAGAGGCTTGAGTAGGTATTTCTTGCAATAGTGACTACAGCACAGTTGCAAGAAAGTTTCAGCCAGATGATATAATGTCCTCAAGCTAAATAACTTCATTGGAAGAGCAAGTCCACCATCTTTCTGGAATGGGTCCACCTTAATACCCCCACCATGCTTAGTCATTGGCTGAGAGCAGCCAATAGGAAGAATAACCTCTAAGTGAACACAGTGGTGAACCCAGAGGGCACACGCGGGGAATGTCAATTACTTCCTCACATCAGGAGATCTTGAGCAGCACATTTTCATAACTGCCACAGTCTCTTCTGATTACCAAAATAATAAGTAAAAATGGTAGGCCCAAAAGTTCACTGACATCTAGCAGAATATTTTATAAGCCTTTAATGTGAATGACACATGATACTTAATATTTTTTGGCAACTAGATTTGTGATCATTGAATACAGTTATATGCAACAATTTGTTAGATTCTACTTTTGAAGCCAAATCTATAATATTTATGCATAGAAGCACAAAGTTGTAGAGTGAATCTGCTAATATTATTCAGCTGCATGGAAACTGGTACAAGAGGGGGGAAAAATCAACTCCTGAAATGTTTGAAAAACTATCAATGGATTAGTTTTGCTACTAGATGCCTCTCAGTACATACTGTGATACAAATATTTTTAAGGTTCACTAGGTGAAATTTTGATAGATGCGTAACATTCTACAGCCTATTTACTTTCACCTGTCTGTCTAAGTGAACATACCTAAATAAATTATTTAAAATCAAAACCTCATTCCTCACAAGAAATAGTAGACATAGTTATCAAGTATTATCTGTTTAATGCATTGCAAGAAAACTTTCATTTTCCCCTAAAACCGACTCTAGAAATAAATCATTCCTTCAAAGCACATATGAAAAAACTGAGGTCAAGAGACTTTAACAACTTGCTTAAGATCTAACAGAGAATGGTAATTTCTGGATTTGAATTTGGCTCCATTGCCTATCAAGAAAAGGTGCAACACATCTAATAAAAATAGAGATTATACTATGGCTTTACACACACCCATTTGATTGTTTAAACAATAGTCCCTAGACTTGATTGATACAAAGATTCTTTTAAAAGTGGACCATCAAGAAGTGATATATTAGAAGTGATACATTTAGAAGTGATACATTACCATATTATCTTTGTAACAAAGAAGAATCATTTTTCCTATTTCTTACCTATCCCTGTTTCTGATTAAATAGCGTGGTAAGAATTTCTCTGAGAATTACGGATGAAAAAGTATCCTATCAATTATATTTTTGTTTGGACCATTTCTTGGGAAATTCCAGAATAAAAATCATATAATTTTTTAATCTAATGAAATAAAAAATTTCTCTATGCACAAACATGTAGAAAGTTCAGCCAAAAAAAAAAAAAATCAAACGTAATCATGCAGTTATTCTACCATGACACAATATCCATATCATTGTATGTACTTGTTTTCTGTGCCTAAAACACTCTTTTCCATACCTCTGCCATCGAAATAAGTCCTTAAGACTAGGTTCAAATTTTCCATTTTTTTCCCTGTGAAGCCTTCTGCACTATCCCCCAGCCTACCCTTCCTTAGCACATCTCAAATGTTGCTTGACCCTGTGCAGTACCCCAGCTCCTTGTATGGTACCCCCAATGTAGCTGTCATCACACTGCAGTGCACATATTTATTTGACTGCCATCAGCGATTGCCAAAGAATTCCTCTATGTTTGGTGCCTGACAAATGTCTGTGGTATAAAAGCAAGGCGACATGGTGGAAAGCAGATGACGCAGTGAAATCAACTACTGATCTTAAAAATTCTAATAAAGTGATGCCTATTTATATCTAAACTTCATATTTCCTCCTCCAAGTGTAATCATATGATTTGATAAGGAAAAAGTGATGTTGATGTTTTGTTCAGATTTATGTTGATGTAACCATCAAAAGCAAACAATAGAGCATAATATCACAATTACATTATATTCTCAGGATGATATTCAAAATAAATAGCTGGATGGATAAAGTACGCAAAAAGTGTATTAGTATATTTATAATAATTAGCCTAAAGAATTATGCCAAATAATTACCAAAATTTTGAAAAATATTGACTGATATTTTATGTGAACAGAAACATAGCAAATGACATACTGAACATAACTTCAGTGTTAAATAAGCTTTCCTCTTTGCACTAATCTTAAAATTCTGTTGTCTTAATGTGTCCAAACACAGTATACTATTTCAATTTCATCTACTAAACAAAATTGACCAACTGCATTATAACTCTTCTGTAAATTGTAATACAGTGTTATTAATTTTATGGACTTGCAATAGAACAATATAATCTTGTTTCATCTGGTTTAGTATTGTACAGTTTATGCATCAGTATCTTTTATCAGACTATAAACCTCTTGACCTTAGCCCTCCTTATAATGTCCCCAAAAGGTAGCCCAATATCTTCTACATAACAGACATAAATACATACTTATCAAATTCAATTATAACATAAAAATTGAAACAGAAAATAAATATCTTGAAAGCAAATGAAGAAAAATCAATTTGCTGGTTCCTTTATGACAACTGTAATGCTACTATTATGTCTTAATATAGTCATACAATGGTTTCATCATTTCTGTCCATCACCAAAAAGCATTCATTTATAGAGCATTAAGCTTGTCTGAGTATTATATGTTATACAACTAGAGACATTGTAGACAAAATTGCTGTGTCCTGCATTCGAATAATATCCTCGCAGAAGAACAAAGCAACCTGGTCACTAGGAAAAATCAAATCACAAATATTTCTGGGAATGAAAAGAGGGAAAATTATTTATATTAATACATGAAAAAACATAACTCAATGCAGTTGTAAGTTTATATATTCCAAATGTGTTTGTATGGAGAACAGATTGTCATATGGTTAAAAAAAACTAGATTGCTACATATTAGGAAAAAAATGCAGAGATGGATAAGGCAAATCTACCCATCGTTATTTATCTATGTAAACTCCTACGTGCCATTTCATCTCTCAGATCCATTCCCCTTTTCCATGGAGGCCTAGAGCACAGACTATTTATATGAAATAAATAGAATAATGTGTATGAAACTCATGTGAACTCTAAACCTGAATACACATAAGCTATTATTATATCATGTTTATAAATCCCACACAAATGCATAAACATACAGTATTTATAGAGAATTAAAACATTCATTGTAGGACTATGTGCATTCCACAAGTAGCACCATGTACCAACAGATTGCTGTCACATTGCATTTGTATCTGTAAGCGTTAGTGCCATTTTCGCATACCTGTTAAGCAATCTTCCGTTATTACTTTGCAACACATCATTTATGTTTCTCTCTTTACTAACATAAGACCATTATCTTGCCATTCAGCAACGACAGGTGATTCATCCTAGATTCCAAATGACATCTTCTTGACACAGGGTGTTAAAAAAAAAAAAAAAAAAAACTTTTTTTTTTGGACATATTTTACCTGTGCTTTAGATTCCTTTCCAAACAAAAACTCACAAAATATATTTGGTAGCACAAACCAGCAGGGACTCATTAAATCCTTTCAAAGGGTAAAAGACAATAACATTTCATCATCAATTACTTGTATATTTTACCACTGGAGATTTCTACATGAAAAGTCCAAAATGGTAGAAGCTTGGCATAAAGGAGAGAGGAGAGGCAAGGAATGGAAAAACTTCATAAACTTAATCAAACAAAATAAACTTCTGACTTGTTTTTTCAGTTGTCATCAGGAAGGATTAGAATGTCAAAAAGGCAAAAAGTATTTTTATGCAGTGTGACGGTTAATACTGACTGTCAACTTGTTTGGATTAAAGGATGCCAAGGATTGATCCAGGTTGTGTCTATGAGGGTGTCGCCAAAGGAGGTTAACATTTGAGTCAGTGGGCTGGAGAAGACAGACCCACCCTTAATCTGGTGGTCACAATCTAATCAGCTGCCAGCAAATATAAAGCAGGCAGAAAAATGTGAAAAGGTGAGACTAGCCGAGCCACCCAGCCTACACCTTTCTCCTGTGCTGGATGCTTACTGCCCTCAAACATCAGACTCCAAGTTCTTCAGTTTTGAGACTCAGACCAGCTCTCCTTGCTCTTCAGCTTGCTGTGGGATGTTATGATTGTATAAGTTAATACTTAATAAACTCATATATATATATATATATCCTGTTATTTCTGTCCCTCTGGGAAACCCTGACTAATACATCAGCAACTGATATTAGTGCTCTTACTTTCTGTCTCATATCAAGACTTAAGTGAATTTTTTACTTCTAATTTGACATTAATATTTTATTATCAATTATAACTAACTGGTATTGAATACTTACTATGTATTAACCATTATATCATCTCATTTAATCATGAAAACAACCTTATACAGCAAGTAGAAGTAGGTAAGCAAATCTTAGGTCATATAGAGAATTACAAAAGACTGTAGATTTGAATGTAAATGCATTTGAATCCAAAGCATCTGCTTTTCATAGCCACTTCATTTGGTTTGTTAAAACAAAATGAAAACATTAAGTCAAACAAAGGCTGGAAATTAACACATAGGGAATCAATTATCAAATCTCCTTTATTGAAGCCTTTCTTGGGGAAGGGGCACCTGTTAATGCCATTCCTTTGTAAAAGTTTACCTAATAAATATTCTTAAACTTGGTGTATGCAAAGTCACTAATTATAAGGATATCTATGTGTGGAGAAAGACACAAATGTGAACAAATACGATACAAGACTGATTTGAGCACAAAGATGGCTCAACTGCCTGATGAAACTAAGGAGAGATTTGACTTAAAAATATAATACAGAAAAGAGTTTTGAAGGGAAGGTTTCCAGAGACATGAATTAGGAAGGGAAGTTTTGACAGAGCAGAAGACATTTAAGGGAGAAGGAACGGTTCACATTAAAAGGACTGGAGGTGTGAGAAATCAGAGTGCATGTAAAGAGCAGAACATGAAGGTCCCACAAAAGGAAATACATGGACATGGGATTTAAAAGACATATAGAGCTAAATCATGGTCCTGTGTGTCATGCAAAATATTTGGAATTTAGGTTTTAGGAAGAAATGGAGCTATTGAAGGATTTTCAATCAGGCGATGAATGAAACAGACTTGCATTTGAGATACATTATTTAGCCCTTAGTCTAAAAGTAGATTTAATGGGATTAAAGCTGCAGACAGAGAGGCAAGGAGGCCAAAGTTGCCCAAAGCAGATTAGATTTTAAAAATGGATAAATTATTAAACGTCTGAGAGATCTAAAATAAAGGCTTTTATTTTGTTTTATATTAGCTTCTTAGCCTATGAAGGATAATTTTCTAACCAATTATTGCCTTGCCACCTTGTTATTGAAATTTTATTTCTAATGCCAAAATGACAATGATTTCAGGTACAAACTCATACTCATGTTGTTCTTTTTACCAATTAATAAGATAAAAATCTTCTTTGCTATTATAACTTACAGCTGAAAAACATGTTTCATAGAATAAGGCTTTAATTTCCTATGCTATTTAATAAAAGAATACTTAGATTTGATATCCTGAGAATACTGCAATAGAGAGACACTATGTACTATTTTTACTGTTGAGGGCAAATACAATAATAAAGATTATTATTTTTTTCTGAGTCGGTGTCTCACTCTGTTGCCCAGATTGGAGTGCAGTGGCATGATTTCGGCTCACTGCAACCTCCACCTCCTGGGTTCAAGTGATTCTCCTGCCTCAGCCTCCTGAGTAGCTGGGATTACAGGAGCCTGCCATCATGCCCTACTAATTTTTGCATTTTTAGTAAAGACAGGGTTTCTCCATGAATTTTTAAATAATGAGTTTGTGCCCACTGAAAACCAATTCAGAAATAGGAATATAAAAAATTTTACGGGTGTTTAAATGAGAAAGAATACTAAGAAAATTTGACTATCATGTAGTAGAAAATACAATAAGTGTAAAACCTCAAAAGAAGTGGTATGGTAGCACCAACTGTACAATTCCTGTCATCATATGTACTAAGTAGAAGGTTATCAGTAGATATACAATTAAAAAACTTTTTATTACATCTTGATAGTAATGGATTTTGTGATACACCCATCAAATTGATAGATCCCTCAAAATAATTGTTTGATGACTAAAATATCATTAGTACTTCAAATGATAATGACAATACAGACCATTCTGTAAATACTGGTTTATTACATTTAGAGTCAGAAGGATTTCGTGGACAATAAATAAAACATGAAACTTGATTTTTTTTAACGTTAAGTTCTTGGATATATATGCAAAATGTGCAGGTTTGTTACATAGGTATACACATGCCATGGTGGCTTGCTGTTCCCATCAATCCGTCATCTACATTAGGTATTTCTCCTAATGCTATCCCTCCCCTAGTCCCCTACCCACCGACAGGCCCCGGTGTGTGATGTTCCCCTCCCCGTGTCCTTGTGTTCTCATTGTTCAACTCCCATTTATGAGTGAGAACATGTGGTGTTTGGTTTTCTGTTTCTGTGTTAGTTTGCTGAGAATGATGGTTTCCAGCTTCATCCATGTCCCTGCAAAGGACATGAACTCATCCTTTTCTACGGCTGCATAGTATTCCATGGAGTATATGTGCCACATTTTCTTTATCCAATCTATCACTGATGGGCATTTGGGTTGGTTCCAAGTCTTTGCTATTGTGAATAGCACAATAAACATACGTGTGCATGTGTCTTTATAGTAGAATGACTTATAATCCTTTCAGTATATAATGGGATTGCTGGGTCAAATGGTATTTCTAGTTCTAGATCCTTGAGGAATCACCACACTGTCTTCCACAATGGTTGAACTAATTTACGCTCCCACCAATGGTGTAAATCTAACTTGAGTTCCTATGTTCCCTATGCGGGAAAAAAGAAATCGTTAACAGTAAATAATGTTGTCTTAAATGCTATTATTTTGCTATTTTGTTTGCATTTAATTTCTAAATTTATTTTGGGGCCTAATTAGAAAATATAAGCACTAGGAATTTATGCCTAATGTTATGTAATGTGATGATAAAAATAATATTAAATAAACACTGGGGACTTTCTGGCTATTCTTTCCTACAAAAGGACACATATATTGTTGATGTTTAAGATACATGGACTTGCATGAGGAATGATGAGTGTTTAAACTAAGATACTTAGGGAAGTTTTGGGAATACTCCTGTATTATTACTTAGAATATTGGATAGATTCATTCATTTATTCTAGCAAATATATCTCTCATTGGCCACCCATAGTTCATCAGCTAATATTTTCAAGAGTGATCTCTTGAAACAGTGATCAAGAGTGATCACAAAGTGGATCTTAGCCAGTGTTGCTCCAGATTTGTATTCCTAGGTTGCTTTTGAAACCCCAAGTTATTTTAAGCTCAAGGGAATATTTTTATCATTTTCCTCTATATCAGTGAAAAACTTACCTACCAGTCACTATCTCCTTTAAGATATTAAAAATACAAAAGGTAGATGGCCTACAACAGCCTTCAGGTAAGTTGAAATATTTACCAAGCCTAACACTTTCTCCAATCTTGAATCATCTAGGAAGGTATACAGGTAGGCAAGCACAGAAAATCACAGTTCTTTCTTATTCACTGAGCAAAAATGAGAATTCTGCTTAGATAAACAAATGCTTGTCTCAAAAATTGATTTAGAAGTGTATGAGGGAACTTCAAATAGTTCATGAAAAATGGAAATAAAAAATATAAACTTTATTTCTCAACATAAGCTTCATGATAGTCAAGACACATTTTTGAGTGATGATATCAGCCATTTGGTCCATCCTAAAATAACTAAGAGTTTAACCATTTTAATGACATTTTGAATGTTATTATCTGAAAAATGTCTAGTGCCCTCTGTAGATTTTTTAAGATTAAGAAACCAAAGGAGGCAGAAATAGCCAAATTAGGACTGTAAGGTAGCTGTCTAATGACTTCCCATAAAAACTCTCACAAAATCGCCCTTAATTAATGAGAGGACTGACCAGGAGAATTGTCCTGGTGGAGTCTTTGGTGAAGCCTTCCCAGGCATTTTTCTACTAAATCTTTGGCTAACTTTCTCAAAACACTCTCATAATAAGCAGATGTTATCATTCTTTGGCCTTCCATAAAGTCAACAACCAGAATGCCTTGAGCATGCCAATAACTAGTATCATGACCTTTGCTCTTGACTGGTACACTTTTGCTTTGACTAGACCATGCCATCTCTTAGTAGTCATTGCTTTGATCATGTTTTGTCTTCAGGATCATACTGGTAAAGCCATATTATATCTCCTATTATGATTATTTGAAGAGATGCTTCAGGATCTTGATCCCACTTGAAATCTCCATTGAGAGCTCCACTCTTGTCTGCTGATTTTGGAGCAATGGTTTTGGCACCATAGAGTAGAAAGGTTGCTCAACTTTAATTTTTCAGTCAGAATTGTATAAGCTGAACCCGTTGAGATGTCTTTGGTGTTGGCTATCACTAATCATTCATCCTCTTCAATTAGGGCATGAACAAGATAAATTTTTCCTTGCAAGTTTATGTGGATGATGTGCTGCTGCAAGCTTCATCTTCAACTTCGTTTCACCCTTTCTGAAATTGAGTTATTGTAAACTGCTGATTTCTCTAGGGCATTGTCCCTAAAAAGCATCAGTGATTTCATCATTCTTCTACCCAAGCTTCACCAAAATTTGATGTTTGTTCTTGTGTCAATTTTAGCAGAATTCATGTTGTTTTGATAGGGGCTCTTTTCAAACTGATGTCTTATCTTTCTTGGTGCCTTAAACTAAGTTCTGTTCAGACATGTGACAACAAATTCATACTAGTTTTTTTTTTTGGTGCAAAAAAAAGTTGTGAATTCCATGCATAATTTTTTCAGGATATGCATTTTCAATGAAATTTTTAAAGGCCTCTCATGTGCTAATATTGAACTTATGTCATGGTTATATTAAAAATGTATTGCCAAATAGAATATTAAATTATTCGGGTACAAATTATTTGCTTTTTCATTTTACTAAATAATGTGTGCTTTGATAAGCATTTCTAATTGTAAGAAAGGAAAAAAGAAGAGAGTGAGGAATTAATAAAAAGAAAAAAGGTAGAGAAAAAGGAAAGGAAACAGGAGAAAGAAGGAAGAGGAGGAGGGAGAAGAGAGAGAATGCCACATATCAGGAAGGGGGGACATTCTTAAAGCTAGACATAAACATGGTATAAAACTGTAATAATATAAAATCCCCATCTTCATTTTTGAACTGGCAGAAGAAAGATAAGGGCAGTGATGTGCTTCAAGTTATCGACTTGAGACATTTTTTTGGAGCTCTTAGTCAAACTTATCCCAGTTACTTCATTTGTTACTTGCTCTTGACATCTCTGTTTTCAGTTTTTTAATGATAAAAATTGGACATTAAAAAAAATCGAACTCACAGGAAGCTGAGAGGATTAAGAGAGTTAATGTACCTAAAACAACTCAAACAACACCTGCCCTAGATGTGGTGAGTACTAAATTTGTGCTTATCATTACCATTATATGATTCATTGAGCACCCACTGTGAACAAGTACACCATCCCGGTGACTGAGCTCAGTTTACTAGAAAACTGGCAATCAATGCTGCTACCCTCCAGGGACAAGACACACTGCTTTGGAACCAACAGTGTGATGAAACATTTTATAGGGTAGCTCCAGTTGAACTAATTATCACCCACACCCATCTGTGCCATTTGGTTCCCTGCCAAAATTGTATGTGTTCTGGTGCAAATATGGGCATATTTGTTCATAGATTTGCTCTCACGTGGTTGTTCCCAGGGGCTTATCTGAAGAGTAACAGCATCAGAATCTCCTGGGAAACTTCTGAAAAATATAAATTCCTAGGTTCCATCCCCAATGAATATAGATCTTGAGTCTTTGAAGATTGCACAAAAATGCTATCTGTATGTATATAGCTCATCCTTAGACACAGAGAATGCAGCATAATGGAGAACATTCCAATCTACTTGCTGAAGAATACGCAAAACAGACTTGAGCATTATTCAGTTAGAAAAGAAAAGACTCTGTATCATTGTATGATTCGCAGGGCACTGCCTGACCCAAGTATCAAGTGATAGCAACTGTTTGTAAAAGCTCTCCAGCCAGACAGACTGGGTTGACATTTGCCCCTCCACTCAGCAGCTGTGTGGTACTGGGCAAGTTATGTAAGCTCTCTATGCCTCTGACTCCTCATATGTAAGACAGTTATTATAATCACAGGTTATCTCATTGGTTGTTGAAACAATTAAGGGGAAAAATGTAAAATACTTGAAACATTATCTGGCATGCAGGATATAACCAATAAATGTTGGTTATTCTTGTTAATATCAGGTATTATATAGTCTAAATCCACAACATATAATGAATGAATGCTTGAGTATTAAGGTATCCCATTCTATTCTACTTACTTTCTCAGTAATTCATTAAATTAGAAGTCCTTTTTTGCAGCTGTTCCTTAAAGTAAGTTTTTCAAAAAAGTTAATGGAAAATAACATTTCAGTAGATCAGGAAGAAATCTTTTTGATGCCATAAATATTCTTTATAAATTGGTACGTTTTAGTATCACATAAGACATAATTATTTAGTAAATACCGAGCATTTATTACAGGTGATTTCAAAAAGTACAAAGAAAAGCACAAGAGAAATATATCTACAGGGGTGAAGACAGAAGCAAAAATCAGAGGAAAGTAAAAAATTAATCAGTAAGTGACTCTTTAGCATTAATTCCATTTTGCCCATGTAGATTTGTATTAAAAACAAAAAAAGAGAGTAAATAAATTCATCTGTTTGCTAAAAGTATATACACATAAAGTCCTATTCATGCATGCCTAGTAGTTCCAAAAAATTCACAGATACCCATTGCTAATACAGAAAATTCATAAGTTAGTCGCTGCCTAAGTTAACTAAAGTGAATCAGAAATCTGGAGTTACTTCTATGAGATTATATTTATTCTGTATGAAATATTCTTCCCAAATGCCCTCTACACTTCAGGCTCATAAATTATTAATGAGTGTTATGGTTGTTAGAGGACAATGTATGGAAATTTACCCAGATTCCAAAATCCTAAACAAAAACAAATGATTAAAAATGAAAGGCAGAGAAGAAAGAAAACAATTATATTGGTTTGGTGAGAGTTGAAACATTTATTCTACTCCATCAGCACTGATTTTAAAGATCTGAATGACAACAAAATGATGAATAATTCAGATTTCATTTATTAGTCCACTGACCCTACACATGGCTTCACAAAAATGAAAACAATGTTTTTCTCCTGCTTCATCCTCCATAGAATGGATATGTGTATGTAGCTGGGTGGAATTTTTTTGATGTCATATGCTCCCGTATATTGTATACACATATATTTGCATATCATATATTTAGAAGAAATGTTGAGATAAAAATATTTTTAAAACATGTATAAAGGAGAACATTTTGCCCCCTACTGGCCAATGACTTTGGTCTGCATAAAACAATGCTGATGATCATGCAACGACTGCTTACCTGGCAACTAGAAACCAGACACTGTAGCAATACGGTTCTATGTCCTCAGTCTGGGATTGACATACACACAAAAAGAATTGTCACGGATGCATCTGCAGGGCTATATTCTAGAAGATTATGAGTTTTTTCCCATGGCCTCCCATCTCCACTATAAGAACATAAAGCTACCACACTAAATCTTCTAGCTTAGGATTTACAATAGTTGGTGATGCTATTAAACAGGACAAAGATTCCAGGAAAATGAACATATTTCTCGAGGGTAAGATAAATTAAATAAGGTCATTCTTCGAGCAGGTTGAATGTGACAAATCTTTGGGTTATCAATGAGAGTCTACTAGGAAATTGGAAAAATTTGCTGGTATGATTTGGGCAGGGAGGGAATTATTAACAGTTTATGTTGTTCTTGTCATTCATTTGAAAGTCACTTATCTCCGATAATATTAGGTAATCTATTATTACCTTTGTTTGTAGGTACTATCTCACCATCTTCTTAACTCCACTTAGTCAAAGTTCAATAAATGTTTTCCAACAAATTATATAACAGAGTATTCAAATTAAAGTTTTTGCTTGTGATCCTGTGAAAATTGATACTAAATGTCAAAGGAATTTGCAATATCGTCTTACTCTGTAAGACTTTCAAAAATAGGTATATGAAAAATATCTATAAGACTCTTGGTATAAGAGACCTCTCACCTTCATTATAGGTATAAAAGGGCCAGGAGTGAAAATTTATGAAGAATTATGCGTGATACTTCTTTTGTTTGTTTTTTTTGGAGATGGTGGAACTCTGGGCTCCATTAGCCCCCACTGGATGAGGTTTGGGGGGTGGTACTGCCTTAAAACTTAGGGAGAGAGCTTAATATATGCCTTCTACAGTTTTTGGATACTAATGAACTATTAATTAGGAGGCTGGCCTAAGATCTTGTGATGGTAAATTAGACTAGAGAGCTGTGGCTTATAAATAACTGCACTCTCAGAATTTGTTAAAACCAAGGATCTGCAAATATTTTCTGAGGTTCAGACATGGCCTATATCGATAGCAGAGAGAAAGCTGGTGGTGGGCTTGCCATACCCTACCAATAGGGCACGTAAAGGGTGAAAACACACATCAACAGCAAAATGTTTAAGGCATTCCAGATTCCCAGAAACTGAGAAAGGAGTAAGAAAGAAGCTGAAGATGACTTTGCCATCCTCAAAAGTACACCCCAAGTGAGAGTTCTCACAAGATAAAAGTGTATGCCTATGGGATATGCCTAATTCAGAAAGTGTCAAAACTAGATGGCCAGAACTCTACCAGATAACAAAGTTCCAACTCTCTCTAGCTCATCACCTTCCCAGCTTCCACGCCAAAGAAGTCATCATTTTTTTATTCACAAGACAAGAAAGAATAAGTAGAATGGTGAGCTAAAGGAAACATATCTGGCATCTTTCCCTAGCAGCAGTCTTCCTATTTACAATAGGCTTACACTAGGAGAAAAAAAAGAGAACACGGTGGAGAAAACTGTAATTAGAGAATTGGGATTTTATTCTGCAACTTAAGGTTACTCTACACCTTTATATTATAATTCCTGGAAGTGAATAGACAAGTCTTGCTGCCTGCCCAAATTTTCATTCAGGGTCATGGGCAAAAGTAGCCCCACTAAGCAGAGGTAAGGAGACTAGAAGAGACCAAAGAAATTGCTTTAAGATTGTGTCCTATGAGTTGTGCTTGTGCAATATTCCAGTTACAATGATAACCTCCTAACATGGTCGGAAGTCAGAGGATGCTTGAGTGATCCAGCCTGTGGTCCGCTCACTCCTATCTTCTGCACTATCTGTCTGTTGGGATTCAATCAGGCTGGTGGGAAAAACATTAGAGATAATTATAGAAATAAACACAAAGCTTCTTGGAAGGCCAAGAAGTTTTGATAACTTCTGTAATAGATCTGCAGGTCCCATTACCTTTAGTTAAGGGAATATAGAGTAGTTTATCTAGCTAGCTTGTTCACTCATGTGGTCTTAAGATTAACCTTTGATGTACCACGGGTGCTTAAGTGCCTTTTACTTGGGAAGTCCACAATGTCAATTACTCTCCAATGGTGTTGACTCAAGCTTTTGTTAGTTAAACTTACTGAATAAATGCAAATCTCCCTAGCTCATGGAGGCCAACTGCAGTGACAAACTTCTCTTGGTGTGTAGGTGGTCAGACACTCAGCAGGACTGGCAAAACAGAACATCTGTGTGTCAGTGTACGTTTTATTCATCCATCGTTTGGGTCAGGGTCTGCGGGCAGACGCCCGCAGCTAATGCCCTCTTGTGAGGAGCAATACCTCATCTATGTTAATTACACAACCTTTGCCCACACACGTCAAAGATGATACAAGATGAGTATTTTGTGAGTGTGTCTGTTCCACTGTTATCAGTTCTAATTTTGAAAAATTAAAAAATGCTTTAGTGAATGTAAGTATACTTCCCTAAACTTTCCATCATGTTGCCCTAATTCTGCCTTTTCTAGTTACACAGAATAAATTAAGTGTCTCTTTCCTATGATAGCTCCTAGGGTTCTCGAAAAGAACCATTATTATAGACTTGTTTTCTCAGCCTACTCTTCTCCACACCAAACAACTCCAGTTTCTACTGCTCCTGGGAGTTCTTTTCACCACTTCCTGAGACAAGGTGTCTGCATGTTAGGAAGCATTCCACCTCTCCTTAAGATTTATGAGCAACACGTGTTCTTCAACTATGAACTATAATGGACATCTTCATAATTAGATATTGGTGTACTTTCCAAATATAAGCTTTTTGATAAAGTGGTGAATTTTTGAAGTTAGTAGTCAGATATTTGACTTAATTCTGAGAGCTAGCTGCTATTCTCCCATTTCTCAGTTGCCCGTGTGGAGGGGCTTCCTAGAGTAGTGCTCCTTGCCTCTTGCCTATCCCTTGCTTATGCATCCTCAAAGGATGTGAGCTACCAAGTTCATGAGTAACCACCATTGCTCCACTGTTTATAGCAATAACCTTCTTAAACATTTTGAGCAATTGGGATTAACTCTCTCCGCTCTCTTCTTGATACCAAGAAGAGACAATAATTTCAATAGACCGTAATTTTATCTAGGGTAACCTGTCCCAAGAAGCAATCAGCAATGGGAGAGAGGGCAGGAGAAGAGTAGGCAGGAAGAAATGGGAGCCAGGAAATAGCATTTCATAGTCATTTTTAAGCTATATTCTCCAAACAGTGTTACCCTCATTAACTAGGATATTTTTATTATTGTCACAATTAGTGGTGAAGAAAAAAATGAATGCAATTTATGCCCTCAAATTTGAATACCTGGTTCTCTGATTAGGTACCCAGGAAAAAGAAAAAGACAATGAGTTGTGTTTGAAGAGCACTTACAGACTTTGACTTCAATAAACTTGGTTACATGGAACTTTGACATTGACTGTCACAGCTAATTATGGCTAGAATCTGTAAGCGGAGCGTATTTTTAATAGGGTGGGGTGTTTGGATAATTCAAGTTATGAAGGCATCAGTGTGTGGTCTCCAGCAACTGATTTGGAAAAATAGAGGTGTGGCTTGTATCTAAGCAGGCACAGCTGAGGCAAAGTTTTAATTAGAGAGAAAAGAAAGTTTTTATGTAGACAGGCTTTTTAAGCATTGGGAAAGAATAATTTTTATTCCTTTTTTGTTTCTCTGTGTGATTTGCAAACAAGGAAGTCAGGACTGCAAAGGCAGTTGAGACCTACCTTTACTATAGAGCACTAAGACTCTAGTTTCAAACTGTTAGTTGCAGACTGAGATGTAAAGTACCATATCAGCTGTCCCAAAGTCCCTCTTGCTGAGACAAAGGAGAATAAGATATGGGCAAGAGTGAATTTTAGACTTTAATTTATTTGGTCTTTTAATGCAAAAATTCAATAAAATTTGATTTGGGACTTTGAAGACTTGGTCTGCAATTTCTAAGGGCTTAAACTTGTAACATACTCTGTGAACTTTAATATCTCTTTGGAAAATTCATAATAAGAATGAATTTATATAACAATTATGAGTACCTCTAAATTGTAGGCCTTAAATAATTGGTATAACTTAATGCTGTCATAAATTCATTACGTAAAACCTATGTTGAGCTATTGTGGACTACATGTCTGGAAATTTTGCAACGATAATCAAAGAGGGAGTGAACTTTCAGCCCTGAATATAGTGAGGCATTGATAAGATTTAATCAATATGTTGTTCTAACCTATTTCTGAGATTTCTGGAGACAAAATGTGCACCAATAAGCAACAGTTCAAAGACAATTCAGAGGGGGACAATTGTTAGAGACACTTCACTCAAATAGAAGCCGGACTTGCCCAGGCTTAATATTTCAGATAACTGGATTAAGACAACCAAAAGCAAAAGAAATTCGTGGAAAATGACTCAGGGAAGAAACATTTAACCCCCATTTCTTCAGTCTCCATGTGGAGTCACCTTGCTGAAGCAATATATTTGAATACTTTCCAACTTCCTTCTTGTCCTTTTATACCAGAGGAGTACGATACCTCGTTGGTGAAAGATGGCCATTGGTCAACCTTTCTCAGTTCCTAGGATCTGATCTACTAAAAAGCAAAAACATCAATAATTTGGTCTCTTTTATTTCCTCTCTGCCTGTGGCCAAAGAAAAAGTGACACTGGATAAATCCATCTACTCTGCAGAACCAAAACGTCCTTCAGGTGGGCTATTTGTATAGCTAGACTGGGAGAAGAAAAGGAGAGAGGATTCGTAACATAATCTGATCCTTATATCTGAGCCACATTCTTCAAAATAAACAAACAAAAATTAAGAAAATGTGTCAGCAGACATACAGTAAAAGAAATAATAAAGGAAATTCTTCGGGCAGAAGATAAATGACCTCCAGAGAAAAACATGGAAATTTAGGAATAAATAACAAATATTAGAAATGTAAACTGCATGGGATACAATAAATTTAAAATGTATAATCAAAATACATAACAACACAAATGGTGGGCAATAAGTGGTAGATGAAGTTAAAGTGTGTCAAGGTCCTAGCATTATCAAGGAAGTGGTCAAAGCAATCATTTTCATTTGACTACAATAAACAAAGATACAATGTGTAATTGCCAGATTAACCAGCAAAGCAACAGGAGAAAAACAAAACAAGACCAAGAGTTTCTAATAATTTACAGAGGAAAATAGACTGATAAAAAATACCAAATAAAGAAGACAAGAAAGAACAAAAAAAAAGGCAACATAAAACAGGTGACCTAAATAGAGACAAATATCATAATGTTAGGAAAAATAAACATGCCTAGAAGTAGATAAAATACTCAGGCAAAAAATCTCATTGTTAGACAGGATGTAAAAACAAAACTCATTACATTATGCTTCTAAGAAAACTACCTGAAATATACAGATGTCAAGAAGTTAAAAATAAAAAGATAAAAAAGAATATACCATGGAAACATTAACCAATAGGCTTCTAAAGCTATAGCTCAAATAGATTTAAGACAATAAATGAGGTGGAGGGAGACATTTCTCAATGATAAAGAGATACGGTAGACCAGGAAGATATTATAATCCTAAATATATGTGTATCAAACAATATATTTTAAATTACATATTAAGCTAAATTTCATAGAACTAAAAAGAATACACAAATTTTAATAAAATTATCTCAATCACTGATAGAATGAGTTGCCAAAAATCAGTAAGAAAATGGAAAAACACAACATCAAAAATACAACAATATAATTGATAAACACAACCTATAGAACTTTCACCCAACAATAATACCCATTTTTCTTCAGGTGCAATATTTACTAAAATTGATCCTACTCTGTGTCATAAAGCAAATCCCAGAAAATGTCAAAGGATTAAAATAATTCAGGGTTTGTTTTCTAAACACAGTTGAAGAAACCTAAAAACAAATAACTGGAAAGTAACTAGAAATTCCCAAAAGCCATTCACTGAATCCTAGGCCAAGTAAAAAAGACAACAGAAATTAGAAAATCTTTTGAACTGAGTCATAATGAAAACATGAACACATGAAAGCTAGTTGGATGCATCTAAAGAATGATTGGGGCCGGGCGCGGTGGCTCACGCCTGTAATCCCAGCACTGTGGGAGGCCGAGGCGGGTGGATCATGAGGTCAGGAGATCGAGACCATCCTGGCTAACAAGGTGAAACCCCGTCTCTACTAAAAATACAAAAAAAAAAAATTAGCCGGGCGCGGTGGCGGGCGCCTGTAGTCCCAGCTACTCGGGAGGCTGAGGCAGGAGAATGGCGTGAACCCGGGAAGCGGAGCTTGCAGTGAGCCGAGATTGCGCCACTGCAGTCCGCAGTCCCACCTGGGCGACAGAGCGAGACTCCGTCTCAAAAAAAAAAAAAAAAAAAAAAAAAAAAAAAAAAAAAAAAAAAAAAAGAATGATTGGATGAATTTCTTTAGCCTTAAATGAATACATTAGAAAGTGAAGAACAAGTAAAAGTTAATTAAGCCTCTGATATCTCCAAGCCTCCAAATCTCATGTTGAATTGTAATCCTAGTGTTGTAGGTGGGGTCTGGAAGGAGGTGGTTAGAGTATGGGGGCAGATTTCCCCACTGGTGCTGTTCTTGTGATAGCTAGTGAGTTCTCATGAGATCTGGTAGTTTAAAAGCATATGATGTCTTCCCCTTTCTTCTCTTTTCCTCCTGCTCCAGCTATATGAAATGCCTTCTTCAGCTTTGCCTTACACCATGATTGGAAGTTTCCTAAGACTTCCCCAGAAGCAGAAGCTGACATGCTTCCTGTACAGGCTGAAGAACCATGAGCCGATTAAACCTCTTTTCTTTATAAATTACCCAGTCACAGGTATGTCTTTATAGCAGTGTAAGAATAGACTAATACAGGAAATTGGTACTGAGGAGTGAGGCATTGTTATACAAATACCTGAAAATGTAGAAGCAGCTTTGGGATTGGGTAACAGGCAGAAGCTACAAGTGTGTGGAGGGCACAAAAGAAGACAGGAAGATGAGGGACAATTTGGAACTTCCTAGGGACTTGTTAAATTGTTGTGACCAAAATGCTGATAGTGACATGAAAAGGGATGGACAGGCTGATGAAGTCTCAGATGGAGATGAGAAAATTATTAAGAAGTAGAGCAAAGGCCACCTTTGTTATGCTTTAGCAAAGAGCCTGGCTGCATTATGCCCCTGCTCTAGGGATCCGCAGAACTTTGAACTTGAGAGTGATGATTTAGGATATCTGGTAGAAGAAATTTCTAAATAGCAAAGTGTTCAAAATTTTGCCTGGCTGCTTTCAACAGCCTATAATCCTATGTGTGAGCAAAGAAATGACATGAAATTGGAACTCATATTTTAAAAAGAAGCAAAGTGTATAAGTTTGGCAAATTCGCAGCCTGGTCATGGAGTAGAAAAGAAAAGCCCATTTTCAGGGGAGGAATTCATATGGGCTGCAGAAATGTGCATAGGTAAAAGGAAGACAAGTACTGATAGCCAAATCAATGGGAGAGAGCTTTGAAGGCATTTTAGAGATCTTCATGGCAGCTCCTCCCATCATAGGCCCAGGGGTCTAGGAGGGAAGAATGGTTTCCTGGGCCAGGTCCAGGGCTCCACTGTTCTGCATAGTCTTGGGACACTGCTGCTTGCATCTTGGCTGCTCAAACTCCAGCCATGGCCCAAAGGGGCCCAGGTACACCTTAGGCCTGTACCTGCTTCAGAGGGTGCAAGCCATAAGTCTTGGCACTTTTTACATGGTATTAAGCCAGTGGGTGCACAGAGTTCAAGAGTTGAGGTATGGGAGCTTCCACATAGATTTCAGAGGATGTATGGAAAAGCCTGGATGTACAGGCAGAAGCCAGATTCAGGGATGGAGCCCTCAGAAAGAACCTCTTCTAGAGTAGTCTGGAGGGAAAATGTGGTGTTGGAGCCCCCACACAGAGTCCCTACCGGGGCACTACCTGGAGGAGCTGTTAAAGAGGGCCACCATACTCCAGAACCCAAAATGGTAGATCTACCGGCAGCTTGTACTCTGTGCCTGGAAAAGCCGCAGGCACTCAACCCAGCCTGTGAGAGCAGCCATGGGGCCTGAACCCTGGAAAGCCATGGGGGCAGAATGGCCCAAGGGTTTGGGAGCCCATCCCTTGCATCAGTATGTCCTGGATGTGAGAGATGGAGTCAAAAGAGATTATTTTGGATCTTTAAGATTTAATTACTGTCCTGCTATGTTTTGGGCCCACGTGTGGCCTGCGGCTGCTTTCTTTTGGATGATTTCTCCCATTTTGGATGGAAATATTTACCCAATGCCTGTACCTCCATTGTATGTGGAAAGTAACTGACTTGTTTTTTTTACTTTATATGCTCATAGATGAAAGGGACTAGCCTTGTCTCAGATGAGACATTAAACTTTGGACTTTTGAGTTAATGCAAGAATGAGTTATGATTTTGGGGTAACTATTGGGAAGTCATGATTGCATTTTGAAATGTAAGAAGGACATGAGATCTAGGAGAGGCCAGGGGTGGAGTGATTTGGTTTGGCTGTGTGTCCCTGCGAAAATCTCATGTTGAATTGTAATCAATTCAACCAACACCAGTGTTGGAGGTGGGCCTGGTGGGAGGTGATCGTATAATGGTGGCAGATTTCCCCATTGGTGCTGTTTTCATGTAGTGAGTTCTTGCAAGATCTGGTTGTTTAAAAGTGCGCTGCACCTCCCCCTTCCTTCTCTCTTCCTACTTTTTTGGGCATGTGAAATGTCTTCTCCTGCTTTAAATTCCACCAGGATTGTAAGTTCCCTGAGACCTTCCCAGAAGCAGAAGTGACGATGCTTCCTGTGTAGCCTATGGAGCTATGAGCCAATTAAACCTCTTTTTTTTTTATAAATCACGTAGTCTCTGGTATTTCTTTATAGCAGTGCAAGAACGAACTAATATAAATTCCATATTGAGTAACTAGAAAAAGACATCTGAACAAATCCAAATAAAGTAGAACAAATAAAATAAGAAACAGTAAGAAATCATGAAGTAGTAAATGAAATAAAGAAAAATCACCAAAGCCAAAAGTTGTATTTTTTAAAAGATTGGTAAAGTTAATGAACAATGTAGACAGCTGATTAAGAAAAAAAAGAAATAAAACATTAATGTCTAATATCAGGAATGAAAACTTAACCTCACTACAGAAGCTAGAGAAATTTAAAAGATAGTAAGTGGGTATTTTTTTTAAAAATCTATATCAACAAATTTGACAGTAAAGGTGAAATAAATTTGTTGGTAAACTGATAAAAGAGCAAATAGAAAATCTAAATAATCCTATCATAAAGAGTCTGAATATTAATAAAAACTTTTCCAAAAAGAAAAAATTACCAGTCCAGATTGCTTTTATGTTGAATTTATATATGTATGTGTGTGTGTGTGTGTGTGTGTGTGTGTGTATTTAATTTAGACAGTCTTCAAGACGATAAAACTCATTTTATAGTGCTAGAAGAATGCTGACAAAATAACATGACGAAGGCAACGAAAGAAAGGCAAAATTAAGAATGATGTCTGTCATAAGTGTAGAGGCAAAAACAAAACATTAGCAATTGGAATTTAATGACACAGAAAAAAATGTAATACATTATGGCCAAGTGTGGTTTATTGCAGTAATGTCAAAATGTTTTAGCACTAAAAAAAATCAATACAATTCACCACAATAAAGAAAAAATGGAGGAAATGATGATTACCTAGGTAGATGTAGAAAAGCACTTAAAATTTAACACAAGATTTTTTTCCTAATTCTATTAAACAAGGAACAGAAGAAAATTTACTAGATGTGATGAAGAGAATCTAAAAGTAACTTACAGTAACATCATATTTAATGATGAATTTTTCAACACTTTACAGGAGCAAAAAAAGAAAGAAAAAGGATGTCTTTATCATAGTTTCTGATTAACTTTACACTTGAAGTCCTAACCAGGGCAAAACGTTAAGAAAATGAGCATTAGATGGAAGAGAATAACACACATTTTTACAAATTGCAAGTTTATTTTTTAAAATCCAAAAGACACCTCAAACCAATAGAACTAAGTATTGTCTTTGGCAAGGTTGTTGGGGATTGAACTTGTGATCAATATGTGAAATCAATGATAATTCCTATGGATAAGCAATAACCAAAAACTGAAATTTTGAAAAAATATTAATTAAATCAATGCAAATAAATTGATCCAACAACAGACACAGAAGACCTCACCTGCAAAAAATCTAAAATAAATCTAAAATTGACGAGCTGATTCAAAAACATATATGGAAAATAAAAGACTAAGAATAGCAAAGCGATGTTGAAAAAGAATATGGCTAAACATTTACCCAAATATGAAGGCTTGTTATAATGTGAGCGCAAGACAGACAGTGTACTCTTACTGAAAGGAGAGAAAAATAGATCAATAGAATACAATACAACAATGGGAAACACTCATACAAGAGACAGAAGAGGTAGTATAGAAACATTCACACATATGTGTTGCTCTTATTTCTATCAAGCATGTTGCTATAGTGCAGTAAGGAAAAGGTGACCTTTTGAACAAATTGTTCTGGGTCAGTTGGCTATCTGTATGCTAGTTATTAAATCAATCCTTACATTAAACCTAGCTATCAATTCCGGATGGATTGTGAAAGATATAATGACATAAATTTTAGAAAAAAGTACTATATTTTCACAAACTTGCACAAGCTAAGATTTCTCAATCAAGACACATAGAGCATTAATTATAAAAGGAAAATGATAAATTAGACTAAATCAAAATTTTGAAGTTTTATTTACTGACACCATTAAAAGAGGCAAAATCATGCCACAAAGTAAGATTATTTATAAGACGTAAACTGACGAAGACTAATATATAAAAATATATAAGTCAGCTAGGAAAATGGCAGAAATGTGGAAAAGCCTTTACAAAAGAGTATACATGAATGGTAATAAGCATATGGAACAGTGCTAAATATCATTATTCGTAAGAGAAAGTTAAAATAAAACCACAAGCAAACTTTACATATTTATGGCTAATTAATTTACAACAAGGGTGCCAAGACAATTCAATAGGTAAAGAATAGTCTTTTCAATAAACGGTGCTGTAACAACTAGATATTTATATGCAAAAGTATAAAATTGGAATCCTACCAAATACTATATAAAGAAATCAATTCAAAACGGATCAAAGACCTAAAAGTACAACAAAACTCTTAAGACAAAAACACATACAAATCTTCATGACCTTTGATTAGACACAGTTTTTAAGATACCAACTGCCCAAGTAATCATACTAAAATTTGATAAATTAGACTCCATCAAAATTAAAAACATTTGTGCAGCAAAGGACACCATCAAGAAAGTTAAAAGACAACCCAGAGAATAGGAGAAAATATTTGCAAATCATACATCTGATAAAGGTTTAGGATTCAGAATATATACAAAACAATTGTGATTCAACAATAACAGGACAAATAACCCACTTATTAAATGGGTAAAGGATTTGAACAGACATTTCTCCAAAGAAGATATACAAATGGGAAATAAACACATGAAAAAATACTCAACATCACCAGCCATTAGGAAAATGCAAATCAAAACCACAATGAGATACCACTTCATACCCACTATGATAACTATAACAACAAAAAAGCATCAGTGGGGACAGATTTGAGAGACTGGAATGCTCCTACATTGATGGGAAGAATGTAAAATACCATAGCCACTTTGGAAACAGTCCGGCAGTTCCTCGAAAAATTCAATATCAACTACATGACTCAGTAATTCCATTCTTTGCTATACAGCTAAGACAGCTGAAAACAAACATCCACACAAGAACTTATACATGAATGTTCACAGCAACATTATTCATAATAACCAAAAATGGAAACAAACCAAATGTCTATTAATGGATGAATGGATAAATAACATATGATTTAACCATGTAATGAAATATTATTCATCCATAAAAAGGAATGAAATACTGATTAATGATAGATACAACAGGGAAGAACCTGGAAAACATTATGCTAAGTGAAAGAAGCGAAACACAAAAGGCCACAAATTGTATGATTCCACTTATACAAAATGCCTAACATAGGCAAGTTCATAAAGACAGAAAGTTCTTTATTATTTTCTAAGTTCTGGGAGTAAAGGGAAATGGGGAGTAACTGCTAATGGGTACAAGTTTCTTTTTGGAGTGATGAAAATGTTCTGGAATTAGATCATGATAATGGCTGCACAATACTGTGAGTATACTAAAAAAAAAACCCTGAATAACTCATTTTAAAGGCTTAATTTCATGATATTTAAATTATATCTCACTTTTTAAAATAGAAAATAAGATCACCATCATGCTGTCATATGACCATCATCAGAATGAATGAAATTAAAAAGACAACAAATTGTTGCTACAATTTTGGACCAACAGAACTTCTCACACACTTTTGGTGGGCATGTAAATTGAAGAAATCGCATTGAAAACTCTTTTCTATTTCCACTAAAGCTGAAAATATGCAAAACCTATGATTTTGCAGTTATCTCCTTGGCGTATACACTATAGAAATATGTATGTATGTTCACATAATTCATATAATGTATGTTACAAGTATGTTTACATCAGTGCTACTTGTAAAATCCCCAAACTATAAACAACCCAAATGTCCACCTATAGTAGAATGGATTAAAACTACTGTGGCAGTGTTCATACAATGAAGTGCTATGCAACAGTGAGGATGAACAAATTATTGCTACATGCAACAACATGGATGAATCTCACAAACGTAATGCTGAGTAAGATAAGTCATACCCAAAAGAATACAAACTATGGCCGAGCACGGTGGCTTACGCCTGTAATCCAAGCACTTTGGGAAGCTGAGGCAGGCAGACCATGAGGTCAGGGGTTCAAGACCAGCCTGACCAACATAGTGAAACCTCCTATCTATCCTAAAAATACAGAAATTAACCAGGTGTGCTGGCACACACCTGTAGTCCCAGCTACTCAGGAAGCTGAGGCAGGAGAATCGCTTGAACCCAGGAGGCGGAGGTGGCAGTGAGCCAAGATCGCGCCACTGCACTGGAGACTTGAGCCTGGGTGACAGAGACAGACTCCGTCTCAAAAAAAAAAAAAATATATATATATATATGTGTATATATATATGTGTATATATATATGTGTGTGTGTATATATATATATATATATATATATATATATACACACACACACGCATATATGATCCCATTAATATAAACTTCAGAAACAAAAGACTTCTCTAAAGCATTAGAAGCCAGGATACTTTTGGGGCAAATGGCAGTGGAAAAAGCACAGCATAAGAGACCTTCTGAGGCTCTGGTAATGTTCTATTTTGATCTGGGTGCTGGTTACAAGAGTGGGTTCACTTTATGAAAATTTTTGAGTTATATATGAAAATCATTGAGCCATCTGAAGGTGTATTATACTTCAATTTACAAAGTTTATGCTAAAAGTAAAGAGTCAAGAGAGAAAAATCATCATAATGTATAAATACTTAATGTATGTTAAAACTAGCATTTCAAATCACTTGATAAAATTTTTAGAGTGCAAAAAACAATAATACAGCTTTATGTGGAAATCCATTAATGACTTCTCTCCAAATTCAAGAACAATTGATGATTAGCTTCAAATATTCATAAGAATATTTTCCATATTTTTCCTATGTCCTGTTTGACTCTTTCATTGCTATGGTCAATACATTCCATATCAATGGCCTTCTCCAGATACAAACTTTGCAAGCCTCCAAACAGAAAATGAGAATTAGAAATTTTTCTTAGTGAATCTATGATGGTTCCTGAGAATTACCACAGTCTTTTCTAGATTTTCTCAATAGTTTAAAATATCTAGGAAAACTGAGATCAAGTTTTACTTACCTATAGTCTTAAGAATCTATATTAGTACTCATCTGACAAAGGGCTAATATCCAGAATCTACAATGAACTCAAACAAATTTACAAGAAAAAAACAAACAACCCCATCAAAAAGTGGGCGAAGGACACAAACAGACACTTCTCAAAAGAAGACATTTATGCAGCCAAAAGACACATGAAAAAATGCTCATCATCACTGGCCATCAGGGAAATGCAAATCAAAACCACAATGAGATACCATCTCACACCAGTTAGAATGGCAGTCATTAAAAAGTCAGGAAACAACAGGTGCTGGAGAGGATGTGGAGAAATAGGAACACTTTTACACTGTTGGTGGCACTGTAAACTAGTTCAACCATTGTGGAAGTCAGTGTGGCGATTCCTCAGGGATCTAGAACTAGAAATACCATTTGACCCAGCCATCCCATTACTGGGTATATACCCAAAGGACTATAAATCATGCTGCTCTAAAGACACATGCACACGTCTGTTTATTGCGGCATTATTCACAATAGCAAAGACTTGGAACCAAGCCAAATGTCCAACAATGATAGACTGGATTAAGAAAATGTGGCACATATACACCATGGAATACTATGCAGCCATAAAAAAGGATGAGTTCATGTCCTTTGTAGGGACATGGATGAAGCTGGAAACCATCATTCTCAGCAAACTATCGCAAGGACAAAAAACCAAACACCGCAAGTTCTCACTCACAGGTGGGAATTGGACAATGAGAACACATGGACACAGGAAGGGGAACAACACACTCTGGGGACTGTTGTGGGGTGGGGGGATGGGGGAGGGATAGCATTAGGAGAGATACCTAATGCTAAATGATGAGTTAATGGGTACAGCACACCAGCATGACACATGTATACATATGTAACTAACCTGCACATTGTGCACATGTACCCTAAAACTTAAAGTATAATAATAATAAAATAAAAAAAAAATTTTAAATTAACAAAAAGAATCTATGTTATACTGTTTAAAAAATTGGAAAAGGGTTAATTGATCTCCAGTTTCAGGAGATGTCTTAGTCCATTTTCTGTTGCTTATAACAGAATATCTGAAACTGGGTAATTTACTTAAAAAAGAATTTTTTCTTATAGGTATGGAGGCTGTGAAGTCTAAGATCAGGGTACTGCCTCTGGTGAGTGTCTTCTTGCTATTGAAGACTCTCTGCTGAGTCCCAAGGTGACAAAGGGCATCACATAGTTAGAGGGCTGAGTGTGCTAGTTCAGGTTTCCCTTCTTCTTATAAAGTCATCAGTTCCTCTCTCATGATAACCCAGTAATCCATTAACCCATTAATTAATGATGTATTAATTCCTGAATGGATTAATCCATTTGTGAGGGCAAAACCCTCATGGCCCAATCACCTCTCAAAGGCCTCATTCTCAATACTGCTACATTGGAGATTAAATTGCAACATAAGTTTTGGAGAAGACAAACATTCAAACCATATCAGGGGATATTCCCATGATTTCTCAAATAGTTCAGCATTATTCCATGTCAATGTATATATTTGCAAAAGAATTTAAAATTTCATTTAATCCCAGTTTTTATTATCAACTACTTCTGATCATTGATGCTTACAATAAAATAAATAATTTTGATATTTGTAATATTACAAACTGTGTATCTCCTTACGGGGAGAAAAAAATTCGTTTTATTAGCTACTAAATCTTTTACGTTTGTTAAGAGTCCACAAGATTTTTCGAGGCTGAATTCAATTCCAATTCCCTGCCTTCACATTAAAGTCTACATAAACTGCTCCATATGAATAGTTATTTAATATTTTATTACAGCTTTTAATTTTACTATCCCCTCAGTAACTTATTTCCCTGCTTACAAACCTTATGGTCAAGAAATTCTTCCCAACAGCAAATATAAATTTTCCATTCTGGTTTCCTAGCATTAAAAGACTTATTAAATTTTCCTTACCTCCACCCTGACCCATTCTTCTCTAACAAAACCACAATCTTTTACATTCTCCCTTCCATTTCTAATGCCATCTTTTGTCATGCATTAGCTAGTACCATATAAGCTGCTGCAATAAAAGAACATAGAGTATTTGCTAAAATAATCAATTAGGATCAGAAAGCTGGGTTCAGACTAACCTTTACTGCAACTGTAATCATAATTAAATTTCATAACCTCTATCAGCCTCACTTTCCTGATCTGAAAAATAGAAATAACAACAGTATCCACTTCATAAATTTATTGTGAAGATTATATGATATGGAATATGAAGTAAGCCAATGCCTTCTTACACTAAGAGCTCAATAAATAGTGTTGTTATAATTGTTATCGTAGTAGTAGTTTCTGCTTACAAATAAATGAAACAGCTAGGTTAACCCAAAAAATGGGAGAATAGGGCAGAGAATATGCATGATGCTTGGTGGAAGAACTCAAGAAATAATCCTTTGTAGTTACAATAATAAATAATGCTTAGCAGACTGCTTATAGTTATAATAATAAATAATGCTTAGCAGACACACAGCAGTTAGGGTCACTGAGGGGCCACAGCAGCTGGGGCTCCGCACTGTTCAGCATAAAGGGCACACAACCCCAAAGCTGCTCTAACTCTCCACTCCAAATTTCAAATTCCTAGGAGAGAATGCCGAATTACTCCAACTAGATTCAGGATATGTATTACTCTTGGGTCAATAAGCAAAGAACAGAAGGCCACAGGTATCACCAATAGAGATACACTCCTGTGTATGAAACCAACATCAAGAAAGAGGGTATTGGATCAACATTTTTAGATTTCACATAAGAGTGAGATCATGCAGTATTTTCTCTTTCTTTCCCTGAAATAGCTATTAAGTGTTCTCTCCACAAAAATGATAATTATGTGAGGTGATGCATATGTTAATATTGCGTAGGTTTAGCCATTCCACTATGTATGTATGTATGTATGTATGTATGTGTGTATGTATGTATGTAAATCATGTTGTACATGATAAACACATACAATTTTATCTGTCAATTCACAAAATAATGTTTTTGAAAAGAAAAAAACAAAAGAAAGTGGGTATTGGGCGGCCATACCCCTTGGTGTTGTTTTCTATCACTGATAGCGCTACTATAGCAGCAGCTACTACTGCTCCTGTAATTTCTCCTACTGCTGTTACTGCTACACCTCCTTTTATTATTATTAGCAAGCCACTTTAGTCCTTCATCTAGAATTGATGAGAAGACAGTAAACAAAATAAAAATCCTTGCCCTGCAAATCACAGAGGTTTGGAAATTGTGACTGCTGCCCACTATGATACCACAAGGAAAGAAAAAAGTCACGTTGAAAGATATTTATTTAGAGGAATTTTAACTTCATCAATTTAAAGATATAATCCTATTCCCAGACATATAATAAGAATAACTTCCAGAATCCCTCAGCAAACTTGAAACAAGAAAATATAACAATAACAGCTTTCAAATACTTTTACTATGCCCTGTAATTTGTACATTATTTTTTACTTTACCAAACACACTCTAAAAAATATTAAATTTACACATCATTTCTGCCTCAACTTGGCAAAGTATTGCAAAGTACATATTTATAAAGCAAGATTCAATTAAAATAGATTTAAATTATCTAATTTTGACTAAATTCCTTATTTAAATAATTATTGATTTAGCCAAGTAAACTGCCATGGATACTGTATTTTGTTAGTTATTACCAAACATATTCAGGCTTTCAAAAGTAAACAACACACCTTATAATTAGGCAATATGAAATTAATATGAATGGTCTAGCATTATCGTTACTATTTCCCCTAATTGAAAGGCAGCTAGCTAGTATACTAAGGAAAAAGGAATGAAGTTTTTAAAAGTATTGGAAAAAGAAGGAGTCTATGACTGAATAGAATTATTTTTATGGATTAATCTAATTTGCTAAGCACAGTAGCAAAATAAAGAGCAGGTGAATAAGAAATGCACAATCCATGCAATGTTTTGAATGTTTTTGTCCTCTCTAAAACTCATGTGTTGGAAACTTAAGCCCCAATGCAACAGTGAGGTGAGGCCTAATGGGAGGTGGGCAGGTCAGGAGGGTTCTGTCCTTATGAAAGGATTCATGAACCTATTTTCTACTGCAGAAGCGGCTTCCAGGAGTGGGTTCTCTCTCTCTCTCTCTCTTGCTCTTCTGTCATGTGAGGACACAAAGTTCCTCCCCTTGGGAGGATGCAGTATTCAAGGCACCAGCTTGGAAGCAGAGACAAGGTCCTAAATTGTGCAACAAAAATAACAAAGATTTTCTTTACATCTAATTAGACATAAAGGCTAGAACAATGTTCTTGTGAAAGGATGCTTTTAAGATGCTTTTTTGGAATTGAAATAGTAACAACATTTGTTTTTTTGTGATAAACACATACCAAACCTGATGGTGACTTGATCTTGAAGTTCTCAGCCTCCAGAACCAAAAGAAATACATTTCTATTCTTTATAAATTACCCAGCCTATGGTATTTTGTTATAGAAGCACCAAATGGACTAGAAAAACTGAGTGTGTGTTAGAGTAATAGGAAAAAGCATTGACTTTGCAGCCAAATAACCCTGAGCACAATCCTAACTCTGCCACTTATTTGTCAATTCAAGAACCAGTTTCAAAATTTATTTGATCCCCAGTTTCTTCACCTGGGAATAGGCACGTTAGAATCTAACTTAATTATTTCTCTGAGAAGACAATATACAGAAATAAAAAATAAGGGTCTAGCATGGAGCACAGCACACAATAAATCATTAGTTCACTTATTTCTTAAATTACCCTTACAGATGCACAAAATTTAAGTTCCATTCAAATATTACTTAAATTTTTTCTTCAAATAGATCAAGCTTAGCATCCATTTGATTCCAATAAAAGGAATGCCAATTACATAAAGATAAAGACTTAACAACACAGATTAGTCAAGGGTTTTATTCAAGGCTGAATGGAAGCCTTCGGTCAAGTCAGAAAAAAAGCCTAGGTCTCTTGACTTTTAGCTATGTGCTAAAATGTACTCTGCCTTACCTCTAGGTGACATCTGTTCCAGAGTTTTTGGATGCTTGCCATATAGTAGCCATACTACCCACACTTGAATATCAGAGCAGCAACAAATACAACTAGGTAGAAAGTCAAAGATATTCACCACGTTTGGAAAAGAATATGTTGCTTGTGTCAAAAACTAAATTAAAACGGTAAGCAAAGAGAACAAACAGCACACTGAGAAAAGGAATCTCAATAGGGGATTTTTATCTTGGTGGGGTGAGGAGGGTGGTGGAGGTGGAGATTGCACACATGAAAAAGAAAAAAAAATCCACTGGTGTAATTTACCTTGCAAATACAGTATAAGTCAGTCACCTCTCCATTCTGATGTCTTTACTTACTATCCCCATCCCATCCAGACTCAACAGAATAGTTTAGTTACAACTAAAGAAGCCAATAGATTCATGGCATGTTCTAGTAGAAAACATACAAAATGAGAAATGGAGAGAAACCTAGGCTGTTTTCCCAAAAATATTTATGGAAACCACACTACAATGTTCCTGAAGAAACAAAAAGAAGAAGAAAAGGAAGATTACTGTGAGGTGAAAGGAATCAGGACAAAGATGAAAGAAAAATAAGCATAGAAAAGAAAGGCCTTTCACAGGATTTGTACTGCACATGTGCACTTATTTTATTCAGAAGAATGTTGCTACAGAACCCAGCAGGGGTAAACTATTATTTATCTCTGGTTATTAGCCAAGTCTAAATTGTGTAACAAAAATAACAAAAGATTTTCTTTATATCTAATTAGACATAAAGGCTAGAACAATGTTCTTGTGAAAGGATGCTTTTAAGATGCTTTTTTGGAATTGAAATAGTAACAACATTTGTTTTGTGTGGTAAACAGAAGCCTTTTGGCAGTGCAGTTGCTTTCATTTTGAAACTGCCAAGAATTATTTGCTTATCTGTGGAATTTCAACTACTTTCCCTGCCTGTGAGTCATATTGATGCTGATCTAGAATAAACAGGACTGCACAGAACACTGGGTCTTACTGTGGTCTTTGGGCAATTTCCTCCCACCCTTGCCCAACACACAGGGGCAGGCATTCACAGTACGCCACTAGGAGAGGGTAAAAGAAGTGGAAAAGAGAGAAGATAATGCAAAGGGAGAGAAAGAAGAGACACACAAAAGCATGATAAAAAAAGAAAATTCAACAAGGGAGGGAAGGACATGAGAGAAAAGGAAGAGAAATGTCAGAGAGGATGACAGAAGTCCTAGAGACATAAAGAAGCAGAAAAGAAAAGTGTCAAAAAACCAAAATAATAAAAAGAAAAAAGAAGGTGGAAAAGGGAGAAATGTGAGAGGGTTAGGTAGATAGAGCAAGAATTCAGAAAGTACAGGGAATAACAGTGAAAAAGTGGGAAGAAGCTTGGAAAGACTTCATGGAGCAGGAATAGCCTAATATAATTTGGAAGGGACTGCAGAGTTGTCTAAATAATAATGCTATTTGACAGTTTGATATGTATTTATAGCTGATTCCAGCTTTCTCTGAATATTATATAGGATTATCCAGATTTTCTGGGGTTTATCACCACAGGCATGTAGGATTAACAGCCTGATGAAGTGAACAATTATTTTTCAATCTGATCCTTAGGCTTGTAGAGCACTTTTCCCAAGTTCCCTGAACATAGTACATAAAATGCAATAACCAATGGAAAACTGTGTGCATGTGTGTACATGTGATGAGTGTGTACACATTTATCTATCAACATCTAAAATTCTTCGATCTGGGCTTAAAATCTACAAAAGTACTAGGTTCAGAAAAATGCCTTAAAGTAGCAAGTGTTATTGTTCACCTATGATGTGTCAGACAAAGGGAATTAAGTGGGAAAAAAAATAGGAGACAGAGTCCCTGTCTCATAGTGCTCAGAGTCCAGAATGTAGGGTATGTGGTAAGTGGTATGTCAGAGATAGTGCAGAGCTACAGGAAGCATGTAACCAGAGACCCAGCTTAGTACAAGTGGGAATATCTGTTTGAAAACTTAAAAATGATTGAAAACTAACCAGGTAAAAATGGAAAGGGGTTAGGGATGTTGCAAGGAAACAGGAGGATGTTCAAGGCAGAACAGAGCAAAGGAATGATCTCTTTGCTTTACAGTACGTCTTTTTCTATGTCTGTGATCACAAAATATAATGACAGTGTTGAGACAGAATGTTGTGCTGGAAGGAGAGACACATCATGAAAAGACTTGCAGATCTGCTATGGATCTAGGGTTTTATAATCAGGGCAATTCAAACATTGTCTGGGAGAGGGCAGGCTTGAGAAAGGAAAAAGAAAAAAAAAGAAAGAAAAGTTGTTCAGTAAGGGATTACCAATACAACATTTTATCTTCTAAATACTACTCTTTGAAAAGTAGATGAGAAGTGGAAAAGACTGGTGTCAAGAAATCCAGTTAAGGAGCTCTTATAATAACACATACAGTAGAAGAACCAAGGTAGTGGCAGTGAGGTGAGAGCGAGGAATTTGGATTCCTGAAATACTAATTTGCAGAATCAATGGGATTTGGTGATTGCTACATTTGGAGAAGTAAGGAATCAAAAAGTGAATAGCAAGTCAAGAAGTTATAGGAATTTCAAATTCTTTGACATCAAGAAACATGAATTCTTAGCAACAGTTTTGGTTGATTGAACTGTACTGTGTACTCCTGTGTCTTCTGAGTTTCTCTTTATGTAGATATACGTTCATTAAACAAATTCAACAAAGACTTATTGAACGAATAGTTAAACTCATGAGTGATTGCAAGGGAATGAATAAATGAATAAATACAGGCACAAATGAAAGAACAAATGAATGAGAGGAAAATCAAGGAAACAAAGAGTCAATGAACATATGAAAGATTTCCTCATCAGCAAGGATGGTAAATCATATACTCAAAATAGAGCCTCCTAGTTTTAGGAAATCTAGAACTCAAGATGCTAAATGGGGTGCAAAAATAAAATGCACAACAAAAACAGCCTAATGAAGCTTCATTCTCAATAGATGCAGAAAAAGTTTTCAATAAAATTCAATATCTTTT
Source organism: Homo sapiens (assembly GCF_000001405.40). Taxonomy (NCBI): domain Eukaryota; kingdom Metazoa; phylum Chordata; class Mammalia; order Primates; family Hominidae; genus Homo; species Homo sapiens. The sequence goes on from NC_000009.12 coordinate 23,344,558, forward strand.
CATGAATAAAAAAAGACCTTCAACAGACTAAATATCAAAAGAATATGCCTCAAAACAATAAGGGCCATCTATGACAAACCCACAGCCAACATCACACTGAAAACGCAAGAGTTGGAACCATTCCCCTTGAGAACTGGAATAAGACAAGGAGGCCCACTCTCACCATTCCTATTCAACATCACACTGGAAATGCTAGCCAGAGCAATCAGGCAAGAGAAAGAAACAGAAGACATCCAAACAGAAAAAGAAGATGTCAAGCTATCACTCTTCACTGACAATCTTATTCTATACCTAAAAAACCCTAAAGATTCCACCCAAAAGGATCTTAGAACTGATGAGTGACTTTAGTAATGTTGTAAGATACAAAATCAATGTACAAAAATCAGTAGAATTGATATACCAATAATATTCAAGCTGAGAGTCAAATCAAGAGCACAGCCCCATTTACAATAGCCATGAAAAAGTGAAATATCTAGGAATACAGCTAACCAAGGAGGTAAAAGATCTCTACAAGAACAACTGTAAAACACTGCTGAAAGAACTTAGACACAACACAAATAAATTGAAAAACATTCCATGCTCACGGACTGGAAGAATCAACATTGTTAAAATGTCTATACTGCCCAAAGTGATTTACAGATTCAGTGCTAATCCTATCAAACAAACAAAGTCATTTTTTACAAAATTAGAAAAATCTATTCTAAAATTCATATGGAACCAAAAAAGAGCCCAAATAGCCAAAGCAACTCTAAGCAAAAAGAAGAAACACAAAGAACAAAGCCAGGGGCATTACACTACCTAACTTCAAACTATACTACAAGGCTACAGTAACCAACACAGCATGGTACTGGTAGAAGAGACACATAGACCAATGGAACAGAATAGAGAACCCAGATATAAAGCCACAAACCTACAACCATCTGATCTTTGACAAAGTCAACAAAACAAGCCATGAGGAAAGGACTCCCTATTCAATAAATGGTGCTGGGATAACTGGCTAACTCTATACAAAAGAATGAAACTGGACCCTTACCCTTCACCATACACAAAAATTAACTCAAGATAGATTAAGGACTTAAACATAAGTTCTCAAATTATAAAAATTCTAGAAGAAAACCTAGGAAATAATCTTTCTCAACATCGACCTTGGCAAAGAATTTTTGGCTAAGTCTTCAAAAGCAATTGCAACAAAAATTACAAATGAGACCTAATTGAACCAAAGAGCTTCTGCACAGCAACGGAAACTGTCAATAGAGTAAATAGACACCCTACAGAAGGGGACAAAATATTCACAAACTATGCATCCAACAAAGTTCCAATATCCAGAATTTGTAACTTAAATGCAAAAGCAAAAAACAAACAACCTCATTTAAAAATGCGCAAAGGACATGAACAGATACTTCTAAAAAGAAGATGTGGCCAACAGAAATATGAAAAATGCTCATCATCACTAATCATCAGAGAAATTCAAATCAAAACCACAATGACATACCATCTCACGCCAATCGGAATGGCTGTTATTAAAAAGTCAAAAAATAACATATGCTAGCGAGGTTGTAGAGAAAAGGGAACACTTATATTCCACTGTTGGTGGAATGTAAATTAGTTCAGCCACTGTGGAAAACAGTTTGGATATTTCTGAAATCTCCCAGTGGTTACCCAGCAGTTACCCAGAGTTACCCAGCAGAGTTGACCCAGCAATCCAATCACTGCCTATATACCCAGCAGAAAATAAATCAGGCCGGGCACGGTGGCTCATGCTCGTAATCCCAGCACTTTGGGAGGCTGAGGCGGGCGGATCATGAGGTCAGGAGATGGAGACCATCCTGGCTAACATTGTGAAACCCCGTCTCTACTAAAAATACAAAAAATCAGCTAGGCGTGGTGGCGGGCGCCTGTAGTTCCAGCTACTCGAGAGGCTGAGGCAGGAGAATGGCGTGAACCCGGCAGGCGGAGCTTGCAGTGAGCCGAGGTCACGCCACTGCACTCTAGCCTGGGCGACAGAGGGAGATTCCGTCTAAAAAAAAAAAAAAAAAAAGAAAAGAAAAAGAAAAAGAAAGCAAATCAATTTACCCAAAAGATACATTCACTCTATATTCATGGCAGCACTATTCACAATAGCAAAGATATCGAATCAACATAGGTGCCCATCACCGTGGTACAAATACACCGTGGAATACTACACGACCTTAAGAAAGAGCAAAACTATATCCTCTGCAGCAACATAGATGCAGCTGGAGGCCTAAGTGAAATAATGCATGAACAGAAAACCAAATACCGCATATTCTCACTTATAAGTGACTAACCATTGAGTACATATGGACATAAAGATGAGGATAATAGACACTGGGAACTACTGGGGAGTGGGGGAGAGAAAAGGAGGAGAGATGGGTTACAAAAAACTACCAGTTGGGTACTATGCTTACCACCTGGATGATAGGATCCATACTCCAAACCTCAGCATCACATAATATACCCATGCAACAAACCTTCACATATACCTCCTGTATCTAGAAGTTCAAATTATAGAATAATAATAACAACAAAGCAAACACCATATACCGTCTTTAAAAAAAAATAAATGCAGAGGATTTTTGAAACTTTAAATGTAATAGAAAAAAAATAAGGAAAAAGCTCATTGACATTGGTTTGAGCAACGATTTTTTGAGTATGATCCCAAAAGCTTAGGCCAGCAAAGCAACAGTAGACAAATGGGATTACATCAAAGTAAAAAGCTTCTGCACAGCAAGGATACAATCAACAGAGTGAGAGACAACCTATGAAATGAGAGAATATATTTGCAAACCATATACCTGATAAGGAGTTAATATCTATCATATATGAGGAATTCAAACAGCTCAATAGTAAGAAAACAAATAACCTGATTTAAAAAATGGGTAAAGGACCTTAATAGACAGTTCTCAAAAGAAGACCTGCAAATGGCGAACAGGTATATAAAAATGTTCAGCATCACTAATTATCAAGAAAATGCAAATTAAAACCACAATGAGATATGACCTCACACCTGTTAGGATGGCTATTACCAAAAAGAAGAAAAATATCAAGTGTTCGTGAGGATTTTGAGAACAGGGAACCCCTGTATCCTGTTGGTGGGAATATAAATTAGTATAGCCACTATGGAGAAAGAGTATGGATGTTGTTCAAAAAATTAAAAAAGAACAACCATATGATCCAGCAATCCCACTACTGGGTATATATTCAAAGGAACTGAGGTCAATATGTCAAAGAGATATCTGCAGTCCCATGTTCACTGTAGCATTATTCACAATATCCAAGGTACGGAATGTCCTAACCTAAATGTCCACCAACAAGTAAGTAGATAAAACATGTGGTGTATACACGCAATGGAATACTAGACAGCTTAAAAAGAAGGAAATCTTGTTATTTGCAATAACCAACATAAATGAACCTAGAGGACATTATGATTGGTGAACTATGCCAGGCACAGAAAGATACGTATCATATAATATCACTTACGTGTGGAGCACAAAAACGTCAAACTCATAGAAATAGAGTAAAATGGTGGTTACTAGAGGCTGGGGAGTATAGGATTAGGAAGATATTGGTCAAAAGGCACAGAATTTTCATGAAACAGGAGGCATAAGTTCAAAAGGTCTATTGTATATCATGTTGAACACAATTAATAACACTATATTGCATATTTTGAAAAATGCTGGGAATTGATTTTAAGTGTTCTTGCCACAAAAGAATAAGTGAGGTAATGTATGTGCTAAAAAGCTTGATTTAGCCATTCCACAATGTATACATATATCAGATCATCATATTGTACACCATAAGTATGTACAATTTTACTAGCCAATTAAATAAGAGAAAAATGAATGCATAAGTTTTCATCATATATAGGTATTGATTTTTCCAGAGAGATGATCAGTCACAAATAATGGTATCCTCATTCATGCTTTTTTAAAAAAGCCAAATGTAGACTTGAGGCTCTAGCAAATGAGTGCTGACTTCTATCTTACTGCATCCTTGAATGCATATACGCTTACTCAGTGATCGTTTGTAAAAGACAAAGCAGGGTGCAGAATGGTTTCATTTCACACCTGGAATCAGCTCTCTGGGGAAATTTTAAGATCAAAACAGTAAAACAAACAGCAAGGTCCAGTAGAAATTAGTTCTTAACTTGCTGCATTTTAACACCTCTCTGGCCATACAAATATGCCCACACAGGTAACTAGGGTAGAGAAGTGGACACCACCTAGTGTATGCTAAGTAATTGGATCATCACCTGAATGAATTCTTCCACCCTTATATGGTACTTTCAATATAACTTGGGAAAACTTCTCTCTCATTCAACTCATTGTCACTAGATTTAATAATTCATAATGTAGTTATCTCTAATGCTAAAGGATAGGATGTTTTGGCTGATAACAGTATCAGTGTATAAATCCGTCAGAAAAGGGCAAAATCTTAGGAGCTCACTATGGATCACAAGGTTATGGGTCCAAGGTAGAACAAGCATGATTGCTCTAATGCTTAAACTATCATGCTAATTTCTATATATAAAATAATTTTTATTAATATTTCTAAAATTTCATTATCTATTGCTCATAACTCCCAGAAAGTAATATAAATTTTAGTTCCTGAAGAATCATTAGCTATTTAAGAAAACATTCAAAACACAAGAACATAGAAAGAATTTTCCACTTATGTTATGAGTTATTTAACTTCTAAAAATCTTTTTCTCCTCCTCTTTAAATAAGAAAAATTATTATCTCTGAGGCTATTGAAAAGACTGACTTAGCGCATGTAAATATTTAACATACCAACCCATATTATGAGTGTAACAAAAGCTAACATAATTTATTTTTTAACAATCCTAACTCTATGGGAAACAAAACAGAAACACTTTTTCCAACCAGTTCCTTCTAACAGGCCCTGCTGGATCTCCTTTCTCATCCTTGATGACATCTGGAATGATTCTTTCAGGTTTTTGGCTGAAATGAAAATCAGATTTTGTAACTAAGAATTCACTTTCAAATAATACAGTCTAGACCAAAACTGCAATTTCCTACCCATTTCAAACAGTCTACCCTCACATCAATTTATACATGATCCAGTCTTAGATACCTCTGCAGGGGAAAGAAAGGTCCTTACTCTTCCTTTTCTTTCACTTCTTCTGCTCTCTTTCTTTCATTTGCTCCTTCTTTCCCTCTGTTGCTGCTTGGTCCTCTTCCTCGTCCATCATATTGGTACTCAAGAGAGGGGATTAATAAAAGTGCTGCTGTAATCTGACCACTTGTTCCCTCAGCATGGCAGATGCCCGAATGCCAGCTAGCTCACTTAGGAGAACATTTGTAGCTCTTCCATGGAGATTACAGTGACCTTCCCATTGTACACTTTCCTCAGGCAAGCAAAACAATATCCACCTGACCTCTTGCAACCTCCCACTGTTCATTTTCTGCTATCAGCAGATGCTCCTATAACTTCACGCCACCAGGGACGCTTTGCCCTAGGCAAGCTATCCTCATAGGCATGGCTCCATCCAAATATCTTCATCCCGCTTATCTTATGAGGTGCTCAGTGAGCCCATAGGAAACTCATGCATTCTTGTCAAACCAAAAGTTGAATGTTTCCTCTGCTTCTTATGGCCTTCCTCTCTTGTCCTGCTGTCAGACATCACTCCACAAAGATTGCCAACTTTCACATTCTCAGAGCAGGAGTCAAAAAATAGTCTCTTTATTTAAGTACACTCTAAAACCCTCAGAATGCACATCAGGCACTTCCAAGAATTTCCTCCCTTCATCCTACTCCTGTCTCAAAATAAAATACACGAACAAGTCTCTGCAGCTCAACACACTTCCAGCTAGGGTATGAGATGTCATCACCTCATCTTGTAACCACCTCAAATCTCTGAGGGATTATCTTGGAGTCTCCCTCACTTGACTTGAAGGTAAAGAAGAGAAGAAAAAAATACTTTACCCTTAAGCCTATGACTCCTTATTCACACATTTTTTCTTCATTTTTTTTATCTTCTGACTATATAGGTTGAGTAGCAGGTGAATGAATAATTCAAAAGACTGTATTATTAAGTCCTAGAAGAGGATTTCTCAATCACACTTTGGACAAGAACTCTTTGTTGGTTTGAGGAGGCTGATCTGCACACTGTAAGATGTTTAGCAGTGTCCCTACCTTCTACCCATTAGATGACAGTAGCATTTCCTCCCTCTCAGGTGTGACAACCAGAAATGTCTCTAGACATTGCCAAATGTTCTAGGTGGGGCAATATTACCCCAGCTGAGAATCCCTACCCTAGAAGAATGTTAACTAGCTACAGTTGAGCATTCTCTTTAGATTATGGAGGTATTCTTTGTACTCCTCAGCTTCCGGGTTTTAACTAAAATTTTAAGAGCAAAGGTCATGTACTTATATTAGTTCCCCATTCCTTATATCTGTTTGTCTGTTGATTAAGTGGACATTCATTTTATTCACTAAATAAATATTCATGTTCTGCTTTGTAAAAGACACTGCCCAAGGACTGAGTAAACAGACCCTGTCCCATGGGAGATTACAAGGCTGACGATACTTGAGATATCATAGAGACTTCAACAGATACACAATATAATAAAAGTGGTGACTGAAGATGACCTGGGCATCATTTTGCATAATGAAAAGAAAGGGAAATTTTGAAGCTACAGAGAAAAATTAGAAAACAGTGGCCATTTTTAAAGTAACAATGATCTAAGTTTGACCCCTGGCAATAAAGAGGAACGAATAAAACAGAGGAAATTTTTGAAGACAACAGATAAAATTTTGTACGAGGCTGATAGATGAAAATAAGAGGGGAAAAAAAGAGTTCTTCAGTTTCAGTTTAACGAAGGGGAGATTTATCACAGTTGTGCTACCACTTGAAGATACAGAATTGTTGGGATTTTTTACAAAACTGCTAGGCAGATGATTATAACAAAGCAATAACTAGTTGGGTTTTTGGAATATTGATAGTTGGTTAGTTTGACCAGAGGATGGGCTATTCAAGGCAATTCCGTATACAGAAATCCAGGATATGGGCTTCTCCAGAAAAGATGCATTGTTCTTCATCTCATTTTTCAAGGACACTCTTAAGATATACACAAATGGATTGGTTTATTCCTCAATTATGTTTTGAGAAAAATAGCATATTACCAACTCATATTCTCAAACTAGAATTCAGGCTATTCCACAATAAAACACAAAATTTAAACTGCCTCTCTGATGACTTTACCTAAGCAGAATCAGCCTAAAGACAAAAAGAAAATATTTTATCTTCACAGATCAGAGATATAAATCTTCACAGAACCTTAAGATGACAGGTATTTTAAAAATAAAGTCTAATTAGAAATATAAGAAGCTTTTCTTTAAAATAACAGGGCAATTGGACAGCACTTGTTAAAATAATCAGATTCTAAAGATAGTATAAAAATATAAGTGGCCATAAAATTGCTTAGCAAAAAAATGTTTTATGGGAATAGAATAAGAAATAAGAACTATTTCTTATTCCTCCTATTTGCCCCTTATTCCACTGCATTTTCTCTAACTTTAAATCAAGAGGGTTAAATTTAGAAAACTATCGTTCTATGAAAATGAACCTATTATGTCATGATCCCCTCAAACCTCTGCCAACCATCTGCAGCTCCCACACTGGTTCCTTCATTCATCTCCAGCTTTTGCTGACATCCACAAGAACACATTTTAGGAGTCCTAGAGTCCTGAGTTCAGTTCTCAAGTGTACCCTGATAAGATTACTCTGTAAACTCAGGTGAGTACTTCTCTACAAATTAATTTCTTTATTTAAAAAGTAAAGATATTACTTTCCCCACATGGTTGTTATGATAATTAAATGAGTTAATTAAAGAGTCACATAATATAACAAATACAGAGTTCATTTTAGTTGTTCTTCCCCTTCCTTTTTCTTTCTGCCAAGTGATTTAGAAATAGGAGATATGAAAGACATGCTATACCTACTGTGTATTTGCCATTACATATGTTGAAGCAATACAGATAAAAAAGATACAGAATAATTTGTGCAATACAATCTGAACAATGTCAAATCAATTTTTTTAAAACCATACATAATTATGAATATTAAAAAAGAATGCAAAAACATATATTTATTAACAGTGATTATTTTGGATGGTAGAAAATGAATCGATATTTATCCCTTTCACTGTTCTGTTTCCCAATCTTTATATAATATTTAATTTCCTAATGAAAAATATAAATAAACTTCATAGAAAGGAAAAACTACTTAAAGGAAACTCCAATGTTCTCATTAATGAATACAAAGGCTACTGAATTCACTAGTGACTCAGAAAACTAATTCTCACACAAAATAAGATAATATTTTTTCACAAACTGTTATTTTGCCTACAAGTGGACCAAACTCCAGTGGTACCCATGGAATATATCATAGCCCTCAAACACTGTGTACAACAATGACTTTGGTCTTCTCTTAAAAATAATAATAATATAGTATTTTTAAAATGACTCGTCATTATTATGATAATAACATTAATCTAATCGGCTTTTAAATAAACCAGTCATCTTTATACAGATTAATGCTTAATAATGTAATTCATATGACTTAGACTTTTTTCTTGCAAAAGTGGTTTGCAAATCTTAATAGTTAGGAATATATATTCACTGCTCTCCAGGTCAGTTTTCCCTTTTTTTTTTTTTTTTTTTGGCTGACTTTTTGCAGGTACTCAAAGTGTTTCTTAAATACTGTTAAATACTGCAACAGTGGAAGCCTAATCCACATACCACATTGCCATTTCAATTCAGAATCACATAGAACCTATTTATTGTCTCCCTCCCCCACCATCCCTAGCAGTGACCTGTAAGGGGAAAACAAAAGATCTTAGTCAAGAACTTTTTCACTATATTGTAATTTGTTATCTACATATCTATTTTCCTCTAATAATGTGTTCTCCTTTAAGACGGAGGGGGAGATTTGATCTTTTTTGTGTCCCTTGATCAGTTGCTGGACCACAGGATATGTTCAATCATAAACACTTGATGAATGAATGAATGAATGAATGAATGGTTTGAAATGGAAGGAATCTTAAAAGATCATACAGCCCAGTTTCCACTGACTTTTAAAACACTTTACCTAGCATTACCAACAAATGGTCAGCTATACTCCTTTTGGCCTCATTATCCTATAGCAGAACACTCAGGGACCATAATTCTCTTCACCTGGTTTCAGAACTTAGGTTCATTAGAAACCTTTTATAACTGAAATGTATATTTCATTGATTATCTTTCACTGGGGTCTCTTACATGCCTGCCTTCTGTTTTTCTTAAATTGAACACATCATACTAGCATAGGTCTTTCTAAATTAAAATTCAAAGAGCACTACCTTCAACACATTTCATCCCCATTTACACTGGTTTTCACTGCCCGCAGTGATTGCTCTGGCTAAGACTATCAGCACTATGCTGAATAGAAATGGTGAAAGTGGGCAGCCTTGTCTTGTTCCAGTTTTCAGAGGAAATGCTTTCAACTTTTCCCCATTCAGTATAATGTTGGCTGTGGGTGTGTCATAGAAGGTTTTTATTGCCTTAAGGTATGTTCCTTCTATGCTGATTTTGCTGCTGATTTTAATCATAAAGAATGCTGGATTTTGTCAAATGCTTTTTCTGCATCTACTGAGATGATCACATGATTTTTGTTTTTAGTTCTGTTTATGTGGTGTATCACATTTATTGACTTGTGAATGTTAAACCATCCCTGCATCACTGGTATGAAACCCACTTGATCATAATGGAGTATCTTTTTGACATGCTGTTGATTCTGTTCGCTAGTATTCTGTTGAAAATTTTTGCATCTATGTTCATTGGGGATATTGGTCCATAGTTTTCTTTTTCTGTTAGGTCCTTTCCTGATTTTGGTGTTAGGGTGATAATGGATTCATAAAGTTATTTGGGGAGGATTCACCCTTTCTCTGTCTTTTGGAATAGTGTCAATAAGATTGGTACCAAGTCTTCTTTGAATGTCTGATTGAATTCAGCTGTGAATCTGCCTAATCCTAGACTTTTTTTGTTGGTAACTTTTTAATTACAATTTCAATCTTCCTGCTTGTTATCGGTCTGTTCGGAGTTTCTATCTCCTCCTGGTTTAATTGAGAAGGGTTATATATTTCCAGGAATGTATCCATCACCTTCATGATTTCTAGTTTATGCACGTAAAGGTGTTCAAAGTAGCCTGGAATGATATTTTGTATTTATGTGGTATCGGTTATAATATCTTCTATTACATTTCTATTTGAATCTTCTCTCTTCTTTTCTTGTAATCTCACTAATGGTCTATCAATTTTATTTATCTTTTCAAAGAACCAGTTTTTTGTTTCATTAATTTTTTGTATTTTTTGTTTCAATTTCATTTAGTTCTGCTCTGATTTGGTTATTTCTTTTCTTCTGCTGGGTTTGGGTTTGGTTTGTTCTTGTTTCTCCATGTTCTTGAGGTGTAACCTTAGATTGTCTATTTGTATTCTTTCAGACTTTTTGATATAGGCATTTAATGCTATGAACTTTCCTCTTTGCACTGCTTTTGCTGTATCTCAGAGGTTGTGATAGGCTGGGTAGCTATTATAGATCAGTTCAAACAATTTTTTAATTTCCATCTTGATTTCATTGTTGGCCCAGTGATAATTCAGGAGCAGGTTATTTAATTTCCATGTATTTGCATGGTTTTGGAGTTGATTCCCAATTTTATTCCACTCCAGTCTGGGAGAGTAGTGGATATTTTATTTTGGTAAATTTGTCAAGACTTGTTTTGTGGTCTATCACATGGTCTATCTCGGAGACTGTTCCATGTACTGATGAATAGAATGTATATTCTACAGGTGTTGGGTAGAATGTTCTGTAAATATCTTTTAAGTCAATTTGTTCCAGGGTATAGTTTAAACCCATTGTTTCTTTGTTGACTTTCTCTCTTGGTGACCTGTCTAGTGCTGTCAGTGTAGTATTGAAGTCCTCTACTATTATTGTGTTGCTGTCTATCTCATTTCTTAGGTCTAGTAGTAATTGTTTTATAAATTTGGGAGCTCCAGTGTTAGGTGCATATATATTTAGGACTGTCATATTTTCCTGTTAGACTAGTCCTTGTATCATTATATAATATCACTCTTTGTCTTTTTTAACAGCTGTTCCTTTAAAGTTTGTTTGCCTGATATGAGAATAGTGAGCCCTGCTTCCTTTTGGTGTCCATTTTCATGAACTATCTTTTTCCACCCCTTTACCTTAAGTTTATGTGAGTCCTTATGTGTCAGGTGAGTTTCTTGAAGACAGTAGATACTTAGTTGGTGAGTTTTTATCCATTCTGCCATTCTGTATCTTTTAAGTGGAGCATTTAGACCATTTACATTCAATGTTAGTATTGAGATGTGAGGTACTATTCTATTCATCATGCTATTTTTTGCCTGAATGATGTGTTTTTTCTTCATCGTGTTATTGTTTTTGTAGGTCCTGTGAGATTTATGCTTTAAGGAGATTCTATTTTGGTGTATTTTGAGGATTTGTTTCAAGATTTGGAGCTCCTTTTAGCAGTTCTTTTAGTTCTGGCTTGATAATGGCAAATTCTCTCACATTTGTTTTTCTGAAAAAGACTGCATCTTTCCTGCATTTATCAAGCTTAGCTTTGCTGGATACAAAATTGTTGGCTGATAATTGTTTTGTTTAAGGAGGCTAAAGATAGGACCCCAATCCCTTCTAGCTTGTAAAGTTTGGCTGAGAAATTTGCTGTTAATCTGATAGGTTTTCCTTTATAGGTTATCTGATGCTTTTTCCTCACAACTCTTAAGATTCTTTCCTTCATCTTGACTTTAGATAACCTCATGACTATGTGCCTAGGTGATGATCTTTTTGCAATGAATTTCCCAGGTGTTCTTTGAGCTTCTTATATTTGAATGTCTAGATCTCTAAAAAGGCCAGGGAAGTTTGCCTTGATTATTCCCTCAACTATGTTTTCCAAACTTTTAGATTTCTCTTCTTCCTCGGGATCACCAATTATTCTTAGGTTTGGTCACTTAACATAATCCCAGACTTGGAGGCTTTGTTCATTTTTTCTTTTCCTTTGTCGGATTGGGTTAATTTGAAAGCCTTGTCTTCGAGTCCTAAAGTTCTTTCTTATACTTGTTCAGTTCTATTGCTGAGACTTTCTAGTGCATTTTGCATTTCTCTGAGTCCTTGATTTCCAGAAGTTATGATTTTTTTATTTATGCTATCTATTTCACTGGAGATTTTTCCATTCATATCCCATGTCTTTTTTTTTTTCAAATTCATCTAAGTTGGGCATCACCTTTCTCAGATGCCTCCTTGACTGGCTTAATAGTAGATCTTCTAAATTCTTTCTCTGGCAGTCCAGAGATTTTGCCTTGGTTGGGATCCATTGCTGGTGAGCTAGTGTGATCTTTCAGGGGTGTTAAAGAACGTTGTTTTGTCATATTACCAGAATTGTTTTTCTGGTTCCTTCCCATTTGAGTAGACTATGTCAGAGGGAAGATCTATGACTCAAAGGCTGAAGTTCAAATTCTTTTGTCCCACAGGGTGGTCCCTTGATGTACTGCTCTTCCCTTTCCCCTAGGGATGGGGCCTTCTGAGAGCTGAACTGCAGTGATTGGTATTTTTCTTCAGAATCTTGCCACCCAGAAGAGCTACCAGGCCCTTGGCTGGTACTAGAGATAGTATGCAAAGAGTCCTGTGATGTGATCCATCTTCTGATCTGTCAGCCATGGATTCCAGCACCTACTCCAGTGGAGGTAGCAGGGGAGTGAAGTGGACTCTGTGAGGATCCTTTGGTTGTATTTTTGTTTAGTGTGCTGATTTTGTGTTGGTTGGCCTCCAGCGAGGAAGTGCCACTTTCAAGAGCACATCAGCTCTGGTTGTATAGGGAGGATCAGGCGCTGGGTGGGGCCATAGAGCTCCCAAGAGATTATGTCCTTTGTCTTCAGCTACCAGGGCAGGTAGGGAAAAAAACATCAGGTGAGGTCAGGGTTAGGCATGTCTGAACTCAAGACTCTCCTTGGATGGGGATTGTTGTGGCTGCTGTGGGGCAGAGGGTATGGTTCCCCAGCCCCTCCATAAGCCAATGGAGTTATGTTCCCTGGGGAATTATGGCTGTCTCTGCTGTGTCACACTGGTCACCAGGGAAGTGGGGTAAAGCCAGCAGCCACAGGCTTCACTCAGCTCCCACGCAGCCCACAACCCCAAAGGCTGGTCTTGGTCTCATTCCCACCAGCACTGAGTTTATTTGCAGGCAGCTGGTGAGCTGGGCTGAGAACTTGCCCCAGGCTACAAGCCTCCCAGCTGAGAAAGCAAGTTGACTCACAGTTCCTCAAATGACCTATGGGGCCTGCAGCAGCAGACCACCTCGTTCAAAGGGTCTGTGGATTCTCTCAGCTTTTCTGGTATATTCTTGTGGTAGTTCTTGGAGCAAAAGTTCATGATGTCAGTCTCCACATGCTACTCTGTCCATCCAAGTGGGAGCTGCAAGTTAGTCCTGCCTGCTATCCTCCATTTTCCTGGGCTATCAAAATGACTGTTTTTGATAAATTTAAGGTGGCTGGATAAAACACAAGATGCTGAGATAAGTTTTAATTTCAGACAGTTTTAGTATAAGTGTGTTCCTTGAAATCTTTGAAACATACTGATACTGTATTTTTATCTGCCAACTTTAACAATCCTACATACATTGGACAATAGTCACAAGACAGTGGATATTGAAAGAAGAAAAGGCAATGAGGTGAGGCCAATGATAATCCCAGTTTTAAGGTTAGAGGCAACTATGGACTATGGTTTCAAGGTCAGGGAACCCAAACAGAGTCCAGAAGTCTAAAACAGAAGAAAGCCTGCAGACAAAAATTAGAGTTCAGAGAGGCTAACTTTAGAGGACAGAATACCACAGAGCAGAAAGATACATGGAAACAGAGTTCTGCAAATTTGCATAGGGATCACCTTGAGTCCTTGGTTGTAATTGCTTAGGATAAAAATTCATAAGGCAGGAAAAACAAAAAATGCTGGAAAAAGAACAATAATCAAGGGACTATAAGTCAAATAATTCCAAGAGTTCACACAGGGCCAGAGTTTCCACTAGTCAGAGTGGAAAGGTCTCAATTAGTACATAGGACTTCCAGTAAAGACCCCAGAAAGATGAAGATTTAAAAGTAGAGATAAAGTAACACTAGACTAAATTCTACTCCATATGTACCCAAAAAAGATACACAGCAAGCCATGAAAGAATCAAATTTATAAAGGAGTAACTTAACTGCTGGCCAGAACAAAGACCCACACTGAACACCAAAATATTTATTATTCCTCAACAATGTAACATTCATAATGTCAAAAATCCAATTAAAAATTCTTAGACATCCAAAGCAGGAAAATATGATATTTTACCAAAAGAAAAAACAGTCCATAGAAACAGACTGAAAAATGACAGAGATGATGGAATTAGCAGGCAAAGACTTTTAAAAAGCTATTGTAAATATGCTCAATGTCCACAAAGTTGTAACATTAAAATGAAAAAGTGAGAAATTAAAAATATTTTTAAAAAGAAGCACTTCCAAAGCTGAGATATACTGTTTGAAAAATTATGAATATACTTAAAAACAAATATAAATATAACAACAGAATTAAAAATATTAGTGCATTCAAAAACTTGTCAATAAAACTATCTAAACATATCCACAGAGAGAAAAAAAGAGTAGAAAAAAAGAGATTCAGTGACATGTAGGACAATATCAAACAACTAATATACAACCAACTGAATACCCAGAAGGAGAGAAGTTGTGGGGGTACAGAAAAAAATCATTTGAATAAATTATCACTAAACTTTTCCAAACTTGATAAAAATGTAAATATGTGGATCCAAGAAGATCAGCAAACCCTAAGGAGATACAAACAGACAAAAAGACATACAGCCATCTCATAATTAAATTGCTAAAAATCAGTCATAAATAGAAAGTATTAAAATCAGCCAGAGCAAAAAGGAACACAGCACATAGGGAAAAACAGCTAGGAATGTCCCCTGATTTCTTGTCAGCAAAATGAAAACCATAAGACAATGAAGGAACAACTTTAACATGATTAAAAGTAACAACTCTCAACTTTGAATACTGTACTCATCAACAACAAAAATATTCTTACAAATAAAGGTGTATTAGTCAATTTTCACACTGCTGATAAAGACATATCCAAGACGGGGAAGAAAAAGAGGTTTAATGGACTCACAGTTCCACATGCCTGGGGATGCCTCACAATCATGGTGGAAGGCAAGGAGGAGCAAGTTATGTTTCACATGGATGGTGGCAGGCAACGAGAGAGAACTTGTGCGGGGCTACTCTCATTTTAAAACCATCAGATCTCAGGAGACCCATTCACTATCACAAGAACAGCAAGGGAAAGACCTGTCCCCATAATTCAATTGTCTCCCACCGGGTTCCTCCCACAACATGTGGGAATTAGAGGAGCTACAAGATAAGATTTGGGTGGGGACACAGAGCCAAACCATATCATTCCACCCCCAGCCCCTCCCATTGGTTGATTTCAAAACGAATCATGCCTTCCCCACAGTCCCTCAAAGTCTCAACTCACATCAGCATTAACTCAAAAGTCCACAGTCTGAAGTCTCATCTGAGACAAGGCAAGCCCCTTCCATCTATGAGCCTGTAAAATCAAAAGCAAGTTAGTACTGTCCTAGATACAATGTGTATACAGACATTGGGTAAATATAGCCACTCCAAATGGGAGAAATTGGCCCATTTGGGCCAATTGGCCCAAAACAAAGGGGCTACAGGCCCCATGCAAGCCCTAAATCCAGTGGGGCAGTCAAATCTTAAAGCTCCAAAATGATCTGTGACTCTGACTCACATCTAGGTCACGCTGATGCAAAAGGTAGGTTCCCATTCTCTTGGGCAGATCCACCTCTGTGGCTTTGCAGGGTATAGCCCCCTCCTGGCTGCTTTCATGGGCTGGCATTGAGTGTCTGCAGCTTTTTCAGGTGCACAGTGCAAGATGTCAATGGTTCTACCATTCTGGGGTCTGGAGGATGGTGGCCCTCTTTTCACAGCTCCACTAGGCAGTGCCTCTGTAGGGATTCTGTGTGGGAGCGCTGATCCCACATTTCTCTTTTGTACTGCCCTAGCAGAGGTTCTCAATCAGAGCCCTGCCCCTGCAGCAAATTTTTGCCTTGGCATCCAGATATTTTCTGTTTTTTTTTTTTTTTTTTTTTTTTTTGAGATGGAGTTTCGCTCTTGTTGCCCAGGCTGGAGTGCAATGGCGCAATCTCGGCTGACCACAACCTCTGCCTCCTGGGTTCAAGTGATTCTCTTCCTGCCTCGGCCTCCCCAGTATTTGGGATTACAGGCATGCGCCACTATGCCCAGCTAATTTTTTGTATTTTTAGTAGAGATGGGGTTTCTCCATGTTGGTCAGGCTGGTCTCGAAGACCCGATCTCAGGTGATCTGCCCACCTCAGCCTCCCAAAGTGCTAGGATTATAGACGTGAGCCACAGAGCCTGGCCACATCCAGGTATCTTCATACCTGTTCTGAAATCTCAACAGAGGTTCCCAAACCTCAATTCGTGACTTCTGTCCACCCTCAGGCTCAACACCATGTGAAAGCTGCCAAGGCTTGGGGCTTCAACCCTCTGAATCAACAGCCTGAGCTGTACCTTGGCTGTTTTTAGTCACAGCTGGAGTGGCCATGACACAGGGTACCAAGTCTCTAGGCTACACACAGCACAGGGACCCAGGGCCCAGTCCACAAAATCACTTTTTCCTCCTAGGCCCCTGGGCCTGTGATGGGAAGGGCTAACATGAAGACCTCTGACATGCCCTGGAGACATTTTCCCCATTGTCTTGGGGATTGACATTCAGCTCCTGGTTACTTATGCAAATTTCTGCAGCAGCTTGACTTTCTCCTAAGAAAATGGGATTTTCTTTTCTATTGCATTGTCAGGCTGCAAATTTTCCAAATGTTTTTGCTCTGCTTCCCTTATAAAACTGAATGCCTTTAAAAGCACCCAAGTCACATCTTGAATTCTTTGCTGCTTAGAAATTTCTTCCCCCAGATACCCTAAATCATCTCTCTCAAGTTCAAAGTTCCAGAAATCTCTAAGGCAGGGGCAAAATGTTGCCAGTCTCTTCGCTAAAACATTACAAGAGTCACCTTTGTTCCAGATCCCAACAAGTTCCTCATGTCCATTTGTCCATATAGTTGTCCACATTCTGGGAAAAGCCATTCAACAAATCTTTAGAAGGTTCCAAACTTTCCCACATTTTTCTGTCTTCTTCTGAGCCCTCCAAACTGTTCCAACTCCTGCCTGTTACCCAGCTCCAAAGTTGCTTCCACATTTTCAGGTATCTTTTCAGCAGTGCCTTACTCTACTCGTACCAGTTTACTGTATTAGTCCATTTTTATGCCACTGATAAAGACATACCCAAGACTGGGAAAAAAAAGAGGTTTAATAGACTCACAGTTCCACATGGCTGGGGATGCCTCACAATCAAGGCAGAAGGCAAGAAGGATCAAGTCATGTCTCATATGGATGATGGCAGACAGAGAGAGAGCTTGTGCAGGACAACTCCCATTTTTAAAATTATAAGCTCTCATGAGACCCATTCACTATCACAAGAACACCATGGGAAAGACCCACCCCCATAATTCAATCCTCTCCCACTGGGAGCTACAGGATGAGATTTGGGTGGGGACACAGAGCCAAACCGCATCAAAAAGGTAACTAAAGACTCTCAAAAAAATAAAATCTGAATTTATCACAACCAAACTAATACTATAAAAAATGCTAGAGTTCTTCAGGTAGAAAGAACCTTTTACCAGATATAAACTCAGATCCACACAAGAAATAAAGAATAATAAAACTGTAAATACATGGGTAAATATAGACAATGTCTTCTCATATTTTAATTTCCTCAAAAGATTAATTGGGAGGTAGTACTTCCAGAATGTCAGAATACCCAACTGTTTCCCAAAAACCAATAATACTGGATAAATGTGTCAAAAACAGTAATTCCAGGGCTCTGGAAACCAACAACATGCATACAACAAACTGAGCAGTGTTTATTCAAGAAAAGCTACTGAAACTTGAATAAGAAAAATAGGAGTTTGTGGTGTTTTAGCCTGGGAATGCTACCATACACCCCTCCCCTAGCTCCATCAAAATTGGAATTCTACCAGAGGAAGATAACATCGGAAA
This sequence comes from Homo sapiens, assembly GCF_000001405.40. Classification (NCBI taxonomy): domain Eukaryota; kingdom Metazoa; phylum Chordata; class Mammalia; order Primates; family Hominidae; genus Homo; species Homo sapiens. The sequence continues at coordinate 23,362,791 of NC_000009.12, forward strand.
AACAGATGCTTTACTGCTAAAGAAAGCTGATTTGATTTTAAGCAGACTGTGGGAAAACGACATGCCATTGGAAAATAGTTTACAACCAAATTGGAAAATCATATCATAGCTAATCTAAAATTGCAATCTAATTGTGGCAAGCAACAGACCAGCAGAGAAGCAAGAACTTTAAAAGTAATACCCAGGTAATTAGAAAGTCATAGTGAGCCTTGAGAAACTCCTACATGCTCTTTTGGCCTGAAAAGCTGTGTTCATTTACAAGGTTATGCACATGATTGGGAGACAACAGGGAGGCAACTAGCCAGCCACACATCCCTGAATGTACATAAGACCTGCATATGAACGAAAGAGACATGAGAGAACATAAAATAAAAGATGGGTCAAATTCATAAACTGCCTAAACTTTATATGCATTCCCCAATCCAAACACAGATTCATAGGCGAGGTATACAATCCTTACTTATGTTATAAATTGAGTACAACCACTGACTAATTAATATCTGACCTTTAAATTATGCTAACCCCGTAAGAAATCATAATTTTTTAAAATATCTGAGCACAGATATTAGTGACCACATACCACAAGAGATAATTAGTACAGGCATGTCACTTAACAAACCAACAAGTAGCACTAAAAACAACTGCGGCAAGATTAAAATACAGAGTGGCTAGATTATCTTAAATGTCCAGTTTTTAGCAAAAAAACAAATTAAACATGCGGAGAGAAAAAAGAAATATGACTATATTCAGGGAAAAAGAGCAACCAGTAGAAACTGTATTTGAGGCCGGGCGCGGTGGCTCACGCCTGTAATCCCAGCACTTTGGGAGGCCGAGGCGGGTGGATCACGAGGTCAGGAGATCGAGACCATCCCGGCTAAAACGGTGAGACCCCGTCTCTACTAAAAATACAAAAAATTAGCCGGGCGTAGTGGCGGGCACCTGTAGTCCCAGCTACTTGGGAGGCTGAGGCAGGAGAATGGTGTGAACCCGGGAGGCGGAGCTTGCAGTGAGCCGAGATCCCGCCACTGCACTCCAGCCTGGGTGACAGAGCGAGACTCCATCTCAAAAAAAAAAAAAAAAAAAAAAAAAGAAACTGTATTTGAGGGGCAAAGATGTTGGATTTAGTAGATAAAGCTAAAGCAGCTGTTATAAACATGTTCAAAGAACTAAAAGAAACCACATTTCAAAAACTAAAGTATGACAATAGTGGTCCATACATAGGCTATCAGTAGATATATAAATTACTTAAAAGGGGAAAATGGAAATTTTGAAGACAAAAAATATAACTGAAATAAAAATTTACTGAGGTGGGAAGGGCTTAATATCAGTTTTGAGATAGGAGAAGAAAGAATGCACAAACTTGAAGAAAAACAAGAGTAAACAAAAAAGAAAATAACGAAGAAAAAGAAACAGAGCCTCAGAGACCTGTGGGAAGCCATAAATATATGCATAATGGCTTCCCAATAGAGAATAAAGAGAAAGTGAAAGAAAAATACTTAGAGATAAGAAAGCTAAAAAATTCCTAACTTTGATTTAAAAAGTTAATTTAGACATCCAAGAAGCTCAACAAACTCAAAGTAGGATAGACAAAAGACGTCCGCACCTAGTAACATTATATTCAAACTTTTGAAAGCCAAAGACAATGAAAACACATTGAAAACAGCAACAGAATAATTTGTCACTTATAGGGATCAGAAATAAACCATGATCAACAGCTAACTTCTCAACAGAAACAATAAATTTCAAAAAGTAATGTGATAACATTCAAAATGCCAAAGGAAAAAAAAAGTAAACCGAGACTTAAATCAGCAAAACTATCCTTCAATAATGAAAATGAAATTTTTAGAGAATATGACTGGGATATAGAGTATCTCAAGGAACCAAAAACTCCTCAAACTAATAAATAATTTTAGCAAGGTCATGGAATAAAAGGTTAATGTACAAAAGTCAACCATCACCCCGTATACTAGCATTTAAAAGTCTCAGAATTTGAGACTTTTTAAAAAATGCCATTTATAAAAATTCCAAAAAATAACTCACTTATGTATAAGCCTAACAAAGTATATATACAATCTGCTTGTGGAAAACTACAAAATACTGAAAAAACAAATCAAGGAAGATCTACATAAACAGAAAATATACTATACATATTGACTAGAAGATTCAATAGTGTTATAATTAGGCTGTGAAACACAGTTTGCCTGCCCTTGATATAGATGCAAAAAATTCTCAAAATATTAGCAATACAAAGACACCAGCAATATGAAAAGAATTACACAGCATGACCATGTGAGATTAATTCCACAAAAGCAAAATTGACTAAAGATAAAGACAATTAATTTACTATATTAATAGAATAAAAGTCAAAAATATAGAATCATTTCAATGGACACAAAACATTATTTGAAAAAAATCAAATACTCCTTTAGGATTAAAAACTACATAAACTAGAAATACAAAGGATCTTTCTCAACCTGACAAAGAGCAGCTATGAAAAATCTACAGCTAATGTTAAACTTAATGGTAAAAGACTGAATGCTTTCCACTAAAATTGTAAACAGGGCAACAATATTCACTTTTATCACTTCTATTAAATGTTATACTGAGGTGCTAGCTAATATGATAAGACAATATAAATGAATTGAATTAATCCATATTGGAAGAGAGGAAGTGAAACTATATTTTCAATCAACATGGTCCTATATGTAGGATATATTAAGAAATCCACATTACCATAAAACTAGAGCTAATAAATTAGTTCGGCTAGGTCACAGCAAATAGGATAAATATGGAAATATTAATTAAATTTCTATATATCGGCAATGACCCACTCACATATGAAATTAAGAAAACAATTCCATTCACAAAAGCCTCAAAAAGAAAAAAAAATGTAGGATTAAATTTAATAAAGGAAGTGCAAGTCTTGCATACCACAAAACATTGCTGAGAGAAATGAAGGTGTAAATGGAGAGGCATTCTATGTTCGTGTTCAATATTGTTAAGACGGCAATTTGCCTAAAAGTAATCTATAACATCAAAATAATCTCTATCAAAATAAAAGCAAGTGTTTAAATGGTATTTGTGTGTGTGTGTGCTTGCAGGCCATTGCAGAAATTGATGAGGTTTTTTCTAATGAAATGCAAAAGATGCAAAATAGCCCAAGTCATTTTGAAAAACAATAACAAACTTTGAGTACTTATACTTCTAACTCAAAACTTACTATAATTACACAGTAATCAAAGTACTGTGGCACTTGCAAAAGATACATAAACCAAAGATACAGAATTGGAAGTCCAGAAGTAAATCCTTAACATTTATGGTTCATTGATTTTCAACAAAGGTGCTGAGACAATTCAATGGGAGGAAAAAAATAGTCTTTTTAACAAATGGTGCCAAAATAATTAGATACCCACATGTAAAAAGATGAATTTAGACCTCTACCTTATACCATACACAAAATTAAGTCAAAGTGAATAACATACCTAAATATACGAGCTGAAACTGTCAAACTTTTAGAAGAATACCTAGGAGAATGATCCCTATGACCTTTCGTTAAGAAAAGAGTTCTCAGATACAATGCCCTGAGCATGATCTGTAAATAATAATAACAATACCAGTATACATCATCAACATACTATATCAAAGAGAAGTAGTGAAAGTGGGCATTCTTATCTTGTTCTGGTTCTCAAGGGGAACGCTTCTAGCTTTTGCCCATTCAGTATGATGTTGGCTGTGGGTTTGTCACAGATGGCACTTATTATTTTGACATATGTTCTCCTAATCTTTAGTTGTCATAGATGGCTCTTATTATGTTGAAGCATGTTCCTTGGATGCCTAGAACTCCCACTATTATTGTATGGTTATCTAAGTCTCTTTGTAGATTTCTAAGAACTTGTTTTATGAGTCTGGCTGATCCAGTGTTGGGAGGATATATATTTGAGACAGTTAAGTCTTCTTGTTGAATTGAACCCTTTATCATTATGTAATGTCCTTCTTTGTCCTTTTTGATCACTGTTTGTTTGAAGTCTGTTTTCTCTGAAATTGGAATAGCAACCCCTGCTCTTTAAGAATATTTTCTTTTTTATGGGAAACAGGGGGTCAGTCTTGCTCTGTCACCCAGGCTGGAGTGCAGTAATGTGATCATGGCTCACTGCAACCCCCGCCTCCTGGGTTGAAGCAATTCTCATGCCTCAGCCACCAGAATGGCTGAGATTACAGGTGTGTGCCACCACACCCAATTAACATTTATATTTTTAGTAGAGATGGGGTTTCGCCATGTTGGTCAGGCTGGTCTTGCACTCCTGACCTCAAGTGATCCACCCACCACAGCCTCCCAAAGTTCTGGGATTACAGGCGTGAGCCACCATGCCCATACAACTACTGGCGTCTTTTGTTTTTTATTTGCATGGTAGATTTTTTCTCCATCCCTTTACTCTAAGTGTGTCATCGTATGTGAGATGGATCTCTAGAAGACAGCATACATTTGGGTCTTGCTTCTCTATCCAACTTACTACTCTGTGCCTTTTTAGTGGGATTTAAACTGTTTATGTTCAAAGTTAATGTTGACATGTGCTGGTTTCATCCTGTCATCATGATGTTAGCTGGTTGTTATGTAGACTTGATTGTGTAGTTGCTTTTTAGTGTCAGTGAGCTATGTAATTAAATGTGTTTTTTTGGTGGCTGGTAACAGTCTTTCATTTCCTTGTTTAGCACTCCCTTAATGACCTCTTATAAGGCAGTTCTGATAATAATGAAATCTCTTAACATTGCTTATTGGAAAAAGATTGTATTTCTCCTTAACTTATGAAGCTTAGTTTGGCTGGATATGGAGTTCTTGTTGGAATTTATTTTCTTTAAGGATGCTGAATATAGGCCCCCAATGTATTCTGGGTTGTAGGATTTCTGCTAAAAGGTTCACATGTGTGTGCACATTACCAAAGCAGGAGGGTATGGCAAAAGCAGGCACGTGCACGCTGGCAAAGCAGTTGGGATAAAGCAATATAGTTCTGGGACAGCATTTAAGCCTTGGTTCTCACTCTAAGCCTTTCACAGAAAGGTAAATAATGGCAAAGCAGCAATTTAGATCTAGACTAGCAGTTAAATTCCAATATTCAATCTGAATCTTCCTCAGATCAAGAAATGATGACAGAGCAGTGAGATTGTTCCAGTGTTGTCTTGAGTTCTGGTGGTCACTAAAAGTCTTCTCCAGAATGGAAAGCAATAATAGGCCAGCATTTAGGTTTCAATCCTTATAAGTAAAGATCTCACACTATCAAAAAGCACCTACAAAAGGTGAAAGAGGTGGCTGTCTCCTCAAACTTATAGGCATCAACATAAAGATACAAGCATTGTGAAACCTCAGGAAAATATGACACTACCAAAAGAAACCTAGAAAACTTCAGCAATAGAGTCAGAAAAATTGATGATCTATGAAATATCTGATACATGAGTCAAAATAACCCACTTAAAGAAGTTCAGGAAGTTGCAGAAAAATATGAATAGAAAATTAAATAAAAATTGAAAAACAATTTCGGAAAAAAATATTTAACAGAAAAATAGTAATAGTTTTTATAATGCAATAGAGTTCTTGAAAATAAAGAATATAATTATGAACAGAAAAACTCATTATAAAGCTTCAAAAGCAAACTTGTTCAAAAAGGAAAGAATTACTGAGCTGGAAGACAGCACATATGAAATTACCCAATCAGAGAAGAAAAAGAAAAAAAAAAACTAACCTCTGCATAATTGGAACCCCCAAAGGAAAGGAGAAATAAAAGAGCTTAGCAAGCATGTTTAAGGGCCAGGTGCAGTGGCTCACACCTGTAATCCCAGCACTTTGGGAGGCCAAGGTGGGCGGATCACTAGCTCAGGAGTTCAAGACCAGCATGGCCAATGTAGTGAAACCCTGTCTGTACTAAAAATACAAAAATTAGCTGGGCTTGGTGGCACCCGCCTGTAATCCCAGCTACTCAGGAGGCTGAGCCAGGAGAATCGCTTGAACCTGGGAAGCAGAGGTTGCAGTGAGTGAAGATTGAGCCACTGCACTCTAGCCTGGGTGACAGAGTGAGACTCCATCTCAAAAAAAAAAAAAAAAGCAAGCAAGCAAGCAAGCAAGCAAGCAAGCATATTTAAGAAAATAATGACTGAAAATTTCCCAGATCTGGAGAAAGAGGGCAGCATCCAGATACAGGAAGCTCAGAGGTCACCAGTCAAATTCAGTCCTATGAGGAATTCCCCAAGGTACATCAGAATCAACTTAGTAAATATCAAACACACACACACACACACACACACACACACACACACACACAAATTGTTCAAAACATCAAGAAAAAAGAAACATATCACATTCAAGCGTTCTCTAATATGGCTTTCAGTGGGCTTTTAGGAGAAACCCTGCAGGCCAGGAAAAAAGTAGAATGCTAAATTCAAAGTGCTGAAGGTAAAAAACAACAACAACAACAACAAAAAAAAACTCTTAGCCAAGAATACTGTACTCAACAAAGCTATTCTTAAAACACAAAGAACAGATTAAGACATTACACTACCAGACCAACAAAAGTTGAGAGAATTCATCCACAGCAGACCTGTCACAAGAAATGCTAAAGAAATAGATACTAATATGTAACAATAAAACATCTGAAGCTATAAAACTCACTGGTAAATACAAGAAGCCACATTTGTAATACTCTAATTCTATAATTGTGCAAGTAAACCATTTATATGTCAAGTATAAAGACTAGAAGACAAAAGTATTAAAGACAATGATAACTATAGTAATTGGTTAAGAGATAGGCAATATAAAAATAGGTAAATTGAAACATCAAAAAATTAAAATGTGGGGGGAAAATAATTTTGTTTTCAGTACTTTCCTTTGCAATCAATGTTAAGTTGATATCAGCTTTAAAAAATCTGTAATAACTAAAAGATTTTTTTTGTAATCTTCATGTGAACCTCAAGGCAAAAACCCACAATAGATACACTAAGCAACATAGAATGAAAACATTCTACTAAAGAAACTCACTTAACTACAAAAGAAGACAGCAAGAGATGAATAAAAGAAAGGGTCTATAAAATAACCAAAAACCAAGTAACAAAATGGCAATTGTAAACCCTTACCTATCAATAATAACCTTGAATGCAAATAGATTATATTATCCAATTAAAAGAAGGAGTAACTACATGATTTAAAAACAGGATCCAACTATATGCTGTCTATCTGAAACTCAATTTGCCTATAAAGATATGTACAGACTGAAAGCGAAGGGTTGGAAAAAGATATCCCATGGAAAACAAACAAACAAAAAAGCAGGAGACATTATACTTACGTCACATAAAATAGATGTTAAGTAAGAAATGATTTTAAAAAGATAAGGAAGACTATTACATAATAATACTCAGAATAATAAAGGTGTCAATATGGCAAGAGAATATAATAATTGGAAATATATATGCACCCAACAATGAAAGACTCAAATGTATAAAACAAAGACTAATAGACTAAAAGACAGAGATTGATTGTAATACAGTAATAGTAGGAAACATCAACACTCTACTTTCAGCAATAGACAGATCATCCAGACAGAAAATCAACACTGAAACATTGGAGTTAAACTGCACTCCAGACCAAATGGACCAAACAGACATCTATGGAACATTCCATCCAACAGCAGAAGGAAACACATTTTTCTCAATAGCACATAGAACATTATTCAGTGTAGACCATATATTAGGTCATAAAACAAGTATTTTAAATTTTTAAAAATAAAAATTATATCAACTATCTTTTCTGACCACAATGGAATAGAATTAGAAATCAATAACTGAAGGAATATTGGAAACTGGACAAATTTATAGAAATTAAACCATGTGCTCCTGAACAAGTGGGTCAATGAAAGAAATTCAAAAGAAAACTTAAAAATTCCTTAAGACAAATGAAAATGAAAACACAACATACCAAAGCCTATGGGATACAGCAAAAGTAGTTCTAAGAGTGATGTTTATAGCAATAAACACATACATCAAAAAAGCAGAAAATCTTAAATAACCTAATGATGCATCTCAAGGAGCCAGAAATGCAAGAACAAATCAAACCCAAAATTAGTAGAAGGAAAGAAGTAATAAACATCACAGCAGAAATAAATGAAATTGAACCTAAAGAAATAAAGAATTAATTAAACAAGTTGGAGTTTTTTTTTAAAAAAGATGCATGAAATTGACAAACCTCTAGCTATACTAAGAAAAAGAGAAGACCCAAATAATTCAGAGACAAAAAAGGAAACATTATAACTGATATCACAGAAATACAAAGGATCATAAGAGACTAATATGAAAAACTATACACCAACAAAATGCAAAACCTAGAAGAAGTGGATAGAAGCCTAACGGATTGAACTATGAAGAAACGGAAAACCTAAAAAGACCAAAAAAGAGCTATGAGATCGAAGCAGTAATGAAAAGGTTTTATCAAAGAAAAGTGCAGGACCTGATGTTACTGCATCAGCAACAATGCTCAATGTTACCAAACATTTACAAAAAATTAATATGAATTCTACTTAATCTTTTAAAAATAATTGAAGAGGAGAGAATATTTCCACATTCATTCTAAGAGGCCAGCATTACACTGGTAACAAAACCAGACAAAGATAGAACAACAAGAACAACAACAACAACAGAAAACTACAGGCTAATAACACTGATGACGGTAAATTTAAAAACCTTCAACAAAATACTAGTAAACCAAATTCAACAATACAGCAAAAAGGTAATACAGCTATAGCTTCTGTCTACATGAGGCTTATATTCTATTGGGGGATACAAGAAGTAAACAAGTAATAATAAACACATAATTTCATAGTGCAAGTGCTGTAAAGAAAGGTAAATGTTATCAAATATTATTGGCCCAACTAATTTAAGTCTAGAAATAGTCAAGAGACTTAAAATGCCTTATAACATGTGACTATAAACAAAATTTCTTTTTCTTCTGTTGGAAAAACAGCAAATATGATTTAGTTCAGAATTTTAAGAACGATGTGAGCAGAAAGAATAGTGGGAGATATGTTCATCAAGTGAAAGTAAAAGGCAGCACTTCTAATGATCCTGGCATTGTCTCCGGCTCTGTGAGGAAAAGAAAATAAGGTCCCTGGGGTCAGATAAGGAGCTCAGAATAAGCTCCTAGCTGAGTTCTCTGGATATGGTTAATTCCATAGGATATTTTTTACCATGTCACAAGAATTGTGGGCTTTTTCAGACATGTTAGTATGTCTTCTATCAAATATTTTCCAGAGAGGCAAATATATTTCCTGCATTATCTACAGTTGTGTTCCACATAATTAAGATGTGTGACAACTGTCTATATTTATGTGTTCCAAGAAGGCAGTCTGCCAGTTAATGCAAGAAAGAAAATGTCATTTGTTCTACATTCTGCCTACCGTACCACCCAAATCAGCTGCTCCTGGCTCTGCTCAAGACCTAGAGATCCATGGGGAAGAATACATGGTGGTTAGGTGGCCTATACTTTCTGCCGTGGCTGAGCAAGTTTACAAAATCTTTCCAGCGAATACCAGGAAAAAGCATGTTTTCCAGCAACCTCAAGTCATGCAAGCGCTTTTCTTACAGGACAAACCTAGTCTTTCTGAAACCATCTGTACCATAGCAGAGTGCAGGGCATCAGTTATTTTAGCGGGCCTGTTCTAGACTACTACCTGAAAGCAGCTAAGGTTTGAAGTCAAATCTGTACCAATTAAAATTATTCCTGTTTTCTTTATAATTGGACAATTATAACCTTTTCCACCACCTAGCCTCAAGCAGTTTCAGGTCTTTAATTTTCTTCATCCCTCAAATAGAACTAACTAGTAATATTTGTACTCCCTTATTATCTTAGATGATTTTTATCTTTCTAGAGTAGATAACTATGTTTCAGTAACTTTAGTGTTGATTCCAGTCTATTATTGTCACCTATAAGGTAGAATGCAAACTATACAATTGCACCAAGATGTTTAGAAATACCTAGTCCCTCTGGACAAGAACTGAATATTGGGAGATGCCAACAGGTCATATGGAGAACCTGGATGGGAACTTGCTAAGACAAACATGCTTCAAGTAGACGTCAAAGTCATTGACTGCTTTCATATCTCTTGTACATATTTTCCTCCACACCACACCCTCTCAAGTAATTATGTTGGCTAGAGGCCTGAATTATTTAAGTGAGGCATATTTTCAGTGAGAGAAGTTATTTCTGTGACCTATATATGTCTAGATCCAACATACATAGCTTTGAAACAATCTGAAGTTATACAATTGCCTGTCTCCCATATGAAGCTTGTGGGCTTCACAAACATAATACATTTTCTCAAGTTCTCTTAAAACAAGATTGGTCTTGTTCTTCAAGTTATCTCAGCAGCTCAAATGAATGTGAACAATAAACTGGAATCCTGGTGCTAGAAACCTAAAGCTTTTTATTTTACCCAAGACCAAACCTGTATGTCTTCGAGGGGAGGAATATAAAGAAAGAGAAGTTTGCCATTAGAGCCTTCCCTTTTTCTATCTGCTCATAGTTGACAGTTCTCAGCCAGTTTCTTTGAAACTATGCTGTTATTCTATCCCAACTGTGAAAAAAAGAACCATAACCTAGAATTATTTTTTGTCCCACTCCTGTAGACTCTAAATTACCAACTGGTAAATGTCATCAAGTCAGTCACAAGCCAGTAGAAAAGAAAGAGAAAACTGCCACTAAGCAACAGAAGATATTTCTATTTCTACTTTGTTTTCTAGACTACTAGTGACCAATAGTGTGAAATTCAAGCAAGGCCAAAGGGATATCATCTCAAGCAAGGTGGAATACTTATGCACCCCTTAGAATCCAAACAAGTAATCTACCTTATGAGATGCCTAACCACCTCAAAGTTGGAAACAAGTCCTACATGCCAGCTGTCACTTACTAAGTCTTCATTTATGTCATCTAAAAATCAACTATTTGAATCACCTAGTCTTCTGTAGGGGAGTAATGTTGAATTAGAAACAGTTTGATCAATATTTGCGGTTATCTAGCCGCATGTGTAAGTCCCTACAATGAACTACAAGGTTGGGAATTAAAGGAAAAAAAAACCCCACTGCCCTAAACATCTCTTCTTCACACTGCCTGAGTATGCCACTTTCCCTCTTCTCAGGTGTGAAATGCTACCAAATCAAGGTTCGTTTGGGTTAACAAGCCTATTTTTATAGGTAAATAACTCTAAAAGGATTCATTTAACAATTAAGTCCTTTATGGAGAGTACACAGGCTGCCTTAGTCAAATTACTTCTCTCCTAAACTCTAGTTGATATATCCCCAGAGTAATGAGTACTTTAATAGCAGAAACATAGAAAAAAGAAGAGCAATTTCAGAATATGAGGAGAGGGCTTTAAGTAAAGACATGCTTGGGTAGGACATTAAAATGGAGGAAAGATGTTTAGAGCAGCCAAAAGGGATGGGATAAGTGAAGGGAAAAGAAAGGTAAAGATGACAAAAGATAGATACTTCAAAAATTGTTTCTGGACTCTCCATACTCCCAGTTTTCAGTGTAATACTGCCTCTTGACTATTTAGATATGCTATTATCTTTTGGGCCATATCTTTAAAATACCATAAGCTGGGAGGTTTATAAACAACAGACATTTCTTTCTCACAGATCACGAGGCTGGAAGTCAGAGGTCAGGCTGCCAACATGGTCAGTTGTTAAGGGCCCTATTCCAGATTTCAGATGGACGACTTCTCCCTGTCCTTTCACCTCGCAGAAAGAGAGCACAAGAACTTTCTGGAGCCCCTTCAATAAGGACACTAATTCCATTTGTGAGGTCTATACCCTTATAACCTAATTACTTCCCAGAGGCCCAATTCCTAATACTACCACGTTAGAGACTAGGATTTCAACATATGAATATGGGGGAGACAGAAACATTTGGTCCATTACGAGTAGGCATCAGTTAACAGATTACACAAAAGATAAAACTCAAAAGCAGCCTTACTCTCTTCATACACCATATCAACAGATCATCTCAAAATCCATCAATTATGTGATTTAAAAATCTCCATATATTGGCCAGGTGTGGTGGTTCAAGCCTGTAATCCTAGCACTTTGGGAGGCTGAGGCAGGTGGACAGCTTGAGCGCAGGAGTTTGAGACCAGCCTGGGCAACATGACAAAAACCCCATCTCTACAAAAAATAGAAAAATTAACTGGGCACCTGTAGTCCCAGCTACTCAGGAGGCTGAGGTGGGAGGATCACCTGAATCCAGAAGGCCAAGGCTGCAGTGAATCATGATTGCACCACAGTACTCCTGCCTGGATGTCAGAGTAAGGCACTGTCTCAAAACATTTCCATGTATCTTTATATTTCAAATTTTGGTAACAGCTAAAAGGAATAAAATCCTTTTCTGATGATTTTCAATGGCCTTACTGATTTAAAAAGAGAAAAAGTAAGTCTAAAGGCATGAGTTTGTAAAGGTGGGTTGTCAGTATATGAGTCAAATGTGGGGCATTATCTTAATTCACTGTCTCACGCTTATATTACTCAGACCATTATTCTAGTCAGCCAAGGCCAAAAATGAACATATTTTCAGACTCAAGTACAAACCATCTTTCCTTGAATATTCTAGAGGTTTGACAGGCCTCGAAAGAAGTACCTAAGTGTATGGGAGGCCTAAGAAAATCAGTTTTTACCAGATTCAAGAATCAAATGAAGGCATTTTAACTCTATTACCTACTCTGCAGTTCAAATACATTTGCCAAGAGATTATTTATAGTTGTGGACAATGAAAATATGATCTGTAAACTGCCTGTGGTGAGAGTTGCTTTAAGAATCACAAACCTGGGTGGAGGGAGCCGTATGGTGACGCTCAGCAGCACAGTGACACAGCAGGCTGAGAGAGAACTCCAGAGACTTCTGTTTTCATAGCAGCTCTGCCCCCACAGCCTTGCCACATAACCCTGGGCAGTCTTTTAACCTGTTCCAGATGTACTTTCCTCCATAGTTTGTGAGTTAATCAGCAGCTCTTGGAAAGAAATACTAATTTAAATAATTTGTAAACAAAAGGTTTTATAGAGTACAGCAAACAATAAATAGCAAGGCTTTAAACTCTTGATAGCATGAGTGAATCAGCTCCAAATCACTTATCCTACCCTATCAAAGGTAATCATTGGGCAGTTTTTAACAAGATACTCACATCTACTGTCCAGCCAAGCCTTCCCAGCCACTCTCAGTTGTAAAACTTAAAGATCTTAAAATTGGTATCTGAGTCTGTATCCCAAACCCACCAAACAAGTAGAGTCTGGAATTTACAACTTTTCCTAGGGCCTGATGACGACGGTTGCTTAGTGGCTTCCATGCACACTAGACCTGGAGCCAATGAGACCCAGATTCAACAGCTGACTAGAAACCCATATTCCCGCCAAGGGAAGTAGAAAACTTTCAAAACCAGTTTCAAACGGGAGGGAACTAGTTTCAAAACGGATGTTTCAGGATTGGGGCATTAATTTCCTCTTTAGTTTCTGGAGAGAGGCCAGAAAAAACATTTTAAAGACAATATAACCTTCATCATGTATGGCCAGTATAGAAGAATCACCTTTCAATCTACCATTTTGACCTAAACCCTGATCTATGTCAGTCCTTCATCTGCCTTTCCATGTCCTCAACTTTGAGGCTGGGTCAATTGCTGCTTCTTGTATCCCTATTTTTTCTACAATTTATAGCACTCTGGGAAAAAAATCTGAGTAAAAACAATATTCTGTAATTGTTACGGCCTACCTGGATTTTCCCACTGTGATCCAGCACCCTGATTTCAATCATCAGTCAAGTTTCCTCAGTCCAAATTCCCATCTATGTCAACGGCCAGAGATTCTAGTGGTGGTTATTTTTAATCATGACTTCGTGAAAATGATGAAGAAATTCTCTGAAAATGCCTTTATTTGCATTGATGGAATGAAAACTATGTTTATGCAATTTATTGTATAGCTAACTTGAGCATACTCACATGCAATTATTATAGTGGGAAGTTTGGAATACACATTCAGCTCCTCTACATTAAGAGGTTAATGAAAACCTTTTGCCAGCATGTCAAAAGTGGTATTAGTTCTAATTCAGCATGGTGTTTTTCTCCGTGCCACATGTAGGCCCTGCTTACCCTCCTTTGTGGGCCCCATGCTGTGTTTATTCATAGTAGTCTAGGCTGAACAAACATGTTTTCTTTTTAATCACAGTACTTATTTACAGTCTCTTTATGAAAACTGCTTAGAGTTAAATTTAAATACTAGCTTTAATAATTGTATTTCCAGATAGGATTTTTTTCCCCTCAACACACTCTGGAGAATATCTGCCACTAATTAGTCCTTATATTGTTTACTTGATGCAGTAGTTCATCTCCCACACCTGAGTGCCCCATGCAATTGGTGCCGGGCATGAGTTCTGCATATTTCTGTGATGGAAGCCATGTTCAACTCTGATCCCTTTAAAGAAGAAAAAATAGCTTCTGGAATGAGGTTACAAGCTAACAATGTGCTCACTCACTTTGTGAAAAAATGGACACAATAACTTCATCTCTATACCACAATTAATATCCCTCTCATCTATAGCAACTCAGGGAAGCTACTACTTAACCACTGCCTACCCAAAATCATAATGGCTAACATCAACCCAGGAACCTCTCTTTCTCCTACTATTCTGTTCCTCGTTAAACATCCAAGCTTCATTCATTCATTCAAAAAATATTTGAGCACTTATTATATGCCAGACACTGGGCTAGGCACTAGTTTAATTAAAAAGTTTACCACTACTTTACTCCATCTAGATGTGACCCAACTATGCCCTTGAATATCTGCACCAGATAATATCACCTGTGAATTGTCTGCAAACTTCAGACTTGGTGTTTTAGATTGCTGGTCACTCTCAGGAGGTTCAGGCTTCAACTTTCCAGTTTCAGACCAAGCTTGTTCCTTCCTTGAGGGAGTTCAAGGCATGGTCTTGATTAAAGACTTCCAGAAAGAGTCCATACAATTGAGAGGTAAGAGCAGCTTTAACCAAAACCTTGGGGCTGCTTACCTACTCAAGGTTTCTTCAAGTGTGTCATTCTTTCTGACTCAGGTTGTTATAACACCCTCTCATCTTCCTTTAACCCTCCAGCTCCCCATCTGTTCTCCAGAGGAAAAACTCTTTTTCTCTCTACATCTATCTCCATGGCTTTAGGTCAAACCACTGACATCACAGCTACCTACCACCGGGAGCCCATATTGCCCTCAGCAATAAGCAATTCTGGCATCCCTGATGCTTTTCCCTCAAGACTTGATTTATCATTCTTGCTTCGGGTCAAAACTGCTGAAGTTATAACTTCTTTACAATCCTTAAGCTTAACTTAGCTCTATCCCTAAGTAACTCTCACCTCTTTCCTCTCTTTAGTTTGCACTATACTCACTAAAAATATCTTAGATTTTCTATCCTTCCTTCTAATGTTTGCTGAACTACAAAGAGAAATGGTTTGCACAGTGTCCAGAAAGAGAACACAAAAGGGGAACATTTATAAACACATACTTAGCCCCATCCAGGGAAGAGCATGCCCTGAAGAGCCAACAAGCCTGGTTTAGTGTTTATGGTCTGCTTATATTGTTGAAAACCCCAAGCTATAGTGTCTTTAAGATGCCAGCCATCTAGATAATACCACTTATGCTAGTGGTTCCTATTACAAGCTTACCAAGCAGTCTCCTAGTTTTAGCTTGCCTGTCCACATATCTTTTCCCACACTGTACACATCACCTGACACAAGTCTATCGATTTGCTTAGAAGCTAAATTTCTTATTATAAATGTATACATTATTCTGGTTAGTTCACTCTTTAACAAGTTTTATTAGTGTACCTCATCTTCTAGAACAGATCACTTCTGAAAAATATAAACACTCAAATTTCTAGACATGAATTTTTTTGTCCCCAACTTCAGACTTTTGGAGACTCATAAAGGTATATAGTTAACTGGGTTAAATGCAGAACTTGGCTACATCCCTGGGAGTGCCTTAACTCACACCTGAGTTCTTTATGTCTTATTTTCAACCTCTATTTCCACAAAATTATAAACTCACAGACATACATATATGCATATATATCAATGATTTTTCTGTTAATTTCATTGGAACATATTACTTAAACTGTCTGAGTTCATCTTTTTTAAAATTCCTTGTAATGACTAATATTAGCATCTCTAAATTTAAATCCTGAGTCATTTTACTTGGCCAATGTTTGATACATTTGTGAAAGTACTGGTTTCTTCGCAAAGTCTGGGATGTCCCCAAATTTTAAGCCAAGAATTCCTCTGAGGAACCCATTAACATTTTATTAAGGAAAAATCAATGCAATGTTTCCTGCTAGCAAGCATAATATATTTCTAACTACCTCTTCTTTATTTTCTTAAATCTCCTGTCTTTCCAGATTATTGCTTGAAAACTATCTTTCTTCAAGGCATCATCAATTGAGTTAGATTGGCCTACCTCAGCAGGCATCCTTATATTGGGCTTGTCTTTCTTAGCTGTTGATTTTTCTCTGAACCTACTATATTTATTGAATTCTTTCTACATAATGTCTTTTGGAAACCTTTTATCCATAAAGATTCCAGCCCTTTGCTGTCTTTTAGGAATTGCCAAAATTAAAGATTTTTGTGCTTGTATAATTCATGTTTGACTATTCCAGTCTTTGCTTTACTTTTAAATACTTCTACTTCCTCCCTCCCCCTTGTTATCTCACTGGTCTAATCTGTGCAGTAAGATGAAGGCATAAATGTCTGAATTATAGATTTAGGTGTAGATAGAAATACCTACTGATATCACAGCATGCCTTATTCATTGTTTCTGTGGACACACACACAAACACACAAACACACACACACACACACACACACACACAATGAAAGGTAAAGAGTATCAAAGAAGTCCCTGAAGGTAGCTGCACCTATGCTGGACTTTTAAGAAGATTGTTTTTACTGCATTTGGGTAGACTACATCAAAGTTCTGTCAGATTACCTCTTAGTAGGCCAGGTGCAGTGGCTCATGCCTGGAATCCTAACAGTTTGGGAGGACAAGGCAGGAGGAATGCTTGAGGCTAGGAATTCGAGACCAGCCTGGGCAACACAATGAGACCCCATCTCTACAAAAAATACAAAAATTAGCTGGACATAGTGGCACGTGCACACAGTCTCAGCTGCTTGGGTGGCTGAGGCAGGAGGATTGCTTCAGCCCAGGGGCGGAGGCGGTAATGAGCCATGATTAAACCACTGCACTCTGGCCTGGGTGACAGAGTGAGAGCCAAGCTGGAAATGGCACAATCATAACTCATGGCTCATTTTTTCTAAAAAAAAAAGAAAAGAAAAGAAAAGAAAAAACAAACAAAAAACAATTCTTAGTAGATTTCTAATCAGTCTCTGTAATGTACATAGAATTATTTTTAAAACACAACTTTGGCCTTGAAATATGATGGTGATTTCAATCCTTCCTGTCTCCCTTTCATGCAGAAAGTGAAACTCTTGAGATAAGAACAAACATCCAGCCTTTTCATATCTCTGGACCCCTTACTTTCTCTGAAGCTTCTTCTCCCAGAGCCTGTTTACTCCATATATTCCAGCTCTAAAAAGCTACTAGCTGCTAGTATTCCCAAATGGCCTTGGGCCCCTGCACATGTTGTTCCCTCCAAGTGTAATTCCCTTTCCTCCTATCTTACCCTGCAATTTTATTCACTTCTTCAAAGCATATTTTGTGTCCCTTCCTCTATTTAAGACTTTCCAGAATCTACAGTGACTATAGTCCTTATTTTGTGTTCCCATTATACTTTATAGACACTTCTACCAGGACCTTTGTAACTATTTTATTCATTTGCTTACATTATGCATCTCATTTTAAGTCTCTAAGCCCCTTGAAGGGTCCATATGTTCATGCAAATCACATTTTACTCAGAATTCATGAAAGTGTCTTTGAATATAGATATACAGTACTCCACAAAATTGTATTTGTTAATACCACAAGGCAAACAGTCCACTGATTCACAAGCATGAATTTGGAATTTGTTTTGGAGCAATGTAGAATTTCCCTATTCTTTAACAATCTTTGTTCAATTCTTTCAGGGCTTAAAATTACTCATTAGTAAAGTTATTAGTAGAAACTATGAATGTGATCAAGAAGCAAGGTATACCCAGCTGGTATAGGAGACTCATGATCCAATAATAACCCTGTGTTCTCACCAGCAGAGCAGGTAATGCAGTACAGTCAATATACTAACAGATAACACTCATGCACACACACACACATGCTTTCTAGGCTCCCCATTCAGATTTGTTTATAAGATGACATCAAAGTGCAAAAAGTTAAGCATATCATATTTATCAAAGTAGAATTTCTAAATTTTAGCAAAAATCATCTCATCTAGCAAAGAGATATTTGACTGGAAATACATGTTAAAATTTTCCAGCAGTCCGAATCTCTGGAGATCTAGTAATAAAGAGGATCAAGAATAATGTATTAATATTATAAAACATTCTTGAGGTGGTCAGAAATCATGAAAACTTTGCCCAACATTACTTTTTGCGTAATATGGTTGGGTTTTCTGCCCCCACCCCAATCTCGTCTTAAATTGGAATCCCCATAATACCCATGTGACAAGGAAGAAACCAAGTGGAGGTAATTGAATCATGGGGGCATTTTCCCCCATGCTGTTCTCATTATAGTGAATGAGTTATCATGAGATCTGTTTTTTTTTTTTGGTTTTTTTTTTTTTTTTTTGAGACAGAGTCTCGCTCTGTCGCCCAGGCTGGAGTGCAGTGGCATGATCTTCGCTCATTGCAAGCCACGCCTCCTGGATTCACACCATTCTCCTGCCTCAGCCTCCCGAGTAGCTGGGACCACAGGCACCTGCCACCAGGCCTGGCTAATTTTTTGTATCTTCCCTACTTCACTAGGCACTTCTCCTTCCTGCCACCTTCTGAAGAAGGTGGCTTGCTTGCCCTTTGGCTTCCACCATAATTGTGAGTTTCCTGAGGCCTCCCCAGCCACACTTAACTGTGAGTCAATTGAACCTCTTTCCTTTATAAATTACTCCATCTCAGGCAGTTCTTTATAGCAGTATGAAAATGGGCTAATAGAGCAAATTGGTACCACAGAGAGTTGAGTGCTGCAATAAAAAAACCTGAAAATCTGGAACCAACTTTGGAACTGGATAACAGGCAGAGATTGGAACACGTTGGAGGGCTCAGAAGAAGACAGGAAGATGTGGAAAAGTTGGGAACTTTCTAAGAGACTTGTTGAATGGCTTTGACCAAAATGTTGATAATGATATGGACAAAGAAATCCCGGCTGAAGTGGTCTCAGATGGAGATGAGAAACTTGTTGGGAACTGGAATGAAGGTGACTCTTGCTATGCTGTAGCAAATAGACTGGTGGCATTTTGTCCCTTCCCTAGAGATCTGTGAAACTTTGAACTTGAGAGAGCTAATTTAGCATCCCTGGTAGAAGAAATTTCTAAGCAGCGAAGTATTCAAGAGGTAACTTGAGGGCTCTTGAAAGCATTAAGTTTTATGCATTCACAAAGATATGGTTCGCAACTGGAACTTATATCTAAAAGGGAAGCAGAGCATAAGTTCCAAAACTTCACAGCTAACAATGCAATAGAAAAGAAAAACCCATTTTCTGAGGAGAAATTCAAGCTGGCTACAGAAATTTACGTAAGTAAAGAAAAGCCAAATGTTCATCACCAAGACAATGGGATAAATGTCTCCAGGGCATGCCAGAGGTCTTCACGGCCCCTCCCATCACTGGCCTAGAGATCTAAGAGGAAAAAAATTGTTTCATGGGCTGGGCCCAGGGCCTTGCTGCTTTGCACATTCTCAGGACTTGGTGCCCTGCATCCCAGCCATGGCTAAAAGGGGCCAATGTACAGCTCAAGCCATTGCTTCAGAGGGTGTAAGCCCTAAGCCTTGGTGGCTTACACATGGTGTTGGGCTTGCAGGTGCACAAAAGTCAAGAATTGAAGTCTGGGAACCTCCATCTAGATTTCAGAGGATATATGGAAACACGTGGTTGTCCAGGCAGAAGTTTGCTGCAGGGGTGGCGCCCTCATGGAGAATCTCTGCTAGAGCAATGCAAATGGGAAATGTAGGATCAGAGCCCACGCACAGAGTCACCAATGGGACACTGCCTAGTGGAGATGTAAGAAGAGAGCCACCATCCTCCAGACACCAGAGTAGTAGATCCACTGACAGCTTGCACCACGTGCCTGGAAAAGACAGAGATGCTGGATGCCAGCCTGTGAAAGCAGCTGGGAGTGGGACTGTACCCTACAAAGCCATAGGGGAAGAGCTGCCCAAGACCATAGGAGCCCACTTCTTGCATCAGTGTGACCTGGATATGAAACATGGAATCAAAGGAAATCATTTTGGAGCTTTAAGATTTAATCACTGCCCTGCTGGGTTTCAGACTTGCATGGGGCCTGTAGCCCCTTTGTTTTGGCCAATTTCTCCCCCTTGAAATGGGTATATTTTCCCAATGCCTGTACTCCTATTTTATCTAGGAAGTAGCTAACTTGCTTTTGATTTTACAGGCTCACAGGCAGAAGGAACTTGCCATGTCTCAGGTGAGACTTTGGACTTGGACTTTTCGGTTAATGCTGGAATAAAGTAAGACTTGGGGGACTGTTAGGAAGGCATGATTGATCTTGAAATGTGAAAAGGACATGAGATTTGGCAGGGGCCAGGGGCAAAATGATATGGTTAGGCTTTACGGCCCCATCCAAATCTCATCATGAAATGTAATCCCCATAATCCCCTTGTGTCAAGGGAGAGACCAGGTGGAGGTAATTGAATGGGGGCAGTTTTCCCCATGCTGTTCTCATGATAGTGAGTGAGTTCTCATGAGAGCTGTCGGTTTTATAAGGGCCTCTTCCCCTCTTCACTAGGCACTTCTCCTTCCGGTCCCCTGTGAAAAAAGTGCCTTGCTTCCCTTTTGCCTTCCATGATTGTAAGTTTCCTGAGGCCTCCCCAGCCATGCTGCACTGTGAGTCCGTTAAACCTCTTCCCTTTATAAATTACTGAGTTTGGGGCAGTTCTTTATAGAAGTATGAAAATGAACTAATACACTCATTATCTGTTAAATTCAAGTTTATAACTTTTTGTAACCAGTTCTTATTTTCTTTGAAATTACAGTAATAATGTGATTTGGGGGAGTAAGGATAGCGTTATTTCTCTCTTTGATTCCCCCAGAAATAGAAGTGTACTTGTATATTATATTCAATATATATATATACTTACTAAATACATAAAATATATCATTATCACTTTCTGTTTCATAAATATAGATGAATATCTTTATAGATATTCATGATTCTAAGTGTAATATAAACAGACTCTCCAATAAAAACTCTTAACTGGAAAAGAACACCAAATAAGGGACAAAATAATCTAAATTAAAATATACTATTTTTTCAATTTTACATTTCTTTTTAAATATCAGAATTTTATCAGTATTTTGTATAGTTTATTCAGCTTAGATCAGATCATATCCTTTTCTTTTTGGGGTTTATTAAATTATTTAGGCTTTCCTCATATTTATGGCTTTTGCCTCCCAAAATGGGATATTTCCACAATGTTCTTTCTCTCTCTTTGCTTTCTTCCTTATTAAAAATTATCTCAGACTCAGATTTCTCAAAGAACTAAAACTAGAACTATCATTCAATCCAACAATTCCACTACTGGGTATCTACCCAAAGGGAAATAATTTATTATATCAAAAACACACTTGCACTCATACATTTACCACAGCACTATTCACAATAGCAAAGATACGGAATCAACCTAAATGTAGCCATCAGTGGAGGGGTAAATACACACACACACACACACACACACACACACACACACACCCTGTAATACTACTCAGCCATGTAAAAGAATGGAATCACGTCTTTTGCAGCAATGTGAACAGAACTGGAAGCTGTTATCCTCAGGGAAATAACTCAGAACCCAAATACCACATGTTCTGACTTATAAGTGGGAGCTAAGCAAAGCAATGGATGCACATGAACATACAGAGTGGAATAACAGCTATTGGAGACTACATGGTGGAAGGGGGATAAGAGTTGAATAATTATCTATTGAGTACAACGTTTCCATTCAGGTGATGGTTGTACTGAAAGCCCAGACAATACCATAACACGATATATGCATGTGAGAAACCTAATTTGTACCTCATCAATATATAAAAATTGTAAAAATTAAAAAGTCAAAAACAATTTTCAAAATGTCAAGAAATTATCTCAGACTCAAATTAATCATTGTATTGCCAAAAACAAATGTTGGAATGTTTGTAGAGAAAAGGCAACACTTGCACATTCTTGGTAGGAATGTAAATTAGTATATCCACTGTGGAGAACAGTTCGGAGGTTTCTTAAAAAACAAAAAGTAGAGCTACCATATCATTCAGCAAATCCACTGCTAGGTATGTACCCAAAAGAAAGATAATCAGTATATCAAAGAGATATCTGCACTCCCATGTTTGTTGCAGCTCTGTTCACAATAGCCAAGATTTGGAAGCAACTGAACTGTCCATCAACAGACGAATGGGGCCGGGCACAGTGACTCACGCCTGTAGTCCCAGCACTTCAGGGGGCCGAGGCAGGTGGATCACTTGAGGTCATGAGTTTGAGACCAGCCTGGCCAACATGGTGAAACCCCACCTCTACTAAAAATAGAAAAATTAGCCAGGCATAGTGGCACACGCTTGTAATCCCAGCAACTCAGGAGGCTGGGGCAGGAGAATCCCTTGAACCCAGAAGGTGGAGTTTGCAGTGAGCCAAGATCACACCACTGCACTCTAGCCTGGGTGACAGAACAACACTCTGACTCAAAAAAAAAAAAAAAAAAAAAAGATGAATAAAGAAAATGTGGTAATTATACACAATGGAGTACTATTCAGCCATAGAAAACTGAGATCCAGTCATTTGCAACAACATGGATGGAACTGAAGGTCACTGTATTAAGTGAAATATGCCAGGCACAGAGAGATAAATGTCACATATTCTCACTTATTTGTGGGATCTAAAAATCAAAGCAATTGAACTCATGGAGATAGACAGTAGAAGGATGGTTACCAGAGGCTAGGAAGGGTAGCCTCTGGGGGACTACAGGGAAGGTGGGGATGGTTAACAGTTACAAAAAAAAAGGTTAGAAAGAATGAATAAGACATAATATTTCATAACACATCAGAGGGATATAGTCAATAATAATTTAATTGTACATTTGAAAATAAGTAAAAGGGTATATTTGGATTGTTTGTAACACAAAGGATAAATGGTTGAAAGGATAGATACCCCATTTTCCATGATGTGATTATTACACATTGCATGCCTATATCAAAATATCTCTTATATTCCATAAGTATATATGCCTAGTGTATACCAATAAAAATATAATTAAATTTAAAAAGTAATTTTATTGCCAAAAGTATATTCCTAACATTTTTTTTTTGAGCAGAGTCTTGCTCTGTCACTCAGGCTGGAGAACAGTGGCATAATCTTGGCTCACTGAAACCCCCACCTCCCTGGCACCTGCAATCCTCCCACCTCAGCCTTCCTAGTAGCTGGAACCACAGGTGTCCACCACCATGCCCAGCTAATATAAATTGAATACATAAAATTAGCTATTACTACATGATAAAGACAATGTTTGTCAGTCCCCAAAGGGAATATGTCTATTGGGACCATATACCTTATAAAGAATTCCTTAATTCAATGTAAATATAAATACAAAAATGAATTTTATTAGATAGTTTAAAGACGCATTTCAAGTAAGAATGAATTTAATACAAGGAATTAATGCTTACACAACTAATGGAAGGGCTGTGGGACAAAGGTCAAGGGAAAAGACTGCTGGGTCTTAGGGGATTAAGAAACTATAGACATCTGAAGAAATTGCCACTAAGGAACTCAGCTGACGGTAGCACTGAATCAGAGATTTGCCATCTGCCCACCATTGCCAGAAAATAAAATGATCTCCCTTCCATGTTCCAAATGCCACACTAGTACCTTTTATTGAAATAACCTAACTTTAGAATCCTACTAGTCAGGACTTATTACCATTAACAATCAAAGGACCAGAAACCAATGCAAGACCTTTCCTCTGAGCTATCTGGAAGAGTATTGCCTAATAAAATATTTATATTTTAATTGTAGAGATGAGGTAGTGCTTTTTTTAATGGCTACAAATTCTTTGACACTTCTCTCATCAACAGGTGGGGTCTATATCCTCTCTTTATCCTAGATTCTTGGAGTCCTGTGGCTGCTTTGAAAATACACTGCCAGAAGTAAAGGCATGTGAGTTGTGCAATAAGGCCAAAAAGACAACAGAGCTTCCATGTGGCTTTCTTGGATCTTTTGGTCTCAAGACTCCATCTTAGAATCCAGCCACAATATTGAGAGAAGCCCTAGTTGACAGTCTCAGCTAAGCCCAGTTTTGAGTCATCTTACCCTGGGCATCAAACATGCAAGTAATGAAGCCTTTATATATGTGCCCCCACTGCTTCATTCACCCTCACTATATGAAGCCTGAGACATCCTGGGGCAGAGCCAAGCCATCCCTTCAGTACCGTGTCTGAGTTCCTGATCCATGGAATTGGTAAGTATTATAAAATGGTTATTTTACACTACTAAGTTTGGGGTGGTTTATAATTCAACAGTAGTTACTGAAACAACTCCTGAAAAAATGAGAGAAAAAAAATTGAGGTTGATGGAGACTTAGAAGCTATGGAATTCATCCTGAGTATGCCTATTTGAAAGTTATCCCAATGACCTGACAGATGAGGTGTATGTACGAAGCTATACAATTAGGCTTACAATTATCTGTTACAAATCTGAAGTATTCGTCTTCCTCCATTTTATCCCTTCTTTATATAATCTTAACTCTGGAACCTAAAACTTCAGAGAGAGCAGATTTGGGTCTTCTTTACCCATTCCCATATCTTCACCCAAATTACACAGATGAAGGGCAATTTGAATCTTTAACAATTACAGTATTCACAGAAACTGCACAACTTTATCACATTAATTAACTCTCATCCACATACTCCCAGAGGAGAAGGAGCAAAAATTCCAATTACAGAATCCATTTACTGAACAAAACTGAATTTCTTGTAAGTGGAGCCTATCATATTTTTCTAAACCCTTCCCTTGAGTTTGACAATTCACAGTTATAACACTTTCTTATGACTAAGTTTCTGTTCTGTTACTTCATCTCACTTTATATACAGATGTTCTCTTTGATTTTCATCTCTTTGTTCCTTTTGCTCTGCCATCAAAACTGACAGTTATAATAAGCTTTTATGTGACATTGTATGTTTTGAGCACCTAGGGATTATACCCATTTATTATTCTGTTCAGCATTCATTAGCACCATCACTCTTTTCTCTATATATTTGAGTGTCCAGTGTGTATAAACTGTAGCTTGGTCCTAAAGCAAAAGATAAAAGTACAGAAAGACCTAGTCTCTTAATTGTAAGGTACTTACTTTCTGATAAAGATAGGAATGTCATAAATATAATAGCATTAATTTTTAAATAGAAAAACACAAGAAAAGAAAAAGCTGATATAATTTTGAAACAATAAAAATAGTTTTGTAACTTAGGCTCACCTGTAGGACATAGTAGGACCTCTGTGGCTTCAATTAATAGTCCAAGAAGAATTGAGCTTGAGTTCCCATTTGCTTTCCCACGACTTTATTGAGCAACTAACTTGTGTCAATTAGCATACTCAGAAGTTTACATTTTTATTTAACTGACTCAGTACTTAAGTTGCCACTTTCAATTTTGGGAAGTGATCCAATAGATCAAATAAAGACAATAAATTTGAGAGTTTGTTCAAGATAAAGGAGGAGTATCAAGGAACCTGCCCCAATAGTCACATAGGTTCTTTTCTATTTTCCCTAAGTGTCAGCCGGCTTGAGAAATAAAGGCACAGAGTACAAAAGAGAAAAATTTTAAAGCTGGGTATCCAGGGGAGACATCACATGTCGGTAGGTTCCGTGATGCCCCACAAGCTGCAAAAACCAGCAAGATTTTATTAGGGACTTTCAAAAGGGGAGGGAGTGTGCGAATAGGTGTGGGTCACAGACATCAAGTACTTTACAAGGTAATAGAATATCACAAGGCAAATGGAGGCAGGGCAAGATCACAGATCACAGGACCACAGGACCGGGGCGAAATTAAAATTGCCAATGAAGTTTCGGGCACCATTGTCACTGATAACATCTTATCAGGAGACAGGGTTTTGAGAGCAACCAGTCTGACCAAAATTTGTTAGGTGGGAATTTCCTCTTCCTAATAAGCCTGGGAGCACTATGGGAGACTAGGGTCTATTTCACCCCTACAGCCTCGACCATAGAAGATGGGCACACCTAGGTGGGGCGTTTATAGACCTATACCCCCAGGCGCGTATTCTGTTTCCCAGGGATGTTCCTTGCTGAGAAAAAGAATTCAGCGATATTTCTCCCATTTGCTTTTGAAAGAAGAGAAATATGGCTCTGTTCCGCCCGGCTCACCGGCAGTCAGAGTTTAAGGTTATCTCTCTTATTCCCTGAACAACTGCTGTTATCCTGTTCTTTTTTCAAGGTGCCCAGATTTCATATTTGTTCAAACACACATGCTCTACAATTTGTGCAGTTAATGCAATTATCACGTGGTCCTGAGGTGACATACATCTTCCTCAGCTGACAGGATTAAGAGATTAAAGTAAAGACAGGCATAGAAAATCACAAGGGTATTGATTGGGGAAGTGATAAGTGTCCATGAAATCTTCACAATTTATGTTTAGAGACTGCAGTAAAGACAGGCATAAGAAATTATAAAAGTATTAATTTGGGGAACTAATAAATGTCCATGAAATCTTCACAATCTATGTTCTTCTCAAACGGAGAGACTGACTGAAGCCATGGCAGAAGAACATGGATTGACTTCCCGCAACAGAGGAGGGTTGGTTCAAAGGCAAACAATTTCGGAGTGATAGTGGTACACTTACAGGCAATAAATCAATTAAAAGCAGAATCTTAGTCCAATGTACTGACCACCAACTATGTAGTAGAAACTGTGTTAAACCTGGAGATAAAAGATGGTTAGGCCGGGAGTGGTGGCTCACGTCTATAATCCTAACACTTTGGGAGGCTGAGGCGAGTGGATCACCTGAGGTCAGCAGTTCGAGACCAGCCTGACCAACATGGCAAAACCCTGTCTCTGTTAAAAAATACAAAATTAGCTAGGCTTGGTCGCGCATGCCTGTAATCCAAGCTACTCCGGTGCCTGAAGTAAGAGAATCGCTTGAACCCAGGAGGCGGAGGTTGCAGTGAGTCAAGATCGCACCATTGCACTCCAGCCTGGGCAATAAGAGTGAAACTCCGTCTCAAAAAAAGAAAAAAGAGAAAAAAAAAAAAAAAGATGGTTAATCCATAGCCCCTACCTACAAAGTTATAGATACCACGAGATAGATATAAATATATATAAGGTCAAGTAGATATGCAAAAACAGAAAAGTCTAGCCCCAGAAGACAGATAAATAGGACAGGTACAAAATGTATTCAATGACCCAAAGAACTGTGAAATAGTTTAGGATAGTACTGCATTCTCTAAAAGTAAACTAGCTAATTTAAAACCCAAATGGATACTAATAACATATGTGAATATCAAAAACATTATGTTTAACAAAATAATAAAGGTATAAATTAGTAAATGCTATATTATTTCACTTATAAGAAGTTCAAGAATGGGAAAACTAATCTTTGTTGAAGGAAGTCATAACAGTGGTTCTTCTGTAGAGTATCGACTGGAAAGAAGTACAAATGAATTTTCTCGGGTGATGAAATATTTTGTTTGAGTGTTGGTTACAAAGCCGTATGTATTTGTCAAAACACATTAAATTGTTCATGCAAGGTCTCAATCTATTAGTCTCTGCTTTATGCTTGGCTTCTCAGCCTCTCAGTTCTAGGCGCATTACCTTAGCAAATTCTGTAAGGGTAAGTACAGTAGAGAATATTTTATTCATCACAGTGTATTTCCCTTCTATCCAATAACTGAGTCCCTCAAGTCTTGAAGGACATGATAGCTCAGCAATACCTTCGAAATATCCACTTTGTACTACTATTATCATTGTATCCTACTGTTTCTATTTTGTTTTATCAAGATACAAGCTAGTCCATCCCATCTAGAAGTAGAGGTCTAAAATAGATTTTTTAATGTTTTGCCAACTGAGGAGCCATATGGAAAAAGATAAAATTGAATCTGTTCTTCACACTACACACCTGTGTGAATATCAAGTGGATCAGAATAACAAATCACATAAGCAGTAGGAAAAAACATGGATGAATTCCTTTATAAACCAAGGGTAGATGAAACTTTCCTTTGACTCTCTAAAGTATTATAAAACAACTTGATAAATTTGACTACGTAAAAATTAAAAACACAAAAAGTTACATTATAAAACACCATATAAAAGGGAAAAAGTAATAATGAACTGATAAAAATGTTTGTAATTTATATGTTTTCATATCCCTAATAAAGCACTCCTAATAATTAAAAAGAAAATGATCAAGCCTGTAATACAAAAAATTGTTGAGTAATATGAAGAGAGACCACAAAAGAAAAAATTAGGAAGACATTAAATATATATACACACACATATGCATGTGTGTATGATGTTCGCTCTCATTTATAAGTAGGAAAATGGCGATCGTAAACTGTATTATGTAGATTTAATTTTAATACTAATATTAGCATTTTTATTTTTAAACTATGTTATGTTTCTGTTTTTAAAGTATGTTGTAGGATAAAGTGAATAATTATGTTAATGCCAATAAAAACAAGAATTTTTAATTTGAGAAAAAAATAAGTACAAGAAAAATAAAATTTCACATCTTAATATTGAATTGGAAATATTAAGGTAAAAATATTTTATCTCTTTCATTTTAAAAATACATATTGCCTGTTTCTGTCTACTAGAAAGGCCTAGAATCTGTGGCGACTCAGGAGCAATGAGCACCCCTAGCATAAAGGTTATGGTCTCTAATACTAATGCTCTACTTAAAGGAAAAATAAGTACTCAAGAGAGTTTTTCAATCTGAAATGAAAGGAAGTTAATTAGTAACATAAGAGCATATAAAAGTATAAAACTCACTGGTAAAATTAAGTATGTAGTCAAATTCAGAATACTGTGATACTCTAATGATAGTGTATAAATTACTTGTGGCTCCAGTATAAAGGCTAGAGGAAAAAAATTAAAAATATAGCAATAATAATATATTTATGGATACACAATATAAAAAGATGTAAATTGTGACATCAAAAGCATACAATGAGGGGGAAGGGTAAAGTTTTGGTATGTAATTACTATTCCTATGAACTTAAAATAGTTAGATAGTAAGACATTTTATGTAAGTCTTTTATAACCACAAAACAAAAACCTATAGTAGATATATGAAAGATAAAGAGAAAGGAATCAAAGGAAACCACTACAGAAAATCATCAAATCAAAAGGAAGAAAAGCAAGACAGTAAGAAAGGAACAAAAAATCCACAAAATAGAAAATAATTAACGAACAATAATAAATTCTTACGTATCAATAATTACCTTCAATGTATATGGATTAAATTATCCAATCAAAAGATATGGAGTGGCCAAACCGATTAAAAAAAACACACACACAAAAACTACATGCTGTCTACAAGAGACTCACTTCTGCTTCAAGAACACACACAGACTGAAAGTTTAGAGATGGAAAACAACATCCCTTGCAAACAGAAAAAGAGCAGCGGCAGCTATACTTATATCAGACAAAATATGCTTTAAGGTAAAAAGTGTAAAAACAATAAAAAAGGACATTTAATAATGATAAAAGCATTGATTCTTTAAGGAGATATAACAATTATAAATAATATGCACCAATCATAGCACCTAAATATATAAAGTACATATTAATCGATCTGAAGGGAGAAATTGACAGTGATACAATAATAGTAGTAGGCTTGAATACCCTACTTCTAATAATGAATAGATCATCCAGACAGAAAATCTGTAAGAAAATACTAGACTTGAGAAACACTTTGGAACAAATAGACCTAACAGACATATACAAAACATTCCATCCAACAGCAACAGAATAAACATTATTCTCAAGCACACAGAAAACATTCTCCAGGCTAAGTCATATGTTAGACCACAAAATAAGCCTTAGCCAATCTAAGAAAACTCAAATTATATCAAGTAACTTTTCTGACCAAAATAGTATGAAATCAGAAGTCAATAACAGGAATATTTTGGGAAAGTTCACAAATATATGGAAATTACATAACACATTCCTGTATAATCAACGGGGAAGAGAAGAAATTAAGAGAAAAATTTAAAAATAATACCTTGAGACAAACAAAACTAAAAACATAACATACCAAACTTGTGGATTCTGCAAACGCAGTTCTAAGAGGGAAGTTTATAGCAATAAACACCTACATGAAGAAAAAGAAAGATGTCAAATAGGCTGGGCACAGTGGCTCATGCCTGTAATCCCAGCACTTTGGGAGGCCGAGGCAGGCGGATCATGAAGTCAGGAGATCGAGACCATCCTGGCTATCATGGTGAAACCCCATCTCTACTAAAAATACAAAAAATTAGCCCGGCATAGTGACAGGTGCCTGTAGTCCCAGCTACTCAGGAGGCTGAGGCAGACGAATGGCGTGAACCCAGGAGGCAGAGCTTGCAGTGAGCCCAGATTGGGCCACTGCACTCCAGCCTGGGCAACAGAGCGAGACTCCACCTCAAAAAAAAAAAAAAAAAAACAAGATGTCAAATAAACAACCTAACATTACACTTCAAGTAAGTAGTAAAAGAAGAATAAACTAAGCTTGAATTTAATAGAAAGAAGGAAATAACAAAGATCAGAAAAGAAAAAATGAAATAGAAACTAGAAAAACATTAGAAAAGATCAATGAAACCAACAGTTTTTTAAAAACATAACCTACACTGACAAATCATCAGCTAAAGACTCAAATAAATAAAATTAGAAATGAAAGATGACATAACCACTGATATCACAAAAATACAAAAATCATGAGACTACTATGAACAAGTATATGCCAACTAATTAGATAACCTAGAAGAGATGAATGTTCTAGAAACATACAAACTACCAAGATTGACTCATGAAAAAATAGAAAATTTAAGTAAACCTAAAATTGGTAAGAATATTAAATTAGTAAATAAGCACTCTCAACAAAAAGAACCTCGAGATCAGATGGCTTCAATGATCCACCAAATATTTAAAGAATTAATGTCAATACCTCTAAACTTCGAAAACAATTGTAGAAGAAGGAGCACTTACAAACACATTTTATGAGACCAGCATAACCTGCCACTAATACCAGATAAGGACAATATAAGAAAAGAAAATTACAAGCCAATATCCAAAATTAAAAGCCAGTTAAGGAAAACAATAAGAAAAGAAAATTACAAGCCAGTATTTCTGATGAACATAGTTGCAAAATACTACATCAAACCAAGTTCAACAATGCGTTAAAAGGATCATATGCCACGATCAAGTGATATTTGTTCCTGGGTTACAAGGATGTTTCAACATACGCAAATCAATAAATGTGTTATGCCACATTAACAGAATAAAGGACAAAAATTATATAATCACCTCAAAAGACACAGAAAAAGCATTTGACTAAATCCAACAACATTTCACGATCTTAAAACTTTCACAAATTAGATATACAAGGAATGTTCCTCAACACAGTAAAGGCCATATACTACAAGCCCAAGAGCTAACATCATATTCAATGAAAAAAAAAAGGAATCTTATCCTCTAAGAATAAGAAAAAGACGAAGATGCCAACTCTTGTCACTTTTACTGAACATAGTATTGGAAGTCCTGGTCAGATACATTAGTCAAGAAACGAAAAAAATGGGCATCCAAATTGGACAGGATGAAATAAAATTGTCTGTTTGCAGATAACATAATTTTAAATATATATATATGAAGAATTTCACCAAAAACCTGTTAGAATAAAGATATTCAGTAAAGCTGCAGGATACAAAATCAGCAAACAAAAATCACCATACAACAATGAGCTATCTCACAATTAAATTTTTAAAAATCCCATTTACAGTTGCATTAAAAAGAAAAAAATACCTAGAAATAAATTTAACCCATCCATGAGTTGAACACTACAAAATATTAATGAAAGAAATTGAAGAAGACACAAAAAATTGAAGGACATCTCATGTTCATGGATTAGAAGACTCAATGTTGTCTAAATGTCTATACTACCCACAGTGATCTATAGATTCAATGCAATCCCTATCAAAATTTCAAAGGCATATTTTACAAAAATAAAAAATACCTTGCTCGATTGGGGAAGTTCTCCTGGATAATATCCTGCAGAGTGTTTTCCAACTTGGTTCCATTCTCCCTGTCATTTTCAGGTACAACAATCAGATGTAGATTTGGTCTTTTCACATAGTCCCATATTTCTTGGAGGCTTTGCTCGTTTCTTTTTATTCTTTTTTCTCTAAACTTCCCTTCTCACTTCATTTCATTCATTTCGTCTTCCATCACTGATACCCTTTCTTCCACTTGATCACATCGGCTCCTGAGGCTTCTGCATTCTTCACGTAGTTCTCGAGCCTTGGCTTTCAGCTCATTCAGCTCCTTTAAGGACTTCTCTGTGTTGTTTATTCTGGTTATGCATTCGTCTAATTTTTTTTCAAAGTTTTTAACTTCTTTGCCATTGGTTTGAATTTCCTCCTGTAGCTCGGAGTAATTTCATCATCTGAAGCCTTCTTCTCTCAGCTCGTCAAAGTCATTTTCCGTCCAGCTTTGTTCCGTTGCTGGTGAGGAGCTGTGTTCCTTTGGAGGAGGAGAGGTACTCTGCTTTTTAGAGTTTCCAGTTTTTCTGCTCTGTTTTTTCCCCATCTTTGAGAACTTCCCCAATCTAGCAAGGCAGGCCAAAATTCAGATTCAGGAAATACAGAGTAAGTCACAAAGATACTCCTTGAGAAGAGTAACTCCAAGACACATAATTGTCAGATTCACCAAAGTTGAAATGAAGGAAAAAATGTTAAGGGCAGCCAGAGAGAAAGGTCGGGTTACCCACAAAGGGAAGCCCATCAGACTAACAGCTGATCTCTCAGCAGGAACTCTGCAAGCCAGAAGAGAGTGGGGGCCAATACTCAACATTCTTAAAGAAAAGAATTTTCAAACCAGAATTTCATATCCAGCCAAACTAAGCTTCATAAGTGAAGGAGAAATAAAATCCTTTACAGACAAGCAAATGCTGAGAGATTTTGTCACCACCAGGCCTGCCCTAAAAGATCTCCTGAAGGAAGCACTAAACATGGAAAGGAACAACTGGCACCAGCCACTGCAAAAACATGCCAAAATGTAAAGACCATCAAGGCTAGGAAGAAACTGCATCAACTAACGAGCAAAATAACCAGCTAACATCATAATGACAGGACCAAATACACACAAAACAATATTAACTTTAAATGTAAATGGGCTAAAGGCTCCAATTAAAAGACACAGACTGGCAAATCGGATAAAGAGTCAAGAACCATCAGTGGGCTGTATTCAGGAAACCCATCTCACATGCAGAGACACACATAGGCTCAAAATAAAGGGATAGAGGAAGATCTACCAAGCAAATGGAAAACAAAAAAAAGGCAGGGGTTGCAATCCTAGTCTCTGATAAAACAGACTTTAAACCAACAAAGATCAAAAGAGACAAAGATGGCCATTACATAATGGTAAAGGGATCAATTCAACAAGAAGAGCTAACTATCCTAAATATACATCCACCCAATACAGGAGCACCCAGATTCATAAAGCAAATCCTTAGTGACCTACAAAGAGACTTAGATTCCCACACAATAATAATGGGAGACTTTAACACCCCACTGTCAACATTAGACAGATCAATGAGACAGAAAGTTATCAAGGATATCCAGGAATTGAACTCAGCTCTGCACCAAGCGGACCTAATAGACATCTACAGAACTCTCCACCCCAAATCAACAGAATATACATTTTTTTCACCACCACACCACACCTACTCCAAAATTGACCACATAGTTGGAAGTAAAGCTCTCCTCAGCAAATGTAAAAGAACAGAAATTTTAACAAACTCTCTCTCAGACCACAGTGCAATCAAACTAGAACTCAGGAATAAGAAACTCACTCAAAACCACTCAATTGCATGGAAACTGAACAACCTGCTCCTGAATGACTACTGGGTACATAACGAAATGAAGGCAGAAATAAAGATGTTCTTTGAAACCAACGAGAACAAAGACACAACATACCAGCATCTCTGGGACACATTCAAAGCAGTGTGTAGAGGGAAATTTATAGCACTAAATACCCACAAGAGAAAGCAGGAAAGATCCAAAATTGACACCCTAACATCACAATTAAAAGAACTAGAAAAGCAAGAGCAAACACATTCAAAAGCTAGCAGAAGGCAAGAAATAACTAAAATCAGAGCAGAACTGAAGGAAATAGAGACACAAAAACCCTTCAAAAAATTAATGAATCCAGGAGCTGGTTTTTTGAAAAGATCAACAAAATCAATAAACTGCTAGCAAGACTAATAAAGAAGAAAAGAGAGAAGAATCAAATAGATGCAATAAAAAATGATAAAGGGGATATCACCACCGATCCCACAGAAATACAAACTACCATCAGAGAATACTACAAACACCTCCACGCAAATAAACTAGAAAATCTAGAAGAAATGGATAAATTCCTAGACACATACAACCTTCCCAAGACTAAACCAGGAAGAAGTTGAAGCTCTGAATAGACCAATAACAGGTTCTGAAATTGTGGCAATAATCAATAGCTTACCAACCAAAAAAAGTCCAGGACCAGATGGATTCACAGCCGAATTCAACCAGAGGTACAAGGAGGAGCTGGTACCATTCCTTCTGAAACTATTCCAATCCATAGAAAAAGAGGGAATCCTCCCTAACTCATTTTATGAGGCCAGCATCATCCTGATACCAAAGCCTGGTAGACACACAACAAAAAAGAGAATTTTAGACCAATATCCTTGATGAACATTGATGCAAAAATCCTCAGTAAAACACTGGCAAACCAAATCCAGCAGCACATCAAAAAGCTTATCCACCATGATCAAGTGGGCTTCATCCCTGGGATGCAAGGCTGGTTCAACATATGCAAATCAATAAATGTAATCCAGCATATAAACAGAACCAAAGACAAAAACCACATGATTATCTCAATAGATGTAGGAAAGGCCTTTGACAAAATCAAACCCTTCATGCTAAAAACTCTCAATAAATTAGGTACTGATGGGACGTATCTCAAAATAATAAGAGCTATCTATGACAAACCCACAGCCAATATCATACTGAATGGGCAAAAACTGGAAGCATTCCCTTTGAAAACGGGCACGAGACAGGGATGCCCTCTCTCACCACACCTATTCAACATAGTGTTGGAAGTTCTGGCCAGGGCAATTAGGAAGCAGAAGGAAATAAAGGGCATTCAATTAGGAAAATAAGTCAAATTGTCCCTGTTTGCAGATGACATGATTGTATATCTGGAAAACCCCATAGTCTCAGCCCAAAATCTCCTTAAGATGCTAAGCAAATTCAGCAAAGTCTCAGGATACAAAATCAATGTATAAAAATCACAAGCATTCTTATACACTAATAACACACAAACAGCCAAATCATGAGTGAACTCCCATTCACAATTGCTTCAAAGAGAATAAAATAACTAGGAATCCAACTTACAAGGGATGTGAAGGACCTCTTCAAGGAGAACTACAAACCACTGCTCAATGAAATAAAAGAGGATACAAACAAATGGAAGAACATTTCATGCTCATGGGTGGGAAGAATCAATATCGTGAAAATGGCCATACTGCCCAAGGTAATTTATAGATTCAATGCCATCCCCATCAAGCTACCAATGACTTTCTTCACAGAATTGGAAAAAACTACTTTAAAGTTCATATGGAACCAAAAAAGAGCCCGCATCGCCAAGTCAATCCTAAGCCAAAAGAACAAAGCCGGAGGCATCGTGCTACCTGACTTCAAACTATACTACAAGGCTACAGTCACCAAAACAGCATAGTACTGGTATCAAAACAGAGATATAGATCAATGGAACAGAATAGAACCCTCAGAAATAATGCTGCATATCTACAACCATCTGATCTTTGACAAACCTGACAAAAACGAGCAATGGAGAAAGGATTCCCTAGTTAAAAATGGTGCTGGGAAAACTGGCTAGCCATATGTAGAAAGCTGAAACTGGATCCCTCCCTTACACTTTATACAAAAATTAATTCAAGATGGATTAAAGACTTACATGTTACACCTAAAACCATAAAAACCCTAGAAGAAAACCTAGGCACTACCATTCAGGACATAGGCATGGGCAAGGACTTCATGTCTAAAACACCAAAAGCAATGGCAACAAAAGCCAAAATTGACAAATGGGATCTAATTAAACTAAAGAACTTCTGCACAGCAAAAGAAACTACCATCAGAGTGAACAGGCAACCTACAAAATGGGAGAAAATTTTTGCAACCTACTCATCTGACAAAGGGCTAATATCCAGAATCTACAATGAACTCAAACAAATTTACAAGAAGAAAACAAACAACCCCATCAAAAAGTGGGCGAAGGATATGAACAGACACTTCTCAAAAGAAGACATTTATGCAGCCAAAAGACACATGAAAAAATGCTCATCATCAGTGGCCATCAGAGAAATGCAAATCAAAACCACAATGAGATACCATCTCACAGCAGTTAGAATGGCGATCATTAAAAAGTCAGGAAACAACAGGTGCTGGAGAGGATGTGGAGAAATAGGAACACTTTTACACTGTTGGTGGGACTGTAAACTAGTTCAACCATTGTGGAAGTCAGTGTGGCGATTCCTCAGGGATCTTGAACTAGAAATACCATTTGACCCAGCCATCCCATTACTGGGTATATACCCAAAGGATTATAAATCATGCTGTTATAAAGACACACGCAAATGTATGTTTATTGCGGCACTATTCACAATAGCAAAGACTTGGAACCAAACCAAATTTCCAACAATGATAGACTGCATTAAGAAAATGTGGCACGTATACACCAGGGAATACTATGCAGCCATAAAAAATGAAGAGTTCATGTTCTTTGTAGGGACATGGATGAAGCTGGAAGCCATCATTCTCAGCAAACTATCACAAGGACAAAAAACCAAATACCGCATGTTCTCACTCACAGGTGGGAATTGAACAATGAGAACACATGGACACAGGAAGGGGAATATCACACTCCGGGGACTGTTGTTGGGTGGGGGGACGGGGGAGGGATAGCATTAGGAGATATACCTAATGCTAAATGACGAGTTACTGGGTGCAGCACACCAACATGGCACATGTATACATATGTAACTAACCTGCACATTGTGCACATGTACCCTAAAACTTAAAGTATAAAAATAATAAAATAAAATAAATATCATGGTAAAATTCATATGGAATCACAAAAGTCTCTGAGTAGCTAAAGCAATCTTGAGCAAGAGGAATAAAGCTGGGAGCATCAAATTTCCTGATTTCAAATCATATCACAAATATGTGATAATCAAAACAATATAGTATTGGCATAAAAACAGATACATACAGCAGTGGAACAGAATAAAAAGTGCAGAAATAAACTCACACATATATGGTCAACTTATCTTTGACAAAGGCATCAAGAATATACAACAGAGAGAACACCGTCTCTTCAATAGACAGTGTGTGTTAAACTGTTTATCCACATGCAGAAAAATAGTAATTGAATCCTTAAATTACACCATGCACAGAAATCAACTCACCAATGAATTGAAGATTTAAATATAATACCTGAAACTGTAAAACTCCTATAAGAAAATCTGAGAGAAAAGCTCCATCACATTAGATTTTTTGGATAGAATATAAAAAACACAGGGAACAAAAGCAAAAATTAACAAGTGGGACTACATCAAACCAAAATATTTCTGCACTCATAACAACCAACAAAATGAAAATGCCACCCACAGAATGAGAGAAAAGATTTGGAAACCCTATATGCAATGAAAGGTTACTATCTAAACTATATGAAGAACTCATACAAGTCAATAGTACAAAAATAAACAACATGGTGGAAAATTAGTCAAAGTAGACATTTTTCCAAGGACAAGATACAAATGGTCAATAGGTATATGAAAAAGTGTTCAACGTCACTAATTATCAGGGAAATTCAAATCAAAATCACAAGATATCAACTCACACGTTAGGATCGCTATTATGAAAAAGAAATCAAAAAATAAGTGTTGGTGAGGATATGGAAAAAAGAAAACCCTTGTGCAGTGTTGGTGGAAATGTAAATTGGTACAGCCACTATGGAAAACAGTATAAAGTTTCCTCAAATAAGTACAATTACCATATGATCCAGAAATCCCATTTCTGATGATACATTTAAGAAAATAAATCATTATCTGAAAGAGAAATCTGCACTCTCGTACTCAGTGAAGAATTATCCACAATGTCCAAGATATGGAAACAACCTAAGTCCATGGACAGATAAATGGATAAATACATACATACACACACACACACACACACACACACACGCACACGGAACATTATTCAGCCTTTAAAAAGAAGAAAATTCTGCCATTTGCAATAACACGGATGTACCTGAGAATACTGTGCTAAATGAAATAAATAAACCAACAAAGAAAGACAAATACTGCATTACTTCACTTATATGTGGAATCTAAAAACATCAATCTCATAGAAACAAAGACTAGAAGGATAGTTAACAGGGTATAGGGGATGGCAACAATAGAGAGATGTTGCTCAAAGGATGTAGACTTGCAATGGTAAGTTCTGGATACCTAAGTACAGCATGGTGATTAGAATTAATAGTAATATATTGTATACTTAAAATTTACTAAGAGAGTAAACCTTAAGTATTCTCGTCATGAAAAGTAACTACGTGAGGTGACAGATATGTTAATTAGCTTGATTGTGGTAATCATTTCACAATGTATATGTATGTCAAAACATGTACAAAATAATATGCCTTGAATGTATACAATTTTTACATGTCATTTGTACCTCAGTGAAGTTTGGGGAAAAAAGATAGTTAAGAAACATAACAACCATTTGCAATGAGGAGAACTTATTAAAGAAAATCAAGTCTGAAAAGATATTTTTGAAATGACTGAAGGTATGTTAACATGCATTTGCTATTCTACATTACTAGGGAATTATTGTTAACTTTGTTAGGTGTAATAATGGCTTTGTAATTATGTGAGAAAATACTTGTTTAGAAAATATATATATACATATATGTATATTTTTTTTGTAAACATACACAATTTTTTGTATCTCTGTGTATATATATATGTGTGTGTATATAGATACATATACATATATATATATACAGAAGTGGATTTAAATGACATAATGTATTTGTCAGTGTTAAGTAATGCCTTTGTCTCATTACATCATTTTGAATAAATTGAAATTTTAAACTGTCTTAAATTATGTATTAGTGACTAATATAATTCTTTTTGTGACTTGTTTATTTATAGAACTCAATTTCTAGCTAATCTTGAGGTGCGATAGTTCATAGTTCTGAATAATTCATTTATAGGAGACAGGA
This sequence comes from Homo sapiens, assembly GCF_000001405.40. NCBI lineage: Eukaryota > Metazoa > Chordata > Mammalia > Primates > Hominidae > Homo > Homo sapiens. The sequence goes on from NC_000009.12 coordinate 23,402,534, forward strand.
AATTGGTTTACAATTAACTCCTGTTAGGATGTGTGGCATTATCATTTTCTATATTGCATTCCCATTAAATAATTTATCTCCAATAACTGACTTTTATCCATGAATCACTGTATAATGGAAACCCTTTCGTCATCCAAGAAAAGGGGCAGTGCAGTACGCTATGTTTAAACTAATAAATCGACAGTTTTCAATGGATGGAATCGAAACTCTGAGATAAATGGAAATAGTCCCCAAGGACAGTCAAATGTGACTTTCTGCAGATGGCTGCACAGAATGACACTTCATAAAACATCATTTCTCTGCTAAGCTGCACAGCATCTATGGTGCTTCAAACATATTGTTTATCTCATCAAAGGGAGCAGGTTCTAAAGGTAAGAACTGAACAAGTGCCACTGCTGAGGAAACAGAGCAGATGGCCCATCTATGATGGTCTGCCTTCACTTGATGAGAGTCTGCTCCAATCTCAAACAGGCCCATTGCCAATTAAAAGAGGTCTTGGCTGAGGGATCTTTACTTTCCTGTGACACATAATTCACTTGTCCATTTTCTCAGACTCCTGCCCACCAACAAGTTTCATCACTGCCCCCTCCAGAAATTAAGAGGTTCGTTATGACCAGTTGTGTGATACGTCCCATTGATACTTGCTTGTAAATGTCTGGATGTCACCCAAACTTCTCACTTTAGTGTCCGGCTGCATTTTATTTTAAGACTCTTTCTAGCTTAATTGCTAACAAGGACATGTGTCCATGCTTTGTAAAAGAACTTCAAGTTCATGGATTAAACGTAAGAAAATTTATTGGACTTCCTTCTACCACAAAATACACTTTATTAACTACTCTTTTCAAACAACTTTAGCATTGAAACATTTTAAGTTAGTCAAAATCATTTAAGTTTTCATAAAAACAGATAAAAACATTTTATGATTAGAAGGCATATGTGAACTTTCAAACTTCAGGATCCTGAACTCCAATGTTGTTTAAGGAAGACGATCCTAAGTCTGAAGAAGACTATCCCAATCAAATGTCCAGTACCAAGAACCACGTATCTATATTGGGATATTTTCTGTTTGCGAGAGGATCCTAAGACCAGGTTAGTCAGATCTTGACAGTTACTAGACAACCTGAGTTACCTAGAGCAAGTTTTGAGCTACATGGCAAAGGAATGGGCCAAAACCATGCCACATCTGGAGATAAACCTGAGGGAAATAGTAAACCAGGAGAGAACAGTGGTTTGGATACACAGAGTGGAGAAGAAGTGAGGTATACATACAGAATTAAATCAGCTCTAAAATTTAATCAAAAGGAGATTCTGATCCTGTGTTGCTTTAAAATTTTGGTATCTTTTTTCTCGAAGTTGGGGCACTTTCCTACCACATCCCAAATTTTTTAGATTGTAAACCATCTGGAAACACAATCCATGTGTGTTTTGTTCACCATTCTATTTCTAGTGCTTAGCACAGTGCTTTATATCTAGTGCCCAATAAATTTTTTTGAATAGGAATGTCTGGGACATTGTAGGAATTGAATATTTATTCTTTCAAAGAAGAAATGGACATTGATTAATATTCTAAGCATGATGAAGTTGGAGCATTGTTATCTTCCTTTGTTCAGAAGAAACAGTAGGATTTCTCTGTAAAATTCAGAACCCTGAGGCTGGGATTAACTCATCCTGTAACCCAGGCATTGAAACCATTTCAATTTATTACTGAGCGCAAATCTCAAGAAAATCAAGAGGTTTTTTTTCTTATAAGGGTATCTAAAATATTCTGATCCGGAATGTTAAAATATTTTTGACTTGGTATTAAGAATTAGATCTTAAAACTTCTTTCTCCTGTATTCATAACAGCCCTCAAAATTTTCTCCCTGCCTCCAGGCTTGCTTCACTGCACTTCATCCTTCACACGCCTCCAGTGTAACCTTGCTAAAACTCAGATTTGATCAGGTCACTTACTCTTCCATTCCAAAGTTTTCTGTGGTTTATAATTCATGCCTTACCATGGCAGTAAACACCCTTCACCCTTCTATTTTTTTCAGTCTCATCCAGACCAGGCCTCTTTACCCACAGATGCCATCCATGTGCCCACGCTCCAGCCATTCTACATATTTTACCAATCCTGAACCCCTACATACCTTTTCCTTGCTCTTCTGTTTTACATGTTCCTTTCTTTATTTTTGGCTTGGCAGTATCCAACTCTTCTGTCAAAATCTAGTTTAAATGCTACCTTCCCTGGGAAGCTTTTCTTGACTCATCCAGATAGAATTAATCATACCTTCTGTGTTCCTATACCTTTAATATAGAGTGTAACAGATGGGAGTGAAAGTTTTGGAGTCAGAAAGATGTACTTTCCAATTCTGGTTTTCCTGCTTACCATGACCTGAGCACAACACTTAAGGTCCCTGAGCCTCATATTTTTCACCTATAAAATGGGTATAATATCGACATATTACAATTGCAATGAAGATTAACTGTGATCATTATAAAGAATGTTTAGCATAGTTTGGCTAGTCAAAACTCAAAGAAAGATACTTACATTATTTTTATCATCTTATTATTATTTCATCATGTATGACCATCTGATTTTTGGATAATGTCATACCTGCATAATCTACTAGATTTTGAGTCATTAAGATAGGTCTATCATATTCACATTTTATTTATAGTGCCTAACACAGTGTCTGACTTACTGACAGTGTCATCTCAGTGCTTATCAAGTCCATTAGCCTTTGATACAAGATTTCCTAGGCTTTTTTGTGAAAATGTACCAATATATATCTGTTGATTTGTGTATGAAATCATGTGTATTACTTTAACAATATAAATACATGTGATGCTATCAATTGTTCTTTGTAATTTTGCCACAATAATCCTTGAAAAAGCAGAAACAGAAGCCAATTTCTTTTTACCTCTTCTTCACTCGAAAGTATAAAATTAACATGACTTCAAAAGGCTTACAGAAAATAATATATTAAGTCTCATCTAACCTGTATTTCCAGCAACATACCTACCAGAGGTAGCTTGAGCTGAAATTGCACTGAAACTCCTAAGTGATTTTGTTCACCCAATTCAATTGCTATTTAGGTATCTGCTATCCCCAGTTCATTGGGAAAGCAGTATGGAACAAGATAACACAAAAAGCTTTCTTTCTAGTTCAATTAAAATAAACAGTGACATATGTCCTGCTGAAATAACAACTAAACAATAGCATTAAAAGCACCTAAGATATCTAAATGGGACAAGTATTTGTGATGTCATTTCATAATTCTGACTACATCATGTGGGTGCCTCCAGTCCCCAGGAAATTAACCCCCACTTTGCCACCAATGTAATCATTTTGGCTTTGTGACTACCCAGCTAAAACTCTTCCATATTTGCACATTTCTGGCTTAAAGCATATAGTCCAAACTTTTAGCGTGGCACAAAAAAACCTTGCTGAAATCCCAACCATACCTATTTTTATAGCCTCGCTTATCACATCTTATTCATACCGCTTATATTCCAGCCACATGAAAATTGTCTCCTTGAACTTCCAGTATCAACTTCACATGTAAAAAGCTTAGAAGTCTTCACTCCTGTTCTTAAAACAAGTAAAACCTGCAAAAACTGAAAATCAATGACTTTTCTTGGAACCCTCAGAGAACTGAGATTGCAGAGCCAACTGTAACCCTGAAATCTAGAGAAATAAGCTCATTCAGGGAAACACAGCTGAGATCCTCTTATCTGAAGCAGAAACCCACTGGAGCCATAAACTGAAAGGAACACTTAAATGGTAATTTTGGTGAACTGCTGAAAGGTGAGGGTGAACCATCATTATAGAGGGACAAACCCCTGGAGGCTGGAGGCTTGGGGCATTAGGGGACGTATTTTCACAGGTTTTACTATCCAGAAACCCAGCAAGATCTTCACTGTTAACTGTGATCATTATAAAAAATGTTTAGCATGGGGCTTGACTAGTAAAAACTCAGAGAAAGGTATTTACATTACTTTTATCATTTTATTATTGCATTATTTATCACAATCTGATTGATATTACAGATAAGGTCATGCCTGCATAATTCACTAGGTATTGTAAAGTCTAGAACAACAAACAAAATTTATAAAGAATTATAATTGAGATGCTGGGAAGAGAGAAAATGAAAATATAAATAGTTAATTAAAACAAGAAAAACAGAAAAAGAGGAAGTAAAAGAAACAAGAAAGGGAATGAATAGAAGGCAGATATGTGCACAGTAGATATTAACTCAACTAAATTAATTATCACTTTAAATATGAATGGTCTAAATACACCAACCAATTAAAAATGGAGACTGTCGGCCAGGCGCGGTGGCTCACGCCTGTAATCCCAGAACTTTGGGAGGCTGAGGCGGGCAGATCATGAGGTCAGGAGATCCAGAGCATCCTGGCTAACACGGTGAAACCCAGTCTCTACTAAAAATACAAAAAATTAGCCCGGCGTTGTGGCGGGCGCCTGTAGTCCCAGCTACTTGGGAGGCTGAAGCAGGAGAATGGCGTGAACCCGGGAGGCGGAGCATGCAGTGCCGAGATCGCGCCACTGCACTCCAGCCTGGGCGACAGAGCGAGACTCCGTCTCAAAAAGAAAAAAAAAAAAAAAAAAAAAGGAGACTGTCAGAGTGGATAAACAAAATAAAATCCAACCTCGTAATGTTTACAAGAAAACTACATTAAGTACAAAGACACAGATAAATTAAAAATAAAGAGATGGAGAAAGATATACCTTGCTAACACTAATCAAAAAAAGCTGGAGGTATATTAATTTCTGAAAAAGCTAGCTTCAGAAAAAGTAAGACTACTATGGAAAAGAAAAGCATTAAATAATGATAAAGTGATCAATTCTTTAAAACGGCATAATAATCCTAACTGAAGACAACAGCAAAACACATGAGGCCAGAACTGATAGAACTGCAAGGAGAAATAGAGGAATCCACTGTTATAGTCAGAAACTTTTAACATACCTCTGTAGGTAATAGATCAAACAGGCAGAATATAACAGTAAGGATACAGATGACCTTAACAACGCTATCAATCAACTTGTTCTTTTGACATTTATAGAATACTTCATCCAATAACAGCATAATACACATTTTTCTTCAGCTCATAGTCACCAATATATTCTGGGTCATAAAACACATCTTAACAAATATGGAAGAATAGATACCCTACAAAGTTTGTTTAAAGACCACAATGGAATTAAACAAGAGATAATAATAAAAAGATAGCTGGAAAATCCCCCAATATTTGCAAATTTAACAGTAGACTTCTAAATAACACAAGGGTTAAAGTAGCAAGATAAATTTTAAAAATAATTTTAACATGAAAATGAAAATTAAACTTATACCAATATCTGTGGGATTTAGCAAAAACAGTTCCTAAAGGTAAAATAATAGCATTAAATATACTTATTAGAAGAGAAGAAAGGTATAAAATCAGTAATTTAATATTTTTTCCATGAGAAACTGGGGAAATGGTAATTTAAGTATAAGCAAGCAAATTAAATTAAAAACAGAAAAATAATAGAAAAAAATCAATGAAACCAAAAACTGGTTCTTTAAAAAGATCAATAAAATTTATAACCAAAAAAAGGAAAGACACAAATGAACAAGGTCAGAAAGGAGGATTCATCTCTACTGATCCTATGATATTAAAAGGATAATAAAAGAATACTATGAACAACACTATGCCCACAAGTTGGATAACTTAGATAAAATTAGACCAATTCCTCGAAAGACAGAAACTACTAAAGCTCATACAAGGAGAAACAGATAACTTGAAAAGTTCCATGTCTATTAAAGAAATTGTATCAATAATCAATAAAATTCAAAAAGGAAAGCACCAAGCCCACATAGTTTACTATGAATTCTGCCAAACATTTAATGACGAAATAATATCAATTCTTCATTTTTTTTTCTGAAAAATAGCAGAGGGAAGGCTTCCTAATTTATCTCATAAGGCCAACATGGCTCTAATATCAAAACCAGATTTAAAAAATCACAAGATAGAAAACTACAGATCAATAACTTCTATAAGCTAGACACAAAATCCTCAATAAAATATTAGCAAATTGAATCTAATAATGTATAATGATAATAATTAAACACCACAACCAAGTAGAGTTCATTCCAGTTATGCAAGCATGATTCAACATTCAAAAATTAGTGTAACCATCACATCAACAGGCTAAGGAAGAAAAATCATATGATTATATCAACTGACCTCAAAAAAGGCATGACAAAATCCAACATCCATTTATGCTTTTAAAAAAAGAACACAGTGTGAAGGTTAATATTAGGTGTTGACTTGATTGGATTAAGGAATGCCTAGATGGTGTGTGAATCAGTAGGTTGGGAGAAAAAAATTTCCCCTCAATGTGGGTGTTCACCATCCAACCCACACTGCCTACTACTGAGGTGAGAACAAAGCAGGCCAAAGAGGGGGCATATTCATTGTTGAACTTCTCTCTCTCTCTTTCTGGAGGGGGATGCTTTTTCTCCTTCTGCCCTTGGACATCAGACTCCAGGTTCTTTGGCCTTTGTACTCTGGAACTTGCATCAGTGGCTTCCCAGGGACTCTCAAGCCTTTGGCCTCAGACTGAGGGGCTGCACTGTTGGCTTCCCTGGTTTTGAGGGTTTGAGGCTAGGACAAACCCATGTTACTGGATTTTCTCATTCCACAGCTTACAGATGGCCTATTGTGGGACTTCACCTTTGTAATCATGTGAGCCAATTCTCCTCAATAAACTCCCTTTCGTGTGTGTGTGTGTGTGTGTGTGTGTCCTGCTTGTTCTGTCCTTCTGACTGTGGAGCCCCAACTATTACACTCACAACTTAGGAATATAGAAGAGAACATTCTCAGCTTGATAAAGAACACCTACACAAAACCTACAACCAAACTTATACTTAATGATGACAGATTTGATGTTTACCCCACCAAGATCAGGAATGAGGCAAGGGCATCCGATCCCACCACTCCTGTTCAATATCTTTTTTTGTTTGTTTTGAACAACTAGATTTATTTCAAGCCATTTTAAATGCTTATCAAATCAACTGTAAAATGTTAAAACCTGGGAGATTTTATTCACCAGCTGAAGGACTCATCATTACTATCTTAAAAAACAGCAATGAATAAGCAAATTAGAAACAAACAAAAACCGAACACAACAAAACAAACAGCAAATTGCTCAATATCTTAATAGAAGCCCTAGCTTGTGCAATATAATCAGAGAAAAATATAAACAGATACATATTGGAAGGGGAGAAATGAAACTGTTATTATTTGACATGATTATCTATGTAGAAAAACCCCCAAAGAATCTACAAGGAGAGAAGGCTGAAATGATCCATATTGTAATAGATTAGGGTGGGAGACATCAGTCTGAACTCATTTTTAGCTCAGTATTGACACAAATGGTTGCATACAGAGATGTTTATAAATATGTGTATTTACATGAGTTAGTTTTCAGATGTATATTTCCTTCTTTGTCAGCTGAAAAGCCTTAGAAGCAATAACATTCCAGTAGCAACAAGCACACCTATATCCAGATCTTGATTTCTGATACAATAAAAAGAACCAGAAATTCTTGGAGAAATGGCCTCAAGCAGGAAATAGATGAGATAAGCCTGGACCATCCAATAGTGCCAGAAAGTAAGTATGCAAAAAACCACAATGAGGGGTAGGTCAAAGTGATACAGAAACCAACTTAAGAGTTCTTATTGACCAAAGCTGGAACAATGTAAGCAACAAAATAAATTATTGGATCATAAACCAAAGTATAAAATAAGCACCCATGGGTCAATACTGGTTTATATAAATGACTGAATAAATAAATGGGGATAAACAGACAAATCTCCCATGCAAAAGAATTCAAAGTTATTTATAGAATAACTATTTCACTCTAAAGAAGGTTGAGCGTAACTCCTCACTCCTTGAGTAGGACTGTGCATGTTGACTTTCTTACAAAGAGTACAGTAATGGAAGTAGGGGTTGGAGGGGAAGAAACTTTACAGTGAAAAACCCTGACAAACACTGCCTCAGCTGGATGATTAAGGTTAATATCAAGAGTGATATATCATATTGGTAATATATACCCTTGATACGAAGTGATAATAATAGCGCTCTACCTCTGTGATCCTCCTCTCAAAAGGCCGTAACTCCAGTCTATTAGAGAAAAATATTAGGCAACCCGCAACTGAGGGACACTGTACAAAATGCTTGACAAGTATTCATCAAAAATGTAAAGGTCATCCAAAACAAGGAAATCTCAGACACTTTCACAGCCAAAAGGAGCCTAAGGAGATATTATCACTAAATGTCATATCATATCCTAGATTGGATCCTGGACCCGATAAAAAGACACTAGGTAAAAATTATGGAAATCAGAGTAAAGTATTGACTTTAGTTAGTAATAGTCAATATTTTTTCATTAATTATAATTGTATTATGCTAATGTAATATTAATACAGGAATCTGGATGTGGGGTATATGTGGGAACTCTCTGTACTATCTTCACAATATTTATGTAAATCTAAAACTATTCTAAAATAAAAAGCCTATTTTAGAAAAAAAGGTGACAATTTAAAAATATTTTTAACACAGCATATTCTTCTCACCTCTCCTCATTGTGATATTTCCTTGGCGAGACATAAGCCTCCTTCTCCATTTGACAAAATCTGAGACATGGCTTCTTCTACAGAGTCATCTTCAACCTCTCCAGACAGTGTTCATTTTCTCTCCTTCTCTTGATGCCAAGGCAATTATCTCATAACAATGTAATCATATGCTTGCCTTTTTCCACTGTAGGCTGAGCTCTCTGTGGCCTCCACAATGTCTTCGTGTTCTCTCTAATGCTACTCCAGCAAAATGCTAAACGTAATAGAGTCACTCAATTCATGTTTCTTGCCTAAACAAAAGATCATTGTTTGTAATGCTTTGGCATTTTTTAAGTTCACATACATGATTTTCACACATTCATCCTAGTCACCTTGTGTGTTGACAGTCAACTGCTTTTGCCATTTATAAATGAGTAAATTAAAACTCAGAGAGTGGAAAACATTATTCCTAATTTACACAACTTCAAGCGCTGGAAAAATAAAAGCATTTATTTCAGTTCTAATGATTCTACATCTACTTTCCTTCATCATGTATAAATAGAAGGGTAGGGCTTTTCACCTGGGGTACAATTTTGGGACCGTACACTGCTATCTCTGATCTTGGGCAAGTCACTAAATCCAGGTGACCCTCAAAGTTCTCATACATTTTAACAGGAACTAATGATAACATATATGCTTTATATATATTTGCACATATATATGCATATATACACACATATATATGCACACATATGTATACATACATATACACACACATATATATACACACACACACACACATATGCCACAGTCAATGTGCTCTATTTGGGCCAAAACATGGGCTCTTTTTTGGAGTTATCCTCCTCTTTAAAATATAAGCCCAATGGCAAGAAACCAGTCATCTATTCAAGATGGCCATTTGGACTATATGACCTCTAAGTTCCTTTCCACATATTTTCTTTTATAGTCTTTATTTTCTTTGCAGTCCCCAAGTAGTGCAGCATACAACATCAGAGTTTCAATAAAGGCTGGCTGACTGAAGCTTTCAAACTCCCAACACAATCACGTTTATGTTGCCAACTTTTATTCAGTTTGTGATTTATGGGCATATGGAGTGTTTTGCATCCCAGAGTTTCCTCTTTTGAGTCATGATTTGCAAATGGATATAATAACCCATAAACTGATATCAGCATCAAAACAGAGCCATCCAACTCGAGTAATAGATGGCCTTCAGAGGAAAAAGACACTAGCCCATTAGGAAGAGCACAAACAACAAGCAAGCGAGTGTGAACAACAGCCTTCATAAAGTCAGTTTCTCAGTTCATTCCACACATTCTGTCCATTCTAAGATAATGTGTGTGACAAGGGCACAATCTAATCAGACTCTCACTCTCCCTTGGCAAGGCAGGCTTGCAACAATAGACTAAACCTCAGCCCTGCCAACCCCAAATAGGCATGCCAGTCTGCCTCATTCCAGATTTGTGGCTTGTCTCCACAAAGTAATAGTGATTCTCTTGTCTGTACCAATTGCAGGCTGCAGATGGGTAGCCTAATGCTGTAATTTCGGACTAAATTCTCCACAGATGAACTGGAAAATTTCCTCACTCATTCAGAAATATGCCAGCCAGCTGTCAGATCTCCAGGACTCCCTCACTTGCCCAGATCACCAATGAACAGACGGCGTTCACCACAATGATTAGGCTGTGTTTTCAGTTCAAATCTTTTTCTCCTAATTATTTAATCTATTTTTCTTTCTTCGAAGAGTCTGGAGAATGGTCATTGGAAATTTCTTAACCAGAGGAATCTTTAAGAAAGCAACCGAGAAAGCTGCTTTTCTCAGTTTTTTATCCCTTGGGATCAGGGATAAAAAAGTGTATGTCTATGAGCTGTTCACTGGCCATGACCCCATTCCATGCCAATCATTCTTCCAAGGTACCCAGTAGAGGACACCTTTTTTGTGCCAATAGAGACAGGGAATAGGGAAGCAGATGCCTGCTAACTACTTGACTGCCACTACCCATAAAGGATACAACATAATTTTAGGGGACTCCAAAAGCCAATATACAACATTTAAGAACAAGAAATAAGTGATAAATGTATACAAAAAGTATGAAAGAAGAAGCAATTTTATTTTCATTTATAAGATATGAGAACATTGCTCAGTCTCAAATGTCTTTTTTGACTTCCCATGTTTAAATGAATAAAGAGAACTTTAAAACATCACCTACGCTTAGGTTTTATTGTTGTTGCTTGGTAGAATTTTTTCTTCCTTTAGCATTTGATCTGTGTACAATTCGTTCACAAACATCTGAGAGTGTCCATTCACATGGTCTTTCTCTATGGAGTGAAGATTTTGACAAATCCAAAAATTCTTTCTGAATGTGTTTCTCTCAGGGCTCTTCCTTGCCAATTATTAGTCTAAATGATTCACTCACAGATACCTTCCCAGGGAGCCCAAGTTTGGGGGTTAAATAGACTAAAATCCAAAACCTGGCTCTGTCATTTACAGTGCGCAAGACATTTGGAAACTTATTTAACTTTTCATAGCCTTAATTTCCTCATCTTACAGAGTTATTGTGAGGCCTCTGCACATGCTGTCAAGCCCCTGCCAAAAACTCCCCAATGACTTCCCACAGAAACTATATAGAGTCTACCAGGCCTGTTAAATCTGGCCGCTGCCTACATTTTTCAATCCCATCTCATTCTAGTCTCTTCCTAACACAACATGTCAAGGACTCTGGCTTACTTTCTGTTTCTTAAACATGCCAAATACTTGCCTCTCTCACAGCCTTCTCACATCCTGTCTTCTCTACCTGAATTTCCTCGCTCCCTGTACCAGGGCTAGTTTCTTAACCTCCAGGTTTCATCGCTAGTATAGTGATGCCTTGAATAACAAAGTTCCCATGAAGGACAGACCACATATGCAACAGTGGTCACATATGATTATAACAGAGCTAAAATTCTTATTGCTAGTATGCCTTATACTATGCTTTTTATTGTTTTAGAGTATACTCCTTCTATGGTGTATGTGTGTGTGTGTGTGTGTGTGTGTGTGTGTATACACATATATATGTGTATATATATTTTATATATATATATATATATATTTATATATTTAGAATTAACCATAAAACAGCCTCACGTAGGTCCTTCAGGACATATTCCAAAAGAAAGTGTTGTTATCATAGGACATGACAGCTCCATGTGTGTTATTGCCCCTGACGACCTCCCAGTGAGACAAGGTATGGAGACTGAAAACAATGATATTGATGATCCTGGCTCTGTGTAGGCATAGACTAATGTGTATGCTTGTGTCTTAGTTTTTAACACAAAAAGTTTCAAATGTAAAAATAATTAAAAATAAAAATGTTTTTAAACAGAGAAAAGCTTACAGAATAAACATATAAAAAAAGAAAATATTTTTGTACAGCTGTACAATATGTTTGTGTTTTAAGCTAAGTGCTATCACAAAAGAGCCAAAAAAGTTAACATAAATTTAAAAGTTTATAAAGGAAAAAAGCTACAGAAATATAAGGTTAATTTAATATTGAAGAAATATTTTTTTATACATTTAGTGTAGCCTAGTAGTACAGTGTTTATAAAGTCTACAGTGGTATACAGTAATGTCCTAGGCCTTCACATCCACTCACCATCACTGACTCACCCAGAGCAACTTCCAGTCCTGCAAGCTCTATTTATGGTACGTGCTCTTATATGTGTGTGCCATTTTTTATCTTTTATACTGATTTTACTGTACATTTTCTATGTTTAAATATATTTAGATACGTAAATACTTACCATTGTGTTACAGTTGCCTACAGTATACACACTCTTTTGAATCTAATATCCTAGGAATGTGTCTGAATAAGTAATTTTAGATTTTCACACAATAGTTCCAATGTGTAAGAGAGTAATCAGGTAAAGAAAGAGAAAATGAAGAGACTGTGCCTGGGTTTAATCTCTATATAAAGGAGGCAGCAACATGAAGACTCCAGAGGAGTATTAAGGGGCTCATAGCACTTATATTCATAGTAAACAGGGACAGATAGGAGCTAACATTTATTAGGCATAACAGTAACATACTGTAAAGGTTTGTAGGCTAGGAGCAATAGGCCATACCATATAGCCTAGGTGTGTAGTAGGCTACGTCATCTAGGTTTGTGTAAGTTCACTCTATGATGCTCACATAATGACAAAATTGCCTAAGGATGCATTTCTTTGAATGTATACAACATATATCTTTATTATACAGGTCCTCTTCTTTGTCCTGTCATGGTGCCTATTGGTTTTCTTTATAGCTATTCACACAATTTTTGCTTATGTATTTGCTTCTTATTAGCTCCCTCCTTCACGGAGGTAGACACTATGTTTGCCTGGAAGATTTCCTTTCTCACAACTCTGTTGCTTTGAGTACTTGCTTTTCCTTAGTGACACCACTTAGACTTCCTAGACTAGGCTAAATTCCCTTTGTATATATTTCCTTAGCACCTTGTGCTTTCCTTCTGGAACCCTCAAAATACTTCTAATTCCTTGACCATTGTTTCTCTTTCCTAATATACTTCCATGAGAAGAGGGTCCCAGTCTGTCTTGTACTATGTCCACGCTGCTCAATATAGTACCCGACAACTAGAAGAGGCTCAGCAAATGTTACCTCCTATCTGTCCCCATGTTACTATGAATTGTAAGTCCCATGAGCCCCTTAATATTCCTGTAAAGTCTTCATGTTGCTGCCTTCTTTACGTGGGGATTAAACCCATGTACAGTCTCTTCATTTTCTTTTATTCTCTTGCACTTCAAAACCATCATGTGAAAATCTAGAATTAGTTATTCAGACACATTCTTTGGATATTAGATGCAAAAAGTGTGTAAACACAGAGCAAGCAGAATGTGTAGAATGTGAAGTAGGATGCTCACCCATTTGCTTTGATGGTTTAGGGTGGGTAAGCAATTATACACGTACATACTAAGTAAACATGACCTGGTGGTTTCTGAGAAGCTTCTGATAAATGTATCTCTTTCCTAATTTTACAGTTACATCTTGTCTTCTTTAGCATTTACATTTTCCTCCTAGCTTTCCCTCTTAGCTCTCCATAGCAGCCTGGTTTTCACTTTTTGTGTCTTCTAGCAGTGGGCATTTTTCCCAAACACCAAACCTAAGGTGGCTACACTGGTTTGCCTTTCTCTATGGGAAATCCTGTCCTCAAAATAATCCCCAGTTGGCGAAATGCATAGCTAAGGAAATTGTTGTCACATGACCAAATCCAAATCAAGCTGTCAAATAAAGAAGACCACTAAATGTTCTGGATAGGCCAAAAATAAACAAAAAGTATGGACTTTCACAGACTACTGATAAAAATGTTTTATTCCTCTTCTAGAGGACTTCCCATGTTTAAAGTCACCCTCATGCTAAAACTCTGAGCTGTGGCAATTAAAAATAAAGCTATATTCTTTTTGATCATTTTGTTATAATAAAATAATAGGTATTTTCCTTCACATTCACAATTATAGCTTTCTACCCCTCCCAAAAAATTCTTCTTCTATTTAGTCCCAAGCAAAATAAAATTAAAGTTTGAGAAGCTGTATGACAATCAACAGAAATGCTATCCAGAGAACAATAGCAATCCTATAATGGTAAAAAGTTAATTATATGAAGACCTGCAGAATTTTAAAATGTCAGAATAATAGAGCAAATTTATTGAAACGAAACTGAGCCTTGAAATGCTTAAGCTTTCACAGGAGCACACAAATTTATATTTCAATAAACTTTTAACATAATGTCACTTTAAGAATGAACAACATGTAAAATGGCCAAGGAACAACATTCTCAGTTAAACAGAAAAGCATCTCTGAGACGTTTGTTATAGGGAAAAATGCAGACCCTGCTGATATGGAAATGGTAGATATTCACTGCTGACTACAGCGATGAAAAAACAGTTCTCTGAAATACAGGTATTGTTCAAGTTACAAAGAATTAGGCAATATTACAAAGCTAACTTAAGGTTTTCTTGTCTAGGAGGGTTATATTTTCTTTCCTTCCCTTCATGTATTCCATATCTATCTCTTACACATGGCAAACAACCCTATCCTTCTGGTCAAAAAAGCTAGATTTTAATCCTGATGGCGTGAAGCTGAGCAAGGAACTTCATTTTCTGAACCTCAGCTCTTTATCGAACTATGCCTTATAGATTTCTCATAATACTTACGGACTAAGCAAAGCAAGGTGTGCAAAGCTCTTGGCATAAAGCCTTGCATATATTGTATGCCCAATAAATGATGGTGACTGTTACCATTTTCATCTTTTATTTCAGGAAAATAGAAAATACACATCTCTTGTTGTCTTGTGACTTTAAATGTGTCCTCTTGGTCAATCTTCATGGCACTCAGTTTTATAGTTCTCAAATTCCATTACAGCAATTTCAAAATGTTTTGCAGCAGTTCACAAAACTGATAAATAGACAGTCACCATTTAAAAAGGAAAAAAAGTATCATGGATGACCTAAAATATCACTGCAGTCACTTGAGCACTGAAGTTAAAAAAATTCAATACTAAAAGTAAAATGCTGTCTTTTGATGATCACTCACAGCAATGCGATTGCAAAGACAATTGCAAATTTGGTCATAAATCAAGCGGAAGTTTTTAAAACTGGCCATCTAAATAGGCAACAATATATTTATACTAATTTTAAAAATCATTTTGAAAATTTTAAAAGTTTTCTAGTCCTGAAAGTCCTTGTGGGTTCCCTGGGGAAAAAAAAAAAGTCATCATTATATGCCAGTTTGTAAAACCAAAGTTATAGAGCAAAAGAATTTTGTGAGTGTTGTTCTAGAGAGCAGATTCATCTGCAGAGGCTAGAGGTGAGACTGAACTGTACCCACATTTTACAATAAATATATGTATTCCTATTTAAAATGCATTTAAAAATCAATGCTTTAAAGAAAACAGGGTAAAAGGAATTACAGGAGGGAAAAACTCACTCCCATATTTTCTTTGTATTTTTTACTTTGCTTTGCATATTTTTTCAATCATTCTTTGAGAAGTTTGCCATAACCAATCCAAGGTCATAATCAAACCTATGGAGCTAAGTCAGGTAATATAAAAAAATTTATCTGGTCATGTGTAAGAAAACGTGGAATGGCAGGAACTCTGGTGGACTAAAGAGCAAATACTCCTTATAATGAGGGCGTAACTTCTATCGGGTTCCAAATGATCATTACCATAAAAAGACATGTGTCCCAGATCTTGTAATTTTTAATAAACTAGGAAACTAGAACTTTATATAAAATCTTATTTTTCAGTGATGCAGCTGTTTTAACTAAAAAAAAAAAAAAAAAAAAAAAAAAAAAAAAAAAAAAACACCACTACGCAAGCTAAACGAAACATATCTCTGAGCCAAATTCATCCCCAGATTCCAATTTGCAACCATCAGCATTTAGGGACAACTGAGGGGCAAACAGAACCAAACTGCTGGGTGGTCTGTAGAAACCTTTGTCTCACCAGATGGGTTGGGAGATTAAAGAGTTTGAGACCCACTGCCCTAACATAGTAGCATGAACGAACATGATTTCAAGAATATCTAGTTGTTCATTTTGACCAAGGGTTATTTAAATTAGATAAGGATTAAAATTAATTACAGCCTTCTTATAGCTGAGTAGCTCAGTAAGCGCTGCTTGGAATTATCTTACATCTTGATGTCTCTCTACACATAGAAACCACCCAGCAAGTCACTAATTGGCATATTCTGCAGAAGTCTCTGGAGAGAAGCTAAGAAAGTGAGCACTTGCTAGCTTCTGCATGCTCCTCAAGCATGCTTTCCCTGGAGATGGGAGCTGTCACAGGATACTTTGATCACTGGAGGCGCTGGGGCTCCTCCTCACTTTCAATATGTCCGGACTTTAACAGAAACACAATATTGTACTAAATCCAATCTTTTTTTTTTATACTTATGAGGAAGCAAAATAAAATGGACAATTAAAAATCTATGAAGGTCGATTGATTTCCTCTACTAGCAATTATGCCTCATAATTGTTTGCTGAAGGAGAAATTGGCATTTTACAAAGCCAATGATTGGCTGGGATTTTGTGCTTACTAAACCTCTGTGGATTTAGAGTTTGGGTTTGGATAAAAACCATGAATTGAGCAGCACTTGAGAAGCCTCTCCAAAAGCCTTTCATCTAGAAGCAGGCTGGTGAGTTCACGAGGTTTCTGACATTTCTCCTATCCCAACCAGGTTGGAACCCCACTGTAATCAAAATTCACAATGTTCCAGAACCTAGACTTTGTTTCTCATTAAAAATCCAACAGACAAAAAAATCCAGGAGGCCTGCTAGCCAAACCTTTTCACACGGCAGGGAAGGTTTGCATTCAGTTTTATTTTAAGTTAGCAGACTAGGTCGGAACTCATTTTGAAGCCTGATGAAAGACTGAGAGCCTGCGTTTCATCTTCTGATTAATCCAAAATTAAACAATTCAGAGATTTTCATCACTTGGTCTTTTCTTTTAAACATATGTGACAGATAAGAAATAGCCATCTCTAGCACACATAGCAGGATACATTGTGTTTGCCTGCAGGCTCTTTGTGGGCCATTCTTAAGCTTATTCTAAGATCAGATAGTAAATCACAATTTCCTTTTAAGGGACTGTTACAGTTTTCACCTCTTATTGAAACCAAAATGTGTATTTTTCACTACTTGAACATTACTTACCTGCTGTTCATAGTCTCTATAAAAAAATTCTCATCTTATTTAAAAAAAAATTTTGAAGTGAATACATGATTTATGCATTCTTGTAACACAAGAAAGGAAAAGGAAATTAGGCATATATCTCAAGGCTCATTAGTTGCATTTGAGTTAAACATAAATTTTTGGAAATAACCAAGTATTTTGCAATTCCAAGGTTTTGTTTCCTAAATCAAAACTTTAAAATTAAAAGATTTTGTAAAGAATAAATAAGCAACACTTCAGGATAGAATGTGAAATCCAATATAACAAGTAACAGTATGGATATTGCAGGGAGACAAATGACAGTCCCTCTAGATAAAGTGCTTGTGGCCATCCTATTCACCCATCTTCAATAAGCTCACCTTTTGTAACCACCTCAATCCCCTTCCATTCTGGTTTCCCTGATTTCCTCTACCCTTGTACTTCCAAGCACAGTAAGGAATTTCATCACTCAAGTCCCCATAGAAGTTTATCTCTGTCTTTTTTTTTTTTTTTTTTTTTGAGACGGAGTCTTGCTCTGTTGCCCAGGCTGGAGTACAATGGCACGACCTCGGCTCACTGCAACCTCCACCTCCTGGGTTCAAAAGATTCTCCTGCCTCAGCCTCCTCAGTAGCTGGGATTACAGGAATGTGCCACCACGCCCAGCTAATTCTTGTATTTTTAGTAGAGACAGGGTTTCACCAGGTTGGCCAGGCTGGTCTCGAACTCCTGACCTCGTGATCCACCTGCCTCAGCCTCCCAAAGTGCTGAGATTACAGGCATGAGCCACCACGCCTGGCTTCTATCTGTCTTTTTCTTTTTTTTTTTTTGAGACGGAGTCTCGCTCTGTCGCCAGGTGGGGTGCAGCGGCACGATCTCAGCCCACTGCAACCTCTGCCTCCTGGGTTCAAGTGATTCTCCCGTCTCAGCCTCCTGAGTAGCTGGATTACAGGCGCACACCACCATGCCTGGCTAATATGTATTTTTAGTACAGACAGGGTCTCATCACGTTAGCCAGGATAGTCTCGATCTCTTGACCTTGTGATCCGCCTGCCTCAGCTTCCCGAAGTGCTAGTATTACAGGCGTGAGCCACCACGCCCAGCTTCTATCTCTCTTTTCTAATTCACCACAATCCATTGTGATTATTTGTCTCTATGGATGTCTTCCTCAAAGACTGTGATCTTCCCAAGGACTAAAGCTTAATTGTCTTTTTATCCTCACCATAGAGCAAAACACCTGATATTTCTTTTGCATATGCACTTGTTCATTTACACACTGAACTTGCAAATGAGTATTTTGAGATGCTTTATAAAAAAGAGGTTCTTACAATTTGCTGGAAGAAAAGACACAGCCATAAGTAAAATAGAACAGAGTAAAAGTAAAAGGTGATTAGTTGGTGCCCAGACAATTGCTACACAGTACCAGTCAGGGTCTCAGCAGGAATCTGATGGCACATTCAAATTGAATCCATTAAGTAGAGTTTAATAAAGAGACTATTTGCAAAGGTGTCAGAAGGATCTAAGAAATGAAAAATAAAAAGTGGATAGTAGAGTGCCTCCAGAAAAATAACAGAGGAAAACTCTGGAGTTTTTACTACTCTCGGCCTGAAGGGCAAGACGAGGAAGTTGTTAGTGGTAGCCAGAGAAAGAACTCTGTAGAGAGGGCCACCTGATAGGAGGTGTGGACTTACCAAGAGAAGTAACTAACCTGCAGAGAGCTCAGAGAATAAGTACCTAGTCTCACTCTCTCCGCTCCTTTAGATCTCTTTCCGGAACCTCTCATGGGCCAAATTTGATGGAATTCCAAGGGCAGAGAAATCCCTTGATAGAGTTGATATGAATCAGGCCCCAGAGCAGGGAGCAGGGTGTAGAAAGAGGTGGAAGGAGAAGACATGTAACACATAGTATAATCTTGCAAATTCATTTCTGCCCATTTTAGCAACCAGCCAGAACAAAATGAGATGCCTAATTGGTTTCGAAAATCTGTGCATTTATCATTAATAGCATATCAATGGTTTGTGAAAAGACACAAAGACTTGAGATAAAAATCTCCCATGGGAAGCTCTGAGAGTGACTTTCGTAGAGTTCCTTCTTGTAGCATGCACCGAGGCACACTGAGGCACGGTATACAGAGCAATTGAGAAGTAATTCTGCAAGTTCACAATAATGGGTTATAAACCTACCGGTCTCATGGCTTGATAATATAAGGCTAAATTTTAGAGAACTTGGAGAAACTGTCAAACTGAGTATCTTTGATATGGTTTGGCTCTGGGCCCCCACCCAAATCTCATCTCGAATTGTAATCCCCATATGTCGAGGGAGAGACCTGGAGGAGGTGATTAGATCATGGGGGCAGTTTCCTCCATACTGTTCTCATGATGGTGAGGGAGTTCTAATGAGATCTGATGGTTTAAAAGTGTTCCTTCCCCTTTCACTCTCTCTCTGTCCTGCTGCCATGAGAGAAAGGACCTTGCTTCCCCTTCACCTCTGCCATGATTCTAAGTTTCCTGAGGCCTCCTGAGCCATGCAGAACTGTGAGTCAATTAAACCTTTTTTCGGCCGGGTGCAGTGGCTCACCCCTGTAATCCCAGCACTTTGGGAGGCTGAGACAGGCGGACCATGAAGTCAGGAGATCGAGACCATCCTAGCTAACAAGGTGAAACCCTGTCTCTACTAAAAACACAAAAAATTAGCCAGGCATGGTGGCGGGCGCCTGTAGTCCCAGCTACTCGGGAGGCTGAGGCAGGAGAATGGCATGAACCTGGGAGGCAGAGCTTGCAGTGAGCCAAGATAGCGCCACTGCACTCCAGCCTGGGCAACAGAGCAAGACTCTATCTCAAAAAAAAAAAAAAAAAAAAAAAAGCAACCTTTTTTCTACATAAGTTACCCAGTCCCAAGTAATTCTTTCTACTTTGTGAAAATGGACCAATATAATCCTTTATGTAATTCTCCATGAGTATCAGCCACTTTCTTTTTAACAAAGATTTTTAAAACAGTTGAACAACTGACAGTTCATATTCTCTGACAAAGGCAAGGATCACATACGAATGAAAATAAAGCTGTAGTCTTACTTATCAAATGAACGAAAGATAGGGCCAGTTCTCGCGTGAAATGTAAGGTGCCTAATTCTAATATGTATCTGAATGGGTGTTCAACACAAGCCACCCCACGCCCACAGGGTCAGGATGGTCCTAAACTCTCTGAAAGACTCAATCAACATTTGTTTTAAAAAGCAGAAATTATCATTCTACTCTATGTGATTAACTTTTGTTGGTGGGTACAAACATATTGTTGGATAGAAGAACTAAGTGCTAATGCTCAATAGCAGAGCAGGGTGACTACAGTTAACAACAACGAACTGCATATTTCAAACCAGCTAGAAGAGAGGATTTGAAATGTTCCCAACACGTAGAAATGATAAATGCTCAAAGTGATGGATATTCTAAATACTTTGACTTGATTATGACACATTCTATGCATGTAACAAAATAGCTGATGCACCCCATAAATATGTATAAATATTATGTATTGATTTTAAAAAGCAGAAATTGAAACACACAGTGGGGCACACTCCCAGTTTGTGCTTTCTTTATCTTTGCTACCAAACAGATGCCACAGGAAAGCATTTTCTTCTCTTCAGTATATATAATGAAAGAAACCAGTTATTTTACTACTTGTTACAATTAAAAAAAAAAAAAGCTCATGTCCCCTTCTGGTGTTCTAATCATCATCATCACTCAGAGTTTTAAATTGCTTACTAAAGTGCCAGACATTCTACTGAGTACTTTATATGCCTTACCTCATTTAAATTTTATGTAAATATCACCATTTCCAATTTACAGGTGAGGAGACTGAGGAACAGAAAGCTTAAGTAATGTGCTCAAAGTCATCCAGCATGCCAGAGGATTTAAACTTTGAAAGTCTGGTTTCAGAGACCCGCCTCTAAACTGCCACACAATTTCAACACCGTAGTCTAACATGAGACAGGGAAAGTAGATTGGAAAGCCTTCCTGGGAAATGAGAAACGACAGAACCAAGAATTGTTGCGCAAATAATACTTGTAGCTAAACACTTCCCAAACTAGGATTTTACAAAACATCTTATCCTGTAAGATGCAAAAGGAAAACAAGGATTCCAAGGATAGTGAAGCTGAAAAACACAGCATAGTATAATTCTATTTTATGAGAAATACAATACGTATGATAATATTACAGGCTCTGATAAAATATTTATTAAAATATTTTTTCTCTTTCATTATCTAGATGATCCTAAAGTTATTTCATCAATGAATTCATTCATTGCTTCATTCAATGAAATGACCTGTGTGTTCCTAAATCCAAAGGACTTCTAGGCAGCTCTAGACACAATAGACCTTGCCCTCCTTTTGAAACATGCTCTTTGCATGGCTGTGTAGGGGCCAAGGGAAAATTTCGACTTCAGCCTCTGAAAAGTTTGCCGAAAATCAACCGACAAAAGGCAGATTAATAGGAGAAAAGGCATACAAATATACTAACATGCATGGGAGTCATGCAAGATATAAGAGCGCAAAACAATGGCCGGGTAGTTGATAATTTTATGCCATTTCGAGGGTATAGAAAGAATGGGGGCTTGGAGCATGGCAAAACAGGTTATGGGATGGGGAGAAAAGAAGACCTAGCTAGCAAAGGTAGTGCTGTTCCATAGATGAAACATCACAGGTAGCAGCCCTCAGAGAAGATATATGGCAAATGTTTCTTTTAAACCTTTAAAGGTGTCAGACTCTCAGTCAATCTTTCCTAGATCTGGACAAGGGAGGGCCTCAGAGAAAACCTGGCTGCGTCAATGAAGATTCTCTACAGATACAAATCTTTCCCACAAAAGACAGCTTTACGAGGCTACTTCTGTTTGCAGGTCCTCTGAACAGCCATCTAAAAATATGTCAAAGAAGTATATTTTGGCATGAAATATTTTGGCTTTTATCAGCTTTTGCAATATAATGATCTTGGTTTCTTTCCTTCTATATATTTTTGGTTAGTCTTTCACTAGCTCATCCACTGCCTGCCAGTCAGCAATATTTGGAGTCCTCAGGCCTCAACCCCAGGTCCTTTCCTTCTCTCACTCAAGAGTCTCTCTCTAGATTACTGCATTCATAGCTTTAAAAATCCACCCATTTGCAGATGACACCCACATTTAAATCAATATCCCAGACTTCTTTAAGCTCCAAAACCATTTTTCCAACCTCCCATTTGAAATCATGTTTATGATGTCCCAATGTCCTCTCAAGTGCAATATATTCAAAGGAAACCTTGCTATTTTCCTCCTAAACCTTGTCCCCTTCCTGTAGTGTGCTCTCAGGCAGTGATAGAAGGAAACATCAATTTACTTACCAATACCTGGGTATCATCTTGTGACTCTCTTTCCCTTACTGCCCATATTCAATCATCATATCTTGTTGACTCTGTTGTTAAATGTCTCTCAAAATCTTTCAATTTTTTCATCTTGACAATTATAAGTATAGTCCAAGTTACCAAAATCATTTTCCTCACCTTTTTGCAACAACATAGAAACTGTCATATGTAGTTGTCCCTCAGTATCCACAGAGGATTGTTTCTAGGGCTCGCTTACATAGGTCCCTTATATAAAATGGCATGGTATTTGCATATAACCTATGTGCATTTTCCTGTACTCTTTAAATGACCTCTAGATTACTTATAATACCTAATACAATGGAAATGCTATGTAAATAGTTATTGTACTCTATTATTTAGGGAATAATGACAAGGAAAAAAGTATGTATGTGTGTAGTACAGACGAAATCATCCCTTTTTATTTTTCCAAGCATTTTTGATCCATGGTTGGTTGAATCCACAGCTGTGGAATCCATGAACAGGAAGAGCCAACCCTGCATATCTATCGTGCATCAGCCACTCTAATCCAATCTATTCTTCACCTTACAGACACACCCAACAAGCCCAAAATGTGTGATATTTTTAAGTGCCAATATAATTTTTCTACTTAAAATATATCAATGGCTTGTCATTTATTTGATTATAAATAAAACCTTCTTAAGATGTCCATCAGTGCCTTCTATGCATGGCCCCTGTCTATCTCTTCAGCTTCATCTAAGATTTCTCTTTTGCTCAGTCTCCATTTGAAAGACCTGGACCTTTTGTAATGCAACACACACGCTGAACTCACACCTAGAATACTGGCACAGCTTATTTGTTCTATGTGTTTCTTTTTCTTCCTCTTCTATTTAGTAACTACTCAATCTTAAGATGTTAGCCATGCATCACTTCTTCAGAAATACCTACTTTAACTCCCAGATGAGACCTAATGCCCCTATTTTAAACTTTCATGAAATTACATGGTTATCCTTTATAGAACTTGTCTTATTTACAATTTTACATTTTCTAGATAATCATTAGCTCAATATTTATCTTCCCCCATGACTTGAAGCTAAATGAGAGCAAGCAGTGTACTTTTTGTTCACTACTATTATCTCTAGTGCCTAGCATAGTACCCTGAACAATGTAGGTGGACCTGGAGCCAGGCACTATCTTATCAGCCCCATGCTAGGTGCTGTCATAGAACATGCAAGAAGATAAAGGGCACCTCTTTGCTCATAGAATTTGTAGTCTAGTGTAAGAAAAAGGTAATCAATAAGCAAGTGCAATGCAATGTGTGATGGGGTTAAAACATGTGCTTCTGGGGAAAACTCAGACGTGGATGGTTAAAGAAGATTTTCGTGAAACGAAAGACCTAAATAATAATGATCACTATGTGAACACTGAGTGCATAGCAATTTACACTGCTCTTCATCTAATAAGGGAGGTACATAGGAAAACTAGGGGGCAAAAAAGGTGTGTGACTTGCCAAGGTCACTTGGCTAATTAAAAGAGGATCTCAATTCAAACCTAGACAGTCTGGCTCCCCTAGTGTGTTCTTAACTCCATATTGTGTGGAATCTTTTTGGGTTACCTAGACAAAGGAGAGTCAAGAGATAGTCAGGGTTCCAAAGGAAGGGTAGAGCAAAAGCAAAGACTCTGAGGCAAAAACAAAGAACTCTGAGCTTCTGAGAAACTAATTAATCATGTTGCGTTTTTTGGGGGTGGGGGGGAAACCATGAGCGACAATGGAGAGATTCAACTGGAGAAGGGCAAACCAAAAACAGCTAACTCTTTTTAAAAATCCTATTAAACCCTTATCCTTTGGGACGTGTGTTTTTGGAGGACTGTAAGAGAATATTGCTCGAAACAAACCAAAGACTGTTGTTATAGGTCCAGTACCTACATGAGCCACCACTCCTTTTCAGGACCACAAATAAAAGACTACATCAAATTAAATTACTTTACAAATATACATTCTCTAGTCACAAAAAGGGCTCAAAGGGAGAATTTGACTTCATTCAAAACAAACCTACTCCAGCAGGTTCACATGAACCTCAGAGTTTTAGAACTTGAAAATTTTTTATCTTACCAAGTCTATTTGCAATGATGAGGAAAAAATACAAAGACAATTCTAGAAATCACTTCCCCTAAAAAATATTCAAAAAGGATATAGTTAAAAAATATAGAAAATATAGTGAGCTGGTCCTTTCAGCCTCACATCTTTGAAGGACTATGCAGGGAAAGAGGGTGTAATGCTAGATCAGGCATTTTTGCACATATTATCCACAGAGAAATCTAAATCTATAACCATCATCATAAAATAAAGCAAGAAGAAAATCAGAAAGAAATGAATGAAGGGCAAGTGATAGCCGAGGGGCTCACAACAATTAATTATTAAAATGCCTTAAAAGAGCAAAGAAAATGCTTATCAGATCAGCAAAGCACCTTTTAATAAATAATATGATTTGGGTTTAATTAATGGCCTAATTACAGTTTTACCCAATAGGCTTAAATGCTCCAAAGGAGCAGTTTGAGCCTCTTTGGTAGATAATCTGTGTTTTTAAAAATGTTCTAATTACATATTTGCTTGAGTAAATAATGTGCATTTTACAAAACTGCCTAATGATATATTTATGTGACTATATTTACCCAAATGGCCTCTCATTCTGTACTAATGGAGTTGGGATTACTGTTCCTGAGAGATACAGGAAAATCGGATGGCTCCAGCTTTCACCCTAACACCCCTGTTATTCTCACACTGTTCTCGCTCTCTCACCCCAAAACATACCACTGAAAGCATATGACCCACTTATTCATCATCAGTTTAAACAGAAAGAAAATTCTTCCTCAGCCTTTTGTGTAAACACATTTTGCAGAGAGGATATATGCTTGAAAAATGAGTATTAATACTGTATAATGCTCCATTAAAAATAGATAATGAGACTGTGACCAAGGCAGAACATCCAAGGTTTAAGTAGCTGCATAATTTATTCTGTTCTTTTTATAGTAAGTTACAATCTTTACAAAGACTCAGACTGCATGTATTGGAATCAGATTGCGATGGCTTAAAGCCACATGATGGTCTGCAATAAGTAACAGACAAGTCATAAAAAACTGAGTTGGAACCTCCCAGTTTTGTGGTGGCACTCTCCATTCATAACTTTTAAGTCATTTTTTGTGTGTTTTTGAGACATAAATCTAGAAAAAATGGATGCATATTCATAACATTTTATGAAAAGGCACTAAAAGTTCCATTTCATAGTTTTCCCATAAAATCTGACTCAGCAGACATTTACTGTTTGAAATTAGGTGATGCTTCATTCACAAATTAATGAAAAGATTCCTTTTAAGCATTGAAATATGGTGGCTCCTCAAAAAATTAAAAATAGAAATTACCATATGATCCAGCAATTCCACTCCTGGGTATATATCTAAAGGAATTCAAAGAAAGATCTTGAAGAGATACTTGCACGCTCATGTTCACAGCACCACTATGCACAATAGCCAAGAGGTAGAAGCAACCCAAGTCTCTATTGACAGAAGAATGGATAAACAAAATGTGGCACATACATGAAATGGAATATTATTTAGCCTTAGAAAGAGAGGAAATTCTGACACATACTGTAACAGGAATAAACCTGATAATGTTATGCTATGTGAAATAAGCCAGTCACAAAAAGGCAAATACTGTATGATTCTACTTCTGTGGGGTATCTAGAGTAGCCAAGCTCATTGATACAGAAAGTAGAGTAGGGATTTCCAGGGACCATGGGGATGCGAGAATGGGTAGCTGTTATTTAATGTGTATTGAGTTTCAGTTTCACAAGGTGAAAAAGTTCTGGACATTGGTTACACAACTATATAAATATAATCAACATTATTGAACTGTACACTTAGAAATGGCTAAAATGGTATATTTTATGTTATGTGGTTTTTGCCACAATAAAATTTTTTAATGCATTAAAATCCTTTTAAGATAGTCTATGTATTGGCAAAGGCTTACTATTTCCTTCATGCTTATTAAGCATTTACTGTGTAATAGTAGCCCTACAAGTAACACAGAAGTGTCTTTAATTCAACTCTGGGTTGGTTACCACATCAGCCAAACTTACATTTTTTATAGGTTTCCGTAATCACCCTCTTAGATACAGTTCACTATCCCCATTTTACAGAGCAAGAAATTGAGGCACAGAAGTGTTAAAAGACAAAGCAGAAATTTCAAGTCAGATACTAGGTCACGAGCTCAACTAGAATATACACTCATTGTTCAATAATCTATGTAATAAAGACCAGAGATAGAAGACTAATCACTGAAATGGCCCCAAACCTTTTTCAAAGGCACATTCTTTCTGGTGTCCACACCCAATAGAAAATAAAGTTTGACTAGAATCGACTCTCATTTCTCCTTTGTTATTAAAACAATTTGTCACTGTGACAACAAACATCTATTGAAAACTTATTCTGTGGCAAATACTGCATCTTTCCTATGCCCTGTAGGAAGATACTATTACCTCCCCATTTTACAGGTAAAGAAACTGAAGCTTAGAGAATTGAAGTAATAGGCTCATGTTCTAGTTTATAACTACGAGGGCTAGGATGAGGTTTCAAACCTAGACCTTCCAACATTTGAGCTGCACTCAATAATTACTAAGTATGACTTTCCACTTGGTAGAGGGAATAATTATAGCTGGCTAGTTGGAA
Organism: Homo sapiens; assembly: GCF_000001405.40. Classification (NCBI taxonomy): domain Eukaryota; kingdom Metazoa; phylum Chordata; class Mammalia; order Primates; family Hominidae; genus Homo; species Homo sapiens. The sequence continues at coordinate 23,429,902 of NC_000009.12, forward strand.
AGGCCTGTGGAAAGGTAGACAAAAAAGTCTTGACTATAAAACTCCCACACAATGGAGAGAGGACTCCATTACAGAACCATACAGCAAGATCCTCCCAGGGTATCAAGCCCTCAGCAGATACGAATTATTTTAACCTGTGGCTTTCTTGTTCACACTGCCCTTGTTTCTGATGGAATGCAATAGGAGTTACACTCAAGACATGTATAGCACTGTGGTCAAGCTAACAAAAGGAATATGGATCACAATTACCAGCAACCAATAGTAATAGAGGCTAATACCTCTACCGGATATGTTTTATAAACAAAACTAGGAAACCCCACAAAAACCTGAGGCAAATACCGGGCATGTGCTACCAGTCAGACACTACAATTAAGGTGTAGATATTCATGAAAAGCAAGATTTCTGCTATCTGGCATGGCCCAGAGAAAGAACATAAAATTCCTATTTTTTAGTCATTCCATGAACAAGGTAAGTTTGAAACACATACAAAAAAAGATAAAATAGTTCATTGAGAGAAGAAAGAATAAGAAAAATATCTAGGTGACAGAATAGAATTGAGGAATAAGGTTAGTATGCAATCCTATGCATTCAATAATAGCCTACAGACTCTAAGCTTCCTAGAGACCAAAGCAAAGCAGGAAAGTGACAGTTACGTAAGTCAGTCAAAATCAAATAATCAGAAAAACAGATCTCATTGATTTTCAGATCTAAAAACGGCCACTTTTTGCACATAATATTTTCAACAACATCCCAATACAGGGTACAATAGTGAGTTTCATATGACTGCAAATTACCATTTAAGTCAAGGGCAGAGTCTCATATTTTAAAGGATAGAATCCATAACAAATATAACATTAACTGTACTGGTCACAGTGACAGCCCTCTTGGATGATTCAGAAGACATTCCAATAATTGCAGGGACTCAGGGCCCTCATTATGGGCACTAATTGTATTTTACTGTAATTGGGTAAAATTGCTACTTGAGAGTTCAAGTTGATAGAGTGCCAGATTAACTAATTTTCACCTTAATAAATGTGCGATTATTTATCAAAATTTTGAATCCCAATGCTGACACACTTATAAATTATTTCTTACTCTGGGCACTACTTCACAGAGTTCAGATGATCCCATTGTGCAGACTGAAAGACTCGTGATTCCGAATTGTAAAGATTATTTACAGCATAGACCCCAAAGCACTAAAATCCATTCATTTCTTTCTTCTAATCCAACAGCCTCTGAGATGGCTTGTCTGCAGGGGTGCAGCAGCAGCACCATCTGTTTACTCTGGCCTCATTTGCCCGGATCAAGTAGAAAATTGAAGGCACTAAGCTGAATTTTTCAGAAACTTTGCAGTAATTGAAAAAAGAAGATGATAAAGAAAAAGAGAAAAGCTGTTTGGCCACTTAATTATACTGGTCACTCTGTGGGCTACACAATAAAACTCACACATATTTTTGAAATAGCACCAAGCTAAGGGCATACCATAACTCCAAGCACTATGTAGAGGAGCCCATCTACTCAAGTAGTCATTTAAAATTAGTATATGAAACTCAACCCTGCCGTCATTTATTATTGAAATTGCCTTAAGGTGATCTCAAAAAAAAAAAACTTCATCTTTTGATTTACCTCCTCCTCCCTTTTCTAAAAGTAGCAAATGAAATTTGTGGGATTAGCCTCTTAGGAGCAAATCGACAGAGACAAAATGTAACCATGAGCTAATTCTTGGCAGGGCCCAGAAGGGACGTGCCAAGAGGACATGGGTGGATCATGGGAGAATTGATTGGAAAGATTCTGTGTTCCCAGAAGAGAGCAGGCTTCAGTGGTTTCTCTCAAGTTTTATTGCACGTTAGCACAGCCATATGCTCTGCTCATGTGAGCAGCACCTGGGGGGAGTACATTGGCTTCAGACTCAAGTGGAGACTTGGGAAGTTTGTTTAGTAAATGAGACCTGCGATAACTGCAGAAGCGGCCCCTGTCCTCCACTTATACATAATGTATTTCTTCACCCAGTCTATGAGAGTTAGGTTTTTTTTTTTTTCCATTCCATGTCCACCAAGAGAAGAAAAAAAAAACCTTTCTGTTACTATAAAATACACAGAATAAAAAGTCTATCTTGGTGTAAGAGGATAGTGAGTGGCTGAAGGGAGAGGAAGAAATCAATATGTCTTATCAAACCCACATCATATTGTATATACCAAAGTCATTAGACCCAGAGCCTACTTCTTAGGAATAAATATTTTGCCCTAGGATTAAATCCCTTTATGCCACAGAAGTTGAATTTCTTTCAGCCAACCAGAAAAACCACAACAAACAAAACTCAATATAGCATCAATAGAGTGGAAAATGCAGGAAGCAAAGATTCTGTAGGTTTAAATGGGAAACCCTGTAGTTTGTTGTATCCCAGCTCAGAACCATAGCATTTTGGGCAGTCCTGGATTGTAAAACTTACAGCTGGAATAAGCCACATTTGCAACTGGTACTCATCCTGGTCCCCACCCTCACTCCCTGCCCTCTACTCAGAGTCTCCCTACAGCTGCCACTGTGTTGTCACAAAGCTCCTCACAACTCACCCATTTGGAAGCCCATCCTCTTAAACTGCTCTTCCTGGCATCCTCTCCTACTCATCTTTCCTGGCTCCTTTCTCACCATCAAACCTTGCTGTTTGGTTTGCTAGTTTCTCAGAAACTAGGTAACAAATGAGAGTTTAATTAAATATAGAGATAAAATGCAAATGTGTTACACCCTCTAGAAAGCAGATTTATAGTTAACAGAGGCCTCAGTACTTTAACTCATGGGAGAGCCGATTGGTAGAACTTCGGGAAACATGGCAGTATGGAGGGGAAACTATCTGCAAACTAGTGTCTTCCAGCCTATTCCAGCAGATCACACTTTATCAGTTATGATGGTTTGGCCGCAAGTCATGAAATCTCTAACTCAAATAGCCACAATTATAAGGATGTTTATCATCTCATGTAAGAAGTCCCAAGCACTAACAAGGTGTAAGGCTGACCCATCTCTCTACCCTGCCCCTTTCAGCATGTGCCCAAGCTTGTCCCCACTAATCCCTCTCATGTTGCCAAGATGCCCCCCATAGCTCCAGGCATTTGGCATAGACACAACCAAGCCCAGAATAATAGCAGGTATCTCATCTTACATATCTCTATCAGAGAGACAACATTGATATTACCCACTAGCAATCTTCTCACATATCATTGGCCAGAATAAGTTCATATACGCCTTCCTAACCCAGTCATTGCCACAGGTGATATAGTAATTATGCCTGCCTTACACTACTCAGACTTTTTCTTACAGTCACTTAAGAGAGGACAGAAATTCCAAACAAAATTAAGATTCTTTTCTTATGGAGCCCAATAGAACTTAAATATCAATCTTTTCTCATATCCTAATGTACTTTGGTTCAAATTCAGTTATCAAACTGTTCCTTCTGCTAAAGCCTTTGCCACTTTGAGCTTTATGGATTGTAGTATAAGAGAAAAAAAGGAGAAAGAACAGAATAATTAGAAGATGAGAGAAACAGAAGAGTCTTAATTTTGTAGAGTCTAGAAGATTTTATTACATGATTGTCAGTTTCTCAAAACCACTGACCTCCCACAATAACCCTAAACTCAGAAGTAAGTGGTTTTCTTAAACCAGAAGAATGAAATTAGGAGCAGGTGAGTACAAACATAAACAAGGTCCACTCTGTTGGTGATGTAGAAATTGAAAGTGACATTTTAGACAGTGCCAACACATTAAAAGCACCAATAACAAACATTGAAGATTATATTTTTCTGGAAGTTGAGAAAGCCAGCATTTACCTTAATCCTTCATTTCATTGATGCAAAGTAAAAAAAAAATCAGCCATGCCCACTGCTTTAAATATCAGCGCCACCTTCACGTGGAGTCAAATGATTAAAAAGCGAAGGGAAACCTGAAGCTCTTTTTGAAAAGTAATTTCCATGGACACACCTGGCTGGAGGCAGGATCGCTGGCCTTCATCTCTACATCTGCTAAAGAACCTCATAACACTGTGACTTCTATGACACAGCTTTTCACAGCCTGGCTTATACTATGAATAATATTATTTAAAATAGAAACAAGGTCTTCTTTACCTTTATTGCACCTCCTAGAGCTTGAAAATATGCAAATTAGGTGTTAATCTAAATTTATTGGAAAATAATAGTTTGGTTTACAAAACTGTCTGTAGAAAGTAACTGAATTATTGGCTGGGGGCTGTGGCTCATGCCTGTAATCCCAGCACTTTGGGAGGCTGAGGTGGGTGGATCACAAGGTCAGGAGATCGAGACCATCCTGGCTAACATGGTGAAACCCCGTCTCTACTAAAAAATACAAAAAAAATAGCCGGGCATGGTGGCGGGCACCTGTAGTCCCAGCTACTCGGGAGGCTGAGGCAGGAGAATGGCGTGAACCCGGGAGGCGGAGCTTGCAGTGAGCTGAGATCGAGCCACTGCACTCCAGCCTGGGCGACAGAGCGAGACTCTGTCTCAAAAAACAAAAACAAAAAAAAGAGAAAGTAACTGGATTGTTTATAGTGTGCTCTATTTAACAATACAGCATAAGGATGTCTAGAAAGTTTCTTTTAAATATGTTAAAGCAAGACACTTAAATCATTAATGTTTCACCATTAAACATTAATCATTAATCATTAAACATTTATTCTTAACTGGCTAAAAAAACGAAGACTGCCAGAACAAAGGTTATGAAATAGTTATGTTTATTGCAGTGAAAAATCAAGACACATTAGCATATAAACAATTTTGGATGAAAGTTTCACTTTCTTAAAAGAAGTTTCTCGTACAAACATATCTTAATACACTAGTATCAGTTAAACGGGGTCTTCCCCAAGAGCCAACACTGGAGCCTTAGCTTAACTACTCTTCCCAACAGTCAGGAACCAAAAAAGCAAAGCGAAACACCTGTGCTTGTCTCATAGTTTCACTGCTTGTCCAGGGAACACCAAACAATAGAAAGCAAAACCTGTGGCCAGTAGAGCACATTTTACTCAGTGGACTTCTGAACAACCATATCCCATTTGTTGAATAAGTATTCATCTTTTCCTACTCATTTTGACGGCCAATTTTGTCTCCTATAAAATCCAAGTATAATATTGACTTTTAAGGATATTGCTACAAGTGCACCACCACCAAACACCTAAAACTTGACTTCAGCTTTCCTTGAGGAACTGCCTTAACCAATGTTTGCCCTTTCTGCAAGACCCATGTTTTGGCAGCCACCTGTATAAAACCATGTAAAATACCTCCCCATTGCTTTGGCCTACCGTAGTGTCTGAAACTCTAACCATTAATATCATTCAAACTTTTCAATAAACAACCATTAAGTACTATATGAGGGAAATGCATTGATTAATTGTTGGGAAATGTAAAAGTTAATTATATACTATCTCTATTTTATAGACTATATAATCCACTGAGGAAAAGGATGAAATTACAAATAACTATACTGGAATGCAATATATGCTAAAAGAAAGCAAACAATATCCAACAGAGGATCAAACTAGAAAAGATGTAATACAATTAAGGCAACAGAGGAATTTTTTGTAGACAAGGAAATGTGCAAAGCACCATGAAAGTCAGATTTTTTTTTTTTTTTTTTTGAGACAGAGTGTTGCTGCATCACCCAGGCTGGAGTACAGTGGCACAATCTCGGCTTACTGCATCCTCAGCCTCCCAGATTCAAGGGATTCTCCTGCCTCAGCCTCCCAAGTAGCTGGGATTACAGGCGTGCACCACCATGCCAGCTAATTTTTTTTTTTTTTTTTAGTAGCGACGGGTTTCACCATGTTGGCCAGACTGGTCTCGAACTCCTGACCTCAGGTGATCCACCCGCCTCGGCCTCCCAAAGTGCTGGGATTACAGGCATGAGCCACCACGCCTGGCCAGAAAGTCAGATTTTTAACACATGAAACACTGATACCATACAAGCAGAAGAAGCAAATGAGCAAAAGTATAGGGATCTTTTTTCTTTATACATTTCTTTCAAAATGGGCAATCCAAAATGGATTAAAAAAGTCACTGAAAGACCCTGCATTAAAGAGCTAGCAGACTACAGGACTCAGAGAAAATAAAGTAATTGACAAGGAGGTTCTGATAGTCAAGGGAAGCCTTTGAAAGGTCCAGAACATGTGGTTCATCAGGAAGCTCTTGAAGCCTCTAGGAGCATAATGGGATCACTAGACAATGAGATGGAGACGCCAAAATTAGATTTGCCTTCTTTACCGTATATTCTCCGGCAGTCTCTAACCTCAATGTGCATTAATCAATTCTGACAAAGCAAAAAGAAAATAAATCCAAGGATGCACTCTGCTCAAGAATATGGAATCTATATTGAGGTCAAGCTTAAGGAAAACAGGAAATCACAGTGAAGGTTACGGTTCTGATAGGGATTTGGGCTGGCTGTGCTTTCATTCCTTTCTAGGTCACACTGACATGAAGCCCAGAGACAGCTTTGAAATCTGCTGAGGAAGTCAGCACATGCCAAAATGGAATGGAATTCCACACCTCTTTGCTTTAAGCGTAAGGAGCTCGCATCAGAAAAAGTCTAGTGTTTTAAACAAAGCACTGCTTAATCATTCTTAATATCCTAAAACAAGCCTTTTGATCACCACAAATGGATAAGAAAACAATAAGACAGACAACAGAAAGAAACAATAAGACAACAGATGCGTGTGCTAAAGATATAAATACTAAATTCATAAGAAAAAAGTACAAATAGCAGACAAACAAAAAGGTTCACTAACTAGTAATCAAAAAAAGAGCAAATTAGAAAACCTGGGTACCATTTTTCACTTAGTAAATTAGCAACTTAAAAAATTATAATATTCTATTTGACAAAAGTATACCAAAGTTCTTTCTCATGAAGCTGAGGTATTAGATAATCACAATGAGGCTTTGACTCAGTAATTCTATCTCAGGGAATTTATTTTAAGGAAATATATTCCATCTATTTGACAGATCATATTCACATCATAATTATTTCTAATAATGAAAATTATAAACTTTAATATAAACCAAAGAGAATGATCAAATGTTCTGTTTTATATCTAAAATAGCGACTTGAAAATTCTGTGGAACAGGGAAAATGCTTATAAATCATTATACAAAATTAGACGTATATTATGATCACAACACTGTATAGCATTCATAGTGACAGTGTCTAAAAGAAAATATAAAGTAACAAAGCTTGTTTTATTTGGATATTGGAATTACAAATTACTTTTTCTCTCTCTTTTTCCTACATTTTCACTAGAATTGATGTGCTGCTCTAATAATTAAAAACTCTGCTTCTCATTCATGAATTTCTAAATGCCATTCGATTTTAATGAAATTATTTTACCACAATGTTTATTTAAAATACCTGGACACTTGTCGTTGGTCCCATTCAGTTTTGCCAATAAAAAAGAAACTATTACATAAAAAATAGCCCTTAGGAATGCATCCCATTTTTCAATACTAGCTGAGAAGGATCCAGAAGTCACTCACCAGGCCAATCCCACTCCCAGCAACACACCTTCAAATCCCATATACTGGCTGAGTGCGGTGGCTCACGCCTGTAATCCCAACATTTTGGAAGGCTGAGACAGAGGATCTCTTGAGGTCAGGAGTTCGAGACCAGCCTGGGAAACAGGGCAAAACCCTGTCTCTGCCAAAAATACAAAAATTAGCTGGACATAGTGGCGTGCACCTGTAGTCCCAGCTACTAGGGAGGCTGAGGTGGGAGGATGGCTTGAGCCTAGGAGGTGGAGGTTGCAGTGAACTGAGATCCCGCCACAACACTACAGCCTGGGCGACAGAGTCAGACTGTATTAAAAAACAACAACAACAACAAAAACAAAACCATGTACTTTCTCTTCTAGTTACAGTCATGTGCTGCATATCGGCATTTCGGTCTGCAACAAACCACATACAGCATATGATGGTAGTCCCATAAGATTACAATGTAGCTAATAAATTCCTGTGTGCTTGTGTCTTAGTTTTTAACGTAGATTTTGGCTTTAGAGGATCCCTTCAAACACCTACTATTGATTGAACTATTAAATAAAAATTAAAATGGCAAAGATAAATTAGAAATTAGCCGTTTCTATTGCTTTTGTTCTTCCTTTTTCCTTTTTCTTCTTGTATTTCTTTTCAAGAATCCTTCACTGCTCCGTGGGAGACGCTGAGTCTCCCAAGCTCCAAACCCACTATCAGTTAGAGGAAGATAGGAGTCTTAGCTATACTACTATTTCTTAATCTATAAGCAAGGAGCCAAGATATGCAAGGAAGTATCTGGGACAGTGAGAAGCTGATGCGTTGTGCCATTTCTTGCATACATCTTCAGTGGGGTTCTACTCCAACCCTAAGATTCTAAGATTCCCCAGTCTCTCCCATGTTCTGGATTGGAAGGAAAAGTTTGGAGAAGAGAGTCTATCATCTGTCTCTAATTCATCAGTCTTGTGTCGAAGACAAACTGTGAGAAAAGACTAGATCTCCAGGAACAACCAAAAGGAAAGATTTTGTGTGAGGTCCTTCCTGTAACAACCAGCTAAATCTGTGAACTTGTATTCAGGAATGAACAATAACACAGAGCGCCAAACGCGGTTACTGCTGATGGAGGATATGACAGACAAATCTTAACCTTACCTCTATCCCATTCTTTTTCCACAATCTCTCCTTTGCCTGTAAGACAGCAAATATCTCTAACAGCAGCATCAAGCATAATAATCCTCTGAGATCTGCTCCCACAGCTACTTTTTCTCCACCTAAACTTTGACACAGGTTGCCGTTTGCAAACAGTTTGTACTTTACCTATCACGGTAATGATTAACTTCAGCGGTCTCTTGTGTCTGAGTAAAGTATGGTCCGTGGAACAGCAGTATTGCCTTCACCTGGGAACGTACTAGAACTGCAGAAACTCAGGCTGAATTAGAATTTGAATTTTAGCAAGATCTCAGGGTAATTTTTATGCACATTAAAGTTTGCAAAGTGCTTTAAGAAAACCTGGAGGGTGACACCATTTATCGCCCTACAAATTGCTATGAGTGCCACCACTTCTTGTGGTATACTGAAGAAAGCAGGGGTTTTGGAGTAGCTTTTCCTAGGATTGAGACCACTGCTCATCACTTAGCAGCTGTAGGTCATTGGGCAAATTACCTAACATCTCTAGTTTTCCATTTCCCCATGTGTTAAGTAATAAACTCTATATCCACTAAATTGTGAAGATTATATGTAACAATGTATCTAAAATATGCAATTCAGTGACTGAACCAGAGTAGATGAATATTTGAAATCAGAAGCTTAAAGTATGAGAAGAGACTTTGAAAGCTAATTGTCAAATCCCTACTTTGCCTCAATGTGCTCAGCTTTAGCCAATCCCTGAAGATGATAATTACAACCTTTTCTCATTTGCATTCCTTTACTCAGGAGCTCACCTTCTTTTACATAAAGGACCAACTACCCCAAAACATCTCCTATCAGACTTCCATTGAACTTAAGATTTATCACTGTTTTGCTATTTTATATAGTGTCTTGCTTGTTTTTCTGAGCTCATTTTGCTTTCTTTTTAGTCAAGAATCCTCAAAAACAAAATGACTGTAACACTGGAACATGGTTGTTGCAAACTAATACACCACTGGATGGTGACATATCATGTTCTCAAGACCCTATAAAAGAAGTAAACCATATCATCAGTTTAACAGCCCTTAGTTAGAGAAAAGATTAATTCTTTTTTTTTTTTTTTTTTTTTTTTGAGACAGTCTTGCTCTGTCACTCAGGCTGGAGTGCAGTGGCGCAATCTCGGCTCACTGCAACCTCTGTCTCCCGGGTTCACACCATTCTCCCGCCTCAGCCTCCTGAGTAGCTGGGACTGACTACAGGCGCCCACCACCACGCCCGGCTAATTTTTTTTTTTTTTAGTAGAGATGTGGTTTCACCGTGTTAGCCAGGATGGTCTCGATCTCTTGATCTCGTGATCCGCCCGCCTTGGCCTCCCAAAGTGCTGGGATTACAGGCGTGAACCACCACGCCCAGCGGAGAAAAGATTAATTCGTAATTCAAAAAATATACACTGAGCACTGATTGAAAGAAGATAAACAAAAAATAAAAAGTCTTTGCCCTCAAAAAACTTAATCTGTGAAAATGTAATGCAATAAGTGCTATGAAAAAGGAAACATGGAATTTTGGGGGAGCTCGTAGAAAGGGGGATCTAAACTATGTTTTTAGGGGGTGGAGAGAGTGTTTGGGGAAGATGTCCTAGATGAAGTGTCATTTAATGTGAGAAAGTATAAGCAAATTATTTACATGCCTATCAGCACAACTCACAAATCAGAAAAAGCTGGCTGGGTTCAAATTTGAGCTCGGAGGTCGAGCAAATTTATTGACCTTTCTATGCCTCCCTTTACACATTAGCATAATAGAAGCAACGTTTTTATCTACATCATAGGTTAATTGTAATAATGAAAACTTTAAATATGTATTGAAGGCTGGCGCTCCACAAATGTTTGCTGGCTTAATTCCTTCTGTTTGCATGAATTGATGTAAGAATAGCTATCCTATCTCATACCAGAATTTCTATGTGAAGCAAGTGGGTCAAGATTATGAGAGATTACTGTTCTAGTCCCCGAAAAGATAGCTCAATGTGCATATGGATCTCAAATTATATGTACATATATATATCAATCTCAATTTTATATATACTCGTGTGTATATATATATCAAATTATATATATCTTAAGTTATATGTATCCACACACTTACGAAAAATTTTTAAAGTAAAATAAGAAGAATAAGGTAAGCAAAACTCTCTGAGAAAAGCAGACTTCAAAGATGCCTCAAAATCAATCTACCCAGCATCATACTGTAAGCTCCATCAAACCTTCCGCTTCCCACATGCTTTATCTAAGGATGAAGACACTCTCCAGCCATAGGCAAGTCAGAAACACAGGAGTCATCCTTGAGATCTTCTTCCTCATGCCCATATCTCACTCACCCTAAGTCTTGATGACCTTGTCTCCTAAGAATCTCAAAAACAATCACCCCAACTTAAATCCCTTCTTCACAATGAACACTTGGTCATGTGGACCTCAGTTCTGGACATATGTTTGGTATCTAGCATAATTACAATAATAAATGCAAGCTAAATTAATGATTTTGTAACTAGATGGAGATCAATAAAGTGTAGCCATAAGAAAAAAAATTTTTAATTTGTGATTTAGAAAGTACCAATCTACATTTCATTGACTCTCTTTGGAAATGTTTTGGTTTGATGGTAGGAAAAATCTTACAAATAAATAGATGGTGATATCTTTAATAGAGGACTGATTAAAACATAACATCAAAACCTCATATGCTGAAATAGAAATAACAAATGAGACATAGGGATGTCTTTAGGACTGGGATCAGCAAATTAAGGCCAGCATGCCTAATCTAGTTTTGGTTTTTGTTCCACTGGAACACAGCCACACTTACTCATTTGCTATTGATTATAGCTCCTTTCCTGTTGCAAAGGCAGAGTTGAATAGTTGCAACAGAGACTACAGGGCACATAAGCCTAAAATATTTACTATCTGGCTCTTTACGGAACTAGCTTGGCAACCCCTGCTTTAGAACATCAGAAAAAAGGCCTCTGTCAGGAGAATCGTTTGAACCTGGGAGGCGGAGGTTGCGGTGAGCCAAGATGGCGCCATTGCACTCCACCCTGGGTGACAAAAGCGAAACTCTGTCTCAAACAAAACAAAACAAAATAAAACACAAATTGTGACAGAAAACAATGTACTATGGTTTTAGAGATTTGTGAAGAGATTAGGAAAAAGGGGAGATGAAGGCAGTGTTTGAGTTAAGGCCTTGTGGTCGGCTACATTATGACCCCAAAGATAATCACATCAGAATCTCTGGAACCTGTACATGTTACCCTATTTGAAAAAAGAGTCTTTGGAAGATGTGATTACATTAAGGATCTTGAGGAAAGGTGATTATCCTAGGTTCTTTGGGTGGACCGTAAATGTCACCACAAGTGTCCATATGAGAGAGAGGCAGAAGGAGACTCAACACACACAGAGGAGAATGCATGAAGACAAGAGCAGAGATGGGAGTCACATCATGGTACACTGAGAACGCCAAGCACTGCTGGCGGCCACCAGAGGCTGAGAGAGGAGAGCTAAGGTTTCTTTCCCAGAGCTTCCAGAATGAGCTCGGCCCAGGTGGTGCATGATTTTGAAACTCTGACCTACAGAACTTTGAGATAATATGTTTTACCATTTTATACTCCCAACGTCATGGTAATTTCTTCTATCAGCCACAGGAAACTAATGTAGTCCCACTGAAGAAAAATCGGGCTCATCTCTGCTCAAAGAAGTTGGGAGGAAGAATGTGATTGTATCACAATATTTAAAGTACCTAAAATTCTATATTTGATCCCATTAAATTTTGCCAAAAAAAAACCACTGTTGCATTAATAAATAGCATTTAGGAATGATTCCCATTTTTCAGTGTCCAGAAGTAATTCACCATGCCCATTCCACTCTCAACAATACAGCTTCAAATCTCAGTCACTTTCTCTTTAATTTTATAGTAACCTGACTGTGGCCCCACTATTATGATTTGCAAATTTTAGGCTTTGTAGAGCACCAGTTCTAACTTTTAAACTGCATATAAACTCAGAAAGAGGTTTCAGTGTTAACTCTGCCACTAACCAATTTTATCAAATTAGTTGACACTTTCAATTTCTGGTTCATCAGAATGAGAAAGAAAGAATAAAGGGGAAAAAAAAGGAAGGAAGGGAGGGAGGGAGAGAGGAGGGAAGGAAGGAAGGAAGGAAGGATGGAAGGAAGGAAGGAAAGGGACGGAGAGAGGGAGGGGAAAGATTATTTCATATTAATTGACATGTAATGAGATTAGAAAAAATTATTATAGTACCTCCTGACATCAGAAGTCTTCTTTTTAAGGAAGCTACCTTTGCTTAAGAAAAATATCTCACTGTGAAAGAAAGTGCAACCATGAAGTTTTCAGAGATAAAGTGCTCTACATAAAAAATTATAAAATAAGGTTTTACTTTTGATCTGGTAAGTAGGAAGAAAGGAAAAAGAAAGAGGAGAGAAAAGATAGAAAGGGGAGTTGGGGAAGGAGATGTGAGTAGGTTGGAGGGAAAAGATCTGCTGGTCCCTCTTCCCTGAGAGAAACAAACACCGGTCTCAAACTGCCCTAGTCCTGGTTATCTGCCATGATAACAGACCCCCCAGGCTTACTCCTCTGACCTTTCCCTTATCGCACTAAGAAGATGAAATTGGGAATGTTTTACAGCGCCCCCCACCCCCACCCTACCACCATACAGCAACTATTGTGATTCAAGGAGCCAAACCTAAAAAATAAGAAACAGGCAGGGCACGGTGGCTCACACCTGTAATCCCAGCACTTTGGGAGGCCAAGGCGAGAAGATCACAAGGTCAAGAGATCGAGACCATCCTGGCCAACATGGTGAAACCCCATCTCTTCTAAAAATACAAAAATTAGCTGGGCGTGGTGCCGCATGCCTGTAATCCCAGCTACTCGGGAGGCTGAGACAGGAGAATCGCTTGAACTCAGGAAGCAGAGGTTGCAGTGAGCCGAGACGGTGCCACTGCACCTCAGCCAGGTGATAGAGCGAGACTGTCTCAAAAATCAATCAATCAATCAGTAAGAAACATTAGTCAATAAAACCAGGACAGTTGGAGTCTAAGGCTCTACTCCTCCTTTCATACACATGATGGCTAAAATGGTTTGAAAAGGAAAGAGCATGCATTTTATATTCAACAATTTAGGTAGTAAAGGCTGAAAATATAAATTAGATTCAAACCATAATCCTTCACTAAGTGCTGTGGTTTGATACAGAAAGAGGTACAAGGGGACATGACACAACTAGAAGAGAGGAAGGGTTTTCCTCTGGGGAGGGTGGAGAGTGCCAGGAGAGGAGCTGAGAATGGAAAGCAGAGTGAGGGCTTCACTGTGTGTCGAAATGTAGCCCTACCTACACCTCAGCAGGGCAGGAAGCAGCTACCGGACATGAGTTTAGGAAACATTTGCAGAATCTGACCACTTCTCACCACTTCCACCACCGTCTCTGTCTAAGCCACCATCGTCTCTAGCCTGGATTCAGCTATGGTGTCACCACTGGCCATTCTTAATTTTCTTAATGTTGCCACCATAAGGATATTTACCTATGTCAGATCCTGTTATTCCTCCATTCAAAATCCTGTAAAAATATCTCACTTCACTCAGAGTAAAAGCTAAAGTACTTAGAGTGACTTATGAGGCCCTATCAGAGCCCATCTCCTGCTACTTTATACCCCTCCCTTCTCATTATCAAACACACTGGCCTCCTCCTTATTTTTCGAGCCTCCTGCCTTAGCCCCAGTCATACCCCCAGCCATCACCACTCCCTGGAACTTCCCCCCACCCCAACTCACTTCATCCCAACCCTGTCCACAGGCTACCTCTCTTAACTCTGAGTTCTATGTTTGAATATCACCTAGTCAATGAGGCTTCTCCTGACCACCCAAATGAATGCCTCCGCTCCTCCCCACCTTCTGCACTTCCAACCACCTTCACCTACTCTAGTTTTATATTTTATATATTAGCATTTATCCCTTTCCAAATTATATAATGTATGTGTTATATGTATTATCTCCTTCTGCCTCCAACACCTGGGAATCTAAAGCTCTATGAGGTCAGGGATCTTTGTTTTACTCACTGATGTAAACAATGCCTGGCACCTTGTGAGAGCTCGAAAAATATCAAATCATGAAAGAAGGTAAAGTGGAAAACTACTTTCCACAATTGGTAAGTTTTTTAACACAGAATAATGTAATAATATAATAAGTCAACATGTTTTTAAGGCATCACTGTGCTGTGAAACTAGCTTCAATAAACATCACAATTACTCATTCATTTTTTTAATAAATACTTGAGGAGGGCGTACCCTATGCCAGGCACTGTTCCCAGTTCTGAAGATATAATAATTGAGTGAAAATGTCCTTAAGGAGGTTGAATTATAGTGGGTAAGAGAGACAATTAATAAGTAAAATATTTAGAATGCTACATGATGGTAAGTGCCAAGCAGATGAAGCAGGCAAAGAAGCTAAAACTGATTATTATACTTTTAAAACACCAAATGAGATAGCTTATAATAATAAAAGTGCTTAAAGAAGTATAAGGCAAAGGTTGAAAATTCTATCCAATTTAAGAAGTATCTTTCTTATGTTTTGGTTTTACTCAAAGCAAGTTATAGAAGATGCGTCATACAACCCTCACAAACTCACTGCCTAAGTGGCTGTGTATTGGCTTCATATTCACCACAGACTCCTGCTTCAAACCCACAGAGAGCACTGTCATTCCTATGGGCAGATGGTGCATGCTCACCAGGCAGATGCAGTGCACAGGACCTCAAGTGCATTCAGTGATTCCCACACCCTCTGGTAATCCCTCGATGGCAGCAGAATGTGAGAGGCATGGCAGAGTGGCCTTACTGGCTCAGTTCTATCACTCTAGTTACTCCTGTGGCATTTCACACTCTCACTAAGAAGTGAGCCCCCAATTCACTTGACTCACGTGAGAGCATCATTTAGTTACAGAATTTATCGTTATTGATTTGTTTTCTTTGGTTCCCGTGAAAGAAACAATAAATGCTATGAGCAGAAAATCAATTGTGGACATTCTAGGCTTATCATATATACCTTTAAACGCACTCAAAATTCTTTTCAAATTATTTGCTGACTATGCCGCCATCCTCTCACTTCCAGAATTCGCCAAGATTACCGGCCCTCTTCCCTTTGAAGTCATGTGCAGCCACGTGACTTACTTTGGCTGAAGAAAGTGAACAGAGGTGACTTGTGTCACTTTCTGATGGATGTATTTAAGAGTTGTGTTCACTTCTTCTTTTCCACTAGCACAGCAAGCCCTGAACGTTATGGTGAGATGATGACATAAGATGAAGTCTCTATCAAGTCTGAGCCTCAAAGTAACTACAATGCAATTATTTTGGGGAACATAATATGAACAAGAAATAATCTTCTTTTGTTTTAAGGCACTAAGACGTTTTGTTATTGCAATAACATAAAATAGTTTATCCTAACTAACATCCCAAGTAAAGCCGTGACAATCCTGCTTATGAGCACCTGGTAGTCTTTCCTCCCTACCTTAGGGAGAAAAGTACTAAGGAGCGCAATGTGCCCAATGTGAGATATTAGGTCATTTTTAAAAGATGAGTGAATTTACAGTGATATATGAAAGAACTGAAGCACCTGGTCTCTATCCTGAGACCCTAATTACTAGAGAAGATGACTTTAAGAAGCAACATAAAACACCTCTGAAATATCCTTTGATACATTCCTCGAGAATCTACTTCAAATTTCTCAAGAAAGAGGGAGCCTGATTTAAAAGTTTAATTTTTAAAAAAAAAGTTATAACAATAGAAGACCTCTGGGTAATGGAGCAGAAAATAAAAACAAAAATTGTATTGGTGCACCCTTTGTTGCCTCAACAGCTCTTAAAGTGACCATGGAAGCAACAGCAATGACTGAGAAAACACAGGTCCATCACTCACAGCAACAGGAAGAGCAGTGATTCTCCCGTACATGGCAGCAACATCCTTATGAAACCAGCCCCAAAGGCTTGCAGCCACAAACACTCTCTATGGCTGAGCAGAGATTAACACTAGTACATATAGCAAGATGTTATTTGTTCCAAGAAAAACTGATAAACTATGCCAGGATGCTGCTAGGTGTGCAAGGTGGGGGCGGTGGGAAATTGGGACCCAGAAATTTTACCATGGAAGCCCAGACCCATTTCAGTGTCACAGTGATTGCTACCCAGATTTTTGGCAGTCCTCCTCTAGACTAGACTGAGAAAGCAGGAATTCATATTAAAAAGGATGTTTATGGAACCATCCAACAGGATCTAGAATCAGCTGCAATCATCAGACACAGAATTAATACATTCCTTGGATCTTTACATCATAGCCTTTAATGACAACTACTTGGAAGCTAAACCCTTATTTCCCCAAATGGGAGAATCAACAGCAATAAAATGGCATAAAAATTGAACTTATGGGATGCCACACCAAAAACACTTTATACTTTTAAGGACATCTTTATTTATATTTTCACAGTATTTTCTTTGAAGTTTATCATCCAAATACCATGCATATACTACAAACAGCTCTAGACTTCTCAACCCCCTCAGTCTGTAAGTTGCTTCAGGGGTAGAAATGGGTGCAACATCTAGAACAGTCATTCCAGGAATTATCTCTGAGGTATGGCTCCCACCACAGCTCATAGGCAGCAGCCTGAATCTGCTTCACTTTAATCAGGAAAGATAGATGGAATGGAGCCCACTTAGTTCGTGGCTGCCAGCCCTCTTCGTCTCCCTCCCACAGACATGCATACAGGAAACCTGGCAGCTCCCTTCCCTCTTCCTGTCATTCTCACTAGGCTAAGGAGTAGGCAGATGCAGGAGGGAGGGGGAATGCAAAGGCTGCCAGAGCACTTGCCACATTCTGTGTTGCCATCACAAGCCTCCCCAGTGCCCAGCATTTCTCAGGTGCTCTTGCTAGGTTCAAGACAGAGAAATAGATATAAGCAATTGAGCAAAGCGCCCCACAAGAAAGGCACACCCCAACATCCAAGGCTTTATTTGAAGTAACAAATACATAGGATGACTATGCCCTGATTAAATCCTCTTATTTTTACAAGAGAGAATTGAGAAATTACACAGCATTTTGCACTAAACTCAGAAAATCTTCCTGAAAGAGTTCAGAGAAGAGCAAGGAAGAGTTAGGCAAACAATGGGTGAAAGAGGAAAAGGAAAAAAGTAATTTAACGTTGATGGATTTTTTTCCACTGTCCCCAGTAGGAAGAATCCCATTGGGGGATAGTGACATGTGCCCAAGCAGGCAAGTTTAATGGGCAAGACAGCAGACAAACTTGGGATCATGGTCTACTTCCTTTACTAATAAATGTCCCAAATGCTCCCAGCACAAGCTGTCAAAACAAATCTAGCTTTCCTCTGACTTTTGTTGATAGGTGATAACACTCAGCTCAACCAAACAAATTATAAGGCTGCTATATCAATGTAACCTCCACTCTCCCGACAATCAAAAATGTCAGGGAAAATCTACAGCATTATCTTCACTCCGAAAGACACACTCTTAAGAGTGAGGGATATAGCCCTCAGTTAAGTGATGCAAGGCAAACTGCACGAGCAGTTCAAAGTCCTCACCTAGAGCTATAGAACTGCCTTCCTTAATTTATTCATTCATACATTCCCTGCAGGATATATTGCATTTGATATAATGACCAACAAGACAAATACACCTCTTGTGCTTACAGAGCTTACAGAACCTCAAGAGAAAAAGACAAAATAGTAGGTAATTACAATAAAACGTGTTATGTCCTAGGTGCTCCTCGTGCAGTCTAAAACCACAAAGACATAAAATTATTTGAAATAGTCAAAATGTGGAAACAACCCAAATGTCCATCAACAATAATCAATTTGTTTATTGAGGCAATAAACAAATATGTGGTATACCCATACAAGGGAATATTATTTAGCCACAGAAAAAAAATGAAGTACTGATACATGCTACAATATGGATGGACCTTGAAAACATCATAATTAGGAAAAACGTCAGACACAAAAGGCCACATATTGTATGATTTAAGTTATATAACATGCCCCAAATAGGCAAATCCACAGAGACAGAAAGCAAGTTAGTGGCTTCCAGGAGCTGGGGGATGAAAGAGAATGGGGAATGACTGCTAACAGGTATGAGGTTTCTTTTGGGGGCAATAATGTTCTTAAATTAGATAGTGGTAATGGTTACACAATCTTGTCAATATACCAAACGCCACTCAACTATACACTTTAAAAAGGTGAATGCTATGATATGTGAGTCATATCTCAAAAAAGTAGTTACTTAAAGGAGAAAAAATCCACAAACCCTTTAATACGGTAAAGAAGGACCCACCTGAGCCGTATAGAATCAACTTTCCTTGTCAGAATACATGTGGTATAAGAGAAGCATGACTTTAGAATCAGACAGACTACTACCTAGCTTTTCACCGCCATGGTTTCTTAATCTGCAAATTAAGATTTGTGCAATGTTGTTACGAGTTTAAAAATAACATATCAAAGCATCTGTTGTAAAGTAGCTTCTCAATAAACAATCACCCAACGATGTTATGGAATATCAATATTAGGAATTTCACAACTAGGGTGAGACTTCTCCAACTCTTTAGGCCAGCAGAATAGTTTCCAAGTGGATGGTATCCAGCAGGGTGATTACTAGATTGCCCTGCCGCCAAAATCAAAAGCAGAACCATGATGGCACGAGGATGTGAAGTGGAACCTATCAAGCGATCGATGCTGCCTCTTCTCCACCACGGGTCAGCATTAAAAGATCATCTCTTCCTAATTTATGAGCATCTCAGTCCATCTTGGAGACTCCATAAAATGTGTACCTTTGGAGATTTTTAAATCTCCTGTCTTTCCTCCTGTACTTTGGAGACTCTATACGCTGACTAACTGAAAAGCAGAACTACAAGAACTAAATGCTTCATACCTGCATCATATTGGAAAGACCCTGATCAATTTCAATAAAAACCCCTTGATGTATTTCAATTGATAGACAGATTTTTCTTTAAAATATGCAACATGTGATAGGGGGAATTATGTTTACACTGCATCAAAAAAAATCAGGTAATAACTTCATTTGAGACCTCCTTATAGAAAATATATTCCTCACAGAGCGTGGCATAATTGCAGGCACACAGTTAAAGCTCAGTAAATATTAATACTTTCTGCAATGAAAAGACATTACATAACAAACCAGCAACTGGTCAAGAAACAGAAATGCCTGTTATATGGATTGTTCTTTCCTACTAAGGATGAGACATCCAAAGACCTCTGTGATGTGGCTCCTGCCTGTCTCTGCCACATTGTGTCTACTCTCATCACAACGTACTAGTCTGTCAACACACTGAACCTCATGGAGTTCTCTAACTGCACCTAGAAGTTCTTGCTTCTAGGCCCTTGTTGACGCTCTTCCCTTGCCTAGATCTCCCTTTCCCCATTTCTCTACCAGCTTAACTCTTACAAGTCACCTAGGATTCAGCTCCCGTGTCATCTACTTAGGAAGCCTCCCTGATCTTGCCGAGTCCTGCCCCTTGGTGTGGATGAGAGTTCCCTCACACACACTTATCTAGTACCTGTCATATTGTTATAACAACTCTCTGTTTAGTTATTTGTTTCCCATCCTAAACTGTTGGTTTCTAGAAGGTGGAATCATGGCTTTCACCGCTGTATTGTTATCTCCTAAAACAGTGCCAGGCATTGAATAAGTGCTCACTGAGTGAGTGAATGAATGACTTTAGTCATAGTTGTATTCAGCATTTTATTGAAATAATTTTAACTATTACCAACTTCTCAAATTTCCTCAACATTTTAAACTTAAAGAAACATGATCATATTTGATAAGAAACATCACTAATTACATTTAAATAAAACCCAGCACAATTATCACATGTAATTTACAACAGTTAATCCAATTCATACTTAATGATATGAATAATTACTATAGTGTCAAAAGTTCATTGGGCATAAAAGTCAGACAGTCAACATAAACAAATATTAAAATGTTCCTTTTATTTAAGCCAAGCAAATCATTCTTGGAATTCACTGAGGGAAGAGAGAAAAGGAACTGAGCAGGGAAGGAAACAACTCTGCCAGTTTCCTTAATTAGAAACTGAAGTTGCTTCTGAGGCAGGTCATTCTATATCCTGCACTTTCAGGGGCTAAGGGTTACAAAGTGTCCTTATTCTTACCCGCTTCCTTGTTTACTCACTAACCCTACCACTTGCCCAAGGAAAGAATGGGGAGAAGTTGGTCAGTGCTTTAAACCTCCCCTCAATCCTTCTCCCAGTCACTCTAATGGGTTTTCTTTTTAAAGCCCTAAGTCTGAGAGTTCTCAGGTGACATTCAATTGTTCAAGTGACAGGGGAGTCCATTCCAGCATTAAGAGTGATATACAGGCCGGGCGTAGTGGCTCTTGCCTATAAATCCCAGCACTTCGAGAGGCTGAGGAAAGCAGATTGCTTGAGCTCAGGAGTTCAAGACTAGCTTGGGAAATATGGTGAAAACTGTCTCTACCAAAACTACAAAAAATTAGCTGGGTATGGTGGCACACGTCTGTGGTCTCAGGTGTCTAAGAGGCTGAGGCGGGAGGATCACTTGAGCCTGGGAGACAAAGGTGGCATTGAGCCAAGATCCCACCATTCCACTCTAGCCTGGGTGACAGAGCGAGACTCCATCTCAAAAAAAGTGATATAAGGCAGGGTACAGTGGCTCACATCTGTAATCCCAGCACTTTGGGAAGCTGGGGAAGGTGGATCACTTGAGGTCAGGAGTTTGAGACCAGCTTGGGCAACATAGCCAGACCCCTAGCTCTACAAAAATATAAAAATTAGCAGGGTGTGGTGGTGTGTACCTGTAATCCCAGCTACTTGGGAGGCGGAGGTGAAACAGTCACTTCAGCCCAGGAGTTGGAGGCTGCAGTAAGCTATGATCACACCGCTGGACTCCAGCCTGGTAATAGAGTGAGACCTTGTCTCAAAAAAACAAAACAACAAAAAAAGTGGAATAGGTAGCTGGATGCTTTAACATACTCAGAAGTGGATCAACTTCTCAACTAGAGAATGCCAGAGCAATTCATCTATAAAAATCCTGTACATAAAGAAGGTCGAACATCTGACCACCAGAGCAACAAACCCAGGAATCATGAGGGAAAACAAAGCATTCTTTGGCTTTGTCCTGATTTTTCCTCTTTCCCTCTCAGATAAACATCAAAATCACATACTGGCTTCAATTCCATGTGTCATTCACTTAATATAATCCCAAAAGTCATCTATTACTGAGAGGTGACACCATGCTGGCAGCCCTCACAGCCCTCGCTCGCTCTTAGTGCCTCCTCGGCCTCGGTGCCCACTCTGGCGGCACTTGAGGAGCCCTTCAGCCCACCGCTGCACTGTGGGAGCCCCTTTCTGGGCTGGCCAAGGCTGGAGAGGGCTCCCTCAGCTTGCGGTGAGGTGTGGAGGGAGAGCCCTGGGCGGGAACCAGAGCTGCACGAGGTGCTTGCGGGCCAGCGTGAGTTCTGGGTGGGCTGGGCTTGGCGGGCCGGCACTCGGAGCGCCCGGCCAGTGCCGCTGGCCCCGGGCACTGAGGGTCTTAGCACCCAGGCCAGCAGCTGCGGAGGGTGTGCCAGGTTCCCCAGCAGTGTCGGCCCGCCCGCACTGCGCTCAAATTCTCCCGGGGCCTCAGCTGCCTCCCCGTGGGGCAGGGCTCAGGACCTGCAGCCCACCATGCCTGAGCCTCCCTGGTGGGCTCCTGCGCCGCCGGAGCCTCCTGGACGAGCATCTGTCCCTGCTCCATGGGGCACGGTCCCATCGAATGCCCAAGGGCTGAGGAACACAGGCGCAAGGCAGCCTGGGACTGGCAGGCAGTTCCACCTGTGCCCCCATGCAGGACTGGGCTCAGAAGCCAACTGGGCTCCTGAGTCTATTGGGGACTTGGAGAACCTTTATGTCTAGCTAAGGGATTGTAAATACACCAATCGGCACCCTGTATCGAGCTCAAGGTTTGCAAATGCACCAATCAGTGCTCTGTGTCTAGCTCAGGGCTTGTGAATGCACCAATCAGTGCTCTGTGTCTAGCTAATCTAGTGGGGACTTGGAGAACTTTTGTGTCTAGCTCAGGGATTGTAAACGCACCAATCAGCACCCTGTCAAAACGGACCAATCAGCTCTCTGTAAAACAGACCAATCAGCTGTCTGTTAAATGGACCAATCAGCAGGATGTGGGTGGGGCCAGATAAGGGAATAAAAGCAGGCTGCGGAGCCAGCAGTGGCAATTCTCTCTGGTTGTTTTCCACACTGTGGGAGCTTTGTTCTTTCTTGCTCCTTGGGTCCGCACTGCCTTTATGAGCTGTTAACTCTCACCGCAAACATCTGTAGTTTCACTCCTGAGGCCACGGAGACCATGAACCCACTGGGAGGAATAAACAACTGCAGACGCCCTGCTTTAAGAGCTGTAACACTCACTGTGAAGGTCTGCAGCTTCACTCATGAAGTCAGGGAGACCACGAACCCACCAGGAGGAAGAAACTCCGAACATATCCCTACATCAGAAGGAACAAATTCTAGACACATTACCTTTAGGAACTGTGACACACACCGCGAGGGTCCGTGGCTTTATTCTTGAAGTCAGTGAGACCAAGAACCCACCAATTCCTGACACGTTACTGTGGAGAATTTGCAGTGCACAGAAACTTGTTCAAGACTGTGCTCTTTAGTACTAGCTGCCTCCCAAGAAAGGAGCAAACAGTAACATTGTATTACAGATGCTTTAAAGAGAGAGAAGAGGGCAGACCCAGTGGCTCACATCTGTAATTCCAGCACTTTGGTCAGGCAAGGAGGGTAGATCACTTGAGATCAGGAGTTCGGACCAGCCTGGCCAGCAGGGTGAAACCCCATCTTTACGAAACACAAAAATCAGCTGGGCGTCGTGGCACACACCTGTAGTGCTAGCCACTCAGGAGGCTGAGGCAGGAGAATTGCTTGAACCCAGGAGGTGGAGGTTGCAGTGAGCTGAGACTGGGCCGCTGCCTTCCCGCCTGGGTGACAAAGTGGGAATCTGTCTCAGAAAAAAAAAAAAAAAAGAGAGAAAAATAATGGTTCTCTGAGCTCTTAAAGGTCGTAAGGGAGACCTTCAAATTTAGGGAAAGAAGCAGAGAAAGGAAAGGAGAAATCAAAAAGAGGACTGGACCTTCTCCCTCTGCATTCAGGTTTTTACAAAGAGAAGGTAACAGGTAATTCTGCAGATTCTCTAGAGGCCATTTTATGTGTACACACCCATTGGTTGGCAAAAACAAGTGTCACCTTCAGAAATATGTTGGTCATTAAAATGAACCGACCCAACAGATTTACTCTGTGTTCACTAATACCTATACCGTATTTCAAATTAGGCATAGATATCTGTCTTTTTAATACTTTGAATAGATTTCAAATTTGCCTACCTTATTGAACTCACGGTTTAATGATTGTGGTTTGATATGAATAAGGTTATTTTCAGCATATTTTTGTGATTTTTTTGCATTCTTTTTATTAGCATGAGACAGGCATTCTATTTTGTTCATTTAAATTATTTTTAAATTAGCCTTATGCAGGCTTGGTATTTGGGGTATAATTTGGACTCCCACACATCTTAATTCATCTGGGATCCAATTAAATTATTTTGATATTCCAAAATACTTAGCTTCTACTCCCTCACTTTTCCCTTCCCAACAGTTAATCTCTTATTTATATCTACCGTGTAAGAAAGGAAGTTAGGTCAATTAAATACAGTGCTGGAAGTGTAGTCAAATGAATCTGTTCTGTTCCCAACTGACATTCCAATTTGCATGAACTTGGACTCATCACCAATTCATCTGTGTCTGTTTCCTCATTTGCTAAAGCGAAATACTGCTATTAGTGGTCTTACACCCTAGAATCAAGAGGAAGACACTTGGCACATGTCTCGGTAGAATGAAAATTCCTTGAGAGTCACTCATTTTTTAACACTATAAAAACTAGTCCTTTATCCTCTCCACCTAATCCAATGCTCTAGAGGGCAGAACAAAATTGACTAATTTTTTGGCTTACTTGGTTTGTTTTCTAAGACAAGTAAATATAAAACTCCCTACAGAGAGCTATTCATACAAGTTTTTATTACATAAGTATTTCTGAAGTAAACTGTGCTCAAGTAGACACACATAACACTGACTTTTGTTTTGTTTTACAAACAGCAACAACGTGAAAAGTCCACTGAATAATGAAGAAGAATGACACACTGGTTACAAGATGCTACTGAAAAATATGCCACATTCTGTTTTCTCCTGTTGGAGCTTCACTCTTCACATTTGTATATTAAAGATTTCAAGGAATCTTGGATTAAAGAAATCATGTTTAACTTCGCTTTACTCCACATTTATTAGATGACAAAATTTTTTACAAAGAATAATAAATAACATCCTGAGGAACAAACTTAGGGAAAGCTTATCATAAAACAAATAGTTAAAGATGGACTATACCATTGAGAATTGGGCCTTTTCTGGTAGCTTAGGATGAATAATACACATTTTACATACTTTTCTTTTATCCAAAATAGCATTTTATTTTACAAAAGTAATGTTCTTCCAAAACCTTTTTAAATGCAAATAAAGAAAAATAACTAAAAACAACCATAATCCCACCTCTTAGAATAAAATTATACTTAGCATTTTGATCTACATTGTATGCGCGTATCCATATATATATGTGTGTATGTCCATTTTCTTAACCGAGTTAAGAATAGAGAATATTCACTGGAAATCTACAGCAAAAGTTTTATGTAAGGGTAAGCCTTTGAGGCATTTCTTTAAAATCAAGCACAGTACATGTTTTCTACTATTGTAGATACTATTGAAAGCTACACTGAAGTTTCTAGTCAATTAAGAAAAAAGTAGAAGATATAAAACGAAGTTTTGTAAACTATCATTGCTAATGGATGACATGATCGTCCATTCATAAAAATCAATAAAGCTACCTCCTGAAATTTTTTTTTTTTGAGATGGAATCTTGCTCTGTCACCTAGACTGGAGTGCAGTGGTGCAATTTCCACTCACTGCAACCTCCGCCTCCTGGGTTCAAGTAATTCTCCTGCCTCAGCCTCCTGAGTAGCTGGGATTATAGGCATGCGCCGCCATGCCTGGCTAATTTTTGTATTTTTAGTAGAGATGGGATTTCACCATGTTGGTGAGTCTGGTCTCCAACTCCTGATCCGCCCACCTCTGCCTCCCAGAGTGCTGGGATTATAGGCATGAGCCACCACACCCAGCCGAAATATTTTTAAAATCAGGTAATTAAGCATGTAGGCAATATTAAGATCAACATACAAAAAATCAAAGACCTCCATAGTGGTCATAACAATTACAAAATGCAGTAGAAGAAAGAAGCTATTCACAGTAGAAACAAAAATTAAAAATACAAAAGTGTTTAAATCACTCATGGACAAAATTACAAAATTTTGTTGAATGATATAAAATAAAACTTGAATACTGGAATAGTTCGTATTCCTGGGTAGGAAGACTCAAAACTGTTGCGTTGTCAACTTTTCACAAATTAATCTATAAATTCATCTAAATTACAATCAACATTTCAACAGAATTTTTCAGTAGTCATACACTCAATTCTAAATTCATATGAGAGGTTAAATTTGCAAGAGTAGTCAAGAAATTTAAAAGAAAAAGGGACTCAAAAGGATGGTTGCTTTCTTGCCAAATATCAAGACATAGTATATAACTATGGTAATTGGTATATTGCTATTTTGGTTACAAAGAACAACTAAGTAAAGAACCCAAAACCCAACTCATAAATATATATATATAAATACATTCGAAATATATTCAAAAACCTTTAATATGATAGATTCAGCATTCAAAACCAGTAGAGGAAAGATAACTATTCAATATAATCCAAGGAACAATTGGCAATCTATAGGGGAGATAAAGCTAGATTTCTGTTTTATGGAATTCACAAAAGCTGATTTCAAATAAATTATAAGCATAAGTGTGGAGAAAACTACAAAATATTTAAAGTGAATATAGAAGAATATGTTAATCCCTTAGGATGTGATAGGCCTTAAATCAAGTGCAAAGAGAAAATCATGAAGGAAAAAGCTAATGAATTTGGTAGCATAAAAATTAAAATCTTCCACAAGAAAGAAAACACCACAAAAAAATTAAAAAAGTAATTTACTTGAAGAAATATTAGCAATTTGTACAGCAGAAAAAGGACTGGTAATTATATAAATAACTTCTAAGAATTAAAAGTAAAACACAAATAAACCAATAGATTTATGGCAAAAAAAGATAATTCACAAAAAATAACATACAAATACCCAATACAGATATAAAAATATATGTAACAGCAAAAATAAATTTGTTAGATAAGATGAAGTAGTATAAATCTCAGTTGTGTTAGTCCATTCTCACACTGCTACAAAGATACTACCCGATACTTGATAATTTATCAACGAAAGTGGTTTAATTGACTCACAGTTCTGCATGGCTGAGGAGGCCTCAGGAAGCTTAACGATTATGGCAGAAGGGGAAGCAAGGCAGGTCGTGCATGGCGGCAGAAGAGAGCGAGAGAGGGGAAGTGCCACACTTTTAAAACCATCAGTTATCATGAGAACAAACTCACTATCACAAGAACAGCATCGGCGAAACTGCCCCTGTGATCCAATCACCTTCTGCCAGATCCCTCCTTCAACAAGTGGCAGTTACAGTTGAAGATGAGATGTGGATGGGAACATGGAGCCAAACCATATCACCAGTCATGGTTTTCAGAGACAGAGACAACTTGCAGAAAAACGCCTACAATACGATAATGTTTACAAAAGTAAACACACATCCAAATAGATGTACAAACAATACCATGCACATTCTATGTACATGTAAATGTATGTAAACATTTTCATGGAATAGGGTTAGGAGGAGCAGGTAGACAGTAGTAGGATTGAGTAGGAGAGAAAGATGACTTCTCTGTGATAATTTGTCTTCCTTTAAGGATAATGCTTTTATTATTTAATTTCAAAACAATGTCAAAATATTCAAAAAAATCTCAACAAAGGTACCACTAAGGATAGAATATCAATGATAAAGAGAAGGTCTTAATAGCCTTCAAAGAAATAAAAAGTTTTCTACAAAGGAATAAAAATTGGACTTTAGTGTTTTTTAAAATAGAAACAACAACAGACATTAAAAAAGATGGAATAGCAAATTCTTCTGTTATGAAAGACAATCATCGTAAACCTAAAATGGAATATTAATCCAAACATGCAATCAAACTTGAGGGCAAAATGAAAGCTTTCTCAATCACATAGGAAATGCCATGCAACACTTCTGTGGAAGTTACATAAGGATGTACTTCAATAAAATGAGAGAGAAATCAAGTGAAAGAAATATGTAGGACACTAGAAACGGTGACACTAACTCAAGATTCCATGGGAATAGGATGGGCAGTACAATAGTTAAACAGCAAGCACAGAAAAAACAAAAAACAAAAAACTCTGCATTTAAAAAAGGCAGATGGCTCCAAATTAAATATATGTATGAAGACAAAATTCATTTCAATAAGTAAAAAGTAAGTTACTAGCAGATATTAAGAGTATTATTTTTAAAAGAAGGCCTATAATTCTTTCAATAATAATAAACTTAATAGAAAACTTTAGAGAAAGATACAAGCAAACACACAGTGCTATCAATGAGATGTGGTCCAAATATGAAGCAGACTAAACTATGGTTTGATTATGAGAAACTTTAGGAGCATAAGAAAGGATGCTAGAAATACTGTGTTTCAAGTGACTTATGGTTCGTACAGAAAAAAAAGAAAATGAAAATGAAAACTTTGTATAATATTTACCTCTAATAAATAAAATTTAAATAATTATAATAATATAAATAAGGTTTATTGATTTTCAGCCGTTACAATCAAGTTTTTTTCTGTCAAAACTGGAGGCCAATCGTTTCTAAAATTAAATAATAGAGATAGTGGCAGCAGTGACAGTGGCAGTTGCACTGATGACATCACCACCTAGGTGGCATCATGGGTAAAATCAAGCCTCAGTGGCAGTGCTCCAGGTTATGGGCTGGGATAATCAAAAATGAGCCCAACCTTAGAGCTACAGTCCAGGTACAGATCAACTTAACAGTGAAAATTGGACTAGTTCCTATCTCACTTAAGCAGCAAGACATAGAAACTCCTACTGTCTGTAGAAAATAAAGTAGCAGGATTCCCAATTCTTACTGTTCAAGACACAATATTATATATTCAACCAAAGGTTACCAAACATGCAAAGAAACAAGAAAATGGGAGCCAAAGTAAGAAAAAAGTCAACTTAAAATGACTTGCATAGTGACCCAAATATTAGAATAGCAAACAAGATCTATAAAATAATATATTCAAGGATTTAGAGAAAAGTATGGAATAAGAAGTAAGCAGACAGGGCCGGGCACAGTGGCTCACGCCTGTAATCCCAGCACTTTGGGAGGCCAAGGTGGGCGAATCACCAGAAGTCAGGAGTTCGAGACCCGCCTGGTCAACATGGCGAAACCCCATCTCTACTAAAAATACAAAAATTAGCCAGGCGTGGTGGCAGGCACCTGTAGTCCCAGCTACTAGGGAGGCTGAGGCAAGAGAATCACTTGAACGCAGGAGGCGGAGGTTGCAGTGAGCTGCAATCACACCACTGCACACTCTAGTCTGGGCAACAAGATCCAGACTCCATCTCAAAAAAAAAAAAAAAAAAAAATGAAAGAAAGAAGCCAGACAGAAATTTTAAATAAACTAAATAGAGAGCAGAGATTTTATAAATATTTAACACAAAAATATATTAGGCTGACTTAACAAAAGAATAACATTGTTAAAGAACAGAACAGGAACTGGAAGATAAATATATAGAAATTATCCAAAATAAAATTTGGAGAGAAAAAAGTATTTAAAAAGATTGAACAGTGAATTATCAGTGACATGTGAGGCAGTATTAAATGGTATTACTTCCATTTTACTGGACTTTCATAAAAAGAAGCAAGAGAGAATGAAAAGGAACAAATTGAAAAAATAAGAGTGACAATATTTTCCAAATTTCATATAAAATTTAAAGCCATAAATTCAAATTTGATAGAAATTTTAAACTCATAAATCCACAAAGCTCTAGGTACCCCAAAGAGGACAAATGCACAAAAATCCAAACTTAGAAAATCATAAGCAAATCACTAAAAAACAAGGGTAAAATATTGTAAAAGCGGTCAAAAGGAAAATGTCACATGGAGAGTAATGATTATAGTAGAAATGCTTTCTTCTCACCAAAAACAGTACAAGACAAAAGATAATGGAATGACACTTCTAATGACCATCAACCTATAGTTCTTTATTCAGTGAAAATATTCTTCAAAAATGAATTTGAACTAAAGACTCTTTCCCAGTTAAATGAAAGCTGAGAATGCCAGTGTACCAGTATGAACAGAAACGGTAAAAGAAGTTCTTCATGCTGAAGAAAGCTGATATGTGATGAGAAGTAAGATCTAAAGACAAGATTAAATGTACCAAAAATGATTAATATTGTCAAATCCCAAATATTTTAATACAATAATGGTGACGGGTAAATCAATTATATCTCTACTATAAAGGTTAAAAGAAAAAATTATTAAAAACAACTAACATAACAATAATTTGTTAAGAGATACAAATTATTTAAAAATGTAAATTGTGACATCAAAAACAATAAAACCTGGGAAGAAGGGGAATAAAAATATAGAGTTTGTGTATGCAATCAAAGTTAAGTTTTTATTTGTTAAAATAGGCAGTTATATGTATAAGATGCTTTATGTAAGCTTCAGGGTAAACAAAATGCAAAATACTATAATTGATATGCAAAAGATAAAAATAAAATAAATAAAATATATCACTAAAGAAAGCCATCAAGCCACAAAGAAAGAAAGCAATAGAGGAAGAAAGGAAAAAAGGATTTATACAACAACCAGAAAACAACAAAATGGCAGCAGTAAGTCCTCACATATCAGTAATCACTTTGAATGTAAATTAATTAAATTCTCCAATCAAAAGGCATAGAGTGACTGAATGGATTACGAAAACAAGACCCAGCTACATGCTGTCTACAAGAAACTCACTTCACCTTAAAGGACACTCATAGACTAAAAGTGAAGGGATGAGAAAAGACATTCCATGCAAATGGAAGTCAAAAGAGAACACGTGTAGATATTTTTATTTCAGACAATATATTTTAGGTCAAAAACTTTAAAAAGAGACAACAAAGGTTATTATATAGTGATAAAGGCATACGTTCATCAAGAGAATTTAACAATTACCAATATACATGCATCCAATATCAGAGCACCTAAATGTAAAAAGTGACATTAAGAGATCTAGAAGAAGACATAGACTAGAACACAATAATAGCAGGGGATTGTAATACCCTACTTTCAACAACAGACTGATTATCCAGACAGAAAGCCAGTAAGGAAACATGGGCCTTCAACTATACTTCAGACCAGATACAACTAACAGACATAGATGGAGGACTCCACCCAACAGAATACATTCTTCTCAAATGCACACAGAACTTTCTTCAGGATAGGCTATATGTTAGGTCACAAAACTAGTTTTGACATGCTTAATAAGATCAAAATTATATGAAATTATTTTCTGACCACAAGTATAGGAAACTAGACATCAATAAGAGAAGAAATCATGGAAAAAGTTAACAAATGTGTAGAAATTAAACAATATTCTCCTGAGCAACTACTAGGTCTAAGAAGAAATTAAAGGAGAAATTTTAAAATAGCTTAAGACAAATAAAAATGAAAACAACATATCAAAACTTATGGGATGCAGCAAAAACAGTTCTAAGAGGGAAGTTTATAGCAGCAAGTGCCTACATCAAAATAGAAAAAAAAAAAACAAAAAACCTCAAATAGACAACCTAATGTTATACCCAAGGAAATGGAAAAAGAACCAACTAAGCCCAAAGTTAGCAGAAGAAAGAAAATAATAAAGATCAGAACAGAAATAAGAAAATACAGAATAGAAAACATCAATGAAGCTAAGTTGGTTTTTTAAAAAGCCAAAAAAAAACTGACCAATGTTTAGCTAGACTAAATAAGAAAAAAAGAGAGAAGCATCAAATAAATAAAATCAGAAATGGAAGAGGAGACATTACAACTGACAACCAATAAATACAAAGGACTAGCATGAACAATTATAAACCAATCAGTTGGAGAACTCACATGAAATGGATGAATTCCTAGAAACATATAACCTACCAGGACTGAATCACAAATAAGTTAGAAATCTGTACAGACCAATAACAAGTAAGGAGATTCAATCAGTAATTAAAAGTCATCAACAAAAATCTCAGGACCAGATGGCTTCCCAGCTGAATTCTATCAAACATTTAAAGAACTAAAACCAATCCTTCCTAAACACTTCCAAAAAGTTGAGAAAGGGGGCCCAAGGCAGATGTTTCACTGAACCCAATGACACATGAATACAACTTAAAAGTTTATTTTAACTCTGTCTCAGAAGAAATCGTTTTGCCCCTCATATCAAGTAGATTCCAAATATATAGTAGTAAAACTTTAAAATCAAATATTTTTAAAGTTGGGCTTGCTTTATTAGCATGAAAAATGTTTAATTAAATCAAATTAATGAGTTAATTAACAATTATTGGATGCAAGGGCATATACTCAATGCTATGGTAGATAAAAGTTACATAAAGCAAAGTTCCTCTCCTTAACAGTTAGCATAAAATAGTACTGGCTCCTTTATTCATAGTCCTTTTTTCAGATAATTTTTCTTATATCTGCTAGATGTGTATAGTAAGAATAGAGGAAGTTAAAGTACATCTTACATTTCCAATTTGTGACTTTTTGACACAAACTGCAAAGAAAGTAGTTATGTGGCTATCTATGGAGTACCCTAAGAGGTAAACCCCATCAAATACCAACTCAGACACACAATAGAGTATATCATGTGTCATTTAATGAAAGGGATATGTTCTGATATGTTGGCTGATTTTGTCATTGTATGAACGTTATATGGTGTACTTACACATATCTAGATAGTACAGCCTACTACACACCTAGCCTATGTGCTATAGCCTATTGCTCCTAGCTACAGACCTGTACAATATGTTACTGTACTAAATACTGTGGGCAATTGTAACACGATGGCAAGTATTTTTGTATCCAAAGATTTTTACATAGAAATTATAATCTTATTAGTCGTTTTCTATTAGCATGAAAAATGGCAATTAATGTCATTATATGATGTATGACTGTACAGCATAGAAGAGGAGGTTTTTAAATTAAATAGCATCAAGCATGTGAGGGTTAAGCAGAAATAGTCCCCAAATTACTGCATCCAGGAATAGGGCACACATGCTTTTACCCAATGGGGCATTAATTTGAACTTGGAACACAATCAAAATGGGATTTTTCCTGTCAAAAGATGTTTTAAATGCTCTATTAATACATTCAGAATACTATTGATAACAGAGGACACAGGTGACTGTGACTGACATTGGGGAAAGGGCATCAAGACCAAGCATAAACATAAAAACGTCCTCAAGATTATGAAAGAGCAATAAACACTTTGCCAAGTCTATTGGTAGGACCAAGCAAGAATATAAATCAATTAATAAGAACTGAACCTAATATAAACTTGGAGTATCCTAAGATGAAGAACCTAAGGAACTTCCCCAGATATTTTGAGAATCCTAATATAAATACGTGACCAATCCCAGAGTCAAGAGCAAGGAAACAATAAGAAAAAGAGAGAGAAAAGGAATAAAATGGCAACATTAGGAGCATTGTGGACCTGCTTCTAGATAAACAATAATGACTTATAAAATTTATTTTTACAAAAACAACAGGAAGTATTTAGAGTCTCTGTAAATTGTCCTAAGCATATACAGCAAAGGAAGAAATATTTACACAATATTATCTACTAAACATCAGTAAGAACAGTGACAGTCTGTGGCACGTAAGCCACAATCCACTCCTTTACTGAACTCCAACCTCCAGCTCAAGATGACAGAAGTTCCACTCTGGGTAGACAAGACCAGGAGGCAAGGATCCCTTTCCCACAGCAACAGTCAAGTGCTAGGATAGGACCCAAGGAGAGGTAGACAACCAGCATTTCTCGGGACCCCCATCTCCATGTCACAGAGACTAAATTCCAGTCTAGCAGTACAGCAGAGAAGGAAAGGGCTGTATTTTTTCACCCACCTTCCACTCATAGAGCAGAGGCTCTACCTTAGATGTGGCAAGTTGAGAATACTAGGATTCTAATCACTCTTACACTGTCTCATTTGTAGGGCAGAAGGTCCATTTAGAGAGAAGCAAGTAAAGGGACCAGAGGCTATGACACTGGCCCCTCTTGTAAAGTAAGGGTGCTACTCTTAAATAAATGGGCCACTTCTATTTCTGGAGCAGTGGCTCAAAGAGTTTGTCCAGAAAGAGAGGCAATCCATAATAACATAGAACTCTGAAACACTTATCAAAGGAACTGGCTTTATTTGGAACTAAAAATGGGAAAGTTCAAGCCTAATGGTGCACTGAAAACAAAAATTGATATTTTGATGGAAAATAATTCAGGTGAGGCTGGCACTTCCATGAGAACATCAGGCTAAACTCTTGTTCTGTTAGTTCATCAGAGAGAATGAGGGAAAGAAACAGCTAAGTAGAGCCTTCCTGGAATCAGAACACACCTAAAGATTGGCCTCAGAAACCGCCTTTGCAAAAGAGTCTGAATTTATTTGGATCGGAAGATGAAGCAACTTATGCCCCAGGATAATTAGTGTAGCCTAACAGTTGGTGTGATACCAACAGAAGCAGAGAGATTAACAGAGAGATCATAGACAGAAACAAAGAGAAACCTGCCAAAACCACTGTCACCACAGAGTCACTGTATGCATTCCCAAGGCTGAACTTCGTGAGGCATGACATCAGTCTTCAACTTTGGCAGAAATAGACTTTACTGAAATCTCCTAGCCAAGTCAAAACACACATAACCAAGAAAGCAATAACAATGACAAGCCCTAGAGGAGAAGAAGGATCAATGTCCAGAGCTGTTACCGTATATTACCCAAAATGCTCAATTTGCAACAACAATAAAAATTATGAGATGTGAAGAAACAAGAAAGTGCAACCAATATACACAGAAGAAAAAGCAGGCAACAAAATCTGACTAGGAGAGGGGTAAGATATCCAACTTAAAGACTTCAAGATAGTCATTATAAATATGCTCAGAGAACTAAAGGAAGCATGCTTTACAAAGTGAAGGAAGGTATGAGAACAACGTCTGTTCAAATAGAGAATATCAATAAAGACATAGAATATATAAGAAAGAACCAAATGGAAATTCTGGGGTTGAAAAATACAATTTTTAAAAATTCATTAGAAGGGCTCAAAACAATAGATCTGAACAAGCAGAAGAAATAATACACACACTTGAAGATAATTTGACAAATTCTGGGGTTGAAAAATACAATTTTTAAAAATTCATTAGAAGGGCTTAAAACAATAGATCTGAACAAGCAGAAGAAATAATACACAAACTTGAAGATAATTTGACATATTATGAAAGCCACAGAGATAAAAAAAGAGTAAAGAAAATTGAGCAGATCATAAGAGAGACATGGAACACCATTAAGCACACCACTATAGGCAAAATGGTAGTACCAGAAGAGGAGAGAGATGAGCATAAAAATATTTCAATAAATAATGGCTAAAAACTACCCACACTTGACGAAAAACAATACTGTTCACATGCAAGAAGCTCAGTGGGTAAATATAAAGAGATTCATACCCAGAATCATCACAGTAAAAATACTGAAATCAAAGACAAAGAGTAAATCATGAAAGCAGCAAGAGAAAAATAATTTATCATGCCCAAGGAAACCTCAATAAGAAGAATGACTGAGTTCTCATCAAAAACTATTGAGAACCTAAGTGGTTGGATGACAAAAACGATTAACCAAAAATCTTATATCCAACAAAATTATCTTTCAAAACTGAAGACAAAACAATGCCATTCCAGATACACAAAAATTGAGAGAATTTTTTCCTACTGAACCCACTTAGGAAATAGTAAAAAAAATTCCTTCAGGGCTGAAAACAAGTGGGCCCCAGACAGTAACTTTTAGTTTTACACACACACACATACACACACACACGCATACACACAAGCACTGGTAAACATAATTATGTAATTCTAAAGGATAGTATAAATGAATAGTTCTCCTTTCTTCTCTTAAATGATTTAAAAGGCAATTGTATATAATAATATGTATAAAATGTATTGTTGGGCCTACAACATATACAAATGTAATCTATTTCACAATAACAGTACACAAGTGGTAGGTGGGAGCAAAGTTGTACTGTAGAAAGGACATGATACCAGATGGTAACTCAAATCCACAGAACCAAATGACGACTACCATAAAGGGTAAATAAGAAGATTAATATAAGAAACTCTCTAAATACTCAAATTTCTTTCTTATATCTTCTTGAAAGGATATAAAATTATATAAAGTAATAAGTATAACAATATATGGTTGGATCTGTAACTCATATAAATATGTATAACAATAATAGTATGAAAAGCGGAACTAGGAAATAGAGCTATACAGAAGTATTGTTTCCGTATCTCACTGCAATTAAGGTGATATAAGTATATAGTAAATCAAAATATTAAGATGTTACACTAGAAAATATTAAATTAATACAAAAGAAAGCAATAAAAGAGAAATATAAGAGCAAAAAAGACATGAGACCGTATTTTTTAAAAGTAAAATTGCATGTGTAAATCACTATATCAGTAATAACATTGGGAGCTGATCATAATCCCCAAAACCCAATCCCAAATGCCATAATCCCTAATATTGAAATTCCAAAAGCTCAAAATCCCACAAATCTAAAATCTCCAAAATCACAATCTTGAAAAGTCAAAATTATAAAAAACATAATTCTGGAAAAAAATAATTTTAAAAATTACCTTAAATATATTTCTTTACATTTTTAAAAGAGGATTTATTTTAGAAACATAAAAATACAACATAACACTTCATAGGACACTTTACATAATAAAATAGCCAATAATATATATATTTTTGCAAGCATAAACACTCAGGTATACTAATAACAGTCACATGAGTATAAACGTATGAGCAGATGAATCATACAAAAAAATAGGTCAAAAGGGAAACGCATTTGCATATCACTATGGTTGGTAATGCTGTGCACCCAGCTTTATTACTGCAGTCATATGAAACACTATGATGAATAATTTGTCTTTTGTCGAGATTGATCAAAAACTAAAAATTTTCACTATCGCATATGCAGTCACCGAAATAACCAAAATCTTGAGAAATGTTATCTTTCACAAATACACATGTACATAAAGGACATCTCTTCATTTATTGAGGAAGTTTCAACATTTTTACATACAAGCACAATGCTTACAAAGTCAACCTTGTGATAATGCACTTCCTTGGAGTTAAATTTGCAAAAAATGCACAAAATGCATTAGAACTCTCCAAGTCTCTACGGAATTTATACCTCCAGTATTGGAGAGAATACAAAAATTAAATACATGTCATAGTGAACTGTAAAAAACAATGCTGACAATTTAAAATAGTTTAAAAAAAGAAAAAAATCAACATCCAAAAAGGTGTATTACAGAGATAGATTATGGACAATTGCACAGAAATACTCCATAAGAGCTGGCCAACATTCACGATAATTTTGAAATCTTGCATCATGAGGATCAGCTACTTTTTTCCTTTTAGGTTTTGGCTCTCCTGAGAGAATATATTCACACTTATTTGCTATGTGGTGCTGCTCCTTTTGAAATTCTTCTATGATTCAATAATTGCTGACGTGAGCATTCCCTATTAATTTTACCATCTTCTATTTAAGAATTTTGATCTTTTGGGATTATGGCACTTGGGATTGTATCTTTCAGGATTATTATCCAAATCCAATAATTCTAAACGCGAGTAAATGAACAATCAAGACAAAAGGAAAAAATTGTAAGACTAGATTTAAAAACCCAAGACACAGTTATCTGTAGGTTCACTGCAGGAGATGTATATTAGATTCAAAGATACAAATCTGATGAAAGTAAAAGGATGCAAAAAGATATATCATGAAAACAGCAACCGTAAAAAAGCTGGAAAGGCATACTTAAGACAACATAAACTTTAAAACAAAAAATATTGCTAGAGATAAAGAGGGAAGTATAATAATAAAAGAGTAAATTCATTAGGAAGATATTAATTTTAAAAATAAATATACACTTAGAAACAGAGCTCCATAATACATGCAACAAAAACTGACAGAATTATTGGGAGAAATACACAATTTAACAATAAGTGTTGGAGACTTCAATATTCTACTTTAACAATGAGCAAAACATGTCAGAGAAGATCAACAAGGAAATAGAAGACTTGAGCAAGAATGTAAACCAGTTAAGACCTGAAAGTTTTCTATAGAACACTCCACCCAACAGCAGCAGAATACACATCCTTGTCAAGTACACATGGAATATTCAACAGAAGAGATGATATGCAAGACCATAAAACAAGTCTCAATACCTTTGAAAGGATGGAAATCATACTAAGTATGTTCTCTGGCCACAATGGAATAAAATTAGAAATCAGTAACAAAGAAATTTGAGAAACTTGCAAATACGTGGAAATGATAGCACACACTCCTAAATAAGAGGTCAGAGAAGAAAGTACAAGGAAAATTAGAAAACACTTTGAGATGCATGAAAATGAAAACACAATACACTAAAACTTACGGAACACTGCTAAAGCAGAGCTTAGAATTTACAACTATAAATGCCTATATGAAGAAAGTTTCCAGATTAATGTATTAACCTCCTAACTTCAGATACTAGCAAAGAAGAGAAAGTAAACATAAAACAAGAAGAAAGAAGAAAATAATAAAAGTTAGAGCATAAATTAATAAAATGAAAAAACGCAGAAATCAAATAAAAGTGTGTACTTTGAAAAGATCAAAATAATTGACAAATATTTAGTTTGGCCAAGAGAAAGAAAAGACCTAAATTACTAAAATCAGGATGGAAGTGGGGGATTACTACTGACCTTAAAGAAAATAAAAGGTTTATACAAGAATACTATGAATGACTAAATGCCAAAAAATTAAATAACTTAGATAAAATGGGAAAATCCCTAGAAAGACACCAACTGTGAAAACTGAGTCAAATAGAAATAGAAAATGTGAATACACCTATAACAAATAAACCCTCAGCCTAAACAGCTTCACTGGTGAATTCTATCAATTATTTAAAGAATAAATAATGCCAGTTCTTGACAAACATTTCCAAAACAGAAAATTAGAGAATACTTTCTAATTCATTCTATGAGCCTAGTATTACCCGAATTCCAAAACCAGACAAGGACATCGCAAGATAAGGAAACTACACACCAATATCTCTAATGAATATAGATGCAAAACTCTGCAACAAAATACTAGCAAACTGAATCCAGCAATATACTAAAAGAATCATAAATCATGACCAAGAGGCATTAATCTCAGGAATGTGACGTTGCTTTAGCATCCAAAAATCAATCAGTATAACATAGAATACCAATAGAAGAAAGAATAAAATCCACACAATTATCTAAATTGACTCAGAAAAAGCATTTGGCAAATCTGACACATTTTTATGAGAAAAAGAAAAAACACTCAACGAACAAGGAATAGAAGAGAACTTCGTCAACATAATAAAAGGCATCTATA
The DNA here is from genome assembly GCF_000001405.40 of Homo sapiens. NCBI lineage: Eukaryota > Metazoa > Chordata > Mammalia > Primates > Hominidae > Homo > Homo sapiens. The sequence continues at coordinate 23,469,367 of NC_000009.12, forward strand.
AAAAATCGCACCAATGACATCATACTTAATAAATGGCTGAATACTTTCCACCTAAGACCAGGAAAAAGACAAGAATGTCTAGTCTCACGACTTTGATTCAACATTACACTGGAGGTTTTAGCTAGGGCAATTAGGCAAGAAAAGTTAGCGGGGGAGGGCCGGGCGTGGCGGCTCACGCCTGTAATACCAGCACTTTGGGAGGCCGAGACGGGCAGATCACGAGGTCAGGAGATCGAGATCATCCTGGCTAACGCGGTGAAACTCCGTCTCTACTAAAAAATACAAAAACAAAATTAGCTGGGTGTGGTGGCAGGTGCCTGTAGTCCCAGCTACTCGGGAGGCTGAGGCTGGAGAATGGCATGAACCCAGAGGCTGAGCTTGCAGTGAGCCGAGATCGCGCCACTGCACTCCAGGCTGAGCCACAGAGCGAGACTCCATCTCAATAAAAAAAAAAAAAAAAAGGAAAAAAGAAAAGTTAGGAGAGGAGAAGCATCTAGGTTGAAAGGAAGTAGGAAAGCTATCACAATTTGCAGATTACATTATCTTGTTTATAGAGAAGTCTAAAGAATCAACTAAAAATCTTCTAGATCTAATAAGAGTTCAGCTACGTTGTAAAATAAACAAAATACAAAAATTGATTGGATTTCTATACACTTGCAATAATCTGAAATGAAATTGAGAAAACAATTCCATTACAATAGGATCAAAAAAATAAAATACTTAGGAATAAATCTCCTATCAAAATCCCAGCCGACTCCCTTGCAGAAATTGATGAGGTATTCCTAAAATTCTTACAGATGAATCATCCAAAACAATCTTGAAGGAAAAGAACAAAGTTGAAGGACTTTGATTTAAAAATGTATTACAAAGCTATGCTCTTCAAGAGAATGTGGTACTAGCATAAGGACAGACATATAAATCAATGAAATAGAATTGATCATGATAATAAAAATGAAAAATAATAACAAGTGTTGGTGAGGATTTAAGGAAATTTTAACCCCCATACACAGCTTGTAGGAATATAAAATGATGCAGCCACTTTGGCAAGCAGCTGGACGGTTACCATATGACCTAGGAATTTCACTCCTGGGTATATACTCAAGATAAATAGAAACATAGTCACATACAAATTTGCACATGAATGTTCATAGCCACATTTTTCATAATAGCCAAAGGTGAAAACAACCCAAATGTCCTACAACCCATAAATGGATAAACAAAATGTGATATATACACACAATGAAATATTGTTCATCCATAAAAAATGAAGTTCTCATTTATGTTACAATATAGAAGAATCTTGAAAACATTATGCTAAGTGAAAACAGCCAGACACAAAAGGTCACATGTTGTATGATTCTATTTTTACAAAATATACAGAGTAGGCAAAACTTTACCAACAGAAAGCAGATTAATGATTGCCTGGAACTTGCAGAGTTAGAAAGGAAAAGAGGGTGCCTGCTAATGGATGTGAGATTTCTTTTTAGGGTGATGGACATATTCTGAAATCCTTGATGTCAGTGGTGGTGTCACAACTCTGAATATACCAAAAAAATTGCACAGTTTAAGTGAGAGAATTTCATGATATGTTAATTATAGCTCAATAAAGCTGTTTAAAAAAATGAAAGAGGATAAAAACTGTACAATGCACCACACCTCCCACTATTTTGTTAGGTAAAACTAGCTTTAAAGCAAATTCCCTATCATACCTCCTGTATGATTTGCTGAAGTTATGTATTTTGTGTTTATATGTAAGAACCTATAGTTCCTATAGTTCTCATTTACTTATTTACCCATCAAATAATCTGAATTACTTATATATTTTTCTAGGAAGAGTAAATAAAATTAGAGAAAGTAACAGTGCATGGCTATTATTGAAAGTTATGCTCTTCTGTTTCATAGAGGTTGCTCTGGAAAAAAAAATTGGGCAAGAATAGAAGAAATAGGCTAAAACTGAGATATGATACAGCTTCCAATGACAAAGAAGGAGCCACCTGAAACACATTTTTATTTAGCAATAATGTGATCCTAAAAGGAAAATACCATTTGAACAAACCAAATAGCCCCTCCACTAGGAGAGGAGATTCACCTCCCACTTGACTCCCCAGAAGTGGATTTCACAAGTTTACATGCAACCCAGAATTGAGCGACATTATCTTCTCACAATAAAATTGTGGGCCTTAAGTAGTCCATTTTTCATCCTGCCAGCCAGAGATTCTATTGATGAACCAAATAATAGAGAAAAACGTGGACAGTCTGTGGCTGCTTCCTTTTCAAAAAAGAAAGAAAGAAAGAAATGGTGTCCAATTATACACATTAGCCTTAATTTTGGCCTTTGAATGATCAGATAATGTTTCTGCCCATGAAATGAATTCTTGTGGCAAGCCCATGCTTTTCAATGTCAAAAATAAAATCTTCCAATTAATTGTCAAAACGCTTTTCCAGCATCTGGAGACGGGAGTAAGTTGGGTCTTTTATATTTGTAGCTTTTGACATTATATTAAACAATCTTTCGGGTTGTCATAGTCCATTCTCCTTTGTATATATCCCCATTGGTTTGTGTTTATCAATTGTTTTATTAGGCCATCTAATCTTTCAGTTCAATTTCTATATTTCTTATATTTAGGTTAAATCAAGGGAAATTTTTGTCACTGTGCAATAATCTCCATGTCCTGCTTCAAGAGGGCAAGACCAAGGATATTTTTCAGAGTGTAGGCAGATATTTGCCTTTCCTTCCTCCAAAAAGCTGGTCCTGCATGGGGTTACATGAAGCTGTCTCAGCACTGGCAACCATAGAAGATACCACGTAGACAACTAATCAGCTATTGTGGATTGCTATAATCTTTACCGCAAGGTAAATATCAGAGCTACTGATCCATGCTTATGTACTTCTTTTCAAGTCTGAGAGTGTTTCTCTTTAACAGAAAATGCTGCATGAAAACACTTTCCATTTCCCAGTATCTTCTCTCAAGGATTTTCTTTGTTTTACATTTGAAAAGGTAATCAAGTCACATAAATGAGCTAAGGATTTTTCATTTGCTCTTAACTCCAAAACTTTTCAAGAAAAGTTGGAAGCAGAGAAGCTTCTTTTTCATTTCTTCATATGTTCATATCTAGGGCTATTTTTTCATTTGATTTCTGTTTTCCTTGCTCCTTTTTTTGTAAGAATGTCTGCATTTACCAAATTTAACTTGTGTTCCTTTTGGATTCATAGAAGCATATATTTTTCTTTAATCAATGTCTGTGTTCCCTGAGAAGCTAAAAATTATTCCAGGATGAGGGTATTACGTATTAACAGAAAAAAAATAGAGAAATCATTTGTATTCATTTTTCAAAATACTTCTCAGCCCAATTTAGAAAGGCTTTACTTTCTTGGATTTGTTCATTTGAATTTTTAATCATTAATTTAACTCAACTATGCAGATGATCAACCACAGAGATGTAGAAAGAACTGGAGCAATTGTACCTAGGTAAGAAAAAGGGTGATTCATTTGAAGGAGGTGAGTAAAGACAGACAGTGTGTTGATACAAGCTTCTTGATGCCCTTTCTACCAATCTCCAGGCACTTCTTGGCTAAGGCATGTAAATAATTTTCACTTGTCCTGGTCCTTCTTTTAGGGACAGAACAAGCCTTATCAGCCTATCAGCAAATTATTTACACCCAGTTTCAGGTCTCCTGGGCACCAGGATGGACACAGGCATGTGTGTCCTTAAGAGCTGCAAATCTGTATCCAAAAGGAGTTATAGATCCAACGGCAAAGAAAAGTCATAAGTACATATGGGAATGGAGCCAAACCTGAGAAGGTTGGAAAGTGTTCAGGAACTAAATGTAAAGTGGCAGAGAATTATCAGGCTGATGGAAAAGCCATGAAAAAGTTGAGATGACACTTGTATATGTACATGGCTGCATCGCCTCAGGGTAGATGTGGGGGGCAAAGGAACTAGACACGACCACCCTACCCTGGACCTCTCCTCAGTCCCAACACTCAGAGCAGTTCCCTCAGCAAGCACTTGGCACCAAAAGGCAAAGCAGTCTCAGGTGCTGTGGCTTGCTCTCTCTGATCCTCTGTCCTGCTCCATAAGATAGAACTTTTCACATACTTTAGGAGCCAAGTACAAATATTCTAACCCCTAACTGTAATTTCCTGTTCTCATCAGTCACTTAAACCTTGATGTCCATGGGACACCACTCTAAATTATCTGCATTTTAAATTGTTTTTATGATTTTGTTCTTTGCCCTGAAATTTTCTTTACATTCCCATTCTAAGAGAGGCTATGTTGGTTGAAGGTCCATTCAGTCTTCTACAACCCTTTTTCCACTCTTTCACCCTTCTGCAAGTCCCTAACCTTCCAAAAGAGCCACCTAAGTTTCGACCTTCTTTCTCCTCTAAAAAATAAAACAAAAGTGTTAATGATGGTGATGGGCAAAGTTGAAATTATTTAATATCTCAATAATTATAGCTCCTTCAAGCCTTTTAAAAGGAAATATTCAGCATTTGTCTCCAGCAATTTAGATTATGGTTCGGAAGATTAGTTAACATCCTATTAGCCTGTAATCCTAAACTATTCTTTACTCTAAAGTACATTAAATCAGATGGGAACAAAAACCCCCACTTTTCTTTACATTTTCATTTTATGAGATAGGTCTTTGGGAAAATTTATATTTACTGTTTTTTCAAGTTATGCTTGAGCGCTATGGATAGCTTCTACATAGGTTTAGGTTGTTGAAAATGAAGAAAATGATACAACAGCTAACATCTATTGGCCACTTAGTATATGGGACAAGCACTTTGGTAAGTACTGTATTACATGGACTATCTCATTTAAGTCCCACAACAACTATTATCCTCATTTTTATACATGAAGAAACTAAGGCTCACAGAAATTCATTAACCTGCCCAAGAGAGTGGTATAGCCAAAACTCAATTTTATTTTGATTAAGGGAAAATTTAAAGAAACAATGCATGTACAAGGATATGACTGCAAATAGTGATAAGCTGCATATTGTGCTCCAGTGCCCCATGTGAGCAAACTAGTGGCCTGGAAGCTTCTCTGCATAGTCATGGAGGTAAGTCTCTTGATTTAAGGATGTCATAATACCGGGTCATGTTACTGGTAGGCTTCCTTATGGACAGTAAATGAGTGAGACCTAAAAGGCTCCCAGCCTTTTAGGAGAAGCAAGCAGAGCTTCAGGGAATAAGAATGTGCTTTTCTGCAAGACCCATTTCCACCCCTGAATGCTCCATGCCCTGAATGTGGACCATACACTCAGAGGAATTGTAGCTGCAGTCAAGAGCATTGGCCTGGTTTAATACCTTAATATGTGTGTGGAGGCCTTCCTAAAAGAGCACATGTGATTGAGCTGCCTTCACTCTATCAATCAAGTGGAGAGTTCATGCATGGCCTTTAACACAAGGTATCACAGAGGAAGCCCATATTTATTCTTAACACCATCATCATGACTAACACTGTGGAACAGTGGCTAAGAGTGTGGACTCTGGAGACACATTACAGAGGCTTTGAATCCCAAATCTACTACTTACTAGCTGTATATTCTTGGGTATGTTATTTAACATTTCTCTGACTCTATTTATTTATTTGTAAAATAGAGGTAATTATAGCACCTGCTTTATCACGTTGCTCTGAGGATCTAATATAAGTAATGTTTGTACCTGGCACATAGTACATACTCCATAAATATTATATAGTATCATCATGATCATCATCACTATCAATCATCATCTCTGCCCCAGGATTTGGAGGTGAAGAGGAATCACTAGATGGGAATATGCTGAGCTCCAGCAGCCACCATTGATGCTGAGCAAAACCCTCACCAATCAAACCCCATACTCAGACTATGACACAATGGTTTCAACCACTTCCCTTATCTCCTGTGCCTTTGTCACCATCCTGCAGCAGGTCCTCATTACATCTTACCTGTGCTACCACAAAATCTTCCAGACGGATCTTCCCAAATCCATCTCTTCCTTCTCTAATCAGTCATCAACACTGCTAGCAGATCAATCTTTCTCCTGAGGGTCAGAGTTTCTATCTCACACCTCTTCCCAAGCGCTGCTACCCCTTATACTAGATCACGCTCTATGGAGATGCTGAATGAATGTTTTCTGGAATTGCTGTGTGAGTTCCTTTCATAGGGTAGGAAATCATGCCAGCAATACCAAAAAAAGAGGGTCACTAGCAATAGAAGTGACATATTAATAATGTTAAATTCCACTGACACTGTGTTTTACTGTTTACAAAGCACTCTCACACATTCTAGGTGGTAGGCAAGGCAGGTTGCATCCTCATTTTAAAGGGAAGGAAACTAAATTGATTACAGAGGTAACATGACTCAACCAAGGTTAAGACACCACCAAAATTGTGTCTCAAAGTCTCTTGGCTGGTTTCACATTACCTCCTTTCAGTAACTATTCAGAAAGTAGGGTCATGTTATATTTCCTGAAGAATTGTGCTCAGTATGTTTAGAATGATAAAATAACATGTATTGGGTACTTACTAAGGTCAGGAACCATACCAAGCATTCTACATGGATTATATAATTTGACTCTCTCAAGAACCATATTTGCCCATTTATCAGATGAAAAAACATGAGTTTGCACATACTAAATTACCAGCTTAGGATAACTTAGCAATAGCAAGGTGAATAGACAATGACAACCAGAGGGCTGTGCTCTGAACTGGGCCCTCTTCTCCTTCCTGCCTCTGGGTTCCTGGCTGAGTCTCAAGTCAATTTAACCTAGATGATGATTTGGGCTTTTTCTATATCACTTATCTATATCAGTTATGTCTTACAGGAGAATTATGTAACAATTTAGAAATGCATATGTATTGTGTATTATAGTTTAAAATTTATGAGCTTAATCAAATTTTTATTTTCATCTGAGATTTTTTTATCTGAGACTTATTTAACTAAAAATAAACATGAAATATAATTTCACTCTAAAAACATTTGTAATGGGTCTTTTTTTAAATTTGCAAACTTTTTATAAATCTTGTGATACATAATTCTTTCTTATTTTGGGTTTCATATTATAGTTCTAGGACATTCTTGCCTAAGCCATAGTTTTTTATGCTTAGTTCAAAAGCTGTCAAAAGAGTATTCTCCTAATACTTTTATCAACTGCATTTCTTCTTTGATTTGCCTAGTTTTCCATTTCAGTATATTTCTATACATCGATAATATTAACCCAGTTTCTTATTTGTGGCACCTTTCAAAAAGAGTTTCTTGCTTAACATTGAATTTTGTAACTCATGTGTTTGTATCTACAAAATATTTAATGTTTATGGACTTAAACCAATTAATATTTTTCTCCGTGCTTTTCACCATTGCTTTTTTGCCTAGAAAGTCCTTTCCTATCCTTCGAAGAGATAATCTGCCTGCACTACCTTTAATTATTTCTAAGTTCTCTATATTTAATCTTCTTTCTCCTTCTTTCCTCTGGTTTATTTCTCTCCCCCTCTTCTCTCCTAATCTCTCCATCCATCCATCTATCCATCCATCCATCCATCCATCCATCCATCCATCCATCCATCCAGTCTTTCTCTCTCCTTATCTGTCTTTCTCTTACTCTCTATTTTGTCATTAAGCTCTTTCATCTGCTTTTGACATAAATCATAATATAAGGATCAAAACTTATATGTTACCAAATAGTTAACCAATAGTATGCATTATTCCTTGAATAACTTCTATACCAATCCCCCTCGCTGATTTCCTTTATCTCCTTTATCGTATACCAAATTTTTGTATATTTTTGGATTTGTTTCTGCATCATCATTAGGGGTCATTGTTCTTATACAAGCACAACTCTGTTTTAACTATACTCTTAATAAATCCCATTTGATTATATTATTTTTAATGCATAGCTGTATATGATTTGCTAGGGTTTTAGTTACGTATTTTGTTTTGTGTTTATAAGTGAAATTATGTATAGCTCAATATCTTTGCATCAAAAGAGAACACCTTTATCAAGTTGCATCATTGTTGACAAAAAGAAAAACCAAATAGCAAAACTGTTCTATCTTTTATGATAGTTCAAAGACATGGAAATTATAGGATCCTTAAAAATTGTAATGTTTGTTCATAAAATATTGTTCTCCCATTTCTTCATGGTTTTTACCAAGTTGGATTTGCAACTTCTTCTAATATCATTTTGATAACTCATACCATCTCTAAAAAGGGTTGATAAGTACATTTTTATATGCATCTTTGGTCCTAGTTTTGTGAGGAATATTTGTGTTTTGCCAAATTCGTTTTTCATTGAAAATGTGATTTGTCCATCAGGCTATTTAATAGATGAGTTTTCTCCCAAAGGACCAGATTTTTAAACCATTAATAAGTTCTACGGTTTTGTATTCCTTCACATATTAATTTCTTCTTTTATTTTTATAATTGTTATGTAGGCTTATTTTTTCTAATTTCTTAATTTAATGTTTATACATTCATTTTCATTTTATTAATCATGATAACATTAAAAATATATCTATGAAAGTCACAAAGTCAGAAAGTATTTTGTCACTTTGGGCATAATTCAAACTGAGATCTGACATTTTCCATTACTTTATTCTGCCTATAATCATGTACTCAACAGTGATTGAGTCTCTAACACAGGCATTTGTTCTACAAATGTGTCCTGAGGATTTACTGTGTGCCAAGCACAGTGCTATGTTCTAAGGTTCCAGATTAGAATGCAATACAGAACCTGCTTTTAGCAAGTTCACCATCTAGTGGAAGTGACTGACCTGTAAGCCAGCGATTTTGTTGCAATACCTAAGTACTACAATGAAACAAAGAACAAAGCATCATAGGAGGACAGAGAAAAGAGTGACAAGGACTTACTCTCCTTGTTACTCCTTGTTGAATGGGAGAGGCAATAAGGAAAGCTTCACCAAAGAGAAACCTTTAACCAAGTCACGGTATATAAACTTTTCTTGGTTTTTTTTGTTTTGTTTTTTTGTTTGTTTGTGTGTTTTGAGATGGAGTTTCACTCTTGTTGCCCAGGCTGGAGTGCAATGGCACGATCTCAGCTCAACACAACCTCTGCCTCCCAGGTTCAAGCGATTCTACTGCCTCAGCCTCCCGAGTAGCTGGGATTACAGGCATGCGCCACCATGCCTGGCTAATTTTGTATTTTTAATAGTGACGGGGTTTCTCCCTGTTGGTCAGGCTGGTCTCGAACTCCCGACCTCAGTATAAACTTTTGTTTAGGTGAACAAGAAGAAAACCCCATTTTAGGGGGCAAGAAAGAGCATCTGTAAATGCTAAGAGTGTAAAAAGGGTGTTGATGTGAGGACACTGCAAGTATGTAGCTGGAGCATTGTGGCTGTTAAGGCAATGGAAGGAGGCGAATCTCAGGTCTATAACTGGAAGCAAAGAGGTCCACAAGAAGGTTGTTGCAGGCCCTCATTAAAGCAATTTTCATGGGCAGGTTTTTGAGCTCTCATTTGGTAAATAAAAGCATCATCCACTGTTTCCCTTTTTGCCTTGAATGTCAAGAAAGTCAAAGTCATATTTAATCCTCAACCACAGAAATTGTATTAGCCCTTTGAATCAGTATATTTTTATTCACCTCCATTTCATAGAGTGTTCATTTTCCATTGCAGCTATAACAAGTTACCACCTATTTAGCAGCTAAATACGACATAAATTTATTCCCTTGCAGTTTCCATGTGTCAAAAGTCAAACACAAGTCTCAATGGGCTAAAATTGAGGTGTCTGCAGAACTGTGTTCCTTACTGGAGGCTTTAGGGAATAACCTGCTTCCAAGTTCATTCAGGTTGTTTGCAGCATTCAATTCCATGCTTTTGTAGAAGTGAGGTCCCAGTGGCCGGGCGCTGTGGCTCACGCCTGTAATCCCAGCACTTTGGGAGGCCGAGGTCGGCGGATCACAAGGTCAGGATATCGAGACCATCCTGGCTAACACGGTGAAACCCCGTCTCTACTAAAAATATTAAAAAAAAATTAGCCGGGCGTGGTTGCGAGCGTCTCTAGTCCCAGCTACTCGGGAGACTGAGGCAGGAGAATGGCGTGAACCCGGAAGGCGGAGCTTGCAGTGAGCCGAGATCGCGCCACGGCACTCCAGCCTGGGCGACAGAGCGAGACTCCGTCTCAAAAAAAAAAAAAAAAAAAAAAAAAAAAAAAAAGTGAGGTCCCAGTTTCTTTGCTAGCTGTCAGTAAGCGGTCCTTCTCACTTCCAAAATCTACCTGCATTCCTTGACTTATGTTCCCCTTCCTCCATCTTCAAAGCCATCAACAGTGGTTTAGGTCCTTCTCAAGCTTTGAGTATCTCTGACCTCTTCTGCTTTTTTTCTCATTCTGCCATATCTCTCTGTTGGACTCTTCTACTTTCCTCTTCTGTTTCCAGGGATCACATGATTACATTCAGCCCACCTGAAAAATCCTGAATATATTCCCTATTTCAGGTCAGCTGATCAGAAACCTTAATTCCATCTTCAAAGTCCTGTCACAACAATACCTAAATTAATATTTAATCAAATAGCCAAGTGATGGGACACTTAGAGGGACATCATTAGAAGTTTACCTGCCAAATATGATTTAAAAAATTTTTCTATTTCCCTTTTAATAGTTTTATTGACATGACTTCATATAAGGCACTGTAAGTCCGTATAGGACTTGTATTCTTCTTCTTTACTATGTTTACTGTTTGGGACATAAAAGTAAAATATTCTCAATGTAGAAAATTTGGAAAATAAAAAATGTATAAAACATTATAACCAATTATAATTTCATCACTTGTACATAGCCACTATTATTAGTATTTATATCTTTTCTTTTAGTCATTCTTTTTTGCACATTTTTATAAAAGTGAAAGTTCAAAGTGTATGCAGTATTCTATTGCACCTCTTAAATCACTGTCAAGTTGAGAGCCATTTCTGGCATTTAGTGTTTACATAATGGCCACATAACGTTATGGTGAATGAATATATTTTACTCTATTTTAGGTGTATATGGGATATTACCAGTTTTTCATTATGAATAACATTGTGTTACCCATTTTTAAACATAAATCTTTGCTGGCATTTTAGATTTCTTTCCGGATATATACTTACTTAGGTGTAGAATTGAGTATTATGTTTATCTGAAAGTATTCCTTACATTCTAAAATAGGCTTGAAAATGGGCTTTTAAAATATGAACTCAGAGTAAGCAGCCGACTATGACTACATGTGACATTGCAAATATTAAAAAATATTTCTGTAAAGTCTCTTCTCATATTACAGCAGCAATTTCTGAATATATTTGTGGCCTACTGTAATAAACCTCAATTTACACAAATTGCAAAAGGTGTGGTAGTATTGATTGCTGTACACCAAATATCTTCTATTCTCTTTACAGGCATATCTTACGATCGCACTTCTCCATTCCCTTGGAATTTGATGGGTCATACAACTTGTTTGCATAAGTGGACATATGTGTGTAACTTATGAGTGAGGATTAAGAGCAGTATATGACTAGCCATACATCTCTTTCTCTCAGCCATAAAGACCGACAATGTTCCAGACTGCAGCTACTCTACTAGCTTAGGTTCTGCAGGTAGGAGAAGGCAGAGAAGCCTCCCCATGACAGACACAATGTGAGTAAGGAACAAACCTTTCTTCTTTAAGCCAGCAAGATTTGAGGATTATTTGTATTCATCCATCTTGAGTAGACTGAATAAGGGCTCCTAACTAATAGAAATTAGTACACAGAAGTGGGCTTCTACCATAACAAAAATGTGGCATTCATTAAAAGCCGTGGTGAGAAAATTGTCCATGGAGCTGGAAGAATGTTGATGCATGTTGTACAGTGGCAGACTGTTTGGAAAGATTGTCATATGCAATAACTTGGAGTGAATATCAAATACCTAACAAATTGGGAGAACTGGTGGAGTAAGTTGGAAAAAAATGTTACTAACATGTATTGGCTACTGGCTCTATCTGACAAGGTACTGTAGTAGAGATAAGATGAAGAAAGAACTAGCTGGCTTGCAAACTAGATTAAACAGAAAATAGAAAGTTCACAAATTCAGGGACTGGTAAATTTTTAGAAGAAATGACTACTTCTTATACTTAAACAGTAAAATACAGAGAAATATTTTTGAGTAGTAAAGTCTGATTAAAATTCAGCCTTGCAGCTAATATTAAATTAAGGATTATCAGTTTCCTATAGCTATTGTAAGAAATTACTAAAAACCTGTTGGCGTAAGACAATGCAAATTTACTCATAGCTCTGATGGGCATAAGTCTTAAATGGGCCTCTCTGGGCTAAAATCAAGATGTTGACAGAGATGTGTTCTTTTCTGGAGGCTGTAAGGGAGAATCCATTTTCTTGCCTTTTCGAGTCCTACAGGCTGCCCAATATTCACTGGCTAGTGGCCCCTTTCCACCTTCAAAGCCAGACGTAACTGGTTGAATCATTCTCCTATTGTATCCCCCTGACGCTGATTCTCTTTCTATCTCCTGCTTCTGCTTTTAAGAACCCTTGTGGTTACGTTGAGCCCACCTGGATAATTCAGGATACCCTCCCTATTTTAAGGTCAGCAATTCCATCTGCAACCTTAATTCTTCTTGACCACATAATATAACATATTCGCAGGTCTGGGGATTAGATGGTAGACATTTTGCGGGGACTGTTATTCTGCCTGCCACAGAGTGATACCTAGAATATCTTTTAAACTGGGCAAAATTGTTTTGGGAAAAGACATTAGAAGTGTGGTTCTGGACACCTGATAGGCACAAGATACCCACAATGCAATCAAGAGAGTAAGGGAAAGGGACAGAAGCATGGGAGTGAGGAAGGAAAGACGCTTAGCAAATATGACTGTTATATCTAAAAAGAAACTGTCACGAGTTTTGGTACATGAAGCTGACTGAAATCAAAGAGAAAAATTCAGGGAAGTTTTTGAGAGAATTATATTGCCAAAAGAATCAGCTTGAACTAAAAGAGAATGTGACAGTTCAGGACTTAAAATAACACTGAGGCTTCAACCATCATTGGATAGGATGTAGGCTAAGGAGGCTGCCTGTTCCCTAAGGGAGGTATATTCCCTGACACCCACTTCAAATGTAGTCAAAGAGGATCATGGAAAGGAAGACTCTCCCAGAGGACAGAGACAAGGACCATAGATTCTAGGAGCTAAGGAGACCCTTCTACTCCAGGGCCATCTCAGGAGAAGAGTCCTTGAAGCATTTGCCCAGTAAGACCTGAGAGTTGCAATGACCCATTGCAGTGATTGTAGTACACCTTCAATTTGTACACTTTCTAAACAAGAGTATTTACTGAGATGATCTTGGCCTGATTTCGCCACTGCATATTGGCTAGGTAGATGGGTGGGTAGGGAGGTTAGTAACTTGCCTTTTTTAGTTACAGGTCTCTGGGTCATCAGGGGCCATAGCTGGATCTGATGCAAATATTTCACATCATCCCTAGATATTAGCTTACCAAGGATCCTGGACTGTGTGCTTGATGCTATGATTGGAAGGTGTTTGAGATTGTCTCCTTCGAGGAAACAGGAGAGGGAGTGTGTCTTACCTAGAGAAAGCAGAGAGGAACAAATAGTTGGTAGCCACAAGGGCACATTGTAATCAGCATTGGTGCTACTCACTAATATCTGTTCTTTTTTCCTTCTACCCATGTAAAAAAACTGAACTTCTTAGCCCTTTCTTTGTTGTGTCGGGGAATAGTAGTTCTGACCATTGGACCATCATTTCCAGAACACTTAATTCTTAATGGTGTAAGATGCTCCTTAATTACTGAATTCTAATTCTTAATTAAGTACTTAATTTCTAATTAACGCTTAATTCTAATTCTTAATGGTGCAGAATATTCCTGAGTTCTCCCTTCTCCCTGTTGAGGTGATCCGAGAAGCATGTGTAAAGATGGAGCTTCCATCAACTTTCTGGAGCTTCCCTACCAACCCACTCTGGGCATATAGTATGAGGTATAAGTACACTTTTGTTACAACTAGGGAGTTATTCATTACTGTAGCATAAATCAACTTACCCTAACTGATACAGAACACAATGACCTTTCATTTATTACTTTGTAAAACTTTTATTCTGAGGTTTAAGTGTAAGATCCTGTAAGAGGTTTTAATAGGAATTCATGTACATGCCTTCTAATTATACAAAACACTTTCAGGAATACACTTATTGCAGAAAGTAAGCTATAGCTGCTTGTTACCTTCTTCATGTATATAAATTTCAATAAATTTAAATAAATATTTAAAGATGAGAAAGAGGTGAATTTGTAAGAAAGTCAGATTTATTATACCTGGGGCAACTCCACCTTTCATTGCATCCATCAGTCAAGGATTTATAACATGGATTATTGGCTCTATTTAATTGTTAAACAGAAGTTGAAGCCTTGGATCTGTCAACTAAGCAGTTTTTGAAGGTTGGGATTGAAAGGACACATGGAAACCCACCCCATCAAGCAACCCTAGGGTTGGGTCACAAGGGGTAAGACTTATTTGCGTTATGTACATAGAGAACCAAAGGGTAAGTGTCAAAGTACCAAAAGTCACAGAAACAATATTTATTAACCAAGCCAACATGATAAGAACAAAGTCAAAAGATACAAAAAAGTTATAAAATTTAGGTAAATGCACAACTTCAGCTAAAAAAAAAATGTCAAGCAAGTGTAGCAACAAGATGAAAAGGTACAGAATTTTACTACAAACACACCTGAGACAACTGTACCGCTCTATCATTGGATGCTATGCTGATCCAGAAGTTAAACACACAGGCTGCTGCAGGTTAAATACACAGGTTTCAGACAGATAGTATTCAGGCTTGGGATGTCATCGAAATAACTAGGCCATGTTTCTGATATAACTGATAAATTTCTACAGTGATTGTTTTAGGTTCCTTTTTTTTTTTTTTTTTTTGAGACAGGGTCTCACTCTGCCACCCAGGCTGCAGTGCTGTGGTGTGATCACAGTGCTCACTGCAGCTTCAACCTCTTGAGCTTAAGTGATCCTCCCAACTCAGCCTCACAAGTAACTGGGACCACAGGTGCGCCACCACACCCAGCATTTTTTTTTTTTTCCTGTAGAGCCAAGGTCTCACTCTACCTTTCATTGCATCTATCAGCCAAGGATTTATATGTTGCCCAAGCTAGTCTGGAACTCTTGGGCTCAAGCGATTCTCCTACCTAGGTCTCCCAAAGTTGTGGAATTTTAGGCATGAGCCACCATGCCCAGTTGTCTCAGATTCTTAATATCATGACAACCTCTATGACTTCATAAGAACATACTGGTTTTCATTTAAATAGAAAAGTTGATCACAGAAAAAATTGAAAGGAGAGTTAAAGGATTACTATAAAGAAGAAAATAGGGGGAGGAGGCAGAGGAGAAAGAGGAGCAGAAAAGGGAGACGTAAGAAGAGATGGGAAAGTAAATGAGTGGTTAACAAAATAAATAAATAAAAAGATAAGTTTCGCTGACTTTGGAAAGTCTGAGGACCAAAATAGGAATGCTACTGAGGGAGCCAGGGGAAAGGACCCAAATAAAAGCTGAAGCAACCGGAAATGTAAAAAAGAATGCAGATTTATTGGTGATGCAGGCAGTTAGACCTGGCCTGAGAATAAAATCACTGTAGATAGTTACACTGGAGTATCCAGAGCCGAGAGAGAGCTCAGTAGGAAACATCTGATGGCTGTGCCAGTGCTCAGCTTAACTTTGGCTCCTATTTTTTCATAGCTGAGAGAATCTCTGGGTGCCCCTGGGCAACCAGGCACCCCTTCCTACAGATGGAAAAAGGTTTATTACATTTCAGACCAAAAGCAACCAAAGTGTTCTGCAGAAAATGAAAAAGAAAATGCTTAATCATTTCTAAAGGTGCCAAATCAATTTCTCCTTGAGAAAGTGCAAACCAGTGTAAAATTTTTAAAATAAAAACAATTTATCTCGTGTTTTTTTCCAGGTAAAAATGTAAAATAACGCCTTGCTTTCTGATCAACAGTTTGCCTCATCACCAAAGAGTACAGCAATCTTAGAAATGTACCTGAGGATTTATTCCAAAGCTGGTATAAAACATTTCATTCCAAACCTATATCATTTGAACAAAAATTCATTAGGGTTTATAAATTGAAGAGATGCAAACACAAAGTTGGCATTCCTTTAACATTTTCAAAGATAATAAAAGTATATAGTGACTGCTTTCACCCAAGTAAGCCTGTCAAAATGTTGGCAATATTGCTTTCGGCTGTTTTCTGGCAGCATATCTCATTTGAAATATTTTCCTGAGTTAATTTTTTCTATTTAATAAAAGGCTAAACATGAAGACATGTTCTTGGGTCTATAAAGAATGCATTAAACCTCTCCTGATGACTTAAAATATCTTCAAAACAGTGGCCATGGTTTGTCATAATTGCATTCTCACTTGTCTATGTTCATTTTTACTTCATTTGGTTTGTAGAGTGAAATGAGAACTGGATTCAAAGGTGTGCCAATGATGTTGTCTGGGAACTAGATTCATCTCCATAAGCCTCACTCCTTCATCTGCAAAAGAGGTATAACAATACCAATTACACCCCCTTCACTGGGTTGTTTAGGGAAAAATGACTACTGCAAACTAAAGTCCTTTGAACAGAGAAAAGCATAATGGAGATTTAAGACATGTACTATTAGTGGTGTTACTATGATTTCTCTTTTCTAATATAGTTTATGTCAACAGGGCTCCAATGCAAGGGTTTGTGAAAGATCTACTGCATATTCAAGCAGGTTTTTGTGCAGCTGGAAAGCCTATGAAGCAGACACCACAGGAGGCCTTACAGCAGTCCAGAGAACTAAGACCTATAAGACACTAAGAAACTCAATTACCCCCAACCATTGAGGCAAGAGAGTGGTGATGAGCAAGCAATTAGGTGGCAATCATTAGAGGTAAACTAGGGAAAGTTGATCTAATCCTTTCTCAGTGCTCCTCAGACTTCAGTGTGCTACACATCACCTGAGAATCTCATGAAAATACAAATTCTGATTCAGTAGGTCTGGGGCAGAGCCTGAGAGTTTGCATTTCTAATAAGTAGTATAGAAATAATATAGTATCTAATAATCAGACAATATGTACACTAATGACCCATGACCTATATTTCAAATGACAAAGATCTATTTCAGACCAGCCTCAAAGGAAATCTGTGTCAGGGCTCTAAGGATGAAATTGGAAACCTAAAATGACTACATTCATCTTAAGAACCTGGGAGCACAATTCAGGGCTGCATTTCTCTAACATGTCAGAGTTGGTAGGGCAGTTCCCACGATGGCACACAGGCACAGGGGATTCTGGAGAAGAAAGGGCTCACATTGCAAATTCTGAGGTGGGTGATGTCAAGACAGATGACCACAAGTAACCACTGCTTGGGTTGGCAGGGGAAAGGATGGCTTCCACTCAGTGGTTGAAGCAGGGGGTTGTCATGGACAATCAAGAGCAAATGAGAATTCCCAGTGATACCCTGAGGACCACCATGAAGAGGCTTAGGCTGAGGCTGCAGAGATACTGCAAAAGGGCATTGAATCAGAAGGTTTGTTGCTGTTATCATAAGCCTGGTGTACCCAAGCTGGTGCCATTTGGAGAAATGCCGGTTATGTCATTATCTACATTTTATTATACAATCATCATTAGTATCAGCATCCTCAGTATAACAGGATGATATCCCTGATATGACCACTGGAAACAAAGCCACTCAACTCTCTTGGGCAGTGATGCTCCTTTGGTGTTTCCTTCATATAGATAAACCCAGAGAGTCTAATGGAACACAATTTTTTTTTATACAACAATCTTGCATACATAGAAAAACTAATATCTGGCAAGTAGAATTTTCAGAGGAATTAATCTAATTTAAGAGATATTAACATTCTCATATCAATAAATAGTTAAGAGAAAGGTAATTTGCAAAGAATTCAAATGACCAAAAAAACAAAATATTAAGCTATGAGAAGTCATCGGCATTGGCGTTTTTCCAGAGCTTCCCATGTGCTTCAGCTTCCCAAATGGTATCTGCTGTCCTAAAGAACTATGATCTCTTCTCTGTTCCCTCATAAACCATACACTACATCCAAGTGGTTTTCTACCAAGGTGTCTCATGTTGCTAAATCAGTATAAAATATAGGACATAGAGCTATAGTCTGTGCACAGAATATTATGTATAAATTTCCAGCTACCATATTTATATAGATACTCCAGCATGAGAGTAAATGTTACTGATAAGTCTGTCCTACACATGAGCATTATTTATTTTGTTTGTTATTGACTTGTCTCTACCTCACACTGTGCTAGTCACTAGAGTTGCAATCATGGACAATAAGAAATATGCCTGTCATTATGAGGATTACAATACAGTGGGGCAGGGGACATAAATAATAGTAAAACATTAGTTGCTGTGATGGGGGAAAAAAAAAAAAAAACAAGGAGCTAAGCTAGCAGCAGGGAGGACCTACTTCAGATAGAGTGATCAGAGAAGTCCACTCTGAGGTTATAGTGGTGCTGGAAGACAAGCCTAGTGAAGGAGAACAAGGAGAGTTTTTCTAGAAAAGAGAAGCTGTTTGTAAAAGCCTGAGGCAGGAAAGAAATTGGCATGTTCAAAAAATCAGCAAGAAGCCAACCTGTTTAGAGCTACCAAAAAGTATAAGCCAAGTTCTTCGCAGTTGAGGATAAATTGGTTTGTTTCTCAACTTAATGAACACTAATTCATCACCTATACATCAAATACTCTATTTGAACAAGACAACTCTCTGTGAAGCTTATGTTCAAATGAGGGAGATACACTCTCCTGATGTGTTATCATAGAAGCACTGGAAGCCATTGGAATACATAGGTAGTTGGGGGCAGGGGTGCTTTTTAGAATATTTTTTTAAACATCATTATTTTCATAATATAAAATTTTCTTTTTTCAACTTTTAAGTTCAGTTTTAACTTTTATTTTAAGAAATATGTGCTGGTTTCTTATATAGGTATACTCGTGTTATGGGGGTTTGTTGTACAGATTATTTTATCACCCACGTATTAAGGCTAGTACCCCTTAGTCATTTTTTCCTGATCCTCTCCATCCTCTCACCCTCCAGTAGGCCCCAGTGTCTGTAGTTCTCCTTTGTGTATCCATGTGTTCTCATCTTTTTGCTCTGACTTATAAGTGAGAACATGAAGTATTTGGTTTTCTGTTCCTGCTAAGGATAGTGGCCTCCAGCTCCATCCACGTTCCTGCAGAAGACATAATCCCTCATTTTTTGGGGTGGCTGTATAGTATTCCATTTTCTTGTAGGAAACAATCAGTTACATTAACTTAAAAAATATTTACATTGAAATATTAGATATTTCAAATTATTCAAAAAGTTGAAATACATGTTCCTTACTTCCAATATTTCTATTCCAACTGGCAATATGTATGAAAAGTTCAAGGAAAGGCAAGTTGTATTGACTGATTCTTGAATTTTTGCTCAGCATGAGACCTAGGAATGTCAGCCATTCTTTCTGGATTTCTCTTTTCAGGACTAACCCATTCATTGAGCAGGTTACTACACTTTATGTGGAAATATCCTGTCTGCATCAACAGATTATAAATTTCTTGAGGGCGAAGATTTGGTATTCTTACCTTCAAATGACTCAAAACAATATTTTGGATAAATTAGAATCCATATAAATTGGTTCATTCAGATTCATAAAGTATTTCAAAATATCTCCAGGGTCCTTATATATCCCAATGTGTGATTAATTTGAAATAACTTTCACTACTTCCTTTTCAAGTGAGGGTTTTGGATCCTGGCTGTCTTTTAGAAAGAATGTGACCTCCTTACCAGACACTTTCCCCTCATTCTTTGTAGAAACGAAAACTAAACAGGGAAGCTTCCTCTGTCAGGAAATCTGATGCTAAATCACTCTTTCTTCCATCACCAATGAACTCAATCATCTCATGCCAATACAATTAAATTAAGGCTCTTCAGCACCACTTGGCACATAGATTATATGATTCCTGTTAAAAAACAAATCCAAACATAGAGAATCTTTTGGAGAAAATCTATTTTGAGAAGGTATTTTTATTGTTAATAATTTTATCAAAAAAATTTACCTTTGTAGCTGAAGTTTTTTAAGGAATCTGAGCCCCGGGATAATTTTTGTTTTCCTCTGAACTTTGGCCAGAGTAACTTATACGTACATGAAGGCAGGAATTTTTCCTAATATTACTAAGAAGCATGAACACTCGGTTTGGACATTGACTGGCCTGAATATGATAAATAATATATTTCCTCTTTCAAACTTCTACATGTACCAAATATTATAACTTTTTGCTCAAACAATTGCATCTTAAAATTTCCATGTAGTCACAGCCAAACTCCTTAGAAGGTTAAAATGTATTACATAGTAGAATCAATTTACTTTTTAAAAGGAAGAACTGCACATACCAACTGGTAATGGTAATATTAACTAATTGCTTTTATAGGACACCAGACTAAGTGAACGACCTTAGGCAGATATTTAAGCATTTTGCCACTACCCATTTAAATTTTGCCATGATCGATTTAGGTCGTCCACTTCAAAATTCCAAGTACTATTTCTCAAGATAATGTATATAAAATATTTACAGCTTGGCTTTTAGAGACTTCTACAGTTTTCTGTCAATACCATAATCACCATAGAAACTATGAGTGTGGGAAATTAAAGGGCTGTGTGGTGGCCATCCTTTGAGTTTGCAAAGCCTGCTCTTGTGCTTGGGGCAAGCAAGCCTAATTTGTCAACTGAGGCAACATGGTTGCAGTCTCAGGTCAGTGATCGTGCTCCAATTGGAGCAGCAATCACTCTGAAACTATCCTAGCTCAGCAACTAGCTCACATTCCAAAAAGAACTGCAGTATTAGCACCTGAGCTCCAGCCCTGGAGTTATCAGCAAAAACGCTGTGGCTCCCCCGTCATTCTTTCCATAAATATTCATTGGGCATCTACTATGTGTCATCAGGGACTGTACCAAGTATGGTAGAATACATAGATTAAAACTGATGATCCCATCTCTTAAGAAGCATGCATTCTTGGATGGGCGTAGTGGCTCAAGCCTGAAATCCAAGCACTTTGGGAGGGCAAGGTCGGCGGATCACGAGGTCAGGAGTTGGAGACCAGCCTGGCCAACATGGTGAAACCCCGTCTCTACTAAAAATACAGAAATAAGCCTGGCGTGGTGGCGTGTGCCTGTGATCCCAGCTACTCAGGAGGCTGAGGAAGGAGAATTGCTAGAAGCCAGGAGGCGGAAGTTGCAGTGAGCCGAGATTGGGCCATTGCACTCCAGCCTGGGTGACAGAGTGAGACCTCTGTCTCAAAAAACAAACAAACAAACAAACAAAAACAAACAAAAAAACAAAAACAAACCAAAAAAAGCCAGCCAACCAACCCACCAACCAAAAAAAGGCCTATTAATTTGTTTTATTAATTCAAGAAATATTTATTAAACACCTGTTATTTACCAGACATGATTATAGACCCTGAAAATACAGCAGTGAATAAGACTGTCAAAGCCCCTATATCATGGAGTTTACTTGTTAATCAAGAGTTAGACACAGACAGTAAACACATAAATGAACAAGATAATTTTGGATATATACAAGTATCATGAGGAGTATAAGAAAGTGTGATGTGTTGGCAAATGTGGATGGAGTTACCACTTCAGACAGGATGAGAAGACATCTCTAAATAGGTGATAACTGAGCTGACACCCAATGACAAATAAAGGAGGAGACAAGCAATCTAAAATCCTAGGGAAACACATTCTAAAGAGCAAAGAAATTTGGGTGTGTTTGAGGAAACAGAAAGGAGAGTGTTGTTAGACCAAAGGAGTGACCAAGAAAGTATAAAAAGGTAATGACAGAGACTGGTCAGAGGCCATGCAGTGTATTTCTTATGGGTTATGGCAAAGTGTTCAGATCATATCCAAAGAGTAAGCCACTGGAGGGCTGGAACTAGAGTGCCAGTGAAGGGTCATACTTTTTGAAGAAAACTACTGAATAGTGTGCAGGTGCTATTTATTATTGAGGTAGGCAAATGGTGGGATGAAGGATAGTGATAAGGAATAAAGGAAGGATGAGAGAGAGAAATAGGAACATTTTCACAAAGGAATTACTCAAACTCATGCTTGAAGAAGTTAAACCTTCCCGGGTGGACAAAAGAGGGCAGAATGAAAGAAGACAGCATGTCAAGTGGGGGAAACAGCATACACAGTGGAATGAATGTGTAAAATAACATGGCATGTTCTGGGAACCAACAGTCGGAGTTAAGAATCAATGGTGGCTTGATGAGGTTTGCATGTCAGGCAGAGTTTAGATTGCAGGTGAGGGGGGACCCCTGATTATAGGGTTTTCATGATGCCCCTCTTTCTTGCCTTGTCTGCTTGTCCCCTAATTTCCTGAGATAGCTATAGGTAGTTTGAAAATATATGTATTTCAATACCTCATGCTAATCCCCTATATACTTTATCTGTTATATAAATCTTCAGATTAGCACCACTTTTGCACCAGATTGGAACCAGCTGCTTCTGTATTTATTTTCACCATTAGAATGTAAGTTCCTTGAAGTTAGAAACAATGACATTTAAATTCTGCACCCTAATATCTGACACAGCATTAGACACATAATATGAACTCAGCAAATATTAAATTTTAATAGGAATCAGATAGATAAATAGATGGTTGAAATTTCATAAAATATTTGAATTAGTCTCCAGGGCTGAAATCAGAATGTTAGCACTAGAGCATTTTCTATACCATGGAATATATACTATTAAGATGAGGTAGGTAGTAGTTGTTTCTCTGATATTATAGTAAGAGTTTCTGATGGCTTTTAAGTTCACAGGCTCAGGATTAATAGCTCACCCCCATCCAGTCTTGTGATACTGCCTACATGTAAAGCTTCCTCACTAGTCTGACCAGTCTCAATGTTGGTTTCCTCTAGCCTGATCATCAGCTCCCTCTAGAGGAAAGCCTGGAATTAGTACTTAGCCTCACTCATCTTCCTTTAGCCTATTTCCATCGATTTACAGAGCCTGAACCCAGCCAACTGTGGCAACCACCTAATGACTGATTTGATTCCATGTGCAATCTTTCGGGAGTGCCAAATTCTCAATCTCTAACACATAAGTATGTTACACACATATTACTATCCATCTCTCTGAGTGTCCTCCTTCTAAATGATGCAGTTATCATGTAAAGGCTGCAGATTACCCAGATATGAGAAAGAGAAAGAGTAAGAAGCAGACACAGACAAGGACGGAGGAAAAGAGTGAGGATTAGATGGATAGAAGGAAGAACAACGGAAAAATTTTTTCAAAAGTTTCCTTGTTCAGAAGATATATTTATGTTCTTATTTGGAAAACAATGCATGTGACTCAGTATTACATAATCCGTATGTGGCAAAGTTCCCAGATCAAGGGCCTGAAGAATATATCTATAGCAAATTTTGGCCACACCTGGATGCACCAGAAGGGCAGCAAAGATGACACAATGAACCTCAGAGAAGACACAATATTTGAAGAGGTGGACAACTGTCCCTGAGGTTCAGACTCCAAATGAGTAAACAGTAATAGCTATCCTTTGTCTCAGGATGGAACTGGATGGAGGAGTTCCACATAGGGAAAGAAACACAGTCTGAGGGGAAAGACAGGTTGCACCCATTTGTGGAATATTAGTTGAAGGTTGAAAGGAAGAAGAGATTTTGTGTGCCACCCTGAACAGTATTTAATGATCTTTCTGCCCAGCTCCCAGGGACATATGATGGGTTCTCAAGGAATTAAAAAGGGAATGAGATGGAAAAACTATACATATGTGAAATTTAGAAATATGAGAGGTCAAAGCAATTCTGGTTTTAGCTTCATAGCCTGGCTTAACATAGAAGAAAGATATGACTGCTTCATCAGGTAAAAAGGACGCAAGATTAAGAGAAGCATTCAGGAGGTGGTCAACAAACATTGATTTCCTCCCCCTGTTCCCTTCCACATTGCCGTCTGGAGGCTAGAGTCAACACACACACACACACACGCACACACACACACTCTCATCCTGACATTAGCAAGTATTGCACATTTGACGTCATGGATGCAAACCTCCCAGTGGTGACCTCTTTTTAATTCCTCTCCCGAGTAAAGTTTCTATTGATCAACTAAATGTATGAATGAAGGAGTGAATAACTGAACAATTTAGTGAAATTCTATTTAGTATTCAGATCTATACTTGATACTGCAAGACACCTCCTGATATTATTTAATCCTTATTGCAACAATGTATAAATTGTTATACTCATTTAGAAATTAGAGAACTGAAGCTTATGCAAGTGACCTGCTTAGGATCACAACATAGAAACTAAGATTTGAGATTTAAACACAGATAATTTTAATTTAAATTCATTTCCTTTTCTAACAAAGCTTCAACCTATAGGTGATTTCACATAGTCACAGTATCAATCTTAGTCATTAAAATACACATTTCGTTGCAAGAAGTGTCAGGCACTGTTGAATAGCTAGCCTAAGACTCATTTTCAAACACCTAAATACTCACTGTTTCAGATTCTCTTGAAGCTAGGGAAGGCCAGCCGTCTTGAGTTCTGGTCAATGATTTGTAAGTGGAAGTTTGTTGATGGATATGGAAAACTCTGCTTTTTGAAAGAAGGAACATACATCTCTAACATTCCACCTCCCCTCTACATCCTGCCTGACTATGAAAATGATGCTTAGAGCAGCAACAATCATCTTGTGACCATTAGGAAAAAGTAAAAAAAAAGAAAAAAAGCTGCAGAGATGCTGCTTCTTACCTCATTGAATAACTACCTATATCCAGACTCCTTGCTGCATGAGAAAAACAAACTTCTATTTGTCTAAGGAATTTTAAGGTATTCTGTTAATTACAGGTAAAACAGCAACTAATACAGAAAAATGTCTAAAACACCATCTCTAAAGTACACATATTAGTGAGATTTTAAAAATTAAATTGTATTATAATGAATATATATCCTTACTTTAAAAAGCGTATTTCCAAAGTCATAATTTTCTGCTCTAAAAAAAGATCAAATGTCATCCATATTTAGTTGATTCTAAACTCATGAATATGAATGACAAAAGAAAATCTTTACAAAATTTGAATTATTAAGATAAATACAGTTACTGCAATTTTTCTAAACGGCATCTAGCACATGGCTGATGCTCAATAAAGGCTGAGTGTTAAAAACTATGTATCTTATTAGCAACACATCTCAGTACTATCATTTGGAAAAAGTCCTTTCTCTCACAAATCAATATCACAAAGAATCAGGCAGCAGGTGGAGGATGTAAAAATGAATCATTTTTCAATAACTTCTTTCAGCGTGGAAGGTTTCACATGTCTAGACATATTTTGCTGTTGAATTCCACACTGATATTTAAGGGATTGTTTTTCCCCATTGCATACAAAATTACTCTAAATATAGTAAAGCATTTTGCTCACATGCTGTCAACCCCAGGCAAAACGTAGAGTCCATCTGTGTCCTTCCCTATAGTTCCAGCCAGTATATCCCGCATCACACATCAGTCATCAGGTACAGGTTGAGCAAGAAGACGTTTCTCTCCAGTTTGATGATGAACAGAGTGAGTTCTTTTATTTTTAGAATTGACTAGAAACATTACAGTTTTCCCACATGGCATTCATTAAAAGTTTAACCTATCACTTAGTAATAAAAATGTGAAGAATAACAAGTAACAAAACTTTGACTCAAAAAATTAATTTTTTTTGTGAGACAAGAATGTGAAGGGATTTGGTGTTTTTGTGATGTTTATACCATTCTCAGATAATCAGCTGTCAATGTCTTGCAGACTTATACCATGTCTTATTTGAGTAATTTTCAGAAAAATAAGCCCAGTGGGATAAGAAAGCCCAAATGCATACTCATATCAGGGATGCACCTGCATCTGAAAGGAGAAAAGGAAACAAATTAAAAAGAGGACTAGAAGATTTACTTGGCCTGAATGATGAGAGTCACCTGGGTAGAACCAATAATAATTGTTCACATCAAATGATTTCTGAAAATGATTTTAAGGATGTTTTACATAGCTAATGAGTTGTTCCCCAGTATACAAGTTCACCATTCTGATATATGTGGAAAGATAATCTTCATTAACAAAATGGAAAAATTAAATTTTAAAGTTTCTAACAGGTCACAACATTGCTATTGAATATACCGACTTCCAGCACCACTGCACTTGTTCTCCATTACATTTCACTTAACGTACTCTTGATCCATTACTTGCAGTTATTTCAGATAAGGATGGAACTCTATTGTGGGTTGTTTGTAGGTGAAAAGGCAGTCTTCACTTTCCCATGATGCCTAAAAAGAATAGGCAATTGGATGCATTGACTTGTCCAAGTATGATGAGAGTCTCTGCTCCCCCGTAACCAAATTATTGCTAACCCTCTTTTCAGACAATGTATTTCCAAAAATTCCGTTGGCCAACAGTATAGCTGTTTCATCTGTGCAGCCCCACTTACATGCAGGCTAGTCCATAGTGGCTTTCCTGGAGAAAACGATACTTTTATGTAATAATGGAAAGGGTTCTGGATATGTCATACGTCGTGGGTTTAAATCCTAGCTCTGCAATTTACCAGATGTGTGAATACAGGGAACGTGCAAAGCTTCCTTGAACCTTAGTCCCCTATTTACAAAACTGGGGACATGATACTTATCTCACAGGACTGTTAAATGTTGAATGAAATGGTTTGTTTGAAAGTGCCTGGCTTATAGTAGGTCCAAAATAAATCTTCACTAAACCTGAACTGTTTAGCTTTCCAGTAATACGAAAAAAATATATATCAGGAACCCAGTAACTTCCTAGTGTCCAGAGGCTTAAATGTACCACACATAGAATACAGATTGTTTATGTTTATATGTGCATTGTTATAAGAAAACAAATGCCACATACCCACCTAACAGGATGAAATGATTGACAGGTAACATTGACCTTCTTCCAGGAAATCACAGATTTTCAAAACAAGCACTTTTTAAAATTACAAAAATATGCAGCATGAATCAGAAAAGCAGGAGGCTGTGTTTGTTTGATCAACATTTCATTTTCCATAGCTTCCATCTTCGTTTTATTGCATGGTGTGCTATTTCCCTCAATAGAAAAGGAAGGCTACTGGGATGTTTGTTATAATCGTCTGCTTAAGGTTCTTTGGCAGATCACATGTTTTACTTAATTAAATAATGTCCCAATTAATTGATTTGTTTGTAGACATTCTTAATTTAGTAAAGGCTGAGCAGAATGCTAAAAATACCATTATATTTCTGACAGAGGCACCACTAAAGTCTGATAATTGATAGCTTTGCTGTTTTCTCTGATGGCCTGAAAGGCTTTTAAAGCTAAATTCTGTAATCATGTTCATCTTTGGAAATTAGTTTTGTGAAACCACACATTTAGTTCTTGCTGAGAAATCTCATTTTAGTCATTTTAACATAATTTATAATGCATAAACTAAATTAGCTTTTGTAGCTAAGCCAGCACATTTTTCTTTAATTTTTATCTCATCCTAATATATTTTTGACCTTGAAAACTGTAATGTCTGTTGGATATTGAAGCCTCTGAACAAAGAAAATCATTTCCATTCCATCACTATGGTTACACTTTCTTCGCTCTCCAGCACTGAACACTGCTGAAAGTGTTGAATCTGGATTCCTCAGGAGGGCAAGGGGAACTTCATGTAATATCATTTAGTTCTGATTAAATAAACACATATACATAATGGAACCCAGGAAAGTAGCAAATTACTTCACTTTGTTTACATTGCATATGATCTGACTGATGGTAAGGGGCAATATATCACCCAATGTTATACATTTCAGGTTCTGCTGTGTGTGGTTTATCCCTAGGCAGTCACACATACATATTCGTCTCCAAAAACACAGTCAAAATGCCAGGCAGCTCCTAACACCTCCAATACTCCTGAAGTCAAAGCGGTTTTATCCCCTTCTAACAACAGAGAACTTCTAGTGCAAATCATACAGTTCCCTGTCTGCCAGAGATGTGTTTCAAATGAGCTTGCAACGTGTCTCTCTCCATCCTAAAATGGGTTGTGGCTGCCTATAAAAGCAAGAGAAGAACCTGGTCATTCAAACGAATGCTATACCTGCTGCCTCTGATAGAAAAATACCCTTTTTTACAGACGGCAGCATTTGTTAAAACGTGTCTTGAATTTCTTTTATTACACAGCTGGTCTACAATGTTAACTACAATAGGTTTGCTGTTTTGTTCTTTGCCTTAGTAGCTTATGTATCAAAGCCATCTCCAAGAAAATCGTTGGTAACTAGTTGGTATCATTAAGGGTCAATACTGTTTTTAAAAGTACAATGTATCCAATCAGTATTATGGCATATTAAATCCATATAAACTCAAATGGAATGTCTCCTTCCCATGGTCGATATTCACAGATTTCCAGCTACATGGGTTGGCTTGTGCAAAAGTAATGCAGAGCTATTCATTTCAGCAGCATATGATAAAAAACTGGAGTGAGAGAGGAAACAGCTAGAGCCCAGGTAGGAAAGAAATCTGCGTCTTGAATAGCTTTCAGGTACATGGACCACAATAATCATCTCTGTGGCCTGGCACAGAAAATACACAATAAATATTTGTGGCATGGAAGAATAGGTGGGTATTTGAAAGGGCTCACTTTTTTTTCAGATGTAAAGATCTTTTGGTGGTGGAAAAGAACACACTGATACTCAGACAGATAAAAGGCAGAACTCCAGCTCCAAGTAAAAAAGGGCTGCCAGCCAGGGTCACACAGGGGGTGGCATCCAGGAAGAGGGTAGCAGCAAGCTGGAGCTGGAGGGAGCAGCCTGTGTATGGCAAATGGGATTGAGCTAGCTAGGTGTCCTGGACTCGCTGCAGATTAGCTAATTTGAATAATTCTGTGGGCTCCAAGGCATGAGGGCTAGTTGTCCACCCCTGGGTAATAGTGGTCCCAGAGTGAAAGAGCCTGATAAGAGAAGTGATCGGAGTATAGACTTAATCAGCAACTGAAAACGGGAAATTGATCCACATCTAGCCAGGGCCTCAGAACTGGATCAATACAGCATTTTTTTTTTTTTTTAGACGGAGTATTGCTCTGTCGCCCAGGCTGGAGTACAGTGGCACGATTTCAGTTCACTGCAAGCTCCACCTCCCGGGTTCACACCCATTCTCCTGCCTCAGCCTCCCGAGTAGCTGGGACTACAGGCACCCGCCACCATGCCCGGCTGATTTTTTGTATTTTTAGTAGAGACGGGGTTTCACCTTGTTACCCAGGATGGTCTCAATCTCCTGACCTCGTGATCCACCCGCCTCGGCCTCCCAGAGTGCTGGGATTACAGGCGTGAGTCACCGCGCCTGGCCAAGACAGCATTTTTTAAAACTCTGTTACATTCATCTACCTACAGAAATAAAGAATGTGGTTAAAATGCAGCAAAGCATTACATGACATTCAGTAGCAACCAAAATGTCATTGAAGTGTGACATGGAGTATGTAACAAAAGCTAACCTGGCTGCTATCGTTTGGATATGGTTTATCCCTACCAAAACGCATGTTGAAATTTGATTCCTTATGTGGAGGTTTTGGGAGGTGGGACCTAGTGGGGTGTTTGGGTTCCGGGAGCGGAACACTCATGAATAGGTTAATGCCCTCCTGTGAGTGAATAAATTAGTTCTTACCAGAGTGGGTTGTTAAAAAGAGTCTGAATTCCTGGGTTTCTCTCTCTCTTGCTTCCTCCATTTCCATGTGATCGTTTTGCACATACCTGCTTTCCTTCGGCTTTCAGCCATGAGTGGAAACAGCATGAGGCCCTCACTGGAAACTAAGCAGATACAAGCACCAGGCTTCTTGAACTTCCTGGCCTATAGAACCATGAGCTAAATAAACCTCATTTCTTTATAAATAACCCAGCCTCAGGTATTCTGTTACAGCAACACAAAATGAACTAAAACATTGGCCCTGACTTGAACTAACGATGCAGATAATTATAAAATAATTTATTAGAAGTCTTTTGGGGGGGATAATCAAGTTTTCATAATTTAGTTTTGATATGTAAAACACTAAAGAGAGGCAACTCCCAAACATTTTCTATATTTTTGTTAGCCTCCAATGTTTTCCACTATGTGCCAGGAACAATTCTGCATATGGGTTGGAGTCTGTATTTTTTAAGCAAATGTAACTGGGACTGCCCAAGTTTAGTAGGCACTACCATCATATAATTCATCATGCTGCATTGGAGGCAGAAACCAAAGGCTAGCTGTGGTAGGCAGAATAATAGTCCCTGAAAGAGGTCCTCAAACTAATCCCTTGATTTGTGACTACATTATGTTACATAGTAAGGAGAATTAAGGTTTCAAATGGAATTAAGCTGGCTAATCAACTGGTCTTAAAATAGGGAGATTATCTAGGTAGCCCCATTATAATCACAAGGGTCCTCAAAAGTAGAAGGAGACAGAGAGGAAGTCAGAGTGATGAGATGTAAGAAGGACTAGATAAACTATTGCTAGCTTTGACGACGGAGGAAGTATACCATGAGCCAAGGAGTGTGGGCAGCCTGTACATGACAGAAAAGGCAAAAGAATGGGTTCTCCCCTAATGCTGTGGCCTGAGAAGTTGGGCTGTATTCCTTTCAAGAGAAAGGAATACAGCCCAACTGACACCTCAGTTTTAGCCCCATGAGACCCATGTTAGACTTCTGACCTTTACAACTGTAAATTTGTGGTGTCTTAAGCTATTATATTTATGGTAATTTGTTGCAGCAGCAAATAGGTAACTAATAACCATCTAAACTCCCAAAGCATAAAACCACTACTTCTATTTTTTTCCCATATTTCCTTTACACAAAATTTTGTTTACTAAGAAGACAAGCTCTCAATGACTTTTCCAGAGACAACTGACTTTTGCTTTTGCTGAGGTATTTGAATGTTTCATATACAACCCATGACAACTTCATACTGAAAGCATTTTCTGTCAATGGACCGTCCTTCATTCTCAAATATTAATTTTTTGAATACTTGTATTTAAAAATAAATACTAATCTACTTTGATTTTGTAGAAGGCAACCCTAGAATATAAGAAAATTGCTTCTCAGGCCACAGTATTGACTTTGAGGACTTCAATACTACTGCCAAATAATATTTGAAGAAGATAACCATACCCTCTGTTCCTTAAAGTAATCATTATTTTTACTTTCTTTACCCATATTCATTCTTGTACACTCAAAAAACACAGCTCCAACTAATCCCTTTAGTTAGAAGTAGAGGATACCAGAATTTACGACGTCTTTTGAATGAAACACACAGAACAGAAGTGGTTTCAAGGTCAGGTTTAAGGGGTATAAAGGTACATGACAGTAGCTAGAAAACGCAAGGTGGCTGAGTTGTCATAGCACGAATCCTTCATGAGCAGGCATTATTCTAATCTGGTTATCAAGTTTATGGGTAAATATCAAGAGGTGAATAATCTAGAGAGCAGTTCTCTGAATGGAGAGTGAGAAAAAAACTGAATGTCAATCCTAGCTTCTCTCCTGAGTAACAGAGGGTAGTTTTCATGTAGCCTCCCCTCTGTTTTTGTGTGACCTTCCTCTGTTTCTACAGCTAAATCAAAATGCTTCTGTATCTTGCAGGGACACCCTCATCCCTTTACTTTCCAGTTGTTGCCCTTAATGGAGTTTTGATTCTTTGATCTGTCTCCTCTGCTTTTTTCCTTTCTGAGTTCAGAAAGCTTGAGTATCTGATTTTCCTCTTTTGCTTTCTTATCCCTCCAATCTGGTCTTTAAATGTCAGTTTTAGTCAAGGGTCTTTCCATTTTTACACTAAGCCTGTCTTTTTTCCTTTTTTTCTTGAGAGGAAAGTTTCTTTTCAAATCCACTTTGTTACTGTTGTTTATTTTTGTTATTGTTCTCTTTAGTAACAAAACTTTGTATCTCACAGGAAGTAGTGATGACATCTCTAGAGGCAAATTTTACTTTTTTCAGCATCTATTCACTGAACACCAACTTTATTCCATGGTAAACTTCAGGGAGAAAAGAATAAAAGATGAGTGAGACAATCTACCCTAAAATAATTCACCAACTAGAAAATTTTTTAAAATAACTATATTATAGAAAATAAATAAATGTGATGACCATTTCCTAAAGGTCCTGACATATGGTACTATGTGATGGTTTTCTTCTCCTTTCTCATTATCATCCCTGAGCACTCAAAATAGCGGACCTCAGTCCAAATTCCCCCAGCTGGAGTACAACCAAACAGAAGTGTAAATGTTCAGGCACCCATCCCATCAGTGACCCACAAATCCCTGAACTAAAAATACTTCATAAGAAAGAAGAGCAAGGAGTACTGAAACATGATAAGTAATCTCCTCTCAAAACCATTCTCAGTACTCACTCTCACAATGACAAAGCCCCCTTTGAAGATACTCAAAACTCTGCCCAGGAAAAAAAAATGCAATGTATCCATTCTCTTAATGATGGTCATTTGGATTGTTTCCATTTGGGGCTATTATTAATAGAGCTGCTGCGAATATTTGTATAAAAAAATCTCTTTTTGGGGATATGTTTTCCTTTATCTTGGGTAAATATGTAGGAATGAAATTATTTGGTTTTAAGTTATTCTTATGCTTTAATTTATAAGAAACTAGCAGTTTTCAAATTGTTTATACCATTTTGTACTCTTACCAGCTATATATAAAAATTCTAGTTGCTTTACATCCTGGCCAACATTTAGTGCTGTCAGACTTTTTAAATTTAAGCCATTCTAGAAGTGGATATCTTATTTTTATATTAATTTGTATTTCTCTGATGACTAATAAGATTGTGCAACATTTCAAGTGCTTATCGGTTATTTCTATATCTTCCTTTTGAAGTGTCTGATTTGCCTATTTATTATTGAGATGTCTTTTTATTATTGAATTGAAGGTATTCCTTATATACTTTGCATACAAGTCCTTTGTTATATATGTATGTATGATGAATATTTTCTTTTATGTTTGCCTATCCATTTTCTTAACAGACACTTTCAGTGAGCTGAAGGTTTTAATTTTGAATAACAGATTATTGTGTTTTTTCTTTTAAGGTCATTGTTCTCCAAGAACACTGTACCAGCCTCAGGATTATGAAGATATTCTCTTACCAGATTATTCTAGAAACTACACACTTTTAGCTTTTGTATCAGATTCATGACCCATCTTGAAATTATTTTTAAATGATGAGTGATACATAGACTGAGTTGTTTTGATTTGTTTTGTTTTGTTTTTCTCACTGTGAATACCAGTGTTCCAGCTTCATTTCTTGAAAATAATTTATTTTCTCCCATTGAATGGCATTGGCTTTTTTGTCAAAAATCGCTTGACTATATGTATTAGTCCATTCTCACATTGCTATAAGGAACTACCTGAGACTGGGTCGTTTATAAAGAAAAGAGGTTTAATTGATTCAATTTCAACAGGCTGTACAGGAGGCATGGCTGGGGAGGCCTTAGGAAACTTACAATCATGGCAGAAGGCAAAGGGGAAGCAAGCACGTCATCACTGGCCAGCAGGAGATAGAGAGAGCAAAGGGGAAGGGCTACACATTTTCAAACAACCAGAGCTCATCAGTACTCACTATCACAAGAAGAGCAAAGGGGAAATCCAGTCACCTGATCCAATCACCTCCCACCAGGTCCCTCCCCAAACATTGGGGATTAGAATTAAACATGAGATTTGGGTGGAGACACAGAGCCAAACCATATCACTATATGTAAGTATTGATCTACTTCTGGGCACTCTATTCTGTTCCTTTGATCATAATAGATCTAGCATTAGGTCAATATCAAACTATCTTGAATACTGTAACTTCACAATATATTTTGAAATCAGGTAGTGTATATTCTTTGTCTTTTCTCTTCAAGATTATTTTGACTATTCCTGGTCCTCTGCATTAACAAATAATTTCAGAATCTGCTTGTCAAGGAGAAACAGCCTCTTGGAATTTTGAGATTACACTGAAAATCTGGAGACACATTTGGGGAAAACTGACATTTTAACATAATTAATCTTGAATATGGTATATTTCTTCACTTATGAAGATCTTTAATTTTATCCAGCAAGATTTTTAAATTTTCTGTGAGTTTTTGCACATCTTATTTTATTTCTAATTTTTAATGTCTTTAATTTTTTTTCAATATGATTAGCAAATTATGTGCTTCTGTTACATAGAAAGGCACTTGATGTTTGTATGTGGACCCTGTATTTGGTGGTCTTGCTAAATTAATGTGTTGGTTGTAGGGTTATTTTGTGTAGATCCCATAGAATTTCTATGTACACATTCATATTGCCATTTTTCTGATTGTGTGGTTGATTTGCCTTATGCTAGCCATGACCTTCAGCACAACATTGAATAGAAGCAGTAGGAACAGGCTTCCTTGCCGTGTTCCCAATATCATGGGGAAAACCAGCAGTACTTCAACATTAAATATTTTAGCTGTACATTTCATCAGACTAAGGAAGCTCCCTACTATTTCTACTTTGCTGAGAGGTTTTTAAAAATAACTATTGAATTTTATCTTTTTCTGCATTTTTATTTTAACTTTTTCTGTGGCATACTACTTTGATTTTCGAATAATGAAATAATATTGCATTCATTTGTAAAATAAATCCCACTTTGTCGTGATGTACTATCCAATTATACATTTTTAAATTCAATTCCTAATATTTTGTCAAGATTTCTGCACCTATGTTTATGAAAGATATTAGAGTATGACATCAAGGTTATGTTCGCTTTATAAAGTTTAGTAGCATTTCCAACTCCTTTTTCTGAACAAGTTTATGTAAAGCTAGAAATATTTGTTTTTTAATGTAAGACAAAATTTTCCAGATAAGCAACCTAGCTCTGGAATTACGGGTATATATATATATATATATATATATATATTATGTATATATA
The DNA here is from genome assembly GCF_000001405.40 of Homo sapiens. NCBI lineage: Eukaryota > Metazoa > Chordata > Mammalia > Primates > Hominidae > Homo > Homo sapiens. The sequence goes on from NC_000009.12 coordinate 23,504,306, forward strand.
TAATATATACATGTATATATTATATACTTATATGTATATTATATACAATGTGTATATATGTATAATTACATACATATATGTATATTATATACATATATGTATATATATTATATAATATATGTATATATTATATACACACATATATAATATATACATATATTATATATGTATATATTTTATATATACATGTATATATTATACATATATTATATATAAGTGTATATATTATATATATATATATAATATACATACGCGTATATAATATATACATATATAATATATACGCGTATATATTATATATACATATATATGCATATATACACGTATAGTAATACATACGTATAATACACGTATAATACGTGTATTATATATATATATATATACACACACATATATATATATATATATATATATATATTTTTTTTTTTTTTTTTTTTTTTTTTTTGAGATGGAGTCTCTGCACTCCAGCCTCTGTTGCCGGGCTGGAGTGCAGTGGCACAATGTCGGCTCACTGAAACCTCCACCTCCTGGGTTCAAGTAATTCTCCTGCCTCAGCCTCCTGAGTAACTGGGACTACAGGCACCCACCACCACACTAATTTTTGTATTTTTAGTGGACACAGGGTTTCACCATGTTGGCCACGGCCAGGATGGTCTCAATCTCTTGACCTTGTGATCCACCTGCCTTAGCCTCCCAAAGCGCTGGGATTACAGGTGTAAGACACCGTGCCCAGCCAATTATGGGTATATTTTAAATTACAAATTAAATTTCTTTAACAGTTATAAATTAAGTTTTTAAATTTGGGAGCATAAAGTTACTCACAGTATTTTCTTACTAATTTTTGATGCCTACAGCACTACAGAGTGATTCCAACATTTCTTTTATTGGTAATTTGTATTTTTATTTTCTTTTCAAATTGTTATCTGTATAGCTAGGGCAACTCTTCTCAACCGGGGTTCCATGAAAGAATTAAGCCTGAATGCCCTAAGGGTATCTACCATGTAAAATGAAAAAAAAAAATCCTATTGATCTAAACTAGTAGTATTAGATATGTAACTTTCTTGGAATATAAAGCAAATACACAATCCAATCATATTTGTTAAGTCTCAATTATCTTTCAAAATCCCAGTTGTGAAAAGTCACTTCTCAATTTTATTGATCTTCTCAGATAATTGATTTTTTGGTTCACTGATTTTTTTTAATGTTTGCTCATTTTCTGTTTCATTGATTTTCATTATTTATTATTTCTTCTCTTCAATTTACTTTGGGTATAATTTACTATTTTTTTCTTCTTCTTTTCCACTATGTTTTTTACTAAGATGCAGCCTCACTATATTCCCCAGGCTGAACTCAAACTCCTGGGCTCAAGTGGTCTGCCTCCCGAGAAACTGGGATTACAGGTGCACAAAACCATACCTGGTTTACTCTTCTTTTTCTCTCTTCCTAAAGTGCAAACCTAGATGGTTAATTTAATATGATTCTTCTTTTTGTAATATAATAATTTAATATTTTAAATTTCCATCTGAACAATGTTGCATCTGTATCTCACAAACTTTGATACTTTATGTTTTTATTATCATTTAGTAATGTATTTTGTGATAATCCCTATCATTTTTTTATTTGTTATATAGATTACTTAAAATTGTGTTGCTTAATTCCAAAATATTTGAGAATTGAGCCAGGCACATTGGCACGTGCCTGGAGCCCCAGCTACTCTGGAGGCTGAGGCAGGAGGATGGCTTGAGACCAGGAGTTCAAGAGAATTGTGCAGATATTTTGACATTAGTTTCTAATCTAGTTATTTTATGGACAGAGAATACATACTGAGATATTTTGATAATTTTAAATTTACAACACTTTTTAATGGCCCATCATATATACATAGTCTTTTTTTCAGATTTATTAAGGTATAATACAAATAAAATTGTTTATATTTAAGGTGTACAATTTGATGTGTTCATATACGTGAACATTGTGAAATGATTACTACAAACAAGATAATTAATATATCTATCACTACACATAATTATCATTTTTTTCTTTGTGCACATGTGTGTGGTGAGAACACTTAAGATCTACCTTCTTAGCAAATTTCAAATATGCAATACAATAAATAATGTTAACTATGGACAGAATGCTTTATATTAGATATCCAAAACTCATTCATCTTGCATAACCGAAGCTTTATACCTTTTAGCCCATATCTCCCCATTTCCCTCTCCCTGCAGCTTCTGGAAACCACCATTCTACTCTCTGCTTCTACAAGTTTGACTATTTTGATTCCACGTATAAATGCTAACATGTAGCTTTTTTCTTTCTGTGTCTGATTTATCTTAGTTAGCATAATGTCTTCCGTGTTGATTTATGTTGTTGCAAGTAGCAGGGTTTCTTTTTTTTCCTAATATGTATATCTCACATATATGTATATACATCTTATTTTTTTATCCATGCATTCATAATGGACACAGGTTTTTCCATATCTTGGGTATAATGAATAATGCTTCATGCTACAATGAACACAGGAGTGCAGATATCTCTTTGAGATAGTTATTTTATTTCCTTTGGATATATGCCCAGAAGCGAAATTCCTGGATCCTGTGGTAGTTTTTATTTTTATTACTTTTAGGAACCTCCATACTGTTTCCCATAGTGGTTGTACAAATTTCTATTTCCACCAACAGTATGCAAGAATTTCCTTTTCTCTATATCCTCACCAAGACTTACTTTTTATCTTTTGATAATAACACCCTAACAGGTGTGAGGTGATACCTCATTGTAGTTTTGATTTACATTTCCCTGTTGATTAGTGATGTGGTTTGGCTGTGTCCCCACCCAAATCTCAACTTAAATTGTATTTCCCAGAATTCCGACATGTTGTGGGAGGGACCAAGGGGGAGGTAACTGAATCATAGGAGCAGGTCTTTCCCATGATATCCTCGTGACAGTGAATAAGTCTCACGAGATCTGATGGGTTTATCAGGGGTTTCCACTTTTGCTTCTTCCTCATTTCACCTCCCGCCATGATTCTGAGGCCTCCCCAGCCATGTGGAACTGTAAGTCCAATTAAGCCTCTTTTTCTTCCCAGTCTCTGGAATGTCTTTATCAGCAGTGTGAAAACAGGCTAATACAGTAAATTGGTACTGAGAGTGGGGCGTTGCTGAAAAGATACCTGAAAATGTGGAAGCGACTTTGGAACTGGGTAACAGGCAGAGGTTGGAATAGTCTGGAGGGCTCAGGAGAAGACAGAAAAATGTGGGAAAGTTTGAAACATCCTAGAGATGACTTGTTGAATGGCTTTGCCCAAAATGCCGATCGCGAAATGGACAATAAAGTCCAGGCTGAAGTGGTCTCAGATGGAGATGAGGAACTTGTTGGGAACTGGAGCAAAGTGACTCGTTATGTTTTAGTAAAGTGACTGGTGGCATTTCTCCCCTACCCTAGAGATGTGTGGAACTTTGAACTTGAGAGAGATGATTTAGGGTATCTAGCAGAAGAAATTTCTAAGCAGCAAAGCATACAAGAGGTGACTTGAGTGCTGTTAAAGGCATTCAATTTTATAAGGGAAGCAGAGCATAAAAGTTTGGAAAATGTGCAGCCTGACTATGTGATAGAAAAGAAAATCCATTATCTGGGAAGAAATTAAAGCCAGCTGAAGAAATTTGCATAAGTAGCAAGGAGCTTAATGTTAATCCCCAAGACCATAGACATGTTAGAGGTCTTCAAGGCAGCCCCTTCCATCACAGACCTGGAGACCCAGGAGGAAAAAGTGGTTCTGTGGGCCAGGTCCAGGGTCCCCATGCTGTGTGCAGCTTAGCAACTTGGTGCCCTGTGTCCCAGCTGCTCCAGCTGTGGCCAAAAGGGAGCAACACACAGCCTGGGCTGTGGCTTCAGAGAGTGGAAGCCCCAAGCCTTGGCAGCTTCCACGTGGTGTTGAGCCTGCAGGTGCACAGAAGTCAAGAAGTGAGGTTTAGGAACCTCTGCCTAGATTTCCGAAGATGTATGGAAACACCTAGATGCCCAGGGAGAAGTTTGTTGCAGGGGCAGGGCCTTCATGTAGAACCTCTGCTAGGGCAGTGCAGAAGGGAAATGTGGGGTCAGAGCCCCCACACAGAGTCTCTACTGGGGCACTACCTAGTGGAACTGTGAGAAGAAGGCCACCATCCTCCAGACTCCAGGATGGTAGATCCAATGACAGCTTGCCCCTTATGCCTGGAAAAGCTGCAGACATTCAACACCAGCCATGAAAGCAGCCAGGAGGGAGGTTGTACCCTGAAAAGACACAGGGGCAGAGCTGCCCAAGACCTCAGAAACCCACCTCTTGCATCAATGTGACCTAGATGTGAGACCTAGAGTCAAAGGAGATCATTTTGGAGCTTTAAAATTTGATGACCCCGCTGGATTTTGGACTTAGATGGGCCCTGTAACCCCTTTGTTTTGGCCAATTTCTCCCATTTGGAAAGGCTGTATTTACCCAATACCTGTACCCCCGTTGTATCTAGGAAGTAACTAGCTTGCTTTTGATTTTACAGGCTCATAGGCAGAAGGGACTTGACTTGTCTCAGATGAGACTTGGACTGTGGACTTTTGGATTAATGCTGAAATGAGTTAAGACTTTGAGGGACCATTGGAAAGAGACGATTGGTTTTGAAATGTGAGGACATGAGATTTGGAGGGTCCAGGGGCAGAATGATATGGGTTGGCTGTGTCCCCACCCAAATCTCAACTTAAACTGTATCTCCCAGAATTCCCCCACGTTGTGGGAAGGACCCAGTGGGAGATAATTGAATCATGGGGGTCAGTCTTTCCCATGCTATTCTCATGACAGTGAATAAGTCTCACAAGATCTGATGGGTTTATCAGGGGTTTCCGCTTTTGCTTCTCCCTCATTTTCTCTTGCTGCCACCCTGTAAGAAGTGTTTTTCACCTCCCACCATGATTCTGAGGCCTCCCCAGCCATGTGGAACTATAAGGCCCATTAAACCTCTTTTTCTTCCCAGTCTCTGGTATGTCTTTATCAGCAGTGTGAAAACAGACTAACACAATTAGTGATGCTGAGCACCTTTTCTTATAGTTGGTGGTCATAATATGTCTTCTTTGGAGAAATGGCTTTTCAGGTCCTTTGCCTACTTTTAAATCAGGTTATTTGGGTTTGGGATTTTTTTTTTTTAATCTGATATATGGTTTGCAAATATTAATATTTTCTCTCATTCTTTAGGTTGCCTTTTCACTCTGTTGATTGTTTCCATTGCTGTGCAGAAACCATTTAGTTTGATGCAATCTCATTTATCTATTTTGTTACCTGTGCTTTTGTCGTCATATCCAAAAAAATTTGTTGCCCAGACCAATGTCAAGACACGTTTTCCTATGTTTTCTTCAAGGAGTTTTACCATTTCCAGCCTTATGTTTAAGTCGTTAATCCATTTTGAGTTGGTTTTTGTTATGAATAATGGTCCTAGGCAAAAAAGTAAGAATTAAATGTGGTGTTTCCTTATCTCAAGCATCACAGCCCTGTGCTATCTATTGTCTAATATCTGAGAATAGTTTTTTCATACATGTTATCCAGTTATACAGTTCTTCACACCAAAATGTAAGGTCCAATAATCATATCTCTGCTATGGCTGGAACCACTTCTACACTTAAAATATACTTTATTTTATTCATTTCATTCTCATAACTTCATGAAATAAGTATTATTAAGCCATTCTATGGCTAAAATGACCAACCTTAAGTAACCACCTTCTGTTATCCTTTAAGCCCATCAAGCGTAGAAATAAATCTTATTAACTTTGTTGTTCATTGCATTTGACTCCGTTCTTGGCACACAATAGATGCTCAGTAAATAAACTTTGACAGATACTATTTTCTCCTATTTTCTCCATTATACATATAAAAAAATCCTAAATCTCAGACAAGACAAATTGTGGAAGTGGGGAAGAAACTAATATTGATTAAGTGCTGGGATTTGAAAACTATGGAACATAGGCCAAAATTGGCCCACTTTTTGTTTTTCTTTGTTTGTTTGTTTGTTTGTTTGTTTGTTTTTGAGACGGAGTCTCGCTCTGTCCCCCAGGCTGGAGTGCAGTGCGGTGGCGCGATCTCGGCTCACTGCAAGCTCCGCCTCCCGGGTTCACACCATTTTCTTGCCTCAGCCTCCCGAGTAGCTGGGACTAAAGGCGCCTGCCACCACACCCAGCTAGTTCTTTTGTATTTTTTAGTAGAGATGGGGTTTCACCGTGTTAGCCAGGATGGTCTAGATCTCCTGACCTTGTTATCCACCTGCCTTGGCCTCCCAAAGTGCTGGGATTACAGGCATGAGCCACCGCACCCAGCCAAAACTGGCTCACTTTTTAAAAAATAAAGTTTTATTAGAAGATAGCCATGCTGTTGTATCATCTCTGTCTGCTTTCATGCTGTCATAGCCAACCTGGGCAGTTAGGTCTGCAAAGCTTAAAATATTTAATATCCAGTCCTTGACAGAAAAAGTTTGCCAACCCCTGGCTATTATACATTATAATGCCAAGCAATGTGCTTGGCACCGTTACATACTTTTCACCTCATTAAGTTTCCCAGCTACTCTAAGAAATAAAAAATAATACCGTTATCCAGATGTGGACTTTGGGATTCAGAGAGGTATTTACAACAGGTTCTATGGCTTATAGATGGCAAAGCACAAATTTAAATTCTGATTTGTCAGACTCTGATGCCTATGCACTTTTTATTTCTAACAGTCAGATAACTTTGAAAAGAAATGGAAGATGATAAGTGGAATGGCCCATTTTAGTGATCTGCACATCATCACACATGAACAAGTTGATCTAAAGCTAAAGCTACTGAAGAACTCGCTTTATAACCTATAATAAAAATAGTTAAAACTATTATTACTTATAAGGAATTTTTTATATGTCAACCTTTGAGCTAATAATTGTATGTGTATGGTGTGTTTTATGTACATGAGCATACATATATAACATATATATGCTATATATAACATAGATGTATATATGTATATAAATGTGCATGTATATAATTTAATTTATTTCTCATAGATATTCTATGAAGATATTGTTATAGGTACAGAAATAAATGCTTAACAGGATTGTATTACAAGATAGTAACTGGTAAATCAAGGATTCAGATGATTTTCCTAACTCACTAATTCTATCTGTATCTTCTTTCCATTCTTTTCAACTCATTAACATAGGTTCCCATGAACTCAAACATTACTCGATGGCATAAGAAAGGATAATATATTCAGGAGCTCTATGGTCTCACAAAATGCCAAAAGCTCACTTTCCAACCACTCTTCCGGGCCTCCTTGGCAAGCTTTCCACCATCACTCCCAGCACTGTCAAGATGTGATGCTTTTCTTTCTTCTCTTTTTTAAGTGCTTTAAGCTCTGAGCCATCATTATTTAATTTTAAATTATCTTCTGATTTCCTACGTGGGCTGAGAATGAGAGTAGTCTAGGGAAAAAAATGGTAGTGACAATAAAAGAGAAGGGAAGCATTTGTGAAAATCCTTTTCTTCTTTTCAACAAGAGCTGTAATAGTGTTTTGTATCAACATGACTCCTTCCTTCAGCTGTAACAAAGTTAGAGAAAGTGTTGGTACTATAAATTGAGAGTTCAGGAGGTGATTCTACCCAGTCTTTTCAACAAGATTGGTATTATAGGTTTCCCACATAGAAACCAGTGCAGAAATATTTCTAAAGCAATTTTGTCTTTGCCAGGAGCCCTTCCCTACCTCCTTACGCCTCTTCTCTTTCCCAAAATGTTCCTAGGTTATTCGATCTCCTGGTGTCTTCCATGCATGATCCCCTCCCAAACCTCAGCAACTTCCCATGGTGTCCAAAATCCAACTGCTCAAGGGGCAGAGTTAGGGATGTAACTCACCATTTGCCCAACTAGATCTTTAAATAACTACCTCAAAAGAGAGCTCTTTGATAATAAACAGGCCAATAGGTATTATATAGACACAAATAATGCCAAATCTCTAGAACAACTAAGAGTCTGATGAAACATAACATGCCATATCTATAGATTTTTTTTGGAGGATATTTATTCGTGTAAAGATACAGAGATACAGGTCACTGTTGTCCCTCATGGATGCTCTGTAGGTTGTCTTATTTTTAGAAATGTTCCAAAGGTGAGATATGGCAATGGAGTAAATGTGTAAAACTTAAATGCAAATGTGACATCTTCTATAGCCAGTCAGAAAATTTCCAGTGTATTAGCAACCATGCACTCATTTCTCCAATAATAGACATTGCACTAACATTCTATCCCAAAGGGAGCAGGAGTGGGCCTGACAGCCTAGGGGAGACCAAAGAGTTGAAAAATCACAGCAAAGGAAAGTGAACCACTAAGTGGGACAACAAATCCCATAGGGCCTATGAAGCTGGCCACCATTTCAACTATATCTCACCAAAAGTTTTTAATTGAGTCCATTGAGGATTTTCTTTTTTCCTTGTGGGGATACATCCTTGATTTTATAACAGCATTTAACAAGGAAAATTGGATTCATTTTAGGATGAACAGCTGGAGCGCATCAGTTCCATAAAGCAAAAGCTGACAGTATTTCCATTTTAGTCACCATGTAGAAGCTTCTATGATGCTCAGTTGGATTATGCTTACCCTGAACCAGCTCACTTTCTTCCAGCATGTCCATGTACATCAATATCATATTCCCTGGCACCCAAACCTTAACTATGCCTCCTTTTCTCATTCATTTCCCAAAATTTAGCCCAAGGATAGATGCCAGCCTTACAGATAGCATCAGTAGCTAATCAGAGTTACCTAGAAATGTAGCAATAGTCCAGAGAGGATGACAACAGCGCAAGCTAAGAGTCACTTGACTTTCACCATTTCCCTGCTCCCTGCCTCAAAGGCCTGTGAAAAACAGATGGGGGAAATAGAGTAAATTAGAAGACCATACTCTTTGCTACAAGTCACTGGCTATATTTGATAGGTCTGAGAGGGAGAGGAAAACAAAAGGAGATTAGAATTTTAGACTTACATGGGCTGGGCTCCATTACAACTAAAAAGGTCCAAAAAGAACTGGAATCTTCTTAAAATGTTAACAGAGGACAAAAATGGAGTAATTCTGCAGAACAAGTTTAAGATAGTAACTGAAAAACAATAAGGTATTTTTCAGACTTGTCCTGTAGTAAATTCAAACTGATAAACAGATAGCACTGTTTTTGTAACTTAATTTATGTAGCCAAAACACAAGCTTAGACTAGTGCAGAAAACACATTCTTTAGGATCACATAAGTCTGGTTTCAAATCTCCATCACTTAGTACCTGGGTGAACTGGATTAACTCACATCTCTTGAGTCTGTTTTTACATCTACAAAATGAGAACATCATCCATCTACTGCACAATCATCATGAGAATTACTTGAGATAATGTGTAGAAAGTGAGTAGCACAATACTGGACACATAATAAGCATTCAACAAATCTTTCTATTATCACTTTTGATTGCCTATAATGTGTTTCTCTCATTTTGGCCAATCCAAATGCTATGATTCTTCTGCAGGTTTGCCTTTTTATGAATTCATACTTAACTATCATATTCAAGAGTTTTACTCAAGTATCTGCAAGTGATTGTCAGGAAAAAGAAAGGGTGGACATTCTAGCTACAACTCCCACAGGGCAATTTTATATAAAAATAAAAAGCAGATTTTGGTTCAGTATCTGAAATTGCCTTCCAACAATTTAAGCTAATCGATAATAAATTAGAAAGAGTGAACTCCTCATCTCCCTAGATAGGGATGCTGCTGAATGGTGCAACATACGGCAAATATAAGCTTTGGTATCTGATAGATTGAGGTTCAAATCCCAGTTGTGTCACTTATTAGCAACAAAACCTTGGCCAAGTTGCAAAACCTCTGAGTCTGTTCCCTTAATGTGAAAATTGGTTTTAATAATACCTATCTGATCAGAGTGGTTCTGAAGATTATAAAAGAGCCTCCCCTGTTCCCTTTGCCCTCCAAAAAGCTGCCTTGGCCTCTCTGGGAACCAGGGTAACCAAGAAAACGACAAAGACCTGTCGGGCTCATAAAGCCTTAGGAAAAGGTAACGGCACGACAATGCCTGCCAGTATCACAGAAGCTGGCAAGACTGTAGCCTAAGCCCAGCTCAGAGTAGGTATTATGACACAGTCATTTACAAGATAAAAACTCCTTCTCAAACATGCACACTTTCATAACATCCTCTTCACAGTAGCCCTTACTACCATCATATTCCACATCCAATGACTAAAAAGCAGGAGCATTTTTTGGAAGGGATGAGAAGAAAGTATGTAAATGGGACTTTGCTTACTTTCCAGAAGTGCTCATCTTTTATTTTTTCTGGGCTTCGAGCATCTTTTTATACAACATAATTCTTTAGATATTGAAAAAGTATCCAGGTAGGTTCAGATGCTGTGTTATCCATTACTTGGAACAACAGTCTTCTTTGCAATTATCATTATTGACATGTCAAAGTGACTACCAATGGTGCCAAAATCCTATGTATTAAGGAGGAAAGAAAATGAACCAATATGATAGACTGAGTACACAGATTTACCTCCCAATATCCCAAATCCCTTGAAGTTACAGAAAAAAAAAATGCTTTGTAAACATGATTCCTTCATTCATCTGACAAATATCTAAGGCTCTCCTACTATGCTGTAGGTGCTACGGTGGTGAACAAAATATGTGGTGAACATGAGGTCACTGCTAAAGTGGTGAATAAAATACGTGGTGAACATGAGGTCACTGATCTCATGGAACTTACATTAAAGTCAAGCCGGGGGAGAAGAGAAAAAAATACAATAAGCAAGCAAACAAATAGGTCAGTGAGATAATTGTGGATAGTGATATATTCAACAAAATAATTAAACCAGAATACTATGATTGTGAGTGACTGGTAGAAGAGGGTTGGGGGACTATTTCATATGTAGCAGCCAGGGAAATCCTTTTAGAGGAGATAATGTGTGAGCAAAGACCTGAATGATCCAAAGATCCAGATCTGCAAAAATCTCTGGGGTAGAATATTCCCAGTAGAGCACATAGCGAGTGCAAAGGCCTAGAGCAGATGTGAGCTTGGCCCACATGAAGAACAGTAACCCATCCTTAAAAGCAAAGTGATATCCATGGACCAGGAATTTTGAAGAATGTCTAGGATAGAAAAAACAAAGGGAGTTGGATTGCCAGGGAGGCAAATGCAAATTTTCCTAAGACAAATCTGAACTAAGGTAATTCCCAAGTGGTACTGTCTGTAGTGGGATGCTAGACAAAGGTCACAGGACAAACAAAGGGCCCGTGTGGAAAGATTATCAGCCAAGGAAGCACAGAGTTTCCTAGTATAGCTCAATTCACATCTTTCAAGTGCCTCACCTTTTAAGTCCCCTTGAAGAAATGGCATATTTTATACATTAAGGCCCTTTCCATCTCTCCCTCTCAAAAAAAAGGGAGCACTGTCATGAGATCATTCCAGACAAACTCTAACATTCCCTTCCAGATCTAAATATGTAATTACCTAAATTTAGATATTTTATTTGCTGTTATTTTATAATATTACCTAACACTTGGAAATTGTATGGTAATATTATAAAATAACAGCAAATAAAATATCTAAATTTAGGTAAGTTGTTTTTCTCTCACAAATAAAGAAACAATTGAATTTCATGTAGAAATAATTGACTAGCTTTACTTTAAAACACACACAAAAAAATATTTTGTAAATATTTATGAACCCACCAAATATTCTAAGGGAGAAAATTCAAATTTAGAGATTTTGATTCTACATATTATTATTTTCAAAACCACTTCTTCTGACCTGGTTAGACACTGGGTTGCAGAAAGCAGATCAGTTCTGGGCCTGGTCATGCCACCAAACAGCTTTGTGACTGGGGTCAATCCACGACATGTCTTTACCTCAAATTCCGCAGCAGAAAATAGCAAAAATAACACGTCCTACTTACCTCAAAGGTTGACTTTTGGAGTCCTATAAAGTTAAATATTGGGAAGTGATTTTTTTTTTTTTTTACAAATAATGTGTTATTGAGCTGATTATATAGCCCTCTCAGCCACTCATTCATTAAAATGTTTAAAATTCTTACTATACGCAAAATCCTGAATTAGATATTACAGGGTTTAAGGAAAATAGCAAACAGAGCCCCTAAACTCCTTATAATATAGAGAAATAAGTAGTCACCTTTTCTGAGTACTGAAACATGGATGCATGGAAATCATCTCTGCATTTCTACCTGAGAATGATGGCTGTTATTTAATGTGTTTAAGGTATTTTGATTTTGTAAAATTCTGATTTTAGAATACACCCCCCTTGGGGAGAATCTTCTAAGCGAGAAGTTATAAAGAGCCCGTGGGACATGGTCTGATCTGGTAGAGAGAGCCTGAGGAAGACTTGCTCATTCCGAGATTTCATGTTGATCAGTTACCTTGGTCTGAAAATAGCAAAGTGCTAGAAATACCTTTCAGAGAGAGAAGTTACATGTCCACTGAGGAGGGAAAACATGGGAAAAGGAAGATGCCAGGTTTCTCTATGAGCTCTGTAATGGGGACAGCTAATATAAATTGTGGATTGGTAGGGAAGTAAGAAAAAGGAAAACACATGCAGGTTAGAGTGTTTTCAAAGAAAAATCTCCACAAGTCACAGTGACTGAATACCATGTGTAATGAAAGACAGGGACTGTCAATGCTGATGGAGTTTCAAGCCTGCCTAATTGGGGAAATGCTGGTGTTATTGATGAAGGAAAGGTACAGCATGCTGAGCCCAGTGTAGATGGAAGGAAAAGGATGAGCTCAGCTTGGCAAGTGATCATATGAGGGGAGAAAATAGAACAGCCAAGTGGGGATCTTCAGCAGGAATTAAAGACAGCACAGCTGGAAATTAGGTGAGAGAACATGGCTGATGGTATAGATTTGGGCATTATTTTTATAGATGTTATCCAAGAAGCAGACAGACATTTGTAGCAAGAGAAAGAGGCCAGAAACCAGGCTGAACTTTCAGAAATGCTCAGGGTTCAGAGTTAGGGGACAGAAAGAAGAAATGCCAGGATTTGAGGCAAAGATCAAGCAAGGAAGTAAAATGAATAAGCTTGGAAATAGGTAGAGGGGTTTCAAGACAGATAATCAGTATATTCTTGAGCTTCTTATTCAATAAATGTGTCCGTAAAGGAAAAGAAATAAGATGGTAGCTCAGGAGGGTACCAAGATCATGCTAAGATTTTCTTTCAAGGTGAAGGAAAAACATACAGATTGGAAGTCTACACAGGGAAAGAGTTTGAAGCTACCGGAGAGAAGGAATAAATAAAGCAACATCATTCTCAGATAGGATTTAGCTTTAGAGAAAAATAAAGATACAGATTCCTTTGAGCTGAAGGGAAGGGCAACAGGGGTAAACATTAAAAACGGAATAGAGAATCATTTATCACTGAGTGAGGATATGGACTTCAGAAGAATTAAGAGACTCTGAAATGGCTATTAGTAGACATGTGTTAAAGCATGAGGAAAAAACTTGCAGCTAAGTATTTCAGTGCTGAACTGGGGAGCAATCGCAAAATAAATATTTGCTGAGTTCCTTCTATGTGCTAGGCACATGCATTTGAAGCCGAATACATCTTTTACTAGCAACACTCTGTGACCAGGGCTCAGGGGTGCAGAGAGTCAAGGAGAGGACTACTTAGTATGGAAGTGGGGACAGCACTGAAGGAAGTGCTGGCCAGGAGTCCAGAGTCCAGAGCCACTCACAAAATGCTATTCAAGATTCTAATAATTTTTCTAGTTTTGTTTTGACAAAACTTACCACTTTTGGCATCCCTCATTTACATCTAGATCTTAGATATCATTGAACCCAATGTTTCTTAAAGAGGGCTTCTGTGAGATTCAGCAATGAGACCGAACAGCTCCACATTTATTGATTTTATATATTTTGGTCTTTTTAATATGTCTATGCCGGCAAGATTTCTTTTGGTTAGAAGAGAATACCAAATGATATGTTTTGGATATGTCCCCACTCAAATTTCATCTTGAATTGTGACTCCCACAATTCCCATGTGTTGTGGGAGGAACCTGGTGGGAGGTGATTAAATTGTGGGAGCAGGTCTTTCCTGTGCTGTTCTCCTGATAGTAAATGAGTCTTACGAGATCTGATGGTTTTAAAAACAGGAGTTTCCCAGCACAAGCTCTCTTTTTGCCTGCTGCCATCCATGTAAGAGATGACTTGCTCCTCCTTGCCTTCTGCCATGATTGTGAGGCTTCCCCAGCCAAGTGGAACTGTAAGTCCATTAAACCTGTTTCTTTTGTAAATTGCCCAGTCTCGGGTATGTCTTTATCAGCAGCGTGAAAACGGACTACATACCAACCTAAACTAACTTAAGTTAAAGAGGAAGTAAATGGATCAAACGACTAATAGCAGGAAGAGGAAGGTATAGCAGGGCTCTTGGGATAAAGGAAGCCAGGAATACCACTGAGATTCTCTCCATCTTTCCACACTGTATCTAGCCATGTATAAGTTTTACTTCCTTCTATTTCAGAAGGACTTCTTCCTCATAATAAAGAACATGGCCTCAGTCAGTTCCAAAGTCTCTTATAATCACTCTCTCTCTCTGATCCAAGGTCAAAAATCTTGGAGGAACAGCTTGATTGTGATTACTCTTGAAATTATAGGCATGAGCACAAGGACTATGGCCAGCCTGGATTGTTCAGTGTCCAGCCCTGGCTAATCAATAAGAAACTGTGGATATTTTAGAAATTGTCAGCTATTGCTACAAAGAGAATAAAATACCAAAGAATCCAACTTAACTTACAAGGGATGTGAAGGACCGCTTCAAAGAGAACTACAAACCACTGCTCAATGAAATAAAAGAAGACACAAACAAATGGAAGAATATTCCATGCCCATGGATAGGAAGAATCAATATCATGAAAATGGCCATACTGCCCAAGGTAATTTATAGAATCAATGCCATCCCCATCAAGCTACCAATGACTTTCTTCACAGAATTGTAAAAAAGTACTTTAAGGTTCATATGGAACCAAAAAAGAGCCTGCATAGCCAAGACAATCCTAAGCAAAAAGAACAAAGCTGGAGGCATCATGCTACCTGACTTCAAACTATACTACAAGGTTACAGTAGCCAAAACAGCATGGTACTGGTACCAAAACAGACATATAGACCAATGGAACAGAACAGAGGCCTCAGAAATAACACCACACATCTACAACCATCTGATCTTTGGCAAACCTAACAAAAACAAGAAATGGGGAAAGGATTCCCTATTTAATAAATGGTGCTGGGAAAACTGGCTAGCCATATGTAGAAAGCTGAAACTGGATCCCTTCGTTACACCTTACACAAAAATTAATTCAAGAAGGATTAAAGACTTAAATATTAGACCTAAAATTACAAAAACCCTGGAAGAAAATCTAGACGATACCATTCAGGACAGACGCATGGGCAAAGTCTTCATGACTAAATCACCAAAAGCAATGGCAACAAAAGCCAAAATTGACAAATGGGATCTAATTAAACTAAAGAGTTTCTGCACAGCAAAAGAAACTATCATCAGAGTGAACGGGCAACCTACAGAATGGGAGAATATTTTTGCAATCTATCCATCTGACAAAGGGCTAATATCCAGAATCTACAAAGAACTTAAACAAATTTACAAGAAAAAAACAAACGACCCCATCAAAAAGTGGGCAAAGTATATGAACAGACACTTCTCAAAAGAAGACATTTATGCGCCAACAGACACATGAAAAAATGCTCATCATCACTGGTCATCAGAGAAATGCAAATCAAAACCACAATGAGATACCATCTCACACCAGTTAGAATGGCGATCATTAAAAAGTTGGGAAACAACAGATGCTGGAGAGGATGTGGAGAAATAGGAACGCTTTTACACTGTTGGTGGGAGTGTAAATTAGTTCAACCATTGTGAAAGACAGTGTGGCAATTCCTCAAGGATCTAGAACCAGAAATACCATTTGACCCAGCGATCCCATTACTGGGTATATACCCAAAGGATTATAGATCTTATCTTGCTACTATAAAGACATATGCACACGTATATTTATTGTGTCAGTATTCACAATAGCAGACTTGGAGCCAACCCAAATGTCCATCCATGATGGACCAGATAAAGAAAATGTGGCACATATACACCATGGAATACTATGCAGCCATAAAAAAGGACGAGTTCATGTCCTTTGCAGGGACATGGATGAAGCTGGAAACCATCATTCTCAGCAAACTATCACAAGGACAGAAAACCAAACACCGCATGTTCTCACTCATGGGTGAGAAGTGAACAATGAGAATACTTGGACACAGGAAGGGGAACATCACACATCCGGGCCTGTCAGGGAGTAGGGGGCTGGGGGAGGGATAGCATTAGGAGAAATACCTAATATAAATGACTAGTTGATGGGTGCAGCAAACCAACATAGCACATTTATACCTATGTAACAAACCTGCATGTTGTGCACATGTACCCTAGAACTTAAAGTATAATAATAATTAAAAAAAAAGAAATTGTCAGCTAAAGTGAGGAAAGAGGAATAGTTCCCAGAAAGAGGGAAAAGAATTTGTATTATTAGGATGAATAAGTAAATGTTAATAGATATGTCTGTGATCTTTTTGGCAATTTTATTAAGGCTCACTAGATACGGCTTTCTTTGTATTTATCCAGAATATTCATAAGTTGTTGAATGGATAAATAAATTATATTTATGTATGCAGTGGAATACTATTCAGCAATGAAAATGAATGAACTACAGTTACACGCAGCATGGATGAATCTCACAAACATAATGTTACGTAAAAGAAGACTTAATAGCAAAATAACATGTACTACAGTTTTCTATTTATTAGAAAGTTAGTCTGTGATGTTAGAGGTCAGAAGAGCTCCATACACAGCTAGGATGGAGGGCACCAGGAGGCTAGTATTGTTCTATTCCTAGATCCAGGTGGTGTCACATGGATATGTTTACCTTGTAGTAGTTCATTAAACCATATGCTTATAATTTGTGTGCTTATACAGTATGTTATACTTAAATAAAAACTTTTTCTACAAAAATGCTTGTTAGCAATGTTGGGGGGTGGGAAAGAAATCCGCTCAATTTAGCTTGAATAAAGATTGCCACTATTAAGAATCATTGATGTAATTCTGTCCCCTATTCTTCTGCCCACAGTTCAACATTTTTCCTACTCCTCAGCCTTATACTTGGTTGACTTTCTGCTGTAGAGAGTCAGACTGGGAAAAAAAAAGACACAGACATATGAAATGCCTGTTCAGAGATAATCAGTAACAGATTCTGAAATAAAGGCTGTCTTTGACTTCCAAACCAAAATCTAGAACATTCCACCAATCTACCATAATATACACAATTCTACTAGTTCTGTTACCAAAGATTGCATTCATTTATTCACTCTGCATTTATTATAGGACAGCCAGTCAGGGAGTTCTCATTCTACCGGCCTGCAGCCCAGGGAGTGCTGGAATGGAAATATGAATAGAGTGCTGTATAACACATGCAGGAAGCCATTTTATACCTGGTGGATAAGGGTTGTCTTCAAGGAGGTATTTATATGCGTATGAAATATACACATACAAATGAGAAACATATGTTCAGTAGTTAGGTGGGTGAACTGGTGCAATACTGCCCAGATTAAAACTTTGGCCACATCACTTACCTGTTAGGCAGTATGATCTGCTTGACCTTAGCACAGCCTTTTTGTGCTTCCGTTTCCTCATTTGTAAACTGGGGACAAATTATGGAAGTTAATACATGTAAATGGTTAGGAAGGTGCTATACACATACAAGAGTACTAAGGGTGATAGAGGGCTCAGTGGGAGAAGGCTGGCCTTAGTGGGGAGGGGTATTTTATCATGGACATTGTTTATAACTGCCAACATATGGTAGTGAGAAAAAGTAGACTCCTTTTTTGGTTTTATTATTGTTTTTTAAAACTCTATAGACAATGTAACCCCTTATTGCCTTCATCTGAAGGAAATATTCCCACCTCCCCACCCTCCACCCCCTGTACTGCCAGGTACACAGAATGTACCATATAAGTGCTTGCTAGTATCATTGTTATTATTTAGGTATGGAAGGCCACGTAGGAATTCCCAGAAGAACTGGGAGAAGGGAGGTGGAAAGGACCTTCCTGACGGTGGCATCAACACATGCAAAGACAATTTTATAAAAATACTATGTTCATTCAAACTATCAGTTAATATCCAAGCCAGGAAGGGAACTGGGCTTTCCTGAGAACGGTAGTGCCATCATTGGGAAGAAAAACGAATCATTATGAGAATTTCCTTTGATAGTCATCACTGAAGTCCACTCACAATTTCACGTGAGATTCTTCTGCTTGCAATTAAACATTTTTCCCATTCCTCAGCATTACACTTGTTTGTCTTTCTGCTCTAGAGGGTCAAGGATGGCTTGAAGATATCCATCCTTGAGAGCGCAATTCTGCCAATGAGCTATTTCTGTGCAGTGCTTCTTACTCCGCCAATGTGAGCACCTACTTTAATAAAAAGAATAATCAACTGCTTTGTGGTTTAAAGGATTCTTAATGCCAAGACTTCAGAGTTCTTCTCTATAAGTGCAATTAAGTAAAGGGAGGGACAAAGCCCAGTTAAATAATTCATAAAAGCATAACTACAGGAAAAAATGTTTAACTTATAGTTTTTCCATTAACCAGTGACTTGGCTCCACCAAGTTAGAGGATTCCTTTACATCAAGGACCCAGCATACCAGAGGTCCCCAACCCTCAGGCTATGGGCTGTTATCAGGTCTGTGGCCTATTAGGAACCAGGCCGCACAACAGGAGGTGAGTGGCGAGCAAGCATTACTGCCTGAGCTCTGCCTCCTCTCAGACTGGCAGCGGCATCAGATTCTCACAGGAGCCCAAACCCTACTGTGAACTATGCATGTGAGGAATCTAGGTTGCATGCTCCTTATGAGAATCTAATGCCTGATTATCTGAGGTGGAACAGTTTCATCCTGAAACAATCCCCCAACCCCAGTCCTTGGAATAATGGTCTTCCACAAAACCAGTCCGTGGTACCAAAAAGGCTGGAGACAACTGATGCATACCATTGTATGAGTCCACATGAAAGGCAAGACTTGTCTTACTGGAGTCCCAGGAGGACTAAATGAAAGGATTATAAGAGAATGACAGACATTAGCACATCACGTAGATGACTTAGGCTCCCCCGTCCCCCACACACAAAACAAAGCAAAACAAAACAAAACCTCTATTTCAGCTAAAATTAAAAATAAGCAATATATTTAATCAATTTACACTAGCAAGTAAATATCACTTGTAAGTGTAATATGACTCCTCCTTAGGAGGAGCACCAAAGTAGAAAGCCAAACAAAACAGACTAAATACAATGAGATTATCTAGAGCCAAACTCCAGAAATGTTCCCAGTGGAGACTGTGGAATAGACAAAATAAATTTTAATCCATGAATTGTCTTTATGAATCGACAAAGCTCAGAACATTATGTAGAAGAATTTGTGAAAAATAAAAAATATTTTTTAAAACAGTAAAGTCCCAGTATAAAGTACTCCAATAGACAGTATTCTCTAGCCTAGGCCGAATTTCCTATCCCAACATAATGCTTAGCAGTACAGCACCTGCAGCCCTCCACCTTGGTTTGCATCCTGGTCTTGCCACTCTCAAGTTATATAACCTTGGACATGTTAGTTAACCTCTAAGAGCTTAAATTACCTTGTTTATAAAATGAGGTTAATACTGCTACCTATCACATGGAGGTTTACTAAAATTAAATGAAGTTTTGGCAGAAAGCACTTGGAACAGTGCCTAAAACATAGTAAGAATTCTATTAATGTTAGCTACCTTTTTTTAAACTCATTAACTATTACTTCAGCACAGGTGCATGGCCAGTGTGCTTGGGCAGGCAAAACCTTAGTGAAATTTTAAAAACAAAATGTAATTTGTGCTGTCAGAACGCCCAAACAGGATCTCATGAATCCTTGTGATGCTCATGAGAACAAAACACCTTACGGTGCAGTCAGATCAGAAACATCAGGCTCTAAGAAAACTCAGGAAATGGAAATCTCCCACGCACCCTTGAATGCCACATACCCAGACTTACCTCATTACCTTCTTATCCCTCTCCCATCCCGTTTCCCATGCCCTGGTCTTTCTCCTCCTACTTCTCTTATTGTCTATATCTTAGGAAATAGCATAGTCCCCATCCAGGGGCCCAGTTGAAATTCTAGCTAGTCAGACCCCTACAAGTCAACTGACATTTCATTCCTGCCTTAACTCCCCATCCCTAGAACCTCTAATACATACCTTGGAAATAGTTCATTTTCATCCACTCCTCTTCAGGCACACTGCTGCTGCCCTGGGCTCTGCCTACACTATTTCTCAGCTGAGCTGTTGCAATAGCCTCCTTATGCACCTCTCTGCTTCTATGCTTGCTCCAGGCCAATCATTCTCTATAAAACCCTTGGAGAAAAGTTTCAAACTTACAAAACCAATCATGGCACTTCCCCAATAAAAATTTTTGTTTCTTTTGAGCCACCTCCCTTCTCCTCTCTCTACTTTGAATTCCTTCCACACCACTGGCCCTATTTTATCCTCTGGCCACAAAAATTCACTGCAGGTGCCCAAATCTCCCACATTCCCTCTTCGCTCTGTGCTCTGGGCACATGCCCTTTCCTCTTCCCAGTAAGAGGAATACGAGTTGAGAAAACAAAGACAGCTATGAAGAAATAAGAAGGAACAAAGAAAGTCTAGCATCACAGAACATAGTAAATAAAGAAAAGGTTGTTTTAAGAATTGGGGAAGGAAATAAATTGTGTCAGAGGCAGAAACAAAAATAAGAACTAAGGATTTGGTCACACCGATTACTGCTTTTGTTCTCTCGATTTCTCTATTCAGAAATCTCCAACTCACCCTACAAGTCCCAGTCCAAATGTTGCCGCCTCTCTGGAGCCTTCCCTGACTTCTGTAGGCTGCCAACCCAGATGTTCTACTTTCCCACATTTATAGCATTATACACACAGCTCCACAAAACAATGTTCTAACCATTTTTATACTGGCTTCCTTGCAGGAATATCCTCCAGCACTGAGTCTGGATATTGCAGACCATGACAATGATAATGACAGCAGTGCAATAATAATAATAGTTGTTTCTTTTGTTGATAATGGCGACTATTTGGTAGACTCTAGGCACTTTGCTAAGGCATTTATTGATTGAATTGCATAGAATTGCTGTGTTTATTGGCCAAAAGGGTCATATATTATGACCAGGTCATACCTGGTAATTTCAGGTAGTTCAGCCTAAAACATGCACTGTTTTCATCTTCACCACAATTTGAAGAGGCAGATGTGTTATTATACCCATTCTATGAGAAACAAAATTGAGGTTCAGAGGTTTTAAGTAACTTTTCCCAAGGTGATATAACAGAAAAGTGAAGAAGCCCAGACCCTCATCCAGGACTGCCTGACTCTCAGCACTCCTAACCAGTATTATATTCTGACTCCCAGAATTATTAGTTAAATTGGTTAACCAACTAAAGCAATAATATGGGGGTCTCCAAAGATAATGGTTGCCTAGCATAAAGAGGCAAGTTGGTGTTCACGGAGTCTGGGTAGGACAAATCCTGATGTTCATGTGTGAGTTAAAACAGGCTTCTCTGCAGCAAGCGAAGGCTGTTAAATATTGAAATGAGCTAATAAGGAAGGTTATAGACTCTCCTTCAAGAGAAGGATTTCTTCCCCCAATGGAGAATAGATTCTATCTGTCTGAGATGGCTTAAATATAATCCTTTGTGAAGGTCAATAAATTGGCTTGCCAAGTCCTTTCCAGGTCCCTGATGATACTCGGATACACTGGCTCAATGTGGCTCAGTGCGTGGCCTGAAAATGGAGGGTGCTGAACCCTGAGCCAGAAATAATCTCTTCCTTTTTTAAACTCACTTCGCCCTCTGACTCGTCCTTCTTTGTGACATACGTGGTGAATTTGTACGTTGTTCTGATTTCTGCTGAAGAAAAATGCATCTAAAGCACAAAGCACGTGTGCTTCATTTTGACATCTCCCGGAGTGCCCAGCACAGTGCTTCATGCTACATTTTTAAAATGTGATCAAATGGTGCTTCTTTTTGTCTTCTGAAAGAATCCTATAGTATCAACTGAAAATAAGGCTGTTATTTTTGTCTAAAATTTATTGTCAAAATTAAACTCACAGCATAAGAACAAAGCTTTCTTAAGTGTGCTTTTGGTTTAAAGATGAACCAGTACTGTAGTCAAAAAGAAAGAGATCTGGCTAGATTACTAATAGATAATAGCACATCCCAATATCTAAGCAAGTGTCTAACAATTCCCAATTACAGTCACTACCATCTCAAAATAATTATAGTGGAAAAGTCTTTTTCATAATTGCCATTCCATAAGAAGCATAACTTTTTATAATTTTTAGTAAATAAGTACAAAAAATTACTCTAGATCCTTATTCTCAATAAAAATAACAATAACTACACTTGTACAGAACATTAAAGTAGGAAATAAAACAAAATTCCTTCAAATGGTTTGGCTCATTTGATCCATATAACAGTTCTTACCATTTATATCACCACTCCAGAGGATATTTACAGGAAACTTGGATCAGAGAGATGAAGAAAATTGCTATGAGTCACAAAGCTAGCAATAGCAGGGTCTAGACTAAAACCCAGGCATTTTCCTGGTTTCAAATTTCATAATTTTTCCACTGCATCCACATGGCCAATCTTTTTTTTTTAATGCATTTTTACCTCAGCAATATAGTTAATCAAGTTTCAGAGAAAGTGACCAATTTGCTGAAGGAGGCACATTTTATTACTTTTGGTAATTGAGCTTGAACATTAATTACTCACATCTTATAAAAAAAAATACCTGTAGTTAACAGTTATTGAGCATTTGCTTCTTGCCACTGAACTAAGTGCTTTACATGGAGTATCGAATTCATTCCTTAAAAGTCTGGAAGGTTGGTCTTCCCCTTTTCCAAGTGTGGAAACTGCAGCTGGCAGAGATTAAGTAACTTTTCCAAGTTCACATGGTTGGGAAAGTTAAGTGGGAGAGCAGTGGTCTGAACCCCTATCAGCGGAACCCAGAATCCAGGCTCTTAACCACCATGTTCATCTGCTATGCTACTGGTTCTCAGGGCTTTGTCCTGGGTAGTCAGCATCAACATCACTGGGGACTTGTAAGAAATATAAATTATCTGGCCACACCCCAGACCCACTGAATCAAAAGCTCCAAGAGGGAGCTCCAGAAATCTATGTTTTAAGCCCTCTACGTGCTCCCGAGGCACACTAAAATTTGAGAAACACTGTCTAGGCTGAAATAAGAGTAGACAGTAGCCATTTACAAGGATTCATTATACATTCTTTGCTATCAGGGAATGCAAAAAGGAAGTGAGAAGTTAGGGACAACTGACAACGTTGTTGAAAATCTTCAGAGGATATTAAAGCCAAAAAGGGAAAAAATAACCTTAACTAGTGCATGCAGAAGCTGAAAACAGCAATGATGACCAATTAATCAGGCAATATGTTACACTGTAATCAAAGACCAGAAAACTCCGGAAGGACTAAATGACATGGAGTTTATTACTGC
Source organism: Homo sapiens (assembly GCF_000001405.40). NCBI lineage: Eukaryota > Metazoa > Chordata > Mammalia > Primates > Hominidae > Homo > Homo sapiens. Next base: position 23,527,961 of record NC_000009.12, read on the forward strand.
ATGGTAAATGACCATTAATAAAACATGGCTGTTAAAAGAACTAAGGAGATGAATAACTGTAGAAAGAAATGTCAGCTGTAGAAGGAACAACTTATGGTCTTAATCACTTGGAGAAATTACAGGTATGGACACAGAATAAAAAGAAAAGAATGGAAATTCACTGTGCTATAAGAAAAACATGGCATGAACCTGATAGCTATTTTAATACAAAATCAAGGTAGTTACAGAGACACTACACACTGGTTAATGAAAGTTTGACCTGGCTAACATTTCAACTGCCAAAAATAATGAATTTACATAATTTTAATAGTACATTGTTTGGCAAACATTCCCATCTCTAGTATGGAAACAAGAAACTCTCTTGGAGTTGCTAAAATGTAAAGATTACTTGACTGGGAATTTATCTTGCACCCTTGGTTATTCCTTGGATTCATCTGGCTGAAGACCTCCACTGACCTGTAATTTTTTTTTAAAGGACTAACTGCACATGAGTGCTTCTGAAGAGAAAACCAAGAGCAGCTTCCAAGGGCATATCCTTCCAATATCATTCATTATATCTCTTTAGAGGACTGCTTTTTCAAAGTACAATGTGGAGGGACTGAAAAGTGACATCAAGCAAAAAAAGCATCTAATAATACCTGCAAGGGAGTATAAAAAGAAAAAGGATTCCAACAGAGATACCAAAAGTCATTATACAACATAACTGTGAGTTATTTTTTTTTCATTTGATGGCTACTGATTTGAGGTCTTTAAAAAAAAAAAAAAAAAAACTTCAGTTGTTTAAGAGGAAGCAAATCAAAGAGAATGCATTCATTGAAGCTGTCAAAGGAAATATTAACCAGTAAAATTGTCTAAATGAGATTTATTAGGAAAAAGTATGCTCTTATCTAACTCAGTGTTTTGTAACAATTTTCCATTCCCATATTTTAAAAAATTAACTAAAATGTATTGACTGCTTACTACATGCCAGGAATCATTTAAGCTTATTATGTGAATTATCCTTGGTAATTTTCATAGCAACTCTATTACATATAACTGTTTGTGTCCTCCCTCCAATTCACACTTTACAGATAAAAAAGTTGAAGGCAGATAGCTAAAGTTACAGGTGGTATCTGTTCTCCAAGGACAGCCCCAAATAATTCCATCTCTTCCTATATATACAAGCTGCTCCAGCCACAATAAGGTGGAACTCACATTCCTCCGCCTTGAACCTGTGCTGGATCTGAGACTGATTTGACCAATAGAATGCAGAGAAAAAAAATATTATAAATCTTCCAAGACAGGAATTAAGAAGGCCTGGCAGCTTCTACAACTTGAAATCTAGCCACCATGTTGTAAGGAAGCCCAAGAAGCCATGTGGAGAGGCTCATGTGGAGAATAATCAAGGCCCCTGGCTGATAATTTCCACTGAGCTATCAGCCAACAGCCAGCACCAACTTGCCAGTTATGTGAGTGAACTATCCCCCAGCCCCAGTTAAAACACTCTAGCTGATGGTGCATGGAACATAGATAAGCTGTCTGTCTCCACCAAGCTCTACCCAAATGACAAAAATCATTGTTTTAAGGCACCAAGATTTGAAGTGATTTATTGCACATCAGTAGATAACTAAAACTTTGAACTACCCAAAGTTATAGAGAGAGATGACTCAACATTAGGTAGGCCATAGATTTCACTCTCAAATATATTAACAAACTGCACATGAGGATGTACAATGGAACAATTCCAATCAGAGGCAAGGGTGAATAAAGATGTTCATATATGGACATTTTATTCAACAAGCATTCATTGAGAACCACTGAGGAAGCAGGCACTGAGCCCAAATGTGCTGGATATAAAGGTAAATAGTCAGAACCCTGAGCTCAAGGAATTCTCCATGCAAGGCCACTAAGAAAAAATTACAATACCAGAGGAAATGAACAAATTGGTGTAGACTAACAGGTAGATTCTTGAGATCACTTGGCGACCTAAGTAAATACTGTTGATTTTCTTATATCTACCCTAAGGCAAGGAATTATAGGGGAAAAACTTAGAATGAGTTGAGAGTAGGGGTATGAAGAAAAGTTGCACTTAGAGAAACAAAGTAAACTTGCATGGTACAACAACAACAACCACAAAAACACTATATATACACACACGCATAAATATACACATACACATATAAAATGGAGGAGGAAAGGCAAAATGTGATAAATGGTTATTAGGAGAAGGAAAATTTTGTGTGTGTGGACAAGCGCGCGCGCGCACACACACACACACACACACACACACACACACACACACACACACACACACTACTCCTATGGCACGGTCCATAAAAACAGTTTGATCAAAGTGAAGGTCAAACAAAGAGGTTTTTTTAAATGAATTCTAGACTGGTTGTGGTGGCTCATGCCTATAATAACCAGCACTTTGGGAGGCCAAGGCAGAAGGCTCACTTGAAGCCAGGGGTTCAAGACTAGCATGGACAAAATACGGGACCTCATCTCCACAAAACAAAACAAAACAAAACAAAAGACCAAAAGTATTAGCTGTGCATGGTGGTATGCACCTGTAGAACCAGCTACTCAGGAGGCTGAAGTGGGATGATTGTATGAGCCCAGGAGGTCGAGGCTGCAGTGAACTATGATCACACCACTGCACTCCAGCTTGGGAGACAGAATAAAATCCTGTCTCAAAATAAATAAATAAATAAATAACTCTTTTTTAAAAAACAGGGACTACCATTTCCAGACAAGATGGGAGTTATTCCATTTCCCCCTCTTACAGAAGCAGAAACTCTTCCTCTTACAACTAGAAAATCGTGGCCATAACAGCACCAACAAGCTGACTCAATTTCTGAAAGAGGAGGAAAAGACAGTCTGCCTAGCAATCTCAGGACTTAAGAAAAGACACTGTAGTAAGTTTCCCTCCCCTTACTTCCCCTAGCCCCTCATATATCCCAGACGTGGCACTGCAGAAGCTTCCAACAAGAGACCGTCAACATGCACAGAAAAAGCCTACTCTCCTCAGCCAAAGGACTAGGACAGGGTGTCCAACCAACAGAAATATTTATGGCAATACCACCTCACTGCAGCCAAATCCTAAAGAAAAAACTGCATTCCCCCATCCTGTGGTTTTAGTGAGGCTGAGTACAGCGCTCATCTTCCACCCACCTATAAGGTTTCTCTCCTTATAGAAACCATCAGTGAGGCTCATATTCCCCACATGGGTAGTTTCTTGACCCCTAATAGAGGTCTGGAGGCAAGAGGAGCCTCTTGTCCCTACCAGGTAACAAAAAAATTTAAAGGAACTGTGAGTCCACTTTCCCCTGGCCCTGTGGCAGTGAAGCCCAGTGGAAAGCTGAAACATCCATGCCCACCCAGCAGTAATAGGAGGTATGGGGCTGGGTTAGTTGGAACTCCTTGTCCTGCCATCCCCTCTTTTTATTTTATTTATTTTTTTTTTTTTTGAGACGGAGTCTCGCTCTGTCGCCCAGGCTGGAGTGCAGTGGGGCAATCTCGGCTCACTGCAAGCTCCATCTCCCGGGTTCACGCCATTCTCCTGCCTCAGCCTCCCGAGTAGCTGGGACTACAGGCGCCCGCCACCATGCCTGGCTAATTTTTTGTGTGTAATTTTAGTAGAGATGGGATTTCACCGTGTTAGCCAGAATGATTTCGATCTCCTGACCTCGTGATCCACCCGCCTCAGCCTCCCAAAGTGCTGGGATTACAGGCGTGAGCCACCACGCCCGGCCCATCCCCTCTTTTTGTGTTAAGGACACCCAGCCAGGAGCTGGGCTTCCGTCCCATCCTGCAGCAACAAAGCAATGTGAATCAGTCCTCTGCTTTCCTCCCTCGCTGATGATGTCAGGGCACAGTCACAGTCATTAGCTGGTCTTACACGCCCACTCGGAGGCAAAGAAGGAATACGAATTAATACCCCACTTTCTCTAGAAACATGTCAGTGGGGCTAAGGAAAGAGCTAAATTTTTAACCCACCAACCTGCAGTAAGGCAGTGTGAACCAGCACTTCACTTCTGCTACTAGCAGAGCCCATTGGGAAGCTGGACACATACTCATACCCAGCCCTCAGGCTACACCTCAATAGGGGGACTATGTATAACACTAAAAAAAAAAAAAAAAAAAAAAAAAAAAGATTAAATAGAATCCAGAGTGCCACAATATAACATCCAAAATGTCCATGATACAATAGAAAATCACAATTTAAATAGAAAAGATATCCACAGCCATCAACACCAAGATTAATCAGATATCGAATTATCTGACAAAGATGTTAAAGTAACCATCATAAAAATGCTTCCATGAGCAATGATGAATTCTCTTGAAACAAATGAAAAAAAACAATTATCAACAACACAATCTCAACTTGTTAGGTTTATATAACTAGCAACTATGGCTGGGACATCTGTTCTTTCTCAAAATCAGAAGTTGCTTATTCTATAACGATAAGGATAATTTGTCCACCTGAAAATAATTACAGTGCTGACTCTCATTTTCCAAGAACCTAAGAAATTATTACGCAATTTAATCTTCTAAAGACCCCACAGCCAACATGATGACCAGAAGTTAACTTGATTGTCTGACATTAGTTGTTTAGCCATTTCCCATCAATTTAACCCTGTTTATTCATTTGCCTAGCATCTATTTTGAAGCTTCAAACCTCTCACAAAAATCCTCTAGCACATGGTAAATGGAAGAAACAGTGAGTATTTTGGGCTTGACACTGACTTTTATTTATCCTTGACAATGATAAAAATATACCTCTTTTCTTCTGAAAAAAAAAAATTGTCAAATGTTTGCTGTGGGATAAGACCTTAAAGAGAGAAATGCTTCCAATGGTCTTTCTTCATTGTTTTAGGTTTGTATGATATCAATCAAGAGGTGCCCCAAAGTGAACCTTTGCTTAATACCTGCCATAATTCTAAAATCTATACATACAGTCTTTGTGCATTAAACACCTTTCTGTCTTGAGGCATTTTCTCTCGAAGTGAAAACACTGTGAGGAATTCCATCTCAGGGATGAGTGCCCTGTTAGGATTCAAAACACCTGGCTCCATCTGACTTCACTGCTCACTGCCCAGTGTGACTTGGGGCAAGTCTTTAAACCTCTCTAACCTCGTCTTACTATTTGTACAGTGTAGATAACCCACCTATCTGGTCCACTTGGCAGAGTTAGCAAGAAAAATAAAATGCTGCCTATGTGGATGATTTTTGTAATGTAAGGAGCTATACAAATACAAGTGATTCGTATTACTTTTTGGTAGAAATTAGTAGAATTGTATAGAAACTTGTTGTTACGTCAAAATAAACTCTTCAGTAATTCAAACATACAAATAGGATTTTAGGGGCATCTGGGGAGCTAGTAGGTATATTTAAAAGGAATTAGAGAGACTATGAGAGGGAAGATGGGAGGTTGCCATAAACAGGTTTTGCCTGCACCTCAGATGTCCCTGAGATACTTAATTGGAATGGGTGGTCCTTCAAACAGGTACAGTGGAGGATATGCTCAGGACCAAGACAAGGCTGGAAGCTAAATATGCTGTTTCTGGCATGACACCTGGATCCAAGGGGGTGGGCAACCTGAAAGTGCCATCAATTATGTACACAGTATTTCCTTGCAAGGAAAAATAGAAATAGTCTGGAGTTAGTCTTTCACCAAGATTGGCGGGTAGGAGGCATTAAGATAGTCAAGAAGACCAAGCTAATGGATAAATACTACGGGCTTCAGTGCCTGCCATCATCAACCTGCTTCCTTAACTAAAAGTTATGTATTCCGGAAAATAATGCGAAAATCTTGTTGCTATTGAAGAGCAGTTAAAGGCAGATAAAATCTCAACGCTGTAATGTGCATTCAGTTGTTTCAACTCCAGGGACATACAGGTGTTAAGGTCAAATCTCAGGGAAGCCAAGTGCCCAGCACTGTTTCTAGCCAGTTGTCCTCTCCCCAGTCAACTTCGAGTCTCTGTAGAGAATCATAGTTTTCTTTCAGAAACTGCTGTGCCTACAGTCACTGAACAATCAAGCATTTGTGTTGTTACTCCTCCCAGGGATGTCAAATTAGAAAACAGCATCCCATCTCTGGGTGATCTGTGTTGCTGTGAAGTTGCAAATGAATTTGTTGTCTTGCTTTAAAAAAAAAAAAGTGCTCACATGTATACCTATGTAACCAACCTGCACATTCTGCACATGTACCCCAGAACTTAAAGTAAAATAAAAAAAATACAAATAAAAAAGTGGTAACTCATGTAAAAAAAAGCTCAAAAATTATAGACCTTCCTCAGTTAATACTATTCCTGGAGTGTGTTAAACACTTTTCCCCAGTTCATTTTTGTTAAAAAGCTATTCCCTTTTCTTCCACCCCAACCCCTGGAAGACTGCAGAAGTTACAGGAAAAAGTACTGGAATGAATGTCCAAAGGCTAGAGTCTAATTTTATTCCATTACTAACTTACTGAGTGACTGACCTTGAACATGTCTCAACCTCTTTAGAATATTGATCTAAATATTATACGTATTTACTGTCTGTGGTTGGCTGACTTTTTTCTAATTTGCTTTACTCTTTTGTTGGCATCTGCTTCTATATGAAAAAAAATTACTGGTCTTGGCAACCATTTCCTGAAATAGAGTTTAATTTTCTTACAGCCAAACTATATGTAACATCACTCAGAGTAGTGACTCGCACTACAGTTTCACAAGTGTGTATATGTGTGGATTCTGATAATTTTGTACTCTGTAGGGGAGGAAAAGAAATACAACTCAAGTTGAGAAGAAAAATTATCCTCAAAAATGTTTCGTTATCACTGTTTTTAGAGACTTTTGTTAAGGTTAGAGTTTGAGATAGCACCAAGGTGGTAAAATGTGCAGAGAACAATGATAAAGTCTCAAGTTTAGCAGTCAGAAAGACCTGGGTTGAATCTTTGTCTCTGCTACCCACTAGCTATGTGATTTTTACACAACTGGTAAGTTGGTATAATATCTAGCTTGCAAATTAGATTTTCTATGGCAAATATAATGCAAATAAAGTCCTTACACATATAAGGAACTCAATAAATGGTGCTTTTATAATGATGATGGTTGTGATTTCTGGGGGCAGAAGGAGAACACAGAAGGAGGAGAACAATACTTTGCTTCTGTAGCAGCAAAGTCATCCTTTGTCAGAAAAGGGCTTTCAGTTCGGTTCTGTAGAGCCTTCTAAGGGGGACTGTAAGCTACAACTCATCTTAAGAATTTCAACCCATGTCTCCTGTTTTCTTTGCAATAGACCAAAGCATACCCTCTAAGATTCCAAAGTGTCCCCCATGAGCTTCCCCTGAGGATATTTCCTCACGAGAAGTAAGAAAAGGCCCATCCTCCAATTTCTGGGACCTAAGATGATGATCATAGCAATAATAATAATAAAATAATGCTTACCACTTATTGGGTTCTTTCTATAGAGGCCAAGCACTTTACTAAGTATTTTACATATATTATCTTATTTAATCTTCTCATCAATTTTGTGCATAGGTATTATCACCCCATTGAGAGATAAATAAGAATCTCAGGGCTCAAAGAGGTTAATAACTGAAAGTGCCAAGATTCATGCTCCACTTTCTTATTCACTACTTTATTCTGCATTATGTGCTACATGAAAATACTTAGCCTTGTTAATACTTAACCCAGGCTCCCTGGCTGCTAGGATTTTATGCTAAATTGTATAATTAGAATTTCAAATTTAGGGCAGTGACTGAGAATTATTATACCTCAATATATGACCTTACAAAAGTATTTACTATAATAAATTTGTCTGCACTATCTTTTGGGGAAGTCTACAGAATTCTAAAGCAGAGTCACACACTTAAACAGAAAAGAAATAGAAATGAGACTATACTTTTTTAAAAGGTGCTCAAATTAATAATTAATCTTTTAAATTTTTAATTGACATATAATTGTACATATTTATGTGGTACAGAGACACATTTCTATGCATGTATACAATGTGTAATGATAAAATCAGTGTAACTGGCATATCTACCACCTCAAACATTTATCATTTTTTTGTGTCGGGAAATTTCAGAATCCTCTCTTACAGCTATTTGCAAATATACAATAAATTATTGTTTACTATAGTTGCTCTAAGTGCTAGAGAAACCAGAACTTATTCCTTCAATCTAGCTGTAGTTTGATTTGCCAATATATGTGTAAATGCTATGTGCCAGGCCCAGTTATAAGCATCTTATACCTATTATTTAATTCTTACCACAATAAAAAATTCTATGTGTAGATGCTATTAAAATTCCCATTTTACAGATGAGAGAACAAAGGCACAAAAATTATAAACAACTATTTTTGAAAGAGTTGATTAAACACCCAGGACAAGAAAAAGTCTTTAACAAGCAAAGAACACAGATGCAAATGAAAAAATCAATCTTATTTATAAAGAAAAACAATAAAAACAACATAGGAGTTGTTCCTCGAGATTGAAGGATATTAGTGATCAGTTTACAAATAAATTGGGTTTGCATATCTTAGATATGTTGGATTTTACACTACTGAGTCAGAGAACACTCTCATTTTGCTCAGATTTAGTCCTCAGAGATCCAAAATAACACCCAAATTGCTACTTCACACATATTATCAACATTTGGTCTTAGATCTCTCCAATAACTTTTCTGTATTTCTGGAATTGTTTCAGGAGATCCATCGCCTAGGTTTCATAACATATTTAATTAGTTATTCGTTCTTATTTTGTTACAAAACTCAACAAATGGGTTGTGGCATCTTCATTTATAGAATGAACACTTTCACTTTATGAAATTGGTGCTACACACTAAGTCATCTGACTATTCCATGGTCAACCTTCCTCTTCATTTTAAATAAATCGTTTCCAGCTTGTACTGCTTTTAATGAGATTAAATGAATAGAGACCTAGCCTCCTTTTATTATAAGGAGTTGATCGTTTCAAATATCCCCAAAGTCATCTTGAATCTGTGAGATCCACTGCCTGCCTTTTGTAATACTTAACTGGAATGCTTTATTCCAAGAATAAAGTGGTGCTCAAAGTCAGCATTTAAAAATGTTATCAAACAGATTTTTTTAATGTTGCTAATTGCCCTTCTCCTTTCTCCAAGAAACTGTGCTAGCCTTAACATACATTGCCACATATATAAATACTAAATGCTTATTAAAAGACAGGCATTGTGCTAGGTGCTGGAGATACAAAGATGTTTAAGATACACCCACAAAGAACTGAACAAGACAGGGCACCAAAGCCACTCAGCTGACTGTCATCTTGAAATTATGGATTCTGTGTCCTAATTTATCACCCTCATTCTGTTCTAGCCTTTCTGATGCTTGGCATTAATTTTCCTTTTCTGAGCACTGACCCCACCTCTCCTATTCTATTCCTCCACTGTTGAACCGGAACAAAGGTCACTTGAAAGCGAAGCAAAACTCAGCTGTTACCAAAGGCGCAAAGATCAAAGTTGGCAGCTACGCTAAAGTTCAGGATTCAGAGACTTCCTCTTTAAGATCAAAATTCCAGATGATCCAAATATAGGCAAATGAGCCCCAGTAGAACACTCAGCTTTCTGTGCTGAATCCAGGAAAGAAGCAGAAATCACCATAGAAGCAACTCAGTTTCACTCTTTGCAACCCCGTGGGCTCTATGCTAATTGCCTACCCCAAGAGTGAGATCGCATTTCAAAATATGGTCAAACGCAAAACAGCCAAGTCAATCAAGCATTAAGTATTCAAGCACAATTATCCGAACACATGCCCAAGGACCAGCAGTGAAGCAGCTTAATTTGGGAGCGGCTCCGTAATCATCTCTCCGGGCAGCTGAGATTTTAACCTCTCCCCTCGGGCCTCCTGTTCGGGGCACTAGGCTAGCTCTCTCTGTGTGAGAGATCACAACGGGAGCCGCTGCCCCCCAGTTGTGAGGCTTCATTTAAATTCATGCTAAGGGTAAGGGAGGGGGAGGGGGCAGAAGGTCTGCAGAAGCCCCCATTGTTGGGGAGAGACGTGTGGGAGCAGATGGTCTGGCTGGTCACTCAGTCTGGCTGTCAGATGCTCTCTGTCAAGTTCCCTGGGGACTGCAGGGTTTTCTTTCCACTCTCCGCTCTGGTCATATGTGTTTGCTCAGCGTGAGCGAGGGGTCTTTTTCTTTATCACCCCTCAGACTTCCAGGGGGCTGAGTTGCCTTCTCCGTCCCCCACTCCTTCCCTCTGCTTTCTCTGCTTTTTCTGGACCAGCTAGTGCCGCGCCTCCAAGGGCCCGCTCGCTGCAGAGAAAAGCAAGCGATTTCCTTTGTCTCTAATTGATGCTGCGCTCTCATCCAGCAGCTTCTGACTGGCATGCTCACTCGGTTATTTAACAAATTACTCCACAGCCCTCATTAGAACTATTGACATGTACAGCTAACCAACCCCTACAGTTAGGGACGATGTGGTAACCGACTTCCATCATCTTCGTGGCTCCTTTTACTTCTGTCCTGCAATGGGATAAGCAGATAGACCTTCAGAGGTTTAGTGGGCCTTAATACTCACCTTTTATATTATGTCAGGGTCTAAAAAAAATAAACAGATAAAACATGGGTTACAGATGCGACTCTTATTTGCATCAGTAAGGGACAAACACGGAGTCAGCTTTTCTACATATAACTCTGTCTCTAAAGCATTAGCTGTTGAACATAAATCTTGGCCTCAAAACCTGCTCCCTTTTAAGATTCCACACAGCTTGTGCCAAGGCAGCTATTCCTTGCAGTTCTCAGTTAAGATTTTCCCCAGCTCAGGAGGCTGTTAAATTTTAGTTTTTAGACCATACTGGCAGCTCAGGACTCACTAATGATGCCTCTGTCAGCTGGAGGAAGTCAATGTCAGCCCAGAGAGGATAGTGTCTGAGATTGGGTGGCAAAGTGAAAGTGAGAAATATCATTTGATCCCCTCATCTGGCTGGGATTAATGTTTTCCTTTCATAAGTTATCCTCTGGAAATAAACGTTTGAGTGTTTCCATTTACACTCATCAACAGAATTTTGTTTTCGTGTTTATCTCCCTTTCTCCCCAAAATTATAGAAACTTGAAAGCAGAGATTGTAGTAGTCGTATTTATTGGTTCAGGATACAGTGTTATCTCTTCAGAGTAGCTCAATAAATGTTAAATAAACAAATGACAGAAATTAACAAATACTAGAAATTAACAAAATGGAATATAAGAAAATGTAAAAGAAGACTAGCTCTAAACTAAATGTGAAACATTTTTTCCATACCCCCACTATTCTAGATATTCCTGTATGCTACAGCAAAAACCATACCATTTTACTGTGAAGTAAAATGGCTGTGAAGAATTAAACAGAAAACCTGACTCACTAAAAACTTATAGTCTAAAAGATCAAAAACTCTAACTGCCCAAGTACTAATGTCAGGTGAAGACCAGCCCACAAGCTAGCAACTTGGACAAGCAGTTTTGCAAGAAGTGCAATTGACACATCTGTGAGGGATGGGACAGGAGCTTACCAAGGCCTGTAAACCTCACCCAGTTATTTGCATGAGCCCTGAGTAGACAGGGGTTACATGCAAAAGCAGAAGGAATGGATTAAGTGCAGGGCTGCTTTAGTGCCCAAGATACAAAGTGTGACACGGAGAGTGGGGGCTGTCTTCCCCTGAGTAGCACTGCTGCAGGAGCTTGAGCATTTACAGCTTTCAGAACCTCAGGGGATGGCATCTTTAGCACAGACATCAAGCTTCTTCATTGAATACTTGTTGCAGTAAGATACCAAGTAGCTTACCAGGACATCATTGTGGGTGGAGGGGCTGAAGAAAAAAGAAAAGGAGGAAATGGACACAACCCATTGTAGTACAGAACACTGTGCAAACACCCCTAAAGAAAGTCAAAAATTGAAAACTTAAGGAGGCCTGCCTATATACCCTACTTTAGCAGATAAAGGTGAAAGCCAGGACATATTGTTTATGCACACTTACATACATACTTTTCTTTTTACGGCATGTTAGCTTTTCTTTTCATGTAGACATAAGTACCAGAAAACCCATCTTGCACATATAACAATACACCCTCCAATTTGAAATCATAGAACACTCTTTAGGAGTGGGTATCTCTATAGTTTGTGTTCTATAATTTTCTAAGAAAGACTTCTCTAATCCATTCAATCTACTGTTTTTTACCTTTACAAAAGTCTTTTTGTTATAACATGAACCAAAGAGACCACTTTAAAATAAGATGAGCAAATGCTCTACAGATAGACTGCCACCATCCCTTCTCATACCCGTTACAGACATTGCTGGTCACTAAAGGCTTTAATTCTAGCCTTCAAATTCTGCTAAAGCACAGTATACCAGCAGCTTTTACCAATCAATCTGTGCTGGTATTTGATATTGCTCCTATTTGTCACCTTCTTTAAAGATAATAATCACATATTGCAAATATTAAAGCACAGGAAGTGAGCTTCATTGCTCAAGAGGCAGTGAGAAGACTATGACACAACTTTTACTATCAAAAGGGCATGTCCACCATTGTCAGGAAGTGCTCCTGGTTTCCACAAGAAGACATGGAATGTAGCCTGTGGGATGGGGTAGAGGATCATGATGGGAGGACAAGCTTAGAAAAATGGTAACTTGACATACTTACATTTGTGTGTGTCTATGGAGATAGTGGGTATTTGGTAGCATTGAGGAAGCTGAGGAGTCCTAGGAAGATTTTCAGGGAGGTAGCTTCTCAGGCTTGGCAGGCTACAGGATAGGAATAGGAAGTTGTTTCTCCTTGGCCACATCTTCCTAGAAGTGATAAGGGAAAGCCTTGGATCTCATTTCCTTTTTCTTGGACAGGACCTTCATATTAGCATACAGGCCCCTTAGGTGGTATGTTAATACATAAGAAAGTCCATGACAGAAACTAACAAAAAACAGTCACAACACAGAGTGCCATTGGCCAGGAGCCTTTGCTGCACACTGTCAAGAATAAGAAATTTGAAGAGCAGGTAGGTTTTGTTTTGTGGTTCAGGTTTCAGCTATCATTTGAGTGCTATGTGCTTTGTATATATTAACCACCTCACTTGATCCCCACAACTGCCCTGTGAATTATCCCCATTTAAAAATAACTAAGACCCAGGCGGGGTACAGTAGCTCAAGCCTGTAATCCCAGCACTTTGGGAGGCCGAGGCGGGTGGATTACGAGGTCATGAGATGGAGACCATCCTGGCTAACACGGTGAAACCCCGTCTCTACTAAAAATATAAAAAATTAGCCGGGTGTGGTGGTGGGCACCTGTAGTCCCAGCTACTCGGGAGGCTGAGGCAGGAAAATGGCGGGAACCTCAGAGGCAGAGCTTGCAGTGATCCGAGTTTGTGCCACTGCACTCCAGCCTGGGCGACAGAGTGAGACTCCATCTCGAAATAAATAAATAAATAAATAAATAAATAAATAAATAAAAATTAATAAAATAAAATAACTAAGACCCAATGAGGTTAAAGTCATAGAGCCCGAAGTGGCCAAATCAGTATTCAGATTAGAACGGGTTTGTGGCAACAAAGCCAGGGTTCTTTCACCACACACTGTAAACCCATCTCAGGGGTGAATAACCTACACACCTAGAATATCTTTAAGGCCCATCCATGCTTCTTCCTTCTCTCTCTCTCTCTGACATGAGCTTTACAGGGACTTCTTTTTCCTGGCCAACTCTGTTTCATGTGCCACATCTGGGTCTGAGAATGGAACAACAAGAGAAGGACAGTCTCTATGGCTTAACTTTCCAACAGTAGAAAAGAATTGAAGGCACCCTTCTCTGAAGTTTCACTCCCCTTCTCTTGTCCAGTGAATATCTAACCAGGCTGTTAATAGCCTCATTTGTGGGTGTCTATGTTTGTTTTACACCAAAATTACATATGATTACATTAAAATTATGAATATTCCTGATTGGCCACTCATTGATGGTAGTATGAGACAGTGAAATGGAAATAAAATTATTCTGAGATTTCAGCTCTTCAACAAATGTACACTGACATAATGTTAATATTTAACAGCTGGTATGAATCAGGTATCAACCAGAGAGAGTGTACAGGCCCTGGGGGCTGCCCAGCTGTGCCAGACATTAGGAACCTCTTAATTGCTGAAATACAGAGAAATGTGGAAAGATGGTAGAGTACAATGAGAAGACCCAAAGGAGCGACCCAGTAGCAAGAAAGTTTTCCAATAGTTTAATAATTGGTAGGGTCATAGAGGTGGTGCAACAGTGGAACATCAGCCCTGGAGATGCTTCCTAAAACATGACTCACGGTAACACAATGGAATGTTTTAACATGTCAAGAAAATTATGTTGACAAAAAATGGGGTTAGCCACCCTGTTAAGCCACCTGGCATAGAACATGGAGGCCAATGCCAACAGCTGCACTCATCTTAATGCTAATCCAGGAGAGACTTTGGTCCATTCATCAGGATTCATCAATGGTGGAGATGGGCCCAGCTGGCTCTCTAAGCCTATATCCATTAAAGAGTTAAGCTACCTAAGTAATCCCTTCACTCTGCTTCCATATCTATTTTAAAATTTATTTTATTTGAACTTCTGTGCTGCTTTTTCTCTGTGAAACAGCTAAGATGAAAATATTTTTACACAATCATGTTGAGCATGTTGAGCAAACTTGGAGGAAGTAGTAGATGTCTATTACATTGCTGCTTTCAGCACCCTTCCCTGATCAGCTTCAAGTATGATAATTAACACAGATATTGGGCAAGAGAACATTCCTAGGAAAAAGTTTGATTTCACTATGCCTAGTATGTTTAACTTGGAAAGTCCTGAAGGAACTGTTTCAGTGATACCAGCCAGGTTTTGCATTAAACATGATAGTTATGGGGAAAAATAAAAGAAGGAGAGTGAAATTATTTTCCAAGTGCTGGTAACACTGAAAATGTAAACAGATTCAAGGAGGGTTTGGTAAATCCAGTGATGTAAAATCTGAACAGATTAGTGTCCTCTCAAGTCCTTTGAGACTTGTGTGTTAGAGATTTTCTTCCCACCAGGCTGATGCTATGAAAAGGGATTATTAGGCAAGTTGAAAAATTACAACCCATTTGATGATATACTATGGGACTGTGAAGGTTGGTGGCACAAAATGCCTGATAGGACCAACCAAACGTCCCATTTCTTAAAACCTCCAACCTCCACATGTTCTAAGGATGAAGGGTTTGAATAGAGGGAATCAGAGGCTTGAGCAATCATTGGAAGGGCTGGGGCAGCAAGGAACAGACAAGCATTTGCTGAAGATCTCTGCCACAACAGTGAGACTTGTGATTCCCAAGAAGCTGCTGCAAATGTCAAGAACCTCCAGGAAGCTCCCTCTCCCTATCTCAGCCAGAACATGCAACTAAAGATTTTTTAAAAGCCGCATTGTCTACCTCCACTGCCTGGATCACAAAGCAGGTAATTCACAGGAGCTTGCTATAAGCTTCTGCAAACCTCCTCTGTCACCGGTTCACAAATCTGCATACACTGCCTCTGGAGTATAATGGCCTCTTTTTCTGTTCACCTTCTAAATCTGACATGATTGGCTGTCATGGGCAGACCCTAACTTGGAACCATGTGGGGAGGGGGATCCTGGAAGACATGTCTCTAGCTTCTCCTCTATAAAAGCTTAGATGCAGATGAAGGTCATTTGAAGCTGATAACAGATGACTCAGCACAACACGAAGAGGCCCAGGCTTGCGAATGAATGAGTAAGTGAACCTGAATCCCTGAACACTTGAGGTAGCCACATTTTCACACAGCCTTTTAAAAACTAGTCAGAAACATTCTGGTGGCCGAGAGACAGAACCTTATTTGGGGACATTGTAAGGGTTAGACCTCAGCTGATCCCTAAAACTTAATGTTTCTCAGACTTATGAAAGAAAAGAAGAACCTGGAAGAAATAACGCTCTTTGCAAAATACTATGTTCTGCCAAATACCTTAAAATATCAGCATAGTGAATTTCATCATGTGAAGCAGGAACAATTTTACTAGGAGAAAAACTCTGTATGTAGAACTGGGAGCCCACATGTCCACAAAGAAACAAGCTGTCAAACCAAGCATGATCAACTGTTTCAGAATTTTTCCATTAATATTCATTTGCTGCTTGTTCATTTCTTTGGTCGTCTGCTAGTGCTTGCTACCAGACAAGTGGTAGCAGGCATCAAAGTCAAAGAATAAATTTTGGGATAAAACATTGAGAAAATTATCTCCTCTAATATGACAATGTTTTTCTCCCTGCAAATTTTGAAAGGATTGCCACTACCCTTGACTAATACTAGCCATCTCAGCCCAATATTCCACTGGGCAGTTTTATAAGGTAACGAATTTGGATCAAACCTGGAAGAGTATTAAAATATGGCCAGGTGCAGTGGCTCACGCCTGTAATCGCAGCACTTTGGGAGGCCGAGGTGGTCGGATCATGAGGTCAAGAGATCAAGACCATCCTGGCCCACATGGTGAAACCCGTCTCTACTAAAAATACAAAAATTAGCTGGGCGTGGTGGTGCACACCTGTAGTCCCAGCTGCTGGGGAGGCTGAGGCTGGAGAATCACTTAAACCCAGGAGGCAGAGGTTGCACTGAGCTGAGATCATGCCACTGCACTCCAGCCTGACAACAGACAAAATTCTGTCTCAAAAAAAAAAAAAAAAAAGAAAGAAAGAAAGAAAGAAAAAAGAAAAAAAGAGTATTAAAATATTGGCCTAACAACATTTTAAAAGATAAAGTAGGCCAGGCATGGTGACTCACATGTGTAATCCCAGCACTTTGGGAGGCTGAGGCAGGTGGATCACAAGGTCAGGAGATAGAGACCATCCTGGCTAACACGGTGAAACCCCGTCTCTACTAAAAATACAAAAAATTAGCCGGGCGTGGTGGCGGGCGCCTGTAGTCCCAACTACTCAGGAGGCTGAGGCAGGAGAATGGAGTGAACCTGGGAGGCGGAGCTTGCAGTGAGCCGAGGTTGTGCCACTGCACTCCAGCCTGGGTGACAGAGCGAGACTCCGCCTCAAAAAAAAAAAAAAAAAAAAAAGATAAAGTAAATGGTAATAACTTGATACCCAATAACCTATTCCTACTGGAAACAAACCTTAAAGATGGGAATCTCTAAAAATTTTTCCAAACCTGAGATTCTTTGAACTGCACATCTCTAAAAGTTCTTTGCCAGAATTTTCTTCTGAGTGGCTCAAAATCATGGAAATTTTGCAGAACTTTTCAACACTATGTTAGAAATCCAATGCAGGAAGTAAAAAGGGTCTTCTACTGGAAAAACAAAAAAAAAAGTATAGACATTAAAGCTGAAAGAGTGGCTGGGTGTGGTGGCTCACGCCTGTAATCCCAGCACTTTGGGAGGCCGAGGCGGGCAGATCACCTGAGGTCAGGAGTAGAGTATTTTCAGTAGAGACTAAAAATACCAAAAATTATCCGGGCATGGTGGTGTGTGCCTGTAATCCCAGCTACTTGGGAAGCTGAGGCAGGAGAATCTCTTGAACCCGGGAGGCAGAGGTTGCAGTGAGTTCAGATCACGCCACTGCACTCCAGCCTGGTTGATAGAGCAAGATTCTGTCTGAAAAAAAACAAAAAAAAAAACAAAAAAAAAAACAAAAAAAAACGCTGCAAGACTTTGAGTACATTTGTGGTGTGCACATGTACATGCATGCGCAAGTGGGTACTAACTAACATTTTTAGCAGTTCAAGGGCATAGTCCAGAGTTTTGACGCTGAAGTATCATGTATGGGCATTAAGAGAGAAATGAGGTAGACCCCTTCTCCTAAACCTGGAAAACAAAGAATGGGACCTTGACTCTTCCCAGATGAATATCAAATATATTTATTTTAAAATGTGTGTGATGGACTGTCTTGCTGTAACTAAAACCGGATGATGAGAAAGGACATCATGCAGCCTCATAAAGGAAACTGTCCAGAAGGCGGGACTCTGGATTGTGTAACCTGGATCCCACAGCAGGGTCAAGGTCAGTGGAATTATAAACAGGCTATACACTAAAACTTGACCGGGCCAGCCTGGTTCAGTGGATGACTTCTCATTACCCTTAGAATAAAATCTAAGCTCCTTACTATGGTTTGTAAGTCCTAAAGGACTGGGCCTCTGCCCACCTAGTACTCTCCTTCCTGTTCACCAAGTTCCAACCACACTGGCATTCTTATGTTGGCTCAAATATACTTAACTTATTCCAACCTCAGGGGCTTTACACCTGCTATTTCCTCAATTCTTCACTTGCACACATCTTTTGAAACAGAGGTCTTTCCTAACCACCCTACCTAAAAGAACTTCCATCATCCCAACCCAGCCATGGTCTTTCCCATTTCCCTCCTTTATGTTCTTCATAGGACATGCTATCATCTGAAATGAAAATATAGGCATACTTTTTCAACTACCTCTCCTGCTAGAACATAAAGGCCACGAAAATGAGGATCTTATCTTTCTTAACCACAACAGGAATGAGTTGAAAGAGTTGTACCACCAAGAGAGATAACTCTTAGAGCACATTCTCTACTGTGTGTTAATTTATTTTTTTTGTCATTCAAAAAGCACTTATTAAGCACCTACCCTATGCCAGGCACCATTCTAGGTGCTCAGGATAAAGCAATGAACAAAGTCCCTGTCCTCCTGGAGCTTACATTCTAGTATGCAGAGATAGTCAATAAACAAATATAACAATATCAAGTATGCTTATGAAGAAAAAGAAAGCTGGATGCAAAAAAATGATACATAATTGGTATTTCATGTTTTATTATATATGGGGTATTCTGTAAAGGCTTCTCTGAGGAAGTGACACTTAAGTAGAGAGCTAAAAGAAGTGAAGAAGCTACCATGTGAGATCAGATAAGAGTAAATGTTACCCCACACAGAGGAAATAGGAAGTGCAAAGGCCCTGAGGTGGGTGTACGGTTGGCAGGCTCAGAGAACAGCAAGGAGGCCAGGGTGGCTGAAGTAGAGAGCATGAAGGGGACAGGGATAGAAAATGATGCTGGTTCAAGTGCAATGTCTCATGTCTGTAATCCCAGGATTTTGAGAGGCCAAGGCGGGTGGATCGGTTGAGCTCATGAGTTTGATACCAGCCTGGGTGACATGGCAAAACCCCATCTCTACAAAAAAAAAAAAAAAAAAAAAAAATTACAAAAATTAGCCAGGTGTGGTAGCCCACACCTGTAGTCCCAACTACTTGAGGAGCTGACGTGAGAGGACTGTTTGAGCCTGAGAGTTAGAGGCTGCAGTGAGCTGTGTCACACTACTGCAATCCAGCCTGGGAAAGAAAGAAAATAAAGAAAGACAAAGAAAGAGAAAGAAAGAAAGACAGAAAGACAGAAAAGACAGAAAGACAGAAAAGACAGAAAGAAAAGAAAGAAAGAACGAAAGAAAGAAAGAAAGAAAGAAAGGGAAAAGAAGAAGGAAAGAAAGGGACAAGGGAGAAACAAAGGAAAGGAAAGGGAGGAAGGAAGAAAGGAAGGAAGGAAGGAAAGAAAAGAAAGAGAAAGAAAGGAAGAAAGAGAAGTGTCTGTTCATATCCTTAACCCACTTGTTGACGGGATTGTTTGTTTTTTTCTTGTA
This sequence comes from Homo sapiens, assembly GCF_000001405.40. Taxonomy (NCBI): domain Eukaryota; kingdom Metazoa; phylum Chordata; class Mammalia; order Primates; family Hominidae; genus Homo; species Homo sapiens. The sequence continues at coordinate 23,547,515 of NC_000009.12, forward strand.
AGTTTGTTGGAGTTCATTGTAGATTCTGGATATTAGCCCTTTGTCAGATGAGTAGATTGCAAAACTTTTCTCCCATTCTATAGGTTGCCTGTTCACTCTGATGGTAGTTTCTTTTGCTGTGCAGAAGCTCTTTAGTTTAATTAGATCCCGTTTGTCAATTTTGGCTTTTGTTGCCATTGCTTTTGGTGTTTTAGACATGAAGTCCTTGCCCATGCCTGTGTCTTGAATGGTATTGCCTAGGTTTTCTTCTAGGGTTTTTATGGTTTTAGGTCTAACTTGTAAGTCTTTAATCCACCTTGAATTAATTTTTGTATAAGGTGTAAGGAAGGGATCCAGTTTCAGCTTTCTACATACGGCTAGCCAGTTTTCCCAGCACCATTTATTAAGTAGGGAATCCTTTCCCCATTTCTTCTTTTTGTCAGGTTTGTCAAAGATCAGATAGTTGTAGATATGTGGCATTATTTCTGAGGGCTCTGTTCTGTTCCATTGGTCTATATCTCTGTTTTGGTACCAGTAAAGAAGACATTTATGCAGCCAAAAGACACATGAAAAAACGCTCACCATCACTGGCCATCAGAGAAATGCAAATCAAAACCACAATGAGATACCATCTCATACCAATTAGAATAGCGATCATTAAAAAGTCAGGAAACAACAGGTGCTGGAGAGGATGTGGAGAAATAGGAACAGTTTTACACTGTTGGTGGGACGGTAAACTAGTTCAACCATTGTGGAAGTCAGTGTGCTGATTCCTCAGGGATCCAGGACTAGAAATACCATTTGACCCAGCCATCCCATTACTGGGTATATACCCAAAGGATTATAAATCATGCTGCTATAAAGACACATGCACACGTATGTTTATTGCTGCACTATTCACAATAGCAAAGACTTGGAACCAACCCAAATGTCCAACAATGATAGACTGGATTAAGAAAATGTGGCACATATACACCATGGAATACTACACAGCTATAAAAAATGATGAGCTCATGTCCTTTGTAGGGACATGAATGAAGCTGGAAACCATCATTCTCAGCAAACTATCGCAAGGACAAAAAACCAAACACCGCATGTTCTCACTCATAGGTGGGAATTGAACAATGAGAACAGATGGACACAGGAAGGGGAACATCACACACCAGGGCCTGTTGTGGGGTAGGGGGAGGAGGGAGGGATAGCATTAGGAGATATACCTAATGTTAACTGACGAGTCAATGGGTGCAGCATACCAGCATGGCACATGTATACATATGCAACAAACCTGCACGTTGTGCACATGTACCCTAAAACTTCAAGTATAATTAAAAAAAAAAAAAAAAGAAAGAAAGGGAGATGTTGGAGGTGCAATAGGGTCAGATGCAGAGAGAAGCCTGAGGGAGAGGTGGGGTTAAGTGTATTTGAGCAACCATAAGAAAGGTACTGTGGCTGGAGCTTAGCAACCAGGAAGGACAGCACTAGGAACCTGGGCTGATGGGCAGAGGCCCAGTCATTTAGGACTTACAGACCATAGTAAGGAGCTTAGGTTTTTAATGTAATGTTATAAGAATGGAGGCTTACACTGAGGTCTTCAGAGAATCAAGCAAGGCACTGCGAAAGCAGGAGCTTGAGGTCTGGCCAATCTCAATCTCTTTGAGACTTTCAAGGTTCCAGCATGAATCTTATCAGACACCATTACTTAATCAGATGCCCCTTTGAGGGCTGCATCAGGCTTTTAATTCTCCTGGAGGAGGCAGCAAATGAGCAAAGAGGAGGACACCTCTGTACTAGCATTGCAATCCTGAGGACTGCAGTGAAATTTAGGGAAGAAAACAGATGGAGGTCAGAGCCTCTGTGACCCAGCTATCAAAGAAACCATGGGCCTATTTTGGCCTTATTTAAGTACTCTCCGATTACTGGGAACTGTTATTTGTGAAATACATGTATAAATGGGTTTGCATGTTCACTTGTACATCACAGATATTCTCTGATATCTGAGTAGGGACAAACTTAAGAGTCCACATCAAAGCCTTCATTTGACATTGAGGAAGCTAAAGCCCAGAGAACTGAAGTGTTTGCCACAGTATGAACAACTGTTTCAGAGTCTAGCCTGCCTTTGTCTTCTCCCATGTCTTCTCCTTTGTTTTCCCTGACACTGCCTTCTGTTTAACACATATAATCCATATAGTTTAGGCCCATGGCATGCCCGTCTAAGGAAAAGAGCGTCAATTAAGCAGGAGAAAAAACTGAATTGCTGTTTTAGGCATGAAGTCTTAAGAGGGGACTGACTGTAATAAGCTAGTGTTTTCTTCTTGCCCTATACCACACTGTTACTTCCTTCCACACTTCGTGGCTCTTCAGGAACTTGCAGATTACACCGAATCCCAGAGAATGGAGATCCCATTAGTAGGAAAAGAAGGGTTGAATATTTGCTTGAATTTTTCTCTCCCAAATGTACCCTTCAAAGCAGAGTTCCGCCAGTCAGGCCCAAATAATCTTACTCTGTGGCTGAAGGGTGCCCCGTGGGAGTGTCTGTGTGTACACAGTGGCTGGCAAACATCTGATTTTTTCACTTAGCATCACTCTACCTGCTTTGACCATTTTCATAAGACCAAGCCTGGACAAGGTGACTGGCCTAAGCCACATGACTATGTTTGTCTCCCTGCTCTCACAAATGCTCAGTCGACTTAAAACTGGCTATCTTCAAAGATATGCTTGAAACAGAGGCGTTGCTACTTGAAGATTACTAACATCACTCCCTTTCCTCATATACCCTTTAACCATCATTAAGCTTCAGTGTTCTTCCCTCTTCATTGTTCCACCTTCTCCATCGTATCTCCTCCCATTGTTTCCTTGGTCATTCATTTATCAGAAACTCCCAACTCTTTAGCAACAGTTTGGAACTCTCTCCTAACTTCCAAACCAATGCCTAAGTCTTACAGGGAGCACATTCTGCCCATTTCCTTCCCTATCTGCCCCCCTACCACCACCAATTTTTCCAGAAAATCATTCCTCTTCCTCCTATATTTAGTTAGAAAACTGCACTACTATAGATACAGTCTCCCAAGCTGCAAATGTTTCTCGCGTAGCAAGTTAGTCACTGTATCTTTTCAATTCTCTCACATCTGCCCTTGCCTCCACCACTACTGCCCCTGACCTTCAGTCATCTCCTGCACAGACTTTAACAATGCAGTCCTAATCATTCTCTTTACCCCTTGTAAACCTACCTGCAAGAGGCAATAACTCACCATTATTGACTGACTTCAAATGAATGTGACACCGCCCGCCTCGGAAGGAAATTCCCAAACAGGAATCCAACAAAGCTTGAACATAAACATGGGTTGTGGAATAGCACCTGCCACAGTTTCTTCTTTGAAGAAGATGATAGTTGAATGTACAAGTGTAGGTAAGTCTGTCACAAAGAAAATCAACCTCATCACATTTCAGGCACATGCTCAATGGAAGGGAAGGAGTGTCGGTAGACTTTAGATTTTAAGAGATCTTTGGGGGACTCCCTAGTTAGATGGCTTTCAAGACACATGGCCTCTCCTAGCTTCCATCTTCCCATCTGGAAATTCAGATATTAATAGTGCTCACTTGGCAGGACTGTTATATTATGTGATAATGTGTGCAACGCAAATCTCTCTCTGCCTGATGCAAAGTAAATGGCATGAGATGCCTTTTTTCCCCCCCTTAGCACCTCCTGGTTACTTCTCCCTTTATCCAAGCTCCTGCTTCTCCACAGCAATATTGTACCTGAGCAGAGGATTCTGGATGATCTCACCAATGTGCTAACCGTGAGGGCGATTTAAGGTGAGCAGCCTTTTCTTCTGAGTCTCTTGCCTGGGTGTTGGGCAAATGCTTCCACCGGCTGGCTGACATATGTGGCCTGCTGCAGACTAATTTCTTGTGACATGTTGCCTTGAATGCACAGTCACAGAGCATGTGCTGAAGTGCTAAACACCCCCAAACTGTGCACTTTCCAATCTGTGAAAGCTTTTTGGTGGGTCCAGGCTTTTTTTCTAGACCTGAGGCATTATAATGAGGAAGCACATGGACACGTCATTGAGGCAATCTGTCACCTTGCAAATGCTTAATAGCAGCAGCAGGACCTGTGTGTCCCTCTCAGTGAGCCAGACACCACCACACAGCTGCTCTTCTGTTGAAGTTGTTGCTGCATTAATGAGCTTCCAGACAAAGGCATGACTGTGTGGTGTGTAGCTCAGGGTCCGCACGCAGGCTGGGAGTAATGCACAGAGGGAGACCTATGCTCAAAAATAATACTTCATTTGCAAAAAACTGGTTTGGAGCCCACAGGAATTACTGTGTTTCTTTAGACTTCAAAACTTGTAAAGGCCGGATCATCCTCCTGCAATATTTTACGATAACAGTAGCATGTTAACAGTTATCTGATCCTCTAGGGTTTATAGTGTTTTCACACTTTGAACCTCACCATATCACTGTAAACGTATTGTTTTACGGATGAGAAAATTTGAGTCCTTCAAAGGTTCAACAAAATACACAAGTTCATGTGGTTAATAAAAGGCAGGGACAGCCCTTGAATGGAGACCTGTATGACTCCAGGTGCTTGACTTTCTGAAGAATTATCACCAGACTTACTCTCAGTTCCCCCATATGTACTAAGATGTCACTGAAACAGCTAAAAAGGAAGCTTCTGATAGAAGGAGCTTTCAAGGGACTGAACTTCTCCATTAAGATTTTAAGTCCTTTATCTGCCAGCATGTTAAAGGAGACTAGGGCATCCCAGACATTTTTCAAAAGCTAAGCCTTACACCCAAAGCAGGTCCTTCCTCTGCCTTGCTTATGATGATGATGTAGGAACCTTATGTGATACCTCACACCACCAATATAGGAGAGTAACAACTGAAACAGAACCAAGAATATAGAACAGATGTAGAAATCAAACCCCAAACTACCTCTACTACTTCTACGACTACTATTAATAAAATAATAATGCAGATAAAACAGCAATAACAAAAATAACAGTAGTCAGCATTTCTTTAGCCTCTACCATATAACACTTACTGTTTGCATACATTATCTTGAATTCTCCCAACAATCATCAAATAGGGGTTGTCGTCCCTCTGCAGATGAGGACACTGTGGTTCAGAGTGGTAAAGGAACTTGCTGGAGGCCACAGAGTTTGTACATGGCAGAATGAGGCAAGATGCTCAGGTGTCCCGACTCCAAGGCTGTGCTATTTCCATTGGGCCATACTTGCCTTCTCTCAAGGAGATAGATAATCACCAAACTAGTGAGTAGTGTTCAGGAGGTTAGGAATCCCCATAACCCAGTGTGGCCAAGGCTGACAAAGCCTAATAGGTGCATAGCTGCTCCTTCTGATCATCCAAGGCTAACAGTTATCCTTCAGGACCCAGAAAATGGGTTTCAATAACCTGCTTTTAATTTTCTGTGCCTGGCCAAGAAATAATGAACAAAGGGACAACTTCTAAAAAAAATCTGGCTTCAGGTGTGAGTTCAATCAAATCCTCTGACAGTGTGTTAAAGTATCTGTGTATGTGCACACACACCCACATTCATGCCACACAGGTGTAGGATGCGAGCAGAGAACAGTAGGCTGATTCCATGTCCTTTTCTGCCTCCTGACAGCTATGAAACTACAAGTGGGTAGATTATAGTTGAAGATAAAAATAGACATTATACTGCCGCTTTCTCTTCCCAGCTTTTTAGTCGCTCCAGCTTGAAAGCATATTGTAGCATTTTATTGTAGTCTAGGCTCTTGTGGCTTCTCTTGTTTGCCATTCCTTTTTGGAAAACTAGAAACATTCCCTCTCCATGGGGAAATGAACTCAAGTAAGTGAGAGAGAGGCGGCAGAGTGCGCACATGTGTGTCTGTGTGTGCCTGCTTGTGTGCACGCTCATGTCCTTCCACGCCTGAGGGAGGAAAGGAGGTGGAATGAGTGCATGTGTGTGCCTGTGTCCCACTGCCTCTAAGAGAGGAGAGGAGGCAGAGTGTGAATCTGAATAGAGCGGAAATTGGAAATTGACACAGCTGTTTTTGTTTCACTGTAACCATTTTTAGAACCTCAGGATGCACTAAGCTTCCAAAGGAGGCAGCCCACTCAGCCTTGGGATTCAACACTAGCCAAGAGTGAGTAGTGATTTGAAGGCACTGGATGCATCATCCCAAGGTCTACAGTAGACCCCTCATCCAAGCATTGCAGGTCACTTGGTATAATGCATATTCGGTGCCCTCTTTGTGTGGCAGTTAAACTGAATTGTGCAAGTAGTTGCACGTCAGGTCTCATCCCAAACCCTCTCCTTTCCGCTTATCATCTCCATTCTTTCTCCCGAAATTTTCTTTTAGGGGCACAATGTTCCATGTTTCACGCTTAGGTTCCCTGGACAACAGCACCGCCAGTCAGTGTAGCTATGTTTTATAATACACATTTCTGTGCCCACTGCAGATCTACTGAATTTGATTCTATCAAGAATTTGAATTTTAACAGCCTACTCCTGGTTATTAGTGTCATAAGCACTAAATTTTTCAAATGCCTAATAAAGCAGCAATAAAATCAAGACTTCGGAGTTGCACTTGCCTGGTATCAACCACTGAAATATTCAGCCTCTCATCACCTTCACTAGTTCTACCACTTTATACCCAGGAAAAAATGAGAGCCATTTACAAGCTTTGTGACCCTCATCAACTCCCAATTTCTCTGGGTTTCATTTCTTCATCTTCAAAATGGGGATGATAATGGCACCTAGTGTATAGGGTTGTTGTGAGAATTATATGAGAAAACATATGTTAACACAGGGCAGTAGTGATCAACTGGGAGTGGGGTGATGTTGCCCATCAGGAGACAACTGACTATCTGGAGATATTTTTGGTTGTCATATAGGAGTAGGGGTGCTACTACGATGTAGAATAGAAGCCAGGGATACGGCTAGACATCCTATAATACACAAAGAAGCCCTCCACAATAAGGAATTACCAGCCCAGCATATCAATCCTTAACATTTTGAGAAATCCAGATGCGAAGTTCAGCACATCAGGACTGGGTTCGAATTTTAGATGCCACCAATCTGGCTGTGTGATCTTGGGTAGATTGCTTAGCCATTTGGAGCTTCAATTTCTCCATCTGTAAAACAGGGATAAAAAATCCTGTCTCACAAGGTTAGTAAGAGTTCAAAGAAGTAATTTATAAAATATGTTTGGCATATTTTCAGTAGGGTCCTTTCTTTTAGTTCCTCTTAAAAGAGGCTGGTTTCCACATTCCTAATGACCTAGGAAGCCTAAGGCTTCCTTACCTTTAATTCGCAAGTGAGGTACTTTATGTGTTGGCTCAAGGCAGGGCACAGATGGCCCATCATCTGAGCATGCATGCATGGCCAGGCCCTGTTACTGAGGTTAGGAATCATAGGGCCCCCTATTGGGCCATGGCTCTAGGACAGCCCCATAGACAGCCACAGGCTGACATGCTTACCCTGAATGCACTATTAACCCCATGATCCTATTTTTATATAATGAAAGAACCAACTTATTTTGTAAAAAGAGCATAAAGCCTAAAAATAAATCTAGCTAACAAGGTGAGGTTTACCATCTAGAGAGAAGAGAAACATTACACCCTTTAACATTTAGGCCATTGGATATAGGATCCCCCAAAATTACCATCAGCTACTTATTTATCCACTTAAATGAGAGAGAGCAGAGGTGTAGATAAATCAATGCTGTTTTAGATTTTATTTGTGACCTCAAAGAGCACATAAAATCTAAAACATTGCATTGATTTGTCTATATCTTGATGCAAAAAGCATCAAGGATATGCAAGATCTTGGTGTACCCTTCCAAACATGCTGTTGTTTCTGGATGTCTCATCCCAGGTACTCTCATGTTAAACTTGGCACTGCTGTCAGTGGAGTAGGAGAGGCTTGGAATTTCACTACTCTGGGGGCAACCTGAACCTATGAAAATCACAAACATACAGCAGTAAAATTAACTTGCACTAGGAGAGAGATGTGGAGACCTCCCCATAACCTCACTTCTCTCCAAGTCCCAAGGCCACCCAAGTCATCTTCATTCCCCTACTTTCTAGCACAATCAATTCCAACATCCTTTGTCAATTGAACGCTCATTTTTTTTTTTTTTTTGTCCACCTAGTGTACTCAAAGTACAAAATGACTAAGGGCATGGTTCAAGCCCTCAAGGAATAGTAAAGGCAGAGGAAACAAGATCCCCACTGCCCCCAAAATTAAGGGCTGCTGTGCCCTAAGAAAGAAAAGATGCAAATCAGAATCAGGGTTCTTAATATTTGTGTTTTGAGCCCAGTGACACACCTCCCTCCTGGGAAGGGGAGAGAAGGGAGTTGCGTGAGTGGCTCTGCTATAGGATTTTTGCTCCGGATAGAGATGGAAACAAGCAAACACTACACAACTGCTGCCACAGCATGGAGCCTGTGATGAAGTCAGCAGGCAGGTGCCGCCTCACTCTCCCTCATCCCCCTCATCGTTATCACACACAGCTGCATCAGCTTTTACTTTTCATTCCGGTCAAATACACTGTAAATTCATCCTGCTCATCAGGAAGTCTCCTGTTAAGGAAATGAGACTCTGACGCGATCCCAGCAGAGTGCCAAGACCAGAGAAGCTCAGACCCCCAGTGGCTCTCTGCCTGAGGGAGACTTAGCCACACAAATGGAAGGCTGCTTTTGTCTTTCTGGGATGGTGGAGGGGGGAGCAATGCTGCCTTCCAGGGCTACCCCTAGCGTGGGTCTCAGAATCTTGAGAATAAAGGACCCTGCCTACGTTTTCTCTGTACTGTCAGCTTTGCCCAGGAAAAAAATGTGCTCTCCATCTACCCTGGGTCGGGACAAAATGCAATGTTGTGTAATCCTATGGCAGCCCTTGAAGTATGTAGGTAGTATCTTCATTTTATAGTGGAAAAGAAAATGATTCTCAGAGAACAGAGAAGGGCCTCTTTCCCCAAGGAGGCCTCCTCAGCTATAAAATTCACTTTACATTGAAATATGTGCAAGTGGTTAAGAAAGAATCTGATCTTGTTACTCCTTTGCTTAAAACCCTCCAAAAGCTTCCCCATTGCCTGAGGCAGTACTTCTCAACCCTGGCTGCACACTGGAATTACCTGGGGAAATTTAAAAAATGCCAATGTTCTGGCCCCAACCCAGACCAATTAAACCAGAATCTATGGGGGTGGAACTCAGGCTTGGCACTGGTGTTTTTTGAAAGCTGCTGAGCAATTCTCAAGTGCTGTCAAGATTAAGAACCACTGCCCTAAGGGATTAGTGTCAGGCTCCTCAACATCTCTTGCCGAATCCTCTGCAGCCAGGCCCTTGCTTATTTCTGTGGCCCTATCACTCACCACTCTCTCCTACTCCCTCCTTAGCCATTCTTCATCCCTCCTCTGCCAGCTTGAGCTTCTCCAGAGGAGTTACACACTCACGCCTCTTTGCTTTGATGCTCTACCATCGATCTCCCTAAAATGCCACTCCCTCTCTTCACCTAACTCCTACTTGTTCTTTCAGATGGAGCTCAGCACTGCTGCCTCCAGGAAGCCTTCCCTGACACCCTCTAGTGATCCTCCTAGGTGCTCTATATGAGCATACCTCTAGCACTCCCATACATTGCAGCTGATTTTCACTTATCTTCTCCCTCCCTGGAATGAGTGCCTTGACCAGAACAGATCCTATGCTTCTGCTCATTCTCAGTACACAGCACCAGGGCACTCAAAAAGTTTGTTGATCCAAAAGAATCGAGAGTAGGGACTCACACACACACTCATCCTTGTACACCAATGTTCACAGTGGCATTATTCACAATTGCCAGAAGTGGGAAACAACCCAAGTGTGCATCACAGATGAACGGATAAGCAAAATGTGGCATATAATACATACAATGGGATATTATTCAGCCTTTAAAAAGAAGGAAATTCTGACACATGTGCAACATGGATGGACCTTGGAAATGTTATACTAAGTTAAATAAGCTTGACACACAAGGATAAATATTGTACATGTATGTGAGATGCCTAAAATAGGCAAATTTATAGAGACAGAAATTAGATTAGGGGTTACCAGGAGACAGGGGCGTGAAGGGGAAGGGGTAATGGGAGCTGTTTAGTAGGTACAGAGTTTCTGTTTGAGATGATGAAAAAGTTCTCAAAATGGGTAATGGTGATGGTTGCACAACATTGTCAATGTACTTAATGCCACTAAATTATACACTTAAAAATAGCTAAAATAGTAACTTTTATGTTATGTGCATTTTACCACAATTTTAAAAAGAAAAAAATTGCTGAATAAATAAATCACATTGTACTTAGAAGAGCAACTAAAGCCTTACTCACAGCCCCTTACACCATGTGATGTGGCTCCTGCTGTCCTCTCTGATCTCATCTCCTACCCTTTTCCCATAAACATTCTACTCTGACCACATTGCACTCTTGTTTTTTCTGCAAAAATACCAGACTTGTTCTCTCAAGTTCATTGCAATAGCTTTCCAGTGCTTAAAATGATCTTCTTCTACATCTTCATATGGCTTCCTCCCTCCCTCTTAATTATGTATCCTTCCTCAGAAGGACATGACCACTCCATTTCAAACTGCTAACTTCACTCCTGCCATCCAAATTACTCTGTGTATTGGTTAAGCTAATGCTTGCTGATGTCATGAACAAACTCTAGAATCTCAGTGACTTAAAACAGTCCTAAACTTTCGGGTGCATCCGGATCATTTTGAGGACTTTTTAAAACACAGTTTGCCAGACCCCACCCCTCCAAGATTCAGTATATCTAGGGTGGGGCCCATGAATATCCATTTGTGGCAAGTTCCCAGGTGCTATGGCTTGAATGTTTTTGTCACCTCCAGTTAAAACAATCCCCACTGCAACAGTGTTGTATTAGTCCATTTTCATGCTGCTGATAAAGACATACTGGAGGCTGGGCAATTTACAAAAGAAAGAGGTTTATTGAACTTACAGTTCCATGTGGCTGGAGAGACCTCACAATCATGGTGGAAGGTGAAAAGCACGTCTCACATGGTGGCAGACAAGCCAAGAGAGACTGTGCAGGGAAACTCCTGTTTTTAAAACCATCAGATCTCATGAGACTTATTCACTATCACGAGGACAATGCAGGAAAGACCCACTCCCATAATTCAACCACCTTCCACCGGGTTCTTCCCACAACACATGGGAATTGTGGGAGTTACGATTCAAGATGAGATTTGGGTGGAGACACAGCCAAACCATATCAAGTATTAGTAGGTGGAGTCTTTACTTTAGGAGGTGAATAGGCCATGAGGGCTCCACTCTCATTAATGAGATTAGTGACCTTATAGAAGGACCAGCCGGAACTAGCTAGACTCCTTTTCCCCTTTTGTCCCTTTTACCATGTGGGGACACAGTGTTCAAAGTGCCATCTTAGAAGCAGAAAACAGCCTTCACTAGATACCAAATCTGCTTTGCTCTGATCTTGGACTTCCCAGTCCCCAGAACTATGAGAAATACATTTCTATTATTTATAAATTACCCAGTCTTAGGTATTTTGTCATAGCATCACAAACAGACTAAAACCCCAGGTGATGCTGATGCTGCTAGTCTAGGGACCCAATTTTGAGAACCACTGGTTTAACACAGTTTATTTCTCACTCACATGACCATTCTATATGGGCACTTTGAGCTGATAAGTATTCCTCCATCCAGTGATTCAAGGATCCTGTGGCTCCACTTCTTTTAACACAGTGCCCACAGTTGTCCCAGGAGTGGTCTCCCTCCAAGTCAACCAAAATAGAAAAAAGCATGAAGGACCATACATTAAAAATTGTTATGGTCCATGCCTGCAAGTGGCATGTCACTTCTTTTCACATTTTATTGGCCAGAACTCAGTCAAATGACCACACTGAACTGCAAGGGAAGTTGACAAATACACTCTATCTTTGTGTCCATGTGAAAGAGTAAATGGGATTGGTAATCTACTATACCTACCAGCCCCTCATGCTATTATATTTGTCTCCATAATAAGGCCTATCTCTACCTGATATGAAATCACATATTTATTTGCTTACCTTTTAATTGCCTCTCTTCATGAGAGTGTAAGCTACACAAGGGCAGAGACCCTCTCTTATTCATCACTGTATTTTCAGTACCTAGTACAGTGCTTGGAACTGTGAACACATAAGACACCAATAACTATTTCTTGAATTATTAAATGCATTTTTGTGGGGCACACTCTCTGATGACGTCATATTTACCTCTTCTTTCAGATGCTCTGGAAACCATATTCTTTATCCTGCTTATGTCACTGAGCCGCTGCCATCAGAGTAGGCCCGTGTTTACTTAAGCCAACATATGGGACAAGTTTTTCTAATAGCAGTAACAAACTTATGTTGCCCTCACAACTGCTCTGTCCTGAGCATAGCGGTCATGGTGTCTTATCATTCCCAATGTCTCTTTCTAGTTCACCCTAGCGGCCTTCTTCGTAAGTGACAAGAAGAGCCCCCAAGTTCATTCCCAGCCAGGCTGAGGACTCATGAGCTGGTCTAGCATAAAGCAAACTCTAAATGGACTGATGGTAACTAAGACAGATAACTATCCTGTGGGATTTGAATTAGAGCAGTTTGGAAATTAATCAGCAAAACATAAAAGAGTAAATACACAGAAAGAAGTAGACACACTCTGACTGTGAAGTAGTGACAGTCAAGAGAGATGAAGCAACTGCCTTGGATCCTCATAGCCTTCCTGTTTCAAATGTAGTAAATTGCAGGATGTCTTTAAAATAAACCCCATTTATGAAGGGGTCTAAATGAGTAACTGCTCCTCATTTGGTTATGGGCCTGACTAAGCTGAATCAGTACCTGTTGACAAGATAGCCAACAGTTTAGTAAGGGGGCTCAGTGAGGGGTTAGCACATTCATATGCCACTTAAATGTCATATGAATGCCAGTTTAACAAAATGAACTGCTCCACCCAGAGATGGTATCTAGGTCTACATACTCCATCCAGGATATTAGTTGCTCCCTGCCCTCATTACCTTATACTAAGGATAACACAGCAGTTTCTTCACTACCTTCCTCATCTCTTCTGCACCTTTTCATCAGATTCATCTCTCATAAATCACGACTTTTGCTCCAACACTCCCCTGCTCTGAACCCTCCATGTTTTCCCACAGATCACAGAACTAACATTTAATTTACATTTGTGTGATAAGAATTCTTCCAGGGCTGCATATACATTGTCTCACTTAATCCTCAGACCAACCCTAGAATTAGGACCACCATCTTTATTTTGCAGCTATAGTGATTGGATCATGAAAGGAATGAATAAATTGCCCACAAACATGGAGCTAGGAACCAGCAGAGCCAAAGTAGAAACCCACGTGTGCCTGTTTCTAAAGCTTCTCCTATTTACAAATAGTATGCATTCTTTCATTCATTCAGATATTGGCTGAGTGTCAACCATGTGCTGGGAATTATGCTAGATACCAGGATTACAATAATTTACTGATAGATAAAGTATCATTAGTATTAGACAGGGAGTCTGAATGCTAAGGAAGCAAACTGAGGGAACTCTTTCAAGCCTAGCTTCATTGCTCAGGGAAGCCCTTCTCAAGGCAGTGTCATTGAAGTTATCTGAAGGTCGAATAGGAGTGAGCAACCTGCTTTCTATCAGGAACATAATCCTGGTAGTAAAGAGACAGCATAATGCCTTTCTCTCTCTGACTCTCATAGACTGCTGGGCAGGGAAGAGGGAGGCTGGGGGAAGAAGGGATGAAGGGAAAAACCCGAAAAGACCTATTAATTGTCAAATGATATCACCAAAGCATATTTTGTATTTCAACGATTCCTATCCTTTGGGTTTCCAATTGTTCCTGTGTAATTTTAAACTAAAATCTATTTCCTTACCCAGCAGCATCTCTTTCTTCTTCCATACAGAGATGCAATTTCATTGCTAGTCTGTTGGCAGTGCTAATTATATTCTCCCTAGCACATTCCTGATGGCATGGAATTAAATAAGGCAGGTGTGGAGGTGACAGAACAAAACAAAATATATGACTTATATGACAGACTGATTGGTCTGGTGGAGGACAAGGTAAAAACAGCAAATGTTATTCTATATAAAGATTAGGGCAAAAGGCACAATAGAGTCACACTTTTATACAGATAAATCACACCAAATTGAAAATAATTTTTAGCAGTTTCCTCTATTATAAATGTAGTCTGAACACACTGTCTTACTGTTTTCAGCCTTTCACAAGCTTCTGATTTACCTTCTATTTAAGATGTCTCCAAATTAACAGAGAGAACTATTTTGATAGAATATTCAATTTTGCATTTACAACTTGAAGGTTGATTCACAATCATCACTTCAACATCAGAGTGAAAGTAGAAATTATAAACATCTTTATAAGAGCTTTACCAAATGGGGACAAAAATGGAAAATAAATTCTGGATAAGAGGCAGAAATAGAAAATCTGGGCAAATAAGTCAGACTGTACATCCAAACTGGATTAGATAAGTTTCGTAAGCGATAAAATATTTGTGGGAATGGGATGTCCCCAAATCAGAAAGCCTGACTTGTGGTTTTGCTGATGCCTCCCATAAAAGAGAAACTATAATTTCAGTCATATGCATATATACTATAGTTGTGTGTTCACCAAATCCCATTTCCTTTTCTCCCTGGGTTCATCTTCTGTGCCCATATTCCCAGCCTCCCCTAGATGAGGTGTGGCCTCGAGACTGAGTTCCATCCAATGAAACGTGAATGGAAGACCTAGGGGAGCCTGGAACCATGAATGAATAAGCAGAGCACAGCCATCCCACCCCTCCACACACATCTGCCCTGACCCACATTAGACCGCAATGGAAGGGAGCAAATGCCTTAAGTGACTGAGCTTCCAGTGTTGTTTTTTTTGTCCAGTAGCTGACCAACCATAAGTCAACCAAAGGCATGACCAACCAAAGGCAGAAATGACACAGGGCCCACCATAGTAGACCACAATGTTGTAGGCCATGAGTTAACCTACAGATGAACGAGTTAACTGCAGATGTTCTAAATGGTTCTACTGGATATCGATGGTTGAAAAACTTTATATTAAGATATAACAAGGTTTTTGAATAAATTTCCAAAGGCCAGAGCATATAAGAGGAACCAAGTTATAAAGGAGGAGTGGACAGAAGGAAAGATGAGTAAGGGGGTAATGCAACTGGTACCTAAGATGCCGCTTCCAAATTTGTGAGCCCCTGAAAGAGGTAATCAGGTTCCTCTTTGTCTAAATGCCTCATGTATGCACCAGCGACTAAAGTCCAAAACCTCTAAAGTTGGCACTAAACACTTTCCATAATCTCATCCCTGCCCAGCTCTTTAACCCATTTATGCTGGAGGTTGCAAATTTTTGTGTGTGAAAAATCAGACCTTGGCAATGACCTTGAGCAGTAGGGAGGATATAAATAACTCCCACAAGCTTAGCATTCCAATGATGGAACACTAGGCATAAATTTAATCTTCAACTACTATCTATCCTCTGCTTGACCCACCCTGTATTGCATGTGTTTCCTTAACAACTCCCACCTTATGCCTTTATGTGTAACATTCCCTTTGTAAGGTGTACCCTTCCCCCACCTCATTTACTTTCATAATTCATAATCATCTTTCCAAGCTGAGCTTAAACCACATCTGCTGATACCTATTCTTCCTAGGAAACATGCTCCTTAAGCTGGGTTCCCATAACCTTTTTTTCTTTTTTTTTTTTTTTAGACAGAGTTTCGCTCTTGTCACTCAGGTTGAAGTGCAGTGGTGTGATCTCAGCTCACTGCAATCTCTGCCTCCCGGATTCAAGCGATTCTCCTGCCTCAGCCTCCCGAGTAGCTGGGATTACAGGCATTCACCACCATGCCTGGCTAATTTTGTATTTTTCGTAGAGACGCGGTTTCACCACGTTCAGCAGGCTGGTCTCGAACTCCTGACCTCAAGTGATCCACCTGCCTTGGCCTCCCAAAGTGCTGGGATTACAGGCATGAGCCACTGGATCGGCCTCCCATAACCCTTTATAACCACATGTATCACAGCACTTATGAAAGTCATCATTGTTGCTCTTCATTCTCATCCTTGGCTAGATGGGTATGTCCTTGATGACAAGAATGACGTGTGATGGCTCTTTCCTCCCGTTGGCCTGTTGAGTATCTTGCCCCTTGCTCCCCCCACCCCACCACAGTAACAAACAATAAGTGTGTGATTGAGTTGAAAACGAGGCACTTCCTGGGGTGTACAGTCCAGATGTGACTAGAGACAGTGGAATGCTGTGAAGATTTTCCAGGAAACCTAGGAAATATGCCAGCAAAAGAAGTCCACTGCAGCTCTTGAATAAGTTTTGCTTTACAGATTGTCAGTCAGTCAGTCAGTCTTGAGGTGAAATTACACTTTTCTGTAAGTACAGATGTCAAAGGAAAGCAAGCTTAGGAACGTATACATTCTCTAAAGATGGCTTAGAATGTATACAAATAAAAAGTGAACATGACAACCTGAGAAATAAAAATAAATCTAGATCAAATGACTTCTTGATTCCAAAGGCCACCCCTTCCTGACTTCACACATTAAAAATATTCATTTTCCCGTTAAAGTGTGTTTTTATTCCACTGTTAAAATGCAAGTACCAGAAATATCCTACATGTACAATAGGGGCATGGTTAATTACATCATGGACTATCCAAAGGAAGAAATTGTAATGGCATAGAAAAATGTTCACTTCCAATTTTGACTAAAAGGACCATAAAAACTCTATTGAAAGTATGAACTCAACAATATATTCATTTTAAAATATATTCATATATATATTTTGAGACAGAGTCTCACTCTGCCACCTAGGCTGGAGTGCAGTGGGGCAATCTTGGCTCACTGCAACCTTTGCCTCACGGGTTCAAGCGATTCTCCTGCCTCAGCCTCCCGAGTAGCTGGGGCTACAGGTGCGCACCACCATGCCCAGATAATTTTTGTATTTTTATTAGAGACAGGGTTTCACTATGTTGGCCAGGCTGGTCTCAAACTCCTGACCTCGTGATCTGCCCGCCTTGGCCTCCCAAAGTGCTGGGATTACAGGTGTGAGCCACCACATCCGGCCGCTATTTATATTTTTAAAAAGGAAAGAACTGCAACAAACTGCTGTAATTGTGGTTTTATAAGAGCAGTAGCGTGGATGGCTTTATTTTCTTCCATATGCTTTTGCATATTTTTCAGGTTTTCTATGATAAAGGCAGAATATTTTTATAATTAGAAAATGCAAGGATGCTCTCTTTTGAATCCTATTCCCACTTCTTTATAACTGTGACCTTCATGCAAGTACTACACTTCTCTACTGCTTCAGCTTTCTCATCTGGAAATGGAGATGATGGTTCTTTTTAGGGTTTTTATAAGATAATCATGAGGTAGTCCACATGAAACACTTAGAACAGTGGATGGCATACAGCAAACCTTGATAAATGTTACCCAAAGTTGTTGCATGTGGAAGAGCCCAGCGGGGGTTCAGAAACTGAAGCAGCGAGGTCAGATGGGGAGAGGATAGGCTCAAATAGCAAACCTTTGTCCCCTACGGTTTTACTCAAGACTGCTCAGGGATTCAAACCTGGCAAATTATTGGTTCCCTGTCATGCAATGCTCAGTATCTCCTTTGCTCAACACAGCTGCCAGAGAGGAAGGAAGAAAAGATCAATTTTCAACTTTATTCTCCATTGTCTTTCTACTTTCTCACCGCACCCTCCCTTTCATTTGTATTTTGTCTTAACTGCCAATTTTGGGCTTAATTGGTAGAAGGCAAAGAAGCTCAAGTAAAACAAAGCTCAGCAGAATATAAAGAGAAAAAGGACTAAAAAAATGAAGGCATGAATGGCTGTCTCAATTCTATATAATCTGAGAAGCAGGTTGACATGGCACTGAAACATATATGACCTCCTATTGAAGTGGGCTAATGTTTCATTTACTGCTCCAATTTTCTCATGGCAGAGATAATTTACCTGTGTGATGATTACATAGTGCCTCCAGTGTCTCAGGAACTTTTGCCTACTGTTGTATCTTGAATTTGGGAAATCTGTCTGCTTTCAAAGTACTGAAGATAACTTGAGAGGCAAGGCAATCTCATTTCCCGTCCAACACAATTGCAGACTTGGGTTCAATCTATTAAAGTCAATTGGTAGATTTGCACAAGTAGTCTAATTAGAGATATTCAGATAGCAGGCACAGGTTCCGTTTGCATTCTAGGATTTTTAAAAAAATCAATGTCCATGCACAGGAAGAAAACTGAACACTTATTTTAAAGCCACAGATTACAGCAGTGCCATGTACAGAAAACCAGTAGAGGGGCTATAGGTCAATACAAAAATACTACCGCATGGGGAAGAATGATTAGAAGGGACGGGCAGAGTTTTCACCTCCAGGTCACAAGTTCAAAATGCTGCCCAGCCCTGCCTGTATGATGTTTATAACCCACTGACAGTCCATGTAAAAAGGGCCGGCTCAGAGACTATCTTTTCACCAGAAATGTCGTCCTTTCAGGGAAGAGACTGAGAAACAATAGGAACCCCGCAAATGAACTCACCTATGCAGCTCCTCGAGGTGTATTCCACCTGGCACAGCCATGTCAATTGCCCATTGACTAAAGCCCATTTCCGGCGTTCTCGACCCAGGCTCTGTGGCTGTGGGCCCTGGGAAGTTGAGGCTTCCAGGGGGACACTCAGTTAACATCTCTTACCTTACATCCTGACTTTCAGCCACAGAGTCAGAAAGAAGGAAGGCAAAACATAAAAGTACTTCCAAATGTCCAAATAAATCTCCTTCCTCCAGGTTCCTGGGGCTCAAGTTCTTCTGAGATACTGAATCAAACTAGCAACTAAAAACTGTAGATGAAAGATTCTCTAAAATTTAGCCTTTGTTTAAACAGAAAACGAGTATTCATTAAACCATAACCATGTGACACCACTCTATGAATTGCTTTCCTAGACTTCCTTCATTTCACAAACATTTAATGGAGAGTTGCTAAGCCAAAAAGCAAATTAAAAAAAAATTAGGATATATGGATGAGGGAATATATTCCCTGTTGCAAGAGAGTCTGCAGGAGTCTTCAATTCTTAAGCCTGTGAGGCAATTTTTACCTCGCATTCCCAAAAGTATTTTAGGCAACTGAGAGTTAGTTGGCATCATCATCACACTGTTATCATAATCATTCCCATTGCATAGAGTTGAGAACTGAGGCTAAAAGAATTGGAGTAATTGCCCAAGATCACACATCTACAAAGTAGCACAGCCCATAAGGCAACATAGACTATCCAGTCACTGGTTTCTGCTTACAACATGCCACCTTTTATTATAATTCAGAAATTCTTTCTCCCTAGTCCAGGTTTACCCAAAAGCTTGGCAAGATCAAAAGGAGACAACAGAATACTTGATACTATTCTAAAATCTCAAGGAAAAGAAAAAATAAATTTTCTTTGAGTATGACAACACAAACCTTTGGAATTAGTCAGTGCTACCTCTAGGGGCTGCAAGTCCTCCTGCCCTAAGAGTTTTCATGTTGGATTAAAAATAATTAGTAGCATTCCACACTGTGCAAAGCAGAATCAGAACACTGCAATCCTCACCATGTGGGTGGCCAAGAAGAAATATCCTTCCCTTTCAGAGAAAGTCCAAGGTAGAGAAGCTGTATGGCAGGGTGGAGAGGGAACAGCATCTGTATGAAACCCACCTGAGTGTGAATCCTCAATCTACACCTGGTAATTCTATAACTCGGGGCATATTAATGTTAGTGTCCACATCTGTAGAAAAGTGGTGATAAATCCCATTTTGCAGGATTGTTGACAAGATGCTTGTAAAGCACCGAGAAGCATCCTAGGACATGGTAAGAACTCAATAATTGGATGCTATTATTTTTGTTCCTGGTCCTCCTAAGCCCCTGGAAATTGATATGCAGTGGAAGCAGTTTCATGGCACGTTCCATGGAATTCTCTATTCTGACTGCCTGAGAACAGCATGCTGATCTCCTCTTGAGGTACACACACCCTCTTGCATCTGAGCAGTCACTCACTATACATCTCTAGGGCCACCCATAAAAGCTAAAAAAAACCCTCAGAAGTCACCAAGAAGTTGTGCTTTATAGAGTGCAATTCTCTGACCCAAATCAGTCTTTGCCTTTGAATCAGTTTATGCTACTAGTTATTTAGTAGATTGATTGCTGCTATGGCAACTGCACATCCCTCTGCACAGACACAGGCATAAGTCCTTGATACAATCCTGGCTTAGTTTCTCTGGCTGCATTCAGTACATGCCAAAAATTACATAATATTGGGAAAATTAATTTCTTTCTGCACTGTAGGCACTGGGGCTGCATTGTGGTGCAAAGAACAAATGAAGCCTGGTGTATAAAGCGAGGGCTGTGCTTCTCGTCCACCAGCTTGGAAGGAGAGAGAACTGAAGAGTCCCCAGCTGCTTTTTGGCCACACTGCTCACCTTCGGTTTCCACGGTTTCTGCCAAATATCAAGGCAGGATGTGCCCAGAGACTGCAAACGCCACTTGGCAGTGATTAGGAGTCTTTCAGGAAAGCTTTCCACTAAGGTAGGAAAGTACAGGTTTTTCTTACATTAGAAAGAGTTGGGTAAGGATTCTGAGCCTACCACTTCCTTAGCTGCATGATCTTGGGCAAATCCCTTAAACTCTGAAACCTCAGTTTTCCCATCTACAACATGGAGAACTAAGAATAGCATCTGCTCCCCTTGGTTGTTATGAAGATAATATGACACAACAACCCTGGCATGTAGACAGACTCTGATAACTGGCAGGTCCATCTTTCTTTATCTTCCCTTTAAAAAAAATTTTTTTTTTGGTTCTTTTCTTCTGATTAGTAAGAGATATTATTAGGCTCATTGATTAAGGAGCTGGTTCTATGCTGTCCTTAAATATTTCTAATTTACAGGCTTGAACTTCAATCAAATTCTGCTAAGTGTGTCAAGTTTGCTGTAGAATATAGATCAGTGTTTTTGGCTGGTTTCAGCCCAAGAAGACAGGCTAGATCCCATAAGTGAGTTTTGCTCTGTTCGATTCTGTCACCTCAGCCCTCCCCCCTTTTCCCCCAGCTTCAACTTCCTTAAAATGGCAGTTATTTATTATGAAGGAGGATGGAAAACTAGTGTGTAAGTAAAAAAACTGCACCCACTTCTCGAAGAGTCCCTCACCTCTCATATTCTGAGAGAGGCTAAGCACTGTGATCATTGTTTGCTGAGGAAGCCATGTTATTAGCAGCCATGCTATTTCTGTATCTGGAGACGCCAGGAACACTTACAGAAATGCTTCTAAACCATATGTTGTTTTTATATTTTAACTACTCTTTATGTCTATATAATTTGCATAAATACAAAAATAAATAGCTGTCCTGCATTTCTCTGAAGATTGTAAACTCCAAAGAAAGAGGGAAAAATTTTCCCATGTATCAGCCTTAATGGCAGAGGACTTGGTATTCAGTGAAAGTCAGCAAGACCAAACTGACTTTCTGGGATTTCATAGTTAATCATTTATGACGCAGATAGTCTCCTTGTATGTACTTTCTACCATCAAGGTTGAGAAAGCATGGCATGATCAGACATAAGACCAGAAATATCATTACACCATAAACCAATACCAATTTCATCAAGTTATTCTGAAGATCACAGGATTCAAGGTCAGTTACCTGGGATAAAACAATTTATATGAAGAAATGCTTTGGCCACAAATTATAACAAACGAGAACATGGCTCTAAAACCAGAGAGGCCTGGGTTCTGGATTTAACCCTGTCTAATTCTCAATCTCATCTTCTTTAAAAGTAATATTTAGTTACTTGCAGGGTTGTACAAAGTGATGGTTAGGAGTGCAAACTGTGCAGTTAAGAATGTCTAGGTTGGATTCATGGCCTGTCCACTTAGTGTTCAGTGAACCTGATCAAACGACTTTACCTCTGGAAGCCTGTTTCTTCCTCTGAAGAAGAGAGGTAGTCATGGCCCTATTGCATGGGTTGTTGTGAAGATGAACTCCTATTATCTACGTAAAGTGCTTAGCACAGGGACTGGCATGTAAGCGCTCAACAAATGTAGCCAGTGGCGGTTGTAGAGTAGTAGCAAATGAAATGATGGGTATAAAAAACCTGGCTTTTAGTAGATTTTTTAGAAAATGGAAACGTGTGCTGTCAAGAAAATTCCAGACCATTGCAAATTTCTTTGGAATCAAAAAGTTGGACAGGGACTGACTATGATGAGAAAGGAATCCTCTTATAAATCGGTCCTCCATTGAAGTGGCTTCAGTGCTAGCAGAACAGTAAGGGGGTAGTGAAGTCTGGCCTGTATGCAGCCTCCCTAGTTCTGAAGCGATGCCTGCTGGAACACATAGGCCAGGGGCTTATTGCACTCTACAGGCCCAGGAGTGGGTGATTACTAGCTACTGCCAAGGATGATGGGGAGAGGAAACACAAAAGCAAAATTTTAAGTGAATCGGCATAACGGGGCAGTGCCAGGAAAAAAAAAAGAAAACATCAACGAAAGGCCGGCCAACCACCCTCTGAGAGCAACGGGGTGGTTTCCTTTGAACACAGGGCCATCTCTGAGGCCAATAAGGGAGCTCCACAAGAGTTACAGCAATAAAGAGAATAATGATTTTTTTATAGACACCTAGCCTAGATCGGATTGCTGGTCATGCTTTTTCTGTTTTGTTGCTTCAAAGATACACCCACACACCTTTGGCAGTGTTATCCTCAAACGACAAGATGTTACTTCTAAGTTGCAAGACCTCAGGCGCTATTTGTCCTCACCCACACCCAACTGTCTGCCATCTTCAGCACCAAACATATCCCTGAGGACAAAAATGGCCCTTCAGTTCCTGAGTCGTTTAAACTGAAAAACCAGTTAAAGTGCCATTCCCAAAATAAAACAGAAACATGGCCACTGGCATGAAATATTTACAGCTGTGAGACAAGGGGGAAAAAAAGCCTCACTTGACCTGGTAGTCAGGGGAATGATGTAGCTACACAGGCCTGTAGAGAAGCACTTTGGCCTAAAATCGTTTTCTCTTTTGGGATTCCTACTGGCACCTGTCACTGAAGCTAAAGACCCAAAAGTCATCTCCAATTGGTCCATTCTCTTACCCCTATATTTAATCTCAAATGTAGCTCCATCTGTTCTAAGTCTAACATTTCCTAAATTGGTGCTCTCCTTGCCCACTGGACATCCCTCTACAGTTCAGGCTCTCAAATCTCTGCTGACCAAAGCAGCCACATCACTCACTTTCTTCTATCCCATATCTCCCCCTTTCCCATTGCTCTTCATACTGCAACAGCATGACTTCAAAGGCCCTTCAAGATCAAGCTCCTACCTACATTTCCAGAGTTGTCCATTATCTATCCAGTCCCATTTCTTCACAGCCCAGCAACCCTCGTCCATCCTGAAACACGTTCTATGTGTGTGTACCTTCACACTGTGGTGCACGCTTTTCCCTCTCTGCATGGAGTTTTCTCAGCCCTCACAAACCTGCCTACCCATCCTTCAACATTCAGCTCAAATGCTTTGTCTTCTTCTCATTCCTTAATTTCCTCAAGTTAGGTTTAGGGGCTCTCTACACTGTGCTGGCTTTGCCCTTTTATATGCTTTTATTATAGCACATTTCATACTGTATGGCCATCATTTAAATATCTCTATGTCTACTCCTGTGTTTATGATGGTCAGTCAGGTGTGCTTACAAGAGGAAACACGGAAGAGGCTCAGGGAAACAAAGTTTATTATACTCACTGGTCCTAGAAACAAAAGGCATGCTGATATTGTTTGGCGGTGTCCCCATCCAAATCTCATCTTGAATTGTAGCTCCCGTAATTCCCACATGTTTTGGGAGGAACCAGGTGGGAGATAACTGAATCATGGGGGTGGTTTCCCCATATTGTTCTCCTAGTAGTGAATACATCTCACAAGACCTGATGGTTTTAAAAGGGGTTTCCCCCTTTGCTTGGCTTTCATTCTCTCTTGCCTGTCACCATGTATGATGTCCCTTACTCTTCTGCCCTGATTGGAGGCCTCCCCAGCCATGTGGAACTATGAGTCAATTAAACCTCTTTCCTTTATAAATTAGCCAGTCTCAAGTATGTCTTTATTAGCAGTGTGAGAACAGACTAATACACATACCTATGTAGGGTCACAGGGGAAGCACCAGGTTTTGGTCAGGAGACAAAATATAATAGCCAGGGGAAAGTCTAGACCAGAGCCTTTGTTGGGGGTTTCCTCAGGAAAGGCAAGGCGGGGTATAGTAAACAGATTAGGACTGACTAAATTGAGTAATTCTGGTGGCCTTTGGGCTCTAGGGATGGTCTGTAGTTGCCTGGTACCTGGCCAGGGATGCTTACAGTGAAGGAATATTGCTTCCTGTGGTGTATGGGCTAGACAGAAGAGGTACGGCTCTTGATTGGTTAGTTTGCATATCAAAGGCAATGCTCCTGGCTGAGTCCTGGGCTGTCTCTAAGAATTAACAGTCTCTCCCCAGTAAGAAAGATTTTTAAGATGTAAAAACATTATAATACATAGAAAAGGAACAATGTAAATGATACAACTCCCAGCCTCAAACTAAAATCTGAGTTCCTCCCTCCTATGTTCTAGGCCCTGTTGAAAGCAGGGCTGATATTCTGCTGACATGCTGATATGTACAAGTTTACTGCTTTTCTACACTTGCTTCTTCCTGATTTACTAATCATACTGGTTAGTAAATATTTTTATCATCATCCCAATTGTGTTTTGAATCTAACTGCTTTATTAACTATCATCACAGCTTTGTGAAGGATGTATTATTATCAACATTCTACATTATCTGTAGAATGTAGGCTCAGAAAATGAGGCTCAGAAAAGTTAAATAACCCAACCAAATCACAGTTAGTAAACAGCAGAGCCAGAATGGGGAGCCACATCTGCTTATACTAGAGGCTCTTTCCTCTCCATGATACTGCCTCTCTGCACTTTGTTTTTCCTTCTAGACGCAGGCATCCAGCACGGTGCCTGGCATCTAGTAGTCATTCATTAAGTGATTGCCTAATGGATTAAGGCATAAATAGCAGTGATATAAAATATTTTAAACTGTTCCCATAGCTAATTTACTCTATGGAACAAAAAGGCTGGAGGTTTGTAACCTTGTTTTAAATGAAAAACAACACCTCACAATAAGAATTGCTTACTTTATCCAGGTCTGTAATCCCAGCACTTTGGGAGGCTGAGATTGGAGGATTGCTTGAGCCCAGGAGTTTGAGGCCATCCTGGGCAACATGGCAAGAACCTATCTCTACAAAATATAAACAAATTAGCCCGGTGTGGTGGTACAAACCTGTGGTCCCAGTTACTGTGGAGGCTGAGGTGGAAGGATCCCTTGAGCCCAGGAGGTCAAGGCTGCAGCAAGCCATGATCATGCCATTGCACTCCAGTCTGGGCAACAGAGCGAGACCCTGTACCACATTGCTATAAAGAACCATCTGGGACTGGGTAATTTGTAAAGAAAAGAAGTTTAACTGACTCACTGTTCCACAGGGTGTACAAGAAGCATGGCTGGGAAGGCCTCAGAAAACTTACAATCATGGCGGGAAGCAAAGAGGAAGCAGGCACGTCTTACACGGCCGGAGCAGGAGAAAGAGAATGAAGGGGGAGGTGCTACAAATTTTTAAACAGCCAGCTCTGTGAGAACTCACTCACAGTAAGGAGAATGGCAAGGGGGAAGTCTGCCCCCATGATCCAATCACCTCCCATCAGGCCCCTCCTCCATCACTGGGGATTATAATTCACACATGAGATTTGGATGGGGACACAAATCCAAACCATAGCACCCTAACAACAACAACAAAAACAGAATTGCTTATTTCATCAAAATGCAATAGGTTCATTTCAATAGCTACCATTTATTGAGTGACTGCCATGTAACATAACATAAACTATGCTAAGAGCTTTGTGTTCATTAGCTTATTTCATCTTCTCACCAACCCTGCAAAATTGAAACCTATATATATATATATATATATATATATATATATATATATATATATATATATATATTTTTTTTTTTTTTTTTTGGCATTTCAGATGAGGAACCAGAGGCTCAGAAAAGATATGTAATGCTAATGGTTCAGAGCTGGTAAACAACAGAGCAGAGATCGAAGTTATGACACAATCTCCAAAATGCCTGCCCTTTCCACTACCCCACGTAACCATTTTATTTCCATGTCCTTGTACAATTTGCAGGAATGAGTGTATAGGGCAGGAATTGGGACTCCATACTACTTGGAAGTTTCTGAGACAAAAAGGTCCTATATTACCATTAAGTAGCCTTGTCAGTAAGGGCTTATTGTAGCTTCCATCTTCTGGGCCCAGTGGGAGACATGGTCATGGGCTCAGGACCCATCTCCTGCTGGAATCTTATTAGTGCTTCCTCTGCACAAATAAGAACTGGTGTATTGTGTTAAATGGACTGACACAAACAACCATGCTTTGTCCAGAAATAGAAAATGCTATTTTCTTTAGCAAAATAGAACATAGGAAGTGGTGGGGGTTGAAATGTCATGCACAGAACAAAGGTTTGGCAGAGGAGAAAGGTTAAAATCAATCACTCTACAGGAGAAAAAAAAAAAGGTCTGCAGTATTCTATAGTAATTATCCACCCAAAGTCACACTATAGAATTGGGAGCCACTGCTACTCAAAAATTCTTTTAAAAAGGAAAGAAAGAAAATTTCCAACCCCATAATGTTAAGGTTTTACTTTTCACAAATCATTTGGAAAAGATGATAGATATACAACTAAAAATAAATAAAAGAATGCCATTTTAACATTCTCACCTCTAGTGGTAGGAAGTAACCTTTTCATTTAAGAATGAGGCAGGGAGAAACCAAAATTGCTCTCTCAAAAGAAAGTACCACCAGTATGTTACTACTCTGACTTGTATGCTAGAGGAAATTAGAATTTAAGTTGAAAATGAAGGCTTATTCACTATTCATATCTTCTGGCTAATCATCTTCTCTTCAAGAGTAATGTCCACTAACATTGCTATAGTTTCACAAACCTCAACGTGGCACAACTTTCTGGGATTGTTATTTTTTTTTTCTTTTCTGCAAGGTTTTCCTATTACTTTCTACATAAGATTACAAATTCTTCAAGGTCCGACCTCTGATGTTTGTTGTCCTCATCCCCATTGTTTTTTAATCCCATGATATTTCTCATTCAGACCAAGAGGAAGTTGCTAAGAAGAATCATAAAACAAAGACAGCAACATATTGGTTTTTAGAGTCAAATGCTGAGATATGAAGTAAAAGAGAAAATTTTAGGCAATACAATTGATCAAGAATCCATTAAGAAAAGTACAAAGTAATTACCCTGTCTCCAAGAACAAAAACTATATTCTGCCCATCGGATCAAGTTCGGGGAAGACCAAATGGTTCACGGAGACTATGACCTGTTTTCTGATCAGTTGAAAGCAGAACAAACAGAATAAAGGACTTATATCACCACATGCGCGCACACACACACACACAAAGATGAAAAAATTAGAGATCAGCCTTTCTCATATGTATCTATTTATTTAGGTAATGTAAGATGGCAAACAAGTATTCAGTCAGAAAGGTGAAATCATTAAAAAGAAAAAAAAATGTGTGCCATGCTTTAGCCTCGATTTGACCTGGAAGCAGAAGAGTAAGAGAAGGAAGTAAACTGGCTCAAGGTTCCATGAGTCGACTATGCACAGTGTGATTGATCATAGTAATTCCCCAGATCTAAAGCCTCCTCCTTTCTAGCATACTCTAGAGAGTCACTTCTTCTGTTAAATATATATTTGGATTCCTGTCACTTTCAGCTCTTGGTTCTCAATTCTTTCTTATCTTGAACAAGTCATAAGACACTTTCTGAGTATTAACCGTCCCCAGGAAACTATATCCCTTACTTAATAAGAACTATGTAAAATAAGAGATAAAGGCTATCAGGTATCCTGACTTCTTGGAAGAATGAGTCAATAGAAATGAGTTTGGGTAGGGAGAAAAGAATTTTACCATATAAGTAAGATGAATATTAGAGAATTTGATTTGGGAGAGAAAACGCTGCAAAGATGATGCTGATGAGAAAAGAGCATTAGCATATTGTCTTAAGTCACATACGGTATTCTCTTGGGGCCTCAATTTGTACATCTGTAAAATGGAGGGGTTCAGCTATGTGAGACTGTGTTTCTTCCTGGCTATAATATTTATGAATTAAGTCAGAGCTGAATTGTGATTCAGAATTCAAGATTTTTAGCTGTCTGCTTAAGACATGTTAAAAAGCCATTTTCTCTTTGGAACTGCTATATGTGTCAGAAATAAATCCAGTATTCAGGAGAGAAAACATTCTGCTTCTTCCTCCACACCCCCACTCCCCCTGTCTGATTGTTGTTTAATAAAAGCCAAGATAGGGAAGGTCCAAGGCAGACTCTTAGCCTGGCCTCTCCATTCAATGGATTCAGAATTATTCTGGTTTCTGAATAAGATGATTCTCCCCTTCACCCCCAGCATTTATCACTTTGGTCAACCATTAAAAGGATGAAGCAAAAGCATTGCCCAGCAAGAAACTCCTGCAGCTGGCAGAAATGAAAAGCAAAGATCTTCCCTCACAGGTCAAATCTAACTGACACTACACAGATAAAGCTAAGCTGGGAGAGCAAAGGCAGACGTGCAAGCAGTTGAAACTAGAGAGGAAACTATTTTGAGTTCCTTTCACCAAAGATTGTAACATATTTGTGTTGTTTTTTTTTTTTTATCAGAGCCTCCTGGAGCTCTCTGACTTTTCCTTATTAATATTATTATTATTATTGAAAGATTTTTTTTCAAGCAATTCCCTGATTAGCTGGAATATTCTTGCTCTTTTTAAAATCTGCAGTCATACTATAGTGTTTCACCCGAGCCCTAGGGGCAATTTGAAACAACGTCTTTTTCTGCTTGTGGTCCAGGATTTTTAAGATCCTACCTGAATAGATCTGAAGTTTTCTGAAAAGTCTCCTGTCTCCCTGCAGCCCCTAGATGTTCTAGAGAGAAAGTGTCCTGGGATCTGCCACTCAGCACACCACTTGCTCTTGAAAGCACATAGTCCCTGCTTGGAATCCGCTTTGCTCCTCCTGGTAGTCCTGCTCAAAATGGGAACGCAAATGCCTATGTGGCCAAGTGAAGCATTCACTTGCATACCATAGGCTTATTCTGTAGCTAGGGACATCCTGATACTCGGGTAGTTAGCATAAAGAAGAAAACTCTGCGCCCAGGTGTCAAGGTTTCACTGGAAGAGAGAGGCAAGCCTGAGGACAACAGGGAAGGAGAAGGGTTGAGGCTACAACTGGGAGGCCTGATCCTCGGAGTAGAATGTGTTTTCAATGACGGAGAATGATTAATGACTTGGAAATATTTTGGAAAGTTGGGAGAATGACAAGCCCCCTTCCTGGCCCCATGAAATATGGAGTTTAAGGGAAGATTGGCCTTCACTGCAGAGCAATTTTTTTTTTTTTTTTTAAAAAAGGGTATTCTGAGGAAGACAAAGGTTTTTTAATTTGGCTGAATGTCATTTTGATAAAAGGTCGAGGGGCCAGGCGTGGTGGCTCACGCCTGTAATCCCAACACTTTGGGAGGCTCAGGCAGATGAATCACGAGGTCCAGAGCTCGAGACCATCCTGGCTAACATGGTAAAATCCCGTCTCTACTAAAAATACAAAAAATTAGCTGGGGATGGTGGCACGCAACTGTAGTCCCAGCTACCCGGGAGGCTGAGGCAGGAGAATCGCTTGAACTCGGGAGGCAGAGGTTGCAGGAGGTTGCAGTGAGCCAAGATCATGCCACTGCACTCCAGCCTGGGCAACAGAGCAAGACTCCATCTAAAAGGTTGAGGATGTAGGGTACAGTTTAACAGAGAAAGGAACGTTTCTGAGCACTCAGTGGAAAGGATCCAGAGGAGGGTTAATATTTGGTGGACCTAGAAGTAGGGAATGGCAGAGCAATCAGATAATTTGGGTTTGAGAGAGGATGGACAATTTGCTGGGAATGGAAGGGTGCAGTTTGTTGGAAGCTAACAGCTATGTACCTAAACTTTCCAAGGGTCAAGAGAGAGAAAGAGTAGGAACTATCACACAGTTGGCAGGTGATTACAAAATGGTCTGTACTGGCAGGGGCAGCAAGTTCTGTAATATGTGGCCTCATTTTTAGAGAAAATAAAATCCTGATTGGGGTTGAGGGGAGATGACCATGCACATAAACACACGTGTACATAAAACTAGAGTCCTTGCTTTTATTGAGCCCTCCCATGCCAAAACAAACAAATAAAAATTAGTAGCCTGCTGCAGTGGAGCTTGCACATGATTATGAAATAGGCCAATGAGCTCTATTGAGGGGTTATAAAGATTGAACATGGGGCTCTTCCTGAGGAATATAAGATGAGTGTTACTAAATTTTGATATTGATGGAATTCTGCATTCATGAAACTTTTAAATGCTTTGGTAGAATGGGTAATAATCTGGGAGTCAGCAGACTTGAATTCTGGTCCCCAAACCCCTATTTACCTTTGAAAGAAGAGAAAACCTACCGCCAATGTTTTCCCTTCCCCACCTCCCCTCTCCTCCAAAAGCTAGTTTCTGCCTCCACCTTTCTGATGAATCTACTTAAGTGAAGCTCATCAGTGACTCTGTCCTGCCACAGTTGCCATCCCATGGGTGCTTTCAATTTTAATGTAGGTTCCTTTTCTTCCCTGTTTCCCATGAACTGAGCTTTCCTGCTTTTCATCCACTGAACCGCTTCCTGGCCCTAATGGTGGTAATGCAGGGCCCATCACTTAATCATCTTTGTATGTCAAGTAAGAGTATAATGATTATCAAATAGATAATTGAATAAAATGCTTTTGTCACTAAGCTTTGATATCTTCATCTTTTCAAATTAAAGGTTTGGACTTCAAAATCTAAAATATATGATTGTGTGCTCTTCTTACAGTGGTTTTATGAATTTAAGAATCAAGTATCATCCACTTAGGGAAAAGAGTCCCTCAATAGAAGATTCTTGAGTTTATCACATAAAAAGGATGTGACAATATAGTCTTCTCTCAAGGTCCCAGAAGCAATACATCAGCCTTTTTAGGTTGATACCAAAGCTTTGGATATGTAACACTGACTGCTTCATACATAGATAGGTATTAATGCACAGATACATAATACATAGACATACTGAATACAATGGCTTTAATGCTGCCATTATCTCATTCTCTTTAGAATATCATCTAACTTACTGAGTTGTATATTGTAATAAAAGCCAGCTTCAATTTGAGTAAATAGAACTGTTCTTTTTAGCAGTATGTGCTTAAGAAGCTAATTATAATTATACAGATCTATTTATATAAACACATTAAAAATGGTTCTGCTGTTTCTATGTCAATTCATTTGTCATGACTTGGTACATAATTCCTTAGACTCATTCTTTTTAGAGTATAAAAATAATGCTTCCTAATTACAATAAAATTAGAATAAAGTCAAAAAAGTAGAAAGAAGATTTTCTTGATCACACAAATTCCTAACATTCAGTGGCATTAGATGAACATTTGGTGTATTTCCTTTTGGGTATTTTTTTTTCTATTTAAAGATTATATTTTGCTGAGTTTATTTTTAAAGACATAGTTTATATATAGTTCTTGAAAAGAATATATGTATCATTTCCCTGAAAATATTAATACATGATCATCAAGATATTTGGGGATAAATTGCCACTTCAAAAATGCATCTTACAAAGAGCATTCACATGGTTTTAAATAGAAATTTCTAAATATCTTATTCACAGTTTACAGTGGTAATGCACCTTTTAGATAAATAGAGCTAAATAAAGTACCCAGAAAATTAATGCAATTTAACATTCTCCTCAAACACTGCCCCTACCTCTTCCCTCTCAACAGTTAAATCACCAGGTACAGATGCCACCAAAATCTTAACACAACAACCCTAGGAAGCACATGATGAAAACAGCATTCAGGTGCCAATTAACACAGGCCTCACTTCCTGAAACAGCTGTCCTCCAGTCATTCTAATGTATCATCCCATAGTCCTACTTCCTAGGAAAAGAAGTGAAAAGAAGGAACTGAATATTTATGCTGTTGTCTGACTGCTTTTAGACCTTAGCTGAAACTGAGATTTCTCTGAAGGAAGTACTCTTGTCTCATTCATCTTTGTGTACAGTGACTAGGATCCCACAAAGCACAAGGCACAAGTTTTATTAGTATTTGTTGACTACTGAATAAGGCCAAGGGCAAATGGTCAACTAGGAGTAATTTCAACTGCAAGTGGCAGAAAACTCAAAGGCAGTGATATAAGCAAACATATAGGTGTCTTTTTCTTATCTAGCTAGATGTCCAGAAGAAAGCAGGTGTTGATGTTTGTTCTATGGCTCAGCAATGTCAGGGGTGATATCTCTAAAATTCTCTCAGCCTTCCCCTTTTGCCTCAAGATGGCCGCATTAGCTTCGGTCACAAATCCATTTTCAAGGCAAGAGTACGCCTTGATGAGCCCCCAGTAGACTTCCAGTTAAATCTCATTAGCAGTGTTATATGACTTCCTCTTGCTGCAAAAGAGTCTGGGAAAGTGCTTGTATTTCCTGGAGCTTGTGTCTGGAGTTGGGCATAGAATCTGGATTCTGTTAGCAACAAAAAAGGGAGAAATGGGTACTGGATAGTCAATTAACAGTGTCTGCCTCAAGAAATGTTGTTCTCCATCTTTTTAAAGTGAAAATAAAAAGTAGAAATTGAAAACAGCTAATAAAACAATCAAGAAAAGAACATACATTCCATGCAAACTTCCATAGGTATGACCACTCACTGACAGCTGCTACGGATAATAGTGACTTGGTGAGTTGGAAGTTGTGGCTGGTTCAACAGCAAGGCTAATCAAGTAACTTGAGAATGCGTGTATCTTGAGTGATGCACTCAACTACATACTATGTCTGGGTCTCTTGTCCTTAAAAGGGGACCTAATACAGGATAGAAACAAACAAATTTGATTTGTCAAAGCTAGATGAATTATGAATGTCTTCCTTTGGTTTTAATGCAGTCCAATATTTTAAAAAATATTTTATGGAATTTGTAGAGGTGGAATTGGAAGAGACTCTATTTAGACTATACTCTTCATCATATCATGCAGCCTCTGCTTAAAATTTCCAGCAACAAGGTCTCTACTCTGTAAAGTAGCCAATTCAACATTTAAATTTCTCTAATGATCAGAAAAGTCTTTCATAATTTGAACTGGATTTTACTTCTCAGTGTTATGCATCTACTGTTTCTAACACTGATTTTTAGAGTGAGCAGAATAAGTTTGTGTCTCCTTGCATATGACAGCCCTTTAAATAAATCAACAAAGTTGAGATCCCTGTTCTTGTAGAGAAACAATTTGGGCCTTGAACTCTTCCTTAGTTGGCGCAACTTCCGTAGTCCCTTTGTCCACCCCTCATTCCAGATAGTTGCCCTTCTCTGGTTACTCTGAAGTAGTGAATGTTACTTATTTTATAGCTCTTGCAATAACACAATAACACAATATGCCTATAACCAACCGCCAAGGGTGATTGTAGATGTCTACAACTACCCTTGGTGTCGACACTCACCATTTCGATTTTGGTCCACGTCTCTGGGCCTAAGAAGATTATTTGACATCCTTACTCATCAAATATGCAAGTTCTCCCCCTGAACGTATTTGCCAAACAAGCCCTCCATGATGTCATCCAAATCGTTAGAATAAAAAAATTCAACAAGGCAGAGACAATATGCTAAAAGAGCTTTCCTTTCTGGTTATCAAGCCATTTATAAATATTGGGGTGAAACTGTTGTTCAATTGTCTGTTAAAGTACCACAAAAGATAACTCTCCATATTTTTCCATTTCATGCAGAGTTCTCAGGATTTTCCTTTCTGTCTCTCCACCAGGTAATTTAGAGCCTCCATAAATGATTTATTTGCCATGCTCTCCACCACATTTTAAACAGTACACCACAGATGTCTGGCACTCCTTTAAAACTCAGGTGGAAAAATGAGGGTGGGTGTTAACATTTATGTAATTTATGTACAGTTACTAAATAAACACTGCACTAGGAGATTTATATACATTATTTCCTTCGGTCCTCCTAACCACTTTTTAAGGTCTTACAATACCCCCCAGCTTTTTAAAGAGAGATTACTAAAAAGTTTACTGTAGTTCAGAAACTTGCTTTAGAACTATGTTATTTTTCTGGACACCAAATACACGTTGTTTTCCAAACAAATTCTCTAAATCTTTGACATCAACTGGGTGTCCGACAATTTAATTCAATTCCAACAACTATTGAGAAATAAAAACAAAATCCTAAGACCCAAGGAGACACCAGAGAAATCTTAAAAACTGAGTTCCTGGCCATGACAGGACAAGTGGTGAGACATGCCTCAGTATGCTCCTTTCTTATTAACCTTTAACCAGAATTCTTTCCTAAGGAGTAAACAGAAACCAGCTTTGGAAAAGAAGAAACAGACAACTCATTTCATTAATCACCTTTAACCAACCATCTGAGGCCATGTCTGCACTTCCCCTCCCTCTTTGCTGTTTCTACATGACAACTCACCAGTTTCACAATGCATCCTTCCTGAAAACTAACCACCCTCTCCAGGCTGGTTTTGGCCAACTCATGGAGGATGCACAGTGAGGGTTCTCGTGTCCCTCTGCTTCACCTTTTGACATCAGCGAGCTCAAAACTCCACCCTTGGACCATGCTAACAACACCCTTTATTTTCGAACATGTGACTCATGAAGAGCCATGAAGCTCAGTTGTGCATGCATATGTTTCTCCTTTCAAATATTCCTTATATAGCTATTAAATATGTATACTTAGCCAACCTGTTCAGCATAAATTCCTGTATTATGCTTCCTTCCCTCAAAGTGCTTGCTCTCGGTGGCCAAAGGCCATGGTTCCTAGCCTGTGGAATGGCCAGTTTATTTCTCTTTTATGAGAAATAGTTTTCCTGTCCAAATTTATGAAACTCATCATTCTTCAGATGTCAATACCCAGAGTTGACACAGATCGTACAGCTCAAGGGCTCAATCCCACAAGACTTCTCCCACTTCAGATGCCAACTGCAAGTGGGGTGCTCAGGCTACCCACACTTCTGCCCAGCTGACTACAAATTCAGGGGTTCCCACGACCCTCTCCTCAAGTTTATAATTCCTTAGAAAAACTCATAGATCTCAGGAAAACACTACACTTAAAGGATAGCCAAATGGAAGAGACACTAGAACAAGATATGGAAGGGGTAGAGGGGTAGTCCAGAGCTTCCATGCCCTCTCCAGGTGCACCACCTTCCTAGAATATCAACATGTTCACCAATTAAGAAGCTCACCAAACACTGTCGCTTAGGAGTTTTTATGAAGGCTTCGCTATATAGGCACGGTTGACTAAATCATTGGTCACTGGTGACTAAATTCAATCTCCAGCCCCTCTTTCCTCTCTGGAAATCAAGGGGTGGGGCTGACAGTTCTAACATTCTAGTCACATGACTCTCTAAAGCCTCTGCCCATGGTTTAGTCATCTCATTAGTACACAAAAGACAGTGAAGTCCAAGGGTTTTAGAAATCTGTGCCAGGAACCAGGGGCAAAGACCAAGTTTATATTTTTTATTACACCACAAGATCCCATGGTTAGTAATGGTAGAGCTGTATTTCTAACTCAGGTCGGCTTATGGTTGAATTTCATATTCTCCTCTTATGACAGATTTCCTACTGATGAATCAAATTTTATAGAACGAAAGCTATATTAGTACAAGATATTTTGAGATGCGCTCCAAGTAGAAATATCCTGTGTCAAAGTCACATCAATCTGAAAACTGGTAATCAAGAAAATTAGTCTTGAGAAATGTGTTTTCCTTATTCTGAATAATCATGATCAGCTCTTTAATTGTTATATTTACCCTTCATACGCTAAAGCAAGTCAAATAGGTAAGACCTTCGTTCTCCATCACTTACGTATTACTAACTGTAGGTTAAGGATCCAACTAATATTTTACAGTAACTTTCACACTTATCCTTTGCCCACTGATTCACTCACATACTCTCACGCTCAGGGGTTTATGTAACTATACTCATCTAGAAAGCAAAAAGAAATAGGTTTATCACACACAGAAAGAATTTTAAAACAATGAATAATGTTGTAGGAAAACAGAGGATTATAGCTTGAGTGACTTGTGTACCAAACAGTACAGCATGCTCTGTGTGGGTCTGTTCCTGTCACCTGCAAAACTGTGTGGAAAATATTCTTGGAACAGAAAGTAGAGCCTTTTTGTGTCATCCTACTCCATTTTTTAACAGCTTAATAGAAATGACTGAACATATAATTCATTTGAGTAACAAAAATTAGTTATAAATTTCCATTTCAGGCTGGGCGTGGTGGCTTACACTTGTAATCCGAGCACTTTGGAAGTCTGAGGCAGGTGGATCACCTGAGGTCAGGAGTTCAGGACCAGCCTGGCCAACATGGTGAAACCCCATCTCCACTAAAGATACAAAAAAAAAAAAAAATTAGCTGGGCATGGTGGCGGGCACCTGTAATCCCAGCTACTTGGGAGGCTGATGCAGGAGAATCGCTTGAACCCAGGAGGCAGAGGTTGCAGTCGGCCGGGATTGCACCACTGCACTCTAGCCTGGGCAACAAGAGCGAAACTCCATCTCCAAAAAAAAAAAAAAAAAAAAAAAATTAATTTCAAAATTTTCAGCAACAAAAGAATCTATACCATTTATTGAGCTCCTTTGATGCCAATTGCTAATAACATTAGGCACCTTTAAAATATCTAATCCTTGCAACCAGCTCCACAACACAGATGTCATATCCCCATTTTACACAAAACTAAACTGAGACTCAAAGGTTGAGAGGCAAACCATGTGGAACATACATTGTTCTTATGACATCTTGCTATACTAAACTCTCCATCCTCATATCCCTGAGAAGTCTTCAAGAACCATGCAGATATATTTTCTTAAAAAGATGATAGGGAAAGAAGGGAAAGCAAGGGAAAATTTTTTAAAAAGGGAAAAGGGAAGAAAAGGAAGGGAAGGGAATGGAGGGTAAGGCCAGATGACACAAAGCAAAACAACACAACTACTCTACACCAGAGCATCTGGAGAAACAATAGCTAAAATTCTGTATGTTTCTCACCACAAGCCAGAGATTATATTGACATCGTGTCACCACTCCAATGTGTTTCCAAATATCTTGGTCATTCAGTCAATATATTCAATGAGAACTTCTCTGCACTCAGAATGTTGTAATAGGTGCTGTGGGGAAAATACACACGCAATAAAAGATAAGTTGCCACCCTTATGGCACTCACAATTGAGCTAGGTCAAGAATATAAATTCATGAAATAGCAGGAGACTTTCATGGTAACACCTTAAGGACAGATATCTCTAGCACCAGCTATGAAGCCAGAAAGTGGAAGTGCACGAGTTGGGCAGGCTCTTCCATAAGCCAGACTTCTCAATCTGGATTTGAAAAGAACCAAAGAATAGGACGTGACTTTGCCACCAAGAATTAAAACTGAAGGTTCTTTATTGTGCATGCTGCGTGTCAACAGACAGCCCATGGTAGACTCTACTTCAAGACCATTATGAGAAATAAGCAGTTCCTCCTCTGGACTCTCAGCAAGGTAGTTGATCTTGGTCCCAAACACTTTACCCTACCAGGATGCACACTTCAAACCTTGAAACTCTTGGTGATAATGAAACAAACTAAGATTCTAAGCCTGTTCCTCTGCAAATAGTTCTTTGTCAAGATTCTATGCCAAACAGTGGAATAGTGTCTACTTCTGTTTTAGTAACACAGTAACAGGCACCTGGGCAAAAATGATCACGAAAATAAAGTCACACTCCATCATCATAAGTGATTTATGGATATTCCATTTTCTGAGGCTGCCGTGTCTATTTCTAAAACCAAGGTGCCAGACAGGACGAAGATACTCGAACAACAAATGGCTGAACTGAAGCCTTCACATAAGCCTCAAGAATTTGGCAAGGTTTATGTTGATATTTAAAACCCCAATATCAGAACAGTTGTATAAAGACATAAAAGGACATGTTTTTGTTCAGGTGTCTGTGACTGATGGAGTGATTTCAGTGATTTTGAGACAGTGTTTTGAAAAGCACATCCTGACACACATCTTGAGGAGGATTAGCAATCCCCTGTATTTCTTGATGTCCCACACAGGCACAGTATACAGTTCTCACTGACTGGATGACTGGGTGCTATATTCCAATACTCCCTTAGAGAAGGTGTCCAAAAAGTGACACAATGTAAACTTTGTGTTTACATATTTCCATATAAGTCCATTTTAAAATTTCAATGATTTTTTTCTGAACGAGCATCTGTAGGTCCACGTAGTTCCATAAAAGGAGAGATTTCTGTTTCCTAATACTCTGTGCTAAATCCCTGTTGGCTCCATGTATACTTAAATAATCTGGAGTTTATTCATTATAAAAGACTTAGCTCACTGGCTCACTGAATACACTGATTTTCATCCAACAAACATTTACTGAGGAACTACTTTATTATAGGCCTTGTATCCAGTGTTTGGAGAGATAGAAAAGGACCTGGTTCCCACCCCACTCTTAGGTCACTCAGTCTAAAGGGCTGTCAGACCACTAGGCAATTACAGTGCAGTGTGAAGAGGGCTAAAGAAGTGCAAGGTGATGTGCAGCCATATGGGCGGGAGGGGTAGAAGGGAGAGCCAGCAGACCAGCCTGAATTGTACCTTTCTAAATTTACCTTTCTTGTGGTAAATCCACACTTCAGCCATGTCAGGAACGATGGCACCTTTTTAGGTAGTGAGTACTTGAATCAATGTGATCAAATGCTTCTACTCCTAAGAAGTGACAATTGAGTAAACCATATTCTTTCTTATATTTTTAACTGATAAAAATAATGATATATACTATGACTTTAATAGAACTTTGAATTTATTTACTGGAGTCACCTTGGTCAGGTGACCTAGCCTCTCTAAACTTCAATTTCCTCATCTGTAAAATAAGAATAACACCTATCTCATAGGTTTGTTTTGAGGGTCAGTGTAGAATAATGCACATAAAGCATTTACAACAGTGTCTAGCACAAAGAAAGTGCTCATTAAATAGCTGAAGTTTTAAATTATGAATGCCATTCGTGAATCTCTCTTCTTGCCTTCCCTCCTGGGACATGACAATTTCCTATTCAGCTCAACATCCTGCACTTTAAGCTCTCTCAATCTCAGTGGTATACTATGTTCCTCAAGCTTGTTTAAGAGAAAGCAGCTGATATCTGGAACCAAACTTCTACTTTATTCAGTGAAAAAAACAAACAAACAACAACAAAAAACCACTCAATGATCTTCTGGGTATGTGGTGCTGGTTTTTATTTTTCCATAGGAGTAATTTCTTTTTCCTAATACTCTGGCTCTATTCCTTTTGGCTTCCAGAAAGCAAGAATTACTCTGAGATGCCCAGACCAGACTAGACACAGACACAGAAAGCCAGTGACCTATATCAACTGCCACTAATCATCAGAGTGAGAGAACAGATACTTCCCCTTTTCTGTCAAGGGCAGACCAATGAATTAGGCACTGAAGCAGACCAAATGTGATCTGGTATCTTAGTTCTGTGCAATCAGCTACAATAAAGCTAAGTGGTCTGGGAAAGCATGGCAAAGCAGTAATCATCCCTAAAGTAACTAGAGGAATAACTAAGTAAGTGTCTGCTAAAATACGGTCTGTACCTTTTCAAGAGGTGCATGTCTCCATTTGGGCCTCCCCAAAACTCGCTTAAGTGGATAGACAAGGCAGCCTAGTAAACAACCTGAAAGGCCTGTAATCTATAATTTTGGGATGGTAAACAAAGGTATTGGTCATAAGGTGGACTTACTGTGCCCTTTTATTAAGCATGAGAAAATAATTTTTCTATAAGGAACTGAATTTGAGCTCATACTTAAAAGTTGTGGCTGTGGCTATACTACAGAAGGGAAGAGTTAATCCCCAATTGTGCCCACATGTGCAGTGGCAGCAGAAACTGGCAGAAAGAACCCTGAACTAGCCTTGAGTACTATTCTTGTCTCCACACTCTCTAACTGCGGGCTCCCTGCCAGTAACTGCTTTTGTGAAGCCACTAGGAGCTGCTGACTGGTTGCATTTCCTTGTTCATCCAAAAGCTATATTTAGAGTGACAACCCCTAGAGATTTAAGGGACCCTGAGACAGGTCAAGTGACGTGATCCTGCTCTGAGGAAGCCTCTCGTGACCCAAGCCAAGGGAGTAAACTCTACAACAGGGAGAAGAAATGGGAGAATAGGAAGAAGTAAAAGAAGGAGGGAATTCACAGAGTACCAATAGCATGCCAGGACTAGAGCTAGGTGCTCTCACTTACATGAACTCATTTAATCTTAACAATTAGGCAAAGCAGGTATTATCCCATTGTTCCTATTCTAAAATGACAGGCAACTTGGCTAAATTAAAAGAGTAACTAAAGAGTTGAACTTAGGGCTCCACAGGCTACTTTTAAGTCTATTACCATGGTTTACTGCCTCTGCATGGAGCACCCTCTGGTGGGCAGGGGGATATCCAGACTGAGTGAATGCCTTCTCCAGACCTTTTTCCCAAGGACACTGAGACCTGTAGTACCTTCCTAGTTAAATTGGCCGGGAGCCTGCCTGGGTATGAAAGGGATACTGAAGCAGCTGGAGATTTCTGGGTTTGCTTCAGAAGTTCTAGGCACTTCAGCGTATTTAACAAAAAGTTTCAAGGAAAGTAGACCTCCTTCTTTGGGCTATGAATCCTTTCCAGAGACAGGATATCTATTTAGATAAATGTAAGTTTCAATTCTTCCCTTTCTCACAGTCCTCCTCTCTAAAACAGAATTAGTGAGTAACACCCATCTTAGAGTGATACAGCCTGGTAGACAGTGTTTTGGAAGACTATAACTCTTTAACTCTTGGAAAAGGAAGAAAAATATACAACCCTGCAATCTGCGAAGTTCTTGCACAGATATAAACTCATTGATTCTCAGAGAATTGGAGGTACAAGTATCGTCATTCCCATTTTACAAAAGCTCAAGTGGCTCAGTGACTTGCTTAAGATAAAATGGTTAACAGGACCCTTGCTTTTACTAAGCAATTTGACCTCAAAAGGCATGTCTTTCTCATTAAATACACCCTTTCTATAATCATGTTAAATAACAAATTGTTCCCAGGGTAAGAGAAGGGGAGTGATATAAAATTAAGCCATTATCTTATTCCTTGCTATGGTTTGAATGTTTGTGGCCCTTCCAAAATTCATGTTGAAATTTAATCCCTAAAGCAACAATATTAGGAGGTGGGGCTTTAGAAGGTGATTAGGCCATGAGGACTCTGACTTTATGAATGGATAAAATATAAAATATAAAAGGGATTGAGGGGGCAACTTCACCTCTTCTGTCCCTTCTGCCTGAGGAAACACAGTGTTTGTCTCTTTTGTAGGATGCAGCAACAAGGTGCCATCTTTGAAGCAGAGAGCATCCCTCACCAGACACCAAATCTGCCAGCACTTTGATTTTGAACTTCCCAGTCTCCAGAACTGTGAGCAATACATTTCTATTTATAGATTACCCAGTCTCTGGTATTATGTTATAGCAATACAAAGGGACTAAGACATCCCTGAATAATATTTCAGTGGTATAAGGCAAAATGTTATATATATATATATATATATATATATATATATATATATAACAAAGGAAACAGACATATTATTTTACTCAAGTGGAAGAAAAGTAGTGTTACACAGGAAAGACTTTATGACACAGGCAGCAATTTATCAATTTATGTGGGTCTTCTGTGAAAGATAAGATGTCATGAACTTAAGACAGGAATCTGGCAAAGGAATGAAGGAAATCAAGTGGAGGAAAAACTGAGAAATCCTAGTATTGCCCAACTATAGGTTCCATGAGAGGAAACAGTGAAAAACAGCTCTGGAAAAAATCAATGTGGATGATCCTGAATGGGCAGGCCAGGTAAAGCATTAGGCCTTTATTCTGCCAATAATTTGGAACCCTGAAAGGTTCTGAGCAAGAGACAGAATGATCCAACCTATCCTACTCTGGTACTATTGTAAAGTACAGATTAAAATGGGGAGACATTAGAAGATATGAATATCTTTGCCTCAATTCACATGAGACCAAAAGGGGGCCCTATCAGGGTTCCAATACTAGGAATGTAAAGGTGGGGTGAAATGACATAGGTAGAAAATGGATAGAACTCAGTGAGTGACTGGATATGAAGGCTAGCCAGGGGTTGAAATCAAGAGCTATAATTAGGGTTTGAACCTAGCTGATTTGAAGGACAATGACAGAACTAAGCAAGACAGAGGAGACAGGAAGAGGAATTGGCAGGGAAGGGGATATGGTGAATTTTGCACATGCTGAGCGTAAAAAAAGTTTTGATTGATTATTCAGAACGAGATTTTCAGCAAATTCTTGATAATGTATAGTAGATCTAAAACACAGGAATTACGTCAAAGGTGGAGACTCAGGAGTCAACAGCATAAGGAAGACAGAAGTGAACAGAATGACCAATGGAGAGAGACGAGAGTCAAGTGCAGGAACCCAACAGACCCTCAAGAAAGCACACTGAAAGAGACAAAGGAGTAATATTAAGATGGACAGGAGAAGAACATGACTACAACGCCACATGATAAAGGGAGTGAGAAACATTAAGAAGTAGATTATGGCCAATAGTATCAAATCTCAGAGATTCAAAGGAAGATATGGGTTAGGACTAGACTATTAGTGAAGGTCCTGGTGGTCTTTGAGAGCAATTTTAACAGAGCTATGTGGGCTTTCAACAGATTGAAAGAGGTTAGAGAGAGAGAGAGAGAGAGCAGGAAGTGGAGGCAGGGAAAGTGTAGGCTACAACTTTTGGGAAGCAGACAGCCTGAGGCACGTAGCCAACCATCTGGTTCTAAACTACTTTTCCAACTTTATCCACCATTTTGCTCCAAGAAATAATTTTCTCCATATTGCCTTGTCATGTGTCTATCACCTGGCTACACCAGACTCATTCTGAATATTCTGTTTTCGCATCCACTCTATACCTTCAACCTCTCTGCCCATTAGAAGTTGCACATTGAGGCTTACACAGTCTGCATTGTGTAAGACTCAGATCATGTCCTAATGCCTCATGAATCATTTTCCATTTATTTCACCTATACTGATTTCTCAGATCTCATAAAGTAACTAGCAGAATAACCTGGACTATGCATGCTTCATTTCCTTGTGAAGAATGTTATACTGCTATTTAAATAATCTGCATACAAAGCAAGGGAGACTTAAGCCTCCCTATGAAACCGAAAGTAAAACTTATTTGCCTTTTACATTGTAGAAGTTCAGGCTCTGATAATGGAGTTGGGCAAGAACTGTAGACAGCCTGAAGGAGAGAATGCTGAAAGAAAAAAGATTCCCTCAGAAGTTGGTGGAATGGAAAAATACAGATGTAATTAGTTATAAAAATAATCAGAAGAAATAAACACAATTATACAATTATAAAATTTGATAGGCATAAGGAAGGAGGTGAGCTAAATCTTAAAGTCATGTGGGGCAACAGATAATGCATGTTTACCAATAAAGTAGTTTACACATATATTTTAGTGCTGGAATCACAACTAACAGAAGATCTAAAAATAGAAGTAGTTAAAAGTAGTTGAGTCTAGATAGTGAGTGGAAGCAGGGAGGGGCAGGGTCAGGGCACTTTAAAAAATACATAGGCTGTTCTTTTAATATTTGCTTTGTTTTTAACATGCATATCTATTACTTTGACAACAAAACATAAATAAAATAATTTTGGTATGCCCGTTACTTCAGTGGTCAGGTTGGACCACCTGGTTCAAATATTCATTTTTCACAAAATCCAGAGGAGTCCTTTGACGTGGGAATTTTCATTTGCAGTTCATTGTGTTTAGCTTAAGCATGGCTAATATATGGCAAATTTCAATTTCCATAAAGTAAGATTCTGTTACCAACTTCTAACTCCTACTTAGTAAGACATTGATAAACCCTAGCCCAGTGTACCTAAGAATGATATTTGCTTGGTAATGTTTAAATGCCAGATGATCTTTTCCATTCCAACTCTGTTCTTATTCCACCAAAGGGCACACTAGCATGTTGCTTTGTTGTATTAGAGTTCAGATTTTCAATTGCAAAACTTTTTCTCTGTCTATATCTGTAAGTGTTTAAAATTCAGGTTTTAAGTCAGCAACACAGTCAATTACACCACTAAGCAAACTTTACTTTCCATCAATACCATTCGCAAAAAGCCTTTCTGTCTCATTTCCATCTCTGGGCATTCTCTGCCCGGCTGCCTTGTGCTCTTTAGGCCACTGAGGTTGTTGAAAAGTCTTCATTTGCAAGCTCTTTTGTGGGAAGTGGAGCTTCCTGGTTGTATCATAACTAGAAACTG
Source organism: Homo sapiens (assembly GCF_000001405.40). NCBI lineage: Eukaryota > Metazoa > Chordata > Mammalia > Primates > Hominidae > Homo > Homo sapiens. Next base: position 23,591,983 of record NC_000009.12, read on the forward strand.
GCCTCCTGTTGGGCTGAAATCTAGCATCCTTATGTTTCCTTTTTAATTTTCTAAACTACCCTCCCACCTGTAGCTTCCTAGACCTTTTCTGTTTGGCTATTTCATACCCTGTGCCACGCAAGTTTTATTTGACACACCACAGCCATTCAGATATTTGTTCCATGTAGGTTAACTTGACAAAAATAGAGTACTAAGATATAGAAAACTACCAATGTGTCCCCCTACCCCTGCCTGCCACCATGCCATAAAGTTATTACAGACTGACTTGGATTTTGGATCCAATTTCTTCTTGAAAATAAGGCAGACTTTCCTAAGGTTGAAAAAGCATGTTTTAAAGAAAATAGAATGAAAAACAAGTCTACATTACAGCATGAAAGAGGAATTTCAAAATGTGTTTAATTTAAAACATCCAGTATGCCATTTGCTATAGTCTGAAAGGTCACCGGTTGCTTATGTTTTATTATTTTGCTTGGTTTTATTTTTAATAATTTTGATTCTGGAGATCCTGCATTTCAAATCCTAAAACCAGTGGCAAAAGCAAGTAAGCACCTAGCCAAGGTAAGGCTTTAATATCTGACTGGTAGAAAGAGACGCAGGAGGAAGACAGCAAAACAAGTCAATGTAACACTGCTGTTTGCACAGGCAGCTGCAGAAGCAAGGCAAGATCTGCAGATGTGGATGTCTGACCTTTAATCCAACAAGAGTCTCACTAAGGATTGAAAATAGATCATTTCAGTCTAGTAGGAAGGTTTGAGACAGATGTGCTGACAGAAGAAGAAAGTCTGGCATTAAATTGTATAGGTATCTGCTGACCAGAAAAACACAGCTTCTAAGAAAAGAGCAAAACCATCAGGTCTCCTAATATTTTTTTGGCCACAGGGTTGGGAAATGAGATTGCAGATGTCAATATGGGACTACATTCTCAACAATTTAAGATTTGGTTTCAGTCACACATCCCAGGTGAATGTGTCCCTTCCAAAATTCAGGTATTGCCAATTTGATACTAATAGGAGATAAGGCCTTTAAGAGATGATTAGGCCACAAGACCTCCTCCTTTGTAAACAGGATTAGGTTCCCTTATACAAGGGCTTGACAGGAGTTTGTCTCTTTTTGCCCTTCTGTCTTCTGACCTGTGAGGACGCAGTGTTTCCTGCTCCAGAGGATGCTGCATCAAGGCGCCATCTTGGAAGCAGAGAGCCGCCCTCACCAAACAACTGTGGCACCTTGATTTTGCACTTCCCAGTCTCCAGAACTGTGAAAAAATAAATTTTTGTTCTTTATCAAGTTTCCAGTCTCAGGTATTTGTTATAGCATCACACAATGGACTAGAACAGTAAGGAACACAGATCTAGTGACATGTGATAATTTCTATCTCTGAAATTAGTATAGTTTACTTTTCTGTCCCAGGATGAATTATATCATCAAAAAAACAATAGCTTTAATGTAAATATAACTGACACTTCTCATATTGTTGTATGCTAGGCTCTGTGCAAAGACCTTACTTCATGACCTCTTCTCAGATCAATACTGAAAGTAAATGAATATCATTCCCATTTTAAAGACAAATGAAGGGTTAAGTAAGTCAATTAAGAGTTCTGCATGTCCCCACTCCACCAAAGGAAGAACTCAAAGCTAAACCTTTCAGATGATAAAACCAATGCTCTTTCAATTAAAAGCAAAGTAGATTATACAGTAAGATAAATCTGAATTTGCCTCCTAGCTCTACCATTTACTAGCTATCTAACCACAGGCAAGCCAATTTCTGGTAGTCTCACTATCCTTCTATTATGTAAAATGGGACTATTAGTCTACTTCTTGGGGGCATTCAGTAAGGTTAAATAAGATAATTTATCTTAAACATTTTGCAAGGTAGCTGGTTTATAGTACTCAATAAAAGACTAGACAAATATGTCTCTCCAATCTCTTTTTTTAAAGCCATCATAAGTATGAATTGTATTTTAGTATTTTAATTTTCAATTATTTCACTAATATTATTTGTGCATATACCTACGTACACTACAAGTGTGAAACTAGGACAATAATGTATCAAGACAAAAAGAGAATCAATTCTAGAGAACTTAGCTTCCAAAGAGATGCCTAGAACACAGAGAGATGAGACTAATCAGTGAGATGCCTTTAAAGAAAAAGATGCAAAGACACAAGGAATTGGTCAAGAGGAAAATAAGGAACAAAGGAACAAATACTTGTCACATTTTTAAAGAAAATTAGGAATTCAAATCCGTCTGCTCAATTTCCAATAAAAATTAAAAAAAAAATCAACAGAAGGCTAAGTCCACTCTAATAGTTGGATAAGAAGGAAATACAAACTGGAAATACCATTTGGCATTACATAGCAGGCTGGAGTGGCACCAAAGGAATCAACATGTCCCCAAAATATGACAGTAGCTTGAGACAAAACACAAGGAAATGCTGGAGCAAGGGGGAATAATCTAGGCTGTGGGAATGGGATTTGCTATTTCCTTTTGAATACTGGACCCTACTTTTGTAAAATGTTGAATGAGGACTGCACTCTACTCTATTCTGCACTTTGATTTCCATATACCTACTCACGTGTCAGTTGCTTTAACTGCCAAGAGCATAAGCCATCAATTGCCAGGGAGAAAAGTCAAAGAAGAGCCTTTTTTCTCCTGTGTCTTTCAGTTAGAGTAGGCATAAAGGAACTGACTGCTACAATTCACTTTCTTTGTCTGACAGAGAATAATGATGCTTCTTTTCTCAATGTCTCTTAATCCTTCCTAACTAGTAGAGAAAGGCTGGTGTACCATTTCTCACTAACATGTTAGAAAAAGTAGTCCCCCAAATTAAGAGAACCCCCATTTCTCAACGTCTTGATGATTTCCAGAGTTTTTTTTTTAACTAATATACAATTTTTAGAGCAGTTTTAGATTTATGGAAAAATTGAGCAGACTAAGTATAGAGTTAATGTACATTCCATATATTCCCTTTCTCTTCCCTGCCATAGTTTTCCTGTGTTAACATATTGCAGTAGTGTAGCACATTTGTTCCAGTTGAACTGACAGTCACATTACTAACTAAAGTCTATAATTTACATTAGAGTTCACTCTGAATTGTACAGTTCTATGGGTTTTGACAAATACATACTGTCGTGTATCCACTATTACAGTATCATACAGAATAATTTTACTGCCCTAAAACTTCCCTGTGCTCCACCTATTTATCACTTTCTCCCCTCAACCCCTGAGTCTCTTCGGCCATTTCTATAGTTTGCCTTTTCCAGAGTGTCATACGTTTGAAATCATACAGTATGTAGCCGTTTCGGACTGGCTTCTTTCACTTAGGAATATTCATTTAAGGTTTATGTCATTTCATTAAAGTTTTTTTTAACAACTCTGCATAACAAGAGTTGACTAAGTCATAGATACCTTAGTGTTGAAAAGTCAGCAAAATTACCTCTGACATTTAGGCTAGAACAAGCCTAAAGCCTAGCGCCCTCCCAAGATGTTGCACATTTTCCCTCAGTTTCTATTTCACAGCGTAACAATTTCCCACCAGGAAAACCTTCTTCATATCTGCACTAAATTGCTGAAATCCTTTTAGATTTTAGTGAGGATTCAATAGGATAGAAACGTTCTCTTTTTCTCATTCAACAGACATTTATTAAGCACTTATGTGCATTCAATACATTGTGTGCCAGACTTTGTGCTAGTAGCCACTAGAGGCGTAAAGATGAATAAAACCCAGTCCTTATTCTTAAAATCTAAATGTCTTTGTTCCTTCTAATATCCTTTGCATTCTTCCAATTAAAGCATGTTTTGCCTTGTCACTCTCCTTCCAGGGAAACTATTTAATACAATTACTCTTAGTTGCCAAACACACCAAATCAAGAATTAATGCCAAGCATGGAAAGTGCTACCATATTAACTTAACTAATCGAACTTCCATTATTTCCCAAGTATGCTTACAATTGTCACAAATTCATGTGACAAGAATATCCTTTGTAAGGGAAGGTTTAAACCAAGGTTATGACTTTGCTATCCATCTGATAAGACATGCATGTTCCTATCTGGTGCCTGCCATAATCTTCTTCTTGCAACTATAAAGATTCTCCAGCTCTAACTTCTTGGGCCACATTTGCCCTACTGCAAGCCACATGGGCAAACATTCTGCCACTCCACACTCCATACCATGAAGGGATGGGGACCCTCTGAAGCTGCCCGCCCCTGCCGGGGCACCTCTTGTAGCCATTCTCACCTACCAGCCTAAACCATGCTGGCCACAGTTGCTTCTCTATGACTCTGTACCTTCCCGGCCTGACTTTCTGGAAAGGAGGATACTTGGAAAGCAGAATTCCCACAGCTGTTTTGAGGTTTATCTGTGCTTCAAGTTTGAAAAGTTAATTCTGAAACCCAAAATCTGAGCATTGCCTATTCTATCTTTCTACAGATAGGCTATAGCAAACCGTAGGAGAGAAAAAAATGAAAACTTTACTACTGCCTGAAAGGGGAACATGGTAAATTTAGCAGAAAATATGGGGGAAAGAAGCATAGTTGTAGTATTTCAAAACATGGTTCCATTATATGAGTAGAAAATTCTAGGTTTATTTCTGCTTTGGGTTAATTAAAAAGTGACCTTGCCAAATGACGGTCAGTTGGATACCTCTTATCATCCTTCAGTGGTATTACATGGTTTTTCCTGGAACTACAGATCTGCATTACTTGGTTGGGGAGGAGTGGGTGGATATATTTAGAAACACTCAATAATTAAAATCACTTTCTACTTACCTTCTGCAAACACATCTTAATGATAGAGTTTCCTTCAATTCCATTAAAGCACAGTTTTAATGAAATCTGTTATCTCAGCTTCTTTTAAGGAGATATGTTCTCAGTAATTCTATTTTAAGGGGGCTATCTTTTCTTTCTAATGCTTACCGAGAACACACACACACACATGCACACACACACACAGTTTGCTGTGATCTCTCCAAAAATAAATTAAGAAGTAGTAAAAGAAAGTGAGTGGAGTTAGGCAAGAAAAAGCACCCAAGGGAAGCTGCTAGCTCTTTTCAAGTCCTCAGGAAAACAGCATAAACAAATATACCTTTTTAGCAGTGTAATCTTTAAATAACCTTATAAGAGTCATGATTCACTTTTAAGAACAGCTCCTTGAACTTCCTTCAAAGTTCCCATGGCCTTGCTGACGTCACCCTTCCAAGGATACTGAGGTCATACCTCTAGACTTTTTCTGGAAATACTCTGCACTTTATAGGAATGATTAATTTATGCAAAACTGCTTAATTACCTTGTGAAAAACACATAGACAGGAAATAGAGAAATCATGCATCAACAGACTAGCAACGTGGGTCATCTGCAATTCTTCATGTTCAAGACAACAACCTGCTTGTTAGTGAAGGGATGCTGTCCTAAAGATTTGTCAGATTGTGTTGGAACCTCCCTGAGATAGCAGGTGAACCCTAAGGGGATGTGGAGATTGGAGTTACAGGACCCAAAAGACAGCCCACTGGTGGCAGTAGCAGCTTCTGGATTCTGTCAGTGGGTATAATCTGTTAATTCAATTTGTCCTGGCTTCAGCTTCCCTTTGGACTTTGAGATCTGCTAAAAGTTTATGAGAGAAAAAAAAAGTGGGTAGCATTTGTTTTTCTTTATATTTCGTCTTCTAAACTCCCAGATGTCAATTGGTAGTAGTGGTAGTATTGGCAGCAGCAGTGGTAGTGCCAGTAGTAGTAATAGTTGTAAAAAGAACAGTAGCAACTAACATTAATTATGTCTTATAAAATGAGCACATAAAACTCTTATATCAAATCTGAGATATAGCTATTTACAATGTTCTTCTACAAAGGAAGAAGCTAAACCTCAAAAGGAGAGTGACTTATCTGCAATCACTCACAATTAGTAAAGGGCAGAGACAGAATTCAAGCCCAGACACTTGCCTCTAATACCCTTGATGCTGTGTGATAATATGTAAGACCATAAGATGAAAAGCCATTATCTCAGTCTCTGATTGAATACTATACAAAAGTAGTTTGTTGCTTCATTCGTATTCTGCTTATAAAAATACACTCAACAAATGACACCATGGTGTTTCACATTCTCTCCACAGTATTAGAAAACTCTGGCACAGAAGTTATCAATATTTAAAAAAAAATCCATAGGAGTTACCATCTTCTATTCACATTCAGCCAGATACAGATTTCTTTAACATACATTATTGACTACTAACAATGGGCAAAGCACTATACTAAGTGCCTCCACATACATATTTTGATGTAACCCTAATAGCAGATAAGGGAGATTGCATTATTTCCACTTGCTAGATGAGGCAATGTAAGAAAAAGAAGATAGTCATGAATCCATTTAATTATTAATTTATTCAACCAATATTTGAATATCTACTACATACCAGGCACCATTCTAGGTACTGGGGATGCAGGAATGAAAAAACAGACCCTGCTCGACCAAGGTTTAATTCAAGGGAAACACACACACACGTGCAATTCAAAAAGATGTCAGGACATGGTAAGTGCCATGAAGAAAAACTAAACAACACAAGGGATAAATATTGAGGTGGTGGTGACAGGGAAGCCCTTTTACATGGAAAGCCTCTCTGATGATGACAGTTAAGCAGAAACATGAAGTGAAGGAGTAGATATATGGGAAAAGAGCACTCTCACCAGAGACACATTTATCAAAACCGACTTCGTGCCAGTACTGAGCTTGGTACCGTAGATATAATGATTAATGAGGCACGGTCTTGACCTACCAGGAGCTTTTGGTCTATTTGTGAAGACATATATAAATACATTATTATAGTATGATCCATACACGTTCAGGGCATTATGAGCAGGGCCAGGACTAGGACAAGGCAAGCAAACAACTTCATTTTAAAAGCAGACAACACCAGGATGGCTGATTTTTGTCTTGTGCCTCAGGTTCTAGTATGGCTCTGCATGGCACTGATTATAAGTACATACAGGAAAGGTTTCTTACCCTCTTCCTGGGGACCGGTGGTCCTGGAACTGATTACATATGAGCTGAGCCTTAACTGATAGTAGCAGCTAAATTCAGTGCCTTGTCAGAGTCACAGAGCCCAGGAAGTGTACAACAAGGCTTCAAAATACACATTTCTATATTAAAGATCATGGCTATATCTACCTGATCAGCATTTCCTGAAGTATGTTTGCTGTGTTTGCAGAGCAGTGAATCCACAGGATATTAATAAGTATTACTGGAAAAACTGGTTTGGTGATCAAATAAGCTTGAGAACATTCAGCATATAAGAATTTTAACCGGCTTCTTTATTGAAGAACTTTTCAGAGACTTCGTAAGCAAACAATACCCACCACTGAGAGAAGCATTTCTTCCTTCACAAGGACAACAGAGAAGCAAAGTGCAACCAAACAACAATAATGCAACTATTGTTTATTGTGTGTATTACAGGCCAGCACTTTACACATACATATATACATGCAAAGTACAAACTATGCAATATATGTGTGTGTGTGTGTATATATATATATATACACACATACACACACACACACATATATATATATATACACATATATATGTATACGTGTGTGTACGTGTGATTTCATCTTTATAATAACCCTGGAAGATACTTGTTATTATTTCCATTTTGCAGTTGAGAAAAACTGAAGGATTTAAAGACTCTAACAATTAGCCTGAAGTTATGCAGTTTATATGTAGCAGACCCAAAGGCTTTGACTCCAAAGTTTGTGTTTTCTTAGACACTATACTGCCACTCTGGAGTCTAGGTAATATTCAGAGACTGCACAAAAGCTGGCGAAAGTACCTCTGGTGGATTCACGAATTTGAATAATAAACCAGAACAGTATTAATTCCAAATGATTTGGGAAACAAGCCTATAGAACAAAATGAACTATGAAGATGCTGAAGTTTGCAAAGTCGATTTTGGTTTGGTTGTTTTCTGAGCCCCGTGTGTATCCACCTATCTTGCAGGTTTCTGGTAATTATGAAAAACATACCATTTTCCGAGTTTTTTTTTCCGTAGATAATACTGTTTTACTCATTTTTTTTTCATTCAACTGAGAGTGTATGCAACGATCCTCTGTATATTCTGAACCCAACAAGGCAAGGATCTTGGGTTATGTCAGCCTTGCCTTCCAACCACATGACCGGTTGGGGTTGTCCTTTCTATAGCCACAAACACTTAACCCAGTCAAATTTCTTCCATGATCAAAGGGGCTGACTTACGAGCAGGAACTTCATGAGCAAAATGCATAAAAATATAAGATGAATATCAAAGGGAGACCCAGGTGGCAGATTCCCTGTGTTATTTTTAGTTAGACCACCAAAACCTTTTTGTCTTCATAAACAGAACCTATCTGGATTCAGCCTTATTCCTTTGGAGAAGCTGATTAAATAAGAAAGGAATTTTGCCACTAATAGGCAATGCCCAACAAAAATGAGGCTCTTGTGGCTCATCTCAAAAGGAAAAGCTACAAGAAAGCACTGAATTTGCAAAGAAGTGAACCTCATAAATTGTGCACAAAAAGGTTTTGAAGATTCAGATAAAAAGCTCAGTTCCAGCATGACCATCTGTTATGTCCCCCTAAAAGAAGATAACTAGTAGTTTATAAAAGCAATAAAACAGTTCCAGAGCTCAAAGGCAATAGTAAGGACTTCCAGTTACAAATCAGGGAACATGCAGACTGATATCCAACTGAGCGTGCTTCCATTACCCCCCGCACTGCCTCTCCAGTCAGAAACAAAGATTCTCTAGTTACTGGTGTCTGATCTACTCGTTTTCTCCCTCAAAGGGATTATGATTGGGCATCAAAGCTGCTGTCCCTCTTTCCTTCTGTTGATGTGCACTGCTTAATTTTTTTTATCTGGCTACCTTTTCCATACACATATATCATCTTTGACCTCTTCCATCTCACTCTGCCTCAGCCTCTTCCAAGTCTTATCCACTTTTCTTAGCTCTCCACCCCCACCCCACCATTTGATTGAGTAGTGAGCCAAGACTGGAATCATATCCGGACTAGTCAGTATGAGAAGTCAATGATATACCTGGTCAAAAAGAAGAAAGTTTAACCATAAACCAGATAAATCAACTCCTGAAACTGAAATAAAAGGCTCCCATAGTTTCTCCCCTCAAGCCTCCTTCCCAGCTTCTTAATCGAGCTTTGCAGTCAAGAGTTTGGGCAAAGGCTTGTGCTGCCTGGACCGTAATCTTGGCTGTGCACTTTCTGGATATCTGACCATGGGTGAATTACTTGACCTTTAAATCCCTCAATTTCCTCATTGGTAAATTGTGCACAGGATTAAATGAAATAACTTATTTAAAGTGTATAACACAATGCCTCACAAATTTTTAAGTCCACAATTAATGTTACTCATCATTATCAGCAGCAACAGCAGCTACATCTTTCTCCAATTAAACTGTTATTTTTTTGCTCTTACCCTCCTTTTGTAGTAATTACTGACTGCAACTATATTTTTCCTATTCTTTTATTACAAACACACACTAAAATTACTTAAATAATCATAGGAGCCTAGCTTTGGCCAATGATAATGTTAGAGGAGGTGAAGCCAGGGGAAGACCCAGGCTACCTGGTGGGTACCCAGTTCAGGGCCTGACGTTCAGATCACAGGCTCTGCTCGAGGTCTGATTTTGTCAGCTTGCTAAGAATGGACCCATCTCTCAAGGGGTACATTTGAATTAATCAAACTCAGGAAACATTTATAGAACTGCAACACCTATCTTTTAATTTACAATAATAAACATAATTATGACAGAGCTGTAATACTTGTGGCAACAAAACCAGAGAAATGTCTCCCTGTAGATCTATATAAGAAGCCCAATTTTAACCAGAAGTTATTAGGCGAGTATGCAAATAAAACAAGAGAGTTAGCTGATTTTAGCTATACTCCCTAAAACAGGCTGATGCATCTATTTTCCAGAGAGACAGATCTTTCAGCAGTCATTGGCTAAAGCTCCCTCTACAATATGTAGTACCACCTGGGGATGCTGCCAGTGGTTGTTCAAGGGGCTAATTTCTCAGTTCTTCCAGGGCTAAGAACTGAGTTTCCCTTCTTTGAGTAACATTCTTATAGGCCCCAAAGCTATTTTGCTTCTTAAAGGTAACTTTGCATATCTCTGTTCTGATCAATTTTATACTAATTTTATAGTTGCACTCCCTAGGGGGTATTTTTTTTCCCTTACACATAAGCTCTTGGGTTGAACCTCAACATACTAACAGCATTTACTATTTCCATTACTTTGCAGGGAAAATAGGTATGTGGGAAGATGGGGGCTACTGAAGGTCCAGTTATGTATCATATTACTTTCCAGAAAAATTAGCTTCAAGTTCCAAGTAAATAACTTTACAAATGTATCTGACACTTGCTCCCACACCCTCCATCTCTATTAATAAACTAGCCTTATGCTAACTTCATTTTTAAGCTAAAGAGTTTCTATTTCTAACATACCTCTTCTCAATGATAAAGAGGTCATTATAATTTTTGGCATAAATGTGGCAAAAAGAAAATGGTGACACTTGTACCACCTACATGATCTGCAAACCACAGTTAAGAGTTGTTAATAACATGAGAAATTTTTGAATTTAAAGGGTTAAGTGAAAGGAATCAAGATTAAAAGTCATATATTCAGAATACGGGCAGTATACCATAGAATTCATCCTTGCTCCGAAACTTACTGCCTGGGGCAGATGCCTTACTCTGCTGTGTCTAATCAGATAAGCCAGTGATGTATCTTTTTGCTTCAGTTTCTTCATCTGGGAAATGGGAAGACCGTGCCTACATCATAGATTGTAATGAGGATGAAATGAGTTAATATCGGTGAAGTATTTAGAACAGGGACTAACACATAATAATCACTCAATAACTGTTAGCTCTTTATCATCTCCACTACAAAAATACAATTAAAAAACTAGGGAGAATATATCCAAACATTATTATCTACCTCTGAAAAGGGCTTTCTTCCTCTTTATAGTGTCCTGTGCTTTCTCCAAATTTTGTCTAACGCCCATATACTACTCAGATAATAAAAAAAATAAACTTTTTCAAAAAATTAGCTCAGTTGGTAACTTTTAACCTGAAATAATGTTTGCCAAAAGCCCCTTTAATGATGCCACTCTAGATTCATAACTGCATCACTTTTCTACTGCTGCCGTAACTACTTACCACAAACACAGTGGCTTAAAATGATACAAACGCATCATCTTACAGTTCCACAGGTCTGAAGCCTAACACAGGTCTCCGTGTGCTACGATCAAGGTATGAGTAGGGCTACGTTCCTTTGTGGAGACAGGAGACCACTGAGTTGCACTGCCTAAAATAGTAGCTGTAGCCATACATAGCGATTTCAACTAATTACAATTGAATAATATTACAACTTCAGCTCTTCCATCACTCTGGCCACATTTCGAGCTCGGTCGCCACGTGTGGCCAGTGGCTTCTGCATGGGACAGCACAGATGCAAAACACTCCCATCACTGCGCAAAGTATGGACAGTGCTGAGCTAGAGATGTGACTCATATGGACTTACTCACTGGCGTTCTTGTGCTTTAGGCATCTTTTCAGATACAAATGGGCTCAAGTCAATCTCCTGTTTAAAATTCTTCTCTGGTGTCTATTGCTTATAACATTTTCCCAACATTTTAGAGCTATATAATTCAAACCAAATCTTATATATACATCATAAAATGTAGCTGCTGTCATTATAACTCTAGTAGGTGCTTCAAGACCTCCATTAGCCTCATTCCGCTGTAAATATCTGAGCACTTTGATACTATCTGTCTAAAGACAAAGTGAAACTCCTTAGCATGGCATAAAAAACTGTTCTTCATCTAGTCCCCGCCCCTTCGCTCTTCCCCAGAGACCACTCCACTATTCCCTTTCACCCTTCTGTAACTTCATACATGAAATCCCCTCTACTGCAATGTCTTTCTCTCTTTCCTTTTTCTTTCTTTTCTTTTTTTTTTTTTTTTTGAGACCAAGTCTCACTCTTGTCACTCAGGCTGGAGTGCAGTGGTGCAATCTCGGCTCACTGCAACCTCCGCCTCCCGGGTTCAAGCAATTTTTGTGCCTCATCCTCCTGAATAGCTGGGACTACAGGCATGTGCCACCATGCCCAGATAATTTTTGTATTTTTAGTAGAGACGGGGTTTCACCATATTGGCTGGGCTGGTCTCGAACTCCTGACCTTAAGTGATCTGCCCACTTTGGCCTCCCAAAGTACTGGGATTACAGGCATGAGCCACTGCGCCTGGCCTCTTTCTCTCTTTTCTACCTACAAAACTCCTCCTCAGCCTTCAACCTCTAACTCCATGTTCGCCATGGGGAGAAGCCTCCTGATGGAGAATTTTCACTCAGGCCAGGTGTTCTCATACATATTGAGAGCAATCACATGGATAGACCTTTAAGGACTTTTCTGTGAATCCCCAAAATTGTATGCATAATTTCATGTGTAGGTACATTTAGAAGGTACATGCTCTCTGGTTTTTCTACAGTTATTAACTGGCCAGTGACCCCAAAAGTTTAGGAACAGTGCTAGAGAAATTTCAGGGTTCAAACAGGAGTCCTTTCAGCACTTTATGATCCCTCTTTTAATCTGTTTCCAAACATACCTTTTTATTTTTAAATTTCCTTACACAAATACAGTCATGTACTGCATAATGATGCTTTGGTCAATAATGGACTGAATGTAAAATGGTGGTCCCATAAGATTATAATACCGTATTTTTACTGTGCCTTTTCTATCTTGAGATATCTTTAGATACACAAATACTTACCATTGTGTCATAAATGCTTACAGTATTGAATACAGTAACATGCTGTACAGGTTTGTAACCTAGGATCAACAGGCTATACCATAGAGGCTAGGTATGTAGTAGGTGTATACCGTCTAGCTTTGTGTAAGGACACTCCATGATATTCGCACAATGATGAAACTGCCTCATGATGCATTTCTCAGAATGTATCCCTGTCTTTAAGTGACACAGGACTGTGTATATAGTCAATTCTGCAGTCTTGTCTTCAGGTTAGAAGCATATGCCCCATTCTGGTTCATTCTCTCATGACATAGAACGCCAGGTTCTCCAACATATGCTCTCTACAAGAAAAAAAAAAAAAGAAAGAAAAGGTAAGGCAGTGCACATTACTGAACTAGGAAAATATCTCTACCATTATTAATTCAACTTTGTATATTTTAGAAGACAATACTAACAGCAATTACAGAGGTCTTCACGTGCCAGGTACAGTGCTAAGTGGTTTACATATAGTATCTTAATTAAGCCTCAAATCCCTTGAGAAGTATTATCTCAATTTTTACAGATGAGAAAACAGGCTTAAGTTACACAGCTAGTAAATGGAACACTGGGATTCGAGCCCAGGCCATCCAATAAGTGGGTATTAAATTCACTGCATTCTTGTAGTGTTCTTAGTTCTACCTGAATAATCACTGTAAAGGATCTCTCTTAAAGTGATATTTGTGGCTGTCTAAACTTAAAGATCCCAAGGAAAAGCGTGAAGATGTTAGGTGAAATGTTAAAATCATTCCCTTTTAAAATGGAGACAAAGGATAGCATTATACAGTGACTATATGTTAGATAAAAACATATCATGAATCTACAAATAAGGCTGTCACTCACCGACTATATTTCTCTAGGGAAGTTCCTTAAACTCTCAGTGCACAGTTTCCTGATATGCATAATGGGGGCCATAAAAATATTTGGTTCTTGAAAATAAATAACATAGGTATGATGGTTAATTTTAGGTGTCTACTTGACTGGGCTAAGGGATGTCCGGATAGCTGGTAAAACATTATTTTGGGGTGTGTCTGTGAGGGTGTTTTTGGGAGGTATTAGCATTTGAATGGGCAGACTGAGTAAGATCACTCTCACCAATGTGGGTGTGCATCTTCCAATCCTTTGAGGGCCCAAGTAGAACAAAAAAGCAGAGGAAGGATGAATTTGCTATCTTTAGTTGGCTTGTGACATCAATCTTCTGCCCTTGCATACTGGCATTCCTGGTTCTGGGGCCTTTGGACTCAGACTGAATCACACTACTGGCTTCCCTTGTCCTCTAGCCTGCCAATGGCAAACTGTAGGACTTTTCAGCCTCCAGAATTGTGTGAGCCAATTCCTATAATCAATTTCCTCATAGACAGATAGATGGATAGGCAGGCAGACAGACAGACAGAGCCTACTGTGTTTCTCTAGAGAACCCTAATGCAATGATGAAATACATGTTAGTAATGGTCATTACTGTTGCTGGAAAACAGGTTTGAGGTGGAAGAATATTCTTTCTGATTTATTGGCCTTCCTAAGTGAGCTAAGATTACTGAGCTGAAGGTTGTTAAGACTACCTGCTCTTCTGCTTTTGTCTAAGAAGGAAATGAATCAGAGAAATAAGACTCCTGCTTCATATGTAAGAGTTTTATGGGGTAGTGACCAGTGATAAATGTGTTATTCTCTAACTATCAGGAGTTGGAGCGAAGCAGGCAGATGAGACCATTAAAAATATGAGCCCCTAAACACATTGGGGCTACTGCAGCTGGCTTTATATCCAGCTCATCAGAATGACATCTTAGATCTAGCCCTGCTCCTCCAGATCTCTCCAGGACTGGGTGCACAAAGCCAACCAAATGAACTCTGGTCCACAAAGAGACACTAACATTATGTCTGTTATAACCACATCTGCTCCAGGAAATATTTCATGACCCATAAAAGTCCTCTATCTTGGTGGCCAGGAAGGGAAAATGCAATGGCTAAGTGATGAATTTCTCTTTTGGTTTGCGGCCACGTCTTAGTTTGGCTGCTATAACATGCATTTATAATTCTGGAGTCTGGAAGTCCTAGATCAGGGTATGAGGTTCTTGGTGAGGGTTGTTTTCCTGGTTTAAAGATGGCCCCTCTTTATTGCTGTACTCTCACATGACGTAGGTGTGGAGATACACAGACACAGACACACATACACACACACACACACACACACACCGAGACAGAGAGAGAGAGAGAGAGAGAGAGAGAGAGAGAGACAGAAAGTACATGAGCTCTGGCCTCTTTATCTTTTTGTAAAGGTATTAATCCCATTCATGAGGCCTCTGACCTCATGGCCTAATTACCTCCCAAAGGCCACACCGCTGAACACATTGAGAACTTAGGCTTCAACATACTAATTTTGAAAGGTACAAACATTCAGTCCACAGCAAGCCATGAAACCAAAAATGCTCTTATATTCTGGTTTTACATGTAGAGTATTAAAGAGAGCTTCATGCAGATGAACCTCACAGGATAACAGAAGTTGAAGTGTGTGGTTTTAACTTGTAAAGTTATTCCATACAGGGTATTTTACAATTTTTGAGTTAACGCAAGGCTATCCTATAATTTTCAATGAAGAATTTTGCATACTTCTATTAATGCTTGACATTCTAAAGCCATGAAACACACTTTCCGTTCCTCCACAGTCTCCCCAGCTGTCTACTTGCTGTCCCTTAAACATACTGAACCCATTCCTGACTCCTAGATTTAGCTCCTTAGTGTTCCATTCTCCATGTGGAACACTTTTATCTCTGCATATTCAAACTTATCTAACCTTCACATTTTGTCCCAAGCCCCATCTTATATTTAGATGTTAAGACTTCTCCAATTCCTGCCATCTCTAGTCACCTTGCTTACAACTGTGTATATTCCACAGTGAATTAATGTACTCTATGTGCCAGGAAGTGTGCTGGGCACTGGAGATGCAGCAGTGAACAAAACAGATGAGTGGTAAACAAGGCAGAGGAACAATCAGACAAAAATTAAAATTATATTTCTATAGTAAAAGGTAATATGGCAAGATTACCAAGACGGACTTCAGAATGAGAAGAGATCTCACCAGGTTTTCTGAGACCTAGGGTGATGCTAGATTGGGTCAGACCTCACTGTGAGCTGTCCTGGGAAAGAATCAAGGTTTGAGACTAGTAGTTACCACCACCCAATGAAGTGTAGATAGAAATAAACCACCAGTACACACACAGTTTATTGTGGATAAGTCTGGAGTTATGCAAAGCCTATCCTCTCCTCTCAAGATTTAGCGTACTGTACCATTAATGACACACTTCTTTGCCTCCTTTATAAAATGAACAGGTCTTTTTAAGTTCTGGTAGTTATCGCTCTTTCAAAATATCATATCAATGCTATCTTTCTTCAAGCAGCATAAAGTGAATTTTGAAGTGTTTTATTCTGATGATGTCCCTTGAAAGATATCCACTTGTTAAGTATCTCTCATGTAATTTTCAGTCTAAAGTCCATCATCTGTAGACAGAAGTGAGGACAGCACAGTTGGAAAGAGGCCTAAAGCTGTTATTTTAAACAAATAGCTAGTTACAAGTGCTGGTGAGGGAGAGCTTTTCCATTTCTCTTTTCATACACAGACTAGCTTGTCACTGCAGCATTTGTGTCCCTCATCTGATCAGCTAGAGGGGTGTCCAGAAATCCCCTAGCTACAATAGCCACTTGCAAACTCCAGATACATCAAAACAATGATTAATAAAATATATCTATAAGCGTGTTTACAGTCACAGGGGGTTAAGAGGGAAATGAAATAGCAGCTATTGCAAACTCCTTTCCCCTGGAATTCATAATTTATTTACCTTGTCTGTCCTGTTCCCGGTGTGGCTACAATCAATTGCATTCCATGTCAACTCCTAGTACCACAGTCTACTGTGCCTGCATTTCTAGCTGTACACACTAAAAATTCTATGAACACTTTCAAGAAAATATCAACATCTACATATTAGTTATCCAGGTGAAATATAATTGCTACTAGAAAACGATCTGGGGGGCCTATTCTTCCCTGTAGAAGTGTCCTTAGAGAGAAGTATATTAATCAGGGTAGGCTAAGTGAGGAAAGAACCCCAAAACCTCAATGACTTAATATAATCAACAATTATTTCTCATCTATGCCAAATGTAATGTGGATATTCCTGGTCTGGCTGTTCTCCTAAACACAAACTAGGGGATCCAGGTTCCTTCCAACTTTTACTGTTTGCAACTGCAACATAACATACCACTATTTTCATGCAATAATATGAGTGTAGGCATGGCCTACCAAAAATTTAACCACCTCTTCCAAAGTAACACATAATAATTTAGGTTCACATTAAATAAGCCAGAAATAGCCAAAGGCCTCACCTAGATTCAAGAGCCTTGGGAAATGTAAACCCGGCAAAATGGCATTCAACCTCCTGGAAAGGGAATGCCACGTTGCCGGTGATCAGCTAGCCATCTCTGTTCTGAGGACCTAATGTAGACATATTTTTTAAAAACACACACACACACATGATCTACCAATCTCAACTCTTACCAATCCTCCAGGAGATTATCAATGCCTGGCTCCTAAGTCCTCACAGTGATACAGTCCCGGTTTAAAGACAGGGGCTTAGGAGGCCAACAAACCTAGATTCAAATTCTAACCCATCACCTAGCAGTGGTGTGACCTTGTGCAGATAGCATATCCCTTCTCTGCTTCACCTCAACAATGGAGATAACCCTCATATTTTATTCACAGGGTTGTTGTGAAAATTAAATGATGGGGCGTCTCAATAAAGATACCCCCAAAATGAGAACAAAAGCTGTTTAATTAGAACTTGATGTAACAAGGAGTCAGCCACTGTCACTTGCATTTGCCAGAGTCAAGGTCAGGCAGGGAATGAGAAAACTTTATAATGAAAAAAGGGAAGGCTTCAGGTATGCTTTGATTGGAGGCTGCTGGCATGGGGAAGCTAGATGGGCTAACCAGGACCAGACATCTTAAGTGATTGGCTTGCGAAGCATATTGGACTTTCTCTGCTTGATCCTGAGTGGTAACTGGCAAAAATTAGGGGAGCAGAGGGTCACTAACCAAGTCCTGATAATAATGGGCTGATGCTACAGAAGTTGTGGTGTGGTGCCCCGGGTTGGTGGCTGTGCAGTTCCTGAGTCACTTGTCACACATGGTCTGGCCTTTGCCCCTTTGCTTGCTCAGTCTCTCATGAGCCATTATTTTTTCCAAATTGGATGGTGGGTCTACTCTTCTTTCACAGACAAAGGTGATCTTCCCAGTTCTCCACTCCTATGGAAGAACTTTAATCAGAATTTTTATGTTCTTAGGCCCTTGTGTTAAGGGATGAGAGGCAGGGAAAATACAAGACAATAGCTTTAAATTCTGTGCTGTCTGGCAAAGCCAGGTCTACCACTAAGCTACACTGCATAGAGCAAATCTCTCCATAGCCAGGTGAAGCCACTATTAAAGAGCAATAGTGTGTTCTACAGTGCTGTGAATGAATGGGCTTTCCAGGATGCTGGAGAGCTGAGGGCAGAGAAACAGTGCTCAGAAATGCCTACACACTGATTGCCATTTCCCCCAGGTGAGGATGGAATGCTCTGACCTGAGTTTGGCTCAACAACCAGCAGAGCCTAAAGTTTGCAAATATCTCCTTGAAGAATTAAGTACAGAGATTTTATTGAGTGTGTAGATTCGTTATGAATGGTGAGCAAAGGCACAATATAAAGTGACTCTGACCCAGCACAAACTTAAGCTTCTTGGATCCTGCAAGACCTTACCTTACATGGATAATGTTACCAGCAGCTACATGCCCCCACCTCACCCATTACAGACTCTGGGGCCCAGGTGAAGCGGCAGGAAGATATTCTGCAGCTGCTTTTGCTGTGTGTTGTCATATCGCTTCTGCTAAGTTTCTGTATCCTTGACTAAGCCTCACACAGCATGTGTGTGTGTGTGTGTGTGTGTGTATACATGCACACTTGCACTCCAGGGTTTGGATGGTTTTCATCATTAAAACATAGACCACTTGAAATTATGTAGGTGTCCTGGGTCAGACCACAGGTGGTGGCCAGTCTCAGCCACAAGCCTCAAAAGAGACATGTAGCACATTTGAAGAAAGCAACCAGGACAAAGAGAGACTTAAATAAATGACACATGAGAATGAATAGTTGAAGAATGAAAGGAAGGAAGGAACTAGGGGATGTTAAACCTGGAAAAACTGATTCCTGCTAATAGCACCATCCAAAAATTCAATGTGTTTTCCCTGGATTGGCAGGAGGTAAACTAGCTAAGTCTCTATCCCGGGACACATTTGAACAAATGTAACAATACTATGTTTGAAATGTTCATTGACTCCTTCTGTCCACCTCTAAGACTTTTCTTTTCCCTCGTAGCCCTTGATTCTTTACAAGCAGCCAAGATGCCTGTCCTCATTGCCTCTGGGAAGGGATGAACACAAAGCAGAGGAAAATGGAGCCCTTTTTTATATTTGTATTCCAAAGTCTAGACTCCAGGGAATGAGAACGGGAAAAAAAAATCTCCCACTATACTAGAAACCAAAACCATGCTCTGAGGCAGAAGGTGGAGACAGACTTAGAGGTTTTTGAACTCAGAGTCTGTGAAGCTCAGGATGACAGCATTTACCTGGAGAGACCCTGTAGGCAAGAACCAAGTCAACATTTGCAGATGGTCCAAATTTCCCTGGAACAAGGTCCATACACACTGCCTGTGCCTCAGGGTGCTGCATTCTGCCTGCTTCAGTATTTTAAGTACACGGATGCCTGCCCGGGAGGCAAGAAGCATGTGAGGGGCAAGACTTCGCACAGCCCCTGGAAGACTCATCTCCTGAGGGGAACTCACTCCCACTACAGCCTCACAACAGTCCAGATGTTTAGACTTCAGAGATTAAAGGGCGGAGAGTGGAATGCTAAGCACCTAGCAAGATGAATTTGGTGATAAAAGGCCTAACTACTACGCTTTGGCAGAGTTGAAGAGACCAACCCCACATCCCCCTGAGCCAGGAAAGTAGAAAATTACACACAGACTGAATGATCACTTGGCATGGGGTTATGTAAAGGAAATCAAATTAGGAGTCTGTGATAGTTGGGGTTCTCCAGAGAAACAGAACCAATAGGGCGTGTGTGTGTGTGTGTGTGTGTGTGTGTTTGTGTGTGTAAAGGGACTTATCATAAAGAACTTGCTCATGTGATTATGAATGCTGAAAAGTCCTAACAGCTGCAGGGTGAGTTGGCAAGCTCAGAGACCCAGAGGAAATGGGATATAGTTACAGTCTCAGTTCCAAGGCCTGTGAATCAGAAGAGCTGATGGTGTAGTCCCAGTTGGAAGGTCAGCAGGTTCAAGACTCAGGAAGAGCCGATGTTTCAGTTCAAGTCCAAAGGCAGAAAAAAGCCAACATGTTAGTTCTAACGCAGTCAAGCAGGAGGAAGTCTCTCTTACTTGGGGGAGGGTCAGACTTTTTTGTTCTAGAAGCTCTCAACTGCTTGGATGAGGCCCGTCTACATTAGAGGACAATCTGCTTTATTCAGTCTATCAATTCAAATACTAATCTCCTCCAGAAATATCCTCACAGACACACCCAGAGTAATGTTTGGCCAACTTTCTGGGTACTCTGTGGCCTAGTCAAGTTGACTTGCAAAATTAACCATCAACAGGGTCTCAATGGGATGATGATGAAGACCTTTCCAAACATAGATCTACGGTGTTTAATCAGGAGGGGATACAGGCATCCAGAACTTGGAAAAAAAGAAAATGCACTGGGGAATTTGTTGAGGCTTATGATGTTTGCCTTATCTTGCTGATGTTTCTTTCTAGGAATATTTCAGTGTAGCCAGTCTGTGTTCATCTTCAGTGGAGCATCCAGCTATGGCATAAGTGCTTTGCACAGTTTTGTAGTTAAATCCATGTTATTTATCCAGCATAAAACCAATTTTTTAGAGACATAAATAGCAAAAATTTTCCAAGGCTATAAAAATTGTTCTTCCAACTTTCCGGATAACCTGATCTTCTGGACCCAGTCAAGTCAGTACAACGTGGTGATTAAAATCACATGTTCTAGAATATACAGGCCCAGATTCAAACCCTGGCTCTGCCAAGACATTCACAATGAACTTCAGCAAGTTATTTAAAATCTTTGAACCTCAGTTTCCATATCTACAAATGTGAAGATAGTGACTCTGCTTACACTTATTACATCAGAGGATGCCAGTAAATAACTTAGCCCTGTATTTGCCACAGCCCAAATGCTTAAGATGTATTAGAAGTGGTTATAATAACTTGGATGGAGTTCTTTAAAATGTGCTGCCGGCATTGCCCTGACAACTTTTAAAAACACTTCCTCTACTTATCCTTTCTCTTCCTCTTGCATCCCATAACTTAACTATCCATAACAACTACCACTGATTTTCAAGGTTAGCAGATAGATTTCTGGCTGAAATACTGGAGGATAATTTCTCCAGAAACCAAGGAAGCCATTTACGAAGGGCAGGTATTTGACTTGCATGCCAGAAAGGTGGAAACCAGAGAACAAAGATAAATAATCCTATTTCCTCCTTCAAATTAAAGCTTTGTGTGCATGCATGTGCACCAGAAAATACTGACTTAATCAGAAGCATTCAACTAAGATTAGAAAGAGTAAAATACAGCCTCAGAACTGAGGGAAGCACAGTAAACAAGCAGTTATTTCTACAAAATCCAACCTCATGACAATGCTCAGTATCACTGATATGTGGATATGAGCAATTCCAGAAAGTAGAATAATCGCACCATTTGACAATAATGTAAATGCTATCTCCTTTACTATGTTGCTTTACCTCTGGCTGTGAGTCCGGAATTTTCCAGAGAGAAGACACTCAAGAAAGATGTTGCCTTGACTACTTTTAAAGATAGATTTCTAGATGCAAATGTATTTCTAGATGCAAATTTTCAGTCACATAAAAAAAAAAACCAGCAGGTCAGCTATAGTCTTGTTATTATTTTAAACTACACTGGTTTCAACCAATGGTTTCAAGAGGTAGATGACTTTGAAAGGATAGTTTCTTTAGAGAAAGTTTCACAGACATTATCAGTCAAGGGAGATACCACATGACTGAATCGTCATTATCCCATATGGAAAGAGTACCTTTCTGCACAAGATATTTGTCAACAATTATCTCTAATATATATGAAAGATCTTTCTATTTTGATAGGATTTTTTGTATATATATATTTCTATTAAATACATATGGTGAAATTTTATCCATAGTAAAAGAAAATTCCTATCCTCTCCTGGTAAGAAATTATGTCAAAATGAGAATGTGTCATTAGTCTTCAGGAAGGCCAAATTAAAGCTCACTGCGATACTCCAACACACACATTAGAATGATAAAGTTGAAACAAAACAAAACAAAACAAAACAAAAACTCTGACTATACAAAGCACTGGAAAGGACATGCAGGAAATGGAACTCTCACGTGCTTGTGATAGAAATACGAAAGGGTACAACCACTTTGGAAAACTATTTGCTGCCGGGTGTGGTGACTCATGCCTGTAATCTCAGCACTTTGAAAGGCCAAGGTGGGGGGATCACCTGAGGTCAGGAGTTTGAGAACAGCCTGGCCAATATGGCAAAATCCTATTTCTACTAAAAATACACACACAAAAAAATTAGCTTGGTGTGGTGGTGTGTGCCTTTAGTCCCAGCTACTCGGGAGGCTGAGGCAGGAGGATCTCTTGAATCCAGGAGATGGAGGTTGCAGTGAGCTGAAATTGTGCCACTGTACTCCAGCCTGGGTGACAGAGCAAGACTCCATCTCAAAACAAAACAAAACAAAACAAAAACTATATGGCAGTTTCTTACAATATTAAACATACAACTGCCATATAACCCAAGTATTCCACTCCTAGGAATTTAGGGAAGAGAAACAAATATATATGTTCACATGCAGACGTCACATGAATGTACACAGCAGCTTTATCTGTAATGGCAAAAAACTAGGAACAACCCAAATCAACATGAAATAAACGGGTAAACAAATTGTGGCACATCCATACAATGAAGTGGTACTCTGCTACAAAAAGGAACAAATTATTGATACATGCAAAATGGATAAATCTCAAAATCATTACACCATGTGAAAGAAGTTATATGAAAAAAGAGTATATATAGTATTTTTCCATTTATATAAAATTGTAGAAAATTGAAACATTAATTTACAGTGGCAGGAAGCGGATCAGAGATGCTGTCTGGAAAGGTTTTGGAGGAAGGAATGGATTCCAAATAGGCACAAGGAAATTTTGAGGGATGGTGGTGATGTTCATAGCAGCTTTATTTGTAATGGCAAAAAACTAGGAACAACCCAAATCAACATCAAACGAATGGATAAACAAATTGGTGATATAGATAAAGATGGTGGTGCTATAGATGTTTGTTTTCTAGATGTAGTGATGGTTTCATAGACGGATTCACAGGTCAAATCTGAATTGTACATTTTAAATGTGCGTAGTTTATTGTACCTCATTTAGCTATCAAGCATAAAAACAAAAAACATCTCCTTTGTGAATTTCTCTTCCTGTCTCTTATTTTGCTCCATATATATATATGTATGTATACGTGTGTGCGTATATATATATAAATATATATGACACCCACTAACAGCGTCTTCATTTCCCCTTGAGGAATATGCTTTCCTGATTCTCACTCCTTCAATTCCTGCATTGTGGCAAGCAGGAAAGCCATGTGATTCAGTCTTGGTGAGAGGAGGATATCCTTTTAGCCAGTGTGATAGTTAAGAGACAAGGTGTACCCTAACCTGGGCCAATGAGATCAGACTAGGAAGTCCTGAATTAGGACTTCTCTTCAGATCGCAGAGAAAGAGCCTGACGTAAAGTGTGAAAATGTAAGCATGGAGCTGCAGGCGGACATCTGGCTCCACCAAGGGAAAGCCTGCCTAAAATGGAGCCAACACAGAGGAGAGATGGCACGATACTGTGTGAGCTGCTGAGTTCACATGTGCCTGAAGGCAGACCTATCTCTGTACTTTCAGTTTTGTGGCCAATACATTTCACTTCTCATTAAGCCAATCTCAGCTGGGTTTTTTGTCACTTGCCATTATCTCTTCTCCTCCTGGCCAAAGAATGACGTGTGATGTCCACGGGAAAGTATTACATATTTGGTAGTTTTCCCACCAGTGAAAAATTGATGGGAATGCTTAAGTGATTTTAAAAACCCACTAGTTAGCTCTTCTAAAATTACGGATGGTGGTAAATGAATAGACAATTTGACAAGCCAGAGGATGCTCATGGTATGGTCCCCTCTACTCAATGTATCTCAAGATAATCCTAGACAAGATGAACACAAGAAGCAAAATAACTCTTACTAGCTGTGTGACTTTAGGCAAGTTGTTTAACCAGAGTCTCAGTTTCCTCATTTTAAGAGAAGGCTAATGGCAGTATCTACTTCTTGGGTTTTTAGGACAGTTACATTAAACCATGTACATGAAGTCCCCGCCCTAAGGTAAGTCCTCAATAAATATTTGTTGTATTACTCTTTCTAAGACACTAGTAATCTTTACCTATACTAAAAAGCCCCAGTGGTTCTCCCTTCTCTTAACAAAAATCTTATGCATTCTTCAAGTCCCACCACCTCCTCCAGGAAAATCTCCCTTGATTACTTCAATACACAATGTAGTGATTTCTTTTTTTCTGGATTTCCAAACCATTTGCTACAAATGTGTGTCTGATACCCTTATCTTATTTTGTCATAAACTGAATTTCCAGTCCTAGGCTGGAGCCAGTTCACATTAGATCTTTGGAGTTAATTATCAAATTTTCAGAAATTTTGAGAGATAGTTGCTAAATATCCCATTATTTAAAAATTAAATTACAGAAAATTATGATTAAATAAGTTATATTAAAAACGAAGGCAATACCCAAAACATAATGCTTTCCACTATTTGTATAACATTTATGATATTTTGCTATTATCTATGCTCTTGAAATTATGTCTGTTATATATGTATAGAGGACACTATAAAATGGAGTGTTACTTTACCTCTCTTTCTGAATTCAGTGTCATCATGTTGGCAACCTGAAACTTGCAATTGGTCATGGCAGGAGAATTCACACCTTAGAAATCAGCAAATGCTGCAAATCAGGATTCCACATCCCTGCTTTTCTTTGAGACGCGGTCTCACTCTGTCCCCAGGCTGGAGTGCAGTAGTGTGATCTCCGCTCACTGCAAGCTCCACCTCCTGGGTTCAAGCTCTTCTCCTGTCTCAACGTCCCGAGTAGATGGATTACAGGTGCATGCCACCAAGCCCAGCTCATTTTTGTATTTTTTAGTAGAGACGGAGTTTCACCACATTAACTAGGCTGGTCTCGAACTCCTAACTTCAAGTGATCTGCCCACCTCGGACTCCCAATGTACTGGGATTACAGGTGTGAGCCACTATGCCCAGCCTCCACACCCCTACTTTCTGGTGCCAGTTGTTAAACATTTACAGGTACACCACTGATTTTAGCTTTTGCACATTTTAAATTGTTCCACTAGGTTCATTAGCTCTTTGATCATAGGAATGCTACACATTTGTCTTTGCCCTCTGTGTTGTTCAACATATACAGTGGGTGCTCAACATTTTGCCACTTGATAGGAGCCTATAAAGAAGCAACCATTTCACAAAGACAGCTTTGCTATGTGCTTTTAATCTATCTGACCTTATGCAGTTAAAAATACCTCCACGCACACACAAAAACCTTGCAGGTCTATCACTGTTTGAGTTGTAAACAATGGGGAAAATGCCAAACATGAAAACAGAGTGAAAATATTACAATGGGATAGTCGAAGTGAATGCATACTGACACATCCTTACCCCCTAACAAAAAGCTAAGATCAGTCGAATTCATGTCACAGGGAACTGGTCCAAAAAATCAGCAATGTTTCACCTAGAGAAAAGAAAAATGTAGGTGGCACAGAGGGCAATAAAAAAGTATCTTCAAATAGCTGAAAGGCTATTACAAAAAAAAAAAAGACTAGGTATGTTCTGTATTGCACTAGACAATAACAACACCAGAATCAATGTTTAGATGTTACAGAGAGATACATCTTTATATAATGAGGAAGAACTGTCCTACAAAGATGGCCCAAGGTCCAATAGTCAACCTCAGGAAGTAGGCAAATTCCTGCTCCAGTAGTACTCAAGTACAAGGTGTGGCATATAGTAGCAATTTAACATTTTTACATGAATGAATGAGTGAATAGGCTGGCAGTGTTTCTCAACCGGGACTACTAATTCTTCCTAAAAGGTGTTTGGAAATGCACTGAGGCACATAGTGAGAAGCAAAGATGTTAAACAATGCAGTGAAGGATGTCCCCACACAAGAAATTACCACCACACAAAATGCCAACAGCATCTCTCTTGAGAAATATTGAGAAATACTGAGCTAGACAAATCCTGGAGGGAATGTTTTAAAGATCAACATTCAATCATGAAGTAAGTGTTTATTGAGTGACTGGCAAGTTTCAAGCACATTGCTAAAACTTTAGGGTTAAAAGGCTGCACAAGATAGTTTCTTCTTACAAGAGGCTCGAGACTAATGGGAGAGAAAAAGTAACCAGTTTCAAGAGAGTGAAAAATGGCTAATCTAGAAATCTGAACAGGCACGGATAGGACAGAGGGCTCCTCTAACTATTGGGGTGTGGGGCAGTTCAAAGGATAGGGAGGCCTCTCAGAGGCCTTGAAGTTGGGTTTTGTAGAATACGTACAGGAATTTGCCAAGATGGAGTAAGAAATTCCAGAGAGAGAAAACAGTAGGGGGTTAAGGAACAGAAGTGTGAGAAAACATGGTGCTAGAGGTCTGAGAAAGCAATCCATGTAGAAAAGAATTACTTTTGTCATACTTACATTTGGGTAACTGGTATATTTTGTAAACACTCCCACACAGAGCATATTATGAGAACCTAAGCACTGTTTGAGTGAAACTTGAGTATGGGCACTGCTGAAAAAGGAGACTGGGGAGTTGAGGACATGTTCTTTGCAACCCTGGGAATCTGACTTTTTAGAGGAGAGGGGAAGAGTTATGTCTGGGTTACCATAGGATGAGCAGAGACCAAGGCCCTCATCTTACACCACTCTCCTCCTTCTCCCTGCTCACTCTGCTCCAGCAACATGGGCTTGCTTTCTGCTGCTTGAGCTCAGAGCTAAGCTTATTCTCCCAACAAAGTATTTGCATGTGCTCTTCCCTCTCCGTAGAACACTCCTTCCCAGCCTTGAGATCTCATTTCAGTAGCACCTCCTCAAAGAGGCCTTCTCTTGTCCACCCAATCTAAAATAGCATCAACTGAAATGTTCACATTCTTTCACTTGATTATTGCTTGTCTTCACAACTAGAGTGCAAGTTCCATGAAAGCAAGACTGCCAAGGCCTTGTTACTTGTATAGTCCAGAACTATGGGTACCACTAGACCATTTATTCACACCTGGCCATTTCATCCTATGACAGATAAGGAGAAAATGGACCAGAGGAGAACACACATGGGATGGTTAGGAGACTCCACACCACAGTCTATGAAGAAGAAGCTACTGTCTGGTCCACCTAAAAACCTGAATGAGAATAGAAAAAACTTGGAAACCATGTGCTTTGGGAGAAAACTGCAGGGCCTGGGATATTCAGCCCCAGTAAAAAGTACTCTCAGATGGTGCATCCTCTTTTCATATGTCTGGAGGTATCATGTGGAAGGAGGACTGGAACTGCTCTGGATGACACACCAGGTGAAAGACCACAAGGTAGAAGACAAGTGAGAAAGTAAGATTTCAGCTCCACATGAGGAAGAACAGTAACAGGCAAAGTGACAGTCGAAAGTTCACAAGGGCATTTCAGAAGGTTCCAGGTTCCCATCAGCAGAACTGTTTAAGCAGAAGCTGGCTAACCAATCCAATAGGGTTGAAAAGCTCAAGCCTTAGGTTACAGAGCAGACAAAATAACTAACATTTGTATGTCACTAACTGCATGCCGGGAGCAATCTTCGAGGTGCACGACAAATATGAACTCATTTAATCCTTACAACAACCTGAGAAGGCAGGTGCTTCTGTCATCATTTTACAGCACAGACTAAGACACAGAAGTCAAATAACCTGACCGAGTTCACCTTGCCAGGAAATGGCAGAGCCAGCTTTTTAAATGACCTTTAATGTGTCCTCTAAATTTCACAGTAATTTTTTTATGCCTCCACTAGCAATGAGTTGCTATCCTATTTTTATCATCTCCAGGGAAAAAGCTTTCCAAAATGTCCAAGTGTGACTGTCCAGCACCATGGGGGCTCAGAGTGTAGGTGGCACATAACACTGTACTTCAGTACTTGCATAGAACAGTCATTCTGAAAAGCTGTGCTGAATGAGGGACACAGCCCTTGGTGTAGCACATATTTCTTTATTTTTATTGTCTATATCCCCATAACCTTCAGATCCACAAGGAAAAGGATTTTTTCTGTTATCGTTGACTGCTATGTTCCCAAGTGTTAAATAAATATTTGTTGAAAATAGAAAAGAAAGGAAAGAAGAGAAGGAGGAACAAAGTCGGTATCTTCAAGGATTCTCCACCTTGGACTCGGCACATTAGCTTCTATGCGGGCCTTTTCATTTGAACGTATCAAGAGAAAAACCACTAGGAGCCCAGATCTCAGACAAACTAAACATGTAGCTTTTGTGGTTTTCAAGAGAATCCATTGCAAACAGTTTGGTTTCTAGGTTAAAAGAAAAACAAAAACAAGCATTTTTCAAGCAAGGTAGCTGAAGCACAGATAAAAGTTTAGAGTACATCTCTGGGTTGCTGTCAAAATCCCTTTCTGATTAAATGTAATAAAAGAGAGTCAATACTAAAATGTTAATAAAATGATGTTTTTCCCCTAGTCGCTAGCATCTAATAAAGGTGTTTTGATCCTATTTATGAAATAAATTATATTACTTAGTACCCAAAGGTGTGATTTTGTCTGTGGGAGGTAATCATATTCTAATTTAATGACAGAGAGGAAAAATCATGCATGACTAAAATAGCTGTAACACAGGCTATCCAGCTTTAAGAAGACTTACATCTTGAAAGGGGCTACAGACATGCCAATGCTTGTTAAAGTATTAAAATTAACATGTTTAAATTTTTTCATTTACTATATATTCAGTGTGCCTTCTTCCAGATCCCATAAGCCCACACTATCTTTCTCATGCATATTTAATCTTTTTTTCCCTGGGAAGTCAACTCCACAACCACCCCTCCAGAAAAAGAACTGTAAACAAGGCTGAAGGGAAAAGTGAGACAGGGAGATGAGGCGAGAGCAATGCAAAAGGACAGATGGCTAAGAAAAGCAGAGCATCCTAGAGTCACCCTCAAAGGAAGAGAGAGACAATTAGAACCAGAAGGGAGCAGATTCATTTCGGAGGCATTTAAGGCTCTAATATCTTCCCCAAGCGGAGAAATGGGTTCTATTTTGAGGCAAAGGGGAGGCTTATGAATACTTTATAATGTTTGCATTAGACAGCCTATGTCAGCATGAATAGATTGCATCCTTTGGGTGAGTAAGCCACTCCCTGGTCAGTGGTTAGAAATTTTAAATGTCTTTCCTGAAGCAAACTTCCTGGGAGCAGTTGAGTCACCAACTAAGGTGATTTAGAGGCAGACAGAAAACCTTTAATGGAGGAATAATGAACTACTCTGCATGCATCCATTAGGCCCCAAGAGTATAGGAGGCCTCCCAACAGGGTTCAGCAGAAAACCATTAGTGCAGCCACATTTTGAACTGTATGAAGACAACTGGGGAAGAACCTAAAGCGTAAACTCTCTCTTCAGCCACACCAACATCATTTTCTACCTTAAGCTGGGATGGCATGACTGGTATGTGATTTCGTAAGAAAAAAGGGGTCAGTATGATTTATTAAAATTCTAATCATTCAATCAAAATTTCTGGTGAGAATTCCCTTGTCTAATACTTGGGCAACCATAACTAAGGCCATCCTGCTGTCCAAGCACATTTTTGTTTCAAGTGAGTAAGGCAAGTGCTGTGCCTGAGTTATATAGGAAATACATGCTTTCCTATAAGATTGCTAAGGGCTAACTAAATTCTAGGCCTAATTAATTTCATTAAAATGACACTTGGTTTGAAAAATATTTTAGTTTCACTTCTCTCAGAAGTAGATCAAGAGGTGGATATTAGAATGCAAGTGGGAGGTGATTTGGGGCAACTCCTGCAAAAACATGAGACAGGAAAAAGGAAGTGAGCTAATAAAAGGTTCATTGTCAATAAATTACCACAATGGGCAAGTGGCGCTTAATCTCACTGGGGAATTCTAGGAAGCAGCATGGAAAATGTGCCTCAAAACTTAACCCGCCTGAGAGAGGAAGTATAGTCATATACCAGCTCCCCATTATGGGATGCTGGGGGTGGGAAAAAGGCCTTAATTGTCCAGCACTTTCCAACCTGCTGCCTGCCTGAGGGTGGAAGAGTGGGTGGTGGTTGAGGGAGAAAGCCGAGTGGGTTTCAGCAGCCACGGAAAGCACGTAAGGAGAAAGAAGCTGGTGCTTGCACCAGAGGTCAAGCCCAGTGTGCACTGAAATGGCAGGGGTCTAGGGCAGCAAGAGCAACTGCTGCTGCAGGAAGAAAAGTCAAAAAGGAAGCAAGCGCCAGTGGACTATAGCGAACTAGAAAACATGGGCTTTCAGTGTCGCTTGTAGATACTAACATTCGTTACAGGCTTCAATCCAACCAAAAAAAGTTACTCATATACCCCCAGCAGCTGCAGCCACACAACCACTACCACCACCCAGTGCCCAGAATGCTTAGGTGGAAGACAAAGCTGGATTGCTCTGCTTAATAAGGGGTGTGGAACTTAAAGTGCCCTAAGAGAATCAAGGAAAGAGGACAGATGCCTAGGAGCCTGGGTACTGTGTGAAAGTTGAGGAAGAAAAAAAAAAAATCACCACCCCTACTCTCCATTCTGCTCTAGGAAGAATAGCTATGTAGAAAAGACTGGAGAAAAGAAATCTGTAACAGACGATTTTTCATAGTTTCTTGTTTCTTAATGTGAGACACACATATGCACATACAATAAACTTCCTCTCCCCTCTATTCTTAAAAACCTTCAGTGCAAACTACATTATCCACTAACACTTTGGTAGGAGGTGATTCTAGAGTCACTCCGAAGGTTGCCATGCCCTACATCTGAGGTGGGCATTGACAAGGGGACAGTGCACTTCCTAGCTATATCCCTGTTCAGAGCACTTTCTAACATACCAGAGCTCCACAACAAGTCACTCGTTCGCTGATTCAGTCTCAGATGTACATTTTGGTGTTTCCCCCACCGAGATCCCCCATTAGATGTTTTAAAAATTGAGACCAACATGAAACTCTGACTTCTGGGGTAAAAACTCCCAGCAGTTTTAATATATTGGGATAACCACATAGCTCTTATCAGTTAAAGAGTATGTATTAAGATTGCCACAATCCCCACCACTCTTTTTGTTTCCCATACATTACACTTGCACTGATTTTTCCCAGGAAATCCTAGCAAAAACGTGTCTAGCAAACATGGAAAAAGGAAAACTACTGCTAGCCAGAGCACTGCATGATTCTAGAACAAAAGAGAATGTATACTTCTCTGTGGAAATGAAGAACAATCCTAAGTCTAATACAAAAAGTGTGTGTTGTGTTTGAAGTTTCTGGAGTCCTTGAGACTGACCTTTATGCTCAGAAAAGATTACTCTGATGGCACTTTGGTTTTAAATATTAATATTTGATTTTTCAGGTTATAAATTTAAAAGTCTAAAATAAATAAATTTAAAAGCCTACTTTTTCCTTCAGCTTACAAATATAATTCTGTTTATAATCTAGGAAAGTTTAGCAACTGCTTTTAAGGGTACTTAGAGGAATATTTAGCACCATTTATAAATAGTTAACTAAACCTCTTCAAACATTTTTAAATTCATTTATAAATTTAATATATTTGATTTCCTTTAAGTACTTCAATTGTCTGACTTTAAACCTTCCTGGGTAATTAAATAAATCTCTGAAATCTAATGAATTAAATTTATAAATATGGTGAATCAAATTCATTTAAATATTCCAGCACTGTAGATCAATTTAGTAATATTTCAACCTAAAACCATAAGCCTAAGTCAATTACGCAATTATGCATTTTATATTGGAATTATAAGGCTGGTCTGTTTAACAGAACAAATTCTCTTAAGCATTACAAAAACTTAAATACCAAATAAACACGGATTCCTTTTTTACACAAAAGCATGTTGTGTTAGTTTTGATTCTCTCAAATACTGCTATATTTAAAGCTTTACTCTTTTAACTCCCTAGTTGAAAGAGATGATGACTTCTTTTCCAACTAATGAACACCACTGTTGATTTTGACCAAGTCATTAGAGTCTTCGCAAAATTGATGGGAGATCATGAGCCCTATTTATAGACTATGTGACGGACTTCAAACTAAAGTTGGTGGTCATGTAACTTAGTTCCTAAGATTTGAGTCACATTGTAACCAAACTGCAAATGAGATTAGAGTTTCTAACTGTCACTCAGGTAGCTATACCACTTGGCTGGATTCTATAGTTCTTCCGCTCCTAAAATATATAAATATCTCCCCTTTTAAATCTAAAGACCTGTGATATAATGGCAGAATACTCATTCTTTTTCTGTATTTCCCAACTCTGCCCCACCCTATAATGTCTGTTATGGACATTAAAATGATATTTTCCAAATGGATTCCTGACATTTCAAACAGATTTTGTCTATTTGGTCACGATGTCCAAGACAGTTCTACTGACAGTGCTATATGGAAAGACCACACCAAGTCCCCTCTACTTATCAGTTCCTGGTAGGTATCTGCTATGATCACCTGTGAGATACACCATACTATGAGTTTGGAAATCCAAAGGCTGTTAATGTATGGATTTCAGGCAAACTGTATAAGCACTCAAGTTAAAAATGAAAGGGGATGCAGGGATGTATTGTTTAATGATTCTTAACTTTTTGGAGGTCACCGACACTTTACAGAATCTGATAAATGTTATGAACCTTCTGCACAAAAACACACAAACCCTGTAGTTTATAATTTCCAGGATTTTGTGTTTCCCCTGACATTCACCAACAGATACCACGTTACAAGAAACAACACAAAACCTTGGACTAGATGGATCTCTAAGGTCCTTTTCCCAACATGGTCCTGAAAACACAATCCATCAAAGTGACGCATTACAGAGGAGGTATCAGAAATTTGTTTTGGAGGATTGGTTTTCACAACGACTAATATAGAGAGCTCATCATAATCAAAGCAGAATAAAGTTCAATGGAAATTAAACAGACTAAATTTTCTTTCTTTTCCAAAATTTTCTGTAGTCTGTCCTAATTTTCATTGACATGTATGGCAGAAGTAGGGTAGAGTGAAAAAGTAACCTAGAAGGTTAGAAAAGATAATTTTATTCAGCTTGGAGAAATAACAGTGAAGAAAATCTTTATGATGGGTATTCCAAGTATGTAAAGGGCTTTTATACAATGCAAGATAATAAGCTTATTCTCCATCATTACTAAAGATAAAATATAATTTCAAGATAATAGAACATTTTGGGGTTTTGTTTGGTTGGTTTTTGGATGAGTTACTTAAGATAAAAATGGAAACAACTTATCTGGAAATCACAACCTCCAGTGTTCCTCATTTGTCTGGGATTATTAAGAACTACTAAACAGCAAGAGGAACCACATGTTTTGTGAATGAATGAATATGAATGAATGACCTCTTAATATTCCTTTCAAACTGGTAAGTCGACATACTTCATTGCAAATTATGTCGTTTTTCTATTTGTTTAAGCAGTTGTTTCATCTACACACTCTACGCTATTTACTAAACAGAAATAATCCTATTTCATATCATTGTATTTTTTAGAGTCTACATTTTATCTGTTAATATCAATTCTGTTGAGTTTAAATTCCCCATTGATAGCATAAGTTTAAAGAAAGAGTTACAGCTACTTAAGAGTCTCTTTGGGCCCTCTATGTGCTAAAAGCTAAAGGCAAACTTCTAATATGGTTTTACCTTGTGGAGTATTTTTGGAGGTTTAGTGGGTTTTGAAATTATTTTATCTGCAGAGCCCCCCAACAAAGCCAGGGCTCCTGCACTGAACACATTCAATGCTTGGGTTTAAGCTGCCTGGCTCATAGAGTAACAAAGAAAACAAAGCTCTCATGCATGAGTCCGTCAACAAAAGCAACACATTTTCTTTAAAGTTTCAGTTCAATAAATGTTTGCCTTACGGGAAAGATCTTTTTGCTTTTTGAGACTTTTTCCTCAAATGCTCTCAT
Organism: Homo sapiens; assembly: GCF_000001405.40. Taxonomy (NCBI): domain Eukaryota; kingdom Metazoa; phylum Chordata; class Mammalia; order Primates; family Hominidae; genus Homo; species Homo sapiens. The sequence goes on from NC_000009.12 coordinate 23,626,143, forward strand.
TTTAAATCACGTTTAAAAAAAAATGCCTTTTTTGTTGTTGCTAGAGATGGGACTCTCCAAGGTGCCTACAGCAACAATGAGGTTGTAGTGAACTGAAAGGCAAAAGGCTTGAAATCTATGACCTTGGGTAAGCCCTTACACCGGTATGGTAAGAGGTAATGAGAGTAAGGTATATAAAAATGAATAGACCTAAAACCGTAAAAACCCTAGAGGGAAACCTAGGCAATACCATTCGGGATATAGGCATGGGCAAAGACTTCATGACTAAAGCACCAAAAGCAATGGCAACAAAAGCCAAAATTGACAAATGGGATCTAATTAAACTCAAGAGCTTCTGCACAGCAAAAGAAACTATCATCAGAGTGAACAAGCAACCTACAGAATGGGAGAAAATTTTTGCAATCTATCCATCTGACAAAAGCTAATATTCAGAATCTACAAGAAACTTCAAAAAATTCACAAGAAAAAAACAACCCCATCAAAAAGTGGGCAAAGGATATGAACAGACACTTCTCAAAAGAAGACATTTATGTGGCCAACAAACATGTGAAAAAAAGCTCATTATCACTGTTCATCAGAGAAATGCAAATCAAAACCACAATGAGATACCATCTCACACCAGTCAGAATGGCGATCATTGAAAAGTCAGCAAACAACAGATGCTGGAGAGGATGTGGAGAAATAGGAATGCTTTTACACTGTTGGTGGGACTGTAAATTAGCTCAACCATTGTGGACAAGAGTGTGGTGATTCCTCAAGGATCTAGAACGAGAAATACCATTTGACCCAGCAATCTCATTACTGGATATATACCCAAAAGATTATAAATCATTCTACTATAAAGACACATGCACATGTATGTTTATTGCAGCACTATTCACAATAGCAAAGACTTGGAACCAACCCAAATGCCCATCAATGATAGACTGGATAAAGAAAATGTGGCACATATATACCAGGGAATACTATGCAGCCATAAAAAAGGATGAGTTCCTATCCTTTGCAGGGACATAGATAAAGCTGGAAGCCGTTATTCTCAGCAAACTACACAGGAACAGAAAACTAAATACCGCATGTTCTCACTCATAAGTGGGACTTGAATAATGAGACTACATGAACATAGGGAGGGGAACATCACACACTGGGGCCTGTCGAGGGTTGGGGGCTGGGGGAGGGATAGCATTAGGAGAAATACCTAATGTAGATGATGAGTTGATGGGTGCAGCAAACCACCATGGCACGTGTATACCTGTGTAACAAACCTGCACATTCTGCTCATGTATCCCAGAACTTAAAGTGTATATATATATATATATATATATATATATATATATATATATATATATATAAAAGGATAGACAGTGAGAATGCAGAGACTAAATGTCTTCAGGAGATGGGCAGCTACCATAAAAATGTGACTTTGGAGACTGCATGCTTCCTCTAATGCCATTCAAATCTGAATTTAAAAAAAAATCAGCAAAAAAGATGTACATAAGGTGGATTAAATCCGAGCATTCAGAGTGAGGTGTTTTTGTCCCCTCCAACACTCCTCATCTATAAAGAAGTTGGCAAATCTCCATGGATCTTCGCCTTGTAGAAGAAGTGGCCTAGAAGTAAAAATAACTTCTATGAAGTTCCTCAGTGCTGCTATAACCAAACCTGTCAATATGTTAGTAAATGTTTCTATTTTGCCCTCACTTTCCTTAGGGCCAAGTCACTGTTTTCAACACCGCATATTTTTCATAGAACACTCCAATTACCAATTGGGGAAAAAAATGCTTCATATTTATGCTGAACTAAAACATGCCATACACTAGAACTTAAAGTCAGAATATGCAAATCCCTAAAATAAAGCAAAATGACAAGTCACCACAGGAGATGTATTTTAGTCCAATCATATATAAAATCCAGAAATTATGCTAAGTTGGCAATCACTAAAAAAGGCATGTATTCCTCTATTCATTCATCCAATTATCCATTCATTTTTAAAATTCAGTCATCATATACTGCACTCCTATTATGTGCTAGGCACTGAGGATAAAAAGATGAAAGAAACAGACACATCTTTCAAGGGGATACTGCCTGGAATCTGACAAGAGACATGGTGTTGATCATAAGACAGTGTATGAGAGGACTACAGATGCTGTTCTGAGCAAAGAGAAGGGATACCTTGCTCAGATAAGGGAGGAGATGGGAGCTTTAAAGGTTTCTTGAATAAAGAGTTTTAAATGATAAGCAGGAGATAGTTGGGTAAAAAGAAGAATAGTACTTTAAAGCTAATAGTTGTTTTTCACATGTAACAACAAAACACATTCCCAGTATGTAAAAGTTTTCCGTGTCTTTTATATCCATGGAAAACTCAGATCAGATCTAAGGATAGCACACAAAATTCTCTCTGAAGCCCAGGGAAAGTTGGCATGATTTTTCCTAACACAAGCCCTACTGATTCCTCTGATGGCACTGGGGACATACAGTGCAAACTCCATGACATCTCAAATACATGGAGCTTGGAGAAGACAGCAGTTAAAATCCCCTCTCTTTCCCTTGCGCGCATACACACACACACACACACACACACACACACACACACACGGCAGTTAAAATCCCCTTTCCCTGGCGCGCGTACACACACACACACACACACACACACACACTCTTACGAAAAGTCCCAGAGTCTTAAAGACCTATCTGCAAAGGAACATTCAATGGCCCTTTCAACCAGTGAACTAAATTTAAAAGAAACTATCTTATAAAAATAGTTATAAATACACTTAACAAAGAAGATTAATTCTTGAGACTCCTTGCATATTCCAAGTGAGCCAGAGGAGCTGTATCTTCATCCTTCCTCCTTGCTGAAGTTACTTTTGTTTTCAGCTCACTGAACTTTTATCAGTACTAATTGGGACATTCTTCCCGCCAGGGCTTAGCATTTTCAGATGTTTTTGTAGGTACTGATTTAATGGCACTGACATTAAGGTTTCTATCCACTGGGTCACATAAAAGCCAACTAGAACAGGCTGCAAAAGAAGCAGAGTGTTGAATATCAAAAGGAGTGGGTGGTCAGGAAGAGGACTGTCAATGTGCTTACCCCGCTGGACAGACATGATAGCTGGTGCTGGCTCTAGTTATTAGCACAGCATGTTGAAGGTCTACTGAGAGTTTCTATTGAGCCTCCTCCTGATGGGATAAAGCTCAGGAAGGAGGAGAAGGCTACAGTCTATCTTTGATTTTGCAGACACTGAATCAAATATTCCCATCTCGGTAAAATAGCAGAGACACATGTCAATCTCCAAATCAGCTTTCTGAGCCTTTCTTAAAAGGTTCCGATCAATTTGGCCACCCTGGTGAAACCTGGGCATTGCTATAAAAAAATTCAGACCCAAAGAAAGATGCAGTACTTTGAGGGGGAGAGAGCAGAGGTATGAGGTATGGCCAAGAGTTGAGTTTTTTAAGCCAGCCTTGAATCAGTTGCTGCCTAAATTCTGTTGGAGCCAGACAAGTATTTGAGGGAAGCAAGCGTGGGAAGTACTTAGAGAACAGAGAATCAGGACAAAGTGGCAAGTCCAGGCCCTATCCAAAGGGCAGCCACTATTCAACTCTAACCCAATGTTTTGCCATGACAGCATGCAGGTCTAGTATGGCAAATGTGATATTTTAAGAGAAGTGAAAATACAAATTTTATTGTGAAATCTCCCAATTCTGAAATGTTGGCAATGAAAGTAAAAGTCATCCAGGTCAAAAAATACACCTGGTGCTAGATGCAGCTGAGCAACCACTGGTTTATATCATCTGATCCAAATTCTAAAGTAAAAGTTTGTAATTCATCTCCATAGCAGAAAGTAATAGAGATCCTACTAGAGCGTAGGCACCTGAACTATGCTACTTTTTAAGCCAGAAGGGCCCCAAGGGGCATACCAGCTGGCCTTGGATATAAACACGTTATGTTTTCTTCTCTCTTCTCAAAGCAAACTTAACATTAGGTTCAAAATTTCCAAGGAAAAGAAATAAAAAGGGAACTGATGTTGATATTTTGCCTTTCTTTTAAAGGTTTTAGAGGGCATATGGGACTAGTAAGTAGTTTGCATTTGATCTCTACAGTCAGTCTTATTTATTAAAATAAACTTGCCGGTTCTTATTTATTGAAATACGTTTGCCCTGACTCTCAGATGACTTACTTTCACAGATATTAGGACTGAATGATCTGAGTCTCCTGTTAAAGTACTGTAGACAAAATAAGGGTTCTTTAACCTGGCTTTCCTCAGCATTTCAGGGATTGTTAAGAGCAATTTCATTACACAAGGACATCCCAGGTGAATTTCCTGATGGTCAAAAGGAGTTCAGGGCTAGAAATTACATCATAAGTCTGACAAAAGGCTTCACAACCACAGGGCCTGCTTCCTCAAAGTGGGCAGTCAACGGGCAAGGATGGAAAGTGCTCTGTTCTGGGTAGGCAGGGGCAGCAGCCTTCCCTTCTTAGAATCTCCAGCAAATGCAGAGCATGGGGGTAAGAAGACTGAAGGAGTGGAGGAGGATGGATTCATGCACTCATTCAATAAATATTTATTTAATGCCTGCTGTAAGCCAGGTATTGTTCTAGGTGCTGTGAATCACCGCTAATTAAAGTTTCTACCACCATTAAACAAAATTCTAAACAGACACATATTACAATGTTGGACAGCACCCAGTGCCATGGGAGAAAGGAGAGAACTAGGAAGGATAAATGGGCCAATATGACAGAATAACAAGGCTGCTTCTGAAATGTTTCCCTAAGGCCTCCTCAGAGAGCATTTCCTGGATAAGAGGAGCGAGAAACATCAGTATACTTTGGCATTCATATCTTGGTTCCCTATGCAGAAAAAAAGAACACCAATTTGAAATCCAGTAAAATTGACTAAAACTTGTATTATTAGGCCACCTTTAATTCCTTATGTCTCAGTTTCTTCACCTGTAAATGGCAATAATATCAGCTACTCGTCTCAAAGGATTAAGTGTAGATTACACATGGCAATGAACCAATGCTCTGTACAGTGAGCTCAGAACAGAATCAGCATGGCGTGAGCCACATCGTGACTTTCACTGGTACCTCGCAGTGTCTGCCTCCAAGTAGTTACTCAGTTCCTTTTCCCTCCTCATCTCCCTTAGAGTGAGGGCACAAGGTGGGTAAGAACTTGCACATCTGTGTTCCACAGCAGAGATGCTGGGGCTGAAAAGAGCTAAACAGTTCTTTTGGAACCAAAGTAAGAAGCAGAGTTCCGTATTATTAGCTCTTTTTTCTTTTTCCTTTCCATACCTATTTCATTCATTTATTTTTGTAGAGATGGGGGTCTCGCTATGTTGCCCATGCTGGTCTCAAACTCGCAGCCTTAAGCAATCCTGCCTCAGCCTCCTCAGTAGTTGGAATTGTAGGCATGTGCCACCGTGCCTGGCTCCTTTCCACACATACAGTTAAAACGTATACATTAATGAAGAATCAGCAACTTTTGAAAGCATTTGATGGACCATATTATTTCTTTCAGACAATGTTTCATGGTCAAAAGAAACTTGTTTCCATAAAAAACACTGAAAAAAATGAACAGTTTTGTTAAATAGTTGTGTTTTATTCCTTCTCTCAAAAAGTATGGCTATAATGGGATTTCAGATTGATTTATATGGGTTGATAACTGCCAAAAAGTCAAATGATAAAATTTTCCAATGCAAAAATAATAACTCTAGTAAAATGAACAAAATACTCCAAACATATATTTGATGAATTGTGACACCAGTTAAATACTGCCTGCCAGATTTTTCAAAGGTTGTTAAAAATGGGTCCCTTTAGCAATGCAGGTAAGGGAAAAGTGAGAAATTGATTTCAAATTAAATTTTTAAACTGCTTTTGCCACTGCTGGTGCCACTTCAGTGCTCCTTAGGTGAAGACTCGATACCTCCTTTGTGAGGTGGCAGCTGAGGAGATTCTGGCACCCACTGAGGCCAATGAAAAGCCCAACGAAGGAATGAAGACTCAGAACCACCACTGCATTACTTTGAAGGTGGATGGGCATAATACATCTGGGGTGTAGTTTAAGCTTAGGTAGTATACACCACTTAGTAAACTAATGAAAGCCTATTGTCATTGAGGCAGATCAAATTCCAATCAATAAAACAGGCACACGTGCACAGTTAAATACAAGGATGAAGATACAACTGATGTATTCCAGCAGCAGACAGGAGGCGTCTACTAACAAATGAACCTACTACTTAACTCCAGAACTCTTTTCCTACAGACTAAGAATACAATCTCAACTAGAAAACTCTAATTCGGTTTTACCACATCCTGACTACTACAGCATTCTCTGTTCTTTCATTTCCCTCTTCCCTATTCTTTTATTGTATATAAAGTAGCTTGCGTATGTGCACAAGCATAATGCTTTTTTTTTTTAAACTAAATGGCCAATGGTATTTTTTGATGGTCATGAAATGGAGATGAGATGGGGAAAAAGTACTGGATCTGTGAAAATGCCCCCTTTCTTCATTAGTTGCATGCTCATTCAGCTCTCATTTTTATATTCCAGTAAATTATTTTGTTCTCAATTTTAACAATAACAACAACAAAAACCCTTGCATATCTTTGATTGGCTCACTTGGAGAATTTGAACGTTTTTCATTCATCACTGGTAAACCAAAGCCAATTTTATAACTTTTTTGTATACAGCTGTTATATATAGGGCAATGTCTTTAAGTAGGGATAAACTACTCTAAAAAAATGAATCCTCAGTAGTGTTCCCTTCAAGTCAAGTGTCTTGTTTAAATAAACTTCTTGTTTAAAAATAAATAAATAAATTCACAAACTTAATCCCGCAGCTGCTTACCTACATTTGGCCAAAAATGAATCAAATTGATTTTTCTCACTCACCATTACAAAGAGGGTGTTTGTTTATCTCTGGAAAAACTACTTCTAGAAAGTCTATTTGAGAAGTGATAAAAGTAGACAATCATTACTTTATGAGGAACAATTAATTTGTAAATGTGCTATCCAGCATATATCCAGCATATCTGCACACTTATTCTAATTTTTTCAAATTAAATGTATTAAACCAGAAGGTGAATAAATCACATTACAAAAATTAGTGTTTCTAGACTTAACATATCTGTGGAGAAACTATGTCTGGTAAACTCCATGCGATGTCATAGGCAGAAGGAAAACAAGAGCGGAGCATCTTTGACTCGAAACAACGAAACTACATTGCAATATCCGTTTTCACCATCCGATACAAAAATTACAGGTCAGATTTGCCTTAGAATAACTAGATAAGTCCTAGGTACATTTTGAAAACCCTTTGTTGATTAGTATTCCAACTTTTAGCAATATCCAATATAAGTTCATGCAAATACAATCCTTTGGACCACTGAATTTAACAATGTAACACTCCTCACCCCAATTCTGGAGGTCTCTTGTTCTCCTTTTTTATCCACAGTGCATATCTTACTTTTTCTATATGTACGTGTATATATGTATATACTATGCCTAATGTTTATGGCCTGCTTCCTTCAAAAGACTTTAAGATCCACAAGGGCAGGAATCTGTATTGTGTTCAGTGATATGTCCAGAACACTTAGAACAGCGCCTAGCACAAAGTAAGCTTTCAATAAATGTGTTGCCTGGATGAAACTAAATGCATTACGCCAGGTTATTATTTAAAGCAACACAATGGGTGGGTTTTATTGGTCAGATGAGTTTTTCTCCCATTTAAAATTGTACATTTATTTTCTAATTATGAGCCTACTGCTTTCGCTGCCAGGTGCTCTTAAAGCAAGTTACACTTGTGGTAATGCAGGTAAAATAAAATAAAATAAAATAAAAGGTCATTAAACCACCATGTGGGTATGCGGGTACAGGAGAAAAGGGGTCATGCCAATGGATTTTACATCCTCATAACCAGTGATCTCCTGTTTAATAGCTCTAGGCCAACAACTTAAAATACCAATGTACCAAAATACTTGCAGTCACACAACCTGGCCCAGAAATCAAAGCATGCCATTGCAACATTAATGCAACGAGCAGGCTTCCTGCAGGTAACAACCTCTAACCTCAGAGCATTCATTAGGTCATAGTCACAATTTTATCTATATTTATGTTCACTTTATTTTTCTCTTTAAAGGCAAAATGCAAAACACCTATGCTGAACACTTTCAAGTATAAATATAATTCCAAGGTACAAAGTTCTCCTTCACATGGATAGCCCTTTCTCTTTCATTTTGAGTTGATCATCAAATCATCTATTTTTTCCAGTCTTCTTATAAGGAAACATGTACCAAAGTCTCACATATTAAAAGTGATCTTCTAATCCGGGCTCATGTCATATCCTAAGGCATATCATATACGTTCCTGAATCCTCAGTTTCCTTATATGTTGAACAGAGCCAGTGCCATGCAGAATCGTCAAGGTTAGAGTTGCTGAACGCAAAGTCTAGGCTGTGGTTCTAGAATGTAGCACTGTGGCATAATATCTATTCAGAAAATAATCTGCATTTTACTAACTGCTTTAAGAAGCAAAATCATGAGCGGCATTTCTTCTGTTATAATAATGTAGCCATGCCCTTGTCATCTGAGTTCTGGGGTCTTACCTGGGGGCTAAAAGGGAGCAGAAGGTAGCAAGGGAAGAGGGTGGGGTTCCTGCCCTCTTACTTCTATCCAGGTTTGGGTTAAATTAACATAAATGGTTTCTTTGATTTGGGAGAGGGAAGAGTTAACCTTCCTTCACCTGAGAAGGCAAATATGTGCCCAAGTTGATTTTCCAAATAAGACTACATGATGCCTGGAAGGGATGAACCAAATCCTTCCGCCTAGAGCCTTGACAAATGATTGCTGTATATAACTTGCCTTTAAAATGGACCATGTTGATTTCAGTAAGTTGCCTGGTGGTGACCAATGTAGATCAGAACAAACGGCACATCCCAGAATGTCAGAACTGTGTAAGGTCTCTGGAAGGCATGTAAAACTCTATGAAGATCCCCACCTCATTAGTATCGGTCATCTGTCCACTTTGGCATGTATGGGTTTAGACTCACATTTAAGTTTTGAATAATAAGAAAATATAACATCCATAAACCCAAATGTTATAGAACAAATTCATACCCATCACTCAAATGGAAGACTCACACTAATTCTATGGAGGGTTTTTCTCTTTAAGTGTGGGGAAGTAAAGTGTCCTCATTTCATTGGAGTGATATCACGGCAACTTCAGTGCTATTCTATCATGCCTTCAGGCCACAGCACATTCTAACGTCCAATCTTTGTGACAAAGCACTGGAACACAGTCACCAGCCTCCTCAACAGATGAGCTGCAACTCCCCTGCAAAGCAACTAACCAACCATTCTAAATTGAAGTCATCAAAGAAAGTTTTCTGCTTAAAATGAACTTCAAAAAGGTGAGTCACTCTTTTTCACAGTCAGCAAGTTTCCTATGGGTAGAAAGAGAGGGAATGATCACTTATGTTTCAGTGCTGAAAATATGGGCTATGTCTGTCTTGATGCCTTTTCAAAACAAAAGTATTTTAGTAACTGCAGCCACAGATATCAAAAGGCACTCCCCAGGGTCACCATCATCACCATAGAAATGGGCAACCCTTAGGCGAGAATGCATTCATGTGCCACTCACTGCCCTATGCACTTTGTAAGCATCATCTCATTTACTCCTGACCACAACCCACTGATATTATTATCCCATTTTTCCAGATAAAGAAATTCAGATTTAAAGGTGTCAACTAGGCTACTGAAGAAATAACTAGTAAATAAAAGAACTCAGGCTCCAGGAGTCAAGTTCTTCACCTCACTGGCATTCCTTTGGCATCCTAACCATACCATGTCTGGGTTTCTACGTCTCAGTCAGGCCTAGCAAATCTGAGTCCTCAATGAGCCCTCCTATCTTTTGCTGTAATAGCAAAAGTGTAATAGTGGTAGTGGTGTAATACCACTTCTGCTAGTTACACTGTAATCACTAAATCTTCCATCTTAGGAGGAAAACAGAAACCACACCAGATATCTTACCAGAGAGAATTTGAGATAAGAAATTAGTTAAATTGGTGTTGTGGAACTGAAAAAGTAAACGAAGAACACTGAGGCAATCCAGGCATCAAAACCAGAAGAAGCAACAACCACCCCTAGGGAACGTAAGGAGGAGACAGGGTAATTAGAATCTGGAAGTTTGGAGGAGGAACTCTGCAGAGCTGGGCACCAGACTTCTGAGGAGCTGCCCAGCTGGTACTGGGTGTACCAAAATGAACTGGAGACTGAAACCAACCACTGTTGCTAGGGTGAAAACAGGAACTGCAAATATATAGGAAGGAGCAAATGCTTCTCCTCTCCTCTAGTCTCCCAGTCTTCTTCTGGTGCTCCTATAGGCAGAATCTAAGGACTTGAAGAACCAGCTTCAGGAACTCCCAGTCCAAAAACAAAGCTAAGTACAGAAGGGTGAGTTTGAAGTTGGAGACAAAGCTTAAGTACTAATTAGCACAACTCCCATTAGGCCAGGTGTGCTGGTAAACAGAATAGACAGGACAGGCTGAAGGAACTCATCACCAAACATCCTGTCCCCTCGATTGATGGTGAAGTGTGACCCCTAATGATTCCCACCAAAAAGACTCTTCCCATTTGATCTGGTCCCCATTGAATCACTTCATGAGGGGAAGAAAATCAGTCTGGACTGATGCCCATAATGTGTGAATATTGTACTGAGAATTTTATCATGTGCATCCTAATATTTAATCCTTAAAAAACAGTCAGTTATGCCATCATGCAGCACAGGCATTAGGAACAAATACCTTGCTATGCAAAATCACATGGTAAAAACCACAGGGCTCACAGGAAAATTGGGGCTAGGGGTCACTCATAAAGTTTTGTTAGTGACATAGAGGAACCTAATAAAAATAGCACAGTTTTACACATATTAGATGATTAAGAACTACATATATGCCACAGTAAGTATGTATGGAACTTCATGAAACTTTATCTTGAAACAGGCTCAAAGTTTGCTTGTGGGAGTGGGTCGTCAGTCGGGCTGCACTTGAGCCTGGGTAAAAGAGCAAGATCCTGCCTTCAACCAACCAACCAACCAACCAACCAACCAACAAAACAAGAAAAGAAAAAGGGCACACTCCTTTTCTCGGACCAGCATGCTATTTTCTCATTTAAGATATATCACTTGACAGTATGATGTTCAGGCAGCAGAACCTGAGGGCAGTTTTCAGTGCAGTTTTACCAATGACCTTTTCCAGGTGGGAGCGTAGTGCCCTGGGACGAAATGGCTGGTGATCTCAAGCTTCTTTAGGTCCGTGTTTAATGCAGAGCTGCTGAACAAAGGAATTCGTGCCTGTCTCGTACTTTGTCATAAGTGCATTTCTAGATCTGAGTCATAGTGATCCTCAAAAGATGTTTGATAATACTTCAAACACATGGAAATACATGTCCCAACCTCTGTGGTCCAGAAATAAAACGTAATATGAATTGCTAAGTTTGTTCTTCCATCCTTTGCCACGGTGATCTTTCTAAGTCAGTAATGTCATTCCTATGCTTAATTTCCTTCAGTGGCTCCCTATGGCCCAAAAGATAAAATCCAAGCTCCTTAGCATGAAGGACAGACTCCTCCCAGATGTAGCACCTATTTACACATCAAGCTTCAACTCCAGCTAAGCCCCTACCTAAGCTATGGTCCAGTCAGCTGAACTATTTGCTTTCCCACACATAATTTCAGAGTCACATAAATTTACTCACACTGACCCTTAACCTGAAATGCCCATGTCCTCTATGCCTGCCTGCTCAACACCAAGCCACCATTTCGCTCACAGCCTCCTCTGATAGAAAGTTCTTTCCAGTCTCCTTATCTTTCCAGGCAGAATGAACCATTTTGTGGGGCCCCACTGTACCCTATGCTTGCTAACTCCTATCACAGCACTTTGCTGTACATATTTGATCGAAGGTCAACTCCCCTTACCCCACCTTTAAAAGACAAAAAACAAAAAGCCACAAGCTATCTGAGGGTACTGGCCATGCCCCAGTAATCTTTGCATCCCTGGCACCTAGCTCATTGCCTGGTAACTAAATGTGTCATCAATGTTTACAGAATGAAGCAATGGCTACATTATCATAACAGGAAAAGAGTGCAGTAATATAGATCAAGCTGTACCTTTTTTTTTCTCCATCTGAAATCTAGAAAAGACCCTCAGCGCCACTAAATACGTTTCAATATAGACAAAAAACCTACTGAATTGGTAAAGGCAAGGTGATTACCAAATGTATCAAGTGATTTTGCCAAGATGAAGATGGCTTGGGAACACCAAGGTGGAAGATTCTCAAGCACAAGAAACTCACTGGTACTTTGCCTTAAAAGCATATTGAATTAAATACAGGTAGTACCAAAGAAGTGGAAATTATACTACAGAAAATACTCCTTCTGGATGAATGATTAAGTGAGGTATCTGGATAAGAAGCTATGGAGAAAGACTGCTGCTGGTAATAAACACTTTTTTACAGAATCTGAGGATTAAGAAAACTCTTGCCCTGTAGTGTGAGTTCGACAAATGCTGTTTAAATAAAAGCAACTAGGCTGAGTGCAGCGGCTCATGCCTGTAATCCCTGCACTTCGGGAGTCTGAGGTGGATGGATCACCTGAGAACGAGAGTTGGAAACCAGCCTGGCTAACATGGCGAAATCCCGTCTCTACTAAAAATATAAAAACTAACTGGGTATGGTGGCACATGCCTGTAATCCTAGCTACTAGGGAGGCTGAGGCAGGAGAATTGCTTGTACCTGGGAGGTGTGGGAGGTGGATGTTGCAATGAGCCAAGATCACGCCACTGCACTCCAGCGTGGGTGATGATGGAGTGAGACTCTGCCTCAAAATAAATAAATAAATAAATAAATAAATAAATAAATAAATAAAATAAAATAAAGCAGCTAGTCATGCTGTCCCACATTAAGGCCAACTTAATCAAAATACCATAAAAAGCGTGCAGATACCAGATATGACACTATAACTAACATGGATTGCTTACCTAGAGTTTCTGGATCTACATTCTTCAAGTGGTCTCTTCTATTCCAAAGTGACTCACTCTTTCTGGGCAGCAGTGGCATGAATCATTAATCATGTAACAGTGTATACAGTCCCAAGGTATATTAGGCATGATCCTCTCGAAAACACACATTCTAAAAAATCTTTCCAACAAAAGCCTACTTTCCCTGCCATTTGGGTAGGGCATTTCTTATCACAAAATAGTGAATTCTGAGAATCATTTTCTGACAGCTCAATAACTAAAATGATACATGCAAATGTAAAGGCAGGTCATACTTGTCCTCCTTAGGAAAAATGGACACACGGAAGCTCTAAGCCTGTTTTACCAATTGCCTAAGGAAGACTCCCACAGTACATCTCACAGTCACTTCAAATCCCACAGTACATCTCACAGTCACTTCAAACTCCTTATGCCCCAAACACCCTTCTTTTTCCCACAAACGTGCTGTCCTGGCCAATGGTACATTTTCCTACAATGGTATGATCAGCAGCCTGGTTACATTTACCAGTTAAAATCCTCAAATCATTCTTCATTCCTATTTCTCTCCTCTATCACCAAATCTCATCATTTCTTTCTTTAAAAACTTGGTGACACACCAAAAAGATCTCAGCCTTCGCTTGACTATGTTTTAGAACCACAGCATACATTAGGTAGTCAGCTATTCTCCAAAATTCATGCCCCCTTTCTATAATGTAGAGTTGTTGCCAGGAAGTGACTGCCTACTCTGAAGTTCTATTTACCCTACTTGCAATAAGGTGTGCTAGTGAATGTTAGGCCACAGAATGTGAGCAGAGATGATGTGTGCCACTTTCAGGCCAGGCCCATGAAAAACTTCCTCATAGAGCCCCTATATGCTTCTCCCTTCTCTGCTGGCCGTGATGAAATTTGGGGTCTTAAGTGATGGTGGAGCCACGAAAGGAAGCCGCTTGGATTCTGGATCACCATGTGAAGTAAAGTATCCTCTGTCCAGCAGCACCCACGTTTCACTGATATGTGAAGACATAAATTTCACGTACTAATTCACTAAAATATTGAAGTGTGCTTTTTTACAGCACCAAAAAATCAGGACAACTAGAAATATTTAAGGTTTCAGTTAAAACCATCTCCATGAGCATGATACTGAGGGCTATGGAATTGCCCTTGACCACAGGAATCTAACCCCTTAAGAGTATTCTACCGCTTTTTGAAAAAAATTGTAACCATTATATTGATTAAAAATAGCCACAATTTACTCACCTTTCCCTATGTGCCAGGCAGGGATCTTACTGTGTGTTGTATGGATTTTTAAAAATCATATATATATATATATATATGATTAATGATTGATGCCCCTATATATATATATGATTAATGACTGATGCCACTATATATATATATGTATATATGGTACACATTGCTACTATGTCTCATTTTGTAAAGGGGAAAGCTTAGAGGTAAAAGGTGAAAGCCTAGGTTACACAGTTAGAAAGTTACACAGCCAAAGCTCAAGCTCCTCTGTCTTTCTCCAGAGCTCACGCCCCACCCCTTGTTACCCTGCCTTCTCTAAGGAAAAAAGGTAAGCAAGATAAGAATGTGGTGTGATGGCTCTTGCTCCAGTTACCACATGAAACTGCATTTTACAATATAAATGTAAATTTATTTTCTGCCATACAGAAGAGGCAACTTGGTATTTTAGGTAACAACACTGAAGAGTTGTATAAGTCTAGCTTCAGGGTTTCCCAGCCCAATGGAGGCAGCTGGATAACCAAGATGCTTTTCTGATGCTCACCTCTGCCTTCCCCATTCCCCAAGTGCAGCATTCTTCCCTTCACCCCATGAGGACCTCACGTGGATGCCTCACACGTTACATCTGACCATCTATGACCATCTCTTCATTCAACCACCCATTTCCAAATCCAGATTTCGGAGTTAGCTTTTATAATAGCAGTCCCTCTCTGGAGTGTGGACTAAATATCATTAAATTAACCATTTCATCATCATCGATTTTCTCCCTCTCTTCAACAAAATCCAGATGACAGTTAGCTTGTATTGTGCTTTCTAACTATCGTGAGAAATGTTTCAGATCCCAAAATAAATCTACCATAATGTTTTTTGAAAATTAATTCATCTTTCCATAAACTGCCTTGTTTATGACTGATCATTTTCCAAATTACATGCTGATGGGACACCTATTAGTCACGGACTACAACTTGTCTGACCAACTGTTCCTGACAAAGCATTTCCCAGCAGACAACAGGGGAGCCAATTTGTGAAACGGTAACCAGAGATGGTGGAGGTCACCTCACAGAGAGCACTGACCTCTTAACCCAAGAAGCTCTGCTCAGGTATTTTATGTGCCAACCTTGGCACAGAATGTAATTTGTTGGGTTAAAATGAAGACAAAGACAAATTACGCACTTCTATGAGAGTGCTGAATTTTTTTTTCTATTGCTATGGTAACACTACTCCATTGTAGGAGACGGAAAAGAAAGAGTGGGCCTTAACAAATAAGCTATAAAATCTGTCAATGATGTATCAAAAAGGACTTTTAAAAGATACTCCTTTCAATTATTTCACTGCTAGAAATTTATCCAAGAGCAATAGTCTGTTAAATGTGCAAAATATGTACATATCGGATGCTTATAACATTTTATTAAAGATACATGTCCAACAATTAAATTATGGTGTATTCATACAGTGGAATTCCAGAGGACAGGTATGAGTTAGGATGTAGATGAAGACTTATTGATGTGGATGCATGTTCATCATGTGCCATTAAGTCAGTATGTGAGTTACAGGATAGTACATATCATTTGATTCTGTTATAAACATTACCCAGGGAAAAATGTCTGAAGATATTTACATCAACATACTAATAGCAGGAGTTATTTCTAGTGAGAGAAATTTTGGGGGTGATTGGAAATACTTGCCATGTGCTTTTCTGTATTTTCTATGATGATTTTTCATATCTGTGTAATATAAATAGAAAAAATGCAACTGTGGCTGATTACACTATTTATTCAAAAATATCCACTGCCCCTTCTTAGTGACCCTTTCCTGGTGCCTCTTTTTATGGGAGGAGTATAATTTTTGTCCCCATAGACATCAGGCTTAATGATGTGACGTACTTTGACTCATGAAATAAAAATAAAATATGAGCGAAAGGGACACGTACAACTCCCAACAAAAACCTTGAGACTTATCATGTGCTTCCATCAATTTTTTTTTTCCTCCACCCTGAGACAGGCATGCTCTGGATAGGAGATGCTTCTTGAGCCTGGACAGCAAAAAGATGTGAAGCAGATTCGAGCTAACCTGCCGTAGCCAAAATACAGGTAAGAAAGTTATCTTGCGTTGCCATAAGCCACTGAGATATGGGGCTGTTTGTTACCATGGGATAACACATTCTAAGCTGACTAATAAAGCAAATCTACCACCACCCCCCACAAGACCAAACTAGGATTTAAATAATTATAACAGTCCCTCAGTTATTTCCAATTAGTGCTGGTGTTCCATATTAACTTCAGACCTCTCTGCTACCAATATTTTTTAACTGGTATTTATGGGAGAGTTCATTGCTCCCAGCCTCCCCTGCTTTCTTTCTGCCTGCCCACATCATCTCAGAGTCACAGTGATTATTCCTTTGCCTTTCATGACTGTTTCTTTTAGGCCTTCCTATTCTCCCTGTAGTCCATGGACGACTGCTCATTCCATGTCTGCATATGGTGGCTATGGCCAATGATATTACCCTTCAACCCTCTTTTTAATATTTACTTATCTTTAAAATGTTATTTTTAATATATGCTTTTTAAAATTTAATTTTTAATTAACAAATAATTGTATTTATGTATACATAAACTATATGTATGTATTATATGGGTACACTGTGATGTCTTGATACATGTTTACATTATAGAATGATTAAATCAAACTAATTAATAAATCCATCACCTCACACACTTATTTTTTGTGCTAAAATATTTAAGACCTACTCTTTTTCAGCAATTTTGAAATTTACGATTATTTAAGTCACAAATCAATCTTCTTTATACATCGTTGTGGGATTCATGTTCCTTAAAGACTATTCTCCAATTTACCACCACTGGTTTCAAGCTCCCCAGCCCGTTAGCCTAGAATTCAGGAACTGCTTAATTCTTCAAGCTCACTACCCTCATAACACAAACTCTCAGCACCAGCCAAACTGTTTCATTCATTATTTCCTCCGCATACCTCACATTCCCAGAATTGAGGCTATCAAGATGATGGCAGTAGCCTGAACCCTCCGGAGAATGGTTAAACTGGTGGTAGAAGGAATCATTCAATGAGTGACTGACATACTGCAATACAGGTAGCACAGCCCTGAGGTACAAGCTGCAAAGTAGACAGGCTGACAAGACATGGTGATAGTCGCCAACAATTCCTCCCATCCCTGAACACACAAGACCTTTTTCCTTTCTCTTAGACTCTGGGCTGGCTTTGTGACTTGTTTTGACCAACAAAAATGCAGTGGAAGTGATGAAAGACTTTCAAGAGGTTAAGAAACCTGGCGGCTGCCTCTTTCTTAGAGCCCTGCAGCCAAGCTCAAAGGAAAGCCAGGGCAGACTACTGAAGGATGAGTGGTCACATGGAGAGAAGCCCTGAAGGATGTGGCCATCTGGGACTTATCTGCTCCAGCCAAGTTTCCAGCTGAATGCCACCTGAGTGACTAAGCCAAAAGTACATGGAACAGAATAAGTGCTCAGTCACCCTGATCAACCCAGACTTGGGAGGAAAAATAAATTATAGTTCTCTGTAATAATTTGTTTCATAGCAACAGATAACTAAGACAAAGGGTATTCTCCTTACTTCTGCTCTTAATACAGTACCACTCAAGCCTCTAGGGGGACAGTGGCTATGGATCCCAAAAGACAGTACTCTCTTGGCACAGTGGTAGTACTGGGGTACCCTGAGATGACTAAACAGGCAGTGAATTTAAATGGTGGCAAGAGAAGTAGGAGTGCACATGAAGTGGGAGAGCAAAATGATGATAGAGGCCATATGGTAAGTATTGCCAATAAACTAGTCCATAAGATATAAAGAGATGAAAACCTAGGAATGGTAGAAGATCCCAGCTGAAGGTGTGGGCAAGAGCCAGTACAATCTGAGTTATAGTTTCTGTGGCTCTGTTTGCACAAGCTAGGAAGGACTCAGAAAGAGTCAGGTGGCATTAATAACGCCTAAGTCTATTACCACCACTCATATCCGCCACACTGTGGTTATCAGGAAGGGACATAAATCCATCATGGGCAGAAACACAAAACTACCAACAATCAGAGCACTGAAGCCGCAGGTGGCAGAAACTGCCAGTTGATCATCAAACTGATTTCTTCCTGTTCCTGGGCACACGATCAGACGACATTCCCCAGCCTCTCTAGCAGTTGGATGAGTCCATGTGACTGAGTTCCAGCCAACAGAATATGGATGGAAATGATGAACACCACGTGCCAGCCTGACCAGGAAACACTGCCACACTCTCCTGCTTGCCCAGCAACCTTGGAAATTACATGCTGATGGCCATGGAGCCTCAAGACAGAAAGACCGACCATGAGTCTCTGATCTACTGCTTGCAGGAGAGCTGCCACCTAAACCAGAACTGGTGAATGAAAAAGTGGTGTACTACTAAGATTTGGGAATTTATCTTTTATGCCCTTATAATACATCCTAGCTGTACATATGGCAGCACTAAGCATCTATACCTGAAAATATTCTTTAGAGCAAAGATACCCCACAAGGGTCTCCAGGTGTTTTGGAAAACTATAATATAGTAATGAAAAGTCCGTAGCTATGTTCAATATTCAAAATGCCTAAAGAAAATTCTACATTTAGGTTTCCAGGCTAATTAAAACATCAAGCCTCTCTGCTTTTGGCTGCGATGCATCACTTGAGCTAGCAGCACTGGCCAACTCGTGCCAGTCAGGAGCCTGGAGCTGCAGTATGGCCAAATAAATATCCCTGTAAAATGCAGCTTGTTTAGTCAACAAAAATCTCTCATTACATGAAATAATAGAAGTGATACCTGGTGGTACAAAGATTTGGAATCACTGCTCTCACATACCATATCGATATAGTTGGGTCCCTTCATGTTATTTTTTTCCTTAAGGAAAATGGGCATCATAACAATGAACGATTATATAAAAGCAGATTCAAAAATTACTAAGGTATCAATGGATATTATTTTATCTTTCTGAAAGCACCAAGAATAGATCTGGCTGACGCTATTAACCAATTGGATGACTTTGGGCATGTTATTTAAATCTTTCAGAACCTAAATTTCCTCAATGGTATAAGGGGGCTTCTTTCATTTGCCTACGGTGGCCCTCAGGCTTGGGGGCCACCAGCACTAGCAGGAGTGCTTGTTAAAGAAGACCGCTGGGGCCCACCCCACTTCCATTCACCAGGTCTGGAGTGGGGTCTAAGAATTTGCATTTCTAATAAGCACTCAAGTTTAACAGGTTTCTCCAGAGAAAGAGAACCAACTGGGTGGGTGGGTGGATAGGGGTGTGTGTGTGTGTGCGTGTTTGTGTGTGTGTGTGTGTGTGTAAAGAGAAAAAGGGAGAGAAGGGAGAGATTGACTGATTTCAAGGAGTTGGCTCCCACAACTGTGGGCCTCGCAAGTTTAACATTTTGCAGGGCAGGCCAGTAGGGTGGAATTCCAGTAGGAGTCACTGTTCCAGTCTTCAGTCTGAAGGTAAACTGGAACGGAATTCCTCTCTTCTGGGTTTCTCAATCTTTTCTCCTAAGGCTTTCAGCTGATTGGATCAGGCCCACCAGAATTATGGAGAGTAATCTGCTTTACTCGAAGTCTACTGATTTAAATATCAATGACATCTAAAAAATAACTCCATAGCAACATCTAGACTGGTGTTTGAGTAAACAAGTGGGCATAATGGCCCAGTCCAATTGACACCCAAAATTGAACACCACATCAGGTGCTGCTGAAGTCCTGGTATTCCTGAAAGCCACTGCCCTACAGGACAGCGATGAAGATACATAAGCCAAGCCAAGTAAAATCATCTAGTAGCAATGGGCTTTTAAATTATAATGGCCTCTTCTACTCCTCTTTTCAGGCTATTACTTTTTTTTTTTGGAGACAGTTTCACTCTTGTCGCCCAGGCTGGAGTGCAATGACGTGATCTCGGCTCACTAGAACGCGGGCTAATTTTTGTATTTTTTAGTAGAGATGGGGTTTCACCGTGTTGGCCAAGCTGGTCCGGAACTCCTGACCTCAGGTAATCCACCCGCCTTGGCCTCCCAAAGTGCTGGGATTACAGGGGTGACTGGGATTACAGGTGTGAGCCACCACGCCCGGCCTCAGGCTTTTACATTTTTAACCCATCAGAGAAACCACACTTTTCACTCCCCAAATATTTGAGAGAATATTCTTGAAAAGAGAATGTTAAAATGCATACCTGTGGCTGCTTCCTAAATTCGATTACCCAATTTCTGGATTACCCCCTTGTTTCTATCAACTGAGCCCCTTTTCTATTCCGTAAGTATAAAAACCAAAAGTTTAATGACATTACTGAAGTCACCAAATCTCAGATTCGACAGACCACCGACACTAAAACAAGGTTAGTATGGTTTTCCACCTATGCCTACGATTTCTCAAACCTTCATGGATAGAAACGTAGAAACCTCAATTTCAAAATTAATGCTCATATTCTGACCAGGCGGTTAATAATTACATGTTACATAAAGGGGGTGAATAATTTTGTATGTTGCAAAGTTGTAAAATGATATTAAAAATGCTAATTTATCTAAGAGAGTTGTTTCCTACTAGGATTACATTCTTGCTTTTTTTTTTTTTTTTTAACACATTTTAAAAATCTGCACTTCACAGCAGTTAGGAAGTATCAGAATCTGGTTCTGATTTAATCAGATGAGAAGTAATTCAGCTTCAGGCCATAATGACACTTGGTGGGAGAGGTCGGGAGGCTTTCACACATTTAAAAAAAAAAAATACAAATCTCTTTCACTCTTCCCTTGAACTTTCACTCTGCTTGATACTATTCCTAGATTTTAATTCCAAATTCTCCCAAGGGCAGAGAAAAGCCATCTAATGTGTTAGAATGTAAGATATCTTTAATAAGGTTTTCATGATACCAGATTCAAATAAGCCACTGTTTAAAAACTTATTTTGGCAAGGGTGGCAATAAAAATATTTATATAGAGACATACATCCACACACACCTCTATTTACTCATCCATCCACACACACACATCCTTTTTTGACCAACCAAACTCTTTTCTTACCAAAAACATTTGGATAACCCTTATCTAAATTATTATTTTACTTCACAAATTTTGTTCCACAGTTTCTTGTTATAGGGATTAGGAAAAAAAAATCAATCAGCTGGGGGGAACTCTAGATTTAAGAAGCTCCATTATTTTGGAAAGTCTCTGATATTTTAATACGCTGATACGTGCTGCGACTTTTATTAAAATGTGTGTGTGACTGTGTGTATTCACTATTTCCCAAACTTATTTGTTCATCAACTTTTGTTCCCTGTTCAGTACATCTCTCAATATTTAAGTTCTATTCAAACATGCAAGAAAATAGCTTAAAGATGTATTCAGGAAGAATTTACACTAACAGTTGATGGACTTCCATTAAAAGAAGCATCTGTAAATATTACGCTCTGTTTGTAAATTCAGGTCAGTAAGGCTATGTCTTCAACCGAGGAAGAAAGTAGAGTCTAAGCCTTAACAACGACTCTGCTTCTTCAGTTTTACTGCATTTGAAAAAACTTGTTTCCCTATAATAATGATGATGGTGTTTCAAATCCGTCTGGACAAATGGTATAACAATAGCTTAACACTCTAGGGAGACAACAAATGTCGTATGATAAAAGAACCCAAAATATCAACACTAGTCCTTTCTAGGTTAAGATTATGAGTTCTTTCTTCTTCACGCTGTTCTGCATTTTGTAAATTCCCTGAAATGAGCTATAACTTTTCTAATCAGAAAATAAATATAAGTATCATTTTAAAAGGTAGTCTAATATATTTTCTTAGGGGATATTTCATAACATAAATAGTTACAATGCCATGATTTTTATCGTCATAACCAACCAGAGAATACAGAAAACCTAGATCAGAAATTAAAACTAAAATATGAAACATGTCCCAAAAGTGCTAACCTTGCCTCTGTTTTGTCATCATATATGAGCTGCTCTTCATTAAGAAAGGAGAATCTTCACTTTCACAGGAAATGTGCAGCAAACTACTAGAGAGCTATGTTTTCACCTAACTAGAACTTGGATGAGGAAAAAAAAGAAAACCATTAGCATTATAGCCAATAATTTACTTTCAGAACAGTCATTTATGGAACAGTTTCTAATATCTGTGGTAGGCTGGATAACAATTACAACAACCCCCCCTCCCCATCCCTGGCCCCAAAACACACACACACACACACACACACACACACACACACACACACACACGATATCCATGTCTTAATTTCTGGAGTCAGTGAATCTTACCTTATATGTTAAAAAGGATTCTGAAGATACGATTAAGGATCATGAGATGGGGAGATTATCTTGGATTATCTGGGTGAACTCTAGATATAGTCAGGTGTGTTCTTATAATAGGGAAGCAGAAGGCAACGTGGTGACACAAGAGAAGGCCTGTGGTCACAGAGACTGGAGTGATGCAGCCACAAGCCAAGAACTTGGGCAGCCACCAGAAGCTGGAAGAGGGAAGGAACAGATTCTCCCTTAGAGACTGTGAGAAGAATGGCTTCCAGGGGGAGGTGTGGTTCTGTGAAAGCACTGATTTTAGCCCAGTGGAACCACTTCACAATTCTGGCCTCCAGAACTGTGAGGGAATTAATTTCAGTTGTTTTAAGCCACCAAGTTTGTGGTAATTTGTTACAGAAGCCATAGAAAACCAATGCAATACCCCAGTCGCAAGTAGGCAAGTGGTCTTGACTTCTGCAAGGCTGGGGAGACAGACCTTCTGGCTGATTGGATCTTGAAGACAATCCCCACCTTTGGTGACTATTCCTCCACCCTGGTGCAGGGATGAGCAGGGCACTGGCTTGCAAGCTCTGGGTGCAGTTCCTTTTAGTCGCACTGTTGAAGTGTGTTAACTAAATCTGACAGACGTGAATCTGGTCACGTGAATACCTGGGATAATGTCCGTTTATTATTAAACACATCATTTCCTGAGATTCTTAGCTTGATGTTTAAAATCATCTCTCTTGCTAGGAAATTAATAAAATATGCATCTGACACAATTATGTCCACACCTACAATCCTGATGTCAAACAAAAAGCCCCACAAATCTAGAAACTAGAGAACGTTGTATATAAGAAACAGGTGAGAAAGAGGCAACTCACTAAGCTTATTGATTAAACTTTGAAAGAATAAAACATATACTGTGGGAAACATCGGCAATTGAAGGAACAATTGCTGTACTTGTGAATCAAATTCATTCCACTTAAGAGCTCCATGATCTCCAAGTAGTACCAGAATTGAAAAGAAGTTATTGCATTTAAAGGTTTAATTTAAATTTAGGTCCTTCAACAGCAAGTTCAATGATTTATCATACTGATTGAATTCTAATTCTCTTACAATGTTGAAATCTAAAAAACCATTTCCTTCAAACACTAGTGCCACTGAGAAACACACTTATAGAACTCCTTAATCCTCCAAAAATAATGTAACACATGCATCATTTAATTCAACGAGGCAGTGTTATTGTCATATAGTGATAAAATTAGTAGTTCTATGCCAAAGAATACCTTGGGCATAGGAGGCATGGTATTTTTTTCTGGTAGTCTTCCAGAAAACCTGGCGTAGCAAAATGACAAAGTATTGATGGCTTAATATCATAAATATGGAACGAATTATATATAACTTACTAGAAAACAGAGTAACAATCTAAATAACTCACGTTTCTTCAAGAGGGACTTAATTCCCTTTCCTAATACCTCACTCTATACCACGCTCTACATAAAAGTGGCTTACATCACTTGAACCCAGGAGTTTGAGACCAGCCTGGACAACACAGGGAGACCCTGCTGCTTTTTTTGAGAGGGAGTCTCGCTCTGTTGCCCAGGCTGGAGTTGCATTGGAGTGCAGTGGGGCAATCTCGGCTCACTGCAAGCTCCACCTCCCGGGTTCACGCCATTCTCCTGCCTCAGCCTCCCCAGCAGCTGGGACTACAGGCGTCTGCCACCACACCTGGCTAATTTTTTTTGTATTTTTAGTAGAGACGGGGTTTCACTGTGTTAGCCAGGATGGTCTCGATCTCCTGACCTCGTGATCCGCCCACCTCGGCCTCCCAAAGTGCTGGGATTACAGGCGTGAGCCACCGGGGAGACCCCGTTTCTATAAAAAATTTAAAAATTAGCCAGGCATGGTGGCATGTACTTGTGGTCCCAACTACTTGGGAGGCTGAGGCAGGGGGACTGCTTAAGCCCAGGAGGTCAAGGCTGCAGTATGATCGTGCCACTGCACTCCAGCCTGGGTGACAGAGCAAGAGCACACATCTAACAAAAAAAAAAATTAAATTAAAAAGTATATTACTATCTCAGTGTAAAGTAATGGGAATTCAAATCTCAATGTCGATTAATTTCAAATAAAGGTTGTGGCAGAGACTTGCTAGCTGTTCAAAACCCGTTTTGTCTTATTCATGGGTGCACAGCTAGACTAGATTTCCCAGCCTCACTTACAGTTAGCGTTGAACTAAGACTGTGGCCAATCAAATGCAAGTATAATAATGTGCATTGTTTCCTGGTCTGGCCCATATGCCCCCAAAGAAACAATTCTCCACATTCCTTACCTTTCTCTACCCCAGCCTCAGGAGCCATGTGTTCAAGAAGACCGGCAGAGCCACAAAATGGAAGGAGCCTGGAGGAATAAATATATTTGATTGGCACTGATTTCTTGCAGTAGCTAGCATTAGCTTTACTATACATTGGTTTTGCTTTATTTGTTAACTTATGTATTGATTCAGTTAAAACAAAAACACATTGGGTACTCAAAACATGACAGAAAACA
The DNA here is from genome assembly GCF_000001405.40 of Homo sapiens. NCBI lineage: Eukaryota > Metazoa > Chordata > Mammalia > Primates > Hominidae > Homo > Homo sapiens. The sequence continues at coordinate 23,651,215 of NC_000009.12, forward strand.
AACAAGTGACTCACCCTGAAAATTCAGCAAGTAAAGGAAACAATGTAACTAGACAAAAATCCAATGATGCACAGTCCTGAGTCCTACGAATGAAATGTGTACAGAGTTCTGGAAGTTTTTGTGGAAATGGGAGAATGAAGCTAGCTTAAGTTGATTCTTGAAGTACAGACAAGGCAGGGGCGTTTCCAAACACAGGAATAAGCTCACGCAAAAGCCGCAAGGTGTCCGATGATTGTGGGCCCTGTGGGGATGCAGTGGTGGCAAGAAGTAAGGGACGGGGCTCCATGTACAGGCAGGGGAGCCGTAACTGCAGGCTTGGTACTCTCAGCAACACCCTTCACACACTAGTACCACTGCCCAATAATGTTAATACCACTGCCCAACAATGTTAGTACCTTTGCTGGGGAGACTGGACTTTATTCCGAAGGCATTTCCTGAATGGAAAATCACAGTCTGGTAGGCACAGACAGAGTTAAAACTGTGATTTGAGAAAAACATCCACGTACCAGGTAGAGAATACACTTTTCCCCTTAAGGGATGTGGTAGTTAAGGAAGGCAAAGAACCAGTAATAGGTAGATTAAGTTTACAAGTTACTGGATTATTACATCTCAAATCCAAGGTTTTGTACAGATGACTTTTAACCCACCTTCTAAAATATACCCAGGGTAATCGTTTCCAAAAACGACATATTCAGTTAGGCAAATTACTCCTTTACAAATCTAGACACTTCATCACTTTTTATACATCCCTATTAGACATTAATCACAGAGTATTTCTATCTCATGTCTCTTTTTAAATTCATATTGAAGGAGAGAAGAAAAAACGAACAGAAAGGACAACAAATACAGAGTTAATATCGCATCTATCCAGAGCTTAGCTGTCAAGCAACGATACGCAGGAGAACCATCCAAAAAGTGAAAAGGTCTCTGACAGGTGAAGACAGTTGTCACACTGGCTAGTGACTAAAGATGTGGCAATTTTCCCATAGGAAAAGCTCTCAAAACCTTATTTTGATAGTCAAAATCATGTGAAAATCCCTCAAAACCTTATTTTGATAAAGCTGTATAGAAAAGGTAAGTATCCAGGTTTTTAAAAAATTAAGACTTTTTTAGAGCAGTTTTAGGTTTACAGCGAAAATGTGTAGAAAGTATATATACTCCTCCTTCCCACCCTGATATATGCAGTTTTCCCTACTATTAACCTCTTGCATTAATGTGGTATATTTTGAAAATTCGTGTACGACTATGGATATATGATTAACTTAAGTCCATTGTTTACATTAGGATTAACTGTGTTGCACATGCTACGGGTTTTGACAAATGCATAATGTCATGTAGCTACCTTTAATGTCATACAGAACAGTTCCACCACCCTAAAAATCCCTTGACTACCAATTCATCTCTCTGTTCCTCTCACCCCCTGCCACTCTGGAAATCACTGATGTTTTTATTGTCTCTATATAGTTTTGCCGTTTCCAGAATGTCATATAGATGGAATCATATAGCATATAGCCTTTTCACAATGGTTTCTTTCACTTAGTAGTATGCCAGTTCCATGTCTTCTCATGACTGGATGGCTCGTTTCTTACCACGAAGAGTACTCTATTGCATGGATGTACCATAGTGTCCCCATTCAACTATTAAAGGACATCGTGATTGCTTCCAATTTTGGCCGATGATGAATAAAGCTGCTATAACATTCACATGCAGGTTTTTGCGTGGATGTAAGTTTTCATTTTGGTAAATAACTAAAAGCTTGATTGCTGGGTTGCATGTTTAGCTTTCTAAAGAAACCGCCGAACTGTCTTCCAAAGTGGCTGTAGCATTTTACGTTCCTACCAGCAATGAATGAGAGTTTCCATTGCTTTACATTCTCACCCGCATTTGGTATGATGAGCGTGTGAATTTTAGTCATTCTAATAGATGTCTAGTGGTATTTCACTGTTGTTTTAATTTACAGTTCCCTAACATATCTCAAGCATCTTTTCATATAATTATTTTCATTTGCATATATCATTTGGTATTCAGATCTTTTGCCCATTTTAATTGGGTTTTCTTATTGTTGAATTTTAACAGGTTTTTAAATACATTTTGCTTAATAGCCCTTTATCAGATAATGGGGTTTTGTAAAGATTTTCTCCAAGTCTGTGGCTTTTCTTCTCATTCTCTAACGGCGTCTTTTGCAGAACAAAAGTTTTAAATTTTAATAATATCCAGTTTATCAACTTCTTTTTCCCATGGATCATGCTTTTTGTTGTTGTATCTAAAAAGTCATCACCAAACCCAGGATTGCCTATATTTTATCCTAGGTTATCTTCTAGGGGCTTTATAAGTTTAGGTTTTACATTTAGGGCTATAATCTACTTTGAGCTAATTTTTGTGAAAGGTATAAGGTCTGTATCTAGAGTCACTATTTTGCAAAAATATTCAGTTGTTCCAGAACCATCTGTTAGCAAGACTGTCCCTTCTCCAATAAATTGCCTTTGCTCTTTTGTCAAAGATCAGTTGACAATATTTGTGTGGGTCTCTAGTGTCTCTATTCTGCTCCACTACTCTATTTGTCTGTTCTTTCACCAATACCATGCTGTCTTAATTACTGCAGTTTTACAATAAGTCTTAAAGTCAGGTAGTGACTGACTGTTAATAAGAAAGGGGAAAAAACACTCACCATAGAAAGGTACATGGTAACTCATTAAATATATCTATCTGGAGAGAAAAGAAGCACCTAGAAGTCGAGGCTGCTCTGTCAGCCTGGATGCATCCCAGAGTGAAGACACAGCAAGGCAGGGTACTTTGGGCATAGGAGGCATGGTATTTTTTTCTGGTAGACTTTCAGAAAACCTGGCTTTGCAAAATGACAAAGTACTGATGACTTAATATCATAAATATGGAACGAATTATATATAACTTACTAGAAAACAGAGTAACAATCTAAATAGCTCACTTTCATCTCTAATGAATCGGATGAATGCCATTTTAAGCCAATGAGGTTTGGGTTTTTGTTTGTTTGTTACTATAACTTAGCCTATCTCAGCCATGACATCCTGATCTGGAAATAATTTCAATTACTTTAATGAAGGAATGTCACTTTTGATCTCCAAATCCTTCATCAAGAACAGAACAAATAAGCATCAGCAATGCTCCTATAAGTGTAGCCATGTAACATTAGACATGGTAGTTTTAAGAAATAAGAAGTAAAACCTTGGGCTTTGGAAGATAAAGATAGGGCTTTTAGATAGTAATTATTTAGAAGTTAAAGGGCATCTGCATCCAGGCAACAGCTTTTAGTTTGAACTTCATTTAGGCAGGGACTCTTACTACCTGAGAGAGTAGAATATAACTTCTCACACTACTGTAGGGAGGCTGAAGCATGGACAGGAAATCAGAGCAGAGGGCAGGCAGAGCTGCGATACAACACCAAGACAGCAATTTGCTGACAATCAGTGATGAGGTGCATGCATTTGTGAAGAAAACTGGATGCAAATCACTAGTGAGCAACTAAACAGACTCTGTACTTGAAGAAAATTTTGGCCACTTTCATTAGAAGAGACTGAGAAACCCATGCAAAGAAGGTAACAGATTCCAGGACAGACTTGAGGGGAGGAACAAAATAGTTCAGGACACACGGGACAATCAGCAGAACATCAAAGGGGCAAGTAGACTGGCCTGAAGGGAATGGTGTACCCCACCAGATCCTTTGTGAAAAACAGCTAAAAGTTAATACCACATCCCATACTCTGAACTGTGCAATTATTGTGAATATTCACATTTCAATACACAGGCCACATTTTCAACAATAATAGAGTAGGCATTGGCAAACCAGGGTGTCAGTCCAAATCTGGCTGCTAATTGTAAATGAAGTTTTTCTGGAGCACTGCCACACCCACTTGTTTATGTATTATCTGTCTGTTTCAGCACTATAAGAGAGCTGAGTAGTTACAACAGAGGCCAATGGCTTGCAAAGCCCAAGGAATTTACAATCTGGCTCTTTAGACAGAAAAGGGTTGCTGCCTCCTGACCTAGAGAGTATGGATTTAGTCATTCAATAAAACCTTTTGTTGTCTTTGAGAAACTTAAAGTTTTAGAACACGCTTCTACTACCTTTATTTTAAAGGCCCTATCTGTCCACCAATGTCAATATTCTTGTATCTGTAAGAAATTTAAAAAATTACAGAGTGAGTTAATGGAGGAAAGCTTCTGGGATGCTGGTCTTACTCTGTTCCTGATCTGGAGGCCCGGGACATGGGAATTTCCAGTGTGAAAACTCATCAAGCTATATACACTTATGTGCACTTTTCTGGGTTTTTGGGGTATATATGTATACTGTGCTTCAATAACATTTTTTTAAAAAGCATGTATTACCTCATCCCTTATAGAATTTCAATAGGCAGCATGTATCAACTACCTCTCACAGACTGGACTCCACACTAAGTACTGAAATGAAGATACATAAAGCGTACAGTTACAGAGCTCGGCAGAGTAGACGGTCAATATATATAAAAGCACACAAATAACTATATACTGTCAAGTATGTAAGCTGCAGGATTCAACTACAAGCTCGTAACAATCTAACTAAACTAGCTCAGGCAAAAGGGAAACTCATTGGCTCAGAGATTCCAAGCAAGTGTTATAGCAAACTGGGAACAGAGAAGCATCTAGGCCAGTGGTTCTCAAGTTAAGATGATTTTTGCCCCGCAGGGGATACTTGGTAATGTCTGAAGACAATTCTGGTTGTCACTACTGGGGGAGAGCTAGTGGCGTCTAGTGGTAAAGGCCAGGTATAGTGTTAGATACCCTACAATGCCCATGACAACCCCTGACAACAAAGAATAGTTTGGCTCAAAATGTCAACATTGCCGAGGTTGAGAAACCTTGATCTGAGTGTTACTATAAGTGTGGTCTGTCGAAACAGCAGCTTTTAGCAGCATCTTAAAGTAGATCAAAAATTCAGAATTGTGGCCCTACCCCAGATAATTTAAATCAGAATGTGCATAAGATCCCAGGTATCCCTTGAGCACATGAAGGTTTGAGAAGCAGGACCCTCAGCTCCTACCACATCTGGAGTCAGGTAATGACTTTGCCAGGCATGTTTCTCCCTGCGTGACTTCTCATCTCTTGCTGTAGATGAGATTTTGCCTCACGCAGGAATGTTGGCTGCTATAGGTTACTAAGATTCACGCCTCGTATCTCCCCCTCCATGCAAGCGGTGCTGACTTGCTTCTCAGGTGCTGAGTTTACCAAATTTTAGGTGGCTTTTATAGGTACCAAGGAAAATAATGGGGGTACTATAATAAATCTACCTGGATTTGGGATCAGGAAAGCCAACGCTGAAAAATTTAAGCTGATTTCTGAAAAACAACGACAGTTGGCAAGCAAATTAAGGCGTTTGTCAAATATTTACTAAGCACTTACTATGTTCCAGACGCTGTTCTGGACCTAGGAATGTATCAATGAAAAGGACAAAGCCCTGATCCTACCCTTGAGGAGTTTATATTCCACTGGGCAGAAGCAGACAAACACATAAACAAAGAGAAAGCACAATACAGTTGCAGAACCTGATAAATGCTGCCAGGGAGGGAAGCAGGCAAAGCATCTGGAGAATAAAGGATGATGTGACAGAACACCTAGGGCCCAAGGACAAATATGTTAGGAAGGACTCTCCAAATGACGTTAAGATTTGGACTGAGACCTGAAGAAGGAGTTAGCCAAGCAACCAGGAGAACGGTATTCTACAAAGACAGATCGGCACAGGAAAAGGCCCTGAGGAGTGAGAGCTCCACAAGCTCCAGCCTAAGGGCAGGGTTGAGGGGGTGGGGGCAGCAAAGAAGGGGAAAGCTGAAGGTGCAGGACGAGGGAAACAGGGTCCTAGCGGTTAGTTGTAAAACAGACCTTCAGCAGGAGAGTGCAGTGGTTCCAACTGAGGCGGCTCCTGGCTCTGGCTGCCTCAGTTTGAATCTGGGATTTGCCATTTATAAGAAGCGTGACAAGGCCAGGCACAGTGGCTCACATCTGTAATCCCAGCACTTTGTGAGGCCAAGGCAGGTGGATCACTTGAGGCAAGGAGTTCGAGACCAGCCTGGCCAACACGGTGAAACCCTGTCTCTATTAAAAATACAAAAATTAGCTGGGTGTGGTGGCGCATGCCTGTAGTCCCAGCTACTTGGGAGGCTGAGGCAGGAGAATCCCTTGAATCCCCAGGAGGCGGGGGTTGCAGTGAGCCAAGATTGTGCCACTGCACCCCAGCCTGGGCGGGCAACAGAGTGAGAACCTGCTTCAAAAAAAAAAAAAAAAAGTGTGACTATTTCTTAGGGTTGTGAAAATTATAAGTAAATGTCAAGACACCCTACAACAGGAGTCAGCCCAATCTGGCCCACTGCATGTCTTGTATGGCCTGTGACCTAAGGAAGTTTTCTGTTTACATTCTTAAATGGTTACGTTTTAAATGGGCGTATAAGTACCTACTTCATACCCTTGATTCTGCCCCTTAACTCCACAAAGCCTAAAATATTGACTATGTGGCCCTTTACAATAAAGTCTGCCATAGCCAAGCCTGTACACGGTAGGTGCTCAGGACGTGAGGGCCAACACTGCCAGCTACCATGTCAACGGATATGACTCCCTGGCCAGGCATTACCTGAGGCTTTTTACATTATACTTCCCCAAATAACCATTATCCTAATTTATAGTTAAAATGCAAGCAAGTAACATGGAACATAGAATTTTAATTCTAGAATTAAAACCCAGGTCACTATGTCCCAAAAACCCATGATCTTTCAGTCTCTCATGAAAATCACACAGTTAAGCCCTCTATTAATTCGTCCTCCAAGCTAGGTATTGTTATCCCCTGTGTATCTGATGCCATTATAGCTTTTGATAGCTGAGATAGTGTAAGTAGGACCCAGGCTTTCACTTCTGAAGCCACTTTTGAAGCCAGAAATGGGAGGTTTCCCAGTGCAGCTCTTAACGTTGGCGCATGCAAAGATTCTCTCTTGGGCTCAGTGAAAGACAGTCAAGATGAAACTGAATGAATTTGTATCACAGTGCTCATTGTATGACCAAAGCAAAGAGAGGATTGGGGATAAGAAAAGGGTGTAGCTGATATTGAGGGTGGTACTTAAACCAATTTACTGTCCCTCTTTTTGCTTTTATTCCCCCAATATTCTCTAGTAAATGTTACTTTGGTAATAAGAGAAAATACTTATTTTTATAAAGAAAGAAAGCAGAAATAATCAGCCTTACCCAGAGTAGCTACATTGTACTTTTTAAAGACAGCACTATTTTGACAGCCAAAAAAGACACTTAGGAATACAGCATTACAAATTCAAGATCATGTCTATGAACTTGGCTTGAAAAAAAAACCCTCCGCTAAAATACAACCTACCATCTGTACAATGTATTCAAAAATGATTAGCATAGTATGAAAAAATAATGCTGGAACAGCAGATTTTTTTTTTTCCATTTTTTAAGAACGCTTCCTGCTCGGTATTATTTTCAGATTCCTCCATGAGGTATAAGCAAAGGCAAAATGGAATCTCAGGTCAAGAAGATGGAAACAGAAAGTAAACAGAGACAAAAAAGGAACATTAAATACTCTTTACTGAAGATGTGACACTGCTCTAGAAATTTCACTGAGCCCAAGAGAGAATCTTTGCATGCGCCAACGTCAAGAGCTGCACTGGGAAACCTCCCATTTCTGGCTTCAAAAGTGAAAGCCTGGGTCCTACTTACACTATCTCAGCTATCAAAAGCTATAATGGCATTTCTCTGACAGCAGGACTCTCACACTCTCATGTCACTAAAAGTGAATCAGCAGAGCTTGCAGATGCATGGAGCCCAGAAAGGCACCTCTCAGAAGAGGGTGTGGAGAGCGCCGGGGCAGCGTGGAGCACGATGATGGCCACAGACAGCAGTATCTTGCCCTGACTTTCTCACTAACCAGGGTGCCTTTTTGCAGAATCTCTCGACTCCTGAAATCCTTACTAAAAATAAGGGAGTTAGGCTGAGAAGCCCTGTCTAAAAGCCATTCTATGCTTCTGTGATCTTAAATCATGAGGTCATTTTCACGTTTGTGTAAATACATCCTAACAAAGTGAAACCCCTACAGTATGTTTTGGGAAATTGTATCCAACAATAAATGTTCAGAATTTTTCCCCAAATGAACAAAAAATTGAGTATCAAATTTATACCTATTAGAGAATATTTACCACATTGGCAGAGTGCCTCAAAGGACTTAGGAATGTTCTATTTGCATCTGAAAGGCAGGTTGCATGAGTTTTGCTCCTATCTCGTCAGTCAGCACTAGAGGATGCCTGGGGATGGGCTTCTGCTTGTAAGAAAACTTGTCCACACAAGAGGTGATCAAGAGAGTGACCTCCAGCTGCCTACCGCATACAGATGCTTGGTGCCTGACACAGAACTTCATCTCCAGGGCCTGAAGAGCTGAATCAAGCCAGGAGACAATCCCTGGAGAATTTAAATAAAAAAAAAAAGGTGAGGTATGAGCTACTGCCAGCACTGCTTTCCTTACTTCCTTCTCATACTCTGCCCCTCTACTCTCAGGGTACACAAGCCCTCAAACTTGTTTTCCCTCCAACAGGGCCCAGGTGGTACCTTCCAAGACAGAGGAAACCTGTGGAAACCCTAGCATAATAGGAGGCTTTGTTCATGATCATTGCCGATCACCTCTACACTATCTGCAATTTTAGAAAACGCCTTAATTGGCTGCTGGCAAGGTCAAGGCTCTAAGGCTGGCAAACAAAGTGCTCGTTTAATAAGTTGGCTTTCTTCGCTCTACAGAGAAAAGACAGATAAATTCACACGTGGGACAGCATCCTTGCCAAGAGGTATCTAAGGGTTAGATGTGCTGGACATGTAAACACTAGCATGTTTTTCCATAGAGTGCTAAATAAACTAGCACAGAGGTCAGCAAACTTTCTCTGTAAAGGACCAGATGATAAATATTTTAGGTTTTGTGGGCCATATGGTCTCTGTCACAACTACTCCACTCTGCTGTTCTAGGGCAAAAGCAGTTATAGAAAATACATAAATGAATGAGCATGGCTGTGTTCCCATAAAAGTATTTATGGACACTGAAATTTGAATTTCATGTAATTTTTGCAGGTCAAAAAATACTCTTGATTTTTCTCAACCATTTAAAAACATAAAGATAATTCTTAGCTCGAAGGCCATATAAAAACAGGAGTCTGTAGTTTGATGACTCCTGACTGAGAGGATGAGACAACTCATATTCTGCATCTTACCACAGAAAATGCAAAGTGCAGAGTCTTTCTTCACAAGCTCGGTTATACTCAATTTATCCCTTTCCCTTCCCAAATCCAATCCTCCAAAATATTCCTCCAATGGGGTCCACTGTCTCCATTTCCTTTGTCTCTGCTCCCATCATCTCTCCCATGGCCTCCACCTCATCTGGACAATAATCTTACCTTCAAAGCAGTCACCACCCACCAGAGTGAAGGGCTTTGAAGAGAAATCATCACTCCTTAAACTCCTTCAATAGTCAACAGCCCACCCCCCAAATATAATCAGAATCAACTCTATAATCTGTGCCAAGCCTTGCAAGGCCCTGCCTCTCTAACTTTGTAATCCTCTCCTTGTCTTTGACTCTATGTGATGGTTCACTGTATGTGTCAACTTGACTGCCTTAAGAGATGCCCAGATATTTGGTAAAACATTATTCTGAATGTGTCTATGAGGGTGTTTCTGGATGAGACTAACATTTGAATCAGCAGACTGAGTAAAGCAGATTGCCCTCTGTGTTAGTCAGGGCTTTCCAGAGAAAGAGAACCAGTAAGATGGAGATTATACATATAAAATATGTGTATGTCTGTAATGAGATAAGGAATGGGCTCACATGATTACAGAGGCTAACAAGTCCCACAAGTGGTGCAAATGACAATCTGAAGGCCTGAAACCCAGGGGTGCTAATGCTGTAAGTCCCAGTACAAGGAAAGAAGACTAATGTCTCCACTCAAGCAGTCAGATTAATGTTCTTGTGCCATTTTGTTCCAGTCAGGCCATCAGTGGGTTGGATGATACCCACCCTACAATGGGGAGGGTAATTTGCTCTCAGTCCAATTACAATGACAATCTCTTCCAGAAACAGCCTCACAGATACACCCAGAAATAATGTTTAACTAGGTATCTGGGCATCTCTTACATTAGCCCAACTGACACATAAAACTAACCAATACACACTCCCTAATGTGGATGAGCCCATCAGTTGAAGCCCTGAATAGAACACAAAGGTTGGCCCTCTAGTCAACAGGAGAAAACTCCTTCTGCCTGACTCCGCCTGCCTGACTGCCTTTGAACTACGACATTGACTTTTTCCTCCCTTCAGACATGAACATTGGCTCCTTCTGGGTCTCAAGCTCTCATGCTTCTCAAGCCTTTGGACTCATATTATTAATACACCATTGGCTGTCCGGGGTCTGGAGCTTGCAGACTCACCTTGCAGATCTTGAGATTTGCCCACCTCCATAATCGTGTGAACCAATTCCTTATAATAAAGTCCTTTATACATAAAAACACAAAAATGTTTTATATATATGGTATATATCTAGATAGATATGTATCTCCTATTGGTTCTATTTCTCTGTGTAACCCTAACACAACCATGAACTGTCACATCATTTTTCTCAAACTTCTTCAAACACATTAGGGCCTTTGTATGTTTCCTTTTTCACAAATGTTTATTACTATGTTGTTACCTTCTCATTCAAGTCTCAATTTCAATATCTCCTGCCCTAATATTCTTTGAAAAATGGCTTCCTCTCACCCTTCACCAATGATTCTCTACCTCAGCCTCTTATTTTTGTTCCCTTCAAAACCCTTATCAAATCTATAATTATTTTTATTACTTACTCATGCCTGTCTTCCCTGAATGGAAGGTAACCTTCATGAGGGTAGGCACCACATCTGTGTTATTCACTGTATCCTGGAGCCCTAGGGCAGAGCCTGTCACAGCAACTTTTAATCAATGTTGCAGAATAAAGAATAGCCCAGAGTTTACAGTCCCTGTCCTCTTCTTTGGAACTTCCATCCACTTTATCAGATAATGACCTTTGCATGAACAAGATGATGCTGGTGATGATAAAGACCCCCCTGTACCCTCCCCCAGTAAAGTGATGCTTGCTCCCCTATACCACTGTGAAGTCCTCTGCCATCTTTATGCTATTCTTACTCTCTGGACTCATCACTGAAATGAGGACTTACTCTCACAGGGGCTGTGCCTTACTACTTAACTGGGTATTCACACTGGTGATTCAGGTTAACAGTTAAGTCACCACCTCATGTGACGCACAGCAGGGACTTTTCCCCACCACCAACACCAGGCTACATGCAGCTTGAAGCTCTGGGTACTATGATAAGTCTCATGGGTTTGCTCAATGAACTGACTTATCCATTCCAGTTCCTCTGCGGCACCTAAATCAGAATAACCCTGGGTAACAATGGTGGATCAGTGGTGGGGATAAACATTAATGGGTACAACCTTTAACAAGAGTCTATGCTTAGAAATGGAGGATTTGAGGGCTAATCGGCTTCACCTTTCCCTAATAAAAATTATTTTTGTACTATTATTCATAGCTACCTTTGGCTGGTTCCACCCAATCAGTGCTTGCTATCTGTTCCTCACACTGGACCCATGAGGAGAGCTCTTATTTCCACATAGCACGGAAAGCAAAGTGAAAGCAGGACAGGAATTCACTGATTGGTCTGTGGTCAGTTCGTGAAGCTGATGAGCTTCTCACTGCTGTTGTTCCACTGGTGCTCTGATTCTCTCCTGCTTCACAAAAGGCAACAGGAGGAACATCTTTAACTCAGGTAGAACAATCTGATCTTGGTGCATGCCACCACCTAATTGAAGATAAAATAACCTGTCAGCACTAGTTACGTGAATTTGTCTCTATATACCTCAAAGTCCCCAAATGAGGCCAATCACAGTTATCTGAAACCTGCCAGCAAGCCAGGGAACTGGGTCCTGGGAAATCTTTCTTGACTATATCTGCTGTATCACAGGAAACTATGTAGAACCTTAAAAGATCTTCAGACTGTATATGCCTGGGATGATACTCTGCTCACCCAGTTCCTGACTGCATAAAATGTGACTGGAGTGTGAACTATGTTCATTTCCTGTACAACAGTTTTTCTTACCAAGTAAAAAGTCCCCTCATACCTGCTCTACTGAAAAAGGCTTAATCCTTTTCACTTCGCCAATGTGAATTTCATGCTGTAATGGGCCAAGTTTTGGAAAAACAAAGCAGTTGTTTTATACCTGCCCAACTTTCTGTTCACACAGGTGAACAGGACTATCAGTGGTGAAATCTCGCCAACATCTCTCGTAAAAGATCCTTGATTTAACAATGACTGACATCTGCGCACTTTCCCGTTGACTATAATTCTCTTCACAAGGCCACACCTTGCGGAACAAACTTTAAAAGAGCAACCAGTGCTAAACTGCAGGCATTCTTCTTTCCTAGCTCCAGACATCCCTATCTAGGCTGTTTATTTTTCAGCTTTCTAATATAATGTTGGGTTGATATGTCTGTCATATGACAGCAAGAAAACCAATTACATGAGTCACGCTCTAAAGTGATCAAATGCTGGCCAGTGAAGCCACAGCTGCTTTTGATTCATTAGAAATACATTTTCCAGCCCTGCATTTTTACCAGGCAATGTAGTTCAGCTGGTATTGCAGTTTTTATATAATACTTCTTTATTTGATTCAAAGTACATATTTGTAAGATATTGCTAAAAAGTCACAAAGGGAAGGAGGGCATTAATTGTGCATCTCCTAAAGCTTTATTTCCACAATATGTGGTAAGTGCTAGAAATGAAGAAATGTCTCAATTTGCCTGAAAACCTCCAACATGGCTTTCTAATAAGTAAGACTACAGGGTAAATGCATTCCTCAGCATTTGACTAGTGAAGACTCCCACAGCTGCTAAGATTAGGTTTCTAGCAGGACTTCCCACTCTCTCCTCAATTGCATGAGTGAAAAATACAATGGTCTCAGCTTGATTCCAACTATACTTTATTTCCTGAACTGACACTTTGGTTTTCTTTAGGATAGAGCTGTTTAGAGTCAATTGTAGCAATAAAAAATAATGACAACGTCATGAATATTCTTACTGAAAAGCTGCTGCACCTTGTTTAGGCACTGAATATACTGTCAGTCTGTTCAAAAATAGAGGATCACAACAGCTGACTGATGTAGCAAGAAATGTCTATCTTAACAATCAGAAAAGGTGGTCATTTTCCAAAGTGAATTCATCATGTGGATAGTAAAAAAAAAAAAAAAAAAAAAAAAAAAAAAATTCTATGACCAAATAAGTACACGGTGTAGAGTTAAATAAAAGTTAAATGGGTTACTTTTCCACATTTCTGAGCTTTTAATACTCTGACATGTATTATGAATTTAAAATAATTTCTTATTGAATTTTTCTTATAAAGTGCAACAGTTTGTAGGGCTAGTCTTCCACAGAGCTTTTTGAATCTTCGGAATAGGCCACTTAAAAGTGTCTGAAATATTTTACTGTCTTTCCTACCTCTCTCTGACACTCATACACACACTATTCCACCTATCATATGGATATTTTATATAATGCCATGTATTTTATATGCTTCTATGTATATTACAACATAGTAAAGCACAATGAGCATGTTTCACAATGCTTTTTGGCATAATTACTATGTTTCCTACCTGGATGATATTTCAGGCAATTCTGGTAAGGGCCTTTTTCTTCAAAACACAAGGTGATTTAACCAAAGCATGAGTGAACAAAAAGAGGGGATACACAGAAGTGTGATTGCCACATCTGTTAGCAGTGCATTTGGTAAGCCTTCCCCTGTCACTATATATATTCAGAAATAATGACAAAAAAATGTAGTTCCTCTGGGCAAATGAAACGGAGGTGCAAATTAGAATCACACCTCCAGTCTCATTTTGGTATCACTTCTTGTCTGGATAAACAACACTTACTCTCACTCTCCTACTCATGGCAAGTAGCCACTGTTAACACTTGCATTAGGGATCAGTCACAACAAATTACAGTTAAGTTTCACACCACACTGCAGGAGGCAGCCTGGGCCCAGGAGAGCATAAGAGCAAAGCTGGGCCGCAGGACCAATTTTGAGAAAACTAGCGTTGGGGCTGAAAAGGCCCCTGTGCCTCAGCCACATGAAGTGGTTAAAATTCTAATACTCTAAGTGGTATCTTAATATTTCTGTGTGTAGTGATTCATTATTCTCTGTGGAGAGTAATAGTAGGTAGCTGCTTGCAAAAAGGGTGATTTTGATCACCAATCACTTTCAAGAACACAAGAGATCAGTGGTACTCAACTGTGAAAGCTTCATTATAATGGGAAACTGCCTGTGTGGATTAAAAACACAAACAGATTTCACTTCAAGATGATTGTGTGAGATGCTAAATTTCCATGATGTGAAAAGTATCTACAGACTATGAGCCACATAAAAGTATCCATGGGGAAGATGAGAAAAATCAGGACTAGAGACCCAGTTCATACATGAATTTTCCCTACCTACTTGTGGGGCAGAAGATAAAAGGAGCTTTGTAAGCTGTAAGTTGGCTAGTTTATTGTTTATCCAAGTAGGGCAAAGTCCACTTTTTTGAGTGAAATACAAAGGTGAAATCTGAATAAGAGTTTATAGAATGCATACAATTAATCTCCACTAAATAACAAGAAGTAAAATAAAATCATAAACCTTTAAGAAACAGGGAGGGGCATGGTGGCTCGTGCCTGTAATCCCAGTGCTTTGGGAAGCCGAGGTAGGAGGATTGCTTGAGCACCCAGGAGTTCAAGGCTGCAATGAGCTATGATCATGCCACTGCAACCCAGCACCCCAGCTTGGATGACAGAGCAAGACCTCGTCTTTTTTTTTTTTTTTTTTTTTTTAAAGATTCAGCATAAATGTGAGAAATAAGTAGAGCTAAACAGTCTTTAAGTGAAGCAAATACACATGAATTCATTCACTATCAGACTTGCTCCTTTTGGAGGCATATTACTTACTAGGGCACCTCTACGAAGTTTTCTGAGGGATCCTGACATCTCAAGATGAGGGAGAAATCAGGGTGCTTTGTGATACTGAGCCAGGTGGTCTTCTGAGATCGGGGAACAGGATTTGTTTGATAATTTAGTAAATTAAGGTGGGAGGTATTTTTTAATGTCCTTCAACACCAAGTAAAACATGATTGGGTTTATGATGATTGTAGTTCTCTTTTCCATAAACTTCTTGTTGATATGATTTAGGTATCTGCCAGCACCTCCAGAAGTAGAGAAAAATCATTAGAATGTATCATTTCCATGTCCCCTCATCCATACACTCTGGGACATCCATTAGTATAGGTGTCCTTTGTGATTTATGAGAAATTCTTATGGGAAGGGCTCCTTGTAACCCAATATCCACACATTGCTATTATAATAACTCTCAATAATGGCATCTGTCATGTGCCAAACATGACACTAAGTACTGGATATGCATCATTATCTACCCCTTCACAACAAATTTCTAAGGTAGGTTTTATCATGTTCATTTTACAAATGAGCAAGTTGAGGCTCAAAGATGTAAATTAAGTTGTTCCAGGTAACAGTGCCAAGAAGTAAACAGGACAGATTTAATCCTGGGTGGTTTAATTCTAATAAACATCTGTGCATGCTTTTATTGAGAAACTACTAGGTATAATGAGAAAAACAGGCACAAATAATCAAGACATATGTGGTCAACGTGTCAGAAGTGTGACCCACTAACCATGATACAGGCACTACAACAGATTTTAGACCAACAGGGAAGGATTCAGAAGGTGGTATTTGAAGTAAAGCTTGGCGGAGAGAAAAAGGTTCCCTTTTCTCATTAAAATCCTACTCTCCCTTCCAGATTCATCAGGGATTCCTAAGTGCAAAAAGGACATTTATGATGAAGAAAAAAATGTAACGGGGTGGAAAATGAAGCTCACATTTATGACACGCAAACTGCCTAGGTTGGCTGAGGTTAAGCATGTGAAAGGAACCGTGTAAGGTAAAACTAGAAAGACGAGATTGAGCTAGTTTTGCAAGCAAGAATTCTTTGGAATTGTATTAAACCTTTTCGACATCACTGACAAACTCCATCAACATCTATACTTGCATTTTCTTGCAAGTCTCTTCATTCCAGTTCCATAGGCATTTTCCTTTCCTCTTACTTGGCTTACTCCAAAGTCACTTAATATCCTAGTCCTCTTCCATCTCTCGAGTTTTCCTTCAAATACAGCTCAAACTAAGTCACTACTCCTCATCTGCAAACCTGCCCTGACATTGAACATTCATGCACCTCTAACTTGGTCCCACGCCTTCTCTACCAAGTTCTGGCTCCTATTCATATCTGTGAGCCTTGCCTCTCACTATTCCCTGCCTTGTCCCTAACTCTAGTTAAAAGAACTACTGGAAAGTTCTTAACTCTCATATATTCTTTCTTACCTCTGAGCCTTTACACAGGACCACCTCTGCACATGGCATGCCTCTCCTTGCTCTTCACATGTGCCCAGCTAATTCCCCCTTATCTCTGAGTATCAGTTGATACGTTACGTCTGTCAGGAAGATATGTCTTGTCTCTCCTCACATCTAAGGTGAGCTCCTTTGCTTTCTACACACCCTGATCTACTCATACTCACCATTCAGTATTGCAAATGCTTTTCTACTTGTCTTTCTCACTTATTATCTTAAGCAGCTACTGAGCTACTGAGCGTCATTAAATCCTGCAATCTCACACATGAAAAAATGAACTATTTTCCATAACAGGCCAATACTACTGAATTCACTCATATATTACTCATTTTTCACAACTCTTCTTCAAATTCTGAAGAAAAATACTAAAGATGAAAACTGTATCTTCACATAATTTTTTCCCCTCTCTTCCATTTATTTCCTCTTCTTAGAGATACCTACACCTTAGATATTGGCCCCTTCGAGGGCTTAATAAACATCCATCAGTATGAGAGTGCAATAAGTGAGTCAACTTAATATACAAATAAGTACGACGAGCGACTGCTCCATGGACCATTTTCATGAGACTATTACATAAATTTCATTAACCTCAGTTGGTACCGAGAAGCACACAGTCCACTGGACTAATATGGGAGAAAATAAGTCAGTATTCATCCCTCTATGTCACTGCATTTCCTCACATTCTCTGTTATTCATTCAGTCTTCTCTGTTGTTTGAGACTAAATTCTCCCAGTGAAGACAAGCTCTCGAGTGTGTTTGATGCTTCCACATATCTCCAACAATGAGAGGTTTAAGTGGGGACGCAACTAGTCACCCAGTTGTTGACTCATCCAATCAAAGAAAATTAACTGATAAAACATTTATAATGTTAATATTGCCCTCCAATCACCTGGTAAAGAGGTTAGTGCCTCTCCCTGCCACATATTCCTGAACACAAATCCAAAGGCAAATACTAGACATATCAAACAAGGCATGCGCCTCTTTAAACTGGGCAGATAAAAGCAGAACTTTCAGGTGGGCACAATTAGCACCCTCCCAAGGGAGAATAGAGAGAGGGGAAATGATGCAAAATAATGCAGAAACACTTAACTGGTATTCACATTCTAGCTTGCAAACAATTTCTAATTCACTTGCCTAGACAGTTAACCATCAGTCTGGATGTAAAGAATTCAAACTCAACCAAGAAACAGGAAGCATAAGTTCTGTCACAAGTGTGTTTATTTTGGTGGCTCACATCTGCAGCTTTTTCCCCCTCAATGTATTTTTTTCAGAGCCAAACGAGGAAGGGAACAAAGTTACTGGGCCTAAATCCATCACTGTGATTGTGATATGCTGAACCACCCACAGCATCATGAGAAGGAAGCTATTAGTTTCATGCTGAAGAACTCCAACCCACATAGGGGCAGAATCTAGAAGTAAAGGAACAGTCTATTCAGCATGATTAACTTTATTCAGTACACCCAACAATGTCTAAGAACTGATCTAGTCACACTCGATTTAAAAGCAGCATTATCTAAGGGGATGTGTTCCGATGGATGTTCCAAGGTACCTGGTGTTCCACTGGGAGTCCAGCATCAGCATGAGATCTTTTGGTGTCATCTTGCGTTGATAACGTTACTGCTAAATCACTACAACTGCGAATAGAGACTGAACACTGTGTAGGTGCAGGGCTAAACTATCTTAAACCAAACTTACAAAACCAAAGGGTGCAGACTTCACAACAGCAGCCTTGTCAACTGCATCGCATGAATCCAAATCCTTGGATGGGAAAATCTCCTATACAGATTGAGTTCTTGTAATCCAGAGAAAGGGTCAGCAAACTACGGCCTGCAGGCCAATTCCTGCCAGCCACTTTTTTTGTAAATAAAGTTTTACTGGAACACAGCCACAATAACTCATTTAAATATTATCTACTGCTGCTTTTGTGCTACAGTGGAAGAGCTGGGTAGTTGTATAGAGATCATATGGTCCGCAAAGCTTAAAATATTACCTGGCTCTTTACAGAAAAATTTTGCCAATCCCTGGTCTAGAATGGTGGAGCATTCACTAATTCTTGCTCTGCAAAACCTGGTTCTAGGTCAAAATTATTTTGTCTTGATGCTGTAATTCCTCACTGAAGATCCTAGTACTTAAGGCCTTGGGTTGGCCCACAGACATCCCAACCCTCTGCTTGGAAACACTATAGGAACAGGTCCAGGTGGCAACCCTGCAAATCTGAACAGATGCCTATTTTTCTTCTGCCCATGAGACAGATGGTCCTCAGAGAGGGGGAGAAGAATTAGTCCATGAGAGAGAATTCTCTGTGCAGCACTAATTTTGGAAATGTATCCCTGATCCATCTGGCCAAAGAGGATTCCTTAGGAGTACCTTTGCTATTCGGGTTTGCTGAACATTCAGGAGGGGAATCCTAAGCTCCAAGGCTAGAACCTCAGGTATTTGCTCTCTATCAAAATGTTAAGTAAAGCCCTTTAGACAAGAAGTCTCAAATAATTATGACAGAAGATGATTATAAGGATGAAGACAAGGATAGCTGACTACTCATTCAGGGACTCCTTTTCAGAGAATTTCTTCAATTTCCCTTGGCAGTAAATTTTCCCTTAGATGAAAAAGATAATACCCTGATATTCTGCTATGTACAGAAAGCAGGAAGAACAATACTTTCTGAACTGCTAACAAGAGTAGCTCTCCTCTAGATATAACAATGTTTCTCCTTCTCATTAACCACCTTAACTCATCTTTGATATTCAGACCTTGTTATTCTAAAGAATATTTCCCCGCGGAACAAACCATAAATTTGCAAAGTTAATTAGGACTCTGATCTTAACGCATTTCCCCCCATTTCATTCCTAACGCTCTGCCGGGGGTGTCCAAGGGAGAGGAATACAGCCGTGGGTTCTTGGTTTCTGTTTCTGGTTGAGCCAATAAAGCCTCTTCCTCATCCCTCTTTTCCGCTTATCACTAGAGACATAATAGAAAAACTATATAAAAATAGAAGGAATGTCTTAAACTCCTTTTCCCTTTTATAATTAGTTGGCAGAGAGACATTTAAAGTGTGCATATACTTCAGGAAGACACCATATAAATATGATTTTTATCTAGGTATGACATGGCTTCAGGCTGCTAAAAGCCTAAAACAAAACAAAGCAAAACAAAACAAAACAGAAACAACAACAAAAACAAAATAAGGCGGGTTGGACAAGATTGCTAGTATAGCAGGAGTGTCCAGTATTTTGGCTTCCCTGGGCCACACTGGAAGAAGAAGAATTGTCTTGCGTTACAATAAAATATACTAACACTAATGATAGCTAATGAGCTTAAAAAAAAAAAATCGCGCAAAAAAAAAAAAAAAATCTCACGTTTTAAGAATGTTTATGGATTTGTGTTGGGCTGCATTCAAAGCCATCCTGGGCTGCAAGCGGCCCCACAGGTTGGACAAGCTCGCCGTAGAGGGTTGGTTCTGTTCAGCTCCAGGTAGGAAAGAGACAATATTAAGATCAGACATAAGGGGAAAGTTAGGCAACTAGAAGTAGAGGCATTAAGAAAAGCAACTGCTAACAGATTCTGATCATTCAATCTTAGCCAACAGGCTTTTGAAGTATGATGGACTTGGGTGTAAGTGAAAGAGTTGAGTAGTTGTATAGAGAACATACGGAACTACCACTTACTACCTGGATAATCTCAGAGTCCTCATCTATAAAACAAAATAATAACGTAGTTACTGGTGCTGTTATTGTGAGGATTGAATGAAAAATGCATATAAGTCATTTAATAGTGCCTGAGTCACAACATAGTAAGTCCTTAATAGGTACCTAACAATCATTACTGAGCAAAGTTCCTGCTAAAAGAATAGTTGCTGTTAGAAGCAGAAACAAAGGTGGAGCACAGAAGAAGTCACAAGGGAAAAATATCTTTCTTGATTTTCTTCTGAGTCATATACTTGGAGAAAAAGGAAAATTCTTAGTGCTTTTGGTCCCAAAACCCTGTGTAGCGTTACCTGTGAGCCTGACAAGATCCTTCATCCAGTTTCAACATCAAGGGGAAAGAAGATGCTGCTTCACATAATGCAGGTCTCTGCAGACGATGCTGTGCCACAGGAATCAATCAAGAAATAGTTACATCCCCAGCATTGCTCCGTGGGTTGTAAAATAAATGTTTCTTAGACAAAGAAAGTATAAGTAGCTGAAACATTAGGAAAATAATATCACTGATCCTAACACGGTGAAGTACTTGGCTTAAATTCAGCCTTACAAGGTTTTCTTAAGAATATACTATTGGTTTACAAAATTTAACTCAGTATTTTTCTAAAATTGTAACACCTTCTACGTGAGGTCCCCAGACACAGGCACAAGTTGTAGGAACAGAGACCATGGCAAATAATAAACCAGGAAAACCAGAGTTGACTTCATGATAACCAGGGTGGGAACAAAATTGACATAGGTCTCTATAAATGAAAACCAATACTTGATTTGTAACTAGAAGCAAATGGGCACCCAGGACAGACAACACAACACAGCTGCGATGACTTCCAGCCACTGATAATCTCATAAAGCTCACCTCCGTGGCAACTCCCTGAAAGCAAATCAAGATCAACCCCGCTCCTCTCGGCAGATGCTTCTTTTTCCAAGTTCCATGGGTTTAGGTTACATCTGAGCTCACTTTCACGCATGTTGCGAGCTAATTACAAAGAATCCAGAAATGTGGGAACAAACTGGGAATACTGTAGGCTGTTTCAGCAAACCTTAGCACCATCTGCTGAAATATTAAGATGCTTGTTTAAAAAGTTGGCTGTCAGAGAAGGAGGTCACAGCACAGACAGTGGGGAAGTTCTCTTAAATAACTACTTCTTACTTCTCTTTCCTGTATACAAGCTGTAGGGCACTGAGCCAAAGGTGAACCGTCCAGAGAAAGAAGACCGTATCTGCTAACTTCTCCTGGTCCACGTGCCAGCAGGAGAGAACCTAGAGCATGCTGGTCATCAAAAGAGAAGAGATACGGTCAAAAGACTGTAGCATGTTTGTGCATTTCAGTGAGCAACAACAGTCATTTGGGAAAACAGAATGGAACGTCTTAAACTCCTTTTCCCTTTTATAATTAGTTGGCAGAGAGACATTTAAAGTGGGCATACACTTAAGGAAGACAGCATATAAATATGATTTTATCCAGGTATGACAATCCCTTAGTAATCTGAGACTTGTGAGATTTGGGGATTCCCTTTGTAGGTTAGATGTTTCTCTCAGAAACAGAGCAGCTGAAAAGAGCCTCAGGTGTGTAGACAGTGATCAAGTCAATGGTTAGAGTTCCAACGGGCTTAGGGAAAACAAAAGAAAGCCTTGCATCATTTAATGTGTTGAAAGGCCCCAACAGAATCACATATTAATAATAATAACAGCAGCAGCTAACATCTTTCGAGCATGTACCAAGCATTATGTTAATGGTTACATCTGTTATTTATTAAGTCTTCCAGCATTCTCAGGTAGGTACTGTTGTCTCATATTATAGAGGAAGAATAAAGATGCTTTCAGAAATTAAAGAACTTACAAGAGCTCATCAGTTTGGAACGGATAAAGCTGTTATTGAAGCTTAGCTGCTGACTCCAGGGACTAATTTCACTTGTAACTATGAAACTATATTGACCATGGACTGAGATTCATGTAAGGCCGCTCACACAAGGGAGTGTCATCATAAGGATATGAGTGGTAAAGTGGAAGACAAGGATAAGAGCCCAAAAACATGCTTCAGGGAGACAATAAGTGGAGCCAAAGTAACTAGAAGGATGCCAGGCAGCACAAGTTCATGGGTCTTCACTCCTGTGTATCACTATTACTGACACAGCTACTCTGCCTACCTGCTTTCCCTTCTATTAACTTGTTTCTGTTCTCTGTAACTGGTCCAAGTCACTCATTGTCTAGGCTACAGATTGGTTGTCGGCTGAGTTAGGTAGCAA
Source organism: Homo sapiens (assembly GCF_000001405.40). Taxonomy (NCBI): domain Eukaryota; kingdom Metazoa; phylum Chordata; class Mammalia; order Primates; family Hominidae; genus Homo; species Homo sapiens. Next base: position 23,673,679 of record NC_000009.12, read on the forward strand.
TGGTTCAATTAACTGAGGCCAGGTACAAGAGCAGGGGCCTCAAGGGCTGCTGAGGGCCCCAACTTCAGCTGAAGTTATGGGAAAGGCAGATACCTATGGAAGGAGCCATAAGAACAGTGGGCCCCATGCTGCTCATGTAGTACAGAAAGCAATTCTGCATCCATGTTTGTAATCTGCCTCACATTTTTTGGCTTTTACAGAGATTGTTTATATCCAAAAGGGCACACGGGATTACTTTTCAGTCCCAGCAGTCTATGTGTAGTGACTACATGGATACAATAGTATATACATACGTGAAGATCTTTCCTACTAATAAGTACAAAGAGTACTAACAAAGACAGGTTACTTATGGAAGGGTTTCCTCTTCCTTCTTCACTCTGTTTGTTTCAAAGTCCTGTTTATTAGAATTAAAAGGTGCATGGTCCTGATTTCCACTTACCAGGAGGCTGGTCATTTTTCATCATTACGTAGAGGGGTGGCTCCCAGTTTAGCTCAACCATCTGTCGTCCCTCGCAAGCCTGAGAGATTCACAGCAGGACCAGTAGAGTTTGCCAACCCTCTCAAGCAGGCTCTGAGGGCAGGGTTGACAAGTTACTTCCCAAGCCTGGGTGGACCAGACAGGAAGAACAGATCCATACATATGACTAGACAGAGCCAGACACGCAGGGATAATAGGTCATCATAAAAGCAAAGTTGGCCTCCAGAAAGAAGAAAACCCACCCTGCGACAATCACTATCAAAACCACAGGTATTCACACAGGATACTTCCATCGAACTCCAAATGTCTCTAGAGCAAAGAGGTTAAAAATGTTCTTGTGGTAAGTAAAACCTCCTTTTCATGCAAACAAAAATTAATCACATAAACATTACATGGTGACATAAGCCAAAAGATCAACAAAGCTTTACAGTAAGTAGGATCAATCCACTGAAAAGAATAATTAATGTTCAAATAAGCAGGGCATTCATTTTTTTTTCCCTAAGAAAATTAAACTCTGAAGATATGGGTTACTGAATATCATTAGATCAGAACCTAACTATTAACACACTTCATCCAGGTGGTGCTCAGCTCCACACAGCTTCCTGCTGGAGTCAGCTTAGAAAGGATGACGGGGGAGTGAAAGTAAAGGCGCAGTTTTCGGCCCTTTTTATGAAATGTTACAATCCTGAAATATTCCACTTAACTTCTCCAGGCTCTTTTAAATGCACTTCTAACAAACTGGTAGGACAGGTGTGAGAAAGTATATGAGGCTCGGAGTCACCAGGAGCGAGTTTACACTCGCTCCCAAGTTCTGCCATTTACTAGCCTTTGTTACATCCAGCAAGTCCTTCAGTTCTCTTGAGATTCAGATTCTTACCTTCTCACCCCAATCCCAATGAGCATCTTAGCACCTGCCCTATCTATCACGAGATTCTGCAGATCAAATTAAAACGTATATTCACAGCTTTACAACCCTGAAGTAGTCATCAGGCATTTTCATTTTTAATGGTGGCATGGACTCAAATCTCTTTTACCCAGCTTTCAATAAAACAGGGTACATGGTGAGAATGGGTTCCAGAGGCCAGGTTAAAACCCCAAATTTAAATCTTAGCTCTCTAAATAAATCTTGGCAATCTACTTACACTCTTGTTTCCTCAGCTGTAAAAGCGGAAGACACAACTCATTTTGTAGAACTATGAGGTGCTGCACACGAGGCGGGGCTAACAATGGATACTAAATGAAATACTGGTTTTCTTCTTCTAATCCTGTGGTGCCTTCCAACTAAATCTTCTGTAATTATCCAATGGCTTTGTGGTATTATATCTTAATATATAATATACAATGTTCAAAATGAACACAAAACTGAAGATATCCAACCTTTTCAATTCTTATATTGTTCCAAAAAGCACACCTTTATAAACTGAAACAAAAGAAATTTACAGGCAGTAAAGCTTTAAAAATCCTGACACGTGTCATATAGGAACGTGCTCTCTTAGCAGTTACTTTATATTATCTATAAATGACTTACTTTTTATTACAGGAGATAAGTGAAAATTAAGGGCAAATGAACAAAACTTCACATACCCAGGCTTTACCCAAAATTCTAAAAAGTAGAGTTTGCTAAGGATTGCACCCACCACAAGTAATGAAGCAACTTTTTTCCCTTCTATTAAGACATACCAAGTACTTGATGCCATCCAGAGAAGATAAATAATGGTTTAAACATTACAGGAAAAAGATCCTTTAGAAAAACTTACTTTTGGGGTATTTTTCCTGTGCCACTGCTATATTAAGACTTTACAACACAAACAAGAATACGTATCAACTCAAAAGAATTTTCATTTTGACAAGAACACAAACATACCTATTGAAACTCATCCAATATCCAAATCCTCCTGTTTCCTCAGTCTTACAGATTTAGCAGTCTTACAACGGTGAGGGCCAGTACTTCCTGACCACACTGATCAACCGAACTGTTTGCAACCCCTCAAAGGTACCCGTGCTCTCAGCGTATAAACACATAAAAACACCTTAAGGCAAAGTAGGAGGTGGCCAAGCCTTGGCTGCTCAAGAACTGCCCTAAATCAATTTTAAAAGGAAAAACGAAATGGCCATGTCAACCGCCGGGTTCTGATATGTGTTGGCTGTACTTGGCTAGAGAAATGATGGAAGTTATCAAAATTCTTAGAAAGAAGTAGCATTTAGAAAAGCAGAGATGTGCAATTTGTTTTTTCTTTTCCATGGACAAAGACAGTAAAGCCCCTAGCCAACCCATTAAATGGTTAACTGGAAACAGTTCGCATATTATTCCTCTGGCCTATTTCTCTCTACACAGATTTTCACCTCTAGTAACCACAGAACAGTTTTTTCCATCAACCATAGTCCTTTGCAGAGTAACTTTTAACAAATAAATGTGGAACTACTGTAGACTCCACCTCCAGCCCTTAGTAAAAGTAACCAGAATTGGTTGCAAAGGATCTGCTACAGTTTGAATGTCCCCTCCAAATCTCATGTTGAAACTCAATTGCCATTGTGACAATATAATAGGTAGACCCATTAGGGAGTGATTAGGCATTGACAGCTCTGCCCTCATGAATGAATTAATGCCGTTATCACAGGAGTGAGTTCCAGATGAAAAGCAAGTTTGGCCTTCTCTGCCCTTGTTCTCACATTCTCTTGCCCTCTAGCTTTCCACCATGGGACGATGCAACAAGAAGGCCCTACCCAAATGCTGGTGTCATGCTCTTGGACTTCCCAGCTTCCGCAACCAAGATACCAATAAATTTCTGTTCATTATAAGTTACCCAGTCTGTATATACCTAAAGGAATATAAATCATTCTATTATAAAGATGCATGCACACGTATATTCATTGCAGCATTATTCACAATAGCAAAGGCATGGAATCAACCCAATTGTCGATCAATGATAGACTGGATAAAGAAAAATGAAGACACACACACCATGAAATACTATGCAGCCATAAAAAGGAATGAGATCATATCCTTTGTAGGGACAAGGATGGAACTGGAAGGCATTATCCACAACAAATTAATGCAGGAACAGAAAACTAAACATTGCACATTCTCACTTGTAAGTGGGAGCTGAGCAATGTGAACAAATATACACAGGGAGGGGAACAACACACACTGGGGCCTGTGTAGGGGGAGGGAGAGTATCAGGAAAAATAGCTAATGCATGCTGGGCTTAGATAGGTACAGCAAATCATCGTGGGACACGTTTACCTGTGTAACAAACCTGTATATCCTGGATATGTATCCCAGAGCTTAAAATAAAATTTAAAAAGAAGTTGCCCAGTCTGTGGTACTCAGTTATAGCAGCACAAAATGGACTAAGACACAATCTTAAACTAATTGAGTTCAACCACCTAAACGACACTTGGAATATCCCAGCCCTGGAAGACATCCAACCAAAGCTGCAAGATGTCCAGGGAAAAGACAACTCCCAATGCACATACCCCAGGCCTATGAAATCACTTTTTGGGCCCAGGAATCTATGTATACATGTTTCAACAAGCCCTCTGGGTCAATCTTAAGAATGCTCAAGTTCAAGAAACACTGCCTTACATCACTTCTTCTCAAACTTAAATATGCGAATGGATCAACCTGGGACTTCTGTTAAGATGCAGATTATGGCTCAGTCGTTTAGGGGTAGAAGCTATTATAAAGTAAGTTTGCATTTCTTACAAATTTCCAAAAGACATCAATGCTGCTGATCCATGGGCCATAATTAGAACAACAAGACCTTGAGAACAGAGTCCAGGTCTTATTCTATGTACTATAATAATTTATTAGCAATCTACTTTGGCAACCAAGATTATGTCATGTTGAAGGTGATATGGTGGTAAGTAGTTGGAACACTGTGTGAAATACTGCACATTTTATTTCAGGCAAGTCCATATCCTTCATGTTTATGCACGTCAATTTAGATAGCAAGTGCTACTGTAAAATGTATTTGAATACTTTTAGGTATTATTTCACTCATATGATACTACTCAGTTTCTAAATAATAGCTTGGTACATAGAGGTCTGTGGTTCTAATCACACAGAGTGCTCAACATTGGTCAAGTCAATCACTTTTCCTTTACCAGAGTTCCTTACCTGCCAAATGAAGGCATTTGCATCAACTAATCCACAAGGCTTATTACTCCTTATGGGTCCAACAGCATGCATGAACAACAGGAAACAGCAAAAACAGAAATACCCATAACTGCTACCGAGGTAATTTTCTACACATACAAAGCAGTTAAGATAATTGCCTATCTTGCCACCAAAAGAACAAATGTTTTGTCTCTGAAGACAGAAAAATAAAGATTTTAATCAAAGATTTTAATCTGAACTGGGTTCCATTAAAGCTTGCAAGCTTTCTTACCTGTTAGAGGCTCACATACCGCAAGACAAAAGGGAAATAATCTGGGTTCTACTCCAAAAAGTCTGACTCTGACCATGCTTTAGTCAGGATACATGCTTTCGTCTTTTTCACTCACTTACCTAGAAACAGATAACTCATCTTTCCATCTTATTCTGTGACGATGAAAGAAGCTAAACCCTAACCCCTAACCCCTTATTCCATTAGGGAATATGTATCTTTCAGAATTACGAAAATTAGTAATCAGGTCATGGTCTACATTCAGCAAAGGAAAGCAATAATGACAAGACAGTTTTATATAAGAGTCTGATACTAAGTCAGAGAAATATCTGCCCAAGTACACCCAAGAACTCCACATGCATGTAACCTCCTGATATTGTTGTATGTCTCTTAGGATTTGGCTTTTGGTGAATAAGTGGCATTAGTCAAGCTATCAACTCTAAGTAGAGGATATTCTACTACTAATAGTAAATTCAAGCAGGTCAGGTTACCTTTTGGCTATTAACACCATAATATTACCATCAAAAAGAGGAAAGTTATGAAGTCTTGTATTTATAAGTGTACGCTAAATACCACTCACCTGGTCTCTTAAGAAATAGAACATCAGACATTTCAACGTTTCTTTACATTCGTCTGATTTTTCTGATACACACACACACACACACACACAGAGAGAGAGAGACACACACACACACACACACACTTCAGACACAGGACCAGTTTATATATTGTCCAAGATGGAAGACGTTATAATTAACTGTTTATATCACTAACTTTATATAAGAAACATTCACACTTACAAGATGTTCTTATCCAAGGAGAACAGAAACAACACACAACAAAGTTTACTGAGTGTGTACACTTGCACTTTCTTTTGAAACATAGTAATTCCTTTTCCCTACTTTTCCTGGAGTCACTGTTTTATAATTTAGGCATTATTTTCAACCCTGACACACCCTCGAAACAAGCAAATCCAAAATGTAAAAAGAAAACAAACCAAAAAAAACCAAAACCAAAAAACAAAAAACCCACAACGAATATTATCAGCACTAATATTTTGATAGAGAAAATAACATTTTAGAATGAGCCAGGCCTCACACCCTAACTGTGAGTAGGTAATAACTCCTCAGACTTCACTCTCCCCTTTTATGTATCCTGCATGCATTCTGAGTGCTCACAATGCTCAAGGAACTGTGGTGGATACAGAGGAAAAGAAACACCAAGCTGACCTGCAGGAAAGGTACTACTCTAAGGGATTTTCCAGTCTAGGAAGCTAAAACATGAGCTAAGTTATGTATGTATTATAGACTTCCCCTCACACAAAAAGCCCAGCTAGGCTTTTTTCCAGGTGATGTATTTCAGCAGTAAAACCAAACCACCTCACTTAAGGGTAAAATGTTTCTATCAAGGCCACCTACTATTAACCATTACAGTATACTGTGTTAAGACTGCAGGTTTTGAAGTCACACGAGTTGCAGATCTAGCTTAACAATTTGCTAATTACAGTCCTTGGACGAGTTTTTAAACCTCTTTCAGTCTCATCTTATTCCTCTGTCAAATTGGATTAGAGTATCTCTCTCATAATGTTAAGCGAGATAATGCACAGAAAATACTTAGCATGGTGCTTGACTCAAATCATTTCGTCAAATATAAGTTTTCTGGGTGTCAACTAGTATAGAAATAGACAACCACAGGGTTCCTGGACCCTGAAGAGAACACAACAGAGGAGGAGGAGGAACGAGCAGAGCAAGAACACCTCAGATTTCCTATACCCTTTCCAGCTAACTCCAACCACTAATGTGTCTCTGCCTTGGCTGAAAAAGCCCTGTCTGTTATAAAGGCTGTCTGGGATTTACCCTAGAGCCACTGAATCAGAATCCAGTTGTGTCTGAAGCATCTGTATTAATAAGTTCCAAAGGTGAGTTACCATGCATACCTAAGTTTGAGAGCCACAGTGCAAGATAAAATGCTTTACAAGTGTTTCAATATTTGTTGCGACATGATTCAACTAAGATCTGATGTTTTACTCTGAGCCCAATACAGCTGTCTACAGTCTTCAAAATCTCAGGATCACTGTCCAAAATGTCACTCAGAAATCTTCCTAATGGAATTCTTCCTGATTTACCTCCACTCCTTGCCCAGGGCTCCTGCCCATTGTGTGGGAAAGAAGAGCATGACACAGAGGTGCCCTCACTGATCCATCTTGCTCTGAGGTCTGGTCAACCCATCTATCCTCACTCACAGCTCCACATCCTTCTCATCTCACTTTTCCATATCTCTAATGGGTCCTTAACTAATTTATTCAAGATGATGTTACCACATTGCTTTCAAACACTGAGTATTAAAATCAAGTCTGAGTATTAAAAAACATTGTCTAATAGACACACTCCAATTCTAATGATTTTGGTGCCCTAGTATATATTGGCTTGGTTTCCAAACAGATAAAATATAAATTGTCTTAAAGAAACAAAAAAATCCATCAACAATTCACACTACGATAATTATTTAATCTTCATTAGAAGGAAAAAGGGAAGAAAGTCTTGCATTTGCTGAAATTTGCATGTGGTCAATTCAAAACACAAATACTGTAGGAGACTACAGAATTATTTAAAAATCGTTATCCAGAGAAAGATAAAAAATATTTACAGAAAAAGTTTCATTAAAATTACTAGATAAATTACCAGATAAAATATACCAGCATTTATACCTCTCCAATTGTATGAAAATTTCTATTACAGGGAGGTGTGATTAAAGAACTACACTACTTGACTTAGTAATAGATCTAAGCTGGCTACTCAAACAGATTGCCATCTGGTCACTCAATTGCCATTTGAAAAGCTGCTCTAAAAATATCTTCATATAAGTGCGTAAATCTCATCAAAATGTAATGACTTCTAATTAATTTATGCTAGCTAGCAGGAAACAAAATTTCAATGTACACTTGAGATTCCCACTTATAATACAATTACCAAAACCCTCCAAGATTCCCAAATTATTTCCCCAAAAAGAGACACGGTTAACATCTCCTGATTCCACTTACTATGAAGCCACTATAAACTAGTCCTACAATTAGGGCAATCTCTACCAGCCTTTTAAATGTAGGGGAGTCCATCAATTTGCTTTAGCTACAGAATACACAAAATACGCATTTTCTTATTTCCACAAAATGGCAACAGTACACAAAAGTAAGCGGGTGCTGCTATTTACCAACTCTAAGATTATGTACACTTCTGTAAAATGGGAACAATACAGAATTCTCTGCCTCACAGGTTGTGAGAATCAGAGAGAAAATGTATGTAAAAGCATACTGTTTCCCAGGGCCTAGCAAAAGGACCAAGTCTCCAGAACCCTGATGACAAAGGGTAATACACCAAAATATGGACTCGTTTTCCACTCCACCTTCACTGGCCAAGCAGCTGCCAGGAATAAAGGTCGCATCTCCCAATACCTGGCAAACAAATGCAGTATTGCCTCGCAAATCGACTGCTTCGCTGAGGTGCTCATGAGCATATTTGGGGAGAAGCTTCAAGAACAAGTTGAAGAGAGACTGTCTTTCTATGAGACTGGAGAGATCCTATCAAAGAAAATGGATGTCATGAAAACAGAAATGGTTCAGGCAGAGAAAACGGCTGCTGAGATTATTAGGAAGCTGGAGAAACAGGAGTAGAAACACTTAAACAAGGAAAAGAAATGCTAGCTGCACTTGCCGTCCCATCTTTGGAAAACAGAACTCCAGAGGAGTGTGCAAAGACAAGTGTAAAACCCAAAAAGAAGAAAAAGCAAAAGCCCCAGGAGGCTCCTCAGGAGAATGGAATCAAAGACCCATCTAACTCTTTCTCCAAACCTAATAAAAGGAAATCTTTTTCCAAGGAGAAATTGGTTAGCAGCCATCGAGAAGAGACCGCTGGCAGCATCAGTCTTCCCAACAGGAAGACGTCTTCACCCAAGGAGGAAGCAGTTAATGATCCCAAAGAGGCAGGCAACAGGAGTGTCACTAAGAAAAAAACAGGAAATTCCCCTTCAAAGAGGAAGGAGCTGGTCAGCAGTGGACCTGAAGAGGCTGCTGGCAGCAAGAGCAGCTCCAAGAAGAAGAAAAAGTTACATAAAGTACCCCAGGAAGATGAGAGTGCAAACGGACGTCCCCCGTCAGGCGGGGCACATCCTACCCCAAGGCGACATTTCCCATTCCGTGTCCTACACCCCAATAAAAAATTCTCACACACGAAGCATATTGTGAATCCTAAGGCAGTATGATTATGGATATGCACAGAAATATACACTCCTTCACCAAAATGATATTCACAGGCAGAAGTACAGACACTAGAAAAATACTGAAACAACTCCTTCATTTGAGCTGCTGTTTCTGAAGTGTCAGCCATTAAACTGGAGCCAAGATTCTCTAAGAAGATACTCTTTCCAAAAGACATAAATCAATGGGCACCAGATTGTATCTGTGAATCTCTCTCATGCGTGCACATGCAGATTATCTCACAAAAGCTCCAACAAGTCCAAAGCAGCAAACAAGAAGTAAACACAAAAGGAAAAATTCCTGAGAAAACAGCATAATGTTTTGAGATGAGTCACATCCAGGTTTGCATGGGGAGGATTCAGGAAAAGGAACAGTACATGCTCTTTCTGCACATGCAGCCACAGCCATCCTGGCTTGCACAAAACAGCAAGGTGTTTAAGTGACTCTGATCAACACAGCATGCTGATGATCCCATTGTACATTTGATTTGGCTCAGGATCGCCCAATCGAATTTGCTAACACAGTAGACTCCAGAAGAATCACCCATTAACAACAATCCAAATACAGCCTCTAAATGTGCATAAGGCCTTTTGTGATCTCCACTGGAGCTTATAGTATCTAACAGCTGCAACTGTGACTGTTCTAGCTAATTGCTCTCAGCAACAAAAATAAACAATCGCTTCAGGAAGGAGACTGTATCCACCAAATATTAATGAATTTTTAAAATCAGAAATCTCAAATCTTGGTTTAAAAATCTTGCTACTGCTAAAAAGTCTGAAACAGAGTTAAGGAGGCCCTGAAAGTCCTTATTTTGTAGTTAATTCGCCCCTCCCACCCACCTAACCCCCTCCCCCACAGTTAAAAAAAAAAAAAAGGAAAAAGGAATGTGGCTTGGGTTTGGAAGAATTTAAGCAATCTGAGATATTTTAACTCATGTATAACTTTTTAACATATGGGGGAAAAGAGTCGCACTGATTGGAGCTATTTTTAAAGTGCAGCTCTACCATAAAAATAGACATTTACTCATAAGGATGCTTGAATAGAGAACAAGCCCAATCTACGTCTCATTGTTAAGAAAGGGGTGAAAAAAGGCTGTCGTGCTTTCTGGAGAGCCGTTTATGGTCCGCCTGTGATGTCATGGCAGGATCCAGGTGCACTCTAACGAGCAGCTTTCAGTCTCATCAATTCCTTTAAAAGTGCTCTTCTACCATCAGCTAGTTCTCTGAGCACAAGCAATAAGGAGCCAGTATTTACCCAGACCCTTGCAAGACAGAACATCACCGCAATCACAGACCCAGGAAGGAGGAGGAAAAATTACTCACACACAATTGGGTTCATCGTCGTCCTCTCCTCCTGTCCCCATTAGGGATGGAAGCATTTTCTTTTGCTAAGAAAAGAAGGACAGAAGTAGTTATCAGTACCCTATGACATCTACTCACCCTCTGTCCGTAGAGAGAAAAAGTAGCTTCATACTTCTCTCCCTATCCATGACCCTACTGCATAGCTGATGCTTGCGACCAAATTACCCACCGAACACAGTAGCAAGTAGTCATTTAGGCATCACTACCCTAAACTGAGGTTTGGAGAGATCATCTTAGCGTCTGGACTTCATCTGTCTTTAGCCTTTTTAAAAGGCTGGAGACTCATGCCTGTAATCCCAGCACTTTGGGAGGCTGAGGCGGGCGGATCGTGAGGTCAGGAGTTTGAGACCAGCCTGGCCAACATGGTGAAACCCTGTCTCTATTAAAAACATAAAAACAAACAAACAAACAAACAAAACTGGGCGTGGTGGCAAATGCCTGTAATCCCAGCTATTCAAGAGGCTAAGGCAGAACAATCTCTTGAACCCAGGAGGCGGAGGTTGCAGTGAGCAGAGATGGTGCCACTGCACTCCAGCCTTCCAGCCTGGGCGATAGGGCGGGACTCCGTCTCAAAAAAAAAAAAAAAAAGCCTGGAGAAATACAGTTGTAATAGGAAACCACATAGAACTCCTGATTTTTACACCTCCCTGACATAATGTCAGCAACAATCAATGTAACAAAAAACAGACAACAGCTTTGACATGTCTTAAAAATCAGAAATACGTTATTTTATCTCAAAAAATATTATTCATATACGCATAGAACACAATTAAAAAAGCAAAAAAACTTTATTAAAGAAAAAAGCAAATCTGAACGTTTAAAAATGTTGTAGAAAGGATTAAAAATAAAGAGGCAGCGACAAAATGTACTAAAAAATGTTTTCTTTCCATGAAAGGACTGAGTAAATTTTGACCTGAATTTTTTTGTACTTTATGCATTTTCGACAGTGACTATACTATTATTGACTGAAATTATTCTTAAGGGAGGTAAACGATATTGAGCACATCAAAAAATACTATATGCACTTACCTATGTTCAACTTCTAGATGCCATACATATCCTGAAGGATTTCAAAAATCTGACCTCCTAAAAGGACACAGCTTATTAAAGTTAATTCAGCTTGTGTTTTAGTACTTTGATGGTAGGAAGGACAGAGCTCCAAGAGTGGGGGAGGGCTGGGTTTCAGTGCCAGGTCTCAGGTTAGCAAAAAATCTTGGAGAACCTTAATCTCTCTGGGTCTGGCTCATACATCTGCAAAATAAGGTGTGCTGAACAAGACCACTGAAGTGTCTTCCAACTCAAAACCAGACTGAGAAATAGAACATAGATTAAGTCTTCAGCCTAAATCTTACAGCATAGTGACTGGTACAGCGTAGATGCTTGATGTACACTTAGTGAAAGAAAGGAAATTTTAAAAAAGTAAACTATTTAAATCAGAGCTTCCCACACATAAGCCCTGGTGTGCTGCTTGGCCTAGAAGTGGTTGTACGTGTGTGGAGATAAAGGTTCCCCCTCAGGACAGGCACTCATGACATAAACGAGCTTGGGAAGCACAACTTTTAAAATGTACTACTATTTCAGCAAAAAATAAAATAAATTTTCATTATTAGGATGAGGATAAGTTTCAGACTAAATTTATGAAAAGTTCTTACCACCCTTTATGTAGGAAAGACCGAATGCTTGGCTTATCATCTGGTCCTCAGGCCATCTTAAGACAGAAAACATAAGTAGCAGTTTACTTAAGCAAAGAGGACTTCTTTATGCAATGTATGAATAGAACACAGGTACTTCTTTAAGAGTAACCCCTGAAAAACAGAATACATTCAACATATAGTTCTCTACATACAGAAAACACACTGCAGCAACCATTCTCAAGAGATGAAATTTCTACTAAAGAACATTTCATAAAGTAACAACTGCAATTTCTGCTTCAGCATTTCTAGTAATATCTGCTTAACCTTTCTGATAGTCACCCAGGTTTTTTTTTTCTTGGTGTGAAAATCTGCATTATTTCTTATAATTACTACTACACCTAAGGCATAACAAAACATTTTTAAAGAAATAGATGATCTACAACATGGATGTAAAAGTACGGGGATTTTCTTTCAACAAGGTGCTCAATGGTACTTCCTGATGGGCTGCTTTTTTTCTTCAAGGTCCAAGGAATGAAGCACTGCATCTTTTGGATGCCTACATAGATTTATGGGTCATGACCTCCCTCCCCCATTCTCATGGCCAGCTGCTGCACCTTTGCCACACTGCAATTAAAAACCCGCAATCCAGATAACAAAACTACCTTGCCAACTGTGTTTCATTCCAAAGAGTGAGTCACCCTGAGAATGGCTGCTGGTCTCATCATGTCTGCAAGAAAATCCGCAGATGGGCGGGTTGTTTCTGAAGCATGCATTCAACAGGACGAGGAGCATTCTCAAAAGGAGTACACCATGAAAATCAGCATTAGAGGTAGCATGTGGCTATCAACAACCTGTAGGTCAAAGGGCCTTACAGGATTAAAAAAACCCAGCAAGGTTCATCATTGAAATGGTTATTGAGTTTCCAAACACCAAAAAAAAAAAAAAAAAAAAAAAAGGGCATCCTATCAAACTAAAACCTCATCTTGCATATATCTGAGAAGTATTTGAATTTTATAATTTTTCCCTCACCTTCGATGAAGGTGATGCTTGAGTGATACAGGTAAGAAGAGTGTAAAATTCATATCCAAGAAAGGAATGAATCAGGTACTGTAACACTAGAAATAGTATAAATCCTAAAAAATGATAACTTTTATCATCTGAACAATAGAGTTTTTTAGGTATAATAGTGGGAGAAAAAGATCAGTATTCTGTTGCTGGAGAGATTCTATTTTTGTTTGATCTTTTCACATACACTGACTGCCTGACACACCCCAAATAAATGTCTCTTTTAAAAGAGAGGAATGTCCCTACCAAGTTCTACGGAACTCCCCAAACCACACATAACCTATCATGGCAAGTAATTTTTAGTGTTGCAGTAGAAATGGGCAAGAAAAAAAGTTTTGCTGTTTAGGTATTTTTTAGACTTAACTAGTCATGGGCACAAACTCCTAAGTCTAGACTGAATATGACTTATTAATTCTCCAGAAATAATAGAGGTAGAGGCTTGCCTATGTCTTTGATCCCAGGGATGTCTTCTTGAATTGCCTCCCCGGGTATCTTTTAAAATCCCACCTACCCTTACTGATGCAGCTCAACTGCTGCCACTTCTGTGTGGCTCAGCATTCCCATCCCAGGAACAACCTTCTCCACGACTACATGCAACATTAGGAGTCTCCCCACTTCCTCCTCTTTTAATGCACTTTGTGTACAACACTTTACTGTAGTTACTTACAGATGTAATCTTCTAGAGCATGACAGGCTCCAGGAGAGCAGAAAGGCGTATGTCTTCCACACATTTATGTCTGCAGAAATAGACTGTTTTCTTGTATTTATAAGGTTGCTATAAGGTATTTATTTGAAAAAACACCTATGAGTGATTTTGAGGCTGAGTATTAACGTAGTCTTCACCCATATCTTTAGTTACTTAAACCAAAAGTAATGTTAATACTAAGTTTAAGATCCTAAGATAGTGGTGAGTCTTAAGGTAGGGTAAAACCCATCAAGCATACTTATAATATCCAGGGTACTTTACTATATTAGTACATTCAAAATCGTCACTCCATAGTTTATGTTTAGAGAGAGCAAGACTATCCAGCCAGATACCTCACGCCATCCAGTTATTCAGATCGACAGTGTCTTATCGTTTATTAGTAGCTTTGCGTTTTTTAAAGAGAGGATCTGGACAACTTGAGCATGGCAGCGTTCAAAGATTTGCAAAACTAAGTGATACCACTGTCAGACTGAAAATTAAACAATCAGCCAACAATTAGTCCAAGAAAGGAAAAGAAGCATCTGTAAGAGGAGTAGAACAGGTTTTACTTTTGTGAGTTGTAACTGCATTTATAAAAACTACAGCAAAGTAGCTTGACAGCTGCTCCTGGGCTCTCATAGCACTTAGGACGTTGCAGTCGTAACCTGCTGGCTTGTTAGTCCTCCCTTCCAGGTGGTATCCAAGAAGGTAAGAGCAGTATTTTGCTCACTTTTATAGACCCAGGGCACAGTATGGTAGATAGTTAACTATGTGCTGACCAACCAAAAAATCTTTATTTTTATGAGCCAGAATTCTAGAAAGGTTAATTTCAATAAGGTCCATCCTATATCCACAGGATGCCTGTAATAGTGGTGTAAATATTCAATCTTTGCAACTTGAAGGGAGATGGGCCTACTTTTGGAAATTTTCAGAGGAGGAGTGTGACTACTACTAGAAGTAGAAAAATATGGGCTATTAACTGCAATGACAGACTATAAATGCTCTTCATCCAATAATAATAAACTGTCACGATTTTATCAGTATTTGTTTGGTCCCACTGTTTGAGGTTCCACTATAATAGAGGCATAAAAAAGCTAAATGCCCCTCTTTTTTTCTTCTACCCAATAAAAGGTATATGGCCTATTGCTCCATAAGTAGGTTAATAGGCCTAGGTACTACAATTTCAACAAACTTATTAAAAAACACATTTTCTTTGTTCTAGGTAACGCTGTAAGCAAGCAGTTGTCAGTTTCCACTACAATTCATTTGTAAACCTCTTATAAAAAGTAGAAATCTTGCAATCTGTTTATCTTAAAAAAACAGAATGGTTAAATTGCTAACATTTTTTTCTCAGATTATAATAATGTAAAATGATGTTAACATTAAGAATTTCACGTAGGCCGCTCTAAAACTGAATTTCAATATTGTTCAGATAATTTCCAAGCACAGGTTAAAAAAAAAAAAAAAAAAAAGGGAGAAAGACGAAATTTCTCCTCAAATATACCAGTAGTTACTATACCAACTTCCTTTGCTGAGAATTTTTCCACTATCTGCTCAATTATAAAAGAACTGCTGACATGCAAACCAATCAAAATACCGATAAAACATGCAAGAGGAGAGAGGTGAGGGGAGGATGTTCCAACATCACAAAATTAGAGTATTAAATTCATATAATAAGAAGAGGGAGTATGGAGATTTAAGACTAATTGCATGTTGAAAAAAGGAAGTGTCTTGTCACTCAACTACGCTCTTGACTAGTAGGTTGTGAATTCAAGACAATTACTTTTAGAATGGCTTTTACCAAAAAAGCCGACAGATACAATAAAATTAAAATAAGTCATTTAGTATACTTTGTTTAAAAAAAAAGTGTTTCATTATTATACTCATTTGTCTGAAGTTCTATAGAAGTAGAATCCTTTCACAAAAGATCAGCAGGAAATCCTTTTAACCTTCACAGATCTGTTAAGGGTGTATACAAGAACTGAACTTCTATGCGAAATACGGGGTTGGCAGAGTTCATGGTTTGTAACGTGTGTGACACACAACAACACTAACTTAACAGAAACTGAATTTCTGATTTTAGGGAACAATCTCTTGACAATCTAGCATTTGTGCAAAAAAGTAACTTTCACACAGCAACACTTAATCCCATGAGGGAATTAAAGATTGCCAGTGGAAGCCGAGTAAGCTACTTTCCTCCTGTTTGGTTTTTAACTGACGTGTAAGGGTGATTATCTGTGCAAAAAGCTGAAGGTTGAATCCCAGCCATAAAATGGTGTCGATATCCGATTTCCCAAACTTTACAACTAGCAGATGAGAGTATGTTCTCCTGTGAGAATTACTCATTTAGCAGTATTTGAAAACTAATCAGAAGGTGTCATTCAGTCCAAAAATTTTCTGCACGTTCTACTTCAATTAACTTGCCTTTTGGAATTCTAAGAGGTAACACTGCTTTCCACTAAAACTCTCAGGGAACTTCTTTTAATTCAAGAAAGCAAGTCTGCTTATTAGACTGAGCACAGGTGCCCCCGAATTGTGTATAAAGACCTACTCACCACACTGTTCTTTCCCTTCAACTTTGTTTATTGATGTACTGAACATGAAAAAGTACAAAGAATCCAAACACAAAAGAAAACATGTACAGCCTCTTAAATACTCAACAGAATATATTTTCTATTCCAACAGATGTGAATTAAGTCATACTGTACAACTTCAAATAAATACCAGCCTTACATTTTATTAAGTGCTCTGATAAAACACTGTAAAGTGAAGCACAATTTGCATGCCCTCTCATCAATGCCTTGGTTTGCTACAGTAGTATAGGAAAGAAGCATGTAGCTGCTGTTTTCCCTTGAGGGAAACCTTATTATTTTTTTTTAAGTATATACATGTATTTTATTTTTTAGTGTTTTTCTTTTTTTAAACGCAGAAGGTTAACTCTGGCAATCTAAATGCACCTAAGGATATGAGAAAGTGCTAAGCCAATTGATTTCTGAATAGCATTGAGTGGGTCAGCATGAAAACTCGCTTATTCACTTTAGCACGCGCCTCACAGTATATGTACTGTACTATACTGAAAAATTTTATAACTACAATTTTAAATAATAAAAAATAAAACTCAAAGCAACCGCAAAGATAATGTACAACTATGTTATGCATAGCACATTGCCTGTTCTAAGGGGAAGCATGTGAGCATCTCAGTTTATACAAAAAGCAGGACGTAACTATATAGTTCTCAGTGCATCCTGATGAAGGCATTTTTGCCTTCAGCTTTTTTGAAAATTTATTATAAGCTAGATGCTAATCAGAAAATATTTTGTATTTTTTAAAATTTCTTTCATACATGGTAAAGACTTATTTTATTATTTCCCCAAATAGTGGTTTTTAAGCATCATACAAAGTTAAATTTCAATAGCATACAGATATTTATGATTTTTGTATGAAAAATGTAAGGAAATTTGTTCAAAACCTATGGTTATACTCATTTTTTTATACCACAAACATATTTATAAACCAAAATGTAGCATCACCATAAACAGCTGAAGCTAGACTATCTACAGACAAAATTTGCAACAAATCTGATGCACTGTAAATTCAAGTCCTCAGGACAACAAAAGTGATTAAGCAAGACCTCAAGTAACAATGTTAATGCCATTTACAAAGGAAAAAACTGATACAAAAACATTCAAAACCTGAACATCACTTGGCATGTAAGGGAAAAAAAATTAAATTAGCTGAAAGGTTCATAAACACAAGGTCTTATTTACATTACACAAAGCTCAGGTGTTAGCCTTGAACGTAACTTTCAAAATACCTTCAAATATATCCAACTCAGATCACTTTTGCTGATTTGCTGCAGTACAAATCATGTGCAACGTCTTTTTTCCTTAAGACAAAACAATTCTTCAAACAATACTGCAAGTACATCACTAAACACCATGAGCTCTATCTGAAGGGATTTCTTTAGGAAGAACAGATTTTTTCCCCCATCTCTCGGTAATTTAAATTTCTTGCCTGCTCTTATATATTCTTTTGTAAATTTTTTTTATTTGTTTCAAAATCACAAATCAATGTGAGCCACCTATCACATAATAACCAGGATGATCAGACGCTCCACTGGTGATTACAAAAATGAAACCAGCAGTGTTTCCCCCCATTGATTCTACTCCTTTCATACAAAGATCTCAAAAGTATTTTCTACACCATAAATCTTTCTAAATTTTCCAACCGCTGCAAATTTCCTGGTAAATTTTAAAAGCTCACTAGGTGTCATATGAAGAGATTTCTCAAAGTATTCAAGTCAAAATATTTGTTCCAGGACCAGTAAAAAGTTTCTCCAAATTTTCTTTTTTATAAAAATAGATGCTTTTTTTAAACCCACATCAAAGAGGCTCTTATCTCTTTGGCAAGGTACTGCTTTACGAAAAGTTCTCCAGTATTCTTACAATAAGCGTTTATAATGTAGCCCCCCCTTCCCCAACCCAAATCATAATTACAAAATAAATACTGTTTTAAACTTCATAAATAAAAATGTAAACTTCAAAATACTTTTCTTAAACAGACATAACAGCAATGCTTTAAATGTAAACCAAACACAAAGCTAATCAGAAAAAGGAAAAAAAGGGGGGAAAAAAAAGACACAACCAACTGAAGAATTACAACACAAAGCCTCAATATTTACTCACAGGTTCAAGGCAGTTATGTAAAAAGAAAAGAAATGTCTTCCCTTAGCTGAAACACTTTAAAAGGTCCACCTTCTTCAAAGAAGGCAATAGAATGCAATGTGACAGGTAAAAACCCTGTACCTCTTGTCCATATTCAAACATAAAAGATATTTAAGAAGTTTTAATTCAAATACTAGCAATAAAAAATCTCACATATTTCTTAGGATGCTAAGTAGTCATTTTATCCCCATCTCAACACTGACTTACAAAGACATTTACTAATGTATAAAGTTTCTCTTAACTTGCCTTTGTTGTATAGTTTTCATATATAAATGGACTGAGGACAAGAGCTCATTAGGCTTTGTGCGTTTTGTTTGTCTTAAAGGAGACCTGCAGTACTCTGTCTCCCAGACGGTATCCATTGAGGCTAGCTATCGCCATGGCAGCCTCATCATAGTTTGTCATAGTCACAAATCCAAAACCTTTGCATTTATTGGTGTTAAAGTCACGGATGACCTTCACATTGGTGACAGCTCCAAAAGGCCCAAACATTTGCCACAGGATACTCTCATCTGCGTCAGGAGCCAGGTTGTACACAAATATACACCACCCTGTTCCAGGGTGCCCAGGGATATTAATTCCAGCCAAACTGGTCATTCCGTCAATGGTCATTGGAGAAAACCTGCTAAACAGAATAGGAAATACACACATACACACAAAAAATAAAAACAGAGGTTGGTTATAGCAATGAACGTATACCTTTTCCATCCCCAAGAATTTTAGTAACTCTCCTCCCCCAACAAATATATAAACTATTTCATGTTTTGACCAAGGTCTGTGTGTGGCTTTGCAGTGACATGCTAGACTACTGAGATATTAATAAGTTATGAAATGACCATTATTCACTGTACTGAATATCATCCACAATAGCAAAGAAATATATTTAGAACTGGCTTCATGAATTAAGCAGGATTGGCAGGGGAAGGGATCAACACATACGTAAACATGCTGTAACGTCGTAACGCAATACGAAACAAATGATGGGTTTTTAAAAGACCAGGTGGCATCCGGTGGTATAAAAATTTCTTGAGTCAATTGTGCTTCAAAGAGCAGCTTTTCATTAGGTTGCACATGCAAAATAAAACCCAACAAAAACTTATGAGGGGTGTGAATAGCACTCCCAAAATCAAAGAAACCAATCAACTGTGGAAAGGGATTATGAGTATCATGAACCTCTATCATTACCTCTTTACTCCATAAGCCATATTGAGCAGATTGTCCAACCTGCAAAACACACATTTAGCAAACTTCAGTTTTTAATTTTTCCCCTTGATGTTCAAGAAAGTTGGGCTCATTACTGCCATCTTCCGAGGGGATATCTGTACACTGATTATATGTGAAGACTCAGAATGCTGGGTCTTTTTACGTTTTTAAGCTAATGGGCACCGACTGCCACAGGACAGTTCTTCCAATGAATGGTTTCTCTCTACAAGGGTCAGTACATGGGACACAGTGACGGTCATCTGAGGATACCTTTCAGAGAGGAAGTGCGAAAGCTCTGGGATAGTTAACTTTAGGGTTCTCATCAGGTAGCTTCAAAGTGATCAATGTATAGCTACATGTTCTTTATACTACTTTTGATTTTCACAACTCTGTTGGTGCCTGCAGATACCTAAGGCACACAGGGTTTAAGTGGCTTGCTCAAGACCACAGGGCTAGTAAATTATGGCATTGATACTCAAACTCTGCAGGTTACAGAATTCTATACATTTTCCTTTCATTTCCCAACTTTGAAGGGCTTTCATCTTTTAGAATCAAGGAGGTATAATTACAGGTAGAAAAAACCTTATGGACAACCCAAGCTAACCCTCCCATTTCTCAAATGTGCTCAGCTGAGGTCTAGAGAAGGAAAAAAGAAAAATCCATCACTCCAGTGTGCAACAAAGCCAAGAGTTCAGATCCTGATCTGGATGCTGTATTCAAATTACGCTACAGGAAGTGTCGTCCTACTCAGTTTTCAAAGGCCAGGTAGGAAACAAAACAAGCCAATCTGAGCCTCACTTAAAATGTTTATAGAAAGTAAATAGGGGTGGGGGTGGAGGTGTAAGTACTCTTTAAAACCTTCTACATTTTTCCTATATCAAATATTAGTTTTACAGCATTTGACTCTTCTTTATCAGTTTCAAAACACCACTCTAATGTCCCAAATTTCCACAGTGCTTACCAACTAATTATGTGTTCTGAGGAGGAGGCATAACTTAATACATAGTCCACAACCACCCTCAACTGCTACAATGCTCAACACTCTCCAAAGACATCCCAGGGTTGTCCCTCTGGGACTGGGGGTGGGGGTGAGAATTTTTTCTTTAACACCCGTGAAAGGTAAGTTTGAAAAGTCTCAGCCTTATCACCTAACCTGTGGCATCAAGTCACGCTAAAGTATACATGCAAAAGCCAACACCTTTTAGTTTTGTAAAAGCCAAAACACATCTCATCTGGTCTTTCAGAATGGGGAAATATATAGCCTCCCACATCCCTGCCCTCAGTCTCCACTGAAAATTCTGTTTTGTAAAGATGAGAAGAACTGAGCTTATGCAAAGTGTAAGGAAACAGAACAGATCACAATGACAAAAGATCTTCGTGTGTGAGTGTGTCTCTGTGTGCGTGGTGCGTGTGTGTGTGTGCGTGCCTTGACCCACCACCCTCTCATTGCACCACTGAGCACAAGCCAGGGTCACTGATAGTTTATAATAAATATGTGATGACCAAATAAAGACAATGAGGTTACCAAAATTATGGTCAACTTAGTCCAGAATGAAAACTAGTAAGAGGATTGGTTGGATGACCTTGTCTGCACATAAGTAAAAAGATGTGGGGTTTTATTTTTTGCAGAGGTGAGTACAGTCAAAGATGCCATGCCTTTATAGTCAAGAATAAGGATCACAACTACCAGCAATAAAGACAAACACATATTAGCACCACCAATCATAAAGTAACAATACAATTTTATCAAATTGCTGGAATGATCAACACAGAATGCATTTGGCATATGCTACCTGTAGAAGAGAACCGCATACTGAGGTCTCCAACCAAAGTGCTAGAAGACCCAGAATGCAGAGGCACCTTATCAATTCACTCAAAAGTTACATCATCTATGCCCATTAATTGCATCCATGTAGGGACAGGTCATGCTTTGCTACCACCCACTCAGGACACCAAGCATACGGCCCAGAGACAGATGAGTTTTCAGAATTTTCAAACAGGGTAGAAACCAAATCTGCCCCTGAAGTGAATTACCGTCAGGCCTTTTTTAACAATGGGGATATGTTCTGAAAATGTGTCACTAGGTGATCTCGTTGTTGTACGATCATAGAATGCACTTATACAAACCTAGATGGTAATAGCCTACCACACACCTAGTTATATGGTATGGGCTATGGCTCCCAGTCTACAAACCTGTATAACATGTCACTGTACTGAATACTGTAGGTAATTCTAACACAATGCTAAGTATTGTGTATTTAACCATATCTAAACATAGAAAAGGTAATGCATTGCACAATATTAGGATGACTATGATATCACTAGACAATAGGAATTTTTTGCAGTCTACTATATTATGGTACCACGGTCGTACATGTGATTAACTGAAACGTTATGTGATGCATGACTGTACATGCAGTGAGGGAGAAACATTTCGTTTTCCATCCTCCATCTCCCTCACTTCCATCTCTGGCATCCCCAGACAGGAGGTTTCGAATTTTTTATAACAGGATCTCCGAGGACCCTCCAAATTATGATAGGGCATCTTTTTTACCCTATCTGTGAAGTTTTACATGATACCATGATCTTCACTGATTCCTTCACTTCTCTCTCATTTTAGAAAAAAATTGGTCCTTTGGAACTAAGCCAAGTTATCCACTCTAATCTTTCTTCTCCTCCATCACCAACGAGTGTAGGGAGAAGCATGGAACCTAGAAAACAGTGCCCAGGCACTGCTGAAGCCCCCTGACTGTATGCATCTGAGCCCAGAAGTATTTCCTAGCTTTCTCGGTGCCATAGATTCATGTTTCCCATGGGAGCTCAGAAAAGGCAACGGGTGCTCTACATGGGCACCATTCACTCCAAATCCAGTAGCAGTTGGCAAACTGTAACACAGGCAGTTGTAAGAGAAAATAGTGCAGCAGCTCAAACACAAGGACTACTACAACAAGCCCCTAGAAATATGTCTGCTGGGTCTGTCCACTGCTCAAGGACATCTTTTTATTTTATTTATTTATTTTTGAGACGAAGTCTCGCTCTGTCACCCAGGCTGGAGTGCAGTGGCGTGATCTCGGCTCACTGCAAACTCTGCCTCCCGGGTTCACACCATTCTCTGGCCCCAGCCTCTCGAGTAGCTGGGACTACAGGCACCCAACCACCACGTCCGGCTAATTTTTTTTGTATTTTTAGTAGAGACGGGGTTTCACCATTTAGCCATGATGGTCTCGATCTCCTGACCTCGTGATCCACCCGCCTTGGCCTCCCAAAGTGCTGGGATTACAGGAGTGAGCCACCACGCCCAGCCATCTTTTATTTATGGTCATTTATAAATGGAAGTCAATTTTTAAATGGAGAGCAAGCTAGCTGCCTCCAGAATATCTCAGGGAGGGGTGTGGATGATAACGTAGTACATATGGAAGGTAAATATTAAAGTATCCATTAAATATATATTTAAAATAAAATATAAAATAAATATGTATTTAAAATAAAGTATTTTTTACTTATATTTAATAGATGCACTGAACCCAGTACCTTCTCAGTCCTGTGTATCACCTGCCTCCCTGGGGGAAGACTGAGCAATCATCGAAGGGGAGAGGCGGCGAGTGGCACTCTCTCCTGCTCTTTAGCCTGAACAAAATCCATTTTACAAATAACACAGCAAGCAGATATGGAGGATTAGACTGGATAACCTGCTTTAATTAAAATGACCTCCATTTAAAGAAAAAGTAACTTAAAAAAAGATTACTACAAATGTAAATCAGAGTAAAGAATGGTACCAGTAAGGGAAATACAAGTAAATAAGGAAAGGGAGAGCCGATTATTTCTCCTACTCTTAGTACAAGCTACATTATAAGGTTAGACACAAGATAATCCAACATGCATCACATGAAGTCAGATGAGATATCTGAAATTATTTTATGGTCTTGCTTTAAAAGACATTTATTAAGATATTAGGTACATGGAAAATGAAGCCAACCAGTATAGTAATTAGCAAGACATTTAATACAGATTGTCTCATCTTTATCCTTTTTTATGTTTGATTAGAGTTTATAATTTAATGAATAGCACACGCCCATGTACATATGTAATTTATGAAAAAGGCACATAGGAGAGAGATGTGTATAAACATTTTTCTATCAACAGGACCAAAGCTCCAATTATAACCTGTCAAAATTTTGAACAGAACCATGTATCAGATCATTCCTATTTTAAAGCTAGGTGTTCATAAGTAGAAAATAAAAATAAAGTACCTGCCTAATTTCTAAAAAAATTAGCTGATGGACTATGGGAAGGCCTACATGTAAGTAAGGGGAAATGTGAACCCGATTAAAGTCAGAAATAAAAATAGGAAGATAAGTTATTGATGGGTAAGAAAATATACTCGGAATCCCACAAATAATGATTATCAAAATCTCTCCAAAGCGCCAACCGAGAACTGCTTGGAAATTATCTACAACAAGATCATCTTCTTACTGCCTTACTGCCTTATTCAATTAGATGGTATCATCTGTCCTCTAAGAAAGAGGAAAAGTATTCAAGGGGATTGATACCGGTTTCTTCCAAAAGGAAATTGTGATAATGCAACCAGTACGTCATGCCTTAAAGGCAACTCAAGTGCTCATTTAAAAGGCTTTTTAAAAAATGCATAAAGGCTCATAGAAGCAGGCACACAGGTCATTACACTAGATCATATTCAATAAAATTATAGCTGTTTCACAGAAAAGAACATGAAAAAATTTGGCTTAAAGTTTAATTCTGATATCATGTCCCAAGAATATACTTAAGGGGCTTGAATTACACCATCCATCCAAATAAATAAGGCTTGTCCTATTTTGAAAACTGCAGTCAATTAAATAAGCGTATTAGACCAGCAGTGCTCATATTACAACAATTCTCTGATTATTCATAGATTGACTAAGCCATAAACCTCACAAACCCACCTTTAAACTTAACCCTTATTACATGGATTTTTAAGCTTTTTGACCATAAAAGATATGGCTCATACTTTATGATTATTAAAAGTATTCTTGACCATAATACATATAACTTATATTGCTCAATCTCTCTCAACTCCCAAGGTACTATGAGAACATAAAAATACAGTGAGAAATTTTCTACATGTCTGCTGAAAGGTGACAAAAACTCAAGGCAAGAGCATTAAAACACAAATATCAGGGACAAAATATATCTGTGTGATGATTTAGACTCGAACTACAGAAAACAGCAAAATACCAACAAAACAAGCAAGCCCTTAATTCAAGTTTCTTTATCAGGTGAAAGAAGAAGGGGGAGTGGGGCGGAAATCAAGATAATGACAACCAGGTTCAATATACTGTATTAAAGAAAAGCATCAAACATCAGGTTAAACCTGAAATCTGATTTCTTCCAACACACCCAATCTAGATCAAACACTATCTCTGAGCACACTAACTCGTTCATATTTTATTATCTGGACAGGGATCATGGGAGGAATGAGAAATGGGGTGAATGGGACAACAGTTAAAAATCTGAAGAGAGAATAACAATTTCTCCCATTTTCTGAAACCAAGTTTCCCTTACAACTGACAATCTCTTATTCTCTTCTTCCAAAATGTCTTTCTATAGGAGTGAAGGAAAAAGAATTTTCAAGTTAATGATAACATATGGTACTAAAAGATAAAAACACAGAATGGGCCAGAAAAAGATAATTAAATTTGACCATAAGAACATCCTGTAAAGCTTTACTCAACCAAAAATAAAAAGCACAGAGCCTGCAGGGATGGAGGCTAGGTAAACCTAAGGGCTGACACCCATCAACAACCTAGCACCTGAGTCACCTACAAGCCTTGCCATTTCAATAATCAGGCACTCTCCCAAATCCTGTCTTCTCAATCTTCCTAAGAATTCAATCTTGATTCCAAGAACTTTGTTTTACTTAATAACTATCAAACAAAATCATTGCTTCAATCTGGAAAAAAAAAGTAGCTAATATAGCTTTCCACTAACAGCAAACATTTTATAACTTCACAATGTTAAAAATCAACCAATACATTATGAAGAACTTTGTTCTATCTAAACTCGAGATCATTTTCAAGGCCCCAAAGAGCTCTGAAATTAACTGGACAAGCTGCCTAGGAAATACCTGTAAAATTCCTTCAGGCTTGTTCATCCTACGTTTGCAATTTAAAAAAGTATATTTATACATATATTATTCACTTAAGATGTCACAGAGGAAACCTATGTGCAGAGCTGAAAAAGGGCTTTCTTTGTGAGACTTCTTTCTCCACAAAGGCAAGCATCAGGCAGCCCCACGCATCTCCCACACTAGTCTGATCACCACTACCATGGGAAGTCAAAGGTGGCAAAGGTTTTTTTTTTTTTTTTTTTTTTTTTTTTTTTTTTTTTTTTAATACCAATGCCTTTTCCTCACAGCAGAGCATGAAGTACAAGGCTCAATGCTTTTGACAGTACCACCTCTTCTCCCACGGCAAAGGCCAACTTAAGTTGAAATTTAATGTGGCATTCATAACAAATTTCCTTCTCATATCTCAAGCAACATAATTTAGTATTTTTTTAAAAGGAGCTATTTTTAACTGATTTTATCTCCACTCTCTTCAGCACTGCAAATATTCCAATGAAAAAAATAAATGCATAGATTTAAGCTAGAAAACATAACTCCTGATCTTATTAGGTTATATTTGTGATTATATTTTTGGTAATTAACTATTCTGTCCCATGAATGAAATAAATAAAATTGATATGCACTTGGAAATAATTTTTAAAAATCAGTGTGGGGTTAGATAGCATTCTGGGTATAGTGTACCATATGGCCAAAAAGGATATTTAAAAATGTCCTGGAAAATAAAAACTGCATGACTTGCTTATGAAACCAAAAACTCTCTGCTCTGCTTAACTTCTTAAAGTCACTGTTCTTCTCACATGCAGATTAGAGATTTTTTGAATGACTCCTGGTTTGTTATCCCAGGATCAGAATAAAACTTAAACAGTTAGCATATGTACACCTGTCAGTGAGATAGAGTGTCTTCTTTGGGCTAAAGCCACGGTCATTCTATGAACTACAGAGAGGTCAGTAAATTACAACCGACAGGCCAAATGGAGACTGCCTCCCACCTGTTGCTGTATGGGCTATAAGCTAAGAATGGCTTTTACATTTTTAACAGGTTGTTTAAAAACAAAAACAAGACAGATGCAACAGTGACCATAACCCATAAAGTTAAATATTTACTATCTGGTACTGTACAGAGAAAGTCTGCCAACCTGTTTGTAAACAATTTTGAAAAGGAAGAGAGGAACTCATTTGTAGAAACTTCACGTAGTCACATAGGTTATATACCCTTAATGGTGCACATACTATAAAGTGAAGTAACAGAAACAGCTTGACCTAAAAATTGACACATGAGAATAAAATCCTTTAAGAAAAAAAAAAAAGGAAATCTGAAGCCCTGGAAACAATTCAGATAACCCCAGAAAGCTACAGATTAGAATTTCTCAACCACAGCATTATTGGTGCTTTGGACCAGGTAACTTCTGGTTGCTGGGGCTATGCTGTACACTGTAGGAGCTTAGCAGCATCCCCGACCTCTAGCATTACATGCTAGTAGCACCCCCACAGGTTGTGCCAACATGAATACCTCTAGACATTGCCAAATGTTCCCTGGGAGGCAAAAATCACCCTTGGTTAAGAATCACTGCTGTAGGTTACTGTCCTTTGGTCCCCACCTTCAATATTAGCAAAAGACACTATTCCTCAAGTAGATTCTCTCTGTGCCCATGGAGATGAAAAATTAATAGTAATAAAACCAACAACACTGACAAAAGCAAACCAGAGATCCTGTCAATAAAAGTACTGGACAGTAAACCTGAGTATTCTCTTTCAGTTTAGTAGCTGGGCACAAGAACCAAACCAGACTTACCTAAAACGCTGTGCCTGCTGAGCTAGCGGTCCTGGATACCTTCTGTTTGGAGACTGGTACAGCTGGGAAAGGATGGCCTGATTGGTTTTTTGGCTTGGGTTATTAGCAAACTTTACAGTGATTGGCTCCGTGGCACCGGGAGGTTTCTGGCCATTTAGGCCTTTGATAGCTTCTTCTGCCTCAATTCGCTTGTCAAATCGAATAAACCCTACACCCCTTGATATGCCTATGGTAGATTTGAGTAAAGATTTGGAAAAGAGGGAACAGAAGGAGAAGGGAAGGAGAGAAGAAAGGACACATTAATTTTTCCTTCTCAAGAACATGTTTTCACCTACATATAACATTTCCCACAAAATCACACCAGGAGGAAACTTTCCCCTTTACTTACTAGCCATTCAGTTTAGAATCACAATTTTGCATTTTTAGAAAAATTCGTGTCACTTACATAATCTGAGTACCCATTATCACATGCATTCCAATCAGCTAAGACAAGAAAACACAAGCATGTCCATGTTTTCTCTCTCTCCCACCTCCCTCCCGTACACTCTTTTAATGTCAATAGTGTACCGGAGTTCCATTTTTCAATTTGTGCTATTGGATAAGCAGCTCAGAAATGAGGGACACAGTAGTTCCTGTCCTTGAAACAAGGAGAACAGAAAGAAGAATTTGCTAAAAATGCTACAAAGCTATGCTAAAAATACATACACTGTGGTAGAAAGACATTTCGGTTGAAATTTTAAATAATATATTCAGCTTAATAATATTGCATAGGATATAGGTCCTTTAGGAAAAAAATGCCTGAAAATGCTCTTCCAGTTCTCTGAAGCTCTCTTGTGCTTCTGACTAGCTATATTTTATTACAGAAAAATATTATATGGAGAAAAAGAAAAGACGTAGATTTTAAAAATAAATAAATTTCTAGAAGTAAAGCATCAAAGCTTTCTGACCTCAGCAGCATCACTCCTGACTACAGAAGATCACTCCCTGCCCCACATTCTCCCCAGTGTGAAAGACACAAATGGGAAAGGATAGCCAAGAACCTTTCCAGGTTATGAAAAATTGTAGAGGGAAACCCAGCTTATTCCATTTAATTAGCGTGAACAGGCTAGTGGGGTGACCACAGCTGGTCATCATGAGATAAGCAGTGGCAGGGAAATTTTTTTTGGCAAGTAAATGAGCACTGGACCATCATACTTGGAGGAGCTTAAAAAAAAAAAAAGAAAGAAGGTCTACTTGCTTTAAAATTAATACTGTGTAAGGTCAATGACTAAGAATTTTCTAATGTAGACAAAGCATTTTTTCCACATATGCGTATCTAAGACAGCCCCTATCACTTTACCTTTTCTATTTAAAGAGCATGCATTGCACATTATTACCACCTGATGGCTGAATAAGAAAATTGCAGGGTTTCATTTTTCATTTCAGGTAAATTGAGTAAGTTCACTTTGAAAGCCTTAAGTATGAAGAATAAATAGTGAAATGATAGCAAATCCTTTCACTTATCTACTAGCGCCTATTAAGAATTAATAACCTCTAGAATTTAGCTGTTCCATTAGAAAAGCATCAGATTAGCAAAAAAAAAAAAAAAAAAAAAAAAAAAAAACAGCCTCTACACAGCTAGAGTCACCTAAATCGGTGGTCCTCCTACTTAAGCATACCTAAGAACAACCTGTGGCTCACCCTCAGAGATTTATTCAGTAGGTTCTGAATGAAGCCCAATAATTTGCATTTTTAGCAGGGTTCCAGAAGACTGCTGATACTGCAGGTGCGGGACATACTTGAGAACCGCTGACTAAAACAAGCTAGGTCCACCTGTGATGGACTAGCAGGTAAAAGATGAGACGCACTTTGTGTCATAGGTGAAACCTACTCTCAATTCACAAGATCTCAGAATGAATGAATTAGAAAGCACAAATGAAATAAAAAATATTTTTGTTGCTTTGAACAAATTCATCTTTATTTCTAGGCCTGGATTTCTATTTAACACCATTATTAGTCTATGTGATAACAACACAGGGTGGCAATGTATAAGTATTATGAATTAACTAACACAATTAAGGAGGCTGTATTTTATATACTCTCACTTGACTAAATAGTCTCATGACAGCAAAATCTGTAGGCTATTCTCCCAGGCATGCATGTAGTGCTAGCTCTCTCTACTCAGAACTCTAAAGGTGGTGCTTCCTATGAAGCCAATTAACAACACAGAGGCAGGTAATATGGGCTCCTCTGATTAGATTCAGATCAACTAAATGGATCTTCACTTGATGAATGAAAAATCTGGCTCAATTTTCTTCTGAAGTCACTGCTTTAAAAGAATTAGACATTGTAATATACAACATGCCTCCAAGGTATTATTATTATACGGGTGGCGGGGAGAGAAACAAACAGTGAGGAGAAAAGCTACCTTAAAAAAACAAACAAAAACAACCTCACAAATCTTCATGTGGCTGCTTCAGTCTATGGTACTACAGCTAATATTTCCTCCTCACAATGTTTCTCTATTTTTTAACTGTTTCCTAAAGAACAAGTATTGCTTTCATTTTATTTTTTACTTATTTTTTGAAATGGAGTTTTGCTCTTGTTGCCCATTGCCCAGGCTGGAGTGCAATGGCATGATCTCAGCTCACCGTGACCTCCGCCTCTGGGGTTCAAGTGATTCTCCTGCCTCAGCCTCCTGAGTACCTGGGATTACAGGCATGCGCCATCACACCCAGCTAATTTTGTATTTTTAGTAGAGATGGGGCTTCTCTATGTTGGTCACGCTGGTCTTGAACTCCCAGCCTCAGGTGATCCGCCCTCCTTGGCCTCCCAAAGTGCTTGGATTATAGGCATGAGCCACTGTGCCTGGCCAAGTATTGCTTTTATAATAGAAAATTGTATCTGTATTTTATTTTTAAAATTCATAATCAAATCTATATTGCTATAGCTTTGTTAACTAAGATTTGGCAGAACAACTCCCTTACATTCAAGAGTTTTAATGAACATTTTAGTCTTCCCATTTCAGTTGGGCTAACAGTGATATTAGGAATAAAATAAATTTTTAACATTCAAAATTTCAAACTCTTACATATGCCCATACAGCACAGCATGAACCTGGAAAACAGCCTGAACAGCAATTACCAGTGTGGATGTAGTGTAATCCTCCCTTGGAGAACTAGCTGCATACCGCTGCATTAAACTTCGCTTTTTGACAAAAGAAAGGTTGTTTATTAGTACTCTATAAGCAGGATGGGGGCTTTTATCACACAGTGGCTTGGAAATGAAGATTATAGCATCTATAAATTTATTACAAGCCATGAAACAGGCTTCAATCCTGCACCTTCAGGGTGGAAATGACTCAAGCACGCTCACTATACTCCACAATCTATTTTTATCCATGCATATTTATGAACAATTCCAGCAGAAAATTGCATTTTCTGGCCCACATATACCTTTGATATGTTCTAGAAGCAAGACTGCTACATGGAAAGACAGAATATTTCACAATCTGCTAGTCAGAGACAGGGAAAGACTGTCCGGAGTGGCTGTCTACTTACCAGTGACCTGGTCGACAAGAATACGAGAAGTAATAATGCGTCCATATTGTGAAAAAAGCTGTTCCAACTCCTTCTGGGTCATTGTTTTTGGAAGTCCGCTGACATATAAATTTGCATCTCTGATAGAAGCTGAACTTGGGCGAGCATAGGAAACCTGGAAAAGGAAAATAAAATTAAATGTATATGCATGCTCACTCACCCACCTCCCTTTAGAAACTCAAAAACTGCCTCGGTAACTTTCCCATGAACAGCATAGAACACTGAAGTTCAAGCAAGTCAGGTGCTAACTGCTTTATTCATTTCCAGGAAAATTCTAGACAAATGGGTAGTAGTATTCCCATTCCCTCTCCCCTAGGTGGACAGGGAAGAGTATCTGTAATATGCTGGACTAGCCTACTGCAAGGGACAGAAATTTCACAATATATCCCATCCTCCAGATTATTACTAAAAATGGTCAATGGGTCTGGGATCAATTTGCGGAGGTATAGTGATTCAACAACTGCCTGCTCATTTTATCATTTGTACCCACCTTTAGTCCAGTTTTAATTCACTAAAATTTAAAGTTCTTAAAACAGACCAGTGGTGCATACAGCACAGTACTGTTCACAATAATAGGCTGTCTTCTGTGGGGCCAATCCCCTAGAGCAGTGGTCCCCAACCTTTTTGGTACCAGGGACTGGTTTTGTGGAAGACAATTTTTCCATGGACCATGGTGGGGGATGCATTAGATTCTCATAAAAACTGCACAATCTAGATTCCTTGCATGTGCAGTTCAAAATAGGGTTTGTGCCCTGATGAGAATCTAATGCTGCAGCTAATCGGACAGGAGGTGGAGCTTGGGCAATAATGCTGGCTCACCTGCTGCTCACCTCTGGCTGTGTGCACTGGTTCCTAACAGGCCACGGACTGGTATGGGTCCATGGCCAGGGGTTGGGAACACCTGCTCTAGAATAGGGATTTAGGCCCAATCATTCTAAGCTTAAAGATTCCAAATTCATGGAACATTTTTGTTTTCTAGCCTCTCACATCTGTGTGGGTGGTAGTGCTACATTTCTAAAAAAAAATTCACCCTTATCAGTAAGTATGCTCTTTTGATATATGCTGTATGATTGTCCATAAATTCCCAGAAATTTGAATGTGTGAACAAGCCCTCATTATCCTTTGTCTGTTGTCTTCTCATCCACAGGTCTTTTTAACCTTGATTTTCAAAAGGTCTTAAGTCCCTATAATTAACTTTGCCTGCCACTGTATGTACTTTCAAAAAGTTTCATGTCTTTGAGATACGGTATACCAAATCCCACAAGGACGAAAGACAAAATAGGTCTGCATGTATTTGTTTATAATCATCATTCCTCATGTAAACTCTGTGAGGGAAGAAACCACATCATTCTTGGTCATCACTGTATCCTCAATGCCTAGTGAGTGCCTGACATGTGATAGATGCTAACACATTTGGTGAGTAAAGCCCATCCAATAATACCCCATTGATCATGCAGATCCACAACGGCTTACTGAACCAGAGCATTTAAGGGTCAGTTCAAGTCATCCAGATCTCCTGCCCCAATTGTAATTGATGACTCTCTGCCTATAACCTATCTTTGCCAACATTTAGTCTCATGAGCTATTCCTGATCGCATTCCCTTTGGTTTAGCTGTAATATTCTGGACTAGCCTACTTCAAGGGACAGAAATTTCACAATATACGCCATCCTCAGATTATTACTAAAAATGGTCAATGTGTCTGGGATTGATTTGCTGAGGTAAAGTGATAACTACTGCCTGCTCATTTTATTATTGGTACCCACCTTTAATCCAGTTAACAACAAACTTTCCCAATTTACACTAATACTTAAATAACTTTTAGTATGAAGCACCAAACATTTTCCCCATAATTTGAATTGTGCCCACAGCTCTCTGTTGCCACTTTTTCTTGGCTTTCCAGAAAAAAATATAAGCCACATTTTATACTACTTTATAAAGACCTCGTTATCTTTCACACCCCTGCCCCAATGGTGTTAACATTTAATACTCTTCTTTATTCAAACCGTTTGCTCATTAACAAGTGAAAATATACCTGTTGTTCCAAAGGCTATGTTTGGAAGTTATATTAGCACTGTCCTGTTCTACAGAAGAAACAAGGAATTTGGAATAGTGGTGGAGAAAACATACATAACTATTCATACGCTATTTGTTTTCTCTATGCCTAAATACTTAAGAACAATGAAGACTGGGGAACTTAAATGTAAGTGAAGAACAAGTGGCCAATTTCAAGTGATTAATGTAACTTAGATGGAATCAAATCTTGGGATTGCTATAAACTGATGAAACAAGGCCAATGAATTATATATGCATTCAGTAATATGAATCAATGAAAACTTAATTTCTTTTCTCGTGTAAGATTCTCAATTATCCAGAAAAGGTGAAACC
The DNA here is from genome assembly GCF_000001405.40 of Homo sapiens. Lineage (NCBI taxonomy): Eukaryota > Metazoa > Chordata > Mammalia > Primates > Hominidae > Homo > Homo sapiens. The sequence goes on from NC_000009.12 coordinate 23,707,344, forward strand.
TCACCAGCTGGGACGTGCATCCCTATCTAGGATTCTATGGCTTTTTTTTCCACAGGAGGGAGCACCCAACAAGTCAGCTGTTACTCTGTTCCAGATCATGTGACTGAAGTACTCCCATTATGAACAGCCATGTCCCATGGGCTCCAGGGCAGGCATCTACACATTCTCCAAGGAGGCTAACTTCCAATGACTGATCAAGCAACCAGCAGCAGGTGACAGGCTCTGCATGAGATCAAGTGTCACAGGAGGCAGTGGAAATGTGGTTAAAGGTAACAGCTAATCGGTGTGCCTGGGCTCAAAACTAGGTTTAATTCATAACCAGTTCTGTGAACTTAGAACTAAGTTCTTCAAGCCTATTACCACAATTCTACCTTCTTTATATGGCTATTAGGAATAATTAAATAATTTCTAATCCACATGAAAAGCTTCAGAGCCTAATCTATGTGACATTATAAATATTATTTACCTCTACATGCATCTGAAAATTTAGGTAAATGCCCAGCCCCTTAAAGTAGAGAGAAACCTGGGTCCATTACAGTGTTCTAGAACAATTTACTCATGCAGTGACATTCACTGCTTTGTGCAATTCAGATGAGTGTAGGTGGTGTGTCTTAAAAGTCATCCTAAAATATATTTAGGAAAATGGGTTTATATTTAATGCTTATATAAAGGCTTTGAAAACATACCTAGGTCAGTTATGTGATTTTTTTTTTCCCCAATGTCCACTCTTCAGTTTATATTGTATCTTTAGTTCCCAGCCACATTAAAAAGGCTCCAAGACAAACCTTCTCAAAAACAGTATCTTTCAGTGACATTGTCAAAGAACCATTTTCCACTACCACAGGCAGGACAGGAGTGATTAGATTATATATAAACTTACGTCGGTAACAATGTTTAATGTTAAACTTACATTTAGGGCATTATGAGACTTCACCATTTACAAGGCATTTTCACAAACTACAATATTTTGTCTGTGCCTCACAACAACCCCATGAGGTAGGCAGCATACATATTAGTATTTTATAGCTGGGGAAACAGGCACAGACAAGGTAAATAACATGCCTAAGGTTATACACAACTAGTGTTGAATTCTGGGTTCAAACTCTGATCTTTCTCTTTCTGTGTCCTGGTCTCCTCATCCAGTTTTCCTTCAATAATACTATGGTAAGTGAGTGTTTCAGTTCACTTGTTCTGAGTTGGGAAAAATTAAATGAATCCTGGCTGTTTCTTAAAGGCATACACAGAGAAACTGGCCACAGACAGAAAACAGGATGTTGCTAGAAATTAGTTAAAAGTTATTCCACTTTTTATTATTTTGAGACGGAGTCTCACTCTGTTGCTCAGGCTGGAGTGCAGTGGGTGATCTCGGCTCACTGTAACCTCTGCCTCCCGGGTTCAAGCTATTCTCCTGCCTCAGCCTTCCAAGTAGCTGGGATTACAGGCATGTACCACCACACTGGCTTTTTTTGTATTTTTTAGAGACAGGGTTTCACCATGTTGGTCAGCCTGGTCTCGAATGCCTGACCTCAGGTGATCAGCCCACCTCGGCCTCCCAAAGTGCTGGGATTACAGGCATGAGCCACCACGCCCGGCTCCATTAATATTTTTAAGAGTAATTTTTTCTAAGAAAAGAGAAGTGGCCACTAATTACAATTAACCAAAGAAACTACACATCATCATTAGAATTTTTAAATTAATTTTTGTTACTTTCTAATTCTCAGGAGTAAGCAATGCCATTTTCGTTCACTTTCAGGAAATAAAGGTGTAAGAAAGGGTAATTGCCTTCTCCTTCCTCCCAGACCAAGGCTCAAGGTCCTACCCCTATCCCTTTATTTACTGTTCTTGGAATTAAAACAGCTTCCTTTCCCTTCCACTATCAAGGATATCGCTGTCATCAAAATCCTCCCTTCCTGGAAAACATTTCTTCTTTCATCTAAAAAGATTATAAATAGAAAATGTATTTAGACCTAAGTGGGAAGAAGGCTGATAGTGGGATAAGGACTCACACTCTGGAGATCAGTTACCTAAGGACTCACACTCTGGAGATCAAATCAGTTACCAAACTAAATTTTGTATCTGACCATTACCAGCAACCTTCTCCATTCCGATTTTTTTTTTTTCCTGTGGATTTAGATCTTACAGGTGCCTTCATATGCACCTACAGAATCATACAGGGGCTATTTTCAGAAAGTGTTAAGTATCTTTTTGGTTCTACAAGACTAAACTCCCTTGAAGGCCCAAAAGAGTTCGCTTTAAATGACAAATTCTATTTAGAAATGCTTCAAAACAATGGACTTCCAGCATATGTCCTACTGAGGTCAAAATAGCCTCTTTCTCCACTGCAATCTGTTCTCCATTTTCCATTTGCTGGATTAATATATGAGTTTGGATTTTAAATTTTCACTGCCACTTAAACAGGTGAATATTTAATGCATGAGAAGCAAGGTTATGAAATGTCAAAACTACTAAGTGAAGGATCTAATTTAAGAGGCAGCCAGAGAGTCTGCAATTTAAATATTTAAAGATGATACAGGGAGTACAACACTGAACACCAATCTACTCCAAAGATAGCAATTTAAAACTCAGGTTTATTCTGGAATTTCTCACAAAAGCTACGAGTGATATAATAAACAAAGACAAGCAATACTGAGATTATATGAGGGAAGGGGAGGGACGGGGAGGCAGTAAGTACTTGCTACTACAGGTAAGTAAATGGCCCATGGCTTCTCAAACTGTTCTTCACAAACAAGACTAGACTAGACAAAATAAAGATAGAATATATTTATTGAATTATGTCTTGAAAATGGAACCGTTTGAAATATAGTGTATTACTTGTAATTAAAAGCTCATTTCTTCATCAGCAGCTAAAACTAATGATACATTAAACATACAAAGATGAGTAACACATACACTAAGAGTGGGCTATCAAACACAAGTTGATCAAAATTATACAAAGAAACAAAACCATCTTATGAATTAGTACTTTATTAAATGTACATAGCAATGTTTAAAATCCCAGTGCATCACTATCAGAAGTCCCTCTAAATGCTTTCGTCCAAACACACAACTGCTCTCGTTTCTCTGATTCATCAATGGAAAGATCAGTGACAGTGGACATTAATACCAATAGATTAAAGTGATAAGGTCTATAAATGAACAAAGAAGTTCCCTCTTTTTTAAACTAAAAACATTTGAGAAGTCACCCACTGCTAAGATCACCACTGAACAACTTTTATCACTTGTCAATTACTGACCCAGGACTACAAACATTAAACCTGAAAATTAGACACTTGCCACTTTAGACTTTTTTCAAAAAGCTCCTTTCAATCTCTCCAGCTGAAAGGTCACAGTTATGCCTATTTAAACGGACAGTTAATTGCTGTTCATATTTTTTAAAGATGGAGTCTTCGTGGGACTATCTGAAAAATGACACTATAACTCAATAAAAGTTAGCTCTAGGCTCTAAGTAAGCAGTAGCAAAGGTCTTGTGACAGCATCATGGATATTTGGACAGGTGGCTACATCGGACCTTCCAAAATGAGCTCAGAAGTATAGTACACAGAAGAAGGGGGATCTCTAACCACAACTCAGGCCAGAGACCTCAAAATTCACCCAAAAGGAAGATGTGTACTTTGATCTGCTTCTAAATTCAAACTCCTACCAGGAACAAGTCTCAAACACACATCAAGGCATACATGTATCACAGTCCAATATTAAGTTTTCAATAAGGAAGGGCATATTTCACAATGGGTTGAAAATGAATAAGCCTAAGATAACAATAAGAAATTAAGTATTAGCTCCAGCAAAGTTAGAGCTAAAAGAAATAATCACATCCAAACAGGAAATTTTATAAAAGGTATTAAAGGTTAGGGCAGTTATCTTTAACGGATATTCCAAAATATAGGATTTAGAAAACTATCAGTGGAAAATACACACAGAACCTTAAATTTTATCGTGACTGGATTTGTTGAATGTTTTAAGACTAAACAATTGCTTTAATTCAAGTGAGAAGTTCAGAGATACCACGGAATATATTTGATAATGTCATCCTCAACTTAAATTACCTAAAGGGCTCCCTAAGACTTTCAGATAAATTTTAGAATTCTTATTCCTTTATGGTCAGAGCACTGGCTACCTCTTCCATACAAGTATACAAAACCTTCGGTAGTATTCCAAGCTTCCTGCTCTCACTTCTCTGTGTTAAAAATAAGCTGCCCTCCTTCCAATCAGCTAAATTTCAGTCATTTCAGACACCTCATGGGTATCACCTAGTCCCTAAAGTCAACACTAATCAGTCCTCTCCACTACAGTCTGAGTTGGGTGCCTCTTACCTGCACCCACACTGCATTATATGCCTTGTTTTCTTAAATACTGACTTAACCAAAATGTACTTATCTCTTAACCCTTTCTTGTGACTGACTTAACCCCTTGAAATAAGAAACCTTGTCATCATCCTACTTTGTACATCCTGGTAACTACCACACACTCACTGTAATGAAGATGATTTATAATCACATATTAAATTGAGAGTTTATTTCTGAAATACTGTTTAAAAGCTAACAGAAGCCACAATCTTTGTCATATACCCAACATTATACGCATTGGTACTTTGTGTACAGACTACAATGAAAATTCTATTAATCATTTCAAAAATGAAATTTCATTTCTCAAATTGGGGATTCAAGTCCCCAGAGGCGACACAATCTTCAACAAAGTAATATGGTGCTGATAGGAGGCTGTGGGGCGGGGGGAGTCTTAATTTTGGAGCAAAAAGAAAATACAGTGATCATTTAGTCCAATTTCTTTGTATCTGGGAAATAGGAAGACTGAGGCACAGAAAGGTGAAGCAACTTTTCCAAAGACACAAAGAAAAAGAGTTGGGTGTAGGACTCGCGGTCTTAGCTCTTCATCACGGGATTTTCCATTACATCATTAGCTGCAACACAGTCTTCAAAATCATAAAATCTTCCTGTGAAATGACAGTGACTGGGACAATAATCAGACATTTCCAAGGAGACATCAGAAGAGCTATTCCTAGAAAATAAGAACCTTAGCTTTGCTACATAGAATATTTTCTTGTATACACATAAGGAAATAATAAAACACATCAAAAAAACTGTCTTAGGACAGTTATTATAATTCTTCTACTAGTAATGCCTGAGAATTATTTAGGAGATGTTGGAGAAAAAAATCTAATTATTTGGGAGTTGAAGAGAAAAATCAAACTAAGAATCCTGAGACTAGTACTTTCCACCAATTAAAACGTACCAACCTACAATAGCTAGAATCTTTTTGATAGTGTCTCTCCCTTTTATAAGATTACAAACCAATTAACAGGAAAACAGAATGGCAACTGGCTGTTTACACTAGGGGAGATTCTCATTTTCATAGAATTTTCAAGTTTTAGTGCAACATCATTAAATATTAGTCAAGGCAGTTGATCTTAGCTTCAACTTAAAGGCGACCTAGGAATAAATAAGTAATGTCATAAAAATAAGTGATCCTATGACATTGTTAAAGACAATAATAAATCTACTGAATAGCCACAGAAAAATAAAAAGTGTTTTGGCTGTAAGAACTGTATATCAAGCAACTGATCATCAACTACAGACTTCACAAATTAGACCACCTTTTTCACACATCTTAAACAGCCTCTGACAAACTACACTGCACTGAGTGTGGTTTATTAAATGCTACCCAAACAGTTGCATCCATGTGTATCAAAGAGGGTCTAAATAGGCTGCCCTGACAGGCATCTCGTTTTTAGTAAAGTACAACTGGTACATAACTTCTGCCCTTTTATTGTTGTTTCTCCTTGGTTCTAGTATGAAGTTGGTTCAACAAGGACATCTCATACTGGTAAAGGCAAATGGGATACATGGTAAAGATATTCTTGAAATGCAACTTAGGCCATAAATACCTTACCATTTCTTAAATTTTTTACCTGCAGAGATACTTAACAGAAAATAAAACAATTGAGCAATGGTAGTGGATATGGCATCTGAGGTGGAGGCAGTGAAATCAAATTCACTATGGTAGTGGCAGTAGGCTAGCCATTCCAAGTCTAAGCAGGAACTTGTCAATCAAAATGTTCCATGTTCCATTTCCAATCCTGTATATTTCACTTAGCCTTTTCAGACTTTAGAAGGTGATTACACTAAAGTAGTATAAAAAATAGATGGGAGTTTTAGCGTAACCACCAAAGAGTCTATTCCTACCGGTAGCTCTCTGCATTAGAAAATTGTCAGTAGTGGTTAAGAATGCTAACTCCCTTACTTTTAACTTCAGAAATGAGCCTGCATTTATTTAGCCACATAATATTTATAAATACTAAGTAATGTGAATAGGCTGCAACTGAGGCAAGCACGTGTTAGCTTAGCACCAGGTTCAAAAATATATTATACAAAGCAGAAGAGAATACACTGTAACTGGTAAAGTTCTGGCCACTACACAGCATACTATGAAACTAGAGGTTAGGATGGAATGTTTGGACCAGAACCCTCCCATGTTAAGGAGTAAAAACATATGGTATGGAGTCACACAGAGCTAGGTCCAGGTCTTGGCTCTGTTACTTACCAGTTAATCATTTCCTTAGGTCTTCTATCTCTTTATTTGTAATTTGATGTTAATCACAGTACTTACCTCATGGAAACCTTACAAGTATTAAATGCAACAATAAAACTATTAGCAAAGAGCAGAGGAACCATAAATGTTTTAATCATAACATCATTTTATATACATACATAGGAAACAATTCAGATAATGATAGCTCCTAACACTTATTGTTTACCATGTGCCAGACACTGTTCTGGATATGTAACATATGTTAATTCAATTGCTCCTCCCAATAAGTTTATGCAGCATCATCATCCCCAATTTATGGAACAAAAACTCAAGGAATACTATTATCTTTGAGGTCAGGAAAGATGACACAGAGGAGGAGACGTGGCACAAGAACAATGTATGCACTCTAACACAGAAACAGTTCAAAAATCACATATATAAATGAGGCTTCTTCCAAATCCATGGTGATAATTATTAAAGTTAATTCCTGAATATTCCAAATATTTTGTAAGATGACAGCAGATGAGTGTGCTGGGAAGCCTGCAGCCTGGATGGAGGGAACATAAGGAAGGAGCTGTCTTACTGACATACAGAGAGCAAACATTCAACATCTATAAATGGGCCAACAGTTAAGGCCCCAAAATTTTATTTCTCCCATCAAGCTGTTACATATTAAACCTCTCACTACCTCAATTCTCTTTTGTAGAGACCTGTTGAACCTAAGCCAGTAAAACGTAAAATGAGCGATTCTTTTGGATAGACAGTAGTAGAAATATAAATGAACTTCATGGAATAACTTCTATCTTGAGATGAAGGTTATGGGTATGTTTCTGCATGTGAAATGTGTTACAAGCTACCATGCAATCGGCCACCTGATGATTCAATATGATTTCCCAGTTAAAAAAAAAATACTGAAGAGGCTACACTCTCAAGTACCACTATAAAACTTTCACTTTAGACATTTTCATTAAATATACTATGAATACATTCGAGAGACTAAAAGAAAAATCTCAGTACTCACTAGTCAGTACTCAGTATTTTGAGCCTTCTTAAATACGGCCAGAGAACTAGACTGCCTCAAAGCTTCCTCCCAAGTTAACAGTATTACCATTCAAAGCTTTTATATTACTATGTTTTATACTTCTAGAGGGAGGGTTGAAACTAAGTCTTATATGATGCCTATCTCACATAGTCCCACCCACCAAGTAGGGACTCTACTACCTGTTGAACGTATACATTCCATGGCCTTGTGCAGGAGGTTTTTCTTTTTTGAGGCAGAGTCTCACTCTGGAGTGCAGTGGCACGATCTCAGCTCACTGCAAGCTCCACCTCCCGGGTTCACACCATTCTCCTGCCTCAGCCTCCCGAGTAGCTGGGAACACAGGCGCCCGCCACCACGCCCGGCTAATTTTGTTGTATTTTTGTAGAGACGGGGTTTCACAGTGTTAGCCAGAATGGTCTTGATCTCCTGACCTCGTGAGCCGCCCGTCTCGGCCTCCCAAAGCGCTGGGATTACAGGCGTGAGCCACCACGCCCAGCTAGGAGGTTGTTCTGAAGTACCTCTCAAGCAAGATGATTAGAAGTTGTGGCATTTGCCCAAATAACTTGGCTTTTGCTGCTTCACTGAAAACAACGCAGGCTAAATTGGCTTGCAGAAAATCAGATATATTCATTCAATTGTTAGAAGCCCATTCTCCAGCAATGGCTTCAGTATTCTTTCAAGATTCTGAAACTTGACCCAATGACATCTCGAACAGATGCCAATACTATCAAGATAACCATGGCAACTTTATCTCCAAAAATGTACTTAAGATATAATTTGTGTAGTATCTGAATGTCTAGTATGCCTAAGACACTGTCAACAGATTAAAATGCTGAGTTAGAATGTTAAACTAAAGAAGGACTACACACTGGCTGGCATAAATAAACTGCAGGTGTCTTAGAATAAAAAACAACCAGTACCGGTTGGTAATGTGAAAAAAGAAAAAAGGTTCTCATCAAGCCAATTTTGGTGAATTAAACATCCTAGGACTTTCATACACTTCTTCATCCATGATCTGACAGAGAGAAGTACATGAAAAGGAGAAGTGGATAAGACAAGAGACGGGTAGGTGGACATTATGTAGAAAATCTCACATAACGGGATACCTTTACTTAAATCTTTGTTTTTCACCACATGTTCTCACTCATAGGTGGGAAGTGAACAATGAGAACACTTGGACACAGGGTGGGGAACATCACACACCGGGGCCTGTTGTCGGGTTGGGGGAGGGGGGAGGGATAGCATTAGGAGATATACCTAATGTAAATGATGAGTTAATGGGTGCAGCACACCAACATGGCACATGTATACATATATAACAAACCTGCACGTTGTGCACATGTACCCTAGAACTTAAAGTATAATTTTAAAAATATGTATATATAAAAAAACTTTGTTTTTGTATGAAACAAAAAAGCTGTTAAGTCCTTTACATATCCTTCATCCGACCACATCTTCAATGTATAGTGACACCTACCAACAAGTTTTGAAAAACACACCCAAAGTTAAAAATGGCATTAAAACAAAAACAAAACAAAACGAAAAACCTCCAAGAATCTCAACTTTTAATTTCACTTAAACTGTGACTTTTTTCGTCTTTGAGCACACAGAGCAGGTCTTCACTGTCTCTTATAAGCAATAGACAGAAGCTTCCTCATGCAGAGGTTATAAATAAAAACATTCTGCAAGCTGCTCTCCAAAGACAAAAATCCCGTTGCCCTCAGAGAGCAGACCACCAAATAGATGAGAAAGGAAATGTATAGTTAAGAAATTTTTATCCACTTTATTAATTTATTTTATGGCCAAATAAAACTTTATCAATGACAGGGTTAGAGGGCCATGTAGGCAGAGAATAATCCAAGGCAATGGAGAATTAGGCTTCCATACTGAATGATGAAGAGCCCAGCTGAGCCAGAATAAAGATTTCTGTAGGACACTGACAACACTAGAACAGTGAGTTGAGGGCAGAGTCTAGAGACCTTGAATGTCAGGGCAAAACTTTTATGAGCAGAGGAATGACAATCTAAATGTTGGTAAGTATTATCAGACAGAAATGTATGGAAGGAGAATACAGAGACAGTTTCCCATCATAACGCAGGTGAGGAGAACAGTCAAAATCAGTGTGGTAGTAAAGTTAAATGTAAATGCCATCTACAGTTAAGTTTCCCTTTGTACTATAACTAGAAGAAAAACTGCTTTGCAACAATGTTCAGAAACCCAAGTCTTCTTTGACCTACTTCATATAGTAATGAAAATATAATGATCCTTTCCTCTGTGTGTACACTAAATACTGCTTAGAGAAACTTCATCTTGATACCATTTGTAAATACTTAAATGAGTCCCATGGGTCTCCACGGATCTTTGCAGAGCAAGGCAAATATGTTTCTACGAGCAAATTACTTGATCCACCCAAAATTCATTCCTATTGTTTCTCTTATAAATTAGGTCCTCACTAAAGGGGGATAAATGTAAAGTACAGGGCTAGGTTTAATCAAATTTTCCTGCCAATCATTTTTGTAGAAGGTTATTACTTGATAGAATAAGTATACTTTATGGTGTTCAGATGTAAGCTTCTCCTAAAAGGTACACATCACGTGAAGGCCTCTGTGCTTTTGAATGAGACATTCCCTTATGTGTAATACATTTCTTCTTTTTCCGCCCAATAAAACCTAGCTTGTAAAACACCATCAACTCTGAAATCAACACAGAGGCCTCTAGACAGCAAGTGGCATATCCATTTTCATTGTATTCTGCACTTACTCATCATATATCCAAATAATGGTCATATAAACTAAGTGCTGTCTCCCTTACTACACAATGACATCAAGGACAAGGCTACCTCTTGTCTTATTTTAATGCTGTTCAAACATTTAGCAAAGCTAACTAGCCCACATTAAGCACTCAAAATGTTTATAAAATATTTAATTACAGATACTCCCTGTCCAACACTGTATAGCCAAGATTACATGGTCTCAGTAAAACAAAAAAACAACTTGCAATTAAATACTTCTCAAAAACTTTTACATTTGCTTATCCTGGCCCTTTGTTTTGTGGGCAAGGTGAGCACCATGCACATCTTTTAAAGCTACTGACCTTTCCTACAAACTTGGAGACAGGCCTATTAGTCTTGTTATGGTTCCATATAATATAATAAAGCCCTAAGGGGTGGGAAGTCTTGAACATAAAGTAACTACTTCTACTAAATCTTTAACGTATTTTAAAAATAGGATTCCTCAAACACCCAGAGAAAAATTCCTAACAAATAATCTTCCTCTTAAAGGATGTTTTATGTCAACAATCCCCATTTAAACACCTGTTTTAAATTTAAAACACAATCTGCAAGCCCTATCTACATTACAAGTAAACCATACGCTATCCAAGATTTAGTGTTTTGGGCCCTGATTTGACACAATTATCAGGGATCTAATGTATGTATACAGGTATACATACACAAAGAAGTTAGGAAGCCAGCTCACTTTCTTTCAAGGGCAGCCTGTCTTTGGTAATCCTCAATCAGTAGAAACTGTACCAGTTTTTTAAAAATTTAAAAAGCAGTAACAGCAAACACTGCAGATTGCTTATGGCATTTAACAGGCAGAGATGGAAATTTGTGTAAGGCACGTATGATAAAGGAGAAAGCAAGGAAAAAGAATAACAGAAATGTTATTAAAAGCCCTCCCCACAGAGCCAAAGGAAGTTTTACCTACACATATTTTGTGGGGCTGACATAAGTTATGCAACTATGAAAAATTTATTCAATACATAAGGGGATAACCCCTGAAACATTAGTGAGTGTTGTTTTATGACTTTAAGTCTACCAAGATATTTCTCTCACAACATGATTAGACATTAGAGAATAACCATAGGGAAAGCTTTTTTTAAATGAACTGATTTGCAAGACTAATAGTCTCATTCAAAGACAATCCTTCATTCTCCAAGTATCTATTAGACACCTGAGCTGTATATTCCCCCTAACAGCTTTAACAAAAAATAATTACTGTATTCCCAAAACCCTTTGTGTGACAGTTGTGAAGATTTTAAAAGAAAGAGTTTTTAAGGAAAACATGGACAACCTTCACTGTACGCAATAAAGAGACCATATCATTGCCATCTATGCAACACCTGCAGAAATTTAAAGAGGGGCAGCGAGGAGGGGAACTACCACCTTTATCTTTGTTCTAAGACAAAGTGTTCTCCTGCTTCAGATCTCCAGAAGCACCTTGAGAATCCCGTCCTGAGATATTTAATTACACTGAATGATTTGGTACCAGGCCCTTTCCCTGGGTCTTGCTGACTGATAGCATCAATAACACTCACTGGCTGTAATTAAACCGCCAAATAGTATCCCCTTTGCCACTTGGCAGATAAATGTTCTTTAATACTCCAAAGAACAAAGTACAAAGGTGAGAGGGGTGTTTTTACCCCTCACCTTCACAGTTCATCTGACTTTGTGCACCAGGATATACATATACTGTAGACAATGCATATTTTACAATTCCCCTCAGACATTGCTTAATGAAGAACATGAAGAAAAATCCTTGGTTTCTTATTAATTCATTTTTGCAACTCTGAGCAGGGGGAAAACACTGTAAGCCTTTTGGCAAGAGTATGCACTGCTTTCACATAGCTTTGGGGCAACATTTGGTTTACAGGTCAAAAGGGTTTCTAAATTAAGTTTGCATATAGCAAAAAATTTTTTCCTTTAAAAAATTATAGCATAAAATGTGTGGAAGCTCTTATAATAGAGCAAATTCCCATTTATTGAGGCCCTGGCTAGAAAGCTCAAATATCAAGACACTGGGTAGGGAAGGAAGAGGGGTTTGGTTGGCAGGCTATAAAAATAAGACAAATTTTTATTAAATTTTAAAAGCCACTTTTTTTTTTTTTTTTTTGAGATGGGAGTTTTGCTCTTGTTGCTCAGGTTGGAGTATAATGGTGTGATCTCAGCTTACTGCAACTTCCGCCTCCCGGGTTCAAGGGATTCTCCTGCCTCAGCCTCCCCAGTAGCTGGGTTTACAGGCACCTGCTACCAAACCCAGCTAATTTTTTGTATTTTAAGTAGAGACGTGGTTTCACTACATTGTCCACGCTGATCTCAAACTCCGGACCTCAGGTGATCCACCCGCCTCAGCCTCCCAAAGTGCTGGGATTACAGGCGTGAGCCACCGCGCCTGGCTCAAAAGCCACTTTCAAAACTTAACTCCCAATCTCTATAAGACACCCTTTCACCTTTTTTTTTTGAGACAGAATCTCCCTCTATCCACCCAGGCTAGGGTGCAGTGGTGTAATCTCGGCTCACAGCAACCTCCGCCTCCCAAGTTCAAGTAATTCTCCCTGCCTCAGCCTCCGGAGTAGCTGGGATCACAGGCACCCGCCACCATGTTCGGCTAATTTTTGTACTTTTTAGTAGAGATGGGGTTTCGTCATGTTGGCGGCCAAGCTGATCCTGAACTTCTGACTGCCCACCTCAGCCTCCCAAAGTGCTGGGATTACAGGTATGAACCACTGTGCCTGGCCAAGACACCCATTTTAAATGGATAGGCCCTAAAGAACCATACTGAAAATTCTCCAAATACCCTCAGAAGCAAATAAATTATGCTAGCATAATTGTAATGTTGAAGTATTTAATGACACACAAATGCCCTGAAAATGAGCAAATTGTGTGTGAGAACGTGCATTATTTCTTAGGTAAATCCAGCACTATATTCATTAAAAACACATTAGTGAATCCCAGCCATTCAACATATCTTGATGTAACCGACAAATGAAAATCCTATTTTTTACAAGTAGACTTGTTTTAAAATAAGCACCACAGACCTACCCAAGTGCAAATCATTAAGATCCACTGAACAGTGTTTCTCAGGTCAGGCCACCATCTGCTTAAGAATCACCTGTGGTGGCTGTTGAAATACAATTTCCTCAGTCTCTCTCTGCAGATAATCAGATTCAGTAAGTCCTGGTTGGGGTGTAGAAATCTGCATTTTTAATCAACCACCCCACCCCACTGATCCTGATAAACATTAAAGTGTTGGCAGTCTCTTGTGTAAAGGCATTTGAAATAATCCTCAAAACTCTGGGCATATTAGGGTTTCCTAGATAGCTCATAACAACCACGGATGCCAAGCCCTTTTCCTTGCCATCCACTGATCGTTAGTTTCTAAATAAGACAAATGCCAGGTAGCTTGAAAGCAAAGCATTTAGGAATATAAATCACCTGCAAATGCAAAAATGCAGACGTAAAATAAAGCCCATGAAACTCATCCAAAGATATTTCCAAGAACCCAGACTGGCTGGATGTGGCTCAACTGGGTTAGCCTCTTCAAAAAGGCCACTGTGCTTGATTCTATGAAGTTAGGAGCTTCTCTCAATGACTCTTTCTAGGAATATGAATATGGTTATTTGGTTAAGGCAAGCACAAATTTCTAGATAGACATTTAACAACCAAAACTAGAAACTGAAACTTTTTCTGAATTATTAGTTTCCAGGACTACATGCTTGTTCTATTTTTCCTTGCCCTTCCTGCAGCTCACCTGATCAAGAAACCAAGAACAGAACACAAATCCAAGACTTACACCTCCAAGTCCTATTGCAGCATTCAAAAGAGTTCTTCACAGAAGGAAGGGAGAGGAGGCAGGCAAGTATCAGATTTCCTGTACTGTTTTCAAAATACAGATGACCCTGGAACAATATGGGTTTGAACTGTGTGGGTGCACTTAATATGGGATTTTAGACCAACCCCTCCCTCTTCCTCTGCCTACTCAACATAAACATGACAAGGGGGAAGGATCCTTATGATGATCCACTTCCACTTAATGAACAGTAAATATATTTTGTCTACCTTATGATTCTCTTAACCTTTTCTTTTCTCTAGCTTACTTTATATTGTAATAACACATAATATGTAATACATGAAACATACAAAATATGTGATAACTGTTTATGTTATCAGTAAGGCTTCTAGTCAACAGTAGGCTACTAGTAGTTAGGTTTTTGAGGAGTCAAAAGTTAGACTTTTTGCTATATGGGGGCTGCTACCCATAGCCCCCGAATTGTTCAAGTGTCAACTGTACAGCTCTGTCTCATTGCCCAAAAGCAGCATGTCAAGACACTTCTGGAAATAAAACATCCACAAGTAATTCTAATGTAGTACATGCGGGTGAGAACACACACTAAAAGTAATGATAGGAATGGCTGGCAGAAGTGAAAATAAAAGAAAATGCACCATCCATGCTTTTTTAAAGAGTCTACGCAAATTTAAAGAGAGACCAATGTTAACACACATTTCTGTAACCTTTAAACTAGCATCTACGACTTACATGAACCTACCAGAAAAACATTGTCGAAGAATGCGTAGCTGCCTAAAAAATAATTTCAGGAAGTTACTACTATAATAATAATTTTACTGTTCATTACAACTGAAATAACTGAATCAATGTTAACTCACTTATCTGCTAAGTATGACCTCCAGATCCAGTTTTCTTCTCAAACTGTACGTCTGGCTGTCTCAAGTGCTCACTCTGCAAGAGGGCAGAGTTCTTCACTCCTAGGCAAAGACAGCTCCACTCTCTGGCACCTAAGAGATCTGGTCCAGAAAGTCTCAAGACAAAGACACTCAAAGGCCCAAATTAAGGCCTCTCTCAGTTGGTTTATTTAGAGTGGTATCTGAGCAAAACAGTTTAACATCAATAATGTGAAATGGAAAGAAAACAACAAAAGCTACGGCATCAGCCAACATGATACTACATTTCTGATGCTTATTAGCTATTTCATTTTGAACAAATCCCTTTTAACCTGAGCTTTATTTCATCAAAGGGATTAAGTATTTGCCTACCAGAGACTACTGCTGTTTCTGCACGAATTCAAAACAGTAAAAAGATAATAGTCCTATGAAATTTGTTTCAAAAGTAGATACAGCAAAGAATTAAGGGCTCCTTCTTGGGAAGTTAACACAATCATCTTAACTTCACAAGCCAGGTATGTGGTAGAACAGACTGAAGCCAAACTGACCTAGCACCACTTTTCCCAGGTGATAAATGAAAGAAAAGCCCTACCCCACATTCCCCTTAAAAAGCAGTGGGAAAGTAAAGCAACAAGGGCTAGCAGTGTGATGTTCAGGTAGAAAAGATTTTTGTTTTCTTCTTGTAAATTTGTTTGAGTTCATTGTAGATTCTGGTATGTTTATTGCGGCACTATTCACAATAGCAAAGACTTGGAACCAACCCAAATGTCCAACAATGATAGACTGGATTAAGAAAATGTGGCACATATACACCATGGAATACTATGCAGCCATAAAAAATGATGAGTTCATGTCCTTTGTAGGGACATGGATGAAATTGGAAATCATCATTCTCAGTAAACTATCACAAGGACAAAAAACCAAACACCGCATGTTCTCACTCATAGGTGGGAACTGAACAATGAGAACACACGGACACAGGAAGGGGAACAACACACCCTGGGGACTGTTGTGGGGACGGGGGAGGGATAGCATTAGGAGATATACCTAATGCTGAATGACCAGTTAATGGGTGCAGCACACCAGCATGGCACATGTATACATATGTAACTGACCTGCACATTGTGCACATGTACCCTAAAACTTAAAGCATAATAATAATTTAAAAAAAAAAAAGAAAAGATTTTTGGCCATCCAGATCAGTTTCAATTTATCTTATCTCACTGTTATCTTAGAAATCAAACTCAAACACATTTGAACATGTGGTTCAACTATTTTCAGTGTCTTCTATCATGATGCACATGGTTTGCTTGAATCTCTTCCTCAGCCTCCTTATTATTCGGAAACCAATTTTGCACTTAACATTCTAGACCTGTGAGCTGTTATAAGGGTTCTGCCTCAATGACTCAAATTTCTGATAAACAGTAAGTTTCAGTGACATCCCCACCACATGCCCCTTTCAATTCCACACGTGCACACACACACAGACAGCAACAATTTCCTAAACCTATACAAGTTATTACTTCTGTGGCTTTCCCCCTACCTTACACAGAAGCAATACTCACAAGGAGGCAGTTACTCTTTTAATTCCAATGGAGGTCTTCATAAAACCTGACATTCTCCATGCTGGTTACAGAAATGAAATAGCCAGGCTTTTCTGGTATAGACCATACTTTGCATAAGTTTAAGCATCTGCCATGAGGGGCTATGATACCCCTGTGGAGCATGCTTAGGTAACAAAATGATCCATCAATTCCAATAAAGATGGGTTCAGTCAACTGTTGAGACTCTTCTACCATCACTATCCACTGTGTGGCTGACAGGCAGGAAGTAAGCAGGGGACACTGCCACCAAGAACCCTGTTCCTCATCCTTCCCTCTTTGTAGGCTCTGCCTCTGCTCCAACAACTGTGGGAAAATCTAAAGGAAATCCATTGGAAGAATGCCTAGTTATTGCCCTTTGAGAATTCCAATTAACTCTCACTTTGGAGTTGGCTAAAAGGAACAGAAGTAACACAAGAGGCCTGAGGACAGGACATTCAAGCTCTGGACCTTACTTGGGCTACCTACCCACATTCCCTAGACCACATTAGATGAGTAAGAAATTTCTGGGCTTTTTGTATGAAAAAAATTAAAGCTGACAAGAGAGCATTCTACAAAACACATGAAGGGCATTATACAAATAACAATAAAAAAGTCATCTGTGACTTCTCACTTCAAATAAGGACTATGTAAATGGGACTCAATATAGATAGAAGCATTTTATTTAAATGTATTGAAGAGGTGCTGATAATCAGATGTAATATACTGTTAAAACTTGACATGTGGCTGTGGAAATTTCCAGAATACAAGTTAACAATGAAGTTAGGAAAACATGTACTCGGTCAGTCTGTATTTTTTAAAAGGCAGAGGAACAATTTACTCAACGTTTCAATTTTTACCCCACTCCTGGCATATACTTTTTCAATTTTTTTTTTGTCTGGATAAATAACAGTTATTAGGCTAACATCTCATAAGTAGGTCAGTTAATTTGAGGCCTGTTCTTCCAACTATTACTTCTAAATTTTCCAAATCTGCTCAAGGTAAAGGTTTTTAAATGAGGGGTACTTTGTAGACGATGATTTATAAATTTCTACCCTTTGTACCATCACAGGAAATAACAAACTACACAAGCCAGAAAAACACTAGGGTGGGTTGAAATGCTGAGAAAGATGTGGCGTTTAAATACAAAACAAACCTTCCTCTCCGAATAAATACTCAAGGTCAATCCCAACACTACTCTGCTCAAAACCCTCCGGTGCCCCTTCCTCACCTAGAGAACAAAACATCAGCGCCTTCACATACATGCGCACCCAGAACACACTTCTATAACGCATAACTCAGGCTCATTTCCCACACTCGCCTCCCATCCTGCTTTCTTTTTGGGCAAATTCTATATGGTTCCCCTATCAACTGCTTTAAAACTTCCATGCCCTACTAAAGTCATGAACTCCCAGCATTATGGCTATTAGAGCCACT
The DNA here is from genome assembly GCF_000001405.40 of Homo sapiens. Classification (NCBI taxonomy): domain Eukaryota; kingdom Metazoa; phylum Chordata; class Mammalia; order Primates; family Hominidae; genus Homo; species Homo sapiens. Next base: position 23,725,426 of record NC_000009.12, read on the forward strand.
CGTCTCAAACACAGAACTGTGCTGCAGGTATTTTAACAGAGGACCTACTGGGTGGCAAGCCCTTAGCGTAGCTTTACTTACATTCCTGCCTGCATACCCTCTCCTCCTTCTTTACAGTGGGGGCTGGTTTACACAGCATCTAAGAATATTTCCTTCTGGCCAGTATTAACTTTTATAAAAGAACAAATTATAATGATAAAGAAAAACCAACCCAATCCCAATAATCCTGTCGCAAAAGGAGGTTGAACTAGAAACTCAAATCCCCATATAAAGTTTACAGTGGCTATTAAACTTTCAAGAGTGAAAGAAGAAGGCAATTAAAATTATTCTCTCTTCAGGAGAGGTTGCTGCTTTTCATCAAATCATTTTATGCAATAAACATGAATTTGTTTAAAAAGTTAACATTTCTTCTTAATATGCAACTTAGCAGACCATGAAAAGCTTTTTTTCCTCTCCTAAAAAGCAGGTAATGAAAATTCTCAGTGATGAATAAATTATTTTAACGATATAAATGGAAACTTAAATGGTTAAAAGCTCTGTCCAAGATTAAGCAGCCAGTTAAATCATTTTAGTAAGGTAATTTAGACAGAGTAAGATTTCAGAAATGTAGTTCTATATTCCTATGTTAAGGGTCAAGCTCATGCTGAACAGAAAAAAAAAAGTATAAATATGACATTTACTAATGAGGAAAGGATAAGCTAGTTAGAAAAAGGTATAAATTTAACAAAAAGTTAATGGCAATACAGTAGCTTAGAATACAGGTTTCTTAGGTTTGCTTAATCACTCTCAAACTGAACACAAAAAATAGATAATACTATTTATAATATTCTCATTTTTATAATAGAATTTTCCAAATGTGGTTAAATTGTGGTTTATTTCAGTATAAGAAATTTCATGATTGTATACCAATTAATAACTTTTAAGCAAAGGTAAATTTTAGCCTGGTCTATAGCTGAATGATTAAGGAAAATATTTCTTTAATCAAGACCAAAATCGGGCAGTTTTTCTATGGTAGTTAATTCTAGACAGAATTTTTTTTTCTTTTGAGGGGTCAGAACTTACCAATAACAATAAAACATTCTATTCCCTGAGATAACAGCTCCTTCTTTCCAGATAAATCAACCCCAGTTTCAGGAAAAATAAAGCATCCTAGGCCCATTGTAGAGGAGGGAAAAGCTGAGAGAGATGCTGGGAGCCACGTATCCATTTCACTGTGTTATGTGATAATCACCTATCCAGAGTTCTTTATGCAGAGGAGGGAGGAAGTCTACACATATTCTTGGAAATGAATGATTTTAGTTTGCTAATCATGAATTTAAGTCTGACACCGTTAACCTAACAAGTCAAAAGTATTGGCTTTAAGCCATAAAAATTCCACATACTATTTAGATTTTTTTCAATACTTAAGACCCCTAAAAATAAAATGAGTAGAGAAAGAGCATGAAGACTGAACACAGTAGGTACAACCACTCACTTCATGAATAACTCACCAAAGGAAGGATTCCTTTAGGGACCTGAAGGATCTTGGAGAAAAACCTCTCTTCTTCTCACCAGCATACAACTTGACACTTCCATGAGATTACTCCCCCACCCCCATGCCTGAACTGTACACATATCACCTTTTCACTACCTTCCCTAATGAGAATCTTAAAACATTTTTGTAATATTCACACTTTATTTACCATGTCAACACTGGGGATACTGTGGGCAGGCTTAACCCAAAATAGCTGCCTCCCATGCAGTACAGGGATGATGTCATTTCACCAGCAAGGTATGCCTCTGGGACATCTCCTTAACCAGGAAAAAAAGTGACCTTTAGGACAAGAGAACAAGTATCTCGAGACTTTAACCTGTATCTGCTACTACTTAAACAAACAGCATCCTACTATGAGACGGATACGTTGTTTTCAATTTCTATGCCATGTTTTTTTATAAGCAAAGGCTGGTGAACCACGTTGAACTCTGAATGCTAAACGATCGCCCAGCATGCTCAAGAAAAAACATTAATATTTTGGTTAACAGAATGAACCACAGGAGGATTATTAAGGTAAAATGCTAGAAGACAAACTGAACTTTGCACACACAAATACCAAATGTATAGAGAACCGCCAAACATCTTTGGTGATTCCCAAGTGCTAGGCCTTAGACTTGCTGTCATAAATTACCTGGGAAGCATAATAAAAAACAGAACCCGGAATCTCACCTGTGGACAGGGATCGAGTAGATCTACAGTGGATCCCAGAAACTGTATTTCTAACTCACTTCCCTTGGGATTAAGATGCAACCAAAGTTTGGGAACAAATGCTTTAGGTCCTCACAGAGCCTGAGGGACTTCACTTCACTCACCATGGAAATACTGAACATCTGTCATTTATTCAACACACCAACTACTGCACAAAACCCTACTGAGCTAATGCTATTAGGGAGCCCCAGGAGAAACTGCTAAATAAACCACCTTTCACAGCACTTGATTCACTGTTTCAATATCCCAATAACCAGGAATTTTACCAAACGCATACTAAATTCTAAGTGGCTTGGAGTACACAAACACTTGTATATACTAACCAATCTTCTGTACCTTTCTAAAGTAAAGCACAGTGTCCTGGCAAGAGTTTTGATATAACGATCAGAAGACAAGGATTTGTTTGAGTCGCAGCTCTTTCTTCAACTGCCTGGTCTTGGCTAAATTGTATGACCACCAAGATCTCCACTCTGACTGTGGACAGAGAACAGTGCTTAAGCCTAAATTACATATGGGTCCCCCTGTAATTCCAAAACTTCTGTGGTTCCTCAAGGGTAAAGAATATAGACTTCAAAGAAGGGGGAACTCAGCAGGAGCTGGAACAACCTGGAAAGACAGAAGCTGAAGGACAGAATTCCTTTAGATGGGCTCCAAAAGATGAGATGACCACAGTTAAACTAAAAATGAGTGTGAAAGGGTATACCAAAAAGTCGGAGCTGCAAAAGCATATGCATGGACGCTGGGAGTAAGATCAGCTTACAAGTAAAGAGCCAGTCTGAGAACAGTGGAGAACGGCAATAGCACTGGCATCACTCCTACAAAACTCAGCCAGATGATAGGGTAAAACAGTAGAGAAACACCATAGAGTTTTGAGTGAGCAGTAACACGAGTAAAGTGGTGCTGTGTAAGAAAGTGGTGCTGACAGCCATCACCAGTATAGATTAGACGAGGGAAAAAGACTTATTTATGGAATAGTATCCCAGGAAATGAAAAGGCTTAACTCAACTTCCAAAACATTCTTAAAGCTGTGAATACTAGAAAAACTTGGCTCAAGACATTGTACAAGAGCACAAAATCTGTCTAATGGAAATAAATAAACATAGAAAGAACAAACAGGCAAAGGGGGTGCTATATACTTGTGGGAAATGGTCTGCTTTGCCTCTTAGACAAATGTGGGCCAAATTGAGGATGCCAGCTGTTATCTGATATTTTTACAGGAACCAAATAGGGGCGGGGAAAGAAGTAGCCTGCTATTTGCCCATTACCCTGACCCACATCTCAGAAAATCAGAAACTGATGTCACACTATAAAAGCCACAAAGCTTTACTGTGCTTTCTTCCACATATTCAGCCCAAGCAGCTGGGCCCTAAAGAGAAAAGGCTGGATGATGAACAGTAAGGAAGCAGCTGTCATCAACTGTCTCCTTGAAGGCCACGGGCATTTCTCCTGTGGAGACCTATTTCCCCTGCATTTCTACCTTCTTCTGGATCTTCGTGCAGGAGGATATTTAGTAAAAGAACTGACACACTAGAATGAAATAAGGGTAATTATTTCTAGAATGGAGAAAAGGATAGTTCCTGGGACAAGCCATCTTGACCACCTATTCCATTTTCTTCCCAACTACAACTCAGGACCTCAGAACTAGGACAAATTAGCAGCAACGCTGGAAATCAATATAAATTGAGGAAAAGAAACCTGCAAAAATCTGCTGTAGGATAAAGAGCACACGGTCTGACGGTAACTGAACACTGGATGTCTTTTTAAAGAACACTTATTGTTACTTAATAGTACTAGTAAAAGATCTCTGACACAGAAAGTATGCAGAGAAATATAGATAACGAGAAAAAGCAGTTCAGACTGAAAAAACTTCAAAACAAACTTGTCTTACACTTTATTGGAAATCTCATTTTTCCCTTCACATTTTGATAATATACAGTAACCAGTTCATTTTCTGATTGGTGAATCTTTTCATAGAACAGTTTCTTGCTCAAGAAGTATCTAGAATTCTTGGACCTCTCATACCCTAGTATATTTGGGAACCACTATATACTTTCATTTAGATAAGACAGGGCTGGTAGGCATTTTTCTTAGGGGCCAATAAATATAAAGACTGATGTGTCAAAACCACTCAGGGCTAATAAATTACCTTAACTGGTAATTCTAAGAAAAGCAACTTTAAAGCACAAAAATGACACTTCATTTCCAGATACCTGAAAAAAATGAGCAAAAATCTTTTACACAAGTCTCTAAGCAAGATGGATACTACAGTCAGCCTTGACTAACTTCCCCTCACCACTTCAGGCTATAGTCTGAGCTGGTTTCTTAAATCAAGGGTGGAAAATAGGTTCAAACTTGAGTCAATTGATAGAAGTTGTCTGGAACACTATTTTGAAAAAAATATTTGGGAGCCACATCTAGACTCTGTGAGAAAGAGTGCCATGATTGACTGGCAATGTCTGCACTGGGCAGGAGAGGGCAAATTGATGGTACAGCTAACTAAGAATTTGCTAGAGGCGACATCCCTCTTATTTTCTAAAGGAAAAGAAATCTATGCTGTGAATTAGATTAGCTCCCTCTCAAGAGAGAATCTACATAAGAATTTCAAAGATTCACAAAAGCAGCAAAGTATGTACAAAGTTATTTACTGTACGTCTTAAAAAGAAAAACAACAGAAAAAATAACCTGTGTCATGTAAGTTCCTCCAGTCAGTCTCCTCAAAGCAAGCTGAATTAGCTAGAGCAAACTACAACTCAAGCACCACATCTAGCCTGCCACCTTTTTGTATAACCCATGAGCTAAGAATGGTTTTTACATTTTTTAACTTGGAAAAAATAAAAAGAATATTTGTAATACATAAACATCTTATCAATCTCAAGTTTCATTGCCCATAAATAAAGTTTTATTGGATAACGGCTGCATCCATTTGTTTATGTAGTGGCTATTACTGCTTTCATACTATAAAGGCAGAGTTGAGAAGTTGTGACAGAATGCATGGCTCGCAAAACCTTGCTTATTCACTACCCAGACCTTTATAGAAGAACAAGTCTAAGGTTTCCTCAAGTTATAGGGCAAGTAATTCTCTATAAGGGAAGGAGACTTGATTCCGTAGGCTTCCTATAACATTTATCTAAGAGAGTTGTTGCTCTGTCCCCCTTTGCGAATACATGAATGATTATACATAGCACTCTTGAACAAACAGTTTCTTCCATCTTGCAACAAACACCAAAATTCCACTATGTCTCCCAGGTAACTGTTTATATGGGCCCAAAAGGAAGAAAGGAAAGAACTACAAATAAATCTTAATTTTTTTAAACTTCTGTTCCGCAAGTAGATATAAAAAAACTTTAAACATACTTTTATTGTTTTGGTTTGAAGTCTCAATCCATTCAGGGTGTTGATAGCTTTCTCTGCATCCTTGGGGTCAATGTAGTTCACAAAGCCATATCCCAAGCTCTGCCCTAATGAAAAGGAAGGGGAAAAAGGCATATATTAGTTCTATACTGTTGACAGAGATCAACTTTCATTTTGGCATATGGTCTTGTCATTAACACCAGCATATTTCCTCAACAGTAAAAAGAACTCTCTATTAATTCTAGAAATATACATGAAGTCTTTATGTCTCCTGTCTACTACATTTTCAAGTTTTAGAACTCAGCAAGCAGTGCTGTTTAGGAAAAAAAAAACACACATCCCCAAAGGATTCCACCATCCATGCCCTGCCTGAGCCAGAGTATACCATCAGCAAGACAAGGTCAGCTTCATAAACTGTGGGGATAAATCTCTGTGCTATGGAGAGGGCTTAACAGGCAATACCTTTTCAGCTTCAGTTTCCTTAGCCATAAAAATGGGAAGACAGAAAACATCAACCAAGAATCTGTCAGTGTTCAGTAAATTGTACCCTGACATATTTACAGCCTTTACCAAGTACAATAATGTCGGAGTCTAAAATGGTGAAGAACCATGTGTGGGCGTGTATACATGTAAGTTTATTTTAGACGAGGGCTTATCTTCAAATACACTCAATCAAATTTCTCCAAAGAGGGTTTTATGATCTAGATAAGAACAGGAAAATATGAACACAAAAGACTTACAGGGATGACATCGAAGACAATGAGAACATATAGGAAAAGAAGAAATAGAACATAAACAAAAATAACAGGAGAAAAAAAGTCTAGAGTAAAAGTTGCTTCTAAGTGTTTGTTGTTGTTGCCACCCTCCCCCCATCATCTGAGCCCTCTCACTCCTGGTTCACTGATGCCCTAGATCTCAGACAATGGGAGCTATCAAAAGCAGTTGCATCAATGGAATGCAAAGATAACTAAAGTCAATCGCAATGGTCTCAACTTTTCAATGAAGCAAGTTTCTCAGTTTGAAATGGCAAGAAACATTATACAGGTGACAAAAATGGCATAAGAAAAGTTTAGTCTACAAAAGTCAAAACAAACTAAATGACGATTTCCCAGATGCCCAAGGACGGTCCAAATGCTTTTACTAAGTACTACTGTTGCATCAATTTCATAGGGAAGTGAGGTATTTTTTCTTGATGGGGCACCGTAGGTGCAAGTGGTTATCAATGTGGGTTTTTAGGACAGCTACTCTGGTTATCCTAATGTGGATACTTGTTACCACATAAACGAAAAGAGAAGGCTAAATACAGTGCCCAATATGAAAACTAGTGATTATATTTTGGGACCACAATCAGAATTTTGGATAATCACTGCTAATATATGTCCTCTATCAAAATGTATTTTTTCCTTTTTAAAAAAGAGAAAGGAATAGAGAGCTAAAAACTAATTAGGTTAATTTCATCTCACACTAAAATTGAGGTTTTATTTTACAGTTCTAGTAAAGAGTCACATGTGAAGCCACTGTATTTTTAAGCATTCAGCTTTTCATTAATTCAAAATTTATCATGTGTTTACTGCATGCATTGTGCCCCTCTTATGAAAATGTGTTGCAGTCCTATTGTCATTGAGTAGAATTAAATTGGCTGAATGTAACAAAATCTGCTCAAGGAACCAGCTTATAGTGGAAAGACAGACTTCCAATACCGGCTCTGGTGTTTACTGGCTCGCAGTTAGCTGTGCAACTTTGAAGAAGCTACTTAACACCTCTCTGAACCACAGCTTCCTTCTCTCTAAAACGAGGGTAATTCCTACCCAACTAGGTTGCTGATGCAATGATGAAAATATTCATTAATGATGAAAGTGGATCGTCACCCTAGTCAAAAGATAACATGAGAAAAAATAACATGCTTACTGTTAAAGATTTTAAGTATATTCATTTAAAGTTAAATAAAAAAGATGCCACAAATATAACAGAAAAAGAAAAGGGCAATACAAATATAGTTTTGTCATACTGCTATTCTATGACAAAATAAATCAATTGTATCAGCATAGTCTAATTGCCCTTTCTACTGATAGATACTCCTCCTCCTGCATCTTAGCAGCTTCTAACCCCAGTGCATTCTCAAACTTGACTGCAATGGAATCATCTAGAAAGCTTAAAAAAAAAAAAAAAAAAAACTAAAACAAAAAAACCTGATCCCCGAATCCCACTCCCAAAAATAGATAGATATATATACATATATGTGTGTTTGTGTCTGTATATATATGTGTATATGAGATGAGATCTCACTACATTGGCTGGGCCATGCTTGAACTCCTGGACTCAAGCGATCCTCCCACCTTGGGCTCTGATTTTATCAGTCTGTCATGAAGCATTGGTACTAGCTTTTTAAAATCCTGGTGACTAACGTACAACCACCATGTTGAGAAATCACTGCCTTAATGGTGAGAACCTAGCTGGGGCTACAACGGGGCTGCTGGGAGGTCTAAGAAAGGTCTTGCAGGGATGACTGCTGTTTCACAGTTGCGTTGTTTAGGTACACGTGGATGTGTTTCTTCTAAAATCTTCAAGTTACCTATTACTTCAAAGAAACAGTTTATTGGCCTCCTGAGGTCTGTCTGGGGCACAAGAGTGCCTACTGAGATTAGATCACTGGGTAAAGTGAAAAGCCTGTCTTGCTTACTTCCTACTTAGCTGTTTCCCACTCTAGCCTCTGAACCCTTACTCCTGGCCTGCTGTAGGCATGGAAACATTTGCTAAATGAAAGAATGAGAAACTTACTGATGTTATTTATTTAACCAAAGGTATTATCATCATCACCACCACCACCATCAGAAGACCCAACCATCAAATGGGTCTTCCACCTGATACCCTCAAGCAATCATGACTAGCTATATGAGTCAGTCAAATATCTAGTATCTGTTAAGTTGTTTATACTCAGAAATATTTATCCCCAAATGACTTTGCCTCCTTATAAAAAGTTTCTTATTTGCCTAGTGGCATTATTAGGATGAGTGCCACTCAGAATATGTTTGAGGTAAGCAAAACTGTATTATTATCCTAAGCAAAATAATATGAAAGGGGGTATCTGCTATTAAAAGACTGCATTCCTAAACCTACCATCGTTGGTGTATTAAAATGTTGGCACTATAACAAAAGGGAGTTAGAACTTTAAATTACTTTACAGTGAAAATCTGTAATCAAGGCAGCAAATATTTATTGGATGTTTAAAATATATTAAGGGTATCGCAGATGATACCAAGATAGGCAAGCCTCCCCATTCTCACCTTTTAGCTACATGGTATTTTACTGTTTAATTGTAGCTTCACATTAACCATGTTCGGTATTCAGATTCTTCTCCTACAAGGTAGAAATGATATCTGAAGCTTGGCAAGGTCAATCAGCTTCTACAAATCAAAAAGGCAGGGAGGAAGTAGTAAAGTCAGGACTTGAAGTCAGGACTTTCAAATGCTGTGCTCTACTCCACTCAATTAACTAGTTTATACCTGAACTGAGACTTCAGGCATATTGCGTATAAGCCCAGGACTAGTTTGTACCCAATATGCCTGAATAATAACGTAACCAGGCACTTCTGACACTTTTACCGCAAAAGTTGTTTCTTGTTTGATTACTATCTCAAACTTCTGTACCTTTTATACAAATATCAGTTTTACTATATATGAATTTCAGTGCCATTATTCATTCCTATGACAACATAAATTGCATCTTATTTATATAGTGCATATTTCTGGTTATAAATGAGCGCACAGTTTTTAAAAATAAAAGCAGTAGCAAGGCAAACATTACAAAAAAAAATACCTTACCTACCCTTTTCCCACTCTTATATTCATCAGTAAGTCATGGGCCACCAGGGAAGGCTTGGAAACCAAGCATCACTTATCCATATCATCCAAACCTATTTTTCAAGTCTCTCTGAATTTAGAATGTGCATACTGATAATCCCCAAACTAAGATTCATTTCTTTAAAAAGTTTTATAAGATGCTACATTTAAATTCCAAGTACAACCATTATGGAAACCAACATGATTAAAAGACTATTCTGACCAAAATGACAAAGCTAAGGCTCTTCAAAAAAAAAAAAAAAAAAAAAAGCCCTTAAGAAAAACAAATCCTGTCTTTAAATGCCAAAAAATTTGCCTGGTAACTGAACATAAAGAAGAGGCTCAATGCCACGTGTCCTCAGCTATTCTCAGAAGCTACCTGTGGTCAAGTGTTCTAAGAATTTTCAAACCATTAATTCAAATCTTTCTTCTTTTGAGGCAAGGTCTCTCTCTCTGTCATCCAGACTGGATGGCAGTGGGCATGATCTCGGATCACTGCAACTTCCACCTCCTGGGTTCAAGCGATTCTTCTGCCTCGGCCTCCCAAGTAGCTGGGATTACAGGCATGCATCACCACACCCAGCTATTTTTTTGTATTTTTAGTAGAGACAGGGTTTCGCCACGTTGGCCAGGCTCGTCTCGAACTCCTGGCTTCAACTGATCTGCCAACCTCGGCCTCCCAATGTGCTGGGATTACAGGCGTGAGCCACCGTACCTGGCCCAAAGTCTTGATTTTAATGGCCTTGGTAGGGATTCTAGAACTTTTGCTATATTCTGTGCTGCACTGTTGTGTATGAATGCCTTTTGTTTCACACGCTTCTTTTTAATCTAACATACATGCCACAGAAAAGAAACCCTTCTTCACAAGAGATAGAAAAATAGTTTATAAGATGCTCCTGGCACAAGGAGAACAGTTATAAACAGGCTGGTAGAAATCATGGTCAAGGGATCTATACCACAGAGCTGAAGCACTCCAGAGGCCTCTGAAGAGGACCAAAGACTACTGAGAGCAGGGTTCAGAGCAAGGAGAGGAAAACAGGAAGAAAACCCGTTTAGTGGCAAAGTGCTACTGTGGGAAACACAGTAAATGGCAATATATCCCAAACTGTGTGTAATTCAAAGCATCAGCTATTCCCCTGCCACCTACATTGTTTTAATACCCTACTTTAATTAAAATTTTAATTGCATATTTTAATTAAAAATACACAATCTTCTGGACCTGTTTCATTCAAAGGTCACTTTATTTAGTCTTTTCTATTTTAAATTACTACCAATGTTCAGAAAAATCAAATTACCCCCTCAGGTTTAAAGGTAAAGGCAATAGACTACCGTAATTCTTGATTAAAAGTATATTAACTTTATCCAACCAATATTAAACAAGACCCTCAACACAAAATTGTGGAAAATAAAATTTTGTATTTAAAAAAAACAAGAGTCACCCTACAAATTTCTCATCTACAATAAGCATTCAATAACTATGGGAACCATACTTTTTGCTAGGCCCTGAGAATGCAAAGGAGAAAAAGATCTTTCTCATAAAGCCTATATTCTGACAGGAACACATTCTACAGGGTATTAGAAGAAAATAGAGCTAAGGAGAAAAAAGCAGCAGGGGGTGAGAGTGGGGAGGGGAGGAGCAGGGCTGCTGTTTAAATACAATGGTCAGAGCAGGCCCTATCCTGCAGGTAACATTTGATCCAAGGCTTGAAGGAACTAGCTCAAGTCTAACAGTGAAGATGTGCAAGACGTTCCAGCCCAAGTTCTGCCACACCCGCATCACGTTCTGCCAGTCCTACCAGCTAAATCGGCCCCTTGTCTGCGTTAGCATTGGTTCTCTATTATTCTGGCCCTGATCACTGCTACACTATCCTAATAGGACAACCCTTGCTTAGACTCCCATTAATTCCAAAAACAGCCATCCTCCACCAAAACATTGTCCAGGAGAACTTCTTAAAACACAAATCTAACCATACTCTGGTTTCCAGTCACTGTCAGTTTTTTGCTCACTTCTACTTTCGCTCATCTTCCACCACTCCTACACATACACCCTAAAATGCACATTCAGTTCTCTATGTCTGGAACACAGCTCTCCAACTAGCCAACTCCCATGTATCCTTTGAGACTCTCTGAAGTCATTTCCTGCCACAACTTGCCCCATCCCCAGTGCACACTGTACAGTGCTCCTCTCGACTAGTCCTCCCACAGCTTCTTATATTATTCCGTTATCTTTGTTATGTGTGTCTGGGGTCCATTTGGATGCTCCCTCACTAGACTGCTGAGCAAGGGCAAGCAGAACATAGTTCCTGACAAGGAGGACCCTAAGACAGATCATTAAATGTTCTGTGAATGACTGAATGAAAAACAAATGAAGGAGCAGCAGCATCTGCCTTCCAGGAGCCTGTGGTTTAGGAGATAGTTGCCCTTATAAACATGTTCCTCATGTCCCTACATTGTACCAGATGGATTACAGAACTTGTGGAGACAAGATGCTCAAATGTTATAGTAATTCTGCCTTCATAAGGAAGTCATACGAGTTTTAAATAGTTCATGTAAAATTGTTCATACGAAAAATTTCTACAAATACCATTAAGATGAAGTCTCAATTTTAAAAAGTGTCATCTAGAGTAATTTGATAGATTTACATAAATCTGTTCCACAAATCGGTAAGTATGAATTATGGGATGTCAGCATATAATTTTGTTGAAAGTACTTTTTCACTAATATAATTAAGTCTGCTGAGACTATTCATGTACAAGTCAAATAAAATGCAGAGTGAATTCTGTAAAAACCTGGTAGTTGAATCAACAATAAAAGGTGACTACACTGATTGATGTGTATCTATTATTCCATTTACAGCAGTAGTAATGTTTTATGAAATAAAAGAATAAAAGCCGTGTGAATCTTTTTCAAATCCCACAGTTAGCAGAAACAGGTCACTATGGTCCTCTCTGTCAAGGAAGACTTGCAACCTGAGGTTTAATAATGCAATACTTTTAAAAAGCAAAATGGAAAGATTCGCTTCCTCCAAACACAGCTCTTGCATAAAACTGCATGCCTTAACGACAAAAAAAAGCAAATAATTTGATTTGCAAAAACAAGTTTTCGTTACAAAGGGGGAAAATTTTTGTTTTTAATAAAGACCCTGTTGCCTCCTGATATCCTTCTCTCTCCTCCCTCAAACACACAATAAAGTTGCAAATATATTGTATTTCTTCAGATGGACTTACTGTTCTTGGGCACTCATTATGTGTGTCTGTTCAGACAGGCTGTGCACTGCAACTCTGGCACCAAAGCAACTCGCACCAGACTTCACAAAGGAGCTTTCTTAATATCTCAGATCTGATACACAGCAAAACCATGTGGGTACCACACAGCAGGGAAAAGGTTTGAGAGAATCTCAGAACAGAGGGATGCAGTTCTCTCTAGTCACGTTTTTCTCCACATTTTAATTCCTGACTTAGCCTGAGTCTCCTCAAATGTAGCATGCCAGATGCAGCAGGTCCTTCCATTTAAACACTCAAGTTAAGGTGGGTCAAGTTAAACAGGTCTTCCTTGCTGCCCTCTAATGAGTAAGATCAAATTGTGAGATGGAGGACTGGTGAGATCCTATTACTACAGTCCAAGCCAGCCTTCCTGAAAGCTGGGAGCATTTCTACCAGCTTCCCAAAGGACATTACCAGGGATTATCACAAGGATGGAGAATTCAACCTAGACACTCACATAATACAGAAAACAGATGGCTCACTCGAAGACTCATCTTCCACCCAAATGCTAATAAAGCTGGCCTGAGACTGAAAGGCCCCAAAGTTTCTAAATGATTTTCAGGACTTTACAGATACATGGAGCTAATATAGAAGAGTTTAAATCATAACTTTTCTGCTGAAATCAAAGCTGCAAATAGTGATCATTTGGTAAATATTACCTAAGCAGCCTAATTCTAGAGAGAGCGGTTAATGTCCTCAGCACCAGGGCATTTTCCCTTCAAGTTAATTTTAATAGCCATATCTGTCCCCTGATTATGCAACTGGTAGAGCTCTATTTTCCTGTAGTTCCAGTCCCAGTAATTATGAATCTGCTGGCAATGCGGCATGACCCTGCTTAAGTTGGCGATACTGTGGGTTCTTAATATATCACATTTTCAGACAACATTAAGAACTCCCACACAATTCAGTCTTAGACTATTGAGAACAGAAACAGCATATTAAATCCTCTAAATTCTTGCCAAGTATTACACCGGGTACACAAAGATATCTTGCATCCAAGACCAGGAAGATGAGGAAAAATTATGTGCAGTAGGAAAATAAACCAATTCCTCTACAACCCACAGGATGAGACTCTACCTGAAAGCAGGTTCTCCAGCCTGAAAGAAAGTGACTGAGATAGTGTAGCACGCTCAGCACCACAATGAAAACAAAAGGCGGTTCTCATCACTTATTGATATAGGTAGTTTCTCTAAAAGATAGGTCAGCAGTTCTACCTTCAAACACTGGAGCTGCCACCAGGATAGAGCAAATGCCAAAATACCTTCAGATAGCCTGAAAGTCATACCTGACAGTTCAAAAAAGGTTAGGACATTAACAACTCTAGGCTAGTCCAATCTACTTTCAATTAAAAGTTTGGGTATGCTGCAACTTTCTCATTTCTTTGTTAATTATAATTAATTCTACACAGATCCGCCACCGCCCCTACCCCCACCCCCACACACACTAACAGTCTTATATTATCTGCTTTATCTTGTGTTTACTTAAAAGACAATGGAGTTGTTCAAGTATATACCATTTGGGATGAAGGCAAAGGAACTGTATTCCTCAAAATAGTATTGTGGTAGAGGAAAACAAGTTAACTGTGGTAGTAAAAAGGGCATCTGCTGTTGCTTGTGCGACCAGCTGGTGTCAATCTTCACAAACATGCACTCTTGCCTGTGCCTGCACACACACACGCACACACCCCCCCCACTAAGCAGTCCATCAAGAGGCAGTACAGCTTCTTAATGTGTTTTTCTCTCTGTACAAGATCATTTTTTAACTCAGATACCACAAGAAACAAAAAATTTAAAGGCCCTGTTTTGAAACTATGTCAGAGTCCCTGCAAACCACCATGGAGAGCTCCCCATTTTGTCAAGAACGGGAAACTATAAAATTAGACTCTAACAAACTCACCAAGTCCATGTGAAACAAAAATTCTCGTTAGAGATAAATTTTCTTCTTGAACACATTTTTCTTAAAAAAATCACTCTCTCACCCAAAAGTTAAAGGTTCACCAGCCCAAACCTTCCAGTATGAAAAAGTCAGTAAGTTTGTCGGGGAAAAATGCCCATTCCCACTGCCCCATAAATGCTATGTCTACCTGTCTGGCAGTCAACAGTACCACTGCCAAACTAAACTATCAAGCAACTAGGATCCTTACATTACATATATCACATTTAATTCTCACCACAAGGCTACATGTAAATACATCTGTATCCATTTTACGGACATAAAGTTGGAGGTTCAAAGATGCTAAGTTAACTTGCTCAAGGGCACACACAGCTAGCTCAAAGGAGCAGCTGGGTTTCCACACTACAATCAACCTTTCCAAACTCAGTCTTTCAAAAGTGTACACTTTGTTGCCTTTGGCCATGTGTGGAAATTACTTTGTGGCAGAATCCTGTACATCCAAAGTTTACAACTTTCCAATCAGAATATTTATAATCTCCAAATACATCTGTATTTTTTTCTTGTTCTTTGTCATGAAATAAATTGACTGGAACTTCAATTCTTTCTTAATCCATCCAAGAGACTATCTGTGAAAGAAAAAAAAAATGACCTGAAAGAAAAGGAAGGACATCCTGCAGGTGCACAAACCACTTAAGCCCCCAAAACAAATCCATCATTACAAAACAGATAGATGAGAGGTATCTGCATTATAAAAAGATCCATTTAAAATGGGCCTTGATTTACATACTCCTTTTCCAAACTCAGAAAGCAGTTCTTATGGCTAAAGCCAAACATGTTTGCTACTGCCAAAACGGTCTCCCACACAAGACATTTCTCTCCTCAGCAGATTGCATTAAAATGCTTTCATACGCATAGCATGATTTCATAGCGGTGGAAAAAAGATGGGATCAATACCACATGGTCTCTGCCCTCTAAGATGCTCAAAAATTTTAAGCCCAACACAGTAAACAAGGGAGAGAGGCAGGCACCTAATGAACATGAAATACATAAAGTGCATCGCAGGGGTTTCAGGCTTAACCAGGACCAGCTTGAAAAAGAGAACTCTTTAGTGTGTCAAAACAGAGAAGATGAAATTCAGGTGTTTCCTGACAAACAAATTAAGGTAATAGGAACATGGAGAAGAACAAATTTGTAAAGAAGTATAAAAGAGACAAGCCAAAAGCATACTACGCTGAACGTAAGGCATCTATGTAGAGGTAAGCAAACCGACCCCCCATCCTGGAAGCAAGACTGGCCCATGTGAAGGTTTACAGCAGACAAACTGCAGGATGCACCAAGCACTGAGGCACAATGAGGAAGGAGGCACACGAGGGACCCAGGGACAGTCACCTTAGTGGCCTGGTATAATCACTGAGCAGATGCAGATGTAAGACTGTAACTAGGGACCTCAGTGTTAGAAATCACCCACATTCTTTTTCCTTCTTCCCTCCCCTCTCAACTCTTTATTCCTTCCCTCTCTAGACACTCCCCCTTAGGCAATCCATGCTTATCTACTTAGGCTCTTAAGAAATCCCACAGGCTAATCTTGAAACAAACCAGGAACAGAGTCCCCACTGCAAAATCCTCATGATTAGGAGGAGTCATAATTAGTCCACCACCACTGAGCCAAAGTCAAGATAATGCCAATTAGACCTTCAGACACCTGAGAGAGCCACTGAACAAGACACACAGATCCTGCACCACTTCTGCACGTCTCCCATACCTTTCTCCCTTTGAAAGCCCTACGGTAAATTTTTAAATTGAAGATGGTACTTTAGAATACTAGTTTGCCATCTTCTCAGTTTGCTGGCTCCCATTAAAAATGCTTTTCCTTCCACCAATCCTTGCCTCTTGTGTTCTGGCTTTCAAGTGGCAAGCAGCTGAACCTGGGTTCGGTTACAGGCCTTCTAGAGTAATGGCCAGGATTGAAACCTAGCAACTCCTTGTGTCCCAGGAGGATCCATACTTCCTTGGCATGATAACATCTGGCCTTTGTAAAAGTAACTAGAAGGGCAAGAAACCTTTTGAACCATAATACCCAGAGATTAATACAACACACCAACTCAGCAGCCTTGAAAGTATTCTTGCACTATAAAACTAACAGATATGGATAACCCCAACCACCAAAAAGCTAAACCCAAGATGACTACATCAGGCAGGGCTTACGATTTTCTGAGACCTCCTTTACACAGCTGTAAAAACAAGTACCTCAATCCTCTTTCTGCCCCCCGACCAAGCTAAGCTGCTATTATGAGTGGACAAAGTGTTAATAACTACCACAGTAAATGGGGAAAAACTACTGCAAGTGTTAACAAACCTTATTTTTAACTGAGTAGCAACTGCAAAATTACACATGCCTTGTGAATGCACGTACATACCTACGTCCTTCGCATACAATATGGTGACATCAAGTTAGAAAAGGAGTGAAAGAGGGAGGGAAGCTGAGTCATTAAGAAGGGAATATTGGGTAGCATCACATGATCAGGTGTTTCAATAAAAACATATTTCACCTTATGTGTACTGATCATAAAGTATCTGCTATAGACCGATATGTACAACCCTTCCACCGGGGGGAAAATGTCCACTGTAATTCCTTTTATATCAAAAAGAAAGAGCAGAATTAAATTAGAGGTATTTTTAGCAAAGACAAAGGAAGTAAATTTCCAAAGGACATCCATCGTCCCCAGTCGACACAAGGATTAAGTATAAATAACGTGATTTTTCTTCTCTTTGTACAGGACATGTTGCTTAGTTTATAGTTAATGAAGAGGTAGTTAATCAAGAGGGTAGGAGGAACATTTTTCTTTCTTTCCTCTAAACTTAAAATAGTCACACACAGCACTGATTTTTACATGCTTAGGAAAAATTCCAAAACAGACTGATGGTGTTTGGGCTGGTGGGGGTATAAATGCTGAGTATAAAGGAAACCTATTTAAATACTACAGACACAGCTTCACAAACCTCAAGAACACTCTCTCTGAAGCAATAAAGAAAAGGAATCCTAATGGAACACAGTCCCCAGAGGAAATTGAGCTGTACATGGTTAAAGTTGTAAAGGCTATGGGTCAGATGGGAACCATGGCTACGAATTAAGTCAAAGAGGTACCCTGACAGAAATAAGTATCAATTTTGTTTTTGCTCAGGGACAGCTTATGCTACAGCAAACCACTCTGAGACCACAGGGCAACTTGCCCACCAATTAACAGATGGCTCCTAAAGAGAAGTACAAAATGGTGCAGCTCCTACGATTGCCACATTCATATCACACATAAGCATTTCTTCCCAAATCACCTCATCCAAAAGTTGAAGTGATTAGCTATTGTAATCCTCCAAATTTAAAATTCACGGATACTTTGAGGAAGATTTTGCTAAAAAGATTTTACCTAGACAATGATTCATTAGGACACAAAAGTAATGTGGCACCATCCACATCAGCATGGTATAGTAAACGCATTATCCTGCCGAATGAGCAGAGCACAGAGGCTTGTCTTGTCTTTTACCACTGACTTTAAAGTATATTAAAAACGAACTATCTAAATCATATACCCAGCAACTTAGTACATCTGACCATTGCTGCTAATTCTGGATACATCTTTCCTATGAAACAGGAAAAACCTAAACACAAAAATAATTTTAACATATTACCATTTTATCATCTCAAGTACTCTTAAATGTATAACAGGGTAGAGGGTTAAAAAAATCTTATTCAACAACACTTCAATTTTAATTCATCTTAAAAACTTTTAATGTGATGCTTTCTTTAATCTGCTGTTACTGAAGTTACTCGATTTGCTTATTCACATATCTGAGACCCACTCTTGGGGAAGGCGCTATGTTTTTATGGCACCAGATTAAACAATATGAAGGACCATCTGATGTGGGAAGTAACTTCTATACACAGAGCTTCTCAGCTATTTGGGCCACATTACATGCCCACTTGGCAAACACATTTTAAGATTAAGGCTAAGACAAGTGGATCAGAAGAATCCATCTTATTACCACAAAGGGGTCCCTAAGGAAAAGGAGGTTAGGAGTTTAAGGCCTCCAGCTAACTAGCCTTATGAATTTGAGATTGGGATCTCATCTGTGGGAAAAGAAACTGCACTAAAGGTACTCTCTGATGCTCGCCCCCACCTATTATTCTACCGTCTCCACCTTAAGTTTCACAAATAGATTCTGATGTGCGTGTTAGAATCACTCTTGTTAAAAGAGGTTCCTACAATGTAGAATGCCATACAAAATGTTAGGTATTCAATTACAAGTACACCACTCGAAGAAATGAATGTTTTACTAAATAACTAGTTTTTCAGCTCATTCCAATATTCAATAGCCTATGCTGTCAAGAGTTTTCCTATTTTGTTGCTGAAAACTTCTTCCTTGCTATTTCTAATGAAGGAATAAAATAGTTATATATTATAAACTAATCTCCTTTATTCAGGGAAAAACTTTAAATATGTATGCTGCCAGATCACTTACTAGCCCCTGTACCCAAACAGAATATAACCTATTAAGTGCTTATTCTAGTTATCCTAATTGACAACAACATTATTAAGGATTCTACTTAGATTATAAACTTTATTTTTCTCAAGCAAGAGTACTTTCTAGCAAGAAAACATATATATACTGAAATGGATCTTAACACAAAAGCCTACTATACTATTTTGGGCTTCTTTATCCTTCTCGCGCACCCCCCACGAAAAAAAATAAAAATAAAAATAATAATTAAATCTAATAGTAAAGGAATTAGAACTTTTACCTCATTATTCCCTACAAAGCTAATTTGTTCCTTCATTTGCACTCTCTGTCATTGTAATCTATGACTTAAAGAAAATGAAGCAAAAAAATTCTTTTAAAAATAAACAAACCAAAAAAACAGGCTGGGCACAGTGGCTCCCAAATACCAGCACTTCGGGAGTCTGAGGCTAGAGGATCACTTAAGCTCAGGAGCTCAAGACTAGCCTAGGCAACAATAGGGAGAACCTGTCTCTACAAAATATATAAATTAGCTGGGCATAATGGCACATGTCTGCGGTCCCAGCTACTCGGGAGGCCAAGGTGGGAAGATCACTTGAGCTTGGGAGCTTGAGGCTTCAGTGAGCTGTGATCACACCACCACACTCCATCCTGGGCAGTGACAGAGCAAGACTCTGTCTCAAGAAACAAATAAAATACAAATCAAATAACCAGGAACTATGGTAGATTTTTACAATCCCCAAAGAAGAATGTTTTCTGAATGTATAATCTACAGCCAAATTAAGATATTATACAAAGATTTTCTGTGTAATCCTCTATAACCTGGTATTATCTTGGCCAGGTCATTCCCCTGCCCTACCCACCACCATCTTTTCACTTTAAGCTACCTGAACAGATATCCCATTCAAATCCTTTAGGTGTACACAAACATCTTAATAGGTTGCAAAGAAGAACACAAAATTGACTAGATTCTTTTTTGAACAATTACATTTACAATTCACCATCAATGACTTACTTGCTGGGAAAAAAAACATACTGTAATAAAGGTAAAACTAGACTTGCATCTTTTCAAGGAGAACCAAAGACTGTCCAAAAACCTAATGATGACATATACTACTTATCCCATAGGACACAGAAATATAATGCCTGTAAGCATACACATGTCCCTACATGGCTGGAAACCAAAAGCGTTAACTGAAGGGTTTTAAAGAAATGACCACTAAATAAGCAGAGGAGATAAATGTAGGTCATTCAGAGGCAAATCTGTTTTACCACAAGATATATGGCTCTCCTTAGCTACTAAAAGCAATGGGAGTCACCAAACATTACTGACCTCTGAAGACTAAAAGCTAGAGATGAAACATTCAAAAAGACCTGCTGTGTGAATGCTACTGCTAGTAGTCATCTCAGTCATTCTTCAGGTTGTTCTTGCTCACACTCAGTGAGCAAAGTAGTGCCCAAGAAACATAATCAAAAGGGGGAGGAAGTCACAAGAGATGACTTGGAAGGGAGGATCGGTATCTTCACTGCACCTACTATTTTCAAAATTAAATTCAAACTTTGCTTTCCTCCAACACTAACAAAGTGACACAAATATGAGTAAATTGTTTGAAAGGCACTGACAAGTGACTTTATTTACAAAATATGCATACATACATACACACCTCTCAAAACAAACTCCTTTACCAATAGCTATGGCAAGTTCACAACAGGGGCTTCTAACCAATTACAAAAGTTATTCTCTTATAGGTCAAATTGAGACCAATACAAAATTAATAAGCTTACTTTTGAGTTAAAAAACACTGATAGAAAAAGATAAAAAATATGAATTACATAAATATTGTTTCAATGGAGTTCTAGATTGTACACTGACTCTACCTAACTGGCACAAAGAAACACACTGGAAGAGTCACAGAGCGTTTTCAGAATGAGTAAGGGCTGGGAACCAGACTTCAAGGAGTTAAGTAGTAGGAAGTAAAACTACCCCCACCTCAGAACAGAGAGGTGAGTCATCATCACCATCTTATCCTTCTATCACTTCCTTGAGACCCTAGGTCCTGAGATAAAATGCCTAATTGACTTTACTTCGGTTCCTTACTGGCTGCTTGCCTATAGGCAGGCAGAAAGAGAGAGGACCCACCCAACTGGCTTCTGGAATTAGCTTTTTCCCATCAGCAATATACTAAGAAAGAGAATTCCCCAATACAGAAGGACCCTAATGAAATGTAAGACTGAGACAAGTTTGTCTTGGATCCACGAACATCCTTAGAAGTCTTTCCATGTAAACTGAAAAAGAAAAAAAAAAAAAAAAGCCTCTCTCATTTCTGTTCAAATAAATGACTGCATCCAATATTAATCATCAAATGAAATAATCAACAAATCATTAGTGGACCAGACTATACTTTACATCTTCGCTCAACAAAACAAGCACCAATTTAGAACATCCTGCATTCCACCTTCACAGTATGACAATTCCCTCCTTCTCTACCTCCCTTGAACCATGAGGTATACCACAAGAAGTTCCACTAGCCGAGTACAGTAGTCCTCCACCCCCTACCTTATCCTTGGGGGTTACAAGACCCTCAGTGGATAACTGAAACCACAGATAGTACTGAATCCAACATAATATACACTACTTTTTTTTTTCCGATCTGTTAAGATGGATTCTAAGTGATTAAAGGACAGGGAACATGTACCAGCCATGGATAATGTGGACAAAGGGATGATTCACATCCTGGGCAGGAAGGTGCAAAATTTAATCACGATACTCTGAATGGTGAGCAACTCAAAACTTATGGATTGTTTATTTCTGGGATTTTCCATTTAATATTTTAACACTATGGTTGACCACCAGTTAACTAAACTGCAGAAAGCGAAACTGTTGATAATGGGAGGACTACGGTATTTCATGGCACAGGCTCTCTTCAACAGATAGTCACCACTTGAAATCAAGAACTTAACACTGGCTGATATTCTCCAGCACACCCAAAGCTCAGACAAAGACTACTGAACAACTGGTTAAGCTTGAGTCATCTTTAATCAAGACAAGACCTTACAGCTCCAGAGGTAGAAGACCTTCCTCATCTCAATCAGAGGCTTTTGGAAACTCCCTACAAACATGAGTGCAAAGTAGGCAGTGGGGATAAGTCTACACAAAGCTTGCATTAAGACTTACCCATGAAGTATTCACCTTTTTCATTATTTTAAACTCTTACAACCCAGGGGAGGCTTTCTGTTAAGCCCCAACACAGGAAATTGCTTTTCAGTTGTCAATAGCCAACGTCTGAAAATAAATCCAGTCACTAAGTGTGGAATGATGTACTTGCAGCCAACATGCATTTGGCTGATGCCAACAGAGAAGGCAGGAGGCCAAGATATAAGACCTAAATTTTTTTTTTTAAAAAAAGGACTGTTCTACTCAGTAACAGAATCTGAAATAATGCAAAGGCAGAAATAGGCCACAAACCACCTGCCTCTCTAGCTTCAACATACATCAGCATCTGTCTCCCAAGGTTGCTTCAGAAAGATATTTAAGTTTTCTCTAACTACAATAATTGTTCCAGTGGTCTAAAAAAAAGAAATGGCTCTGTCCTGTGGGTTTCTGGTTGGGTGGTTGACTGTTATATTGATGGGGGGCTTCCTTGAGGGGTAGGGGGAAAGAGTACTAGGGAAGGGGGAGAAAAAAATGGAAGAACTAAAACTACAGAAGAGAATTTCTAACTCGTCGCTCTTTGACTCTGATTGAGGAATGGCTTTCTGCCAAGATTTCCTTCAAGTGCTCAGCAGAGAATGAAGTGAGGTAACGAGAAGTAGTCTGGGGATGTTACACACTGTGTCCTGTGTCCCAAGACCCCACACGGATGTTTGTCCCTGGATGCTCTGACTCTCTGGGAGAAAAGAGTAGAAAAGTATGAAGGCAGAGAAGACTTCCAGGGAGCAAAACTACTTGGGTTCTTCTTTCTGACCCACTGTACATACACCAACTGCCTCTTCCTCCAGGTAACTTGCCAAGATGGGGAGTGATAAGAGATTGAAGGCAATTTTCAAAAGAATAAAACAAGCTTGAAACCAGGCAGAACAACTGCAAAGGGGGTAAGATGAAGTCCCTGCAAGTAGTCAGCAATCTGGCAAAATATTGCACAAATTCAGTATTTTAATTGGACGTTTCTTTTACGGGGAATGTGGCATGAACTAAATTTGAAGCCAGGCTACTTATTTCAGGGGGAGGGGTTGGTCCCTAAAGCCACTTGGAGAGGAAGAGAAATAAAACATACAGAAGAGTCTACAGCCCAAGGGGAAAAAAACTAGTATCTCCTGAAAACAATTATCATAATTTACTTTCAAAATACTTTGGTATATCAAATGTTGTATGATTTCATTTATATGGGGTACCGAGAATAGGCAAATTCATAGAGACACAGAAAATATAATGGTTACCAAAGGCTGGGAGCAAAGGAGGTGGGTGAGGAGTTACTGTTTGATGGTTACAGAGTTTCTATCTGGGATGATGACAAGGTACTGGAAATGGATAAGGGTGACGGCTGCATAATACTGTGAATGTGCTTAATGTCACTGAACTGTAAACTTGAAAAGGTTCAAATGATAAATTTTATGTTATATTTTGCCACAATAAAAACATTTCTTTTTAAAGTTTAGAATTAATCTGATGACACGTGTGCACCAGCCATTTAAGCTTTAATTCTGGGTGGTCATCTAACATACTATCATTAATGCACAATCCAGGATTAGTTAACTAGTATAATACAAGTAGGCTAAAATTCAAGTGACTAGTGTAAGCCTACATACTATCCATACCTAAATCAACAACCAATTCTCTGCTGATTCACCTAATGGATGTCAAAATAGGGTTTTGTTCTGTAAGCCAGTTATTTGTTAATTAGCATAACGAGTGTTAGAAATGGAGTCTTACCGGTAAAATTAAAGGAGTTCAAGATACGCAGATGGGCTAAATTAGTTTAGAGACACTTCCCACCTTCGTATAAACAGGGCACAAAATCCAAGGTGGCATAATCCAAGGTGGTTATATCTTTATGGAGAGAACCCCTAAATGTTAAATGGTCCTGGGTTTCAGTCTTTGTTTAAAGGGATTTCTTTTTGCATGATGCAAAGTGAGGGTGCAGAACGTGACTTTTGGGATATTGTTAGCCTCCGGTGAACATTTCATTTAAAGTGTGTTCAAAGCACTTAAAAAAGAAGAGAGAAGTGGGACTTTACCAAGCTTTCAGAAAAGGCTTCTCCATCAATTTGGTCCTGCTTGCTAGATAGAGGTTTCTATGTGTGGTGGGATCTGGCCTGAGACCTTCTTTCATTATAATCTATAGAGCAACTAACGCTCACCCTTCCTCCTTTGGTGCCTACTAACAACTACGCAAAATTACCTAAGAGCTGTTATTCACTATACTAACAGGTCCATTTAATAAACCCAGTCTCAAGGAGTCACTGGTCATGAACACAGTGGCCTCCAAGGGTACTGTCTTAAAAAAGGAAAAAAAAAAAAAAGACTCTTTAAAAGTCGGTTGTCCAACTATAAAGGCTAGGAAAGAATATTAGACATCCTCCTTACTTTGATGGCTATATCCAAATATATTGTTTTCTATAAGCATTCAGAGAACTAAAATATCAAATAGAGTAAGAAACTAACCCCAGAAGATTCCATATTCTACTTTTAAGTAGCACATCAGGACTAGCTTTGTATGTTCTAGAGCTGGGGATATAATGGAATGTTATCACGCCTTTTTGCAAAGGCTCCCAATTTCCAGCACTTAAAAAAATACACATATTGATATAAAACACAGTAACAAATCGGTATTAACAATTCTGTATTTTAATCCTATTCCAATATGTATAAAAGGGCTTACCCCCATAAAAAAAGGACAACAAATAATAAAGAATATAAAGGTCTAAAAACAAACCTGGTATAACATTGTTAGATTTTAAGATATTAGATCCCAAATCATTCTACTTGAGAAGGTAGTACACTGTCTGCACCATATAATGGCAAAATCACTTGGCACCATGTTTAAAAAGAGCTAACCTAATACTCAGGTTCACAAAAGAAAAAAAAGACAATTTTAGAGGCAGGATTTGGGAAGTCATTTAGGAGAGCCCTTGTCTACATGAGAAGATGTCAATTGATTTGATACACCATCAGTCTCTCATTTATATTCAAAATGTTTAGATACATTTAAAGTAGAATAAGAGCAAACTACAATTCATTTAAATGGAATGAAAAAAGCTCCCATGGCTTACTTAGTACCAGGGTTAGGAAAAAGGATTCGTACGACAGTACCCTTGGAGGCAACTCCTTAAGACTGGATTTAAAGCATTAAAATGTGAGGAAATAAAACTGTTCTCTCAGGCTCCAGTGACCTTAAAAACAGTGCAGTGATTCTGATTTACCAGTTTACACACAGCTATGCCTCCCTTAAACTTTACTTTAAAAGGAGGATTTGACTTTCTCAGTATTAAGTCCAAAGGTCAAACAGGTTGTAAAGAGTCAAGGGCCCCATCAGATCTACTCTACAAGGTAATAAACATTCAAGTCTATCATCCCTCACCAAGAAATGCAAATTTTTGTTGAGCTAGAGGATGGGAGTTGGGGGTGGTGGATACAGGACTTGTACGCCATACACATTTTCCCTACAAAATCAAAGCAGTATGTACAAAACAGAGTTCCAACAAAAAGTACAATGATGAGAAAAGAACTCATTAAGAGCTAAAAATAAACTCTAATTCACAATATGCATAAGGATTTAACAAAAAAGGAAAACAAGATGTAAAATTGCATCTGCTAAGTTAACCATACCCTCATGGAAACTGCCCCCTCCCCCATACACACAAACTGAAATCTGTAAAGTCTGTGATGACTGAATGAAGAAATGCTTTAGATGTTTTCAATGAATATTTCAATGGAAAAGAAAACAAAGGGATAGTAATTTTTTTCCTCAGCCTTCTGATCTGCTAACACTGCAGGAATATTAGGTTTTTGAACATCCCAAAACACAGGTCTCTGTATATCTAGACTTGAACATCATCTTTGATAAAATGAGACTATTTAGTATAGTATTTACGTTTTATATTAAACGGATACTCATCTTAAGGAAGATGATGTCAATAAAAGTAAAAATAAGCCGCAGTTGGTTTTTATCTAACCAACACTTCATGGCTCAATTTAACAACTTGCTGACCTTCGAAAGCCCAGTAATAGCTCACTGGAAAGCTCACTTGAGAGCACCTTCATATTTTAAGTCAAGCTAATTCATTCTGAAACATTCACACAATACCACATAGAGCAATAATTCCACACTCCGGTGCTCTAGTTCATAAAGGCTGGTGTAATATCATTAATCATCATTCTGGGCTCCCAAGTCCTGCCTCGCACTTTCTATTCTTACTTTGTTCCACCCCTGGAAAATCAATTATGTTGGTCAAATCACCTAGAAAGCAAAGGATGGAGGATGAGCTTTGCATTCTTCCCACATCATGACAAACTCCAAGAAATCTAGGACAACAGATCTACTTCAAGATGTTTTTCAAAAACTACTTTTTACCTATGGGGGGAAAAACAAAAGTCTGCAACTGTCACGTAACTGAATGGGTATTAACTGGTAAGAAGAGGACAGGAAAGAGAGACAGTACCCCTGTGTGCTAGGTACTTTATGAAAGAAACTGACGTTCAGAGTCAAAAAGCACACACAGGACACAACACAAATTGAGTGGCTAGGCTGGAATTGGAACCCAAGTGTAACAATGTTCTAAGCTAAAAGCTCTAAGATTAGTGTCCAGTAGGCCACCTCCCTAGCAGGAGGAAGCAAAGGTATTTTGATTCAAACTTAATCCCAAGAACTTGATCCCAAACTAAGTAACAAACCTAGTGTACACAGGGGTTTAGTAAATCCTACTACCACTTAAGAAACTTTTTTTTGTTTTTTTTTTTTGAGATAGAGTCTCCCTCTGTCATCCAGGCTGGAGTGCAGTGGCTCACTGCAACCTCCGCCTCCCGGGTTGAAGCGATTCTCCTGTCTCAGCCTCCTGAAGAGCTGGGATTACAGGCACCCAGCACCAAGTCTAGCTAATTTTTGTATTTTTAGTAGAGACGGGGTTTCACCATGTTGGCCAGGCTGGCCTTGATCTCCTGATGTCAGATGATCTGCCCACCTTGGCCTCCCAAAGTGCTGGAATTACAGGCATGAGCCACCATACCCAGCCAAGGAACTCTTATAAACACAGCTTAAATACTTCTGTCTTGCTTTTTTCCCCCTTAAAGGAGGCATAAGGTAAATCTTTGTTCTAATTTAGAACAATACAGAATGATCACCCCTCGATTACATAAAGATGATATATGGTGTCAGAAATTACTGAGTGGAGTCTGAAAAGATGGTTTTAACTGCGAATCTGTTTCTTCACAACACTTAGAGCAGCAAATGCTACTCTGTGATTTACAGCCCCTCAAAAAATATTTGATTACATTTCCCAACACCAATAAAAGGGGCATCCAAGGGTTTTGAAATATTGACAATCTAAAACTTTAAAGAGCCAAAACAAATACCTTAAGGACTAAAACATGCTAATTAAGCCACTGTATAGACCTGACAAATCGAATGACACTCAAATAAAATGCCAGAAAATATCTGTTAAAGTTGACCTTTTGAGCTGGAAAAGCACACTCTGAGGGTTTCCACAGCTCTCAACGTTCAGTAGCAGCAGTGTACTCAGCTGAAAGTCAATTAACTTAGAACAAGCTCAAAAGAAGTTGGCAAATTTTGAAGCACAGTTTTAGCTCCAATAATCAACTATTCTGTTCAGGAATATTTGAAAGGAAATGTTCCAACAGGTACAGAATAAAAGTGCTTCGGTCTATTCTGAATTTAAACAAAGTTAAAAAAAAAATAAAAGGCTGGTGGCCAAAGCTGTGTCATAGTTAAGGTAGTGAAATAGAATGAAAACTGTCAAAAACAGGTTGATTTTGTACTACATCATAAAAATGGGGGGTATAAATCATTTTCATACCAAAGAAACAGAATTTTAAAATTCTATAAACTACAAAAAAAAGAAGCAACAAGTTCATATCACAATTTAACTGTTTTTTATCTTCTAACTGAACTATTTCCATTTTAGTTCACCATCTTCCTCATCGACATTTTCCATCATTCCTACGACAAGCGCTTAAATTGAGAATGGTGTCTCTTCTATACCACCAATCTCCTGATGCAAAGTAAACAAAGACTACCCCCCAGAAAAGGTCTGGAATAGCAAACAGCACACGTGCACTCTTATGCTGAATTATAAAGGGGCAAATGTTACAAGAGAATTTCAACTGTAATTTTATTTTCTATGAATTTGAATATGTTTACAAAGTTTGTGTTTTCTATCAAACCAGCAAAGCAACAAAGAGAAAGGTTACTGAAGACTATTCCTAATCTACTGGTAAGGCAAATACGGCTATTCTAAAAGTTCCTCTGATAAGGGCTAGGAAAGCACAAAATCAAAACTCCTAAACCTCATTTACACCATAGGTTCAACTTTATTTTCCCAGTAAACACTCTAAGACAGCTGTTGGAAAACTGTATAACTGTCTCGTGGGAGTGACACATATTTTTTTTTACATTTTATTCTAACGGAACAAAATACCAAGTAACACAAATATCAATATCAGGAAATCAGAGAAACAAATCTGGATGATTAATGAATTACTAGAGAAGAATATTGTTTCATACTTTTCTGTATCCTCAAATAGATGTTTCTTCATCCTAGCAACTAGCCATTAAAGGCTTCATTACCACAGGTTATCTAAAGAAGCAGCTCTTTGATTTATGAAGAGATGTTAACTGGGAATTAACTTACTGAATGGTGAAAAGGTCCAGATTTGCCACCCCAAAATATTCCACTTTGGCATTAAGTTTTTTTTTTTTATTATTTTTTTGTGAAATGGAGTCTTGCTCTGTCACACAGGCTGAAATGCAAGTGCGGTGGCACGATCTCAGTTCACTGCAACCTCTGCCTCCTGGGTTCAAGCAATTCTCCCACCTCAGCCTTGTGAGTACCTGGGACTACAGGCGTGCAGCACCACCACACCTGGCTAATTTTTCTATTTTCAGTACAATCAGGGTTTCACCATGTTGGCCATGGTTGGTCTTGAATTCCTGACCTCCGGTGATTCGCCTGCATTGGCCTTCCAAAGTGCTGAGAATACAGGCATGAATCACTGCGCCTGGCTGGCATCAAGTATTATTTTAGGCTGAGGAAAATAAGAAGTCAACAGATGCAAGATGAGTTCTCTGCCCTCCCCTTTTCTCCCTAAAAGCAGAGTATAAATTTCCCATGGGAAGATGTCTCTCTGTCCTGTACCAGTTCAGAAGTAAGCGACTCATTACTTGAGACAGTCAACATCAGATTGTTTATGCATACAGTTCTGTATAAACCAACCTTGTTAAAAGTGCCCTTATCTTGTCATTACTTACCCCTACATATTTTCTGAACGCTTCCCCATGATTTCCTATTCCGCAAAGTCCAAACCTTTCCTTTGTTAAAATGGTATATAAGCCCCCCAACCCTGACCACTTTAGTTTTATAATACTTTTCTGTCAACTCCCAAACACAAAATACGAGCAAAAATTGTGTGCCATTTCTCCAATTAATTTCCAAGTCCCCAGGTACTAAACAAAAGAGGACAGAAGTTGTTTTTCCTAACAATGATAAAGAACTGTACTGTATTTGATTTCTTAAAATGTTACAAATTTCTAGTTTCATCATCCTGTAATCTTTCCACTAAACTAATCAAGGCTGACACTGAAAATTGTTCTATAAAAATACCCAGGTTCAAGTAAAAAGTGAACCTAGAAGAATAAATGTTAAAGACTTTCTCCAAAATTTTATATGAAGCTTCTACAGTGATAACACCAAATTTTTTAAATGACTGCAAGACCTTTGGCAAAGAAACAAGATATAATGAAAAAATAATTAAGTTTAAAGATACATCAATGAAGATATAAATAAAGTTTCTCCATTACCTTTTGCCTATGAGAGATGTTCCAAAAATAGAGGTTCCACAAACTTGACACAAATTTCATTTTATACAAACTTGGGCACTAAAATCTAAAAATAGATTCAAATGTACTGTATTCCACAGTTAACGCACTGCGGACCAAAGCATTTACCCCTGTGCAGGCATCTCCTTTCCTACAGACCTAAGAACACACACAACCTTTCTGCCATCTTTCTAATTAAATAGCATACAGAGTTTGCAAAGTGAGGTGTTTATTAAGTTACCACCCACCCAACCACCCTGCTGTTTCCAACTACTGGTCTGCAAGAATCAGAATTCTTGATCTCTTGATACTATGGACATTTCACATGCTCACTGTACAACTGTAACTGACATACAAAATCACATTTTCAAATTAATGTTCATCAAAACAGCTTTGTGTTCACTGTGATTGACTCATAGGAAATAAGTGCTATTAAATTTGAAGGTTCCCATTAGTCTAATAAAATACCACTTATCTGTTTCAATCCTGAGGAGCTAAGATTGTATTTGTTTAAAAAGAAGAGAATCCTATGCCATTAAAATAGTTTGGAAATCACATTATTTTGATAGAATAAAGAAGGATCAAAACTAGCTGTAAAATTCTCAGCAAGCAGAGACACAAGATAAACCTAGCTAAGAACACTCATATTAATAAAAAATATTTTAAGATACTAGCCCTAAGGCGTGCTGGGGCATGGCAGGAGCCTTATCATGCAAGGCACTACCTACTCAGAGGTAATCAACATCTCTTTGGGCCCTCTGGAATTTATATTTGGGTTTTTGTTTTTTCCCCTTTTGTCAAAGTTTCTAGTTAGCAGCTGATGAGGTCAGTACAAGACCTACCTCAAACAACTGAGAGTAATGGTGAAATACTCATTACCTGAGGTCTTCCACCAACTACTCCTCTAGCCATTCTTTTAGAAGAAAGGAAAAATAACAGTGAAAGAACAATCTACCCTGGAGTTTCAAAAACCTAATTACACTTAAACACACACACACACACATGCTCGCACACGTGCTTTCAGCAACATATCAGATCAGTAAGGACACAGCCTAGTGACGTAAACTCAACATGTCTAGTTCTGAAAGCTAGGAATTAACTCAGAGACCAATGCTGAAGAGGGGACAGCACTTTAAACTTAAACTTTCCAAAGAATTAAGTACTGCAATTGTTAACACCTCTTCCATAACGCCCTAAATCTAGAATTCAGGTAAACCTGGAAATCCCTGGTTCAATCTCCCTACAAAATGTTTAAGACATTGATAACTCCTAGCTAACGAGTACCTTCCAGGTCCCCACTACAGATTCTGATTCAGTAGGCCTGGACAGAGCCCAGGACCGTGCATTTCTAGCACTCATTACAAGTGATTCCAATGCGGGAATCCTGTGACCATACTTCATGAGACACAGTCTGATTCCCAAAACTTTTTTGGGCTTCAAGATCACCTGGGAAGCTCTCTGACAACAGATTCCAAAACTCCCTTAGGTGAGTAGGTGAGGATGTAGAGCCAAATTTGGGTACCACCGGGCTAGAATATCAAGTTCACAACCATAGATTATAATGTTTCTAGAGAAGCACAGATGTTCTTGTTCATTTGGTGTATTCGTCAGTCCTTACTGTCAAAAACCTTCCATTCTCCTTCCAGAGAAGACACACTCGCCAGAAGATGCCCTCTGGATAACTCTGTAAAAATCACACATCTCTCTATAAATTCATCAGTTGGCCATTTGCTTCATCTTTAAAGAGTGAGCTCTTGCCTCCAACAAGTGGCAAAGAGGAAACATCCAGGTAAAGCATAAGATAATCAGAATTCTGGTCCCTACTCTACCGCTTAATAGCTCTGTGGCCTTGAACTAGTCATTTCACAAACCTGGGCCTCTCATCACCTATGATGTTTGGGGCAAAGAAGGGAGAGGGTTGGTTAAGGTCACCTCTAGGGCTTTTCTGACTGTAACACTTTATTACTCATTCCTTGCATCATAAAATCCATTTCGTTCATCTAGAATGCAGCATCAGCAGGTGTCAAGGACTCCCAAGTGCATTTAAAAACGCAAAGGGATGGACTAAAGTCAGCTAAGCTGTACAAGCAGCAGAAGCTTCTCATGATGAATGCCTATAGATAGGAAACAGGCTGAAGCATACAGCTGGGCAGAAGCCCAAAGAGACGGACCTGACAAATAACATAATAAATAGAACTTAGTCTAGAGAGAAGATTATTGTATTTGCTACTGAAGACATTTCTTAATGTACTTCCCTAATCCTCACTCGATCAAAATAGTGACATTAATTTGCTAACACTGACACAGTCTAAAAGTTATACACTCTCTTCAAGGACTTAAGAAGCACACACTTTCCTAACTAGATATTTTTGTTCCTTAGATATAGTTTCCTGATTCAGCATTAAGAAAGATTTAAGAAAAGGGAAAAGGAAAGATTTCAAATCTTCCTGTAGAGTGACTCCAGAGTTTTCCTGTAACCCAATTAACGCACATGCTCCTACAAAATCGGAATACAGAAATGGGTCCCAACTGCTTCCCAGGAGGTAGAATAAGCTGGATAATTAGAGAAGGACCAAAGAACTCTGGTCTGTCCCTAAAATACGTACTGAGAAACTGCACAAGACGGGTAATGCTACACACCACAGGACAGGGTCCAAAGCTCCACAAATTCTTTCAAAACCTTGCTAGAGATACATTAGTACTACCTCTTACGAAGTATGCCTACTTTTCAAAGTACAACCACTCAGAACCCAGATTTAGATACTACCATTTTCTAGACTATTTTACTCAATAGAAGTATTCAGTAAGAAACTCAGAAAAAAAAATATCCTAAAGCAGTTTATGCTTAAGTTAAATGAGTGAGATCCTTCTAAAAGCCATTTTAACCCATATTACAAATATGTCAGTGGTCCAAATCAAACCAAGATTACCAGAAGTTGAGATGCCTAGTGTTCAGATTTACCTACTCCACTTTTGAATTTATTATCATATATGTTTCTTTTAGGAATCATGCTCATATGTTATTGATGTGAACAGGTTAAACTGGTCTGATAACCAGTTAACAACAAATGATTTCAAAAGCTTTTATAGCACCATGTTCAGTGTAATCTACTGTCAGGGAGAGATACTCACTCTTCCCACAGTCCCCAAATAGGCTCTATGATCAAATAAGGCCGGGGAACTATAATTCAAACAGGTTTTCTTTACTGCTGGATTTTTCATAGTTCTTAATACAGTGATTATCGAGTATGGATCTTAAATAAAGAACTACAGAGTGCAGCACTTCCTAAACTTGTCTGTCAATATAATACTTATGTTAAGAAATAATTACTAGTATCTCACCAAATGAAGGTTGAAAAACATCTTTCAATCTTATACACACTATCGTGGGAAGGCAAATTAATACACCAAATACACTATGAAAAATGGTATGAAAGTTCCTCAAAAAATTAAAAACAGAACTACCGTATGATCCAGCATCCCCACTACTGCATGTTAACCCAAAAGAAATGAAATCAATTTGTCAAAAGGGATGCACGCATATCCATATTTATTGCAGCAATGTTTACAACAGCCAAAATATGGACTCAACCCAAATGTCCATCAACCAATAAATGGATAAAGAAAATATGCTATATATACAAAATGAAATACCATTCAGCCACAAAAAAGAATGAAATTCTGTCATTTCCAGAAACATGGGTCAACTTAGAGGACACTATGTTAAGTGAGGTGAGACAGCCAAATACCACACGATCTCATAGGTAGAATCGAAAAATGCTGATCTCATTGGAGGCGAGAGCAGAATAGTGGGTACCAGAGGGTGGAGAAGAGAGGAGGAAGGAAGGAGGGGGCCAGATGGTTAATGAGTACAGGGTCACTGTTAAAAGAAATAAGTTCTGGTGTGCTATTCCACAGAAGGGTGACTATGGTTAGCAATATTGTATAGTATACTTCCAAATAGCTAGAAGAGAGGATTTTGAACACTCTCAAAGAAATTATGAATGTTTGAGATTTGGAAATGCTATAATACCCTGCTTGATCATTACACAATGTATATAGCATCAAAACATCTCACTGTACTCCACAAATTTGTTCAATTATGTGTTAACTATATACAAATATATACTATATATAGTAGTGTACACGTAATATATATGTGTATACATCATATATAGTATTATATATATATATATATATA
The DNA here is from genome assembly GCF_000001405.40 of Homo sapiens. Classification (NCBI taxonomy): domain Eukaryota; kingdom Metazoa; phylum Chordata; class Mammalia; order Primates; family Hominidae; genus Homo; species Homo sapiens. Next base: position 23,759,775 of record NC_000009.12, read on the forward strand.
TATATATATATATATAATGTATAGAAACGTCTTACATCTTTAGAAACATCTTTCAATACTCATGACCATTGTGGAATTTCTTGGGGACTCTACTTGCTTACCAAATATTTTTAATAGAAATTTTACCACAGTGGAAATCTCCATTACATCCTTCCCCTCAAGCCACTGAAAAGACAACAGGCAGGGGTCAGAGGTGAAGGAAATGGATGAGAAATATTTACACAGTTTTTTAGTATCTAGGTATGTATTAAAGAATACCCATGTGTTGTGCTTCTATTACCACCGTCTACCACACTAAAGTTAGAGAGGCAAAGGAGGTGAAGATAAAGAACTCAAATTTATCCCATTTTGCCACATAACAGCTCTAAAGATTCACAAAAGAGTAAGATTAATTCAAGATTGACTAGAGGTGAGACGTGAGGATCTGTAAGATGTCTCCTGTGGCAGATGCCTAATATGAAAGATGTATGATTTGTCTAATATTTTCATCTTATAAAATGATAAAATGTATCATTTCGTAACAGTTTCATAACAAAACATGACTTTTGTGCTCTGTTCATGCATCTTTCTTTTTAATAGTAAGGGGAGCTCTACTAAGCAATCAGAAATTGCATCATTTGTGTCATAGCCCTCAAGTCATTTATCATATTTTTATCTTTTATATTAAAAAGGTTGCAAAATCCACATGTCAGGGGTGTTGTTTTACTTTAAAAACAAAAGATAACATGTTTAAAACATGTTAAAAAGATGTTTAAAAACATCACGACAGAGACGTAAGAGCAGCCTTTTGTTCTTCACCTTTTTCAACTTATTAAAAACACTATAAATTTCACATATGCTTATCACACTCATTTTGGAAAAGAAATTGAAAAATCTCATCCATCTGATTATCAGTGTTCAGAAACATAAGAACCACCTTCCTAATATCATAGTGAACATTTAAGCAACATAATTAAAATATAATGGCCGTTTGCTATGGATCAATGACAATCAGTTTGTACTTAGCTTTTTAACTTGATTTCAGTAAGTTGTCTCTGTGAATCTCAATCTGTAGCTTGAGGAAATATGATTATGAGCCAAGTCCAGGGGCTGGCTCTAGAACTCACTTGCAGATCTTGGAGAGAATGAGCCCTAACGATTAACGGAATAGCTCAAAGTCCCATGTATGAAAAAGTCAAAAGTGAACTTAGAAATGGCCCAGTGTTACCCCCTTTTTCTCTGCCTTTTACCTTATTTTGCCAATGGAAACCAGAAGTCTAGGGCTGACTTATCCAATGTCACATGACTAGGTGAGAGTTCAGACTCCTGGTCTCATTCTTCACACTGCCTTTAAGTATCTTTTACTCATTTCAAATATTCCATTTTATATTTTTGGTTATAAGCTTTGTAAAGCAATTTGGTATACACTATCAATCAAATTTAATTAACATGAAAAGTCCACAGAGTCTGTCTACCTTCGTATATTTTTAGTGTTTAACTTCATATGTATGTCTAACTTCATGTATTTTTAGTGTTTGAAAACAACTCCTGCAGGAAGCATTAACCCTTCTATCCCAAGAACGTGCTCTTTAAATTAGGTTTTGGTTTACTCTAAAAATTTAGTCAAATCTTAAAAAATACTAAGGAGATTTTCACCTAATATTCAAAATGTACTATAATTAAGGCTTTATCTTTATAACAAGAAGGACAATCATATACCATGTCCTTTCCTTGTTAAGGAACGGAACATAAGATCTCATCACGCTTGGTATTATATCAGTGAAAATGTTTATACACTGACAATGTGAACATTACCATTTATTTTATCATATATAAGCAAAATGATTATATTAACATAAGGAAAACACATTTTAAGATTTTTTCCCCTCTCCCAAACACATATTGTATCTCACTGTTGAAATGCTAACTTAAATACACTCAGGGTACTAAAAGATAAAAGTTAACATGACACTGGCTATCCCAGATACATATACTTTTAGAAGATTTTCCAAAGATCCTGTCCAGATCAGAGTACATTAAAGTCCAGTTAAAATATATACTGCCCCCAAAATAGTTTATGATTTAAAAAGAAAATTTTAAACTAAGTTTCATATTGCTGATGTAATAACAGAGAGAAAATCTAGATATGTAAAATTGCAGCAGTGAATTATTTACAAGCAGTAATCTTATTATTTTCTCCTATCTTGAGACACGATCCGTTAAATATAAATCATCTACATAAAACTGCTTACCTGTTATTTTGTCTCTTACAAGCTTACAGGACTCTATTTCACCAATGCTCCCAAAGAGACTCTTTAGTTCCTCCTGTGTCATGTTCTGAGGAAGGTAGTTGACTATTAAGTTGGTCTTGCTGTCTTCTGTGTTCCCAGAGTCAACTGGTGACGAACAGTTGTTGTTTATGGTGGTTGGACCATTGGCTGTGTTATTGCAAGTTGGCCCATTAGACAGTTGTGTTTCCATGGCAGCAATTACCTGCTAAAAACAGAGAAAACAAGAAATGTCAGAATTCATATTTCACAACCTATTAGAGACTCCATCCAAGAATTTAAACACTTGTCACTAAACACAAGTCGTTCTAATGAAATTACAACAATGCTTCAACAAAAAGTGTAATACCTACACTAATTTTCACTTCATATTAACCTATTCATCTTAAGGTTACAACTATATTTTCACATACATATTCCATACATGCATATAAGCACAATTTAAATCTTAAACATTTTCTAGAATCACATTCTGGGTCTATTCACATATCCTTACTCACCTGCAGTGTCCACAGATGAGAAAATCAAGTACCAAAGGGCACAGAATTGAACCCTAACTAAAAATCATACTAGAAAATAAAAGTGCTTAACATGCTACAAAAATGAACAAAAAAATGACCTACCTAACTCTGAAGAGATTTTCAGTTATCCTAAGAGGTTCAATATTCTAAAACTGACAGATAGCCATTAACTTAAAAATCAAAGAGCAAGAGTACTTTTAAAAATATAAATTTGTCAACATGTACTGTTTTGGTTACATATTGAAAACGTTTTTGATGGACAATATCTTATCTCTACCATTGGTAAGAAAAAAACAGATGCTATATTTTAGGGAGTGGAAAGGAACTAACTGTAAGGTAACTTGGGAATGAGCTATGAATACTTTGTCTAACTGGTAGAATCTAATAGGACACTCCTGTCAACCTTGGCAGCTAAAAATTACCAACAAGGTGACTGATCTACAACATCAAAATAAAATCCCCAAACACTTCGATATGGTGTTTCTCCTTGACTCTGCTTTTTAATGAGAAAAAAGAAAACCTATCCAGTCAATGAAAACAACAATGTAAATATATCAACTTTTGCAAACAGACCAGCCCAAGGAATTCTCGTCTGAGCACATAAGCCTGTTGAAAATGCAAGTAATAGGGTATCTATAAACTCCAAACACCAGATAAAGAACAGAATTGGGGAAAATGGCCTCAAACTGTTCAGGCTACTCTACAAATCACTTATTAAGCAGTATTAAATCTAGTTTCCTAAAACCAATCCTATGCAAAAGAGTCACAAACCACAGCCCCAAATTTTCCAAAATCATTTTCCACTAACTACCTATCTTTGGACAGCCAAGACTGTGGTGGAATCTAAAAATCAACGCATCACTGAAAGGATTATCCTTCATATTGCATACATCTCTCACCTCCACAAAGAACTGCTTCTCAAAACTGACAATTCTGAATTGACGGGATGCTAGTTTTAGGGAAGCTTTAACATAGAAAAGGCAAAGAACTTGAGGCAAAGAAAAAAAGCAAAGTAAAGGGAAAGAGGGTTACAAGGAAAGAGAAAAAACTGTCTTTTAAAACACATATTGCCTAAGAAAAATAAAAGGGCACATTAGCAGATAAACATATAGGAAGAAATCTCTACTGCCAGGAGATGTTTACAAAAGAAGGCAGTGTTGGACATATTGAGACTGGTCAGACTGAACAAGAATCAGTGCTGTCATGATAAAAAAACATGAGGCAAAATCCAGAATAGCTTTTGAAATATCCAACAACCTGTAACCCCTCTGTGACTTCATTTCCTTGTCAAAGAAGTGGGAATTTATTCTACAAGCTGCAAGCTGTTTCTCTACGTAAGCTAAGTTTTCTCAGGGAATACTTAAAGGGATGAAGGAAAATAAACCTTTGGAAATCTGTATTTAAAAATCTTAAATAATTCAAGATATGGGTTTTATTATAATTAGCAAATCTATTTGAATTTGAAAAGGGAAGTTTCAGATTTCCTAATTAAACATAACTGTTCTGGTTTGTAGAATATTAGCTGTGGGTCACTCTTTTCACAGCAAAAATTCTTCTGGGGTTAACCCTTGCCCAGCAGTTATGGAAACAATGAGCTACAAGATTAAAGTGGCCAAAGACACTTAAATCACTACTGAAAAGTTTGGATGGGTGTAGAAACTACAAGAGACCCGAATGGGAGATTCGGACTAAAGCTCATTGGGATAGCATTTGAAATACAAAGTGTTCATTGACTGAAATCAGCAAGATTTAGAAAGGACAACAAACACTCCTCACTTAATTGCACATTTATTTCCATGTTCAGGTGGCAAGAATGAGCTCCTAAGCCAACATTCAAGTGAACAGCTGCAGTAGGCTGTGTGCGCTGAAAATTACAGCATCTCTCTGCTATAGGACCATCTGCTCAGAATAAAATGATACTAATGTGCTATATTTTACAAATAATGCATATTCCATTGATAGGCTCAACACAACTGTTCACAGAATGCAAACTCTTTCAACAGTTACTGGGCAAATAATTTTCAGCCAGATTTACAATTTCAACTTTTTTTTTGGAGCATAAAGAATTGTAAATAACTTCAAAATTTAGTAACCAAAAAAATACATAGTAAACAGAATGTATAGAATTACGGTAACTTAGTATTCAGACCATACCAAAACTTTTTTTGTTTTTTTAAAAAAGCTTGTCACTCTTTTGAGTCTGCGCTAAATCCTAATTTAGATTGTAAAAAAATTACATACGAGAGCATGGTTCTGATGCTACATACACCACTACAGTTAAAATTGCAATGTGCTTTAAGTCCTAATGATGGCCATACCACAATAGGTTAAATGTAAGAATAATTAGTATGCCAAATGAAAGATTCAAGTGTTTGGTATGGCCTCAGCACTCCTCCAACATGCTAAAAAAAAGTAGCCTACAGAATTTAAGAAAAATCCCACAGACCCCGGTCCAAGGCTCTGCTGCCCACGAACCACTTCTAAGCAGAGAAGCCACATCACACAGTCTGACTGCCATGTTAGTTTGGAGTTGCCGTCTGCAATATGGACACAAAAAGTACCGTATGTTAGATGAGCAAGATAATGCAACAAATCAGTTTGTACAAAATTTACAGTGATTGTATTGATATTCCCAGCACGTCCATGCAGTGTGGCTTAATTGAAATTGAGGCAATTCCAATCTAATCTTTCCAAATTCATTTCAACATGTAGTTTTCTTGCACAAATATAAGCATTTTTAATTAAGAGCCTGATTTTAAAACAGTATTAACTAGTTATCTTGGCATCTATTCTGAAGAACTAATGTAAACCACACCTCAAAAATTTAAAAAATAAAGTAAAATAAAGCAAAATACTGCAGGCTGTCTTATCTCTTAAGGATGTGGGAGAAGGGAGGAAATGTGAATGAAATTTTATAGTGGGAAAAAGTCATCATGCAATTCCTAAGTGATTGGTTTGCATAAAAGCACTCTTTCCCCAAAATATCAGAAAGACATTAAGAGAAGCTATATTTGCCCACACTGTTACATTATACTATAAATGATCCTTAATCCTGGGACTTAAAATTAAAAGTGAATCGAAACCCTGTGAGGTTATTTTGCCACTACAGTCAAACGGTTTCTAACAGTTTCAATGAGAATTGCTCACATATACTAAGAGGCAGTAAACCAGCATCTTTCAATTGAAATAATTGGACCGATAAATAGGATTGTTTGGAGTAATGCTCGCATAGGATGTCAGCTTTGTCCCTGAACGAAATCAAGTGAACATTTTTTAATATGTAAATTGTAAACCCAGCACGATTTGAAATTAGTGCTGCTATGAGGCCTCCAATATAGTTAATGGGCCATTTACCACTTATTGAAACTTGCCCAAATACCAAACAGAGCCATGATATTGGCACAAAAGCCAAAGTTTACTTTTTTTGCCATATATGCAGATGCTTCAAATGGTCAATATAATCAGAAAACTTAGTTTCTAAAAATAGACAGTGAATAACAGAAGAGGTCCAAAAATGTCTTTTACTTATTGATAATTATAAAAATTTTATCCTGAGAGGCAATCCTGGCTGTGATTTACTCTTGATATTAGCAATGCCGCCAGTAACGATGGATTCCACTTTCTGGCATCTATCAAAAAGGATTAACATACTTTTTTACAGGAAGCCATGAAAATATTTTACTCTTCTTCCGTTCTCCCACTGTAACAAGAGATTTTGGTCTGACCCTATGTTATTTTTCAAAAAACTACTTATAGTTTAACTGAACCTGTGAAAAAGTGCTTTACACCCATGAAAGATTTTTCATAAGAACCCAACTGTAGTTAAGACTACATGAGCAGGACCACACCCAGCAGGGTAAAGCAGGCATAAATGTATGTCCTGAATACCTTCAGGAGTTCAATCTAAACATTGCTCACTACATAAAACAGATTTTAATTTAACTGCCTCAGTCCCTTCTATTTCATAGGAGGTGGACACTAATGAGCTAATCTATTGACACCCCTCTTTCTGAAAGCCCCAGGGAGGTGAACAATCACTTTATTGCACCAACTAGATAGGAAGGCTGTGTATGGAAAATGATTCTACTGCACTTTTACATTTCAAGCACCCCAGACAGTCTTCTCCGCTTGAGGCAGACACATACCTTTATGGGAAGTTATAAATAAGTTGCTCACATGGCCCTTACCTTTATGCTGGCCAACAATTCAGTTACTAAAAATGTAAAGCTACTTCCCCTTCACTTAAGGACAGGCAATTCTGCTCTACTCAATCTACCACAGACAACTGGGCTGTGTACTATTTATAGATTCCACTGGCTCTGAAACTCTTCGGAAAGAAAAAAAAGGCCATATTCCAGTGAAACAGAGCCATTAATTTTAAGGCTTAAAAAAATAATGTTTCAATATATATTCTCCTCTTAATTTAGACATCACTTGTGCCAATTCAGACTGCTTTTCCTCCTGTTATTATCCAAGTAATAATTTACGAAAAGGCACTTTAGCATAGATGAATCTAGAATATTCTAAACTTTCACTGGGCTCCAAGGTAAAATGGCTGTTACTATGGTGAAAGCGTAGGTTTTATTGGGAAATAGAAGATTGTCTCTACTTTTATACACACAGGTACTTCCAAAAAGCCATAAAGACTTCTAAACTTTTTATTTAAATAATCCTTTATGAATTTTAACATCTACTGTTTTCACAATAGTGGAATTTAGAAAATAAATGCTTTATATCTCATATCTGGGAAGAGTTAAGAATTTGAGAAGTCAAACTGATCCAATAGTTTCCTGGTCACATGAGAGAAAAGCAGTCTATATTTTCTAATCTTACAATTAAAAAATTCTGCAAACTAAGGTAATCAGCTTCTTCACTATTTTCAAACCTCTTGCAGACAGCCACTAAACCAGGTAGTTAATCAAAAGCATCTTAAATAGGCCAGACTCGGCGGCTCACGTCTGTAATCCCAGCACTTTGGGAGGCTGAGGTAGGTGGACCACTTGAGGTCAGAAGTTCAAGACCAGCCTGGGCAACATGGTGAAACCCCACCTCTACTAAAAATACAAAATATTAGCTGGGCGTGGTCTGTAGTCCCAGCTACTCAGGACGCTGAGGCAGGAGAATGGCTTGAACCCAGGAGGGGGAGGTTGCAGTCAGCAGAGATCACACCACTTCACTCCATCCTGGGTGACAGTGAGAGACTCTGTCTCCAAAATAAGTAAATAAATATATCCTAACTATATTCTGAGAGTTGTTATTAAGTTCACTCAGTATAATGTTGCGAGGAGGGAAAAAGGTTCCATAGCCTAGAAACCACCTGATTTAGGGACCAGACTTCTGCGGGTTAAAGTCATAGCAGGGCTGCTGAAAGGGCCAATACAATGACCCCTGGTGAGGCTGCGCCTGTTGCTCCAGCCACTCCATTGCCATGGTCAACATCCTGACCTGGGCTCTCATCTTCTTCAGGACCAGCAAATTAAAGCCTCCAAAAGGTCCCTCTCTCCTCATCCTAATCTACCTTAACAATGTTCCCAGGTAGACTTTCTAAACCCTCCCACAGCTCCCTGCTGCCTATCAAATGAAGTGTAAACTACTAGGTATCAACAGAAATCCTGTACAACTACTTTTATCAGCCCACTTATTCAAGCACCTTAAGATCTGAACTACTCCTTGTCCCTCAAACAGTCCAGTACCTTCACTCTTCTAGCTTTGTTTATGCAGTCCCATCTCCCTTATTCAAGGCTCCATCCAAACCCACCCCATCTCCATTTCAGGGGTTTGTACAAACTAAGCATTGAAAAAGCAAAGGGCAAGAACAGTTTCTTAAAAATTGGAGACTGAAAGAGCAAATCCCTCCCTAAATGTGTACAAACTAGGTAACTTTTTTTTTTTTTTTTACTTTTTACAAATACATTTAAACTATAAATTGGAAACACAAATAATCATGAGTGGCTCTAACTTGTTTTTCTATCCCACCAAGTATTTCAAACCAGAAGTAATTATGAAAGCATATTTTCAAGTTTTGACGCACTCCATCAGCCACCCTCACCCACTGAAATCTAAATTCCTATTATATGGTAAAAGGAAACCATCTACCTTTGTGAAAAGTTGTGTATTTTTATTTCAACAATCTATCACACTAACTACAAAACCCTGGAAGACAAGACAAATCCAAGCCTCTGGCCAGCAGGGTTATGGATATGGGCATGTGGAATTTGGGTCCAACTTCAGGAAAATGGCAAAATCAAAGGTAAATGCAGGAAAATTAAACAGATCTTGAAGAAGGCATTTAGAAGCACATCATGATTAAGTCGTGGATCACCAGTGATCTTCATACTAACTAGAAAAGTTTAGGCAAACAGAAACGATAACATCTCTTAAAAGAATCATGGCTAGAGGCAAAGACAAGCTTATCTCTCAGGCTGGAAAGGTCCAGCCTAAACAGAGTGAACTTGGTCTCTACACTTATTTGCAACTAGAAGCTTTGAATACCCTGAGTATTCAAACACAGCACACCAGGACAGAATCAGCCCAGTACAAAGGCCTTCCTTCTGACCACATCAAACCTCTCCCTAAATGCCAAGTTACAGATGAACAGAAGACATTTGTCTCTAAAGTTTTAGAGCCAAACATACAAAACACAAACAAACAAACAAAAAACAAAACCAGGCATCACAACCTTTACCACACCATCCTTTGGGGAACTTGCAGCAGGGACAAAAGCACTCCAAAATTGGTGAAATAAGTCATATGAGCTTATAGATGACAGCTGGGTAGGCAGTCAAAGGGATCATCTGCCCGACACACACCATTCCTATAGCAAATGCTTTATCTTTCCCATTCAAATCACTAAGTGGTATTTTCAGGATATGTTTGTGGTTTCACTTAATTAAGCAAGAGAATAGTCAACCAAGTGCTAAAATCACAAGGCTAACAATGTCAGTTACAGGAACAAGCCATTAGTTTGTTTTCTTTAACTCTCTTTGCTTTGTGATTCCTAAAATAAAGGTTTGTAGCTTTAAATGTCAAAGGATTTATTCAATCTAGAATCCTTGTCAATTCTCCAGCCCACCCACATACCATGTTAGCTGTCTCACTAGCTCTACGAATTCCTCAAACCCACATTTTCAGCCTTGGGGCTAACAACGGCCCAAGAACTTGCAGAGACAATGCACTGAACAGCTGCACGCGTCATAAGGAGAATGTTCTTTGGCAGCAAACACTAACGTTTTTCTGTCTCTTGGCCCTTTATGACTTCTACGGACAAAGTACACAGTCTCCTTCATGCCAGTCTTTCTGAGGTTTTGTAGTTTCAGAGCTGGCAGGTTCAAAAGCTTTGAGGTTAGAGAGGTAAGATAATGAGTTTAGGGTCCCAAGTCCTTCTCTTCAGTCTAAGTCCATTACAGGTATCCAGTTTGAGCAATGGGAAAGTAAAGATCTGGCGAAAAAGATCTGCTTAAGTTTCATGTTTTGTTCATTCATCCATTCAACGAACATCTCCATGCAGCTCCCACGAATTCAGGAGAGTCCTGAGGTACAGCAATGAAGAAGCATCTTGGAGTGCTGATTTGCTGTGGATGGTGTGTGCAGAACATATACAAGTATGAACACATAGAAGAAAACAGTACATCAGCAATAAGTAAGAGTGCTGTGGAATACATATAGAGAAGAATAAGGGGGGTTGAAAATGTGGAGATGAAGACGGGTAGTTTCCAGCATTAAACAAGCAGGCCTCAATGAAAAGGTGAGCTTTGAACCAAGGTTTGAAGGAGATATGGGCTGGCTGCTGTGATAGGAAGAAAAATCCCCTTCCCCTCAATGTCTACATCCTACTCCCAGAAGTGTGAATATGTTATGTTACATGACAAGGGGGAATTAAGATTGTAGAATTAAAGCTGCTAATCAGCTCACCTTGAGAAAGGGAGATTATCCTTGGTTACTGAGGTGGGCCTAAGGTAATTACAAGGTTCCTTATAAGTGAAAGAGGAAGGTGAGACTGTCAGGGTGATGAAGCATGAGAAGAAATCGAAAGGACATTGCTGGCTTTAAATGGGGCCACCAGCCAAGGAATATAAGCAGCCTCTAGGAGCTGCAAAAGGCAAGGAAACAATCTCTCATAAAGACTCTGGGAGGAATGCAGCCCTGCCAACACTTTAATCTTAGCCCACTGAGAACCACTTTGGACTTCTGATGTTCTTCGGAATTTTAAGACAATAAATCTTGTATTGTTTTAAGCCAGTAAATTTAAAGTAATTTGTTAGAGGTCTAACAGGAAGTAAAGACAGCCCCCATGGAGATATCTAGAAGAAAAGATTCTAGGCAGAGACCTGCCAGTGCAAAGCTTGTCTGCTGTGCAGAATGACAAGGAGATAACAGGGAGAGTAGGAGGAGATGAGTCTAAGAGGTAATGAGGCCGGAACACATAGGGCCTTGAAGGCCACCATAACAAAAAAGGAAACTATAAAAGGTTTTCAGCAAAAGAGTAGCATGTGGCTACTGTGAAAATAAATTGTGTGTGGGTGTGCAGGAAGACTCAGTGAGTTTGGAAACAGACCAGTCAAGAAGCAACTGCAGCAATTCAGGTGCAGGATGACAGTGACTCCCACCAGGGTGAAGTTGGGGAGAAGTCATCAGATTCTGGATATACCCAGAAGAAAACACATTATTAAGGTGCTACATTTTAATTACATCAGTACACTGTTGAAATCCATTGTCAAAAAACTGGTTTAGATACTAACTGCTCACATTCCTACAAACCACCAAAACATTTACTATGCTCTGGACACTAAGAACACAAGATGAATAAGCAAAGGAAGAGATTTTATGGACAGTTGTGCCTTAAAAGAAAATAAGGATATATATATAAATCTATATATAGATATATATAGGAAACCCAACATACAAAAATTTTGACTTTATAAATATTAAATCCAGAGTTATTCACTTTATGGTTGGATATTCACTATTCACTTTATATTTGCTACTAAATGAATCCACTGCCAGCTTCTTAAAGAATCAACTGATTCATTTAGGAGCAAATATAAAATCACAAATCAGTAGCTTAAAACATGCAACTACTACTAAACATAGTATATCAGAAAATTGATTTGTAATCTATGTGAGCCCCCTTAAAACTTTCAGAATTCAAAGTAAAATAGCTCAAAGCTCTCCCCAAAAGTTTAAAAACAAAGTGGATGAAGATTAGATTAAGTCACATTTTGTAAAATGGGAGTAAACTTTAAAATCTGTATTTTTCAACAGGGTCATTTATATACCTCTACAATAGTAAAGGTTAAGCCATGAGATAACTCTGTCTTGGTTATAGGCTGGAATACACTAAATCATTACCTTCTGGTGATGAATCATTCCAACCCCATTCTTTCATTCCAACCTAAGTGGACCCAATTAATTTCCATGCCATTATTTGGCAATAGAATCTAAAAAGGGATATGAGTACAACAAGAATAAAATCAACTACTCCCTCAGTTTTGTGGCAGAGGTTTTGTTTGGTATAGGCAGATTAATCTGAATTGCTAAATTAAGACAGTTAACATAGTAATCAACACAGAAATTGGATTAACTTCACATTCTTCTACAAAAGTCACAGCTATCAGGAACCCCCTCAGGGTAGTACAAATTGTGAAAGGCTGATTGGAAATCCTCAAATTAATCCCAGTAGTTGAGTGTTTTCATTAGGTAGGTTAAAAACATAGCTCCTCTGTTGGATACAGACACTAAAATACTCTGTCATGTACAAACTCCAAAGCAGAAAGAATGACTAATCTTAAAGGGAAAATAAAAGACAAGGAAGGTTTATGGACAAAAATAATGTTTTTTAACTCACAAATGTTATAAAGGCCACAACACTCCTCCTGGCCAGTGAGGTTAACATTTTATTTTTCACTGTTATTTAGCAGGACTTAGAGATAGAAAACCAAATGCTACACTGTTTAACCTCAAGCAGCTTACACCAAAAAAAAAAAAAAAAAAAAAAAGGCATCTAAAATGTCAACCAACAAGATTTATTTCCTTAGTAACATTAGGAGGCTACAAATAAAGGGATGCCATCCCAGGGCACATAAATATCTTAGAATTCATTGATGTATTGTGGAGAGCAAAACAAGGAGTCTAAAAACCTTGATCAATACAGACAGCTTCCTTCTGCTCTGAACTGTGGATCATCTCAATTACTGGTATTCACCTATGAAATGTGTTTTTCTTTTCTGTTGATGTGTAACGTCCTGAGATTCCCAAGACATGTATACTTGTGATTTAGAGACACAACTATGTTTTATTTACTATGGAAATTTGAGGCATCTTAAAAAAACAAGATTCACACCCTAAGATAGTAACTTTATTTCCTTTGGTCCACCTCTGCCTCTTGCTCCCCCAAAGACAGCTTTCTTTAAAAACCGACATCCCAGCTAGAACAAAACACACCTAGGTACATCTGTGACTTTTTATGGTAATTAAGTTCCTGGTTATTTACTACATTTCAAGAAAAAAAAGTGGGGGAGGGGGAGAATTTACATTCAATGCAAGTGTTATTTTTATTCAGTGATTCCAAAGTGAGGAAAGGGTTGCTAAGGGCGAGAAGTATCTCAAGGAAATGTCTTGTTAATCTGCTACATAAGAATGTATATAAGAGTTAATAATGTTTTTCAAAAAAGTTAATGCTAGACACTATAGAACAGGTAAGGCCCTTCTTAGCCTCAGACCTTATCCACTTATATCCACATCAGGCACATACACCCAATTTCGAACAACCCCCTAACAGAGAAAGGGGTCAATATGCTTAGATTGATGACCTCACCATCTCACCCAGCATAGAGCTTCCTCTTACTCCTACTTTTGTCAGACTTCCCGCTTTGCAAGTTGTCTTAGTATCATTCAAGTAAAGCACATTTGAAACGAACGCTTAAGGATCTCAAAAAGTAGGTGGGGCAAGTACCCCCATGTTACAGATGAAAAATGAAGCAAGTGTATGAGCATATATGTATATGTATAACCTGTATATACATTATACACACATATTCCCAAGTGTTGATGAGAAACATCTATCCCCCACAGGCTGAAGAGGAGAAGGGAGCACATACGCAATTACAGGCTACATTTTAACAGGAAATTATTCTTAAGACTCAAATCACAAAAGCATTAGCCTTTGAATTATTTCCACTCTAGGAAGGAAAAGAGCAGGTAAAGGGGTCTGTTCTCTTTAAAAGCTTTAATTACATATACATATTTTGTCTGATAATGTCAAAGCACTTTACAAACTCTAAGGTGCCAAGTGAACAGAGGGTATTATCATTATTGCTGGACAAAACAAGATGTCTCTTAAAATGTTAGCATAGAAAATTTGCTTATCTGGGCCTGGCGCAGTGGCTCACACTTCTAATCCCTGCACTTTGGGAGGCCGAGGCGGGCAGATCACGAGGTCAGGATATCGAGACCACCCTGGCTAACACGGTGAAACCCCATCTCTATTAAAAATACAAAAAATTAGCCGGACTTGGTGGCGGGCGCCTGTAGTCCCAGCTACACGGGAGGCTGAGGCAGGACAATGGCATGAACCCAGGAGGCAGAGCTTGCAGTGAGTCTAGATCGCACCACTGCACCCCAAGCCTGGGCAAAAGTGCGAGAGACTCCATCTCAAAAAAAAAAAAAAAAAAAAAAAAAGAAAGAAAGAAAGAAAGAAAATTTGCTTATCTGTCTTTTGGATTAAGCCTGTCAGTTTTTCTTCCCCCCACATCTAAATGGACAGCAAGGCTGCAGAGTCGTGTTGGGAGCCTTTTAACATGGAAAGGAAAGACTGTGGACAGAAAGTACAGTATGCAGACTTTTCCTAATCATGACTGTTAATTCCTGTCCTGGACTGCTGAAGCAGATGCTATGTTAAACTACATTTAGCACAGTCACAAACGGTGACTAAGGAAGTTAAAAATTTTTACTTGCAATGCTGCAATTTTTAACCCCAGACCTCCAAAGACTATGTTTAAATATACAGAGTACTAACAGCCCAAGTACTTCACATTAGAATTACAGCCTTGCCTATTTTAATTTACCTTATTTTTAAAAGTGTGTGACCCCCACCCCCCTCCCCAACTCCCCATAAAAATACACATCTCCCATCCTCTTTGAGCCTGCTTATGCTCAGGCTCTTGGAATTTTAATAAGATTAGAAATTGCTACCTCCTTATTCTGGCTAAGAACTCCAAAGATGATCCAGGCATCTTGTACTTATATTCAGATTTACAATACAGAGAAAACAAGAGTGTAGAAATCTAATCCACGATTATACCCTAGAATCTAGATTAATAATGTGTACATTATGAGATCACATGGGATCAAGTTTCCACAATTAATGGATCAGGCAAATGATCCATGTATCTACATTCATACAAAATCATACACTCTCCTATCATCTTTCTCCTATCATGATCTTCAAAAATGACCTGAATTTAAACTGTGGCTTTAAAATCACATTTAATTACAAGAAAAATAGAAAAGGAACTTTCCGTGGGATTTGAGTATCTTTTGCTACAGTAAAGAAGTTCAGATGATCTCCCTGCCTTCTGGAGAATCCAACGAATCCTACAACTAAAAGTAAAAATAAATGGCAAGGGAAAGAAACTAGCAATTATTGATTCCTCTTTCCATGCCAGTCTCAAGCTAGATATTTACAAACAAAATCTTATTTAATCCTCTTGTGGAGCGGGCAAGGTGACTCACGCTTGTAATTCCAACACTTTGGAAGGCTGGAGGACACCACTGCACTCCAGCTTGGGTGGCAGAGCAAGACCATGTCTCCAAAACAAATCTTATGCACTATAAGCTATATTACATTCTCTTCAATTTACAAATGAGAATTTCAAAACTTCAAGAGTTCACACAAGTATTAAGTGAGAAACTGGGATTTGAAATCAGTGCTGAGACCCCATCTAGAGCTTCCTAGCTGATCTCTCTATTTCCAGGCTTGCCCCTTTCTCCAATCCTTCCTCCATTCCACGGCTGTGGGGATCTAACTAAAATAATGGGCAGCACTCCACTACTATCTCTTTTAAAGCTCTGCTCACTCCACGTTGCCTATGAAGTAACATCTCAGCTCCCTAGTGAGGCAGCTGACTTGACCGAGCTCCTACCTCTTCATCCACATGCCCAGCACCCCCGCATCATATACACAAGCTCTAACAAGCTCCCAGTAGTTCTTCCCACTCCCAGTGTTTTCCAGTGTCACCCAACCTGTTTTCTCCACCTGCAACAGCCTACCTTTCTTCTCCTGCCTCATGGAAACATCCTCAGCACCGGAAGAGAGCAGACAAACCTCGAGGAAGCCTTCTGTGAACCACTCAGTTGGACCAGATAACTCTGTGTGCTCCTATATGCCTGACTCACCTTTATCTCCCCAGTAAAAAATATCAAGACAGATCCATAAAGAGAATGAATGCCATGAATTGTGATTCAAGGTGGCAAGTAAAAAACAACCCCCTTACTTATCCATGTGGTTTTATGTTCCCTGCCAAGTGGGAAAAATTTCCATTGCAACCCTGTATAGCTGGAGGAGCAGCCAAAGTCATCTCAGGTTGTTTATAAAGAGGAAGGTAGACTGTCAAGGGGAAAAAGGGGAAAGTAGGCTGTCAAGTCCTACCACTAACACACACATCTCTTTCCGCATATAGCTACTAATTCCATATTGTAAGCTCAAACTTCAAGTGGAATCAGCATTTTTTAATTCCTAGCTACAAGCCTTTGTTAAAACAATATAAACCTCAGGGAGGAACCAGGGACAGGTGTGTTCCATTGTCACCATCTCACAGTTCAAAATAAGCCAATCTCATCACCAATGTGTAAAATCAAGAGGAAACCTGAAGTTTATACTCTCTCCCCAACACAGCCAAGGTCTGGTGTGTAGAATACCAAAAAGAGGAGTAAAGAAACTCCCCAAGGCTAGAAAAGCAACATTCCTGATCTACTGCATGTACCAAGCGCTGTGCTCAGATGCTGGGAAAACAAAGATGTACAAAACCCCACTCATTCCACCCCTCACGGAACTTCTCCAAAACACACCTGTGTCCTAAGAAGGTGTCCAAAGAAGTCAAACGCACACAAGGAAACCTTTAAGAACCCGCAGCCAGAAATAATCCCTTCTCTACCTGACCTATGCTAAATAGTTTGCTATCAAAAAAAAAAAAAAAAAAAAAAAGATGGCAAAATCACTGCTGCTATGGAAACTACCACTTCTAACTTCAATATTTGAGTGTGGACACGTATTTGAGAAGAAATGAGGCATTTTGCTTCCCAGTGTTTAAAGTGCTAAACAACAGGAGACTGTGCACAGCATTGATACTGAACATTAAAGTGGACTTCTGCCTCACTAAGAAAATTTTAAATTATAAAGAAGAGCAGGCTGAAGTTTTCCTGATTTAGAATTGCTCAGAGAGTTTTCCAGGTACCCATTTCCTGTTACAACTTCATCCTATGTAAAGTACAAGTTTCTTTAAAAGAACTCTCAGTAGAGTAGATTTAACATGTAAATTGCTTAGCAGTAAATAGTCTTTAACTGTTGATAAAACTTTCAGGAAGTACCTACTAAGTACCAGGCAATATAGTCTACAGCAGTTAGGACTGCAATCTCTTTCAGATCGAGCTAAAAAGAAATTCTCGCTATCATCCACTACTTTAATCTGAGATGGGTATGAACAAAAAGATCCTTAAACCACTCTTCTAAAGGGAACCATGACCCTGAACCCAAATTTTTCAATTCTTCTGTGAAGAGTGTAGATCTACTCAAATGCCACTCTATCGCTCTATCTTAGACTATTTTAAAGAGTTCCTTGACGATTCTGAGTGCCAGTCTCTAGTTGAGAATCACTATAAGGGAAATAGATGGTTTAGAAACGTGCCCTTTCTATACCCTTCTGCCCCACCCAAGCATGCTTTTTACATCCATCCTTTGTCAGGCTAAAACCCAGGATTCACAACAAAGATCTGGAGACTGCAGGCCTTGGAATTGAGTTGAGTCATCAGGACACTATTCTTTATTCTCCATTTCTAAAGAGCAAAAGTGGGAAACGGGGGGTATCATGAGGTAGAAGCAAGAACGGTAAATTAAAACTGAAGAAAACTTCCACTGCACTGGAACAGTAATTAGACCAAATTTGCCTGCCATCAATTAAGGAAGAACAACTGCTCTGCATCGCTGGCTACCAAGACAGCAGTTAGTTCTCTTAAGTAACTTCTTGCTCTAACTGGAAAATGACCCATACTTTTACTTGCCAAGAATAAAGACAGCTGGCCTCCTACATTACAAATAACCAAAATGGAAACAAGTGAATCTTTTTTATCCACCAAGGTTGACTACACATTAACTAAGACCTATTCTAATAAACATGGCCAACATAAACAGCAGCAGCCAGGTGGCCTACTCTGAACATTCTTCCTGATACAAAGTACATCATATACCTAAGGGCATGGTGAACAAAACCCCCCAGAGTGGCTATGACCAGCAGGAAGAAAACATTGAGGGGATGGGAGTCAAAAGTCTACTTAAAGTATTAAGCATTCAAATAAATGGCAGAATCCGAGGGCCAGCTTGCAAAAACAAAAAATAAAAAGCCAACAATGGACTCTGCTTAAATAAATCACGTGCGAGGTTGAAAAGAAGGACAAAGGAAAAGTGGCAAGGGATAGACAAAAACAAGCAGATTCTGTAACTCTCCTCAACCTCCAGGCCAAAGTTCGGACTGGCAGCTAGCGGGTAGATTTAGCCTGAAAACATGTTACGTGGTTTCTCCAACGTCCTTAAAAACAAAACAAAACACAAACAAAAACAGTAGTGTTCAACATTTAAAATTTCACCAATGTAACAATTTCACATTCATAAAACTATATTTCTGATTTCGCTTAATAAATAAAGTTTGGCAAGAGTCCATATTCCCAGAGCTACTAGCCAGCAGGTTGCCCTATAAATGGGGTGCCTTCTTTCCAGCTCTCCCAATACAGCCTTAATGTTCCGGCCCCTGCAAGGGCTGGATTTTAAGTAAAAGAGTATCATAGCCTAAATGTCAAATGTGCTAAAGAGTATATGCTTTTCTACCATGATGGAGAGGTTCAGAATGTCAGAGTACTGGGGGAGGGAGGGGGTTTTCCAAGGTCATCTAAACTGAGGATCTTTAATTGTAGACCTAATCATCTGTGAAAATATTCTAATGAATATGCATAACAAAAAATGAGGCAAAAAAGCATCAAGTCTGTGTCACTAAACATCCTAATATGACTGCCACAGACATTCAAAGCACTCTAAATAACTCATTTTGGCCTGTTTATACTACTATGGATTTGGATTAGAAAGTCATCCTGTCCACAAAGAATTAGGTATATCCTGTCCCTTCTGGGGGCTGAGTTTGAGACAGTTAATTCAAACCTAATCAAATATTTTGCTATGAGAAAGAAGAGGAGGGGCCAATGAAGTGCTTTATCCCCAGGATGAGGCAGTGAGTAGGGCAGCACACAAAAAAGATAAAAATCACCTGGCACTACACCAGAAGCCCTTGAATTAACATTAAATTTCCAGGTTAACGCTCTAAAAACTGTCTCATGACAAACCACAAATTGTATTTTGGAGGTAAAACAGGAGGTAAGTGGGGAAGGAACTGAAGGGTAAATAAGAGGTCTTACTTCACACTTTTTCTGCTGCTTTTGGTTTACCCCAGTAGAATCCCATGAAAACCTGCTTCACACTGGCAAAGTGGGCAGACAGAGGAACAAAGGCAATTCCAGGGCCTGCAGAAAGTCTTCAAAGGCAAGGGAAGAAAGCAACGCCCTGCCTAAACACTGGCTATTTATAGCACAGCAATGGAAGATCTGGGAGGTGGCTGAGGGAATATGAAAGCTAGAGAGTGGGTGGGCGGGCTTCCTTCTGGCTTCCTTAGACTCAGAAACTAATGCATTCTTCCCTGCCTCCAAAGCTGCTATTTTGTTTCCTGTGTAAGGTTTCAAAATACTGCAACACTGTCCCTAGGTGCATTTGACAATATCAGAGCAATTACAGTTTGGTTAAAATCTGAAGGTAATCAACTCACCATTCTTTGCTATTCTCTAGAAAAAGAGGCCTGAACAAAGAGGAGGAGACACCACCATCCAATTCATAAGGATGGTCTCCCAAAATCCCCTGAACTTTCACAGCGCGGAAAGTTTCTGTGATTTCAAGCAGAGACCAGGAGAAACTATACTTTTCACCTCTTCTCATTAACTAAAAGCCACAGCTAAAAATAAAAAGCTGGAGCAATTCCAAAACTGTGGGTTTTATAGGGCACATTAAATTATTCCTTATCAACTGCAAACCTTTAAGGTTGCAGAGTATTATGTTAATGCTATTGGCTTTTTCTTTTTTTTCCCCAGAATCGGTGATAGTGTTCCTTAAAAAAAAAAAAAAAAAAAAAAAAAAAAAAAAAAAAAAAAAAAAAAAAAAAAAAACTTCATGAACTTCCAAGTCCAATCTCTATTGCAAAGTAAAGTATGGGTTCCTAAATCTGCAGAGAATATCATCTATTCTACAAAACCTCACACATAACTTAGGTTGATTCTCTTTTCCAGGACTGTATTATAAAACATTTTGAACTGAGAACAGATCAACAGTTGGTATTAATAGTAAATTATAATAATCATTTTACACTTGTTTCCTAATCTCATGCATGAGATTCAAAAATAAGAAAGCAGTCTAACAACAGAGAATTTTCTAAACAGAATGTGAAGCTCTCACATTTATTCAAATATAAACACTAAAAAGTGTTTAGGGTTCCCCCTGGACATTCAATTGTTATTAACTCTTAAGATAAATTTCCAACTTAATAAACTTGGAAAATGGCTTTTTAAGCATATTTTCAATTTGTTGAAAGTTTATAATATTGAATCCTATGAGTCTTTTTATAATTATTTTCTTAGAAAATTTGTGGTCAATTTCCTGTGACCTTCGTAAAACTTAAACACACCTCTTAGCTCACATCCATAACTATGTTGGCTTATACCAACATTCTTCTTATATTCTTCATTAATGGTCAAGGTTAAAGAAATAAGAGTATTTGGTCTAAACTCAAATCAAATGATCATGTGTAACACACAGCAGCACCCAAAACATAAGCACTATTTTCCATAACTAAAACATCAGAACCTAAGGCATCCATTTATACCAAAATGAAGATTTTAGTTCAGCTCTTCAGGAGAGTTAAGACATGGCCAGGTAAATTAAGGCCAAAAAAGGGCAAGTCACAACACTATGTAGCATTCAGGAAATTTGGAGCAAATTTAAGCTTTCACATAAAACAGTCAGGGTTAGGAGTGGCCTCAGAGAAGCAATTATCTCATTCCCAAGTCCCAGGCTAACAAACTAACAGGGATATGGAAAAAAAGACTAGAACGAAGGTAAAAGCCTACATAAAGTCCAAAGACAATCACTGCTGGTCCTAAATCTATTTCTTAATGATTCTGTGACCCTCAACAAGTTTGTTATGTTCATAACTTCCCTCATCTATTAAGAACAGATTTTTCTCACTCTGCTAGCGAACAGGGTTATTAAAAGAAATAAGTTATAACAAATTACAGATAAAAGAATGGCTTATAAAAAATTTCAGGCACTATACAAAGTAGGGTATTGTTCTCAAGGCACTAACCTTCTTGAGAATTGTTTTCTGCTTTCATGCTCTCCTAAAAACACATCTTTAATTTATGGTAAGGTCAAACTGCCATTATCACTGCAACCTGAGAAATTCAAATTAATGGTCAAAGATACACATAAACACACACACTCCAGGCTTTGCTTTCTTCTTTCCCTCAAAAGGTCATGTTTTCACCAAACAGATCAGGAATTCTACAATATACTACGTTCCAAGTACCAAATATTTAAGCCACCAAAACATACAGCAGAATAGCATATTTAAGAAAAGTTTCTTTTTTTTCTTTCCTTTTTTTTTTTTTTTTGAAGATAGGTTCTAATTCTGTCACCAACCAGGCTGGAGTACAGTGGTGTGATCACAGCTCACTGCAGCCTCCTGGGCTCAAGGGATCCTCCTACCTCAGCCTCTTGAGTAGCTGGGACCACAGGTACACACCACCACACCCCGCTAATTTTTTAAATCTTTTTTTGTTTGTTTTTTGAGATGGAGTCTTGCTCTGCAACCCAGGCTGGAGTGCAGTGGCGGGATTCTCTGCTCACCGCAAACTCTGCCTCCCGGGTTCACACCATTCTCCTGCCTCAGCCTCCTGAGTAGCCGGCAACCGCCACCACGCCCGGCTAATTTTTTGTATTTTTAGTAGAGACGGGGTTTCAGCGTGTTAGTCAGGATGGTCTCGATCTCCTGACCTCGTGAGCCGCCCGCCTCGGCCTCCCAAAGTGCTGGGATTACAGGCGTGAGCCACCGCGCCTGGCTAATTTTTTAAAATCTTTTGTGGAGACGAGGTTTTGCCATGTTGCTCAGGCTGGTCTCAAACTCCTAGGTTCAAAGGATCCTCCCACCTCAGCCTCTCAAAGTGCTAGAATTACAGGCGTGAGCCACCATGCCCGACCAAGAAGTTTCTTTAACATAAAAATGTCCAAGCAGATAACCAAGTCAAAACACTTTTATTACTGAACAGCAGACGGTGATGTTTTAGTTGGCAATTTAAGAATCACACGCTATAGCTATTCCTGAAAAATTCAAAATCAAAGTACATCGTAAGCATTTGCTCAGAGGCTAGCATAGTGCTTAACGCAGAGTCTTAGCATTCTCAAAAACATGCAAGACCAGCCTGGCCAACATGGTGAAACCCCAGCTCTACTAAAAATACAAAAATTAAAAATACAAAAAATTAAAAATACAAAAAAAAAAATTACAGGCGTGTGGTAGTGCACACCTGTAATCCCAGCTACTCAGGAGGCTGAGGCAGGAGAATCACTTGAATCTGGGAGGCAGAGGTTGCAATGAGCCAAGATCCTGCCACCACACTCCAGACTGGGTGACAGAGCAAGACTGTCTCCAAAAAACAAACAAACAAACGAAAAGAAACCAAACCAAAACAAAAAACCATGCAAGAGCTTAAGCCATTTTAAAGAGCTGCAACCATGAACTAAGATTTAGCCTGAAGACAATTAGCGTACGTTCCATCCCATACCAAGAAAACCACTTTATATGCTCAAATACTTCTTGGTATATTCTGCCAATGAGGCGATTCTACCTGAATTTATTAATAAACTATTTACCAGCCTGCTTGACCACCAAGGTTTGGTAAACAGACTTGGGCCCGATGTGGAAGCATAGCTAAGGATGGAGACCCCGGGGCACAAGAAGTGAGCTGAAGTGAAACCAGGAAGGAAGACAAATTTCTTTGATAGCCTCTTCTCTTTCCAATCCCAGCTTCCCATCTCAGTTGCTCATTGTGCCTTCATCCCCTCTCCCATTTGAGAGCTCAGCTGAGTCTGCAGATATCCCAAGATACTAACTGGTAACTATTTGGCTAGAGTGAGAGCCCACTTCATTTTCTATGCATCCAACAAACTCTTATCTCAAAAGGGCAATAAGCATACCTGGAATTTACTCCAATACCTGTGAAAGGTAGCCAAACTCTACTCTCCGGAGGCGTGAAGTCATCATACTTCCAGATAAGACATTAATAAGCAGAATTATCCTTACCTCATTTGTTACACTTTAGTCCTCCAAATTAAAAACAGCCAAAGAGAAACTAGCTTGTAAACAAAAGTAAATATTCAAGGTGCCAAGACTGGAAGACAGCAAGATCTCACTCAGCTCACAGTCTGAAGCCACTTAAATGGAGTAACTCCAAGGAAAACCGAAAGTTAAACTGAAGAAAAACATGTAACTTCAGAGAGCATGAAAAACTGGTACAATTCTGCACAACTACAAAGTGGCCATGCACTAACCTGAAAACAACGAGGTTCATTATTGAATAAAGGCATCAGGAATTCTTGGAGATGGAGCTTTCAAATAAGGCTTTAGTCACCACTAAAAGGACACAGAAGAAAACAGATATGCCTCAAATATCAACACATTTGAAGGACAGACATCTGCATTCATTCTAACATGCAAATCCTATGTGCAGGGCACTGTGCTGGATAACCAAGATGACTCAGATAAGGAGTTCCCACTTACTGTCTAAGCAAAGAAGGGAACACATGCAGAACCACAACACAGGACGCAATCTGGTAAGTGTGAGAAGGAGAGATTGTATCTGGATGACAGATGAAAAAAAAAAATCAGGCTCAGAACAGAGAAAAGCCATGTGCACTAGGCTCTCTGTTGTCATAGGTTCAAATAAAGGGCAAAGTACACATAGTTGCAATCATTTTTAAAATGCTGGGCACAGGCCGGGCGCGGTGGCTCACACCTGTAATCCCAGCACTTTGGGAGGCTGAGGCGCGTGGATCACGAGGTCAGGAGATCGAGACCATCCTGGCTAACACGGTGAAACCCCGTCTCTACTAAAAAAAATACAAAAAAATTAGCCGGGCATGGTGGCGGGCGCCTGTAATCCCAGCTACTGAGGAGGCTGAGACAGGAGAATGGCGTGAACCTGGGAGGCAGAGCTTGCTGTGAGCCGAGATTGCGCCACGACACTCCAGCCTGGGGCCACAGAGCAAGACTCCGTCTCAAAAAACAAAAACAAAAATGCTGGGCACAGAGACTATAGCATAAACAAGACAGGTACTAAGGGAACTTAGTGGGAGAGACATATTAAACAAGCCAAAGAATAAAGCTAATGTTTAGAATTGCAGTTCATGCCATGAAGGAAAAAAGGATGCTGTGGGAATAAAACTGGGACAGTGATCAGAAGAAAAGCCTTCTGCAGATTAAGTGACATTTAAGCTGAGATCTAAAGATAAACATGACTACATATATGTAATACTTGGTCTTTGGAAGGTAAAGGATGGTGCCACACACATACTAGGTAGTGTTGGGGGCAGTGGGACTGGTGAATAAGACATAATTTGTACCCTGAGGAATGTCATCCTAGGGATGCAATTACATCCAATATGTGGAACCCAGCAGGCAGAGTTTTACAATTATGGATAAAACTTAAGCTACAGAGATCTTGAAACCCATCTATCCTCAACCATTCCTTTTTATCAAATGAAGGAAATGAAACCCAGAGGCTGGCTCAGTGTTTCTGAACTAGGTAGGTGCAGAGGTGGGGCACAACCTGTAACTCCCATTACATCACACTGCCAATTAACTTTTTAATCAGAATTTATGTGGAATGTCAGAATTCAGTAAATTGATCATGTACAAGAAACACTTAATATCCGTAGGGAAAAATAAGTAGACTTGGGCCTAAATGCCAAGTACTTCACTAGACATTGTGGGAAAAATCTTATTTGGTTCCAGGCAAAATAAGAAATGTAATGAGTTTTTTGTAAAGTGAAATATATTCAATTTCTCTTGTGAAGTTACGTGCATCCTACTTTGGGGCATCTAAGCAAACCAGGAAATGACAGTGATAATAGATAATGTGTCAGATGGTCTTAAATGCCTTTCCTTGGCAAAACAGAGTTGACAAACCTATTATTCCCCTCCCACAATGTACAGTTTTACTTCTTATTGTACTTCCCTGAGAAGTACATATATCAAGGAACAACTGTCACAATGAGGGTTGAGGCAGTAGAGGGAGCCACTCCCAGAGTTCACAGCAGCACTGTTCATCAAAGCACAAGAAATGAAAACAAAGTGTTTATCAAGGAAGATGAACAAGAAAGATATGAAGATAAAGTCATACAAGTTCACACAATTCAATGTTCTTCAGCAGCCAAGTAAGAGCCCACACATAGACCAAAGCATATTATAAAATGAGAATTTTGATGAATTTAACTTAGTGTCCTGGAGGACAAAAAAGGACTTAGGATCTTTTAGTTATCACAGCTGCACCTACAAGTCAAATATAGGCAAAATGAAACATTTTTAATCAGATATCTCCCAAATTTTGCATTACTTTAAGGATAGTGTGAAAACAAAAATAACAAGGGAGGAAACAATCCCCTTCAAATTGAAGCCACTATAGCTCAATCCTCACTGTCTCACGTCTGTTAACCCAAAACTCCCAGTATGAGTACGAATCAGTCACGACATAGAAATCTAGACCTATTCTGTCAATGAGCAGCTGCTCCAGGTCTGCATCAATCTGTAAACAGGTATTTCCAAAGCATATGACCAGCTCCAGTCTGAGCAGAATAACAGATCAAAACTGGAGAGGACACACAATGGGAAAAGTAGTTGATCGGTTTGATAGAGGAAGAGACACTGGGTCCCACTCAAAAATAAAGTATCTCAACTTTTTCACTGAATTTACATTCCCAAAGAATAGATTGTAAAATAAGTAAGAATCCCAGACTTTTCGGTACTTGAAGGTCACTATGAGGTCACCTGGCATAGTGATCTACTGCAAGAACAGCCTGACTGGTCTTCACTGATGCTACATTCTATTTTGTACTCTGTCTCAAGCTAGCTGAACTTGAGAGACTTCTAAGTCTATCCAAGGACATTTGAAACATTTGTGATAAATGCAGAGTATTTATCTCTGTTAACAATGAAGAAAAGTCACCTTCCAGAAGAATTGCTGTGAAAGCCCACATCGTGTGCACTATTTTTTAAAAAGTAACATAGAAAAGCTGTTTAACATACCAGGAAAGTCAAGGAGAACTTTAAAAAAATTATAACCATAATACCTAATTTCATCAAAATGATGTAAGCAACAAAGATCTAATTTATATTGAGATAAACTATATAGGCTCAGACTATTCAGGCAAGGAACCAGTAAATGCTTATTTCATACTGAAATTTACAGGACATGAATGACTTAGCAATATATATTGACCCTGAGCTACTGAAATGACAACAACCCAAAGGTGATTACTGACATATCAGAAGAATAACAATGAAACTTGAGGGCGAGAGTCTCTTTCACACTTTAAAAAAAAAATGCAGCTCAATAAAAATGTACCTATTAAAAATAGAAAGACAGTTATCCCTTTCAACTGGTGTTGATCTGCCCTTTATTACTGGAGATAGACTGTATCACTCAGAAAGTTACCCTGAAGCTATAAGAAGCTTGGAGGAAAATATTAAACTTCAAGGTACAGATAGGACCAGGAGCCTGTTAAGACAGAAAACGAAGACATTAATGTTCAAAAAGTATATAAGCAGGAAACCTGCAGTAGTCTCAGTAACAGATTTTAGTGGCAAAAAAAAAAAAAAAAAAAAAAGAGAGAGAGAGAAAGGAAAGCCTTTTAAAAATCTAAGCCACTGGAATTTTAAAGTGACACCCACATGACCCAGTTTACTTTTCTATTCAAAGAAGTTCTGATGCTGTTTCTCTATTTCTCTTTGGAAGTTTTTCATGTCCAATATATTGCAAAAGATAAAAGGTACACTTTTATTTAAGCACACAATGGAATAAAACATCACTGAGGAACTTGGACCTGTAAATAAATTTTAATGGGAAAGACAAGAATTCAAACATGAGGAAAGGGCAACAGATATATATACGGCAAATGTGAGAAAGAATATGAGCATTTGGAAAAGGAAGACAACATTGTTGGACAGGGTAGGATGACAGCTATTAATTTAATTTAGGATATGCTAGGCCATGCTCTAAGCCGTTTTAAAGGGCATTACCCCCCTGTGATCCTAATAACTTAATAAAATGGGTCATTTCATCCCCATTTTTTTTTTTTTTGAGACGGAGTTTCGCTCTTGTCTCCCAGGCTGGAGTGCAATGGCATGATCTTAGCTCACTGCAAACTGCCTCAGCCTCCAGAGTAGCTAGGATTACAGGCACCCGCCACCATGCCCAGCTAATTTTTCTATTTTTAATAGAGATGGGTTTCCACCATGTTGGCCAGGCTGGTCTCGAACTCCTAACCTCAGGTGATCCAACCGCCTCAGCCTCCTAAAGTGCTGGGATTACAGGCATGAGCCACCACGCCTGGCCTCATCCCTATTTTTCAAATGAGGAAATAGGCTTAAAAAAACAAAAAAAAAAGATTAACTTTTCCAGAACTCACAAAACCTGCCAATGTGGGTCTAACAAACTCCAGAGCCCATGCTCTTTGCACCACACATCAATGAAGCAGCTAAAATAACCAATATCTTGCTTCACCCCAGACCAATTAAATAAGAATCTCTCCTAAGGGCCCAGATACTGGCATTTTTATCAGCACCCGATTTGATTCTAATCTGCAAGCAAGGATGAGAACCACTGTAAAAGACTTTTGTAAGACAAGTGGACTATCAGCTAGGTAGTGCCAAACAAACAAGAGTCAAATAATCAGAGACTGGGGAATTCATCCAGCTTTTAGAGGGCAAACAGAAGTTCAAAAACAGTGGAGGTGCTGAGGCAGAGCTGATCCAGACTAACTTCAGGGAAAGTCTGAACACAGGCTTTAGTCCAAGCAGTGATTAAAAAGGCGCAAAAAACCAGGTTGGAATCATTTTGCTGAGAGAATGAACTACAGGTTAGAAAATTTTTACTTTTAAGACTGTAGGTAA
Source organism: Homo sapiens (assembly GCF_000001405.40). Classification (NCBI taxonomy): domain Eukaryota; kingdom Metazoa; phylum Chordata; class Mammalia; order Primates; family Hominidae; genus Homo; species Homo sapiens. The sequence continues at coordinate 23,788,089 of NC_000009.12, forward strand.
GAAGGGAGCACAAAATGACTTTTACAGCTAATGTAACCAATGGGTATGAATTTTAGGAAAATAAGGAAAAAATAACAGTTGACTAACCTAAAGCCAATGGACCAGGATATAAAATATAACAAGTGAGTGACAATAAACAGAGCTTGCTGAGCAATCGGATATAGCCTAGTAGTTACAACTGTTAACTCTACGGTGATCCCTTCTAGCATTTGCCATCCTAAGTCTTGATTTCCTCATTTAGGAAATGGAGAAAATAATCCTATCATCTCATTCAGTTATTGGAATAAATATATGAGATATGGCAGTCCCCTTTTTACCAGGCACTCAAAAGCCCCAATAGATGCCTGAAACTTCAGATAGAACTGACCCCTACCATGTTTTTTCCTACACATACCTATGATAAAATTTAATTTCTAAACTGGGCCCAGTAAGACATTAACAATAACTAAGAACTGCTGTAACAGTACACTGTAATAAAAGTTATGTATATGTGATCTCTCAGCGTATTTAGTTTTCTTTAAGTCGAGAACTTTCACCTTTTTACTTAAAGGGAACATGGAGCACTTTAACATCCTCTCTTTGGCATGTCAGAACTGCCAGCATCACTACTCTTGTGCTTTGGGGCCGCTGAAAGTAAAAGAAGGGCTACTTGAACACGAGCAGTGCAATACCTCGAAAGTCAATCTTATAACTGAGATGGCTATACTAAGGGACTAACAGCATGGATACACTAGACAAAGGGAGGATTCACATCCTGACTGGTCAGCATGAGGGTACATCACACTATTCAGAAGTACACGCAGTGTAAAACTTGTGAATTGTTTATGCCTGGAATTTTCCATTTAATATTTGTGAACCACAGTTGACTGCAGGTAACGGAAATCATGGAAAGCGAAACTGTGGGTAAGGAGGAACTACTGCCATCCAAGCAAAAGAAAAGAGACCAACGGCTTCTGTATTCTTATAGAGGGCAGTGTAAGAATATAGTCCCCCAATTTTTTCCTTCTTACCATTACAACTTTAGATGGCCTTGTTAAAGACTCAGTAAATGGGGAATAGAAGTTTGGCCTGCTTATTCAGTTCCTATTAGTCCCTATATAGAGGGACTGCTTATTCAGTCCCTATACAGAGGGTCAGTGACCCTCTATATCAGTCTAGGCCAGTGCCCAGACACTAGACGCAGCCACAAGAAATGCAAGTTTTCCTAAATGGTAAGGTGGAATGTATGTCCCCTAACCCTACTGAAGTGACCGTCATTTCACAAATAGTGAATTTATATATTAAGTGATTTATTAAATTTATGCTACATACAAAATTACGTATTAAAATGCATATGTGTCCTCAACTGAATTCTTGAGGCATAGTATTGAGGAAACAGTTCAAAATAGTAATACAATTCGGTAAAACTTTTAATTATTTCTCAAAAGAATCCACACAACTTAAAATCTGACACCTGCTGAATGATAAAGCTTGGTCATCTGCACAACTTCCTATTCAACTTTCATTTTCACAAACCTTATTTTGTCTTAAGATGATTTCCACGCACTCAGCAGGGTAATCTTTTAGCTAAATGATCCGAAACCCACAATCTGAATGGCAAGAAATTGCTTCCTAAATAATGTATCGTATTATACAAGCTATCACATATCTCCCTTCCCCAGAAAAGTAAATAAACATTCTTAAAGACAGCCCAGAGGAAAACAGTATGGTTGCAAAACAGTTAGCTTCTTATATCTTTCAAGACTTTACTAAATGTCACTTATAAATGAGAAAACATATTTGAAGTTTTTAAGTGTTCTATGCTTTTTAAACCCTTTCCTGAATGTATACAGGTAGGACACTCAGAGGTAAGGTAAGGGGTAACCATGTTCCTAAATTACATTAATTTCTAATGCCTGAAACCAAAGTTTTCAAAGGGCTATAAATGCTTGAATAATCCATTAAGATACACAAAATGACAGGTTGATGGTAAAAAAGGGGAAAAAAAAAAAACAACCTTTCAACAAATGACAAATTTTCTCCTAAATCATTCTTTGGTTAGAGGACCAATGTAAAAGAGGCAGGTCCGAGTGCTGTTTTGTACTGGAAACAAAACAGATGTAACAGGTGTAATGAATACCAGAGAGAGATGAGACAGAAAATCTTGAAATTAAACTTCTGTGGTAGAAAAAAAGAGAGGGAATACAAAAATATATGGAAATGCCTGGTTGGATGAAAGGAGAGTAGATATTCTAACCAAACCATTTAAATCCACATTATTAGACACCCCAATACCCGCTTTCCCAGTCTGTGACTGCACAGGTAAAGCCAAAATATATTTTCTGCTTTGGAATAGATTTTCTACTTAGGATTAGTTACAGGCATATCGGCTGCTCTGGGAATTCACTTTCAAATATAATGAGGCCACACTAAAAACTTGAAGGAAGTGAAATAGTATCCTTCATCTCATCTGTCACCATAAAGCTCAACGTAAAGAAAGCTAAAAGGCTCACTGCAGTCCCTCAAGAAAAAGTTAAAGGTTTGACTCTCTGCTGATTACCTTGAATAGACAGCCAAATTAGGCTGGAGCAAATAACTATAAACTGACTATCTAATGTAACTAGGCATTAGCCATTCATCCCAGAGCTTTAATTTTATGTTTTATATATTACGGTTCCCCTGGTGATTTTCCGCATACCTCATTAAGTTCTGACTTGAGGATGTCTGCTCTGGACGAGCACACAGAGCAACACAACACAAAACATCCTAAACCTCACATCTCTTAGTATTTCCAACACAAACATCGCAGGTCTCCTGATGAACACTTAACCTCTACATGTTCTCTAAGTACAGAGTGCCTAGAGTCTCAGAGCTGCACAGACACCAGCAGACATTCTGTGAAAACACTGCCAAGACCCTCTTGACATCTGTGGCAAAAACATCCTGTCTTCTAAATATATGTTCTGTTTAAGTGGCTTTTAAAGCATAAGCATGGTGCCTTTAAAAGCAGTTTGTAACAAGAGGTCAAACTATAAAACTGAAGAGGTTAGAGAAGAAATCAATTGTATATCAATTGTCAAAACTCAACTTTAAAAGGCAGAGGTGGTCACAAACTACTGTACAGACAGGGTAAATGGAAAAGAAATCTCCAGGTTGAAAACGGCAAATGCTAATCGCAGGGGTGGGAGCAAGGAGTCTTGACCAATCGTAAAGATGAGAAAGCATTTCCCTTCTGGAATGAAAAACTAAAACTGTAGATCAGAAATTCAGGGGAAAAGAATCATTTCTGTTCATGCCTCGAGAAATTAAATACCCTTACCCCTGTTAGAGAACTGAAGTGTATCTCCCAAAATTAACATGTTGAAACCATAATCTCCAACGTGACTATATTTGAAAACAGGGTTGTGTAGTTCAGTAGTTTCAGTAGAAACGGTACTTCAAGTAACTACACAACCACTCTGTTTTTCACTCTATTTCCTTAATTATTTCAGGAAATAAGGCTAAATGAGGTCATAAGTGTAAATAATTAAGAATAAATGAGGTCACAAGTATGGGGCCCTAATCCAATAGGATTGGTGTCCATATAAGAAAAGGAAGAGACACCAATGATTTCTCCTTCTTTACATACCCAGAGTAAAAGCTAAGTGAGGACACAGTGAGAAGGTGGCCTTCTGCAAGCCTGAAACAGTGGTCTTGCCAGAAACCAACACTACCAAAACCTTGATCTTGGTCTTCCAGCCTCCAGAACCATGAGAAAATAAATTTCTATTGTTTTTGCTACCCAGGCTATGGTATTCTGTTATGGCAGCCTAAGCAAACTAATACAACCCCCACACCAATTCTTAATCTCTCAGTTGTCTTTTCCTCTCATTGCTGCCACCCAATCTTTTCCTGGAATCTGAACCTTAGGTATGCAAATAGTCCCCAACTTACATGGTTTGACTTAACAGTTTCTAAACTTTGTAATGGTGCAAGATCGATACACATTCAGTAGAAACAGCACTTCAAGTAACTACACCATCATTCTATTTTTCACTGTCAGTATTCAGTAAATTACATGAAACATTCAACACTTTTATTATAAAACAGGCTTTGTGTTAGATGGTTTTGCCCAATTATAGGCTAATGCAAGTGTTCTAAGCAGATTTAAGGCAGGCTAGGCGAAAGCTATGATGTTAAGCAGGTTAAGTATGTTAAATGTATTTTCTACTTATGACATCTTCAACTTAACTTAAAGATGGGTTTATCAGGACATAAGCCCCATCATAAGTCAGAGCACCTTCTTGTAGCCACTGAACCATGCCCCCTCGCTTTTGAATCAACACTGTCATCTATCCATAACTGCTAATTTACCTTCACTAAAATGAGTGTCTACCAATATCTACCCCTCATCCTCCAATTCCCATGAGACCAGGGCAAGCCTTTATCATCATATACACTGCTTCAAATCTGTCTCCTCCTCCAACATGCTCATCTTTATATAATGGCTAGCTTCAACTTCCCAAAAACATCTCATGCTATCACTTGCTCAAATACCATCAATTGTATACATACAGACCTTCATTTAAGGGCCTTTTTAACTTTCTAATCCATCCCTAATGTTTTCTCCCAACTTCTCAAGCCAAAACCCTGCATAAGGTCAAAATGACCCATAACCATCCTCTGAATCTGTTGCATTATTTTATTTACTTCCTTTTTTCATATTTTTCTTTTATTTTTTAGACACAAGTTCTTACTCTGTCGCCCAGGATGGAGTACAGCGGTGTGGTCACAGCTCACGGTGGCCTCCAACTCCTAGAATCATGCTATCCTCCCCCGTCGGCCTTCCAAGTATCTGGGACTACAGGCATGCATCACCACACCCAGTTATTTTTTATTTTTTACTTTTTGTAGACACAGGGTCCTCACTATGTTGTTGAGACTGGTCTTGAACTCCTGGCCTCAAGCAATCCCTCCCCGCAAGGCCTCCCAAAGTGCTGGGATTACAGGAGTGAGGCACCACTGCCTGGCCTGTTTCCTTGCTTTTATTCCTATTGTTGTGACAATTTGGAATGTCCTCTCTGCTTATTTCCTTTCTAAATGGCAGCTGGAAGAAAGAAGTTCTGAAGAACATTACACAATCACAAGGGGCTTGTTATGGCAAAACCTTCTACCCTCAACTGCTGCTCTGCCACATACTGATTTTATTCAAATAGGCTTTTACCTCCACCAAATCATGCCAGGTACTTACACAATATCTGAAAGATGGTACCAATTTCAGCTCCACATAAATAGAAAATGGGAAGATCTGACACAAATGAAATTCAGAGTTTTCAGAGGCTCTCATCTCCCCCTAAGTATTATCATCCTAAGTAAGGTCTAGAGACCATGAGACACACATATAGATTTGATCTGAGCTCAATCAGTTCTTCTCTCAAACCCTCAACTTTTTTTCTAAAGCTATCACCTAAATCCCAGCAACAAAACTAATAGAGTCTCTCAGATTTTCCCAATTTTCAACGATCCCCTCCCCTATCATTCCTCCAAAGAACATCATAACAAGCCTCTTCAACACTCTCTTTATGAGAGCCTGAGCTTCGTAACCTATACTGGATCCTTATTGATTTTCATCATGTGAGTGACAAAACACAGTAATATACTAAGATTTCCAACAACCTGAATACCTGGCTCTTGATTTTTACATGCCCCCAAAATAGCCTCTGTCCCACTCAGTGGACTTTCCACCTCCAAACTTTTATAACTATTTTCTCCACTCATGATCTTCTCCCTACTGGTTCCAATTTACACGCATGCTCTTCATTATAAGCTTTGCTGATCTTCTCTAATAAATTTTGCTTACCCCTTTAAAAACAGTCCTCCAAGAGCTCTTTCCTGGTAACTTAGCATGCACTATATCATACAGCCATTTGTAAGGCCCCATCAATGACTCCACCTGTATGTGGTCATCTTTATATAGAAACCCAACCAGAATGGAGACATAAAATTCTAGAAGAGCTTTAGTTCTTTCATCATTGTGATCTAAATCAAAGGGCACTGCAGTCAGCAGCACCCAGAGATACTCCAATGTCACTGACTAGCATACCAACAGCATTCAAGCTGCTTCATGAGCTTATCTTTCCCCTTCTAACTTCAGGGTTGGTAGGGCAAAGAAATGACACCAATGACATCTACAATCAGGGCCTGGAATCAAAAGCAAACTGATAGTGTAACATTCAGGGACTTCAGTGACACTTTCCTAGAACACTGAGTGCCCAAAAGGGCTGGGCCATCAGCTTCCCCTAAAGAGGGGAAAAGAACCACCCACTTTCTACAACAGATTGACTGTTAAACACACGTACAGCAGGCCTCTTGCAGGAGAAAAGGCAAGCTGTCCTGCCAGAGTTCCTAAAAGCTTCTGAGGACAACAATTTTTCTTAGGGAGTGAAAATATATACCCTAATCCATACTGGATAGACAGCCCCCATTTTTCAAATTCAAGGCTGAATAAGATACATTCAGTTTTAAACATTCCTAGAATTTGAGAATTCCAAAGTATCAACCATTTTTACATCAAATAACTACATTAGTCAAACCAGACTAATTATTAAAATTACACAAAGCTTGTACAAATCAATCCTTAATGTTTAGGAAAATCATGAAAAAATTTGTGTGGGGAAACCAGTCTAATCTTTTCAGATCCAGTACACCAACCACTTGGCAATGCTCCCTACAATCTGGGAAGATTTCCTGACCAATGGAATACAGATAAAATATGGCAGAGTATGCATTAATCCTTCCATCTTCTCTTGTTTTAATAATAAGTAGAGAGCCAGGACCATACAAATTAGGTATATACAGCTCCTAGAAAAATAAAATTTAACTAAAGCTAAAGAAGATGAACACTTCTTTAACCAAATTTCCCACCTTATTTTATCTTATGCACACCTACAAAACATCTGTATACATGCCTTATAATAGCTTTTGATCAACTGCTATCAAAACAAACTAAAGGAGTAAAATAATATTACTGCTCTTCAGACATTAAAAAACACATTTCTAAGCAATATTTTCAAAGTCAACAACTTTGAAAAATTAAGTCCTTATCTTTATAGACCACAGGCTCATTATAATTAAGTGGGTAGTTTGTTTATATTTTATATAAGATTCCCTAAGAACCTAAGATCCTGCCAGTGTCTATTTAAGAAATGGAGAAAATGTTGGGCGTGGTGGCTCATGCCTGTAATCCCAGCACTTTGGGAGGCTGAGGTGGGTGGGTCACCTGAGGTCAGGAGTTCGAGAACAGCGTGGCCAACATGGTAAAATCCCATCTCTACTAAAAATACAAAATTAGCTTCGTGTGGTGGTACATGGCTGTAGTCCCAGCTACTCGCGAGGCTGTGACAGGAGAATCGCTTGAACCTGGGAGGCGGAGGCTGCAGTGAGCCGAGATCACGCCACTGCTGTCCAGCCTGAGCGAGACAGAGCAAGACTCCATCTCAAAAAAATAAAAATAAAAAATAAATGGGGAAAACAACATTGTAAGTACTGGAAAATACTACGTCCATAGTCATTGATATATAAAATGTCTCAAAAAATAGGACTGTCATAAAATACAGAACCTCTTACAGAGAAGAAATTTTAAGTTGCCACTATTAAAATGGAATTTAAAATCTCAAGATTCCACATATTTAAGAACGAATATTCCTTTGTTCATCACAAAGCTGAGACAAAAACAAGACATTTAATGGCAATGTGTCTCCTCCCTGAAAGTTGATTTTATTGCTATTTAGCATTTCCAGGAAATAATTTCTAAGAGCTAAACAATCATTTTTAATATTGACTCCTCTTCACAGCCCGCTCTGCAGCACCACCACCTTCTTACAAACCGGGGGAAAAATGCATAAGTGGATGTTTAAATTACTTTCTTGATCAATATTGTTTCCCACCAGATTTTGGAATATTATGAAAACGAAGTGTACCCATTTTGGTCCTTGGACCTTCAATTGTTTCTTAATTTTTATGAGAAACAAAAATTTGAACAGTAATATACTTCTGCAATCCAAAGAAGAATTAAACCAAAAGACAAATGATGAACTTTCTAGGTCCTACTATAAAACACTAGAGTTAGAAGGGTGATCATTGTTAACATACAACTCTGGTTCAAGCCCTGGTTATGGGGCTTTCACTGGGTTATTACAGTTCTTGTTATTTACAAATGTGGAAGCTTATTACATATAAAAGCTCTTACTTCTAATAACCTTTGGGTAACTTGCAATCTCCATTTAAAAAGCCTCTTCCTCACAATTACTGTCCATTTGAAGAGCGATTTGACCCATACTCTGTCCTTTGAGACATCACATAAAAGGACTCTCACCTACTCAAAAATCAATCTTTTCAGTCAGATGAAATCTTAATGAAAGCTGAGATCATCTCGAGGAAAGCAAAATACTGCCAAAAGGCAAAAACAGCTTCACACTCTAACGGTAAACCCACAAAATTGCCAGATTAAAATTCTGCTGCTTAGTCATTATGATCCAAAGATGCATGACTTGCCTCACTAGGGCAATGGCTGTCTATAAGTAAGATATCTAGAGTTTACACCATCCTTACGGAGAGCCTTGACACTATTATTGCCAAATCTATACGTAGAGTTAGTTCCCTGCACAAGAAGATATTTAATTATAGCTCTATAATTTTTTTTCAAAACAGAGTAATATCCCAAATATGTAAAAGATATCCTGAGAACAATTGCCCTTGCCCTTCGTCCTTTGTATAGGTTATTCTACTGATTCAATATCAGTCATGGAATATACTAGAGAAAATAGATTCTGACTTGCTTATCTCTTCATTTTAACCCCATTTTCCTCATTCCAAATAGTAAGGATGCATTTGAGAGATAGCTAACTATAAAGAATGAGGACAGGGACAATGGACTGCAAAGCTGGTTGATGCAGAGTCCAACTCACAAGCATGACATGGTAGCCAATTTAGCTAAATGGACACAGGTTGAATTAACCTGACCTTTATGCTTCAATGTCCTAATTTGTACAATAGCTACCATCTGCCCAGCTGAGTCCTGAGCAGCTAACAACAGGATTTGAAGAGTTTAAGATTCGAGACAAAAATGAACCAAAATCCAGAATGAATCCTACTAATTCTACTTAAGCCCAAAAGTGAACCTCTATCCTCTGTTTAAAAGAAAAACACAGGCGTTTTCAAAAAAATACAACCAGTAAAGGCACTACAAAAACAGCACGGCTTTCTAAATATCATTAAACTGATCTTAAATTGTAATGCATGCTAAGTCCCTAGCACATCACAGGAACAGTGTAAATATAAACACAAACTAAATGAAGAAATGTGTAAGTCATCTTCATGTTATCTGGTAAATCTCATGTATGATACACTTCAATAAAATCCCAAAGGCCAGCTATTGGGAATTTAAAACAGAAAGGGTGCTTGGTAGCAGGAGGGGCATGGGTGGTAGATAATGACAGAAATAATTAAAGGTAGGGACTGAGAGGAGATTTTTTAAAGGACACCAGGTGTACGATTTAGGTTTGCCATAATGATATACTTGAGTGAATAAAAAGTATGGGATGCGGGCGTGGTGGCTTACGCCTGTAATCCCAGTACTTTGGGAGGCTGAGGCAGGTGGATCATCTGAGGTCTGGAGTTTGAGACCAATCTGACCAACATGGAGAAAACCCCGCCTCTGCTAAAAATACAAAATTAGGTGGGCGTGGTGGCGCATGCCTGTAATCCGAGCTACTCGGGTGGCTGAGGCAGGAGAATCTCTTGAACCTGGGAAGCGGAGGTTGCGGTAAGCTGAAATCACGCCATTGCACTCCAGCTTGCGCAACAAGAGTGAAACTCTGTCTCAAAAGAAAAAAAAAGAAAAGAAAAGAAAAAAAAAGTATGGGATAAGAATTCATGGGTCATGATCAAGAGAAAAAGTTATTTGGCTAGTTCATGAAGTAAACATTGCATCCGGCAAAGAAGGGAGAACTCTGAATGCCTGAAAGTGTTTGAAATCTGTTCTGTAAGCAATAGGGAGCCACTGAAACCTTCAGGCAGGATGACAGAGCCAAAGCTGTCCTTTAACTGTCTCTTACAAGATTCTAACTCAAATGTGCCTAAATTCTGCAAGGTTATTTATCTGAGGAGACAGTTCATAATATTAGTGCAAAAAGGTCGCAACAGCAAAACAGGACCCTTTATTTGATTAAATAATTTAGTTCTAACACCTGGGCAGAGAGAATTCCAGTATAGATGTTACTGTGCACTCTGAAGCCAGACTGCGTGAGTTCTAATTCCAGCTCTGTCATTTACTGCATCTTTGGGCCTGTAACTTAAATCACTCTACGTGCCATTTCCTTACCTATAAAATGGCGGGGGTGGGGAGATAATTATACCACCTACATCTCAGAGTTTTGTAAGAACTCAAGTGAGTGAATCCATGTAGACTGCTGAGAACAGTGCCTGGCACAGAGAAGCAGCCTTCAAATTATGCTGACACAACCACTTCTATGCCATACCCTTTGACATCTGATAAATGTTACTGTAACATTTCATATAAAGTATCAGAATATGGATTCTGCCTTTGTAGGGGGTGTGTGTGGGAAGGGAGACGAGGGAGGAGTCAGATTTTTCTGTTCCTATCCTTCAAAACCACAAGCTAAAAGCTATACACCTAGGTGAACACTTTCCATTTCCAATAGGCCTTGTCCATTTTTCCCTTCTCGATGGTTTAAAATGGTTCCCAGGCACACGTGTAATTAAATTCATTATCTTAAAAAACTGCTTCAGGAAATGCAGCAATCAAATCTGCCACCATCTGTTTTTTATAGATAGATATAATTACAACCTAATAGGCATCATTTAATCAAGACTTAACAATTAGGTTCTTAAATCCAAAACTTGATCATTTTCTTCCTTGATATGTGTACAAAATTTTCTCCCAGGTGGTGGTCATGTAAAGTGAAGGATGGAAGAACTATTAAAACCCTTATCATAATGGCCTTCCTAAAGTGCTAATTATTACACAATTAAGACAGACATAATATGACTAGAAAGCCTAAGAAAATCTAATGCAATCTCACAGAAGCTTTTTAAAATTTTTTTCCATCTCTATCTCCAAACTACCTACCAAAAAACCCAAAATACAAAGGAGTACCTCTCGCCTATGACTTCTTAACAAGCGAAGTCAGGAGTAGCACCAAACCTTCCCCTGGTTCTAACATCACCTAGTCAGATCTTTAGAGGAGAAAAGCAATCCTATCTGTTACCTTGTTTCCCATCCCGCATTTTAAGAGATAAGAAACCCAGGACCTGAAAAGTGAGTATTTTCCTAAGGCACTCAGGGTGAAACCTGGACTAGAACCTAGATGTCCCTCCATAAAAAACAAGATTTTGTACTCTTACTCCACCCCACCACGTGAGTGGGGAAAAGCAGAGTTTTGAGGGCCTACAATCCTCAAGTCTGATCACTGGGTCTCTCACATCTAATTACAATATCCAGCCCCATTTCCAACTTAATAAGATTAATTCTTTGTCACTGATGCTCAATAGTAACTCTTGCTACTCCCAGCAGCCAACACCCTAGTTTGAAAGACATGCAGGTCACCAGTGCATCTTCTATTGAGAGCCCCTAATTGCCTTACCACACCCAAGGTGCTTCCTGCTAGACTAAGCTTCTTTACAGACCTAACACACCAAATAAGAGACCACAGTTGGGCAAGAAATCTATTAAGAATTAGAAAACCCTGAAAGGGCTCTATTTACCACTGAAAAGAAAAATCTTAAGCCCTTTGTAGTTTCCCATTCTCTTTCCTTTCCCAAAAGCTTTAAGAGGTCTCCCAGCAAACCTAAACCAAGCCCTCACTTTTAAACACAGCTGTCCAAGGACTCTGTGGGTGGGTGCAGGGGACAGACCTAATCTTTCCCTATGCAAGATTTGAAGAGTATTAGAGAAACAAAGCATTAAAGAAACAAAAGCCTTAAAGTCCAATATTTCTCCTAAAATAACCTCATTAAGGCAAGTTTTCTTTGGTCTTCCAAAGAATCCCAATTCAAAAATGAGAAAAGAAAGTAGCTAATAATGAGGGCTTCACCATAAAGCATCACAATCAACCTTTCATTATTCCCATTCTGTAGGTCAGACATCGAAGGCTTGGATAGGTGGAGTGACTTTGAATAGGGACCCCAAATTCTGAACTGGAGGTGTAACAATCAAGTCCTAAAACAGTAGAGTTCCTATTCCTCTTCTCAGCTTATTTTAACACCAAATGTGTAACCCAGGGTATCTGCTCATGCAGGGGCCTAAGTGCACCCTTCACAACCCGGGATGGTAGTGCCCAAGAGCAGCTCTACTAAGCCAGAATGAGCAAATGGCACCATGCTTACATGAGGAGAAGGACCTCACAAGCTGCAGAACATGTCCAGCCTAGCCCCCTTCCCTCTTATTCAAGGATGAAGTGAAATGCACTACAGCCCTATATGCTTAAGATATCAGATGGAAATTTTAAGAATTCTTTCAAAGAACATAGGTCATTATCCCCAACTTTGGAAAACTACTTCAGATTACTTGGTTTTGGGGAGTAGAGAATCAGTATAGAATGCTTCTCAAGCAAATGAATCTACAAAATTAGAAAATTTGACTTACTTAAAATAACTTACAGTAAAAGTTTAAAACTAAACTTTAAATTTAGTTTGGGAAAACAGATGACGTATGAAATTTTTTATTCAAATACGAATTTAGATCTATCTTCATCTGATACGGGTGCCTTCAAGGGCAATGAGCCGCTTTTTAAATCTCCTCAGAGGATCCTATTCACATTAAACAGAAGCCACAGGAAAACTGGCATTAACATTTCCTTCCTGCTTGTTGGAAAGCAAGGCACCTTATTTGAGGGCTTTCCAGATCAAGAACACATTTTATACCAATAAACTTTACAGCTGGGCCCAGCAGAGATCTACAAATTAAGGCTAATTGTGAACTGTACAGCAACTGTCCTTCGTCTTCCATTTTTATATTTTATTTCAATTTGGAGCTACCTAACAGACACAGAAGCCCTCCAGACTATTTCTCAAAACTTTCTGTTTGGAAGTAGGTACACGCACCCAGGAATACTGAAGTATGAAATAAATATTAAGAGCCTAGAACAAAATACAAAAACATTACTGGAAATAGGCTCAATATGTTTTAAAATAACATTTAAAACTTAACTGCTGCTTTATTTCTTTTAAACTCAAAGAAATTTTCTCAGGTAGAAGATTTTTTAAAGCTACAAGGGATTTCAAAATGAAAAACTAATATTTCTTCTCTTGAATGTTGTGCTTGAAAGGAAAAGTTATACTGTCATTCATTCAATAAATATTAAGCTCTACGTACAGGAGCTATTGGAATATAAAGTGTGTCTTTGCCTTCAAGGGCTACTCAGTTTTCAGACAAGTAAATTTCTTGCAAGCAGAAATCCCAGAGTATCAATGATCTCACCAACAGAAGTGTCCTAGCTAAGGGACTTTAGTTTTAAACAGAAATCAACATCATTAAGAATGCTAGATGTCACTGTTACTGACATTTCTTGATCCAGTTAGGGTGTATAAAGGTCAACATCTGACAACAGAATGTTCACGCATTAGTTATCCAAACTAAAATGCAGAAAATGTCTAAATCAGCACATTTGAAACTAGAAAGAAATTAATTCTATTACAATATTAAATGTGGAATCATACACAGAAAAATAAATGGGCACCCTTCACTACCAACACCCCATTTTGCATTTTAAAGGGGGAAGGGACTCCCACAGAGTTTTCTTCTAACAAGCGCTGCAAATAGGAATTGACAGGTGGAGCCCTGATTGACAATGGTGGTTTTAGATGACACCTCACCTCCCTCCTCCTTACCCACCTAATCTCACGACTAATGCGGGAAGCTGAAATAAATACAGTGGAAGATTGTTTATCTGTTTCGTTTTGTTTTTTTAAGTGCAGATGTGTTCCACAATTGAAGAAAGAGGTTAAGATTCTATACACATCCTGGGTACCATTTAGTCAATGTCTACTTGAGCAACAAACTAGGACAATGAAACCAATACAGGAAGAAGAAAATGCATGGAGCAGGTGAACTACTCCGAGGTGCATTTTTAGCTCATGTGACCTTCCAACGTGCTCCAAGTATGTTGTATGTAGATGTGTGGGCATGTATTTATAGAAAGGGTCAAGAGCGCTATAAAAAATACATTAATAATGTTAGTGCTACAAGGGACTTCCAAACGCTAGCCCACAGCCTCAATTTTTAGACAGAGAAAGCAAGCCCCAAGACTTGGCCAAACTTTCTAGTGATAGAATTTGCTAGTGATAGAATCTGGTCATAGCATTCAAGTTTTCAACTCCTGAAGACAATCTTACCTCCAAAGTACTCCAATTCCACAGCTTTATTCTTAAATTTACCCCTCCCCTAGAAAGATGACTGCCCACTCCTCCCTACAATACAGATTCCAAGTTTTAAGACTCAGATGGGCCTAGCCCTGCCTTCCAAGAATCCATTAGGCTAATCCAGTGGTTCTCAAAGCATAGCCTGGGAACCTAAGAGTCCTCTGAGACTTCCTCATACATCCGGGAAGTCAAGAGAATGCCTTTTCCTCTCATAAATGTACAGTAGAGCTTTCTAAAGGTTATATGTGACACTTGCTTCTGCATTCAGTCTGTTGCAATGAGAATACAGTTGACTAGATCTATTAAGCCAGACGTTAAAGAAATGTAAAATGTAAAACTATGCCAGCCTTACTTTTTAAAAATATACATATTCCTCACTTTAAAAATATTTTTTAATATGTAATGGGTTTGCTATTTAAACAGGTTTTTAAACTTTCTCATCTTAATTTCTTATACAGTAAATATTTATACACATAACAAACAAAAGGTCCTGGGGTCCTCAATAATTTAAGTGTACAAAGGGATCCTCTGATCAAGAACTTTGAGAATTACTGGTCTAATTCACTGCTACATAAGCATGCCTTTATGGTGAATCCCTTTAGCCCATATAGATAAACCTTAGAACAGCTTCCAACTACTCTCCTTACCTTCAAAGGGATGTTCCTCCAGCTCTGGGACTATGTAAACTACTTCTCATGCCCAGTACTACCCTGATTTATAAGAAAAAAACGTGAATCATCTCAACTGCCTTTAATGTAAAATTTTTACATAAACATTGTCGGGGAAACATGAATATAACTGTATATTCTGGTTCTCAGAAAAGATGCTTTATAAAGCATAACAAGCTATTACATGTTTCATGTTGCATACTTACACTGGTTTAGAAAAATGCTTGAGTATCTTATGAGTCTCTCCTACACAATACAAAGCATGCCAGAAGCAGTTTTTCACTTTCATTTGGGGGTTTACACCCTAGTCAGGAAGCCATGCATGCTCCATCTTCCTCTCAAAGCCCTGGTGCGTTCCTCCTCAAGGCCCCTTTAGCCACATCAGCCCATGTCTTTTGCTTCAGTTTTCCTCACACTAAGCCATCCTGTAAAATTGTCCCAAGGCTGGCTCTCTCAAACAAAATAAGAGAAATGTTCCTGTATGGATTTCAGTGTCCTCTAGAAACCCACCCATGTTCCAATAATCAAAACTTTTTCCTTACATGCTAGGAGTACACCACACTTAATCCTCTTCTCCTGGGGGGTTGCGGGTGGGGTGGGGGGACAAGTCCCCCTATCTGTATAAAAGAGCTTCACAAGTGCTACTACATCTACCTGGTTTCAGGAACCTTTTCCCAATGTTTGCAGCAGACCTCACCAAACTCCCATAAACTCACGTTTTCTTCCTCTGGACTGTCAACCAGACTTGGAGAACTTGAGAGTGGCATCCACATCCTAGTGTTTCTGAGCACCCAACGACCATGCACAACGCTCAGCTCAAGGCAGGCACTGAATGCTAACAAACAGCTCATATGTAGGAAAAGTGCAAATCTATTAAAATGCTCTGAAAAGCCCAAGGGGGATCAGCTTTTGAAGTAATTAGTAATTCTATTATAATAATTTGTGCAAATTAAAAAATATATATTTGATGCAAAAAGATAACCACAGAACTGTTTAAAAGATGGATTTATTATTTATTTATTTATTTATTTTTTTTTTGAGACGGCGTCTCGCTCTGTCGCCCAGGCAGGAGTGCAATGGCATGATCTCGGCTCACAGCAACCTCCACCTCCTGGGTTCAAGCAATAAAAGACAGAAATATTTAATTTCTTCAAATCTACACCTGAGAGGTTAACAATTTCATGAACACTTTGAACACTTTCAAAGAAAATACAAACATGTAATGGCACAGGTGAGGAAAAGTAAATACTTAATACATAGATCTTTTTGAATGCTCTCTGAACCTTGCTTTTTACATTTCAAGATCAGCACATACTCTTTATTTACAGATACTATATAATAGAGATATATACCCTGATTAATTTAACCAATCCCCTACTGATGAACATTCCAAGGTTTTGCTATTTCAAACAGTGCTTACAATAGATACCTTATACAGTAAAGCAAAAATGTAAATTTAAAGATAGAAATTGCTGGTTTGTAGTCTATTTGCATTTTTAATTACGCTAGTCACTGCCAAAAAAAACTTCTGAAAACTTATCAGTTTGCAGTCCCACCAAAGCATAACCTACATTTTTAAAAAGGAAATAATGCAGCAGTGTAGAGAGGGCACTGGGGGAAGTAAAGGCAAGTCGGGAACCAGCCACAAGGTCACAGTCACCAACCACAATCATTATACCTAAGACTTTAGACAATACATCTTAGCATCAGTTCTGAATGTATATGAAATGAGACTGCTGTTCAACACTATGGGTAGGGCCTTTCCAGCTCTAACATTCTCTGATGTCCTTGAACTTGTTATATATAAGAAATGTACATTAAATATGAAGACAGAATGCTTATCCTCTTGGACTACCCAAGGACAACAAATAAATGCTGGGAAAGTCAGCTGCAACACTGGGAACATAAATGCTCTGACAAACCCCTGCTAGGAATTTCAAAATGGAAGTGAAATTGAGACTGAAGAAAAAGACCACCTAATAGGAAATATAAAAAGCCATTTCAAAAATGATAAACAAAAGAAAGACGTTAATCATTTGGGGATTTTCCTAGTTTAAAACAAACCACATCTCCGTAAAAGAAATATGGCTAAATGGCTATAACAAGTAAGGGCCAAAGCACCCTCATGGCTACTAATAAATAAAACGGTACAAACATCCCTTTCAAGTCTACCATTTGAGAGAGTGGATACTAACAAGAGATATGATTTGCTAAGCTAAATAAAAGCCTTCATTAACAAGAAGTGACAGGATCACAACCCTGCTGCTGATAAACTGCCAACATACCCAAGGTCTTCAATGAAGGGTTGCCCATTTAACATACTGCAGCTTTAAAATGAGTTGCTTTAGAACGAACAGTTCTATGTCAAGGCAGGCCTACAACATACAAAACAGATGGAGCTGCTACTGTACCTTGGGCTTGTGTGTGTACCCATGCACGAGCATGAGCTTGGCATATACCACAGGAGAACCTGGCCCAATAACGCTTCTTAAAGTTAGCCATCCATGATTAGAGCATCTACCTTAGACCTCAACTTCTCTATCTGCTTCCAAAGATACTCAGTGTAGAGCAGAAAACATTCTTCTGATAGCCGAAGAGGGTTCCACATGGCTATTAAATGACTGGCCCAGTGGTCATCCATGGAGACCCCTCCTTATTCCTGGCAAACACAGTCATTTCAGTCCAACCTTGAAGCAGCCAATATCTTTTCAATACAGCACACTTTGAAGCGGTATTAACAGGTCATAAATACATGTAAAAAGCATAGTTTCAGCTTAGTCAAAGTGGTTACAGAAGCATCATTGTATATTTTTTTCTGGGTGGTCCAAGTAAATTAAACTCACCAACTAGACTGCAAACAGATACCATAAATTCTTAATTATTCACAGGTATGGATGAAAAGAAATAGCACTTTAATAAAGTCATCTTAAAATATTATTCAGTATCCAGCACTTAATTACCATCATATAGTAGTGATATCTAAAAAACATAGAAATGTTTGCTATAGTTTAAATATTAACAATTTTTATTAACTCCAATTGGTTAAATATGTAAGTTATACAACTTCATAGCAACCAAAATACCAAGGCCGAATACACAATTAAAAGAAAAAAACTTGCATGTAACATTTACCTTCAGCATATATAATTTTAATCTTCATTTTAAAGACATAGGACCTATTAGATTCAAGAAATCAGACTAGCCAGGTGAGGTGGCTCAGGTCTGTAATCCCAGCACTTTGGAAGTCCAAAGCAGAAGGATCCCTTGAGCCCAGGATTTCAAGACAAGCCTGGGTAAGATGGTGAGACCCCATCTCTACAAAAAAATTTAAAAATTAGCCAGTTGCAGTAAAGCATGCCTATAGACCCAACTACTCAGGAGGCTGATGCTGGAGGATCCCTAAAAGCCCAGGAATTCAAAGTTACAGTTAACTATGATCATGCCACTGCAGTGAGACTAAATCTCTTAAAAAAAAAAATCAGTAATAAGACAATAAGACCCACTATATTCAGAAAACAAAGTTATAAGAATCACTGACATCAAAGAGCTTCCAATGTAGTTGAAAGTAACATTTAAGTTGTGCCCTGAAAATTTAAACCAATATAAAAAGCTATTAAGGAGAGACCAGACACCAAAGGCAATGGGAAGTTGTTACCCCAAGTGCCCATTCCGTAACAGCTCCTTAACTCTCATACCTGCTGTCCCTGTAATGCCAGAAGTAAAATTAAAATTCTCCTCTCCTGAACTAAAACTTGGTTTACTTCTCTCCAAATTCCATCAAGAGTAGAGGTTACTGTCTATATTTTCAGTAGCTTCCTTCTGCACCTAAGGAAAAGGGGCTGAAATCTAAAAGCTGTGATGAAATAATATCCACCTACAAAAAAATGCTATATCCATGTTAAATCAAACAATTATAAATGGTATAAGCTAAAAGGCATGCAAAGTTTTTATTATCTTCCTAAAGACCAGCTTATATTAAAAATAAAACTGTTTGCCAGAGTCCACCTCTCTGAGGAAACTAAGAGCCTAGTCAAGTAAGCTTAATAATCTAATAAGGTGGTCAGAAAGACACTATTTTAAAATATCATATCCTTGCCATGCATTCACTGTACTGTTTAGGTCTGGTGATCTGTGTGAATGAGGAAACTAGCCAGATGGAAAATTCACTTCCTCATTTTCCTTAACCTTTTTTCCGTGTCTTTTCCAATTGCTTAGAGTAATTTCCCATATTCTACCCATCTCTTACGAACATACCTAGCCCTTTAGGATTAAGGAACTCCACAGAAGCCACTGACATTTTTTTAAAAAGTATTTTTCGACACTCTTAAACAACAAATGTCTTCCAAAGTTTCTACAAAAAAAAAACTGCCTAAGTCTCTTCCACTCCAACAAATATTTTAAAAACAATTCCAATTAATATGGTATTTCCTTTTAGTTATAATTTAAATGAATACTGGAAGGAACACAATATGGTAAAGCAATGGGGTGATCTGTCAAAGGGATTATCTAAAAGGTCATTCATAAACAAACCAAATAATCCAATCAATGACAAAACACAACTGTGGATGAATTAGTGAAATTCTAATTTCCGCCAAGCAAAAAGCCTAACAAATATTCCTAAGTTCTTACTGCATCAATTAATACATTAGAAAGTGTTATTTAAACAAATACTGATAATATTTCAAAATCCAACACATTTTCAAAGCCATGGGTAAAGAGAATAAAGGATTTAGACAATGCAGATCTCACTGCTGGGCTTTGCATTCACCACATAGCTTTCAGAGTAAAAGTTGCCAAATTACGTTGTCCTGCAAAGAACATTAAAATCGGTTTCTCGTAAAAAATATAAAAAGCCAGATCCATGGTGGGATAGAAGCTGGGTGGCAGGAATCAGCTCTAGGACTCAAAGTTCACCATCAATTTATCAAGGAGAATAGAGTTTAATTTTAGGACCTCTGTCTATCCTTATGCCTATAAAATTAAAAACTAGTCTGTTTTTATGTACAGTAAAAATAAGGTAGCTAGGAAGGAAATCAACAAATGATCTTCACTAATCACCTCCCACACTGTGTTATAAGCCTTAAAGGTTATTTTCCTTCACAGCACAAATCACAATTATATGTAATAATTTGTAGAACTTTAACATAATATCTCCTCCAATAAACTCTAAGTTTCATATCAGCAGGGAGTATACTGTATTCACTACTATAGTCTTAATACCTAAGGTAGTATATGTGGCATATAGCAAGATCACAAATATTTACTAAACAAATGAAAATCTGCACAGGAAACCAAGAAATGTTCACATGTAAACTGGCAAAATAATTGCTTTTAAAGTACTGGGGGGCAGAAAAGGCTGGATCAGCAAATCAAAAACTGAATAGAAGGACAATCAAAAAGAGCAAAATGCCATTCATGTCAGGAGGCCAGACACAATAAAATAATAAAATGTTAAATGCTAGGAAAAGAGAGATAAGTTTAAAGTTTTAAAGTGGCTACTAATAAAAACTTTAGATGTAAACATTTCAAATATTCATAGGCTATTTAATAAACTGTCATCAAATTGCCACATTTCTTTGAGACGATAACAGAGAATAATCACAGGGAATGAGAGAGAGAAAGAAATGTTAGCCATAATGAAAAATTCCTTATGGGTAAAGTTCCAGAAAATTCCTTAAGGAGTCTGAACTATAACACCCAAAACTTAACAAAGTCCCTGGATCTCTTAATGCTTCTGAATTCCATAGGGAACTGGGGAGCTACAAAGCATTTTACCCAACAAAATCTCTGGTAGTCTTCGCCAAATTTAAGGAAACACAACAAAAATTAAAGAGAAATGATACGTATTAAGGTCAAAGTTTAAGGTTACTATGTCCTATAAAATGTGATGATGAGTAAAATGCTATTGAGCTTTCACCCTCAACAATTAACTTCTGCTTCATCCTGTGATATTCTAAATTACAGCTAACCAGTACGGAGCAGCCTTGTCAGGATCCCACCTGACTGCTTTGTGCATAGCCTGTTGGCCAATTTTATACCAGAGGCACCTGCTTGAAATATGTAGAGACAATCTGATGACCTTATTTTCTCACGTTTACACCAGCTTTCCATAGCACAAGGACAATATTTATACTCTAGGAAGAGTAAAATATTTGCAGAGATAAGAAATCAGAGAACATGTTGGCATGAAGCTATTTCAGCTTCTCAATTCTAAGACATTTGGACTGAAAGATGCACCCACTAACCTCACAGCTTTGGGGGACATAGAATCAGGACATTAAGTAAACTTAAGAGACTCAAAAGTAATATAAAAATTGCATATCTAAGACATGAGAAAACATGGGATTAGTTAAGGCAGTTTTTGCAAAAATTTCCCTGTAGAGATTGAAATTCTAGTAAGATTACCTATCATTCATGATTTACTTACATATGCAAATAATTTTCAATTGATTATCAGTCTCATGTACTATATTCTTTCTTTAAATTATTATCTCTATTCCAGACTTTTGAGTTCTGCTGTTCCAGTGACCTCCACAAATTTTCCTGAATTTCTCCTAAAAACACACTATGTGAGAGATCAAGTAATGAAAAAGAGCACATGGCCTCTTTCTAGGGAAGAGCAAAAAGGTCATTTTGAATCTGTAATTCTTTGTCATCCACTCCCAACCAATTTTTCTGACAGTAAAGTTGGAGAAACAGTAAAGTTGGAGAAATACTGAAAACTTACTGGAGAAAGGTGAATCAAGAACAATCTTTACTGGGTGAATATTTTGTTTATTCCAATTTGGATATCAAACATCCTATTGAACACTTGACCTGCCATTTTTTTCTCAGAACAAAAAGTAGTATTTCTAAAATCCTGCCTGATTGGGAACACATTTTTTTTCATAAACTTAACAAGTTCAAAAAACAGCCCTTACAGATTATCTACTACAATGAGCCAGGGTTATCTCAATGTCACTTTCACCTTTTTCTTGATTTTAACAGCATCCTAAAAAAAGCCTGAAGACAGTGTCTTCATTTCCTTGCTTACAGAAAATAACCAATCCATACTTTGTATGGTTCCAAAAAGTAATCCTGCAAGTCAAGGATGCCAGCTGGCATCAGAAAGTCACCAGCCTGTGATGGAAATGCCTCCAGAAGTCACCCAGTCATGGACCTAAAATAATCCAAGGTCAGAATCCTGGCCCTGAGGAACAAGTTGTGGGCATACTGCTAGGAGTGCTACAGGGACCACAGTGAAGCTTTAAAAAAAATTATAAAAATAAAAAATAATCCTGGTACAACAACCCCACCACTGGGGAACCAAACAGCCTCTAAAGCAATTTAATATGGAGGTGAGATACAATTGCTGCTGGAGTCACACCATTTTATTTCAAAACACCCCTAAGAGAAGCAATACATTCTCAAACATGAAAACTGAGTTGCTTCTTGGATCTGATTTCAGCCACCTTAAACTACAGCCAGCAGAACTACCAAAAGTAGAAAGAACATCATTCTGGGATCCATGGAAAGAGGTACAGAACTAGGAGTCTGACCTGATCCTACTTCCCCACTTGGTTGTATCCTTGGGCAAACCACCTGACCTCTGAGCTTCATTTTCCTCACCTATAAAACATCATTCCCAGGGAGCTGTGGCAAGTTTCTATAAGGACAGAAAAACTTGGTGTTAATCACCATTACTAGAGGAAATGCTCCGTGTCTCCTGGTTCCATCACCTTGTGGTAGTTCACCATCTTCAATTGCCAACTCCACGTATTTTTCTATCTTCCTAATGGTAAGTCAACAACTAAAAAGTGGCAGATCCCTGCTGCCCCATCCCAATCCACTGCTAACTTGACTGTCCAACACAAAATTTCTTACTGTTGCATTCTCAAGGGAGAGTCATTTGGAAGTTACCATAGAAGTTGTACAAAAGGAAAACCAAAACAGATGTCTTCACTCTTCCTGTCTAGGTCACAAACTATTATTCACTCTAAAACCAAAGATTTCACCCTACCATCCACAAAACAATGTTTATAAGTCAGCCAAACTGTTTGGGAAAAAATTTTTTCAAAAAGTCCAAGAAACAAGAACACAAATTATTCCCCGAACAGCCAGTTCCAACTGAAGGAATGAGCCTCTCCACTAAATCAAAAAGGTAACGCAGCGTACAAGCTGTTCGATCACCTTTCAAGGAAAAAAAAAAAAACCCACGAAACAGTAATGCAAATGCCATTAAGGGAGAAAAGCAGTGGCCAGGCCTCAGAACACCAAGCACTGGCATGAGAAAGCCATAGTCAGCAGCCCAGACAACACATGCTCCTGGAAGACATGGCCTTAGCCATGAAGATGACGCAAGGAGAAGGCATAGATCAATGCTCTGAAAAGCACCCCAGCTTCTGTCCTGTTACTTGCTTCTTGCTCCTGCAACTATATTCCCAAAAGGGAGGAAGTCAAAAAAGTTGTAATTATTTTGACTTTTTCCTAGGTGTTTTGAAAAATAAATGTTATACCCAGAGGAGGCTGCTGGCACATAATGTTGTCAACAGAATAAAACTCTGGGGGAAACACCCAGCTTCATGTAGTTTGAAACACAACGTGCCTCAGATCTACTCTTCTGGGACAACAGTGGAATTAAGACAGTCACAGCTTGTCTCTCTCTAGCCACACCCTCAAACTTGAGTAGGTTTTGCAGAAATACTTTTCACCTGTGACTGAGCTCCTGGCAAACTAGGAAATAGTTACTCATACCATAAAAGAAAATCAAAGGTAACAAAAACAATATGGGAGGAACGGGGGAGGGAAATAAGACATAAAAAGCAAAAAATAGACAAAATGGACCAAGAAAAGACACAGTCCTGTCCCTAAAGCAATAAGCAACAACCTGGCCTGATCCCTTGATTCCCAGACAACAGGGATATATCTCTTTGCTTAATTCCTCAAGCACTCAGTTTCTACTATTAAATGCAAGAGTGGGGAGTGTGTGATTTTTTTTTAAGTTATCATTTTCTGCCTCATCTCCTTAGGTAGAGACCAAGGAATATGAGGTAAAGGGCACTTTATACAAGTCTCAACGTTCTCAGTATCCAGCACTCAGTAATTTGTGATGAAACAATAAGTATTACACAATCTTCCTGGCTTCTGAACATAATCTCAACACAAAACCTAGAAGAATATTTTTATTGATCCTTCAACAAACTCAAAAACAAAATTAGATTAATTTGGAAAAGCCCTAAGCTTCAAGTTAACTAGCAGCCCACATATATCAAAGTCATTCTTATTGCACAGTAGAAGCTCCACGGGAATGACTCCCAATCTTTAGGGGGATAAAACATGCTTGTTTTTACTGATATTCAATTCCCCACCCCAACCCAGTAACTAAGCCACCCTGAGGTGCCGCAATGAGATGCTGCAGGGAGCATCAAAAACAAGCAACACGTTCACCTAAAAGAATCATATAATCATAGAATAGAAGATGCTTGGTACCAAGAATTTTTAAGTGCCTCTGAAAAATAAGTTCCAAATGTACCTACAATGATTTTTTAAAATCATACACAGTTAATTCAAAATTAAGTTTTTAAGTGAGCATACACTTATACTAACACTCCAAATATCAAAAAAAAAAAAAAAATTGGCTGGGTTGTAGAGTAAGCCAATGCTTAAAACTGCCAACATTAAGCTATTATTCTGAAGGGTTTTGCTAAGATGTTCAATACAGGGGCACATTCTGATTCATCGTTATAACTGGCCTAGCTGAAGTGGCTGCCAGGAGAGCAGGGTTTTATGGGCATTGTTCCATCCTAAGAAGCTACATTAATGCTGGGTTGATACAACAGATCTTCATATCTATTTACCAGGCTGAACAAAAGTTAACTAGAAATGTAAGTGCTTAAAGTCACCAAAAGGAAGGCTCCACACTGACATTTTCTACCTACTTAGCATTCAACTATATTCATCTCACTAGACATTAACACACACCAAAGTTGCTCTCTGCTATTCAAATTGTGCTATTATGCTCAGGAGTAGATTAATATTATCCACCTTCCTTATTGTAAAATAAAATTACAGCATTGGTCCAAACATGACATGTGGAGCCTCTTTCTACTTCTGCTGGTGCATCAGTCTGCTCTACGGCACACATAGGAGAGGGCCTTGCTAAGGCTGCCCTGCTGCTTCTGGAGTGGGGGAGAAAAGGCTGAAGACTGAAAAAAATAAAGGGGAAAGGGAGAGAAATAACACACACACATAAACCACACACCTGGAAGTCTCATATCGGCTTTTTTTTTTTTTTTTTACAACAATCTTATAAATCTGTTGTCATTTATAAGCTCACAACATCAGCAATGAGGTTAGCAGGTGGGCCACAGGCCTCTTTTAAACAGCTCATAACATCCTATCAGTTTTTACAGCATCAAGTAGCAATGTTGACCCCAAAGCATCTGAATAAATAGAAGCAGGCAACTGGCAGGGAGAAATCCCTACTCCCAATGGGGACAGTTCTAAAATCCCAGGGGGGGAGGAGAGAAAAGGTAAGTTAAGCTGAGAGAAGCTCATTTTATAAAAGGAGAAACTGTTTTTCAACCACGGGTTAAGGAAGGAGAGACCCAAGACAAATCTTCTCTGAAGTAAAGGAGACTATAAGATCTAAATATGTAAGGAGCAGTTTAACATGATTCAAACATTATCTGTAAATACAAGAGATCAAACGAATATAAAACCTTTAGAACTACTGCCTTTGTCTTTACACTTAACTTTTTAATTCACGTGGCTTTAGGAAGTATAGCATTAGAGACACCAAGGCCAGGCAAACAAACCAAGGTCAAAGTGAAACAAGCCATGCTTCATCCTTAAGGCGCAGTCGATAAATGTGGACTCCATTGTTGTTGCTCCATCCTTCCAAGTTTTCAAGAAGCAATACATTTGGCTCCAGATCTTTATATATTACCAAACCGTAAATCAACAACTCACAACTATTTAAAACACAGTTCAGGGCAATCAAAACACCTATAGGCCATATGAAGCTCACGGATCACCCTTCAGGACCTGTGGCACAAATAATTTGTCCACTGATACCAACTGCTCCTTCTGGTATCAGTGATTCACTTGGTCACAGAAGATATTCTTCAGTAAGTAAAATGTAACAAAGTGCATAAGAGCCAATGCAAAAGCCCAAGCAGGATAAGAAAATAAAGGGACAAGTGAGCAGGTTGCACCTGACCCCAAATTACCAGGACCTGGAACTAAGCACAAGGCTAAAAGGATAAACAAGGGACAGAGGGCAAGTACAGACGCATCCCAAAGAGGGGAGGAAGGCTGTGGGTAGTTCAAATTCCTTGCGGAGACTATGGAGAAGGGAAGAGATGAAAGTCAAAAGCACTGATGACCTCGTATTTGGGAAAAGTCCATGGGTCATTCAGAGGCACAGGACAGAAAAGACCCCAAGGGTTTTTAAACAAAATAAGCCAGCAATCAGTAAATAGCACCTGGGGAGATCAAAAGTGGTGTTGAATAAACTCAAATAGAAATAGGCCTTACCTGGGAACAGGTTATAAAATCTTGCTCCCTCTATAATAAATGTTGTATATTTAACACATTCTGGATACCTCTGCAATAAAGGTGGATGACCCCCTCACCTGCCATATCACCTCCAATAAAGCAATATCAGTATAACAAGAAATTCTTACTTTTGAAAAGCAGCTCAGAGAAAACAAGATCAAGTGCTCCAGAAATATTTTCCCATCCTTACCCAATTCACTGAATTTATTTTCAGATACACTGTGATTTGCTTTATTCTGATATACACAAATGATGCCTAAAGAATAAAAAAAGTGCTAAACATCCTTTAAAAGCTGAACAAGTGAGCAATTTCCAATAACTTACTTGACAGGGCATCCATCAATGATGTTCACACCATCAGCAATGAGGGGAAAAAAATGTATTTCTATGTAAACTCCATTTTGTGATGTATAGGAATGGATCCTTGATAAGAGGTTAAATAAAATTCAAATCAGAGAAAACGCGGACTATTTTAATATAAATGGTTAAATTTAAAATTTTGATTTTTCACTGAAAAAAATATGAGAAATTTAAATTAAGAAATTTATATTCCTGGAATGTTAGCTGGCTAAATTCTCAGTCTCATATGTAATCTTTTAGCATTATTTATATTTTCAAGGAAAATGCATTTTAAACTTTCCAAGTCCCATCATCATAGGTATAAATATGTCTATTTCCATACTGAAATGTCCAAAGTCACAATTCTCCCAAATCCTCCCTGCAGTCTGGGATTTTTCTTTTACTTCATGGCAGAAATAAACATATGATGGTGTATTATAAAAAAACAAAATCACTAAAAATGGTTCATAACACATTGAAAGCCAAAAATATAAAACTAATCAAGCAGTAACCACCTACTACCACCTTTCCAATTCAGTCAATGTCATTTCATTGTCAAAAAATCTTGTACTTCAATATGCTCATCTTTACGTGGTCCTTGAGATGGGGAGGGTAAGATTTTATACACAATCAAAGGTTAAGAAACCAAGGATATAAGTAATTAAACCAAACCAGATGCTGAAAACTTCAGACTTCTAGCCTACTATTTTCCACCTGGCTGTGCTAAATTAAGAATTTCAACCTAAGTGACAAAACCTACTGAGACAACTCAGCAAATTGGCCGCACGGGCACGGTGATCACAAGACCTTATGTGTGTGATTATTTGTTTACAAAAACAGAATGGATTTTAAAACAAACTATGAGACAGGAAAGCTTAGAGTCAGTCATCCTTCAAAGAATGCTAAAGGCCCACATCACTAACTCAACAGCAGACAAGAACCTCTGAATGACTTCACCCAGTTCTCACTAGTATAAGAAGACAACTCTAATTGCCAAAGTCCTATTTCCCAAATGGAACCTCATTTTAACACGCTTTCTTCCAAAGTGCAAAATACTAAAAACTGTATGGAAATTTCTTATTTGTATATATTTCTCTAGGAAGAGACAGCTACAGCTTTCTTCAAATGCTTAAAGAGATTCTAGCCCCTCAATATTAACAAGAACTTCCAATTTTACAATGACTCTAAAGAAATGCAGGAAAGCTAAGAATCTCAAAACAACTATCATTCCCTAGTCCCATAAAGAGATGAAATTAGTCAAGAAAGTGTGTACTAAAAGCTTTCAGTAAAAAAAAAAAAAAAAAAAAAAAAAAAAAGGGGATAAAAATCCATCTTGAAGGAATAGTTTATTGCTTTGATATTTATAAAAGATTTTTGTGATATCCTATTAACATAGTCTTTAAAGTTGCTGAAATAATCTCCAATAATGAACAACCCACAAAAACAAAATGCTGGAAGAAAAGAACATTTAGAATATAAATTTCCCTTTCATGATAAACTTTTTAAGTCAAAGGAAAAACCCAAGGATTAAATCTATCACTACAGATGGTCCCCAATTTATGATGGTTCAAACTTACGATTTTTCAACTGTATGGTGATATAAAAGTAACACACGTTTAGGAGAAACTATATTTTGAATTTTGATCCTTTCCCGGGCTAGCAGTCTATGGTAAGAGACTCTCTCGATATAGGGCAATGGTAGCAAGCCACAGCTCCCACTCAGGCAATGGATCATGAGAGTGAAAAATGGATACTCTGTGTTGCCAGATGATTTTGCCCAACTATAACATAAATGTTCTGAGCATGTTTAAGGTAGGCTAGACTAAGCTCTGATATTCAGTAGGTTAGGCGTATTAAATACATTTTTAACTTAATGCCATTTTCAACTTGCAATGGGTTTATCAGGAGCATCTGTATTAGATTGGCCAACGGAAAAATATACAGGTACATCAAACTGTAGATAACATACCTGGTTCAAAATATACCAGTGCTAAAGCAAAACCTTCACTGTGTCTTAAAAAAAAAAACCTATCATTTTACTGTTACTGTCTTACAGTAAGTATAATTTTAAATTTGTCAAGTTTTTTAAAATACATTTTTAAAAGTGGGAAAGGGGATTTTGCATGTCAGACCTTATCTCCTATTCATTTTCAGTCAGAAACTGATGTAATAGATATCAGTAATATAAATATATACTAAGAAACTGCAAGTTTATTTAAAAAAAAGACACTGTAAGGCATTCTATAAACTGGTTTAGTTTTATCCCCATTCCACCTATTCTTATGACTTTCTGGGTTATTTTACCTATTTTACTCCTCAAAGCCCCCATCCTTCTCTTCATAAAGATTTCTTACAACGAAAACCTGTATCTGTTGTCACACAGAACTATTCAGCAATATTCAAAAAGGTACCATGTCATTAAGCATATCAATTCAGTTCACGCATTGAGAGCCTAACTCAAAGCTCTGAGAAAAGAATGCTCGTTGCAAAAATAGTTATTTTTATTAAGACCAATCTCTAGAAACTTAACATTGATATTAAAGATGAAGATGTCTATGAGAATGCATTTAGCACAGCGTTGCTCACACAAGAGTTACCTTTTGTTTTGTTTTGCACAATGGAATACAAGCTTAGAGATAAAAAAAATTCTTCCCTTGAAATAAAAAATTCTTCTAGCCTTACTAAAATGAAACATATGATACACATCACACAAGCTGAAAGCCAAATCTGTTAAATTTACTAGTGAAAAATGTCCTAAGTACCCCACAAAAATCTAAGATTTTATTACGCAAACTTTGACTTTTAATTCAGACTCCAAAAGTTATCATTTAAATCATAATAAAACACTTATCTTTTAATATGTAAAAGCCTTAAAATAAGCACTGCCTTTCAAGCTTAAGTGTCTTCTGTTTCCACTTGGCAAATTTACGTTATGTGAAATCCTTAAATAATTAACTAGCACTATAAACCGTCTAGTATCTCGAACCAAATAAATATACAATAAATGTTCTTCCCAAATTAGAACATACAAAAGTGTGGATTTGGCACTGAACTACAATATGTGGGCTCTGTGCGTAACCAGAACCGGTGAAGACTTCTACACCTGTAAAATGAAAATGGCCAAAGCAAGAAAAAATTTTATGCATTTTATGTCCTCCATAGTGAATTTGATAGTCAGGTGTGGCATCACTAGACATAAAGCCTTCAAACAGTTCTATAATATATCAACAAAGCAGCAATACTGACAGCTAAATACTAACAAGTGGGAAGGCAACTAACCAGGAAAAGCTACGTAATCTGTGGGTCCCAGTGCAAGATGAAAATGCAGGGTAACCTTGTCCAAAAATTCTTAAGAATTTCAAGATTGGGTAGGATGTGCAACCATACCGGTTACAAGCTGGAAAAGCAGTCCTGCCCATAACTAAGTACTCACGCCAAAAATAAAATTAACCTCCCCCCACACACACTCAAATGTGGTAGCTTACTATCATTTTTGACCTGTCCAGCTGAGTAGCCAAGAAACAAAGAGCTGGGGGTAGACTGAGATGGGCAGGTTTTCCACAGGGTGGCACACCATCTAGCCCCCTTAAAATGTCAACAAAAAAGTAACCAAACCAAGCTAAGTACCACAGATTCTAGCCTCTCTCAATTCCAAATAAACATTATGAGTGATAAAAGTGGCAATAAGAATGTGACGATGTGATAGATTTAATAAGACATCAAATGGGAGCGAAAATACTGATGCTACCATGCAGACAAGTCATCAAAAAGGGGAATGGTAAAGTCAGTCTTGATAAGAAGCTTAAGAAGCTATTTCAGAGTATCTAGTCCTTTGGGGAAAAAGAACATGAAGGCTAATTTGCCACTGTGGTGCTCTTGTGCAATGCCAATAATGCCTGAAAAGCGTCACAGGTTTTTTAAAAAAATGTCTTTCAGCAAAGAAAGAGGAAAAGGTTGATCCCAGCTTAAAAGTCAGGATATTCTGGAAGGCTTTGCTGTGTCCTTAAAGAGAACCTAAGACTTGCTTCTAGAATAGAAGTGGGGTGGCAGGAGGGGAGGCACATTATTTTTAAAAGATAAGCAGGGAAGGCTGGAAGAGCCAAGAGCGGTTGGTTACAAGGATTCAGCTAGCAGCATCTGTCTGTGTATAAATAATCAAAAGGTTGATTCAAGGAATGATGGTATATGACACTCACAGCATCATTCTCCCTTAACCTACCAGGAGCTGAGTCTTAACTAAAACCACTGAAACTGGGACAGAAAGGCTTTGTTTTTCTCTTGTGAAGAGGCGGTAACCAGAACAAATCAACCAAAAAAACTAAATCAGAGAGGATCTATAAAAACACATCTTAGGCCTAGAAAAGAAAAAAGGTTCCATAGTAACCTTTTGACACTGAGTGTCAAAAGAGTGGTAGACACTGACCAGCAGTGGGTACTTGCTCTAAACAAGAAGCATATCCTATAACTAAAATTATCTTGAACCACAGGGAAAGTGTGTGAGCACTGAATATAGCTGACTTGATTGTTCCTGAAAGAAGACACTACACAATGAAGGAAACACCTACAGATAAGGAAGAGGGAGGGGCTTAACACCTAAAGTTGTCTTTCAAAGGAAGAAAAAAACAACTAACTCCCTGAAAGGTGGCAGCACAAAGTTACCCAAATAACAGGCAACAAGGGGCTGGTTTTAACCACACAAAAATAAAAATACTCTCTCAAAAAGGAAAATTACAAAGGAGGAATCACAGAAAATTTAATGTAACATGTTTCTTCATATTCTAATTTTTCCTACCCCATTCTGGCCTTTATCTTCCAGATGTTTTCTTCCTCTTCTTTCTCTCCCCATAGTTTGCAAGCGAACTTCCCGTAAGTATATCCTCCCCACAACCTTAAGTGTTGTTACCTTAGCATCCCTACAAACCTCCTATAAAGAAGGCCCCTACCACAAATGCAGTAACATTCGGGTCCACTCAGCAATACAGTCACCATTTATATATACCCAAAGGTTACTAAGACAAGGTAGATGCAGGACAGCTTTTCCACCCGCTCACCAAAATGGAAACTCCAGGTCAGCTTCCACAAGAAATGGGAAATTCAAGCGACTCTGGCGAAACGATTCTTGAGAAAACTCTTCAAGGGCAACAAAACAATATTTCAAACAAACAGATTTTACTTGAGGGAATGGGGACATTACACAGCAATTGATATTCGAATGGTTTTAAATGGACTGATTCGCCGTAAGTTTTGAGGCTGAGCTAAATTTTTATGAAGAATTATTAGGAATAGGGCCACTAGAAAATTAAGTTTTAAAAGCGCTTTTGTCCTTGCCGAAGGTATTACATTTTGGCACTTCTAAGAACCGTTCTTTGAGGGAGGGAATAAAGGAGAGTGGACAACTCGTAGCAAATCCTTTTCCCATGTTTTCAGAAAATGTAGAGACGATAGGACTTGAAAATCTTTGTCATAAAGATGGTCTTTAAAAATGCACACAATTCTAAATGACCATCTGGGCAGCTACAACTGCATGCTCATAGCTCGCATCTAGAGGCATGGTTTTACGCTCTGGCCCTGAAGGATAACAAGGAGGCTTTTAAGGAAATGCCGTGAGAAAGACTGCTGGCTAAGCATTGTCACGGCCACTGGAGGAGCACCTGCCAGTGAACCGACGCTGGCTCCCCCAGTCTCACCAGTGCACGCACACTAGTCCGTGCACCCCGGCCGCCGCTGGCAGGCCCTACCAGCCAAGCTGGAGGAGCAGCTGCCGCAACCACGGCAAGCGAACTGAAATCCCAGAGCCGGCCTCGCCCGGCAGAGCGCCCGCGCTTCCCGCGCAGCGCACGCCTCGCGCGCAAACCCGAGATGTGACCGCGAGCTGCGACCTCGCGCGGCTGCGACGGGCCTCACCTAACGCGCACGAGGGGATCATCATTGCTCCTGCCCTGGGCGCCCGCGGCCCTACACCACCTCCGCACACAACGCGGCCGGTGTTAAGTCTCCAAACGCCCCGAGAGCTCCAAGGACCGCGCGCGCGAAGGCGCCGTAGCAAGTGGGCACACACCAGACACCACCCCGGCGTGTTCCGCGGGAGAAGCCAGTGCACACATCCTCCCGCAAGGCGGGGTTGCCAGTGCAACACAGGAATCCTGCCCTTTTTCTAGAAAAGCCCCCTCCCCCACTTTCCCTCCAATACACTCACCTGCGTCTCAACAGTTTCCTTCTTGCGCTACACGCGGCCGCACCCGGGCACGTCCACGCCCGTGCACGCTGCCAGGCGCGACTGTCCCCGCTCGGCTCCCGCCGCCCCCAACCTGCTTGTGCCCACGGGAGGGGCGGTGCCACCTCCCGAGGCGCCCAATTCTCTCTACTCCCGCCGCAACGGGCTGAGCTCTAGGAACTTCGCGGGCACAACCTCCGCCGCCCCCACCAGTGTTCCCGCCCAGAGTTCGGACTAGGGCGCACCACCCCTACCCTGCTAGACGCAGCGGGGGCGCGCACAGACCTTAGCCTCGGCGTCCAAAATGGACCAGGGGCAAGGCGCGGACGCCGTCCCCGCCCCCACGCCCCCAGCACTTGCCTGCTGTGACTCGAAGCTGCAGCTACTACGGCTCGTGCCGCTGGCCGTCAGCACTGCCGCGGAGGAGTCGCTCGGGGCGAGCTCCGCGGAGAGGCGGTGGCGGCGGCGGCGGCGGGAAAGGGGACTGGAAGCCGGCGGAACCCCCGCCCCACCCGCGCCGCGCCGCGCCGCGCCGGCAACCGCCCTCCTCACCCGGCCGGCTACTGCCTCAGTGACGCCCAGGCGCCGCGGTCCCGCCGTTTGTAGCGGGGCGGGAAGGAGGGGCTTGCTTGGAAGAGCGCCAGGAGGCGGGGCCGGCGGCGAGTTCGCGGCGCCGCGGCCGCCGCCGGCGCGTGCCCTGCCCGACCGCCCTTCGGGTCCGTGCCGGCAGGGAGATGCCGGGCTTCAGCAGCTCAGCTCCGTCCCTCCGGACTTCCGAGTCTCACCAGGCTTCCCCGACAAGGTTTCTCTGGACTCGGTGGAGAGCGTTGAGCGCCCAGAGGAGGCTGATTCCAGGTGCAAGTTTGCAAATCCCGAGGCCCGGGGCGCTAACGGGGAGTCAGAGCAGCTAACGTGGGGGTTACTTTATGTGTTCATAAATGTATTTATAAATATATATAAGTATACACACATATGTGTGTCTCTTTTAAAAATTCTCTTTTTCCCCCTACTTCGCAGCCAAGGGGTCCTGTCCCTGGACAGAAAATAAAGGCTTAGCCCCCTGCTGCCCCTCCCTGCCTCTCTAGAGAGAACCTGACGTTTAAATAAGCCCAGAGTACCTGTGCGGGGTGCTGTACTCTGCTTCAAACGCAAAGTAGGAAATCCTGCACTCGACTATGCAAACGCTTGCCGCTAGCCGCATCCTTCTATCGCCCCCCAACTCAAGACCCGAAATGGCCAACTCTTCACCGAGGGGGCGTCCCATCGCTGCCTTGCCTTGGCCCGCCCCTTCGCCAAGCTCAATCCCTTTTCCCCAGAAAAACCTGTGCCTGTCCTCAGACCCGGCCCCACGGCTGGAAGTCAAAACCCACCCCGGAGCCACGCGGCTGGAGCACGTTTTTACACCTGCTCGGCCGCTTAATTACGAGAGCACCTGTAGTTGGGATTTTTTTCATTGCAAAGGCATCGATTTTAGCCCTTCTCCTAAAATACTACATTTAAAAAATCACCTGTCATACCTACCTGAAATTGTAGGAGGTAAGAGAAAGGAACCGAGCAGTGGGCGACCCAGTCGCCGCAAGAACGTGACCGAGGTTACAGCTTCAAGGGCATGATGCAGGTTTGATGCAGCAAGGTCCGCTAAGGGCGTCCAGCGCTCCCCGCCCCCATGCGACGGGCGGAGCGGGGTTGGGGGGAAGGGAGGGGACTCGTCTAACCCAGGGCGGGTGTGGGAGAGGCAAATTTGCCCTCTTGGGCGAAGTCTAATCAGCATAGTGAAGTAGGGGGCTCAACCAAGGTCAAAAGCGAGATAGGCCATCCCTTAATTTGTGCGACCCAGTCTGGGGACACCGGATACAGCTAACTGATTCTATATCAGCATTTCCGTGTCACCCCAAATCCGATTTGCAATTAAATGACCTTAATTGACTTTGTGTGGGTTCCTGGGAAAACTGCTCAAAGCGCCTGCGCCTCTTTGACCTCTCAGTAAATAGTTAATTATAATATTCTCATCCCAGGCACGCGGGATTGCTAAAAATGCCTATTTCCAAAACGTTAGGCGAAAATGGGCCTACTTAATTTGTCAATCCAAACCTAAAACTCTTAGAATGCCCTACGCCCTACTTCCTGACGCTGACTAAATTATGGGAGAGCTCTCAGAAGAGTTCCCCAAGTCTTCCAAACCACTTCTTCCTACAACCGTAGCGTTTTTTGTGAAGAGCTCCAGAACAGGTTAGCTTTATGAAGCGGGGTGCCCAAGCACTTGGTTAAAAGAGGGAACGGGGAAGAAGTGCCTGCTGTAAGACACATTCAGGCAATGACAGCAATAAGTAAGGGCGAGAGTTAAAAAATAAAATGTTAACCCCATAACAACTTCGAAACTCTCAACATATTTTTTTGCGGGCTTATCTGTTCATAGTCTGACAAATCTTTCAGATGTCCCATTTAAGAAGCCATTTTACAAGGAAGTCTTAAGGCCCAAACACATTTCCTACCCTTCTGTTCCCCAAAACACGAACACCCTTTTTCTGACCTTTAGAAACTGATTTTCAATTTGGAAAATAATTTCTTTAGTTACTATTGTCTGCTGTGTACTTTCTAAAAATTTTCATTGTAAGTCTACGTTTTATAGGTTGCAGTTAATAGTGTAGGCCTGGGAAATAAAACATTAATCTCCCTCCCACCCCCAGAGGATGGGTATAATAAATAGGGGTGCGGAGAACGGCTGAAGGTTTAGAATCTTAACCAACTGGAGTGTTTGTACATGAGAGGGGGAAGGGACAGAATCCGTGCATTTCGGGGAGAAAGTACAGAGACCTCCATCCCTGTCCAGCAGTGTTAACAGTAAATACTAAATGGTTGGCTATTTCTCTCACCCTCGCCATAATAAAACCAGACCTGCAGCCGGTAATTACGAGAAAATACCCAGTCTCGCCATCAGTTTTGCTAACCGGTACTTGAAAATGGGAAACGGGGAACTTATCCAACCTCCAATTTGTCACAGTTGTATAGCTTTCGTATTAATTCTGTACAGACGTGAAATAGGTGGGTACGTAGCAACGTGCTGGGCATAAATTAAGCAACAATGGCCACGCGAGGTCTCGTCCGCCGCGGAGCTCCAGTGGTGGGCACTGCCACCTTGCCATCCCTAGCCCCCACCGCCCTTCGCAGAGTCCAGTCCGGGAGGCTGACGGTGCGCTGGCTTTCCCAGCCGGTAGAGTGGGTGGGGTGAGGAGCAACGAGACGTTAACCCCAGCCGGCTTTGTAGCTTTTTCCCATCCTCTGCCTCTCGAGCACCACATGAGCGCTCTCACGCACACACTCACCCACACCCCCTCGTGCCAATAATTTAAACTTCTCTTAGGAAAGCCAGCAGCTTGTTCCACCACCACCACCCCTTCCGCCCTCCCCGGCCCACGAACATCCTCCCCCTTTCCCACATCTACCCTGGATCCTCTCTTTGGCAGTAGAAAGCCAAATGATTTCTCCTAAACCCTGAGAAATCACAAAAGTTAAAATGAAGCGTGTGCCTATCTGCCCAGCTTGTCATCCCCAACCATCTTTCTCCTGGCGTCAATTTAACAATAGCTATTCGAGGAAGTGGGGGCGGTAAGGAGGGGGTGAGGGCTACGTGGCCGAGTTGGCTCCTGGGGTGGCTGCGAAGCCTCGCGGCTGCAGAGGGGTTCCCCCTCTCCCCGAAGGCGAAGTCAGCCGCGTAGGACCAAGGACAGGGCTTGGAATCCACTTCCCAGCGCCCAGCACAGCGAGGCTCCCAAGCAGCCGGCACTTCATAGACACAGCTCCAAGGATCTTATTTACGCTTTTCTGAACAAAGGGAATCTCATATCCGGTACAGGCTTAAGAATTCAGCCCCAAATTGGCTATCTTCTTTTAAAACTGAATTATGATAATTGGAGTCCGTGAATCAGAGCCCGCATACAATGATGAGTTCTGACAGCTTCTAACAACCCTAGCCTCAGCCCAGCCCCAGCCCCAGCCCTCAGGCGGCATGTACTTTTTTCAGTCAACTACAACTCGCTGCCTGGTGCAGCATCTAAATTCCATCTGGCAATCCCATCTCCCCAGCACATGCTATCTGGTTAATGCAATTAAGCCTGTGGTTTTCGCTGGTCTAATCTGCCAGTCCAGGCTTCTGATTCCCCTTAATGATTGTAAAGCCTCTCCCGTCCTTCCGTTGCTGAGCCAAAGTAGAGGCATGCATCCCCAACACCCAAGTTATCACTCTCTCCCCACGAAATGAACTTCCGATCTCAATCTTGAAGCTCACTCCACATCTAACCTCCCATTGTACCCCTACTCCCCCCTGGCCACATTTACCACTTAAGTTTCTGCCATGGACATTTACGAATATTCAGTACGCTAAGCATGCGTCCACCGTCTTTTAGTCTAGCTCTTTAAAATTAAAAAAGCAGAACAGTAGCTTTGAAATGAGACAAACATGTGCAATTAACTTCATATTCTGTATTCCGCTCACTTACAGGTTTTCTGGGTTTGCCAGCGCATCGCTGCAACTAATGATTAAAGAAACCAAACCGAAACTTACCTTTCTCCCTTAAGGTTTTTGTGTATGTGTGTTTTTAAAGTAACGGTGCAGTTCTCCCAATAAGGATGAGCAAGAAGCTGCTGGATAGTTCTCTTAAGACAGCACGAAACCTAAACTGTGCTCGGCTTAAAAGAAGCAAATAAAAAGAAACGCTTTCGACCCCAAAGTCCAATGCTAAAAGAAATGGCGAAAAAAAATATGAAAGGGGAGGGGAAACTTAAAAAAGAGTTTAAAAAGACGGAGAGACTACCCTCCTATTGCCGTTCAACTAAACAAAAAGGGGCAAGAAAAACAAACCAAGGAACAAAGAAAAGAGACGAAAGAACGTTTTTTCAAAAAGACGATGTCTTTCTCCTTGTTGCTTTTTAGTAGGTCGCTACAGGAGTAAGCTGCTGCATCTCTAACTAAGAACAGAAATAGGGGGGAGGACGTCTTAAAAGGGAGGTGGACTGGACCACAGATTTATAGCACCGTATCACCAACCCCTTCTCTGCCTCCGCACTGCCGTGTGTGCAGCTGCTCTGCCAGGCTCCTATCCCGGGCAGCACGCGCGGAAGTATACGCCGAATCGCGCCACAACGTAACTTGCTCATCGCCCCAGGATCCTGATTGGTCCACACGCTTCCATTGAGGCCGCCCAGGCGGGGCCGCGTGAGACGATTGGCTATGGGCTTGTGTCACTCTCGAGAGCTCAATGGAGTCCCGTTTCAAGGTAAGTTGTGCGGGGAGGTACACTCTTAACACTGGCGGCGAAGGGAAATGCAAGAAGCAAAAAGAAATGTGGAGAGAGCAACGTGGGAGGGTTGGAACTGTACTATCAGAGTTTGCGATATGGCACGATCTCCTTTCCTCTTAAATCTTTCTGCTTCAGAAAGATTCATTTCCTTTGCCATCACTGCTGCATCTGTGGCATATTTCTTTATAACATTTAACTCTGTCCGGTATGTATGAGTCATTGAGAGCTCCCTCTCTTTGATCTGAGTGAAAGGGATGAATGTACATCCATTATTTGCCCGCATGCCTTTTTTCGATTTGTGTTCAGTACTGTATTTTGTATTAGATGTTAGGTAATTGTATGTCTTTATTTTAATATACGCATATTTCAGATTTATGTGTCCCCATGAACCCCTTTTTAAAGCATCCTTTTAAGATAAAGATGAAGTCAGAAATGCTCTCAAATAAAGCTGCACGGTTTGAATTGGCTTTCACTTCATGTTAGAATAGAAAAGTGTAGGATAAATATCCTATCCAGAAAAAGAGGTATTGAGTAGAGCTAAGGTCCTTCACTTCGAGGTGTCTAATGATTCTCAAAAAGAGCAGCTGTATATAAAACTGGAACAAGCCACTCCTCTGCATTTGCAGACAGGTACAGTCCTTGGACCACACATGTATTGCTGACAGCAAAGATAGTTGAACCTTTATCAGGGCTCTTTCTGTGAGGATTTAAGAAGTTTAACCAGAAGACCAAGTGCTATCAATGCTTCTGCTTCATAGAGGAAGACTACTTTATTACAACCCCATATTTTAACAGCATTCAGGAGACCAAAATACAGTTTTATGCATGATAATTGTTTCTTCCTCTAAGTGAAAGTGAGGTCCTCAGGATCGTCTGGATGTATAAGTAGACACAATATTCATTTGACCTACGTTCTTTTCCAGCCAGCATTTCTCTTTTCAATCTTGAAAGATAGCACCAACTTCCTAGACAGTTTTTACCATTCTTACCAGAATGTGTAAATGTAATGTACACATTACATTACACATGTAATGTGTCTTAACCAGAGGCACATGCCTTTTTGAAAGGGATTCCTTTACATATTTACAACTAGTCGCTATCTTTGAGAATGCCGGAAAAAGAAGACACAGGTAAGAGTTAGAGATTGCAAAAGGGTAGGGTGTCATGGAGGGGAATGGGACAGAAGATCCCAAAGCAAAATGACTTTGAAGTGAGGAATACAGTAAATCAGTGTTCTTTGAGAGTGTCCTTGAGTGTTGATAAATGATTAATGGTGAAAAACAGACCTGTTTATCTCCCGTGTAGCCTGTATAACAATATACGAGTTCTGTTACTTTGCATGACAATACCTGGGGCTTGAGAAAGAAGGCCTGAATCTATGTTATCTTATAATTAGTGTTTATAAAATCATGCCTTAACCTCCACCCCCAGTTTTTGTATAACAACCTCTGGAGTCTTAATTTCAACTTAAAACTATTCTCTAGACCTGGGTGAAACTCACAGCAAGAAGAAAGAAAAGCACTTTGAAGAAATGGAGTCAAGGGGGAAAAGGAAGACTCCACCCCATCTAGACTAGATGTATGAATAACAGAAGATTGGGTTTGTAGTCATCTTCCTTCAACCCCTCCCCTTGTCCCCAGCTCCATACAGAGAAATAACCTTTAAATGAATACAATTTGGGGAAAGTATAATACTGTTTGATTTCATCAGACTTACCTAGGCAGTGAATTGTCTTTCCTCCTTTTTACCATGCTCGTAGGTTAATATTGAATTAGTTGCATATGCCCATATAATTTCAGTACATTGAAGTAAATCTTTACCATTATAATTATATAAGTGCCTTCTAACTAGGTGGAAACTAATACTTTTTTTGGTGCATGTTTATATCCACAAAAAAAGACTTGTAGATAACTGTGATATCTGTAGATAACCCAAAATGATAGGGACAGGTGTGAAAAGCTGGGAGTGATATGGAGTAATAAAAATCTAGCATGTGTATTATGTAAAGAAATTACATGGAAAATAGTAAACTTGTTCATTCAAATGAAAAATGCTAAATTCTGTAGATTCAGTATTTATGGTTTTTTTTCAGCTTGGGCATAGTGACAAAATATTATTCAAAGTATTGTCATCCCTAACATGTTGTCTTTTTATGTAGGTGAGATGGACTTAAATTATTTAAAAAGTGAAAGTATCTTAAAATATTATTTTACTTCCTCATTAAAACAGATGTTTTTACATTTTAAAACTTTTAAATGGATAGATGTATTATAAGCAACATGTACTTTTTCAACTTTTAAAAATAAAAAATATTGATTACAGCCTCTTTAAAACAAGTGATATCTGGATGTAGATTTCACTTTGAAATTCATGTCTCATAGCTTGAAACATTAACAAATACATACTATCCTATGATTAATTAATGAAGCCTATGTGCAAACATCTCACTTAAGAATAAGCAAAAAATGCAATCAACCCCTTTTCACTCATAGTTTGGTAAAAGAATTATCCACAACATCTGAATTTGCATTAGAAAGTATTTAAAAGACATTTGAATATGATTAAGTTATATGAACTCTGACATATCTTCCAAGTTCCTGGCATTATTTTGAATTGCAGCAGAAAAGGGAGAGATGAAGGGAATGACTGCGAACTTGGAGCAAAAGTGTGAGGTGGATAAAGTTGCAAAAGAATAGTTCTCAAAACCGAAAAAGTCATGAATTTAATTATTTTACTGAAGTTTCTATATAAGAGAACATTTATTCATAAGAATATGCAAAGCTGTTGTGGAAAATGTCTTTTAGGATAAATAACTCCCTTACACTAGAGGTCCTGGGAGCAAGGGAAGGAGTGATTTTACATTTTGTAATAAAAGTTACTGTAAACTACTTGTAACGTTTTGTAAGTAAATAAAGAAGTTAAACTATTAAAATTAGTTTACAATGTTTGGCTTAAGGCAGTAATTTCCAACAGTAAACCTTCTTAGATGAATAAAAATGTTATGTGTTAGTATGGTGGAGTAGGGGGTTATGGTTCATACTATTGGAAATATGATAGTTTAATGTCTGCATGAGAAATACAGATATCATATATCTTGCTGATTACTCTTTTATTTATTCTTCCTAAAGTAGTATGTGGACTTGCCTTTCACCGAAAGGGGGGAAAAGTTGTGAAAATTGACACCAGTGTGAATTTATACCGTGGCAACCACGCAAGAGAAAGAGGCAGGAATTAGCACCATGGACAGAGACGAGCAGCCCTCAAATTAAGATTTGCAAAGCTTGAGACGGTGTTTTCTGTCCCTTTCTGTGAGACACGGAAACTGCGTGTCTTGGGAATGTTTTATTCCACGGGACTTTGCGGAAAAGACTGTCCTACTCCACAGAAACTCATTTATTTTGAATTAGGCTGGCATTTCTTAGGACTCAGCCATCATGACAAACTGTCAGGAGACTTAGAGCCCCGAACTCGCTGTGCACCTTCCACTGTCCTGTTTTACATACACTCCCTTGCCGGCGTGAGCTCGCCTTTCTTCAGAGTGTTCATGAAAAATAAATGCAAATCCAGGTAGTCTTCGAAAAGTCTGGTAAACCTGCTCCAGAGTTTTTAATCCTCGAATATCCCAGCTGGAATTGCAGCAAAAATGCCTGCCTGCTCACCCTTGCTCCCTCCCCCCGTTCTTCTCCCTGCTCCCTCCACCCCCTAGCAAAGGGGTAAAGCCTTTTACTGGAAGGTGAGTGACTCCCAAGACTATTTTGCGAAAGATTCTTTACATTGCAAACACTTTCGTTAGGGACAGTGCCAGGGGCGGCAGTGAGCGGGATCTCAAACATCCTTTACTTTCTCTTTACATTGTGTCTGTAAACTCCTGTTCAAGGGGGAAAGACTGTAAAGTAAGAGAGCACACTCAAGGAATATTCCCCCCGAATCCTGAGGTTGCTGTTTACACTTAAAGACACATGAATTGTTCATTTAAATGTTCTTTTAAAAAATGTAACTAGTGTCGCGGTAAATCTTTGAGACCAGCCTAGGTTGGTTCTCCCTTCCCAGCCCCCCACTTACACACACACACACACACACACACCTTTTTTTTTTTTTTCCTGGACCAATGTATGAGGTTCATTCTCCTTTAGATGATTTGCCTGCAGATATTCAGACTAAGATCTGTTGCACATGTCCCAGAGTGTCTAGGAAAATATATTTGCAGCCTCAGATCGACGATTATT
The DNA here is from genome assembly GCF_000001405.40 of Homo sapiens. NCBI lineage: Eukaryota > Metazoa > Chordata > Mammalia > Primates > Hominidae > Homo > Homo sapiens. The sequence continues at coordinate 23,830,768 of NC_000009.12, forward strand.
TTATGTAGACGCTCCCACAAATGTCCCCAGATTTCCTTCCCCTCTTTTACTCAATAGCAACTTTTAGGAGGATAAACTCACGTTTTTCCTGAGCATAAAAAGGGAAAATCTAGGCGACTAGGCGAGGGTGAAGGAAAAAAAACCCCAAAAAACCCGGAGGTGAAAAAGGGCAAATCAGAGACTTATGTCCGTTTCTTTCAGGGATACTAACAGCCTTCTTTAAGCTTCCCCCTGGAGCCGATACATCTCATGCAAAATTAATACAAGCAATTAAAAATAACAGTTTCCAAAGTTAAAGGAAACCATCTGTCTCAGCTGATAGTAATCAGTCTTTTCTCTGGCCCCTTTACCGGGACCTGGGAAGAAACGGTTTTTATGCTTCCGATGCTCGGAGGCTCTTTCTTATATTGAAGATTTATGTTTCCACTTGTGTGCGATGCACGTCTAATTTGAAATAATAAAACCGGGCTGAGCAACCAGTCAATCAGAGCCATCCAGGGCGCTCCGCACGCCGCCCTGCCCCCCACCTCCCTCCGGTCTCTAACTCTTTCCCTCCTCCTCCCCCTCTCACTCTCCTGGCCCTCCCCGTCTTCCTTCCTCCCTCCTCGGCTCTCACACGCGCTCACACTTTTACCCCCACGTGTGTTCAGATCAAACCCTTGTCCCACAGAGCAAGTGCCGGCACCGGGCCACGGTGACAAAGGCGGAGTTTGTATCAGAAGAAGACTGAGGCCCGGGGAGACACAGCGGCTAGAGAAACAGCTGTCTTATCAGCCCGCTGCAGAGATGGAGATGGCTTGAGAGGTCCTCAACAGATAATCACTTGAATAGGTTTGCAATGCGCCAAACTTCACGCTTGATAAGGCCAACCCAATGTAGAGAGAAGCCCAGATCCTGCTCCATTCTATCTGGGCTGTAAATTAAGAAATTGAAATTCAGGTGGCAGAGGCAGCAGTCTGCTGATAGACCGCTGAAGTAAACTGCATTAAAATGCTTTCGGCAGGCAGAGGGGGCGCCTGGAATGGAATATTGTTTAAAAAAAAAAAATGTAGTGGGAGGGGGCAGTGAGAGAGAAGAAAAAGCCCACGGGGCTTAAAAATTATTTGGGGAAGGGAAGCTGTGAGGAGAAGTGGAAAAGGGACACAGCATCTGGCCATGATTCCTAATCATAGCTACTATGAATAAACAATTTGAAAAGTACAGTATGGAGTTGTGTAAAGTTTGGTGTGATAAGAGATCAAGGAACAATTTAAACCAATCTGGTATAAAAGGGAATTCCGTCTTTATCTGAGCAGGGGTGAGAGGAAGTGGATATCAAATGGACTGTAAAGTTTTCCTTTCATTGTAAGAAAAGCAGATCAACCGGATACAGAGGAGTTACCATAAATTGAAGTTAACCTGGCCTTTTGGCTGAAGTGATAGGGCCACGGGAGAGATTCCAGAATGATTTTTAGAATAGCCTAAGAAGTTGTCATCCACAGGAAAGAATCTACATAGCTACTTACAGGAATAACAGTTATTTTTCAACTCCCTCCTCCCTTTACCCAGGTAATTACTATAGGATAATACAGGAAACAAAAAAAAATCCCAGGTATGTACTCTAACACATACCTGATTCTTACCGCACACTTTATATCTACATTTTTCTGTCTGCTCTTTTGGATATGAGGTTTGAAATTTTATGCATTATTTAAATAGATTTTTTTCACAAATATTTAATATATGTAATGACCAGCATATAGCCAGTGACACTGTCATCTTGATTCACTAATGTCTTAGTGTTGTACCTTGTTCTTTGTGTCTTAAGTGAATTGCAAGTTCGTTGGTGTCCATTTATGAGGTGGATAGCAAGTATGAGAAGATACATGGCATTTTCCACAAGGGCATTTACATTTTAAGTCTTAGAAACATTTATAAAAAGTTACCTTCAGCCGACAACACATAGTTAATACAGCTTTAGAAAATGAATCAATTTTTATTTTGTTTAACTTCAAAAATGTGATCGATCTCAGAATGCATTTAACTGACAATATAAAGGCTTATATCACTTTAGGATAAGCAAAAATAAAAAATGAACTTGTTGGAAAAAGTGAGAAAAATTTTAACATGCTATCATAAATTTTAGCAACTATTAAACTACTTGAATTAAAAACAATTATAAACTTGGAAATTGTTATTTGATTATTCATAGGTTAGTAAGCAAATAAATATAGGTCATGAAATCTCAAAGACATTTCTGTTGAATTGTTACATGCAAAAATCCTTCATATCTAACAAAAAAAGAGGTGTTTGCGTTTTTTTTATTCTTTTAAATTTAAGTGTATGGATGAATTAGTGCTTTGTGTATCCTTTAATGAGAGAGAAATTTATGGTTATGTAAGCTAACTTTTCCTTTCCATACCATTATTTTCCATAAAGTTATATTGGTTTAAATAATGGCTACTATATATGTATATTAAGAAATATTATTTTAATGAATTCCAGCATTTTAGGCAGTATTATATTATCTCCAATAATCCCATAACAAGATATTTTTCTGCTTGTTAGAAAACAAGTTTGAATTACCAGCTTTAATAAGCCCCTTAAGCTATGATTTTTATTTTTTTCTTAATCAAATTGAAAATATGCACACAATGGACAGCTTAAACTGTTCTTTAATACAGATAAGACTTTTTTAAGATGTTAATTTGCATACAGATGAAAAGATACACTGTCACCAAGTTTGAAATGTGAAAAAAGATATTTTATAAATTTAAATTATAGCATTTCAAAACTAAGATAATTTTAAGAAGTGACATTTTCATTATGAACATAAAATCTTTTAGCATGAAATTAGTATAAAAATAATCTTGTTTTTTTATAAATTTTTGTCACAAAATGAATGCTACATATGGTTTCTAAAGGCATAGCAATTCATTATAAATGATGAAAAATAAAAAATAACCAAAAATGTGAAGTTAGTTTTTTAAATGATTTTCAATTATTAATCCCCCTCTGTGAGAAATGGCATATTATATTTTTAAAGCAAACAATCTTCCTATGATGTATTAAGGCAAAAATGTTGGAAGCTTTTGAAATATCCAAAAGTCTTCATGTTTTTGTTTAATGACTGATTATAATTCTATTACCAAAAATATCACACATAACTAATTATGTCCTTCCAGATATAACATTTATCATCAGGTAAGAGTGAAATGAGCAATACATAATCACTTCCTATTTCTAAATATTTTTCCTAATCTTTGACAAAAGGCCCATTTCAATTTGGTTCAGCATCCTTTGAGTGCCTAGCATGTGCCAGAATAACAAAATTAGATTAGAGACAATAAATGCTTGAAGGAAATCAGATTATATTTTACGAAATGATAGTAAATGGAAAACTTGAGGGGTTTAAATAACTCAGTTAATATGTTGCATAATACATATTCACAATGTGTCTGGTTTATGTTGTTGTTATTGTTTATCCTTATAAATTTTTGTACAATATCACTTTTTAAAATAATATAACTTGTCAAAAAATTACTCCTTTATATAGGAACATCATAGAAGGGATATTATCCTTCTAGGAGCTACAGTTTTGCAAATTGTTAATGGCTTGGGTTTTGACTTCAGACACATGGATTTGAACCTGATTTCACGGGTCCTTGGACAAGTTACTTTATTGCTTCTAAACCTTGATTTTCTAATCTATAAAATTGTGATAATAATGCCTAATTTAGAATCACTGTGAGGTTAGATGTAATCATAAGTATAAAATACTCAAAACTTCCTGACATGGAGGAAGCAGTCAATAGATGGTAACTACAATTATGAGAACAAAAATGGTAACCTATCACATTTATTTGATGGAGCCAGAATTAGAATTCCTGCCTTTGCATACTGTCTCTTAAATATTTTCATTAGCTCTCATTAATGTCCCAACTGACATATTTCATGATAAATATTCTCTCACATTTCTAATTGCAACCAAGTTTAAAAGGCGCCAAAAGGCATAAAATCATCTATCTGCCCTGTTATGTGACTTCAATATATTTCCCAATACAATTTCATGATTCACCCATAAAAAGTTGTGGGTCTTCAAAATGGAACTGAGTCTGAGATCCCATTTGACTGATATAATAATAAAAACACCTTAGATTTTTATAGTACCTTTTATCACAAAAAGCTCAATGTACTTTTACATATTTATCATTGTAACCCCAGGAGGTATAGAAGGACATAAAGTATTTCTCATTTTCAGGGGGCATAACAGAGGCATTAGGAATTTAGGTAACATTTCTAAGGTTCATAGAGATAGTTTTCCCGGATGTCAGTCTTTCTGCAATCTGTTACTCTCTCTGGCATTAATTATGGCTATTGTTACTTTAGTTAGGCTCAAACATTAGTGTTTGGCATTAAGTATAGCTTATAATTCAGTTAATCACTTGATGAAATCAATGAGTCAAATATATACCATCACAGTCTAATCAAATGAAAATATTTTGATTTTATGTTGAGACACTTTTATTATTCAATTTTATATATGCATACATTATTCTTATTTATCATTCTGTGTTAATTTCTAAGGGAAGATTTTAAAGGTTATTACTCATTTATGGCCTTGAAAGGAACCAGTTCCAATCTACTTATCACTCACCTCTCCCTAGGCTCATTCTTCCATCTCCACTTATATTTTTATAGGCTATTATCTTTATTCCATTTACATAGGCTAACAGTATTTTCTGCTCTAGTTTTCTATTTAGATTGTGCTTGAAAAATCTATCAAAATAAATATCTAAAGGAATATAGAGGTAGACTATATAAAGGGCTTTTTATAATGTATTGTTTTGAATAAAACAAAATGTATAACTAATGTCTACTTGACATTATAAAACATAGAATATCAGAAGAACACTAAAACTTGCTTATGGTTTATAGTTTTGCAGTTCCCTCCTGGGCTTACATTGCTATGAATTCATATAGATGGAGCTATAGCTGTGGTCTTTCAGTGAGTAAGTGAAATGGAAGGAAACAACATTTTGCAGTCTGATAAAAGAATGAACCTTAAACTTTTAGAGATCTAAATTCATTGTAGGTAACAATAGAAAACAGACTTAATGTTTTTATTTCAAGCTTCAATAGGCGTCTGTCTGCATCTTAAATGTATCATATAATTTGATAAAATTGACCCACTCAAGGTCAAGCCCAGTCATCTGACTGCCAGACTTCTATGAGCAAGTGTAATTAGCACCAAGAAGAAACACATATGCATAAACACAGAACAGCCAGTGCTGCTGTTTATTGCCATTTCACACTAACCCCTCTTAACTCTTCATGTTGATGTGATTAAATACAAAATCCATTTCTCTGATGGAGCATTATGTATGTGTATTTTAAGGCTGAAGATACTGTCGTAATAGAAATAATATTTTATACCTTTGGTCATTGTCATTCTAGTATGAGAAATTAGAGAATATGGTTGCTTGAAATGTCAGTTTTTGTAAACATGAGTTGGAAGATGTCACATAAATGAATGGCATTACAGACTGTTTAAGCTGTATGAGTAACAAATAGACATTTCCTTGAATTATTTTCACACAATTTACTGTGAATTTTTTCCTGTAGATGATATTTCTAGGTTCCTTGTGCAAACAATAAAAAACTTTCTTTTATGTCAGTGCTTATTATTTAACTTATAGAGTACTGATGTATTCTAGAATACTAATATTTCTAGATATAAAATGAATGTGAAGATACATGTGTCTCCATATTAGTCATATCAAAAGGATACATGAAAGTTTGAGCCTCTTTGTAAGGTTTGTATAAAAGAGGAAAATATTCATATATATTACAGTGTTCAGTCCTCGCTTTTAAAAGATCTTTATATAAATCTCAATTGGGTGTGTGTGCATGCATGTGTGTGTGTGTGTTTGTGTGGGTGTGGTTTAGAGCAAATAAAAGGAGGTTGAGAGGTGAAAATTACAGGAATTTGTTGGAGTATACCAGCCTGTCTATAATAGAGGAAGTGGGCTACAAAGCATAGGAAATCAGGTTGGTTGGGTATTGTGGTACCACATTATGCTGGCTTTGAAAGCCAGTAGAGGGAAGTACAGATATACAACTATTAGAAACAGGATACACCTATTGACAACTGTGAATTTTAGAAAATGCCAGACAGAAAGATACCCAAAGGTAGAGGAATTAGAACCAACACATAAGCAGGGTTAAGAAGCTTTCGTCGAAAATTCAAGACTCCTTGCAATGAGGAGGCAGGGTCAGACTATAATATATATGAGGACAAGACTGACAGGTATAGAAGAAGAGTTCATGACACTGACAATAATGAAAGTGTTTTGATGGCCAAAATATTTCCATCAGCACTGGGAAAGAGATAGGGCTCTCAGCATATAATGTTTCTGAGCCAATGAGCCCACGGAAGCTGTGAGGGAGAGAAACCAGAGACAAGAGCCTGTCAGGCTGCTGCTCTGCGTAGCCCAGGACGCCTCTAAGATACCTTTGTGCCTAAGGGAGGGCTTTAAAAACACTGCTGGGAAAGTACGCACTGTGGCACTAAGCAAAGATCTCTAGATGTGGAGCAAGGAGGCATGAGTCCTAGTATTATTTATCCCGCTAACTAGCTGATTCTCTTCAGAAAGTCACTCTGACTAAACTTCATGATTCCCAGGAGAAGACTAGATTAGTAATAATAGTGTATGCTAGGTGGCATTCTAATCCTCTACATGCATTAAATCAGTTAACTCTCACAAGAATCTCATCATTTTACAGATAAGGAAACTGAGGAAGTTAAGTAATTTGCCCAAGATAACACAGCTAGAAATTAAAAGAGCTGGGATTTCGCCCTAAATAGGCTGTTTCTAGAGCCCAAGTCCTTAGCCACTATTTATTGGAGTACCTTTAAGGTACTTCCAGATGTACAATTTTGTAATTTTAAAGAAATACAACAGAAATTACAGATGACATAACACTTGCAAGAGAACAAAAGCCTCTAGAAAACAGATATTACGATGAACATAAACAGATAAAGCTCTACTTTTCATTTCAGAAATAATCATACTCTTATACCTTGCCGTGCTCTCTACTGCTGACAAATAGAAGAGAGAGAAAATTTATAGTTGGATGATTTATTCCTTTAAAAAGATTCAGGTCAAATATAATAGGATTTTGAGAAATATTTTATATAAGATGTCCTTGGCTGTTCCAACCAGCGGGTAACATTGTTTTGCAGTTTAATTATTTAGCTTTTACATATTTTAAGCAGTCTCCTCCATAAACATATAGTAAACAGTTATAAAGCCATTAAAAATAGTGTTTATTATTTAATGAAATGTGAAGATATTTATGAAATATTATTAAGCATATTAAACATCACATAAAGGATGTTTACTAGAACATTAAACAATGGCTATTTTGAGGTAATGGGAGTTGGATTTATAGTTACTTTTTTTTTTACATTTTCTGCATTATTGGGTTTGTAAAAATTTTGAGCACGCATTCTTTTTCATAAGTCAGAAAAACAGGTAGTTTATTGTTTCAGAAAGAAAAAACTCTACAGCTCAAGCTTGAGGGCCTATAGCCACCAGGTGGGAACAGGTGCTAGATGCTGGATGGTAAGGACCAGTGACCTCTTAAAAGACAACTTAGATAAAGAGAGAGGTCAGAATAATACCCCTTGAGCTTTTCAGTTTATAAACAAAATAATATTCACTTCTAAAAAATTGAGATTTAATACACATGAAAAATAGATATGACAAAAATCTCAGAAATTGCTCTACCATTTTTTTAGACAACAATATCAGGTATAACTATCCTGTCCAATTAAAATTGCCTAATATTAATTATATACAATAACATAAAGTGTTTCCTTCCCTTACTGACTATCTGTATTATGGCCAAGGAATGTTCTTCTTTTCGATGAATTAATCATTTCTTTTTCCCTATTAAATCCTTTCTCAAATTGCTCAAGAATCTCATAAAATGAATCTTCATTCCCAGCCAGCAAAACCCTTAAAGTGATTTGCTTATATTTCTATGGCATATAAGTAAGTGAAAACCATAATACAGTAAATAATTATAATGAGATTGAACAAAAACTGGCTTCCGGACAGGTACCATTAGTGAATTGCTATTTCAGTGTCCTAAACAGTCACCTGAGTTAATTCAATTTTCATATTCTTTAATTTTTGTCTTTAAAATCACTATTCAGAGAATGGAAAACTGGCTCAATGTCTCAACTGTGACTGATGGCAGTCTCTGAACATTCTTACTTATTTTGTTTTGCTATTTAGAAATAGTCTAATACCATGACCAAGAATCTAACAAGAGCTATCTAACAAGTATTATTTATCTTATTAGATTTATGACATTGGTAGAACTGGAAAAGAAGGTACTAAGAAAAAATACCAAAATAACAGAAACTTATTTTTTAATATGATGTATTTTAATGTGTTCTGTTATCTTTTAAGTTTTATAAACCACAGACATATATTAATTTTCAGATATGAATGACGACTGTTTTGAAAAAAAAAAACTTATTTGTCATATATAGAGGACATAAAGTGCCGCTGCCCTCACTCATGCACTCATTTGACTCATGGCGCAGTCCTGAATAATTTTAAACCAAACATGACTGCGGCAATCAATTTTCGTCCAATTTATTGGGCATGAGTTAAAGCCAATTAAAAAACCATTTTTGGTGCAATTCAAGAGGAAAACTGTATAAACCCATGAAAAACAAATTTCAGTCCTAGACATGAGTCATCACTATTCTAAATATTGGTGTCAGTCCCAAATCAACAAGAACAAATCCTAAAATTGCACAGTCCACACTGGAAACTGCATTTATCAGCAATGATTTTACACAATTATTAATTTTTTATAAGAAACTGACCTGAAAGGAAAATCATGCTCTTCTGTCTCATATCTGAATCATTTTTGCAATGAAATTAATAGGTAGTTTATAGCAGCTCCTTGAGTTTCTGAATTAAAAACTGAGGTAGAAAGTCATCTGTGACCTTTATATAAAGAAAGCAAAACATTTTACCTATAATTTTAAAGTATCTTTTACCTATTAGACCATGTCTTCTTTCACATGAATATAGTGGCTCTCTTTTAAGGCCATAAAATGAAACAATCCCTGTATGCTCCAGATATTCTTAGGGTAATCAAAGCAGCAAAATTGAAGCTTCTAGGTTGGAAATTACAGCTATAAAATACAGCTATACATTTTCAATCTGTATATTAAAAAGGCCTTTCAAGTTCAGGGTTGTCTTGGTTAAAAGTATTCACGCAGACCTGAATTCTGGTTCTGCCTCTCCTGTGTCCTTGGTATATGACTTTGGGCAAGTTGCCCAACCTCTCTAAGCCTCAACTTTCTCATTCTTAAAATGGGCATTAAAAATAACCTACCTTTTAGGGCTGTTGTGAGCATTAAGTGACTAAAGTATTTGTCAAGTGCCTGGCACAGAGTCAATCTTCATTAGACGACAGAACTGGATAAAGGAAAGCCCAGTGATTCTCACACATGGCTGTGCAACACAATCTACCTGTGAGGTTTTTTTCTTTTCAAGTACAGATGCCTCCCCTTTACCTCAAGAGATTTCACTGTAATTCTGAGGTGTAATCTAAGCACATATGTGTATGAAAAGCTCCACAGGTGATTCTGATGAACAACTGATTTAGAGCAAAAATCAGTACAGGTTTTTCAGTGGTGCAGTTAACATGGAGTTAAACAGTGGCTTGAGCTATTTTGGTTCCGTTATCTCTGCTGAGCAGATTAATTGGACTAATTGCCAATTTTATACTTTGTGTTATACTGAAAAAGATTTAACTAGGATATCTTTAAAAGATTTTACTTACATTCATATTGCTATGAGGTCACAGAATAAGTGTGATTTTCTACAACTTCCCGTTAGTAAAATGAAACAACATGTGAGATAACCCCGGGAAATTGCAGTCATTCCACTGGCATAGATATATTTTAGTGTTTGTTATGTTTGTTACTTCTATTTAATAAACATAGGCAAATAAGCCAAAATTACTTAATCAGTTTTTTCAGAGTTATATTTTCCTTTTGAGTTAGTTCATTTCTAACTGTCCTACTTCAAGTATGCACTCTCCTCAATGACAGAGATCAGGTGGTGCCATGCTGTTAAGAAAAAAAACTATCAGAAAAATATACACGTTGGACTGACATGACCACCCCACAAGTTACTCACCATGATTGTCTAACAGAAACACGTGCATTTTCCCTGAGAGTCAATTTTAAATATTAACAGAAATCAGGACTCTCCTTAATATCTTCCCATTAGTGGAGATTAATTTATTAGATGAACAACCTGTTACCTTGAAAGGGAAAGAGATATGTCCTAGTAGATCTGGGGTATTAGCAATGTCAGTAGAGGTGGCAGCGTAAGCCTAGGGGAACAAAGGACAGCCAGGTCCTAAAAGTATCAAGAGAAGATGATGAGGAGGTGAGGAAACCAATCAAGATAGTTTCCACCATTTGTGCCTAGGGCAAGTCTGGGTGCAGCTGGTACATTCTCAGACTTACAGCTTTTATAGGCCTTCTTGGTAGGAAACCAGAGTGATTTATACCCTGGCATATCTCTATACAGGAATTCAGAGAAATTCCAATGCTGCTACACCACCAGACAGAGTTTTTACTTTAGAGTTTCTAGAGAAACTCTCTCTCTAGGTTTAAGAATTGTTATACCCTCTCTCTAGGTTTAAGAATGCAAACCGCATAGATTACCTAAGGGCTCATTGAGACAATACTTACTCTCTGAGGACTCCCTACCCTCGGGGTTTAGAAATGACTCTGCAATGTAAATATAATTCAACATCATGTATTGGCAAGCTGTTGGTAGATCAAGGAGATGTTGATCAAGATGTCAATGAGAGAGTTGGAATGCCCAGATTCTAGTTTTTAAACTTTTTGAGAATCACTATGTATCTATGTATAAAGTGAATGATAGTGTTTGCTTGTTTTACTTTGTAGGGTTATTGTAAAGCTAAAAGAAAAGTAAATCTATGAACACTGGAAAATTTTCTATTGGCATGAGAAACTAGAGGAAAATAATTTTTAATGTATTTAACTTTCTAGTAAATTATACAAATGCCTGTCAGGAACATATTTCCTTTTTTAAAATTAAGTAAACTTTTTCTTTTTCAATATGATTCTCGAAAGTTTCAAAATCAACTCATCAGATAACAACTCTATGTTAAAACTTCAAAAAGTGAAATTGCCTGACACTTGCTGAAATATCATGGAACATGAAAATGAAAATCTACAGAAAATGCAGAACCTTCCATTTCGTTTTTTGTTTATGAATATAATGTTTTATCTAAGTCTCACCTTAGACAATTGGTTTCCAAAACGTGGCTCTTTGAAATTTCAGAGAGGAGAGAGCCCCTTCAGAGTTTTTCGTTTAACCAGCAGAGAATTGCATTCTCACAGCTGGAAGCTGAACAGCTGTTGACTCTGACATTTTTCTGTTCCCCTGAGTGAGAGTTCAAGGACCCTCTCTGCCATCAGGAGGACAGCCAGTAAAGGGGTCAGAAACATGTTCCAGTGCAACTCAACTCCAAGGCCACCCTAGAGGACTGGAGAACAGATAACTCAGAGCCACTGTTGCCCAAATGGTAGAGATAGTCTCCCTGTTGCAGAAAACCAGCCTCCCTGAGAATCTACTTTCTGACTCATGGCCAGATCTCAAGGCTTAAGTGACCTGAAGCACCCTTGATACTGGCCAGTCTTAGGAATTTGGTGTCCTTTTAGAATTTATCAATATATATCTCTTTTTTTCATATATATAGGAAATTTCCTTTTCACTCAAAGTGCATTTCTGAGTGCTTCTTAGTGGATACTAAATAGCTAACTCCATTTTGATTTTATAGGAAGAAAAACAAACAAAAAGAATATTTCAGAATAGCTGTCACTGCAGCACTATTTATTGTATCCACTAGAGGACTCCTCTCAGAATAACTCAAAATCTCTCCCTTCTCATTCTCTATGGCCTCTGGCATTTGATGCTCAACTGACTCTTGAGTTGGGCCACTGGCTACATATCAGTGTTAGAATGAAAACATTCCCCCTACTTTAACACCTCCTGCTAGTTCAATAAAGCGATGTTTAAATAACTGAACTGGCTTCAATGAACTGTACTTGCCATTTTTTCCTGCTTCTTAGCTAGATAAAATGGAGATAATTAGGAAGTGGATGAGCAGGTTTAATGAAAGCCAGTTTCTTTTGGTATACTCCTGAAGCAGCAATCATCATCTGTTTGGCTTTTGAAGAGCAACAATTATAATCACTTAAACCCCCAAGGGGAACAAAAATAGAATTTACATTAGCATATAAAATATACAGCTGGATTGGGCAAGCCTACAAAATTCTGGGGAAATCATTCTAATCTGAATGCTATTCAAACTCACAAGTAAAATGAGTTCAAGAGTATTTTACATACTTCCTTCCTATAAAATAATACTTATAACAATGTTGAGAGGATTTTCCTAAAAATGAACACAGGGAAATAAAAAATTGTTGCCAGGAGAGAATCCCAGAGGGAATAAGCTAAACTGTATTGTCAAGATATCACAGAGCAAAATGCATAATGATATTCACACAAAGTACTAATCACTCTGAAGTGAAGACTTTTTACAGTAAAACTACACACATTTAGGAGTTTAAGAAACAAATTTTGTTCTGATCACTGGTACTACTTACTAATAAGGAAAATTTCAGATTAATAGTACTTCCCTTCTCCTCCATTGCAAATGTGAAAGTAATACAAAGGAAAGTGAAATTGCTTAAATTGATAATCTATTATTATAAAACAGAACTCTGTTTCCTATTTTAAAATATTTTCATATCATTTCCTCTCAAACAATCTCTTTCTTACACCCCCCTTTCTAATTGTAGCCCAGATCACAGGCAATCTCCCTCATCATTTACATTATTTAATTACTTCTGCTTTTGTGTGCCTTTCACAGTTTACAAGATACTTTTTTTTCTTTTTTGGTAGAGCACAGAAGAATGAAAATGGGGCCTTTGCTTTATCCATTATGCTACTAGCAACAAAACACTAACATAATCAATATATTAAAGGCTTTCCCGGCTGTGCACATTTGTCAAAGGCAGTGTATCTGAGAAATTACACTAATGAATCTTGAACAACTCAGCATCCTACACAGAAAACTTGTTCTCTCTCATCATAAGTACATATCAATATGTAAAGACAAGAAAAATATATACTTCATCTTTCTATATATTATTTGAAAAGCCACTGTTACATTTCTTTAAAATGGAAAAAAAGTCAGTAAGCAAAATTCCACCTCCACTGAGAAGCCTTCCTGAATACCACACTAAAGTCAACCACAGGCATATTAGCGATAGCTTCCTCTGTGCTCCTAAAAGTACTTTTTACATATCTCTGATACCAATTATCTCACTACGTTATAACCATCTGTTGACATCTCTATCTCTTACACAGAGTATGCATTACTTGACAGCACAGCCATTTTTTCCAGCCAAGTATTATCAGGTTCTAGCACGGTGCCTAACCCAGTAAGCATGTAATGATGTCTGTTGAGTGAAGTGTATCATTCACTGCATTCTAAGACATCAAAATGTTGTGGTATTCATGGTAGGAATCAAACATATATTAATATCATCTCTGCAACAATATCAGATTTAATGATAAATTAAGCACTAAGAAATTAGAAATTCAAAAGTCTAGATTTCTGTAGCAATCTTAGCTCTAATTATCTTTAACAAAGGATCGTGGTAGTATTTTAGATTTTGTTAAATATTTATAATGTTAATCAGCTCTTTAAACTACCTATCCCATAGTTAATTATTTTTACTGAAAACACCTAAAAAGCTGAGTTCTTAGTTCTTAATGGTAATGACCTCAGGTTTCATTAACTTTATAATCTCTATTTTTAAAAAATTAAAAGCATTAACATTGCCTTCTCAGCCTTTGTCAATGTCTGTCAAGCGAGGCGGTATGTAGCTTATATTACTCTGCCCTTTCTATAATGCTCTGAGAGGCTTTGAAAATCTACAACAGATAACTTTACTTTGAACACAAAATGTGATGACTTCATATTCAAAAGGATTTACAGGGATAATTGTGGTGCATAGCTTGAAGGATTCCAGGACCTATGCAGGAACTTTCTTAAGATCCTTTGTTTTTTTCTTACTTTAAACATAGTTCACATTTTTCCTACCAGTTTTCCAAGTGAAATGATCATTTTGTACAGTTATGACAAAACAATAATGGAGAGGTAAAAGAAAATAGACTCCAGAATTTATCCTAAAATACTCCTGGATTTTTAGTTAGTAATAGTTAATATTATTATCATTAGATAAAATTATGTTTTGAGGAGTTAATTATACCATAAATTTAAAACTGAAACAACTAATAACTTTCCCTTTTAGCTTCATATTGCTATAACCATAACTTTTATATGTATAATTACATATATTCATTATTTATATAGACAGATTTGTGCACTTCAATGAATTTGAATGGAAAGAAAAATTGTATAGACGGTTGTATGATTTTAGTACATAATCATGTAATATAAATTTCCACATCAAGGGATGAAACAGAAAATTATATAAACATTTTATTAGCTACTAAAAAAACTTGGCCTGAATTTTATTTAAAATTAGACCAGTAACTAAAATTAGTTTTGAGAGGGGTAAAAATTCAGGGGTTTTTCCAAAATCAAAGTGAAACAGAGTTGAGTGGTTGAATGCTAGAATACTGTGGGTTGAAATGCTCAAGCCTCATAATTCTCCCCTTAATAACCTGGTTCTTAAAATTCCAAAATTATCTGACTTAAAAAAAAAATCTACTAGTACTCTCATAGTAATGAGGTTTAAACATGATTAATTTCGATGGTTTCACTTTATAAAAAATTGAAACTTACAAAATGGATGTATCAATTTTTTTAAGTTATTCACTTAACAAGATCATTAATTCAAATACTATTTTAATGTGTGAGCTCTCTGCATTTAAAAAAAAAGTAAGGCAATTTTTTAAAAAAAAGATTTACACAAAACAACTCAGGAGACCATTTATTGCATAAAGTGCAGATAGAGTTATTCTGAGTGCTATCATTTCTTCTCAGGTGAAAAGTGAAATATTGAGCAGTTTTCTGTTGAATGTCAATGATGTCCTTAAACATTTTTTCATTGTTACTTAAAGAGGCTTGAATGAATTACCTTGATAAAATCTTAACATCTCTACTCCACATCTAAGCTAATAAACCCAAGAATAGGCAATATTTATGTCCCAATCTCTCAAGTCCAAAGATTTTATAAACAAAAAAGATCAAAATTAGAGCATTTTGATGGGAAAGGATGTTTTCTCTGCATTTATTAGAGAGTCTATCATCTTTAATACTTCAAAAGGAATCATATAGTAGGGCCCTATTTAAAACTTTTAATTTTCTATATCACTTACAGGTTTCTTTAGTTCACAAAATGAGGGCAGTTTAAAAAATCCCCCTTAATCACTGTGATTAGAAGTTAATTGATTAAGTATATCAAAGTAAACTCTAGCTTAGAAAATACATATTATCGTAAAAAAATCAAATGATTTGCTACCTATAAAAATCATATAACATTTTATGACATTACCAAATGTAAGTGTAATCAAAATTTTAAAAGTCTTGAAAATGAAAAATTAAATCCCATTTTAGTCATTAAGATTTTTAAAATCACTCTGCTTATTTAAGTTCCCTTTTAAGGAAAATTGGGTACAGTTAGGTCTTCCTCTTATTTAGTAGGTATTTTTGCTATTTATTTTAAAATACTTTTGTCACTATAACTGAGTTAATTTTTCTCTCCTTTTGTTTTTGGAACAGAATTGAGAATATAATAAATTCTCCATAATTAATATCCCAAAAGAGAAATAACCAGACAAACCAGGCTAATGTATCCAAACCCAATGTGGGTACAGTTAAAAATATTTCAGTGAAACTTTTTTCTTCAAAAATGTTGTATTGCAAAAGTGCCAAGATTGACAGGCAATCCCTACCCTCAGAATATGTGGCAATTACATGAGCTTTATATGAAGGCCTTTTAAAATCTAGTATCTTTCTATTATTTGATTGTCATTTTGTTTGATTTTGGATCCAATTTTGGAGTCAGATAGATTTTTGATTCACATCCTCACTTTATGGTTCATAAGCTGTCTTGCCTTAGGTACTCAGTTTCTAGGTGAAATAAAAGCTACCACCTAAAGTGTTTTGAAGATTAACTGAGATACTGCATATAAGGCACTTACATATATGATTAAATCCATGACTGAGTCATAGCAGGTAGACAATACATGTTAACTATTAAAAGTTAACTTCTTTGAGATTTTAGATTGTATATTTGACATAGGATACATACTACATTTAATACCAATTAGAAACAATAAATGAAGATTATTTTTGCATTTTTAAAACTCTAATGTCACTTCAGCCATTCTTTTTTGCCTTTATGCTTGCAGGTACATTGCATGCCCTGGATATGGTACAAAGGACAAAACCTGCAATGTACCCATTAGATAACCTGGCTGCCATCCACCGCCACTTCCTACATCTCACTTTTCTCTTTTATGCATGAATACTTTTTCACTTAAAGTGAGTCACTGTCATTGGAATCAATGACTTTCTATGAGAGTATTGCTTAGTTCACAAAACTTAAGAATTTTGTGCTTATGAACATTATAAGCTTTCTGCTATTTGTAAAACTTATTCTAATAAACTGAGGTTCAAGAAAAATATCGGAACATGACCACTGTATTTCCAATGTGCCAATAACATAAATAGAACACTTATAATTTTGGTATAAAGGCAATTATACTGAAAATAAAAATGTTTGTATTTTGTAGAAAAAAATTGGTAAGTGTACTTTTACATTTTAAATTTGCACATTAAGAATATTTAGCAAACCTAAAATTGGCACAGAATTATGGTGAGGGAAAGTATGAGGAATATATAGCATTAAATATATAGCATTAAAGAGTTTAAATATTTTAAAGGCAGTTAAACTACATGCACTATTAATTATCATTTAGAAGATAATTTTCAATTACCCAGCTTATTTTAAATAATAATTTTTAATGAATTACTTCAACTAAAACAGTATTTTCAGTGTTTAGGTAAAAACTAAGTAAATCTGATGGCTTCTTTGAGATTATGACTATGATTAAAATAACTCTGAATAAAGTTGTTTTTCTCCACATGTCAAAGTAATTTAATTTTACATATATACAGGACATATATTTATTTATAAATATCTATACCTCAGTAGTAGATAATGAATTATTTCTTTGTTTAGCACTGTATACATATAGTTCAAAGTGTTTATTTTAAAACCCCAGGTAGTGTTAGTATAGTTCAGGATTAATTATAAATTTAAATCCTATGATAGTTGAGTAATATGATCTAAAATTAATTATATAGTTAAGAACATTGCTAGCTTACTACCTGTGGTCTATGGATATTAGTGGGTAGAAGAAGGAGATTTCTCAACTGAAATTCTTGCTAATACAAAGACATAAAATACTATATTCTAATCTAAACTCTTCTTTTTTCACAAATGTTACTAAATTGATTCCTCTTGTACCAACAAATTAGTAGTTTAACCATTTTGGTGTTTTAGCTCTCAAATGAAAACTGTTTTAAGGATGGTTATTGCAAACAGCTAGACTAAAATCAATATTGATGACTTTGGAAGCTGACTGCATAAGGTATCACTTTCCTGTGGTAGTTACTGTTGAACTACAGTAACTTCATGTAGAATAGGCAAAAAATAAGTCAGTTGTTAAAAATAAGTTATTAAAATATATGCCCGCTAAAATACATTAAGCTTTATTGCAATACAATCATTTTTTAAGTTATTTTCTGTGTTTCCTATGATCACAGGAAGTTTATAATTTAAAAATCTTTATTTCAGAATAGGTCTTGAGAAATGTAGGCACATGCAATTATATCTACACACATATAAATGAAAATTAAGAATGGACTCAACAAAACAATTCCTTTCAGTGGGTATTTCTGTTTCCATCCCAACCTTCAAATGAGAAAACTTAGATGGCCTTGCCTCATCAGAAAATGGGCAGGTCCATTCCAATTTAGGGCATCCCAGTTCTCTCCATGGCAACAGCCCTGGATAAGCTAAAAGGCAACTGAAAGTTTTTAAGACTACTGAGCACTATTAATCCTTTTTTTAAAAGTGCAAAACAGGCCAAACAATGTAGAATTCTCCAGAGCAAAGGCTGTCTTTTACCAAACTTAGAACTGTTTACATTGTCACAAATACTGTGTTGATACCTATTCTTGGAAAATGAATGAGAAAAAGGGGCAAAACCCGGAAGTCCATCCATGGAATATACCTCCTATTTAAAAACAAAAGGGATTAGGAAAGGATGCTGAAGAAGGACTCTTAAATGAATGAATCTGTAACACTTTAAAAAGTGGGATGAATGGGAAGAGGGAGGAGAGGAGAGGGCAGTGGGAAGGAGGGTTAATAAGCAATTCCTTTCTCCAGCCTCAAACCTTTTAAGACCACAACTTTGCAAATGTATTATTTCATCATCATTTAGTATTTAAAATTTGTCTAAGAATGATGGCTTCAAATGTTGCTACCTGAGGAAGTGTGAGGAAGAATGGTCTAACTGCAGGAGAGGACACAGAGATAGTTGTAGTAGCTGAGGATGACCCCATTGTTTCTTTTCTTCTTCAGGATTTTGATCAGGAGTGACCCGGCTAATGTGCCGAGTTCAGGAAGTCAGAGCTGCAAGGTTCTTTTGAAACCAGACAATAACGTAGTTCCCTTCGCCTCCCTTCCCTGCACCTCTCCCCTGCTTACTGCCAACTCCCACCCACTTTAAATGCATCAAGCCTATTACCATCCCAAGAGTATCAAACATATAAATACAGAACTTGTCCACTGACCATAGTAGAGAGAAAAACAAAATTAGCACTACTGGTTTGTACGGGTTTCTTTTTGTTGTTGTTTAACGACCCCCTCCTCCCAGCCCCCAACCCTTTGTGTGTGAGGATTCCCCTTCAAACCACCCACAGACCGAGCAGACGAGAAGAAATGGTAATTTTCGGTTTAAAAGTTCACTTACCACGGCAACCTCATATTGCTTTGTCATGCTTTTTGCACTTAAATTTTCAAAACTGCTTGTGCTGGGCGCAGAACTGGGAAGGCAGGGCTAAAGTATCTCTAGTAATCACAACAAAAAGGAGAGAACATTCACCAATCAGAATTACATTTAAATATACAATCAAACCCCAGAGCAAGACGCACGGTTCAGAACATACCGGGGAGGGGGTGGGGGTGGAAAAAGCCAAACTAACAAAACAAAAGGTAAAGGGGAGAGTTGAGTGGTTGGAGGGGAAATTGATCCAAGCCGCCTTTTGACCGTGGACTGGCTTAAAACCACCACCACCACCACCCCCCCCGCCCCCAGCACCCCCGCGATTACCCGAGTGACTGCACTTGCCTCCAGCCAGCTCAACTGCAGGAGAGGAAAGCCCCATCTAAGTTCACTAGCCCTGCCACAGTCTTCCACTGCCTGATGGGTTCCTTCAGGAAAACACTTCCAGAGGCATTCATCCACTTGAGGTCTGGGGTTGGCTGCTGCTGCGAGGCTGCTGCAGCCGAGGCTCCCGCGAGCAGCTGCTAGGATCCTTGCCGTCTCGTTCCTGCCTCTTTCGAGCTGCACAATAGCCCCGGCTGGGTGCACCTCATTAAGCCAGCCGAGAGCCCCAGGAGCAGGGCAAGCCGTGTGACAGCGCTACCTCTTTGTAATGACTGTATGATGGATGCAACCGAAGGGTGGGGTCTGGGTGGGTCAACACTGTTAATGACAGTATGTATCATTCTGTCCGTCCTCCAGGAGAGGGGAGGGAAGCCCCCTGCCCTCCCCTCAGGTCTTGGGCTCGCTTTCTCTCTCTCTCTCTCTCTCTCGCTCTCTCTCTCTCTCTCTCTCTCTCTCTCTCCCTCTCTTCCTCTCCCTCTCTCTCCTATCTCTCGTCTCTGTCCCCTGTCACTCGCGCGCACACACACACACACGCACACACACTTTCCTCCCTCTTCCCCCACCTCCCTATGCCATTTTCTGCAGTCAGCGTTCAAAAAAAGTACGAAAACCATCGGGTAATTTCCAACTGAACCGATTACGGACGGCGAATTTATCCAAACACTTAAGCAAGGAGAGGATCCTAAAATCGAAAAACGAAGGCGGAAGGGGCGAGAAGAACGGGGTGGAGTTGGGTGGCGGAGCGAGTGGGACGTTAACTGGCCAATAGTTTGCAACTGCCGGTCAACACGCGCAGCCTACTCAGCGCTGCTCCGGAGGCGCGGGACGCCGCCTCCACGTGAGCCGCGCTCCTCCCAGTGCCCGGGACGGTGTCGGGGGCGGGCTGCACGGCGAGAAGGGCAAAATAAAACCAGCCCGAGAGGCCCTGGCTGGGGTTGAGACTGCAGGAGTAACTTCTGCACCGAGGCAGCGCGCAGCCAGTCGGGGAAGAACTCTGCAACCTGACCGAAAGAAAGTCCGACCCTCTCGGGAGGGCTGCCAGGATGCTGGAGCGAGTGTCAGGGTCCGAGACTCCCAAGTCGGGCGAGGGCTCCTGCCCCTGGCCATTGGGTACCCCCCTCCGACCAACACCCCCGTCCCGCTTCAGAGCGTCGGCCCCACAGGTGCGCAGCGAAGTCACCACGTTGGGGACTAGCCCCCGCCTCTCTCTCTTCCCTTTCTCTCCCGACCCTTCATCCTCTTCACTTCTCACTCCACTCTGAGTCTTGCCTGTGCTGGCCAGGCTGCCCCAGGGAGGCAAAAAAAGAAAAGAAAATATCTCTCCTTTCTCCCCCTTTAAGGGGAGCCTTGGATCTTTGTTTCACTACCACACCACTGACACCATCCCATTGATATTTTTACCCCCTTTCAGTTTTGTTAATGGTCCCAAGAACCCAGTTCCCAGGCACCGGTTTTTCTTCTATAGGAAAGCCTTACAGAATGATTTTTATTGCCCTGTGTGGACAAGTACACTTATTTTACACTCAGCCTCCCGTTTCCAACTTAACTGTGATGCTGTACACTCTTCATGTGGCTACAAAGCACCTTCCAGACATCCTGAGCGATTTCTCTAGAACCGTGCGGATGCTATTTATTTATATTTATTAGAGTTTATGGAGCACCATTTCTCTGACTCTGTGTAATAGACTTCTATGTTTTTATCATTGATGTCTTATAGCAGCTAAGAGAAAGCAAGAAGCATAGAGAAAACAGGGTATTTATGGCAATGAAGCATCTCTCCATTTTTATGTCAGCCATTTATTTATTAATTAGTTAAAATTTGTGTAGGTTGTGCAGCCTGCTCTACGCCGTGGGATAGCACTAAAGATTTTATGCCACTCCTCAAAGAGCTTCTGATCCACGGGGAAGGCAAAATAACCTTCAGCTCTTAATTGCTTCTAACAAAAAACCACTTTTAATTGATGGGAAGGAGAGACCTTGTCAGAAAGCTTTCAGCAAAGTAAAGGAACACTATGGTGTTGACCTCAGTGGTTCTTTCAGGTCATAAACCTGCAAGGCCTCAGAAGTCTCCCCTTCATTTTTTATTTTTATTTTTTGTTGAAGCAATTGCTTTCCCCCCACCACCTTTTTTTTTTTTTTGAGACGGATTCTCACTGTTGCCCAGGCTGGAGTGCAGTGGCCCGATCTCGGCTCACTGCAAGCTCCGCCTCCCGGGTTCACACCATTCTCCTGACTCAGCCTCCCGAGTAGCTGAGATTATAGGTGCCTGCCACCATGCCTGGCTAATTTTTTATGTATTTTTAGTGGAGATGGGGTTTCACTGTGTTAGCCAGGATGGTCTCAATCTCCTGACCTTTGTGATCCACCGGCCTCGGCCTCCCAAAGTGCTGTTATTGCAGGCGTGAGCCACCGCACTGGGCCGCTTTTCCCACCTTTTTACAATTGTATGTTTTGAAGGTAGTACCAGACTTCTGTTCACATATTTCCTAGAATTAAATATAAAGGCAAGGGTAGGGGGCAAGAGAAGGCCAGTGGGAATTAGTGAGAAATCTAAATTAATTGACTAATTAATTAATTTACTAACTGTAACACCAACGTAAGCTTGCCTAAAAGAAGTCATTAGTGATATAACTTAATGAGTAAAAATAAAAATTATAGATAATTATATATGATGTATAATTGTATAAAATTAGCAAAATAATTGTTTTTATGTAAATAGTTCTTTGTAAGGGCATCTGAAAACTGTTCAGACATTTCCTCTTACATTGTTTTAGTAATAAACTTGCATAATGAAAAAGATAAGTATAAAATAGTTGGGAGTTGAGAAAGTTAATTGATTTTGTAGTACGTTATTAATTGTGATCATAACAAAAGTTTATTATTAAAGTTCTCCATTTCTTTAAGACCTAGATGGGCAAGATACCAAATACTTTTCTTGGAATACATCATCTTGATTGAAAACTACTAGGATATTTTTGAAAAAATAGCTCATTAGCTGGCTGGGTAAGTTTGTTTGTTTACAATGGACTTTTCAATGATGGTGGTAGGCATCCTGGAAGATAGCCACTGTACTAAGTTCATTTTTCTCTGTTCTTGGCTGCTCCTCTAACCTTGAACTTTATTTAGTCAGGGAAAATGGAAGGAATGGGAATGCTAACTAATGGAAGAAAGATATTTTCTTTGACCTTTGAAAAACAGACTTAAGTAATTGAACCATAAATTTAGAAACCGGGCTTTTAACAAATGAAAATTTTAAGATGTATAAAAACAGCTCCCATAAGTATATGCACCAAATGTATTAACCTTGTGATATATAAGATTGCACCTAGGAAAAGTTAACACCGTTGGAGATTATTAAGACTTACCAACTCATTCAGCTTTAATAAGCAGAACTTGAGCCAAGTGCGGAACACACTTGTACCAAATTGGCAAGAATTATACACTTAAATGTAAATACATTTTTTTCTGCGAGGTAAAGCTATTAAGCCCCCCAAAACACCTTAGATATATTTTTTGAAAACTGTCCTGCAAAAATGTTTGTCCTACCAAAAGTTTCTAGCCTATTTCACAATAACCTATATGACAGTTAGTACGACTTGGAAAAGATGTTTAATATCTGAACAAGGTAATATGTTCTATTTCCTATTTTTGTTAATGGGATTGTAGATGTGATGTATTTCAGGCTCTGTGTTATCTATGGCAGGAAAAAATTGAGGGCAAAAGAGTTTCTTTGGCATACATCAAGAACTACATTGTAATCAATACAAGCAAACCAAGTCTGGAAAATATATAAGCAAGGTATTAAATAAGTAATTCACTGTCTATAAATCTCCTACCAGTGGGTGAATGTTGAGAGTCATATAAGGGCTTCAGTGACTAATGGAATACAGTTGCTCATCCCAAGCAACCTTGGCTATCCTTTTAGAAACTTCTCAACAAGTTCTGCTGCATGTAAGAACAAGATCATGTCTAAGAATCCAGTAAGGATTTTAAAGATTGTCTTGCATGCTACCTTTGAAAAGCAAGTTCAGTACTCAGTTTTTCAGAAAGCATTTATTTGCATGCTGTTAAGATTTCTTTACCCAAGTTAGACAGTGGAGTTTCTAAAGTCATATAGAAATTGGTTCCGATGCTTATAAACTGGGTGACTTGTACAATTCTCTTAATTACTCTGGATCATACTTCCTTCTTTAGTAAAATTAAAAGAACAAGGACCAACTCCTACAGTTGTGATGATTTAATGATACAAAGTGTAAAAACATGCTGCCTAGTAAAATGTCAGTCCTATTGAAACAGACATTGTAATTTGCCTCACTCAACATGAATTCTTAACCTCCACCCTCCTTGTCTTACTCTAACTTAGAGACTGGAAATTTCAATATTTCATTTCCCAGTTTTCTTTGCATCTAGTAGTGGCTGTTTGACATAGTTATGGCAAACTAAATGTAAATACGGCTGGGCGCCGTGGCTCACGCCTGTAATCCCAGCATTTTGGGAGGCTGAGGCAAGCAGATCACCTGAGGTCGGAAGTTCAAGACCAGCCTGGCCAACATGGCAAAAACCCATCTCTACTAAAAAATACAAAAATTAACCAGGCACAGTGGCACATACCTGTAATCCCAACTACTCAGGAGGCTGAGACAGGAGAATCACCTGAACCCAGGAGGCAGAGGTTGTAGTGACCCGAGATCACGCCTCTGCACCCCAGCCTGGACGACAGCATGAGACTCTGTCTCAAAGAAAGAAAAAATGTAAATACATATTGGCTGAGAAACCTTCTGAAAATGCTTTTGTTTTCCTGATGAAAGACTAATAGTGACCACTGCCACAACTTTTTGCCCCATTTGTCCTACCTGCTTCTTCCTATGTGGTATATGTGATTTCTGGAGCTAGAGCAGCCATCTTGCAGTTATGAACCACTTGAAGACCAATCTCTGAAAGATGGTGAAGGAAGATAGGAAGAACCCGGGTTTCTGATAGGAAACTTGACTTGCTCAATTAGTCCTGGACTGTTGACTTTTAGACATCTTGTTGTATATGAAAAAATAAACTGCTCTTTAGTTAAGCCATATTTAGCTGAATGTTCTGAATATTATGATACTGAAATATCTGCCACGATTGTTGTGGTTTTCTGCTTTTAAATAAAATCTGCCTTGATTATATGACTCTGAATGTCAGCCATGTTGAAGAATTTCAGGTAAAAAACTTTTCTGAGACTCCACCCATGCACCTATGACTAGGTCACCGTTTTGGGTTTGGATGATCTGCTCAAAGTATTGAACCTGGAGTGGGTTTGTAAGGACCTTTTTTTTTTTTTAAAGTCCCACAACTGACAATTCTTTTTGGGGAAGCCCCATCATTGTACTAAAAGAGACAGAATCTAACATTTATATTGTCTAAATACCTTTTCTCTTTCCTTTCATAATGTATTGTTGCTTTTGTTTTCAAATAAACATACTGGGATGTGTTTATTTTTGAATATGTTTATATTGAAATATTCAGAATATTCACTTTGGAAAACGATAAATACTTATTTAATTGATGATCCTAGTTTGCTGCCATAGCTCCACACATTTTTTTTTTTAATACAAGGTCTTGCTCTGTTGTTCAAACTAGAGTGCAACGGTGCGATCATAGCTCACTGTAACTCCAGACTCCCAGCCTCAATCTATCGTCTATTCTCAGCCTCCCAAACTGCTGGGATTATAGGCATGACCCGACCCACCATGAGTGGTTTCTACATAATTTAAAATGTCCTCTTTAGGAGTCATGTTTACAATGTGAGTCACAATTCAGGAGAATGTCAGCAATGTGACAATAGTATGTTCTCTGAAGGTTGGATTTAATCTAGGAAAATACCTAAAATGTTGTTCAGAATCAAATCAAGTAAATTAAGTGAGGAATCACTTAAAAACTGGATAATACAGGATTTTTCATTGCTGTTACAAAAAAACTAGGTATATACACAAAATAATAAGATCTAAAACATGTCTAAAATGTGTTATAGCAAGGAAGGCATCCTTCACATAAGCATCTATCTTCCTAAGGGACAGCTTTGGAGGCCCACACACTTGGTCACATGTGTTAGCTAAACACGTCAGTCTCATAGCTATTTTCAGTTGTAATTTCTTTGAATAAGCCAGATGTTTCCTTTTCACCTTTCCCCTTCCATTCTGTCATAAATTTCTTATTCTGAAACAGACTCAGTGTTCAATTGATTCAAAGCTATTTTTGTAGTACCATCACTTTAGTTGATTAAAAAAAAAATGTACAAGTAGCAAGACAGAACAGTGCCACGGATACGATATTAAGACTTTGAATCAAACTGAATTTTATTTGAGCTCCAAACTTACTTCTTACTAGCTGTGTGATTTGAGCGGTTATTTAATCATTTCAGTCTGTTTTTTATCTGTAAAATGAAGATAAAAATAGTGTGTATCTTAGAGAGTTGTCATGAATATTAAATAGGATAATAAATATGGGGTTTGTGTATAATGCTGTGTATGTAGTAAGTGATTAATAAGCATTACTTATGATAAAACCATGTTAGGCAAATAGCAAGGTCTTTGAAATACTTAAAATGTAAAGAATATTAGACCATTTATAGGCGTTGCTACCAGTAACTGCAAGTCTAAAAATAATTCAGCTAATTATGAGTTAATCATGGATAGTTAACATAGGCTGATCCGGATATTTATCTATCATTTTGTTTGATGCAGTAGAAAAAATTTGGTCCTTTAAAATAAATAGGCCTAATTCCAGTGTGTGATAATAGGTAAATCTCTGCCTATCTAAGTCTCATTTTCCACAGTATAATGTAACTAAGGACCGTTTTCCCAGGGAAATGTTCTTAAAAAATAGGTAAGAACCTGGTAATTACTTCTCTCTCTCTCTCTTGCTAGTAAAGAATAGAAACCCGGATGTATTTTCTAAGAACCAGGAAATCACAATTAACTTTGAGTTTACAAAAGATCTCCAGAGATATTTCATTACTTGGAGAACTAAGATCAGAGTAGAAGGTAGATTACTATTGATTTAGGTCATATATGTTTATGATGTATCAACCAGATGATTAAACAAAAAATTAGTATTTTGGTGCAAGTTACTCAACTCCTCTGAGCCTGTTACTTCATCTATGCAATGAGTAAGTAGACTATGAATGTAGCTTTCAGTTGTTCAATTATTTCTAGTTAATTTGTTTCTAGTTAATTTTAACAAAATATAAAAGACAATTTTCTCATTTGATTCAACAATACCTTCCCCTTACTGGCCTAATTGTATTAATCATGGAGGGGGATAGAATGTAGGCATGGGGAGAGATGAAATAAAATCATTCAGTGGTTTCTGATTGATTAGAGTTGATTATGTGTTTAAGGTAGAATATTAAAAAGAATATTTTTTTCAGGAAAAAGGGAAAGTCAAAGTCCTCTAAAAAGTATTTAGATTTTTAAAATTTCATATTTTACTAGGAGAGAAATATATCATGAATAATATATGTTAAGCTATGCCAGAAATAAAGTTAACCTAGAAATAAAATTATGTATGTTAGTTTTTTTCTTTTTGTAAGAGACAGGGTCTCTGTTGCCCAGGCTGGAGTGCACTGGTGAAATCACAGCCCACTATAGCTTTGACTTCCTGGGCTCAGCTAATCCTCCCACCTCAGCCTCCCAAGTAGCATGCCACCATACCTGGATAATTGTTTTTAATTTTTTTGTAGAGAAATACAAAAGTGCTCATCCTCCTGCCTCATCCTCCCAAAGTTCTGGGATTACAGGTGTGAGCCATGGAACACAGCCTTATATGTTAAAGTTTAATTTAATCTTTTTACATACAGTAGAAGAGTCTATTGTAGAGCAATGGTTCTCAAAGTGTGATCCACAGCTGGCACCATTGTCACCTGGGAAATTGTTAGAAATGCACATTACTGGGCTTCATCCAAGACTTACTGAATAAGAAACTCAGGTGGACCCATCAACCTATGTTTTATCAATAGCAAGACCTTCAGGTTATACTGATGCAAGCTAAGATTTGAAAACCACTGCTGTAGGCTTCAGCAAAGGAGTACGTCTTTTGTAATTGAGATTGCAGTTTCTCCCATCCAGAGAAGGAGTCTCTATCTGCATTCCTGGAATCTGGCCTCGTTTTGTAAAGTGCTTTGACCAACAGAATGTTGTAGTGGTAATGACATGCCAGTCTGGAACCTTGGCCTCAAGAGTCCTTCACTTTTCCTCTCCCTTGGTACCCTGGTACCACCATGTAAATGGTCCTAAAGTAGCCTGGTAAAACATGAGAGATCATACGGAGAAGAGTCCAGTTGTCCTAGCTGCAGCCAACCAAACCAGCCTAGAGCTAGCCAATTCCTAAACATGTGAGACAGCCCAGCCAAATCAGGAGAGCTGACCCATAGGCCCATGAGCAATAGTAAATGTTTATTGATTTAAGCCACTGGTGCAGTTGATATTGGAACCTATATCCTTTTGGTTCCAAAGTCCCTGTTACTACTCTCCCACACTGAGGAACTGGGAGGACTATAAATACCTTTCAATGTAAACCTCTTATTTCTCAGGTAATGAAACCAAAGAAGTGTAGTAATAACTTGTCTAAACTCATTTACAATGTGAAGTTTTCAATCTTTGTAATGCCAAATTCTCACCTCTGATTATGAAAATGGAGACCCTGAGCAACAATGTCAGAGTTGTTTTGACCTGGGTAGATAATTTTCATTTTTAAATGAGTGTAATAGGTGATTCTGCTCCAGATGGGTCATAAATTATCCCGGAATGTCTAAGTCAAATTAGTTGTGGAGCCAGGGCTCAAAATCTGGTCTTCTGATTCCCAGTGAGGCTAGCTTTAAACTACACCAATGATTTCATCAGGGTAGGTAGATGGATTCCCTCTGGTGATGCAGGATTGGCAGGAGGTGGCATGTAACAGAATCACCCTAAGGAGCTTTTTCAAACCACCCCTTCATTGTCCGAGAACCCCTTTCAAAGTCCCCTCAAATGGGAACCCTTGCTATGGTAAACTACTATTACTGATGGGTTTATGTTATCTTCTCCAGCCTTCAGGTATTCAGGGGTTAAAAACAAGAGCAGTCCGGCCAGGTGTGGTGGCTCACGCCTGTAATCCCAGTACTTTGGGAAGCGGAGGCAGGCAGATCATGAGGTCAGGAGATCGAGACCATCCTGGCTAACACGGTGAAACCCCATCTCTACTAAAAATACAAAAAATTAGCCGGGCGTGGTGGCGGGCCCCTGTAGTCCCAGCTACTCGGGAGGCTGAGGCAA
Organism: Homo sapiens; assembly: GCF_000001405.40. Taxonomy (NCBI): domain Eukaryota; kingdom Metazoa; phylum Chordata; class Mammalia; order Primates; family Hominidae; genus Homo; species Homo sapiens. Next base: position 23,859,611 of record NC_000009.12, read on the forward strand.
GAGAATGGCGTGAACCCAGGAGGCGGAGCTTGCAGTAAGCGGAGATCGCGCCACTGCACTCCAGCCTGGGCGACACAGTGAGATTCCGTCTCAAACAAACAGACAAAAAACCAAGAGCAGCCCAAGGAAGGTTGAGAAGTTACTTCTGTACTGAGTGGTGCTTCCTCAATTTGTTTATCTGGATAAATTTACTCTCACCCAGTATTATCTAATAAATAAAGGCTTCAGTGAGAATGGGACTCAGAAGTATTATGTTTTGACAACAGTAATTATATAATGACTAGCTTGGATCCTGCTTATATAGCTTTATACCATTCCCTAATGGGGCATTTAACTGCAACCCTACATTTAGATGACACCTATCTCTGGGTAATAACAATATATGAATCTTTATGTTGGAAGTTTTCAGCCTAGCATTGACTCAGCCTAAAGGTTTTTCTGCTTTGACCATAATTTTCTGGTGTGCAGTCTCCTGCCTTTTTCTCCTTTTGGTTTGCTAATGAGTATTTGATTCGTGTACATTAACCTACTGGTATCCCCATGCACAGATATTATTCATCACCTGTCCTACAGCTCAATACTGCCTTTCAGTTTATCTGATATTAAACCACCATCTATATGTCTGGATATCTGCTAATTTTTTGCTACAGGATTTACTTGCCAGCTGTGTTTGTATCTAGTCTGCTCCTCTTCCTTTCCCCCCGACATCCTTCCCACTCACCAGGAAAAAAGATTGAAACCTTCCCTGGAATGTTCTATCCTTTGGATAATGAACCTCTTGCCCTCTTGCATGGTTTCTATGTTCAGACATCCTGTCTTTATTGTATACTATAGGCTGTCTCATTGTGGCTGTCACCCACACCACTGAGGCCTCAGAAATGAATGGCAACAGATGGGAAATGATGGAAACATGGCCATGTGCATGGTCCTTGGAAGACAGGGCAATGCAGGTATCCTGAGGGCAGCGGCTTTTTCAGTTTTGGAATTCTATGGCTTTTTTTTTCTTTTTTAAAATTGCACTTTAAGTTCTGGGATACATGTGCAGAACGTACAGGTTTGTTACATAGGTATACACGTGCCATGGTGGTTTGCTGCACCCATCAACCCATCATCTGATTTAGGTATTTCTCCTAATGCTATCCCTCCCCTGACCTCCCAACCCCTGACAGGCCCTGGTGTGTGTTGTTCCCCTCCCTGTGTCCATGTGTTCTCATTGTTCAACTCCCACTTATGAGTGAGAACATGCGTTGCTTGGTTTTCTGTTCCTGTGTTAGTTTGCTGAGAATGATGATTTCCAGCTTCATCCATGTCCCTACAAAGGACATGAACTCATCCTTTTTTTATGGCTGCATAGTATTCCATGGTGTATATGTGCCACATTTTCTTTATCCAGTCTATCATTGATAGGCATTTGGGTGGGTTCCAAGTCTATGCTTTTGTGAATAGTGCTGCAATAAACATTTGTGTGCATGTGTCTTTCTAGTAGAATGATTTATAATCCTTTGGGTATATACCCAGTAATGGGATTGCTGGGTCAAATGGTATTTCTGGTTCTAGATCCTTGAGGAATTGACACACTGTTGTCCACAATGGTTGAACTAATTTACACTCTCACCAACACTGTAAAAGAATTCCTGTTTCTCCACATCCTCTCCAGCATCTGTTGTTTCCTGACTTTTTAATGATTGTCATCTAACTGGCATGAGATGGTATCTCACTGTGGTTTTGATTTGCATTTCTCTAATGACCAGCGATAATGAGCTTTTTATCATGTGTTTATTGGCCGCATAAATGTCTTTTGAGAAGTGTCTGTTCATATCCTTTGCCCACTTTTTGATGGGGTTGTTTTTTTCTTGTGAATTTGTTGAAGTGCCTTGTAGATTCTGGATATTAGCCCTTTGTCAGATGGAGAGATTGCAAAAATTTTCTCCCATTCTGTAGGTTGCCTGTTCACTCTGATGATAGTTGCTTTTGCTGTGTGGAAGCTCTTTAGTTTAATTAGATCTCATTTGTCAATTTTGGCTTTTGTTCCCATTGCTTTTGGTGTTTTAGTCATGAAGCCTTTGCCCATGCCTATGTTGTGAATGGCATTGCCTAGGTTTTCTTCTAGGGTTTTTATGGTTTTAGGTCTTACATTTAAGTTTTTAATCCATCTTGAGTTAATTTGTCTGTAAGGTGTAAGGAAGGAGTTCAGTTTTTGTTTTCTGCATATGGCTAGCCAGTTTTCCCGACACCATTTATTAAATATGGAATCCTTTCCCCATTGATGGTTTTTGTCAGGTTTGTCAAAGATCAACTGGTTGTCGATGTGTGGTGTTATTTCTGAGGACTCTGTTCTGTTCCACTGGTGTATATAGCTGTTTTGGTACCAGTATCATGCTGTTTTGGTTACTGTAGCCTTGTAGTATAGCTTGAAGTCAGGTAGCATGATGCCTCCAGCTTTGTTCTTTTTGCTTAGAATTGTCATGGCTATATGGCTCTTTTTTGATTCCATTTGAAATTTAAAGTAGTTTTTTCTAATTCTGGGGAGAAAGTCATTGGTAGCTTGATGGGGATAGCATTGAATCTATAAATTATTTTGGGCAGTATGGCCATTTTCACCATATTGATTCTTCCTATCCATGAGCATGGAATGTTTTTTCATTTCTTTGTGTCCTTTCTTATTTGCTTGAGCAGTGGTTTGTAGTTCTCCTTGAAGAGGTCCATCACATCCCTTGTAAGTTTTATTCCTAGGTATTGTATTCTCTTTGTAGCAATTGTGAATGGGAGTTCACTCATGATTTGGCTCTCTGTTTGTGTGTTATTGGTGTATAGGAATGCTTGTGATTTTTGCACATTGATTTTGTGTCCTGAGAATTTGCTGAAGTTGTTTATCAGCTTAAGGAGATTTTTGGCTGAGATGATGGGGCTTTCTAAATATACAATCACGTCATCTGCATATAGAGACAATTTGACTTCCTCTCTTCCTATATGAATACGCTTTATTTCTTTCTCTTGCCTGATTGCCCTGGCTAGAACTTCCTATACTTTGTTGAATAGGAGTGGTGAGAGAGGGCATCCTTGTCTTGTGCCGGTTTTCAAAGGGAATTCTTCCAGTTTTTGCCCATTCAGTAAGATATTGGCTGTGGGTTTGTCATAAATAGCTCTTATTATTTTGAGATACGTTGTATCAGTACCTAGTTTATTGAGAGTTTTTAGCATGAAGGGTTGTTGAATTTTATCGAAGACCTTTTCTGCATCTATTGAGATAATCATGTGGTTTTGTCGTTGGTTCTGTTTATGTGATGGATTATGTTTATTGATTTTCATATGTTGAACCAGCCTTGCATCCCAGGGATGAAGCCCACTTGATCGTGGTGGATAACCTTTTTGATATGCTGCTGGATTTGGTTTGCCAGTATTTTTTGAGGATTTTTGCATCAATATTCATCAAGGATATTGGCCTGAAATTTTCTTTTTTTGCTGTGTCTCTGCCAGGCTTTGGTATCAGAATGACGCTGGCCTCATAAAATGAGTTAGGGAGGAGTCCCTCTTTTTCTGTTGATTGGAATAGTTTCAGAAGGAATGGTACCAGCTCCTCTTTGTACCTCTGATAGAATTCAGCTGTGAGTCCGTCTGGTCCTGGGCTGTTTTTGGTTGGTAGGCTATTAATTACTGCCTCAATTTCAGAACTTGTTATTGTTCTGTTCAGGGATTTGACTTCTTCCTGGCTTAGTCTTGGGAAGGTGTGTATGTCCAAGAATTTATTCATTTCTTCTAGATTTTTGTAGTTTATTTGCATAGAGGTGTTTACAGTATTCTCTGATGGTAGTTTGAACTTCTGTGGAATCAGTGGTGATATCCCCTTTATCACTTTTTTTATTGTGTCTATTTGTTTCATCTCTCCTTTCTTCATTAGTCTGGCTAGCAGTCTATCTATTTTGTTAACCTTTCCAAAAAATCAGCTCCTGGATTCATTGATTTGTTTTTTGAAGGGTTTTTCGTGTCTCTACCTCCTCCATTTCTGCTCTGATCTTAGTTACGTCTTGTCTTCTGCTAGCTTTTGAATTTGTTTGCTCTTGCTTTTCTAGTTCTTTCAATTGTGATGTTAGGGTGTCAATTTTAGATCTTTCACACTTTCTCCTCTGGGAATTTAATGCTATAAATTTCCCTCTAAACACTGCATTAGCTGTGTCCCAGAGATTCCGGTACATTTTGTCTTTGTTGTCATTGGTTTCAAAGAACTTATTATTTCTGCCTTAATTTCTTTATTTATCCAGTAGTCATTTAGGAGCAGGTTGTTCTGTTTCCACATGGTTGTGCAGTTTTGAGTGAGTTTCATAATTCTGAGTGCTAATTCGATTGCACTGTGGTCTGAGAGACTGTTTGATATGATTTCCATTGTTTGGCATTTGCTGAGGAGTGTTTTACTTCCAATTATGCAGTCAATTTTAGAATAAGTGCTATGTGGTACTGAGAAGAATGTATATTCTGTTTATTTGGGGTGGAGAGTTCTGTAGATGTCTATTAGGTCTACTTTGTCCAGAGCTGAGTTCAACTCCTGAATATCCTTGTTAATTTTCTGTCTCGTTGATCTGTCTAATATTGACAGTAGGGTGTTAAAGTCTCCCACTATTATTGTGTGGGAGTCTAAGTCTCTTTGTAGGTCTCTAAGAACTTGCTTTATGAATCTGGTTGCTCCTGTATTTGGTTCATATATATTTAGGATAGTTAGCTCTTCTTGTTGCATTTATTTCTTTACCATTATGTAATGCCCTCCTTTGTCTTTTTTGATCTTTGTTAATTTAAAGTCTGTTTTATCAGAGACTAGGATTGCAACCCCTGCTTTTTATTTCCTTTCCATTTGCTTGATAAATACTGCTCCATCCTTTTATTTTAAGCCTATGTGTGTCTTTGCATGTGAGATAGGTCTCCTGAATACAGCATATTGGGTCCTGACTCTTTATCCAATTTTCCAGTCTGTGTGTTTTAATTGGGGCATTTAGCACATTTATATTTAAGGTTAATATTGTTATGTGTGAATTTGATCCTGTCATTATGATGCTTGCTGGTTACTTTGCCTGTTAGTTGATGCAGTTTTTTAATAGTGTTGATGGTCTTTACAATTTGTCACGTTTTTGCAGTGGCTGGAACAGGTTTTTCCTTTCCATATTTAGTGCTTCCTTCAGGAGCTCTTGTAAGGCAGGCCTGGTGGTGACAAAATCTCTCAGCATTTGCTTGTCTGTAAAGGATTTTATTTCTCCTTTGCTTATGAAGATTAGTTTGGCTGGATATGAAATTTTGGGTTGAAAATTCATTTTTTTAAGATTGTTGAATGTTGGCCCCCACTCACTTCTGGCTTGTAGGGTTTCTGCAGAGAGATCCGCCGTTAGTCTGATGGGCTTCATTTTGTGGGTAACCAGACCTTTCTTTCTGGCTGCCCTTAACATTTTTTCCTTCATTTCAACCTTGGTGAATCTGACAATTATGTGTCTTGGGGTTGCTGTTCTCAAGGAGTATCTTTGTGGTGTTCTCTGTATTTCCTGAATTTGAATGTTGGCCTGTTTTGCTGGGTTGGGGAAATTCTCCTGGATAATATCCTGAAGAGTGTTTTCCACCTTGGTTCCATTCTCCCCATCACTTTCAGGTACACCAATCAAACGCAGGTTTGGTCTTTTCACATAGTCCCATATTTCTTGGAGGTTTTGTTCATTGTTTTTATTCTTTTTTCTCTAATCTTGTCTTCACGCTTTATTTCATTAACTTAATCTACAGTCTCTGATATCCTTTCTTCCACTTGATCGATTTGCCTATTGATACTTGGGTATGCTTCACGAAGTTCTCATGCTTTCTTTTTCAGCTCCATCAGGTCATTTATGTTCTTCTCTAAACTGGTTATTCTAGTTAGCAATTAGTCTAACCTTTTATCAAGGTGCTTAGCTTCCTTACATTGGGTTATAACAAGCTGCTTTAGCTCAAAGGAGTTTGTTATTACCCACCTTCTGAAGCCTATTTCTGTCAGTTCATCAAACTCATTCTCCATCCAGTTTTGTTCCCTTCCTGGCAAGAAATTGTGATCCTTTGGAGAAGAGGCAGTCTGGTTTTTGGAATTTTCAGCCTTTTTGCACTGGTTTTTCCTCATCTTCGTGAATTTATCTACCTTTGGTCTTTGATGTTGGTGACCTTTGGATGGGGTTTTTGTGTGGACGTCCTTTTCGTTGATGTTGATGATATCACTTTCTGTGGGTTTTCCTTTTAACAGTCACGCCCCTCTGCTGTAGGTCTGCTGGAGTTTGCTGGAGGTCCACTTCAGACCCCGTTTGCCTGGGTATCACCAGTGGAGGCTGCAGAACAGCAAAGATTGCTGCCTGTTCCTTCCTCGGGAAGTTTTGTCCCAGAGGGGCACCTGCCAGATGCCAGCCAGAGTTCTCCTATATGAGTTGTCTGTCAACCCCTGCTGGGAGGTGTCTCCCAGTCAGGGGGCATGGGGGTCAGGGACCCACTTGAGGGGGCAGTCTCTCCCTTAGCAGAGCTCAAGTGCTTTGCTGAAAGATCCGCTGCTCTCTTCAGAGCTGCAGGCAGGAACATGTAAGTCTGCTAAAGTTGCGTCCACAGCCGCCCGTTCCCCCAGGTGCTCTGTCCCAGGGAGATGGGAGTTTTATCTGTAAGCCCCTGACTGAGGCTGCTGCGTTTCTGTCAGAGATACCCTGCCCAGAGAGGAGGAATCTAGAGAGGCAGTCTGACTACAGCAGATTTGCAGAGCGGCGGTGGGCTCAGCCCAGTTTCAACTTCCCAGTGACTTTGTTTACGCTGTGAGGGGAAAACTGCCTACTCAAGCCTTAGTAATGGTGGACACCCTTACCCCCATCAAGCTCCAGCATCTCCAGTCAATTTTAGACTGCTGTGCTGGGTAAACGAATTTTAAGCCAGTGGATCTTAGCTTGCTGGGCTCCATGGGGGTGGGATCCGCTGAGCTAGACCACTTGGTTCCCTGTATTCAGCCCCCTCTGCATGGCAGTGAAGGGTTGTGTCATTGGCATTCCAGGCACCACTGGGGTATGAAAAAAAAACTCCTGCAGCTAGCTCAGTGTCTGCCCAAACAGCCGCCCAATTTTTTCCTTGAAACCCAGTACCCTGTTGGTGTAGGCACCTGAGGGAATCTCCTGGTCTGTGGGTTGTGAAGGCTATGGGGAAAGTATAGTATGTGGGCCAGAATGCACCATTCCTCACGGCACAGTCCCTCATGGCTTCCCATGGCTAGCCAGTTCCCTGACCCCCTGTGCTTCACAGGTGAGGCAATGCCCCACCCTGCTTTGGCTTACCCTCTGTGGGCTACACTCACTGTCTAACCAGTCCCAATGAGATGAGCCGGGTTCCTCAGTTGGAACTGCAGAAATCACCTGCCTTCTGCATTGATATGGCTGGGAGCTGCAGACTGGAACTATTCCTATTCAGCCATCTTGCCATAGAATTCTGTGGTTTCTATGAAGCAAAGCTACCCAGAAGGAGCAGTAAGGTGTTGACAGGGAACAAGTGGCCCAAGACAGCAACTTTAAGTTTTTCCTAAGCGATACCCTGTATTTATGCACATCCAGAAACATGGTCCAAGGAGGAACACTGTGCCTCGTTTTAACCTTTACTGTATTGTCTATTGCTGATCTAACAAACTACCATAAACTTTCTGGCTTAAAACAATACAATTCAGCAACACAAAGTTTTGAAGGCCAGAAATTCAAATTTGGTCTTACTAGGCTAAGAGTCTTCTGTTAACAATAGAGAAGAATCTGTTTCCTTGCCTTTTCCAGCTTCTAGAGGGCAGTCGCATTCCTTGGCTTCTGGCCCCTTTTCATCTTCAACACCAGAAGTGGCAGGTTGAATCTTTCTTATATTGCATCACTCTGACACTGACTCTCCTGCCTTCCTCTTGCACTTATAAGGACCCTCATGGTTACCTTGAGTCTGCACAGATAATTCAGGATAATCTCCCTATCTATAGCTGATCTGATTAACTACAATAATTCCATCTACAACCTTAATTCTCCTATGCCATATAAAAATTTACAAATTCTGAGGGTTAGAATGTGGACATCTTGTGTGGGAGCGTTATTCTTCCTTCCACATCTATGTAGTGAGGAAACAAATTCTCATGGTAAACATGTATTTGTAAAAATATCTATTCTCTAGGATTCACAAAGACAAAATACAAATAAAAATGTGTCAGGCTCTTTGACCTTAGGGAATTCATATAATGTAGTGAAAATTCTAAGTAGATTGAGGAGGGAATTACTATGCAGTAGCCTGTATGAATATACCTTTTAAAAAGTGTATGTGGTTCTGTAGTTCATGTTCTGTATCTATTGGTTTTCACGCTTAATGTGTATGAGGAAAGCATTAATAAAAACCCGACCTCCATACCCCAAATGAAGAAATGGTGATCAACTCAAATGAAATGGGTACAGGTATAAACACAAGGAACTGATCAAAAGATGCCTTTATGAAAAGTAAAAGCAGGTTTTTGCATTCTTATTATCATGTAATAATTTTTAGTCTCAAACCTTCATCATTTCCTCTGGCTCCAACCCTGGATAACATCTATGCTGCTGATTTAGCAGCCAAGTCAGTAATTTAAGTACTAGGACTTATTCTGCATGCTAAATTATGTTTACAGAATCAAAGGATTTTCAAATGGAAGGGCTTATCTGGAATTTGGAGATGAGATCTATCCAAGTGCAGAGAAAAATCTTAAGTCTGAGAAATAATTAAATTACAACACTGTTTTTATTAAGCTCACAATCAGTTTGTTGAAAAATGTCTCTCTGATTTTATCTTTCTTGTTCATTTTTAAAACAAAAATTACTATTGATTTTGTAAATATAACACTTGCTCATTATAATGAGTTCAAGTCATGCAGAAAAGTAAAAAGGGGTTTAAAAAAATCACTCCAAATCTGATTTTTTTACCATTATTAACATATAATACATGCTATTTTTATAAATAAGTATTGAAGTAGAAAGAAGCCAAATGAAGCTGAAATGAATTGGAATGGAATTCTGTACTTCAAATAAATGTTTTATTTAGTACAGAATGTAGTATTTTCTAAGCGATCCCTCTAAAAGTTAAGAAGAGATTATTGAAAACATTAAAATATTGAAATTATAGCTCTAAAATTTACATATGTTAATTGCTATGGCATCAATTGTTTTCCTGTTCTGAAAGAAAAAAGACATTGGCCTTTTCCTTTTCCCCTCTTCCACCTCTTGATCTTGTTATTTATAATATTTATTTATATATTGCCAAGGTTTACACATTTATATTCTGTTCTATAATTATTTAAATATATTCTCAATGGATTTGATGTTCACTCAAGACCTTTTATGCATTTCCTCATTTTCTTACCTTTCAGGAATTTCTTAAGTAGCTGGATTTCATTATCAAGTAATGTGTACTTATCTGATTTTTAGTTTGGTTGGTTTTAGTGGAGAAGGGTGCATGTTTGCAGACATCTATAAGCTCTATCTATTGCAGTTTTATATCTTATATACATGGATATTTTGTATACCTTGAAGGTTTGTGATGTTGCATTATATTTCTTTTCCTTCAAAATTTCTTAGATATTTTCCAGTGGCTACTGTTATGAATGTTACTGTGGGATGATATGAAACCAATTAATGACTTATCTCAGGGTTGAGAGTTTGTGTCAAGTTTCCTTGGAATATATGTTCCTTTTCAATCTGAAGATTAGATTTTTGCTTCGTTTCAGAGAAAGTTTCTTCATTAGTTTTGTTTTTTAAATTATCTCTTTGGATACATTGATTTGTTCCTCTGTGTGGTTTTGTTTTTTTTTAACCTAAGATACATTGCTGTGTGGCACAGAATTTGTCAGTTTTCCAGTTCTGTGAGCTTTTTGCTGGTTGTTTAATTTCATCCTTTTTTTAAAAAAAAAAATCTGTATTTGCTATTACTATCTCAATTCTTCCTTGCTTTTGAAATTTATTATTAGTTCTTTAATGATATTGTTTCCATCTCATATTTCCTTAAGTTTGCAATCCCTCTTTTCTCCATTCTTCTGTTTTTAAATTCATTAAGCTTCGTAAATGAAGGAGAGTTAAAGTCTTTTTCAGACAAACAAATGCTGACAGAATTTGCCACTACCAAACCAGCATGACAAGAAATGCTAAAGGGAGTTCTAAATCTTGAAACAAAACCTCAAAATACACCAAAATAGAACCTCCTTAAAATAGAAATCTCACAAGATGTATAAAACAATAACACAATGAAAAAATAAAACAAGGTATTCAGGCAACAACTAGCCAGATGAATACAACATTACCTCACACCTCAATACTGATGTTGAATGTAAATGGCCTAAGTGTTCCACTTAAAAGATAGAGTGGCAGAGTGGATAAATATCTACCAACCAAGTATCTGCAGTCTTCAAGAGAGTCACCTAGCACACATGGGCTTACATAAACTTATGGTAATGGGGTGGAAAAAGATATTCCATTCAAATGGAAACCAAAAGTGATCAGGAGTAGCTATTCTTATATCAGACAAAACAGACTTTAAAGTAAGAACAGTTTAAAAAGACAAAGAGGGACATTATATAATGATACAAGGAGTAGTCCAACAGGAAAATGTCATAGTCCTAAGTATATATGCACCTAACAGTGGAGTTCCCAAATTTATAAAACATTTACCACTGGACCTATGAAATGAGATAGATGGCAACACGATAATAGTGGGGGACTTCAGTACTCCACTGACAGAACTAGACAAGTCATCAAGATCAAAACAATGGACTTATACTATACTATAAAACAAATTGACTTAACAGATATTTACAGAACATTCTACCCAACAACTGCAGAAAATACATTCTATTATTTTTTGATTTTTAAATTATGGAACATTCTTCAAGATAGACTATATGATAAACTACAAAACAAGTCTCAACAAATTTTAAGAAAATCGAAATTATATCAAGTACTCTCTCAGAACACAGTGGAATAAAATTGGAAATCAAAGAATCATCAAAACTATACAAATACATGGAAATTAAATAATCGCTCCTGAATGATGTTGGGTCAACAATGAAATCAAGTTGGAAATTTAAAAATTATTTAAACTGAATGATAATAGTGACACAACCTATCAAAATCTCTGTGCTACAGCAAAAACAGTGCTAAAAGGAAAGTTCATAACATTAAATGCCTGCATGAAAAAGTCTGAAAGAACACAAATAGACAATTGAAGCTCACACCTCAGGGAACTAGAGAAACGAGAACAAACCAAAATGAAACGCAGCAGAAGAAAAGAAATAACAAAGAGCAGAAGTAAATGAAATTGAAACAAAAAAATACAAAAAACAAATGAATCAAATCTTGTTCTTTGAAAAGAAAAACAAAATTGATAAAGCATTAGCAAGATTAACTAAGAAAAGAAGATAGAACATCCAAAGCTCAATTAGAAAAGAAATGGAAGATATTACAGCCAATACCACAGAAATGTAAAAGATCATTTAAGGCCACTATGAGCACCTTTATGTACACAAACTAGAAAACCTAGAGGAGATGGATACATTCCTGGAAATATACAAACCTCCTAGATTAAACCAGGAAGAAGTAGAAATTCTGAATGGACTGATAACAAGAAGTGTGGTTGAAACAGTAATAAAATATTGCCAACAACAAAAAAACTCCAGGACCAGATAGATTCACAACTTAATTTTATTAGACATTCAAAGAAGAATTGGTATCAACCCTACTGAAATGATTTCAAAAGATAAAGAAGGAATTCTCCCTAAATCATTCTATGAAGCCATTATTATCCTAATACCAAAATCTGGAAAGAATATAACAAAATGAAAACTAAAGAACAATATTCCTGATTAACAGAGATACAAAAATACTCAATAAAATACTAGTTAACTGGATCAAACAGCATATCAAAAAGATAATACACATGTTCAAGTGGGTTTCATACCAGGGATGCAGGGTTGGTTTAACATGGGCAAGTCCATAAATGTGATACACCACATAAACAGAATTAAAAATGAAAATCATATAATCGTCTCGAGACACTGAAAAAGCATTTAACAAAATCCAGCATCCCTTTTTGATTAAAACCCTCAGCAAAATTGGCATAAAAGGGACATACTTTAAGGTAATAAAAGCCATCTATGACAAACCCACAGCCAACATTATGCTGAACAGGGAAAATTTGAAAGCAATCCCCTGAGAATTGAAAGAAGACAGGGATGTTCACTTTTACCACTTCTAGTCAACATAGTACTGGAAGTCCGAGCCAGAGCAATCAGACAAGAGAAAGAAATAAAGGGCATCCAAATTGGTAATCTATCTATCACTGTTCACCAATGATATGATAATTTACCTAGAAAACCCTAAAGACTCATTGAAAAAGCTTCTAGGTTGGATAAATGAATTCATTAAAGTTTCAGGATACAAAATCAATGTACACAAATGAGGAGCACTGCTATACACCAACAGCGACCAAACTGAGAATCAAATAAAGAACTCAATTTTTATGAGAGCTACAAAAAACAAAAACTTAGAAATATACCTAATCAAGAAGGTGAAAGATCTCTACAAAGAAAACTAGATAACTGTTGAAAGAAATTACAGATGACACAAATAAATGGAAACACATCTCATGCTCATAAATAGAATTAATATTGTAAAATTGCATTAATGAAGAATTAACATTGTGAAAATGCCAAAAGCAATCTACAAATTCAGTACAATTCCCATCAAAATATGACCATCATTCTTCATAGAACTAGAAATAACAATCCTAAAATTCATATGGATCCCAAAAAGAGCATGCATAGACAAAGCAATAGTAAGAAAAAAACAAAAACAAAAACAAAAAAAACCACTAGAGGTATCACATTACCTGACTTCAAATATACTACAAGACTATAGTAAACAACATGATACCGGTATAAAAACAGGCACATAGAACAACGGAACACAATAGAGAACCAGAAATAAACCCAAATACTTACAGCCAACTGATCTTCAACAAAACATACAAAAACATAAATTGGGGAAAGGACACCCTATTCAATAAATAGTGCTGGGAAGTCACATGTGGAAGAATGAAACTGGATCCTCATCTCTCACCTTAAACAAAAATCAACTCAAGATGGATCAAAGACTTAAATCTAAGACCTGAGTCCATAAAAATTATAGAAGATAACATTGGAAAAACTCTTCTAGGCATTGGCTTAGGCAAAGATTTCATGGCCAAGCAACCAAAAGCAAATGCAACAAAAACAAAGATAAATAGATGGGACTTAAACTAAAAAACATATGCACTGCAAAATACATAATCAGTGGAGTAAACAGACAGCCCACAAAGTGGGAGCAAATCTTTGCAAACTATGCATTCAACAAAAGACTAATATCCGGAATCTACAGGGAACTAAAACAAATCAGCAAGAAAAATTAGAATAATCCCATCAAAAGTGGTCTAAAGACATGAACAGACAATTCCCATAAGAAGATATACAAATGGCCAACAGACCTATGAAAAAATGTTCAACATCACTAATTATCAGGGAAATTCAAATCAAAACCAGAATGCAATACCACCTTACTCCTGCAAGAATGGCCATAATTTAAAAATCAAATAATAATAGATATTGGCATGGATGTGGTGAAAAGGGAACACTTTTACACTGCTGGTGGGAACATAAACTAGTATAACTGCTATGGAAAATAGTATAGAGATTCCTTAAAAGAACTGAAAGTACAACTACCATTGAATGCAGCAATCCCACTCCTGGTTATCTACTTAGAGAAAAAGAAGTCATTATATGAAAAAGACACATGCACACACGTTTATAGCAGCATAATTTGCAATTGTAAATATATGGAACCAGCCTAAGTGCCCATCACCGAATGAGTGGATAAAGAAAATGTGATACACACACACACACCCTAGAATACTAAGCCATAAAAAGGAACAAAATAATGTTTTTTGCATCAACCTGGATGGAGTTGGAGACGATTATTTTAAGTGAAGTTAACTCAGGAATGGATAACCAAACATCATATGTTCTCACTTATAAGTGGGAGCTAAGATACACAAAGGCATAATAAGTATATAATGGTCTCTGGGGACTCAGGGGGAAGTTTGTGAGATGGTGAGGGATTAAAAAACTATATATTGTGTTCAGTGTACATTGCTTGAGTGATGGGTGTACCAAGGTATCAGAGATCAGCACTGAATAACTTATTCATGTAACCAAACAGCACTTGTTCCCGCAAAAGCTATGGAAATAAAAAAAAAAAAAGAAAGAGTGCCCATCCCAAACTAGCAAGATTGCAGAGAGGAATTGGCATACCATATATGTACTGCTGATAGTATCGACAATGTTTTATTCTTCTATAAAGCAATTTGTGGTAAAAGCCAAAAAAAGGTAATTCATTTATTAAAAGAATACGGTTGAATAGTTTTAGTATTTTCTAAGAGTTTTCAGCCATCAGAATTTTAGAACATTTTAATCACCCCATTAAAAAGCATATCAGCAACCACTCCCCTTTTTTCTTATCTCACCCCCAGCCTAGGCAACCTGTACTCTATTTTCTGTCACTATTGATATAGCCAAGAAAAATTTCTACATGAATGTTTATAGCAGCACTATACATAATAATCAAAGATAGTCCCCTTAAGTTTTGCCATTGTACCTGTTTCTTCCTTGAGCTTCAAGAAGGAACATTCCTCATTCTTTTCCTTTATGTCAGTGCAGCATTTCTCTCCAAGGAAATTGCTTCACAAAATCCTCCCTCTTTGCATACTCTGAGCTATTTTTATATCCTTGATCCAGCTGAGACATTCACTAGTCTTGAAACTGGTTCCAAATAGGCAAAGAGAAGGTAGTATAGGTTAGCATTTTGAGACATGGATTCAAGAAATAAACGAGCCCATTCACATTCTGCCTGATATGGTTAGACTTTGTTGTCCCCACCCAAATCTCATCTTGAATTGTAATCCCCATGTGTCAAAGGTAGGAGGTGATTGGATCATGGGGGCAGTTTCCTGCATGTTGTTCTCATGTTAGTGAGTGAGTTCTTACAAAATCTGGTGGTTTTATAATGCAGTTTTCCCTGCTCTTGTTCCCTTCTCTCTCTCCTGCTGCCTTGTGAAAATGTGCTTGCTTCCCCTTTTACCATGATTGTAAGTTTCCTGAGGTCTTCCCAGCTATGCAGAACTGTGAGTCAATTAAACCTCTTTTCTTTATAAATCACCCAGTCTCAGGCAGTTCTTTATAACGATGTGAGAATACACTAATACTCCACCTTTGCCAGTTACAAGAGAAATTACTTAAGCTTTCTGAAATTCCGTTTTCTCTTCTGTAAAACTGATAATAGCATAATGTTCTCATAGATTTGTAACATTTAAATGAATCAATTCATGTAAAGTGCTTGTAGTGATACCAAATATTCAAAAAGTAAAATGTGTTAGTGATTTTATATTTTTAATTTTTGTGTTGTGTAAAAAGCACATATCATAACAGTTACCATCTTAACCATTTTTACATGTACAGTTCAGTAGTGTTTACGTTTATACTGTTGCAATATAAATCTCTAGAACTTTTTTGTCCCTCAGAACTGAAACTTCTTAAAACAACTATAACCCCATAGTCCCCTTTCCTCAGTACCTGATAATCACCATTTTACTTTTGACATCTAGGAATTTGACTACTTTGGATAATTCATATAAATGGAATCATATTTGTCCTTTTTGGATGCCTTATTTAACTTAGCATAATGTTCTTAAGATTTATCCATATTGTACCATGTAACAGAATTTCCTGCCTTTTAAAGTCTGCATAGAATTCCATTTTATCTTTATACCACATTCTGTTTATCCATTAAACTGTCAATGGACATACGGGTTATTTTCACCTCTTGGCTATTGTAAATAGTGCTGCTATAAACATGGTTGTGCAAATACCTCTTAAAGTCCTTGCTTTCAAATTTTTGGAATACATACCCAGAAGTGGGATTGCTAGATCATCATATGGTTGTTCTATTTGTAAGTTTTTTAAGAATCATACTTTTTTCCGTAGATGTTGCACCATGTTACAATCTCACCAACAGTGTACAAGGGTTCCGCCTTCCCTACATCTCTGCTAATACCGGTTATTTTCTGTTTTTAAATTGTAGTCACCCTAATGGGTATGAGGAAATACCTCATTGTGGTTTGATTTGCATTTCTCTTATGATTAGTGATGTTGAGCATCTTTTCTTATTGGCCATTTGTACATCATCTTTGGAGAAATGTCTCCTTAAGTCTTTTGCCCATTTTTATTTTTTATTTTTAAATTTTATTTCAATACTTTCTGGGGTACAAGAGGTTTTTGGTTACATGGGTAAGTTCTTTAGTGGTGATTTCTGAGATTTTAGTGCACCCATCACCTATACAGTGTACACTGTACCGAATATGTAGTCTTTTATGTCTCACTACCTCCCAAGCTTCCCCCACTACATTCCCCAAAGACAATTATATCATTCTTATACCTCTGTGTCCTCACAGTTTAGCTCCCACTTATAAGTGAGAGCATACAATATTTGGTTTTCCATTCCTGAGTTACTTCACTTAGAATAATGGCCTCCAGCTCCATCCAAGTCGCTGCAAAAAACATTACTTTGTAGATATATATCTATAGATATATATACACACCCTGTGATATATATATCACAATTTCTTTATCCACTCATTGGGTGATGGGCACTTAGGTTGTTTTCATATCTTTGCAATTGTGAATTGTGTTGCTATAATCATGCATTTGCATGTGTCTGTTTCATATAATGACTTCTTTTTGTTTGGGTAGATACTCAGTAGTGGGATTGCTGGATTGAATGGTAGTTGTACTTTTAGTTCTTTAAGAAATCTCCATACTGTTTTCCATAGTGGTTGTACTGGTTTACATTCCCACCAGCAGAGTAAAAGTGTTCCCTTTTCATCACATCTATGCCAGCATCTATTGTTTTTTGACTTTTAAATTATGGCCATTCTTGCAGGAGTAAGGTGGTACCGCATTGTGGTTTTGATTTGCATGTCCCTGATAATTAGTGATGTTGAGCATTTTTTCCTAAGTTTGTTGGCTGCTTGTATAGCTTCTTATGGTTAATTGTCTATTTATGCCCTTAGACCATTTTTTGATGTGATTGTTTCTTGCTGATTTGAGTTCCTTGCAGATTCTGAATCTTAGTCTTTGCGGGACGCATAGTTTGCCAATATTTTCTTGTTATCTGTTTATTGTCCTGATTATTTTGCTGTGCAGAAGCTTTTTAGTTTAATTAGCTCCATTTATTTCTGGTTTTGTTGCATTTACTTTTGGGTTTTTGGTCATTAATTCTTTGCCTTAGCCCATGTCTGGAAGAGTTTTTCCAGTATTCTAGAAATTTTATGGATTCAGGTCTTAGATTTAAGTCTTTGATCTATCTTGAGTTGATTTTTGTATAAGGTGAGAGATGAGGATCCAGATACATTCTCCTACACGTGGCTTGCCAGTTTTCCCAGCACTGTTTATTGAATAGGGTGTCCTTTCCCCAATTTATGTTTTGCTTTGTTATTTATGTTATGCTTTGTTGAAGATCAGTTGGCTGTAAGTATTTGGGTTTATTTCTGGGTTCATTGTTATGTTTTATTGGTCTATGTGCCTATTTTTATAGTAGTACCTTGCTGTTTTGGTAACTATAACCTTGTAGTATAATTTTAAGTCAGGTAACGTGATGCCTCCAGATATTTTTCATTTTGCTTACTATTGCTTTGTCTATGCATGTTCTTTTGGGGTTCCATATTAATTTTAGGATTCTTTTTTCCAGTTCTGTGAAGAATGATAATGGTATTTTGAAGGGAATTGCATTGGATTTATAGATTGCTTTTGACAGTATGGTTATCTTCACAATGTTGATTCTTCCCATCCATGAGCATCAGATGTGTTTTCACTTTTTTTTTTTTTTTTGCAGCTGTAGTAAAAAGGATTGAGTTCTTGATTTGATTCTCATCTTGGTTGTTGCTGGTGTATAGCAGTACTCCTGATTTATGTACATTGATTTTGTATCCTGAGACTTTATTGAATTTGTTTATCAGCTCTAGGAGCTTTTTGGATGAGTCTTTAGAGTTTTCTAGGTATATGATCATATCATTGGCAAACAGCAACAATTTTATTTTATACTTCCTGTTTTCCAGTTTGGATGCCCTTTCTTTCTTTCTCTTGTCTGATTGCTGCGATTTGCCCATTTTACAATTAGGTTATTTGATTTCTTATTGCTGCATTGTAGTTCTATATGAATTCTGGATATTAAGAACTTATGTAATAACTGATATATGATTTGCAAATACTTTCTCCCATTACATGGGATTTTTTTTACTTTGTTGATTTTTTTTGTTGTTGAACAGAAGTTTTAAAGTTTGATATAGTGATTATTTTTAAAATGTGCTCTGTAAATTCTATGTATAACAGTCTATCTTTGGAACTTCATGTATGTCTCAGGAGAAACTTCTAACTTAATGCCCTGTAATATATGTATAGTTGGTTCCTTACTGACAGGCATTTAAGATTTTCTAATATTTTGCTATCACCAACATTTCAGTACTTCTCTTTACATGTGCCATTTTTCATTTGTATGACAACATCTGTAGGAAAAATACCTAGAGGTAGAATTGCTTAATAAAATGATTTATATTTTAAAATGTTGACAACATATGTCAATTTACATTCCTACTGACAAATTATGAAAATGCTTATTTTCTGACAAACAGAAAAATATAATACAGTGTGTAAGCAAACATCCTGATTTGCCAACCAGGTAAATAAAAAATTGTATCATATTGTTGGAATTGTATCTCATTTTCCTTTTCAATTGCATTTCTCACATTCCAAGGGAAAGTGAAATCATTTCAGAATTTGAGGGCCATTTTTTTTCTATAAAGTGCTTATATGTCTTTTGTCTATTTTTGGAGATTAGCTTTCTAAAAAATTAAAAAATATTTTTTTTTCTGTATTAAAGAAATCAACTGATTATAGCATGAGTGGTAATAATGTTTTCTAAATGTGTTTATCTTTGACTTGTTCTAGGCTATTGATAATTATTTAGAAAATTTTGAGTTTGTTAGTTAATTTACATATTCTTAACGAACCTCTTTGTAAAAATCATACATAGAAAGGCTTTCCTCACTTTAAGATCTTTTATGACCTTCTGTTTTCACAATACATTTTTTTATCCAACTAGTATTTACTTCAGTATGAAGTATGCAACACAGATCCAAAGCTGTGTTGTCCAGGTATGTATTTGCACACTACTTATGAAAGAAGCCAATCTTCACCACCCCCCTACCCCAATGTTTAATGCTTTCTTTATCATTTGTTGTGTTACCATATATATTTTGGTCTATTAATATTTCATTGGTATATACATTTTTGAATTATATTCATATGTACACACCCATATGCATACATATGTTCATACACCAAAATTCTATACTCTCTAAAAATTCTTTTTATCTTATTGAAGTATAATTGATAAATAAGAATTGTATATATTGAAGGTATATCTTTTCTTCTTTATATTTAGTATAGTATACTTTAAAAAAGTTGACATATATTATTTGTACATATTTATGTGGTACATAGTGATGTTTCAATACATATAATGTATAGTGATCAGATCAAGATAATTACTACATCTATCATCTTGAACATTTATGATTTATTTGTATTGGGAACATTCAATATCCTTCTTTTAGTTATTTGAAACTATACACTATATTATTGTTAACTATAATTATCCTACAGTGCTATAGAAAACAAGAACTTATTCCTGTATCTGGATAGAATTTTGTATCCTTTAACAAATCTATCCCTATTCCCTCCTTTCCCTGACCTTCCCACCCTCTAATATCCTTTGTTCTACTTTTTACTTCTTTAAGATAAACTTTTTTAAGCTTTCACATATGAATGAAAATATACAGTGTTTAATTTTCTGTTCCTGGTTTATTTTACTCAACATAATGTCTCCCAGTTCCATTCATGTTGCTATAAATGACAGGATTTTGTTCTTTTTTATGACTGAATAGTATTTCATTGTGTATATATACCATATTTTCTTTATCCATTCATCTGCTGTGGGACACCAAGGGTGATTCCATATCTTGGCTATTGTGAATAGTGCTGCAATAAACATGAGGGTGGAGATGTGTCTTCGATATATTGATTTCCTTTCCTTTGGATAAATGCCCAGCAGTGGATTGCTGGATCATATGATAGTTCTATTTGTAGTTTTTTTGAGGCATCTCCATGCTGTTTCCCATAATGGCTGTACTAATTTACATTCCAACCGACAGCGTACTAACATTCTCCTTTCTCTGCATTCTCACCAGCATTTGTTATTTTTTGTCTTTTTGATAATAACCCCTTAATTGGGGTGAGATGATATCTCATTGTGGTTTTGATTTGCATTTTTCTGATTATTAGTGATATTGAGTATTTTTTCATATATTTGTTGCATTTCTCCGACGATTAGTGATGTTGAGCACTTTTTCATATATTTGTTGGCCATTTTTTTATGTCTTCTTTTATGAAATGTCTATTAAGCTAATTTGCCCGTTTAAAGTCAGATTTTTTTTGTTTTTTGCTTTTGAGGTGTTTGAGTTCCTTATATCTTCTAGTTTTTAATCCCTTGTCAGACAGATAATTTGGAAATATTTTCTCCCATTCTGTAAATTGTGTCTTCCCTCTGTTGATTGTTTCCTTTGCTGTGCAGAAGCTTTTCAGCTTAATGTAATCCCATTTGTCTATTTTTGCTGCTGTGGCCTGTCCTTTTGAAATCTTACACAAAAAATATGCCCAGAACAATGTCCTGAGGCATTTCCTCAAAGAATTTTTCTGGTAGTTTCATAATTTCAGGTCTTACATTTAAGTCTTTAATCCATTTTGATTTGGCTTTGTATACGGCAAAAGATAGTGGTCTAGGTGCATTCTTTTGCATGTAGATATCCCATTTTCCCACCACCATTTATTAAAGAGACTATTCTTCACCCAATATATGTCTTGGCACCTTTGTTCAAAATGGGTTGGCTGTATATGTGTAGATTCATTTCTGGGTTCCCTTTTCTGTTCCATTGGTCTCTGTGTCTGTTTTTATGCTATTACAATACTATTTTGACTACTATAGTTTTAGAGTATATTTTGAAGTTTGGTAGTGTGATATCTGCAGCTTTCTTCTTTTTGCTCAGGATTGCTTTGGTTCTTTGGAGTCTTCTGTGATTCCATACAAATCTTGGGATTTTTTTTTCTATTTCTGTAAAGAATGTTGTTGGTATTTTGATAGGGATTACGTTGAACCTGTATATCTCTTTGGATTTTATGGACATTTTAAAAATATTAATTCTTCCAATCCATGAGAATGAAATATCTTTCCAATTTTTGTGTGTTCTCTTCAATTTCTTTCATCAGTGTTTTATAGTTTTCCTCATAGAGATCTTTTACTTTATTGGCTAAATTGATTCCTAGGTTTTTGCTAGGAATTGATTCCTAGGTCTATTGCTCTTGTAATAAAAGGGATTGATTTCTTGATTTATTTTTCCAATTTTTTACTATTAGCATATAGAAATGCTACTGATTTTTTGTTGATTTTGTATCCTGTAAATTTACCAAATTCACTGATCAATTCTAAGAGTTTTTTGGTAGAGTCTTCAAGTTTTTCTAAATATAAGATCATATCATCTGTGAGCAAGGCTAATTTGACTCATACCTTTCCAATTTGCATGCCCTTTATTTCCTTCTCTTGTCTGACTGCTCTGGCTGGGACTTCCAGGATTTTGTTGAATAAAAGTGGTGAACGTGGGCATCCTTGTCTTGTTCCAGATCTTAGACAAAAGACTTTCAATTATTTTTCCATTTAGTATTCTGTTAGTTGTGGTTTTGTTGTATATGGCCTTTATTGTTTTGAGGTCTGTTTCTTGTTTGCTTTGTTTGTTTGTTTTTGTGTATGCATGTGTATTAGTCCATTCTCACACTTCTAATAAAGACATACCACAGATGGGGTAATTTACAAAGAAAAAGAGGTTTAATGAACTCACATTTCCATATGGCTGGGGAGGCCTCACAATCATTGCAGAAGGCAAAGGAGGAGCAGGGCATGTCTTACATGGCAGCAGGCAAGAGAGCATGTGCAGGGAACTGCTCTTTATAAAACCATCAAGTCTGATGACATTTATTCACTACCATGAGAATAGCATAGGAAAAGCCCACCCCATGATTTAATTACCTCCCATTGGGTCCCCCTGATGACACTTGGGGATTATGGGAGCTGCAGTTCAAGTTGAGATTTGGTTGGGGACACGGCCAATCCATATCATTCCACTCCTGGCTCCTCCCAAATCATTTTTGTCCTCACATTTCAAAACCAATCATGCCTTCCTGCAGTTCCCTAAAGTCTTAACTCATTTCAGCATTAAGTCAAAAGTCCACAGTCCAAAGTCTCATCTGAGACAAGGCAAGCCCCTTCCACCCATGAGCCTGTAAAATCAAAAGCAAGTTAGTTACTTCCTAGATACAATGGGGGTGCAGGCATCAGGTAAATACAGCCATTCCAAATGGGAGAGACTGGCCAAAAAAGGGGCTACAGGATCCATGCAAGTCTGAAATCCAGTAGGGCAGTTATTAAACCTTAAACTTCCAAAATGATCTCCTTTGACTCCATGTCTCACGTCCAGGTCACGATGATGCAAGAAGTGGGCCCCTATGGCCTTGGGCAGCTCTGTCCCGTTGGCTTTGCATGGTATATCCCCCATCCCAGCTGCTTTCATGGGTTGATGTTGAGTGTTTGCAGCTTTTCCAGGTGCGCAGTGCGAGATGTTGATGGATCTAACATTCTGGGGTCTGGAGGATGATGGCCCTCTTCTCACAGCTCCACTAGGAAGTGCCCCAGTGGGGACTCTGTGGCAGCTCCAACCCCACATTTCACTTCTGCACTGTCCTAGCAGAGGTTCTCTATGAGGGCCCCACCCCTGCAGCAAACTTCTGCCTGGACATCTAGGCATTTCTATCCATCCTCTGAAATCTAGCCAGAAGTTCCCAAACCTCAATTCATGACTTCTGTGCACCTGCAGGCTCAATATCACATTGAAGCTGCCAAGGTTTGGGGCTTGCATCCTCTGAAGCCATGGCCTGAGCTGTACCTTGCCACCTTTTAGCCATGGCTGGAGCAGCTGGGATGCAGGGCACCAAGTCCCTAGGCTGCACATAGCAGGGGGGCCCTGGACCTGGTCCGGGAAACCATTTTTTCCCTTCTAGGCCTCTGGGCCTATGATGGGAGGGGCTGCCATGAAGGTCTCTGACATGTCCTGGAGAAATTTTCCCCATTGTCTTGGTGATTAACATTCAACTCCTTGTTACTTATGAAAATTTCTGCAGCAGGCTTGAATTTCTTCCCAGAAAATGGGTTTTTATTTTCTATTGCATTGTCAGGCTGCAAATTTTCACAACTTTTATGCTCTACTTCCTCTTGAATGCTTTGATGCTTAGGAATTTCTTCTGCCAAATACCCTAAATCATCATTCTCAAGTTCAAAGTTTCACAGATCTCTAGTGCAGGGGCAAAATGCCACCAGTCTCTTTGCATAGCAAGAGTGACCTTTACTCCAGTTCCCAACAAGTTTCTTATCTTTATCTGAGACCACCTCAGCCTGGATCTTATTGTCCATATCACTATATGCATATTAATCAAAGCCATTCAGCAGGACCCTAGGAAGTTCCAAACTTTCCTACATCTTCCTGTCTTCTGAGCCCTCCAAGTCTCTGGGAAGTTCCAAACTTTCCCACATTTTAATCTTCTGAGCCCTCCAAACTGTTCCAATCTCTGCCTGTTACCCAGTTCCAAAATCGCTTCCACATTTTTGGGTATCTTTACAGCAGCACTCCACTACCCAGTACCAATTTACTGTATTAGTTCGTTCTCACACCGCTGATAAAGATATACCCGAGGCTGGGTAATTTATAAAGAAAAAGAGGTTTTCTTTTTCCTTTTTTTTAAACCAATGAGTTTAATATCTTCGGATGTTTCCTTGTTACATTTTAGTGTCCATTTCTTTAAGTTTAAAGAATGCCCTTGTAATTTTTTGTAAGACAAGCCTGGTATTGGGGAATTTCCTCAGCTTTTGTTTGTCTTGGAGACTCTTTATTTCTTCTTCATGTTTAAAGGTTAGCTTTGCTAGGTGTAGTATTCTTGGTGAGTAGTTCTTTCTTTTTTCCCCTTGGCTTTGAATATAGCATCCCACTGTCTCCTGGCCTGCAGGGTTTCTGCTGAGAAACCTGCTGAAAGCCATATTTGGGTGTCATTGAATGTGATATATTTCTTTTTCTACTGCTTGAGTAATCCCTCTTTGTGTTTGATTTTTGCTAATTTGATTATGATTGTTTTTCTTGAAGATTTCTTCTTTGGATTGAATTTGATTGATGATATCCAAGCTTCCTATACCTGAATGGGGGTGTTGTTTTCCAGATTTGGGAAATTTTCAGCCATTATTTTCTTAAATATTTTTCTCTCTCCTGTCCTTTGAAATTTACTATTATGCAGATGTTAGTTTGCTTAATGTAGTCTCACATTTGATGTGTCATCTTGACTGTCCCAAGGGATGTCCAGGTAGCTTGAAAACATTATTTCTGTGTGTATGTGTGGGTGTTTTCAGAAGAAATTAGCATTTAAATTGAAGTGAGTAAGATCGACTTCGCAAACATGGGTGGGCATCATCCATTTTATTGAAAGCCCATATAGGTCAAAAGGTGGAGGAAGGGCAAATTTCTTATCTCTTCTATAGCTAAGACATCCATCTTCTCTTGCCCTAAACCATCAGCATTTCTGATTTTGAAGCCTTTGTCCTTGTACTGGGTCTTACACTATTGGCTTCTCTGTGTCTCAGGTCTCTGTGATTTAACTGGATTACACCACCAGCTTTCCTTAGCCTCCAGTCTACAGACAGCAGATTATGGAATTTTTTAGCTTCCATAATTGCATGAACCAATCCCTCATAAAAAATCTCTTTCCCTTTCTCTCTATATATCCTATAGGTTCTGTTTCTCTAGAGAATTTTGATTAATGCAGGAGTTTATTCCATTTACATTTAACTAATTATTATTTATAAGGACAGATTTACTAATTTGTTGACTGTTTTGTTTTTCTTCTAATTCTTTTATCCCTCTTTTTCTCTCTTGCTGTCATAGTGTATGTTCTGCCTTTTTTTTTTTTTTGAGACAGGGTCTCACTCTGTCATCCTGGCTGGAGCGCAGCATTGGCATGATCATGCTCACTGCAGCCTTCAAGATCTGGGCTCAAGTAATTCTCTTGCCTCAGCCTCCAAGGCAGCTAGGACAACAGGCATGTGCCACCACACCTGGTTAATTTTTAATTTTAATTTTTATAGAGACAGAGTATTACCATGTTTTGCAGGCTGGTCTCAAACTCCTGGTTTCAAGTGTTCCTCCCACCTTTGTGTCCCAAAGTGGTGGAATTACAGGTGTGAGCCACTGTGCCCAGCTGTTGTTTTATTTTTCTCTTACTTGATAGGCTTTGATTCGTGTCTCTCTTTTCTTTTCTGTAACTTTTATAGATATTTTCTTTGGTATGCTTACACAAAATATATTATAGTTTTGGCTGGCTGTGGTGCTTTACACCTGTAATCTCAGCATTTTGGGAAGCCAAAGTGGGAGGAGTGCATGAGGCTAAGAGTTTGATACATCCATCTCTACAGAAAAGAAAAGTAAGCCAGTGTAACGTAGTGAGACCTTGTCTACACAAATATATATATATATATTAGATATATATATATATATATATTTTAAAAATAGCTGATCATGATCATGTGTGGCTGTTTTATTAGCTGCTTGGGAGGCTGAAGAATAATTGCTTGACTCCAGGAATTTGAGGCTGCAGTGACCTATGATGATGCCATTGATGCTACCATATTACAGCCTGGGTGACAGAGCAAGAACCCATCTCTATTAAAATATTTACATAGGCCGGGTGCTGTGGCTCATGCCTATAATCCCAGCGCTTTGGGAGGCCAAGGTGGGTGGATCACTTGTGGTCAGGAGTTTGAGTACAGCCTGGCCAACATGGTAAAACCCGATCTCTACTAATAATACAAAAATTAGCCAGGCATGGTGGTACTCGCCTGTGATCCCAGCTACTCAGGAGGCTAAAGTTGGAGAATTGCTTGAACCTGGGAGGCAGAGGTCGCAGTGAGCCAAGATCATGCCACTGCACTCTAGACTAGGCAACACAGCAAAGCTCCATCTCCCCCACCCCCGCAAAAATATATATACATATATATATTTGTATATATAATGGTTTTACTGTGTATTTTAAGACATTAACAACTCAGCATCATTTGCATATAAAAACTGTACATTTTTGCCTCTTCACCTTGATGGCTCATTGTGTACTATTAATGTCACAATTTACGTCTATTTATATTGTGTATCCATTCATATAATTTAGTTATAGTTATTTTTAATATTTTTTTAATTTTTATGCTATTATTAAAAGTGTTTTTCCATCACCATTACGATGATATAATATTCTGATTTTGCCTATAGATTTATCTTTACCAATGAGTTTTATACTATCCTATGATCTCATGCTGCCACTTAGTGTCCTTTCACTTTAATTTGAAGAACATCTTTTAGCATTTCTTGTAAGGCAGGTCTTGTGATGAACTCCCCCAGCTTTTGTTTGCCTGGAAAAATCTTTATGTCTCCTTCGTTTCTAAAGAGAGTTTTGCTAAGTATGGCATTTTTAGTTGGCAGATTTTTTTTTTCTTTCAGCACTTAAGTATATCATCTTATTCCCTTCTGTTCTGCAAGGTTTCTGCTGAAAATTCTGCTAGTAGTTTTACAAAGATTCTCCTATACATGTCATTTTTTTCTTGATGCTTTCAAAATTTTCTTTGTCTTTAATTTTTGACAATTTGATTATGATTTGTCTCTGCTTGGGTCATTTTAGGTTCATCTGACTTGATGTTCTTTATGTTTCCTGGATTTGGATGTCTATTTCTTTCTCTGGGTTTGGGATGTTTTCAGCCAATATTTCTTTGAATAATTGTTTTCCCCTTTCTCTTTGTCTTCTCCTTCAGGAACTCCCATACTATGTACAGTAGCCTGCTTTCTTGTATCCTTTAAGGTCCTTAAGCTATCTTCACTCCTTTTTATTCTTTTCTCTTTTTGCTTCTGTCAGTCAGTGATTTCCAATAACCTGTGTTTTAGTTTGCTGATCCTTCCTTCTGCATCATCTAATGTTCTTTTGAAACCTCTGTATTGAATTTTTCAGTTTGGTTATTGTATCCTTCAGCTGTATGATTTTTGTTTGGTACTTTAAATTATTTTCTGTCTCTTTGTTGAAATTCTCACTGTGTTAAACCCTTGCTCTCCTAGCCTTGGCAAGCCTCTTTATGAGAATTTAAAAAAATTCTCCATCAGATTAATCATACACCTCTATTTCATTAGAGTTGGTTTCTGTAGATTTATTTTAACTTTTATTTGAAGGATGTTTCCTTGTTTTTTTCATTTTCTTTGACTCTCATGTTGGCTTCTGGGTATTAGATAAATCAGCCACCTTTCTCAGTGTATTAGTCCATTCTTTCACTGCCGTAAAGAAGTTCCTGAGACTGGGTAATTTATAAAGAAAAGAGGTTTAATTGGCTCATGGTTCTACCGACTGTAGAGAAAAATTAGCAGTTTCTGTTTCTGGAGAGATCTCAAGAAGTTTCCAATCATGAGGGAAAGCAAAGGGAGAGCAAGGTGTCTCATATGTCAGGAGCAGGAGCAAGAGTAATTGAAGGGGGAGGTGCTTCATACTTTTAAACAGCCTGCTTTCATGAGAACTCACTATCATGAGAACAGCATCAAGGGTATGGTGCTTTACCATTCAGGAGAAATCCACCCCAACGATGCAACCACCTCCCACCAGTTCCCACCTCCAATATTGGGGACTACAATTTGACAGGAGATCTTTTGGGGGACAGATATCCAAACCACATCACTGCATCTTCACATACTGGCCTAATAGGGGAGATGACCCTCTTCAGCCTGACCAGAGATGCTCAGTACTTACTGAAGCTTTTTGCTCTCCCAAACCCACGATATTTGTTCTTATCAACCCCCAGGAAACTAGAGCATGCTATGTCCTGTCAGTGGCCTAAAACAGATGAGTTGCAAGCCACACTGTCAGGCAGCAGTTGGAAAAGTTAAGGTGGGGAGAGGCCAGATGGGTAGTATTTCAAATCTTTCTAAGTAGAAGCTGAAGACTTCTGTTTTATTGTTGGAGCAATCCAGGGGGATGAGCCACAGAGTGCTTACATACTCATTCACACTCTTAAGAGGATTAGCGATTGCCTTCCCTATAGCTACTAAAGATAAAGACAGGCTAGTTAGAAACCAACTTTGGGCAGCAGCCAGAAAAGTTAATACATTAGATGTGTAGTCTAATTTCTTTGAGGAAGAAGCTGGGAGCTGGAATTTATTGTCTATTTGCTCTGCATTGAGCCAGGAGGAAGTGCTACAAGAAGTGTTCGTGCATCCATTCTAAACTACCTCTTTTTTCTTTGTTGGTTGAGGGGACTAATGAATGCTAGGCTGCTAGGTCACAGAGACAGGTGAGTTAGGAACCAGTTGCTCAGGCCTCAGCTGGAAAAGTTGGGGCACGAGATGTGACTTGCAAACTCATTCCTCTTCAGTTGGAATTTAGTAGTTCCCTCCTAATTGTATGGCACTGTGCTATGGATGGGGTTTATGGCAAGAGTGTGACTCAGCTTTTCCCATCTGTTTTGATATCACTGTCCTCTCAGTCACCCCATGTGCAGGAGTCTCTCAATTAGTTTCTGTATATTTCACAGAGGAAATTGATCTATGTGTACTGTTTATTCAATATGTCTGTAGGTTGAGGGAAAGTATGAAGCCACGTATTCTGCCACCTTGATGATGTCTCTCTCTCTCTCTCTCTCATTCTAATTTAACTATTGTAGTTTTTCAATGTCGTAATACCTGGAATTGGAAACATTCTCTACTCCTACTTCAGTACCTTTATTTTTCAGAATTTCCTGGCTACTCTTTTTTGATTATTTTTATATGAAATTTAGAAGCAGCTTCTGAAATTCAAAAAATATTGTCTAACTATTTTTATTGGGATAAAGTTAAAATTTAAAAATTAAAGAATATTAAACTATTTACAAACTTTAATTTTTCTTTCCAGGGACATGATATGTCTTTCTACATAATTGCCTCCTGTTTTGTATCCATCAGTGGCATTTTAAGGTTTTACTCATATCAAGCTAATATATTTTGTATTATATTTATTCCTGATATTTGTTATTATTTTAAATTGTTATTTTAAATTGGATATTTTTTCATTACATCTGCTAAACTGTTGTTTGAATATATAAAGCCTATTTATTTGTATATTAGTATTATACTGGTTGTCTTGCTGGTGTCTGAAATAGCTTTTTAGCTGATTCTCTTGCATTTTCTAGATAAACAATTTTAGTATCTACTAATAATGATAATCTATTTTTTCCATTCCAATTTTTATAGTGCTTACTCTTTCTGATAATGTGTTTGCATTGGCTAATGTCTTCACAATAATGATTCCCCTCCATATGTTGCCATGATTTGCTCTCTTACTTGCTTTAAGTCTCTACCCAAATGTTATCTTAACAGAGACGATACTCCCGATCACTGTATATAAAATAACGATGTTACACCCTTTACTCCAATTTATCTCATTCCATCTCTATTACCCTGCTTTATTTTTCGTCCATAGCTGTTTTTCCCATCTAGTATTTGTTTATGTATTTATTGGTTTTTTCTTAATACTGTAGTCTCTATGAATGTGGGGTAATTGTTTTTATACAAAGATTTGTCTTCTCTGACTAACATGATGGTTAGCACCAGTTGGTTCTAAATAAATATTTGGTGAATGAATGCCTGAGTGTTAAACAATAATGGTGGTAAAGAATATCTTTTACTTATTCCTGGATTAATGGGAATGTGTCTGTTGTTTCTCTATTGAGTCCAACGCTAGTAGTTCATATTTAATGTTTATATAAAACATATTTTCTTTAATCTCAGTAAAAAATTCTCAAAATTGACCTTCATTTTAAATTCACTGGTTTATTTTTTAAATTAAACTTTTTTTTTTCCTGGCATTTAGTCCCACTTACCCACGTTCACAGACTGATATTAGTATGTGAGCCTTAAAAATTTGATAATTGAAGTTTGCGGTTTGGCTTTGAGTCTTACTAGTATATCATTGCTTTGTGAGCTTAACCTTTTTTATCAATACTTTTTTGTTTTGCTCCATTTTGAATGTAACACATGTAAAGAGAAGTGCACAAGGTATAAATGTATAGCTCAATGACTGAACACAAAACAAAACTCATAAAACCACTGTCCAGGTCAAAAAAATAGAGCACTGCCAAAATGCTACCAGTATGGATTATATCCCTTCCCAATCATTACTGCCTCTGCACACTGTCTTGATTTCCAATGCTGTAATTTAGTTATATTTGTTTTAGAACTTTATAGAAATAAAACCATACAATATGTATTTTTGCACTGTGTTCTTTTACTCAAGATGATGCAATTCTTTATAAAATTTATTCATGTTTTTACTTATTGCTCTAGTTTCTTCATTTTTATGGTTGTATTACGATATTGCATCGTGGGAATAGGCTACTTCCAGAATTACCAAACCCCTCTCCCTACACCTTCAACAGGGATAATTCTTACTTGCTGTTAGTTCCTTTTTCCTTTCCCCTTAGAGAGTTTTCTGGCTTTTTCCCCCTGTTCACTCTAATTATTGCTTCTTACTTTTCTTTTATTATTAACTTTTCAAGGCCCGTTTAAAATATCCTTAGCCTTTCTGCTCTTAATCACCCTGTCCTTGTTCCATTTTCTTCTCCACAAATCCCGCCACCTCACTCAGAAAAATTGAACACATAATATTATGAAGAAGGAGAAATCACAGCAATCACAGTCTAAAGTAGTATATAAATAAACTGTTAATTTTCATTTTTTTAATTTACTGAGAATTTTTTCACAGGAATATCTTAGATTTAAAATGGTGTTTGTTTTTCTATGACTTTATTTTTGAGTGACACGGGTTAGCTCTTTTTAGCTTCATTCTTCTAAGTTTGCTCACCAAAGTTGTGTGTTTGGTTTTTTTTGAGAAGGAGTCTCACTCTTTTGGCCATAATGGAGTGCAGTGGTGCAATCTCATCTCATTGCAGCCTCCGCCTTCCGGGTTCAAGCAAGTCTCCTGCCTCTGCCTCCTGAGTAGCTGGGATTACAGGTGTGTGCCACTATGTCTGCCTAATTTTTATATTTTTTAGTAAAGATGGGGTTTCTCTATGTTGGCCAGGCTGGTCTTGAACTCCTGGCCTCAAGTTTTATCCTGCCTCAGCCTCCCAAAGTTCTGGGATTACAGATCTGAGCCACTGTGCCCTGCCCCCACCATAGTTTTTAATAAAAATATTTCTGATGATTTAGGAGAATTAAAAGCAATTTAGAAAGTAAAACTATCTTACTTAGATATGTATAATTAGATATTTAAAGCTTTGAGTCACATAAGTTATTCCTCTAGGGGCATATCTTATTTTTTCATTGATGCTTAAACTGAAAATAAATAACTCAAAATACATTTGTTACTATGAGAGTGGCACTAACTTCAAATATTATCTCAAATTTTCTGATCAATTTTAATATTGCTCTCTTTTAGCAGCAGGAATAACTTGAAGTGTTAATCTAAATTTAGATATTAACAATACTTATCTACAACAAACATTTTAATTAACCTACTTATTCTACTAATAGCATCACTCAATTTTGCTTTAAAAATGAGAGTTCTCTCTGACAAAAATTTGCTGGAGTAATTTTCTGTAGCAAATGGATAGAAAACTGCTAGCCCTATTTGGTTGGTGCCAGGTTTTGAAGTAATTTAATTGGGGTTGTTCTTAAGTTTAACCTGTCAATAATATGCAGGGAAGATTCTCTAGTATCTCAAATAAACAAAGATAAGAAAATCAGTCCTCTCTTAAATAGCAAATGGACTCTCAGAGCAATAGCATTTACATTAATCTACAACTTAGTTATAAAGTGTGTTTCAAAAACAAATAGAAACAAAGTTATTCACCATCTGCACACCTGAAGAATATTCAAAAGTAAATGACAAAGCAATATTTTTTATAATACTATATTTTGAAATGAGAAAACAAACTGCTTTTCGGGAAGGAGAGTTGATCTTTGATTTTTTTTTAAATTCTATAATATTTTATTTCTTCATTTTGCTTTGTTTTGTTGGTATTTTTTCTTATATATAATAGTTGTGCGTATTTTTTGGGTACATGTGATATTTCAACACATGTATACAATGTAAAATGACTAGATTAGGGTAATTGGGGTATCCATCACCTCAAACGTTTATTCTTTGTGTTGAACATATTACAATTCTTCTCTTCTAGCTATTTTGAAATATACAATAAATTATTGTTAAATATAAATTCCCTACTGTTCTATTGAATACTAGAACCTAATCTATCTGTGTAAATGTACTCTTATACCTATGAACCAAATCAGTCTTTTATTTATTTTTATTTTCTTTTAATTTTTTGAATTGGAGTTTTGTTCTGTTGCTCAGGCTGGAGTGCAGTGGTGCGATCTCAGCTCACTGCAACCTCCGCCTCTCAGGTTCATTCGACTTTCCTGCCTCAGCTTCCCTAGCTGGGATTATAGGCACCCACCACCACGCCTGGCTAATTTTTATATATTTAGCAGAGACAGGGTTTCACCATGTTGGCCAGGCTGATCTTGAACTCCTGACCTCAGGTGATCCACCCCTCCATGGCCTCCCAAACTGCTGGGATTATAGGCGTGAGCCACAGTACCCAGCCTAAATTAGTCTTTTAGATGTCACTACTATTGGTTGATTTATTTTGATGTTACAACACAGATAAAATAACTTGAAAATTTCTTTCTTATTGAGTCATAACATAAATCTATAAACTAAATTAATTCTTTAAAAAGATATATATAATTTAAATTATTAACTTAAAAATTATAAACAGTTATTTTTCCTTTTGCTCATCATAAAACAAAATAATTTTTCAGTGTGCACTAAAGTGTTTTAATTGTGTGTATAAATCTATGCTTTTATACAAATACATATATGTAAATGTAAGTATTTCGTAGGAAAACTAGCTGTGAAATGTTTCACGTGCAAAAATTAAACACTATACATATTCTAGTTAAATCTCTTTGGAGTGGATAAATCACAAGACGCCTTTCTTTTTTTCTTTCTTTCTTTTTTTTTTTTTGAGGTGGAATCTTGCTCTATCGCCCAGTCTGGAGTGCAGTGGCGCAATCTTGGCTCACTGCAAGCTCTGCCACAAGAGGCCTTTCTTAATACAGCTATTGAGGTGAGAAATTTTGAGAAGCTTTCATTTAAATAAACCCATTGAAAGCATATTTGTCTGTGTACTCTCCTAAGATTACATTAAAATCATAGACAAGAATTTAGAGATAAAAATTCACAAGGAAAAATAGAATGAGAGGGAGACAACTTATTTATTAATGTTGCAATTGTTATTTTGGGCATTTTTGTTTTAAATTTAGAGTTGCCATACTTAGTGAGACTGGGAGACAAGCATTATTTTTGGATGAATTTAAGCGGTTGGAACTACCTGCAAAATGGAATAAGCTTCCACCTAACACATAGTTTCCTTTTCCCGTTATTCCTCAGCAATTAATCAGAGATGGAATCTTCACTTATGCAAATGCTGTTTACAGGGCATTCGATTAGTATTTGTGTTTGTGTGTGTATGTTATGGAGCATGGATTGGAGCTGGGGGTTTTGAGGGACCAGATGATGTTGTACCTTTTTATCCCATTGAGTATCTGTGATTCAAAAACTTTACAACCCCTTTCTTATTTACAAACCTAGTATATTCTGTGGTGTTATTATTTTAAAAATCTGAACTATCATCTTTATGATAATTAATAGCAACTAGGAAATTTAAGAAAAATTTTGAGTAACTACTATTTTTTATTTATTATTTTGTCTCTTATAGAAGCAGTACAATTTGATGATTGTTTCAAATGAAAACAAGACACTTTCAATTAACTTACATAGGTACTTGAATTGTGTTGGATTTAGTGCTGCAGCTTTCAGTTTACTAGCAAATGCTTGTGCTGTACTTTTATTTTTTTATTTTACTTTTTGCAATTTTTTTTTATTATACTTTAAGTTCTAGGGTACATGTGCACAACGTGCAGGTTTGTTACATATGTATACACGTGCCATGTTGGTGTGCCGCACCCATTAACTTGTCATTTACATTAGGTATATCTCTAATGCTATCCCTTCCCCCTCCCCCCACCTCACAACAGGCCCTAGTGTGTGATGCTCCCCTTCCTGTGTCCATGTGTTCTCATTGTTCAATTCCTACCTGTGAGTGAGAACATGTGGTGTTTGGTTTTCTGTCCTTGTGACAGTTTGCTGAGAATGATGGTTTCCAGCTTCATCCATGTCCCTACAAAGGACACGAACTCATCATTTTTTATGGCTGCATAGTATTCCATGGTGTATATGTGCCACATTTTCTTAATCCAGTCTATCATTGATGGACATTTGGGTTGGTTCCAAGTCTTTGCTATTGTGAATAGTGCCACAATAAACATACATGTGCATGTGTCTTTATAGCAGCATGATTTATAATCCTTTGGGTATATACCCAGTAATGGGACGGCTGGGTCAAATGGTATTTCTAGTTCTAGATCCCTGAGGAATTGCCACACTGTGTTCCACAATGGTTGAACTAGTTTACAGTCCCACCAACAGTGTAAAAGTGTTTCTATTTCTCCACATCCTCTCTAGCACCTGTTGTTTCCTGACTTTTTAATGATCACCATTCTAACTGGTGTGAGATGGTATCTCATTGTGGTTTTGATTTGCATTTCTCTGATGGCCAGTGATGATGAACATTTTTTCATGTGTCTTTTGGCTGCATAAATGTCTTCTTTTGAGAAGTGTCTGTTCATATCCTTCACCCACTTTTTGATGGGGTTTTTTTTTTTTTCTTGTAAATTTGTTTGAGTTCATTGTAGATTCTGGATATTAGCCCTTTGTCAGATGAGTAGATTGCAAAAATTTTCTCCCATTCTGTAGTTGCGTGTTCACTCTGATGGGAGTTTCTTTTGCTGTGTGGAAGCTCTTTAGTTTAATTAGATCCCATTTGTCTATTTTGGCTTTTGTTGCCATTGCTTTTGGTGTTTTAGACATGAGGTCCTTGCTCATGCCTATGTCCTGAATGGTATTGCCTAGGTTTTCTTCTAGGGTTTTTATGGTTTTAGGTCTAACATTTAAGTCTTTAAGCCATCTTGAATTAATTTTTGTATAAGGTGTAAGCAAGGCATCCAATTTTAGATTTCTACGTATGGCTAGCCAGTTTTCCCAGCACCATTTATTAAATAGGGAATCCTTTCCCCATTTCTTGTTTTTGTCAGGTTTGTCAAAGATGAGATGGTTGTAGATGTGTGGTATTACTTCTGAGGGCTCTGTTGAGTTCCATTGGTCTATATCTCTGTTTTGGTACCAGTACCATGCTGTTTTGGTTACTGTAGCCTTGTAGTATAGTTCGAGGTCAGGTAGCATGATGCCTCCAGCTTTGTTCTTTTGGCTTAGGATTATCTTGGCAATGCGGGCTCTTTTTTGATTCCATATGAACTTTAAAGTAGTTTTTTCCTATTCTGTGAAGAAAGTCATTGGTAGCTTGATGGGGATGGCATTGAATCTATAAATTACCTAGGGTAGTATGGCCATTTTCACGATATTGATTCTTTCTGTCCATGAGCATGAAATGTTCTTCCATTTGTTTGTGTCCTCTTTTATTTCGTTGAGCAGTGGTTTGTAGTTCTCCTTGAAGAGATGTGCTCTACTTTTAAACAGAAGGCACAAAATAAAAAAGAAAAAGTCAGTATTTTAAAAGCTAGAAAATTAACTAGGGTGATTTTCTGTTTAGAGTTGGTTAAACCTAGTTTGAATCCCAAGTTTGCTATTTTCCAGTTGTATTACCGTTAGCACATTGTTTATCCTTTTTTCAGTCTCAGGTTCTTTTTCTGTAAAACGAAGAAATGAAGTAGAAGTAGAATCTACTGAAGGGCTTTTATGAATATTTAATGAGATTAAGCATGTGAAGGATTTACCACATTGCCTTGTAAATGCTTAATTATCATTGGCCATTAATAATAGGATGATGTTAACATTGTAGACAGTCAGCCCCATGCATAACAGATGTGACCTATGATAAGTCATATAACATACCTTAATAAAGGTCTAGAGCTAAGAACCATCCGGAAAATCTCATTCAATAGACTTTCCATGGAATTCTGTAAAAACGTGGGTAACAATCAGTTTCTCACTTTTCCCAGGAAAATGCCAAATAGATTAAACATGTAAAGATAATGTTTCCTATTTTGACATTGTCCTAGAGAGGCTAGGTAAGAGGCAGTGTCTGTTCTAGAAAACCTGTTTTTCTATATCCATTCAGTTATGTA
This sequence comes from Homo sapiens, assembly GCF_000001405.40. NCBI lineage: Eukaryota > Metazoa > Chordata > Mammalia > Primates > Hominidae > Homo > Homo sapiens. Next base: position 23,896,226 of record NC_000009.12, read on the forward strand.
AGTAGCTATTGTTAGTTTACATCACTGTGCAGGGGTTTGGCTGGCATAACAAGATGCTGAAGTGTTTTAAATGCATGAGCCTGGTATTCCTGTGTGACTAAGTGCATTGTTTACTAATGACATTAAGTGTAGGGTAGCTCATTTAAAAATTGGTGTATTGTATAAAATGAACCCGATTTAAAATAAGACCATGTATTTTATTTAATCCAAAAATTAATGTTCCTGAAGAAAATGCAAACCAATTTTAACAGTTACTATGTAATTCTGATAAAAATATCTGGCAAAAATGATCAGCAATTACTTACTGTTAAGCCTATTCTACTTGTACTGAATGGAGAGAGATTTAAAAAAATTTTAATTTAAGGAATATGTAATAGTAGGAGCCCAGAATCATAATGTTCACAGAGAGTAATGGTTTATTAACTACAATTCATATATCCTGAGACTAGATGTGATTTCCTTTTGAGCTTTGACATAAAAAAAGCAACAAGCAGTGCTAGTTTGCTTGAAAAGAAACTGACTTCTGTTGTAACTCGCTGCTGTAAAACATTTTTTTTTCCAGTTAGGCAAAAAAAGTAGGAATAATCTAGCAAATGGTTTCAAAAGGAGAAAAAAGTACCAATACTTAGAGCTGTTAATGTTCAGCCTCACCTCAGACATCAAGTTTTCTGATTATATGTAATGCAAAAAGCATATTCATAGAAATAAAACAAAGAGGAGGGGGAAATCAATTATTTCTTCATATACCTTTTTAATCTTGCAAGCTTAACTAATGACACACTCAGAAAGAGCATTCTTCATAATGGGTATAAAAATGGCCTAATTTGAGAGACAATGTATCTGGCATGCATACCCAGTAGGTATTCAGCAAACTCTTGAGGTTTCATGTTAACATAATAAAATATTGTACTGTTCAGCAAACTCTTGAGGTTTCATGGTAACATAATGAAATATTGTACTGTTCCTTGTAGGCTAAATTTTTCTTTACCTTTTACAATCCGTAGCCTAATAATATTTTGTTCAACTGTACCTGCGTCTAAATTTGAAATTACTTTGCTGAAAATTGTAGATGTACTGTTCTGAAGCCACTAAACTTTTCCTTTTCCTTCTCATCACAACCTCATCCAAATCTTTTATTATTAGTTTTTAGAATACACACCATAAACATTAATAAAACTCACTTAGGCATAGCTATTTTATTCAGGTGTCAGGAAAGGTGTCCACCTTTGTTACAGTGTTGACAATTTGGTTTAACTTCTTCAGCCTCTTCAATAAGGAAATGTTGGAATCAAATGTGATTATACTTGTGTTAGCCTGGTAATCACTCTGAGGTGTGTGGCTTAATTTAATTTAAAAATAAGTTGTTGTGTGTATAGGGGAAGGGCATTTGGGACAGACTCTTGATGATTTTTCACAAAAGTCAATGTAATATATATTTATAAACCTATAACTTAAATTCTTAAATTTGTATATCTGAAGGATTCATAAATTTTACATTCTCAGATCCTCACCTAATGATATAGTATTTTTCAGATTATATTTAAGTTTTTAATATGAAAAATTTCAAACACAAAAAAGTAGAAGAGTAAAATAAATCCTCACATATTTATCACTCAATTTTAACAGTTACTGAGACTTTCCCGAGATTGCTTCAACATTTTACTTGGTAGAAGTATTTTACATAAACTTTTCTTTTCTTTTTTTTTTTTTCTGAAGAATAACAAATATAGGAAAAGTCCCATATACCATAAGAACATACCAGTATAAGCATCTACATCAAGAAGCAGAACATCAGCAAAACGCCAGGATTTCTAATGCCCCTTTTGGGACTGTTAAAAACGTTAGACAGACTCCGGGCACAGAGGCTCACGCCTGTAATCCCAGCACTTTGGGAGGCCAAGGTGGATGGATCACGAGGCAGGAGATCGAGACCATCCTGGCTAACACAGTGAAACCCCATCTCTACTTAAAAAAAAAAAAAAAAAAATTAGCCCGGCGTGGTGGCGGGTGCCTGTGGTCCCAGCTACTCGGGAGGCTGAGGCAGGAGAACAGGGAGGTGGAGCTTGCAGTGAGCAGAGATCGCACCACTGCACTCCAGCCTGGGCAACAGGGCGAGATTCCGTCTCGAAAAAAAAAAAAACCAAAAACAAAAAAACACCTTAGAGAAACTAAATTTAACAGACCTTCATTGAACAAAGAATGACTCGTGGATTGGGCAGCCCCCCGAACCTGTTTTCACTTCAGAGAGATTCCGGTGCTATCGTGTGTGGTCAAAGAAGATTTATGGCTAGAAAAAGGAAAGAGACATACAGAAAATAGAAGTAAGGTACAGAAACAGTCAGATTGGTTACAGATCAGAGTTTGCCTTATTTGAACCTAGCTTGAAGAGTTGGCTACCTTTGATTGGCTGAAACTCGGTGATTGGCACAAGAGTAGGTTACAGTCTGTTTACACGTGCAGTTAGGTTATAGAAACCTTTAAATGAAAGAGACAGCTTTATGTTAAACTTAATTTAACAGGCTCAGAAAACAATACATAAAAACATGGCACTTTTACATGCTGAACTAAAGCGGCAGCCTCAATGTCTCTATGACCTTGCCCCGATCTTCTGTCTCTCAATTTTCTCCTTCCCAAACCACAGGACGAAACCCTTCTCTGAAATTCCCTTATCTACCTAAAAACTGGACCCACCAAATAGCAACGCATTTGCCTTCGATCCCCTCCCTGAAATTTCATTAGATGGAGAAGAATAAAACTCATATTTCAGAGGAAGAGACTAAGCATTAAACAGCACACCCAGGGCCCACACAAACTTTGTCCAAAACTATTACCTGTTCTCTGGTCCCATTCAATTTCCAAAGAGAATCACTTACTTAAAATTGTTTGAGCATTGGGCTCGTTCATTTTCCCTGAAAATCATTTACTACCTCTCCCAATTGCCTAAACTCTCCATTTCTGTCTCCTCTACGAAGAGTGTATGTAAGCCTCAACCATCTGGCCCTTCTTGGAGTCTCATCTTTGCAGGAATCCATGTCCATATGTATGTTAATAAATTTGTATGCCTTTTTCTTTTTAAAATCTGTCTATTGTCAGTAATTGTAACAGATCTTCAGTGGGTGGAGAAGAAGCTTTCTCTCCATCCTTACACCCCCCTCACCATTTAACTCCATCCAGATACCTCCATCACTATTCCCAACTTCAGGAGTAACCAGTATTATGACCTCTATCAAAGCAGATTAGTTTTACCTGTTTTGGAAATTGTATATAAATTAAATTATATAGTATATAATTTTGCATCTGTCTTGATTCGCTCAACATTATGTTTATGAGACTCACTCAGCTGTAGTTTGTTCATTCTGTTGTAGTATAGTATTCAATTGAATATATAGACCACCGTTGATCCATTTTAAATCTGTTGAACATTTGGATTATTTCCTGTCTTTGGTATTAGAAATTGTGCTGCCGTTAACATTCTTGTGTGTGTCTTTGGTGAAAATATGTATGCATTTCTGGTCTGTATTCATTTGCTAAAGTAGCTTACAGCAAGTTCCAGACATTGTTATTTTATTCTTACACATGAGCATATTTTAGTATGCATCCAAGAAGTATGACATCTTCTCACATAACCATAATTGCTTGTTACCATCTGATGCCTTGTCCTTTATTATTTAAAATGCACTATTAAATGGGGAAATCTCTTTTCTTCAGCATAGCTTTTGAATATAGCAAGCTGAAAATATTGAAGTTGAAATACTCCGAAGCTGACAGTAGTTTTCTTTAGCTTTGATAGACAGGTCAGTCAAATAATCAACAAGTATTTATTGAGCTCCTTTTTGGTGGATCAACTAAGTCATGTTCTTAGCTCTATTCACACTCCTCAATACACTGACAGACCAAATGGAATTTAAGCGGAGAAAACCATTCCTTTTGATAAATTGTTAGTCATATAATTGTTTATATTAGGTACTACAAAATAATAATTCAACTCATAAAGAAAATGGACTGTGGAGCATATTTTAATAAAGAGTGACTTTAATGAAGAGTGACTTAAGTGACATTTTTCCTGTAGTGAATGTTATAGCTATATGATTCCTGGCAAATATTTAGAATAATTAGATATTATATTACATAAGATGTATAAATATAACAATATTAATTTAAGTATAAATTAAAGTTAATATGTTATTATAATTAAATAATTAATAATGAAAACATTTAAGGGGTTTTCTTATGCAGATCCTGCGTTTGATTTTATTTTATGAACATAATATCAATTGTAAGAGGTGATTTTTTCGCTTGGGATCTATGACGAATCAAATAATTTGAAATATCTTTGCTTGTATTCTCTTGGTTTACGTTCTCAGATGGGACAACTCTTTTGTTAATAGAAAACAGTTTTTTTGCCTCCAATTTTCTACATAATTTTTTATTCTAAACACTGAAAATTGTCTCACAGACCTGGCCTTAAGTTCTGATTTTCCAGCGTACTAGCTCTGTGATCAAGATCAAGCAGCAACTTCTCTGAGGCCCAATTTCCTTATCTAAATCATATGGTGATAATTCCTTCCTCTGTTTTTTGCATATTTATTTATAAATGTTTTACTATATATTAAGAAGTTTCTTCTAGAGGCTCACAATGTGTATAAGAATTCTTTTTTCTTTCTTTTTTTTTTTTTTAGATGGTCTCACTATGTCACCCAGGCTGGAGTGCAATGGCAAAATCATAGCCAAAGAATCCTCCCACTTCAGCCTCCAGAGTAGCTGTGACTACAGGCACTAAGCCTGGCTAGTTTAAACAATTTTTTTTTTTTTAAGATGCCGGATCTCACTTTGTTGCCCAGGCTTGTCAGCATAAGAATTCTTAGCATGATACTTTAATAGCTACAATTTCAAAAATCAAAAGAATAGCAAAACTACAGAAGGACTAGTCAAACTTTCTGCTTTCGGTTTGAATCTTTTTTCTTGGACTTTTGGTCACTCAAAACAACAGAAGCAATGACAACAACAGCTATGATTTACTGAAGCTCACTATATACCAAGTACTATATTCATTATTTTGTGTAAAATATTTATAATTTTCACAACAATGCTGTAAATGGTATGGCAATAATTAATAATAGTAACTTATACCTTGATTACAAATGAAGACACCAAGGCTTAGAGAATATAAATAATTTTTTCATTGTCACATAGCTGGTAAATAGCAGAAGCAGTTTCCAATTCCTTTTACTTTTATTTGACTAGGTCAAGATTTCTTTTATACAAAGTAAATTCACTTTTCACTATTATCTTTGCAAATAGAATTATAAGCTCTATGATGTAGTTATGTTAACTTTCAGTAAATTTTTAAAGAAATGCCAGTAAATAATGCTGTTTTACCAACAGCATTTTACCAACAGTGCCATTTCACTCCGTGAGTAGTTTCAGATTGTAAAAAATTAATATTCTTCCTATTAATGTTTGTAAAGAGAGCCTAAACAATTTAGAAAAATTTTATATTAAATATAAAATGTGTATATTTTCAGGAAATTATTTTTACAAGGTAATAGCTTTAAAATATAGCTACAAAATAATTGGTTTAATATTAACTAACTTGATTCATCTTTTGTGATACATTGGGGCATTAATTAGATGCACAGAAGGCGTCAAGAACCTTGACTAACTGCTATGCCACATTTTATATGGAGTTATCAATGTACAGGATCTTAGCATTCATTTTAAAGAAAAGTATCATTAAAGGCTCTGTTGCAAAATGTCTGCTTACGTAATGAGGAGTCATGTGATCTGCCTATTCAGAAATCACATTGTTATTTATCTATATTCTCATCAGTCTAATATCAAATTATATTTCATCCTTCCCACTTTCTTAGATGCATTCAATATAAAGAATGATGGAACAACTCAAAATGCTTGAAAACAGTTGCCACTTTGCCTTATACATTATAATTATAGCTCTAGTCTCTTTTCTGATTAAATATTGAGTTTATAGCTAAACACAGTGGCACCAGTATCTAATCCCAGCTACTCAGGAGGCTGAGATGGGAAGTTCAAGACCAGCCTGGGCAACATAGCAAAAGTCCCTCAACAAAGAAAAAAACAATAAACTGAAAATTACTTACTTCTCATGTGTTCAATAAAATATTAGTATTCTAAACTTAATAAAGATTACCATGTGGAAACCATATTATTTCTTGGAGGAACAATTAATGTTTTCTAGCCCTGCTTGTCTGCTTCCTTGCCATGGTCAGTGCTTTCAAAGGTCCCCAAGAGGTTGGACTGTGTGTGTTGTGTGTGTGGTGTGAGGGATGTGTGTGTGACTATTTTTGTTTGTGGGAGGTAAGGGGTAGGATGGAGTGGGGATGAGGATGTGATAATTTGAAGTGGCTGTTAATTTTAACTTGACTGCATTAAGAAATATCTAGAGAACTGATGAAGCATTACTTCTGGGTGTGTCTGTGAGGGTGTTTCCAGAGGACATTGGCACATGAATCAGTGGACCAAGTCTGGAAAATCTGCCCTCAATGTGAGCAGATACCATCCAATTGGCTGGGGGCCTGGACAGAACAAATGGGATGAGAAAGAATTTCCTCTCCCTTTCTGCCTCTCTCTCTCTCCTGGAGTTTAAACACTCTCCCCCTCCTACCTCTGGACATTGAAGCTCCAGACTCCAGCATTGGGACTTCAGGCCTTACACCAGCACCCACTGGGTTCTCAGATCTTTGGTCTCAGGCTGAGAAACATACTCTTGTCTTCCCTGATTGTGGTGCTTTAGAACTTGGGGTGAGCCATGTACCCAGCACCCCAGGCTCTCTACCTTGCAGACGGCCTCTTGTGGGACTTCTCAATCTCCATAGTTGTGTGAGGCAATTCCCCTAATAAATCCTCTACCTATCTATCATCTATCTATTTATTTAAACATATATCATATTGGTTCTGTCTCTCTGGAGAACCCTGACTAATACAGAGTGTTTTTGTGGGAAAGAAGTGAGAGAAAAACAGAATACATCAAAGACAGGAACTTTCAAATTAGTGTTGCTAAGTGTACAGAGGTACTTCTTCTGAGGTAAAACTTTCCCATCATCAGAAACTTGAAAGCCTAAAGAACTTTGCTCAATATATTGTGTAGGGGATTTGGATATTTGGATTTAATATCAAGGCCACTTACACATGTAAGAGTCTAGGAATTCATGATTCTAAATGATAGGAAACTACTTAGAGGTCTTTGGCTGGCAATTATGAATTAGATTAAGTTCAAAGAGGGAAGGTTTTTATTTTTCTTCTTGCATGGCTACAAGAGCAGTTTCAAACACATGATAATAACAGTTCTTTGTCTTACAAGATGAAAGTTTGATTCTACTCTCCATTCTCTATTATCAAGAGTAATTCAATTAAAATTTTATTTCAAGCTCATCTTCTATCAGAGTTTTGTCTTTGGTATGCTTGCATTCTAATATATCCTATATAAGTCATTCAAACTGGTGAGCATCTCATTTGGCAAAAAGAATGCAGTTGTGTTTTTCATAAACAGCAGTTTGGAAAACTGGGTACAGAGAACAAACTGTTCACTTAGCATTGCAGTTACTTTGTTCTATTTCTCTGTGATATGCTCTAATTTTATTACCATAAACAAATGATAGGCATAGGGATAGAAAGTGGAGTACAGGCCATATCCTGAATTGGCTTTCAATTGTGACTTGTTCTGAATCCATTCGTACATTCAAGAATGGCTATTCTGAAATTAAATTTGCTTGGCATATCTAGGCTATCATTTTCTTTTGTTTTATGGAGCTTATCTTCGTTCTGTGGGATGATATAATTCAGGTCTAGTTGGTCACTCTATCATTTCAGTTGGTGAAGCTTTTCCTCATGGAGATTTTATTATGTTTAGGAACTCATTTTCTCTTTAGCTATGGGATGAATGTCTGTCATTAACATCAGTTTTTCCTCAATTTTCATCTTTGTGTGACCTGCATCAGCATCACCTGGGATCATTGTTATAATACAGATTTCAAAACAGACATATGGAATAAAAAATGCAGATATCTTGATTTTTAACTAATTGCCCAGGTAATTCTTATTTAACCTAACATTTAAAACCTTGTTCTTCTAACTTATTACATATATTCTCCCAATTTCACTAGTTTCTCAAAGAAAGGTCCACTACTTTTACATAGCCTGGCTCCTTTCCCTCAGTCACAGGTTTTCCTCACTGAGGCAAGTCCCCTTGTTGCACCATAAATCTTTCCTCCTAGTTGCCAGGTCTAGAATCTAATGTCTCAAAAGAATACTTTGATGGTTACAATTATTGATCAACTTGGCTAGGCTATGGCACCCAATTGTTTGCTCAAACATTAGTCTAGATATTAGTCAATGGAAGTATTTTGTAGATGTGCTGAAGATCTATAATCAGGTGACTTTCAGTAGATTGACCTAGATAATGTGGGTGTGCCTCATCCAATTAGTTGCCTTGAAAGCAAAACCTGAGGTTTCCCAGAGAAGAAGAAATTCTGCCTCACGATGGACATAGAAATCTTGGCTGGGTTTCTAGCCTGCCCTATGGATTTCAAATTTCAGACTTGCCAGTCAGTCACATAAGGTAAAGCAATTCCTTTTTATTTTTTTAAAATAGAGATTGGGTCTTTCTATGTTGCTCAGGCTGTTCTCGAATTCCCTTTCTATGTTGCCCAGGCTGGTCTTGAACTCTGGGCTACAAGTGATCCTCCCTCTTTGGCCTCCCAAAGTGCTGGGATTACAGGCAAGCCATTGCACCCATCTGTAAGGCAATTCCTTAAGCTCCATCTCTCTTTCTTTCTTTCACTAGAAAACCTTGGTTGGTACAAATACTTTCAGTTGTCCATGTGACGCTCATATTTAGGAGCCCATATCCTCAAGAACTCCTTTGCAGGTCCCTCAGTATGTGTTTATATAACCAATAGATCTGTCTTCTGTCTTGAATCTTAAATTATTGGTTGCCTCCCCTCAGCTGGTCTCTAACACAAAGCCTTATGGAGAACAATGAATTCCTTCCAGTTCATCTAATTGCTAATTATTGTTTGCTACCTGTACTACTTCATTCTGATCTCCGTTTAATAGATTGAGATCACCAAAGCTGTACATGTAGGAAATGGCATTATTCACTTGACTCTACCTTTATAATGAAGGTAGTATCCCCAGGACCTTAGTTATTTTAGAATACAGGTATTTCAGATTCTCTCTGCTCCCCACCCTTTTCCCTTGTCTTCTCTGATTTTCCCAAGCAGATCATTATGCCTTGACTCTGAGCACTGATTTATCAATATAAATATCCTTAGTGTGATCAAATAGTTATATTGTTATTATTTATTTGTATGTTTATTATTACCTTGTTCCATGTCAAATTTATGTCTCAAGTTTTAAAAAAAATTAAATGTAATGAGATGAGATAGTGAGATGAGAAAACATTTTATCTTAACAATTATTGGCCTCAGAATTCTTCTCACAGTGAGAAGAGTTTCAGGGTAAAAAGCTCATTTGTGACAAATTGTACTTTGTGGCAAGGATTTGGCAGTTGCCAAAACCATATGTTATAGTGGTAGGCAGTATTACATAGTGGCTCAAAGGACAGGCTCTAGAATCAGACCGTATGGGTTCAAATCTCAGCTCTGCCACTAATTAGCTGTGTGAATGTGGAAGAATCACTAGATCTTCTAGTTTCCTCATCAGTAATAAACACAATAATATTAACAGTTACTTCCTAGGGTTGTTGTGAAAAATAAATATGATAATACTTGTAAAACAACACAGTGTCGGAAGCACATGAAGTACTCAATAAATGTTAGCTATTATTTTTTTCATTATCAGAAGAGGGAAAGTTGCTCTGCACAAGACAGAGAAGAGAAGGGGAGAGGAAGGCAGGGATTCTGGAGAGTTGGGGAAAACCTGTAATTATATTACAATAGTAAAGTGGCAAAAGAGCACTCAAAAATAGTTCAGGCTTAATATTCTTTGGGAAATTGAATAGCTGAGATAGAAGCTATTTCCTATCTCCTCCTTCAAAGTCTACTAAACTCATGAATGCTTTATGCCATCTGTGCGTGTGTATGTGTACATTGAAGAGAGTGATGAGTTTCATATCTAGATTCAAGCTTTGTGTAATATTGTATACATGGCAGTGCAACCAGGATGGCAAAAGTGGTTCTGAGAACATCAACCCTTCAAGAATTTGTTGTAATTTTTGGAAGTGTTTTTATGGGTTAGAAATCAGATTGTAAGCAGATACGGAGGTTCTTCAGCTGACTGTAGGAATTCATCCACCTTGAGCAATCTACCTGCTTTATAGCATCCTATCCTACAGGCTGTCGGTTTTCAAGCCCTGTGTGGTATGTGTCCACCTAGTCAGTTGAAACCAGTTCCTGACAGACCCATTTATACATGAACCTGAGTGAACTTTCCTCATTGCCATGCTAAAGTTTCCATCCCAGGACCAGCTGTGGCTTCATTACCATAACATGTGACCTATGTGCTGGCATGATGACTCAATGCACCTGTGCAAGTGGGACCCCTCCTCTCTATGCAACGATGCACCCTCTTTCCCGCTCCATTGTCCCATAAAACCCTCCTGTCACTTCCCCTCAGAGAGACACTGCTTTGGAGAATAGTTCCAGTGCTCTCCTTACTTTTGACAACTAATAAAACTATTCATCAAAACCCATGTTCTTGTGATGAGTCACTTGTTAACAGGAGAAAGAACCTTGGTTCTTTTTGGGTAACAAGATCAAGCCAAGTTTGCTCAGTTCAGGACGGGGGACCCCCAGATAATATCTTGGTTAAATTCATATTTTTAAAATTGTTATCGTAAAAATAGGACATGCTCCTTGTAGTGCTCCATATTAGTCTTCGAAGGGTGTCATAAATTAGCAAAGACTAGCACTGTAAGGTTAGCTACTACTGCAACAGTCACTAAAAAGTAATTTTAATATTTACTTGCATCTATAGACCAAAAATGAGGATCAAATTTATATTCCCAAACTATACTTTCTAAAATACCTTTTTTTTAAATTTTACTTTAAGTTCTGGGATACATGTGCAGAACGTGCCAAATAGGTACACATGTGCCATGGTGGTTTGCTGCACCTCTTATTGACCTTGTTATTTCTCTGAAGACTCTTAGGAAACTCCCAAAACCTTCCCAGAAACCCAGATCTTTGGATCACTTATCTCCCCCTCCCAGGTCTTTGTTATGTGTTAGGTTGGTGCAAAAGTAATTGTGGTTTTTGTCATTACTTTCAATGGCAAGTAAGTAGCATAGCCTCTATAGCTAAGGAAGCTCTCCATTCTCTCATTCTTACACTTTTGCATCACAAAAGAACAGGTCCAGCAAGGAAGGAATCCTCATGAGAAAGTAGGAATGGAGAATCCAAATGGGCAATGACAAAACTATCTTTCGTAGGAAAAGAGAAAAGGAGAGAAAAACAGAATACACTCTCACATAAAAAACCCTTTTTTTCCTGGTGATATCAAAAAATGTAAAAGAAAAAGAATCACCTGGAATCTAATCACCTATGTATTTTAAGTTTCTTGAGAGGGTCTGAGCTTCACGCATTAACATGGATTAATGTTAATCATTGTTTGATAGTATGTTAATATTAAATATATAATGTAAGCCATATTTTAAGATACTAAAATCTTAAAGGATACTAACAAAATTGGGCCATTAATATGCTAAGAAGGACAGCATAAGAAAAAGCAATTACAGGACAATTTCTCTAATACACATATATCATATATGAGATTATGCTAGCCTCATTAAATAATATAGGGATTATAACCTCTATTTCTATTCTCTGGAAGACTTGGATATGATTGGAATGATTTATTCCTTGAATGACTGGAAGTCTTCATTCGTGATGTTATTTGGGTCTGGAGTTTTCCATGTGGCAAGATGTTTCATTTCGGATTCAATTTCTTTCATAGCATAAGACTACGCAGGTCATTTTATTTTTGCCTAAATCAGTCTTATAATTTGTACTTTCTAGAAAATTTTCATACTCATCTAAATTTTCAAATGTTTTGGCATGAAGTTGTTTATAATATACTCATAAGTTTTTGGAATCTGCATTATCTTTAATAATTCCCTTAACTGTGTCTTAATAGTAGCAATTTCTACTAGTTTATTGTTCCTATCTATTTAATTCTGGAATAGAAAGGGAACAGAATTCAGGTAGCATGATGCCTCCAGCTTTGTTCTTTTGGCTTAGGATTGACTTTGCAATGCGGGCTCTTTTTTGCTTCCATACGAACTTTAGTTTTTTCCAATTCTGTGAAGAAAGTCATTGGTAGCTTGATGGGAATGGCATTGAATCTATAAATTACCTTGGGCAGTACGGCCATTTTCACGATATTGATTCTTCCTATCCATGAGCATGGAATGTTCTTCTATTTGTTTGTGTCCTCTTTTATTTCATTGAGCAGTGGTTTGTAGTTCTCCTTGAAGAGGTCCTTCACATCCCTTGTAAGTTGGATTCCTAGGTATTTTATTCTCTTTGAAGCAATTGTGAATGGGAATTCACTCATGATTTGGCTCTCTGTTTGTCTGTTACTGGTGTGTAAGAATGTTTGTGATGTTTGCACATTGATTTTGTATCATGAGACTTCGCTGAATTGCTTATCAGCTTAAGGAGATTTTGGGCTGAGATGATGGAGTTTTCTAAAGATACAATCATGTCATCTGCAAACAGGGACAATTTGACTTCCTCTTTTCCTAACTGAATACCCTTTATTTCTTTCTCCTGACTGATTACCCTGGCCATAACTTCTAACACTATATTGAATAGGAGTGGTGAGAGAGGGCAGCCCTGTCTTGTGCCAGTTTTCAAAGGGAATGCTTCCAGTTTTTGCTGGAGGCATCACACTACCTGACTTCAAACTATACTACAAGGCTACAGTAACCAAAACAGCATGGTACTGGTACCAAAACAGAGATATAGACCAATGGAACAGAACAGAGCCCTCAGAATTAATACCACACATCTACAACCATCTCATCTTTGACAAACCTGACAAAAACAAGAAATGGGGAAAGGATTCCCTATTTAATAAATGGTGCTGGGAAAACTGGCTAGCCATATGTAGAAAGCTAAAATTGGATCCCTTGTTTACACCTTATACAAAAATTAATTCAAGATGGCTTAAAGACTTAAATGTTAGACCTAAAACCATAAAAACCCTAGAAGAAAACCTAGGCAATACCATTCAGGACATAGGCATGGGCAAGGACTTCATGTCTAAAACACCAAAAGCAATGGCAACAAAAGCCAAAATTGACAAATGGGATCTAATTAAACTCAAGAACTTCTGCATGGCAAAAGAAACTCCCATCAGAGTGAACAGGCAACCTACAGAATGGGAGAAAATTTTTGCAATCTACTCATCTGACAAAGGGCTAGTATCCAGAATCTACAAAGAACTCAAACAAATTTACAAGAAAAAAACAACCCCATCAAAAAGTGGGTGAAGGATATGAACAGACACTTCTCAAAAGAAGACATTTATGCAGCCAAAAGACACATGAAAAAATGCTCATCATCACTGGCCATCAGAGAAATACAAATCAAAACCACAATGAGATACCATCTCACACCAGTTAGAATGGTGATCATTAAAAAGTCAGAAAACAACAGGTGCTAGAGAGGATGTGGAGAAATAGAAACACTTTTACACTGTTGGTGGGACTGTAAACTAGTTCAACCATTGTGGAAGACAGTGTGGTGATTCCTCAAGGATCTAGAACTAGAAATACCATTTGACCCAGGCATCCCATTACTGGGTATATACCCAAAGGATTATAAATCATGCTGCTATAAAGACACATGCACACGTATGTTTATTGTGGCACTATTCACAATAGCAAAGACTTGGAACCAACCCTAATGTCCATCAATGATAGACTGGATTAAGGAAATGTGGTACATATACACCATGGAATTCTATGCAGCCATAAAAAATGATGAGTTCATGTCCTTTGTAAGGACATGGATGAAGCTGGAAACCATCATTCTCAGCAAACTGTCACAAGGACAGAAAACCAAACACTGCATGTTCTCACTCATAGGTGGGAATTGAACAATGAGAACACTTGAACACAGTATGGGAAACATCACACACTGGGGCCTGTCATGGGGTGGGAGGAGGGGGGAGGGATAGCATTAGGAGATATACCTAATGTAATGATGAGTTAATGGGTGCAGCACACCAACATGGCACATGTATACATATGTAACAAACCTGCACGTTGTGCACATGTACCCTAGAACTTAAGGCATATATATATATATAGTCATCTTAAAAAAAAAAAGGGAACAGAATTTCCTTTCTTTCTTTCATACCACTCTGTAAAATGTCTACTGCCTTTTACCCTGAGAATGGCATGGTGGATTAAAGATGAACATATTGCCAGGTGCAGTGGCATGTGCCTGTAGTCCCAGCTACTTGGAAGGCTGAGACAGGAGGCTTGCTTGAGCCCGTGAGTTCAAGGCTGTATTGTCCTACCATCATGCTTGTGAATAGCCACTGCATTCTAGCCTGGGGAGCTGACTGAGACCCCATCTCTTAAAAAAAAAAGATGACCATACATTTCTTGATATTTCTCCCATGAAGTGAGGGGTCTAGCTCCCCCCATCTTTGTTAAAATATGCCCCGAGCTGACAGATGAAATGAACTCTTGGGGCCAAAATGAGGCACACCAGAAATAGAATCAAGTGGCCATATCAGGGAGAAGGGTTGGGCATATACCCCTATATTACTAGCTGCCATAACATCTTCTGTCCTGTAATTGAACAGAAACTAACCCTCAAAAAAACATTGTTAAAACAGCTGCTGGGAGTTTCCCAGCTGCCCGATCCTACTGGATTGCCTAACACCAGTCACTGGCAACTGGACTCACTACACAGCCCCTCTGCCCCCTCCCCACCTCCCACCAGCAGCTCTGAGTTGACAATAGACCTACTGTGTGAACTGTGTTTCCTGATAAACACCCACAGACCTTAAGCCAGTTTCACCAGGTTTACAGAACCTGTTCACGGAATGTTTTTGTGCCCCACAGAACATTTTTATGCCCTTCAGTTCACCTTTTGGTGTAAAGAGCCAAATTTTACCTCATTTTAACATTAAAATTTCACCCTAAAATGAGCCTAAAATATATATTACAAATATGTTTACTCATTGCATATATGCTTGACTTTCCTTGTAAATATTCACAAACTTTCCCCAAGCCTGCTAAATATGCACCTTAGACAGACTGAAAGATGTAAATGCCTCTTTTCCTCTCTCCTTCTTTGACCATACTTTCATTTTACATTGGAGGCTATGTCTTCCCATCTATAGATTTTTTAAAAAATAGAAAATAAGACTCTCCCATTTTCCTCCACAGATTTCATGGTCTTGTGTTAACATTTCAAATCTGGTTTGGACAGTGAGTGCATTGACACATAGTGTATGGCAGGGGGGCCCCTGGCCAGTACTGGTTCATGTCTTAAGAGGAATGAGGGCTCCTAAAATCCTTGGAATCTCTGAAGTGATAAGTGTCTTTTATAAATATTTGATTATATAACAATCCCTGTTGATTGCTCATTTGAAGATGCTACTACTTGTGTTCTCCAGAACACATGTTGGTAAATGATGCTTTAAATTTGTTAGGTTTTGATGTGGACTACAAAATCATTAAATTCTGGTTCTAGTAATTGCCAAGGATCTTGTATTAGAATAATCATCCTGCATATAACAATTGTAAACTGTGGATTTGGTTAAAACTGCACACACTTGAAGTCATGGAGTTTAATCAAAAGCAGGGAAAATAATAGTAAGAACAACAACAGCACCTGAAAAAAACTTGATTCTTGAAAGGAGAGACTGCCCTGAGTGAGATTCACCTTGATACAGACTTTTCCCCGGATACATTTCCTAAGTTGGTGCAGTGCAGGGCAGCTAGACTTGAATGAAGAGCCACAGAATTATTGGCTTGAGATGTCAGAGGACGGAGTTCAGGGCTACCAGAACAGCTTGAAAATAATAGGCATAAATCTCATAAACTGGAGTGCCACAGTGTGGAGAGCCCCCAACTTTATATATAATCTCTCCTCAAATCCTTGACTAGCCTTTGAACTGGGCATGCATGAGAAAGACTGTAAACAGTTAAGTGGATATCAAGTTGGAAACCTGAAAAAAGATGAGCAGAGATTTCAGCTGCTGCCCATCACAAGGGAGGGAGAGACAGTTTGGAGTTTGGGTCCTACCAAGTTACTTTATGCTAGAACAACAAACTCAAAGCTCTTCAGAGGAAAGGAACAAAATTCCGTGTCTAAAATTTGTCATTCACAATGTCCAATATACAATACTACCTTTTCTAATCATGCAAAACAAACAAACAAAAAAACAAAAACGGGAAAATGTGACCTTCTAGTTCAGGGGAAAAAAAAAAGTAACAAATGAAAACCGAACCTGAGATAGTACAAAGCTTTTCATGCTTTAATTAAAAGACAGAGATTCTCAGACTGGATAAAAAGCACAACTACATTCAGTCAACAATAGATGCACTTTAAATATAAAGGCATAAATTGAAAGTAAGAAACTGTGGCTAGGTGCAGTGGCTCATGCCTGTAATCCAAGCACTTTAGGAGGCCAAGGTGAGTGGATCACTTGAGCCCAGGAGTTTGAGACCAGCCTGTGCAACATAATGAGACTCCCATCTCTACAAAAAATAAACAAAAATAAGCCAGGTGTTGTGGTGTGAGCCTGTAGTCCTAGTTACTCAGGAGACTGAGGTAGAAGGATCACTTGAACCTGGGAGGCTGAGGCTACAGTGATTCGAGATCCAGCCACTGCATTCCTGCCTGGGTGAAAGAGCAGGATCCTATCTCAAAAATAAATAAATAAATAGAATTTTAAAAAAGAAAAAAAGTAAAAAACTGGAAAAAGGTATACAATGCAAACAATAAATATAAGAAATATTGGCATAGCTAGGTTAATGTCAGACAAAGAAAACATCAAAAAAGTAATTATTAGAGGTAAACAGAAATTTCTAGATAAAAGGTCAATTCAACCTAAGATATAATCATAAATATATATACCTAAAACAGAGACTCAAGATAAATGAAACAAAATCAAAGCCAAGATAGAAATAGGCAATATCACAAACATAGATAGGGATTTTAATACAGAACTCTCAGAAATTGATAGAACAAATACAAAATCAGTAAGAATCCAGAAGATCCAAATGACACTGTGTCCGGAATTGGTGGGTTCTTGGTCTCACTGACTTCTAGAATAAAGCCGCGGACCCTCGCGGTGAGTGTTACCATTCTTAAAGGCGGCTTGTCCAGAGTTTGTTCCTTCTGATGTTCGGTTGTGTTCGGAGTTTCTTCCTTCTGGTGGGTTTGTGGTCTTGCTGGCTCAGGAGTGAAGCTGCAGACCCTCGCGGTGAGTGTTACAGCTCTTAAGGCGGCACGTCTGGAGTTGTTCGTTCCTCCCGGTGGGTTCGTGGTCTCGCTGGCTCAGGAGTGAAGCTGCAGACCTTCGCGGTGAGTGTTACAGCTCTTAAGGCGGCACGTCTGGAGTTGTTCGTTCCTCCCGGTGGGTTCGTGGTCTCGCTGGCTTCAGGAGTGAAGCTGCAGACCTTCGTGGTGAGTTTTACAGTTCATAAATGCAGTGTGGACCCAAAGAGTGAGCAGTAGCAAGATTTATTGCAAAGAGCTGAAGAACAAAGCTTCCACAGTGTGGAAGGGGACCGGAGCAGGTTGCCACTGCTGGCTTGGGCAGCCTGCTTTTATTCTCTTATCTGGCCCCACCCACATCCTGCTGATTGGTCCATTTTACAGAGAGCTGATTGGTCCGTTTTGACAGGGTGCTGATTGGTGCGTTTACAATCCCTGAGCTAGACACAAAAGTTCTCCATGTCCCCACTAGATTAGCTAAATACAGAGTGTCGACACAAAGGTTCTCCAAGTCCCCACCAGAGTAGCTAGAAACAGAGTGTCGATTGGTGCATTCACAAACCCTGAGCTAGACACAGGGTGCTGATTTGTGTGTTTACAAACCTTGAGATTGATAGAGAGTGCCGATTGGTGTATTTACAATCCCTTAGCTAGACATAAAGGTTCTCCAAGTCCCCAACAGACTCAGGAGCCCAGCTGGCTTCACCCAGTGGATCCCGCACTGGGGCCGCAGGTGGAGCTGCCTGCCAGTCCCGCACCATGCACCTGCACTCCTCAGCCCTTGGGTGGTCGATGGGACTGGGTGCTGTGGAGCAGGGGGAGGTGCTCATCAGGGAGGCTCGGGCTGCACAGGAGCCCATGGTTGGGGAGAGGGTCAGGCATGGTGGGCTGCAGGTCCCGAACCCTGCCCCGTGGGGAGACAGCTAAGGCCCAGTGAGAAGTAGAGCACAGCAGCTGCTGGCCCAGGTGCTAAGTCCCTCACTGCCCGAGGCCAGCAGGGCTGGCTGGCTGCTCCGAGGGTGGGCCCACCAAGCCCATGTCCACCTGGAACTTGTGCTGGCCTGCAAGCACCGTGTGCAGCCCCGGTTCCCACCTGCGCCTCTCTGTCTACACCTCCCCACAAGCTGAGGGAGCCGGCTCCGGCCTCGGCCAGCCCAAGAAGGGGCTCCCACAGTGCAGTGGTGGGCTGAAGGGCTCCTTAAGTGCTGCCATAGTGGGAGCCCAGGCAGAGGAGGCACTGAGAGCGAGCGAAGGCTGCGAGGGCTGCCAGCACGCTGTCACCTCTCAACACCATCTACACAGCAACTGGTAGAACTAATAAATGAATAGAACAGTCACAAGAGTTAAGTTCAATATACAAAAATGAATTGTATTTCTGTATTAATATAAACCATTTTTTTAAAAAAAATTCAGTTTGCAAAAGCACCAGAAAACATAATATACTTAGGAACAAATTTAATAAAATATATGTAGGACCTCTATGCTGACAACTTAGGAAACAGTGCTGGGAAAAAATAAAGACCTAAATAAATAGTTTAAAGACTCGCTATTGCTAAAATTACAATTCTACACAAATTATCTATAGATTTAACGCCTTACCAATAAAAATCTTGTCTATTTTGAGACACTGACAAATTGATTCTAAAATTGACATACAAATTCAAAAGATCTAGAATGGCCAAAACAATTTTTTAAAAAAATAAAACAGGTAGGGAATTTACATTACTTGGTTTAATAATCTACTTTAAAACTATAGTAGTCAAACCAATATAGTATTAGCGTAATAATAGACATTATAAATCAAAATAGTCTAAAAATAGATCCACATATGTACAGTTAGTTGATTTTCAACAAAGATTCAGTAATGTGTGCTTACTCATTCAAGAATATTAAATCTTCTGTAGAACGGGGAATGGGAATCTTTTTGTTAAAGGGCCACAGAGTAAATATTCAAGACTTGCTGGCTATACTGTCTCTGCTGCAACTATTATACTCAGTTCAGCCTTTGTAGCAGGAATGCAGCTATAGATAATATGTCCATGAAAGGTTACAGGTGTGTTAAACAAAACATTATTTATAAAAACCGATAGTGAGCCTGCAGGTCATAGTTTGCTTATCTCTGCTATAGAACATGGGAAAAACAAATACAGTGGATAAATGAAGCTAAATATGGTAATAACCCTATGTGTCCATGGGTTCAATCAACTTTGGATTGAAAATATTAGGAAAAATACTGCATCAGTACTGAACATGTTCAGACATTTTTCCTTGTTATTATTCCCTAAACAATATAGCATAACAACTATTTAATAACTAATCTAGAGATGATTTAAAGTACAGGGGAGGAAGTGCATAGCTTATATGCAAGTACTATGCCATTTTATATCTAGGACTTGAGCATCTTTGGGTTTTGGTGTCTGCAGGAGTTTCTTAGATCCAATCTTCCACAGGTACTGAGGGATGACAAAGCAAGTGGCTTGTGAGACATGTTAACACAAATAAAGTAAGTGGACTGGAACATCTGTGTTTTGTTTATACATAAAAGGATAGAAGAGCTCAGAAGGACCACATGGGTACTGAATATTCGTAATGTGTCTGGAATTGGTTCCTTCCAGTGGGTTCTTGGTCTGGCTGATTTCAAGAATGAAGCCACGGACCCTCGCAGTGAGTGTTACAGTTCTTAAAGATGGTGTGTCCAGAGTTTGTTCCTTCAGATGTTTGTAGTCTTGCTGACTTCAGGAGTTAAGCTGCAGACCTTCACAGTGAGTGTTACAGCTCTTAAAGGTGGCACGTCCGGAGTCGTTCATTCCTCCTGGTGAGTTCATAGTTTTGCTGACTTCAGGAGTGAAGCTGCAGACCTTCGTGGTGAGTGTTACAGCACATAAAGTTAGTGCGGACCTAAAGAGTGAGCAGCAGCAAGATTTATTGCAAAGAGCAAAACAACAAAGCTTCCACAGGGTGGAAGGGGACCCAAGTGGGTTGCTGCTGCTGGCTCGGGGGCCTGCTTTTATTCCCTTATTTGGCCCCACTCACATCCTGCTTAGTCCGTTTTACAGAGTGCTGATTGGTCCGTTTTACAGAGTGCTGATTGGTCCATTTTTACAGAGTACTGATTGGTACATTTACAAACCTTTAGCTGGACACAGAACACTGTGGTGCATTTACAATCCTTTAGCTAGACAGAAAAGTTCTCCATGTCTCCTACCTTATTAGCTAGACACAGAGCGCTGATTGGTGCATTTACAATCCTACATAGCTAGCCAGAAAAGTTCTCCAAGTCCCCTACCCGATGCAGAAGCCCAGCAGGCTTCACCTCTCAATCCCCCCTCTAAACAGGACACCCCAACTGCTGTTGGGAATTTGCCCAGTGACCGCTCTAGCTACTTCCTGCTGGATAGGGGCGAAGTAGCGGCCCTGCAGTTGTAGTGTCCTCCAGAGGGGAACTCTTTAGGCCAGTGGAAGGGCCAGTGGGTCGGTCCAGGGGTCCTCAGTAGAAGTTGTTAGTTGAACTCATTTGGGGTTCCATTTGTAAGATCGTCTGTAGCTTGATGGCCTCCATTCTAGAGGAAACAAATTTGACAACAAGGTTAAAAATAAAGGGCCCAAAGGCGAGTAATAACAAGATGGCTGCCACGGGACCTAGAAAGGGGAGAAGCCATGTTGCCCAACTCCAGAGGTTGGTATAATAGTTTGAAAGGCGTTGTCTGATTTCAGAAGCCTTTTCCTGTAAATGCCAGGTGGCATCTCTTACTATCCCTGACTAGTTAGTGTAGAAACAACACTCTTCCCCTAAGAAGGTGCAGAGTCCTCCTGTCTCAGCAGTGAGGAGGTCTAGGCCTCAGCGGTTTTGGAGCATCACTGCTGACAAAGAGTCTGTTTGGGACTGTAAAGTAAGGATAGGTTTCGTTATTTCTTGCAAACTGTCTGAGAAATCCTTTGAGAGTGTGTGGTAATAGGATAATGAAGTGGATAAACTGGCTATTCTGGTTCCTGTAGCAGTAGCCATTCCTAACCCTGTAAGTAGGGGCATTAGTTGTATGGCTCTGTGCTGACGGACTTGAGCTTTGAGGGGTACTAATAAGGTCTGATTTCCTGGGGCAATGTTAATGTTGGCACTTAGAAAGACTAAGGTGCAAGTGCCTGTCCAGTTAGTGGGGAGGCATATATAGGTCGATGTTCCACATAAGAAGAATATACCTTGACTGGTATATACCTTGAACGGGTTGTGTATGTTAAAAAGATGAAAAGGTGTGTGAATTTGTTGTTTTCATTTTCCCATACCTTAGAGTACTTGCTAAGGTAGCTCCAGTGAATGGCTGGAAAGGGGTGTTGGGAGTGAACTGAGTGGCTCCCTGTGTTCTGTTTTCCCATTGGAGAAAAAACTGTTTTGTATCTAGTAGGAACCATTCGAGAGAGTGATTGAAAGAGGGGATGAGAAGGCATTCACTAATGATGGAGGTGCTGCTGCAGGGGATCCAGGGGTGAATGGTCATGCAGGGAGTATGTTTGCCATTTTAAAACCTGGACTGTTTGTTAAGCAGGGAGGAGATGATGATTTTTGGGGACCCTGAGAAGCAGACAAGCCATCTGAATGGAGCTGTTTGGGTGACTCAGAAGTTACTATGATCAGCTGGGGTTTGAAGTTGTAGGGTGTAGTTACACTGATGGGGTAGTAGGTGCCCCAGGGGCAGGCCTGATAACAGGTTGCATTGGATGCATAAAGGGGCTTGGAAAGTTAAGATGGTATTCGTAGTTACAGGACCGTGTATGGGCTTTTCATTGCTTTTGTAATAGGTGAGGTTGGAAATGTAAGAACGTAAAAGTTGGATTGCACATCCCGTTAGGGTAATTTTGGTCCTATCAGAGATGGGGAAGTTGGCTAATGATTGCATATTTAGAAGTTGGAAAGGGTCTTTTCCTTCTAACGAGGATAGTAGGTTAAATTGGTAAAGATCCAGTTTTTTGTGGGAATGGGAGTGGCAACGTAAGCAGAGGTTGATAGAGAGATAAAAAGCCAACAGTCATTTGCCAGGGAAGGATTGGACTGGTTTAACAGAGAGTGGGTTAAGTTGAGAGTCTTGTAGAGGTAATAAGGAGCTAGGGGAAGGCGAGAGGTGATTGTATGAAGTATCCAAGGAAGCAGGAGGGGTAGATAGGCAAAGAGTAAATAGGAAGGTAAAGAGGGTACTCTGGAAGACGAGATCATTTTATACAGGCTGAGTTAAAGGTAGGAGTAAATTGCTGTCAGAAGGAAGGAAGATAGAAAGAAGGTTGATGTGATTAGGATTTTCATCGCAGCAGGAGCTACAGTATATAGTCCTATCACAAAGAGTATAGTTAGTATGCTGCTTAATAATACGATGAAATAGTAAAAGGATTCCATTAAAGGGGCAAGCAGAGGTGTTAAAGATAAAGATTATGTAGGTTTTCACTTATCTTTTTTAAGGAGTAAGGGGTTTTTCTTCAGGATCAGTGTTACGAGCCTTTTTAGTCTGGGATGTTTCCTTCTGAAATAGGAGATGCAAGTCCTCCAATGGTTTGCAGGAGTATCGAGGCTGGTCTGACTGATCTTGGGACTCCTGAACTGATGGTCCCGCAGGTTCCTTAGGGGATGTCCAAAATTTAACTCAGGTGTGGTGAATCCAAGATTCTACTCCTGCCACCTTAACTGCAGTGGGGATAGAGAGGAATATTGAGTATGGCCCTTTCCACAGAGTCCATAGGTGGGGAGGAAAAGGGGAGAGATTTGACCAACACTAGATCTCCTGGTTGAAACAACTCTGTTCCCTTTTCTCTGTGACATCCTTCAGGTAGGTTTTTAAGGTTTAGTTGATATTTTGCCAAAGAAGTTATATCTTTGACCAAGTTGGCTATTTCCTGATCAAGTAGGAGGTCATTTCTGAGAAAAGGTCATCCATACATCATTTCATATGGACCGAGCTCTGTTTTGTGAGGAGAATTTCAGATTCTCAACAAGGCCATGGGCAAAAGAGTAGGCCATGGGAGATGAGTTTCTTGTGTTAGTTTCCTAAAGTGCCTCTTGAGTGTTTCATTTGCCTGCTCAACCTTCCATGTGGATTGTGGCCGCCAGGCACATGAAGGTGATATTGTATCCCTAGAGCCCTGGAAATTCCCTGAGTTATCGTGGCTTTAAAAGCCGGACCATTGTCACTCTGTAAGCTTTGAGGAAGCCCAAATCTAGGAATTATTTCATGAATTAGGGCTTCAATCACTTCCTGAGCCTTCTCTGTCTTGCAGGGGGAAGCTTCTAACCAATTTGTAAAGGTATCAACACAGACCAACAAGTATTGAAATCCCTTTGACTTAGGCATATGAGTGAAGTCTAACTGCCAGTCCTCACCAGGATAGTGACCTATTCTTTGTTACCCCAAAGGGGCCTTATGATGGACCGAGGGAATATTCCTTTGGCACACCTCACAGGCTTTGACTACCTGTTGGATGGTCTGGAGAAGATTTGGCCCTGTAAATAGGGATTTGGCCATTTGATGAGTGTTTTCAATACCCATATGGAAAGTTTGGTGGAGGGTTTTAAGTATTTTCCACTGGCTGGCTTCGGGTATAAGTACCTTTCCTTCTTCTGTCATTAACCACCCTGAGGAGAGAAAACTCTGCCCCCATGAAAGTCCCCATTCTGTTTCAGTTGGGGAATACTGGGGCTTAATCTCTTGGAGGGGGTTGTTCCATACCAAGGGTCCTTCCATAGGTATTTCTAATGGGAGCTTCTGCCTGGCAGCAGTTTTGGCCTCAGCATCTGCCCAGCGGTTTCCTTCTGCCTTTTCTCCTTCACCTTTCTGATGGCTTTGGCAGTGTAAGACTGCCACCTCCTTGGGTTTTTGCATTGCATGCAATAACTCCGTAATTTCCTTGTGGTATTTAATGGGGGTTCCCCCAGAGGTTAGGAACTCCCTTTCTTTCCATATTGCAGCATGGGCATGTAGGATTAGATAAGTATACTTGCTATCTGTATACACATTTATTCTTTTTCCCTTTCCCAGTTCTAAGGCTTGGGTAAGTGCCACTAGTTCTGCTAACTGGATGCTGGTCCCTGGGGGAAGAGGCTTACTTTCAAGTATGGTTATATCACTAACTATGGCATAACATGCCCTTTGTATCCCATTCTCCACAAATGAACTTCCACTGGTATATAGATTAAGGTCAGGATTAGCTAAAGGGACTTCTAAGAGATCATCTCGGGCAGCATAAGTCAGGACTATAATTTGTTGGCAGTCATGCTCGATTGGTTCCCCATCCTCTTGGAGAAAATGGCAGGGTTGAGGGCCACACACATATGTATTTGAAGAACCAGTCCCTCAAGGAGTAGCTCCTGGTATCTAAGTAGGCAGTTGTCTGATAGCCATAAACTTCCTTTGGCACCTAGTATGCCATTTACATCATGAGTAGTCCAGACAGTGAGATCGTTTCCTTGTATTATTTTGATAGCCTCTGACACTAAGTTAGCTGCCACCACAACTACTCTTAAACAGTGAGGCCAGCCTTTTGCTACTACATCAATTTCCTTACTTAGGTATGCCACTAGTTGTGGGGTTGTCCCATGAGTCTGAGTAAGGACTCCAAGAGCTATCCCTGCTCTCTCTGTGATGTATAAAGAGAAGTTTTGTCCTGTGGGAAGACTTAAAGCTGGAGCTTGTACTAGGGCCTGCTTTAAGGGTTTGAAGGCTGTTTCTGCCTCTGGTTCCCATTCTACTTGATGAGTATTTGCCCTCTGAATCTCCTTGATTAGAGTATAGAGGGGCCTGGCTATCTCACTGTATCCGGGGATCTGTAGTTGGCAAAAGCCGGTGATTCCAAGGAACCCTCACAGCTGTTTTAATGTCTTAGGGTGAGGATAAGCCAGTATAGGCTGTATTTTTTCCTTGCTGAGGGTCCTGGTCCCTCTGGCTATGATTAAGCCTAGATATTTGACCTGCTGTAGGCAAAGCTGGGCCTTCGACGTAGACGGTTTTTACCCTTGATTAGCTAGAAAGTTCAAGAGATCTAGAGTAGCCTGCTGGCATGAGGCTTCTGAACTGGTAGCCAAAAGTAAATCATCCACATACTGAAGTACCAGAGTGCCTGGACTTGAGAAGTGGCCTAGATCTTGGGCTAGTGCCTGACCAAAGAGATGAGGGCTATCCCTACACCCCTGGGGCAAGACGGTCCACATAAGTTGGGACATGTGGTCTGTGGGATCCTCAAAGTCAAAGAGAAACTGGGAGTCAGAGTGCAGGGGAATAAAGAAGAAGGCATCCTTGAGGTCCAGAACAGTGAACCACTATGCTTTCTCTGGTATTTGAGAGAGCAGGGTATAGGGGTTGGGTACAACTGGATATAGAGGAATTACTGCCTCATCGCTGTGAGTCTAAGATCTTGCACTAGTCTCCACTGACCGTTCAGTTTTTGTACTCCTAGAATTGGGGTGTTGCAGGGACTGCTGCATTTCCTTACTAAGCCTTGAGCTTTTAAATGTTTAACAATATCCTGTAATCCTTTATGAGCTTCAGGCCTTAAGGGATATTGCCTTTGATAAGGAAAAGTGGTGGGATCTTTTAGCCTGATTTGGACTGGGCAGGCACTTTTTGCCCTTCCAAATTGTCCTTCCAATGCCCAGACTTCAGGGTTGGTTCCCTCTTCAAGTAGGGGACAACAAATGGGTAACTTGTTCCCCATATTCATGTAGATAATAGCTCCAGCTTTGGCTAATATATCCCTCCCTAAGAAGGGTGTGAGACTTTCAGGCATGACAAGAAAAGCATGTGAAAAGAGCAAAGTCTCCCAATTACAACTGAGGAGGTGGGAGAAATACCTGGTTACAGGCTGTCCCAGGATTCCTTACATGGTAATGGACCTTGAGGACAGTCATCCAGGACAGGAGATTAACACTGAGAAGGCCGCACCAGTGTCCAGGAGGAAGTCAATTTCCTGGCCCTCAATGGTTAAATGTACCCAGGGCTCAGTGAGGGTGATGACATGAGCTGGTGCTTGCCCCGGGCACCCTCAGTCCTGTTGTTGAATTGTCTGGTTGGGGACTTCTGACCCAGAGAACCTTTGTCCTCTGGGGCAGTGCACCTTCCAGTGATTGCCTCAGCATAGCAGACATGGACGAGGGGGCAGCTTGTTTCTTGTTGGACAATCTTTTTTAAAATGTCCTTGTAAACCACACTGATAAAAAACCCTACCAGGTGATTGGCCTGCTCCATTTTCTGTCCTCTCTGAACCACCAAAGTTTGTCTGAGGGCCATGATTAAGGGTGCAGCCTTTCTCTGATCTCGCTTTTCCTTTTGGGCCTGCTCCTCTTGGTCCCTGTTATAGAACACCAAGATTGCTAGGTTTAATAATGCCTCCAGATTGTGTTCAGGGCCCAGGGCTTGCTTTTGGAACTTTCTCCTGATATCTGCAGCTGATTGGGTTATAAACGTATCTTTGAAATCAATTGACCCTTGAGTGATTTGGGTGAAAGGAGAGTGTATTTTCTTAAGGCCTCCTGTAGCTACTCAAGGAAGGCAGAAGGATTTTCTTCCTTTCCCTGAGTTATGGTGGACATCATTGAATAATTCATGGGCTTTTTCCTAATTCTCCTTAGTACTTCTAGAACAGAGGTCAACAGATATTTACGACTCCAGTCCCCATGATCTGATTTGAGGTCTCAGGGGGGATTCATACTGGGGACGGCTTGCTGACTGGAAGGGAATTTGTCCCTTTCTTCAGCTGTCATTCTATCATTTACTTGACTAAGATACCAGGTATCTCCAAACTCTCAGGCTGCAGCTAAAGCCACATTCTTTTCATTAAAGGCCAGGGTTTGGTCTACCAATAGCATGACATCTCTCCAAGTGAGATAGAAGGTTTCCCCTAGACTCTGTTGGACATCTGTGTGCCTATCTGGATCATCTGAAAACTTCCCCAGGTCTGCCTTGATCTTCTTTAAATCAGAGAAGGGAAAAGGGACATGTACCTGGGTTGGGCCAAATTCCCCTCCCCCTAAAGCTTGAAGGGGACATAACTAATAGCCTTGGGGTTTTTGTGGTCCTTTGAAGATGTCTTTGATTATTTCCTTCTGGGCAGGGGAGATTAGAGGAGGCTTATCATTACTAGGAAGGGGAGCTATAGGGAGGATAGGATACAGGGGTAAGCTGAGAGGTCCTCCTGGGGGATGTAAATTGCAAGCTTTGCCTCATTGTGTATTCTCCTTCAATGAAAAGAAAGCTTGGACATAAGGTATTTCTCTCCATTTGCCTTCCCTCTTACAGAAAAGGTCAAGCTGCAGGATAGTATTATAATTTATACTTCCCTCAGGTGGCCATTTTTCCCCATCAGGGAGAGAATATTGGGGCCAAGCCATAGTGCAGAAAAAAATGAGCTGCCTCTTTTTCAGGTTTTTTGGGTCAAATTGGTCTCAATGCCTTAGGATGCATTTCTCAAGGGTGAGCCTGTTGATGCCTGAGTGTTTCCCATCTGAAAGACAAAACCACCCACGGTTTTTGTTTGTTTGTTTCTACCCCTGCCCAAGAACCTGCAAGAGTCCCTGGACCCTGCTGATCAGAATAGTTGTGCTCATTGACGCGGTAGCAGAAACACCCCCTGCCCAAGAACCCACAGTGTCCCTGGACCCTGCTGATTGGAATAGTTGTGCTCACCAACGTAGCAGCAGAAATGCTAATTTTCCTCCTAGACCACAAGGAGGACCAAGGAAGGTCAGATTTAGTGGCCCTTACCGACACATTCTAGAAAACCTGCACCCTTGCCTGTCCTCCTAGACCACAAAGAGGACCGAGAAAAATCGGAT
This sequence comes from Homo sapiens, assembly GCF_000001405.40. Taxonomy (NCBI): domain Eukaryota; kingdom Metazoa; phylum Chordata; class Mammalia; order Primates; family Hominidae; genus Homo; species Homo sapiens. The sequence continues at coordinate 23,924,495 of NC_000009.12, forward strand.
TTATTTGGCCCTTACCGATGCATTCTTGAAAACCTGTTAGAGTCCTAAGTGTTCTTCTGTTAATACTGGGACGTTACCCCCATCCTATAAAGATGTTATTCCCCAAAAATGAAGTAGAGGGCCATACCCTGAGGGAGGGAAGGGATCTCCAGAGTTGGAAGAATGATGTCTTTTGTCCTCACTTATGTGAATAGGAAGGCTACAATTTCTGAGGCTCCCCATATCCTAGCTTCAGGAATAGCTTTTGTTAGGCCTGCTTGTCTGAGGAGGGATCCTAAAATTCCAGATAGTACCCCCCTACAACGGGGCTTTGGGCAAAAATTATGTCTTTCTGATTGGTGAGACCGGGTGCCTACAGAAGGTAACAGAGTCCTAGAGTTTATACTAGAAATCATTCTTACAGGAGAAACTAGAAAAGCACCAGAGACAAGGAGTGGTTTTTAGAAGCGGGACTAGCCTTGGAGAAGAGAGGTGAGAGGAAGTTTGTATGACAGGCATTCGAACCCAGGAGGCAAAGGTCAGGATGGATAGGATAGATGGGCGAGTCTTGCTTGGGTAACATGACGTTGAGAGTTCTGCTCATGGCCACAGGGTCAACCAACTTGTTGTCGGGACCCCGTATCTGAATGGCTTTCCTCTCTGTCGATCCTAAGCTCGGCCTGGATTTACAGGAAAAGCAGAAGCTGGTTCCAGGCAAACCAACGCTCCCAAGTCCAAAGAGTTGGGGGTTGTTAGCCCTTTCCCAGAAAGCCTGACACCCGAGTCTTTAGTCCAGTGGCTGTGCTAGTTGCTTTTAACTGGCCAACAGGTGCCCGGTATTTGGCCCCTGAATTCTAAGGAAAAATAGGACAGAATAGCAAGCGAAAGGGGTCCAATGGTACTCAACACTTGGTGATAATCAAGTATCCCATCTGGGGCACCGAAATGTGTCTGGAATTGGTTCCTTCCGGTGGGTTCTTGGTCTTGCTGACTTCAAGAATGAAGCCGCGGACCCTCATGGTGAGTGTTACAGTTCTTAAAGATGGGTGTTCAGAATTTGTTCCTTCAGATGTTTGTAGTCTCGCTGACTTCAGGAGTGAAGCTGCAGACCTTCACAGTGAGTGTTACAGCTCTTAAAGGTGGCATGTCCAGAGTTGTTCATTCTTCCTGGTGGGTTCTTGGTCTTGCTGACTTCAGGAGTGAAGCTGCAAGCCTTTGCAGTGAGTGTTATAGCTCTTAAAGGTGGCACATCCAGGGTTGTTTGTTCCTCCTCGTGGGTTCGTGGTCTCGCTAACTTCAGGAGTGAAGCTGCAGACCTTCGCAGTGAGTGTTACAGCTCATAAAGGTAGTGTGGACCCAAAGAGTGAGCAGCAGCAAGATTTATTGCAAAAGAACAAAGCTTCCACAGCATGGAAGGGGACCCCAGAGGGTTGCCACTGCTGGCTCGGGTGACCTGCTTTTATTCCCTTGTTTGGCCCCACTCACATCCTGCTGATTGGTCCATTTTATAGAAAGCTGATTGGTCCATTTTACAGAGTGCTCACTGGTCCGTTTTATGGAGTGCTGATTGGTCTGTTTTTACAGAGTGCTGATTTGTGCGTTTACAAACCTTTAGCTAGACACAGAGTGCTGATTGGTGCATTTACAATCCTTTAGCTAGATAGAATAGTTCTCCAAGTCCCCTACCCAATTAGCTAGACACAGAGCACTGATTGGTGCATTTACAAACCTTTAGCTAGACACAGAGCACTGACTGGTGAATTTACAATCCTTTAGCTAGACAGAAAACTTCTCCAAGTCCACTACCCAATTAGCTAGACACAGAGCACTGATTGGTGCATTTGCAAACCTTTAGCTAGACAGAGAGCACTGACTGGTGCATTTACAATCCTTTAGCTAGCCAGAAAAGTTCTCCAAGTCCCCTACCCAACCCAGAAGCCCAGCCAGCTTCACCTCTTAGTAGCACACTAAATAAACATGAGCCACATGAGTCTCCCAATATTCATGAGGATTTAAATAGGTCACTTATTGATGATGCCTCCTCTAGCCTCAATGTTCTTACCCAGTAACACAAGTTAAATTTGTAGCTGCTCATCACCTTAACTGGTGAACCCTGACTGTGGTCAGTTGTACTTTCCCCAAAGTCTCTCTAGCATAACTGTGTATGTAGCTGGCTCTAGACACCTTCCATCTGCTGAGTCCTGTTTTTCAAATCTCAAACAAACCATCAGCTGAAAACTCTGATAAGGCAGAGAGATTGAGCTATAGGACATATAAATACAGTATAAGCTGAGATTCAGGTATTCTAAGTGTATTAATATACTCACCTCTTTCTTTTTGTGTCTTTATTTTACACTTATTCCTTAAGCCATGTGTTTTTAGTACAACCTTAATTTAGTCTGTGGACATTTCTGTTTTTCTGACCTGGAAGGTGGCTTTGCTGGTAGGGTATCTGGAGGCTATCATTACATCGAGGTAATTTCCTGCATGACATGTACCAGGCAATTAAATGGGAAAGAGAAAAGCCTTCTCAACAAATGATCCTGGAACAACTAGATAAACAAGTGGAATAAATAAACTTTACTGCCTAAGTCTACACTGTTCCCTAAAATGAATTTCAGATAGCTCATAGATGGAAATGTAAAAGATAAGCATATAAAGCTTCTAGAATGTAATGTGGGAAAATATCTTTGTGAACTTGTGGAAGGGAAAGCTTCTTAAAAAGGATAAAAATTTACTAATCACAAAATAAAATAAGTTGAAATAATAAAAATTAAGTTTTGTTCATCAAAAGACACTCTTAAAAAATGAAAAGACAAGTTACAGATGGAAAGAAAAAGTTCAGGAAATATATCTGATAAAGGTATTACAGTAAGAATTTACAAAAATGTATACCAACCAAAAAACACATAACCCAACATAAAAATGGGCAGAAGACTTGAACAGGCATTTCATAAAATAAGATATATAAATGAATGGACAATAACATCAAATATTGTTAGTCATTAGGGAAATGCAAATTAAAATTGCAATGAGTTTTTTTTTCTTTCTTTTAGAGATGGGGTCTCACTCTATTGCCTAGGCTAAAGTGCAGTGGTGTAATCTCAGCTCACTGCAACCTCTGCCTCTCAGGTTCAAGCAATTCTTGTGCCTCAGGCTTCTGAGAAGCTGAGACTACAGACATGCACTACCATGCCTGGCTATTTTTTCTATTTTTAGTAGAGATGGGGTTTTGCCATGTTGGTCAGGCTGGTCTTGAACTCCTGACCTCAAGCAATCCACCCACCTCAGCCTCCCAAAGTGTTGGGATTAACAGGTGTGAGCCACTGTGTCTGGCACAATGAGATGTTAATATATTTCAAACTCATAGAAAGGCAAAAATTAAATTTAATTTCAAAGTTTAATTTAATAAAATTAAAATAAATATAAAAGAGGCTACTTTTATGTGCTACTTGGATACAGACCTGACAAAGAAGAAACTGCATAAAAAATGTCAGGCAGATCAGGCAGGAAAATACTATGGGTGATTTCTAGGACTGTTACAAGAGAACTTTATTTTATCTTTTATTTATTTAATTTTTTTATTTTTATAGGTACACAGTATGTGTATATATTTATGGGGTACATGAGATACTTTGATAAAGGCATACAATGCTCAATAATCACAATTGGGTAAATGGGGTATCTGTCACCTCAAGCATTTATCCTTTCTTTGTGTTATAAACATTCCAGTTATACTCCTTTAGTTATTTTAAAATATACCCAACAAAATTATAATTGACTGTAGTCACCATATTGTGCTATCAAATACTAGATCTTACTCATTCTATTCATTCTAACTATATTTTTGTACTCTTTAACCCTGCCCACTCTCCCCTTCCCTGACTACCCTTCCCAGCCTCTGATAGTCATCATTCTACCATCTATCACCATGAGTTCAGTTGTTTGGATTTTTAGCCTGCATTCATGAGTGAGAACATGTGAAGTTTGTTTTTCCTACAAATGGGTGAGAATATAAGAAGAAAGGACAAAGTGCCTTATTTCACTTAAGAAAATGTGGTACACATGCACAATGGAGTATGATTCAGTCATAACAAAGAATGAGATCCTGTCATTTGCAACAACATGTATGGAACTGGAGGACAGTTTGTTACAAGAAAACTTTTAAGAGAAACTTATGTGGCCCCAGAAAAAGTGTGTATGTGGTATTAGGAGAGACAAATATACTAATTGAAAGGAAATTTCTTAATGCTATATTCTCTTAGATATATATCCTGTGCACAATCTGAAAACATACTAGTAAGGTTCTCTTGAATAAACAATCTTATTAGGAAGGCAAAATTATTTCAGGAAGGAATAAGGATGAGAAAAAGGATAGGGAGAAGGTACAAATTATAGTGTGTCTGGGCCCAAAAGGGGACCATGACTACTTTACATGTCAGTACAATATTTTTTAACTTGTCTGCCTTTGCTTGAGGGATACTTGAATGTCCCCCTTCCCCACTTTCCCAACCTTGGGGTGAATGCCCAATCTTAGCAGCCTTGGGAAGAAGTCTGGATGATTTAATCAAACACATTTACTTATGCTTCATTAACTTTGGAAGATGAGCTGAGAGAATAGTAAAGTGTGGAGATTTGCATACTAATGAATTCACTTCAGGTGATGCCATAGATATTTATGATGGAAGAACATAAAAAAAAGGAAATGCTTCTGATCTTTTGGTGGGCAGAATGTTATATAATGAACCTCTCAAATATGTCAACATTTACCGTAAGCTTCATCCATAGAAGGATTGTGAGCAAAAGAGACTAAAAAGAAAAAAGAAGGAGGAGAAGACAGACATACATTTGGAAAGATATCTTATGTAATTACTTTTTGATAAAAATAAGTACAGTATAGTGATTGAGATACAAAGGATATAAAAATTCTTGCCTATGTTGGAAAGAAACCCTATCTGTCTATAGTTTTTAAGAGCTCCTAGTGGGCATGAGTTGGAGGTCTTTGTTACTTAGAGAGGCTGAGAGGAAAAGAGGAGAGAATCCAGGAGGATCCAAGTCTTCTATCTTTACTTCAACCAGAGATGCTGCGCTTTTATCTATTTTCTCTCATTGTACTTGCGTGTAAAATTGTGTTTGAAGATAGTTTCCATGGCAAAACATCATTTTTTTAAGAAGCTACCTTCTTACACCCTTGCTGTCAAAGTAGGTTGTAAATTTACTGTGAGCAGAGAGAACTTCTCTACTCTTGAGAAGTGATTAGTATCTTGCTTTCACATGGGAGGCAAGTAAATACATAAGTAAAAATAATACATAATGGGCAAACATCATCAACAGATGAGTAACCAAAGAACAAATATAGTTAGTTAATTTATGAAAACATCTTTAACTTTCATCAACAGAGAAATGCAAATTAAAACAAAATACTATTTTTTCCTGTACCAAATTATCTGAGATTCTGAATAAAGGAGGTTTTAAAATGTTAATGCCATGAAATACAATACATATAGTGTAATTTATGCAATGTACTCTTAAACATTTCAGAAAAAAATTATATCTATATTCACAGAGAGAGAAAAAGAGATAAAGTGAAGGCAAATGTAATAAAATGCTAACATTCAGGGAATCGGGTGAAGGGTATTGGGGGAATTCTTTGTGTTATTCTTGTTTCTTTCATGTTACTCTTACATTACGTCAATAAATACATTCTCCAAAAATAAGAAAAAGATAATATGGCATTAGAGATATATATAGTTAAGAAAATGATTAAAGTCAATGAGTAAGTACTAAGAAAAAAATACAAAATTTTGACTATCAGTGAGGATGCCATGAAAGAGTCAATGTTACATACTGCTAGTAGAAGTAGAAGTTGGGACAACCCTTTGCAAAATATTTGATGATGTATATTTAAATTCTTTGACAATGTTCATTTCATTTTATTTGATTCATTTCATTTATTTCATATTCATTTCATTTATCTGGAAATCTCCTAAGGAAATAACATAAAATAGCTTCCTGTACAAAACATGTCAAATCTAGTATTATTTATAAAGCTGAAATATGTAAGGAACCTCATTGTCTTTCAGTAATCAGATGATTATATCTATTATGGTAGAGCCTTATGATTGGGTATTATATAATACTAAATATAATGATGAAGATGGTAGCTACCATATGCTGACATATAGTTACTGTGTATCATGAGCTATACTATGTCCTTTTCAAGCCTATCTCATGTAGTTCTTGTAACAGTCTTCAAATTGACATTCATTAACAGTTTATTTTATTATGAAAAACATTGCAGGGTGTTAAATGTAACATTTTAGGCAATAGTTATGTGCTAATTTGATACTAAAATATAATAAAATAAAAACTTTTTTTTTTTTTGAGATGGAGTCTCACTCTGTCAACCAGGTTGGAGTGCAGTGGCATGGTCTCGGCTCACTGCAACCTCTGCCCCCTGGGTTCAAGCGATTCTCCTGCCTCAGCCTCCCAAGTAGCTGGGATTACAGGCGCATGCCACCGCGCCCGGCTAATTTTTTTTTTAATAATATTTTTGGTAGAGATGGGGTTTCTCCATGTTGGCCAGGCTGGTCTCAAACTGACCTCAAGTGATCCACCCACCTTGACCTCCCAAAGTAAACATTTAATAAGGAAAAGCTATAGTAGAAATGATTTTAGTAGAAGTCTAGACATAGTTTTTATTTGAAATACCATAAAGTTAAAAACATTTTTGTAAGTATCAGCAGATTAATTAAGAAATGTGTAGTTGGTGTTTATATTTAATCCTAATTGATTTCTGAAGACAAAAAATTAATATATTTTTATAACAACAGCAACGTACATTATAATAATTGGTCTGAGAATATTTGATGCCTAGATAAGCTTAAATAGTAGATTTTCTCTGTTTTTATCTGCACTGTACTATAATCAAAATAAACATATAATTTGAAAGACTTGTTTCTGATAAAACAAAAACAAAGTAAATGTAAATTATGGTATAGTATAAATGTAGTAGAAAAATGCGGTATAAAAAAGATGGTGTTCCCAGAATTTTAAAGAATATACATTTTTAGATGTAAAAGTTAGTAAATTACATTTTAAAAGAAATTTTAACTTAAAAAACCTACAGTTGTTATAGATACATTAAATACATTACATGAGAACTGGAATTTCTCAATGGGATAATGATATTGGCTATTACAATAATGCAAATGTTGAGTGAAATATCTTCCGATTTGAAATCAAGACTAAGTATCATAATGAACATAACACAGAAATGAAAATATCTTTTCCAAAAAATATTTACATTAAAATTAAGTCCACAAGTATAATACATTTTCTAATTCTTTGTAGCCAAGAATCATGGATAGATTCAGAAAATAGTTTTAAATATTTTATAGAGCTACTAGGTATTTTATATCTTCTGCACAAATTCTAAGTAGATTTAGGCTAATTTTTATTACATACCATAAAGTTAAAAACAAAAGGTAAAGAATGTAACCAACTGATGTCAATAAATAGAAAACCTAGCATGGATGTTCATAAAGTTGTACTGTTGAAATTATCTATCCCAGCATCTTCATTGTCTGCATGAAAATTTGAGATCCTAAAAGATTAATGTTTTACAGTGCACCCCTTTTACTACAAAGGGGTGTCTCCATGAACAGTCAAAATCTTTATCAAAGGTACATCGTTAACATTGTATCTATTACCCAGATTCTCTTTCCTAAGAGAAAATAGTGGATGGTTAGGAGAAAAGGATATGGTATCCATACTTCCTAGTTTTTATGTGACACTTCTTTTTATACCTATTATCTTGGTGTAGTTATTAACAGCTCTCTCTTTCATACTCAAATCTATCACTCTTGGTTTGGACACCCTAAGTTATTGGGTGTATTGAGTTTTTAATTTGGTTAAACTATGCTGATGGGGTAAAGTGAAGCAGAAATGGGAAAAGGTGGAGTGGCTGTTTTCTTTTGCTTACATTCTTCCAGCTAGTCCAAGAAATTTTTTACAGACAGGGTCTCATTGGGTCACCCAGGCTGGAGAGCTGTGGCAGGTCCTCACTGCAGGAGCTCACTGCAGCCTCCAACTCCTGGTCTCAAGCAATCCTCTTGCTTCAGCCTCCACAGCTGAGGATTACAGGTGTGTGCCTCTGCAGTGAGCTCCAAGAGATATTTGGAAAGAGAATGATTGAACGGCTTTCCCAGGATTGCATAAAGTTAGAAGCCCAATGTTTTATCACATTAATTTTTATTTCAATTGAACAATTGTGTATTATACTGCATAATTGACAGACTTGGGTTAAGTCTCATTCCATTGCTCAGGTTGGAGTGCAGTGCAGTGGCACTATCATGGCTCAAGCAATCCTCTTACCTCAGCCTCTTAAGTAGCTGGGACTTCAGGCGAGCACCACTGTGCCTGGCTAATTAAAAGAAAAAAATTTTTTTTTTGTAGCAACAAGGTCTCACCATGTTTCCTAGGATTGGGTTAATCTTGTTGTAAGCCAGTGTTTGGCTTTCCTGCTCAAGAACACTAATAATTGGACACGTACTTATTCTGAGAATGTTAATATATTTTAGTCTTTGCTTCTATCTTCTTTCCATTATAAGCTATGAACTTAGAAGATCTGGTCAGGCATTGAGGAAAAAAGAAGAAAAAAAATCAAGAAATGACTTTCTACTGGGAAGCAATAATTTAAATTACTGTGTTTAAGTTACTGTTTAGAAGGGGAGGTACAAATAAATTGGCACATGCAAATTATATGCAAACACATTTTGTCTTCTCAATTTAAGGTCCCATAATTTGAATTAAAATGTTCTTTTAAAGACGATTGTGTAGTCCTAATGTTCTGTAACAGCAAACCAAAATTTGGATTCTGTAAGGAGAAACTTAGCGTTATAAACAAAATTCCATACTTGGGATTTTGCTAAAGTTTGCACTAAACAAGTTGCATCTTATGTAGTTGATATGTGAAATGTTTGTGTTTTGATGATAAACTCAATGCGATTTTTGGTGTTAAAATTGGTGTTTCATGGTGGTCATAGTAATGAGTCATAGTTTCTGAGTAGACTTAACTTTTACTTTCATTTTGGCAAACAAATGGTTATAGATTTACAGTTATGTGAATAGATTGTTCTCATGCTAAGTGCAAAGGGAGTAATACTTGAAGAAAATCTTTGCCTAATTTATATATGTAATATTTTATACATATCTAATATATATAAAAAACCCATCAAGGCTGGATGAATATCAAAAAATTCTTCTGACTTACACTTTGTTAAAATATACATAAATTTATCAGCAGCTTCCATATTCTTCCTCTACCCCTTCAATAAAAGGGGCATTGAAGGGATTATATTAAACTGGCTTCTGTTTCCTAAAGAGAAAGGTATATTGTAAAGAAATGAAATTGGTTGTTGTTCATTTCTCTATTGAGAAAAGTAACTTGAGGCCACAACTGAAGTGAATTAATGCTGTTATTATTGTGGAGCTTGCATTACTTCTTATTGCTAAGTCTGAGTGAGGAAAGTGGGAAGCAATGCCTTTCACAAAAGCATAAAAGTAAAATGTGACTATATGTAAAAAAAAGAATAGGCTGAGGGGCAAACCAAAAAAAAAATCACAAAGATTCATTCATTTATATGACTTACTAAGCTGACAATTTGTAATGGGTATTGGCATTAGTATGTGCAATTACTTCTTTACTTCCACCAAACTGAAACTATTCCCCCCACAGGAAGGTTTAGAGGAAGGTGTTTCAGGGTGGGGGAGTGGAAGTGGTGAAAAAAAGACAAAAGAGCTTATCCTGAATCTATTAGCTCTAATGAACAGGTACTAAGAAGCAGACACTGCCACATAACATAAATTACAATCTAAATGAGATATCCATATTTACATAAGCAGTTCCTTAGGCGCTCTAAGCTAAGTTCATGGGAAGAAAGTTTTCCAAATGCCATTCATACCACCAGGGATAATTGCAGCACTAGAAAGAAGCATCCATGCCATTGCTGGGGAAACAGAGAATGGGGTTTTAATTTTCAGTTTGACTTACATGCTGTTGTCATATCATGGAGACTACAGTTGCAGTTTTACAGCATGGTTTTTCTTGGCTTATTTTAGAATCACAGAAAGAGTAAGCTTGCAAATCTTTTAATAAGGCAATTACATTCAGACAAAGATTAGATCTCAGTGGCACAATAGATTTTTGCTATATTATTCAGTATCTTTTTGATATTCCACTGTCACTAGACAAAGCTGTGAATAGTAATGTGACAAGTCTATTCAGAAGACAACAATGAGGGTTTCCTTAATTGTGTTCACTTGCATGCCACACAAACCCTCACTTAATTTTTTTTTGCCTGTTTTGAAAAAGCAGAAAGAAAATACCATTTAGGTCACAAAAAACACTGTTGAATCTATCTTTGAAATCTGCATTTTGTATTTGTAAGATTAAAATGTTGAGATAGTCAATCATTTAATTTTTTATTTGGTAAAAATATCTAATGATTCAAAATGTCAGTCTTAATATAGAAATGAATTACTTGGTATAAAAAGAACAAAAATCCATAAGAATCTAAAGACTTGTTTCAAAATAAGTGCTTTGGATGATGTGGGATGTGAAAATGGAAAATCCATGTGTTAGTTTCTAATGGTTGCTAATGAAGAGAAACTTAAAATGAATGTAATTATTTTATTTATTTTCTTAAAGGCTTGTCCTTCCCCCTCACAACTTAAAATTCCATAAAATATATTACTATAGAAATATAAGCTATATGGTTATGTTTAGAAAATGCAATTTTACATTAATGTATCAGTTTGTGAGAAGGAAATCATGTTTATATGAGCTAGCATTTTGTTAATTTTATAAATTATTATTCATATATTTATTTTAAAAAATTGGATATAATGGCACCTATTTTAATTTTCCCAAGTTGAAATTCATTAGCTAAAACTTCATTTAACTTACAGTTCATTGTTTGAAACTAATGAGTTTATAGAGGTAATTATCCTTAAATGCTAACTCAAGCAGGACAAATGGAGACTGATCTAATGAAGAAAGAATTGAGTTCTAATCTTGATCCTACAAGTAAATTTTACATCTTGGTTTCATTTAATCTTTTTGTATCTATTTCCTCAAGAGTAAAACAGGGGAAATGTCTGATGTGAGGATAGAATAGAAAACTAATAAGAAAATTCCTGCATATATAAAAGCGCTACACTAAGGTCCTATAATATTAGGATAGATATAGAAGATCCTGGAAGGTCCTATATTCACAAATTTGGGAGATTCACCTACTGAATCATGGAAATAAATAAGAAGGAGAATAAGATTGTACACCAATGGTTACTCTCAAAGAGACAGAAATAAAAAAATGACTCTAAAATTTTCTAATGTCTTAGAAAATAATTGTTAAATTATATGATGAAATAGAACTTAATTATTCTGAGCAGCATTTACCATTTTTAAACACTTTTAAAAAGTTAATTTGATATTACTAGCAGAAGTGATCGCCCTGGCCAGAACTTCCAACACTATGTTGAATAGGAGTGGTGAGAGAGGGCATCCCTGTCTTGTGCCAGTTTTCAAAGGGAATGCTTCCAGTTTTTGCCCATTCAGTATGATATTGGCTGTGGGTTTGTCATAGATAGCTCTTATTATTTTGAAATACGTCCCATCAATACCTAATTTATTGAGAGTTTTTAGCATGAAGGGTTGTTGAATTTTGTCAAAGGCTTTTTCTGCATCTATTGAGATAATCATGTGGTTTTTGTCTTTGGCTCTGTTTATATGCTGGATTACATTTATTGATTTGCGTACATTGAACCAGCCTTGCATCCCAGGGATGAAGCCCACTTGATCATGGTGGATAAGCTTTTTGATGTGCTGCTGGATTCGGTTTGCCAGTATTTTATTGAGGATTTTTGCATCAATGTTCATCAAGGATATTGGTCTAAAATTCTCTTTTTTGGTTGTGTCTCTGCCCGGCTTTGGTATCAGAATGATGCTGGCCTCATAAAATGAGTTAGGGAGGATTCCCTCTTTTTCTATTGATTGGAATCGTTTCAGAAGGAATGGTACCAGTTCCTCCTTGTACCTCTGGTAGAATTCGGCTGTGAATCCATCTGGTCCTGGACTCTTTTTGGTTGGTAAACTATTGATTATTGCCACAATTTCAGAGCCTGTTATTGGTCTATTCAGAGATTCAACTTCTTCCTGGTTTAGTCTTGGGAGAGTGTATGTGTCGAGGAATGTATCCATTTCCTCTAGATTTTCTAGTTTATTTGCGTAGAGGTGTTTGTAGTATTCTCTGATGGTAGTTTGTATTTCTGTGGGATCGGTGGTGATATCCCCTTTATCATTTTTTATTGTGTCTACTTGATTCTTCTCTCTTTTTTTCTTTATTAGTCTTGCTAGCGGTCTATCAATTTTGTTGATCCTTTCAAAAAACCAGCTCCTGGATTCATTGATTTTTTGAAGGGTTTTTTGTGTCTCTATTTCCTTCAGTTCTGCTCTGATTTTAGTTATTTCTTGCCTTCTGCTAGCTTTTGAATGTGTTTGCTCTTGCTTTTCTAGTTCTTTTAATTGTGATGTTAGGGTGTCAATTTTGGATCTTTCCTGCTTTCTCTTGTAGGCATTTAGTGCTATAAATTGCCCTCTACACACTGCTTTGAATGCGTCCCAGAGATTCTGGTATGTGGTGTCTTTGTTCTCGTTGGTTTCAAAGAACATCTTTATTTCTGCCTTCATTTCGTTATGTACCCAGTAGTCATTCAGGAGCAGGTTGTTCAGTTTCCATGTAGTTGAGCGGCTTTGAGTGAGATTCTTAATCCTGAGTTCTAGTTTGATTGCACTGTGGTCTGAGAGATAGTTTGTTATAATTTCTGTTCTTTAGCAGAAGTGATCAATAAAACTTTCTGGTCACTGAAAAGCACTGCAAGGCATTTTGGTGTTTTTGCATAAAAACTAAAGAGAATACTTAGAGCAAATGTAATAAGTAAGATATGAATTAACTTTTTCTAATTAATTGAGATGTTTGCACAAACACTAATTGCAATGATTAGATGTCTTGAGAACTATATACCTTGATATTGCTACAGAAATCTGCCCTTCTATGTGCTTACCAACAGTTTATCATTTTAATGAGCTTGTCCAATAGAGCTCAGATCACAATATAGACTTACATTTGGTGCTTCCAAAAATTATTAAGAAAATAAAAACAATACTTTATGATTGTTAATTATGTGGGCAAATTAATATTCACAATCCTGCAAATCCAAATATTGAGTTTTTAAAAAGTGTTTCCCTATTCACAATAGCAAAGACTTGGAACCAACCCAAATGTCCAACAATGATAGACTGGATTAAGAAAATGTGGCACATATACACCATGGAATACTATGCAGCCATAAAAAATGATGAGTTCATGTCCTTTGTAGGGACATGGATGAAATTGGAAATCATCATTCTCAGTAAACTATCGCAAGAACAAAAAACCAAACACCGCATATTCTCACTTATAGGTGGGAATTGAACAATGAGATCACATGGACACAGGAAGGGGAATATCACACTCTGGGGACTGTTGTGGGGTGGGGGCAGGGGGGAGGGATAGCATCGGGAGAGATACCTAATGCTAGATGACGAGTTAGTGGGTGCAGCGCACCAGCATGGCACATGTATACATATGTAACTAACCTGCACAATGTGCACGTGTACCCTAAAACTTAAAAAAAAAAAAAAAAAAAAGTGTTTCCCTAATGTAATTCAGGTCATCCAAAACAGTCCCTCACAAGATCTAAGTTTATCTTGCTGGTGTTCTTAATACAGATTTGTCATGGACATTAAAATCCCACACAAAATGTTTGATACTTACTATGGAAAATCTTAAATGTGATTTTTCAGCATTATATTCTACCTCTACAGATTCTAATGAATGAATAAATTCTTTATTGACTTTGGCTCAAGTGGCAAGGCTATGTGACTCAGGGAATAACCAAGTGTTGGCAGAACAAAAGTGAAAAATCAATAGCAATTGATTATTTAAACTCGGAATTTCAGGGTACTCAGGCAGGATTTATTCTAAGCCAAGCCCCAGTAGGAACACTCTTTGAATCTATCTGATTTGTAAACTGTCTCCAATACTTTTTCCTATATAGTTAATTTGCAATCAGAATTGCTGTTTTAAACTAGGGCATCTAATGTATTGGTGAATGTTATATAGTTCCTGTAATTTATTTATTTTTGTTCATATATGTGTCAGTGTCTACCTATGTCCCATTACTTTTTTTCCTTTTGACTTCTGACCCTTCTCTTGAGATGTTTCTTCTTTATATTATTTTATTTCAGAAACTGCTAGAATTCCTTCAGGACTCCAGTACCCCTGTGGTGTTGTCATATCGAATTGTCAGGGCGGGGGTGGGGGGTGTTACCCATCTGATCTCAGCCAAATCAGGATGGGACATCATTCAACTGAAAGCCAAGAGGGACACAATTGGAAAGCAGTGCACCATGCTTTTTGTATATTGCACCTGTCTCTTGGGTGGCATGCTAAAAGTAGCAGCACTTTCAGAAAGAGAAAAGCTGGCAGATGTTGGCGGTGATTAAAGGGATGATTAAAAACTGGCACACTCTCTCCATGAAAGTGTGTCTGTGTTTATTCAACTACACTTAGAACTTGGCAGGTCTTGGAGATCTGGCCAGACTGGCAAAGCTCTGGCAGGACCACTGTTACTCATAGTTTCTTCTTCCAAGATACAAGGATCAGATACTAAGCAATTAAATTTACCAAAATAATATATAATGTCATAAATATAATTTTTGTATGAACTAAGTAGTATATAAGGAAGTTACTTTCACAATATGGTTATTGAATATTACAAACACTAATACTTAGAGATGTAGAATTCTATGATACCATTAATTCATAGGTTTGTAAATATTTGGGTGTTTGCATGGAAACAATTTTTGTGTATAAAATAATTTAAAATTGAAAATGCATAAGTAAAATATTTGGCTTCTTACAATCATGATTACACTTTTTTTCTAGGAGAATCTGCCGTTAATATAGCCATTATAGAGATTTTCAACACAATTATCCATGAGACACTTTGTTAAGGCAAATGAGAAACAAGATATGTACTGACCGTTCTGAAAACATAAAATGAAACGGCTTACAAAAGTTTGCAAGAATGATTCATCAATAGATAGTTTTGGGTTTTCAATTATTATTGGGAGTATAAAGGCACATAAAGTATAAGCAAATTCTTTATGTGAACTTGTGAATTACTAATAGTAAATTAGAAGTTGATGAGTCACTTTACAAATATCTAATTGGGGAGAAATAATATATTATTGCCACATACATGATTGCCAGTGAAAAATATAGACTAATATTATTATTGAATGCAAAGGGATCTTTGAATTCAACCTTTCTTCCAATTTTTGAATTCTTTATCCAACATCCTTGATAAATAGTCATTTAATATTTTTGCTGTCAGCTATGTTTTTTTTTTTTTTGCCACCTCCAGCCATGAAACCCATTGGATTTCTCTATTGCCAACACATTTCTATGCCTTTGGCCTACTGTTTCTCCTGTCTGGACTTCTTTCCTCCCCTGCAATTTCCAAAATATTATTTGCCTGGCAATATGAAATGCTTCCTTCTCCGTGAAGAGGCTTTCCCAGTTCTGTCAAGGTAGCTAAAAACATCTTTTGTTCTCTACTGTTGTTATGGCATTTGCCATACTATATTGCTATTATAATGTACACACACATAAAAATATTTGTAACTCTCACTTTAAAATGCTTGTGGTCAGCAATGGTAAAATTCATTTGTATATTTTTGGAACTTAGCTTATAGTCCCCTCCCAATAAGTATTTTTTTGACTACACGTGTGAATTAATGAATAATTTTAATTGGACCAGAAAGAACAGTCACAAAATTACATAAGCAAGAATTAAAATAAAATACTTGAGCTCATAAGATTTAGAAAAGGTACTGACATAGATGAGCTATTGCTGAAACAACCAGTATTATCTCATTTTCATTTTTTAAAAGAGCTATATTAACCAATGATGGCCCCAGGTAACTGAGTGAAGTGAGCCTAGAGACAAGTATAATGAAGAGTTTTCACATTGCTGAGAAGAATCAAAAGTGGACAAGAAACAAATGTTGATGTCCTGTAGCATGCTGTTGAAATTCATGTCTTTTGTCATGCTGGTACCCTCTCAGCAAATGATAAAATCCTCAAAATGATAAAACTTGGATTTCTGGCAAGCACCCATTGTTTGCCATTATTGTCCATCTTGATAATAGAAATAAAGCTGTAAGATTTCGCTGAAATCAGTATATTATTACTTTTTCCAACGTAGCTATAAGTGGAACGAAGGTTAATACATTTGCTAAGTTTCTTTCATTGTGAAGTTATTAGAGTATGTTCATTTTGTAACTGTTGTTTTATAACAAAACAAACACATAGGAACACATACAAAGGATTTTTTGCTCCTTAGTTCAGCTAAAATCTGGGTTCTTGTCTCATGACCAGGAAAAGTTAGGCACATGGACGCACTGAAGGGTGAGGAGAGCAGAATTTATTAAAATAAAGCTGTCTGTGAAAAAAACGGCATCCTGCCAGCAAGCTCCCACCTCACAGATAGAATACCAGACCACCACACATGAGCTGAAGCGGCTGGGATCCTCCTGCTGCATAAGGCACAAGTTCCCTGTGGCTCCACCCCATTCTCCCAGTGCACAGGCAGGCCCTTATTCTGAGTCACTCCACACTGGTTTACTTCTCTTACTGCACATGTGTTAAGGGATGGAATTTTTCACCTTGGGCATGTTTAGGCAAGCCCCCTGTGCAGAATGACCCCGTGTGGCATTTGGCTGTCTCCTGCCTCTATCATTCCCCTCTCTAAATAAGTACATCTAACTGCCATTAGAACAAGGATAAGGTTATAAGGGCAAATACCAATCGTAACTGATTCCTGCTGACAGGGATGCTGTTTTGTGAAAACAGTAGTCAGATCTCCTTCAGAAGCCTATTTAAGGGTTCCCAGCAAAAGGAGCCACTGTCTGAGACTCCGTTGCATGACTGTTTGGAGTTTGATGGTCTGAAGGCAAGAAGAGATAAATTGGGTTATTAGAAAACATGTATCAAAAATCCTAAAGCCTTTTACTAGTTTGCATGGAGAGAGGGAGGCCAAAAGCCTGACTGGTAAAAACAAACAAACAAACAACAACAACAACAACAACAACAACAACAAAAACTTTGCCCTTTTGACAGCATGTTGGGCTTCTGGCCCCGAGCCCAATCCTAAGACAACCAGTTTAAGGTTTGGGAAATTAACTTTTCCCAGTTTGAAGGATGCATCTGATGGGAGTGTCCTGTAGTACAGAGACACAACTACCTATCTGTGAAGAGAGGAAAGAGGAGGAAAAAGGAAAAAAGAAGGCATTATTTTCAAAGGCATCACAGTGGTTCAGGATGCATTCAAAAGGGGTACAGACTGAAGATGAATGGCTACTCATCTAGAAAGGGGGTGGCGGGGCATCCCAGGTTCCCTTCTCTTCCTAGCAAATACCCAAGGTACATGAGGGAGAGAAAGTGAGGCATCCCTCTTTCTTTCTTCCATCCTTATATCCCTGAGTCCCAGCAACCACAACAGGGTACCACCCATGGGTGTCAAAGCAGCTTTCACCCATGTCAACAAGGGGGCATAGGGGGTGGGAATATCCACTCTTACTCATTTATGCCCTATCTCTCCTGCTGTCAGTAGCCTTTGAGTTCCCTAGAACTCATTTTTACCATGGATACTAGCATGACCTTTATCCATGAAATGAGAGGCTTGGCTTAATCGGCAGGAATTAGTGATGCTCACCTGCACTGTGCCTTTTAACTTCATTATTGTCTGCCTCTGCATCCCTCAGATCCAGTTTTCTTTCCTAGGGCTTCAACTAAAAGCTTGGAATTGAGTTTGGGACCAAAAATCTGTCTTGGGGAGGTTTCTTGGACTCCTTATCATAAGCTGAATGCTAAAGTGAAGCTGTGGAATTAAGTCCTCCTCCAACAAGGGACCCAAAAAGGAAACATTTGGGCATCCTATTTATTTCCATCACCCAGGAGGATTTGCAGGATAATTGCCCAGAACTAGAATATTGATCCAGAGTTTTTCATTTTCCATCCCCTCTTACTCTTTTTTTTTTTTTTTTTTTTTTGAGATGAATTCTCACTCTGTCACCCAGGCTGGAGTGCAGTGGCACCATCTCAGCTCACTGCAACCTCTGCCTCCCGAGTTCAAGCAATTCTCATGCCTCAGCCTCCCAAGTAGCTGAGGTTACAGGCATGCACCTCCACACCCATCTAATTTTTGTATTTTTAGTAGAGAAGGGATTTCACCAAGTTGGCCAGGCTGGTCTTGAACTCTTGACCTCTCAGGTGATCCACCTGCCTTGGCCTCCCAAAGTGTTGGGATTACAGGCATGAACCACTGTGCCCAGCCCTCCCTTTTGTTCCTTCTGAGCTGTAGACAGAGATCGCAGATTGGTTCATAGGAATAAGCAGGGTTAGTCTATAATGTAGGCAAAAACTTAAAAACAACTAAGCAGTCTAGAATTTAATGATAATAAGTTTTGAAACATAATTTCTCTAGTCATTTTTGTTAAAAAAATCATGATAGGACTGAGTTGCTTGCAAAATAGACTTTAGTCTTATACTTAGCCTGATTATTTACATAAAGTGCAGCAAGAATAATTAGTTTTACATATGCCTTTTAGATTGGCTTTGATGGAACTCTGTTCCACAAGGAGTCTCAGATAGGACTTTCTAAAGCCGAGCCCACCCATGGGTTTGTACCCTCAAACATCTGTGAGTGGGTAAACTCTTTTCTTGAGGTCCCAAGAGCATGGGGTTCTTGGGCCTGTTAGAAAGTGACATTCTTTACTTACCACAGGTTAGGAACCCAGTATGAAGACTGTGTAGACAAGGTATGAGGCCAGTTTTCCCAAGGGACTTTTATTGGCTCTGCAAGTTGAGCTTGACTCCTTAAAGGGAAGCATACCTTTTCATCAAAGCCTTGGTAAAACAACCAGTTTCTCCAACTGCATCCTTTTGCAAAAGAAAATGGGTTGTTATTGCACTGATGCAAGCAACTATATTGCCATAAGTTAAGAATACTCAACTAGTTTCTAAATTCTGCAGAAGCCAGGGAGAGAGAGAGAAAAAAAAATGTTCCAAATTTTGTTCACAGAAGTATATCTTACTCAATTATTAAAGGCTGTAAATAGCTCAAAATAAATTTCCTTGACTCTGAAAAACAGAACAAGGATCAGCAATGTTCCAAGCAAAAATCAAAAAATTACTTCAGCTTTCTATTAGTTCAGTCTGTTTAGTTAACTGTTGTTTTGCTTAATATTTATGAACATATCAGCTCTTCATGAGTCCTGTACATTTTTTTCTCTATTCCAATGTCACAGTCTCCAAAGTTATCAGAAACCTGCATTTGAGAGCACTTGTCAAAGTTCTATAGCTGGTTATAAACCATCTTTTGAAGAGGATCAAAACAATACAATTGTGAATAACAAAATGTCTGGGGTAGTTACAGTCAGAGACATGATTGACAAAGAAAGTTGGTTATCTGTATGGTTTAAAATAACATAACAACCCTAATTGTGATTGATAGCATATATTCAGCCATAAGAATTTTAGAAATCCCATACAATTTTGGAACATACATTATTATTCCCTAAAATATAACCTGATGAAGATTAAACATCATTTTGGCAATCCCATGTACCTAAACACGTCAGACAGTCCTGTTTACCTCTCTTCTGGATGCTCCAGAGGCCCTCTGAAGCATCCAAAAGCTAGGGTTCAGGAAAGACAACCTCGAAGCTAAAATGTAATTTTGGGAAGCCTGTTAAATGTTAGAGGTTTAAAACACTTGATGTTATGAAATAGAATCCCAGATTACCATAAGTTATTTTGCCAAAATGATAACTCAAAAATTTAAAAAAGCAAAAAGCTTTTATAACACTTTTGAATTTAGTCAATGTTCACACACAGAATTTCTTTGGCAAGGTTAATTATTTAGAAACCTTCCACAACTTCTTTGAGCGTTTGGCTTTATCTTATCTAATTCAAACCAATCCTTTAACCCTAGGCAAAAATTTATATTTTGACTACATCTGCATTTTACTAATAATCTTTAAGGCTTTTTATTTCTCAGAGATTAAAATCTTGTAAACCAAAAGATATCACAGCTTTTATGTTCTCTTTAAAAAATATTTGATTTAAGCATTTATTTTTCTTTCAAGCCAGTTAATTAGAGCTCTTTTTT
Source organism: Homo sapiens (assembly GCF_000001405.40). Taxonomy (NCBI): domain Eukaryota; kingdom Metazoa; phylum Chordata; class Mammalia; order Primates; family Hominidae; genus Homo; species Homo sapiens. The sequence goes on from NC_000009.12 coordinate 23,944,814, forward strand.
GTAGACATCACACACAACACATATATAACTACACAAACTCACAGAAGAAGATCGAAGAGCTATAAGAGTTTTTTTATTTGCTAATCTCCTAACTGGACTATTGGCCTCTGGGTGGAGACCTGTAAGAGCAAATCTAGGAAAGCATGCACTCTCTAGGGCCTGCTAAACAGGTATAGCTGAAACACAAAAACAGATTTTGAGAGGGATCCATCTGCCTCCAATTCGTGGGACTCCCTGAGGAAAACAGAGGTCTCTCTCAAAATGGAATCTGTGGTGGCTTTTCTGTTTTTTTTCAAGGAGTCCCAAGCCATCAGAAATTATCTTAGGGCCCCTTATGCTTGCATTTAGAGTGACAAGATGAAATGGAGAAAAATAATTCAGTTGACTGAGAAAAAAATCCTTCTTCCAGCAAAACAAGATCCAAGAAGGGAAAACATAAAGGCCTTTTAAATATACCTATAACTTGGATATCCACTTTTAATTAAGCTGAACACTCTTTAAGAAAATTCTTTTAAATCCCTTGTTACATGACTTTAGCTGCACCAAGCAGCCAGTATTTCTGGCTTTCAAACTTTACTGAAGGTAACCACCCAGGTACTCAGAGAAAGGAAAATTCAAGGCAGTTCATGGAGTAGAAGAGAATAAACAAATGGCAAAGGTCACACAGATATCAAACCACAAAGGACTCATTCCCTAAGCCAGGATTGAACCCAGGCCACCATTGTAAAATAGTGGAGGCTAAAACAAAGCATTGCCACATGGTTCTCCCAAGGACGTAAAACAAGATAGAAGCTTGCAGCAAAGTTTGCTACTGACCAGTTAGCCAGGCTGGCTTGAACAGTGGGTCTATGGAGTCCTAGGCCCACATCCCATCCTTAGATACCCCTCTTTCTGACAGAACCATACTAAAGCCATCCAAAGCATCGCCAGATTGGCTACAGCTTAAGACCAATCTCACAAATCCATTTTTGTAAGTAAAACTTTACAAAGAATGTAAACAGTGATAGTTGGGTTCCTGGCCTAGTAAAACGTCCTTGAAAAGGAAAGAATAGCCTCTTGCATAAAAGTTAGCTCCTGACCTAATGGAGAAAAGGAAAAGAAAAACAGCTTAAATGCAGGGCTAGAAAGATACCTTGGGGAAGAACCTCTTATTCTTATGCAAATGGGTTTTTCCAACAGGGAGAGAAACTTTTAATTGCCATTGGATGGAGATGGACTCCTCGGCTGGAGGAGGGGAAGGCACCATGCATGCGTGGCAGGGAATGCTGGCCAGCCAGCCAAGCGGGGACTTGGGCCATGCGCCATAGCCCCAGGTAGGAGGGTAGGGGGGTGGGAGTCACCACTCGCCTGTCTATCCAGTGTGCGTGACTGCAGCCACTGGGGTGGGGTTAGAACACCCCCAATATTGTAAAGGAAAAAATAGATGCCATACAGTCCCAACAGGAAAGATAGAAAATGCCACAGAAAAGACTGGGTTGGATTGAGGCCGACATTCCTGAATCCGAAGAGTGACAGTAGGGGGTTGGTGGGGTGGGGTGCAGTTTCCTCTACCCTCAGAAGAAGTCTGAGGACAGGAAGGCTCAGAAACGAGGGATAAAGATTTTTTGGTCTGCATTTTACTCACCTTTCCTCGTTCCCCAAACAGGCTACCAAAATGATGCAGGATTTTTTTTTTTTTGCTTCTCAGCTCAGCTAAAATCTGAGTTCCTGTCTCATGACCAGGAAAAATTAGGCACACAGACAAATTGAAAGTTGAGGAGAGTAGAATTTATTAAAAGAAAGCTCTCAGCAAAGAAAGGGGGTCCTGCCAACAGGCTCTCACCTCACATATTGAATATCAGACCACCACACAGGAGCTGAAGAGGACAGGCTTCTCCCTGCATAAAGAGTGAATTCCTGGTGTCTCCACCCTGTTCTCCCAGTGTACATACAGGTGGGTCCTTAGTCTGAGCCATTCCACATTGATTTATTTCCCTTACTGCATATGTGTTAGGAAATGAAATTTTTCACCTTGGGTATGTTTAAGCAAGCCTCCTGTGCACAGTGCCCTGGTTGGCATTTGGCTGTCTCCCGTCTCTCTCGCAAGCACACACGATGACTTGAGATGATGCATATATTCAAGGAATGGATATTATAAAAATAAAAATTATTAATCTGGGCCATGTTCACACTTCTGTTGCTCTTTATTTCCTTGACTGGGGGAAGTTTTCTTAATTTTATTTCAGCCATTATGGCCTTTCATGCATTTCAATTTTGAGCCTAATACTTTTAATGAATGTTCTATCTTGGTTAATATTTTCACAGAATGCTGTTTTCAGTAAATTTTACATAATGCAGCTTATCAGCTAATGTTTCAAAATATAACATTTTTGTTATATTGCTATCATTGAGTGGGTACCACTCAAGAATTTTAAACAGGAGATAAATTTACTGCTATTTATTTTCTCTGTCTTTTTTTTTTTTTTTTTTTTTTTTGAGACGAAGTCTTGCTCTGTTGCTAGGCTGGAGTGCAGTGGCACGATCTTGACTCACTGAAATCTCTGACTCCCTGGGTCAAATGATTCTCCTGCCTCAGTCTCCCAAGCAGCTGGGATTACAGGCACCTGCCACCACACCCAGCTAATTTTTGTATTTTTAGTAGAGACGGGGTTTCACCATGTTAGCCAGGATGGTCTCTATTTCTTGACCTCATGATCTGCCCACCTTGGCTTCCCAAAGTGCTGGGATTACAGGCATTAGCCACTGCACCTGGCCTCTTTTAGACAGCACTAGTTTACAGATCAAGATCTATTCTCAAATATCTAACTATATGTTTATATATTTATACTGTTTGTGTATTTATATTTTCAAGTAGTTTTTCCAGGAATATTGAAGCAGAGAGAAATAATTATGTAATGAATCTCTGAGGTTCAGTTGAAAAACAAAAGTAAGAGAAAGCATCTTTATGATTTTAAAAAATGATCTTTATCTCAAGAGCAAGTGAATGAGACTGTAGTCATGAATAAAATGTAAAATTTCAAAAAGATTTATAAATAAAATAAATGTTGGAATTTGGAATTCTAAGGGATGGAAAGAATAACAAATAATGAAAATAAAAATTTCAATAAAATGTCAACAAATGGGAAGTAATAGATAGTATTAGGTAAAAAGAATTTCAAGGAACATTTAGAAAATCACACACATACACAAATATATGAGGTTGCATAGGAGACATTCAGGGGTACTGCTAGTTGAATCAAAATTTTAAAACCTTGAAAAATGAGACATGTATAAGAATTATACCAAAGCAGGATGACTTGAAGGACTTAAACTCAGAAAGTCAAAATTAGAAGGTAGCTGCAACTAATAACTGACAAGATGTCAAGGTATGGAGTAATTAACCTCTAGAGATATCTTCCAATTCAACCAATAGCTATTTTTTTTAAATACTATAAAGGTCCTTGTTCACTGAATGTCGTGTGTTATTATGAATAAATCTGACACAGTTCTGTAGAACTCAAGAGGTTTTTGTGTTGTTTTTGTTTTTGAGACAGAGTCTCGCTCTGTCACCCAGGCTGGAGTGCAGTGGCATGATCTCAGCTCTCTGCAATCTCCACCTCCTGGATTCAAGCACTTCCTGTGCCTCAGCCTCCTGAGTAGCTGGGATTACAGGCATGCACCACCATGCCAGCCTAATTTTTGTATTTTTATTAGAGACTGGGTTTTGCTATGTTGGCCAGGCTGGTCCCAAACTCCTGAGCTGAAGTGATCCTCCCACCTCGGCCTCCCAAAATACTGAGATTAGAGGTGTGAGCCACCACCCCTAGCCTAAGAGGTGTTTTTTAAACACTCTTCAAAATACAGTCGACAGGCTTCTTCTTAAAAATAAAATAGATTATAGATGTATTCTTTAAGGAAGCAGGAGAGATCTAGTGCTTATTTCCACAACTGCATTCCTGCTATGTCTACTCTCTTTTGAAAGAATGTGTGCAGTGAGTTAGATTTTGTGCTAGAAATGCCAAAGGTGAAAAATAGAAAAATATTATACAAGTTAAGGATTATATGTATATATTCATTTCTTCAACAATGATTTATTAAATAACTATTTCTTCCAGGCACTGTTCTAGGCATTGAAGATACAGAAGTAACCTAAATGGATATTAACTTTTCTCATGGTGTTCCGGTGTGGGAAGACAGACAATAATAATACAAAAGAGTGAATATGTGTCAGAGTGTGAAGAGAGTTTTGGAGAAAAAAGACAGAGTTGGTAGATAGTACTGGGGTTGCTATTTTAGACAGGATGATCAGGAAAAATCTCTTTAATTTGGTGAAAATTAAGCAAACACCAAAATGCAATGAGGTGGCTATGTTGGGGAAAATGTAAATTACAATTTATAAAATGCATTACAAAGTGTATTATTTTATTTGAGTTCTACAACAACTGTAGGAAGCTAGATATATATTATTATCATTCTTAATCTTGTGGAAACTACAGTTAAGAGAGGGCAAGGGAGTTGAAGTTACCTGCCTAGTAGAGAGGGGTGTTATATTTAATCCAAGTCAAATATTACTAGTTCAGCAACAGGTCTTGACAAAATTGCTTACTTTCTCTAAGCCTCAGTCACCTAATTATTAAGATGGGGATAATAGTAATAGTGACCCCATAGAGTTGTGACAATTGTAAGATGATCTGTATAAATCAATTTAGTGTTTGGCATAGGCGTCTGACAAGCCTTGACTCTAGATCAGGGGTCAGCAAACTATTGCCCTCAGGCCATAGCCGGTCTGCTGTCTGTTTTTGTAAAACATGCGAGCTAAGAATGGTTTTTACATTTTAAATGGTTGGAAAAACCAAAAGAACATTATGTGGACTTCAAATATCATTGTCCATAAATAAAGTTTTATTGGAACACAGTCATTCTCATTCATTTATGTTTGTCTAAAGCTGTTTTATGCTACAACAGCAAAATTGAGGAGTTATAACAGAGACCATATAGCTGGCAAAGCTGAAAATTTGCTAACTGACCCTTTACAGAAAAATTTTACTGATCCCTACTCTGGATAGAAGTGCTCAACTTTGCTGCCCAAGCTATGTGTTGTTTCTTTTTATTTCATTTATTTTTATATTATTTTATTTTTAATAAGCATATAATAATTTTACATATTTTGGGGGTACCTAGTTATGTTGTGATATGTACCACGCACAGTGATCAGATCAGGGTAACTGGCGTATCCATCATCTCAAACATTTATTGTTTCTTTGTGTTGGGATAATTCAATATCCTCCTTCTAGCTATTTAAAACTATATATTATTGTTAACTATAATTGTCCTATAGTGCTATAGAACACTATAAATTATTCCTCCTACTTGTCTGTAAATTTGTATTCTTCAACAAATCTCTTCCTATCCCCAACTCCCACCACCCTTCCCAGCCTCTAGTATCCTTTGTTCTACTTTTTACCCCTTTGAGATCAACATTTTTTTTTAGCTCCCACATGTGAATGAGAACATATAGTGTTTAAATTTCTGTTCCTGGCTTATTTTACTTAACAAAATGCCTCCCAGTACCATACAAGTTGCCACAAATGACAGGATTTCATTCTTTTTTATGGCTAAATAGAATTCCATTGTGTTTATATACCACCTTTTCTTTGTCCATTCATCTGTGGTTGGACACCTACCTCAAGGCTGATTCCATATCTTGATTATTGTGAATAGTGCTGGAATAAACATGGGAGTGTGTATATCTCTTGGATATACTGATCTCCTTTCTTTCGGATAAATGCCCAGTAGTGGGATTGTTAGATCATATGGTAGTTCAACTTGTAGTTTCTTAAGAAACCTCCATATGTTTCTTCATAGTGGTTGTACTAGTTTACATCACATCAACAGTGTATAAGAGTTCCCTTTTCTTTGCATATGTCTTGCCCTTTCAAGTCTGCAAAGAGGTCTGCCTATACCACCTAATCTAAAGTAGTTCCTTCCATCCCAATCTCACCTCTTAATTTCTTTCCATTGCTATGTTTTATTTTCATCAATGCACTCACTAGTGTCTGAAATTATCCTATTTATTTTGTGCTTGTTTATCAGTTTCCTTCCCACTTGATGAAATGCTCTGCTTGTGTAAAAAATCCATCTGACATCTTGTCAGTTAGAGTTTTAGGATATATTTATGTTTTGCCTATATGTCTTTGGTCTTATTTCTCAGTTTCCTATGAACTCTGAATGGTAAAGAGGTGTTGTTGATAGATTCTGCTCAAAATCTCTAGAAACATGTATAGATTGTTTCTTTTGAAGAATGGGACTATACTCTAGATCTTATTTGACTTTATTTTCTCTCTTTATTTTACCTTGTTTGTACATATAACTCCCTATTTTTTTTTTTTTTTTTTTGACACAGAATCTCACTCTGTCACTCAGGCTGGAGTGCAGAGGCACAATCACAATTCACTATAGCCTCTACCTCCTGGCTCAAGTGATCCTCCCACGTTAGCCTCTCCAGTAGCTAGGATTACAGGTATGTGCCACTGTTCCCCACTAATTTTTGTATTTTTTGTAGAGACAGGGTTTCACCATGTTACGCAGGCTGGAACTTCCTATTATTTTAATAACTCCAATATATAGATAAAATTAGTTTAACTATTATCATTTGGATGGAAATTTGTAATAATTTATTATTACAAACAGTGATACAATGAGTATTTTGTTATTTTGTTCATTTGTGCAAGTATTTCTGCAGAATAGTATTATATGTAAATATTATCTCAAGAAATATGCCTATTTTAAAGTTTATAGATGTTGAAAAATTGCTTTCTAAAGAGCTGTGTGAATTTTTATGCTCCTTAACAGCACCTCTTCCCCATATCTTAACTAACACTGGATATTGTAAAGATTTTTCATTTCAGGCCAATCTGGTATGTAAAATGTGATACTGCATTACTATTTTAATTTTTTCATTGAATATATATGACTGGACATATTTGCTTAGGTGTGGTGGTCATTTGTATTCCTTTTTCTGTAAATTACCATTCATATCATTACTCCTCAAAAATGTTGAATTGTCCTTTGTTAAAATTGATTTTTATGAGTTCTTTAAAAAATTTTGACATTATTTCTTTTTAATCTCATGTATGTTTTAAATATTTCCCATTTGTCTATTAATTATCTTTGAGTTTTGCTTCTGGTGTCTTGTAGCCAAATCTATCAGCTTTTTCTTTGTGGCTGTTAGATTTTAAGCCTTGAAGAACTTCTTCACTCAAAAATTATAAAAATATTTCTCCATATTTTCTTCTAGTAATTTTATAAATTTTTAATGTTCAGCTCTTTCATCTATCCAATTTTGCCTAATGTAATTGATCTAAATTAAATTTTCCCTTAATAGTTATCTGCCGCAATATTATTTACTGAGTTGCCATTTTTTAAAAACTACTTATTTGAAATGTTAACATCTAAAAACATATGCAGTTATTCCTTGATTATATTTTTTTAAGTAAAAAAATTAAAATTAAAGAACGGAATAAATACAAAAGTACACAAATTGTGAACAAAAACTTGATTAATTTACAAAGCAAACACACCATGTAACTATCAGCTATGTCAAGGAATGAAATTATTACTATCTCAGAAAACTGTATTCTGTAGGTAGTCCATTGTATCTTCAAATATTGATAATTCTGTCTTTTAGAAATATATTTTAATTTTGCTCCTACTATGTTAGGAAGGTCTCCAGAAATATACAAGGACCTCTTTCTCTTGTTCCTGCTTTAAATGGGGAATGCTTTTGATCTTTTATTATTAAACATGAGATTTCCTGTAGGTTCTTGGTAGATTCTCCCCAATAAAGTACAGAAAAATGTTTTTGTATTCCAAATTTATAAAGATAAAAAAACATGCATAGGAGCTGAATTTTTGTAAGGCAACAATCAGAATTGCCTGAAGGTGACCTTATAGGCTCAGGCTGGCTTGCTTGAACATCAGGCTAGCTGGGACAACAACATTTCTCCTACAACAGTAGGAGAAAATTCACTGAAATTCAGCTTTCACCCTCTCTCTGCCCCACCTTTGAAGGAGAAACTAAAACATCTCACCTCACTAATATCTTTACTAAGACAGGTAGCTGACCTACTCAGGCAATTCCTCTAAACTGCTTTTGCTCCAAATCCAGAAAACCGGATGCTAGGCAGCCTGAGTGCTCTCCCCACCCACAAGATTGACTCTCATGATTGAATTATCAGGAGGAGAGATGAGGGTGTGGAGGTGATAGTAGAGGCTGGCAGTAGACCTCTGGGTCTACTGGGTTAGCAATGCTCTGGCTTGGTTTGTCTTCCTGTGTCATGTTGAAAGGATTAGGGGTTACCACTTACGCCGTCTCTTCATTTCTGGTTCCTGGCATTTATAAATTCTCCCTTTCCCAAAAAGTGTATTCTTCAATAGGTGTAACATTGTAGAATTCATCTGATACTTTGTGCGTAGAGATGGTACTCACTCAGGTTAGAGCCACCAGCTGGGGAAATTACATGAATAGCATCTGTCATGATTATCACATTTTAAAGCCAATTTGTTAATGAATTGCATTATATTAATAGATATATTACTGCTTAACTTTTCTTTCTTGTGATAAACGCTAACATGATTTAATGCTAGTCTGATTCACCAGTATTTATTTATCATTATAAAAATCTCTATTAATGAGTAGGAGGACTTTATAGTTTTTTTTGTAAATAATTTTGACACAATTTTGGGGAGGCTTTTCATCTTTATTTCTGTGCTCCGAATAAATTTAAATAACAAGGAGTTATCTGTTCTTTTTGAATTTAGCAAAACTGACTAGTAAAACTGGGTATGTGCATTTTGTAGAGAGGGTAGATATTGATATGCTTTCAATATGTTTTTTCACTACTGTCTAATTTAGGCTTCCTATTTTTAAACTCAAAATTAGTAGTTTAAGCTTTCCTGGGAAATTTTCTATAATTATCCACTTCATCTAATTTCCCCTTCCCCCAACCCATTACAATATATATATTTTTTTTTTTTTGAGAAGGAGTCTCGCTCAGTTGCCCAGGTTGGAGTGCAGTGGCACAATCTCGGCTCTCTGCAAGCTCCGCCTCCTGGGTTCATGCCATTCTCCTGCCTCAGCCTCCCAAGTAGCTGGGACTATAGGTGCCGGCCACCACGCCCGGCTAGTTTTTTGTATTTTTAGTAGAGATGGGGTTTCACCATGTTAGCCAGGATGGTCTTGATCTCCTGACCTGGTGATCTGCCCACCTCGGCCTCCCAAAGTGCTGGGATTACAGGCGTGAGCCACTAGAATAAATTTTTATGTTATTGTCTTTAACTTTAAAAAATATGACCCAATATTCCCTTTCTTGTTCTGAATTTATTATTAATAGCTTTTGTATAAAAAGACTTTCCAAAGTTTCTGTTTCTAAAGAACTAGTTTAGGAATTTGTTTTTATAGGCATGCTTTATTTTGTTGAATTTCGTAGATGTTGCGTTTTTTATACAGTGAAGGATTGAGGCACTTCTGCATCTAGCAGGTCTATTGGCATCATTTCTGCAACAGCGTGTACTCACTTGTGTCTCTGTGTCACATTTGGTATGCTATGGTGATCTGTGATCAGTGATCTTTGATGTTATTGCAATTATTTTGGGGTGCCATGAACCATTCCCATGTAGTATGGTGAACTTAATTAATAAATGTGTGTGTTCTGACTGCTCCACTAACTGGCTGTTTCTCTGTTTCTCTTCCTCCCCTTGGGCCTTTCTATTCCTTGAGACACAATAATATTGAAATTAGACCAATTAATAACCCTGCAATGGCCTCTCGGTGTTCAAGAGAAAGGAAGAGTTATACATCTCTCCCTTGATATTGAAAGCTGGAAATAATGAACCTTGGTGAGGAAGGCATGTTAAATGGCTGAGATAGGCTGAAAGCTAGGTCACTCATGCCAAAGAGTTAGCTAAGTTGTAAATGCAAAGGAAAATTCTTAGATGAAAATTAAAAGTGCTAGTCTAATGAACAGATGAATGATAAGAAAGTGAAACAACCTTGTTGCTAATATGGAGAAAGTTTTAGTGGTCTGGATAGAAGATCAAATCAGCACAGCATTCACTTAAGCCAAAGTCTAATCCAGAGCAGGAACCTAAGTCTCTTCAATTCTGTGAAGACTGAGAGGGTAAGGAAGCTGTAGAGGAAAAGTTTGAAGTTAGCAGAGGTTGGCTCATGAGGTTTAAGGAAAGAAGCCATGTCCATAACATAAAAGTGCAAGGAGAAACAGCAAGTGCTTTTTTGTAGAAGCTGCCATAAGTTATCCAGAAGATTTAGCTAAGATCATTGATGAAGGTGGCTGCATACACTAAACAACAGAATTTCAAAGTAGACGAAACAGCCTTCTATTGGAAGAAGATGCTATCCAGCACTTTGATAGCTAGAGAGGAGAAGTCAATGTGTGGCTTCAAAGCTTCAAAGGATAGGCTGACTCTCTTGTTAGGGGATAATGTAGCTGGTGACATCAAGTTGAAGCCATTGCTAACTGACCATTCTGAAAATCCTAAAGCCCTTAAGAATTATGCTAAATCTACTCTACTGTGCCCTATAAATGGAACAACAAAGCCTGGATGACAGCACATCTGTTTACCATGACTTGTTTATTTAATAAAGTCCACTGTTGAGACCTGATGCTCAGAAAATAGGATTCCTTTTAAAGTATTACTGCTCATTTGAATGTGCTTGGTCACCCAAGTACTCTGATGAAAATGTGTAAGGAGACTGATGTTTTCCTACCTGATAACACAACATCCATTTTGCAGCCCGTGAATTAAGGAGTAATTTCAACTTTTAAGTCTTTTGATTTAAGAAATACATTTCATAAGGCTATAGCTGCCATAGATAGTGATTCCTCTGATGGATCTGGGCAAAGTAAATTGAAAACCTGCTGGAAAGGATTCATAATTCTAGATTCCATTAAGAACATTTGTGTTAGGAATGTGGCAAGTCATTTACTTCTTCCAGTGTCCTTCAAGGCCATGAAAGGACTCATACTGAAGAACCTGAGGAATGTAAGAAATGTGGTGAAGCCTTCGGTTGTTCCAGTTCCCTTTGAAAGCATGAAATTTCTTATATGTGGTTTTAAAAAACCCTATGAATGTAAGAAATGTGTTAAAGCTTTCAGATGTTCTAATTTCACTAGAACACATGAAAAAACTCACACTGGAGAAAAACCCAACAAATATAAGGAATATGAGAATGTATGCAATTTCCCCAGTTCCCTTTAAAAACAGAAGAACCTATACTAGGAAGAAAACCTCATAAATGCACAAAAGTGGTAAAGCATTCCATTTTCCCTGTTGCTTTCAGGTACATACAAGAATTCACAATAGAGATATACCTTGTAATTTTCAGAAATGTGGTAAAGCCTTTAGTTTTTTTATTTTTCTTGAAATCATGGAAGGACTTAGTGGAGAAAAGCCGTATGAATGTAAACATTTGGTAAGTCCTTTAGTTGTTCCTGTTCCATTTGAAGATATGAAAGAACTCATTTCTGAGACTAACCCTATAAATGTATACAGTGTGGGAATGCTTTTATTTCTCTGATATTTATTCAAAGGTGCATGATAACATATACTGGAGATTGACCTTACAAATAAAAGCATGCTGAGATAAAACCCCAGTAGTTTGGAAAATACAGGGAAGTTTTCAATTGTAACAATTACTTTAAAAGTTATGTGAAAACTCCCACGGGAATGGAATCTCATAAATATAGGTTAATTGGAACTTGTGATGCAAAGTAATTACTGCATAATGCTAAAAATGCACATAAATTCTATACTCATCACAAATGTATCGTATTTGTCAGTGGTTCATTGTTGAAGAGGGACTCTATACTTTTGATTTTCACTTGTTTTGCAAGGAATCATGGAGGTGAGAATTCTGTAGATACTCTATAAGCCATAGTACATGAATTTAATAGGCAGTGGTTTTATTCTCATCAGTTAATAAAATGTTTGTGTATCCACTTAAAAGTGTGTTAGACCCCTAGGTGAGTTGAAATGCATTTCTAATATGTAGGCGTCTTTAATTTTCACGTAGTTGTTTAATTGTTCTGTAATTAATGGGCCATGGAAAAATGAGTTCTTGTTAATTGTTTGAATTTTCTTAGTGGTTTTATGTGTCAAGTTTTAGCTAGTACTTACCCATTATATATATATAATATACATTATATATAATATATAATTATATATTTATAGATTTGATTTATATATATAATTCTATATATCATATATATGATATATATATCCCACCATTTTAATGGGAAAGACTATTTTTTGGCCGTAAAGGATGTTTCTTCAATTTTCTTTGCTAATAAAGAGTTGTGATCAATTTTCAAAAAAAAAAAGAACACTAGTGATTCATGGGAAGAGGTAAAAATATGCACATTAATAGGAGTTTGGAACAGGTTGATTCCAGCTCTCATGGATACCTTTGAGGGGCTCAATGCTTCAGTGGAGGAAGTAAATGCAGATGTTCTGGAAATAACAAGAGAACTAGAGTTCAATGTTGAAGCCTGGAGATGTGACTGTGACTGAATTGCTACAATTTCATTATAAAGTTTGCATGAATGAGGAGTTGCTTCTTATGGATGACCAAATAAAGTAGTTTCTTGTGATGGAATCTGAAGCTGGTGAAGATACTATGAACATTGTTGAAACGATGACAAAGAGCTTAGAAGGTTACCTAACTTATTTGATAATTCATTGGCAGTGTTTAAGAGAATTGACTACAAATTTGAAAAAAGTTATATGAGTGAAATGCTATCAAACAGCATCGCAGGCTTCTTGTATTAAATGCTTGGTTTATTTATTTTCAACTCTTTCTTTTCAGTTAATACCTGTATTTAAGTTGATTTTTTTGCTAAGTGCTTCTTTGCTCATCACATAGACTTTGTCAGTAATTCCTTAATAATTCTAATTTCCTTTTTGATTTCCTCTTTAATGTAAGTAATTTAGGAGGGTATTTTTAATCTTTAAAGAGACAGATTTTCATTTGATGTATTGAGTAACTTGTTATTTGATTTATAATATGATTCTATTTTTCTCCCAAGTCAGTACATTAAGTTCTGCCTCGTTTTCTTAAAAGTTGCATTGCATTAAGTTTTATAGATGTATCGTAATTTATTAAACCAGTATCATATAGGTAGAGATTTAGAGCCTTTAGAATTTTAGCTTGTACAAAGAGTGCTACAAAATATTTTTATCAACGCTTATGTGCAGGTATTTCTTCAGGAAAGCACCCTAGAATTGAAATCATAGGGTCAAAAACTTATGTATATTTTACATTAGACAGATACCACTCAATTGGGTTTCAAAGACTTTTACATATGTACCAACAACAATACTGTTTCCTTTCATCCTCATCATAAGTAGGTGTGGTCAAACTTCTAATTTTCTTTGTGCCAATCAAATTATGGTATGGAGAACAATGGTCCCCAAAGATGTCCATGCCCTAGTTCTGGGAACATGGCAAATGGGACTTTGTTGATATGATTAAGATATGGACCTTTAGATGGGAGATTGTCCTCATTATCCTATCCAGTAGGGCCCAAAATAATCACACAAGCTCTTAGAAGCAGAAGAGAGAGTCAGAAGAAGGGGTGAGAGAAATACAGCATAAGAAGACTTGACCCACAATTGCAGGTTTTAAAGATGGAAGAAAGAGGCTATGAGCCAAGGGATGTGCTGGCTTCTAGAAGCTGGGAATGACCCCTGGCTTACAGTGAGTGAGAAAATCAAGACCCCAGTCCTATAACTACGAGAAACTGAAATCTGCCAACAGCCTGAATAAAGACAAAACATGCTTCCCTAGAATAAACAGGAAACATGCTTCCCTAGAGCCTCCAGAAAGGAAGGCAGCCTGCCATCATCTTGAGAGTATATTGAGACCCATTTCAGACTTCTGATCTACAGAACTGTAAGGTAATATATTTGTGTTATTGTAAGCTACTAAAATGTGATGATTTGTTATGCTAGCAATGGAAAATGAATACATTGATGCTTTAATTTTCTTTCCAAGATAAGAAGTAAATTGGAGCATTTAATTTTTTATTTACAGTGTTATTGAATTGTGATTAGAAAATGTGATCTGTTTGTTTTTGTTTTTAAATTTTATCAATATTTCCTATGGGCCCTAATATGCTAATGTAGTTTTTATCTCCTGACAGGACCCTGATTAACATTCTAGTGTATGTAAATATCTCAATTTTTATTTGAAAATAATACACATTCACCATTTATCGGGTATAAAATGCAACGTTGCTATGTGGAACTATTAAATAAAACTTAGTTATTTAAATCCTTTATATTTTTACTTAATTTTTTTCAATCACCTGATCTCTTAAATTCTGAAAGATTTTCTAAATTCTTCTATAATGATTGCAAATTTGAAAATTTATCATTGTGTTTTTTCTAATTGAAATGATGAAATATTTGATGCTAATGAAAATTTCAAAGCATATAAATGAATAGCTATGACTGTTGGTTGATCTTATGAACTAGAACATTACCAACTGATAGGCTTTGGTTGTGTCCCCACCCAAATCTCATCTTGAATTCCCATGTGTTTTGGGAGGGACCAAGTGGGAGGTAATTGAATCATGGGGGCAGGTGTTTCCCTTGCTGTTCTCATGATAGTGAACAAGTCTCACAAGATCTGATGGTTTTAAAAAAGGGAGTTTCCCTGCACAAGCTCTCTTCTCTTGTCTGTTGCCATGTGAGTCATGCCTTTCACTTTGCAACATGATTGTGAGCCCTCTTCAGCCACGTGTAGCTGTAAATCTATAAACCTCATTCTTTTGTAAATTGCCCAGTCTCAGGTATGTCTTTATCAGCAGCATGAAAACGGACTAATATACCAATACTTTGCAACACCTCTGTGACTTCCTGTATCTTATTCGTCTTCTTTCCTTAAGAGTTAATCAACTATTCTGAATTTAGTTTTCATCATTTCCTTGCTTAAAAAAAATTCTATCATATATGCATTTCTATTCCTAGACAATATATTACTCAAGTTTTGTTTGCCTTTGAGCTTTAAAAACTGTTGTATAGTCGTTTCTCCAGAAAAACAGAACCAATAGGATATACAGTTGACCCTTGAAGAAGCCACATATAACTCCCCATGCAGTTGAAAATCCACACATAACTTTTGACTTTGAAAAATTTGGGCTAGGTGCAGTGGCTCATGCCTGTAATCCCAGCACTTTGGGAGGCTGAGGTGGGCAGATCACAAGGTCAGGAGATCGAGACCATCCTGGCTAACATGGTGAAACCCCCTCTCTACTAAAAATACAAAAAATTAGCTGGGCATGGTGGCACATGCCTGTAGTTCCAGCTACTTGGAAGGCTGAGGCAGGGGAATCTCTTGAACCTGGGAGGTGGAGGTTGCAGTGAGCTGAGATTGTGCCCCTGAACTCCAGCATGGGCGACAGAGTGAGACTTCCCCTCCAAAATAAAAAAAAAAAATTGACTACTAATAGCCTAACATTTATCAGAGCCTTACTGAAAACATAGACAGTCAATGAACATATGTTATGTATGTTATATGTATTATATAGTATATCTTATTATAAAGTAAGCTAGAGAAAAGAAAGTTTTATTAAGAAAATTATAAGAAGAGAATATGTATTGACTATTCATTAAGTGGAACTGGATTGTTGTATTGTTCTTCATTCTTATCATCTTCACATTGAGAAAGCTAAGGAGGAGGAGGAGAAAGCTAAGGAGGAAAGCTAAGGATGAGGAGGGGACCTGCACAGTTAAAACCTGTTGTTCAGTTGTTTCTGAAGTGGTTGTAATTTACCTCTTTAACAGCAGTTGTCTAACAATATATTTCTGTCAGTTCACTTTCTTAACATTCAGTGTCCTGAATGGTATTGCTGAGGCTTTCTTCTAGGGTTCTTATGGTTTTAGGCCTTACATTTAAGTCTTTAATCCATCTTGAGCTAATTTTTGTATAAGGTGTAAGGAAGGGGTCCAGTTTCAGTTTTCTACATATGGCTAGCCAGTTTTCCAAACACCATTTATTAAATAGAGAATCCTTTCCCCATTGGCTGTTTTTGTCAGGTTTGTCAAAGGTCAGATGGTTGTAGATGTGTGGTGTTATTTCTGAGGCCTCTGTTCTGTTCCATTGACCTATATATCTTTTTTTGGTACCAGTACCATGCTGTTTTGGCTACTGTAACCTTGTAGTATAGTTTGAAGTCAGGTAGCATGATGCCTCCAGCTTTGTTCTTTTTGCTTAGGATTGTCTTGGCTATGCGGGCTCTTTTTTGGTTCCATATGAACTTTAAAGTAGTTTTTTCCAATTCTGTGAAGAAAGTCAATGGTAGCTTGATGGGGATAGCATTGAATCTATAAATTACTTTGGGCAATATGGCCATTTTCACAATATTGATTTTTCCTACCCATGAGCATGGAATGTTTTCTCATTTGTTTGTGTCCTCTCTTATTTTTTGAGCAGTGGTTTGTAATTCTTCTTGAAGAGGTCCATCACATCCCTTTTAAGTTGCTTCCTAGGTATTTTATTCTCTTTGCAGCAATTGTGAAAGGGAGTTCACTCATGATTTGGCTCTCTTTTTGTCTATTATTGGTGTATAGGAATGCTTGTGGTTTTTGCACATTGATTTTGTATCCTGAGACTTTTCTGAAGTTGTTTATCAGCTTAAGGAGATTTTGGGCTGAGACAATGGGGTTTTATAAATATACAATCAGTCATTGGCAAACAGAGACAATTTGACTTCTTCTTTTCCTATGTGAATCACTTTATTTCTTTCTCTTGCTGGATTGCCCTGGCCAGAACTTCCAACACTATGTTGAATAGGAGTGGTGTGTTGCAGGAAGTCAGGGACCCCAAACAGAGGGACTGGCTGAAGCCGCGGCAGAAGTACATAAATCGTGAAGATTTGACGGACGTTTATTAGTTCCCCAAATTAATACTTTTATAATTTCTTATGCCTGTCTTTACTGCAGTCTCTGAACATAAATTATGAAGATTTCATGGACATTTATTACTTCCCCAATCAATAATCTTATAATTCCCTACGCCTGTCTTTACTTTAATCTCTTAATCCCGTCATCTTCGTAAACTGAGGATGTATGTCACCTCAGGACCATGTGATGATTGTGTTATCTGTACAAATTGTTTGTAAAACGTGTGTGTTTGAACAATATGAAATCTGGGCATCCTAAAAAAAGAACAGGATAACAGTGATTTTCAGGGAACGAGGGAGATAACCATAAGGTCTGACTGCCTGCGGGGCCAGGCAGAACAGAGTCATATTTCTCTTATTGCAGAAAACAAATAGGAGAAATATCGCTGAATTCTTTTCCAAGGAATAACCCTAGGAAAGGAATGCATTCCCAGCGGTGGGTCTATGGATGTCTGCTCTGGGAGTGTCTGTCTTATGTGGTTGAGGATTAGGGATGAAATGCACCCTGGTCTCCTGCAGTGCCCTCAGGCTTACTAGGATTGGGAAATTCCAGCCTGGTGAATTCTAGTCAGACCAGTTGTCTGCTCTCAAACACTGTTTCCTGTTAAGATGTTTATCAATGACAATGCATGCCCAGTGGGACATGGACCTCATCAGTAATTCTAATTTTGCCCTGGCCTTGAGATCTTGCTCTGCCTCTCTGCCCTTGTGGTCTTTTATTGCCCTTTCAAGCATGTGATCTTTGTGACTTACTCCCTGTTCATACCCCCCTCCCCTTTTGAAATCCCTAATAAAAACTTGCTAGTTTTGCAGCTCAAGGGGCATCACAGAACCTACCAATAGGTGATGTCACCCCTGGGGGCCCAGCTGTAAAATTTCTCTCTCTTGTACTCTTTATTTCTCAGACTGGCCGACACTTAGGGAAAATAGAAAAGAACCTACATTGAAATATTGGTGGCTGGTTCCCCCGATAGTGCCGAGAAAGGGCCTCCTTGTCTTGTGCCAGTTTTCAAAGGGAATGCTTCCAGCTTTTGCCCATTTAGTGTGATATTGGCTGTGGGTTTCTTATAAATAGCTGTTATTATTTTGAGATACTTTCCATCAATACCTAGTTTATTGAGACTTTTTAGCATGAAGGGGCATTGGATTTTATCAAAGGTCCTTTCTGCATCCATTGAGATGATCATGTGGTTTTTGTCATTGGTTCTGTTTATGTGATGGATTATGTTTATTGATTGTTGTATGTTGAACCAGCCTTGCATCCCAGGGATGAAGCTGACTTGATCGTGGTGGATAACCTTTTTGATGTGCCGCTAGATTTGGTTTGCCAGTATTTTATTGAAGATTTTCACATCAATTTTCATCAGGGATATTGGCCTGAAATTTTCTTTTTTTGTTGTGTCTTTGTCAGGTTTTTGTATCAGGATGATGCTGGCCTCATAAAATGAGTTAGTGAGGAGTCCCTCTTTTCCCACTGTTTGGAATAGTTTCAGAAGGAATGGTACCAGCTTCTCTTTGTACCTCTGGTAGAATTCAGCTGTGATCCATCTGGTCCTGGGCTTCTTTTTTGTTGGTAGTCTAATAATTACTGCCTCAATTTAGGAACTTGTTATTGTTCTATTCAGGGATTCAACTTCTTCCTGGTTTAGTCTTGGGAGGGTGGATTTGTCCAGGAATTTATCCATTTCTTCTAGATTTTGTAGTTTACTTGCATAGAGGTGTTTATAGTATTCTCTGATGGTAGTTTGTATTTCTGTGGGATCAGTGGTGATATCCCCTTTATCATTTTTTATTGTGTTTATTTGATTCTTTTCTCTTTTCTTCTTTATTAGTCTGGCTAGCAATCTATTTTGTTGATCTTTTCAAAAAACCAGCTTCTGGATTTATTGATTTTTAGAAGGGTTTTCATGTCTCTAGCTCCTTCAGTTCGGCTCTGATCTTAGTTATTTCTTGTCTTCTGCTAGCTTTTGAGTTTGTTTGCTCTTGCTTCTCTAGTTCTTTTAATTGTGATGTTAGGGTGTCAATTTTAGGTCTTTTCTGCTTTCTCCTGTGGGCATTCAGTGCTATAAATTTCCCTCTAAACACTGCTTTAGCTGTATCCAAGAGATTTTCATATGTTGTATCTTTGTTCTCATTGGTTTCAAAGAACATATTTATTTCTGCCGTAATTTCTTTATTTACCCAGTAGTCATTCAGGAGCACGTTGTTCAGTTTCCGTGTAGTTGTGGGGTTTTGAGTGAGTTTCCTAATCCTGAATTGTAATTTGATTGCACTGGGGCCTGAGAGACTGTTTGTTATGATTTCTGTTCTTTTGCATTTGCTGAGGAGTGTTTTACTTCCAGTTATTTGGTCAATTTTAGAATAAGTGCAGTGTGGTGCTGAGAAGAATGTACATTTCGTTGATTGGGGTGGAGAGGTCTGCAGATACCTACTATGTCCACTAGGTCCAGAGCTGAGTTCAAGTCCTGAATATTCTTGTTAATTTTCTCTCATCGATCTGTCTAATATTGACAGTGGTTTGTTAAAGTCTCTCAGTGTTATTGTGCGGGAGTCTATGTCTCTTTGTAGGTCTCCATGACCTTGCTTTATGAATCTGGGTGCTCCTGTATTGGGCGCATAAATATTTAGGATAGTTAGCTCTTCTTGTTGAATCGATCCCTTTACCATTATATAATGGCCTGCTTTGTCTCTTTTGATCTTTGCTGGTTTAAAGTCTGTTTTATCAGAGACAAGGATTGCAACCCCTGCTTTATTTGGCTTTCCATTTGCTTGGTAAATACTCCTCCATTCTTTTATTTTGAGCCTATATATGTCCTTGTATGTGAGATGGGTCTCCTGAATACCACATCAATGGGTCTTGACTCTATCCAATTTTCCAGTCTGTGTCTTTTAATTGGGACATTTAGCCCATTTATATTTAAGGTTAATATTGTTATGTGTGAATTTGATTCTGTCATTATGATGCTAGCTGGTTATTTTGCCTGTTAGTTGATGTAGTTTCTTCATAGTGTCAATGGTCTTTATAATTTGGTACATTTTTGCAGTGACAGATACTGGTTGTTCCTTTCCATGTTTAGTGCTTCCTTCAGGAGCTCTTGTAAGGCAGGCCTGGTGGTGACAAAATCTCTCAGCATTTGCTTGTCTGTAAAGGATTTTATTTGTCCTTCACTTATGAAGCTTAGTTTTGCTGGATATGAAATTCTGGGTTGAAAATTCTTTAAGAATGGTGAATATTGGCCCCCACTCTCTTCTGTCTTGTAGGGTTTCTGCCAAGAGATCCACTGTTAGTCTGATGGGCTTCCCTTTGTGGGTAACCCGACCTTTCTCTCTGGCTGCCCTTAACATTTTTTCCTTTATATCAACCTTGGTGAATCTGACGATTATGTGTCTTGGGGTTGCTGTTCTCAAGGAGTATCTTTGTGGTGTTCTCTGTATCTCCTGAATTTGAACACTGGCCTGCCTTGCTAGGTTGGGGAAGTTCTCCTGGATATCATCCTGAAGAGTGTTTTCTAATTTGTTTCCATTCTCCCCCTCATTTTCAAGAACACCAATCAAATATAGGTTTGGCCTTTTAACATAGTTCCCTATTTCTTGGAGACTTTGTTTGTTCCTTTTCATTCTTTCTCCTCTCATGTTTTCTTTATGCTTTATTTTGTTAAGTTGATCTTCAATCTCTGATATCCTTTCTTCTGGGGCTATTGATTCTGTTATGCTTCACGAAGTTCTCGTGCTGTGTTTTTCAGCTCCATCAGGTCATTTATGTTCTTCTCTAAACTGGTTATTCTAGTTAGCAATTCCTCTAACCTTTTTTCAAGGTTCTTAGCTTCTTTACATTGGGTTAGAACATGCTCCTTTAGCTCAGAGGAGTTTGTTATTACCCACCTTCTGTCAGTTTGTCAAACTCATTCTCCATCCAGTTTTGTTCCCTTGCTGGGAGGAGTTGTGATAATTTGGAGGAGAAGAGGTTTTCTGGTTGTTAGAATTTTCAGCCTTTTTGTGCTGGCTTTTCCTCATCTTTGTGGATTTATCTACCTTTGTTCTTTGATGTTGGTGACCTTCAGATGGGTTTTTGTGTGGACATCCTTTTTGTTGATGTTGATGCTATTCCTTTCTGTTTGTTAGTTTTCCTTCTAACAGTCAGGCCCCTCTGCTGTAGATCTGCTGCAGTTTGCTGGTGGTCCACTGCAGACCCTGTCTGTCTGGTATTACCCGTGGAGGCTGCAGAACAGCAAGATTGCTACCTGTTCCTTCCTCTGGGAGCTTTGTCCCAGAGGGGCACCCGCCAGATGCCAGCTGGAGCTCTCTTGTATGAGGTGCCTGTTGACTTCTGCTGGGAAATGTCTCCCAGTCAGGTGGCATGGGGGTCGGTGACCCACTTGAGGAGTCAGTCTTTCCTTTAGCAAAGCTCAAGCGCTTTGCTGGGATATCTCTTCAGAGCAGGCAGGCAGGAACATTTAAGTCTGCTCAAACTTCACCCACAGCCTACCCTTCCCCCAGGTGTTCTGTCCCAGGGAGATGGGAGTTTTATCTATAAGCCCCTGACTGGGGCTGCTGCCTTTCTCTCAGAGATGCCCTGCCCAAGAGGAGGAATCTCGAGAATTAGTCTGGCTACAGCAGCTTTGCTGAGCTGTGGTTTGCTGCCCAGTTTGAACTTCTATGTGGCTTTGTTTACACTGTGAGGGGAAAACCGCCTACTCAAGCCTCAGTAATGGCAGATGCCCCTCCCCCCACCAAGGTTGAGCATCCCAGGGTGACTTCAGATTGCTGAGCTGGCAGCGAGAATTTCAAGCCCGTAGATGTTAGCTTGTTGAGCTCTGTGGGGGTGGGATCCACTGAGCTAGACCACTTGGCTCCCTGGCTTCAGCCCCCTTCATAGGAAAGTGAACGGTTCTGTCTCACTGGCACTCCAAGTGCCACTGGGGTATGAAAATAAAAACTGCAGCTAGCTCGGTATCTGCTCAGTTGGTTGACCAGTTTTGTGCTTGAAACCCAGTGCCCTGGTGGCATAGGCATCTGAGGGAATCTCCTGGTCTGCGGGTTGCGAAGACCATGAGGAAAGCATAGTATCTTGGCCGGAATGCACTGTTCCTCATGGCACAGTCCCTCAGGGATTCCCTTGGCCAGGGGAGGGATTTTCCTGACGCCTTGCGCTTCCCAGGTCAGGTGATGCCTTAGTCTGCTTTGGCTTGCCCTCTGTGGGCTGCACCCACTGTCTAACCAGTCCCAATGAGATGAGCCGGGTACCTCAGTTGGAAATGCAGAAATCACCCACCTTCTTCGTTGATCTTGCTGGGGGTTACAGACTGGAGCTCTTCCTATTTGGCCATCTTGCCAGCCACCCCCTATCTTATTATTTTCTTGCGTTTCCTTTTCTTTCTTTTTTTCATTCTTAAGACACAGTCTTGCCCTGTTGCCCAGGCTGGAGTGCTATGGCATGATCTCAGCTCACTGCAACCTCCGCTTCCTGGGTTCAAGCGATTCTCCTGCCTCAGCCGCCCAAGTAGCTGGGACTACAGGCACGTACCACCACGCCCAGCTAATTTTTTGGTATTTTTAGTAGAGATAGGGTTTCACCATGTTGGCCAGGCTGGTCTTGAACTCCTGACCTCCTGATCCACCCGCCTCAGCCTCCCAAAGTGCTGGGATTACAGGCGTGAGCCGCCATGCCCAGCTCTTTATTTTCTTGATTGTTAATGAGCTGAGAATCTTTTCTTGTTTATTGGCCATTGATATTTCCTTTCTGCGAAATGTGTTTTATGCATTTTTTCCAATTTCCTGTTGGGATTTTGGTCATTGTCTTTCTTTCTTTTTTTATTTATATAAATTTAAAGGGTACAATTGCAGTTTTGTTACATGGATATATTGCATAGTGTTTAATTCTGGGCTTTGAGCGTTTCTATTAGTGGAATAATGTATATTGTACTCATTAAGTAATCTCTCATTACCCACCACCCCAACCTCCCATCCTCTGAGTCTCCAGTGTCTATTATTCAACACTCTATGGCCATGTGTACTCATTATTTAGCTCCCACTTCTAAGTGACACACGGTATTTGACTTTTCATTTCTGAGTTGTCTCACTTAAGATAATGGCCTCCAGTTTCATCCACGTTGCTGCTGAAGTCATAATTTCATTCTTTTTTTTGACCGAATAGTACTGCATTATGTATGTTATTTTCTTACAGAATTTAAGGTATTATTTATGTATTTTTTTTTTCTCTCTGTATGTATTTTTTGCTCTGTTGCCCAGGCTGGAGTACAGTGGTGTGATGATGGCTCCCTGCAGCCTTGATCTCCTGGGTTGAAGCCATCCTCTTGCCTCAATCTCCTAAGTAGCTGGGACTACAGGAACGTGCCACGACACGTGGCTAATTTTTTAATTTTATTTTTGTAGAGATGGGGTCTTGCTATGTTGCCTAGGCTAGCCTCAAACTGCTGGGCTCAAGCAATACTCCCACCATGGCCTCCCAAAGTGCTGGAATATAGGAGTGAGCCACTGTTCACAGCTGGTCTCCATATTTAATATTTTGTTTCTCTTAAGTGTGGCAAATCTCTTTCCCAGTTTGTGATTTGGACTTTGTTTTTTGTTTAATTTATTCATCTTTTATAATTTACTTTTTAAAGTCTTATTTCAATAATCATTCCCTACCTCCAGATCATAAAAGTATTCTGCTTTATTTCCCCCCATCAAACATTGATAATTAATTTTTGCAAATGGTTTAATCCTATTTCATTTATTTTTTGATATGGACAATCATTTTTTCAGTACCACTTTTTGAACAGTTAGTTTTTTCCAGGTGACTGCAAAGACACTTCTGTCAAATATCAAGTTTTCATTTTTTGAGGGTCTGCTTCTGGACAATGTATTCTATTAGACTGTCTATTTGCCCATCAGAGTTCCTATGCCACTCTGTATTAATTATTCTAGTTTCAATATAAGTTCTAATATATACTAGGGCAACACTCTCTGCTTCCTTCTTTTTCCTTCAGTCTTTGTCCTTGTCCTCTTTCTTGTCCTCCTTTTCATTTTTTTTTGGTTATTCTTAGGTTTTAATATTTTCATGTAAATTTTAAACTCTATTTCAAGAGCTTTTCAAATTCCTTTAAAAATTTAAAAAATCTTCCTGGAACTTGACTGAAATTGCATTGAATCAATAGATAACTCTGTAGAGAATTGACATCTTGATGACATTGAGTCATGCTATCCTATTATGGAATATGATATCTCTATTTAGGTCATATTTAATTAAAATGGTCTGTATAAAATATTAATAATAACTGCTGTAGACCGTCACATAGAAGTTTTTGTGCAGACACATGTGTCCAGTTCTCTTGAGAATATACACAGGTAAGAAATTGCTGGTCCATATGGCTTAACTATGTTTAACTTTGAGAAACCGCCAAACTGTTTCCTAAGCAGCTGCACCATTTTGCACTCCTACCAGCTACGTATGAGGCTTTTAATTTCTCCACATGGTTGTCAACATTTATTGTTATCTTCTTTTAGATCATAGTCATTCTAGTGAGTGGGAAGTGGTACATCATTGTGGTTTTAATTTGTGTTTACTTGATGACTAATTTTGAGTATCTTTTGAGTATATATAGATATATATATAACATCTATATGTATATATAGATATATATATAACATCTATATGTATATATAGATATACATAACATATCTACATATAGATATACATAATATATATAACTGTATAGATATATAACAGCTATAATATATAGTTGTATATAACACATAAATGCACACATATAGACATATATATATATATATATATATGATTTGCAAATGTCTTCTCCCATTCTATGGCTTTTTTTTTTACTTTCTTGATCACATTCTTTGTAGTATAAAAAATTTTAATATTGATGGAGTCCACTTACCTATTTTTATTAGGTTGTTTGTTCTTTTGGTGTCATATCAAATACACTATTGCCTAAGCCAAGATCACAAAGATTTACTCCTGTGCTTTCTTCTAAGAGTTTTATAGCTTTATTTCCTATATTTATAAGAAATATAAAGTTCTATGATGTATACTGAGTTAATTTTTATATCTGGTGTGAAGTAGGAACAATTTTTATCATACTTTAACTCTTTAGATAAATTTTAAAAAATTATTTTAACATAATAGCTGATTTAAAATCTGTTTCTAATATGTCTACAATCTGGGCTTTTGTAGAAATAGTTTCTGTTAATTATTTTCCCCCCTGTGTATTGCTCATACTTTCCTGCTTCTTTGGGTGCCTTAAATTTTTTTGGTGAAACTGAACATCTAAAATAAATAATGTGGTAAGTCTGGAAATGATAGCCCCCCATTTCCAGGGCTTGTTCTTATTGGTATTTGTTGCTGTTAGTTTAGTGACATTCCTGCACTAATTCTGTAGCCTGTGTTTTTTCTTTTAACTGACCACTGGTGTCTCTGCCTGGTAAGACTGATGGTCAGCTCATGATTGAATAGAGATTTCCTAAAATGTCCTGTATCAGAAGTCTCCCAGCCTTTGCTGATGGGCTGTGTGTGTGTGTGTTTGTGTGTGTGTGTTGCAAAATGTCTTGAATGCTCCAATTTGCAGTCTACAATTCTGGCTTAGCTTTATCTTTCTTCTTGTGCAGGGACTCAAAGTGAGCCAGAGGTGAGAAATTACATGTTCTTAGGTCTTTCTTGGGCATGTACAGAACCCTGCAAATATATGTGGTTTTCTAGATCCCAGTAATATGTCAGAACTTTTAAAGCTCCCTATGAATACTTTGTTTCCCATTTTTTATTCCTTTTCAATTTTTTGGTCATCCTCTTGTTAGCCCAACTGGTAACCCTGCCTTAGTTAGCCATGAAGTTGAATAATTGCCAGTGATTTTTTTTTTTTTTTGACAAATACCGTGGGATAGGTCAGTTTGCAAAGACTGACCTCTGAGTTAAGTGAAATAATGATAAACCCTGAAAATGGTGCTTTTCAAATGCTGCTGGTCAGGTCAAATATATTCTTTAGGGTTAGATCTTTAGGGAGCTCCAAACCTATTCTCCCTTCTCTAATGGCTACTAGGCTGAAGGTTTTCACAGTTACCATCATTGTGAGGCTGTTGGTTTTTAAAGCTACTGCAATGCTAGAAAAAGGAGATAGGATTAGGGCAAGTTAAAGTGCCACAAAATTTGCTCTTCTTACTGAATTTTAGCTGCTTTCCTTGAATGAACATTCATTGAATTGCTGCGGTTTTTAATTTACAGCATTTTGAAAAAGTTGATTTTGATAATTTTTGCAAGTGTTCTTTCTCATTGCTTTTATGAAGAGATGGATTTTCAGAGTTCCTTACTCTATCATTCTGATGACAGAGTATCTGATATACTAAATGTTGATGTATTTTTAAATTTGTTGTTTTTGTTATACTCTTAATTTTGAAAACAATTAACAATGAAGATAATAGAGATTGACATAAATAAATATGAGAGACATCAATATACCTAGCTTTTATAATTAACCAATGTTAATCTTCTTATCATTGTTGTACTCTGTTGAAATCTACTAATAATACAAGGTTGTCATGATTCAATTATTTGGTTGTTTCTGTCCTAAAAAGTTACCTATCTTAAGAAGCACTTGGATCAGGCGTAGTGGCTCATGCCTATAATCTGAATGCTTTGGGAGGCTGAGGCAGGTAGATCACGAGGTCAGGAGTTCAAGATCAGCCTGGCCAAGATGGTGAAACCCAGTCTTTACTAAAAATACAAAAACTAGCCTGGCGTGGTGGTGGGCGCCTGTAATCCCAGCTACATGTTTTTAATGTCCCTGACTTTCAATCTTCTAATTTATAAAATAGCAACCATAACATACACCTCATAGGGTTATGTTGAAGATTAAATGACACAATGTATGTAATGCTCTTTCTTCAATACATAGTGCCTATAATTATTTAAAATTGAAGCAGTAGTTTGGATATAATTTCAGTTGGAGGAAATTAGCAGGTGAGACGGTTTATTCATGTCAGAAATTTAACATCCTCCCACCTCTTTCAGTTGGTTACTTTGAAATTTTCCATACTTCCTCTTCAGCTGTGATTCTTTTGAGGGGGCATCATTTATTTATATATTTCAGTTCCAAAGCACAGGAAAATATCCTGTTGACAGCATCTTCAATCAATTGCACAGTCTACTTCTTTCCTAGGGCCAGGAAGCCTTGGGTAGGTTACTTCTTAATCCAACTTGAGCAGTAGTGGGCTTACTACTTCGTGTAACATATCAATTTTACAAATTTACCTTGCATGTCAGGGATAAACATAGGTGTTTCACAGAATGTTATGTATCTTTCCCTAAGTTTCTGTAACCACTAATAGATAGCAGTAACATCAAATGTCAAAATATTAATTGCTTTTTTATTCCCCAACATCAGACTGTGCAGTTACTTAGTAATTGGTGTTAAATTTATCTGGTAGATAAAATGAAAAAGATATTGATGTTATATTTCAAGGGGTGCTTACAGAAATAATGAATAACAAAAATTAAATTAAGCAAAATGTACATGCAAACATTTAAATCACTTTCGCAAATAGAATTTAAAACATTTCACGTGATCTTGCTTTGGGATTCACAATAAATAAATGCTCAGATATTTTACTTAGCTATTTTTGAAATCCTTTCTGTGTACTTGAGCAAATATTTATGATAAAATCACAATCTTTGCTACTCATCTTTAAATTGCCACGTGCAAAATTTGGGTGGAGTAGGATACACAGAGAATATCTATTTTTAAAGAAAGTAAGAAAGTGTGTGGATTTTGTTAGTCTAAATGTTATTTTTCTTCCCAATGATGAGGGCATCTCCTTAGTCTAGCCCTGTGGGTTCTGGTGATGATCATTCATGTTATATATATATGTGTGATTTGATTCCTTGGTCCAGTGGCCATTTTTAGAAGTTATCAATTTCCCTGTGTTCTTACTTTACTCCCCATCTCCATTTAGTTAGTGATTTAAAGAAAGAGTTATTTTCTATCATATTTTTTATGGCCGATTTGAAGAATTTTATAAGATCCAAAATGTTACTGTTTCTTCCCCCAAGGCTGAAGAAATTAGAATGTGAGCCCAGAATATGTGTAGAAAAGAAGCTAATTGGAGTAGAGCACCAGACTCAAATATCGTAGGCCAGAATGCTCACATATCTGGGTCTATAATTATTTGGCAAGTGGCATCTACAGTGCTTTCACTAGGAACCAAAGAGATTTTGCCCCCAAATGTAAATGGGAGTGAGGGTAATATTTGTATAGGGACTACAGTAGTTCAGATATATTGAGGAAAAGTTCTTCACATGTTACTTAAATTTTACTCCACTCCTGAGACTCAGCCATTACTATTTTTCTTTTTTTTTCAGACGAGAACATTTTTTTTCTTAGAGAGGTTAAATATTTTCTCATAAGTCATATCACTAGTAAGGATAGAGCCAACCTAGGTCTACCAAATACCTAATTCCGTGTCATTTTTGATATATTTTCTCTTTCTTTCTTTCTTTCTTTTTTTTTTTGTGGTATGGAGTCTTGGTCTGTCGCCCAGGCTGGAGTGCAGTGGCACAATCTCGGCTCACTGCAACGTCTGCCTCCTGAATTCAAGCGATTCTCCTGCCTCGGCCTCCTGAGTAGCTGGGACTACAGGCAGGCTACTATACCTGGCTAATTTTTGTATTTTTAGTGGAGATGGGGTTTCACCATGTTGGCCAGGCTGGTCTTGAACTCCAGATCTCAGATGATCCACTTGCCTCAGCCTCCCAAAGTGCTGGGATTACAGGTGTGAGCCACTGCACCCAGCCCATTTTTGATATATTTTCTTGAGAGTAGTGTAATTAATGTCAGATTAAGGAGGTAAATTAACACTTTTATAAAATGAAAAATGTTAAGAATACTTATGCATTTTTTAGCATACAAGTATGTGGTTCAGATAGCGACAGTGATATTTTTACCAAATGTTCATAGGTAAGGAAATAAAATTCAAACAGTGCTGCTTTTCCCTAATTCTACTTCCTCCAGTCTTCAAATGTAAAGAATTTGATGTAATATTTAGTTGGCTATAAAACAAAAATCCCTAAATATATGTTCTATTTCTGCTATGTAGAATGCCTGTGTTTCCAAATGTAAAGAGCCTATTGAACATCTAACTTAATAAGAAGAAATTTTTTTCTTCATGAGGACATTTATAATTCTCATGATTTTACAGTTCATTTCCCCTACAGATCCAGAGTTCTCTTGGAGTAACTATTGAACAAGTATAGTACATTTATCGAGTATCTGCTTATGCTTGATAATTTATTTGTCTCATCCAGATCCGCTCTACACTCTTCTCTCTCTTGTTCTGTGTCCTGGGAGGCTAACCTTTTTATAAAGTGCATCAGTAGGATCTCCTGCTCTGTGGCTTCTTGTGGGAATTTCCCAGTGGCAGTCACTATCAGGAGAATGGAGGCCTAGAGAAGAGTAAGATTGGGGTATTTTTTTATTTGATTTGTTTTTTGTCATGGCTCCACAGGGTTGTTTGAATCTTGCCTATAACAGACCACTGCTCCTAGAGCTATAGTTACTCTATTAAGATTCCAGAAACTTCTCCCTCCACCTTTTTATGCATAATTGCATAATAGCAATTATAACTTGTAGGTTTCCCTTACAACTGTCCATACTTTTGTAAATCGTCCTTTTATTATCCAATTTGAGTGCACAATCTGTTTCCTACCAGAAGCCTGACTGGTACACAGCTACATACTGAAAAATGTATTAGCCTCTGTACTCTAGACAGAACAGAGGGGTAATTCTTAGGGGAGAGACATTACTAAAAAGCAAAGAACAGATACCAGGCATACGCAATGAAACATACCATACAAATTAACATGGCCAACAGTTCCAACAATTGACTGTGGAGATGGAAAAAAGAAAAACTGGAGTTAGTGAGATTTATTGAATCTTCAAAAGTACACATTTGGTAGAGTAAAACTAAATATTGGTAGAGTAAAGCTAAATATTAAAAAATATTGGCCAGGCGTGGTGGCTCACGCCTGTAATCCCAGCACTTTGGGAGGCCGAGGCGGGCGGATCACGAGGTCAGGAGATGGAGACCATCCTGGCTAACACGGTGAAACCCCATCTCTACTAAAAATGCAAAAAAATCAGCCGGGCGTGGTGGCGGGCACCTGTAGTCCCAGCTACTCGGGAGGCTGAGGCAGGAGAATGGTGTGAACCCGGGAGGCAGAGCTTGGGGTGAGCTGAGATTGCACCACTACACTCCAGTCTGGGCGACAGAGTGCGACTCTGTCTCGAAAACAACAACAACAACAACAACAACAACAACAACGAAATATTGCCCTCAGTGTACATTCTAAGCAATTTGGTTCTCAAGATATAAGACATTCCCTGAAAAGAATGACAGAATTGGATCAGCTTTGATATAAGCGTTCAGTAATTGCTCTTAGAGTATAATACATGGGAGTTATTTCTCTCCCTGAGATACTGAGTGATATGATACTCACGGAATTTGCTATTTGGGTGGTATAGCTTTCATGGAACTTGACCTTTGAGTGGTACTCTGCTTTGGAAGTTTAATTCTGGGCGATACAGCCTTTATAGAATTTAACCTTTGGGTGGTGCGTTCTTCGGGAATTTGACCCTGAGTGGTACAGTTCTTGTCTAATTTGACCTGTAAAGTCACTGGATGAATTTTAAATGGGATATGCATTACAATATATGACAAAGTCACAGCTCAAATCTAAAAAAGCACTTGAACTCCGAGTTTATAAAGAAATTTAAAATAATAAGATATACAATCCAATTTAAAACATAGACAACAAGTTAAATAGTTTGCCAAAGGTGTACCAATGCAAACAGGGACATGAAAAGATGCTCAACATCATTGGTTATTAGAAAAATGCAAATTAAAGCCATATTGAGATACCGCCATAGACCTGCTAGAATGGGTAAAATTAAAAAGATTGAGAATAACAAGTGATCGTGAGGTTGTGATACAACTGAAAGCCTCTTATGTTGGTGTCCAAGAATGCTAAAATGATACAGCCACTTTGAAAAACAGCATTGGCAGTCTTTTTTCTTATAAAGATAAACATATTTATCATATGATTTAACAATTCCACTTCTAAGTATTTACCAAAATAAATACAAACAGGTTTAAACAAAGACCTGAACTCAAATGTTCAGAGAAGCTTTATTCATAACAACCCAAACCTGGAAACAAACGTAATGTTCATCAAATAACGAATGGATAAATACTTTAATATTCATATAATGGAATGCTACCCAGCGGTAAAAAGGAGTGTACTGCAAATACCGGAGACAACATCATAAATTTCAAAAGTATGATGCTAAGTGAATAAAGTCAGGTATAAGACATCACATACTGTATGATTCCATTTATATTACATTCTATAAAGACAAACTTATAGGGAAAGCAAACAAATTAGTGATTACCAGAGGCTAGGGAGTTGGGGGAGCAGGTGTTGACCACAAAGGAAAATAAAGGAACTTTTCTAGATGATAAAAATGTTCTGATTCTTGATGATGGTGGTTACATGACTGTATATATTTATCAAAACTCATCAAACTGTACATTTAAAATAGTGGGCCTTATTGTATGTAATTATACTTCAATAAACGTGACCAAAAAAAGGTAGAAAGTTAGTCAGTTTACTCTATGATAGTAGGTAAGTGTTCAGTTCCTCTCTGAAGTTGTTGATGGTATATTTTGATATTGGGCATATTTCAGTGCAATTCAGCTTATTTGAAATTTGAAGCACTGAAGGAGATAAGATTATTTACACTCTAAATGGTATGTTATTGGAAAAGTACAGTATGTGAATAGAGTTTATTTCTTTTGCTAAAAACCTTACTTATTTGCTCTTATGCAATGAAAATACCTGTGTATATTATGAATGATGGATTAAGATGAAGTAGAGAAATTCTAAGAGAGGACCAAAGACTGAGTCAAGGGTCCATGAAAATGGTAATTTCCAATTAAGGAAAATAAGCAATTCAAACAACTATATCCAACAAAGACCATTTTGCATAAATTTAGGCCAATCAGACTTAAGAGTTCCTTTTGGAGTTACCTGGAAGGGCTCGGAAGGCACCCTCACGATGACCAGATTAAATTTGTATTTGTCCTCCATACTCCATACAATCAGAGGTAACTAAAACTACCTTTTTTTTCTTAATGGTGTTGGAGGAATTAATATCAAAATATCAAAGAAATCCTTCTAAGGATATTTTTTAAACAGTGGAAATTTTGAAGAAAGGAAACATCACAATTTTAAAAAGATAACCTGCACAACGTGCACGTGTACCCTAAAACTTAAAGTATAATAAAAAAAAAAAAAAAGAAAAGTAAAAAAAAAAAAAAAAGATAACCTTTCTGCATTCCTGACTTGTATCTCACAATGCCATTGTGACCTTATTACTACCTAAAATCAATCCTGAATAGTTCATTTTTATATTTTACTTTAGTGTTTTACTTAAAGACTGTCATTTCCCCCCTCGTTATCTGACTTGGTATTTCTTGCATAAATTTGTTGCTTGTATTTTATCGTCTTCCAGGCTGTTTGTTTTGCGGCTAGCGAGTTATACATTTGTTTCAAATGCATAATGAGTATTTTGGTGTCTGATCTCATTTCTTAGAAATATTAAATTATCTTATTTTTGTACTCCATATACTCTATCTGTGGGTTCTCTCTGTGGTGGCATTAAAACAAATGTTCTTAAATTTTGTGTGAACTCTGTGCGCTCCAAAAAGGGGTAGTGTCTCCCTGGGCATTCAAGGAGTTTTTAAGGAGCCAGTTTTCTCAGTCAAGAGTAGTTGGTTGTGATCTAAAACATATCCCCACAGTCAAATGTGATAGTACTCTTGCTTTTCAAATGCTAGCATTATTTTAGAAGTTCTAAGCATTAGTGTTTCACATGCAAATGAAGATTACATTTTATGAACGAGAACTCCTGTGTTTTGAATGCCTACTGTTGCTCACATATTGGCACTTCCCCTGTGTTTCTTGATCTTCCTCAAAATTATATGAGATAGGTAGAGAAATCTAAGGTTGACATGTAAAGTGACTAGCCCAAATTTACATAACTTAGGAACAGAGGTAACGTTGAACCCACCCCTATCAGACTTTAAACACAAGGCATTTTCAACTATATCCTACAGAAAATAGAAAAGAAAAAGGGAAATTTTCAAAGTAAAAGAAGACTATATGAAATTTAAGTTTCCTGGGTTGTTACTCTTCCAGGATTCCATAAAAACTTTTAAAAGAAATTAAAATCACATACCTTCGTACCCATTTGTTTTTACCTTATATCATACCCGCTTCAATGGATAGAAGAAACAACGTTTCGTAAAGTAAGAAGTTCTGGAGACTTTTTAGTGGATAATTAGTTTCAAAGTTGCAGCTGAATTAAAACAAGATTTTCCTGTTGGTAATCTCTCTGTGTCCAAAAAGATGTTGTGATTTTTATTTTTGATTTTTATGTTGTTTTCTTATATGCTTCCAGCCTTTTTGAAACAATAGCAAACATGTTGTTATGCTTGTATATGATCAGGGAAATTACAAATATGTATTTTGCTGTAGTCATATTCTCACTTATATCAGTTTGAAGTGCCTTTTCTAGTCTGTGATGGTTATAGGTAGTCTGATCAGGTCCTATAACTATTACTTACTGAGTCTAGTTCTACATTTACACCAAATATTTCTATGAAAAGTAATGTATCCAACTTTTGTTTTGGTTCTTTCTTTTTTTTTTTTTTTTGTTTGTTTTTTGAGAGAGGGTCTCACTCTGTTGCCCAGGTTGAAGTGCAGTGGCATGATCTCTGCTCACTGCAGCCTCCACCTCCCAGACTGAGGTGATCCTCCTACCTCAGCTTCCCAAGTAGCTGAGACTACAGGTATGTGCCACCACCCCTGGCCAATTTTTGTATTTTTTTGTAAAGGTGGGGTTTTGCCATGTTGCCCAGGTTGGTCCCAACTTCTGGGCTCAAGTGATCTCCCCACCTCTGCCTCCCAAAGTGCTGGAATTATAGGCATGAACCACAGCACCCAATCTATTTTGGTTATTTCTGCAAAACCAGAAACATCTATTAATCAGAATATTTTTGATGTTATCTGGCACTATCTACTAAATTACATAAAGAAAAACTGAATTTCATATCACTGAGAAGTGGGTGTATTAAATGCCATAGATTTTTTGGATGATCATTTAAAGTGGTTGAAAGCCTGCTGACAGAATCCAAAAGGAACTTGGCAGGAAGATATAATCTTGGCAGATTTTATTAAAGGGCACTTCCCTCCCTTCTTTCTTTCTCCAGTCAATGATATAATTGTTACAGGAGAGATGGAGATTGATCCACGGACTACCTAAGTAGTCCTTTGATTTATGGGCTTCTGATTACACGTAGGGTTAAATATGTTTGAAGGATAGTCTCAAAAATAAATTAATGACACTTCTGGCTATTTGGAAGAGTTTGAATATATTCATTCATTCATTCATTCATTATTAAGCATTCACACACATATTTTATCTTCCTTCAAAGAGTTTGTAATTTAATGGTGAGAGTAAGACATAAATGAAAATAAAAGGCAGAAGAATAGTTCAGTGAAAGAGGCATCCATAAATTTGTTAAGTCAGAAAGAAGCATAACTTCTCAGGGTAGAGACTACGGAAGGCTTTCTGGAAGAAGTCGCATTTGGACTATGCCTAACAGATGATAATGGTGGAACAGGGAAGGGTATTCAAGTAGGAGGGAACAGACTGACTGACAACATAGATAGCTTTTGGGTATGTATGGAGAATGGGGAGTAGTGTGATTTGGCTTGAAACAGGATAATAAAATGGGAAAATAAGGTGGGACACTTGGGAAGTGTTGAAATTCTGGATGGAGTGTGTGACAGGCTAAGGAATTTGGCTTTTATTCCACAGGCAGTTGAGAAACCAATTGGCACTAATGCAGCCACTGGAGAACTCAGTGTACCACAAGGAATTTCAATAGTCTTGCGAGAGGTGTTAAGAAGTCATTTAACAAAATTTATACTTTTTTCCCTTGTTTTTTTCTCCCCTCCTTTTTTTTTTTCCCACTGATGTGCTATCTACTGTGTCAAAAGCAAACTTTCCAAGATTTTCAAGTTACATATAATGGCAACTCTAATCAATTCAACATAATTATTTACTGAGTTTCCCTTATATGCAAGACCCATTGTGTCAATTTTAAGACTTTACTTCTCAAAACTTTTTTACCTAAAAATCCCAAATGCAGAGAATAAAACCTCTTACCCTCAAGGTTTTGGGGATAGAACTCCCAAACAACCCACAGACATAACATTATTTGAAGTTTTTTGCTTTATCTTACGTGTGATTTTTCATTGAACTTTAAACTATGTAAACATAATCTTAAATTCTTGCTGTAATAGTATTAAAGGTAAGGAATTCCTATTATTCCTACTAAAAGTCCTTGAGTAAAATTGACACTTAAGGAAGATGAACAAAATTTATAAGTGGTTACTTAACTTTTCTTAAAATGTCAATTTAGCTATTGGAGATAATCATTAGTCAGTGATTAATTGAAAACTGACCAGACAGAAAATAAGGACATTGGAGTCCTGAGGAGGGAAAAAACACATAACCTCTGCATTTGTATTTGAAATCCCAATGCTAATGTACAATTATACTTTCCATTTTAAAAGAAAATAGATTTTATTAATACTCTGAATACAAATATCTTGAAAATTAAAATATTATTTTGAAAGGGTTAAAGATTGACATATGCTACCATATTAAAAAGATTTTAATCAGATTGCCAATAAAAATTTAAAAGTTTAGTTTGTAAATACAAACATAAACGCATTTTCACCAATTCTTTTTTCTAGTAGATCTTTGATTTCTGTCCTTCCTGATGTCAGTTTCTTTTTCAGAAAAACTCTCTTCAATTTTCTTAATATTCAAATAGTATTTTAAAATGTTTACGACAGATGGAACTGCCCCTCGACTTTAATTTTAGTTATGACCATTTACTGCAGTTGTTCCCAAACTTGTATTTAAATTGTGATAAGTTTTAATATAAAACTTTAATTATTAACATGGAAGTGTAATCAAAACATAATGTGGCACAGGAAAGCAGTTTGTAGGTATTATATACTAGTATGCCATTTTTGTTTAAAATGTATTGCAAATATTTGGGAGGAGTATATAATAAATTATTAACAGTGGTTATTAGCATATATTTTCTGTTTTTTAATGAGCAAAACAATTTTAATCACTGAAACAAGAAAAGTATTTAAAATAGCACCTAGAATAGTATTTTGCTATGCTCTGGTGTTAGGATGTTTACTTTTGAGGATTTTGATTTCAGGTGCTCCTATCTTTGGAGCACTGATGTTAGATTCGACCTATCTTCTTCGTATCTCCTACTTTCAACTCCTTTGCAAATATGTACTTAGGTTAGTATTAAGCTTGGGATTTGAGGGGAAGAACTTCAGCTTTTAAAACAACCGAACTCCATTTGAAAGAAGTTTGCCATTAATGTCTCCCCTTGGTTTTATTTATGTTTACAGGGATGTGGTCACTTAGCACATGTATATAGGGTAAATGCAAACCATAATATAATACTAGGGCAGATGTATGCTACTACCACAATTCAGTGGAGGAAGTTCTGTGTTCATAGTAAGTTTCTTTCTTCAGAAACTCAAACCCTTGCTGTCTGTCCATTGATAAGAACTGATAGGCTAGTTTAGGTAACCTAAGACATACAGATGCACTTTATTTCTCTGAATATTATTTTCCTCTTTCTTTTCACTTTTAAGGCTCAATCCTATGCCTCTGGAATCCTAGTATAATTCCTCCTGTATTTGTTTCTCAATTTGTTCTTTTGCAGTAGTCTATCCATTCATGTGGATGAACGTCACTCTGGATAGAGGAAGGGCAATCCCAGGCAATCATACACATAAAATCAAATGTCCTTCATTTTTTCCAGAGGGATTCTGGATTTTCCACAGAGGATCAATGCTACTTCTTTGGCATCTTGTTCACCCAGGAATGTATAGCCTGTGTTTGCTAGTGATTTACAAAAATAAAAACAAAGTTTTGTCCCACATTTCCTACAAATAACGTTTTATTGGTTATGCTTTTTCAAAGCATTGATCTCCTTACTGTGTAATGCTCAACTCAATTCAGTTGAAATATTACAGAGTTTCACACTCTAACTACCTCTAAATATCAATTTGAGGGTAAAGGAAAATAATGAAAGAATCACAATGTAGTGAAAAGAGCACAGGCTTTAGGGTCAGACAGATCTGGGTCTGAGTTACCTCTCTTGTTCACTGTATGACTGTGGTCAAATCATATGACCCACCTGAGCCTCAGTTTCCTCATCTGCAAAGGGCAGATTGTGATACCATCTACAGTGAGGATTGACAGTGCATGCAGAATATCTGACACATGATATGGTAGCTACTATTGGAATTTATGAATATGAAAGTATTTTATAATTTACCAAGTGCTTTATAAGTGAGGAGTTAAGACTCTCCTTCTTCTGAAAACTTTCCATCTCGATTCTTCTCAGATTCATATGCCTGAAGCACCAAACTGCTTGGCATTTACCAAGATCCATAATCTTGTCCCCTTTCCTTTCATTTATTTTGGAACTGTAGTTACTGACTTCTCCTCTTCTTTTCTCCCCACCTCGGCACCCCGGTGGAGCTCCTTGTCTGAATTCTGCTTGAGCACTCTGTATTTGTTTCCATGCACAGATGTATATGTTTAAGTGTGTATCTTTTCTCCCCAGCCAGCACTTAACACAGTATGTTGCTCATGATGCTTTGCTCCTTACTGCATGTTGATACTGGGATTCAACAGAAAATATATGGTCCATAGACTTTGGCTTGGATATACTGGCCGTCATGAGGGACTTGGAATGAACTTGAGAGTTCAATCTGGTTTGAGTTCTGGCACTGACATTGACCGTCTCTGGGGACTTGCTTAATATCTCAGATTTTTTTTTTTAACTCCAGAGGACACAAATTAGATTATGGTTGAGAGAATTGTTAAAGATCTGCCTTGGGACAGAGTATTTTCTTACATATGTTAATTTGGATTCCTCTCTGTAACCTCCTCCCCAGAGTAGATCTTTCTTTTTATATTATATTTTAATTTTCTTCCATGGTAGCATAACCCTTGTCACTTGCCTCACTTTTTTCTACCCACTCAAGTGTCAGCACCTCACACAATTTAAAAATAGAGATGTTGGGGCTGTTTATTTTTATGCTTGTGTGTTTTAGGGGCAAGTGGGTGGGAACACTGCATCCTAAATTGTCACATTTCAAAGAAAGTCTTAGTGAATGTATACAAGTTGTAAAATAAAGTTTTTATTTTCCTGTAGTGGACACTATGATTGCCTATCCGGCATTCATTGTCCCCTTTCCTTTTCCATAAGGATACCCTCAAATTTTCAGGTAGCTGCCCTTCCATCACATATTAGTCTGTTCTCATGCTGCTAATAAAGACATTCCTGGGACTGGGTAATTTATAAAGGAAAGAGGTTTAATGGACTCACGGTTCCACATGGCTGGCGAGGCCTCACATCATGGCAGAAGACAAATAAAGAGCAAAAGGGCATCTTACATGGCAGCAGGCAAGAGAGAGCATGTGCGGGGGAACTCTGCTGTATAAAACCATCAGATCTCGTGAGACTTATTCACTATCACAAGCACAGCATGGAAAAGACCGACCCGCATGATTTAATTACCTCCCACTGGGTCCCTCCCATGACACATGGGAAATATGGGAGCTACCATTCAAGATGACATTTGGGTGGGGACACAGCCAAACCATATCATATCACGTTGTCCGAGTGCTTGAGACAGGGTACTACAACCAGACTCCTCGGAGAAGGTTGTGTTTGGTCTAAGGCTCGTCAAGCTCACCCTTTTAAAAAGAATTGTTCAGGAATATAGGCCTAGCCAGGCAGCCTGAATCAGTTCCTCCGTCAGGCAGGGATATGGGATATATATGGGGTTGGTGAATGCAATGGAGCAGGGTTGTTTGGAACTTTAAGGAATTAGTTTTCTGACCCAGAAGAGATCTGGGTCTTCTTTTAGATTTCAAGTTGTGTGAAATAAAGCTGAAAAATGTCATAGCCATTTTTTTCTGTCACCAAGGAAGCTATTTTGAACCAACTCAGAGGAGGGAATAGTGAAGGGGAGTCCAGAGAAATAAAACTGAAATACTGGGTTCAGCCTAACCTGAGGCCTAACGTGCCTCATGGCTTGCACTTAAGAGAGCCTAAGCCTTGTTATTTCAGTCAGTTTGAGTCAGGGTTTGTAATATATGCATCTAAAAGCTTCTTAACATGATATACAATTTTAAAACTGAGGTTTTTCCCTAGAGATAAAAATGTGATCTAGATCAGTACTGTCCAATACTACTTTCTGAGATGATATAAATGTTCCGTATAAGTGTAGACACTATTCAAATGTAGCTATAGAACAATTAAAAAGTGGCTAGTACAATTCAGGAACTAAATTTCTAATTTTATTTAGTTCTTCCCATTTTATTAATTTTATTTTTTGTTGATACATAATAGATGTACATATTTTTGGATACATGTGAATATTTAATACATTCATGTAGTTTGTAAAGATCAAATCAGTGTAATTGGATAGTATCACCTTAAATATTTGTCTTTATGCTAGAAACATTTCAATTACTCTCTTCTAGCTGTTTTGAAATATACAATAGATTACTGTAAACTATGCTTATCCTACTGATCTATCAAATACTGTCTTATTTCTTCTATCAAACTATATGTTTGTACCTATTAATCAACCTCTCCTCACCCCTCCTCTCCTCTACCCTTTCTAACCTCTGATAACCACCAATTTACTCCTATCTTCATGAGATTTGATATTTTAGCTTTCCTGTATCATTGGGAATGTGCAATATTTGTCTTTCTGTGTCTGGCTTATTTCGCTTTACAACCACCATTTCCTTCCATGTTACTGTCAGTGACAGAATTCCATACTTTTTATGGCTAAATAATATTCCGTTGTGTACATATACCACATATTCTTTATCCATTAGTCCATCAATGGACACTTAGGTTGATTCTATATTTTGACTGTTGTGAATAATTCTGCATTAACTGTGGGAGTGCAGATATCTCTTAGATACACTGATTTCCTTTCTTTTAGATATATAAGTGGTAGTGGAATTGCTAGATCATATGTAGATCAATTTTTAGGTTTTTGAGAAACCTCTGTACTATTCTTCATAGTTGTAGTAATTTACATTCCCACCAACAGTGTACAAGGGTTCCCTTTTTTCCACATTCTCACCAGCATCTGTTATTCCCTGCCTTTTTGATACATACTATTTTAACTGGTTGAGTTGATATCTCATAATGGTTTTGGTTTTCATTTCACTGACGGTTAGTGATGTTGAGTATTTTTCATGTCTTCTCTTTGAGAACTATCTATTCATCCCTTTTGCTTATTTTTAAAATAGATTGGACAGACATAGGGGCTCACGCCTGTAATCCCAACACTTTGGGAGGCTGAGGTGGGAAGATCATGAGGTCAAGAGATCGAGACCATCCTGGCCAACATGGTGAAACTCTGTCTCTACTAAAAATACAAAAAATTAGCTGGGCGTGGTGGCATGTGCCTGTAGTCCCAGCTACTCAGGAGGTTGAGGCAGGAGAATTGCTTGAACCCAGGAGGCGGAGGTTGCAGTGAGCTGAGATCATGCCACTGCCCTCCAGCCTGGCGACAGAGTCTCAAACAAACAAACAAACAAACAAAAAATATATATATATTTATATATATATAATTTTTATTATCTTTTGCTATTGAGTTGTTTGGGTTCCTTATACATTCTGGTTATTAATCCCTTGTCATATGAATAGTTTGAAAATGTTTTCTTGCATTCTGTGGTGGTTTCTTTACTTTGCTGATTGTGTCCATTGCTGTGCAGAAGCCTTTAAGCTTGATATGATCCCATTTATCTATGTTTGCTTTGGTTGCCTGTGCTTTGAGATCTTGCCCAAACAGTCTTTGCCTATATCAATGTCCTGGAGCACTTCTTAATGTTTCTCCTAGTAGTTTTATAGTTTAAGGTATTGGATTTAAGTGTTTAATCCATTTTGATTTGATTTTTGTGTATGGTGAGAGATAGGGATTTAGTTTCATTCTTCTACATATTGTTATGCAGTTTCTCATTACATTTAGTGAAGAGACTGTCCTTTCCCCATTGTATGTTCTTGGCACTTTTGTTGAAAATGAGTTGGCTGTAGTGGAGAGAGGCAGAGCAAGATGGAGGAAAAGAATGCTCCACTGATCGTTCCCTACACAAGGACAACAATTTATCTACACGAAAAACAAAACAAACAAAACAGACAGACAAACAAAAAAACACCTTTAGAAGAACCAGAAGTTAGATGAGCCCTCACAGTAGCTAGTTTTATCTTTGTATCACTGAGAG
The DNA here is from genome assembly GCF_000001405.40 of Homo sapiens. Lineage (NCBI taxonomy): Eukaryota > Metazoa > Chordata > Mammalia > Primates > Hominidae > Homo > Homo sapiens. The sequence goes on from NC_000009.12 coordinate 23,986,269, forward strand.
AGGCACTGAAGAGATAAGAAAAACAGACCTGAACTGCCACCCCTCCCCGACCCCTGCAGCAGCAGTATGGTGCAGAGAGCACAGAAATTGTGAGGCCATGAACTCAGTGCTATCCTGTTAGAGCAGAAAGAAAAACCTGGACCAAACTCAGCTGACGTCTGCCCATGGAGAGAGCATTGTAACAATTCCTAGCCAGAGGGGAATCCCAGCAGTTGGAACTTGAGTTCCTGCAAACCTTGCCACTGAGGGATACAGTCCTCTCTGTCTGTAAATGAATTTGAAAGGCAGTCTAGGACATTAAATCTGCAAAACTTAGGTGAGTCCTAGTCCTGAACTAGGCCCAGAGCCAGTGGACAGTGACATACTGAGACAGTAGCTGAGGCGGCTAAGGGGGTGCTGTTGTCACCTCCCCTAACCTCAGGCTGCACAGTTCAGGGCTCCAAAAGCGACCTCTTCTTTTTGCTTGAGGAGAGGAGCGAGAATACTGGGGAGGACTTTGTCTCGAGTCTTGGATACCAGCTCAGCTACAGCTGGATAGGGCACCAGTTAGAGTTGCGAGGCCTGTGTTCCAAGGCCTTGCTCTTGGGTGACATTTGTAGACACACCCTAGGCCAGAAGGGAACATGCTGTCTTGAAGGAAAGGACCCAGTCATGGCAACATTCATCACCTGCTTGCTAAAGAATCCTTGTGCCCTGAATAACAAGCATCAATACCCAGGTACTACATCAAGGGCCTTGGGTGAGCCTCTGAGACTTGCTGGCTTCAGGTGAGACTCAGCACATTACCAGCTATGGTGGCTATGGGGCAAAACTCCTGCTTTGGAAAAGCAGAGGGAAAAGTGAAAGGGACTTTGTCTTGCATCTTAGATACCATCATGGGCACAGGGAGTAGCTCTTGGGGTCCCCAATCCCAGGACTTGACTCTTGGATGACAGTTCTGGACTTGCCCTGGGCCGGAGGGAAGCCCACTGCCCTGAAGGGTGAGTCCCAGGCCAGGCAGCATTTACCACAAGCTGACTTAAGAGTCTTTGGGCCTTAAGGAACATCAGAGGGAGGTAGTCTGGCAGTTCTTCTGTGGCCTAAGGTGGTGTTCACTATGGAATGAGGCTCCTCTGCCTTTGGAAAGGGGAGGGAAGAATGGGAAGGACTACATCTTTTAGCTTGAGTGTCAGCTCAGTGGCAGTATAACAGAACACCAGGTAGAGTTCTAAGGTTTTTGACTCTAGTCCCCGACTCCTGGATGGTACCTCTGGACCTCCCTGGGGCCTGGGAGACCTCACCATCCTGAAGGGAAAGACACAGGCCTGCCTGGCTTTGCCAACAGCTAATTGTGGGGCCCCAGGGCCTTGAGCAAACATGGAAAGTAGCCAGGGAGTGGTTACAGCAAGCTTTGGGCAAGACCCAGCGCTGTGCTTGCTTCAGGTCTTACCCAGTGGAATCATAGTGGTGTTGGCCACAGGGATACTTGTTACTCCACCCTCAGATTTAGGTGGCTCAAAACAGAGAGAGAGAGAGAGAGAGAGAGAGAGAGAGAGAGAGAGACTGACTCTATGTTTGGGAGAAAGTAAGGGAAGAAAACAAGAGTTTCTGCCTGATTATCAAGATAGTTCTTCTGGATCTTGTCCAAGACTATCAAGGTGGCGCCTCTACTAGTCTGCAAGAACCACAGTGCTACTGGGCTTGGGGTATCCCCTAGAGCAATTATAGTTTGGATCACAACACCTAAGTCATTTCAAATATCTGGAAAGCCATTCCAAGAAGGATGGATACAAATAAACCCAGACAGTGAAGACTACAATAAATACCTAACTCTTCAATGCCCAGACACCAAAGAACATTTACAAGCATCAACACCATCCAGGAAAACATGACCTTATGAGATGAACTAAATAAGAGACTAGGGACCAATCTTGGAGAAACAGATATGTGAATTTTCAGACAAAAAATTCAAGTAGTGTTATGGATGAATCTCAAAGATAAATTCAAGATAACACAGAGAAGGAATTCAGAATTCTATTAGATAAATGTAACAAAGAGATTGAAATAGTTAAGCAGAATTAAGCAGAAATTCTGGAGCTAAACAATGCAACTGGCATGCTGAATAATGCTTCAGAATCCTTTAAGAGTAGAATGGATCAAGCAGAAGAGAGAATTAGTGAGCTTGAAGATAAGCTATTGGAAAATACAGTCAGAGGAGACAAAAGGTAAAATAATAAAAATCAATGATGCACTCCTACAGGATCTAGAAAATAGCCTCAAAAGGGCAAATCTGAATTATTGGCCTTAAAGAGGAGGTAGAGAAACAGATAGGGGTAGAAAGTTTATTCAGAGGGATAATATAGCAGAGAACTTCCCAAACCTAGAGAAAGATATCAATATCAAAGTTCAACCTCAAAAAAGACTACCTCAAGGCATTTAATAATCAAACTCTCAAAGGTCAAGGATAAAGAAAGGATACTTAAAGCAGCAAGAGAAAAGAAACAAATAACATAAAATGGAGCTCCAGTATGTCTGGCAGCAGACTTTTCAGTGGAACCTTTACATGCCGGGAGAGAAAGTTATGACATATTTAAAGTGCTGAAGGAAACAAGACTTTCACCCTAGAATAGTATATTTGGTAAAAAATATCCTTCATACATGAAAGAGAAATAAAGACATTTCCAGACAAACAAATGCTGAGGGATTACATCAACACCAGACCTGTCCTACAAGAAATGCCTAAGGGAGTACTTTAATCAGACAAAAAGAAGAACATTAATGAGCAATAAGTAATCACCTGAAGGTACAAAACTCACTGGGAATAGTAAGTACAGAGAAAAACAGAATATTATAACACTGTAACTGTGTAGAAAGACTAAATGATGAACCAATAAAAATAATAACTAGAACAACTTTTCAAGACAAAGTACAAAGGGTATCAATTAAAAAACCAAAAAGATTAAAAGAAGAGGAATGAAATTAAGGCATAGAAGTTTTACTAGTTTTCTTTTTGCTTGTTTGTTTATGTAAATAGTGCTGTTATCAGGTTAAAATAATAGGTTATAAGATAGTATTCACAAGCCTTATAATCACCTCAAACCAAAAAACACAATGAAGACACAAAAAATAAAAGGCAAGAAACTAAATTACATCACCACAGAAAATCACCTTTACTAAAGGAAAACAGGAAGGAAAGAAAGAAAGAAGAGAAGACCACAAAACAACCAGAAAAAAAATCATAAAATGGCAGGAGTAAGTCCTTACTTATTAATAGTAACATTGAATGTAAATGGACTAAAGGTTTGAATCAAAAGACATAGAATAGCTGAATGATTGAAAAAACAAGACCCATTGATCTGTTCCCTATGAGAAACACACTTCACCTATAAAAACACACACTGACTGAAAATAAAGGGATGGAAAAAGATATTCCATTTCAATGAAAACCAAAAAAGAGCAGGAGTCACTATACTTATATTAGACAAAATAGATTTCAAGACCAAAACTATAAAAAGAGGACTATAAAAAGGAGAAGTCACTATACAATGATAAAGGGGTCAATTCAGCAAGGGGATATAACAATTTAAAATACATATGCACCCAACACAAGCACCCAGATATAGGAAGCAAATATTATTAAATCTAAAGAGAGAAATAGGCCCCAATACAATAATATCTGGAGACTTTGATTCCCTACTTTCAGCATTGGACAGATCTTCCAGGTGGAAAATCATCAAGAAATATCCAACTTATTCTGCACTATAGATCAAATGGATCTAATCGATATTTACAGAATATTGTATCCGATGGCTGCAAAATACAAATTCTTTTCCACAGCACATGGATCATTCTCAAGGATAGACCATATGTTAGGTAACAAAACAAATCTTAAAACATTCAACAAAATTGAAGTAATATCAAGCGTCTTCTCTGGCCACAGTGGAAAGTAACTAGAAATTAATAACAAGAGGAATTTTGGAAACTATACAAATACATGGAAATTCAACAATATGCTCCTGGATGACCAGTGGGACAATGAAGGAATTAAGAAGCAAAGTGAAAAAATTTTTAAACAAATGATAATGGAAACACAACATACCCAATCCTATGGGATACAGCAAAAGCAGTACTAAAAGGGAAGTTTATGGCTGTAAGTGCCTATATCAAAAAAGAGGAAACATTTTAAACAAACAGTCTAGCAGTGAAACTTAAAGAACTAGAAAAGCAAGAGCAACCCAAACCAAACTGAAATTTAGTAGAAGAAAATAAATAAAAAAGATCAGAGCAGAAATCGATGAAATTGAAATGAAAGAAACAATACAAAAGATCAATTAAACAAAACGTCAGTTTTTTGAAATGCTAAACAAAATTGACAAACCTTTTGCCAGACTAACATGGACAAAAGAGAGAAGACCCAAATATATAAAATCAGAAATCAAAAAGGAGACATTACAAACTGATACTGCAGAAATTCAAAGGATCATTAGTGGCTACTATGAGCAACCATATGCCAATAAATTGGAAAATCTAGAAGAAATGGACAAATTTTTAGACACATAAAACCTACCAAGATTGAACCAGGAAGAAATCCAAAACCTAAACAGGCCAATAACTATTAATGAGATTGAAGCCATAATAAAGTCTCCAGTAAAGACACGCCTGGGACCCAATAGCTTCACTGATGAATTGTACCAAACATTTAAAGAAGAACTACTACCAATCCTACTCAAACTCTTCTGAAAAATACAGGAGGAGGGGACACTTCCAAACTCATTCTACAAGGCATTATTACCCTGATACCAAAACAAGACAGACAGAAAAAAAAGAAAGGAAAAAGAAAACTATATGCCAGAATCTCTGATGAATATTGATGCAAACATCTTCAACAAAATACTAACACATCAAATTCAGCAATACATAAGGAAGATCATTCATCATGACCAAGTGGGATTTATCCCTGGGATGCAAGAATGGTTCAACATATGCAAATCAATCAATGTAATACATCCTATCAACAGAATGAAGGATAAAAAACATATGATCATTTCTATTGATACTGGAAAAGCATTTGATAAATTTCAATATCTCTTCATGATAAAAACCCTAAAAAATTGGGCAATGAAGAAACATACCTCAACATAATAAAAGCCATACATGACAGACCCACAGCTAGTACTGTACTGAATGAGGAAAAACTGAAGGCCTTGATGGATGCCCACCATCACCACTGTTGCTTAACACTGTATTGGAAGTCATAGGTAGAGCAGTCAGACAACAGAAATACGTAAAGGGCATCCAAATTAGAAAGGAAGGAGTCAAATTATCCTTGTTTGCTGATGATATGATCTTATATTTGGAAAAACCTAAAGACTCCACAATAAAACTATTACAAATTATAAATTCAGTAAAGTTGCAGGATGCAAACTCAACATACAAAAATCAGTAGCAGTTTCCGTCCAAGATGGCTGAATACAAAGAGCTCTGGTCTGCAGCTCTCAGCGTGATCGGTGCAGAAGATGGGTGATTTTGGCATTTCCAACTGAGGTACCTAGTTCATCTCATTGGGACTGGTTGGACACTGGGAGCAGCCCACAAGGGTGGGCCAAAGCAGGGCAGGGCATCACCTCACCTGGGAAATGCAAGGGGCCGGGATATTTCCCTTTCCTAGCCAAGGAAGCCGTGACAGACTGTACCTGGAAAAATGGGACACTTCTGCCCAAATACTGTGCTTTTCCCATGGTCTTAGCAACCAGCAGACCAGGAGATTTTCTCCCATGCCTGGCTCGTCGGGTCCCATGCCCACAGAGCCTTGCTCACTGCTAGCACAGTAGTCTGAGATCAACTTGCGAGGCTGCAGCCTGGCTGGGGGAGGGGCATCCGCCATTGTTGATGCTTAAATAGGTGAACAAAATGGCCAGGAAGCTCAAACTGGGCAGAGCCCACCACAGCTCAGCAAGGCTTACTGCTTCTATAGACTCCACCTGTGTGGGCAGGGCATAGCTGAACAAAAGGCATCGCAGAAACTTCTGTAGACTTAAATATCCCTGTCTGACAGCTCTAAAGAGGGCAGTGGTTCTCCCAGCACAGTGTTTGAGTTCTGAGAACAGAGAGACAGCCTCCTCAAGTGGGTCCCTGAACCCCGTCTAGCCTAACTGGGAGACACTTCCCAGCAGAGGCCTACAGACACCTCATACAGGTGGGTGCCCCTCTGGGACAAAGCTTCCAGAGGAAGGATCAGGCAGCAATATTTGCTGTTCTGCAATATTTGCTGTTCTGCAGCCTCTGCTGGTGATACCCAGGCAAACAGGGTCTGGAATGGACCTCCAGCACACTCCAAAAGACCTGCAGCTGAGGGACCTGACTGTTAGAAGAAAAACTAACAAATAGAAAGGAACAGCATCAACGTCAACAAAAAGGACATCTACACAAAACCCCATCTGTAGGTCACCAACATCAAAGACAAAAGGTAGATGGTACCACAAAGATGGAGAAACCAGAGCAGAAAAGCCGAAAATTCTAAAAAACAGAGCGCCTCTTCTCCTCCAAAGGATTGCAGCTCCTCTCCAGCAACAGAACAAAGCTGGACAGAGAATGACTTTGATGAGTTGACAGAAGTATGCTTCAGAAGGTCAGCAATAACAAACTTCTCCGAGCTAAAGGAGCATGTTCTAACCCATCGCAAGGAGGCTTAAAACCTTGCAAAAAGGTTAGACAAACAGCTAAATAGAATAAACAGAGTAAAGAAGACCTTAAATGACCTGGTGGAGCTGAAAACCATGGCACGAGAACTTTGGGACACATGCAGAAGTTTCAATAGCCGATTTGATGAAGTGGAAGAAAGGGTATCAGTGATTGAAGTTCAAATTAATGAAATAAAGTGAGAAGACAAGTTTAGAGAAAAAAGAGTAAAAAGAAACAAACAAAGCCTTCAAGAAATATGGGACTATATGAAAAGACCAAATCTACATTTGATTGGTGTATCTGAAAGTGATAGGGAGAATGGAACCCAGTTGGAAAACACTCTTCAGGATATTATCCAGGAGAACTTCCCCAATGTAACAAGGCAGGCCAACATTCAAATTCAGGAAATACAGAGAACACCACAAAGATACGCCTCGAGAAGAGCAACCCCAAGAACATAACTGTCAGATTCACCAAGGTTGAAATGAAGGAAAAAATGTTAAGTGCAGCCAGAGAGAAAGGTTGGGTTACCCACAAAGGGAAACCCATCAGACTAACAGCAGATCTCTCAGCAGAAACCCTGCAAGCCAGAGGAGAGTGAGGGCCAATATTCAACATTCTTAAAGAAAAGAATTTTCAACCCAGAATTTCATATCCAGCCAAACTAAGCTTCATAAGTGAAGGAGAAATAAAATCCTTTACAGACAAGCAAATGCTGAGACATTTTGTCACCACCAGGCCTGCCTTACAAGAGCTCCTGAAGGAAGCACTAAACATGGAAAGGAACAATCGGTACCAGCCACTGCAAAAACATGCCAAATTGTAAAGACCTTTGATGCTAGGAAGAAACTGCATCAATTAACAGACAAAATAACCAGCTAACATCATAATGACAGGATCAAATTCATACATAATAATATTAACCTTAAATGTAAATGGGCTAAATGCCCCAGTTAAAAGACACAGACTGGAAAATTGGATAAAGAGTCAAGACCCATTGGTGTGCTGTATTCAGGAAACCCATCTCACGTGCAGAGACACACATAGGCTCAAAATAAAGGGATGGAGGAAGATCTATCAAGCAAATGGAAAGCAAAAAAAAGCAGGGCTCGCAATCCTAGTCTCTGATAAAACAGACTTTCAACCAACAAAGATCAAAAGAGACAAAGAAGGCCATTACATAATGATAAAGGGATCAATTCAACAAGAAGAGCTAACTATCCTAAATATATATGCACCCAATACAGGAGCACCCAGATTCAGAAAGCAAGTCCTTAGAGACCTACAAAGAGACTTAGACTCCCACACAATAATAATGGGAGACTTTAACACCCCACTGTCAATGTTAGACAGATCAACAAGACAGAAGTTTAACAAGGATATCCAGTACTTGAACTCAGCTCTGCACCAAGCGGACCTAATAGACATCTACGGAACTCTCCACCCCAAATCAACAAAATATACATTCTTCTCAGCACCACATCACACTTATTCTAAAATTGACCACATAATTGGAAGTAAAGCACTCCTCAGCAAATGTAAAAGAACAGAAATCACAACAAACTGTCTCTCAGACCACAGTGCAATCAAATTATAACTCAGGATTAAGAAACTCATTCAAAACCACACAACTACATGGAAACTGAGCAACCTGCTCCTGAATAACTACTGGGTAAATAACGAAATGAAGGCAGAAGTAAAGATGTTCTTTGAAACCAACGAGAACAAAGACACAACACACCAGAATCTCTGGGACACATTTAAAGCAGTGTGTAGAGGGAAATTTATAGCACTAAATGCCCACCAGAGAAAGCAGGAAAGATCTAAAATTGATGTCCTAACATCACAATTAAAAGAACTAGAGAAGCAAGAGTAAACACATTCAAAAGCTAGCAGAAGGCAAGAAATAACTAAGATCAGAAAAGAACTGAAGGAGATAGAGACAAAAAACCCTTCAAAAAATCAATGAATCCAGGAGCTGGTTTTTTGAAAAGATCGACAAAATTGATAGACTGCTAGCAAGACTAATAAAGAAGAAAAGAGAGAAGAATCAAATAGATGCAATAAAAAATGATAAAGGGGATATCACCACCAATCCCACAAAAATACAAACTACCATCAGAGAATACTATAAACACCTCTATGCAAATAAGCTAGAAAATCTAGAAGAAATGGATAAATTTCTGGAAATGTACACCGTCCCAAGACTAAACCAGGAAGAAGTTGAATCTCTGAATAGACCAATAACAGGCTCTGAAATTGAGGCAATAATTAATAGCCTACCAACCAAAAAAAGTCCGGGACGAGATGGATTCACAGCCGAATTCTACTAGAGGTACAAGGAGGAGCTGGTACAATTCCTTCTGAAACTATTCCAATCAATAGAAAAAGAGGGAATCCTCCCTAACTCATTTTATGAGGCCAGCATCATCCTGATACCAAAGCCTGGCAGAGACACAACAGAAAAGAGAATTTTAGACCAATATCCCTGATGAACATTGATGTGAAAATCCTCAATAAAATACTGGTAAACCAAACACAGCAACACATCAAAAAGCCTATCCACCACGATCAAGTTGGCTTCATCCCTAGGAAGCAAGGCTGGTTCAACATACCCAAATCAATAAATATAATCCATCACATAAACTGAACCAATGACAAAAACCCCATGACTATCTCAATAGATGCAGAAAAGACCTTCAACAAAATTCAACAGCCCTTTATGCTAAAAACTCTCAATAAACTAAGGATTGATGGAACGTATCTCAAAATAATAAGAGCTATTTATGACAAACTCACAGCCAATATCACACTGAATGGGCAAAAACTGGAAGCATTCCCTTTGAAAGCCAGCACAAGACAAGGATGCCCTCTCTCACCACTCGTATTTAACATAGTGTTGAAAGTTCTGGCAAGGACAATCAGGCAAGAGAAAGAAATAAAGAGTATTCAATTAGGAAAAGAGAAAGTCAAATTGTCCCTGTTTGCAGAAGACATGATTGTATGTTTAGAAAGCCCCATCATCTCAGCCCAAAATCTCCTTAACCTGATAAGCAACTTCAGCAAAGACTCAGGATACAAAATCAATGTGCAAAAATCACAAGCATTCCTATACACTAATAGCAGACAAAGAGCAAAATCATGAGTGAACTCCCATTCACAATTTCTACAAAGGGAATAAAATACCTAGGAATCCAACTTACAAGGGATGTGAAGTTCCTCTTCAAAGAGAACTACAAACCTCTGCTCAATGAAATAAAAGAGGACACAAATGGAAGAACATTCCATGCTCATGGACAGGAAGAATCAATATCATGAAAATGGCCATACTTCCCAAGGTAATTTATAGATTCAATGTCATCCCCATCATTGCTACCAATGAGTTTCTTCTCAGAATTGGAAAAAACTACTTTAAAGTTCACATGGATCCGAAAAAGAGCCTGCATTGCCAAGACAAGCCTAAGCCAAAAGAACAAAGCTGGAGGCATCATGCTATCTGACTTCAAAGTATACTACAAGGCTGCAGTAACCAAAACAGCATGGTAGTGGTACCAAAACAGATATATATATATATAGACCAATGGAACAGAACAGTGGCCTCAGAAATAACACCACACATCTACAACCATCTGATCTTTGACAAACATGACAAAAATAAGATATGGGGAAAGGATTCCCTATTTATGATGCTTGGAAAACAGGCTAGCCATATGTAGAAAACTGAAACTGGATCCCTTTCTTACACCCTATACAAAAATTAATTCAAGATGGATTAAAGACTTAAATGATAGACCTAAAATGATAGAAACCCTAGAAGAAAACCTAGGCAATACCATTCAGGACATAGGCATGGGCAAGGACTTCATGACTAAAACACCAAAAGCAATGGCAACAAAAGCCAAAATTGACAAATGGGATCTAATTAAACTAAAGAACTTCTGCACAGCAAAAGAAACTACCAGCAGAGTGAACTGGCAACCTACAGAATGGGAGAAAATTTTTGTAATCTACCCATCTGACAAAGGGCTAATATCTAGAATCCACAAAGAACTTAAACAAATTTACAAGAAAAAAAAACCCATCAAAAAGTGGGCAAAAGATATGAACAGACACTTCTCAAAAGAAGACATTTATGCAGCCAACAGACACATGAAAAAATGCTCATCATCACTGTTCATAAGAGAAATGCAAATCAAAACCACAATGAGATACCATCTCATGCCAGTTAGAATGGCAATCATTAAAAAGTCAGGAAACAACAGATGCTGGAGAGGATGTGGAGAAATAGGAATGCTTTTACACTGTTGGTGGGGGTGTAAATTAGTTCAACCATTGTGGAAGACAGTGTGGTGATTCCTCAAGGATCTAGAACTAGAAATACCAGTTGACCTTGTGATCCCTTTACTGAGTATATACCGAAAGGATTATAAATCCTGCTACTATAAAGACACATGCACATGTATGTTGGGCACTATTCACAATAGCAAAGACTTGGAGCCAACCCAAATCTCCATCAATGATAGACTGGATTAAGAAAGTATGGCACATATATACTATGGAATACTATGCAGCTATAAAAAAGGATGAGTTCATGTCCTTTGCATGGACATGGTTGAAGCTGGAAACCATCATTCTCAGCAAACTATCAGAAGGACAGAAAACCAAATACCGCACATTCTCACTCATAGGTGGGAATTGAACAATGAGAACAAGGCAGGGAACATCACACACCAGGGTCAGTTGGGGGTTGGGGGGCTGGGGTAGGGATAGCATTAGGAGAATTAGAAGAAATACCTAATGTAAATGATGAGTTGATGGGTGCAGCAAACAAACATGGCACATGTATACCTATGTAACAAACCTGCATGTTGTGCATATGTACCCTAGAACTTAAAGTATAAAAAAAGTAGTATTTCTGTATGCCAATAATGAAAAATCTAAAAAAGAAATAAAAAAGTAATCCCATTTATAATAGCCACACATGAAATTAAATACCTAGGAATTAACTCAACTAGAGAAGTGAAAGATTTCTATATGCATACTATAAAACACTAATGAAAGAAATTGAAGAGGACACCCCAAAATGAAAAGTATTTCATGTTTATGAATTGTAAGAATAAATATGTTAAAATATCCATACTACCCAAAGCAGATTGCATCAAATCTATATCTATATATTTCAATTCTGTCAAAACACCAATGAAATTCCTCACAGAAATAGAAAAAAAAATCCTAAAATTTATAGAGAATCACAGAATATCTAGAATAGCATAAGCTATCCTAAGCAAAAAGAACAAAACTGGAGTTATCACACTACTTGACTTCAAATTATGCACAGTACCCAAACAACATGGTACCGGCATAAAAACAGACACATAGACCAACCAGTGGAATAGAATCCACACACCTATAGTGCACTCATTTTTGACAAATGTGCCAAGAACATACACTGGGGACAAGACAGTCTCTTCAATAACAGAAAACTGGATATCCATTTGCAGAAGAATGAAACTGGTGCTGGGAAAACTGGATATCCATTTGCAGAAGAATGAAACTAGATCCCTATCTCTCATCAGGTACAACAAAATCAAATGAAAATAGTTTAAAGACTTAAATCTAAGATCTCTAACTATGAAACTACTACATGAAAACATAAGGGAAAATCTCAAGGACATTGGTCTGGGCAAATATTTCTCAAGGAATACCCCACAAGCACATGCAACCAAAGCAAAAATGGAAAATAGGATCACATCAAATTGAAAAGCTTCTGCACAGCAAAGGAAACAATCAACAATTTGAAGAGACAACCCACAGAATGGGAGACAATATTTGCAAACTATCCATCTGACAAGGGCTTAATAGCCCATATATAAGGAGCTTAAACAACTTTATAGGAAAAAATCTAATAATCCAGTCAAAAATGGGAAAAAGATTTGAATGGATATTTCTCAAAAGAAGACATACAAATGGCAAACAGGCATGTTAAAGGTGCTCAATATCATTGATCATCAGAGAAATGCAGATCAAAATTACAGTGAGATATCATCTCACCCCAGTTAAAATGGCTTATATCCAAAACACAGGCACTAATGAATGCTGGTGAGGATGTGGAGAAAAGGGAACCCTTTTTCCACAACTCATTGTTGGTGAAAATGTAAATTAGTACAACTATTATAGAGAACAGTTTGGAGGTTCCTCAAAAAACTAAAAATTGAGCTATTATAATTCAGCAATCCCACTGCTGGGTATATACCAAAGAAAGTTAGTGTATCAATGAGATAGCTGCACTCCTGTGTTTGTTGCAGCACTGTTTACAATAGCTAAGATATGGAAGCAGCCTAAGTGTCCATCAACAGATGAATGGATAAAGAAAATGTGGTACATATACACAATGGAGTACTATTCAGCCATAAAAAAGAATGAGATCCAGTCATTTGCAACAACATGGATGGAACTGGAGATCAATGTATTTAGTGAAATAAGGGAGACACAGGACAAACATCTTATGTTCTCACTTATTTATAGGATCAAAAAATCAAAACAATTGAACTCATGGACATAGAGAATAGAAGGACAGCTACCAGAGCCTGGGAAGGGTAGTAGTGGTGGTGGAGGAGGTGGGGATAGTTAATTGGTGCAAAAGGTAGTTAGAAAGAATGAGTAAGACCTACTATGTAATAGCATAATAGAGTGACTATAGTTAATAATAGCTTAATTGTACATTTTAAAATAACTTAAAGGGTGTAATTGGGTTGTTTGTAACTCAGAGGATAAATGCTTGAGAAGATGGATACCCAATTCTCCGTGATGTGCTTATTTTACTTTGCATGCCTGTATTAAAACATCTCATATACCCCATAAATATATATACCTACTATATACCCATAAAAATTAAAAATAAGAAAAAGAAAAAAAGAAAATGAGTTGGCTGTATACGTGTAAATTTATTTCCGTGTTCTCTGTTCTCTTCCATTCGTCTCTGTGTCTGTTTTTATGCCAATACCCTGCTGATGTGTTTACTATAGCTTTGTAGTATATTGTGAAGTCAAGCAGTGTGATATCTCCAGCTCTGTTCCTTTTGCTTATGATTGTTTTGGCTATTTGGAGTCTTTATGGTTTCATGTACATCTTGGCATTATTTTTTCTACTTTTGTGGTTACTTATTTTTGTTGTTATTGTTTTGTTTTTGAAATGGAGTTTCGCTCTTGTTTCCGAGGCTGGAGTGCAATGGCATGATTTTGGCTCACCACAACCTCTGCCTCCCGGGTTCAAGTGATTCTCCTGGCTCAGCCTCCCAAGTAGCTTGGATTACAGGCATGCGCCACCACACCCGGCTAATTTTGTGTTTTTAGTAGAGACAGGGTTTCTCCATGTTGGTCAGGCTGGTCTCAAACTCCCAGCCTCAGGTGATCTGCCCACCTCAGCCTCCCAAAGTGCTGGGATTACAGATGTGAGCCACTGTGCCCAGCCCATATTGGTGTTTTAATAGAGATTGCATTGAATCTGTAATTTGCTTTAGGTAGAATTGTCATTTTAACAATATTATTTCTTCCAATCTATTAGCATGTAATATTTTTCAATTTTTTTGTGTCCTCTTCAATTTCATTCATCAGTGTTTTATAGTTTTCCTTGTATAGGCCTTATAGTTCTTCAGTTAAATTGATTGCTAGGTATTTTATATTTTTTGTGGGTATTGTAAATGGTATGGCTTTCTTGATTTCTTTTTCAGATTGTTTGCCCTTGGTATTTATAAATGCTGATTTTTGTCTATTGATTTTCTATCCTGCAACTTTACTAAATTTGTTTACCAATTCTAACAGTTTTTTTTGGTGTTGTCTTTACATTTTTCTAAGTATAAGATTATGTTATCTGTAAACAAGGCTAATTTGACTTCTTTGTTTCCAATTTAGGTGCCCTTTATTTATTTCTCTTCCCTAATTGTCTGGCCTTATTTAATTTTTATTAATTAAAAGTTAAATAGCTTCATATGTCTAGTGGCTACCATACTGGATAGTACAGATCTAGACCGATCAAACTTCAGATGGTTGGGATCAATCTGTACCATCCCTCCTAAGCTTCGTCTTCAAATGATCACTAATAACTCTTCTGAATTCTGTTTTGGATTTCAGTAAGTTATTCCAAAACCAAATGAAGCTCTAGTTTAATTAGACCGAAGTGTCAGTTGCACAGGTGTGTGTGTGTGTATGTGTGTATTCAAAGTTTTCAATTTGCTCACATTTGTATTTCCTGTAATTGGTTCTATAAGAAGATAAGCATGTACCTATTCATTGCCAAACAACTTAAGATAAACACATACAAAAACAAACCTGAGAAATACAGAGCAATACATAATTATGTATCTGTCTTTAAAAGCTAAGAGACAGAAGGATAAAGATTGAGAATACTTCTTTCACTAACTCTAGCCACTGTTAGAGTGGCTTCCTAAAGAAGACGACAAGACACTTACGTTGCACTCTGTGCAAAATTAGCCATTTCTCCTCTGAAGAGGGCCCAGCTTTTATATTAAAAAATAGATTGGTTATTTTAAATACAGAATATTATAAAAAATATTCAGCAATCATCAGGTGGATATTCAGCAAATTATTAACTTCCAAGTATAGCATTTCAAATGTTTTATTGGTTAAATGATTATAATAATATCATCTTTTTAATTTAACTTCAAGTTTATTATGAGGGTAAACATATCTGTAAATATTTCTGATGTTAAATGTGTAATGTAAGCACAGTATACTGTTTTAGGGATTACAACCTAGGAAGAAAATAATACAACAAACTACAAAGCAAAAATGTTTGGCTACCGGCTAAATTTTCAGAATTCTAGAGGAAAAGAAATGGAACTCAAAATAAAAAAGTTACCCTGCACAAGAAAGTATACAACAGTTTGAATGATCTAACAGACAAACGCCGCTTCCCCTAAACAATAAAAAAGCAACCTAGGTGTTAACGAAGTTCTGGCAGCTTGTCTGTGCAGGCTACTCAACAAGGCAGACAACCTTCAGAAGGAAGATACTCGCTGTCAGGTTCATCCAGCTATAATTGGAGTATATATTGACTTTGGTCAGTTTGGCAAAGAGAATATCAACTTACAAAGTGCTAGCTACGATGGAGATGCGATAACTGGAGATCATTGTTAAGATGTCTGCCACTTTCAAAAAGATTTGTCTTTAGAAGCTAATAGGAATTTTAAATTGCTACAGCAATTGCATGTCAACATGAGCTATTTATTGGCTGTTAACCATAAATGTATAATATATTAATGTGTTTGAATATACTCTTTCTGTCATTAAATTCAATTAAAATTGAATAATTATAAACATATAAGTCCCTAGAGCCTAAAATCACCAATTTTCAAGGAAAAAAAAGAAGATAAGAAATTATTCATATTCAATCACATTTTGCCATCAAATTTATTTTTCAGATGAAATATTTGCAACAAATAAAGACTTAAAATTGGGTGCCGTAATAGAATGATTAATAGATCCTTACTTCCAGATAAAATGATTAATGCTTCCATTATGTATATTATGTAGCGTTCGAGTTAAATATGTCAATATGTTATTGTATTCAGTGAATAGTTCAATTGATCTTTCCTCTCTTAAATTAAAGCAAATCATTTTATAAAGGAATATGTATTTCAGAAGTACATAGTTCCATAAATAATATGTTTGAAAGCATGAAATAGATAATGCCTTGGTTTGATAGACCCCAAAACTGAAACTGAAATTACAGTCATTTGGGATAACTAACCTATTGTTTTACATAGTTTTGTTTCAAGCTTACCAGTGAACAGAAAGAAAAAAAAACTAATCAAATTATTTTCAATGGGGCTACAAAGCATTGCATTGTAACCTGAAATCCAAAGCTTACATTGGCTTGAAAATTTGACCAGGCTTACTTAGCTGAAAGAGTCCTTTTAGACTATAAACTTTTGCTAATTTTGTACCAGAAAAACTGGGTTCAAAGATTTTATTCTTCATTCTCCTTTAAATCATATATATATATATATATATATATATATATATATATATATATATGATTTTAAAATATTTTTTAAAAGAGTAATTCAGAAAAAGGATAAGGAAACTCAATTGTCCTGATCACGTAAGCAAAACTACTTTGAGATTAGCGTTTAGAACCACCCTTTTTCCCTCAATCTGGTTCCTAGTTCAGGAAAGGTCATTTTATATACCAGAATAAATGAAAAAAATTATTTCTGCCCTACTGCATTGGACTAGTGTCCTCACTAGGAGTTCATGAAACAGTTTCAATAAAAATGCAATTACAATAAGGTATTTTAAATCATATTAATATGATTACCTTAGACTCACATTGAAAATACAGAGAATGTTTAATTTTTAGAAAATGTTAAACACTTTAGTTTAGTAAATCCTATCATGTTTTCCAGTAATGCTAAAAGGTGCACAATACTTTTTCATTTTAGGTGCCCTGTGACTAGAGACTTGGCACTTGATGGCTGCAGGGGAATCACTAATGAGCTACAAAGCCTTTACACCTCTAGGTCAGGAGTTTGGCTTAGACCTAGGTTGGGAGTGACAGAAAGTCGTTACCATCTCATGATAGTTCAGTGGTTTATATGAAGGAAATTCAGTGTTTCAGGCCACTTTCTAATGAACAAGCATCCACCTTACAAAAAGTCACCACTGCTTTTGAAAGTAATTGGCAACAACCTAGAGAATGAAAAATTTAACCAAGATTTGTGTTCCTTCCATGCTATGACTACCGTATTCAAGTAAGGAGTTTTTAATGGAAAAAGACACAGTACATTGCAGATATGCCTATGAAAAGTAAGGCTAGGGAAGAAAAGGGGGGGGAGAATAATGAAGAGAAAAGAGAGAGTCATCCAGAATAGAGTAAATCAAAATGCAGTTAAGACATGTCATCAAAAACCTTTACTTACAGTTTATATAGCAAAGGTATTTAATTCAGAAAAGACATGCACCTATTATGTTTCTCTTTAGTAAAATTTTAATAATTTTACCTGAGGCCTTTAGATTAGGGCATCAAAAAGATGATACATGCCTGGAAATGGTGTTTCCTTAGCAGAGAGTTGTCACTACACATGTCGTTATTATCTTCTTTAGGAAGCCATAGTGGCTAGAGTTAGTGAAAGAAGGCTTCTCAATCTTCTTTCTTCCAAGTCTTTTAGTTTCTACAGACACAGACACATAATTATGTATTGCTCTGTTTTATTCAGGGTTGTTTTTGCATGTGTTTGCCTTAAGTTGTTTGGCAAGAAATAGGCACAGGTTTATTCTTCTTACAGCACTCATTACAGGAAATACAAGTCTGAGCAAATGAAAAACTTAGAATATGCACATAGACGCATGTGCGTGCACACACACACACACACACACACACACCTGTACCATTGATGTTTTCATTTAATGAAATCTGAGCTTTGTTTGGTTTTGAAATTATTTAATAAAATCTAAAATGTTACTAATGATCTTTTGAAGACAGAAGCATAGGAAGGATGTGGCAGAGTGTTTCCAACCATCTGAGGTTTGATCAGTCAGGATCTATGCTATCCAGTATGGTAGCCACTAGAAAAATGAGGCTATTTAAATTAAATTAGTGAACACTTAATAAAATTGGAAATTAAGTTCCTGAGTTGCACTAGCCACATTTCAATTGTTCTGTAGCCACATGTGGATAGTATCTAAGTTATCTGAACATTTTTATCATCTCAGTAAGTTCTATTGAACAGTAGGGCCCAGACCACCTTTTCATCCCTATGCTTAATGTTTTTATATTAAAATATAATATTTTATGTAATAATAAAAATCAAAAGAAATAATTGGAAAGTAATAGTGAAACCTAAGGAAAAACAATGAAAAAATGCATTGGAGTTGGAAGCTTATATAATGCATGGTCTATAATAATATCCCACTAATTATTATATTGAATGAATGCATTTTTCATTTTTTCAATTTAAGATACTTGAAGATTTTGATTTTCAAGAGATACGAGAACTTGATGCCTTCTTTTTTCTTTGCAAAGAAGATGATATTAATAATTTGTTATAGGCTGGCCCTGGTGGCTCACTCCTGTAATCCCAGCCCTTTAAAAGGCTGAGGTGGGAGGATCGCTTGAGGCCAGGTGTTCAAGACCACCCTGGGCAACATGGTGAGCCCCTCTCTCTAAAAAAAAGTAAAAAATTGGCTGGGCGTGTTGTTGTGCACCTGTAGTCCCAGCTACTCAGAAGGCTGAAGTGGTGGGAGGATTGCTTGAGCCCAGGAGGTGGAGGTTGCAGTCAGTGGTAACTGTGACACTGTACCCCAGCATAGGTGACAGAATGAGACTGTGTCTCAAAATAATAATAAAAATAAATAATAATAATAATTTGGTGTTATTTTTATACCTTGAATTTACTTAATAGGAAGAAATATATCAATTAGAGGGTACTGGAATCCCTTGGACTTATTTTTTCTTTTTCAATGAATGATATGTTTGCCTGCACAAGCCCAAAACCATAAACCGATCTAGAAGATGAGGACACACAAATACTTCTCTAATATCCCAGAGGTGAAGTTCACCTGCATGTCAGATATTAGCACTGAGAGGGGATATTCCTATTTGGGAACATTTCTGTCTAAAATATTACCCTCTACATTATTTTATAAATGATGAACTAACTAAAGAAAAAGTTTGAGAATGTTGGTGGATGGGAAAGGAGCAACTGTTGACAAGTTTAATTTCATTTTAAGCCATTATCACAGGGGATATGTGTATACTATCTTAGAATCTGCCAATTTTTCAGCTTATTCATAACAGTCAAAGGAAAGATGTTATCTCTATGCTTATAGTGAAAAGCTTTGGAAGTCAGAAAGCAAATCTTTTATTAAATTCTTGTCCAGGGTTCATCTGTCAGGTCTAGAAATGACTAGTTATTGTTACCGTGTACACCAAGATCATCTATGAGTGATATGGAAAAATGAAACATTTTAAAAGAATTCGAGAAGCAGTGGGTCCCTGTTCTTGCCTATCAATTTTGTAATGAAACAACAATTCCTTGTATTTACCTGGACAGTTCTTCCAATGCAAGTCAGATCTATTTAAAGTAGCAGGTTTGTAGGAAAAGGGGTATCAGAGAAGCAGGTAAGATTACACGAAGAGTTAAAGAATAATGTTGCTGTAATGTTAACAATCATATTTATAGGAATACAACCAGGGAAATTCTTCAACATATTGGTCAAAGATAAATTAATAAAATTTCCTGTTCAAATATACAGTTAGATTGCTCAAGTATACTGAGCATTGGAACTTTTTATAAAATGGATCCTTCGGAGTCTTAAATTAGTCTAATAATGGCTTAAAAAAGTGATTGAAATGCAGCAGCTTTGGTGTCCTGTTGTAACTTTAGTGAAAATACTAATTCTGGATGTTTATAAACAATTTCTACTTCTACTTTCTCTAGAGAATTTCACCCCCTGACACCCACATCACAGGAGATAACACAAGAATTTATTTACAATAAATTCAAGTTTCCCTGAAAAATATGGTACGGTAACCTGAGAGAAGATTAACAGATTATTTTCTCATCCTAAGTGTCTGCTATTTTAGATATTGACCATATGAGAGAATGAGTTTTAAAAAAACTTTTAATTTTTAATTTTTGTAGGTACATAGTAGGTGTATATATTTATGGGATACATGAAATGTTGTGATACAGGCATGCAATGTGAAATAAACACATCATGGAGAATGGGATATTAATTCCCTCAAGCGTTTATCCTTTGTGTTACAAACAATCCAATAACAGTCCTGTAGTTATTTTTAAATGTACAATTATTATTAACTATAGTCACCGTGTTGTGCTATCAAATAATAGGTGTTATTTATTATATTTTATTTTCGTACCTAGAGTATTTTCTTACATGAATAAAAGATAATGATATTCCATACCATCTTGGGAATGGAATCCCTTGATCCCAGGTGCCTGTGGAAATGTTCACACTTTTCACGGGTGAGGATAAGTGAGGAAAGAATAAGAGCAGAAGGGCCCTAGAGGGAAACCTTAAAGAACCCGAGAGTAGAGAATGGATGGAAGTAGGTGATGTTGCTTTTTCTTCCTTCCTCACTGCTCTCCCTTCTGCAAAGGTGAATGTCTTCTTGCCTCAGCTTTATTTTTCAAATTGTAATCAAGACCAAAACAAGTCAGACCATTGAGACTCATTTGTTTTCTTTCCGAGTGAAAGCAAACAGATCTAATTTCATTCTGAGACAAGGCAGGTGGGCTTAATAGACAGTATGGGGGTGGGCAAAGAGGAGAAATGGTAACTGTGGGAAGACATCAGTTGTAATTTATCTTGACTTAGTAAGACTTTTCCTTTTTGCATGACATACTGCTCAACAAATGGAGAGACACTCCAGTTAAGTAATTGCTCAGATTATTAGTGTGTTGTGCTGAAAAAGGACTCCTAAGCTGCATTAGCTTGGGTTGACATCGCAGATGCTCATCTTCAAGGGGTCAGTACAAGAATGAATCTATTTAACATCTTCATCAATGATCAAGATAATGGAAAAGATACAGCAGGTCCATTAATTAACATTAGGAAAGACATTATACTGCAAGGGTAGCTTGCACATTGTAGGGCAGTGTATGAATTTTAAATGGCCTTTACCATGATAAAACACTTGTCCTTTGCATTCAAAATTTTAAAGGCTATTTTTGTTCATCCCTGCAGGCATGGCTAAGAAAACAAATAAGTGAACTCTTGCTACTGTGAATCTCTGTGTTCTATTTGCTAAAGCACAGGGCACTAGGACTGGAACAGCTTTACTTTAAATAGAACGATCCATTTTTTATAGCTGCAGCCCCAAATGATTTCCTCATTTCCCTATATGTAACTCTTTCCCAGAATTTCAAGGCAATGGTGTAAGGCAGGGTCAGATACGTAACTTGAAGAGCCCACTGTGAAAAAAAGAAAAGCACTCTTTGTTCCTAAAGTAGAAACAACCACTAAAGCTACTAAGATATAAAGCTTTTTTCATTTCTTCATTGTTTCTCTATTAACTTGTTATGGTGTTTTTATTTACTATTTAATATCATTCTAAGAAAAAAATTGACAATTTAAATTATTAGCATAAATTAATAATCACCTTTATATTGTGTATTGTCAGTTTTAAATGCACACAGGGGAACATTTTACTCATATATGAAATCACCAAAATTACGCAATTCATATTTGGTAGCTCATAGTAAACTGGTACCAGTTGAGTCGGGGTGCTGCTAAAAAGATACTCGAAAATGTGGAAGCGACTTTGGAACTGGGTAACAGACAGAGGTTGGAAAAGTTTGGAGGGCTCAGAAGAGGACAAGAAAATGTTGGAAACTTTGGAACTCCCTAGAGACTTGTTGAATGGCTTTGCCCAAAATGCTAATAACGACATGGACAATAAAGTCCAGGCTGAGGTGGTCTCAGATGGAAATAAGAAACTCGTTGGGAACTGGAGCAAAGGTGACTTCGTTGATTTTGTGTAGAAAGTTTGATGCCTGCTTTTTTCACAGTAAAATGCTGACATAAAAAACAGCCATCCTAAAAGTTTCCATCTTAGGTGGGCAGCCATTTACCTTTTTCTGCCATCAAATTTTATGCATCAGTTGTACAAATTTAAATATCAGGCAGAAAAATATACATTGGTGTGGCTCACATTTACAACTTCTTAGTTAAATTTTTACCTTTACATTGCTCTTACTTAGCTCAATTTTAAAAATATAGTATTTTTGTTTACTAGAGGAAATTGAAAATATAGAAACAATAAAATGAAGAAAGAATTATACACATTGAAGATAGTCAATGTAAATAGTTTTCCACTTCTTTTCTGGTCTTTTCTAAATGTACAACTTTAAAAAATACTGGCAGATTCCAACCATATATAAAATTTTACATCTTGCTTTTTATGTAATATTATATTGCAAACATTTTTTTTCATGTTACATTCTGCCTGGACATTTTTATGGCTGCAGAGTGTATTACCACATGGATTTATTTAATGCTTACTCCATTTTTGGACACAATTTCATTTATAATAAATACTGTGATGAACATCTTTTTGAATAAAACTTTTCTCATTTTTCAAGGTTATGTCCTTAGGATACATTCCCCGAAGAACATTACTGGGTAAAAGCATCTCAGACATTTTAAGTCTCTTGATTCTTGTTGACAAATTGCTTTCAAAGGAGACATACCAGTTTTTACTCCTGCTAGGGATTTACCACAATGCTTGTACTTCGTTAAATGTAGATTACTGTGATTAATGGTGATGGGCATTTTTATATGTGTTTGTTTTCTAATTCTAATTCCTCCATCGTGAAGTATGGTATCTCCTTCACGTCCTTTTGTAGACCACTCACTCTTACAGGCATGATCTCCTGGCAAAAGTATGGCAGAAGAAAACACTGAAACATTTCTACAGAGGTTGTATCATTTCTAATGTCTCCACTTCCCTAGCCACCCTGCCTTTTAAAAATTGGGAGAAAATCAGAAAAAAGCTGATATCTCTTTTTTTCAAAGTTTATTTTTCTTGCAAAATAATATGCTTATATTGCATAAACTAAACATTGCAAATAAAGCTAAAGCATCCCTTGACCAAGACCACAATGTTGCACAAATTCACAGACTATTTGTGACCAGCCTGGGCAACATGGCAAAACCCCATCTCTACAAAAAGTAGCCAGGCTTGGTGGCACACGTCTGTAGTCCCAGCTACTTAGGAGGCTGAGGTGGGAGGATCACCCGAACCTGAGAGGTCAAGGGTGCAGTGAGCCCCGATCATACCATTGCACTCCCGCTTAGGTGACAGAGTGAAATCCTGTCTCCAAAAAAATAAATAAATAAATAAAAGAAAAAAAAATCTACAGACCACCTTACACAGTTAGTTGTGCAGTGTTGATGGAGAGACCCTGGGCTGGACAATATCTGCTTGTCATTCCCAATCTTTATCCTCTCATGGGAGGGAAACATTGCTCTCGGTTTTATGTAAATCCCCCCAGATGCTTTTCTTTATAAAATTTTTTAAAAATTTCATTTTCTTATTATTACCATAGTGGAATGAGCAGAACTGGCTTATCCCTGCCCCTCTCCTTAGCTTGTTTCCTCATAGAACGCTGATGCCTTTTCCCTGCATTAAATTCCAGTTAGTCCTATTGTTTAGTCCTCTTTCTGTAGTCCGGGCCAGTTGTTTTCCACATTTACATGTTGTGAATATGGTTTTGCATCTCTCTAGCAGTCTGATCCCAGAGCCCCTCTCCGATTTTTTATTTTTAAAGGTTCAGGATGTTTTGCCTTATTAAGGAATGCTGCGGAGAAACATGTTAGAGAAACATTATTTTAGGATGCCAAAATCTTTTTCTCTCCCTAAAGCTAAAACACATACAGTTTCACTCTAAGGAACCAATTCTTTAGAAAACTGAGCTAAAACGGAAATGAAATGAAAGGCGGCCTACATTAAATTTCATTTAGTCCTATTGTTTAATTTATGTTCTGGGCTACTCGATTCCTTTTAGGCCCTAGGCATGCAAGATACTGTTTCCGTGTGCTTGGTCACTCCTTCATATTTTATCCTATCTTTGGGCCTTATGGATATTTCTGTTCTGGAGGCTTCTGAAATCAGTCGGCTCTCTTTTTGGGAGAGTTGGTAGGTGGAGTGGGATATGTTTTAGCAGGCATGTTGGTTTATATATTTTTTCCATTAAACCTATTGGCTTTCTTCTTTGTGAGTTTAATAATGTGATGTCTTGCTTCTGTTGACCAATTTTTAAAGTTTTGATTATTCATTTGTACTCGGATTGTTTTGCCATATTTTCTGAGTAATTTTGTTTGTTTGTTTATTTATTTATTTATTTTTAGTACAGCCTTGAAAGAGACATTAGATTTCCTAGGAAAGCATGATGAAAACACACTCTAACCCATTTGTGGACCTTTGCAGATTAGGGGTGCTTCCATATTGTGAGCCATGTGGCTAAGCAGGATATGATTGCCTCGTTTCTGACCCAGCAGTCAAAGATGCTGTGCTTTGCTGGAGGGAAGTGTTCACAGCTACTGCCTGTGTTGTAATTTTTTTTTTTTTTTGAGAATTAACAGAAGACCTGAATTTTTAGAGTTTTCCATATGGTTGCTTTCCTAGTAGGACTAACATTGACTTAAAAAAAAATCCACCTCTTCACTTTAAGGAAAAGAAAAGTCCTGAGTCACTTAGTATTCCTTACACTCAGGAAGGCTGACTATAAAGGCTTACACTTCCTGCTGTGATTGTATCCTTCTTGAAAGAAATGAAGCAGCAACATGAACTTAGTTCCCTTTATCTGCACAGTGATTCTAAGTCTCAGTTTCTGCCGTCTTCCCTCTCTGACTATTTAATACACTTATCGTTTCTCTGCCTGGCATTCCCCTATAGGAGAGATTGAATTTAACAAATGTACACTAAGAATGATAGCTGACACTAATTCAATGAGCAGAAGGTTAAATCCGATCATAATTCCTGAGGTAATGGAGACGGGTCAGGTATGCAGATCTCTGAAGAGTCAAAGAGATTAAAGGAGACTACACAGTTCCTTTGACTCTGTAGCCACTAGGAAACTATAATAGCGTTTTAAGGTAGGGTAGTACTGGAGCCTAAAGATTTATTTTTTAAAAAATGAACAAAGCATCACAGTCAAGCTGATGCAATAATTTTGCAATCCTTTGAGCTGTTAAACTCAAGAAAGATGTTAGCTAAATGCAATCTGGAATAAATACATTAATTTTCACATTTCCTTTTCCCCGTTGCGCATAGTCTTGAACTATTTTAACTCAGATGAACTTTAGTCCATGTTAAAATCTGGAAAGAGTATCTGCAAAGATATAATAAATATAAATAAATTACATTAAGGATATACGAGTGGAAAAGGGAGAAAGAAAAAATTTGCAAACACTTAAAAAAAAACTGCTTGATTTAATGTCTGTAGATGGAAGCTGTGGATCAGTACTTCCCATGAGACTCCATAGTGGATTGTCGCTGATGGCAACTAACAGAAAACTAACGAAAAACTTGCACCTGGGGCCCTTGCTGGATTCGCCTCTAACAGCCCTTCTCAGTGGGATGGCAGGATCAGGGTTAAGGCTGATAAGATAATGGAATCTGTGCGTGCCCGGCCTGATTGCTCCCCTGATCTGATCACTAGTATCGGGGTGACAGCTGCTTTTCCAACCCTCTGGGCAGCAAGTGGCAGAGCAGCATGTCAATTGCATGTGCATATTTAGCAGTCATATATTGACAATTAAAGAGAAAGTGTTTCACATTTGTATTACCCTTATTAAAGAGTATGTGAAATATTTAGTCAAAGAGTTGGAGGGTTTAGAGATCCCATGTGAATTTTTGCATGACTGAGCAGGGTTCTTTTAAAATATACACTTGATCAGTGAATTATGATAATTCTTGCATTGGTGTGCCTGTGTAAAGATATTGAACATTACATATGCAAGTCACATATATACCTCAGAGGAAGACTGTCAAGTTTTAGAATTGCAATAGTAGTACATGACACTGAAATTGGGATGGGTTTGTTATAATTCAAAATGGAGGTAATGAAATCAGAAAAGAAAAAAAAAGAACTGGAAAGAGAATGTTTTGTTTTCAGGGATTAAAGCTTTCTAAATTAGTGGGTTAGAATAAAGTATTGTGTCACTAAAGATAGTAAAATGTGTAAATACATTACTTTTTATAGAAAGGAAACTAGTTTATATATACACACACAGACGCATACACAAGTATATCTGTTAGTATATATCCACTTAAAATGTGCATACTCTTATATCTCAGATTTCCACATCCAGGAATAGGTATTCTTCACCTGCCCTTTTCACTTAAATAATGTCTCTTCTTTGTTGTTTGGTTTTGCAATTGAAGGGCACTTCCTTTTCTTCTGTGTAAAAATTGTGTATTTGAAAAATACAAAAGAATACATGTAATTGACACGTAAGCAATGAAGCATGATAATTACTGAACACTAGTGAATCTACCATGCAATTAGGATCTGGAACATTATTTATGTAATTGTGTTACACTTCTATTTCATCCTATTTTCTACTTCCTATAGATACTCAGTAAACTGAATTTTATCATTTGTTTTCCCAAAATGGTTTTATCATATAAGTACATATTCTTTTCATAATCTCATTTTTCAAAATTAAGGTATCATTTACATACAGTAAATTTTATTCATTGTGATTTACAATTCTTTGGCTTTTTACAAACACCTACCCATCAAAATTAAGATATAGAGCAGTTCTATTACCTCTCAAAATCATCCCATGCCACTTTGTAAATCAGTCCCTCCCCTTTTTCCCCACTCTTGGCAACCTCTAATCTGTTTTCTGCCCCAAGAGTTTAGCCTTTTCCAGAGTGTCATTTAGATAGAATCATATATTATATACCCTTTTGAGCCTTCTTTCCTTCTGCATAACGCATTTGAGATTCATTCATGTTTTTGTACATATCAGTAGTTCATTTCCTTTTATGAGTAGTAGTATTCTATTATAGGAATGTATTGCAGCTTGTTTATTGATTGGCTAGCTGAAGAGCAATTGGTTTCCAGTTTTTTGCAATTGTAAATGTATCGGCTATCAATATTTGTATACACATTTTTGTATAAATATAAATTTTCATTTCATCTGGGTACCTACTTAGAAGTGAAATTTCTGGGTCATATGATAAATGTATGTTAAACTTCATAAAAAACTATAAGATGTAGCACGCATTTCCAAAGGGGCTGTATCATTTTGCATTCTCACAAGCAATTTGTCAAAGTTTCAGTTGCTCTGCACCCTTATTAGCATTTAATATTGTCAGTTGCCTATTTTTTTCCAAATCTAGCCATTTTAAATTAATGGTATCTCACTGAGTTATAATTTAAACTTTCTCAATGACTAATTATTTTGAGCAACTTTGTATGCTTGTTTATGATCTATATGGCTTGTTTAGTGAAGTGTTCACTTTTTTTGCCAATTTTAAAACATATGTTGTCTATTTTCTTATTGAGTTTCGAGAATTTTTATGCACAGATACAAATTTGTTTTAATTAGATGTGTGATTAACAAATATTTTCTTCCAGTCTGTGCTTTGTCTTTTCATTCCTTTAACAGTTTTTGAGGATCAGAAATTCTTAATTTTGTTAACACATAATTTATGAATTTGTTTTATGCATTATGCTTTTGGTACCTAAGAATTTTTCACCTAACCCGAAGTCACAGAGAGTATCTCTGATTTCTCCTAGCAGTTTATAGTTGTATGTTTTACATTTAGAGTAGTTACTCACTTTCAGTTACTTTTAGTATATTATGTGAGGTAGGGATCAACATTTATACATTTTTTGCATATGGATAGCTAATTGCTTCAGCATCATTTGTTAGAAAGATTATTCTCAATTGAACAGACTTTTTATCTGTTAAATCAAGTAAACATGTGTGATCTACTTCTGGATTGTCTACTTAAAAAACTTGATTTAGGTGTCTATTATTTTACCAATGCCATATTGTCTTGATGACTGTAGCTTTAATGTAAATCTTGAATCAGGTATTGTAAAATCAGGTACTTTAAAACAAAGATTATTTTGGACTACTTAATTCTTTTAACTGTCCATATAAATTTTTGAATCAGCTTGTCCATTTCTATGTAAAACTTGCTGAGATTTTGATGAAATTATATTAAATCTATAGATCAGAATGTGGAGAAATGATATCTTAACCACACCAACTCTTCCAGTTCATAAAAGTCACTTTTTTGATGTTTAAACTCAATGTTATGTAGTTTTCAGCACACAGATCTTGTACATATTTTGTTAGATTTATAACTAAGTATTTAATGTTTTGGTACTGTTATAATAGTACTTTAAAAATTTTGATTTTCAATTGTTCATCCTTATTGTATAGAAATATTAGAGAGTTTTAAATATAGAACTTCTATCTGAAAACTTAAATCACTTATTAGTACTTTTAGCTTTCTAAAAATAGATTTCAGGATTTTATACAATCTTATTGCCCAAGAATAGAGACAGTTCTATTTCTTCCTTTTCAATCTGTATTTCTTTTATTTCTTGTGATTGCCTTACTGCACTGTCTTGGACATCTGGTATGATAAACAGGAAAGCAGACATCTTTACCTTGTTCTCATTGTATGGGGAAAGCATTTAATCTTTCATCAATAAATATGATGTAAGCTGTAGGCTTTTTTGGTATGTGTTCTTTATCAGGTTTTGGAAGTTTCTTTATAATTTGCCGAACATTTTCTATAAATTACAAATCAGTGTTCAAATCTCTTAAATTTTTCTCTTATCTTTCGAGATGGTGATTTTTTTTTCTTCTCTATTACATTTATATAGTGGATACATTGATTGCTTTTCAAATGTTGAACAAACTCAGCATTTTAAAAATAAACCCCACGGTGGCTGAGTGCGGTGGTTGACGCCTGTAGTCCCAGCACTTTGGGAGGCCGAGGCGGGTGGATCGCGAGGTCACGAGATCGAGACCATCCTGGCTAACAATGTGAAACCCCGTCTCTACTGAAAATACAAAAAAAAAAAAAAAAAAAAAAAAAAAAATTAGCCGGGCATGGTGGCGGTCGCCTGTAGTCCCAGCTACTCGGGAGGCTGAGGCAGGAGAATGGCATGAACCGTGGAGGTGGAGCTTGCAGTGAGCTGAGATCACGCCACTGCACTCCAGCCTGGGCGACAGAGCAAGACTCCGTCAAAAAAAAAAAAAAAAAAAACCCCTTGGTCATGATGTATTATTATTGTTTTTTTTACATATTGTTGTATTCAAATTTACTGGTATTTTGGACAAGCGTGGTGGCTCACGCCTGTGATCCCAGCACTCTGAGAGGCCAAGGCGGGCGGATTGCCTGAGCTCAGGAGTTTGAGACCACCTTAGGCAACATGGTGAAACCCTGTCTCCACTAAAATACACAAAATTAGCCAGGCATGGTGGCGTGCGCCTCTAATCCAAGCTACTAGAGAGGCTGAGGCAGGAGAATTGCTTGAGCTGGGATGCCGAGGTTGCAGTGAGCCGAGATCACACCACTGCACTTTAGCTCGGGCAATAGAGTGAAACTCCCTCTCAAAAACAAAAAACAAAAGACAAAAAAAAAAAAAAAAAAAATCTCACGAAATTTACCGGTATTTTGTTGAGGACTTTTGTCTCTTTATTCATGAGGGACGTTGCTGTGTAATTTTTTCTCTCCACCCGCCCCGCACCTCCGTCTTGTGTTGTTTTTTTCTGATTTTGGTATTAGAGTATTTTTGGATTTACCAAATGAGTTGGGAACTGGCCCCTATTTTCTATTCTGGAAAAGATTGTGTCAAATTTGTATTATTTCTTTTTCAAATATTTGGGAGAGTTTGCCAGTGTGGCCCTCTGGCTTAAAGAGTTTTTGGTTGGAAACTTTAATCTAGAAGTACACTTTAATTAATAGATATAGAATTATTTGGATTATCTGTTACATGATTGAGATTTCCTAGTCTGGGTCTTTTGAATCATTTGCCCATTTTACCTAAGTTGTTCATTTCTGGGCATACAGTTGTTTGTAATATTATTATTATCCTTTAAATGTCTGTAGTATTTATAGTGATGTCTCCCTGTAAAAATTCTTAATATTTGTACTTCATATCTTCTCTCTTACTTTGTTGGTCAATTTGGCTGGACGAGTACAATGTTTTTTGTTTTTTTTTTTTTCAAAAAATCGCTGTGGTTTTATTACTTTTCTCTATTTTTTTGTTCTCAGTTTAATTTCTATATGTTTTATTCATTCTGTTTGGGTATAATATAATTTTATTTTTCCAGTTTTTAAGGTGGATTCTTAGAAAGTTGCTTTTCAAGTATCGCTCTAGCTGCATCTCACGTATTTTGACAGGTTATGGTTTCATTTTCATTCAATTAAAATATTTTCTAATTTCCTCTATGACTTTCACTTTCATCTTTGGGTTATTTAGAAATGTTTTGTTTGCTAACCAATTATTTTGGGATTTTCCAAGTATATTTCTCTTACTAATTTGTAGTTTAATTCCATTATGGCTACAGAACATACTTTGTATGATTTAAATTTCTACAAATTTTAAATGTTTTTAAATTTTTATTTTTTTTTATTATACTTTAAGTACTAGGGTACATGTGCACAACATACAGATTTGTTACATAGCTATACATGTGCCATGTTGGTTTGCTGCACCCATTAACTCATCATTTACATTAGGCATTTCTCCTAATGCTATCCCTCCCCCATCCCCCAATCCCCCGATAGGGCTCAGTGTGTGATGTTCCCCTCCCTGTGTCCAAGCGTTCAATTCTCATCTATGAGTGAGAACATGGGGTATTTGGTTTTCTGTCCTTCTGATAGTTTGCTGAGAATGATGGTTTCCAGCTTCATCCATGTCCCTGCAAAGGACATGAACTCATCCTTTTTTCTGGCTGCATAGTATTCTATGGTGTATATGTGCCACATTTTCTTTGTCCATTCTATCACTGATGAACATTTGGGTTGGTTCCAAGTCTTTGCTATTGTGAATAGTGCCGCAATAAACATACATGTGCATGTGTCTTTATAGTAGCAGGGTTTATAATCCTTTGGGTATATACACCAGTAATGGGATCACTGGGTAAAATGGTATTTCTAGTTCTAGATCCTTGAGGAATCGCCACACTGTCTTCCACAATGGTCGAACTAATTTCCACTCCCATCAACAGTGTAAAAGCATTCCTATTTCTCCACATCCTCTCCAGCATCTGTTGTTTCCTGACTTTTTAATGATCGCCATTCTAACTGGTGTGAGATGGTATCTCATTGTGGTTTTGATTTGCATTTCTCTGATGAACAGTGATTATGAGCATTTTTTCATGGGCCTATTGGCTGCATAACTGTCTTCTTTTGAAAAGTTTCTGTTCATATCCTTTGCCCACTTTTTGATGGGGTTGTTTTTTTCTTGCAAATTTGCTTAAGTTCTTTGTAGATTCTGGAAATTAGCCCTTTGTCAGGTGGGTAGATTGCAAAAATTTTCTCCCACTCTATAGGTTGCCTTTTCACTCTGATGGTAGTTTCTTTTGCCGTGGAGAAGCTGTTTAGTTTAATTAGATCCTATTTGTCAATTTTGCCTTTTTTTGCCATTGCTTTTGGTGTTTTAGTCATGAAGTCTTTGCCCATGCTTATGTCCCAAAGGGTAATGCCTAGGTTTTCTTCTAGGGTTTTTATGGTTTTAGGTCTAACATTTAAGTCTTTTATCCATCCTGAATTAATTTTTGTGTAAGATGGAAAGAAGGGATCCAGTTTCAGCTTTCTACATATGGCTAGCCAGTTTTCCCAGCACCACTTATTAAATAGGGAATCCTTTCCCCATTTCTTGTTTTTGTCAGGTTTGTCAAAGATCAGATGGTTGTAGATGTGTGGTGTTATTTTTGAGGCTTACGTTCTGTTCCATTGGTCTATATCTCTGTTTTGGTACCAGTACCATGCCCTTTTGGTTACTGTAGCTTTGTAGTATACATTGAAGTCAGTTAGCACAATGCCTCCAGCTTTGTTCTTTTGACTTAGGATTGTCTTGGCGATGCAGGCTCTTTTTTGGTTCCATATGAACTTTAAAGTAGTTTTTTCCAATTCTATGCAGAGAGTCATTGGTAGCTTGATAGGGATGTCATTGAATCTATAAATTACCTTGGGCAGTATGGCCATTTTCACAATATTGATTCTTCCTATCCATGAGCATGGAATGTTCTTCCATTTGTTTGTATCCGCTTTTATTTCATTGAGGAGTGGTTTGTAGTTCTCTTTGAAGAGGTCCTTCACATCCCTTGCAAGTTGGATTCCTAGATATTTTATTCTCTTTGTAGCAATTGTGAATGGGAGTTTACTCATGATTTGGCTCTCTCTTTGTCTGTTATTGTTGTATAGGATTGTTTGTGATTTTTGCACATTGATTTTGTATCCTGAGACTTTTCTTAAGTTGCTTATCAGCTTAAGGAAGTTTTGGGCTAAGACGATGGGGTTTTCTAAATATACAATAATGTCATCTGCAAACAGGGAAAATTTGACTTCCTCTTTGTTTTATGATCCAGAATGTGATCTATTTTAGTGTATGTTCCACATACATTTGAAAAGAATGTATAGTCAGTCATTGTTTTATAAATGTCAATTAGGTTAAGAGGATTGATTGTGTTGTTGAAGTCTTTTATATTCTTACTGAATTTATGTCCAGTTATTTTATTGATTAGTGAGAGAAGGATATTTAAGTCTCTAACAATAAGTGGTTTGTCTATTTTCCCTTCAATTTTATTAGTTTTCTTCTTTGTATATTTTGATGTACAATTAGATGAATGCATGTTTGGAATTATTGTCATTCTACTAAGCTGCTTCTCTTTATTATATTAATTTTCCTGAAGTCTACTTTGTCTACTATTTAGATAGCCACTACAGCATTTTTTTTTGTGGTTGTTTGCATGATATATACACTCTCGTCCTTTTATTTTTAATTTGTCTGCATATTTATGTCTAATGTAAGTTTCTTGAATACATAATGCAATTGGATGTTGCCTTTCTAATTAATCTAACAATCTTAGTTTTAAATGAATGTGTATTTTGGCATTTTATGTAAGTACTGACATTTTTGGATTATTCTACCATCTTGCCAGTTATTTTTTGTATGCACTCATCTGTTTTCTGATTCTTTTGTTGTTTTCTTTTGTATTGAGTATTTATTTTATGATGATTCCGTTTTATCTATACCATTCACTTATTATTTTTAGTTAGTATATATTTTTATAGTTGTTATTGGGTTCATATTTTAATTAATCATATATTTTATGTTCACATCACATATAGTGCTTCATAGAGCCTTATAATGTTATACTCCCAATTCCTCCCTCCCTTCTTTTGGGATCTTTTTATAATTTTATATTCACATGTGCTATAAATACACAATAAATTGGTACTATTTTTTGATGTGATAATCCACTATCTTTTAGAGTAACATTATATATTTGTTCATAAATATTATTTCCAGGACTATTCATTTCTTTGTATAGATCTAAATTTCTGTGTGATGTCATATTCTTTCTAACTGGGGAATTTCCTTTAACATATCTTGTAGTGCAAGTGTGCTAGTAATGAATTCTCTCAAGTTTTGTTTGTCCAAAAAAGTCTATATTTTACCTTCATTTTGAAAGGTGTTTTCATTGGGTATAGAATTCCATATTTAAATTTTTTTCTGCAGTAATTTAATGATATTCTTCCATTGCTTTCAGGCATGTATAATTTCTGACAAAAGTCTGCTGTAACTTTTAAATCTTTGTTCCTTTGTATGTAACTTGTTTTTCCCCTGGCTTCCTTCAAAATTTTTGATCTCCTTTGGTTTTAAAATTTTAATATAATATAATATAATAAATATAATATAATATTATAATATAAGTGTGGGTTTTTTGGCATTTATTCTCCATGGCAATACTTGAGTTTCTTAGATCTGGAATTTGCTGCTCTTCCTTAATGTTAGAATTTCCATTTACTTTTTATCTTTTCTCTTGGTATTCCAGTTACAGACATGTTAGGCCATTTTTTGTTGGTCCACAGCTCTTCAATGTTTTGTTCACCCTCTCACCTTCTTTCTTTCTTCTTATTTTTTTGGATTCCAGTTCTATTGACTTTTAGTCAAGATCACCAATTCTTTGTCTTTAGCGTGTTCAAGTCTATTGATGAGCCTATCAAAGAATTCTTCATCTCTACTACTATTTTTCATTTCTACCATTACAATTTGAACTTTTATTCTATTATTTTTTACCTCTTTGCTAAAAATTTTTATCTGTTTATGCAAGTTGTCAACTTTTGCTAGCAGGACTTTTAAAATATAAATAATAGTTATATCAAATTCCTTTTCTGATAATTGCAACATCTATTATATTTGAGTCTGGTACTCTTAATTGCTTTTCCTCTTCACATTGTTTTTTCCTTTTTCTTTTCTTTTTTTGACAGAGTTTTGCTCTTGTTGCCCAGGCTGGAGTGCAATGGTGCGATCTTGGCTCAGTGCAACCTCTGCCTCCTGGGTTCAAGCAATTCTCCTGCCTCAGCCTCTCTAGTAGCTGGGATTACAGGCATGCGCTACCATGCCTGGTTAATTTTGTATTTTTAGTAGAGATGGGGTTCCTCCACATTGGTCAGGCTGGTCTTGAACTCCTGACCTCAGGAGATCCACCTGCCTCGGCCTCCCAAAGTGCTGAGATTACAGGCGTGAGCCATCGCGCCTGGCCTTTCCTTTTTCTTTATACCTTCTTCTTTGTGTATTTTGTAATTTTAGCCGCAAATTGGACACATTGTGTAGGACTGAGGTTCATAGTAGTAATGCTTGTAAATAGGCATGCCTCATTCTTTTCTAGGTTGTAAAGCAATCCATTTGAGAGGTGAACCAATTCTGTGTTTTCTTCTTGCTGTAATTTATATAATGCTCCAAAGTTTTCAAACTCCTCCAGCATTACTTTGTGCTTAGGATGGGAGTTGAGATAATGGAGGGTTTTTCTGAATATACTTACTCTATACTTAGCTTTTGACATTCTCTGTTAAACTTGTACCTTAGAGAATTTCTCTCTCTGTTTTCTCCTTTTTTCTAGTAGTAGATTACTGTTATTATTTACTTGGTACTTGCTTTCCTGGTTGGCGGGGGAGGTGACAGAGTGCTTTCTGAGGTTCTGTTTTAGTTTGAGTCCTAGGCATGTGTTGTGTGCCCGGGTCTTGATTGTGGAGTCTTAGTAAGCCTGCTTCTGAGCAGCTTAGCTGAGCAGGGAAGTCTCAGTTTTCTAGGGCTGCTGAAACAAATTACCATTCACTGGCTTAAACAACAGAAATTTATTCTCTCAAAATCCTGAAGACTATAAATTAGAAATAAAGCTGTTAGCAGTGTTGATTCCTTTTGGAGACGCTGAAGAAAGATATGTTCTATGCCTCTCTCTTGGCTACTGGTGGTTCCCAGAATCCTTGGTCTTCCTCGGGTTGTAGATAAATCACTCCAATCTCTGCCTCCATCTTCATATAGTGTTCTTTTCTTTGTGTTTCTGTGTCTTCACATGGTCTTGTTTCAAGGACATCTGTGATGATATTTAATGCCTACCCTAATCCACTATGATCTCATCTTAACTTGATTACATCTGCCAAGAACCTATTTCTAATTAAGATCACATTCACGGGTACCAGGAATTAGGACTTCAGCATGTCTTTTCTTGAGAATGTGTTAGTTTGCTAGGGCTGTTATAACAAAAATACCACAGGTTGGATGGTGTAAACAACAGAATTTATTTTCTCACAATTCTGGAGGCTAGAAACCCATGATCAAGTTTTCAGCAGCTTTGGTTTATCCTTAAACCTATTTTCTTGGCTTGCAGATGGTCATCTTATTATTGTGCCCTCTCACGGTCTTTTCTTTATATGTCCATATTCCTGGTGTCTCTATGTGTGTCCAAATTTCCTCTCTTTATAAGGACACCAATGACCCCATTTTAACTTAATTACTTCTGTAAAAGCTCTATCTTTTAATACACATTTTGAGGTAGTGGGGTTTAGAGCTTCAACATATGAATTGGGATGGAGGGGAAAGAGACACACAAATAAGCTTATAACAGAGGACACAACCCCAAGCTAATTGAGCGTAGTAGGGCCTAGGTTTTTTTTTTTGCCCTTCGCCCAAATGTAGAGGGTCTGAAAATGAATAGGACTTTTACAAAAAAGTTCTTTTATCTATTTTCTTACTAAAAAGTTCTACTATTTTCTTATTCAAATCTGCCTGATCATTATTTATAATACCTTTAAAATGTGTTTGTGATCTTTGTGAAATCATATTTAATTGCTTTTAACTTGTGGATAATCTAGAGGTTGAATTGACAAATGCTATGCTTCATAAATGATTTGCATATATTTCTTTTAGAAGCCAAGTGCTACTACCAAAGTAGTTTTACCTTAGCCCTTTCCTTTCCAGGATCACCAGATTAATCTAACAGTCTCTAGTTTGTACCTATAACCCACTGGTTAAGGTATTTATCTCCTGATTGTGGTTTTAATAATGGCATGTATCTATCAGGTATGCCTGCCTATTATGTGTCTTTACCAATCACCAATCAGATTTCAGCTCACAGGGTTATTTCTTCCTTTTGGAGATTTCTCTTACTTCTTGGGAGCCCATTAATGTAATTAGTTTGATGCAGGATCTAGTTCTTTGGTAATATGTGAACCTTCCAGAATATTTAGTCCATCAAATCTCAAAAAGCAGAAGTGTCTGATAATAAATTTTTGTAATGTCTTTCCATTCCACTTACATAGATATACCTCCACCTTTCCAATGTTTGCATAGTATTAGATTTTAAGGGTGTAACATTTTGAGAATGATACCTCTATTTGTAGGCATAAAGACTATTCACAGTTATGAGCTATTTCATGTGATATGCAGTCAGCATAATTGTGCTGAATTTTCATAAACTTGTATCAACATATACTTGTAGAATACACTTCTGAAAGTGGAATTGCTGGGTTAAAGGCATTTTGAGAGTTTTTGATACATATTTTCAGACAAATTTAAATGTTGCTAGAAAATATAAAAATGTTTCTAGACTTTTGTATTTAATAATACTTACCTGTTTTACAAATTATGATATATTATTTCCTAATGATCAACATTTACCCTTTGATGGCAGTAAAATCTTGTTCATATGGAGCATTGTCTAAGAAGGCAAATTGTGCAGAAGATACTATACTTATTACCTAGGTCCTAGTTTCAGATTTGCCCTGTGTTTGCTTTTTGACTTTCATAAGTTAGCTTGCCTTCTTCATTCTTTGTAGCTTTATACATGAACTACAGATGTTGAACTAGAACAAGGGTTATTAAATTTTATTCCAAGGATGGGAAAATGAACCCAATGGGTGGTGCTTTGAAATTCCTGTCCCTACTTCAAGCAAGACAGCTGCACTTTTATCTTTTTTGTATCAGAAGTACTGAAGATTATTCCATTTGGGGAAAATAAGGTTCTGCTGTTAAAAGTAGTTTAAAATCTCTTTCCCTAGGTAGATCTAAAGTCACTCCTAGTTCTAAAGTTTTCTTATGATTTTGTACATACTTCCAAATTGCTAGATTTTTCAGTATTCGAACTCCAATTATGGCTCCTACGTTTTTCCCCTTCTACAGTCAATGCAAAAATAAACTCACTTATTTAGATGAAAAGTAACAAAGAGCGAGCTGTTTCTTCCTTTAATCCCTTATCTTAGGCTTCTCTTTTGAATTACAAATGCTTTAGTCTCAACTACATTTTTAAAGAGAGAGGTTAAAAATATGTGACTTCTCATTATTTATTATCCTTCAGAGTTAGATTGAATTTAAATATAGAATATCATTTCTTATATCCTGTCTTTTTTTATTTTCTTTAGTGTGTATCCATTGCCTATGTATTGATCATTTCTTAAGTACTGTTTCTATCCCTATTCTCATCAATTTGTAAGTCCCAGCATACTTTCCCATAGTCACTATTGAATGCTATAGTCACATTTATTTTGTCTGAACACTACTTTCACCATAATAAGATTTTTTACATTTCTTTGGGAAACTCTAATTACCTTAGGCACAAGAACAAAATTCTTGGTTTAAATCTCTTAATCAGGCTTCCTCAGAATAGTCACTGAGGCAAACTGACTCACTCTCCCATGTGCCTGATTATCTCTCTCAGAATGTTTGAAATGCACTCAATTTGCAACTATGTTAAAAACTTCTACATCTCTACAAGTTCCACTTTTTCCATTGTTAAAGTGTAACCTTCTTCAGGAAATTTTTTCCTACTAACTGGGGATAAAATGTCCTCTTTTCTTTTATCATTGCAGACAAAGTACTTGCACTTTGTCTATAATGAGAAAACAATAGAACTTTTTGAAATGGATTCTAGTGAGGCTGAGTTTGTATTAATTTTGTCTACACTGAGCAGAAGTTTGACTATGCTATCTTTAAAAAGAGGTTTAACAGAGAAAGAAGCATAATTAAGACGGTAGAACATATACACACACACATCCCAAAATTTAAAAAGTT
The DNA here is from genome assembly GCF_000001405.40 of Homo sapiens. NCBI lineage: Eukaryota > Metazoa > Chordata > Mammalia > Primates > Hominidae > Homo > Homo sapiens. The sequence goes on from NC_000009.12 coordinate 24,025,033, forward strand.
AAGATTATGAACTCTGGTTTCTAATTTAAATGAGAACATCTATTAAAATAATCAAATATATAAAAGACTGTTTCAGCATATTTTGTGCAATTTAAAAGGACCTTCCTTTGATTTGAAAAGTGCTTTATTATACTGTATTTATTCAGTAGTGAAAACTTTAGATAACTTACTGTAGACGATTCCCAGTTTTTCCTTTAGGACCAAGGCACTCATTCCCACACCGTTAGAAATGGTGGCTGAAGAGCGTCAGCTGAGTCCCTCACTGAGGATAGCCCTCAACTAAAGAGTGTCATATCAACCAAAGTCATATCCTATCTTTGAGAACAGTCTGCACCCAGTGCCTACTTTGGTGGAATTATAAAGACCTTATTTTCTTGCCTTGATTGAGACAGCTCTGATATGTTATCCCAGTTCCACAGCTCACCAAAGGATTGGCTCGGGCCTTTGTCGTGACGTCGCTGCAGCTCAACTTTTTCCTTTGCTTACCTACTTCCTTTACAACCCCATAGGTATTGTTCGTGAGGGCACTCCTAAATAAAATTGCTGCAGTCCTGACATTTACTGTGTAACAACGAAAAAAATGCAAAAATGGCTAATATTTAAACAGCTATTACTATTTCCCAAGCATTGTGCTGAGAACTTCAGATTCATTAAGTCATCTAAACCTCACACCAATATGAGATGGAAATGATTATTAAAATCTCTATTTTACAAATGAGTAAACTCACCTTAGAGAAATTATATAATTTATCCAAATTCTACAGCTACTAGATTGTAAAGCCAAGATCTGAAACTATGTCTGCTACATTCCAGAGATGATGCTTTTAATGACTAAATTACACTACCTCCTGCATCTTGAGGACCTGTATTGAATGCCTGAAAGGGCATTTTGGGATAGAGTACAATTTAATGTTTTTGTCAGTGAAGACCAGTGGGTATATTTTGAAAATTAAATTTTGCTCTATATTTATATTGTGAGAAGACATAATTTTTTGGGGGGGTTAAAAATTATTATTATTTTTAAGTTATAAACAGAGTACTGTATTTAGATGTCGGATATTATTGTATTTTTATCTCTGATGCAAATGAAGGAATGTGAAAATTAATTTCATGTGAGGAAATTCAAGCCTACTTACTGACATTAATAAATGTTGATTTTTTGTTAGAACCAATCACTGATGTGCTAGTGAAATTCCAATTAATTGTTTGTCACTATTGTAGACATTAATTGGCATTCCATCTATAATTTGTGACATAATAAAAGGCAAGATCAAAATACAGATTGTTTTTTTAAATGTATTTCCAAGCTAATTGTACTAGCTACATGACATGACTGATCTTGTCTACTGAGAAGAGATTGACTGTTAATTTAGTTAAAAAATTCATCTGAAAATTCCTTTGTTTTCCAGGCACATACAGATGTAGTCTTATGTTAGAAAGCTTTTACAAAGCAGAAAAACTGTATATTAAATTGCTACTTTTATGTATGTGAAACAACTTTGATATTTATATATATTTTGTAATAAAATATTTTATATTTGTATAGCACTGGTGAGTTTTCACAAATATTATCTCATATAATTTTTATCATAATTGTGAGATAACTGAGGTGGTGTTATTAATTTCATTTTCTAGACAAGTAAATAGAGTATCAGGCTAAGTGATTTGTTCAGATGACTGAGGTAAGAGTCTGTCTGATCAATTGACATGGTGAGGCTGTGTCCCCACCCAAATCTCATCTTGAATTGTAGTTTCCTTAATCCCCACATGTTGTGAGAGGGACCTGGTTGGGGGTAATTTAATCCTGGGGGCAGTTTCCCTCCTTTGATAGTGAGTGAATTCTCATGAGATCTGATGTTTTTATAAGGTGCTTTCCCCCTTTTGCTTGGCAGTTCTCCTGGCTGCCACCATGTGAAGAAAGAAGTGTTTGCTTCCCCATCTGCCATGATTGTTAAGTTTCCAGATGCCTCCCCAACCCTGCGGAACTGCGAGTCAATTAAACGTCTTTTCTGTATAATTTACCCAGTATCGGGTATTTCTTCATTGCAGTGTGAGAATGAACTAATACACCAATGCTGTTTTAACTACACTGACATGAACATATTAATGTTTTCTCCTCCTTGAGCAATTTCTTCTCTATTGCCACCCTTCTGAGATAAAATGTTTTGTTCTCCCCTTCAGAGGCAAATTTCTCCAGAAAAAAACCTAATTTGCTCCACTCATTTTCAAATTATGTAACCACCACTTGTGAATGTTTTGCAATCTGGTCTGTTTTCATCACTACAAAAGGGCGGTGCTATCACAGTTCACCAGAAATCCTTGTCACTACAGCATCCACTGGCATTATCACAGATCAAAGGTTTCAGATATCATTGTTCACCATCTCTCCTAAACATATTACATATTTTAAGAAAAGTTCATCTCTTTGTTTCCATATTACCGAAAGTTGTTCTTTCCTCTCCTTTGTTACCTTCATTGAATACTTTTCCTATCTTTCAAGTAGAGTTGTATATGTATACTAAAGATACATCCTTGACTTTCACCTCTTCTATTGGCATATTGTATCTTCCATTTAGTGTTTATGATTTCAATTATCACCTCCATCTAGGTGAGAAGCAATATGGTACAGGGGTTAAAACCATGGCCTCTGGATTCATATTAAATTGAGTTTGAATCCTAGCTCCAACATTTCTGTGGTTTTGAAAAACTACTTCATTTATACATGTACCAAATTGATTTACCCCTGCTTACCTCAGAGGGTTTGAAGAGTTAAATGGGATAAGGTATGTAAAAGGCTTAGCCATTGAGATTCCCAATTGTTTTATTTTAGTAAAATTTAATCTCCTTATCATAATGCTATAATACTCTATACCATCTGGCTGCTTCCTACCTCCAGGCAAGCAATATTGGTGGTAAAGATTATTTGGTGGCAGAACAGATGGAAGGAAGCAGATGTATTTAAGACATGTTTTATAGGAAGGATTTACAGAATGGGCATTAACTTGGTGATTCGGATGAAGTGATGAAAAAAGGTTATACTAAAATAACTTTACATTTTCAGCCTCATAGAGTTGGGTAGATGGTGATGTTATTTACTGAGATAGGAATGACTGAAGGAGGACTATGATTCTGGAGTAGATTATGAGTTAGGTTTAGAGTATGCGGAGTTTTGAGTTCCTTTTAGGTATCTAGGTAGAATGATTGAATAGACAATTAAACAGGTAGCAGCATTCAGAAAAGAAATAGGAGGAAAAGAACTCAGAAATATTTTAAGAACCACATTAAAATCCACACAGAAAGAATAATACAACTGAAAATATATACAATCAAGAATGTGATAGGTAAGCATATGTAAAACTTAAGTATAAATATTAAAATTATAATAAGTATGAAAGACGTACTAGAAAGTTTATATGTATGCATAACTGGTTCTGAAGAAAAAAGGATATATAAAATATTAATAATGATATACTAGAAGAAAACTTTTCTGAAATAAAAGCTTGTATTATTGTTTTATTCAAAAATATTCATTATGTGGCTAGTATTTTTCAGGTGCTATTTTAGGCGTTGGGAACAGAACATTGAAAAAGAAAAGATTGACTGTTCTCATGGAATTTATATTTTATAGGACTAATACTTATACCATGTCCCAGGAAAAATTTAAATGAAGCATCAAGAAGACACACCCTCATGAAGTTATTAAACATCAAGATAAAGAATTTTATGGATGTTTAGTCAATGAATGCAATTTATTTGTGTGGGTGGAGAATAATGTTGGCCTCTGTCTTCTCTATAATAATTATCAGTGAGAACACAGAGGATCAATAGCATCAAAACTTTGAGAAAATCAAATGTGTCCCAATAATTTTGACACCCAACCAACATTTCCTTCAAATACCAAGGCAATGAATAGATATTCTCAAGTAAATAACAAGTGAAGAAGTACTGTACCCATGCACCTTAGTTGAAAATGACCTCAAAACTGGACAATGACATCCAGCCAAAAAAGACACAAAGCAAATTAAAAAACACAGGATAGAGGACCCATACTCTTCACTGAATATACTTAAGTATAGAAATATTAAACTACTGTGGGAATTTTGTTTGCAGAACAGAATATACATGCTATAAACCTTATAATGAACAATTAAATACTACAAGGTGGGGAGAGAAGAGAAAGGTTTATTATTCCTATTTAATTTTCTTATCTTTTATAGTAGAGGTTCAAAATGATGCTCTAAATTTAAATCATGAGGTTTTTTTTTCCCCTCTGAAGTGACAATTCCTATCTTTTAATGTTTAAAATTATTTTCTTAACTTTAAAGAATTCTTTTAGGTACCATTATTATGAATAGGTGTCCAAACTACCGTTTCTTCATTTCGTTTTATTTTCTTATGTTGAAATTCAAATGAATTTAAGTAATTTAGAAATTGAAAATAAGTATGATCTCATTTGAACTGCTGTTCTTTATGTGTTACTCTCTGCTCGTCTCTGTGTATAAGTGGGAGTGGCTCCTGGAGTGACAGTCTCCTGATGATAGTAACAAGGGTTGCCTTTGGGGGTTGGGCAGTATTGCTAATGTGGTCAGTTTCTTACTGTTAATCATAAATGGTAGTATATGGAGAAAACTACCAGGAACTGAAGAAAAGAAACAGTTGAAAGTCATCCCTGGAAATGGAGCTAGAAGTGGGTGTAAGTTGGGAGTGGAGAATTAACCATCAGAAAGTTTTTAATCTTCTTGGCTCTCTTAGTTCACAGATTGGAAGTCAGCACATTTTAAACTATGGAGGGCAAGTTATTTAAACAATAGTATTTTACAGAAAACTTTCTAGTTCTGATGCATTTGTTGACTGTTTCAGATCTGACTTGCTAAATGCTTCCATTTCAAACCTCAAAACAATTTTTAAGATATTTTGTAAGTATATTTGAAATAATCACATATTTTTTCAGGGGATTCTGTAGCTATTATTCTGTGTTAATAAATAAGCTAATGTTATATGTGTTTTAGAACCTGGTTGCATCATTTGTTTATTTTATTTTTTGAGACTATCACAAAGCAGCATTTTGTTTACATAATTATTTCAGAATATATATATCCCTGTAATGCACCAATAGAAGCATAGACGGACAGAGAGAGTGAGACAGAATAGCAGACCAGATTGGATCATACTTATTTAAAATTACAAAATGTATATATTATATTATACATCTGTACTACACCTGTTTGCACGCACATACACACACATATATATATTTTCCAATTAAAAAACTTAGCGTTTGAGAGGACTTACCTAAAACAACCTGATCTTTCTGATTTAATTTTTACCATTATAAATCAATGCATTAAATGCAGAAAATTACTTCTTCTAAATTCCTGTGAGTTCCTTACAGTACTAAAATTATTTCATTTTCTAGGATCTTCTTTCAAATCAAACTTTGTGCCTTAAGCAGCTGCTATAGGGCTCAACTTCTATGTCACCCAGGTCCTAGCAGGAGGATTTGAGGCCAGGATTGCACTAGCTGTCTGGGTTTTATAAGCAAACTTTGGAAAACATAATATTGTACACCCTTTTACTGTTTCTTTTTTTTTTTTTTTTTCAGAAATGTGCTCTCCTGAAGAAAAATCAGAAATACATTGATAGGTATGACTCAAATTCATTTTATCCACCACGAGCCTATTCTTGGGTTTAAAATAATACAGCTAATGCGAATTATCTGTTTTTTTTTCAGTCTCTTGGTACTTTTTCAGAGTTAAATAGTCTACAATGAACTATTTAGCTCTGTTCTTGAATTAAATTAAGAACAGCTATCATCAATTAAAAGTACATTCTCTTTTACATCAAAATAATTTTGTGAAGTAAATTTTTACATTGTAAGTGAAAAAGACCTTGTACCTGAAATCTAGTATTGTAGCATTTTAGAGGTGTAAGGCCCGTTGGAGATGATTAGCCTTCCCAGAATGCTAGGGATGGCTCAAATGTGTCTCGCCTGCCTTGGAAAGACAGATGTCCCTGACTGGGCAATGCTTCTGGTTCCCTACATTATTTTTCACTTGTTTGCTGCTAGAGACCTGAGTTCATGTGGGAAACAGAATTGAAAGGATCCTGGTTGACTAGGGGACCAGGGATCTCAGTGGGATCTAAGTTAGCATCCAGGGTTACTCCTGAACATAGTGATCTATGCAACTCTGTGGGCGCACTACTTCTCGGTCTTTCCTGAGAACCACTTGATGCTCAAGAAGATCAGTTCTTTTCTAGATTCTGGATCTAAATCTCATCTTAGAAGGAATTTAAAGAGGAATTAGAAAGGGTTTTGCTAAAGTGCTTGGGTTTAGGGATTAGATTCAAGCTGCTTGAGGAAGGCTCTGTTAAGAAGTCACATTCCAGTCCCCAAAGAATAAGGATTGTGGAAAGTAGTTCATTGAATGGAACTACTCATTAGTAAATTTCTACCCGGCAGAATCTTTCTCTTTTATCACTGTGACCTCCATTGTTTAACCTATTGCCTGGCATAGAGGAGAAACCCAATATTTGATGAATGAATAATAAGATATGACAACAAGAAAAAAAAAGAGACATAATTCGGTCTTACTGGGGAGTAAGTTGCACACCAGGTCTTGGAAATGAAGCAATCACTAGAATGGAGAACCAATTTAGTTCTTTAAAGAATCATCTGAAGTGTGAAACTAGGGCTCCCTCAGTATCTTCCCACCAACTCATCTTACGGTCTTGGGAGTCCCCTTTTAGAGATTTACTCGTGACAGGAATGTGGCAGAAGTGGGACTGCCAAGTTCATCGTGACTGCTTCTGGAAAAACAGACCATACAAAGTAAAACAAATAAACAAAATCCAAAACAATTACAAAACAGCAAGCATGGGACAATGCCTAAAAAAAGATGTCATGTTATGTTGATGTAATATTTTCTTATAGTTAAATTATTCTCTTAAATATTCATTTTCCATGTTTTATAAAGAGATCTATATTAATGTATTCAGATCTTTTGGGGTTATATAACCACCTTCTACCTTGAAGATTAAAACAGGGACCTTCCAAATCAGTGAACAAGAACAACTTTCTGCCACCTACAGAAAATCTTGCTGCCATCGTAAGAAATGACAGACCTGTAATATTTATGCCAAAGATAGCATTTCTTGGGTCCCAAATGATATAGCTGGAGTCCCTGTATTTACTGGCTTTGTTCCTATTGCTAAACTGTCTTCTATTACAAATAAAAGTTTGCTTTGGCTCACCTTGGAATAAAGAAAAACCATTAGCAAAAACTTTATGCTATCTCTTGCCCTAAAGTTCTTCCAGGGGGAAGAGTTTGGAAATCTGTTTTTTCTCTAAGTTGAGAAGGAATTTGTCAAGAGTCTCTCTGTGGTTTTCTGGCCACCATATAAAAGGTCATAGAAATTCAACTGCTTCTGATGTTGTCATCTTGTGCCTTTGCATCCCAGCTGGAATTTTAGTGGATGGGGCAGAAAATTTTTGATTTAGCTCCCTAAGCTTCAAACGACATGCACTATTATGGCAATAACACATCCTATAATTTGCTTTTATCAACTAAGTGATTTTCCCTCTAAATGTGGTATTTGTCTGACGTGCATTGAAATGATTGTTGAAGAATCTTAATGGGGAATTCTGGTTTGCCTTTGGCCTTTGACATAACTTTTTCTCATTGAAATAAGGATCAAGGGGAGACTTGATTAATAAACTGTGGGATTAAAACTTTGTCTTAACAGAAGTTGTCTTGGAAACAGAATAAGGAGGGATGCCCTGATGTGTTCTCCACCCCTGAGGCACCTGAGCGGTCACCGTGGAGAGAGAAGGGACTAGAGACCTGGAGTCGGTAGAGCCTTGGTTAGAGAAAGACACTGTTTGTTAGAAAGGAAATTCCTTAACAGTTATTTCTGACAATAGAATCGGTGTCCTTGGAATACATTTTCTTTGTTGATTTAAATATTTTACTTTTTGCTGCTTTAGAGTCAAATTAGTTTGGATAAAAAAATTCGATTTGAACTCAGTGACATAAAGCTGGTCATTTTTAAGCCAAAAACACTAACTGAATTTGGACTTAAAAACAAAACAAAACAGAACTTTTCTTCTTCAAAGATGCTATAGAGCTAAAAAGAAAAAAAAAAAGTGATATTGTTTGGTTTCTGTTCATAGACGTAAGCTTTGGGAGTTAAGTTTTTGCTTTATATATGTACAAATAAATGAATCCAACTATCCCATGTGATATTCAGCTTGTGGTAGAAACTCCTTTTTTGACTTAAAAAGGTAAAGATCACTTGTTATAGAAAATTTGTTATTAATTTATATCAAGATTATAATGCCTAAAAAATGTAGTGAGTCAAAAGAGATAAATTTGACATTTTAGAATGGTACGATCTTGTTTTAACTGCAGGTGAAGACTTCGGTTACTGAGGGACGTCGTTTTCTCTTTTAATTAATTTCTTTTCCTGACATTTCTCTCATCATGAGGCAAATTTGTTTGTGGCACTTAACCTTTAAGTATTATGTCACTTTTCACTGGAGTCATGCAGTGACCAAGAGTAAGCGAATGTAAGACATGAAAAGTTTTTTAAGAAGGCAAAAACTTCTCAAACTAAATTTGCCACCAGAAATTTTCTTCTCAACTTGAACTCAGAACTCACTACCTGAGGTGCTTTTTGTTTTTGCCTTCTTGGTCCTGCTTCCCATCCTTCAGAGCTGAGGAACCCTGTGTTCTGCAAATGGCTTTTCAGGCTCAATCTTCCCTACCCATTAAATGCGTATATATTTTTTCAATTTGCTTTTCCCTTCGCTGTTCCTTTCTTAGTTCCTGCTGTCAAATCCTACTTATTCTTTAAGCTCACTTTTAATTTCCTAACCCCTACTTTCTCTTCTCTATTATCTTCCCTCTCCCAGTTTTGGATTATTGATTCCTTCTTTATTCTGAAGCATTCAGTACCTGTCTGTGATACAACATTTACTCTATGATATCATCATGTATAATCTGCCTCCCTTCCTTGAGAGTAACTGGGTTTTACTGGCATTTCAGCACTGGGGAGGAAGGAATTACAGCATCTGACCTGAGATCCAATTTCTTACTCCCTTTACTGAGGGCAGGGGTAAGAGATTCCCCTGGAAAAAAGACGAGGCAGGTAACCTGGTCTCATTTCCAGGATGATGATATTTTTGGGGAGAAAGAGAACTTATTTGCACATAGTCCTTAGTAGGATGTCCCTGGAAAAGACCTATAGTAAATAGGACCCGCAAAATGAAACTTAGCTCCCTGGAGAATGTCATCTGGGCTATATAACATTCAAGGGCAGGGATTGATTAATTTTTTTTCTTAAAATGTCGGAGAATAAAAATTTTAGGCATGTGAGCCACATGGCCTCGATTGCAACTACTCAACTCGGATTGGAGTGAAAAAACAGACATAGACAAAACATAACAAGTAAACCTGTCAGTGTTCCAGTGAAATAAAAATGGTGGTTGGCTTGTGGGTCATAGTTTACCAACCCCTGATCTAAGGTATAAAATAGAGATGCTTCAGAACTTAAATCCACCTGCTGTGTGGGGTAATCATAATTGTAAAGCTTCACTTGGAGAACTCAACTATTGTTCTGGGCAGAAACCTATGTCCAGGGAGGGAGGAAGGGTTGGAGGAACCACACTGGAGGGCCTGCATCTCTCACTATTCTGTCTCTCCTTGATTGCCTGCATCCTCACAATCATTAATAAAGCTTAATTCCAAAGGGGATCTCTGATTTGTGTAGACCTGATTTGACAATTCAGTCCTGGAGATTGGCTCAACACATTAGCACCAATGTTGAACAATGCATATTTGGTGAAAAGAATTACGCTGGAACACTCACCTAAGTCTCCTAGTGATATTTGTACCTTAAACGAAGAGCTTCTAAATGCAGACATATACTGCTGCCCTGGTTGGGAATCAGGTGGCCCATCAAACTATCTCAAGGTGGTCATGGTCTTCTCTAACTTGTATCATTGTTGAAATCCCTCATTTTTCTACAGGCGTTTTGAAGATGACTTTCAAATACATCAAGGTCATGTTACTGATTGTATTTTGCTCTTTAAAAAGAGTCACTTTTCCTCAGAAGGTTTCTCTGTCTGCAATATAACAACACTATAGGGATTAGTGTCCTGGTTTCGTTTGGAGAGACCTGGTTAGGTTTGACTTTTGACTTGGCATTTCAGTTGAGTATACAATTTGAGAGATCTTTCCACCTTCTTTCTTTTTCTTGAGAGATGGGATCTTGTCCTGTTACCCAGACTGCAGTACAGTAGTGCAATCATAGCTAGCTATAGTCTTAAACTTAAGTCCAGGAGTTTAAGACTATAGTGAGTTATGATTGCACCGCTGCACTGCAGCCTGGGTGACAGGACAGTGTTCCCGCCTCAGCCTCCCAAGTAGCCAGGATTACAGGAACAAGCCACCGTGCTTGGCCACTTCTCTATTTGTTTCTTCTTCCTTTTCTTAGTGGAAGATTTATGGACAGAAAAGAGGAAATTGATGTACAGAAAATCGAAGTGAGGTACGGAAGCAGCTGGATTAGACATAGCCTGGTGTTTGTCTCATTTGATCATGCTCTTTGAGCAGTTGGCTATAACCTTTTGTATTTCTTATACCATTCCGAATGACTCAGAATCTGAAAAGAAAGCAGCAGAAGAAATTACTAATAGAAGACAGGGCCCTGTCTTCTGAAGCACTCCTCTCTTAATTTGGACAAAAGACATAATTAGGCAGATTTGGCACTAAATCTTGTTATGTTACAAACTAGCTGTGTTATTCTGACCAAAATATGTAACTTCTCTGAACTTGTTTTTCTTCTGTAAAAAGGAGAAGTCCACCTTTCACATGTAGATTTAAAGAGAAAGCTCATTTACAGGTTGGGTGATTATTCTTGTTCTTTGTTGGCCTTTAGCCAGAAGTTATTTGCACATGCACATATGTCACTCAGAATTATAATCAAATGTTGAGAAGCCTCCACTACAGATGTTCCTAAAAGAAAAGGGCAGATTTTCTCTTTCTAGTGTGGTTTAAAAGCAGTTCTACTGGAAGGCAGAAGGATGAACTGGAACAATCTCTAATTATCCTTTATTGTCCTACTAACCTGTCTATTTTATCTGCTTCTTTTTGGCACAAATAGTATCTCACCCAACATGATTATTCTAGGAGAAAAAGCCACTCAGCTAGTGCCCAAAACTAGTTAAGTGCTGATTTAGTGAGTTCTGAAGGGATATATGGCTTGACTAAAATTATTTATGCAGTCGGGGAAGAAACTAATTCACACAGCAGTGCCCTAATTGGCATCAGAGAGGTGTTTCCGTAAAGCCCTTAGGAAAAGCAGGAAGTTGATTAAATAGGAAAAAAATGCACATGAAAATAGGAGTACAAAGAATGCATAGAAGAATAAAATGCAGTTGTTAAATAATCACCCTGATAATATTTCTTCCCCCCGAGAAGTTACCTTTGATTTAATGCAGGAGAGAGCACCTGGGAAAATTTCAAATTGGAGTCCCTCCCACACTTCCCCTGCCTATACTAAGAATCCATGGCCCAGAATTCAAATACTAAATCTAAGAGAGGCAGGTAAAAAGAACAGTGGAAAACAGATGGCAGCAGTTACAACTAGCAAATTCCCAGTTGGTGGCTCTCACATTTAGAAGCGGGCATCTGTTCTTCTTCCCCACTGCAAAGTGGTTTTAACTCAGAGGTGTTAAAAATATCTAAGTTGCTGTTTTATTCATTTCTGCTATTTACTGACTTTAATGACTTACAGTATATCCGATGAAAAGTACAATGTTTACCCAAGCGGCAAGAGACTCAAAACAGAAATATGGGATGCTGTTAAAAAACCTTGTGGTCTACAAAACAGCATGTATGGTTTTATAGGTGTACCTTGCTTTAAGAAATCAATGGGTACCTTAACGTTTGTGTAAGTTGAAATATACTTTAAAATGCACCTTGGGTGCTTGACATTACAAAAATCTTGAGAGAGTCATAACCTCTCTGGGCCTTAGTTTCCTCCTCTCTGAAATGGGAATAGTAATGCCTACATTATTAATCTACTGTTCAGGTCTCTTGTGAAAATTAGGGATAGTATCAGTTGAAGATATTATAAGCCCCTCAAATACTGTAATGCTTAGTCAATGTTAATGCATTTTATTATTTATAAAAATTCTCATTTTGAAATAAACATCCATTCATAAAAAATTAAAAATGGAGAGTGTGCCTGTGTTCATGAGTAAGAAAGCCTCAAAAATAAAAGGGGCAGTTAACATAATTATGAATAAAATGTCTATAGCCTCTTTATGTTATTGTAAAGATGCCTTTCCCAGAACCATTTATAACAGGTACCAGGAAGAGAGTCTTACTGAATTGAATATCATTCAACCCATTGCCTAATGTAGATATTTATTGACTGCTGGCCATCTCATATTTTGTTTTCTTCCCTTTTTTGATTTAAAAATAGTATTCATTCATTGTAGGAAATTTGGAAATACATAAAACATAAGGAAGAATAGAAAAATAATTTATAATTTAAAACCCAGAGACATAAGACCAGTATAGATCTTATGTCACCACACTGAGAAAGCACCAGTAATAAGATTAATTTATTAAAAGCTTTTCTGCTCTCATAAAAGTTAAATTGAGTAATAGATTTATCCAAAGCATGGTTTGTAATCACAGTTTCTGACCTCACAATCACTCTGAATATTCTTCTTCAATATTATTATTAATAATCACTAACCTTTTCTGAGTAATTACTATGTACCAGTTGCTATATTAAGGCTTCATATATATTAATCAATATGAAACGCACAACAGCTTCATGTATTTGGCACCATTATCTACAAACGTGAAAATGAGAACATTTGATATTAAGGAATATGCCCGAGGGCCCATGGTTAATACATGGTACAGCTGTGATTAAATTAAAAATTAGGGGTATTTGATTCCGTAATGTACACTGGGATATTCTGCTTCTCTTTAGTATGGTGGCAGCAGCCCAGATTTTGGAATGAGATATGTTGTGGGTGTTGTTGATTCTCCACTCTTCATGTGTCTTTTCATGTGGAGGGACTTTCCTATCCAGTCACTTCCTGTGCCTTCATTCTCTTCTCTTCATGTCAAGAAGACTGACATCCCATTTGTGAGTAAGGAGGTTTAAACTGGGTGCCATTGCCTTAGCCCTTTCTGCTCTTCTCTTTATTTGAGGTCTGCCTGTGTGAAGAGAAGGTGCATTCTCAGCTGCTCCTTGGCAGTGCGGGCTGTGTGGGTCTGACCAATAGTGTTTTGGAGAGGAGGGTAAATTCAATTCAGGGAGGCATGTCACCCTATTTCTTTGTACTTAAGTTATCTCTTTCTGTTTAGCCCTTTACCAATAATCATATGTTTAACTCTGATATATATTTCTCAGTTTGTTACATACTTGGGCATAGACAGAAGTGTTTTTAAATTGATTTTCTATGACTCTTAGCAGATAGTCCCAGATACTTTTCTAACCTTCACTGTCTTTGTGTGAAACCTTGGGCAAGTGACTTCACTAATCCATGTCTCAGTACCTTCAGTTATAACACAGGACATACTTTTTCCTTCCTCATGGGTTTTTGTTAGGTTTAAGTGGGTTCATATGTACAAAAAATACTGAGATATTTTCCCCATTTTGTGATGTGAACACTGAGGCTTAGAGAGTTTCAGCAACTTGCACAGGATCACACAGCTAGCAAGAAGAAAGGCAGGCACCGCATTTCAAACCACATCTGAAGTTCATACTCTCTCAAGACATGACTCTGATAATTATGACAGGACCTGGGGTAGAGAGCATGGACTCAGATCCTTCTGTAAGAGTGGGCCAGTGTCAAGGAGGTCACTAAAGGACAGCAGAATGATGCCTTGAACCGAGCAGTACAGAATCTTACACAGGTTGTAGAAATAATGTCTTGGAAGCTGACATGAGGGTGCTATTTTCTTTTTGTTGTTGTTGATTTTTTTGTTTGTTTGTTTATTTAAGAAGAGTGTTTTTCTATCACTTTTTCTTTTTGAACTAAGGTTGAGATTTTTAAAGTACTTTTTTTGTTTTTTAAGATAGAATCACATAGCTTGTGATCAGGTTCTCATGCTTCAGAATGCTATGGCTGTGTTTTATTTTTCCACTTCCTCTAATTAGATGTTTGAGGTCATGTCTCCCTGCACCACTATCACCATTCTCAGACCCCATTAGTCTCTTCTATCCCTGTCCTCCTGTCACCCTCAACTTTGAAAGCAGTGTATCCCTGTCCTTTTTTTTCACCCTCGAACTCGAAAGCAGTGCAGTATTGTCTAAGGAAGCATAATATGTAGAAAGGATTAGACACGGTTTAGGGGAAAGTTTGGTGATGCATCTGCTCTGAGAGTACAGAGAATTGGCTTAAAAGGGCATCAGAGTAAAAGACCAGTTTGCAGAATGAATTGTCTTGTGCTTGTGATTGTCTTTCTTGTGGAAAAGGCCATTTTCTCAAGGGACAACTTGAGTTTAGTCATCATTTGGAACAGGTACAGATTCTTACATAAAACTAATATACATGAAAGCAACATTTGTTGAGTGCACTGTACTTGATGTTTTGACCCACATTACCTCAATTCATCTTCACAATAATACTAAAAGATGAATATTATTATCCTTGCTTTTACAAAAAGAGAACTGGGGCTCAAAGTGGTTGAATACTTCGCCCAGGGTCAGGTACTAGTAAGTGCAGGCACTGGTAAGGCTCATGCTCTAGTTTGTCTCTTTCCAAAGCCTCTGCTCTTTTTGCTCTTTCTTGCATGAATTGGTTTATTAAATATGAATGGGGGAAGTTCACTAGAAGGCTTTTTCCTCAAAAGAAGCCTAGGAATCCCTTCTCTGCTTGTAAGTGGACACATTAGTATGATCTCCATGTCCATCTATAAATTATCTATAGTATGATCAATTCTGAAATTGGGAAGGACAAACTTGGGCAAATAGCTGCTCTTTACAGAAAGTCTAATTGGAAAGAGAATGACTATGCTCTGTGCCATGAAGTTTTCAAGAGAAATGTTGCAAGGAATAGAAATCTTGATAGATATGAATTTTGTTTTGAAAAGCTCCGTATGAGAAAATCTTCCACGAGGGACATCCCTTTTACCAACTTGGCAAAGACTAAAAATACAGAGCATCCAGGATCAAAGCGTATTCGTGATGCGAAGAACTATCCCCTGACAATCAGGCTGGAAGAAGGAGGTATCCTTTAATCTTTTCCCTTTGTTTTATTACTTTTTTTTTCTGAGGGGAAAAATTCTCTTTTTTATTTTCTCTTGCTGACTAACTCTTCCCTTTAGTCATTTTCATCTCACGACTCATGGCAATTTTCCCTCTTTACATTAAGAATGAATATAAACACAAATCACGTTTGAGTTTCTATTTCAGGGCCTTGTTTCTCTCCTCAAATGTTCAGAGGTAAGCAACAGAAAGTTGGAGTGAGCATAGCACTAAGACTTCAGCAGGATCAGAAGTTTCCATCTTCCCTCTTTGCTCTGTGCATGCCAGAGTTATGGAGAAAAATGTTTCTTGTGGCAACAGGAAAGCAGTTTGAATCAATCAAAGATCATTTATAGTTTTTATAAACTGGAGAGAAGAAATAGGCTTGAACGATCTTTAGATTCCAGGGAAGTTCTATAAAGGGAACCAGAAGTAGTTATTTATAAATGAAACTCGAGGTTTTTGGTAAGGGGCTTATGTGCTAGAGATTGCACAGCTTCATTCAATGTGTCCTAGTTTTTAGGACAAAAGCCAAAATAAGGGGCGGAGGATTATTGCACATAGCTTCCTGTCTGGGAGTCTAATATGGGTGCACACATTGATGCCAAGGTTCGCTTTTGAGTTGTTACTTTCAAAAAAGCTTCATTTATTAAAAAATAAAATCATCATTATTATCTCATTACAATATAGGCCCTGGATATGAAAAAAAATTGATTACCTGATCTTTAGTTCCCAACTCCATTCTATCTCTAATTTTGTTGCTTGGGGATTATTGGTCTATCAACACTCTTCCTGAATAATCAATCTGGTTAATTTAGCCTATAAACCACTTTTCCCCTTGTGTCTGGTGTAACATATTGTTTAGTAATGTGCCCAGTAAAGCAGAAAAAGTAACTCCCAGGAATAGAAAAGGAAACGGCACTCAGATTTTGAACTTGAGTATCTTGCATTTTACCCATCTGCTGGGCTGTGCGGTAACTCACTTTTTATTTATTTTGTTTTTAGCCATATGACTAACTCTACCTCATTGTGCTCAGCAGCTGAACAAAATGCACAGTGCTATATTCTGAGGCGCCCACTCATTCTTTATTGCTTTTATGACAAAGCTGTCCCTCCACATGTCTGCTGTGCCCTCTGACCCAAGGCGTTTACTTCAAGTAAACATGCCAGATGGTGGAGAAAAGTGATGGGTCAAAGAACAATGCTCGAGGGTCAGGAGTCACCAAATCCTTCTTCACAAAGCAAACTTAAAAGCAACAATTTCACCAAATGCTCTGGAGTGCTTTCACAGTGGAAATGGAGGTGGGAAAGGTAGACCTTAATTACATATTTTGCTTTCAGGGCCTAATGGTTTTAGGTACAGTGTCTATTGGCTAATTTGAACGTAAGCA
The DNA here is from genome assembly GCF_000001405.40 of Homo sapiens. Classification (NCBI taxonomy): domain Eukaryota; kingdom Metazoa; phylum Chordata; class Mammalia; order Primates; family Hominidae; genus Homo; species Homo sapiens. The sequence goes on from NC_000009.12 coordinate 24,041,700, forward strand.
ATTTATGAGAAACGATAAGAAAACAAAGAGGACAGATGGATCACTCTTGTACTCAGCAAAGAGCAGCAAGGTGAATAGTTTGTGTGTGAATGAGTATTCTAAGCTCTGGCCCAAAAATTACACAGGTAATTTAGATTCCTTATCTTTTCTAGGGGCTATTGTTGAAAGTTGAGGCCTAAAGGATGCCATTGTCTAAAATACACTAGAACCCTAACAAGGCTCTAGTAACCTCCAAGGAAGCTTTTAGATGAGATCTTCCATTTTTTTCCTTGTCTAGTATGGTGCTGCGTAAATCCAGATATATGAGCATTTGAGGAGTTACTGTAAATATCTTAAGCACGAGGATGTGTCTTTTTAATGTTGCTGTTTTCAAAAGTAATTTAAGAAAATGTTCATTAGCCATTTTACAGGCTGTGTATTTTAGAAAGAACATTAGAAATAGTAGTTACTCCTTACAGATAATCTGGCATAGGTAGGCACTATTACCTCTCTTTTTCAGATGATGATGGCATAACATGTCTGTAAAATGCACTGGATTTATACACAGTATCCTAATATATTTTTAAAATAATTTAAAGAGGGAAAAATTTTTGAATTTTTCCTGTTCAGTGCATTGAAACATATCCATGTTCCTAAAACTCTTTCTGGGTTAAGTACTATCATATTTGACTTTCAAGATAAAGTGTCTCTCCTAATTGCCAAGCGTAAGAACTTATTTTTTGTGTGTGGTAAAGTGAATTCTCTAGCTGGGATATGGTATAAAATAGAGTTAAATTGGAATTCCTAATGGAGAGGTTATTTATAGGGCTGAATGTGTGTCCTTAATAAGTTACCAAGATTCTGTGATAGATCACCTGTGAAGAGATTGGCAGTAATAGTTACTTTTCAAGAATTACCAAATTAACATTTAATAATATTAATAATAACCTCCAGTTATTGGATGTCAACTATGCACGAGAAACTTTATGAGCTACTTTATGAGATACTTTATATCCATGCCTAATTTAATTTTTCCAACTTTAGCCAAAACGACAGCAAGAGAGTTTACAAATTACCAATTGCTGGGTTTATCGGTTTATATATGTTATCTCATTAAGTCCTCAAAACAACCCTGGAAAGTAGGTACAATCATTAGTGTCCTTTCATATGTGAGAAAACTGAGGTTTAGCGAGATTGAACAAGTTATTTACTTCAAGATCATACACTTGATAAATGGCAGACATAGATTGAAACCCAGGCACAAGTTCTTACACTATTCTATGTATTATTATCTCTACTATATTAGTAATAAACAGAAATTCAGAGATGTTGCGTCTGCCCAAAGTCACACTACTAGCAGGAGGCAGAGGGCACATCCAAACTCAGGTTTTTTTTTCTGACTTTAAAGCCCACACTAGATATGGCAGTTGCTCTCTCAATAGAGCTACATTCAAACACCCTAGAAAAGTAACTGATGTTCTCCATTGTTTCTGTAAAAGGTACAAATTGTTACTCACTGCATCATCAGTATTCATGGCTAGTGGGCTACTTTCTGTTATGCTTGCACACTTCTGCTCCTAATCACTGAGTTTTGTGTTTAGAGATGTGTAGTTTCCAAACCTCTTTATACCAATTGAACATGTTACTGTAGTTATATAATTATGTTAATTGTCACATAAGCCAATGGTAAATATAAATGTGGAAATAGAACTGTTATTTCCATGAAACCTAAACTGGATGAAAAGACAATAAAGGGAAGGTACAAAGATATTCAGCCAAATTAAGTATGAGTGATGCAATTGTAAAAGATTGAGAGAAAATAATAAAATCTGAGACAAATTCTTCATTCACAACGGCTTCCCAATTTTATTTAAATTTTGATTCCACTTAAAAGAATCCCAAGTTCTTGAATAAAAGACCTTGGTTCTAAATCAAACTATTGGCCAATGAATGGATATACATGTTAGCTTAAAATAAAATATTTAAGTTATATACTTATAATTTTCTGATTGCCTGATGATTCCTGATAAGGGGGTTTCTTGTCTGTTTAAGGTGGCAAAACAGAGGTGCAGGCTGATTAACTCAGTAACTTAGATCCTGCCATCTAGTACAGTGGCAGAGCTAAGACAAAGTGGCAGAGCAAGAAACAGGATTTAACTCCATGGCTCTGTTTAACTCTATAGTTCTCCACAGTTTATGCTTTGTCTTTTACTGCCTCACCAATGTCATAAATTTGAGGGTTAGGAATCATATGCCAGGAAACCCCATGGAAAATTGTTGTGTCCACATGGACTTCAAAATTCCCCCTACTCCATTCCCGCCCTGAGAAAAACCTTCCTCTTTCTCAGTCAGGGATTAACCTATTTGATTTTCAAAAACTCTAGGGAAAGATATTTCATCACATCACATTATGATTATCATTGTTATAAGAATTTTATTTTCCTTAGAGACTCTACCAATATACCCTCCTGCTAAGATGCAGAGCTTTTAAGCAATAGGAAAGAACAGAAATGACTTTTAATGACATGACAACATTGCTGAAGATATAAGTCCCAGAACTTCTCTAACTTCATGCTGTCTCCCCTAGCTACTTACTTGACACTTTCTGAATTACTCATAACTGAAAAAATACACTGTGTTTTAGGCTTGGTTATTAACATCACATTAGAAATAATTTATTTAACCAGTTTCTATCTGTTGAATTAACAGAAATACCAGCTCTCCTGGAGAATTTCCAGAGAATGATTCGTGATCATATTTTCTTGAGAATTGAAGTGGTATAATGCTGAACAAGAGAATAATTGCTATATATACAGATACCCTCTTTTCTCAGGACTTGTTTATGTGATGTCCAGGTTCCTTGTATTAGTTACTATGGCTGTGTAACAAATTACCCCAACTTAGTGGCTTATAACAACAATATTTATTTACTGTCTTTCCTGGTTTCTGTGGTTCAAGAATTTGGTTGCGGCTTGGCTAAGCTATTCTGGCTTAGGGTCCCTCATGAGATTGCTGTCAGATGTTGACTGGGGTGAGTCATTTGAAGCATTGACTGGGACTGGGAGATCTACTTGCAAGGTGGTTTTCTCACGTAACTGGCTGGTGGTGCTGATTGCGGGTGGGAGGCTTCAGTTCCTCTCTACTTGGGCCTTTCTAAAGGGCTGCTTGAGTGTCCTCGTGGCGTTACAGCTGGCTTATATTCAAGAATCCAGTGTAGAAGTTGCAGTACATTGATCTAGCCTGAGAAGTTATGCACCATCATTTCTAGCATATTCTATTGGTCACCTAGGATCAAAAGGAGCAAGGATCAGGAGGGGACTGTCTTAGAACCTGGCTACCACAAACCCCTGCTTTGTCCACCTGGGATCATGGCAATGATCAAAATTTGTTATTGTAATGATAGCTGTCTGTCTTCTCTTTCAGAATTTAAGTTCCTTTACTGTCTGTGTTGTGTTACGTATTTTCTCTTTCTTAAATGCATAGGTTTTTAGAAGTCTTTTTAACTCCTTTTCATCTCTTCACTCTGAGTCTGGATTTGATGACTGCGTTAATTATTTGTTGCTGCAGAACAAACCACACCAAACCTTAGTGGTTTAAAACCACAATTGCTTGTCTGCTTATAATCATGTGGGTCAGCAATTTGTGCTGGGCTAAGTTGAGTGGTACTGTGACCATCTGTCTTGCCTGGGGTCAATCATATAACCCAAGTCATCTGACAGTTCGGATGGAGCTAGATGATCTAAGATGACCTCACTCATATGTCTGGTGTTTGGCAGGTTGTCAACTCCTTGATTCTTCATTATGTGGCCTCTCCAGCAGGTGAGCTGGAGCTCATTCTCATAGTGGTCTTAGAGTTGCAATCGCATCTGGAAGAGGCAAACCCCAGAGTGTAAACACATTTCAATTCTCTGCTTGTATTATGCTAGCAAATATTCCATTGACTAAGGGAAGTCACATGGGCAAACCCAGAGTCAAGAGATTGAGAAATTGATGTCACTTCCTGATGGGAGCATTGGCAAAGTCACATTGCAAAAGGGAGAGATACAGGATGGGAAGAATTATTATGGCCATCTGTGCAAACAGTCTGCCCAAATAGCTTTCCTCTGAGCCTTTGGGTAACCTTTCTTTATTTGTATCACCCTGTAAGCTATAAGCTCCCTGAGGCAAGGGCCATGGCTGGTTTATATTTTTCTATATATTTAGCACTTTTCCCACTGTTACATAAATATTAGTTGAATTGAAATGAATATAAAAACACTTTCAGGGAAAGAGATTGTGGAAAAGGCAAGTAGAAAATAAAATGGAAAGACTCATGCTGTATTGACAATTTTCAACTGGTTTAGTTATTTAAACAAAGCCTCAATCCAAGCATACTAAACCATTTGATTTTTAAAAATTACATTATTAGTTGTTTGCCTGAACTCACTACCTGTTTGGTCAAAAAGATTGGATAAATTGTGGGTGTGTAGATAAAATACAAGTATAGTATGCCAATCAACATCACACGTTCATATTGCTGGTTCACATTAGATGCTCAATAAAGCGCAGCTGTGACGTCTCTTGTTCAGTAATCATGGGACTGCTCCTGTTGCCAACTTTGCCTGTAGTTCACCAAAGTCAAGTTGCCCACGGTAAGATAATTTTTTTTTAAGATTATTGTTGATAGGTTCCAAAAGTGTATTAGGTGGTTAAATTCCTCATTGTTACCAATGGATTAGTGAGTCAAGCAATAAACATTAACTTATTAATGTCAGTAACACTTTTACTTTCAGTATTCAATCTAGTTTTATTTATGTTTTATCATCTGTGGCAGTAGTTTTCAAATTAAGAGTATGTAAATATTCAAAATATTTTGTTCTCAGAGTCGGGGAGGTAATCAAAAAATATTTTTGATAAGGCTGCATAGACAATCCAATATTCCCAACTTCTTTGTGTTTGACTAGAATTTTATTGACTAGAATTACAGTGTGTCAATTTGGATTATTTCGTCCTGATCAAAGTTATGGAATATCTGATTAATGAGAAAAAGAAAAGCAGATTGATGTGTATATATTGTAGCTTATTAAGTAGATCAACTCTTTCGAAGCATGAAGCCCATGGAAAGAAATAGTAAGAGGAGTTTACTGGTGAAAGCTGAGAGACTAAAGTCTGTATTAAGTTCCTTAACATCTGGGTGGTCAATATGGTTGTAAGTAATAGGTCTTATGAGAATTATGCAATTAAGATAGTTATAATGGGGACGGGTGTATTTATAATCTACTGTTATTTAAAAAATATTATCCCAAAATTTAGTGACTTAAAACAACAATAAGCATTTATTATCCTACATGATTTTTATGTGTCAGGTATTTAGACAAAGCATAATGGGATGACTTGTCTGTGCTCTATAGTGGCTGGAGCCTCAGCTGAAAGAATTAAGAGTCGGGGCTGGGAATAACTGAAGTCTTATTCATTCATGTGGTTGATGCCAGAGGATCTCTTTGGACTTGTTGGTCAGAACACTCCTACACCCTACACAGCCTCTTCCTGTGGCCTGGGCTTTCTCACAAAATGGTGGTTGGATTTCAAGGACAAAGAGAAAGAGAGAGAGATAAAGGGTGTGTGTGTGTGTGTGTGTGTGTGTGTGTGTGTTTGTGTGTGTGTGTGTGTGAGAGAGAGAGAGAGAGAGAGAGAGAGAGAGAGAGAGAGAAGCTGTATTGTTATTTATGACCTAGCTTTGGAAGTCATGCATTATCACTTCTGCTGCATTCTAACCATGTAGGCATTCATAAAGGCCAGCTCAGTTCTGGGGATGAGGAAATAGAATCAGTTTCTTGACGGAGAGTGACGAAGTGCTGGAAATGCATATGGAATTAGAAATATTATGGCCAGTTTTGGAAAATATAATCTGCACCCATGGAGCAGGAGTAATCATGATCACATTGTGTGTGATCATGAAATCTTGCTAGGGTTTCAAAAAATAATTATACGAAATTTTTGATCTGTGGTCTGAATAATGAATATGATTGGTAGTACTGAGCATAGCCAAGGATGTTGACTCCAGGGGGATGGTATTAATTAAAATATCTTTCAGATAATTCAGAAAATATAAGCAAAATGTTTTGTTATATTCATGGCATGTTTTTATTGCAGGTGACAAAAATTGAACTCAAATTGGTTCAATCAAAAAGAGTGAATTTATTAACTTGTATAACTGAAAATTTGGGGGACAATGCTAGCTGAGAGTACAAGTGGATAAAGACCTCAAATGATGTTGGCAGCAGGAATCAGTATCTCTCCGTATCTTAGCTTTGCTTTTCAGTTTTTATTGCTTAGGCAGGCTTTTCTCAATCTTGAAAAAAGAAGCCAGCAGCAATTCTAGGTTTATATTTTACCAGCTTAGCAACTCCCATTAAAAAATTGTCTCTTTTTCAATAATTCCAGCAATTGTTTGGAGTATTGAGACTGGGTAGACTCTGAAAAGGTGATTATGATTATACCAATCTTTGAGTGTTTATGACTTTGATTAGTAAAGCTTGAACCATGTAACATCCGGAGGGCTGGAGGTTGGGGTTGGCCTCATCTACTCTCATGAATCAAGAGGCATGATGTGTGTAATTGGTATATGCAGAGAATGCCTTTCACAGAAACTGTGGAAATATAATACTGACGAATTGATGTGGGCACTGGGTCCCTGACGAAAGAGCACTTTCTGGCTATGATAGACAGGATGGCTTTGGAGGTCACCCAGAAAAGACTGAAATCCCCAAGGATCAATGCTACAGGGAAGAAATTGAGAGCCTATGCTTGTTGATTGATTTAATAAGTTATATATCAATCTGACTTCAGTCTTATGTATTTATTTGACACTTAGTTGTTAAACATCTAATATGTGCCAGGAATGGAATTTTACATGTTTGGCTAGGATTGTAATTTTAGTTTAAGTGAGAATTAGAATTGTCTGGGCAGGTCTGGCAGAGGTGTGGTGTGAGTTAGTAAAAAACAATTGTATGAGGACCTCAGAGCCTCTTGGGAAGTACATTTGAGGGAAGGTGAAAGTCTTTGAAGTTGGAGGAGAGAGGCAAGTGCAGCATGGTGTCTCCCATTCAGATCAATTCCCTAGCCCAGTTAGCCTTGATTTGTGTATGAACCCCAGGGAAGGCAGTGGGATTAGAAGTCAATATTGAAGGAGCTGTAAGACAAATGGTAACACTGCACTGCAACCTCCTTCTGCAGAGAGAAACCCGAAGGAGAGAGAAACATTCTCTCACTTTGCTGCTGAATAGTCGGATGGCTTTGGTATCTTGAGAACTACAGTGTCTGGGATATGGTGGGAAAAAATAGCTCCCAGTAAACTCCTAACAGGCATAAGTTTAGGGTAGAGAGAGAGTATTTATTTATGAAGTTGTGGATGATATTCTTTGGGTTCCTTCGAGAACACGTGGGACCATTGCTTTTTTAGAATGGGAAAGTGATGGTCAGTACCATAAAATGTAGGTTTTTACAAATAAGAGGGACATTTGAGTTACATATAGTTTGGTATAGTTCAGTAATTTCCAGTACTATTGGAATATCTTATTTGTCCTTTATTAATACAAGGGGCTGTGGAGTGGACTGGACTTAAGAAGGATTAACCTTAAAAAGTCTGATTTTTGGACTGGTGCATTAAAAACTGTAATAACATCCAGGGACATGTTGGAAGTAGACACCATTATTTCTCAAATATACTGATTACATAATCTGCAATTTAAAAGAAGATGGCCATAATTATCTAATGGATTTTTGGGAGGCTATGTCAGAGATGTCTGGCCTTGTAAATGATCCCACACAGAAGATGATCAAATGCACTTCTCTCTGAACTGCTCTATTTTCAAATTTATTAAGGAAACTAAGGGAGCTTAATTAGCATAGTGGTAGGCCAGAAGACATAAAATAATAAAATGTTGAGATTACAGAATAGTGGGCTGTAATAAAAGTATGCTTAAAGTGTAACATAGAGGAATAAATGGAAATAGGCAAGTTCACAGAAGAAGACATTTGAATTTGGCTTTGAAAGATGATTTGAAGTTGACTAGATATAGAGATAATGAGGAAAGACCATCCAAGTTGGAGGAAACAGAAATGCAAACACATCAATAATCCCATGTTTGGAACAATGTGTAATCTTTTATATCTTGCTTATGAGTTTAAATTTTATCTTGTTAGACGTTAGGAGTCACAAAATGATTTAAATTGAAGAATGACATAATTTGATCTTTGTCTCAGAAAGATTGCTTTGACATAATTTTGGAGGTCTGGAGATAGAGAAGAGGAGAAAAGACTAGTTAAGCCTGTCATTCATAAGCAAGGCTAGCAAGGTCAAACTCCAAGCAAGAAATGATGAAGACTTTGATTTGGTCAGTGATGGGGAGCTGAGAGGAAGTGGTGCATTTTTGAGAAAGACTGATGAATTGTGTATTCATAAATCAGATAAGACACTGTATATTTCTATTTACCTAATTTTTATTATATGTACTTTAACATAGTTTTATACTTTAGATGGTTGGATGTGTTATAGCAAAGGACTCAAATTGTCTTAGTAGATGGTGGCTAAATATTCATCAAATAGCAATACTTTCTGTTGGGGTTTGCTCTTGAGTTTATTTCAAATTATATGAAAGGAGAGAGAATGAATGTGAAAAAGGAAATTAGTAGTCTACTGTATTTTAATATAGCATGGTTTTTATTTGAATATGCCAAGAAGATACAGAGTAATTGACAGTCTGATTTATTTATTTATTTATTTATTTATTTATTTATTTATTTATTATACTTTAAGTTCTAGGGTACATGTGTACAACGTGCAGGTTAGTTACATATGTATACATGTACCATGTTGGTGTGCTGCACCCATTAACTCGTCATTTACATTAGGTATATCTCCTAATGCTATCCCTCCCCCCTCCCCCCATCCCATGACCGGCCCTGGTGTGTGATATTTCCCATCCTGTGTCCAAGTGTTCTCATTGTTCAGTTCCCACCTATGAGTGAGAACATGCGGTGTTTGGTTTTCTGTCCTTGAGACAGTTTGCACAGAATGATGGTTTCTAGCTTCATCCATGTCCCTACAAAGGACATGAACTCATCCTTTTTTATGGCTGCATAGTATTCCATGGTGTATATGTGCCACATTTCCTTAATCCAGTCTATCATTGATGGACATTTGGGTTGGTTCCAAGTCTTTGCTATTGTGAATAGTGCCACAATAAACATACAAGTGCATGTGTCTTTATAGCAGCATGATTTATACTCCTTTGGCTATACACCCAGTAATGGGATGGCTGGGTCAAATGGTATTTTTAGTTCTAGATCCTTGAGGAATCGCCATACTCTCTTCCACAATGGCTGAACTAGTTTACAGTCCCACCAACAGTGTAGAAGTGTTCCTATTTCTCCACATCCTCTCCAGCACCTGTTGTTTCCTGGACAATCTGATTTTTTAAGAGAATGAATGAAAGCGTTCAAATAGGCTGCCCTTTGTCAGAATTTATGTAAGCATTCAGATTCTTAAGGTTGTGTTATTATACAACTAGGGAAAAATTTTCAATGTCAAAATGTGATTTAAAATATAAATATGCACTTAAAAATTTTGGAATAATTGACATATTATATGGGAAAGCCAAACTATGACAGTATTGTGACCTTCTTAGCTCTATTTCTGTAATATTTCCACTCTCGGATCAATCAAGTTCTTCAACTGAATGTTTAGTTCAAACTTAGATTCTGGAGACAGTCCTGTTTCTGATCGGAGAAAGTTAAGAAACCTGAGGAAGATAGCTTGGGAGGACCTATATTAAGTGTCTTTGGACAGGTATAGTCTGATCTAGTGTTCTTGATTTGTGAATTGGAATCCTGATACCAAACTCTAACTTGTGTCTCAGTTTCAGTGACGTGTTTTAATTTTTGTCCTATGTCTTAACCCTGCTTTGATAATTCATCTAGTATTCCTGCTACTTGAGATTATAACTCATACTTTATGTCTATCTAGAACTGAAGTCCTCAAAATCTGGGGCCATGCTATCTGTTACTACGACTCTCTGACAATCCAACTACCTTTGTCCTTGAATCAGCGGCCTCCAGGTGTCACCCTACTCTGTACACTGTCTACTGGGAGATTCACATCTATTCTATACTAGTAGCTGGATCTTATTGCTGGTCTCTTTTGACTTGTTCTGTCCATTTGCAGACTGTTCTCTGATTTCAAACCCTAACAGACCACAATCTCCTATATTTATGCTAAAATAATGGTTTTCAATTTTCCCCAAAATCTGTGGAAATGGTTCAAGTAGTCTATGTTTATATTTAATAAAATTTTACTTAACTGTATTTTTAATTATTATGAGCCCACCCCAAAGTGTCAACCCTATGGCAATAAAGCACAGATTCTGAAGTCAAGCTTCCAGGGTTTAAGTCCCAGCTCCAACATCACTCACTTGAGTGGCTTTACAGAAGTTGATTAACTTTTCATTATTTTAGTTTCCTAATCTGTGAAGTTGTTGTAATTAAATAATTTATTGTGGGGTAAAATAAGATTATTTATGTGAAGAACTCATCACAGTGCTTGAAACATTGTGTCGCAAATATTGTTATTTCCCACCTAATAACCACTCTTACTTTTTCCTTGCAAAGAGAACCCAATGTTGTTCTGGCTGCAACAGCCCCAGGAGTTAAGTCAGGATTTGATTGAGCTGAGATAGGATGCCACTTCACTTCTTCAGTGGGGGATCTAGGGTTGAGTGTATGAACAATGAACATAAGGAAAAGTCTTCTTTTCAGGAGTTTTGGGGAAAAGCATTACTCACTAATAAAATGTGAAGAGGAAAGACCTTCCTAATTTTGCTCTGCCCTCTATCTTTCTGCTTCAAATTCTGTCATTGGAAAACTTGCCAAGTAGAGCTACAGCATCCATCTTGCAACCCTGAAGCACCAAGATGGAGAATGAACATCAATGTGTTGAGGATAGTGGAAGGATGGGAAAAGCCTTTCTCTATGATGTCATTGTTGAGCCACTGAGCCAATTAAAGACATCCAAATTGTGGACATTTAGTTAAATTTACAAAAGTTATTATAGCCTAAACCAGGCATTGGCAAACTATGGCTTGTGGGCCAAATCTGGCTGTTTTTTTGTTTGTTTGTTTGTTTGTTAAATAAAATTTTATTGCAACACAGCCATGCCCATTCATTTACATGTTCTCTGTGGCAGCTTTCATGCTTCAATGGCAGAGTTGTTTAATGGCAACACAGAATGCATAGCCCACAATGAGTAAAATATCTACAATTTGGCCTTTTGCAGAAAGAGTTGTGGACACCTTGCTTAAATCAATGTTAATTATATTGTCTTCTGTTTGAGGTTGAAAGCATCATAATGGATACATTGAAAACTTTTAATAAATATTAACTATTATTGTTCTAGTAAAAAACACACGTGCAATGGAGTAACTTTCTTTTTCCCAGTTCTAGATAAATCTTCTGCCATCTCCTCTTATTTGAAGAGTATCCTGAGATGGTGAGAAAAATAGTTCATAATAAACAAAAAATTCTGTTCCCACTTTGCAGACATTCATATGTGGGAATTGAGACTTTTATTTATACCATAAAACCGAACCGAAAAAAATTAGAAAGAAATTGTATGTAAAGCTTATCTAGGGCTGCACCTGTCATATGTACTTCTGATTTCAAAATGAATGTTCACTAAAATACTTTCACTTTCGCCATTCATTATAAAAGTGGTTATAATGCATAACATTATAATGAGTATTTTATAAGGAAATACTACATACATTAACTTGTATTTACACTTTAAAATAGTCATCTATTTTACATTATAGGACACCAAGCAATATTGTACTTGAAAAAAATTGAAACAAATTCCATTCCTCAAAACACAGTTGAAAACCAAGGATGTAGAAATATTTTAGCTGCCTGTTTAACTTTGAAATCTTTAACTTTGAAATGAGGCCCTCTTATATGAAGGACCTCTTCAAGGAGAACTACAAATCACTGCTCAAGGAAATAAGAGAGGACACAAACAAATGGAAAAACATTCCATGCTCATGGATAGGAAGAATCAATATCGTGAAAAGGGCCCTACTGCCCAAAGTAATTTATAGATTCAATGCTATTCCCATTAAGTTACCACTGACTTTCTACACAGAATTAGAAAAAACTACTTTAAAGTTCATCTGGAACCAAAAAAGAGCCCATATAGCCAAGACAATCCTAAGCAAAAAGAACAAAGCTGGAGGCATCACGCTACTTGAGTTCCAACTAAACTACAAGGCCACATTAACCAAAACAGCATGGTACTGGTACCAAAACAGAGATATAGACCAACGGAACAGAACAGAGGCCTAAAAAATAACACCACACATCTACACATCCGGTCTTTGACAAACCTGACAAAAACAAGAAATGGGGAAAGGATTCCCTATTTAATAAATGGTGTTGGGAAAACTTGCTAGACATATGCAGAAAACTGAAACTGGACTCCTTCCTTACACCTTATACAAAAATTAACTCAAGGTGGATTAAAGACTTAAACATAAGACCTAAACCCATAAAACCCTAGAAGAAAACCTAGGCAATACCATTCAGGACATAAACATGGGCAAAGACTTCATGACTAAAATATCAAAAGCTGTGGCAACAAAAGCCAAAATTGACAAATGGGATCTAGTTAAACGAAAGAGCTTCTGCACAGCAAAAGAAACTATCATCAGAGTGAACAGGCAGCCTACAGAATGGGAGAAAATTTTGCAATCTATCCATCTGACAAAGGGATAATATGCAGAATCTAAAAGGAACTTCAACACATTTACAAGAAAAAAACAAAAAACCCCATCAAAAAGTGGGCAAAAGATATGAACAGACACTTCTCAAAAGAGGACATTTATGTGGCCAACGAACATTTGAAAAAAAGCTCATCATCACTGGTCATTAGAGACATGCAAATCAAAACCACCGTGAGATATCATGTCATGCCAGTTAAAATGGTGATCATTAAAAATCCAGGAAACTACAGATGGTGGAGAGGATGTGGAGAAATAGGAACGCTTTTACACTGTTGTTGGACATGTAAATTAGTTCAACCATTGTGGAAGACAGTGTGGTGATTCCTCAAGGCTCTAGAACTAGAAATACCATTTGACCTAGCAATTCGATTGCTGGGTATACACCCAAAGGATCATGAATCATTCTACTATAAAGACACATGCACACATATGTTTACAGCACTATTTACAATAGGGAAGACTCAGAACCAACCCAAATGCCCATCAATGATACACTGCACAAAAAAACGTGGCACATATACACCATGGAGTACTGTGCAGCCATAAAAAATGATGAGTTCATGTCCTTTGCCAGGACGTGGATGAAGCTGGAAACCATTATTCTCGGCAAACTAACACATGAACAGAAAACCAAACACCACATGTTCTCACTCATAAGCGGGAGTTGAACAATGAGAACATGTGGGCACAGGGAGGGGAACATCACACACCGGGGCCTGTCAGGGGGTGGGGGGCTAGGGGAGGGATAGCATTCGGAGGAATACCTAATGTAGATGACAGGCTGATGGGTACAGCAAAACATCATAGCACTTGTATACCTGTGTAATAAACCTGCACGTTCTGCACATGTATCCCAGAACTTAAAGTGTAAAAGAATAAAAAATAAGGCCCTCTTTCTTAAGATCTTTGTTTAGTGCTGGAGTGTTTTTTTTTTTTTTTTGTATCTTAAACCTATTGAAATGCTTCACAATTTACTTAAGAAAAAGGCACCTATCATTCTGGTTATCTACTCTTAAAATACCAAAAGGTATTTGTAATAGAGGAGTGGTAAGTAGTCAAGTTATCCCTACCACGAACTGCTAAGGGACCTTGGTGAATTCCCTTCAACTCTCCAATCATTTCTTTCTTATGGCAATACCTTAGCAGGTGGTGTGAGGATCAGAAGATAGTGGTTTCTTAGTAAACACTTATTATCTAATTTCATAATGGATTTGACACTACACTTATGATTTATAGCACATGTAGAGGTTTTGATGATTTTAACTGCAGATTGAAAAAAGTGGAGTCAAATAGGTTTTTTTTGTATTTGTTTTTAAAGCCTAAACTATTGAGTCTATAACAGGAAAAGAACATTATAAAATGAATACGTGATTGATCAAAAATAGCACATGTCAGTACCCCAGGTATAATAGAAGACTCTTGATTGCTTATGACAAAAAACAAACAAAAATACTAAACTTGGTTTTAGAAAAAAAATTCAATGGCAGATAAGCTAAAAAACACCTAGGGTATAGGTCTGTGAGGGCTCTGTGGCATGGTTAGATACAGGGGTCAAAAAGCACTTTTATCATCTTTCTCTCTTTTTCTCCTTTCCTTTTTCATTTCTTTGCTTGGCTTTCTATTTATTGCTTGACTTTTCTCTGTAGTAGCTTTATTCTTACCTAGGTTTTCTTCCTATAATGACGTGTGGTAAGTCCAGGATAACATCCCACCTATCTAGCAGTTCCTACAGAAGTCCCTGGTTATCATCCTCATCCTCCTACTGCTATGGACAAGGAGACCTAGTTCACATGTCCATTCCTCAAAACCAGTTGGTAGGCCTGCCCCAACCAAATTTCAAAGACTTAGAACAGAGTAAGGGCCGGCCTTGCAAAAGGAGAAGTTAGCTTCTGGCACAACAAGAAATTAGAATGCTGTGAAGATACTCATATCTCTCACTTGCTGAGTGCATGATCTTGGACAAGTTATCAATCTTTCTTCAGCTTTAGCTTCATCACTTCCTATTGATAGGAAGAGTTACTCCAGAGGTTTAGGTTGATAATTCAATGGCCTAAGGTATTAGAGAGTGTCCTAGAGTTGCTGGCATATACCCAGCTGGTAGGTACCCTTATTACATCTTTCCTTGCTTTCAGTAGCATGGAAATAAGATTTCGTGAGGAAGCCGAGTGTAAAATAGGAGCTGCTCTGAAATTCCTACCACAGGATCACTTTCCTTTTGATCTCATACATTTATACATGGAAATCATGAAAATCCGTATAATATTTCCTGTAGGTCTAGGCTACGTTAATGCAGCAAGCAAATATAACCTGGGGATAAGGTGGATAATTCAGCTCTTGTAGTCCGTTAGGAACAGTCAAATAACTCTATTTATCTTCCTGGTAGAAGATGTCTAAACCTAACTGTCATCAGGGATAAAAATGCCCGAAGGTGCTCAATACCTGTTACCTCCCACAGAATATTCGCCACCCCGGGCATAAAAGTCAAGAGGACTGTGGGACTATCAGTCAATGTGTTGATTAGTAATCTGCTACTCTCCTGTTTTGTCCTGTTAATGTGAGGACAAAAGCTGTGGTAGTATTGATACAACCTGAGGAACGCACAGCAATTTCAATGTGTCGTTCGTCGGAATGAAGCCATAGCTATGTAGCCTTACAAGTGCTAAAAGCAATTAGTTGTAACTGATCTTGACTATCAAAGAAATGCATGGGAGGCTGGTTGTGTGGTGTGGTATCCTTTTAATTCCTGATTGATTTTTGCTGTAGGTTATTTTTTGTAATTTTTCTAATAACAAACACTGGGTGACAATAGCTTTTCTTCAAGCATGTATTGTGATCTTTCGTTTCTTGGTCCTGACATAATCCATTAGTGGCTACATCACAAGCCTGGATAGAAACACAGAGCAGGTCAAGTCCCATTACAATAAAAACTTTTGTTTAACAAAATGGTTCCCAAGTCCTTCTGTGGCAGAATTAATTCAGGCAGCATGAAATAAAGTATTTTGGTATCATAAACGGTTTGGATTTTCTCTTTGAATTGCTCTTAAGTAATTATGAAATCATTCATTGCTTATTCAATAATTTAAAATATCTACTGTGTCTACTGCTTGCCACTGGGGTTCATGGCAATGAACGAAACATCTCTTCTCTGAGAGACATAATATTCTTTAGGATGGCAAAGACAATTGGATTAGTTTACTGAGACTGCCACAACAAAATGCCGCAGTCTGGGTGGATGAAACAACAGAAATTTATTTCTCACAGTTCAGGAAGCTAGAAATTCAAATTCAAGGTGTTGACAGGGTTTGTTCTCCTGAGGCCTCTTTCCTTGACATGCAGATGGCCACCTTCTCACTGCGTCCTCACACGGCCTGTGTGCACATTCCCTGCTCTCTCTCTGTATGTCCAAATTTCCTCTTATAAGGATATCAGTTAGAATGGATTAGTGCTCACCTTAGTGGCTTCATTTTGACTTAATCACCTCTTTAAAGGCCCCACCTCCAGTGTCACATTCTGAGGTACTGAGAGTCAGTGCTTCAACGTATACATCTCTGTGGGGGTGCATAAATAATCTCATAATAATGTAAATTAAACCAGTGAGTATGTATCACTTAAGCTGGTACCCCAAAACTATAAATAAAAATAAGGCAGGGTAAATGATTGGGTAGAATGCTGGGGAAATTGTTTTAAACAGGACAGTCAAGAAAATCCTGTCTATTGAAATAGCATTTGAACAGAGAAATGAAGAGAAGGAAAGAAGAATGGGAATATTTGGGGGAAAAGTGTTTTAGGCAGAGGGCATTGTGTTCAGTGTAGTAGAAAAGAGCCTAGAGGCTGATATGGCTGGAGAGGAAAGTGTCAGGACAGAGATGAGAGCAGAGGGGTAACTGGTGATCATCATGGAAAGTTGTAGAGGCCTGCTAGGAAAGGGTAACAATCTGCCGGAGACAATAGATTCCTAAACCCACAATCAAGGCTCAGTGTCTTATATGCTAGTGTAGGGCCGTGCGGGGTGTTGTGGACAGGACTGGCTACCTAATTTGTAGGGCCCAGTGCAAAATAAAAATGTGGGGCATCTTGTTGAGATGTGAAGATGGTGACATCAGGGTATTAAACCAAATATAGGATCATTCTCATCTCAGAGCTCTGTGCAACTGCACAGGCCACATGCCCTGGCTGTGGAAACATAAGAGAAAAATCTGGATTTACATACATGCTTCTTCAAAGGTAAAATGTGTGTTCAGAAGCTGGGTAGTCTTGTGGAAAGTGTGTTTCTGTGGTTTAGATTTAAAATCTCAGTTAAAATCCCAGCTTCTTTGCTTTCTACCAGTGAAACCAACTGGTTACAAATTTCTCATTTGTAACAAGACGATAGTGAACCATGTCTTATAAGGTTTGGTTTTGGTCCAATTTTGCCAAATAATGGTAAAAAATGTTGGGTAAAATACAGGATTCTCTCGTAGTCCATTTTGTGTTGCTATAACAGAATGCCTGAGACTGGATAATATATAAAGAAAAGAGGTTTATTTATCTCACGATTCTGCTGGGGGAAAGTGCTGGCATCTGCTAGGCTTCTGGTGAGAGCCACATGCTGGGTCAAAGCATGATGGAGAAGGTCAAAGGGGACAGGAACACGTGTGAAGACCCAAGTGGAGTCCTGGCTTTATAACAACCTACTCTTGCAGGAACTAGTCCAGTTTTGCAATAACTCACTCACTACTGCTAGAATGGCACCGAGTTATTTATAAGAAACCTGTCCTCATCATCCAAAAAACTTCCACTAGGCCTTTCCTTCCAACATCACCACACTGAGGATAAAATTTTAACATGCGTTTTGATGGAAACAAACAAATCATATCTAAACCATAGCATATTCCATAAAAAATCATCAAGTAATACATTTAATTTGCTTCTCTTTTACATTCTCTTTTGACATCACTTCCTTCCTATAATTCCTGAACAAGGAAAATGTTTTGTGAACTAATGGTAATGATTTACACTGGAAATGAAGATTATTCACCTTTTTATAAATGCAGGAAATCAGTCTCATTTATATGATACATTTTATTATGGGCAAGAAGCCCAGGTGTCAGATAGTGTTTGCTTTGTCCCATGACATAACCGAAAGTGTATGTTGATGGTCTTTATTACTCTGCAGTAATTATTTGGTAAAATGAGCCAATTCTAAGTGAGCCTCTGGTCTTGGCCTCATCCCTTTTGCTTCTTCCCCGCTTAGACAGTCATTTTCCTGTCCTTCTTGCCCAACTTTCTCCCCAAAAAGCAGCTGTATTTGTGTGTCTCATCCTGAGAGGGCAGGCAACTGGCTGCTATCAAAGTCACTCTGTGGCCTGGCCAGTGGGGAGCCATGAAGAACCATCTGCTGCAGAAATTGAGTGTCACCTCTGCAGTAGTCTTGTTTACAGAAAGATCATGGAGTTATTCTTAAACGAATATATGGTTTGCCAAAGAAAAGGACATAGTTTTAAGCAGTAAATAAGGAGAAAGCTGTAACCCATCTTGGTAAGCCTGCATACTTAGCTGCATGGAAATAGTTTTTCTGTAATCATGAGCAATGACAGCGGGAAGGCACACTGGAAACACACCTCCTATTGAATGCAGTCTCAAATATGAAAACATAAATGACAAGAACACCTAACTTGTGGATGAAAATCAACAAAAGTATTTGTAAAGTTTGTATTAATCATTTTAACTCTCAGAGCCTCCCTTTGTAGTATCATCCCAGTCATATCTATTGCCTCTAAGGCTCCAATTGCAGGGCGCGTTAAGGAAAAAGCATGGGCTTTGGCACCAGACTGATTTACATTCAAATCCTCACTTTACTTACTACCTGGGTTTACATGAACTTGTCAAAACCTCTTGCGATTGTTTCCTCATCTATTAAATGGGCATCATAATACCTACTTTAAAGGGTTGTTGGAAAATTTGGAGACAATCTAATGATTATCACAGGAAGAACTTGAATGTAGTAGATGATCAATAATCATTAGGTATTATAATTAGCCAATATTAAGATGATTGCTTTTCGTTATTCTTACCCATACATGAGTACAATAAACTTACTACAAGAAATATAGGCATCTGACTAAACATACAGTTTTAATGGTGGTTGACAACACGGCTTAAGTTAACTCTTACTTGAATACAATACAATGCACGTTTTTAAAGTGCCAATTATGGGAAAATCATTGTCCTTGCATTGGGAGGTACATAAACAAACCCTGAATTCAAAAGTTGGTGGAATGATCAAGACATGAAGCTACTGAACTGTTAACTATTTTGCAAAAGGACAACAGTTCATTTCTCTATAAAATACTCTTTGAATTCTTTCTGTAGGACATGTTGATATTTTAGTTAGTCATATTTCTTGATCATAGCTCCACTGAAAAACATTTCATAACTTGGTTAGGATTCAAAATTTTTATATTATTTTCTTTTTGGAAGCTGTCTCTCTGGTTGAGAACTCATTAAAAAAATGTATCACATATTCTTACCTAAAACTGAGATGTATCTTTCTTGATACTATTTCTAAATGAAAGCATGAAGATATTGAACCTAGCCTGGTGCTATAGGAAGAGAAGAACCACAGGAGGTATGAACAAAAATAAGAAAAAGACAAAGAGATAAGACTTTAAAATGTCAAGAAATGAGGAGGGAATAAAAGGAGCAGCTTTAGAAAGAAAATGATGCAAAAACTGGAAAAATATATAAGGGAAAATGAAAGGCAAAAGAAAAGTTAAGTAAAGAGAAAAGCAGGTGAAAAGGGAATTTATGTCAGAATATGTGGCCAAGTCATAAGATCTTTGTCTTACTTTTGGTCTGAAAGAGGATTTTCTTGCTTGAAAAAATATTTTTAATCCATGACATTTGTTTTTTACTTACATCTCTTAGAACATTTGAGAATCCTGGCCACTGATATATAAATCTATAGAATCAAACAAATTTTATGTAATTCTTGCTATTTTTAGAGATCTGCTGTTTGATCTCCTTTGAATATAATATTAGCAGTAGATTTCATTAATGAACACTGCCATTCACAAAACAGTCCCCTCTTCCAGTGGGGCAAAATTAAAATTGTATTCAGCTAAATGAGAACACCAGGAATCACTGCTGCTACTTTGATAAATTGTGAGACTGTTCTAATGATAAAATACTTTCTAGTTCTCTTTATAAACAGTGGGCTCTCATCCTGGAAATTCCAAGCCCTCACTGATGTCCAAAATAATAAGCACAATTGGAGGATTGGAGACCATTTTTCTCAGCATGGAGATGTACTCTTATTTCTCATCTCATGTTTTAAAGTGATTTTCGGAGGTTTTCATTTTGAGGCATAGATTCCGCAATAAAGTGTAGCACATCGTTGTTTTGACCACAGTAGAGTTGTGTTTTTTTAAATGCAGTTTGTTCCATCTTTAATTTTCTAAACAAGATTCTGAAAAAATTTCTGGGAAGTTTTCAAGGGAATGATCTTACATCTTAGCATTGTGTGGCATTTACATTTGTATAAGCCTACTATGGCTCTGAACAGAAATCTCAGTGAGTCAAAGAATAGGGTTTCTTTTAAAATGTGTTTATCAATAAAATAACTGGAAAATAAGTTTCCTTTCAAAGTTTTGAAATGACAACAACATCCTATTTGTCATGAACATGTCTGGCTGGTTAAAAACAAATAGAAAATTATTTTTATGTGTCTTCAAGATACTTTTGTAAAGATATTTTAAATTTGTATTTATTAATAAAAACCCAAAGTTAGAATACCAGTAATGCTTTTTTCTACCACCGTTATTTTCTTCTAGAAAATGCATATGATTAAAAGCAAATTTCCCTTTCTTCTCCTTAGAATACTGCTTTCCTTGATATTAATCTGACCATAAACAAAGCTATGAGACACTAAATCTGTTTCTTAGCACCAAAGATACAACACAGAAAATCATCAAGAGATCCTCAAATCAAATTTTGCTTTGGCTATCAAGATTGGAAAAGAAATGATAGGAAAAAAAGTTCAAAGCCAACAGGAAGCTCTTAGAAGTCAAGTGTTATTATTGTAGCGTTATCATCAGTCTGATTCATTGCAGTAGTAATAGTTGAAATTGTTTATAATCAAAGAGAAGAATGGAAGGACCACGTCATCGAATATTTTGTTGGGGCTCTTTAGGGCTTTTCACATGGAAGATATGTATTATATAAAATATACTAGTAAAAATTGATTTCTCACCCTTGGCACTATGTTTTTTTAAGACCTGTTAGCATATGTATTATTTTAAAAAGTAATTGGCTCCTAAGAAAGTAACAGATTTCGTTCAATAGTCTTCTTTTGAGTATTAATATCCTGATTAAACAAAAAATCTTCATAGTTCAGTCCCATGAACAAAGACTTCCCTTTAAAATGAACATTCTGTATCAACTCTAAATTAAGAACTTCTCCAGATTCAAACTCTGAATGGATTGTGTGACAGAGAATAGAACATGGACTCCTTAATCTCTATTCTTTTCCTTGTCTATTCTAATTTACTTGGTTGTATCACATTCCTAATTTCCCTCAAATCTTAGGGAAGACAGGAAAAATGGTCAAGTTAGGGAAGAAACGTGCAGACATCTTATATGGAGCCCATAGAATGGATGAAAAAATTAGAGAACAATTTTAATTTAAAATCAGTTCAGCTCCAAAAAGGAAAGGGTTAAGCCGAGAAGGGATAGGTCTTGGCATGTGAGACACGTTTGTTTGGATTTGCCGGTCATGAAGTATTTCCCTTAGTTGGTCCACATCAGTTATTTATTTCTCATAGGTTATTCTGCTATGGACATGGTCAGTGCTCTTGTAGAAATGCTAAGATTTTTGGGTGAGGCAAATGATATCCTCTCTACAAGGTCTCTATTGGTAGCAGTCTGTGGCTACTACAATGCTTTCTTTTCTAACCTGCTTTCCTTATCTTTGAATTTTGGAATGCTGCTCTGTATACTTGGTTACCAAGCTGATGTGTGTCTCTGGCCTGGATGCTTGCTTCTCCATTAATACTGCTTACCTGTTTTATTCCACAACCTTACCTTAAACTCTGATACAGTTGTGTCCTGATTCCTGATGTGGTTTTTCAATACTTTATTTTTCTCTCCACATATAACATACCTAGCTGTTGAGTGCCTGGGTTCTACCTCAACTAATAACTTCCAGGTATTATTCTGCTCTGATATTCTGTCTCAAGCTCTAGCTCTTACCATATGTTACTTGGTCTCTGTTCGTTACCTTCTCTCTGAGTTCTATTTGCCTCCTAGAGTTTCAGAACAAACATTTATGAATACGTATGGAAAGGACTTCTGGGTTCCATAAGAACACTGCTTTCCTCCTTATCAAGAAGCCTTGAACAAATTTTTCTTTGTCTTATAGCTGGTCGAAGTCTGACTGTCAATACAATCATATTTATTATAAAAGATAAGTCCCAAAGGGTAAATGTTTGGGTTTGATGCTACAGTCTTCTATTTTGTTTCTTCTAATTAATAAAACTTTGCTTCAGACATGGTGTGTGGGAACTGTGCTGAGTCTGAGGAAAAGCTGATAAATCTCTGAAAAAAATTGTGTTATAATTTTGTATAGTAGTGATATTGCTGCAGAAAAACAGGTGCCAACCAAAAAGCCTAGCTTTGAAAGAAAGCTTCATGGTTGAGTTATGAGACAGCTGGGGAGCAGCAAAATAGATATGGATCCATAAGCCCTGCAGGAAAAACAACTTTAATCAGGGCCTGACACATTTGGTGATTGTAACGAAGTCTCTTGGTATGTGTAAGCCCTGGATCAAATGGCACCAATTGGCTATTGACAAGCGTTCCATTAGTGCAAAACTGGATGAAAAACTGGCCGTTGCCCTGCACAGACTCCAATAATAAGAAATGAGGTTCTTGTACGGAAAGGGACTTAGTTTGTTTTCTAAAAACATATGTGCACTGGCCCAGGTGATACCTCTGGTGGACTGAAATTCCTCTAAGCTCAGCCTTCAGATACTACAGTGGCATTTAGTGAAATCTTTCCAAGTCTCTCCAAGTGACAGGCCTCTTTGACTCCTTAAATTGATTCCATGGTTCTGAATACCAGTAGCTAATGCTGACAGTTTGACCCAGGAGCAGGGAGCGTCGTCCTGCCCTGAGAGCCCCTCAAATGGATTTTACAAGGGAGTGGTGGATATTACGCTTCTAGGTGCGGTGAAGCGTGTTTCTAGCACTTTCCACAGATCATAAATTAATTTGAAATGAACTTCTCCCCTCCCAGAAAACACAATATCAGAGAAGGACTGTCATCATGGTTTTTCTGTAGCATAGTACCTGAGGGGGGAAAAATCATTTTCTCCTGCATTTGTTGACTGGACATGTGATTGGTGCCAAATGCTAGGCTGCCACAAATGTGTGCCATGTGTGTCCAATTCAAAATAATTTGCAGTTCGGTGTAGATTCTCCACACCGTCAGCTCTGAAACTGAAAGACTGGAAAGAGCTATGCATATTTTTTTCTAAAGATAGGTGTTATGTAAAGCCCCAAACTGATGTTTCAGGGACCCCAAATGTCCTGTCCTCACTGTTTCTGTAAGTGAGTTTAAATATAAGTGACTATTCTTGATAGTTACCTGGGAAAGATAAGAAGTAGTTTGTAGGACATGCAGTCTTATTTTATAATTATGTGTGGGCATTTGGCAAACAATTATAAAATAATATAGTATCCTCTCTAGTAGTAATGCTGCGAGGTAGAAGGCATAAAACCAATTTTGTTCTTCAGAACTTAAAATTCAGTGTTTCTTTCACTTGTGTGTAGCACCTGCTGTTTTATATATGATAAAATTTTACAGAATTGATTATATTAAACTTGGTTGATGTCATTAGTTTACTTTCATATTCTCTTTTCCTTAGTATATAGTAGGACCCATAGAAAACATATATGATTAATTGTACTATGATTGAAAGTGACTGTGAGTTAAAGAGAATAGGAAATATTGAGGTGGAAGAGAAAGGAGAAAGGAAAACAAAAGGGAGATGTGTGTTAGTAGGCAAGTATCCAGGTAATTCAATATCAACTACCTTTTTAGTGGCCTTCTTTTCTCCTGCCCAGATTTTCTCCTGATCTCTAGAACTTAACATCTAATTGTCCATGGGCTACTCTTTTAGTATGTTCCACAGGTGCCTCAAATTCAATGTCCAGACTGAACTATTCATTTTCGTACAAATATGTCATCCCTACATAGTTCCTGTCTTGAGGAATGGCACTACTATTCTACCCAGGAGTCATCTCAGATGACTTTGCCCACCTTCTTTGTCACTTAATAGTTATAAGCAGTTGTAGAGTTCATCTCCAAAATTCCCTGCACTTTTATAGCCAAGTTTCCTGCCTTAGCAGTTCTCACTGGATTACTAGGTGAATGGACTTGCTGACTCCACCACCCCACTACTTTAATTTAGCCTTTACTCTGCAGCCATAGCTTTTTAAATGCAAATTTGATTTCATCACTCCACTGATTAAAATTCTTTAACAGTCCTTTTAGCCCACAGGATAAATTTAGCACCCAATATTCTTTATGATCTAGCTGTACATGCTTCTCTAATCTGATTTCCTAACACTACAATCTGGGGTCTATTTATTATATGAAAAGCAGTTTTCAATAAATATGGTGCTGTTTCATGTTTCCATGTCATTGCATATTTGATTTTCATTGTTGGGAATGCCTTTTTGTGTTGTTTGTTTGGCACTTGGTTGGGGGTTGCACAGTTATCCATAGTGAAGTCACATTTCTTCATCTGCGAAGCCCCTCCTGGACTTATTAGTTTAAGTTATGCTTTTACTCTACTGCTCCTAGAATCATGTACATAATCCTAACATTGTGTCCATCCATGTTAGTTTAATTGCTGGTTTTTCTGTGTCCCTCATTTATTCTAAGCTCTTTGGGTTGAGAACAGTGCTTTTAACATTTTTGAGGCTCTGGTGCAGTATAGTTTCTGGTATATGATGAATACTCAATGTATATTTATTGAATGAATATACAAATGCAATGATAAAAGCACAGGTTCATTGCGATGATGGATGAATAACTCCCAGTTTGGAGAAAACATCTCTATTGTTTGGGGGCATTTGGCAATGCATAGACTTAAGAGCTGAAAGAAGATTTGATCTTAATTCACATTTGATTTGCACTTCTGGGGCATATTGATCTTGAAGAAGCCCATAGCAATTGGTGACTACTGTAAGGGAATATAGAAAAAAATGACACTCACGTGAAAAACTGAAGAGAGATTTTATTTTGTCCTTTCAGTCTTTGATGTATTGATACACTTAAATTTCCCTCGCTCTTTTCCTTTCTACCTTCTTCCCTCTCTCCCACCCTCTATAGCTTCTTCCAAAAGAAGTATAAAATAGTTGTATTAGAACATATAGGTTTATTTTAAAATTATTTATATATAAATATATGAATAAATACATATTTAGTCTTAAGTTGACTCTGTTAATATGTATGTATATGTATAAAATTTTAAAGAATTAGAATGTATTGTAATTCTATGTAATTACATATAATTCTATGCTGATGTTGGTAAGGATCAGAAAAGGAGTCTGGAACTGGAGAGGGAGAAAGGAAGTCACGTAATGGCAAAGCCAGAATATGTATTTTGAGAGCCAGTCTTAGGGGAAGTGGATGAAGCAGAGGTAAAGTGCATGGGGGAGGCAGAATGCACAGGGCCATAGAACTTCATTCCTCTGCCTGTCAAGGGGGATTTGGCTAGTGCAAGGGCAGAAAGAGCCAGGGCTGAGTGGTACACAGGGTTCCTATGTGTTCAGCCTGGAGATACCATGGACAGAGGTAAGGCCGGCTTCCTTTGTGGATTAGGAAACAAGGGACGTGAAGGACCTCTTCAAGGAGAACTACAAACCACTGCTCAATCAAATAAAAGAGGATACAAACAAACGGAAGAACATTCCATGCTCATGGGTAGGAAGAATCAATATCGTGAAAATGGCCATACTGCCCAAGGTAATTTATAGATTCAATGCCATCCCCATCAAGCTACCAATGACTTTCTTCACAGAATTGGAAAAAACTACTTCAAAGTTCATATGGAACCCAAAAAGAGCCCGCATTGCCAAGTCAATCCTAAGCCAAAAAAACAAAGCTGGAGGCATCATGCTACCTGACTTCAAGCTGTACTACAAGGCTACAGTAACCAAAACAGCATGGTACTGGTACAAAAACAGAGATATAGACCAATGGAACAGAACAGAGCCCTCAGAAATAACGCCATATGTCTACAACTATCTGATCTTTGACAAACTTGAGAAAAACAAGCAATGGGGAAAGGATTCCCTATTTAATAAATGGTGCTGGGAAAACTGGCTAGCCATATGTAGAAAGCTCAAACTGGATCCTTTCCTTACATCTTATACAAAAATCAATTCAAGAAGGATTAAAGACTTAAACGTTAGACCTAAAACCATAAAGACCCTAGAAGAAAACCTAGGCATCACCATTCAGGACATAAGCATGGGCAAGGACTTCATGTCTAAAACACCAAAAGCAATGGCAACAAAAGCCAAAATTGACAAATGGGATCTAATTAAACTAAAGAGCTTCTGCACAGCAAAAGAAACTACCATCAGAGTGAACAGGCAACCCACAAAATGGGAGAAAATTTTTCGCAACCTACTTATCTGACAAAGGGCTAATGTCCAGAATCTATAATGAACTCAAACAAATTTACAAGAAAAAAACAAACAACCCCATCAAAAAGTGGGCGAAGGATATGAACAGACACTTCTCAAAAGAAGACATTTATGCAGCCAAAAAACACATGAAAAAATGCTCACCATCACTGGCCATCAGAGAAATGCAAATCAAAACCACAATGAGATATCATCTCACACCATTTAGAATGGCAATCATTAAAAAGTCAGGAAACAACAGGTGCTGGAGAGGATGTGGAGAAATAGGAACACTTTTACACTGTTGGTGGGACTGTAAACTAGTTCAACCATTGTGGAAGTCAGTGTGGCGATTCCTCAGGGATCTAGAACTAGAAATACCATTTGACCCAGCCATCCCATTACTGGGTATATATCCAAAGGACTATGAATCATGCTGCTATAAAGACACATGCACACGTATGTTTATTGTGGCACTATTCACAATAGCAAAGACTTGGAACCAACCCAAATGTCCAACAATGATAGACTGGATTAAGAAAATGTGGCACATATACACCATGGAATACTATGCAGCCATAAAAAAAGGATGATTTCACGTCCTTTGTAGGGACATGGATGAAATTGGAAATCATCATTCTCAGTAAACTATCGCAAGAACAAAAAACCAAACACCACATATTCTCACTCATAGGTGGGAATTGAACAATGAGAACACATGGACACAGGAAGGGGAACATCACACTCTGGGGACTGTTGTGGGGTTGGGGGCAGGGGAGGGATAGCATTGGGAGATATACCTAATGCTAAATGACAAGTTAGTGGGTGCAGCACACCAGAATGGCACATGTATACATATGTAACTAACCTGCACATTGTGCACATGTACCCTAAAACTTAAAGTATAATAATAAAATAAAATAAAAAATAGGAAACACCGTGAAAAAAACTACCATTGGGTACACATGGGGAATGTCTTTTTAGCCATACCGAACTAATTATTAACATAAGAATTCCCAAAAGCTTTTTCTATCTCACCTATGCTCTGCTGATACTCTAGAGCTCTGGTAGTACTGAGAATGAGCGGTCAACATGCTAGATATCCCTTCTCTTGTAAACTCAGCTTCTTGGGTGCTCTCTTAAATTGGAGAGCATACATCTAGGGAAGAAAATGTATCCAATGCCTTCTGTGATGCCGGGTTCATGAAAACCCAACTGACACTGCTAGGGATTTGAAGGCATGTAAAGGGCTGGGTAAAGGGCTGAGTAGGATATCATTTGTAGGGTGCTTCTTACTTTGTTGTGTAAAAGGAAGTTGTTATATTAAGATTGCTTTCAAGATGTGGCTAAAAAGTAATGTATGTGCTTCAGGCAGGAAAAACAACCAATTCCTATTTCTAACCACTAGCCCAGGCACTTTAATTTACTCCTCCTAACTGCACTCTGGTATTAGTTTATCATCCTGATTTTACAATAGGAGAAGCTGGACTTCGCAGATAGTCAGTGGCAGAGCTGGGTTCAACCCGGGGTCTGGCTGACTTGAATCCTGTTCACATTCTTTTCTCCACTCTGCCTATTTGCTGTCACATCTTGGCTGGCAGCAGGAGAGTCAAACCTGACAGGGACCGTGAAAAGCCTGGAGTTTTCAGCCTGCTAGGCAAGCGGCGGTGCCATAGAGGTAAGTCCCTGTGAGCTCTGTCATTTATTTCTGTCTACTTTAAATCTCTTATCTGTAAGGCGAAAAGCATTTACGAAGCTTTCAGGAAAGTGCTTTGTGATTACCAGCACTAGCCGAGCAATGGCTTGCCTGTTTTTCACAGATAGCTGCAAAATATGTCTTTTAGGGAGAATTATCTGCTTTCTTCCACTTAGATTCATATACAAACACACCGATGAAGAAATATGTTTTGGATTCCCATAGTGCTAGGTATGAGCAGATAGTTGCTTTCTTTTTTTCTTTTTCTTTTACTTTTTTTTTTTTTTTGAGATGGAGTCTCGCTCTGTCACCCAGGCTGGAGTGCAGTGGCGCGATCTTGGCTCAGTGCAACTTTCGTCTCCTGGGTTCAAGCAATTCTTCTATCTCAGCCTCCCGAGTAGCTGGGATTACAGGCTCCTGCCACCATGCCCAGCTAATCTGTGCATTTTTAGTAGAGACAGGGTTTCACCACATTGGCCAGGCTGGTCTTGAACTCCTGACCTTGTGATCAGCCCACCTTGGCCTCCCAAAGTGCTGGGTTTACAGGCATGAGCCACTGTGTCTGGCGAGCAGATAGTTTCTATTCCAGGTTGCACTGAATCAGGTGAAAAAAGCAAGTAAACACTGAAAAACAAAAAAGTAAATATTCAGTTGTAAATAAACAAAATCCCCAAACCTACCCCGGTGACAAATTTCTGCCTTATGGTAATTGTTGTTAAGAGTAGGAAACCCAAGATGTAATTCCATTGGTATGAAATATCAGGTGGTCCCTACCAGTGAGACAAATATTTTTTAAGACCTTGAGAAAATAAGAATAGAATAGAAAGAATAGAAAAATAGAAATAGAAAAAATAGAAAAGAATAGAAAGGCTAATAGCTCTTTCTAACTTAAAAAAAAAGTGGCACTCCACATTGTGTACATATTTCAAAACATCATGCCTTACATGATAAATGATATAGTTTTTATCCTCAATTGAAATAAATAAACAAAAACAAAAATGACTAAAAGCATACCTAGCCCCTCTTTGTAGGGTCTACTTGGATGATATTTTTATCTTTGAAGAGAGAAAGAAGATGTTCGAATTGGCACCTCCCTTGGCCTGATGAGAGCTTAATCTTTAGTGTCCTTTGCGCTTTGTCCATGCATACTTCAGCTATGGGAGTAATTCTTAACAAATTGTACAGTTGACCTTCTATAAGCCAGCTCCTCCTGTATGATTAAAAGATTGAGTGTTGCATGAGAATGTGATGATTCACGAAGCCCTAGACACCTTAGACTCCTTGCTCTAATATAAGTTGTTGAAACACAGACCTGAGATCCTTGCTGCATTCTCCGGGTGGACCATGGGAGCCTTCAGACCTGGAGCCCAGGCCTTGCTGCAGCTGCTGTGCTTATACTCCTCCCGCCTAGGCTTCTGGAATCAGGGAATTCCTGAGGGAGGAAATTCTGAGTCTTCAACAAAGAGCCAGTTTTTGTATATTCCCACTGAAAAACTGAACATAACCTTTAAAGGGTAAAGAATCTCTTATTCTATGATTAAAAAAGTATATTCAAAGCCAACTGATTCTATTTGAAATAGCTCTTCCTTGCGAGGTGCATAGTTCTGGCTGGAAAAAGGCTTTAATAAGCCAGGCATGGTAGGGTGACTGCTTGGCTCTACTTTGCTTTGCTGTTGAAACATTAAGCGTAATCTGATGTGTCAATAGAGTCACCTCAGATACTCAGAATCATTTTAATTCCTCTTACCGTCAAAACATAGTGTCAATACTGACACAAATTGGCATTAAAAATATATGCGAAATCACCTGGAGAACAACACTTTTTACTGATAGGAGCTCTCTTTAAAAGCAGTTTCTGTCAAAGATTCAATTTGAACTCTTTTTTGGCTTTGAATTTTACAGAGCAGCCTAAAAAAAAAAAAAAAAAAAAAAAAAAAAAGCCCTGACCTGCTTTGCATCATTCAAACCTATCTGTGGAGGAAAGAAGCTTTTCCTTTGTATCTGACCCCATGGGAGATGCTGTCCATTCCCAACGTTGCCCTGAGACGGATGTGCAAGATGACACATAAGTGGATGACATCACTCATGGCTCATGATTAAATACTTCCCTGGGACTCACAAGATGTGTTCAGAAGAAAATGGGAAGAAGGAGTGGGTGACACTGACAACATTCTTATACATTCCACCTGGGTGCATATTTTTACTACTCTAGATAGATTTCAGGAGAGAATATGAGTGTACAAAATGAAAGAATATTGATATAAAAGCCTTAAATTTTAGTTTTGAGGGAATACAAACAAAAATATGCATATATTTGCCATATTATATTTCGTATGCTTTCTAATATATAGCACAAAATATGTAAATGTATGTGATGTGTAATTTGTAAAATATATGCAATTTGCAATATATATGTTCACTGTATATCACATATATGTAGTGTTCTAGATCCCCATGAAAATCAAAAAACTAGGACAAAATTTTATTTTTGATAAGTGACATATTTTTTGCTAAGTGGCATATTCAGATTACCTAAGTAGTATAACTACACATTCATTATTTGACTTTTTATAAATATATTGTAATGTTATACTTGATTTTTAAAAAAATATATTGTAATGTTACATTTGAAGAGGTGAAGTGTTCTTTCCGCGTTATTTAGGAAATTATTTATTTATTAAGGTGGGAAACCCATCAAATGTATGCTTATTGACATTTTGGCACACACAGTTGTTTGTTTTATTTTCTTGCTTTGCAAAAATCTTTAGGGAATAAATGACCTGTTGAACTGAAAAGTGAACATCATTGCGTTTCAATCTTTGAAAGCAATAGATTCTATCGATAGGAATGACCAGATTTTCTTTGTTGTTTGAAATTGTTGATCTGGTCATTCTTTTTCTAGTTTGCTCATGTTAGCAGGTGTTTCATGTGTATTTGTGTGTGTGTGTGTGTGTGTGTGTGTGTGTGTGTGTGTGTGTGTCTGGCAGCAAATCACTCAGCTGACCTTTTTCATAATCAACTACAATAAACGGAGTGTGTGTGTATGTGTGCGTGCCTGCACTTTTGGTGTGATGGACAGTTTGCTTAAATATATGGGAAAAGTTAATCCCTCTGCCCCTGACCTTTGGCACAGGAACCTTGTGCTTCCAGTAGAAAGTGTGGTAAATGCCAAGTCCTTTGGGCAGAGAATGTCTGCATTAATGTTTTCTATGCTGGAGCCTGAGCCATAGATTTTCTGTCAGCCATTCTTTGCACTGCGGATATGGAATAGGTTGAGCTGTATACAGAATATAGTGCCTGCTGCCATCTGTTTTGACACCCTGAATATTTTAACCCTAGGCAGTGTATTAAAGGAGAAAGTCTCCCAGTCCCTATCATGCATGTGATTGCCGTGGAGTACCGAAGGTGAAAGGAGCTGTGCGGTTTAATGTGATTGTCAAAGGGTCAGTTGTCATGTTAATTATCAAGAGCTGAGTGATTATGACACAAAGAGGGAGGAGGATGGACATGGTACATACCAACCTTGTAAATAAAGTTAACTCTTGATGTTCTTGGAAGCCCAAGGCTGCAACTCTTCAGCATCACACAGGCCTGGATGCAGCTCTGCATATGCTGATCTCTGTCTGGAATGCCTCATCACCATGAAGGTTTTGGATTACAGGGAATACGTGTTTCAAACAGGGTAAGGCAGCTTTGGCAGAAAGACCTTGCAGTAGGAGATGAAATGTTGCCAGTCTGGCATCTGAATTTAGCAGTTGAGAAGCCATTCTTGACTCCCCTACCTCCACATAGCCTCTATTGATTCAAAATGTAAACATCCCCCAGATCAATTGTTTCCGCTCCATCTGCTTTTTCATGGCCTTAGGTGCTCTCACATCTTGCCTAGATTAATTGCCAGATTATTGGAAGCTGCCTGTCCGATCCTTCTGTGTAATTTTGAAAATAATGCAAATCTGCCATGCCTTTCTGACCTGCGTGCTATTTTCACACACACCATGTCTTGCCCCTCCTGTCATTCTACATAACTCTCTCTCTCCATGTCCTATATTTAAATCCCACAGCTACGTATCATCTCCCTGGAAGCCTTTACAAGTCTGATTTAAAAGTCCTCCTTTGGGGTGTCATGGTACCACGTGCTTGTTTTGGTTATAGTTCTTCTCCTGATTTATTACAATGGTCTCTTGACAACTCCTGCCTTCCGGAACATAAGCTCCTTGAGGTGAGAGACCGTTATATTTTGTTTCGTATACCAGAGCTGGGCAAAGAGTAGTTACAAAATAAGAGTTTCTTAAATTAACTAACAAAATAACATGAATTTTAGAGTAGAATAGTACATGACAGACAGTAGTCCTGGTAGTTGGTCAGTAAAAGAGAGCATTCATTTAGGAGATGGTTGGTGACATACATTCATTCTCATAACTCTCCTCCCTGGACCTCTCTCATCCCTCACCTACACCAATCCTGACATGATCACTTGAAATTGACCTGGGTTAAATCATATAAATCTTTGTATTCCACCTTCTTGAATCAATTATAATCTTTAGTGTTGGTTGGGAGAGGAAGGCCCTTCTTCCTTCTTTCTCTGATTTCCAAGAGGGAAATGTCTTCTAATTATTCCTGGGCTTTTTTTCTTTTCTTTTCTTTTCTTTTTTTTTTTTGCCTCATCCCTTACAATTCCCCTTGGAGTGAGAAAGACGACTGGTTAGTTTGGGAATTGACTTAAGGATGCATCGTGTATCTCTTTACCCTCCTTTTTCTCTTGGAGCGTAGCTACACACAGGAGCATGCATTCTGCTCTGCTACCCCATGTCTTAAATTTTACATAACAGGCCCTCACACAGGGAAGTCTGGTGCTGCCAGTGACTGGATGAGGAGGACACTACTTCTGGTGCTCAATAACAGGGATTTAAATTTGCCAAATATACAAACCACATTCTCCAGGATTAGATTTATCAATATAAAAGGTGATATTTTGCTATTCTAACTGTCTTACTCTTTTGTTTTGTTGTATTTTGTATTTGTTTCAGAATGCAGGTGGAGAAGAGGGACGTGTTTATTGGGTGAACTTAGCTCAATGCATAGAATTTGAGAGTGAGGAGAAATCTTAGCTCTACTCCAAATATATTAATCTTTGAAAATTTCACTTCTGCTTACTAAAGAACAGTAGATCACTTTATGTTACTTAGAGTCAGTCATCATTGGAAACATTAATTAGGCTTATGTTTGAACAATGACCATGGTGGGATGAGGGCAGTGACAGGAGGTTAAGTGTAAGATGGAAGCCAGAAGGCCACAGCCTCTTTACATCCAGGTAAGCAGCAAGATTAGTACTAGCAGTGAGGGTTTGAAAGCAGAAGCAAGGAATGAAGATGTCTGTGTGTGTGGGAAGGATACAATGAGGATAAGTATGGAAATAAAGTAGGTTGTAGATACCAGTAATCCAAGCAAGAAAATATAGGTCAGAAATCCAGGGAAGAAACTTGGATAAAAGGCATACAGAGGCATAGAACATTAAGATGGTAAGATATCCTGTATGTCATCAAGTCTAAACATACATTCATTATTTGTATCATGTCTTAAATATTGTCACTGTACTATATCAGCTCTGTGTAGTATCTACCTTTTTCTCAGAGGCCCAGCCCTCACTATGTATTATCTTACTTTGTTCATTCTGTCTTTGGACCTCTCTAACTATTCTGCTTTATTTTGAGTCAAATCAATTTCTTTTGATTAATCTCTATGATATTTATCACTAACTGTGATATAGCTGAGCCATGGAATCTCATGGCTGAGAGGGACATAACATGATACTTTCTTCTGCCATAGTACCTAGAAGGATGAATATTATCCTAAGCACAGATGGCATAATTTCATTGTAAATATTGGGAGTGGCCTTAAAAGGAAACTGGTTCTGGTATCTGCCTCAGAAAATACAGCTCCATATTCACTAGGTTAAAATCCTTGTCTTTGGCAGACATTCACCAATTTGCTTGGTCAATATTAAATAACAAGTCAAGTCCTTCAGTCATCAGGGGATGACTTTTTCAGTTAACTTATCCTGGCAGGTGCCGTGGTTGTGCATTTTGTTTAGAGACAGCTGTTTTGTTGGAGCATAACTGAGCATTTTTTATGGCCACAGTAGGTGGCTGGTAAACCTCATAAGAAAGTATTTTAGACTCCTCCTCAACTGCACAACTCCACTCTCCTCCAAAAGGAAGTCCATCTATCTCATGGTCTGTGGTGGGTATTCTTGAGACTGTATCAAGCAGTCGTTCAAATGCTTGGCTTCAACAGTCCAAAGATGAGAAAAATTTTCACAAAAAGCTTAAACATATGCTCTTTCTATCTTCTCTGAGAAGTGGATGGCCCTTTGTTCTAGAGGAAATACTGATTAAATGACTAAACTTTTTAAACAGGGAAGATATCAACCACACTACCTTCTTATTTTCCAAAGCATGTGCATTTTTTCATCATATCCAATATCTTTAAATGCATTTGCCTTGTCTACTCAAACAAATGTCAGTGGCATGCAAAATTCCAGCAATTTGTAGCCTCCACTCTCTGATGTTCATTTCTATTTTCTCGTGTAAGTTTTGACAAACTTCTTCTGCTTACTCTCCTCCTTTCTATATTCTGATCTTTCAGAATACAGAATTCTTATCTTTCTTGCCTCAGGTCTCATTTTTCTCGTATCCCCTTTTGAACAAGTTTCTGCTTTAGCTCTTTGTCTCTGAGATCATTCTGCTGTTTGACTTTTGGTTCTCTGTATTGGAATCACTTATAAGGGACATGCCTACTTACTGTCCTTGCCAGAGAAAGGAATTTGACAGATAGAACCTCAATCTGTTGCAGAATCTGTTTCAGAATGCCATCACTACTGGCTTGAGAATACTTCATTTCTTACCAGATGCCTTCTTGAAAGGCGTGATATATAGGAATGTTGTATAAAGATTATACTATTGTCTACTATACTACTATATATGATTTACTTTTATTTCTCTTATATTATTAGAATACTAGGTATCTATATACTTGGAGTATACACTTGTCTATATAGTTATCTTGAATGAGTTATGCTTTAAGATTGTGCAGTCAGTTTTTTTCGAGGTTCACTAGAAGAAACAGCCTATATTGAACTTGTTTTGTTAACAGATTATTGAGGATATTGTCCACCATATCATACACTATGTTATACATAAACCTTCGGAAACATGCCTTTTAGTATTTAACAGGGGAAAATGCTATCTCTTCCCACATATGCTTTCTCCTTTTAATAATAATAAATTTACATTGCCAACAATGTAACTCATTACGTTCCCATTTATTTTGCTCCAGTTGCCAGGAAGCTCAGAACAAAATGTAATGGTTAAATGTAGCATTTGATATTCTAGTTAGTACAAATGCATTTTCCCTTTATCTGGGTTTTATATTTATATCTTATTAGGTTTTTTTTTTGTCTGTGTGCTCATTGTCTTAGTCTGTTTTGTGTTGCTGTAACAGAATATTTGAGACTGGGTAATTTATAAAGAAAAGAGGTTTATTTAGCTCATGGTTATGCAGGATGAAAAGTTCAAGGGCATGGCCCTGGCTTCTGGTGAGTTCTTCTGTGCTGTGTCATAACAAGGTAGAGAAGGTCAAAGGGGAAGTGAAAACATACAAAGAGAGAGAACCCGAGGAGCATCCTGGCTTTATAACAACCCATTCACAAGGGAAAAAATCCATTCCCTAAAGAGCTAATCCAGTCTTGCTACAGCAAGAACTCACTCATTGTCAGGAGAATGGCACCAAGCTATTCATAAGAGATGTACCCCCATGTCCCAAACACCTCCCAACGGGCCCCACCTCCCAATACCACCCTTCTGAGGATCAAATTCCAAAATGAGTTTTGGTAGAGACAAAACCAAAACAAAACAAAACAAAATAAAAAAACCATATCCAAACCATAGTACCAATAATCTCAAATTTACTTTTTAGAGTCAGGATACTATATTGACTTATAATACTTTCCCTGAACAATCCTCTTTTTTGCTTGGGAAAGATGTGATAAAGTCCTTAGAGACCTACTCTTAGAGTCTCAGAGCATCCTTGAAATATTTCATAATATAAGTCTCATTCTAACTCTTTGAGTACTTACAATGTACGTGGCATGCCACTAGATGCTATAAGTCATGCACAAACCAAAACAAACAAAACATAGCCCCTTTCCTCAGTTCTGCTGCTTTATTGCTGGGGCACAATCTTCTACAAAGTAGTAGGTTTTTAAGGACAATTGAGAAGTTGAAACAAACTATAGGAGGCTAGGAAACGTACAAATTGAGTAATGAGGGAAGGCTTTGTGGAGAAGATTTCGCTTGATCTGGGATTCAAACTGTGTATAGATTTGAGTACATGAAGCACACAAATGAGTGTAATGGCGTACTGGTAAACTGGTTTCCCCTTCCACTTCAGCAAAGCCCTGCTTTGCAGTGTTTGCCAGTTTCCATGGTGTAAATACTTCTGCTATGGCCAATTTGAAGCTATCAGTAATTTAACCACATGCTTGCAAAGTTCCTGAATATTTAAAAATTAGCTGTCATGAGCCTGTTTGAGCTGGGTTTAGCATACCACTGGATGAAGTCTTTATACGAATGTGATACTATGAGTAAGAGTTCAGATTTGTGAGGTCCCACTAAGGAACAGAAAACAGTCCTGACTGTCTGCATCTGGAGGTTCATATTGGGAAATGATGGCAAGATGTAAGAGTTAATTTGGGACAGAATTTGGAGGTTTTTGCTGTGCACTTGGGGTTTATTCTTTAGGATGTGGGAAGGTCTTGAGTACTTTTAATAGAGGAATGACAGGATAGAATTAATGTTTTAGGAAGATAGGCCTTTTATTATTTATATGCTGAGTGGTTTTAAGGGAATAGAGGGCAGCAGAGGTGAGACCTAGGAGCTTCTTGAAATGAAGTATGTATGAAGTAATAAGGGACCAGAGTTAGGACAGAAGTGGCCAGCATGGGAAGGGAAGACAGGTGAAAGGGAGGACAGTGGGGACAGTGCATCTCTGGTAGTATCGCATCAGCTGAATTGGCTTACAAGCTCTGACTGGAATCAACTGAGGGTTAACTTACATGTTTGGGGATTGATATTGGATGTTACTAGAACCTTCAGTGAGGCTGTGGAGAGAACACTTATGCAGATTCTTTACATGTGGCTGCTTGGTTTTATTACCGTATGCTGGCTGGATTCTAAAAGTAAGAGTCCAAGAGAGATAGACAGATGAAAAGCACATTGCCTTGTACAACCTGGCCTTGAGAATCATATGATGTCTTTTTCACTACATTCTATTTGTTGAATCAATCACAAAAGCACAGCTAGTTTTAAGGGAATGGAAAATGAGACCTCCACCTCTTGATGGGAGATAGCAAGGCTATAAAAGACCATGTAAGAGTGACACACAGGAGTTTTTCAATAAGTGCTTGCTATTATTATCATTATATGAGTTTAAGTGTCTCCAAGTAAACTAGTTCCCTCTGAAATACAGTGAATATTTTTAGTAACTGCCTGGTATGTTTTCTGTGTGTTCAGTAACAACCTTGAAAAGGTGGTTGTGTAGCTCTCATTAAGTGAATGATATAATTACTATTTGGTTCTATTACACAAGACTACAGACAATTTTCTTCTCTAAGAAGGGGGAACAAGATCTTACGTGTATGATGAGGTTGCTTTTATATTAATTAACTTGGACAAAGTAACATAATAATTGCAAACTCTTATTGACAGCTTCTCATGTACTAAACTCAGTAAATTATTTTTATCCATGATCTTGTTTAATCCTCACAAATAAACCTGAAGAGAGTATTATTAGCCCCATTTATGAAGGATAAAATTGAAGTTCAGAGAAGTGATGTAATTTGCCTAAGGTGACATTGTTAATTAATGAAACCTGAATTCAGTTCTAGAACTGTGTTCTTCCTCCCCTTCACGAGATGTATTGTATCACCTCTTCATGAGCTAGAATGTATCACCTCTTCATGAGGTGATATGGTTTGGCTGTGTCCCCAACCAAATCTCAACTTGAATTGTATCTCCCAGAATTCCAACGTGTTGTGGGAGGGACCCAGTGGGAGGTAATTGAATCATGGGGGCTGGTCTTTCCCATGATATTCTTGTGACGGAGAGTAAGTCTCATGAGATCTGATGGGTTTATCAAGGTTTCAACTGTTGCTCCTTCCTCATTCTCTCTTGCAGCTTCCATGCAAGAAGTGCCTTTTGCCCTCTGCCATGATTGTGAGACCTCCCCAGCCATGTGGAACTCTAAGTCAAATTAAACCTCCTTTTCTTCACAGTCTTAGGTGTGTCTTTAGCAGCAGTGTGAAAATGAACTAATATAGTAAATTGGTACCAGTAGAGTGGGGCACTGCTGAAAAGTTACCCAAAAATGTGGACATGACTTTGGAACTGGGTAACAGGCAGAGGTTGGAACAGTTGTGAAGGGCTTAGAAAAAGACAGGAAAATGTGGGAAAGTTTGGAACTCCCTGGAGAATTGTTGAATGGCTTTGCCCAAAATGCTGATAGCAATATGGACAATAAAGTCCAGGCTGAGGCGGTCTCAGATGGAAAAGAACTAGTTGGGAACTGGAGTAAAGGCGACTTTTGCTATGTTTTAGCAAAGAGACTGGCGACATTTTGCCCCTGCTCTAGAGATTTGTGGAACTTTAAAGTTGAGAGAGATGATTTAGGGTATCTGGTGGAAGAAATTTGTAAGCAGCTCAGCATTCAAGAGGTGACTTGCATGCTGTTAAAGGCATTCCATTTTATAAGGGAAGCAGAGCATAAAAGTTTGGAAAATTTGCAACCTGTCAATGCGATGAAAAAGAACATCCTATTTTCTGAGGAGAAATTTAAGTCAGCTGCAGAAATTTGCGTAAGTAACGGGAAGCCGAATATATTCCCAAGACAATGGGGAAAATGTCTCTAGGGCATGTCAGAAGTCTTCATGGCAGCCCCTCTCATCACAGGCCTGGAGGCAAAAATGGTTTCACGGGCCCAGCACAGGGTCCTGGTGTTGTGTGCAGTCTAGGGAGTTGGTGTCCTGTGTCCCAGCTGCTATAGCCATGACTACAAGGGGGCAAGGTACAGCTTAGGCTGTGGCTTCAGAGGGTGCAAGCCCCAAGCCTTGGCAGCTTCCGTGTGGTGTTGAGCCTGTGGGTGCACAGAAGTCAAGAATTGAGGTTTGGGAACCTTTGCCTAAATTTCAGAAGATGTATGGAAATGCCTGGATGTCCAGGCAGAAGTTTGCTGCAGGGGCAAGGCTCTCATGGAGAACCTCTGCTAGGGAAGGTGGAAGGGAAATGTGAGGTCAGAGCCCCTGCACAGAGTCCCTACTGGTGCACCACTTAGTGGAGATGTGAGAAGAGGACCACTGTCTTTCATACCCCAGAATGGTAGATCCACCGACAGCTTGCACTGTGTGCCTGGAAAAGCCACAGACACTCAATGCCAGTCTGTGACAGCAGCTGGGAGACAAGGCTGTACCCTGCAAAGTCACAGGCGCAGAGCAGCCCAAGACCATTGGAACCCACCTCTTGCATCAGAGTGACCTGAATGTGAGACATGGAGTCAAAGGAGATCATTTTGGAGCTTTAAGATTTGGCTGCCCTGCTAGATTTCAGACTTGCATAGGGACTGTTGGCCCCTTTGTTTTGGCCAATTTCTCCCATTTGGAATGGCTGTATTTACCCAATGCCTATACCCCAATTGTATCCAGGAAGTAACTAACTTGCTTTTGATTTTACATGCTCATAGGCAGAAGGGACTTGCCTTGTCTCAGATGAGACTTTGGACAGTGGACTTTTGAATTAATGCTGAAATGAGTTCAAACTTTGGGAGTCTGTTGGGAAGGCATTTTTGTTTTGAAATGTGAGGACATGAAATTTGAGAGGGACCAGGGGTGGAATGATATGGTTTGGCTGTGTCCCCACTCAAATTTCAACTTGAATTGTATCTCCCAGAATTCCCACATGTTGCTGAAGGGACCCAGTGGGAAGTAGATGAATCATGGGGGCTGGTCTTTCCTATGCTATTCTTGTGATAGTGAGTAAGTCTCATGAGATCTAATGGGTTTATCAGGGGTTTCCACTTTTGCTCCTTTCTCATTCTGTCTTGCAGCTGCCATGTAAGAAGTGCCTTTAGCCTTCTGTTATGATTGTGAGACCTCCCCAGCCATGTGGAATTATAAGTCAAATTCACTCTCATTTTTTTCTCAGTCTGGGGTATGTCTTTATCTGCAGCATGAAAATGGACGAATACATGAAGTATACAGTATCACTTCTCCATGAAGTAAGGAACTGGAATAGAAATAGGGCCTTAATATTGGCTGCAAAGAAATAAGTGTCTAAGAGTGGGATTGCTAATGTTGCACATGAAATGATACCAACTATGTGGAGGTGGACAGGGATTCAGAAAGTGATGGATTTAGGCAAGTACGCTGCAAGGTTTCAAGTAAGAATATAGAATGGAGTCATGCCAGAAAACCGTGAAAACATGCTTGTAGAAGAGCATAGCCATCTTCACATATCTGTTTTAGCACTAACAATATTAGACACTAAAACTCTACTAATATATCTGCTTCTCCCAGTGGTCTCTGTGCTCTTGGCAAAGTGTAGTATGTAGTAGATTTTCAATATATATCTATAAAACTAAAGAGAAAGGATTTGCACTTCATCCCTCTTTGACTCTAAGTTTATTTCCATTTTGTTTTCCAAATGTAAAGTTTCTTCAAATTTTAACATCTATTAATGTTTCTAATTGGAACCAAAATATGGGATCTCTAGAGCTCTTCTTTGCTTCTTAGTCCAGTGCATAAAGGTGAAAGAAGCACATTCTTATATACCTGTTTCCGGGTTGTAATAATCCTGATGGGAAAAGGAAGATGAACCACAGGGCAATGGAAGCAATACTCTGTTATAGTCCCTAGAGAGAGTCATAATCCTTGCCTATAATGCTGTATAGATATCCTTCTGCAATATCAGTTTGGAAAGAAGAATTCAGTAATTCATCAGAACAGTTAGAAAACTGCTAGAAACTTTACGACCTCATATTCTTTAAAGTAACCAGTTTATTGTATCGTTGTGACTTTTATTTGTTCTCCCCCTTGACATTTATGTGATGAGCACCTCTGGTGATGGCTGAAATTACACATAGACTAAGAGGACTCAGGCATAACAAAGATGTCTTTTAATTTTCCTGGAGATTAATCTCTCCATCTTAAATCTACAAAAGTAAACTTTTTATTGGTTTGATTTTGCACCCCAATATTTTTTCCAAGCTACAATTAGAGATGAAAATTAAGATAGCAATGAAAAAAAACTCTGATTTATTACTTTTGACAGGGGAAGTATTTTTCCCAGGCTGTTTCTGAATTCCTTTCTTTAGAGGAAATAGCAGGGGAAGGTGACTATTTCTCAGCTAGTAGCAGCTTCCAAAAGAAGAATTATATTTGGGAAAATATTTGAGATTAAATCACATTAGAAAAGATGCATCTCATCAAATCAAGGTATTATTCAAATAAACCCATATCCTGTTTTAAATGTTAAGTCTGTATGTTTTAAAGCTTAGAGTTTTAACAGTTTATGCTCCTTATAGATAGATGACATAACCTCTACAAACCAGAATTTCACCTAAAGATGGCACCCTCCTTTGGAAAAACACAGGGGCTGGTATTTTAATGAGCATTTGCAAGCCAAGTGCCTGATGAACTACGTGTTTGTGCTGCTTTTTAAATCGTCACAAGTCGTTGAGGAGGTATTGTTATACCTATTTTGCAGAGGAAAAAACTAAGGCTGAAATTCACTACCTTGTCTAGGGAGCTGTAAAACATAAATAGAAGAGCCAAAATGGGATGCAGATTATCCTAAACCAATGCCTCTCAAACTTTTTCTTTCTTTTTTTTTTGAAACTCAAGAGAGTGCAATGGCCACGGGCCCACTTTTCTTTCCCTGCCTAGTTGTGAAATGTTGCTTGTTATTTCTACCAACCTAAAATATTATTCCTGGCTTTTTTCTTTCTGAATTTTTAAATCAGAAAGCCAATGGGTTTCTAAAATAATTTTCAATATTGAAAAATATATTTTACCGATATTTTATTGATCTGTGATGCCATTGATTGAAAGACATACCATGGGATTATGTATGTTCTACTAAGAAAAACAAATGCTATCAACAAAACTATGACATAATGCCTTATAAAACAGTCCTGCATGATGCATGAATGAGTCACATCACCACTCATTGTCTTTCATCAATTCTAAGAAATTTAGCAATTTCTTTTGTTTTTAATTCCTCTGCATGGCAGGTGATAGGCAATCCCTTTTGTATGCATTTAATAACAAAACCTAACACAGCTTCATCTACTTCTGGGTATTTTTTTCTTAGGTTCTGTAAAACACATTGTTGTTTTGTGAGGAAATAAGGGGCTCTAGTCATCCCTAAAATGATGAATATTTGCCTCACTAAAAGGAAACACATTCCCCACTGCTCTATTTCTGTATATTTTTGTGTATATAATGACTTCTGCCTCAATGCCGAA
Source organism: Homo sapiens (assembly GCF_000001405.40). Taxonomy (NCBI): domain Eukaryota; kingdom Metazoa; phylum Chordata; class Mammalia; order Primates; family Hominidae; genus Homo; species Homo sapiens. The sequence continues at coordinate 24,084,432 of NC_000009.12, forward strand.
TCATGTTGCAATCTTTTAGAAGACACTTTAAATGGCAATTAAACTCAACACTTGTAGCACCAAGAATATTCAAAACTCAATGGAAGTGACGACAATGTGAATATTTATACTGAAAGCAATGTCATCCACATCAAAACTGCCACCTGGCCAGCAGTGATTATAATATGCCATTAAATCTAAGACTCTTCCTAATTTCAGAGGTATTAAAATGTGAAAAACTATACTTCTTAGAATCAATGAAATAAGTAAATATTAAATATGCTTTTTGATGGCCTCTCTTTTCTACATTTCAGATTCTGATCGGGTCCCAGCTCTTCTATTCTCGAAGCACCCCTGTCCCCTATACCTCTCATCCTGCAGAGAAATACTGCTGTACGCTGTGCCTCTTTCCAGCAAGAAAGGTTTCTTCATCTACTCTAGGCTGCATTTTAGCATTTACCCCAAGGCCTGTTACAAATGGACAGAAAATTAAATTTTTCTTTTTCCTCTTAGGAAGAGAAAACCTAACTATATTTCCAACTTATAACAGTGTATTTTCCACGTTTTCATTGTATCATGGTCATGTGTAGCCCTTTGCTGATAGACAGGGTGAGTGTAAAGGGATTTAATTTTCACTGCTTGATTGAACTCGTCACTAAACTTTTTAAACAACTTGATAGTTTGTATATAAGAATTATTTTCTGTAAGTTGTCTGTTTACTCTGTTGATAGTTTATTTTGCTGTGTAGAGGCTCTAAAGTTTAATTAGATCCCACTTAACAATTTTTGCTTTTTTTGTGATTGCATTTGATATCTTCATCATGAAATCTTTGCCCTTTCCTATGTCCAGAATCATCTTGTCTAGGTTGTCTTCCAGGATTTTTATAGATTTGTGTTTTACATATAAGTTTTTAAACCATCTTGAGTTGATTTTTGTTTATGGGGTAAGGAAGGGACCTAGCTTCAGTTTTCTGCATATGGCTAGCCAGTTATCCCAGCACCATTTATTATACAGGGAGTTTTCCCCATTGCTTGCTCTTGTTAGCTTTGTCAAAGATTAGGTGGTCATAGGTGTGCAGCCTTATTTATGAGCTCTGTATTCTGTTCCATTGGGTGGTCCATTTTTCTGTTTTTGTGCCAGTACCATGCTGTTTTGTTTACTGTAGCCCTATAGTATAGTTTGAAGTTGGGTAACATGATGCCTACAGCTTTGTACTCTTTGCTTAGTATTGCCTTGGCTATTCAGGTTCTTTATTGATTCAATAGGAATTTTAAAATAGTTTTTTTCTAGTTCTGTGAAGAATGTCATTGGTAGTTTGATAGGAATAGCATTGAATCTGTAAATTGCTTTGGGCAGTATGACCCTCTCAATGATATGAATTCTTCCTATCCATGGGCATGGGATGTTTTTTGAATTGTTTGTGTCTTCTCTGATTTCTTTGAAAAGTGTTTTGCAATTCTCATTGTAGAGATCTTTCACCTCCCTGGTTAGCTGTATTCCTAGGTATTTTATTCTTTTTTTTTGGCAAATGTGAATGAGATTGCTTTTCTAGTTTGGCTTTTGGCTTGGCTGTTGTTGGTGCATGGGAATGCTAGTACTTTTTGTACATTGATTCTGTATCCAAGTATTTGCAAACCATGCATCCGACAAAGATCTAATATCCAGCATCTATAATGAACTTAAACAAATTAACAAGAAAACAACAACTCCATTAAAAAGTGGGCAAAGGGCATGAACAGATACTTCAAAAGAAGACATATATGCAGTCAACAAGCATATGAAAGAAAGCTCAATATCACTGATCATTAGAGAACTGTAAATAAAAACCACAGTGAGAAAGCATCTCACACCTAGTCAGAATGGCCATTATTAAAAAGTCAAAAAATAACAAATGCTGGCGATATTGCAGAGGAAATGGAACACTTACACACTGTTGGTGTGAGTGTAATTTAGTTCAACAACTGCAGAAAGCAGTATGGCGATTCTTCAAAGAGTTAGAAGCAGAACTACCATTCTATCCAGCAATCCCATTACTGGACATATACCCAGAGCAATATAGATCATTTTACTGTAAAGACATACGTACGTGAATGCTCATTACGGCAGTAGTCACAATAGCAAAGACATAGCATCAACATAAATGCCCAACAATGACAGATTGGATAAAGCAAATGTGATACATGTACACCATGGAATACTATGCAGCCATGAAAAGAATGAGATCATGTCTTTTGCAGGAACATGGATGGAGCTGGAGCATGGATAATAACTGAGGAAAGGAAAACCAAAGACCACATGTTCTCACTTGCAAGTGGGAGCTAAATGATAAGAACGTACGAACACAAAGAAAGAAACAACAGACACTGGGGTCTACTTGAGGGTGGAGGGTGGGAGGAGGGAGAGGAGCACAAAAGGTAACTATTGGATATGGGCTTAATTCCTGGGTGATAAAATAATCTGTACAACAAATCCCCGTGACATGAGTTTACTGATGTAACAAACCTTCACATGTACTTCTGAACCTAAAATAAAAGTTACAAAAGAATTATTTTCTATTATTAAACATGTCCTTTGGAAACATTTTCATATATAACTTTGAATACTTTGTTGTGCCCTGAGGAAAGTATGCAGTAGCTGATTTTTGACTTTTATTGAAAATGTTTTTTGTTCTCCATTCTTCACAATTTTTCCATTGAAATGTAATGATAATACCTGCATCGTCTACCAATCCAAACAATATATAGTCAAAAGCGAAATTGATAGTCTCTCACTTTCTCTTTCTAATCCCATTTTCTAATGTAACTACTGTAAACTATGATTTCCTTTGCTGATAGAAACAAATGCCACACACACATGCGCACATATATACATATATACCCATTGAAGATTAAAAAACAAACAAACATGAGGACCTAACATGGAGCTGCTATTCTTCCCTAATGGTCTGTTGCGGACCTATTTTGAAGTCGATGCATAATGATCCACATTTTTAAATAGCTGCTTATTGTTTCATAGAATTAATATATCATGGTTTAGGAAACCATTTCCCTATATATGGATATCTAAGTCTATTCCAGCTGCAGTAACAAAATGTCATAAACTGGGTATCTTATAAATAACAGAAATTTATTTCTCACAGTTATGGGTCTGGGAGTTCCAAGATTAAGGTATCACCAGATTTGATGTCTGGTGAGGGCTTGTTCCTCATAGACAGTGTCTTCTTGCTGTATCCTCACATGGCAGAAAGGGCAGACAAACTCCTTTGGGCCTCTTTTGTAAGGGCACAAATCCCTTTCATTCTCTAAAGGCCTCATCTCTTGCTACTATTGCACTGAGGATTAGGATTCAACATATAAATTTTGAGGGAACACAAATATGCAGACTATAGCAGTGGATAGTCCAGTTATTTACAGATATTTTTATTATAAATCTTTTAGATATCTTTTTGGGTAAGACTGTTGACAGTATCAGACATTGCTGATTTTTCTTTTTTCTTTCCCCCTGATGGAATCCTAAAAATGAAGATACTCAGTGAGGGAGTGTGCGTACTATAAATTTTATATTGCTAGCTTTATTTTCCAAAATATTATAAAAATGTACATTCATCAATAATAAATGAGACTGCCTTTTTCTGTAGGTTTTCATTAGCACTGAATGTTCTCAGACTTTTACATGGTCACGTAATAGGCAAAAAAACATTGTGTTGTTTTAATTTGCAATTTTATGTTTACTGATCATGGTATATTTTCATTTTTTATTGATCATTTGCATTTCCTCTTTTGTAAACTGCCAGCTCTTATCTTTGACTCAGTTTAGACTGTCTTTTTCTAATTGGTGTGAAAGAACTCTTTATTAGAAATAATAAACAATGAGTGCTTACTCTTTAACCTGACTCTGACTCTCAGTACTTTATAAGAATGAATACGTTTAATTAATCCTCACAACAGCCTTATGAGGTAGATACAATTTTATAGGTAAGGAAACTAAGGCAGAGAAAGGTTAAATAATATGCCCAAGATCATACCGCTAGTAAGTGGCAGAGCTGGTGTTCAACCTGAGGCTGTCGGGATGTAAACTCATGTCCTAACCCCTGCGCTATGTTCCGATCAGCTGGAAGGGAAGATTTGGCGTGTGTACTGAGAACAAAGAGATATACCATCACTGGGTGCAGAGGAGCCATGGCAGGCATATTTCAGAGCATATTGGAAGACAAATATTTATGTCTAAAGTCTGATAAGAATGATACTTCTCTTAAGAAAAAATACAAAACTTACCATTTCGAAGTGAATTCTTGACACCGTAGATTGTTGTTGAAAGTGAACTGTGGGGGACGTTGGGAAAGCCGATGAGGCAGAAACTGAACAGTGAAAGCAAAGGAGCAGAGAGGAAAACCTTAGTTGCACGATGCATTGGAGGTCATAAATTCTTTAACGCAGGGAGACTGCAAAAATAATGTCACTACTACCTTCTTTGTTATTTGTAGTTTAAGTAAATTGTATGTAGTTTTCATTCCTTTAGCTACTCTGAATTAATCCCTTTGTGGTCTTTATAAAGTTCTCCGTTAAAGAAAACTGGCATCTGGGCCTTCCTTTTCCCCGAGGATTGCTACAGAACAGATAGATTTATAACTCTTATGATATTTATTTTAAAAACTTTGGATGTTCCAGAAGCACAACTTATATTTTTCTCAATACCTCTGTTTAGTTTCAATTTTGGAACCCTGAGTTTGCCTGATTGCAAAAATTAAAAATAAAATATCTTAGTCAACTTAAGATAAACTCAGGCGTCTGTTTTAAGCTCATTTAATTCTCTTAGTTATTCTTTCCTTTTTCCAATAATTTTCTAGGAGCTTTGGACCATGGGAGTTGGGAAGGTGATCTGGCTCAGGGCCATTTTTCTTACAAGTGAGTATCCACAAGATGATACAATCCTTTCTGGTCTTTGGACATGACCATACTTCTCATGGAATCTTATGGGGCATCTGTTTTGAATTGAATTGTCTTCCTCAAAAATATGTATTGAAGTTTATCAATTATATATTGACGATAAATATGAAAGTACCCCCCCATATCTCAGAATGTGACCTTATTTGGAAACAGGGTCTTTGCAGATGTAATTAGTTAAGATGAGGTCATACTGGAGCGTGATGGGCCTCTAGACAATAAGAACAGTATCTTCTTATAAGAAGACAATATATGAACGTACGAGAGGAGAAGGCCATGCTCTGAGAGAAGCAGAGGTTAGAGTTATGCATCTGTAAGCCCAGGAGTGCCAAGGATTGCTGGTGACATCAGAAGCCAAGAGAAAAGCATGGAACAGATTATCTCCCAGAGCCTTTGAAAGAACCTGGCCCTGCTGACATCTGGATTTTGGACTTAGAGCTCTCTTATGGGTGTGGGCACAGGGCAGGCTCTACACAAGTCCCACAGCCTCCAGAACAGTGAAATAATAAATTTCTGTTGTATTAAGCCATGAAGATTGTAGTACCTTGTTATAGCAGCCCTAGGAAACTAATACAGCATCCAAACTCAAGCCACTTCTAGAGTGTCCTCTTAGCCTAGAGTTCCAGGCATCCACTCCATTCTGGATCACTTGGGAAAATGGCCATTTCCAGTGTCCTGTCAAACTGCCCATCTGCTAGAGCACTTAAAAACTCTGCTTTACTCAGGGGCCAGGGTAGCTTGGATACTGCCTGTAGTGCTTGCCAGCTTCCAGGACAACAAGACAGAGACAAGGCTTCAGTACTTTCTGTTCTTCGATCCTGAAACCCTTCTGGGGGTCCTATACTCTTATGACTTAGAGCTCTCTTATGGGTGTGGGCACAGGGCAGTCTCTACACGAGTCCCATAGCAGTATGTTTTCCTGCTGCTCTTTTTGCTAAACCTTCCCCTTCTTTACCTATCACACCTCTCATATCCATATCCTCTCAAACTTGGGATTTTTGTGGGATTTTTATCTAGACTAGGTAAACAGAAAACAACTGCTTCCACAGCCTGGTCTATATGTATTTATCCCTGAATTTTTTATTTGGCATCTGGCAGGTATGAAAGTCTAGAATTTGCTATCTTTATTCTTGGGTTCCTTCATGACAAGAATGGGAGAGAGTCGCTGTGGAAAGGAATAGTACAGGAAAAACTCATTTACTAATATTTTACAAGAGAATTCTGACGAAAGTAGCCAAGGTGGATGCACAAGTCTTAGCTGAAAATTGAGGTCAAATTCTAAAGCTTAGAACAGATGCGGGTACCCAAACTGCATCTCTTACAGAATGTGACCCTTTAAGGAGTATACCTATCCATGTACAGTCATATTTAATGAAGTCGAAGGGTGGCAGTATATGCCAGTCATTGTGACTACCGCTTGATGCCTAAATATCAGTCTGTCAGTCTGCACATTAATATTGGCTAATGTTTTCATGAATTTGTTTTCTTGTCAGAAAATGTGAGTTTCTTCCTAGCGTTTTTGAGGGCTTTTGTGCATTTGTTAAGTTGTTCTGGAATCTTTCTGCTGTGACGTGGCTGTTTTTTGTTTTGTTTTGTTTTGTTTTGACTTGCCTATTCCTGATTATATTTTACCTTTGTATGATTGGGGAATCATGTAGGACCTGATATAAATAATCAAGTATTTTAATAGAGTGATACATTCTGAATAGAGCTGATCTTGACATAAAACTAAGTATTCTAATAATACGGCCGGGTGTGGTGGCTCACGCCTGTAATCCCAGCACTTTGGGAGGCTGAGGTGGGAGAATTGCTTGAGCTCAGGAATTTGAGACCAGTCTGGACAATGTAGCAAGACCCTGTCTGTACAAAAAAATTTTTTTTTAAACCCACTAAGTATTTTAATGATAGAGGAATTATTATATACCTGCTATATCCTTAACACAAAAGTGTGTGGTATGGACGGGGGTATGAGAAATTTGTAAGGCATGATATAAATCCACATGGAGCATTGCATCTACTAGAGTAGCAGGACACATACATCCATGACACACAAAACCACGAATACATACAAGTTACAGAATGCAGATTATTATATAATTAAACAGTATATAACATACTGCCTACTAAGCAGCACTCAGGGGTGAGGTAACAACTCGATCAGGATGAAATAAAACTGGCCTGGAATTACCTCCAGCTGAAGATGACTTGATTCTTGAATCTGGCCGGATTCTGTCTAGAGAGAGAATACTCCTGGGCCAGCTATGCACTGTTCTCCAAACTTGGAAAAGTGGCAATAAGTAGGAAAGAAATCCCATTTTAAGGGCACATGCACAACAGGAAGCCCTTTTTTTCTAGATAGACTCCTGGATGCAAATTCCCCAGGTTTATATTCACTTAGGCCTCAATCTCACTCAGGTTAATATATTATTTGAAGTGATTTTGCTAAGGATAGACACACAGGTCTTACTACATGCGGGCTAAATAGTTGAAGATGTCTCTATTTTCTGCTACCCTAGTGCTCTCTCTTTGTGCAGCCGCATTACTCAAACAAACAAAAGAAAATCTTCCCAGAACACTAGGAAGCCACACCTTTGGTATCAGTCTTGTATGGAAGGGTAGAAACATGTGGGCAACTTGAGACCTGAGGTCACCATCCAAACTCATCAAAGAAAATAGCACCAGTGCACAGTCAGTTATCTTTTAGAATGGTTTCTGCCAATCATTCTAATCTATTTTGTATTGCATTTTTAATTTTATTCATTGCTATATCACTTAATTCCCATATTTTATGTTGCCTTTGTGACTATTTTCTCTTGTGTGAAAGTACCTCTTAGTCATTCGCTTGTCGTAGTTGTTTGGATAGTTGCTTCAATTTTTTATTTCTATTTATTTATTTATTTTTGCTAATGGATTATCAGCATTTAATTATGATCTTTTTGCTTTTCTTGATTTTTCCCTCATTATGAAGTTCCTGGAGTGAGATTACTGAGTTAAAATGAAAGAAGTTGTGCTGTTTTCCAGAATGGCTGTAACAATTTACAATGCTGTTTGCCATGTATGAGTGTGTTAGTGTGGCAGATTCCATATTCTAATGATGGCCATAAGAATATCTTCATTCTACGTGATCTTTGCTTATGTGACCTTGACATTCCTCTCATCAAGCGGTGAGGCTCTCCCCACAACACTTGACTCTGGGTGGGCTTGTAACTTGCTTGTAACCAATAGAATGCAACCAAAGTGATGTGGCATGACTGATGAGGCTGAATAAGGAAAAGCAATGCAGCCTCCACCTTGTTTTCCAGAACATTCACGTTCGGTGCCATGAACTGCCATATAAGAAATTTGGGTGTCCTAAGACCACAATACCAGAATGCATGTACCAAGCCACATGGAAAGGCCACATATAATAAGCACCCTAAAAGTAGTTCTAGATTTCCAGTCTCCCAACTCAGGTGCCAGGGTTTGGAAGTCCTATTGACATCCCAGCATGAAAATTTACTTGGCAATTATGTATATGGACTTGCCTCTCAGGAAGAGGCTAAAGTGGAGGTCTGGATTTAAAGGTCATCAAGCAATGATGAAAATTGAAACTATGGGAGTGATTGTGATTGCCTAACGAGAGTGTATCAGTTAACCATTGCCACATCACAAGCCATCTCAAAACTTAGTGGTTTAAAACAACACTAATAAATATTTATTCATAATTCTGAAACCTGAGTTGGGCTCAGTGGGGTAGCTTGTCCCTGTTCCACATGGTATTGGCTGAGGTCGTTCATGCATTTGCAGTCAGTTGATGGCACAACTGGAGCCGGAGGATGCAATGTGGCCTTATCCACATGTCTGTCACCTGAGATAGGATTGTTGGAATGGATGGGAGCCGGTCAGATCTTTCTCTTCCCCATGGTCTCTCATCTTCCAGGGTCTGTCTCTATACATAGGCCTGTATCTTCAAGAAGGATACCCCAAACTTTCTTACATGGCATCTCTGGGTGGCAAAAAGGTGAAAGCAGATGTCTTAAAGCCCAGCTCAGAATTTGTATAGTGTCATTTCCCTTCATTCTATTGGTTCAAGCAAAAGGCCAGCCCAGTGAGTGTGGGAGGGGAATTGAATGTGAATTCAGTGATTCACTAAGGCTGTTATCTAACCATCAGTCAAAAAGGATATGGGAATGAGAATAATCTAATGCTTGGAAGAGCACGACATCTAAAGAGTGAGTGTAGAAAAAGAAGCCCATTGTGTGATATTCCCCTTCCTGTGTCCATGTGATCTCATTGTTCAATTCCCACCTATGAGTGAGAATATGCGGTGTTTGGTTTTTTGCTCTTGCGATAGTTTACTGAGAATGATGATTTCCAATTTCATCCATGTCCCTACAAAGGACATGAACTCATCATTTTTTATGGCTGCATAGTATTCCATGGTGTATATGTGCCACATTTTCTTAATCCAGTCTATCATTGTTGGACATTTGGGTTGGTTCCAAGTCTTTGCTATTGTGAATAATGCCGCAATAAACATACGTATGCATGTGTCTTTATAGCAGCAAGATTTATAGTCCTTTGGGTATATACCCAGTAATGGGATGGCTGGGTCAAATGGTATTTCTAGTTCTAGATCCCTGAGGAATCGCCACACTGACTTCCACAATGGTTGAACTAGTTTACAGTCCCGCCAACAGTGTAAAAGTGTTCCTATTTCTCCACATCCTCTCCAGCACCTGTTGTTTCCTGACTTTGTAATGATCGCCATTCTAACTGGTTTGAGATGGTATCTCATTGTGGTTTTGATTTGCATTTCTCTGATGGCCAGTGATGATGAGCATTTTTTCATGTGTTTTTCGGCTGCATAAATGTCTTCTTTTGAGAAGTGTCTGTTCACGTCCTTCGCCCACTTTTTGATGGGGTTGTTTGTTTTTTTCTTGTAAATTTGTTTGAGTTCATTGTAGATTCTGGATATTAGGCCTTTGTCAGATGAGTAGGTTGCGAAAATTTTCTCCCATTTTGTAGGTTGCCTGTTCACTCTGATGGTAGTTTCTTTTGCTGTGCAGAAGCTCTTTAGTTTTATTAGATCCCATTTGTCAATTTTGGCTTTTGTTGCCATTGCTTTTGGTGTTTTAGACATGAAGTCTTTGCCTATGCCTATGTCCTGAATGGTGATGCCTAGGTTTTCTTCTAGGGTTTTTATGGTTTTAGGTCTAACATGTAAGTCTTTAATCCATCTTGAATTGATTTTTGTATAAGGTGTAAGGAAGGGATCCAGTTTGAGCTTTCTACATATGGCTAGCCAGTTTTCCCAGCACCATTTATTAAATAGGGAATCCTTTCCCCATTGCTTGTTTTTCTCAGGTTTGTCAAAGATCAGATAGTTGTAGATATGCGGTGTTATTTCTGAGGGCTCTGTTCTGTTCCATTGAGCTATATCTCTGTTTTTGTACCAGTACCATGCTGTTTTGGTTACTGTAGCTTTGTAGTATAGTTTGAAGTCAGGTAGTGAGATGCCTCCAGCTTTGTTCTTTTGGCTTAGGATTGCCTTGGCGATGCGAGCTCTTTTTTGGTTCCATATGAACTTTAGACTGTGGTGGGGTGGGGGGAGGGGGGAGGGATAGCATTGGGAGATATACTTAATGCTAGATGACGAGTTAGTGGGTGCAGCGCACCAGCATGGCACATGTATACATATGTAACTAACCTGCACAATGTGCACATGTACCCTAAAACTTAAAGTATAATAAAAAAAAAATTAAAAAATAAAGAATAAAATTCTAGGTCATTCAGAAAACTAAATGGAAAAAAAAAGAAGAAAAAAAAGAAAAAGAAGCCCATTATGTGACTGAAGGGTGACCAGAGATACAGGAGGAAAAGCAAGTAAGAATGATATTATAGCAATTAAAAATTCCACTTCTAGAAAAATAGAACGGTTTGTTACTGCCAAAGTAAGAACATAATAATGAAACACACCTTCAGATTTAATAACAAGCAGTTATTGGTGACTTCGACAGGAAGAGATTCAGTGGAGCAGAAGGAGCTGAAGCCAGATTGCAGAAGGTTGAAGGAAGGAAGCACAGGGAGAGAGAAGGTTGCCTGTAAAAGGGCAGAGAGAACTGGGGAAATAGCCAGAATTTGACATGTTTCTATTTTAGTTTGTTAGTTTGTATATACAGGAGGAATTTGGACCAGTCAAAATGCTGAGAGGAAGGTGGAGACAAAAAGGGAAAGGTTGAAGGTATTTGAGAAACAAATATTAAGGAAATGAGTTCTAGTTTCTAGTTCTAGTTTAGCAGAAATTAAAATCAGTTTAACTGTGCAGAACAAGATTTTGTTACCTTAAGCTATTATTTTCATTCATTTTAATTTTCTAAAAAGACAATTTACTTGGAATCAAAAGGAGTAAAATCCATTAAAATGTATAAATATGTAATTTCACTTTGCTTTTTGAAGTGCCCAGTTAAGAATGATTTAATCTAAAATGAATCCATTTAAAAGTAAAAATGTTTAAAGTAAGAGGAAATATTTTGAAAGTATATTGTCTTATGAAAGTAAATAGTATATTTAAAATATGCATCCTTGCATTTGACATATTTATTCATTTTCTTCAAGATGTAAATGCTTTAACAAATGTTGCAAATGTAGAGAAATAAATTAACTTTACATCAAAGAGCAAACATCTCACAAATGGCAACAAGAGAGCAGTTGTATTTAAGATGTCTGATATTCCTTTATGTCTATATTAATAATAAATAAAATATTTCACTGTACTATTTTTCCTCATGGAAAACCCTGCTGTCCTTATTCATATACAAATCAAGCTGAAGGGGGATCTGGATGCCTGTGTACCTCCCAGAAGCTTTTTCTGGAACTGATTTGATGAGATGATTTACACTTTCTAACCATCCTTTTATACAGATAGGCTCTTCACTATTTTTACCTTTGGAGTCCTGGGTATTTTGCTGGGTTTGATAAAGTGGATCAGACACACATGTTTGCTCCAGAGAGTTTAAACATACATTATTGATTCTATCGTTTGAAGGTAAAAATGCTTTCAGAAGAAACTTGGAAAACAAGTCTAAATCAATTGAATTTAAAGACCAATAGAAATCCCTAGATATGGTTTCCACAGCAACAATTTGAATGTTTAATATTTCTTTGCACTCAAAAGGTAATTAATTGCTTCATTAATTCAATGCAAAAATTTTGCAACCTACTATGTGCTAGGTAACTGAGAAGCAAAAAGAATAAAGCCAAATGGCATCTTGTTTTTGCCCCTTCTCTCCCATCCGGTAGCCAATAGAGAGTTCACAGTCTACTCAGGATGCCAGGCAAATAAAGAGTTTTAATAATAATGTGATATGTGCCATAATGAAGGTGGGAAAAATGTACTTTGAAAGCACAGAAAGAAGTTAAATTTGTCTGTTGAGACTAAAGACAGACAGGAAAGACTCACCTGTTTAAACAGCTGAGGAGACATTTGAGTTTTATTTTCAAGAATGATACTGGTTTGTAGAATGAATTGAGGGCTTGGGAAGAGGTGGGAGGATGGACTGAGTGGTCAGGAGGAAAGAAGTGCATCCTGTTCAGAGGAAATAGCATGTGTAAAGACAAAGAACTGTTAGGACATTGTGGTTTTGGAGTGCTCCTTGCGGTTTTTTTTCTCTAGTATGACAGAAGGCATGATATGCTGAGGGAGTGAAAAGTTATTATGCTGGTAGAGTAGACAGAGATATGATAAAACATTTCTGTGACATCATAAGAAGTTTGAACTTTATTAGTGGGGAATGTTGAATGATCAATTATTTATATCAGGCATAAATATTAAGAACAGGAAAATCAGAGCAATGAATCATAGGACTTGTATGACAAGAGGTGATTAATATTTCTATTTCTCTGCCTTCAAGAAAAGCAATTGTCAAGGTATGTTTGCGGGTGACTTGTTCTTTTATGTAAAAGAGTCTGGGGGATGCCCCCTTGTTACTTGTTGTGTTATTGAATAGTTTTTATCAACAAGACTTAATTCCACACGCTGAATCTCACAGTGTGTAATTAAATCTTAGACTCTTGTTTTATCCTTAGGGACATGAAGACCTCTTTTGGCAATTTTTAATTCACTTGAAGGCAATTTTAAAGTTACTCCTTTGACTTTTCATTTTGGACTAAATAATCCTATCTCATTTTTTTCATAACTTCTATGTTACAATGCTTTAAACCATTTCAGTTGCTATTTTCTGGATTTTTCTCCTAGTTTCTTGATATATTCCTTGTAAGTGGTAAAATAAGCACCAAGCAATATAATATTTTAAAAAGATTCTGGGTGATGTTAGATCTAAGATAAAGGATTATTCCCAGCCATTTCTTATCATACATCTGTTAGGATATACCTAGTATTATGTTAGAATTTTTTAAAGGCAGCTCTGCATTGGTGAAAGATACAATTTATGTTTTGACCATTCTTTTTTCTTTTCTATTTTGCAGTTAAAAACATTTTAAAAGCAGTCTTGTAAAGTTTTTTCTTATCATTGATGGGTGATTTCTCTTGACATCTTAAATTCCATTCATATCTCAAGCAACAAGCTATAATGAAATGAGGAGATGTTTGGGAGACCCGAGTTCAAACCATGTCTCTTTAAGAAAGGTTGGAATAGAGCAATTTAAGCTAAAAAAGTCCCAGAATAATTATGGGACATTCTCAAAAGTATCCTAATTTGGATGATAACCTGCATTATCACTTTAGGCTCTTGTAATTATGAGTTTATGCTTCTCTGAATCTCAGCTTCCTCCTTGGTAAGAGGGAACAAAATATATAGCCAATACAATTGCTGGGAGATTTAAATATTTTAAAAAGTTAAAATTTTTAGCATGAAGCTTGACACAAAGCAAAGACTTTAGTTAAATAGGCCTTTTCCTCTTTTCTTGTCCCCTTTTTATAAAAATGATAATTCCTCCCTTCAAATCAGGTAGTCTCTGTATACATAAATTAGCTAAATATCTGAGATAAAAATATACCCAACGAAATAACATGTTTGTAAAGTTCAGACTTAGATTTCAGTAGGAAGCTTAAGGTGCATCCTTGCTATACCCACAATCTAGGTCATTGCTAATGACATTGCATAATACAGAAATCTATGTACAATGGCTTCAGTTATCCCTTAGCTTCATATGCAACCAATAAGAATGCTTCTATGTTCAGCTGAGCCTTCAGTTTTTAGATGAAATCTCATTAAAACAGAATTTCACCAAGTGCATTCTTAGGAACACTGTTCCCTGTAAGTAGTTAGTGGACATTATGAATGGGGAAGAAGTGCTGCGGACAAAAACAAACAAACAAACAAACAAACAAAACAAAACAATGTGGAAATGGGAAATGTTGGAATAAACAAAGTTAAAGTTACCTGTAACTTGCAGGATTTCCCAGAGCCTTTAGCATACTCATCTTTACTGTGAATCTGAAAGAGTGTAATATAGTATGCAGCATTTACAAAATAAGTAATTGAACTTGGATCCCTTTTTCCATGGAGCTCCTCAACATACCAAGTTATTGAGAGCTCAGTTTACCACAGTGTTTTCCAGTCTTGGTAGAATGTTCATTCATTTATTTAAAAAAATATTGTTGGCTTACAGCATTTATTGATTGAGTGCTTTGTGTCTAAGTGGCACTTGGCACTTCAAACCATATTATTTAACACATTATAATTTAATATGTAAAAAGTAATTAGAACTTAAAAAGTATAGTAACATGGTAAATTTGGTAAATGATTTTTTCATTCTTATTTTGTGGCAAGGATTTAGTATGTTAGCTGTTTAGTACAATGGTTTCCAAACTTTCTAAATTGTGTCCTCAGTTCTTCACAGGGCAAATATACTTATTTATTTATAAATTGTATTTGCATATTAATGGGTTAATATATAATGTAAGCATGTGCAAAATTTAGATGTTCGAAGGGATTAGATGAAAAAATAAATAGAAATAGAAATTCTAATATTTTCTTCCTGGGCTTTGATGGTTCACCTTGCCAACCTCTAGGCCACATACTTCTCTCTTTGGAGACCATTGTACTAGTAGTAAAGAAGCAAAGAAGGAAACAGAGATAACTGCTATATACTTGGAGGAAATATTGTCTTTCATTCATCATATTTGTCATCACTTATTATGGAGAAAATTGAGGTTTGACACTATTGTAAACTGTTCACAAAAAAGGATAAAGAAATAATTTTTTGATCTTAATAAGCTTATCCTGATTGAAGGAAATATATAATAACAGAGAAATATTGACTGAAGAAGACACTCATTGAAAATGGTGCGATAGGAGTCTCCAGTGCTTGCTCATTCACAGAAACATCAATTTTAATAACCATTCATGCACAAATACCTTTGCAAGAGCTAAGGAATCAAAGTGAGAATTACAGTACCTGGGTGGAACACAGAAATAAGAAAAGGCACTTTGAAGAAGGTAGAAAGGATTGTTGCATATTGCTTGCATCACTTCTCTCCCAAGCCCACACAGCACAGTATATATATATTTTATATATAATATATATATATTTTATATATAATATATATATATTTTATATATAATATATATATTTTATATATAATATATATATATTTTATATATAATATATATTTTATATATATACATATATATTATATATATATTTTATATATATAATATATATATATATATAGAGAGAGAGAGAGAGAGAGAGAGAGAGAGAGATAATCTTCAGGTTGGGAAAACAGTTACATAAGCACAAGACTTCATCATAGGCTACAGCACCAGGTCAGCCCCAGTGAACCTCAGCACCAGACTTGCCCCCACAGACCCAGGTTTTAGGCTTGTCCCAGTGCTAAGCTGGCTCTCAAAGCCTCAGTCTTCAGGCCTGCCCCTATGGACTCATGCTGTATGATAGCTACCATGGCTCCAGGCACTGGACCAGTACCCATGGACCTAGGCTTCAGGCTGGCTCCTGCAAATCTAAGCGCCAGCCCTGCCCCAGTGCCAGACCAGGCTCTGTCATCCCAGATTCCAGGCCAAATGTCACAAACCCAGGTGCCACACCTGTCTGCCCTCTGACTGAAGCATCAAGCCAGCTGTTCTGGTGACTTCAGTAGCCAGCCTGTCTATGGAACCTCAGAGCGGAGCTGCCCAGAATTTCTGGTTGAGCCAACTGGTGAAGTGTTTTTCCTTTTAAAGCCAGTCTGTAAAGACTAGAAACAGTGCCTATTTCTTTAACTGCATAGACACCAACACAAGGCCAAAACGATCATGAATAATCAGGGAAACATGACACCACCAAAGGCACAAAATAAATTGCCAGTAACTGACCCTAAATAAATAGAAGTATATGAACTGCTAGATAAAGAATTCAAAATGATTATCTTGGAGAAGCTCAGTGAACTACAAGAGAACACAGATAGGCAACTAAACAAAAATCAGATTAAAAATATATGAACAAAATGGGAAGTTCAATAGAAAAATAGAAACCATAGAAAAGAACCAAACAGAAATACTAGGGTTGAAGAACACATAATTGAACTGCAAATTTCTACAGAGAGCCTAAACAGCAGACTTGATCAAGCAGAAGAAAGAATTGGTGAGCTTAAAGATAGGTCATTTGAGAATATCTAGTCAGAGGAACAATTTTAAAACAAGAAAGACAATGGGACTATGGGGCACCATTAAGCAAACATATACATTATGAAATTTTCAGAAGGAGAAGACAAGGATGAAAGAGAGGAAAGCTTATTTAAGGAAATAATGATAGAAAACTTTCCAAAGCTGGAGAGGAAAATGAACATCCAGATCCATGAAGCCCAAAAGTAAACATGGAACATAAACGTATATTTAGATTAGACGTAAAAAGATATTCACTTAAACACATTATAATCAAATTATTAAATTAAAGACAGAATCTCTATTTTTTACAAGGCAGAATAGTTTCTATTGTGTGTGTACACACACATATATATATATATATATATATACCACATTTTCTTTATTTGTTGATGGGCATTTACATTGATTCCATAACTTGACAGTTGTGAATACTGCTGTAATATGAGATATCTGCAATCTGAGAGTGCAGATACTTCTTTGACATACTGATTTCAGATCCTTTGGAAATCCCAGAAGTGGGATTGCTGGATCATATGGTAATTCTATTTTTAGTTTTTGAGAAGCCTTCATACAGTTTTCCATAATGGCTGTACTAATTTACATTTCCACCAACAATATACAAGGGATTCCTTTTTCTGCCTATCTTTGCAAACACTGGTTATCTTTCATCTCTTTTATAATAGTCGTTCTACAAGGTATGCAGTGATATCTAATTCTGATTTTAATTTGCACTACTCTAATGATTAGTGATGTTGAACATATTTTCATATATCTGTTGGCCATTTGTATGTATGTTTGCAGCAACATGGATAAACCTGGAGGGCATTCATCTAAGTGAAACAAGCTGGGCACAGAAAAACAAATACCATATATTCTCACTTCTATATGAAATCTAAAACAACCAGACTAATGGAAGAAGCAGAATTGTGGTTTTCAGAGGCCGAGGAAGGGGGACTGGGGAGATATTGGTCAAAAGGCATAATGTTTCAGTTAGACAGTATGAATAAATGATAAATATTTAAGGTGTTGAATATGTTAATTAACTTGATTTAATCATTCCACATTCCATACATATATCATAGCATCACATTGGAGCCCATAAATACCTACAATTGTAATTTATCAATATTCAATAAAATAAAAAAAGAAGTCAAAGAGAATTTTGAAAGCAGCAAGAGAAAAGCCTTTTATCACATACAAGGGAAACTACCTTCCCTTATAAGACTATCAGCAGACTTTTTTTTTGCAGAAACCTCGCAGACCAAGGGGGAGTGGGACATAATATACACAGTGTTGGAAAGAAAACAACAAAAAACCTTTCAATCAAGAATATTATACGTGGCAAAGTTATCCTTCAGAAATGTGGGAATTATAAAGATCTTCCCAGACAAACGAAAGCTAAGGGAGTTCATCGTCACTAGATGAGCCTTACAAGAAACGGTAAAGGGAGTTCCTTCAATTGAAAAACAGTACACTAGCTAAGAACATAAAAACATATGAAAGTATAGAAATCACTGTAAAGGTAAGAATATCATCAAAGGGTCAGACTCTAGTACTATCAATAGTACTAGGGTCAGAAGACCCTAGTACTATTATGGTGGCATATAAATTACCTTTAACACTAGCATAAGAGTTAAGATACAAAATTATCAAAAATAACTTTAGCCATAACAATTTGTTAAAGAAAGCACAATATAAAAAAGATAACCTGTGATCTTAATAACATAAAAAGTGAGGAGAGGAAAAGTAAAAGTGTAGAATTTTTGTATGTAATTGAAGTTAAGTTGTTAGATTAAATAGACTATTATAACTGAAAAAGATATTTTATGTAAGCCCTGTGGTAACCACAGAGAAAATTACCTGTTACAGGTCCAGAAAAGATAAAGAAAAAGGAATCAAAGCATACCACTACCAAAAAATCATCAAGTTACAAAGGAAGACTATGAGAGGAAGAAAGGAATAAAGAAACTACAAAACAGTAAGGAAACAATGAATAAAATGGCAATAATAAGTCCTTATTATCAATAATCACTTAAAACGTAAGTGCATTAAGTTTTCCAGTAAATGACATAAAGTGGTTGAACAGCTTAAAAAAAATAAACCTTGATGTAATTCTATACTGCCTAGAATGGAGTCAGTTTTACTTTAGAAACACATACAGAATTAAAGTGAAGAGATGAGAAAAGATATTCTAGGCAAATAGTAACCAAAAAAGAGCAGGAGTGGCTATACTTATGTTGAACAAAATGGACTGTAAGTCAAAACTGTCAAAATAAACAAAGAAGGTTATTATTTAAAAATAAAAGGGTCAATTAAACAATAGGATATAGCAATTATAAATAATATTCACCCAACATCAGAGCACCTAAATATATAAAACAAATATTAATAGATCTGAAGGGAGAGATAGACAATAAAATAATAGTAGGGGACTTTAATGTACTACTTTCAACAGTGTACAGGTTGCCTAGACTGAAAATCAGTAAGGAAACAACAGACTTGAACAACACTATAGACCAAATGGACCTAACAAGTATTTATAGAACATACCAACCAATAGCAGCAGAATACACATTTTTTTTCAAGTGCACACAGATCATTTTCCAGGACAGATCACATGTGAGGCTATGAACCAAGTCTTAATAAATTTAAGAAGATTGAAATCCTATCAAATATCTTTTCTGACCACAACAGTGTGCAATTTAAAATCAACAGTGGTAGGAAAATGGAAAAATTCACAAATATTTGTAAATTAAATAATACATTCCTGAACAATCAATGGGTCAAAGATAAAATCAAAAGAACATTAAAAACCTATATATTTTAAATATATAAAATTATTTTAATAATATTAATTGATTTATTTAAATATAGAAAATAATTTTGGGTGGAAATACCCTAAACATCAAAGATAGCACCATTTTAGTATTAAGTGTGTCAATGGGGAAAAGCCTAAGATTTTGGGTCAAGACACCCAGGTTCAGACCTGAATTCTATCATTTCCCATCATGTGATCTTAAGCAAGTAACACATTTCCTCTGAGTTTCAGTTTTTCTCATCTATGAATGAAGATAATATTACTTTGTTGCATTGTTGGAATATAATCTAATATATGAAATGTATCAGAAACTTATTTTACTTGACTAGAAATAATGTTGTTAAGGCATATGTTATAGATCCCAAGCATGGGAGGTAAACCTCTATCAAAAAACAAATGTGATTAACCTACATTATATATGTGTGTGTGTATCTTTCTCTCTCTCTCTCTCTATATATATATGTATACACACACACACATTCAACAATTAACAGATCATCCAGACTGAAAATCAAAATGTCTGTCAGAGGGGGAGAGAGGGAGGGAGATTGAGAGAGAGAGAGGGAAAGAGAGAACTCCTATTTTACTTTGGTTTATTTTGAGACAGACACTCTTTTTATTAAAGTATGAATATATAAGTGTGTATATTTTTCCTGTTGATGAAGAATAATGAATAGACATTAAACATTCATCTTATTTAAAATCTTTCTATTTTTTCCTAATCAAAAGACTCCTGAAGAGTATCTTCACGTGTTAGCCTCAGAGCCTCTTCCCTTGCTGGACCCTGTGAGATGTTTGTCCACATATAGTGACTTGCTGCTTGCCTTCCATCATATTTCAGCTTTTACAGTCAACTTTCCACTTTCCTGACCACCTAAAAAGTACCCAGTAAATAACCCTTTATCGCTTTACCTTGTCTTTATCTTTTTTTTTTTTTTTTCTGAGACAGAGTCTCACTCTGTCATCAAGGCTGGAGTGCAGTGGTGTGATCTTGGCTCACTGCAACCTCTGCCCCCGGGGTTCAAGTGATTCTCGTGCCTCAGCCTCCTGAGTAGCTTGGATTTCAGGTGCCCGCCACCATGCCTGGTTAATTTTTGTATTCTGGTAGAGATGGGGTTTCACCATGTTGGCCAGGTTGGTCTCAAACTCCTGACCTCAGGTGATCCACCCACCTCGGCCTCCCAAAGTGCTGGGATTACAGGTGTGAGCCACCACGCCTGGCCGCCTTTATCTTTTACCTGTTAAGAGAGTAGATCTTCAATGTTCTCAACACACACACACACACACACACACACACACACAAAAAAAAAAAAAAAAAAAAAAAAAAAACAAACAAAAACCAGTAATTATGCGAGGTGACGGATATGTTCTTTAGCTTGATTGTGGTAATGCATATCACAAATTACATATGTCTATCAAAACATCATATATACCTTACATATATATAGACAGAAATAATTTTAATTTGCCAGTTATACTTCAATAAAGCTGGGGAAAAAACCCAGAAATATTTGTAGAACATTAATCATATACTAGGTAGTAGGCATCAGGAATACAGAAGTTATGATCTTTTGAGGAACTTTTAAATATTAAAGAGATGCCCTAAACTGGGTAGTGTTTTCAAAAAAAAAAAAAAAAAAAGGGAAGGTAACCGTGGAAAATTCCTTTTTAATATTATGCATATTTTATTTTGAGTAGGAACTCTTTCTGTGAAAGTATCATGGGGAAAGTGTTGTATTAGGCGTCAACTTGCTTGGAGGGATCCTAGGACTCTCTTGTTCATGATTCTTACTTGAGTCTTGTTCTCATGAATTCTATTTGTTTCTAGCTACTTCTCCTCTTTAGGCCTAATTTAGTGTATAAGCCTTCTGCTGTCCTCTAAGCTGTGGTTGCTAGTCATTGCTCTTCCATTCTCCTCATTACTTGCCATTTGATCTCAGTGTATCAGCCATTTAAACTTTTTCCTTTGTCAATGGCTGCCATATTATTCACTTACCAGTAGTCTCCCATTTCACCCTTTGTGATGGTTACCCCAGTATATCATTACTTTAGATACATTTTATTTCACCATGACTCTAACTTCTTGCGGATGTTCACTTATATTTTAATCACATAAAATAGTCTTCATTATTACTTAAATAAATGTGTCTTTAGAATTTTTCAAAAGGTATTTTCTATCTTAATGTTGTCATGCACTTGGATTTGTACACATAAAACCTTAGCTATTTAAGGGATGGGTATAACCTATGAAAAGATTTCTCAGGTTTCTTTTTTTTTTTTATTATACTTTAAATTTTAGGGTACATGTGCACAATGTGCCGGTTAGTTACATATGTATACATGTGCCATGCTGGTGTGCTGCACCCATTAACTCGTCATTTAGCATTAGGTATCTCTCCTAATGCTATCCCTCCCCCGTCCCCCCACACCACAACAGTCCCCAGAGTGTGATGGTCCCCTTCCTGTGTCCATGTGTTCTCATTGTTCAATTCCCATCTATGAGTGAGAACATGCGGTGTTTGGTTTTTTGTCCTTGCGATAGTTTACTGAGAATGATGATTTCCAATTTCATCCATGTCCCTACAAAGGACGTGAAATCATCCTTTTTTATGGCTGCATAGTATTCCATGGTGTATATGTGCCACATTTTCTTAATCCAGTCTATCATTGTTGGACATTTGGGTTGGTTCCAAGTCTTTGCTATTGTGAATAGTGTCACAATAAACATACGTGTGCATGTGTCTTTATAGCAGCATGATTTATAGTCGTTTGGATATATACCCAGTAATGGGATGGCTGGGTCAAATGGTATTTCTAGTTCTAGATCCCTGAGGAATCGCCACACTGACTTCCACAATGGTTGAACTAGTTTATAGTCCTGCCAACAGTGTAAAAGTGTTCCTATTTCTCCACATCCTCTCCAGCACCTGTTGTTTCCTGACTTTTTAATGATCGCCATTCTAACTGGTGTGAGATGGTATCTCATTGTGGTTTTGATTTGCATTTCTCTGATGGCCAGTGATGATGAGCATTTTTTCATGTGTCTTTCGGCTGCATAAATGTCTTCTTTTGAGAAGTGTCTGTTCATATCCTTGGCCCACTTTTTGATGTGGTTGTTTAATTTTTTTCTTGTAAATTTGTTTGAGTTCTTTGTAGATTCTGGATATTAGCCCTTTGTCAGATGAGTAGGTTGCGAAAATGTTCTCCCATTTTGTAGGTTGCCTGTTCACTCTGATGGTAGTTTCTTTTGCTGTGCAGAAGCTCTTTAGTTTAATTAGATCCCATTTGTCAATTTTGGGTTTTGTTCCCATTGCTTTTGGTGTTTTAGACATGAAGTCCTTGCCCATGCCTATGTCCTGAATGGTAATGCCTAGGTTTTCTTCTAGGGTTTTTATGGTTTTAGGTCTAACGTTTAAGTATTTAATCCATCTTGAATTAATTTTTGTATAAGGTGTAAGGAAGGGATCCAGTTTCAGCTTTCTACATATGGCTAGCCAGTTTTCCTAGTACCATTTATTAAATGGGGAGTCCTTTCCCCATAGCTTGTTTTTCTCAGGTTTGTCAAAGATCAGATAGTTGTAGATATGTGGCGTTATTTCTGAGGGCTCTGTTCTGTTCCATTGATGTATATCTCTGTTTTGGCACCAGTACCATGCTGTTTTGGTTACTGTAGCCTTGTAGTATAGTTTGAAGTCAGGTAGCGTGATGCCTCCAGCTTTGTTCTTTTGGCTTAGGATTGACTTGGCAATGCGGGCTATTTTTTGGTTCCATATGAACTTTAAAGTAGTTTTTTCTAATTCTGTGAAGAAAGGCATTGGTAGCTTGATGGGGATGGCATTGAATCTATAAATTACCTTGGGCAGTATGGCCATTTTCATGATATTGATTCTTCCTACCCAAGAGCATGGAATGTTCTTCCATTTGTTTGTATCCTCTTTTATTTGATTGAGCAGTGGTTTGTAGTTCTCCTTGAAGAGGTCCTTCACATCCCTTGTTAGTTGGATTCCTAGGTATTTTATTCTCTTTGAAGCAATTGTGAATGGGAGTTCACTCATGATTTGGCTCTCTGTTTGTCTGTTATTGGTGTATAAGAATGCTTGTGATTTTTGCACATTGATTTTGTATCCTGAGACTTTGCTGAAGTTATCAGCTTAAGGAGATTTTGGGCTGAGACAATGGGGTTTTCTAGATATACAATCATGTCGTCTGCAAACAGGGACAATTTGACTTCCTCTTTTCCTAATTGAATACCCTTTATTTCCTTCTCCTGCCTAATTGCCCTGGCCAGAACTTCCAACACTATGTTGAATAGGAGTGGTGAGAGAGGGCATCCCTGTCTTGTGCCCGTTTTCAAAGGGAATGCTTCCAGTTTTTGCCCATTCAGTATGATATTGGCTGTGGGTTTGTCACAGATAGCTCTTATTATTTTGAGATACATCCCATCAATACGTAATTTATTGAGAGTTTTTAGCATGAAGCGTTGTTGAATTTTGTCAAAGGCCTTTTCTGCATCTGTTGAGATAATCGTGTGGTTTTTGTCTTTGGTTCTGTTTTTATGCTGGATTACATTTATTGATTTGCATATATTGAACCAGCCTTGCATCCCAGGGATGAAGCCCACTTGATCATGGTGGATAAGCTTTTTGATGTGCTGCTGGATTTGGTTTACCAGTATTTTATTGAGGATTTTTGCATCAATGTTCATCAAGGATATTGGTCTAAAATTGTCTTTTTTGGTTGTGTCTCTGCCCGGCTTTGGTATCAGGATGATGCTGGCCTCATAAAATGAGTTAGGGAGGATTCCCTCTTTTTCTATTGATTGGAATAGTTTCAGAAGGAATGGTACCAGTTCCTCCTTGTACCTCTGGTAGAATTCGGCTGTGAATCCATCTGGTCCTGGACTCTTTTTGGTTGGTAAGCTATTGATTATTGCCACAATTTCAGATCCTGTTATTGGTCTATTCAGAGATTCAACTTCTTCCTTGTTTAGTCTTGGGAGAGTGTATGTGTCGAGGAATCTATCCATTTCTTCTAGATTTTCTAGTTTATTTGTGTAAAGGTGTTTGTAGTATTCTCTGATGGTAGTTTGTATTTCTGTGATTTCTGAGGTTTCTAATTTTTTTCTGAAACTTTTCACTTCAAATAGAATTTTAATTGTATTGGCTCTGAGAGAGTGCAAACCAAGTTAGTACTGAGTCAGCAGATGGAGGAATCCTTATCATTGAACAATGAAACAACTTGAATTCTTTTTTGCCCTTTTTGCCATCTGGTATCTGTGCTCATATTTGAAACATTAACCATTCAAGAAAGATTTTTTTTTTGTATCCAGTAGTCAGAATATTTCTCTGAAGACTGGTGCTTATCTTTTCAGGAAAAAAAAAAGATAAAATGTTATAAATATGAATGGAGCCCTGAACTAATATTTGACAGTGACATAAAAGCTTAAGAAAATGCAGAGTACAAAGTGAGTCTAAGGAGATGCCATTTTCAATTTATTTTCATAATCTAATTCTGTATTGCTTGTAAAGGTTAATCTAAATCCAGCAGAACCAAGGCTGTCCACTGTTTACTTGTTATAGGCACTGCTACATTATTCTAAATGCAGCAAGATGAACATGGCCCTTGTTTACAACCTAGTTGCTATTTCTTTTTGAATCATAGCAGATAAAGTTTTTTTCATGTGAACTTCAAATTATTAGTAGTCAAATAGTGTTCATAATGGTAAAATGCATCTAAGAAAACACCTAGAAAGGAATTTATAATATTCACTTTGAAAATAGTGACACAATATACATTTAACCTCCAGTTATTCAAATAACCTTGCAGATCACCTTTTTCTGGATGTCTACCTACTAGATGTCCTCAACTTCTATTTGATGAGGAAGAAAGCCAAAGGAACTCAAATAGTTTAAATATTAACTTAAATAGGAGCCTAAGGAAATATCTATTCAAAACTTTAGCCCCTAAGAGTTAAACATTACCTTATGTGGTAGTAATGGCTTCTAGATATTCTGGTGTTTTCCTTATGTATAAAACTGTTTATCTCTATTTTTCATGAGTTTTTCTAGTATAAACAAAACATAAATAATTAATGTGGTAATCATATTATGCTTGAAGCCAAATTCGTGGTCTAAGTCTAGATCTTTTAGCATGTGGGATACATATTGCCACTTTTCAAATTGGTTTGTCTTTGAGTAGAGTTTGAAGACTATTTCCTCTTGTGGTTGTGTTTTCCATTTGGGGACTTGTAAGCAATGCCTTGGTTTCTGGTGGAGTGGATCAGTTTGAGACGTTTTCTCTGTGTGAATCACTAAGAAGATTCTATTAACTATTCTTTAGATTTAGAAATAATTTGTTCACTGAATAATCAGTCTGTGATGGACAAGTTTAAGAAGATTACAAATAACACTCATTAAGTAAAAGTTAAGTGTTTTCTTGAATCAGCTTGAACCTTTATCCATTGGCTTAATCTAGCTCTTGTCTACTTATTTGGTTTTGGGACAGACCCTTTAACTTTCTCTCCTAATGGGTATTTCAGATGTTAAAGAGCTTTTGGGCACGGGGAACAGTGATGTGCTCAGCTTGGTCATGTTATGGGAAGAGGGCTGAGGTTGCTTTAAGTAGCTACAGAAGAGGCTTCAAAGAGAACCTCAGCTTCATTCCCTGTCCGTTAGTAAGCTACACTTTCCACCCAGCAGCTCTGATTACAGTGAGTCTGAAAATGTCTCCTTCAGAAACACTGCCCATTGCTCACTATTTTTGCACCCTGCCTGTTACCTAAGTCTCTCAGTTTCTTGCTCATGCTGCCAGCAAACTGTCCTCTATTGACCTTGGCCTCTGCCTACTTGGCTCCTATCACTTTAGGGACTCTTCCTCCTTAATATGGATTTTCAATTTGTACTCTCACTGACTTCTAGCTGTCTCCACATCTCACTATCACCTCTGCCACAGAGAATGTGTGGTTGCACTGATGGGTCTTCAGGTAGGAGAGAGTGCCACTGCAATCTCATGTCAGGCTTACCTCAGAGGCCACTGTTGTGTATGTGCATTAGAACAATGACAAAAACCAAAAACTCTACCAAGAACGGTATCTGTCATTTAACTCAATGTCTAGAATTCAGATTACTGCTCATCTCAGCCCTGGGAAGCAGTTATTATTCTTATCCCTGTTTTAAAGATACGGAAACAAAGACTCAGAGAAGCTAAATACTGGCAGAGCTGGGACTCAAACTTAGCTCTGTTTAACTTCAAATCCCTTGCCTTTAACCACTGTAATATGGCAGAGACCAGGTCACAGGGTCATGTTATCCACAGCCCAGAGTCCTTTGAACATGGCTGCCCTCAGAAGGGGCCTGTAGGCATGGTAGATGCCCCGAGGCTTTTCAGGAGGGGTGATTTCAGCAACAGACGCCTTCTAGCACAGATAATTTCCTGGCAGCACAATGAGGCTAGCATATCTATCCTGTTACATACAATTTCTTGGTGGATTGAAGATGTGAAGCAAAACTATGCTTTAAACTTCAAAGCACTTGTGTAATGACAGAAATGGTAGTGGGCTTGTAATAGTAGGACCTAGTACTTGTACCCTAGGCCTGGAATTTATTGACCTTTAAATTTTGGATACATCACTCAATGTCTTACTTTACTCATCTTAATAACTGGGTCAATCTTAATTTTAAAAGGACAATCATATGGACTTAATCTTCTAAAAAAAGATTAGCTTATTTTGATAAAGGGCTTGGCATTTGATAGAAATTGAGTATACTAGTAACTTTTTTTGTTTGTTTGTTTTTTCGTTTTTAATTCTCCAAAGAAAGACTATATCTGGCTGCTTAATAAAGAGAAAACCTCTCAATTGAAGTGTAACACACACAGAAAAGTGCAGAAATAAATGTTCAACTGAATTAACTATCTCAAAATAAACTCACTTGTGAAACCACTTTCTTACTCAAGAAATAGAACATGGGGCCAGCACCCTGGAAGCCATTTATGTCCACGCCTAATCACTAAACCCTCCTTTTTCCCCAGAAGTAACCACTGTTTGGATTTCTAACACTATAGAACTGTTTTGCCTACTTTTTAAAGCTTTATGTAAATGGAGTTATATGAAATGTATTCCCTTGTGCCTGGCTTCTTTTGCGAAATTATGTTTGTGAGATTCATGGATGTTATTGCACGTGGGTGTAGTTCATATTAACGGCAGTAGTGTGTTTCATTATACGAATGTACCACAATTTATTTATTTTACAGTTGATGGACATTTCAATTGCTTTCAGTTTTCACCTATTACTAATAATGTTTCTATGAATATTCTTGACCTTGTCTTTTGGTTAGTATGTATACATATTTAGTCTATACTAGGTATGAAGTTGCTGGGTCACTAGATGTGGTATCTTTAACTTGAGGAGACAATACAAAGCAGATATCCCAAATACTTTTCCATTCTGTCAATAGTGTGTGACTGCTTGTTGTTCCTAAGACTAGCCAAATCTTAGTATTTTCAGTTATTTGAATTCTGATGGGTTTGTAGTGGTATGTCTTTATCTTTCCTCGGCTACTAACGAGGTTTAATCACACCACTTTTTTTTTTTTTTTAGATGAAGTCTTGCTTTTTCACCAAGGCTGGTGTGCAGTGGTGCAATCTCGGCTCACTGCAACCTCCACCTCCCAAGTTTAAGTGATTCTCCTGCCTCAGCCTCCTGAGTAGCTGGGATTACAGGTGTGAGCAACCATGCCTGGTTAATTTTTGTATTTTTAGTAGAGACGGGGTTTTGCTATTTTGGCCAAGCTGGTCTCGAACTCCTGGCCTCAAGTGATCCACTTGCCTGGGCCTCCCAAAGTGCTGGGATTACAGATGTGAGGTACTGTGCCCAGCCAGTTTAACCCCCTTTAATATATTTGTTGGAAATTTGGATATCCTGCTTTGTAAAATCCTTTTTCAGTCTCTTGCCACCTTTTGCAAATGAGTTCTGGATTTTTCTTATTGGTAGTTTGAAGTACTTTATTCCATATTAGTCCTTTGTTGATTATATGTGTTGCAAATACTGTGGCTTCCCTTTTCACTCTCTTGTTTTTTTAATGAAAGGAACTTCTTAATTTTAATGTAGTCTAATTTATTAGTTTCTCCTTTGATTAGTGCTTTTTGTTGTTTGTTTGGAAAATATTTCTTAACCTCAAAATCATTTAGAAGATACTGACTTGCATGGTCTCTCAGGAGTTTTGTTGTTTTTATTTTCACATTTAGAGCTATAATCCTCTTGGACAGGTGATAGTTGTCTGGCTACTACATTTTTTTCTATGTTTTCATTCACCTGTGTCCTCTTTGCTTTATGGAAAAAAGTGAGACTATGGCTTGAGGAAGATGTGACTCTTTTTCTATATATCTGTACTCTTTATGACTATCTTTTTATACATTGTCACATTTCCTGAACATAACTCCCTCTCCCCCACTTTATTAAGCATATTCGAGACATAGAATGAATTTCTTAAATAATATTTTAGTACTGTTGTTTCTTAAGGAGATTAGGACAAAAACATTATGAAACACCCTTGATGAAAACAAAGAAGTAAATGCAGATATATCAAGCGGTTTATTCAGAGAGATGCAGGTTATTCTTACTTTTCATAGTTCTTCCCACCATTCTCTGCCATGCCATGGACTAGAAGGTTCTATCCTAGCATCGCTCTCAATACCTGCACTTAATCAACAATGACATCTCTTCCATTTGATAGTGAGTGATATGAATGAAGAAAGGAGGCTTCCCGGGAAAGAGGCTTCCTCATTTTATAGCAGAACTTGATGGGCATTGCGAAAACACAAGAATGATTCTAGTCTGTATGGAAAAGCATGGCTACTTCAGTGCCTGTTGGCATAATTAATTTTGTGAAAAGCTTGTACATGGCTAGCTAACATATAATCATGACTAAAGCTGAGAGATGCTCCATCATGGAACAGACATCCTTCATGTTTCTTTTGTCTTGCTATTTTACTTTCCATACCAAACACTGTTACAAACACAAACCATTGGTTTAGCATGAAAAGGCTGCAGTAAGGAACATACAGATGGTGGCTTGCAGCAAGGTCTTGCACATGTTTCTCATGGACAAAATTGGCATTTTTGCAATCTCGTGTGCCTCTGGTATGGTGATTACAAAGCTAACACTTTTATGTTCCTCTGAACTGTAGCATCTTTCTGTTTGTTAAGCATATTTTTTAAGTGTAGGTCAAAATTACAAATATCTTTTTCTTTGTCTGCTTTCTAGAGTTGACTGCAGAAAATGAAGAGGTTTCCAAGGGACAAGGCCTATGTGAGTCTGTCAGAGGCTAGACTCATCTGTGATTTACTTTCCTTTCTAACTCCTTGGGAGAACACTGTTTTCCTGTCTCTGTGCAGTTTGCAGTTTTTGAAGGACACGCTAATAAAGGCACACTTCTAAGGAAGATAGGAAAGGTCAACTAGTGCTTCTCAACTAGTTTTAGAAAACTTCTGGCTTCTACAGCTATGTGATAATTTGCGTAGATATAATTATTAAGGGCTTATCCTACAACTTAGTAAAAGTTTTGCGCTTTTTCTCTAGCACATGGCCTTTTAAAATGCCAGTAACTTTGTTAATTCCAAGCCAATTATTTTCACACTTTCCAAAGCATGATATCACACTGGTCATGTGTATCTCTGTATTGGGATACAATAAAACACACACACACAGACACACACACATTTACTTATTACTTTCATTCTCAGAGATGATGCCATTGTTCTCACTATTTTAATTTAATGTGTGCAAGCTTGGTCAGTGTTACATGTTGATGGTAAAAAGATAAATAAGATACAGATTCTGACCTTAAAGAGATTCTTACGGTAGAATATGTATACTGATCAAAAATTAAGCTATGGACTACAATATTTTTCACTTTGAATATTCAGAAAAATACCACTTAGGACCTAAAAATTATAGCTAGCCTATTTTGAAAAATTCCCCAGTTCTGACTGTTGGCCATGTGCTAGATGTAAGCAAAGAGAAGAGGTAAATAAAGAGAAGATCTCTGCTGTGAAGGTACTTACAAACCAATATGCTACACTTTCTCACTTTGCATAGATTCAAAATCAGGAAGATACTACAGCAGTGCAGACAATTGTTATTGTTATCTGGTTTTGCTTAATATCACTGGATGGCTTATTTTTTTTTTTGCTTTGTTTTATTTTATTTTATTTTAAGTTCCGGGATACATGTGCAGAACGTGCAGGTTTGTTACATAGGTATACATGTGCCACGGTTGTTTGCTGCACCTATCAAACTGTCATCTAGGTTTTTTTTTTTTTTTTTTTTTTTTGAGACGACATTTCACTCTTGTTGTCCAGGCTGGAGTGCAATGGTGTGATCTCGACTCACTGCAACCTCTGCCTCCTGGGTTCACGCGATTCTCCTGCCTCAGCCTCCCGAGTAGCTGGGATTACAGGCACCTGCAACCACGCCAAGCTAAGTTTTATATATTTAGTAGAGACGGGGTTTCACCATGTTAATCAGGCTGGTCTTGAACTTCTGACCTCAGGTGATCCACCTGCCTCGGCCTCCCAAAGTGCTGGGATTACAGGCATGAGCCACCGTGCCCAGCCATCATCTAGGTTTTAAGCCCCACATGCATTAGATATTTGTCCTAAACCTCTCCCTCCACTTGACCCCCATCCCCGGACAGGCCCCCAGTGTGTGTTGTTCCCCTCTCTGTGTCCAAAGCTTATTCTTTTCTTTCATAATTTCTCTGAATTAAAACACTATTGTATCCATAACTTTAAATATTTTATATTCTGGTATTGAGCAAGTAGATGACCTTTATTAGATTAGGGAGTGGAGTACTAAAAGATAGTCACTCTTTCATGAAAAGAATGCAAAGCAGAAAGTTCTTGCTTCTGTTGAATTTTGTATAAGGATGTCTTTGTCCAGCTAGTGAACTGTATTACATTTTGACACCATTGCATATCTGGTATGGTTTTTTGAGGTAGGAATATAAAATTAATAATTAATAATTTTGACAAAGTATAATTTTTTCTTTGTTTTTGACTGAGCAATGATCAAATGGATAGATTACTCATGCTAATATTTTGTAATATCTAGATATTTCTATAAACTAAGAATAAGCATAGACAACAGCAGATTGTCCCAGATCATCATTATTAATATAATCATCGTGGATTACTATATAAGGTCAAGATGTCAATTCTTCACAAATTAACTTATGGGCTTGATGCAATTCTGCACAAGATTATATGATTATCTGGAACTTGAGGAAATCTTATTAAAATTCACCTAGAAGAGAGAAAAAGCAAGAAGAGCTAAGAAAATATTGACAAAAAAAGTAATGGATGGAAGCCTTGTCCTATGAACTGTTAAAAACTAGAACAATTCAGTGATGAAAAACTGTATTTTAACTGTCAATTTAATGTATGTATAGGTATGTGAAATCTCAATAACATGTATATGAAAAAATATTCAAATCTAACTAAATCCTAGTCTTCAAGTATCTATCTGAAAGTCTATCTTTCATCTATGTATATTTAGAACATTTAATAAGGAAATATGCAAGGACCATATAAAAGATCTACATCATTTATTGAGTGATATAAAATTATTTTATTATGTCCCTAGATTAAAAAGACATATAGGATAATATAAATGTACAATATAAATTATCTTATATACCCTGTAGTATACTGTTCAGTACATAAAGTAAGTATTCAATGACTATTTCTTAAATAAATGAATATAAAAAGTTTGTATTGTTTTGTAATTATTGGAAGGCTTATTTCAGCATGAAATAAAATCTAAGTAAGTATTGATACATAGAAAGTAATTGTCGGGGTAATTTGGAAAAAAACATATTGTCCTAGGTACCTGATAAGAATATATATGAAGGAGGTAGGTATATTAGTTAGGAGTTTGCAGAGAAACAGAATCAATAGGGGATGTGTGTATGTGTGTGTGTGTGTGTGTGTGTGTGTGATAAATGATTTATCTTAAGGAACTGGCTTATGTAATTAGGGAGGCTGAGAAGTCCCACAATTGGGTGTCAGCAAGAGGAAGATCCAGGAGAGCTGGGGATGTAGTTCTGAGAACCAGAGTGCTTGTAGTATAAGTCTCAGTTGAGGGCAGGAGAAGACTCAGTCAGGCAGAGACTGAATTCACCCTTCTCCACATTTTTATTCTGTTTCGCCCTCAGTAGATTGGATGATTGGGTGCAGGGTGCTTTACTGAGTCCACCAATTCAAATGCTAATCTCATCTACAAACACCCTTACAGACACACCCAGAAGTAATGGTTATTCTGGGCACCCCATGTCACAGTCAAATTGACACATAAAATTAACCACCAGAATTAACAGGAACAGAAAAAAAACTTTGAAGTTTGCCAGATTACATGGTGAAACAGGATGAGTAGAAAAATACTTATCCAAAAATAGTATGTTGGAGAAAGAGAAGCAATCGCCTATATTTAGGCCCTGAATTAGATACTCTTTGTCTGATAGATAGGGCAATGTCAGCTTAGAAACATCTGGCATGTCAGGTATTATATTCAAAGCAATAGGATATTGGGAAGACATGCATATTTCTAAGGAAGAGAGAAACTTAGAGTGGGACTTAATGACTGTTCTCTCTGAGATATGATTTATTAAAATTCTTTCCAGTATAATTACTCATAAATATGGGAAATCAACTGCAATTTACTCCCAGGAATCAATCAGTGCCTTTTCTTGCTAGATCGATCCCTTGTGGGCTGCTGATCACTATTCCTGGATTTGGACCAGTGATGCAGAGTGCATTCATTATTCATTCACTTATTCCTTCAATAAATATTTGTGAAATGCCTACTCAGTGACAACATGGTGGTGGTATGGCTGCCGATTTAATAGGAAACAGCACATGGCTTCCAGTCTCTTGAGCTAAGAGAATGGGAAGTATGGGGGAAGGCAGGGGACACAAATTTGTGTGTCCAAAGAATGTGATGTAGGGTCTGTAGAGTAGCTGGCTAAATTTGTAACTGCCCAAATGGGTTCACCTTACCTGCTGCCTAGACAGAGACAAGTTATCAAGAAAGGGGAAATACAATAGAGAAAGAGTAATTCACGCAGAGCTGGCTGTGCAGGAGACCAGAGTTTTATTATTACTCAAGTCAGTATCCCGAACATTTGGGGATCAGAGTTTATTTTATTTTATTTTATTTTTTTGGGAGACGGAGTCTTGCCGTCGCACAGGCTGGAGTGCAGTGATGCAATCTCGGCTCACTGCAACCTCTGCCTCCCGGGTTCAAGCAATTCTCTTGCCTCATCCTCCCGAGTAGCTGGTACTACAGGCGCACGCTGCCACGCCTGACTAATTTTTTGTATTTTAGTAGAGACGGGGTTTCACCGTGTTGCCCAGGCTGATCTCGAACTCCTGAGCTCAGGCAATCCGCCCGCCTCTGCCTCCCAAAGTGCTAGGATTACAGGTATGAGCCGCCTGGCCCAGACGGATCAGTTTTTAAGGACAACTTGGTGGGCAGGAAGTCCCAGTGAGTGCTGGAGTGCCAGGAGTGCTGATTGGTTCAGGTCAGAGATGAAGTCATAGGGAGTGGAAGCTGTCTTTATGTGCTGAGTCAGTTCCTAAGAGCAGATGAGCCAGTTTATGGATCTGGGTGGCACCAGCTGATCTCTCAAGTGCAGGGTCTGCAAAATGTTTCACACACTTATCTTAGGAGCAGTTTAGGGAGGGTCAGAATCTTGTAGCCTCCAGCTGTATGACTCCTGCACCATAGTTTCTAATCTTGTGGAGAATTTGTTAGTCCTGCAAAGGCAGTCTAATCCCCAGGCAAAAAGGAGGTTTGTTTTAGGAAAGGGCTATTATCATTTTTGTTTTATACTATAAACTATAAACTAAGTTCCTCCCAAAGTTAGTTCAGCCTACGCCCAGGACAGCTTGGAGGTTAGAGGCAAGATGGAATTGGTTAGGTCAGATCTCTTTCACTGCTTCAGTTACAATTTTGTAACGGCGGCTTCAAGTTGTGTGTAGATCATAAAGTGTGTGTTGACTACATGAAAAGTAAACAATAATAAAGAGTTGAGACTAAATCCTAGGAGAAATACGGAGCTATTAGAAGTTTTTAAGCAAGAGGAGGACATGGTCATATTTATGTTTTAGATGGAGCACTTTGTCTGTAGTACAGACAGAGATAAAAATCAGGCAAGATTGGAAGCTGGGAGATAGGGGCTGTTGCAACAATTTAGACAGCAAAGGTTACAGATCGTGTACGTTTCATAGGTTACATATTTTGGGGCCTTTTAAAAAAATACAAAATTTTGAATGCAAAATTAGATGTGAAGCTCTAGAAGGGGTCTTAAGACTCATGAGTTTTATTCTACATCCACCTTTAGATCCAGTGAAGTAGTTTACGTGGTCTGAACTATGGTGGGGGCAGTAGGAATGAAGAAAGATGAATGAAAGGAAATCTGAAAAGGAACTTGGTGATTGGATGTGCAAGGTGAGGGGAGAGAACTATCAAGGACCATGCTTAGTTTTCTGTCTTGTGCAATCAATTGGCTCGATGAAGGAAGGGTCTGTTCATTGAGACAGGAAACACAGGAGGCAGAGTAGATTTTGGTGGCAATATGGGAAGTGAAGTTTTGCACCCAGGCAAAGTAGAAGTGATTGTGAAATATTCAGGTGTGAAGCTCAAGATAGTGAAATTATCCTACTTCTGATGAGGCTCAATTAATTTTGGCAACTTGGGTGTTCAGCATCCTGAGGATGAATGTAATGCCCCATCAAGTGTGGCTCCCAAAGTAGGTGTAGATTTAAATTTTGCATAATCCGTAGTTCAGTGATTATTGCCTTGAAGCCCTATTGCCTAGGTCTGAAAACTAATGCTGGGTTATGTAGGACTCTTACTGTTTTTCTCACCCTTACTGTGGTGCCTTTCAGGATGATTTTTTTTCCTGGTCATGTTGCACTGTAATACTGGGACATGTGCTGCTTAGCTAGCAGGTTACCCTGAAGGCTTTTAGTTCATTGGGGAGGATGAATTTTTGGTTGTATGTGTAGGGTTTCTGTAATGTAGGTCAGTGTCTGAGCTCCCTTTGATTGTTAATCCATAGTCTTCAACTGATTATGCAACCCACGGAGGACCTGATAAATATAATGTTTTAAAGTTCAGCAGCAAATTTCCTTCTCCGTTGTCCTTTGATTTGAAAATGGCTGACAAATTTTTCTTACAGTTTTTATGAAAGTGAAGACAGATATGACTACCAACGAATATAAAAATCTCCCCACCAGGAAAGTTTTAGACTGTCATCAAATGACTTAATATAGGAGATAATAATAGAGTCTGTTTTGCAACCTAAAATATAGTATTTTCTACTATGAACACTGTAATTACTATTTACAGCTAGATTATAGGGAAATCTGTGGGTGTCATGGAATTCAGTTTAAAATTATGGAAACTCTGTTTGCATAATTAAAAGGCTAGTTAATAAATTCCCTCCTATTTTCTAACCTATTTAAGCAGATCATATATGTACCAATATTTCTCTGCTAACTATGGTAGAGAAGACAACCAACTTTAAATCTTCTGTTGCTGAATAATACCCATAATAACTGTGTATAATATATGGCTCATAATTAGTGAATATGCTGAGCTTTTTCAAGAAATGCATTAGATATGGCATAGATACAAATTTCTGCTTCATTAAATGACTTTATGGACTATATTTTGCTGCTTTTGCACATGTGATCTTTTCCCCTGTTTGATAGCAAGATTACTTTACAGCTCCTTAATGAGAATATCTTTTTTTTTCTGAAACCTTTTCTGAAGTTTTATTGAAGCTCTGGGTGACCTATTTCTAACGGTTTTAGAGCTCTAACATTTTCTCTCCCTTATTTAAGTAGCTTTAACTTATGTTTGATTAGTGGTTTTAGAAGTAGATTCATAATCTAATTTTAGGATGAAAATCTTTTCTTACAGGAGAAAACAAATTTAAAAATAACCTTACATGTCACAAGGTGCCTATGGATTATGGAAATGGCTCACATTCCCGGGGCACTTATTGGGTAAAGAGGGTGAAAGCCAGAGATGACTTCTCTTAGTTGCATTTTATTCTTAGTTGCATTTCTGCAGGAAAATTTCTCTTTATTAAGAGGACTAGAAAATAAGTTCATTGATGGGTCTAAGGAATGACTGCAATACAATGTTAGGTGCTGTGATGTCATAGTAGTATAGAAGCAGAGATGAGATGCTAATACCGGGTATTTGTAGAATGGGTGGGAGGTTTCCAGGTGTCCAGGTGTCCCATATTTAAGGAAGCTTAATATTCACATTTGAATTTTGGAGCAGCTATGACTTAAATATCAAGAAATATTGTGATAAATGATTTGAGCCCTGAAAGATAAATAGGAATTTACCTACCACAGAAGATGGAAAAAGGCTGGAGCAAAAATTTAGAGGCAACAATTCATATTATAATTTTTTTAGTTAGAGTAAATTTTAATTTTAGTTCTAAAAGAAATCCACACACTTTAGCAAACTGAAACAATACAGACATATGTAATGTAAAGAGGAAATATCTACTTTATGTTGTTGCCCTCCCTATCCCCAGCCTCTATTCATGCCTCTCTCCACATGTTTAGTGTCGATTCTCTGAGAGCTTTTCCTATGAGTTTACTCATTTACATATCTGTGTGTGTGCATGCATGTGTGTATGTAATTAGTTTCATTGTTATGTAACTTGCATCACTCAATATGCCTTATCGACCATTTCCTGTTAGTGCATTTCAGTCTACTCTATACATTTTAAGAACTACCTATCAACATGGTATAAATATACCATAATTTATTTAACCATAGCCATATATAAGGTGTTTACAATTGCTATGGACTGAAAATCACCCCGTCTGTAATTTTTATGTTGAAATCTTAACCCCCAGGGTGATAGTATTAGGAGGTGGGACCTTTGGGAGGAGATCAGGTCATGAAACTGGAGCCCTGCTGAATGGGATTGGTGCCCTTATCAAAAAGTTGGCAAAGGATATGAACAGACACTTCTGAAAAGAAGACATTTATGGAACCAAAAGAATATGAAAAAATGCTCATCATCACTGGCCATCAGAGAAATGCAAATCAAAACCACAATGAGATACCATCTCACACCGGTTAGAATGGCGATCATTAAAAAGTCAGGAAACAACAGGTGCTGGAGAGGATGTGGAGAAATAGGAACACTTTTACACTGTTGGTGTGACTGTAAACTAGTTCAACCGTTGTGGAAGTCAGTGTGGCGATTCCTCAGGGATCTAGAACTAGAAATACCATTTGACCCAGCCATCCTATTACTGGGTATATACCCAAAGGATTATAAATCATGCTGCTATAAAGACACATGCACACGTATGTTTATTGTGGCACTATTTACTCTAGCAAAGACTTGGAACCAACCTGAATGTCCAACAATGATAGACTGGATTAAGAAAATGTGGCACATATACACCATGGAATACTATGCAGCCATAAAGAATGATGAGTTCATGTCCTTTGTAGGGACATGGATGAAGCTGGAAACCATCATTCTCAGCAAACTATCGCACGGACAAAAAACCAAACACTGCATGTTCTCACTCATAGATGGGAATTGAACAATGAGAACACATGGACACAGGAAGGGGAACATCACACACCGGGGCCTGTTGTGGGGTTGGGGGAGGGGGGAGGGATAGCATTAGGAGAGATACCTAATGCTAAATGACGAGTTAATGGGTGCAGCACACCAACATGGCACATGTATACATATGTAACTAACCTGCACATTGTGCACATGTACCCTAAAACTTAAAGTATAATAATAATAAAATAAAAAAAAAAGAGGACCAAGGGAGTCATTTACCCTTTCTGCCATGTGAGGACACTGTGAAAAGAAGGCTCTCTATGAACCAGGAAGGGGGCCCTCACCAGATAGTGAATCTGCGGGTGCCTTGATCCTGGAATTACCTTTCCGTACTGTGAGAAGTAAATTTATGCTGCTTATAAGCTATGCCATTTATGGTATTTTGTTATAGCAGCCTGAATGAAATAAGACAACTCTTTTTCTATATTACAAATAATTCTGCAATGAACTTCTATATCCATAATTATCTCCTAATTTATTCCTCTATTTTTCTTTCCTTTCCCTCTTTTTTCCTTCTCTATCTTCACTCACTCTCTCCATCACACTCTCACATTTATCTAAACAAAATCTTTGTGCACATTTGTATTTCTGTAGAATGGATCCTGGAAGTGGAATTGCTAGAACAATTTAAATATTGATATGTATTCCTGAATTTCCCTTCCGAAAACTCTGTACCAGCTTACACTTCCATCAAAATTTGGTCGGGTTTATTTCATCATTAATCATGGATATCTTTGCGTTTTCGATGGGAAAAAATGATAAATAGTATTTAAATCTTTTTGTTGTTTCTCCTAAAATGGTGAATTTGAATTTGAACATCTTTTCACATGTATTTTGGCCCAGTGAATTTCCTTAATTTTTCTTGTTGATTTTTACACTAAATTATTTTAAAAATGATTTTTAGAACATCTTTATTCAGTTTGGCTATTATAATTTTTTTCTGCTGTATGTTTTGCAAATATGTCCTTTAAGAAATGTTTATTTTCTATATTTTTTTTTGTGGTAGAGAAATTTTTAATTTTGATCTAGTCAAATCTGTCATTTTTTTCCTTAATTTTTTCTGTATTATTTCTTTTATGTCTCTTGCCTAAGAAGGACTTTTTCAGATCAAGATTATAAAAATATTCTTAAATTTTTTTTTGTATTTTCATAGGTTTTTTTTTTACTTTAGGTTTGAATTCACATGGAATTTAATTTTAATTTGTATATAACATAGGGTATGGCTGAGATCTAGGTAATCACCACATCGATCTCATTTTCTTTGTATGTACATAGTTAGATTTTATTTCCCAGTCTTCTGTGCAGTTGGGTGAGGCCCTATGACTAAACTGTACCATGGAATGAGAATAGAAGTAATGTATACCACTTCTAGTCTTGGCTCATAAAAATCTTTCAAGAGAGATCCTCTGTGTCTATCCTCTTCCCAAATGGTCTTGGAGGCCAGGTGTTGAAGATGATAGAGTCAAATTTGAAAGAGTTTAGATCCCAGAATTACCACTTAGAGAAGAGTCATACACCAATCAGGAATATCCATTTTTGACTCTATGTGAGCAAGAGAGAAACTTCTTTCAATAGCTTTAAGCCACTGAGATTTTAGGGTTTATCTTTCATAGCATTTACATAATCAATACACAGAGTAAGATTGTGACTTAACTTTTTCCAACTGTCAGGTCAATTGTCGTAACACACTTTATTTAATAGCTTGCCATATACTCTGTAATTTGAAATTCTACTTTTAGCATATTCTATATTTTCATAATTTTAGGAGTGATTCTAGATTCTGTTTTGTTTTATTGAGCTACGCATTTATTCCTGCAACAATGCCATGATATTTTAACCACTACGGCTTTGTAATTTTTCCTGGTATCTGGTAGCAGAATTAGCTTTTAAAATTGAGGCGTGTCTTGTTCCTTTAAAGTCTTTCTGTGACTCTTAGAATACAATAGAAAATCTCTAACATGATCTCTAAAGCCCTGCATGATTTAGCCACTGTCTGTCTTTCTAGATGTATCCCTCCTTCTCTGCTTCTCAGCTGCTTTAATTTTCTGAAAATGTAAAGTATCTTAGGACCTCTGGACCTTCACAAATGGAAGTTTCACAAATATTTTTCCATTTGCCTGAAAGAGTTGAGTGTATCCAGATAAACTCTTGCTCCCATATGACTTTGATCTGTTATGTAAAGAGAGAGAAGTCATTACTGATTCCATGTAGTCATGAAGACATTCTTAAGTATAAATAACTTAAGGACATGTGAGGTCACATGGAAAGGAAGAACTTGACTTGGAGAATTTTGAATTTTTTTCCATATCTGACCCATAGATGAATCAGTTCTCCACTGACATCACATGTTTCTCATCATGTAAATAAAAAATGATGAATATCAAAGTTTTCTTTAGAAACCCTGGAGACATTGATTGTACACTATGTTGTGTGTGGTGTAAGTATGAAATTTAATGGAACTTTTAAGTGTATGGCTTACAAATAATTAACAAATAATTTCGATGTCTAATCTTATTGCATTAACTATAGGCCTGTTCAAGAGCAAAAATAACACTGTATGTAAGTTTTACATAAAATTATAGACCTTTTCCACCTAGGGGTACCGTCTGTCTCAAGCTCCTATATATTGCTGTATAAGTGAAGGTTCTGGCAGCAAATAGCACCTCAAACAGTGTAACTGAAGAGTGTTTTATAGGAGATGACAGACAATGGTGTGGGGAGGGGAAAAAGAAATGAATAAGAGATGGTGCAGTGCTCCAGAGTTGGTACTGATGGGGTCCTGTTACCAGCCCCAAACCTGAGAGAATCAGGAGAGAGAGAAGTTACTGGAAGTTGAAGGCCAGGCCACCTGACAGGGACCATCCCTTTAGTATAGGTGCTTAACTAACCTGCGGTGACGTGGCAGAGAGAGCCATAGGAATCAATCCTTGCTCCTGTTCTCTTTCTACTCTATGGTCTTCTGCTGGAGTCTTCTGTTGGTCAAACCCAACTGGAAGCTAAAGGGGAAGGTAGCCGCATTAATAAGGGCTGTTAAGCTCTTGAGGTTCAAAGCTGGGTAACTAAGGATAGAGAAAATTTGGAGGGAGAAAAGAAAATATCCTGCACACTCTGATGTATCTTGAATTTATGTTTTTAGGATTCATATAGGATGAAGATTAATTTCACATATTTCCAAGTTCCAAATCAATACTTACAACACTATCTGTTGAGCTTGACTTTCCATATTACTTTCTGAACCCCTTCGAAATTATTATGCATAATAGAGTATGTTCTGGAGTATGTGGTCTGGGATATGTTTTTCACTGTTTTGTAGTAGTTTTATAAAATGCTTATTTGATTGGATAAGACTTTCCTATATTTTTTTCCAGATTTAAGAGTTTCTTTTAGCATTTAATATAGATCTAGATGATTAAGTGTTTTCAAACTATATAAAAAAATAACTTGTTTCTCTGCTGTGTGTTGTACTTTTACAAATATGTGGAGCATTGTATCTAGTGTGTTATAGGCATAGGTAAACAGTAAAGTATGGCTGAATAAATGAATATACATTTATTTAAGAATATATTGAAGTATATATGTTCAAAAATACTAGAATAAAGCAATGTATACTACAGTTAAGATTGGAAGACATTACATGACATTTACTTAAATAAAGACAGATTTATACACGGAAATAACAGGATGAATGGTTCTCATGTAAATAGGAAAGACCAAACAAAGTGTTTACTGATACACTTGATATTATTAAATACATCATATAAAAGATTCTTACCAGAATGTAAAAGGGGACACATGTAAATTGGATTTCATATCCAGATACAAGGGTACCTCAAGGTGTCTGGGCACTTCTGCCAGTATCAGCTCCAGAGAGAATTCAGGTACTAGGTGTCTAGTACAGGACTGCTCCAAGATGCAGAAGGGATTCTGAACTTCTCAGGGGAAGGGGGATGCCTTCAAAGCTTCTGTTTTATCTATCTAGGTCATTTCTATTACTCCCCTCAACTCCTTATCTTATTGAATTATCTCTCTTATCCACCTTTAAAAATTTAGCTTATGTTTATACCACTTAATCTTTTCTTTTACAAATTCTTTCTCAATCTGCAGTCTATGTCCTCAGTGTTCCTATAAATTCTTGGGCTGGTGGCATCACCATATCATCATCCTCCTCATCATCATCACAGTTGTGATCACCATCAGAGGCTGATATTTGTTCAAATTACTATGTACCAGGTATTTGGCTAAATAATTTATATGAGTTATCTCATTTAATTTTTACAATGAAGTAGATATTATAAGTATTCCTGATTTAGAGATACACATTGCATACTGTTTATAATCTGTTCGACTCATCTTCCTCTCTCAACAGTAAGTTCATTGAGGCCTTCAGTACATCCTTTATCTTGTATCTTTATATCCCTGGCCTTAAGAATAGTGATCAGTACATGGAGTTATACTCCAAATATTTGAATGAATGTTGGTTTAGTCTATTTTGATTTAATTTCTAGACATAGATTTTATATGATCATTTAAAAATAGAGTGACACTTTGCTTCCTATGCAAAGCCACAACATTTCTGGAACAATAATTTATTTTATTAAATCCACTAAAATATTTGTCAAATTAAAATAAAATCCCTCTTGGGTTTTAGTTCTCTGTTCTCTATGTGTATTTAATTCAAATTGGATGAAAGACTGATGATCATGGATTTCTGCTATTGAAGAAAATGGAATAAAAGACTTCTTGGCAAAACAGTCAGTTTTTTAACTTGCAAATTAAATTATAGTGTAGATTTGCTATCTTGCCCCCATTAACTTCTTGCCCTCTTTGGCTA
The DNA here is from genome assembly GCF_000001405.40 of Homo sapiens. Classification (NCBI taxonomy): domain Eukaryota; kingdom Metazoa; phylum Chordata; class Mammalia; order Primates; family Hominidae; genus Homo; species Homo sapiens. The sequence continues at coordinate 24,127,291 of NC_000009.12, forward strand.
TCTGAGTCCCGTGGGGATCAGATTTCCCGTAGCCCAGTATAACATGCTATTGATCACCCCTTCTGCTTTGCCACTTTCACCTTCCAGTACAAATTGGCCTGTGTCAAGTGGAGGAGGAACGTGGAGGGGGAAGATAATTAATTTACCCTCACATTGAAATTAGATGCATTCTAAAAGGAGGCAATCATCTGGGCTTGGATCCCTGAGGATCTACCAATTTTGGGTTGTAAATTCCTCAGCTAACTTATTCTAAAGTATCAGGAGCATAAGTAAATACATTTTTCATACATCTGTGTGTACTGGGGTGAAAAGGATTGGATGGTACCCTGAAGTAGAACCTAGCAGTGACCTTTTCAAAGTTTTTACACAGTTTTAGTCACATGGTGTCTTGAAGTTGAAATTATGTACTCTCAAAATATTGGAAACTTCTTTGAAACCATGGAAACAGCATGTGAGATGGGGGATGACTGGACAGCAGAATAAGACCTTCCTATTATGACTATTGTTCTTTCACTATGAATATCTAAAAGTGTATCTTCATAAGTCACTTTCTTCTAGTTATAGCTTTGAGAACATCAGTGCTTTTAGAATCAAAGATATTGTCACAAAAGGAAGCGCAAGCCATGGAACTGTTTATAATATGATTATAAACAATTCTTTCTCTAATACTTATAGTTCTGCTTTCATGCTAAATAATGTATTTGAAGATTTGAGTCAGTAATCTTCCTAAGCAGAGTGACAGGAGCCTCCAAGGCATATATACAAGGCTGTTTCACTATTCTGCAGCATTTCAGAGTGCCTGTTATTTAACGCAATACAGATAAATTAACATGCAATAAAGCTTCCAGTAGTGATACTAATTTACAACAATGGTAGAACAAAAATGTTGTTAATAATTGTAATTCTTCCAGAGGGTTTACTTCTCATTTCACTCTATTATGGCAGTGAAAATGTGTTTAGGGAGTAACAGAGTACCGTTCTCCAGAACCCAGTAGCAGTCCTCTTAACGTTATACGTGTGGTGAATCCCTAAAATTTAAAATACTCCCTGAACTTTTCTTTTTCTTTTTTTTTTTTGTTGTTGTTGTTGCTGTTGTTGTTGTTGTTGTGTCTCTGCCAAGTTTTGGAATCAAGATGATGCTGGCCTCACAGAATGAGTTAGGGAGGAGTTTCTCCTGAATTTTTTGCAGTGCTTTCAGTAGGAATGGTATTAGCTCTTCTTTATACAGATGATAAAATTAAGTTCTGAATCCATCTGGTCCCAGGCTTTTTTTTGTTTGGCAGGCTTTTTATTACTGATTCAATTTCAGTACTCATTATTGGCCAGTTCAGGGATTCCATTGCTTCCTGGTTCAGTCTTGGGAGGTTATATGTGTCCAGGAATTAATCAATTCTTCTAGGTTTCTAGCTTGTGTCCATAGTGGTGTTCATAGTAGTTTCTGAGGGGTTTTTTTTTTTCCTGTGGGGTCAGTGGTAACATCCCGTTTGTCATTTTTGATTGCGTTTATTTTGGATCTTCTGTTTTCTTTATTAGTATAGCTAGTGGTCTATCTATCTTAATAATTTTTTTCAGAAAACAAACTCCAGGATTTGCTGATCTTTTGTATGGTTTTCACTTCTCAATTTCCTTCATTTCAGCTTTGATTTTGGTTACTTCTTGTCTTCTGCTAGCTTTGGGGTTGGTTTGCTCTTGTTTCTCTAATTCCTGTCGTTGTGATGTTACAGCGGTAATTTGAGATCTTTCTAACTTTTTGATGTGGGGGTTTAGTGTTATAAACTTCCTTCTTAACACTGCCTTAGCTGTAGGACTGGGCAAAAATTTCATGTCAAAGACAAAAACAAAGCTTGACAAATGGGACCTAATTAAACTAAGGGACTTCGGCACAGCGAAAGAAACTATCAACAGAGTAAACAGTCTACCAAATGGGAGAAAATATTTGCAAATTATGCATACAACAAACGTCTAATATCCAGAATCTATAAGGAATTTAAACAAATTCACAAGCAAAACATAAACAACCCAATTAAAAACTGGGCAAATGACATGAACAGACACTTTTCAGAAGAAGACATACACATGGTCCATAAGCATATGCAATAATGCTCAACATCACTAAGCATTAGATAAATGCAAACCAAAACCACAGTGAGATATCATCTCACACCAGTCAAAATGGCTATTACTGAAAAGTCAGAAAATAGCAGATGCTGGTGCAGTTACAGAGAAAATGGAATGCTTATACGCTGCTGGTAGGAATATAAGTTAGTTCAGCCCTTGTGGAAAGCAGTTTGGCAATTTTTGAAAGAACTTAAAACAGAATTACCATTTGATCCAGTTATCCCATGACTCAGTATATACCCAAAGAAATATAAAATGTTCTACCTTAAAGACACATGCATGCATGTGTTCACTGCAGCATTATCCACAATAGCAAAGACGTGGATCAACTTAAATGCCCATAGTTGATAGACTGGATAAAGAAAATACGGTACACATACACCGTGAAACACTATGCAGCCATAAAAAATGAATAAGATCATGTTCTTTGCAGGAATGTGGATGGAGCTTGAAGTCATTATCCTAAGTGAACTAACATTGAAAAAGAAAACCAACTACTGCATGTCCTCACTTGTATGTGGGAGCTAAACATTGAGTACATATGCATGCAAAGAAGGGAACAAGAGACATCAAGGCCTACCTGGTGGTGGAGGGTGGGAGGAGGATGAGGACGGAAAAACTGCCTTATCAGTTACTGGGTTTATTACCTGGGTGACGAAATAATCTTTACCTCAAACCCCTGAGACATGCAACTTACCTGTGTAACAAACCTGCACATGTACCCCTGAAGCTAAAATAAAAGTTAAAGATAAAAAATAAAAAAAGAAAATACTCCTTGAGAATGATGTGGGCAGTAGGGAAAAAATTTGGGTTCGTTATTGAAAAGCAATAATTTATGCATAAGGAGACCCCAATTGTTTTGATCTTGTATCTAAGTTATGTTTATCTCAGTGAATTCTTGGCCTAATGACCTTTCTATTCCTCAATTAACACATTTAGTAAGGATTATAGTATTGGTCAACCTCTCCATTTGGAAGAAAGTGGAATGCATAGATGAATTTGTCTTAGATGAGCAGCTTATTAATTTAGAGTAAAAGATATGTCACAACCAATTCTAGGACTAGGACATTTTCATTGCTGTCACTCATAGGTTATTTAAAAGGTGCTAAAAAACTTTGAAAAGTGAAGCAACTTGTATTAAAATCTGAATTAGTTCAGGTGACCTTCAGAAACCAATCACTTTAAATCACATTTCTACCTTGCTGTGATAAAAAAATCTGCATGTAATGGGAAAATTTAATCACTAATAACAGATATTTTTAGCTATATAAATCAGTTCAAAGAGCAATAATTGAGCATTGCTGTGTACCAGGCATATTGAAGGTAATCAAAATAAAGAAAACTTAGTGTCTGATCTTAGGCATTATTATTTAAGTAAACAAGCTGGATAAATCTTACTTCAAGGAGAGGACTCTAGGAAAGCCTTTTTTTTTTTTTTTTTTTTTTTTCAAATAAATGGAGTATGACTGGCTTTCTGGCTGCCAGAGAGGAGGATAGTAAATGGAGATTTTGCTCAGTGTTCCTATGATAGGTTAGTTGGGTTTGTGTGGGCTAACATATACCTCCAAAATACTGGGGAGCACATTCTGATCAGTCCAATAGTCAGCAATGTTACACAGAGAGGTCCTTCTGCTTGATGTGATGATTCCTTCTTTTTCAAACCATTGTCAACTTTTCTCTGGGGCCAACATAGCCTGGCGACAGGAAACAGCATACTAAATCCTGCCACTGTGACTGAACGTGGAGATAGAGAAATGCTTCGTAGGAAACCCAGATGCAAAGGTGTTTGCTTTCACAATTTCTAGAGGAAGAAGTTGACTGATCAACTGAAACTACCCAATTTGCTTAATCTTTTGAATTTTGTTCTTCTTATGCTTTCGATAACTACATTAAACAAGGTTAAACATCTCTAACCACCTGAGTATGAAAATGAGAAGGGGCTGGGTGCAGTGGCTAACGCCTATAATCCCAGCACTTTGGGAGGCCTAGGCAGGTGGGTCTCCTAAGGTCAGGAGTTCGAGACCAGCCTAGCCAACATGGTGAAACCTCATCTCTACTAAAAATACAAAAATTAGACAGGCATGGTGGCAGGTGCCTGTAATCCCAGCTTCTCAGGAGGCTGAGGCAGGAGAATTGCTTGAATCTGGGAGGTGGAGGTCGCAGTGAGCCAAGATTGCACCACTGCACTCCAGCCTGGGCACCAGAGTGATACTCTGTTTCAAAAAAAAAAAAAAAAAAGGAAAGAAAATGAGAAGGATGGGAACTTTGTCATATCTCTCTTTATCACCAGTGTTTGGCAAAGTGCCTGGCCCATAGCAGTGTTCAGTAAATGTATGATAAAAGTATGAAAGAAAGAATAAATGAATGAATGAATGAAGCCTGATTTGATCTAAGCCCCTTTAAATTCCATGTATAAATAAGATTAGCTTTTTTTACCTCCTTCAGCAGAAAAGACCAATGAATACAATCACTAATTGAAGTTCTCTTTGTTTGCCAACTTTTTAATTAATTGAAATTAGTATGACTCCTTGTCCTCTCAGTATCTTGAACAATTGTTGGCATATAATAGTGCTAATTGCTTGCATAAATAGATGAATGCTCTGGTGAAAGTAGACACTTTCATCATTTCCAATCCCTACACTCTAAATCCTGACCTATTATTTATATTTAAGTCCCTTATTTTCTATGAAGGCTCACCTCATCTCATTCTTTAACACAGTGGTTCTCCTTCCCTTGGACCTTGTGTAAACTATCTTTTTTATATTTTTTATTGGCATCTAGAAATGACGGTGATTTACCTTTTCTGCTTCTGGGAATTTATCATTAAGGCAAATTTTAAAATACTGGGCAAGTTCTTTTGAAAGATGTTTATTGCATTGTTATTTTTAAGAGTGAAGCTGCTATACCTTGCTTCAATAGCTTAAGAGTACAAAGTAAGATAAAATCTTTTAACTTCACATCCAACGCATCTGAGCTGCTATCCTGCTTTCTCTTCCCAGAGTTCCTCTTCCAAGTTGAGGACAAGGTGTCCAGGCATATTTATTGAGCCCATAAAAGTTGTTATTATAACTTCATGGAAAAAGATCTGTAAAATCTATTCACTTCATCAAAAGACTTGTTCTCTGTAGCTGTTAGTGTTGTCACCATGATACGGAATTACTTCTGAAAAAAGGAAGTTCAAAATTATGGCCTTGACCATTGCTGGAATCACCATGGTAAACAAGGAACCCAGCTGTTACCAACTTGGCAATTGTTTCTTTGTGTGCAGGGCCAGAAGATACTTTTCCTTCCCAGGTGACATTATTGTATGCTTGCTTCATACCAAAATATACATGGGCTCCCAAATGTTACAATTGTTAGTGACTAGCTCATTCAGTGCATGCACCTGGCTCTTTTTCCCAAGGCACACCATAGTGGCTGCATACTGAGGGGCTTCAGCCTCAGCCAAATGTTGCATAAACAGCTCTTTCTTACAAAATTCTAGAGCTCGAGGTTGGTCCAAAGTTTACATATTTTTTCAAATGAGTTTTCTCTTAGGGGCGCCTGTTTCTTTCCCATGATCTGGCTTCACATAGATTCTGATAGAGTTAAGCATCCTAAGGAAAAGGCTCTTCTTCTTTTAGAAATTTCCTTGACTGTATATAACTCTTTAGGGCAGCTGGCTTTGTGGGAGAGGAGCATTGCTTAATTCCATCAACTACCTGTATTTTAGGTCCTAGACACTTATATATTAAAAAAAATCTGCAATAGTCTTAGATAGATGCATGCTGCTTTATGTTGTAAACTGAAGCGTCATTCATTTTACCCTCTCCAAACCAAGGTTCTTTCCAAGGTAACTGATATCTTTACCAGGAAACTACTAACAACTTTTACACAATATTTTCCTCACTGAAATGTTGTAGGTAGCCTCACTTGGGACATTGCTACACTAGTATACAAAATGGAAACAATTCAAAGGTCCAAAAATAGGATCTTAAGCATGTAAAGTGGTTGGTACACTTATTCAATTTGATATTATGCAAGCATTAAAATTAAAGTTATGAAGACTTTATAATGATATTAAAAATGCTATGAGTTACTAAGTGATAGAAGCAGAGGTTAAGTCACAAATCTGTATACATTTCACTATCTATTCCAAGATACATAATGTAACCACTTTGACGTATTTTTAATTTTTGGAAGTCCATTACTAGAAAGTCCTGGATTGATCAAATGCACACACAAAATCTAGAGAATGACGTAATACAGTTCCTGGCTTTTCACCTCAAATCACTTTTAGGTCCATTATGAGTCCGTTTGGATGGAGATCAAGAAGTCTTTTCTGTCTTGGGCTGCTCTGTTTTCCTGTTCCCTTAATGTCCCATTATCTTCACTCTTTGGCTATTCAGGGTTAAACTTCTTGTTCCTCTTGGCTCACTGAAGTGCTGTTTAGTTTGCCATTTTTCTAAAAGCTGGTGCACGTATGTGTGTGTGTGTGTGTGTGTGTGTGTTTATCTCAAAGACACATCTCACTCCTGCCTTATGGACAAGCATCCATAATACAAACACATTTTTAAATACTAAGATAATCAACTTCTTAGAATGTCATTGTTCTCTTTGTTTTGCTTCTATTTTGCTAACGTGGTTGGGGTCTTTATGGACCCTTACATTTCTACAAAAACTAATGAGATAAGAAGGAAGCCCCATCTTCCCATATTTAGTAGGGGTGGGATCAGAAAGGAATCTTACCAGAATATTTATAGTACTTTTATTAGATAGCAAATTGCATTTCATTTTTCCATTTTTCCCTGATTTCCAAAGTGTATTTATGTTTTATATTACTTTCACGTCAAAGAAAAACATGCAAGAGGAAATTATGGAAACTTAGAGAATGAAAAAACTTTTTTTTTTTTATTGATAAGGAAGTTGAATTCCAGGTCAATTAAAAGAGGTATCCAAGGTAAGTGTTGATGACAAAACCTAAATTCTTAAAACAGCTCCACCATTTTCTAGCTTTATTACATAGAGAACTCTGTTTTCCTTTCCGCACCTCAGTTTTCTCATTTACGAAATGAGGCTAACTGGTTAGGTTGTGGTTTCTATGCAGTTTACCCATGATATGGCACATGTAAAGTGTTTAGCACCAATTCTGTCACATAATGGGTAATGGATACATGCTATTTCCCTTCCCTCCTGGTTGTATAAATTCCTGGTGCAGAGCCTTACCAGCATACCAGCAAGAATCCCCTCTTGAGTCACTGTAATTACTCTGCTTTATTAAACTTATATACAGTGTCTTCTGTTATGGGCTAAATTGTATCCACCCAAAATTTATATATTCAAGCCCTAACTCCCAGTACCTCAGAATGTGACATTGGAGGTAAGGCCTTTAAAAGGTAATGAGGGGCCTGACATGGTGGCTCATGCCTGTAATCCCTGCACTTTGGGAGGCCGAGGTGGGCGGATCTCTGGAAGCAAGAGTTCAAGACAAGCCTTGCCAACGTGGTGAAGTCCTGTTGAGAGGTGACAGCCTGCTGGCAGTCCTCACAGCCCTCGCTCGCTCTCGGCACCTCCTCTGCCTGGGCTCCCACTTTGGCGGCACTTGAGGAGCCCTTCAGCCCACCGCTGCACTGTGGGAGCCCCTTTCTGGGCTGGCCAAGGCCGAAGCCGGCTCCCTCAGCTTGCAGGGAGGTGTGGAGGGGGAGGCGCGAGCAGGAACCGGGGCTGCGTGCAGCGCTTGTGGGCCAGCTGGAGTTCCAGATGGGCGTGGGCTTGGCGGGCCCGCACTCAGAGCAGCGGGCCGCAACTAGGGGCTTAGCACCCGGGCCACCGGCTGCGGAGGATGTACTGGGTCCCCCAGCAGTGCCGGCCCACCGGTGCTGCGCTCGATTTCTCACCGGGCCTTAGCTGCCTTCCCGCGGGTAGGGCTCGGGACCTGCAGCCCGCCATGCTTGAGCCTCCCACCCCCTCCATGAGCTGTGTGTGGCCCGAGCCTCCACGATGAGCACCGCCCCCTGCTCCACAGCGCCCAGTCCCATCGACCACCCAGGGGCTGAGGAGTATGGGCGCATGGCACGGGACTGGCAGGCAGCTCCACCTGCAGCCCCGGTGCAGGACCCACTGGGTGAAGCCAGCTGGACTCCTGAGTCTGGTGGGGAGGTGGAGGACCTTTATGTATAGCTCAGGGATTGTAAATACACCAGTGGGCACTCTGTATCTAGCTCAAGGTTTGTAAACACACCAATCAGAACCCTGTGTCTAGCTCAGGGTTTGTGAATGCACCAATCCACACTCTGTATCTAGCTACTCTGGTGGGGCCTTGGAGTACCTTTGTGTGGACACTCTGTATCTAGCTAATCTGGTGGGGAGGTGGAGAACCTTTGTGTCTAGCTCAGGGATTGTAAACGCACCAATCAGCGCCCTGTCAAAACAGACCTCTGGGCTCTACCAATCAGCAGGATGTGGGTGGGGCCAGATAAGAGAATAAAATCAGGCTGCCCGAGCCAGCAGTGGCAACCCGCTTGGGTCTCCTTCCAGACTGTGGAAGCTTTGTTCTTTCTCTCTTTGCAATAAATCTTGCTGCTGCTCACTCTTTGGGTCCACACTGCCTTTATGAGCTGTAACACGCACCGCGAAGGTCTGCAGCTTCACTCCTGAAGCCAGGGAGACCAGGAGCCCACCGGGAGGAACGAACAATTCCAGACGCGCCACCTTAAGAGCTGTAACACTCACCGCGAAGGTCTGCACCTTCACTCCTGAGCCAGCGAGACCACGAACCCACCAGAAGGAAGAAACTCTGATCGCATCTGAACATCAGGAGGAACAAACTCCGGACACGCCGTCTTCAAGAACTGTAACACTCACCGCGAGGGTCCTCGGCTTCATTCTTGAAGTCAGTGAGACCAAGAACCCCCCAATTCCGGACACACTGTCTCTACTAAAAATATGGAATTAACCAGGCATGGTGGTGCACCTCTGTAGTCCCAGCTACTCGGGAGGCTGAGGCACAAGAATCCCTTGAACTGGGGAGGCGGAGGTTGCGGTGAACCGAGATTGTGCCACTGCTTTCCAGAGTGAGACTCCATCTCAAAAATAAAATAAAGTAAAATATTAAAAAATAAAATAAAAGGTGATTAGGTTAAAATGAAGGCATTAGGGTGGACACTAATACATTCTGACTGGTGCCCTTATAAAAGCAGAAAATTTGGTCACAGGGAGAGATACCAGGTAGTATGCACAGAGCAGAGACTATAGGAGACCACAGTGAGAAGGGGTCCAAAAAGAGATTTCTCAGGAGAAACTAGACCTACTGACACCCTCATCTTGGACTTCCAGCCTTCAGAGCTGAAAAATAAAGTTTTGGTGTTTAAGCCACCCAGTTCATGGTATTTTTGTAATGGCAGCCCAGGCAAACTAATACACCTTTCATCTTTAAATAAAAGTTAGACTGCTTAAAGGAAAATACTGCATTATACTCATTTGTAATGATAGCAAATGATCAATAATTTCCTGAAAAAACTGATTTTTATTAAGTGTGGAAACATTGTTTTATATTTCTTTGAGTTCTCCCATGGAGACCTAGCTATTGAGGTTATTGGCAACTATAATGTGATAATGAGGATTATCAGTAATCTTTTTTTTTCCTTTTGCAAAAAGTGAGTAGAATTGTGCTTTTTATGAAGTCATAGGAGTAAATTCATTTAGAGCTGAAAAGATTATTCCTTATTGCCTGTACAGACATAGGTAGAGATAATTAAATCTGTAAATGTAATTTCTAAAATTAAGATTAATGACCAGGAATGTATGATTCCCTCATATGCTGATGACCTCATGTTGTCTGAGGCTAAATGTTAGGGCTTCTCAATATCTTTGTATTAATGACTATGATTGAGTTATTTTAAATGTAGTCAGGATACAAGATTAACTTGTCTATGTTGGAAGTTTGTCTTGTATTTTTCAGAGGATCAAAAATAGGCAATCATAAAACGATAAAGTCAAAGGATTTTTTTACTGAGCTTTAAAAATTGCATTTGATTCTCATTTTTTGAATTGTGGGAAATGTGGGAAAAACTGAGTTATCTTAATTAATTTATGGAAGGGACATCAAGAGATGAAAAAGTTTTGCAAGGTTTTCAACATTTGCCAAGCCTAAAGCTCAAATGCAAAGTTAGCGTAAATGAGAAATGCTCTGAACAGTAGGTTATCAAGTTTATTAATGAGAAAAATGCAGAAAATAGTGCTTAAATAAGTGAGAAGGCTACTTCTTTCTGAGCAGAAATGTTGTTTGTATATCCTTTCAACAATGCAGGTACGTATATATGCATATATACAAGGAATATTTTTCTAATGTCTCATTATCTTAACTTGCTGAATAACCTTTGAATGTTAATTAAAACCTCAGAATCTCATTCACACATCTATAAATAAAAGATATTAAATAATCTTCAACATACCTTCTAACTCTAGAATTTTATAGTTTTATTGTATCCAGGGTTATGAATAAAAGAGGACAACAGATGCAGTGTCACTTAGGGAGGCTACTTGTCACACACATTCTGCTGGCACCTTAATGACAATCTCTGCAGAAGGGGCAGTGACTAACTTATGAGTTTGAACACCAAACCTATCCTTCAAATGGTGGGAGTTCTATTTCCTGCTGAATCTTCAGGACTAGAAGAATACTTGCAACACGGAAGACATCCAATACATTTGTCGGATAAAGGAACAGATTAATATTTCGAGTGCTTTTTGGATTGTTATACTCTATTGTGGTGTAATTTCCCATATTTTTAAGGGTCATGTTTACATATGTCTAGTCAATTATATTTCGCTAGAGAGCTAGAGAATTAGAGAAACATGATCACTTGTTGCTGCTAAACTAAACTAAATGATCTGAAACATCAGCAACATTTTAAAGAATCTTTTGTGGTGTTCCTCTCATATAGAAAACCAGAAAACTTTGTCTTGTCTTTCAATTTCTTCCTTCATATCTTCTATTTTCTTCTCTTATTTTTACCCAACTCTACTGTTGCTAGGGAAAGTATGTATTGTCTGAATGTAAACTCTATGAAGGCAGAGGCACTGGCTGTCTTTTGAATACACCTAGGACATTGCCTAGCAATGATGATACTAAAAGATATTTGTTTAATGAATGAATGGTAACATTTATAACCACAGAAAGATAAAATAATGTCTGGCTCACTTTTTACTAGTAATGGGGAAGGGTAGCCTGGAAGGAAGGGAGTCATGTATGTATGTACATTTATAATACATCAAGAGAGATATACTGTAATTTCCATTTTTTTTTTCAAAAAACAAGAACTCTTTGTGTCTCATTATTTTCTTGGTCAAGTTATAGTGAGAATGTTCATGAGAAAAAAAGGCCAAAATTTAAACTGCTCAAATTTCTAGCCATTCTTTTAAAAAGCTTGATTTCAAAAGGGTATATTGTAAATTTTAGCCATATGGAAAATAAGAATTGAAGACAACAGAATTATCCTCAGTATGAGTTGCCTCAGACATGGTTCTTCTAGAGGGTAGCTTAGCAATGGCCTTCCCCTCAGGTAATTATCACAACATTTCTGTGCATGTCTGAGTGTGGTGCACGCTTTCTGTAACTTAGGAGCCTGAGATAGCTGAAAAGCTATGCAAGTACAATAATCAGAATGGGAACCAGCCAGGCATTCTGACTCAAGAGGGATAAAAAGGAAATCAGCTGCCTAATGAGGCTCTTTCTTTACCCCCTGCCCTTGTGAAAAATAGAGGCTACAGTATTTCATTATGAATCTGTGTGCTTCGTTTCTCACCCTACCTTGGTTTGGGAATCAAAGGACATTTCTGTTAGGTCTCACCCTTGGAGCTCTCGTCCTTACTCATGCCTTGAACTATTATTACCTCTATGCAGGTGTCTTCCCAAATCTGTGTTTCAAGTCACATCTTCCTCAGCCCTTGTCGTCACTGTCCTGCATTCCAACTAAACAATTTTTATTTTTATATATTGCCTATTTTGACGTATAGGTGCAGACTTTAAAAGAGTCAAAATTATATACAATATTTCATTTTTTTCTCAAAAAGTAAATTATTAAACTTAATGAACTGGACTTTTATATTTTTCTTCTTAGCAGATGTGTTGCAAAAGATCAAACTTTTTTGTTTTTTTAGAAGTAGGGAGTGTCAGAGCAACTTGCTGGCTTTCTTTTTTTATTTCCTAAATAAAAGCACTGAGTAAGTGTGGCATGTACATCACTTTAATGTTGAGACTGCAGAGTCATATTGAAGAGATTTATTCTCTCCTTGAATTCGACTCTGAAAATAGCTTGTACTAACATCAGGAACTTTGCATCCTCATCTTCGTAATCATATGGTTCCTACAGTCAGATTTAAGACAGAGAGTTTATTGCAGCTGAAAAAATTATTTTAAAATGTGAAAGACTAGTTGTTTACTAAGACTTTTCCATAATACACGTGAAGTTTATATCCAAGAAGCATGTTTTTGATCAAGTATATCTAGGCATTATTTATATGTTTCAGAAATTCTTAAATATTTGTGTATATATGTCTCAGAAATTCTTAACTTTTATAAACTGCAACTTAGTCATTCTGGTTTTATATCAAGTCTTGCTGAGATATTTCCTTTACCTGCCCAAATCCTAGATTTAAATGAGTTTGAAATATATTTAATTTACACCCATCTATGTTATAAAAATATTTGAAAGGTATATGATCCATGGTGTTGAAACTTTACTTCTGCAGGGAATAATGTCCTTCTGGAGGGACTTTCTCACTTACAAGGTGATTTTCTCCACCACGGCTATCAATCCTTCCTTACCATGGTAGTAATGGTGGCAAAGGGAGGAGCTGAGTTTGTCTTTTTGGCCTTAGATTATCTAGATATGCATTTCTTCTTCTACAGCTATAGAAAGGAGATCATCTCCATTGCCATTTCTATACTGTAAGCATTCAAGACTCTGGACTTATTTTTGCCTAATTACATGGTTCCTCTCTACCTCAGTATGGTTGATTATGTATTCTATTTCCTTATGTAGTATGTCACACTGGCATCTCTCCATGAGGTAAGTGCTTTTCATCTACATAAAATGAGTCCCTTTTGCCATGGAGTTTCACCAGAAACTGACAACACTTGCCTATGGTTTAGCTGAACAACGTATATATTTTTATCATAAAAGATATCTTTTAAAAGTACTATATATTGAAATAGGAATCATTAAAATTTATTAAAAGAGATTTTAGAAGAGTTCCATGAAGATATTTGACAAGAATGTTTGACAGTATACTTTGGGAGAGACCGAAGTAAAGAATTCCTCTACATAAGTTTCTTGGGAACCTGAGGTTTTCTCTCCTGTGCTATATTTAGATGTGTGGCATGTCTAATTTTCTGCTTCCATGCCTCACTGTTCTTCTAGTGCTTATCGTAATCCAGCTAAAGTGTCAGGCCGAAGTGTGGAGAAAACATTCTGTCCTGAGTAAGCCAACTTGCAGCTGTATGAGGACCCTCTGTGCCAGTCACCGTCATCCTACCATTCACCCATGCATTCCTGACATTCTAAACAGAAGTCGATAAATGTTTTCTCAGTAAAGTAATTCTGAAAACTTAATTCTAAATGTTGTATTAACTTAGCAAGACTTGAAGTGCCTGGAATGCTGGCCATGTAACTTGGTTGATCAGAGGGTACCAGCTACCAGTTCAATTTAAATAAATGCAGTTCAGTTCAAGTCAGGCCAATTTGGTTCAATTAAACTCAATTCAATACACACCTATTGAGCACCTGCATGGCCAAATACTGTGTTATGTTCTCAGTATATGGAGACGAATAAAATACATTTGATGTCTGCAATCTAACAAGCAGCGTAAGCAAACAAATAAAATAAACTGAATGTGGTTTAATAAGTAGAATAATAGAATTATCTACACAATGCTGAAGTAACCAGTGTATGAAGTAATTAATTTTTTTAAGGGGGAAAAATGCCACGGTGGACCTCTATTAACTTCAGTAGGGATGACACCAGGTTCAAGAGGCTGAAGAAGAGACCCAGAGCCAGCAAATGGGACATAGAGTTGAAGTGAAATTACATACAACGTGGTAACCAGTGATGGCAGGCTAGACAGAAGAACTGCATTGCATCCAGAAATGGTCCAGTGGCAGGGGCTGGGCAGGAGAACCACAGCTGCTTGCGAAAGGCATGCGGTTTATACAGCGTTTTCACTTAGCATCCTCCTCCTAACAACCTACATTTAGCAACCTTCATTTAACCCAAAACAAAAGGCGTCACTCTCCTGTACAGCCTGTGTTCCATGGGATGGTTCAGGGGTTCAGGTGTTCCTCATAGATAAGGAATGGGTTTTGGGTTGGCCACTCCTGAACTCCTTAGCTAGGAACTCTGAACACACATTCAGGTATATCTCCCATACAGGGTCATTCTCAGGGTATGCTTAAATTTAGTTATTGCTATCAGGTGTGTCTACCATACAGGGCACTATGGTGAAGGGCATCTCAACAAATGTTTCCTGAAAGAAATTAGAAATTATACACAAATACGATTTTGAAAGATGACCAAAAATGTGCTGAGTTTTAGGGTGTGGTCAAGTTTAGACAAAGGGAAGAACACTGAATACACTCCTCCATGGTGATGGATAGACTCGTATGCACATGATACTAATCTTGGCTATTTTAATACAGTTACTTATTCACTGATTATTTTCAGGTGCACACATTGTTTCATCCATACCATGGCAAACACGTACTAGATCAAGCGAAGTAAAGAAATGGATTAAGGTATCACATAGCCAAGATACTTGATATTTGATATAGCGGTGTAGTTTTTTCAAAGAGAAGTCATTTAAAAATCTCATGTTTTAGCCTCAGCTGCTTTTCTCTCTTTCATGACCTTTCAATTCTGCCTAATTATTAGCACTGACACAGTGCTACCTGACTAGTCAGCACACTTGCTGATAAAGGTGCATTTCTTACACATTTTTTTTTTTTTTTGCATTTCACTTCACAGGCCAAGATTTATTAACCAGCGTCTTTAGGGAGGAGTCTCATATGAAGACTTCAATGCTTTTATAAGGACATACTGTACTACATTTATAAAAAAAAGTACTATAAATAATATTACAAGAGGCAGTACAGCTCAGGTGGCTCTAAAATAAGCTGAGTGCAGAGTCTGTATGATCTAAGATATATGTCGCTCCACCACACTCAGTACAACCTAGAGGTTTTCTGCCTTTATTTCATTCTCTTTATCCATCAATTCAGGGTCAGTTTCACAAAAGCTTAAAATCCTTCACTTTTCAGTAAAAGATACAAGAAAGGGCACCTCTGGCTGGCATGGGGAAGGACCTTTCCATTTTATTTGATGACATATGATTATTACTTTATTAAGGGATTGTTAGAAATGATGATACAGATGTCTGATTGATATCCTAGGAAGATTGGGAAATTAAAAATTGGACACATATAGATTTAAAGCTCAGCTCGTCACTCAATAGCTGTGACTTTGGGTGATAAGGTTACTTTCTCTGGGCCTGGCACAGTGGCTCAAGCCTGTAATCCCAGCACTTTGGGAGGCCGAGGCGGGCCGATCACAAGGTCGGGAGATTGAGACCATCCTGGCGAACATGGTGAAACCCCGTCTCTACTAAAAATACAAAAATTAGCCAGGCCTGGTGGAGGGTACCTGTAGTCCCAGCTACTAGGGAGGCTGAGGCAGGAGAATGGTGTGAACCTGGGAGGTGGAGCTTGCAGTGAGCTGAGATCATGCCACTGCACTCCAGCCTGGGCGACAGAGGGAGACTCCGTCTCAAAAAAAAAAAAAAAAAAAAAAAGAAAAAAAAGATTACTTTCTCTGATACTTGGTTTTCCCATCTATAAGATGAGACTAAGAATAACCTCAGGGCAGGATGTTGTGAAGATACACTGAAATAATATGTGTGTGTAAAGAGCTGAACAATATCTGTTGCACAAAATACATGCTCATTAAATGGAGGCTATCATAAAAATAAAAAAGTGGGAGCAAAATGTCACACACAAAGTTCCAGTCACATCAGTGAATGTTCTGTTTCCCAAGCAAATGAATGTAGCATACTTTCTGGGGAGTCAAATTCTCATTTCCAAATGGGTGGCATTTCAACTCTCAATCCTGTGTGTTAAATTGACAGTAAAAGTAGAGCAAAACTTGACTTTTTTAGAAAAAATATCTGTGAAAGGATTTTTTTTTCAGTAAAACAGAATGTGGCAAAAGTTTTTGGTTGTTATATGAAAGGTAACTACTAAGAGAAGGCAGGAAGATTTATAAGACATAAGTAACAATCTTTCAGAACAGTAATAGTATGTTACAAACACAAATAAGAGAAGCCATTACAAAAATGGAAAAGGATGTTACTTTTCATGTCTGGGGCATGTTTTTAGGGGAACATGTTGGTATGAGTGTTCAGCATGAATATCTGTGATTATATGAGTATGCTGTGATTACCTGACTGATAGTAAGCCTGCTAATGCAGTTGATGGGAGTGGAGAGTGCTGGTGTGGAGAGGTGGGGGATGAAATTGCAGCCTCCGAGACAATATGTTTTTATCCTGCTGTACATTTCCACAAAGTCAAATAACTGGTGATATTGGACTCTGGAAAAAGAACCAGTGACTTTCTAAGCCAACAATCCCAACTTCAGGCTTACAAAATTGTATGTAGTCCTTGGAACAGCCATCAAAGTCATTCCATGAATAAAAGGGGCTCCCATTGCCAATAAGTTTGGAAATGCTGAATATTATGTCTCAACACACTACATGTTGGCATATTAAACACTCTGAGAAGTCCTGCCATAGAAAGGAACTAATTAGCGAATAGTTTTTCATTTTTTTTCTTCTGAGACAGGGTCTAGCTCTGTTGCCCTGGCTGGTGTATAATGGCATGATCGTGGCTCACTGCAGCCTTGACCTCCCAGTCTAAAGTAATCCTCCCACCTCAGCCTCCTGAGTAGTCAAGATTACAGGTGCACACCACCATACATGGATAATTTTTTATTTGTAGAGATGGGGATCTTACCATATTGCCCAGGTTGGCTGGTCTTGAATTCCTGGCCTCGAGCAATCCTTCCACCTTAGCCTCCCAAAATGCTGGTATTACAAGTGTGAGCCACTGGGCCTGGCCTTTAACAAATAGTTTGATGATTTCCTAATTGTAACACTGTATCCCTTTATCAAGAAACTTTTACAAACATCTTTTTGAGCTAGTGACCTAGAAAGCACACTTTGAAAAATCCTGAATTTGGCAACCAGGAAAAAATATAGAATTATACATATGGTAATATACAGTGAGCTGTTTTGGGGAGATGAACATTTATAATTTTATATCTCCTAAAATGTACACCTTATGCTGTGAAGGATGTAGTGGAATCTTTTGGTTCTAGCTTACGACTAGCTGAAAAAAAATTTTTGTACTATCACATTAAGCAAGAACCAGTTATTTCATAGTTTTATTTTGCACATTAAGGCACAGGAGATAAATCTTACTGTCTGACGAAATCCTTTTCAAGTTTTGTTCTACAGTTTCCAAGTCCTGATGCAGCTTTCTTCTTAAGTAAAACTATTTCCTTAATTTGAGCAATTCGCCAGGTTGAAGAAAACTTGTAAGCACTGTTAGTACTTGTCAGGAGTAAATGGGACTCTAGAGAGTTCTTTGAAATAGGAAACATTTGAACAGAATATCATCTTGCTTTCAGCTGTTTGTATAGATGCAATTTCTGCAATTCTATACCTCACAGCTCTAATTTTTCTTCTTCTGTGTCTCAGGCTTCCATCAATAATCCTTCCACTGAAACACACTTGACAAGAGAGGTAGAGTAGACGCCCTTGCAATATCTTCTGAATGTCACTCAGCAGTGATTTGTAATCGGGTTTATATATTTTAAGGAGAAAAATGTAAAACTAAATAGAAGATTCAATCCATATGAATCCAGATTGGACAAGGGTACTCTTAGTAAAATTTTATAAAATCACCTTTTGATTGGACAGTGGAAATTTTGTAAAACAGAAAAAAAAATCAGTGATTTTGGATTCCTATTGTGGATCTATATCTACAAAATAAAATCGTCTGGTAATACACCTTATTGTATGAATGAATGGGCTGTTTTGAGGACCAGTTACATCCACCTTGTACTGTGATTTTTAATACATGTTTCTAAGCTAGAACCTCTATAATACAGTTGTTACCTTGTCTCGTAACATCAGTATTAGAATAAAGGTCCTACTCTGTGTGTATACTTTAGGTAAGCAACAAGATTCCTCCTGCTGCTCTTCTGAAATTCAGGGATATCTGGACTAGAGCCTAAAGTCCTTTGTTATTTGAAAATTAAGTTTGAAAACCCAATAAAAATATTCTTTCTGGACAGCAAAAAATATTACATTAATTTCATTTGATTTGGATCTTTCTGTTTACTTAGTGAAAGCTCTTAAAAGCCTATTCTGATTATTTTGGAACAAAATTTTAAAAAATTAAGTACATTTTTAAAGTGATGCCATATAGTTCTCTCTCAGTTTATACAGGGACTATATACTCATATTAAGTTTTCATCATTTGTTTATGGAATAGCATTAGAACTTTCTGGGAAAAAATATATATCCTGGACCGTGTATCTCAATTTCAATATATTTATGTGTCCTGTGTGTGTTTAGTCACACAATGAAAGAATAGCCTATGTAAAGCATTGTCTGGAAGAAGGGGTGATGAGTTTATAATAATAGCCTTTGACTAAATATAAGGATTAGATGAGTTTGGTATGTGACCATAGGCTATCGTTCTACTTTCTCTGGAGCAAATTGCACTGTTTGAGGAATTCCTGTAAGCTCATAATTATAGTAGATAAGCATTTTACAATTTCACATGAAGATCTAAATTGACTAATTGAAAGAGGTTACTTTAAAAGTGGTGAAAGTGATGAGACCTATACGCCCATTTAACATGAACTCTAATTTCCCTCTGTTGAATTTGTGAATTTACAGTCATTCTTCTCCCTTTCATTCAACTCTTCAGGGGTCAAAGATTTCTACCCTGTTGGAAGAAGCCACTGTTGAAGTGTGAAAGGCTACTCTGCTTTCTGCGTCCATTTAACCTTTGGCCTGCCCTAAAGAGCCAGCCAAGTGTCAATCAGGGCTGATTGGGCACCTGTGCCTGGAAACAAGACAGAGAAATTTAGCTCTTCCAGGTCATCAAACCATCTCCAGATGGCAAAGAACTTCTGAAGTTATGAACCTAACTTGCTTGTGATGCAAATTAGTGACCTAGGGTGAGATGCTTCATTAATGCTTACTCCTGTGAGCCTCCAAGGTGTCAGAAGTTGGACTGCTTACTCTCACATTTTTTTTTTGCTGTGTAATGTGCATTAAAATAATTTATATTCATAGAGATGGTCCAATAAATTGCATATGGCTAGTTAATAAGCTGCTAAAGCAGAGAAGAAAATTAGATTTCATTTAGAAGAAAACAATATTTGGCTTTCCCCATGGAAATATGTGAAAAAGCTTTAGAAAATTCTGTTAACATTGAGGTCTCAGAAGAGACTGTGATTAAAAATAATAAAAAGAAAAAAATATGAATTTCTATCCAGATCACTATTTTTTTATCCAAGTGATGAGAAAAATTATGCAAACCCATGCATTTGCCCTGAGTTATGATTGTATTATATTAACCTCAGCTGACAATATCCTATGCTAGCTTTGGCTTACTTAGAATTCTGCCTCTTGGGTATAAACACACATCTGAAATTGACTCAGCTCATTTCTTTCTTGCTGGGGTCACTTTACTGGTTACTCCCAACTACTGAACTTATTTTATGTGTTTTCTTTTTTACAATATTACATTCTAAAATTTTTATCACCTAAGAATTCCTCTCTGATGATTTTATTACTCAATTCAAGATCTATAATTACGACCAAATCTCACAGATAACAAGATGCTAAGATGGGCTAATAAGGTTTTGCTTCTTTTACTTTATTCAAGGTAAAGTACTGGTTAGAGTGAACACTGCCCAGTCATTTGCAAGCAATGTTGGGACTATCAGGAGTGGCTTGTATTTTCCCATAAACTATCCTAGTGCAGTAGAAATGCCTGACAGTACTTGATGGCTGGTATCTTTGGATCTGAGTAGTTCAGATAGAAAAAGCAATTATCTTAGCAATGTCTGAGAAAGATGTTTTTGAAATTTCATTACTAAAAATAACAGGTGCTAATAATAAATATAAAACAGTAAATATTTGAGTATCTACTTTGTGTTCAATGCCATGTGGATCATTTTTTCAGTAGTATTGCTTTTCAGCAGAACACATTAGGTCATTTGGTACCAGAGTGTGTAACCATGGAGTCTATTTTCTATAAAATAGGAGAAAGCTTACTCTCTGCTCAAATTGACTGAAAAGCTACTGCCAGTGGATATTTGACTCTTGTAGAATTATTCTTTATAGTGCATCAGGTGGACAAAAAAGAAAGGATTCACAGAGAAAAGGTATGAATTATTACATGAGTTTTAGTGCAGTATAACTGTTGGATGATTCTTTATTCTAGTTATGGGTAGTGCTTTGAAAGATTAATTTAAGACTAGTCCTCTCCAGAAGTTCATGATAGTAGAAGATTAGGCTAGATTCTATAAATAAATTTTTTATATAATTATAAAAATTAACATTTATACTTTAGAAATTATAAAAATAATTTAATTTGAATCCATGAGTGAATTCAATATGTTATCAGATACATGTTTCTTTTCATTTTTCCTGATATAATAATTATAAGTAGGGTATTCTCTAATTGTTATGACTGAACTATCTGATTCTGATGCTGATGCAATTTCTACATTAATGTAATCAAATAGATGTACCAAACTAAGTGGAACTTTCGGTATACTGGAATGCTTATTGTATTGTCAGACATTTTGGTATTAAACCATTTTTTATCTATGATGAAATACTACTTGGCCATGGTGCTATTCTCTCAAGTTCATTCTCACTTACTTGTCATACTTTCCTTCATGTCCTTCAATAATATGAGCTATCTGAGAGGGCATCCCGTGTAGTCACATTACTTTATGTAATTGCCTCACCTTTTTCTTCAGATTACAACAAAGCATTTGCCGTGCTTTATCGCTAAAGTCATAATTATTTTCCATGTCATAGATCTTTATTATTCTCCAAAGTCCACTTTTTCTGTTTTAAATGAAACCAAATCTTTCCAAAAATTTATGCTTATAGAAATTCTTCAGAATGTATATTCTGTAATTTGATTTAAAGTATACAAAAATTCAGATTATCTATATATTTAATTCAAACTTTTAAAATTCTGATTGTCTGTCTGCTTCCAGTAAAAGTGTTTCTTCAGCTGTCATAATCCAGAAATATGGCAATGTTCACCAATCTATAGAGAAATTAAAAGTATCTGAGCATTCATTGTTGTTTTAATTTTCATTTTCCTGATGACATATGATGTGGAGCATCCTTTTATATGCTTATTTGTTATCTGTATATCTTATTTTAGTGAGGTGTCTCCTAAGGTTTTTGGCACATTTTAAAATCAGATTGTTTGTGTCCTTATTGTTGAGTGTTAAGATTATTTGTATATTTTCGATAACAATCCTTTGTTTGATAAGTGTTTTGCAAATATTTCTCCCAGTCAATGGCTTATCTTTCCATTCCCTTGACAGTGTCTTTCACAAATTTATACTTTAATGAAGTTCAGCTTATCAGTTTTTTTTTCATAGATCATGCCTTTAGTGTTGCAACTAAAAAAATCAATGCCAAACCCAAGGTCATCTACATTTTCTCCTGTGTTCTGGAAGTTTTATAGTTTTTCAGTTTACATGTAGGTAGAGGATCTATTTTGACTTAATTTCTGTGAAAGGTGTAAAGTTTCTGTCTAGTTTTATTGTTTTTACATGTGGATGTCCTGTCCAGCACCATTTGTTGAAAAGATAATCCATTGTATTGCCTTTCCTCCTTTGTCAAAGATCATTTGACTATGTTTATGTGGATTTATTTCTGGACTCTCTATAATGTTCTGTGGATCTATTTATCTATTCTTTTGCCATTGCCATACTTTTTTGATTATTGAAACTTTCTAGTACATCTCAAAGTCAGGTAGTGTTAGTCTTTCAACTTTGTTATTTTCCTTCAACATTGTATTGGCTATTCTGGGCATTTTGTCTTTCCATAGAAACTATAGAACCAGTTTGTCAATATACAAAAATGACTTTCTGTGATTTTTATTTGAATTGTATTGAATCTATAGATAAGATTGAGTTGATATCTTCACAATATTGAGTCTTTCTGTCAATGGACATGGAATATCTCTTCATTTATTTAATTCTTTGATCTCTTTAATAAGAATTTGTGGTTTTCCTCACATAGATCTTATAAATATTTTGTTGATTTATTCCTACATATTTTATTTTCTGGGATGATAGTGTAAGTAGTATTCAGTTTTTTATTTAAAATTCCACTTGCTCATTGCTAGTATATAGAAAAATGCTTGGCCTTTATGTATTAACCTGTTTATCCTGCAACCTTGTTATAGTCACTTTGTCAGTTCCAGTATTTTCTTTCTGGATTCTTTCAATTTTTCTACATAGATGGTTATGTTATCTATGATTAAAGACAGTTTTCTTTCTTTTTTTTCAATCTGTGTACCTTTTTTTCCTTTTCCTGTCTTATTGCATAAGATAGGACTTCCAGTACCTTGCTGAAAAGTGGTGATGAGAGGAGAAATCCTTGCCTTATCTCTGATGTTAGTGAGAAAGGAGTTTCTCACTGTTAAATGTGATGTTAGTGTGTAATGTAGAAATAGGTGTCAGATGCTTTTTCTGTATCTATTAATTTGATCAGGTGATTTTTCTTTTTTAACCTGTTGATATGACAGATTGTATTAATTGATTTCCAAATGTAAGCAGTCTTGAATACCTGCAAAGTGGTGGTAGTGTGTAATTATTTTTGTACATTGTTGGATTACATTTGGTAATATTTTGTTGAGAATTTTTGCATCTTTTTTCATGAAAGATCTTGGTCTGTAGTTTTCTTGTACTGTCCTCATCTGCTATTAGGGTAATATTGGCTTAATGGAATGAGTTAGAAAGTATTCTCTCTGGTTATATCTTCTGAAAGAGATTGTAGAGAACTGACATAATTTTTTCCTTAAATCCTTGGCTGAATTCACCGTGGACCCATCTGGGTCGGGGGCTATCTATTGGAAGGATATTAATTATTGATTTAATTTCTTTCTTTCTTTCTCTTTCTTTCTTTCTTTCTTTCTTTCTTTCTTTCTTTCTTTCTTTCTTTCTTTCTTTCTATTTTTTTTTTTTTTTTTGAGCTGGAGTTTCACTCTTGTAGGCCAGGCTGGAGTGCAATGGTGCAATCTCTGCTCACCTCAACTTCCACCTCCCAGGTTTAAGCGATTCTCCTGCCTTAGCCTCCAGAGTAGCTGGGACTACAGGTGCCCACCACCATGCCTGGCTAATTTTTGTAATTTTTTTTTTGGTAGAGATGGGGTTTCACCATGTTGACCAGGCTGGTCTAGAACTGCTGGCCTCAAGTGATCTGCCTGCCTCGGTCTCTCAAAGTGCTGGGATTACAAGTGTGAGCCACTGTGCCTGGCTGAGTTTTCTTTATAAAGATAGACCTATTCGGATTGCCTATCTCTTCTTGTGGGAGTTTTGGCAGATTGTCTCTTTCAAGAAATTGACTCATTTCATCTAGGTTATCAAGTTTGTGGGTGTAGAATTTTTCATAGTATTCCGTTATTATCCTTTTGATGTCCATGGGATGTGTAATGATGTCTCTTCTTTCATTTCTGACATTATTATAATAGTAATTTTCGTCCTCTCTTTTTCTTTTGTTAGTTAGCCTAGGTAGAGGCTTATCCATTTTACTGATCTTTTAAAAAGACCAAACTTTTTGAGTTTTGTTGATTTTTTTGATTTTCTGTTTTTAATTATATTTATTTCTGTTCTAATTTTCATTATTTCTCTTATTCCGTTTGCTTTGGATTTAATTTGCTCTTCTTTTTCTAGTTTCTAAAGTGGAAGCTCAGGTGACTGGTTTTATATTCTTCCTATTGTATGCTTTTGGTGCTATACATTTCTCTCTAACGAAGCACTGGTGGCTCATGCGTGTAATCCTACCATTTTGAGAGGGTGAGGCAGGAGGATTACTTGAAGACAGGAATTCAAGAGCAGCCTTGGTAACAAAGCAACACACCATCTCTACAAAGAAAAAAAAAATAATAATAAAAATTAGCCATTCCTGGCATGGTGGTGCACATCTCTAGTGTTCCTGCTACTCAGGAGGGTGAGATGGGAGGATCCCTTAAGCCCAGGAGATGAATGTTGCAGTGAGTTATGATCAGGCCACTGCAACCTACCTTGGCTGACAGGGTGAGACCATCTCAAGAAAAAAAAAAAAGATTTCATCTAATCACTGCTTTTCTTGTATGCTAGAAATTTTGATAAGCTGCATTTGTTTTTTTTGTTTGTTTGTTTTCAGTTAGGTGCATTTAAAATTCTCCCTTGTTATTTCTTCTTTGGTCCATATGTTACTTAGAAGCATGTTGTTTAATCTCTGAGTATTTTGGGATTTTTCAGCTATCTTTCTGTTATTGATTTCTAGTTAATTCCATTGTGATCTGAGAGAAGGCATTGTATTATTTTATTTATTCTTCTTAATTTCTTAAAGTGTGTTTTAAGGCCCAGAACATGGTTTATTTTGGTGAACGTTCCGTGTAAGCCTCAGAAAAATATATATTCTATTGTTGTATGAAGTAGTCTATAGGTGTCAATTATACGCAGTTGATTTATAATGTTGTTAATTTCAGCTATGTTCTTACTGATATCCTTCCTGCTGGATCCATCCATTTCTCAGGGAGGGGTGTTTAAGGTCACTTATATATAAAATTTTACCAGATATAGATTGCTCAAACAAGGAAGTTAATTAATGCACTGAATCATTGAATCAAGATAAAGAAATATAACAATGGTTTGTGATGATTGGATGAAAATAGCAGCCTCAAATGTAATGGCAATAAACATAATCCTGATTTTTCAGAAGAATTAGCATGGCAACATTTTACCTAAAAAATTATGAACATTTTATTGGCCTACAACATTGTTTAATGTAAGGGCCAGAATTGTGAGTCCATTTCTCAATATATGTAGTCAACTTTATAGTGTTTAGATCAGTGCATTATTAATTCCATTATTTTATAGATAATTTGAATCTCATTAATTTCTTCAGTTTTTCAAAAATATTAATTAGGCACCTGGTAGGGACAAAATAAAGTCTTTAAGTCCTTGAATGCTTTAAAGATATGACAAACAGCCTATCCTAAACAAAATTACTTTCTAGCAGGAGCTACTATACCTCACTCAAAATACATATAATAGCAGATTAATAAGTTTTGAGTCTATGAAAAGACATAAAGATATAGAAAAGCTGCTGTTGCCTTTTACATGAAGGAGAGATTACTTCCAGCTATATGCATCAGAGATGACTTTTATCAGAAAAGCAGCATTTTACTTTGTGTTGAAAATTTTAAAAATTGGATATGAGGGATGGAAGGCAGGACATTCTAGACAACATGGTGGAATAATAAAGGATATGCTTCAGAATCAGAAAGATGCCTTGCCAAAGTCTTGGTGTCATTAACCAGCTGGCAGTCATTATTTGACTCAGATTTTAAGAACACGTCTTAAATCACCATCACTTAATCCTATCGTTCCACATTATTTCTTTACATCTAAAATCAATGAGAATCTTTAGAAGGAAGAACCTATAAACTCTAAGTATAATGTAGTGTTTTAAAAAACTGTAAAAACCTTTATTTCTAAGTTTGATTTAGTAATCATCTTGCTTTCTGTTTAGAAAAGCTAGAAACATCACTACCTTCTTTATAGATGACAATGATATATCTTATGTGGTTAAACATTACCAAGTAGTTGCCTTAATCTTGGAGAGGAATAAAGGTAATTAAAAAATTAATAAAGCTGTCAAATTTTTGTAATGAGAACCCCTCTATTTTTTAATGTCTCCTGTATTATTACAAGATGATCATATATTTTACTGGGGATTAGAGAAATAATTATTTTCTGCCTTATTAATCCTGCATAGTTGGATGTAATCGTGATGTAATAAATACGTTAAAGGAGGTTCTCCCAGTTTCTTTTCTATAAAGTTATCTTAGTTACAAATGCTTTTTGACATTTGCATTATTATAGCATCTTTTTTCCTAATACAGGCTTTTTTATTAGGGAGGGGGAAATTTTAAATTTCCTTTATAAAATCTCTCTGTCCTCAATGTGAGATGCCCACAGTAAGCAAACATACCTTATATCCACATTGGCTTCGTGAAACATGAGTCACGGTTATAGCAAAACTCGCTAAAAATGGAGCCTATAAATTTATAGGCTATATAAATTGGAGCCTATATATATTAAAATGGAGCCTATAAATTTATCCTTTATAAATTTAAATTAGGAATATATTTTCTCTGGCTTAAACAGGGAGGAAGAAGAAAAGAGGGTAAAACTCAGTGCTGTCCATGCATGAAGTTAGCTTTGGTAATTGACTTTTGTGGTACTAAGATACTAAACTACATAGCTTCACTAAATGTGAGGCTGGAATGAGAAGGGTATGCAGTAATTAGTTACTTTGACTTTTTTTCACATAGCTTAGCATTTATTACTGTTTCTCTCATTGCTCTGACCTAAATCAATGACCTTTAAAATGAAATATATTTCATTGAGTCTGGTATAACCCCTACCCTTTCTATGATTATTATACATAATTTTTTTTTAAATTAAGTGACTCAAAATATGGAAGACGCCCATCCATGGAAGAGGGGCTGTTTTTAACTTTACTGAAACATCAAGAAGTAGTCATTATGATAAAATGTGTGCCTCATTTAACTTAAGAAATCAAATGTGACATTTATGATCAAGGCGAGAGTA
Organism: Homo sapiens; assembly: GCF_000001405.40. Taxonomy (NCBI): domain Eukaryota; kingdom Metazoa; phylum Chordata; class Mammalia; order Primates; family Hominidae; genus Homo; species Homo sapiens. The sequence goes on from NC_000009.12 coordinate 24,154,381, forward strand.
AAAAACTCATTTATTATACATTTAGTTAGATATAATTTATTATTTAACCAAAGTTTTTGGGCGGATGGTCAAATAAACTAAAAGAAAAAATGAAAACTCTGAGAGGAAAGGAAAAAAAAAAGATTCTTCCAGTAGAAATGATCTTTTGCTCTCATGTTGCCATAAGACATTTAGGTTTGGAACAGGTTGGTTTTTAAAAAGCAGTTGTTACAGATGAAGATCAACCTGTAGTCATTTTAAAATCATCTTTACAGGCTATATCAGCTAAAGTGCACTTCAGTTGTTTCCCCCCTCAATGGTTTAATGCTAGACTTACAAAATCCGAATCCTTGAAAATTAGGTCCCAGGATTTTTAACATCATCCTCAGTATATTAAAAAACTCAGAAATTTTAAAAACCACTGATTTAAATGGATTATTTTTTCTTAAGGAAAAAATCTTATTGGTTTTATTTTACACAGGATAATGAGGTCTTTTATGTTTTATATTTAATTCTTGAATGCTTTTATATAATGAGAACACGGAGAACTTTTACTAGAATTTTTGTGTGTGAACATCAAATAGATGCATAAATTCAAGTTATCATATGTTCCTACCTGCTCAAAACTGTAGCCATGAAAATAATGAATAACAATGGAAAAGCAAGTGGACCTAGAAGATTTCAAACTTAAGATAAATATTGCTGAGAACAAGAAAAAAAAAAATAGAAGAGTTACAACATGAATGGGGCCAAAGCCATAGAGATTCTGGTCTCTTGATCCCATATAGACAGTGGCAGTAGGAAGTGTGATACATTTAGGGTAAAGGGGACTAAAAGTTCTCTACACAGGAAGGAAGGAAGAAAAGAGGCACATGAGAAATAAGTTTACTGCTTGAAATTAAGGCCTGGGATGGGAATTTCTTTCAGGTAAAGGAAACTAAAACAAAGCAAAGCTCATGTCAGATCATTGCTTGCAGCTACAGCATTTAGCAAGCTGTTTTTCCGGTAGGGAGGATTTATGTACATACCACTTCAAGATGAGAAACTAAAAACAATTCCAAAGGTGGATGACTGAATCTGTGATATTCTCAGCTCACCAGGGACAGAAGGATGTTGTTAAATGTCATTATAAGACCTGGTTTCAGACCTGAGGTTGGGGCTGGGAAGAAGCAATTACAAAGTTACTGGAGAGGAAGGGATGAACACAGAGGGCAAAGGAAGAGATAGATGGATAGATTATTGAGAATGCATTCACAAGTCTCCCACAATAGTCCAGATCACATGAAGATGGCTAATGCTAAAACACAATCAGAATTAAATGTTGAATTTGTTCTACATGAAATTAATTTTATGGAACAGTCTGAGGAAAAGTTTAAAATAGACGTAAAATGACAATGAGCTCAAAACACCTTCCATTTTAAAAGGGTACTAAATTATAAAGCAAAATGTAGAAATAAAAACAAAAATAGGTGAATATTAGAAAGAACCAATTACAAATCTTGGGTATTAAAAAATCAGTAAAATATTAATTAAAAAATTTAATAGATGGGATAAATTCAAAAATGTCTATATATATATATATATTTAGTGAATTGAAAGTGGTACTGAGGAAAACATTCAGAATTCAGGAGAAAAACAAGTAGTGGAAAGTTTGAAAAAACGCTGTACAAACGCTGTCATATTGGATTAGGGTCACCCTAATGACCTTGCTTTAACTTCATTACTACTGTAAAAACCCTCCCTATCTCCAAATATAGTTCTCAGGTACTAGGGTTGTGGATTTTAACATGAATTTTTGGGAGACACAATTCAGCCTATAACAGCATGGAAAATATTTAAAATGCTGTAAGGATACACAGAAATGAGAATTTTTAGTACAGTGGTCATTAGAAATGCTAACTGGCAAAGCCATGTTGGAGAGCAATTTGAAAATAATATGTAAATTTAATGATGTATTTATCTTTCATCCAGTAATTCTACTTTTAGATATTTATAAAAAGTTTTGCACATGGGCACAAGTTAGTATGTATAAGAATGTTCTTTAAGATGGAGGGATATACTACATCACTCAACAAAAACAAAGCTGTTATACAAAAACATAATGCTAGCTGAAAAGGTAAGTTGCAGTGTTATAAACATATTATAATATCCATATAACAAATTTTAAAACATGACAAGGCACAGTGGTTCATGCCTGTAATGCTAACACTTTGGGAGGGCAAAGCACGAGGATTGCTTGAGCCCAGGAGTTCGAGACCAGCCTGGGCAATATAGCAAGACTTCACCTACAGTAAAAATTAAAAAAAAAAATTTAGCCAGGCATGATGGTGCACACCTGTAGTCCTGGCTACCTGGGAGGCTGAGGTTGGAGGATAGCTTGAGCCTGAGAGGTTGAGGCTGCAGTGAGCCATGATCACACCACTGCACTCTAGCCTGGGTGACAAGAGTGAGACCGTATTAAAAAAAAATTAAAAATATGTTACTTTCTCTATTGTTATTCTACAAGTATGTAGAATAGCTCAAAATATGCATACTTTTGCAAATACTAAGTTCAAGGTATTATTTGCATCCTAAGATGAAAGAGGTGAGGGAATTTGAATCATGGATGAATACCAGTTGTGGTAGGGAGAATAATGGACTCCCATATATCAACTATGTGCCCATTCTAACCGCCAGAACCTGTGGCTGTCACGTTACATAGCAAAGGGAAATAAAGTTGGCAAATGAAATTAAGGTTGCTAATTAACTGACCTTAAGATGAAGAGATTATCCTGGAGTATTTCAGTAGGCATAACATAATTAACAAAGGTCCTTAAAAGTGAAAGGGGGAGGCAGAAGAGTCAGCATCAATCAGAGTGACACAATGTGTAAAAGACTTGACTGGCCATTGCTGGCTTTGAAAAGGAAAGGGGCCTTGAGCCAGGGAATGCAGGCAGTCTCTGGAAGTTGGGTAAGGTAAGAAAACAGATTATCCCCTGGAGTCTTCAGAAGGAACACAGCCGCACGGAGACCTTGATTTTAGGCAAGTTAGATGCTTCTCTGATTTCTGTGTTATTTTGGGCCATGAAGTTTTAGATAATTCGTTACAGCAACAATAGAAAACTAATAGGAGTTCATTTGTTTCTGTAACACTTTATTACTTAAAAAAATACAACTTCATCATATAAATCTTATGTTTTCTTTCCTATTACATCAGCTTGCACAATGTCATTTTCTTATTAATCTCCAATTTATAGGGGCTTCATAGTGACAGCTAGAAGTTGGAGTAAGATGACCAGCTGGCCCTGTGGAACATCCAATGCCTGGGGTGTTTGAAATCTTGTGGATACTTTGGATAGTGTCCAGACAAATAGCAGTTATGATTACATCCTTACACTGTTAAATGTTCAGTGCCACAGCTTGCTTTGGTCTCCGAAGGGATCAACAATTTTCTTATGTGGCAAATTATTATTATTTTATTTAGCATATTTCTACAATTACGTTCGGCTACAAAATATTCATCATTAGGGGCAGATATGATAAAGCTATTAACTGCTGTCAAGAAACATGGATAGTTTTCTTAGGAAAGAAAAAAGAACGATAAAGATGTTCACAAATTGGTTCTTTCCGTTCTGCTGCAACTCCTGTCTTTGTGAACGCCAAATATAGCTAATGGTCCACCACATATTGCTTAGGCACTAACATCTAATTTCTGGTTATGCTTTATTTCCCATAATACTTTATATTTCCAATACCACTTTGTTTTTCTTCCTTCAACTCTCTGCCATCCAAGTCTTCTACTTGAATAATTTTCAAGAAATTTTGGGTTGTAAACAATTGGTAGTTTCTTCCATAATTATCTTTCCCGTAACCAAATGTATTTTAAATTGCTTTCAGGATAAGTTTATTTATGTTTTCATCTTAATGTACTCTTGTGGACCCTGTTAACCTTAAACATTTGCTTGACATCTGGCATTTTTTTAAGTCTCTAAGTATTTACCTCTTAATCTTTGCCTTTTGCTATGAATATATATGTCTGAGCCTTCATATTATAATACTCAGCGGGTTCTTTATCTGATCCTGTTGAGGACACAGGCAATTTTTTCCAATGAGGAAAAAGGGCACAATGAAATCTCATGACTTTCTTTTTACTGAAGGAGAGAATATTTTGTTCTGTATTACCAGAAAATGAAAAGAAGGAAACTTGAAAAGACCACTCCTAGTATTTTCCTAATTTTACTCATAGTAAGTTGGAGAATGGGGACAATATTTTTAAAGAAGATAGTTGAGAAACATTATTTGGTAAGTGCTCTAACATGAAATTAAGACGACTGCTTCTTTTATTCGGTGAAAATTCCTGTAGAGCGTAGAATAGTGCTGTAAATTTCCCCCTCCTTCCCTTTCTCTCTTCCTTCCTTTCTCCTTTTCTTCTTCCTCTCTTCCCCTCTCCCTCCTCCCCTCCTGCTCTCCTTTCCTTCTTCTTCCTTCCTCCTTTCTCTCTCCCTCCTTATTTCTTTTCCTCTCCCTCTTTATATTTTCTTCCTTCTTTCCTTCCTGCCTTCCTGCCTTCTTTCCTCACTTTCCCTTTTAATTTTCTTTCTCATCTCTTTCAGACCATTTCCCTTTTTCACACATGCCCTTTGTTTCTTAAATCTCTTAAGTCCACCTTTATTTTTCTTCTGTTTAGCAATCTCTCCCATTCTTTTTGCTATCTTGTTTCTGTACTCACATACTTTTCCTTATAACCTTCATATGATTTATTTCCAGGCTATTTCTACGGTAACAATACTGGTTCAGGCCTAAAGCACTACAGAGGCACAGTGAAGTGGTTTATGTCATCCTTTATAATGCAAATCCAGATATAACAGAGTTGTTGATTGCCTACCATCTTCCCCCCAGCCCTCCACCTCCTCTATCTATGAGTATGGGGCAAAGTCATATCTTTCCAAATGGGGTAGAGGTGGGGGTGGTGTTTGTAGGTCAAGAGGGCGAGCTTCAGGCAACATATTTAGGGTAGTGGGAGAACAGGGGATGAGTCCCCTCCAGATCTAGAATTCTTTTGTCCCAATCTTCCTGGTAAAGCTGACAAAAGGGCAGCAACAAAGTGGGAGATTCCTGGAATAATTGTCCCTGTCCTGGAAGTCGTAGGCAGTCTCCAGGACCCGGAATCATCTCCAATGTTACTTAAACTAGAGGGATAATAATGGTTGATGACTGAATTAACTTTAATATTTTCTGATCATGTCCTGTCTTCACTCATAACCTTACATAGTTTTCAAAATTTTGCTTTCAAAGATCTCCAAGTATTTGCACTCTTCCCTATAATCTATTATTTCTCTAGTCCAACTATCCTTTCTAACCCAATAAAAACCCAATTAATACTATTTTTGTATAAATAATTTTGGAACTTCCTATGCTTATCATACACACACACACACACACACACACACACACACACGTAGAAAGAGAGGTTCTCACTCTGTCATGCAGTGTGGAGTGCCATGGTGACATCATAACTCATTGCAGCCTCCAACTCCTGGGCTCAAGAGATCCTTCTGCCTCAGTGTCCTGAGTAGCTGAGACTACAGGCATGCACCACCATGCCCAACTAATTTTAAAATCCTTTTATAGAGACAGAGTCTTGTTGTGTTGCCCAGGCTAGTCTTGAACTCTTGGCTCAAATGATCCTCCCACCTCAGCCTCCCAAAGTGTTGGGATTACAGGAGTGAGCCACCGCATGCTTCCCAGGGCGTATTTTTGAATCGAGCACATATCTTCCTTTATCTCATCCTGCTTAATCATTTAACCTATTCTAATTTCATAGCTTTCTCTTATATTCATGAAAGTTGTATCTTCTTACATGCTGCCCAAAGGATTGCTCAAAGTTTCCTGTAATAAATCAAATAGTAACATGCCTTTCCTCTGACAGTCTTGGGTGAGGTTCCCTTTATATAGTGCAGTATTTTTGAAATTTTCTTTTCCATGTTCTTCTGTTTATTGATCTTTAGGTGATGAGACAGCCTATTCTGATCTAGTATTTGCTGGCAAATGGGTAGGGAACTTGTCAGCTGCTTTTGGAGCTCCATTTAACTGCTGGAGAAATTGCCTTCTCAGATTACCAGGGTTCGAGTTGATCTGGTTGTTTCTGTGCCAGGATTTCACAGACTTTTACTAAGTGCACCCTTTAGCTTAACAGAGATGGAACCTTCTGAACCTTGCTTTAATTTTTAACTTAAAAAAATACAATTATTTACATTATTAAAATTATTATTTTAGTTAATTTTTATTCAGGCATAACTCATATAAAGTTCTAAACTTTAAGGATGTAACTCAATGACTTTTTGCATATGTATAAACAAATACAACTAACTGTCTTCCATGTCAGGATATGGAACACTTAGAGCATCACATACAGCTCCCTAGGACATTTTTCTAGTCAATAACATCCCCTCTCATCTGTGGAGGTAAACACCCTTTTAGCATCTATCACCATTAATTTATTTTTCTATTCTTGAACTTTCTATAGAATCATGCATTATTGCCTCTTTTGTATCTGCCTTGTTGCATGTAGTGACAGTTCTTTTTTAAATTATTTATATGTATTATCCCGTGTCTTAACATATCACAATCTATGTTTTCATTTTACTGTTAATAGTTATTTTTGTTGTTTATAGCATTTGGTTGTAATAAATAAAGTAGTTTTGAACATTCTTGACCATTTCTTTTGGTGTACAAATACACTAATTTTTCTTGACTGGACCTAGGAGTGGAATTGCTGGGTCATAAAATAGCATATGTTTAACTTTGGTCAATACTCTAGGTTTACAAGGTAGTTTTATCAAACTACACTCCAATTTGCAGCATATAAAAATTTCAGTTGCTCTATATTTTTCCCAACATTTATTATGTTAAATAATTTTTCATGTTAGTCATTGTGATTGATGTGCAGGAAAGATCTTGTTTTAACTTCATTTCTTTAATGATTACATTGATGTTTTTATCACACTGTATTAGTCCATTTTCACACTGCTGTAAAGAAATACCCAAGAGTGGGTAATTTATAATGGAAAGAGGTTTGACTCACAGTCCCGCGTGGCGGAAAGACCTTAGGAAACTTATACTCATGGCAGAAGGCGAAGGGGAAGCAGGCACCTTCCTCACAAGTTGGCAGGAGGGAGAAGTGAGAGCACAGGAAAAAAAAAACCAAAAACCTGCCACTTTTAAAACCATCAGACCTAGTGAGAATTCACTCACTCTTAGGAGAACAGCATGGGAGAAACTGCCCCCATGATCCAATTACCTTCCTCCCTTCACACGTGGAGATTACAGGTTCCTCCCTCGACATGCAGGGATTATAATTTGAGATGAGATTTGGGTTGGGACACAGAGCCAAACCATATCACACACAAAATACACACATACACAGTATCACTTTATCACTTTTGCTCATTAAAAAATTGGGGTGCCCATCTTTTCATGATTTGTAGTAGTTTTTTACGTTCTCCTGATGTGAGCCCTTTTATCAGTTTTCTTTCTTTGTGTGACTTTCATTTTTATTCTTAATTATGTTTTGGATGGTCAGAATGTCTTTAATGAAACTGAATTTCCCATTTTTTTAAAATTTAAATATATATATATATATATATATATTTTGAGACAAGGTCTCACTCTGCCACCCAGGCTGGAGTGCAATGGTGCGATCTTGTCTCACTGCAGCCTCTGCCTCCCCGGCTCAAGCGATTCTCCTGCCTCAGCCTTCAGAGTAGCTGGGATTACAGGCACCGCCACAATGCCTGGCTAATTATTGTATTTTTAGTACAGATAGGGTTTTGCCATGTTAGCCAGGCTGGTCTCAAACTCTTGAGCTCAGGTGACTCACCTGCCTTGGCCTCACAAAGTCCTGGGATTATAGGTGTGAGCCACCGCACCAGCCTCTTGATCATTCCCATAGTCATGAAGATAGTTTCCTGTTTTCTTAGAAAATTTATTATTTAACATTTAGGTCTATGATCCATATAAAATTAATTTCTGTCTATGGTGTGAAGTAGCAATGGTTCATGCTTCTCAATTTATATATCCAATTGTTCTGAAACCATTTATTGAAAAGACTGTCCTTTCTTTATTAAAACATACAGGTATCTTTAAAGTAAATCAGGCAACCAATTATATGTGAATCTGTTTCTAGACTTTAATCTGTTTAATTGGTATATTTGTCTATCTTTTTGAAAATACCATATTATCTTAATAACAGTCACTTAATATAAGTCTTGAATTCTGCTAATGTAAGATCTCAGTTTCTATTCTTTCAGGATTACCTTGGCTATTTTAAGTCCTTTAAATTTTTATATCAATTTTAGAATCAACTTGTCATTTTACTGTCACACAATAAACATGCTGATATTTTGATTAGGATTGCACTGACACTGCAGATCAGTTTGAAGAGAATTGACATTTTAACAACATCCAATATTTTTGTCCACAAATATTGCATATATCTGCATTTACTTAAGTCTCTTAAAATTTCTTTCGATAATATTTTATTGCTTTCCTTTGTAGAGGCTTCATATAGATTTTATTAGATTTACTGTTATATTTGATATTTTTGATGCTAGGTAATTACCATTCTTTTTAAAATTATAGTTTCCATTTTTTTCTTGCTAGTGTATAAAAATATTTTTGTATCCATAAACCATTAATTCACTGTGTCTATTAATTTACTTTTAATCCTTATTGTAGGTTTTTAAATATTTTTTACATATACCATCATTTTTCTTTCTTTTCTGTTTTCAAACCTAAAAGGAAGATCACAAGCCAATACATCTTAAAAACATAGATGTAATTTATAAACATAAATTACTGATAAAATAGAATATTTTCTTCTTACCAGTAAGGTGCTAATTGTAAAATTTTTGTGGCTAAATTTATCAGATTTAGATAGTTCCTTTCCATTACTAGTATGCTAAGAGCTTTTATCATGAGCAGATTTTAGATTTTCTGAAATGATTTTGTGCATATATCGAGATGATAAACTTTAAAATTCTGTTAAAATAATGAATTACACTGATTGATTTTCACATGTTAATTCAACCTTGCACTCCTTCTTGGTAATGATATATACTTTATATATTGTTGAATTCAACTCATAAATATCCATTTAGGGTTTTACGTCTATGGTTTTAAGAGGTATTGGCTTGTGATTTTCCTTTTATGTAATGTTGTTTCCAGATTTTGATATCAGAGATATATTGATATTATGGGCAGTGGGAAGTGTTTTCTCTTTTTATATTCTTTGGAAGAGTGTGTGTGAAATTTGTATTTTTTTCTTTAAATGTTTGATAGAATTTACTATGGAAGCCATCTGGGCCTGGAGTATTCTTTGTGAGAATTTTTAAAAAGCTTTATTGAGCTATAATTGACATTTAATACATTACAGAAATTGCAAAACAATTTTTTAAGTTTTGAGATACATACATACTTGTGGAGCTATCACTACAATCCAGATAATGAACATACCCATCATCTTTAAAATTCCTCCCTCCACTTCTCTGATCCCAGTAAAGACATTTATTCTGTCACTATATATTAATATGCATTTTTATAATTTTTTTGTAAGTGAAATTACACAGTACATACTCTTTATTCCTGGCTTCTTTCATCCAACATAACCATTTAAATATTCATTCAGGTTGTGTGTATCAGTATCAGTAGTTTTTTCCTTTTTGTCAATGAGTAGTATTCCATTGTACAGGTATAACACAGTTTATCTATTTACCTCCTTTGCATTGTTTCTTTAAACACTGTTTTTTTACCTATTTACCTCTTTTTGGGTTGACTCCAGTTTTTGCCTATTACAAATAAATCTGCTATGAATATTCATGTACAAGTATTTGAATGGTCATTTGCTTTCATTTTTTCTTGGGTGAGCATGACTAGATCAAATGGTTGGTGTATATATAAACTTTAAGAAAGTGTAAACTGTTTTCTGAAAATGTTGTACCATTTTATATTCTTACCAGCTGTATATAAGAGTTTCAGTTCTTCCACATCCTTATCAACACCTGGTATGATCAGTCTTTTAAATTTTAGCCCTTCTAATAGTGATATTATAGTATCTCATCCTGATTTTGTGTTTCCCTGATATCTAATGATGTTAAGAATCTTGTCATGTGCTCTGTAGCCTTTGTCATACTTATGTATATATGTATGTATCTATCTATTTAATTTGCTATTTTTTTCCTACTAGTCTGACTTTTCTGCTCATTGTACATATATTGTGCTGCTGGAAGTTGTAAAGGAGTTTGGTGATTCTCTCTGTTCATTTTCTTAAAAATCCTCTGTTCTTTCTGTTTTGTTTTTGATATTTTCTATTGCTATACTTTAAAACCTTCCCATAATTTCATCTATTGCATTTTTAAATTCTATAAAATTATGGTTTTCATCTCTGGAAGTTTCAATTTGATTCTTTTTTATATGTTCTATATCGCTAATTAACTTTTTGAATATATGGAATACAGTTATCCTTAATGTTTTAATTTCATCTGTTAATTTTAACATCTGTCAGTTTTAGTTTGGTTTCAATTGATTGTTTTTTGGTTTCCATTTATTGCTTTGTTCTTTGTTATGGATTATATTACCCTGCTTTTTTGCATAACTGGTTATCTTTCATTGGATGTCAGATATTGCAAATTTTACCTTTATTGGTACTATTTTTCTATTATAAATATTCTTGAGCTTTTGTCCCAGATGCAGTTAAATTACCTGGAAACAGTTTGATTCTTCTGGCTATTACTTTCAAGATTTGTTAGTTTGGACCAGAACCATACTCATTTAGGGTTAATTATTTCTCACTACTGAGATAAAACACTTGAGTGTGCTCTACTCATTGTCCACGAATCATGATTTTTTCCAGTTTTGCTGGAGAAAAGAGACACTATTCCGGGTCCTATGTAAGCATCAGACATTGTTATCTCTAACCCTTTTAGCTTTTCTCCTTGGCCTCAGGCAATTTCTTCAATCAATTTCCTGATCAGACTCAGCTGAGTACTCTGAAGTTCTCCGAATTTCCTTCTCTGTTGCTTTCTACACTCTGGTACTCTTTCTAGAAAACTCTAGTTGCTTTGGTGTCCCCAGACTTTCAGCACTGTCTCCTCAACTCAAGGAGTCCCCTGGGCTCTGCCAGGATTTCCCCTCTGCACTGCTGCCTGGAAACTCTCTAAAGGTAGTAAGCTGGGGCAAGAGTGGGTCTCATCCCATTTGTTTTGTATCTCCCAGTGCAAAACAAATGTTTTGATGTCAGGCCTCATGTCAAGTTTCATTTTTGAATAAAACTCTTGTTCCAAATATTATGTTATTTTATTGGTTGATTAAAGTGGAAGGTAAGTGATATGGTTTGGCTGTGTCCCCACCCAAAATCTCATCTTGAGTTGTAACCTTTATAATCGCCGCGAGTCGAGAGAGATCAGGTGGAGGTAATTGAATCATAGAGTGGTTTCCCCCCATGCTGTTCTCGTGGTAGTGAGTGGGTTCTCACAAGATCTGATGATTTTATAAGTGTTTGGTAGTTCTTCCTGTGTTCATTCTCCTTCCTGTAGCCTAGTGAAGAAGGTGCCTTGCTTCCCCTTTGCCTTCCATCGTGATTGTAAGTTTCCTGAGCCACCCGCTACCCAGCCATGCTGAACTGTGAGTCAATTACATCTCTTTCCTTTATAAATTGCCCAGTCTTGGGCAGTTCTTTATAGCAGTGTGAAAACAGACTAATAGAGTAGGTAATGGTCGTCTGTGAAAAAGGTTTTAATTACAAGCTAAATTTAGTTTGTCTTAGTTTTAAAAATATTTATTTTTATTTTTGAAAATTAATTTTAATTGACAAAAATTATATATATTGTATACCATATGATGTTTTGAAATATGTGTATACATTGTAAAATGGCTAAATTGAGGTAATTAACATGCATTATTTTCTATACTTTTTGTGGTGAAAACACTTCATATTTACTCTTAATGATTTTCAAGAATACAATACATTGTTATTAATGGTAGTCACCATATGGTTCAGTAGATCACTTGAAATTATTCCTTTGATTTAGCTGAAATTTTTTGCCCTTTGACCATCATCTATCCAACCCCCTACCCCCACTCTCTGTCCCTGTTAACCATCATTCTACTGTCGCTTTTTTGAATTCAACTTTTAAAAATTCCACACGTAAGTGAGATCATGTGGTATTTGTCTTTCTGTCCCTGGCTTATTTGGCTTAACATAATGCCTTCCAGGTTATCCATGTTGTCACAACTGACAGGATTTCCCTCTTTTTAATGGCTGAAAAATATTCCATTGTGTGTACATACCACATTTTATTTATCTATTCATCAGTCAATGAACATTTAGGTTGCTTCTGTGTCTTGGCTATTGTGAATAATGCTGCAATGAACATGGGAATGCAGATATCTGTTTTACATATTGATTTCATTTTCTTTAGATGTATACCCAGAAGCTAATTGTTGGATCACATGATAGTTTTATTTTTAACTTTTTGAGGAACCACGATACTACTTCCCATAATGTCTCTTATATTCCTACCAACAGTGTGCAAGAGTTCTCTTTTATCCACATCCTTGCCAACTCTTATTATTTGTCTTTTTGATAACAGCCATTCTAATAGGTGTGAGATGATATCTCATGTGGTTTTGATTTGCATTTCCCTGACGATTAGTGATGTTGAGTGTATACTGGTTGGTCATATGTTTCCTTCTGAGAAATGTCTGTAAAATTTATTCACCTATTATTAAATCAGGTTATTTGTTTTCTTGCTATTGAATTACGTTCCTTATATATCTTAGTTATTACCCCCTTATCAGATGTATGGTTTGAAATTTTTTTTCTCCCATTCTAGGTCATCTCCTTACTCTGTTTGTTTCCTTTGCTGTGCAGAAGCTTTTAAGTTTGATGCAATCCTATTTGTCTATTTTGCTTTTGTTGCCTGTGCTTTTAGGGTCATATCCAAAAAATAATTGCTTAGACCAATGTCATGGAGGTTTTCCCTTATATTTTCTTCTAGTAGTTCTAGTTTCAGGTCTTAAAATCTTTAATCTACTTTGAGTTGATTTTTTATATGGTGTGGGGGTACGGGTGCAGTTTCATTTTTCTGCGTGTGAATATCCAGTTGTCCCGACACCATTTATTGAAGAGATTGTCTTTTCTCCATTGTGCGTTCTTGGCACCTTTTTTTGAAAATCAGTTGACTGTAAATGTGTCTGGGCTTTCTATTCCATTCCATTGGTCTATGTGTCTGTTCTGATTCCAGCACTCTTTATGCTCTTTTGATTGTAATAGCTTTGTGGTATATTTTAAGGTCAGGTAGTTTGATGTCTACAGCTTTTTTCTTTCTGCTCAACATTGCTTTGCCTATTTGGGATCTTTTGTAGTTCCATATGAATTTTAGATAGTTTTTTCTATTTCTGTGGAAAATGTCACTGAAATTTTGATAAAGATTGTATTAAATCTGTAGGTCACTTTGGGCCAGAATAAAAATTTTAGCAATATTAATTATTTCAATTTATAAGCCCTAGATTTCAATTTATTAACCCTAGATTTCAATTTGTTTGTGTTTGTTTTCAATTTATTTCATCAGTATTTTATAGTTTCCAGTGCACAAATCTTTCATGTCCTTGATTAAACTTATTTCTAAGTATTTTTTTATAGCTAGTATAAATGGCATTGTTTTCTTAATTTCTTTTTTCAGGAGGTTCTCTGTTAGCATATAGAAATGCTACTAATTTTTGTATGTGGATTTTGTATGCTGAAACTTCACTGAATTTGTTTAATAGTTCTAACAGGTTTTTGGTGGACTTTTTGAGTTTTCCATATATAAGATCATGCTGTTTGTAAACACGGCTAATTTAACTTCTTTCTTTCCAACTTGAATGCCTTTTATTTTCTTTTGCCTAATTGCTCTGGCTAGAACTTTCAGTGTTATATTGAATAAAAGTGACAAGAGTGGTCATTGTTGTATTGTTCCTGATCTTAGACGACAATTTTTCAACTGTGTTGAATATTATGTTTGCCATGGGTTTGTCATATATGGCTTTTATTGTGTTTAGGTACTTTTTTTCTATACCTACTTTGTTGAGAGTTTTTATCATGAAAGCATGTTGAATTTCATCAAATGCCTTTTCTGCATCTGTTGAGATGATCATATGATTTTTATCTTTCATTCTGTCAACATGGTGTGTTACATTTATAGGACTGGGTATTTTCATCCATCTTCATATTCCAGGGGATACATCTCCATTGATCATGGTGAATGATACTTTTAATATGCTGTTGAACTTGGTATGCTAGCATTTTGTTGAGAAGTTTTACAAATATGTTAATTAAGTGTATTGGCCTGTAATTTTCTTTTCTTGTATTTTCGCCTGGCTTTGATATCAGGATAATGCTGGCCTTTTAAAATGAGTTTGGAAATGCTCCCTTTTCTTGAATTTTTGTTGTTGTTGTTGCTGCTGTTTGAGACAGAGTTTCACTCTGCCACCGAGGCTGGAGTGCAGTGGTGTGATCTTGACTCACTACAACCTCCACCTTCTGGGTTCAAGTGATTCTCCTTCCTCAGCCTCCTGAGTAGCTAGGATTACAGGTGTGCACCACCATGCCCAGCTAATTTTTGTATTTTTAGTAGAGATGGGATTTCACCATGTTGGCCAGGCTGGTTTAGAACTCATGTCCTCAGGTGATCCGCCATTCTTGGCCTCCCAAAGTGCTGGGATTACAGGCGTGAGCCATCCCGCCCAGTCTTCTTGAATATTTTGAAAGAGTGAGAAAGATTGGTATTAGTTCTTTCAATGTTGGTGGATTTTTGTAAAGAAGCTTTCAGTCCCTGAGCTTTTCTTTATGAGTGACTTTTCTTGTTGGTTCAATCTTCTTACCCATTATTGGTCTGTTCAGATTTTTATTTATTCATAATTCAGTCTTTATAGGTGGTATGTGTCTAGAAATTTATGTATTTCTTCTATGTTATTCAATTCTTGGTGTATAATTATTCATAATATTCTTTTATAATCCTTTGTATCTCTGTGGTATTGCTTGAAATGTCTCTTCTTTCATTTCTGATTACATTTATTTGAGTCTTCTCTCTTTCTTAGTCTAGTTAAAGGCTTGCCAGTTTTATCTTTTCAAAAATCCAACTCTTAGTTTTATTAATCTTTTCTATTGTTTTTCTAGTCTCTACCTCATATATTTCTCTCTGATCTTTATTATTTCTTTCTTTCTACTGATTTTTTCTTTTAGTTTGTTCTTTTTCTAGTTGTTTGAAGTGTAATCTTGGGTGATTTATTCAGTCTTTCTTCTTTTTTGATGTAGATGTTTATTGCTATAAACTTTCCTCTCAGAACTACTTTTTCTGCATTCTATAAGTTTCATTATATTGTGTATCCATTTTCACTTATATCAAGATATTTTTTATTTTTTTCTTTGACCCATTGGTTGGTCTGAATTATGTTGTTTAATTTTCATGTAGCACATTAAATTTAATTGATAAATGACTATTCAGAGATGTTTTCCTTATGTCAGCTGCTATTTTATAAGTTTCAAGGAGTTCTTCCATTTCATCCAATTTTCACATTTATTTGCATGATATTTTTTATTATATTTTCTTATTTATTAACAATTTTTCATAATGTTCCCTTTTTATCCTAATTTGATAACATTGGATATAGCTGCCAATTGCTTCTTTATACAGTTCATGCAGCTACTGCCAAGCTATTTGAGTTTGCCTTGTCATAGAGTATTACTCGCCACTCCAGTGTAGTTAAAAAAAAAAAAAAAGCCCACTGAACTAGGTATCTAAAAACATGGGATAAAATAAGGCTTTGACAGATCATAATTTTGAACTTATTATGTAAATTTTGTAGACCTTTGTTTCCTTACCTGTAGAATGAAAATAATCGTGGCTATGTGGTTTAGAAAACTGTCTTAATCTATTGGGGCTGCTATAGCAAATACTTTAGATTGGGTGGCTTATAAACAACAGAAATTTACTTCTCACATTTCCGGAGGCTGAGAAGTCAAGGTGCTATCAGAATTGGTGTCTGCCGAGGTTTTATTCCCTACTTTATCGATGGTGCCTTTTTGTTGTTTCCTCTCATGATGGAAGGGGCAAACAAGCTCTCTTAAGGTTCCTTTATAAGGGCACAAATCACATTCATGAGGATTCTGCCATCATAACCTAATCACCTCCTAAATGACCCACCTGTTAATTAATTGCAGTGGTGATTAGGTTTCAATGTATGAATTTTGTGGGGACACGAACTTTCAGACCATAGCAAGAACCAAATAAGAGTAGAAGGGCATGCTAAATAATGAAGAGAGTTATGAGTAAAGGATCCTGGTTACAAGTCCTGGATCTCACCCTTATAAACTAGAGCTTGGACAAGTTGGTAAATATCATGAAGACAGCATCTGCATATATTTTGTTTTTCTCTCTATCCACAGAATAGCACCTATATAGTAAGTATGCAAATGGTAATTATTGAATTAAATGCTTTGCCAAATAAGGGGATTTTAGAAGATTATACGTAATGTCTCTTTAAGTTATATATTCTGTAATTCTAGGTAATATATGTAAAAGTGCTTTGAAGATTGAACAGTACAATTGTAAGAAATTATTTTTAAAATCCTGGTTACATAATTGTAAAGCTGCTAAAGCAGAAGTAAGACATTTTTGATATTATTGCCAGATAACTGGTGGCAGGCTTGGATTCTTCAATAGGGAGTAGACAGAGTATGGACTATAAAGTTCTGCTGGACTAAATGATAATTATTACATATCAATATTAGATGGGCCACTGGCATCCCCTGAGTTTTCAGTTTATTCTATAAGTGCTTGCATAATACTTTTAAGATATACTTGGCACCTGTATCTAACAATTATAATACATTGAGCCTTTCCTCCCAATTTCCTTTTGAATATTAGTAAGGCTATATAGTTGGCTCCTACCTAGTAAGAAATACTCCCTTGCTGCTACATTTTTGAAATGGTGTGGCCAAAATTGGTATCCAGTAAACAAACACTTATTTATATACCACTGAGTGTGGGTAATAATGAGCTTAAATAATGCATGTATGTGGGTCATTTGTTCTAGAACATTGTGGTTTTAAACCTATTGCAGATAGACCAAGTTAATTCTCAGGCTTCTTTATTTTCTAAAACGTCAGACCAGTAAATAGAATATTTTATGACATGTAAGTTCTGCTGTCATTTTGGATCTTAAATCTACATCTTAAAAAATGATATAGCATAATAATGATAGTGGTAACCTGAAGCAATTTTTAAAGCTTGTTTTCTGTTAATGGGGGACATTACCTATTTTCTTTTTGACTGTGAAAGATTCAGGTCAGCAAAGATCTAGCAAAATGCATGTCATTGCAGATTTCCTTCATTGTCACCTGTTGCTTGGGCATCGTCACATGTGAAAGAGAAAATGATTTCTTCTTTTCTCTTTTCTTTGTTTCCTGTCTTTTTAAATGTTCTGACTGCCTGGTGTGTGTCCAGGACAAAATGTTTTTTGTGGGGTGTGTGTGTGTGTGTGTGTGTGTGTGTGTGTGTTTGTGTGTGTGTGGCAGGGGGAGGGGAGTGGGGAGGCATGTATAAGAGGCACAAAGAAGAGATAAAATCAAAAAGTACATAATATGTCTTTTACTTTCCTCAGGCAAAAATTGTTTTTCTATTTGGTCTTAGTTCGGCTTAGTGTTAACTGCCAGCTCTAAGTCATGCCTTCCTTTGGAAGACATTTTCAATCAGAATGTACGCTAGAACATCCTGTTAGACTGTTCTGATTTTATGGACTAATGTCTTCTGTCTTTCTGTCTTCAGGAGTTTCTGGGCTTGTAGACTTTTGGACACGTGGAAACTGTTATATGCAAAACCACAGGTGCTTCTATCTATGTGTTCAGTTTTTATTCCTGCATACAACTGTACAATAAATATAATCTTTGTTCTTTAGAAAACAACAATTGTTCTTTTGCAGTTTGAACTTTGAGCCTCACATTTTGATAGAATATTAGAGTGGTAATGACTTCCAAGATAATTTGTGTAGCACTTTGCTTTTACAGATCAGAGAATTTGGGATGATAGCAAGTGAATGATTGTTAAAGATCCCACTGCTCTTTGTCAGATGAGTAGGTTGCGAAAATTTTCTCCCATTTTGTAGGTTGCCTGTTCACTCTGATGGTAGTTTCTTTTGCTGTGCAGGAGCCCTTTAGTTTAATTAGATCCCATTTGTCAATTTTGGCTTTGGTTGCCATTGCTTTTGGTGTTTTAGACATGAAGTCCTTGCCCACGCCTATGTCCTGAATGGTAATGCCTAGGTTTTCTTCTAGGGTTTTTATGGTTTTAGGTCTAACATTTAAGTCTTTAATCCATCTTGAAATGATTTTTGTATAAGGTGTAAGGAAGGGATCCAGTTTCAGCTTTCTACATATGGCTAGCCAGTTTTCCCAGCACCATTTATTAAATAGGGAATCCTTTCCCCATTTCTTGTTTTTCTCAGGTTTGTCAAAGATCAGATAGTTGTAGATATGCGGCGTTATTTCTGAGGGCTCTGTTCTGTTCCATTGATCCATATCTCTGTTTTGGTACCAGTACCATGCTGTTTTGGTTACTGTAGCCTTGTAGTATAGTTTGAAGTCAGGTAGCGTGATGCCTCTAGCTTTGTTCTTTTGGCTTAGGATTGACTTGGCAATGCGGGCTATTTTTTGGTTCCATGTGAACTTTAAAGTAGTTTTTTCCAATTCTGTGAAGAAAGTCATTGGTAGCTTGATGGGGATGGCATTGAATCTGTAAATTACCTTGGGCAGTATGGCCATTTTCACGATATTGATTCTTCCTACCCATGAGCATGGAATGTTCTTCCATTTGTTTGTATCCTCTTTTATTTCGTTGAGCAGTGGTTTGTAGTTCTCCTTGAAGAGGTCCTTCACATCCCTTGTAAGTTGGATTCCTAGGTATTTTATTCTCTTTGAAGCAATTGTGAATGGGCGTTCACTCATGATTTGGCTCTCTGTTTGTCTGTTTTTGGTGTATAAGAATGCATGTGATTTTTGTACATTGATTTTGTATCCTGAGATTTTGCTGAAGTTGCTTATCAGCTTAAGGAGATTTTGGGCTGAGACAATGGGGTTTTCTAGATATACAATCATGTCATCTGCAAACAGGGACAATTTGACTTCCTCTTTTCCTAATTGAATACCCTTTATTTCCTTGTCCTTCCTAATTGCCCTGGCCAGAACTTCCAACACTATGTTGAATAGGAGTGGTGAGACAGGGCATCCCTGTCTTGTGCCCATTTTCAAAGGGAATGCTTCCAGTTTCTGCCCATTCAGTATGATATTGGCTGTTGGTTTGTCATGGATAGCTCTTATTATTTTGAGATACGTCCCATCAATACCTAATTTATGGAGAGTTTTTAGCATGAAGCGTTGTTGAATTTTGTCAAAGGCCTTTTCTGCATCTATTGAGATAATCATGTGGTTTTTGTCTTTGGTTCTGTTTATATGCTGGATTACATTTATTGATTTGTGTATATTGAACCAGCCTTGCATCCCAGAGATGAAGCCCACTTGATCATGGTGGATAAGCTTTTTGATGTGCTGCTGGATTCGGTTTGCCAGTGTTTTATTGAGGATTTTTGCATCGATGTTCATCAAGGATACTGGTCTAAAATTCTCTTTTTTGGTTGTATCACTGCCTGGCTTTGGTATCAGGATGATGCTGGCCTCATAAAATGAGTTAGGGAGGATTCCCTCTTTTTCTATTGATTGGAATAGTTTCAGAAGGAATGGTACCAGTTCCTCCTTATACCTCTGGTAGAATTCGGCTGTGAATCCATCTGGTCCTGGACTCTTTTTGGTTAGTAAGCTATTGATTATTGCCACAATTTCAGCTCCTGTTATTGGTCTATTCAGAGATTCAACTTCTTCCTGGTTTGATGCAGCCATCCCATTACTGAGTATATACCCAAAGGACTGTAAATCATGCTGCTATAAAGACACATGCACACGTATGTTTATTGCGGCATAATTCACAGTAGCAAAGACTTGGAACCAACCCAAATGTCCAACAATGATAGACTGGATTAAGAAAATGTGGCACATATACACCATGGAATACTATGCAGCCTTAAAAAATGATGAGTTCATGTCCTTTATAGGGACATGGATGAAATTGGAATCATCATTCTCAGTAAACTATCGCAAGAACAAAAAACCGAACACCACATATTCTCACTCGTAGGTGGGAATTGAACAATGAGAACACATGGACACAGGAAGGGGAACATCACACTCTGGGGACTGTTGTGGGGTGGGGGGAGGGGGGAGGGATAGGATTGGGAGATATACCTAATGCTAGATGACGAGTAAGTGGGTGCAGCGCACCAGCATGGCACATGTATACATATGTAACTAACCTCCACATTGTGCACATGTACCCTAAAACTTTAAGTATAATAATAATAAATAAAATAAAATAAAAAAGGAAAAAGAAAAAAAAAAAAGAAAGATCCCACTGCTTTGGTAGTGACAAGACCCCTATGAAATACTAGGTGTAGAATTTCATGGCCCATTCCGTTTTTCTGCTGTACCACACACAGCCTCATAACATTTCAATAACCATCTTCAGAAATGAGCCTTATGTCATCCTCTCCCTGTCAGCCCCCACATGATATCGTAGCATGAAGGTTTCCTGAGTTTGGTAGTCTGAAACAATCTCTCTTCTCCCTCCATGATGCAGTGGAAAGAGCATGGAATTGGAATAATTCACTCAACTATATTTATTGAATGCCTTCTCTATGCCAAGAATGTGACCAGGACCTAGGAATACAAAAGTGAGTGAAGGACGTTATCCTGGTTTTTACAGTCTATTTGGACTTGAATCTTGCAACTTATCACTTGTATATCTCAGACAAATCATTTTGCCTCTCTGATACCCCATTCTCTGATCTTTAAAATAAGGGTAAATTCAATTTTTTAAAGTCCTAAGAATTAATTAATGTATAAAAATGTAAATCTTCTGGCACATTTCTGACAAACAGCAGGCATTCGCTCAATAAACGTTAATATCTTCCCTCTAACTTCTAAGGATTATTGTGAAAATCAAGTAAGATAATGGATATAAAATTGTGTTGTGAATTGGAAGCATATGTTATAGTTACAGATGAAGTTGGAGTTTTAGAGGGTCTACAACTTTCCTCACCTTTCAAGTTCAATTCTAATGAGAAGAGGAAGACACCTCAGGATTAAAGTAGCTATTTAGTTACTGATAAAAGCTGGTTTAGAAGTTGATTTTGATGTGCTTCCCATTCCTTTACTTCAGAGTGCAACTTCCCTGCTCAGGCACAGGCATACTGGAATAGCTACAAGTTTTACCCACTGGAACAGGTAATTTATTTCAAGGCAGAGAGCAAAGAGAATAAATGTTTTCTGCAGGGAAGTGGAGAAGCTGTGAAGGGGTAGAGCTACCCATGGCTAATTCTGTTTTCAAACTCACCTATCAAGTAAATTGCTTGACCTCATGTGGAAGAGAAACTGCAAATGCTAATTTTTGAAAACTTCTCTGCATGGAAAGGAAATAGAAGGCCAAAAAAATATATGTTTCTCCAACAGATACATACATATTCCTGTGAAAAAACCTCAAATCAGCCTCCTTCCTCCAACTTCTCATTCTTTTTTTTTTAACTTCTATTTTAAATTCAGGGTTACATGTGCAGGTTTGTTACATAGGGAAACTTGTGTTATGGAGATTAGTTGTACAGATAATTTCATCCCCCATGTATAAGGCCTAGCACCCATTAGTTATTTTTCCTGATCCTCTCCCTCCTCCCATCCTCCACCCTCTGATAATCCTCAGTATGTATTGTTCCCCTTTATGTGTTCATGTGTTCTCATCATTTAGCTGTCAATTGTGAGTGAGAACATGTGATTTTTGGTTTTCTGTTCTTGTATTAGTTTGCTAAGGAGACTCCAGCTCCACTAATGTCCCTGCAAAGGACCTGATCTCATTCTTTTTAATGGCTGCATAGTATTCCCCTGTGTGCATTTGCCACATTTTCTTTATTGAGTCTATCATTGATGGATATTTAGGTTGATTCCATGTCTTTGCTATTATGAATACTGCTGCAATTAACATACCTGTGCATGAATCTTCATAAGAGAACAATTATATTCCTTTGGGTATATACCCGGTAATGGGATTGCTGGGTTGAATGGTAGTTCTGTCTTTAGGTCTTTGAAGAATCACCACACTGTCTTCCACAATGGTTGAACTAATTTACATTCCCACCAACAATGTGTAAGTGTTCTTTTTTTTCTCCACAACCTTGCCAGCATGTTATTTTTTGACTTTTTGATAGTACCCACTGTGACTGGTGTGAGATGGTATATCTCATTGTGGTTTTCATTTGCATTTCTCTCAGTGATGTTGAGCTTTTTTTTCATACGATTGTTGGCTGCATGCATGTCTTCTTTTGAAAAGTGTCTGTTTATGTCCTTTGCCCACTTTTTAACGGTGTTATTTTTTTTCCTTATAACTTTTTTTTTTAAGTTCCTTATAGATGCTGGATATTAGACCATTGGATGCATAGTTTGCAAAAATTCTTTAGGTTGTCTTTTTACTCTGTTGATAATTTCTTTTGCTGTGCAGAAGCTCTTTAATTAGATCCCATTTGTCAATTTTTTTTTTTTTTTGAGACAGAGTCTCGCTCTGTCATCAGGCTGGAGTGCAGTGTCATGATCTTGGCTCACTGCAACCTCCGCCTCCCATGTTCAAGCAATTCTCCTGCCTCAGTCTCCTGAGTAGGTAGAACTACAGGCGCACGCCACCATACCCAGCTAATGTTTGTATTTTTAGTAGAGACGGGGTTTCACCATATTGGCTAGGATGGTCTTCATCTCTTGACCTTGTGATCCACCCGCTTTGGACTGCCAAAGTGCTGGGATTACAGGTGTGAGCCACCATGCCTGGCCCCCATTTGTCAGTTTTTGCTTTTGTTGCAATTGCTTTCAGTATATTTGTCATCAAATCTTTGCTTGTGCTTGTGCCTAGGTTGTCTTCCAGGGTTTTTATAGTTATAGGTTTTACATTTAAGTCTTTAATTCACCTTGAGTTAACTTGTATATATGGTGTAAGAAAGGGGTCCAGTTTTAATCTTCTGCATTTGGCTAACCAGTTATCCCAGCACCATTTATTGAATAAGTAATCCTTTCCCCATTGCTGGTTTTTGTCAGGTTTGTCAAAGCTCAGATAGTTATGGGTGTTCAATCTTATTTTTTGGTTCTCTATTCTGTTCCAATGACCTATGTGTCTGTTTTTTTCTATCAATACCATGCTGTTTTGATTACTGTAGTCCTGTAGTATGGTTTGAAGTTGGGTAGCATGATGCCTTTAGCTTTGTTCTTTATGCTTAGGATTGGCTATTCTGGCTCTTTTTTTTTGTTCCATATGAATTTAAAATTTTTTTTTCTAGTTCTGTGAAGAATCTTGATGGTAGTTTTATAGACATAGCATTGAAACTATAAATTGCTTTGGACAGTATGGCCGTTTTAATGATGTTGATTCTTCCTATCCATGAGCATGGAATGTTTTTACATTTGTTTGTGTCATCTCTGATTTCTTTGAGCAGTGGTTTGTAATTCTTCTTGTAGAGATCTTTCACCTCCCTAGTTAGCTATATTTTTAGGTATTTTATTCTTTTTGCAGCAGTTGTTAATGGGAGTTTGATCCTGATTTGGCTCTTGGCTTGACTGTTGTTGGTGTATAGGGCTAGTGATTTTTGCACATTGATTTTGTATCCTGAGACATTGCTGAAGTTGTTTATCAGCTTAAGTAGCTTTTGGGCTAGGACTATAGGGTTTTCTACATAAAGGATCATGTCGGCTGCAAACAGGGATAATTTCATTTCTGGTCTTTCTGTTTGGATGCCTTTTATTTCTTTAGCTTGCTTGATTGCCCTGGATAGAACTTACAATAGTATTAGAACAGGAGTGGTGAGAGAAAGCAGCCTTCTCTTGTGCCAATTTTCAAGGGGAAGGCTTCCAGCTTTTGCCCATTCAATATGATGTTGACTGTGCATTTGTTGTAGATAGCTCTTACTGTTTTGAAGTATGATCATTCAATACCTAGTTTATTGAATGTTTTTAACACAAATGGATGTTGAATTTTATTGAAAGCCTTTTTTGCACCTATTGAGATAATCATGTGGTTTTTCCCTTTAGTTCTGTTTATGTGATGATTCACATTAATTGATTTGCATATGTTGAACCAACCTTGCATCCCCGGGATGAAGCCTACTCGATCATGGTGGATAAACTTTTTGATGTGCTGCTGGATTTGGTTTGCCAGTATTTTGTTGAGGATTTTTGCATCTATGTTCATCTAGGATATTGGCCTAAAGTTTTCTTTTCTTTGGTTGTATCTATGCCAGGTTTTTGTATCAGGATGATGCTGGCCTCATAGAATAAGTTAGGGAGAAGTCCCTCCTCCTCAATTTTTTGGAATAGTTTTCAGTCAGAATGGTATCAGCTTTTCTTTGTACATCTGATAAAATTCAGCTGTGAATCTGTCTGGTCCTGAGGTTTTTTTGGTCGGTAGGCTGTTTATTATTACAGCAATTTCAGAGCTTGTTACTGGTCTATTCAGGGATTCAGTTTCTTCCTAATTTAGTCTTAGGAGGGTGTATGTGTCCAGTAATTTATCCATTTCCTTTAGGTTTTCTAGTTTATATGCATACTGATATTTATAATATTCTCTGATGGTTGTTTGTATTTCTGTGGCGTCAGAAGCAATATCCCTCTTGTTTCTGATTGTGTTTTTCTGAATCTTCTCTTTTTTCTTCTTTATTAGTATAGGAAGCAGTCTATCTATCTTATTAGTTTTTTCAAAAAACTAGCTCCTGGATTCGTTGATCTTTTAAGTGGTTTTTTTTGTGTGTCTCAATTTCCTTTAGTTCAGCTCTGATTTTGGTTATTTCTTGTCTTCTGCTAACTTAGGGATTTGTTTGTTCTTGGTTCTCTAGTTCTTTTGGTTATAATGTTAGGTTGTTAATTTGAGATCTTTCTAACTTTTTGATGTGGTCATTTAGTGCAGTGCCATAAATTTCCCTCTTAACCCTGCCTGTATTAGTCCATTTTCATGTTGCTGAGAAAGACATACCTAAGACTGGGTAATTTATAAAGAAAAAGAGGTTTAAGGGACTCACAATTCTGTGTGGCTGGGGAGGCTTCACAATCATGGTGGAAGGTGAAAGGCATGTCTTATATGGTGGCAGGCAAGAGAGAATGAGAACCAAGTGAAAGTGGTTTCCCCTTATAAAAGCTTCAGATCTTGTGAGACTTATTCACTACCTTGAGAATAGTATGGGGGAACTGCCCCTATGATTCAATTATCTCCCACCAGTTACCTCTCACAACACTTGGGAATTATAGGAGCTACAATTCAAGATGAGATTTGGGTGGGGACACAGTCAAACTGTATCATTCTTTCCCTGACTCCTCCCAAATCTCATGTCCTCACATTTCAAAACCAGTCATGCCTTCTCAACAGTCCCCCAAAGTCTTAGCTCATTTCAGCATTAACTCAAAAGTTCACTGTCCAAAGTCTCATCTGAGACAAGGCAAGTCCCTTCGGCCTATGAGCCTTTAAAATCAAAAGCAAGTTAGTTACTTCCTAGATATAATTGGAGTACAGGCAATGGGTAAATACAGCCATTCCAAATTGGAGAAACTGGCCAAAACTAAGGGGCCACAGGCCCTATGCAATTCCAAAATCCAGCAGGGCAATCAAATCTTAAAACTCCAAAATAATTTTCTTTTACCCCATGTCTCACATTCAGGTTATGCAGATGCAAGTGGTGGGTTCCCACGGTCTTGGTCTGCTCTGCCCCTGTGGCTTTGCAGGGTACAGCCCCTCTCCTGGCCACTTTCACAGGCTGGTGTTGAGTGTCCATGGCTTTTCCAGGTGTGCGGCGCAAGCTATCAGTGGATTTACCATTCTGGGGTCTGGAGGATGATGGCCCTCTTCTCACAACTTCATTAGGCAGTGCCCCAGCGGGAACTCTGTGTAGGGGCTTCAACTGCACACTTCCATTCTGCACTGCCCTAGGAGAGGTTCTCCATGAGGCCCTGCCCCTACAGCAAACTCCTGCCTGGACATCTAGGCATTTCCATACATCCTCTGAAATCAAGGCAAAGGTTCCCAAACCTCAGTTGTTGACTTCTGTGCACCTGCATATTCAACACCACATGGAAGCTGCCAAGGCTTGGGGCTTGCACCCTCTGAAGCCATGGCCTGAGCTGTACTTTGGTCCATTTTAGTCATGGCTAGGGCATCTCAGATGCAGGGCATCCAGCCCCTAGGCTTCACACATCAGGGGGACCTGGGCCTGGCCCAAGAAACCATTTTTTCCTCCTAGGCCTCCAGGCCTGTGATGGGAGGAATTGCAGTGAAGGTTTCTGACATGCCCTGGAGATATTTTCCCCATTGTCTTGGTGATTAACATTTGGCTCCTCGATACTTATATGGGTAATAAGGAACTGGCTTGAATTTCTCCTCAGAAAATAGTTTTTTCCTTTTTGTTGCATTGTCAGGCTGCAAATTTTTTGAACCTTTATGTTCTGCTTCCCCTTTAAACTTAAGTTCCAATTCCAAACCATATCTTTGTGAATGAATAAAACTGGATGCTTTTAATAATACGGAAGTCACCTCTTGAACGTTTTGCTGCTTAGAAATTTCTTCCACCAGATGGCCTAAATCATCTCTCTCAAGTTCAAAGTTCTATAAATATCTAGGGCAGGGGAAAAATGCTGCAAGTCTCTTTGCTGAAACATAGCAAGAGTCACCTTTACTCTAGTTCCCAACAAGTTTTCAATCTCCATCTGAGACTACCTCAACCTGGACTTCATTGTCCATATGAGCATTTTGGTCAAAACCATTCAACAAGCCTCAAATTCCAAACATTCCCACATTCTATAATTCAAAATGAGATTTGGACGGGGACACAGCCAAATGCTATCACTGCTTTTTCTGTGTTCCAGAGATTCTGGTATGTTGTATCTTTGTTCTCATTAGTTTGAAAGAACATATTGTTTTCTGTCTTAATTTCATTATTTACCCAAAAGTTATTCAGGAATTGGAAAGGAAAAATTATATTAAAATATTCACTCTAATCACTTTTGGGTATGATTTCCAGTGATTATTATTATCATGTTTTTTGTACATTTTAGAATTTATTAATAATGTGTTTTTTAAAAACTCAACCCCCTCTCCCGCTGCCAAAAAACAAAACCCAAATACTAAAAATGGGCACAAACAAAAGCCTAACCTAGCCAAAAGTTTCTTCTTCTCTAATTCTGACAAAGTTTTCTAATGTCTTCTTTTCAGTTACATTCAGTATGAGTGATCCAAGAGACTCACTTCATGCCTTGAACATTAATGGAAGGGCGAATTACAAATATTATATGTGACCCTAAAACCCCATCTTTTCCATTATTTGTGAATAATGATAAGCCCTGGAAGTAAGGTGAAAAGTTCTAACATCTTTTCCTTCATTAGTGTCTTTTCACTTGTTTAAAAGCCATCTGTAGTTATGATTCTGTCAAATGTATGTTCATTGTCTTTGCCTGTGTTTTCTGTTTTTTGACATTATTGTTAACATGTAAAAGCTTTTTGTATATTAGAAAAATGACTTTATTTTCTGTAATGTGAATTACAAATATCTTCTCACTTCTTGATTTTGTTGATAGTCTTGATAGAACATTTTTGGAAATAGAGACTTTATTTTTAAAATTAGGTTCAATTTATTTATCTTTTCTTTGAACTTCTTTGTTTTTTATACTGAGAAAGGCCTCCACTTCCAGGTTATAAAAGTTTTCTGCATTTTTTCTTCTGAGCTATTATGGTTTTATTTTTACATTTAAATATTTATATTTTAGAATGTTTACTGGTGTAAAGGTTGAGGTGTGAGAAATTATTTTCCCCCAGATGACTCTCCAGTCTTATAATACCATTTATGGAATAATCCGTGATTGCCTCATCTTTATCATATTCTAAGTTTCTACATGCATTTGCATTTATTTCTTGGCTTCTAATTTGTGTCAAGATTCCATTTATTTTTTCAGAGAGCACCACATTTTAAAATTAGGTTGCTATGTTATGTATTTTAAAATATGGTTAGTAAAATACCATCTCTTTGTTCCCATAATACAGCATAAAAGTGAACTCAGGAGGTGGTTCTCTGTTGGAGAGATTACACATATATTTATCATTTTTTATTACAATAACTTCAGTTTTTTTAAATCAATATCACAGCTTTTGCTATTTTGGAAGGGTGCCTCTTGAAATGACATTTAGGCAAGCCTATGATTCAATTGGTGTCTCAACTATTAGCATTCTAGGATGCAGTTGTATTTCAAGGAGGAATAATCTGGGACTGGCAATTTCACTATAAAAAACTGGTTATCATAGGCAAGCAGTGTAGCACAAGGCATTTAGGAGAAACATATATCTTTGTTCTGTATGTTTTGCTGAGACATCTTCCCAGTATCTCTTTGGACTGAGAAATATGCTGTTTTCTCAAATAGAAAAACCTAGTGATTGTGCCATCTTAGACATTTGGAATGACATGCCAACTTTGTGTGTGTAGGTGTATTGTGCCAGGTACTCAAAATAGATTATTTCAAATACTCGAGGGGCTCAAAAAATCTATTTGACAAGATAAATAATTAACATTTCTGATTCCTTTTACTGAATTCAAGAAATAACTCCAATCTAATTTGTGATATGACAATATTTTTGGTCCATTGCTAATTTTTAGCAGTATTTATATAGCTTTTCAAAGAGTGCTGTAACTACGGCTAGAAAAAATATCTCTGAAAAGTAAGCACCTAGAGTATGTATGTGCTTTCTGCCTTTAGTTCATATGATTCACCCCGACTTAATTTATCTTTGGGAATTTATTCCCAGGAAATAATGCAAACTATAGAAAAAAATGTATATATGCAATTTTTATTGTCATACTACTTAAGAATTAACTAAATTGAAAATAACTGAAATGCTCCCATTTAGGGGAATTTTTATATAACATAGTATTTACAGGTATGGAACATTTGTCTTAAAATAATGCTTACAAGGAGGTTTTATGGTGTGGGATTATGCTGTTGATGAAAAGTCAGGTATTAAAAACTAAGGCTATGGAGGGTAGTCTCAGCTATTAACATTACATTGTACTGTAAAAATGTTAGAAGGGGTTCTCTGAGAGCTGGGATTATGGGTAGTTGCTTATTAGGCTTCTCTAATCTTTGTGGCTTTTGTGAATTTTTTACAAAGTATGCAAAAATGCAATTGCTTTTAAAATATGTTTACAACACTTTCTCTTGACTTTAATCTAGCATTTCTAATATCATCCATTAATTTTCTTTAATATATCTTTTTACTGAGGTACAAGTTGAATATAAAAATATAAATAAGTGAAAATTATTAAGATATTTTATATGGATAAACATCTATGTAACTACTATTCAGATTAGTATAATAGAACATTTCCACTGCCCCATAATGCTCTCTCATGCCTCATTCCAATCAATACTGCTATATGTAACTAACCACTATTTTAACTTAATTTCTCTACAATTCATGATTGATCATATATGCATATTTGAACTTCATATAAATTGAAAAATGTAATATGTATTCTTTTGTATCTTGGTTTTTCATTAAACATTATGTTTTAAAGAGCCATCTTTACTGTTGCATGTAATAACAGCTTTTTCATTTTAATTGTTGTGCATGCTCTATATTAATAAACACATATTTTCAGTAGATCAAAATGCTTTCTCAAAGTGGCTGTACCAATTTCTATTTTCATCAGCAATGTATAAGAGTTCTAGTTGGTCCACTTCCTTGAGTTCTAGTTGTTCCACTTTTATCACATCTTTGGCATTGTTGGCTGTTTTAAGTTTAGCCATTCTATGTAAGAGATACAATGGATTGGGAGAAACAGCAGTTGAGAAGTTGTATCCAAGGAATCTCATCTACTTAATATTTTCTCTTAGATCACTGATGCTAATTTTTTTACTATATCTTCTTCAATTTGAGTAAGTCCTATTAATTTCTTCTTGTCATTGGTTATTACTTTTACAGATTATGTTTTGTTAAGATCCTCCAATGAATTTTTTACATCATGCATTGCAATTTTCAGTTCTATAATTTCCATTTGCTCTTTAAGAATATTTATTACTCTCCTGAAATATGCCATGGCCTCATTCATTATATATGTCTTTTCCTATAAACATACTTATAATAGTTTTTTTAAAGCCTTTGATTACTAATTTTCATAACTGTGTCATCTCTGTGTTTGCTTTTATTGACTCTCTTTTATCTTGATTATAGGTCATATCTGGGCTATTCTTCATTTTCTTAATATGCTAGTCTTGATACTATGTACAAATGAATGCAGAGATTAAAGTATGAATTTTGTTCTCTTTATTTCTCAGAGAGTACAAAACCTCTTTTCTGTTGGGTGGTTAGGATGAGGGGCTGATCACTCATATTTCTTTTAGAGTTAAATTGATTTGGAGCTGAGATGTAATTTCAAATAGATTTACTTCAGTTACGATTGGCCCAAATCCCAAATTCCTGTCACTGTCTTTTTACTCTTGTCAATATTTAGCTCAAATATGTTGGGATGTACTTTCAAGTGTTTGGGTTCATATTTGTAGTCAACTCTAGTAACATCTTAAAAGTCAAGCACCACAAAATTTTTGCATTATAAAGTAAATTCTCTCTCAATTTTAATCCATTTCTAATGTCACATTCTTGTATTATGTCTAGATAAGATCAACATTGCAGCTGGAGAGAGAACTTTCAACCTGAATAATGTGTTTTTGTGTTTGAGCCTCTTCCTAATTCCTAACAGTGGTTTATTTCATGAACCCACTCTTTTTTTCTAAAGCTTGCCTGATTTCTCATTGTCTCTCCAAAGACTGAAGTTCTGCTCCATGCTATACCTCTACACAGCTCAGGCACAAACCTCTAGATATGAAAGTTCTCTGCTCTCTCTAATCGTATTTAAAGGGCTTGTTTTATTGGATTAGTATTTTCATGTTATATACTTTCTCATGCTTTACCTTTCAACCTTTCTTTACCACTATATTTTAGAAGTGCTTCCTTTAAACTGCATGTAATCGAGTTTTAAAAATCTAGTCTGACATCTTTTGTTCATTAACCTGAACATTTAATCCATTACAATTAATGTATGTGCAGATCCATTTGGGTTGAAATTGTCTTATTTTATCTTTTCTAATTGTCCTGCCTGTATGGTGTTTATTTTTTAGTTCTTTCATGCCTTTTTTTGTATTGAGTGTGTATACTATTTATTTATATCTTTTCAAGTATGGCATTTATCATTCTATTTTTATTCATTTAGTGGTTAATAACCCTTATAAAATAATAACATATTTTTCTTCTACTGGATAATAAAAATACATAGGTATGTAAGTCCATTCACCCCTTCCTCTTTCAGTTTTTATGCCATTATTTTCCTAACACCACAAGGTACTTTTCTTTGGATTTGCTTTAATAAATATATTAGTTCTTAGGGCTGCTGTAAGAAAGTACCACAAACTGGATGGCTTAAGATGAAAGAAATTTATTATTTCATAGTTCTAGAAGCTAGAAATCTGAAATTAAGATGTTATTAGGGCCATGTTCTCTCTGAAGCCTCTATGGGAGGATTTTTTCTTGCCTCTTGTAGCTTCTGGTATCCCCAGGCATTTCTTGGCTTGTGGTGGCAGAGCTCCAATATTTGCCTCCAACTTCACATAGCTGTCTTTCTTCTGTTTGTGTGAATCTATCTCTTTGTGTCTCCTCTTTTCCTATAAGGATTTCGGTCATATTGGATTAGGGGCCCACTCTTCTCCAGCATTACCTAATCTCAATTAATTACATTGGTCATGACCTTATTTCCAAATAAGGTAACATTTGAGGTACTGTGGGGTTAGTTCTCCAACATATGTTTTGAGGGAACACAATTCAATATAACAATGAATTAATGTTTATTTAGATTTACCTATATGTTTAATATTTATGTTGATTTTTATTTTTTCTTACATCTCCTAACTTCTACCTGGGATCATTTTCTTCTGATTGGAGTACACCTTTAAATATGGATATGCTGGTTGAAAACTCTCATTTTTGTCCACAATTGTTTGTATTTCATTTATATTCTTGAATACTGTTTTTTCTGTGTATGGAATACAAGCTTGTCAGATATGTCTTTTAGAATATTGATGATATTGTTCAACTACCTCCTGGTCTCCATTGTTGTGATTGAGAAATTAACTGTTAATTGGAAACTCTTTGGGCGATTTTATTTTTTCTGGCTTCTTTTAAGACTATGCCTTTATTTCTTTCTCCTGCCTGATCTTCCTTACACCTTATACAAAAATTAATTCAAGATGGATTAAAGACTTCAATGTCAGACCTAAAACCGTAAAAACCCTAGAAGAAAACCTAGGCAATACCATTCAGGGCATAGGCAAGGGCAAGGACTTCATGACTAAAACACCAAAAGCAATGGCAACAAAAGCCAGAATTGACAAATGGGATCTAATTAAACTAAAGAGCTTCTGCACAGCAAAAGAAACTACCATCAGAATGAACAGGCAACCTACAGAATGGGAGAAAATTTTTACAATCTACCCATCTGACAAAGGGCTAATATCCAGAATCTACAAAGAACTCAAACAAATTTACAAGAAAAAAATCAAACAACCCCATCAAAAAGTGGGCCGAGGATATGAACAGACACTTCTCAAAAGAAGACATTTATGCAGCCAACAGACACATGAAAAAATGCTCATCATCACTGGCCATCAGAGAAATGCAAATCAAAACCGCAATGAGATACCATCTCACACCAGTTAGAATGGCGATCATTAAGAAGTCAGGAAACAACAGGTAATGGAGAGGATGTGGAGAAATAGGAACACTTTTACACTGTTGGTGGGACTGTAAACTAGTTCAACCATTGTGGAAGACAGTGTGGAAATTCCTCAAGGATCTAGAACTAGAAATACCATTTGACCCAGCCATCCCATTACTGGGTATATACCCAAAGGAGTATAAATCATGCTGCTATGAAGAAATATACACACGTATGTTTATTGCGGCACTCTTCACAATAGCAAAGACTTGGAACCAACCCAAATGTCCATCAGTGATAGACTGGATTAAGAAAATGTGGCACATATACACCATGGAATACTATGAAGCCATAAAAAAGGATGAGTTCCTGTCCTTTGTAGGGACATGGATGAAGCTGGAAACCATCATTCTCAGCAAACTATATCAAGGACAGAAAACCAAACACTGTATGTTCTCACTCATAAGTGGGAATTGAACAATGAGAACACCTGGACACAGGGTGGGGAACATCACACACTGGGGCCTGTCGTGGGATGGGGAAGGGATAGCATTAGGAGATATACCTAATGTAAATTACGAGTTAATGGGTGTAGCACACCAACATGGCACATGTATACATATGTAACAAGGCTGCACATCGTGCACATGTACCCTAGAACTTAAAGTATAATAAAAAATATTTATTTTAAAAAAAGACTACGCCTTTGACTTTGGTTTTTGGCAGTCTTGCTTTGATGTTCCTGTATATGGATTTTTAGTGTATGTATGTATGTATATATGTATTAATTGTTTATTCATTCATTTGTGTGTTTCAGATCCTTTGGGGTCCTTGAACCTGTAGACTGCTGCTTTTCATGAGTGGCATATTTATGAGGAAATTCTCTAAAATCAAAACAGTGAGAAATGTGGGGTTGTGGGGGATATAGTTGGGAGATAATTTTCCTTGGGTCTCTCATGTTTCTATTTCTGCACATATATAACAGTTTTTGTTTCAAACTATCTTGGAATACAGATTTGAAAAATAGTACCTATCTGGGTGGAAGGCAGATTTTTTTGCTATCCAAAATAATAAATGTAATGTTCCCCTTTGATGCAAAAGTGGGGTAGTTTTGTTAGCAATCTCCTTATGAGATGGGATTTCCTGAAATCATGGTTCCTTAGCTGTGACATAAAACCTACTATATGTGCAACATCTACCAGAGCTCACCTTTGAATCATCTTTTGGGACTTGGGGTCAAAAAGAAGTTATGTAAACAGGAAGGTCATGCTGCCTGCAGTGTGGTAAGAAAGTGTTTTATGACACAGAGGTATATGTCTTCTTTCGACATCTAGGAAACTGTGGAAGGATAACTTCTTAGGTTATAAAAAGGATAAAATCTCAGACCCTTCATAGTTGCTTAAAATAATGTCTTTTTTCGGCCAGATGCGGTGGCTCATGCCTGTAATCCCAGCACTTTGGGAGGCCGAGGCAGGTCATCACCTGAGGTCAGGAGTTCGAGACCAGCCTGGCCAATATGGTGAAATCCTGTCTCTACTAAAAATATAAAAATTAGCCAGGTGTGGTGGTGGGTGCCTGTAATTCCAGCTACTTGGGAGGCTGAGGCAGGAGAATTGCTTTAACCCAGGAGGCAGAGGTTGCAGTGAGCTGACACGGTGCCACTGCACTCCAGCCAGGATGACAGAGTGAGACTCTGTCTCAAAAAAATAAATAAATAATAAATAATAATGTCTTTTTATTGGCAGCTGTATAAAACACCATTTTTCAGTATTTAGATTATGTCTTGGTGTGCCTTGATATTTATTCTGCTTTTTTTGATGTTTAGTGGAATTATAATTCTATCAAATATGAAAAATTTCATCTCATTATTTCCTCAATATTTTTCTCCTCCCTCATTCTGTTATCCAATAATACTTTTGTTGGATCATTTGATATTGTCCTAAAAGTTGATTACACTCCTTATTTTTAAAATTCCTGTTTTCTTTTTGTATTTCATTTTGAATAGTTTCAATTGTCATGTCTTCAATTTCAATGATCTTTACTTCCGCAGTGTCTAATTTGATGTAATCCTTTCCAGAGCATTTTTTATATTTAGACAATTTTTTTTCTCATTTTTAGAAATTTCATTTGGGTTGTTTTATCTCTTAAATTTGTTTCTTCTTTATGTTTACTTGTTTTTCTTTATAGCCTTGAAGGCACAGGCAGTCCCTGACTATGATGGTTCAACTTATGATTTTTCAACTTCACAATCACATGAAAGTGATATGAATTCAGTAGTATCTCATTAAATTACATGAATTACATGACTCAACACTTTATTATAATATTGGCTTCATGGTAGGTTATTTTGCCCACTGTAGGCTAATGTGAGTGTTCTAAGCATGTTTCTGGTAGGCTAGGCCAAACAATGTTTGGTAGCTCAGATGTATTCAATGCATTTTGACTTATCATACATTCAAATTACAAAGGGTTTGTTTTGGACGTAACCCCATCGTACGTGAAGACACATTTGTATTTATAGTATTTGCAAAACCTTTTTTAAGGTTTTTGTCTGCTAATTCCAGCATCTCTTGTTTTCGAGTCTATCATTGATTTTTCTCCAGGTTATTTGTCATGCATTTCTGCCTCCTTGCATACCTGATAATTTGTATTGGAAGCCAGCCAATGTGAATTTTATGTTGTTCAGTGTTGGATTTGAATGTGTTAATTTAAAGAGTTGGTATTTTTTCTGGCAGTCAGTTAAGATACTTGTAGATCAGTTTGATACTTTTGAGGTTTCCTCTTAAGCTTTATTAACATGAGTGTTGAGCAAGCTTTATTGTAGGACTAATTTAGTCCCCTCTTTCTCACTAAGTAATGACTCACTTTTGAATGACTCCATCATATGCCTCAAATATTGTGAGACTCTTCATTCTGGCTGGTGGGTATGTTAACTATGCTAGGCATGTGAGATCCCAAAATATCTTGTTTGTTTTTATGTAGGGAGAGCAAAAGTTTTACGATTAAAATAGAAGGGCTGATGTTTTTGACTATGTGCTGATCCTTGAATTTAAAAAATTGTTTCTATGTAATATTTGAAGGCTAGGATGATAATATTTTTCTGCAAAGGGAATTTCACATTCTTCTGCTAGGAACCTGGGGGTATTGTCATTCTGAGACCAAGTTCAATGTTTGAGGTTCTATGGATTATCAGATTTAGAAATATGGACTATTTATATCTGATTTACCTTTGATTTATTTTTACCTTTTGAAATCTGGGCTTATTATTTGTGTGTAAAGGTGATTTTCAGACTGTCTGACTTCATTGGGCTTTGACTTTTATGTCCAATTTTTATGAAGCTACCAAAAACGGAATTTCAGATTTGTAGTTCTTCTTGATTGGCAAAGAAGAGAGACACTTGAATGCTAATATCTTCACTCAGGTATTTCTGGTGCTACAGCTGCTGGTACAGTGTGTAGAACCACCACCATAAGCCTTTTGTCACTTAATACATTTAAAAATAGACTTTATTTTTAAGAGCAGTTTTAGGCTCCCAGCAAAACACAGAGAAAATATGGAGAATTCCCATATACCCACCTATACAACTCACCTGCTCTCAGCATCTTGTACAAGTGTGCTACTTTTGTCACAGTGAATAAACACATTGACACATCATTATCACCCAAAGTTGATCGTTTACATTTGGGATTCACTCTTAGCGTTGTTCATTCTGAGTTTTGATAAACATGTAATCACAGGTATCCACTATTAAAGTATATGGAAAGTTTCATTGACTTAAAAATCCTCTGCGCTCAACCTATTCATCTCTCCCTGTCCTCTAACTCCTGGAAACCACTGAATTTTTTACTGTCTCCATGGTTTAAACTTTTCCAATATGCCATATAGTTAGAATCATACAGTATGAAACCTTTATACATTGGCATTTTTAACTTAGATGTATGCATTTATTTCCTCCATGTATTTCATGGCTTGGTAGCATACTTTTTAAAGAAACAATAAATAAGATCCCATTTTCTGGATGCACACATTTTATTATGCATTAACTTACTGAAAGACATCTTGGTTGCTTCCAAGTTGTGGCAAATATGAGTAAAGCCATATAAACATCCATGAGTAGATTTTTTTGGAGCTATACTTTTCAACTTATTTAAATAAATACCAATAAGTATAATTACTTATTTGCTACAAATATGTTTAATTTTGTAATAAACTGCCAGACTATCTTTGTAAGTGATTGTACCATTTTTGCTTTCCCATCAGCAATGAATAAGAATTCCTGTTGCTTCACATCCTCACCAGTACTTAGTGTTGTCAAAGTTCTGGATCTTGACCATTCTAATATTCATAGGTATATAGTGGTATCTCATTGTTGTTTTAGTTTGCAATCCCCTAATGCCATATGATGTTTAATATCTTTTCATATCATGACTTGATGTCTGTATATCTTCTTTGATTATACCTACACCTGTTGCTATTATTATTTTGAACCAACTATTATTTATTAGATCAATTGAAAACAGGAAAAAATATTTTATTTTACCTTTGCTTATTTCTTCTCTAATATTCATCCTTCGGATATGAACTTCACATAGATCTGACTTTATAACCTATATCATTTTCTTTCTCTCTGACACAATTCTTTTTAACATTTCTTGCAAGATAGGTCAACAAATTTCCTGATTTTTAAAAAGAGTTTTCCATTTATTTCTTGTGGTAAAATCCACATGACATAAAATTTACTGTCTTAAATTTTTAAGTGTACTTAAAATGATACTGATGGTAATTATGTTCACATTGTTGGGCAACCATCACCACCACTTACCTCCAGAATTCTTTTAAACAAAATATTTTTGCAAACACAAATATGAAATGGGGACCAACATTTATCTTCAAAACATTGAGACCTGGTATAGGATACAACCTCCACTGAGACTGGCTTATGCAGCTCTTGGATGATATTGGAGGTTGTTAAATGGTCTTCTAATATGGATAGAAAACAGTTTTAGCAGGCTCTTGCATGATGTTGGAGGTTGTTAAATTCTAATATGGATGAAAAACAGTCTTAGCAGAAGAATGATCTCATTCCTGGTGCTGTTTCTCAAAGAGAGGAATTCAGATGTGAATTCCTGAGGCTAGGTAGTTTATTCTAAATATAAATTTATTGGCTTATGGCTCGGGAGACTGTGAAGTCCAAGATTGAGGGGCCACCATTTTGTGAGGTCCTTCTTGCTGTGTCATAACATAGTGGAAGGGCAAAGAGAGGGCAAGAGGGGGGCAAACCCATTATCTTGATAATGAATCCACTCTTGTGTTAGTCCATTCACAAGGACAGAGTCCTCATGACTTAAACACATCTTAAAGATTCCATCTCCCAATACCACAACCAATGGCAATTAAATTTCAACATGAATTTTGGACATGATATACATTTAAACCATAACATATACCACAAAGGTGAGCCCCTGAAATAAAAGTGGAGAGGAGACCATCAGCCTATCTCTTCTCTTTGAGGAGACGAGGAATCTCCTAAGAGGAATCTCAGTTGGGGGTTTAAAGGTGGTCTATGCCTTGTGAAGATAAGAAGAGAGCTAGAGAGAAACTTGGACAGATAACCTCAATGCAGGGCCACAAAACATGCATACCCTGCACAAAAGTGCCCGGGTTGTGAACATGAATTGGAGATGAAATTGTACCCTAGAACCATGCACTCTGGCTTGGGTGTGATTCATTCTGGAGAAAGAAGCATAGCAACTTTTGGAAACTGATGTGCCTAGAAGGGGCACCTCTTTGTAATTTGTTAGCCCGGAGGCCACATATGCTTACATGAGGAAACCTCTTTTTCAATGCAAAGAGCCACTCATAAGCAAGCAACAGTAGTTCCAACTATTAAAATGAAGATTTCATAGCTTTAAAGTGAAAATAACCTAAAGCAATGATTCACAATTACACTCCGCGTTTTCCTCCCTTTGTTACCCTGCGGTATTCAGTAAAGACCCTTTATACATGACAACATTGTCTCCATTACAGCATGCGCTATCTATTCTTAGATTAATGTGTTAAAGTGATATCAGCACCCATTTCTCCAAAAGATAAACTTGGTAGCTAGCAGCTGTAATCAGCAAAAATCCACCAAGAAATTGTGCCCTTGGAATTGTCTATAAACCACCTGATCCAGTCACATTCCTGGAACTAAACTGGAAGGTGTGGGCAAAATGGTGAGCAGATGAAGTATGTGTAGTTTTAGAAGGGAATTGTTTACAGCAGCTCAAAGAGAACTTCCAGAGGAAGATAAAAATATCTCAACAGAAAAGAAAATTTGAATATCATGAAAAACCTAAGAAAACTCTAAAACTCTTTCCAGACAGCTCTTTTGACTGAAAAAATATGAATATGTTTTGTAATTATTGCAGAAGTCTATGTCATAAAGCTACATAAAATTAAATCATGATTTATCTTACAAAATCTTAATGTTAACTCTAACCTCTTTAAAGGAAGACTTTCTTTGTTTTACCTAAAATATTAAAAAATTACTGATAAAGAAAATGATAATCTGCATGGTATACAAGTATCACTGACCCCCCCCCACAAATAAAACAGAAAATGAAAAATTCCCAAGCATTTTAATAGATACAGTGCAAAACCAAATTTTCTATATCTTCAAATATTACTAACTTTACAGGATTAGTTATTATAATTTGAGTGGATGCTAATACATAAAGAGTCTGATTTCTACCACCAAATATTTTAATGAAGTTGTTGATATAATTTTCAAATAAGGAGTTTTATTATTTCCTATTGCTACCTACTCAACCTTTTGAGAGAAATATTTTCTCATTGTTTATTTGATTAATATTACTGGCTAGTGAAAATTTACAACATTTTAACCATAGTTTCCCTGATGTGGGTGAAGACATAGCCCTATAGAAAGGGTAGCAAGAACACATGTATTTTGACACAAATTCTGTAAGAGAATTTTACAAGGGTAGGACTATTAATATATCTTTAGCAACTTTATTAGTTTTGAAGTGCTAAAATCATGGATGTAGAGAACTATATGAGCAAATAAAAATTTGTTCAAAAGAAATTTTGTTAAAATTCAGAATTATAAAGTATTGCACTAACTTACTAATATCCCTACAATGTGATCTTCCTTTCACCTCACAAATGATATTTGTGATGAAAAGTTTGGTAGTGATAAGAATTATAAAGTAAAGGTAAGAAAGGCTAATGAGATAGATAAATACATGCAGGGGTAGTTTTTAGGTGGTCAGGGAAGTAAGTAGTAAGTTGCCTGTGAGAGCTAAAATATGATGGGGAAGGCTCAAGTCATGATGTGTACAAGAGCATTCCAGGCAGAGAACCTGCAAGTGCAGTGTCTGAAGCTAAAATATGAAGATATTCTTCAGGAGTTTTTTGATTAGGGAAAGATTGAAAGATTTGACAAAAATGAAAAAGTCCATTTGTTATTCTCCATCAACAGAAAAAATATGCATTTTTATATTTCTAGTTTAATAAAATGTCTTCATCAAAACTAAAACCAAAATAAACTAGGAATTTTCCCATATATGTAGAATG
Organism: Homo sapiens; assembly: GCF_000001405.40. NCBI lineage: Eukaryota > Metazoa > Chordata > Mammalia > Primates > Hominidae > Homo > Homo sapiens. Next base: position 24,194,876 of record NC_000009.12, read on the forward strand.
AGAATTTAGGCTATTCACATTTGTTTCTAAGAGATATTTACCCTATAGTGAGAGCAATGATTAACAACATTATTTCCAATTAATTAAAATAAGTTTTGGAAACATTCTACATATTACATTATATTCCAACAGCCCAACAGGCTAGTATTATCTTCATTCATAGATTAGGAAAACTGAGTCTCAGAAAAAAATCCATAACTTGTTTAAGATCAGATGATCAAAAACATTAAAATCTAGTCCTGAACCTGAGTCTTCTGACTCAAAATCCAGGAACTTTGTCATCTGATGAAACTAACACTGAAACACTACTGAAAGTAGTTTAGTCTACCTTTAATGTTTCAGATATCCCTAGAAAGATCATATATGGATACTTCAGAATGTCACACTTTGTAAAGCATAGTGGCAAGGTTTCTGCATCTTAAAGAAGGTGGTTGGGAATATGTCATTATCTGCTAAGTATTTCTCATCTATTTATTTAACAAATATTTTCCTTTTTTGGCAAATATAAATTATACATATTTAAGGTGTACAACATGATGTTTGGATATACATACACATTGTGAAATGACTACCACTATCACACAAATTCACATATATTCATCATCTCACATAGTTACTGTGTATGTGTGTATGTGTTCAGTGAGAATACTTAAAATTTACTCTCAGCAAATTTTGAGTATACAATATATCATTATTAACTAGAGTCACCATGATGTACATTATATCCCTAGAATTTACTCATCCTTTGTAATTGAAACTTTGAATTCTTTGAACAAACAACATATGTGTTTCCCACACCTCCAAGACCCTGGCAATCACCATTATAGTCTCTGCTTTTACAGATTTGAGTTTTTGAGATTTCATGTAAAAGAACATACAGTATTCCTGTTTCTGTGTGTGGCTAATTTACTTAGCATAATACCTTCCAAACAAAATTATGAATATTGTGTTGAATGGCAGGATTTCCTTCTTTTTAAAGATTGAATAATGTTCTAGCCTCTGTGTTTCTGTTTGTGTATTTATGTATGTATGCGTGTGTGTATGTATATATGTAAATGTATTTATTATATTTTCTTTATCAATTCATCAGGCAATAAAAACTTAGGTTGTTTCTATGTCTTGGTTATTGTGAATAACATGACAATGAGCATAGAAATGCATGTATCTCTTTGAGGTCTTGATTTCATTTCCTTTAGCTGTATAACCAGAAGTGAAATCACTGGATCATATTGTAGTTCTATCTTTAATTTTCTGAGAAACTTCAACACTGTTTTCCAAAATGGCTATACTGATTTACATTCCTACCAACAATGTACAAGAATTCACTCTTCTGCACATCCTTGCCAGTACTTGTTCTCTTTTCTATTTCTGGTAATAGCCGTTCTAACAGATATGCAGTGATATTTTATTGTGTTTTTGATTTGCATTTTCCTGGTGGTTAGTGATGTTGAGTACCTTCTCATCTACCTGTTGGCCATTTGTATATCTTCTTTTGAGGAATGTCTCTACAATTTCTTCTGCTCATTTTAACATCAGGTCATTTGTTTTCTTGCTATTAAGTTGTTTGGGTTCTTTATATATTTTAAATATAAATATTAACCCCTTATCAGATATATGGTTTGCAAATATATTCTCCCATTCCATAGGTTCTCTTTACTCTGTGGATTGTTTCCTTTGTTGTACAGAATCTTTTTAGTTTGATGCACTCCCTTGGTCTATTTTGTTTTTGTTGCCTGTGCTTTTGGGATCATATTCAAAAACTCGTTGCTCAGACCAACGTCAGGAAGCTTTTACCTTATGTTTTCTTCTAGTAGTTTTACAGTTTCACGTCTTACATTTAAGCGTTTAGTCCATTTTGAATTTATTTTTGTATATGCTGTGAGATAAGCATCTAATTTTATTCTTTTGCTTGTGGATATCCAGTTTTCTCCACATAATATATTGAAGAGACTGTCCTCTTTCCCCTTTGTGTGTTCTTGCCATTTTTATCAAAGTTCAATTGGCCTTAAAAGTGTGGATTTATTTCTGGGCTTTCTGTTTTGTTTCATAAGTTTATGTGTCTGTTTTTATGCCAGTGCCATACTGTTTGGATTATAATAACATTATATTATATTTTGAAATCAGGTAGATTAATGCTTTCAGTTATTTTTCTCAAAATTGTTTTGGGTATTCAAAGTCTTTTATGGTTTCATATGGATTTTAGGATATTTCTATTTCCATAAAAATGTCATTAGAATTTTATAGAAATTACATTGAATCTGAAGAAGGTCATATAGATATTTTAACAATATTAATTTTCCAATCTATGAACACAGGATTTTTTTCATGTGTTTGGGTCTCTTAAAGTTTTCTTCATCAATATTTTATAGCTTTCAGTGTACAAAGCTTTTACCTCCTTGTTTAAATTCATTTCAAAATATTTTTGATGCTGTATCATTTTATTTTTTATTTCTTAATTTTTTATTTTTAATTTTGGTAGGTATGTAGTAGGTATATAAATTCATGATGTACATGAGATATTTTGATACAGGCATACAATTCATAATAATCACATAAAGGTGAATGAGGTATCCATCATCTGAAGCATGTATCCTTTCTATGTGTTACAAATACTCTAATAAAACTCTTTTAGTTATTTTAATGTGCACAATAAATTACTGTTCACTGTAGTCATCCTGTTGTGTTATCAAATACTAGATTTTATTCATTCAATGTAACTATGTTTTTGTATCCATTAGCCAACCCTGTGTCCATCCCTCCAGCCCAACTACCCTTCCCGACCTCTGGTAACCATCATTCTACTTTCTCTGTCCATGGGTTCAATTGTTTTATTTTTTAGCTCCCACAAATAAAGGAGAACACGTGAAGTTTGTCTTTCTGTGCCTGGCTTATTTCATTTAACATAGTGTCCTGCATCTATTATGTTGCAAATGACAGAATCTCATTCTTTTTTTATAAGTGAATAGTACTCCATTAAATATGTACCATATTTTCTTTATCCATTCATCTATTGATAGACACTTAGGTTGTTTTCAAATCTTGGTGATACGGTTTGGCTGTGTCTCCACCCAAATTTCATCTTTAATTGTAGCTCCCATAATTTCCATATGTCGTGGGAGGTAATTTAATCATGGGGTGGGGCTTTCCTCTGCTGTTCTCATGATAGTGAATAAGTCTCACAAGATCTGATGATTTTGTAAAGGTGAGTTCCCCTACACAAGCTCTCTTGCCTGCTGCCATGTAAGATGTGCCTTTTCTCCTCATATGCCTTCCACCATGATTGTGAGGCCTCCCCAGCCATGTGGAACTGTGAGTCCAATAAACCTCTTTTTCTTTAATAAATTACCCAGTTTTGAGTATATCTTTATTAGCAGTGTGAGAACAGACTAATACTATTGGCTATTGTGAATAATGCTAGAGTAAACATGTGAGTGCAGACATTACTTCAATATAGTGATTTCCTTTCTTGTAGGCATATAGTTGGTAGTGGGATTGCTGGATCATATGGTACTTCTATTTTCAGTTTTTTTGATGAACCTCCAAACTGTTCTCCATAGCAGTTATATTAATTTACATTCCCACCAACAGAGGACCAGAGTTCCTTTTCCTCCACATCCTTGTTAGCATTTGTTATTGTCTGTCTTTTGTATAAAAGCCATTTTAACTGGGGTGAGATGATATGTATTGTAGTTTTGATCTACATTTGTTTGATGGTCAGTAATCTTGAGCACCTTTCCAAATACGTGTTTGCCGTTTGTCTTTTTTTGAGAAATGGCAGACCTTTTGCTCATCATTTTATTAGATTTTTTTTTGCTGTTGAGTTGTTTGAGCTCCTGAAGTATTCTGTCTATTAATCTCTTGTCAGATGGATAGTTTGCAAATATTTTCTTTTTTCTTTCTTTTTTTATTTTTTGAGACGGAGTCTCACTCTGTCACCCAGGCTGGAGTGCAGTGGCATGATCTCAGCTCACTACAAGCTCCGCCTCCCGGGTTCACACCATTCTCCTGCCTCACCATCCCCAGTAGCTGGGACTACAGGTGCCTGCCACCAACCCTGGCTAATTTTTTGTATTTGTTTTAGTAGAGATGGGGTTTCACCATGTTAGCCAGGATGGTCTCGATCTCCTGACCTCGTGATCTGCCCACTTCAGCCTCCCAAGTGCTGGGATTACAGGTGTGAGCCACTGCACCTGGCCAATATTTTTTCTTATTCTTTCGGCTGTCTCTTCACTTTGTTGATTGTTTCCTTTGCTGTACGGAAGCTTTTTAGGTTGATGTGATCCCGTTTGTCCATTTTTCCTTTGGTTGCCTGTGTTTGTGGGATATTAATCGAGAAATCATTCCACAGACCAATGTCCTGGAGAGTTTCCCCAATGTCTTCTTTTAGTAGTTTCAAGTTTGAGGTCTTAGATTTAAGTCTTTAATCTATTTTGATTTGATGTTTGTATATAGCAAGAGAGAGAGAGGGAAATAGGAGTCTAGTTTTATTCTTCTGCATATGGATATCATTTTTTCCTTGCCTATACATAGGCAAGAAAAAAATACGTATATTTGTTGTTTGTTTTTTGATTTGAGGTTACCACAAATCTTGCAAGTATCTTGTAATCCATTATTTTAAAGTGATGACAATTTAATACAGATATCATAAACAGACTAGTAAGGGAAAAGAAAACTAATAAAAACTCTACACTTTAATGCTATTTTAGATTGACAAGTTTTCTTAATTTCTTTTTCAGAAACTTCATCGTTAGTGTATAGAAATACACTGATTTTTATACATTGATTCTGTATCCTGCAATTTTACTGAATTATTTTTTAGTTCTAACAGTTTTTTTGGTCGAGTCTTTAGCTTATCTTAATATATAAGATCATGTGATCTGCAAACAGAGAAAATTTTACTTCTTCCTTTTTTATTTGGATGCCTTTTAACTATTTCTTGACTAATTGCTCTGGCTGGCCATTCCAGTACTATGTTAAATAGAAGTGGTGAAAGTGGGTATCCTTGTCTTGTTCATGATTTTAGGGAAAAAGCTTTCAGCCCTTCATCATTGAGTATTATGTTAACTGTTGGCATGTCATATTTGGTCTTTTTTATATTGAGATAAAACACTTGTATACTGATTTGTTGAGCATTTTTTTTTATCATGAAATGATGTTGAATTTTTAAACATGCTTTTTCTGCATTTATTATAATGTCTTATGCATTTTACCCTTTATTCTGTTAACATGGTGTATCATGTTTATAGATTTGCATATTTATAAACCATTCTTTTACCTCAGGGATAAGTCCCACTTGATCGTGTCATATAAACTTGAATGGGCTGCTGGATTCAGTTTGCTAGTATTTTGTTGAAGACTTTTAAATCTGTGTTCCTCAGGGATTGGCCTATACTTTTCTTTTCTTGTAGTGTCCTTGTCTGGCTTTGGTATCAAGGTAATGCTGGTATATTAGTCAGGGTTCTCTAGAGGGACAGAACTAATAGGATATATATAAGTTTATTAAGGAACTCACATGATCACAAGGTCTCACAATAGGCCATTTGCAAGCTGGGGAGAAGGAAGCCAGTTTGAGTTTCAAAACTGAAGAACTCGGAGTTTGATGTTTGAGGGCAGGAAGCATCCAGCATGGGAGAAAAATGTAGGCTGGGAGGCTAAGCCAGTCTAGCCTTTTCATGTTTTTCTGCCTCCTTTATATCCTGGCCACACTGGCAGCTGATTAGATGGTACCCACCCAGATTAAGGGTGGGTCTGCCTTTCCCAGCCCACTAACTCAAATGTTGATTATTTTGGCAACACCCTCAGAGAAACAGCCAGGATCAATACTTTGCATCCTTCAGTCCAATCGAGTTGACACTCAGTATTAACCATCACAGCTGGTTTCATAAAATGAGCCTTGAAGTATTTCATCCTCTTCAAAGAGACTGAGAAGGAATGGTATTAACTCTTCTTTAAATATTTGGTGGAATTTGACAGTTATCGTATTGCTGCCTATTGCTCATTTCAATTCTGTTTATTTTTGCTTTATATATATATGTTCCAATGTTGAGTCCCTATATATTTACAACTGTTAGATCCTCCTGATGAATTTACACTCTTTATCATGACCTTTTGTGACCTTTTGTCTTGTGAAATGTTTTGACCCAGTCTATTGTGTGTTATATAAGTTTAGCCTCCCCTGCTCTCTTTCATTTGTATGAGATATCTCTTTCCATCCCTTTATTTTTAGCCTATGTGTCTTTTTACAGGTAAAGTGAGTCTCTTGTTGGCAACAGATAGTTGTGCCTTCTTTTAAAAATTCATTTAGCTACTCTATGTCTTTTGATTGGATAATTTAATCTATTTATATTTAAAATGATTATTAATTGATCAGAACCTACTATTGCCACTACAACTGTTTTCTTACCATTTTATAATTTCTCTGTTTCTTTCTTTGTTTCTTGCTATCTTCTCTGGTGATTTGATAATTTTTTATTAGCATGGTTTTATTCCTGTTTTACGTATCCACTAGAGTTTTTTTTTATTATAAGGTTTACATAAGACATTTTGTAATTATAACAGTTTATTATAAGCTAGTCACAATTTAACTGTAATGAAATACAAAAGCTCTACCCTTTTACTTCTCCTGTCTTTCATGTTTTATGTTATTGATATCATAATTTACATCATTTCATAGTTTGCATTCATAAAGAAATTATTGCAGCGATAGTTTTTAAAAACAGTTTTCTTTTTTATCTCTTATATCTCCTATTTTCTTTTTTGTCTCTCGGACATTTGCCATAGATGAACCCATTTCACTCTTTTTGTTCCCTCTTTTGGAGGAAGTCTTATGATTCTGCACCTTTTCTTGATCCCACAAAGCCAGGCCAGGTGCTGAGAGGCTCTCATTTATTTTCCATAGTGCAATCCCAAGTGTTGAAGGTTAAGCACTTATACCAATCCAGCAGAGTTGAGTCAGCTGTCTGTGTGTGCTCAAGCATGACATGCACTGTTTCACATGTTGTCCATGAAGACATACACAGTGTGTTGACTATAGGAGAGAAGGGGAGGATGTGACTGGAACAGGAGATATACTTAGGCTTGTTGGGGGAGACCTCAGGTGGTGTGTTCTATGAGGACTGTGGGCAAGTGTCTTGGTAGAGTCCACAATTAGCTAATAAAAAACTCAGGCCTTTGTTAAGATCCACACCCTGATTGTTTTGAGTCTTTGTCCCTTTTCCTGCTACTAACTGTCCCAGAGTATTCAGTCATTATGATCTCCTCAGTCTTCAGAGTGGGTCAAGCAAGAAGTGAACCTTTTGGGTACTGTTGCTCATGGTTGAGGAAGGCAAGTGAGTCCTCACCATGCTCTCACTTTCTTCTGTGGGAAAAATGGGCCAACGAATTCTGATATGATTTGCCTGTGTCCCCACCGAAATCTCATCTTGAATTGTAACTCCCACAATTCCCACGTGTTGTGGGAGGAACCCGGTGGGGGGTGATTGAGTTATGAGGGCAGGTCTTTCCTGCACTGTTCTTGTGAGTGAGTGAGTCTCATGGGATCTGATGGCTTTAAAAACAAGAGTTTGCCTTCACAAGCTCTCTTTGCCTGCTGCCATCCATGTAAGATGTGACTAGCTCCTCCTTGCCTTCTACCATGATTGTGAGGCTTCCTGAGCCATGAAGAACTATAAGTCCAGTTAAACCTCTTTCTTTTGTAAATTGCTCAGTCTCGGATATGTCTTTATCAGCAGCATGAACACAGATTAATACAGTAATTTGGTACTGTCAGAGTGGGGTGCCACTGAAAAGATACACAAAAATGTGGAAGTGACTTTGGAACTGGGTAACAGGCAGAGATTGGAACAGTTTGGAGGGATAAGAGGAAGGCAGGAAAATGTGGGGAAGTTTGGAACTCCCTAGAGACTTGTTGAATGGCTTTGAATGAAACACTGATAATGATATGGACAATGAAATCCAGGCTGAGGTGGTCTCAGATGGAGATGAGAAACTTGTTGGGATCTGGAGCAAGGTGTTTCTTATTATGTTTTAGCAAAGAGACTGGTGGCACTTTGCCCCTGCCCTAAAGATTTGTGGAACTTTGAACTTGAGGGATGATTTAGGGTATCTGACGGAAGAAATTTCTAAGCGGCAAAGCATTCAAGAGGTGACTTGGGTGCTGTTAAAAGCATTCAGTTTTATAAGGGAAGCAGAGCATAAATATTCAGAAAATTTGCAGCCTGACAATCCAGTAGAAAAGAAAATCCCATTTTCTGAGGAGAAATTCAAGCCAGCTGCAGAAATTTGCATAAATAACGAGTAATGTTAATCCACAAGACAATGGGGAAAATGTCTCCAGAGCCTCTTAGAAATCTTCACAGCAGTCCCACCCATCACAGTCCCGGAGGCCTAAGAGGAAAAAATAGTTTCATGGGCCAGGCTCAGGGTCCTCATGCTGTCTGCAGTCTAGGGACTTTGTTCCCTTTGTCCCAGCCACTCCAGCTGTGACTAAAAGGGGCCAAGATACAACTCAAGCTGTGGCTTCAGAGGGTGCAACCGCAGGCCTTGGCAGCTTTCACATGGTGTTGAGCCTGCAGGTGCACAGAAGTAAGAATTGAGGTTTGGGAACCTCCACCTAGATTTCAGAGGATGTATGGAAACACCTGGATGTCCAGGCAGAAGTTTGCTACAGGAGTGGGGCTCTCATGGAAAACCTCCGCTGGGGCAGTGCAGAACAGAAATGTGGGGTGGGAGCCCCCACCCAGAGTGCCCCCTGGGGCACTACCTAGTGGAAATGTGAAGAGGGCCACCATCCTCAGGACCTCAGAATGGTAGATCCACTGGCAGCTTGCACTGGAAAAGGTGCAGATACTCAATGCCAGCCCATGAAAGCAGCCAGGAGGGGAACTATACCCTGCAAAGCCACAGGGACAGAGCTGTCCAAGACCATGGGAACCTACCTCTTGCATCAGTGTGACCTGGATGTGAGACACGGAGTAAAAGGAGATCACTTTGAAGCTTTAATATTTGATTGCCCATTGGATTTTGGACTTGCATGGGGCCTGCAGCCTCTTCATTTTGGCCAATTTCTCCCATTTGGAATGGCTGTATTGACCCAATGCCTGTATCCCCATTGGATCTAGGAAGTAACTAACTTGCTTTTGATTTTATAGCCTCATAGGCAGAAGGGACTTGACTTGTCTCAGATGAGACTATGGACTTTGGACTGTGGACTTTTGAGTTAACAGTGAAATGAGTTAAGACTTTGGGGGACTGTTGGGAAGGCATGATTGGTTTTGAAATGTGAGGACATGATATTCTGGAGGGGCCAGGGGCACAATGATATCGTTTGGTTGTGTCCCACCCAAATTTCTTCTTGAATTATAACTCCCACAATTCCCACATGTCATGGGAGAAACCTGGTGGGAGGTGATTGAATTATGGGGGCAAGTATTTTCTGTGCTGGTCTTGTGATAGTGAATGAGTCTCATGAGATCTGATGGCTTTAAAAAGAAGAAAAACAAGTTTTCTGTCTGCCTGCTGCCATCCATGTAACATGTGATTTGCTTCTCCTTGCATTCTGCCATGATTGTGAGGCTTTCCCAGCCAGCTAGAACTATAAGTCCAATTAAACCTCTTACTTTTACAAATTGCTCAGTCTCAGGTATGTCTTAATCAGCAGTGTGAAAATGGATTAATACAAATTCTCTCTTGGCACTGAGCTGTGATGCCTGGGGGAAGGAGTAATGCAAGCAAACTGAAACTATTCTTCTTACTCTATTAAATGTATTCATTCTTGAAAATTTGCTTTAACAGGGTGCTGGGATATCTCTCTAGATGTTTAGGATCCCACAAAGATACTACCCTCTGTGGATTGTTATCAATATTGATGTTTTTACAGGGGAAAGAAGATAGAGACTCCTACTCTGCTATTCTGTTCATGTCACTCTGGATTCCCCAATTTTTACTTCTCTGAGAAAGTCTTTATTTCTTCTTTACATTTGAAGAAATTTTTTTTGAGAATACAGAATTCTAAGTTTGTTTCTTTTTTCTCTCAACAATTTAAACATTTCACTCCACTCTCCTCTAGCTTGCATGTTTTCAAAGAAGAAGTTGGGTGTAATTCTTATCTTTGTTACTCTATGGGAAAGTTAGTTATTTCTTCAGGATTCTTTTAATATTTTTATTTATGTTTGAGTTTCCAAAGTTTGAATATGATATGAGTGGATGTAGTTTTTTGTTGTTATTTATCTTGCTTAGTTTTTTTTTCTCTCAAGTTCTTGGATCTGTGGTTTATAGTTTGATGCCATATTGGGGGAAATGCTCATTTATTAGTGCTTCAAATATTGCTTCTATTACCTTCACTGTTTCTTATCATTCTGGCATTCCCATAACATGTAAGTTACATCTTTTGTAGTTGTTGCACAGTTCTTGGATAGTCTGTTCCATTTCTTTTAAGACTTTTCTCTTTGTTTCATAGTTTTGGAAGTTTCTATCTATGTATTTCCAAGCGAAACTCAGATACTCTTTCCTCAGTTATATCTTCTACTAATAAGCCCATCAAAGGTATTTTTCATTTTTGTTACAATGGTTTTTTTGTACACTCTAGCATTTTTAATATTCTTTTTTATAATTCTCATCTCTCTACTTGCATTATCTATTAGATTTTGTATGTTGTCTACTTCTTCTACTAGATTTCATTGCATGGTAATCATACTTCTTTTAAATTCATGATGTGATAATTCTAACATCACTGCTGTATTTGTGTCTGGTTCTCACGTTGTTCTATCTCTTCAAACTGTGTTTTTGCATTTTAGTATGTCTTGTAACTTTTCCTTGAAAGGTGGACATGATGTACTGGATAAAAGGAACTGCAGTCACTAGGCCTTTAGTGATGTGGTAGTAAAGTGTGAGGTAGGGGAATTGCTCTGCAGTCCTATGATTAGGTTTCAGATTTTTATAGAGTCTGTGCTAATAGGCTGTGAACTTCACAAATGCTTCTCAGTTTGTTCTTTTTTCACCTCATTAGATGGTACAGGATGGCCATAGGGGACTGGAGTGGGGTAAATCTCTGCCTCCACAGGAAAAGCTAGAATAGCTGCAGTTGAATATTTTTCTTCTTTCAGGTGAATCAGGCTCTGATAAAAACCCAATAGGTTGGGCTCTGGTAAAATAATTTTTTTGAAGGCAGGCTTTGTTAACAGGAACAGGTTGCCATGGTGCATTTCAAAATGATTTCTTTCCTCCTCCTCTTGCAGGAAGCCAAAGTAGATTTTTCTCTGATCTTCACTGTGAGAACCTGGTAGAGGTCTTGGAGGTAGAACTCACAAAACTGTTAGGGTTGTCCTATAAATGGGTCCACCTGGAGTTTTCATCTCTCATACTTGTCTATTCTGAGCCTCCAGCAATTTGTGAACTACAGTTCAGCTTTTCCTGCATTGGTACTGGTTCCTATGAAGGTGGGTTTCTGCTCTGGTAAGTTGTGATTCTCTGTATTCATCAACTTGTCTCTCCAATTTTGGGGGCAGTGGTGTGAACTGTGACTTCACTTTTCTAACACACCTAAGAAGAATTGTTGATTTTTCAATTTGTTCTGAATTTTTTTTCTTGTTAGGATAGAATGCTGACTTCTATGTTCCTGACATGCCAGATAAGAAACTGTAGGCCTTACTAGTATTTTTTAATCTAATCATATTTTCCAGAGAAGACTCTTCCAACCTCCAGCATAGAGACTAAAAGCCTGTATCCCAATATTTTGGGAGCTGACTGACAAAAATGGACTGAAGGATCCTGGAATACAGTATTCACTTTTCACTTAACTGCCCTGCTTTCTCATCAAGAGGAGTTGCATCTTCCTGTCCAGAGAGCCCTTTGAATTGCCATTTCCAGATAATGTATCAGTGTTTGCCATGATATATGGGTAGAGATAGTTAACTTTCTGAATTCAGCAAGACTGTTCTCTCTTTTAAACAGATATTAAACCAGGTTTTCTTACTTTAGTCACTATATCTTTACTTCCGTTTCTATAGATTCTTGATGCCCCCAACACTTGATTGGTAATTTTTCAGTGTGAATCAGGTTGATTATTGATTTTGCCCTCCAACACTTGCTTAGCACTCAGTTTTCTCAGTTCTTTCTCAGACGTCTGCTTTTTAGCTTCTAACGCTTTGTTTCTATTGTCTCCTTTCCTATTCTCCCCAAGTCCTCTGGGTTTATATCTTAAAAGTCCCTTTATTGTAATTTTAATGGGGTTTAGGAAAGTAGTGAAAGTTGATGTTCATTTTTAATCATTTGTCTTTACTTGGAAGGTAATTTCAAATTATGTCAAAATAATTTAACCATTATAATCAATATTTTAAATGTCATGTAGGAATATTCCAGGAATAATTATATATTAAGAACTGGTAGAAGCTAAGATGATTAAGAAGAGTGATGAATATAATTTTATATGGACATGATATACCTTGTTTTAAAGATTATCTACATTTGTATTGCCCAGCAGAGATGTTTTTGTTAATTTAATGTTGCCATTATCAGGACAAATGTATCATCATTCAGATATCTCCTTAAACATTATCTACTGAAATAAATCTTTCATTCATTCATCAAACATGTATTGATTTCCTACTATAAGCCAAGTATTGTTTAAGGATTAGGGGATAGAAATAAAGAGTATATCACATCTAAAATATATTAAAGACTTCTAAATGTACAACTATAATATAATGAACTAAGTGAAAAGTAAGATTTTTCTTCATTTCCCCAGGTGGTAGATTCCTGCTGTTACTAAATTCTTAATCGTCATTATACATTTCACCTCCTGTGCACACTGCTCCTTTATTTCCTTATATTGCCTGTTAGACACCACCCTGATTAGATTCCTTCACTCCCAAGTTAATATTTTTTAAAGTCTTTCCACTGGATATACTTTACTGAAGATTATCTGATACCCAAGAGAGGGATTAACATGCCATGCAACACAGCAGAGCATACAACTCAAATTTATGTTAGATATCCTTTTTGTTAAATACCCCTTTGCCATTTCAAACAATGTTACCTTCTCACTGATTGGTTCACCTCATCAGTCCCTGGACTTCAATTTTACTGCAGGACTCTTCCTTCTGTTTCTTTTTAGTTCTTCAAAAATTATCTGGGTCTCTTATGTAGAACAATTCAATTTTCTTCAATAAATTCTGGGCCCATGTTTGTGTATTAGCCAGAGTAGGCTGATATCATTGGTTTAATAAAATAAATATTTAATATTTATAGTTTGCTGTGGGTTCATAGAGAGGCTTCGTTTCGTGTAGTCATTCAGGGTGCCTGAACAAAGGTAAAAAAATACTTGAAGGGTAGCCCAGGAAATTACTGGACTGAGCCTGAAAGTATCATTTATCAGATCCTCTTACATTTCACTGTCCAGAACTCATTCATATGTCCCCACTTAACTGCAAGAGAGGTGAAATGAAATACTCTTTGATGAATGTATAGAATTCTTTCTGCCACACTTAAAAAAATACTAGGTTGATTTGCAAAATAAAAGCCTGATCTGAATTATACTTTATTTTACTGGAATTTTAGTAAACTTTTTTTCTTGTACATGAGTTTTTCATCTTACGTAGGCCTTCCTGTCTGAGATGATAATCCCAACCCTTAAAGGAGAAGAGGCTCCTATTAATTATGGTTTTTTGTTTCATTTTCTGTTTATTTTAGTGACATGTACTGCCCTGTTTATTACATCTATACTTAGTCAAGTTCGTACAATGTGCATATATAATTTACTATTTAAAAATTTTTACTAATAATACTTGAGGAATTTTCTTCTCATGGGTTGATCTTATCTACTGTACTCTAACGTGATACTAGATGCTTTTAATTCTGATTTTAACCACTAGGATCAATGTTAGGTCAATGTCTCTGGAGCTTGTTGACTGCAGCAGAAAATCTGTCCCTACATTTTGTGAAACCCCACTTTTCTTCATTGTTCCCTTAGGATTCCCTACTCATCGTTTCCAGCTTGTCAGCTACTTTCTTTATTTTTATTTCATATTGGTTTTCAAGTTATTCCCTTTAGCTACCTTGACTTATCACTGTTTTTTTTTAAACTTTGATTGCTCCTCATGTTTCTATAATCAGCTGGATGGTTGTTTTTTACTGCTTATACATTTAGTCCCTTAAAGTGAAAAAAGTTAATGAGTACTTCAGTTCCTTCCATTTGCTCCGCATTCCCTGACCTTCCTGTTAATTTTAGTCTCCCAGTGTGTTGTACACATTATAGTTGTATTTTGTACAACTTTACTTTTCAGCATTTTAATATGTGAATCAGTCTTTGAATTCATCTTTTGTTTTGTTGTCATGTGACAGTCTTTATAAAGAAGTTTTGGAATCAGCAATGCTACTCCTTAAATTATATAATAAATTAAGGTTGCATAAACTGAGTTCAGGAAGGGTTTTCTGTAACTATAGTATGGTTTGAGGAGAGTATAATTCAAATAATCTAGGAAAAACAATAAAATGTTTTATTCAAATTTGGATTGATATAAAATATTTTTCAAATGCAGCAATTTTAATAAATAGATTAGTTTAGAGGCTAGCTACTGGTCTGTTGCTATTTCTGATGGGTTAGTCTCTTTTTTAGCTAATGGGTTAATATGGGTGAGCTTATTAGAGTTACCAATGCAATAAAATCCAAACTTTTACTTTTGAGGTAGGAGGAAATATGTTTAAAAAACAAACGTTTTTGTTGGCAATTATCATTGTATAATGAATACTCTCTTTGAAGGATATGGATGGAGAACTGTTTCTTGCTTAGTAAATTTGTGGAGTAGTTAACACTTTTGTATTCTTGACAGTAATAGGTATGTAAGCTTTCCTGTCTCCAGTGTTCTAGGAATTGTCCCTCCCCGCCACCACAGGGATGGGTGATGAGCACATTACCAAGGTATGGCCAATTAGTTTGGCCATTTTGATTGTTTTATAGAGAAATGTATAATCCAGGCATGGCCTATTAGAGTTACCATGATGCCTGAAATTTTCAGAGAAAATTACTTTCCCTCTCATACTCCTAACCCCCTCTAGAGTTGCAGTAGGGACCATGTAAGTTGGGGAGCTGCTGGAAGTTCTTACTACCATCACCCAGTGATCCCCTTTCTAAGGACAAAACAGGGGGAAGTGTGGGAGGCAGGTGAGGGATAAAAGACTACATAACGGGTACAGCGTACACTGCTCAGGTGATGGGTCTACCAAAATCTCAGAAATCACCACTAAAGAACGTATCCATGTAACCAAAAACCACCTGTTCCCCAAAAACTATTGAAACAAAACAAAACAAACAAACAAACAGAATGAGGAAAACAGCTGCAAAAGGGAGAGATAGAAAGAAAATTTCTTGATGGCATTTTTGAAGCCCTGTATCTAGTTGTGTCTGAAGTTAGTCACCTATCAGATTTCTCGGAAAAGTAATTCATTAAGTTACATCGTAATTTCAGCTAGTTTTGCTTCAGTTTCTTTCACATACTACTAAAAGTGCCCCAACTGAACCAGTAGACTACCTAGATTATATATATATATTAATATGTATCTATAGATGTAGTCATCTATCTATATCTATGTCTATATAGATATCTATCTACATCTATGTCTAGATCTATATATAATGTCGTAAAATAAAAATATTCATTTAGAAGGGTAAGAAAGGGTCATTTCTATATTACTCACCATTCTATCTCTATCATATATCATGGTGACTGCACATAGACATATATCATATTACTCCCCAATTTGATCTTGAGGTCTCTCTCTACAGAGTGGCTATAAGCTCTAGCCCTACCCTTACAAGGCTCCAGGGGATGTGGTTGTGGGTTTTACAATGTGTCTTTCATAGGATTCTCCTTTATCTTAGCAAACAGCCTAATGCCTAAGTGTCCAACCCATGGCCCCATGTCCCTCTCATAGTAAACTTGTTTATGAGGGCAAATATAACAATTTATGGGGATAAACTGGCAAATGTCCTTGTGGCTCTTGTCTGAGCTGTGTCCAGTTTATTCCTGCCAAAACAGCCACTATCTAGGAGAGCATTGACTAGGAGGCAAGTTAGGTCTGGGTGTGTCGGTCTGAGGAGACACAGAGGAGGCAACATAATAAAAACACATGAAATATTAATAACACAAGTGGTTTATTACTCGCAGATCCATGAGAGAAAAGGTGTACTTATGAAGGTAATGGGAATGTTCCTGAAGAAATAAGCTCAACCAACAGGTTGGGAGCCAGAGAGAGATGAATCTACCGGCTGAGGCATTTACTGGGGTCTAGGACATTACCTAACTATGTTTCCTGTGGGGAGTGCTAATGAGTTGGTGAGGTTAAGGTAAGCAGGTACAAGTTTCATGGAACTATGCTGTGACTGACAGTGGTCACTGAAGCATATCTGCACAGTTTATGCAGGTTGTGGGGCTCAGTAGGGGAAGTTAAGTATTTTGTATCTGTATATAGTATAGGATGATGGTCACCAGGAGATGGTTGGATAAAGCAGATATCCAGATAAACCATATTGAGAAGATGGGAGGAGACAGAGAAGTAGAAACTGTGTCAAGGGTGAATAAACCCTGTTTCTGGTATGAGCAAGTTAAACCTAGATCCAGAATGAATGCCAAGACAGGATATAATTTTAGAAGTTACTACAACATGTTTAATAAATATTCATGAATGAACAAATAATCTAACTAGTCCAATTTATTGGGCCCCTGTTTTGTGTGAAGTCCTATCTTAGGAGAGAGTAAAATAATAAAAAGAGTAAGAGACTTTGTCCTCTAGTTGATGATGTTATGCAAGCTTTGAGTTATAAGAAAAATGTAAGGTAGATTAAGAGAAGGGGCTAAAGGAAGTGAAAATTGTACATTGAAAAATAGCTAAGCCATGAAAGGGCACTAGAGTTAGACTACCTGAGTTTGAATCAGTGCTCTATTCTTGTGAACTGTTTGATCTTGGATATATTACTTAAACCCAGTTTCCTTATCTGTAACAAAGGAATAATATTGTTACGTTCTTGATAGATTTTCTGTGAGGATAAGTCAAGATATTCTATTTAAAATGAGTTAAATGCCTAGGATATGTTAAGTGCTCAGTAACTATTGGCTATTTTTATTTCAGGAAGCAAAGATGGGCAGAACATGATTTAAATATTAAGGAAAAGAGAATTGGAAGCAAAGTCACCCTGGGTATCTGAATATTTATTGTATTGCAAATCAACACCAACTATCAAAAAAATGCCCACAAACGTAATTTAACATACAATATATAATCCAGCAAAATTTTAGTGTTGCACAGGTTAGATTTACACAATGATAGGTTTATTTTAGAGATTAGTTAAGACTTGAATCTTTGGTAGACAGGAGGGAAAAAAAGACCTCTACGTTATACTTAAAAAATTTTTAACAAGAAAGGACTTAGAGTTTAAAAACTTTGAGTGATAATTATAGTGTTGGATTTTATTAGATATTCTGCATGAGGAAAAAAGTGGATTAAAAAAGTACATTTAATTGTCTGCTAGGAGGTAGATATGCAGAAGATTATTACATAGCTAGATGGAAAAGGACTTCTTGAGTCTTTACAATACTTAAAGATGATAAAATTTGATAGAATTTTATAGACTCATTCAGGAACAAATGCCTTTCTATGTCATAAAATGCTGTTTGTAATTACATTTTTTCCTAACTTTAATTCTTACCTCATGGTAAAATGGTAGTTACCTGTGGGTCTCTGGATACAAAGGAAAATGAAATCCCATTAATAGACATAAAGTAGCTTCATATATGTTTAACACTGCTGGTCTACACATTTCAAAAGCATGGGGGACTTCCACTTGATTCAAGGGTCTTATGGAGAAAATAAAACAGCATTGTATAGTAGAGGAAAGAACATACAAACAGATTAAAGCTATGTGACCTTGAACAAATTAACCTTTTTGAGCCCAAGGTTCCCTGTGAGTAGAAAGAAGATAACAATTATAGTGTCTTGTGAGGATTAAAGATAATATTTACAGAGAGAGAAATTTTTTGGCATATGGTAGGAGATCTAAGATAGATAAGTATGAATAAATAAAACTGTTGACACAAAATGTTAAGTAGCAACTTGCAAGATTTTGATAAATACTGATAGAGTCTTAGCTGATGTCATCACTAATGAATAGTTGTGTTCAGCACTGTGGCTTAATAATTTCATTGCCCCCGCCCAGTCCAGTGATACATGGATCAATGTTGACCAGACAGGGATTATGACAATGAAGCCAGCGTTCCATGCTTTCTCTTCTTCTCAGGCTATATGCCCTTTTTATTTAGCATGTAAAGGAAGCGTTAGTCTGCCCAGTTTTCCTTTCTTCTTAGTTCACTGAAAAGCTTCTTTACCTTCACAAAACTAGGTTCCTCAGGGGCATTCTCAATCTACTTCACACCATGGAAGGATGAAGCCTTCCTTAAGAGCTGCAAAATACATATTGGGATGTTAAAAGTAGTTACTTACTGGTTTTAAGGACTTTTTATTCGTTTAGATTTAAGCTGATCAAATCCCCAAATTTAGATTTTAGCATATATGAGTTTATCCATTGGTCCAAGATTATCCTTAGAAGGTCACAACGTTTTATTTTCTTTGTCTCTTTTCCTTCCTTTTTGAGAAAAAGATTACTATATAAATGGTTTATTTACAAGAGTTTGAAACTTTTTTTAACTTTAGTCAGATATTCCTTCTTTTCTGTTTTTTTCTTTCTTTCTTTTTTTTTTTTTTTTTACTTTTTTTCCTCATAAGAAACTTTTCAAAGCAGTCTGGCATTTAAAAAATATAAATCTAGTTTACAGTCCCACCAACAGTGTAAAAGTGTTCCTATTTCTCCACATCCTCTCCAGCACCTGTTGTTTCCTGACTTTTTAATGATCGCCATTCTACTGGTGTGAGATGGTATCTCATTGTGGTTTTGATTTGCATTTCTCTGATGGCCAGTGATGATGAGCATTTTTTCATGTGTCTTTTGGCTGCATAAATGTCTTCTTTTGAGAAGTGTCTGTTCATATCCTTTGCCCACTTTTTGATGGGGTTGTTTGATTTTTTTCTTGTAAATTTGTTTGAGTTCATTATAATTCTGGATATTAGCCCTTTGTCAGATGAGTAGACTGCAAAAATTTTCTCCCATTCTGTAGGTGGCCTGTTCACTCTGATGGTAGTTTCTTTTGCTGTGCAGAAGCTCTTTAGTTTAATTAGATCCCATTTGTCAATTTTGGCTTTTGTTGCCGTTGCTTTTGGTGTTTTAGTCATGAAGTCCTTGCCCATGCCTATGTCCTGAATGGTATTGCCTAGGTTTTCTTCTAGAGATTTCATGGTTTTAGATCTAACATTTAAGTCTTTAATCCATCTTGAATGAATTTTTGTATAAGGTGTAAGGAAGGGATCCAGTTTCAGCTTTCTACATATGGCTAGCCAGTTTTCCCAGCACCATTTATTAAATAGGGAATCCTTTCCCTATTTCTTGTTTTTGTCAGGTTTGTCAAAGATCAGATAGTTGTAGATATGCGGCATTATTTCTGAGGGCTCTGTTCTGTTCCATTGGTCTATATCTCTGTTTTGGTACCAGTACCATGCTGTTTTGGTTACTGTAGCCTTGTAGTATAGTTTGAAGTCAGGTAGCATGATGCGATTCCTCAGGGATCTAGAACTAGAAATACCATTTGACCCAGCCATCCCATTACTGGGTATATACCCAAAGGATTATAAAACATGCTGCTATAAAGACACATGCACATGTATGTTTATTACGGCACCATTCACAATAGCAAAGACTTGGAACCAACCCATATGTCCAACAATGATAGACTGGATTAAGAAAATGTGGCACATATATACCATGGAATACTATGCAGCCATAAAAATGATGAGTTCATGTCCTTTGTAGGGACATGGATGAAGCTGGAAACCATCATTCTCAGCAAACTGTCACTAGGACAAAAAAACCAAACACTGCATGTTCTCACTCATAGGTGGGAATTGAAGAATGAGAACACATGGACACATGAAGGGGAACATCACACACCAGGGCCTTTTGTGGGGAGGGGGAAGGGGGGAGGGATAGCATTAGGAGATATACCTAATGTTAAATGACGAGTTAATGGGTGCAGCACACCAACATGGCACATGTATACATATGTAACAAACCTGCACATTGTGCACATGTACCCTAAAACTTAAAGTGTAATTAAAAAGAATATATAAATCTTTGCTGCTATTTTTGAGGAAGAGGTAGGTCCAGAGCTCTGATTTTTCATCCCTATCATCTCCACAGCTTCTGCAGTACCTCCCAGGAACTACAGGTTTCAGGAAATACATTTTAAAACCTCCATGTTAGTGAAAAAAGAACTGGAATTCTTGAGACTTGATTTTTAGCATTAGTTCTACCATCAAATTTGTTTGTGTCACTGATAGGGTTAATTGTTTCATCTGTAAAACAAGCGGTTTAGAACAGTGGTTCTCAATTTGGGCTGCGTATTAGCATCACCTGGGGAGTTTTAAAAAAATCCTGATGCTTAGGCCTCACTCTATACCAATTAAATTAGAATCTCTGGGGCATGACCCAGGCAGCCGTATTTTTTAAAACCCTTCTAGGTGATTCTAATGTGCAACCAGGTTTTAAAACCGCTAGAGAATTTGTGAGCAATAACGTTCCCCAAGTCCATGAGTCTGTGCAGCATGTTTTGCTAGATGTCGTTAACATGTGCACAGAGTCCAGTATAAAGTGAGGATGAGGGATGAAGGTAGACATAAAGATGGAATCTGGAAAATGGTTTTTTAAAAAAATCCTAGTAGCTCTGTGTTTTGAGCAAACACTTTGTTATATCCCTGATGGGAATGATTTTAACTTCCTGTAAAATGAAGTTCTCAAATGGGAAATTAAATTTAAATGCAATGTTATTTTTATACAAATAATATCGTTTGTTAATCTAATTAGCCAAGAATTATGCCTAAATATTTTATTCATAAAACAAATAGAAAAGGCAGGTTGACTACGGAAATATAAGATATGGTTAATATTCCTTAGTTGATGGTATAGATTTTAGGCATATTGAAGTAACATGTTGCTAACAATGAAAATCTCTGATACTTATATAGTGTAAGTTAAAAGTCCCTGCATCAAAAATGTTAAAAACAAACAAAACCCAGAATTACTGCAGTGTGCATATTGTCCATTATTAAAAACTATTGTTTCACAGTTTTCAAATTAGGAAACAAAAATTTACAGCATTGGTAAGCAATTGATCTTGGAACATATAAAAATTGGATGACATTATTCGTGCAACAATCTGCAAATGTCAAATGAATTTATTATGATTGGATAAATTATAGTGAATACTAAATAGTTTAAAAATGATAACACAGTTGGAATAAAATGATTGATATTAAGTATTTTAGATGCATAACTAAACAGAAATGACTTTTCATTTTATTACCAAGGCCACTTACATATTTTTTCTCATATTTGTGCAGCTAATGAGCATTCAAGATTCATGTGCTTTAATCTCCACTTTTTAACAGGGTAGTTCTTTTCTGAAAGTTGGTAACATTTAAATAAAAGAAAAAGTGCTGTTATCACTTGAGGCAAGACAATATATTAACAATTTTACTACCTATTCTTTAGGCTTTTTTTTTTTTTCTGGGATAGATTTACCAAAAACGGAACAAAAAAAAATTTACACATTTTCTGGACAGAAAGGTCAGTCGGTCTTTTGTGTTTTTGTATTCTGGTCTCCTTACCCTAGAGAAAAATTCACACTAGCCTTTTCATGTGGAAGTGTCCTGAGGGGTTAGATAATATGCCCCAACATTGACAGGCTAGATTTTGACAATGTGGAATGGAGCCAGCAGCGGCATTGACCACTTCTCAATGAACCATGGTAACAAAGACAATGAGTTCTTTTACCAATGATCATGAGTGACTGCTTGTTGAGAACATCCCAACTTCCTTCTTTTTTTCCAGACTGTAGATTCTGATGTCCTGGTACAATATAAAGTGAGTAAGGAGAATGGGTCAGGTGAGGAGAGGGAAATAGAGTGTGTAAGAAAAGGCGGGTAGTTGGGGAGAGAGAGAGTGAGAGCAAGAGCGAGCACACGCGATATGGGAGGTAGCGGGAATAGGGGAATAGAATGTAGTAGTGAAACAGAAAACGATTGATGTGGTATTTTCACCAAATTTGGCCAGTAGAGACTGGGAACTAAATATAATTTGGTTTAGATAAATTAAAGGCATTTAACATTTTTCTGTACTTTCTGTGTTGTGGCACAATTCTTAGTTGTCACACACTTTTAAAAATATAAAATTGGTACAAATAACGCCCAATATTTGGTCATTAGTGAGTTATTTCTTTTTAGTGAAAAATATCTAAAATGCTTCTGTGAAGTCTTCTTAGTTTACCATTTACATAGGGATCTCTATTGTCAACTTAAATTACTTACTATCTACACCACTTATTTTGTGGCTCATTGATATACTTCTGTGAGACATTTCTTTGGTTGTCTCCTATCATAAAACTCATATACTTTATTAACAGATCTAAATTTTAAACTTCTACCATGGTAGGAATTGTCTAAAAAAAAGTTGAGTAAGTGAATATATGGATATTCCTCTAGAGTGAGTTGTCTAAGGGCAGGAACTAAGAATACCATTTTATCCATGTGTTTTCAGCACAGCACAGTTCAGGCAACTAGGAAGTGCTCAATACTTGATTGTCAACAAGTACTGCATGAATAGATGAATAGACTAGTATGGAATTAAGACCCAAATGCATATATCCACCTGCAGAGTTGATTCATTCATATCTCATGAAAGATTCATTTGTTAGATCCAGATATGAATTTTTAATCCAGTACAATATGTGCTTTTTACTAATATATTGTGGTAACCAGTCTGATTAATGTCAACAATAGGGGATATTTAGATAAAAATCTCATACAAATTATGAAATCTATCCTTAATTTTTCAACCAAATCTTATATTTTATATTTATTTTCTCTCTTATGCAAAAATGAACATAGTCACCCAGCCCAACATACTCAATTTCTGTCAAGCTCCAACGCCTAAGCACTGTTAGTTTTTTTTTAAAGTTTATTATGAGTTGCCCAAAAACATCCCAACAGGCCACTGTACTTTATCTTAGAAGGATCTGAGCAATGAAATCCAGAAGTTCTTTTGGTGAAGAAAATGTTAGGAATCTCTTTTAAAGTATTTCTGTGCTAGTTTAAAGAAATTCTTTGAAATTCTCCCATCGAGATGTAGGGTCTGTTTCTAACACCAGGAAAATATGACAGAATTTGTACTTGGTGACTTCTGAGACCAGGTCATGAAAGGCCATGGGTTTTCTGATTTGTTTGCTGAAACACTGAATGGTGACCTGGTAAGTCTGACTATCCTCAGGTCTTTGATCATTCCATCAAAGTCCAGCTGTGAAGAACCATCTTGGTAAGTGGGTCCTAAGCCCCAGCTCTTCTAGCTCCCAGCTATTTGAGTCACCCCCTAAACATCAAGGAGAAGAAATAAGCTATGCTTTGTCTGAATTCCTGACCCACAGTCTCTGTGAGCATAATAAAAATGTTTGTTTTATGCCTCTAAGTGTTGGTGTAATTTTTTACAGAAAAAGAGTAAATGGAATAAATTTTGTATCCTGAAGAGTATATTTTATTTTAAAAACTATAATACAATAAGTTTTGTATTTACCATTTATGAGTAATATATAATGCTATATTTAATTTAATCTAAGAAACTCCTAATTTACTTTACTTTCTCTACCCTTTCAAAGTTTGAAATCACTAAATGATAAATTCAGTGACTCATTTTAGCATATTGTGAGCCCATTTGAAAAGTATCTCAATGTTACTTTTAGTTCCTTTTCCGTTTCCAGTAAATATAAATTCCTATAGTGTTCTGCTTTTTACTTTCATTGTGCCTGAGGCAATCGCCATGGAGGCTGGATGTAGCCCAGGTTTCTTGAAGGCATTGTTCTTGGCTTGAGTCACTTTTCCACTGGACTCTCTTCTGGCATATGTTAATATACATGATAAAATAAAAGAATTCCATGGTCAAAGAATTGGGAAACATATTTTAAATGCTCTTCTTAGAGAGTCATAATTAATGTTAGCATATTTAATAATCTGAGAAGTCCTAGTATAAGGAAATCTGTTTGACTCTGTTTCATTCAGTGTTTCTGAACTCTTTTGACTATACCCAGATCATGTGACCATGCAACACTCTAGAGAATACGCTTTTTAATATCTAATGTCTTGTACTACTGGTTTAGAAAATGCTTATTGATCTAGAGAGAGTAGTAATTAGAAAATGTTCATAATTAGCCAAGTAGTAATAAGTAACTATTAGTAATTAGCAAAATTCAAAGAGCTTACTTTATTTTTTCTTTCATTTATATACACTCTTTGAAATTATTAAGTATACAGGAACCTAAATGATGGCCTTAAAAACTCTAAGGAATGAATGATTGATAAATGTGAAGAAGAATTGTAGGAGATAAGATCAGAGAAAAAGGGATTAGCAGCAATTAAGGACTATTATAGATAATATAGGTCAATTATTATGAATAGCTCTATCCCTCCTATATGGTTCCAGGGTGTTTATCAGAGTTTCCAGGAGAAGCATAACAAAGTGTTGGAAATACACATATTTAAATTTATGATTATTTAAATTTGCCTTTAGGTGTATTGTTTAACTCTCTTGCATTTTTAAATAAGAGTAGAGGAGGGTGTAATCATGAGTATAAAATAATTGAGAGCTTGAGGTCTGAGTAGAACAGAAAAATCACAGCTTTGGAGAGTGAGGTAACACCTTTGTATCCCAGTCTCGTTGGGGAATGGTGTATTCCGGTCAACCAAGTCTCCAATTACTTCATTTTGACAGCAAAACTGATATTAGAGCACAGATGTGAGGGTTGAACTATAGAACGCTCTAGATTGATTTTTCAAGTGCTGTATACATTTTTAGAAAAGCAGCACTTTAACAGCTACAAATCTTTAATGGAGTTGCTAGACCATCAACTGACATGTCAACACACCTTGAAAGAAGCCTCATCAAATGCAAAGGTAAAGTTCTGTCAGATAGTGTTAGCAAAGCAAAATAAACTCATAGGAAGAAGGAAATATTTCTTCCAAATACCTGAGTGTTATAAAATAAAACACTTCAAAAGTCCTTAGATGTTTCTAATATGTAATCTGGGTAAAAAGATAAGAAATGGAAAAAGCAAGAAGGTAAATGAAAGCACTTCTTAAAATATTTAAATAGGAAATGATAAAAATGTAAAAGTGAAACTGTGCTTATTAGTGGGGGAAAAAAACAACTGAAGTTAATTTCAAGCTGCCATAGGATAAAAGCAAAGATGAGCAAGATAATGTGTCACTGGCTTGGGGAAATTAAAAAAAAAAACATTGTTAATACTTAAGCCAGAACCTATTAATTTCTGACAGAAACTATTGATTTCAGAAAACTAGATAATTTCTGACAAAAAGGGTTCTAGGTCAAATAAATTTGGGTCAAACAATAACAAGTCTTTTTATTGAGTCTTTATTACACTAATGTGTTTTTCAAATCATTCTATAGTGTTTCCCAAATTTACTTGGCTATGGAAATTTTTGTTTGTTTGTTGAGACTTATCCTCTTTTGGGACTCAGGTCCAAGGAGCAAACTTTGGGAAACACTGATCTAGCCCTTTTGTTTGATAAAGCTATTATTGACCTTGCTATGAGACTAGCTGACAGGTGGCCTGTAGGCACCTCATGGCTCCTGCCGTTAGTACTCATGGCTCTAATGACTGAATTTAGGTGGAACTTGTGCCCTTCCCTGGCTTAAATCCACAAATTAATTTTTCCATCTATAAGATAGGGATTATCTTTTGCAGAAGGTAAAATGAGATGAAGAAAGGTGATAAGCCTCTCAAAGTCACACAACATGAACACTACATGTCAGAATTTGAACTTTAAACTTCTTTCTCCCATTCTGCTGAGTATTGCCTTCCAGGTTAAAAAAATATATAGTATCTGTTTTTAGTTAAAGAGTGAGCTGTGGCTTGGATTGAGCCCCTCTTCTTTGAATGGGACTCTGGTTTAACTAAAATTTAGAGAAGTTCTGAAGCTTTTAATGAAAGGCTACATTTATCAAAAATAGGGCCCACTCATTAAATACTAAGGCTTATATCATTAAGAAACAATAGAGAAAGGAAGAAAAACCTATTCCCAGTTTCGATGAAAAGAGAGAAGGCTTTTAAGAAATAAGGGTGGACTTTCCAACAGAGCAGTCATGAAAAGTTGAATGTCCAAAATGAGTACATTTTAAAGAAATATATAAATATTTTTCTTCAGACACAGAAATATTCAAAAGATGGTTACACATGTGAACGTGAACCTTGGAAGGGAGGACTGGCTATAGGGAAACACTGGCCATCTTCATGAATAAGAAATTTGAAAATGAAGGAGCAGTTGGAGTTATATTAATGGTTCTCAAATTAGTTCTCTTTCTCTTTCTCTTTCTCTTTCTTTCTCTTCTCTTCTCTTCTTTTCTCTTCTCTTCCCTTCCCTTCTCTTTTTTCCCTCATTCTCATGCTTCTATATACTTTTTCATACTTTGACTGCTTTCTCTTTGTCTTTTATAAAGTCATCTTTATGAATCAGATAGCTAATTGTGGAACACCAATGGGATTATTGAATTCTGTGATCTATTTGTAGAGTGCTAGTAGTTCTCTGGCAGGGCCTTTCTTTGCCCAAGGACCAGTTACATTGTGGTTGTGGTGGTGGAAGTCTCTTTATATGTTTGCTTGTTTTTCCAAGATCAAGTGGCATTGCCTTATTCACTTGCCTTTCCCCATTTACCGTTTTCAATTTCCTAAAAGGATTTTTCCATGTGGTCTGTGATGATTTAGCTATTGAAAGTAGATTGGTTGTCTGAAAACTGGCTAGTTTCCACAAGAAATGTTTACTATATATTCCTAATTTGTGGAAATTATACTTTGAGAATTATTGATAAATATCCTGATACAAAGTTTGAAGGAGATCACGTAGGGGAAGAGAAGGTTGGATTTTCTAACTCAGCCTTTGCAAGGAAAGATGCAAGAGCTCTTAAAAGCAACCCCTCTTGAATGTGGTTACTGACTTTTACTGTTCATGTTCTAGCAGAGTGAGATTTTCACCCTGGAAAACTCGGGCACTGTACAGTTTTCTAAACAAATACAGTTCAACTCATCACTTCTTGTCCTGAGGATTATGTAGATCATTGGTAAGTGAATGACACATCATGTATGAGATATCATGTTTCTCTGGTAATGGGTGAGCATCAACTTCAATGAACATCATAGTCAGAAACAAATCTCACCCTAGTGTAAAACTTTGAAATCTTAAAGTGAAACATTCTACTTACTTAGAAATTGGATTATTAGGCCGATTCTCTTTATGGCACCTCTCACATTTTTCTTATTTGCTACTTGCTTATATCTATTCCCATCCTCTCTGCCTATTCACAGGAAGGTAAGATACATGTTTATTGTTGCATTGCTGGGCTAAAATAGGGCTGGGCACATAGTAGATTTTCAATAAATGTTTGCTATATGAATGTCTCAGGGTATTAATAAATAAACACATCTTCATTTTAAGGGAAAGAAATTGAGTCAGGTGAGGTTAAGTGGTTTACCAAAAAGTGTTATAACGAACTCATAGATAGACTAGAAATATAATTCTGTATCCTAATTCTGAAACCAGCAAAATATACCTCTGTGTCTTTTATCTGGTGTAATTGCACATGTTTACTAAAAAGGCATTTGGAATTTTAGACTAATTATATGCCAGGACTAAGATAAGTTCTGTCTGATGGTGAATCCTTGTTTTAATATTATTTGTAATCTGTTGACATTATAGTTTTTGAATTGTCTGAGATTTTTTCTCACATTTTAGTACATTGAATAAATCTTATAAACGTGAAACTTACTTTTTAAAATCTGTTACATAGAAATTTGGTAACATTCTTTTATTAGATGAATAAAATAATTGCAATAGTAATTCAAGAAATCACTTCATAGTATTCTTATGAATTATTTTTGGTTGTAAATCTTTATAAATTTTATTTGTGTACTAATATTTTGCTCAGATAGTCATATTTTTATTTTAAAGGGATTAATTTTACATTCTCTTATACTTTAGTAGTAAAAAGTAATTGTTTTTGGTAGACTGAATTGTGTTTAAATTTTTCTCACTCTCTCCTTTCTTTTTCTTTTTTTTTTGAGTGGGAGTCTTGCTCTGTGCCCCAGGCTGGAGTGCAGTGGCGCAGTATCGGCTAACTGCAAGCTCCACCTCCCGGGTTCAAGTCATTCTCCTGCCTCAGCCTCCAGCGTAGCTGGGTCTACAGGCGACCGCCACCACGCCCGGCTAATTTTTTTGTATTTTTAGTAGAGACGGGGTTTCACTGTGTTCGCCAGGATGGTCTCGATCTCCTGACCTCGTGATCCGCCCGCCTCGGCCTCCCAAAGTGCTGGGATTACAGGCGTGAGCCACCGCGCCCGGCCCCTTCTTTTCTTCTGTTTTCCTGTCCTTCTTCCATGACTCAGCAATTCTCTACTTGGTGGAGTGTCTGGCAATGCCCTGTTCTTCACCTGTGTGGTGGTTACACAGGAATTAGCTTTATAATTACTGGCAGTTATACTAATTATAAACCATATAACTGTGTGTTTCATGTACTGATCTGCATACATAGTTAATAAAAATTAAAAAAATTAAAAGCAAAGTTATATAGTCCATATGTTTCCATCTAGAATGGATTTAAATTTAATGAAACATTTGTATGTATCATTATTTCTGATTCTCAGAAATTTATAAAAGTTTCAGAGTATGGAACTTTCTATTTGTGTTCCAATTTATTTATGAATAAGTCTCTAATAGACAATGCATATAAGTGATTTATTCCACTTAAAATTTATTTTTTATTAGACATGCATTGAATTATATAAAGAACATTAAGGATGAGAATTGCCTGTTTTATTTTTTGACTCTTCTGGCATAAGTAATCAAGTCAATTTTAGTAAAATTTCTAAAGGACAAGGTAATTTCAAATACTTTCAAGTACTTTTCTTCTGTTGTCTGTAGATTACACATAGAGGTGTGTAATTAAAAACTTAATATAGCCTCTAGTAGATGAAACATATCTTGGATAAACTTTTGCTCTTTTATCCTTTAGAACAGATGTGTTTATCACATATTTCTCAACAGAATATAATTTTGTTTAGGTCATTCCGCCAACAGAAAAGAAACAACATGCCTATCCCCACCACACCCTAATTTAATTATGGATTTATTGCTTTATGGATATTGATATTCATGGATTTCAAATTCAAATATGAACAGAGTATATTTTGTAGAAAAACTAATATTTTAAATGGTGAAATTTAAAAACCCATAATAACATCATTACATTATTTGTAATATCCAGTGCGAAGACAATATACTATATATAGTTATTTTATTTCCCATCTGATAGGGTATTTTTGCACAAATGTAATTCTACCTGTAAATAAAATACTGATTTATAGTCATTGGAATGTGAGACTATAGAAGGTTTTCCCCCAATTTTTTTAAATTAATTCTCCTTGTTAAAAGGGAAAGTAAAGCCCATAAATAAGTTAAAAAACGTTTGACTCAGAATGTAATCTTTTGATCATAATACAACAATAGATGTTTGTTTCTTTTGTTGTAGAATAATTAAGGTTTAGTTTATTTTATTTTTTATTTTATTTATTTATTTATTTTTTTAATTTATTATTATTATACTTTAAGTTTTAGGATACATGTGCACAATGTGCAAGTTAGTTACATATGTATACATGTGCCATGACTCATCATCTAGCATTAGGTATATCTCCCAATGCTATCCCTCCCCCGCTCCCTCCACCCCACAACAGTGCCCAGAGTGTGATGTTCCCTTTCCTGTGTCCATGTGTTCTCATTGTTCAATTCCCACCTATGAGTGAGAATATGCGGTGTTTGGTTTTTTGATCTTGCGATAGTTTACTGAGAATGATGATTTCCAATTTCATCCATGTCCCTACAAAGGACGTGAAATCATCCTTTTTTATGGCTGCATAGTATTCCATGGTGTATATGTGCCACATTTTCTTAATCCAGTCTATCATTGTTGGACATTTGGGTTGGTTCCAAGTCTTTGCTATTGTGAATAGTGCCGCAATAAACATACGTGTGCATGTGTCTTTATAGCAGCATGATTTAAAGTCCTTTGGATATATACCCAGTAATGGGATGGCTGGGTCAAATGGTATTTCTAGTTCTAGATCCCTGAGGAATCGCCACACTGACTTCCACAATGGTTGAACTAGTTTACAGTCCCACCAACAGTGTAAAAGTGTTCCTATTTCTCCACATCCTCTCCAGCACCTGTTGTTTCCTGACTTTTTAATGATTGCCATTCTAACTGGTGTGAGATGGTATCTCATTGTGGCTTTGATTTGCATTTCTCTGATGGCCAGTGATGGTGAGCATTTTTTCATGTGTGTTTTGGCTGCATAAATGTCTTCTTTTAAGAAGTGTCTGTTCATGTCCTTCGCCCACTTTGTGATGGGGTTGTTTGTTTTTTTCTTGTAAATTTGTTTCAGTTCATTGTAGATTCTGGATATTAGCCCTTTGTCAGATGCGTAGGTTGCGAAAACTTTCTCCCATTTTGTAGGTTGCCTGTTCACTCTGATGGTAGTTTCTTTTGCTGTGTAGAAGCTCTTTAGTTTAATTAGATCTCATTTGTCAATTTTGGCTTTGGTTGCCATTGCTTTTGGTGTTTTAGACATGAAGTCCTTGCCCACGCCTATGTCCTGAATGGTAATGCCTAGGTTTTCTTCTAGGGTTTTTATGGTTTTAGATCTAACATTTAAGTCTTTAATCCATCTTGAAATGATTTTTGTATAAGGTGAAAGGAAGGGATCCAGTTTCAGCTTTCTACATACGGCTAGCCAGTTTTCCCAGCACCATTTATTAAATGGGGAATCCTTTCCCCATAGCTTGTTTTTCTCAGGTTTGTCAAAGATCAGATAGTTGTAGATATGCGGCGTTATTTCTGAGGGCTCTGTTCTGTTCCATTGATCCATATCTCTGTTTTGGTACCAGTACCATGCTGTTTTGGTTACTGTAGCCTTGTAGCACAGTTTGAAGTCAGGTAGTGTGATGCCTCCAGCTTTGTTCTTTTGGCTTAGGATTGACTTGGCGATGCAGTCTCTTTTTTGGTTCCATATGAATTTTAAAGTAGTTTTTTCCAATTCTGTGAAGAAAGGCATTGGTAGCTTGATGGGGATGGCATTGAATCTGTAAATTACCTTGGGCAGTATGGCCATTTTCACGATATTGATTCTTCCTACCCATGAGCATGGAATGTTCTTCCATTTGTTTGTATCCTCTTTTATTTCATTGAGCAGTGGTTTGTAGTTCTCCTTGAAGAGGTCCTTCACATCCCTTGTAAGTTGGATTCCTAGGTATTTTATTCTCTTTGAAGCAATTGTGAATGGGAGTTCACTCATGATTTGGCTCTCTGTTTGTCTGTTGTTGGTGTATAAGAATGCTTGTGATTTTTGCACATTGATTTTGTATCCTGAGACTTTGCTGAAGTTGCTTATCAGCTGAAGGAGATTTTGGGCTGAGACGATGGGGTGTTCTAGATATACAATCATGTCATCTGCAAACAGGGACAATTTGACTTCCTCTTTTCCTAATTGAATACCCTTTATTTCCTTCTCCTGCTTAATTGCCCTGGCCAGAACTTCCAACACTATGTTGAATAGGAGTGGTGAGAGAGGGCATCCCTGTCTTGTGTCAGTTTTCAAAGGGAATGCTTCCAGTTTTTGCCCATTCAGTATGATATTGACTGTGGGTTTGTCATAGATAGCTCTTATTATTTTGAGATACGTCCCATCAATACCTAATTTATTGAGAGTTTTTAGCATGAAGCATTGTTGAATTTTGTCAAAGGCCTTTTCTGCATCTATTGAGATAATCATGTGGTTTTTGTCTTTGGTTGTGTTTATATGCTGGATTACAGTTATTGATTTGCGTATATTGAACCAGCCTTGCATCTCAGGGATGAAGCCCACTTGATCATGGTGGATAA
The DNA here is from genome assembly GCF_000001405.40 of Homo sapiens. Taxonomy (NCBI): domain Eukaryota; kingdom Metazoa; phylum Chordata; class Mammalia; order Primates; family Hominidae; genus Homo; species Homo sapiens. Next base: position 24,227,022 of record NC_000009.12, read on the forward strand.
GCTTTTTGATGTGCTGCTGGATTCGGTTTGCCAGTATCTTACTGAGGATTTTTGCATCAACGTTCGTCAAGGGTATTGGTCTAAAATTCTCTTTTTTGGTTGTGTCTCTGCCCGGCTTTGTTATCAGGATGATGCTGGCCTCATAAAATGAGTTAGGGAGGATTCCCTCTTTTTCTATTGATTGGAATAGTTTCAGAAGGAATGGTACCAGTTCCTCCTTGTACCTCCGGTAGAATTTGGCTGTGAATCCATCTGGTCCTGGACTCTTTTTGGTTGGTAAGCTATTGATTATTGCCACAATTTCAGCTCCTGTTATTGGTCTATTCAGAGATTCAACTTCTTCCTGGTTTAGTCTTGGGAGAGTGTATGTGTTGAGGAATTTATACATTTCTTCTAGATTTTCTAGTTTATTTGTGTAGAGGTGCTTGTAGTATTCTCTGATGGTAGTTTGTATTTCTGTGGGATCAGTGGTGATATCCCTTTTATCATTTTTTATTGAGTCTATTTGATTCTTCTTTTTTTCTTTATTAGTCTTGCTAGCAGTCTATCAATTTTGTTGATCCTTTCAAAAAACCAGCTCCTGGATTCATTAATTTTTTGGAGGGTTTTTTGTATCTCTATTTCCTTCAGTTCTGCTCGGATTTTAGTTATTTCTTGCCTTCTGCTAGCTTTTGAATGTGTTTGCTCTTGCTTTTCTAGTTCTTTTAATTGTGATGTTAGGGTGTCAATTTTGGATCTTTCCTGCTTTCTCTTGTGGGCATTTAGTGCTATAAATTTCCCTCTACACACTGCTTCAAATGCGTGCCAGAGATTCTGGTATGTTGTGTCTTTGTTCTCGTTGGTTTCAAAGAACATCTTTATTTCTGCCTTCATTTCGTTATGGACCCAGTAGTCATTCAGGAGCAGGTTGTTCAGTTTCCATGTAGTTGAGCGGTTTTGAGTGAGATTCTTAATCCTGAGTTCTAGTTTGATTGCACTGTGGTCTGAGAGATAGTTAGTTATAATTTCTGTTCTTTTACATTTGCTGAGGAGAGCTTTACTTCCAAGTATGTGGTCAATTTTGGAATAGGTGTGGTGTAGTGCTGAAAAAAATGTATATTCTGTTGATTTGGGGTGGAGAATTCTGTAGATGTCTATTAGGTCCACTTGGTGCAGAGCTGAGTTCAATTCCTGGGTATCCTTGTTGACTTTCTGTCTCGTTGATCTGTCTAATGTTGACAGTGGGCTGTCAAAGTCTCCCATTATTATTTTGTGGGAGTCTAAGTCTCTTTGTAGGTCGCTCAGGACTTGCTTTATGAATCTGGGTGCTCCTGTATTGGGTGCATATATATTTAGGATAGTTAGCTCTTCTTGTTGAATTGATCCCTTTACCATTATGTAATGGCTTTCTTTGTCTCTTTTGATCTTTGTTGGTTTAAAGTCTGTTTTATCAGAGACTAGGATTGCAACCCCTGCCTTTTTTGGTTTTCCATTTGCTTGGTAGATCTTCCTCCATCCTTTTATTTTGAGCCTATGTGTGTCTCTGCATGTGAGATGGGTTTCCTGAATAGAGCACACTGATGGGTCTTGACTCTTTATCCAGTTTGCCAGTCTGTGTCTTTGAATTGGAGCATTTAGTCCATTTACATTTAAAGTTAATATTGTTATATGTGAATTTGATCCTGTCATTATGATGTTAGCTGGTTATTTTGCTCGTTAGTTGATGCAGTTTCTACCTAGTCTCAATGGTCTTTACATTTTGGCATGATTTTGCAGCAGCTGGTACCAGTTGTTCCTTTCCATGTTTAGCACTTCCTTCAGGAGCTCTTTTAAGGCAGGCCTGGTGGTGACATAATCTCTCAGCATTTGCTTGTCTGTAAGTATTTTATTTCTCCTTCACTTATGAAGCTTAGTTTGGCTGGATATGAAATTCTGGGTTGAAAATTCTTTTCTTTAAGAATGTTGAATACTGGCCCCCACTCTCTTCTGGCTTGTAGAGTTTCTGCCGAGAGATCAGCTGTTAGTCTGATGGGCTTCCCTTTGTGGGTGACCCGACCTTTCTTTCTGGCTGCCCTTAACATTTTTTCCTTCATTTCAACTTTGGTGAATCTGACAATTATGTGTCTTGGAGTTGCTCTTCTCGAGGAGTATCTTTGTGGCGTTCTCTGTATTTCCTGAATCTGAATGTTGGCCTGCCTTGCTAGATTGGGGAATTTCTCCTGGATGATATCCTGCAGAGTGTTTTCCAACTTGGTTCCATTCTCCCCGTCACTTTCAGCCACACCAATCAGACGTAGATTTGGTCTTTTCACATAGTCCCATATTTCTTGGAGGCTTTGCTCATTTCTTTTTATTCTTTTTTCTCTAACCTTCCCTTCTCGCTTCATTTCATTCACTTCATCTTCCATTGCTGATACCCTTTCTTCCACTTGATCACATTGGCTCCTGAGGCTTCTGCATTCTTCACGTAGTTCTCGAGTCTTGGTTTTCAGCTCCATCAGCTCCTTTAAGCACTTCTCTGTATTGGTTATTCTAGTTATACATTCTTCTAAACTTTTTTCAAAGTTTTCAACTTATTTGCCTTTGGTTTGAATGTCCTCCCATAGCTCGGAGTAATTTGATCGTCTGAAGCCTTCTTCTCTCAGCTCGTCAAAGTCATTCTCCATCCAGCTTTGTTCCGTTGCTGGTGAGGAACTGCCTTCCTTTGGAGGAGGAGAGGCGCTCTGCTTTTTAGAGTTTCCGGTCTTTCTGCTCTGTTTTTTCCCCATCTTTGTGGTTTTATCTACTTTTGGTCTTTGATGATGGTGATGTACAGATGGGTTTTTGGTGTGGATGTCCTTTCTGTTTGTTAGTTTTCCTTCTAACAGACAGGACCCTCAGCTGCAGGTCTGTTGGAGTACCCTGCCGTGTGAGGTGTCAGTGTGCCCCTGCTGGGGGGTGCCTCTCAGTTAAGCTGCTCGGGGGTCAGGGGTCAGGGATCCACTTGAGGAGGCAGTCTGCCGGTTCTCAGATCTCCAGCTGCGTGCTGGGAGAACCACTGCTCTCTTCAAAGCTGTCAGACAGGGACATTTAAATCTGCAGAGGTTACTGCTGTCTTTTTGTTTATCTGTGCCCTGCACCCAGAGGTGGAGCCTACAGAGGCAGGCAGGCCTCCTTGAGCAGTGGTGGGCTCCACCCGGTTGGAGCTTCCCGGCTGGGCTGCTTTGTTTACCTAAGCAATCCTGGGCAATGGCGGGCGCCCCTCCCCCAGCCTCGCTGCCGCCTTGCAGTTTGATCTCAGACTGCTGTGCTAGCAATCAGCGAGACTCCGTGGGCGTAGGACCCTCCGAGCCAGGTGTGGGATATAATCTGGTGCGGCGTTTTTTAAGCCTGTCGGAAAAGCGCAGTATTCCGGTGGGAGTGACCCAATTTTCCAGGTGTCGTCTGTCACCCCTTTCTTTGACTAGGAAAGGGAACTCCCTGACCCCTTGCGCTTCCCGAGTGAGGCAATGCCTCACCCTGCTTCGGCTCGCGCACGGTGCGTGCACCCACTGACCTGCGCCCACTGTCTGGCACTCCCTAGTAAGATGAACCTGGTACTGAGATGGAAATGCAGAAATCACCCGTCTTCTGCGTCAGTCACGCTGGGAGCTGTTGACCGGAGCTGTTCCTATTCGGCCATCTTGGCTCCACATTCAGCGGTTTAGTTTATTTTAAAAAGAGAAAAGATTAAAAGGAAAAAAGAAACCAAAAGGCAGATATAGTTCTAATGAATTAGTCTTAGAAGTAAATCAGCCCACTGGGAATGAACTTCTTTTGAAAATGCAGTGTGGAGAAACAGGTTAAACTCTGATTTTTGATGACAGAAGCAAGGGGATAAAATTTATATACAGATTGAATTCTGGTTGTATTTCTAGGACAGCATTTGTGCATGCTGCTTTGAGACCCACGTCAACTCTTTATCTTTCTCTTTGACAGATCAGTATTGAAATGAGAAGCCCAGCAGCTACTAAGCCCTGGTGCAAGTGTTCTTTCCACACTACCAAACTCTCTCTTATTGTTCTATTACTTAGGTTCTTCTTATGGATTGGTTACAGATATTTAACTTGAGAGAGAAGACAAGGAAAACCCATTAAATAATAATTGTTGGGAAATTTACTGTTTAAGTTACCTGGTGTTTATTGATGTCTGAAATTTTCAACGTTCCCAGTCAGGTTAGAGATATAAATGAAGTGTGAAGCTTACCATATCCGGAGGACAATACCTTGTATGTACTTATTTGCTGATGGAATGAATGGTAATTATATGAATGAATGAATAAATTAATGAATTACAGATAGAAAATAATTGTAAATTACTATTACAAGTTGAACTAAATGGAACACTTAAGAGTAGGCCAACCCTACACTTGTGGACGGATAAGAAGAAAGAGAGCTAACACGTAGTTGGGGGGAACAACAGGAGAATTTATGAGAATAGCAGATCAAATGTAAGATGCATTTTGAAGGATTACAATCAAGACATATTTCATGGAGGAGCTGGCACTTGAGGTAAGTATAACAACAGTTTAAAATAACATCAGATTTCTTTTTTTGCTATCCTTTCTACAAATTGCAATGAGAACACTGACTCTTCTTTAATTTTGATTCTTTTATTTGAAAACTGGGTTAATTCAAATAAAATTATCCTTCCTTAGCAAAGGTAGGATTTCTTTATCGAATGTCATCTTCATTATTAACCCAATTTAGTGTTATAAGACTTTCACACTTTTTACGGAATAGTGCATGGCATGTTGTAAGGGGTTAATGTTTATTATTCGACTGACTGTATATCAAGTTATAGTCACAGTAATCTTTAAACCAAGAGCTTCTACTTTTCTGGTTCCTGCCTTGATCAACTTTCCTTTTTTTTCCCCCTGTGGCTCTGTCTTTGGACTTCCATTCTGTACCTGAACTATCTATTGGTAGTCTCATCCCATCTCATGGCTTTAAATATCATCTATATGATGACTATTTACAACTGTACAGTTCTAGCCTGTAACTCTCCCTTGGACTCCAAACTCCTATATGCACTACTTAAATGACATCTTTTGTTGGTATTTAATAGTTACTTCAAACATAATACATCCAAATGAAATTCTTTAGTTTGCTCCTAACAGTTTCCCCACCTTGCTTAATGCCACCTGAATTTCTCCAATTGCTCAAACCAAAGACACTGGAGTCATCATTGTTTCTTTTATACCCACGTCCAATTCATTAGCAAATCTGTTGCCCCTATTTTCAAAATATGTTCAGAATCTGACCATTTCTCTTAAGGTCCATTGCTACCAACTCTTCATTGAGGGACATTATGTTGGTAGCTTGAAATCAGCCATCATGAGAGTATTTACACCTCGGAAACTGGCAAACACTACACATTGGGGATTATTTTCTGAGAGACTGGGTTTTAACACATTTAAAACACCTTTGGCTGTTGGGTAAGCTATAGCCATGTACTTTCCTGCATGAAGGTCAGGGATTTTATTTAGCCAGTCATGGTAAAGGAAATTATGGGAGGTGAACCAACCAGGAGAATCTGCATTGTAAAAGGAAATTCAAATAGTCATGAGACAGGAAGGAGGAAAAGAAGGATTGGTAGCCATTATTAGAGGCAGCCAGTACATTCTTGTATCTTTTCCAGTTGGTAATTGAATGAACAAAGGTCTAGGATTCACATTCCTGAAAATGGAGGCAAGGTAATGGCTAGATAATCACAAGACTTTAGCCACATAGGTTAGAGATAAGGACAGGGTTCCATTCCTAATGAGGAATTGGAAATCTAGACAGGGACATTGTGAAGAATATTAGTCAGGGATGTAATATTATCTGGAGAATGGTGTCTTGGCAAGATTAATAACTTAATACCCATTAATATTGTTTATCACACTTTAATATTTTTATTTCAATAGTTTCACACTTTAATTTTTGTCCAACCCTGAAAACAGTGGTTCTGAGGTTTATGCATCAGCATCACCTGGGCTTGTTAAAAGACATTACTGGGTTCCATCCCAGAGTTTTTGATTCAGTATGTCTGTGTCAAGGCTTGAGAATAATATATGTCTAAGAAAATCTCCAAAGATGTTGGTGCTGCAGATCTGAATGTCTCAATTTGAGAACCACTTATTTACGGAAAAAGCAAGGAGCAGGCAGGGATGGTGGAGACTGCCCGTTGTTTTTGATGCCCCTTGCTAATGATAGCTGTGCCCAACTTCCCTAATATGGTTGTGAGCAAGTCAGCTATAGCCCCAAATGTACTGTCTCAAAGGTTCTGCAGTTAGCCAGACCCTTACTCTTTGGAAGGCAGTTTGGTTTCCTTGATGGTATTATTCCTTTTTCCTTGGGTGGCTTATTCCTACTGGTGGCATGCAGTACTCTTCCTGAAAAGAATTCTCATTCATCAGTATTCAATTAAATTTTCAGAACAATTATGATCCTAGTGATATTTTATTGTCCTTGATTAGCTAGTTCCTCAATCCAATACTGAGTTTAGTCACATGATGTAGAATAAATTGGAAAATACAGAGTTCCAGTGGTAACAAAGATGCCAGTTCTTATCCCCAGCCCAAAGGATATTGCAGGCATAGAAAACAAGACTGATTTTATGCTCTGTTGGTTAGGAAATTGAGCTGAATAGATTTTCTTTCGAAAATTAGATAAGTGGTTCTCAAAGTGAGATACTCAGACCTGCAACGTCAATGTCTCTTGAGATCTTGTTGGATGTGCATATCCTCAAGACTTGCCAAAGACATACTAAATCAAAAACTCTAGGATGGAACCCAGTAATACCTACATTTTCTGAGAGAGAGAGTGTGTGTGTGTATGTGTGTAAGAATTGTTAGGGGGAACAGAGAGAGAGTAAGCTAGAAAAAGAAGTAGAAGTGTACAGCTGAATCTATAGGTAGAAGAAAGTATCAGAAACTACCTGGGAAGAATTAGAAAAAGTAGGGGTTGCTACAATATTATATTTGTTCCTTATAAGGTCATAGTCATCTGATAATTAGCAAAAATGTATTAAAATCTTCTGCGCATATGATATACTAATGATATAGTAATACAGCTCACTTGCTAATTACACATATTTTTAAAATTTATTCATTTAAAAAATCACTCTAGGGACTCTACAAGTATCTTACTCCACGAATGAAAGATGAATTGCTTGAACTTGTAAGCTTTTGTTTTGATAAAGGCACGTTTTACATTTCATTTACTTTTTACATTTCTTTTAAAAGTATTTTAACATTATAAATTTTCACTGATTTATACTGATTTTTTCAATTAATCCAAATTGTGGAAGCTTTTCTTTCTTCACTAATCCTTCAGTCCTCCAGGCTCTGTTAGTTGAGATAATAATTAGAAGTTTAGTGAAAAAAATGTTCACACAAGAATAGTGTAAAGGTTAAGATGTTTGCATCACAGCTTGGAGCATGTCTACCTTTCATTTTTTAGCTCTCGTCTTTCCAGTTGATCATGTAAGTAGATTTAAACTCCGTCAGTGGTTCCTTATCTTAAGTGCACATTAAAAGCCTCCTTTGAAAATAGTAATTTCTCACTCCCACCTCTAGATATTTGTCTAGGATGTGTGTCGTAGTCCGTTTGTGCTGCTATCAAAGTGACAAAATACCAGAGACTGAATAGCTTATAAACAGCAGAAATTCCTCACAGTTCTAATAGCTGGGAAGTCCAAGATTGAGGTGCCAGGAGATTCTCTACCTAATGAAGGCCCACTTCCTGATTCATAGATCACACCTTCTTGCTGTATTCTCACATGGTGAAAGGGACAAGGTAGCTAGCTCTCTGGGACCTCTTTTGTAAGGGCGCTAGTCACTTTCATGAGGGGCTTGCCCTCATGGCCTAATTACCTACCAATGGCTCCAACTTGTAATACTATCACATTGGTGATTATGAATTTGGAGGGACACAAACATTCAGACCACAGTAATGGACTAGAAATTAAACTTAAAAAGCTTTCTAGGTGGTTTTAATGTGCAACCAGCTTGAGGATGACTGCACGAGAGAAAAACAAAATTCACGATAACTTGGAATAACTGAACAAACACATTTTGACAAGTTTTTAAATCCAGCAGCCAAATCTTATTATCCTCTAGTGATTTACAATTCACTTCATCTTTTAAATATAAAAATATTTAAACCCACCCTGATCTTGTGACATGAGCAAGGGAGATGATAGTATATTCATTTTACAGAAAAGAAGGCTAAGAATTTATATCAATTTTGTAAACTTAATTAGGTACTTAAGTAATTTTATGAAGATTTATTTATTATTTATCAGTAACATATATGTTGCTAAACACTGGACTGGGAGATTTCCATTTCATAACATGAAGGTGATACATTCAATTTCATAGCATTAGGATGCTTTCCTTTTTATACACAAACTTGACCCTCAATGGATACAAACCATAGCTTATGTTTTCCTATTTTTTGTAACCAGTATTAGTTTTAAAACATTTCAGGCACAGTTTGCATTTATCATCCTTGTTTATTTTGACTCATTCATCACATTCATGATGTTTACAGTACTTTCCTAACTTTGGGGCCATTATTAAGCTGAGAAGTGACATTAACCTTCCCAGAGAGAATTGTCGACACAGGAAAGCTGACAGCCTGATCTTCTAATATGAAATCACAGGTTTGAAAGGTGAGGAAATTGACCTTGAAATCTTCCCTTTGCCATCTACTGGACTCTGAGCAGTCAAAGTCATTCTGACTGAAGGGCAAGCTGGGCCGTTTGCTCTTTGCCTTTTATTACACTTTTTGTGGCAGACCAAACCTCCATTAGAAGACTATTGAAAAATGCCATAAGCACAGCTGCAAGAAAGATTTCTTTGTGTTTGCACATCAGCACAGTAGCTTCTGGGCTTATTTGAATGCCATGGTGAGCGCTTTTATAAGGCAGCCTCACATCTTTAGAACAAACGTGTGGTGGAGTTGGAATTTGAACTCAAAGTTACTGACTGCCAGACTTGTGCTCAGATCAGCAGGTTCTGCAACTACCCAGCTGTTTTGTTCTTGTAGAATTGGGCTGAGCAGCAAAGAAAAAGAGAGCATAGCTTATGAAATAACATGATTGGTTCACCAAGTGCAAATATGTGGATCAGGAGCTTGATGCTTCTGCCAATAATAAATGAATAAGAGAAGACTCATCAGTGGCCATTTTAATAAATACATTAATGAAAGAATGGAAATGTGGAAAGAATATAGTGGAATACGTATTCAAGCAGGTTTTTTCCAGATGGTCAAATGGTAGGACAAGAGATTTTCAGAAGTCACAGCTGAGAACTTTAGAATACTGAATACTAAATAACTTTAGAACTGTAGGAATACTGCTTGGAGAGAAATGAAAACTATTTCCCAAAGGAGAATTTTGTAGGCTGTACCTTTGTTTCATTCGCTTCTTCTAGCATGGGCAGGTCCTTGCAGAAAGGACTGAGACTGGCTTTATCAGGGTCTTATTAATTTCTGTATCTACTGCAAGTATAACCAGATATCATTTGTTAAAAATGGGTTCCAATTCAACAGATTCTCTTATAATATGGGCATCATTATCCTCTCCCATTTTATCAGTGTTGCATATCATTTTTACAATTGTTGGTAATCTTACACCCATAAAACATGAAATTAATTAAACAAAAACTACTTCTTTCGAGTATTAAACAAACAACAACTGCACTTTAAAAAATAAGCTTTCTGCTCTATCCATGTTGCTGCAAAGGACATGATCTTGTTCCTTTTTATGGCTGTGTAGTATTCCACGGTGTATAGGTACCACATTTTCTTTATCCAGTCTCTCATTGATAGGCACACGGGTTGATTCCATGTCTTTGCTATTGTGAATACTACTGCAATGAACATACACATGCAGGTATCTTTATAATAGAATGATTTATATTCCTTTGGGTATATACCCAGTAATGGGATTGATGGGTCAAATAGTATTTCTGTTTCTAGATCTTTGAGGAATCACCACACTGTCTTTTACAATGGTTGAACTACTTTACATACCCACCAACAGTGTAAAACCGTTCTTTTTTCTCCCCAACCTCGCCAGCATTACCATTATCCTTAGGAAGCTAACGCAAGAAGCAAAAACCAAACACCGCATGTTTTCACTTATAAGTGGGAGCTGAACGATTGAACGATGGGAACACATAGACATGTGGTGGGGAACAACACACAGTGGGGACTGTTGTGGGGGTGAGGCAAGGAAGAGCATCAGGAATAATAGCTAATGGAAGCTGGGCTTAATACCTAGGTGATGGGTTGACCTGTGTAGCAAACCACTGTGGCACATGTTTACCTATGTAACAGACTGCACATCCCGCACATGTATCCTGGAACTTAAAAGTCGATGAAAAAAATTAAAATAATAAAACGAAGCCTTCTATAATTAACCCTACAAATTCAATTGTTTGAAGCCTCCATCATGTCAGGGTACAGGAGGATCTAGTTTTTGACAGGATTGTCTCCCCAAAATTTGGGGACTTCTTAGAGGATGCTTATGCATTATACAAATCTGTTCTTGGTATAATGTTCAATTCTACTCATGAACCAAACCTCTTCTACAAGTCTTCTTGTACAATTTCTGGGTAAGAGATTTCCCTTAGGCTAGTATATTATTTGTATGTAGAAACATACTTTCCATTAATTTCTTTCAGTGATAGCTGATATGAAGCTGAAATTTAAGTAAAAGGTTAATGAAATATTAGGGATAACATAAGAAAAGTGTTACAGCTTCTATATAATATATGTCTATGTATGTGTGTATGTGTATGTTGAGTTTGTGGATGTGTACATACATACTTCATTTCTCCTCTAGTATTTCAGTTCCAGCTCCTTTATGCCATTCTTTCACCCAGATACCTGCTCTGAGGGAATCCATGTTGGTAATAAGGATAACATTCTGAAGGGGAGAAGAGAGAGGGATAGATGGCTACAAAACAAAAAGAATTGCACTATTTAAAAGCAGCCCCTCCCACAGACTAGCATTTCTTTAAGGTACATAGTCACACTGCTTTTTGAAAGAGAACAGTTTCCTCAGTGGCAGTTGAAGACATTGTTTGGATAGAAATTGTGTTTTTAACATGATCTGGCATATACTGGTAGGATGCCAGTAGAATTGTGGAAAACTGCGGCTGGAAACCATTGTAGAGGGCTTGCAGTGCAAACTTTCTCTATATGGATGAGAAAACAGAGGCACAGAAAGCTACATGCCTTATTTTAGACAACTGAGATAGTTAGTAGCCCAAAGAGGCCTAGAAGCCTGAGAACCACTAAGTCAGGGTTATTGACTTAGTCACCTCTTAAGAGGGTGACTTAGTCACCCTCTTTAAAATGTGTGAGCAAATTTGGGCATTGTTGATTTATTGTAAAATGGTATGCCAAAGCACAACCTGTTGGTAAATAGCATAAAACCCAGGGACATCCTTAAAGAAAATAATAAAATAATGTTCTTTGATTTCTCTTTCATTCCTCTTCCTTCCCTTCTTTCACATTTTATCTCAAACGTTGTGGTACAGGAGCCTATGCTCACTTTTAGGCCCCTGTTCTATACATACTCTGACTAGTGTCTTAGACTCAAGCGTACTGTTTTGGCTTTATCTTAAGATCATAACTTTCCCGTTGCTCTTGATCCAAAAATACTGTATTTGTTTTTTGTAAATTTATTCTGGCATTCTGTACTCTTCTCAAGATAGTGTGAAAATGTCTAAGTCATTAAAGACAAGCAAATATGTAATGAATTACCTTCCAGGGGCACAGTGTTATAATATACCAGTGTGTCTTAAACCTTAATCTCCATGTAAGTCACTCAAAGACCTTATTTACTGGGGGAACCTGCCCCCGATAGTCACATAGGTTCTTTTCTATTTTCCCTAAGTGTCAGCTGGTCTGAGAAATAAAAGGAAAGAGTACAAAAGAGAGAAATTTTAAAGCTGGGTGTCCGGGGGAGACATCACATGTCGGCAGGTTCCGTGATGCCCCCTGAGCCGTAAAACCAACAAGTTTTATTAGTGATTTTCAAACGGGGAGGGAGTGTATGAATAGGGTGTGGGTCACAGAGATCACGTGCTTCACAAGGTAATAGACTATCACAACGCAAATGGAGGCAGGGCGAGATCACAGGACCACAGGACTGGGGCAAAATTAAAATTGCTAATGAAGTTTCAGGCACTCATTGTCATTGATAACATCTTATCAGGAGACAGGGTTTGAGAGCAGACAACTGGTCTGACCAAAATTTATTAGGTGGGAATTTCCTCGTCCTAATAAGCCTGGGAGCGCTATGGGAGACTGGGGCTTATTTCATCCCTACAGCTTTGACCATAAAAGATGGCCACCCCCTGAAGTGGCCATTTTAGAGGCCTACCCTCAGGGATGCATTCTCTTTCTCAGGGGTGTTCCTTGCTGAGAAAAAGAATTCAGCGATATTTCTCCCATTTGCTTTTGAAAGAAGAGAAATATGGCTTTGTTCCTCCCAGCTCACCAGTGGTCAGAGTTAAGGTTATCTCTCTTGTTCCCTGAACATTATCCTGTTATCCTGTTCTTTTTTCAAGGTGCCCAGATTTCATATTGTTCAAACACACATGCTCTACAAACAATTTGTGCAGTTAACGCAATCATCACAGGGTCCTGAGGCAACATACATCCTCCTCAGCTTATGAAGATGACAGGATTAAGAGATTAAAGTAAAGACAGGCATAGGAAATCACAAGGGTATTGATTGGAGAAGTGATAAGTGTCCATGAAATCTTCACAATTTATGTTCAGAGATTGCTGTAAAGACACATGTAAGAAATAATAAAAGTATTAATTTGGGGAACTAATAAATGTCCATGAAATCTTCACAATTTAGGTTCTTCTGCCATGGCTTCAGCCAGTCTCTCCGTTCGGGGTTCCTGACTTCCCGCAACACTTATTAAAATGCAGATTCTGATTCAGCAAGTCTGGGTGGGCTCTGGGATTCTGCATTTCTAAGTTGTTTCTCAGGTGATGCTGAAGCTCTTGGTACATTGACCATACTCTGAACAATAAGGCAATTGCTATAATAGTTAAAATACTTGCATTTCAAAAGAGGGCATCAATATTTTGAACTAAAAATGACAACATGAGAATTTCAAGCAGAAGTGTTTTTGACAATCTTTGTATCACTACATATAGTCAGGTGGTTATTATATCTCTGTATCAGATCCATTTGGGAAAGCCCTTTTGAGCTCATTATATGGAAGAGTACAGAAGATTGGACAAATTTTTCTTTACTGATGACAAATTTCAACCATAAGCTGATGATTTATTCTCACTCTTCTAGTACTTTCCTGTCTTCCTCCTTCCTTTACAAATAAATTTTTAGAGCTTCCCGTGTACAAGATTCTGGTTTTGTTTTATCTGCCTTCCAAAGGAAAAACTTTAGAAATATTTATTGAATGTTCATTATTTCTTAGTTGGTAGGAACAGTGGGTTCTAATTTTAATTTGGGAGGAGATTAGTTTTCTTTCTCTTTATCCCTCTAGCCCCCATGGCAATCTACTCTTCTAACACATATCTTGTACTTTATTTTTCTTTTTTCTCTGTAATTGTGTTTTCAAAACCAGATTCAGCACTTTTCTCCTTCCTCCAATGTTTTAGAATGTGCCTACCAGTATGGCTTAATTTTGCCCCAACATCTATTATGGTGCTTTGTATATTAATATGCACAAATAAGTCTCAGTAAATGAATACACAATAAATGTTCATGGTATTTAATTGACTTGGTTCTTTAGGGCAACTCTCCCCCATGCTGGTTTTCAATGACATACGGAAAATACCTGTGGGTTATTTGTTTGCCCCTCCTAGATGCTACTGATGCAGGTATTCTCTGTTATTTATATATTTAAGTACTTTTCAATTAGGACAGCAACACTTTTATTCCCATGCAAATAATACCCCCTTAATCCTACAATTCCTACATGTGAAGTTGCAAATATCATCTCCTTGGCATGCCTAATGTAGAATAATCTTATGCACCTGCTTTTTCTCTTTGGGCATTGTGTTTGGATGCAACTAGGAAAAATGAGTAGGTGGTTCTGATAATTCCTTCTAAATTTGAGCCTCTTCTTTGAATGAAGTCGTGGGGAGGATGTGGATAATGAAATTGCCAGGCCAGAATAGAGATCTTTTGTGTGCTTCTAATCTACGTGAAAGACAGCATTCATTCTTTATAAATCTTTTATTCCTGCTCAATACTTATTGAGTACCAGTATGTTCCAGGCATAGTTAGCAGTAGCATCCCTTCCTTCCTGGAGTCAAATTCTATTTGCGCATGTGTGTGTGCATGTGTATATGCACATGTGTGTTTTATGAAGTTAACAATTAAATTTAGAACATAGTTCCTATTAGGGATAAAAATAGTGAAACTATAGGAAGCAGATTAGGAGGATAAATGGGAGAAGGAATAGTATGGGCCTTAAATTTTGGCTTTTAGGAAAGGTTTGTTTAAGAAGACATTCGAGCAGACACCTGAGGTGAAGTAAGGGGTGAGACATATGGGCACTGGAAAAAAAGGTTCCAGACATGGGGAGCAGCAAGTGCGAAACCCCTGGGTTGAGAATGATTCTGGAATGCTGGATGAAAAGCAGGAGGCTTATGTGGCAGATGGAGTAAGTGAGGTGAGTGAAGAGATGAGTTCAGACAGGAGGCTAGCCTGTACCTATAAGTGGCTGCTCAGTAAAAATCATGATACTCTTCTGTTTTACAATTTCAGTGGCTTTTATTGCTCTTAGGATGAAGATGCAAAAGCTTGCATGGCCTGACCTCTACTTAATTCTCAAGCCTCATCAGGCATGCTGTACTCTCCCAAGTTCTCTGTTCCAGCCCCCACACTCTCCTGTGGCTTCTTTTGGTTCTTCTCTTTTACTATTCTTGTCACCGCAGGGCCTTTGTATGTGCCAGTCCCACTGCCTGGAGAACTCTTCACCTACACTCCCAACCTTTGCTCCTTTGCATCTCAGCTTCATTACCAGTTCCTTAGAGAAGGCTTCCATGGCCTTCCTATAATCTCTGTTAGGTGCACTCATGGTATCATGCACCCTTTCTTCATGAAACTTATCAACATTTCAGTGTTGCTTTTCTTTATGTGGTTATTTAATTAATGTCTTTTCCTGCTGCCAAATTATAAGAGGCACAAGGCTAGAAACCATGAGTATTTTTTCCACCACATTATCTCTAACACCTTGTATGGTATCTGTCACACAGTAGTTGCTCAGTACATATTTCAATAGTTGATTACAAAAAAATGAACTCCCTTTTTTTCCTGCTTTACTTTCACCTTTTATTTCTCTTTTCTTTTTTTTCTCTCTGCTCTCTTTCTTTCTTCCTCAATTCTTTCTTCTTTTATCTTACTTTCTGAAGACTCTTTTACCGCTGAATTTGAGATTCCATATGGAAGTGAACATTTCCTAATGACTAAAGGATGATGATAGAAAGGAGTTGGTGGCGTTTAATAGCATGCTGCCGTTCTATCTGAAATCAAAGATCCCCTTCATAAGAGAGCATGACTGTTACATCTTCCTTAAAATGAAAACCTACATCAAACACTGCAGCAGGGGTACTTTTCCATTTCATTTCTTTTGTTCTGCTTGTGGCTTTGCTGAATCCATCTATCATTAACATTTATAATTTAGCATTGTCTTCTGGCACAGTGTGATGCGATCTGTATTGCTGACAGATGTGTCTCAGTCTTGGTCTTAGGTCTTTCAGCTGTCTGGTTTCTGGGATTTTGCTTATCTAAGCATTTCATTTGTCACACTACCTGCCATTGTCAACACGTTTGTCTTTATCCTCAGTCATTAGTTTCTTATGCTCTGTCTTAATCCCATTACAGGGTTTGTTCTTGCTATTTTTATTTGTCACGGTATCTATTTTAGTAGCAGATGTAGTTGTCAGAACATCTCCTTTGCTCCTGTTATTGGTGTCACTTGTGCATTCAGTGTTAGACTTTGTCTTGTGTGCTATTCTGGGTCTTTCTATGTACACTTCTTTGTCCACTTCATTGTTTTAATCATATCAGATCTTTTTTTTTCTCCCAGGAATGCATAATTGTGGTTCATTTATTTCTTCTTGCCGATTCTGAATATGGTCGAGTTGCTTTGTCTCTGATGCAAGCATTTTCGGAAGGCCAGATCAATGGTGTAACAGAAGTGAATGCAAATTTATGAGTGTTTGGTCTCAACATGTGTGCACTCAGTCAGAGAACAGAGCAAGAGTGTGTGCTTTTGATTATGTGAGGATAGTATGTTCACTTATAGGCTTGATTTTTACTATGTGCTCTTCATATTTGTTTTAATATAGTCTACTGGATGAGAGGTTTATTTTTTTTTCTCAGTTTAGTGTATTTCTATTGTCAACAACATTTTGAAGTAGAATACACTTTATCTTTCCTACACTTGGGTGATGGATTAACAAAGAAAGCAAAAGAAGTTTATTCTAAAACAAACTGATTGCTTGAAAAAAAAGCTAATTAAGCAATGGTTTAACGAAAAAATAAATAAAAGATGAGGATAAACATGGAAGGGTACGGATAATAAAAAACAAATAGGACTTGGCTTGATAATGGTATACACAATATTAGCCTCAGAAGTAACCATTTAACATTTACAATTGATTCTCGCATAACCTAAAATAACAGAGTACACGAGGGAGCTTCAACTTACTAAAAGATAGAAGAAATTCTCTTGCTTGGGAATTGGAGATACTCTCTCAGAGGAACTAGCTATAGCTTTTCTAAGGTTTTGATCCAACTCATAATTGGTGGAAGAAAAGAGAATGTATAAAAATGTCTAACCCTAGGAATCCTGTAATTGCATAAAATATTTTATGTCCAATCAACTGATTTGGAACCGTATCATTCTAAGATTCATATTCTCCCTCTACCCTGTGATTTTAACAATTGCTTTTAAGTTGTTGAGTTTTAAATATTTGAACTGTTTTGTTAGTTTGATTCTTCTAAACTGAGGAAATCAGAATATTAGTCGCTTGGAAGAAAAGACTTAATTTTAATTATGGAGTCCCAGGAATCAAGGAATCCAAGAGACAGTAGACGCTTGAAACACTGGATTTAAACTGCCTGTGAAGCTCTTTTCACCATTAAAGTGTAGGAAAATAGACTTTTTAGGGGAAAGAGAGATGTTCATTGGAGTTTGGGTTTTTTGTGCCTAATGACAGCCAGCAATGCAAATTTGAAAGACGTCTGTAAGGCTCTTCAAATGAAAAGAAGAGCACTTCCATATTTATCCTGTGAATGAATAAAACACAAGATCAGTAGCTGTTTAGGCTGGAGAATATTTCATATATACATGTTAATGTCCATGCAAAAATCTGCTTGCATATACCTTATAGCATCTTCCCACTTTGTACCTCTGTGGTATTTGGTATATAGCTCTAAGGCTTTTCATGGCATCATGATTGTTTGAATATCTTCTGTCACCCTTGTTATGAGCTCCTTGGGTCGATTCACTATTTATTAAGCCAGTGCTTTGTGAATTCTTGTTTTTTAATATATAATTTTTAATAAATGGATGTCATTCTATAATCTATGCCAGATAATTAAGCAGTAAGGTTACATGCTGTACATCATTTTCCAACTTAAAGAATTTATAGCCTTAGAATAGGGCAGTGAAAAAAAGGTCCATGTTGAAACATTTTCAGGTAGGCATACAATCACTGTGTGTGTATGTAAAATACTTGAAAATGTGGGTAACTGTGATAAAAAAGCAGGTATCTACAAAATACTAAACATATGCTCCACATTGTATAAAACACTATATGATACATATGACATCTAATTTACTCATCATAAAAATCTAGTGCAGTAGGTATTTGTAGTACTTTTTTGGTGAGCTGCTGGCTCAAAGTAGTTTCCCCTTTTCTGGGAAAAAAACTTGCGAGATCTTGATGACTACATTTCTAAGTTGAACTTTAAATTTCTGGCCATAGCTTGTGGATCCATGGTTTGGATATGATCCAAGCAGAGATTAATCAGATTTAATCTTCCAAGATGTGGAAATTTGGGAAAGAGACAGAGAGACTGGGAATTTTTGGAGCTGAGTCATATTAATGACAGTCAATGGGAAGGTCACCTGTATTCATTCACTCAACAATATGTATTAAATGCCTTGTGTGTTCCAGGCACCAAGCAGGGCCTGGGAATTAAATGACAGTAAAAGTAGACATAATCTATGTTCTCAAGGAATTTATAGGTTACTAGAGGGGAAAACGGTAATAAAACACTCATAAAACTAAAACTATAAACTGATATAAATAAAAAAATGGAATGTAGTTCTATGATAATAAATAATAATAGAATCTAAAACAGGCAAAGATTGGGAAGTAGTAAAATTTACTTTTTTTCTACATTTATTGTTTAGAAAGCACATTACGTAAGTGGAAGTGATACACGTGGTTGAGAGAAGACATTTCAGGGAGAGGAAACAGCACGTCAGAAGCCCTAGAATGCAAGAGGGCAGCGTGGTGCAGTATTCCAGTGTGCCTAAATACTGAGAGCTGGGAAAGAGCAGAAAGTTAGTATGGAGAGTCTTGATTGCCTGGTTAAAAATTATTGTTCGTATTATAAGAATAATGACATTCAAGAGAAAGGTTTTCATCAGGGGCCTAATATGATCAGATTTGTGATCAGATTTAGTCCATGGGAAAGTTGATGCTAGTTTGCTATGGCAAGAGCAACAGAGTGGGAAAAGAAGTGAATGGGTTTGATAAATATTTAAAAAATAAATGTAATAGAATTTGATGATAAGATTTATCACCAGAAAGAGAGAGAGAGAGAGGTGTCAAGTATGAGATCAGGTATGATTTCCAGATATTTGACTTGAAAAGGTAGGGATAGATAAGTTCACCAAGTTAGATAACTTTAAGACTCAGAGTGAATTGATTGGTGTTGAACAATGTAGGATTTTATGTGCCCATTTGAGGCAGTTGTGATGGTCATGGATTTTGTTTCTAGCATATGTAAAGGATTACTTATGTTATTTTTGAAGTTTAAAGTTTGGTAACAGAGAACTTGCCTAGAAAAAGATGGTGGTAAGGATTTCTTAATTTTCTAGATCTTCTTGGGAAGAAATTCATGAATCGTGAAGGCACTCAAAGTGAGTCAGATCGCCATCTGGTGACTATTTACAGAAATAGCAGACACATGCTCCCTGGGTACATACTTATAACTAACATTTATTGAGAAATTATTAATGCCTGGAACCTGTGCTATACATTTATATGTAGCATCATATTTAATAACAGATTATAACATACTGAAATTTAAAGGGTGATATAAGGTAATACTATTATATATAAAGAAAGTATATAATTGAATGGTACATGAATAATTTAAATGAAAAAAGTATTGAGATGACAATGGGATGATGAACTGCACCTCCCCTCTCTCTGCTTCTGTCCCCCACTGACATATGTACATGCACATTCACATTAACTATTTTTTCAGGAGAAAATTTGGAATTAATTCTGCTATAGAATTTGGTCTCTTCCCTCCTAAAGAAAAAAGAGTCATTGATAGCTCTTGAGTTAGCTCTTTTTAATGTAAGCCAGGTTTAGAAAAAAGTCAACTTTTTTTGCACAATACATCCATTTATCTATTCAACAATTATAGACTGAGCACCTATTATGGTGAGGCTCTGTTCTACTGAAGATTCAACAGTAAAAAAAATGTATGAAAACTCCTATCATTATGAAGTTTCCCAGTGAGGGGAGACAGAAAATGACAAATAAAATGTATAATATGCCACATAGACTTAAGTGCTAAGGGAAAAAAAGCGCATAAAGGGGATAATTACAGATAGTAGAGGTATAGGAATGTTGATATTTTGAGTGGATATTAGATTCCATGTAACAAAAACTTCAAGGTGATAAAGAAACAGACCCTCTGGACATTTTGAGGTAGAGTGTCCACAAAGAAGAGACAGCAAGTGCAAAGGCCCCAAGGTTGGAATGTGCCTAGATTATTTAAGTAAAAGAGGCCTATGTGGCTGTGGTAGAGTTAGGGAGGGGCTGACTGAAAGGAGAGGAAGTTGAGGATACCAGGAGGAGAGTTCATATTTGGTCTTGGAGTTCACTTTAAGGGCTTTGATTTTTTTGCAAAATGAAATGAGATCCTGCTCAGCAGAAATTTACCCTTTTCTTGATATGAGAATCAGATTTTGTTCCTTGAAGAGAATTTCACATCTGTTTTAGAGAGATGGGCTTACTTCTCAGATTACCAACAAGAGACCTACTCTATCTTCTTGCTGGTGGAAAATTGGGAGTTGGAGTGTTCACCTTCTTGCCCACTGGCACCACCGCATTTCATCTCTTCCATCTCTATAGCCAGACACAGCTCATAAGGGGTTGAATTGTGAGCCTCATTGGAGTTTACCCTTAAAGAGGGATAGGATGTTGGACTAAGAGACTCAGAAGGTAAGGCTGCGTGTAGAGAAGAAAATGAAAAGGGCTGGGCATTGTGGCTCATACATGTAATCCCAGCACTTTGGGAGGCTGAGGTGAGTGGTTCACTTGAGGTCAGGAGTTTGAGACCAGCGTGGCAAATATGATGAAACTCTGTCTCTATTAAAAATAGAACAGTTAGCCAAGTGTGGTGGCACACACCTGTAGTCCCAGCTACTCGGGAGGCTGAGGCAGCAGTGAGCTGAGATTGTGCTACTGCACTCCATCCTGGGTGACAGAGCAAGACTCTGTCTCAAAAAAAAAAAAAAAAAAATTAAAGAGAAAAGGAAACAGAGTGCCTATAGAGGACACCTTTCTTTTCAAGATCTAAGTGTAAAAGCGCCCTCACTTGTGTGATTCAGGGGGTTATGTTAAATACTAAGCTTCCTCTCAGGATGGACTACAATTCTGAGCATTCAGCCAAGAAACTCATATCCAACCATGGTGGTCTTGTGTGTTTTATCTGGGAGAAACTGCCAAACAATGGGGCCCAGGAGGACTAACTATTCTCTTCAGTCCTCTTATAGATACTCGAGCAGAGATAGGACTGTTGTGGGTTGGCTTGTGCACCACCCCACAACCCCAAAATAAGTATTTTGAGGTCCTAGCCCCCGGAACACATGAATCTGACCTTACTTGCAAATGGGATGTTTGCACATGTAATAAAGATAAGGTCATAGTGGATTAGGGTGGGCCCTGAATCCAATAACTGATGTTTTTATAAGAAGTCCATATAAATACACAAAGACACAAAGACACCCAGAGGAGAACACCAAGTGAAGATGGAGAAAGATTTTAGTGATGCATCTACAAGCCAAGGACCACCCAGGATTGCTGGTGACTATCAGAAGCTAGGAGAGAGGCATGGAACGGATTTTCCCTTAGAACCTCTGAGAGGAATCAACCCTGCTGACAGTTTGATTCCAGACTTCTAGCCTCTATAATATGAGAGAATAAATTTCTTTTGTTTCAAGGTATTCAATTTGTGGTACTTTGCCATGACATCCCTAGGAAACTATTACAAAGACCAAAGGGGTTTTAAACCCACAATATGGATGTTTATCTGAGAGGTACAGAGAACTATGAACTGAAAAAATGGGATATAAAATCCTTAAGCATGAGAGAAAATGGAATTCCTGATTGTACTCCATGGGCTAAAAATCAACAACCTTTAAGGTAGAAAATGAAGCCTCAGTACATTAAAATGTTTAGATTGACGTTAGCCGAGAGTATTTCCTGTCTGATGTACTGCCAGATGTATCAGTATTTATAAACTGAAAGACAGAGGGCTGGATATGGTTCATAAATGCAGCTACTCTTGAAATAATACACAATACTATTGGGCCAGAAATTCTGCAACAATTGGCAGAAGCTTGGTGTTGGTCTGTCCACTCCTGAGTGTAGATCATATGCAATTTCCAGCTATCCTGGGTCCCCAGTGGATGCATATGCCCTTAGACTTGATTCACTCTCTTTTGCGTTACGAGACTCTTCTAGGTAAGTTTTGATAACCAGTAAACATGAATCTCATTTAATTTATTTTACTTTTTAAAACAACCCTGGAAGCAAGTATTATATTTTCTGTTATTTGTGAGGAAATTCAGAGGTCAAAAGACTGAGTAGCACAGCAGAGATGGCAGAAACTGAAAAGAAAGGGCAGAATTTTTAAGCATGGAGAGTACAAGGAAGGACATTCTGAGCAGAGGGGACAATGTTCAAGTAAAGTTACAGAGGAGAGAATTGACTGTCTTTGAGGAGGCCCCAGCTGTAGCAGACAGAATCTGTTGGGAACTGAATCTTGAACTAAAACGTGGAGGACTTTGAATACTATGTGAAGAATTTGGATTGAAATTGTGGGCAATGAGAAGCCAGAAGTCCATGTGGCACTTGTATGTATGTATGTTTGTATGTATTTGTGAATGTGCATTCAATTGTGTGATATGAAAGAGGGAAAAGAGTGGACTGACACAAAGATTAGAATTTCACTTTAAGGATTACTTTGGCAGCCATATATAGAATAGCTTGAGAAAAATACAATTTATGAGGCTTTCAAAGTGTGAGAAAAGAGGAGAGAATGATATTTTCTCAGAAATTGCTTACTGGAGCAGTTAGAGAGACAATCTACATGAATGACTGGTTTTATTTATGTGTGTGTGTGTGTGTGTGTGTGTAATATACACAGTAATGAAACAAACAGATTATTTTGTAAATTTGGTGGGCAAAAGCAGCTGAGTTGTCCAAGTGTAAAACTGGATTTTGAAAAAATTCCACCTGTAATGTATAGGTTTCCAATCTAGTCTATCTCTTTTAATTTTAATAAGTCAACTGCCAAGTGACTTCTCCAGACACTATTGCTTACCATTAGCTTTTGTTTGGCCTTGGTAGTAAAGCATTAACCAAAAATATGGAAACATATTTTGGGAAGAACTAGTCTCCCCTTAATGTGATCTCGGTGAGGTGGTGTGTTTATTAATGTGTTTTCATACTGCTATACAAAACTGCCCCAGACAGGGTAATCTGTAACGGAAAGAGGTTTAATTGACTCAGTTCAGCATGGCTTGGGAGGCCTCAGGAAACTTATACTCATGGTGAAAGGTGAAGGGGAAGCAAGGTACCTACTTCACGAGGTGGCAGGAAGGAGAAGTGCTGAGCAAAAGGGAAGAGCCCCTTATAAAACTATCAGATCTTGTGAGAATTCAATCACTATCACAAGAACAGCATTTGGGAAACCATCCCTATGATTCAATTATCTCCGCCTGGTCTCTCCCTTGACCCAGGAGAATTATGGGAATTAGAATTCAGAGGAGATTTGGGTGGGGAAACAAAGCCTAATCATATAAGTGTGTTAATTCAATGGGCAGTTACCTTCTACCAGTCCCACTAATTACTTTGACAAACAAAATATGGCAAGATGATTTTTGAGGTATATTCAAAACTAGTATTGTAGTTTTGCTTAGCATTCTGCTATAGAGTACTAGGAAAATAACAAGGAATTGAAATTATGTGTATTTTTTTATAAAAAATACATTTTTGTTTTATTTTATTTATATTTTCCCAGCTTTACTGAGGTATTGACAGCTAAATATTGTATTTGTTTAAGGTGCACAACATCATGTTTTGATATATGTAAACATTGTGAAGTGATTACCTCAATCAAGCTAATTAACATATCTATTACCTCACATGTTATCTTTTGTCTTTTTAATAATAGCCAATCTAACAGGTGTGAGGTGATATCTCATTGTGGTTTTAATTTGCATTTCCCTGATGGTTAATGATGTTGAGCAGCTTTTTATATACCTTTGCCATTTGTATGTCTTGTTTAGAAAAAGTCTATCGAGGTTCTTTTCCTATTTTTAAATATTATTTTCCAATTTGGATGCCCATTTTGTTGTTGTTGTTGACCAATTTCTCTGGCTAGGATTTCTAGTACTGTGTTGAATACAAGTGGTGAGAGTTGACCTCTTTGTCTTATTTCTGATTTTAGAGAAAAAAAATTCAATCCTTCACCACTGAGTACAGTTTTTAGTTATGTACCTGACATACAGAGTACTAATGATGTTAAGGTACATTCTTTCTACTGTTAACTTATTGGGAGTTTTTACTTTGAAAGGATGTTGTATTATGTCAAATTCTTTTTCATCCTCTGTTGAGATGGTCATATGTTTTTATCTTTCATTGTGTTAATGTGGTGTTTCACATTTATTGATTTACATATATTAAACCATCCTTGCATGATAAACATGGATGAAAAAATTCTGAAGGAAATACTAGCAAATGGAATTCAGTGGCACATTAAAAGTATTGTGCATCATAATCAAGTCAAATTTATCCCTTCATGTGATTTAATATTTTCTTTATGTATTTTAGGGTTTTGATATTAGATGCACATACATTTATACTTGCTATGTCCTCTCGATATATTAACCCCTTTATTATCATATAATCTTTTTTTGTCTCTTGCGGCAATTTTTTTACTTAAAGTGTGTATTGTCTGATATCAGAATAGCCACTCCTGCTCTTCTTCAGTTATCATTTGAATTGCATGTCTTTTTCCAACCCTTCATTTATATTCTATGTGTGTCCTTAAAGCTAAAGTGAATCTCTTCTAGGAAGCATATTTTTGGATCATATTTTTTAATGTATTCGACAACTCCATATTTGCTGATTGTAGAATTTAATCCACTTACTTTTAAAATAATTATTGGTAGGTAAGAAGTTACTCTTGCTGTTTTTAAAATTGTTTCATGACTGTTTTATAGTACTTTTTTTGCTTTTTTCCTCTCTTGCTGTTTAATTTTGTGATTTGACCATTTTTTTGTGGTGGTGTGCTTTGATTCGTTTCCCTTTATGTTGTGCATATTTTTATAGGTTTTTAACTTTTGGTTACCATGGGGTTTACATGGAACATTTAAAAAATTAGAACAATCAATTTTAAGCTGATATCTTAATTTTGCTTGCATATAAAAACTCTTCATTTTTGCTTTTTCCCCCTGCCCAATTTATGTCATTGATATCACAACTTACAACTTTTTATATTCTGGATCTATTAACAAATTATTATAGTTATAGTTACGTTTACTACTTTTGTCTTTCAACTTTTATAATATAGTTAAAATTAATTTATGCACCATTATTACAGTAGTAGAGTATTCTGTATTTGATTATATATGTACATTTTTGCGAGTTTTATATTTCATATCTGTTCATGCTGCCTATTCGTTTCTTTTTATTTCAGGTTAAAGAACTTCTTTTAGCATGTTTTGTAGGGCAGGTTTAGTGGTGTCAGTTCATTCAGGCTGTTATAACAAGACTACCATAAACCAAGTGGCTTATAAACCACAGAATTTTATTTCTTATAGATTTAGAAGTGAGGAAGCCAAAGATCAAGGTGACAGCACATTTGTCATTCAGTGAGGTCTTGCTTTCCACTTCACTGAAGGCATCTTCTTGCTATGTTCTTACTTGGTGGAAGGGGCAAACAAGCTCCCTTGGGCCTTTTTTATTAGTATAAAAGAACTAATGTCATCCTTCAGGGCTCTGATCTCATGACCTAATTGCTTCCCAAAGTCCCTAATTTTTAATAACACCCCAATGGAGATTAGTTTTCAACATACAAATTTTCAAGCCATATGAACATTAGACCATAGCAAGTGGTGATGAACGTCAATGAAGTACTTCATTGTTTGTTGGGAAGCATTTATCTTTTCTTTATTTCTGAAGGACAGCTCTGCCTTGTATAGTACTCTTAGTTGGTAGTTTTTCTCCTGTAGGACTTCGAATGTATCATTGCTCTCCGCCTACAGAGTTTCTACTGGGAAATTCACTGAGATCTCAGGAAGGTCTCAGTTGTATGTAATGAGTCACTTTTCTGTTGCTGCTTTCAAAATTCCTTAAATTTTTTTTTGACTTTTGGCAATTTGAGTATAATAAGTCTCACTGTAGATCTCTTTAAATTCAACCTAGTTGAGGTCCACTTGGCTTCACGAATGTGGATGTCTATTTTGCTCCCCAGATTTGGAAATTTTTAGCCATTATTCTCTTAAATAATCTTCCTCCTTATTTCCCTTTCTCTTCTCCTTCTGAGACTCCAAAGATGTGTATATGGGTTGCTTGATGGAGTCACATGAGTCCCTTAGACCTTCTTCACTATTTTTCATTCTTTTTTCTTCTCTGACTGGATAATTCCAAATGACCTGTCTTCACAATCACTGATTTTCTCATATGGGTAATCAAGACTGCTATTGAATTCCTCTAGTAAATTTTTCAGTGCAAATTTTGTATTCTTTGGTTATGGTATATCTGGTTAGTTTTTTTAAAAATCATTTCTATATGTTTTTGTACCCATTTTGTTCACATACTGTTTTCCTGGTTTCACATAGTTTTACATCTCTGTTCTCTTGTAACTCACTAAGCTTTTTAAAGATGATTAATTGGAATTCTTAAGAAATTCACGGATATCCATCTCTTTTGGGTTGTTTATTGGAAATTTGTCTTAATTTTTGATTATGTTGTATTTTATAGATTCTTCATGTTCTTTGCATGTTTGCTTTGTTGTTTGCACATTTGACAAAGCAGCTACCTCTCCCAGTCTTTATGAACTGGCCTTGACTGTGAGATACCTTCACTTTTCAGGAGTACTTTATATGAGTCGTGATGGAGACTAACTCCTTGAGGAGTACACTGTAAGGCTGGGGACAGAGTCCCTTCCACAATCTTTCCTCACTCCTAGAGGAAAAGCCTTAGTGCCAATCTCACAGAGAAGTGCTAACTATAAAAGGATGTCCATCCCTTTTCTTTGTTCCTAGCTATCCCAGGGAATCAAGCTCTGCTGGCTATTTTGTGATCAATATGAGGCAAGATAGTAACTGGCTCTATAGAGGGTGCTCTGAAATGTTGGGGCTAAGCCCCCTTCACTTTGTTCCTTTCCTCCTGGAGGAAAAACCTCAATTTTGGACCTATTCTAATTCTTACAGTGCAGCTCCAGCTATAAGGAAATGCTTTCCTCTTTATTTGTTCCAAGCTGTCCCAGATTACCAAGCTTTGCCAGTTGTTCAATACTTGATATGAAGTGAGCTAGAAACTAGCCCCATGGAGTGTGCTTTGAGATACCAGGAGGACAGTTGTCCAAGTGCACATTCTAATTCCACTTTCCCCATGTGGGAAAAATCATGAGCTGAGGCAATATTCTTGGCACTGAGATAAGCCAGTTTAGGGGAGGGTTGATGCAGGTAAAATGAAATTGTTCTTCTTATCTATAAATGTGACTGTTTTCCAATTATGTTCCTCTGAGGTACTTCTACTTACCTGGATCCTGAATTGGACTTCAAGGTGTTTGTTACCAATATCATTGTTATACTGGTATTTCTGTAGAGGAAGAAGAGTTAGGGCTTTCTACTCTGCCATCTTGCCGATGTCATTCACCCAGACATTTTATTTCAGAACAGTTTTAGACTTACAGAAAAATTGCAAGAATAGTACAGATAGTACTTAGGTGCCCCTGTTATTGACATCTCATATTCCTATGGTACATTTGCTAAAATTGATGAACCAATGTTAATATACTATTATTAAATAAGGTCTATTATTCAGATATTCTTAGTTTTTATTGCATGTCCTTTCTCTGTTCCAGGAATCCTTCTGGGAGAACCCATTATATTTAGTCATCATGTTTCCTTATACTCCTCTTGATTGTGACAGTTTCTCAGAACTTCCTTATTTCTGATGACCTTGACAGTTTTGAAGAGTACTGGTAAAATATTTTATAGAATGTGTCTCAACTGGGGTTTTTCTAATAGTTAGACTAGGGTTATGTGTTTTGAGGAGGAAGATCAGAAAGGTAAACTGTCATTTTCATCACATCTATTTATAGTAATATTCTAAAAAGCTCATTGCTTTTTTTCTGTTCATTGCATGCCATTTTTATGTTTTTTTTTTTTTTTATTGCTCCAAAACAAAGGTATTTACGCAATTACTAAAACTCTGAAAGTTTTTTTGCTGCTTCACAGTGTGGATGAATAGTTGATAAATACTTTGAGTGAAGCCTGACTGGTGTCCTACTGAAACACACGTGGAGTCCCTGGCAAAGAATGACCTCTATGATTTTTGAAATCTTAAGACGTTAGGGATCTAAAAGCTGCCTTTTCAAAGCTACAAGCAGTTTGGAGCTTTCAGCACTGAAGCCTGCAATTGATCCTGAGTGGAAAGTACCATAAGCCAATACCTCCATTTCAGAGGTTGAGCTATGAGGTTGGGAGTGCAAATGTGGTATTTATGAGTTTAATTCTCAGGATTCTTTCTTTCTTTCTTTCTTTCTTTTGGTGGAAAGGAAAAAAAAGGCTTGTTGGCTTTTTATGTATTTAGAGTGCACTCTTCCATATGCAAACCATGCTTGTCCAAATAGAGTTGTGGATGATTTTCATTTGTCCCAAATTAGTGGAAGATGAGTACAGATAATGAGTATGTCATTTTTAGTGGAAGATGATGAGAACTGAAGGTTCAACTCACTCATGCTGCAGTGAAAACTATAGTAAAGGAATTGGACTATCAATGGGCTACATACAGATTATAATAGTGAATAATAAATATTTTAGAGCAGAGTGATGATGGACTATGGTTTGCATATTATGATTTTGAAGACATAAACTACACCTATAACTAAGTAATGGGTTGGTAGAAGGTGAATAGTATATTTATCTTTAATCACGAATTTATGAGAAGTCAGATTCCTCATATCCTATGCTTCAAACTCAGGATTCCATTAAAGGCTAATAAAAGAATTTGAGTATTGCCAGCCATGATTCCTGTCTTTAGCAGTCATTCCTGATGCTCACTAGTGACCATTGGCTGGCCCAATGAGAAAGGGTAGCTCTTGAATGGTGTTGAGGTCAAACGGTGTGTTAAGAAATTTCTCCTCTCTTTGTGTACTTTGAAGCTTGGTTTCTGAGATTAAATGTAACCAAAACACTGTTAGTGGTGGTGGATTAGTTGGATTCAATATGAGAAACACAAGAGATAGGCAGGATGACTCTCACTAAAGGAATCAGAGGACTGTGAACTGCTACATATAACATACAGATCTCTAAGTTATTCTTGAGCTATACTTTTTTTTTTTGACAGAGTCTTGCTCTGTTGCCCAGGCTGGAGTGCAGTGGCAATCTTGGCTCACTGCAACCTCTGCCTCCTGGGTTCAAGCAATTCTCCTGCCTCAGCCTCCCTAGTAGCTGGGACTACAGGCACCTGCCACCATGCCAGGTTAACTTTTTGTATTTTAGTAGAGACAGAGTTTCACCATGTTGCCCACGCTGGTGTCGAACTCCTGAGCTCAGGCAATCTGCCCACCTTGGCCTCCGAAAGTGCTAGGATTACAGGCTTGAGCCACTGCACCCAGCCAAGCTGTACTTTTTTTTTTTTTTTTAAAGCTTCAAACCTTCAATATTTCATTAAGAGTTACAGTTTGGTTTCAGTCATTCTGAGGAAAATTAAGGAAGGGGCTTGGCCCATACCTGGTAAAAGAATGGAAGGAACCAATTTTTAACCATTTGGACCAGTGATTCTCAATGGGAGTGCTTTTTGTCCCCCAGGAAACATCTGGAAAGGTATAAGAGATATTTCTGGTTGTCACAATTTGTGATGGGGGAAAAAAGAACTACCAGTATCAGGGGGATACAGGCCCGGTATCAGGTGGATAGAGGCCTGGAATATTGCTAAACATTCTACAGTGCAAAGACAGCCTTTCACATACAGAACTATCTGGTCCAAAATGTCAATAGTGCTGAGGTTGAAGAACTCAATATTTTATATGTTTTCAGGGAATTTCTATGTGGGCTTGGGAAAGTTTGAAGTCAATTGTCATTTGTATATTTAAAGGGATATATTTTATCATTAGTCTATAAATTCCAGTTGCAAAGTAGAGGCCCTGCACATTTGTGCACATATACACACACCAGAAATAAACTCTCTTGCAATTATCTTCTCTATCATTGACAGGGCAATGACCTATGAAAATTATGTTATGTCTAATAGTCCCTCATTGTTATGTGCAAAACACCCAGCAAAGCTCAAGTTAAGGTTGTGGTCACAAAGAAAAGAGCTATCATTGCTTTATGGTGTTGTCTGAAGTTAATGATTTGCTTTGTTTTGAAGCTTACTTTTAAAAAATTACTTATCAAGTTATATCTTTATAGTGCGTTAAGCCTGGGTGGTTTGTGTTATTATTATACATGTTGAATTTTAGTGATTGACTGCAGAATACAACGATGCCATCTCGGGATCTTCTATAAATTGGCAATAAATATTATTGAAACAGTTTTGGAATTAGAGAAAAAAACATTCTCTAGAATAAGACCTTCTAATGAAACTCATTCTTCCATCTTGATCAACAGCAGAAGTAAGGTTTTTATTTACATGAATGGTTACTAGAATTGTAGAAGTTAGTCTAGTGCTATTAATTATTTGATCAGTTTTACCTATCAATAAGTTTATTCATTTTTATGGTCTAATTTTAAATGTATTAGAATAGAAATGCAACCTTATGTTCTGCTTCAAGTTATGTGATGATAGTAACAGCAACGTTAGGGAAGTCATCGTGTAATTATTTAGAAATAAAAAAGAAATTTTAGAGCCAATACAGATCTCTCTTTTTTTTTTTTTCTCCCTGGCCTGAGATAGCATTTTCAGAAAAAAATAGCCCCAAATGCTATGACTGTTAAAGTAGTTTGGTAGGCCATATTGCGACTCTCCTGGTGGTAAAGAAGCTGCTGTCATGTGACAGGTCTCCCATGGATAACCATTACCTCCTGTCAATGAGAAATGTGAAGATTAAAAACAGTGTCACCAAACACTGACATCATCCTGCATTTTTTATTTAAGAGCTGCTGAAAGATTTCCTGCTGGCTGACCAAATATGTGAACAGCTGGCTCCTGACCATAATCTGTCACTTGCAGCACATTTCAGACTGCCCATTTAAGAGCAACATAACATCCTTGGGACCTTCAAGCTAGTCAAAGGGGCAGAAGAACTTAAAAGGAAGCACAAAGCTAGCCAAAACTATGAGTAATCCAAAGACCATTAAGTGGTTTGTGAGTATTAAGTATGATAGGTGAAGGCAAATACTTGAGACATTCAAACTTTTTTTCTAGTCATGGGTTATAAATCCTGAGATTGGAGTTGGTCATTGGGAATGTAAACTCATATGAGTGACTAAAGGGAATTATGTGATTGCTTTGTATTCAATTTTCAAAAACAGTGTCCTAGATATGCTTGCTTATTTATCTAACTGTCTAAGAACCTATCATATCTTTAAGACATTTATAAATAAAAAAGGGAATGATTGTTTCATTCTTTTCTTATGACCACAAATTAATCCTACTCTCCTCGATCAATCAGCGATCAGAGTGCCAGTTTGGCTGATATCCGTATAATAGAAAGTCTCATTTGAATTGATTGATCAGCTGGATAAGTTAGATAAAATGCAGTCTGCTTTTATTCATCTTCCTGTTTAATAATGAGCTGTCTGGAACTTCCACTTCTTTGATATATGTTGTATTCTAATAAAAAGCAATCAGCTGCAGAATTTGCTCAATTCTGTTCTCTGGATTCCCTGATAACACCTAAGTTTTCTTGCTTATCATTATGCTGTTAAACTACTCTCTATTGAATCAAGAAGGATATAAGCTCCTCTTAAAGTGAAATTTTCCAAAATGTTGAGATTTCATTCACAGCCAAAATAGGAGTGACCTTCTTTGGCTGCTTTCCCAAAGTCAACCTAGAAAATTGCCATCTACCTGGCACCCAAAATGAGACTGGAAGGGTAGATAAGAGCTCATTTATGAAAGGCCTTGTTTTGCCAAGATACAATGCTTGGATCCTTGTCTACGTGACAGGGAGCCAGAAGGTTTTAAGAGGGGAGTGATATAATTCATTTCTTGTTGGAGTAAAAAATTACACTGATAAAACCAGAAAACAGCTATTTGAAGTAGTCAATTAAGGATTCCTCAGTGATTGAAAATACATTGTATCTGGAATCCCATCCCCCAATTTGTCAGCAGAATGAATATATTACCACTTCAACCATATTATACACTTTCTTCCATCAATAAATAATATTTGAATACAGAGCAGAAAAATACATGGGACGACAAATCTTATCAAGGTCTTGTATTAAGTAAACAAACTAACTTTTCATCTTTCACTTTATTCTACATCTATTTAGTTCACTGTCACTGATGGAAAAAATCTGCTTTTTAGAAGGGTGTTAAGGAATATAGAAAGGTTGAGTGAGAAATAAAAAATTTGATATGATAAAGGAAGAAGTAAAGTCTCTAATAGATCCGTATTACATATATGTTTATGGCTTACAATAAAGAGTTCTGAGACAATTAAAGTACCTGAACATTTGAAAATCTTAATATTTTTCCGTATTTATCTTGCCCCTCCAACAAGATTGTAGGATTCTTAGAGGCAAGGCCATGTTTTTGTATATGTTTATCCCTCACTGTGTGTAGCATTGTGCATGACACACAGAAGATATTCTGTAATTACTTGGTGATTGACAAATTCTTCTTTATTTGTGATTTTTTTTAGCACTGACGGTGAACTAGATGCTGTGGAGGACTGAAAATGATATACAATATAACCACTGCCTCTTAGGTGTTAAACTTCTCCCAAATGGAGTAGAACTCAGAGAGGCATATGTACTTTAAGGTCACATAGCATAGTAGTAATATCTGTCTCTCTTTTCTCTATAAAGAAAATATGAGAAATATTCACAATAGCAAATATTTTTGAGAGATCGTTGTGAACCTAGTGAAATTTTTTTATGCCATATGCATTGCATGCTTACATTTCATTTAAAAATACAGCACATCAGTGTGCCCACTTAATATTTGAGGAAAGAATTTGTAATAATATACGCCCCAAATTGGAAATTCTGTAAGAATTTGATTATCTTCAAAATAAACGGGATGGATTTTTTTATGTTGGTATGTTGCCATTATACCTTCTTCCTCTACCAAGTCAACTCAATTCATTGAAATATCCCAAAGGAACAGTTGGAAAGAACCTTCTAGGGGATTGGATGCAATTTTTCTGAAACAGAAGGTTCCACATTTACCATCCAGCAAGAAAAGGCAAGAACTCTTTGGGCAACTGCTCTCTTTGCTGTTGATGCAAGCTAAGACATGCTTTGTTGAGTAAATCTTGGGAGGATTTCAGATCCTTTTTCAAACTATGCTGGAATTTTTGCTTCCTTTTCTAACTATATTGGATTGTGTAATGATAACTTTTAAATGAATCATTATAATACAGGGACATGTCCTACAAATTTAATAATGGTCACCATGAAGAGCAGTATGCAATAAGGTTTCCTCAGCAGGGACATATTCTTTCTGAAAGGGAAATTTAATTATGTAGCTTGACTACTGTGTAATTCAAACCCTAGCTATTGCAGCTCTTTTATAGTACACAATGGTCTTAGTGGCAGACAGAAGAACGACGGTTACCACCCCATACGCAAACTCAGAAAGCTGAACTGCCCAGTGTCTTGCTTTTGCTAAATTTTTGAATTAATATACAGCTCTTTAGGCATTCCTCCCTTATAAACCATGTATGATAGAAGAAAGCCATGGGGATTTTAATTATGTGTTAATTGTATGCCATTTTCTTTTTCTTGCATTTCGTCTTCCATCTTTTGGTAAAGTGAGGGAGTCAGAAATGGAAAATATGGAGTCAAACAACTTTGCATGAAGGGAAACACAGGATGACTACAAAAACTCCCTACCAATCCCCCTGAAGCTATTACAAAAGTACTTTGGGTGCCTAGAAAAAAGTACTATATAAATCCATGGTTCTTGTTATTACCGTGGAGGTATACTGTAGCGTAGTTAGCCTGTTGAAAGGGTAGTGATTCCATGGAAGATGATGGGATGGAAATAGGAAGGTTGGGGAAAATATTACTGGAATAATAGGGAGTGTCCAGTAGATTTATTTTAATATACACTATTTTTGTTGACTTTCCTCAGTTGATGATAGCAGGAATAGAATGAAGACCTTAAGATGGGTTTGCCCAATCAATTGAAAACTAGTTAGCCTGGCTTTTTGAAATCCTTAGTTGCTATAGTAAAGGATGTGCATGAGTCTGTTATTTTTCTACACATGTAGTATTGAATAGTAGAAAAAGCAATAAACCCAAAGTTGAAAGATGTGGATTCTAGAACTGCTACTCAGATCCTGCTACTTCCGAGCTGTGTGGCTTTAGCTCTGATAGATAATATATAAAATGGGGAGATGAAAAGGTAGTTTCTGCCTACCTTTGTAGGTCCTTACTGAGGTGTCATGTTGATTCTATGAGATATTAAATTTGAGAATAATTTATTATGTATAAAGATCTAAGAAATATGTGACAATATTGTTATTAACTAAGGAGAGAAGAGTGCTTAGTGTAAAATTAAAGCCTTGCGACTCTCAATCCCTGAAGAATGCATACATATTCTGTGCCTTTTTGCTGAGAAGGGGAGAGAGTGCTAATTTATTTACCTTGGCATTTTCTTGTGCACAAATGTCACCCCTCTCCATCCAAAAAATATGCTTGCTGGCATTTCTTGTAAATTGCTTCTTATTCTAGCTGCTGAAGTGAGACCAAAGGACATATATATATATATATATATAAGTTTAGACTATTTTTGATATTTTTAGTGTTATATAATCATTGTACTTTTCTGTATAAAGTAGGTGACAAAGCAGGAAGTAGTTTAACACTCTTGGCCCCAGGATCTGAGAAAGCTGCTTCCTAAGTCTTTTGATTGAGACAATCTTCATGGCCAATCTACAATGCTAACTGATTGTGGCTTTTCCTGCTTAAAACCTTTCATTAGAAATCATCACCTTTAGAGAAAAAAATCACATTATTTACATTGCATGCTGCTCACAATTAGAATCTTCACCTACTAGGCTTACCTCCTGCTTTTTACATCTTAGGCATCATTAATCATTTTTTATAGTTCTCTAAGAAAGTGTTGCCATTTCATTTATGCCTTAGCACATGTTCTTTTCTTTGCTGGATGCACTCTTTCTGCTTTGCCCTCATGGAAAATACTTGTTTTATTTTAAGGGAAAGTTCAAGAGTCACCTAGTCTATGAAGGAGTATTCTATGAAGTACACCTACTCTATGAAGTATACCTACTCTGTGGTGAACTCTACTGTGCTACTCCAAGGCAGAGAGGTTATCTGTCTCTTCTCTACTACAAAAAACCTCATACATGCTTCTGTGATAGCACTATTACTTTGATCGGGTTGAAGAAGAATTTCCTAAGTCTGAGGATGCAACTAGGAGCAGGTCTTTTCCTTTAATTAAAGAGAGAAAGAACAGAGACTCAAACTGTGAGAGCAAAACAGCAAGCTACTTTCACCTCCTATCTCTCTACATGCAGAGGAAAGGAAGGGTACATGCTGATATTGAACAGAGTGATATTCAGGCAAGACAGGGACAGCTCTTCTATTAGCATATTATTGCAGGTACAACAGCAATAGCAATGATATAACTGTGTGTCACACTATGTTAAGTTGCTGTAGGGGGAGGGCTCTTTCCTCTCTGGGACTGAGTATAATTGTGACTCTTATTGGAATCACAGAAGGATTTCAGAGATGGGCTACATGTGCATGTAGGTAAACCAGGGATTCTGTTCATATATATCTATATCTTTCTCTATATATCTATATCTATAATCTATCATCTATCTATCTATCATCTATCTATCAATCATCTGTCTAAACTTCTTATGAATGAAGCATATCATTTGTGCCTAAATTCAAATTATTTTACTCTAATTCAATAATTTTTATTTCATTAATATATATACTCAGTAGGCTTCAATTATTATGGATTGGGGGACCATCTGGTGAACAAAGGAAAAATCCCCTTAAAGTAACCTTTTCTGATCTTGAAGGGGAATTTTCCCAGAAACAGCTACCAATAAAATGGCATATCTTCATTTCCAGCCGGACTGAATGTACCCTTTAGTCTAGTTCTTAAACTGCATTTTCGTGTAGTGCCACCCCTGATGACAATGCTAATTTTCTGGTCAAGGATGTTTCATTTGATTCAAGAGTTGGGTTTCTTTCAAATCCCAGAGGACTAGGGAATACTTGTGGGAAATCTTTTTTTTTTTTTTTTTTTTTTTTTTGAGACGGAGTCTCGCTGTCGCCCAGGCTGAAGTGCAGTGGCGCAATCTCGGCTCACTGCAGGCTCCGCCCCCTGGGGTTCACGCCATTCTCCTGCCTCAGCCTCCCGAGTAGCTGGGACTACAGGCGCCTGCCACCTTGCCCGGCTAATTTTTTGTATTTTTAGTAGAGACAGGGTTTCACCGTGTTAGCCAGGATGGTCTCGATCTCCTGACCTCGTGATCCGCCCGCCTCGGCCTCCCAAAGTGCTGGGATTACAGGCGTGAGCGGAAATCATTTTAATGTATCGAAAGTCTTGCACTTCACTGTTGTGAAGAAGGCCAGGTTAGAGCAGGGTTAAATATTCTGCAATCTAGTTGAATCATCTCAAAACTGAAGCACTCTGAGAGAATGCAGACTCCTTTTCTGACCTCTCAGCTTTTATATTTCATCTTGGCAACAAAGAGTTTTACTGAGAATGAATACGTAGTTACACGCCTCCTGAGTTTCTGTGGTAAAACTGAAGAAGTGAGTGTATCCAATTGTTTAAAATAATGATGGATTTCTACATTAAGCAATGACAAGCCCCAAATGGTTTTATTTTCATGTGAATTATTCAGGTTAAATCTTTCAATTTCACCTCCTAGAGAAGGTACACTGGAAAAAGCCCTCCCATAATTTAACCTTGAGCGCTGAGAGCAATTTAAGTTTCCCTTCTGTAACCGGTTACCTCTCTGGTTGAAAACAATATAGCTGTCTGTTGCTGCTTCACAGAGGTATATGATTTTGTACAAAGGATTCCTCTAATTGACTCAAACCCTGATTAAATGACCCTTAGCCCAGTAGTGCATACTAAAGACCACACATGTTGGCAAGAGAAGATAATGACTATGCCTTAGGCCTTTTCCTCTCTGTAAGCATACTTTTCGAGTAATCTTATCTGTTTTCATAATTTTAATTACCACCCAATGAAGATGACTCCCAGATAACACTGGCACCTAGGTGTCTCTCTAACATCAGACTTTTAATGTCTATTTTCTTGATATTTTCACCTAGCTATACTACCGGAACCCAATCTTAATGTGTCCGAAACTGTACTCACCATCTTCCCATGATTGTCTTTCAGTGAGCTCTCTCTGTTGGGTTTCTTTCTTCTATCAGTAAATGGGACCAGCAGCCAGCTACTTGCCTATCCAGTCATGAAGTGAAAGCATCCTTCTTCCAAATATTCCTTGCCATTATCAATTCCCTCCCAGCCTAACTCTTACTTTGCCTGAATTCGTCATTATTTTTTCCATCCCTTTGCCCTAGTTTTTTCAGGCCCCCTCTGCATAGAAGGTGCTTAGTGAATAAATGAGTCCAAATATTTTTCCATTATTAGAGGCTTTAAGCTAATTGCTATTTTGCAAGTATTGGGTTTTCTTTTCTTTTGCTTTTCCCCCCAAGACTTGGTATTGGTCATAGGTCCTAACTTGGGTGCCTTTCTAAGGTGGTCTTACTCTAGTTCATGATCCTTGGATTTACTGGGAAAATGGGCGGCCCTCCTAACTAAATTCTACAGTTTTTTGCAGGGCCTTTAAAAAAGTCAGTCATGTGATCAATGCTATCACCTCTAAACTTGATTTTTTTTTTTTTTGTAATAAAGTTGTGTTTTCATTTTTTGGTAAATATAGGCATTTAAGTTCATCTTTTATTTTTCACAATTAATGCTCTGAATTGTGTAACAGAAGAATATAGCAAATAGTGGTTTTGTAGTTTTATGTGGCAGTAAACCGTACCCTGTCTTGATCTTTGCCCCAGTTAACCTCTTTTCTATTAATATGTATCACCTAGTCTTTAAATAGACAGGCTTTCTAATCCCCAGATGGCAAAAAAGAACCCATTTATCTCACATAATTATGTACCTACTACTTTTGTAACAATAGAATTGATTCTCTGATAGAATGATTGTATACTGTGACTACGTTTAGCTTCAGGTCCAGACTTCTACCAAGAGCAAGAAAAGGTTTCTGTTGTTCATTGAACCAAGTGGAGAATTGGTTATAAGAGTAAAGTAACTTATTTTTGATTTCCAATCTACAAAGAAGAGTTTTTCATTCAAGGCAAAAGAAAATGATCAATGCTAAGGGAAACAAATCCACGCTAAGTTAAGTTCAAATTAAGCTCTAATGCAGCGCTTTATCAGCTCATATGTCTGTTAGTGTGAAAGTGATGCAAGAATAAGAAGTTCTAAATTGTCCTTGGTAATGTGCTAATATACCTACTGTTCTATTCCTAGTATTTTTGATTTTTAAAACTGCGTATTCTCATTAACTCATAGAATCCCAGATCTATTTTCCTTATTTTGCATTATAAAGAGCAAAATTTATTAAAATATGTCATATTAGTAATATTTGTTATTAAATACTATCCATAAAAATAGAGTACTTTCTAGAAATTTGAAATTCTTAATCTATATTATCTATATTTACCCTCTCTACTTTTTCTTGCAGTGATTATTGGTATAATTTCAAGCTCTTTTGAGTTTCTCTACAACCTCATCAATAACAATACAAATTTTAACCCAGTCTTTCCATACCCATTCTCAGATTAAGCTAGTATTTTTGTTACTACTCATTACTATTTTTATAGTAAAACAACCTTAAGGACTATTTCAAATAAATAGCAACCTAACATAGATTTGAAGTGTCAAAACTGTGCTCTTGAAATGAAGCCCGACTATTTGCATTTACAAAGAGGTTACTGCAAAAGTTGCTAGTAGTCAACAAAGAAGTAAATTTATACAGTTGTTACTCCCAGACATAAGTGCTTCTTTATTCTTTTCTGGGAATATTTGCACATGCCAAATTATTCTCAGTCTTTATCATTTATATCATCAAGAATATTCAGAATGCCTTATTTCACATCACACACACACACACACACACACACACACACACACCCCAAAGATACATTTTTGGGTTAACAAAGTGAACATACGTTGATGATTCCTGTTGGCATAAGTAAGTGTTGGATAGATTTAGGTGGAAATATATGTCTTTCTAATTCAAATATCTAAAAATATTTTAAATGTTTTAAAAATTGAAGATGGTATTTAAAAAGATAGTGACCATATATTTATTTATATATTTTTTATTATTACTTTAAGTTTTAGGGTACATGTGCACAATGTGCAGGTTAGACTGGATTAAGAAAATGTGGCACATATACACCATGGAATACTATGGAGCCATAAAAAATGATGAGTTCATGTCCTTTGTAGGGACATGGATGAAGCTGGAAATCATCATTCTCAGCAAACTATCTCAAGGACAAAAAACCAAACACTGCATGTTCTCACTCATAGGTGGGAATTGAACAATGAGAACACATGGACACAGGAAGGGGAACATCACACACAGGGGCCTGTTGTGGGGTGGGGGGAGGGGGAGGGATAGCATTTGGAGATATACCTAATGTTAAATGATGAGTTACCGGGTGCAGCACACCAACATGGCAGTAACCGTATATTTAAAAAACTACATTCAGCAGAAATGCTGCACAAAATTTCTTTCATTGCTTTGTGGCATTCATGTCTTCTCAATGTCAAGGTCAGGAGGATTTGTTTCTGTTACGAGGAGATTTCTAGAATCCCTCAAAATTCGCTTCTGCAATATGGCTTTGATTTGGGAGCAAAACTTCAGAAAGAGAATGCCATTTCTTTTAAAACTTAAAAGTGTACTTATGCTTCAATTAATGTTAACAGGATGAGGGGGCGGGTGGTCTACAGAAGATAAAGTTTTTTAGGTCAGGCAGATTCTTCCTTAAAAATTATTACAGGCCGGGTGCAGTGGCTTACTCCTGTAATCCCAGCACTTTGGGAGGCCGAGGTGGGTGGGTCATGAGGTCAGGAGATCGAGAACATCCTGGCTAACACAGTGAAACCCCGTCTCTACTAAAAAATACAAAAAATTAGCTGGGCGTGGTGGCGGACGCCTGTAGTCCCAGCTACTCTGGAGGCTGAGGCAGGAGAATGGCGTGAACCCAGGAGGCGGAGCTTGCAGTGAGCCAAGATTGCTCCACTGCACTCCAGCCTGGGGCCACAGAGCAAGACTCCATCTCAAAAAAAAAAAAAAAATTATTACAGGTGTCTATAGCACTGTAAAGCTTTATACATATGAGGTGGTCAATACATATTTGTTATATATGAAATAACTAAATAAAGCAAAATAAAATAAAGACATGGAGTGCTTTGGACAAGCTGCTTAACTGCTCTGGTTCTCAGTGTTATCATGCATAAAAGGTAGATAATAATACGGTCTCTGACTTAAGATGGTTCCACTTAGATTTGTTGACTTTATGATGGTGTCAAAGTGATATGCCTTCAGTAGAAACAGTACTTTAAGTATCCATACAACCACTTTGTTTTTCACTTTTAGTGCAATAGTCTTATGTTCTAAGACTCTCAGTGGATGCCTGAAACTGTGGATAGTACCACACCCTATACATACTTTTTTTTTTTTTTTTTTTTCGGAGACAGAGTCTTGCTCTGTCATCCAGGCTGGCGTGCAGTGGTGCAATCTCTGCTCACTGCAACCTCCAACTCCAGGGTTCAAGCAATTCTCCTGCCTTAGCCTCCCAAGTAGCTGGGACTACAGGCACATGACACCACACCTGGCTAATTTTTTTATTTTTAGTAGAGACAGGGTTTCGCCATGTTGGCCAGGCTGGTTTCAAACTCCTGACCTCAGATGATCCACCTGCCTCAGCCTCCGAAAGTGCTGGGATTACAGGCATGAGCCACCATGCCCCGCCACTATGTTTTTTTCTTTTTTCTTTTTTTTAATCTGACAACTGGGATGTCTACTAAGTAACTGATGGGCAGGTCGTGTACACAGCGTGGATGTACTGAACTAAGGGATTATTCAAATCTTGAGGGGGACTGAGCAGCACAGTTTGAAATTTGATCATGCTTAGAACAGTGTGCAATTTAAACTTATAAATTGTTTATTTCTGGAATTTTCCATTTAATATGTTTGGACTGTGGTTAACAATGGGTACCTGAAATCATGGAAGGGGAAATCATAGATAAGGGGGGAATATTATATAGTATTTAATAAATTGCATGAGCTATACAACACTTTATTATAAAATAAGCCTTGTGTTAGATGATTTTGTCCAACTGTAGGCTAAGGTAAGTACTCTGAGAACGTTTAAGCTAGGTTAGGCTGAACTGATATTCAGCAGGTTGGGTGTGTTAAATGAATTTTTGAATCATGATGTTTTCGGTTTATGATGGATTTATTGAATCATAACTCCATTGTAAGTCAAGGAACAGCTCTAGGACTTATCTTAGAAGATTATTGTGAGGATTATATTGGACAATGCAGGCAATACAACTTGGTACCGGGCCAAGTACATAGTATCCTTTGTATAACTTTGTACCGTGCCAAGGACATAGTAAATGCTCAATAAACATTAATTGTTATGATGATTTTCCTTATAATGAAGGCAATAATTTTATAAATTTCATTAGTGCTTTGACTCATAGTATAATGGGGAAATAATATTTTATTGAATAGTTCAGTGCTTGTTAGCAAAGATTTTCTTTAGATATAAGACCAGAAAAATTTCATTTGCTTTTACAGATTTCTCTGGGATTTTAGTTAGTATTGGTTGCCAAAATGGCAACTTTGAGTGTTAATATATTAAGAATGTAATTGGATTATTTGTAACTCAAAGGATGAATGCTTGAGGGGATGGATGCTGAATTCTCCATGACGTGCTTATTTCACATTGCATGCATGTATCAAAACAGCTCATGTGCTCCTAAAATATATACATGTACTATGCACCCACACAAATTTACAAATTAATCTTAAAATTTAAAAAACAGCTACTACTTTGTAGCCATATCATTACTATGTGAAGAAGCTACATTGTTTGTTGGATTTCATTTAAAACTGCCTTGAAACTCATGTATATGTCACCCATGGTGATGCATCCTTAAATTTCCTAAATGATTTCTTTCATGAACTTTAACCTACCTCACCTTTCTAAACAACTGGGAATATATCAAATAAAATGAGCATTCTACATGAGATTCTAAACTTATTATAATTGAGTTTATATTGCACATGACAAACATGAAATCAATCTTTTCATAGGCAACTCCAAATTCTCTGCCTTCAAATTGTCAATGTGTTGAGTCCCTTCAACTCAAACATGCATTTGGAAGGTCAGGACTGTGTCATTAGTCAGCACTTGAATCTCAGCTAGGTTGCTTATCTCTTATGTTTCAAGAACTTATATATCATATTGTCTATGATGGTTTCAAAAGTAACATTATAATCCAAGTAGAAGAATCTGACAAACTTCTCTTGTTGGCTAAGAAACTGGAAAAATAAAAATAATGTGGTATATTTTCCACAGTTAATTTTTATAAAAATTTGAGATGTCTTTTCTCATTTCTGATGTTTAAATATCCATTATAAAAATAAAAAGTGGTGATTGTGGATAATAGTAATTATCGTATACCAGCAAAATAAAAAGTTGGTTACCCCATGTGTGTCCACTAACATTTTGTTTACTTAGCTAGCTAGAGAATAAGTTCTAATGCCCCTTAGGATTACTCTTTTCATTCAGCTCTCTAATGACCATCTCTTTCTATGATATAATTTTCTATTATAGCTATGCTACATTTATATTCCTGTATTATTTGAATTTTATTAAATTCTCTCTTTCAATAAATATATATTGAGTGTGCATTCTCTCTCTCTATAGACCCCATATATAGAGACCACATATTATATAATATATATATATATAAATATAGACCTTATATAGAAAGACCATATATAGAGACCATATATATAGACCATGTCTACACAGACACACATACACACACACACACACACACACACACACACACACACACACACACACATTTTATATATATAAAGAGAGGGAGACAGAATGTAAATAGCATGGCACTAGTGCAATGACTGGGTGTTTGATTACTGAACAACACGACATCTAGTTTGACATAGTTTCCCAATTGAACCCTTTCCACTATTACCTTTTTAATTTTCTTCTATTTTCTGCTACTCTGTTCAAGTAAAACACAGAAATTATTTTGCCAATATATAGTTGAAAGGTATTTAGAAAGCTCAGAAACAAATGTCACCATCAGAATTCCAACAGTATATTTTATGTTCACCCAGAAAGAAAACAAAAGCAAAGAAAAAACTATCCAAATTAGAAACGCTGCAGAAGTATAATGAGTACTGAGTATAATCCTTCAGAAGTATTATGGAGTTTGAGTTATTTTTCTTAAGAAGAATGAAGCCCACACATCATTGAGTTCCAGATTTTGGGGAAAAGTTCTAGCCCACTGCTTTTCGGCACTTGAATCGGCTTAAAGGGAATTGTCTGCTGTGCTTGATGGTTTGGCTGATTCCAGAAGCTGCTGGATGTTCTGGGCTCAATGGAGTAGAACATCATAGGCTAAAACTGATTCATGATCCACTTAGTGGAGAAGGAAAAAGTTTTTACCTGGGGGAGTTATCATTTCCTCTAACATTGTGTCCTGGGGTGTGGCTTGAAATAATTTCAAAAAACATTCCCAAGTGGAAACATTTTTCTCATGTTTCCAGGATAGTGGGTGATGTCTTTGTGTGAAAAGCTAGTGCCACAGATAAACTGTTAAGTTTTAGTTTA
This sequence comes from Homo sapiens, assembly GCF_000001405.40. Taxonomy (NCBI): domain Eukaryota; kingdom Metazoa; phylum Chordata; class Mammalia; order Primates; family Hominidae; genus Homo; species Homo sapiens. The sequence goes on from NC_000009.12 coordinate 24,270,871, forward strand.
TCGTAACAACTTCATTCTTTGTTTTCTGTTAACCCTTATTTAAAATGCTCTGAAATATGGCTTGTAAGTCTGGAAAAATCTCTCCCTTTTCTCCAAGTTATTGACCTAAAAGTGAATTTAAGAAGTCTACAAAAATGCCTTTGATGGCCCAGCGCGGTGGCTCACACCTGTAATCCTAGCACTTGTGGAGACCGAGGCAGGCGGACTGCCTGAAGTCGGGAGTTCGAGACCAGCCTGGGCAACATGGTGAAACCCCCGTCTCTGTTAAAATATAAAAGAAATTAGCTGGGCGTGGCGGCGTGCGCCTGTAGTCCCAGCTACTCAGGAGGCTGAGGCAGGAGAATTGCTTGAACTTGGGAGGCGGAGGTTGCAGTGAGCCGAGATCGCACCACTGCACTCCAGCACTCCAGCCTGGGTGACAGCGGGACTCCGTCTCTACAAAATAATAATAATAATAATAATAATAATAATAATAAATGCCTTTGACTTTTATAGAATAGAATATTTTGCAAAATGCTTTCATGTATGCTATCTTATTTGATAGGATGGAGGTCCCATGAAAGAGAACCAGCCAATGGCATGGCTTCTAAATTACAGATGAGAAAACTGAGACCTTAAGAAGTGACTTGTCTTCATTGGCTCGGCTCTTCAGTGTACCAAGCTGAGCTCTCTGAGTCCACGTTTTAGACCCTTTCTGTGAGAATTCGTTGCCTCTGACACTTATATTACTTCTTTCATGTAAAATATTTTTCTGCCCCTATGTATTTTACCTACCCATCTTGACTTGATAATCAAAGTGAAAATAATTGTAAGGAAGGCAAACTTTCTTAATTGTTTTCTACATATGTTGAAACTTTCTTATAGGTTCATTTCCGTAGATTGATTATATTTCACCTTTTAAATTTCTTTTCTGTGTTTAGAGAAAAATTGCAGTGTATGAAAGTCACTGAGAGATAATTATCTGCTTGTAATTGATGGTAACTGCTTGGAATTTTCCAGGGAGTATGTGGATTATGGCTGGTCATCACATTAAAATCTGTCTCATGGGGTTCCATCGTGCTATTTGAAAAACCTGTGAGAAATAGTAAGAAACTATTAAGAAATTTCAATGTAAAATGACCCAAGTGGCTTACTATAGATTCTGTCTGATATTTTTCATTTTTAATATGAAGACTGGGATTTGTGATTTAAATTTTATATAGTAAAAATCTGTCTGCAGAAAATGTAAGCTTTATTTTCCCTATTCTTTATTGTTATGCTTCCTCTTTTTTATTAGAGAGTTATAATAATTAGAATGCAAAGAATCTCTTTCTCCAGAAGACCTTTCTGATGAATACCAGCAATTTCATTCTTCTGTCCTTGTTCATAGTTTCCATGATCACAAATTATCTTTTGTTTTCTAGCTAACATATTTATACTTTGTGCATTTTTTCCACCTGTCCGCCCCAAAACCAACTCTCCATTTAGATCCTCATGGATGTGGCCTTGATTTTGTTTCCTTAATAGTCAGTGTGACAGAATTTTCTGAATTCTTGGTCTGCAAAGAATCAGAGTATACTAGTGAGGATGGTAAAATTAAAATTTATTAGACATACCATAGTGCAGTGAAATATAATACAGTATCAAGGAAGTAGACGAAATCCTCAGATACTCTACATTTCTCTAGCTTAGAGATTCCATTTCTCCCTAGGCAGAATTGTTAAAATCAATTTTATTGTGAATATAATGGACATATGAAGAAATGCACAAAATAAATAATATTGGTATATAAAGTACATTTATGTGACCACTACCTAGGTGAAGAAATAGAACATTGCAGGAATCCCAGAAAATCTCTGCATTACCTATCCCAACTCTGCTGATTTTTATGTTATCCACATCCTAGCATTCCTTTAAACTTTACCTCACTTGTGTAGTCTGTAGTAAATGCTGTCAGTCTTCTATTTTGCCTCTTCACATCTGCTTTACTAAATGCTGTGGGGTTTGCATGGCAAAAACTCACAGTTGCCCACTTATCTGGAGAATTACCCTTGGCCAAATGGGAATCACTACCAGGCATGTCATGCCTCCTCTCTCCCTGCAGCCTCAGTATTGACTGTAGCACATTGACTGTCCCTTAACTCAAGGTGGGATGAACTGTGTGATGCTCCAATGTTTCACCTTGGAATTGAAACAAAGCTGTTTTTTAAATGAGACCTTACTCTTGCAGGCTTTATTGCTCCTCTCTTGATACCGCTCCTCCAAGAAATGAATCAATTGAGCAAGAACCCATCTCAGGCTCTGATTCTAAGATCACACGAGATTGTCAACAAAGGAGATAGGGATTTGGGGAGCTACCTTAAAAATCTGTCCATCACACATCCTTAGCCAACTCAGACTAGTTTTGCCTATTGAATACATATTGAATTTTATATATTTGAGATCATACACTATGTGCTTATTTTGTCTGTTTTTTCTCCTCTCATTCTTTTTCATGCGCATACCCGATTTTCTAAATATCACTATGGTATTTTTAAGATTTGTCTGCATTGCTGCAGGTGGTTGCAATTTATTCATTTTTATTTCTGTGTAATAAAAACCAATAAGTTATTTTTTCATTCTATTTTTGGACATCTTGTTGGTTTTGATTGTTTCCACTTGTTTTGCGATTGAAAACTATACTATTATGAAGATAATTATGTTTTTATCCTGATGCACATAACCTCACTTTTGTATGAGGCAGTGCTTCTTAAAGTTTAGCAAGCATAAGAATCACCAGATGGGCTTGTTAAAACCTAGATTTCTGAGACACAGTTCTGGGGTTTCTGTCCCAGAATGTCTGTTACGGGATTTGCATTCTAACATCTTCGTAGGTGATACTGATGCTGCTGGTCTGGGGTCCTCACCTGGGAGAAACACTACGGTAGAGTATATTCCTAGTTGTGAAACTGTTAGCTCAAGAGTCTGCATATGTTCAGTTTAGTAGTTAATACCTACAATTTGCCAGAGTTATACCACATTGTGTATACCTACAGCGACATACAAAAATTCTTGTTGCTCCATGTTGTGGTCAGCACTAATTTTCAAATTCCTAAATTTTAAATCTAGTAAAATTGTATTGATATCACAGTGATTTAAATTCATATCTCTGTGATTATAAAAAGACTGAGTATCCATTTTATGGCTTGCTTTTTCACACTTAGTGGCATATTTTCAAAAAGAGTAATCCTTAATTTTAGTATATCCAAACTTTTTCTTTCACATTATGAACCATGATCCACCTAAAATTGATTTCTGCATGTGTTATAAAATTGAGAATCAATTTCTTTTTGTTTATATACCTACTTCATTGCCCCAACATCATTTATCAAAAAGTATTTTCTCTGTCATAGTCAGGTGTCATTTATATGTGAGGTCCTTTCTTGGTTCTTTAGTCTGATGATTTGTCTACTCTCTTTCTCTGCCATTCTATCCCACGATCTTAGTTAGTTCAGCTTCATTTTACCACTTACAGTAGTTAATATAGTAGTATATTTGTATTTCCGGTGAACTTAACAGTTTTTCCTCATGCAATGACTATTTCTGTAATAATTCTCTTTGCCTTAATATATATTTTGTTTAATATTACTGTACTTATGTTAGCTTTTTCTGGTGTTTACCTTATCTTTTATTTTGTATCATTTTACATCCAAGATTTATGTAAATTCCAGTTTCAAATGTGTACAGTTGACCTATGAACAACAGAGGTTTGAATTACAAAACTCCACTTATATGTAGATTTTTTTTCAACCAAATATAGATAAAAATAGAGTATTCACCCAATGTGAAACCCATGTACCTGGAGGGCTAACTTTTCACATATGTGGGTTATGCAGGGCTGACTATAAAACTTGATTACACACATATTTATGTATAAGTAGGTGGTCCTGGAACAAATCCCCTGTATACAGAGTGACAGTTGTGTAAAAGATTTGTAGCTAGTTTTTATTTTTTAAAATCAGTATATGAATCATTGCTTTTTAACTGGAACATTTGGTTGATTTACATTTAATACTATTACTGAAATATTTGGGTTTAAATTGATTATATGATGATGTAAATTGGTTATATGATTATAATCACTTATGTGATTAGTAACTATTTTACCTGTTCTATATTATGTTTTTCTTGTTGCTGCATACAAAGACGCACACATACAAACATACACACATAAATCACACAGAGACATATATTTAAGAGTTTGGAAGTTACAAACTTTTTCCCTATTCATGAGTGTTACTCTAGAGATAATATAGGCACCCTTGATTTACAAAAAATTAATAATTATCTTTATCTGAGTTCTTCTTTCCAAAAATGCCAGAATCTTAGAACACTTGTGATTCAATTACCCATTTTAATATATATGCTATTATTCTGTGTTTTAATTCTCTCTTTATGTGAAGTCTTACAGGACACTTTTGCTTTTGTTTTCTATACTCAAAGTTTATTTATATTTACAAAATGTGTACTATTTTCTTTGCTCATCATGCCTTCCTGCATTTCTGAGCTTAAATCTCCACGAAAGTGGTAAGAATGGTTATTTTATTGTCGATACCTGATAATTCCAATAACTGGATTCCCACTGTGACTCTTTCTGTTGTCTGTTGTTCCTCCTGGTTTGGCTTGTCTTGTTTTGCATCTCTTCTTCTTTCTTTGTTGGATGTTGTATAAAAAAATTACTTCTAGAAATAATTTAAGGCCTAAAATTGTGTTGTTTTTTGTTTGGAAGATATAATAGGAGCCAAAGCAGCAACAGAATTCACTCGAAAGGGATTAATTGGGTTAAGGGACTATTTACAAACTGTTGTTGGGTAGGAAATAAACAAGGGCAGTTGAATCACCCACTCAAGTGGAGAGGCTACCCACCTGTGAAGCTTTAGTTATAGACAGATACAACCTACTGCCAGAACTGTAGCATGAAAGCAGGAATGGGGTGTGGCACAAATACCCCAATTTCTTTATACTGCCACCCTCAGATCTCCTCATCATGCTTCCCTGTGTCCAAAACCAACCAGAAGCCAGAGTACATGGGAGTCTGGATGATGTAGTCAATTAGGGGTCAGTGAACCTAAAGCAAAGAGCAGAGAAGAGAAGGGCAGAAATATATAGATTAAGTACAGTGGATATGTTTTTCTTCTAAGCTCCTTGCTAAGGCCAAGGCTTGAGTTTCTCTTGGACGCCTCAGTAACCCATTGGGTTATACTCCAACAACTCATTGTCTAGGTGGATCCCTCTAGCTCAGGACCCAGAGAGGTGGTGACTCACCAGAGTGTGCCATCTTGGTGGGCACTGTACTTCACCTGCTGCTCACTGAGTCCGCTGAAAGCAAAGCATGACCTTTCAGCTGCCTCCAGTCAATCTGTAAAATTTCCAGGGCAGAAGCAGTGCTCATCTCTAATGTTCTCTGATCTCCACTTGGTGATTACTCATTCTCTTTGCTTTTACTAGGATTTTGCAGAGGGATCTAATGATTTTGTCTGCAGCAGGAGGATTGAACAGGGATTGGCAAATGATAGCCCATGGACCAAATCTAGCCCAATGTTTTTATAAATAAAGTGTTATTGAAAAAAACCACACCTATTTATTAACATACTTTCTATGGCTACATTCATGAACAACCACAAGGTTGAGTCGTTGTGACAGAGATGGTCTTGTCCACAAAGTCTTAGTATTTATTATCTAGCCCTTTGTGGAAAAAGTTTGCTGAATGCTGGTATACATGCCCACCATTATTAGAAGCCAGCTGTCCCTCCTACAAGACAATTTAAGATATGTATAATTTACTCATGTGAAGCATCTTCATCTGTAATAGCTAATTAAATTTTAGTGGTAAACTTGACTGGGTTGAATTTCTTTTCCTTATTATTACAGATCTATCTAATCATGGTGATATTAATGAGATGTTCAGCGTTCAAACTGAAGTTAATTGGAAGGAAAGTAAGTAGAAAGAAGTAGTCTAGGTTATTGGAAAAAAAAAACTAATCAAACTGCCACTGATAGAGATAAACGTAAAACTATAACTTTAAAGTGATTAAAAATCTGATTAAGTGACTTAATTAAATGTGCACACAAGTAAATATGGGCTCGTAACCATTTCAATACTATTTTGATAACATCTAGCACCTACGATGTGGCTGATATTGTGATAGGAATTTTTAAGTGCATCATCCTAATCAAATTCCAGTCTTCGTTGAGTTTGTTATAATCCTTCTCATTTTACAGATGGGTAGACTGACTTCCAGAAAGTTTAAGCAACTTGAGTGTGATCTTGAGCTTGCAGGTAGCAGTCTTGGGATTTGGATAGACTTTAGATTAAAAGCATCAGAAGGACAGGAAGAGGCCAATTACTGTACTTCCTTAGACAACTTGGCTGTGTAGCACTGATAGATTTTGTTCATGTTAAACATAGTAACAATTCCATCACTGACTTTTTGTTTCAGTTGTATACTAGGAAAAAAAAAATCAAATGGCATAGGCAGAAATATTTCCTTCTAAGAAACAGTAGGAGGAATCTGATTGATTTGGACTAAGGGATCCTGACAACTCAACAGTAGCCACTGAAATTGCCTTTCTGACTGAAGTGTTTAAGCCTGGCCTAGAGCGCTGCAGTCAGCTTGCACCTGCTGCATGAATCCTTTGCTATGCTTCAGAATCAATGCAAGTCTTTGAGGTATATTATGACTCTGTTATGTATTTATTATGTTCATGAATATCAAAGGAGTGGAGGACAAGTCTGGAGGCTTCAGACAAACTACAGATAAGCTCTGGGACCATCTAATTGCATTTTTAAAAGTGGTATTTTATGTGTATTCTTTATAAAACTTTTTTTTTTTCTAAATTTCTAGGAGGCTATTTGTTCCTTACCCTGAAGTTAACAACTGGGAAGTTTTTTGTCTCTTAAAATTCAATTGATTTTTAGGTTTGTATTCCTTTCTAACGTCCTCAGTTGCTTTCCAAGCAAGATATTTGTACTTAGGACTTATCTAACTTTGACAAAGATTTGCCCAGAGTCTGAGACCAAGTGGGAACTAATTTAGCCCCAGAAGGAGGACTTCATTTTGACTGAATGGTAAGTGATAGAAAATGGGGTTGTTGCAGAAGTCTTACAGACTTAACTTTAGCAGCTGTTAAGTATTGCAATAGATTTAAAATATTTTTGCTTTTAAAAGTAATTAAGTAAAAGATACATAAATAATTCTAAGTAATGTTGTATCAGTAGGTATGTGTATACATTGTAATTTGTCTGAAGTGAAAAATAAGCCGAGTGGGTTACCAAACCACTAGAATACTTCCAGTGTTACAGTATTTCATCTTTCTTTCCTCATTTTCTGCTTCACCATCCCAGGTTTCTACTTCTCAATATATTAGTCATGAAAATATAGAAATATAGGGAAGGAGAGTATAGAAAAGGCAGAAATATCTCTTAAACAAAGCAAAAGTTTACTTTTTTAACAAGGAAAACTATCAAATCATCACTGGGTAATCAATTCATTTGGAGATTCAAAGATGTAATCTCAACATCATGTAGCAGGAGAGGTTGACCTCTGTTTTTAATAATGTATCTTTTAACAAACATACAGTAAATGTACTGTCTCTGGAAGGACTAATGTACATAAAAGTATTGTCTAACAAGCTTAAAAATAGAAAAATATTTTGAGTGGGTTGTTTTCACGTCTCTTCTGCAGGACAGATAGAAAACAAGGAGACTTCTAGAGTATTTTTGATATGACAATGAAATTGTCTTACATGTTCTTAAGGGTGGAGAAAAAAATTGGAACAAAGAACATTAGGACACATAACTTTGTTTACAATAATCTGTTCAGTTTCAAACCCTCTTCCAGTTAATAACTACCCTAGCACACAAAGATACCACTAACCAAGGGTAGCTACTATCCTGACAATTCCATCATCATGTATTAGTTTCACTTACTTTGGAAATGTATACACATGGAATCACACAGCATGTATCAACTCTTTTGTGTCTGCTTCCATGAGATTCATCCATGTCATCATATTTTTAGTACATTCTCATGTACTTGTAATATTTATTGTGTGCCTATACTATACAGTATTAATTTTACTGTTGAAAGATATTTGGTTTCTAGGGCCATCCCTAGGATATGTGGAATCCTGAGAAAACTTTTTTTTGTTATTTGTATTTTGGCAGGGTCCCTGTTTGTACAAACAATTTGATTGAAATATATTATTAAAATGTATAGACCCATACCAATATAGAAATGTATCAATAACCATTTAGAGTAGTAAGTAGAAAAGAAGTGCTTATCTATTTGTTTACTATCCAATCAGTAGTCATAGAGATTCTTCATAATGTCCAGGTATCTTTCTGTTCAGGTCGAGGAAACAACTCTTTATTGTCAAAAGCCCTGCTCCTGGCTAATTTCCTTGTTTCTGCTCCTAGGACAAGGTAACAACACTGTTATTATTCACCATGCCATCATTCTGCACAGGCTATTGGTATTGAAACAATATAGATCATCTTACCTTTGCATTTCCCTAATACTTTTTATTGCATGCTCATTATGCATGATATAGCATCATCTGTTGAACATCTGTGAATAATGGCTCCTAATGACTCTCTCAAAGGTTGTGACTTTACTTCATTGAGTATGGCCACATAGACCAGTCTTAGCCATAGTATGCAGGAAAATGCCAACAATAATTTATTTTCTATTCATGCTAAATTTACTATTCAGAATTTTGTTGAATAAAAATATAACAATGCATCTTCTGAGTGAGTTTCTTAATCCTTAGTTCTAGTTTGATTGCACTGTGGTCTGAGAGACAGTTTGTTATAACTTCTGTTTTTTACATTTGCTGAGGAGTGCTTTACTTCCAACTATGTAGTCAATTTTGGAATAAGTGTGATGTGGTGCTGAGAAGAATGTATATTCTGTTGATTTGGGGTGGAGAATTCTGTAGATGTCTATTAGGTCCGCTTGGTGCAGAGCTGAGTTCAGTTCCTGGATATCCTTGTTAACTTTCTGTCTCGTTGATCTCTCTAATGTTGACAGTGGGGTGTTAAAGTCTCCCATTATTATTGTGTGGGAGTCTAAGTCTCTATGTAGGTCTCTAAGGACTTGCTTTATGAATCTGGGTGCTCCTGTATTGGGTGCATATATATTTAGGATAGTTAGCTCTTCTTGTTGAATTGATCCCTTTACTATTATGTAGTGGTCTTCTTTGTTTCTTCTGATCTTTGTTGGTTTAAAGTCTGTTTTATCAGAGATTAGGATTGCAACCCCTGCTTTTTTTCTTTCCATTTGCTAGAACTCAGGATTAAGAAATTCACTCAAAACCACTCAACTACATGGAAACTGAACAACCTGCTCCTGAATGACTACTGGGTACATAACAAAATGAAGGCAGAAATAAAGATGTTCTTTGAAACCAAAGAGAACAAAGACACAACATACCAGAATCTCTGGGACACATTTAAAGCAGTGTGTAGAGGGAAATTTATAGCACTAAATGCCCACAAGAAAAAGCAGTAAAGATCTAAAATTGACACTCTAACATCACAATTAAAAGAACTAGAGAAGCAAGAGCAAACACATTCAAAAGCTAGCAGAAGGCAAGACATAACTAAGATCAGAGCAGAACTGAAGGAGATAGAGACATTAAAAAACCCTTCAAAAAATCAATGAATCCAGGAGCTGGTGTTTTGAAAAGATCAACAAAATTGATAGACCGCTAGCAAGACTAATAAAGAAGAAAAGAGAAAAAATCAAATAGACGCAATAAAAAATGATAAAGGGATATCACCACCAATCCCACGGAAATAGAAACTACCATCAGAGAATACCATAAACACATCTACACAAATAAACTGGAAAATCTAGAAGAAATGGATAAATTCCTCGACACATACAACCTCCCAAGACTAAACCAGGAAGAAGTTGAATCCCTGAATAGACCAATAACAGGTTCTGAAATTGAGGCAATAATTAATAGCCTACCAACCAAAAAAAGTCCAGGACCAGACAGATTCACAGCCGAATTCTACTAGAGGTACAAGGAAGAGCTGGTAACATTCCTTCTGAAACTATTCCAATCAATAGAAAAAGAGGGAATCCTCCCTAACTCATTTTATGAGGCCAGCATCATCCTGATACCAAAGCCTGGCAGAGACACAGCAGAAAAAGAGAATTTTAGACCAATACCCCTGATGAACATCGACACAAAAATCCTCAATAGAATACTGGCAAAACAAATCCAGTAGCACATCAAAAAGCTTATCCACCATGATCAAGTGGGCTTCATCCCTGGGATGCTAGTTCAACATATGCATATCAATAAACCTAATCCAGCATATAAACGGAACCAAAGACAAAAACCACATGATTATCTCAATAGATGCAGAAAAGGCCTTTAACAAAATTCAACAGCCCTTCATGCTAAAAACTCTCAATAAATTAGATAATGATGGGATGTATCTCAAAATAATAAGAGCTATTTATGACAAACCCACAGCCAATATCATACTGAATGGGCAAAAACTGGAAGCATTCCCTTTGAAAACTGACACAAGACAGGGATGCCCTCTCTCACTACTCCTATTCAACGTAGTGTTATAAGTTCTGGCCAGGGCAATCAGGCAGGAGAAGGAAATAAAGGGTATTCAACTAGGAAAAGAGGAAGTCAAAATGTCACTGTTTGCAGATGACATGATTATATATTTAGAAAACCCCATCATCTCAGCCCAAAATCTCCTTAAGCTGATAAGCAACTTCAGCAAAGTCTCAGGATACAAAATAAATGTGCAAAAATCACAAGCATTGTTATACACCAATAATAGACAAACAGAGAGCCAAATCATGAGTCAACTCCCATTCACAATTGCTTCAAAGAGAATAAAATACCTAGGAATCCAACTTACAAGGGATGTGAAGGACCTCTTCAAGGAGAACTACAAACCACTGCTCAACGAAATAAAAGAGGAAACAAACAAATGGAAGAACATTCCATGTTCATGGATAGGAAGAATCAATATCGTGAAAATGGCCATAGTGCCCAAGGTAATATATAGATTAATGCCATCCCCATCAAGCTACCAATGACTTTCTTCACAGAACTGGAAAAAATTAAAGTTCATATGGAACAAAAAAAGAGTCTGCATTGCCAAGTCAATCCTAAGCCAAAAGAAAAATGCTGGAGGCATCACGCTACCTGACTTCAAACTATACTACAAGGCTACAGTCACCTAAACAGCATGGTACTGGTACCAAAACAGAGACGGAGACCAATGGAACAGAACAGAGCCCTCAGAAATAATACCACACATCTACAACCATCTGATCTTTGATAAACCTGACAAAAACAAGAAACAGGGAAAGGATTCCTTATTTAATAAATGGTGCTGGGAAAACTGGCTAGCCATATGTAGAAAGCTGAAACTGGATCCCTTCCTTACACCTTATACAAAAATTAATTCAAGATGGATTAAAGACTTAAATGTTAGACCTAAAACCGTAAAAACCCTAGAAGAAAACCTAGACAATACCATTCAGGACATAGGCATGGGCAAGGACTTCATGTCTAAAACACCAAAAGCAATGGCAACAAAAGCCAAAATTGACAAATGGGATCTAATTAAACGAAAGGGCTTCTGCACAGCAAAAGAAACTACCATCAGAGTGAACAGGCCACCTACAGAATGGGAGAAAATTTTTGCAATCTACTCATCTGACAAAGGGCTAATATCCAGAATCTACAAAGAACTCAAATAAATTTACAAGAAAAGAACAACCCCATCAAAAAGTAGGTGAAGGATATGAACAGACACTTCTCAAAAGAAGATATTTATGCAGCCAGCAGACACATGAAGAAATGCTCATCATCACTGGCCATCAGAGAAATGCAAATCAAAACCACAATGAGATACCATCTCCTTGATTGCCAGTTAGAATGGCAATCATTAAAAAGTCAGGAAACAAAAGGTGCTGGAGAGGATGTGGAGAAATAGGAACACTTTTACACTGTTGGTGGGACTGTAAACTAGTTCAACCATTGTGGAAGACAGTGTGGCGATTCCTCGAGGATCTAGAACTAGAAATACCATTTGACCCAGCCATCCCATTACTGGGTATATACCCAAAGGATTATAAAACATGCTGCTATAAAGACACATGCACACGTATGTTTATTGTGGCACTATTCACAATAGCAAAGACTTGGAACCAACCCAAATGTCCATCAATGATAGACTGGATTAAGAAAATGTGGCACATATACACCATGGAATACTATGCAGCCATAAAAAAGGATGAGTTCATGTCCTTTGTAGGGACATGGATGAAGCTAGAAACCATCATTCTGAGCAAACTATCTCAAAGACAGAAAACCAAACACCGCATGTTCTCACTCATAGGTGGGAACTGAACAGTGAGAACACTTGTACACAGGGTACGGAACATCACACACTGGGGCCTGTTGTGGTGTAGGGGAGGGGGAAGGATAGCATTAGGAGATACACCTAATGTAAATGACAAGTTAATGGGTGCAGCACACCAACATGGCACATGTATACATATGTAACAAACCTGCACGTTGTGCTCATGTACCCTAGAACTTAAAATATAATAAAAATAATTTAAAAAATGCATCTTCTAACGATGTCTGCTCTTGAACTATTTTGACTATAATCACTGCAATAGTAAAACCTGATACGTTTCAGTGTTGATAATACCCTTGCCTTCCATCTCTCACCAGTAGAAATGATAGGCCAGTATCCATCAGGAGAACAAGAGGTGGCTCCACTCCCACAAGGAAAGTCCCTGCCTTGGTCAGCAAAGCTTAAAGCCATCCCCAGGGAGCATTATGTTGCTCCATCTCTCAGAAGCAGCAAAAAGCATAGCTCAAGAGGACCCACTGGCATTGCAGAGCATCAATGTGGAGGAGATAGGAATGGCCAGCCCCAAAGAACTGGCTAACATGGGAGGTACAGTCTGTGGAGAGGGTGAGGGATTGCACTGGGTGCTCATGCAGAATATTTGCTGCCAACTCCACCGTTCTTAGGTACTATAGACTGGAGGTGGCACTAAGGTAAGAACATGGATGTATGAGAGTGGGTGTAAAGGCCTACAAAGGTAGCTCAACTTCAAGGGTTGGCAGTAATTTTTTACTAACCTAGCTCCCTGTGTCTATCTTGTGTCACCTAAAATCAGTGTATTAGCACCATTCTGGTGACTTAATCTTATATAATACTGTGCAAAAAAACATTTTACCAGGTAAGGTGACATAGACCTTCTTGGGGTATCTGGTTGATCCTCACGAGTGTTGTAGAGGGTTGGAAAGCACCCAGAAGGAGGGAAACAGGAAGCAGAACCCGTGTAAGTCCCAGTCTTGGCTCAGGTGCCCCACACTGGTGACATGGCCACTGCCAGTTGATCCCACTTATGGAAAGGTGATAGAAAATTACAAGGGAGATGCTTTATAGCATGGGGTTTTTGAGGCATTGCTAGGTAAAGCCCTATTTGCTAGAGTCTAAGGCCAGTACTGTTGGGTTGTCTTTAGTTTTGTCTGTTATGAGTAATGCTACTATTAACATTCTTTTGGTGCACATGTGATCTGATTCCTGTTGGCCTTATACCTAGGTTAGAGTTACTTGATTAGACATAAATGTACATGTTCACATGTAGTAGATGCTGGCAGTTATCTGGGGGTTTGTATCAAGTCATTCTCAGTAACATGAGAGTACTAATTCTCCACATCTTTGTCAACATTTGGTGAGGTCATGATCGTTATTTAAAAAAATAGCTCTTCTGATAGATTTAGTGGTACTTAATTGTGGGTTTCATTCACTTTTTCCTGGTGAATAACGATGTAGAATACATTTTCATTTGCTTGTCATCTTGATACCCTCGTTGATGAAGTACATGTTCAAGTCATTTTTCAATTTCTGAGCCTACTCAATACACTTTTTTCCAATAGAAAAAGTAAGTCTTTTTCTAACTGATTTGTAGAAATCTTTTCCTTATTGGTTTGTAGAGATTCTCAGGATATATTCTTTGTCTATACTTTTGTTTGTATTGCACATATCTATAACTTGTGCACGGCTTCCTTTTTCATTCTCTTAATGATGTCTTTGAGTCACAAAACTTTTCAATTTCAATGAAATCTAATTTATCAACATTTTCCTTTATTGTTAGTACTTTTTACTACTTGAATAATCTTTGTTTAACCCAAGGGTATGCATATATTCTGTTTTGTTTTGTTCTAGATGTTTTATTATTTTAATTATTTTTGTTGTTTCAGCATCCTTTACTGAAAAAAAATATTCTTTCCCTGGCAGCATTATTTTGGCATATGTATAGAAACGCAAGTGATTGTATAAGTGTAAGTGTGATTCTAGAATCTCTTTTTTGTTACAATAGACCTTTTTTTAAAAAAAACAAAAAACAAACAACAAAACCTTATGCCAGTACCATAATGTTTTACTTACTATAGCTACATAAGAAGTCTTAATTCTTAGGAGTGTATGCCCTCCAAATTTATTTTTTTCTTAAATATTTCTTCACTACTCTTGGCCTTTCTGATGTCCTTTATAACCGTGTACATCACCAGGATTTCATCTGGGATAAAATTCCTTCTGTCTAAATAGCTTCTGTTAGTTTTTGTTTACTGCATGTACTCTGGCTGTTTTATTCAGGCTATTCTCAGATTTATCTCTCTAAAAATATCTTTATGTTGCCATCATTTATGAAGGATATTTTTGTTAGATATTGAATTCTAGATTGGCAATATTTTAAAAAATAGTTTCAAATTTTTTTTCAAAAATTTGGTTTTGTTTTGTTTTTTGCTCTCATCATTTCTGAAGAAAAGTTAGCTCTTGGTTTTATTATTTGTCATTTGAAGATAATCTTATTTTTTTCCATTTTATTTTCACTTCTAGATGCTTTTCTAAACAAAATTTTTATTTTAGAGGGTTTTTAGATTTACAAAATTATTGAAAACGTATACAGATAATTTCTATATATCCTGCACCAAGTTTCACTTACTATGAACATTTTATATTAGTATGGCACATAGCTTACAATTTGTGAACCTATATTGATACATTACTATTAACTGAAATCCACATTTTATGTAGATTTGCTTATTAAATCCATCTTTTGAATCTTAATCTTAGTTATTATTGTTCAGTTCTAGAACATGTATTTGATTCCTTTTATTGGTTCTCATTCTCAGGTGAATTTACCACCTTACATGCATTTTCTTGATATTTTAATGATCATTAATTTTAAGTCTCTGTCTCATATCTTCGGTCTGTGTTACCCATTGCTCCGTTTCTATTTTTTGTTTGTTTGTTTTTGATCATATGATCTTCAGTCTCAGTATGTCTTTTGATTGCATACTGGACATTGTATCTGAATACTTAGATGATGTTATCTTTATCCAAAAAAGGATTACATTTTATCTCACAGACAGAGCACGGGCCAATTATCTTACAAGAGTCAAATCCTGGTAACAGCCTTTGTTAGGGCAGTCTTTCCTTCCCTTCCCCTCTCTTCCCCTCCCTTCCCCTCCCCTTCCCTCCCTTCCCCTCCCTTCCCTTCCCCTCCCCTCCCCTCCCCTCCCTTCCCCTCCCTTCCCCTCCCTTCCCCTCTCTTCCCCTCCTTTCCCCTCCCTTCCCTTTTTTCTTTCCTTTCTTTCTTTTTCTTTCTTTTTTTTTTTTTTTGAGACAGGCTCTGGCTCTGTCACCCAGGCTGGAGTGCAGTGATGTGACCTTGGCTGACTGCAACCTCTGCCTCCCAGGCTCAAGCCATCCTCCCACCTCAGCCTCCTGAGTAGCTGGGACTACAGGTGCACACCACCACACTCAGCTATTTTTTGCATTTTTTGTAAAGGTGGGTCTCACTTTGTTACCCAGGCTGGTCTTAACTCCTGAGCTCAAGCTATCTGCTTGTTGTGGCCTCCCAAAATGTTGGGATTAGAAGTGTGGATAACTGTGCCCAGCCTGTCCTTATTTTTATTGGGTAGCCCTTTAAGAACTGGTTTAAAATCCTGCATTGTTTACTAGAAACCTTCACCTTGGCAGACCCTGACGTCATCTCGTCTTCCTAGCACCACAAGACTTGACATATCTGGTCAGCTTTTCAGATTTCTAGTCTTCCTTTCTACTTGTGTTCTTGGTGTCTTGCATATGCAGCTTAAGTGTCAGCTAATGTCTCGTGGGACCATTTTACATACAATTTCTAACTTACTTCTATGTAGTTCCTTTCTCTCTGAGATCTTGGCCCTGCAAGCCTTGGCATCTCCAAACTGTAACTTCCGCCTCCCCAACCTAGTTAAACTGCCTCCAGATCCCAGTACTGCTTTCTGCCTCTGTTCCTTATGCTGCAAATTGGCAAATGCTCCAGGGAAAAAGCAGAGGTAAATTAAAGTTTAACCACAGTGAGCTTACTTTCTGTCTGTGATATTGATCTTTTAAGTTCTATACTCTTTGTTTGATTTGATATCTTCAAGCAGGTTTTTTTGTATCTATTCAAAATAAAATCAGCTTTTATTGTTGATCTTAGAGGGAAGGTTAATCTGATGCATGATTGCCAATCATACTACAGGTGCAATGAAGTCATAATTATTCTTAAACTAATATTTTGACTATTCCATGTCTGGAAGTTTATTGGTCTTAGTCGGTATCTAGTCTCAACTTGTTTCCATCTTTTGCCTCCGCCTTTCCTTCTCTTTTCTATTTTTTGTATTTTGTCATTTTTCTCATCCTTTGGCAATAACAAACTTCTCTGCTTGCCTTATGAGGAGTACTGTTGCTCTTTTTTTTGAAGCTTTGAACTCTGTTGTCATCCTAACTGGCAGGATCTGCTTAACACTCCAAGCTCTTAATTTTCCAAGTGCAGACAGTTCCCTTTTTAAGAGAAATTCTAATCTAGTTGCTAAGAAAAATTTCTCCCACTACTTGAATCCAATTTCTATAAGTGTATATATCAGTTTTTATATACATAATGCGTAATTCCAAAGAGAAATTGAAGTAGCTTCACAGAAGGAAGTCGAAGTTTTTAACCAAAGTGTATTTTTGTATTTATCTTGCTGTCAATTTGAAGAGTAATATTTTATATATTCCAGTATGTTTTAAGATCTTAAAAAATGTTTAAAACTTTAAAGTTTCCTTGAAGCTTCTTAAAATCTAAGGATATACTCATTGACTTATGATGGGGTTATGCTCTGATAAACTCATTATAAGTTGAAAATATTGTAAATAAAATGCATTTAATATATCTCACCTACCACACATGATATTTTAGTCTAGTCTACCTTAAATGTGCTCAGAACACTTATTAGCTTACAGTGGAACAAAATCATCTAACATAAATCCTATTTTTATAATGAAGTGTTGAATATTTCATGGAGTTCATTTAATACTGTACTGTAAGTGAAAAACAGAATGATTGTACGGCTATTTGAAGTACAGTTCCTACCGAATGTATGTCACTGTTACACCATCAAAAAGTTGAAAAATTGTAAGTTGAATCATTGAATGTGAGGACCATCTACAGACCTATTATCTATCTGTCTATCTATCTATCTAGGTAGCTATCTATCTATCTGTCTATCTAACTATGTCTACATGTGTGGATAGGATGCCCTTTAAGTGTTACTATATATATACATATATATACATATATATATATATATACATACATATGTATATATATATATATATATGTATGTATATGTATATATATATGTATATATATGTATGTATATATGTATATATGTATATATGTATATATATGTATATATGTATATATATGTATATATATGTATATATATACACACACACACATATATATACACACACATATATATATACACACATATATATACACACATATATATACACATATTATATATACACATATATATATACACACACATATATATACATACATTCATGTAAGTATATAAATATGTTTTTTAATTTCAAAATTAAATTGCAAATGAAGCATTGATACTATGAATATTGCCCTCATAAGCCTAAAAATTCTTCCATTTTATTTCTTTTTGCCCAGTGCTCTGGATTCACTTTAAGAACTTATCATTTAAGCTGAATTTTAATGTATATATGCTGTTCACTCATTCAGGAAATATTTATTGAGTGGTAAGTCAGTGCCAGACATTGTGCGAGGTGCTAAGCATACTGTGGTGAGCAAAATACAGCGGGTCCCTGTCCTCATGAAACCTACAGTTCTGTGGGAAGACTAGATATTAATAAAATGACATAAAAATACAAACTATTTAAAAGTAAATGGGCAGCCTCTATAAAAGCATGTATTCAGGGAACCAATATTGGCCAGGCATTGCTAAATGAAACCTCCATGTTGTGTTATTAAAATTTTATCAAAGATTATGCATATTGTCTGTCATTTCCCTGAATAATCAGCAAGGTAAATGATTTTCAGTCACAGCCGAATAAAAGATTTGTTTCAAATGTGGTACAGAATTTCTAATCACCACAAGACCATGACATTAATAAAATTCCAGTGCATAGCAGTCATCCCACACACCTACGTATGGTATGGATAGGATGCCCTTTATTTTAAGTATTATTCTATTTAATGGCACATGTGGATAGTGTAGGGATAGAGAAAAAGAGAGTTATTTGTTATATAATACTAAGTAAATTTAGTTGTTCAGTGTACTATTGTAAAATTTCATTAATGCTCCAAGTTGGTGCTGATAGGTAGAAGGATGGATGTGCTAGTATTTATAGGACAGATCACACTTACTTCTAGTACTTGGGCATAAAGTTCACTATATGTGCAAAACTGATGAAGATTGAATACCTCAGAAGAGAGTAGCAGCCAAACACATTTGTCACACAAATTGTTTCTAATTTTGTTCTTGTGGCCTTGCCAAGGGAACAATATAAACAAGGGAATGGAGGCATAAATGTGTATAGTATCCTTGGCAAATGACAAACACACAAAATACAGAGAAATGTAGAATGGGTTGGAAAAAATTGATTATACCCACATCATACATTGAAGGATGTCTGATGTTGGAGCAAAGGGAAAGCCCCCCCTTCTGCCCTCTGAAGGTTTGCTAAAATGAACAAACAACAGAGAGATTAGCAAGAGAAAAGGTACAAGTTTACTGTGCATAAGAACAGGAGCCACACAAAATATGAGTGCATTAGTCTGTTCTGATGCTGCTAATAAAGACATACCTGTGGCTGGGTAATTTATAAAGAAAAATATGTTTAATGGACTCACAGTTCCACATGGCTGGGGAGGCTTCACAATCATGGTGGAGGGCAATAGAGGAGCAAAGGCATGTCTTACATGGCAGGAGGCAAGAGAGCTTGTGTATGGGAACTCCTCTTTATAAAACCATCAGCTCTCATAAGACTTATTCACTATCATGAGAACAGCATGAGAAAGACCTGCCCCCATGATTCAATAACCTCCCACTGGGTCCCTCCTACAACATGTGGGATTTATAGGAGCTAAAATTCAAGATGAGATTTGGATGGGGACACAGCTAAACCATATCATCCCATCTCTGGCCCCTCTCAAATCTCATGTACTCACATTTCAAAACCAATCGTGCCTTCCCAACAACCCTCAAAGTCTTAACTCATTTCAGCATTAACTCACAGGCCCACAGCCCAAAGTATCACATAAGACAAGGCAATTCCCTTCTGCCTGTGAGTCTATAAAATCAAAAGCAAGTTAGTTACTTCCTAGGTACAATGGGGGTATGGGCATTGGGTAGATACAGCTGTTTCAAATCAGAGAAATTGGCCAAAATAAAGAGGCTAAAGACCCCATGCAAGTCTGAAATCCAGCAGGGCCATGAAATCTTAAAGCTCCAAAATGATCTCCCTGACTCCAGGTCTCACATTCAGGTCATCGCTGATGCAAGAGATGGGCTCCCATCACCTTGGGCAGCTTCCCCATGTGGCTTTGCAGGGTACAGCCCCTCTCCTGGCTTATTTCACGGGCTGGCATTGAGTGTCTGTGGCTTTTCCAGGTGCATGGTGCAAGCTGTCAGTAGATCTACCATTCTGGGGTCTGAAGGTTGGTGGCCCTCTTCTCACAGCTCCACTAGGCAGTGCTCCAGTGGGGACTCTGTGTGGGGGCTTTCATATTGCCTTAGCAGAGGTTCTCCATGAGGGATCCGCCCTGCAGCACACCTCTGCCTGGACATCCAGGTGTTTCCATCCATCCTCTGAAATCTAGGCAGAGGTTCCTAAACCTCAATTCTTGACTTCTGTGCAGCTGCAGGCCCAGCACCACGTGTAAACCATCAAGGGTTGGGGCTTGTGCCCTCTGAAGCAATGGTCTGAGCTCTACATTGGACCCTTTTAGCCATGGCTAGGATGCAGGCTACCAAGTCCCAAGACTGCACAAAGCATCAAGGCTTTGGGCCAGGACCACGAATCCATTACTTTTCTCCCAGGCTTCTAGGCTTGTGATGCGAGGGGCTGCTGTGAATACCTCTGACATACCTTAGAGACATTTTCCCCATTGTCTTTGTGATTAACATTTGGATCCTCATTACTTATGCCTATTTCTGCAGCTGGCTTGAATTCCTCATCAGAAAATGGGTTTTTCTTTTCTATCACATTGTCAGCCTGCAAATTTTCTGAACTTTTATGTTCTGCTTCTCTTCTAAATATAAGTTCCAATTCCAAACCATATCTTTGTGAATACATAAAACTGAATGCTTTTAACAGTACCCAAGTCACTTCTTGAATGCTTTGCTGCTTATAAATTTTTTCCGCCAGGTGCCCTAAATCATCTTGCTCAAGTTCAAAGATCCACAAGTCTCTAGGGCAAGGGCAAAAGGCCACCAGTCCCTTTGCTAAAACTTAGCAAGAGTCACCTTTATTCCAGTTCCAAACAAGTTCCTCATCTCCATCTGAGATGAGCAGCATTTGGTCAAAGCCATTTGACAAATATCTAGGCAGTTCCAAATTTTCCCACTTCTTCCTGTCTTCTTCTGAGCCCTCCAAACTGTTCCAACCTCTGCCTGTTATCCATTTCCAAAGTTGCTTCCACATTTTCGGGTATCTTTACAGCAGCAACCCACTCTACCAGTACCAATTTACTGTGTTAGTCTGCTCTTACACTGCTAATAAAGACATACCTGAGACTGGGTAATTTATAAAGGAAAGAGGTTTAATTGACTTACAGTTCCACATGACGGAGGAGGCCTCACAATCATGGTGGAAGGCAAAGGAGGAGCAAAGGCACCTCTTACATGGCAACAGGCAAGAGAGGTTGTGTAGGGGGACTCCTCTTTATAAAATCATCAGATCTCATGAGACTCATTCACTGTCATGAGAATAGCATGGGACAGACCCATGCCCGTGATTCAATTACCTCCCACCAGATCCCTCTCATGACACATGGGAATTATGGGAGCTACAATTCAGGATGAGATTTGGGTAGGAACACAGCCAAACCATATCAGTGAGACTCAAAGAAAAGCCAGAGGGCTGAAGCTTAAATAGCACACTCTTTATTAAGGGAAACACACGTAGGGGAATATAGCCAATTTTGAGGAGTAGTAAATATTTTTGGGGGAATTGAACAGGCTCAAAGAACAAACAATTGTTTGCAAATAATTTTCTTTGGAAACTGAATGGGACTGAAAAGTTACAGAAATCTTACGGGGAGAACTGCACTGCGGACAAAAGCTGTCTCTTTATGTGCATAAGGACTCTTAGGAAAACTCTCAGAGTTGTCTTTAGAATAGATTATGTCTGTCTGGGCATGATGATGACTTTTAGCCTCATCCCTTCTCTTCTTTGATGGTTAACCATTCCTGGCTACTTAATCAGATTCCTAGTTGGGGAACTTTAAGACAATTGTATTACTTTTGGAAGAAGTTATCCTCAGTCAGATATGGTAGCTTCCTGAAGAAGCACTTCCCAGGGCTTGTGAGTGGTGGGGAGAAGCAAGAGAAAGTTAGAAAGTCCTTGGTTCTGAGGCAGCCTCTAAGGTCTTCCAACTTTTTAAAATTCAAAAGTGCTCAGCATGCCAAAGCACTATACTTTGAGGTATTGTTCTCTGAGCCCTAACACTGGCTAAGAATCGAATTGGTAGGGACTAAGGGAGCCACTGAAATGTATATGTGAATGTGCATGTCAGAGAAAATATCTGTTATTTTGTAAGATTACTCTGTAAACCCTGAGAAAATGGATTGAAAATAGGACAGCTATGGACTGCAAAACTTGTTGAAATAGATCGTAGCAATCTGAGAAGGCATGATACTCAAGAATTCCAAAAATATCACCTTTGATTAAAGACCATCTCTTTGCTTTTTTCACTCTTGGAAGAAGTTCAACAATTGAGGAATTTAATGAATCTGATAGATTTGAAAGATACAGATTAAAAAAACCTCACCTTTTGGATGATTGGTCTGTATTTAATAATTTGGGGTTTTTAGGTGATTTCATAATACTTTAAGAATTTTATGGTCTGACTTTTCTTTTTGACTCCCTCAAACCATGCTGCTTCACAACTTAAGAATTAATGTAAATATATTAAGAAATCCCCATCTTTGTCAATTGCTACAGAACCCTGCACAGTTCTGATGTACACTATTTTAGAAACCGCCCTAATTAAAATGGAAACCCATTGTGTCAGTATGTCTGAAGGAGCTAGAGTAATGTGCATTTGAATGTTTGTTTGAATACAGCTTTTAGGCTATTGAAATTTGAGACTGAGGCCAAGCATAGCAGCGTGGGCCCAGTGAAAGACCAAAGCCAGGCATGAATATTTACTGACAGGCGGTTAAGCAAAACAGCCACTCTGCTGTTTGTCTTTTCACTGTCCTGAATATTTGCTTCTTATTAATCTTTTAGGACGTATTCTTCCTTTGCTGAATCCATTATTAAACATAGAACAGATACTGTGTTAGCATTGTTTGTTCTTGCTCAGGTTGACGGAGGAAAAATGTGTTAGATGTAGTTAAAAGAAGTTGTATTACTTTTTTAATTGTGTGAATTTACAAATAGAACAGGTTTCTAATAAGATAACCTATATTTCCAGTTGTTTTTAGGTGAGAAAAGTTTGTATCTTAACACTAGATTGTAAAAAATTGTTCTCACAAATTCTCTAAAGTCTCCCTCTGCTTTCTGGGAGTATCCATAGAATTTTAAAAGAAATTATAGAGCTCGGTGTTTGTGATATAAAAACTACACTGAATTTTATGTTTCATGGGCCAGCTAAGGATTGCTCTTCTAGGATGATTTCACCATATTTATTTTGGTTGTAATTATTGCCTCATAATAATAAAAAATCATATATTGGATCATAAACATTAAGTATCAATAGGTCTACAATTCTTTTTCTTTAACAATCTTGCAATTTGCCAATAAAGTAACTGAGACCTGGGGAATTTAATAACTTGCCCAATATCAACTACCTATAAGTAAAGGCACTGATATTTACATTTAAGCCTGTCTTCAAAGATTCTATGTTTTTCTATTTTTTCTATTTTCTATTTTTCTATTTTTTCTAATTCACCGTGCTGCTTCCTCATAGAGATAAATGTCATACCAAATTATTTTTCTTCTTCTGAGAAGGGAAGGAGGATGAGGCATGAAGGAGGTACGACTCAAAAACATGAAGCCATAAGCCCTTATTGTAATAGTAAATGGCAACCAATCTTCCAATGGCCTGCTGATTAATGTCTCAAAATAAAAAATCAGATCTGGTGATAGCAAATTCTTGGCAACTAACATGAAAAAAGCAAAACACAAAACAATTTGAAGTGGGATTCTATTGTTACTTCTACATGGGAGATTTATACTTTTGTCTCTTTGTTTTCCCAAAGTGTTAGCTTCAGACAAACCAAAACTCCACTTCAGTTTGACCTGAATGTGTTGGGGGAAGCCTTGTAACTTACTGCCTGATGGGTGATGTCATGGTGAGTGGCATGAACATGGATGGAGTCAGTGATCCCAAACTTCCCAAAGCTTGGTTTGTATTTCAAGAATGTAGATGTCTATCCAAAAGGAAAGACGCATTCATTGGCAAGTGAGAAAATGTAGGCATTTTAAAAGTCGATATTATTAAATTGTGCAATTGGAGCTACATCAGGGCTTAACAGCTAACCAACTCTCTACTGTTTGGAACCTGTTTTTGTCTGAATCCCAAGCTGAAAATTCTAATATGTAGACTAGAATAGCATTGTGGAAAAGCCTTAATTGTAAAACTGGAATAAAAGAGCTTATATTTTTTAGGAGAATACAAAGATAGTCTTTTAAAAATGTACTTTATAGTTTGACAATTTATGGCAATTTCTGAAAGGGAAATTGGCCTCAATACTTCATTTCAGGTTTCAGCCTCTAACTATGTGACAGGATAGGGTATCCTCACAATAGGATGCCATTTTCTCCACATCTCACTTGGGGAAAATTCATCCACTTATGTTTCCTTCTGGAATCTCTTTTGTCCCTGAAGTCAAATTCATGAATAGCTCAGCTTAATCTCAGTGGACCCAACACTTCTGTTATTGTAGAATGTTAGTGTGATAGAAATTAATTATGTAATTCATAAGAAATTATTAGCCATTTTATCCTTCTATTACAGGTGAACTGGGGCTACAGCAGGCCTGTAAAAATTCAGTACTCCCTGAGGCTGATGGGAATGGCTACTGGATGTGGTTCTGCTGTGGTAAACCTTCGTCTGGGTAGATATTGGAACTTGAATAGCCCAATGTCAATGTATGTGGAGGCAACATGTCCATTAGCATTATTTATAAAATTCCATGACTGCTGACAAATGCTGCCTCCACTGCTGAGGTTCTGAGAGTTTCAGAACCCCCTCATGAAATATCAAAAAATAATCACAACATCCGCTAGGGCCCATTGGCAATAGAATTCTAGGTAAGGCCTCTTTAGCAGCTTCTCATCAAGACTAATAGCAACCCTTGTGCTCTGTAACCATAATGATGTTTGTTCCTGGCACCCTACACTGCCCCTGCCTACCATTTCCCATGACTCCACACTTCTAGTATCATGCCCTCTTCAGCTTCCTCTCACACCTGAGATTCTTAGTTGCTCCCACACTCTACTTTCCTTCAGAGTGGATCGTGCATTTGTACCACTGCCCTGCCTGGCACTCTCTCCACTGATCTTAGGATCACCATTATTTATTTTTTCTTTTAAGCTGCTTGGAAAATATTTCCCTTTAGCTCATTTCACAGGATCTATGAGCTCTTAATAATGCAGCTGATTTAATTTTGTTACTCAGTTTTTTTCAAATACGATTGTTTCTATGGTGTGGCTCTCACCTGTCAAAGATATATAAGCAGCTGAAGAGAGGATAGGGAAAGAAGTTTGTTTTAACTTCAAGCATAATTTTACCTGGCTTCTGGCTCAAAGCCCTGCTAAGACCTGGTGAGTCTCATTCTTTACCTCTCAGTTGCTGCCCCTTCAGGTGCTGTGTTGCCTCCCTGAACTTGACTGACTGCCACTGGCATCCTTTCTCAGTCAGGCTCTCAGTCCTGTCTCCATTTGATCTATAATTGTGAGTAGGACTTGGGACTTTCCCTAAGAAGTTTGTTTCTTTGGAAAACTTTAGGAGATATCTAGTTGTCTGATTAAATTTATTTCAGGATTCTGTGATAGATTTTTTAAAAAAAAATCTTTAAAAGTGTTTTATTTTAGAATAGTTTTAGATTTACTAAAAGTTGCAAAATATAGTACATAATTCTCTTACACTTCTCACCCAGTTTCCCCATTGTTAAAATCTCATATTGCTATAGCACATTTTTCACAACTAAGGAACCAGTTTGGTACACTGCTATTAACTAAACTCAATGCTTTATTCAGATTTTGCTATTTCTATTATTCTTTTATTTATTTACTTTTTTGAGACAGGGTCTTGTTCTGACAGGTGAGGTTGGTTCACTGCAACCTCTGCCTCCTGGGCTCAAGTGATCCTCCCACCTCAGCTTCCCAAATAGCTGGGACTACAGATGTGTACCACTATACTTGGCTAATTTTTTATAAAGATGGGGTCTCCCTATTTTTCCCAGTTTGGCCTTGAACTCCTGGGCTCAAGCAATCCTCCTGCCTTGGCTTTCCAAAGTGCTGAGATTACAGGCATGAGCCACCGGACCCAGACTTTGTGATTACAGGTGATCTGGGAGATATTTTTGACAAGAGCATAAAGGATGTATGGGAGAGTGTTATCCGTTATATGTTAGACTCAGCTCTGCTCCTTTCAAAACAACCTATGACAATTACTTCTTGGTTGACAATTACATTATTTTTTAGGTGTATCATGATAAAATGACTTGAAAGAGTGACCATCAAGAGCAAAAATTGTGTTTTCATATAGAAGCTCTTTGCATTTTTGGAACACCAAAATAAGAGGAAAGATTAAGGTAACCCAAGTCTTACATCTTTTGCTGAAAACTTTGCTGAGAAAAAGTGGGCTTGGGCAACTACTCCTGGTACTCTGCCTCCCCTGGGGCTGTAGAGCAAGGTTTCTGACTTCAGGCAAAACTATAGTGACTAGGAAAGCAGTAGGAATTTAGGTGAGACTTATAAATAAGAGAGAAGTCAAAAATCATTTTGGAAGCTGGAGAATAACTACTTGAAAATATACAAAGCTATTAAAATCCCCAAGGAAATTTGGGTTGGTCATTAAAGAAACATTCTTATATATATTCTGTACCTTCTTCAAATAAAAAAATCTGTATAGATGTTCTGAAGATGCTGTGTGTGTGTGTGTGTGTGTGTGTGTGTGTGTGTCTGAGTGTGTTTGAGCTGGCAGGATGACATTCATTAAGCAAATAAATATCGAGTACCTACTTGTGTACCACTATGTTAATTACTGGGGATACTGAATAAATAAGACTCTGCTCTTGCCTTCAAGAAGGTTATGGCATGGGTGGTGGTGATCTTACACATAACCTAGCAGTTTTTCTTAGCTTTCTCTTCCTTCAATTTTTATTCTATGTTATCTGACATGAAAAAATGCATCTAGTTATGGGTAATATGACCATTGTCATTAGCTTGTCATTATCTGCTAAAAGAAAATACAAGCATACATTTTTATCTTCACTAACAAATATTGCTTAAGTTTTTGCTCTCTGTTGCACATTTGCCAGCCATTAGGCAAATAGAAATACTTTAAGGCATACCGTATCCCTTTTCTAGCTTGTCACCAAAGGTATTGTCCTAAATAAGAAAACAGTGATGCAAGGTGGCCTTAGTTCCAAAGAATGTTACAGATTTAAATTCTTCAGCAGATTAAGAGAGCAGACAATCATTTATACTGGAACTGGCAGGCAAGGTTTTATGGAGGTAAGCCTCAGACTATGCTGAGAAATAAAGCCCTACATGTGTACAAAATTTTTAAGGATTGAACTAGACCAGCCAAGTTTATAAAATACGCTTTTTCCCTTTTCTTCAGTGTTGCTCATTTTCTTTCATTTCTTGCCTTCTTTATGTCATGATGACTGCGTTATAGTGAACCATTGTTCATTTCTCATTAGTTGCATTAGGATAAGGGTTAAGATGGATTAAGATGGGCACCAGCAGCCATGCCACCCTGAGAGTAATTAAATGTAACACAGCAAGTATAAAAATTATCCTGGTTGCTTCAAGTCTCTGAGATTTGATTCAGGCCTTGAACTTGCCCTGTACCAATGATTAACTAACTAATCATCTGGATATTGTGCCACAAGATGTCCTTTCAGCCTGATGCCTAGTTCATGGTGGAAATTTACACTCATGCTCCACTTTTTCTTGGTGTCCCCAAATGTTGTTTTACCTGAAAGATATAATTGGGACAATTTATGTCATAATTCTATAATAATATTTCAAGTTTAATTTTCTAATAGCCTTTGTCACATGTATTTTTATTTTTAAAGTATGGATGGCACATGAATTATGCTATAGTCATACACACACATACACACATTCATTCATATATATGTATGTATATGTGTGTGTGTGTATATATATACATATATATACACATATATGTGTGTGTATATATATACATTTTATACCCCACAAAGAGGTGAATTCTTTAAAGGAAATGAAAATAAAAATTTCACAGGGTGTAGGGCAGAGCAAATGCTCATCACAGACTCATCTGACAAGTCTCTTTCAAGGTCCTGTCCGCACATTGAAGATTCACTCTTTGCTCAATTTGCATCCTTGGCCCAATAAATGTTTTATGACCTCCCTCTATGAGCACTCACAGCCGGAAGGAGGTAATGCAAAATTGATCTGTATATTAAAACTGCTGAGCCAAGCGGGCTTGCTCCTGGAATTACACTGATTATGTGTATGTGATTCAACAGGCCCTACTGAAACACCGTAGTATTTGAAAAAGATACCCATCAGCTGCATTTTTTATATACACAGTTTTCTTCTTTTCCTCCTCCCTTTAACCCTGGGGGCCAACTCCCATATTCACATCTCTTAACTCCCATTTGGACTCATGAATAAAAATACATGCTTTCAGGAGAAAAGATGCTTCACTATTATGCTCAGCAGTCTATTATTTCTGGAGTACAGTGAGGAGCATGGAACTTGAAGTCAAACACACAGTGGTTAGAATCCCAGCTTCACCATTTATTTGCTACATGGATTTGGGCAAATTATTATATCTCTCTGGGCCTGATATTACTATTTGAAAGTGCAGATAATGGCGTTCAACTGCCTGACTTGTTACAATGTAACTAGTATGACTAGGTTTTGACTATCAGTGAATATAAAATAAGACCCATATCCTTTAATACCCATGTTATGATGGTGTGAATTAATACTGCCATGATAGATTCCCCTAAATTGTGCCCCAATTATTTCTGGAAATGACACTACATTCTCTGTTACATGCATTAAGAACAGACTCATTTAGTTTCTTCATTCTGTTCTCTTTGGACAATCTCCCAAAATGTTTCAGTTGCAACTATTTTTATAGAGTGCCTAATTTGTGCCAATATCTTTTCTAGCATGTGGGTTGTGTAATAAATAGGATAGATGAGGTCCCTGTTTTCATCAAGCTTATAGATGGTGGCAGGTGGGAGTGTGATAGTTGAGTAAGATAGATAAATAATTATGTAGAAGGACAAATACTCTGAAGAAAATAAAACAGCAATCCTGTAGAAATTGACTGGCAACATTAGAGATAGTAGTCTGGAAAGTGTTCTCTGAGGAGGTAACATTTGAGTTAATACCTAGGTGGTGGAGATGGAACTCACTAAGTGAAGATCGGAGGTGGATGAAGAACATTTCAGATTGAAGGAGCAACAAGTGCAAAATTCTGAGAAAGATTTACTAACTTAGAGCAACCGAGGAAAGGAGAGTATAGCTGAAATATAGTGAGAAAGGGATAAGGTGTACAAGTGTAGTCTGAGATTTGTGCAAGAACCTTATGTTTGGCCTTGTAGAGCTTCAAAGGACAATCAGACTGGAAGATGTTGACATGTTTTAAACAGGTAATCCACGTACTTTTTGAAAATGATTTATGAATATATGATGTTCTGAAATTCAGAAAAAAAGTGTTTCAGTAAGTCAAGAGTGTTTGACTATGTAACACACGACTGCGAAGTGAAGCAAAAAGAGAGACAGAAGAGACTGTAAATTTGGCAACATGGAGATTATTGACAAGGTCTTGATAAGAGCTTTTCATTTGAGTCTAGAGGGTGAAAACTCAGTTGAAATGAGTTGAAGATAGGATAGGTGTTGCAGAAGAGGATATAGACAACTTTTTAAAGTATATTTGGCTGTTGAGGAAAATAAAGAAAAGACTTTCTGAAAGGATATGATAGGTCCAGTAAAATTTGTTTTTTAATGGCAGATACTAGAGACTGTGTATTTGTCAATATTAATAACCCTTGCAGAAGTATACATTTATGATTCAAGAGAAGGAGGGAATCATTGCCAGAGTGAAATCTTTAAGAGGGTATGAGACAATATCTCTAGAACACAGGTGATTTGCCTGGCATTTGATGAAAAAGGGACTAATATCCTATTGTAGTAGAAAAGAAAGCAGGGCATCTTTTGGGAAATTAAAGACAATTTCACCTGATTATTTCCACTGTCTCAGTGGAGTACAAGGTAAGGTTATTATGTAAGAGGAAACATAGAGAAAAAGAGGTTTTGGGGGATTATGGAGAGAAGAGAAAATGTGAAAGTCACTGAGGGGAGAGGGAATTTGAGCTTACGAGGAAATACACCAGTCTTTCCAAGCTAGTATATTTTGCAAATAAAGTGAATTTAAAGTGAGACCTGCTGGTGAGGTGGGAGGCCTCTACCCCTATTGCTGCAAGACCTCCTAAAAACACTGCTCATTAACAAAGGCTTTGCTGATAATTGCTGCTGCTGCTGCTGCTGCTGCTGCTGCTGCTGCTGCTGCTCCTGCTGCTCCTGCTCCAGCCATGAGAAGACTATATATACCCTTTGCTGCTTCATTCCAAGAATAAAACAAGCACTTTATTAAGCCACCCATGGAGCAAGAACAGGCTGCAACTTTAAACAAAATTTACCGATGCTTTAGATATGGTAGAAGAAAATAATGGTGATATAAATAAATTATTTTATGTAACTACTCTTGGAATTCAATGGAGCATTTTTTCATGCCTATAAATCAACTGGATGCCATATGGTAGCAAGGGCCAATTTACTTCCCCAGAGAATGCCCTTGAAAGTGACTGCTCTATGTCCAAGCACCAACTATGCCAAGGATCCATGAAGATGAAGTTACTCCATTCTCATCCATGTCTACGATTTGTCTTCTAACTCCCAATTTTCTGTCTCCAGGATCTTCCTCCTCGCAAGTTGACTCATAGTAGTAATTTGCTTTTCATGGGTGTGTTTTTATTTCTAATATACTTCTATTGTGGTAAAATACATATAACTTAAAATTTACCATCTTTACCGTTTTTAGCATACTGTCCAGTGGAATTAAATACATTCATAACGTTGTACAAACATCACCTCCATTTGTATCCATGATTCTTTCCATGTTGTAAAGCCAAGCCTATATTCATTAAACAATAACAGCTCATTTTCTATTCCTCCATTCCCTGGCAACTATCATTCTATTTTCTGTTTCTATCATGTTGACTGCTGTAAGTGTCAATCATACTGTATTTTCTTTTTGTGACCAGCTTATTTTGCTTAGCGTAATGTCCTCAAGATTCATCAATGTTGTAGTTTACGTCAGCACTTTCAATCTATTTGGGTATTTGGATCTAAAATGAGCCTCTTGTAGACAGTGTACAGTTGGATCATGTTAGTTCACCTATTCTAATCTCTGTCTTTTGACAGAGTTAAACTCGTTTGTATTTAGAGTAATCACTGACAAGAAGGGATTTATTTCTATCATTTTCCTATTGTTTTTTATATTATTGCTTTTTTATCCTTCATTTTCTGCATTTTTTTTAGTGTTTAGTTGATTTTTAGTGGTGAAATGTTTAAATTCCTTTCTCATTTCCTTTGGTGTATCTTCTATATGTAGTTTCTCTGTGGTTATCATGAGTACGTGTAATATTCAAAAGTTATACTCTAATTTGAATTAATATCAGATTAACTTCAATAACATAAAACTCTGCTCTTTCATGACTTTTCCCCATTCCTATTGTTGTTCATGTCAAAAAATATATCCCTATACATTGTGTACCCTAAAATATAATGTAGTAATTCTTTTAAATGCATTAATCTCTTAAATTATATAGAAAACAAAATGTGGAATAACAAACCATTGTTATAATGATACTAATTTTAAGAGTAATAATTAGTTTTAAAAAATGTATCACTCTCCTAAATAATGTAGAAAACAAAAATTAAGTTATAAACCATGATTAAAATAATACTTTTGTTATTTTCCATGTACTTACTTTTATTTAGATTTTTATTTATTCATATTACTTTGACTTGCAGTCTAGTATTCTTTCATTTCACAAAGCAAGGCCCCCTTAAGCGTTTCTTGAAGGACAGGTCTAGTGGTAACAGACTGTCTCAGCTTTTGTTGATCTGGGAATGCTTTGCTTTTTGAAGGACAATTTTTGCTAGATGTAGAATTCTTAGTTGACAGATATTTTATTTATTTATTTATTTATTTTTAGCAATGTGTCTATATTGGCTCATTGCCTTCGGGCTTCCAAAGTTTCTGATGACAAATCTGCTGATAATTTCATTGAGAATCCCTTGTATGTGATAAATAATTTCACTTGCTGCTTTCAATATTCCTTCTTTGTCTCCAGCTATCTCAAGTTTGATTATAATGTGTGTCAGTGTGGGGCTCTTTGCATTCATCTTAAGTTTATTGTGTTTCTTGTATGTTTATATTCATGTCTTTCATCAAATTTGGTGTTTTCAAGTTTCAGGCACTATTTCTCATGTTCTCTCTACCCTTTCTCATTTTTCTCCTTCTGGGACTTCCACAATGTATATGTTGGTGGGCTTGATCGAATCCCACAAGTGTCTTATACTCTTCACTCTTCAAAATTTTTTTCTTCTGTTTCTCATACTCAGTAATTTCTATTGTTCTATTTTCAAGATTGTCAGTTCTTTCTTGTGACTGCCCAAAATCTGTCTTTGAACACCTCAAGTGAAATTTTTATTTCAGTTATTGTATTTTTAGCTCCAGGATTTCTTATAGATTTAATTTTAGAGTTTTTCTATATATCTTTGTTGATATCTCTGTTTTGTTGACACATTGTCTTCTTGACTTTATCCACATCTTTCTGTAGTTTTTGTGTATATGTAAGACTGTTGTTTTAAAGTCTTTGTCTGGTAGATCTGCTATCAGACCTACTAGAACATCAGGGATAGTTTCTGTTGATTTATTTTTTTCTTTGAATAGGTCATATTTTCCTGTGTATTTTTATGCCCTGTAATTTTTTGTTAAAAACTGGACATATGAGTGGTAATGTGGTAACTCTGGAAATCAGATTCCCTTTCTTCCCAAGGTTTGCTGAGTTTCATTTTTCGTTTGTTTGTTTTCCAGATTGTTGTAGGTTGCCTCTGTGCGAATAATCACCTTAAGGTGAAAATTTAAGGTTTTCTGAGGTCTTTTCTGAGCCTGAATTTTTCCCTGGCATGCATGGTCACTTTCTAATTTTCTTTAAATGTGCCATTGGTTTTGAAATGTCCCCGTGTTTAGCATATGGATCCCAAACGGTAAAAAAGGAGAAAGATGGAAGGGGAATAGAAAAGGGACCAGTATTTTAAATCTCCTGGAATTTACTTCAACCAGAAGTTCAGGGGGGAGTGGGGAAGCACTTGCAACAATGGAAAGAGTAGCAGCAGCAATGGCCACCCACTTGTCTGTCTCCACTTCTGTGATGAAAAGTGGCAATCAGTGATCAGAGATTTCTGACATTTGGAGGAAAGGGTGCTTTGTGTCTGGCCTGGCTCCCCTAGGTCATGTGCTTGCTGCTCTAGGAACATGTGCACAGCTGCCTGCCACAGGGCTGAGGGATGGGGGATTGGTAATAGCTAATATGCTAAGAGCTAAATGAACTGAATTTAACTGCAATTTATCGTTCTAGCTTTCTCATGGATGTTTCAAGCCTTCAATTGATTCCAGAGTTTCAAAATAGTTACATCAGGCAACTTCTGACAGTGCCTTTATTGCCTTGGTGAAGAGATAGGTTCCTGGTGCTCCCCACTCTCCCATCTTCCCAAAATCCTCTCACCAATTCACCTTTGAAGAAAGTCTATCTTAAGCAAAATGAATGTAGTCTTGCTCAATGTCTGACTGAGATAATAATAATCAGTAAATTTTGGATTATTATCAATGTCACAGTCTGATTATATACTTTTTATGTCACTACAGTACCTTGAGGTAAAAAACATATCTGTATATTCTTTCTATAGATCTCTCCATCACAGCTCTTTACACACCATCTCAGCTGCTTAAGAACACAAATAATTTCAATGAGCAACAGTATTTTCTTAATCCACTCCCAGTCCAGGAATACAGTTTGCTGAAATACAGTTTTTATGCAGGGCAATTTACATTGACAAATTGAAATCATGGCAGTGAACATTTTACATTTTTTTCACACAAATATGTGTCATAGCTTTCTATTTGTAGAATTATGGCTTATTCAAGATGTTTCCCCAATGACAACAACAACAAAAGGGAATTGAGGTCTCTCCTTCCAATGATAGATAATCACTCTAAGTTTAAATGGCAGTTCTCATAGGTCTCCAAAAAAATCTTCAAGTTGAGTTGCAATCTAAGGAAGGAACTTGCAGAATAATTTTAAATTCCACATATATAATTTGTCTGGAACGTGACTAAAATAAAATAAAGTCCCAGTTTAGTATATTTTAAATTATATCCCAAGAAGACATAGACTTTTGTTATAAGTGATCTTATAGTGTTATTATACCTAGATCATAGGTAGATACCTGGGCAACATGTGTACTTTCCACCTATATTATTTTCAAAATATAAAAATAAATTATTATAATATATATTACTATTAGGTAGTACAAAGGCCTAAATTTGCATTATGGACTGCATTTCTGCCTCTCTATTGGCTTATTTTCTGAAGTGTATTGCCTCAATGTATTAAAAATTGCCATTTGGTACAAGAAGAATTCATCTTGAAAATTTCCCAATAGATTTATTTGTACAATTGGTTTAATTTGAACTTCAGCATTTATTTAAATTAATAAATTGTAATAGTGAATTTTTATGACACCACTTTATTAAAAATAAGACTTAATTGTGGTTAATAATGTAATTGTGGTTTGCCACAATTATAATTCAAACATAAACATTTAGTTAAATGTTTACACTGGTGTGGGTAAAGTTACAGTAGGAGTAAGGAAAGAGAATAAGAGAGAAAGGGAGAAAAATGTATTTACAATGAATGGCAGTGGGAAAATAAAGCATACGATATTGTCATGTGGGTTGGTAACTGTGATCAGGAAAAAAAAAGGAAGATCTCTTAATGATTAGAAAGAAGATGAAATTGCAAATAATGCACCAAAGCTCAGGGCTGCCTAATACAGAATAGTAGCCATGAAATGGAAAGTGTTGGCCTGCTTTAAGAAACATCAATCTTTTTGATATTCATGCATTGATTTAGTCATTCATTTACTCATTTATCCATCAATTTTTAAATCATGTTTAGATGAGAGCACTGAGGAAAAATTGTCCAAATTTTGAAAAAAAGGTGGTGAGATAACTATCTGGTTTTATGTCTTTCCTTTTAGAGTCGGCTCCGTATGTGAATAGTAATTACAATTAATTCTGCCACTTCAAAAAAAAAGATTTTTGTCCTTCACAACAAAAATCTATATTACCTCTCTTCTACTTGATATATGGCTAGTGTGAATTGAGATGTGCTAAGCGTAAAACACACACAGGATTTAGAAGTCTTCATAATAATAAAAATGTAAAATATCATTAACATTTATGTTGATTACATGTTGAAATGGTATTCTGGATGTATAGCATTAAATAAAATGTATTATTAAAACTAATTTTACTGGTTTCTCCTGCTTGCTTTTACTGTGGTTACTAGCAGTTTAAACTTTCAAATGCAATAACACACATAACCAATGGAATAGAGTAAGACAGCCCAGAAGCAAACCTGTGCATATATGGTCAACTGATCTACAACGAGGGTGCCAAGAATACACAATGGGAAAATAATGGTCTCTTTATTAAATAATATTGGGAAAATTGGATATCTTCATGCAAAAGAATAATGTTGGATGATTATCTCACACCATACATATAAATCGACTCAATATGGATTAAAAACTTAAATATACCTGAAACTGTAAAAATCCTAGAAGAAAACACAGGAAAAAGATTCCAGAAATTGACCTTGGGAATGATTTTTTGAATATGTTACTAAAAGCACGGGCAATAAAATCATAAATAGACAAGTGGGATTATATCAAAATAAAAAACTACTTCACAGCCAAGGAAACAACAAAATGAAAAGGCAAACTAGGCTAGGCATGGTGGCTTATGCATACAATCCCAGCATTTTGGGAGGCTGAGGTGGGAGGATTGCTTGAGACCTGAGGCCAGAAGTTTGAGACCAGCCTAGGCTACATAGTGAGACCTCATCTCTACTAAAAATTAAAAAAAAAAATTAGCCAGGCATGGCAGTGCATGCCTGTAGTCCTAGTTACTTAGGATCCTCCCCACTTCAGCTTGGATCACTTGTGCCCCGGAGGTCAAGGCTGCAGTGAGCTGTAAACACACTACTGTACCATTGTACTCCAGCCTGGGTGATAGAGACCCTTTCTAAAAACAACAACAACAACAACAAAAAAACAAAGAAACAGAAAACAAACAACAACAACAACAAGAAAATACCTACATAGTGGGAGAAAATATTTGCAACCAAATATTTCATAAGGGGTTAATATTCAAAACCTATAAGGAACTCCCACAACTCAATTAAAAAAAAAACACACTTAAAAAATTGGGCAAAGAACATGTAGAAGCATTTCTTCCAAGAAAACATACAAATAGCCAAGAGGTATATGAAAAGATGCTGAACTTCACTATTTATCAGGGAAATGCAAATCAAAACCATAATGAGATATCACCTCACACCTGTTAGCATGGCTTTTGTTAAAACCCAAAATATAACAAATGTTGGCAAGGATACAGAGAAAAGCGAACCCTGTAACCTGTTGGTGGGAAATTAAATTTGTGTAGCTACTATGAAAACAGTGTGGGTTTTCATAGGGTGAAACAGGCGGTGACCCTGAAAACTAACAATAGAACTATCATATGATCCAGCAATCCTACTTCTGGATATATATCTAAAGAAATTAAAATCAGGACCTTGATGAGATATGTGCACTCCCATGTTCATGGCAACATTATTCACAATAGACAAGATATGGAAGTAATCTAAATGTCCATTAGTCAATGGGTGGAAAAAGAAAATGTACATAAACTCAATGGACTATTATTCGGCCTTAAAAAGAATGATATCCTGCATTTGTGACAATATTGATGAACCTGGAGGTTCATATTATGTTATTATATAATGATCATGAAATCATATTGTGTTAAGTGAAATAAGCCTGACACAGAATGACAAATATTGTGTTATACACTTATATGATGAATGTAAAACAGCCAAACTCATAGAAGTGGAGAGTGAACTAGTGGTTGCCAAGAGCTGGGGACTGAAAGAAGTAGGTAGGTATTAGGTAAAGGATACAAAGTTTCTGTCATACGAGATAAATCCTAGAGATCTACTGTACAACGTAGTGCCTATGGTTAATTATACTGTATTGTACAGTTAAACCTTTCCTAAGAGAGTAGATCTCATATTCAGTGTCATCATCATCATCATCATCAACATCATCATCATCATCGTCATCATCATAAATAAGAAGGCAGGAGAAAGTTTTGGAGGTGATCCATGGATTTATGACATAAATTACAGTGATGATTTCATGGGTGTATACTCATTTTCAAACTTACCAAGTTGTATACATTAATTATATCAGCTTTTGGTCTATCTAAAAAATTGAAGCTAATCAAAACATTTATCTTTCTACTAGAAAAAAGTTACAAATGCAGCTCAGATTATATTGCCATTGGACAGAAGTGCTTTACACTCTTCTGCCCCCAAAATAATAATTGTCGGAATTAATATAGGAAATTAAAATACACATAAATAGATATTACAGAATTATCTTTAATATTATAATTTATAATACATGATTTTATATTATATTTAAAATCACTATTTTAATGTGGCTAACTAGCAATTTTACATTATATTTATAATCTACAGTTTATAATATATTATAAATGTAATATAAAATTCTGAGATAGAATCTTCTTTTTTAAAAAATTTAATTTAAAGTCCTGGGATACATGTGCAGGATGTGCAGATTTGTTACATAGGTAAATGTGTGCCATGGTGGTTTGCTGCACCTATCAACCCATCACCTAAGTGTTAAGCCCCACGTGTATTAGCTATTCATCCTGATGTTCTCCCTCCCCGCTTTCCCCAACAGGTCCCAGTGTGTGTTATTCCCCTCCCTGTGTCCATGTGTTCTCATTGTTCAGCTTCCGCTTATATGTGAGAACATGCGGTGTTGGGTTTTCTGTTCCTGCATTAGTTTGCTGAGGTTAATAGCTTCCAGCTGCATTCATGTCCCTACAAAGGGTATGATGTCATTTTTTTATGGCTGCTTAGTACTCCATGGTGTATATGTACACATTTTCTTTATCCAGTTTATCATTGATCGGCTTTTGAGTTGATTCCATGTCTTTGCTATCCTAAATAGTGGTTCAATGAACATATGCGTGCATGTATCTTTATAATAGAATGATTTATACTCCTTTGGGTATATACCCTGTAATGGGATTGCTGGGTTAAATGGTGTTTTTGGTTCTAGGTCTTTGTGGAATTTTCATAGTGTCTTCTACAATGGTTTGAACTAATTTATATTCCCACCAACAGTGTAAAAATGTTCCTATTTCTCCACAGCCTTGCTAGCATCTGTTGTTTCCTGACTTAGCTATTTTTTAAAATAGCCATTCTGACTGGCATGAGATGCTATCTCATTGTGGTTTTGATTTGCATTTCTCTAGTGATTAGTGATGTTGAGCTTTTTTTCATGTGTTTTTTGGCCACATAAAAGTGTCTGTTCATGTCCTTTGCCCATTTTTTTTCTCGTAAATTTGTTTAAGTTCCTTGTAGATTCTGGATATTAGATCTCTGTCAAATGGATAGACTGCAAACATTTTTCTCCTATTCTGTAGGTTGCCTGTTCATTCTGATGATAGTTTAGTTTGCTGTGCAAAGCTCTTTAGTTTAATTAGATCCCATTTGTCAATTTTTGCTTTTGTTGCAATTGCTTTTGATGTTCTGGTCATGAAATCTTTGCCCACACCTATGTCCTGAATGGTATTGCCTAGATTTTCTTCTAGGGTTTTTATAGTTGTGGGTTTTACATTTAAGTCTTTAATCCATTTTGAGTTAATTTTTGTGTAAGGTGTAATGAAGTGTTCCAGTTTCAGTTTTCTGCATATGGCTAGCGAGTTTTCTCAGGACTAGTTATTAAATAGCAATCCTTTCTCAATTGCTTGTTTTTGTCAGGTTTGTCAAAGATAAGATGGCTGTAGTGTGCAGTCTTATTTCTGAGTTCTCTGTAGAATCTTATTTCTTACAAATTTTCTCACATTTTTTGTGTTTTTCTTTTTGCTCATCTTTTCTACTAAATTGGGCTTATAAATTTGAAAAAAATAGAACATTCCTCCTTACTTTTATTTTATTACCTACCTCTCTGACATGTTTCAAGGTGTTATATATAGCACTACATATGATAGATCCTGAGGATCTATTGAGAAAATATAGTTCTATAGGTGGATCTCTGTTTCCTAGTGCTAAGTTATTTTCTATTTATTGTCATCCCTTGGGCAGCACAATTCTTTCTCTGCCTATGTCCTCTCCCTCTGTGTTGTACTTTATGTGTATGTGTACTTTGGATTTTGTGGAGTTTCAGAATGTATGATATTTAAGAATGAAAACAACCTCAGTTATCAAAAAATAACTCCAAACAAAACTCCAAAATCCATTAGCTTTACTAAGGAATAAGTTATCAGATAGATACTGTAGGGATTGTGTTAAATATCAGCCAAGAATCTTGTTATGTTTGAAATAAAGCAGCATCTAACACTGTTGGCATGAATGAAGCTGACACTTTGATACAAAAACTCACTGACTACAAATTTAAATATTAAAGTATAATGAAGTTGTAAGTGTCTGAAAAATTGCTTTTCCTCATGCACAGTAGGAATTTTCATCAGCGTGAAATTTTGCAGCCATTTCTTTGAAACACTATAAAAGCTTAATTGACAGTTGTGTGATTGGGTGATAATTTTTTGATGTTTTATTTACTTTTTCTATGGATTAAAATCTTCCCATTATTACAAAATAATTTTCATGCATTTATTTTTTAAAAACATATAAAATGCAAATCATATTGCTAACCCCAAAAATGTAAGCTATTAGTTGATTTGTAAACATGGAAGTGTCTGTTAAATGTCCAGGAAAGTTAAGATTCTTACCTTCTACTTATGTATTTTATACAAAATTATAGTCCCAATTTATAAGTATTTATGTTTAAACTATCAATATATGTACATATATGCTAATAATAGTTTATAAAATAAATGGAAACATATCTCATGATTATAATCTTTACTTATTTTTATATTTGTCAAATTAGAAATTAATGTTGAGGGTTCACAAATAAAATATATGTAAATTTACTACAAATACTTACATTTATATATGTTTCTGTATTAATGAACAAGTCTTTGCAGGATACTGTTTCATCATTTTTCCTAGGATAATTACTCATAATACCTAAGCTTTGGGATAAATATATTTACATTTAATCTATTTTTTGTTTAGGTGAAATTTGAAAATATTAGCTGAGTTTTTGTTATATGCAAGGTGCTTCTTTTTCTTACTTAATAGAACCACGGATTTTGATGTTTTATTGTCGTTATGTTAGAAAGGGTCCTTGTAAAATATTTGAATGTGATAGGATATCTACTTACTTTCAGAAAGTTCAGAAAGAAATTAGTTTTTTGTACTACATTTATATTTTTTTCTGTGAATTTGAAATGGTTAAAAAATAGAAGAAAAGACTGGGCGTGGTGGCTCACGTCTGTAATCCCAGCACTCTGGGAGGCTGAGGTGGGCAGATCACGAGATCAGGAGACCGAGAACATCCTGGCCAACGTGGTGAAACTCTGCCTCTACTAAAAATACAAAAAGTTAGCTGGGTGTGGTGGCACGCACCTGTAGTCCCAGCTACTTGGGAGGCTGAGACAGGATAATCGCATGAACCTGGGAGTCGGAGGTTGCAGGGAGCCAAGATCGTGCCATTGCACTCTAGCCTGGTGACAGAACAAGACTCTGTTTGAAAATAAATAAATAAATAAAAATAAAAATAAAAAATAGAAGAGAAAAAAGACTTAGTTGGTAGCTGAGTTGGACAAATCACTTCAACTTTGTGAGCTTGGTGTCTGCATTAGTTCTTTCTTGCACTGCTATAAAGGCATGGATGAGACTGGGTGATTTATAAAGAAAAGAGATTTCATTGGCTCATAGTTCTGTGGCTGTACAGGCTTCTGCTTCTAGGGAAGCCCAGGAAAGGTACAATCGTGGTGGAAGATGAAGGGGAAGCAAGCACGTCTCCATGGCAGAAGCAGGAGGAAGAGAGCAAAGGTGAAATGCTGCACATATTCAAACAACAAGATCTCACTAGAACTCTATCACAAAAACAGCAAGGGGGAAGTCCACCCCCATGATTCAATCACCTCTCACCAGGCCCCTCCCCCAACACTGAGGATTACAATTCAACATAAAATTTGGATGGGGAGATAGAGAAGAACCATTCCAGTGTCCCATGTGTAAACTGGCGATATTAATACTTAAGGTTATTTTAAAGGATCAATTATAAGTCAATTATAAACTCATGATTTTCCATTTTATTTCATG
Source organism: Homo sapiens (assembly GCF_000001405.40). Taxonomy (NCBI): domain Eukaryota; kingdom Metazoa; phylum Chordata; class Mammalia; order Primates; family Hominidae; genus Homo; species Homo sapiens. The sequence goes on from NC_000009.12 coordinate 24,312,379, forward strand.
GGCTGTAACTTGTTTTTCTCATTATACACCACTTTGATTTTCAAATTGTCCCATATTTGCTAGTAGAAACCCCTTTAAATTGAAAGCCCAGTTTCTTAATATCCTTGCAATACTACAGTTTCAAAATTTAAAAGTATTTAAATTGTTATCAGTATATGCACATCAAGGAAAAGTATGGTTTAGTTAAGGACATTTTCAGATATCTCAGGATAGATACCCAGAGAGTGGTTGGCAAGAACCCAAACTATTCTATAACTCCTGAAGGACATTGTTGCAGAGGATGCAGCACCTGCAGGAGGTGTCTGTGATAGTGAGTGGTGGAGAAGCAACCTAAAGTGTTGTTTGCTGTATTCATAAGTGGTAGGCAGGGGTAAACCTCTGATTAAAAAAAATAATGGTAAAAGACATTTTCTTACTTGTTTTAACAAGTATTAATTCCAGGAAGAAGAAATAGCATGGTTAGAAAAATAGAATTTTAATATTTTTACTCAGATTCTCAGGAAGCTGAAGAGATGAAATTAACAGAAGGAAACATGCAGGAAGGCAGGGTTGTAATTTGCTTCTCTTTCCTACCTTTAGGCAAAATCAGACTCAAGCTATTCCAGACACATAATGTTATTTCTTAGTTTAAAGACTTCTAGAAATAGGAGATTTCAGAACTTGGTCAATATTCCATTTCAATATGTAGTTATGCTTACTGCCTGAAATTCTGTGTCTCTTAAGTTCAATACTATGTACAATCTTAAGATTAAAAACTCTGTTCTCATTTTGTACTCAAAGAAAACAAAATTTCTGGCTATATTCTCTTCAAAGTGTCTATAAGAGAGTAGTTTTAAAATTTGTATTTACCATGTTCATTTCCACTTCCAAGGGGAAGGGACCTAATATTTTCTGAATTCCTATTCTCTGCCAGATATACAACTTTACTAACATTTTTTGTCAGTGCCAAGGGCTATTATGGGCATTTTATATGTTTGAATTTGTTTGGTTTCCAGAACTACCTTCTGTCTGCAGTTTTTTTAATAAAAATCACAGAGGTTGGGTTAATTCCCCACGTTTACACAGTTTTGTGTCAACTTGACTGGGCCATGGGATGCCCAGATATTTGGTGAGATATTATTTCTGAGTGTTTATAAGGATGTTGGTAGATGAGATCGATATTTTAATAGGTGGACTGAGTAAAGAAAATTGCCCTCCCTAACATAGATGGACCTCATCTAATCCAGCAAAGGCCTGAATAGAATAAAAGGCTGAGTAAGGATATATTTGTTCTCTCTACCTGAATGAGCTGGAACATAGATGTTCTGCTGGTTTCAGAGTTGGCCTTAGACTGGAACTTGTATCACTGGCTCTCCTGATTCTTGGACTTAGACTTGGACTGCAACTTATGCCATTGGCTCTCCTGGGTTTGGACTTAGCCTGCATAATTTTATCAGCCAAATTTCTTATAATCATGTTCTCTTCCTTTCTCTCTTATGTTTCTCTGGAGAGCCCCAACTAATACAACTATTAAGAGGTAGAGCTTGGAGTCCAGGCCATCTGACTCTAGCATTCTTGCTCTTAACTAATATACTAAGCTGTCTCTGATTTGACAAACATAACATAATTATCACTACTTGGCAAAGTCAGTGGGATTTTTTTCTCTCCATTTTATAGAAGAAGAACCTAAGACTTAGAAAGGGTAAGCATTGGTTTTGAGGTTTATTTCGCCAAAGTTGAGGATGCACCCAGGAAGAAGAAAAACACAAGTTACAGTGGGTTCTGTGACCTGTGCTTTGTTCTGAGCAGGGTTTTGAGGACTGCTCTAAAGGGGAAAAAGTGAGCAGGATAGGAAAGACGGGGAAAGGGTGGAGGTGGTAAGGATAGGCAATGAGGCAAGTGGTCACAGTCTTGTGAAGCTTTGATTAGTGCCCTCTTAATCCACATCTGACATGTGAAAGGAGGGGACAGAGGAACAGTCAATTACGAATTCATTTGGTACTCGGTAAATCTACATTTTACATAAGGTAAAGTAAGCATGAGAAATTACAGCTATCTGTTCGATAACAAAAGGTTGTCTCAGGGATTGGGAAGGGAGAATGTAAGTTCCCAAATACTCAGGAAGCTATGTGCTTGGAGGCAAGGGTCTCCAATGACCTGAGGGCAGCCTGAAGAAGAGTCATATGTATGGGCAAGTTGGAGGCAAACATCAGCACTGGGGAGAGGTGTACCAAAACAGCAAACGGATCTGAGGGAATGGGGCAGAGCCATGGTGCAATGAAGGGTACGCTTCGGATAGAGATCCCTCTGATGCCAACACCTATGTACTTTTTCCATTACCCTATTTTGCCTCCTGTTTCCCTTGCACTAGTCAGCCTCCCACTACTCCTGGCATTAGCACCCACAGACCTAAGGGCTAAGTTACCCTACAGCTTGGGAACAAATGTCACTTAAAGCAGTGAGAGAATCAATACACCCAGCTCCATTTCCTAGAAGGTCTAGTAGCCTTCTAGATTTATAATCAGAGCCAGGGGTTTAAGAAAGTGGTTTTGGGCCAGGCGCAGTGGCTGACGCCTGTAATCCCAGCACTTTGGGAGGCCGAGGCGGGTGGATCACAAGGTCGAGTTCGAGACCAGCCTGGCCGACATGGTGAAACCCCATCTCCACTAAAAATACAAAAAAATTAGCTGGGCATGGTGGTGCACACCTGTAGTCCCAGCTACTCGGGAGGCTGAGGCAGGAGAATTGCTTGAACCGGGAAGGCACAGGTAGTGGTGAGCTGAGATCGCACCACTGCACTCCAGCCTGGGCAACAGAGAGAGACTCCGTCTCAAAAAAAAAAAAAAAAAAAAGGAAAAAAAAGAAAGTGGTTTTTACATATTATAATTTATAAGATTTTTTTTAATTTATTTATTATTATTATACTTTAAGTTTTAGGGTACATGTGCACATTGTGCAGGTTACATACGTATACATGTGCCATGCTGGTGTGCTGCACCCACTAACTCGTCTTTTATAAAACTTTATTAAAAACATTTAACACAGTATAAAAATGAAACTAATTCCTTAAGAAACTACCCAGATCTCTGTCCTTCAGGGCAGTAATGCCCCTGTGTGCACTTTGGAGGCCTATTTTCCAGGACTTTACTGCATAGCAGCTGCTACCTGGGTTACTTGTGATCCTGATAGAAGTGAGTCCCGGAAAGGTAAGTGACCTACAGCCGATAAGTACCAAGTACCCTGTGGAATTCTGCCATATGAATGCACAGGACACAACAGATGAGATCTCTGAATTTTGGTTTTCTACCTGAAAGTCTCCCTTATTTTTCTCTGACGAGTCAGATTTATTTTCCTCTAAGCTTGAATTATGTAAAGATTTGTGGTCTTGTGTAGGCTGCAATTTGACAAACAGAGACAATAGTGCTAAGCAAAGGTGTGAAGAACAACTTTACATTTTTACAGCATTTTTCACAACCATTGAATCCTGATGCACTTCACAGGAAGTAGCAACAACTTTTTCTATAGATTCTATTAGGATGTGAATTTTGATACCCAATTCTGACCTTCTGAAGTTCATTTAATGGTGTGGGAGGCTCCAAAATGGTTATCTTTAGACTTTTTTTCTTTTTTGCATTTTTTGAACGTTTTCCTTTGATGTTTCTACACATCTCTCCAAATGAAAGCAAATATTTATTCATCTAATGATGTACTAAGCAATAGGGGATAAAATGCCAAACAGGAAATAGTTTTGAATTCTACTTTTGCCACTCTTTTTGTCTAGGTTTTTTATCTATAAAGTATAAATTATATATCCCCATCTCAAGGGTAATATATGCACATTGTGTTTCTTCTACCTCAGTAAAACACTGCATACAAGGCCCTTAGAACAGTATTTTACAGTCAGTCAATTATTACTGTTAGGAACTGACTATGTGATTATCAGGCACTGTCCCAGGGATAATTAAAATTATACTATGTTACTGACCTCAAAAAGCTTACTTCTAGTAGGAGACAGATGTCATACAGAAACAGATATAAAAATTTGAAATACTGATAAAAAAGAAAAGAAAAGATAGTTGATTAGAGGTGGGGCAATTTTAACTGGAGTGGTCAAGGATGAGGTGACTTCTCAAGTTGGGACCTGAAGACCAGGAGGAAGCCATGCAAAAACCTGGGGTTAAGTCATTCCAAGCCAGTAGTGCAAATGCCCTGAGGAAAGGATAAGCTGACCTGTTTAAGACCCAGAAAGAAGGCACGTGGACTGAAGGTGTGGAATGAGGGTAGACTGAGGTTAGAAAAAGAGCATAGGGAAACAAGTGGCACTAGATCACCTAAGGCCTTGTACTCAATGGGAGGGAGTTTGAATTTTATTGTGACTGCTGTGCAGAGCCACATAATGCTTTTAAGCAAGTTGGGAGTTAGTAATTGGATTTATATTGGATTGGATTGCATAGCCCTAATTTATTATTATGAATAATAAATTCATAATAATGTATTAGTCCATTTTCACACTGGCATAAATAACTACCAGAGACTGGGTAATTTATTAAGGAAAGAGATTTAATTGACTCACAGTTCTGCATGGCTGGGGAGGCCTCAGGAAACTTACAATCATGGTGGAAGGCAAAGGGGAAACAAAGCACCTCTTCTCATGGTGGCAGTAGAGAAAGGGAGTGAAGAGGGAACTGCCAAACACTTTTAAACCGTCAGATATCATGAGAACTTACTATCCTGAGAACAGCATGAGGGAAACTGCCCCCATGATCCAATCACCTCCCACCCGGACCTTCCCAGGACAATTGGAGATTACAATTTGAGATGAGGTTTGGGTGGGGACACAGAACCAATCCATATCAAGGACAGCCCATAACAGAGTTAAGAATGGAATCAGAGAGAACAGCTGAGCATTTGCAATGGTGGTCAAGATAAGAGAAGATGTTTCTTATTGGAGTAAGGTAGGGAGTAATGGTTAAACCTGATGTACTTTTTGTGGTAGAATTTGTTAGGCTGGATGTGGGAGGAAAATATGTCAAGGGTGACATGAGTTTTGGCTTGAGCAAAATGAATATGTGGTGGTGCCATTTTCTCTGAGGAGAAAAAAACTTGGATTGGGCCAACAGTTATGCTTTGGTCATGCTAAGGATAAGATACTTGTTACACATCAAAGCATGAAGCAGCCAACTAAACAGTTGACTAATTCACTTAGGGAGATTTCAGGACCGATTGTATAGCCATGTCTCAGTATCCACAGGGAATTGGTTCCAGGACCTCCTGCAAAAACCACAATCTGCCAATGCTCAAGGTACTTTATAAAATGGCAGAGTATTTGCATATAACCTATGCACATTCTTCCATATACTTTAGATTACATATAGTTATAATACCTAATGCAATGTAAAGGTGATGTAAATAGTTATTACTGTATTGTTTTTTAAAACCTGTATTTTTTATTGTTGTGTAATGTTTCTTCCTAAATATTTTCTATCTGTAGGTGGCTAAATCTGTGGCTGTGGAACCCATATATATGAAAGGCTGACTGTATATTCTTCAATTAGATTACTTTCAAAGTCATAGGTTAGTGGAAATCCTTTAGGAAAAATATTATTTTTAGCACCTATAGAAGATCAGGTGTTCCAAGTGATATATATGGTTTTAAAATTTTTAATACATGAATTACTAAACATTTTTAAATTTAATACTGCATTTTAAATTTTTCTTGTATGGCTTATAACCACCGCAGAAGATAGAAAATGTTATTTTGATTTTACTGATGGGGACTAGAGGTACAGAGACGTTAAATAACTTGCTCAGTTACATACTTAGTCGATAAAAAAGTCAAAATTTGAGCCTAGGTAATCTGACCCCAATTTACAGTCCCTGGAGTATAAAGGAAAAAGAGGGACTAGAATTCAGCTCTAATGCAATTTAACATTTTGAAGTCACGTCACAGGAGCTAGAGTCTGTGAGATAACTAAGAAGGGACAGTCAATGAGGTGTGAGAGAGTCTAAGTGAGGATGAGTTGTACATGCCTAGAAAAGTCATTCCAGTTAATGACCTCCCACTAGGCTCCACCTCCATTAAAGTTAATAAATAAGAGATTAATGTATCAAATGTTGTAAAAGCACCTGCTTTGGCTGCATATACATTCAATTTAAAATAATGCAATTTATTAAGTAAATATAGCCAATAATTATTATGTATTTAAAATATTCAGTACAGTACTAAATATATTTAGATATTTAGATAGGCTAAATATCTGAGTACATTTAATTTTTACAAAACCCTGATACATCAAGTTATTCCTACTGTACAGATGAGGCAACCGAAGCATACAGTGCTAAGTCCCCAAGGTTGTACAGTTGGTGAGAGGCAGAGCTGGGACCCAACCTAAGCAGTCTGACAGTAGAAACTATGCTCTTAGCCGGCACAATTTACCAAGTCTCTTAAACATGATACAAATGTACAGTCCATAAAGCAAAATATTAATTACCTTGAGTACATTCAATTAAACTCTCTTCATCAAGAGTTATCATAGGAAAAAAGAGACAAATCACAAACTGGAAGTATAATAACACATATAAACAACAAATGACTAGTATCTAGAATAAATATAGAACTCTTAAAAGGATTAATAAGTGAAAGACAGCCAGGCACGGTGGCTCATGCCTATAATCCCAGCACCTTGGGAGGCCAAGGCAGGCAGATCACCTGAGGTTGGGAGTTTGAGACCAGTCTGACCAACATGGATAAACCCCATCTTTACTAAAAATACAAATTTAGCTGGGCGTGGTAGCACATGCCTGTAATCCCAGCTACTCAGGAGGCTGAGGCAGGAGAATCACTTGAACCCAGGAGGCGGAGGTTGCGGTGAGCTGAGATTGCACCATTAGACTCCAGCCTGGGCAACAAGAGTGAAACTCCATCTCAAAAAAAAAAAAAAATAGTAAAAGACAAAGAATTATCCAGAAAAATAGAGCCAAAGACATGATCAGGTGTATTTCACAAATAAATGTAAGTTGTTTATCAACTTATTAAAAGATACTCAATGATTATAAAAATGTCAGTTAAAATAATAAGTAATCCTTTGATACTCAGCAGATTGGCAAAGGTTAGAATATCAGACAATCATAAACTTGGTGAGAATACGAAACAATTCACATTGCTTATGGAAGGCAAGTTGGCATAATTACTTAGGAAAATATTTTAGTATTATCTTGTAAAATGGAAGATGTTTACAAGGAAGGCCTCAGGAATATCACTGCTAAGTAATTGATCTAGAAAAACTCTTGTGCACGTTTACCAGAAGACATGTATAACATGTTTATAGCAGTGTGTTAGGTCATTCTTGCATGGCTGTGAAAAAATACCTGAGACTGGGCAATTTTTAAGAAAAGAGGTTTAATTGGCTAATGGTTTTGCAGGCTCTACAGAAAGCATGGCACCAACATCTGCTTGGCTTGTGGTGAGGCCTCAGGAAGCTTACAATCATGGCAGAAGACAAAGGGGCAGCCGACATATCACATGGCTAGAGCAGGAGCAAGAGAAAGAGGGAGTGAGGGTGTGCCACACACCCTAAAACAACCAGATCTCACCAGAGCTCACCATCATAAGGACAGCACCAAGACATGAGGGATCTACCCCCATGATCTGAACACTTTCCACCAGGCCTCACCTCCAACACTGGAGACCCCATCTCAACATGGGATTTGGAGGGGACAACCAAACTATATCATTTCACTCCAGCCACATCTCATGTCCTTCTCACATTGCAAAGTACAACCATGCCTTCCCAATAGTCCTCCAAAGTCTTAACTCATTCCAACATGAACTCAAGAGTCCCAAAGACCAAGTCCAAGTACAAAGTCTCATCTGGAGATGAGTCATTTCCACCTATGAGCCTGTAAAATCAAAACAAGTTATTTACTCCCAAGATACAATGTGGGTACAGGCATTGGATAAACATTCCCATTCCAAAAGGGAGAAATTGGACAAAAGAAAGGGGCTATAGGCCCCATGCAAGTCTGAAACCCTGCAAGGAAGTCATCAAATCTTAAAACTCCAAAATAATATCCTTTGAATTTCTGTTCTAAATCCAGGGCACACTGAATTCAGGACACACATTCACCTGTCTTGAATCCAGTGCAAGGGGTGGGCTCCCAAAGCCTCGAGCAGTTCTGTCCCTGTTGCTTTGCAGGATTTATCTCCTATGGCTACTCTTATCATGGGTTGGAATTGAGTGCCTGTGGGTTTTCCAGGTGCATGGTGCAAGCTGCCATTAGATCTACCATTTTGGGAGTCTGGAGGAGAGTGGGGTATCCAACCCCATATTTCCCATTAGTAATGCCCTAGTAGAGGTTCTCTGTGATGGCTCCACCACTGCCGCAGGCTTTTGTCTGAGTACCCAGGCTTTCTCATACATTCTCTGAAATCTAGGCGGAGGTTGCCAAGCCTCCTTCACTCTTACATTTTGTGCATGCATAGTCTTAACACCACATATAAACTGCCCAGGCTTATGACTTGCACCCTCTGGAGCAGTGGTCTGAACAGGGCCCTTTGAGCCACAGCTGGAGCTGGAGCAGTGGGGATATCGGGAGTAACCGCCCAAGGTGGCACAGGGCTTTAGTACTCAGGCCTGGCCCATGAAACCATTTTTCTCCCTAGGCCTCTGGGCTTGTGATGGAAGGGGCTGCCTCAGAAATCTTTGAAATGTCTTTGAGATCTTTTTCCCATTATCTTGGTGATCAGCACCTAGCTCTTTTTTTAGTCATGCACATCTCTCTAGCAAGTGGTTTCTCCACAGCCTGCTTGTATTCCTCTCCTGAAAATGATGTTTCTTTCTCTGCCACATGGCTAGGCAGCAGATTTATTAAACTTTTATGCTCTGCTTCTTCTTTAAATGTAACTTCCAAATTCAAGTCATCTCATTGCTCCCACATTTGAGCTTATGTTGTTAGAAGCAATTGGCCACCTCTTGGATGCTTTGCTGCTTAGAAATTTGTTCCACCAGGTACCCCAAGTCATTACTCTTAAGTTCAATTTTCCAAAGATACCTAGGGCACAGATAGAATGCAGCCAAGCTCTTTGCTAAGGCATAACATGCATAACGTTTGCTTCAGTTCTCAGTAAGTTCCTCATTTCCGTCTGAGACTTCATCATCCTGGACTTCACTGTCCATATCACTATCAGCACTTTGATAACAACCACTTAACTAGTCTCTAAAAAACTTCAAACTTTTCCTCATTTTTCTATCTTCCACTAAGCCCTCTGAATAGTTCAAACCATCTCCCTGTTACTCTGTTCCAAAGTTGCTTCCACATTTTCAGGTATTTTTATAGCAATGCCCTACTCTTCCATACCAATTTTCTGTATGAAGCCATTCTTGCATGCTATAAAGAAACACATAAGGCTGGATAAATTATAAGAAGAGAGGTGTCATTGGCTCACCGAAGCATGGCACCAGCATCTGCTTGGCTTCTGGTGAGGCCTCAGGAAGAAGCTTACAATCATGGCAGAAGACAAAGTGGTCCTCATATATTACATAGTGACGGTGGGTGCCAGAGAGAGAGAGAGAGAGAGAGAAAGTGGGTGGGGAAGGTGCCGTGTACCCTTAAACAACCAGATCTTATGATAACTCACAATTGTCACAACATTACCAAGCCATGAGGGATCTGCCCCCATAATCCAAATATCTCCCACAAAGCCCCATGTCCAGCATTGGGGACCACATCTCAACATGAGATTTGGAGGGGAAATCCAAATTTTACCAGGCAGATTTAAAAAAATAAAAAAAAAATTAAAAAGAAACAAAATCTAGAAATGGCCCAAAATGTTCATTGACACCAAAATGAAGAAATAAATTGTGATATATTGACACAATGAAAAATTTTTCATTGTCACTGTTGTTGCATTGTCATTGTTTTGTTTTCTTTGATATGTTGTTTAAGATGAGTTATAAGAAAATGCTGGTATGTTGATGCAAATAATTGAAAAGAGAGTACTGAATTGATGATGCAGAGAAGACAAGGAATAAAGTTCTTAAGAAGGCAAGAGAAAATGAAATCCAAAGCTCGCGTGTGCATGTTGTTCTTAGGAACAGACAGACGGGAAACAGGTGGACAGGTTGTGAATGTAGCAATGGGAAGGTGAGGTAGATTCTCTGTTTGCATCTATATTCTCTACAATGTTTGATGTGAGACATCATCGGTTGATTACATTGTGAACAGTTAGATTGTTGGAGAATTTAGAGGGAGATAAAGTTTAAAACAATTTCCACACATCTTCTGTTTCAACTTTAGTATGTTTTTTTTTCCCATGCCTGAGTTTCAGAGAGGAAAAAAATGTTGCTTTCTCCAGATTCTAATGATCCCTTGAATTTCTTGGTGAATTGGAATAGCTTTAAACCTTTTACTGCTTCAAGCACTATCAATCAGAGATGTCTCACACCTGTCATTTTTGAACCTGTAGCAGCACCCTAGTCTTCTTTGGCTTATTTTAGGAGTAAACATACAGGTAAAAAATGAGTGCTTGTTCAAGAGTTTGTATTTTCATTCATTTAAAACATTGAGCACCTACCATGTGCTATAAATTAACTATGTGCTGTAATATATGCATGAGCACCTCTATATGCTTTTAATATTTATTCATTTATTCATTGAAAACATTGAGCATTCATCATGTGTATTAAATTCTAGCATGGTGGCAAAAAACTGGTAAATATGTCAGATAGGGATAATTTCTATGAAGGTAAATTAAACAGAGTAAGGGGTTTGAGGGAGTTTGGCATTTTATATTGGCCTGCTGAATGGATGGGCTTTAGAGAAGAATAGGAGGAGAAAGATTGGACATAAAAGAGATCCACAAATCTTTACAGAAATTTTGCAAAAAAGATAGAGTGAAATGTAAAAGTAGCTGCAGGGGATGCGGAGGTCACAGGTGACTTTATTTTATTTTATTTCAGATGGGACACCATGATAGTTAATTTTATGTGTCCACCTGACTGAGCCATGGGGTGCCCAGATACTTGTTTCAACATTATACTGGGTGTGTCTGTGAGGGTTTTTCTGGATGAAATTAACATTGGAATTGGTGGACTGAGAAAAGCAGATTGCCCTCCCTGGTGTGTGTGGGCCTCACTCAATCTGTTGAAGGCCTAAATAGAACAAAAAGGCTAAGTAATAGAAAATTTGTTTTCTCTCTGCCTGACTGACTATCTTTGAGCTGGAACATGGTCTTTTTCTGCCTTAGGACTTGAGCCAGAGCATGCCCATTTGTTCTGCTTCTCAGGCCTTCAGTCTCAGACTGAACTATATCACCAGTCATCAGTTCTCCTAGGTCTCCAGCTTGCTGACTGAAGATGGGACTTCTCAGCCTCCATAATTGTGTGAGCTAATTCTTCTGTCTGTCTATGTCTCTCTCTCTCTCTCTCTCCCCCCCAGCTTTGGTTCTGTTTCTCTGGAGAATCCTGACTAACAGAGATAGAACAGAGGGTTGTTTTTTTTTTTTTTTTTTTTTTTTTGGTGTATGTGTTAATTGGAATTCTCTACTGGAGAGGGTTAATACATGATCGGGAGAGAAACCATTGCTGGTACGATATTTTTGAATAACAGAGAGGGAGTGGTATCTAGTGCATCAAAAGAGAAGTTATGTGTAGAAAGTTCATGTAAGAACAGGAAGTAAAGAAAAACAGGTAAAGGTCCAAGTATGTGTATGTTTGAAATCCAGTGGTGAAACCTTGTGGAAGGTCTTTTTAAATTGCCATAATTCCTTCAACAAAATAGAAAGCAAGTTCCACAGCTGAGAGTGAGCGTGAATTCAGGTGTTGAAAGTCTGATAATGGATGCATAGGTATTTAGTAGAAAAACGAAACAATTTTAAAGAAAACATGTACCAGCAAATTATACATACACCAAGTAAATAAATTCCTGTACAACTCTAAAGTTTAATTTTTGTGTCTTCATTCCATTATCTTCACTAATGTAATATTGTATTTAAAAACTTGTAACAATAGAGAAAATAGGATTTTACCCTTTGTATAGGCTGGGTAATAAGCATTAAGCATTAAAAGGTAAATGGAGACAGTGTAAAGAATAAAAGTTTTTAGTAATTCACAAAGAGATCACTGTCTCCTGAATACTTCCTTTTCAGACAGATTGACTTGATACCCTGAAATTGGACTACAGGACTTGACATATCTTCACTTTTTTTCTCTTTTTAAAGAAAGTCAAGCCATGTGATTTCCATTTTTTTTTCTGAAGTGGGGAAATGGTTTAACATTTATATATGTGCAAGCTTTATCCTTATAATCCTAGAGGGTTAAGGAGACCTTGGTTTACCCATCACATAACTTTCATTTGACCGTGGGTGGCTTTACTTGTGTATTTCTAAGTAGTCCTGCTACTTCCAGATGGATAGTAACCTATGATCTCCAATCTTGACCTATGTACCTGTCTCCCAAACAGAAGGCTGTGCAAGTGTACAAAAACATATTCATGCTAAAGCACATAATTTCTAGTTTTGATATTTAAAGAACTAAACTTTTAACTCTCTTGGTGCTAAGGTATGGAGAGTACAGGGTGCTGAGTCATAACTAGGTAGAAACAAGTAAGAGTGGATAAATCCAGGTGAAGAAATAAAGCAACTCATAGGAATTGCTAGAAATAGATTGAGTTTAGTTTTTTTCCTTCCACTTTTGCCTTTCTTTCAGCTGTCTCTATAAAATTAAGATCTGAAATTTGAGTGGAAAAAGCTGTTTGCTACAGTTTCATTTGCCCATTCAGGTGAATCTTCTAATCCAAAATCAACTTTCTGGCTTTTATTAATTTCTGGAAGCAACATTCTTAAAGCCAAATATCCCATCTTATTGTTAAAATACATTAACTTAATTTGAAAAGCATTTTCACATAAGTAGATTTTGTTCCAAAGATGTACTTTATATATTTTTTTAACTTGTATTTTTTTTCCAGGGGTGTGTGTGTGTGTGTGTGTGTGTGTGTGTGTGTGATTGTAGTGTTATTTTTCATTTGGTGGAGGCTGCTCTCTGGGATATGAGCTGTTTTCATTGTGTGTTTGTTGGTATGTTTATACAAAAAAAGAGACAGATAAGTACCACCCAGAAATGAGTGACAATAGCACTTCAGGGTTTTTGTTGTTGTTGATATTTAATTTTATTTTGCATATATATTATTTATGAAAACTTTATAAATCTTGTCAAAAAGCATTTCAGGAGAATTGGAAATGGTATCACAAGAAAAATTGCCTGGTGTGGATCAACAGGCTTTGTGGTCTGTTTTATAAATGTGCTTTTTTGTTGTTTATTTTATAAATCATGTATGTAGAAAGAGAAAAAAAAAGAATGATTTATTAAATGTTTATGAGAAACTCTAGTACACCCTGATTTTAAAGTGCAAGGAACAGACAATTAGCTCAGGGATTTGTCATTCAGGTTATTGATCACAATAGGAGTCTAAATGGGGGGAAAACATGAATTTCTCTTCAAGACAACAGTGTTGAGATGAAATAATCTTAATTTTGAATTCCCTTTTCTTCTCAAAAGTTTATTATCATCCAGCTTGCAGCACTGAGACCTTTAGCCTTTGACCAAGAAAGATAAGAATTATTGAGGGGGGTTATATTTATCTTCTGTTAACAGTTTCCAGAGGAAGGAAGACATGTTTTTGTCTCCTTCTTGCTTAAGAATAGGAGTATGTAGTGTTATAGATCTTGTTTGCTATGAAAGAAGAATAACTATATCAATTTGATTGAAGGTGTCAGAAATGTTTTGGGAAACAACAGAAGCAGAGTTCTGAGGTGGGAAAGGTTTGACATATAGCCACGACAGTGCTTGCTTGGTTTGTGTTTTGATTTAATGCACCCACTGGGTTTTTAAGCTTATTATGCCAGAAGAGTGAATTGCGATTTGACTAAAGTGTGTTTTGTGGACATTTGTCCTTGTTTTACCTCCATGCTCATATAAACAAATAAATGTAAACTTGGGATTTCTGTGAAGGGTCTGGAAGACTTTTCTCCGTGAGTGAGAGTTTTAGGCATTTTATGTGCTCTCATTTGGATGAAAAGAAGGGGAAGGAGTATTTTAGGTGACAGATTGTTTTAATAAAAGGTATCCCCTACCCATGGAGATTCTCTGTTGCATGTTTGGCTGCTGCAGCAAGTATTTGCAGTTTAATGGAAATAAATAGCTAAAAATCAGGGCTCACACTCAAGAAAGTCAATGACACCCATAATTATCCTTATATTCTTAACTTTTTTCATTTGTTTACATTTTTGCATTTTGATGAGGAACTTCACTTCCAAGTGCCTTAGTTTTCATATCCACATAGTGGGGTCCATAATGTGCTTTTACAACCCTACCAAGAGGATCAATGAGGTTCGTGTACATGAAGGGGCTTAATAAATAGTATGTGATTTGAGCTTTCTGGATGAAAAGTACTACGTGAGTACAAAGTAGAGCAGCCTCCCATAGGTAATGCCTTTGCCTGGATAACTCTGATTATAGGCTTTATCTCTGCAAAGCAGAGATTTTTCTTCTTGATTCCTTCCTGAGCTAAGGTGCCTATTTCCTCAGTACCTTTTCCTTTTGAGCTCGCATACACCAATCAAGAAACACACTTGCAAAAAGATTTGTTTACTTAAGTGCACACATGGTCAATCACATAAATGGAAATATGAAAAAAACCCAAAACAGTGTGAAAGGAACGTTCATAACACATCAAGCCCCCAGATGGCTCTCAGAAACTCTGACATCTCAGGTGGACCCACATTTTAGAATATGTATTTTCAAATAAAAAGAATGTATCCCAGGTACCTTAAATAAAATACAGAATATGAGCTGTTTTCATTGTGTGTGTTTGTTGGTACGTTTATATAAAAAAAGAGACAGGTAAGTACCACCCAGAAATGAGTGACAATAGCACTTCAGGGTTTTTGTTATTTAAATTTGACTGCCTTATATACCTCTTTGTTGTATAGCTTTAGATGAAAGTGATAACAAGAAATAATTTTATACCACACTTTAAACTGTTTACAAAACATTTTCACAAAGATTATTTAATTTGTTTCTCACAACAATCTTATGAAGCAGGAAAAACCTCGGAAAGGTTGTGTAACTTGTCAAAAAATATCCTACTGTTAAGTGGCAGTATGTAGTTTAGAGCAAACATCCTCAGTGGTTTTCCACATTTCCAGAGATGGCAAGCGAGTTTACTCACACATTCCATATCTGATCAGTGAGTGGCAGCTGCCTACAGTGCTGTGCTCAGGATGTTTAATCTATATCCAGTATCTGAGGGAAAAGGTGCAGGAATTGATTAGTGATAGCCACTCTGTATTTGGGCAGAGATGGGGTCATGAGTAATACATATCTTCCAATTCCCAAATGTACACCATAATGTGTGTTTTTAAAGTGTTTTGAATAATGTGTTTGCCTCTGTAGTATTCAAGTAAAATAGGTATCTCTGAACAATTTGTACCAGGAGTGAGTAGTGGATCTGCTAATTAGCTATGATATGCAAAACATAGTCACTTGTTCTGGAAGAATTTCGTGGAACTACTCCTTTATCTTGATTTCTGATTTGGAAAGTTGGCAGATGATTATCATATGACTATACATGTCTTTGATCCTTTTGTCAGTCTCTTGTATTTATTTATTTACTTATCACAAAAACTCTTCCACCTTTAAAAACTTATGCTGGATTTTTCATTTAAAACTCCTTTAAAAACTTTAAAAACTTTCATGTAAAACTCCTTTAAAAACTCATGCTGGTTTTCATGCTGGGTGTCTGGGTTAGGTGAACTCCATTTAAAATAGTTGATGTGAGTATAAAATCAAAATATAGAGGCAGTGAGTAACAAACTTCTTTCTAAAAACTTATTGGTAAAATGAAGGAGAAAGAAAGAGAGATAACATGCAATAGAAGTAATGTGGCAGAGAATCTTCTGAGTTTCCAGATATTCTATCAGGGAGGTGACAGTCTGTTCTTAATATTGGTAGACAGCATTGATTGCTGGATAAATTATTTTGGAAGAGCATTAATATTATGATAAATAATTTAATTCTGTCAACCACAGGAAGTATCCTATCTTAAGAGACATATCAGAAGATAGGTCTTTTTTGCTTTTAGGAAAATAATATGACTCATACAGTTAAAATGATTTCTGATCCTGACTATATCTGGGTGCATGACCATACTGATATTTTCCCATCAGTTTGCAGACAATTGGCCCACTTTGGTGATGAGTCATTCAGTTCCATTTCCAATCTTGGCATTGAAAAATACATAGATATTTCTAGTATAAAAGAAGATATTTCCATACTCTTGCCTGAAAATTAGGTTTAGAGCTATATGATCTGTTATTTTGTTACTTTCATCAGAAGGTTTTTTGCAATGATATTTTAATAAAAATTGCTCTATTACATTTTTACAGTTGGGAAGAACCTTTAAAGCATGAAGTAGAATCCATCACTGTATGGTTGGCTTCCAAATTTGTATCTCCTGCCCAGACACTTCCTTTAAGTCCCAAGCATATATCTTAATACAGAAGGAAATTTGGAGTAGAGAAAGCCAGAAAGATGGATATCATCTCTGACACTTTCTTCTCCTTGACACCCTATAACCAACCATCACCCACATTTTATGATGTTCCTTCCTTAATGTTTCTAAAATCTCACCATATCACTTGGGCTGCAGAGTTAATTTCCTTAGGTTTACTAAGTTTAGACCAAGCTACTGATCTCTCCTGGACTTTTAGTTTTGTTCTGATTTTCCAACAAGTATCGTTGCCCCTTTCCTATTCATTCTACAGAATAAGCTTTGCAAATGAAGCTGGTGTGGATTCTTTGCCACAACACTTGAGTATAAGAACACCTTTATTTCTATGAACAAATTGACTCTGCCACAAGACCCAGCAACTTTGGGTATGGGAAATTCAGTCTCAGTGGAGTTAGGTTAGGAAAGCCAGAGTCAGACTGTCAGAGCTCAAATACTGACTTTACAAGCTATGGGTTATCAAGCAAATTACTTATTTCTTAAAATAGTCTTAATTTACTGGTACTTGTAAGTATCAATTAAGATCATTCCAATAAAGCTTTTACTGCAGTGCTGGGCATGATGTAGTGAAGACCATTCTCAGGGCTGCATGGGCAGCCCTCACTGTCTGCTCCCAACCCTATAGCATTCATGCTTGGTCACACCTACAGGAACTCTGACATTGGTTCTCCAGCTCAAGGTTCATATAGTCCACCTTCCATAGGCATCCTACTCTGAACGATTGAGACCTGGGATTCTACTACGCAGTGCACCCCTTCCCACCCCTGAGCTCTACCTCTAACCTCATCCCTTCTCTTAGTCTCGGGTATGCCTGCCTTCGTGGATTGGATCAGACTGCATCTGCCTCTTCATGGCAAGAATTTCCCTCCTCCTCTCCTTTTCTGGAATAAGCCAGTCTAATACCACATAAATGACCTGCTTGGGTGAATGTTGGAGGGTAGGGGATCAGAAGAGGGGTGGAATAGTGGGGAATTGGGAAGGGGAAAGGAGGTGGAGATAAAATGACTACTTACCCCTTTGGATGAACAATCTTGGCCGTCCTTTCCTTGTATCAGGATGGGAAGAAATAAGCTATGTTTTATTTTTTCTTTAAAAACAGCTCATTTTAACACAAACTCAACTCTCACGTCACCTACTTTTATTAGGCATCTTTTACAGCTCAGTTCCATCTAGGCACAGAATCTCTGCGTCTACCATCTCCATGTTCTTTTTTCTTCCTTTGCCTCATTGACTTCCGCTAGTCCTTCATATCTCAAGTCAAACTGACTCAGATAATCCTTCTCTGATGCACCAGGTGATGAAAAATCCACCTGTTATATATTTTATATTTCTGTGTGTTTCTCCACCCACCCATTGTAGTTTGAAGTGATCTTTTAAATGTATATGTAATATCTGTCTCCCACCAGACTGAAAGCTCTAGGAGGGTAGGAACCATATCTGTAAGGACAGAAATTCTTGACATCAACAGCATGCTTGGCATAAAGTAACTTAATACATATTTTTTGGCTAACTGAATAGGTAATTTTTCATGAGCACTAAGAATTCATATTGTCTGTAGTACCCTACTGCCCTTTAGAACTTATTTTTACTTTTAAGGATTTTATATCTGCAAAGGACAGCAAATATGCAGTAATCTATTCTTAATTATGTTATAGCTACAGAACAATTTCATATTTGCATTTTCCAGTTGCCTTCATTGATCAAAATTAGAAATTAATTATTACTACTTTCTGTTTTCTGCATTGTTTATTACAAATTACTGGTATTTATAATTAATCTTTTGATAAAGCATTATAAGTTTACATATTGATTCATATGCACACACACACAAAGATGAAAACTTCCTTTTTTAGGATGATATTAACTATGGATTATCTCAATCTTTCTTCTCTTCTTTTTCTTCTCTCTCTACCGTTTCTCTCTCCCTGTCTCTCCCTTTCCATGTTCCTCCCCACTCCTTGGCACACAAACATATACCCCTTGATCTGAACCTGTAACCATAAGAAATGATGGGAGAAGCCATCCATAGGTGAACTGTTGAGCTTCAAGTTAAGATACGTGTGATATTAAAATGTTCTCTTTGAACTTACAGCTCTCCATTGTAATTTTAAAATTTGCTTTATCATTTTAAAGGACTAATTTTATTTGGCAGTCCTTCCAAGATCCTGCTCTTAAAATCACTTTGGAAATTAACAAATGCATTTGGTTTTCAAATCTGCTCAGCTGGGCACCTTCAGCTCCAAATTGCTCTGAATTTGCTTCCCTCATCCTCTTCTTGCCACCCTACTTAACTCAGAGAAAAAATGAATTTCCAGCAGAGTAGAAAGAGACCAGTTCAGAGATCTCTGCTCTTCTCTTTGAGGGTGAATTTCATTAGACAAATTTGGCAGGAATATTATCAGTCAATTAATAATTAATAAAATGTGAACTGAAGTCAAATTAATCTTCAGAGTACTGGAAAATCAGTTGCACTTCTGCTAATAAGGACTCAGTGTGCATGGAAATCTTACTGGAGACTGAGTACATCTCTACATTGTATAGTTAACCTGATTTTTTCCAGCCCAGTTTACTTATTGGCATTAGTATAATCCACACAGGGAAGTCACAATAACCATGATAAAGTGATGTTAGAGATAATTACCATCCTCTTTAGTTTCTCAAATATTCAGAAGGTTCTTCAGCCCTCTTGTAGGCTGCTGAACTTTAATGTTAGGATGAAGATGTGCAGGTGCTTTTTTTGTAAATTTTGATTTTATTGTCTTAAGTACAGAAATAACAGAGACATTAGAGAATGGCAGAAAACAAGGAAAAAACTTATATTATAACATCGCTCTAACACATCCGGTATCATTTTGATGTGGACCCTTCTTAGGTTTTTCTTCCTGTGTATTTTTACACAGTGGTAATCACAATATTACATATTTATTTCCCCTTGATATTTCAGAAATTCTTCCACATTACAACTGAGAATTTTTAAAGTACCAAATTAGATTATCTAACAAATAGATGTGGCATAATTTGCCTAAACATGTCCTGTTGTTGGATATCTTGGCTGCTTGCAACCCCTTCAATATTCTAAATAACATTGTAATAACTAATTTTGTGCAAGTATTTTGCTTTATTTTCCTAAAAGAGATTGACAAAGTGGTATTATCACTGCTTGGCTTTTGAATGGTTGAGATTAATAACATTCCTCTTCTACATGAAGTGTCATGGCATCCCAGAAGGAGAGAATTGTGAGTTTCTGTGATAATTCTATAGAAGCTTCATTCATTTGGATAGTTTCAAATGCCCTTTAAGCAATCTTTTGTATTTCACCTTTCTTGGAACCTGCTGAATTATCTTCATCTGTAGAAAGAGAAACAACAGCAGCAGCAACTACACACTGAGTACTTATGCCAATACACTAAGCCCTTCATTTACATTATGTTAGGTGTTCTTACAAAAAATTACCTGAATAGGTATTATTATTACACCTACTTTACAGGTGAAGAAAGGAAAATTCAAGATGGCTAGGTAACTTTCTAATGTCATACCAGGTAAATGCTCCTGAACTGGGATCAAACCCTAGTCTGGTAATACACTTCACTGATCACGCATGTAATGGACATACTTTTTCACAATATTGATAACAAGTATGAAAGCTTCATGCTCTTTACATTTCAAGTGCTAATCCCACTGTTTGTTGAAGTTAGTAAGTGCTATTTCATCAGGTGAGTAAGAACTCTGGAGATACAGTAATCTTAACAAGGAATATTGGATGTAATTAAGTAATAGATTATATTTTTCTCGGTATCTGCGTGGCTACATTGAAAAATGTGTCATAAAAAGACCATGTCTTTTGCATTCATTGCTACATTACTAATTTCAAGCACAGTATTAACACAGACTGGATATTTATTGTGTGTTGAATGAGTAAATACTCAACTCTAAATGCTAACTAATTCTTTCCAAGCAATTTATTCACTCCTAGCATCTGATCTGTTTACTGTGCCTTGACCAAGTAAATTTCTCAGAGTCCTTTTTTTATCCAATAACTCCATTACAGTACTTGTAAGTTTCTCAGAGTCCTTGTTTATCTGTTAAATCTCTTTCGTCATATTAAATTAAAATACCTTATTGCAGATTGCAAAATATGTCACTTAGAAAAACAAAACAAAGCTAATAGTAAAACAAAAAAGTTACCAGTCCTAGAGCCTATACATGTACTTGCAAATATGAAAAAAAGCTTAAAAATTTAAAATCCTGTAGAATCAAAATGAAAATGTAAATTAATATATAAAGTATAACAGCGCTGTATAGTCAAATGCAATTCCACTCAACTCTTAAAATATTATAGATACATTTTATTGTGGTAAGTAGGTGTATTTTTTTGTTGTTGTTGTTGTTTCAAATGATGTGGGGTGATGCCTTCAATATTAAGAGTTCCCAGGACTGCCAAAGTCATACACTACATATCACTGCCGCTTGGTTTGAATAAAAACTCATTAGTCCTACACTCATTCCTCTGGCTGTTGAAGGCCTGATTCTAGTAAGTCTGTCTTGCTGCTGCTGGTTGAAGATTAGTGGTTGGTGAGCCTAAAGGAAAAATACGGGCCTACACTTCCAGTTAAATCCTACTTATAAACTAGTACAGACTTTTCCTTTTTTTCTCTTATTTGAGCAAATATGTACCTGCATCTAAGTTTCCTGAAACTATTTTCTGCTTAGAGACTATCCTTTAGACATTGTATTAGACACCTCATGTGCACCATTTCTCATAATCTCACTCTTACCTCTTACTTCAGTTATTGTAGCAACCAATATCAGGCAGACTTCTCCAGCTTCACACAGTTCACCAAGAAGCACCTCTCTTGCTTTCTGTTTGGGGCTTCTTTGATGCTATATAGGACACCTGCTGGAAATTTCCTGGTACTGAAACATGTACAAACCACATGTTGGGGGGTCTGGGCCAATCAGGAAGAGGAGCTTGTAGACAAATGCTTCTCGTTTCTTACCCTGCACAGATGGTTTGAACACATATTTCATAAAGCTCCTCAAAAGGCCCTTTAGGACCAAACGACCCAACTCAGTAATTCATCTTTGTATTGGCTTTCCTCCCTTCCATTTATCTGCCACTCATTTCTGCTCTTTCAAATCACATTCCCAAAATAACTTCTCACATATTAGCATTTGTTTCAGACTTTGCTTTTAGCAAAACTCAGGATAAGACAGTCATGTCTGTACTATGTGTAACTATTAAGACTTTTCCAAGAAACATTTGATGAGTTAAGTTTAAGGTGACTGGAAAAGTCATTTGGGTCATGCATCTTTGTTGATATTCCACTTCCCCACAACTGTTCAGCTTGTTAAAACAATTTGCCTACTGTCTGAGAAAATTACAGAATAATCCCTTATTTCTCAACCAAACTTAACTCTCAAACTATAGAAATGTTAAATCTACCTCCTGAATTAATATATTATTAATCTTGATCGAAAAAGAAATATGTTCGCTATTTAATAATACCACTGATATTTTGATGCTTTTGCTTCCAAGTAGTATTTGGTACTGCTTTTTCTGGTTTGATGAAGTTTCAGATTGATAGGAATTTTACATGTGAAGACAGACTAGCTACAGTTCATTGTGTCATTCTCTCAAATACAATATTCTTCTGGTTCCTTGATGACACATTTTTTCAATCTGGATATTTAGAAACTCCTTATTCTGATATCATGTTGATGCCCATCCTTAGCTTTTGGAAAAGTTTGCTGTATTGGTGGAAATGTTAGCCTATCTGGGTCCAGAGTTCATAGACAGCCTTGAGTCAGCTCTGCTTGTGGGCTTGTTCCTGGTTCTCCAGCTGTCTGTCTGATTGATTTGATCTCTGCTTATTGTCTGCCATCAGAGTCACCAGATAATAAACTCTATTCAACTGCAGGGCTATCTCCCTGTCACCTACTTCTGGACATCTGGAATACTTGACACCTGTCTGCCTCAGCTTCCCCCCATTCCCACACTATTCTTCCTTTAGTTTGTTACTAGCCTTTCCTAACAGCCTCTCCTCTGTCCTGTCTGCCCTGGTGGGGGCATCCTACCATCTGTGTCAGGTCTTCTTGAGACTGGTCATTTGTGTTGTTGACAAAATCCTGGTTCTGAAACAAAGAGTACTACTATATAGTTGAAATATGTGAGAAGCAGAAGGCTATGGGTAAATAATAATTAAGCAATATTTTACATAAAGACTACCCCACCCAATTTTTTCATTTATATTCTGTACAGAAATCTTTGGTTTCAGGAAAATGTAGTCAGAATGAAAATAAATTATGTATCTTGTTTGGGAATAGGTATGGTGCTTCATTACCAAAATACCTAACTTACAAATGGGAGATAATTTTACAGATTTAAAAATGGGAACATATTTCTTTCAAAAACATTTTCTATTTTGGCTTGAACTTTAAGAAATCGCCTTCAATGATTGGTTTTCCTTTCTATGGCTACTCTTGATCTCAGCATTGGTTTCTCTCTCTCCTAATAGAAGATGCTTCCTCCCATGCTCCATATCCAACTAGCTAGTTACTGATGTTGGCTGTGGCATTTTTTTTTCTTTTATTTTTCTGAAATTGGAGACTCTGGTTGTGACTCAGGCCTGTCGTCCTATAAATATGTACTGTGGATCTCAGTGGGAACCAGAGACTAGAGAGTAGGACTGCATTGACATAGAATCCTTGTGTGACTAGCACTTCTGATAGAACATCATTAACACCATCTCTGTATGAAGAAAAGGTCTTAATTCCTTTTTAAAAAATTTTATTTTGAAATTGACAGATTAAAATTGTATGTATTTATGATGTACAACATGATGTTTTGATATACATATGCTTTAATTATTCTTAATTAAACCACCCCCCTGGGTGGTTCTTCTTCATTTGTTGTACTTTCTCATCCACTGATGGCAGATTTATCAATTGGATGATATGTTTGTGGGAGAGGAATATTTTTTGTTCTTATTCTTATTTGGTGTTTTGCTTTATCTGATAAGAAGTAACAATTTTCCACTTGAAGATATACACACATCTTCCTCATTCCTAGTGCGTATATGGAGGAAGAAAGCTCAGCTGTGACAATGCAGAACATATGGTAAGTTGCTTGTAGAACCCTTTCTGCTACATAGCAATCTTTGGTACGCTGTTGAGAAAAAGCCTAATTTGCGACTCCAAGCAGCTATACTTTTGCTTCGTTTTGTATTTTTGAGCATTGCGATGGAAATGAGGCCAAATAAGGTGAAGCAGAAAAATTATGCCTTTTAATCAAAATTTTCTAAAACTATGGTTGCCCTTACTTTCTGGTGTCTGAGTGGTTAGGGGGTTTTCTATTATCCAAACATTAATTACTCAACCTGAAATTATTTAGACTTAAAGGAGAAGTTATACTCGTCTGTAATTATGGCTGTTTGATCAATGATTCTGACATTTTTACATGTTCACTATTGTGAACAAGAAAATCAATTTTTAAGATTTGCTGTTTAATAAATTACAAAATTAAAAATTAATCTGATTGAATATTGCATATCTATAATAAAGAAAATTTTAGATGCCATTTTATCCAGTAAGGGACAGTTGTTCCTTTCCCAAGTCTTGCCACACACAGTGAGTACCAGATTTAATATTTTGATAACACTTTGATAATGTCTTGGGATAAAAAGTTAAAAATGTTGTCAAGTATTTCCACATAACCTCATTCAGCTAATGGGGTTGAAAAACCAGTCCATCTCTAATAAATGGATATTGCCAATTAAAAAGATTTCCCCAAAGGGCTCTAGGTTTCATGAAACTTTCATTGGCAAGTTATATATTAAGCAGTGAATCCTAATTTTCAAATATAGTATTTGAATTATAATGTTTACATATGGAATATTTTATAATTTATAAAGAGTCTATTTAGTAAATAGTGTTTAGGCTGAGATTTAGAACAAACTACCCTCTAATTCTTTTTTTCCATAGGTTATTGGGGGTACAGGTGGTATTTGGTTGCATGAGTAAGTTCTTTAGTGGTGATTTGTGAGACTTTGGTGCACCCATCATCAAAGCAGTATACACTGCACCATATTTGTAGTCTTTTTTGTCTCTCGCCCCCTCCTACCCATCCCCCCAAGTCCCCAAAGTCTATTGTATCATTCTTACACCTTTGAGTCCTCACAGCTTAGTTCCCACATATCAGTGAGAACATAAGATGTTTGTTTTTCCATTCATGAGTTACTTCACTTAGCATAATAGTCTTCAATCTCATCCAGGCCCCTGTGAATGTCATTAATTCATTCCTTTTTATGGCTGAGTAGTATTCCATCATATATATATGTGTGTGTGTCTATACATACATATATATATCTCTCTATATATCTATCTATGTATATCTCTCTATATATATATATCTAGATATATATATGTGTGTGCTTTAAAAACAGAAGTAGTGACAACATTTAGAATAGATAGGGTCAAAATGATAATTGCAATAATGATTGTGTGTATATATATATACCACAGTTTCTTTTTTTTATTATTATTATACACAATGTGCAGGTTAGTTACATATGTATACATGTGCCATGCTGGTGTGCTGCACCCATTAACTCGTCATTTAGCATTAGGTATATCTCCCAATGCTATCCCTCCCCCCTCCCCCCACCCCACAACAGTCCCCAGAGTGTGATGTTCCCCTTCCTGTGTCCATGTGTTCTCATTGTTCAATTCCCACCTATGAGTGAGAATATGCGGTGTTTGGGTTTTTCTTGCAATAGTTTACTGAGAATGATGATTTCCAATTTCATCCATGTCCCTACAAAGGACATGAACTCATCATTTTTTATGGCTGCATAGTATTCCATGGTGTATATGTGCCACATTTTCTTAATCCAGTCTATCATTGTTGGACATTTGGGTTGGTTCCAAGTCTTTGCTATTGTGAATAGTGCCACAATAAACATACGTGTGCATGTGTCTTTACAGCAGCATGATTTAAAGTCCTTTGGGTATATACCCAGTAATGGGATGGCTGGGTCAAATGGTATTTCTAGTTCTAGATCCCTGAGGAATCACCACACTGACTTCCACAATGGTTCAACTAGTTTACAGTCCCACCAACAGTGTAAAAGTGTTCCTATTTCTCCACATCCTTTCCAGCACCTGTTGTTTCCTGACTTTTTAATGATTGCCATTCTAACTGGTGTGAGATGGTATCTCATTGTGGTTTTGATTTGCATTTCTATGATGGCCAGTAAAGGGTATTCAATTAGGAAAAGAGGAAGTCAAATTGTCCCTGTTTGTAGATGACATGATTGTATATCTAGAAAACCCCATCGTCTCAGCCCAAAATCTCCTTAAGCTGATAAGCAACTTCAGCAAAGTCTCAGGATACAAAATCAATGTGCAAAAATCACAAGCATTCTTATACACCAATAACAGACAAACAGAGAGCCAAATCATGAGTGAACGCCCATTCACAATTGCTTCAAAGAGAATAAAATAACTAGGAATCCAACTTACAAGGGATGTGAAGGACCTCTTCAAGGAGAACTGCAAACCACTGCTCATTGAAATAAAAGAGGATACAAAGAAATGGAAGAACATTCCATGCTCATGGGTAGGAAGAATCAATATCGTGAAAACGGCCACACTGCCCAAGGTAATTTATAGATTCAATGCCATCCCCATCAAGCTACCAATGACTTTCTTCACAGAATTGGAAAAAACTACTTTAAAGTTCATATGGAACCAAAAAAGAGCCCACATCGCCAAGTCAATCCTAAGCCAAAAGAACAAAGCTGGAGGCATCACGTTACCTGACTTCAAACTATACTACAAGGCTACAGTAACCAAAACAGCATGGTACTGGTGCCAAAACAGAGATATACATCAATGGAACAGAACAGAGCCCTCAGAAATAACGCCACATATCTACAACTATCTGATCTTTGACAAACCTGAGAAAAACAAGCTATGGGGAAAGGACTCCCCATTTAATAAATGGTACTAGGAAAACTGGCTAGCCATATGTAGAAAGCTGAAACTGGATCCCTTCCTTACACCTTATACAAAAATCAATTCAAGATGGATTAAAGACTTAAACGTTAGACTTAAAACCATAAAAACCCTAGAAGAAAACCTAGGCATTACCATTCAGGACGTAGGCATGGGCCAGGACTTCATGTCTAAAACACCAAAAGCAATGGCAACAAAAGCCAAAATTGACAAATGGGATCTAATTAAACTAAAGAGCTTCTGCACAGCAAAAGAAACTACCATCAGAGTGAACAGGCAACCTACAAAATGGGAGAAAATTTTCGCACCTACTCATCTGACAAAGGGCTGATATCCAGAATCTACAATGAACTCAAACAAATTTACAAGAGAAAAACAAACAACCCCATCAAAAAGTGGGTGAAGGACATGAACAGACACTTCTCAAAAGAAGACATTTATGCAGCCAAAAAACACAGTTTCTTTGTAGACTCGTTGATTGATGGACATTTGGGTTGGTTCCACATTTTTGCAATTGCGAATTGTGCTGCTATAAGCATGTGTGAGCCAGTATTTTCCTTTTCCTCTGGGTAGAAACCAAGTAGTGGGATTGCTGGATCAAATGGTAGTTCTACTTTTAGTTCTTTAAGGAATCTCCACACTGTTTTCCATAGTGGTTGTACTAGTTTACATTCCCACCAGCTGTGTAGAAGTGTTCCCTTTTCACTGCATCCGTGCCAACATCTACTATTTTTTTCTTATGGCCATTCTTGCAGGAGTAAGGTAGTATTGCATTGTGGTTTTTATTTGCATTTCCCTGATCATTAGTGATGAGCATTTTTTCATAAGTTTCTGGACATTTGTATATCTTCCTTTGAGAATTGTCTATTCATGTCCTCAGCCCAGTTTTTTACGGGATTTTTTTTTCTTGCTGATTTGTTTGAGTTTATTGTAGATGCTGGATATTAGTCCTTTGTCAGATGCAGAGATTATGAAGATTTTCTCCCACTCTGTGGGTTGTCTGTTTACTTTGCTGGGGTGTTTCCTTGATGTGGTACTCTTCCCCTTTTCCTATGGATGTGGCTTCCTGAGAACTGAGCTGTCGCTATTGCTATCTCTCTTTTGGGTCTAGCCACCCAGCAAGTAGGCTTGCTGGTACTGAGGGTTTTCTGCACAGAGTCCTGTGATGTGAACCATTTATGGGTCTCTCAGCCGTGGATGCCAGCACAGTATTTGGGGTGTCTCTCGGGTCCTGCAGGAGCAATCTACTTCCTTCAGAGGGTCTGTGGGTCCTCTCAGGTTTCCTGATTTATTCCTGCAGTCAGTAATTCTGGAGCTAAAATTCGTGATGTGAGTCTCCACATGCTGCTCTGTTCATCTGAGTCAGAGCTGCAATCTAGTCTTTCCTCCTGTCTGCCATGATAGAATCAAAAGATCAAACTATCCTCTAATTCAACACTAATTTTGGACTCAGTGGAGGACTCCTATAATCCCATTTTCCTATCCGTTATTTTGATTCTAGTTCTTTATTCCAAAGACATTACAGTTGTTTCCCCACATTGAAAGGTAAAACATGGAATGTTAGAATAAAGATAGACTTTGGAATTATAAGAAAATAAGGTTCAATTTTGCCTTTGATTCTTACCAGAGATGTAATATTGGTTAATTTACCAATTCTTGTTCAGTAAAATTTTTCTCTCATCATTATTGCTATCATTTAGTGAGGAAAAAATACACGGTAGGTCTTTTCTAGAAAATTATAAACATCTCAATTAATTTTCATAACACCACTATGAGGCAGATATTGTCATCTGTATATTTTATCTAAGGAAACTGAGTCTCAGGAAACTATATAATTCTTTTATTTTCATGCAGTAAATGCCAGAGTCAATATTCAAACTCAGCCTTCTATATTCCTTTCTGTCAATATCAGATTCCTCTTATCTTGGAAGCATGTTGTGAGAATTTAGTAAGATAATCTAGTATATTTTCAGGCATTTAGCAAATACCTGCAAATATTGGTATCCTGTTTAACCTTCTTCATTCTACTTCTAGTCATTTGCTAATTTCTGCTTTTTATGTCTCTTTTAGCATTGTTTTCTCTTATATTTCTCATTGTTTTCCTTATTCTGGATATTGCTTTTTCCTTGAATTATTTTTTGTGGCCCTACTTCCTAGCTTTCCCTCATTTTCCCTCTACTAAGTTATCCTCCATATTCTAATATATAGCTCTGGCCATATGACTACTTCCAAATCCTCCTTCTCTTAAGGCTTTTCAGAAACCTAGACTAACTCCCCATTACTTACAAAGAAGGTTTTAATGTCTTAGCATCACTTTTAGAGCCCTCCCAAAAGTGACCATGCACGACTGTTCCAAGCTTAGTTATATTCATAAGAGCAAACTAACTACTCTCACTCTCCTTGAGCAAAGAGTAGAGGTGTATGCATATGTCTGAGTGTGCTTCTCTAATATTTCTCACACTATTATTTTCATCTGATGTGTCTTCCCTTTCACTCCCCAGTCCTGATGTTGCCTGCCATTTCTACCCATAAGTTTTAAAAAACCAGTTGAAAACTAGTTATTTCATGAAGCCTCTCCTGTTCTTAGCCATAATCTTTCTTCTAACTTCCATTCATAGAACTTTGAAATTCTATTATATTACTTACAATGTTTTTCTTATACTAAAATTGGTTATGTCTACATATTCCTCTAGTGTTAAGTTTATCTCCCTTGAAGATAGACATCATGTCTTGTTCATCTTTTTAATTTTTTTGCAGGACTATGAACAATACCATACATCTAGCATAATCTTAATAAATGGAATTTAAGTAAATGGATGCTCAAAGAAGAGACATTCTGGAAAAGGGAAAAGAGCAAAAGCTTTGGAAATAGTCAGAAATGGTTTCAATAATACATCTGCCAGGTGCCCTGGCTCTTGACTATAATCCTAGCACTTTGGAAGGCTGAGGTGGGCAGATTGCTTGAACCCAGGAGTTTGAGACCAGGCTGGGCAACATGGCAAAACGCTGTCTCTACAAAAAAATACAAAAATTATCTGAGTATGGTGGCACACGCATGTAGTCCAGCTACTTGAGAGACTGAGGTGGGAGGATCACCTGAGCCTGGGCAGGTCAAGGCTGCAGTGAGCCGTGATCATACCACTGTACTCCAGCCTGGGCAATGGAGTGAGACCTTGTCTCTCATTCTCTCTCTCTCTCTCTCTCTCTTTCTCTTTCTCTCTCAATAATAATAATATATCTGCCACTTAACAGCTTAGTTAGGCCTTTGCTTTTATATCTGTAAATGGGGACAGTAGTGTCTATCTCAGATGATAAGTGGTAAGATTGAGGTCGTATATACAACAGCATATAAAAGTAGTGAACACTATAGCATGTGATGTATGGTAGGCCCTGTTCTAAGCACTTTGCCTGTTGATTCATTTAATCCTTGTTATAGCCTTATGAAGTAAATACTATTATAAGCTTATCTTTAGAATGAACAAACTGAGGTTGAGAGATATTAAGTATCTTGCCCAAAGTAACTGCTGTAGTTTGAGTGTGTCCCTTCCAAAATTCAGGTGTTGTAACTGTGATAGTGTTAAGCAGTTGGGCCTTTATAAGATGATTAGGCCAAGAAAGCTGGTTTCCTTGTTAATGGGATTATGCCCTTTTCTAAAAAGTCTTCCTGCAAAATTCAGCCAGCTTGCTGTTCTGCTTTCTGCCATCGGAGGACACAGCAAAAAGGCCCTCAGCAGACCAAATGCCAGCACCTTGATCTTGGATTTCCCAGCCTTTAGAATTGTGACAAATATATTTCTGTTATTCATAAATTACACACTGTCACATATTTTGGTGTAGGAGCACAAAATGGACTGATAGTAAGTGAAAGAACTAAGATTTGAATTCAAGAAGTCAGGCTATAGAAAGCATGTGTTTCAGCATTCCATCTTGGTAGTCTACTTTCCTTCTTTATAAGTTAAGAATAGTTTTTATCTAAAAATAAATTGAAAGGGGCTCATTTATCAAGTGCTTGTAATGAATGTCAGTGACCCAGGTAGAATATGGTCTCTGCCCCTAACAAGGTCTCAGAATCATGGGGGAAGTGGGCAGGTAAACAGTGTGACAAATCCTGTGGCAGCAGTATGCACAACGTGCTATGAGAAAACAAACATATCTCCTAGTCAGCAAGGTTTTTCTTTTCAGGGTGTTTTTACTTTTATAGAAGACTTTCTTCTCTCTGTTTCTGAGGCCACAAAAATGAAGTGACTTAGAGCAGTCTTCACATGAGGTTTAGGACTCCAGGTGCTAAATAGTCTACGATTTCCAAAGCTTCATATTTTTATCCTTGTCTGTGTTATTTAGCTCTTCGACTTTTTCAAATCAGATGGGCTACTTAATGAATTGTCATCTGTAGATCAAATGAAACTGGAGGGGAGACAGTTTTGATATTTTTCTATTCAGGCTCCAGTAAGGAAAGTGCTGTATATCTGAAACAAGATAGTGGGTGAACACATCTGGCTTTTTGAGCTTGTGTTATAAATAGAATATCAAACGAGTTAAGAGAAATAGCCATGTAGCTATGAGGCTCTGTGCAACAGGATTTAATGTCAAAAATGGTTCATATTATGATTATTTTTTTCACCACTCTATCCTCATCAAGTGTCTGAAAGATACCAGGAAGCAAATACACAGAAATAGGTATATATTTCAATAGTAATTATCCAGGCTAATTAAAAGTAAAATCTTGTATATAGAAAGAGAATATTATCTGGCAACCAGCCAACCACAGAGTACCAGTTTTGTCAGCGTAGCTCATTTTCTTTCAGAATGTGATATGTCTAGAAATAAACCTTGAAGAAAAATGTGAGATGGGGAAGAGAATGAAGAAAAAAGGTCTTGTTTAGTATAGGAACCTGTCCATCTCTTGATGCTTGCCATATGTGCTTTGTTTTTATATCACCAGTTTGCATATTTATCATGGTTTCTACATATTGATTTGCAGTTTTCACACTCAGCCTCTTACATTTCTCTCAGTATATAGGTAGACACCCTGTCACAGTGAGGGGAGTTCTACTTGCTGTTTAATGGGTTTCTCATAGTCAGTGATAGATTGAGCATTTGTGATATTCCAGGAGTAGAGGTCTCAACAAGTCAGAATTACTCCAAAAGCTACCCCAGGAGGAGTGGAAACCCTTTACAAGAGTGTAATATCTCTATTTAAGTATGTCTTCTTGCCAGGAGTGGTGTCTCACATCCATAATTCAAGCACTTTGAGAGGCAGAGGCAGGAAGATCACTTGAGACCAAGAATTCAAGACCAGCCTGGGTAACATAGAAAGACTTCATCTTAACAAAAAATAAAAAATTAGTCAGGCATGTGGTGTACACCTGTAGTCGTAGATACTAGGGAGGCTGAGGTGGGAGGATCACTTGAGGCCAGGAGTTTGAGGCTGTGGTGACCTATGATTGCACCACTGCACTTTAGCCTGCGTGACAGAGCAAGGCTCTGTCTCAAAAAAAAGAAAAGTGTATCTTCTTTATATTTAAGACATCAGAAAAATACCACATCAAAAAAAATCATGTGCTTTACGATTTTTGCTCCTCATTTTCCTAAATCCAAGTTGAAGTGTGAGGTATGACTTGATGAGGTAAGACACATTGAGCGTCGTGTGGTTCAATAGAGCAGTGGTGTCTACGCTAAGATGAATATCAGAATTACGTTAGGTGCTTCTGAAAAAAAATACTAGGGCCTCACCCCAAATATATTAATTCTGTTGGTCATGGGTACAATATACAGTTTGAAAGCTCTTCTAGTGATTTTAATGATCAAGCACATTTAAAACCATTGCAGTTATGAGCTTAGTATCTTTAAAGTGTCACACGATTCTACTATGCAGCTAGGAATGAGAGCTTCTGTTTTAGGAGTTGGAAAGTTAAATGTAGGGATAAAGTGTGGTATAACATGAGTATTGGACTAAACTAAATAGAGGTATCTAAAGACCAGAGAGAGAAGGTAGTAGATTTGGAGTCAGCAATGTATAAAGCTCCTTCCTCTTTAAATCTCTAAGGCTTTAAGTAGCATTAAGATCAATAATCCTACAAAACATTTCATTTATCACTGATGTCCATCAAGCTATATATCTATATCGGCATGGTCGTCAGAGATGGGGAATATGCCAGACATTTTGGAGATGAAAGAGAATGCAAAGGGATTTCCATATTTGTCCAAAACCAGGGAGGGTGGAGGTGTTGGGGGATAATGGATGAAACTCACTTTTACTGAGTAGCTGCTATGTTCCAAGTATTTTGCTACTTAATAAGTGCTACTGATGAAAATCATAGTAGTAACTAACACTTTTATGGTGCTTATGTGCCAGACACTGTTCTTAAGTACTTTATCTGTACTAATTGAATACTTACAAAAACTTTACAAAGTAGAAACCATTACATTTCCCTATTTAAAGATGAAGCAACTGAAGCACAAATAGGTATGTAACTTGCTCTAACATCACAGAGCTAGATGGTAGCAGAGTTTAGATTCAAGTAATGGCAGACCAGATCCTGATTCTCTGCTTTTAACCACTTTCAATAAGTGGACTTAGTTGATGAGTCTAGAATTCGTGTATAGGTGGATAAAAGAAAGATTGAACCGCTTTCTGAGGAATACACAGAATTCTGGCTGATGGGAGGGCTGGACACTGATGGTGATCACATGACTCATTAGTGTGCCTCTGAACTAAGCTCTTTTCTTAAAACAAACCGTAGACATAGGCAAAGAAAGCAGTCATTATGGATAGATTGTAAGAGCATTATTTAATTGTGAGGCCATTCTCTTAAATTTATCAGTGACATGATTTATTTTCCTATATCCTTCATTCTTAGCACACACACAAATCTCCTTTCTAGACATTTGACTCTTGTTTAGTTTAATTTTTCCTTTCCATGTGCTATTTTTCTACCTATCACCTCAGGCACAAATACAAAAGGTCAAACCAAAAAATAAACACCCTGTGTGATATCCAGTAAAGTCAAAACAATGTAACAGAAGATATCCATCTTTATTCTTTTATGGCACATAATACATTCATTTTCACTATCTCCAATTTGGTCATCTATCTATGTCATTGTGGGCTTGCTGTAATCATCAAAGAGTAAGAGGTAGACATGTTTTACATGCATCAGCTGGCTAGATACCCTATATCTTTTATGGTATGAACACACAAGTAAGAAATTCAAGCCAACAAACAAAAATCCTGCCATCTTCATCAGCAACTAACCAATGTGCACACTTGGGTGGAGATCCCACCTTTCACCTATGACCTGGGAATTTTTAGATGGCTCCAGTTTCTTTTAGTCACCCTTATCCTGATTTCCTGTTTTCTTCCGAATTTTTAAAATCTCTCCTGTGTACCTCATTTCCTAACCTTTCGTTTTATGTGCATTGAACCTATTCTTGCATTTTCCCCAAAGCAATATTAGCAAAGGTATTTCTGTACCTCATGATTTTACCGAGGGCTTAGGAGCATCAGA
Source organism: Homo sapiens (assembly GCF_000001405.40). Lineage (NCBI taxonomy): Eukaryota > Metazoa > Chordata > Mammalia > Primates > Hominidae > Homo > Homo sapiens. The sequence continues at coordinate 24,346,443 of NC_000009.12, forward strand.
AGTAGGTTATGTTGCCTCCTAGTACTGCAAATGGACAATGTTTACATTTTAGATGTCCCTGTTTTTAAAGCCCCTAGGCGTGACCGCTAAGGTATTTCACAATAACCATCTTTTACTCAGGGTCTTCATCCTCCTGCTTTCTTGACAGGCAGCTTCTCTTCTTCTTACGGTGTGTCACAGCTACCCAAATTCTCATTTTTCCTGTCATTTTTTCATGTCTTATTTGTGAGTTCTTGGAAAAGTAGGCTGTGGGGATTTGCCACATGACAACCTTTCCTTCATCTGCAAAGAGGTGGACTTGAAGTACTATCAGTACTCTTAGAACAGAGATCTCATGGCCTGGACTATTCCATTTCCAAAAGATCTTGTACATAAGTTCCAACAGATGAGAAAATGATAACATGAGGTGTCCTGGAAAATGTTCACATCTTCCTCTAGGATATGGGAAATATGCAGGCTTGCTATTTTGAATTATTTCTTTTAGAGAATAGAGGAGGCAAGTCTCTCAGTGGCCCACATGAGAAATAAGAAGTTATAATTGGAAGTTACTCTGCACAATTATCCTGGTTATAAAAGAAAGTACTGAGTCACCTCCCTACTGGGGAAGGTTATGTTTGCGGAGTTTTGACTATAAAGTAACCTCCCTTTGCCTAGTCAACTCAATCCAGAGGGCAAGGGTCTTCGCTGTTCTGAGTTTTGTAAGCAAAAAAAGAAATCTTACCAGCAGATTGCTGGGACAGCTTTACAGGTAATATCTGATTATTCTTTAATCCAGAATCTACAAGGAACTTAAACAAATTCACAAGAAAGAAAACAACCCCATCAAAAAGTGGGTGAAGGATATGAACAGACACTTCTCAGAAGAAGACATTTATGCGGTCAACAAACATATGAAAAAAAGCTCATCCATGGTCATTACAGAAATGCAAATGAAAACCACAATGAGATATCATCTCATGCCAATCAGAATGGCAATCATTAAAAAGTCAGGAAACAACAGATGCTGGAAAGGATGTGGAGAAATAGGAACGCTTTTACACTGTTGGTAGAAGTGTAAATTAGTTCAACCATTATGGAAGACAGTGTGGTGATTCCTCAAGGATCTAGAATCAGAAATACCATTTGACCCAGCAATCCCATTACTGGGTATACACTCAAAGGATTATAAATCATTCTACCATAAAGACACATGCACACGTATGTTTATTGCAGCACTATTCACAATAGCAAAGACTTGGAACCAACCCAAATGCCCATCAATGATAGACTGGATAAAGAAAATGTGGCACATATACACAATGGGATACTATGCAGCCATAAAAAAGGATGAGTTCATATCCTTTGCAGGGACGTGGATGAAGCTGGAAATCATCATTCTCAGCAAACTAACACGGGAACAGAAAACCAAACACTGCATGTTCTCACTCGTAAGTGGGAGTTGAACAATGAGAACACATGGACACAGGGAGGGCAACATCACACACCAGGGCCTGTTGGGAGCTGAGGAGCTAGGGGAGGGATAGCATTAGGAGAAATACCTAATGTGGATGACAAGTTGATGGGTGCAGCAAACCACCACGGCACGTGTATACCTATGTAACAAACCTGCATGTTCTGCACATGTATCTCAGAGCTTAAAGTATAATAATAATTTTTTAAAAAAGAAACGAGACTGTTGAAAAACCTTTCTGACTGGTATCTATGTGTTGGAGTTGTAAATCTTTTACTCAATGCCTCAAGAAAAGAATCAACTAATTATCTATGGCTTTGGCAAGAAATCTTCGCTGATATTTGTCTAAAGCTTTCTAAAACTTGCCCCAAGCCCCAAAGTCCAAGTCCAACTTTCATTTGCAAAGTAATTCAGAGCTCCCTTATTTCTTCCTTACTTCCCAGTCCTTTCTCTGTGCTATTCTTTTCACTTCATAATCATTCATCAAGAGGTTTAGTGAAACAAAAAACACCTCTCACCATTTGATTCATTCTATGTCTACTTTCTATAATATAAATAACTATTTTACCCCTCCATGTTACAGAGTCATGATGCACTGCACTGCACCTTTACATTTGAAATTGCAGTCTCCCTCCTGAGCCTACTTTTTGTTACATTCGTTATAACATATCTTCCTTTTCCTCCTCATTATTCTTTTGGTAGCCATTTTTTTAAAGCACTTTCCTACCCTATTTAAATATTTTCATCTGAAAGATCAGAAGTCTTCAGAGTATTTTGAGACGCATTGGCTGAACCTATTCCCCCACTTCCCCACCTCCCAAAAAATGTGAGTAGAGACAATGTAGCTTGAACATTTATTTGGGCTTCCAAAATTGAATTGAGGAAAACACCCAAGGTGCCTGCTGCCTGCTCAATTTCTTGACCAACCTACACTATTTTGTGAAATACACTAAATGAATTGATTTCATACCACCGTTGGGAAAGAATAAACAATGATAGGGTTTAAATAATGAAACATTAATATGGAAAAAATTATTGAGGTGTATGAAGCTTATCGCTTTGAAAAATATTTTAATCATAGTAGACAAAAACATGCTCTTGATATAACCACTCTTGTGAACATTTCTCTTAGAATTTGGTTAAAAAGAAATATTCCTTCAGATGAAAGGAGGGGCTTCCCTGTTTTCTTTATTTTACCATTAAAATGACAAATGGGATGTTATGAAGCATCTGATATCACTTTTTATCATGTTTGATGTCCTAACAATTATTGTTCGTTTATAGTTATCAGAATCATAACTGCAATACATTTTTGTGTAAACTGCCTTGATGATTACACACAGTACTGGCTAAAGAGACTTAATCAAAATTACCCAACATCCGGCTGAACTGTTGACTTTGGCCTGGTAAATTTTTTTTTTTTTTTTTTTTTTTGCCATTTAGGGTTAAACATTTCTTTTTTGACTTACTTTTCGGTGACCAGATAGTTAATTCTAAGTGAAACAGACAAATAAAGCAGAAGTGTGTTAGGTAGAAAATTGTGAAATTTTCATAAGAAAATTTGTGAATTCCATAAGAGCAATACACCAGTCTTAATATTAAATCCAATCTGTCCTAAGGAAATGCCAGATATGTTTTTGAATCACCAAAATGAAATAATGATAGTTAAAAAGGTAAGTTGAAAATAAAGAATTTTTAAGAGACCCCAAAACCCGAAGGAAGGAAAGCAACTGTGGTTAGGAGAAATAATAGCTCTACCTATTAATTAGGGATAAATAACTTCAGCAAGTACTCCTTTAAAGTTTTTTCTGTAAAGTAGGGGACTAGAGCATGCAACTATTCTAAAGTATCTTTCAGTGAATTAGTTTCCATCTTTAAGTAGTTATATAATAGTATAAATAAAATAATGAATACAGTATTAATATTAATGATGAGAATTAATAGTGGAACTCATTTGGTAAATCTATTCTAATTGATACCAGTACAAGGCTCAGACTTAACAGAAATAAATGATTAAAGGGTTAACAAAAATCTCTTCAAAGGAATCTCTTTTTTGTTGCAAATAAAAGCAGGTTTAAAATTCTCTCTGTGTTCAAAAGTCAATTATTGCCAATTTTACAGGCTCCTCAAACATGAGATTTTCATTTAGCAGAGCCAACTTTACTCTGTCTGCCAAAAGCCCATAAAATGGCCCTTTTCCATCTGGTAAATGTTCCACAATGAAATTAGAACTGTTGGAAAATAATGGAAATCTATGGACATGTGTATACTGTTACTGAGACGTGAAAATTTGTTAGTGATATCTGATATAAATTACTTATTTAAGTGCCATTGTTAACTCTTGTAGGTCAGTAAAGCCTGAGTTCTATATTAGAGTTCATGCAATTTCCTAACTTCAGGTAGAAGTTATTCAAACCATTCCAGAAAATAGGATGCCCCATGTAATCAAATAGTGATTCTTAAATATGTGTGATGAGTGTCATTAATCCCTTGGAAGAACAAATGAGAAGTATTGATTTTCAACCCAGAAAAAAAGATGCTATATAAAAAAATAGAAGCAACTTCAGCAGTTAGATTTAAAAAAACACTATTCCAAAAAGGTTTTTGAAAGAGGGATTTTATAGAGTCCCTTAAAAATATATTTAACATTTCTCAAAAGGAAACTCTTTTTTAAGCTCAACATGTAAATTTAAATAATTTCCCATAGATTCATTTACTCAACTCTATATTACTGGCATTTCCCCCTTTGAAGATATAAACAAATTTCTCATATAATTTTTTACTACCTGGTGAATGGGCCACAAAGGAGATAGCTCAACTAGTAAAAATGGTTTGCCTTTTCCCATGTACCGAGAAAAAAAAATCAAAATTATATATATATATATTATATGTGTATATATGTGTGTCTGTGTGTGTGTGTGTGTGTGTATATATATATAATTTGTATGCGCCCATAATTCAGGGAAATGAGTTGGCATGTGCATAATGTAGATATGATTATAAGCTTGAGAGAAGAAAAGATAGTTTTAATATATGAATTTTAAATTTATAAAATGTAAATATGTATGTGTATGTTAGCTCTTGCCTCCTAGCTCCTTGTCAGGAAGAGAAAACCCCAAAACTCTTATCCTCTGAATCATAAAAAAAAACTTATTTTATCAGATGTTCTTAATTGAAGTAAAATGATCCCCAAGGGTAGAAAGAACTCATGAAAGTTCACAGAGGAGGAAAAATTCTGAGCTAGATAAGAAAAGGACAAGGAGCTGGCCACTGATAAAATTAAAATGTATGGAAACAATTAGTTACTATTCCCTAAAACAGCAAATTGGCTTTCTGAAGATGCTTTGGGGAATTTCAATTTGTTTGAACCTGTAAATGCTCAATTTGATCGTAAGCTCAGTGAATATTTCCTAAAAGTTTCTGTAGTGCCTTGTTTTCTAACTGTATTGAAGAAACTATCAATCTGAAGGTTTTCTCTCCTCTTTGAGGGACTGGTTTCACATGATGATGACAAGAAGTCTTTTCAAACTTTATGCTCAGAGAAACCACAAGATGGGCTGTACTGGCAGCTGCTCTGGAGAGCAGACTTTGCAGTAGACTGTGAACATCATTTCTCCTCTTTCACAGCATGGGGAATTCCAGCTCTTTCTGAAATCTGTTCAAAATATTCCTGTCTTTCTATTTTACCTCCAAACCGACTCATTTTCAGACCTGCCCTTGGTTACCTTTGATTGACAGATATAGGCTTTGGAAACCATTGAAATCTTATTTAGAAAGGACTGAAATCTTATCTCAATGAATTCTTTAGTCCCTGTTTGGAGACCAAAGGCTCTATGTCAAAAGGATTATAGATACCTGTACTTGCAACTGGGGTTTCTACGGCAGATTTATAACTATTGGGTTATTTCAGGGTTTCCAAGTTAAGATCTGATGGAGAGAGGAACATAGAGAGGCAGCTCTAAGATGGACAATGCACCCATAAATTTTTTTCTGAAAATAAGAATCTCTTTTAGATATGTCATAGTTAATAAAAAAATAGAGTAATACAAATGAAGACTTAAATTGATGAGGCACATGTGTAAATTGATAAAGGAAGTTTGATGCATCATAACATTGAAATTTATCTAAATTCAATATTGTTAAACATTCTTAAAGATCAGATGAATTATACATGAAGTATATGGATTATTTGTCCCTGGCAAACAATGGTGACATTTCTGTCTGTCACTTAGCATGACAAGGTTAGCATGTTTTATTCAAAACTTTTAAACAGTAAAATGATTTGTATGCATTACTCTTGCTTTGGACTGTCAGGGAAAGCAGAAAGCAACACAGTTATTCTATGACATTGAGTCAGTATGTGCATAAAAAAATGACAGAACAGGATTGCCTCAGACATCTATAAAGCTCATACTTTGGTTTTCTAATCATCTTGTAGAAAAACAACAAAACCATAAAGGCAGAAGCATTTCCTCACATTCAAAAAAATACCATTGCATACAGGAATATAAATATGATATTTGTAATATAATGAATGTGGGATATTTACGAGTCGGAATGGATCCCTGGAAATAGCATGCTTTGGGTTTTAAGAAAATTTAATGACAGAATATTTTTTTTTTTCAGTAAATAGGATAAGAGTCAGGCTATGTTGTCTCTTTCACAGTTAAAATATTCTGCAGTAAGGAAATAGGATGATAATTTGTGAGACCTTTGAATTTTTTGCTCTCTGTGTGCGTAGGATGGGCACATAGAAAGAGATAAATAACAGAGTAGAGGGCATTGTTCAGCTCTTAGGTAGAGACAGGGGACAGAGGACTTTAGTAATATGTTTACTATTTCTGTTACAGTTGTCTATCATTGGAGGGTGTCAATGTTAAGGCCTGATAGTGTGGTTGAGTGGCAATCCCTGAAGCAGCCCTCAGCTTGCTCCTTCTCTTTTCCCTGACTTTTCTGTGTCAAGTAAGTTAGACACCAAAGGAACCCTACACTTCACTGTTTCTGGGCTCTTCTTCCTCCTTCATGAGGTTCTAGAGCAGAAATGAGCTTTGAGGGGATTATGCTGGGATAAAATAGAACCTAGGGGTCTTGGTACGATATTAATATCTAATATCCAGAGACTAAAAGTCTTTTTTATTGTCTTTTCATTCACAAGTGACTTAGGGATGCTTTTTGAGAATATATTATGAACCAGTGACTCTGCCAGGAATAAAATGATGTCTAAGACAAGCTTTTGACTTTGCAATGCTTACAACAGAGGAAGAAAGCTCTATAAGCAAGCAAGCACAATGCTGTGTTACAGGTGTTATTGTGGCTAATTGTGCAGGGTGAGTGGAGAAGAAGTGGGTTACAAACAGAGAGAGGGGGCCAGAATATTATACCTTACTGTGTCCTGTTCTTCCCCTCCATATCTTGGGAAGGTAACCACAGAGAATAGTATTTTCTTATTTCATTGCATTCAATGATATGTTTACTACAGCTTCAAACACATTAAAACCCCACCATGTGGTCACAAAATGGCATGCATTTTGTGTTTCCTCCATATCTGACCATGACTTGGAGAAAAGTAAGCTCTTTAGAGGATGTATTAATAGTTCATGATTATTATTACAACTGCTAGATATAATTGATCATTATATATATCAACACCTAATTGATATAATTAGACAACTGGTCTAAAGAAAAGGTTGAGCTATGCATATTTTTCCTGGAATTATTTAATAGAGAATGCTTAACAAAAGAAAGAAGAAATTTTACTGTATACTCCCTGTGCTGTGATATGCATTATGTACCTTGAGCCTGGAAATCATGAATATTAACATTTACCATACCAGCTACATGATTAGTAATTACCCTTCCATGGTGGCCCTGACAATTTATTATTATATAAATTTTGTTATGCACAATATCTATTTAACCTGTTCTTAACCCTTTATCTCAACCTCTACCTGACTACTGCCTTCCCCAGAATCTCTGGCATGAATTGCAATGGTTAGAGAGAGTGTAAGAACTAAGTAGTTTTCAAGGAGATTTATCCTGACTCAGTAAGCAAATTTATAGATAGTTTAGAAGCAAATTTTAATGATGTATTGCCCAACAGGGACTTACAGGTGCCACCAAACTTTTGGGATGCTATGTAGTTTTGCTGGGCTGTCATTTTAAAAAATGTTGCATCCCTAGTGGAAAATATTTCTAGAAATACTATGACCTTTCCATTTTTTACCATGAAAGTGAGGTGATCTAAGAGTAGCCATCTTCCAAGTAAATGTGGTGAAACTTTAGTTTGAAATATTCATCATGCTTCTGTTTTGAACAGCCAAAACTCTACTAAAATTCAGTTTGCTGGTTTATTCAGCTTATTCATTTTATGCAAATCTCAATGTGCATGAAATGAACAAAAGACTTCATTTCTATTCATATGCATTGTTAGTTTTCTATTCCATTTTTATTCCCAAACTTGTTTTTCTCTTTTTCAGTATTAGCACTTTATTCATTCTTTCAACAAATATTTGTGGCATCCCTAGCATGATGAGGCACCAAAAAGAATGATACCATCCCCGCATGGTAATCGGCATGGCCCACAGGTTTCATCTTGAATGCCTTTTTGAGTGCACTATTAGAGGATGTTTGGAGATTTCTTTAGGAAACATCTATGATGAAAAGAAAGAATGATCTCAATTATGTGTGTCCGCTATGAGCAGGGTTTCAAGGCCGATTGCCGTGCCAACTCAGGGAGTGGGAAGATTGTCCACCAGGGGGTCAGGCAGATGTGGATTCTGATTTTGACTCTGCTCCTTGAAAGTTCTAACTGGGGCAAGCTACCTCTGATTCTGAGAGAGATTCCTCATATGTAAAAGGAGAATACCTGCCTCACAGTGTGGTTAAATGAGTTTCCAGAGAGTGGCAACACCTTATAGGACTCCCTCAATAAATGATTGTTCTTAGCACCTCTTCTAGGATCCTACAATCTAATGCATTTGTAAATGAGCAAAAACTTTAGTAATACTGAAACGTTGGCTAAAATAAGTCCCATTAATGCAGGGACAAACAAAATGTTTTGATTTCTTGGAAGGTTTGATGAATTGTGGATTGCCTGATTCCTTTTCTCTTTCCAGGTTTTGTCTTAGATGTAACAAGTTCCTATCATGGGAGTCTGTACCATACAACCACAAATACACAATGGTATGGAGAAAGGGAGAGAGAGAACAAATGAGTTGTAAGAATTTAATTGGCAAAACTGATTATCCATGCTGAGTTTGCTCCTATTGTTTTTAAAGACACATGTTTTTTATACTACATGGCCCCAAACTCAAAATCACTCAAATAAACACTGATCTGTTCCAGCACTGGAGGAAAAACTGGCTTTGTTAGACTTACCGAGAGATGGTGTGTTTCTCTCCAATATGGCACCTTTCTAAGGGATTCTCAAGGGTAGTTTTGATAATACATGATTATTGACTTATTTGCAGTATAACACTTACCTTGACTGCACTTTTTTGCTTTTACACATTGTAATTCATTTCATCTTTTACTTATCTTGAATATCAAGATTTACTTTCTCTATCTTTTTTTTTTTCACATAAGCTCTGTATGTGACTCTACCTGTTTCTTGGAACAGGTAGTTCCAAGGTTTCTTTGGTTACTTAATGACTATTTTGTTATTTTATTTTTCCAAAACATGTCATAGGGTTGTGTCTAGAACTCAGGTCATTCTGTATAATGTTTCCAGTAGGTTTTGGAGGTTAAGATATTGTTTCCTTAGAAATACCTGATCAAGATTTCATGTCCTTACAGTTGCACATATAAGTTTTGTAGCTGGAGTAAGCTCAGCAGTGTTTTTAATGTCACAATAGTAATGTGCTCCTTGCCTGTTGTATTAGTCCATTTTCATGCTGCTGATAAAGCCATACCTGAGACTAGCCAATTTACAAGAGAAAGAGGTTAATTGAAATTGCAGTTCCACATGGCTGGGGAGGCGTCTCAATCAGGGTGGATGATGAAAGTCATGTCTCACATGGTGGCAGCAAAAGAGAGAACGAGAGCCAAGTGAAATGGGTTTCCCCTTATCAAACCATCAGATCTTGTGAGGCTTATTCCCTACCATGAGAACAGTATGGGGGAAACCACTCCCATGATTCAATTATCTCCCACCGGGTCCCTCCCATAATGCATGGGAATTAGGAGAGTACAATTCGAGATGAGATTTGGGTGGGGACACAGAGCCAAACCATATCATTCCACCCATGACCCCTCCCAAATCTCATGTCCTCACATTTCAAAACCACTCATGCCTTCCCAACAGTCTCCTAAAGTCTTAACTCATTTCAGCATTAACTCAAAAGTCCAGTCCAAAGTCTCATCTGAGACAAGGCAATTTCCTTCCACTCATGAGCCTGTAAAATTTAAAGCAAGTTAGTTGCTTCCTAGCTACAATGGGGGTATAGGCATTGGGTAAATACAGCCATTCCAAATGGGAGGAATTGGCCAAAACAAAGGGGCTACAGGCCCCATGCAAGTCTGAAAACCAGCAGGGCAGTCTAATCTTTTTTTTTTTTTTTTTTTTTTTGAGACGGAGTCTCGCTCTGTCGCCCAGGCTGGAGTGCAGTGGCGGGATCTCGGCTCACTGCAAGCTCCGCCTCCCGGGTTCACGCCATTCTCCTGCCTCAGCCTCCCAAGTAGCTGGGACTACAGGCGCCCGCCACTACGCCCGGCTAATTTTTTGTATTTTTAGTAGAGACGGGGTTTCGCCGTTTTAGCCGGGATGGTCTCGATCTCCTGACCTCGTGATCCGCCCGCCTCGGCCTCCCAAAGTGCTGGGATTACAGGCGTGAGCCACCGCGCCCGGCCAGGGCAGTCTAATCTTAAAGCTCTAAAATTATCTATTTTTGACTCCATGTCTCACATCCAGGTCGCGCTGATGCAAGAGGTGGGTTGTCATGGTCTTGGGAAGCTCCACCCCTGTGGCTTTGCAAAGTATGGCCCCCCTCCTGGCTGCTTTTGCAAACTGGCGTTGAGAGTCTATGGCTTTTCCAGGTACACAGTGCAAGCTGTTGGTGGATCTACCATTCTGGAGTTTAGAGGATGGATCCCTCTTCTCACAGCTCCAGTAGCTGGTGCCCCAGTAGGGACTCTGTGTAGGGGCTCTGACCCCACAATTCCCTTCTCTACTACACTAGCAGAGGTTCTCCATGAGGGCCACACACCTACAAGAAACTTCTGCCTGGATATCCAGGAGTTTCCATACATCCTCTGAAATCTAGGTGTAAGTTCCCAAACCTCAATTCTTGACTTCTGTGCACTCTCAGACTCAACACCACATGGAAGCTCCCAAGGCTTGGGGCCTGCATCCTCTGAAACAACAGCCTGAGCTGTACCTTGGCCCCTGAAGCCACTGAAACACAGGGTACCAAGTCCCTAGGCTGCACAGAGCAGGGGGACCCTGAACCCGGGCCATGAAACCATCTTTTCCTCCTAGTCTACCGGGCCTAGGATGGGAGGGGCTGTTATGGAGACCTCAGATATGCCCTGGAGACATTTTACACATTGTCTTTGTTATTAACATTCAGCTCCTTAATACTTAGGCAAATTTCTGCAGAAGGCTTGAATTTCTCCTCAGAAAATTGAATTTTCTTTTCTATTGCATTATCAGGCTGTGCATTTTACAAACTTTTATCCTCTGTTTCCCTTTTAAAATTGAATGCCTTTAACAGCACCCAAGTCACCTCTTGAATGCTTTGCTGCTTAGGAATTTCTTCTTCCAGATACCCTAAATCATCTCTCTCAAGTTCAAAGTTCCACAAATCTCTAGGGCAAGGGCAAAATGGCGTCAGTCTCTGCTAAAACATAACAAAGGTCACCTTTGCTCCAGTTCCCAAAAAGTTCCTCATCTCCATCGGAGACCACCTCAGCCTGGATTTCAGTGTCCATATCATTATCAGCATTTTGGTCAAAGCCATTCAACAAGTCTCTAAAGAGTGCCAAACTTTCCATATTTTCCTATCTTCTTCTGAGCCCTCCAAACTGTTTCAAACCCTGCCTGTTACCCAGTTCCAAAGTCACTTCCACATTTTTAGGTATCTTCTCAGCAGTGCCCTACTCTCCTGGTACCAATTTACTGTATTAGTCTATTTTTATGCTGCTGATAAAGACATAACCGAGAATGAGTAATTTACGAAAGGAAGAGGTTTATTGGACTTACAGTTCCACATGGATGGGGAAGCCTCACAATCATGGCAGAAGGTGAAAGGCACATATCCCATGTCGGTGGCAAGAGAGAATGAAAGCCAAATGAAAGAAGTTTCCTCATTTCAAACCATAAAATCTCGTGAGATTTATTCACTGCCACAAGAACAGTATGGGGGGAACTGCCCCCATGATGCAGTGATTCAGTTATCTCCCACCGGGTCCCTCCCACAACACATGGGAATTATGGGAGTACAATTCAAGATGAGATTTTGGTGGGGACACAGAATGAACCATATTACCTGTTTTTTTTGCTGCCAACTCAAAGGATCTTTTGTCTGGTAGCTCAAGGCTCCAAGGCTCTAATGCACAATAAAATGTGAAGACCAAAGAGCAAACAAGTTCTCTTTATCAGTTATTTACATCTCTGTGTGCATGAAGTGTGCTAAATAAAGGATATTGGAAAGTAGGAGAAAGCTGTCCTCCCTGAAAATGCCTGGGTTGGGGTATAAGCCCAGCTTTCCTACTTTACCCCTTTGCCAAGGGGCCTAAAACCATCAAACATTCTCACTCTACCTCTGCCCTCATTTTTCTGGCTGTCCTTCTTTCTTTCTTTTATTCTCTGTCCTATGGAGTATTCTTTCTAATATTGATTTTTAATTTTTTAAATCGAGATAGGGCCTTGCTTTGTCACCTAGGCTGAAGTGCAGTGGCACAGTCATGACTCACTACATCCTCAATCTTCTAGGCTCAAACAATCCTCCTACCTCAGCATATTGAGTAGCTGGGACCACAGGTGCACATCCCACATCCAGCTAATTTGTATTCTTTTGTAGAGATGGAGTTTTGTCATATTGCTCCAGCTGGTCTTGAACTCCTAAGCTCAAGAGATCTGCCTACCTCAGCCTTCCAAAGTGCTGGTTACAGGTGTGAGCCACCATACCCAGCCTAATATTCTTTATTAATAATGACACACTGATGATTGAAGTGTAAGATGCAAGTAAGAGGTAAACATTTTAAAAACATCTCTAATTCTCACAATAATTCTGTAGGGAAAATTTTTTTCATGTTAAAAGTGAAAAAATCTGAAACAGAAGGAGAAAATAACTTACCATGTAATTTAGCAAATGGTAGAAACAGATGAGAATCCATATGTCCTTTTCCACCATCATATGCTGCCTTTATTTGTACACTATACGTGTTTGTAAATGTGTGCGTATGAGAGAGAAAGTGCATGCGTGCAAGCTTATCAATCTTTCTATGTATATATACATTTTTTTTAACCAAGTCTGAATGCATAGTTTTTGCTGCAGTGCCCGAAAACCAGTGTTGCCAGGTTGTTCACTCCGCATGTGGCCTCCCTAGAATGACTTGAAATTTTATAAGTTGCAATTTACACAATTGATGCATTCTTCTCTTGTATCATTTTTACAGACATAACAGAATTTATACCATTTTATTTTTCAAATAAATGATTTCCAGGGGTGACAGTTGCTTTAATTCTTACTGGCTGGTCTTTGAAGGCATAACATTATTTTCTTTAACATTATTTGTTCCTTCCTATAAGGCGCAACACTATGCTCATGTTGTGTCCATTGAAGCAGTTTCTCATTTTTGAAATTTTAATGCCTTATGGGATGAAAAAAAAGAGGAGAGGAAAGACCCAGTAGTGATTTAAGACTATGATTCCGAATTGAAGCATCTTGCTACTTAGAGGAACACCATATTTCATAGTGTATTTGCAGAAATGCTTCATGGCACAAACTCCTATTTCATGTCCTTGAAGGCCAATGGCGTAACAGAATTTCTGTTTCAGTGCCTATCTGATCAATAATCTCCATGACATTTCCTAGTTGCCATCCATCTTGTGGTACACTTTTACTGTGTTGATGTATAGTGACTAATATCTACATGTATATATTTTTTGTCTCCTGCAACTGTAAATTATTTAAAAAATATTTCTACAGGTGCTTACATCTATTTATATAAAACATATTTTCCTTGATTTCATTGGATATATATATATATATATATATATATAAATTTCACTGGAAAAAATATTTGGAATTTAGTGTAATTCCCTTTGGGCATGGCCTTTGAGTAAACATATGTCAATAGAGCACTGTCTATGTGGCAGACAATATTCTAGGCACTGGTTTCAAAAATGAGTAGGACATGGACCCTACCTTTCCAGAGCTCACAGTCTTCATAAATCTGTGGAAACAACATGAAATACTGCATAGATTTTGTTACCTTTAGGCCTCAGTTTGAATTTTCTTTTTACCACTTGTTAGGTGCTGGACATTCAATTTCTCAATGATATCATCTGTAAAATTGAGGTAATAATAAATATCATCTTAAGGCTTATGCGAGGATTAAATGAGTTAATAAATATATGCATTTACAATGACACCAGGCACATACATCCCAACAAATCCTGGATATTATAATTATTATTGACATTAGTACTATTGTTGTGATGTAAGAAACAAGCAGCTAAAGATTATAATACTATATAATGAATGAGTGTAAGATAGAAATTTTTTCAAGAGGATAAAATACAAAACTCCTTTGTAAGCTGTCCTAGGAGACATGAAACAAATGAGTTGAAGAAGACCGTATTTTCACTAGTCATATGAGAAAAGTTATAACACTCTAGGCAGCAGAAATAGCATTTGAAGAGTCAGGAAGGCTGAGAAAGCATGTCCCACTAAGTAAAATATTACTGAGCTCATGTGTATAATTGGGGAGTAGAGTATAGGGCAAAGGGTAAGGTCACAAAAAGGTCTGGGTGATATACTAAGAATTTAGGACTTCATCATGTTGACATTGGAAGCCACGAAAGGATTTTTTTAAAAATGGAACTAATATAATCAGATTTACATTATAGACAGATGATCCTATCTCCATTACAGAGGATGGATCAGAAAGAACACTAGCTGGAGGAAGGTAAGACTTGAGGATAGAAGGCTGTTATGATTGGTCATGTGAGAGCTGATCAGGTTGTCAAATAAGACTCTGTCAACGGAAATGGAAAAGTTGGGATGCATTTAAGACACATTTGAGAAGCTGAATGGACAGTACTGGAGGATCATTTGGATGAAAAGGGAACATAGAAGAAGAGGGGCATCTAAAATGATACTCAAGTTGATGTTTTGAACAATTGGGTGGATGACAGTACTTTTGACAGGAATAAAGCACAGATTTGAAAGGCAGACCAGAGACACAAGGGAGGTTGGCTGGGGATGAAATTCTGGACAATCATCAATTCAGGGGCTGGTGGAGAAAGAAGGAACAGAGAAGAAGACATGTAATAAATGTACAAGTAAGAGAAGAACCAAGTGTTACAGAATCTAAGGGAGAAATAAATGTTAAAAAATGTTTGTTACAAAGATGGAGCAAGGTGGCTAAGTAGAAGCCTACAGCAATTATCCCCCGCAACAGGAACACCAAATTGAACAACTATCCACACACAAAAAAGCACATTCAAAACAACCAAAAATCAGGTGAGTGATCATAGTACCCGAATTTAACATCACATTAAAGAAAGAAGCAATGAGGAGGGTAGGAGAAACAGTCTTGAATCACCTACAACACCCCTCCCCCATTCTCCAGCAGTGGCCATGTAGTACAGAGAGAGAATTTGTGCTCTTGGGAGAGGGAGAGCACAGTGATTGTGGGGCTTTGTATTGGAAATTAGTGCTGTTCTATCACAGAGAAAGCAACATGGGGGCAGAACTCAACTGTTACCCATGAAGGGACCACTTAGAACAACTCTAGCCAGAGATGAGTTCCAACAAGCCTTGCCACTGTGGGCTACAGTGCTCTAGGGTTGTAAATAAACTTGAAAGGCAGTCTAGGCCACAAGAACTGGAACTCCTAGGCAAGTCCTGGTGCTGTGCTGGCCTCAGAACTGGTGGACTTGGAGTGCATGCAACCCAGTGAGGCACCAGCTGGGATGGCCAAATGAGTGCTTACATCATCATCACCCCCTCCCCCAAACCCAGGCAGTGATGCATAGGCCCTAGCCCCTAGACAACATCTCTAGACACGCACTGGGCCAGAAAGGAACCCATTGCCTGGAAGAGAGGGATCTAGGAATCTAGTCCTGGCAACATTCATCACCTGCTGACTAGCGAACCCTCAGATACCGAATAATCAGCAGTGATAGCCAGGCGGTACTTGCTGTAGGCCTTAAGCAACATTCAGAGCCATGCTGGATTCAGGTGTGACCCAGCACATTTCCAACTATGATAGCTAAAGGGAGAGACTCCTTCTGCTTGAGGAAAGAAGAGGGAAGAGAAAAAAGGAGTTTGTCTTGCAGCTTTGGTACTAGCTTAGCCACAGTGGGGTAGAACACAAAATGAGTTCCTGCAGTCCCTGATTCCAGGACTTGGCTCCTAGACGGCATTTCTGGACCTGCCCTGGGTTAGATGGGAGCCCATTTCATTGAAGGAGGAGACCAAGGCCTGGCAGCATTCACCACAAGATGACAGAAGAGCCCTGGGATCTGGGTGAACTTTGGTAGTAGCCAGGCAGTACTTGTTATGAACCTGGGGTGATGGTGGGTATGAGGAGAGACTCCTCTGCTTGAGGAAAGAGAAAGGAAGAGTGGGAAGGACTTTGTGTTGCTGCTTGAGTATCAACTGAGTTGCAGTAGAATAAAGCACCAAATGGATTCCTAATGTTTCCAACTCCAGGCCCTGCCTCCTGGATGGCATCTCTGGATCTGCACGGGACAGGGGGAACTCACCACCCTGAAAGGAAAGAAACAAGCCTGTCTAGATTTGTTACCTGCTCAACGTAGAGCCCTTGGGCCTTGAGTGAACATAAGCAGTAACCATGCAAGGGTCACTGTGAGCCTTAGGAGACACCCAGTGCTGCTCTGGCTTCAGGTCTGATCCAGTGTGGTCTGAGTGGCGGGGGCCACAGGGATGCTTGTGTCACCAGTATCCCAACTCCAGGCGGCCCAGCAAAGGGACTTTGTTTAGGGAAAGTAAAAAGGAGAAAAACAATATCTGCCTGGTAATCTAGAAAATTCTCTTAGATCTTACCCAAGACCACCAAGGCAGTACCTCTTCGAGTCTGTAACAGCCAAAATATTACTGGAATTGGGGTGTGCCCTAATGCAGATATAGCTGTATTGACAAAAGATGTAGATTATAACACCCAAGTCCCTTTGAATGCCTGGAAAGCCTTCCCAAAAAGAGTGGGTGCAAACAAACCCAGACTGCAATGACTACAATAAATACCTGACTCTTCAATGACCAGACACTGACAAACATCTGGAAGCATAAAGACAATCCAGGAAAACATGGCCTCACCAAAATAACTAAATAATATACCAGTAACCAATCCTGAAGAGATAGAGATATGCGACCTTTCAGATAATTCGAAATAACTATTTTGAGGAAGCCCAATGAAATACAAGATTACACAGAGAAGGAAGTTAGGATTCTATCAGATAAACTCAACCAAGAGATTGAAATAATTGAAAAGAATCAGGCAGAAAATTTGGAGCTGAAAAATGCAATTGACATACTGAAGAATACATCAGAGTTTTGTGACAGCAGAAGTGATCAGACAGAAGGAAGAACTATTGAACTTGAAGACAGGCTATTAGAAAATACAGTCAGAGGAGACAAAAGACAAAAATAATAAAGAATGAAGCATACATATGAGATCTAAGAAATAGCCTCAAAAGAGCAAATCTAGGAGTTATTTGGCCTTGAATAGGTAGAGAAAGCAATATGGCTAGAAAGTCTATTTAAAGGGATCATAACGGAAAACTTCCCAACTCCAGAGACAGATAGCAATATTTAAGTAAAGAAGGTTATAGAAGACCAAGCAGAGTTAACCCAAAGTACATTATGTCAAGACATTTAATAATCAAACCCCAAAGATCAAGGACAAAGAAAAGATCATAAAAGCAGCAAGAGAAAATAAATAAATAACATACAATGGAGATCCAATACTTCTGGCAGTACCCTTCTCAGTGGATACCTTACAGGCCAGGAGAGAGTGGCATGACATAGTTAAGGTGCTGAAGGAAAAAACAAACAAAAACTTTTATCCTTGGAGTAGTATATTCAGCAAAAATATACTTCAAACATGAATGAGAAATAAAGACTATCCCAGACAAACAGAATAGCCATTCTGAATACACAATGAAAACAGAATAGCTATTCTGACTGGTGTGAGATGGTATCTCATTGTGGTTTTGATTTGTAATTCTCTAGTAATCAGTGATATTGAGCTTTTTGAAATATAATTGTTGGCCACATGTACGTCTTCTTTAAAAAGTGTCTGTTCATGTCCTTTTTTCCCTTTTATAATGTGATTGTTTTTCTGTTACAAATTTGTTTGAGTTCCTTATAGATGCTGGATATTAGAACTTTGTCAGATACATAGTTTGCAAATATTTTCTCCCATTCTGCGGGTTGTCTGTTTACTCTGTTGGTAGTTGCCTTTGCTGTGCAGAGGTTCTTAATTTTAGTTAAACCACATTTGTCAAATTTTACTTTTGTTGCTATCACTTTTGGCATCTTTTTCATGAAATCTTTGCCTATTTCTATGTTCATGATGGTATTGCCTAGGTTGTCTTCCAGGGTTTTTATAGTTTTGGATTTTATGTTTAAGTCTTTAATTCAATTAAGGTTGATGTTTGTAAATATATGGTGTAAGAAAGGGGTCCAGCTTCAATCTTCTGCATGTGACTAGCCAGTTATCCCAGCACAATGTATTGAATACAGAGCTTTCCCCCATTGCTTATTTTTGCCAGCTTTGTCACAGATCAGAGAGTTGTAGGTGCATGGTCTCATTTCTGGACTCTATTATGATTATGTCCCATTAATCTATGTGCCTGTTTTGTACTAGTACCATGGTGTTTTGGTTACTGTAGCCCTGAAGTACAGTTTGAAGTCAGATAACATAATGCCTTCCTCTTCATTCCTTTTGCTTAGGATTGCCTTGGCTATTTGGACTCATTTTTTTGTTCCATATAAATTTTAAGAGTTTTTTTCTAGTTCTGTGAATAATGTCATTGGTAGTTTGATAGAAATAGCATTGAATCTGTAGATTACTTTGGGCAGTATGGCCATTTTAGTAATACTAATTCTTCCTATCCATGACTGTGAAGTGTTTTTTCATTTGTTTGTGTCTTTTCTTATTTATATGAGCCGTGTTTTTTAATCTTATTGTAGAGTTCACCTCTCTGATTTCACTGTATTTCTAGGTATTTATTCCTTTTGGTGGCAATTGTGAATGGGATTGTCTTCCTGATTTGGCTCTTGGCTTGGCTGTTGTTGGTGTATAGGAATAGTAGTAATTTTTGTACATTGATTTTGTATCCTGAAACTTTGCTGAAGTTGTTTGCCAGCTGAAGGAGCTTTTCCGCCAAGACTATGGGTTTTTCAAGATCTAGAATCATGTCATCTGCAAGCAGGAATACTTTGACTTTCTCTCTTCCTATTTGGATGCCCTTAATTTTTTTTTAATCTTGCCTGATTGTTCTGGCTAAGACTTCCAATACTATGTTGAATAGGAATGGTGAGAGAGGGCATCCTTGTCTTGTGCCAGTTTTCATGGGGAATGCTTCTATCTTTTGCCCATTCAGTATAGTTCTGGTGGGTTTGTCATGCATGGCTCCTATTATTTTGAGATATATCCCTTCAATACCTAGTTTATGGAGAGTTTCAAACATGAATGGCTGTTGAATTTTGTCAAGTCTTTTCTGCATCTATTGAGATAATCATGTCTCAATCATGTATTTTTGTCTTTAGTTCTGTTTATGTTATGAATCACATTTATTGACTTGCATATGTAGAACCAACCTTGCATACCATGGATGAAGCATAGTTGATTGTGGTGGATTAGCTTTTTGATGTGCTGCTGGATTTGAATTGTAAGTATATTGTTGAGGATTTTTTCATCAACGTTCATCAGGGTTACTGGCCTGAAGTGTTTTTGTTCTTGTGTCTCTGCCAGATTTTGGTATCAGGATGATGCTGGCCTTGTAGAACAAGTTGGGGAGGAATGCCTTCTCCCCAGTTTTTTGAAATAGTTTCAGAAGGCATGGTACCAGATCTTCTTTGTACATATAGTAGAATTTGGCTGTGACTCCCTCAGGTCTTGGCTTTGCTTTGGTTGGTAGGCTATTTATTACTGATTCAATTTCAGAATTCATTATCGGTCTGTTTAGGAAATTATGTTCTTCCTAGTTCAGTATTGATAGGGTGTATGTGTCCAGGAATTTGTCCATCTCTTCTGGGTTTTTTAGTTTGTGTGCCTACAGGTGTTCATAGCGGTTTCTGGTGGCTATTTTTATTTCTGTGGGGTCAGTGATAACATCCCCTTTGTCATATCTAATTGTGTTAATTTGGATTTTTTCTCTTTTCTTCTTTTTTAATCTAGCTTGCAGCCCATCTATCATTAATTTTTTTCAAAAAACCAACCACAGTATTTATTGATCTTTATAATCATTGGTGACTTAATTTCCTTTAGTTCAGCTCTGACTTTGGTTATTTCTTGTCTTCTGCTAGCTTTGGGGTTGATTTGTTCTTGAGTCTTTCATTCTTTTAGTTGTGATGTTAGGTTCTTAATTTGAGATCTTTCTAACTTTTTGATGTGGACGTTTAGTGGTATGAATTTTCCTCTTAACACTGCCTTATCTGTTTCCCATAGGTTCTATTATGTTGTATCTTCATTTTCATTAGTTTCAAAGAGCTTCCTGATTTCTGCCTTCATTTCATTACTTATCCAAAAGTCATTCCGAAACATGTTTAATTTTCATGTAATTGCATGGTTTTGAGTGATTTTTCTTAGTCTTGACTTCTATTTTTATGGTGCTGTGGTCTAAGAGAGCGGTTGGTATGATTTCATTTCTTTTGCATTTGCTGAAGATTGTTTTTTGTCCAATTATGTGGCTGATTTTAGAATACGTGCCATGTGGCAATGAGAAGAATGTACATTCTGTTGTTTTGGGGTGGAGCATTCTGTAGAGGTCTATTGGATTCATTTGGTCAAATGTTAAGTTCAGGTCTTGAATATCTTTGTCAATTTTCTGTTACAATGATCTGTCTAATACTGTCAGCGGAATGTTGAAGTCTCCTACTGTTGTGTGGGAGTCTATGTCTCTTTTTAGGTCTCTAAGAACTTGCTTTATAAATCTGGATACTCCTGTTTTGGGTGCATCTATATTTAGGATAATTAGGTGTTCTTGTTGTGTTGTACCCTTTACCATTATGTAATGCCATTTGTCTTTTTTGATCATTGTTGGTTTAAAGTCTGTTTTGTCTGAAACTGGGATTGCAACCCTGCTTTTTTTCTGTTTTCCATCTGCTTGGTATATTTTCCTCCATTCCTTTATTTTGAACCCATGAGTGTCATTACCTGTGAGATGCATCTCCTGAAGACAACATATTATTAGGTCTTGCTTTTTTATCCAGCTTGCCACTCTACACTTTTAAGTGGGGCAGTTAGCCCATTTACATTTAAGGTTAGTATTGATATGTTTGGATTGGATCCTGTCATTGTTTTGTTAGTTGGTTATTATGTTGGCTTGTTTGTGTGGTTGCTTTATAGTATCACTGGTTTGTGTATTTAATTATGTTTTCGTATGAGCTGGAAGCAGTCTTTCCTTTCTATATTTCATGCTCCTTTCAAGATCTCTTGTAAGGCAGATCTGGTGGTAACAAACTCCCTCAACATTTGCTTATCTGAAAATAATCTTATTTCTCCTTCTCTTAGGAAGCTTAGTTTGGCTGGATATAAAATTTTTGATTGAAGATTTTTTTTTCTTAAGGAATGTTGAATATAGGCCTCCAGTCTCTTTTGGCTTGTGGGGTTTCAACTGAGAAGTCTGCTGTTATCCTGATAGAGATCCTTTTGTAGGTGACCTGCCCTTTTTCTCTAACTGTCATTAACATTCTTTCTTATATTTCAACTTTGGAAAATCTGACAATTATATGCATTGGGGAAAATTTTCTTGTGTAGATTCTTGCAGGAGTTCTCTGTATTTTCTGTATTTTACTCTTGGCCTCTCTAGCAAGGTTGGGGAAGTTTTGAGGAATAATATCCTGCTTTCTCCCCATCCCTTTCAGGGATGCCAGTGATTTGTGGTTTTGGCCTCTTTACACAATGCCACACTTATCAGAGGTTTTGTTTATTCCTTTTTATTCTTTCTTCTTTATTTTTGTGTGACTGTCTTATTTCAAAAAGCTAGTCTTCAAGTTCTGAGATTCTTTCCTCAGCTTGGTTTATTCTACTTTTAATATTTGTGATTGCATTGTGAAATTTTTGTGTTGTGTTATTCAACTCCATTAGATCCATTAGGTTCTTTTTTGTACCAGCTATTTCATCCTTCAGCTATTGTATTATTTTCTTGTGGTTCTTAGTTTCCTTGGAATGGGTTTGCTGTTCTCCAGAATCTCAATGATCTTTGTTCCTATGCATATTCTGAACTCTCTCTCTGTCATTCCAGCCAGCTCAGCCTGGTTAAAAACTCTTGTTGGAGAACTGGTGCAGTATTTGGACGACAGAAAACACTCTGGCCATTTGAGTTACTGGAGTTCTTGCTTTGGTTCTTTCTCATCTCTGCATGTGCATAATCCGTTAACTGCAATGTAGATTTAGTACAGTCAACGACTTCTTTTCTGGATGTTTTCACGGGCCAAGGCTTTGTGTAGGATCTTTATTTGAAGCTGACTTCTTATCTTTGGTTTCAGAGTGGGATATGTTAGTAGGCATTTTTGGTGTTGAAGCTTTGGGGTGTGATCTAGTAGATGGTACTTAGGTGTATTGGTCAGTTGGTTGACTCTTGCTTGGTTGTGTGGCTCCCCTATGTTTCCTCACAGTTGAAGCCATGTTCCCTCTCAGTGCTCTGAAAGTGTGAGTTTCTCTTCCCCTTGAATGCTGGCTGCAGATTGCAACTTGGCACTCCTCAGCTGCCCACTGCAGCTCTGGGGTGATCTCACTGTTTATGTTCCTTCCCCATCTTGGAGGTAGCAGAGGATGAGATCTTAGTAGTGTTTGTAGCCAAGGGTCTTTGCTTATCTTCTGGGGGGATCCACCCCAGAGAGATGCAGGTCAGCAATTGCCCAGTGCAATCAGACCAGGATGGAGGTTCTGTGCTATGGGCCCAAGCCAGGGGTTTCCTGTCTGGTGATGAACAGTTGGTGGGGGGCTAGGTGGGACTGATGGGGGATGGACTCCTCTCCTCTGGTTGACTGTAGCTTGGAGGTATGAATAAGGCACTTAGGGTCTTTGTTTCTTTGTTAGTCCAAAGGTAGCAAGGAGAGTTCCACTGCTAAGGTAGTGGCAGAGAAGCTTTCATTTGCTCTGGGGGTTCTTTCCAGGGGGTTGCAGAACTGTTATTGACTTGATAGCTCTGGCAGGGGGTGGCTAGGGCCCCAGGCCTAGAGAATCTGCCCAGTGAGGAGATATAGGAATGGGCACCTACATAACATTCTGGCCATTTTTCCGTAAGACTGCTGTCGTATGCTGGGGGCCCACTCCAGTTCCTAGTCATTGCAAATATTTCAGTACCTGAAGGTATTAAGAGTGAAAGCTGAGAAACAGCGAAGATGTTGGCCCACGAACATCTCTGGGAGCTCTGTCCTAGAGAGTTACGGACCTGTTGCTGGTCCAAACACTGTAGGAGGTGGCTGGAAACTCCAGCTGGGAGGCCCTACCTAGTGATGAGGAATGAGATAGGGCACCTTTAAAAAGCAGTCTGGCCACGTTTTTGTAGAGAAGCTGTGTTGTATGGAATACTGCTTCCACCCCTGGCTGGTTTGGACTGTTCAAAGCCCAAAGGCTGGATGCCTAAGTTGCCAGAACATCAAAGATATCAGCCCATCCCTCCCTCTGGGAGCTCTGATCCATGGAGGTTTCAAATCTCTGTTGGCCAGAAAACACCAGGGGGAAGGCTAGAGACCCCAGCTGGAAGGTCCTGACAAGTGAGGAGGAATGGAATTGGGTACCCATTTAAAAAAGCAATCTGGCAGCATTTTCATAGAGCAACTGTACTCTGCTAGGGGACCGCTTCTGTTCCTGGTTGGTTTGTACTCTCCATAGCCCAAAGACTGGACAGCTAAGTTGCTAAAACAGCAAAGACAGTGGCCTGTCCCTCCCCTTGGAAGCTCTGTCTCCCGGAGGTGCAATGCTGCTACCAGTGGCTGGCCAGAATTCCAAGCCATTGAGTCTTATCTTGTGAGGTGCCATGAAAGTGGGGCCTGCATACTATTACTCTTCAGTCTCCTGGATTCCACCCCTTTCCTAGGAGTATGTGTGGGGGTCTAACATCCCACTTTACCTTAGTTGCAGCTACTTTTTCTGGAAGGCCCAGAAAGCCTGGATATCTAAGGCCCCTGGGTATCCGCATGTGCATGAGTGGCTGTTCTGCTGAGACTCTGCATAGCTATGTGTGTCAGCTATGTGAAAGCCCTGGTGGAGTGGGTTCACCTGGGGATATCCTGACCCAACGGTTGCAAAGATCCATGGGAGAAGCATGCACTCCTGGGGCCACACATTTACTCACCACTTCCTTGTGTTGAGGAGGTTCTCCTGGCTTCATGTCACTCCGTGGTGGGCTGTCATTCTGCCTTGCTTTTCTCCATTTTCTGTGGTTCAAGTTGTTGCCTTGATTAGTCGCAACGTGTGTACCTGCATGTTTCATTTTAAGATGTGTATTTACTTGTCCCTTCTGTTCCTCTCCATGAGAGCTATGCACACTAGCAGCCTCTAGTCAGCCATCTTGGCCCAAGGTTTCAATGAAGAAATTGTGAATAAAATTGAAAAAATTCTTGAAAGAAATGATAATGGAAACACAACATACCAAAACCTATGGGATATAGTGAAAGCAGTCCTAAAAGGAAAGTTTATAGCAATAAGCCCATATCTCAAAAGAGTAGAAAAACTTCAAATAAACAACCTAATTATACATCTTAAGGAACTAGAAAAGCAAGAGCAAACTAAGCCCCAAACTAGTCAAAGAAAGAAGTAATAAAGATCAGGCATAAATAAATAAAATTGAAATGAAAAAACAATTAAAATGATCAACTAAACAAAAAGTTGGTTTTTTTAAAAAGATAAAACTGACAAATCTTTAGACTAATTAAAAAAGAGAGAAGACCCAAAGGAATTATATCAGAGGTAAAAAAAAAAAAAAAAAAACTCCTATCTCTCACCATTTACAAACATCAAATCAAAATGTTTTAATGACTTAAATCTAAGACCTTAAACTATGAAACTACTTAAAAGAAAACATTGAGGAAATGCTCCAGGACATTGGACTAGGCAAAGATTTCTTGACTAATACACCACAAGCACAGGCAACCAAAGCAAAAATGAACAGACAATATCACATCAAGTTAAAAAACTTCTGTATGGCAAAAAAAATAATTAATAAACTAAAGAAACAACCCATAGAATGGGAGAAAATATTTGCAAACAATTCATCTGACAAGGGATTATTAACCAGAATATTTAAGGAGCTCAAACAACTAGATTAGATTATTAGATGTTTTCTAATGGATAGTTTCCAAACTATTAGATGTTTTCTAATAGTATTGGAAAACACCTAATTATCTAATTAAAAACTGGTTAAAAGTTCTAAATAGGCTTTCCTCAGAAGAAGACATGCAAATGGCAAACACATATATGAAAAAGTGCTTAATATCATTCATCATCAGACAAATACAAATCAAAACTGCAATGAGATATCATCTCATCCCAGTTAAAATGGCTGTTTTCCCCAAAAAAACAGTCAATGACAAATGCTTGTGAGGATGTGAAGAAAAGGAAACTCTGAAACCCTGTTGATGGGAATGTAAATTAGTACAACCACTATGGAGAACAGTTTGGAGGTTCCTCAAAAATCTAAAAATAGAGCTACCATATGATCGAACAATCTCACTGCTGGATATATACAGAAAACAAAGGAAATCCGTACATCAATGAGATGATAACTGCACTCTCATGTTTATTGCAGCACTATGCACAATAGTCAAGATTTGAAAGCAACTTAAATTTCTACAAACAGATGAATAAATGAAGAAAATTGTGGTACATATACACAATGGAGTACTATTCAGGTATTAAAAAAATGAGATACTGTCACCTGCAACAACTGGAGGACATTATGTTAAGTGAAATAACCCAGACAAAGAAAGGCAAACTTTGCACATTCTCACTTATTTGTGGGAGCTAAAAATTAAAACAATTGAACTCAGGAAGATAGAGAGTAGAAGGATGGTTACCAGAGGCTGGAAATGGTAGTGAATGTGAGAGCAGGGAGTAGAGTTGGTTAATAGGTACAAAAATATAGTTAGGAAGAATAAGATCTAGTATTTGACAGCCAACAGGATGACTGCAGTCAACAATAGCTTATTGTATATTTAAAAATTGTAAAAAAAGAGTATAATTATATTGTTTCTAGCACAAAGTACAAATGTTTGAGAGGATGGACACCCAATTTAACTGGATGTGGTTATTATACAACGTATACTTGTATCAAAATATCTCATGTACCCCATAAACATGTATACCTACTCTGTAGCCACAATAATTAAAAATATATAAAAAATAAAAGATTTGTTAAAATTAGAAGGTAATTGGTGATCTCAGTGCATATATTCTAAAGTTAAGAAGAATTAAGTAAGGGGAACAAAATGAAGATTAGTGAAAACTATTGTCAAGTAGCTTGACTATGAAGGGGCATACAAATGAGGTTTTTTCCCTCCTCTTTAGGATAGACTTTAGTACTTTTATATGCTAAGAGAAATGAGTCACCAGAGGAAGACAGATATTTAAAAAAGATGATATAATAAATAATTCCTTTCAGGTGAAAATTGTATAGAACCAGAACAAAAGGATAAATTTTTAATAAGAGGACAGTGTCCTATTTATGTACATGGGAGAAAAGAATGGGGTACATGGAGATAGATTGTGTGTGTCTGGAATACAAATTTTACTGTGTTCATATCTGATGGTTTCTATTCATAAAGTAGAAGGTGAGGTTATCTTCATGAGTATTAAAGGTTTTATTCTTTTTCCATCACCATTATGTTTTATCTAACTCCTTCTAGAAATTATGTTGTGTAAACAAAAAGGATTTAAGACATGTCCCAATCAATTTAGAAAGTTTATTTTGCCAAGGTTAAGTACACGCCAGTGACAGGCACAGCGTGGTTTTATACATTTTAGGTAGACATGCGACGTCAATCAATATGTGTAAGATGTATGTTGGTTCGGTCCAGAAAATCAGGACAACTAAACATGAGAAGGGGGCTTCCAGGTCATAGGTAGATAAGATAAGGTTGTGGCTGGGCACGGTGGCTCACACCTGTAATCCCAGCACTTTGGGAGCCCGAGGCAGGTGGATCATGAGGTCAGGAGATCGAGACCATCCTGGCTAACAAGGTGAAACCCCCTCTCTACTAAAAATACAAAAAATTAGCCAGGAGTGGTAGTGGGCGCCTGTAGTCCCAGCTACTCAGGAGGCTGAGGCAGGAGAATGGCATGAACCCAGGAGGCAGAGCTTGCAGTGAGCAGAGATTGCGCCACTGCACTCCAGCCTGGGCGACAGAGCGAGACTCCGCCTCAAAAAAAAAAAAAAAAAAAAGAGAGAGAGACAAATGGTTGCAATGGTTGCATTCCTTTGAGTTTCCGGTTAGCCTTCCAATGAATATACAATTTACAGGAATAGTCATATATGCTTTAGTCTGGCTTAGGGAAACAATAGGTCAAAGGAACCAATCAGATATACATTTGTCTCATGTGAGCAGAGGGATGACTTTGAGTTCTGTCTGTCCTTGGTCCACAAGGAATTTCCCTGTGGGCAAATTTTGTGGGAGATCTGTAGCTGTTTTATTTTCTAGCTATCTTATTTACGAATAGAATGGGAGGCAGGTTGCCCAATGACAGTTCCCAGCTTCACTTTTCCCTTTGGCTTAGTGATTTGGGGATCCCAAGATTTATTTTCTTTCATAGTAGTAAAATAAATAATAAGTATTTTGAAGAATCTCTAGGTTCTGTGAATTTCTTGAGGTATTTCTAAACAATGTTTGTGTCTGTCTTCCAATGAAGCTTTACCGACTGAAGTGTTATCGTTAGTTTCTTCTATTTCGACCCTCTGCCTCTTTTCTTTTTTATTGAGAGGGCTGTATAGATTCCTGTAAGTGCTAACAGTCATGCTGTTATTTTGGTCAAAGTCACCTGTGTGCTCTCTGAGCATATTACCTGAAGAAAAAAAATCAATATTTGGGATCAGCAGTATCTCCAATCTGTATTCTTTATTAAGACTCCTGGAAGGGCATGTTTGCTGTCCTGTACTGAACACTTGTCACACCTACGTAGGTGCTTGCTAAAGTATCACTGAAGGAACATTTCTATTTATGCAAGAACTATATTTAAACATTGGATTGTATCAGATGAATACATGGAGAATTAGAGAGGTTAAGTACATTTCCCACCATTTCCCAATTTTAAGTGAGGCTATGCCTCAAACGTTCTTTGATTCTCCAAAGTTCAAGTTTTTATTCTCATGGAATTGACCTAACACCCTTGTCTAGTCCCAGGCTTTATGCTATTTAACTATAGTTCTGTCTTTTGCAGTAAAACAAAATAATTCTATTTGTCCTTCCACAGAGCACCACCAGAAACAACTGAATCTTATTGTTAGCAAAGATTAATGAGCTCTGCAGAGGCAGAAAGAGAACTTAATTTTCTAACAGCAATCTGCAGATCGGGGAGATGCAGCCTTTGGTGCAAAATGAAAGTGGGCTCTGAGGACGGGGTTGGAAAGTTGGAGATTATAAAGGTGCAAACTTCAGGGCAGGAGAGGAGAATCAGAAGAATGAGGAACAGAGTCTTGATCGGATGACCATTAAGCCCAAATCACCAATCTCTCTTAATTGGCTGGTTCCAGGCGATTGGTTGGTTGGCTCCAGGTGGTCATTTGGAGGTACGCTGGGGAAATTTCCAGCAGTAGCCTATCTCAGAACTCACAAGAGGAACTGGTTTGACTTGATTGTAGAAAGGAAGGGCCTGTGACACTTTTACACAGTACGTGACTGCTTCTCAGTCAGCTATGATTGCTTGCTTCTATTTTAACTTTGAGCACCTCAGACATGAGGAATCCATTTTGTCTTTCAGCTGGGGACATACTTTATGATTTCCCCCTTTTGGTTGAAACTTGCCATAGGCAGCATTGATGACCAACTTATGTTCTTGTTGCATATTATTGCCAGAGTGGTGTAGCTAGCTGATTGGAGTCCATGTAGTCCCTCCCTGGGACCCATGTGGCTGAGGAACTTATGGCCAATTCAAAGAAGTTGGGCCAAGTAAGGCAAGAAGGCAGATAGGCATCTGTTAGCTCTTTATCAGTGTCTCTTATGGATGTTTGGTGGTATCAGTTAAGTCTATGAATAAAACCTAGAAGTGTCATGTGATAAAAATCCATGTCGGAGAATTGGCAAAACATTTGTAAAACAGACAAGAACAATTTTTAAAAGAAACTAGCTGCCTAGGCTTCATAGGAGAAGGATCTAAGACAGAACTGTGGATGACAAGAACTTAGAGTACCATAGTTAAAGATGCAATTGATAAGATAATATGGTTACTTCTGTGACATACAACAATTTAACATAAAAACCATAATTATGACTAATAACATATACCAATAAATATAAGAATTTAGGAATATTATACAATTTTGGAACACATACCGGTAACACATTTATACAAATACAAATCAAAGTTAAATACCAATTTTAAAAAGTTGTCATTGTGTCTTATATGATTTTAACATATCAAACAAGCCTAATATGTCTTTCTTGGACTTCCTGGGGTTCCTGTTATGTCCAAGTTAGTTCGGGACAAAAAACTTGATTTTAGAATTTTCCATTTAATTTTGGAAAGTTTAAATATCAAAGGTTTAAAATTGTTGATCAAAGTAGAATTACAGATCACTAGGAAATATAGCAAAAGAGTTTAAAGGCACAAAGCACAAGAAATTATTTGGATAAAACATTAACTGGAATCTCTTTCCTAGGTCATTTATGTAAAAAGTAAAGAAAAATCTGTTTTATAATTTTCTACTAAAGAACAGATGAATCCCCTAGGAATACCCTGTTTTTCTGACATTATAGCCCAACTCTGGCCTTACATCAGTGTGCTTTTATATTCATAATTGTCTTCTAGTTTTAACCAATTTGATCACACAAAATTCCTTCCATGGGATTAATCATTAACAAATTTTTACAATTTGTTTAGTCCTTTTAGTTTGTCCTATATTTTTTGTTTTTGTTTTTATTTTTGGCATTCTATCTTAGGATAAAAATTTACCTTCCTTCCTCCTCATTATTTTGACGACACAGTTCTTTCTCATGTCAAAAAAAGAAAAGAAAATTACTTTTGCTTTTGAACTTTTTTTTTTTACCAAAAACATATTTTTGAAAATATACTCTGTATATTTTTAAATATCTCTTCTATCTAGTAGTTTTAATTACATATATTAACTACAATTTTAACTCTTAGTAAACCTAGTTTTCAGAGAAAAACCTAAGGAGTAAGTAATTTTGAACTGTTTTATGTTAGAATTTGTGGATGAAAAGAATTGCATAACTTTTAGAATGAAATATTTTCTCAAAATTTTTTGTTTATTAACACATCTACAAATATTTAGCTTGTCAAAGTATATAAACTCAAATATGTTTAATAATTAATGTTTCTGAATTTTAACTTAGATATGACTTATACATTTTATATTACTTATTTTAATATAACATGACCTTAAGATTTTAAGTTATTAAAAATAATTTTGAAACTGTGACACAGGTACCCTTTCTAATGTCTTCCCCAGTTGGCCTGGGTCCCAACTACCCATGTGGCACTGAAAGATAGATACAAAGGGCAGGGCCCATCTAAGTCCTGAATTTACAAACCAGGAGTAGAGCTCAGGACAGAGTACGGAACTGTGGAGATATTGCCTGGAAAATTCAACTTTTTCAGCATGGTCTAGGAGGGGAAGTTGGGCCAGGGAGAATGTGGCCATATTTGGCTTGGCTCTGCCTTGCAGCTGGTGGTCCAGGCACTGAGGACATGTCTTCAGCCCTCATCATGGCCACCTGTCCTCTGGATTCTCCAGAATCCAGAGACTGTCTTCACAAGCTCACAGCAAAATGGGTGCAATGCTTTGGGCGAGGCCAGAAGGCAACCCTTATAGCTTTAGCTCACAGACAAAGCAAGAAAGTATCAAAAATACTAGAGAAGTGAGAGTTTTATGACCTTTAAACATCTAGCAGCAACGGCCAAAACCTGTCTGACCAGTACACCCAGGAAAAATGTCTGAATTATATTTAATACTGATAATTCTGAAGATATTCTAATTTTATTTTGACAATAATTTTAAACTAGTTTTGTTTACCAAATATTACTAAAGTCATATGAGCTAAATGTATTTGAGTTAGTTTCTATTTTTCTGATAAAATATTTTTAGATACTTTAAAATATTAATTAGAGCTCTTTCATATATTTTGGTAGCAAAATATCACATACGCATAACACATATAAACATATAGACACACAGACATACAGATAGAAGCAGACCTTATAGATTTATAAGAGTCTTCATTTTCTAGTATTCAAATAGTTTTTCTCCTCCTTATAGAATATTATATCCTAAATGATTGTTAGCAAGGCAACTTAAAATTTGTACTTCCAAAGATGTAACTTCTTATATGAAAATTTAAATCACAAAGGCTTAGATCTAAACACCATTATTTGCTGAGACAAAGAAATAGGTAAGGCCTAGTCAAGACAAGATTGCCAGGAAAAGTATCTTAAACAAAAGTAAGGGTTGTTATACAAATTTAAGCCAATGTCTTCGCCATTGTAAAAGTTTCTAGTTGTTTACGTGCAAGAAGGAAGATGCCCTTATAAATGTTAATTTTTTATAGAACAGATTTCTTTTACAAAGACTTTCACAAACTAGCCAGCTAAATGTCTGAAAGTATTTTTGAGACCAGTCTAGTTAAATAGGTGTGTGATTTTTGTTTGTTGGTTTGTTTGTTTTTAACCTTAGTTTATTTCTTGATTGGATACCTGACTTCAGGGTAGAGCCCTTTAATAAGGCAAAATACAAAACAACAATAACAATAACAACAACAAAACATTTTCCATGCCTGGTCTTAGCATGGATAGCTCTAAAAAAGAAGCAGTTCTATCTGATGACCTACTGTTTATAAATACCTTATCTAGTATTTCTTTCTTTCTTTTAAACCAAAGGTACCTTTTCTGGTAACTCAACAAAACCAGTAAGTTTTAACCAAGGTTATGACTGAAATGAAGATGAACTAGGGATCTCCAAAGAGATGAAAAGCAGTTTTCACAAGATCCAAAACCATCCCAAAGGTAGCTCAAAGGTAAGTCTCATTAGCCACAAATAAAATACAACTCACATTTCTGTCTGGCCATATTTTCTAGGTTCACAGCTTCTTAGCTGAGTGCCTGTGCAAAAAGGCCCATAAACCCTGTGTGCCCCACAGACAGAAAAAGACAAAATAAAATTCTGTCCATGAGAGAGAAAAGGATCAATAAAAATGGGCAACCTGAAAGGCCAAGAGTCATGTATGTAATTTAAAACAAATGGAACTGGTTTCCTGACTGGGCCTCAATCCTGGACCATAGCCATTAATCACAGAATCTTAGCCATTAGACTATAGTGTGAAACGCTTTTTGTAAATCCTGCTGGGGATCCAAAGCAGGCAGTATGAGTGTACAAAAAATTTTAACTTTGCTTTAGGTAATAGTTTTCCTCTTTAGGTTTGTCAAGAGAATTTCTAAGTCAACTCTGACACTATTATGTGTGTCTTCAAAAAAAAAATATTTTCATAAATGCAAATAAGGCAATTGCTTAAAATGAGATATTTCTACTTTTTTTCTATTTTTAAATTTAGGAGTCTAGTTTAAAAGATCCATCTTCTGGCCATTCACAGTTAGAATTCCTAACGGTGTGCTTACTCCAATATCAACTCAACCCAATAGGCTTTTCATGGAAATTTCAGGATGTAGTTTTCCAGGTTTAGGATACACCTTTCTGAGTTAAGAAAGAGGTGTTTACTGGAGCAGGCATAGAAGAGACAATCTCAAAGATAGTTGTGTGTATGTTGCCTCTGGTAACCCACAATTTTTTTGGGTCCACTAGTCACAGACCCATTAATCTATGACACTTGGTAGGCCCTCCTGGAATTGGACTTTCCCAGTACCAATCAGGCAACAAGGGTTTAGATGACTAAAGCCCAATAGGGATGGGCTTTCCTGAGAGCTTGACACATTCAGAAAATGTTTTTAAAAAGTGTGTTAATAAGAACTGCAAACTGAAGAGTCTGCAGGACTGGCTTGAACAAATGGTCTTTTAGGAGTTTTAGGCTCATGTTGTACCCTATGGTTCTCTGCTTTATTACAGAACAACACAAAAACACAAAGACAAAAGAAAAGACAATCTGGGAGACAAAAGATTTTAAATAATATGAATATTCATATCAAAAAGTAGCATACAACACACCAGAGTCACTACATCCAAGACTAGTCATACAAATCATTTTCTCCAATTAAAAAAGATTTTGTGGAGGAGACAGTGATTTTTACTGTCTGTCTGCTTGACTGAATTTCACAGAAAGAGAAGCCAGAAGCCCTACTGGTAAGCAATTCTTACCTTTCTGCTGGCTTATCAGGTCTCAGGTTACCTTCACTGCAGCTCCCAGAAGAGCAGAGGGGCTTTGGTCATGCTGCTCATAGTGTCAAAACTGTAGGAGTAGAGGGAAA
This sequence comes from Homo sapiens, assembly GCF_000001405.40. Taxonomy (NCBI): domain Eukaryota; kingdom Metazoa; phylum Chordata; class Mammalia; order Primates; family Hominidae; genus Homo; species Homo sapiens. The sequence goes on from NC_000009.12 coordinate 24,379,900, forward strand.
GCTTCCCCTTTGCCCACTGAAGGTTCAAGTAATAATCAACTCACAAAGGGAATCCATAGGAGAAGTGGCATACAAATTTATTAACTTGATCACAGGGAATAACCCCAGAGTTATTACCTACTTCTTGATAAATGAAAAGTCTCAAGGAAAAATCCTTCTGTCAAGTAGAACAACTAGCTGGATATAATAACTCAGGACTGTCAACCAAATGGGAGGACCAAGACTCAGGAAAGACTCACCCAGCCACCTCTAAGTGTGGAGGAGCCACTGTGAGTCCTCATAATGTTCCAGAAGAAGAAGGTGGTGGTGAGAAGGGGAAAGTGATGGGCGGGGGGCGGGGTGAGATGCAAGTAGGGGAGCAGGGAGACACAGGGTGCTTTGTTTTAAGGTCTGAGAGCCTTTCATGTTTTCACAGATGTTGGTTAAGTCTTCAGATTTGTCTCCTTTTACAATTTACAGAGGTTCCAATTGTGTTTGGAGCTTTCAAATATTCAAATTAAAGAAAAGACTCATTTTTGAGAAGTCAGACTTCTCTTTGTTTTAGTTTTGTCTGTAGATACTACAATTTAGATGCATTTCTCGGGTCAATTATTATCCAACCTTTGTTTTAAGTTTGAAAAACCACCAGAGTGCCTGATGGTGGCCAGTCAGAGACTGTTCCTTTAGAATCTGGGTCACCCATAACACTCACTTTATGAAAGTGCCCCTTTGAATGCAGCTGAAGTGTAAGTGTCCTCACAAAACTGAATTGTGAGTGTACCTTACAAAGTGCAAGCATATCCCCGAAGTGTGGGCATACTCTATTAATGGCTACCCCATAGAGCTGGATGGGCAGACTTCCTAAAGAAAATAAAGTCTCCAAAACTTCAGCCCAAAAATGGGAGACCTTAGATTCGAAAAGCCTTGCCCAATTCCTCCCCGATGCAGCCAGGAAGTACTGAACATAAGGGGCTCATGTAGGCACCTATGCCTTGGTCCAACTGGCATTGGGAAAGAGGTTTGGGGCCACTTCAGATCCCATCCTCCTCATCAACAAACGTTAACAAAAGATCAATGAGACCTGCAGAGGCAAAAGGAGAACTTTATTTTCAAAAAGCAATCTGCAGATCGGGGAGATGCAGCCTTCAGTGCAAAATAAAAGTGGGCTTTCTGAAGAGTTTTGGAAAGTTAGAGATTATAAAGGCAAAAACTGCAGGGAAGAGAAGAGGAGTCAGGGGAGTGAGGGACACAGCCTTGATTGGATGACCTTTAAACCCCAAATCATGTCTTCCTTAATCAGCTGGTTCCAAGTAGTTGGTTGGTTGGCTCCAAGTGCTCTGTTGGTGATATGTTGGGGGAAATTTCCAGCTGTAGTCTATCTCAGCACTCACAAGAGGAACTGTTTGGCTTGATTGTAGAAAGAAAAGTCCTGTGACACTTTTATAACATCTTACTGAGAACACAGAGTACATGACCACCCCTCACCCAGGTAGGGCTGTCTGATTCTATGTTAAATTTGAGCACCTCAGTTAGCCATGGGGAGTCCCTTTTGTCTGTCAGCCAGGCACGTACTGTAATACCATATTTGTCTTTCTGATGCATATCATCTTTAACTACCTTGAGTTTTCCTTGAAGATAATGGTTTGCAAACTCTTTCAATATCCTGGCATCCTCTGTGAATAAACTTTAGTTCTTAGTCTTAGGGAAGCTCTCATAAAATAAAAATAACATGAAATTCTAGCTGAGATTGAGTTTTGTTCTGACAAATTCCAGGATTTGAAACCTGAACAGGACACTTAGTCTCTGCATCTCTTTTATTCATTTGCAGATGAAAATGGCACCTAAGCCAGCACAAGGTTTTTCTTTTTAAACAGGTTTATTAGTGTATTATAAAGTGCAACATTTCAAAGTATACAGTTCAATGTTTTTTAGTACACAGTTGGCTCTCCATGTTCCCAGGTTCTCTGTATCCACAGATTCAACCAACTATGGATCATTTACAGTGTTGTGCAAAGAACACCATGATCTAATTTTAGAACATTTTCATTCTCCCTACAAGAAACACTGTAGCCATTAGCAGTCACTACTCACCACCCCCAGCTTCCTTCCCCACCCCACCTTATCCTCAGTGCTAGGTAAATACCAATCTGCTATCTTTTGAAATATATTTGTCTGTTGTGTGCATTTCAGAATAGATAAAATCATATAATTTTTCTTCTTTTCTAACTGGTTTCTTTTACATAGCCTAATGTTTTCAGAGTTACTCCATGTTATAGCATGCATCAGTAATTCATTTTATAGCCAACCAATATACATTGAATGGATATGATACAATTTGTTCATCAGTTGATGGACATTTGGATTGTTTCCATTTTTCAGCTCTAATGAATAATGCAACTCTAAACAGTTGTGTATAGGTTTTTATGTGGACATATGTTTTCATTTCTCTGGAGTGGAATCGTAGGAGTGAAATTGCTTCACATGATAATTATGCATTCGTATGGTAACTCTATGTTTAACATTTTGGGAAACTGCCAAACTGTTTTCCGAAGTGACTTTACCATTTTAAATTCCCACCAATGAGCATTTTATGAGAACTAAAAGATTGAGTTAATAGTCAGAGGAATAAATAAATGCTTAAGCACTATCCATAGTTATTCTTATTATCTTGTTTTGTCTAACTTCTCCCAGAAAGCAAGCAGCATGTGTGTGTGTGTGCGTATACGTGTGTGTGTGTGCATGCGTGCACATTTTAACAAATCTCCCAGTCATCTTGAGGATTTCTTTAGGTAATTCCTAGAGTTAATGTTTGTGGCTTATGAGCTCATGTTTTGTTATTAAGGCTCTGGTGAGGCAAAGAACAGATGTGAGTCTGGTATGTTCAAATTAGCTCTCCAGTTACCTACTTGCATTGTAACTATCCTAACCTTGGCCAGTCATCTCTCAGGAACATGCCAATGATTTCACACATGTGGATCAGACAGCAGTTGTGGTCAGTCTGACTAAAGAAATGACTGGGAAGAAAATTTATTCTGTTTGTCCCAGAGATGGAGGGTGATTTGTGCTAATTTACAGGTAGGACAATACTAATTACACTGACAGAACCGAGTACTACCAAGAAGTTCATGAGCACATGACTCAGAGAAGGAGCTTGTCCTTCACTGTCTCTATTTCATATGAGACTGCATTCTTAGAGGCAAGAATCACATCTTAGCCTGTTACTGTATAGAAGTACATATGGACATAGTAATACGGACATAGTATTACATAATCAAAATAGGAAATTCTATACCTATTAGAAATATATTTCATTTGAGTTTATCTATACATATTTAGAACACAGGAAATTACTTTTTACTAAACATTTAGCTTTGTCTTAAATATTTCTCATCTAATATCCAAACTATTCAAAGTACTTTTTTATTTTTTAATTTTCATTTTAAGTTTTAGAGACAGGGTTTTACCCCCTCATCCACATTGGAGTGCAGTGATGTGATCATAGCTCACTGCAGCCTCAAACTCCTGGGATAAAGCCCTCCCTCCTTAGCCTCCAGACTAGCAGCTAGGACTACATGTACATGCTGCCACGCTCAGCTAGGATTTTTTTTTTTTTTTTGTAGAGACAGGGTCTCACTATGTTAACCAGGCTGGTCTATAACTCTTGGCCTCAAGCAATCATCCCACCTTGGCCCCCTGAAGTGTTGGGATTACAGGTGTGAAACACTGCACCTGGCCAAGAAATACTTTTTATTCTCTTTATTACAGATGAACAAAACTAATACTCAAATCACCTAACACCCAGTTCCTAGGATAGATGAGCAATGAGCACTCACTAATTTTTTCAACTATTAAACCAAAGAAATAAGCAAGAATACGTAGTCACTTTGATTTTAAAAAGATGTTTCTATTTTAATACTTTATGTAATAGGAAATTATTCTTAGTGACAAGCCTTATTAAATATTTAGGTAGAAAGGTTTATTTAGAAGTATTTGCCCAGATCAATTTTTTTTAATAGATTATTAAGGTAAAAGGATTCTAAGATTAGATATGGAGATAATAATTTTCGATAAAGATTGATTTGAGACACTCTAAAATTTCCCAAAATACATAACCCAGAGCCTTATCAATTATACAAGGGTCTTCAGTGGTGTTCCTGAACACATTTGGTGGACAAGTCTACAAAATAAAAACACCTCAGATCATTCATCTAATTCCTTTGGTTAAATATCTCTTTTTTGAATTCCCAACCCTTGACCACACCACCCTTAGAGCTTTGCTGAAATTAACCAGCCCTTACCTTCCTGGTTATAAGTGTCCTTGTACCCTTTCTGGAGTGATATTAAGACAAACAATCAGTTTTCAATAATAAATAGAGGATACATCAGTGTAAGGATGTCTAGTCAAGGGTAAAGGCTAAAGGAGAGTACAATCCAGTAAACCGCTTTTACAGGATGGAAGTGAGGCATGGAAAATATGGTAAGGTCATCACAAAATTTATTCACTGAATGGTCACTGTATACTTACGGTGTGGCATGGTTATTATCATGTCTATCATAGGACTATTACCATGTCTATGATAGGACTACAGCTGTCTGAACAAACGAAGTAATGGTTCAATTGTTTAACTTCTATTTAGATTTATTTATTTATTTATTTATTTAGTTCTATTTGTTTCAGTTCTATTTAGTTCTGTTTGCTGCACTAATCTGGCAATACCCAGAGCGTCTCCTTCTCAGAAGAACCATAAGTTCTCTCCTCTGAGTATCTGAGGCATCAGTACCAGAGAAGCTGTGTCCCTTTGGTCTAAGTCCCAGCTTTGTAAAGTTCCCCTCAGAAGCTTCTAAATATTGATAGTTCCATTCTTCTCCTTTGTTTCCCCAATCTTAGGGTGGTAGCTTCAGTTACTGCTTCTGTGATATCTTTGTGTTCTCTTTTTTCTTTTCAGTTTTTAAATACCCGGGTAACAGTTCTTTTTGTTAAATTCACTCTATTAAAATCACTTGAATATTTTCTGTCTTCTGATTAGACCCTGATGATTACAATCACAGAGGAGTAGACTATAGTGTATGGGTAGTTGATAGGTCTTTTCAGATACTAACACTTGAATGTGAAAGAAAATAAATTAAATATATTTCACTGTGCTGTCTTCTTTATATTTCCTTCTTGAAGAGTCTCTGCCCTTATATTTTACTACCATTAATAGTCATATTCTGGAATGTGTGATCATGGCCACAGCTGACTGGACCACAGTGGGCACATTACTTAGGGACAACAGATTCCAGGCTGATCAATTGTCTTTGACAGTGTTTGACATAAAGTGCTCTGCCCAAAGATAGATGAGCTGAGCCACTGAGCCAAAAGGATTCTTTTTCGGTGATTTTTGAACCAAGAGTCCCAGTTCAAAGCTGGACCAAAAGAAGCATACAATGCTGCTAAATCAGATTAATGGCAGAGCATTAGTAGCTCATGAATTATTGCCGTGGAGTTTTTCAGAGACACTTGACCTATGAATCACTCCCTTTTACCCTCAGCAAAAGCATTTTCATAATTAAGACTTGGTTTATTTTGCAAGATAGATATATCCTTGTCATTTGAATGTTCAAGCAGATAATTGATGGCTGTCAACTTTGTTGTGGAGGGGATTTCTTCAATGAAAGCTTTCAGGATAGAATATAAGATGTGTATGTATTTCTGGGCTTTGCTCTAGACCCACTGAATAAGGATATCCTAAGAATGGGTTCAAGTCATATACATTAAAAATAGCAGTAATAACAATAAGAACAACTCTCTCCTCTAGGTAATGCTGAAGTTGATCAACAAGACGTGGAAGGAAAAGAACTATATGGCTATTCTGGCTATCAATTGCTGAGTGACAAACTATCCTAACACTCAGTGTCTCACCATTTTTATTATATCTCATGACTTTCTGTGTCATGAATTCAAGCAGGTTTCTGCTGAGTGATTCTTCAGTGCCATCTGGCATGGAGTAGGGTGAATTTAACTAGATGCTAGTTTCATCTGGAGCATACAAGATAGCTTCACTCATATGCCTGGTGTCTTGGTGGGGACAGCTGAGCTGCTCTTCCTCTCTATATAGTTTCTGAACATCTGCTTGTAGTTTTGCCAGCAGGGGAGTTGAACATCTTATGTGGTTGCTTGGCGTCCTGTGGTGGCTAAGGACACTCGCATGTTAACAATCCTCTTAAAGTGTAGGCTTGAATCTGGTATGTAACACTTTGAGTGTTCTCTACTGGTTAAAGCTGTTAAAGTGCAGCCCAGATTTGATGGGAGGGAAAATAGGCCCCATCTTTCAATGAGAGAAGAGTTAAAGAATTTGTGGCCATCTTTAATCCATTACTATGACATCTTAAAGTATTGTAAATTATATCTTTAAATCCTGAGAGAATGGCATATAAGAAGGACAATTACAAGATCTGGAAGTCATAAGAAGACAGCCAGCGAGACAGGGCACTGGTAGGCAAAGTGATGACTGGTGTGTTTTCTGTTAGAAAAAGATGCACAGGATGACGAAGGAAACACAAACAGAAGGAAGTGCACCGGGGATAATTTTACCGTAGGCAGAGTATTATTTATGACTTTTCTAATCGTAATAGCCCACTGGGATACTATGGCAAAGAATTTGAGTCTGTAGGTTATTTGTGAATTGGAAGTGGGTATTCTTTGCTAAATTGTCACCAAAGGTATGAAAGTAAATGCTATCAACCACGAGTAATCATGATAGCAACAATTATACTAATAAATTCAACTGACATTTTTTCAAGTTAATATGAATATATGCATTCTTTCCATTGAAATAATCTACATCTTTAACTGAGAAGGAAAGAAAGGAGAAATGTTTAATTAACAGTCTTTTAGGCCAGGTATGGTGGCTCATGTCTGGAATCCCAGCACTTTGGGGAGGTTAAGTTGGAGGATTACTTGAGGCTAGATGTTCCAGACCAGCCAGTGCAACATGGTGAAACCATATTTCTTCAAAAAATAAGAAACTAGCTGAGTGTGGTAATATGCGCCTGTAGTCCTAGCTACTCAGGAGGATGAGGGAGGAGGATCTCTAGGGCCAAGCAGTTTAAGGCTAGAGTGATGCAGTGAGCTATAATTGTGCTACAGCACTCTGGCCTGGATGACAGAGTGAGATCCTATCTTAAAAAAAAAAAAAATTCCTTTAGATTTTTAAAAGTTATCACGATATTGATTCTTCCTATCCAGGAGCATGGAAAGTTTTTGAATTTGTTTGTGTACTCTCTTATTTCCTTTAGCAGTGGTTTGTAGTTCTCCTTGAAGACGTCCTTCACATCCCTTGTAATTTGTATTCCTAGGTATTTTATTCTCTTTGTAGCATTTGTGAATGGGAGTTCAGTCATGATTTGGCTCTCTGTTTGTCTTTTATTGGTGTATAGAAATGCTTGTGATTTTTGCACATTGATTTTGTATCCTGAGATTTTGCCGGAGTTGCTTATCAGCGGATTTTGGACTGAGATGATGGGGTTTTCTAAATATACAATCATGTCAACTCCAAACAGAGACAATTTGACTTCCTCTCTTCCTATCTGAATACACTTTATTTCTTTCTCTTGCCTAATTGCCCTGGCCAGAACTTCTAATACTATGTTGAATAGGAGTAGTGAGAGAGGGCATTGTTGTCTTGTGCCAGTTTTCACAGGGAATGCTTCCAGCTTTTGTCCATTCAGTGTGATATTGGCTGTGGGTTTGTCATAAATGGCTCTTATTATTTTGAGATACGTTCCATCAGTACCTAGTTTATTTTTTGAGAGTTTTTAGCATGAAAGCGTGTTGAATTTTTATCGAAGGACTTTTCTGCATCTACTGAGATAATTGTGGTTTTTGTCATTGGTTCTGTTTATGTGATGGATTAAGTTTATTGATTTGCATATGTTGAACCAGCCTTGCATCCCAGGGCTGAAGCCAACTTGATCAGGGTGGATAAGCTTTTTGATGTGCTGCTGCTTTGGTTTGCCAGTATTTTATTGAGGATTTTCACATCAATGTTCATCAGGATATTGGCCTGAAATGTTCTTTTTTTGTTGTGTCTCTGCCAGGTTTTGGTATGAGGATGATGCTGGCCTCATAAAATGAGTTAGGGAGGATTCCCTCTTTGTGTATTGTTTGGAATAGTTTGAGAAGGAATGGTACCAGCTCCTCTTTGTACCTCTGGTGGAATTCGGCTGTGAATCCATCTGGTTCTAGGATTTCTTGGTTGGTAGGCCATTAATCACTGCCTCAATTTTATAACTTTTTATTGGTCTATTCAGGGATTCACCTTCTTCCTGGTTTAGACTTGGAAGGCTGTAAGTGTCCAGGAATTTATCAATTTCTTCCAGATTTTCTAGTTTATTTGTGTAGAGGTGTTTATAGTATTCTCTGATGGTAGTTTGTATTTCTGTGGGATCAGTGGTGATATCCCCTTTATCATTTTTTATTGTGCCTATTTGATTGTTCTGTCTTTTCTTCTTTATTTATCTGGTTAGCAGTATTTATTTGTTGATCTTTTCAAAAAACCACCTCCTGGATTCATTGATTTTTTAAAGGGTTTTTCATGTCTCTATCTCCTTTGGTTCTGCTCTGATTTTAGTTATTTGTTGTCTTTTGCTAGCTTTTGAATTTCTTCGCTCTTATTTCTCTAGTTCTTTTAACTGTGATGTTAGGGTGTCGATTTTAGATCTTTCCCACTTTCTCCTACGGGCATTTAGTGTTATAAATTTCCCTCTAAACATTGCTTTAGCTGTGTCCCAGACACAGCTTTAGCTGGTACATTGTGTCTTTGTTCTCATTGGTTTCAAAGAAGTTATTTATTTCTGCCTTAATTTTGTTATTTACCCAGTAGTCATTCAGGAGCAGGTTGTTCAGTTTCCATGTAGTTGTGCAGTTTTGAATGAGTTTCTTAATCCTGAATTTTAATTTGATTGCACTGTGGTCTAAAAGACTGTTTGTTATGATTTCCATTCTTTTGCATTTACTGAGGAGTGTTTTACTTTCAATTATGTGGTAGATTTTAGAATAAGTCTGATGAGGTGCTGAGAAGAATGTATATTCTGTTGATTTGGAGTGGAGAGTTCTGTAGATGTCTATTAGATCCACTTGGTCCAGAGCTGAGTTCAAGTTCTGAATATCCTTGTTAATTTTCTGTCTCGTTGATCTGTCTAATATTGAAAGTGGGGTGTTAAAGTCTCCCACTATAATTGTGTGGGAGTCTAAGTTTCTTTGTAGGTCTCTAAGAACTTGCTTTATGAATCTGTGTGCTCCTGTATTGGGTGCATATATATTTAGGATAGTTAGCTCTTTTTGTTGCATTGATCCCTTTACCATTATGTAATACCCTTCTTTGTCTTTTTTGATCTTTGTTGGTTTAATGTCTGTTTTATCAGCGACTAGGTTGGCAACCTCTACTTTTTATTTTTTGCTTTCCATTTGCTTGGTGAATATTCCTCCATCCCCTTATTTTGAGCCTATGTGTGTCTTTGCACATGAAATGGGTGTCCTGAATACAGCACACCAATGGGACTTGACTCTTTATCCAATTTGCCAGTCTGTTTAGTTGGGGCATTTTGCCCATTAATATTTAAAGTTAATATTGTTATGTGTGAATTTGATCCTGTTATTATGATGCTAGCTCATTATTTTGCCCATTAGTTGATGCAGTTTCTTCATAGTGTTGATAGTCTTTACAATTTGATATGTTTTTGCAGTGACTGGAACGAGTTTTTCCTTTCCATATTTAGTGCTTCCTTCAGGAGTTTTTGTAAGGCAGGCCTGGTGTTGACAACATCTCTTAGCATTTGCTTGTCTGTAAGGATTTTATTTCTCCTTCACTTATGAAGCTTAGTTTGGCTGGTTATGAAATTCTGGTTGAAAATTATTTTCTTGAAGCTTGTTGAATATTGGCCCCCACTCTCTTTTGGCTTGTAGGGTTTCTGCAGAGGGATCTGCTATTAGTCTGAGGGGCTTCCCTTTGTGGGTAGCCAGGCTTTTCTCTCTGGCTGCTCTTAACATTTTTCCCTGCATTTCAACCTTGGTGAATCTGACAATCTTGTGTCTTGCGGTTGCTCTTCTCAAGGAATATTGTTGTGGTGTTCTCTGTATTTTCTGAATTTGAATGTTGCCTTGTCTTGCTAGGTTGGGTAAGTTCTCCTGGATAATATCCTGAAGAATGTTTTCCCACTTGGTTCCATTCTCCCCATCACTTTCAGGTACACCAATCAAACATAGATTTGGTCTTTTCACATGGTCCCATTTTTCTTGGAGGCTTCGTTCCTTCCTTTTCATTCTTTTTTCCTCTAATCCTATCTTCATGCCTTATTTCATTAAGTTGATCTTCAATCTCTGATATCCTTTCTTATGCTTGATCAATTCAGCTGTTGATATTCGTGCATGCTTCACAAAGTTCTCGTGCTGTGGTTTTCAGCTCCATCAGGTCATTTATGTTCTTCTCTAAACTGGTTATTTTAGTTAGCAATTCCTCTAACCTTATTTCAAGGTTCTTAGCTTCCTTGCATGGGTTACAACATGCTCCTTTAGCTCAGAGGAGTATGTTATTGCCCACCTTCTGAAGCCTACTTCTGTTAATTTGTCAAACTCATTCTCCATCCAGTTTTGTTCCCTTGCTGGCGAGGAGTTGTGATTCTTTGGAGGAGAAGAGGCGTTCTCATTTTTGGAGTTTTCAGTCTTTTTGCTCTGGTTTTTCCTCATCTTTGTGGATTTATCTACCTTTGGTCTTTGATGTTGATGACCTTTGGATGGGTTTTTTTTGTGTGTGTGGACATCCTTTTTGTTGATGTTGATGTTATTCCTTTCTGTTTGTTAGTTTTCCTTCTAACAGTCAGGCCCCTCTGCTGTAGGTCTTCTGGAGTTTGCTGGAGGTCCACTCCAGACCCCATTTGCCTCGGCATCACCAGCGGAGGCTGCAGAACAGCAAAGTTTGCTGCCTGTTCCTTCCGCTGGAAGCTTCATCCCAGAGGGGTACCCGCCAGATGCCAGCTGGAGCTCTCCTGTGTGAGGCGTCTGTTGAACCCTGCTGGGAGTCGTCTCCCAGTCAGGAGGCATGGGCGTCAAGGACCCACTTGAGGAGGCAGTCTGTCCCTTAGCAGAGCGTGAGCCATGTGTCGGTAGACCCGCTGCTCTCTTTAGAGCCAGCAGGCAGGAACGTTTAAGTCTACTGAAGCTGCTCCCACAGCTGACCCTTCCCCCAAGTGCTCTGTTCCAGGGAGATGGGGGTTTTATCTATAAGCCCATGACTTGAGCTACTGCCTTTCTTTCAGTGATGCCCTGCCCAGACAGGAGGAATTTACAGAAGTAGTCTGGCTACAGGGGCTTTGAGGTGTGCTCCACCCAGTTCAAACTTCCTAGTGGCTTTGTTTACACCCTGAGGGGAAAACCACCTATTCATGCCTCAGTAATGGCAGACACCCTTCCCCCGCACCAAGCTCAAGCATCCTAGGTTGGCTTCCGACTGCTGTACTGGCAGTGAGAAGTTCAAGCCAGTGGAACTTAGCTTGCGGGACTCCATGGGGGTGGGATCCCCTAAGCTAGACCACTTGGCTCCCTGGCTTCAGCCCCCTTTCCAGGGGAGCGAACAGTTCTATCTCACTGACGTTCCAGGCACCACTGGGGTATGAAAAAAAACTCCTGCAGCTAGCTTGATGTCTGCCCAAACTGCCGCCCAGCTTCGTGCTTGAAACCCAGGGCCCTAGTGGTGTAGGTGCCTGAGGGAATGTCCTGGTCTGAGGGTTGTGAAGACCATGGGAAAAGCATAGTATCTGGGCCAGAATGCATTGTCCCTCACAGTACAGTCCCTCACAGCTTCCCTTAACTAGGGGAGGGAGTTCCCTGACCCCTTGCACTTCCCGGGTGAGGGAATACCCCACCCTGCTTCGGCTCGCCCTCTGTGGGCTGCACCTACTGCCTAATCAGTCCCAATGAGACAAACTGCCTACCTCAGGTGGAAATGCAGAAATCACCTGCCTTCTGCATTGATCTCGCTGGGAACTACAGACCAGAGCTGTTCTTATTTGGCCATCTTGCCATTCATGAAAATGGCCATACTGCCTAAAGTAATTTATATATTCCATGCTATCTCCATCAAGCTACCATTGACTTTCTTCACAGAATTAGAAAAAACTACTTTAAATTTTATATGGAGCCAAAAAAGACCCTGTATAGCCAAGACAGTCGTAAGCAAAAAGAACAAAGCTGGAGGCATCACGCCACCTGACTTCAAACTATACTGCAAGACTACCATAACCAAAACAGGATAGTACTGGTACCAAAACAGATATATAGACGAATGGAATAGAACGGACGCCTCAGAAATAATACCACACATCTACAACCCTCTGATCTTTGACAAACCTGACAAAAATAAGCAATAGGGAAAGGATTCCCTATTTAATAAATGGTGTTGGGAAAACTGGCCAACCATATGCAGAAAACTCAAACTGGACCCTTCCTTACACCATATAAAAAATTAACTGAAGATGGATTAAAGACTTAAATGTAAGACCTAAAACCATAAAAACCCTAGGAGAAAACCTAGGCAATACCTAGGTATGAGCAAAGACTTCATGACTAAAACACCAAAAGCAATTGCAACAAAAGCCAAAATTGACAAATGAGATGTAATTAAACTAAAGAGCTTCTGCACAGCAAAAGAAACTATCATCAGAGGGAACAGGCAACCTACAGTATGGTTGAAAATTTTTGCAATCTATCTATCTGACAAAGGGCTGGTATGCAGAATCTGCAAGGATCCTCAACAAATTTACAAGAAATAATCAACCCATCAAAAAGTGGGTGAAGGATATGAACAGACACTTCTCAGAAGAAGACATTTGAGCCTGGCATGGTGGCTCACACCTGTAATCCTAGCACTTTGGGAGACCAAGGCGGGCAGATCACAAGGTCAGGAGATTGAGACCATCCTGGCTAACACGGTGAAACCCCGTCTCTACTAAAAATACAAAAAAAAAAAAAAAAAAAAAGAAAAAAAATTACCAGGGCATGGTGGCAGGTGCCTGTAGTCCCAGCTACTTGGGAGGCTGAGACAGGAGAATTGCTTGAACCTGGGAGGTGAGGGTTGCAGTGAGCTGAGATCGTGTCACTGCACTCCAACCTAAGCAACAGAGTGAGATCCTATCTTAAAAAATAAATATAATAAAATAAAATAAAACAAAAAAACAAAAGACATTTATACAGCCAACAAACATATGAAAAAAACCTCATCATCACTGGTCATTACAGAAATGCGAATCAAAACCACAATGAGATACCATCACACACCAGTTAGAATGGTGATCACTAAAAGTCAGAAAAGAATAGATGCTGGAAAGGATGTGGACAAATAGGAAAGGTTTTTACACTGTTGGTGGGAGTGTAAATTATTTCAACCATAGTGGAAGACAGTGTGGTGATTCCTGAAGGATCTAGAATCAGAAATACCATTTGACCCAGCAATCCCATTACTGGGTATATACCCAAAGGATTATAAATCATGCTGCTATAAAGACACATGCACACATATATTTATTGCAGCACTATTCACAATAGCAAAGACTTGGAACCAACCCAAATGCCCATCAATGATAGACTGGATAAAGAAAATGTGGCACGTATACACCATGGAATGCTATGCAGCCTTAAAAAAGGATGAGTTCATGTCCTTTGCAGGGATATGGATGAAGCTGGAAACCATCATTCTCAGCAAATTAACACAGGAACAGAAAACCAAACACCGCATGTTCTCACTCATAAGTAGGAGTTGAACAATGAGAACATGGGGACACAGGGAAGGGAACATCATACACCGAGGCCTGTTGAGGGCTGGGGAGCTAGGGGAGGGATAGCATTAGGAGAAATACCTAATGTAGATGATGGGTTGATGGGTACAGTAAACCACCATGGCATTTGTATATGCATGTAACAAACTTGCACATTTTGATCATGTAACCCAGAACTTAAAGTATAATAAAAAAAGAAACTATTTTTAAATGACATCATAAAACATAGTAGTGTTACTGTTATAATTTTTCTTGGAAGCTGAATTGATTGCATTTCTCCCATTGTAACTTAAGTCTTCTAGATTTCCTTTCTTAAAGATAGAACAAGTTATTCTTTCTGAAATATATAAAGTGGCAAACTTGCTTTCTTCTTTCTTTGTTTTAAAATTATTTCACAAATTGCATGTGTGAGATATGAATATGCTGTTGGTGTTATTTACATTTGAGAGCAGATTAAATATGTTTTTGTTTATATTAATTATGAAACTCTAGCATTGGGGATTGCTATTTGGTTTTGTTTTACTTTTTATATATTGAATTTTTATTCTTGGTAAGATTTGATTATTACTTTGCTCCAAGCTGCTGAGTTGCTCAGAAATGAAATTGACACGGACTCCTTAGTATCAGATATGTTGATTTGAATTAACAACACAGAAGGGTGTTTAAATGAAAATGTAATGTCATTTAGTAAATTAACATGTGGAAATAAAAACCTCGGACTAAAATCTAATTTAACAAAGTTTCTTGAAGTTTGTTTTGTTGAATTAATGACTGGGAAACTAAGTTCATTTTGTTGATAATCTCTCAATGCAGTAATAATACTAAAGTTGTAAGAGCAACAGGTTACATCCTAACCAGGTCTCCTCTGCCTCAAGTACAGAATCTCCAATCTATCTATAACACTGTTTTCCTGGCAGCTATTCTACTGGCAAACTGAACAGATCAGGAAAGTAATTATCTCTTATGGAAAAGTCATCTATTTTCTCTATGGATTATGAGTAAGGGACACCTTTTGTGCTTCATCTAAAATCTGAAAGTAAAATTGTACTCTCTATTCCAACCACTGCTGCACCAACCAGTTCTGCATAGGTTTCCAGCACTTTCATGCACATGAACCTGACAGCATCCTACCCCACTGCATCTTGGCGCATTGTTTGGATTTGAGCTGAGTGCTTCCATTCCTGGCCTACAAATTATCTGATACGACATCATGGGTGACCTATGGGGACTACGTTCTATTTGTGTGTGTGTGTAAACTAAAAATTTGGGGATGGGAGCTGATTGGTAAAAGCCCCCCTTTTTTTTTTGTTTTTTTGTTTTTTGTTTTTTTTCCAGTGGACGGATGGTGGCTAGATACGTTTCTTAACCCTTTCCGGTGATCACTGAGGGATGGAGCAACCAGTTTCCCATAGCAGAGAACAAGTACATACATTTATTGGCTTGATTTTTTTACTTCACTGTTTTATTCTTGTTCCTCAGTCCTGCTTTCTGGGATTACATTCATGAATAAAGTACTCACACATAAACCCTTGTCTTAGATCGGCTTTTGAGAGGACCAGCTCTAAAACAAGCCCTGTAAAACTTGTTTCTGCCACTTATATTACCAGGAATGTGTTGGAATTTAATTAGGACATGTTTCCTCAAAATTGCACCAGGAGTATCACAATAAATGAAACTTGGTGTTCACACAGAGTGCCATCTATCTTTATCTGGTTTTAGTCTTCTTTCAGCTGGTATATCTATGACCTTTGTTCTATTGGCACACAAACAAGAACTTTTGGAGAAATAGTGCTTGCTTATGAAGTTAAATGTTGGAGAAAGGTATTTTGAACTTTGGATGTCTGGAAATTTTTAATTAAAATTTTAGTTAATTTTAATTTCTCCCCAAACAATAGATTGGCATTGTCTGATGAAAATCACACCATATTTTCTTCTCTGTGCAATCCTAAATATTATACATAGAAGAAATAAACTTTAGTTTGAGCCAGGGTTTAAGTTGGAGATGGCTCGACTTGCCAATTTTGCAAATCACCAAAATTTCTTTCTCAAACCCAATTCTGCATCCTGTAATTTCAGTTTTTTCCAAGTGTTATGTAGAAGATATCATTCTAAGAATAAAAATAGTCGTGAATGTACATCTGGAATAAATACATATATAACTCACTGCGGTAAAGCTTTAAAAGGCCATAGGCTAAAGTATTTATATAATCCTCCAAATTATAAAATGGTCACCCTAGTGATATATGGGTAGTATAGCACTTTATTTATATAGTTTTACAATTTCTTTTTCATGTTATTAAATATATTTTAGAGAACAGACAACTTGAAGTTTAAGATAATTATATAGTTTCTTATTTTATTGAGAGATACAAGAGAATTTTGAAGTTTAGGGCTGAAAACCAACATCTCAGTCACCTAGAACATTTGAATTTATTGGTTGATCAGTGTGACGGTTGAGTGTCAACTTGGCTAGGTGTGGTGGCTCATGCCTGTAATCCCAGCACTTTGGGAGGCCGAGGCAGGCAGATCACTTGAGCCCAGGATTTCAAGACCAGTCTGGCCAACATGGTGAAACCCTGTCTCTACTAAAAATACAAAAGTTAGCCCTGCACAGTGGCCCATGCCTGTAATCCCAGCTACTTGGTAGGCTGAAGCACAGAATCTCTTGAACTCAGGAGGCGGAGGTTACAGTGAGCCAAGGTCGCACCACTGCACTCCAGCCTGGGTGACAGAGCAAGACTCTGTCACAAAACAAAAACAAAAAAAGTAAGTGTTAGCTTGATTGGATTGAAGGATGCAAAGTATTGTTCCTGGGTGTGTCTATGAGGGTGTTGCCAAAGGAGATTAACATTTGAGTCAGTGGACTGGGCAAGGCAGACCCACCCTCCGTCTGGGTGGACATCATCTAATCTCCTGCCAGGGCAGCAGGAATAAAGCAGGCAGGGTAAGATGGAAGAGCCAACTTGCTGATTCTTTGGCCTTCATCTTTCTCTCATGCTGGATGCGTCCTTTCCTTGAACATCAGACTCCAAGTTTTTCGGCTTTTGGACTCTTGGACTTATACCAGTGGTTTGCCAGGTGCTCCCAGGCCTTTGGCCACAGACTGAAGGCTGCACTGTTGGCTTCCCTCCTTGTGAGGTTTTGGGACTTGGACTTATTTACCACTGGCTTCCTTGCTCCCCAACTTGCAGGCAGTCTATCGTGGGACTTTACCTTGTGACTGTGTGAGTCAATCCTCCTTAATAAACTTCCTTTCATATATACATATATCCTATTAGTTCTGTCCCTCCAGAGAACCCCAACTAATATGGTCAGATTTCTGGCTATTTGAAAAACTTAAAACATTATAGAACTCAGAAAATGACAGCATAGTTGGTAGATTATAAAGAACATTTGAAAATAAGTATAAAAACTATTGGGAAGAATAATACTGAAAATTAATATTAAGTATTTTATAAACTAGGCACTGAGATAAGCACTTTATAGGGAGGTGTTATTATTAGTTCCTTTTATTTTTTCTTTTGATACATTTTAGATTTATTTTTGAAATTGCTAGATGAAATCGTGTGTATTTATTTTGTACAACATGATGTTTTGAAGTATCTATATTGTGGACCGGTTACATCTAGATCATTAACATATGCATCACCTCATACAGTTATTTTCCCGGTATGAACACTTAAGGTATGCCTCTCTTAGCGTTTTTCTTTTTTTTTTAATACTTTTTTTGTGGGGGGAGGTGGGGTCTCATTCTGTCACCCAGGCTGGAGTGCAGTGGTGTGATCACAGCTCACTGCAGCCTTGAACTCCTGGGCTCAAGCTATTCTCTTGCTTCAGCCTCCTGAGCAGCTGGGACTACAGGCACATACCACCACGCTCAGCTGATTGTTTAATTTTTTTGTAGAGATAGGGTCTTGGTATGTAGCCAGGCTGATCTCTATCTCCTGGCCTCAAGTAATTTTCCCATGTTGGTCTTCAAAAGTGGTGCTGGAATCACAGGAGTGAGCCACCATGCCTGGGAAGCATTTTTCAATAATACAACATGTCATCCTAAACTATAGTCATCATGCCATACAATAGCACTGGTGAATGTATTCTTCCTATCTAACTGTAATTTTGTATCCTTTCACATATTTGCAAATGCCTCCCTCCCACCCCCAACCTTTTCAGCCTCTGATAATTATCATTCTACTCTATATTCCTATGAGATCAATTTTTTATGATTTTATATATGAGTTAGATTATATGGTATTTGTCCTTATTTGTCTGATTTATTTCACTTAACATAATGTCCTCGAGGCTCATCCATGTTGTTGCAAAAGACAGGATTTCCTTCATTTTATGGTCAAATAGTATTCTATTGTATATTTATACCACATTTTCTTTATCCATTCATCTGTTCATGGACACTTAGTTTGGTTCCATATCTTGGCTATTGTGAATAGTGCTGCAATAAAGATGGGGTTGCAGTTATCTCTTTGACATATCAATTTCATTTCCTTAGTGTATAAATCCAGTAGTGGGATTGCTGGATCATGTGGTAGTTCTATTTTCAGACTTTTAGATGTGGGAATGTAACACTGTCCTTCTTACACTCTTCAATTTATCTTTTATTATTTTGCTATAACCAGGTACTATGATCTCCACCTGAATTCGTTAGCTCTTATGAAGGCATTTTTGTGCATGGATGGATGTTCAAATTGATGTTTCTGTTGGGGGGATGATAGCTGGAGAGTTCTATTTTGCCATCTTGCTCTGCCTTCCTGTTAGTCCCTCTTTAAAGATGAAACAATATTGAAACTTTAAGAAAGTTAATCAATTTGCTTGAGTTTATTATTGAGCTCTTAAGTTGCAGAATTGAAATGGCCATTTATTTTCTGACTCCAGTTCTGATACTCTGAACGGCTGCTTCCCTAGAGAAGGCCCAAACGTGATACCACTCTCCCCAGGACAATCTGATTGTGTGGTTTGCTGATCAAATTGACTGTTGGTGGCTGTGAAAGCTGACTCATCTGAAACAAAAGCTAAGGATCGTAAGAGAACACTCAGAGAATGAAAAAGCGTCATAAGATCCAGGGGTCAAAGAGAAAGAAACATAGAGAGAAGAAAAGTGGAAAGAAAATAGAAGTGAGAAAGAAAAGGAGACAAGTTTCTATTAAATAGTATAAATGGTAGCAGAATGTCCATGGCAATAGAGATTTTTAAAAAAATGATAGCCAAATTTGTGGGAAAGAGGTAGGGTTATACTGAGCAGTGGTAAGTGGATCTATTACTATATTACTGGATGATAGAGTACAAATTAATAGTGGATTTTTAATTCCATACATTGACCTTCCTTTATTTAAGAAAGCAGAGAGTAAGACAGTTTTTATTAGACAGAGTCTGATGCCTGTTTTCATTATATATTAGAAAGCTTCGTCACACAGAAAGTTATCCTTCAGATACCTGCAAATTTGTACCACAGCAAATAGCACTTTCTTTAGTGATTCTGATGTTTAGGTGTCATGATTATTCAAGGTTCTTGGCATAGAAAGCATCAGGAAATCTTTGATATGATGCTTCAAGACATCCTGTATTTCCAATGAGCTAGCACTTAGACATTTATTTCTTAAACAAATGTGACTCTTGGAAGTAATCTTTCTATTTTTAAATATTCTTTTGATAGAAAAATTTATATTTCAGCCACAGTAAATGTCTGACTATTGGAAGCTTTATTATTTATTTAAAGTTATATAATATTACTATTAATAAACATTAATAGTAGTGTACTCTAAACTTTATTCCATTTTTTCTCTCAGAAAGTCATTCCTGAAATATTAGTTACTGTATGTAGATCAATTATATTCCCTTTGATGGATTCTTTGGGTTTTACTTTATGAATATAACACATATTATTTATTAACTTCCTCCCATGGTTTCCTGTTCCCTGTGCACTTATGTAAGTGTTCCTCTGGTATACATACCTAGAAACTGGATTGCTATGTAAGAAATTAAATACATGTATTATTTTACTAAGCCCTACCAGATTATACTCAAAATATGTACACACATTTGCAGTACTATCAGCAGGGCAGAGGCAAGATTTCATAAATATTCTCTATATGCTATTTAATATGCAATTTCTACCTATTTAGAGATATAAAAGGAGACATTGTTATTCTATTTTACATTTCTCTTATTAGCAAAATTGAATATTTCTTGTTACAATTAGTAGCCATTTGTTGCTTTGTCCTTCTCTGTCTTACATATTTATTGTTTTGTTAGCAGTTTTCAATTGGATTTCCTGATTTGCTCCTGCTAATTTATGGACATGATGTGTATTATGTTCTTTACTTGGGTAATTCATACGGCGGGTAGCTTCGTTAAGATTTTTACTTATCTGTCTGGTTACATTATCTACAGTGTACATTACTCGAGGGAATTTTGAATGTGATTTAGTAAACCCATCAACTTTTTAATTTCCTTTTGATACATGCTTCTAGTCTTTTCAAAAAATATTTCCCAGCCTGGCGCGGTGGCTCACGCCTGTAATCCTAGCACTTCGGGAGGCCGAGGTGGGCAGATCACTTGAGGTCAGGAGTCAAGACCAGCCTGGCAAACATGGTGAAACCCCCTCTCTACTAAAAATACAAAAATTAGCTGTGCATGGTGACGTGGGCCTGTAATCCCAGCTACTCAGGAAGCTGAGGCGGGATAACCACTTGAACCCAGGAGGTGGAGGTTACAGTGAGCCGAGATGGCACCACTGCACTCTAGCGTGGGCGACAGAGCAAAACTGCACTAAAAAAAAAAAAAGAAAAAAAGAAGAAAATTCCCATTATCAAAGTCATACAAATGTTCTTATGTTTTCTTATACAGTTTTACCTTTCACACTTAGACCATTATTTATAAGAATTTACTTTTTATATGGTAGGAGCTGGGGATCTTTCTTTTTCCTCTTCATAAAGTGTTAAAATATCCCCAACATCATTTAATACTCTTTCCCAGGTTATTTGTTGTGCCACTTGTACCATTTATTAAGTTTTAACATTGTTCTCTTTATCTGTTCTTGTCTTAGTATATTTGTTTCAGTTACTGTCTTTTGAAATGTTCTAAACAGGGAGATTCACCTCTCTTTGTCCTTGAAAAATGTTATCCTATGTATTATCAGACCTCATACTTCCCTAAATTCTAGGGAGAATTATTGCTGAGATATTCTTAAAATTATGTTATTTAAATAACATTATTTAAATGTTATTACACTTATACAAATTGTATAATTTGGGGAGAATTAACCTCTTTATGATGTAATGCTCTCTTATCAATGAACATGGTATATTTGCTTAGGTCTCTTTAGGTATTTTTAAAAAGATTCTTTAGTGAAGGTCATCCTATACCTTAAATATTTCCTATAAAAGATAGTGTTAATTATATTATTATTATATTATTATTATTATAGTTTTTCATTATTAAAACTATTTTATTATTTTATTATTATAGTTTTTATTATTAAAAACATTAAAAATTACATTTTATAATTGGTAATTTCTGCTATAGAATAATGCTACTGATTTTTAAATTTTGGATCTTGCATCCTTGCTAACTCATTATAAATTTTTATGACTTTTTTTTTTTTTTTTGAAACACGATCTCTCTCTGTCACCCAGGATGGAGGGCAGTGGTGCAATCTTGGCTCACTGCGACCTTTGCCTCCCAGACTTAAAGGAACATTTTACCTCAGCCTCATGCATAGCTGGGACTGCAGGTATGCACCTGATTAATTTTTGTATTTTTTGTAGAGACAGGGTTTCACTATGTTGCCCAGGTTGGTCTTGAACTCCCGAGCTCAAGTGATCTGCCCACCTCAGCCTCCCAAAATGCTGGGATTACAGGCGTGATCCATGTCCTGCTTTTATAATTTTTCTTTTGGTCATGATAGATGTTCTATGTGAATAATCATATTGTATACAAATAATGTCAAAATTGTTTCTTCACTTTCTGTCTTGAGTATTATTCTTATGCATTGGACAGGACTTTCAGTGGTGCAATGATTTTTTTCTTGATTTTAATGGAAATTATTATAAATTTTTCCATTAAATATGATAATTATTAGAGATTTCTTTGTAGATTACTTTATTCAGGTTTTGCAAATTTCATTTTTCTCCAAATTTTCTGAGAGCTTTGGTTATGAATACATAAAATTAATATATGATTCCTCTATCTACTAAGATTACCATGAACTTTTTCCTCTCCTATACTCTATTAATATTATGAATAACATTTTTAGATATTTGAGAAATCTATTTTGGGCCAGGTATTCCTTGACATGACTCCTTGTTTTTCTAATATACTGTGAATTCAGTTAACTAGTATTTTAGTTAGTATTATTTTTGGTCTTATTTCATAAGTGGAAATGATATGTAATATTCTTTTAATATTCTTTGATTTTTTGTATCAAGATTATATTAGTTCCACAGCATGGTACTGGTACAAAAACAGACATATAGACCAATGGAATAGGTTAGAGAACCCAGCACTAAGGTTGCACACCCACAGTTATGCGATCTTTGATGAAGTTTACAAAAATAAGCAATGGGGAAAGGACTCCCTGTTCAATAAATGGTGCTGGTATAGCTGGCTAGCCACATGCAGAAGAAGAAAACTGGACCCTCTACCTTTCATGATATACAAAAATCAACTCAAGATGAATTAAAGATTTAAATGTAAGACCTCAAACTATAAGAACCCTAGAAGAAAATCTAGAAAATATCATTCTGGACATTAGCTTTGTCAAAGAATTTATGACTAAGTCCTCAAAAGTGATTAGAAAAAAAACAACAAGAAAAAATGACAAGTGGAATCTAATTAAACTAAAGAGCTTCTACATAGAAAATAAACTATCAACAGAGTAAACAGATAACCAATGGAATAGGTGAAAATATTTGAAAACTTTATATCTATTAAAGATCTAATATCCAGAATCTATAAGAAATTTAATTCCACAAACAAAAATACCAAATTTTATTTAAAAAATGGGCAAAAGACATGAACAGACACTTTGCAAAAGAAGTCATACAAGCAATCCACAAACACGAAAAAATGCCCAATGTCACTAATAATCGGCTAAATGCAAATCAAAACCACAGTAAGATATCATCTCACATGTCAGAATTACATTATTAAAAAGCCAAAGCACAACAGATGAGGCTGTGGAGAAAAGGGAACACTTATATGCTGTTTATGGGAATGTAAATTACTTCAGCCCCTGTGAAAAGCAGTTTAGAGATTTCTCCAAGAACTTAAAACAGAACTACCATTGATCCAGCAATCCCATTACTGTATTTACATCCAAACAAATATGCATTGTTACACCAAGAAGACCCATGCACTTGTATGTTTATTGTAGCACTATTCACAATTGCAAAGACCTAGAATCAACCTAGATGCCCATCAATGGTGGATTGGATAAAGAAAACATGGTACATATACACTATGAAGTACTATGCAGCCATTAAAAAGTGAAATTATGTTCTTTGCAGCAATATGTATGCAGCTGGAGACCATTATCATAAGCAAATTAATGCAGGAACAGAACATTAAATACCACATGTTCTGACTTCTACGTGAGAGCTAAGCATTGGGTACTCATGGATATGAAGATGGGAACTATAGACACTGGGGACAATGAGGGGGCAGAAGGTAGGGGAGCAGGGCTGAAAAACCACTTATTGGGTACTGTATTAGTCTATTTCAAACTTCCCTGAGACTGGGTAATTTATAAAGACAGAGGATTAATTTACTCACAGTTAACTGGGTAATTTATAAAGAAAGAGAGTTAATTGACTCTCATGGCTGGGGAGGCCTCAGGAAACTTACAGTCATGGTGGAAGGGGAAGCAGGCACATCTTACATGGTGGCAGGTCAGAGAGAGAGCTAGCAAGAACGGGGAAAACTGCCTTGTAAAACCATCAGATCTCATGAGAGCTCACAGCAGCATGGGGAAAACTGCCCCCCTGATCCAATCACCTCCCACCTGATCCGACACATGGGGATTATAAAAACTACAACTTGAGATGAGATTTGGGTGGGAAAACAGAGCCAAACCATGTCAGGGACAATGTACTTTGCTTATTATCTGAGTGATGGGATCATTCACACTGCAAACCTCAGAGTCACACAATATACTCATATAACAAATCTGTAAATGTACCCCCTGAATCTAAAATAAAAGTTGAAAAATGAAGATAATATTAGTTTCAAAAGTTTTTTTTATTATTTTATAAAAGAATTTATATACATTAGGAGACACTGTTCTTCAAATGTTTGTGGAATTTACTTTTCAATTGCTGAGTACAGGCTTTTTGCTAGGGGTGGTGGTGGCTTGAATGGAAAGCACTAATTCATTTTCTTAAATTATGTTACTTTTTTTAAGTTTTCTATTAATAATTGAGTACTATATTGATGTTTCATTTTTTTCCACAAACTTTTCCTTTTACTGATTTTCAAATTTGTTGCATAGTTTTTCACAATATTCTTCAATTTAAAAATATCCTTTACATTAGCTTTTTGTACTTTTTTCTAGTTTTACTATCTCTTTTTGATCTGACCTGTCAGACATTTTCAAAGACCAAGCTTCTGCTTATTATTTCTATTTTTTCTTTGTTTTATTGATTCATGATGTTTTGTTATTATTATTTCCTTCTTTTTGGTTTCTTTGAGTTTACTGTGTTCTTTTTCTTGAATTTCTTACATTTACTATTTTGCCTTTTTCCAGCTTCATGAGTTTGATTTAATTTCTCTTGCATCTTGGGTTTGTTGTTTTGCTCATTTATTTTCAATCTTTGTTGTTTTATGATGAATGTATTTACAGCAAAACTTTTTTCTTTTTTTAGTTGTATCTCATGTATTTTGAAATGTAATACTTCATTGTCAAGAAACAATTAGATTCTTTTCTCAGTACATTAGTGGTATATATATTTTAGAAATTTCTATGCATTTGGTTGCTTTAAAGCTATTCTTTTTTAACTTATCTCCAATGTTTTTGCACTGTGGTTTGAGTATATATAACCTTTAAGATGTGGATTCTTTGGCCACATTATTTGTGCATGTTATATATGGATTTTTAAGAATGCTTCTTGTATACATAAGAATAAACTTTATTCAGGAAATATTGGTCCATATTTTTGTTTTTTAAAAAAAAAATTAAGAAAAGAGGTTTAAGGCTGACAGTTCTGCACACTCTACAGGAAGCATAGCATTGACAACTGCTTCCAGTTAGGACCTCAGGAAACTTAAAATTATGGCATAAAGCAAGGGAGGAACAGCTGTCTCACAGGGTGAGAGTGGGCCCGTTTTTTCTTTTGCTTTACATTTCTTTATCCCTCTCCCTTTATACTATCTCCGCATACACAAGCTCACAAGAATATGCTCATTGGTTGTGATATTTAAATATTTTCTATTTTTGAAAAAATTTCTGCTAATTCTAGCAATTTGAGAGTGATGTGTTATAGTTGTTCACATGATAATTCAGGTAATTAGGCACCTCAGGTCTAGAATTAGTCATTTAACTCCACCTTGATGCAAAGAAACAATGAAAAATGTAATCTTCCTGTATGCCTAAGTAGTCAGTGAAAGAGTTTGGTACAAGCAGAAAATTTCCTCTGCCACAGAGCCCTTTCAAAGTGAGGGTAAATCCTCCCTTAGTTTTGGAAAGATTCTTGGTTACAATTTCACCAACTTTTTAATCCTCTTTCTTTACTCTTTATTTTCTCTTTTCGTTTTCCAGTTGAATAGATTTCAACAATTCTGTTTTCAAAAATTCTTGTCTTCTTTTTTTCTTTATGTTTTTCTTCTACTTTATCTTTTTCTCGTGCCTTCTGGGAGAGTTCCATAACCCAGTATTCCAGTTAAGTAATGTAATTTTGGATATATTTATTCTGCTACTCCATTGAATTATTTGTTTCAAAAATCTTACCTCAATTTTAGAAATATCTGATTGTCTTGCTGCACTGAGTTATTTGTTTTGAAATCTTACTTCCATTTTAGAAATATTATCTGATCATCTTGCTGCATGCTATAAATATGTTCCTTTTACTGTGTAAGTATATTTTACTTTTTTAAAATGTTTTAAATTTATTTACTGTTTCTACCTTTTAGTTATTTTTCCTCAATTAAAAGTATTTCCCTTTGTTGTCTTCTAGAATAGTTCTTGTGCTATTTAAATGTTTCTTAATTTTTCCTTATATGCCTATCTCTGTTTCTTGGAAATAAAGTAGACAATGGATAACCTGGCCTGCAATCTATTTGGTGGATTTAAATCTTAATGGTGAGTTGAGGATTGCATTTACCACTGCCTTTCTTCCCTATCATGGAGTACTTTCCAGTCTCTCTACCCAGACTACTGCTCTTGATCTGGGGTGGCAACCTTCCTTGGTATTTCTCCATTTCTAGGATATATGAGGGTTCCTCAGGGGACAGCTGGCTCCCCAATCCTTGTTTTGTCTTTCTACAGCAACTGAGCCTCACTACTGCCCTCAATCCTATCCTGCAGCCTCCAGTTAGAGATCCAGGTTTCCTGCCCTGTGTTACTAATAAAATGGGCAATTACTTGGGAATAGAGATTTCAGGATAGTAGATGGAAGGAATTTGTTGCCTTTAGCAATAAGATGTCTGATATTGTGAAGTGGTATGGTGTAGTAAAAACACCTGAGATTAAAGAAGAGAGGAATCTATGCCTATTTCTTCTTTTATTCATTTATTTATCAAACATTAATTCATGCATCTGTTCATTTATTTAATGCATACTTACTGAGGACCTATTGTGGGCCAGGCACTGTTACATTGCACTATAAATTTGGTAGGAAGCATTTTTTTTAAAACTGCTTTTATAGTTTGGAGGTATGGGTAGAGGAATCCATGTATAATTTATTAGGGAGATAAGTGGTATTAAGGAAAACAAAGCAAGTATATAATAGAGAATCTCAGAGGCTAGGAAGGCAAGATTTGAGCAGAGACCTGAATGAGGAGAGTATGTGAGTGGGTTCACTCAGTCTCTACCATTTATAAGCCACGAGACTGTGGGCAATGTTTGCATGTCGAGTGAATGCGACATTGTTTGTAAAGACACATTGCATGACACTGAGTAAGAAGTCAAGAAGTCAGAGCTACTAATAATACACATTATTAATAAATCAAAACTAGTAATTGAAATGCTTTTTGTACATATCAACTAACTTTCCTGTTATTAAAAATTATTTCTAATTTTTCGGAAATTCCAGAAAGATTGGCAGTAAACAAGTAATAAACCTTCTTATTCATTTTGTTTTTATACTGGAAGGTCATTAGTCACAGTCTTAAGTATGGACAGTAAAGTTAAAAAATTCAATTGGCAGGAAGTGGGTGCATCTTAAGGGCCATTTAAGAAAGTGTATGAATTTATGAACTTTATAGTGAGAGGATGACTAACAAAAGCTAGCTAAGTACTTTCTGATTCTAGAAAAAAAATAGAGAATTTTCTCTCTGTCTTTGTTTTTCTCTCTAACATGTTAAATTAGCAGAAGACTTCAAATAGTTTGGACACATAAACATTATAACCAAACTCTCCAGTGCTTTCAGGATTTTGATATGCATAAATATATAAGGGAGCTGAAAGACACCCATTCCATTTTCCAACACTTCCTTTGCCCTTGTCCACACGGACCTTGCACATCTCATTGCTTTGTAGTCACATTTGACCAAACAGGTTATTAATTATGTGTCTTAATCTCCTATCATTAACTTCAGAATGAGTCTGAATAAACTGACTGTTTTGTAAGTCTGTCAACTTTAAGAGTTGAAGGTTTTCCACCAAAGAAGAAACTCAAAAGTTTGGACCAACCTGTCTAACATCACTTTCCAGAGAAGTGTCCAAAATATTTGGAGAAGCTTCAATAGTGCAATAAATATATAATTATTGAACTTTGCTACCTTAAAGGAAACAGTACTCATTTAGATAGGTGATCCAAATTTTTACTTTTTTCCCCAAAGGCAATTTTACCTAGACTGTTATATATAAAAGATTAAAAACAGATTTTATTTTATTTTTTTTTAATTTGGTGGAGAGGGATGCTAATGGTGAAACACCCACTGCCATCTACTCAGGTTTTCCCTCACTTGCTAAGGGCAGCCCGCAGGGGTCCATGGAATGTCATTTGAAAACTATGAATTTAAATACCTGATTTCTGTGACTCTAACTTGCAGGTAAAGAAGAAAAGATGGTTGTGGTCTCCACTGATTCTTTCTCCATAGCATGAGTTTACAATCCTAGATGAATGTGTTATTACCTACTATAAATTTTGGTTGTTGAGGAAAAAGACAGGGATATTTAAGTGGTATAATGAAGGATTTCAGTAACATGTGCAGCTTCCTAGCCATTCAACAATCTCTGTCAGAGAGTAGATTTACTTGAGATGGCGTAGGTGAGAGTTAAAAAATAATCATTCCCTCCCTGCACTAGATACTTGCCTAGGCATAACAATTTTGCAATGCTGAGATATTTTACTTATGCATAATTAGTTTTGTCCATATGTCCTATCTTTATTCGTTGATTCAGCATACATATATTTATAAAAACGTACCGTATATTGAGACCAGTATGAGGGCTTAAAGATTAAATAAAAAAAGAGAAAGAGATAAGTTTCTAGGCTTTTGGCACTTAGAGAAATTACAAAATATATTTTACATTAAAATATTTATAATTATGAAGGAAAAGCATCTTTTGGCAGAGGAAGTCATTATTTTCAAGCTGGCTAGAATTATTAGAAAAAAGTGCTTTGCGGGAGGAGGTTCCAAGATGGTCGAATAGGAACAGCTCCAGTCTACAGCTCCCAGCGTGAGCGATGCAGAAGATGGGTGATTTCTGCATTTCCAACTGAGGTACTGGGTTCGTCTCACTGGGGTTCGTCGGACAGTGGGTGCAGCCCATGGAGTGTCAGCCGAAGCAGGGTGGGGCATCGCCTTACCTGGGAAGCACAAGGGGTCAGGGAATTCCCCTTTACTAGCCAAGGGAAGCCATGACAGATGGTACCTGGAAAATTGGGACACTCCCACCCTAATACTGTGCTTTTCCTACGGTCTTAGCAAATGGAATACCAGGAGATTATATCCCGTGCCTGGCTCAGAGGGCCCCATGCCCTTGGAGCCTCACTCACTACTAGCACAGCAGTCTGAGATCAAACTGCAAGGCAGCAGCGAGGCTTGGGGAGGGACCTCCACCATTGCTGAGGCTTGAGTAGGTAAACAAAGTGGCTGGGAAGCTTGAACTCAGTGGAGCCCACTGCTTCTCAAGGAGGCTTGCCTGCCTCTGTAGACTCCACCTCTGGGGGCAGGGCGTAGCTGAACAAAGGGCAGAGAAACTTCTGCAGACTTAAACGTCCCTGTCTGACTGCATTCAAGAGAGTAGTGATTCTCCCAGCATGGAGTTTAAGATCTGAGAGCAGACAGATTGCCTCCTCAAGTGGATCCCTGACTCCTGAGTAGCCTAACTGGGAGGCACCTCCCAGTAGGGGCTGACTGACATTTCATACAGCCAGGTGCCCCTCTGAGATGAAGCTTCCAGAGGAAGGATCAGGCAGCAACACGTTCTGCAGCCTGCACTGGTGATACCCAGGCAAACAGGGTCTGGAGTGGACCTCCAGTAAACTCCAACAGACCTGCAGCTGAGGGTCCTGACTGTTAGAAGGAAAACTAACAAACAGAAAGGACATCCACACCAAAACCCCATCTTTATTTCACCATCATCAAAGACTAAAGGTAGATAAAACCACAAGGTTGAGGAGAAACTAGAGCAGAAAACCTGAAAATTCTAAAAATCAGAGCACCTCTTCTCCTGTAAAGGAACGCAGCTCCTCGGCAGCAATGGAACAAAGCTGGACGGAGAATGACTTTGACAAGGTGAGAGAAGAAGGCTTCAGACAATCGGTAATAACAAACTTCTCTGAGCTAAAGGAGGATGTTTGAACCCATCACAAAGAAGCTAGAAACCTTGAAAAAAGATTAGACGAACGGCTAACTAGAATAAACAGCATAGAGAAGACCTTAAATGACCTGATGGAGCTGAAAACCATGGCACAAGAACTACATGATGCATGCACAAGCTTCAGTAGTCGATTTGATCAAGTAGAAGAAAGGGTTTCCATGACTGAAGATCAAATGAATGAAATGCAGCAAGAAGAGAAGTTTAGAGAAAAAAGAGTAAAAAGAAACTAACAAAGCCTCCAAGAAATATGGGACTATGTGAAAAGACCAAATCTATGTCTGATTGGTGTACCTGAAAGTGACGGGGAGAATGGAACCAAGTTGGAAAACACTCTGCAGGATATTATCCAGGAGAATTTCCCCTACCTAGCAAGGTAGGCCAACATTCAAATTCAGGAAATACAGAGAATGCCACAGAGATACTCCTTGAGAAGAGCAACTCCAAGACACATAATTGTCAGATTCACCAAAGTTGAAATGAAGGAAAAAATGTTAAGGGCAGCCAGAGAGAAAGGTTAGGTCATCCACAAAGGGAAGCCCATCAGACTAACAGCGGATCTCTTGGCAGAAACTCTACAAGCCAGAAGAGAGTGGGCGCCTATACTAAACAATCTTAAAGAAAAGAATTTTCAACCCCAAATTTCATATCCAGCCAAACTAAGCTTCATAAATGAAGGTGAAATAAAATCCTTTACAGACAAGCAAATGCTGAGAGATTTTGTCACCACCAGGCCTGCCTTACAAGAGCTCCTGAAGGAAACACTAAACATGGAAAGGAACAACTGGTACCAGCCACTGCAAAAACATGCCAACTTGGAAAGACCATCGATACTAGGAAGAAACTGCATCAACTAACGAGTAAAATAACCAGCTAACATCATAATGACAGGATCAAATTCACACACAATATTAACCTTAAATGTAAATGGACTTAATGCTCCAATTAAAAGACACAATCTGGGAAACTGGATAAACAGTCAAGACTCTTCAGTGTGCTGTATTCAGGAGACCCATCTCACATGCAGATACACACATGGGCTCAAAATAAAGGGATGGAGGAAGATCTACCAAGCAAATGGAAAACAAAAAAAAGCAGGGGTTGCAATCCTAGTCCCTGATAAAACAGACTTTAAACGAACAAAGATCAAAAGAGACAAAGAAGGCCATTACATAATGGTAAAGGGATCAATTCAACAAGAAGAGCTAACTATCCTAAATCTATATGCACCCAATACAGAAGCACCCAGATTCATAAAGCAAGTCCTTAGAGACCTAAAACAAGACTTAGATTCCCACACAGTACTACTGGGAGACTTTAACAGCCCACTGTCAACATTAGATCAATGAGACAGAAAGTTAACAAGGATATCCAGGTATTGAACTCAGCTCTGCACCAAGAGGACCTAATAGACGTTTACAGAACTCTCCACTCCAAATCAACAGAATATACATTCTTCTCAGCATCACATTGCACTTATTCCAAAATTGACCACATAGTTGGAAGTAAAGCACTCCTAAGCAAAAGTGCTTAGGACAGAAATTATAACAAACTATCTCTCAGACCACAGTGCAATCAAACTAGAACTCAGGATTGAGAAACTCACTCAAAACAGCTCAACTATATGGAAACTGAACAACCTGCTCCTGAATGACTACTGGTTGTGTGACAAAATGAAGGCAGAAATAAAGATGTTCTTTGAAACCAATGAGAACAAAGACACAACATACCAGAATCTCTGGGACACATTTAAAGCAGTGTGTAGACGGAAATTTATAGCACTAAAGGCCCAGAAGAGAAAGCAGGAAAGACCTAAAATTGACACCCTAACATCACAATTAAAACAACTAGAGAAGCAAGAGCAAACACACTCAAAAGCTAGCAGAAGGCAAGAAATAACTAAGATGAGAGCAGAACTGAAGGAGATAGAGACACAGAAAACCCTTCAAGAAATCAATGAATCCAGGAGCTGGTTTTTTGAAAAGATCAACAAAATTGATAGCCCACTAGCCAGACTAATAAATAAGAAAAGAGAGAAGAATCAAATAGATGCAAGAAAAAATGATAAAGGGGATATGACCATCAATCCCAATCCCATAGAAATACAAACTACCATCAGAGAATACTATAAACACCTATACACAAATAAACTAGAAAATCTAGAAGAAATGGGTAAATTCCTGGACACATACACCCTCCCAAGACTAAACCAGGTAGAAGTTGTGAATCCCTGAATAGACCAATAACAGGCTGTGATGAGGCAATAATTAATAGCTTACCAACCAAAAAAGTCCAGGACCAGATGAATTCACAGCCTAATTCTATCAGAGGTTCAAAGAGGAGCTGGTACCATTCCTTCTGAAAAGATTCCAATCAATAGAAAAAGAGGGAATCCTCCCTAACTCATTTTATGAGGCCAGCATCATCCTGATACCCAAGCCTGGCCGAGACAAAACAGAAAAAGAGAATTTTAGACCAATATCCCTGATGAACATCAATGCAAAAATCCTCAATAAAATACTGGCAAACCGAATCCAGCAGCACATCAAAAAGCTTATCCACTATGATCAAGTGGACTTCATCCCTGGGATGCAAGTCTGGTTCAACATATGCAAATCAATAAATGTAATCCATCATATAAACAGAACCAAAGACAAAAACCACATGATTATCTCAATAGATGCAAAAAAGGCCTTCAACACAATTCAACAGCCCTTCATGTTAAAACTCTCAATAAACTAGGTATTGATGGGACATATCTCAAAATAATAAGAGCTATTTATGACAAATCCACAGCCAATATCATACTGAATGGGCAAAAACTGCAAGCATTCCCTTTGAAAACTGGCACAAGAAATGGATGAACTCTCTCACCACTCCTATTCAACATAGTGTTGGAAGTTCGGGCCAGGGTAATCAGGCAGGAGAAAGAAATAAAGGTATTCAATTTGGAAAAGAGGAAGTCAAATTGTCCCTGTTTGCAGATGACATGACCCAGTCATCCCATTACTGGGTATATACCCAAAGGATTATAAATCATGCTGCTGTAAAACACAAGCACATGTATGTTTATTGTGGCACTATTCACAATAGCAAAGACTTGGAACCAGCCCAAATGTCCATCAATGGTAGACTGGATTAAGAAAATGTGGCTCATATACACCATGGAATACTATGCAGCGATGAAAAAGGATGAGTTCATGTCCTTTGTAGGGACATGGATGAAGCTGGAAACCATCATTCTGAGCAAACTGTTGCAAGGACAGAAAACCAAACACTGCATGTTCTCACTCATATGTGGGAATTGAATACTGAGAACACTTGGACACAGGGTGGGGAACATCACACACGGGGGCCTGTTGTGGGGTGGGGGGAGGGGGGAGGGGGGAGGGATAGCATTAGGAGATATACCTAATGTAAATGACGAGTTAATGGGTGCAGCACACCAACATGGCACATGTATACATATGTAACAAAGCTGCATATTGTGCACATGTACCCTAAAACTTAAAGTATAATAATAATAATAAAAAAGAAATCTTATTAAAAAAAGAAAAAAGTGCGTTGTTATAATATCATGGAAATAATGATATTCATTCCGTAGTGATACTAAGTGAAACTCAGCCTTCTCAGTTACATACTTGGAAACTTTTGATGAGTGAGAAGAACTATTTGTGGCAAGCAATCATGTTCTTTGCATGACTAGTAGCACCAGCCCCATGATAAATAAATACTTTGTATTCAATCCTTTATTTGCTGGCTAATGATTTGCAAATCAAGACTATTGACCATGAAGATCCTACTAAAAGGGTACTATTCCAAGAGCATAGCTTGGGGGTCATTAAATTCTACAACTTTCCCCATTACCAAAAAACAAAAACAAAAACAAACAAACAAAAAACAAACAAACAACAAAAAACAAACAAAAAAACAGACATTATGCAAAGGCAGTTTATTTCCTGAATGTTTTCCAAAAAATATGATATTCTTCTAATTCAACCCTTGTCAGCCCCAGTGAATGACAGTTCAGAGCTGTTTTTTCTCTGTCCTACTTAGATGCAAGTTTTCAGGAGAGCACAACATTGCCCTTAGACTAGATTCAAAATTTTGTTAAGGATGTTGTGATTTATTATTCCGGATGACTCACATGAAACAATCTCTTAAGAGATGACTCAGTGGTATTTAAAGAAATTTCGTTATGTTAACCAGAAACAATTTTGTTGGCAAGAGTACTTCTTCTTTGAACTGTTTTATAACATTGGCTAACAATATATTATCTGTGACCAATTGCTTTGTATGCTCTGGTGCTGCTGGTCCTTTAGGTGATGCTTACAAATGCAGTGATAATTTATTAGCTCAGGCCTTACTAATTCTTGATTTGGGACAATTTCCAAAAGAAATTAACTGAAGTTTACTAATTCTTATCACTCAAAGAAATGGATTGCTGAACAAAATAACAGTCTTAGTAAGAGTTTTGGAAAGATTTTGATTGAGAAAGAAAATATACTGGCACTTAAAACATCTGGTTGAAAATTATTATTATCAATATCTTTACCTGTACCTTTTAAATTATTGGCTGGGTGATCTTAATTTCCTTTTCTGTAAAACAGTGATAATGATTATACCAATTTCTTGGTATTTCAACACCTTCATTCATGAAATTGTGGTACTGATGGAGCCTGCATCATATAATTATTATGTGTGATAATGGGTTAATATACATAAAGCGCTTTAGTACCTAGAATATACAATTCTTCCAAAAGTTTAGCTGTTTTAAAAAGTTATTATTAGCAAGGTGCTCATTACTCTTTGTTAGTAATGTAAGACATTTTTTCTGGGCCTTGTTCAACCATCAGAGAAAAATTATAGTTATACCACTATTAATTATAATGGTGTGAATCAAATTTATACAATTTACAGTGATATAAATAAATATTCTAAAATAGGCATTTCACTAATATAGATTTTCTTGGATTAATGAAAAATTCGTCCCTCTGTTACTGTTCTTATGGGAAAAATCTGAATTGCACTTACTAATTGTCCCACAATTTTTGTGTTTTATAACCCCAATTGTATGCTGGAAAGAGCATCAAAATGAAAACTGGAAAATTACCTATTAGGTATAATGTTAATTATTGGGGTGATGGGTACACTGAAGGCCAAAACTTCACCATACTCAATACATGCATGGAAGAAATCTGCACTTGTACCCCGTAAATATCTGTAGAAAAAGTTGGAATAACTGTTTTGTTCCTGATAATTTTTTCTAGCTTCTTAACCCCTTTTTCCTCAGAGCCCTTATCCTTAACTTTGGTAATAATAACTATCTGAAATATTTTATGAGGATAATGTAAGATTAACTGTTGTGCTTCTGATTAACTTTTAGACAAAAGTTTTGGCTTAACCAGCCTACCTTCCTCCTTCTGCTGTCTGCATCGGGTGTTGTTTTTTTTTTTTTGTTTTTTTTTTTGTTCTTTTTTTGGTGGAGAGGGGCGGTGGTGGTTAACACCTATACTTGGAGATACTGTTGTAACGCCAATTGTCAAAAAAAGTACACTTTTAATTTTTAATAAGTTTCAAGAAATGTATGCCTGGAATTATAAACTTGAACTGAGGCACCAAGACAAAAAACCGATAGATGTTTTTATATCTCCAGGGGGGCATCTGATCCAGATCACCAGAACTGCACTTGTTCCTTTCCTTTTTGTGTCTAGTTCAGTGACTTCCATTGTTTCTGTTTGCTATGTTTGCTATACCATATTATTCCAAAAAACTCCTGTTTTTTTGTTTTGTTTTTGTTTTTGTTTTTGTTTTGGTGGTTGGGGGTGGGTCATTTACGCAAAGTTGGTTTCTATTGCTTTCAATTAAAATCCCTAACTGAAATAGTGTCCAAAGATAGTATTTTGGTGAGAAAGTTGTGGTTCCAGGAATTGATTGAATTTAGCCTTGTAAAAGTCACTGAGCTTGTCAGAACTTGGCTTCCACTGAAGTTAGAAGTGATTTGGGCTTCTTGGTTTTGGAAGTTCATTCTAGCTCTAATACTACTGAAAATGTTTATGGTATAAAATAGAATATTAAATATTATCTGAATAAACTAAAAGTATTTATATACATGAGCACCTTACTAGGTCCATATCAACAATTACAGCACTTTCTTGTGCTATGTTGTTAGATCAGCAGAGCACAGAGGAAATGCATTTGAAGCAATGGCTTGAAACAGTAAGAACATAGTTACATCAGATTACAGGAACAATATGGCTGACTTTTCCCTTTTGAGGGGAAAAAAGCCTGAGGGAACATTATTGACAGTAGCAAATAAAACTTTCCTGCTTCTGAGATTTTATTTTCTCTTTTATTCTCCTACCTACACTGTAAAAGAGTAGTTAAGACAACTACCAATTAGTTGTCAGTTCAGAGCAAGCACAAAGATGGAAAACCAACCCTAAGATGCCCATAGTACTGGCTTCAAAACCTTCTAATCTCATCAAATTGTTCATAAAAGTATTATTAACCTAGCTGGTTATCAATCTTGGTCTTCAGAGCTATTGATTTTTTTTTTTTATGAGAGAAGAACTATTTCTTTTCTAGGGAATGAGTTGTTACTTGAATTTTCAAATGAGACTCATTTTTATTTACTTTGGCAGGCACTTCCAGCGTTGTTTCAGAAGTAAGTTATTTCAGGGAGGGAGATGAAATGGGGAGATACAGTCATGCATATGGCCTTTTACTAAGATTCACTTTAAAAATGAATTTTATAGGTTCTTAAAAGGGAAGTATCTTAAAATTAAGGATAGTATTTATTTGTTGACCAAGGTTGCTATTAATAGTACATCTAGTAATCAATGATGTCTTAGCACCCAGGAAACACAGGACACAAATATATGCATAGATAGATAAATATATAACTATACAGCTAGACAATATATGTAATCCACTGCTATACACACAGCAAACTACTAGGTTAGTACGTTTTTGGAAATCAAAAATTAAAACTATGAAGTAGAACAAAACTTCCAAAAAATAGAACGAATGGAAGTTCTACATCAATGAATCCTGATGAGTTTATTTGAGGCACCATCTTAGAAGGAACGTCATAGTTTGCAGAACTTATAACTTGAATAATATCAAGGGCTCACTAGATAATCAATCACCTAAGTTGATGTTGATGTTTTAGTAACATTGGTGTTTAGTCATATTACCTCTAGCTTGAAAATGAAGGTATGATCATCTTTCCTTTTGGCTAAAGGATGGGATATGCTGAATAGTTAATGAAACATTATTCATCTTATGCTGGAGTTAGTGAACCAGTACATCTTATACTTTATTTATGTATTGAAACCAAAATAAGAAGAGGACATCATTAATTTTAAGGCAGTCTTTTTTTATAGGTTAGTTCTATAGCAAAATTATGGAGGACAAAATTTTAACATGGAATTAATATTTTAAAATAAGTATATTCATGCTAATTTTGAATATTTGTTGAAAAAAATTTGTATTTTGAGAAAATATTTTTTTCAAAGCTTTTGGTGAACATAGCTTTTGGAATGCTTCTCTATGTAGATATTCTTATATTCTGGTGTGTTCTGTCCCACTTAACCTGACGCTACACAACCCTGAGTTGAATTAGAAAGGAAAATTATTTCTGAATCTGCACACTGCCCTGGAAGCTATCAGCTAGATTTTTCCACAAATGACTCACTAAGAAGCATAGAAAATGATGGTGCGCATGAAAAAGAACAATTGTTCCATTTTTAGAAGAATGACCAAAAGGTTCATCTAAGTGGCTTAATTTTGAAGGCAGAAGAATTAAATGTCTGCTTGTGATCTTGGCTCTCTTTTTACCCTCAACAAACCCTTGGAATGCTCCCTGATGCCTTTCTTAATGCAGGTCTTGGATCATCAGATGAGAGAGCTATAATGGTGACTAAATCTTTCATATCCTCAAATTATTAATCACTGACCTGCCATTTCTTATAAACAGATATTATAAATTACAAAATATTATACATTACAAAAAGGTAAAAATAAAAAGATACAAAGATTTTAGTCAGAAGTTCTTTTCCTGTACTTGACATCTTATTTAACACAAAGTTGCACATATGGACAAAAAGAGCTTAAATCTTGGTTTTGGAAATGAAATAACCATGTAAACATGAAACTCATCAAGTCAACATTGTCTAAGAAATGATCTAGGGCCAATAATAAGAAAATTCAGTTTTAATTTATAAACTCAAAATTTGTTTTAGAACTTTTTTTTTTTTTTTTTTTTGAGGCAGATTCTTGCTCTGTCCCCCAGGCTGGAGTGCAGTGGCATGATCTCCACTCACTGCAACTTCCATCTCCCAGGTTCAAGCGATTCTTCTGCCTCAGCCTCCTGAGTAGCTGGGATTACAGGCACATGCCACCAGGCTCAGCTAATTTTTGTATTTTTAGTAGAGATGGGGTTTCACCGTGTTGGTCACACTGGTCTCGAACTCCTGACCTCAGGTGATCTGCCCACCTTGGCCTCCCAAAGTGCTGCAATTACAGGCGTGAGCCACTGCACCCAGCCCAGAACCATTTCTTATGGTTCTAAAACCATTATAATGCTCATTATGAATGTATCAAGGTGCTGCCACATCAGAAATCATCCACAAGAATGTTAAATAATGTTCGGTCCAACTTTAACAAGAAAAGTAAGGAAGTGAATATATTTCACTAAGATTTGGTAGTCAGGGTTAAAACAAAAAGGATATTCTGATTAACTGCTAGTTAACTAGATTCCTTGGTTTATAAGCATTTTTGTTTTTATATTGCAATTTAAGAATTTACTTAAATGTTAGTTGGTTTAACATTTGCTTA
Source organism: Homo sapiens (assembly GCF_000001405.40). Classification (NCBI taxonomy): domain Eukaryota; kingdom Metazoa; phylum Chordata; class Mammalia; order Primates; family Hominidae; genus Homo; species Homo sapiens. The sequence goes on from NC_000009.12 coordinate 24,418,520, forward strand.
AATGTTAGTGTAAAAGTCAGTGCTGAAGTACAACAATAGTAGAAATTCCCGTAAGACAACTTCTTAAAATTTCAGTTCTGTGTCTTAGTTATCAAGTGATTCTGGGCAAGCAATATCCTATCTTCAGGTCTCTATTTTCTTGTCTGTGAAATGAAGGATTAGAAGTTACTTCCAAATTCTAAAATTATAAGACTCTGGATAAAAGTGCTCCACTTTTATAATCTTTTTTCTTATGTTACTGAATGTCACTGCTTTATAGAGACTGTATCCTTTTCAGAACAGGAATGAGGGAGGCCTCAGTTTTTAGCAGCTAGAGCAATGCTAGTGTGCCAAAAGTGTGGAGTAAATTTTCTTGTCATTAGTTTTAAATAGCAAGGCTCTAGATAAGATTTTGTATTTTATATACTTCAAACACATTAAGCTTTTACTTCCTGTTACCAAAAATATTTCATACTTTATAAATAAAATATTATTAAATACACTGAAAATTTTCACGGTTCATTTAGCCAATGAAAGAAATCAGTTTTGTATGTACAAGAATAGCTTTTCTCTGACTATCTTGCTTGTGAAATTGAACCTTCTTACTTTCATACATTATTTGTGAATGAAATCAATAGAAAGCCTAAAATCCAAGGGGCGGAATACTTTACCAAAGGAAATTTCAATACTTGTCAAACATAAATGTAAGACAAAAACACTACTTTAGGCTTATGTAAAATTCAATGAAGCCAAATGAGAAAGACTGAAAGGGAGAAATGAGGTTAAGGAAAGAAAAACCCAAGTGTGTTAGCTGTGAGCAGTCTATTCAATAGATGAGACTGGCACTGGTGCAGGCTATCTCTTCTCACTGCCCTCTCTCCTTGTTGGTGGAGCTTGACTGCAGTATGCAGCTAGTGAATAGCTCAACCCTTTGATAACAAAACTTGAGAAAGGCTTCTGGGGGCTTTTGGGAAATATTTATCTCCTGAAAAGAGAGAAGGAAAGGAGGAGAAAGAAGAGAGTGAAGGGGAGAGGGGGAGAGAAACAGATACACAATTCTCTTAAGTTATGTTTTATCTACGTGAGATTTCTGAAATTGTGGCAATCATCTTGCAGCGTAAGTAGACAAAACAAAGAACTAAGACGGTAATCCAGTGGAATGGCAGAGCAGGAAGATAAGAAGCCTGGATCCCTGGATATTTGAAGTAGTCCCTGAATGACCTGCCTTTGGCTTTGTGTTGTGGGAGATAATTTTAGTTATTTTTTAAGCTATTCTAGTTGACTATTGTGCTGCTTGCGGCTAAAAGGGGTTTAATTCTTCTATCTCTAGCTACTTGCTCACTCTGGGTATCGTTTGACTTTTTCCCATGGAGCACATCCAATATTTACTCCTCTAAGATTGTTTTAGGTTGGGAGAACTGGGTGACTTGTTGGAGGTGGAGGTGGCCTTTTAGTTCCAAGTTTTACTCCCTGTTGTAGCCTGAAATAGTGGTTTTGGCCACTCTGAAAGTTCATATACCTGTACTCAGAACATTTAATTGGATATACTATAAAATAAACAAAAACTAAAGCTCAATGATTACAATTGTAGCAATAGTGTTATTATCTGTAATATTTTGTAGCGGAGAAAATGAGAGATGACATTCTCTGTGATTAGTAACCAGTGCCTTAAAGAAAGTGAGTAAAATGATTTACTGAAGACCTACCATTAATTCACAGCATATTATCATGAATGAGTCATTTAAGTTGTTGTTTCCACATTGCACTACTTTGCCCTTGTCGGTGCTGATTTTGTTTGTTGTCACATTAGTCACTTGTTCAGTTATTTTTGGTTCTCTTAAATTTTCTAATAATCCCTAATAGAGTTTAGTCAGCTAAATACTTTTGTTGGATAATATATGCATGAACACATCTGAGAGTTGGACAGAAGAATTTTAATTTTTGCTAATTAGTGTAAAACTTTACTTCATTTTTTTCTCAGATCAGTTAATATTTATTTTTGCATCTCAGCTGATTTTCTCTCCAGCCTTTCAAATCTCCATTTTATCAACTATAATAAAAATATCTGATAATTCTAGTTTTTGCCACAGATACTTTATTCACTCATTTAATCAGAAATATATTTCAAGCATCTAATTTGGGCTAATCATATCAGTACTGGGACATACAATGGTGGAGAAATGAAATTTATTTTCTGTCCTTTCAGAACATATAGTCTAGTGTCATTTAGTTTATATCAGGGTTTTAGCATGATTTTATATAACTGATGACAAATGTACTTTTTTTTAGAAATAATTGTCTAGTCCCTATGGCCATAGTCTCTCCTCTTAAGTCAGTTGTAGAATAGGCATGAGTAAAGCCCAATTTCAAATTGGTATAAAGGAATGCCTCCATTATGGAGAAGAAAGCATGCTGTATTCATCTGTTCTCATGCTGCTAATAAGTACCTGAGACTGGGTAATTTATAAAGAAAAAGAAGTTTAATGGTTGGAGAGGCCTCACAATCATGGCAGAAGATGAAGGAAGAGCAAAGGGACATCTTACATGGCAGCAGGCAAAGAGAAGAATGAGAACCAAGTCAAAGGGGTTTCCCCTTATGAAATCATCAGATCTCATGAAACTTGTTCACTACCATGTTAACAGTATGGGGGAAACCACCCCCATGATTCAATTATCTCCCACTGGATCCCTCATACAACACATGGAAATTATGAGAGGTAAAAATCAAGATGAGATTTGGGTGGGGACACAGCCAACCCATATCACATACAAATAACTCACTTTTACAGTTTACAACAAAACAAAACAACAACAAGAAAATATTTTCTGTCCAGAGGAGGCATAAGTATGCATTTTAAGGTATCAGGAAAAAAGGAGAGTGTTAAGCTAAGCAGATGAATATGCGTTTATCTTTCCATTTGACCTTTCAGCAGTATATGGCACAGTTGAATACTTCCTCTTTCTTTATAACTTTCCTTGGCTTCCCCTACACAAAATTCTTGAATTTTATCCAATCTCTATTGCTATTATTTCTTAGTTATTTTGAAGATCTTCTTTCTTTGATGGATTTTTTATTTGTTTCTATTTTACACCCTTTACAAACAAAAACTGGGCAATGTTGTCCCTTCCCATGGCTTCAATTGCTATCTAAAAGTTAATGTTTCCCAAGCTTTTACTTAGAGTGTGTTGTCTCTCCTGAACATTAGCCTAGACCCACAAATTCCACTGATTATTTGATATCTTAACTTGGATATTTGTCTGGTCACTGAAAAGTCAACATGTTTAGAATATTTTCTCTAATCTCTTCTTCCTCTTATGCTTTTATCAAAAACCATCACCTTTCCTTCTTTGAAACTGGCATCCAAAATGTCACCAACTCCCTTTAGTACTATCTCTAACATTACTCAGTTTCAACCACTTTCCTCCATCTCCGTCTTCAGTATGCCAAGTCATACCCTGAATGTCATCACTCACCTGAATGACCAGACTAGTCTCCTAGCTGGCTAGTTTCCCTAATGCTGCTCATGATTCTCTACAATTTATTCTCAACCTGGAAAGCTGAGTGAACTTACTGAAAGACAAACCTAATTTACTCTCTTCATGATTAAAACCTTCTCTCATAAGTTAAAATTCATCTTCTTAACATGACTTAAAATCTGGCCCTTCTAGTTTGCATCTTTCTCTGCCATCCGCAATAGCAATTGTCTGAATGTATTATATTACAGTACCTTGCATCTCAAAATGTGTGTGTGTGTTTTCTTGAACATTTGTTTTCTTTTTACCTAGATAGATGCTGTATGTGCTTCAAATCTGTTTCTATGTTAAAGTTTCAGAAATTCTTCATGGATTATCCCGCCACCCTCACCTTCATGAAGTTGGGTTTGTGTGTCCTTGCAATGATTCTCCATAGCAGTCTCTACTCTTAGCACAGTATATTATAGTTTCTGTATTTGTCTTTGTACCGTACCAAACAGTATTATCTAAGAGAGCAAGGAATAGGCCTGAATCGTTGAATATTTTACCCCCGGCACAATACTGGCACATGATCAATACTTACCCGTTATTTGTTTAATGAAACAAAATTAAATGAAATTAATTATTAATTCAAATACAGAATGATTAACAGAATCATGCTAACATTGAGATGTCTTTCCATTTTTGTAATGTTGAATAACATTTCTTTTGGCATAGAGAGTTACTAAAAAGTGTCAAACTCAATTGTTGAATTTTAAAATCTAAAACTCTTGAATCACATTTGTGTTTTTTTTTCTTTAACCTATCTCTTTCTCTCATGTTTATTAAGTCTGTGATTTTTCCAAGTATGTTAGTTGGAAGGTATAAAATAATCTCTTATGTCTGTTTTTATCCCTAGCAAATTTTTATACTCAGTGATCCCTAAGGGAGAGTTCCTAGTGTATAGAAATTATGTTAACCTGGACTGCCATTTTGTTCTTTTAATTCCAGATGAAGTGTGGCTCTCAAATTTCCCACAGAAAGAGAAGAGAAAGAAAATATGAGAGATGAAGGAAATGGACTAGAAGCAGTAGTAAGAGAGTTTAGCGACACAATTTAGATGATGATGTGCTATGACATTCTTCCTTCTCCTGTGTTTCTTGACCCTCTGTAATCCATAAACCTATACCCATATCAGTAGTGACTCTGTTCATGCTGAAATTTAGACTTCCCACATGGCCTAGGGCAGTAGCTTGCAAAGTGGTTCACAGAGTGACCGTGGCAGGTATGTGTAATTTTTAAGAGTTTCCTGAAGAGTCCTGATTTGTAGCCACTTTTGGGCACCATTGACCATACAGTCTCTTCTCTGCATACTGCAGACTAAATTTCTGAGCCCCAGTTGAGAAATGTCTGAAATTTTTTGCACAGGTCACTTAGTCTGTACAGTTTTGGAATTATAAGTTTATATAACTCTCAATCTATAGAAAAGAGAATTCTATATCTAAAAATCTATATAGAAAATTCAACTAAATATCACAAACTTAAATTCAACTAAATATCACAAACTTTATAAGGGATGTTCTATAGGATTTGCGATCTTTTTATTGGTGTGGCAGTATATATATATCTACCTGTCTTATTTTTTCTAGTATATACAAACTACTTTAATATGAGGTGTACTATCTTGTTCTTTTTGTATCCCAATATATAGCAGAATTCATGGCACACAGTAGATACCCAACCAAAATGACTTTTAAATAAAAGGATTAATAATTTTTCTATTCATGTTCTTATCCTGCTTCATACAAGGCTCTTTACCTATATTATGCCATTTGGGCCTTCAAGCTCATCTGAAAAATATATACTAAGTCATCACTGCTAGTACAGGGCTTTCCACATTAATCACTCACTCTTATGAAATTTTGCAATGTTCTCTTTACCAAAGTTATTTAAGTGTATGTCCATATATCCCATAAATTTTAAAATCTCAAGGGTAGTAATGTGTCTTTGAACCCCCAAAGCACAACCCCTCTTTAATAGGACAGATTCTACTGAATTGATTCATCATTAAAAAAAAGAAGCCAAAGTGGGTTTGGTGCCAATCCATAAAATATGACTGTAATTGATTGTCTCTTGTAGACCTGCCTTTAGAATAGTTCTTTGTACCCATTATATGTCCTTCTCTAACATTCATTATTGGACAACATTAGTCCTTGGATGGATCACTGAATGCTATAATCATAAGTAGGTAATGCATTTTGCACTCAGTTGTTCATTATGCTTTGATAATGGAAAAAGAGTTTCTTTAAAGTCGGAACGAATTATCACAAGTGGCTCTTTTTTTCCCAAGTGCCACCAACACTCAATTACCCTGGAACTGATTCTGTAGTTTTCAGGTTATACAGGCCATTACCTCTTCCCCTCTTCTTGATGTCTACCTTTGCACCATTTCACTGCTCATTAGTGTCTGGAGGAAAAAAAAAAACACTTGAGAAGGCAAGGAAGGTGAAATACAGGTTGGTCATTTTGTACTTGTTAGTAGCCGTGATAAAAGGGTTTTGTGGGAAATGTGATTAGTGAAAAGTAGTGGGATACAGTCTGGACTGTGCTCTCTATATGTGGGTCATATTTCAATCTTATATCATCAATTAGCTTAGAATATTTAGAATTTGCTTATAGTAAAAGTTGTTTAAAGACACAAAATCTCTCTCCTATTTTTTTCATAAAATAATTTAATGACACACTATAGATGTGTGTTCTTTAATATGTGTGACACTAAGTTTGTGCTATTTAGTACATTTAAAAATACTATATTTGTGATAGGTAGGACCATCCTAGAACCCATACTTTCTATTGCACTTTGGAATATTTGGTTAGAGAATGGTGAACTGAACAGAGCTGCCATTCTTGACATTTTTATCCAAAGAAGCTATCTTTTGCTCCAAGGAACTATGTTTCATCTTCTGAAAGTCCCAATTATAACTTAGTTTTCATGTCTTCCTGCAATTAGCATGGATAAAATACGTTGTGAATTTTGATTTTGGACACAAATAAAGAATGTGCTTAAATAATAATTAAATCCATGTGTCTTCATTCATTTTGTCTTCTGACTGGAGAGAGGGAATTCCTGTGTCTCTTTCTTATAGTCTGATGTAAATGATCATTGAGGTGACCTTTATATTTAGCAAAAATGGGAGTTGAACATGAATGGTAGGTGTAGTTTATGATTCATGAGATAATTTAAGAAGAAATAGTGAATAAAGCAGTGACTACCTTTTTCTCTGTAAATCATGGAAACAAAAACATGGGGCAAATTTATTTTCTTCATGTTTGGATTCTGAATTATGAAATCACTGCTGTGTTGTAATATAGATTTTTCTCTTAGTCATCATTGTCCTTTAAAGTTCATTTTTTATAATTGAATATTCTAAAATGTTGCACCACATCCTTATTGAAAATGTTAGGAAAATGAACAGAAAATATTCCAAAAATCCATGCAACTCATTTCTTGAGAAGAGTCACTAGGATTTTTTTTTTTTTTTTTTTTTGAGACGGAGTTTTGCTCTGTAGCCCAGGCTGGAGTGCAGTGGCGCGATCTCGACTCACTGCAAGCTCCGCCTCCCGGGTTCACGCCATTCTCCTGCCTCAGCCTCCCGTGTAGCTGGGACTACAGGCGCGCGCCACCATGCCCGGCTAATTTTTGTATTTTTAGCAGAGATGGGGTTTCACCGTGTTAGCCAGGATGGTCTCGATCTCCTGACCTCGTGATCCGCCCATCTCGGCCTCCCAAAGTGCTGGGATTACAGGCGTGAGCCACCGCGCCCGGCGAGTCACTAGGATTTTACAAGGTTTATACTTCTCTTTGGAAATGCTACTTATATTTCTGTTTCCCCAGATACATGGAAATGTAAGTGGATGGTCTCAAATTATTTTTTAACAATGTTTTGATATGTTCTGCTTAAACAGTAGCTTTGCTCCTCTTATCTTTTCCTTTCTAATATATTAAAATAAGCTCCTCAAATATTTAAGTTCTCTTTTTATTTTTCTATTTTATCTGTTATAATTTGCTCTTTGCAGAGCTTGTCTGCTTTAAAAATGTATGCATTGCTCTTTTATATATATATATTTATAAACACTATATATTTACACACACACACACACATATATATATTTATACACACACATTTATGTATTTCAGGTAGTTTGAGATAATCTGGGTTTATCTCAAGCCTATTAGTTGTAAAGTAATGAACATAAGCGCTAGAACTTATACAGATGAGCAAGTCATAAAACCAAGTGTCAAACTTAAATAGCTAGGAAACAAAGCTCTTCATTTTCTTTTCATGAGGACTAAGCTGGTAATCAGTGATCTCCTCTAACTCTTTTTCCTTTACATGACTGGAACAGTGATATTGCACATCTTAGGTTTTCCTCTCTCCTTTTTCATATTCTATCCCTGTTCAACACATTTTTCTTCACCACCGAGTTCATATGGAATTCTTCCTCTTAACATCCACAGAGCAATTTCACTTTCACTTGATATACTGTTTGTGTCACCTGAACCTTAACTTATTCGGTCTTATATTTCCCCCTTAAATGTTGAGGACAGCATTCCTTAAAGTGTTCTATAGAATAGTTGTTCTATAATACAGTCTCGTAGCAAACAGTTTCAAGGCTAAATTTGACAAGTGCTGTATACTTTATACGTTTCTTTGACATTTATAACAAATATTAGCATAGGATCTGAAACTTCCTGCAACAAATCAGTCTAGCTTAACTTTATAACAATCTTCATTTTATGTTTTTTTTAACCTTTCTTTTTCTAAAGCATCTGATAATGTCTTATGTAGACTTTGGTATATGCTAATTTTGAGTGTGGTAAAGAAACTTTTCTTAATTATCAGATTGATTATTTCACATATCTATGTTAAAAGTTAGTGTCTTTCACATTATTTTAATATAAAAAATACTTTTCTTCTTACAACTTGATTTTTACCAGACTCTTTTACCAAATAGTTATAAACATAGCAACTCCACTTTTCTCCCAATGAATAGGAAGGGTTGTCAACTCCTCTGGCAGATCACACCTAAACTGGTAGTTCTTTTTAATTAAATTTTAAATTTTTAATTTCTGTTGGTACATAGTAGGTGTGTATATTTATGAGGTATATGAGATGTTTTGATACAGGCACGCTATGTGAAATAACCACTTCATGGATAATGGGGTATCCATCTCTTCAAGTATTTATCTTTTGAGTTACAAACAATTCATTTATTCTTTTGGTTATTTTAAAATGTTCAGTTATTATTGATGAAACTCACTCTGTTGTGCTATCAAGTAGTAAGTCTTATTTATTTTTTCTAACTTTAAAAAAAAAAAACTATTAACCATACCCACCTTATCTCCAGCCCTCGTTACCCTTCTTAGCCTCAGGTAACCATGCTTCTACTCTCTGTCTCCATGAATCCAATTGTTTTGATTTTTAGATCCTACAAATAAATGAGAATGTGCAATGTTTGTCTTTCCGTGACTGACTTATTTTCACTTAACATAATGACCTCCAGTTCTATCCATGTTATAGCAAATGAAGGATTTCGTTGTTTTTATGGCTGAATAATATTCCACTGCATAAATGTACCACAATTTCTTTATCTATTCATCTGTTTTGGACATTTTGGTTGCTTCCAAATCTTAGCTGTTATGAACATTGCTGCAATAAACATAAGAGTGCTGATATCTCTTTGATGTACTGATTTCCTTTCTTTAGGGTATTTACCCAGCAGTGGGATTGCTAGATCATATGGCAAATCTATTTTTAGTTTTTTGAGGAACCTCCAAACTGGTCTCCATAATGGTTGTACTAATTGACATTCGTACCAACACTGCATATGGTAAACTGGTAGTTCTTATTAAGAATTAGGTAACTATTTTGAGAGCAATAAATATTCATTAAAAATTGCCATTTTTAACAAGAGCATAATTCAATTATTAAAATAAAACAAACAAAATGCCAAGCAGAAGTTATTAGATGCAGTAAGGAGAATGGTCTGGCGTGAAAATTAAGGGAAAAAAATGAAGAAGGTCAAAAATGAGGCTATTTTAATAATCCAGGAGAAAGTTTCAGGTTGTGTGGAATAAGGTGTAGGTGACATAAATTGAAATAAGTGAATAGATTTTAGAGATGTATAGGAGGTAAAAGAAACAGGGTGAAGTAATTAAATATACAGTAATAGTAAGAAAGATAAAGGTGGGGTGCTACTATATTTCTAGCTTGAAAAAGCATTGATTCGAATTAGAGAAGTACTGGGATTGGAGGGGGTATGGCATGCAGAAAACCGTGCTTTAATTTTTGACCAAGTTGAATCAGAGCTGACTTTAAGAATTCAGGGTGAAGTTATTAAATAGGCAATCAGATATATTGACCATTTTTTTCTCAATAGAGAAAAAAATGAAAACAAGTGAATTCATTAGAATACAAATGGCAGTTTAAGTCAGGACCATGTGTGAGATTATTTAATATTTAAAAATAAACACATAAATAATTTTATTTATTTTTTAACTTCATTTTCTTTTCACATGCCATGAGATTATTGAGCTACACTAACAAACACCAAATTTCTTGCTGTTAGTAACTAACCTTCTCCTATGAAGATTTGTATTCAGCTAAGTGGTAATTATCTCCTAAAATACACCAAAATGTTTCTAACCTGGTGATTTTAATGTTTCATTTTAATACTTGTTATCAGTGCATTCAGCAGAGATGATTGCCAGTTCCTGGAAATAAGTTTTCATACACTCAAACACCTTTGCTCTGTTTTAAATCTAATTTCTCTATGCGTGGACTATCTATGATGCCCTCTTGCCTACTCAAGGACATCATTACGGATCTATTCTCTCTTTTTTTGCCTACATTATCATTTTTTTTCCTCTCTACTTGATCAGCATATATGTGGTTTTGCACTGGATTGATTTGGCTAAGCTGTAAATAAGTTTGCAGGTTAGTGTTGATCAAGAGAAATTTGCTTGAGATTTGGAAGGTTGAAGTGATGCATAAGATGTTATTACCTGAAGGTCAGTGGGAATAAATGTGGTGAAAGACATGTGCATAGATACCAGTAGGTTTCAGATTTCCTCTTCTCTTCCTTGTTATGTGAAACAGATGCAGAGGTTCTGGTAGGTTTCAGCTTGACTACATCTTCTCTTCTAAGCACTTCTTTCTGGCTACCAGCCCTGTTGACCACCAGTAGCCTCAGGCCCAAAACCATGTGCAAAAGCTGTAGATTTCATAATCTTCTCCATTAGCTCTCTCTTGTGGTCCCACTCAAACGGCTGGATGTGCCTGGCTTTCCAGATTTCCTCTCAAATTCTCAGTGTCCAACCACTCCAGTATTTTGGAAGGCTGGTTAGTTATTTAGTTACTTTCATTTTACCCTCCAACTCCCCTTTTGGATGCCTCCTTCCTCAGATTCTTCATAAATATGTAAAGTTTTATTCCTAGAATCATTTATTATATAATATTCTTAGTAGTTTTCTTTCCCTGAGTGAATCGCGATTGATGAAGTATATAATTATGTTGCTCTAGTATTAATGGGGAGAAATGCTGAATTCCTCTGCCAGTTACCACCAGCTTTCATTACTTTTCCTTGGGTCAAAATTCCTTAAAATTGTTTTTATACTTGCCTTCTCCAAATCTCTTATTCTCTCCTAACCCATTCTGATTCATGTTTCATTTCTATCGTATCACATAAATAGTTGCATCAAGGTCAATTATGATATCCACATTTCTAAATCAAATGGTCAATTTTATGCCTTCTGTTACTTGAACTATCAGCAACATTTGACAAAGTTGATTACGCCATCCTCCTTGGCATACTTTATTCACTTGTCTTCTAGAATACTGTACTTTTTTGGTTTTTCTCTTATCTTGACTATTCCTCAGCCTTTTTTCCCAGTTTCTTTTGTTCTCCACACTCTCTTAATAGTTGAGTGCCTCAGGGATCAATCCTTGGTCCTCTTATCTTCTCTGTGAAGGTTCACTCCTTTCGTGATCTAATTCTGTTTCCTTCCTGTCTACTTACAGATGATGCCCCAAATTTTATATCCAACCCAGAATATCTCAAAATATAGACTACATACTCAGCATCTCCACTTGGATATCTAACAATCAACTCAAAATCAGCATATCCCAAACCCCTATTTGGACTATTTTTCCAAACTCAGATCTATCTGCAGCCTTCTCCATTTTGTTTGATGGAAGCTCTATCCCCTCTGTCATTATATTCAAAAAGTCTAGATTAGTCATCATAACTATTCCCTTTCTCTCACATCTGAAATGGCTAGAAAATTGTGTTGACTCAACTTTAAAAATATGTCTAGAATTCAAACACACACCCTACCACTGCTCTTGGTGGAGTCACCATCTTTTCACCTGAGGTTACTTTAGTAGGCTCTTGTCAGAATTCTGACAATTCTTACAAATTTGTCTATCTGCAGTTTATTATAAGCACAACAGCCATATTCACCCTTAAAAACATAAGATACATCTCTCATTCCCTTACTAAAAACTCAACTGATCTCCATTTTTTGTTAAAATAAAGCTAAAAGTCTTACAATGGCCCACAAGATCCTACATATAGTGAGGCTTCCTCACTTATCTCTTTGCGCTCATCTCCTACTTCTGTGCTACAACGTCATTTCCTTCTTTACTGTTCCTCAATCATGCTACCTTGTGGCTTTTGAGTCAATTGATATTCATTTCTCTTAAAATATCTATTTGTTTAACTTCCCCACCTCTTTTACACATTTACAGAAATCTGATTTTCTTAATAACACCTTTTCTGGCAAACCTAATGCTACCTACCCTGTCCCAATGCTGACACTTGAATGTCCCTTTCAACTAGTCAATTTTTTTTCTTTTTATATAGCGTTTATCACTGCTAATACAAGATTTAATTTAGTTACTCATTATACTTTCTAATTTTCTGCCTATCTCAGCTAAATATTAAATTCTATTTGGATAGATTCTTCATCTATCTTGGTCATTGATATATACCAAGTGCCTACGATGGTGTCTGGCTCCAAAGAGGTACTCAACAAAGGTATGCCACCAGATTTTTGTTAAAGCCACTCTTAAATACAGCAGCCTTTGGATATTAGCTCTAATACTATTTTTTCTTGGTATGTAAGAGATATAATGCAATCTCTATTTTCTGTATCTTTTGCTTCTTGATTTGTGAAGTTGTCTTCTATGTAATTTAGGAATGCTTTGACATTGCTTGTTTGTCACTATTATCCTCACCCTGTCAAAATACAGGAGAGTTGGAAATCTCCTTTGAATATGAGACAGAACAATTTAGAATATAGAAAATGTTGACTTACAGGTTTTCATTGTTACTCACCTTTCATACTGATGTTCCTTTCCTATGGCTGGCCGATAGCCATCATAGTTTTTTCGGCATTTTTTTATTCCTTACATTATTAGCTGAAGTGCTTTACCATACCACTATTCATTGTCAAATTGTATCTCTCTGATATTGTAAATACTTTTGATATATAATACACTCTCCTGCCATTCTCTTTGTTAACACTCCAATAATGGAATGAACCCTCGAGGTTCTGGTTATGCCCGCTAGGTTATGACCTCCTCTCCATGTAAGCACTTGTAATGTTCTCAATCACATGCCATATGCCATACATTTATGCTTTGCCACCTCAGTAAATGAATAACATTTGTCTCTCAATGCAGAGAAAAAATTATAATTCTGCATTATTTTAAATCTAGAAAATATATAGCTATATATTTGAGTCAAATATCTATGACCTATTTTACCTAGAGCAAAACCACTTAGTGTATTTTAATATTTCTAAACTTTTGGAGAGTAAGAGAAGAACATTGTAAAACAGGAAATTTTAGTAATTAAAACTAAAATGACAAATTGGGAATATTTTAATTATTTCATAAATATGAATTATATGGCAAATATTTTCTAAGTGGTAATGATTATTAAAATGAAGGTGAACATTAGAATTGATTAATCTCTGGAGGGGAAGTAGAAAAAAACTCTGATAGCACCATACACAGACTCTAATCATTCTATGTTGGACGATTCTTATAGTTCTTTTTTTTTTTTTTTAGACAGTCTCGCTCTGTCACCAGGCTGAAGTGCAGTGGTGCAATCTCTGCTCACTGCAACCTCCGCCTCCCGGTTTCAAGTGATTCTCCTGCCTCAGCCTCCTGAGTAGCTGGGATTACAGGTGCCTGCCACCTCACCCAGCCAATGTTTTTGTATTTTTAGTAGAGATGGGGTTTCACCATGTTGGCTAGTCTGGTCTTGAACCCCTGACCTCAGATGATCCACCTGCCTCGGCCTCCCAAACTGCTGGAATTACAAGAGTTAGCCACTGCCCCCATCCATAGTTCACATTTTTAATGAGCCATTTCTTTTCCAACCTTAGCAATGGCTGCTGCCTCTTACATTGCATAGTTCAGCCAGGCCCAGTTGCTCTCACTTCCTCCAGTAGACCTGGTGGTTTCATGCCAGACGTTGTTCTTACTATTCCAAATAACCTTTCTGACTTTACCTGCAATTGCCCCCATTGTGTCTGTTTGTTAGCACTTATTTATCTTTTAAATTTAAGTGTTGCCTTTTTTTTTCCTGACTTCTACCTGGGAAAAGTGTTAATTCTTTCCTTTGGAAACTGCACATAATTAACTGTATAATAGTGAGTGCATACAGCTTATTTCTTTTTCCCAACTAGACTAAATATCTTGAAGGAAGTTGCAATATCTTTGTCGTTATAATATGTCCAGAACATAGCACATGCAAGATATGGTGTAGTTATTTAGTTAAATCTTCAGGTGACTGATACAATGGCTGAATGAGAAAACATTGAAATAATAAAGAAAATAAAGAATACGTTTAACAATTCTGGGTTGCATAGAGCAGACTGGATGTGATTGATACAATTAGCAATGGCTTTCCATTAAAGTATACAAAGATGCAAAAATGGTCACAGTATTTTAAAGTAAATTCAAATAACTATCTAGAAAGAAAATGGGGAAACTGTGTTGATTCTTCACTCCGGTCTGAGGTCTAAATAAAAAACCCCAAGATGCAAAGAAACCATAACCTGATAAACTAAGCAAGCTTTCAATTCACTGGAAACTATCTTTGGTTTGAACCAAGATTTCTGGTCCATTATTAGCAGCAGCTTATTTCTGTCTGTATTCATTTAAAGACTAACCTCCCAGTACAAAAAAGATAAAGAAGGGAATGAGTGAGAGCCTGTATACTTGGATGCTTTTTTAAAAGCATTAGAAGAAAAAAGCTTCAGAAACAGGGATAGAACACAAGGTGTTGGGATTACATATGCCAGGATATGTCTTGAATGTTTTACGTGGCTAGGAGATAGAGCAACTGCATTTTATTCTCTAGCTTCATTACATAAACTGCCATTCTGAGCCAAAAAAAAAAAAATCCACTTATAGTTTTGTGGACCAAGAGTTGTTGAATGTTTGTTAGGTCTCATAAACTGCACTAGATGCTATACAGAGCAACTTGACATTCAGATTAGATTATAAGATCCAGAAACTGTCAGAATGTCTCCTATGTGAAGAGTAAGTGAACAAATGACACTTCACTCACACTTTTGTCCTCGGACCCTAAGCTGATACAGATTTTGCCCACTCAAAGAGATGGAAATAAGACCTTTAAAAGGAGGGGGATATGCTAACAAGAGAGAAAAACAACATTTCCCTGAAGACAAAAAAAAAACCCCAAATATCTGAAAAATGACTTTTTATGAGAAGTAGGTGGAGACTTGAGGAGACATCTGCATGGGGGAAGATCTACAACATGGAGTAGACATAAATCATGGAGGAGAATTAACTTGAGCATCAGAGAATAAATCTTCCCTCTCGTTTTAAATTCACCATTGAATGAACAAAAGAATATAAAAATAGAAGGAAAATTCAGCATTTTTAAATTTTATTTTATTATTATTATACTTTAAGTTTTAGGGTACATGTGCACAATGTGCAGGTTTGTTACATATGTATACGTGTGCCATGCTGGTGTGCTGTGCTGGTAAAATTCAGCATTTTTAATGGAAAACATGGGAGGATGCCATCTATATGCCAGAAACCCCAAGGATGGGGCTATATTAAATGAAGGCAATGGGGAGATCCTTACAAGCCTTTTCTAGGGAAAGTAATATGGGATGATAAGAACTAAGCAAAGATGGTCATGGCACAAACGAATTAATATTTTCCTAATCAGTTATATTAAGACTGTAGTTGAAAACAGGTTGTTAAACATGAGAGAAATATATAAATTCTTTATGACTATAGAATAGCAGTATTCAGAATAGGTTACTTAGAGAAAACAAGAGCAGGCATGTCTGTTTCAAGCAGAGTGATTACAGGGTATTTCCAGACATGGAAGCAATAGGAGTAGGAGACAGAGACCCAGGAAGTTGGACAGACACCCCATGTGGAAAATGGAGAATAGAGCAGAGTGAAATAATTTTAAAAGCTAGCTCCTATCACAGAAAATTTACCCATCAGAAAGGACAATATGACTATGATGGCTCTAAATGAGGCAAGCAGTTTTCTCACAAAAGGAATAAACTTGCATTAAGCCAGTTCTCAGCTAGAAATCTGAAAAGAGCTTTAAATAGCTTCTAAGAAAACACTAAGAGGATCAAAGTAAAATTCATCTTTGTAACTGCTAGTCTAGAATGTGCCTTCTCTTCAATTATGTGTAAACAAAACAACACTGAACAGAATCTTTTATATGAAAGATAAATGTAACACATGAGGTAAGGAAAGAGTAGTTTTGAGGAAAAAAAATTACGAGAGTGAAATATTTTAAAAGAAATTTCATGTTGTGTTCTTAAAATAATTTTAAAAATATGGACTCTGAAATAACTCAGGTTCAGATCAAGAAAAAGAAAAAATACACTAGTAGATAGCTTTTTACAGGAAAGAATAAAAACAAAATTGTAATAGCAGAATTAAAGACTGAAACAGAAACAATAATGGTTAAGAAAATCAGACAAGTTATATGTGGATGGAAAAAGCTTAGGAGGCTTTCATAGAATGTATAAGGAAAGAAATAAAGAGATGAAATAAACAAAGGAGAGGCTGAGGAAGAAGCAGAGAATAAAGATCTAAAATATGAATAATTATTTCATTCTGAAGAAAAAGCCAAAGTAAAAAGAACAGAAACAATATAGGAAGAAATACTAAAAGAAAAATTTCCAGAGATTAAAACAAACAAAAAACAAACTTAGAGAGGAGAAGGATGGTTTCTACAGGCTGGGAAGGGTAATGGGGGAGGGAGTTATGGGGAAGTGGGAATGGTTAATGTGTAAAAAAAACAATAGAAGTAATGAATAAGACCTACTATTCACTAGCACAACAAGGTGACTATTGTCAAAAATAATTTTTTTTTTGTTTTTTTTTTTGAGAGGAAGTCTTGCTCTGTCGCCCAGGCTGGAGTGAAGTGGTGTGGTCTTGGCTCACTGCAACCTCCGCCTCCCGGGATCAAGCAATTGTCCTGCCAAAGCCTCCCGAGTAGCTGGGACTACAGGCACGTGCCACCATGGCCGGCTAATTTTTTGTATTTTTAGTAGAGATGGGGTTTCACTATATTAGCCAGGATGGTCTTGATCTCCTGACCTCATGATCCACCCACCTCGGCCTCCCAAAGTGCTGGGATTACAGGTGTGAGCCACGGTGCCTGGCTGTCAAAAATAATTTCATTGTCCATTTAAAAAGAAATAAAGAGAATAATTAGATTTTTATTAAACACAAATGTTTAAAGTGATGATTACCCCACTTACCCTGATGTGATTATTATGCATTGCATGCCTGTATCAAAATATCTCATCTAACCCATAAATATATTTACCTACTATGTACTCACAAAAAATAAAGTAAAATAAAATGATAAACAAACAAAAAAACCCAGATCATGAATTTGAAAGCAGTTCACCATATGGTAGTAAATATTGATTTTTTTTAAAAGGCTACCTATGCCTTGAACTATTTTACTAATTTGTTTTTACTTCTGGGTTTTAAAAATTGTATAATATTTATGCAGAAAAAAAACAAGGAAGAAAAATCGGAGTTGTAAGTTTGGTCTAATACCTATTTGGAAATATGAGAGGTATCAAGTAATATATAAATACTTGAAAGAATAATGCTGTGAACAACAACACAATATATAATTAAAGTGTCCTTATATGTGCAAGCATATAAAGACATTTTTCTTTTTGGAGGTAGGGGAGAGTGTAACCTGGAATTGTAAACCATTTACTATCAGTACCACAACAAGTAGCAGAAAGCAAGGTAGACAAAGTTCAAATATACTCCCTTTGTATTTCTGTTCTATTATTTTATTCTATCTATCTATCTATCTATCTATCTATCTATCTATCTAATCTATCTATCTTTAGAGACAGGGCCTTGCTTTGTTACCTGGGCTGGAGTGCGGTGGCACCATCATAGCTTACTGCAGCCTGGAACTCCTGGACTCAAGAGATCCTCCCATCTCAGTGTTCCGAGTAGCTGGGGCTACAGGTGCATGCCACTACATAGGGCTATTTTGAAATTTTTTGTAGAGATAGATTCTTACCATGTTCCCCAGACAAGACTAGAACACCTGGCTTGAAGGAATCCTTCTCCTTTGGCCTCCCAAAGTGCTAGGATTATAGGCATGAGCCACCATGCCTAGCCTGGTTATATTCCTTTAAATCCAACATTGGTGGTACTATTGTTTATGACAATTGGAAAATTTATACAGTCAAGTATTTTAAAATTTAATAGTAAATACCTGGAGAATTAAAAATAAGATAATTACATTGTAAATTACTACAGTAAAATGAAAGGGCATCCTCCACACATGCTGATAACTTTTTGCCACCAACACCCTTGTCTCTCATGTTTGCCCCCCTTGCTCCATGGTTTTCTCTGGAGCCATGGGAACTTTCTGAGTCTACACGTAAGGTATCCTGAGCATGCCAGGAATGTAACACTCTCAGAAACAATCCTTATTCAATGAGAAATAGAAATCAGTGGATAAAATCCTCAACTTCCTTGTCCCTCAGTGAAACAATTCTGAGATACAGTCATTATCTTCCTCAGGGAATTTTAATTAGGATTGAGCCTCAGATGCTCACACAGGTACTTTCTGCTTTCACCTGACTGTTCCCGGCCCCACTTTGTTCCTTCTTTCCTTGTACTTTCTGTGATCACCTCCCAAATAAACAACTCAAGGGTACCTTGGGGGAATCTAAAGTAAAACATAGAAAATAGAATATAGAAATCAAGAAAGCATTTTAAAAAGGAAAATAAGATAAAATTAAATTTATTTTGACAATAATTTAAATTCTCTCACTGGAAAGATGTTCAGATTGGATCAAATTTCACACTGACTGGAAGAGACAGTACTAAAACCAACTGACAAAGATAGCTTCAAAATAAAAGAGTGGGCAAAATTTTGATTAAATACAAGGCAAAATAAGGATTTGTTAATATAAATGATAAAGCAGGCAAAACAGACCTTTTTATATAAATATTAGTTAAATCTAAAAGTTTTGTATCAGACATGGATTCATGTCTGATAGCTTTCAATAGCTTATTACTACTTTCAATAGCTTACTGCTATCATTAAAAGGAACAATAAATTAAACATTCACGAACGGAAGGAATAATTTTACAGATTGAAAAGGCATAAACTACCAAGTTATATATTTGTAGATAACACTTACTGGTATATTGACATTTGAGTATGTTAGAAATGCAGTAACATCCTAGATCCTTCAATCTATTAAACTTTAACAATATTAAATGGTAAAAGAAATTATACTAGTCCATTCAGGCTGCTATAACAAAATACCATAAGTGGGTGACTTATAACTTACAGAAATTTATATTTCATAGTTCTGGAGTCTGGGAAGTCCAAATTGAGGCAGATTTGGTGTCTTGTGAGGGCTTACTTTCTGGTTCATAAATCACACCTAGCTGTGTCCTCACATAATGGAAGGGGTGAGGAAGCTCTTTGGGCCTCTTCTATAAGGACACTGACCCTATTTATGATGCCTCTAATCTCATGACCTAATCATCTCCTAATACCCTCACCTTGAGGACAAGCATTTCAACATATGAATTTGGGGGGACACAAATCAGGAACAAGCTATGGATTCCCATCATTATACTTTTCATTAAATGTCACTCTGAAAATTTTTGGTTCATATGGAAATAAACTATTAGGAAGGTTTGCACTGCACTGTTTCTCAAGGTAGATAATAAAATTGCATAATACAAAACAAAAGACAGCAAACTGAGAAGCTATTAGAACACAAGTAACCGAAGTGAAAAAAATTTGCAAATATTCTAAAAATAAAATAAAAAATAAAATTCCATTCATAATAGCATAGAGACCTTAAAATATTTGTTACTGATATGAGGAAATTTACAAAAAAATTATTATTGAGTGACATCTAATAAGACATAGAAAAATTATATCATACTTTGGATTAAAAAAAACTGAGTCTTGAAAAATTTCAAAAATCCCCAAATGAATTACGGGGTTAACATATTTAAATAAAATTTATTTTGGAAATTGAATAAAGGCTTTCTAGATTAGTTTATCTGGGAGGACCATAAAGTGTGGCAGAACTAAGAATTTCAGAAAAATGTTTAATAATACATTCTACTAAAAATATAAAGTGTGTCATATTAATTAAAAGCAGCATAGTACAATTTTTTAAAATCAGACTATTTTGTATATGAATTTAAGTGTCATCAATATGCAGTTAGATCAATACCTTAAAATACAAACTAAGTATAACTAAGATGAAGAAAAGAAGTATTTTAAAAAAAAGTAAAATAAGGGACTCAGGAAGGATAGGCTAAGGTCAGCAAATGTAACGTTGTTGGGTGATATGTGAAGCTGTTTCTGCCCCTTTCCCAACAATGCTTGGTGGCTTGTAAGGCTGAGGTTAAGAACATCTGAAAGCAGGTTATTAGGGAAAACTCTGAGCACTGAACTGAATATCCGTTTGCTGTCCATCAGCATGAAGCCTTGTGTGTTGTATTGATGACACGAAATGGAAAGCATCTCAAGCTATGAGGACTGAAAAAGAAGCCAGGAACCATGAAGTTCTTCAGGTTGGAGCACATTGTTTCTTCTCATTAGGGCAAATTATGAAAAGAGTAGGAATTAATTTTCCAGCATTGTGTATAAAAAGAATTTGGTTTAGAATAAAATATCATAAAATAAATACACAGCAAAAATTTTAACCTTTCCTAGAACTAAAAGATTTGCATTTCTGGAATTATAAGAGCCAGCCAAATGCCTAGCAAAATGAAGAAAAATGTTCACTCTTGTGAATTCTTAGAATACCAACAATAAAGAGAAGATCCTAAAGAATTCTGGAGAAAAGTCAATCAAGCAATCAGACAAACAAAATTGGATTTTATGTAAAGGATGAAGGTCACAATGGCATTGAATTTCTCATTGGCAAAACTGGAGAGTGGAAGACAATGAAGCAACATTTTGAAAATCTGTAATTTTAATGAATTTCCTCTGGAAGCTCATCCAAAAAATGGGAGGTAAAGAAAGGAGAGAAGGGAAGGGAATTTACAGCATGATGTTGAAGGGAACTCCCAGGATAGTGATTATTTGGAAGGCTAGAGTGAGAGCTATTCCAACAGGATATTGGAGGAGTCCAGGGTGGATGTTTCAAAAGGAAAAAAATCTCCAGGTGTTTGGCCAAATGGAAATAAGTCTTAGTGTTCTGTATGAGAGTTTGGGGATAAACTGAAGCTAAATACATAGAAAACTAAGGAAACAGAAAATGAGATAATTATTATATCCAAGAAAAATAGAGAGAAATTTTTTAAGAGCATAAATATAAATCTAGTGTACATTTTGCCTCATAATAGTTTTCAGTCACCTGGTTACATAAATATGGATACCAAACACTGATTTAAAATAATATTTGAGGTGATAGATATGCTAATTGAAACATTACATTGTATCCATATATAAATACAATTATTTGTTAATGAAAAATAAAACCTTTAAAAAGTTTTTACCTAAAAGCAAAAAAAAAAAAAAAAAAAAAGCAATGCTATACAAGTATATTGAGAAGGTAGGGGATGAAAAGTGTGTATGCTAGAGGAGGTACAGGAGTTAAATCTTAACATTTTAATGCATGAGTTAATGCATAATTATTTTTAATTTTAAAAATATGAAAATATTGATTTCTCTCACACACACACGCACGCAAATACACAAACCTGTTAAAACTGTTGAAGGCTATTCTCCCTGTAGAATGAGATTTAAGGGTAAGTAGGGTACAGGAGTGAGGATTGTGGGTTTTTTTTTCGCATCATACATTCATATACTTTTATCTTGCATAAAAATGGTATAATTTGTATACATTGTTTTATATGTCTTTTTCTGTACTTAAAAGTTTTAGATTACCAGAACACACAGCTCCTCTCCTTGGTAAATAACCTAGGGAAAAGGTTAAGAACCTAAGTAGGTGGGAAATACAATTTATACTGTCAAGGATACCTGGGCATAAATGCAAAGGGATCATGACATCACTCCCACCTTGTGAAGCCAGCTTGTCCATTGGCCTGGTGGGCAAAGTGGGCAGGGAGATGTGGGTGGGGGGTAGGAGGTAGACTGGAAGAGGAGGAGACACCTTGGAAGTTATCAATGAGGGTGTTTTTTTTTCTTTTCTCAACTTTTATTTTAGGCTTAGGGTGTACATGTGCAGGTATATTACATGGATAAATTGGTTGTCACTGGGGTTTGGGATACAAATGGTTTTGTCATGCAGGTAGTGAGCATAGTACCCAATAGGTAGTTTTTCAGTCCTCCCCACTCCACTCCCCTCTACACTCTACACTCAGGTAGGCCCTGGTGTCTATTTTTCCCATTTGTGTGTCCATGTGTACTCACTGTTTGGCTCCCACTCGGAAATGAGAACATGCAGTATTTGGTGTTCTATTTCTGAATTAATTCGCTGTGGATAATGATCTCCAGCTGCATTCATGTTGCTGCAAAGGACAAATTTCTTTTTTTTTTGTGGCTGTGTAGTGTTCCATGGTGCATGTACCACATTTTCTTTATGCAGTCCACCATTGACGGGTATCTAGGTTGATTCCATGTCTTTGCTTTTGTGAATAGTGCAGTGATGAACATGTGTGTGCATTTGTCTTTATGGTACGATTCCTCTGGGTATATACCCTGTAATGGGATTGCTGGGTCAAATGGTAGCTGTCTTTTAAATTCTCTGAGAAATTTCCAAACTGCTTTCCACAGTGACCAAACTAATGTACATTCCCACTAGCAGTGTATAGGTGTTCCCTTTTCTCTGCAACTTTGACAACATCTATTATTTTTTCACGTTTTCATAATAGCCATTCTGACTGGTGTAAGATGGTATCTCATTGTGGTTTTGATTTGAATTTCTCTAATGATTAGTGATGTTGAGTGTTTTTTTTTTCATATGCTTGTTGGCCACATCTGTGTCTTCTTTTGAGAAGTGTCTGTTCACGTTCATGTCCTTTGCTCATTTTTTTTTTTTTTTTTTTGAAACAGAGTTTTGCTCTTCTTGCCCAGGCTGGAGCGCAATGGCACAATCTCGGCTCACCACAACCTCCGCCTCCCCAGTTCAAGCAATGCTCCTGCCTCAGCCTCCCGAGTAGCTGGGATTACAGGCATGCACTACCATGCCTGGCTAATTTTGTATTTTTAGTAGAGACGAGGTTTCTCCATGTTTGTTAGGCTGGTCTTGAATTCCTGACCTCAGGTGATCTATCCACCTCGGCCTCCCAAAGTGCTGGGATTACAGGTGTGGGTCACCGTGCCTGGCCCTTTGCTCATTTTTAATAGGGTTGTTTGTTTTTTTTGCTTGTTGATTTAAGTTCCTTATGCATTCTGGATGTTAGATCTTTGTTGGATGCATAGTTTACAATCCCATACCTAACATCATGCTAAATGGGCAAAAGCTGAAAAAATTCCTCATTCCAACAAGACAAGCATGCCTACTCTCACCACTCCTATTCAACTTAGTAACTGGAAGCCAATTACTCTTTAGCCAGAGGCAAGAGAAAGAAATAAAAGGCATCCAATAGGAAGAGAGGAAGTCATAACCAAGAAGGTTAAAGATCTCTACAGCAAAAATTACAAAACACTGCTGAAAAAAATCAAAGATGACACAAACAAATGGAAAAACATTCTATGCTCAGGATAGGAAGACTTAATATTGTTAAAGAGGCCATACTGCCCAAGGCAATTTACTATTAAACTACCAATGTAATTTTTCACAGAATTAGAAAAATTATTCTAAAATTCATATGGAACTAAAAACAAAACAAAAGAAAGACAACCAAATAGCCAAAGCAATCCCAAGTAAAAAGAACAGGGCCAGAGGCAACACACTACTTGACTTCAAACTATACTACAAGGCTACCATAACCAAAATAGCATGGTAAAATACACATAGTCTATGTGTACTAAAACAGACACATAGACCAATGGAATAGGTCAGGGAACCCAGAAATAAGGCTGCACACCTACAACTATCGGATCGTCAACAAAGTTGACGATAACAAGCAATGGGGAAAGGATTTCCTATTTAATAAATAGTGCTGGGATAACTGACTAGCTATATGCCAAAGATTGAAACTGGATCCCTACCTTTCACCATATTAAAAAAAATCAACTCAAGATGGATTAAAGACTTAAATGTAAAACCCAAAACTATAAAATCGCTAGAAGGAAATCTAGGAAATACCATTCTGGACACAGGACTTGGCAAAGATTTTATGACAAAGTCTCCAAAGGCAATTGCAACAAAAACAAATATTGACCAGTGGGACCTAATTAAACTAAAGACCTTCTGAACAGCAAAAGAAACCATCAACAGAGTAAGCAATCTATAGAATGGGACTGTTGGTTTTCATTATAAGCTATGAAGTAGAATTTGATTTTTAAAACTATATATGTATATTACTTTGATATAAATAAAAACCTAAAAAGGCACTAAAATGCATTGTAGAATCAAAGTTATGAGAGAGTAAAGAATGGCACATTTTTGTGACTTTTGTCCTAGCAACTAGATCTGTAGGTCCTTCCTAAGTTGGGCTATGTTTCCCAGAGAGGTAAGGGCAAAAAAGACTCCTTAAGGATATATATCTGAGTTAGACTTATCTGGACTCATAACAAATTTCATAAGAAAACAGGAGTTTTTGAAGTTTTTAATAGCAAAACTTTAGAAAAAATAAATTTAACAGAGGTTAATTGATAAAATAATGATTTGAGAATCAGAAAGCACCCCCCACCACTCAAACCAGAATAGATTCAGAGAGACTCTATCACTGCCACATGGTGGGAAGAAATTTATGGACAGAAAGAAAAAGTGATGTGTAGAATCTGGAAATGGAAATGGGGTACAGAAACAGCTCAGTTGGTTACAGCTCAGTGTTTGCCTTATTTGAACATGGTTTTCACAGATTTTGTTATCCAAGGTAGGTCCTGTATCCAATCTCCCAGGGATATGAGAGATGACTGTATTTTCCTAGTTAGCTGAGAGGAATCTAGTGTCCTGAGCTCTTCTTGGCTGTTTGAAAAATGGCTCTGTATCTGGAAATGCCATCAGCTACATAGCTAAAGCTTCTGGAATAATGGTCTTCGTTCTCTGAGGCTGGCTGTCGAGATTAGTGAATGAACTCTGGGGAGTGACAAGATGTCAGAGAATATGGTTTGATCATCCTCACACCCAGCCCCTTTCAAAGAAAAACATATTGAGCTAAAAGACAACATCATCAACAACAAATCAGTATATTAGAATTACCTGAAACAGCTTCTAATCATTTCAGGGCATGGGTCAATATTGTGGATAATCACCAATTAGAAACATTGCTTCATTCTAGCCAGTTTCTTCAAGGAATGTCTTCCATCCGTGCTATGCATTATGATGGAATATTTTGTAGAAGTGCTATGTAAACAGCTTGTACCACCACAGAACACGGAAATTCTTAACAAACATGTACTGCTTAAGTGCATGCTAATGCCACTTTTTTCATTTTGTCAATGTAATACAGCATATTTAATGCATTCAGTATAGTCTGTTGCGACTGAAACAGTTATCCTTTAGTGTCCCAGAAGTCTAATTACAAGCTAGCTATTCTCTTTATCTATGTTCTGATAGCTTCTCTATTAGAATAAAGAAACTGTGTAATAGAATGACTTTTGACTGTGTGTTTCAATGTTAATAAGATGAGGTTTAACTGCTTCTACAAGTTTATCTCTCTTCTAACACTTTGTTGAAATGAGACAGGACAAACTAGTTTTGTTACATTTTATGTAACATTTTAGTACTACCTGCTACCTAATGGTAAAGAGCAATTTTTATTGTTTTCCTTTGATACTTTTTTTAAAAATTCAAATATTTGATGAGTACCTACAATGTTTCAGACATTGTTATAAGCAGTAAACAAAGTAGACCAAATTTTATTCTCTCATGATCTTATTCTAATGGGGAGATATAGAGTACACTAGCATTAAGTAAAATATGTAGTACATTGTAAGGTGATCGTATTATGAAGGAAACTGAAGCAGGAAGGATAATTAGCTGGCTTGTAATTCAGTAGAATACTTGACTTGGAGGTGAAATGGTTCCGCTGTGTCTCCACCCAAATCTCATCTTGAATTGTTACTCCCATAATCCCCATGTGTTCTTCGAGGGACCCGGTGAGAGGTAATTGAATCATGGGGGAAATTTTTTCCTGTGCTGTTCTCATGATAGTGAATAAGTTTCATGAGACCTGGTGGTTTTTAAAGGGCAGTTCCGCTACACAGGCTCTCTTGACTGCTGCCGTGCAAGATGTGCCTTTGTTCCTCCTTCACCTTCTGCCATGATTGTAAGGCCTCCCCAGGTAGGTGGAACTGTGAGTTCATTAAACCTCTTTTTATTTATAAATTCCTCAGTCTCAGGTATTTATTCATAGCAGTATGAAAATGGACTAACACAGAGGAGAAGTGTGTTTTGAAGACTGGCAGCTACTTACTGATGTCTAAAATTCTACCATTAATGATTTTATGCTTATATATTATTTTACCTCAGTCGTGAACAAACGTTCCCTTTGAAGGGCTTGGTGGAAAGTATACTGTAACAGAAGACAAATCTAGATTTTAGTTTCACTCAGGCTGCCTTTGACTTTTTTTTTTTAATTTTTTCTTCCCATATTATCCATTCACTAGACTTCCAATAGCATCTAAGGGATAATGATTCCCAATTCATTTCTCTAGACTTGACTTATATCCTAGGCTTCTGGACTTTCTACCCTAAATACTCCATACATATCTCAAAAATCAGCATATTCAAAATTAAACTCACTATCCTATGATTTACAACTTAACACACTTGATCATTTTCCTGAATTCCCAATCTTGTTTAATGGCATCATGGTTAAAATTTCTCATATAATCCAAAGACTCAGTGTTGGTCTTGGTTGTTGGCAGATGGGCATTCAGTGGTGGCCATAGCCAGATTGGCCATGGTGAGTGGAAATCCACGTTTCTGAGTCCATGCATTGTCTCCATTCCTGCTACCATGGCTATTTTTTTTATGAGCCCATTGGGCAATGACAGGGGTGGCAGGGGAAAGAAGCTGACTGGTATACACAGAATGAGTCATCCTATCCTCTTGATTATTACAATCCTCCTCTGGAGAAGCCATCTTGTGGTGAGCATTCCTATAGAACACAAATATGTTCAGAGGTTTCTTTTTGCCCATTCAGAGAGACTGTCCATATATCTCTTCCCCAAATTTCTTTGTCACCAATTTTTTAATCATGTTCCTTCCAATTACCTGACCATGCAGTCAAACTATGCTTTACTGGCCATGAATTGGTATGCAATTTCATGTCTGGCCATTTTTCCTTTCAAGCAAAGTGAACAACCAAGTGTACTGCTCAAAATTCTGTCCACTTGGAAGACTTTCTCTTATCACTGTCCTTCAGGGATTTCTCAGAGAGGGACTATAATGCTGCAGCTTTCCACTTTTGGTGGTGCTTGTGTCTTACAGAGAACCATCTGTAAACTAGGTCTGAGTCTTCTCTTCTTCTGTCATCTAATTGTTAGGAACTTCCCATGAGGTCATAGGCACAGTCTGGGAGGGAGAAGGCAGTGTAGCAGGAGTGGGGACTCTGGGTATTTGGGCTAATTCTTCTTGTAACTTACTTGGCCTTCAGGGCCTGCTTCAGCCTGATCACATATGTGCCACTTCTATTTGATGATGGAGTGTTGCTGTGCACATCCAACTTTATGGCTTTTTGGGTCAAATAAAACTCAGCTGATGAGAGGCAGATCAGGTTGCATGGTAACATGGTAGCCCATGGTCAAGTGTTTAGTCTTTACTAGGGCCTAGTAGCAGGCCAAGAGCTATCTCTCTTCTTCTGCTGCAGGTGATAGCAGGGTGTTACTCCAAAATAATAAAGGACTGTGTTTAATTTTACTTATAGGTGCCTTCCCAATCCTTCAAACAACATTCCTATTTGGCAGTGATGATTCAGGGACCATTGGATCTGCTAGATCATATGGCCCAAGTGGCAGAGCAGTCTGTGCAGCAGGCTGGGCCAATTGCAGACCCTTCTTTTTTTCCAAGTCCCATTTAAAACTAGCAGCTTTGGGGGTCATTCAGTAAATGGGCCAGAGTTAACACCCTCACATAAGACATATGTGTGTCTAAAATCTAGAGGGCCACTAGACATTGTGCCTCTTTCTTGCTTGTAGGATGGGGCAAATGCCCAAACTTATCCTTCACCTTAGGATATCTCAACATTCTCCATATCCTGGAAATTTTACTGAAGAAGACTTCTGATTTTAGTTAGATTTATTTCCCACTCTCTGACATCCAATTGTCTTATTAATAAGTCTAGAGTAGGAGCTACTCCTTGCTAACTAGGACAAATTAGTATAATGACATCAATGTGATGGATTAGTGTGATGTCTTATGGAAAGAGAAGGCAATTAAGATCCTTGCAAACTAAACTATTACATGGGGCTGGAGAGTGGTTATATCCCTGATGTAGGACAGTGAAGGCATATTACTAGCCTTGCCAGCTGGAAGCAAACTACTTTGGAGGGCCTTATGGACAGGCATGGAGAAAAAGATATTTGCCAAAGCAATAGCTGTGTAACAGATACAAGGGGGTGTGTTAATTTTCTCAAGTAATGAAACCACATCTGGCACAGCAGCTGCAATTGATGTCACCACCTGGTAGAGTATATAATAATCCACTACCATTCTTCAAATCCATCTGTCTTCTGTATAGGACAAATAGGAGAGTTAAATGGGAATGTGGTGGGACTCACCACCCCTGCATCTTTCACATCCTTGATGATGGCACTAATCTCGGCAGTCCCCTCCAGGAATGTAGTATGGCTTTTAGCATAGTACTTTTCTGATAGAGATAGTTCTAATGGATCCCAATTAGCCTTTCCCACCATAACAGACCTCATTCCAGAGGTCAGAGAACTAGTGTGGGGATTCTTCCAGAAGCTAAGTATGTCTATTGTAGTTATGCATTCTGGAACTGGAAAGATGCCACAGAATAGGGTTGGGGACCCACTAGACCTATTGTGAGAAGAACCTGAGCTAAAACTCAGTTGATCATCTGACCTCTATGTGCCTTTACACTGACTAGTGGGCCTCAGTGATGTTTTGGGTCTCCTTGAATTAGTGTCAGTTCAGAACCAGTATCCAGTAGTTCCCAAATGATCTAATTATTTCATTTACCCTAATGTACATTTACTCTAGTAAAAGGCTGTAGATGCCTTTGGGGAAAGCTGGGAGAAAGACTGGTGATATCTTTGACAATGTTCTTCTCAAGGAGTCCTGTCCTCACGTGCATTCAAGGGATTCTACGTCTGTAAACTGGTTTAAAATTTGGAATTGATTGAGGGGCCATAACTGTATTTTTTTAAAGTTTACATTAGACTTTTACCTGGAAATGTTCTGCTCATACATATCAAACAATTTGGTATACTTTCTATCTGTTTCACTTTTAGAAACATCATGATCAATTAACTAATGCCATAATTCTACATAAGTTAAACTAGTCTGACTGTTGCTTTGATTCTGCTTTTCATCATTGGTAACCCTGCCCATTGTGACTTCGTGGTTGAGTTCTGCAACCTGACCCCTGCCATCCTGGGATCCAGTTACTCTTTTAGGTTTCCCAATTCAGTGACAGTAGCTCATATTAGGAGGACTGGCATACAGAGAAGAATACTCACAGAGCTCTTATTGTTGAAATATATGTCTTCTGCATCCTTCCAATGTGGGTGAGTAGGGTTTAAGTGACAAATCCACATAAATATTTCAAATTTGCTCATGCTGAGCCATCTTTTGGTCCATGTTTCAGCCAACTAACCAATCAAACAGTTAGAGCCCTTTCTAATTCCCTGAGCTGCAACATTACATGCAAAATCTCCACTTAGTGTGTCCACGTCGATGAATTCGGACTGATCCAACTTTATGTTCCGTCCAGTAACATCCCACACCCTTAGCATCCATTCCCCCACACATTCCCTGGATTTCTTTCTGTATAAATCAGGAAACTGAAGTAGTTCCTTTGAAGTATGGCTCACCTCTTCATGTGTCACACATTGTACCTCACTTGGAGGGGCCTGCTGGGATTTGAATCTAGTTGTACATCTAGAAGCAAAGAGGCATGATGGGGGTGAGTCCTGAGGAGAATCAGCATTGCCTTGCATGGCAACTGCCTCAGGGAAGGTCATTACTGTTTCCTCAGACATTGTAGTGCTAATACCCTCAAATAGAGATGGAAAGGACAATGCCACTGTGAATGAAGAGGATGATACCACTGGAGGTGAGTATGTCACTTCCACTGAGGATGGGGATGCTGCTTTTGCTTGGGTTGAGGAGACCAGTTCCTCTGAGTGTAGGGAGACCTCGTCTTCCACTGGTAAAAAATAAAAAACACTCATCAGATTTACAGGTTTATTGTCCCCAGCTTAATAATGATGATCCCACATATCCCCATTCCAATTTACAGGATTCTATTCCCAATTAATGCCCTCACTTTAAGAGTAGACACCCTGTGAGCTGTGGAATACGGCTTGTGTTTTAATTTAGCTAGTAATAAGATGAGGTTCTGCATTTGATCTTCAGCAACTTCAGCCCTGCAGCTACAGGAGATAAAGTTAATCATAAGTGGTTAGAGGTATTACCTGCAGGATGGGTACATGAGCTCATGAAGAGCTCTGTAAGACACAAAGTATGGGATAAGGATAGAATAACAACACATTAAGTCCTACGGCCAAAAAAAAAAAAAAATGCCAGAAAAAAGATTGTCAGAGAAAAGAGATTCCCCACATTATGACTGCATACAGTACTGCCTTGGTATCCTAAGGATGCTAACCCTCTTTTATGGTCATAGTGGAAAGAAAGGATTGCACTAGTGGCATTTTGAACAAAGGACAATGACAAATAGAGCAGGAGAGGAAAAAAAGGAATCTATTTCTTACCTTATTGGTCAAAATTAGGAGCCCTTTATTCTAATGTGAAAAAAATCACTGATACTCATCCAGAATTTAGTTTTAAGGATCTTAGGCAAGATGGTTAGTTGGAAAAGTAAACATTCTCTTTGAAATCAAGCAGATCTAGGTTCATATCCCATCTCTTCCAGTTGCTGCTATGTAATCTGAGAAAATCACACATCTTTTCTGAGTATTAGTTATTTCAAACATTTAATGCAGAACTTATTAAGATTATTATGAACATCACATTACAAAAGTGTAAAACATAGACCTATGACATGATTTATGGGGTATCATATATACCCAACAACTGGCATTAGTAATAATTACAACAGCAATAACAGTGAGGTATTTCATTAATACCCAAATCTTTAGGAAGAGAAAGGATACAAATTTTGACACCATTCATGAATCTACTTGAAGAAGATACTTAAAAGAAAATAAATGTATTTGCATTATTATCTTTGTCAGTCAAACTTAAGATAGCAAGAAGGGAAAGGCAGCCAGAGAAACATGGAAATGACCTATATCATTTTCAGTGTACCTTGGTGGCTGATACACGTATCTTAAGTCCAGTAGACTTTTGAGCAAGGTACATTTCATGGTCTGTCTAGAAATACACAAGCACTATTAATAGTCCTGTTTGTATTATCTGTGAAGTTTCCAGAGCACATAATTTATAGTTATGAGTCTACAGTGTCAACCTATTTTTAATCCAAAGAAAAAAGATTGCATGTATATTTATTTTTCAAGAAGTAAAAGTTAATAGGAGAGAAGATTCAGGATATCTTGTTTATACATAAATTTACATGTTGAATTATCTATTTGCAGAAGGTAGAATTTACATTTTGACAAAAAAGTGTTCATTAGTTTTAATTTCTGCTGATGTTGAAAATAATCCAAAGTACAAAAGCAAAAAAAAAAATGTGTGAACTCTTGAACCCTCCCTGAGGTTTTTTATGTTTGCTGATGTGTAGGCACAGTGATGGTGTCAGGTGTTCATGGCTGTGGAATTGGATGTACAGAACTAAAGACTCCAGGGGTCCTATTGGCAGCTCATGATCTGGCAATTGGTGAACATTAAAATGAGAAACTCTACCATCATATTTATGTTCAGTAAATCAGGAAATTTCACTGGGGTTCTAGTCAATTTTTTTAGCTGTCTCTTTTGTAAATAATTTTGCTCAGGTATTAGTTCTAAGACATGAATTTAATACCATAAATGAGAATAATGATAATGCTGGTTAATGTTTATTAATTTTTAATATACGCCAGGTCTCTATGAAGTGCTTTACATGCATTACATTATTTAATCTTAAAGCTGACACTATTACTTAGGTACTATTATAATACACACTATAAGGAATCTGAGAGTTACAGGTAATAAGTAAATTGATCAAGATGGAACACAGATCTGTGGCAATGTTGTTTGTGAGCATATTTTTTTGGCATATTCACAAATGCCTAATTCTTGCTTGAGAACAGTGTATTAATAGAATAATAGTTAAGGGCATACTTAAGAACCTGGAATGAAATCTTTAATTTTCTGTGTGACCTTGACTAAGATTTTTACTTCTTTAGGCTTTATTTTCCATATTTTAAATGGGGAAAATTCTAATAGTTTCTATCATGTAGATTATTTGTAGTGTTTAGATAAATTAATTACATGTGAAAGATTTATGACAGTGGTTGACACCGAGTAAATTCCTTAAAAAAGGCCCGCTCTTATATCTAGGCATTTATCAGAAAATTAAAAAGAAACATTATAAGGAAGAACTTTAAGGAGCTAGCAACTGGGTAAATCAGACTAGATATTGAAAATGGAACCCACTTTACAAATTAAATCCATAGACAAAGTTCAGAATGAGCTTCGACTTAAGGGAACTTGCCTCAACCATCTGGTTCAAACTCAGAGTCCATCGCTTCCACAAAGATACATGCTGGCCCATCTGAATTGACATCTGTGTGCATACTGAAGTCCTGGAGGATAATTAGGAGAGAAAACTCCAACAGCATTACTGACATAAGCCTGGGGAACTAAGCCATAAAATTCTCTATATAAACAAGTGGCCTATATAACCACAGAACTATAAATTTTGGTCTTGCCCCAGGAGTACCTGAAATGGCCAGATGCTCAAACAAAAATAAACATTTCTGAAGTGCACAGCAAACAAGGTTTTAAAAATCACACCTCTCTGCTATAACCTTTACTCACTATTAGGCTGATGAATTCATGCTACCTTGTTTCATGACAGCTGTGGATGACATCTCATGACCAAAGCATAGAGCATTTCTCTGATTTACCACAGATTTTGTAACATAAAGTTTTTATTGAAGTATAGCATATATAAAATGCATGAAGCCCCAGTGTATAGCTCAATTAATTTTCACAAGCAAGTGTATCTATGTAACCAGGATCCAGATGAGGAAACAGAATATTACTGGCATCAAGAAACTCTCTATGGCCCTTCTAGTCACTAATTTCTTTCAAAGATGACCACTATCTTGATTCGTAACACTGGATATTGGTTTTTGTCTGTTTTTGAAAGGGAATCATACAATGTGTATTCTTTTATGTCTGACTTCTTTCATTCAATGCTGTTTGTGAGACCCATCCACAATAGTTTATTTATTGTCATTGATGTCTAGAATACCATTATGTGAATACACCATAGTTTATCCATTCTACTGATGGACGTAGGGATTACTTCTACCTTTGGTAGATTACTTCTACTTTATAAATCATGTTGAGAAAATTTTGTATGTGTATTTGGTGAACATTTTTACTCATTTTAATAGGTTATATATCTGGGATTGGAATTGCCAGATTTTAGTACAGGAGTAGAGTCAGATTCAATAGAGACAAATTATTTTTCAGAGTCAAAGTACCAGTTTTCAGTTCCTTGAGTAATGTATCAGAATCGGGTTAATATTTTTCTCATTAAATTAAAAATATTGACGGAAAATGCAGATATTAGGCATGGACTTCAAAGAGAATGACAAGTGTATACATTTGCATATCACAACTTCAATTAAGATATACCAACTTTCCATCACCTCAGAGTTGTCTTGTGCCTGTTCCACTCATTCTGCACCCCAGATAACCACTGTTGATTTCTATCATTCTAGACCATTTCTGAGTATTCTTGAATCTTTATAAGAAAGGAATGATATTCCTGGGTCGGGCTTCTTTTCTCAACCTAATGTTTTTGAGATTCATCTGTGTTGTTGCATGGGTCAGTAGACATTCTTTGCTTTTTCGGAGTAAAATTCTGTTGCGTGAATTGTACTGCAATTTGTTTTTCCATTCTATGTTCATGAACATTTGGGTTGTTTCAAGTTTGAGATTATAATATAATGAGTAAAGTTGCCATAAAAATTACAATACAAGTCTTTTTGAAGACGTGCATTTTGGTTTCTCTGGTGTTAATATTGAGGGAAAAAATTGCTTGGTCATAAGGTAGGTACATTTTAACTTTATAAGAAACTAAAAAAACAATTCTGCATAGTTGACCAATTTTCCAACCTCACTAGCAATATTAGAAAGTTCTTGGCCAGGTGCAGTGGCTCACACCTGTAATCCTAGCACTTTGGGATTCCAAGGCAGGCAGATCACTTGAGGCCAGGAGTTCAAGACCAGCCTGGCCAACATAGTGAAACTCTGTCTCTACTAAAAATGCAAAAGTTAGTGGGGCATTGTGGTAGGCGCCTGTAATCCCAGCAAATTCGGAGGCTGAGACATGAGAATTGCTTGAACCCAGGAGGCAGAGGTTGCAGTGAGCTGATATAATGCCATTGCACACCAGCCTGGGTGACAGAATGAGTCTCTGTCTCAAAAGAAAAAAAATGTTCTCGCTGCTACAAGTCTTTGTCAACATTTGGCTTTCTTTGTCTTTGTAATTTAATCGTTCTTATGGGCATAAAATAATACCATTTTGTGGTTTTGAGATTTATGGTAAAAATTACATTGAATGTCTTTTAATAAGCTTATTGCCCAAGCAAGTATTTGCTAAAATGTCTGTTTAAACTTTAGTCCAAGTTTTTTTTTTAGTTGGGTTGTGTGTTTTTACAATAGA
Source organism: Homo sapiens (assembly GCF_000001405.40). Classification (NCBI taxonomy): domain Eukaryota; kingdom Metazoa; phylum Chordata; class Mammalia; order Primates; family Hominidae; genus Homo; species Homo sapiens. The sequence goes on from NC_000009.12 coordinate 24,453,625, forward strand.
TTTTGTGGAAATTTATATATTCTGGATTCAATTCTTTTCTTAGAAAGATTTAAGTATTTCATTCTAATCTATAGCTTGCCTTAATGGTGTATTTTGAAGACTAGAAATTTTCAATTTTGATGGAGTCCAGTTTAACCCTTTTCTTTTTCATACTTATTGGCTTTTTTATATCCTCTCAAGAAATCTCTGCCTATCACACAGTGCAAAAATAATCTCCTATATCTTAATTTAGAAGATTTATAATTTTACCTTTTTAATTTAGCACTATAATTGATCTTGAATTAATATTTGTGTGTGGTCTGAGATAGGCATCAAGGTTCATTTTTCTTCTAGGTATTTATCAAGTTTTTCAAGAACCATGAAAAAGACTCTCTTTTTTTCCTCTTTGTATAGCCTCAGTGCATTTGTTGACTATTAGTTGAGTATTCTTGCAAGTGTTTTTCTCTGGACTCTGCATTTTATTGATCCATGTGTCTATTTTTATGTCACTAACATATTGTCTTGATTACTGTAACTTTATAGTGAATAATGTAATCAAGCAGTGAATTTTCCAACATTATTTCTTTTTGAGTAAATTTATTTGGGCAAATACAGATTCTTGCTACTCCATATACAATTTAGAAGCAACTTGCCCCTTTCTGAAAAAAGCCTGTTGATTTTGATTTACACTGTAACACATTCATATGGTTTGGCTTTGTTTCCCTACCCAAATGTCACGTTGAATTGTAATAACCACCACATGTCAAGGGCAAGGCCAGGTGGAGATAACGGAACCATGGAGGGTGGTTTCCCCTATATTGTTCTTGTGATATTGAGTAAGTCTGATGAGATTAGATGGTTTTATAAATAGGAGTTCCCCTGCACAAGCTCTCTTGCCTGCTGCCATGTAAGACATGCCTTTGCTACTCCTTCACCTTCCACCATGATTGTGAGGCTTCCCAAGGCTTGTGGAACTGTGTGTCCATTAAACCTCTTTCCTTTATAAATTACCCAGTCTTGAGTATGTCTTTATTAGCAGCATGTGAACAGACTAGTAGACACACCTATAGACACATTTGGGGAACATGAACATATTTATAATATGAAGTCTTCTAATTTATAATCATGATACATCTCTTTATTTATTTATTTATGTTTTCTTGAATTTATTTTAGTAATGTGCAGTTTTTACCATTGAAGGCTTTCATCTGTGCTTTTAAACTTACTTTTAAGTATTCTTAAAACTATTAAGAAGACTTAAACACTCTTATAAATGAAATGTTAAAAAGTCTTTGTTTCAATTGTTACTGCTATATTGAAATATAATTGCTTTTGGGATATATGCCTTGTATTCTATAGCCTTCATTATCTTTTTAACTCTAGTAATTGCTTTGTATTTTATTTAGGAATTTCTATGCAAACTATTATACCTTTTAGTTGAAAATAGTAGTTTTACATCTTCCTTTCCAACATTTATGCCTTTTGTTGTTGTTGTTGTTGTTGTTGTTGAGATGGAGTCTCACTCTGTTGCCAGGCTGGAATGTAGTGACGCAATCTCAGCTCACTGTAACCTCCGCCTCCCAGGTTCAAGTGATTCTCCTGCCTCAGTCTCGCAAGTAGCTGGGACTACAGGCACATGCCACCATGCCCAGCTAATTTTTTTTTTGTATTTTTAATAGAGATGGGGTTTCACCACATTGGCCAGGATGGTCTCAATCTCTAGACCTCGTGATCCGCCCACCTTGGCCTCCCAAAGTGCTGGGATTACAGGCATGAAATACCATGCTCGGCCACCTTTTAAAAATTGTTTAATGCACCGAATAGGAATTGTAATATTGTACTGAACAAAAGTAGAGAGTGTATTTTTTGCCTTGTTCCGAATTGTAGGTGGAAAACATCCAATTTTTTGCTATATTTGGTAGATATACTTTATCAGATTGTGGAAATATTCTTCTATTTTTATTTTCTGAGTTTTTATTGTGCATATGAGTTAAGTTTTATCAAATGCTTTTATTCATTAAGGTGACTACAAAGTTTTCTTTTACATTATTCTATTGCTAGAATAATGTAAATCATACTGATTTAGTTTCTTTTGGATATTAAACCAACCTTGCATTTTAGGATAAAAATCTCTTGATTATGATGTACTATCCAATTTATACATTGCTGTATTCAATTTGCTATTTGTTAAGTATCATTGAATCTACGTGCATGAAGAGTACTGGTCTATAATTTTATTTTTCCAATATACTTGTCAGGTTTTTGTGTCAGGGTTTCTTTTCTTTTTCTTTCTTTTTTTTTTTTTTTTGAGACAGAGTCTCGCTCTGTCGCCCAGGCTGGAGTGCAGTGGCACGATCTCGGCTCACTGCAAGCTCCGCCTCCCGGGTTCACGCCATTCTCCTGCCTCAGCCTCCCGAGTAGCTGGGACTACAGGCGCCCGCCCCCACGCCCGGCTAATTTTTTGTATTTTTAGTAGAGGCGGGGTTTCACTGTGTTAGCCAGGATGTTGTGTCAGGGTTTCTATGGTTTTATACAATTAATTTGGAAGTACTTCCTTCTCTTTAATTTTCTGGATTTGTACAGAATTTATATTATTTCTTCCTTAAGTTTTTGTTTTCATCCTTGAAACTATGTGTGCTTGGTGTTTTCCTTATAGATAATTTCAATAACAAATGTAATTCCTTTAATAAGTATAGGGCTAAACAATTTTTCAATTTATTTTATTAATTTTGAAATGTGATTTTCATGGCATTAGTCCATTTTATTTTTTTGAATTTTTGCATAAATTTGTTTATAATATTGCCATATTATCCTTTTAAGTATCTGTAGGTTTTGTAATGATATGTTCTATAACATTACAAATTTGGTAAATTTTGTTTCCTCTTTTTTTGACCTGCCTTTCTATGGGTTATTAAATCTTTTTAATCTTTTCAAGAAACAATGTTTGGCTGTGTTAATTTTTTCTGTTTGCTTGCCAGTTTTATGCTATTTATTTTTTTCTAGTTACTTTGGATTTATCTATTTTATATTTCATAATTTCCATGTGCACCTTGGATTTTTACTTCCCCAATTTAAGGGATGTAGAGGAGGATACAGTAGAGAAAGGGAGAGGTCTGTCTGCCCATTTTGCCATCTGATAGGCTCTTTTGAAAAAGGCCATTGCAGCATATATGCTAAGTTAATTTAGTCATTCCTCCCAACAGAATGTTTGACATAAAGCTATCAATTATCAACACAGCAGCAGCCCTATTTGTAGTGAAGTGTAGTGTCCCAATAGGATAACAGTATACTGCTTCTAAGTAAAGGAAGGGATTGTCTGTAAGCACCGAGGGATAAAATAATAAAAGTAACAACATTACAAGTACTACTCAAAAAACCAAACTAACATGCATTAAATGCTTACAATTATCCTGGAGCTTTACATTTTCGTAGGTATTATTTTCCCAGTTTACAGATGATGAAGGCTTTAAACAGTTAAATAATTTGGTGAAGGTCAGAATTCATAAGTGGAGGAATTAAGATTGAATTCCAGCTCTTCTGGACATCAAAGCCTCTTTGTTTAAATATTTCCATTATATCAACTCAATTATACTTCAATGTTGTTAAATTTTTATTGACATACCAACAACATAAAACTCTTAAATATACAGCTTGATGAATTTTCATAAAGCAAGCACAACTAAATTAAGCAACAAACTTTTCAGCACCCAGAAGCCTCCTTTTTATGTTCTTCTAGGCATTATGCTCTTGTTACTGCCCTGACTTTGAAAACATTGATTAGTTTACTTGTTTTTGTACTTTTGGCATAACACAGTATATATTCTTCCATGTCTGGCTTCATTGTTTCAATATCTATGAAAATCATCCATGTTTTGTATAGTCATTTGCAGTGCTTTATTATATTTTATTGTATGTATATACCAGGATTTATTTATCCATTCAACTGTTGATAACCATTTGGTTAGTTTTCAGGTTCAGTCTATTAAAAATAATGTTGCAGTGAATATATTCTTATGCCTATCTTTTGGTATACCTGTGCATACATTTATAGAATAGAACTGCTAGGTCATAAAATGTTCATGCATATGTTCAGGTTTAGTGACCCTGTTAAATAGTATTCCAAGGTGGTTAATCAAAAAGAAATTTCTTTAGAAAGGAAACTTAAATACTTTCATAAAGGAAAACTAGTATCCAGACCATAATGCGAATATTTACCATGAAATAAAAACATAATTTAAACAAAAACTTTGTTAATATTGTGCCACCTAGAGTAATTTTTGCTGCCATAAAATGTATATCTTCCATACGTTGGGAAATTCAGATCTATACCAGTTATTAGTAATTAATCATGTATTGTCTAGTCTTGTTATATTGCTTTGGCTGCTATTTACAATTTTGAAATTAGATGCAATTATCTGTCTTATTTCTTTTCTTTGAAATGGCAGAGACATTACATTATAGTTCTTTCTATCTCATTTGTATCACTAAAAATTTCACTCAGTAAAAAGTCTTAACTATTGTATTTTTGTTATTGTTGGCAAGTTTAAAGCTACCTGTTTGCTACATTTTTTTTAACCTTTGAGCTGATAAAGAGTACTTTGACTTGTATGCTTGTGTATGTTTCATTTGGTGCTTATTGAGTATAGTCACAAAAAATGCTTAGGCACTGGAGTCAACAGAGATGGATTTGAGTACCCTTACACCACCCCTTTGCCGTGTGTTGTTTATTCCACTTAATAATTCTGAGTCTCATAATTATATTTTATTAAATAAGAATTATAATGCATTGTATCATAAATTTATATGAGGATTAAATATGATAATGGACTTTACGCTTTTGGCACAAAGTGGGTCTTCAATAAATGATAATTTACATCCATAGATTTTCTCTCCTTTATTGAAAATTAAATAATTAATATATCTTTATCAAATATGAAATTTGTTTCTAGAAATTACTTTCTTTAATATATATAACTTTATATTTTAATATGCATCAATCTATATTTAAAATATATCTTAATTCTCAAAGTTTATGCCACTTCTAAGAGTGTGTATATTTATTCCTCCTTTAGAGTAATTTAAATAGAGAGAATCTGACTTATTAATGAACTGTGCAACAGCTTCATAATGGCTAACCTTGTGTGATGGTCAGTATAACCTGGGCTTTGAAATCAAAGAATGTAGAAGCAACTATGGCTCTACCACTTCCTTGCTAGATTGACAGGTTATGTGACCTCTTTGGATTTTGATGTCCTAATCTACAAAATAAGGATAATAATACCTATCTAGGTGCCCAATATACAATACAAACGTGCATTAAATAATAATTTTTCATTGAAACTCTCTACTTTTGCTTTTCAAATAATGACCCAACATACTTTACATAATGGAAGGAAGTCTCTTCTAAGCAAGAGAGAAAATACTTTACTAGAGTTTCAGCTAGGAGGCACATTAAATGGAGTGTAGTTTTTTAGAAAATAACAAGCTCATCTTTTTTAGATTTTTTTTTTCTTCATTGTGCTAAGAAATGTACAAATGAGATTCAGGATCATGAAGCATTTCTCAATGATTTAGAATCTGAAAACTTCAAAAAATTAGACACAAAATTGTTTTCTTAGAGTACTGAGAATTAAGTCTGTTTTGTATCTTTCTGCTTTACTAACAAATTCATGTTTGTGTGTCATATATTTGTCTGTAAATGAAACAATAAAATACATTGTTCAAGTACCTGATTGCAACATCATTGTCACACCTGGGATGTGATGAGTCCTCTGCCAAGTGAACATGTCCTTGACCTGAAGATTTCATTTCAGGAATAGATACCACATTGATCCAATATTTTTAATTGCTGGCAATAGCACAAGTGGCTAATCTTTCTTCGATCTTTCAAAATGTCAATTTTAATTTGCAAATTTAATACATGCAAAAGTATAGAAATAATCAAAATACTTATTTTAAATGCAAGTTAAAAATGTGCTTATTTCATTTGTTTCAGAGATCTGTGGCTCAGAAAATTAGAAACACCAATTTTAGTAAGCTCATTAGTTAAGTTCAAGTTAAGAAAGCATTTTAGGTGGACAAAAGCTGGAATGAAATTTGTTAATAAATAGAAGTTACTTAGAAAGTTTGATTTAATTGATTACACAGCATGAGTATATGAATTCAGAAGCAGTGGGAAGGACTATATAAAAGGAAAGGACACAGATAAAAACAAACATATTTGGATCTGGAAGCTGTCTGATTGTTGATGTACATTTAGTTGTCCTTCTCTGGTGGTTCAATGAACACTAGTTTCAATAGTGTTTTAAGTCAGGTCAGGGGCTGTCAAATTTCAGCTTCGATCTTGAAAAATTTTATCTGATTTAATTTGGGTGGCAAACACCCAAGCCGACTTCTTCATGTGCAAAGAGTAGAAAACTACCCAGTTACTTATGAACTCTGTGTAACACTTGCTAACTCCCACTTGAATATCTGCCATTATTTAATGCTTATCTCTGGGAATTCCTGATTTTGGAAGCCAATGGATAAAACAACAGTTGTGCATGCTGCCAGCAGAAATAATCACCATTGAATTAACTGGCTAGGAACCAACTTTACTATTTTCTCTAGTGCTTATAAGCTATTATATTTATCATTTAATGAATACATAATTCCAAATATAAATGTCTCAAAAGTGTCTAATAAGACCAAATATACAGGTTTGATTTCAGTATTTGGCAGAATACTGTTCTATGAGAAATTTTCCATTATTAGGAAAGGCAGCACTTAAGAAATATTTCCATTACTCTTTCCACTCTTACTCGCAAAAATTGTTTTGTCTGATTGGCAAAGTGAGGGTCTGGGACCTGTTGTTCCACCTTTTGTTTTTGAGCTTGAGGCAGCTAGCTGGGTAAGTGTGTTACAGACCAAATCTTATCACCAGCTGAGTCCAAAGGACTGGAGAAGGGGCAGGGAGCCTACCTGAAATTACAGGTTTAGGGAACTCGCAATAAAGCTGCTACCTTGATCACCTTGATCTCGACTCCTCTATCTTCCCCTGAATTGGGTCTGAACTAGAAGAAAGAAAGGTAAGTGATTTATTGGTTCCCTCATCCCTCAGCCTAAGTCATAAAGTTATGATTCCAATGGACATATTAAGAGATTATCAGGGAACTCTATATTGGCTATGAAAGCTGAGCTGCTACCATGAATGGAGTCAGTCATTTGCACACTGCAGGAATTTGGGGCCACAGCGATCAGCATTGCTGGCTGTACTTGATGCAGGATCAGTGGGGAGAGCTCAATAAATCTCTCGCTCTCACAGGAGAGTGGGAGCTATTGATCGCCAGTGGCTCCATTAGCTCTGTATGACTTCACTGGAATTAAAATCTTTAGGGCTTGATCCTCCCCTCAGATAGCTATATGTACACAGGGCCTAATCTAACCTTGTACAAAGTGGTGAGATTTTTTTTTCTTCTTTCCCCTCCCTTACCCAACATCTAGGTATTTGAGATGAGCAAGCGCTATCCTGCAGAATTTTAATAGGCCTATGTTTAAAGTAGTGTCTCTGACCTTTATGAAATTAAGGAGCGGGGAGAGCATTGCCAGTAAGACTTAACAGATCATTTCTGTCTGCTGGCCAATCTCCATTGGTGTATGTCTATTTTTTTCTAAAGGAAAAACAGCCTTTCACAAAACCAGCTCCAAAGCTCATCAAGATGCAATTGAAATGTTGAAATCAGGTAAATCAGCTCTTATTAAACATGAGGAACTGAGGCAAGAAGACGCAAGTTTTTTGTTTGTTTGTTTTTCTCACTGTAGAGGTTTTTATCACCCAGATGCACAAAATGTGGCCTTGTTATAATAATAATGTCCTAAAGTATTTATGTTGCTTTTCTCTTAATTTTTGAATCCATCAATAGTTACAAACTAAAACTTTTTTCTTTGATGCTATCAGAGGTGTAGTACTGTGTATGGCTACTGAAAATTCAAGAGCCTTTCACTTGATGAAAAAACAAAGAGCAATGTATCTTTTTCCAAAGTAGCATTATCTTCCTGTTACCTGAAATTCAGAGATAGATATTGACATGGCCATTTCTCATGGGGATTAATACTTATCCATCTAATGGGTCCATTTAAAAGCATATATATGGAGTCTGAGATTTGGAATAAGGCTTTTTGTCAAAAGGACACCTTTATCATTGGGATTGTTTGATGGAAAATCACAAAGCCATATATTTGTGGGAAACCACTTAGAAAGATAATGTAAAATATCATGGCAACTGTTGGCAGAATTTTAAAAATACAAACCACAAACACATATTGTAAAATGTATTGACCTATATATTGTCTAGACATACTCAAGGAACTATTTCCTTTTAGACAGATTATTTGGGAGACTGGACACTATCTGTTTCCAGATTAAAATTTATGCTAGCTTACAGATAAACGAAAGGTAGTCTAATTCAAACTTTGTATTGCCTTAATGCTGTTAGATAGACTAGATGACCCTGAATTTCCTTTTAACCTTATGATTAGAGAAAATCACTTTTCTAAACAAAATAAACTGTTAAATATTAGAGCTTATGAAAATATATTTGATCAATTCAAAACCATCATATGTGGTGGCCTTAATTGTAGAATTCAAATATATCTCTTAGTCAATGACACCATTAATGATTATTTAATGGGAAGCCTAAACTAAGCCCTAAAATAGCTTGAATAGAAATGGAAAAAGTTTATTCATTTACATATTCATAGTCTGCTTTTAAAAATCACAAAGGTTTTAAACATGAATTAGAAATAAAATTCCTATGTCATTATTCTATAGTCTTATGGGAGAGGTAAGTAAGAGCAAAAGGACTCCTTATCCTCTATCCGCAAGGAACAGATAACACACACACGTACACACACACAAATGGAAGTATATTCATGGGAACCTGAAAGAAGCAATTTGAGATGACTGATATTTACAATTTAGTGGAGCAAGGACTGAAAGAAGAATGTGTCTTGCAAGGGGCACATGAGTGATGGGTTTTGCAGGGGATGTGCAAACACTCTGCTTTTAGAAATAGGTCTGATCTTAACTGGCAGGTGACCGTGTGGCAGATTTGAAAGCATTCTACTCCACTTCTCCTCAGGATACAAAGAGGTATCTTGAAAAAGAGGAAAGGATAAGTCAAGATTTAATGATTTAAATCCTTGAGACAAAGCATTTTAAAAAGTGAACTTGAGTTCCTCTTCACGTGTTTAAGAAGTGGGCCTTATGTTTACAATTTAGTAGATGGAGTGCCTGTTGTTTCACAGTACAGTCCTAAGCTCTGTTTCTTGCTTAGCACTGAATGGTTGCTTCATGATGGGTAAGTCACTTAACCTTTCTGTGGTGTGTTCTTCTCATCTGCAAGTAGAGATGGAAATGCTCACTGGGGATGTGTTGCTAAGATTAGGCAATATGTAATTGTGATGAGCATTATACATGCTAACTAATGATGATAATGCTGTCTATTAGAGTGAATATTTGGATCGGAGGGCCTAAGCAGTTTTGTGATTGCATTTCCTGCAGAGAGAGACCTTAGCAAATGATTACCTGGTCCATATGACTCATGTTTTATAACAGAATAAGATTATGTCGTCTCAAATCCTTCCCCTTTCCCCCCACAGATCACCTATTAAATTTTTTTTTTTGGAATTAAATACAAAATCATTCTGTCTAGGAGGAGGAAATGAACAGCACGTCCTGGGAAAGTCGTTTCTGCCAGCTCCTCTAATTCTTTAAGTTATAATTTTCTTTCAAGAATTCCAAATTTAGGCATTGAGCCTTATTGCAATTTTCAGTGGAGTTACGCAAGCTTATACAGCCAGATCATGTCTGAAGGTTATCAATTTGTTAAACCTGTAATGTCAAGATCTCCTTTCTTTCCAATTTGTAGAGAATGTTACTTCCTTAGTAATCTTATTTTTTTTCTCTCTTTCTGTCTTCTAAACCCACCTCACTTGCTCAGATTCTTAACAGGGTTAAAAATGGTACAGCCAGAAGGAAATATCTCTAATCGCCACCTCTGTAATACAGACACAAGCATTTTCTTAAGGGCCAAGAGACTGCTACCACCTCTCGGTTTCTTGAGATGTTCCTAATGGCATGTTGCTATGTTCTGATGTGAGTATAATGGCATAAGATCACAGCAAGAAAAATGCACCTTCCCCTCAAAAGCATAGATCTCACTAGAAAATAAGAGAAAAAATCTCTTTACTTTGGTTTTTAATAAAATCATACTTTCCAGAAAGATGGAGGTGAGAGCAGAGGCATGACCGCTTAATTTCAAATGTGAATTTTTTTTCTTTCTTAAAGGAGACACTATGGTAATTGCATCTCGTGCACACTTAGTAATTATTCATTTCAAAATCTACTCCTGTGAATTATGCATGTTTGAGGATTACCACACAACCCAATGAAGTAATTAAATGGGTACTTTTCTTCCCATTTTACAGATGAGTAAAATAGGACCCCAGAAAGAAACAATTGAATGTTCAAAGCTTTCAGGTTTTTTTTGGTAACCAAAAAAGTGCTAGAGTTTAAGCCTTCTAATATAAACACATTTTTATTATGTATACAAGTTTTGAATAGATTTATTTCTGAATCTAATTCTAAAGAAAAATGGAGTTTCTGAGAGTCTTTTCAACTTTAATTTTAAATATAATAAATTTCAGAATAATTGTTATGATTTATTCTGAACAGTTTAGGTGGAATGATATAATTTCAGGGGCATGAGAAAAAATGTCTTCTACTCCTCCTTAATTATCATGCCATATGTTCATGAAGGGATTTTCTCTTCTTTCATTCCAAATTAGAGAGAAGGCTTAAAAACAAAGTCCTCTGATGGAGATGACACAATGCCTGAGACTTGTGGGAAGCCCTGACTCAGACCTTTTCCTGTAAGCATGTTAATTGAAGAGGGAGACAGGATGTGTGCAAAGCAGTAGTTCTGCCCTTTAAAGGGGAGCTAAGAGTGAAGAATAGTGACTCAGGTGATATACAAAATGGACTTTACTTAGATTACAATTTAGCTCAGGGGTATCCTCTGGAGAACTTGTCTGTATTGATTGGAGCCCATGCTGTGTCAATGGAATGCCCTTCCTTGGATATACCAATTGCTGCATATGCTGGAACATTTGGCAACCCTTGGGGGCCCCCACACTGTTTTACAGCCAGTGACAACACAGGCAGCACAGACGGGCAAAACATGAAATCAGAGAGAGCAAACCTTTCCCCCTTATCTGGAATCTACACATTGATTTACTTATACAAGGTTTTCAGGTCGAAATGGCTTATCTATTATTTCTCTAACTGGCCTAGTGTATTCTCTAAGGCTAAGCTTAGGTGGTATTGGTATTCACGAACTCTTTACAGTATATCCGAATGCTTCTGCTTGTATACTAGTTCTTAATTGTGGTATGCAGTCTGTGACAACCATCTGCTGAGGCAGTCACATTTCTCTCGCATTCAAACCCATTGAAATTAAAATATTGATAAGAATAATTTCACAAGGTGGTAAAGTTAATAGAGGAATTGGAGTTGGTATGCTTTTTGAATTTAAGTTGAACATTTAGAGTTTTCTGTAAGCACTGGCATGAGGTTTTATGCTGCTGAGCATGGGTCATTTGTAAATTAATGCTTCTATCTATAATGAAGAATAATCTCTTATCATGGCCATAGAGTATGCAGTACATAGCTCTGCAACTTTAGCAGATTTTTCTCATTTTTTTTGTATGTGTTTCCTAGTTTTTTTTTAAGAGAGAACATAGGTACATTCAGAATAGTTGTATTTATGAGAAGGATGTTACTAATTTTTTCAACAAATATTTATTGAGATCTTACCAAGAATTTCTGCTGAGAAATTCTTCAGAACATTTAGTTAAGATATGTTAAAATCACATCATTGCAATTTTACTGTAATGGTAAAGGCCCCTAGTGGGCCAATTCAAAGACTCATTCTAGGTAGGAACATTTTCAAAGAAAGTAGAATGACTACGTAGTAATATTTACACTAAATACGAAAACCAGCATACGTTCTGTCAAAGATTAGGCTTTTGTCTGAGAGCTGATTGGCTGGGTTGTGTAATTAGTCTCCCAGAAAGCTAATTCTGTTAAATAATTTATAATTCTGTTGAAGTTTATTATAAAATTGCTGAAGCATGTTATCAGGAATGCCTACTTCTTCCTTGAGAGAGGTTTGAGACCATTTTTCTTTTGTTCACGTGACAGAGAGTATGCCAAGTGCTAGGGCTGCATAGATGAGTGGATCAAGATCTGAGCCCCTGGAAGAAGTTAGAAAATAATCTGAATTAACAGAAAAGCAAGTATGTCAGAGCAGTAAAAGACAGCCTGTGTTGGCATCAGGAATGATTCCAAAGGAGAGAGTAAGAAATTGAATAGAGGGTTTTGGGTAGTAGGTCAGCTAAATGAAAGAACTCTTCTTGGAGTTAAATTCTGACAGATAAGTAAGTTTTTGTCAGGGGGATAGAAGGAAAGTGTAGGGAAGTAGAACGTGGAACCAAGACCTTATCTTTTAGAGGGGCTAAAAAAGCATAAATTAAGTGTTCTGCATTGCAAAATGTTTGGAGATCTGGATCTTGTAAGCAGTTTTCATGGAGCTTATAGTCTAGTAGGGGAAAAGATTAGACGATTAAAAACTCATGCATATGTCTTTTAAAGAATGAGAGGATACTATGAAGCTGTCGTTGGTAATATTCAAACCAAAAGCTTAATAATGAGCACCCAGATTTAAGAAAGTAATTAGGAAAGAACATTTCATTAGAAAGAACACTTAGTCTCGTGAGTGACAGCCAGGAATTAGGAAAGAACTATCTGTGTCAGAGGAATTAAAAGATTACATCATTTTTGGAATAGGGTGAGTGAAAGGCTCAATTAACTCAAGAGTGTTTAGTTGAAATTATTTAGCAGCCAATCAATGCATAATTCACACATAATCCATTTACATTTTTAGCAAAGTGATAAGTTTAGATAATAATCTAGATTAGGGTAATAGGTTACATTCTAGCCCATTGTCTAGTTTTGTAAATAAAGTTTTATTAGAATACAGCCATACTCATTCATTTATGAATTATTGATAGTTGCTTTTGTTTTAGAACAGCAGAGTTGAGTAGTAATGAAAGAGACTCCATGGATCCAAAGCCTACAATGTTTACCAGCTGCCTTTTCTCAGTAAAAGTCAAGTCCTGATCAACGTCCTTGTGGTTTAATATAAAGTGCACTCATACACATAGTCACATGCACACACACAGAACGTTGCTTCAGTAATAATTTTCATGAATTGAAACATGAATATGTAAATCCTGATTGGTGGTGAGTGGATCCTCTATTATTACTAAAATTCTCTTTTTGGAAACAGTTCTTTGGGCTACAACCACCCAGTGGTTGTAGACAACCCTGAGGTTGTCAATTTTTCCAAGGTAATGGGTAAGAAAAACAGAAAAGTCTGGACTATGAGGGAAGAGTTTAGAATTGCTAGTTTTGTTAGATTGCCTTAGGGTATATTAATTCTATAATCATTTTTACAAATAAATCCTCCTCATCTTTAATTTCAGGAACAAAAATATATTGTAATGTGTAGAGCTTTTGTCTTAGCAAGCTACATGGTACATTATTATATGTAACTGACAAAGTTTCAGAATTAGAAATATACAATTACAGGTATCTGCATATTTCATCATTAGTAATGCAATGCAGCTAAAGGGTCAGTAAAATTTTAAGAAGTTTGTATTTTAAATGCCTTCAAATATTGAATCTTGATTTTAAGTGGAAATTATAACAGTCATATATTTGAGAAGTAATACACAATTAATCTATTTTTATATGCTGTATCATGATTTGCAATTTCGAAGTACAGAAGAAATAGAAAATACATGGGCAACTCAAACCAAATAGTAAACTCTTTAAAAAATGCTTTTAGAATAATAACATATAAATTATAAACACTACACATACAATTTAATGTGTAACAATAAACTAAACCTCTGTGTATCTCCTACCTCGCTTAAGACACAAAACGATATGAGAAAATTTGATATCCCTTGTGAATTTCCTAATCATCTTCCCCGTTTTCCCAGCAGAAACAATAACTTCCTTAATTTTATGATAATGATTTGTTTTCCTTTGTAATTAACCATATATGCATGTATTCTTAAGCAGTATGTTATTTAATTTTCTCTGTTTTAAAAATTTTACTTAATCTCATAATGCTTGTATTTTTCTGCAATTTGCTTTTTTCATTCAACATTTAAGATTTTTCTACATTGATGCTTATAGCTATAGTGCATTCATTTTCACTCCCTGGATGGATAATATTTTATTTATGAATATCCTGTTCTGCATGTGACAGGATATTTAGGTTCTTTTGAGGTGTTATTATCATGACCAATGCATCTTTGAATGTTTTTGCACATATCTGAATGAATGGGTACACAAATTTCTCTAAGAATATAGGAATAGAATTGCTTGGTCTTGATTATATGCAACTTCACTAAATAATGCCAACTGCAATTGAACCAATTGACTTCTTCACTAGCAGTGTACAGGGATTCCTCTTGCTTCAAAACCTCTTCAAAAGACAGTGTTATGATACTCTTCACTTTTTCCCAAAGTAGTGGTGAATTACATTTTTAAAAATGTAATATCCTTGTTTCATAAATGGGTTTTATTGTGTCAGCTTTGTTCCATTTGCGTGCTTAACCCTGTGCTATTATTATACTCCAAATTATGTAGTGTATTCATAAGTTTTGATAACAGGTAGGGCAAGTTGCTTTACATGTCTTTTATTTATGAAATTATTAATTATAAAATTTTTAAGAAACATTTATAAAATTATTTAGTTTGGTCTTGTTTTTAGAATTTGGCTTGTTTCTTGAAACAAGTTTTGGCTTGTTTTTAGAAATTTAGAAATTGTTAATTAGACCTTTGTATTGGAAAACAGCGACACTAAGTACAGAAATTTTCTCCAGTGTTTTGAAGATATTTTACTCTCACCCGTATTCCATTTCTGATGTTAAGAAGCCAGCAAAAGTCAAATTACCATTCCCTTGCAATAGGCAGTTTCCCCCCAACCCCGGCTGCTCTTACGAATTTTATTTTTATATTTGCTTTCTAGTAGTTTAACTGTAATATGTCTAAGTTTGTTTAAAAATTATCTCCTGATTAAAATTTGTTGGTTGTCCTGAATCAGAGGATTGGGATCTTTCAGCAATTCTGCCAATTTCTTAGATATAAAATATTCATTTTTTTAAAACTCTGGATAAATGTATGTGGGATCCCCTCACACTGTTCCAGGTGCCCTAACCCGTTTTCCATATTTTTCATTGCTTTCCCCCTATGGATTCACTCTCCATTTTGGATAACTTTTTCAGACCTATCTTTCTAGTCACTACTTCTCTTTTCAATTGTTTCTAATTTTGATTTTAACTCACAGATTAAGATTTTATTTTCAGTTATTATATTTTCACTGCTATTTATTTCTTCTCAATATTCCTGGTCAATTTCTAAAGACATTTATCATTCTACAATAATTTGAATAACTTCCTTTATTTTTTAAATTAATTATTTTATATTTTTTATCTGGCATTTTTATTATTTATTATTTTTCCTGGCTCTGATTTTGTAATATGTTGCTTCTATTAATTGATGATTGTAGAGCACTAGTTTTGTGAGTTTTAAAAACTTGAAGTCCCATTGTTTGGAACTATTTCTGTAGGGATTCTAGAGGTCCGTGTAGAGGTCTGTGTTTAAAAGTGTCATATCTCAGCAAGGAAATGTGTTTACTTTTGACAGGCAAATGGGTGCAGTACCAACCTAGGAATAACTTAACACCTCAGCTGAGAGTTTTTCAGTCAAAATGGATCAGAAGTATAAGTTCTGATCCAAAAACTCTTATTAGTATGTTCCTTGTGGTTCTAAAAAAATCTTATGGAAGACTGTGTTGGTTTTTGCTATTCTAGGCAGAGCCAAAGCTAAGAGAGGACTTCTTTCCCCCTCTAGTTCACTTAATTTGTATGTGTGCATGTGTGTATCTGGGGTGTGTGTGTGAGTGTGTGTGTGTATGTATGTATGTTTCCCATCTACAGACTAACAGTAAACTTAGGCTTGTTTCCTAACCCTTTATGCCTGTGGCTAGTTAAAAATCATGTCCCAGCCACAAGAAATTGACCAATGTCCATAGGGCAAATACTATCTTCAGCAAATGCTTATTTACATAGAAACAAACTTCTGTGTAATTTCTGGCCTTAAATTTTTCCTTTCTTTATTCACATTAAGCCCATACTTCAGAAAAATATTTTCCATATTTTATCCAGAATCATTTGTTATATACTAGGAGAGGTGGTTTCTTTGTGTATAGTCTACTGCATTGCCAGAAAAATTATTGGATTTTATTTTTCACTGCACTTTAAAATTGTGCTTAAAGGGAAAGTTTACCCGCAACCATAGTGTATGTGGACATCTTCGTGTATGCATTTCTGAAATATCTCTGTCAATTAGAATGTAAAAAGTTAAGTTTCTTATTACCTGTTATATATAAATGCTCTATGAATTGACAAATTATTCAGCTCTGTCTTAATAATTTTGATAAAGTAAACTAATACAGGATTTTGGTTATAGACTAAAACTCAAGCTAGAATTATTTGTAAGTCTTTTCAGATGACAGAAAATAGATATTTTGACCCTACATAAATATGCTGTTAAACATGGAAAGATGGATTAACATGCACCTGAAGCAAGTTTGTATTTATAACCTTTTGATACCAGTGATATTTAATTGGGAATACTAGCAAATTGAGGTTTTGCGATATATATAAAAAACTGTCTTGCAAGAATATGTTCATAAAGAATTAGAATTCTTTATCACAGCTTGTAAAATGTTAAGTAACCTAGATAATAGAGTAATATAATTTTTACAATATAATATTGATTTAGTTAATATCTTGCTTAAATATTGCAATAGTTGTCCTTATATTGAACATGATAAAATTGTATGCTTTATATGAAAAAAATCAATTGACAATGTGAAAATGGAGTTGAGTTTTTCATAAATATGCAGATATTATTTTCTGAGCCTTGCCAAATGAATTACGATGATTTTGATCTGTAATTTTGAAATATTTTTGGATAAATATTGAAATGAAATTGCTAATATAGAAAAGTTTCATGTCTTTTCCTATTTTTTCATCTTACTGGAGATATATGAAAATGACTCTTATTAGTTAAAACTTTCTATTTCGATGGTTGCTTATTTGTACTATCTGTTGGAATTCTATTTATTTTAGTTGTTATGAAAAATAATCTGAGTAATAAACCAGACAGTTTCTACGGTTCCAGTCACCATTAGTGGAGAGGAAGTGGTACAAATAAGATATGCCTTGGCCAGGCGCGGCGGCTCACGCCTGTAATCCCAGCACTTTCGGAAGCCAAGGCGGGCGGATCACGAGGTCAGGAGATCGAGACCATCCTGGCTAACAGGGTGAAGCCCCATCTCCACTAAAAATACAAAAAAAAAAAAAAAAAAATTAGCCGGACATGGTGGCACCCGCCTCTAGTCCCAGCTACTCAGGAGGCTGAGGCAGGGGAATGGCGTGAACCCGGGAGGCAGAGCTTGCAGTGAGCCGAGATCGTGCCACTGCACTCCAGCCTGGGCGACAGAGCGAGACTGTGTCTCAAAAAAAAAAAAAAAAGATATGCCTCTAAGTAGCCCTGCCAAGACCCACTTCTGTGACCATTAAATAGTACATGAGCAACGCTTTATGAAAAAGAACACACACACACACAAAACCACCACCACCACCACCAGGTATCCTCTTTTTCCTAACATATCAAGTGGGTAAAAGAAATGAAGAGTTATTGAAGAAAAAGCAGGAAGTACTAACCAGCACCCACAGTAATGATCACCCCTATTTTAAAACTAATCCTTCTAAATTTTGTAGAACTTAGCTAATTATTTTTCCTTTTTGGCATAGTTGTGGCAAAGTACGGATGCAGTTTTGCTCAGCCTCCTTAATAATGAAAGTATGGATGAAAATCTTGTGGGGAAAACTCAAATGCACCCTCAAATGCTCCAGCTGTTGGAGAGTGAAAACGTCTGGCCCTGATGCCTCTACTATATCATTTGTTTCTGGATCTAAGAACCCAAACTACTGATGTTAAATGTACTTTAATACACTTTCAGTTTTTATACTTATTATGTTATTTGACTATTTTCTACAAGTAGCACAGGATAAATTATATGTGGCAGAATTTTTAGGCACAAAGCATAGTAAGGGTAGAATTGTCATATACTCTTTGTTTTGAGTCCTGAGTGAGTGGCGTGTGTATTCCAGGCTGTTTTAGAATCTGAGTATAACATAAAGAGCAAGGTTTAAAAAGTGATCCTGGTTCAGCCAAATCCCTCTAAAGGTTGCTGTTCACCTAGCCAGACAGATTTAGGCACCAGAATCTTGACTACAAATATAATCTTGCATTTTATACACTTATAACCTTTATACCACTCCAAATATTCTTGACATTTTTGAACAATATTTCATTTAAGCATTTGCAAATACACAAATCTGTAAATATCACCGTGGAATATGACTCCTACAACATTACAATAAAATATAACTAA
This sequence comes from Homo sapiens, assembly GCF_000001405.40. Lineage (NCBI taxonomy): Eukaryota > Metazoa > Chordata > Mammalia > Primates > Hominidae > Homo > Homo sapiens. The sequence goes on from NC_000009.12 coordinate 24,472,245, forward strand.
ATTTTTGACATTGTCTCTATGCCTGCTACTGTGTCCAGTGATGATAAATCAATAGCAACAAAGCAACACTGCAATATAGACACCGATTACTTGCCTAGACTCTGTCTTTAGTTAATTCGCTCATTTTTGCATAGATGAGAGTAGTGTGTTTGATTTGTAATTGTGCCTGGAGAAAGGAAAAATTTCTAGGAATTGTGGATCTTTCAGTTGACTTGTTCATACACAGTAATATTTACTTTAGTTATCACAAAATACAGATTTAATATTTTAACATTAACCAAATGGGATGATGAAGTAGAAAAGATATTTGCATATATGGGAGGAAAACCCTTGAGTTTTCCTCAAGATTTTTTTGCATGTAAACCTTGCACCCACGGATTGCATTTTCCTCCGGACAGATTTGCAGCAACATAGTGTTTGAGAGCGTTGTCAATGGACAAAAAATATTACCTTTCTAAACCATTGTCTCTCAGATGTATCTTTATATTTGTACGTGCATACTAAATAAACTATAATTCATATATCAATATTGTAATAGTGTGATACTGACATTATTTCACTGGTATGTCCTAGAAATTGGTAAACTCTTATCGAGAAGTAACAAACAGTAATGTGTCTGTCCGAGCGGGTTCAATATTCTTATCTTAATTTTCTGCTTTTAGCGTCATCATTTGGAGTTTGTTTATCGACTTCTGTGTTTCAAATGTACCCATGTTTTTTGGTAATCCATGTTGGGACAGACTTTCTTGAATCAAGACCAGGAGAACTCCTAGGTGCTCTCTTTGTAGTCTCAAATTTCAAAGACTTTTTCTACCCTGTCTTTGGAGCTTTAGTTATTTTTGCTCAGATTTCTTAGAGCCCATTTGATGGAATGCTAATAATTAAGAAATGTAATTTTCAGGGGGTAAATACTTCTTTGACATATATTCTGTGAAATATTTCGCTAATATTCAGAAATGGGTTCTATTTGTGCTGTTGCAGTCAGGTAGGTTTTGTCAATACCTTGAATTTGGCAAGGAGATGTCAACCTCCAGATTAAGTAATATGTCAAGACATTTTTCCCATTACCCAAAACATCAAAACAGAAACATAAACATGAAAAGCCATGACTCACTCCTAAAAAGAATTCTACAACATCTGTTTCAGGCTGCTGTGGAGTGGGACTGGATTATGTAATTTACCTATCTCAGGATGACTTTTGGGAAGAATATGCTCTATGTAAGAGGAACAACATATAAATTCTATTTTAGATTAGATACTAGGAATAATGCTCTTAAAATTATTTTTATTTTTAAAATGTATATAAAAAGTTATTAAGAAATTTGCAAAGAAATGGGCTTGGTTCCATTTTCTCAATCTTTCTTTTACCCCTCTCACCAATATCCATGAAGATTTCTAAGCTACAATTAATCATATCATTGTTAAATACTATTTATTCTTTTTCACCATACTGTATATTCTTGCACATTTTAATTTGTGTAGAAAATCTCTCCCTAGAAATTCTCCCATTTCTTCAGAGTCTTTTCTCTATTGCATCACCACAGGCAGGTCTCTTCTTTTTCACACTTATTACATTATAGCTTCTGGATCTTGAATATTAGGTCAACTTTTTTCATAATTTTTCCTGATTTTTTCTTATGTTTTTATTCTATAAATATTGTCCAATTCACTATATTCTAAAGTATATTGAGAAAGTCTCATTGTAAAAGGCAATGGGTAACAAATACCATCCATGTGAACAATTTTGCATTTTCTAAATAAATTGCCTCAATTTATTTCCATCATTTTTTTCAAGTGCCTCAGGCATCAATGAAAATAGGCTCATTAATTGCTAAGTGAGTAATTTTTCTACAAGTATAGTCTTGTTTTATACATTCATTTGTGCATTTACTGTGCGTGACCAGATTCACCAAACACAAGCCTAGTTACCAAGTGAAATACACTTTTCCTGGAAAAGTGGGTATTAGGGTCAAACGAAATTCCCACATGAATCATAGCATCACTTATGATAATTGCTGGAAAAGCAAAATGCTGACTTATTTACTTGAATGGGAAAGCCTAGAGTAATCTACATTGTTAGAGAAAGAGTATGAGGTGGATATAAAAGCTTTTCTCAATAATTCTTGGCACAGGTTGAACACTTTCCCTAGATAATTTTTCCTGGTCCCTCAGTGAAAGGTGATCTTTTTGATTTTTCATAGCATAATATCTTTCGTTCTCTCTCATGTATATTTCTTGAATTAAATTTATTTAGATGCCTGTCTTATCTTCCCTCTACAATGTGAGGGTTTTTGTTGTTGTTGTTGTTGTTGTTGTTGTTGTTGTTGTTTTGATGGCATAGACTGCATTTGATCCATCTCCATAGAACTTACCTGGATCACTCCCTTGGACAGAGTAAATACTCAATAAGTAAATACTTGAGTGCCTGAATAATTTAATAGTTACATTAAAAAGTATTCATTGTAGAAAGGTAGGTAGAGATAAAACTGAAGAAAGAGGAACTTCTTCATGTTGGTTTACTTCTTTCCCATTCTACTTTTATGCAAAGCACAAGTACCTCCATTGATTATTTGGATCTTCATTCATTGAACGGGAGCGATGCATCAGACACAGAAGGATGTGTTCTGCCAGTTTTGAGCTGCTTAGAATTCATGTGTTCAGAATTATGAAACAGACCCAAATATGTTGGCTTATCTTAGGCAAAACACAATTTCCCAGCTTTTAGGAAAATAAAGGAGTTTGGAAAACTGAGAGACTTGTAAAAGACTCAGCAGTCTAGTGGTTCTTAAAAGTTTTTATTTTGATTGCTGCTGCTACTACTGTACTTCTTACTGGCATTTATAGTAAATTCTGTATTTGCCTTGTGCTTCAAAGTAATGTGTATGTGTTGTGGTTGTTATATTCTGGGGTCTTGGGCATTTGTGATATGAATAAATGAATGTGATTCAGTTAACTTCCTGATTGCTTGTTATGTGGAAGATCCTTCAAAGTGTCTATGTTGTGTAGAGGGAGAAATATCAACAATAAAATTATGGTCTAGTAGAGACAATAGGTATATTTATAGATAATGTTACAAGGGAATTAAACTATTATCTATCTTGTGTGATACAGATATTTGTCTATTCAAAGGCAAGGAGATGGGCCAGAAATTTTGAGTCTGTTTAGATTCTGTGGAGCTCTGACTTTATAAATTTTTAAACAGAGGAAGACAAAAGAAGTTTGAATTCTAATTTTGTTTTAAAATCATCATGTATAGGATGCAAAAGGAAGACATAAACATTTTTGGTACCATAATGTAAGAAGGGTAACTTCCTTTACCTATCTTCTCATTATGCCAAAAAGTTGGAACCACTTATTTATGCCAATTTTTAGCCGTTCTTGAGGGGGTCTTATTGTACACCACACCATACTAGTACCATTTTAAGTTGTACACAATCTCCTAAACAATAATCTATGAAAATCATATTGGCAGAGTAGAAAATTTTATCTTGACACCCAAGAGGTGTAAGAGAGTTTTGAGATGTCAGCTGTTATTGAATCAGATTCTATTGATTGTACTTGAGTATCAGCATTAGGTGGTTAAAAATGAGTAAGCTACTGACATACAGCATTAGCTCTGTCTATTGCTAGTGCTCACTATGTTTTAGAATTCAAGTGTTTTACCAATATTTATAGCATATAACCCACATAGCCCCTATAAGAGAGACTCTACTTTTATCTCATTCTGTAGATGAGAACCAGGAGCAAAGAGAGGTCAAATGTGAGTTTAAGGTCACCCAGTTTATAGGTGCTGCTGAAGTTAGGATCTAACAATTGCACTCTGGCTCCAGAGTCTGCTCTTAACCTTTGTGGAATACCATTGTGTATTTATGAACATGTGATTAAATCTGTGGCTAATAAATGTTACTTCTTAGCATGAGAAAATGATTACAATTCTTCCTTATCTTGATTTTTATAAATTAGGAAAATAGAGGACTTATTAGAATAATATTTGGATTCCTATTGGTCGCTTGGAGGTTTCAGCCAATATCAGAATGCTTTTCAGTAGTAATAATAAGATTGGAATGATTTCTATTTTCTTGCTACTATGCCAAGCAGTTAATAAGCATTGACTATTTTATTTTACTATATATGTATGTGTGTGTGTGTGTATGTGTGTGTGTGTATATATATATATATATATATATATATATATATATATATATGATGGAGTCTCACTCTGTCACCAGGCTGGAGTGCAGTGGCGCAATCTCAGCTCACTGCAACCTCCTCCACCCAGGTCCAAGCAATTTTCCTGCCTCAGCCTCCTGAGTAGCTGGGACTACAGGCACACGCCACCATGCCCAGCTAATTTTTGTATTTTTGGTGGGATGGGGTTTCATCATGTTGGCCAGCATGGTCTCGAATTCTTGACCTTGTGATCCACCTGCCTCAGACTCCCAAAGTGCTGGGATTACAGGCGTAAGCCCCTGTGCCCAGGCTACAGCATTGACTATTTTAATCCACAACAACCCTTTTAGGTATTAGTCTCATTTTTAAGATAAGGAAAGTGAGACTTAGAAAGGCAAAAACGTGCTAATGACCATGAAGACAGTAAGCAGCAGAAAGAGGCTCAAAGGCATTGGATCCTTAAATCTGTACTTCTAAGATCTAAGATTAGCTCCTTTATTATAGTGATTGTCTCTGTAAATTAATATTTAAAGAGCAAATCCTAAATTTATCTTTTTATTTATACTCATTAAAAATAAGATATCATACACTTTAAACATCATTGTAAAGACTAATGATGCCAAGTGAGAATATGAAACAACTGGAATTTTCATAAACGTTGGGAGTGTAAATTAGTACAAGCATTTTGGAAAACTGTGTGGTATTATCTACTGAAGTTGGAAAAACAATTTTCCTATAGCACAGTAGTTTTGCTTCTTTGTATACATGCCTTAAGTGAGTGTACTTACGTACCAAAGATGTGTGCAATAACATTTATGTCAGTATTATACATAATAACCCCAAACTGGAAACCACTCAAATTTTTAAAATTTCAGTCAGTGTCAGAAGAAATAAGATAATTTTGTTATATTCATGAAAGTAAAATAACATATGGCAATAAAAATGAATGAGGAAAATGTAATACCATGTTGAATTATTCCACAGTATTAAGCCAAGGAAGCCAGACATAGTAAATAAATACATATTGTAGGAGTTCATTTGTAAAAAATTTTAAAAATAAGCCAGAATGATCTATGACTTAATAGTCAAAATAATGGTGGTCTAAGAGTGGCTCCAGAGTGTTACACATGAACAACTTCTTGGCCTGTGTGGTAGTTACAGGCATATATTCCCTTGCAATTATTTAATGAGTTGTGCACCTATGAATTGTCTACTTCACTGTCTGTATTTTTACTTCAATAAAAAGTTAAATATAATAACTATTATTTGTGAGAAAGGAGATGTTCTGGTTAACTAAATACTCTTGATAATGAGAGTGTTAATACGAATAGCTGCCGCAAGATATAAAATCCATACAGTTTTGTAATGGCTTTGTAATTTTTTTCTAAAATGAATGATTTCGCTTTCTTGTCTCTAAATACAAAACACAAAAGTAATATAGTGTTACTTTAAAGATTTGAAATTTTTATTTTAAAAAGATGATAAAAGTAAAATATGCACAATGTATGAAACATTGAGCCAAACATGTATCTTTGGTATGCATTTGATTTCCTACTATTGTCTTTTCTAAAGTAGGAGGATATCAAATCACTCTGGTAATTTGTATTTGATTTTGTTGAGATTTTATATGTGTCACATAAGAAATTAGGAATAATTTTGAAGTGTCAAGTGTTTCACAATTTGTGCCAAGACTTGACATTTTTTGAGACACCTCGCCCAATCCCTTAGTACAATATCTCATCTTTGGCACTTGGCCTTAGTTGCTAGAACAATACAAATTTTATGTTTCTCAAATAAATAGTTGATCACTCAAGATACATATTCACTCACATGATAAATGCCACTGACTCTTCTTCCCTAGAGCGGAGGGTACCTTCAGTGAACTTGGGTTGTCTGAATGACAATGGCTTTAGTCACATTGGCACTTGGGGCCACTCAGCCCCCAGTGCAGTTTCTTCTCATGACAGGTCAAGTTTTTGCCCTGCTAAGAGCCCTATTCTTTTAACTTAGTTATTCACAGGGAGTGCAGTATAGGAACACAAGCTCTAGATTCAAAGCATTCTAGGTTTAATTTCAACTCTACCACTGCCTATATGCTGACCTTGGAAAACTAAATTTTAAAGTGGGGATAATATACTTATTGGGTTAAGGTGCAGATTTGTTGAGATAAGGCATGTAAAATTCCTAGTATAGTAGCCGCCATATAGCAAGCTTTAAATATCAGTTTTCATTTATTAATCGCTATTATTAAATACACCTTTCTCTTGTGTGAAACAAAGGACCACATTAACCCAGTTTATCCAAGTGGATCCAATAAAGTCCTTAAGACATTACTGATTATTCAAATAAATAAAGCTATATACTTTCTTATAACAGAGAACTTTATTTACCTAGAAAATACAGCTTTTTAAAAAGCTGCCTACAGTGAATGTGTGACTTGGTATATGTTTCTAGGTATTCATATCTAATATAAGTAAAACCAGTTTGAAAATCAATGATGTCTCATTAGCACTACATGCCATAAATGTGTGTGTGTTTAAAGAGCTTTTAGCTGAAAAGGAAAAAAGGTCACCTACGTATTTGAAAGACTGCAGCCAAAGATTGAAGGAGATATTTTACTATTCTTCATTTTATGTCTAAGCTTTGCTAAGATCAATGAATTCCAAATCATGCATCAGTTAGTAGGTGCAGAGAAAATGCTTTAATGTCTGGAAATTTCATCAATCTCATTTCTCTGTCACAAAAGGAATTGCTTAAATGAGTGTTCTTGAGACCAACATGGTAAAATTACATATCAGGCATCTAAATATATGTAAATATCAAAAAGGTGTGCATTTTCAACAATATATTCTGGTTTTCAGAGAATTAGTTTTGAACCAGCCACTGGTTTCCCAAAATATAGCTCACCATTATCGACCAGTACATCACAGTTGATGTACTGCAGTGTAACAAAGAACTGTCAGCTATGGGATGGTAAATACGATACATGCTTCCTGCTGCTTTATCGTATATGCACATTCTTCCCCAAATAGTTTAGCAAACGTTTGCCTCCTACACACAAATCGCAAGAATGCCGACACTCTCAGGAGACCACTAAAATCCACAGCTGCATTATTTTCCTTTCTCTTAAGGGGAAAAGTTTAAAAATAACCAACTTTTTTCAGCCATGTCTTTTCCCTAGGAATCACTTTGTTTTCATATTTTCTGCCTCTCTGTTAAAATTGAAAACATGAATGCTTCATTGCCTAAGAAACTGAGTAAACTTGCTTTCTGAAATGTACCTTTTAATGTCTTTTATGATTTTGTTTTTCTTCCCTTATTTGCACTCTCAGCTGTGGATGAATTTCCATGCAATGCATCATTTCTTTAAGAGTTTACACACCAGAAGAAATAAAAATGGAAAATGGTATCTATTAAGAGAAAACAGCTTTCCCAAGTCCCCAGCAGATGCTGTCGGTGAGCAGCCCTCTGTTTACTCAGCACAGCAGATCAGCTTAACCCTCCATAGGGTTGCCCTAAAGAAAGGAACATATTTCTGGTTGTTAAACAAATGAAGGCACTTTTAACTTGAGTTTACCATCCTATTGTTTCAGAATACAGTGTGGACCTGGGGGTTTGTAAATTTAAGCCACATATCATTCCACTTTGGCTAATAATATTTCTATTTTTTTATATCCCACCAGCTTCTGTATGATCAATTGCCCATGATCAACTTCAGATTTTGTGCTTCCTTCCACACATCAAAACATATATGCCCACGAGAGATGTCCTTTTTAAAAATTTTTATTTCAATAGTTTTTGGGGAACAGTGGTGTTTTCTTACATGGATAAGTTCCTCACTGGTAATTTCTGAGATTTTGGTGCACCTGTCACTTGAGCAGTGTACACTGTACCCAATATATAGTCAGTTATCCCTCACCTCCCTCCCACTCTTCCCCCGATCCCAAAGTCCATTATATCATTCTTATACCTTTGTGTCCTCATAGCTTAGTTCCCACTTATAAGTGAGAACATACAATATTTGGTTTTCTATTCCTGAGTTACTTCACTTAGAATAATGATCTCCAACTCCATCCAGGTTGCTGCGAATGCCATTATTTTGTCCTTTTTTGTGGCTGAATAGCATTCTATGGTGTATATATGCCAATTTTTTTTTTTACCCACTAGGTGGTTGGTGGGCATTTTGGCTGGTTCCATATTTTTGCAATTGCAAATTGTGCTGCTCTAAACATAGGTTTGCAAGCATCTTTTGCATATAATGGATGTCTTTTGTTTTTATACATTTATTCTTTTTAACAAAAGGCTGTGGTTTTCTCTTCATACTTCTCTTCATAGCATAAGGTATCATCAGTGAATCTTTCTGCATTGGAGGCAATTCAATGGTTTGTGAACAAAAGTCTTTGGCCTGTCTTCATCTGGGCAGGAGCATGACGATATGCAGATATCCATCTGAACAGATCTGTGATGCAAAAGAGGGGTAGTGCTAAGTCTTGTACTAAACGGTGCATGACTTGATATACTTAGGTTTTTCTCTCCCCACCTGAATCTCATCTTGAATTGTAATCTACATAATCCTCATCATCTCCATGTGTGAAGGGAGAGACCAGGTGCAGGTAATTGAATCATTGGGGTGGTTTCTCCCATGCTGTTCTCGTGATAGTGAGTGAGTTCTAACGAGATCTGAGGTTTTATAAGTGGTTCTTTCCCTCCGCTCAGCAATTCTCCTTCCTGCCATCTTGTGAAGAAGGTGTTTTGCTTCCCTTTTATCTCCTGCCATGATTGTAAGTTTCCTGAGGCCTCCCCAGCCATGCTGAAATGTGAGTCAATTAAAACTCTTTCCTTTATAAATTACCCAGTCTTGGGTATTTCCTTATAGCAATGTGAGGACGGACCGATAGTACAACTCATACAAGCAGTCTCAGAAGGGATGAGACCTGAGAAGTGTCAGTGGGGCAGAATATCTGCTTTGTAATCTAAACATTATGGGGAGGGATGTGATCAAGTGAATTTGTTAAGTGGCAGCCTGATGCCCCATTTCTCTATGTCTCCGCTATTCATGGCTTGTACCATCTCTGTCAATTGTGTATAGACACTGAAACATTACATACTACTCTGTAAGCTAAGTTCCCTACACTGGGTACTTCCAAGCCTATGAACTCATTTGCTAACCAAGAACAAGAGTCGCCCACCTCAAAGTGGTTTTAGAGATGAAATTTATATCATACTGAAGAGGAGTCAGGTGGTTTCAGAATCACTGTTTGGACCTTGAAATAGAAATGCTTGTTCATAATTAAGAGATTTAAAAGAAGCAGCAGCAGCAGCTGAAGACGTTTAAATCTTCTTTCCCAGTCATTCACTATGAAATCTAACTCCATTCCTGGAGCGAAAATTGATGGCATTTAGGACTTTAGTGTTTTCCAGGTATCAATAAATCCCTGCTAGTGTCTCTCAGTTTTTCTAATAGCCAGGAGGACCAGTAATAAAGTACAATAAAAGGATTTAGTAAAAGAAGTAACATTTCCTCATATCATTAAGATACATTTTAGGCATTCTTTTAACATCTGTTATTTGAGTAGCCCATATTTTTTACAATTAATTTTTAGCCATTTTATTATGAAATACTACAAATTAATTAAACAAAATGAATAGCTCCTTGTTTGTTACAAATCTGTCACCTTTTATCACCAACGGTATCATGTAATCAGACACTGGTAAGATAGCAGAATACCCCTCACACCTCTAATCAATCATTAGTACATGTCCCACCTCACTAATAATTGCTTCCTTTTGTTTATAATTTCATCACCTAATCATGTACTGCTAAACACTAGAGTTCAGCTTTATTATTTTTAGGGCTTAATTTAAATGGAACCATACAGCATGTATTCTTTTAAGTCTAGCTTAGTTTGCTACATGTTATCTTTGTGAAATTGTCCATAATGTTGCATGTAACTGTTTATTGTCATTGATATATAATATCCCTTCATATGATTATAGCACATTAAAAATCATTTATAATGTTGATTAATGTTTGGGTTGTGGCCTGTTTTGGGTTCTTACAAGCAATGCAATGATTAAAATTCTTGTTTATGTCTCGTAGTGCACAATTGCTCACATTTCTATTCGTTGTATATATAACCAGGAGTGTAACTGCTGAGTGAAAGAGTGTGCATATCTTGAACTTTATTTGATAGAATCAAACAGTTATCCAAAGTGCTATTTCTGGAATTTCACACCCATCAACAATGGATTTCTATGCTTTTATGGATTTGTTTCTGGATTTTCTGTTCCAGTCTGTTTTTCTATTTGTCTATCTCTTCCCAATTACTATGGTTTTTCTTTTTTTTTTTTTAAATGCTTGCTTTTAAATTTCTTTCTTTGTTAAACAGTTCCATTCACTGAAAGAAAATAGCATATAATCAATTCTTAAAGCATGCTTAGATCTATCTTTTAAATGTGTTTATGTAAACCTGTTATAAGAACTAACGCAAAAAGAAAAGAAACTTTTAAATTTGCAGTAGCTATAAAATAAACAGCAACATCTGGTATAGTAAGTCCATTAGACATCTTAAGGAGTGTTGTGGCTATCTTGTGCCTTGGTATTCCCAAATATATTTAGGAATTCACTTGTCAGTATATAAACATTCGCACAGTTATTGAGATTTTGATTGAGATTGAATCTATAAATGAGTAGTAGAATTTATGTCGTTACAATATTAAATCTTCTGTCAATAAACATGATTCATTATTTTGTTGATTAGATCTTATTCCTCCATAATGTTTTATAATTATCTAGAAGAGGTATACGTATCTTTTTAATAGATTAATTCCTAATTATTTGGTATTTTTAGGATATTATAAATGGCACCTTTTATATTTTACTTCTGAATACTTTTGCTGATACATAGAAATGCAATTAATTTTTATATATTGATGTTGTATAAGCAACTTTATTAAACCCATGATTTAGGCAGTAATTTAGTTGTAAAATTTTCGGTTTTTTCTTTTTTTTTGAAAACACATAACATATTTGCATATTGAGAGTTTTATTTTTTTCCAGTTCTTACACTTTTGATTTGTTTTTGTTCATGATGGTTCCAATACTTTAAAATTAAATAAAATGCTTATATGGGTTTTTTTTATAATAACCTTTAATTAAGGAGAAATTTTCATTCACAGTTTGCAAAATTTTTTTTCATTCATTAATTATTTTTGATTGTGGTAAAATACACATAGCATGAAATGTATTATCTTAAGGAATTTTAAGTGTACAATTTAGTGGCATTAAGTATATTCATTGTTGTACAACCATTGCTACCGTCCATCTCAAGAACTCTTTTCTTCTTAACAAAACTGACATTCTGTACTGATCAAACAATAACTTTTCATTCACCCCTTTTTACAACCCCTGTCAACCACCCCCCTTCTTTCTGCCTCTGTGAATTTAACTACTAATCTATATACCTCATATAAGTTGAATCACACATTATTTGCCCTTTTGTGTCTATTTTATTTCACTTCACATGCCCTCAATGTCCATCCATGTTGTAGCATGTATCAGAATTTCCTTCAAGGCTGAAAAATATTCCATTGTAGGTGTGCATGGCATTTTGTTTATGCATTCATCGTTGATAGACCTTTGAGTTGCTTCTAACTTTTGGCCATTCATTGTAAATAATATTTCCTTGAAAATGAGTGGAAAAATATCTGTTTTCATGCTTTCAATTATTTCAGGTCTATATCCAGAAGTGGATCTGCTTCTGGTAATGGGAATTCTCTTTATATTGTTTTGAGAAACTGCCACACTGTTTTCCAGAGAGGTGGCAACATTTTACATTCTCAACAAAATGGTGCACAAGGGTTTAAATTTCTTCACAACCTTGCTTCTAAGCAAGGATGCTTTTTAAAAGTTGAGAATTGAGGTTGAATTTTATCAAATGGCTTACAGCCTTTATTATGGTGATAATATGTTATTTCTTTTCTTTGTTCTATTTATGTGGTGAATTACACTGATTGATTTTAAAAAAGAATCCACTTTGCATTCCTGGAATTAACACAAATTGTTCCTGATATTTTGGCCTGTTTATATATTATTGGCTAGAATTTCCAATACTTGTTTAAAATTTTTGCATTTATGTTTATGAAAGATTTGTTTATCAATTTTTCTTTCTAATTATTTTTGGTATCAGAGTCATGCTGTACTCATAAAATAATTTGGGTAATCTTTTTTATTATTTAGTGGGAGACTGTATGAAAGATTGATGTGACTTCTTCCTTAAATGTTTGGCAGAATGTGCTGCGGAAGCCATTAGGCAGATATTTTTTGTTGTTGTTGTATAAGCTGATTCTTAATTTTAGATTAAATATATTGTTAAAATACTGAACTGTTCATCTTGTCTGTTTTGTTTTGTGTTTGTTTTATTACGTTGTCCTTTTTTCAGCCTTTGTGCATTTCATCTAGTTTCCAATTTTTAGTATGTAATGTCCCGTTAGGGTTATTTTAATATTTTGGGATGTATAATGGTCTCCCTTTTTGTATTCTTGGTATTTGTGTGTTTTTTTTTTTACATTTTTCTTCATCAGTTTCCCCATGGTTTATCAAGTTTATTCGTTTTTTTTAAACAAGCAATTAAACAAGTGTTTGACTATCCTTTCTGTTGTATTTTTCTATTTAGTTAATTTCTGTGCATTTCTTTATCATTTTCTTCTTTTTACTATCTTTGGGATTAATTTTGTTCCTTTTCTTAAGACGAATGTTTAGATAATTAATTTTTAACCTTCTCTGTAAAGATGTGCATTTAAATTACAAAAATTCTGTATAAAATCAGCATATACACATGTCGCAAGTTTTGATATGTAGAATGTTAAAATGTAGTTTAATAACTATTTTTAAATTTTTATTATGCCTTCTTGAACCAGTGTACCCTAATGATAATTTTTATCTTTTGGCAATTCATTTTCTCCCTATGATTTAGATATCCACTCAATTTCATTACTTCTATATCTCTTTCTTTAAAAAAAAATTTAGTAATAGGTTTTGCTGAGAGAATACATTTTTAAACTCAATTATTTCTAAAGCATAAAAAGAAAGGATTAAAAATTTAAATTTTCCTAACACCTACCATATTCTGTATTGTCTTTTATCATTTATTATCTACCTTTCAACTTCTACCTTTATGGATTTCTTTCTGTTTGTGCTTTCTTGTCACCTACTTCATAAGTTTTTGTTCTTGTCTCAAGATAACTTTGATATTGCTCTCTTGTTTCCTAAGACAATGGCCAAATTCTGTTTGTAGTCTTTATTTACATTTTCTTTCTTTTTTCAATTTATATGATAACTCTACAAAAAAGATTTACAGGCAGCTTACAAAACAGTTATCTATCTTACCAAGCTATAAACATTGGAAATTTTTTGCCCTCATGGCTTTTATTTTCTCTTGACTTCCTTTTTACCTATATAAATCTTACTTATCACACAGATTATATACCATCTGTATTCTGTATCATAATTTCCTAGCCCTTCATTTGTGCCTCTATGTTAACTTTCTGCACACTGTACATTGTTTTATTTTAGATGTTCATTCTAGAAATTTCTTGAGGTGAAGAATTATATTTTATGTATCTTTTATTCCCCAGTGTCTCATAATAGCAACCCCATTCAAAAACATACAAAATGCCTAACTAGGACCCAGGAACACAAAGGAAGAAAAAGGAAAAAATATTGAAAGTGGAGTTTATAGAAATCCAGATGTCCATGTCAACTTAATTATTTCTAATATTTGAGCCATGTTTCTCTCATGTATATAGCATGCTTATAAAACACCTATGTGTGTGTGTAGTCACATATGTATTATTAAAAGGTATAAATTTATTTTTCCTATCTAGGTACAAAGTTATTCATTCCTACATATGTGCTTTGTGCAAATACATCATTGTCTTCAGCATATTAACCTGCTTAAGGAAAAGAAAATAAACATTTCAGTTGTTCACATAACTTATATTTCAGAGCCAAATACAGTACGTTGCTACACACAAGGCACTGGTGAAATTAACTGTTTCCTTCATTTACCTTCTCCAATATCTACGTATCCAATATCTGTCTATGGATGCTATGGCTAGTTAATCCCTTTCAAACAAGTATTATTCTTGTCTTCGTAACTTTTCTCTGTACTGTAAACAAAAAGAACCTTCTTTTTTGAATAGGTTATAAAAATATTACTGATTTACTAATTTGATAGGACATCCTTCCCTGGATTATATAACTGTTAGTTCCAATATCTGCTATATTAATGATTATATTGTGCTTATGTTTTAATAAATATGTATTTCCTTCTTAGAAGTCTGTGGCTACAATGTAGTGATATATGACTACGGTGTGATTGGAATAAATAGTCATAGCAATCATCTCTTTGTCACAGTGTAGGAAAAAAAAAGAAGGCTATTATGGCCTAACATGGTCACTCCTCACTGTTACATATGAATCCTCCAATTATCTTTCATATCAGAGTACTTGAAAAAACAGAAGCCTCAAAATTATTTTTTTATAAAATTTCTATCTTTAAGAAATGTATTTTCAATATAACTTAACATCGAGTACATCTTAAATAAGTGTAATAGAGAAACTATTGCCAAACAATGAAAATAGATGGAAGCATATGCATTGTTTGATTATACTAACCACACATAAAAAGTAAGGTAAACAAAAGACTGATGCTGAAGGGAAAAAAAAAATCCTGCTATCATTTACATTCGGATGTTTAGTAAAATCACAACAAAACGGGAGCTTTTCAAACCTAGTCTCTGCAAAGCACATAGCTTAACCGTTAGAAATGCCACCACCAATGACAACAACAAACAAACAAAAACTATGCAGCAAAGGAAAATAATAGTGAGCTTATGCCTGATATTATTTATAAAGAAACATTAGTAATGCTAAACTCAAGCTTACCGACAGTGGCAAGTAGCTGCACATTCTCAGCTGCACTATTACAGCTGTTCTCTATAAACCTTTGGTTGCAACATTATGGCCAGTAGGGCACAGCATCTAGCAGACTGAAAGGTCATTGCTTTGTTTATATGACTTTTATAATCTGAAATTTCAACAGAATGAATCCCACAGCAGGCTCAGGTCCCTCCAGGGCCGCAGTTTTTCTGTGGTATTGTTTGCCTCTAGAAGTTCTGTGAGAGAGTGATTAGCATTTGGCAAATGTTAACTTTGCTTGAGAGGACTTTGTGTCTGCACCAAGGTATAAACTGAGGAGCCTAAAGGAGAACACTCACATGAGCCAGCGGCTCCTAGAACTAACATCAAAATGGATTAGGTGCAAGCTTTTTTTTTTTTTTTTCCTAAAACCTGTCTCAGTTTTTCACTTGATTTGGTATATTCTAGTTGTCCTCTGTGTGAGTTCACCTCAGGTCCTTTGTCTCTATCTCAAGTACTAATATCACTCCTATAAATGCCTATATTTGGAAGTTGGAGAGGGGCTTAATTCTTCAAATAGATTGTAGAGTAGTGACAGTGGGAACAGGAAGAATGGAATAATTGTGGGTGGATATTTAATTTGGCCTTGAAAAAATGCCAAGAATCATAGCTTTGATATTACCCATATATCTCTTATGCAATAGTAATGATGGAATCTAGTAAGGATATTCTCCTTCCTAGTGAGAAATTGCACTGCTCACAGACAAATTGAAGTAAGCAGTGAGTGGGGGCTAGGGAGGTGATGCGTGGCATCCTTGGAATGCAATGGGAGTCCACAGGTATCACAAGGGACAGTCAGATGAAACTTATCAACTACACTTAAAGAAAAATGAACCTAACCTTTCATTCATCAAACAGAACCCTATATAAATGTCAGTGAGCATCAGCATTCAATTAACATTGTGGCTTATTCATCAGTTAGGGATATATAGTGTAGGGACTCCTGTTGCTCCTGAATCATAATTGCAGAGCCGTCTCTTCAGCTGTTTTTAGCTAGGTGCAGATGCTTCACCTGCTGCATTTCAAGTACCTTTCACCAAATCTCTACTTTAGACATTTGTCATGTGGTCCCTTAGTAACACACTGGTAAGATCTCACATTGGTTCTTTGTACATTAAGGTTCTAATGAAGAGTTACCCTTCTGGGAGCCTGGAATAAATTCCCCCACCCACAAGAAAAAAATAAGGACAAAAAGAGTTGTTTCTTTCTTCTTAATGTGTGCATTGTTTACATAAAAACAGTTGTTAGAAGGGTAAGAAACAGTTATATTCTCCTGATATGTCTGCATTCAACCCTTCCTTGGGGTGTACTTTTAATTCTGCAGCCAGGGTATTAGCAATATTAAACTGAAAATGTCACAAAATGTCAAATCTGAAAATGTCACTGGGAAAGGGGAAAAAAGATGGTGACCCCATACTATCTACAGATGAAATAAATATGCCTCCCTGGTACTGTACAGTGATTTTTTTTAGTGGATATAATTTTATACATTTTGCATCCTATTAATTTTCATGGCATAGATGGAGAAATATTAGAACAGCGAGAGTGCTGAAGACAAATTAACTCATCAATTACATGTATGGGACAGTGGAGACTGAGTTTATTTCACCATTTCGAATAGCAATAAAACTGTAATTACTAACTCGTGGAATCTTCATGGAAATCTGCATTCATTACTGCTTAATTTGAAGTCAGAGACTGCTATATACTTAGCTTTTCTAATATCTGCCACCCAGTGAAAACAGTAGAAAACAGTTTAGAATTAAAGCAGCTGTCCCACTAAGTCTCCACAGAAACATTTTGGTAATCATCCAAACTAAATTTTACCCATGACACCAGTGAGACTAGTTTGTACTTAAATAGTGCAGAAAATGGAAAATGAATATATTGTTTGTTCAGGGGTACAATTCCCCCTTTTTTTTACTGTTCTCTGCATGTCAGTCTAACTCTCTGCTAACTCTTCCCTCTTCTATCCTCTCTTTACATATGCAAACGCGGTGCAGAGAGTTATTTTTTAACAGAATGGCTAAGGGGAAAGATGTAGTCAGAAGATTTGGGTACAAATTCTGTTTATAACACTTACCAACTTTCTTTATGGTGTTGAACAAGTCACTTCACTTCTTTGAATCTCACTCTCCTCATTTATAAAATGGAGATTATAATGTCAACCTTCTAAGGTTTATATGAGCATTAAGTGAGCTAATGTATGTAAACACCTCTAGTGTAGCACCCAATATTTTAATGTTGGTTTCTTTTGTTTTAATCTTTAAAGGAAACCAAAAGTTATAGGTATTATATGTTGTGTTATAATTTATGGAGTGAACTGAATTTCCCTGACAGCTTAGTATCTAGAAAAATCAGAACTGCATTTATTATACATATGCCATTTGTTTTGCTTTTGTATCTTTACTATGGTTGAAAAGCAAAGTGTTACATCTATCGAAACTGATCTTTTAACTATACATTTGTTTTTACATGCCACTGTGAATTAATTAAATCTGAAAAGGCATCATTTAAATGCAATTACTTGTTTTTATTTCTTTAGTCTGTTACTGGCACCTGGGAAATGATAGATCACAGTTTTAAGGGGTCAGATAGGGGCAGAAATCAACGGCATTTTATTTTAGGATCAGTGATATTTTTCAAAAGTTTGTTTCTGTCAACTACAGGTTTTGATGTATGTGCATACAGAAGCAAAGGAAACGTGTCTGTGGTATATGCACTTTCTGATTGGAGAACAGAGGCAATAAAGCTCACTCTGATCTGAGCAAGAAAAAGGAACATAAAGAAGGGTTGTGGTAGAGATTAGTTACAATGAAAAAATGCAAACAGAATAAATTTTTAGAAGTGTTTGAAAGTTGTGATGGGTGCTTAGCTAATAGTTCGAAAACTCCACCTGCATCAGTGTTAGGTATATTTATTAATAAATCTCATACTCTATCTCTCTGAGTTCCTTTGCCTTGTAGAGATTTGTAAAACCTAACAACACTCAATAACACAATTAACTGTAAAGAGGTTAGAACAAAACTAAATTCTATGCGTTTTCTTCATTCACTTGCCTATTTTGAGGTATTTTTCCATTTCCTTAAAAGATACAAATGTTTCTCCTGAATCAAGCAAGACTGGAAAAGTGAATTTGATGACTTGATGTGGCTGATCTGGCCACATGTATGCTCCATGGGTTTCAACTGACTAACATAGAAACAGCACAACATTTGTATTGCTAGCCAGAAACTGTTGAGCAAATGCCGTACCTCTGATCTCAAACTGCTTGGCTGAATCTACTGAACAGATCCAAAGTAGTATAGAAAAAAAATCTAAGTCAGGGATTTGATGATCTTTCAGACTCTTTCAGATAATAATTGTTATCTGCAAAATTAAGATTTCAATAAGTTATTACACGCAGATCTCTGCTAAGAGCTCCTGCTATATATAATATGCTCTTAAGTAATGTTAGCTCTTATGATTCCTACTCAAGTTACAGTTTGTATAGTAAAATTAGGGTACAAATGTCAACTAGAGAGTGATGTTTCTACGTACAAAAAACAAAGGAAAGATAAATTCAGCTGTATATGATATCTGATTGAAAAGCCCAAGCAAGAAAGCTAATGCTCTAAGCTTAGTAACTTAGAATTGATTAGCCACAGTCTGCTAGTTGATAGGCCCAGTACATGACGTTGCTCAGAAAATGTAGTATTTAGAAAGTATCTAGTGAAAATAATTTGGCAGTGTCATTTATAAATTGATGTCTGTTCACTCACCTGATTAAAATGTACATTTTCAATAAACCTCAAAATAGAAAATACTATACAGAAAAGACCATCTTGAGTGTAATTTTCTTAATTCCAAGAATCTGTCAAAGAACATAAACCTGCTGATTCTAGTGATTAGAAGTGGTTCACAGAGGTTTATTGTGCAACATTTACATTTTATACCTACCTTGATGTAAGCTGTTCCTGTTATCGTTTGTCATACCATCTCTGGCCCCTTCTCAATTCTTCTCCTCTGTATATACTCTGAACTGTGCAAATATGATGCAAGAAAGTAGGATAATTGATGGTAAGAATTTCTTTTAAGAAATGACCATTTTAGTGCATTGTGAGTGAATGAGAGTGATGGCTTTGCATTTTTCCAGAAATATACAGCTATTTCTGGAATAGCTGTCTGACCTGTGTTTTAGTTGACTTTGGAGTATATTGTTAGGACGTAAACCCTGTGGTGGCATATAGGAAAATATTGACAGCACCTATTTTTAAGTATTGTAAATGCATGTAAGAACCTTAGGCTCTCAAATTATCATATACATATATATATATATGTATATATATATAAATCAATTATCTCTCACTTGAATTTGGAGGAGTTTCTTGGCTTTTCAGGGACTATGCTTAAGCCATACTTAACTAGCTCAAATTCTCTTTCTATGCCTGCTCTTTCTCACTTTCAGGTTTTTGCACGTGCTACCCTCTCTGCCTGGAATATTCTTCTCTCTGCTTCACTTGTCTTGTCTGATTCACTCCTTAACCTTTTGCTTTCAGCCTAGATATTTTGTACATGAGAAAAGTCTTCTCTGACCAACAAAAGTAGGCTAATACCTTTACCCATATGCATCCAAAACACTCCGATCACCTCTACCATTGAACATGTTACATTGTACTGAGCATTTGTCATTGTGTGTCAGTGTCGTTCACAATACTAGAATTAAACTATAGATAACAACTGTATTGTTCACCATTTTGTCTTGAGTTTTTAGCAAAGCATATGACATATATTAGATGTTTAGTAAACATTCATTAAGTGGACTCGTGATTTAGAGTTGGAATGAGTTGGGCTAACAGACTATTCTTGCCCAAGTTTTCTTCTCTGGGTTCAGATGTGTCTCCGAATCCTGGACCCTGGTAATACTTTGCTGTGTTCCATGCCGGGATCTAGATCTGGGATTCCTTAATGCAACTATTAAAGTTCTTACTTAAAAGCAATCTGTGAGGTATGTCCTCTTTTAGGACCTCTGACCAAAATCCAAAGATGGAGCGAGGACACTGTAATTTCCAAGACCCTTGTAAATATAGAAAAACATTGGAATTTCCACTATAGGCCAGTGTTCACCGTTGTCCTCTAGACTGTTAGTCATCCAGCATTTAGAAAAATACTATTAATGATTGATAACCTACCTCTGGGTAGGCAATTGAGGTTATAAAGAACTTCTCAAGCTGGGTGTGGTGGCTCACGCCTGTAATCCCAGCACTTTGGAAGGCCTAGGTGGGTGGATCACTTGAGATCAGGAGTTCAAGACCAGCCTGGCCAACATGGTGAAACCCTCTCTCTACTAAAAATACAAAAATAAGTCGGGTGTTGTGGCAGGTGCTTATAGTCCCATTTACTCAGGAGGCTGAGGCAGGAAAATGGCGTGAACCCAGGAGGCGAAGCTTGCAGTGAGCCGAGATCACACCACTGCACTCCAGCCTGGGCACAGAGTGAGATTCCGCCTCAAAAATAAAATAAATAAATAAATAAATAAATAAATAAATAAATAAACAAACCATCTCTACTAAGAATACAAAAAATTAGCCAGGCATGGTGGCGAGCCCCTGTCATCCCAGCTACTTGGGAGGCTGAGGCAGGAGAATTGCTGGAACCCGGGAGGCAGAGGTTGCAGTGAGCCGATATTGCCCCATTTCACTCCAGTTTGGGCAACAAGAGTGAAATACCGTCTCAAAACAACAACAACAACAAACAACAACAACAACAAAGTTTCTACAATGCGATGAGAATAATGGCCACCAAATGCCCATCAAGAATTTCAAGAATTTAATGTCTTTACTAGTGGTATTCCATAATCATTTAAGGATTATCCATAGTTAAAATTTATCTGTCTCCATCTATTGCCATTGTAAACAGTGGAAACTCACAGCTATGCACTTGCATCTGTCACAGACATGCTATTTATTTCTTGTCCTGTCAACTTCACCTATTTTTATTTGCTAACCATATTATTCTCATATATCTAACACATTAGAATGGATGCTCGTTTGTGTACATCATCACTGAACATATAGAATGTTGTATATAGTCAAAAGCATTTTCCTAATGTAGACTTATGAGGAAACCAATCCATCTTACCCTTCTAGTGTGTCCTACTAATTCTATACAGGAGATTAGGCAGTCAGCTATTATTCTCTTATTGCACAGAATTTAGATTCCACATATCGTTCTGTTGGATACAACCGTTTGTCTTTGCAATAAAATCCCCACAAATATTTTATGGTCTGAATTCAATAGTGTTAAGAGCTTTCAATTTCTGAAGTCTTGCCCTGTTCCTTCTTAAACACAATAATCAATAAGCCCTGTGTCACAAAGTCACATGTTTTAATGGAATTACATTGATAACTCTTGCCAAAGTCTTCCTTTAAAACCTGAAATTCTGTGATAAATTCATGTGTGCCAGTAATGGTCATAATCTTTGAGTACTGTCTTTCTACAGTCTCTATTATATTGCCACTTATGCCATACCTTTTAAAAATTATTTTATATAGAGTTTCAAAGGTAAAACTTTTATATCTTTTCCGAATTAGTACTTTTTTTTGCACAAAAAATTAGAGAAAGATTTTCACTTATAATTTTGAGACAAAGTCCTAGTTTCCTAGCAAAATTGATGTAAAATTATTTGTTCTTGTGCTTCTGCTATTCCACCTCCTCCTTTTTTTGTCGGTCCTTTGTTTAGGAAATATTTTAATAGGTTTATGCATGAGCCATAAGTAACTGCCCCACAATATTCTTTATATAACCAATATTCTTTTATATATAACTCTTATATAATCAATATTCTTTTATATATAACACTTTGATGTATAACTTCTTGATCCTTTGAGTAGATTATTTTATACTGTCATAAGATTAGCATTTTTTTTTCTGTGACAGTGCTCAAGTTTGGACTAGTTGGTAGAAGTTTTGAGAAATAACAGAAATTTAAATAACCACGTCTATAATTTACTGAGTGCTTATATTCTAGACACTCCAGTGTTAAGTACTTTTCATATATTAATATATTTTAATCTTCACAGCCACGCAAATTTGCCTCCCACTTTATAGATGAAGAACTTAGAATTCAGAGAACTTAAATAGACTGCCAAAGGATAGCAATAACAAAAGAGACTATTTTGGAATTCTGCGGAATGGAAAAATGAACCTGAAAATCTAAACCATAGAAACAAAGCAAAAGTCCTAGAGAGGACTCTTAGTCACCAGTGAATTCTCTTCTCCTGGATTTTTGCTTACACCAAGCATTTCTTCCTCTTCTTTGTTGGCTATTCCTCCTCTGCACATTCTTTAATGGTTGGCTTCTTCTAGGGTTCAGTCCCAGATCTTCATTTCTGTTCAGTCTTGTTCATTAGGAGCTTTCATCCATCACATGGTTTTAAATACTATTTAAATGATGATAAACCTGAACTGTGTATCAGTAGCCCAGAGCTTTCCCATGAGTTCCAGACTCATAGTCAGCATTCAACCTGATATCTCCACTAACAAGCATATAAAATTGTATGGGTCCAAAATGAGTGCTAAACTTTTACCTCCCTGAAACTATCCCTCTCGCTGTTTCTCATATCGGTAGTATCACTACAATTACTCATTAATCAAATCAAAATTATATGAAGCATCCTTGCTCATTCTTTTTCCCTAACTCTCCCAGTAAAACATAAATTCTATGGATTCTATCTCTAGCATATGTCTTGAATCTGCCTATTTGTATTGATACTTCTATGATTATCTTTTCTTTTGCCCTTGCCCTTTCCTAACTGCAGACCTTACCCTGGAATGCTGTGTTCTCCTTGATCTTATTTTTTTTTGCTAGATTCTTCTCTCTGAGTTCTCAACGTGAAAGTAGACAGAATTTTTTCAGGACTTCTTTAGTCATCTTATATAGTCCCTTGCTCTCTTCCAATCCCATCCATTCTTGTCTCACCAACCTAAATGCTTATATTTCTACTTGTCATTATTTGTAGTATTTTGATAATCCTTTGTATACTTGCTTGCTAGACAGGCTCACACAAAGGCAGAGATGTGTTTCTCTGTTGTATCCCCAGTTAACAGCAGAGTATTTGGAAATTGTAAGTATTCAATATTTATTGAGTTTCAAAAAAACTCAATAAATAAAGCCTAATATAACGGTTGCAAGGATGAGGTGGGTGGTGAGGTATCATTACATGGGAATGAGGCACTTCAGTTTCGTTTGATAAACTCCTCCTTTTTAAAAAAATTGACTGTACCCTGTGGAATTCCTGAAGTGAGACTTAGAAGATTCTTGACACTGGCTATTTCAACTTTTTTTTTTTTTTTTTTTTTTAGTAAAAACATACTAAATCTTTATTGTCCAGCCAAATCCTCTTTTCTGCATTTAATGTTAATCTCTTCTTAAATTTTGAGTTCAGAAAAGCCTACTTTACGTTCCATGATCATCATTGCCTTTTTATGAATAGAAGTTTATAGGTTGCATTCATCTCTCTCTTCGTTACAAATTAACTGCCACAATGATTTATATAGAATAAGAAGCCTTATTATTACTACTAATTGTGGTACATGGTGGATGGTGAATGTATTTTTAGCTAACCTTTATTAGTACTTTGCTAAATATTTTACATTCTTCCTCTTGTAATTAATGCTATACCTCTTTTACAAAGAAGAAATATTAAATTACAAAGCTTGGAATGGCCAAACTGCAACTCAAGCCTACCAGAAGAAAATGATCTTAAATATTATGTTCTAACTACCCAGTACTTCCTGTCTATGCCTTCTCACCAGGAGTGCCTCGTATCTCATCATACAAACGGGTAGGAATGATATCACAATGAGAGATGAAAGAAGAATGTAAATTTCTTTTGCATAAAGGTGGAATACTCACAATTCCTCACCAAAGCGATGTGATTTTACATTCTAGTATTTGCTTTATTGACCAATTGTACCTTCATGTTAGCATGACAAAAACTTGAAATTAAATTCATCTTTAAACCATTTTACTTGTATTTTGGCTAAATAATAATATTTGAGGAGTCTGTAAGTTTAAAAGGGGAGACATCTAAATGGATTGCCCTTGCTATTAAGCAGGTTTTTCAAAGTTAGTCCTCAGACCATTTTGCTGGTGTAGGGCAAATTCCCCCTTCCCTTTGCAGTCAGACTAGATCAAAATTTCTGGTTCACCCAATTTTTACAGCAAATGTCTACAAGCTTACCCATTCACAAGTACTTTAATAATAACCTAAAGAATAATTTTGTCTTGTACATTTATAAAGGTGATGTGAGAATTTATTAAAAAGAGATCCCACACTATGGAACAAATATATTATTAAATATATATTATTTAGATAATTGGTTAAGCATAAGTATGTATGCAGGAAGGAAAAAGAATGTGTGTTTAATGTTAGCCACCAGGTCATGGTGACAGTAATTTAGAGAAAAGTGGCAGTGGTAGCTCTGTAATATATATTTTTGAATTTTCATTATTAATTTTTCTTTATCTTTTTTTTTTTTTTTTTTGAGACAGCGTCTTGCTCTGTTAACCAGGCTGGAATGCAGTGGCAAAACTATGGCTCTCTTCATCTTCAGCCTCCACCTCCTATTCTTAATCAATCCTCCTGCCTCAGACGGAACTATAGGCATGTACCATTGCGTCCAGCTAGTTGTTTTGTATTTCTTTTGTAGAGATGGAGTTGTACTGTGTTTCCCAGGCTTGATTCGAACTCCTAGGCTCAAGCCATCTTCCCACCTCAGCCTCCCAAAGTGGTAGGATTACAGGTGTGAATCACTGTGTGCAGCTTTGCATAATTCCTTGATGCACTTTTTTTTTTTTTTTTTTTAATTTGAGATGGAGTCTTGCTCTATCACCCAGGCTGGAGTGCAGTGGCATGATCTCAGCTCACTGCAATCTCCAATTTCCTGGTTCAAGCAATTACCCTGCCTCAGCCTCCTGAGTAGCTGGGATTACAGGCACTGCCACCATACCTAGCTAATTTTTTTGTATTTTTAGTAGACATGGGGTTTCACCATGTTGGCCAGACTGGTCTCAAACTCCTGACCTCAGGCAGTCCACCTGCCTCAGCCTCCCAAAGTGCTGGGATTACAGGTGTGAGCCACCATGCCTGGCCTATGCACTCCTTAAACCCCTATTGGTCTTCACAAATTCCTACTGAATTGTTGTTTAATTCATTTATTCATCCAACAAATATTTAATCTAGTTCTTCACTCAGCTAAGTGTTGGTCAATATTTTGTATCAGACATAAAGTGCTATTAAAGAGAGTCATTCTGCCTGTTTGCAATTGTCAAATATTTAATTTTTGAAGCCCACAGGTTTGTCATTTGCCACACACGGTTTCATCTTCTGAGTTTGTTTTTCCCTGGCTGTTTCTCTTTCAATTTGCTAGTGTATATAGTTGTTTTCATACTGGAGCTGCTAAAATCTTGGCTCTTTTCAAATGCAAAGATGCCCTGTATTTGCATTTGGAGAATGTTTGCAAAGAATTTTCTTCAGGATACGTCTTTACAAAGGACCTACTGTAGTTGTGTTATAAGGAATTTTATAGCAATTCCTGATTTTTAGGTATAAGAAGTATTATATCCCAACTGGTACGTTTCCTTGTAGATAACTACTCATTTTATAGAACGGTTTACTTTTGAGATGTTTTTCTTACTACTGTCAAAATAAAATAATGATGACTTCTTTTGAAATTTGAAATTTTTTTGTTAATGTTTTAGTCTCTAGTGCCTAGCATGTAGTAGGCACTCAAAAATATTAGTTGTGTGGTAGGATGAATAAATTAGCAAAAAAAAATCCCCCAATCTGCAGCAAAAACTCTTTTATAACACAATTCTGCATCTCCAAAGCTTTGTTAATTATCACATGTGTTTTGACAAAGAAATGGACCAGATAGAATATTTTATGCTTTCAACTAGAGTTTCAAAAAGTGACTATGCCATGTAATACAAAAGAGTAGATAGTATCCTTAAAATACGCACATGGAACTCTTCCAAATGCAGACCCTTGGAGTATTTTCAAATCTCCTTCTTACTGTATGTTTACATTCTAAAAAAAAAAAAAAAAATCCTATGACTTTTCTCAAAAATGAATGGCCACCTCTCTAACCTTTAACATGGTTGGAATTGATTGTTCCTAATCTTTATGGATATCTCCTTTAGTTTTGTTTTTATAGTTTTTCTAGAATCCCAGTGCCCTGCCGCAATTATTTCTGCAGGCCCTTTCTGCTCTTGACCCTTTCTATTTCTATTATTTTTTATCATTTTCTTTAGTCATATCATATACTTCCTCTGCACCTGGATCTTCTCTTGTCCTTGAACCTGGGCTAAAGAGAACACTGTAAATGCTAATGAATTCAGAGTTGTCTCTCTGTCTTTCCTTGAATCTTTCCCCTTGCTTTCTCCCTGCTGGCACTCTGCCTCTGTCTGAGTAGTTTACATTCCTGGAGGTCAAACTTCTTTGACTTTGGCTGCTCCTTTATTTGGGGTCGGACAACAGTGATCATTTCTATAGATTTCCTTCCTCTGTTTCCATCTATAAACACTACTCGAGCTTCTCTTACATACAGCATTCTCTTACCTCTGAGATTTAGACTTTGGCATCTGAAAGTCTATAGACATTATCTCTCTTCATTTCACAGATGAAGAAAGAGTTGAAGTTTCTGGTTAAATTTGGTGCATTGAAAGCATGCCATTCCTCCAGAAACCTGACTAAAATAATAGAAAAAAATAAAAGAGCTAAAAATCTACAGGAACAATCAGTAGTGAAGACAACAGCAGCTGAGAAATGACACAAAACTTCAGATGAAAGCAGATGGGTGAGTAATGAGTGAATTGGCAGAGCAGAGTGGAACCCTGGGTGCCTATAGAGAAGGACACCAGAGAGGAGAAGGTCACTTTGTCCCCCCTGGGCCTTGGAAAGTCCCTCAGGCTCTAAGGAATTACAGGAATCAGATTCCGTGAAAGGCAAAATTTGGAGGATAAAAAAATTAGAATTGGTTTATTTTTGTAAAAGAAGCGATTAGAAATGTCAGATGCCTTTTCCCACTTCTCACAGCAAGACAACTACTTCCTTCTCAAACCTGAAAGAGAAATTAAATCCATTTTTCAGATAAACTGACCTGGAAGAGACTTTGAACTGGGATTCCAGGCAAAGCAGAGGTGAGATTAGCTTTTTTCGTAAAAGCCAGGAGCTTCCCCAAATGTCTGCATAGCTAATGGTAAGAATACCCATCTTTTAACTTTGTCTCCTATAATGGTAAATTATTATTGTCAGAATCAGACATCTGTGAGTCTCCCTATAAAAATCTAGCTAGGGACTCCATTAAGTTACAGGGTAGCATATGAATTCATGAACCCAGCCCATGTACAAAATTCAAGATCAATTTTTAAATTACTCACTCTGAGTGAATAAAGACCACTAGAAATCTGGGTAAAAATTACAACGTGGGAAATAGAGACAAAAACAAAAAGAAGCTCAGTGAAAATAGTCCACACTATGAAAGGGAGAAAGCATCATAAAGCCATGATTAATATTCTCAGGGAGATAAGGGAAAATGTCGCGCTCATCAAACAGAAACAGTATGCTATTAATCAAAGAAATTCTCGGGGAATAAGGAGGATTCATTTGAAATTGAAAATATAATAGTTAAAAAATCAAAGTGTTAAAAAGTTAATGTAATCTTCTAGACTGTAGAACAAAGAGACAAAGAGATGAAGTTCAGTACTCAACTAATAAGAGTTTCAGAAAGAGAAAAAGAAGGAAAAAAAATCAAGTGATGCCAACATCAAAGAAATGAGAAGAATTTTTCAGGAAGTGGGAGTTAGAAGTTCCTATAATGAAAGAGCCCGCCAAGCTCTCAGAAAAATGGGTGATAAAAACCCACTTCAAGGCAACATAACATGGTCAAATGTCAAAACTAATGAGTTTTTGATGTTTTCAGAGTTAAAAATGTGGTTACACATGATGGATCATGCTACAGAGCATGTAGATCATGATATGGATCATGATGTAAGCACAGAACTTCCCTACAGCAATACTGGAAGCTAGAAGATTGTTCTTCAAAATTTGGAATAAAACATTTTCCGTGAATAGTTCTATATGCAGCCAAACTTTCAACTAATTTGAGGACAGAATAAAGACATTTGCAGACATACGTGATGATAAACAGTTACTTTCCATGCACCCCTTCTTAGAAAGCTACTATCACAAAATATTAGTGGCATAACATCATCTTCTACCACCTGTATTTGAAAGAATAACTGCTTATTGAAATCAGAGGGTTGGTTTACAGATTACTTATTTTAAAAGTCCAGGATACCTCATATTTAATAAATACTGGGTGTTAATAGTGCTGAGTTACTTGTCAGTTCAAATTGTTAATTCGCCAGCCAGCAAGACCCTGAGAATTCAGCCTCTTACCTCTGTCAGAATTGCACTTAAATGTTCTAGACATATTAAAATCTGCTTTTTACAAGAAAATTCCTTCTTCCCTGTATGACCCATTCTAACACTTAACAATTTCCCACTGCTAAGAATTTCTTTGTTATGTCTCAGTTAAATCTCTTAAATTGCTACTTAAGTGCATTTATTATTTTTTCCATTTTGGTGCTTTGTTATGGATACCAACTAACCAATGCCTGCATGTGTGTGCGCTCTCTCTGTCTCTCTGCCTGTCTGTTTCTCTCTCCCTTTCTAATCAAGCTTGCTTCAAATTCAAAGTGAAAATTTTTCGTTTGTTTTTTTTCTTTTTTTAATTTTATTTTATTATTATTATACTTTAAGTTTTAGGGTACATGTGCACAATGTGCAGGTTAGTTACATATGTATACATGTGCCATGCTGGTGTGCTGCTGTTTTGACATGGTATCTTTAAAACAAAATGAAGGAGACTATACTCTGAAAGCTAATTTAGGGCAACTCATGGCTTTCACCAATTGTAGTCCTCTGATGCATAATTCTGTAGCATAATGTTTCTCTGAATAATGTAAATATGAAGAGAATTTGGCTATTTACTGACCTTTGGAAGTCTTACTAATTTAATTTAGCTTTCTATCCCTTGGAATGAACTACCTTCCTGGAACTTCCTATTCTGTTGTCATTGCCATGTCTATGGGACTATATTGTTAACCACTCACTCAGTCAAACTGAGTTTAATGTTAAATGATTTTAATATTCACTGTTGATTTATTTTCTCTCCTATGTAAGTAGAAACAAAAGCATATATAGAAAGACTTAAAAGACCTGATTTCCTGAAAAAAAAATGGTTAACTTTTGAACACAGGTTCTTGTAGAAAATATTATTAACATAAAATTTAAATATATAGTAAAATACATACTTATATTACACAAATATTAAATAACTTTCTATAATACAAGCAATTTATGAAGCATAGATAATGTGTATTTACCCTTTATATTAAATAATGAAACATTTTTGTTAATGTGTTAGCCTTCAAGGATAACTTTCCTGCTAGCAGTAGCTGATAATGATGCTACTGAGAAGACATCTTCAAGAGAGATTTATACTCTAAGTAGATCACAGACAAATCAATGCATAAAATGTAAATAGGCTGCGTGTTGTATCATTGGTGATTTCTGCTTTTATTTAGACCATTTAGGTGACTACCTTTAAAGTCTTTGGCAGTGTGTGGGTGGTCAAAGAATTTCTAAGCTACTCCCTCTTGCTTTCAGATCATTGAACCAATTTAGCTCTAGTTAATAACTCTATTAACTGGATAATGGTTACTGTCCTTTTATCAGCTCAGTAACACTACATCCCCATTATAAACAACTGGTCAGTAACATAAATCTCTTTATATAGTAATACACAAAATGCTTTGTCTCTTAAGGGCAGTCTCACAGACAGTAACTAGCACTATATTTTTCATTGGGAAAAGCTGCCTCAGGCTCCTGTGGGGCTGCAACTGGGTAGCATCTTCTAATCTCTTCTCCAGAGTTGAACAGATGGCAGCTCCCTGATTGGAAACTTGATTCAATGCTGCATTTAGTGTGATTAAAACAAATGGTGAGCCTGGAGCTGGGTGTATACACCCCACAGAACAGGTGGCAAAATGGAAAGTGAAGGTAACCTGTTTATTTGTCTACACAACACTAAAGAAATGGCTTGATGAGTATTCTCCTTACTAGTGTGAATCTTTTTTTTTTTCCTTCATCAAATGAATTGAATTGACCAGCTGTATTGGTGTCCTGTAGACACAGCCTGAAAAGTCTCCTGCTCTAACAGGCTTCAAGCTAGTAGGGGTCTGTAGTGACGCAGCAGGTGCAGAGAGATCTAAGCCCTTGAATGTAATGTATACACAGAGCTCTGCAGACAGCCCCATGGAGCTACCACATAAGATGGTTTTTCATGTGTAAATGAGAAGGTCTTTTCATTTTTCAAGCTATTGCATTATATCCCCTTCTGCTGAAAGACAAATACAGGAAATCAACCAACACTGAGTTAATTACAGAGTGACCAGTTCTATAATCAGGATTGCAGATTTCAGTCTTGAGGTTTAAGTGCACAAGCATATTTTGCACTTTGGTACTCATAGTTCAAGCCATCTTGGGAAGTCATGGTTTTCATGATTTTGCTCCCTAGGACATCAGTGCTGGGAGCCTATTGGCTTTGAATGAAATGACTACCAGAATGGGGGTTGAAAACAGGAAATACTTTTAGGGTGAAGAATTACGAAGAGCTCAATGGCTGATTTACAATGTGAGAAATTACTTGGAGTGGTGTTTTAATAGAAATTTATTTCCTTGAAAGTTGCTGCTAGAAAGCGATGTTGAAGTCTTCTAGAATGAATAGAAGAAAATAAGCGAGGATAAGATATATCTTTAATGATTCTCAGTGATGTTTCTTAATTGTGGAATGAAAAACTCTATTTAAAATTATTGTAAAAAAACAAGTCTTTTTCTACTTTCAATATTTTGGCTGTGTAATTTAGCTGTTGAAAGAGTAATTGTGATTTTTACTTACGTATCAGTAATTTTTTAATATATTTGATATTCCTGGTCCTATTATATAATGGAATCCTAAAATATTTAAAAAAGAAGTTGTCATGCTACTTGCTTATGTACATGCTTATGTATGTATGAGTATAGATGCATACACATATATCTTTTTGCTGTGTATGTATGTATCTATATATACATATATGTATAGACACACACACATATATATACACATATGCAAAACACGCTATGTACTATTCCCTCCGAAACATTCAACAATTTATTTCTAAGGTGTTAAATGAAGACTTAATAATGAATGCTAATACCTTTCCTATATGAAGGATTTTTCATGATAGACATTGAAATATGAAATTTTGATGGTACTATTATTCCCATTTTATAAGTGAAAAAGCTGACTCAGTAAGGTTTGGTAATTTCCCAAGGTCACACAGCTCATACATTACAGGGTCAGGAATTTTAACTTCGGTCTTAAATCTTTTAATCTGACATGTACCTTTTCTTGTTAACATATATGTTAATATAAAAGCTTCAAGTACATTGCAATATGTAGTAAAGTGAATATTACATATACATGTGCTAAAAATTTGCATGTTTAACATTTCTTGAATGAATATGTTTTTTCTGGCATACATCTAATGTAGGAATAGTTAATTACAATCCAGTTTTTGTAAACAAGGTAGAGATCATGTATATCTTTGTTTCCTTTAGTGACATACGTCGCCTAAAGTTGTTCTTCCATATATGGATCGCATTTATGGGTTTTTTTTTTGTAAGCTTAGCCTCAAAAGATTAATATCAGAAACATAATTTTAATGCCAGGTTTTTGTTTTCTTATTATTGTTAGTAGCTTCTGAAAATAGAATTTATCTCTTTTCCATATAGTACCTTCATATGATGTAGCTCTCTGTAATGACAGGTGGCATTTTTTTTGTATGTTTGTTTGAACAAAAGCTCAAGAAAAATCTGAAACAGAAATATTTAATATTTATATACTCAAAGAAGGCATCAAGGACAAGCCTTAAAGACTCTTTGGCAAAAGCTCATTACTAAGCTCCATGTAGCCAGAAACTTACATGATTTGGGAACTTAATGTTTATAGAAGTACTGACAGAACTGTGCCAAATGTTCTGGATAATGTGTCTTGGGAGAGATCAGGTGGGTTCAGATTCTACTACTCCATGTATTTTGCAATAAGACTGGATTCCAGCCCTTGACTTCCTGAGTACAAAGGAGAAAAAGGAAAGGGTATCAGTTATTCCATAGCGGACAACTTCGGCACAATCCTGTTGGCTTTTCCACAAGTGTCTGCTATTGGTCAGCTCTGTCATTGACAGCTGGGGGATCGATGCCTGCAGAACAGCCACTAATGCTAATGGAGCTACACATGTTAAATCCCACTGCCCTGACAAAGGACAGATTCTGGTGTTGAATGTGAGACTTCTGTGAAAAGCAAGATGGGACTGATCTCACTAAAATAACTCTTCCTTCTTGCAAATCTATAGCTTTTTACAAGACAAATTGAGCTTTTTTTCTCTCTGGTATTTGCTGGGAAAGGAAAAATGGAGGAAAAATATAACTGTTCTTCTTGGTGGTGCTTTACCAGTATGACTAGTTTTAGAAAATGCAGTTTTTAAAATACAGAAATATTCTTCGAATAGTTCTAGTCATTGTCTCTGCATAATCTCATTTATTCAGGTAAAAATGATGGAGCCAATAAGTTCTCCAGATGTTTCTATTAATAAATATTTCGCTATTCCAGATCCTATAAAAAAGGAAACAGGATGACTAGAGTTTTTTCAATCTTTTCTTCTGAAATTATAAATTCTTTTCATGATTTGAATGTGGATACTGATAGGGAGTTATACATTTTAACTGTGAGGTTTGGATTATTTAACAACTTCTCCTAAGTATTATCATTGCTCTTGGCTTTATTCTACTTGATACTACAATGATTCCTTAGTAGAATTTTCTCACTTTAGAGGAAACATTGAGTTGATAAAGGAATTTCTTTCTTATAGAGAAAAAGATTGGGTTCGTTTTCTCCTATTTCATGAAAGTGTTCATTAATGTCTAGATGTCTATTGAATGCCTACTTTTACTGTCCATCAGATGTACATCTGGGGACTGGGACTCGCCTTTTATTGTGGGAAGACATAAATTGAACCAAATTATTGCATAACATGTCTAGTGATAAGTGCCAGGAAGGAATACCAAGCAGCACAGTGGAGACAGACTTGTGGGTAAGAGGGCTGCTATTTTATATGTGGTGATGAGAGCTTAGATGGTGTTAGAGGTAAGGAGCTTGATGCTAAATGTTTGCTATTGGCTTATTTGGAAAGCCAGACCTAGAGGAATATCAAAATGGGTAACCTCTATTCGTTTTAGAGCACGACATTTTACAAAGTGGCATAATCGGACATTTTTCTCTCTCTAATATGGCATAATTTTGAGCGACGGAGCCTTGAGCAAAGAAATCTGTCACCAGTTCCTTGTCACATCAGTTACAGGCCACAATTGGGAATATTGAGATTCAGAATATTTCACAGCATTAAAGAAAGCCTGGAAGAATTTTGCCATCACTTTATTGAGCTCAGGAACAATATTGACTTCAGAGTCCTTGAGATACTTCAATCTCTACTTCTTTGCCTGTTCCCTATGCTTTCTTCTCCTCCTCTCCACCCCCCACCCCTTACTCTCCAAGGTGGATGCAGTCATCAGTCTGCAGAATTCATCATGGCATGCTTCTCTTCGAGTTAAAACCTGAAATCTGTCAAGTCACAGTGTCGATTATTGTTTTGAATTCTATGCCTAATTGTGGAACTACCAAATTAGCATTCTGCACATTTTTTCCAAGGGTTTTCTTTAGTTTCCCTACCACCAAACCCTAGGGTTGCTTGCTGTATCTACCTATAAAGAAATACACAGTCTTCCATACAAATAGTTAAAAGTTTTGTGGTAATTTAATCTTCAGTTGGAACATGCTAGGTGGTCTTGCACCAGTTGCTTGTACTTGGTGAATAGGCAGGCGTGGAGCTAAAGCCTTCAAAAAGGTAAGGAAGAAGTCTAAGGACATGTATATGTGCATCAGCAATTATTTTTTAAGCCAGATTGAAAACTCTTACGAGAGGTAATACTTCCCTTAGTTCCCTGATGAAGCAATTGAGGCTCATTTGGCCAGTCTGCCTCTCAATGCAGGGTTCTGAAAGATTATCTGAGTTACTAAAATTCAAACATCAAACACATAATTTTACCTTTTTGTGTTTTTAGTGTGTATGTGTAGGGGGTAGGGTAGTGTAGCTGTAGGTATGTGTGTCATTATTATATAACAGATTTCACTGGCTTTTGCAGTAATATCTCTCTTAATACATTATAATATCCTTCAATTCTATTTTAAGTTCTCATTGAACTGATAGGATTTTGCTATTTTAATGATGTTTACTAAAATCGATAAAATGCTGAATAGTTTTTTAAAAAAGCTTTGTGCAACAACAAATAAAATTTATTTCGTACTATCTATTAATCTTAATCTTGTAGTAGATTTATCATACATTTAAATTCTTCACATGCTTGCTAAGATTACCAGAAAAAAAATAACAAATTGTAGCTGAGCAGATGAGGAACGCATTTATCATTGCATTCTTCTCATATTTTACTCAGAACTTACACAATGATTATTACTGTCCATACATTTAAAATATGATAGTAAAATATGTAATAATTACACCATATCCTAGGCCGTAGGCTAAAAGCTTTGTGTTCCTTATCTCATTTCCTCCTCATTGCACTCCTGTGAGGAAGATTCTATGATAATGCCTATTAGAGAGAAAATAAACACATGGTTGATCAGGTTGGAAAACTTGCCCAAAGTTACATAACCAGAGGTGGGCTTAAGATTAGGCAGGTGACTTGAGAACAGACACCAAACTTATGCCATTTCTAGAGACTAGTGGAGAAAACATGAAATTCAGAATTGGCAGTTCCTCATTTTAACAGCATTATAATTTTAGATATTGTTATTTGACTCACAAAACAGGAATATTAAGAAAAAAATAGACAAATATGTGCAAAAGTGCCTTGAAAATGTTCATACTAGCTAAATAGATATAGTTTCATTTATTATTTCCTTAAAAAACAATTTCTTGCCAAGCTTTTTTGTTGGACACAGTAGGCTATAATTTAAAAAGTAAATGAGAAACAGATAAAGTTATTTAAAAATTTTTAAAAATCAATGCATTGCTTTTTAAAAGTAGCATTGAAAATTTCACAGCTTTAATGCAAGGACCTTTATGTTATAATTTTCATCTAACACAGGTATATGTAGGAATGCAAGAGACTTGATCTTAAAAAATAATGTAGAATATCATAAATATTTATCATATGGGGCAAATATATTTTCTTTCTTAGAGCTTTCAATAGGTTAATATGATGTGAAAAACAGCAAAGAAATTTTAGCCAAACTTTGGAAGAACAGCAATGACTGAAACACCTCTATTCATATTTTAATAAAAATACCTATTAAACTATTAGAACGTAAACATTTTAAATAGCTGTCCCTGAAAACCGAGAGTCCACTGAAAAAATATAAGAATTTATGTAAAATTCCAGCAAAATGGCAAATTTAAACATTGTTGGTTTATATAATCAGATGGAAACTGTCTTAAGAAACTTATTGTATTCAAATTAGCAATAAAATACATAAAAATGCTCAGAAATATACTAAATAAAAAAGAAGTAAAACGTTGCATGTGATATGAAACTTGACTTTCTGGATCAGTGGAGAAACAGACAAGTCACTGATATTAAGTATTATAAATACAATGATCATAAGCCAGTTGGAGAAGACTAATGAAATCACCATAGTATTTTGGTATTTTTCACTGGGTTCCCTACTCTTGTATGTTGTTGTAGCTTAACTTTTTAAAAAACAGCTTTCTTAGTGTATAATTGATATGAATAAATTGGCATGTTTAATATGTACAATTTTGTTTTCCAATATATACCAATAATGCTATCACTGGAGTCAGGATAAACACATTTATCCCTAAAAGTTTCCCCATGCCTTTTGTAATACTAGCAACCATTCCCTTCTTGACTGCTTCTACTTTCTTAAGCACCTTCTCATTTGTTTTCTGTCACTGTAGATTAGTTTTCCTTTTCTAGAATTTTATTTAAATGGAATCATACACTATGAACTCTTTTTTGATATGGCTTTTGCCAAGCACGGTGGCTCACACCTATAATCCCAGCAGTTTTGGAGGCCAAGGTGAGTGGATAACTTGAAGTCAGGAGTTTGAGACCAGCCTGGCCAATATGGTGAAACCCCGTTTGTACTAAAAATACAAAAATTAGCTGGGCATGAAGGTGTTCTCCTGTAGTCCCAGCTACTCGGGAGGCTAAGGCAGGAGAATCACTTGAACCTAGGAAGCAGAGGTTGTAGTGAGCCAAGATCATGCTGTTGCACTCCAACCTGGGTGTCACAGTGAGATTCTATCTCAAGAAAAAGAAGAATATAGCTCTTATCACTATTCATAATTGAGATTAATCTATATTGTGTATATAAACAGTCATTTTTAAAATTGTTGATTTGTATTCCATTGTGGAAATATGCCACAATTTGTTTATCCAGTTACCTAATGGCCACTGGATTGTTTCCAGTTCTTGGCTATTACAAATAAACATCAATGAACATTTGTGTATAAGAAGTTAAGGCATGAATCGGATATACTCCTCCCTAGGTGGTAAGTTATATGGTTTGGCTGTGTTCCCACCCAAATCTCATCTTGAATTGAGGTTCCCATAATCCACACATATCATGGGAGGGACCTGGTGAAAGGTAATTTAATCATGGGGGTGATTATCCCCATGCTGCTCTTCTCATGATAGTGAGTGAATTCTCATGAGATCTGATGGTTTTATAAAGGGCTTTTTTCCCTTTTGCTCAACACTTCTTCCTGCCATTATGTAAAGAACGACAAGTTTGCTTCCACTTCTGCCATGAGTGTAAGTTTCCTGAGGCCTCCCGAGCCATGTGAAACTGTGAGTCAATTAAACCTCTTTCCTTTATAAATAACCCAGCTTTGGGCAGCATAAGAATAGACTAACACAGTAAATTGGTAGTGCAGAGAGTAGGGAGCTGCTGTAAAGATTTCCAAAAATATGGAATTGACTTTGGAACAAGATAACAGGAAGAGGTTGGAACAGTTTGGAGGGCTCAAAAGAAGATAGGAAAATGTGGGAAAGTTTGGAACTTCCTAGAGACTTGTTGAATGACTGTGACCAAAATGCTGACAGTGATATGGATAGTGAAGTCCAGGCTGAGGTGGTCTCAGATGGAGATGAAGAAATTGTTGGGAACTGAAGTAAAGGTCACTCTTGCTATGCAAAGAGACTGGTGGCATTTTGTCCCTGCCCTAGAGTTCTGTGGAACTTTAAACTTGAGAGAGACGATTTAGGGTATCTGGCAGGAGAAATTTCTAAGCAGCACAGTATTCAAAAGGAAGCAGAGCATAAAAATTTGAAAAATTTGAAAAATTTGCAGCCTTATGATGCGGTAGAAAAGAAAAAACTCATTTTCAAGGGAGAAATGCAAGCTGGCTACAGAAATTTACATAAGTAACCAGGAGTCAAATGCTAATCAGCAAGACAATGGGGAAAATGTCTCCAGTGCATGTCAGAGACCTTATAGGCACCTCCTCCCATCACAGGCTCAGAGACTTATTGGGGAAAATTGGTTTCCTTGGCTTGGTCAGGGACTTTCTGCTGTGTGCATCCTCAGACTTGGTGCCCTGCATCCCAGCAGCTTCAGCTCCAGCCATGGCTAAGAGGGGCGAAGGTACAGCTCGGGCCATTGCTTGTCAGGGTGCAGGCCCCAAACCTTGTCAGCATACATGTAGTGTTGGCCCTGTGGGTGCACAGAAGTCAAGAACTGAGGTTTGGGAACTTCCACCTAGATTTCAGAGAGTGTATGGAAATGCCTACATGTCCAGGCAGAAGTTTGCTGTGGGGGTGGAGCCCTCATGGCGAACCTCTGCTAGGGCAGTGTAGAAGGGAAATGTGGGGTTGGAGCCCCCACACAGAGTCTTCACTGGGGCACTGCCTAGTGGAGCTGTGAGAAGAGGGCCATTGTCGTCCAGGCTCCAAAATGGTAGATTCACTAACAGCTTGTACTTTGCGCTTGGAGAAGTTGTAGACACTAAACGCCAGGCCATGAAAGCAGCTGGGAGGAGGACTGTATGCTGCAAAGCCACAGGGGTGGAGCTGCGTACAGCCATGAGAACTCACTTCTTGCATCAATGTGCCCTGGATGTGAGACATGGAGTCAAAGAAAATCATTTTGGAACTTTAAAGTTTAATGACTGCCCTATTGTATTACAGACTTGCATGGGGCCTGTAGTCCCTTGTTTTGTCCAATTTCTCCAATTTAGAATGAGTGTGTTTACCTAACACCTGTTCCCTCATTTTATCTAGGAAGTAACTAACTTGTTTTCAGTTTTACAAGCTTATAGGCAGAAGGGACTTGTCTTGTCTCAGATGAACCTTTGGACTTGGACTTTTGAGTTAATGCTGGAATGAGTTAAGACTTTGATGGATTATTGGAAAGGCATGATTGTGCTATGAAATGTGAGGACATGAGATTTTGGAGGGGCCAGGTGTGTGACGATACGGTTTGGCTTTGGCTAATCATGAATTTTAGTGCCCATAATCCCCATATGTCATGAAAGGGACCTAGTGGGAGGTAATTGAATCATGAGGGCAGAATACCGCCATGCTACTCTTCTCATGATAGTGAGTGAGTTATGAGATCTGATGGTTTCATAAGGGGCTTTTCCACTTTTGCTTGACACTTCTTCCTGCCATTATGTGAAGAAGGACGTGTTTGTTTCCCCTTCTGCAATGATTGTAAGTGTCCTGAGGTCTCCCTAGCCATGCAGAAGTGTCAATCAATAAATGTCTTTTGTTTGTAAATTACCCAGTCTTGGGCAGTCCTTTATAGCAGTGTGAGAATGGACTAATACAGTAAGCATTATATTGATGATGATGATAATAATGGTAACTGTCATTAAGTAAGCTTTTGCTGTATCAGACTGTATCACATTCTATGTGTTAAATGTATTTTATATGTGTAATTGTAACAAGATAAATTTAAAGTTCAGCTCAGTCACTGAGACAACAAAATTGTCAGATCCTTAAAAGTGTGTGCATATCTTGGAATGGGATATCATGAAATGGGATATATGAGAATGGCTTTCATGGCTCTTGCGTAGAGTTTTCTGTGAATGAAGCATTGATAGCACACCATTGTTTCATCTTGAAACGTAGAGAGCTTCAACTGGACTTACTAGAAGGCTTGCTATGCATTCTTTGCAGTTGAGGAACCCTGCTGTGATTCCTGAATGTACCACTGAAAACTAAAGCTGAATTTGGTGAAGAAAGATGTGAAAGTAGGAAGCTGCACTCAAGAAGTAAACACACTTACACTGAATGCAATACATAGTAATTTGAACAGGAGTTTAATCTAGTTAATGGGGACCCTATGGAGGGTCAGAGGACTCCAATAGCCAGTGTGAGTTGTAGACAACTAGAGAACTAGGGCTGAGGATGGAGGAGTGGCCAGGAGGCTGCAGTGCTAGAGGCTGAGCAAGAGACTACTGTGGAGCTCCCGGAAGTCGCATAAACATCTTCCTCACCCAGAGAACAAGCAAGTACTTTCCTGTCCTGGCATCTCTTTCTTGTACTCTTTGACCTTGGTGAGATTTAAACAGTGGCAGATAATTTGAGGAAAAGGTGAAAAAGCTGAGCAGAGAAAGAGAGTAGGAGTTTATTACATCCGCTCCCTGAAGACCAGCAGGTTACCAAGTACAGGATTTGCTCCAGAGGAAGAAAATAAGAGCAAAGGGATTAAAGTGATGAATTAATAACTTTGATGGGATGTAGCAAATTACTGAATCAAGACAGGGCTTTGTAACATAAAGTTATTGTATAACTATTTATTATCAAAATGTAAAGGGAATTGCTTTTCTCACTAGATAGTTTTTGCTTCCCAATGTCCATTTAAAATTTAAGTTTCAATTTGATTGCATTCCAGGTGTCATTCTTGTGCAAGTTCTGAGTACATGTGAATTATTAGCTCACATAATGCATTGGTTTCGATGTTCACAGATGTTCACGTGAAAAGCAAAAAAAAAAAAAAAAAATAGCTAATAGACGAGGAATTCAGTAGAAAATAATTGTTGCCCTTCAGATTGCCATTTAAACCAGGATCGCAAACAGCTTAGTGTTGACCTGTTCTGGAAGATAATAACTGTTTGTACCTCAAAGAGCTAGATTTTAGAAAGCTCTCTGCAGAAAAAAATATTTAAGGTGTGAATCCTTTCAGAATTGTTTATTTCATTTCTCAGCATTCCATTGTTCTAGTCTAGATTCATATCAGCTAACTGCATGTCTTTCTCTGAAGCACACTATTTGTTTTTAAGCAGGAGACATGAAAAATGAGAGTTCTATATTGAGATGTAACTTGGTCACAGCAGAATGATCTCCATCTAGTTATATCACAGAGCTAGCAGAGCCTTAAGAAACTAGAGACAGGGCTTTGAAATGACAGTTGCAAGTATAATGAAATAGTCACTCTCTTTACTCAAAGCTTATGGGTAAAGACTTTTTTTCCTGGCAGGTTTATCTTTTTTTAAAATATCAGCCACCAGTCAGACACACACACACACACACACACACACACACACACACACACGCACACCCACTCCCACAACACACACAATCCCACTCACAATTTTTTATTGTGTATGGTACATTTAGC
Source organism: Homo sapiens (assembly GCF_000001405.40). Classification (NCBI taxonomy): domain Eukaryota; kingdom Metazoa; phylum Chordata; class Mammalia; order Primates; family Hominidae; genus Homo; species Homo sapiens. The sequence continues at coordinate 24,513,211 of NC_000009.12, forward strand.
AGTTGGGGAAGAATGTAACTTTAAATAGAAGTCAATCTTGGCAGTTTCACTTTTAACTTTGTACTAGGATTTTGTATTGTCTTTTCTAAAAATGAACTGTGAGTGCTGAGAGAGAAATTCTAGAACATCTTTGATCTGAATAGCAATGCAAATCAAATTCTAGTAAACTTATTTACTTACACTTAAAATGTGTTCATTTTTTAGTCCTGCACATATTTTAAGTAGAAAAATTTTCAGCATACATTTTCCATTCTAACTTTCAATGTTAGATAATCACAAAGCAAATTTTAAGAAATCTTTTATATAAAGCATCTATGATTATAATCATTTAGAAAAAGGTTTCCTATTACATTTGGTTAGAAAATACTTCAACATAGGTAAATTGAATAATTATCTGGAAAAAAAATCTTATAGTGCTGTAGTTTCCAGTTTTAATTGCTCTTCGTGTATTTTTAATGAGTATTCACTAATTTTATAATAAAATTTTTATGTGATTACTACTAGAAAAAATATTTTCAGTCGCAAAACATCACAATTAGTCAAAGTGTTTGATTGAAATACTCTCCCATTTAACTAGACAAAAGTAATAAATTTACATTTTCATTGGCAAAATATTTAACACCTTGAGAAAAACAGTTATAATTCTAGTTAAAAATCTAAGAAGCTAACTTGGATGTTCCAAACTCATCATTTTTCAAATGGTTGAATTGAGATCCAGAGCAGTAAACTGACGGAGCCTAAATTCTTTTCTGTCAACATATAGTTCATCAGACTGATGATAATATTTATTGTTTCATTCTTGAAGCAGTGCTTTAAAATCAGTGTGAAGGGGTTTGGGTGATTAGAAAAGTATTTGTCTATATGCATAATCCTTTCATATTTGTGTGTGAAACAGTAGGGTGACTGTACAATTCTAAAGGACAGTTACTCGCAGTTAAGCAGAAAATGTTTTCCTAATTTTTCTTCATTCTTCAGCAGTTAGTACTATGTTGTGTAAAACTGATTCCCATTTTATATTTACTGAGTAAAATTAAATCAGATTTAGAAAATATTTTTTGGATGGCAAAGTATGGATGAAAATCACTTATATTATGATATAGATTAAAGTGATATAGGTTAAAAACAAAGAGCCAAACTTAAAACTACATTTTCTAATGCATGTGTTACTTAATGTCGACATATCTGTTGGATGCAATAACTTTTTCTACTCACTATTTGACTTATGGTTAATGATTTTTGGATTATATTAATTCATTTGGTATTTATGGACTTATAATTTTTTTGTAATTTTACAGGCTGTATGTACCTTAGGGAAATAGAAGTTAATATATACATCTATAAATATATATATAATATTTATAAGTATCAATCATGTTATAGACATTGTCTCATTTGATACAACAGCTCCATTAGGGAGGGAATATTAACATGTTAACATTAGAGAAATTGAGGCTCAGTGAGATTAAGAAAGTTGGATGTATTTCACACAAATATTAGAATCCAAAATTTTAACTGAAATCTGCACATTTCCAAAGCTCCATACTCTTTCTCATTGACTCTCTGCTGAAGAAATCGAGCAGTGAAGAGGAGTTCTAGTACATTCATTATCTATTGGCAAATGTTGACAGTTTCAAAATATAAATGATCTTAATCTATTCGTTTGAAAATTATGATCAGCCTTAGTCCGTGGTAGAACCTGAGCTGTGTACATGAAGAACTAGCTTGTCTGTAGTAGCAGCTTGACAAGAAAAAAGGTATCCTTAAAGGACAACCTGCCTTAAGGAATTACCAGAGTATGGTGGTGAATTTTCCTAAGAGTTTTGACAGTTGCTAACTTTAATATATAAATATGTAGCTCCTGCCTGGTAACTACAAAGCACACCAAAACTATTGTACTTTGAGTGTTAATTGTGGTGAGCAAATTGAAAAACACATTTCTTTGGGATACAATTTTTTCCTTACATACAAACAGTATCCTCCTCTATTCTCTCTATGAGAACAGATGGATGAAGCCTCAATATACTTACTGCCCATAGCAAAGGATGCTTTTATGAGACTTTCAAATTAGGCTTAGACAAGAGTTATGACTTAGTGGATCTGCTTAGCTTGGTATTTTTATTCTGACAAATAGTAAGAATTTCTATAAGGGTGAAGCTGAAAGGGCAACTGAGACCCCTTTGAGTGAATTAGTACTCCTATAGCATTACCTGTATGGATAATATATTTTTTACCTCTGATGTGACCCTTACGAATTTAATTAAGTGTGATGGCTGGCCAGCATGTAGATAATTCCTTCTATGGACAAAATTTAAATGTTTTTTTCTCACTGCGGGCGAAATATTTTTGGAAGTCCATGCCAATTTATGTCACTCAGGTAACTTTTCTAACTTTTAGGTATGAGAGTTGAGGAACAAATTATGTGTGTTGTCTTGCTGTTATGTTGCATGTCTATTAACAATAGTCAGATGTGGTAGTACAGCATGGTCAGGGTTACTGGAGATGTATTATAAAATGTACTTTTACAGATACTTCATTTTTAAGCAGGCTTGATATATAAAAATTATATGGGGTTTTATTTTTTTAAATGTATTTCTCTGTCTGTTTTTCTCTTTCTGTTTGTGCACATTTATGTGTCCAAAATTAGATATCATATTCTCTAAAGAAAATGTGAAAAAGAACCACATTCAGTCAATATAACGAGGTGGATTTTTGTTAAGATAGTAACACTGGAATGATTTCTAAAAATCTGTCTCTAGTAAAGTTTGTTTTCTCCTCTGAGAAAATCCTATTCTTAGCATCCTGATACATAGTACTTCATATGCCTTATATTTAATTGCACTTAGTGACATTGTGGTGTGACATCTTTATAAACCAAGGCTTCTCACTTTAACAGAAGACTCTAATTGGAGCTTTCATTCAAAGAACATGCTGACAGGTAAGAGGTGTAGCAAAGGCTGCATGGTGCAACAGTACTGGGTTTTCAAAAATAACTGTTGTTTCCTGGTATCATGGCTCTGGATAAAGCATCCTGTGCTTCAGCATCTCTATTTCCTCACCTGTCAAATGTTACTGACAACACCTTCACTGTGATGGTGGACAAGTAATGTATTTGGAAGAATATGATAAACTTTGTAATTTATATAATTAGAATTGGAACACTGATAAAACCTACTGATGAATGGGTGAAAAGGAGAGTACTAGAAGAGTTCATATAATGAAAAAGGCAAACTACACTGATTGTCTGAGGAGCAGGATAGCAATGTGTTAAAAACAAGGGACTGGGGGCTGTTAAAAATTCTGACCCCCACCTCCACTATTATGATCTCATCTTCATACCTTACCCTATGAAGTTATGACCACTGGCCTCCTTGCTCTCTCTAGAACACACTGGTCATACTTGGAATGATCTACCGGATACCAGAATGCCTCATTCCCCTATTTCCTTCATATCTCTGAGTAAATATGACTTCATCACAGAGGCTCGCCCCCGTAATTGTATATAAAATGCCCTGCTGTTCTCAGTCACATTAATTTTTATCCCTTTACCCTGCTTTATTTTGCATTACTACCATATGATGCATTGAATTGTTTATGGTCTTCCCACCAAAACACAAGCTTCATGAGAACAGGGATTTTCTCTCTTTGTTTATTGCTACATCCTCAAGAGTTATGGTCTATGGATTAAATGAGTGAGCAAATTGTGCTAGGAGCAGAATACTTGGGTTACACTTTTTCCTCACTATATTAAAATGGACATGTCAGTCAATCATTTTTGCATTTCATGTTTGTTGCATGTAAGTAAAAGATGAGATGGCTATTGGTCCTCCCATTTTTACAGATTAAGAAACCACGGTTTAAAGAGTTTGCCAGAATGGCTCTTTTTATAAAGACAAAAAACAATAGATTTTGGCATAGGCAAGGAAAAAAGGAAACTCTTATACATTGTTGGTGGGAATGTAAGTTAGCACAACCTCTATTAAAAACATAATGGAGTTACCTCAAAAAGCTAAAAATACAACTACCATTTGATTCAGCAATCTCACTGTTTGGTATCTACCCAAAGGAAAAGAAGTCATTATACCAAAAAGACGTGAACACCTAAACGTTTACTGCAGCAATATCCACCATAGCAAAGTTATGGAATCAACCTAAGTATCCATCAACAGATGACTGGATAAAGAGAATGTGGTATATATACAAAATAAAATACTATTCAGCCATAAAAAAGAGTGAAATAATGTGGATTTTTTGCAGTGACATGAATAGAGCTGGAGATTATTGTCTTAAGTGAAACAACTCAGAAACAAAGTCAAATACTATATGTTCTCAGTTATAAGTGGGAGCTAAATAATGTGTACACATGAGTATAAAGTGTAGAATGATAAATCATGGAGACTCAGAAGGAGGAGAGGCAGGTGGATAATGATAAATTATTTGATGAGTAAAGTGTATGACATTTAGGTGACGTATAGCCTAAAAGCCCAGACTTTACCACTGCCCAATTTATGCATGTAATAAAATTAACCTTTGTACTCCATAAATATGTAAAATTCAAAATTTTAAAATTGTGACTCATAAAATCCAGTGCTATGAAATTGTAAGAAATATTAGAAATATAAAACTCTTTATAAACTCTTTAAAATATGTTATATTTTTATAATAAACTAGCAATAAATAAATAGCTATAAGCCAGTCTATAATTTGGTAGGTGGAAATAATGTATAGTTAGGTCACTTTGTTTATTTTTATGATAACTTTAGACATGGATAAGAGTTGAGTAAAACAATTCATTTGGGTACATTACCAATGGTACTATCTGATTGCTGAAAAGTTTATAGTGTCCACTTTCTATAGAGATCTGTTATAACTTGAGAGCAACAATTCCCTAAATATTTAAAGCTTTTTGTAATACAACTTTTTGTAGATCCACTTAATTTAATTTTTTTTTTTTTAGAAAAAGAGTTATTAGGACCAGTTAGCACTATTTTGACTGTGCTTTCAAATTAATTTCTACTTTGTTCACTTGCTAAGCATATTGACTGATGGACCTATTATAATAACTCAAAGGTCTTTCAATGTTTGTAGCACAAGGTTTGACAAGTGTTCGAGAAACAAGATGGAGAATGATTCTCACACCCAAGACTTTTTGGCCAATTTAAGTACATAAATAAGAGGTCTCAACATTGTTTTTTCAAAGAAGAGATCCCAAAATCTGTTATGTAGAGAATTTTCATATGAAAATAAGAGACAAAACATGAAGTCTTCATAGAAAACCATTTAAATGAATGTCTAGATAGCTGAAGAAGCAGTCTTTGATTCACAAAGGCTTATAGGTGTGTCAACGTCAAATAAAATATATAGAGATGGATATCTAAATTTAATCTTTTACTGGGAAAGGCAGAATTACAATTTGGAGCATACACACAGACCTGGTGGTCTTTGGTTTATATGAAGAACACAGAAGGGTTGGAGGTTGTGTATATTGCTGTTTGAAAAAAGTTTATTGACACTAGTAAAGTTTGCTGAGCTGGCATTCTTTGATTGGTGAGTGAAGACAGTGGGTAAAAACAATCTTAAAGATTCGGCAGGTTATTTCAGAAGCCATTGGATACAACTGGTTTTATGTTACACTAGGCACTTTTACCAGCTAGACTTCAGAGAGCTACCTTTGTGGAGCAATATTATATGTCCTAAGTGCTTTTTGTCCCTGATTTATTGACTCTGCTTTAGTTGGGTATGACGAGGATAACCCAATTCGTATTGTCAACTTTCAGAGTTGGAAAGGGAAAAATAGTGGTGTTAGTGGACTGGGGAAAAAAGAAACTATTTTTTATCCTAAGTGTTTTATACTTTGCATCTCCTTATTAAAATTTGGGAGAAATTACCTTAAGTGGGCCTAGGGCCATTTAGAAAAACTGATAATTAATTCCTGTTGCTGTTTATTTTCCTTCACCAGGTGAACATATTTTATTTTATTCACCTAAAGACTTTAGGCCAAGCAGGCAATATGCCAAATGAAAAGTTTGTTATGTGGAAAGATCTTCAAAAATTAAGCAATTTTCTCATTCTTAATAATTAATTTTAAGATACAGAGTTCTCATCTTAAGCACATTGATAAAATTGAATTACTTTTTAGCTTTTCTCTCTTTTTTTAAATAAGGTTTAGTTGGCTCATGCAACTTTAAAAATAAATCAAATGCTTCATTAGAAATGCACAAATAATTTCATCTGATTAAATAGAGGAAGATATTGAAATGCTTTTTAGTTTCTGTGTTACTGATTCTGCCTAGCTGTTTATAGGTCTGTTACCTTGCACATGCTGTTTCAAATCCACTGGGGGCAGTTTAAATGAAATTGGCCAAGTAAATATGACAAGAAGAAATGCTTTTTATTCTCCTATAGAGTTAATAAAAAAAAAAGAAAAAGAAATTTAGTGGGGACATAAGGTGAATGAGGGAAATGGGTATGAGACATCAGCCAAAAGGTTGGTACAAATACATTGTTTGATTTTTTTCTGATGGAACTGATGAGTCATATGAAAGATTTTTGACATCAGTCTATGTATGTTGCTTATTTGCTTGACAAAGACAGCATGAAATAATATTTAGTAAAGATTTCTGAAAAACTTCTCTATTGTGTGAAGTGAAAAAAAAAGTCAGGATTTGCCAAATTGCCTCTTATTTATTGAAATCTTTTTTTTCTGATGCTCATTAGAAATACATGGTTCCAGCTACTGCCGAGCTGTAATTAAGAGGAAGCATAAAGTATAGAACAGGGCAAGATAGGATAGGTGTGTGTGTGTGTGGGCAGAGGTGGGTGTATGTAGAAAAATGTGATTTGAACAGTAGGTGTAGAAGATAGAAGAAATGAACTATATCCAGGTGCATGTGTAATGCATCTGTTTTGTTTCTAATAATAATGTATTAAAAGCTTAAATAAAGGAAACATATATTCTCAGAAGAAGACCATTTTAATGTACATCTGAACTTCATCTGTGGACTAATCAATATGTTATTCTGATATAAAAGGAAAATACGCTTGGTCTGCAAGGATTCCTTAGAAAACAAAGCCAAACAAAAATGAAAGTTCAGATATTTTTTCTTATCATACGTTGCTTTTTTCCATGAGCAGCAGTAACCTAGACGTTTTTATCTGAAACATTAGCCTGGCCCAGTAGGTGTCAGATTAGATATACATTACTCCATTATCTTGGTAGACTACTCTGCATCAAAGGATCTATGGACTTGGAGAATGAAAGGGAAAGAGAATAAATAAAGGATATCTCTTTTCAGTTTTAGAGTAGCGCTTTTAACATTAAGAAAAATCAATAACTGGATTGACTGCATTCAGTAGGGAGCATTATTGTTTCCCATAATGTATCTAATGCATATCATTACCAGAGTAATCACATTATTATCTGCCTCGGCCTTGCTACTTGCTCGGCTAGATATGAAGCCAAAGCTATTTGTAAAGTAAGGTTTTTCCCCCTTTGCAAAATTGCTGCAAATTGTATTCTTCCCATTTTCTTTATTAGTTGTTTGAACTAGCCTGCACCTCTGAATTCAGATTAAGTGGCATGGTTTTTTGTGGTGGTTATTATTTTTCCCCTTCAGGATTCGTTTTTACTCTATTCAAATTAAACTCACCTTTAGGAAATGGGACACATCATGGGTGGTTTGTTGTATCGGTTGGCATGGGAAATAGAGTAGTATAAACTGTAACTTAGGGTGGGTTTTGTGTTTCTGAGATACCTTTTGAATTCAGCAACTGCAGTGATTGCGGAGTGTGTCTCAAATTGTGTTAAATTCCAACCCTCCTGTGCAGGGGGCTCAGTCTGAAACAATGAAGAGCATCTAGAGACTAGTACATTCCATTTATTTTCTCTCCTGATTACAAAGGGGGGTAAAAGATGTACTTATACTAAATTTTAGTGGCATATCTGACTAGGGTATAATGCTCATTTATGAGCTTCATGATATTTAGCTATTTAAATTGGATGAGACTTAGTTCTCACATGTAGAATTGGAGTAATAAACTCGATGGTACAGATTTTTGGTGGATATTCAAGACAATACATATAAGATATCTAGCCAAGAGCATTGTAGTGGTGCACTTCCAAGTGGCAGTGTAATAAAAGAGGAGTGGCAGAGAAGAAATTCTCCCCAGAAGAGGGCTGAAATAAATACATATGGAACATGTTTCTCTATAGAATTCATTATGCTTCTACATGCAAAGGAGTTGCTGATGATGTCTTATGAAAGGATTAACGGTGAGAAAGGAAAATGAATGTACAGGAAATAATTAGATTATTTGATTAGAGTTACTTGCATTCATTTTTGTTCTGGGTTGAAAGATCACTTACTATCAACTTGCCAGAACATTTGTTGAAACATGTTCCCGAGGAAAACAGCAAACTAAATTAAATCAGTAAAAATACATACACACACGCAAAAATAGAAAGTATTTCTCCTGTATTTTCCTTTTCACATACTTCTTGAACTTGCTTCCTTGTGCTGAGCAATGTAGTCAAACTCAGATCACTTAGCATTAAATAGGAAATAAGGGGGACATGCAACTGGACTAATTCATGGACCTGGCTGAAAGACTTCTGAGAATGAAAGGATGACATTTCTGGTAAAATAATTGTTCTAAGGAAACACTGGTTCTTCCATCCTTCATTTCTCATTTCACTTTCATTCTAAAGATGCCATTATTTAAGGAGAGATAGGAGTTTTCTAATCAGAAATGCAAATTGCCTGTCTGCCTTTCCTTCCTTCCTTCCTTTTCTTCCTTCCTTCCTTCCTTTTCTTCCTGCCTCCCTCCCCTCCCTCCCCTCCCTCCCTCTTTCCCTTTCTCCCTCCCTCCCTTTCTCCCTCCTTCCTTAATTCCTTCTCTCCTTTTTTCCTTCCCTTGTTCCTTCATTTTTTGACGACCAATTCAAGAGTATGGGTAATAATTGATATAATAGCCCAATTTGACACAAATGTGAACTTTGGCAAGCAAACCACTTTATAAACTCACTTGAAAGTACTTATTTGCTTACAGTCAGTTGTTAAGAAGATAATACCAAAGAGCTGCCAATATGTTTCCATATTCAGTTCTATCTCTACATTATGGAAAGGAAACCAAAGTACTTGGGAACAAAAAACCTCTCTGAATACAGATTTCAAGAGCATTGTTCAATTGGGAACTTGCAAGAGGCAGAGCAGAAAATGGATGTTGTAGTTTTCCTTTTAGTCCAGATGGAGGCATTTAAAAGAATCATGCTTTTAGGATCTCTGGAACAAACCAGCGGAGCTTATAATATGAAGACCAGGCATTACTATATAATATGTAGGGAATGCTTTTGCTGTGATCTTTAACTTTTAACCTATGTTCTGATAGTTTTATAATATTACTCACCTGGTGTTCAACAATTCAAATTACATACACAAACACACATGACTGTAGAAAAAGAAGCACATTTTGCAATTTCCCAAGGAAACAAGTTTGAGAAATATGTGAAAAGGAAAGTATAGGAGAATTACTTTCTATATGGGTGTTTTTATTATTGTTTAATTTAGTTTGTTATTTTCCTCAGGAATATGTTTCAACAGATGTTGTGCCAGGTTGATAGTAAGTGATCTTTCAACCCAGAGCAAAAGTGAATGCAAGTAACTCTAATCAAATAAACTCTTAATAGCCTCTGGTCAGTGAGACAGGAATTGTCTAGTCAAGTTTAAAAAATCAATAGTGGCCACTCAAAATTCAACTACAGTTAGAAACTAACAAACTTGACCACATTCCGAAAGATCAGAAGTTATTTCAATCTGACTTCTTCTTTCCTAATTGAATACCTTTTATTTCTTTCTCCTGCCTGATTGCCCTGGCCAGAACTTACAACACTATGTTGAATAGGAGTAGGGAGAGAGGGAATCCCTGTCTTGTGCCACTTTTCAAAGGGAATGCTTCCAGTTTTTGCCCATTGAGTATGATATTGGCTGTGGGTTTGTCATAAATAGCTCTTATTATTTTGAGATACGTCCCATCAGTACCTAATTTGTTGAGAGTTTTTAGCATGAAGCGCTGTTGAATTTTGTCAAAGGCCTTTTCTGCATCTATTGAGATAATCATGTGGTTTTTGTCTTTGGTTCTGTTTATATGCTGGATTACATTTATTGATTTGTGTATGTTGAACCAGCCTTGCATCCCAGGGATGAAGCCCACTTGATCGTGGTGGATAAGCTTTTTGATGTGCTGCTGGATTTGGTTTGCCAGTATTTTACTGAGGATTTTTGCATCAATGTTCATCAGTGATATTGGTCTAAAATTCTCTTTTTTTGTTGTGTCTCTACCAGGCTTTGGTATCAGGATGATGCTGGCCTCATAAAATGAGTTAGGGAGGATTCCCTCTTTTTCTATTGATTGGAATAGTTTCAGAAGGAATGGTACCAGCTCCTCCTTGTACCTCTGGTAGAATTCGGCTGTGAATCCATCTGGTCCTGGGCTTTTTTGGGTTGGTAAGCTATTAATTATTGCCTCAATTTCAGAGCCTGTTATTGGTCTATTCAGAGATTCGACTTCTTCCTGGTTTAGTCTTGGGAGGGTGTATGTGTCGAGGAATTTATCCATTTCTTCTAGATTTTCTAGTTTATTTGCATAGAGGTGTTTATAGTATTCTCTGATGGTAGTTTGTATTTCTGTGGGATCAGTGGTGATATCCCCTTTATCATTTTTTATTGCATCTATTTGATTCTTCTCTTTTCTTCTTTATTAGTCTTGCTAGCAGTCTATCCAGGAGCTTCCTGGATTCCTTGATTTTTTTTGAAGGGTTTTTTATGTCTCTGTCTCCTTCAGTTCTGCTCTGATCTTAGTTATTGCTTGCCTTCTGCTAGCTTTTGAATGTGTTTGCTCTTGCTTCTCTAGCTCTTTTAATTGTGATGTTAGGGTGTCAATTTTAGATATTTCCTGCTTTCTTTTGTGGGCATTTAGTACTATAAATTTCCCTCTACACATTGATTTAAATGTGTCCCAGAGATTCTGGTATGTTGTGTCTTTGTTCTCGCTGTTTCAAAGAACAACTTTATTTCTGCCTTCATTTCGTTATGTACCCAGTAGTCATTCAGGAGCAGGTTGTTCAGTTTCCACATAGTTGAGTGGTTTTGAGTGAGTTTCTTAATCCTAAGTTCTAGTTTGATTGCACTGTGGTCTGAGAGACAGTTTGTCATAATTTCTGTTCTTTTACATTTGCTGAGGAGTGCTTTACTTCCAACAATGTGGTCAATTTTGGAATAAGTACGACATGCTGAGAAGAATGCATATTCTGTTTATTTGGGGTGGACAGTTCTGTAGATGTCTGTTAGGTCTGCTTGGTGCAGAGCTGAGTTCAATTCCTGTATATCCTTGTTAACTTTCTGTCTCATTGATCTGTCTAATGTTGATAATGAGGTGTTAAAATCTCCCATTGTTATTGTGTGGGAGTCTAAGTCTCTTTGTAGGTCTCTAAGGACTTGCTTTATGAATCTGGGTGCTCCTGTATTGGGTGCACATATATTTAGGATAGTTTGCTCTTCTTGTTGAATTGATCCCTTTACCATTATGTAATGGCCATCTTTGTGTATTTTGATCTTTGTTGGTTTAAGGTCTGTTTTATCAGAGACTAGGATTGCAACCCCTGCCTTTTTTTGTTTTCCATTTGCTTGGTAGATCTTCCTCCATCCCTTTATTTTGAGCCTGTGTGTATCTCTGCACATGAGATGTGTTTTCTGAATACAGCACACTGAAGGGTCTTGACTCTTTATCCAATTTGCCAGTCTGTGTCTTTTAATTGGAGCATTTAGCCCATTTAAGGTTAATATTGTTATGTGTGAATTTGATCCTGTCATTATGATGTTAACTGGTTATTTTGCTCATTAGTTGATGAAGTTTCTTCCTAGCATTGATGGTCTTTACAGTTTGGCATGTTTTTGCAGTGCCTGGTACTGGTTGTTCCTTTCCATGTTTAGTGCTTCCTTCAGGAGCTCTTTTAGGGTAGGCCTGGTGGTGACAAAATCTCTCAGGATTTGCTTGTCTGTAAAGGATTTTATTTCTCCTTCACTTATGAAGCTTAGCTTGGCTGGATATGAAATTCTGGGTTGAAAATTCTTTTCTTTAAGAATGTTGAATATTGGCCCCCACTCTCTCCTGGCTTGTAGGGTTTCTGCCGAGAGATCAGCTGTTAGTCTGATGGGCTTCCCTTTGTGGGTAACCCGACTTTTCTCTCTGGCTGCCCTTAACATTTTTTCCTTCATTTCAACTTTGGTGAATCTGAATTGTCCCTGTTTGCAGATGATATTATTGTATATCTAGAAAACCCCATTGTCTCAGCCCAAAATCTCCTTAAGCTGATAAGCAACTTCAGCAAAGTCTCAGGATACAAAATCAATGTGCCAAAATCACAAGCATTCTTATATACCAGTAACAGACAAACAGACATTTGCCATTATTGTTCTTACACTTATGAATGATATATGTTATTGTTTTATTTGCTTAGCATGTCTAATGCATATCATTTAGTGGAAGCATCCCCCAAATTAGGAGCTCCATTGTCAAAGGCATTCTCTTCTAAGGTTTCCAGAACTGGAGGCCTCAGGATACAGTGCTGTACAGTAGCTCAAAACTCCAGTTTTGCTATCAGATAGACTCATTTCTGAACTCTGACTTATCACTCTTTTCTCTGAAACAAGTATCTTTTTCTGTTGGAAACTCAGTTTCTTCATTTACGCAGCAGGGCTATTCACAGTGCTTAGCTAATGGCGTTTAATACTCTATACAGGAGAATTAAGTGAAACACTTCAGCTAATGTGTAAAATATCTAGAACAGAGTAACCACTGCATATTCCTATTGTAGTATAACATACAATAGCTGACATAGCTATTATAACTCTGTGTTTTGGTTTGGATTACTTACAGTGATTCATATACAAAGCCCACATATTTTATGAAGCATCTACTATGTAAGTTACTCTGCTAGTTTTTATAAAATATTAAAAATAGGTATAATGTCATTCTTTTTATTAAGTAGCTTCTAATCAAGCAAGAGGTACACTGATAATACATTAGTGAATGCAATATAAGTTATAATTGCGATAGGTAAAATCAAGTAGGAAAAAATTCTCTAGTGGTAAGAAGAAAAGAGAGATACCTTTCGACTTAGTGGAAGATAATCAATAAACTGTAGTTATTATTTTTACCATTGTTGTTGCTAATTCCAAATACAAAGCACCCTAGTAGAGCTAAACCAATAGGTCTCTTAAAATACAGGGATATCATGAAATGATTTATTAAATCTGTTAACAGCATTCACATGAAATCTCTTTTGTTAAAAACAAATAGGAAAGTAGGCAAAAAGGTATTGTAAAAAGTTTAGATTCTATGACTATATTGTGCTTAAGGCAAGTAGATCTCATTGAGAAGAAATCTATTGCTGATTAAAATATGAGCTATCTCATTAATCACACAGTACATTAGATAATAAATTGTGGTTGTTAACTTGATATGCACCATTGAACATGGAGAAAAAATATCACATAGGCAGACAAGTGCTCTAGTGTATGACAGTGTAATAGCTTGTGGATATATTCTTTTTGTAAATATGTCTGCTGCATATCTTATGTCTTACTGAACTGTGCTGTAAAATATGGTTATTCTTTAAGTCACAGACATTAATGCTGAAGATTTTTCAACACTGGAAAAAATCATGCATTTGAATAGAAGAAAGCGTGAGATAGAAATTAACATTTTTCACTCAGAGTATGTCATTCTAATATTTCATTCAGTTTTCTAAGGGAGCTTTGAAGATGTTAGATTTTAAAAAATGTTTTGGAAAAAAAAAGAAACTAATGACATAGTCCACTGACAGGTAATTATGTGAACTAATTGCACGGACTGATGTAAACTGTGATCAAGGATATTTAACTGTCTGTTCTATATGGATCTAGTGAGCCGGACCTGAAAATTTGCTGATAACAGAAGTAGAAAAGAATGGAAAAGTGTTATGTTCTGTAGACCAGGGAACACTTTTTTTTTTTAAAGAAAGAATTAAGATTTCTTTAAATTTTGTTTTCGTAAATGTACAATTTTACCATGAAGAGATTGTTGAAAATTAATTTTGACCTGGCCTTGTGTTCAGTTTGCTTGACAAAGTAACATATTCAGAAAACTGGACGAGTTTCACTATAAATATTGTTTCTGCTTCTGTCCAATATGGCAGCCACTAGTCATGTGTGGCTACTAAGTACTTGAAATGTGGTTAATCTGAATTGATTTAGGCTATAAGTGTAAAATACAGGCCATATTTCTGTATTATTTTTATGCTTTATCTTCTTTAAAAAAAGGTAAAATATTGTACTTGGATATATAAGTTTTAATGAGATGTGTCAATTTCACTGGTTTCTTTTTAACTTTTTAACAGAGAGAGGAAAATATTTATACTCATGTGGCTTCCATTTGTGATTTGTTATGTTTCTATCAAACAGTGCTGTTTTTTTGTGGTACATGAATAAAGTGACTGATGATGGAAACAATATTCTGAAGAAATAATCTTGACCTCCTCAGAAACACATTAAAATTACTCACATTGTGGCCATAAGCATGTTTGTTTTAGTTTATGTATAAATCATTGTAAAGAAACCATATAATTCAAAATATATTATGCATTTTAAAAACGATAAGAAAAATGATATAAAATCATAAATGTGTGGATAGATAACAGTGCAAAATCTGAAATGCAGAATAGCCATTTGTTAGGTGAAACATGTATGTTCATGTTCTTATATAAAGCATATGTTCCACCAGTAATTGCTGCATTATTCTTCTATTATATTATTAGAGGCATTGTGATTATAAAGGAAACTCTTCCCCCTATATGGTTTAAACGTTTGTGGAAATTTATCTTCTCACTGATGAATTTTAAATGCAGAAATCAATACAAATCATTTATGCAAGAATCTTTGCCCAAGTCCCTTCCATCTATCCCTGCAAATTCAAAACAAAACAGTACTCTGTCTGTTCCAACAAAGACTACATGGAACATCTCCTTTTCTCTCCTTCTGTTTTCTTTTCTTAGATGTGTTTTTCAAAGGGGGAATGAGTTAAAGACAGAAAAAGCCCCCAGTGCAGTCACAAGCAAGAAAAATACAATAAGTGACTCTCAGGATTTATTGCTTTGGAGTACTACAATAGACTATCTTTGGGTTCATAATAAATGAATCTTTAATACCTGATAGAATGCATACATATCTCCAAGTAGGTCATTTATGTTTTCATTTACATTTTCTAAGATTCTTCATTTATATTTTTAAAATACTGTGTTCTTCCAGGAATTATTCCATATAAATTCAAAGTACAATTGTTGTTCCCCTAGAAATGGAGCCATTATATACCAGGAATCACTGTCAGAAGGGAATGTATTCTGAAACGTTTTTCACATGCATATGTGTTGGATGTGGTTATTCTCACATATATGTCCTTCGTAGAAGTCGTCTGTAAGTCTGTAAGAGCCACTGCTGGGCTTGTATGTGGGGGCCAGATCTGAAGGTTAATTCCTGTTAAAAATAAGTATCCTGCATATGCAGGTCTGAAGCAGAAACTAGCCTGTGAATTCTAAACCTCTGCTGTCCAATACAGTAGCCACTAGCCACATGTGGGTGTAGATCACTTGGACTATAGTTAATGTGACAAACTAAATTTTAAATTTTATTTAACGTTAATTAAGGTAAATTTAAAAACCATCACTGGATTCAGTGTTTGAAAAACTTTTAAGTATATTTGGAACAACTTTGGATTTACTTTTTCAGGAATACATTTTATGTTATCTAAATACAGATTGAGTATTTGCAGCCAAAAAATTTCAAATTGAGATGTGCTGAAAGTATAAAGCCCAAAGCAGATTTTGAAGACTTAGTGCTAAAATAAATAAACAAAATAACTCCTAAGTCATTTTACATAGATTGGATGTTGAAATGGTTTGGATATTTGGGTTAAAATATATTAAAATTAGTTTTACCTGTTTCTTTTTATTTTCTTAATACAGCTACTAGAACGTTTAAAATTATATATGTGGTTTAAGTTAAATTTCTATGGAAACAGAAGAGGAAAATACATGGAAATATATTTGAGGTAACAAGGTTACAGATGGGATATAGTGACCAGAATGAGGAACTAGTGCCAGCAGAGTGAGAGTGGGTAGCAAATGGACCAAAAGAGAAGCAGCTCCTTGCTCTGTTGGCAGGTCAGTAGCTTGTAATTCCTGAACTGTCATAGGGCTCAGGATCAAGAACGTGACTTTTTAGCATTTAGTGTCTTATGATCAATGACAGACAAATACATTATTATGTTGCTTTAATAATAACACAATTATTTTTATAATTTAAATTTTTTATTCATTTTTTAATATATAGAGATGGAGTCTTGCTGTGCTGCCCAAATTTGTCTCAAACTGCTGGGCTTAAGTAATCTTCCTACCTCAGCCTGCCCAGAGTTCTGGGATTATAGGCCTGAGCCACTCAGTCTGGCCAATAATAACAAATTTAATTATTTTTTAAAAGTATTACTGTATTTCAGTCTTCTTTCAGCCTACAATATGGTATTAAATGCCTTACATGGAGACATATAAAGGATTTTACCATAATAACCTTTAAAACAAAAGTGATTTCCTAGAATTATAGGACAGAAAAAAGAATGTTAAAACAAATTTCATTTCCCAGGGTAGAAATCTAATGGAACATTAACTTGGGGCACTTTGTTATATCAAATCTAGTCCATAGCTAAGAACTGGATTAGATTAATCCTTTGGACAGTTTGGAACAAATTGTATTACATTGTGTTTGCCATGGAAGTCTTATTGCCTTCATGTTGAATTAAAATAGCCTTTCTCTCTACATAAGTGAAATACAAGCTCACTGCAGAGAAATCAGAATACTAACAAGCAAAAAGAGGAAAACAATAATCACTTGTAACCCATACCACCCAGAGATAATGACTGTAATTTTTCCTTGCATTTTCTTCAAGGAAACATTGTTGGTTTTTAGCCAGGGTTTGGTATGCCTTAATAAGCACTGCATCACAAACTCTGTATTTAATACTTTTCACCCTTTTCTTTGAACTCTCTTTGGGCTGTTTTCATAGCCCAGACTGAGGTTATCTGTTGTAGAACAACAACTTAATAAATGATGTCTTGTTGGCTTGAAAGTACTCTTTATATAGATTTCCAAAGCACCAAACATAAAGCCAGGAAGTTCTTTATTCACTAGAAAATCTTGTTGAACATTTTCTGACATTATTAGTACAATGGAGAGAGTGAAGATGAAAGAAGAATGAAGAATTCTGAATCTTGAAGAGCCTGTGCTTATTAGTACTTTCAGCAGAAATTATGAAGGGTCACCTCATCAGCAGATTCATGAAGCCTCATTAGGTAAAGGCTTTAAATGTTTCAAGAGTAATCCCTCATAGAAAGCCTTATAACCATCCTAAGCAAATGCTAGACAAACATGCCTACCTGCCCATGTTGACCTTTGATTGGCGAGAGTTTGTGTTTCCTCTTTAAGAGGAAGATGCACACCCAAGTGTGAAACTACACAGACAATTTAGCAGTGCTGTATCTGGGAATGCAAACCTGAGGACCTAAAGTTTGGCAGACCACTTGAGATGAAGTGGAGTGCAAAGTGTCCTTCGTCCATTCTTCAGATAGTTGCCTCCATTCTCTCTGATTTTCATTCTCTCTATTGTCCTTTCACTCAGTCTTGATATTCAACTATTTTTAGGACAGTTGAACAATAAAAACATGCATCCTGAAGTTAGGAAAAACAATGGCTTGGTGTCCTGTTCCAGAATCTTCTGTGTTTATTGATTTTGAGATAATTTGTTACATAAATACCAACGTCTCTACTGTCCCTTACCCAACTCCCACCCTATCCCTATAATAAGGGTAACTTTGGGGAATATGCTGCAGATTCTTTATCTCCGAGTTAATCTCCAGGTGTAGATCAATGCCAAAAGTTCTTAGAACTCCTAGGAAGTTCTCAGCTTCTTTGAGTTTCTGGTCCATTTGGCAGGAAGGCAGGCTGAAGGGGAAGAGTCAACCAAGCTACCTTGAGAAGTAAGTGGAGGTGCTGAAAACTTCATTTGCGCGCCCCTGAACTAGGTTAAACACTAGAAATCTGTGTGCTTGATTTGCGAATTTGGTACATATAGCCTTTATTTCATGGCAATGTTGGCCATCAAGCTGCAAAGGATTTTTAACATCCTTTAAATAAAGGACATAAAATGAAATACCACCACATTGTCTACTGTGGGACTGCTACAGTGGACAATGTGGCAGACAAGATATATACGATGCTATTAAGAATATTTGGGTTATACTCAATTTCAAGTGATAGAATTCATCAATATTTTATTTGTATTTTCATAATTTTATTCATCCAATGTTCATCTTTTCTGTGCCAGGTATTTTAACGAGCTCTGGGGATAGGTACATCTATGAACAAACAGCAGATGTGATTTCTGACCTCTTGAAGTAAGACATTAATTTATAGTTATATAATATTCCTTAATTCCTACGGAGCGAGAAAAGTAAGCAATGACACAGTGTAATTGGAAGTGCTAGCATAATATGAAGATTCAGGAAAAATCTTCCTTGAGTAGGTGACATTTAAGCGATGAAATGTTCCCTGATACATTGCTAGATGCTATGACTATAAAGATAAGCATAGCATAGTCCCTATCCCTGAGAATTTCATGTCTAGGAAAGAGACTTGAAAACCAATCACAGTCATTTATTAAAAAGCCTCTACAAAAGCATATGAATTGTAGTGGATTCCAAAGGTTGTGGGTGATCAATTCTAGCCATCTCAGAAAAGACCTTATGAAAAGAGATTACTTTAAATGTGAGTTTTGAAAGACAATAATGTTGAAGGCTGACAAAGATTACCAGGCAATCAAGACAAGGAAGAATATAGCAAGTATTGTCTGTAAGATAAAAAAAAAAATGCCTAATATGTTTGGCAAACTCTAAGTAGAGATTAAGGTTTGGGAAGGCAATTGACCAAAGGTGAAATTATATGTAAAGCAAGTTGGTAAAATATAAAACATGTGAAATGTTGTATGAAAGAGTTTACACTTCTCTTTTTGAAGTAGAAGAGGCAATGGAGTATTTTAATCAAGGATTTGACATTGATTTGTGATTTAAGATTGATATTTCTGAGTGCAAAAGGAACGAAGAATTTGGCTCCTAGATAGGCTGGGCTCAGGGAAACTGAGTAGGAGACCATTGTAGTAGCCATGAGAGAAGAATGAAGGACCTCAAATTTAACAGTAGCTGGGGAGATTCAAGAGATTTTTAGGAGTGAAAAATCAATGCTAATTGAAGAGTGACTGGCTAGGACAGATGAAGGAGAGAGAGGACTCTAGAAAATACTGAGATTTCTACCTTCTGGATTATTTATATTATCCATGAGACCTCTGCTAGCTAGTGAAAAGGTTAAGATTTGGGGTTTGAATCCTGCCTCTACAACTTGTGAATTATGGGGCTTGGAAGGAGTTACTTAAATGTGACAAGCCTCAGTTTTCTTATCTGTACAAAAGTGGCTTAAAATAATTTTGAGAGATTCTTGGGAAGATAACTAAAAATCCTTCAAGAATCCTCAATTAAGATAAATTATATAGAATCAAATGGTTTAAGGTAAGTTCAGTGTTAGGCATGCCAATTTTTAAATTAGCATTGTCTTTCTGGATGGATATGTCCAGTAGGTATTCAGAAATAAGGACTGAGGACTTGAGAAGGGGGTGCAAACAGAAGCCTAAGAATTTGGAGATATTATTATTATGTGATCTTGGAAATCACACCAGTGGGTGTGATTGCTCCAGGTAAAACGCAGGAAAAGGTTTGAAATGAGTTCTCTTATTGCAGTATCTAATAAGTATGCAGAAGAAGAGGAAGAGCTCAAAAAATCAACTAAAACATGGTTTAAACATAGAAAAATCTAAAAAACAAGAACAAAAGTAAGAACATGTGCCTAGTGTACCACAAGGGGTATTTTAAGAAGGAACCATTAGCACTCTGGCAAATCTTATAGCTGACAAGTAGCTTGAGGAATGAAGAGAACTCTGAATATAACAACAAAGAGATCACTGTCAGCCTTGGAGAGAGAAATCTCCATATGATGGTTAGGAGAAGAGTGCAGATTGGGGTGATTTAAGGGGAGAACAGAAATATAGAAACAGTCAAGAGAAATACAGTGCTCCTGTACGAAGTTAGTCATACAGGGCTGGGTACAGGATAAAGAGGCTTGAATTCCTAGTAACAGATAATAATAATAAGGACCTAGGATCGAGCAAAGGGGGTAATGATTGGAGATAAATGATGAAGGAATGCTCTAGAAGTGACTGCAGTTCAGGATGTAAAAAACATGTAAGGAGGCAGGGCGCGGTGGCTCACGCTTGTAATCCCAGCACTTTGGGAGGAAGAGGCGGATCACGAGGTTAGGAGTTTGAGACCAGCCTGGCCAACATGGTAAAACCCGGTCTCTACTAAAAACACAAAAAATTAGCTGGGCGTGGTGGCAGGCGCTTGTATTCCCAGCTATTCAGGAGGATGAAGCAGGAGAATCGCTTGAACCCCGGGGGTGGAGGTTGCAGTGAGCTGAGACCTCGCCACTGCACTCCAGCCTGGGCGACAGAGCGAGACTCCGTCTAAAAACAAACAAACAAACAAAACAGGAAGCATTAATCTAAGATGGAAGAAGGTGAAACCTTCTTTTGAGTCAAAATGTAAGGGAGCAAGTTTAGAAAGAATATTAGTAAATGGAAATTAAGAAGCTTCCAGTATTAATTCACCTGTTGTTTGATACTATTCACTTTTATTTTTATATTTTATCTGATACTTTATGTGTTGATATTTTATCTAATAACATAAGTACCTTAATTGCTATCATGTTTTAATGTTATCTTTAGATAAAATAAATTATTATGTTATCACCCAATAAAAGCTAAGTGAAACCTCATCTCTGTCTGCTGCCTCCTACAGACACACACACACACACACACACACACACACACACACACACACACATATACACATATATACATGGAAAATACTGATTGTTAATAAAGTAGCCCCAAGAAAAATAGGATCTCAGAGACTATACCATCAGTGCTAGGGTTGAATGTTATCAGATAAATATCTTTCCCTAATGATTTGTAGCTCTTCAAGAAACCTTGGAACTAAGCTTCATGAAGGACTGACATCAGGACATTGGAGTATGTGTTAAATATAGCTGTTTCAGAATAAAATGATTTGTATTATTTATTGATATAAATGAGGTTTTGCTTGAGCATTTGCTTGTTGGAAGGATGTTTTTACATAGCCATGCTTTGTTATGTTAACTGTTAGCTCAAGCTTAAATTAGAATTGTAAGCAATTAATTTTGTATCATGTTTACATTTAAAAAACAGAAGTACCACAAGACCTTTCCTAGTGAATGAACACATAGTTTAATTAGATCATCTTGACTTTATTGTATGATAAGCACATAAACATAAAAGGCTTCTTCTAATTCTGGTGATTTTTGAAATAATAAAGTCCAGATTCTGGATTTATATGATGAAGCAATTGCAGTAGATTGTGTAGATAGAAGAGCACCCATTTGAAAAAAAGAGTCCATTATTTTTTGAGTTTTTGATTATGGCCATTCTTGCAGGAGTAAGTTGGTATTGCATTGTAGTTTTGATTTGCATTTCACTGATCATTAGTGATGTTGGACATTTTTTCATGTTTGTTGACCATTTGTATGTCTTCTTGTAATAATTGTCTATCCATGTCCCTAGCCCACTTTTTGGTGGGATTATTTGGTTTTTTTCTTTCTAATTTGTTTGAGTTCCTTCTAGATTGTGGATATTAGTCCTTTGTTGGACGTATAGATTGTGAATAATTTCTCCCACTCTGTGGATCGTTGGTTTATTCTGCTGACTGTTACTTTAGCTCTGCAGAAGCTCTTTAGTTTAATTAAGTCCCACCTATTTATCTTTGCTTTTGTTGTATTTGATTTTGGATTCTTGGTCATGAAGTCATTGCCTAAGCCAATGTCTGGAAGGGTTTTTCTGATGTTAACCTCTGGAATTTTTATAGTTTCAGGTCTTAGATTTAAGTTCTTGATCCATTTTGAATTGACTTTTGTATAAGCAGAGAGAAGAGGATCCAGTTTCTTTCTCCTACCTGTGGCCTGCCAATTATCCCAGCACCATTTGTTGAATAGGGTGTACTTTCTCCACTTTGTTTTTGTTTGCTTTGTCAAAGATCAGTTCTGGGTTCTCTCTTCTGTCCCATTGGTCTATGTGCCTACTTTTATATCAGTCCCATGCTGTTTTGGTGACTGTGCCCTTATAGTATAGTTTGAAGTCAGGTAATGTGATGCCTCCAGATTTGTTGTTTTTGCTTAGTCTTGCTTTGACTATGCAGGCTCTTCTTTGGGGGTTCCATATTAATTGTAGGATTGCTTTGTCTAGTTCTTTAAAGAATGATGGTGGTATTTGGATGAGAATTGCCTTGAATTTGTGATTGCTTTTGGCAATATGGTCATTTTCACAATATTCTACCCATCCATGAGCATGGGATATATTTCCATGTGTTTTTGTTGTCTATGATTTCCTTCAGCAGTGTTTTGTAGTTTTCCTGGTAGAGGTCTTTCACCTCCCTGGTTTGGTATATTCCAAAAGTATTTTATTTTTAAATTTTGGCAGCTATTGTAAAAGGGGTTGAGTTCTTGATTTGATTCTCAGGTTGGTCGCTGTTGGTGTATAGCAGAGATACTGACTTGTGTACATTAATTTTCCATACTGAAACTTGGCTGAATTCATTTATCAGTTCTAAAGCTTTTTGGAGGAGTCTTTTGGGTTTTCTAAGTATAGCATCATATCCTGCTGGCATGGATGTGGTGTAAAGGGAACACTTCTACACTGCTGGTGCGAATGTAAACTAATACAACCACTATGGAAAACAGTGCGAAGATTCCTTAAATAACTAAAAGTAGAACTACAATTTGATCCAGGAATCCCACTACTGGGTGTCTACCCAGAGGAAAAGAAGTCATTATATGAAAAAGATACTTTGTACATGCATATTTATAGCAGCACAATTCACAATTGCAAAAATATGAAACCAGCACAAATCTCCATCAGAGTGGATAAAGAAAATGTGATATATATATGAAGGAACACTGCTCAGCCATTAAAAGGAATAAATTAATGGCATTCATAACAACTTGGATGGAACTTGAGATTATTATTCTAAGTGAAGTAACTCAGGAATGGAAAAACCAAACATTGTATGTTCCCACTTATAAGTGGGAGCTAAACTATGAAGATGCAAAGGCATACTAATGATACAATGGACTTTGGGGACTTGAGGTAAAGAGTGGGAGGGGGGTGAGGGATAAAAGACTACAAATTGGGTTTAGTTTATTCTGCTTGGGTGATGGGTACACCAAAACCTGACAAATCACCACTGAAGAACTTACTAATGTAACCAAATACCAACTGTTTCCCCCAAACTTATGGAAATGAAAAATTTTAAAAAACCACATAGTCCAAAGCTGATTGGAATTCTTCATTATTCTCACTCAAAGTCAGCATCATCTCAAAGTCATTGAAAGGAATAAGTTTGCATAGAACAGCTTGGATTTTGGGTTATCTTAATATTATAAGTATCTTAATGGTTATTATCTTGCTCGCTTTGCCTTACAGTTCACTTAGAGTTTTATTTTGATTTTACCATGATGTAATGATCTTTAGTATTCTGTCCTTGGTCTGTATCTCTTCTTCACCAGCCTCTAGCTAGGTGGCCTCAGTCATATTTTCAGCTTTGCTATTTATTGTGTTCTAGTGCCTTTGAAATGAGTTTCACTAGCTATGTTCATGTATGTAAGTCCAAACGCTGAAGGCATATCTTTTTAAATATCCCAGCAGGATTCATACTTAATATTTCAAAACTGAACTTGAACCTTTTCTGTGAAACTTATTTGTCCTCCTGTATTTCCTACTGAAGGACACAACCAAATAAAAAGAGTTAAACTGGAAGAAAACCATAGTTCCACCATCAAGGTAAAATCAGTCAACATATTTTATTTTACTCTGGGCTTTTCTCTAAGCATGGCATTTGTTTTCAATTGTGTTAATACAATTTTTAAATTTTTTTTTTTTTGAGACGGAGTCTCACTCTGTCGCCCAGGCTGGAGTGCAGTGGCGGGATCTCGGCTCACTGCAAGCTCCGCCTCCCGGGTTCACGCCATTCTCCTGCCTCAGCCTCCCAAGTAGCTGGGACTACAGGCGCCCGCCACTACGCCCGGCTAATTTTTTGTATTTTTAGTAGAGACGGGGTTTCACCGTTTTAGCCGGGATGGTCTCGATCTCCTGACCTCGTGATCCGCCCGCCTCGGCCTCCCAAAGTGCTGGGATTACAGGCGTGAGCCACCGCGCCCGGCCAAATTTTTATTTTTATTATTATTTTTGTAGATATGGGTTCTCACTATGTTGCCTGGGCTTGTCTTGAATTCCTGAGCTCAAGCAATCCTCCCATCTCAGTCTCCCAAAGTGCTAGGACTGCAGGTGTAAGCCACTATGCCTGACTCATTTTAAAATTTATTTAAAGAATATTGACATTTTTTTGGTGGGGGGGTTCTTTTATCTTACAATGTTGATATTGGTAATTTTTACTTTTATTTTAAATAGCCCTTTCACCCAAGTTTTAAATATTTTTGCAATTTAGCTTAAAAGAGTCTGTTAAGATATAAAAACAAATCTATCTTAAGTTTTGCTACTTAAAAATTTCTGTTTTATAAAAATTATCTTTTATTTTAAAAATTTTGTTCAGTGTGGATGAAAACTTTTTTATTAGCATTCAGTGTTAGTTACCTTTTTATGCTTAACATTTCATTTTGATATAGTCTAATGTTCCCTTTTTTACATGCTTTGAGTTTAGTTTGTTCTTTTTCTACCTGCTTAATTATTATTACTTTTTTTTTGTCGGAGTTTTGCTCTTGTTGCCCAGGCTGGAGTGCAATGGTGCAACCTCGGCTCACTGCAACCTCCTCTGCCTGGGTTCAAGCGATTCTCCTGCCTCAGTGTCCCAGGTAGCTGGGGTTACAGGTGTGCACCACCACCCCCAACTAATTTTGTATTTTTAGTAGAGACAGGTTTTCACCATGTTGGTCAGGCTGGTCTTGAACTCCTGACCACAAGTGATTCACCCACCTCGGCCTCCCAAAGTGCTGGGATTATAGACGTGAGCCATTGCACCCAGCCGTTCTATCTGCTTAATTTAAACACCCTGTTCAATACATATACATATATATATATAAATACATAAATATGTATGTATTTTAAAATCTTTTTGCTATATATGATTAGAATGTTATATTGTTAAACGCATAGTTAGCACATTTCACAAGATTCGATAGGCAATATTTTTATTGTTATTTAGCTGTAAGTGTTTTATAATTTGCTTTATAGATTCATTTTTAATTCAGGAATTATTTAGAGATAGAATTTTTCAGTTTCCAATATATATAATAAGGGAATATCCTTTGTGGTTTTAATTTTGTTGCTCATGGTCTGAATGATTGTTCTTTATGAGTTCTTTGGAATTTGTTAAAATTTCCTTTTTGGCCTACGTATTAGATCAGTTAATGCTAGTTCTAAAAATATCAGAAGCTTAATCAAATAAATATTTTTCACTCATGAAATCTAAAACACATGCTCCAACTAAGAGGCATCTTCAGGATTCTAAGATATTGCTGTATATTGGCATCCTACCACTAATCAGGGAAGAAAGAGGCTGGAGGATTGTCCCTTAAATTTAGATGCTCCTGAAAATGTTTAATACACTTTTACCCACAGTCCATTGGCCAGAATTCAGCTTCATAGCCCATCGAACAGTAGGGATGACTGAGAAATGTAGTTTAACCATGTGTCCAAAAGGAAAGGGATGTAGTTAGGAGAAAACCAGCTGGTGTCTTTCAAGCCATACATGTTGTTAATTTTTATATATGTTCCTTCTTCACTAGAAAGAAGAAAAATCTATTTACTAGTTGATTGTGGGGTTTAATGCATCATGTCATTTAAAGTTGTTCATTGTGTTCTATGAATTATAGTCTTATTAACATTTTTTCTTTCGATTTATCAGATTCTAAATGAGAGGACTACACTTTCCCATCATGAATGTGAAAATCTTTTTCCTTTTTTAAAATCAGAAGACTATATTGTTAGGCTCATATGATTTCATATTATATTATCACATTATTCTTGTTAATGTTCTTTGGCTTAAATTCTCTTCTGGCTAATATCAATAAACACCTGCTTTATTTTGGGTAAGTTTTGCTAGGTATTCTTTCATTTCACATTTAGCTTCTCATGTTATTTTAGGTTGCTATCTTACAAGTAGCCTATGATTAGATTTTAAAATATCCAATCTAATAGTTGATCTTCTGATTAATATATTTACTTCGTTTACGTTTGTTATGCTTATTGTGTTACATTTTGCTCTGTTGATTTGTTTCCTCTTTCTTGTTTTTATTGAATCAGTAGGATTTATCCCCTCCTTTTCTTCTTGAAATTATGGATGTCATATATTGTATTTTCATCCCTAAAGAGTCACACTCCAATATTTCATAACAAAGAATAAAGGTATCATATGTATGCATGTACATGTATGTTTGACGAGGACCTTGGCATCTACTGCTTTTGTCTAAACTCCCTTACTTATCCTTCATCCACTTTTAGTTTCCTTTTTCTTAAGGCATGTAATTATTTCCCCTTAATTTTTGGACACAAAACTTGTTTGATTTTATAGTCAATATTTAATCATAATATGGTTTGTTTTATTTTGGCAATTTTGCTTCTCTTTCTGTTCTTTTACATAAAATCGCATGTCACGAAAAGAGATAACGAGATTATTAACAGAGCTAAGCAAGATTGAGGGAGAGAACATTTTTCTTCCTTGTGACAGTTTCCTAGGTACTTTCTTATTTTCTAAGGTATTTCTTTTTCTGGTTCCTGGAAAATCTTTTGTATATTCGGAGATGAAGAAGACAAAGAAATGATATTACTGATAAGGACTGAACTAATTTATTATAAAATATAACCAGTTCATGAAGGGTTTTAATATTCAACCATCTCAAGGCAGTGATATTATATAAAGAAACTTGAACATTAAAATTCTTCTCCATAGGACTAGAATTTTTTAACCTCAAAGTAACCATAATGGGTGTTCTAATATAATTTTAGGTTTTATGAAATAATCCCAATATAACAATTTACAGTTTGCTTAAGAGTTAATGTTTTAACTTTCTCTGCATTTGCTGTTTATAGACTTACAGTTATATAATGATTGACTTCTCATTCTTTTTAAAATAATAACTATGTTATTATTCAGGACTGACTTCAGATTCTTACAAATACACTATAATTAAAAAAGTAAAATGATTGGTACTCATAGAAAAGAAAATAGAAAACATTTGTTTTGGATAGAAATATGACTGAATATCTAAAAAATGCAAGAGACTTTAAAATAAAATTTAAAAACAAGTTTAACAAGTTGGTTATAGAGTGAATGTGTGAAAATAAATGGGTTTTTATTTTATGTAATATGGGTAAAAAGACCTGGAGTGGTTACATGTATAGATAGATAAAATAACGCTTTAAATATTCAACTGTCCAGTGATAGCTTTGGGGAAAAATACATCTGCAAAAGAGATGCTAGAGTTAATATTTATGTTATGGAAGAACCTCTTTTAAATTGACAAAAATTTTTCAGATTAAAATTAGCAGAGTGTATGAATAGGTAACTCACTGTGGGACTAATTCTAATGGCACTGAATCCTATGTAAAGATGCTGACACACTAGAGAATATAAGTAAATTCATTATCATATTTATCAGACTGCAAAATTTAAAAGAGCTGTATTACCTGTTGCTGGTGGGGATGTGGCAAACGTGAACAATTGGTTGTTACTGATATACATGCAAATTATTACATCATTTCTGTCACAGTCATAACATTTCAAAGTACATATAACTTTCATTTTGATATCCCAATTCTGTAACATTATTTCTTATAAATAAAATTATTAGTAAGTAAAGATATATGTACACAGATATTTACTGCAGCATTATTCATAGTAATAAAAAGGAACATTAAGAGATTTCCTATCAGTAGAGGAATATTGGAATAATTACGGTGCCCCCACACTATGGTGTTGTACATAACTACCAAAACAGTGAATTAGACTTACATCACTTAAATAATTTCCACAAAGTACTTAAGTATGAAAATCAACATATGAAAAAGTGTTTATAATTGTTTTAATTGCAAAAAAAATCATCCATAAATGTTTTCATATGTATGTATGTCTATTTACTTTTAATTATTTAGGCTTTAACAAAAACCATGAAAGATCTATCCTAAATTGTTATCCAATATTTGCTAGAAAGGAGTGAGGAGTGTGGAGTAGCAGTAGGGGGGAAAAGGAACGACAAGCCAATATGTTAATACCTTCAGTATATAAAATAAAATATATGTATAACAAAGTAATAAAATTAGATATAAAATAAAGTATATAAATAAAAATCCACGGAACAAAAATATCTTAAAAATCTAGAACGTATGTTACTCCATTTACATATAGTTATAATGAAAAAAACAATATAAAGGCAATAATTAAGACTGTGAATGAAGTTAATATATCTCAACAAGATATTTGAGGAGATTAAAGTTAAATCACTGGGAAATGGTAGATGCCTGACAAACACTCTTATCTGGGAATTTTACATGAATTTTAAATTTAGCACTTGAGAGATATTTGGGTTCAGGTCCTCATCAAATGCATTCTCATTTATCTCATTATTATAACGGCAACTGTAAGCAAGCACTCAGAGATCTATGTGTGAAAGATTTACAAATACCTGTACCCCCCCCTGAAGCAGGACTCTCGAAACTATTTCCTGCTGCTAAATGATGGTTTTTATCTTCTAAAATAAGTTCCGGAATAAAAGGAAACAACATAGGGTGAAAAGGTCATGAATTTTACAGTTAACTGGGCATCAGCTTTATTTCAGGCTTTGCCACATACCAACTGTGTAATGAAGGGTATATAAAGACAATAAAGCCACAATTATCTCTCCATTAATGTGTCATAACTATATGCTGATAACTGTCAATACCAGTCAAATGGTTTGGATGATCAGAGGTCAGCCACTAGAGGAGAGGAGTTTGTCATAGCTTAGATTACTTACCTGTGTGACCTTGAGTTAGAGATTCTTCTGTTTATTCATCCCCAAAGCAGATATAATAGCAATGTTATCCATAGGGCTGTTGTGAGAATTCAGATGGATAACACACGTAAAGCACTATTTAGAGTGCTACACATACTAAAAAAGTATTCAGTGGAAACAACCAAAAATAATAAAAAAAAATCGTATCCAACGTGGCCTTGGAACATAGGTCTAGGGGGAAATAACTGGGGCAAACCTCAGCTACCCAGGACTAATACTTTGGGCCTTTTTTTTTCTGCCTCTGTGTGTGTGTAATAATGAAGATTAAGTGTTGTGTATTATCAAGGAAAATTGTCCACCTTGAACCTAATGATAAATATGAAAACAGTAACAAAACAATAAAATAAAAAACAGCCTTAGAAATGTGAAAGTTATCCTAGTTACAGCCATTAATCAGAGTTACTAACGATGCATTATTTATTACTATCCAGCATATTATCTTTCCTGTGCATTGCAACATACCAGCATTACTTTCTGTACAACTCTGGCCAAATTATTTGCTCTCCCATTACTTCCGTTGTCTCAGGATATCAATAAGCATTTTCATTAGAGAAACTCTAAGTTCTATTTCAGTTTTAAAATACTATGACTTTATGACCAAGAAAGGGTTTACCTCCCAGTTTTGTACTTAGAGTCAACACTTAAGAGAATCATGAAAGACTTCTTGTCCATGTTGATGTGTTTATTTTCTGAGTCTAAAGTCTTTCTCCTCCTTCTCATCTATCTTCCCCATTAATTCTTCAAGTTTCTTCTCCACATATTCCTTTAGCGACCTTCGTATTGCCTTCATTTTCCTCCGATGAAAGATGCAAAAATGGAATCTAGAGTAGGAAAAGAAAATAATTCCAACTTCAATATCAGTAGCCCCATTCTTTAAGCCAGTTATACATTGTTTTTTTTTTTTTTTTTTTTTTTTTTTTTTTTTTGCTGGATACTTCTCCATTTCCTTTTGTTCCAACTATTATCCCGTCAAACTTTGCATTTTATTCCTTTCAGTATCCCAGAATTTAAAATGACTTCTTTTGCTTTATTTCCATTTGGAGGAAGAGGGAATTTGGGCAGTCTCTTGGCAAAAGGAATATTTGACCCAGTGTTTATTTGGAGAGAAGAAACTCACAGTAACACAGCACTTCCCAGTATTACAGCTGTTGCCAGCAATATGAGAAATAGAGCAATCTCTCGATTCTCAGCCTTTCTTGGATCCTCGTCTGGAAGGAGAAACAGGAAAATATGAAAGTGAGTTTTGGAGAAGAGAAATAGCTTGTGACATTTATTCAGAATAGAAAACTCTTTTAACCTCAGTTTGCCCTGTTTACTACTTCATCACTGTTCCATGCTTATTTTGACCTTTATTACTTTTAGTCTCCTAGGTTCTACAAAACTGTTGCTGATAGCTGTCAGCAAAATTCTTCCCAGCCTAATTTCTTCATTCCAAGCCTAGCCTCTTCATTTCTCAGCCTTTCAGTTGATTCAGTGCCAAATTATTTATACTGGTCAAAATTTCACCCAACACCCTAGCTCCATTTTGTAACACTACCATGACCTCCATTAAAGGTCATGTAGTGACCCAACAAATACATGTAGAATAAATCAGTGAGCAACCCTGCTCCTTAATCCCTGTCCCTTCAAAATTCCATACCATGATCTTTGTTACCTCCACAATATTCTCCTTTGAAGCACCTGTTAGTCATGCGAAGACACGTCCAACAATCAAGAATGGGACCTTCAACCACAACTGATAAAGAGGAGAAGAAAGATAATCAGAAAGAGGGCATGGCACGAGGGTTCCTTAGTCATACATCAAGTGTGGAGGATTTGATCTCAAGCATTCCCAGGACTCTCAAGTTTGCATTGCTGTGAATTTCTTCTTCTCCTAGAAATCAAGTTTCTTGATGGATCAAAATCTGTAAGTCTGATCTCCAGGAAAAAGCGGGAAAAGGATGCCTCAGCTTATACTGGGGCAATGGGTTGTAAACCATATGTTAGAAGGCCTCCTAGTACCTCAAAAATATGTGGGGTGTCTGAGATTTCATGAGCTAGGTTTCGTTATCAGGTATTGTTGACGTTACCCCTTGTAACCACAGCTCTAGGAATTGGTTTCCCAGTGTAACAGGTGGGAGAGATAGGGCCATATAGAGCAAAGGAGATGGGAAAATATGGGCTGAAACCTCAAGGCGTCACATGTACTGTACTCACTGCAATCTTCAGAACAAGCTAGAAGAGAATCAGAAAGTTCTAATGAGTTTAAAACCAGCTACAGTTTGCCATATTTATACCCAAGTAGTCTTTGTTTACCCTTTAAGTTCCAGTTACCTCTCCACCCATTCTAAATAACTCTATTATGAACTTGCATTTCTTCCCTCATCCCGCATTTTCTATTCCCTTCATATAACTTCAGTGCTGTTATATAGAAAGTTTTACTTACCAATTTCAGAGAAGTTCTTTAGTAATTCTTTCAGTTTGGATTCCAGGTTTTGGCAGACATCGAGAAGCTTGCCTTGATAGATAAA
Organism: Homo sapiens; assembly: GCF_000001405.40. Lineage (NCBI taxonomy): Eukaryota > Metazoa > Chordata > Mammalia > Primates > Hominidae > Homo > Homo sapiens. Next base: position 24,545,057 of record NC_000009.12, read on the forward strand.
GACACCTAAGAGGGAGTGGAAGGGGTGTCAAAAAATAGAAGTAGCTCTTCCCTTCAGAAGTTAATTATGTCTGTTTTTATCTTTGTTTTCCCCAGCCAAATTTTCTGAGGCTTGCTTGAGCAATACAAACTTTTAACATTGAAACAGTACCTCACCTTTCCATGTTTCATTGCCCAGTTTATAAAATTCATTCTTCAACCATGTTCTCAACTTAACAACCTGCTGAACAGCTAGAGAGGGAGAGTAAAGGTACATGTAGGGGAATAATTACATCTATGCAGGAAGTTATGTAGACCCAGGTGTTCTCTTCCTTGCCTCCCTTCTCCGTTTAAGCCCCTGGACTCTCAGGAACTCAAGCTTCCCTCACCCAACACCCGAAGCCTCTTGTCACTGTGGGAGACCTTGAAGCTTAAATGAATCATCTCCTTAATCTGCCGTTCAAGCAGCTGAGTTCGGCCGGGGACTTCTGAAGGTATCAGATTTCCCAGCAAGGAGCCAACATCCTCTATAAATTTGGGGTCACATTCTAAACAGCCTTTGACTCCATGGAAGGCTGAGAGGGGCAGGAGCAGGAATAACCACAGGTCACCCATTTCTTTCTTCACCCCCGCTCCCCGACAGCAGGTTGTCCTGGCAACTAGTTCACTTAGTTCCTTTTCCTTCAAAAATCCGGGAATGAGAGCCTGGTTCTGGATAGTCTGACTCCACTTTTCCCGCTGTTTCCATCCCACTATCGGGCAATCTTTAGTTGTTTAGTTTAATGATCTTTAGTTGTTTACTGACTATTATCCTTCATTCTAGGAGAGGGAACTGCCAGCTGGGGAGCGGATACCTGAGTTCTGAGTGTAGAACACCAAGAGATAGAGAAGCCTTGAGCTCACACAAGCAGAGTTCTGTGCAGGGAGATGTCTCAGAAAAAGTGTTTCTTTAGCCCTCTCCCTGACTTGCATCCTCATGAGACTCTTAAACCCCCTCCTGACCTTCAGAGATGTTTATCATCAGAGATGGGTTATGGAAGTGATCCTATAGAACCTGAGAGATTGCTTAACTCAAACTCTGCTTCTACATTAGAGGTAAGAAAAGCCAAGAATATTGAGTTTCTTGCGGGTCTCGGTCCCTACTGGGGCAGTATTGTTGACAAATACTGGTGGCAGTATTGTTGAGAATAAAGGAGTGAGCATTTATCTAGAATAATATTTGGCAATTTTAATAGACAGTAACATATTTCAGGCTACATTTATCACTAGGATGATTTTCTAGACATGACTTGTAATCTTTTCCTTTTCTTCTTGCTTTCTTCTCTTTTCTTTCCCTTCCTTCCTTCCTTCCTTCCTTCCTTCCTTCCTTCCTTCCTTCCTTCCTTCCTTCCTTCCTTCCTTCTTTCTTTCTCCTTTTCTTTTCTTTTCTTTTCTTTTCTTTTCTTTTCTTTTCTTTTCTTTTCTTTTCTTTTCTTTTTTTTCTTTTCTTTTCTTCTTTCGAGATGGGATTTCACTCTTGTTGCCCGGGCTGGAGTGCAATGGCATGATCTCAGCTCACTTCAACCTCCGCTCCCGGGTTCCAGTGTTTCTCCTGCATCAGCCTCCTGAGTAGCTGGGATTACAGGCATGTGCCATCATGCCTGGCTTATTTTGTATTTTTAGTAGAGATGAGGTTTCTCCATGTTGGTCAAGCTGGTCTTGAACTCCCGACCTCAGGTGATTCACCCGCCTCGGCCTCCCAAAGTGCTGGGATTACAGGCATGAGCCACTGTGCCTGGTGATTTCTAATCTTTTTATAGCATTCTTCTTATAGAGAGTGTGGAGTCAGATACTAGAAACAATAGTTGAGGAATACTGAGTGATGAATCCAATAAAGTTCAGATCCTTTAACAAGTGCATTCTAAAATACTGGCAAAGTATGTAACATATAAAAACATAGTGGTTATCATGGGCTTCCCTCTCAGACCACCTACAAGGAAGATGTCCAAATAAACATGTTCTCCTTTCAATGGCCCTTTGAATAAAAATATTCTGTGTTATTTGAATAAATTGAGGTTGCTTTTCAGACTCTTAAGAGCACTGGTTACCTCTTTTCTAATACATTGCCTGTATGGCTGTGACCTTCTGGAAACCAGGAAACACTGGCAATCTACAGGGTTAGTGGTAGAATTTATATTTAAGATATGGGGTGATCACAGTGGAATGTTGTGCGGGAAGTTAAAAGAATTACCATTACTTATACGTCTACCAAGTCCATGTGACAGACATTGTGCTAAACATTTCAGGTAGTCACAAATTCTCATGGCGCGCAATCCTTTGGAGATTGTCATTTCTATGTTACTGGTAAGAAATTGAGACTCAGAGATGTAAAAGAATCCTCGCTGGAAGAATAATTTAGAGTATGAGTTCAGGGTTCAAGCTCATGTCTTGTGTGGTTCCAAACCCTATACATTTTACTGCCTCTCAACAACAACTTGCTGGGATAACACAGAAAATTATCTCTTGGAATTTGATAAGTCAAAATATGAAGGCCAATACAGATTACTTGATTTATGGTTTAAATTAGCATATCTCTGCTCAGATTTTTTTTTTATTCCCTTGGCTAGATGATCTCATTTTTAGAGGATTTCCCAAAAGATTTTCACATGCTGAGGTCTGAAGGCAAGTGAGCTAATGGGATTAAATTAACTCTAGATAGTAAAGTTGAAAACTAAAGGGGCTAAAAAATTTGGCAGAGAAGTGGCAAGGTATGAGAACAAACTGTGCTTCAAGAAAAGATATGCATTATAGATATTTTCCAGTCAATGATCCATACCTTCACTTAGACAGTTCAAAGAGTATCCTCTGACACATTACTGAATAATTCAATGGCACATTACTTTAACCCAGACTTAGAGGTCCATCTATCATTTTTATCATTGTCTCACCCTTCCAGCTTAAATTTCAATCAGGTTTTTAGAATGAGAGAAAAAAAATGGCTTTTGGATAGTCTTAGAAAGGCTGGAAAAAGGCAAGTCACTTATTAAGACAGATAGAACTTGTAATTGAAAGAATACATATATCCCATGTAAAAGGAATAACAAGGAAGGAAATCTCAGTCTCATGGAGTAAACAGTAGAAAGATAACACAATGTGCTAATGGTAAACCCAGAGGTACACATCGAGGTTTATGAGAAAACAGAGCAGTACTAGCTAAGTTTAGAGAAATTTTTATAGAAAGGCTGGATCCAGGAGATTAGAGACAGTAATTAATATATCATGATGAGTGAGAATCCAATAGTGTTCAGGAACCTTTAGGGGGAACACTCTAAAAGTACTGATGGTGAAATGTATAACATAAGAAAATAACCACAATTATCATGGGATAGCACTTTGAATTTCGTAAATGTAAAATATTTGAGCTTTGGGAAAGAAGAGCTGTCTGGAAATTGATTAATAATGTAATGATCACATTACTTAATTAAAATAATAATGCCTGTGTCTGGAAAGCAAAAGGCTAACACCCAAACCCTAGAATAATTAAGTTAGTATATGGTTTGGCTTGGCAGGAAGAGCTATGATTTATAGTCAGCACAAATCTGCAGACTAGCTAGCTAAACTCTGTTTAAAATAGTATGAGACAAATAATGGCACATACATTCATAATATTTTTACCAACTACATAATGACTCATTTGTAGTTGTAACATAGATATTCATGGGTAGTTGTTTTTATACTAAAACACTAGCAATTAGAGAGTCCCTCCTTTAAGGGCTAGAATCAGTTGTTTGGTACCATTTGGCCTTTGTTACAAATCACATAAGGTACTGAGGTTTGAAATTTGAAGAACAAGTTTCATAAAGAGCAAGATTTTTACAGAAATTCTCCCTCATCCCATGGTAGATCTGATTTCTCAGATTTATTAACAAAAATAATGAATCCTTATCCTCAAGCTTCTTACAGCCATTTTTCTGATGGATTATTTATGCCATTGAGCTCTGCTCTATTACCCATCCCTACCTATCACTTCACAGGATTCCTTAAAAGTTTGGCAAATAATTTAGATACCTTTTATAGTCACATGCAGTTAACTACATTCCTGACTGTAATCTGAGATCAAGAAGCCATTACTTGACATTTGGCCATGTTATAAGCTATATTTCTAGGTAGTGTAATAATCGTATTTGAAATAATTACTATATACCAGACATTCCACATGTAGAATAAGTTTAATTTTCTATATACCTCCCCATTTATATTCCATTGTCATTAAGCTAATTTATTTCCTCATATTTCACTTATCCTTTAGGAATAGTCATAAGGGTGGGTAAATTATAGGGTAGACTAGAAGATTTACAATGAATCTTTAACAGGAAATGAACTAAAAAGCTAAACACATCAAGGCGATTGTGGGAAGAATGAGGGGAGGAGGGTAGCGGAAGCAGAAGATATGTGTCACAGCTTATTTTCTCTCTATACTAGAAATGTTGAGTTAAATCCTCATATTCCATGAGCTTTTGCCCTGTTCCCTTTAAGGGCTTTTACAGAATAGGTTAATAGAAAGGGCTCGTGAGACGATGTCAGTTCCTATGTGGCATGGAATGTCTTAAGATGCTTTCACTGGGTGCTGGGGAAGGATGTACAACTCAACTCAGGATCTGACTGGCACCTTTGCTGGCATATCACCAAGGCTTCAGGTAAAGGGACCCTGTGTAACAGCCGGAGAGCAGACCTGGTACCAGGGTCAGGAAAGGAAGTGGAGTCTGCAGCAAGCGTCAGGGCCTTGTTGGGCCAAATCATTAGGAAAGACCACCAGTTACTGATGCAACTGAGAGAAAACAGGTTGAAAGTGCCCCATGTGCAGAGTTTCTCAACAAATACTATAAATAGATTTAGGAATGGTATTAGGTAAAGTTACATCTTCACCTTGGAAGATACCAACACACTGTCAAAAACTAAAACACACGTTAGTGGAGAAATTTACTGCACAATTTACTGAGAGGATAAAAAATCAGGAGTTTTTAAACCCCTCTCTAGAAGGAGAGGGAGTCCATGGTGGTTATATTTACTACATTTTCACACGCTAGATAGGAAGGATTGAGTCCATGACTGGACTTGTAGTTGGTTAAAACAAGCCTGGATTTTGGTGATTATGAATTTGTTTTAACCTGGCTCAAGAAGGTCTAGGGTCCCAGAGTTACTCAGACTTCATAGTTTCTTAACAATTTCGGGAGGTTAAAGCTAGCTGGCATGAAACATAACAGTTTTGATATGTTGTAGGCAAACGCTACTGTAAGTGAAAAACTTTCTTCTACATGAGACACATCCAAGACAATGACCCCTCAACCACACAGTGCCATGAGGTAACATCAGCTCCTACCTCCCCATTCTTACATCCTGTTTGGAAAGAAACAAGAGGAAAAATGTGAAAGAATGATTCTTCCAAAAGAAATGGAGTTATCTAAAAAAAGTGTTTAAATTATTTGGTGAGATTAGGCTTATTATATTATGCTAATATTGCTTTTTATTTTTTACCCAAGGAGGTGAAAAGATGTTCAGAGAAAGCTAAGACCAATAGACTATGAGGAAGCTATGTCTCTTTCGTGTATCTGAGAGCAGTGTGAAAAAATGTGTGACCTTGCAACATAAATGTCATATTTTATTCTCAAGACAAGCTTGCATGACTATTTCCATTTTATAAAATACAAGCCTGATGTTTGGAGCCATTAAAGGACTTGTCCAAGGTCACACACTTAGTCGGATAAAGATTTGGGGGTTGTAACACAAATTTGTCTGCCTTCAAATCCATGTTCTTTCTAAAACACCAAAATTTCTTTTCTGAAGAGAGTTAATCCAAGGTCACATCATCATTGCCTCAGAGTAGCAAGAATAGGTACTCTTATGAAATTATATTTGAAAAAAATAGAAAGATGTTGTGTTCTTTTCATTCAATTATTTAAAAATTATGGAGTCTGTAATTCAACCATCTTTTAGTTTTCTCCCCATAGCCAATTCTTTTCTCCATTCCTCCCAATTATTTCTATAGAGGAATTGCCTGTTGATTAAAGTACCTAATTTCTTTAATGACACATATAAAAGATACAGATGTTAACCTAGTTCGCCATAAATAAATACCAGGTACATGCAGAATTTCTCCTTTCCTACCTTCAAAAGGAATAAAAACACAATAATAAAACCAATAATGAGAACCCAGTAGCCAATAAGAAGTAATTTCATTGAACAAAAAGTCTATGTCAAATAGTGTTTTATAATTCTTACATGCATGATCTTATAAAAATCTCTATTCTAAAAGGCTGGTCCTATTTTACCCATTTAGAGATGAGAGAACTGAGACTGAGTGGTTAAGTATTTTCAACCAGACCATAGAGCTCTCTGGCAGTAGAGCATGGATTTGTATAGTTTTGAATGATTCCCTATTTATTTTCTTTAAACCATCAAATTCTCAGTTTTTGGTAGCCAAGAGGAAAAAATGTACCCTTTCCCTGTACGTAATGAACTGGCTTATTTCTGATAAACTTATACTTAGTAGGTGAGACATTGTGGACTAATATATGGCACTAGATTCAATTTTAATTCTGATCCTTGTAGGAAAAGATCTCTTTGCAGTGTGTAGAGTCAAGGGGTTGAACTCTTAGTGGAATTTGAACTTAATGGTTACTACCCTTCAAGAACTAATTTTATTGTTAACTTTTTTTTACATTATACAACTTTTCTTTAGTATAAAATTTTGCATTTGGACCTTTATTTGCAGACTTGTATTTGTCATCTTGTTTTGCAGTATTAATTAGGATAGTTTTCTCTTGATTCTTTCTAATATGCTAAGTAAGTATTTTCTGTGTAATACAACCTGTCTTCAAACTACACCTGTAGGTGTTGGCTTATCTATAAGATCATTGGAAATTTAATCAAATTTCATTATATCTTGCAGTGTCTTCTGAAAAATGACCTCAACAAAATTTGCTATCTACCTATTTACTAACATAAATGAGGAAACCAAAAAGGTCAACGGTGAGGCAGGAAGGTTTCAGTTCAGTGGAGAAAAGAAAATCTTGATGAAATGTCATTAACTTCCATATTTGGAATAAGCTATAAAAGGTGTGGAATCTCCATTCTTTCAATCCGCAGTCAGTGTTGGGCAGTCCTCCCTCAAGGTTTGGGCTTTACTGAATTGGAAGTCCTCCTAGCTGACATAGCTGTTACAATATTTAGAGTATTTAGAGAATGATACCATGAGAAGTTTCTGATTTATATTATTTTTTAAATTTAATGAAAGTATAACAGCAGATATTATATATATGTATAATTTTTTTGAAAAATGAAAATTCTGGTACTACATACACTAGATGAAAAAGGAATTTGTCTAGTTCTACACATTATCAAGTCATTTTTTGCCTAAACACATTCACCAAGATGGATTCTAAAAAACACTACAAATCAGTTTTTTTAAGTGGTAAGAGGTATATTTTCTAGAAAAATATAAAATGGTTTCCAATTGTAGCTATTTAAGAATTTCACCATAAATACTTCATCAAATTCTTTTGCTCTGTGATGATTTAAGACCTTGACAAAGTATACATTGACCACTTTTTATTTTTGCCAAGTTTAGCTCTATGTCTGAAGGGCAGATGCGATAAATTGGTCATACATTATCTCATTTGCAGTCTGAGTTTTATGAGCTCCCATAAAACAATTACCATATACACATTTTACAATAAATGAGCAAACAAAGCGGCTGCAAACAATATGGAAAAGTCAATAATTAATTTCAGATTTCCAAATGTAACAGAGACAAGGGAGCTTTCTCTTCTTCTCAAAAGGGAAGGTTTCTTTGTTAGGAATATGCAAGCATGTTAATTCATTACTGTGTGGTTTCTCTTTTTCCAAAGCTTGTCGAAGGTCTAATTTATGTGCAAGACTGAAAGCTGTTTAAACGGATAATATGCCTCCTTCATGAGAAATACCACCCCTTTATGCTCCATTAAGTTCAGACGTTGACTCTATAAGCTACGTACCAATTATTTCTTTCCAGAAACAGCAACGTAGTTTTTTTCTGCAAGGGACAACAGATTATTGTAGGCGGCTATTAATCTCCACATAGTTCACAAAATACACAGGACACTAGGGAGAAAACAATCACGTTGCTATTTTAACATTTGCAAAATGCTATGTGGAGAGGAAATAAAAAGAAGATGCTTGTCTGATTGCAACACTCCTTTATTATTTCAAATCTCCCAAAGATAGAAAAACTCTTAATAATGACCTGCTGATGTTGAAGCATCTCTGTGATAGACACAGAAATGAGTCTTTATCTGGTTGATCTTTGTTTTCTCCAACATGTATGGCTGACAACTGCACAATCCAACTGCATGAGACGGTTGGATGTGAGAGTGAGCAAAAATGCCTATTAAAATGCTAAAATAAATTCTTATACAACAACAGCATTGTTGAGTGCAATGATAATGGAACAATTCGCAGAGTAAAAACCAGAAAAATATACCACTACTTCAGTATAACCTGCTGTAGGTTAGAATTTAATATGATGGCACTGAATTATTTTTAGGGGAGTGAATTACCCTAAGTAGCAGAGCTGTTTACAAAACTATTGACACTGATACTAGCCCATGTATCAAAATCCAAGGATTATTTTAATAATGAGAAGTCAATATCTTATTGTTAAAAATGTATGACTTTATCCAGTCAAAAGTATGTAAGTGCCTACATTTAACTTACATCCAACAAGTATTTATTGAGCACTTATTATTTGTCAGAAACCATGCTAAGTAGCAACAATAGAAAGAAGATGGGAGAGAAATACCTCTGCTACGGCATGCAATCAAGTGGAAGGCTGATATTTTAATCTAAACTTTTTTTAATGTATTGAGGTGGCTTTTTCCCCCAAGCATTCATTTTTGTTACACACACACACACACACACACACACACACGCACGCACACACAGATTATGTATATGCATATATATGCATATATTTATTTTAAAAAATTAACAGTCTTTATGTTTCTGAATGGGAATTTTGCTCCATTCCAAACAAATAGGGAAAGTTTTGGCTGAGTTGGTCCACACATCAAAGGGTGACTTAAGTCAGTTAATACATTCTATTTCTCCAGAAACTGCATCAAGAATGGGTATGTAAGGCAATCACAGCCCATGAGATACTGGCAAATATTAATGGAAGCTTTCGGGAAAACAAACAAAAATCCACACTGTCTCCTTTGTAGGAGTTACCAGAGAAAACTCTGACTGTTTTCCCAAACCTCCTTATGTGAAAATGTGAACACTAAAGCCGCCACTGCCAGAGGCATGTTGGGGCTCCCCTTATCTGTGGTTTATGACGGCTGATTTGACAATCAATTCTGCACGTGGTAGCTTGAAACTGACCATGGTAGAAGAATTTACATCTCAGAAATTGCAGATGATACAAATAAAGGGTCTTTAAGTTTTTTCTTCCCTTTTTTTAAGGGAGGTGCAGATAGCCAGCTTACTCTGAGTCCATAGTGTGGAGTCATATGGAAACTTAGTGTGAGACCAGCAGAGAGTCATGAGAAATTAGGTCTTGATACCGTAAGTTGAACTACCAGATCAAGCTTTAGTAGAAACCTGCCCTAGGTCTGGAGTTTTCATTTAATGTGAGCATATAACTTCTTCAAAAAATAAACAGTTTCATGAACAATGTACATTATTTTTTGAAGGTAGAATACTAAAATTGGCATTACTTCAAGAGAATTCTTAAAAGCAAATTGAGGTTACAGAAAAAGACAGTATGTGTACTGGGAATCTTAAGAGAACAATTGACAGTTTTGAAAATGTAAATCTGCCTCTCAAGATACATCTGGTGGACAGGCACTTAGGGGGTTGATAATTTGGAAAAAGCAGTTTAGTTGTTGAAGGCATGTGTTGCCTACAGTGGTAAAGGTTAAGTTGTTAAAATGTGGTATTGACCTGTGCACTGATTCCAATTATAAAATTTACTCCAGTCAAATTTGCAGTGTACATTCCAGTAAAATTAAGTGTTGCCCCAGTAAAATTTGTAAATCCACATATGCCATTCTACAGGAATAACTAGCTAACTAGCCACTGAGCTTATGAACAGAGACAAAATAGAAGAAAATTCCAAAATAACAGTGTGGTCAAATTAGAATTTCTGTTTTAATTAACGGGGAAGTAGTGGAGGCATATAATGCTATTGAGGCAGAAATAAAAGTGTAGTGGGTCTTAACACCAAAGAAATAAATTCTACAATATTTTATCTAATGTATTCAATGTCAAAAGGAAAGGAATTATACTTAAATTATGATACAACCATAAATTATTAATGGAGAAATATTGGTCCACATTTTAAAGCTAATTTTTATACAAATATACTGACAATATTAAGAAAGCTTGATCTTAATAATTTAATAAACTCCTGACAGGTTTTGAGCACCTTTGTAAGTACTATGCTTTCTAATTTTCATGAAATCTCCATGGACAAGGGTCTGATCTACTCCATTTATTAAGTAGGAAACTGAACTTCCAGAAGGAAATGTTACTTTTTCAAGCTTATATGTCCTATGAGGGCAAAAGTTTGGGTCCAACTCTAATGCCTATACTTTGCTGAATTAGATCACATCAATTATACATTTTGATGCATATTTCATCTTAGCCCAATCAAATCAAAGTGAGATAAAAATTAAAGAAAAAACATATTTTAAGTTTTGTTTAGATAAAAGAAAACATGAATCAGTGGGCAAGCCATGGGACAGTTGAACTAACTCTCACACATATCGAAGTAGAGTTCTAAAACAGCATTTGATGATAAAGGTTAGCATAAATCTGGAAGCTGTTCCTCTGACCTGAATAGGTGCTTAGAGAATATTAGCAAGCTAGAGAAAGGCCTAAATATGTGTCGAGACTCATCCAATCTTTCAGGTGTGGGAAAATTGAGTTTTTTATTAAGGTGAAATAACCAATGTCTATCTCACAGCATCAAACAAATGACTTAGAGAGACAAAGGAATTTGGAAAAACAGCTTTGTCTGTCCCATCAAAATAGCTAGTCTTTTAAAGTAATAACTGTGTAACCTTGGGGAAGTTAGTTACCCTTTAGAAACCTAAGGTTTTGCAACTGAGACATGGGAAAAAATATATACACATACACATTATAAGGTTCTTGTGAGGGTTAAATGAGATGATAATATGTTACCAAAAAGTACCTTATATTTATTAAATGTAAGCATTCATTAAATGTTAGTTGTTATTGATGTTATTTTTGTTACAAATAAAAGTGTTCTTCCTTTCTCATTTAGTAATTATAAAACATTGCACAATTCACTGGATCTCTTTAAGCCTTAGTTTATTTATAAAGATGGCTCTCGTATAGTATCATGTTAATCTTTTAACGTTGCTTTGAGGGTTAAACTGTAAAATGCATATAAAAGTACAATAAGTCCTCACTTGATATTGTCAACAAGTTCTTAGAAAATACTTTAAAATCTTTGAATAATATTATTTGTTTCAAAATTGTTTCATTCTAAACTTGAGCAGAAAAAATACTGGTTTTATTATGCTTCTTTTGCTTAAAGTCAGTTTCTAAGAACCTATCAACAAAGTTAAGTGAGGACTTACTGTATTTTAGAAAATATAATAAATTAAAAGAAGTGATATATTAACATCCTCACTAGAAAAATCCACTGGGTCATCTCACTCCACATCTCGTTAGCCTCTGTAGCATTAGAGAGGAAGACTACCTTTTGCAAAATAGTATCATTCACTTTTTTCTCAATGCCATTTCTGCACTTCTCTCTGTTCCTGTCTGACCAGCTCTTTTTCATTTTCTTTACAGAATGCAATATCTCTTTTTACCTCATAATTGTTAAATGTTCCACAGGGCTCCTCTTAATCCTCTTCTCATTCTACTGAATCTTAACTACTCCTATGACTTTAACGTCTAAATCTCTATCTATCGCCTAGCCCTAGAACTACAACTATTCTAATCTTAAAATGAGTTTTCCCAAATGGGGCTTGACAATGACAAAATGATTAGTGATCTTCAAAGTATATTGGATAAACTTTATAAAGCTATATGAAACACTATTATTCCACTAGATATTGATATAGAAGTAATTGAGCTGCAATATCAGATGACATTAAAATGAGTGTTTATCACCATTCTTGGCTGAAGGTTTCTGGTAAGAAATAAGTAGCCTCTAAGGACAAACTAAGCAAATCCAGCCCAGTTAAGTTATGATAGAGATCATTCTGGAATTTATAGCATCTTTCTCTTCCTCATTCATTTGCTTCTTCAAAAAATATTTATTTAGCACTAATTATGTCCGGAATACTAAGATTTTTTTATAAGGAAAGAGGAGAAATGATAATAGGGCATGAAGAAGATTATTGAAACTGTTCCTTGAACTAGCTTTAAATTTGGGGTTTACTATAGTGAGAATTACACTAGAAAACTGAGTCCCTTTATAAGTACTCCATTTGATAATCTTGCTTCTAATTTTAAATCAATCTGAAAGAAAAAAGAAAAAATTAACTCCATCAGGTGGAAATTATATATAAACCTGAATTGAAGAACAGATTTTCTTTTAAATTGGAAAATAATTCTTCTTTGGAAGTTAATTCCTTTCTACTTAGAAACTGGTAGTTTTATGTAAGATAAGAAATGCAGAAAAATTAGATTGATATACAAATAACTGGCCAGTCTTTGTTTTCTGATACACTAGATAAGTATTTTATGTATTTAAGGAATTAAAAGGTGGTTTACAAATAAGAAAAACGTGCCTCATTTTAGGCTGTAAAACTCCCCAGCCAGAAAAGACAATAGAAATCACTTCACAGAAGCCAAACAACCTGATTTATTCAAATTATGAATTCCAAATGAACGAGAATGCTTATTCTTGAGAAAATACAAACGTGGAATTTCTATATTTTCGATATGAATATGACATTGAGACTGCTTGTAATTTCTGTTAGCAATGGGTAATATACTGCAAAGAAAGAGAAATAGGTTATTTTTTAAAAAGAACCCACTGAAAAAAAATATGAACAAAAAACCTAGGGAAATTAAAGATAGAAAATAAGCTTTATTGCTTAAGGAATAAGCATGGGAGACTGGGAAATTATTAGTATGGGGAAAAATTGAGGATAAGAGATAAAGCCAAAGTCATAGCTAATTATTAGTTGATTTGGAATCAATAAAATTTCCATGTGTAATTTTTTGGTTGCTGAAAACCTTAGTTATAACATTTGGTCTTATATTTAATTTAATCTTCATAATTCTGTGAAGATAGTATTTCCAATTCTCGTATATGAAGATAAAAAGCCAGGTTTATGAATGTTACAATGTTTGCTCATGTCACAGTGTTGGTCAGCAGCAGAAGTGAGATATAAACCCAGATCTGTCTGAGCCCCAAGCCTGTGTTCTTTCCACTTTCCTATGCTCATCCTATTCCCTCTCTACAGAGTGAAGCAACATTATTATAAGGTTCTATATAATGCAATGTGATTTAACACTAACCGGTGATTTTCAACTTATGGAAGTTAATTTTGTGCTAATCCATTTAAAGTGACTAACTCCATCTTCCCCATGGCCCACACCACGTGTTAGTGGGACAGATGGTGTGAACTGAGGTCATTGAAGAATAATACTGATTGATTCACGTGGGGATTATCAAGATGTTATGACCTAAAAGAAAAATCAGTCTATGTTTAACAAATTTTATGAGCATAATAAAATATAACTTGTATACTCAGATATTTTTCTTAAATGCATTTATGAAAATGTATAATTTTTATCTTTATAATTAGCATGCTGAGATAATACTAGGATCATTTTAAAGATAGGTTTTTCATATATAGAATATTAGCATACTAATAGGCTTTATAGCATAAAAAGCATATTAACGTAGTTAATTCACACACTGGACGAGCATATTCATTTAGTTTCTGTAATATGGTAAGCATTGAGTTAGGTGGGGTATATCAGTTAATGAAACAAAGCCCCTGTTCTGGCAGAGCTCAGAGTCTAATTACACAAGAAAATGAATTATTATAACTGAGAGAAAGGCCATAAGTTACAAGAAGCTGGTTTTAGAACAGCGCAAGAACTTCGCTTATACTGGAAACAGAAGGAAGTTTCTCATAATAGAAATAAATTTCAGCTGAGATCTGAAAAATTAGGCATAACTAAGGTAAAGAATTGTGACAGAACATTCCAGATAAAGGAGGAAGTATGTGCAAAGGCCCAGAGGGAATACAGTTAATTCAAGAAACTGAAAGAAACTTGAATTGAGTGGAGGCAGAGAACAAAAAGTAACCCTAGACTACACACAGGAGAGGTTAAAGATTTTGATCTTTGGCCTAAGAATAGAGAGAATTGATTGAAAGAGTTTTTGCAGCAGCTGATATTATCAGATGTAGGTTTGAAAAATTTTCTCAAGTTTCAGGATACAAGACATTTAAGGGTACCAGAGTGTATATAGAAAAACCAGTAGGCTTTTGAGCAGTAGTCAAGGCCAGAGAATGGTATATGGGACCCAAGGTATGGAAGTGGTGGCCATGAGACTAGATGAATAAAATTTGGATTTTGAACTATTACATGGGCCTTTGTACTTTAACTAGTGAAATTAGGCTCTTCTGTGTCTGAAGTGAGTTGATGAAGTACGGATTACACTGAAGATTTTTCCAGGAAAGCAAGGAAAAAAATGCCTCTACTGTGTATATTTGACTGGCAGTCAAATGGGATGGAGAAAGAAGGAAGCTGCTTCTCATTGTACTCTATGACAGGTGACCAGTAAAGGGCCACACACAGAGATAAATAACACTGAAAGAGGACCAGGTTTAGGAAGGCAGACTCAGCAGCACTGTAATATAGTGGTTCATAAATGAGTCTTTGGACCCAGCATGCATGGGTTTAACTACTGGGTCTGAGATGTATTAACTGTATGAACGTGGACAATTTATTTATACCTATTATTCCCCGTTTCTCTCATCTATAAAAATGGAGAAGATTGTGATGGTAACTACTTACCTGAAACATTATATGGCCCATGGCAAGAAATTAGTAAGTTGCTATTATAAGCCATTTCTGGATATGTTGAATTTTAGGTCATTTTAATTATACAAAAAGGCATGGTGAGTAAATTTTTAGATATATACATCTGAGTTCAGAGGAAAGGTCTGGACTGCAGATAAACTGAGGAGTCAATAGTGTTTAGATGGTAATTGAAATGGGACTAAATGAGATTGACTCCCTGAGAAAACATAGTGAAAACAGAAAAGGAAATAAAACCGCTTTGAAGAACACTATTGTTTAATAGCTGGGTAGGAGAAGGTGAGCCTTTTAAGAAGATTGAGAAAAAGTGGCCAGATGGATAGTAAGAAAACCAAAGAAGCTTGTATCATGCGCACTAAGAGAAAGAAGATTGTGAATAAAAGAGAAATGGTTACTACTGTCCAATGTAAGATCATGTAAGACAAACATTGCAATATGACTATTGATTTTAGTTACTTGACGATCATCATTTAAGGTCAATAATGACCTTAGCAATGGTGGTTTATATGGAGTTATAGGATCAGATGCCAGAACAGGGGAAACTGAAAAATAATATTGAGGTAAATAAATGAAAACAAAAAGATATCGCTCTTTTAAGTTTAATTGAAGGGAGAGGAGGGAAGTAGAATGGTTATTTAGGTGGAATTGAGGAAGAACTTTACTAATGAAAAAAACTGATAGTTTCTTTTAAGACAATGGGAAAAACCTCAAATTGATTCTATTTGGTTAATGGGCCACATATAGTTCCAATTAGACAAATTAAGGATTGACAGTCACTAAGGAGTAAAATAGGTCATCAGAGTGTCCATATCGAAAAGACAGAATCTCAATAGTGATCTTACATTATCAATTTGGTCAGATGGTGATCCCTTTGGATATTACACAGTAGGACAAGATACACACATCTGTCACATTCCAACATCTTCATAGGTCAAGATCCCAGTCACCAGAAGTACATTAGACTACCCTTATTCCTTACACAAAAGTATACATGACAACCCTGATTCCTTGCTTTCTTCATAAATTTCCACTTTCTTCTACCCCTTCCTTTATTGGTTAATCTTGACCTCATACCCCATTGTTAACAATGACTCAGTCTTCATTTCTTTTGGCCTTCAGGACCTCCGGTCCTTTAGTAATTTATTTCTAAATTACTAAACTAAATTATTTAGTAATTTAGTTTCATACTTTGGCATTTCCTGAAAGATGGGCAATCTATTGTTATATATTTACAGAGTGTCTACTGTGTACTCAATGTCTTCTAGGCACTAGGATACAGCAGTGAACAACAACAACAACAGCAAAACAAAATCCAAGCCCTCAAGAAACTTACTCCTTGGTGAGACAGAAAGATAAATGTATGTCTGTATATCTAAGTGCTTGAATAAATAATTAAAGATCACACAGTAGGTCAAATTTGTACACTTTTATGAGTGATTCTATGTCACTCTATATAGGAACTTTAGAAAAATTTTCCCCAGAATTTGCCCAGCAGGAATTATGCTATATTTTGAATATGAATGTGTTAAATTCCTCAAATTACATAGCACATTATCAAATGTTTACAGATAAGTGATACCTAATTTTACAGGTGACATTGGAGCATCTTGCATGGTGTTTGGAATATACTTATGATTGATTTGTATCATTTGTTATACTTCCAGGACTACGTGTCTTTCCCCAGGACTATATGCCGTTCCCTTTCCAGGACTATGTGTCTTTCCGCAGGACTATATGCCATTCCCCAAGTGCCATTCGGGTAGTCTGACCTCTTACCAGTCTTGGGTTAATCAGCTTTGAGATGGGCATAATGATAAATCCTGAAAAAATATTTTTAATAGTTTTTGTTTGTCTGCTGCTGCTCTCTAAATAGTAATGGGTAAGTTTCTGTTTTAAGTCATGTGTTATCCTGAAGCCAGTGTATAGTGGAGTCCATCTCATGCTACTAGGACTGATAATGTATTTTTAGATCTTCAGCAACCTTAAACGATTGTGAGTGGAGAATGGGAAGAGATTGGGGGTGATAACTGTGTAAGCATAAATCCAATGTGTGAGTTGCTTGAGTGTACCAGTACGTCAGCGTATAATTACAGAGTGATGAGCACAAAGGAAACACTAAATATTGATTTTCTACATATGAGTCTTGATGCTGGATCTTGCTGCCTTTTACCTAAGTTCTTCTCATTTATTCTCACCACCTCCCTCTAGCACTTAGTAATGGGATAGTTGAAGCCATAGGTATCTCCAGAAATAGAGTATGATTTATTCATCTACTTTTTCATTTCACACATTTTAACGGTCGCCTATTGGGCAATGTGTAATTTTCATGCTATTCGGAATTCAAATATCGAAGGCACATTTCATGTATTCAAATTTATTACAATTTAGTACATACAGGAAAATAAAAGGTTTTAATACATAGTGATAAATGAGAATGTAGCATAATAGTTGGCAGTCTAAGCTCTGGAGTCCAACACAGCTAGGCTGGGAGTCTAAATTCCATCACTTTTGACTACATAGCCTTGGGTAGTCATTTAACATCTGTGGGATACCAATAGTAATTGAGACCCAAAGATGCTGTAAATAGTAGATAAAATGACTCAGCTGTTTATCACAGTACCTGGCATATAATATGTCAGCCTGCATTTTTGTTGACATTGGTGTTTATTTTTGTATAAGAATGGCATACACGTAGTGATACTGGACAAGGGAAAGAGCACTGGAGATGAAACATCCCAGAAGACTTTCTGAAATATTAACAGGACATGTCTTGACACTTGAAAGATGAATATGGATTAGGAAAGGCAGAAAAGGCAGAGGAGGAAAGGACAAAGGTTAGTGCAAAGGCTGGAAGTACATAATGAGCATTTGCAGGCTTCAAGAAATTCCAGGTATCTGGAGAGAAAGTGTGACTGTGGAAAAGTAAGACTGTGAAGGGCCTTGCGTGTCTTAGGGTACTAAAAAGCAATTCACATTTCTTCTTTTCATGGATCTTAGTTTTGTGTGAAAACCCAGTGTCCTTCCAATGAATTAATATGTTCCGTTCCTAATGTCAACAATCCAGTGATTATGCTGCTTTGTAGTAAAAATAAAAACAACCCAAAATATTTCAGTGAAATAAATTTGAAATCATTCTATATATATCATTGTACTAATGAAAAGAGTTAGAATTCAGCTCATATATAAGTCTAGCTTTTCTAATGCTTTTGTTTTAAGACCTGTGTTTTAGGTTCGGGGCTACATGTGCAGGTTTGTTACATAGGTAAACTCATGTCACAGGGGTTTGATGTATGAATTATTTTCTCACCCAGGTACGAAGCCTTGTATTCAATGGTTATTTTTCTGCTCCTCTTCCTCCTCCCACTGTCCATCCTCTGTTAGGCTCCAGTGCTTGTTGTTCCTCTCTTTGTGTCTATGGGTTGTCATCATTTAGCTCCCACATATAAGTGAGATTATGCAGTATTTAGTTGCTGCGTTAGTTTGCTGAGGATAATGGCCTCTAGCTCACTCTGTGTTCCTGCAAAGGACATGATCTCATGCTTTATTATGGCTGATTATCCCATAGTGTATATGTGCCACATATTCGTTATATAGTCTTCCATCAATGGACATTTAGGTTGATTCCATGTCTTTGCTATATAATGCTTTTTTTTTTAATGAAGCTGGAGGTAAGAGATGTCTCTCTCTCTCTCTCTTAGAAATGACACAATGATTACCCTCTTCATTGATGCTCTACTTAATTCTGTGAAGGTAGAGAAGTGAGCAAGATCTTGCTTGAGAAGTGGGCAATAAATTCTTGTTCACTTCTTTAGCTGAGCCATCTTTATCTGTCTTTGTATCTTTTCATGCCTCATCCTTTCTAAATACGTAGGTAAGGCAACTGGTGCTGCTCTAAAAATGTGGGAGTGGAGGGAAATCCAGTTATGACCCATGTGTATAGAGCTTTCCTTCTGGCTTGCTCTTCTCCTGCACCTACTCTAAGCAAAAGGGCTTCCTCCATGGATCTAGTTTAGCTCACCCCTGGGAATATTCTGGAGTGTGGAGCTAAAGTGTAGATAGAAATACCATGTTCTTTTATTGTCCATTTAACTGTATGCTATGTTTTTCCAGTGGCAACAGCAGGGGAATCTGCCTGGGGCTCTGTTTCAGGGCCCCTGCTTCAGGGTTCCTGTGTCTGTACCATCTGTCTCCTTATCAAATATCAGGTTGGTGCAGAAGAAGTAATTGCTGCACCAACCTAATGTAACAGTGGGCACCACCGTTTTGACTTGATCTCTAAATGATTACCTCAGTGCTTATTGTGAGGTGTGGATGAGTTACCATATATGAAATGGCCTAGGAAATTGTCTTGGATATGGTTGGTAATGTGCATTCATTCTGACCTAGCCCATTGTGAAAGATAAAGGGAAAGAATAAACAGAGATTGAGGGTTTCCCTCTCTTTTAACCACTGTGAATACAGAGGAAAAATGAATGCCCAGATATACTTTTTTACACCATCTTCATTGGATTTATATGAAAAGTACAAGCCCATCAATAAATAATAAAACACACATTCCCAACTAAAAATTTTGGTATTTTAGGTCTAAGTTAACAATTTATTTTTTCAAGATGAAAAGGTCCCATTCTAAGGTCTTTTTTTTTTTTTTTTTTAGATTTATTCAGGGAGAAATAAACATCTCTTTACTGAAAGCAAACAACAACAAAAACATATCTTGGGGTCAATAAGGTTAATTTTTTTGGTAGAATATTTTTTTTCTTGAGGGATACACAATGGAGGTGATTATGTTGGAAGCGAGGAACAGGAGAGGCTGAGTTCAGTAAGTTCAACAAGCAATAGCTATTGCTTATTCTACAATGTTGGGAAATTTGGGGACTTTACCTTTTTCTCAGATTTTGATTATCTCTTTGTCAAGAAGTGAAGTTATGTCTGGAATGAATGTTAACAATATCAGTTGAGGCTAAAGAAAGCATCTATTATTACCAGCCTGTTTCAAAACAGGATTTTATCAATCACTTTTGGCATAACTGGCATTCTATTGTAGTCTTTTTCCTCCAGAATTCACTGAAAACAAGTAATTCCATGAATCTGTGTGCTTGCTTCTCTTGTTTTTAAAAGCTTCCTTCAGTGAATCATTTGGTAACTACTTTTTAAAATTAATGTACACTCAAAATATTTTTTCTGTATTAATTAAACAAGATAAAAAACCTAGGCTTGATAGGATATGGCTCTCCAAAGATTCTCTTTAAGGATAAAAGAATAAATAAAATAACAAAGAACAAAATAGTTGGGCAAATTCATTTTCAGTCAACAACTATCATCACTTATGCTACAAATCTGTGTGTCTGTTTCTGGGTATTCTCCAGAAACTCTAAGCCACAGAGTTGACTGTCTTCTGTGTGACATCTCCACCAGCACTTATCCTCTCTATATCTCAAAGTCAGCAGGATCAAAATTGAAGCCCTTATCAATGACCAGACTTCCTCCTCTTCTAGGATCTGACCTATTGGATAGCAGAACATTTACCCTAACGTCCATCTAAAAAATCAATTTTTTCTCATTTATGCATTAATTCTAGTAATATTTATTGTGCAACTACAGTGTGCTAGACATGGTCTAGGTGCTGATGCTATTTTAGAGAATATGTCTGACAACATTTTTTCCCTTATTCTAATGAGGGACAGCAATAAAATGAACAAATATGCAAATAATATCATGTCAGGTAATAATAGATGCTATAAATAAAATGACTAGAATAAAATAAACTCCTTTGGTCTTATAGTCAGTGACATTTTGTAACTTGTTTCTTCTTCCAGTATAGTCTTCTGAAATTAATCTTTAGTGAGTCTTCAGAGATATTTTAGTGAGCTGAAAGACAGAAACTAGTTAAGGTCATCAGACTGGAATTCATTAATTGTTTCCTTTCTATCAGTGATACTGTCCTCTCAGTTTTGTTGAGTATTTTGTTCAGTCTCTTATTCTTAATTCTCTAGCAGCCTCTGTTTCTTTTATCTTCTCTCACATACTGCAGATAGAATTTTTCTTCTGCTTAGCCTATGTGGTAGCTGCCTTCCAGTAGCCTCAGACTCATTATAACATCAGTCACCTCAAGTGAGATGGATCTTGGCAGTGGTGTGTTGATGAAAAAAAAAAAAAGCCTGATTTTTGGCATTTCTAAATTTCCATGTGTAAATACTTCTATCATGGCCAATCTTCAGGCTACCAGAATGACAGCACAGAACATGCAGCTGGGAAAATTTTATGCCGTACACTCTCACAAGCCTGTATCAACACTCTGAGCCAGCACACCACTGGCTCTTGGGCAAAAGATAAATTGACCAAGTTTTAGTCAAGGTTTCCTATCTTAACAAAATAAATGTACTAGGGCAGTATAATCATTTTATATAAAATAGCTTCCTAGGAAATCTAATGTGCTGTTCTCAGATCTGGGCAGTGATGGTTGAGGATGGGAAGGGACTTCCTGTGAACGTGTAAAACCATAGGACTACCTCTCCAGGTCATGTGATTTGTCCATTATGGACTTATTACATGGAATTTCTTTCCTCTTTCTCCTATCAATTTTCCTAGTGTCTATGGGGTTTTTAAAACACGGCCACAAATGCTCTGAACTGCTCTCACAAAGTGGTAGATTATGTGTTGGAATCAGGACGTGCTTGTGACTACTTTGACAATGACCAGTAGAGTTCAGTGGAAGTGACAATATGTGACTTCTGAGTCCAGGTCATAAAAGACTTGGACTGAAGTCCTGCTCTCTGCTGCATTCTTGCAAACCTGAGAATCATATGAGAAGTCTGACTACCCTGAGATTGTCATGTTGTGAAGAAGTCCTCCTCACACGGAATGGCCAGATATAGAAACTCTGGTTGGTAATCCTAGATGAGTCCCTCACTCTCAACCCCCAACCACAGAGAAAGTTTCAGGCACATGAGTGAAGAAGACACCAGATGGATGTAACACAGAGCTCTTTATGAATCACTTCCAGGCATGAATTTTCCTAGCTAAGGCCACAGACCTTGTAGAGCAGAAATGGAAAATCTCCCCTATGCCCTATTTTGGATTCCTGAACCATAGAATTCATGAACTTAATAAAATGATTGTTGTTTTATTTCACTACATTTGACATGGTTCGTTCCAAAGCAAAAGATAACTGGAAGACTCAATTTTTCCAGGCTCAGGTTGCCATAATGGAGATGTGTTCATGAATAAAGTTCCTGGCACTCCACTCATAAAGCTGGTGAGAAAATACAAGATTGTACTGCTGAGGTTAGGACAAAAAACTCATAGTGATGCCTCCCAGAAAGTTATGAAAAATCAAATACAACATTCCTAAAGAGTTTGAAAAATTCATTTGGGACAGGGTCTCTTGCAAAAGTATTTATTGGGGAAGATAAGATCTTACAAGTGAGAATCCAGGAAGTAGGTGATTTTAGAATAAAAATAGATAATTGTATGATGGAAATGGAGGTCACTTCACAAAAACTTTACAGATAGCACATCAAAAATGGGACCCATGTATATCCATAAGAGTATACCAACAAAGCTCAGTTTAAACCAACAAAGCTCAGAGTTTTAGGTGCTCAGTTTCCTGGATCATGTATCATCCCTCTGTATTTGAATTTAGCTTATAGAATAGGGGAAAGATGATGTATATTTCCATTTTTTCAGCAGATGGGCATAAGTGCTGTATGCATTATTCTGAGGAAGAATATTTCAGTTAACTATTGCAGTAATATTTCTGCATAACAGACCACTCTAAAACTAAGTGATTTTAAATGACAATAATTTATTATCATGGGTCTGCTTTAGGCTGTGGAGGCTGGAGGATAGCTCACCTGGCTGGTCTCTGCTAGGCAACTTTGCTCCATGTATTTCTTACTCCTCACATGGAATTTGCTGCATTGTTGGGGCATATTTTTAGGGTGATGAGAAAGGTGCATAAAGTTAAGCAGAAATCTGCAAGGTTTCTTAAGGCCATATCTCAAAGGTGTCATGCTTTCCCTTCTACTCTACTCCATTGACAAGTTACATGGCCAAGCCCAATAATGTGCCATGGAAAGGGTGCATATGATCATGAGGCTACTAATTTGATCTACCACAGAAGAATTGCAGTGTCTAACAGAGATCTAGTTTAGCAGATTAAATTCCAAAAACTGACAAGATGGCTCGGTACGGGCATTTAGATAAAAGCTCAGCCGTGTGGACATAAGCTGTGTTGTAGCTGTTTACATTGCCTAAATCTCAGGAATATTTAGATTAAGCTTATTGCTGACTCTATTCTAGATGGTCTGGTTCAGGGTTCAGATGCAAAACATTTTATTAAAGGAGCAGGTCAACAGTTAGGTGAAGATACGGCTGTTTGGTGTGCACCCCTGATGCCACAACCGCCTCTGTAAAAGACAGATGTTCACCTAGCAATTTTCAACTCATTTTTATTCCACTAGATTTTATATTGAATCTTCTTCATATAAATAATGTATTTTTCAACAAACAAACTGATAAAGTAATCTACCATAGTTAAAGTGAGTGTTGGACATCTATTTTTATTGTTTGTGCAGTAAAAATAGATTTGTGTCCATACCGTACTCTAGTGTGGCTTTTTAAAACTTCTAGGTCTTATAAGTATGCTTGAAAAACATAGTTCCTTTCGCTCATTGAATCTTTCCTAATTATATTAGCACTTACTATTGAATTCCTATTTCTCTTATAGTACATATCACATATTTTGGTATTTCAGTGTCTTTTTGAAATATTGAGGTAAAATTTACATAGAAATGCACAGATCTTAAGTGTGCAATTCTATGATTTTTGACAAATGTGTATAGATTTGTAACTATGCCTCAGTGAAGACATAGAACATTTGCACTTACCTACTTGGAAATTTTCTTTGCACCCCTTCCAATCTTCATTCCCACACCAAGGCAGCACTGGTCTGACTTCCATCACCATAGGTTGGTTTTGCCTGTTAACTGAACTTTATTTAAATTCAATCATGGATTACATGCTCTTCTATGCCTAGTTTCTTTTGTGGATCAAAATATTTTTGAGATTCATACATGTTATTGTGTATGTCAGTTGTTTATTTTTTGGCCTGTTTATTTTTTAAAAATTCTGAGTAGTATTTAATGGCATGAATGTACCACAAGTTGAATATTCATACTATTGATGGGCATTTGGATGATTGATAGTTTGTAGCTATTAGGAATGAAGCTGATATAAATATTTTTGTATATGTATTTTTCTGGACATACATTTTTACTTATGTTGGGTCAATATCTAAATAAGCAGATTTCTGGGTCATGGGATACATTCATGACACCAGCTGCAAATTTTATTCTAGAGTTTTTGTATAATTGTGCACATCTATCAGGAAAATATCCTATTTGTATCAGTTTCTTAACAGATCTGATGTTGGCATTAATGATCTTTTAAATATTAACCATTCTAGTAAAGTAGTGTCTCATTGTGGTTTTAATTTTTCATTTCACTGGAATTAATGATGTTGAGCACCTTTTCTAGTACTCATTGGACTTTCACATATTTTCTTTTATGAAGTGTCTATACAAGCCATCTGTTTTCTTCTATTCTTTATCTCCATCTGTTTTCTTATTGAGTTGTTTGTCTTTTTCTTAGTGAATTGTAAGAGTTCCTTATATTATCTGGATAAAACTCCCTTGTCAGATGTACATATTGAAAGTATTTTTCCCAATTCCATGCACCGCATTTTTAGTTTTACTAATGCTCATAATTTCTTACCAGAAGTTTTAGTGTCAATAGAATCCAATCCAGCATTCTCCACATGTGTTTTGTTACCCATTTAAGAAATATTTGTCTATTTCAAGGTGGCAAGGAAAACCTAGCTAGGTCTTTTTCTAGAAGCTATGCATTTAGCTTTATGTTTGGTTTTCTTCTTCTTAAATAAATTTTTGGGTGTGGTGTGAGGTAGTCAAATGTATTTCTTTCCACATATTTATTTTGATGCATCAGCATCATTTATTGAAAAGATTTTCTCAGCGTATTGTCTTGGCAACTGAGGGACATCATTTGACAATATATATGTGAGTGCATTTCTGAATTTTCTATTATGCTTTATTGATCTATTTGTCTATTTTAAAATCAATAAAATACTTGTTTGGTAGGTGTGGTTTTACATGAAGTCTTTAAATATGATAGAGTGAGTTCTCCAACTTCGTGCATTTTGAAGAATCTTGGATTCATTTTGCATCTTCATATTAGTTTGTAGACCATGCTTGTCTATTTCTGCAAAACATCTTTTTTAAGTTTTATTTGGAATATATTGAATATATGAATAAATTGAGAGATAATTGACATTTTAACAATGTTGAGTCTTCCAATCAATGAATAGAGCATGCCTTTCCATTTATTTAGTTTTTAAAAAATTATGAGTTAGTTTGTAGGTTTTGGACAGAAATCCTGATAAGTTATTGATAAATGGCTCATGTTTTCTGATATTATTGGAAATAATATTTAAAAACTTATCCAATTTTTTGCTAATTATATGTAAAAATATATTTTAAAATTGTGAATTTATAGATTACAGTCTTGTTAAGTTTACTTTTAAGTTTTCTTAGTTGTTCTGTAGATTTCTTAGGATGTTCTAAGTAGCTAATTATGTAATCTGCTATGGAGACTATTTTAATTTTCTTTCATATTTACTTGTCTTTTATTTATTTATCTTGCTTTACTTTCCTGGTTAGGATTTCCAAGACAGTGTTTATTAGAAGTGGCAAGAGCAGAAATTGTTGAATTGTTTCATTCTTAATATCTCAGTATTAAGTCTGATGTTAGCCCTGTATTTATTGCTGCGCTTTTTCAGGTTGAGGGTTTCCTTTATTCCTAGTTTGTTAAAAATTTAAAAATAAAGGTGCAAAAATGTTGTCAAATTCCCTTTTTAAATGTATTTAATTACTTTTAAAATTTTTATTAAAGTTGTAAAATAAATTGGCTGATTTTTGAATGTTGCTCCAACTTTACATATCTGAGAAAGAGCTCATTTCATGTGTTAGTAGACCTTATTTATTACTTAGTTTGTTAATTTTTTTTTTTTTTTTGAGATGGAGTCTGGCTCTGTTGCCCACGATGGAGTGCAGTGGCACGATCTCAGCTCACTGCAAGCTCCGCCTCCCGGGTTCACGCCATTCTCCTGCCTCAGCCTCCCGAGTAGCTGGGACTACAGGCGCCCGCTACCACGCCCAGCTAATTTTTTGTATTTTTAGTAGAGAAGTGGTTTCACCGTGTTGGCCAGGATGGTCTCGATCTCTTGACCTCGTGATCCACCCGCGTCGGCCTCCCAAAGTGCTGGGATTACAGGCGTGAGCCACTGCGCCCGGCAAATATTTGTTTTTTATGTATTTTTTTTTTCAACTTAGTTCAGGGGTACATGTGCAGGATATGCAGGTTTGTTACATAAGTAAACAAGTGCCATGGTGGTTTGCTGCAGATAATCCCATCACTTTAGTATTAAGCCCAGCATCAATTAGCTATTCTTCCTGATGCTCTCTCTCCCCCTACCCCAACCCAGACAGACCCCAGTGTGTGTTACTACAGTGTAATACCATTATTCAACTATCGTTTATGCTATTGTCATATTACCATGTGTGTTAGAAATTTCCATAACATGTTATTGTCTTAGTCTGTTTGGACTTCTATAACAAAATACCTTAAACTAGGTAGCTAATAAATAACAGAAATTTATTTCTCCCTTTTCTGGAGGATGGGAAGTCAAAGATCAAGGCACTGGCAGATTTCCTGTCTGGTGAGGGCCTGCTTCTCCTATATGACACTCTTCCCATTGTGTCTCACATGGTGGAAGGGGCAAACAAGCTCTCTGGCCTCTTTTGTAAAACACTAATGCTGTTAATGGTGGCCCCACCCTCATGACCTAATCACCTACTAAAAGCCCCACCTCTTAATGCTATTACACTCGGGATTAGATTTCAACATATAATTTTTTGGGGGGTTGGGGGAACAGACATGCAGACCACAGCAGTTATTTTGTGCTTTAAACAAATCTTCCAATTAAGAGAATATATGCTCACATATTTATCATTTCTTTTTCTCTATAAATTCAAATTTTTTTCTGAGTTTTATTTTAAAAGGAACTGAGGAACTATTGTATTTTTTAATGCAGGCCAGCTGGCAATGACTTTCTCAACTTTCACTTATTTATAAACATATAGGCCTAAAAATGCATAAAATGAACCAATTCTATAATGTTACACATAATTAGTATTCTTTATTAAGTCCTTGAAAATATTCACATTAACTGTTTCAAAGTTCTTTTCTATATTCTGTTTTTATTTATTGTTTTCCTTCTTGATTCGGCATTGCTTTTCTCTGCTTTTTCTCACATGCGGTAACTGTTATATAATGGCCATTGCCAAAGCTATGTTGTAAGTAGTCTGAATTATGTCATCTTCTTTTAAAAGTTTTTGAACTTTGTTCTGAAAAAGAAATTAACATCCCAGGAGCTTTTTATTTTTTTTCATTCTGGCAAACTTGGTTTTACTTTTTATAAGAGCAAGTATATTTTTCTTTTGTCTTTGTTACTAATGTGTCCTGTGACCTAGGAAATGACCCTTACTTCTAAATTCTAACCTTTTCATGTCCCAACTAAATGCACAAGGTGCTCATTAGGGTCTCTTTACCCTTGCAGAGCTGAAACTCCAGTATTTTCTAACATTGTGAGACCTCTGGTGTCTTTTTCAGTCTTCATCTCTGAGTATTACTCTGCAAGTTTTCATAGTATTGACTTACATATTTGAAACCCAGACATTGGCAAAAGACATGTCACTAACTCCTGTGAAGTCTTCCATGCTGTTTACTTCTAGCAGCTTTCCCTTCTCTAATACCTTGCGTACAAATTACAGTAAGTTCAATATTTTCTTCTTTTGCTCAAGAAGATTGTGATTATTTGGGGGGGCTCTATTCCTGTTCTGTTGTAGAAAAGCAAGATGTCAGAAAACTAGAATGACTGTTTGCTTTTGTGTCTCTCAATAGTCAGACAGTACTGTCTGATGTGAAGTACCTAAAAAAGAGTTGTCTT
Source organism: Homo sapiens (assembly GCF_000001405.40). Lineage (NCBI taxonomy): Eukaryota > Metazoa > Chordata > Mammalia > Primates > Hominidae > Homo > Homo sapiens. The sequence goes on from NC_000009.12 coordinate 24,573,176, forward strand.
ATACACTGTGTTCATGTTTACAGTTAGTGGATGTGTACATCCAGTGTAAGTTATTTCATCATAGCTAGAATTGTTCTTTCGTGGTTTCTTACAGTTTTATTGTGATTTACTTTTGGCTTCATAGTTATAATATAAACTTTTTACCAAATGGGCACGTATTTTAGATACATGTAAAAAATATTTTCCAAACAGTAGGTGCTTAATAAATAGAAGCCCAGCATATTAAACAGAAGTCAAACAACTTTTGCTGTTCTTTGTCCAAGAGACTGTCCCACACCCATGAGCTTTAGCTTCTCAATACAGATTTTTAAACGACACTTAGGAGTCTTGGCTACTATAAAACACTACTTCGTTTTTTTCCGTCTTGCCTCAATATCTTGACAATTTCTAGGATAATATTCTTACTTACCTCTTTAGTCCACATGTCTCACCACAGGGACAGACGCACTCTTCACTTGGCATATCAAGTGATTACTGAAATGTACATTTTTTCAGGGTAACTACATTTTAGTGGGGATTACCAGAGAGAATAAGAATACTAACATTTATCCCCTGCATTTTTTGTTAGTCCTATAACAATATAGACAGTTAGGTTGTATTGTTCCTCTTTTGCAAAGACAATCACAATAAATAATTTTCCTGGGATATAGATATTGAACTGTTAGAACCTATCTTCCCCAACCCCCTCAACTGATTTAATTTCATCTGAACTTTAGTAATGTTATTTTTAAAATATAAATAATACTACCAGCCTCACAGGGTGATTTAGAACATTAAACATTATAAGTGCAAAGTTTCAGTCAGATATTTGATTAGTTTCTTCCTCTCTAGAAAGTTGTCTTGAGCGCCCAGTATATGCATAGTTAGAGTGAGATTTGAATCAGTATTTCATCAGTGCCTCTTACTTTATAGCCTGCACTCTTTGCAAGGTACCACTTAAAAAAATTTTTTTCAGGTAATTCTTTTCTATTATTATTATTATATTTTAAGTTCTAGGGTACATGTGCACAATGTGCTGGTTTGTCACACATGTATACATGTGCCATGTTGGTGTGCTGAACCCATTAACTCGTCATTTACATTAGGTATATCTCCTAATGCTATCCCTCCCCACTTCCCCCACCCCACAACAGGCCCCGGTGTGTGATGTTCCCCTTCCTGTGTCCAAGTGTTCTCATTGTTCAATTCCCACCTGTCAGTGAGAACATGCGGTGTTTGGTTTTTTGTCGTTGTGATAGTTTGCTGAGAATGATGGTTTCCAGCTTCATCCATATCCCTACAAAGGACATGAACTCATCCATTTTTATGGCTGCATAATATTCCATGGTGTATATGTGTCACATTTTCTTTTTTTTTTTCTTTTTTTTTTTTTTTATTATACTTTAAGTTTTAGGGAACATGTGCACATTGTGCAGGTTAGTTACATATGTATACATGTGCCATGCTGGTGCACTGCACCCACCAGCTCGTCATCTAGCATTAGGTATATCTCCCAATGCTATCCCCCCCCCCTCCCCCCACCCCACCACAGTCCCCAGAGTGTGATATTCCCCTTCCTGTGTCCATGTGATCTCATTGTTCAGTTCCCACCTATGAGTGAGAATATGCGGTGTTTGGTTTTTTGTTCTTGCGATAGTTTACTGAGAATGATGATTTCCAATTTCATTCATGTCCCTACAAAGGACATGAACTCATCATTTTTTATGGCTGCATAGTATTCCATGGTGTATATGTGCCACATTTTCTTAATCCAGTCTATCATTGTTGGACATTTGGGTTGGTTCCAAGTCTTTGCTATTGTGAATAATGCCGCAATAAACATACGTGTGCATGTGTCTTTCTGGCAGCATGATTTATAGTCATTTGGGTATATACCCAGTAATGGGATGGCTGGGTCAAATGGTATTTCTAGTTCCAGATCCCTGAGGAATCGCCACACTGACTTCCACAATGGTTGAACTAGTTTACAGTCCCACCAACAGTGTAAAAGTGTTCCTATTTCTCCACATCCTCTCCAGCACCTGTTGTTTCCTGACTTTTTAATGATTGCCATTCTAACTGGTGTGAGATGGTATCTCATTGTGGTTTTGATTTGCATTTCTCTGATGGCCAGTGATGATGAGCATTTTTTCATGTGTTTTTTGGCTGCATAAATGTCTTCTTTTGAGACGTGTCTGTTCATGTCCTTCGTCCACTTTTTGATGGGGTTGTTTGTTTTTTTCTTATAAATTTGTTTGAGTTCATTGTAGATTCTGGATATTAGCCCTTTGTCAGATGAGTAGGTTGCGAAAATTTTCTCCCATTTTGTAGGTTGCCTGTTCACTCTGATGGTAGTTTCTTTTGCTGTGCAGAAGCTCTTTAGTTTAATTAGATCCCATTTGTCAATTTTGGCTTTTGTTGCCATTGCTTTTGGTGTTTTTGACATGAAGACCTTGCCCATGCCTATGTCCTGAATGGTAATGCCTAGGTTTTCTTCTAGGGTTTTTATGGTTTTAGGTCTAACGTTTAAATCTTTAATCCATCTTGAATTGATTTTTGTATAAGGTGTAAGGAAGGGATCCAGTTTCAGCTTTCTACATATGGCTAGCCAGTTTTCCCAGCACCATTTATTAAAAAGGGAATCCTTTCCCCATTGCTTGTTTTTCTCAGGTTTGTCAAAGATCAGATAGTTGTAGATATGTGGCATTATTTCTGAGGGCTCTGTTCTGTTCCATTGATCTATATCTCTGTTTTGGTACCAGTACCATGCTGTTTTGGTTACTGTAGCCTTGTAGTATAGTTTGAAGTCAGGTAGTGTGATGCCTCCAGCTATGTTCTTTTGGCTTAGGATTGACTTGGCGATGCAGGCTCTTTTTTGGTTCCATATGAACTTTAAAGTAGTTTTTTCCAATTCTGTGAAGAAAATCATTGGTAGCTTTATGGGGATGGCATTGAATCTGTAAATTACCTTGGGCAGTATGGCCATTTTCACGATACTGATTCTTCCTACCCATGAGCATGGAATGTTCTTCCATTTGTTTGTATCCTCTTTTATTTCCTTGAGCAGTGGTTTGTAGTTCTCCTTGAAGAGGTCCTTCACATCCCTTGTAAGTTGGATTCCTAGGTATTTTATTCCTTTGAAGCAATTGTGAATGGGAGTTCACTCATGATTTGGCTCTCTGTTTGTCTGTTGTTGGTGTATAAGAATGCTTGTGATTTTTGTACATTGATTTTGTATCCTGATACTTTGCTGAAGTTGCCTATTAGCTTAAGGAGATTTTGGGCTGAGACAATGGGGTTTTCTAGATATACAATCATGTCATCTGCAAACAGGGACAATTTGACTTCCTCTTTTCCTAATTGAATACCCTTTATTTCCTTCTCCTGCCTAATTGCCCTGGCCAGAACTTCCAACACTATGTTGAATAGGAGTGGTGAGAGAGGGCATCCCTGTCTTGTGCCAGTTTTCAAAGGGAATGCTTCCAGTTTTTGCCCATTCAGTATGATATTGGCTGTGGGTTTGTCATAGATAGCTCTTATTATTTTGAAATACGTCCCATCAATACCTAATTTATTGAGAGTTTTTAGCATGAAGGGTTGTTGAATTTTGTCAAAGGCTTTTTCTGCATCTATTGAGATAATCATGTGGTTTTTGTCTTTGGCTCTGTTTATATGCTGGATTACATTTATTGATTTGCGTATATTGAACCAGCCTTGCATCCCAGGGATGAAGCCCACTTGATCATGGTGGATAAGCTTTTTGATGTGCTGCTGGATTCGGTTTGCCAGTATTTTATTGAGGATTTTTGCATCAATGTTCATCAAGGATATTGGTCTAAAATTCTCTTTTTTGGTTGTTTCTCTGCCTGGCTTTGGTATCAGAATGATGCTGGCCTCATAAAATGAGTTAGGGAGGATTCCCTCTTTTTCTGTTGATTGGAATAGTTTCAGAAAGAATGGTACCAGTTCCTCCTTGTACCTCTGGTAGAATTCAGCTGTGAATCCATCTGGTCCTGGACTCTTTTTGGTTGGTAAACTATTGATTATTGCCACAATTTCAGCTCCTGTTATTGGTCTATTCAGAGATTCAACTTCTTCCTGGTTTAGTCTTGGGAGAGTGTATGTGTTGAGGAATTTATCCATTTCTTCTAGATTTTCTAGTTTATTTCCATAGAGGTGTTTGTAGTATTCTCTGATGGTAGTTTGTATTTCTGTGGGATCGGTGGTGATATCCCCTTTATCATTTTTTATTGCGTCTATTTGATTCTTCTCTCTTTTTTTCTTTATTAGTCTTGCTAGTGGTATATCAATTTTGTTGATCCTTTCAAAAAACCAGCTCCTGGATTCATTGATTTTTTGAAGGGTTTTTTGTGTCTCTATTTCCTTCAGTTCTGCTCTGATCTTAGTTATATCTTGCCTTCTGCTAGCTTTTGAATGTGTTTGCTCTTGCTTTTCTAGTTCTTTTAATTGTGATGTTAGGGTGTCAATTTTGTATCTTTCCTGCTTTCTCTTGTGGGCATTTAGTGCTATAAATTTCCCTCTACACACTGCTTTGAATGTGTCCCAGAGATTCTGGTATGTTGTGTCTTTGTTCTCATTGGTTTCAAAGAACATCTTTATTTCTGCCTTCATTTCGTCATGTACCCAGTAGTCATTCAGGAGCAGGTTGTTCAGTTTCCATGTAGTTGAGCGGCTTTGAGTGAGTTTCTTAATCCTGAGTTCTAGTTTGATTGCACTGTGGTCTGAGAGATAGTTAGTTATAATTTCTGTTCTTTTACATTTGCTGAGGAGAGCTTTACTTCCAAGTATGTGGTCAATTTTGGAATAGGTGTGGTGTGGTGCTGAAAAGAATGTATATTCTGTTGATTTGGGGTGGAGAGTTCTGTAGATGTCTATTAGGTCCACTTGGTGCAGAGCTGAGTTCAATTCCTGGGTATCCTTGTTGACTTTCTGTCTTGTTGATCTGTCTAATGTTGACAGTGGGGTGTTAAAGTCTCCCATTATTAATGTGTGGGAGTCTAAGTCTCTTTGTAGGTCACTCAGGACTTGCTTTATGAATCTGGGTGCTCCTATATTGGGTGCATATATATTTAGGATAGTTAGCTCTTCTTGTTGAATTGATCCCTTTACCATTATGTAATGGCCTTCTTTGTCTCTTTTGATATTTGTTGGTTTAAAGTCTGTTTTATCAGAGACTAGGATTGCAACCCCTGCCTTTTTTTGTTTTCCATTTGCTTGGTAGATCTTCCTCCATCCTTTTATTTTGAGCCTTTGTGTGTCTCTGCACATGAGATGGGTTTCCTGAATACAGCACACTGATGGGTCTTGACTCTTTATCCAGTTTGCCAGTCTGTGTCTTTTAATTGGAGAATTTAGTCCATTTACATTTAAAGTTAATATTGTTATGTGTGAATTTGATCCTGTCATTATGATGTTAGCTGGTGATTTTGCTCGTTAGTTGATGCAGTTTCTTCCTAGTCTTGATGGTCTTTACATTTTGGCATGATTTTGCAGCGGCTGGTACCGGTTGTTCCTTTCCATGTTTAGTGCTTCCTTCAGTAGCTCTTGTAAGGCAGGCCTGGTGGTGACAAAATCTCTCAGCATCTGCTTGTCTGTAAAGTATTTTATTTCTCCTTCACTTATGAAGCTTAGTTTGTCTGGATATGAAATTCTGGGTTGAAAATTCTTTTCTTTAAGAATGTTGAATATTGGCCCCCACTCTCTTCTGGCTTTAGGGTTTCTGCTGAGAGATCCGCTGTAAGTCTGATGGGCTTACCTTTGAGGGTAACCCGACCTTTCTCTCTGGCTGCCCTTAACATTTTTTCCTTCATTTCAACTTTGGTGAATCTGACAATTATGTGTCTTGGAGTTGCTCTTCTCGAGGAGTATCTTTGTGGCGTTCTCTGTATTTCCTGAATCTGAACGTTGGCCTGCCCTGCTAGATTGGGGAAGTTCTCCTGGATAATATCCTGCAGAGTGTTTTCCAAGTTGGTTCCATTCTCCCCATCACTTTCAGGTACACCAATCAGACGTAGATTTGGTCTTTTCACATAGTCCCATATTTCTTGGAGGCTTTGCTCATTTCTTTTTATTCTTTTTTCTCTAACCTTCCCTTCTCGCTTCATTTCATTCATTTCATCTTCCATTGCTGATACCCTTTCTTCCAGTTGATCGCATGGGCTCCTGAGGCTTCTGCATTCTTCACGTAGTTCTCGAGCCTTGGTTTTCAGCTCCATCAGCTCCTTTAAGCACTTCTCTGTATTGGTTATTCTAGTTATACATTCTTCTAAATTTTTTTCAAAGTTTTCAACTTCTTTGCCTTTGGTTTGAATGTCCTCCCGTAGCTCAGAGTAATTTGATCATCTGAAGCCTTCTTCTCTGAGCTCGTCAAAGTCATTCTCCATCCAGCTTTGTTCCGTTGCTGGTGAGGAACTGCGTTCCTTTGGAGGAGGAGAGGCGCTCTGCGTTTTAGAGTTTCCAGTTTTTCTGTTCTGTTTTTTCCCCATCTTTGTGGTTTTATCTACTTTTGGTCTTTGATGATGATGATGTACAGATGGGTTTTTGGTGTGGATGTCCTTTCTATTTGTTAGTTTTCCTTCTAACAGACAGGACCCTCAGCTGCAGGTCTGTTGGAATACCCTGCCATGTGAGGTGTCAGTGTGCCCCTGCTGGGGGGTGCCTCCCAGTTAGGCTGCTCGGGGGTCACGGGTCAGGGATCCACTTGAGGAGGCAGTCTGCAAGTTCTCAGATCTCCAGCTGCGTGCTGGGAGAACCACTGCTCTCTTCAAAGCTGTCAGACAGGGACACTTAAGTCTGCAGAGGTTACTGCTGTCTTTTTGTTTGTCTGTGCCCTGCCCCCAGAGGTGAAGCCTACAGAGGCAGGCAGGCCTCCTTGAGCTGTTGTGGGCTCCAGGCAGTTCGAGCTTCCTGGCTGCTTTGTTTACCTAAGCAAGCCTGGGCAATGGCTGGCGCCCCTCCCCCAGCCTCGCTGCTGCCTTGCAGTTTGATCTCAGACTGCTGTGCTAGCAGTCAGAGAGATTCCGTGGGTGTAGGACCCTCCGAGGCAGGTGTGGGATATAATCTCGTGGTTCGCGGTTTTTTAAGCCGGTCTGAAAAGCGCAATATTCGGGTGGGAGTGACCCGATTTTCCAGGTGCGTCCGTCACCCCTTTCTTTGACTCGGAAAGGGAACTCCCTGACCCCTTGCGCTTCCCAAGTGCGGCAATGCCTCGCCCTGCTTCGGCTCGCGCACGGTGCGCGCACCCACTGGCCTGCACCCACTGTCTGGCACTCCCTAGTGAGATAAACCCGGTACCTCAGAAGGAAATGCAGAAATCACCCATCTTCTGCGTTGCTCACGCTGGGAGGTGTAGACCGGAGCTGTTCCTATTTGGCCATCTTGGCTCCTCCCTGTCACATTTTCTTAATCCAGTCTATCATTGATGGACATTTGGGTTGGTTCCAAGTCTTTGCTTTTGTGAATAGTGCCTCAATAAACATACATGTGCATGTGTCTTTATAGCAGCGTGATTTATAATCCTTTGGGTATATACCCAGTAATGGGATGGCTGGTATTTTTCAGGTAATTCTTAACTGTAAGCATAGGATTAATTTTCTTGGCCATCATTCTCTGAGTCATTGAAAACATAGTTTGGTAGTCACTCCAATTGAGTTAAAGGATTTTCAGTTTCATTGGGTAAAATCACTATAATTCGAAACACCATTATTAATAGACACTCTAAAGACACTCATCAACTTTTTAACACATCGAGCCTCGTACCATTATAAAAGAAGAGTCAGTTTCAAAGTTTAACAAATTTTGAATCTGTGACCACTATTTGCATCTTATATCTATGCTCCTAACAAAAGGCAACCAAATTAAATGGAGGATTTATTATAAGGTCACTGTCATTGTATACTTGTATTTCCGTGTAACCTGTGATAACTATTTCTTGTGTTCACTACCTCTGACTGTTTTAAGCGAAAGCACACAAGGAACGTGTTAAAGGTCAGTTCAATATTGCTATGGAGTGTGATAACATTTGTACCTTAAAGAATGTCTAACATTGCAACTGATTTTTTTCTACAACTTTAGAACCTTTTTCATTATTCTAATATTACAGCCCTGTTTGTTGAATGAAGGAATGAGTGAATAAATTGCATAGCTTCTCATTCTGCAAATGCATGATAAATTGTAATTGAGGAGAGACCACTTGTTCTACCAGTTTTGAGTTAATATAGATCTGACTCTGCTATTTTCATAATCATAATTATATTATCATAGTTCCCAGGAATTATATCTATGTGAAATTATAAATAATAGTATTTTGGTGTAAAAATTTAGATTTCTAGCCCAGAAAACAATATTAACAAATGAAGAAACCCATTAACTACTGCATTTAAAACTTCATGTTTAAAGAAATGATCTATTAATATATTAACATATTTTGCTGAAATGTGAGAAGGGTCCCATAGTTCTCCAACAGTGTTATTTTAGACAATCATCATATATAAGAAAATCTATGAAAAAAAGGACAGCAAAATTACAAATAAATTAGAAAACTATGCTTGTGAGCCTGGAAGCACATATCACATACCTGACTATGCCATTAACTATCTGTACTTTTTATAAACATAATTGTTATCTTTTGTAGTCTCAGAAAATTGAGTTAGGTAATTTTTTGCATTCCTGTTTATTTTCTAAAATTTCCATGACTCAGAGAACACTTTCTCTATGCATTGTGAGCTACTTTGGATTATACAACTAACCAAATGGAGTTTGAAAGTATAATGAATTAGGTTTTCTCAGTTAGTGATATTCATTCTAAAATTTGCTTCTATTAATTTCTACTCAGTAGCCCTTTCATATTCACCCATAGATCATTTCTTAAAGTTCTAGAAAAAGGGGGCCCAGGTAAAAATTCATGATTTAGCTTAATAAAATATTCCTCAACTTTATCCTATGCATAAATAACATGCATAATTTTTGAGTTACACCTCTTAGATTTTTTTTAATAAAACTAAGCCTAGAATTTAGCCTTTTATGATTTATGATAAGTCTAGGTCATTCCACTACTAATTCTTACCTTTAAAGCATCAGTGCCTTTTGCTATCTGCTCCTTGGGATTCATTTATTAAGAGGCTGAGATGTGAACATCTGTCCATGTTCCAACAGAACAAATCATTCCAAATAACCTTTCTAACCCAAAGTTCAATGGATGAGGCAGACAATGATTTATATTTGAGGAATTTTGCTTTGCTTTTGCAACAAAAGCCATTCTTTTACTGTACTCTCAACAACTGCTTGTATTGCATTAATCAGACCTTAATTAACATGGAAGAAAGGTGATAATTTACATTTATTTCAGATTGACACATTGTACTTTATTTAGCAAATGAGACCTGTCAGGCACTGCCAGTGATGCTTAGATTGAAGACAGAGTGTCGAAAATATGTCTTCCACCTGCCTGTGCCTTTGTAGGAGGGAGCTTTCAGTATGTTTACACAGGGATCATTAGATGTACCTCATGCTAAGCTTTCATGAATCTTTGAATAAGAAATGCTCAAAGGTCATCAGGTATGAAATATTTTATAATGACACAGTGCCGTAAGGCATGAGAAACTGTGATTTATTCTCCAAAGTAAACTCAAAAGAGGATAAAGGAAAGAGAACTGCATAGGACTCAAAATAACTTCAGATCTATCAAAAACAGAAGAGAGGAGAGCTGAAACTATGAGAATAGAAGCTGAGGAAAAGTTTATTTACTCAGTGTCATTGTGCAATTTAAAGTAAGAGTTGGAGGACGGAAGTAAATAGACGACCGCTGTAACTGATCAACTTCTAAGAACAATAAGTGACTATCAAATGTCAGGAAGAGAGGAGAATTTAGGAATTATGAAAAACAGTCTGCTACGGGATGAAAACTGTTAATTAAAGAAGATAAGTAATTTCTCCCATTCTTGCTTTTGATTGGGCATATAGGTAAAGGTTGAATTTGAAATATAAGTTTAAGATAATTGAGAAGAATGAAGCATATAGTTAAAGCCCATATTCTGCTTTCATAATTTTCTTGACTTTTATTAGCATATATTTCAGACCACAGTTTAAGGCAGGCAGTGAGGGGAAGTCTTATAGGCTCCCTTCTTGCATGTTTGATGAGCCTGGCCACTTGAGCATCACCCAGAGCATACTGTCCCCATGCAGGCATCCACATCTTTGCTCATGTGGTCTCCTCTGTTGAAAGGACCACTCCATCCACTCGATATGGAAAATCTGTTACCAGCTTTAAAGTGTGTCTTGGATCTCCCCTCCACTTGGGAGCCCAGTACCATTGTACTCCCAGAGTACTTTAAGTCGTTCTTATCCCACTGCTTATATACCTCTGCTTACCTGTAATTCCTATTCATATTTATTTCCCCATGGCTTGGTAGAATGTCTAGTGCAAGGAAAAAATTTTGGTAGTTGCTAGTCAAATTAGATTAAAATTTTAATGAAAATTCATATTTTTGTAGCCAGTAAATAGTATTGTTTTAGGGTGAAATCTTGTGTATTTGCTCTTTTAAATGTAGCAGTTAACTGGTGCAGGGATATGCAAGTCTACCACGGAGTGTGCATTGTGGCACTATTTATATAGTTTATGTGATGTGTGTATAAGTTTAAAATGTTAATGCATGTAAACAGTATATTCTCAAAAATTCATCGCCATTTATATAGTTTTGAAATGTATAGACTCTTCCTTTTTAAAATTAGTTTACATTTTCATTGACATAAATCATTAGAAGAAATTAAACTTTTTATTCACTGAAACCATAGTTTAAATGCTGATTTTTCTCTTTTATAATATAAAAACTTACATATATTACTTTTGGTAAACTTTTTAAAGTTTTATTTTCTTTGTCTAGAGATTAAAAGTTAATAATGCCTACCTCATTTTTTTTTTAATTTCAAAAGGTAAAATAGATCCTCAAAACCTCTAGCAAATTTTAATTATCTGATTAAATGTTTACTATCTTCTCATCACCTTTAATTAACACTCTGGCAAGCACACTAATTTATAGGTCAAGGGGCTGAAATTTCCGTCAATTAATGGCATTGAACAAGCCTCTTAACCACTGTTAAACTCAGTTACCTCATTTAAAAGTGAGAGTAATTTTGTTGAAATAGTAGGTGCCACTCTATTAAAGAGAAATAAAAGCTCTTTGGAGGAGAGGGAAATTTCTTGTTTGATATATCCTGTTAAAATTATACAGCCAAATATAGATGGAAAAGATGTTATAAGTCATAATAGAATCCATGATGCCAAATCTGCGTAATCTCACAACACAGCACAGAATTAATAATGATGTGGCTTGAAGTGGAAGATGTTTCTTATTGCTGAAGATCTGTATAAAAAGGACATTAAGTTTTTTTATGTTAGTTATGCCAAAGAAAGCATATTATGTATGAATTAGAGTTTCAAATTCTGTTTTGTGTGTCTCAGTAGGAATTAGAAAATTCTCATTATTATGAATATCTTGTTTCATGGTTGTTTAATGGCAGAGCTGAAGTGGAAACTAGGTTCCTGTCCATTTCCATGTCTTAAACTATTTCGTTTAAGGTAATACTTTTCAGATTTAAGAATCCAGTTTCAAATTCTCTTGCAAATTTTAGGGTCTATTTTCCAATTGCTTGCTGATACCTTTACAGAGATTTTTCTGCTAAACACAATACAGGCATATCTTGGAGATGTTGCAGGTTCACTTCCAGACAATTGTGCTAAAACAATTATCACAATAAGGCAAGTCACACAAATTTTTGGGTTTCTCAGTGTTTATAAAAGTTATGTTTACCCTCTGCTCTATTAAGTGTGCCCTAGTATTATGTATAAAAAACAATGTACATACCTTAACTTGAACATACTTAATTACTATGAAAATGTTATCAATCATTTGAGCCTTCACCGAGTTGTAATCTTTTTGCCAGTGGAGGGTCTTACCACAACATTAATAGCTGCTGACTGAATAGAGTGGTTGTTGAAAGCTGGTGTGGCTGTGACAATTTCTTAAAATAAGACAGCAATGAAGTTTTCTGCATTTATGACTCTTTCACAAAATATTTCTCTGTAGCACATGATGCTTTTTGAGAACACTTTACTCACAGAAATTCTTTCAAAATTGGAATCAATCCTCTCAAATCCTGCCACTGCTTTGTCAACTAAGTTCATGTAATATTCTAAATCCTTTGTTGTTATTTCAACAATGTTCACAGCATCTTTATCAGGACTTGATTCTATTTCAAGAAACCACTTATTTTCTCATCTGTAAGAAGCAGCTCCTCCTTTGTTAAAGTTTTGTCATGAGATAACTACTCTTAATGTTTATATTTTGACTTCCTCCCATAAATCACTAATGCTCTTAATGGAGTCTAGAATGGTGAATCCTTTCCAGGAGGTTTTCAAATTAGTTTGCCCAGATCTGTCAGAGGAATGGTTACCTGTGGCAGCTCTAGCCTTGTGAAACTTACCTCATAAATAATAAGACTTGAAATTCAAAATTACTCCTGGATCCATGAACTACAGAATGGATATTGTGTTAGCACATAAAAACATTACTCTCCATGTACATTTTCATCAGAGCTCTTGAGTAACCAGGTGCCTTGTCAATGAGCAGTGATATTTTGAAAGGAATATATATTATTTTCTGAGCAGTAGGTCTCAAAAGTAGGCTTAAAATATTTAGTAAACCATGAAGTAAATAGATGTGCTAATACGGCTTTGTTGTTTCACCTATAGAGCACAGGCAGAGTAGATTTAGTGTAATTATTTAGGGCTCTATGATTTTCAGAATGGTAAGTGAGCACTGGCTTCAACTTTAAGTCAGCAGATACATTAGCTCCTAACAAGAGAGACTTTTGAAGCCAAGCATTGATTCTCTCTCTCTAGCTATGAAAGCTTTATATGGCATTATCTTCCAATAGAAGGTTGTTTTGTCTACATTAAAAATCTGTTATTTAGTGTAGCCACCTTTGTCAATGATCTAGATCTTCCGGATAACTTGCTGCAGCTTCTGCATCAGCACTTGCTGCTTCGCCTTGAACTTTTATGTTATGAAGAGAGCATCTTTCCTTAAACTTCATGAACTAAACTCTGCTAGCTTCAAATTGTCTTATGCAGCTTCGTCATCTCTATCAGCCTTCATAGAATTAAAAAGTGAAGGCCTTCTCTTAATTAGGCCTTGGCTTAAGGGGATGTTGTGGCTGGTTTGATCTTCAATCCAGAAAATAAAAACTTTCTCAACATGAGCAATAGGGCTGTTTCATATTTTTTATGATCTGTGTATTCACTGGAGAATCACTTTTAATTTTATTCAAGAACTTTATTCCATCCAGAGCATTGCTAATTTTTCATGTTGGAAGCTTAGATTTCAGCCTATCTCAGCTTTGACAGGCGTTCCTCACTAAGCTAATCATTTCTAGATTTTGATTTAAAGTGAGAGATACGTAAGTAACAGTCTTCTTTTCACTTGAAAAATTAGAGACCATTGTAGGGTTATAAATTGGCATAATTTCAACATTGTTTTTTATCACAGAATAGGGAGGCTCAAGGAGAAGAATAGATGGTGGACTGTTCGGTTGGTGGAGCAGTAAGAACACACATATTTATCAATTAAGTTTTTTGTCTTACATGGGCACGGTTACTGGTGCCCTAAAAACAATTAAAATAGTTAAATAAAAAAAATCACTGATTACAGATCACCATAACAGATTTAGTAGTAATAAAACAGTTAGGAATATTGTGAGTATCAACAAAATATGACATAAAGACATAAAGTGGGCATATGATGTTGGAAAAAATTCCCCCAATAGACTTGTTCCATGCAGTGTTGTTACAAGCCCTCAATATCAGTAAAGTGCAATATAGTGAAGCTCAATGAACAAGGTAAACCTATGTATTAAACGTTCTGTCAATATACCCTCCACCCCATCTCATTGTTGTTCTGTATACTCATTTCCTATTCTGTTGGTTACAAATTTCTTCTAAAATTTGTTTGATTTCACTCTATTTCCAAAATCCATAGTATCTATTTCTGGAATGTTGACTGCAGGCCTCTGTTTTATACGCAATGCCTACATGGTTGTTGATGATTATAACATATACTTGCTACCTCTGGACTTTCACTAAAAACATCCTTTCCATATAACTTATCCATAGAAACATCTCCCCAAACTATAAGACTTACTGTGGCTTTTCATTGCTTGGAGGATTAGCTTTAATTTCTGCAGTCCAGTACATAAGACAGTTCAAAAATTGTCTGGTAATTTATGCTTCTAAAAATTTAGGAGATCCTTCCCATAGAGCATATCTAGGGTGCCTGGACCACATATAAGGTATATATGTTTGAGAACCTCAGGGAGATAACAACGTATTAAAGAATTACTGAGCCTTCCTTGGGAGAAGACAAAAATCCAGGGAGATGAGCCTGGAACATGTCTTGGAAATGCATTCATGTTGTTGCAAAAAGTTATGCTGCTTGAGAGTCTGAACAGTACTTTTGACAGACCCATGAGTATATAAGCACAGAGCTGGAATTCAGGGCCTACTGTAGTTCTTCTAACACATCTGTGCTTTGAGGAGGAATTCCAAAGAATTTTTCCACAGAAATAAGTCTCAGTGACAAGAAGGCAAGTCCTCACACAGTCCAATGATTCTGTGATTGAAATTCAACTAAAGTGAGCTAGACTCTTGTTGTCCTCAGAAGCCTGTCAACTGCAAATGTAAGTCATGTGTAGAGGAAGAAGATATCCTCGTGGTCCTCAAACTATTTCAGCAAATAATTTTTTAAGCATAATTTCTGAGATCCAATAAAATATGACAAGAAATATAAGTAGATAAAACAACTTGACTAATGAGGAAGCAAGAGAGAAAATAGGGCTTCAGACAGTGGATATGCTGACACAAGCATAAAAATTCTATATAGTCATGTACTACATAAAGACATTTTGGTCAACAGTGGATCACATATACAATGGTGGTCCCATAAGATTATAACAGAGCTAAAATATTTCTATTGCTTAGTGTTGTCGACCTTCCAGTGAGACAAGATGTGGAGGTAGAATTCAGTGATATTGATGGTTCTAGCCCTGTGTAGGCATAGGCTAATGTGTGTGTTTGTGTCTTAGTTTTTAGAAAACATTTTTAAAAGAATAAAATTTTTAAAAAATTAAAAATAGAAAAAAGGTTTACAGAATAAGATACATAGAAAATATTTTGTACAGCTGTACAACATGTTTGTGTTTTGTGTTACTGTAAGAGTCAAACGTTTAAAAAAATTAAAAGTTTATAAAGTAAAAAAAATACAGTTACTAAGGTTAATTTATTTCTGAAGAAAGAAAAGTACTTTTTCAGTTTAGTGTAGCCTAAGTGTATGGTGTTTATAGAGTTTACAGAAGTGTACAGTCATGCCCTAGGCCTTCATATTCACTCACCTCTCACTGACTTACCCAGAGCAACTTCTAGTCTTGCAAGCTCCATTCATGTTAAGTGCACTGTACAAGGGTACTACTTTTTAAATCTGTTATGACATATTTTTAGCGTAGGTTTTCTATGTTTAGAGTCACAAAATCGTACCATTGTGTTACAATTGCTTACACTATTCAGTACAGTAATTTGCAATATAGTCTATAAAATATAGTCCCTACAATAAAGCTAGGGGTATAGTATATTCCATTTAGGTTTGTGTAAGTACACTCCATGATGTTTGCTCAAAAACAGAATTGCATGGTGATGTATTTCTCAGAATGCATTCCTGTCATTAAGCAATTCATGACTATACATGGAGATTATATTCAAGGATATTAAAAAGAACAAGATAAATAATTTTGATAATTAAAAGCTACAAAAAGAACATGAAAATGTAAAATATAGTTTATAATATTAAACATAGTTGAATTTAACAAGTAGATGTTTGCTAAAAAATAAATGAGTTATCCACAATGATGCCAAGTCAAAAATAGATTAAAAATATAAAAATAGATAAGACATTTTTAGAATATAAATGAGTAAATATCATCAGAATATAAATGAATGTAATTGAGTATAAAGTTCTCAATTATATATATATATATATATATATGTAATTGAAACCTCGTTCATAGAGAAGAAAAAGAATGGGGGAAAATTCTATATACAGAAGTAATGTTTGGAAATTTCCTCATACTTTTGAAATCATTCAGCCATACATTCAAATGGTCTTATAAACCCCATGCTTTGCAGCCCATAGGTTAAAAACGAAATCATAATGGTTAGGAGAAGATATTTTTTACTAAAGAATGATAAAAATTCCACAAATAAAAATTTGCATGGTAAAGGAAAAATCATGCTTAGAAAGTTTCTCATAGGCTTAAGTATACATATTAAAGAACAAAAAGGCTGAAAATTTTAGTAACTAAACATCTTCAAGAAATTAGAAAAATAATAGTAAAGTATAATATATCTAAAGAAAGTTGAATAGAGGACATAGAACAAAAAGTAGAATCATAAACAATGGAGAAGATCAGCAGAGAAAACTATATTTTAAAGTATTGATATAATTGGTAAATTGCTGGCAAGCTAAATTAAGAAAAAGGAAAGAAAATACAAAAAGCCTAAGCATTAAAAGATAACACTACTAGACAACTGAAGACTCAAAAAAGATAGCCAAAAGATATTATGGACAACTTTATGACCATTTCTTGCAAGTGTTACAGAAATGAAAAAAATTCTTAATAGACTAAAACTGCGGAGACTTACATAAAAACAGAAAATCCAAATAATTCTATAACAATGAAACTGAATATATAATTAACCTTTCCACATACACTTTAGACATATATTTTTACACATATATTTTTACATACACATATATTTTCACATAGCAACAACAAGAAATTGGAAAAGGAAATTAAAAGGATATGTTTTAATAGGATAAATAATATTAAATGTATTGGAATAAATTCAGTGAAATATATGCAAGACCTCTACAAAGAAAATTGTAAAAAAAAATGTTTAGAGAAAGTAAAATATGCCTTAGTAAATGTAATAAATGTCATGTTCATGAATTGGAAGATTAGATATTGAGAGGTTTTTGTTTTTCCCTTGTAGAAATTATTCATAAAATTTATGTAGAAACGAAAGGTTCAAAAATAGCAAAGACACTTGAAGAACCAGGTAGGAAGGACTTGTTCTACCAGCTATTGATTTATTATATTATTACTCCAATTAAGACACCGAGATTGTCATCAATATTGAAAAATAGATCAGAAGCAACAAATTAAAAATCCAGGTAAGACCCATATTTTTGTGGACAATATTGCTTATAGAGTTGGCACTGCAAAACAATATAAAAACATGAGTCTTTTATAGAAATTATGTCAGTACATTGGCATTTCTATACAAAAACAATGAAATCCGACACCTAAGACATGTAACTCATTTCCTTATAATACTTAATTTTCCCCTGGTTTAACCTGTCTTAGCCTGTCTTGGCCATATCTTGTTGATGAGGCAAACTATTTATATAAACAATAGCTACTTCATAAGCTATAGGCTGGCCACAGGTTTTTAGAGTCTGCTCTTCAATACTTGGTTATTTTTTTCTCTTAGCTTTTTGAAATTTAACTCTAAGAATATGTCAGTTAGCAAGTGGTTTGCTCCTAATTATACTCCATTAATTAACTTCTGGAAAGAAAATTTAATCTGGTTCAATTTAAAAGTTGTTTTTCTACTCATGTTCCATATATAGATGCCTCAAAATTTCTGAAATGTAAATTGGCATAATGCTGTAATTCTTTTGGTAGGATTTATATCAATTTTCTTTGGAGTCAATCTTAATTACATTTGAATACCAAAATCTATATTTTGTTTCTAATTGTAGCAGAAAGGTTTACCTAAGTTAAAATATGTCTGATCATTAAAAATATGTATGGAATTCAAATAGAAATTTTAATTGCTTTCTTATTTTAAAAAATATATATATTACAAGTTCAGATGTCTAAAAATAGTTAAACTAGAAAATTCAACACAAAGAAATGAAAGATAAAACAATTGAATTATTGACCTCACAATAAACTGGGGGTGTTTAATACAAATGCCTTAGGTAATATACCATACACATTTGAAAAATGAAAAATGATAACATGGTCTGAAGTTGCCAGTTACAGAAGCATTAAAATATGAAGCCATTAGTCAGAATGAATCATATTCCTATTTTGTCTTCATATTGAAATATTCAATAAATTCTAGTAATTCCATATTTATCTTACATTTAATAATCTTCAGGAAATTACCAACATGATCTTTGCCATGTAACATTTTCTCTTTTACCTTTATTTCACTTCTTAAATTCTGAAAATTAAGTAACCAAGTCATTCTTTTGTAAATGCATTCATTATTTGTTATTCAATAAGCAAATCTTTGTTATTCAATCAACAAAGTGAAAATATTAGCACTTCAGTAAGATTTAAATATTCAATCTTAATTGATTCAAAAGGTCTTCTAGCCACCCCCCACCGATTTCTAAGGTGCCTTTTTGCCAACTATGGGTAGATCTTATCACATTTTAATTCTTGGCCCTAAAATTTCTAATTAGCAAAGTATTGCACGGTATTTGAGGGCTGCTGATTAGCATCTAAGAGACTATTCCCAATAACATTCCCAGTGTGTATTAAGTCAATCCAAATTTTGATAGATTATTCTTTTCTTATTTTACAGAAACCAGTCATTTTTCCATACTAATTTGGTCTCAATGAGAACAACATAATTCTCATTCATCTCCCTGTAGAAGTTATATATTTCCAAAGTGGTTCAAATGTACTGAAAGCCAACTCACCACTAGGAATTGAATCAAAATTGACCCACAGACGTACAACATTAAGTTTGCTGCGAAGATTTAAATCAGTGGGACATAAAATAAAAATTGTATGCTACCCAAACCAAAGCCTCTCCTTCAAAAAATACTGTTGTTTTTGTTGTTGTCATTGTTTTCCCATTATGTCACAGTTCTTAAGTGGTAGAAAAGCAAGTTGATAGGAATCACTTTATCTTGTAGTTTCATTTTCATACCACAGAGCTTCAGTTTCCTTCCAGGCAAAAGTCATCAGTGTAGTAACAGATGCATCTTTTTCTGCCCTAGGATCTTAGAATCAATGGGATTATCAAGACGGAGATTACCTTAGCAATGAGTGAGCATTGTTTTGTGCATAAAGGCATTGAGATTCATATAAGAATTGACTTGAGGTCCACTGTCTAGTTACTTTAAAAGCAGAATGATATAAAGGTTTATTCTAGCTAATCTGTGCCATTTCCAGTCAGCTCTTTGTTTTTCCTTGTTTTCTCTTGTATATTTGCTTTTCTCACATCTAGGTCAAATAACTGCTTTTTTGGATAATGTAGCGGATCTCCTTATGTCTGCCTCATCCAAACTTTCTCCAACAACATAACTGAGTGGGCAGTAGAAAGTGTGAGGCTGCCCTAGGCTCCAGTTTATTGGACTAGAGTTGAGCAGCTGAGTCAAAATTAATCAGTCACAATCTCTATGGTGTGAATTAGAAAATGTGAGATGGGGACTTTTAAAACATACCAACTCATCAGGCCCTTCTAGAGATCAGTTAAAGCAGGAATCACAGGGTGAGGACTACACTGTAACTCCCCACTTCTTTCTCATGGTCAGGATTCAGAGCCATTAATGCAGATTATAGTTATTTTATACCTGTTTCCATAGGCCATCTATATTCTGGTTGCATATATGTGAATTTGTATGTATATTCCTATTATGTACTTATAGACTGTGGCCACATTCATGTATATTACTCCAAAAGCATAATCTTTGGCCCTTACCTCAATTTCAACAATTCTACAATATCTTTCACTAGCCTGAATAAACAATTTTGATTTAGTGTTCATGTTCCTCCAGCCTTCAGTAATCTTCATTCCACCATAGTACTCCATATAATATTGTCATGTGTCAACTAAATGCTAATTTTTTAAAAATTATGTTTCTGGTATATAAAATGTAATTAGAAATCCAAATAGTAAATTAGCCCTTAAAATAATGCATAAATAATTTATCATGTATAAAACTTTTCTGATAAAAATATATCTCTATAAAATGATAAACACTATTTTGATTAATTGGTTAAATTGACCTTTTCCTTTAATTAACTTTTTCTATATTAAATTTATTAAAAATACTCCAGTATTTAATTAATGTTTAACATGGAAAATTGTGTTTGGTAATTGACTTAATTTTTTTACTAATTGGTTACATATTAAATCCTCGTTTTCATAGAACACTGCTCATTACTAAGAATAATAATTCTAGTCAAGAAAATATTCATCACTTTGGTAGAGGTTTTTTTCCTAAATTAATAATACAAAAGTTAATTTTTATTGAATTACTTCTGGTTAGGGATATTAACCTTAATCAGGCAAACTTCTTATCTTCTCTAGCTTACAGTTTAATGCAGTGGTTTGTAATATATCACACAATGCAGTAAGCATTCTGCACATATACATGTTTGTGTGTGCATGTGTGTATATATACACATATATATGTACACAGGTGTTTTATTTGAACAGAGATAATTACCATTCATAAATGCCCATTGGTTAATTGCTTAATAATCGTATTTAGTGGCTCAAAGTAAAACACTTGTGCATTATGTTTTACGATACTAAGATGTAAGTTCTAACCAAATCCTGTGCTGACAAGGAACACGTTCCTTGATGAGCTCTACAAAGACCTACAAAAATAGTAATTCAAACACCAATTATTCATATTTTATACAAATGTTTGCCTATACGTAGCCTAGGTAATAATCAACCTGAAAGTTTATATTGTTAGAGGCATGTCAGTCCTAACCAAGGAGACTTTTTCTGATTTTATGTCACTACATATATATAAATGATGCATTTTAGTCTATTTAGGAAAATATTGTTAGCTTCAATTCCAAGTTTTTATTTATTTATGAGGTTTCTTATAGTTTGATTAAAATAATTTGTTACAAACCTGTCACATTCAGTTATTCCATGATCCACCACAAATAGAAATTCTCACCATCTCAAATGTAATAGTGCAGATAAGTTGTAAATATAATTATGATATGCACTTATAAAATATAAGGATAGGAGAAAAAAATCCAGCCTCTTATTTGTGTATCATGTCCTTTAAGATTATATCTAGTATTGCAGCTTGGGCCCCTTGACTGTCACTTCATTGCCAGGAAATTTTCGGCAGTGCTTTGAACTATTTTCATCAAAGACAGAAGGGTGTGGTGCCATAGGAGTTAAAAGACTAGATCGTCTCAATGAGAAGGGTGTGATCCAGTGAACTAGGCAACTTCAAAAGTACAGTAAACTATGAGTTAAAAACTTCTATTAGTTTTGGCAACTTGAAAGGTATTTTTGAATTTATGGAAAGCAATATTTTATGAACTCAGACAGTAAAAGCCAAACTGCCATAAAGTGAGGAGTGATAGGGTACAGGGTATAGTCGATTGTAGACAGGGTATCAATGCTGAGGAAGTTAGCCTGGGCTTGTGTTGAACCACTGACCTGTGTGAACGGAAATGTCCTCAGAAACACTGTATTAAAGGAAAAATCTGCATGACAGCTCTGGATCACAAAATGGAAAGCCAAGCAGAGCCCGGCCACGGGCGGCGTTGAGAAGAGTAAGGTTGTTGAGACTTGGGGACCAGCGTAGGGTTAAAATAGAGACACAACTGACCTTGATGCTTCTTAAAGTATTTGTATTTGTTCTATGATCTTAAGTCTTCACTATTAAAATAATTGATTTGTCTAGTTCTAGTTCTATGCAACATTCAGAGTTAAAATCACTAGCAAAGTCTCTTAAGTGTATCAGAATCCAAAATAGAATTCAGCCAAAATCTTCTCTTGCTCCAGGAATAGGCTTTTAAACCAAGACTCAGTTACCTCATCACCCTTAGGAAGTTTTGAGTTGAATACTTTCGAAAATCCAGAAGATAGACTGACCTAAACTGAGTTTTCTTTTTTTTTCTTTTCTTTTTTTTTTTTTTTTTTGAGGAGTGATAAGATAGTAAAAAACGTCTCCGGAAATCCTGAGTTTGGCTAGCATAGTGTAGTGAATATGTTTCTTTGTAATGTCGTGAATTTCAAAGTCAAAAAAACAAATACATGCCCTAAATTACTTTCAATTTTTGAATAAGGTTTTATGTTTGTTTGTTTGTTTGTTTGTTTGTTTATTGAGACAGTCTCGCTCTCACTCTGTCACCCAGGCTGGAGTGCAATGGCCTGATCTTGGCTCACTGCAACCTTTGCCTCCCTGGTTGAAGCAATTCTTCTGCCTCAGCCTCCTGAGTAGCTGGGACTACAGGCGCGTGCCACCATGCCTGGCTAAATTTTGTATTTTTAGTAGAGAAGTGGTTTCACCGTATTGGCCAGGCTGCTCTCGAACTCCTGACCTCATGATTCACAAGCCTTGGCCCCCCAAAGTGCTGGGATTACAGGCGTGAGCCACCGCACGTGGCCGAATAACTTCTTAAATACTTTTTTTTTTCTTCTTCTAATTCTTACTGTGGAAAGTTCCTATGACCCTGGAAATTGAGTGAAATATTTAGTGTGGAATCGCCTGCATTTTCATGAAATTTCTTCAACTATGTTTTTAGAATGGTGATTTTATAATAGTAAGTTGTCAGTAAATTTGTGTTGATTAATCACCTGATTTCTAAATTATTTTCCTAACTTTTAATACCTTTTAAAACGTAAACTTTAAAAAATAATTCATATAAAACCTGAATATACAGAACTACAAATTGTTAACATTTTGGCACTTTTGATTTCTCTATCTCCATCTTCGTATATTTTGAGTTACAGATACTGAGAATCTTTCCTCCCTAATTCAGCATGCATATCTTTCTAAATGCCCTCCCCCACTTTTTTTATTCCAGAGTCTAGTCAAGGTTCACACGTTGCTTCAAATTCTTTGTCTGTAGTTTCTTCTAACCAAGAGAGTCCCCCCTCCCCCTCTTTGTTTTTCCTGATCTTTACTTTTTGAGGGATACGGATTAGTTGACATAAAATGTTCCAAATTTTGTTCAGGTCTTTTGATTTCTAATTAAATTGTTTTCTCTATAAGAACACTACATGAACCATGTTGTATAGTTGTGATTGCTTCTTATTAGTCATTAATAATGTCATGTTTATTAGACATGATGTTAAGTCACTTGGTTAGTATAATAATTACCAAATCTCTTCAACTGTCTCACGTTAAGAAATGTGAATATCTTGTCCTGATCCTCTCCACCCCCATAATATTTCATAAAATGGTTTTAAAGCCCTAAAACTTAAAGTATAATAAATAAATAAATAAATAAATAAATAAATAAAACCACTGTGGAAAAAAAAAAAAAGCCCTTGCTGATTATGTATTTAAGCCATCAGTACATTAGTGGTTACAAAGTGGTGATTTTAAAATTCTGCCTTTTCTTCCACATTAATTATTTGGCAATCTCCTCTATACAAATATTTTCTTCCCACTGTCCCTTTGTCCCCGACCTCCAATAATTACTTACACAGGAAATAGCAGCTAGGGCTAGCCAAATAGAAAATGTAATGAGGGTAAAATCTTTCTCCAGCACTTGGTTTTCTTTTCTAGATATTTTCCCCTCACCCGGTCTTCTCAAATATCCCTTCCACTTGAGGACCCAATGACTCTATGCATTCTCTTATTCTTTCCTAAATATTACAGTGACTAAGACTTATTAGCTACTTTAGAACTTTAAACAGATCATTCATTCTCTTTGAATAGAGGTTTTTCATCAGTTCAAGGTAGTAACATGTATCCTTCATTGAGTTGTAAGAATTTCAAAAGATAACAGTGGAGTGTGATACATGGTTAAAGTTTAAGAAATTTCCATTAGCAAATGTAAAGCACTAGGAAGAGATAAGTATCAGGTTCCTTCCTGCACTTCATTTTCTACTGTTCTTGTGTTTTAGGAGTATTTATGATTATTCAGCTAATGTTATTTATTCATAAAATAACTAGTTTTTATGCTTATATACCTTTACCTCATTTTTGGCAGAGAATAAAATGTATTATATATATCCTATTTCAAAACATATGGTTATTGAATAGAAGAAATTACCACATAAAATAAACTCTTGCATAAAGTTGCATGTTTATGAGGTCTTTGTTAATTGTCTTTGTTAACATTGTCTTTGTTAATTGTGTTGCTTCTACCTTATTTAGAATATTTTAAAAATTATATTTTAATGTCGAATATCACAATATCTATTGGAGTTTAAAGGTAATCATCACACACAGGTTTAAAACAGAGATTGATGGAGTTAGAAAAAAATGAAAATTAAAATGTGGATGACGTTACGCACACTGCTAAGTCAGTTTGCACCGTGGCCAGATAGTCTTCCTTCCCCACCCTCACTGAGTATGTACACTGGAAAAATCCAGCTAAGAGAAAACATAGGACTTGCAGCAGAAACATCCCTTCAGGTATCAGTGGGACTTCTAACTCATATTTTTAAGCTTGAAGAACAGTGGCAGAGAAATAAAACATAGATTTGACTCTACAAACCAGACCCTGAGTCCTGAGGAAGAACCAGGTTAATGGAAAATGAAGAATGGCAAGAAGAGCAGCCCAAAGAGTAAACCCCAGAGGGAGGGAGTAAAACTACATATGCCCAGTGCTTTTTGCTATCCTCAGAGGGGAATAAACAGGGGGATTACAAGAGAGAGAAGAGCATGTACATAGAGGAGAGAACCTGCAGAGCAGAGATAGAGTTAGGATTGTTCCAAGGCTATTGAAAAAAGTTCTAGATGAGAATTGATTGCTGGCTGCAGTGAAGTTATTAAAAAATGGTCAGATTTTGGATATATTTTAAACTTCGAGTCAGTAGAATTTGCTGATGGATACAGTAAGGAATATAAGACTATAAGAGAAAGTCTAGGATGACTCTGAAGTTTTGGACACATGTTAGGTTGGAATTTCTTTTTTATTATGTGTCAAATTTTATTTCTCTGCACATATCACAGTGTTTTTTATTGCTTATCAGTCTTTTAAAGTAAGTTGTTGTTTTATTAAAGGCACATCTTATTTTTAAATTAAAATGATATTACATGACTTTGTCAGAAAGGTCAATCACCAGCATTTTGTCTCTTCATCCCACAAGATTACTCCCAAGATGGTAACAGTTTTTCTACTATTTTTAAGATATTTTTTCTATGATATTTTTAAAATTACATTTAAAAATGTTAAAACATTACTTTCTTTAAAATAATGAAATTATATTTCATTTACTCATTTTAGTAACTCTTGATTTCCTGTTATGGTAGTTGAAGATTTAGCTTTCCACCCATCCTCACATTCCTGCTTTCCCTTTTCTCAGCCTTTTGACTAAGATTTCTTTAAACTCATTAATAGATTAATAGAAGATATTTTCATGGTGATGACTATGTAAATACAATTCACTTCTAAAGGACGTATTGTGCTATGATTACCTTTCTTTTCCCATTGCCTCCCTTCATCACTACACACTGGACTTAATAATTGCTTAATTTACGTTAGTTTCCTATACGTGTATGAACATTTTTCTCCAAATGCATTGATCTGTCAATAGGAAGGATTCCTCTTCCTTCCTATTTCCCAGTCTATATCGTTGAAGTCTAGGCTTGAAACAAAGATGTTATTTGTGTATTTCTCTCACTTCTCTTATTTTTTGTAATCCCACTCTCTGGATCTCATGTCTTCCTTTTAAGGTTTTCTGCATACACATCTTCTAATATAGTGTTTTTGAAACTTTAGCGTGCATCAGAATCACATGGATATCTTTTTAAAACAGTTTACTAGGTTTTAACCCCAGTTTCTGATTCAGTGTATCTGGGGTGAGGAGAGTGAATTTGCCTTTTCAACAAATTCTCAGGTGCTGCTGCTGATTTGGGCAATACACTTTAAAAACTATTCCAGGGCACAAGGGACATAAGATTTTGAGAGCTTCCATGTCTTTCTAGTTTAGCTAGTATGATAAATTGCGCTATTGCCTAAAACCCCCCATGCCTACTTGTATCCAAGCCTTTTGGGGTTTTTGTTTGTTTGTTTGCTTGTCGTGTAACTGCAATTCTTTCTACTAGAAGTGGAGTTCACTTCCCTGTTTTACTGGTGAGGGGTTTGGTAATGTTCTTTGCTTGGGCCAATGCTGTTTTAATAGATGGAACTCAAGCAAATGATTTATACTTGCTTGCAGGATGAGTTTCTCTTATGTTTTCCCCTTCAACAACAACAACAACAACAGTGACAACGAAAGTAAGAAAGAAAAAAGCCTTAGGTAGTGTTGTCATCTCAAAAATGAGAGACATCTGAGGCAAACCTAGCTGAGCCTAGCATGTAGAAGCTTAACCACAGATAATCTGCAGGAGCATGGGTGAAAAATATATGCTTGTTTATATAAGCCACTGAATTATCATGTAGTGTAACAGTGTGAAAGTAGCTAAATAATAGAAAGCCTGGGAAAGAATAATTTTCTCTCAGAGTGTTCATTTGTTTAAGAGCTTACAATTTTTCCCCTTATGGAACATTTTAGAGAATTCCCTTCAAATGATTTCTCTGAATTTTGCAATGATCAACACTGTGAAGGACCTTTTCTCATTTATTGTGCTGACTTCATGATTGGCCGTTTTATTCTAGAGATACAAATTCTTATCTCCCAGAATTTTCATATATTGCTATTATATTTTCTTCATGATCACCCAATTATGTTTTATTTGCTCTTCCTAGAACTCCTATAATCTAGATGTTAAACATTCTAGATTGAGTTATCTTTTCTTTCATATTTCTGGAATATTTCTGGAATCACTATTTCTGGAATCAGTATTTCTGGAATATTCCCTTGACTTTATCTTCTAAAATTGCCAATTAATTAAAAATAATAGACAGTTTTATCCCTAAATTCTCAGCATTCCTGGTTCTTCTTTGAACGTTTCTTATAAAGTCATATTTTCATTTTACAACTGCATTTTCATCTCACAACGGGCATTTTCTCTCTTCTTTCTGAGAATAATGAGGATCTATCTACAGTATCTATATATTTACTTTTTTTCTACTTTTTGTTTTGAGGGTTTCTTTACACCATTTTTTGCTTATTTATTGTGGGATCCCCTTTTTCATAAGTTGGTTATTTTTCTTACTGGAGGGCTTATTTGGACGATATCATCTTGGTAGCAGTGAAGCTTTGCTATAGGAGAGCAGGTTGTTAACTTAGGGTTTTGTTTGAGAACACTCAAAATTAATAGGAGTCTGTTTTTTTCTTTTTCTTTTTTTTTTTTTTAAATTCCCTAGTGTCACTTAGTTTCTTGTCAAGGAATCTTCCAGGCCAACTCCTGGGTATGTGTTGGTCAGATCAGGTATTATTGACGAGAATTTATGCCTGGCTGCGAGGATTCTGGGAATAGGTTAGAGAAAGATCCATTAACATGTTTCAGTTCAACATGTAGTTGTTCAATTTCTTTCTCTATTTTCAGCTCTATTCCTCAATTATGCCGTCAACTGAGTATGAGTCTGGGGTGTCCCCAGCTCAATTTTCTCAAAGAGGAGGAGGAGAGTGCCTTAGCTGTCCTTTGCCCTGCAAGGCATTTATATTATTATTTCCTTGATTGTTAAGCCTGTAATCATGTCTTCCCACATGCTTTCTGCCTTCTAACAACCAGAAATAACTTGCTTGCTATTTTCTGTTCTCTTGTTTTCTATCCTTGGGTTTATAATAATTTATCATCACTTTAGTGAATTCAAGGGTGGGAGTTGAGAGGAATTGGGAGGGGTAAATGAGCACCCGTGTTCAAGTAGAGGTATAATTTGTTAACTGTGTTAGCTGAACTATAATCTTCATGAAGAGCGGATGTGTAGCTACCTTATTTACAGTTCTATACCCATGATCTAGCACAGTGCCAGGCACATAGTTAGCACTTATTTAATACGTGTTGAATGAATGCTTCAAAAAGAAATATGTAATATTTAGATATCTGTTTGACAGAGTCCACGGATTTCCAATTCAAAGGAGAAAATGCAGAGATGTTGTGGAAAGCAGGCCAGACCATTATTTTTACCCAGCACAGTGGCATGGACAGACAGATAATTACTATTAAAAAATTCAGTCCGATTAGCCTTGCTCTTAGTTAACATATTTTGCAGGCACTCTTTACACTTAATTTTTTTCCAGGGAAAACATCCTTCTCTAGTTCAAAGATATATGGATCACATTCCTGGGCCATTGTGAAGTATTATGAAGTGATTCTTCTCTTTATTTTGAAAAAAATGGAAGGTCAAACAAATAATTTTTCTTTTTCAAATATTTGTGGTGTTTTGTCGTGGTAAATTGAGAGGTTATGCTCCATATCACCTGGTATGTAAAATATGATCCACTTAATTCTTAAAAGATAGTTAGCTTCTATTTGAACAAATATACTGTCCAGTAGCCTTGTACCTTGTGTTCTTGAAAAACACACGTGTGATTGTGAAATACTTTGGTAAAGAATGCATAAAGCAGAGACAGATCTAAATATTCTTTTAGTAAGATTAGAATTTCTCAGCATTTTTAATCTGGCACATATGAGAATATTGCTATGATGAACGTGCATGTATCAGAAAAGGTAAGTTACATTACTTAACTCTCTATTGTTTTTAAGGAAATTCTAAATCCTAATTTGGTTTAGGCCTTTAAACTAATGTCCATATAACCCAGCATGACTTATAAAATCTGTGATTATAGGCATGTGTTTATTAGTATGTGTTTGTATATCAAAACATTTATATGAGCAGGCAAATATTCTTCAGATAAATCATACCCTTCCTAAGTATTTTCCTCCAGAGAAGGTCACTAGTTTGAGAGTAAAAGTACATATATACGTGTGTGTGTGTGTGTGTGTGTGTGTGTGTGTGTGTGTATAACATATAGGTTTAAAATGAAAATTCCTTGGCTATAGAAAATATATTTACATGTATATAATAAATTGCTACAGTATTACAAACACCCATGCTTTCTTATTACCTGGGAAATCCAGATATTCCCTTTCTATTTCCATCTATACAATTCAGCTTGAAATCAAATCGCATCTATGAAAGAAAGAGAACAGAAGTCCTATTTTTATGAAAAGCAATGCCGAAGCCATGATGTGTCTAATTCACTTCTAAAAATTCTACTTAGGTGCAAGGACGTAGAAGACACTATAGTTTGCCTATTAGCTTTTGCTGTATACATAGAACCGAAATTAGTATGGCTAACACCCTGTGACTATGGCCATTCTTAATGACTCTTGTAATGCTTATGGATAAAACTGGTTCTCAATTATCACTCTGGTAATTGGGGCTGCATTTTTAGCATAAGCGAACACCATGGGAGGCCCAGAACTTCACTGTGGCACAGAACCCCCAAGCCTTCTCACTCTGTCCTTTGTCTTATAACTTGATCTTCATTTCATTCCAAAAACTTGTTCTGATTTCAGCAAATTTCTCTGTTCCTGGAAAAGTTGCCATTAATGTACATTAATTTACCATCATCTTCTGTGTATCTGTCCTTCCATTCTGGACTGTTAGCCCCTTTCTCCTTTCTAGTTTTCCATGATACGACCTTTATTCACTCTCCTCCTGCAGTAGCCTTTTCAAGATATTATTCCTAATGGATACAGATGCTCAAGTATGTAGACCTGCCATTCAATATGATACATATCAGGGGCACACTTTGTTTTCCTTGTACTCTGTCTGTAGACTCTAAGTCCTATAATTGCAGGAGCTTTGTGTATCCTCTAAATGATGTATCCTCAGAACCTAATGTAGTGTGTAGTACATAGTAGGCATTCATTACGTATTTGTTGTGTGAATAAATGCAATTGTTTGTGATTGTATTACATTTTGAACTTCCACATGCCAAGGTCTATTCCTTTAGTCCAGATACTAAGGCATTTGTCTGCGAATTGCATCAGGATCTGAGTCATGTTCCATCATGAGAGGAAATAATTTACTATGATTATTGTTGCCCTTAACGGCACTAACCACAAAAGTGCTTGTAAATGCCTAATTGTCCATGGAGATATATGTGGTAATGTATGATAAAAGGAAAAGCCCCAAATTTTCAGAGTTTGACAGGCACCTCAGTTGTAGACTCATACATGATAGAACATAAGAAAGGCAGAATTCAGGCCATTTTATGTAAAATTAAGAAAAATAAGATTTCCTATTTTTGTGTCTCAAATGGTTTTTTTAAGTAAGCTAATTTTATGAAAAAAATCAGAAGTTTTATGTGTAGTTAATTTTTCATTAACAAAAGAATAGAAAAATCCAAATAACATACAGGTGATCAACACATTTCATGCATACAAACATACTCTTATTCATGCATGCATACATACATACAGTTTTTAGAAATGCCTATACCTAAGTAATAACCATTAGTAAATTTCTAACTGAGATCCTCTTGATAATAAAAGATAGTTAATAGCTTAAGAAAGTCCTTGTTCATGCTTCATGTGTCATTACCATGTATTTAGGAAATTCAAGCATATAAACTCTAAGTGACAATAATATCCCCGTTAAACCAGTGAGAGATATCTGTTATTTAAAAAAAAAAAGATTGTAGTTGACAATAGATGTGCTGACATCATCCTAAATATTTGAATTTGCTAATAATTGTCCTCTACACAATTGTAGTAAGAGTTCATCCTTAAGATGCATATGTTTTGCTAATGTTAAGATTAGCTGATTAATATTGATGGCAGCTAAGGCCAGTGGCTAATGTCTGACATCTGTTTGGGAAATCATTGTTCCCATTCAGGAAGCTGGCATTTCTGTAGAGGTTAGAATGAGGGGTTAGTGTGTAAGGAATTATGATTAGGGTTTTGTGTATGGTTAAGGTTAGGAATAGGGACATGTTCTATCTCATTTCTGTTCATCTCAATGTATTTCTGGTGTCTAGTTGCTTGCTCTATTCTGTGTTAACAGAGAGGTCTTCCCCTCTGTTCCCTTGTGGCACATTCACTGTGGCACATTATTTCACGTGCTCCATTCTGTGTTAATGGACTGATTGATCTCATTTTCTTATCTGTGTTAGTCCTTACTTTGTCCTTAAAGAATCTCTTCTTTTGGGATAGAAACATTCTTTTTGTTCCAATTGTTTATTTGAGTCACAGGTGGACACTTTAACTGATTTAAAGTGGGAAATTAATTTTTACCTCATCCTTTTCCAGTGCCACCTTAACCTTAATCTTAATACTGAAACCATATCAAAGGGAACTGTGTTTTGGTTTTGGGAGGGAAAGCTATTGATATATGGATTTCTCTCCCAAAATTAAAATTTTAATAAATGAAAAATTGTAAGCCAAAAAAGTCTTAGTCCTTTAATTTTTTTCTAACACAGCTATTTGTTTTATTTTTTCTCTAGTGGGCTTTAGTATTAATCAGTGTATAGAGGAGGTAAAAATAGTTTTCCTATAACTTATGCAAAGGGAAGAAATGAACATTTAGTATAACAAAAGACTACTGAAGTGAGGTAACCACAGAGACTCAGAAAATCAATCAACCTAAGAAGGAAAGAACACCAGGACCTCTCAGGATATTGAATGAATGCACAATTAAAGTCTGTTTTCCTTTTATTTCCATTTCTCTTTAACTGAAACATCAAGTGGAAAATCATGAAAACCTTGAAAATTCAAGAAAACTTTTAAAGAACATTCGAGGATCTTACTATATTGATGTACATAGTTTGATATTTTTAATGAAGTTCTTTAAGCCATTATGTCAATGGCTTCAAGACATTTTGTTCAGTAAATGAAAAATGAAACCTTTACAAACTCTTGTAAGATTTTCATTAAACACTTCAAAAAATAGTTTTTTATGTAAAAGTTTCTGTCAGCATCAAAAATCTTTTATTTAGTACACATTTCCTGTCTGTTGGGGGGAAGCAAAACTAAATGAGAAGAAAATTGAAATTATCTATGTATATTCCTTATTAAATGTAAGTGGGGGCTAGGGTGGTATATTCTTGTATTACTATTAATTTTTAGACAGAGTTTTTTTCATTTCACAATGATATCCCAGTTTGCCAACTTGTAGACTGAGAAAAGTGCTGCTTAAATTTTTTGTGCCTAAGACTCCATATCTTTAAAATGGGTTTAGCAAAATAGGGATAATCAATGAAATATTGTATGTAACACGTTTAGACATACCTGATACGTAGTAAGTACACAATACATATTATTTAATATTAGTAAGGGTACTAATATTATCTAGCATGATAGCCAGCTAGCTCTGGACCTTTTTTGTGCTCAAATTAATGAATGAATAAAGAAAAAAATATATATTTTCTTCACAATAATAAGATTCAGGGACATTATAGAAACTTAAACTTTGAAGTTATTTAGTTCACACTTTTACCAAATATGAGAGTACCATAATTTATGACAAGGGATTAAATGGATTCACACCTTTTTTCTGGATTTCTTAGAAGAGATTAACGTTTTTGTCTTGCAAAATATTTTTCTTAATTAAAATGAAATTGAATGAATTTAGCATTTACTCATTGGTGCTCACTTCAACCCCAGGAATGTCAAGAGTGGGTTCACATTTTCCCACAGAGTTGTCAATGCTTTCCTCATATAATAACACTAAACATTGGATTGTAAGAATTATCACCCTCTTACATAGACTACTGTCTGAGTAAAACATTTGTTCTCAATTTACTTAGTTTTCTTGGGAAGTAATGATTCAGTCATTCTGATTTGTAAATGTTTTCTTGTATATCTCATGGCCAAGACATAATAGAGACTCCAGGAAGGTCTGACTTACTCTTGAAGGGAACATTAATAACCACTACAGGCACTATGTAAGTTGTAGATTGTTTAGTTCTCCTTTTGTCGAGAACCCTTATAGGGCAGATTTCATTATTGTCATTTCTTCATCAAAGAAACTGAGATCTACCTTGGTTATATCACTTTATTTAGATCTAGTCACAAAGACAGTCAGCTCTCAAACCTTTGTTTTTTCTGATATTTATGAAAAAATGACCTTTCCCATTTCCATTTAGTTGCTATTATCTTCTGCCTTATTCTGGACACCATAGTGTAAACACTTGTATTCTTTAAAGCTCTGTATGAGACCTTAGACATTCACCAAAAGTTAAAAAAAACACTCCTTAAGAAGTAAAATTATTGTGGTTAATTAGGCTCCTGTATACTAAATGGAATTCCAATTCAGATTAGGGGCATTAAATATAACATTTTATTTAATCCTCAATTATGAGATAGGAGTTATTATTGCCATTTAAATTAATACATATCATATACCTTCCTAGTCACACATGAATTGACTTGTTAATTCATAGAAATTGAATTTGCATATGTCAAAAGTTCTACTCCAACTTTATGAATGCTATTTAAGATTGGGTTAGGATTTTTGGTAGTCACGGCATAGTATTACCTCTAATTCAGCTGTTGCTGATAAAAACACATCGGTTCCAGATGCGCTATTCAGTGAACAGTCTAATGTCTGGTACCTATGTGATTAAGGACCTAAAGGCTAGATTCTTAAGAGAATAATTTATTAGATCATTGCTCTTGTGTAAATCTTCCCTTAAGAGAGATTCATACTCAGTCTATAGTAATTCACTTCTGGGACCCTAAAGTTAGTTGCTTGGCTCTGCTGTGAGATAAAAGTAGTATCAAATAATAATATGATACAAGCAAGAAAGCAAAATAAAGGGAAAGAAGGAAATTTAACAGTTTGATATTTTGATTGATAGTTGCAGGGTCTATGCCAATAAAAAATATTATTTAGATAGCATTAATGTAGTTATTGACTCAAGCAATATGTTCATGCATGCAATATTTTATTTTGGTATTCTTTACCATTTTAAAAATAATGATAAACAATGGACATACTCTTTCTCTGAAAGAAAATAACAAGATAAAGGAGTTTTGACATGCAGTTTGAGTAAATATATCTAAAATATGTAATGAGAATGGGAGCTTTCACATCTGCTGTATTCATTGTCAAAACATTATTCTAGATATTTTATTTAATCTAGTAATATAATTATCTAGCAAAGATAGTAATTTAGTAAAGTTTTAAATTTAAAAAAAGAAATTACTGGAATTGTGGCAGCAAATGGATATATTTAAAACTGAGGGCAAAATGAAGCGCATATCAAAAGAACCAACGAATGAGAGAAGATAAAGATAATCAACATACTCAGACAGAAAAGTATGCTTAGTACACAGCAGTGAGCAGTTTCTGAGGTTTCTGGTGCAAGGGAATTACCTCTTTCAATAAAATGAATCAATTATAACCAAATTATGAAGTAATCTCTTACTGTTTGATTTTTTGATACATGAAATTATTTTTACTGCAGATTTTAATATAACAATATGTTATAGTCATAGAGCACTTTTCCTAATTTAGTAATTGAAAGCTTGTGTAAAAAATGTTTCTCTGTTTTTGTTTTTTTTCTTATATTGGCCATGAAAACATTCTTTTGAGGAAGATTTTATTTTCCCTTGCTAAGTTTCAGTAAATATAATTTAGTTGAATTTAATACAACCAGATGCATAAGATGAGGTAGGTAATTTAACTGTCAGATGAACTATAGTTAGTTAAGGTACGCAATGGATTTTGTTTTTCTTCCAAGCAAGTGTCAGTTAAATAGCAATCATTTCCTTCAAAATACTCCCTCACCTCAGCCCCTCAAAAGAATTTCAATGCTATTTTTGAAAATATTTTGAATTACTGGTCATAAAGGAGTTCTAAAACATTCCTGTGAAGTGCTTTAGAGCTTCACCCAGTAGTGTCAGGAGTATTCATTCTTACTTGAACAAGAGAACGGAAAACAGGACTGGCTATAGCAGTTGCCAGCTTCAAGGATTCAAGTGCAGAGGAAATCAGAGAAAAGAACAGGCAGAACAGATGGTTAAAAGTAATTTCTGAAATTAGTTCAAATTGTTTTAATAGCTATTTGTATTTTAACAGCATAATTTAACAATTTATATTTTGAGATTATGTCTATGAAAATAAGTCCCAAAGTGAGAAAACATTTGTATATATATATATAGGAATATAAATTTTCAGAACTCAGTCTTTAAGACTGATAACAATCATCATAAATGCAAAAATCTAAAAGAAAAAAACAAGTTTCCCAATATTTATTCTTTGTTGTCTGATTTTATATATTTAAAAAACTATTGAAACATCTGAATCTTCGCTAAACCCTATAGAGAATGGCTGTATTTCTAGGCAAGTGTTCTAATTATGTATTTTTCCTTTATATAGTATTTCTTGTTGCTTGAAAAGCTCCTTTCTAATCTAGCAGAATATGTTAGAAAAGACAATCCCAGTAACTGAGAATTCTATTGCATCAGGATCTATTATTTATATATTTTTTCTTTTTGAGCTTATGGTGGGCGGTTTAGAGAGCTGACCCATTCTTCTGTCTTTGCGTGTGTATTTTTAAATTCTAGTCATTGTGTAGTGAGAATATGCAGGTGTTTCTCAGAGAACTTTTTCCCCTCTAGCTGGATGTGGAAAGGACAATGCAATTAATAACAGATGGCACGGGATGACCACGTCCTTGAGAGAACGCCTTATTGGCACCTCCTGCTAATTGTATCACATATAACACAACTAAAAGCATAATAAATCTGAACTGGGGGACATTTTATGCAAGAGCTCTTCTCCTTTTCCAGACGGTAAATTGCTCAGCTCTTGAAATATCTATAACCTTGTGACACTCAACTTGCATTAGCTTAATTGCCTTTTTTCCATCTCCCTCCCCCTTCTACCCTCCCTTTCTCTTTCTCTCCTTCTCTCCTTCTCTGTCTCTCCCTTTTTCTCACCCTCTCACTGTCTCTTTCTTGTTGTCTCATATTTTTTTCCCTCTAGGTGTGAGGAAACAATTTGACATTTGTTTTTCTACCTAGTTTAGTGCTGCGTCTAATACAGCTGTATTTCCTAGCTTGTATAGAATTTTTTTTTTTTTTTTTTTTGACGGAATCTCACTCTGTCGTCAGGCTGGAGTGAAGTGGCGTGATCTCGGCTCACTGCAACTTCCCCCTCCCGGGTTCAAGTGATTCTCCTGCCTCAGCCTCCCAAGTAGCTGGGGTGACAGGCACGTGCTAATTTTTGTATATTTACAAAATATACCCGCCCAGCTAATTTTTGTATATTTAGTAGAGACGGGATTTCACCATGTTGGCCCGGATGGTCTCGATCTCTTGACCTCCTAATCCACCCGCCTCGGCCTCCTAAAATGCTGGGATTACAGGCGTGAGTCACCGTGCCTGGCCTCTTTTAAAGGGCTTTAAAACACTTTTCTTAACATTTGTGTTGAGAAAGAAAATGCCTATCTGATTCTGATGTAATTTAATAAATCTGTAAAAAAAAAAAGGGGGGCTCTCATTAAGTGTAAACTCATGTGAGCTTCTGATGGACATACACAATAACACACGTACGTATGTAAACAAACATATCCATTCACACACATGCACAGGACTTTTTTCTTTTTTTGCACAATGGCAATAATTCACCATATTCTGTAGCATTGAAAAGGATTGCATTTTCTTCCATTTCATAACCTGGTATTATTAACAATTTCTAAAGTAAAAGTATTATGATATGCCAGAAATGTAACCACCCAGCAATTATCTTTTTCTTTCCTTTAAGAAAATGCTATAGTGAGTAGCATGAATTTCACAGCAAGTTCCTACACATCTATTTTCATTTTTGGTGGTTTGCCTATAAATGAGCAAACAAAAAGTAATTTAAATTACATTTGGAGTTAATAACAAATACATCAAAATCATGAAGTATGTGTAGAAATTGTGCCTTGGCTGGCTAGCTCTGTGTGTGTGTGTGTGTGTACGCATGCACACGTGGATGTTTGTGGGTGTGCATGTGTGCACACTGACACATTCTTTCCTTAGCTATATAGATGTCTGTTTCTTTCCAGTGATTTATCTCCATTGGTGAGAGTAACCTTAGTGTTTATGTCAGTTGGATGAACCAATGCTAAAATAAGACAAAGAATAGCTCATTCAAGAAATGATATAATTTAAAAGAAAGCAGCCATATTTTCAGATCTTCATGGTATTATATTCCTAAATCTCCTACTGATGAATAATTTGGGCAAAAACTCCTAGGGCAGTTCAGGACCTGGGACATACCTGAAATTGGGTATAATGGAAAGTGAAAAATTCTCATGATTCTGAACATGCTTATTTGGGCTCCGGTGACACAAGAAGCATTGTTAGGAGTTACGTGTTAACTATATAGACCCCAATAGTAGGTTTGTGACAGATGAAAGAAAGTTAACATTAGTAGTAGTATTATGAATTTCAAAAGTGCTTAACTCACAATCTGCATTTAGCTGATGAATGACCTTAGTAAGTCCTACTACTTTTCTGAGCATCATTATCTTCCTTTACAAAGTGAGGAATCAGAACTAGAATGAGTAATATTCTAATAGTACTGCCTTGAAGAGTAGGATTTCTGCAGACTCCCACTGTAGATTGGGGAGAGATCGAAGGATGAGAGTATAGTGCTACAAGCCACTATTCTCAGATGAATTTTGGTATCATTTGTTGCGTTTATATGTTTCATATACGATTTACTTGGAGCAATCTTGTGAATGTATGTCTTCTTGGGTAAAATCATTCAAAAATAATTAGATTGCATAATTGCTAAGGTTCCTTTCAGCTAGAAATTCTATGATATATGTACCAGCATGCCTCCTAATTAATATGATCTAATTCTAATGTTCTTAATGAATGAAACCTGGCATTTAGAACCAATAAATGCCGTTGATTTAAATACTGCATGATACATGGATAAACATAAGTAAACTCCTTTGCATTAAATGTATATTTGTGATTAAATATTTAAAATATACATTACTTTATGTTTCTAGATTTTAAGGAATAGCAGTTATTTTTACAACAGGCAGAATCTCTAAAGCTCAAGTAAATATGGATCTTACGTTTGTTTGTTTTATTTCATGGCTGTCCCTTCATCCCCATATATTTATAGTTTACTATCTTGAGGTCAGTGCAGATAGAAGGTTGCTAGGTAGAAACATGAAGATAGGTTTACCACTTTTAGAACAATGAATAAAATAAAAGTATTAATTAGAGTGATATTTGATGTTTATCTCATTTGTGTTCCTACCAGAATCAGATATTTTCTAGGAGTAGATTCTTCTTTCTGGTTCAGTAGTCAAATAAAGATGTTTATCCTGTATACAGAGAAAAAAAGGCTAATGTGATAGAAAATATACTCATTTTTATATATTGCTGCCCAGTAATTTATCCAATTTCTGACTTTCTCACTTTTGGTTGCTGTGAGGATTAGAACAAGTGAATGCATCTGAAAAATATAAAGTCTTGAATAAATGCAGTAGCATCCTCATGGGTGGGAGCCATCTCTTATTCGTCTTTGAAGCCTCATCACTTAACATGTTTTCTAATTTATAGTCTATGTTTGTCAATATTTGATGAATACATAAGTAAATTGATGAATAAACAATAATATACATAATTCTATATTTGGGCCAGTTCATAAGATAAGGTAAATGCTATGTAATGATGAGTTTATATTCTCTGAATTGTTTATAAGAAACATAATAAAAATCAATAAACCAGCATATACTGCGTATCTATATATTACCTTATGTGATTGTAACAACTGAAAAAAAAAAAAGCTGATGCTTACAAACATGGCTGATTGCTTTCCTGTGTACGAATATTAATCAGATACCATCATTTAAAGGGATGGGCAGAAAACAAAGTGAGAGAAAAGGATTCAGAAATCAAATGTGCTCTACTATGGTTATATTAACTTTTCTTCTCTGCAACTCCTTGTGAGTTTTGCCACTCATTTTGAACCCAAATTTATCTCAAGTCCACACACACCAGGTGATATCTCACTTATATTATTGTAAATTATTTACACCACAAATTCTAGGTCATGAAGTAGAGGTGATGGAATATTTTTACAAAAAAGTTGGGATGTTGGGATCATGTTTTATTTTATGCCTCCTATAGTGATCATTTTATTCTCAGTGTATGTCCTACATTAGCTTCTGAATTTGGATATTAGTGCAATGAATGGGATCATTACATAGCAAGCATTCCATCTTTCCTGTTTAATGTTATGCTTCAAACCCTCGGGAATTGCTGATATATTAGAATATATTCAGGATTGAGTATTACATTTGTATTTACATATGATTTCAGGTAACTTATTTGAAATTCCTTAGATCCTTGTTCTCTTTTAAAATAACAGTGACAATAGCAAGTACTGACCTATCATTTAGAGTTGGAAATCATCATAATGTTTGGCAGCAGGGAATTGGTAAGTGGAAATACACTAGCTTTGAAATTTATCTGAACTGGATTCAATTCTTGGATTTTTCAGTTACTACATGATTTTGAAACTGTTTCTCATACTCTAGTTTGCTTATCTGTAAAATACCACAATGAACTCATTGGATCATTTAGAAGATTAGACATAATAAAAACAGAGTGCGTAGTACAGTACCTGACTGTATTCATTCAAAACTTCGTCTTTTGTTACTATTATTATACCACTTCTTATTAACAAAGTGAAAATGTTGGTTTAGATCAGCGTTCTCTAGCAGAGGAGAGGGATTTTGCTGGTCCCTAGTTCCCAGAGACATTTGTTGATGTTTAGAGATATTTTTGGTTGTCATGAATTGGGGGGAGGTTACTACAGGAATATGGTGTGTAGAGTCCGGGGATGCTGCTCAACAACCTGTAACACACAGCACAGTCTCCCACAACAAGGAAACATTTGGCTTAAAGTTTCTATAGTGCTTAGATTGAGAAACACTGATATAAATTATTTTGAATCACACCACTCTCTTGAAACAAAAAGAAATGTATTTTAAGTTGTAATTCAAATTATCTGCTTCAGATTCCAAGAATTGAAGCTAGGAAGCATCTATACTGAATGGCTGCAATATCCTATCTGTTATGTTTAACTTGGTCTTAGGCTACAGGAAATGGGTTCTGCCCTTCATATAACTTAGAAATATCTGAAATTTTTCAGTTATTTAAGACATATTTTATCTGAATTTTAATTACCTCCTGATCAAATTGGCTAAGTAGTTAAGAACTGAAGCTCTCATTGACCTGAATTAGTTATTCTGTGATCTGTGTTTTGTGCTACCTTTTGACTTTGCTATTTTCAGGAAATGAGAGGGATTATGGAGAATCAACGCTGTAGTGGATGACTAAAAGCATAATTACTTTAGCTTAGCACAACTTTCTTTACTAACATTAGTTTTAAGTTTATGCTATTTACTATATAAACTCAAAGATTTTATTCATACCAATGCAACTTGGAATGCAGTCAAGGGTAATATAAATGATTAATTTAGGTTGGTATGCAGATGATTCAAAGATCGAATATCATCTTAATTGGCAAGATGGTTTTGTTCTTTAACAGACTGATAAAAACTGTCTTTATGTTGCCATTGAGTTTCTATACCTTGTCAATGCCCCAAAGATTGCAGACTTTAAATACAAGAAAGCAGAGATAACAGACATGAAAAAAAAAACAGAAGAATCTGTGAAAATCATTTACTTATTCAACTTTATTCAAAACTCAACACTCTTCAAGATATTCATGTATTATATAAACAAAACTATTTTTTCCCATAGAGAAAAAACATAATGTTTTATAATTGAAACTTGTGTGTTGTAGATATGATGGGATATATACCAACAAGGATAGACAAGGTTCTGGTTGCCTACAGACCTACATGTGGACCCAAACAGAATGTTCTTGATTTACAACTTTTTTTTTTTTTTCCAAAATACGCAGCAGTATTTTTAGAAACAAAGGGGATGGCACACACATTTCAATCAGCACTTTCCCCCTGAGCCCTCAGTACAATCTGTACAATCTCCTGTCTTTCCCTACTTCACTTTACTACCTTTAGGGCCCTTGTCTGCTACGGGTGGAGTATAAATAACAAGCCTCAACAAAAGACAAAATAGTTGGATCAAACAGGCAAATTCTCTGAAGGAGGCAAGAGGGATTAGCAATGTCATATTGACAAGCTGCACTAGAGGGCAAGAGAGAGAAGAATTCCAGCTTCAGCTACAGTTCAACAGAAAATAGAGAAGGTAAACTTGAACAATCACCCTTGGGAAGTTAGTAGAATCTGTTTAAAAGTTGCTTTCAGATATCCAGAATTTATTTAGGAAGAAAATGACTCCATAAAGTCGGTAAAAAATATTTTCATATCTCTTCCTGAAGATAATTCATTGGTTTGCATGAAGAAACCTTTTTTATTTTTTTAAAAAGGAAAAACAAAATTTATTTTTGTGAGAACAAATACACAAGGAAAATATTATGTAGCTTCAATAGGGTAATAATTTTGCAAAAAAAAAAAAACACACAAGCTAGACAATTTCTTGACCTTTCATTTCTGCAATCAGTCAGTTGGATGTCTCCCTCTTCCTCTGATGAGATTTAGAGCTGGGGACTCAATGTGTTGGCAGTGCCTTTGAGCCAAGTACTGTCATGTTCTGGTAACCATATCTCTTATTAGAACAAATATGAATTCAAGTAGATAGCAAGACGACATCCCAGTGGAAATTGTCGCACTTGGTTATTTATCTGTCATCAGTCTACTGAACTAGCAACGAGGAGGAGAGATGAACTATCACCTGCTAGATACCTAATTCATCTGTTTGTTTAAAACTGCACTGTGGAAATCAACAAAAGACCTCTTCCTTAAAATACCAAGAACTGAAAACCCATATCTGCTCTTCTCTGTGTTTCTATTTAATAAGGGATGGCTGTAAAGTGTTGTGTTTGTGATCAGAGCTAGGAACCAAGTTTTGATCAACTTCTAATGGGTTAAATAAATCGAATGCATTATAAATCTAAAATCTAAACATATTGCAGACCCTGAATTGACTTGTAGAAGTAAACCTATTATAAATGTATTAATTTCAATGTAAAATATGTGAAAATAAAGAATATTATATTGAAATTTAGGGGATATAAAGAACTTACCAAAGAAATTTTATTACTCTTAAGGAATGCTTCAGGGGAAATGAGGTTTTATGATAACATGTAAAAGGAAAAATAATTAGAAAGGGGATTATTAAACAATGGAAATTCCATATTTAGAAGAGACATATTAGAGTTTCAAAATCTATTATTAACAGAGATCATTATATATGAAGGAAAACATTTAAACAGCTATTTAATATTTTTCCTATTTTCTGAACATTTTATCTCCCACTTGAAATATATGGGTAAACTATTCACTCATATTGTATACAATAGACAATATAAATTTAAGAGCCTTCAAGTTATATGAACCAAGTTGACATGACAAAAAAGTGTTAATACAGTTGGAAGCATATTGAATACTTTTCTAAACATGGCTAACTTAGACCCAATGGTTCTACAAAACAAAGCTGACTTCCTGGAATGAATGAACAAAACTTGCCATGATGCAGAACGGGAGAGTGATTGCCTAAGGAAGTGGAAAATCCAAGTTGTCTCTCTTCATTTAAAAGGACCCACTTTCTCTTGTGTAAATGTCATCCTACAGTTTATAATGAAAACTTGAGGAAACCCCGAGGGAGACCTGGTGCTTTTAGTAAATGATGCAAGCCGCATTGACTTACAATAAAAATCAGTTTCTGGGGCTATTTACTGCTCCCTTTGGCATCCAATCTCCCTCCTTCCTTCATGAAAAAAAGAGCCATATTAGGGCCCTGGCAGAGGGAATGAAAAGCATTGGGATTCCTAGAAGATTTATGCCTCCCTGAGAATGGGCTAACTTGGGTAAACCAGGATGAGAAATGGCCTCCGATGCCTTCCGAGGCAAGAGAGACAGATGGTCAAGCTAAATAAAAAACAGAAAAAAAGTTGATTTGGAAAGTTGGTTGATGAAAACATTTCAGTAGATTAGATATTTTGTATTAAGTTCCACACAAGCAAACATTACACATACATAATTTTTTACATAAATGTTCCTTCTCATTGTTTCAAAACAAATGCTATGAAGTTCACCCCGATTTTTCCAATCAAATACTTTCTATCTGGCATTTGGCAACAAAACACAGAAAACAAAACAAACAAGAAAACGAGAAACACAATTTTGAACACTTCCTAATAATATAGAAAAGCAAGATTTTAGCCAAAAAAATCCATAACTTTATATTTTAAGAGAGGTTGTTGCCTCAATTGACCAAGGCTCTGACTTTTTCAGAAAGAAATGTAATTGTCTTTTCTTTTCTTTTTTCTGGTCCCATGTCAGGAGGTTAAGACTTGTATTACTTCACCCACAGAAGATTTATCACAAATTCAAGTACTCAGAGTATGCAGTGTTTTCAGGGAGGAACCACTTATTCTGAAGTTCATATATTCTCAGGATTTCTGGGGTAAATATTTGCCTACAAAAGTTAGTTAACACACATACAATACAAATGTAACTTGCATACCAAAACGCTTACCAACCTTTTAAATTTAAAACAAAAAACAATATAATAAAAATTCAAAAATCATTTATATAAGGCAGCTGCCATATACTATGTTACAAAACAAATATTAAATCATATATTAAAAGGTTGTTTCTCTCCTTGAAAGAGAAATATGTAAGAGAAGAAAGATAAAAGCCAGGAGAAAAAAGGAAAACATTTCACCATATGTATACAAAACAAAATGCTGTATTCAGTCATGTTAATTGGTAGAGGATGCATCAGCTGTGCTTGCAAAGGGCACTAATATGTAACTGAACTATCAGCCATTGTGCTCACTGGAAAGGGATACTCTCCTACCCTTATTCAATCTGTAAAGTGATATAGCGGTGCCTCCCACAGGCCTGGAGACACAGTTAGAGTCCACATGCACAAGGAATGTCAAAACATGAATCAATTATATTTCTGGCCAGAAAGGTCAAGTGTGGAACTTAAACAGCTGAGTTAAAACAAGCCACTTGTCAAATCTGTCCTAGGGACATGAAGCCAGAGTCTTGTATCTCAATGGCAGCCATATCTTGGATTTGGGACACTGGAAGAGCAGAACTGAAATACTATATTTCAAAACTATAGTATTTAACAGTAAGGTGGACTTGGAAAGTAAGTGTAAAACAATT
This sequence comes from Homo sapiens, assembly GCF_000001405.40. NCBI lineage: Eukaryota > Metazoa > Chordata > Mammalia > Primates > Hominidae > Homo > Homo sapiens. Next base: position 24,617,328 of record NC_000009.12, read on the forward strand.
TCAATGCATGATAAAGAATATCACTTTATTTTACCTAAAATACGGAGAAGTATATTTCATATTTGATCCTCCCTTATTTTTTGTGGAATAGTAACTAAATGGCTTTGTGATTAAGTGGCAATGTGATTGGAACTTCAGGTACATCATCACACTTAATTCTCACAAAAAAAATGAGGTAAATCTCATCTACAATTTATAATGGAGAAAGCTGAGCCTCACAAAGGCTGATGAAATTTTTAGCTGTCATAGCTAGTATATGGTATAGCCAGAAATTAAAACAGTTCTCTCTGCTACTTAAGTCCACACTTTTTCTACCAAACTAATATGAGCTTCATCATTTTACATATTTTAAGCCACTGCTCTGTTTTGTTTTGCACTTGTTTAATATGTTTGAATCTTTAATTTTTCACTAATGTTAATAGGTTGAAAGTTAATTGTGTAAAATTAGATTTTTTTCTTTGATCAGCAAAACAACCAAGAGACTTTAATCCAATTCACACTCCGATCAATTGGTTCAAGAATGAAAAAAATTATTTTTTGCAAAATCAGACAAATGTAATGTTTCTGTTGGAATAAATATGTCATGAGGCTAATAAGTTCAAATATAAGATTTTTCTTCAAGATTAGACTTGCTGGAATAATATTATTTATAAGATATAAGTATAATCACATTGCCTATAAACAGCCTAATAATTAAAGAAGAGTTTTTGGTTATTACATTTATTTAAAAATGAGAATTTTTTTTTAAATGTCCAATACCAAGAAAGAGGCTAACTTGATTCTTGGTGGAATGGAATTTAGGAAGGGTTCTGAGAGATGTGTTAAGATTCCTGCTATCCTGTGCTCTCTGCTCTTCTTCATTTATTTTTCTTTTTCTAAAAAGTGAAAATATAAGAACATTTACAGGGGAAGTAACATTGTTGAGTACTTACTATGTGCTAGTGAATGTGCCAGGTGTTTTTCATCTATTGCTTTATTTAAGCTCAGACAAAATGAGCATTATTTTCTCCCTAGCACTAAGGAAACTGAGCCTAAAGAGATCCACTGACATACCTAAAACATATATTTGGGAAATGGTAGAACAGATATTTAAACCGAGAACCCTGGCTTTAGAAGTTTCATTTTCTCATTACTCCAGGGTGTTTGTGGAGATGCAAAATTGATCCCGGACTTCATCAGTTTTCCTTTTCTGGGGCTCAAAAAGCATATGTTTCAATAATATAAAAGAGAAATTTAAAAGTTTGAGAAATAGTAATTATGTACACTTTAGACTTTATTAGTTAATATGCAAATTCAATAGCTAACATGCTCTAAAAAGATTGCATATTTGTAAGTTTAATTTAATTCTCTTTTTTACCTTGAGTCAATTTTGATATCAGTAGTATTGAAACGGGAGAGTTCCCTGACCCCGGTCGCAGTACATGCAACAAGAGTGTGGCTCATTTGGAGAACTACAAACCCCTGATGGAAGAGGGAGCATGTAGATGGACAGGTGCCGGAGCCAGGACTAGAGCTTTTGGGCTCTGGCCCCACAGTAGCGTCTAGGGGTGGATGTCTGTTGACTCCTGCAGCCCCAGTGGGCATGTTACAGTGCTCCTTTAGCTCTCCCAACTGCAGACAGCTTAAGAGTTAACCAGATCAGTGCCCTCTTGGTACCTGGATTCTTGTCTGGCATCTGGGAAGAATCAGGTCACCTGGACAAAGTGAAGGGTGGTAAATGCGAGGGATTTTATTGCCAGATGGAGGTGATTCTCAGCGGAATGGACGGGGAGCTGCAAAGGGGATGGAGTGGGAAGATGACCTTCGCCTGGAGTTCACCCATCCTGCAGCCAATCTTCTTTCCATCCAATCACAGCCAAACTCCTCTCGATGTTCAGATGCTCCTCTTCTCTCCTCCTCTGCCATGCTGCTCTTCTGCTCCTCTGCTCCTCTGCTCTTCTGCTCATGGAGCCTGGGGTTTGGGTTTTATATGGGTACAGGATGAGGGTTTGGTGGGCCAAAAGGGAACATTTGGGCTTGAAAACAGGAATGCCTGTTCCCATTTAGGGCCATGGGTTTCCAGGCTTTAGGGCAGGGCCTTTGCTGGGGAACTGCTCTCTTCTGCCCAGTATTTTTTCCTGCCTCCTGTCTGTATCAGTGTAAACAATTTTTTTTTTAAGTTACAAATAATTTTTTATAAAAAATATTGTAAATTCTTTTTTAATGCCAATATTCTTACTTGACTTCTCTTTCCCCAGCCATTTATGTGTTTCTAAGATTTCTGTGGACACAGTTATATTCTTCAATGGAAGATACCTTTCTTTGAACCTATAAAGAAAAACTCTTACGTATTTACTTACTTTTAGCCTAAGGATAGAGAAGCCAATGTAGGAATAATATGATGGTGAAGTGATGAAAGTAAAAAATAAAAACATCATGCTAGTGCTATTATAATATGTAATTAGTGTGGTCTAAGGCTATATTTTTCAAAATTGTAAAGGTATGTTTTATGGAATATTCTTTGAGCTGTTCTGAAATCTTCAAGTTACACACACACACACACAAACCTTTTTGCTTAAAAATTATCTTGTAAACTCCTGCTGTATCTGAATTCTAAAATTTCACATTAACCTGTTAAATGCCGTGTCAAGCCTAAGAGTAAATAATCTTTTTTATTACCAAGGGTCTCCCCAAATTTATTTGGCCAAAAATCCCATCTTTCATTTTATACCTACTAATAATATCTAGAAATAGAACTCACAATTCACATTGGGAAACTATTCTAAATATATATTCAAAGCCAAAAGAAAGATTTACTGTACCCAATTTGGAAGGACAACGAGAATAACGATAGATTAGATTAGAGGAACTTGAAATAGTGTAGGCAAGCAATGATGAGGGTTGGAATTAAGGCCACAAAATGGCATAGATTCAAGAAATGCCCATGATAGGGCTTAGAATTGATCTGATTTAGTGATTATTCAGTGAAAAAGAAGGAGTCACATATATCAGGTCTGGCTTGAGTGATTGGTTAAACGGTGGTATAACTTGCCAAATGGAGGTCTGGAAGAAAAATTGTTAGAGTAAGAATGTGAGTTCACTTTTGAACTGTTGACTTCGAAATATTTGGGGTTCTTCTAGGTCATTTTTTCCAATAGGAGCCAGAAATAGAGATTTAGAGCATAAGAAATAAAGAATAAAAGCCTCAGCAAAGATATAAATGTCAAAGTCACTGTGTGATAAAAAGCTCCCAGGATATGGATGAGACTGCAGGTGACTTACTCTTCAACTGGTAGGGATCCAGCTACTTTGTTAAGTGTACTAAGCAGAGCAAGATGTTGAAAATGTACACTATATTTTGCTAGTATAGATCGTGTTTTAGAAAAAGCTAAAAGATAAGTAAATAAAAATAAAATTACCAACATATTAAATGTTTTCCATATTACCTGTGACAAGGGGCCCATGATGCTGAAACTACAGTCTCCCAAAGAGAAATAGGCAGAATTTAAGAAAGTTAGCTGATGAAGATGTTTTTAATCTTCTCTGTGAGTTCATGCCAACAAATACTACATTAAGCTTATGAATACATTAATCAAGAAAAGAGGTGTTGAGTAATGATTCACTCAGAACTTAAATAATCCTGTGATCTATTTGAAGCAGCCTGACACCATTATAGGAAGTGGTAAATGTGTTTCCTGTTAAACATTTGCTCAGTTCATTTACAGTAATTCTGTATTCCTTCTTAACAATTCACTTTTGTCTCACACTTGTGTGTTTATATGGAATTTAATACTCAGTGATGCCCACTGATTAATGGCATGCTTGAAAATGTTTGTGTGCTGTCAAGCTAACTGAACCTTGAGTTGGTATCCTTTCTCATTTCAAGAGGATAATAACAGTACTGGGGTAATGTGGGCTAAGCACCTACTCTGTGCCATACTTTAGTAGAAACTTAGCATGTAGAATCTGTCAAATCATCCTTGTAACGTAATTTTTTTTTATTGTCCTTTAAATACCTAGAAACTGAAACTGTGGGAGTTAATGTTTAAAGTTACAAAATCAGTAAGAGTCGGAGCTCAATTTTGATTACGTGGTTGAACGATTCTACAGGCTGTAATTTTTCCATTGCCTCATCCTTCCTACATATGGAAGATTAGAAAACAAAACACTGAAAGAGGAATTATCCCTTTCCACATCAACTAATTACGTCACATAGAGGGGTTTACATGTAAACCTTCATACTCTACTTTTCCTCTATTTTTGTAATAGCAATTAACAGAAACTAATACACTTGAGTAAGACTGTTGTTTTTGAGCTTCACTTTCTTCCAGAAAAAACACTTCAGTAATGGTGGGCTTATACTATGGAAGTTAAGGAAGGAATTGATAACAAAAAATGTATAAGGAATGCCAGACAATTGTTCCAACTTAGGAAGTGACGTTGAACTCTATAGGGAAACACTGGTGCTGCCTTTTCCAGAAAAATCCGATTATAGTATTTTTTTTAAATAAGGAAAGTTGAGAATACATTTAATATTCCATAAAACTGCTCTGCTTTGATTTTAGAAATAATCAGAGAAGGAAGGCATCAGTTATTAGATCATTTATTCAAAATATTTTAAACAAATTAAGTGAGCATCAATTACTTTCTTATATATGATGAGTTGTTGAACTAAAGAGAGGATCTGGATATCAGAGAGATGCACAGCTCTTTGCCCATGAAAAGTTCTTTATTCTAGTTCTTTTAATTTGCTTTACCCCATGAAATTTATTATGCCTTCCATGTCAGTATGGTATGGGGTTAACTTTTTAAATTTATATTTAAAGTAATTGAATATTATCTTAGAGCCCCGATATTCGTAAACATTTACCTAAAAATTTGTTGTTGTCAGTATCTCACAGTCACTAACATTGATCTACTTTTCTTCAAATACATGTTTAAAATGAATTCTCACAGATAAGTAAGGTAAGTAGAATTGAAAACAAATTTAGCCAAAGGAAAGAAGATATGTGAAAATATTTACATGAAGTTGCCTGAAATGGTACTGACACGCATTAAAAAATGTGTTATATAAAAGAAACTTTCCTTATCTCTAGGTGGAATATCCACAATCATTCTAAATGTTTTTTGATAAGTTTTGACATTTTGAAATGAAAGTTATTTTAACAAAAACCACATTCAAGAAAGATGCTTAAACATTTTAAATGATGCCTAATGTGGTGAATATATTGTTTCTCTTACAGATAGAGATTTTTATCAAATGACATTTTTAGTATGTTATGAAAAAATTAATATTAAGAATTATAGTATGAATTAAATGTATGCATTTTAGAGGTAGAGGAGAATAATGAAACACATAGTATGCAAATACATCCTTCAATTAAATAAAATTGTCATCTTTAATACTTTTATTAACGTCTTACCAAGTTTGTTTCCATTCACTGTAGATGGTTATAACCAAAGAGATAACTGTTTACGATCTTCTTTGAGTAAAAATCAGAAATGTAAGCATCTATAGAGTAAATTATTTTCAGGAATATATTACTGATCAATGATGGCTATTTTAACTCAAAGCTCATTTTGAAGGGAAAAAATAACAATGCTTAGCACTTTTATAATGCTTTTTGTCTTCAAATCACTTAATTAATTCTAATCTTTACAACGCCCCTGAGAGGTGGCAAATTGGCCAGATCTGTTTTTCCCATACTGATATTATTATGTGCATGTATATTAAAATCACAGTATTTTACTTCTTAAAGTAAATTTGTTTGTAGCTTCAAATAATATAAATCATCTCACATTCATTTAGTTAAAAAAATAATGTTGTAAAATGAAAACAGATTCCAAATCATGTTTGGTAATCCTTTAGGAGAAATTCCATACAGACTTTAGCTTTGGATTTTCCCTTTTGTGGAGGGGAGCATATTTGAAGTTGTGGAGCATGATGGGTCCAGGACCTCAGGGACCCTAGATTCTAGCCTTAGTTTTTTTATTAACTACGTGTCTGACCTTGAAACTTATTTTTCTCAGCTACAAGGTAGCGATAATGTTACCTGCCTGGCATTTATCACGGGGATGTTTGATGGTTCATGCAACAATGTATGTGAAAACATTTTATTACCTTAAAGCATTTTTCAATATAATTGATATATTTTTATAAATTGAAAGACAACTAACATGAAATATATTCCTATGGGCAGAAATAAAGATTGTAGGAGATTGCATTTTAGTTTATTGATTCAGCATTTTACAAATGTATTTATTGAGTGTCTAGTATTACAGAGAGCACACACAGTTGACATATGAAGAGCATGTATGGAGTGAATGAGTTGTATATGGTGAAGCTTGATAAGATGTAGATATTCATTATGAGTCCATTGTGGCTGGCATATCCCAGAATTTTTCTTAATTTTTTCATTCAAAGAAGAAAGCATGGGACTGATACTCCCTCTGAATGGATGATCTTATTTATTAATGGGGAGAAATATATGGGTCTCATCATTTTCATCATGTTTAACTGTAACAAGTTAAAATTCATCAAAATAAAGATTTCAGAGTATAGTGTTGTGCAGTGATATATGTAGTATCACTTCAGTACCTCTGTCCACTGGCATGAGCCCCTTCCATTTTCACTTGAAAGGTACCTTTTGAGAGGTATTGCCTTAGTTAAAAATATTTTGTCCTCTTTAGAGTAGAATGGCTTCTAGCTTAGGCATTTCCATCTTCATTTATCTTTTGGGTTTTCCTCTTTCCTTGTGAATTACTCCTTCTGAGGCGCCTATATTGGTTATTCCTTATCTGTTAGACATCTAAAATTGAGAAGCTCCAGAACTCATAGTACTCAGGTCCTTTTTCTGTCTACATTGACTACCTTGGTGCTCGTGGTCATTGCTGTGACTGCAATGCTGTAAACACTCAAATACAATAATCAATTTTATATCTCTTGCATACACTTCTCTCATGATATCCAGAATCATGTTTCTAATACTATTCATCATTTCAGCTTGGATACATCTCATATGCGTCTCAGACTTAAGAGGTTTAAGTAATATTCCTGACTCTCTCCTGTGTTCACTCCATTCCTCCTACAATTTTCCTCTTTGCAGTCAGTAAATGGCAACTCTACTCTTCCAGTTACTGAAACAAAGGCCCCAGAATTCCTCTTGATTTCTCTCAGTCACATATGCTCCACATCTCCTATTGGCTCTGTTTTCAAAATATATCCACAATTCAGCCACCTCTCATCACATCAACCAAGCACATCCTGGCTAAAACTACTATGTGTTCATCCCAACCCAGCAGTTCCAGACTGTTATTCTTACTTCCACCCTTGCTATTACAGAGATTATTCTCAATATATGATACAGATCTGTGGTTCTCAAATGTCAGCATGAATCAGAATTACCCAGAAGTTTGTTAAAACAGATTATTGGGCTCTATCCTCAGAGTCTGTGATTCAGTAATTGGGCTACAGAATTGGCACTTAAAAAAAGTTACTGAGTGATTTGAATGTCAGTGCTCTGGAGACCACCCATTGAGAATTAGTCATGTAGGGCTTCACTACTCATGGTATGGTCCACTGACCAAACATATCAGCATGACTTGAGCTTTTCGGAAATGTAGAATTTTAGGCTCCACTTCAGACCCACTGAATCAGAATCTGAATACTAACATGATTTCCAGGTGATCCTTCTAAACATGACAGTCTCAGAAACACAGATTAAAAAAAGTGTATTCTTCTTTATAGTGAAGAGAAATATTCTTCTTTTACATTTCAAGTCACATTATTTTCTTCCTTTACTCAAAATAGGTTTCCTTCTCAATCTGGGTAAAACCCTAAATCCTTACCATGGCTTAGAATGTCTTGCATAGCCTAGGCTTCCTGCAAAACCCTCTGATTTCCCCTCCTACCATTCATCTGCTGATTCTGTTGTCCTACCCCGTTGATCAACTTGCTCTTCCTTGAACTCAACCATGTTCTGACTCAGGGCTTTGTCACTGCCTTTTTTCCTCAGTCTAAAATGCTCTTTCCCCAAAAGCCATAGGGTTTATGCTCTCACTTCCTTTGGCTCTGTTCAGGAGTCATCTTAGCAATGAAGAGCTTTTTTCCCTAAAATATTTGATAACAGTCCCCCTTCCCAACCTGACACTCCGTGTACTTCTTAACCTGCTTTGATTTTCAGTGTGTAATATATTACCCTCTGAAATACTACATATTTGTTTACTAGCTTATTTTGTTTCTAGAAGACAATTTCTTTTGGCAGAGATATTTCGACCTTTTTTTCCCTTTTGTTTGACTCTTTTGTTCACTTTTGTGTGTCCAATGCCTAGAACATTGCTAGCATATAATAGTAGTCAAATATTTGTTGAATTTATAAATATGAATGAGTTTTGAAAATCTTTTCTCAAGGTTGGATTTTTAATGGGAAGACATAAGGGTATGCCAGTATGAAAGTATTGAGGAGAAGAATAGATGTTATGTATAAGATATATTTCCTGCAGTTTTAAATTCTGTCCTAGGATGATAGACCAAAATGATGAAAATTTGCTAATGTGTTATCTCCTTAAAATAAATAACCACAAATGATCTCAGCTGTGACTGTTTTTGGCTAAAGAATTTTAAATTAATGGTGATAAGGTCCAACAGTGTATACAGTTGGAAAGGGGTAGCCAGTGGGAAAATACTGGGATAAGTGTTGGGACTGTTTTTATTTAATGCCTTTGCTAATGATCTGGAAGAAACGGTGAGAATCTCATTAATTAAATTCACTGGTTTACTAAATTAAGAAGTATCAATGGTACCAAAGAAGAAAAAAAAATACAGAAGGACATAGAGGTGTCAAAGTGGAGATAAATTAATTAGAGTTCCATCTATAAAAAAAGAATTCAGATTGAAATATTTAAGACATATTTAAACAGTTCTTTATGCTGTTAATGTTCATTTGATGATGATGTTAGCATTGATAATGTTGATGAAGATATTTTCCTTTGATTTCTGACTAATCTGTGTCAAGAGTGGCTCAACTGCTGTCATTTTATGCAAGAACCCATCATGTTGGACACTATGTGTAGTAAGGGACAAATCTTATTTCCAAACTATAATTAAATCTACATTTACATATGTCCAGTGGTATTAGATAGCGATGGTTCACATGAGGAAGCAAGTGAAGCAAATTCTTCCTATGGGAAGGGATTTTGAGGGCAGCATTTACACAATGGGTCAAAGTTAGAAGGAGAGTTGGTTCTGACCTCAAGACAGCTTTCAGGTTATATTCTGCCCCAGCCTCCATGGATTTATTTCTGAATCCCAGTGTAAATTTTTCACAGTGTTCATTAAATCTGTTAGGTCAAATCTTATATAATCGGCCATAAATGGTCAGATATTGGTAATTTCTTGTGGCTGAACTAATGTGCTGTTTGGTATAAGAACTTTGAAGTTGCAAGGTAATAGCTATCCTGCTTCTCCAGGTACTCATTTCTACTCACAAGAGACCCTCCCAGCTTCAGTTCAGACATCAGGAACTGCTGGTGAGCAGCAAATGCAGTGCTCATTTCTGCTAAGCATGGAAACTTATAGTAAGAGTTAGCAGCTGGAAGAAGACAGAAGGAAAATAAATTTCAAGAAGTGCGCTAAGGTTGTGTGTAGTGGCTCATTCCTGTAATCATAGCTACTGGGGAGACTGAGGCAGGAGGATCACTTGAGCCCGGGATTTCAAGACTGCGGTGAGTTATGATGTTGCCACTGTACTCCAGCCTGGGTGACAAAGTGAGACACTATCTCTTAAAACAAAAAGAAAAAAAAGTGTCTTAGAAGACTAACTTATAGATTAAAAGACTTAAGGATTCCTTAAAGTATTTAAGTATTAAGTATTTAAGGATTCCTTAAGTATTTCAGGTAAGTTTTAGTATTGATGATATTTGGGGTCTATTTATAATACTATTTATAATTCTTATTTTCATGTTTATATTTTGCCCCAGGCTGTTATAAGGTTGAAAATATAGTTATACATAGGAACAAAAGCAAGGCAGAAATAGGGCCTGAAGGACTTCAGAAATTCTGTGATTTGGTTTTAATCTGTAATTGCCCTGCTTCTCCTGCCTGGTCTCCTGTAAAATGTATCTATGGCAGCAGGTAATATTCTCAGGCAAAATGCTGCTTAATTCTGAACTATAGAAAGTTCAGAATTAAGGTGGAAACATAATATTGTTAGTGTTGATGTTATTGTGTACATATATGGGAGCATTTAGGAAAATACACTGTTGGAGCTCTTTTGGACTAGCATGCTTATAAAACCATGTGTTCTCTATCAGGTGAGCCAGTAAAGCTTTCTGACTCCTAGCATTCTGCAGCCTTAGATGGAATGATGCACAGGAGAAATGCATGCAAATGTGCACACCAGCATTCCATTTAGAGTGTCCCTGTTTTGTACCACATGTGAGGGACATCAGGCAACACACTATATCACTCTGATTCTCAGCTACCTAACCTGTAAAATGGCAGAATTGCACCAGATGCTGTGAATTGTGTTTTTTTCCAACCATAATATTCTTTGCACTATATACTGATACTTTTAGTGGAATATTACATGTCCTCTACTGGAATATTATATGTCCTCTACATATTTTGATTCAGCAGAGAGTAGTTTTGTAAGTGAAATAATAAAAACTTCAGCTACAAATTACTAATAACAATAACTAATAGTGACTATTTAATAATGAGTGGTTACTATGTGCCAGTAGTCATGCTAAGGATTATCATGTATCTTCTGAGATTTCTTTGAGCAGTGTTTAAAGAAATCAGAGAAGACACAAACAAATGGAAAAACATCCCATGGTCATGAATAGAAAGAATCAGTATCATTAAAATGGCTACAGTGTCCAAAGCAATTTACAGATTCAATGGTGTTCTTATCAAACTACCAATGATATTCTTCACAAAACTAGAAAAAACTACTTTAAAATTCACATGGAACCAAAAAAAGAGCCTGAAAAGCCAAAGCAGTCCTAAGCATAAAGAACAAAGCTGGAGGCACCACATTACCTGACTTCAAACTATACTACCAGACGACAATAACCAAACCAGCATAGTAATGGTACACAAACAGGCACATGGCCCAGAAATAAGGCTTCACATCTATGATCATCTGATCTTCAACAAAGCTGACAAAAAAAGGAAATGAAGAAAAGACTCCCTATTCAATAAATGGTGCTGGGACAACTAGTCATGTGCAGAATATTGAATCTGAACCCTTTCCTTATACCCTACACAAAAAGCGATTCAAGATGGATTAAAGAGTTAAATGTAAAACTCCAAACTACAAAAACCCTGGAAGACAACCAAGGCAATACCATCCTGGACATATTAATGGAAATGAGCAAAAATTTCATGGCAAAGACACCAAAAGCAATCACAGCAAAAGGAAAAATTGACAAGTGAGATCAAATTAAACTTAAGAGCTTCTGCACAGCAAAAGAAACTATCAACAGAGTACACAGACAACATAAAGAATGGTAGAAAACTTTTGCAAACTATGCATCTGACAAAGGTTTTATGTCCAGCATCTATATGAAACTTAAACAAATTTACAAGAGAAAAACAACTCCACTAAAAAGTGGGCAAAGGACATGAACAGACACACTTCTCAAAAGAAGACATGTATGCGGCCAACAAGCAAATAAAAAAAGCTCGATGTCACTCATTAGAGAAATGCAAATCAAAACCACAATGAGATACCATCACACACCAGTCAGAATGGCTATTTTTAAGAAGTCCAAAAATAACATGTTGGCGAGGTTGTAGAAAAAACAGAATTCTTATTCACTGTTGATGGGAGCATAAATTAGTTCAACCATTGTGGAAAGCAGTATGGTGATTCCTCAAAGAGCTAAAAACAGAACTGCTTTCAACCCAGCAATCCCATTACTGGATATATATCCAGAGGAATAGAAATCATTTTACTATAAAGACACATTCATGTGAATGTTCATTGCAGTATTATTCACAAAAGTGAAGACATGGAATTAACTTAAATGCCCATCAATGACAGATTAGGTAAAGAAAATGTGGTACATACACACCATGGAAAACTAGGCAGCCATAAAAAAGAATGAGATCCTGTATTTTGTGGGAACATGGATGGAGCTAGAGGCCACTATCCTTTGCAAACTAATGCAGGAATAGAAAACCAAATACCACATGTTCTCACTTACAAGTGGGAGCTAAATGATAAGAACTTAGGAAAACAAAAAAGGAAACAGACACTGGGGTCGACTTGAAGGGGGAGGGGTGGCGGAGGGAGTGGAACAGAAAAGATAACTATTGGGTACTGGGCTTAATACCTGTATAATAATCTGTACAACAAACACCTGTGCCACATATTTACCTGTGAAATAAACCTTCACATTTACCCCCAAGCCTAAAATAAAAGTTAAAAAAAGTTTATGAATTGTTTGATTTAAACCTTAAATATTGTTAGGGTTCATTCACTTCTCTTAATAAATTGTAGAGAACATGGTCGTGAAGATCATGGCTGGGAGGGTTAGAATTAGAACTCAGAGCTCCCGAGTCCTTTTGAAATTTTTATCATTACCCTGCCTGATGACAAACACTGCCTTTTTCTGCCATAGAGAGATGCGTTCCTACCTGTCTTATAATGGAAAATGCAATGAAGAAAACAGAAATAAGGAAGAAATGTAATTGCAATACATAATTACAGGCTGTGATTTTTAAATACATATTCATAAATTGAAGCAGTAAGGTAAGATGGCTTTTCTTCTTGCACAACCAGAAAGATGCCATCAACACAATCCACTTTATCTTTTTCTATACATCAAATAAAGAAATAGAAGGTAGATTAACTTTATCAAGATCCCCTATTGCTAGTCTATCTAAAAACACTGTCTAAAAGGTCAGTTATAGCGCTATCTCCCTGACTTTCCATCGTGCTTAATTTTATGATGAACACCTAAGAGAAGTATGATATATTAAAGCACTTTCTCCATTCTTTAAAACATCAAAACACAGTGTTTGGACCATTGATTTTTATCCAAGTGTCCTCTCCTTAGTATTTCAGAAGCTTTATTCAAAAAAAGTAATTGGTAGTTGCAGCCTCTTTATTCTCACAGCTGCCAAATTTCTCTAATCTGGAGTAGATAGTCAACCATCCTTAACAGGTGATTCATAGCAAGGCAAAAAGTGCTATTGGACACCTGGAGAGTGAAGTTAAGTGCAATGTATTGAGCAGCTGAGAACATTTCTTGACAGATTTTGTTTTAGGTAAAAATGTGAGGCATTTTCTTTTAGAGATTTCTGAAAACATATATTGTAAGGGAAAGAAAATCCATATGGTATTGATTTATTTAAATGTTTCAAAAATTAGATATTGGGAAAGCCTCTTGTATTTATATTTTTCTTAGAGAGGGAACATTTTATTTCACCAAGAATAAAAAGAAAAAAAAAGCCTGAAATTCATGTTTAGTTCCAAATTTAAAGTCGGAATTGACATGGTTTTAAAAACATGACCAAACAAAAATAAGTTTGTAGTTTCAAAGAATAATGTACGCTTTAGAATGAAGCAGGCAAGCTGTTTCTCTGGAAGACTCCTTATTCCCTTAGTCAAAACAGAGCAGCAAACAAATAAACAGTAGTAGCACCAAATGGTAGTTGGGTATAAAACTCTACTGAATTTACAGCTTCAGTGATACAAGACTGGATATCAATTCATGGTTTCTTTTTCCTTATATGCAACAAAACAAAAGAACTCTTAACAGGAGTAATGAATCGTCTGGGCTGTAATTGCTATCCTGTTGGTAAGTGTTACTTGCTTACAATGCTTCAGTGTTAGCTGGAATTAGGTTGTACTCTGTAGCCTACTAATCCATACTTATTACTAAACAGAGGAGAAAGGGGGCTATTACCACCTTCCAGAGGTGTTTTTAAAAAGCATCTTTACCCTGGATGCACATCTGAAGTGTTAACCTGGTTTTACCCAGTTTTGAATAATTTTTGTAACTACTAAAAATACAAATGCTTAAGTCTCACAATATGAGGTATAGGGTTATCTTATATAAATAATATTTAGGGATTTGTTATACATCTCAGATATGGCACTGAGAATTTAGAAACACTGATTTTTTCTCATTAGACTTCTTTATCTTTATTACCTTGACCTTTGCTCTCAAAACTTTTCTAATCAAAACCTGTTAATTTTTTTAATCCCCAGCTTTATCGAGGTTTAATTGACAAAATAGATACATTCAACATGTGCAGTGTGATGATTTGGTATATGTATACATTGTAAATTATCACAAATTAATTGGTATATTCATCACCTCACATAGATGCCATTTTTTTGTGTGTGTGCATGCAAGTGTAATAAGGAATGATCTTCCTAGCAATATGACAGTATTATTATAGTCACCATGCTGTATATTAGATCCTCAGAAGTATTCATCTCATAAGTGAAAGTTTTTATGTACCCTTTAACCAATATCTCTTCATTTCCCCTACTCTAGGCCACTGGCAGCCATTGTTCTACTTTCTGCTTCTATGAGTTTTACTTTTTTAGATTCCACATATAAGTGAGATTTTACAGTATTCATCTTTCTGTATCTGGCTTACTTCACTAAAAATAATGTCCTCTAGGTTCATCCATGTTGTCTTAAATGGACTTTCTTCTTTTTAATGGCTTAATAATATTCTATTGTGTATACACATGTATACACACATCACATTTTCTTTATTCAGCTATTGATGGACTTAGATTATTTCTATATCTTGATTATTATACATAATCCTGCAGTGAATATGGGAATGCTGACATCTCTTCAAAATACTGATTTTACTTCTTTTGTATATGCATATAGAAGTGGAAATGCTGGATCATATGGTAGTTCTATTTTTAATTTTTTGAGGAACCTTCACACTTCATGCCCTTCATACTTCATACCCTTCATAAGCACCAAGAGTGTGCAAGGATTCCCTCTTCTCCACATACCCACCAACACATATCTCATCTTTTTGATAATAGCCATGCCAGCAAGTGTGAGTTGATATCTCATTATGGGTTTGATATGTTTTTCTCTAATGATTAGTGATGTTGAGCACATTTTCATAAAGTTGTTGGGCATTTTTATGTCTTCTCTGGAAAAATGTCTGTTCAAGTATTGCTCATTTTTGAAAAATTGGTTTATTAGATATGACGGATAAATATATTATCCCATTACATAGCTTGTCTCTTCACTCTGTTGATTGTTCCATTAGCTGTGTAGAAGGTTTTCAGTTTGAGGTAATGCCACTTGTCTATTTTTGCATTTGCTGCCTGTGTTTTTTATGTCATATCCAAATAAATATGGCCAAGACCCATGTCAATTAGATTTTTTTCCCTATGTTTTCTTCTAGGAGTTTTATAGTTTCAGATCTTACATTTAAGCCTTTAATCCATTTTGAGCTTATTTTTAAAATACGTGGTGTAAAATAAAGGTCAAATTTTATTATTTTGCCTGTGAATATTCACTTGTCCCAATACCATTTATGGAAGAGATTGTCCTCTGCTGTTTGCTTATTCTTGGTGCTGTCATCAAAGATTAGTTGACTGAATATAGTTGGGTTTACTTCTTGGCTCTCTACTTTGTGTCACTGGTCTATTTGTCAGTTATTATGCCAGTACCATACTGTTATGATTACAATAACTTTATACTATAGTTTGAAATCAGGAAGAGTGATGCCTTCAGCTTTCTTCTTATGTTTTTCAAAATTGCTTTGGCTGTTCAGTATCTTTTATGGTTCCATGTACATTTTAGGATCTTCCTTTCTATTTCTGTGAAAATTGCCATTGGAAATGTGATAGGAATTTTGTTGGACTTACAGATTACTTTAGAGAGTGTGGTCATTTTATAATATCAGTTCTCCCTGTCCATAAGCATGGAGTATCTTTCCATTTACTTGTATCTTCTTTAATTTTTTTATCAATGTTTCCTATTTTTCAGTATATAGATTTTTCACCTCATTGGTTAAATGTATTCCTAAATATTTTTTCATGCTATTGCAAATGGGATTTTTCTCTTATTTTTTCAAATAGTTATTAGTGTTAGAAATGCTACTGATTTTTGTATATAAATTTTGCATCCTGCAAATTTACTGAATATATTCTAACAGTTTTTTGGGAGAGACTAGGATTTTCTGTATATGAGATCATGTCATCTGCCAACACACACAATTTAACAAATATTCTGATTTGCATGCCCTTTATTCCTTTTCTTACCCAATTTCTGAATAGGACTTCTAGCTCCATGTTGAGTAGAAGTGGCAAGGGTAGTTACCGTTGTCTTGTTCCTGATCTTAGGGGAACAATTCCTGCCTTCCAGTAAAAAAAAAAAAAATCTCACTTGGTCATGGTGTATGATCCTTTTAACATGCTGTTGAATTTAGCTTGACAGTGTTTTGTTAAAAATGTTTGTATCTATGTTCATCAGGAATATAGCCTCTAATTTTCTTTTCTATATCATTTTTTATATGGCTTAGATATCAGGGTAATGCTGGCCTTGTAGTTTGGAAGTTTTCCCTCCTCTTAAATTTTTTTTGGAAGAGCTTTGTAAGGATTGGTGTTAATTCTTTTTTAAATGCTTGGTAGAGTTTACCTGTGAAGCCATCAGATCCTGAACTTTTCGGTGTTGGAAAGTTGTAAATTACCGAGTCAATCTCCTTATTTGTTTTTAGTCTGTTTAGATTTTCTATTTTTTCATGATTCAATCTTGGTAAATTGTAAATTTCTATGAAGTGATACCTTTTTTCTAAGTTATCCTATTAGCATATAATTGTTAATGGTAGTCTCTTACGATTCTTTGTATTTCTATAGTATCGGTTGTAATGTTTCCCCTTTTACTTATTATGTTATTTATTTCATTCCATTAGTCTAGCTAATGTTTGCCAATTTTGTTCATCTTGTCTAAAAACCAATTCTTAGTTTTCTTGCTCTTTTCTATTGTACTTCTCATCTCTATTTCACTTATTTCTGCTCTGATTGTTATTTTCTTCCTTGTGCTGACTTCAGTCTTAGTTCTTCTTTTTCTAGTTCCTTGAGGTGTCAATTTGGCTTGAGATCTTTCTTTTTTTAACGTATGCATTTATTATTATAAGCTTCCCTCTTTACATGGCTTTTAATGCATCCCATACATTTTGATATGTTCCTTTTCCATTTTCTTTTCTCTTAAGATGCTTTTTTATTTCTCTATTGATTTTTTCTTTAACCCATTGGTTGTTCAGGAGCATTAATGTTTTCTTTCCACATATTTTTGAATTCTTTAATTTTCTTCTTGTTATTCCTTTTTTTTTTTTTTTTTTTTTTTTTAGCTTTAAGTTCCGGGACACAAGCGCAGAGTGGTTTGCTGCACCTATCAACCCATCACCTAGGTTTTAAGCCCTGCATGCATTAGCTATTTGTCCTCATGCTCTCCCTCCCCGGCTCCACACCCCAACAGGCCCTGGTGTGTGTTGTTACCCTCCCTGTGTCTATGTGTTCTCATTGTTGGACTCCCACCTATGAGTGAGAATATATGGTGTTTGGTTTTCTGTTCCTGTGTTAGTTTGCTGAGGATGATGGCTTCCAGCTTCATCCATGTGCCTGCAAAGACATGTTCTCATTCCTTTTTGTGGCTGCATAATATTCCATGGTGTATATGAACCATATTTTCTTTATCCAGTCTATCACTGATGGGCATTTGGGTTGGTTCCATGTCTTTGCTATTGTGAGTAGTGCTGCATAAACGTATGTGTGCATGTATCTTTGTAATAGAATTATTTATATTCCTTTAGGTATATACCCAGAATGGGATTGCTGGGTCAATTGGTATTTCTGGTTCTAGATCCTTGAGGAATTGCCACACTGTCTTCCACAATGGTTGAACTAATTTACATTTCCA
The DNA here is from genome assembly GCF_000001405.40 of Homo sapiens. Lineage (NCBI taxonomy): Eukaryota > Metazoa > Chordata > Mammalia > Primates > Hominidae > Homo > Homo sapiens. Next base: position 24,635,226 of record NC_000009.12, read on the forward strand.
CCAACAATATAAAAGTGTTCCTGTTTCTCCACAGCCTCGCCAGCATCTGTTGTTTCTTGACTTTTTAATAAATGCCATTCTGACTGGTGCGAGATGGTATCTCATTGTGGTTTTGATTGGCATTTCTCTAATGACCAGCGATGTTGAGTTTTTTTTTTTTTCATGTTTTTGGCTGCATAAGTGTCTTCTTTTGAGAAGTTCCTGTTTATATCCTTTGCCCACTTTCTGATGCAAATTCTGGATATTAGCCCTTTGTCAGATGGATAGATTACAAAAATTTTCTCCAATTCTGTAGATTGCCAGTTCACTCTGATAATAGTTTATTTTGCTGTGCAGAAGCTGTTTAGTTTAATTAGATAACGTTTGTCAATTTCAACTTTTGTTGCAGTTGCTTTTGGTGATTTCATCATAAAATCTTTGTCCATACCTATGTTCTGAATGGCACTGCTAGGTTTTCTTCTAGGGTTTTTATGGGTTTGGGTTTTACTTTTAAGTCTTTAATCCATCAGGAGATAATTTTTATATAAGGTGTAAGGAAGGGGTCCAGTTTCAGTTTTCTGCATATCACTAGCCAGTTTTCCCAGCACCATTTATTAAATAGGGAATTCTTTCCCCATTGCTTGTTTTTGTCAGATTCATTGAAGATCAGTTGGTTGTAGATGTGTGGTCTTATTTTTGAGGTCTCTATTATGTTCCATTGGTTTATATGTCTGTTTTGTTACCAGTACCATGCTGTTTTGGTTACTGTAGCCTTGTAGTATAGTTTGAAGTCTGGTAGTGTGATGCCTCCAGCTTTGTTCTTTTTTCTTATGATTGTCTTGGCTATGTGGGCTCTTTTTTGGTTCCACATGAATTTTAAAGTAGTTTTTTCTGATTCTGTGAAGAATGTAAATGGTAGTTTGATGGGAATAGCATTGAATCTGTAAATTACTTTGGACAGTATGGCCATTTTCATAATATTGATTCTTCCTCTCCATGAGCATGGAATGTTTTTCCATTTGTTTGTGTCCTCTCTTATTTCCTCAAGCAGTGGTTTGTAGTTCTTTTTGAAGGGGTCCTTCACATCTCTTGTTAGCTGTATTCCTACGTGTTTTATTCTCTGTAGAAATTGTGAATGGGAGTTCATTCATGATTTAGCTCTCTGCTTGTCTATTGTGGTTGTAAAGGAATGCTTGAGATTTTTGCACATTGATTTTGTATCTTGAGACTGCTGAAGTTGCTTATCAGATTAAGGAGTTTTGGGGCCAAGAAGATGGGGTTTTCTACATGTAGGATCATGTTGTCTGCAAACAGAGAAAATTTGACTTCCTCTCTACTTATTTGAATGTCTTTTATTTCTCTCTCTTGCCTGATTGCCATGGCCAGAACTTCCAATACAATGTTGAATAGGAATGGTGAGAGAGGACATCTTTGTCTTGTGCCAGTTTTCAAGTGGAATGATTCCAGCTTTTGATCATTCAGTATAATATTGGCTGTGGGTTTGTCATAAATAAATCTTACGTTTTTTTAGCTGTGTTCCATCAATACCTAGTTTGAGACTTTTTAACAGGAAAGGATGTTGGATTTTACTGAAGACTTTTTCTGCATCTGTTGAGATAATCATGTGGTTTTTGTCATGGTTCTGATTATGTAATAGATTACATTTATTGATTTGCCCATGTGGAACCAGCCTTGCATCCCAGGGATGGAGCCGACTTGATCGTAATGGATAAGCTTTTTGATATGCTGCTGGATTTGATACACCAATATTTTATTAAGGGTTTTTGCATCAAAGTTCATCAGGGCTATTGGCCTTAAGCTTTCTTTTTTGTTGTGTCTGCCAGGTTTTGGTATCACGATGATGCTAGCCTCATAAAATGAGTTTGAGAGAAGTCCCTACTTTTCAGTTGTTTGGAATAGTTTCAGCAGGAATGGTACCAGCTCCTCTTTGTACCTCTAGTGAAATTTCGCTATGAATCCATCCGGTCTTGAACTTTTTTGTTTGTTTGTTTTGATTGGTAGGCTATTTAGTGCTGCCTTACTTTCAGAACTTGTTATTGGTCTATTCAGGGACTCCATTTCTTTCTGGTTTAGTCTTGGGACGGTGAATGTGTCCAGGAATTTATTCATTTTTCTAGATTTTCTAGTTTATTTGCATAGAGGTGTTCATAGTATCCTCTGATGCTAGTTTGTATTTCCGTGGGGTCAGTGTTAATATCCCCTTTATCATTTTTTATAGTGTCTATTTGATTCTTCTCTCTTTTTTATCTTTAGGTAATTTTTTTGAGATGGAGTCTCACTCTGTCACCCAGGCTGGAGTGCAGTGGTATGATCTCAGCTCACTGGGACCTCCACCCACCGAGTTCAAGCAATTCTCTTGCCTCAGCCTCCCGAGTAGTTAGGATTGCAGGCACCTAGCACCATGCCCAGCTAGGTTTTGTATTTTCAGTAGAGACGGAGTTTCACCATCTTAAACTCCTGACCTCATGATCCATCCACCTCTGCCTCCCAAAGTGCTGGTATGACAGGTGTGAGCCACCGCACCCAGTCAATTCTTCTCTCTTTTCTTCTTTATTAGTCTAGTTAGTGATCTATTTTATTTATTTTCTTTTCAAAAAGACAGCTCCTGGATTCATTAATTTTTTCAAGGGATTTTCACGTCTCTGTCTCCTTCATTTCCATGCTGATCTTAGTTATTTCTTGTCTTCTGCCAGCTTTTGGATTTATTTGCTTTTGCTTCTGTAGTTCTTTTCATTGTGATTTAAGGTCTTTCTAGATTTCTGATGTGGACATTTAATGTGGACATTTCCCTCTTAACACTGCTTTAGCTATGTCCCAGAGATTCTGGGACGTTGTCTCTTTGTTCTCACTGGTTTCAAAGAACTTCTAGATTTCTGCCATAATTTTATTATTTACTCAGGAGTTCATTCAGGAGCAGGTTGTTCAATTTCCATGTGGTTGGGTAGTTTTGAGTTTCTTAATCTTGGGTTCTAATTTGATTGCAGTGTGGTCTGAAAGACTTCTAATTTCAGTAATTTTGCATTTGCTGAGGAGTGTTTTAGTTCCAATTATGTGGTCAATTGTAGAGTAAATGCCATGTAGCACTCAGAAGAAAGTATATTCTGTTGTTTTGGTGTAAAGCGTTCTATAGATATCTGTTAGGTCCACATGATCCAGAGGTGAGTCTACATCCTGAATAACGTTGTTAATTTTCTGTCTTGTTGATGTGTCCAATGTTGACAGTAGGGCGTTAAAGTCTCCCGCTACTATTCTGTGGGAGTCTTCTGCTTTCCGCTTGCTTAGTAAATTTTCCTCCATCACGTTATTTTGAGCCTGTGTTTGTCTTTGCACATGAGATAGGTCTCTTGAATAGAGCACACCTTGAAACCTGACTCTTCAATCAACTTGCCAGTCTGTGTCTTTTAATTGAGGCATTTAGACCATTTATATTTAAGGTTAGTATTTTTAATGGGTGAATATGATCTCTCATCATGATGCTGGCTGGTTATTTTGCACAATAGTTGATGCTGTTTCTTCTTTTTTTAAATTATACTTTAAGTTTTAGGATACATGTGCACAACGTGCGGGTTTGTTACATATGTATACATGTGCCATGTTGGTGTGCTGTACCCATTAACTCGTCATTTAACATTAGGTATATCTCCTAATGCTATCCCTCCCCCCTCTGCCTACCCCACAACAGGCCCCGGTGTGTGATGTTCCCCTTCCTGTGTCCATGTGTTCTCATTCTTCAGTTCACACCTATGAGTGAGAACACGTGGTGTTTGGTATTTTGTCCTTGTGATAGTTTGCTGAGAATGATGGTTTCCAGCCTCATCCATATTCCTACAAAGGACATGAACTCATCCTCTTTTATGGCTGCATAGTATTCCATGGTGTATATGTGCCACATTTTCTTAATCTGGTCTATCATTGATGGACATTTGTGTTGGTTCCAAGTCTTTGCTATTGTGAATAGTGCTGCAATAAACATACGTATGCATGTGTCATTATAGCAGCATGATTTATAATCCTTTGGGTATATACCCAGTAATGGGATGACTGGGTCAAATGGTATTTCTAGTTCTAGATCCATGAGGAATCGCCACACTGACTTCCACAATGGTTGAACTAGTTTATAGTCCCACCAACAGTGTAAAAGTGTTCCTATCTCTCCACATCCTCTCCAGCACCTGTTGTTTCCTGACTTTGTAATGATCGCCATTCTAACTGGTGTGAGATGGTATCTCATTGTGGTTTTGATTTGCATTTCTCTGATGGCCAGTGATGATGAGCATTTTTTCATGTGTCTTTTGGCTGCATAAATGTCTTCTTTTGAGAAGTGTCTGTTCATGTCCTTCGCTCACTTTTTGATAGGGTTGTTTGATTTTTTTCTTGTAAATTTGTTTGAGTTCATTGTAGATTCTGGATATTAGCCCTTTGTCAGATGAGTAGATTGCAAAAATTTTCTCCATTTCTGTAGGTTGCCTGTTCACCATGAAGGTAGTTTCTTTTGCTGTGCAGAAGCTTTTTAGTTTAATTAGATCCCATTTGTCAATTTTGGCATTTGTTGCCATTGCTTTTGGTGTTTTCGACATGAAGACCTTGCCTGAATGGTATTGCCTAGGATTTTGTCTAGGGTTTTTATGGTTTTAGGTCTAATATTTAAGTCTTTAATCCATCTTGAATTAATTTTAGTATAAGGTGTAAGGAAGGGATCCAGTTTCAGCTTTCTACATATGGCTAGCCAGTTTTCCCAGCACCATTTATTAAATAGGGAATCCTTTCTCCATTTCTTGTTTTTGTCAGATTTGTCAGAGATCAGATAGTTGTAGATACGTGGCATTATTTCTGAGGGCTCTGTTCTGTTTCATTGGTCTATATCTCTGTTTTGGTACCAGTACCATGCTGTTTTGGTTAATGTGGCCTTGTAGTATAGTTTAAAGTCAGGTAGCGTGATGCCTCCAGCTTTGTTCTTTTGGCTTAGGATTGACTTGGCAATGTCGGCTCTTTTTTAGTTCCATATGAACTTTAAAGTAGTTTTTTCCAATTCTGTGAAGAAAGTCATTGGTAGCTTGATGGGGATGGCATTGAATCTATAAATTACCTTGGGCAGAATGGCCATTTTCATGATATTGATTATTCCTACCCATGAGCAGGAAATATTCTTCCATTTGTTTGTATCCTCTTTTATTTCGTTGAGTAGTGGTTTATAGTTCTCCTTGAATAGGTCCTTCACATCCCTTGTAAGTTGGATTCCTAGGTATTTTATTCTCCTTGAAGCAATTGCGAATGAGAGAGTTCACTCATGATTCAGCTCTCTGTTTATCTGTTATTGGTGTATAAGAACGCCTGTGATTTTTGCAAATTGATTTTGTATCCTGATACTTTGCTGAGGTTGCCTATCAGCTTAAGGAGATTTTGGGCTGAGACAATGGGGTTTTCTAGATATACAATCATGTCATCTGCAAACAGGGAAAATTTGACTTCCTCTTTTCCTAATTGAATACCCTTTATTTCCTTCTCCTGCCTGATTGCCCTGGCCAGAACTTCCAACACTATGTTGAATAGGAGTGATGAGAGAGGGTATCCTTGTCTTGTGCCAGTTTTCAAAGGGAATGCTTCCAGTTTTTGCCCATTCAGTATGATATTGGCTGTGGGTTTGTCATAGATAGGTCTGATTATTTTGAGATGCGTCCCATCAATACCTAATTTATTGAGAGATTTTAGTATGAAGGGTTGTTGAATTTTGTCAAAGGCCTTTTCTGCATCTGTTGAGATAATCATGTGGTTTTTGTCTTTGGTTCCGTTTATATGCTGGATTATGTTTACTGATTTGCATATGTTGAACCAACCTTGCATCCCAGGGATGAAGCCCACTTGATCATGGTGGATAAGCTTTTTGATGTGCTGCTGGATTTGGTTTGCCAGTATTTTATTGAGGATTTTTGCATCAATGTTCATCAGAGCTGTTGGTCTAAAATTCTTTTTTTCTTGTGTCTCTGCCAGGCTTTGGTATCAGGATGGTGCTGGCCTCATAAAATGAGTTAAGGAGGATTCCCTGTTTTTCTATTGATTGGAATAGTTTCAGAAGGAATGGTACCAGCTCCTCCTTGTACCTCTGGTACAATTTGGCTGTGAATCCATCTGGTCTTGGGCTTTTTTTGGTTGGTAAGCTATTAATTTTTGTCTAAATTTCAGAGCCTGTTACTGGTCTATTCAGAGATTCGACTTCTTCCTGGTTTAGTCTTGGGAAGGTGTATGTGTCGGTGTCGAGGAATTTATCCATTACTTCTAGATTTTCTAGCTTATTTGCATAGAGGTGTTTATAGTATTCTCTGATGGTAGTTTGTATTTCTGTGGGATTGAAGGTGATATCCCCTTTATCATTTTTTATTGCATCTATTTGATTCTTCTCTCTTTTCTTCTTTATTAATCTTGCTAGTGGTGTATCAGTTTTGTTGATCTTTTCAAAAAACCAGCTCCTGGATTCAATGATTTTTTGAAGGGTTTTTTGTGTCTCTATCTCCTTCAGTTCTGCTCTGATCTTAGTTATTTCTTGCCTTCTGCTAGCTTTTGAATGTGTTTGCTCTTGCTTCTCTAGTTCTTTTAATTGTGATGTTAGGGTGTCAATTTTAGATCTTTCCTGCTTTCTCTTGTGGGCATTTAGTGCTATAAATTTCCCTCTACACACTGCTTTGAATGTGTCCCAGAGATTCTGGTATGCTGTGTCTTTTTTCTCATTGGTTTCAAAGAACATCTTTATTTCTGCCTTCATTTCATTAGGTACCCAGTAGTCATTCAGGAGCAGGTTGTTCAGTTTCCATGTAGCTGAGTGGTTTTGAGTGAGTTTCTTAATCCTGAGTTCTACTTTGATTGCACTGTGTTCTGAGAGACAGTTTGTTATAATTTCTGTTCTCTTACATTTGCTGAGGAGTGCTTTACTTCCAACTGTATGGTCAGTTCTGCTGAGAAGAATGTATATTCTGTTGATTTGGGGTGGAGAGTTTTGTAGATGTCTATTAGGTCCACTTGGTGCAGAGCTGAGTTCAATTCCTGGATATCCTTGTTAACTTTCTATCTCGTTGATCTGTCTAATGTTGACAGTGGGGTGTTAAAGTCTCCCATTATTATTGTGTGGGAGTCTAAGTCTCTTTGTAGGTCTCTAAGGACTTGCTTTATGAATGTGGGTGCTCCTGTATTGGGTGCACATATATTTAGGATAGTTAGCTCTTCTTGTTGAATTGGTCCCTTTACCATTATGTAATGGCCTTCTTTGTCTCTTTTGATCTTTGTTGGTTTAAAGTCTGTTTTATCAGAGGCTAGGATTGCATCCCTTGCCTTTTTTTGTTTTATTTATTTGCTTTATTTATTTGTTTTATTTGTTGATTTGCTTTATAGATTTTCCTCCATCCCTTTATTTTGAGCCTGTGCGTGTCTCTGCATGTGAGATGGGTTTCCTGAATACAGCACACTGATGGGTCTTAACTCTTTATCCAATTGGCCAGTCTGTGTCTTTTACTTGGAGCATTTAGCCCATTTACATTTAAGGTTAATATTGTTATGTGTGAATTTGATCCTGTCATTATGATGTTAGCTGGTTATTTTGCTCGTTAGTTGATGCAGTTTCTTTTTAGCCTTGATGGTCTTTACAGTTTGGCATGTTTTTGCAGCGGCTGGTACCAGTTGTTCCTTTCCATGTTTAGTGCTTCCTTCAGGAGCTCTTGTAGGGCAGGCCTGGTGGTGACAAAATCTCTCAGCATTTGCTTGTCTGTAAAGTATTTTATTTCTCCTTCACTTATGAAGCTTAGTTTGGCTGGATATGAAATTCTGGGTTGAAAATTCTTTCCTTTAAGAATGTTGAATATTGGCCCCCACTCTCTTCTGGCTGGTAGAGTTTCTGCGGAGAGATCAGTTGTTAGTCTTCTAGGGGTTCCCTTTGTCGGTAACCCGACCTTTCTGTCTGGCTGCCCTTAACATTTTTTCCTTCATTTCAACTTTGGTGCATCTGACAATTATGTTTCTTGGAGTTGCTCTTCTCGAGGAGTATCTTTGTGGCATTCTCTGTATTTCCTTAATTTGAATGTTGGCCTGCCTTTCTGGATTGGGGAAGTTCTCCTGGATAATATCCTGCAGAGTTTTTTCCAACTTGGTTCCATTCTCCCCATCACTTTCAGGTACACCAGTCATACGTAGATTTGGTTTTTTTCACCTAGCCCCATATTTCTTGGAGGCTTTGTTCATTTCTTTTTATTCTTTTTCTCTGAACTTCTGTTCTCACTTAATTTCATTCATGTGATCTTCCATCCCTGATACCCTTTCTTCCAGTTGATCTAATTGGCTCCTGAAGCTTGTGCATTTGTCACGTATTTCTTATGCCGTGGTTTTGAGCTCCATCAGGTCCTTTAAGGACTTCTCTGCATTGGTTATTCTAGTTAGCCATTCATCTAATCTTTTTTCAAGATTTTTAACGTCTTTGCCATGGGTTCGAACTTCCTCCTTTAGCTCAGAGTAGTTTGATCATCTGAAGCCTTCTTCTCTCAACTCGTCAAAGTCATTCTCTATCCAGCTTTGTTCTGTTGTTGGTGGGGAACTGCGTTCCTTTGGAGGAGGAGAGGCACTCTGATTTTTAGAGTTTCCAGTTTTTCTGCTCTGTTTTGTCCCCATCTTTGTGGTTTTATCTAGCTTTGGTCTTTGATGATGGTGACGTACAGATGGGGTTTTGTTGTAGGTGTCGTTTCTATTTGTTAGTTTTCCTTTTAACAGTCAGAACCCTCAGATGCAGGTCTGCTGGAGTTTGCTGGAGGTCCACTGCAAACCCTGTTTGCCTGGGTATCAGCAGCGGAGGCTGTAGAACAGCGGATATTGGTGAACAGCAAATGTTGCTGCGTGATCATTCCTCTGGAAGTTTTGTCTCAGAGGAGTACCCAGCTGTGTGAGGTGTCAGTCTGCCCCTACTGGGGTGTGCCTCCCAGTTAGTCTACTTGGGGGTCAGGGACCCACTTGAGGAGGCAGTCTGTCCTTTCTCAGATCTCAAGCTGCATGCTGGGAGAACCACTACTCTCTTCAAAGCTGTCAGACAGGGACATTTAAGTCTACAGAGGTTTCTGCTGCCTTTTGTTTGGCTATGCCCTGCCCCCAGAGGTGGAGTCTACAGAGGCAGGCAGGCCTCCTTGAGCTGCGGTGGGCTCCACCCAGTTTGAGCTTCCTGGCCGCTTTGTTTACCTACTCAAGCCTCATTAATGGCGGGTGCCCTTCCCCCAGCCTCTCTGCCGCCTTGCAGTTTGATCTCAGACTCCTATGCTAGCAATGAGTGAGGATCTATGGGTGTAGGATCCTCCGAGCCATGCGCAGGATATAATCTCCTGGTGTGCCGTTTGCTAAGACCATTGGAGACGCGCAGTATTAAGGTGGGAGTGACCAGATTTCCCAGGTGCCATCTGTCACCCCTTTCTTTGACTAGGAAAGGGAATTCCCTGACCCCTTGCGCTTCCTGGGTAAGGCGATGCCTCACTCTGCTTCGGCTCACTCTCTGTGTACTGCACCCACTGTCCTGCACCCACTATCCAATACTCCCCACTGAGATGATCCCGGTACTTCAGTTGGAAATGCAGAAATCACCCATCTTCTGCGTTGCTCATGCTGGAAGCTGTAGACTGGAGCTGTTCCTATTCGGCCATCTTGGCTCCACCCCCCGATGCTGTTTCTTCATAGTGTCATTGGTCTTTATAGTGTCATGTGTTTTGCAGTAGCTGGTACCAGTTTTTCCTTTCTATACTTAGTGCTTCCTTCAGGAGCTCTTGCAAGGCATGCCTGGTGGTGACAAATTCCCTTAGCATTTGCATGTCTGAAATTGATTTAATTTCTCCTTCAATTACGAAGATTGGTTTGGCCAGATATGAATTGTGGGTTGAAAATGCTTTTCTTTAAGATTGTTAAATACTGGCCCCCATTCTTTTCTGGACTGTAGGGTTTTGCAGATAGATCCACTGTTAGTCTGATGGGCTTCCCTTTGTAGGAGACCTGGCCTTTCTTTCTGGGTTCCCTTAACATTTTTTCCTTCATGTCAACCTTGTAGAATTTGATGATTATGTGTCTTGGTGTTGATCTTATCATGGAGTATCTTTTCTGGATTCTCTGTATTTCCTGAATTTTCATGTTGGCCTGTCTTGCTAGGTTGGGGACGTTCTCCTGGATATTACCCTGAAGTGTGTTTTCCACCTTGGTTCCATTCTCCATGTCTTTTTCAGGTACTCCAGTCAGTTTTAGTTTAGCCTTTTTACATAGTCCCACGTTTCTCAGAGTTTTTGTACATTCCTTTTCATTCTTTTTTCTGTCATGTTGACTGCCTGCCTTATTTCAACAAGATAGTCTTCCACCTCTGATACTCTTTTTTTGCTTGATTGATTTAGCTATTGATACTTGTGTATGCTTCACAAAGTTCTCATGCTGCATTTTTCAGCTCCATCAGGTCATTTATGTTCCTCTCTAAACGGGTTGTTCTAGTTAGCAGCTCCTCTAACCTTTTATCAAGGTTCTTAGCTTCCTTGCATTGCATTAGAGCATGGTCCGTTACCTCTGTGAAGTTCGATATTACCCACCTTCTGAAGCCTACTTCTGTCAATTCATCCATCTCATCCTCCGTCCTGTTCTGTGCCCTTGCTGGAGAGATATTGCAGTCGTTCGAAGGAGAAGAGGCACTCTGGCCTTTCCGGCTTTCAGTGTTTTTTTGTTGTTGTTGATTCCTTCTCATCTTCATGAGTTTGTCTAGTTTGTATCTTTGAGGCTGCTGATCCTTTGATGAGGTTTTTGTGGGAGCTTTATTTTTGTTTGTTTGCTGCTGCTGTTGTTGCTTTCTGTTTGTTTGACATTCTTTCAATAGTCAGTTCCCTCTTCTGTAGGGCTGCTGTGGTTTGCTGGGGTTCACTTCAGGCACTATTCATCTGGTTCACTCCTGCTCCTGGAGATATCACTTGAGGAGGCTGGATAACAGGAAAGATGGGTTCCTGCTCCTTCCTCTTGGATCTCTGACCTTGAGGGGTACCAACCTGTTTCAGTAGGAACACTCCTGTATAGGGTGTGTGACAACCCCTGTTTGGGGTGCCTCACCCAGTTGGGTGGCATGGGAAGCAAGACCCATTTAATGAGGCACTTTGGCTGTTCCTTGGTGGAAGACGTGGGAAACCCACTTGTCTGGGCTGCTGGGTTTCCTCAGAGCTAGCAGGAGGAAAGACTAAATCTGCTGGTCTGTGGAGACTGTGCACACCCCTCCTCCTAGGGGCTCAGGCCCAGGGAGATCAGAATTCATTCCCTGAGCCCCTGGCTAGAGATGGAGTTCCTGCAGAGAGGCCCTGCATCCACAGTGTTGGCTACGGCCTCCCTTCAAGGAGCTCAGATGGCTTAGAGAGCAGGCAGCTGCAGCAGTGGTGATGGCTGCCCCTCCCCACAAGTAATTTGCAGGCTTAGGCTGATTCTAGCTGAGTGGCTGTTGAGAATCTTTGCAGCTCCATGGTTACAACCCAAGGCTTTGGTGGCATAGGATCATGAGTGGGATCTTCCAATCCATGGGTTGCACAGTCCCTTGGTAAAAGCACAGTTTCCCAGGCTGAGTAGCACACTCACTCACCTCCTCACTTGGGTGCCCTTTGTGGCTCTCAGGTGGGCTGCCACACCACAGTGCCCTTCCTTCCTTTCTGTAAGTCATGCCAGCTGCCTAGTCTGTCCTAATGACAGAACCTGGATACTTTGGCTTCCAGTGCAGGATTTGCATGCTGTTTTAGATCTTTTCAATGGGAGCCTCTGATTACCACTGCTTCTAGTTGTCCATCTTGGCCCCACCCCACTCCTTGTTATTGATTTCTAGTTTCATACCATTGTGCTCAGAAAAGATACTTGATATGATTTTAATTTTCTTAAATTTGTAAAAACTTTCCTGGACCAACGTATGACTTCTCCTGGAGAAAGGTAGTGTGTGCTTGAGAAGAATATGTCCTCTGCTGCTATTGAATGAAGTGTTCTCTATATGCCTGTTAGGTTCATAGCGGTATTTAAGTCTGCTTTTTTTTGCATTTATTTTCTATCTGCATGATCTACCCATGGTTGAAAGTAGACTATTAAGGTCCTGTACTATATTTTATTGCCATGTCTCCCTTCAGCTCAGTTAATATTTGCCTTATATATTTATGTTCTCTGATATTGTGTGCATATATACATATATATATACACACACACATAATTATTATAATCTCTTAACATATTTTTAGTATAGATTGGCCTTATTTTTCTTTTTTTAACAGATTTTTCCTGAAAATCTATTTTGGCTGATATAAGTATCACCACTCTCTCTCTTTTGGTTACCATTTACATGGCAGATATTTCTCATCCCTTCACTTTCAGTATATGTATGCCCTTAAAGGTGAATCTGAGTTGCTCATAGCAGCACCATTTTGGATCTTGTTTTTTAATCTATTCAGCTACTCTGTGTCTTTTGATTAGAGAATTTAATTTATTTGCACTTAAAGTAATTATTGACAGGTAGAGACTTTTTATCATTTTGTTAATTTTTTTCTCATTGTTTTGTATTTCCTTTGATTCTTTATCTTTTGTTGTATTCCTTTGAAATTTGTTGTTTTTATTCTAGTATTATGCTTTGAATCCTTTTTCTCTACAGTTTTTTCTATCCACTGAAGGTTTTGTGTGTGTGTGTGTGTAGTTACCAAGAGGCTTAAGTGAAACATGTTATAGTTATAATGTTCTATTTTAAACTGATAACAAGTTATCCATTTAAACTCTATAATTTTACTTCTCCCCCTTACAAATTATATACTATTAATGTCACTCCTTACATCTCTTTATATTGTGTGTCCATTAAAAATTCATGTTATTATAGTTACTTTCAAATTTCTGCTTTTAGTTTTTGTACCACAGTTAAAAAGTAACATCCAGTAGTTTTTCCTACCTGTGGGAGACATATTTCAATATCTCCAGTGGATGTCTAAAGCAGTAGAGAGTGCCAAACTCTATATATACAGAGAAAGATTGTTTGGAAGGCTAAGTCTTCCCTCTTAATAAGTAAAGGTTTTTGCTTTATAAAAATTTTTTGAGTCATTTTGCCTAAATAAATGACTTATGGTAACCTGGAATTGTATTTGATAATATCAATTGTTTTAAACCATTAACATATTTGATAGGCTTCCCGAAATCAAACTTCAGCTTCAAAAATGTCTTTTCTGACCCCTAACTTTGGAATGCTACAGAGAGCCCCTGGAGCATCCAAAAGAGAGGTAAACAGGATTATTTGACATGTTTAGTATGCGGCTCATCTGTAGCAGCTGCTGTGAAGACACTGACTGCAGCAGTGTAGGTGTGGCTGGGGTTGCATGCTCAAAAGGGCCAGCAAGAACCAGGAATGGGGAAAGCCCCACCCACTATGGAGTTGGAGGGGCAGGAGCCCCATGCCCTCTCCAGGTGCAGCTGCAGCGACCTAGCCATGACTCTGGATCTGGTTATCCCTCTGCTCTCAGGGGCGCAGGAAGCCCCTGCCCCTGAAGGCTTGGAAGTGCCTGCTTTCACTGTCTCACCTCTCCCCACTCTTGGCACCTACTCTGGTGTGGAGCAAAGTTGTGGTCGAGCCTGGGCACTCTTGTGACCCAACTGGGTGTGTGAGTGCTTGAGATGGCACTGACATGCCAACTCCCTGCCACCTCAGCTTCCTCTGGACTTTGGGTGCCCGGGAGCAAAGGAGGGAGGCCTGCAGGTTCCCCTCAGCACAAATGACCTGGGCATCATTGATAGCATGTTGATGGTGTGAGGCAGACAGGTTCCTGCATGGAAAGAGGCAGGTCTCCAGTAAAACCCCACCTTCAAGCCAGGGATGGCCTGAAGCCTGGAGGCCAGGCTGCCAATTTCAAGTAGAGTTGCTGACCAGGAGTGAGAACTTATGGTCTTCTCCCAGGCCTGCCCATGGCTGCCCATTGACCAATCAGCACACACCTCCTCTCTTTTGAGCCCATAAATACCCTTGACTCAGCCAGACTCACACAGACATCAGGACTACCAGCTACAGGAAGGAGCTATCCATTTTATATCTCCTCAACTCATCAAGATGACCTGTGTGTAGAAACGTGCTACCCACTATTGGTCTCCCCTTTCCCGAGAGGTGGACACTAAGACAGATGACCTTCCTGAGGAAAGGAGCTACTCACTTTGGGTCTCCTGAGAACTGTTCTGCTGCTCAGTGAAGCTCCTGTCCACCTTGCTCATCCTTCAGTTGTCCACATACCTCATTCTTCCTGGACATGGGACAAGAACTTGGGACTTGCCAAATGTTAGGACTAAAAGAGCTATAACACAAACAGTGCTGAAACGTGCTCCCCTGCTCACAACGTTGTGGGTGACAAGAAGGAGAAAACAGCTGCGGCCCTTCAAGGAATTCAGACCTATGTGATCCCTGAGTCAGGACTGTGACACCCTCTTTGGGGCTCTGTGGATCCTGGTATCTCCAAGCTTTTGGGCACCACCACATTCCCTAGTGCCCACAGCAGAAGCCACTTGCAGTACACCTGGTCCAGCCACAGCCTCACATGAAGCCAGCACCAGTGTTGGTGCCTGGAGCTGCCTGCCCTGCCACAGCTGTGTGCCTGGCTGTGTGCAGTGGCTGAACCCCATGCTCAATTGCTCACACAGCAGTCACTGCTCTGTGCCTAGTTCACCCTTGGCAAATGTGGGATTCAGGCCAGTAGCAAGAGGTGAGTGCAGCCTGCCAAGCCTAGTCAGTAGAAGGAGCCCAGTAGAAGTGAGCAAAACCCAAGCAAAGATGCCACCGGAGACAGAGGTTTCTGGCTGGCCAAGTGAAGCCCTAAGGACACTGTGACAATACCTTTTACAATTAAGCATACATACCTATGATAAAGTTTAATTTATAAATAAGGCACAATAAAAGATTAACAAAAATAATAAAAGAGAACATTTATAACAGTTTAAGAAACTCTATAGATATGGCTTCCCTCTATCTCTCTTAAAATATATTATTGTACTATACCATGGGTAATTGAAACTATGGATAGCAGAACTGCAGATAAGAAGGGATTACTGTACACACCACAATTACTTTATTACAGAATTCTGAAATTTGCTATGTATTTAACCTTACCAGTGAGTTTTATACTTTCATATGTTTTCATAGTATTATATAATGCCCTTTATTTAAATTTGAAAACGCTTTTTAGCATGGTTTTTAGGACATCCTATATTTATAATAGTCCTTCAACTTTTACTTTTCTGAGAATGTTTGCATCTCTCTTTTATTTCTGAAGGACAGCTTTGCCATGTATAATATTATTAGTTGACATTTTTTTCTTAACAACACTTTGAACATAGCATCCAACTCACTTATGACCTTCACAGTTGCTGTAGAGAAATCCACTGATAGCCTTAGGAGTTTTTGCTTGTATGCGATTAGTCTCTTTTGCTACTTTCCAGATCCTCTCTTATATTTTAATTTGAATGCCATTTTTCCCCCAAGATTAGGAAAATTTTCAGTCATCAGTTATTTAAATACATTTTTCTGCTCCTTTCTCTTTACTTTTTAGACTCTCTTAATTTATATATTCATTTTCTTGATCATGGCCCATAAGTCCTTTTGCATTCTTCAGCATTTTACGTTCCTTTTGTTTGGCTCTTCTAATAGCCTAATTTCGACTAACCTTTCTTCAAGTTCCTTGATTCTTTTTTCTGCATTTTTGAGTCTACTGTTGAAACACTCTATTAGATTTTCCGTTCTGTCATTGTATTCTTCATCTCCAATATTTGTGTTTGGTTCTATTTTTATGGTTTCTATTTCTTTATTAAACTTTTTATATTGTTTATACACTTAAATCCCTCAGATACTGTTGTTTATTTGGGTTCTCTTGCATCACGCTGAGCTTCTTTAAGATAATTGTGAATTATTTGTCATACAATTCATAGATCTCCATTTCTCTGGGGTTGGTTATTGGAACGTTATTAGTCTCTTTTGATGTTATATTTGCCTACTTGTTCATTATCAGTGCAGCTCTGCTTTGGTATTTGTGCATTTGAAGAAGCAAACACTTCCTCCTGTTTTTACAGACTGATTTAGGCAAGTAAAGACCTCTTCCTTTGGGTCTCTGGCCTAATGAGATTGCCCCCAAGAATCACAGTTGAGTAGGATTGGTGCTAGGTCACATGGGTGCTGCAGAATCTACAGTGGGGGCTGTGGATGATGAACCTATTACCAGAGTCTCAAACGGACATGAATCTTGTCTGTTTTCTGGGAAAACTGGACTGACTGTAAGTCTTTGGTCAATAGGCTGGCACTAGGAAATGGGTACTTTTCAGGATCCGCAGTTGTGTCTGCAATAGGTGCATAGGAAGATGTCCTTCCTTCTGGGTCCCTGAGTGAGCTCCTACTGGGTCACTGAATGAGTTCCTGGACAGGAAGGACTGGCCCTGAAACATAGCTGAGAGGGGCTAAAACTAGTCATAGGGGTGTTTCAGGCTTCACAGTTTAGACTGAGGTCTGCAAGCCTCTCTCTAGGGGCACAGGCATATATGCTTTTATAGGTCCTGGGGGACAGAATTGCCCCTAGACTGTGGCTGAATAGAGTCAGGCCACAGGATGCTTCAGGATCTGCAGTGAGATTCAGGCTGGTGGGCCTTCCTCTAAGAGAAGCATGGAATGGTGTGTCTCCTGGCAGGTCCATGTGAGAGCAGCACTAATCTATGGCTAGAGCTAAAAGGGGCTGGAACTTAGTTACCAAGCTGTTTCAGAATCTGCTGTGGGACCAAAGCTCAGCAGCCTTGTCTCAGGGACATGAATCTGTGTGTTTTCCTGTGGGTTCCTGAGCATATAGGACTGCTATCAGTCTGTAGCTGAGAGGGGCTGGAGCCTTTGCAGGCTCATATCTGGGACTGAGGTTGGTGGACCTGTCACTGAAGGCATGGGTGGGCATGACTCTTCCCTCATCCCTTGGCTGATGGTTCTGGTGGCAGAACCAAGGACAATTGGAACTGGAGCTAATCTACAGGGAGTTGAGGCTGTTTCCAGGTTTGTAATCATGACCACAGGTGGTGAACCTGCCAACTGGGTGTGGACTTGTTCTTTCAAAACAGTCCTCCTTAGTCTTGGGCCATACTAAGGTTTCACAACCTCTGACCTAAATTTCAAAGCTCCCACAAAGGCACTTTTTTTCCCATGGATGGCTGCCAAACTATTGTTTCTGTGAGAGGATATGAACAGAGAATCTCCTATTCTATCTTCTTGCTCTAAAACCTGGTTACTTTATTTTACATTTATTTTACTTTGCTTGAATCAGCATAGAGGTAAGAGATCAGTGGGATGAGTAAAATGACATGGATAAAAGTCACTTGGCAGACTAGAAGGTAATTTTTAATTAATAGTGCTCCCATTCGTTGTCTTAAAAACAAATTGGATCTTTATTAATTACCTTGAACATTTGATTTTCTATTTTTTCCAAATATTTGATGTAAAAGCAACCGTTCTCTTTTTCACCTCTACCAGAAAAACTTTTAGAATGGTCCTTTGTCTATTTTTTAATATATGATCTTAAGAGATAAATACTGTGGAAAGAATATTAAGTGTCCTTATATCAACTAATAATTTTAGATTAATTGTCAAGGCACAAAAAGAACATTTTCATAAAGTACTTTATTCATAAATATTACTGTGCATTCACTTTTATGTTGTTTCTAACACATGTAACATAGAACTCAACCACTTAAAGTAAGGAGTCAAAAAAGGGATATGATTGACCTTTACTGAGCATCAAGCATGTGTTAGATGCTTTCTATGTCCTAATTTAATTTTTATAAACACCTTAGGAATTAATATTCCCATGCTACAATCGGAGAAAACTTATACAGAT
Source organism: Homo sapiens (assembly GCF_000001405.40). Classification (NCBI taxonomy): domain Eukaryota; kingdom Metazoa; phylum Chordata; class Mammalia; order Primates; family Hominidae; genus Homo; species Homo sapiens. Next base: position 24,653,108 of record NC_000009.12, read on the forward strand.
GAAGAAACTGGCTGGGCACAGTGGTTCACGTCTATAATCCCAGCACTTTGGGAGGCCAAGGTGGGCAGATCACCTGAGGTCAGGAGTTCAAGACCAGCCAGGCCAACATGGTGAAACCCTGCCTCTACTAAAAATACAAAAGTTAGCTGGGCATGGTGGTGGGCACCTGAAATTCCAGCTACTTGGGAGGCTGGGGCAGGAGAATCTCTTGCACCTGGGAGAGGTTGAAGTAAGCCGAGACTTTGTGAGACAGTCTGTCTCAAAAAAACAAACAAACAAACAAAAAAACAAATTTACCCATGATTAAAAACGTTTAAATCTCAGTTACAACCCTAGATATGATTGTTCTAAATATGTCCTTTCTGCTACTTCCTTTGCTACAAAAAAAATCCAAGAAATCAGAAAGAAGTAACGCATTAAGTGTATATATACATACCCATACACGCACATAATTTTTTCAATGAATAACCTATACTCTTCAGTATATACCCAGTAAAATCTGGAAAAAAATTAAACCTTATCCAAGGTAATAATCTTCTCTCTGTTATTATTCCTTGTATGTTGTTTAAAAATCTATCAATTTTCCACTCGAAATTTACTTCTCTCTTAAATTCTTTAAGAATTAGAAACCTCTGATTTTCATATGCCAAATACCAGGCACAAAAATGTTTTCTTTTCTTTCATTGTGGTAAATCCAAGTGTAATACAGTAAGAATGGAAAATATGAGTAAGTGCATGTACATATATAATAAAATTAAGAAATATGTCATAATATTTTACTCTTTGGCTTTAATTTCCATTTTATTCTGGCACAAGGTTTGTAGTGGAGTGGGCAGGGAGAAAGAACAACTAGTAACATGTTTTAAGGCAAGTGTAAAAGATAACTTTACCACTCACAAGAGTTTTATATCCAAATTTAGCTCCAAAATTAATCTGAGATTCCCAGACTAAAATATCTGTGGATAATTTTAAAGATTGAGTAGTTTGTTTTCTTATTAATTTTTTGAAATGTGTTTTTATATCCTGGTACAGAGTTATATATTCTGGATATAAGCCATTTATCAGGTACATAATTTACAAATATCTCACCCTGTTTGTGTTTTGTCTTTTTATTCTTTGTGTATTTGCAAGAGCCAAACTTACTGCATTTTCTGAGGTACAGTTTGTCATTTTTATGGATCATTCTTTAGGTATTGTTATATTTAAGAAATCTTTGACTGACTCAAGATCACAAAGATTTTCTTCTGTTTTCTTCTAGAATTGTTTAAAATTGAGATTTTGCATTTTAGACTTACTCATTTTGAGGTAATTTTTCCATATTTTATGAATAATAGATCAAAGTTATTATTTTATATATTGATATACAGCTTTGGCAAAAATAAATTGGCCATATACATATAGGTTTATTTCTAGAGTCTATTATGTTCCATTGATCCATTTGTCTGTATTAATGCTGACCACATTATCTCGACCCCTAGAGCTTTAAAATAAATCTTGAAATCAGGTTGCTTAGCTCTGTACTTTAATTCTGTTTTAAAAGTTTTATTGGCTATTTTAGATCCATTGCATTTTCATATAAACTTAATAATAAACTAGTTTATTTCTACCAAAACTGTCAGTATATGAGTTGAAATTATATTAAAGCTATATAGGTCAGTGTGGGAAGAATTGACATCTACGTAACAGTAAATCTTCCAACCCATGAATGCTTAATATTCTATTTTTATTTAGATCTCTTAGAATTTCTCTAACAAGTATTCTGTAATTTTCAGATCTGGTAGATTTATTTCTAAATATTACATATTTGTGTATTCTCATCATTTGCATTCCTTAAAATATCAGTTTTATTTGTTCGTTACTATTGTACAGGAATACAATTGACTTTATAAAATTTGCCGATTAGTTCCGGGGCTTTTTAAATAGATTCTACAGGATTGTCTACATAGACAATCTTATTTTTTGTGAATAAATATAATTTTAATTATTCCTTTACAAACTAAATGTTTTAAAATTTCTCTTTCTTGCCTTATTGCACTGGTTATGATGTTCGGTATGATGTTGCATAGTATTGATGAGAGTGGGCATTTTTGTATTATTCTTGATATTAAAGAGAAAACAATTGAGTTTTCTATGTTCAGTACAACATTAAATCAGTATTTTTCATACTTGTTTTTTAAAAGTTAAATTGATGCAGTTCTTTTTTAGTTATTATTTTCTGAGTGCTTTTAAAATTTATTGAGAAATGGATGTTGAATGTCATTTTATTTTGCTCCATCTACTGAGAATGTAATACAAATTTTTAAATTTTAATATGACAATTTGTAAGTTATATATTCTTGGTTTCTATTTGCTAAAATTTTATTTAGAATATTTGCATCTTTGTTCATGAAGAATATTAGTGTGTAATTTTCTTAACTTGTAATGGCTTTTTTCTGCTTTTGGTATTAGGATAAGTTTTGTTTCATAGAATGAGTTTGGATCATTAAAAAGTCAGGAAACAACAGGTGCTGGAGAGGATGTGGAGAAATAGGAACACTTTTACACTGTTGGTGGGACTGTAAACTAGTTCAACCATTGTGGAAGTCAGGTGGCGATTCCTCAGGGATCTAGAACTAGGAATACCATTTGACCCAGCCATCCCATTACTGGGTATATACCCAAAGGATTATAAATCATGCTGCTATAAAGACACATGCACACGTATGTTTATTGCGACACTATTCACAATAGCAAAGACTTCGAACCAACCCAAATGTCCAACAATGATAGACTGGATTAAGAAAATGTGGCACATATACACCATGGAATACTATGCAGCCATAAAAAAGGATGAGTTCATGTCCTTTGTAGGGACATGGATGAAGCTGGAAACGGTCATTCTCAGCATACTATCGCAAGGACAAAAAACCAAACACCACATGTTCTCACTCATAGGTGGGAACTGAACAATGAGAACACATGGACACAGGAAGGGGAACATCACACACCGGGGTCTATTGTGGGGTGGGGTGAAGGGGGAGGGATAGCATTAGGAGATATACCTAATGTTGAATGACAAGTTAATGGGTGCAGCATACCAACATGGCACATGTATACATATGTAACTAACCTGCACATTGTGCACATGTACCCTAAAACTTAAAGTATAATTAAAAAAAAAAAAAAAAAACCATTGTTCTCAACTTCGCTGAGTAGAGTGTCACATGAATAAGAACTAGGCAAATTTAGTTGATAATAATGTTTGAGATTTCTTTCTACTTACAAATATTTTGTTTATTTATTCTCTTGGTTACTAAGAGAGGGATGCTGTCTTAGTCTGTTTGGGCTGCTATACCAAAAAACCCTTACCTGAGTAGTTTATATATAGCAGAAATTTATTTTTTACAATTCTGGTGGCTAGAAAGTCCAAGATCATGGAATATTTCATCTCTGGTAAGGGAGCATTTTCTAATTCACAGATGACATTTTTTGCTGTGTCCTCACACAGTGGACGGGATAAAGGGTTTCTCTCAGGTCTCTTTTATCAAAGCAAGGACAGTAATTTGTGAGGGCTCTATCCCTGTGACCTAATCAGCTCCCGAATTCCCCACCTCCTATCATTTTGTTGGGCAAGATTTCCATATATGAATTTAGAGGACACTACACATTCAGATCATGGCAGATGAAGAAATTTCCAAATATAAGTAAGACTTTATCTATTTTTTCTTGTTGCTCTATAACATTCGTTTCATGTATCTTTAAACTGCTACCATGTGCATAAACATTATGATGGTTATGCTCTTCCGAGGAATTGTCTTTCATGATTGTCCTAGTTTGTTTGTGCTGCTATAACTTAATACCTAAAAGTAAGTAATTTATAATGATCAGAAATTTATTTGATCTCAGAATTATAGATATTAGAAAGCCCAATATTAAGATGCTGACAACTGGCGAAGGCCTTATTGCTCTGTCATCCCATGCTAAAAGACAGAAGGACCAAGAAACAAAAGGGAGCTGAATTCACCTTTTTATAATGACAGTAATCCTGCCTATGAGGGTAGACCCCGCACGGCCAAGTCATCTCCTGAAGGTCCCACCTCCCAACACTGTTACAATGGCAACTAAATTTCAACATGAGTTTTAGAAGAGACAAACATTCAAACCATAGCAATGACTAAATGACCTTCATATGTACAATAAGTATTTTTGCTTTAAAATCTTCTTTGATATTAATGGAGCTTCTCCAAATTTTTAAAAAGAAATCACTGTTAACATAGTTTATTGTTCCCATTCTTTTTCTCTTAACTGTTTATACCTTTATTTTTAAAGTGAGTTTGTAATAGAAAGTATATAGTTGAGTCTTGTTTTATTTATCCAGTCCAACAATCTACACTTGTTATTTATTTGTTGATATGATTGGGTTATATCTAGTACTTCTTTTTTATTTTATGCTTTTTCTATTTCTTCTTTTTTCTCTTTTTCTGCCCTATTTTGATGAGTCGGGTATTTTCTTTTTTTCCCCTCGTTGCATTTTATTTTCCTTTCGGCTTAACATTTATATTTCTTTTTTTTGTTAATTTAGTTGTTGGTTTGGATTTATAGTATACACATTTAACTTATCAATCTATCTTGAAATGATATTATGCCACTTTTTATATGTTAAAGTAACTTTATAATAATATGCTGCACTTATTCCCTGTGAGGCTCTGTTCTGCTTTTTAAAATTTTACTTTTATGGCTGGGCGTGGTGGCTCATACCTGTATTCCCAGCACTTTGGGAGGACGAGGCAGGCAGATCATGAGGTCAGGAGTTCGAGACCAGCTGACCAACATGGTGAAACCCTGTCTCTACTAAAAATACAAAAATGAGCCAGGCGTGGTGGTGTGCACCTGTAATCCCAGCTACTCAGGAGGCTGAGGCAGGAGAATCACTTGAATCCAGGAGGCGGAGGTTGCAGTGAGCTGAGATTGTGCCACCGCACTCCCGCCTGGTGACAGAGTGTGACTCTATCCCCCCTCCAAAAAAAAATAATTTATATTTGTTATGAATCTCATAATACATTTTTATTAATATTCTTATTTTGTTTTCAATGTCAATTGTCTTAACAAAGATATTTAACAATAAAAGAAATACTCTGTATTTAACCACATAGTTACCATTTTCAGAGCTCTTCAGTATTTCGTTTAGAAATGGATTTTCTTCTGACAGCATTAACTTCTACCTGAAATAATAACGTTAGTATTTCCTGTATTAGTTCACCTAGTGAAAAATTCTTTCAGCTTTGTGTGCTCCCAAATGTCTTTATGTCAGCTTCATATTTGAAATACTTTTTTTGAGATATAGAACTCTAGTTCAGAGAGTTTTTATTTGAGTACTTTAAAAACTTCCTCCACTATCTTCTAGCTTACATTGTCTCCAATGAGAAATATGTTATCTTTGTTTCTATATATGTAATGTGTCTTCTTAATCTGGCTGTTTTTAGGATTATTTTGTTTTTAACGCTCATTATTACTGATAATGTGCTTTTTTCATTTTTTAAATTCATTTTATGTTGGTCTTCATTGAACTTTTTGTATCTGTGGATTACTGTTTTTATCAAATTTTGAAAATATTCAGCCATTATTTCTTCAACTTTTTTCTGTTTTCTACTCTCTCTCTTCTCCTTTTAGATTGCACTTACATATGTCTTAGACCACTTGAATTTGCCCCACAGTTACTCCATTTTTTCTCTCTCTTTCGATTTCATTTTGAATGGTTTCTATTGTTAAGTCTTGAAGTCCATTACTTTTTTTTTAGCAATATCTAATCCGCTTCTAATTCCATTTAGTATAATTTTCATTTCAGGCATTGTATTTTTTTCATCTTGGCAAATTGAATATTTTTAACTTCCATAATTTATTTGTTTCCTGTTGTTCCTCATCTTTTTCTCTAGTTTCTTTAACATGTTAAATTGTTGTAAAAATGCTTTTAGTATTCTGTTTATTAATGTTATCATCTGTATTGATTCTATATTGGGTTAAATTGATTTCTTTTCATCTTCATTCTGCACCTTATCCTCCTCCTGTGCATGTCTCATAATTTTTGACTGGTTGTCAGATATTGTGATTTTAGTTTATTTAGGTCCTTATTTTTCTGTTGCTGCATATATTCCTGAGCTTCCTTGTGGAATGTGGTTCACTTCCTTGGAAATAGTGTGATCTTTTTATGTTTCTTTGGCTTGAACAGAACATTGTTTCTCTAAGGCTTTTTTTTAGTCCCCCACCACTGAAAGAAAAACATATAAGTACTCTATAAAATGATGAGTATATTTTAAAACTTCATACTTTGGCTTGTGCATTCCAGACGGTATTCCCTCTAATGCATTTGGGTGGTTTCTTTTCACCCTCTGTCTTTCAGTGGTTTTCTCAGGTACGTATTCTGGACAGTATTCCAGTTTAGGACACAAGAGTATCCTCTACATATATTTGGAGCTCTCTCATTGTACAACTTTCTCCTCTCTGACAGTCTGTCCTATGAACTCTTACTTTGGTCTTTCCAAGCTTCCAACTCTAACAATTCAACTCAGGGAGGCTGTGTGGGGGCAACTGGCTTCTTTCCTGGCAGGTCTGTCCCACAGACCCTGGCCAAGCAACAGATGAAAGGAGTACTCATACGCAGACATGCAGTGAAAAAGTGGGCTTGGGGACTGATGGCACTAGGGGCCAAAGAGTGTTAGCAGTCTGATAAGCCAGAGCCACTTGTATTTATTCAGTAGAGATTTAATGACAAAGGCCTGGAGCCAACACAACCTGTGGATAATTAACATTGTCGCCTCCCACCCCCGCCCCCTCCACCCCTTGCAAGGAGCAGTCTTGCGCGCCGATGATCAAGATGATCAAAGGTCAGTTTCTGGACAACATAAGTAAATAAACTTATCTAGATAAACTTCTGCACGTTCTTTTGCACCTACTTCTCACCCTCTGCCTCAGGGTAAGAGAATTACCTGCCTTCAGTTTTTATTCTCTCCTGAAGCTTTGAAAAACCTCCCGGCCTTCCAAGAAGGTTTGTGTCTTTCCCTATAACTTTTCTTATAACTTTTCCCATCATCCTGACCCATCTCCTACACTTTCCCAGTGCCATAGCCTGGAAACTCTCACCAGGCAGTAAGCCGAGGTAATCTTTGGGGTCCCTGGTTTGTATCTCATCTCATAGGAATGACTAGATCATTGTGTTGTGTTTCCTAATGCTCAGTGGCTTGAAAAGTATTGACTCATATTTTGTTCAGTTTTTAGTTGTTTCATGTAAAATAGTATTTTGGGTCTTTGTTACTTTATCTTGGTCAGATGCAGACGTTTCCTAAGCTATTTAAATTTCTTTTCTAAAAATAAGCGTTAGTTGAATACTAAAAAGTCCATTTGGAAAATATTTCAATGACATTCAGTTGAGATTATAAAAAAATTAGTAAATTAAGAAGATAGATTTGTTAATAATAAATTTTATTGTTTCATTATTTTTGTAACAAGTATATTGAGAAATACAATTCACATACCATGCAATGTATCCATTTAAAGTATAGAAATCATTGGTTTGAATACATTTACAAAGTTATGCGACAATCACCGTGACCAATTTTAGAAATTTTTCATCAACCAAAAAACAAACCCTATGCCTTTTTAGCCGTCACTGTGCTATTTTTTTCCCAATCTCTTTAGCCCTAAGTAATGATTAGCCTACTTTGTGTCTCTATAGATATGCCTATTCTGGACCTTTAGTATAAATAAAATCCTAAAATATGTGGTTTTTGTGATTGGCTTATTGCACTTTGCCAATCTTGTATTCAAGGTTCTTCTGTGTTGCAGTATGTATCAGCACTTTATTCCTCAATAATATTCAACTCTTTAGTTATGCCCCCGTTTTATTTACCTTTCCATTATTTAATGGACATTTGGGTTGTTTCTACATTTTGGTTATTATGAATAATGCTCCTATGAACATCTGTGTACATGTTACTGTATGAAAATATGTTTTCAGTTTTCTTGAGTATATAGCTAGAATTGAAAGTGCTGGATAAAATGGTAACTAAATGTTTAACCTTTTGAGGAAGTGCACAGTGTTTTTTCAATTTTTCATTCACATAAGCTGTTTATGAGGATTGCAATTGATCCACATCTTTGTCAACACTTGCAATCATTACTCTTTTTGATTAAAGCAACCCTAGTGGGTGTAAAGTGGTATCTCATTGTGGTTTTAATTTGCATTTCACTTATGGAAAATGTTGCTTTTATAGTGTCAGTAATCCCTTCTCATAATATCTGTTTTTACGTGTCTGTCAGCATTTAAATGCATCAAATAGCAGTAAATCAATTACTGTTTGCTGACTGCTCTTATTACTTCTGGGAAACCTAATAAATAAATTGCCATCAATAACAGCTAACTTTTAAAGCCCTTGATGAGATCTAGTCTTTTTACATACTGCATTCAATCCGCACATACTGTCATAGATGAAGAAAATTATGGTGAATGAGTTTCAGTAACTTATAATAGGAGTTGTCAAACTACTACCCAGAGTTGAAATCCATCTCATGGTCTATGTTCACAATGCCTGCATGCTAAGAATATTTTTTACATATTACAGTGTTACTAAAAAAAACAATGTGTTAAAGAGACCTGTGTAGCCTGGAAAGCTTAAAATATTTAAGCTTTATTTAAAGGGCTACATATGGCCCTTTATAGAAAATCTTTGCTGACCTCCAACTTACGTTGCACATGTGGTTAAAAACCAGCTTCATCCAATTCGGGAATGTGAGTTTTGCAACTGACAATATTGTAGTAGACATATATGTCCTTCAGTTTATCTGACCTAGTAAAACAGCAGGAGAAAACAAAGTAAAACAAGCACATATATATATTTTAAAAAAGACAAAACATGTTGAGTATTCTGTGCATAATATAAAACCTGTGGTTTGCCATGGGAGATTGGAAGAAATTTGAGCAATTATCCCTTCAACATACATGAGTAAAGAGAAAATTGACTATAGCTGGACAAAACCTAAATAAAATGAGTGCCATGGAAAGTTGGGGATTTGTGCATGCCCTTACTCTTTCATAGTATCTAAGGGGGCTTAATTGTTGTGGATTGGATACACTAACTCAGAAGGATAACAAAGTCTCTTGATTGCACATGATGTTGGAAGACAGGCTAATTTAGTTTAAGAATTTATATTAGAAAGTAAAATCACCAATCTGGAGGAATAAATTATATGAGTGGAATATGAGAGTTGGATGAACTATACAATGGTAACACACACTCTGACATTGTAGACCAAATGCTAATTCTCAATATTGACACAGTAACATTCACAAATCTAGGTACTCAATTAGCTTTGGTTTGGCCTATTTCATGTCACTTGTATACCATCCAGAGATCCAAATGAATTATCATGGAGTCCTAAACTTCTGACATTGGCCATGTTTTATACTCTCCACCTTACCTGCCCTTCCTGCCTATCTCCAACATCCATCGTTAAAGAAACCAAAAACCACCTACACAGTTCCCTTATCAATCACTCAATAATAAGCATGGGCTTGTACATATGGTATTTTTACAATTTCTCTCTCCTGTTATTAAATGTCAGCATTTTTCTAAATAACTGCCAATTAAAACTCACATTCAAAACTATAAATTTTGCATTCTCAGAGCGACATTATTTACTTTATATTGTAAAACAATCTTATTATAAATAATTTGCATGTGAAACTACAATCACCACTTTTTTTATTATTATACTTTAAGTTTTAGGGTACATGTACACAATGTGCAGGTTTGTTACATATGTATACATGTGCCATGTTGGTGTGCTGCACCCATTAACTCATCATTTACCATTAGTTATATCTTCTAATGTTATCCCTCCCCCCTCCCCCCACCCCACAACAGGCCCACAGTGATGTTCCCCTTCCCGTGTCTATGTGTTCTCATTGTTCAATTCCCACCTGTGAATGAGAACACGTGGTGCTTGATTTTTTCTCCTTGTGATAGTTTGCTGAGAATGATGGTTTCCAGCTTCATCCATGTCCCTACAAAGGACATGAACTCATCCTTTTTTATGGCTGCATAGTATTCCATGGTGTATATGTGCCACATTTTCTTAATCCGGTCTATCATTGATGGACATTTGTGTTGGTTCCAAGTCTTTGCTATTGTAAATAGTGCTGCAATAAACATACGTATGCATGTGTCCTTATAGTAGCATGATTTATAATCCTTTGGGTATATAGCCAGTAATGGGATGGCTGGGTTAAATGGTATTTCTAGTTCTAGATCCCTGAGGAATCGCCACACTGACGTCCACAATGGTTGAACTGGTTTACAGTCCCACCAACAGTGTAAAAGTGTTCCTATCTCTCCACATCCTCTCCAGCACCTGTTGTTTCCTGACTTTGTAATGATCGCCATTCTAACTGGTGTGAGATGGTATCTCATTGTGATTTTGATTTGCATTTCTCTGATGGCCAGTGATGATGAGCAGTTTTTCATGTGTCTTTTGGGTGCATAAATGTCTTCTTTTGAGAAGTATCTGTTCATATCCTTTGCCCACTTGTTGATGGGTTGTTTGATTTTTTTCCTGTAAATTTGTTTGAGTTCATTGTAGATTCTGGATATTAGCCCTTTGTCAGATAAGTAAATTGCAAAAATTTTCTCCCATTCTGTAGGTTGCCTGTTCACTCTGATGGGAGTTTCTTTTGCTGTGCAGAAGCTCTTTAGTTTAATTAGATCCCATTTGTCAATTTTGGCTTTTGTTGCCGTTGCTTTTGGTGTTTTAGACATGAAGTCCTTAGACATGCCTATGTCCTGAATGGTATTGCCTAGGTTTTCTTCTAGGGATTTTATAGTTTTAGGTCTAACAGTTAAATCTTTAATCCATCTTGAATTAATTTTAGTATAAGGTGTAAGGAAGGGATCCAGTTTCAGCTTTCTACATATGGCTAGTCAGTTTTCCCAGCACCATTTATTAAATAAGGAATCCTTTCCCCATTTCTTGTTCTTGTCAGATTCGTCAAAGATCAGATAGTTGTAGATATGTGGAGTTATTTCTGAGGGCTCTGTTCTGTTCCATTCGTCTCTATCTCTGTTTTGGTACCAGTACCATGCTGTTTTGGTTACTGTAGCCTTGTAGTATAGTTTAAAGTCAGGTAGCGTGATGCCTCCAGCTTTGTTCTTTTGGCTTAGGATTGTCTTGGCCATGCGGGCTCTTTTTTGGATCCATATGAGCTTTAAAGTAGTTTTTTCCAATTCTGTGAAGAAAGTCATTGGTAGCTTGATGGGGATGGCATTAAATCTATAAATTACCTTGGGCAGTATGGCCATTTTCATGATATTGATTCTTCCTGCCCATGAGCATGGATTGTTCTTTCATTTGTTTGTATCCTCTTTTATTTCCTTGAGCAGTGGTTTGTAGTTCTCCTTGAAGAGGTCCTTCACATCCCTTGTAAGTTGGATTCCTAGGTATTTTATTCTCTTTGAAGCAATTGTGAATAAGAGTTTACTCATGATTTGGCTCTCTGTTTGTCTGTTATTGGTGTATAAGAATGCTTGTGTTTTTTGCACATTGATTTTGTATCCTGAGACTTTGCTGAAGTTGCTTATCAGCTTAAGGAGATTTTGGGCTGAGATGATGGGGTTTTCTAGATATACAATCATGTCATCTGCAAACAGGGACAATTTGACTTCCTCTTTTCGTAATTGAATACCCTTTATTTCTTTCTCCTGCCTGATTGCCCTGGCCAGAACTTCCAACACTAGGTTGAATAGGAGTGGTGAGAGAGGGCATCCCTGTCTTGTGCCAGTTTTCAAAGGGAATGCTTCCAGTTTTTGCCCATTCAGTATGATATTGGCTGTGGGTTTATCATAAAGAGCTCTTATTATTTTGAGATACGTCCCATCAATACCTAATTTATTGAGAGTTTTTAGCATGAGGGGTTGTTGAATTTTGTCAAAGGCCTTTTCTGCATCTATTGAGATTAATTCTGTGGTTTTTGTCATTGGTTCTTTTTATATGCTGGATTACATTTATTGATTTGCATATATTGAACCTGCCTTGCATCCCAGGAATGAAGCCCACTTGGTCATGGTGCATAAGGTTTTTGATGTGCTGCTGGATTTGGTTTGCCAGTATTTTATTGAGGATTTTTGCATCAGTGTTCATCAGGGATATTGGTCTAAAATTCTCTTTTTTTGTTGTGCCTCTACCAGGCTTTCATAGCAGGATGATGTTGGCCTTATAAATTGAGTTAGGGAAGATTCCCTCTTTTTCTATTGATTGGAGTAGTTTCAGAAGGAATGGTACCAGCTCCTCCTTGTACCTCTGGTAGAATTCGGCTGTGAATCAGTGTGGTCCCGGACTGTTTTTGGTTGGCAAGCTATTAATTATTGCCTAAAGTTCAGAGCCTATTATTGGTCTATTCAGAGATTCAACTTCTTCCTGGTTTAGTCTTGGGAGTGTGTATGTGTTGAGGAATTTATCCATTTTTTCCAGATTTTCTAGTTTATTTGTGTAGAGGTGTTTATAGTATTCTCTGATGGTAGTTTGTATTTCTGTGGGATCTGTGATGATAACCCCTTTATCATTTTTTATTGCGTCTATTTGATTCTTCTCTCTTTTCTTCTTTATTAGTCTTGCTAGTGGTCTATGAATTTTGTTGATCTTTTCATAAAACCAGCTCCTGGATTCATTGATTTTTTTGAAGGGTTTTTTGTCTCTATCTCCTTCAGTTCTGCTCTGATCTTAGTTATTTCTTGCCTTCTGCTAGCTTTTGAAAGTGTTTGCTCTTGCTTCTCTAGTTCTTTTAATTGTGATGTTAGGGTATCAATTTTAGATCTTCCTGCTTTCTCTTGTGGGCATTTAGTGCTATAAACTTCCCTCTACACACTGCTTTGAATGTGTCCCAGAGATTCTGGTATGTTGTGTCTTTGTTCTCGTTGGTTTCAAAGAACATCTTTATTTCTGCCTTCATTTCGTTATGTACCCAGTAGTCATTCAGGAGCAGGTTGTTCAGTTTTCATGTAGTTGAGCGGTTTTGAATGACTTTCTTAATCCTGACTTCTAGTTTGATTGCACTGTTGTCTGAGAGACAGGTTGTCATAATTTCTGTTCTCTTACATTTGCTGAGGAGTGCTTTACTTCCACCTGTGTGGTCAGTTTTGCAATAGGTTTGGTGTGGTGCTGAAAAGAATGTATATTCTGTTGATTTGGGGTGGAGAGTTCTGTACATGTCTATCAGGTCCACTTGGTGCAGGGCTGGGTTCAGTTCCTGGATACCCTTGTTAACTTTCTGTCTCGTTGAGCTGTCTAATGTTGATAGTGGGCTGTTAAAGTCTCCCATTATTATTGTGTGGGAATTTAAGTCTCTTTGTAGGTCTCTAAGGACTTGCTTTATGAATCTGGGTGCTCCTGTATTGGGTGCGCATATATTTAGGATAGTTAGCTGCTCTTGTTGAATTGATCCCTTTACCATTATGTAATGGCCTTCTTTGTCTCTTTTGATCTTTGTTGGTTTAAAGTCTGTTTTATCAGACACTAGGATTGCAACCCCTGCCTTTTTTTGTTTTCCATTTGCTTGGTAGATCTTCCTCCATCCCTTTATTTTGAGCCTATATGTGTCTCTGCCCATGAGATGGGTTTCCTGAATACAACACATTGATGGGTCTTGATTCTTTTTCCAGTTTGCCAGTCTTTGTCTTTTAATTGGAGCGTTTAGCTCATTTACATTTAAGTTTAATATTGTTATGTGTGAATTTGATCCTGTCATTATGATGTTAGCTGGTTATTTTGCTCATTAGTTGATGCAGTTTCTTCCTAGCATCAATGATCTTTACAATTTGGCATGTTTTTGCATTGGCTGGTACCAGTTGTTCCTTTCCATGTTTAGTGCTTCCTTCAGGAGCTCTTTTAGGGCAGGCCTGGTGGTGACAAAATCTCTCAGCATTTGCTTGTCTGTAAAGGATTTTATTTCTCCTTCACTTACGAAGCTTAGTTTGGCTGGATATGAAATTCTGGGTTGAAAATTCTTTTCTTTAGGAATGTTGAATATTGGCCCTCACTCTCTTCTGGCTTGTAGAGTTTCTGCCGAGAGATCAGCTGTTAGTCTGATGGGCTTCCCTTTGTGGGTAACCTGACCTTTCTCTCTGGCTGCCCTTAACATTTTTTCCTTCATTTCAACTTTGGTGCATCTGACAATTATGTTTCTTGGAGTTGCTCTTCTTGAGGAGTATCTTTGTAGCGTTCTCTGTATTTTCTGAATTTGAATGTTGGCCTGCCTTGCTAGATTGGGGAAGTTCTCCTGGATAATTTCCTGCAGAGTGTTTTCTAACTTGGTTCCATTCTCCCCGTCACTTTCAGGTACACCAGTGAGTCGTAGATTTGGTCTTTTCACATAGTCCCACATTTCTTGGAGACTTTGTTTTCTTTTTATTCTTTTTTCTCTAAACTTCTGTTCTTACTTCATTTCATTCATTTGATCTTCCATCCCTGATACCCTCTCTTCCAGTTCATTGAATCGGCTACTGAGGCTTGTGCATTCATCACGTAGTTCCTGTGCCATGGTTTTCAGCTCCATCAGGTCCTTTAAGGACTTTTCTGCATTGGTTATTCTAGTTAGCCATTCATATAATCTTTTTTCAAGGTTTTTAACTTGTATGCCATGGGTTCGAACTTCCTCCTTTAGCTTGGAGTATTTTGATTGTCTGAAGCCTTCTTCTCTCAACTCGTCAAGGTCATTCTCCTTCCAGCTTTGTTCTGTTGCTGGTGAGGAGCTGCATTCCTTTGTAGGAGAAGAAGCGCTCTGATTTTTAGAATTTTCACATTTTCTGCTCTGTTTTTTACATGTGTTTAGAATAACACATTTTCTGCTCTGTTTTTTACTCATCTTTGTGGTTTTATCTACCTTTGGTCTCTGATGATGGTGACGTATAGATGGGGTTTTGTTGTGGATGTCCTTTCTGTTTGTTAGTTTTCCTTCTAACAGTCAGGCCCTCAGCTGCAGGTCTGTTGGAGTTTATCAGAGGTCCACCCCAGACCCTGTTTGCCTGGGTATCAGCAGCGGAGTCTGCAGAACAGCGGATATTGGTGAACAGCAAATGTTGCTGCCTGATCATTCCTCTGGAACTTTTGTGTCAGAGGAGTACCCAGCCATGTGAGGTGTCATTCTGCCCCTACTTGGGGGTGCCTCCCAGTAAGGCTACTCAGGGGTCAGGGTCCAACTTGAGGTGGCAGTCTGTCCTTTCTCAGATCTCAAGCTGCATGCTGGGAGAACCACTACTCTCTTCCAAGCTGTCAGACAGGGACATTTAACTTTACAGAGGTTTCTACTGCCTTTTGTTTGGCTATGCCCTGCCCCCAGAGGTGGAGTCTACAGAGGCAGGCAGGCGTCCTTGAGCTGCGGTGGGCTCCACCCAGTTTGAGCTTCCTGGCCACTTTGTTTACCTACTCAAGCCTTGCCAATGGCGGGCACCCGTCCCCCAGCCTTGCTGCCACCTTGCAGTTTGATCTCAGACTCCTGTGCTAGTAATGAGCGAGGCTCCGTGGGCGTAGGACCCTCTGAGCCAGGCACAGGATATAATCTTCTGGCGTGCCATTTGCTAAGACCATCGGAAAAGCGCAGTATTAGAGTGGGAGTGACCCGATTTTCCAGGTGCCATTTGTCACCCCTTTCCTTGGCTAGGAAAGGGAATTCTCTGACCCCTTGTGCTTCCCGAGTGAGGCGATGCCTCGCCCTGCATTGGCTCAGGCTCGGTGCACTGCATCCACTGTCCTGCCCCCAGTCCAACACTCCCCAGTGAGATGCACCTGGTACCTCTGCTGGAAATGCAGAAATCAATGGTCTTCTGCGCCGCTCACACTGGGAGCTGTAGACTGGAGCTGTTCCTATTCGGCCATCTTTGCTCCACCCTCCACTTTTTTTTTTTTTTTTTTTGGAAAGAGTCTTGCTCTGTCAGCCAGGCAGGAGTGCAGTGGCATGATCTCAGCTCACTGCAACCTCTGCCTCCTGAGTTCAAACGATTCTCCAGTCTTAGCCTCCTGAGTAGCTGGGACAAAAGGTGCATGCCGCCACACCCTGCTAATATTTTTGTATTTTAGTAGAGACGGGGTTTCACTGTGTTGCCCAGGCTGGTTTTGAACTCCTGAGCTCAGGCAAGCTGCCCACCTCAGTCTCCCAAAGTGCTAGGATTATAGGCGTGAGCCACTGCACCTGGCCAGTCACCACCTATCTTTAAAAAAGGCTTTAGTTAGTGCTAAACTATTTGTATTTCAGCTAGCAATTTTATCATTAGTAACTTGATTTTTTATGCTTAAAGGAAATTAAATCCATTCTTTTTTCATCAGAATGAAGTAGCCTCAAACATAAACAATTTAAAAATTCAGACAGTATCTTTCATCAGGCTGAAATATGCCTAAAAATCACAGTGTTCCATACAGTTTATCATTGCTGATTATGTTAACACAATTATAATATTTTGTATTTCAGAATGGCAATGTAACTTTTTCCAAAGGACACATGAAACCTTTTTATCAACATCCTTTTGTGCATTGCTAGGTCATATAAGTTCCTTTCTAGAATATCCCCTAATTTAGTTTTCCTTTGAATAATTGTTTAATGGATAAAGTGTATTTTTTTCTCTAGAAATCCCTTTGACCTTTACAGAAGACTGGACTTATAACTGAACATTATGCCAATAGAAATGATAAGATTTGTTCTAATGCTTCAGAAATTTGCTTGAAGATAGTAGTGTTAGTAAATATTCAAAAGCTGTTTTCTTACACAGAAATATTTTTAGCAAAATGAATAATGCAATATTATTAAGCATTGTTTCTGAGATTTTTAAAAAGTATTTTTTTAACCCTTGATGCAATTGCTTGTTTTTACTTTAATTTTATCTCACCAGCTAGCAAATATATAATAACTTATTTTCATCTTCTTTTATTACCTTAGGCATTCACTATAATTCCTGAATTTAGATTTGGGATAAAATAGTGTATAATAAAAAAGGCAAACTAGTGTTGTTTATTGAAATCGGGACAAAATTGTGTATATGGTTACATCAGGTATGTTTTCAAAACCATGTTTTAAATCGCCTGTTTCATCTTTGCATAAGAAATTGTAAACAACCTTCGATTATGTTGAAACTTCAATAATACTAAAACGTTCTCTTTGGCTGTTCTTTATTTTCCAGTCTGTTATTCAAGGACATTTATAATTTTTTGCTTCAATACTTTTCCAAATTACTTTCTTTTTTTCTTTACTTCCTTTTTAGTAAATATTATGTTCTTTCATAATAAGTCTAACTACTTTGTCTGAAGATGATTACCATGTAATATTACTTCCTCACTGATATTATGCATTTATTTATTTATTAATTTAATTTTTATTTTTTTGAGAAGGAGTCTCACTCTGTCACCCAGGCTAGAGTGCAGTGGTACAATCTCAGCTCACTGCAACCTCTGCCTCCCAGGTTAAGCGATTCTTCCGCCTCAGCCTCCCAAGTAGCTGGGATTAGAGGCATGCACCACCACGCCCAGCTAATTTTTGTATGTTTAGTAGAGACAGAGTTTCACCATGTTGACCAGGCTGGTCTTGAACTCCTGACCTCAGGTGATCTGCCCGCCTTGGCCTCCCAAAGTGCTGGGATTACAGGCGTGAGCCGCCATGCCCAGCCTATGCATTTATTTTTATTGAAATGCCTTGCCACATCTTCACCCATGAAAGTTCCATATTACCCCCAAAGCTCACATGTTACCTGCTCCATGAATTTGATACTAATTATCTGACTTACCTCTTTCCTAAGCTGCTCTAACAAACTTACCGTGGGCACTGTTGCTATTGTATGCACTCTTGTATTTGTCCTGAGATTCCAGCTAGACTGAAAGACTTCAAGGGTAAAAGAAAAGTATTTGAATTTGTTCAGTATCTATTACCTGTTACATAGTAGAACCTGAATATGTGTGATTTCATTTTAAATCTGTTACTTATATATGGTTATTATAATTAATATTTGTGCATAAGAATTAAACCATAAGCAGCTGAACAGAAAAAAAAGAGAAAATGTCTTAATTAAGGATGATGGACAAAAGAGAAAATAGACAGTATGCTGGTGGAAACAACGCAGGTACAGAGGCTAGACACGTTTGTTCCCTTCACCACCATTTTGATTAAAGAGGTGTCTGAGCTAACTGACCCTGCCCAAGCATGCACATTCTCAGTAGTATCTCTTTTTATCAAGAGCCTCGCCTCAATCCGTGCAGCCTATTCTCAACAACATAGACAGAGTGACATTGTCTAAAGTTAAGTCAAATTATCTCAAACCTGTCTTAAAAATCTCCACTGGTTTCCCTTTTGGCTCAGAATGAAAACAAAATTACTTATTATGAACCATGTATGAGTCAAGATACTTTATAAGCAGTAACAAGCAGCCCCCAGAGTCTTAGTGGTTTCAAATACAACCCAAGTTTACTTCTGCCTTCTGCTATGTTTTCATTGCGGCGGTTGTGAGTTCTTTCCTTTATAGGCATCCAGGGATAAAGACTGATAGAGCAGGCAATATCTCAAGTATGTTTGACACCATGCTGAGGCAAGTATATACTCTGGACTCTGGCCTACAAGAATTACATGTCATGTTTTGCTCACAAATCTTTGTCCAGAGCCCTTTTACATAACTGCACTGAAACATGGGGGCAGGAAATAGAAATATACCTGAAATGGTACTTGAAAAGGTACCCATGGGGCCTTATGTGATCACATCAGCCTCTGCCCATGTTACCTCTGAGATCTCATCTCCTATTACTCTCGCCCTTACTTGATTTCAATTCTGCCACAATAGCTTCATTGCTGCTACATGAACACCCCATGCATGTTCTTACTGTTGCCTAAAATGTCTTATTTTAGGTATCTCCATGGTTAACTCCCTCCCTGCTCTCTGATCTTTACTCAAAAGAGACTGTTTCAAGGGGAACTCCCCTTGTTGTTTTATCTAAAATGAATGTCTCTGTAGATGTGTAAACAAATTATCATGACTGTATCCCAATAAAACTTTATGGACACTGAAAAATAGTGAGTGCCTCCCCACCTGCATGTTTTTTTTTCTCCTTGTTCACATAATATGTTGTCAGGGTCTCCCGGAAAATTAAAATTTAATGAAGAGCGGGAATTTTCATTTGCTTTGTGCTGCTATATTTTCAGCATATAGAACAGTGCCTCACCATGATAAGTGTTTAATAAATATTTGTTTGCATACATCTTAAGTAAAAATTATTAACAAGCCTCTTAACTTATTGCAATTATGACCACAATAGCATACTTGTAATTACAGTTTATAATTATTTGGCTACCATATGAATGTCTATTACATGCAAGCATTTTACTAGGTACTTTCTCATGGGCTGACTCATTTTGTTTCATGATAGCCCTGTAAAGTAGATACAGTCATCCCATTTTACAAATGAATAAGCTCTAAGAATTAGTTTGCTTAAGAACCCACAGGAATAAAACTAAGTTACCTGAACATGGTAAAGTTTTCATTTAATGTTTGGTTTTAGCTAAATAATTCTCCCTATAGACCTTTAAGTGTAAGAACAATATTATTTGTTCTAATGATAAAAGGAGGTAGGAGAAATTTGGTTACCTGCAATGATTTTCAAGTCATGAAAGTATACCAAATAAACATTTCACATTCACATTTCTGCAACTTTTCCAAGGATAATACCAGTCCTGAATCTTAACTAGATATTAGAATTATTTGGAAGCTTTAAAAAATGCTGATGACTAGTTCTCACCCACAGAAATACTGATTTAATGTACCCCAGGTAATTCTAATATGCAACTACCATTGCGAACCACAGAATTCGACGATTAGCTTAATCACTGAGTTTCCAGTGGTAGTGGTGGTGGAGATTTGTTGATACTGTTTGTCAGAAATGAGGAGTGTCTACTAATTTGTTTAAACTGAGTTGGATACCATTTCCCATTAATTTCATTGATAGAGGAAAATAATGAGGTAAGCATTAATTTCTTAAAATCTGGCACACATTTTCACACATACATCTTTCTCATCAGTCTTCTGTGTTTTTTTTTTTCAAGGGGAAAAATACGTTTTCTGATTTTGGTAAAAATAAATTGAAAAAGTTATTGGAGAATAGAGAAAAATTATGTCAACTACTATCCAATTTCCTTTTTGAGTTGTCAAATTGTTGTGGTTGGCAGAGGCTCAGAACCTACAAAAAGTCACTGTTTTATCTGGGATTATTTACATTTTCCTTCAAGTATCCAGTCCTGGTTTTGTACACTAAGGAAGTCAACTCCATTCTGGGGAATTGCTCTGAATGTGTTTTTGTTCTTGCATTGACAGAATTCTTGGTTTATCAGTACAGATGGCATGCTTCAATAGTGTAGTCATGCAGATCTTACTACATAGACTTCATTTCTCTTTAGGATGGCCAATATCATGAAAGGATGGTAATTCTCCAATTTTTCCATGAAATAACCATAATGGGTGTTAATATTAGTATTTGTTTTTACCTGTAACAATCTCTATTTTTTTAGCCATAATTTCAATTATGTTATAATAAAAAGAATTAAAGTGCTAATATGAGCATCTAATTCTGTTTTCCTCCTGGTGACATCTCCACAAAGTTGAGTTGCTTTAACTTTATTCTTATCTTTATTCAGACACTGAAATATTCTCAATCCTGGTGGTGAAAAATGGCCCATTATTTTAGTCCAGCTCATGAATTAATTCAATAGCTAGGCATAGTAACCTGGAAGGTGTTGGCTTCTATTTCAGATAAATTATTGTGAGAAAAAAATACAAAAGATTTGTTACAAATCGTGTGAATGATACAGCACCTTTATGGCATACAGTTTGTACAGTTAAAAAACAGCAAGTCTCTACCTCAGCTAATGCAATGTATATGCTACTCAGTGTTTCTAGGGTTGCAAAATGCCTGTAGAGCTGTCCCCGAAGAGATTTACTATTAGGATTCAGTTCTAGAATAAATGAGGAAGGGGTAATTCTCATTTCCTATTATTTATGAACTATCCTTGACTTATCATTCAAGCTCTCTAACTCAGTCAGCGTGCCTCAAATTCCTCACACTTTGTGCTTCAAATGCATACCTCGAAACATTGTTCGTCACACGCAACATGCTCTATCACAACAAATCACAACTTTTTGAAGAGCTTTTGAAATTTTAACTCTGTTGTCTTTCTGGGATTATCCTTTCTTCCTCTTAATGCTATGCTAAAAACATACACAACGTAGCCTAATTTAATGGTACCTATGATTTTGATTCACATTTATCTGGAAAATTTTCTCTTCTTTCTTAGGCAGTGGGACTTCTTTTGAATCAAAGAGCTTTTCAAACCATGTAAGGGCACATGGTTGTACAAGGGCTAACCAGAATTCTCACTGTACATAAAAAGAGGCCTTCTGGTTTTGAAATCTTTTATAGGTTTCTTCAATTACCTGTCATTAACACAACATGTGAGTTTTACTTCCAGTGCAGCTTTGCTTATTTCCTTGTCGGAGGATCTTGTATTAGATTTCTTGCTATATTCTTTATCATGTGCTCCAACATGCTCTATACTAAATTATCCCTTAAAAGGTTGACACAGAAAGTCCTAGAATCTGTTTGATTCTGCAAGGCCTTTGAAAGATGGACCCACAACCAGATGAGTTTTATTTGAACTGCATGTCTCATTTACACACTCCAGTTCTACGTTAATATTTTCAAGACTCAGCTTGGAAGAAAAGAGAGTACTGAAGTAGCATCTTACTATACCATTTATGTAGATTTTATTGTACCCAGATTTCTTCAAATAGCCTAAAAAGTACTGTGTTTGGAATTAGAGAACAATTTAATTCCTCACTCTCTTACATGTTTGTATTAGGGTTCTCTAGAGGGACACAACTAATAGAATATATATAAGATGGGGAGTTTATTAAGTATTAACATATACAATCACAAGGTCCCACAGTAGGCTGACTACAAGCTGAGGAGCAAGGAGAGCTGGTCCAAGTTTCAAAACTGAAGAACTTGGAGTCCAATATTCGAGGGCTGGAAGCATCCAGCACAGGAGAAAGATGTAGGCTGGGAGACTAGGCCAGTCTCGCCTTTTCACATTTTTCTGCCTGCTTTAAGTTCGCTGGAAGATGATTAGAGGGTGCCCACCAGATTAAGGGTGGTTCTGTCTTCCCCAACCCACTGACTCAAATATTAATCCCTTTGGCAACACCCTCACAGATACACCGGAGATTAATACTTTGTATTCTTCAGTCCAATCAAGTTGACACTCAGTATTAACCATCACAATATTAAATGGGCCATGTTGAGAAACTCTAAAAATCTTGAACTTCAAATTTCTTTATTGCTACTTTTCTTTCAAGCCTATTTGAGTTAAATGGATTTGTGTATTGGCTGAGGATCTAAAAGCACCATACAAATGTGCTAGACATTCTTTTGCTGCTCAAGATTCAAAATCTCTCTTTCTCCAACCTGCTCTGTGCTCCAGGAACTGAGCCTATGCTTAAAGAAGACTTCCCTGTCCTCTAGCTCTCAGTTGGACAGGGAGAAGCGCTAACGGAAAGCGGGAAGGAGGAAGGATGGAGAACTCAAGGCATGTTTTCTACTGGCTTCCTCTTTGCTAGGTCGCAGTTTGCCATTGACGGTCTCTGCTATTAATATTTTTCTCTACCAATATCTACAACTGTTTTTGGGTGTTCACTCTCCCATACCTACAGTTCCAGATGGTTCCTGGTAACTGCTCCTTCCTAGCTCCTTCAGGTCCAAGCCTTGGCCTCCCAAAGCTCTGAGATTACAGGTGTGATCCACCATGCCCAGCCTGCACCAACATTATTTTGATACACAGTTTTAATAATTATTTTTGAGATATATACATATATGTATTTATGTGTTCTAAAGAAAACCATACATTTAGGAATGGGATAGTGTGTCTGCATGTATGTGTGTATGTAGAAAATTTAGAAAAATATAAATCTCCATATATCAATATAAATTTTCTCATTAATACATTAATTATCTACATCTATATAGATATATCAAAAATAATTCTTAAAACTGTACATCAAAATACTATTGATGCAGGCTGGGCATGGTGGATCATACCTGCAATTTCAGAGCTTTTGGAGGCCAAGGCAGGAGGATTGCTTGAAGCCAGGAGTTTGAGACTGGCCTGGACAGCATAGCAAGACTCCACCTCAACAAACAAATAAATTAGCCAGGTATGGTGGCTCACACTTGTAGTCCTAGCTACTTGGGGACTTAAGTGGGAGGATTGCTTGAGCCCAGGAGGCCAAGGTTGCAGTGAGCAATGAGCTATGATCATACCACTACACTCCAGCCTGGTTGACAAAGATAGACCCTGTATGCAGCCATGAAAAAGGATGAGTTAATGTCCTTTGCAGGGACATGGATGAAGCTGGAAACCATCATTCTCTGCAAACTAACACAGGAGCAGAAAACCAAACACTGCATGTTATCACTTATAAGTGGGAGTTGAACAATGAGAACACATGGGCACAGGGAGGGGAGCATCACACACTAGGGCCTGTCAGGGGTGGGGAGCTAGGGGAGGGATAGCATTAGGAGAAATACCTAATGTAGATGACGGGTTGATGGGTGCAGCAAACCACTATGGAACGTATATACCTATGTAACAAACCTGCACACTCTCCACATGTATCCCAGAATTTAAAGTATTAAAAAAAAAACTGTTGATGCAGATACTTACGTATTAATCGATAAGGTTGAAGCTACTATAATAGTACTTAAAATTAATACTCTAAACCAGTAGAAAAAAATGTGTGTTTACACACACACACACACACACACACACACACACTTTATCTCAAATAGAAATCACTCATAACTCCATGGCTAGAGTAGCTTTATTCCTAATCCAAAAAGCTTTTTGACAGAGTGATACTTTATTGTTATCAAGTTATTTTTGCACTCAAATGTGAGAAAATCTGGGGTGTGGCAATTTCTAGATTATTCTCCTAGAAAACCTTGGCTATAAGAGTTTGAGGATATTCATCTTTGAGGTTCATATGCATTCTCCTCTCTCATGGATGTACCATGCCTACATCCCACACTCAGCTCACCAGCTGAAAATCCACCTTTACTCTTTCAGATGCTTATGTATTATTATTCAAATAACTTTCCATCTGCTCTAAACACTTTTAATAATAAGGCAATTTGCAAACAAACAACGTTATTTGTAACCAGTGACTAGTGGCATTCATTCCAGAAACAATGTTACCCAGCTGAATACTACTGCTCTCAAAGCTCAGCCCATAGTCCTTCAAGCACAGCACAAGTGGGAGTCTCTGTTTTAGGAACATTCTTCACAGCTCCCTAGTGTTCCAGGAGTAAGTTAACTCTCCATTCATTATTCACATGTCTACCTCTTTAGTTCCATTCTGAGACAGGATAAAAACTGGCTTCTTGTTGAATGCAATTTACCTCAACCCAAAGTTGCCATTCTGTTCCTTGTGGTTTGAGGTTTGGTTTTTTTGTTTGTTTGTTTTGTTTCTATTTTATTTTTTTATTTTTAAGAAAACATTAAACAATGGCAGTTGTTCTAATCATTGCTCTTTCTGGGCTTTGACTCGGCTATAAAGGGAACTTGGTATTAGGATATGTATATAATTTCTGCCAGATATTTTTCATCTATTTATATTTCATTGTAAAATTTATCACAGTTTTCTGCGCTATTTACAACATTGTATGTACTTATATTGAGATGAAACCAGTCTTCCCTGAGAAGACTCACTTTTGCTTTTGAACCTATCATCTCAGTTACCGTCAAACACTAAAGTGATGGTTTGAATTTGTGATAATGTGTCTCCTATCTCTTGGTGTGGAATATATTCTTACTAGGATTACCTGAATTAAATTGCTAACCTTAAGAATGAAGGGAAGATGCTTATTATTTCAGCTCTTGATAGATTTTAACTTTATGAGATTTATAATTAGTGTGAGTAAGATCAATGATATTTGAAGTTCATTGAATTTTCAGCTAGGTGATACTCACTATTTTCTTTTGGAGCACCCACTCAATATAAGCCTTTGTTGGTCTGACAAAAATTGCATTCAGTGTGATATTTTGGTAAGTACTCTAGCATAAGAAAAAGTGCTTGGATTCCCCTAAACTTATGTTTGCATATAGATTCTCATACTTATTAGTTACATTAGGTTGGCCAAATTTAATACTGTATTGTATTGATTTAAAATTTGTATCGAACATGAGAGGCTAAAAATACCTGCCATAGCTGGTTGTGAATAGCTAATCAACAAATATATTGTAAATTTTCCCACTTATACTCTTTTTTTTTTCTTTTTTCTTTTCTTTTCTTTTCTTTTTCTTTTTTTTGAGATGGAGTTTTGCTCTTGTTGCCCAGGCTGGAGTGCAGTGGCACGATCTCGGCTCACTGCAACCTCCGCCTCCCCGGTTCAAGCGATTCTCCTGCCTCAGCCTGTGAGTAGCTGGCATTACAGGCATGGGCTGCCACACCCGGCTAACTTTTTGTATTTTTAGTAGAGATGGGGTTTCACCTTGTTAGCCGGGATGGTCTCGATCGCCTGACCTTGTGATCCGCCCGCCTCGGCCTCCCAAAGTGCTGGGATTACAGGCATGATCCACGGCGCTCAGCCTCTAGTCTTCTTTTTCACTTTTCTTATATTGCAGATTAGGAAAACTAACTACTAGGAGGTATGCAGGGAAAAGGCAGACTTTTACTAATGTTTTTTAAATTGTGATAAAATACACATAACATATAGCTTACCATTTTAAGCATTTTTCAGTGTACAGTTCAGTAGAGTCAAATTCATCCACGTTGTTTTCCACCAAACACCAGAATGCTTTTCATCCAGCAAACTATAATTCTATACCCATAAAATAGCAACTCACTAGGCACCCTTTCTCCCACAGACTTGTTGTTTTATAAATATTTTTATGATCACAGCAAACTTAGTAAAAATTAAAGATTTATTCCAAATCATTGTGCTTCATTAACATGAGTTATAATCACATTTACTATACAACTCATTTTCCAAAAAAAATTCTATTTTAAAAGATAAATCTACTCTTTTCAAGTAAAGTTCATTTGTTAAAAGAATATGGAAATTATTTTACTGGTTTCCTCAAACTTGCTTTTAGAAAACAGTTACTACATCTATAAATAGATAGAATGTGTGGGTTAGGATCTTTGCTACGGATAAGTCATGTTTGATAACAAACTTGTGGGGCCTGAATTTTTTTTTTTTTTTTTTTTTTTGAGACTGAGTCTCACTTTGTCACCAGGCTGGTGTGCAGTGGCGTGATCTTGGCTCGCTTCAACCTCAGCCTCCCGGTTTCAAGTGATGTTCCTGCCTCAGCCTCCCAAGTAGCTGGGATTACAAGCACATGCCACCACTCCCAGCTAATTTTTGTATTTTTAGTAGAGACGGGGTTTCACCATGTTGGCCAGGATGGTCTCCATCTCCTGACGTTGTCATCTGTCGGCCTCGGCCTCCCAAAGTGCTGGTATTACAGGTGTGAGCCACCACGCCCAGCCCTGAAATGTTTAACTGTTGGCCAGCTCTCTCCTGACTCTAATCTTGGCTTAAAATGTGAATATTTTTATAGATATTTTAAACTTTGCTCAAAGTAGGTTAATACTAATTTCTAGAGTTGTATGTATATATACATATAACACACAACTTACATATATATATGCATACACAGAGATAGAGGTTTATTTTCCTATTTTTGAATTTTTAGTTTCCATTTATATGGGTTATAGTCTGGGGAAATAAATAAATAATTGACTCAGGAACATGGAAACAATTATTCTTAAGTATCATTTAGGTATTTTTTTAACTCAGAAACATTTGTGTTTGATTTCAATAAGAAAGAACATACTCTGCTATATAATAGCCTTTAGTTGTAAAGATTAAGCAAATTAATAAATGTAAAGCACTTAAAGCAACACATATAGAAACATAGAAATTACTCAAAGATTGTTAGCTATTATAATTATTGCTGCTGTTACTGTCATCATTATTACTTGAGGGATTAAATGGAATGAACAGCGAGCCTTATTTTTACCAGAGTTACAGTTGGCAAACCTCAGAGATACACTCTACCCAAGATACCTGCCCTTGAAAATATGCGTCCAAAGTGTATCTTATAGGTGGTAAATACTATGAATGAATTAGGTTCTTTAATTCTGCAAATGCAAGGTACCTTCCAATCTAAAATATATGTTAGACATAATCTAAATCTTTGTGCCTTCTTTAAAAAAGCAGCAACTAATATATAGCTTTTTAATTGGAAATATCTTTTAAAAATGTGTATGCCTCCTAAATTACATTTGCAGCTAAAAGATTAAACCTCTGCTTTGCTCTCTGTGGATGTTATTGTCTATATTCATAACTCAAACAGAAGTAACTTGCTAATTTTTGTATTTTTAGCAAAGAAAGGAGGAAGCATTGTGTTCCTTCTTATTACTGCAAAAGTGCATTTGAGTGTGAGAGGAAAGATGCAGAGGGTATTTCAAAATGCTCTCATTATTATGAGTTGAGCTTTTATTTCTTTCAGGGTACTTTTTAGAATTCATTTTACAATAGATGCAAACTTTTCCCACATAATAATACTTTATTTAATTCCAATTGAATCCCACCTTCACATTCAATTTCATTGAATTTCAGTCTTTAAAAATCTTCCCCATTCCCCTACTTGCAATATTGTGATCTCTACATTTGGAGAGATACTTCAGGATAACAGCTATCATTGGCCAAGCCTGTATGGCTATAAAGCCTAGTAGCTCTTCTAATTTTCTTCCACATTTGGTAATCTTTGTACAGCCTTGGAAGCAAAGTTAAACTATTACATTTCTATTCTAACAGAGTCCAGACTTCTGGAACTGAAAAACCAGGAATGCAATTTGTCCGTAGGCTACTTCTCTTTGATTCAGTACATAATGAGCCCCTTTCTAAATTAGTGGCCCATAATCTTTAGTGTGTATCAGAATCACCTGAGAGCTGTATAAAGCACACATTGCTGGGCTCAACCACTAGAGTTTCTGATTCTGTAAGTGTAGGGTATTCGCAGGGATGGAGAATTTACATTTCTAACAAGTGGTCAGGTGTAGCTAATGCAACTGGTCTGATGTCCTTACTTTGAGAAACTCTACTTTGAGAACTCTTTACAGGGTGTGTGGTGAGGTAAATGTTCTATGAAAAGGAAAAAAAGAAGGTGCATATCTCAATACATTACCTTGCCCAATTTTTTGCAGGTATATAGGGAGTGCATGTACAGAATATACAGCCAGACAATGAGTGATTAAAAGCTTGGCATTGACATACACTTGGAAAACTTACAGAATCTGTTTTCTCATCACTTTAACTAACAGAAGCTTCTTGCAAGAGTGGTTGTGAATATTCAATAGTACTTTCAAAAATGCCAATTACTGTCTTACTTTTACAGATCTTTCCAAAATATCAGTGTGGAAAATGGAAACAGCACAGTCTTTGGAGTAAGACATGTCTGAGTTGAAACTTTGGTTTCCTACCACATCCCAAATCTATGCACAACAGGTGAATTGGCATGTATCCATGATCCCAGTGTGATACATGTATAAAAACATTAAAAATAAAACAAATGGAGTGACCTGCAGGTTATTTACATATTCTAAGTTGACAGAGATTTAAATAAATTACATTATTAAATCAGAAATCAGAAGATTTGTAAGTTCCTATTGGGATAAAAGGGGACTAACATCAGGACAGGGAACCCAGGGGCTTTGAAGATATGGATAGAATTCTATTTCTGAAGATGTTTGGTAGGTTTATGGGTGGTATGTTTTGTTATTCTTTAAAATGTGCAAATACATTATTGTGTTCTTAATATTTTTGGAGTATATCATTTGTACAGTACAAATGAATGCACTGGAATATATAAATATGCCAGTGAGTTTTACTGCAGGAAATAAATTAATTTTAAATTATGTTACAAACATCAAAATAATACTTTAAAAATTTTTTGGACTAGAATAAGAATGATACTGAGATGATCACCTCTGGGCTTCCTCCCTCACCTTTGAACATCCTATTCATCCGATGAGTTATACGCAGCACCCCTCTTCTTGTGGAAACTGGAATAATCCATTTATTTCCTTTGAATAGCTCTTCATCATTTTCATTGATTTCCTTTCTGTGAGTAAAATATTCTTTGATTTCTTATGTCATTTTACTTTTCTCTTCAGGCTATCCATCTCTTCTCATGCCTTGTAACCTCTGGGAGCTCCCGTTCTCTGATTACTTCTCTGACTTAGGGTAGATTTCCTTCGAAACTGCTGAGGCATTTTTTTCCTCCATCACCCCAACTATGTGTGTGTATTCTACTGTATCGATATCTGCCATAATTTGATGTACTTGAAATTCCCTTTCTTTCTTGTTCCCGTCTGTCATGGCAAGCAACATACACAAAGGATCTCTGCAATAAGCAATTTTCTTGCTGGACTGCTGTGGGCAGTGACTGGGACTTTTATAGTAAGTATTTATGCTGTTAGTGCCAGGAAGATTTGAGACAGCATTATCCTGAGAACACCAAGCCCTGTATTGCACTTCTATTTCAGGGGCAATTATTGGACAGTGCATGGAAATGTTACAGAAAAAAAACCCACACTATTTTCTAACAGGCAAGTTAAACAATGCCAATGATTGCTGATAATTCACATAAATACTACACATTACAACTTTACGATGCAGCAAATACTGTGCTATGCTGATTTTTCATTTTAACAATGTAAAAACTTTGATCTGACAGTAATAGGCAAAAGGCCCAATTGAAGAAAAGAAATTAGGAGGAGAAGAGAGGATTGGACCAGAGAAAAATTATGAAAGAAATAATTCCCTTTGGGTACTGATGTGTTACTTGTAGTTTATGAAACTTAATCGGGAGATAAAATTCTGGATAAGAACATAATAAAAAACTTTTAATTTCTTGTTCTCTGTCAGCATAATCCACTTTTATGTGCCTCGGCTTTTTCATATGCTCCATCAAGGCTAAGAGATATCACGTAAAAACTTTGGGGAATGAACTTCTAAATTGGCCCCTTATATCAAGAAGCCTAAAATCAAATGCTGTCATTCACTTTTTAAAACAAAATTTGTCATGTGCTTTTTTAAATAAAATAACTTTAATCTTAATTTTTACTAAGGAAACAGGAAATGCATAAACTGTAAAAAACATGTAAATCTCCTGAAATCATACTACAAATGATATGCATAAAATGATTTGTTTTATGTATTACATTGGGTACATAATTTATCCAAACATATATAATCAGTCACTTAAGATGTTTATGCTATTTAAATATTGTATATGCACACACATCATGTAGCTGTGCAATACTTGCTGCATAATTAACTATATAGATATAACAAACTTCCTTTTCCTATAGAGTTATAATCGGTTATTATTATGAACAATGCTGAAAAACTTATGCATATATCTGCACTATTATTCATAATTTTCTATACATATTCCTAAAAGAAGAATGGCTGGAATCAGTGGATATATATCTATTATATATCCAATATATTTAGATATATTTTTTCTAAATGCCTCACCTAAAATATTCTTACCAGTTAAAATTACACTGAACAGTTTCTGAATGGCTGTGTTTTCTCATCCTTAACAATACTAGAACTTATTCTTGTAACCTCGCGAATAGAGTAAATACAAATGGTAGCCACTTTGTATTTTAGTGAAATTATTCAAATAATACCCAAAATTAACATCTATCTTAGGTTGGGTTCCTTGCGAAACAGACCCTGAAATGCAGATTTGAGAGTAGGAATTTAATTGGGAAGTGCCTGCAGCAATAACTGTAGGAGATTGGGTTGGTCTGGGTAGAGACTGTAGAAACTCAATGCGGTTGACAAATGCAGTTATAAGATAGTTCTGCAGAGTACTTAGGAGCTAGCGTGGTCTTTCTGAGTTTTCTTGAATTAAGGCATGCAGATACTCAAAGTGTTTGTATATTCCCCTTTACTCAGTTCATATTTAACCAAGGAAATGGCCACAGGTTCTTTTGGAAAAGAAATGGGGAGTCATTATCAACAACACCTGCTGAATTGCAGGGTTGCTCCTGTGAGATTATTTTTTCCTTCAGTCAATGAGTTCTGGCTCCATTATGGAAACTTGGAAAGGACTGTATTTCTTTTGGGATTACTACTGTATTCTTCTGATTGTCTGTCCTTGATTTCTTTTAACTGTACAGATTGAGCAGCACCCTATTGCCTGCCCATCAATCTTGCCCCTAAGAACACTACCTTCTCTTAACATCTCCATAGGTGTTTGCGGGTTAGGCTTTGCTGAATATCATTCAAAACTTGCTGCTCATTACATTTGGGTCCACTTTGCTTATCAGAGCTAAGCAACACCACTTTGCCTCTGTATTTTCTCAATTCTATCATTTCCATCCCTATCAGTGAGCCAGAATTTTCATATTCAAGTTTTTTTCTCATGTATGAATGTTGCTAACCTAAGATTAAGTCCTTTAACCTTTCTATGCTATAGGCTTCTCTTTGGTAAAATAAAAGTAAAATGTTTTATTTCAATCTCATAATCTTGATTCCAGGACAAAATGAATGAATTAAAATGTGTGATGTATTTCATAATATTGCAGTTTTAAACAAATATAGCATTGTCTTTTTATTCCTTTTTATAAAACCATTCAATCTTCACATTATACTGCTAATACCTCAAAATATCCTGTCTTAAAATGTTGGAAAAATCACATTTTCCTTTACCATAACTCCCTGTTTGCAAGAATTCACCGTTACAAATTTGCATCCAGAACAAAAATGATTTTCCTTCTAGCCGTTATAGAATATAATACTTAAAACACTGTAGATCAAGATACTTAAAATATGACATGGAATCAAGGAACAAGACAGGACCCCAGAATTTCAGTGTAAAGAATAATTTGACTGAAAGAGCATTTCTGAGAACTGACAGATGACCATGTTCACTGTCTATGGAAACACATTGAGAGATGAGCACATTCCACGCATGTGTCTAGGGCAGAGTGTACTTTTACATTCTAGGACCCAGAGGCCTAATGGAAGAATCATCACTTCTCTTCCTTTGCCCCAATTATTATTATATACCTTCCCCTATCGGGTAGCTCCTAATTTGTCAATTATTTTGCTGCTGTTGATCATTTGATCATTTTTAATTGGTTGTTTTATTATAATACCAGAAAAATTAATATCACATCTACCACAACAAAACAGTTTCATGGGTGTAAAGTTAATTTCCAAAACAAACATCTCCAGTCTCACTATGAAAAGTCTTTAAAAAGGCAAAGAGCTTTGTAGTAATTTGTGTTTTCGGGATTCTGAATAGTAGTTTTCTTTTAATACAGATTTCTTTTGTTTTTATATTTTAAATACTTATCTACACCAAATTTTAGAAACAATATAATGGAGAGAGGTATATATCACCAATATTTAATAGATTTTAATATTTTGCCACATTTGCTTTTTTTTTTTTTTTTTTTAAGATGGAGTCTCACTCTGTCACCCAGGCTGGAGTGCAGTGGCGCAATCTCGGCTCACTGCAGCCTCCGCTTCCTGGGTTCTAGTGATTCTCGTGCCTCAGCCTCCTGAGTAGCTGGAACTACAGGCGCCTGCCACCACTCCTGCCTAATTCTTGTATTTTTAGTGGAGACAGGTTTTCGCCATGTTGGCCAGGCTGGTCTTGAACTCCTGACCTCAAGTGATCCGCCCACCTTGGCATCCCGAAGTGCTGGGAGTACAGGTGTGAGCCACCACATCTGGCCTTTGCTTTCATACTTTATATATTTTTGTTATTTCATTTTTATTTTATGAAATGTCATATTAATATACCATTTATGTAGTTTAAAATTTTTGCATTTTCTTATAGAGGCTTGGCTTCAAACTATATAGAATAATTTGACCATAATCTATTTAGTAAACCAGATAAATTTTTATCTTGCCTAAGAGGCGTTTTCTCTTGAAATCTGAAGCTTTTATGATCTTTTCAAAGTTATAACTATAATTGACACTTTTCTCAAGTTAAAATTCTTACAGTATTGTAGCCTTTTAAAAAATGAAATTAATACCTGGTAAGCTGACAACAAATTTTTGTCATAGATTTTTGAAAATGAGTGGATTATCCTGTATTATATTCTTGATTGGATGGGTTAACGATTTATTCAGAATTATTGAGAGTTTGGCAAGGACCAACAAAATAAATGAATGAAAAGGAATCTATTATGGCAATTGTAATTAGAGCATATGTATGTATTCCTCTTTTTCATTCTGCATACTTGTCAACTTTAGAAAAGCCATTGAATAAAACTGAATATTAAATTTGGAAGTGTGAACCATTTGACAACTTGAAAATAAAAGCATAAAATTTGGGATAAGCTATTGAACATCAGAAATAAAAATACAAATTGTTATTAACATACTATTATGCAGGGATTCCAATTTCAAGAAGCAAGACTAAGAGCCACATTTTAATAATTAAAATTTTCCTGGGTTTCCTTAATAGACTTACTCTGTGAGCAGTCAAAGCTGCCATACCTATAGATGGCGAGGTTCAATTTTCCACTTTTTGTGTTGCAAAACCACAACAAAGTCAAATTTTGAATTATCTACAAATCGGTTTTAAGGTTTGAATTACTCTCCAAACTATATCAATCATTCCACGTTTTATGTACGGTAACTAATAAGTATGGTAGTGAACTTTATTAAAATTTGCAAAAAGTATGTCAGAAGGCCATGAGCAAATAGGAAGAAAGGTTTAAAAAACCTAGGTAGAATGCTAGGTGGTTGATAGATTGGAGGGACAAAAATTTCACCAAGCCAAAAACAAAAAACACGTACAGAGAAAATATATTTAATCAATATTTTGTTGGAATAACTGGATAACAATTAGAAAAATAGACAAAGAAATACAAATAGACTTTTAAATAATTTATGTATAGTTTGTAATTATACGCATTTGTTTTCTAATGAAAAATATTGAAGACTTATCAGATCTGTGGAGCCATGACAATATCCTCATATTTTCTATAATGAAAAAGAATATTACTGTGCATATATACTTAAAATGATTTTTAGAATGAAAGGTAAGAAAACAATCAAAAGAAGAGTAAGCAAGAAACATATTTGCACCTAAATGTTATGGAAAATATATGAAATCTCAGTCAAAGTGAAAAGTAAAAAGGAACTGAATGATCAAGTGAAAAATAAAATAGATTCAATAATAAATATGTCTCACTCAGAGTTGGTGGTATTAAAAATCGGTAAAAAACCACCAGAAAGCAATATGGCAATATTAAGTTTTAATCATGCAATGTAGTAAACAGCTTATATCTACTCGTTCTGATAATAAAAATGTATTCTAGTGGCCCAGCGCGGTGGCTCACGCCTGTAATTTCCAGCACTTTGGGAGGCCAAGGTGGGTGGATCATGAGGTCAGGAGTTCAGCACCGGCCTGGCCAAGATGGTGAAGCCCCGTCTCTGCTAAAAATACAAAAATTAGCCGGGCGTGGTGGCTGGCGCCTGTAATCCCAGCTACTCCGGAGGCTGAGGCAGGAGAATGGCGGGAACCCGGAAGGCGGAGCTTGCAATGAGCCAAGAGCGCGCCACTGCACTTCAGCCTGGGCGACAGAGCGAGACTCCGTCTCAAAAAAAAAAAAAAAAAAAGGTATGCTAGTAACAGATTTTAACAGACTTTTAATATATATCCAAATGTATTTTTGTACTATATATAAAGGGAGGTAATTGCTTTTGTAGCATTTATAGTAGGTTTTATATAATCTATATGCCTTATGATGGTAAAATAATTTTTAAAAACAGGTAATAGTGTGGAAAATTATATAGTTTTTAAAATTAAAATCAGTTACTTTCATTTTCAGCCAAGATGAAGTAATTGAACTGGATTTAATTTTCAGTCTAAAACATTTTTCTTCTGCCTATCTACACTGAAAGAAGTGTTAAATCTTTCAGGGAAGATAAAAATGGAAATACCCAATAGAAATAAGGATCTACACAAAGGAAAGAAATACGTAGTAGTTACACTGGTTAATATGTTACTTTTTCTAATTTAAATTTCCTTAAGAGATAACTACTTAAACTTAGTAACAATATATTATTTTATAACATGCAATAGTATGCTGAACAATAATAAGCATAAAGATTGGGTGAGGAGAAATGTTTAAGTGTACTATTGTAAGTTTCTCATACGATATGTGTAGCGATATAATATCACTTAAACATAGTGATAAATAAAAAGTATACATCAAAAACAAACAATAAAACAGCAAGCAATAAAAAATTATAGCCAATTTGCTAACAAGAGGATATAATGGAATCGTAAAAATAATGAAAAAAGAGTAAAACAAAAAAGGGAAACAAAAAACAAATGGAAAATATACAACATAGTGAGATAAACCAAAATATGTCAATTTTCATATTAAATATAGAAGTAAATAAAAAGTCAAATGTTGTAAATAGATAAAAAGCAAGACTGAATTATATGCTTCCCACAAGAAACAGTCTGTAAATGAGAACTGAGTTAAAACTAAAATGATAATAAAAGCCAAATACAATGCTAATACTATTAAAAAAATTGACACACTATACAAAGTAAAGTTTGGAACAAATATATTACTAAGGATAGAGAAGTCTATTTTAGAATGACAAAAAGTTTATCAATAAGACATTATAAACATTTATGAACTTCAAGCACATGAAACAAAATCTAATAAAATTTCAGGAAGAAGTAGACAAAGCTACAATTTTAGTTCAAAATTTTAATTCTTTGCTCTCAATAATTGAGAAAACAATTAGAAAGAAAACGAGAATATAGAATATTTGAAGAATGCTATCAACTAATTGACATTTATAGAACACTGGAACCAAATATAGCAGAATATACATTATTTTGAAGAGCACATTTTCCAAGAGAAGATACATTTTGTGTTATACAACAAGTATCAATGAATTAGAAATGATTCAGTTCCCAAGTATGTTCTTTGACCACGGTGGACTCAAAATAGCAGTCATTATTTGAAAGAAAATCTTCCAAATATTTGTAAACAAAATAGCACAATTCTTAACAATACATGCATCACTGAAGAAGCACTAGAGTGCCCTGTATATCGAAAATACAAAACAAATTTAATTTTTTATTTGTCTAGTAAATTATACCTAGGCACCTCCATCACTCAACATCTTGCAGTCAGCACTGTCAGAACTCCTCTCATGACCTCAAATTTTCTGTTAAAGATAGCAGTTGTCCAGGTACTAGTAAAACGGTTCCACAACCTCATTTGCTCAATGCCCTCAAAACAAAAGACAACTTCACTAAAGTATCACGAAGACAACTTCACTAAAATATCAGCTTGTGCTGCTGTAGTTTACGTTGTGGAAGTACATTTCAAAGTGCACTTTCTTCTAAGATTATAATATGAAGTATCATTTTCCAGTATTGCCATATTCCTGCTTCTTTCCATATTTCTATTTGCTATTGGTTCTAAAGCTACTTGTGAATTAGCATAATATTTGTAATAGTGTTTATTGAGAGCTAAAGAACCTTTTGCAATCTGAAAAACTTTACATTATGAATTTGTACACTTATTGGCATAAAGGCAATGTGCAAAGTGTAATACTAGTTTTTACTTGCACAGGAAATAGGATTCATACCATTAATTATAGGGTCTTGGAAAAAGGTTGAATAAATGGCAAGCAATACACAATACGATGAAGACATAAGTACCGATATGGGACTTTGGTAATACATTCTTTAAAAAATCATATTATGTGCTCAATATTTCACCAAACATATTTTTGCATTGATGGCAGTAACAGCAAAATTTTTCAAACTTTTAAATACAGTGGAAGGCTGAGAAAGAAAAAGTGTACAAGACACAATTTTGTCAAAAAAATCCATAAGAATTTTATGCCCTCCATAGAAAATAAATTGAAGTTTTACTAAGAGATATCCTGGTCTCAACTGTGCCAATAGCAATTATATCCTTTGGAACAACTTAAAGATAATATTCAGTAATTGCTGTATCTTCCCAAAGATGAAACGTATTGATGAAACATCAAATTTGACCTTACAACTACTCTTGGGCACACTATGGAAATTCAAATGAATACTATCAAATAATTTAGTTTTATATTAATCACTTTATAAAATGCTGTACCAAAAGAATTAAAAGAAAATCCTCAAAAAAGAAGCAAATTATGTTCTTTGACAGAAAAATTGAATTATTTTGAATTTGCAATATCCATAGTCTTTGGTATGAGCTGTTGTTGCAATTAATGCTGTGAGAAAAAACCCTTAAAATAATGGTAACAAACATAGTTTTTTTTTAATTTCACTTTTTAAAAAGGATTAAATGCACAAATTTTAGCAAGACCTGTTGAATCAAAACAAATTTTATATGAAATATAAAATATAAATTTCAATTTATATAAGGAAATTATAACAAAAGCAAAAATGTTTGTATAATTAAGAAGAATATTCAGGTATAAATGTTAAAAATAAATCTATGATAACATATTTTTTGTCCATTGAAGATCATAGGTATACTTTCAATTGAGAAGACATGTAAATAATTCTTGCAGTATAACACTATCTTTAATTTTCTTTATAATTTTCACTTTGAAAACATGGAGAGAGATATTAATTAATATTGTCAGCATATACTAGATGTTTCTTCAGGAGACAGTAAATATGTTGAAATAGGTTATAGTGATTCTTATATTGATAACATTAAAATATTTTAAAATAGTTTATGAAAATAACAGTTTATTTGTAATATCACATAATATTCAAAAGTATTGTCTAGGTAAAAATGTGTCAAATTTTGTGAAAATCTTGGTTATATGTTAATATTAACGATTTTGCTATAATGCAAGTACTTTTATTTTAAAAAAACCCAAAATATTATTTACATTTTAATTGTATTCATGTAAACATCACAGACTTATCAGCAGATCCTCCAGATTGGAGTCATAGTAAATAAATTTATTCTTAGATATTTATCAATCATATCAAATAAAACCATATCTCTACCTGTACTTTTCTTTTTAAATTAATAATATTTTAGTTGTAGTACATTGTGAGCATGGTTTTCAATTTTATTGTTATGTATTCTTTATGTTTATTGAAGTATGTTTGATAAATAAAATTGTATATAAGGTGCACAGCTTTTGATATGCACATATATTGTGAAATAATCACTACAATTCATGCTAATTAAGAAGCCCATCACCTCAAATAGTTATTATTTTCCTTATTTTTGTGGTGAAAACACTTAAGATCTATTCTGTTTGGAAAATTCGAGTATACAATACAGTATTGTTAACTATATTCACCTTGCTGTACCTCACATCTCCAAAGCCTCTTCATCTCATATAACTAAATTTGCACTTTGGCCAACATCTCCCTATTGTCTCCTCCCCTCATCCCCTAGCTACACGGGGTATGTAAGTCTCCATTTATACTCTTGTCTAGGGTCCTGCAAATGATAGGCATGGGGTGCCCCTGATGACCCATGTTGGACTTGTACCATGCATAAGTAATCATCAACAACAATAGTAGCAGCAAAAGAAACATTTATTGTATTAAGCCTCTGGGGTATGGGGACACTTTATATAGCCCGTTCTGATTAAAATGATGACCATGGTTGCTATTTTAATTGATGTATTGATATCTTTATGAATGACCATACTGTATATTCTCTGAACTTCCCAGAAAGCCCAGTACAAATTTAGAACTTTGTGATATCTTTAAATTCCACACTAGTATTTGGCAGCTGCCAGCCCCTATCTGCAGCTCATTAGGCTTTTTCTGCTCCACCCTGGTTCTTACACACATGGTGGGGCATTTTGTACACCCCTGAGACATAGAGTGGCTGGCATCACCTGTGTAGTTCTCTCTGGAAAAACAACAACAGCAAAAAACTCCAGGAAAGGTTGAGCATTGTTTGTGTATTTTAGGCCCTTTTCGCCAAAGAAATCTAGGATTCATGAAACCCCAACCAACAGCTGGAGGATGTGGGCTCTGAGTGAGCAAGTTCCCTTGGTTCTCAGTAACCTTCATCCTGTGGAGAGAAAGAAGTGGAGCTGGGGAGATGAGGAAGGAGGAAGCTGAGTTCATTCCTCAGAAGCTCCAGACCCAGGGCCAGGTTCCCTTTTGCTAGGTCTCAGGGCAGTTCTCCTGCCAGGAACTGTACTAGGAAAGGAGATACAGAGCTAAAATGCACATTTCAAGATGTCAGAGGAACTTACATTTTAGTGTGATTAATACTGGAAGGTTTACATGATTTAATATTTTCTGAACTGTAGGTTAACTATTGGAAGTACAATCATGAAAATGAAAACATTTTAATAAAAATGATAGTATTATTAAGTATAAATTATTGTTGTTATTGCTGTTCTTAGGTCACTTATGTGTGTCATTAACTTTTATCTTTGAAATTATTTTCTGAATTAGAAATTAATTTAAAAATGTTTAAAAAAATACCAGGTATGACACTCAATGGAATTTAAAAGATTAATGTAGGTCTTGAATGAAGGTAGGGTTTGGGGTTGAAAGAAATTAGAAATGATCTACTCTTGCATTTAAAATATAAATTTAAACGGAATGAATATGTTTCCTGCAGAATGGAAGACGTTAGCATTTTTCAGATTAATCTTGTACTCAACATTGACTTTTCCCCACTTTATGAGTTAGCCTTCTTCCATTCTTTCATATTTATCTTTCACACCACCTCACACTCATCTTAGTTTGGTTTTCCATATACAGCTATTTTGTTTCATAATTCTGCTAACTTGCGTTAAGATATTCCTTTAGACTGGTGCATTTGCCTGAATATACACCTACTCTTATATTTAAAATGTTGAGGTAATAAGTTTTAGGGAAACCCAACTGAGATATCCAACCCACTCTGTGTGATATTTGCATTTTATTCTGGGTGTATCTATAATAATCTCTTCAGAAAGTGGAATCTATACTCCCACATGAGCAGAGAGTGCTACATTTTTTAATAACTTCCTTAGGGTTTTCATTTTTACTATGATGGTTTCAAAGATTACAGTATAATTTAGGGAGGAGAAAATGTTAAAATTTTTGCCAGTGAGTGTAAAACTATTATTACATTCTTTTGTCAGTCTTTTGTACTTTGATTTCCATATTTAAACACAGGTAAGCTTCTGAAACTAATATGCAAGGCAAAATATGTATACCTTGGTTTTCTCATTTATGTAATAAAGATAATTACAGTACTAAAATTATAGTTTTGTGGTGAGGATTAAATGAAATTCTAGTCCCTGTCACATAGAATTCCTGGTTCAGGGCAAGTATTCAATGCATTTTTGTTTTTATTACTATTACTGCTAGACAGTGACTGTAATAATAGACAATAATATGTAAGGTCTATTAGATTGGCTATTTGAAGGTTGATCATCAATTGGCATGTCAGATCCCCTTATAAACAAATTGATTTGGTCATTACATTGAATTATGCCAATAAAGCAGTTGGTTAAAATTGAAATTTAACAAATAAATCATTGATAGATTACTCAGTAATTAGTTTCTTTCATGACTTAAAAATAAAATCTAACCATTTTGAGTGAATTCATTTAGGCCCTACTACTCATATACAAAGCAATTTTATAAGGGAAGTGAATGCAATAGAACAATAAAACACCTGACTTGAAAATATTGCAATAACTCAAATATTCCTTATATTATTAAAACATTTTTCCTTCACCATTTTAATACTGCCTTTTTGTCTTTTACATCTATCTTATTTTTAATTTATCTTATTCTTCTGGTGGTTAATTTTCCATCTGCCCCATTTTTGAGCCAAGTCTCTCAGGCTGTGGGTCCATTTCTTAATTTCAATTCTGGTTTCTATCAAGTCTTAGTTATTTCTTAGGTAAAATTTTATTAGTTCACTAATACAAACATATTAGAATTCTCAAAAAATCTACTCATATGCAACTATAGAAAAATTTTATAAGAACAGTGGGATTTCATGGAGATTAGTATATTTTAAATTCATTCTGAAAATTATCAAATATGCATAAAAGTAAAGAGAATAGAATATTAAGCTTTCTGTACATAACACACAGGCATGACAATTAATTGGCACTTGGCCATTCTTCCAAGACATGAATATTTTAATAAATATGTGTAATAAAAAATATATTTTCTGTCTGTCCGTCCATCCATCCATTCATCTATCGATCTATCAAAAGGGGGAAAAAGTGAAAGTGACAGAGAGAGAGAGAGAGAGAGAGAGAGAGAGAGAGAAAGAGAGAGGAAGAGTCTCTATGGCCCAGAAGTATTTAAAATTAATTAGTGTATCTTTTTTATTTCTTTTAGGAACTCTGTAAAAATTAATTTAACAGTGATGAGCTGACCACTGATGAAAAGTAACACAAACTAATAACTGCTCTATGGCCTTGAGTACCTATGAATTATGTAGTTAATCTTCTACACATATTGAACATATGATTTGTAGGTGTCTCTAGTTAGTGTCTAATTTTCAACCCACTTACTTCCTTGAGCTGGTAAAAAAAAAAAGTTCATGTGCAACCAAATGAGGAGGAAAAATAAGTCTCTCCATCTGTGTCTAGAAGATATACTTATTTTTTTCTTTTTCAATATGAAGAGCCTTTGGTGGGGAAAATCTGTTTTATTTCTACAGGCAGATAAATGGTGTATATCCAATCTATGTTCATACAAAAATGACATTATTCTCACTTTTCTTCAATCTCTATATCTAATCAAATATCAAAAAATCTTTCAGATAATAGCTTTCATACATATTCTAAAATAGTCTTGCGATAAATAGATATAAGTCAAGTTTGGCATAGTTCCTTCTATCTTCCAATTGGCTGCCTTGTTTTCTCTTACTGGGATCAAGTAGTTATTGTTTATGTACGTCAATGGACTTAGATAATTGGGGCTGACTTTTGGTAATTTTTGCCTGCCATAGCATTAAGCAGCAGTACAAATTCCACAGGAAATCACACATTTTCCCTTCTACCATTTGTGTGACGCTAAAACCTTTTAACGTACGTCCATTAGAATTCTGCTAATGAACTGGTTCTCTAATTATAACAAATAGATACGTTCATTCGATTGTTTAAAGGAAGAAAGCACACATGAAAAGTCATAGCAATCACTATCCAAAAACACCTTCAAGGTAAGTGGACCTATAACAAAAACAGGATACTAAAATTGTTAAAAATATAGATGGTATTTCCTCCTAAGATTAGAAAAAAGGCAAGAATATCAACTCTCACTACTCCTACAC
The DNA here is from genome assembly GCF_000001405.40 of Homo sapiens. Taxonomy (NCBI): domain Eukaryota; kingdom Metazoa; phylum Chordata; class Mammalia; order Primates; family Hominidae; genus Homo; species Homo sapiens. Next base: position 24,695,506 of record NC_000009.12, read on the forward strand.
TAAAAGTTTTAGTCAGTGCAATGAAGGAAGGAAGAAAATATTTTTAGAGTCAGACATATTGAAAAGGAAGAAATAAAACTGTACCCATTTACAGACAACAAAATGTCTACGAAGAAAATCTTAAGAAATTAAAAAAAATCCTGTATGAACTGATAAGTGAGTTTAGCAAAGTTATAGGATACAGGTCAACACACAATCATATTTCTATATGTTAGCAATGTACAACTGAAAAAAAAAGTAGAATACTATTTACTGCAACCAAAATGAAATACTTATATATCTAATAAAATGTGTCTAATAAAACGTGGTAAAAGGTACACAGTTCTGATCATGGACATCAAAAGAGATCTAATTAAAAGGAACGTCCTATCATTCTCATGAATTGGAGACTCAACATGAAAAAGATGTTAATTCTCCTGAAATTGATCTACAGATTTAATGTAAAGCCCATAAAAACCCCAAGGGAACTTTGGTAGATATAGACGAACTGATTCTAAAATGCATATAGAAGGTCAAAGGAATGAAAATAAATATAAAAAACTTTTAAAAAGAATAAATTTGGAGGAATAACTACTTAAGTATTACTATAAAGCTACAATAATTAAAAGTGTGTTTTAACAAAGGGTTAGATGCATAGATAACAGAACAAAATGGAATCTAGAAATAGACCCACACAAACATGGCCTTTGATCTTTGACAAAGTTGCTGAATAGATTTAATGGAAAATTGGAAGATGGCGTCAAGATGATTATATTTAAAATAAAAAGGAAAAGAAAGAAACTCAAATATTTCTTCTCATACAAAAATTTACTTAAAATGGATCACAAATATAAATGAAAAATACAGAACTGTAAAACTTTTCAAAGAGAATGTACAAGAAATCTTGTGTTAGGTAGAGCTTTTAGGTGTGACATTGAAAGCACAATTCATAAGAAAAGAAAAAAAGTCATAACTGAATAGCATCAGAATTAAAACTTTTGCTCTCTGAAAAACACTATTGAGGGAATTAAGAGACAATCTATGAACTTGGATACAATATTTGCATTTTACAAATTCAACAAAGGACTTAAGTCCAGACTAAATAAGAAATGATCAAATCTCAACAATAAAAACATAACACTTAAAAATGGGTTAAAGGACTTGAACCTACACTTCACAAAAAAGTAGATATAAGAATGGAAAAGAAGTACATAAAAAAGGTAAAATATAACTAGCCATTAGAAAAATGCAAATTAAAACCTTGGTGTTCTTCCAAGAGAAATGAAACTTTTGATCACACAAAAGCTACACATGAATGTTTATATTACTAGCAACTGTATGCAAAATTATGCCAAATAGAACTCACCCAGATGTTCTTCAACAGGTGAATGGATAAACTGTGGTACATCCGTACAACACAAAGGAAGAAACTAATGATACACACAACAATTTTTATGACATTAAGATCTTTCTTCAGAGTGAAAAACACCAAAAGTTTACATGTTTAATACATTCATTCTAGAAAATACAAAATTGTAGTGATGACGAACAGATGAATGGCACTCAACATAGGGATTCTGGGGAGGATGTGACTATTAAAGGATTGCAGAAGGGAGTGTTTTCGGTTAATGAAATAGTTTTGTATCTTGACTTATGGTGGCAACATGAATCTCTCTAACTCCAACTAACTATCTGGTCATTAACAAACCTGACAAACACAAGCAATGGGGAAAGGATTCCCTATTCAATAAATGGTGCTGGGATAACTGACTAGTGACATGCAGAAGATTAAAACTGGACCCTTATACCATGTACAAAAATTAAGTCAAGATGGGTTAAAGATTGAAATGTAAAACCCAAAACTATAAAAACCCTTGAAGACAACCTAGGCAATATCACTTAGGACATAGGAATGGGCAAAGATTTCATGACAAAGATACCAAAAGCAATTGCAACAAAAGCAAATAATGGACAAATGGGATGTAATTAAATGAAAGAGCTTTTGCACAGCAAAAGAAACCACCAGCAGAGTAAACAGACAACCTACAGAGTAGGAGAAAACTTTTGGAAACTATGCATCTGACAAAGGTCTAATATCCAGAATCCATAAGGAACTTAAGCAAATTTACAAGAAACAAAGGACCTCATTTAAAAATGGGCAAAGGACACTTTTCAAAGGAAGACATACATGCGGCCAACAATCATATGAAAAGAAGCTCAGTATCACTGATCATTAGAGAAATGTAAATCAAAACCACAATGAGATACCATCTCTCACAGCAGTCAGAATGGCTATTATGAAAAAGTCAAAAAATAACAGATGCTGGCGAGTTTGTGGAGGAAAAGGAATCCTTATACACTGTAGGTGGGAGTGTAAATTAGTTCAACCATTGTAGAAGGCAGTGTGGCGATTCCTCAAAGACCTAAAGACAAATACAATTTGACCTTGCAATTTCATTACTGAGATATACCCAAAGAAATATAAATTGTTCGATAATAAAGAAACATGAACGCATATGTTCATCGCAGCACTATTCACAATAGCAAAGACTTGGAATCATCCTAAATGCTCATCAGTGATAGACTGCATAACAAAAACATGGTACATATACATCATGGAATATTATGCAGCCATAAAAAAGAGATCATGTCCTTTGCAGCAACATGGATGTTGCTGGAGACCATTGGTCTTAGCAAACTAATGCAGGAACTGAAAGTACCACATGTTCTCACTCATAAGCAGGAGCTAAATGATGAGAACACACGGACACATCGAAGGGAACAATACACACTGCAGCCTATCAGAGAGTGAAGGGTGGGAAGAGGGAGGGGATAGGAAAAATAACTAATAGATACTAGGCTTAATACCTGGGTGATGAAATAATCTCTACAACAAACCCCCATGACACAAGTAAACCTATGTAATGAACCTGCATATGTACCCCTGAACTTAAAAGTTCAAAATTTTATAATTCTATACACAAAATTTTAAAAAGTGAATTTGGTTATATGTTTTTTAAAAATTACACATACATGTGCATGCATAATTATTTTATAGTCTGCGTAAGATGTATAAGGATGTTGAGTACAAATAAAGGAGACATAATGAAACCTTTAAAGATTACCTTCAGTTACAAAATTAATTTGCTAAATTTGTTAAATGAAGTAGTTACCAAATAGTTGTTCTAGTACCCATGGATTACCAAATACAGTAACTGATTAAAACAGAAAAATGGCCCCAAATATTACTCAGAACTCATAAGAAATGATAAAGAGATAAGTACAATAAAAAAGATACATGGACAGCGATAGCTGTATGAATCCTGACAACAGAGCAGATGGAGAAGGTGAAATAATAAACTGCAATTTCCTAAACTTACAAGATTAGACTTCTCAGATCAAAATGACAAGGAAAAATAATGAAAAAAAGATACACATCTAGACTTATACTGGTGGCATTTTAGAATTTCAAGGATAATAAATTCTACAGCACTTGGTTGGGGTGAGGGGTAGACAGCCTTATATGAATAAAAATAAACCCGTGGTTTTACCTTTCACTTTCAGTTTTTGCTATGTGGCAAGAAAACATATCCCATCATTTTCATTGGTCCTCATGGCTAATTGTATTGTTTAGAAGCATAGCCTGTGTATTTCTTGACTCTGTGATTGATCCTGGAAAGAGGACCTAACCCTAACCAAAAATAGTCGTTAGAAGTGATGACTTATTCAAGCTTGTTAAACTACTCAAAACCAAATAAACTCGATACTTTTTACTTTAAATGTGTTTAGTGCTGTGATAATGTGAGCCTCAACATTTCTACTGCCATCTAGCTATCATAGAGTTAATCAGCTTGTGGCTCAAGGTGACACCTAGAATAAACAAGTCATGAAAAGATCTATTGACAGTGTTTCACACAGAATTTAAAAACTACTGAAGCAAAGCTGCTCCTTGACTCTTCAGTTCCTTGAGCCAAACTATTTTTTCTTGTGTTTAAAAGTCCAGAATAGATTTTCTTTTATGTGGAATACAATGCATTTTGAAGGATCAAACGATTTAATTTTCATATTATTTTTATTTTCTCTATTCCTTACAATTAAAAAGAAATCAATCACAAAATAATTATAATTTTTAGTATCCATAGTATCATAATTGCTCAAGGAATGATGGTTATATATTCTAACTAAAGTGAATATTCTTTATATTCCATTAATACACACAATTATTTCTGCTTTCTTTATTCAGTGTAGCAAGCATATGCTGTAAACCCATGTAAGATCATTTTTTACATTTATGATATTTTGAAAATAAATTGGCTAGCCCTTGCAGAAAATATTCATGCAAATGTTGATCTACATATACATGGATTCAATTTCCAGATGATTTATGACTACGTATATTGTATGTCATAGGAAAATAAATCATTAAGGCTTTTGATATTCCACCATATGGGAGGTCTAATGTGAATCCTTTAAGCAATTTATATCATGTCTAAATTTTTTTCTCATTTAAATTTTTTCTTTATGATCTTATGCCTAAGAATCAATATAAATAAGTATGAGAATGCACAATAAAACATTTAGTAATTTAAAAACTATATGTGAAAATACAGTCATATTTTTATAACCAAATAATTGCTTAAGATAAGTTGATATACGTATTATAAATTAGATCACTGTAGTCATTATTGGACAGAAAAACTACACTTTTGAAAACATCCATAGTAATTTTAGTTTTACCTATATTTGAAATAAATTAGAGCAATACAATATAAAGCAGACAGAAAATAGAAAGCAAATGTAAATTATTAGACTGAGTATCTTTACTCACTGAAATACCATTATATTATTCACCAAAGCATTCTGATCAATAGTCTAATCACTAACAAATAGCCACTGGTCAGAAGAGTATCACGATTATGAAATCAAGACTAGAGACCATAGTGTCCAGAACCATATATTTCTTTGAAGCTGAAATGAACTTACACGATCAGATTGTTGTAATATGTATGAAATTAAATTTGTGTAAGTAATTTGTCCCCACAGTTATTTGTCATTACAAACTGCACGCTTTCCTCCATGTCTTCACAGAGTAAACTATAATCACTCAGAAGTCAGATATTATGCAGGAAAAAATAGTATATATACCCTAAATAGTTAGCATAATATTATGAAAATTTTGATTACTTAAAAACAGATGATAAAATCACATATTCTAGGATTTAAAAAAATTTAATATATTTTTGTTTTGACTCAGCTCTCTTGGTTAGCTAAGGATTTTGCTTCTCATTTGTAAATAAGTTACAAAATGGAATTTTTAAAAAGATTTTGTAGTTATAAAAATGACTAATAATTATTTCACTAATCTATTCTTCAGAGTCATCTTCATAACTGATTCTCATTAATCATTGACTGTTGACTAAAATTATATTTGAAATAAATGAAGTGACCTTGTGAATATTACTAAACTTTAACCTAGAATTAATTTAAATATTTCAGCTTTATATGGGGGCATATTTGTATTTGTATTCCTAAAAAGATAAACCAAGGAAAAGAAGTTCTAAATGAAAAAGAAATTCTAAATGAAAATTATGTATAACATATATTAACATGTATGATAGCTTGTTTGTGATTAGGTACAAGATCTTTTTTATTGCCTGTATTCCTGTTAATATAATTTATATGATAGAAAAATAAAATTTGTTTTATTTAAATTATTACATTAATAGTTTTATGGTAAAAATGTATTATATGATTATAGACAACTTGAAAAACAAAGCAAAGCATAATACAAAAATTAAAAATGATTATTTGTCTAGTATTGTACAGAAAATAGTTTAAAATTTAGCTTATTTTCTTTGAGAGGTTTAGAAGCAAATTAAGTTTTTAGCTGATAATATGCCTACATACATAAAAATCTAGCCACTGGCCACAAGCATTGGTTCATTAGTTATTTAGATGCTCAGTTTAAAACTATTTTATTTACTTTAGTCAGAGTGGTACTTGCTCTTTGGAAGAATGACTGTTTCTTCTTAGAGGATATATGTGTGCATGCATTTTTTATATGTATACATAATTTATTTGCTTGGGGGATGTGAATGTCTACTAATTTTTTTAATTGTTTGATGGTAATAATGGCTAGATTTGCAAATGTGAAAAGTCACATGGCTGAGCTATTTCCTAGAGCCTAAATGCATAAATGATAGAGCCTAAATACCTGCATCTTTTGCCAGTTTCTGTGACTTATCAGGAATCTTGGAAGTTAACAAGGTAGATCCAAAACAAACTCATTCAGTTGACTATTGATGCTAGTGAAAATATGATAGCTCATTCTGTATAATTGTGTATATTTACAAATGTAGAACTATTAACTTCACAGAGAGCTCAACTTCCTGTTAGGAAAGTTTTTGGAATAATGCAATTTGTTGTTGACTTTGTTTATGGTTTCGTATTATTACTGTAATATCTATTTTTCATTAGCCTTAAAAAGCTGGTCACATATGAAATTAATTTGACTATTGTGAGAAATGAAGCTTATTTCTGAAGAGAAAGTATATTTTGGAAAAATATTTTTATTTTGTATTGTTTTCTTAAATAATAAATAACCTAGAAATACAATTGACCATTGCCACCAAAATGGGTTTGTAAAAAATATATGAAATAGGAAGATTTGGAGAATGGAGGCAGTTCAGTGGAGTCTTTGGGACAAAATTATTATTAATGTGAAATAATGCATATGTAAAGGTAAAAGAAGCAATGGCTATAATGTAAGATAATAGAAAATAAATGGATGAAGAAAAACAGTAAATTTCAAACATAAATGACACAATTACAGGAAGAAAAGAAAATCAGACTGCCAAAGCTGCTTTTCTCAGCAAGATTTTATTCATCTTTAGCTCTTTTAGAGTGCAAATTCCATTTCTCTTTGGTATACATGATATTTCTAAATAAACGGTAAGATGAATGGGTTTGTTAAAAACAGGGATCATAGATCTAACTCCAAAAAGGTCTCACTATTCGGTGGGGAAAGCATAGTTTTTCACATTGACTTTGATTCCTCACATTATGACTTAATTAACATGATTCATTAATCACTACCCAACTTATTATAAGCCAATTATTTTATGTTTGTATAGACATAACTTCTTGAGTGGAAGCCTGAGTAGCTTCATGGACCCTCTCCTCAGTGAAACTACCATGCAGGTGAACATTATTTTTTTTTAAAAAAATTCAGGTTTCTGGAAATTTTCTAAAGGGCATACAGTAAATAAGAAACATTTATTCAAGAAAATGTAATAGATATTGATAATAGCAGTGACAGTCTGAGCTTTTGAGCCAGGACCCACTCTCCTCATCAACCTTCACCCCACTCCTGCCCAGCTCAGCATGACTGAAGCACCATCCTGGGTGGGTGCAGCCAAGAACATAGTGCTCCTCTCTTCCAAATTTCAAGTTGAGGGCTATGGTATTTCCTTGTGAAGAGCAGGTAACTAGCATTTCTCATTTCATCCCAGCTCCATGTAGCAGAATCTCTATTCTAGACAAGAGCTACCGAGAGGTCTGGGGTTCTCTTCCTTGATCCACTCAGCTCCGTTTTGTAGGGTGAAAGTTCTACCACAGGTGCAATAGGCCACAATGACCAGTGGCCCAATCACCCGATCTCCAGCTTATTTGTAGGGAGGATGTTTCACATCTGGAGAATCAAGCTGAGAAGACTCAAGGCTTCTGCTCCAACCAGTGCCATGCTTGTAAAGCATATATGCCACTCCAAAAGAAGTAGCCCACTCTTCCTACCCCAACCTTGAGCAGTGGCAGAGATTTTGCCCAGGGGGAGAGGCAGAGATTAACAGAGATTAACAACAGAGATTTATGAAGCCTCTCCCAAGGCAACTCACTTTATTTGGAACAGAGTATGAGAAAGTGCAAGCTTAAGGGCTTCCTGGAAAGAAAAAACTGGAGATTTCAAGATAAGCAACTGAGAGGAAATATGTGAACAGTTAGAGGAAAGTTTCTCAATGAATACAGCAAACTAAACCCAGGCTGAGCTAGAAGCTTACCACAGAGAACCAGGGATAAAAGAGGCTAAGAAGAGCCCTCCTGGCAGCAGAACATATCTCTAAGACTGGCTTCAAATACTATGTCTGTAAAGGGACTAAAATTTAATTGGATCAGACTGTGGAGCAATTTATTGGGGAATTGTCAAAAAACAATACAGTGATTAGCAAGCAGTTAGTGAAGGTGAACAGCTTACTGTAATACCAAGAAGCAAACAATTTAACAGAGAAATCAGGGAAAGAGATAGTCAAATTGAGACCTGACCTGCTAAAATCACTGTCATCACAAGGTCACTGTATACATGTCCAAGGATTTGGACATAGTTTCAGACTTCCAACAACAACAACAACAGCAAAAAACAACGATTCTTATAGTTTTTGTGAGCTTATTGCTTATGCAGATAAATGAATTTTGGAATTTTCCACTCTACTATTTCTCTGTCAAAGTCAATCAATTATTGACATGGGTGCCAAGGTGATTCAATGAGGAAAAATGGTATCTTCAACAAATAATGCTGAGATAACTGCATATTCACATGCAAAAAATGAAGTTGGATCATTTCCTTACACTGTATACAATAATTAATTCAAAATGGATCATATAGCTCAATAGCTAAAATTATAAAACTCATAGAAGAGAAAGGATAAATCTTAATCTGGGATTAGGCAAAGACTTCTTGGCTATGACTCCTAAAGCACAAGCGAAGAAAAAAAAAACATAAATTGAACCTCACAAAATTTAGAAAACTGTGCTTCAAAGAGCACAAGAAAGTAAAAAGACAATCCACAGAATAGAAAAAAAAATATTTGCAAGTCACATATCTAATACAAAAATTGTATCTGGAACACATCGATAATATTTCTAAATAATAAAAAGACACATTACTCGTTTATATAATGGAAAAATGTTTTAATAGCTGTTTCTCCAAATAAGACATACAAGTGTCCAATAAGCCCATGAAAAGAGGATCAATAACCTTATCCATCAGGAAAATGCAAATCAAAACCACCATAAGATACAACTTCACACCCACTAAAGTAGCTATAATAATAATAAAAAAAGTGTTGGCAAGAATTTGAAGAAATTGTAAGCCTCGGACTTTTCTGATCAGCATGTAAAATTATGCAGCCATTTTTAAAATTAGTCCAGCTGTTCATCAAAAATTTAAACTTAAACTTATTATATCACCCAGTAAATTCATTTCTAGATATATACCCCAAAGAAATGCAAACATATATTTATACAAAAACTTGTACGTGAATGTTAATTGTAACATTAAACCCAAATATCTATCAACAGATGAATGGGTGAATAAAATATGGTACATAATTATAGTACAATTTTATTCAGCAATAAAAATATAAAGTAGTAATTCATTCTTCAACGTGGATGAACCTTGAAAACATTATGCTAAGTGAAATAAGCTGATCACACATAAAACATATATTGTATAATTCCCATATTGGGTGCATATATATTTAGGATAGTTAGCTCTTCTTGTTGAATTGATCCCTTTACCATTATGTAATGGCCTTCTTTGTCTCTTTTGATGTTTGTTGGCTTAAGGTTTGTTTTATCAGAGACTAGGATTGCAACCCCTGCATTTTTTTGTTTTCCATTTGCTTGGTGGATCTTCCTCCATCCCTTTATTTTGAGCCTATGTGTGTCTCTGCACGTGAGATGGGTTTCCTGAATACAGCACATTGATAGGTCTTGACTGTTTATCCGATTTGCCAGTCTGTGTCTTTTAATTGGAGCATTTAGCCCATTTACATTTAAGGTTAATATTGTTATGTGTGAATTTGATCCTGTTATTATGATGTTATCTGGTTATTTTGCTCATTAGTTGATGCAGTTTCTTTCTAGCCTTGATGGTCTTTACAATTTGGCATGTTTTTGTAGTGGCTGGTACTGGTTGTTCCTTTCCATGTTTAGTGCTTCCTTTAGGAGCTCTTGTAGGGCAGGCCTGGTGGTGACAAAATCTCTCAGCATTTTCTTGTGTAATTCCCATTTACAAAGATTATCCAAAAGAGAAAAATCTATTGAAATAAAGAATAGATAAATAGTTGCTTTGGCTGGAGAATTGGGGGGAAATGGGAAGATACTACTAAATTTATATGAGGCTTCTTTTTGAAATTACAAAAATTTTTAAAAATTATGGTGATGATTGCACTACAATCAATTATGCTACAGTCCATTAAATGTTACTTTAAATGGATAAAGCGAATGTTATATGAATTGTATTTCAATAAAGGTGTTATAAAAATTCACATAAAATGAACATAAACTTGTTTTATATTTTTCATTATATCAGAGACCACGTAGCTGACCACAGGTTCATGAGTGAGGCTATCAAAGACCAGATGAGGCCAGGCGCAGTGGCTCACATCTGTAATCCCAACACTTAGGGAGGCCAAGGCGGGTGGGTCATGAGGTCAGGAGATGGAGACCATCTGGCTAACATGGTGAAACCCCATCTCTACTTAAAATACGAAAAATCAGCCGGGTGTGGCGGCAGGTGCCTGTAGTCCCAGCTAATCCAGAGGCTGAGGCAGGAGAATCCCTTGAACCCTTGAACATGGGAGGTGGAGGTTCCAGTGAGCCGAGATCTCGCCACTGCACTCCAGCCTGGTCGACAGAGGGAACTCTGTTTCAAAAAAAAAGACCAGATGAACCTTCCAGCAGATTCCAGTCCAAAATACTTATCTACAAAATCCTGAGATAATTATTTTTGTCACTCTTTAAGTGGCTTCTTACATGACAAACGTGAACTGATACAAATCCTATAATCTCACGTCTCACATGTACATACAACTCAGACAATTATTGCTTTCTTTCTTTCATTTAGTCTACCTATTTGCCAGGATCCATGCTAAGGGATTCAAATGAATTGTTTTATTTGATCATTACAATGCTCTTTGGGCTAGATACTATTAATATTTCCATTTTATAGATGAGAAACCTGAAGTCCTAAGAAATTATGCTACTTATTCGAAGTTAAAAGGATATACGTGTGACAAAACCAGTGCTTAAACTCATGTTTAGTCATCACATCACAAATCCCATGCATTTACTCACATGTAAGGTACTGACTAGTCATAGTTTATATATACTTTTATACAGTTGTATAACTGCTTTAGAAAAAATATTATTTCATGAGCATATTCTTAAGAAATAATATCTTTTTGAAAGCATCATTTTAAATTACTGCATTTCATTATATGGATGTAATTATTTTTTGTTGCAGTAAGAATTTTTTGACACTTTTTCTTAGCAGAAAGTATAATTTTATTGTATTTGAAAGAAATTATGAAAATTTTCTTGATATGAAAATGTTCTTGATATTATAAAACTGTTCACATGGAATAAAATAAAGAACAAAGAATGAGATTCAATGAGGATTATGCTAACCTCCTTTGACATTAAATTAACTGAAAACTCTACTGTGGGTTTGGCCCTTTTCTATTTTTTTAAAGGCCTACTTATTTTGAATTATCGAATTTATATATATTTAAATTAGCTTCATATTCATTTATTCTTACTGTATTCATTTTGGTAAATTACCAGTTCTTTCCAATAAGAAAGGTTTTACTTTTTTTTCTTTGCCTTGTCAAAATTATTTCTTCATGATGATGCACTTGCAAATTAGAAAAGTTTTTCCCTCCAGTTTATACTAAACCAAAATTCTTACCATATTTGTGAAGGACAACTTTTTAAAACTTTCAATTTTGTCATAATTTTAAATTCACAGAACATGAAACATGGTGAAAGCAACTCCCAATATCCAGATTTAGAATTTATATGTGGTCCTACTTATCATTTTCTATTATTTTTTTTTGAACCATTTGAGGTTATGCTTAAGATACCATGCATTTTTATCCCTGAATTTTGCTATTTATTTCATAGAAACACAGATATTAGCCTATGTAATCACAGTACAGTTAACAAAATCAGAACAATTAGAATGTATATAATAATATTATCTTACTCATAGTTAATACTCAAATTTTGTTATTCTAATATTTTTATGATTTATTTTTCCTAGTCCAGGACCTAGTCCAGATGAATGTATTGTAACATTACATTACATCGTAACACTGTGTAATGGTTGTCACACATTACATTTACTTGTTGTATTCCTTTAGTTTCTTTAAATCAAAATCAGTTCCTCATCCTTACTTTGTATTTCTCAACCTTGAAGTTTATGAAAAAGACAAGCCAAATATGTTGGAGAATGCCTCTCAATTTGTTTTTTTCTGATGATTCTTCACAGTTAGGCTTAGATTATGCCTTTTATTGGCAGAAATAACACTGATGTGAGGGTGTGCCCTTGTCATCGCATTCTGTGCTATCTTTTGTGAATTTTTGGGGAAAAAAATTATCACCAGTGCTTTGACTTTTGCAGACATGAAAAGAGCAAACGAGTTTTTCATTATTTTCTCTTTTCCATTTCTCCCTCTGTTGCTTCCACTCTTTTATCCTTAGAACTTATTCAAAACCCCAAATATATAGTTATTGAAAACCTAGAATTATGATTAAGTGAAGTGTCTAGGGAATAATTGTAAGGCAATCTACAAGCAAAAGTATGGTATTATATAATTTACCTTTAGGGAGCAATAATGAGTAAACAGATCATGTATCAGAATGGAATGGGGTTAGTCATTGCAGGTTTCCTATGTGATATACAAATCCAACTTTTTAAAGATATGAAAGAAGTAATATAAAGCCACACTGAGATAAAATAATAAATAGGGTTAGAAGCATGAGGCAAGTGGAGAAATAGATACTTTGTCAGGAGTTTTCTGGGGAGATCCCAAGGCAGGTAGCGTTATTAGAATAAAACTGCTCAACTGCAGATTAATAATGAAAAACAAAAGGCCAGTTGAGAAGATTTTTTAAATATTGGCCCAAACACTCCAGGATTTATTTGATAGACTTTGTGCATACATGTTTGGGAAATTGCTTCACAATTCCAGTGAAAGACAACTTTGTAATTCTTAATTTATTAGGAATTTGTGAAAATCTTAAACGTTAAGAAGTCTTTGCTTTAGCAGCAATTTTATTCTATAGAGAAGCAGCTTATGTACGCTTGATGGAGAACAAAGCTTGTCATATTAGCAAGTGTTTTAGCCAGATATTAGTGTGCTTGTGGATAATACAAATGATCCTGGTTTACAGTTCTTTACCAGAGCATGTTTTTTAAATGTAAGAAAAAACAAGCCAATATGAAGGACTTAATGTGGAGAAAGTATGTAACCCAAATTCAATGGAAATTCAAAATAATTCATGAAACTGACAGAACGCAAAGAATGTGAATTGACATATAATGCACTTAACAATCAACATATGCAGTTTTTAATGCACTTTCCACATGACTGTTATTAGCAGTTTCTCAGATTCTCAGTTTCTGATTGTCTTCTATCACTGCATAGGAGGCTTAGTGACCCTGGGGTCATGGCTCTCTAGTTTTAGGTTTTGTAATAGAAATAACCACAAGCACTTAGAGCCTTCATGTAACATCTGTGACCCAGCTACACTGATGTGCTGTGCATTTTTGCTCTTGTCAGTATAAATCCTCAAGCTCAGTCATTTCAACTGAGGACGCCAAGGAGAGCATCTAAGAAGATGCATGTAGCTCTTATATCTCTATGCATAGGGAAAATAAAAAATTTTGGCCTCATCATAGAGATATATGTGTTTAATCCAACCATTATTTTTAAAATTGGAGTATCCACTTTTCTTTGAGCCAGTATCCACCATATGTCTAGTTTTGTACTTACCTTTCTGTTTAGAACGTTTAAAGGGAGAGAGATGTTACTCACCCATGGTTTCTGGATACCAATACTGCTGGGTTTGCTGTTACTATCTCTTATCCCATGCTAATATTACTAATGTTCCTGCTACTTACTATTGTTGTTACACTAGTGCGACATGTTTGATGTTACATTAATGAATCCTGTTTTTGTTCCACAGTGGCCACAAGATCATGCATTGTGCACCATTTATTCCCTGAGTACCACAGCTCCTTTTGCTCCCAGTGGAAAGGAAGCTATTCCCTCTGTCACTTTCTGTCATTCTATTGTTGCCTTCAAGTGATTATATACTTTTAAGCACTTCTCTCCTCAGTCTTCCAAATAATGTTATTTAAGGGTCCCCAGTTTGAGAAAATTGCTCCGAATTTCTCACAGCCTAAAATGTGGGTAGGAAGGAAGGAGAATTTGGTGTAAATGTTCCCTGTAACAGGAATTATTCTTTAACAAAAATCCCAGTCATTCTTTCATTTTTCTTTACCTTGGAGTAGAATTTCTGTTTTCTTAGTGGCACCTTTCCCTATAATTGAATAATCTTTCAGAAAAAATATTTTAATCATCAATTTAGATTAAAAGATTTATTCTCAGTTTCCAGGAAGTGTAGTATAATCTCCATTATATCTCCTTAAGGATCAAAGTATCCTAACAAAAGGAGGATTTTTGGGTCTCCCATTTTCATTCCACAAATGTTTATTTGGTGTGTACTACATGCCACTTACTGGAGCAGACAGTAACATCAGGAAACAAAGCATACACCCTCAAAACAACAACCTGAACTCTTATTCTACTTTCCTATGAAAGATTTCTCCATATTAGGTAGGCGCTTATTTAAATCAGACCCTTTGTACTCTTTAATTATAGAAAGAAGGGAAAGAAAGTTGAAGACAGCAACCAAGAGACAAAGGCTGGGTAACCAATAGGTACATGATCTGTGAAAGATGAAACTCAAATACTTTTGTAAGAGAGAAAAGTTTTTGTTCTGGTATAAAGAACATTTTTTCTTGTCTGATAATTTTTAATGTCCCACCTCAATCCATGAGAAATGATACGCAAAGCTGTCAAAAAAATTGGATCTTGGAAATAGGCAAAGGATATTACATGGGGTTGTCTGATTCTAGTGGTGTGCATCTTTGAATGACTTTTTATTGCCTAGTTTTTTGAAACGATTTTGGAGTACAAGGTAAGCTGTGGAAAACCGAGGGCAACGCAAATGTTTCTTGCCTCTAGCAATAAAAATAAATTTTGTCTAGTGAAGAATATTAACCTCTGCAAGTCAAATTCTCATTTTAGCCAGTGTTGCCAGCTTATTAATCTCATTAATTAATAAATTGAAGGAAGTGTTTAACATAGTTCATTTTATGTTTGTATGAGAGTCATGATTTTACCTTTTCCAAAATCATAATTCAGAAGGCCTACAATGAAGTTTGATTCTTATGCATTTTAGCCCTTTAGACTGCCTTGAAAGTACTTTGTTTATCATACAAAAAGGCAACTAGCACGGTGAAACCCCGTCTCTACTAAAAAAAATACAAAAAAATTAGCCAGGCATGGTGGCGGGTGCCTATAGTCCCAGCTACTCAGGAGGCTGAAGCAGGAGAATTGCCTGAAGCCGGAAGGTGGAGGTTGCAGTGAGCTGAGATCGCGCCACTGCACTCCAGCCTGGGCAACAGAGCGAGACTCCATCTAAAAAAAAAAAAAAAAAATACAACTATTACCTTTGCAGTGATGAATAACCATATGAAAACTAAAGATAAAAAAATTTGCTGGAAAAATTTAAAAGTATAAATATTTCATCCTTGAAACATTAAATGGTAATTCCTTATAAAACATTTTTATGAACAGCATAGGTAGAGAAAGATCTAAAGTGAAGGAGATTTTAAGTAGGTCTGCAAAATTACCTGCAATTTTCAAAAAAAAATTTTAGAGTTATGGCTCCCATAGTCTGCGTGATTAATCAGTTTTCAAAAGACCTTTAGAAATTTTAATATATATTTTGATTTAGGGATATATGATCAGTAAAGTGTTATTGTCCACTTAAATCAACTTATGTCATGATTATCTTTAGTATGCTATTCAGATTGCAAGAGAGAGACATTTGCATTGTAAAATGTAAAAAATCTAAAGTCTTTAAGAAGAAAATAATTTCTCAAGCAGGGAAAATGAAGTAATTATTTAAAGTGATTGACTTCTATGCTACTCCTATAAGACATATAAAACTTTTTATCTGGCTTTTTCATTTAAAATTTTAGTATATGTATTTCTCTCCATGCAACTAAAACTTTGAAAATATGATTTTTAATGATAGCATAATGTTTTATTGCGTGATAGTATTAAGATTTACTCACTTCTTTGTTTAAAATTTTGGATATTTCCAGAATTATTCTAAATATAGGTGCCATATTGTGATAAACATTTTAGTTTATAGATCATTGATGACTTTTCAAGATATTTGCTTGGACATCCAAAGTGGATTTGTCCCTTCAAAGAATGTTGGCATTTTTTAAGATGCTTGATATATATTTTCTAATTATTTCAAGAAATAGTGCACCAATTTACAATCCTAGCAAAGAGCATCTGTCTCATAAGCATTAGCCAGTTTTAAAGATAATTAGTGTTTTCTGGAATGGACATACACCCACATGCATGCATACACATGAAAAATCATCTTGGTGATCAAGTTATTTAGAATAAAATTCTAATAAACATTCCTATATTGCTTTGTCTTATGTGTGTTCCATGACATTTTACTATTTAAAAAAACCTGTAAGTATGAAAGAAATTGGCAAAGCTTGACTATTATAAAGCACAATTTACAAAATGTACATAACTTACAGTACCTTCAAATAATTCTTAGTTGCTATCATCTTTCCTCATCTTAGGTAAATATTTCTCAGTTCTGGATAAAGTCTTGTCTTTCTTGTAAATGTCACTTAATACATAAAAGGTTCTTGGACTTGGCCAGATTTAAAATGAAATATGCTACATATAATTTGTAAAGTGCTGGCTGTTTCATATCTACATGCCTAAATCATTTTATTATTCGCTTAATAGCAGAGCAAATTAGTCATCCCCTCTGATTCTGGTGCACATTATCCTGAGACATGCCCACCCTAATGTGTTTTCTGATAAAGTAAATGCTCACCCTGTCAGAGCACAAATCTTATTTGGGCTTCAGGAATGTTAAGGGAGAGAGAGCTAAGTCTGCAGTAGGATTGCTTACTCGAGGAGAACTGAAGATTTGTTACCAGACTTCATTAAATATATGGAAGACACCAGCATTCAAGGTTAGAAAATTAGGATGCAAACATCAGACCTCTTTATGAAATGGAATAGGTAGCAAAAACAAGAAAGATACCTCTGTGCACTTTACACAAATAGGAGAGGTGGGCTTATTTTAAAGTAAATACTTTAGCTAGCTAAATAAAAAATGTGCTTTTTAGTTATTTGCTTGCTTCAGTAATCTGTGACTATAAGGTAAGTAACACTAATTAAATTTCAGAGAGATATATGATTGTTGGTAATACAGAATGGAGTCCCAACTCCTATTACATATTGCTTTATTTACAAAAAGTCATATTTAAAATTTTTGGAGTATATACTTTGAAGTAAAATTTAACGTCCCCAATGCTTCTATGCAAACCATTTATCTAAACCATTAAAAAATTCAACTTGGAATAAAATGGTATTGTACATTTCAATGTAATGCTAATAAAACAGTCACATAGAAATTATCTGTTGACATTTTGAAAAGAGAGTTTCAGTCAAGAAGTTAAATAAATATTATGTAGTTAGCTAAAATCATTTTGTTTTTAATCGTTTTGCTTGTTCCCCAGTCTGCTCTCTGTTATTGTTTCTGGCCATGAGCAATTTTTTCGTATTTTTGGAGAAATGACACATATCCTATCATCTCAAAAAGCTTTCACTGTCTGCCCCTTTCTCATTTTGTTAACATTGCAATTCCTGCCACAGATTTAGGCATTTAAAAAGTATTGTGTTGGTAGCCCGTAATATTCTATTGATTTTGACTTGGAAAAATGACTGAAATGGAGTAAGATACAGGACAACTGGAGTCTGGAAAGAGGCCATTAACATCGTAGGTGTTGATTCGTGGAGAACCTGAAGAAAGAGAACTAAAATGACTTTTTCAAAGAAAGTATAATATAAGAAAATTTTTTAATTGGAATCCATTTTATTTTCATAATTTTTTTTCTGAATCATAAAAGCAGGAGGAAAAACAGAAGTTATCTTAGTGAAAATTTAGTAAGGAATAAAAGAGGTCAAAAACATAAACCATGTGATAAGGACTTGAAAAAGGATGCATTTGGGGTAGTCGTTGAGGTAAAAGTTTATAGGCAGAGCTAGATCTATGTAAAATAGCAATATGATCACAGTTGCACCTTTACACCTTACTTACAAGCATGGCAGAAGGCAAAGAACTAGCAGGCACTTTCTTCACAGAGCAGCAGGATGGAGTGAGTGCAAGCAGGGAAAATGTCAGATGCTCATACAACCATCAGATCTCATGAGAACTCACTCCCTATCAGGAGAACAGCATGGGGCAAACCACCCCTGCGTTCCAATTACCTCCACCTGGTCCCACCTTTGGCATGTAGGGATTATGGAGATTATAATTCAAGATGAGATTTTGGATTGGCACACAGGCAAACCATATCATTCCACTACTGACCCTCCCAAACCTAATATCTTCACATTTCAAAATACAATCATCCCTTTCCAAGAGTCCCCTAAAGTCTTAACTCATCCCAGCATTAACCCAAAAGTCCAAGTCCAAAGTCCCATCTGAGACAAAGCAAGTCCCTTCTACCTATGAGCCTGTAAAATCAAAAGCAAGTTAGCTACTTCCTAGTTACACGGGGGTTACAGACATGGGTACATACACCTGTTACAAATGAGAGAAATAGGCCAAAACAAAGCGGCTACAGGCCCCATGCAAGTCCAGAATCTTATAGCGCCATCATTAAAATTTTAAGTTCCAAAAGATCTCCTTTGACTCCACATCTCACGTCCAGGTCTTGCTGATGGAAGAGGTAGACTCCCATGGTTTTGGGCAGCTCTGCCCCTGTGGCTTTGCAGGGTACAGACCCCCTCCCACATGCTTTCATGGGCAGGCATTAAGTGTCTGTGGCTTTTCCAGGAGCATGGTGCAAGCTGTCAGTGGATCTACCATTCTGGGGTCTGGAGAACAATGGCACACTTTTCCCAGCTCCACTAGGCAGTGCCCCAGTGGGGACTCTGTGTGGGGAATTCAACCCCACATTTCCCTTCTGCACTGCCCTAGCAGAGTTTCTCTGTGAGGCTTCCACCCCTGCAGCAAACGTCTGCCTGGACATCCAGACATTCCTATGCATCCTTTGAAATCTAGGCAGAAGAGGTTCCCAAACCTCAATTCTTGACTTCTGTGTACCCACAAGTTCAACATCACATGGAAGATGCCAAGGCTTGAGGTGTGCACCCTCTGAAATAATACATCTTCCTTATATTTATAGCTGGTTTCTTCTACACCTTGTCCACAATGTACAAATGCACAATTTCTGCTCTTTAACTGTTTACCATTAGTTCATTACACGTGTGGATAACTAAAGTTTATATAAGGAGGAAGCTGAAGAAGACAATTGAAGATAGTCTTTAGGAGATTTTTTTTTTTTGGTATAATTCTTCTCCTCCTACCTCTCACAATAATTTAGGTAAAAGAGGTTTCTTCCCCTTTAATGCCAAGCTATGCTAGTGGGGATTCAAGGTGATAATTTAGAGAACTTTTCAAATGTCTCTAACCTTGAAAGACATAGTCATTGGTATTTAGGACTTCATGATTTAAATAGAAAGGGCTACTCCTGTCTGGTGGGCTAAAGACATACTGTAGTGACTTTATCAAGGGAAAGTTCCGCTTACAGCGAATTTATACCACACAAAAGGGATCTGGCTTTAGGTTATCCTAAAATGAATTTTGCTAAAGATGAATGCCTGAAAGGATAAAGAATCCTCCAAAGACTGGTGGGACGTAAGATCCAGAGCCTAAGAAATAGTCATTTGTGACCATTCAGAGGAGACACTGGTGTACGTTGAGGGGAATTCAGTAGTAAGTTTTTAGTGAAGGCAAAAAAAAAAAAAAGAAAACACTTGACTAAAGTAAGTGATGACAATAGTACTAGTGATATCCAGAAGAATCCAATAACAGATTAGAACTGTGCCAACCATGAGGCACTTTACTTCTTAACTCCTAATGCCTTTCTTCCCTGGGTTTAACCCTGGAAGAGTCAGTGAAGAAGAAGTAAATAAAGTAGCAGAGTGAAAATGATCGTGATGATGCTCGAACAAACAATGCCTTCAAAAAAATAATTCACTTCATTTAATTCAACTTTAGCAACCCCATCATGTCCCAATATAATTTTAATGGACTTCATGTCTAAATTTATAGTGAAATTTCTCTCACCAGGTTTCCTGGAAAGAAGAGATTCCTCTTCCTCTAGCTGAATTTCATTTCTAGTTATTATCCTTGTTATAGTCCCTTTTATAGGTAGCAAGAGAAGAGGTAAGAATATCAATAGAAGGCAATTTCAGGAGTCTTTGTAGGAGACGACAAATTTGGATTTAGATAAAAATGACAGTTAAAATTATCAGGACTTGCTTATGGTTAAATATGTAGATGAGGGAAAAGGACAAATAACAGGTAACTTTGGTAGAATTCTAGGAGTCCCTATATAAATGTTAAGAATGAAGATTCTGGTGCTAAACTAATGGGTTTTAATCACAACTTTTAACACATACTAGCTATAAGACTGTACAAGTTACTACCTGATGCTTTGCTTTATTCATATGTAGATAAGGAACAATTTTAATACCTAACACTTATGGTTCTTATGAAAATTAATGATAATAGTATACATAAAACTTAGAAATTGGGAAATAATGAGAAATTAATAAACTGGATAATTTTACCTTGCACATAATCTTTACCATCACCACCCCCACTACCACCAACAGCACCTCCATCATTGTATAAATTATTCTATGGCTTAAATTGTAGATTTTGCTTGGCCCCAAATGAATTTTCCAGATTCCATGAGGACAAAAATTCTCAATGTAAGCTAAGCAGACATATTAATTAATGTGATGTCATTTTGTAACAGTCAAGCTGACCGAATGTTTGTCTGTCTTGATTCTCATCAGTTGTACAGTAATCTTAGAAGGAAACTTCTTCTTAGCTTCACAATTCTTTGCCCAGTTATTCAAGATAATCACATCACAGAAGCTATTAAACATCATCCACTAAGTACATACCACAAATTAGGGATTTACTTGGTGTCAGACATTACACTATGTTATTTACAAATATCATGTTTAATCCTTAGAATAAGTTTCCCTTCCATTTCAGATATGATTATCTCTATTTTGCAGATAGGAACCTGAGGCTCAGAATGATGAAGTGGTTTGTGAAAAGTCACACACATTGAAACCAGTAAAGCTAGGATTTAAATATTTTTTTTCTGATTCCAGTGATCATTCTTTATCCTGAATTGGTGTGTTTTGTTGGAACTTGTTTGACACAGTTCATGTGGTTAATTATAAATTATTAAGTGCTTAATCCCTCATGTTGTTATTTTTCATGACCAAGTAATGTGCTTAACAGACACGTGTTGTCCATCCAAGGCCATCTCATTTAGCCCTAGGCTGAACTTTCACTCTCACTCAATTATTAATCTTCTTGCATCCCTTAACATCACAAACTTCTGACACCTACACTATTCCTTACCTTTTATCTATTTTGCACATTATTGAGTAATAAAACAAGATAAAAATTCAATGGTTTTTTGGATTTCAACTTTTTTAATTTTTAAAATTTTATTTCAATAGATTTTTGGGGAACAGGTGATGTTTGGTTACAGGAATAATTTCAATAGATTTTGGGGAGAAATCTATTTCAATAGATTGGGGAACAATCTATTATAGATTAGATTGAATAGAACAATCTATTTCAATAGATTTTGGGGAACAGGTGGTGTTTGCTTACAGGAATAAGATCTTTGGTGCTGGGGAACAATCTGTTTCAGTAGATTGGGGAACAATCTATTATAGATTGTTCAGAAATAGATTGAATAGAACAATCTATTTCAATAGATTTTGAGAAACAGGTGGTGTTTGGTTACAGGAATAAGATCTTTAGTGGTGATTTCTGATATTTGGTGCATCTATCACCCAAGCAGTGTACACTGTACCCAACGTGTACTCTTTTATCCCTCACCCCCTCCCACCCTTTTCCCCAAGTCCCCAAAGTTCGTTATATAATTCTTATGCCTTGGCATCCTCATAGCTTAGCTGCCACCTATGAGTGATAATATATGATGTTTGGTTTTCCATTCCTGAGTTACTTCACTTAGAATAATATCTCTAATTTCATCCAGGTTGCTGCAAATGCCATTACTTCATTCCTTTTTATGGCTGAGTAGTATTCCATGATGTGTGTGTGTGTGTATATATGTGTGTGTGTGTGTGTGTGTATATATATGTGTGTGTGTGTATATGTATATGTAAATATGTGTGTATGTATATGTACATGTATATATAATATACACATACGTATGTATATAATATACACATACGTATGTGTATATAATATACACATACGTATGTATATAATATACACATACGTATGTGTATATAATATACACATACGTATGTGTATATAATATACACATACGTATGTATAATATACACATACGTATGTATAATATACACATACGTATGTATAATATACACATATGTGTATGTATAATACATATGTGTGTGTATAATACACACATATATATGTGTGTATAATACATATATATGTGTATATAATATACATATGTGTATATAATATACACATATATATGTATACACACACACACACACACACCATATTTTCGTTATCTACTTGTTGGTTGATGGGTATTTGGCATGGTTCCATATTTTTGCAACTGCAAATTGTGCTGCTATAAACATGCATGTACAAGTATCTTTTTTGTATAATGACTTCTTTTCCTCTGGGTAGATACCCAGAGAGATTGCTGGATCAAATGGTAGATCTCCCTTCAGTTCTTTAAGGAATCTGCACACTGTTTTCCATAGCGGTTATACTAGTTTACATTTCCAGCAACAGTGTCCAAGTTTCCCTTTTCAACACATCCATGCCAACATCGATTATTTTTTGATTTTTTGATTATGGCTATTCATGCAGTAGTAAGGTGTTGCATTGTGGTTTTGATTTGCATTTCCCTGATAATGAGTAATGTCAAGCATTTTTTTCATATGTTTGTTGGCCATTTGTATATCTTCTTTTGAGAATTGTCTGTTCCTCTCCTTTGCCCACTATGTGATGGGATTGTTTGTTTTTTTGCTTTCTGATTTGAGTTCCTTGTAGATTCTGGATATTAGTCCTTTGTCAGATATATAGATTATGAAATTTTTCTCCCACTCTGTGGGTCATCTGTTTACTCTGCTAACTGTTCCTTTCACCATGCAAAAGCTCTTTAGTTTAATTAAGTCTCACCTACTTATGTTTGTTTTTATTGCATTTCCTTTGGGGTTCTTGGTCATGAAATCTTTGCCTAAAGCAATGTGTAGAAGGGTTTTTTTCAACTTTATCTTCTAGATTATTTTATGGTTTCAGGTCTTAGATTTAAGTCTTGATCCATCTTAAGCTGATTTTTGTGTAAGTTGAGAGATGAAGATCTAGTTTCATTCTCCTACTTGTGGCTTGCCAATTATCCCAGCACCATTGGTTGAATAAGGTTTCCTATCCCCACTTTATGTTTTTGTTTGCTTTTTTGAAGATCAGTTGGCTGTAAGTATTTGGCTTTATTTCTGGGCTCTCTATTTTGTTCCATTTGGCCTATATTCCTATTTTATAAATGTACCATGCTATCTTGGTGTCTATGTCACATCAGCTTATTTGTGGTAATAAAACCAATGTTGGTCTTAAAATGTGGTACAAAAGCATTCAGGCCAAAGTGTACTGTATACATCAACTACTATGTAATACCTGCTTTTCCCAACTGTTTTATCCATGACTTCACGATTATCTTAGAAAATTATGTTTTGTATACTATGCCACCAGAATCTTGTATATTAAGGGCAAGTTGTTTTATCAACAGACTCAATCCGTGGTCAAGTAATTTGTGCGACTTTTGACTGTCTTCACTAAGCTGTGTTTTTTAGTCAAAACAACCATCAATGAAGATATCAAAGATTCTATTCAGAACTTACTTTCAAACCAGATTTTTAAAATATAGGAAATCTTGAGAACTATGCCAAGGGAAAAGGATACTTTGAAGGAAAGTAACATCTGATGAAAGAGTCTGGAAAAAAAAATAATATCCCTCAAGCCTCCCTCTAATGTTATGACAAATCTTTTTCACTATATCCACTCACGTAATGGGCTATCAATATGTCAACCTGTGTCCTGCTATGATTCTTTTTGAATAGCATAGTCTCACGAAGACAGTTTTTCTTCCACCTATTGATATATTTCACCTTGTTTTCTGGGTTTCTGATAAATATTACTCGAGTATAAGGTGGTTGCTTGGTTTAACTTATGTCTGGTGTTTTGCTATTATTTGTTTTAGTGATAGTTTTAAAAGTCTGCCCTAGTCTAGAACCTGTTTACTCCCGTTCTTTCTTCTTTGTGATTCCTATCAAATGCAGATTCCTCCTTTGTGATTCCTATCAAATGATCCTATACAATCATTTCTTATAGTTGGGCGTCATTCTAAAGTAAAACTGCCGTGAGGAAGTAGAACTGGTAGCACTTTTTTTGATATCTTTGTACATTTTGCTTTAGAAAATTAAAATACATTAGGTAGATTGGTAGAGATTTGAGGTGAAATTTTATTGCTATTGTAATGATTTTGTTGATGGAATTCCCAATTCTCTGACCCTACTCTCTGTTTTTTTTTCTTACCATTCCAACTGGAAAAAAAAAAAAGTGTTACAACATAAATACCAGATGTGTTTTCAGTACCAGAGGCAGAGCTATGGTAAAAGGTTGTAAAAGGCTCTGCAGACAATAACACAGAAATTGTTCACTTGAAGGAGGATTTTGTCTCTTGTTAGATTCTGCTCTCCTGACTTCTGTGGAGCCAGATTAAAGAAGTTTGCACAGAAATGTCCTTGCTCGTCAATCTTAGGTTCTTTGCTCCCTTGAGAAGCAGTATTCCAGAGACATTATACGGCTCCAAATAATTGCTACTAATGACCTTGTTTATTTTCCAGTGTTTACAAATCCCTCTGGAATGTAGATTGTATATCAGCAGAAATGAACAACTCATATTCACACTCCAGGATTATTTCTATATGACAAAGTGTGTGACACGTAACCATTGCTTCACCAATGCCAGCAATTACCATATTATTATTATTATTACAACATTATGGCCTAGAGATGCATCTAGTGACTACATTCTTGCTTACCAAACATGTTTGTAAGAAAATGGTATATCCTGGAATGAAAATGGGTAAGGAAAGGTGTACAGAAAAGAAGTAAACAATGTGAGTGACCCACTCTCTCTTTACTTTTAACTTAATGAAATTTAAGAAGCTACTGAAGATGATAGGCAATGTCTGGGTGCACTAGTACAGATTATTTTGTACTTCAAAGGCCAGAAAAGATTTGAATTAGGCCAGTCATTCCTTCTTTCATGTCAAGAGAATCAAAATCCATGTACAAATCAGTGTTTTGCTCAGTTAAGAATGCCATTATATACTGCAGTGTTTATGGCAATGATATTGTTTTTAGGTGTGGTTTCAAATTATAAGGTCATGAAATAGGGGAACTATAAAGATCCTTGATAATCACCTAGAAAATGTCGGAATTTCACAGATGAAATAACTGAGGCAAGAGTCATGGTAAGGTTTGTTTAGGGTCACTCAACTGGTCTGTGGCAAAGATAAAAAAGAATTCAGGTAGTCTTATGGCCAGTGTAGATATGAAATTTTATATCTGCAGACATTACAGAGTTTCAACAAGAAGCAGCTGGAGGCATGAGTGCATTTTATTATATTCTGCCAAAAAAAAATCTGTAGGTAGTTTTATTTCAGGAGAACGATATTCCACCCAAATTAGGCTTAAGAGCTGTCAATAATAAAATGATTCTATCAGCTATTTAAAGTACAGTTATTACTGTGAAGTACTTGGTAGTCTAAGGATGTTATTATGTCACACCAAAACATCTGGACACTTCAATCAACCAGATATATTAACTTTTTATAGAGAAAGTCCAAACAGTGTAGCAAATTTATAACCTTATATATATACTTTTAACCTCACAGAATTAATGCTATAAATGTCTGAAACAAGCTGTGTTTCGATGTAGAGAGTATTCAGTTAATATGGTATTTGCTTAGTGCTACTTTGAACCTATTATGCATTTGTTTTGAATTAGTACTTGCAGATGCCAAACATATTTTTCTCATTTTGAAGTTCTTGGCTGGGAGGAATAAAAGAAAATGGGGAATAAAGATGTAATATTTATATTTTGTCAGTAAATCATTTAAATTTCTCAGAGGCATAACTTGTTATTGTTCTGGTAATATTGTGGTTGACTTTAGGATGTGTTTCTAGAGAAATAGCCATACAGTCACCTTTTAAACAATGAAGTGAGGAATCCTTTTTTCCTTTTCTATTTCAATTCCCATCCACTCTTTAAAGGGTAACAGTGGCCCCTCTAATAGGCCACCTTTCTTAACTTTATTCTTCAATTCACTAAGTAGTTACGTATTATACTTGAACTTCTTATGAGGCAGTGTGCTGGTTGTTGGATGTAAAACAGTAAGTAGGTTAGATGGCTTTGGCTTCATAAATCTTAGCATTAGACATGTAATACAGAGAGATAATTTCACATTGTGTGATAAGAACCACAAAAGAGGAACACATATGGGGTACTGATGAATGAGAGGAGAGGCATCTAACAGCTTCGAGTGTGTTGGATAAAGTCATGGCAAAAAAAGACTCAAGAAAAAACAAATGGCAGCGGGGGCTGAAAATGACTTTGAAAACCCAAACTTAATGTTGAGAAGCCAAATGAAGCTAAAGATATTATTATTAGAATAGTAAGGAAATATACTGGAGAAAAGAGCAGAAGTTAGAGAGTCAGTACAGTAGGAGTGGCTGAAAGTTAGAAAATTATCCTAAGGACACTGGGAGAGCAGCTGACAGGCTTTAGGCAGTAGAATGGCTTTCTCATCCTACAGTAGAGGGAACAATCACACTAATCCATTTTTTCAGCATCATATTCTTTCTTACATTGTAAGAATATTTTTCAAGTATTTATGTCAATTATCCGAGAATATTTAGAGTTCCATAGACGAAAAGTATGCCTCGTATTTCTTTTTACTCCAAAACACCTTGAATAGACAAAAATAAAAAACAATTCTGGTAGTCTTATAGCCACTGTAGATATAAAAGTTTTATATCTGCCAACCTTAAATGCGAAGTCACTTTATATCTGAAGTGACTAATCAGTGAAACCATATAGTTATGGAGATTATTTTCCAAAAATGACTAACGAATGGAGAAACCTTAACAAGACTTACCAGATTATAGAAAATTTAGCTTTCAACATGGAAAAGGGCCAAAGTGAAAATGATACGGGGAGAATAATTATTCCTGTGTATTAAAGAAAATATAAGAATAGGGAGCCATTTTATTATTCATAAAAACTTAATGCCAAATGTGAAAAAAAAAACCTATTTTTTTTTCATTCCTGGAATGTTTTTTGATTGTTAAAAAGCATCAAGAAGTATGAAAATAATATGTAAAAAGAGAAAACTTTTAAAAATATTTTAGAGCATTTACTACATGCCAGAACCATATTAAAAATGAGTATACAAGATGCTTACCTGTATCAGCAGCTATAGAGAAGGCATAAATATAAAATAACTCTTACACTGTCACTTGCAGAGATACAAACACACACACACACACACACACACTCTCACACTATAGACTTGGTCCTTTGGGGAGAACCTCCGATTTTTTATTTTCCAATCTCTAGTCAGGTGATCAAGTGATGAAATGGCATGATCTGAACCACAAAATTTTGTAAGTTTAATGTAATCATATCAGATGAGTATAAATATTGTATAAGTTATTGGAAGAAAAGTTGAATACATAAATCATATGTTTTATATCTATGATACTGCATATTCACATTTCTTCACAGCACTGTTTTCCTTGAATTGGTTAAAAATTATGTGGTCTGATATTCTAAATATTTCTTTGCTATTATAACAAAGCACATTCCATTTCCATTTTGAACACTTAATTTTGTGAGCAGTATTTCTTAGGACGTATCTCTATTATTGATATAGTTGGTAATGAACCATGTTTTCTTGTAGCAATTAGTAATTTTAATCCATTTCCATTTGTAGTTGAAAAAAATTGAAAAAATACCCAACACCATTCCATTAAAATGCATTTTCAATAGAATTTTACGTTTGTTTCACAAGTATAAAACTAAACATAGGCCGGGCGCGGTGGCTCATGCCTGTAATCCCAGCACTTTGGGAGGCTGAGGCGGGCGGATCACGAGGTCAGGAGATGGAGACCATCCTGGCTAACACGGTGAAGCCCCGTCTCTACTAAAAATGCAAAAAATTAGCCGGGCGAGGTGGTGGGCGCCTGTAGTCCCAGCTACTTGGGAGGCTGAGGCAGGAGAATGGCGTGAACCCGGGAGGCGGAGCTTGCAGTGAGCCGAGATCGCGCCACTGCACTCCAGCCTGGGCAACAGAGTGAGACTCCGTCTCAAAAAAAAAAAAAAAAAAAAACCTAAATATAATTTCATGTCATTTTGATCAACTGTGCACTACTAATAGCAATAATAATTCACATCAGAGGATTTTTTTAACAAAAAATTTTAGAACAGGAAACAAAGAAAAATTTATCCTAAATTGATATACATATTTTAGGGGCAGGTAAGCATTATAGTGTAAGAAAAATTTAAAACATAACAGTATCTTACATCAAGATAATATTCTATAGAGTAAGTTCAATAAGTGAATTCAAAGAGCCCATTGTTCAAAAAGAACAATGTATAATTTCAATTATTAAGAGGTAGGTATCCAGGTCTGTATTATTTGCTATGTAATACCTTTAATTCTTTTAGAAAAGGAATTTTTAAAATTGTAAATATTTAAAACTCATCAGACATTATATTCTTCACACAATTTAAATTGGTGATAAAAATTATAAAAGCCACCTTAAAAATGTGTGAAGGGCACATGGTTATTTTGAAAATTCTCTTTGCGTTTAACCACACAAAAAGTATGACGACCACTCTTTTGCCTACCATTTTCTTTAGTTTTACTGAGTCTGTGAGAATCAAATTATAATGCTGAGATAGGTGTGAAATATGTAGAAAAGCAGGCAGAAGTTCATACCGAAACAGAAACTCAGGAGGCTGTGGTACAGCATGCAGGTCACCCTTTCAGGATAGAGGCACTCATTCCACCATCTCTCATTCTAGGAAATTGCCTTTGACTGAAGGGAAACTGCATTGCCTAGGTCATACCCCCTTGTTCCCTGGGTAGGGAAGGATTGATTGATGAAATGATACAAAGGCATGACCCTTTCTGATATGGTTTGGCTGCGTCCCCACCCAAATCTCATCTTGATTCCCATGTGATGTGAGAGGGACCTGGTGGGAGATAATTGAATCATGGGGGCAAGTCTTTCCCCTGCTGTTCTTGTGACAGTAAGTCTCACGAGATTGGATCGTTTTATAAAGAGGAGTTTTCCTGCATGAGTTCTCTCTTCTCTTTGCCTTCTATCATCCATGTAAGATGTGGCTTGCTCCTCCTTGACTTCCACCATGATTGAGAGGCCTCCCCAGCCACATGGACCTGTAAGTCCATTAAACCCTTTTCCTGTATAAATTACCCAGTTTCAGGCATGTCTTTATCAGCAGCATGAAAACAGATTAATGGAAGCTCTTTCCTTCATTTGAGCCATGTCTGAAGGGTCAGAACCCCCACTGAGATCAGTTGAGGCCTTGGTTTCAACTTCATAACAGTCCAAATTTTGAATTTGTCCAATCCTGTTTCTTTTGATCCTTTCCAGATGTTTTAGACAACGGCCCTCCCTGATAAAATTTGTGCATGCAAATCTCCATTCTCTAGTGTTTCCTGGGAAACCCTACCTAAAACATGTTGGGAAAAAAAACTATTATTATCAGGGTGAGTCACTGCATCTAATTCTAATGAGACCAAATGAATCTTAAATAAGTAATCAAAAAATAGTTTTAATGAAATTTCTGCATTTAACATGACAATTGTCTATGATTTCATGGGTGACTGTTATTTTGAGAACCAATTGTCCAGTAATGTTATACTATAGTAAAACAAAAGAACTCCAGAAATAAAATCACTATAAGACTTAAAATGCTGATACGACATCAAATGGTTGTTTGAAATGTTCCTTTAAAGACATTTTTGTATCTTTAATAAAGAAATGTTCGTTGGAATAAAAAATTTAAAGGAAGCGTTTTCTGAACAACCCCGTCTTCCTTGATTTCCCTTAGATGATTCCAGTCTACATGAATTTGCTTAGTATTTTACTATAGACTAGAGACTTAGGAATTGACATCAAGTGCTTTAAAAATGCAATAGAAAAAAATAGAGTAAAATCAATAATAGTGTGAAGAATGACTTCAACAGCTTGTATTTTCACAGTGGTCATCAAAAAGTAATTTTATATCCAATAATCTGTATTGATTGTTTGTGAAACTGCAATGCATTGTACCATAGGACTGGTTGTGCAGTTATAAATATATGTACCATTTTGTTGATCTTTTTTTTTTCTTATTGAGTTTCATTTTCTCTAAAAGGGATCTTATTCTGTAGTGTTTATATGTGGAGGCAAGATTCAGAACTATGACTATTAATTCTAATACCTTCAGCCACGTAATTGGAACTCTCTTTTTGGGCTTTTGGAGAACAAGGAAAAAACGTGAAATATGATACAATTCAAGAGAAAATTTTTTGAAGTCACCTATATTGTACTTACCAACTACCATGACTTCTCCAGGGCCTTATACTGAAATATTTCGTGAAAAGTAATTAAAAGCCAAAAGATGCATACTTTAGGACGTA
Organism: Homo sapiens; assembly: GCF_000001405.40. Classification (NCBI taxonomy): domain Eukaryota; kingdom Metazoa; phylum Chordata; class Mammalia; order Primates; family Hominidae; genus Homo; species Homo sapiens. The sequence goes on from NC_000009.12 coordinate 24,726,489, forward strand.
ATCAGCATAAAACCTCTCAATATATCTAGAATTTGTATACTGGATAAATATTATCCCACCAAACTTCTATATTATGGGACTATTTTTATAGGTAGGGCTCCTTTATAATTTTCTCTTTTCTTCTTTTAGTGACACTTTCTGGAATGGAAATGGTAATCTGAAAAGGTTTAGTTGATTTACTTATTCAGGTGCCAAAGCAAGACAGACCTGATAATCCTCACATGGACTTGCATTGGTGGAATAAATACTGATTCCATGAGGAATCTTAGCTGATTGCCGCAGTGGGTATTTATATCAATTTGGAGGGAGAAGCTGGAAAGACTTGAATTAATGTGAATACCACTAATAATAATAAGGTGATAAAATTGCATCAAGTGCAGAAGATGAGGACAATAGCTTGTGAGGATTTTTCACCAGTTTGCTGCACGATGTGTAAGAGAAAGTCTCTTCTGTTTCCATTCCCATACATTTCTCAATACTGGTATGAAATGAGAATGGATCCAAGCTGGAGAATGAATGAGTAAAGGAGCTGAGTTCGGATTCAGAGTCTCAGAGTAAACAAGGAAGTAAAGCAACTGCATATGGGAAGCTGATATCTGATTTACAGAAGGAGGAAAGATTTTGAAAGCGTAGGGGTTTAACCATATATGGCCTTTAACTGTAGCTCTAGCGTTTACTGTTTGTGTGAACTTGAGCAGCTTACTCAACTTCTTTGAACCTCAATTTCCTCATGTAAAAATAAAGATTGCTGTTGTTAGGATTTAATGAAAATATGTATTTATTTATTCAACAACTACCTATCTAAAATTGTTGTATGTCCTAGTTGCATAGCAGTGTACAAAATAGAAGTTCCCTACCCTTAAGAAGAAGACAGATAATAAGTTAACAAACACATAACATAATTACAGATTGTATTGATAAAAATATGATGAGTGATAGATCCAAGGTGATATGATAAAGGCGCCCTGCTTTAGAGAAGGAATGTGTCTTAGGTGAATTCCAAATGAGCCTTTTCTCAGTTGACATTTTGGTTTAAACGTGGCTAGTGAGAAGCCAGCTATTGAAAAGCCTGGAGAAAAGTATTTTAGGCAAAATTAACAGCAAATGCAAAGGCACTAGAATGCAAGTAAGCTGAGTGTGGAGAATAAAAATGGTTAGAGCATTTTGTGAAAGGTAGAATGTGGTCTCAGATGAAGCTTTTGATCAGCATACAATAGCAGTACCTATTGAAATGTTATGCTATTCGTTGAAGCTCTAAAACTACTTCTATTACAATTGTATTGGAGAATTGATCTAATGTTGGCAGGATATTATTGAATTTAGTAGTAGTTTAATGAATAAATTGCTTGACTAGCTGCAGTATATTGAGTTTTAATTCACAAACTTACAGCTGACTTCCTATCTGAACTTGTGAAAATTATATAATCTCAGCCTCAATATCGGTGATTCCTTACATTTACACCTGACGATTTTCGTAAGGCTATTGTGATTATTTATGTTGGAGACTTTATAACTAATTAACCCTGTATAGATAGATGCAATGCATATCACATCAGATAATAAGGATATGTTGTGAGTTGCGAACCATCAATGTAAATATTTGCTAGTTTGTAGTTAATTTCATTTGTTCTGAAAGTTAAGAATACCGTAACAGTTTAATTATTTGTTTAATTTGTAATTTATATTTACCACTTTCCAAAGTGCTACAATTCCTAGTGTGGTAGAGTCAATATTAATGTGTAAAGTATCTATAATAACACAAAAAACTCCTAATGAAAACAGAGAGGTATCACACAATTATTAGAATGTTTTGAGATATTCACATTGTGTCAAGGACTATTGAAGGATCTGAGATTTAACCCTATGCTACAGACTGAATTGTGTTCTCCCAATTTGTATGTCAAATCCCTAACTCCCAATGTGCCTTTATATTGATATAAGGTCTTTAAGGCAGTAATTAAGGTTAAATGAGGTCATCAGGGTACAGCCCCAATCTGTTAGAAGTGTTGTTCTTATAAAAATAAGATGAGACCTCAGAATTGCCCACATGCAGATAAAAGGCCACATGAAGACACATGGAAAAGACAGCTATCTCTAAGCCAAGGAGAAAGGCCTCACCAGAAACCAACCCTGCCAACACCTTAATCTTGTACCTCTATCCTCCAGAACTGTAAGAAGACACATTTCCATTATTGAACATTCTGTTGTTGCTATTTTATTTTGGCAACCCTAGTGGAATAATACACCCTATTTTCAGGCTAACAAGTGAGGATTAAGCTCTGATTTTTGTATCTTGCCCAAATTCGTATCTAAGGGGTCTAGGGAATCATGCCCTACAAACTATAAATTTTCATCAGATGGGTTTTGTTTGACCCTATGTATCATGACTTACTTTTCAATCTGACTCTGGCATAACATTATGAGACAAGGAAAAAAATCAAAATATTTAATCCCAAAATATATTTCCTTGCCATACCTTGAAATTGTCCTGCTAAGTCTCTTGTGGGAAAAATCCACATTCCATAAAGAATCACTTTTTCCCTTTGTTTTTCTTCCTTCCTTTCCCATTGAAGGAGATAATCAACTAAGAGCCAGGCACCCTTTTAGGTCGGCTATCTGAGAGCTTCCTCTGCATGATAAAACCTGGTCTCCACAATCCTTTATCTTAACCTGAACATTTCCTTTCTGTTGATCCCAGGTCTTCAGATAAACTCAACCAATTGTCAACCAGAAAAATGTTTAAATTTACCCATAGGCTGGAAGCCCCTGCTTTGAGTTGTCCCGCGTTTCTGAACCAAACTAATGTATTTTTTAAATGTATTTGATTGATATCTCATGCCTCCCTAAAATATGTAAAACCAAGCTGTACCCCGACCACCTTGGGCACACGTTCTCAGGACCTCCTGAGGGCCGTGTCACGGGCCATGATCACTCATATTTGGCTCAGAATAAATCTCTAAAAATATTTGTACGGAGTTTGGCTCTTTTTGCCAACACAAGTTACTGAATACACACTGTTCTGTGGATAAGGGTAGAAGCCAAAAGATCTTTGGATCAGAGAAAGGCCTTTATCATTAACAAAAATAACAGTAGAAAGACTATTAGTATATATTTTTTTACCCTGGTTCTCTGAACCCATTTTCCAAAGAATGAGACAAAGAGGGCCAAGAAATATCTGTTACATACATGAGTTGCATTATAGCAGGGGAACCTTGAGCTAAGAGAAACAGAATTTTATAATGGAATAAGGATGCCTTACCTTTGCCCTGGATGCTGTAATTAAACCAGTTCTGTTTTTTTAGAGGGAAAGACTATATCTTCCAAGGCCATTTACCACTATACACACGTTCTTCAAAAGAGAGTCTGGAACAAGGGCAATCAAGGTCTCTACTTGCAAGTGTATAAAAATGTGAGAATCCATTGGAGAATTACTCTTAACACGTAGTTGCTCTTGTAAAAAACAAACAAAACTCAGTGTTTCAGGAAAGTTTTATTCAAAGCTATATTCAAAGAGAACCTTCATTGAAGAATCTAGTAATTATTTAATGAAAGATAATCAATAATTTTCATCTTGAATATCTGATGTTTATTATAATTTAAGTCAAATTATTTTTTATATTGACTAGTTCTCTAAATTAAAATGCTTCTTTCCAAGTACAGTAAGTTTGGATTTATTAGGTACATATTATTGATAAATTTTAAGGTCAGATAACTAAGTTGATGAGGATAGTCATCTGGAGTCCTGACATATTTTTTTCCTTACCTCCATTATACAGTTATTACTGGTTACTTTCAATGATTTCAAGGAGTCAGTTACAATTTGTAAGACTTCTTTCTTCCTCCCATACCTTCAAGGATAGTCTTCCCAGAAATTGATGAAATATATTGATTCATTCTGATGCAGGATTTTTCTCCACCCCTTCGTTGGACTTGTGATGGAGTTGTCCCGTTTACTTGGCCTGTTGTGATTTATCCCTTGTGGGAGGGAGCCAGTGAGTGAGAGAGGGCAGGAACTAGACAGCCGTTTTGGGCCCCAGCAGGAGCAAGCCTCCGGTGGGCCCCATGTCAGCACCCAGGTTGGGGTGCCTGTGACCCCTGAAGCCCCACTGGGTGTGTTACAATGCTCTCTTACCTCTGCCATCCATGGATAGCGGTGTGTTATCAGCTCAGTGGGCTCCTTGCCTCGTCACAAGAGGCGGCTGCCTTCCACCAGCGAGAGCAAAGGGCCAGTGTGACACCCTTTTTTGATTACTTGCACTCCGTGGGTCCTGAGCTCTTGTCAGGCATCCAAGAAAAATGAGGTCACGCAACACTTGAATGATGGTGAAGGCAGAGAATTTTATTAAGCGATGGAAATGGCTCTCAGTGGAGCAGGGGTGGCTGCTGAGGGGACTGGAGGGCAGGTAATCTTCGCCTGAAGTCTGGCCGCCTCTGGCCAGCTCTTCTCTGAAGTCAAGCCGTCTCTCCCAAGTTAAGCCGTCTCTTCTCCGAAGTCCTGCCGTCCATCTGAAGTCAAGTCACCTCTCAAATCAAGCCACTTCTCTCTCTATTAACTGAGTCTGTGGTCTTTTTAGGCACAGGATGGGGGGCAGGGCAGACCATGGGTAGTTTTGCAAAAGGCAACATTTGATTGGTAAAAATACATTATTCAGAAAGAACAAATCAGAAGGCAGCAGGGACACAGGGATAGAAGTTCTCACTTTGGGCCGGGCATGATGGCTCATGCCTTTAATCCCAGCACTTTGGGAAGCTGAAGCGGGTGGATCACGAGGTCAGGAGTTCAAGACCAGACTGGCCAAGATGGTGAGACCCCATCTCTACTAAAAATACAAAAAATTAGCCAGGCGTGGTGACAGGCACCTGTAATCCCAGCTATTTGGGAGGCTGAGGCAGAGAATTGCTTGAAACCGGGAGGCAGAGGTTGCAGTGAGCCGAGATGGTGCCTCTGTACTCCAGCCTGGGTCACAGAGCGAGACTCTGTCTGAAAGAAAAAAAAAAAAAAAAAAGTTCTCACTTTGGGCTGCAGATTGCCGGCTTTTTGCTGGAAGATGGGGTTTCACTGGGGACCCACCCCCATCTGCCTAGAATTTCTCTGCCTCCTGCCTCTATCAACTCCTTCTGAACATGTTCTGTACTTGTTCCACCTATAGAGACTATGTTAAAGCAAATTAGGTAACTTCCTTTTTAATAAATTCTGAAATGCTGCTGATTAAAAGCCAAATCTATTATGTAAAATTATTTTTTTAAATCCTAAATGAATGGCAACAGGCTTTAAGGCCAGACTTTCTAGAGTTCTAAGAGGCTTCATTCCTAAATGAATTTTTATTCTAAATCCCACAATAAGCTTTATCTTTGAGATATTACTGTGACTCTGCATAAAATACTGCTTTCAGGAAAGGACCCTGGCACAGTTTTAACTTTGGAAATAATATGTGTTCTCTTCTGAAGTCAGCCACAGTAGGATTTGTGGTGACTCACTGGAGGAGCATATTAAGGTAGATCCATTAGCATCACCATTAAACAGGAGATTAAGCTAGGCTGTATCATTCAATATCCTCACATCACTATTACGTTTGTTTAAGCAGCAAGTCTATTAGCTATAAAGCTTCATATTTAAGTGTAAAGCACAAAATACTCCAGCAAGAACAACAGAAAAGCCACTTGCAAGTACAAATTGACACAATGCTTTTAACTTTTATTTGTACTTAAAAAAACTTTCTTAAGCTCACCTTGCCTCACCCCCTTATTTCCACTGTCAGCTAACCACAAATCTTTTTCAAATCAACATCTCAGCTCTCACCAAATTAATTATTTAGGTTCAGATAAAAATTTTATTTACACCATTTTTGTTCATTCATTCTTCAGGTGTTTTTAATCTCTCAGTGTAAAACATTTCTAAACACAGTAAAGCCCAAAACTTCTCTGGCATTTCTATTACTTTCTCTGAGAACAGTCTTCAACTTGTTATTTATGAAGGTTTTTTTTTATATCACTAGTTTATATTTCAATCAACCAGTCTAGTGATTTTATCTTAAATTAGTATCATTCAAACAGTTTAAATGTCAAAGGCCAAGTTTAACCAAGGAAGAAAACATCCTTTAGAGTTATTACTGTACCACTTCAAAAAAAGTATTAAGAAAATCATCTATAGAAATTAAGATAAAATAATGGAAATCAGGGCCAGTTACATGAGTATGGGACCTGTTCAGTCACACGACCCAAGCTTAAATAAGCCCCACACATGATTTAATATTTGGCTTTTCCCATATTGAAATTCTTAATTTTTGAAAAGGGGCCCTATGTTTTCATTTTGCACTGGACCTCATAGATTATTTAGTCAGTCCTGGTTATATTTTATGATGCATGTATGATTTTATTTCCACTCTAATTTATCTTCCAAGTAGCTATAATAGCATGCACTAGCTCATGCAGCTAACTTACCCCAGGTACAGGGGTGTGAAGATTTTTCTGTTTGTGTGGATGATAAGGTCATTCTTTCTTATTCCAGTGTTTATATTTAAATGGGTAGAGAGTGAACTGGATTGACCTTTGGACAAAGATTCAGTCACAAAAGACATTTTTTAAAAAGAAAACTATTTCTTTAAATAATTTATATATATATGAAAAAACATATATATAACATATGTATATAATACTGAACTGTAATTAAGAGCACTTTAACCGAGATAGAATTTGTATACTTATAAATAAGAATTGTAATATATTTAAAAGCTAAGCAAAGTGAAGATACAATCTAAAATGCATTGTCATAGTTTGACACAAAATCATATAAATTAGAAAAATCAATGCAGAAGTTAGTCAGGAAATGCAGATAAAGACCAGACAGAGGAAAATGATCTTAAAGTGCAATATAAGATTCTTCATTAGGCATGCGGCTTATGTCTGTGCATCATTGGTATTTTGGAAAGGATGTCATATTTCCTCCCTTTTTATTTGTTTTAAGTTTGGAACCTAGAACACTCTAGGTGGCAATGGCTCCTGTAGGCCTGCAAACTTTCTGCTCTTCCCAAGGCAAAGGGAGGTTGCTGAACTGCCAAGCTCCTATCACAACTTTTCCTGTTTCTTTATATTCTCTAGTGTCTCCAAAGATTGCTTTAGCATTCTGCCACACTCAGCATCCACAGAAAACTTAGGTGGGAAAAAACCAAAGTAAAGAGTTAGAGATGATTAAACTTTAACGTCTTAGTGCTTAATTCTGATCATCCTGTCCTGAATTCATTAAGGTATCAGCATGTGGGCCAATACTTGTTTACGTAATGGTTAAAATATTCCAACTGTTTGAAGGTTCAAGAATAGATCAAGAAAAGCCCAAGAGGCCACTTCTAGGCCTACTGTAGTATTTGCTATTGAATTCATAAAATAATGCCCTTCAGAGTAAAATCACCTCCTAGCACAGAGAGCAGATGAAACATTTATTTAAAATGTATTATATGGCACAGCGTCAGGTAGCAGCACATATTTAACTACATGGAATTGTAGACCTGTTCAGGCTAGTACTCTGCTCTTCTGAAGTGTCACAGCAGCATAAAGGAAAGAAGGTTGTAAAGATAATACAACTTTCAAACATTTAGGGCGTTGATGAATACACATTCTCATTTGCATTTTATACAAATTAGCATCAATAGGTAGGGCAGTATTAAAAGTATCTTTACCACTACTTTGTCTGCACACTTTATGGCAGAATGTGCTTACATGCGCTGTCATCAACATTAAATAAACTTTTGGGAGATAGGTTCATTGGAGTACTTCTGAACGCATGAAGTCTTTTTGAATAATTGAGGGCATACATTTATATAGTGTTTGTTACTGGAATTAATAAATCCTTGTATGATATCTCAAATCTTTGAAGAAAAAAGTGGAATCAGTGCATAAGTCAGTGTGCAAAAATCTTTGGCACTAGCCATTTTGTTAAACTTTCTAGGTTTCAATTTCCCTATCAGTAATATCAAAGGTTGGCCAAGAGGTACCGCTTTCATCTTACCTGTTATGTTAATCTACTTTTATAAAGCCCGTAGAAAGACTTAATTTTTCATTATCTGTCTTTGAGACTCCTAATTTCATTGCTTTGTGTATTCATTTGTTCATTTATCCCGTAAAGTTTGCTTGATTGATGTCAAGCACTGTTCCTTAGCTCTGAAGATTCAATGTCAAGGGAGATAGGGCAGGAAAAGATGGAGGAGATATTTTCAGGCTCTCATTTAGCTTAGAGTCTTGTTTGCATTTGGCAGGCAATTATAAAAGAATGACAATTTAATATGGTCTTGCAACTGTGAGAAATATAAAAATGAAGGATTAGATGAGTGCATCTGATCTGGTTAAGAACAAGGAAAGCTCCCCTGAAGGTTCTCATGACAGAACTGAGATTTAAGACCTGAGTACAGAGGCAGAGTTAATAACTTGAGAAGGCCAGAGTCAGGACTGGAATAGGGAAAAGCAAAATCTGGGTTAACAATGATACAATGTTTAGAAAGACTAAATTAACAAATGTATAATCTCAACTATAGACTCCTTGTGATATTACTTGTCCCAAATAAGGTTTATGAAAATATTTCCATGGTCCTATAAGTCAAAAAATTGCCCTTCTCCTTTGTGTTTTATCTATTTATTATAGATAATTTTTTTTAGCATGTTGAAGGGTTGATGCTCATTGAAACACCACTTTTCTCAGTACTAGTCCAGGACAAAGTAGTGGTACTATTTTTAATTGATTATTGTGCAATATGTCAGCCTTATAGTGATACTTTCTGTGTTGCTTGTGTTTCAGTCAAAGGAAAAAATTGAACCATTGACCGTTCTTGTAGGCATACTTTCTGGTCAAGCAGGCTTACACCTGATATGGTCATCAACACTACAAATAGTTGGGAGATACATTAATTGGAACCCTTCCTAAAGAATGAAGTTGCTGAGTAACTGAAGGTATATGTGTTTGTAATGTTTATTTTATGGATAAAACCATTCTTAGTATATCATCATTTTCTGATAACACCATAGAGAAAGAGAGCTTGTTATGAATTTGCTAATCTCTTTTTCATTTGGAGGCTAACCTAATGATTTAGTGTCACTGTTCTGTCCTTATAAAAGTTAACACATATTACATTGTACTTTTAAGGAAGTTTTGGCAACAGCAGATTTCCAATTTTAATATTCTAATTTAGAATTGAATAGTCATCATAACACTTAACCCAGTGAAAAATAAATACACAAAGAACTTTTCTTTATGAAATTAGAACCACATTTCAAACTTTAGGTATTAAAAATAGCTTATAAAACAAACTCTGGAAGATTCTGATTATGTGGGGTGATAATGATAGTGCAATAATGCATTTCCCAGAATGACAGCTAGTGATATCTCTAAATGGCCTTCAGTAGAAGAAAGAAAACACACTGCTCCAATCAATACACAGATAGTCCATAATGTAAAGATTAGAATCAGAATATTTAAAAATTTAATACTTTGCCACTCCATATAGCACTTTGGAAGTCAATATCTTTGGAAACCTGGTCCATTTCCCTTCTTTGAAAGCATTATATATTTAAACTTTTTAAATTATTTATCTAGTCCATGTGATTAAAAATGAACAAAGTTAGCCCATCCATTATCTTCTGCAGCTGCTGTCTGGATATTAGTATTTGTTTTTTTCTCCCTCTTAAATACTTGATTTTTTTTTTCTTCTTATCCTGTAAAGAGCTCAATAGATACATTAAGAGAGCAAAAGGAAACCTCATCTACTAACATCACAGGGTGCTGCTGCATAAATAATGGGTAAAAGTGGCTGTGCATGAACAATATACTTAAATATTTTTACTCAACTGTGTTACTGCTGATAGTTTCACCAGATAGTTTAAAATGTGCCGAAACTATCAGCAGATAGTTTAAAATGACCTGATAGTTTAAAATGTAGTAAAATGGCAAGAAAGCCTATCATGTGTTTCTTTTCCTGGCCTATTGTAAATAGTGTGTTTTTCTATTTGTCTTTTTAAAAATTTACTCTCAAAGCTACTCCAAAGTCAACTCTTGCAGAATAAAAACATTATTAATTGAGTTGTTTTAGTCCTTCTTCTACAAGAATTGTCATGATGAAAGGGAAAGCTCATATTTCAATAAAGTGAAGAAATATTTTTAAAATAGCAAATTTAATGTAATGTATCATACCAGTGTAATTTTATGGTTATTAATTTGCTTCCCTTTAAATGTCTTTATTTTTACATATTTTCTTTCAATTTTGCTGAGATCAGAATTGCTGATTTTGTAAATGTGCTACCTAGCTTGGATTATATAATATGACTTTTATTATTTCTTATGAGGGTTTCTGATATTAAGAAAGAAATGTCTGTTTTACTATCCTACCATAGCTTTTCATTAACTCTACTTTAGAGACCTTTTTTAATTCCTATTTTATCATTAAAATATTTAAAATATCAGAAGAATAGAACACTGTAAAACTATATATAAAAGAAAATATAAAAATGTCAAAGAAACACCCAAATATTTAAAGATAATAAATAAAAAATTAGACAGGGACACTATTTTCTTTCTGTTTTATGCTGAAAGACTTTAGAAAGAAATCTCTTAAAATGTTTCCTAGGAATCTCCTCATATTCCATGGCAATACAATTATGCCACTTAGCTTTCAGGAAAATAGATTATTATAGCTTCAGCCCATTCTCCACAATGTGTAACACATCTTTTTGTTTTTTAATGTACTAAGTATCTCCAGTATTAACAAGTGTTCTTCTTTATCTGAAGCAAGATAAGAGATTGGGGGGAGAATCTGATCTAATATTTTTGGTGCTTCCACTGGTTATCAACAGAATACTTAAGAATGACAGGAAGTTATATGTTTTACCTCTTCGGAGCATAGTGCTCAAATATGCGTATTGTGTGGATATTTTTGGCACAATAGAGGCTGTGAAAATCCTGGTTATGCCAGGCCAACAGGGAGAATCTTCATAGGATTTTACTATTTCCTTCATCCTAACTCTCATTCAAGTGAAATAAACAGCTGATCTTCATCTGTTTTTCTTGAGATCAGATTTCAACTGAAAATACAGAATCAATTGGGGTGCTTCCAAAATTCTTATTTGGTGATTTATAAAAAGATGGAATGCATGGTGAAAATAGGAATTTATATTCTGTAATCTTGCTAGTTCCCAAGTTCCATAATGCCCAAATATTCTATTGCTTTTCTGTAATGAGTTTGTTCTACTGATCTGACTACTGAGATAGCAGATAATGTTCAGAATCGGTGTTTTTGAACACAATCACAAGTATTAGAAATAAGTGACTGAATTTATAGCGACTTGATATTGATACAGGAGTGCTGGGAAGGGAAGAGTGTGGTCCCTTTAAATTATATGGAAAGGGAGAGGAGGGCGTGGTCCCCTGGCTAGGGCTCCACCCCCACAGACCTTGGCAAGGAAAGGCTTTTCCTGCCCAAATGTTGCATTACCCAACACCACCCTGGCCTGCCACACCCTCATCCTGTGCCTGTAAAAACCCGAGACCCCAGCAGGCAGACACACAGGTGGCTGGACATTGAGCATATCAGTGGAGGAACACATAGGCGGCTGGATGTGGAGAGGAACGCACAAACAGGTACCCGCATGTCAGCAGGCCAACGACCAACAGAATGACATGGAGTCTGGCTGGTGCAGTTGGAGGAGAGCCCAGGCCACTGAAAGGCCTGTCTCCAGGGGAAAACCATTTCCTTCTGGCTCTCCCATCTGCTGAGAGTGCTAAATCACTCAATAAAACCTTGCACTAATTTTCCAAGCCCATATGTGATCCCATTCTTCCAGTACACTAAGGCAAGATCCTCAGGATACAGAAAATCCTCTGTCCTTGTGAGAGGTGACAATGTGTTAGCAGCCCTCGCTCACTCTCAGTGCCTCCTCGACCTCAGCATCCACTCTGGCCACGCTTGAGGAGCCCTTCAGCCCGCCACTGCACTGTGGGAGCCCATCTCTGGGCTGGTCAAGGCCAGAGTCAGCTCCCTCTGCTTGCAGGGAGGTGTGGAGGGAGAGACGCGGGCGGGAACCAGGGCTGCACGTGGTGCTCGCAGGCCAGCGCAAGTTCCGGGTGGCCGCAGGCTCCGTGGGTCCCACAGTTGGAGCTGCTGGCCGGTGCCTCCAGCCGTGCCGGCTCCAGGTAGTGAGGGGCTTAGCACCCGGGCCAGCAGCTGCGGAGGGTGCTCCAGGTTCCCCATTGCTGCCGGCCTGCCTGCACCAGGCTTGAATTCTCACCAGGCCTCAGCCCCCTCCCCGCAAGGCAGGACTCCGGACCAGCAGCCCACCATGCCCCAGCTCCCCCTACCCCCCATGGGCTCCCACATGGCCCGAGCCTCCCCGACGGGTGCTGCCCCTGCTCCACGGTGCCCAGTACCATCGACCGCCCAAGGGCTGAGGAATGCAGGCACGTGGCGTGGGACCGGTGGGCAGCTCCAGCCGTGGTCCTGGCACGGGATCCACTCGGTGAAGCCACCTGGGCTCCTGAGTCAGGTGGGGACTTGGAGAACTTTTATGTCTAGCTGGAGGATTGTATATGCACCAATCAGCACTCTGTGTCTAGCTCAGGGTTCGTGGATGCACCATTCAGCACTCTGTATCTAGCTAATCTGGTGGGGACTTGGAGAACTTTTATGTCTAGCTAAAGGATTGTAAATGCACCAATCAGCACTCTGTGTCTAGCTCAAGGTTTGTAAATGCACCAATCAGTGCTCTGTGTCTAGCTAATCTAGTGGGGACTTGGAGAACTTTTACATCTATCTAGAGGATTGTAAATACACCAATCAGCACTCTGTGTCTAGCTCAGGGATTCTAAACGCACCAATCAGCACCCTGTCAAAATGGACCAATCAGCTCTCTGTAAAGTGGACCAATCAGCTCTCTGTAAAATGGGTCAATCAGCAGTATGTGGGTGGGGTGAGATAAGGGAATAAAAGCGGGCTGCCCGAGCCAGCGGAGGCAACCTGCTAGGGTCCCCTTCCACAGTGTGGAAGTTTTGTTTTTTCGCTCTTTGCAATAAGTCTTGTTGTTGCTCACTGTTTGGGTCCACACCACATTTAAGAGCTGTAACACTCACCGTTAAGGTCTGCAGCTTCACTCCTGAAGCCAGCGAGATCACGAACCCACTGGGAGGTACGAATAACTGTGGATGGAAGGAACGAACAACTCCAGACGTGCCACCTTTGTGAGGTGTAACACTCACTGCGAAGGTCTGCAGCTTCACTCCTGAAGCCAGCGAGACCACAAACCCACCAGAAGGAAGAAACTCCAGACACATCCAAACATCGGAAGGAACAAATTCCGGACACATCATCTTTAAGAACTGTAACACTCAGGGTGAGGGTCCGCAGCTTCATTCCTGAAGTCAGTGAGACCAAGAACCCACCAATTCCGGACACACTTGTGACGAGTCAAAGGGTCTAATTGAGCTGGTTAACATAGGCCGTCTACATACAGATAAACTAAAAGAGCAACCTGTCATACACGCTTACTGGGGCTTCTGGAGCTATAAACATTCACCACTAGACACTGCCATGGGGTCTGAGCCCCATAACCTGTCCATCTGTATGCTCCCCTAGAGATTTGAGCAGTGGGCACTGAAGAAGCAAGCCACTTCCCCACTGAAGTGGGACAAGGGAAGTTTTCCCACTTCATTATGACATGTTCTTTCTATGCAGAAAACATAAGCACAATTATAGTAAAAATGTTAAATAACATTTAGAAAAAAATAGATATAAACTTCCATGAGGGGTAGAAGTAATATCCTTAGTCAACTTGAATGTCTCACTCTCGTCTTGCTCAATTTTACTTCTTAGATTTTTTTTCTGGATCTGTTCCAATATGTCTCACACTATTTTTATCCAATCTGGAGTACATTGGAGTGCTGCGTCTTTATATTTGGACCATAATTACTCTTTGTTAAATGCCCTTATTCAGGGAAGACTTGGCATCCAGTGTCCATATCCATTTTAGCATCAGTACAACTCAGAAATCCCAGGATCTAACAGCCTTTACCTGCAAATAATATCAGAATATTAACATTCATACTTTGATAGTTTCTTGCCTTCACAATTCACTGTAGATTCTCTGTCATTTTTCAAAATCTTGAGAGAATTTTTTTCGTGTCATTAAGAATAATGACTAGCATTTATTAACTTATATGCCAGTCATGTTATGTACATTTTCAAATTTAATGTTTTTCACAAGTTTAAAAAGTAGGCAGTGTAATTATCCTCTGTTTAGAAATAAGAAAGCAAGAGCAAAGAAAATTTAAGCATTAGTTTAAATTTATAAAAATTCTATTAAATGAGACGTTAGATTTTGAATCTAGTTCTTTATAAACTAAAGCTTATGCTCTTAAATTCTTAATATACTATTTTCTGGAAATGTTTCATATTTACTTACAAATAGCCCTTTCTTGTTTCTCTTGGGTGCTCTGCTTTTTTATGTCTGTTTTTGAAGAATCACTTGAGGTTAGATGGTAAGCCACCTTGCTACATTGTATCGGGGCCCTTACTGAGAAGCCTGCCTTGCTCACCATTTTGTTGCCATAGAGCTCCAAGACTCTTGTGTTGCCCTAAGATGCTAGGTCCCCTTTGTTCTTCTGTTAAGAAAAGAAATTAAAACAGCATGTATCTTCAGACATTCACTCAGTTTGTTTGACATTTTTTTCTCTTTTCTTGAGGACGTATGTATCGGTTTCTACCATCATCTCTCAACTAGCTTTCTCATCTGTTTTTCTCCTCAGTAACAAGTTAAATAAAATTTTGGCATGTATTTAACGATTAGCGTTTAAAAAAACTAATCATTGTATTTTGGAAACCTCACTTTTAAAAAATAATGCCTTGATTCTCACAGAAATAGTTTTACTACACTTATGGGTGCAATTTGTGCAAAAGATACCGCAGACTACTCACCATTATTTCTATTTCTGGCTTCAGGTGTTAGTGAATTAGAATTCCCTCTTATAAACTTTGTTGCCTTATAGCTTTGTAAATAAATGCTTATTTTTGTCAAACTCACATGTTCAGATAACTCTAAAATTCAGTTTAGATTCAGCGGGAACTCTTGCTACATTAATTGTATTGAAATTACACTTCTACCGATTTAGTCCATTTTAATCTCTTGAAATTAGAGATCTTACATTATAGAATTCCCTGGACAGAGTACCATACTTGAAATATATTGAGTATTCAGCTGATGTTTATTTAAGTGAACCGAACAGAAGAAAGTTCTTCCTTTCTGCTTATTTACTTGCTCAAACTCAACTTTGACTTTAGGTACTTATCAACAATTATCTCCCAGAGGTGTTACTGTCTCTTTTAAAGCTGCAAAGTTCTTACCATTTATAACTTACAACTAAACTCTCCCGTCTTTGTTTAATTCTGTAACTTTCTTCTTGCTTTCTGTGATAATTTGAGTATCGCCTGCCAACATATACTGTGTTTCTGTGATCTGCTTTTTGTTTCTGCTCTCATCACTGGAGGACTGTTTTACTAATTGAAGGCTTTTGTTAGAAGGAGTACTAAAATAAAATATAATTTTCAAAAAGTTAAAAACATGACACTCATAACTATAAAATTAACAGGCCAATGTTTTAACTTAACTGTAATGTAGGAATAAGATGTTAAACCTGGTTCAAAAAAGAATTTGAGGAATTTGGATTTTTATTGTTTCCCTGCCATAAAAGTGCAAAAATAAATTTGCTAACAGATGTGTAACTGATTAGTGATTAATCTAGATAGGAAATGGTAATCTTTGGTTTACTTTTCCTCCTGACCAGAAATCATTTGCATTACTATAAAGAATCATTTGCAATGTTCATTGACAGATTATTTGTAATGTGCTTAGGATTGTATGTATTTCTATCAGTTTTCTATATATTAATTTCTAATATTAATTATAAAATATCCTAATAAATAGTAAATTTGAAGTCAAAAGAACATACCCTAGAAAATCAGATAATCCCTTCAAAGAATGGGCCATTCCCAATACTATCTTAAAAATACTCCCAATTATCTCTTTGCATATTTCCAAGTTTTAGATAAATTTTCCTAACAAATTTAATTGCTCGAGTGGAATTTGGCTGAAAATGGATCCACTATTGTGTAAACCAAGAATTAACTTAGATAATATTTTCCCACTATTCAGGGTAGCAGGGTACCTTTCTCTCTCTGATCAAGCTTTGTAAGCAGATGACTAAGATGGGAAATATCAAGATTAAATTTTGAGTCCTTTGCTGTTGTACTTTTTATTTTTATTTTTTAAACAGTCTCTCAAGAGCTAAAAGAAGCCAATTTTGGGGAAAGTGAAACTTTTAATGACCCTCCACATCACAACAAGTGAAGAAAAACATTCAGAATAAAGTACAGCACATTGAGATCTTGAAGGTAAATAACTCTTTTGATTAGAATATATGCTGAACCAAAGAACAGGTCATTTTTTAAATTTAATTCAAACTGGCTAGCCAGGATGTGCATGCACATTTTTATCAGTAGAAATATTTGACTCTTGTTTCTTGGTAACATATAGGGGCTTGAAAATACTTGTTGAATGGATTAAATGTTACTTAGAACCAAAGAATTGTGAGGGAAAACCATTTCTTATTTTAAATGAAAATTGTCTCAACTACATCTTGTTTTGGGCAGAAGTATGTTTAAATATCATGTCAATTCATTGCCTAGAATTACATTGGCTTTTCTGTTCTTAATTGCCTTCCTTTTTCATTGGTTGGCACCACATTATAATATAATAACTTTGGGATTTTATTTAATTTTGTCAAAAATTCTAAGCTCTTAACAATAATAAAAACAAATAACCTCAAACATTATGGACTCACATAAATATGTAGAAATTCAGAATATTTAACACGTGTGAATATTACAAAGTTAAAATTTTTTCAGTCTCCTTTATTGATGTCTGCTATCTAGATACCAGTGTTTGGATGAGTCTCTACTCAAACAAACTATCATGGTTTTAGTCTGAGATGTGTATTAAGTATCTTTTCTTCAAATCGTCTTTTGAGTCATGGAGGGAGGAACGGGAAACTTAGCTATTATGCATTTTAAGTACCATCCAATTTATTTTCTCTCCAGTAGCATACACACTATGGGGTCATTCTATTTAGGCAATGACACATAATTTTTTTTCTCTCAAATCTCCTGAAGGATCCTGCCACCCTAACAGAGTCTGCTGTCCATTTTTATCAACAAAGAAAGGGTGTGTATGACAGGATTTTAGTATTTCCAGGTGGCTGAGAAAGAGAATAAGATACAACAGCTCTTCCTTTTCACTCAATAGCTGAGAGGATAACAGGAACTGGCAGGTGGAAAAATGATGAAGAATTCAAATAGGTAATGCAGCTCTGGACTGGACCATGGAGGAGAAAACAAGAGGACAGATTATGGGCCAGTGTCTTTCGCTGTCAGATATTCCCATTCAATAAGCTCAAAATCTTTGTAAAAATCATTGCCTAAAAATCATTGCCTATACTCCGTAAATATTTTAAGATATATTCTTTTTTGAAATAATTTATCATATTTTCTCAACAGCATTTTTTTTTTTCCTTACATGTGGGACATGGATTTTGATGTATGTGCCTTGCGTTCTGGAGTTAGTCAAACAAAAAGGGAATAGGGAAGAATTTAAAACCAGTCTTTTAAATATTTGGATACCTTTAAAATACTTGTAATATGCAGCCCTAAAAAACAATGAGTTCATATCCTTTGCAGGGGCATGGAAGAAGCTAGAAGCCATCATTCTCAGTAAACTAACACAGGAACAGAAAACCAAACACCGCATGTTTGGTTTGGGTAGCAGTGCATTTCGCTATCAGTTATTCCAATTTAATAAGCTCAACATCTTTGTAAAAATCATTGCCTAAAAATCATTGCCTATAATCCATAAATATTTGAAGAGATATTCTTTTTTGAAATAATCTATCATATTTTCTCAACAGCAATTTTTTTCCTTACATGTGGGACATGGATTTTGATGTATCTGTCTTGTGTTCTAGAGTTAGTCAAACAAAAAGGGAATAGGGAAGAATATAAAAGCTGCCTTTTAAATATTTTGATACCTTTAAAATACTTGTAATATGTAGCCCTAAAAAAAGAATGAGTTCATGTCTTTTGCAGGGACATGGATGAAGCTGGAAGCCATCATTCTCAGCAAACTAAGATGGGAAAAGACAACCAAACACTGCATGTTCTCACTTATAAGTGGGAGTTGATCAGTGAGAACACGTAGACACAGGGAGGGAAACATCACACACTGGAGCCTGTTTTGGGGGCTGGGGAACAAGGAGAAGGAGAGCATTAGGACAAATACCTAATGCATGTGGGGCTTAAAACCTCGATGATGGGTGAATAGGTGCAGCAAACCACCATGGCACAGGTATACCTATGTAAAAACCTGCACATTCTGCACAAGTATCTCAGAACTTAAAAAAGAAAAAAAGTACTTGTAATAGAAGTTTATGAACAGAAGGCAAAGAAGAAATAATTTTCTCACATACACATAAACCCCTGGTCCTTTCACCCTCTGCCACTTTGTGTCTTTCATGATGTCTTGAAAAATAAACTTTCATGGAATGTCTGATGTGAAAGATTTATTATATCTATAATTTAAACTTTGGCAAGTGACTAAGAACCAGGAACATGCATTAATAGTAAAAACCAATAAAACAATATTAAGCTGAAAGTTTGACACACATTCCATAATTCTTCACCCACGGTTCAAGTGTGAAGAGCATAGCACACTGGAGGCAATTACATTTTCAGAATGAAAGGAATTTTAATTCCCAATTCTTGTGCTCATTCACTTCAAATCTTGCTCAATTGCAAAATGTAACTAGAGATTTAATAACTACTGTTACCCTGAGAGAATGCATTAGGAATAAATTTAGATTAAAAAAATTTACATCCTCTACATAACTGGAAGATTCCTCTCGTGCTTAGGAGTGGACTGACAGAGAGCTTACTCACCTTTCTGTACTCCACAGGCACTTGTACATTTGCAGCACAGCTCTTTTAGCCACGATCTAAAATAGGTCTTTTCTAGACCTTTTTTTTTTTTTTTTTTTTTGAACAAACTGTTACTGAGTTATCTGGGTGTCAGGGATTTGATAAATGCTTGTGTAGAAAACCTAGTAATGAGTGAGTGAGACGTGAAACAGAACCTGATTTCAGAGGATGGAAATGAAAAATAATAGATTTAATTTGAAAATCTATGGATTTCCCAAATTTCAGAATGAAGAGATGAAACAAACGACATTTTCTGAGTTCACTGTAAGCCTTTTACATGGCAGTATTTATATCAGTAAAATTATGTAGACAGTATTCAATTTAGTTCTAAGGCCAAATTATTACTTTTTTTTTTGTATAGATCAAATTTAATTGATTGCCAGGCTTAGATCTAAGCTGAACTCCGCTCAGTGCAAACATTCGAAAATCCTCCCTTCTCATCGTACGCCTGAGAATCTGGTTATATGTTATAGTCCTGCCTTATGGACATAGATCCACCGTGTAAGCTTTGGTAATGCAGCCTCTTTTCTGTTACCTGTTCGTGTACTGTAATTTATTCTAAAACCATTTTGTGTTATTAGACATTGTTTACAATGGCAAATGTAAAACAAGAAATACTAAAAAAACCATTTCAAGTCTTACTTGACCTCTTTGCAATTGTTTATCATGCCTTCTTCCTCAAAATTCTCCTGGCTTCTGCAGCAGCGTTTTCTACTGATTCTACCTCATCCAGTTGATTGCTGCTTTTCAGTCACACTCATGGAGTCTTTTGACTCTACTTCTACTTTACTCATTTTGTAAAATTATTTATTTTTGGAATAGGTAATACATACATATATATACACACGCATATATATATACACATACATATATACACATACATATATACATACATACATATATACATATATACACATATACATACATATATATACATACATATATATATAAAACAAAATTTAAAGGGTGAAAGAATAAATTGGTAAAATCAATCTCCCTTCATTCTATGTCTTGTAGTAATCTAATCTGTCTTGACAGAGCAACCATGATTAACACTTTTTTGCTATTCATTGCAGAGAGGCTTTATAAATTTAAAATTATCTATATTTAATTTTTTCCTACTAATTGTAGTATATTGTGTGTCCCATTTTGTTCCTTGATTTTTTTTTACTTAGAATATATATTTGGCATATTATTGCCTACCAGTTCCATTATAACTAGCTCATCCTTTGTAATTACCTCACAGTAAAATTTATTTATTAAATTTCCTATAGATTTATATTTAGATTGCTTTTCTTTTTACCTACATGAGTGCTTCATTAGATATATTTTTTAAAGTTCAATATGTACTTCTTCCATTATATTCATAGAGTGAACTTTAAGAAATAGAATTTCTGAACCTAAGAATATACACATTTTTAATTTCAATAGATAAAAAAATTCTAAATTGCCCCCATAAATGCTATAACCAGTCCCATCTGTAATAAACGAATCTACTATATTTACTTTTGCATCTGTATTTTTAAAATAATATTGATTAACTTGTTCTATTTCTACTTCCTTCTTCTTCCACTTCTACCATATTATATTATTTGTCTTATATTCATGTTTATGTCTTCAAATATACTTCTATTACTTGATTAACCTATTTTACATTTTAACTCCTCCTTTGTATTAAAATATAAATAAATTAATATAAATACACTCTTCTTCCCCTACTAACATTAATTAATCCTGTCTTTTCAACACAGGATTCAAAATATTTCCTTTCTATTTAGTAACTGAAAACATTGGTAAATTATTTTCTGAAGCTAGTTTAATTTCAGAAAGAGAGGGGTCGACTGTTCCTGGCTTATAGCTTCAAGTCTTTAAGTCCAGGCACTCCTAGATGTATAATAGATGTAGGCAGTACCATCAGGCACCAGATTTTCTTTTTTCCTAGGCTTAACTCTCCTTTGTGGTAACTTCATTTTCTGGTTGCTTCTTCCTGTGTAGTGGCAAGACTTTTAGTCTTACATTTTAGTGGTACAATAATTATGTAGCTCAAGATCCATTTTCTCTTTAGCTCAAAAAAAAAAAAACAAAACAGGAACAAAAAATCAAATTTGAATCTCATCCTACCAGTCTAATCCTGTCTTGACATCTGCATCTCTGATAACTTGAACTTGGAAATCTTCTAGTTCCCAACCTGAATAGCAAAAGTCTGACAGCCTATACTCTAGGAAAGGTGCCTCATTTCATCTTTCAGCCACCCTTGCCTTCACACTCGCACTGTCTTGTGTGTCTTAAGTGTGTATATCCCTGGTTCAGCTATTCAAAAAGTAAAATTTCCAGTTGTCTACAATAATGAAAAAAAGAAAGTAGCTTTACCATGTGAGCCAAGAGAGGACCAAGAATCTAAAAGTATGTAATTTAGAGATTCTATCAATTTATCTGTCCCATACACTGCCTTATGTACTGAGATTCAGCTTATATCTAATGCTCTTCTCTATCCCCATTCAACCACCTCCTCTTAATTTATAAACATACATAAATATGGGTGCACATGTGTGCATGTGCAAATGTACATGCACACATACACAGAGGAGGTTAGGTTTCAGCTCATTCTATTGGCTGTATTCATTCTACTAAATCTATTGCCACCAATTCACCCACTTTCTCTCCCTGAAAATTATATTTATTTCATTTATGTTTTTAGTCATTCACTGTATTAATTTACTGTATTAGTACATTTTCACACTGCTAATGAAGACATACCCGAGACTGGGCTATTTACAAAAGAAAGAGGTTTTAATGGACTTAAAGTTCCACATGGCTGTGGAGGCCTCACAATTATGGTGGAAGGTGAAAGACATGTCTCACATGGCAGCAGATAAGGGAGCTTGTGGAGGGAAACTCCTCCTTATAAAACCATCAGATCTCTTGAGACTTATTCACTGTGAAGAGAACAGCAGGAGAAAGACCTGCCCCTATGATTCAATTACCTCCCACCAGGTCCCTCCCACAACACATGGGAATTCATGATGAGATTTGGGTGGGGACAGAGCAAAACCATACCATCCACTCAATCTTAACTTCAACAAACATTTACTGATCATTCACTATTAATCAAGATTTGAGCTCATTTTTATGGATACATAAGCAAAATAAAACCAATCTATTTTTCTTATTGAATTTATCATAAATAAGTAGACAAATGTTACTGAATAAGGGCAAAATTAAAATGGCTGATGTGTTTTACAAGTCGTGGATGAGGCAGTCAGTGGTATTTTAAGATTATATAAATTAAAATTTGACTTAAGGGGTCAAAGAAGTAGTGAATGATTTGTTATTTGAAGCAGTAATCTACTGATGGCAGCCCCACAAAGAAGGTGCAAAGGGAGGAGGAAAGGTAGGGTCAAAAGTGGAACACAATTTAGAGAGGATACAGCATTTATATGATGAGTGGTAATGAAGGTACTCAGACTATCATCAAATCCTTCTGCAGGGAAGGGCTTCATTGAAAAGTCAGGGACCTACAACTGCCCCTTTCATTTCAGTGATGTCTGTCCTCAAACTTCATGTAGAATTCTACCTATTTATGAACATGGACTTAAAGAGATCCTTGTCATTTTTAAATAAGCAAAAGATTATCTGTCATAGAGTCTATTGGTTACAGAGCTCAGAAACAGTGCTGCTCAATTAAAGCTTCCAGGAGTAAGATTTACTTCCAACATAAAAACAAATGACAATAATGCAGAAAATAAGCAAATAAAAATACCTTGCCATTGACTTAAAGACTCTTAAAGTGAATCTGACTTAGAGTAATCATCTAATTTCATTGATAGACAAAAATACCAGGGTATACAATCTTTTCATGGAAGGTATTTTATGTTTTTTGTAATTGTGAAAGAGGAAATGTTAATACAACAGATGAAAGTTGAGCCACATAAGTTCAAAGGTTATTGACTTCTTTGAATCTATGAATCTATCCTCTGTTGACATCCTACTTCAATTTTTGACCACTAAAAAATCAGTCTTTTTTTTTTTATAGCATTCAGGGCAATTATCTTGCCTAAGGCTTAAGATCTGAATAAACTAGACGTTACTCTTTTGCTTTTTTAATGCAAAATATGGTTTTGATTTGTAAATGCATTCAGAGGCACAGCAATGGGTACCAAAATTATTATTTTTTAAATGAAATAAAAATGGAGTTGACAGCTGAAGCACTTTCACAGCAGTTATTATTATGTGTTATTATTAGCAGCAGCATGTGGTGACATTTTAGACTCTAAATCCACAGAAATATATCCTAGATCATGGATATTCCAGATGCTAGGGAGAAGAAAATAGAAATGCTACTGTCTGGCTTAATGTGAGAGAATTTTTTTTAATGAAATGAGAAGTCTGATCATTTTGGACTGGATAGTAGGGATTGATTCATCCCTATCACTAAAAGTTAAATGGTTAATACGACGGCTTTCCTACAAACATAGATATCTGCCACTGAAAATACTGCTCAGAATATGCTGAGGAATATATTTGAGACTTTAAGCTGTGTGAAACCTGTCACATTGTTAGCGACATAACAGCAGAATATCTCATGGAATTAGTCATTGTGAGTCCTCTGCCATATAGCTCAGTGGAGTGCAAACCTAGTGTATTGTGTCCTTAGGCTGAATCAGAAAAGGTTCCATTGTACATGTAAATAAATGTCTAGACTTTCTTGACGATTAGTTCTGTTCTTAGTACTCAAATTTTCTTTAGCAGAAATTGGACATTGACATTCTATATGTGCAATCAGGCAGCATAATGTAGTCATTAGAAATACGGAGCTGCATTTGAAAACACATAGCTCTGATCCTCGCTTGATGTGTATTCCTGGGAAGTATCTTTTTTTAAATTTAATTTTATTATTATTATACTTTAAGTTTTAGGGTACATGTGCACAACGTGCAGGTTTGTTACATATGTATATATGTGCCATGTTGGTGTGCTGCACCCATTAACTCATCATTTAGCATTAGGTATATCTCCTAACGCTATCCCTCCACCCTCCCCCCACCCCACAACAGTCCCCAGTGTGTGATGTTCCCCTTTCTGTGTCCATGTGTTCTCATTGTTCAATTCCCACCTATGAGTGAGAACATGCGGTGTTTGGTTTTTTGTCCTTGTTATAGTTTGCTGAGAATGATGGTTTCCAGTTTTATCCATGTCCCTACAAAGGACATGAACTCATCATTTTTTATGGCTGCATAGTATTCCATGGTTCATATGTGCCACATTTTCTTAATCCAGTCTATCGTTGTTGGACATTTGGGTTGGTTCCAAGTCTTTGCTATTGTGAATAGTGCCACTATAAACATACATGTGCATGTGTCATTATAGCAGCATGATTTATAATCCTTTGGGTATATACCCAGTAATGGGATGGCTGGGTCAAATGGTATTTCTAGTTCTAGATCCCTGAGGAATCGCCACATTGACTTCCACAATGGTTGAACTAGTTTACAGTCCCACCAACAGTGTAAAAGTGTTCCTATTTCTCCACATCCTCTCCAGCACCTGTTGTTTCCTGACTTTTTAATGATCGCCATTCTAACTGGTGTGAGATGGTATCTCATTGTGGTATTGATTTGCATTTCTCTGATGGCCAGTGATGATGAACATTTTTAAATTTTTCTTGGCTGCATAAATGTTTTCTTTTGAGAAGTGTCTGTTCATATCCTTCGCCCACTTTTTGATGGGGTTGTTTGTTTTTTTCTTGTAAATTTGTTTGAGTTCATTGTAGATTCTGGGTATTAGCCCTTTGTCAGATGAGTAGGTTGCAAAAATTTTCTCCCATTCTGTAGGTTGCCTGTTCACTCTGATAGTAGTTTCTTTTGCTGTGCAGAAGCTCTTTAGTTTAATTAGATCCCATTTGTCAATTTTGGCTTTTGTTGCCATTGCTTTTGGTGTTTTACACATGAAGTCCTTGGCCATGCCTATGTCCTGAATGGTATTGCCTAGGCTTTCTGCTAGGGTTTTTATGGTTTTAGGTCTAACATGTAAGTCTTTAATCCATCTTCAATTAATTTTTGTATAAGGTGAAATGAAGGGATCCAGTTTCAGCTTTCTACATATGGCTAGCCAGTTTTCCCAGCACCATTTATTAAATAGGGAATCCTTCCCCCATTTCTTGTTTTTCTCAGGTTTGTCAAAGATCAGATAGTTGTAGATATGTGGCATTATTTCTGAGGGCTCTGTTCTGTTCCATTGGTCTCTATCTCTGTTTTGGTACCAGTACCATGCTGTTTTGGTTACTGTAGCCTTGTAGTGTAGTTTGAAGTCAGGTAGCGTGATGCCTCCAGCTTTGTTCTTTTCGCTTAGGATTGACTTGGCGATGTGGGCTCTTTTTTGGTCCCATATGAACTTTAAAGTAGTTTTTTCCAATTCTGTGAAGAAAGTCATTGGTAGCTTGATGGGGATGGCATTGAATCTGTAAATTACCTTGGGCAGTATGGCCATTTTCATGATATTGATTCTTCCTACCCATGAGCATGGAATGTTCTTCCATTTGTTTGTATCCTCTTTTATTTCATTGAGCAGTGGTTTGTAGTTCTCCATGAAGAGGTCCTTCACATCCTGTGTAAGTTAGATTCCTAGGTATTTTATTCTCTTTGAAGCAATTGTGAATGGGATTTCACTCATGATTTGGCTCTCTGTTTGTTTTTTATTGGTGTATAAGAATGCTTGTGATTTTTACACATTGATTTTGTATCCTGAGACTTTGTTGAAGTTGCTTATCAGCTTAAGGAGATTTTGGGCTGAGACGATTGGGTTTTCTAGATATACAATCATGTCATCTGCAAACAGGGACAATTTGACTTCCTCTTTTCCTAATTGAATACCCTTTATTTTCTTCTCCTGCCTGATTGCCCTGGCCAGAACTTCCAACACTATGTTGAATAGGAGTCTTGAGAGAGGGCATCCCTGTCTTGTGCCCGTTTTCAAAGGGAATGCTTCCAGTTTTTGCCCATTCAGTATGATATTGGCTGTGGGTTTGTCATAGATAGCTTTTATTATTTTGAGATACGTCCCATCAATACCTAATTTATTGAGAGTTTTTAGCATGAAGTGTTGTTGAATTTTGTCAAAGGCCTTTTCTGCATCTATTGAGATAATCATGTGGTTTTTGTCTTTGGTTCTGTTTATATGCTGGATTACATTTATTGATTTGCATATGTTGAACCAACCTTGCATCCCAGGGATGAAGCCCACTTGATCATGGTGGATAAGCTTTTTGATGTGCTGCTGGATTCGGTTTGCCAGTATTTTATTGAGGATTTTTGCATCAATGTTCATCAAGGATATTGGTCTAAAATTCTCCTTTTTGGTTGTGTCTCTGCCCGGCTTTGGTATCAGGATGATGCTGGCCTCATAAAACGAGTTAGGGAGGATTCCCTCTTTTTTTATTGATTGGAATAGTTTCAGAAACAATGGTACCAGCTCCTCTTTGTACCTCTGGTAGAATTCGGCTGTAAATCTATCTGGTCCTGAACTTTTTTTGGTTGGCAAGCTATTGATTGTTGCCTGAATTTCAGAGCCTGTTATTGGTCTATTCAGAGATTCAACTTCTTCCTGGTTTAGTCTTGGGAGGATGTATGTGTCGAGGAATTTATCCATTTCTTTTAGATTTTCTAGTTTATTTGTGTAGAGGTGTTTATAGTATTCTCTGATGGTAGTTTGTATTTCTGTGGGATCGGTGGTGATATCCCCTTTATCATTTTTTATTGCATCTATTTGATTCTTCTCTCTTTTCTTCTTTATTAGTCTTGCTAGCAGTCTATCAATTTTGTTGATCTTTTCAAAAAACCAGCTCCTGGATTCATTAATTTTTGAAGGGTTTTTTGTGTCTCTATCTCCTTCAGTTCTGCTCTGATCTTAGTTATTTCTTGCCTTCTGCCAGCTTTTGAATGTGTTTGCTCTTGCTTTTCTAGTTCTTTTAATTGTGATGTTAGGGTGTCAATTTTAGATCTTTCCTGCTTTCTCTTGTGGGCATTATCTTAATCCCTCTAAACCTTGCTTTCCTGATCTGTAAAATGTGATCATAGTAGAGCCTACCTGATACAGGTGTTTTAAGGATTTAATTATATCTTCTTTTTTTTTTTTTTTTTTTTTTTTGAGACGGAGTCTCGCTCTGTCGCCCAGGCTGGAGTGCAGTGGCGGGATCTCGGCTCACTGCAAGCTCCGCCTCCCGGGTTCACGCCATTCTCCTGCCTCAGCCTCCCAAGTAGCTGGGACTACAGGCGCCCGCCACTACGCCCGGCTAATTTTTTGTATTTTTAGTAGAGACGGGGTTTCACCGTTTTAGCCGGGATGGTCTCGATCTCCTGACCTCGTGATCCGCCCGCCTCGGCCTCCCAAAGTGCTGGGATTACAGGCGTGAGCCACCGCGCCAGGCCTAATTATATCTTCTTAAATCAAGCTCTCTTATCCAAGTCTGTCAAGGTCACATAACTGAAAAATCCGAAAATTAAAATTCACACAGTATGGCCTCTAAATGACAGAGAGTGGCTCATTCTCTGGGAATGACACAAATGCCTTAATTTGAACCCTAGCTCCATCAGTAACTAGCTCTGTGACTAAGGCATTTCCTTAGCATTGTCACTGACCCAAAACACTTCAATATGTTATTTATTTATTTTTAGTAAAGAAATGTTAATCTAGCAGTGCTATTCAGGATAGTTTAGGAAATCCTTTATAGAAATGTGAATAAAATAAATTAACTTTATGAGATGAGAATTTCAAGCTTGGCCATAAGGGAAATTTCCCCAGCTACTTATTAAGATCTTTACATTTTGTCACAAAGTGAAGACTTTAATGTATGTACTTGAGGGTAGGACAGTGGCTGCATGATGCAATCAGGAGACTAGGATCATTGTGACATCTTTTAGCCATTCTTAGCATGAAGTTGTGCCCCCCGCCCCAACAATTGTCACAGCTGTCTGTTCCACCTTATGATCAGATGCCAGGCAGGGAGAAATGGAATGACAAAGGAAAATGGCACATGCTGCATCTGGCATGCATTTAAATCCTAAACAACAGTTTTCCTTCACCTCTCATTGGCCAGAATCATATCAGTCACCCGCTATCTAACAGGAGGTGGGGAAAAAAAATTTAGTGTTTAATATACAATGCTACCCCAACAAATTCAGATATTGTTGTTGATATGAATGATATGAAAGAAGAAATAAATGGATATTAGATATTGACATGGTTTGGCTGTGTCCCCACCCAAATCTCATCCTGAACTGTATGTAGTTCCCATAATCTCCACATGTCATGGAGGGGACCTGGTGGGAGATTACTGAATCATGGAAGTTGTTACCTCCATGCTGTTCTCCTGAGAGTGAGTTCTCATGAGATCTGATTATAAGGAACATTTCTCCCCCTTAGCTCTGCATTTATCCTTGCTGCTGCCATGTCAAGAAGGACATGTTTGCTTCTCCTTTTGCCTTGATTATAAGTTTCCTCAGGCCTTCCCAGGATGCTGAATTGTGATTCAGTTAAACCTCTTTCCTTTATAAATTACCCAGTCTCAGGTATATCTTTATTAGCAGCATGAGAACGGACTAATACCGTATACTGGTAGTGGGTACTGGATTGGGGTGCTGATGTAAAGATAGCTGAAAATGTGGAAGCAATTTTGGAACTGGGCAATAGGCAGAGGTTGGAACCATTTAGAGAGCTCAGAAGAAGACAGGAATATGTGGGAGTTTGAAATTTCCTAGAGAGTTAAGGAATGGCTTTCACCAAAATGCTGATAGTGATATGGACAATAAAGTCCAGGCTGAGATGGTCTCAGATGGAGATGGAGAACTTTTTGGGAAGTGGAGTAAAGGTCACACCTGCTATGCAAAGAGACTGGTGGTATTTTTCCCCTGCCCTAGAGACCTGTGGAACTTCCAACTTAAGAGAGATTATTTAGGGTATTTGGTGGAAGAAATTTCTAAGCAGCAAGGAATTCAGGAGGTGACAGGCACAGAAGTTTGGAAAATTTGCAGCCTGACAATGTGGTAGAAAAGAAAAACCAATTTCCTGGGGAGAAATTAAAACTGGCTCTAGAAATTGGCATAAGTAACCAGGAGCCAAATATTAATAGCCAAGACAATGTAGAAAACGACTCCAGAGCATGTCAGAGACCGTCATGGCAGCTCCTCCCATCACAGGTGGAGAGGCCTAGGAGGAAAAAATAGTTTTGTGGGCCACGACCAGTGTCCCCCTGCTTTGTGTAGCCTAGGAACTTGGTGTTCTGTGTCCAAGCCATTCTGTCTATGGCTAAAAGGGGCCAAGGTAGAGCTCAGACCATGGCTTCAGAGGGTACAAGTCCCAAGCCTTGGCAGCTTTCATGTGTTGTTGGTCCTGTAGGTGTGCAGAAGTCAAGAACTGGGTTTTGGGCACCTCCGCCTAGATTTCAGAGGATATATGGAAACACCTGGATATCCAGGCTGAGGTGTGCTGCAAATGAAGGGTCCTCATGGAGAATCTCTGCTACTGCAGTGCAGAAGGAAATTGTGGGGTTGGAGCCTCCAAACAGAGTCCCCTCCTCTCTGGGGAACTGCATAGTGGAGCTGTGAGAAGGGGGCTACTGTTCTCCAGACCCCAGAATGGTAGATCCACTGCCAGCTTGCACCGTGCACCTGAAAAAGCCACAGACACTCAATGCCAGCCATGGAAGCAGCCAGGAGGGGGGCTATACCCTGCAAAGCCACAGGGGCAAAGCAGCCTCAGGCTGTGGGAGCCAACCTCTTGCATCAGTGTGACCTCAATGTGAGACACAAAGTCAAAGGTGATCATTTTAGAACTTTAAAGTTTAATGATTTCCCTACTGGATTTCAGACTTGCATGGGGTCTGTAGCCCCTATGTTTTGGCCAACTTCTCCCATTTTTAATAAGTGTATTTACCCAATGCCTGTCCTCCCATTGTATCTAGGGAGTGACTAACTTGCTTTTGATTTTATAGGCTCATAGGTGGAAGGGACTTGCCTTGTCCCAGATAAGACTTTAGACTTAGACTTTTGAGTTCATGGTGAATGAGTTAAGACTCTGGGGAACTGTTGGAAGGGCATGATTGTGTTTTGAATTGTAAGGACATGAGATTTGGATCAGGCCAGGGGCAGAATGATATGGTTTGGCTGTGTTCCTTCCCAAATCTCATCTTGAACTGTAGTTCCCATAATCTCCACAAGTCATGAGAGGGACCCAGTAGGAGGAATTGAATCATGGACATGGTTACTTCCATGCTGTTCTCATGATAGTGAGTGAGTTCTCACAAGATCTGATGGTTTTATGAGATTTCCTTCCCCTTTGATCTGCACTTCTCCTTGCTGCCATCATGTGAAGAACTTGTTTCCCCTTCCACCATGATTGTAAGTTTCCTGAGGCCTCCCCAGCCATGCGGAACTGTGAGTCAATTAAAATTCCTTTCTTTATAAATTACCCAGTCTTGGGTATGTCTTTATTAGTAGTGTGAGAATGAGTTCATACAGATATTTAGTATTATCAGACAAAGAAAAACAAGTTTGGTACTAAACTGCCTACTCCACACATATTATCATGTTTAATCCTCAAAATAAAACAAACCTCTAGATGTCATAAATTATAAGGCTATTTTTGATGTGGGCATGATATTTTGTACATTCCCAACACTGAAAGTAGAGTAAACATTTGTCTGCTCCAAGGCCTATGACCTTTCCACTGCCCTACATTGTCTTCCTTGAAATGCTGTCTCAGATCTGATAGTAGATCATTAAATAGCTGCAATTAATCCTTATCATTTCTATCTTCTTAGAAATGGTAGATAAATGTTTCCCTGTAGTTCTGCTGCTGAAGTTAAATATAGCTTTTTGTAACTATCAAAGGTGATTATTTCATGGGACACAGTTATTCAAGCCAAGAGCAATAAGCTCAAATGTAGGAAACCTGGGATCTTAAACTTTATCCATCTCTGCCAGTTAGCTTCTCTGGTCCTGAACTGTCATAACTTGTGAAGCAGAAAAGGTAGTCTGACCCTTCTATCTGACCCTGTTTTGTAAGTAAAGATGGGAAAATATTATTTGGAAGTACAAGTTCCTGCTATACAAATATGAGGAATTATTATTATTGATCTTGTAGCCCAGTGTGGCAGTCTACTTGATACTCTATCAGACGCTTAATTGAGCAGTTTCAGTGCAAGCATCTAAGCTGACAGCAGCTGAAGACTGATTCTCCTCTTTGACAAAATGCAGAATCTAGATGAATACATTCTGTCCTCTCTGGTGCATGCCCGTGAGGATGGGTTATCAACACTTTTCAGAAATAAATGTAAAATCAGTCTAAAACATGATATGAGGTAATAACTCTCCACAGACCTTACTAATTGATGATTATTTGTGTAAATACTGTTTGTGGCATTTTTTTTTCTTCACCTTTCACCAAAAAGAAAAAAAAAAGATCATTTATTAGGTTAACAATTACTTATCTATTTAGTGGTTCCTATGTCTTACACATTGTGGCAGTGTCTGGGAATGCACCAAGGAACAAGAAATATGTTTCTTACCTTCATGGATTTTCTGATCTATCATCGAAAAAAATTAAAAAGTTAATTAAACACATCATGTTTCATTAGGTAACTGAGTAGGTCACAAATCAGTAAAAAATGTTGTAAGGAGGCAAGATAAATAGAAGCACAATGGAAACTTTATATAAGCAGTGCAAACACAAACACATGGCTTTTCACAATCATGAGCAATATGGTCTAAAATTATTATTTATAAATCCATGAAATCAACTTAAATATATGTAATTTTACCCCAAATTCAGAAAAGTATGGGAGAAAATTTTTAACTTACCACTTTGGAACTTTAATGACTTTGTAAAAACGATACTGTATAAATTTAAAAAAAAACTATTGAAATAAAATACGATAATTTCTATGTTATGTATATCTTTACTTGTTAATATAAACCATGACTTTAGTAGAATCTGCACATCTAAAGACATGAGGAGGAATGAGTACATGGATAGTTGGCAACTTGCAATGGGCCTGGTCCCTAACTTACACTTATGGTTCCACATACAATTTATTAACTTTACATTGGTGGAAACACAGTACACATTCAGTAGGCTCCTCAACTTCGCATGGGGTTACATCCTAATAAACTCATTGAAAGTGCATGTTTCCCTTAGAATATTTTTAATTTAGATGGGTTTATCATATATGACTACATGGGAAGCTGAGGGGCATCTGTGTGTGTGTGTGTGTGTGTGTATATATTTCATATATATTGCTCATATATATATCTCATATATATAATTCACACATATATATACAAATATATATGTAGTATATTTGTATATATATCATATATATATAGTTGGTGTAAAAGTAATTGCAGTTTTTGCCATTAAAAGTAATGGCTAAAACTGCAATTACTTTTGTATCATCTATATATATCTCAATCTCAGATGATATATGGACAGAGTTGAAAATAAAGTCACAGCATTAGAGAGAAAAAGCGGTCTTCTTGCCTTCTTGTGGTCAGTTTCATTTTTTTAAAAAAATTTACTTTAAGTTCTGGTGTACATATGTGGAATATGTAGGTTTGTTACATAGGTATACATGTGCCATGGTGGTTTGCTGCACCCATCAACCCCTTACCTACGTTAGGTATTTCTCCTAAATCTATCCCTGTCCCAGACCACCATCCGCTGACAGGCCCTGGTGTGTGTTGCCCCCCTACCCCCTTGTCCATGTTTTCTCATTGTTCAACTTCCACCTATGAGTGAGAACATGCGGTGTTTTGTTTTCTGTTCTTGTGTTGGTTTCCAGCCTCATCCTTGTCCTTGCAAAAGACATGAACTCATCCATTTTTATGGCTGCATGATATTCCATGGTGTATATGTGCCACATTTTCCTTTGCCAGTCTATCATTGATGGGCAATTGGGTTGGCTCAAAGTCTTTGCTATTGTCAACAGAGCCACAATAAACATACGTGTACATGTGTCTTTATAGTAGAATGATTTATAATCCTTTAGGTATATACCCAGTAATGGGATTGCTGGGTCAAGTGGTATTTCTAGTTCTAGCTCCTTGAGGAATTGTCACAGTGTCTTCCACAATGGTTGAACTAATTTACACTCCCACCAACAGTGTAAAAGTGTTCCTATTTCTCCACATCCTCTCCAGCATCTGTTTCCTGACTTTTTAATGATTGCCATTCTAACTATTGTGAGATGATATCTCATTATGGTTTTGAATTGGATTTCTCTAATGAACAGTGATGATGAGCTTTTTTTCATATGTTTGTTGTCCACATAAATGTCTTCTTTTGATAAGTGCCTGTTCATATCCTTTGTCCACTTTTTGATGGGGTTGTTTGTTTGTTTGTTTTTCTTGGCAATTTGAGTTCTTTCTAGATTCTGCATATTAGCCCTTTGTCAGGTGGATAGATTGCAAAAATTTTCTCCCATTCTCTAAGTTGCTGGTACACTCTGATGATAGTTTCTTTTTCTATGCAGGAGCTGTTTAGTTAGATCCCATTTGTCAATTTTGGCTTTTGTTGCCATTGCTTTTTGTGTTTTAGTCATGAAGACTTTGCCCATTCCTGTGTCCTAGGATGGTATTGCCTAGGTTTTCTTCTAGTGTTGTTATGGTTTTAGGTCTTACCTTCAAGTCTTTAATCCATCTTGAGTTAATTTTTATATAAGATATAAGGAAGGGATCCAGTTTCAGCTTTCTGCATATGGCTAGCTAGTTTTCCCAACAGCATTTATTAAATAGGGAATCCTTTCCCTATCGCTTGTTTTTGTCATATTTGTCAAAGATCAGATGGTTGTAGATTTGTGGTGTGATTTTTGAGGTGTCTATTCTGTTGCATTGGTCTATATATCTGTTTTGGTACCAGTGCCGTGCTGTTTTGGTTACTGCAGCCTTGTAGTATAGTTTGAAGTAAAGTGGAGTGATGCCTCCAGCTTTGTTCTTTTTGCTTAGGATTGTCTTGGCTCTGCAGGCTCATTTTTGGTTCCATATGAAATTTGAAGTAGTTTTTTTCCAATTCTGTGAAGAAAGTCAATAAGTAGCTTCATGGGGATAGCATTGAATCTATAATTTACTTTGGACATTATGACCATTTTCATGATATTGATTCTTCCTATCCATGAGCATAGAATGTTTTTCCATTTGTTTGTGTCCTCTCTTATTTCCTTGAGCGGTGGTTTGTAGTTCTCCTTGAAGAGGTCCTTCACATCCCTTGTAAGTTGTATTCCTAGGTATTTTCTTCTCTTAGTAACACTTGTGAATGGGAGTTCATTCATGGTTTGGCTCTTTGTCTGTTATTGGTGTATG
Source organism: Homo sapiens (assembly GCF_000001405.40). Taxonomy (NCBI): domain Eukaryota; kingdom Metazoa; phylum Chordata; class Mammalia; order Primates; family Hominidae; genus Homo; species Homo sapiens. Next base: position 24,760,885 of record NC_000009.12, read on the forward strand.
AGAATGCTTGTGATTTTTGTGAATTGATTTTGTAAGCTGAGATTTTGCTGAATTTGCTTATCAGCTTAAGGAGATTTTGGACTGAGACAATGGGGTTTTCTAAATACACAATCATGCCATCTGCAAACAGAGAAATTTAACTTCCTCTTTTCCTATTTGAATACCATTTATTTCTTTCTCTTCCCTGATTTCCCTGGCCAGAACTTCCAATACTATGTTGAATAGGAGTGGTGAGAGAGGGCATCCTTGTCTTGTGGTGGTTTTCAAAAGGAACGTTTCCAGTTTCTGCCCATTCAGTATGATATTGGCTATGGGTTTGTCATAAATAGCTCTTACTGTATTGAGATATGTTACATCAATACCTAATTTATTCAGAGTTTTTAACATGAAGGGGTGTTGAATTTTGTCAAAGGCCTTTTCTGCATCTATTGAGAAAATCGTGTGTTTTTTGTCATTGGTTCTATTTATGTGATGGATTACGTTTATTGATTTGCATATGTTAAACCAGCCTTGCATCCCAGGGATGAAGCTGATTGGATCGTGATGCATAAGGTTTTTGATGTGCTGCTCTATTTGCTTTGCCATTATGTTATTGAGGGTTTTCACATCAGTGTTTATCATGGATATTGGCCTGAAATTTTATTTGTTTTGTTTGCCAGTGCCAGTTTTTGGTATCAGGATAATCCGTCCTCCTGAAATGAATTAGGGAGGAGTCCCTCTTTTTCTTTTGTTTGGAAGAGTTTCAGAAGGAATGGTACCAGTTCCTCTTTCTACCTCTGGTAGCATTTGGCTGTGAATCTGTCTTGCCCTGGACTTTTTTTGTTGGTAGGCTATTAATTGCTTCCTTAATTTCAGAACTTGTTACTGGTCTATTCTGGGATTTGCCTTCTTCCTCATTTAGCCTTGGGAGGGTGTATTTGCCCAGGAATTTATCCATTTCTTCTAGATTTCCTAGTTTATTTGCATTGAGTTGTTTATAGTATTGTCTGATGGTAGTTTGTATTCCTGTGGGATCAATGGCGATATCCCCTTTAACATTTTTTATTGCATCTATTTGATTTTTCTCTCGTTTCTTCATTCTTAGTCTGCTATCTGTCTATCTATTTTGTTTATCTTTTAAAAAAAAACCAGTTTCTGGATTCATAGTTTTTTTTGTAGCATTTTTTGTGTCTCTGTCTCCTTCAGTTCTGCTCTGATCTTAGGTATTACTTGTATTCTGCTAGCTTTTGAATTTGTTTGCTCTTGCTTCTCTAGTTCTTTTAATTGTGATGTTAGGGTGTCAGTTTTAGATCTTCCCTGCTTTCTCTTGTGGGCATTTAGTGCTACAAATTTGTGTCTACACACTGTTTTAAGTGTATCCCAGAGATTCTGGTATATTGTGTCTTTGTTCTCATTGATTTCAAAGAACATCTTTATTTCTGCCTTCATTTCGTTATTTACCCAGTAGTCATTGAGGAGCAGGTTGTTCATTTTCCATATAGTTGTGTGGTTTTGAGTGAGTTTCTTAATCCTGAGTTCTAATTTTATTGCACTGTGGTCTGAGAGACTGTTATTATTTCTGGGTTTTTTTTTTTTTTTTTTTTTTTGCATTTGCTGAGGAGTGTTTTACTTCCAATTATGTGGTCAATTTTAAAATAAGTACATTGTGGTGCTGAGAAGAATGTATATTCTGTTGATTTGGGGTGGAGAGTTCTGTAGATTTCTCTTAGGTCCACTTGGTCCAGAGTTGAGTTCAAGTCCGGATATCCATGTTAATTTTCTATCTCGTTGATCTGTCTAATATTGACAGTGGGGTGTCAAAGTCTCCCACTATTATTGTGTGAGAGTCTATGTCTCCTTGTAGGTCCCTAAGAACTTGCTATATGAATCTGGGTGCTTCTGTCTTGTGTCTTGGGTGCATATATATTTAACATAGTTAGCTGTTCTTGTTGCATTGATCAGTTTACCATTATGTAATGCCCTTCTTTGTCTCTTTTGTTCTTTGTTGGTTTAATGTCTTTTTATTAGAGACTAGGTTTGCAATCCCTGCTTTTTTGGTTGTCCATTTACTTGATAAATATTCCTCATTCCTTTATTGTGAGTCTGTGTGTGTCTTTGCACGAGATGGGTCTCTTGAGTGCTGCGCACCAATGGGTCTTGACTATCCAATTTGCCAGTCTGTGTCTTTTATTTGGGGCATTTAGCCCATTTACATTTAATGTTAGTGTTGTTATGTGTGAATTCGATCCTGTTATTACGATGCTAGCTGGTTATTTTCCCTGTTAGTTGATATAGTTTTTTCATAGTGTAGATGGTCTTTACAATTTCTTATGTTTTTGCACTGGCTGGTACTAGCTGTTCTTTCCCTGTTTAGTGCTTCCTTCAGGAGCTCTTATAATGCAGGCCTGGTGGTTACAAAATCTCTCAGCGTTTGCTTGTCTGTAAAGGATTTTATTTCTCCTTCACTTATGAAGCTTAGTTTGGCTAGATATGAAATTCTGGGTTGAAATTTTTTTCTTTTCTTTTTTTTTTTTCTTTTGAGATGGAGTTTCACTCTTGTCACCCAGGCTGAAGCACAGTGGCATGATCTCAGCTCACTGCAACTTCCACCTCCTGGGTTCAAGCAATTTTCTCGCCTCAGCCTCCCAAGTAGCTGGGATTACAAGTGCTCACTGCCAAACCTGACTAATTTTTGTATTTTTAATAGAGATGTGGTTTCACCATGCTGGCCAGGCTTGTTTCAAACTCCTGACCCCAGGTGATCCACCGCCTTGGCCTCCCAGAGTGCTGGGATTACAGGCATGAGCCACAGCCCTGGCCCACATATTCTTTTCTTCAGAATGTTGAATATTGGCCCCCACTCTCTTCTGGCTTGTAGGGTTTCTGCTGAGATATCCACTGTTAGTCTGATGGGCTTCTCTTTGTGGGTAACCCGATCTTTCTTTCTGGCTGCCCTTAACATTTTTTTCTTCATTTCAACCTTGGCGAATCTGACAATTATGTGTCTTGGGGTTGCTGTTCTCGAGGAGTATCTTTGTGGTGTCCTCTGAATTTCTTGAATTTGAATGTTGGCCTGTTTTGCTAGGTTGGTGAAGTTTTCCTGGATAATATCCTGAAGAGTGTTTTCCAACTTGGTTCCATTCTCCCCATCACTTTCGGGTACACCAATCAGACGTAGATTTGGTCTTTTCACATAGTTGCATGTTTCTTGGAGGCTTTGTTCATGTATTTTCACTCTTTTTTCTCTTATCTTGTCTTCTTGCTTTATTTAATTGAGTTGATCTTCAATCTTTGGTATCCTTTCTTTCACTTGATCGATTTGGCTATCGATACTTGTGTATGCTTCACAAAATTCTCATGCTGTGTTTTTCAGCTCCATCAGGTCATTTATGTTGTTCTCTAAACTGGTTATTCTAGTTAGCAATTCCTCTAACCTTTTTTCAAGGTTCTTAGCTTCCTTGCATTGTGTTAGAACATGCTCTTTTAGCTCGGAGAAGTTTGTTATTACCCACCTTCTGAAGCCTATTTCTGTCAATTCATCAAACTCATTATCTGTCCAGTTTTGTTCCCTTGATGGCAAGGAGTTGTGATCCTTTGGAGGAAAAGGAGCATTCTGGTTTTCATAATTTTCAGCCTTTTTATGCTGGTTTCGCCCCATCTTCGTGGATTTATCTACCTTTGGTCTTTGATGTTGGTGACCTTCAAATGGGGTCTCTGAGTGGACGTCCTTTTGGTTGATGTTGATACTATTCCTTTCTGTTTGTTAGTTTTCCTTCCAACAGTCAGGCCCCTCTGCTGCAGGTCTGCTGGAGTTTGCTGGAGGTCCACTCCAGACTCTGTTTGCCTGGGTATCACCAGCAGAGGCTGCAGAACAGCAAAGATTGCTGCCTATTCCTTCCTCTGGAATCTTTGTCCCAGAGGGTCACTCACCAGATGCCATCCAGAGCTCTCCCCTGTGAGGTGTCTGTTGACCCCTACTGGGTGGTGTCTCCAAGTCAAGATACACAGGGGTCAGGGACACACTTGAGGAGGCAGTGTGTCCCTTATCAAGCTCAAACACTGTGCTAGGAGAACTGCTGCTCTCTTCAGAGATGCCAGGCAGGGACATTTAAGTCTGCTGAAGATGTGCCTACAACCACCCCTTCCCCCAGGTGCTCTGTCCCAGGGAGATGAGGCTTTTATATATAAGCCTCTGGCTGGAGCTGCTACCTTTTTTTTCAGAGATGCTCTTCCCAAAGAGGAGTAATCTAGAGAGGCAGACTGGCCACAGAGGCCTTGCTGAGTTGCGGTGGGCCCTGCCCAGTTTGAACTTCCTGGTGGCTTTGTTTACACTGTGAGGGTAAAACTGCCTACTCAATCCTCAGCAGTGGCAGATGCCTCTCCCCCCACCAAGCTCTAGCATCCCAGGTCGACCTCAGACTGCTGTGCTAGCAGTGAGAATTTCAAGCCAGTGGATCTTAGCTTGCTGGGCTCTGTGAGGAAGGAAACTGCTGAGCCAGACCACTTGACTTCCTGGCTTCAGCCCCCTGTCCAGGGGAGTGAACAGTTCTTTCTCGCTGGTGTTCCAGGTGCCATTGGGGTATGAAAAGAAAACAAAACTCCGGCAGCTAGCTTTGTGTCTGCCCAAATGGCTGCCCTGTTTTGTGCTTGAAACCCAGGGCCCTGGTGGCATAGGCACCGGAGGGAATGTCCTGGTCTGCCGGTTGTGAAGCCTGTGGGAGATGCACAGTATCTGAGCCAGAGTGCACCATTCCTCCCGGTACAGTCTCTCATGGCTTCCCTTGGCTGGGGGAGGGAGATCCCCCAACCCCTTGTGCTTCCTGGGTGAGGTGACACCCCACCCTGCTTTGGCTCACCCTCTGTTGGTTGCACCCACTGTCCAACTAGTCCCAATGAGATGAACCAGGTACCTCAGTTGGAAATCCAGAAATCACCTGCCTTCTGTGTCAGTCTCTCTGTGAGATGCAGACCAGAGATGTTCCTATTCAGCCATCTTGCCAGCCCCCTATTCTGTCAGTTCCCTTTCAATTGAACACTTGCTTTGCCTGTTAACTTGTTTCTTCCACAAAATACTTCAGCTCTGAAGGCAAACCTTCTGAACAATGTCATCAAATGAAAATGTCTCTTTTATTTGACAAAAATAACCATTGCTAAAAATTTTCAAATCAATTTTTTATCCAGTTTATAGTTCAGTAGTCACATGTGATATGTCTGCTATCAATCCATATATGTATTATATATGTATCTCTCTATTTTTTTTGTAGCACAAAGTCAATTCTGGCATGTTACTAAAATATTGAAATTTGAAAACATAGAAGTTTGATTTCAATATACCATGCAAAATGTATAAGAAAGCATGACTATACTAATAGAAAGCCTGACTGTGGTTCCCAGGCTACCCTCAGATACACTGAGGATGGCCTTTGCCCTATGCTCCTATCCAAGCTGAGAGTGTAGGTTTCTGACCTCAGTTTCAGAACTAGTTTTTCAAATGGCATTGAATTCATTGTGAACTTCATGTAGAGCCATGATGCTGAACCATGTTATACAATATTCTGAATTAATATCCTAATGAACGAAATAATTTTTAGTCCATTGATTGTTTATAAAGCTGATCATTACATGAAATGGTGTGAGATGAGATGTAGCAAACTACATCCCAAGGGTGAAATCTAGCCTTGTTTTTTTTAAAGATAAAGTTTTATTGGAACACATCTATGCTCATTTTCTTGTAGCTGCTTTCATTCTATAATGGAAGTTTCAGTGGTTGTAACAAAGACCATCTGGCCCCCAAAAGTTAAAAATATTTAGTATCTTTCCTTTCATAGAAAAACTTGCTAACTCATGGTATAAAACGTATATTTTGGGCCCAGTAAAACTCTTAAGTTGCATTGCTGGCTTTGATCTCTAGTGGATAAATCATGGAAACTGGGAGTCATATAGTTCCATATTTAGATCCAGGACCTGCTGTTTAGAATTTGTGAGATCTTTATTAAGTTATTTGACATCTATGATCTTCTATTTCCTCCTGCGGAAAATGGGCTAATGAAACTTACGTCACAAAGATTTTGTGAGGATTATATAAATCATGTTAACGCAGTGTTTAGCATATGCAATAACTTATAGTTTTCCATAGTATTATGCAATTTAATGACAATGAATATCTTTAGGGTACTGATAACATGAGGATGAATAGAGCTTGGGGATGAGCTCAGAATTAGGTGGTTAAGTTAGTTACCAAAAATGAGTGTGGATGGAGACAAAACAGAGCTGCTGGCCTATTGACATCATGATCAGGCCTCAGTATCTCTGTAAAGGGCTGACCTCAGCTTAGAGGGCTGCTCACCCATTCTATGTTTCTACGCTGTCTTTAGTTGAATTAATCACAAAGAAATGATCTTACCTCTTTCTATTTCACTATCAAACGCAGAGAAATTGATAATGTATAACATTCTAATACAATGAGGGCTTATATTTTCTTCTCTCTGAAAGACTGAATTGCAAATGCTTATTGTCATTTCAGTGTCTAGAATAGTGGGGGTATGAGGAATATTCAGTTTCTTGTTCAGATACATAATCGATCTGATATCTTTGCTATATACACCAATCAGTGGAAAAGCAGAGACTTCTTGGTGTTGTATGGGTCTCCTACTAAAAACAACAATGGTATCAATTTTTTCTTCCTTGCCTAGTTATAATGTACAAAAGTTGTACAATCTTTACAGTCTCACTGTCTGATTCTGATGACAAAAGTATGTTTTGGTAATGGTTAACTTCATTGATTGCTCTTTAGACATCACCATTTGATATTGCAATCAATAGCACAGCAATTCTTATATATCATAACGAGGCTCTGTTGGTTGATCCTGTAATAGAAGAACATTGATTTATAATAATAGTGCCAAAATACATTAACAGTTACACATTAGCTTAGTAAATGTATTAATTTATGTCACCTGTAATGGATGTATGTGGAATAAAATTACTATAAATATGGATGCTGGTATTAAAATTTACCATTTTTTTTTTGTTTGTGGGTTATTTGTGTCTGTTTTCACCATCTTTTATTTTTCTAGACTCAAGGACAACCAGAACGTTTTCAGAACCTCACAATAATCATGAGTACCAGATGCCTAGTGCTGATCAACATGGCCACTGTTGCCTTTGCCATTTATAACTGGAGAGTATGATGAATATGCAGGTCCATTTGCACTGAGCTATGAATCTGCTTGAGTCTTCACATGATGCAAAGAAGCATCTGTTTGCCTTAGTTGCCCAAACAAAATCCAAAAATGATAGGTGAAATAATCCAAAGGCTGCTGGATTTTGCTTTTCTAAAATTTACTAGTGTTGCATGTTAAGGATGTTTAATAGTAATTGCTTGTGAGGGAAATTATAAAAGAAAACCAAAAACAGTGAAAAAAAATTTATTATGTAAATAAATTTGTTCAGTTGATAATGATTTTTTTTCCTGTTTCTACATAAGGCAGTGGTTTCTTATACAAGGTTTACATGTAGCTATTTATTTAACTTCTTAAGGAAATTTTTTGCATCTTTATATAGGCCATAGTGTCTTTGTGATGATTAAAACAAATAGTCCTTAAACTGTTCTTTTCAGAAATAAACATTTTAATCTTCTCTTTCAAATAAATATCCCAACTCTCCTGTATTCTCTCTTTTTCTGTCTCTCACACACACCTAGAATTTTTTTTGTATGTAATATGAAGACATATAGAATTTAAGTTATGATTGTCTTAGTCTATGTTGCTGTAAAAGAATACCTTCAGTTGGGTAATTTCTTTGGCTCACAGTCTTGTAGGCTGTATACAAAGCATGATGCTGGGACCCACTTCAGGTGAAAGCCTCAGGAAGCTTCCACTCATGACAGAAGGAGAAAGGAGCTGGTGTGTGCAGATCACACGGTGAGAGAGAAGCAAGAGGGAAAACAAAGGTGCTGGGCTCTTTTTAACAATCAGGTTTCCTGGGAACTATTAGAATGAGAACTCCCTGATTACTGCCAGCACAGAACGAAATAGTTCATGAAAGATCCAATGTCAGGACCCAAACACCCTCCACTATGCCCACCTCCAACACTCGGGTTCACATGTCAACATGAGATTTGAAGAGAATGAACATCCAAATTATCTCAATCATTTTTTGGGAATCTCAATCACAGACTTTAAATACTGAAAGGACTATTAATTTTAAGAAGAATTAAACTTTGTCATATGGCCTTTAATGAACAGTACTAGGTTAAAACTACAGGGAGAAAAATTCTGAATTCATAAATCGCTGATACCTGTATGTTAAAAATATCTTATGTTGGATTAAATTCTCTTAGTGAGATTGTGCATTGTAAGTGGTTGCAGATGTTAAAGAATAAATGCATAACCACTTGGAAAGCATTTCAATGAGACTAGAGTAGACCTGGGTGCCTTTTGATATTCATTTCAGCTTTGAAATTTTATGACATCTATAATATAAATTTACATGCACGATGTACTTATAAAGGTAGTATACATGTGTAATGAGGTGACTATGGATAACCAAGGTTTATCTAATTTTGTGACATGTTCAGTGATGGACCCTACTTAATTATTTCCTTGTTAGAAATAAATGATGGAGTCTTACTTTAAAATGAAGTTTCCACTGAAAGAAATTATCAATACTATTCTGAATTATCCTTGAAAGAAGTTAATCCCAGGCAGGAAAAAACAAAAAGAAGTAACTGTAGGAACACATATTTTCCTTCTTCTCTATTGCCTGAAGAATTAAGCCTGGAATCTGTAAAATGAATAAACTTTAAATGGTTCTGGGTTTAGGAATGAGCCGTTCCTGAAAGTTTTACCTAGAAATATGGCCAAGTACAACTATATGTAATAGGATCTTCTATCTGAAGATGGGGAGAGGATGGGTCAAAAAATTTTTCCAGAGACAATAATGTCTAAACTTTTGTTTAAGTGATTTAAAGATGGTGTATGTGAAGAGAATTCAAGGAAGAAGGATAACATGAATACATAGAGATTAAAATATAGTTTTCTTCTTCGGGAATAATGGGACATAGACTAGAGAGAGAAACTAGAGTCAGGTAATAAATGTCTACAATATGTAAGCTATGTTAAGAGTTTGCATTTTATCAAAGAGAAATAGCCTTTTTAGGATTCCAAGCAGGGAAGTGAAATAATCAGATAGACATTTAAAAAGCTCCCTCAGGCTACATTTTAGGGAATGGATTAGAAAAGGGCAAAACTAGAAATAGGAAGACCACTTAGAAGGCTGTGTTAGTAATCTGTGTGGGCAATGCAAGACCTCTTTGTCACCAATTTTCCAATAATGTTCATTCCAAATTCCTGAATATCCAGCCTAACCTTAACCACCAGCCATAAATCATTGTAGATCTGTGCCTTTGGTAATTTCTCCTTTTAGATAAAAATGAACAGCTAGGTACTCTCTTCAAAGTTCTGCCTTTTGGGAGCATTTTCTTTATTATACTCCTGGGCTACCCCAGACTGAGGCTGTTGTGCTGCACGTGCCCAGGATTCCGACATATTAAGCAGTTTTATCTATAAACCTGAGCCAAAAATACATCTTTTTTAATCAACTAGATGTAAGAAGCTCTCCATGAGGCCATAGGTAGAAGTTGAGAGAAAAGAGGCCATATAGAGGGGGTAGGTGCCATGGAAATCTGATCCATTGACTCCTGTAATTTATTTGTGCCTTCAGGGCTAGTTTGAGCCTGATGTCTAATATTCTAACATATTAGAATACTCATCTGCATGCCCAAATTTATGCCTTGTTGTTGGCTGGTTGGGAGTTGGGGGGATGTTCAGATAACACCCAAGCCTTAGTGAAGAGTTCAGGTCACATTATAGTTTGTGGCTTGCAGTCAAACATTCCAGTTCTACTAGTGTGCAGTAGTAAGCCAGAAGCAGTTTCTCAAAAGAACAGTATTTTCTACAGAGAATGAGACAGTTTTTCTTCAATTCCTAAATTTCTGTGGCTTACCTACAGAGGATTGCAAAAGACTCCACATAGTATTTCAACCTACCATAAACATTTGAAGAACTATGAAATCTTCTGGCCATGTGGTAGAACAAGTTGTATGGCAGCATGGACTTGCTTCAGAGCTGTCTCTTGTTTTGGGCTCCATTCAAAGCTGGAAGCCTTTCAAGTTACTGGGTGGGTCAAAAGAGCATAACCAAATGAGATACTACGTGTCTCCATGATTTAATGAAGCCAATATATATTCTGCATTTTTTCACAATAGTAGGATGGTACAAATGCATCAACTTGCCCTTCATGCTGAAAAGAATATTTCAACATACCCAACCACTTTATCCCTAGAAATTTCTCTATAAGATAAGTGCCACCATTTGGCCATGCCACTCTGGGATCCCATCATCCCCATTGAACTCAGGGAGCCCATTCTGAATATAGCAGTCTTACTGTTAATCCTGCCTACAGAGAAAGCCACTGCAGCCTTGGCAAAGATGCCACACTCCTCTCATCAATATGTCTCTCAAGCTTTGAGTGATATGAGTTAGAAAGTTAGTGAGCAAGTCTTACATACCAAATCTAGCATTCAGACCTCATTACCTCTTTAAATATCCATATCCCAAAGTCATATACCTCAGTCTTATTTAGTGTAGGCCACCTTTGGGCCCAGCTTTCTGCCAGCAACTGACAAAATGCTCAGAACCATTTCCAGACACACAAGCTAACTTAAATTTGTTGGAATACTGAATTTCGAAAACTTTGTTTACAGCATTGAAATAAGTAAATTCAATATGATCTAAAAACTGTTTCTTTCACCTTGATCCAATATTGTTAGGAGCCAGTTTTCTAATACAAATTGGAAAAATTTCATTAGACTTTTCATGTACTTGATACTTCCTCCTATATTACTTCCTCTTTGGAACTCAACCTCTGTAATCTGCCAGGACTTGAGTCTATCTGTAGGTGTTTAAGTCATGAGTAGTGTTGGGGTTAGGTCCTAACATGTATCATCATTTTCGTGAAAAGTATTATCTTGTGAAGGCCATTACAATTTCATTAGTCAAAAGGAGCCCAGATTCTTTCATGAAAGGAGAATGGACTGTTCCTGCTGGCAAAGAAATTTGGCCGAATTTAGGGGTTCAATACGTTGTTCACTTGAAATCTGCCCATATATATCCTTCCTGAATTTCAGGTTCTCATTTGTTTTCACTCGATACTTTAATATAATAGACACTGTGGAGTTGCAAATTCAATTTGTATTATAATTCAACCTTGTCACGATTTGTCTTTGACCTTGGTTTCTAGATATATCTTCCCTGATAATACAGAAAATAGACGATTTTTTAGATAAGTCGTAAAGCTAATTGTTTTTCTACTAAAAACTTGAGCTCAGAATTCCAGTAGCTGAAGTCATCATTTTCTTTCTCCAAGTCCTTCAGTGCTATCAGAAACAACCAACCTCTTAATACTCATTGTTTCCAATATAAAGTTTGATAGTGGCAACTACATGGTCACTACAGTGTTGCCCTTGATATATATTTGATTGAAATTGACTACAGGTAACACTTAAGTAATTGTTTTGCCATCTTAAGTAATTGTTTTGCCATCGCATGCCATTGGCTACCGATGTTCCTATTTCTACAGGCAATGGAGTCATTAATGTCTTTAAATCTAATCAGAACAAGGAATAAATCTCCCATTTCTATACTCAGAGTTTTATTGCCCTGGAATGACTTCCAATGACCATATAAGACCCTGTGCAATTAGGGAAAGAACTATTATGAATATAAAGGAATGAGGGATTTATTAAACGAGACATTATGCAATTGTGAAAAAATTGAAGGAGTAAGAAAAGATGAGTTGGAAAATCAGAAAAAAATGTTACTAACCAACCTTTATGAAGCAGGGTGTGTCAAGCTGCCAGTGTGTCCACAAAGTAGAGCTAGTGGAGAAGTCTATGAAAGTTATTGACCTGTGTTTGGGTGGGAAGTGGATACTGGGAATGTAGTTCCATCTTAGCCAAGTTGATATAGTACCATGGATAGTGGTGAGGTAGTAGACTGGAAAGATAACTTGAAGTCAAATCATACATGATAAAATACCTATCTTAGCTCAGTCTGCTATAACATCATACCATAGACTGTGCCACTTAAAAGACATTTATTTCTCAAAGTTTTGGAGACTGGGAAGTCAAGATGAAGGTTTTGACAGATTTGATTCCTGGTAAGGGCACTCCTCTTGGCTTTCACATAGTAACTTGTTGCTGTGTCCTCACATAAAAGAGAGACACAGTTCTGCTGTCTTTTCCTCTAATTTTATTATGAAGACTCCAATCTTACCACCTTATCTAAACCTAATTGCCTCCTAAAAGCTCTACCACCTAATACCGTAAAAATGGGGAGTCAGGATTCAACATATGAATTGGGGGATGGACACAAACATTCAGTTTATAACAGTATGTAAATTCTATTAGGGAGTTCAGACGCTACCCAAGGAAAATACAGTGAGATAATTACATTTGCATTTTTAAAACCTCACACAGGTTATATTTTATAGATAGGGTTAATAATGGGCATGATTAGAGATAGACCTTTTAATTTTGAGATAATTAAATTGAGAAATGCAGGGGATGTATATTGGATAATGGTTGTGAAGAGAGAAAAATTGTACCAATTTTGGAGATATTAGGGAGGTCAACTCAACATCACTTTGCTATAGTTTCTAGCTGAAGAAATTGAGAGTTGTTTTTTAATTAAAATTTATGTTACATGAGTGAGAGCTATGTTGTCCCACTAAAGGAAAATCTATGTGTTTTTCTGGACATTGTGGTTGAAGTTCTTACAGGGCATCTGCATTTAGATGATGAGTGTGTAGTTGCATATTTAGATCTGAAAATCTAGGGAGAAAATAATTTTGTCACTCAATTTTCATAGCGCCTATGCTTGAAACACAGAAACAAGCAATAGGGTTTTAAAATTTGTTGCATATTGAATTGCTTATTTGAGCCCTAACTTAAATTACATCAAAATGTCCCTAAAGAAGAGGCAGTATACTTATACTGGGAATTACTGGGGGAACCAGCCCCCAGTATTTCAACATAGGTTCTTTTCTATTTTCCCTAAGTGTTGGCCCATCTGAGAAAAAAAAAGAAAGAGTAAAAAGAGAGAAATTTTACAGCTGGTCCTCCGGGGGTGACATCACATGTTGGCAGGTTCTATGATGCCCCCTGATCCACAAAACCAGCAAGTTTGTATTAGGGATTTCAAAAGGGGAGGGGGGTACGAACAGGGAGTAAATCACAGAGATCACGTTTCAAGGGGCAATAAAAGATTACAAGGGCAGAAGGGCAGAGCGAGATCACAAGGCCAGGGCAAAATTAGAATTACTGATGAGGTTCCATGTCCCACTGGGCACGTATTGTCTTGATAAACATCTTAACAGGAAACAGGGTTCGAGAGCAGAAAACCGGTCTGACTACAATTCACCAGGCTGGAATTTCCTAGTCCTAGCAAGCCTGAGGGTGCTGCAGGAGACCAGGGCATGTTTCATCCCTTATCTTTGACTGCATGAGACAGACACTCCCAGAGCGGCCATTTTAGAGACCTCCCCACTGGGAATGCATTCCTTTCCCAGTGCTATTCCTTGCTGAGAAAATAATTCAGCGTTATTTCTCCTATTCGCTTTCTGTAAGAGAAATATGACTCTGTTCTGCCTGGCCCCGCAGGCAGTCAGACCTTATGGTTATCTCCCTTGTTCCCTGAAAATCACTATTATCCTGTTCTTTTCAAGGTGCCCAGATTTCAAATTGTTCAAACACACATGCTTTACAAACAATTTGTGCATATAACACAATCATCACAGGGTTCTGAGGCAACATACATCCTCAGCTTACGGAGATTACGGAATTAAGAGACTAAAGACAGGCATAGGAAATTATAAGAGTATTGATTCGGGAAGTGATAAATGTCCATGAAATCTTCACAATGTATGTTCAGAGACTGCAGTAAAGACAGGCATAAGAAATTATAAAAGTATTAATTTGGGGAACTGATAAATGTCCATGAAATCTTCACAATTTATGTTCTTCTGCCATGGCTTCAGCCAGTCCCTCTGTTCGGGGTCCCTGACTTCCCACAACAGGGAATATTGGCAAATATTGCTATATAGGCATGGTGGCCATCTGGAAATACAAATTTCAAATTTCTTTTTCTTTTTTTATTGGAGAAGGAGTTTTGCTTTTGTCACCAAGGCTGGAGTGCAGTGGTGTGATCTCGGCTCATTACAACCTCTGCCTCCCAGGTTCAAGCGATTCTCATACCTCACCCTCTGGGGTAGCTGGGATTACAGGAGCGTGTCACCATGCCCAGCTAATTTTGTATTTTTAGTAGAGATGGGGTTTAACCATGTTGGCCAGGCTGGTCTAGAACTACTGACCTCAGGTTATCCACCTTCCTCGGCCTCTCAAGGTGCTAGGATTATAGGCATGAGCCACCGAGTCCAGCTGACAAAATTAATTTTTGATGATAAGATTTAATCTAACATTTCTTCAGCACAGAAGATGTTCCAGAATTTACCAGATGTAATATAGTTTTTCTTTATGTTGATCCTGTTAGACAGTGGATTACTCAGTATTAGCTAGCTTATTTTGCAGAAACAACCTTCTAGTCTCCATATCTTAAAACAATAAATGTTTCACTCTCAAACTTTTAGTCATGGTAAGCCTATGGAATAGCCATCATCCAAATGTTGACAGTTGTTGAGTAAGGGTAAAAGAAAGCTGACAAGGCACTCACTAGATGTCAAACTTTATTCTTGGAAGTAGCACGTGCCACTTATGCTCCCACTGTATTGACTAAAGGAAGTCATGTGGCCTCAGGTAACTTCAAATTGGGCTGAGGAGCATATTCCTACCATGTGACTAGGAGGAGATGGGCCAGAAATAATTGGGAAGCATTTCTACTAACCATCATAATTTCATATGTGAATAAAACCTGAGGCTAACAAATATTAATATATAGTCTTCCAAAATCTAATAAAATTTAATGAAGACAAGACTTAAACTCACTTCTTTAAGTTGCCCTGCCAAAGTCCCCACAGAGGTACATTGGCAGTTTAGAATCTCAGGTTCCTCATGTGTCAAAGGAACTTTAAGCTATCCCTTCCAATTTAAGAATCTGTAATTTGGCCATTCTTTCTGTATAGCCTAAACTTCCATAAAACTAGGACAACAATATATATCGGCCATTTAGTTTCAACTCTAGCCCCAGTATAGAGGAAAATTTTATGATCGTCTTTTTTAGGAAGATTTGAAGAAGAGAGAATACCCATTTCTGCACTGTCAGTACAATATCAGATGATTTCAAGGATGTGAAGTCCACTACACAATTAGGTTAAGGTCCTCCTTTTATTGTACATAGGAAACAAAGACTGTTCTACATTTAAAAATGAGAGTCTGAACTTTTTAAAAGAATTACAGGTTTTTCTTTAAATGCTGAACATTTGTTTATATAGTTCATATTTAGAAACACAATACCAAGTACTCATTATGGAATATTATTTTTTGGCATGCTAGTAACTATCTGTTCCCTTGGGAAATCAGGTCTTACATAATGTGAAGAAATAAATTGAGCTGAACATCAGGATTCTAAAAATAAAAACAAAATAACCACCAACATATGTGTTTTGGTTCTTGGTGCCTACTTTCACTCCCAAAGGAGACTTTAGCAGTATCTAATATTCCTAAAATTGAATAATTTTATGCACAATTTAGGATGAATCTGCTTGTATGATCTTATTTTGAATGCCTTGGTGATTTGACTGGCCTGCACTTTGGCTCAGTGGTTAGTGGATATTATATATATATATATACTTATCTCCATTAAATGAAGGTTCAAACTATCATTTGCAACCTCACTTGATGTTTGCACTAATAGAAATATTCCCAGTTAAATTAGTAGAAGTTATTTTATAAAATATTTATCTTTTAGAGACAGGGTCATAAGTGTATTACTTCTTTGGGAAGATAGTTTACCACCATTCTAATGGAGGCAGTGTTAAACATAATGCTGGGAATGGGTCTCTTTGGGAAAGTACACAGATTTTTCCATTTCTTTGTTACTCCCAAGTGGCCTCAAGTTGAAAACTTTAGTAGAGTCTTCAGTTGGTATCATATTATTTCTGGAATATCACTGTGGTTCAGTAGTATTCTTAACTACTCATGGAATAAAGGGTCAGAAACAATATGAGCCTTCTCTATCTTGGACCAGATAAGCATTTGTAACCACCCCAGGCATAATTCTCTTAAATGTAGTAGGAGAGAAAAAAAAATGTTGGCTGTCAGGTGACAGCCAAAAGGACCTCTTCTCAAATCAACCCAAGAAGACTGAAACATTATGGAAGATTTATTAAAAAGAGGATGATTTAAAGAGTAAGTAGGAATGAGAATGAACTGAATAAAAATCTTTGCTAGTGTTAATATAAATTTAATTTTGTCTCCATAGTGGTGAGATATGGAAAATACAGGTTACATAATAAAAAAGACATACACATTACAAACTCACTCTTTATATGTTACAGAAAGAGTGTTTGAAAAAAATTTTTCTTAACAATACAAAGGTAATAAAATTTTAAAAAATCTAAAAATAATGTTTGAAATTGCTGAACTAGTTCTGGGAATATATATATCAATAAAAATTAAAATGTGAAAAGATAGCTAAAAGAATGAGATAAACTTTATATGCAATGAAATATAAAACACTTAATTTGATGTCTAACTCTTTTAAAACGATTCATGGAGGGATAAACTGAAACAAAGCTGGAAATATCAGGAGAACAATAAGAGAATGCAAAAACAACTAAACAGAGACTTGGCAGGATGGAAAATGAAGAACTCATAACTACACACAGTGGACTTCATAGCTAGCCGGCCCTCAGATTGCTTTTGACACCCCTGTGGAATAGCAAATATAAAGCCAGACAGATGTGGCACTGATATTGGATATTGACAGAAAAATCCTACAATGGGAAATTCTTCCAGGTGGCTAAAAGGAAAAGTCCCAATAATTTGATCAAATAAAGAAGCAGTACAGAAACATTTAGCAATAACTTTTATCAAGGCAATGACACTAAAACAACATGTGTCCATTAGCTTCAGCTTCAAAATATCCCAAATAAGTTGATGCAGTTTAACAGTGATTCTCATCCTTCTAGAAGTGCATATAATATTGTGGGAAAATGAACTATCTCAATGTTAGTAAATGCCACTCTCTAATTAAAAATACACTATGATAAAAACTGAGATGTAATGATATTTTTAACTTCGAAAAAAATGAGAGTATAGGATATTTACTCATGATATAGGTAAAGCCTGTATCCTACTTGGATATATAAAATGTCTGTGTGTAAATAAATGAAATAAATGGGGTAAAATAATTTTAAAGAACATGTAATATTAGCATCACTACCTAAACCATTCTGTCTACAGTCAAAATATTTATATGAACCTAATATTTGCTCAAGTTTTGGAAATATTACCTCATTTTACCCTGACATGAACTCTTTGAAGTAGCTTTTTTTTTTATTATTTTAGGCAAATTCAAGTTCAGGGAGATGAAGGGACATAGCAGAGATTCAAACCCTGAAATTCTGAATGTGAATTAACTGGCCAATTCTCAACATCATAGCTCTCTTTCCAAGAAAATTTTGTTTAATGAGAGAATAAAGTTTTTGAGCAAAATACAGCTTTTTTCGTTAAGTCATGAACTGCCTCTTCCAATATTTACTCAATAGAAATCTCACATATGAAAAATAAAATCTGAGATACAATCTCTGTTTCACTTCACATGGATGAAAAAATAATTGGCTATAAGGAAGTTAAAATATAGAAAACATATGTCATTTTATCCAATCTATATCCATATCTGTTAAAGTAGTGTCCATGTCCTAGACTTTCTGTATTAGCTCTGGCACATTGGTCAGAAGTAAAACAGTTTTTTCTATTAAGATATGTACAACTATTACCTTGGTCTGAGGTCACTAAAAACATTCTGCTCAGTGTTCTCACTAGGCATCTCTATAATTCAATATTGAAGAACTATCATAGGATTAATCATAGTTTGAGAAAAAAATCAACACTAATATGCAAAATATAAGAGCTCCTGAGTTCAATTACTAGACTAATATCAGGCTTAAATTGGGGAGATCAAGAAGACCAAAACCTCTTAGTTTGGGTCAGGTAAGATAAAAATCTCATGCTAACATTTGGAAGTCAACAACAGCGTGTTCAGAGAAAGATATGCTGAGGTCAAATTCACTAATAAATAGTCATTACCTTAGAGGATAATTTCTGTGAAGGTTTAATAGCTGTTTATTTTCCCCTACTCCTGCCTAACACAGGCACAGCTAATATATAGTTTTACCTCTTCATACTATTTTAACTACTTAAAATAGAACTAGGAATATTTAGAGGAGTATAAGGTAGAGGATATAGAATGACAGGCAAAATGATGGATAAGAAATATTGTTATTAATTTGGTTTAGCAAGTAAGTTATTTGATCGCAAGGTTATTATGGCTTTTGATTTTAGCAAATTCTGTTTTGAGTTTTTACTCATGACTTTACTCCAGGTATAAAAGAAACATATAAGGTGACACGTAGAGATGAGAGATGACCAAAGCTCAGCTTTGCATCTGTGGCTCTTTCCATCTCTTCTTTGTGATTGATTTCAGCCCCAGTAGAAGCTTACTGACTTCCCACATACTTGCTCTCCAATGTGCCTTCTCTACTTATTTCTTCAGACTCTATAATTCGATTCATCTCCAGGATGTTGCTCCCTCTTCCATATGTTTAACTCTGTAACAACAACCCATTGATTCAGATTTTCTTACTTGACCCTTAGATTGTTTCTCATGAATGATATCCATTGGGTGTGGTTAGATATCCCTGGAAACTTCTTGGCACCTTGGACAGTTAGATGTTGGTGAATTTCTGGAACTATTTGGAGAGGATTTTACTCTTTCTTCAGAGTTAAATTGTCTATGCAATCCATTTAATGATATAATGGGGAAAAAACTTGATTAAAGGTGTGGAAATGAGGGAAAGGGAGGAGTGAAAGATGAGAGTGGACAGAATGACTTGATAAATTATGGGAAAATTTGAAAATGAAGAAAGACTGAAGGAGAGAGATATTGCGGGCAAGAAATCAGATTTATATATATATGATTATTTTAAAATCGGTTGGTTGGTGAGTACCAATTACAGCTAGTTGACATCTCTTAGGTAATAGAACCATGCCATGAAGGCAGCCTCAATGACAAAGAGCCTCTCATAAAAAAGTTCCTATCTTTTTCATTTGTAGGTAAAAGTTATGAGAAAAATGCTCGAAGAAGGAAGTACTCACTTCCTGCTAATTTTTGAGAGTATAACACTTATTGCCATACACTTCTCCAAAGTTTGGTTTTAACAGTGACTTTTTACCATGAATTCTTAAGATATGTTATTAAGATATATGGCTTCTACTGAAATTCAATTAATACTTTCTGCTGTGGACCTAACAAAAATGTTTTAAAATGATTGTGTGTGTGTGTGTGTGTGTGTGTGTGTGTGTGTAAAAATGTTATGGACTGGCCGGGTATGGTGGCTCACGTCTCTAATCCCAGCACTTTGGCAGGCAGAGGTGGGCAGATCACCTGAAGTTGGGAGCTCGAGACCAGCCTAACCAATATGGAGAAACCCTGTCCCTACTAAAAATACAAAATTAGCCAGGCATGGTGGTGCATACCTGTAATCGCAGCTACTCGGGAGGCTGAAGCAGGAGAATCGCCTGAACCCAGGAGGGGGAGGTTGAGGTGAGCCAAGATAGTGCCATTGCGCACCAGGCTGGGCAACAGAGTGAGACTGCATCTCAAAAAAAAAAAAAAGAAAATGTTATGGACATAGGATGGTTGTCTAAAAACCTTAGTTGGGAATCCCTATGAAGACATTTAAAAATATTCAGCTATATAGTGGCTTAACACTTTAATAAGGAAGCATGCCAAATAAATTTTAATTTTAAATTTAAAAAATCTCTTTTAAAAGCATCTCTCACAAGAGCAATCAAATACCAAGACAAATTCTAATATGACAGCTAGGTTTGAATTCCTGTGCTATATTCCTGGTGTATTCATTATTCTATGAAGCTTTCTGATAATCGCTTATTATTGTACAAGGTGAGTGCAGTTAACCTCTTTAAGAATTCTGATCCAATATTGAATCACTTTCATAAAGATTCTTGGAGCACAGGATCAGCCCAGCTCAGTCACAAAAACCCCCGACACAGTCATTGTAAAAATAAAGCCACTATTTTTAATCAGATTAATTGATCAAGACTAGGTCAGGGAGGCAGAAAGGCAGTTGGGATATGGGAAATCTACCACAGATAAGTAGGTTTTTGCCTGTATAAGGGATTAGGGCTTAATTTCTTGGTGAGAATAAAGGGAATGGAAAGAACATTAAAGAGCTCCAATAAGAGAAAGCCCAAGCTAGCAAACAGGTTATTAAAACTGAACTCAAACATAAGGGAACAAAGTAGAAGTTTAGTTACCAGAAATGAAGTAATATGTGGAGACTTAGACTTAGTCACAGAAGCTTGGAAGAAAATTCTTCTGCCCTCAGATCTGGAATACCTATTTCCTGTGGTGTTTTATATATTTATATACACACACACACACATATATATAAACTACATTATATATAATTATATATAATTATATAATCGAACATATATGATAATATATAATATATAAATATATAATTATATATAAATATAAATATATATATATTTCCCAGAGCTGAGACCCAGGACTCTGAGCTTTAGACTAATCATTCCCCAGCATTCCTGATTTCAACTCAGTACACAGGAGTTTGGGAATCAACATCTATAGATGGTGAAGGTTCTTGTAACCCTCCTGACTAACAACAAGTGGGTTCTACATTCTTGGGGAATGCTTAGTCCAAAGCTCCGAGTCCAGGGTCTCAGCTCTGGAAAACAGAAACTGGGAACATTAATATGTCAGATTTTGAGAGCTGAGAGCCAAATGCCCCACTGAGTAAGAATCCTTTAAGTCATAAAGTAAAGGTTATACAATTCTTTTCCATAGTGTTTTGATACCTAGTAAACTCCACTAACTTATGCCAAAACTGAATAATTAACATAAAATACTTATGTTTGGATATTCTTGTCTTTTAATATTTAGACATATAATAATCCACATTTCAGCTTTTTTGTGACCTTCAAAAGCAGAGTTAGCGCTCCAAATATTAATGACATTTTAAAAATTATTACAAGAGTGAAAATAGGGTGCACTAAAATTGTTAAAACAGGATACTAATTCAGGTCTCCTCATATGTGATTTTCAATAAAGATAAAACTCTAGTTAAACCTACATGTGAATTGACTATTGATATTTCTTAAGGGACCAGAAATGGAAGACAACCATGGTATTAGGAGTACTTAAAATAATTCCTGGCCTGTGCAATCTGAAGGAAAAATAAATGAAGTAGATAAATCAAATTTACTTTAGGTCTAGTCGCAAATTGTTTTAACATCAACTCCCTAAATTGATAAGTTAATTTTTGTAGTGAAACATATTGACTACAATTATATACCGCTAGTGTGTTTCACAGGTCATTATTTTAACCCTAAAAAATACTGCTCAGATGTCCTTCTTTAGAAAACAATGAAAAAAGTTATAAATTTGTCACTTGGAGGCTCAAAACAAGTGGATCACTGTGAAAGCATCCTGCTTCAACTTGTAACCTCTTCTCAGCCAGTGAACATAACTGTGTTTAGCACAGTGTGACGGGATGGACTGAAGACCGACCCTAATTGTGAGTAGCCATGATTATTGGTACAGCAGGCAAGAGATAATTCATTCATACGTTTCGAAGCCAACATGGTATACAATTTTATGTCTTTTTGAAAATAGTGTCTATAATAAATTATATCCAACCGTAACTCCCTTTTGAAGTGGATATGTTGAATAAGGAAGAGGATGCACATATTTAGAGTTCAGAGGAGAAATCTGAGCTATAAATAAACATTTAAGGATTATCAGTATTTAGAAAATATTTAAAGACAAGGGTGAGATGAGAACTCCTATGAAGTCAATTTAATATAAGCAGAGGTTAAAAGATATCAGAGGACTAAACCCTGAGACAATAAAATTAATTTATAATAAAGAAAGGTGAAGAGTAACCAGCAAAGAAACCCAAGGAGGAACCAATGAATTCAAATAAGAACCAAGAGAAAAGTTGTCACAAACGCTAATGAAAATAAAGGTTTACCAAATGCTGCCAAAAGACCAAATAAATGAGGGCTAAGAGTCATCAGGTTAAAGAGCAATTTTGCTTGAAGTGGTGAAAACAAATCCTAACAGCTGGAGTGAGTTCAAAAGTGTATTGGAAGAATGGAAGATACATGGAGTATATGCAACTATTATGAAAAGTTTAGCTGTAAAAACAAAATACAAATAAAAAGCAAGAGAGAAATGGAGTCAAGTTGTAGGACTAAGGGAAAACTATATTTAGTTTTTGGAAAAAAGATAGCTTTCAGTGTGTTTGTCATCCAAAGCATTTTTTAATAAGTTCTATATATTGAACTGTATTAAAACTAGTGAAAGTGCTCATACAGGAGTACGTTGGTGCTATTTTCTTTTGAATACAAAAGCATGGCCACAAGACCCTTTTGCTAAGAAATGAACACATTGTAATTATTATAGTTCACTGTTTTAGTGTTAATATTTTCAATAGGGTTATAATTATTGCAGCAAGAGTAAAAGTTTTGGAGTTGGGACTACCAAAGTTCAAATGTTTACTTTATTTTGATGTATATTCTAATTTGAGTTTAGATTTTTAAATTATTTCTATAGATTGCTGGCTATGTGTGTAGACCTAGAGTCAATTTGCAACTTGTGAAGCAGTGGTAAGTGATGGATCTTTTCTTTCATGGTTATTTTTGGAGCTCCAATAAATAACATTTAAAAAGTTTCTAACCTTTAAAACGGTTCATTTTTTAAATGAATTGGCAAAAAAATGTTCCTGGCAAGCTATTCAGCATATACTAGCTATCATCATGATGGGAGTCACCATTTCCAACCATACAGATCTGTTGAAGCTAGTCATGATAGTTTTGAAGCTGCTTACTGTCCAATAACCTAGCCTAAGGATCTTCAATGAAATTCATTGTAACAGAAAAGTACCATTATTATGAGAGTATTGGTCTTCAGCGTGAGCAAGAAAGAATAATAGTCTCTTAGACATTATATTGCAGGTAAATAGTGGGCATTAGTCTGGTTTTAGCCATTCAGCCTGAAAACTTTCTCCCTGTGTTTGGGAATTTTTTTTTTTTTTTTGCAGCCTGAGTCTTGGTGAGAGGTGATTCTGCCTCCACTTAGGAAAATTGTAAAAGGTTCAAATATTTGTACTTTGCGACCCATAGAAATTGGAGTGTGTCAAAGAAAAATTCCAGTTGACAAGTTAAACAGGCAAGAAAGACTTTATTCAGGCCTCTCGCAATAGGACAGAGAGATTTAACTCAACTTCCTTGAAATGAAAAATGGAAAAATTGTTAAGTGCTAGGGTGAACTTGTGAGAAAGTACTAGAGAACGTTTGGAGAGAGGTGAACCAACTAACAAATGAAATTACACAATATGTGTTTACTAATTGTCACTTACTTTATCAAAGTTAAGTTAAAATCCTACCTTCCCACAGAGGCTGGTATAATCTTTTTTTGATGATTATATTTCAAAACAACAGTTCCCAAGTTATTGAAAAAAATATTTCTGCATTGTAAAACTGACAAGTGGCTAGGAGAATATCTCAAAGGGGCAAAGAAATAATTTACAATCACGTTTTCTAAAGTAAATATTCGAAGAAAAGGAACTTCAGAAGCCATGTCAGGAAGAAACATGTCTGAAGTTTAGTCAACTTGAGAATATTAAGGTTGCCTTGGTTAAATGAAAGCAGATAATTAAGGCCTGGTCAATTAGATGCAACTTGTGGGGCCTTTAAAATATACTTTAATCTTAGTATCCAGAGTCCAGTGCCTACTGGGAATGGTGGAATTGGTATTGGAGTTATAACTCCAGCAGCATCCATTAGGCAATAATGTCTCATGGTGGCAGGACCTGAAATGTCTTTCTCACAACCAAACTCTACTCATAATTATGTTCATAGCTTCCTAGACTATATTGGTTCCTGCCTGAATGCTGAGCTTTGTCTTCCAGCTTACCTTTGATTTACTGAACTCCCCAATATCCTTACAAAATAATCTTTCTGCTTTGGTAACCAGATTTCTTTTCCTTTTATTTGCAATTAAGCATATTAGTGGCTCTTTAACGTTTCTATGAAAATAGCTGTACATTTCCCTGTTCTGTGACTTTTTTTAATCTACTAGGAAGAGTTTGATTTACTCCTCTTTGGTACTCCATTGTCGTCATCATCACTATCAGGTCATTTTTATATTGATTCGAAAAGAAGCAACAGTTTCACATACCATAGCTTGTCCTCAAATGAGTATCCTATGCCAGAACAAAAGATAAAAACTAATTAAACATTTTGTTGTGATGAAAACAAATGAGAGTACTACATTCAGCATAACTGAGGATGTAAAAGATCTACGAAAAATGTGAATTTAATTTTATTGATTCATGTACAGATATGAAACTTGAAGGATACAAATAGATCAATGCATCATCCTCATTTTACTTTATGTGGTCATTATACATTATTATAATATTCCCCATAATTCTATTTTTCCTCCTTTCTTCCTCCTTTAATCTTTTCTTTAAGTGCTTCCTCTACATCTTTATGATACCAGTATAACATAGGCTACTTGGAGGAATATTTGAAATGTAGAAGTTTAGCCCCTTAACTTTCAACAGCTAACAACTTCACTAGCCCATAGCGAAGAGTCTTCGGTCACCCAAACAATGGAAGCTTATGGGAATAAAGGGAACCTACCCCAACTGTATTAAAAAAAATAAGGAATGTCCTGAGTACAAGGAGATTCACCTGCCCAAATATGTGAGCCAATGTGATATGGTGAAAGAAGCTTGGTTCAGAAATTAGAGGATGCACCTTTTGCTATATTTACAAAGTGAAAAAATATCATTGTCTTGGTTTACTCATTTGAAAAATAGGGATAACAACAATATGTGTCTATTTCAGCAAACTGTGATGAAGGTCAAATAGTATACTAACATATATGCAAGCTCCAAATCAAAAGTGAAGACTTGCGCACATACAATTAATTATGATACAATGCATATAAATAAGTTAGCATAACTTGCTCATTTTAAGTAGTCAGCCAATAATACTATTGTTATTATCATCTTTTTTTTGCTCTTTTCTTGTGTTATGGCTTGATAATATTTTTCAAAACCATCATCTTTCTGAGGAGGTCACTATCCTTGAGACATGTCAAAAAAAAATCAGCGTAGTAGCTTTGTTGTCTTCTCCAAACTTTTCAATACTAGTTCTTCCTCTGTCTCTAGTATTCCAGGAAAAATTTCCTCTATTCCTTCAGTTGCTCCTGGCAGAAAGCTTGGCATTATTCTTTACTTGTCCTTCTCTCATACACCATACCCCAAGTAACAGCAAGTCCTGTAGATTGTATCTTTAAAATACATGACAAATCTATACTCTTATTACCACTGTGACAGTTACCACCTTCAAAACTTATACACGTATGTTAATATGTTTATTGAACTACTGCAATAGATTTGTAGTGGCCTTCCCACTTCCACACCTGGTGCTCAACACAGAAGACAGTGATTCTTTAAAATGTAAGCCTAATCATGTCATTTTTTTCTGCTCAAGATTATCCACTGAGTTTCTTTCATGACGTAAAGCCTGGTGTGAATGTTTCTGCTATTTCTCTTCTTTCATCTCTTTTATTAGTCCCCTCCTTTACTGAGCTCAAACTCACATGGTGTCCTTAATTTTCTTCCAGACTTTCAAGGACACTCTTGCTTCAGTGGCTTAGTATTTGCTTTCTCTCTGCCTAAAATACTCTCATTCAGATACCTATAGGGCTTTCTCAGCACTTTCTTTGGGTCTCTGTTCACATGTCTCCTCTTCAAAGAATCCTTCCCTGGCCATCTAATGAAATAATAAGTTCTGCTTCTCCCTATCACTTTCCCTGATTTTTTCAGTAACACACAAACGTGACATTATATAATGTATATAACTGTATTTGTTTTTTTACAAGCTTCATGAAGACTTTGTTGCATTCACTGCTTTGCTGTCAGAGAATAGACTAGTGCATGACACATAGATAACACTCAGTATATTTTTGTTGAATGAATAAATGAATGAATGAGTCAGTAAAAAGCAGGGTGTCTTTTGATTATTTCCCTGGAAATAATATTATTTGAATAATAATATTTCAAATTTTATACTTTTTTCTATAAGCTTAGGTTGGAGGATAGATACTTAACATCTAAAAAATATAAAAATGGTTGAGGCAAGATTGCTTCCAAATTTTATTAATCAAAACATATAAAACTAAGGAGATAGTAAAGTCTTAGAAATGTCCATTATTATTTCTGATCACTCTGAGCAAAATAGTATTATTATATGTAGTTGATCAAACTTCAAATGAAAGCCAGATTTGGCATTTTAATCTGTGCCATGTTAATTTGAATGAAGGTATACTTTGAGGCTTTGCAAAATGTAGAAAATCACTTCCAAACTGCAGTGCAATTTAGTGGGCCTTTACAGGTATAAGACCTTAGGGTGAACCTCTCTTTCATGGGTCCTGAGTATAGCGTCTTTACCTTAATATTTTGACCTGGTGGAGCAATCAGCTTTATCATGTGCCTACAGATGTTGCTTGACTATACTTGTATGAAAGTCAAGTAAGAGAGGATAGGACAGCAAAGTTTAAGAGCTGAGCTCTTGAATTCAAACTTAACTCATCCTGGTTCTGCCATTTTTTAGGTATATAAAAACTATGGTGTTATTGAAATTTTCTTAGCTGTCAAATGAAGATAATACTATGGAATGATTGAATAATTATCATAAGTAAAAAATTAAAAGAATTGGATACGAAGTATTCAGCACAATATCCATGGTAAAAATTTATAAGTAATGATAGTGATGATGACATGATAACCATGATGTTGATGGTAATGATGCTGATGTTATGATATCATCAGGATTTCCATGTTGACTTCTTATGTCTTTATGCTATTTTTTCTGCTATAATCAATAGCTGTGGACCTAAACGATCTCTCTACCACCATCAGGGGACATAAAAAAAAAAGTAGAATATAAAGAGTGTGAAGAGTGTATCTACACTTGGAAAAAGAAATGCATTCTCCCATGTTGTGCTACTGCATTTCTACTGGTAACATGCGCCTTCCAGACTTGACTGATCATTTAATTGACTGATCATTTAATGCATGCTTTGCTTCCCCTGAGCTCTATTTGATTCTCCCTGTATTCACTAAATGCTGACCCTTAATCTCTTGTCTATTGTGCAGTAATATCATTTGACTTCGCTAGACTTCTAATTCTGATCTATGCTCCCATATCCATCCCTGCTTAAATCTGTACTTGAAAGAAAATCAATAAGAAAGCAAAGATTCCAATATTCTCATTTCTGATGTTTGAAAGGGAATTATTTTTGTCCACTTGTGTTTTTACTCATTCTCTAATTTGTGTTGCACACAGATCAGAAAAAAAGAGAGAAATTTTTAAAAAATGGAAGCAATTACATATGATCACAGAGTCATCCTAAAAAAATAAATCATTTATGGAATAACTAATGTTTGCAGTCTGTATCTTTGTTCCATCTCTTAGGGTTTTTTTTTTTTCACTTTATTGCAGTTTATTCTTGAAAACACATCAAACAATTTTCAGAAAGACACAAGAATATTGATATTTGAATAGAATATTTGTGAAAAGAATGACTTATTTCACAAACCTATAACCACAAGGACAAGACATAATATTGGAACAAGGAAGCCACCATATTTTTCTGTATGTTCCCATAATTAATATATCAGTGATGATGTTAAATAATCAAATTCCTAGGGAGTAGTAAGTACTAAAGATACATTTTCTGGCTGGAATTGACTGATATTCAATTCAAAATATATCAGAGGAAATTAATACAGGCATAATTACTTATTTTAATCTTCGTTAAAGACACATATGGGCTCAAAATAAAGGGATGGAGGAATATTAACCAAGCAAATGGAAAGCAAAAAAAAAAAAAAAAAACAGGGGTTGCAATCTGAGTCTCTGATAAAAAAGACTTTAAACCAACAAAGACCAAAAGAGACAAAAAAGGGCATTACATAATGGTAAAAGGATCAATGCAACAAGAAGAGCTAACTATCCTAAATAGATATGCACCCAATACAGGAGAACCCATAATCACAGAGCAAGTTCTCAGAGACCTACAAAGAGAGTTAGACTCCCACACAATAACAGCGGGAGACTTTAACACCCCACTGTCAATATTAGACAGATCAATGAGACAGAAAATTAACAAAGATATTCAGAACTTGAACTCAGCTCTGGACCAAGGAGACCTAATAGATATCTACAGAACTCTTCACCCCAAATCAGCAGAATATACAGTCTTCTCAGCAACACATCACTCTCATTTTAAAATTGACCACATAATTAATTGGAAGTAAAGCACTCCATAGCAAATGCAAAAGAACAGGAATCATAACAAACACTCTCTCAGACCACAGTGCAATCAAATTAGAACTCACAATTAAGAAACTCACTCAAAACCGCACAACTACATGGAAACTGAACAACCTGATCCTGAATGACTACTGGGTAAATAATGAAATGAAGGCAGGAATAAAGATGTTCTTTGAAACCAATGAGAACAAAGTTACAACGTACCAGAATCTCTGGGACACAGCTAAAGCAGTGTTTAGAGCAAAATTTATAGCACTAAATGCCCACAAGAGAAATCAGGAAAGATCTAAAAATCGACACCCTAACATCACAATTAAAATAACTAAAGAAGCAAGAGCAAACAAATTCAAAAGCCAGAAGAAGACAAGTAATGCCTAAGATCAGAGCAGAACTGAAAGAGGTAGAGACACAAAAAACTCCTCAAAATTCACTGAATCCAGGAACAGGTTTTATGAAAAGATCAACGAAATAGACCACTAGCCAGACTAATAAAGAAGAGAGATGAATCAAATAGACGCAATAAAAAATGATAAAGGGGATATCACCACTGATCCTGCAGAAATACAAACTACCATCAGAGAATGCTATAAACACCTCTATGCAAATAAACTAGAAAATCTAGAAGAAATGGATAAATTCCTGGACACATATACCCTTCCAAGTCTAAACCAGGAAGAAATCGAATCCCTGAATAGACCAATAATAAGTTCTGAAATTGAGGCGGTAATTAATAGCCTACCAACCAAAAAAAGCCCAGAAGCAGACAGATTCACAGCCAAATTCTACCAGAAGTACGAAACGGAGCTGGTATCATTCCTTCTGAAACTATTCCAAACAATAGAGAAAGAGGGAATCCTCTCTAATTCATTTTATGATGCCAGCGTCATCCTGATATCAAAATCTGGCAGAGACACAACAACAACCAAAAAAATCAGTCCAATATCCCTGATGAACATTGATGCAAAAATCCTCAATAAAATGCTGGCAAACCGAATCCAGCAGCATATCAAAAAGCTTAACCACCACGATCAAGTTGGCTTCATCCCTGAGATGCAAGGCTGGTTCAACATACACAAATCAATAAATGTAATCCATCACATAAACAGAACCAATGACAAAAACCAATTGATTATCTCAATAGATGCAGAAAAAGGCCTTTGACACAGTTCAACAGCCCTTCATACTAAAAACTCTCAATAAACTACGTATTGATGGAACATATCTCAATACAATAAGAGATATTTATGACAAACCCTCAGCCAATATCATACTGAATGGGCAAAAACTAGAAGCCTTCCCTTTGAAATCCGCCACAACACAAGGATGCCCTCTCACCATTCCTATTCAACATAGTATTGGAAGTTCTGGCCAGGGCAATCAGGGAAGAGAAAGAAATAAAAGGTATTCAAAGAGGAAGAAATGAAGTCAAATTGTCTTCATGCAGATGACATGATTGTATATTTAGACAACCCCATTGTCTCAGTCCAAAATCTCCTTAAGCTGGTAAGCAACTTCAGCAAAGTCTCAGGATACAAAATGAAGGTGCAAAAATCACAAGCATTCCTATACCAGTAATAGACAAACACAGAGCCAAATCATGAATGAACTCCAATTCACAATGGCTACAAAGAGAATAAAATATCTAAGAATACAGCTAACAAGGGATGTGAAAGACCTCTTTAAGGGGAACTACAAACCACTGCTCAAGGAGATAAAAGAGGACACAAATGAAAAAATATTCCATGCTCATGTATAGGAGGAATCAATATTGTGAAAATGGCCATGCTGCCCAAAGTAATTTAGAGATTCAATGCTATCCCCAACAAGTTATCACTGACTTTCTTCACAGAACTAAAAAAAAAAAAACTACTTTAAATTTCATGTGGAAAAAAAGAGGAACCCATATAGGCAAGACAATCTTAAGCAAAAAGAACAAAGCTGGAGGTATTACGCTACCTGGTTTCAAACTATACTACAAGACTACAGTAACCAAAACAGCATGATACTGGTACCAAAACAGATATATAGACCAATGGAACAGAGCAGAGGCCTCAGAAATAACACCACACATCTACAACCATCTGATCTTTGACAAACCTGACAAAAACAAGCAATGGGGAAAGGATTCCCTATTTAATAAATCGTGTTGGGAAAACTAGCTAGCCATATGCAGAAAACTGAAATTGGACCCCTTCCTTACACCTTATACAAAAATTAATTCGCCGGGCGCGGTGGCTCACGCCTGTAATCCCAGCACTTTGGGAGGCCGAGGCGGGTGGATCACGAGGTCAGGAGATCGAGACCATCCTGGCTAACAAGGTGAAACCCCGTCTCTACTAAAAATACAAAAAATTAGCCGGGCGCAGTGGCAGGCGCCTGTAGTCCCAGCTACTCGGGAGGCTGAGGCAGGAGAATGGCGTGAACCCGGGAAGCAGAGCTTGCAGTGAGCCGAGATTGCGCCACTCCAGTCCGCAGTCCGGCCTGGGCGACAGAGCGAGACTCCGTCTCAAAAAAAAAAAAAAAAAAATTAACTCAAGATGGATTAAAGACTTCAGTGTAAGACCTAAAACCATAAAAACCCTAGAAGGAAACCTAGGTAATACCATTCAGGACATAGGCATGGTCAAAGTCTTCATGACTAAAACACCAAAAGCAAAGGCAACAAAAGCCAAAATTGACAAATGGGATCTAATTAAACTAAAGTGCTTCTGCACAGCAAAATAAACTATCATCAGAGTGAACAGGCAACCTACAGAATGGGAGAAAAGTTTTGCAATCTATCTATCTGACAAAGGCTAATATCCAGAATCTACAAAGATCTTCAACAAATTTATGAGAAAACAACCCCATCAAAAAGTGGGTGAATGATATGAACAGACACTTTTCAAAAGAAGACACTTATGTGGCCAAAAAACGTATGAATAAAAGCTTATCATCACTGGTCTTTAGAGAAATGCAAATCAAAACCACAATGAGATACCATCTCACACTAGTTAGAAAGTTGATCATTAAAAAGTCAGGAAACAACAGATACTGGAGAGGATGTGGAGAAATAGGAATTCTTGTACACTGTTGGTGGGAGTGTAAATTAGTTCAACCATTGTGGAAGAGAGTGTGGCTCTTTCTCAAGGATCTAGAACCAGAAATACCATTAGACCCAGCAATCTCATTACTGGGTATATACGCAAATGATTATAAATCATTCTACTACAAAGACACATGCACACGTATGCTTATTGTGGCACTGTTCACAATAGCAAAGACTTGCAACCAACCCAAATGCCCATCAATGATAGACTGGATAAAGAAGATGTGGCACATATACACCATGGAATACTATGCAACCATAAAAAGGAATGATATCATGTCCTTTGCAGGGACGTGGATGAAGCTAGAAACCGTCATTCTCAGCAAACTAACACAAGAACAGAAAACCAAACACGACATGTTCTAACCCATAAGTGGGAGCTGAACAATGAGAACACATGGACACAGGGAGGGGAACATCACACACCCTGGCCTTTCAGGGGTTGGGGGGCTAAGGGAGGGATAGCATTAGGAGAAATACCTAATGTAGATGACGGGTTGATGGGTCATGTATATACCTATGTAACAAACTTCCACGCTATACACATGTACCCCAGAACTTAAGTTATAATAAAAAAATTAAATTGCTTATGGAATAACTAATGTTTACAGTCTGTATCTCTGTTCCATCTCTTAGTGATGTTTTTTTCACTTTATTGCAGTTTATTTTTGAGAACGTGTTAGATAATTTTCACAAAGACACAAGAATGTTGATGAATGACTTATTTCACAATCCTGTAATCATGAGGACAAGACATAATATTGGAACAAGGAATCCACCGTATTTCTCTGTATGTTCCCATAATTAATATGTCAGTGATATTAATAATAATATTGAAAATTAAATATCAATATTAATATTGAAAATTAAGTAATCAAATTTCTAGGGAGTAGTAAGTACTAAAGATACATTTTTCTGGCTGGAACTGATTAATGTTCAATTCAAAATATATCAGAGGAAATTAATATGCACATAAATACTTATTTTACTCTTCATTATTTGCTTCTTAACTTAAATGTATTAATCTGTAAAGAGAAATAAACCTTCAATTTACCTTGAGTTATAATTTATAGTATACTTTGGCAAATTTCTCAACTTGAATGCCAGGCTTGGTGACACAATCAATGGAAAAATATTATGATGTCTTTTCTAGAGAACATATTTTAGAGGTAGACATATTAAGTCGTGTAAACATTCATTTATGAACTAAACTAGTTGGTATTTACTCGTAATGTGGAGTAATCCTTGGGGAAATTTGACTCATTGTTCTTTGGAGTCAGTACTATACACTGCATTTTTAAAAAATGTATTTATACTTGTCAACCCTCTTCCTAGGAATACTTGTATTAGAAAGTATCATTTCCCTCTTGTTTTAGCCAAGTACCAAATTACTCAAGGGACTTTTTGTATACATTATTTATGTAGTAAGTCAAAGGGCAAAGAAAATAAGATGAATTGGATTGATTTCATCTGCTTTTTATTATTTGAGGAGTGACTCAACCTTTTTTATCTTTTCATACACACAGTTTGCTTAACTTAAAATCAGCTTTAACTTTAAATGTCCAAAGAAATATGGTACTGTATTCCTGTTTTGGGTTCACTGTGTCCCCTAAAGTTCATGTGTTAGTAATTCAATACCGAATGCAACACTGTTGATAGGTGGTACCTTTAAAAGGGGGACTAATGGTGTTATCATGGAGGTGGGCTAGTTATCACAGGAGTGGGTTCCTGATAAAAGAATGAGTTTGAATCTTTCTATCTTGCTCTTGCTCTTACCCTCTCTTGCCCTTCTGCCTTGGAATGACACAGCAAGAATGCCCTCACCTGATGCAGGTTCAAAGACCTTCGACTTCTCAGCTTCTAAAACTGCAAGAAAAAAAATCTATTGTTTATCAATTACCCAGTCTCAGTTACTCTGCTACAGAAGCACAAAACATACTAAATCCATCTTTAAAGTTAAATTTGATGAGTATGACCACATAGCCAATAAATGAACAGGTAAATAATAAAACTTTACTAAAGTTATAGTTTTTCCATATAAAAAGAGGAAGTGGCTTCTCAAGATCAAATAAAATACAAAGGTAATTATAACTTTTATTGCCTTGAAAAAGAGTTGATCAAAATAAAAGTCTTATAAGACAAACTCCTCCTGATCATTAAATATAGCAATGACAATAGATTCTAAGAAAGAGTCATTGGAGGCTTGAACCTGCTAAGAAAGATTTTGAAGACTTGGATAGCAGTTGACACATTTCAGCTCCTAAAATCTTGAAGAGCACATGCAAAATAATAATATTGGGCCCTTATCTTACACCATACGCAACATTAACTAAAAACGAATTATAGACTTTAATGTGAGACCTCGAACTGTAAAACTCCTATAAGAAAACATGGGGGAAAAGTTTCATGATATTGGTCTTGGCATTGATCTTGTTTATGACACCAAAAGCACAGAAACAAAAGCAAAAATAGACTAGTGGAACCACATCAAACTAAAAAGCTTTTGCACAGCAAAGGAAGCAATCAATAATACACAGACAACCTGTGAAATGGGAGAAAATAGATTTACACACCATATATTGAATAAGAGGTTAACATAAAAAATATATAAGGAATTCCTACAACTCTGTAGCAAAAAAAATCCCCCAAATAATCAGATTAAAAAATGACAAAGGCCTTACAGCGACTTTTTCCCAAAGCAGACATACAGATGACCAGAAGGCATTTGAAAAATTGTTCAACACCACTAATGATCAGGGAAATGCAAATCAAAACCACAATGAAATATTACTTCTTACCTGACAGGATAGCTATTATCAAAAGAGCACAAGTATTGGCAAGGAAGTAAAGAAACTGGAAACTTTTTACACTGTTTCTGAGAATATAAATTGATGTAGTCATTGTGGAGGTCCCTGAAAAATTTAAAATAGAACTACCATCTTATCCAGAAGTCTTACATCTGAGTTTATATCCAAAAGAATCAGAATCTTGAGATACCTGCATGCCCATGTTCACTGAAACATTATTCATAATAGCTAAGACATGAAAACAACACAAATGCCCATCAGATGATAAATCGATAAAGGAAAATGACATACACATACAACAAAATACTACTCAGCCTTAGAAAATAAGAGAATCCTGGCATATGCAAGGAAATGGATGAACTCGGAGGATATTATGCTAAGTGAAATAAACCAGTCATAAAAGGACAAATACTGCATGATTCCACTTACATGAAGTATCTAAAATAGTCAAATTCATGCAAGCAGAAAATAGAATGCTGGTTACCAGGGGCTGGGTGAAGGGGGAAGTGGGGAGTTGTGTTCAATGGGTATAAAGTTTCAGTGTGAAAGATAAATAAGTTCTAGAGATCTGATGCACAACATACCTAAGACTAACAATACTGTTTGTGTACTTAAAACACTTGTTGATAGGGTATACCGGGTATTAAGGTTTTTTTTAAATTTTTTATTTTATTATTATTTTTTTAACCACAAAACCACACTCACACACTAAAAACTCCAAAGAGATATAAGGAAACTTTTGGAGGTGATGGATATGCTTACCTTGATTGTGGTGATGATTTCACAGGCACATGCATATGTTCAAATTCATCAAACTGTATATGTTAAATATCAGTATTTTATTTGTTTATCAGTTTTACCCAGAGGTGTTAATTTTATTTAAAAAGAAAAAAAGTACACAGTTTACAGAATTTTTTTGACTCCATGAAATTTTCTAGTCATTTTCCGAGTTGCTTTGGAACTATATGGGTACAGATTGAGACACATATTATGTTCAGAAAACATACTTTTTGTGAATTTCTTAAGGGAGTTGGTGCTTAGGGTATAGACTATTTCGTTGCTTGTAGACTTGCCTCTGTTTCTTGTACTTTGTGTCTATGAAATTGATTCTCTGATATTTTTATGTATGCCAGTGACCAATTGGAAATTTAGAAAGAGGAAAGAGAAACCCATGAAAGAACCCATTAATAACCTCATAATGAATCCAGCTTTCAAAGTGTTGAATCAGGCACAGCAGACTGTGGAGATGACTCAAGCTACAGCTGCTGTTAGTGGGATCCAAATTCAGTGTAGACTCTTAATTAATTTTGTAAAGGACAAAATGCCCTCAATAAGGAGATACTTTTATTCAGGTCACTGAAATAGGGATGACATTCATAGGGAACATGTCAAAGAAGAGGGAGAAGATGTGGGGCTTTATAGAGACAGATAAATAAGGAGGTCGCTTGAAAGGGTGGACAGCAAGTCTCCACTCAGAAGGGTGAAGGGATTATTTTGGGATGTACAAGATTAAAGAAGTATTTTTTGGTTAGCTATTACTTGGAATAAAAAAAAGTATTTACAGAGTGGTGGTAGATTTCACAACAATCTTTGCTGCTTTTGGGGAACACACAGCTTAGATAAGGTTCAACATTGTCACTTGCTCTCAAATTAGGCCAGAAAAGAAGGAATTTAGTCTAGAGAGGAGAATATTTAGTCTTAATTTTTATGTTTTAAGACTTTTAAATTGGCTCTATTTTTCCATATTACTTGAGAACAGAAGGAAAGGAAATTGTTTTGATAATAACAGGGGATCATAGTTACTATTATTTTAAATTTGAAGATTTGAATTTTTTTTTCCACGTGATATATTTTATTTGGGACTAGTTGTCTCCCTGTCCTCATGACTGTCTTGTATACTTGCATCTATAAAATCTCAGGTTTTCTCCCATTTCTTTGACACATTCTTCTTTAGCAAACATTCTCTCTATTCCTGTCATCTGAATAAAATTATCTCCTTAGTGACTGGGCCAATTTATTTTTCACAGATCGATTAAGAACCTGCAATGAGTTTGTAACCCATTAACAGCAGTTTGGTATAATTTGTTCCAGAAACTAAATAGGTTTGATTTCTTAGTTAGTGTAACTCTGAAATTCAAGTAAAGAATGCATTATCATAACCCATTTTTAAAGAGTTTGGGAACAATATTATACTGACTCTCCTCCAATAGTCCCTTATTGGGAAGTACGCATTGTAGAAAATGGTGAACATAGTCAAATGAAAGTAGGATTGGTAGGGCTTTGGTATCTCTAGTTTTCCCCTTGGGTTATATAGTCTGGTTATGCTCTGATTAAACAAAGTCTTGAATAGGAAACTCAAGTTTCCATTAAAGAGAGCAAAATAGGGAACAATAGTCCTCTCAGAGAAAAGGACTTTCCCAGGAAATACCTATCTTTTCCTTTTCTCTTTTCTTCTTCCCCCTTTCTTTGAAGACGTTATTAATTTAACCAGTTAAATTCCAAAACACTGAGTAGAAGAATGCACTTATAAATAACAACAATGTGCATTCAAAGTCTAAAGAGGATGTAGTTTCTCTCCTTTTTTTTTAATTAAAATAAGAAGACCCAGGATCTGCTACTCAGGCCAGTTCAGGACATCTTTTTCCAGAGCCTGCCCTTGTCCTTAATACCTCCTTCCATGCAGATGAAGGTGCTTAGATTCAAATTTGAGCAAGGAAGGGATTAAGGGTAGGGGTATTTCATGGGGCTGACAGGTGAGGAGACTTTTTAGGTTACATCTGAAGCTGCAGGCTACAGTCACACTTCTCTGGATTAGCCCAGTGTCTTAGTTTCCTAGGGCTGCTGTAACCAAGTATATCATAAACTGGATTATTTTAAACAACAGTAATTTTTTCTTTGATTCATTGTGGATGCTAGAAGTCTGAAATTAAGATATCAGCAGACCTATGCTCCCTCCAAAGGCTCTAGGGAAGAATTCTTCCTTGCCTCTTCCTAACTTCTGGTGACTCTAGGACATTCGTTGATTATAGCTTTGTTTCTCCAATTTCTGTCTGTGTTGTTACATGACTTTATTCCTTGTATGTCTTCACATAGCCTTTTTATAAAGACATCAGTCTTTGGATTTATTGTTCAATCTAATCAATTATGACTTCATCTTAACTAATTACCTCAGCAAAGACCTTATTTTCATATAAAGTCACAGTCTGAAGTTCCAACTGGTCATGAATTTTGGGGGGACACTGTTCAACACAGTACATGGGCCGATAACTAATTGTTACTTTGCCTTTTTTTGCACTTTCTTGTGTGTGTATCTCTTACTCAATAATTTTATTATTGAGAATCATTTCTACAGGCATTGAAATCAGTGGCATTTATGGCTTTCCTTGCTCACAGGCTTAGTATGATTTTGGGAAAAAATTTCTCAAGCAGTGTTACAAGTGTTTACAAGAAGTGGCCTCTGGTGGGTAGAAGTGAATGCAAGAGAGATGTAGGTGAATCACTGGCAATGACTGCTACAAGAATCCTTCTTTTAAATTCTATTTTTTCTGTATAACATGATTTTACATTTTTTAAAGTAGATGTGTACCTTCTCCTCATTAAAGTTCAGAAAAATAAATATTATTTATATGAATAGCATGTTTTTATAATTTGAGTAGTCAACTGACCATACAAGGTAACTAATGTCACAAAGCACTAAAAATAAACTTTTCTAAAACTGATGTTATTAATTTTGGTAGACATCACCACCATCCATTTTAAAATTACTATTAAAGTAATAATTTCATAAAACAAGATATCTCAATTACATTGTTTTTCTCTTAATAAAGAATATATATCTTAGGCCTAGCACAGTGGGTTGCCCCTGTAATCCCAGCACTTTGGGAGGCTGGGGCAGGAGGATAGCTTTAGCCCAGGAGTTTGAGATCAGCTTGGGAAACATGGCAAAATCCTATCTCTACCAAAAATACAAAATTAGCCAGGTGTGGTGGTGTGCAACTCTGTTCCAGCTATTCAGTGAGGTGAGGTAGGAGGATTACCTGCACCCAGCATATCCAGGCTGTGGTGATTACACCTCTATACTACAACCTGGGCAACACAGTGAGACCCTGTCTCAAAAAAAAAAAAAAAAAAGAATGTATATCCTATACCACGCTGGAAATATCACACTTCAAAGCTATGCAATTTTAATAGTATGTTATTAAATTGGTTCAAAGTACATATTTGATTGTATTTGCCTCTTTTTTTCTTTCACCAAACTTTATATCAACCATTAAATATAGCATACAATTTTAGTATGTTGATTGTGTACTCATTTGTGTTTAAAGCAGATCCAAACAAGTTGTCAGGAAAGAACCCTGTTTCCATCAAGTACAACTCAGAGCAGAGGTAGAATGGCATTATGTTTGATTAACATACTTTTCACAAAAACGTATTAACCCACAGCACACTTATTTACTAGGATGTGTAGCCTTTGTTCAAACTGGGATTAAAAATCAGAAATACAGTTATAATTCAGGGACATAATTTTGAATGCACTGTTACCCAATATTTATGAAAAGCTTAGTTGAGATAATGTC
Source organism: Homo sapiens (assembly GCF_000001405.40). NCBI lineage: Eukaryota > Metazoa > Chordata > Mammalia > Primates > Hominidae > Homo > Homo sapiens. The sequence goes on from NC_000009.12 coordinate 24,800,035, forward strand.
ACTTAAGGATGTTTGCTAGAAAGGCATGTAGTCCATTTTTCTTAATCTAGATTTATCATATTAATTCAGATCACTGGAGAACTGAGTTCTTAGACCACCTTCTATTTCTCTGACATATCCCTTCAGACAGTTGTCTTTACTCTGCTTTCCTTTATTTTGAGTTTTATTTAAAAATATGAAACACTATATCCACTGAAACAATATTGAAAATCATTTAGCCCATTTTATGTACTATTGTCTTTATGTGTATGCACAGAAAAATTCTTTTCTGATACAAATAATATATTTATGCAAGTGGACAAAATGAGCATTAGAGTAGATAGATCATAATTACAGGTATAAAAATATGTAAATCCTTATTATATTCATCATTAGCTACATTTTTGTCTTCACTTTTCCTACTCCCTTGCCTTTTTTCTTATAATTTAATTCCACTTTTAATTTTATAGTATAGTTATATCTTATATAGTTATCTCAGTGACCTTAAATTATTTAGAAAAAAGAAAGTTTTAAAATAAGGCATGTGTGCTTATATATATAACTATGAAAGCATAGAGCCTCATATGCTTAACAAAAAATAAAAAAGCAAGCGAACAAAAAGATGAAGAATTGTTACTTGTAAGCAGCAATCAAGGTATGCAGTGAAAGTTTAAAAACATATTCTTGCTGTGTGTAGATTTCTTCTATTATTTTCTGAAGATGTTAGTTCTTTGTATCTACATTGATTCAGGTATCCAAGGATATGGATACATGTATTAGTTTCCTAGGCCTGCTTTAACAAATTACCACAAAGCTAGACGCTTAATACAACACAAATTTATTTTCTCATAGCTCAGAAGGCTACAAGTCCGAAATCAAGATGTTGTCAAGTTTGATTCCTTCTTGAGGCTCTGAGAAGCTGTTCCATGCCTGTCTCCTAGCTTCTGGTGGCTCTGGTGATGCTTGGCAGTCGTTGACATTTCTTGATTTATAAATGCATCACTTCAATCCCTACTTCTGTCTTTTTCTTATTTTCCCTCTGTGTCTCTCTGTTTCAGTTCTCTCCCTGCTTTCTCTTATAACACCACCAGTCTTTGGATTCAGGGTCCACTCTGAATACAGCATGATCAGTATCTTTAAATTATATCTGCCAAGACCCTTTTTCCAAAATAGGTCACTTTCTGAGGATCTGGGTGGGCATATCTTTTGAGGAGTACTCTTCAACACATTACATTAGAATTTCCATCATGTGAGACAACTGGACAAAAATCTAAATGCATCTGTCTTTTAATAACATGTAGATATGTAGGGAACATGAAATAATTACATATTTTAAAACCTGAAATCTCAGTTCACTGATTTGATTGGTGTTGAATATGAGGCAAGAAAAGAAAAAAGACAGACAACTTTACTGATTGAGTTCGGCTATGTACTTAACCTCTTTTAAGGATAAATGCTCACCCATACTTCTTGCTGGTGAATTATATCCTTGACAATCATATTTGGTATTACATGACTCATATTGTTTGGCTTCCAACCAAATCTCATCTCTAATTGTAATCCTCACGTATTGAGGGAGGAACCTGTTAGAGGTGATTGAATCATGAGTGTGGTTCCCCTTGCTGTTCTTGTGATAAAGAGTTCTCATGACATTTGATGGCTTAAACGTGTTTGACATTTTCCCCCTCACTCTCTCTCTCTTTACAGCCATGTAACATGTGCCTTGCTTCCCCTTCACCTTCTGCCACGACTGTAAGTTTCCTGAGGCCTCCCTAGCCATGCAGAACTGTGAGTCAATTAAACCTCTTTTCTTTATAAATTACCCAGTCTCAGGTAGTTCTTTATCACAGTGTGAAAATGGACTAATACAGTGACTCAACCATCAACTCTCCCATCTACTCTGAACACTGGTCAAGTATAAAAAAATGCAAAATAAGCTATGCTAATGAGATATATTTACTTCTTACAATTTGAGTCAGGAAGTATAGACAAAAAAAGATCACATAGTTGAAGCAATGAAGTTGAAGCTAAAAGGATGAAATGAGAAATGAGGTTATGGGGTAAAGAAGAGGTCATATCCCATTATGAACAGGCAAAAGTAATGAGAGAAAAACAACTAAAATGAGTAGATCACGTAGAAGGGGGAACACACAGAAAGTGAGAAATCTGGTTGTCACTAGGTATAGAAGGAGACAACAAACATGTTCACACATGAAAGAATTTACTCTTGCTATTCCCTCTGCTAAGATTGCTCTTTCTCCAGATATCATCATAGTTTATCCCCTTATTTCCTTCAGCACTATCTGCTCAAATGCCACATTTTTTCTATAGCCCATATTTGAATACCTTAAGTTAAATAAGAGCCCACCACTACCACCCTTACCACCAATGCACCACTTTCTATCCCCCTTACTTATATTTATTTTCTTTATAGTACTTATTACTACATGTATGCACACACACATGCATACATGCACACTACTGTACCTCTAGCCACTATATGTGGCATGATAGGCACTTAGTAAAATATTGTGAAAGAAAAATGTGAATAAATAAAATCTCAGAGTTTTGTGAGTCATGCTAATAAAATGAAAGGAAATTCTGAGAACGCTGTAGGGTCCTTGGAACCAGTCTTAGTGTCCTCGGGGTGATTTTATACAGTAGACCTTATTAAAATCCCACAAGACACCTGACTCAATTTTTATAATAATACTGTACTTGATCTAGTGTGGGGAAGTCTTATTATTTGTAACCAAAGCTATATGAATTAAATATAACAAAGCTTCTTAGTGACACAGTTATGAGTGGAACCTGAATTCTACAGGCAGTTGTCTAAGTGAAGTATACTAAAAAATATATGCTACAGATAAAAACATAGAATGCATTTCACAGCCAAATATAATTTATTGGTGGAATTATCCATTGGCTTGAGTTATCTATGCATTTACTTTGATATGTTTGAGACGAGAATCAGAATTTGACAACATTTGTAATAAATAAGGAATGTATGCTTTTGCAATAACATTTGTAATTCTCCAACTCGACATCGAGTTAAGAGTATTTTTCTACTTGAATTGTCAGTGGACCAAGAGTTTGTCCAATCTAGAATTTATCTGCATGAATTTGATGAAAATCAGAGTTTACATTGCTATTTTCATGGGTATTATCAAAGGGATTTTGTTGTGAATGCATTTTTAGTTATTCAAGGGCAGTTGTTAAACCAAGTTCTATTTTTTTTCCTTCTGAAAACACTGTAATTCATTTTGTACTTTCTTAAATTAATGCATACCTTCCCTAAAATGATATTGTGTTGGGTAGATTTCCCTCTGAGAGGTCCACAATCTATTAAAGTCAGAGATGAATGGAATTTTCTACCTTAAACAGGATTAGAGAATACATTTCTGCCTTCACTGCAGAAAGGTTCTTATTCAAATTAGGCAGGGTCTTTTTTCACCTTGGGATCTCACTGCATTCACATGCATTAAAGACATCAAGAGAAAGGTCACAAACATTTCATACTCACTTGCAAAATGTATTTTATATTTAACTTGTAGATTTGGACATATGCTTCATCCAAGGAGACATATGTCCTTTCCAAATATCTTGATTTAAAATGATATCTGATAATGACAAATTCTCGTTAGGTCATACAAAGGACACTGATATAAACTTGCCAGACATGGTAGCTGATTTCTTCCAGTCTCCATCTATTACAAACACCATTTATGTTAAATTGGGTTCTGATTAAGGCAGTGAATGTATTCCAAGGTAACTTTAAAAAGGGTAATTTATTGAAATATGGATATGTCTTATGTCTTTGCCTTTGTGCTTATTTATTAATTTTTCAGTATGTTTTCTCTGTCATATCTGGGGTGGTGTACATAAAGCCTACTGAGGCATTATCAACTCCATGTCAGTCTTTCAAGTACCAACCCTTTGCTAATATGTATTTGTACAATTATTCATTTGAATCAAATTTATAAGTTTATAGCAAATAATAATCATGTGTAAACTTAGGTAAGACCTCTGTCAAAATTCACTTCTATGAAAATATTGCCTGCTTTGGATCCTTATTCATAAAATGTTATTATCTAATATCTAACATTTCATACTTTAAAAATATAAGCACAAGCCCTCTTACTGAGAGAAATAATAACAGGCTGTAATAATGAATAACTTATTTAAACAAATGTTTGTATTTGACAATAAAACAGAGATCATAATTAATATTTGATAGCTATGTCCCCATTATAGGTGTAAATTCAAGTTTTCTTTTTTCCTCAGGGACAAATATACTAGTTAAGTAAGTCTCAGTTTTTGAATGTTTTATATATATATAAAAAAAACATTCAAATGTATGTATATATTTGAATATATATATATATATATATATATATACGTAAAGAGAGAGAGAGAAAAACAGAGAATATCTATCACTAAATTTCATTTGTCTGTAGTACAAACTCTCTTATTTTGAGAAAACTTTAAATTGTTGACTTTGATTTTAAAGGTCTGGACTATTCCACCATACATTTTTAGATAAATTAAAATCAGTGAGAGTGCCTACCCATAATATTTGTAGTATACTTGTAATTTGCCAAAAATCCTATTTCATTCAGATTTCTCTGATTTATACATGTGATTTGAAAAAGTTATTGTTTTTTAAAATAATAGGTTGTTATTATAATATGAACCTCTAGGACTTTTCACAAACTCAAGTCAATCATCCTTGGAAAAGATGTTATATTATATAATATATTTTGACATTTCACCGTCATGATTTCTATGTTAGATGGTCTAATACACTTTGAAGCCTATCTATCTATTTTTTTAAAAAAAACCTTACTTGCTTTTTCCACATTTCTGTTGATACAATCCTTTTTTGGTTTTGTTTCCTATAATGTATTGTCTAAGAAGCTGTAAAATGTCTGGGTGAAATTAATGCATGGTGAAACATAGTGCAACACAAGAAGTATTGTCTTGAAGTCAGAAAAATCTGGGATGAGATATAGGCTCACAAATTATACAGTCCTAGTAAAAAGATTTAACCTTTTAAAATCTGTTTTCTTATCTTTAAGATAGGAATAATAATAATATCTAACTCACTGGTCTATTGTGGCATCAACTAAAATAATGTAAGAAAAGGGCTAAATATAGTACCTTGCCCAAGCAGTCTATGAAGTTCAGTTCCTTCTTTTTTCCAAAATTTTTCTTGTTCTTCCCACAAAGACTACATGAAACAAGGCACAGGTGTTTGCCTCTGTGGTTTTCTGTTTGGTTTTGTTTTGGTTTCTGTGCTTTGTAGCTTGTAATAAACAAAACAACAAAAAACCCTTTAGGATATTTTCCAAAGGTGTTATTTTGGGGCCAAATATGTTTGAAACTGTTCAACAATGTATCAAGGAAAAATAGAAATCTTTGTTGGATACAAAAAGGGTGACTACAGAAAAGTCAGTGAGCAGGAGAAACAGAATTTCACATAGACCAGGTGTTGTAAACCTCAAGTAAGACAAGGTTAGATGGGCTCTGATAGCTGAAGTGGCAACCATTAATCTTGGAAAACCGTCAGTTAACATAAGAAAGAATAAAGGCACAATCAAATATCAGGTGTTAGGATAGTTTATAGAAGGAACAAAGTGAAGAATACAGGATAATTTGTAAATTTTGTAAATGAAGCCGAGAGAGGTTAGTAGCAAGATAACAGTAAGTGATGGAAATGGGCGCATTCTGATGCAAGTATGATAAAGAGTCTCATTACCGGTAGGACTGCTTTTAAAAGATAAAGTGACTGTTCTTTATGTTATTATGAGTGCAAGTGGAATCTAAAAGAATACTTTGAAAAAATAACAAAGTGATTAAGAGGGACTTGTCCATATCTGCAGTCCTCATAGCTTTTAAAACCTGGACAAGAGCAAGACAACATGGCAATTCTACTGTCTGCTTTGTAGACTACTTAATTCAGGCTACAACAGTCCCATTGGTGTCTAGAAACATAGATCTTCCCTAATTTTTCTCCCTAGAAGTTAAAAGGGTTTTGGAGAGGAGTCTGTTGTACCATTGCCTAGAACACAGCATAGGTAGGTGTCTCTGATATCTCATATTTCTGTATGCATGTTAGTTTTGTGTTTCAACCTATGACCAATGGTGAAACTACTAATTATTTACATAACCTATAACTTAAGAAAAATTTTACAGTTCAGCCTTTATAATTTGGGACAGTATTACACATTGAAGAACATAACATGTAATTTTCAACTTTTATTTTGGTAATGCTGTGATTCTGATTTTAAAATGTAGACGGAGCCATTAGAACCACGTGATATAAATGTATTCTCAGTTAGAAATAATAGTGAAAAATGTAGCTTACATTGTTTCTGATCACAAGGTTAAATTAGTTATCAACTGGTTAATCTGAGCCTTGCATTAATTATTGATAACATGTGAGAGTACCTCCCTTCTAACAGGATAATGGGTATATATTTCATACTCAATGATTGATTTGCGTATTATTTTCAAAATATTATTATCTTTAAATGACTTATAGTGAATCAAAATATTGCCATAGAATGGTATATGCATAGGCTTTTCTAATCAGTCATTGATTTTTCTATTGATTTTCCCATATTTTTATAAGATTTTTCTATCTAACATGAAATGATGGCTGTTGAAAACATGCTGCAAACCATAAAAGACTTTATACAAATGCAAAGAGTTCCTCTTATTTTCTACTAAAATGCAAGTAGTGAATTTTTATGTGTATATTTGATTTTAAATATATCATAGCAATTTGGTAGACTGGGATTTCACTACTCACCAATTCAGTTTTCCAAATTATGTTTGTTCCATTATGCCTATTAAAAACTTTTCTTTTGCCTTCCATAATGCTTTCTATTGCTACCAGGGGACCCAAAATGAAAAGCTCAGGAAAAAAAAGGAAGAAAAGTTAGTAAGTTATTATGGGTTATTATGTCAGGCTATGGCATGTTGAAATGGTATGATTAAAAATTTTTAAAGGTCACAAATTTCTGCAATCCCTGCAATCACATCCCATTTAACTGAGATTTTGCTACACTACCTACTGGGTATCTACCCAAAAGAAAATAAATCAATATATCAAAGAGGTACTTGTACTTGCATGTTTATTGGAGCACTATTCATCATAGCAAAGATATGGAATCAACCTAAGTATCCATCGACAGATGAATAAAGAAAAGGTGGTATGTATATATAAAAGAATACTATTCCACCATAAAAAAGAAAATCATGTCATTTGTAGCAATATAGATGAAACTGGAAGTAATTATTTTAAGTAAAATAAGCAAGGCACAAAAAGGCAAGTATCATATGTTCCTACTTAAATGAGGGAGCTAAAAATTTTAAACACTTGGAAGTAGTGAAAATAGATAACAGAGACTGGGATGGGGAGAGGACAAAAAGAAATGGGTAAAAGGGTAACAAACATATGGTAAGATGGAAGGAATAAGTTCAGGTCAGGCGTGGTAGCTAACACCTGTAATCCCAGTGTTTTGGGAGGAAGAGGCAGGTGGATCACGTGAGGTCAGGAGTTCAAGGACAGCCTGGTCAACATAATGAAACCCCATCTCTACTGAAAATACAAAAATAAGCTAGACATGTGGTGAGTGCCTGTAATCCCAGCTACTCAGTAGGCTGAGGCAAGGAGGATTGCTTGAACCTGGGAGCCGGAGGTTGCAGCGAGCCGAGATTGTACCACAGCATTCCAGCCTGGGTGACAGAGCAAGACTCCATCTTAAAAAATAAAAAAAATAAAAAAAATAAGGGGTGGGGGTTGGTTCAAAGTTTGATAGAGTAGGATGACTACATTTAAAAAATGTAGCATATTCAGGTTATGGACCCGCTCAAAAGCTGGATTGGTCACTAGACATTATATACATATAATTATTTTTTTCATGTGCCATACATTTGCACAATTTTTTTAAAAAGATACGGAATCTATTTCTCTAAGTCTTAAATCTGGGTTTGGTCTTGTTACTTGTTTTGATAATGGATATTAGCACATAGGTGTTTGCTTTCTTATGCACTGATTAAATGCTGAGACTGCTTGGCAAAGAAGCCTAGAGTAGCCTTCTGAAGGGTGAGAAGCCATGAAGAGCAGAGACAAGCCAACCTAGGTGAGCCTAGACCAACCAGCGTGACAACTTCCATAAAATGAGTGAGGCCATCCTAGACCATCTAGTGCCCTCAAAGCTGTCCCAAACCAGAAAATCTAAAGAATTATCAGAAATTCTAATTTTTTGGTTTAATATTTTGAAACGGTTTGTTATATATTAAAGGTCTATTAATACAGATAACACCATGTGTCTACTAAAGGAATGAGTTGTCTCTTTGAGAGTATTAATTATTTTGTTCAATTCCTAACAGCTCATAGTAAAAACAGAAGTGGAAGGAAAGAGTTTGAGTAGTAAAATGAAATAAAATGATGCTTCCTGTAATTTTCTTAAAAGATGCTTGGTGAATAGGCACTTTAAAGAGTCTCTGTGTCATGAGAATTTGTAAGATGCATCCATAGGGAAACCTTAAAGAGTATATTAGACCAACAAGAAAGAAGGAATATCAAGAGGATTGTTGAAATACTCTGTAGAATAAATGTTTTGTTCTATGTTTAGGCTCCAGACTAAAAGAATGCCTTTTCCATAAATAACATGTGAAAATGGATCTTTCTATAGAATGAAGTAAAAAAGAAATTATGAGATTCATATTTATGCTCTAGTTCAGTTTCATAATTGACAAATATTAATTTAAAAAGGAAAACAATCCAGTAACTTTGGGAGGAACTAGTCAAAATGAGTAAGTTTGTTGAGAATGAAATGTGACTCTGAAGAAAGAGTTGTAATATCGGACAAATTTCCTACTATGGTGCTTATTTCTTGGCTTTAAAGTATCTGCAGTTCTGTTAGTTTCAAATTTTTCCCTAGGTGTCAAAAACCTAACTTTCTTAAAGTGTAAAAGGAAATTTGTCACTTTATATAAGTGTAAAGTCTATGGCTATAGTGGTTTTAGGAATGACTGGATCCAGGGACGTCAGAAATTCAATATTTCTCTTATCTCTTGGCTCAGCTTTATTCTCTTTTGTCTATGTCCCTCAAAAATCCCAACTTACATAGTATTTACAACCAGAAATCTAAGAGAAAATGAGTTTCTAACTAAAATTTCAAAATCGAGTTTTGATATGATTGAGTTTGCCTCTGGTCTGTGTGCTATGCCCTCTCCTGGAGCAGGTTGAACAGCTCTACTGGAATAACATGAACTAAAAGTAGGGGAAGGACTGTGTTCAAAAGACAGTCAAGGGTGGACAGATTAATATTTATATCAAAGGACAAATATTGAGTATTGCCATTAAAAAATAGGTAGAAATAGATTTAGAGATAGAGCTAAATATATAAACACATGACAGAAATTAGGAATCCACACCTATCATAACCACTTTTTCTCAGAAGGAATATTTTTTCAAAAGAAAACAAAGAATGATAAATGAACTTTCATGATGACAACTGAACTTTGGCACCAAATAATGATATTAAATTCAGCGAACAGAACTTCAACCCAAGGAGAACTCCTAGTAGGGCTGAATATTTCTCAGCTAACATACGTCACTCTGATTTTTACTCACTCAACTTGCACTCAGAGGTGTGAAAAGGTGTGTCTAGACCCCAGCGCATGCCAGCCCAGAAGAAGTAAGAGATCACAAAACCAGAATAATTTTCTCCATTATTGGAGGCAAATAATTGCATGTATTCTAAAACTAGGACAGTAGGGCAGTGGGAACAGCCTCCAACTGGTTTTATATCAACAGTAATATAGAAATAAGAGGACAGAGATGGGGCAGAGGAAGAGAGAGAGTGAGACAGAGACCCCTACATATAAAAGACCTACTTCCTTTTATTGTTTGGGCAATGTGGAAGTCTCAGCCCCTGGAATTATAACCCATTTACATAGGTTCAGATTTGGCCAATACACAGAAACGTTTTTTATTTTCAGTGAGATTAAGTGTGAGGATTTAGTTAAGCATGTAAATACTGCAATGTTCAATTAAATTCTCCGAAAGTCAAACATACCAATTTTGGATTCTTAATCTAATTATATTCTATATCTTAATAACTTATTTTTAATTGTTTTGGTTCAAAACTTTTGAATGTAAAGCTCTCATTTCCTTCAATAGGATGAATTGGATTCTGAGCTATCCAATACAGTAACCATCAGCCATTTTGCTGTTTACATTTAAATTCATTATACTTAATATTTTAAATCAGTTATTTATTCACACTATCCGTATTTCAGGTGCTCCAAAGTTCCATACAAGTACTGGCTAACCCCATTGAGAGTACCGAAGGAAATTTCTACTATCACAGAGTTTCTATCAGACAGAAATGGACTAAATAATATGAAAACACTGTCACTGTATGCACCTAGAAAGACAGGATAAGTGTCAGAGCCACTGAGCTCAAAGAATATCTTTAAAATATTGAGAATGATAAATACATAAACAAGCTATTTGAAGACACAATGGGTGTGGAGATTCCTAACCTGAGTAATTTCTGGTTTGATTTTAACCCCAAGGACAACTCCTTCTACCTGGTCTAGATGTTTTTTAGATCAAACGCAGGTCTAACAAAGTTTTACTCCTTCATAAAAATGAGTGTTGGAATCAAAACGTTTAATTACAGCTAGGACATTAAAAGGGCTAAATCTTAACAGAGAATAGATTTTAGAAGTTATACCTATTAGAAAACAATATGCTGATTTGTCTTTTCCTGACTGGGTTCTAGGGAAAATGTCTCCTCTGAGAATTTATAACCATGGTTCTTCATCATGAGTGTTTTGCAGGTTTGAATTTACATTATTTGCATAGTTTGTGAACTTCAAACAGAGAAATAAAGTGTAAACTGATGGCAAGTTGATGACATTCTAGGGGAAGTTAGTGGACACAAAGAAAAAAAAAATCTGGAAATGCAAAACTTTAACCTAAAACACATAAAACTATCACAGATAAAAGCCTACTGAATGTGAATGCACATTTTGAACCTAAAAAACATACAGCAAATCGTCAAACATTAGTGAGTCAGCAGGCAATACACAGAAATGTTATCACACCAAGATGTCCAGATGATAGAATAATTTTACAAATACTGTTGTATAAGTAAGATTAAATTGGATAATTACATAAAAGAAGAAAGTAAAACTATAATGACTTTCTTTTAACATCAGGAACAAGACTTGGCTGTCCACTCTTGCCATGTCTATTCTACATTATACAGGAAGTTCTAATCAGAATGATTGAGCAAGAAGATGAAATAAAAGGCATTCAGATTTAGTAAGATGTCAAAGTATTTTACATTTACATATGACATAATATGGTATTTAGAAAAGCCTAAGGGATGCATAAAATTATTAGAACTAATGAATAAGCAAAGTGGCAGGATACAAGATCAATATTAAATATCAAATGTATTTCTATGCACTAGCAAGAGAAAATTCAATAATGAAATTAGAAAAACAATTCCATTTATAGTAGCATCAAAAAGAATTAAATATTTAGGAATAATTTAACAAAGAAGTTAAACACTTGTATACTGAAAACTATAAACTTTCTTGAATACAATTTAAAAAGACCTAAATAAATGGAGCCACCTTTCATATTCATGGATTCAAAGATGTAATATTATTTAGAGGTCAGTACTCTCCAAATTTATGTAGAGATTCAGTACAAGCATTTTGCAAGGTGTTTTTAAAAATTATGTAAAAACACAATGGGCCAAGTATAGCTAAAACAATCTTAAAGAAAAATATTGGAAGACTTACACTTCCCAACTTCAAAGCTTACCAGAAATAACCAGTAATCAAGACAGTGTGGTACTGGCCTAGGTGTAGATCAATGTAATGAAATATAGTGCTCTTGAATAAATTCTTACATTTAAGATACATTGGTATTTGATGACAGTTTCAAGACAATTCAATGGAGGAAATACAAACTCTTCAACAAATGGATATTCACATGCAATAGAATAAATTTAGACTTTTACCTCATACCATATATATATAAATTAAGTCAAATGGATTAACAAATTAAATTTAAGCTAAAACTATAAAAAATTTGGAAAAAAACATGAGGTGCGTTCTCCTTGACCTAGATTTGGCAATGGATTATCAGCTATGACACCAAAACGGATCAACAGAATAAAACATATAGATATATTGGACTTGTTCCAAGTTAAAACCATTGTATATCAAAGAACACTCTGAAGAAAGTGATGGAAGGTACCCACAAATCATATATCTGATAAGGAACTAGCATCCAGATATATAGAGAACTGCAGCTTGACAATGAAAAGACAAATAATTAAAAACTGAGCAAAGGATTTGAATAGGTATTTCCCTGAAGAAGCTATACAAATAACCAATAAGCATATGAAAGGTGATCCACATCATTAGTTATTAGGGAAATGCAATTAATTAGTCATTAGAGAAATGCAATTAAACCATGAGGCACAGCTAGAATGGATATTGATAAAAAATGACAGAAAATAACAAATGTTGACAAGCATGCGGAAGACTTGTAACCCTCATTCACTGCTGATACATATGAGAAATTGTGCAAGTGCTTTGGCACACAGTTTGGTAGTTCCTCTAACTGTTAAACATAGAGATACCATATGAAGCAGCAATTCTACTCTTAAATCTATATCCATAAGAAGTGGGAACATCTGTCCACATAAAATGAATCTATGAATATTCCTAACAGCATTATTTATAGTAGCCAAAAAGTAGAAACAACCCAAATGTCCATCGACATGAAAGAATAAACAAAATGTGGTATATTGATTTGATGGTATATTATTTGACAATAAAGGTTACAGTAATGACATGTGCTACAATATGGATGATCCTTGCAAACATGCTAAATGAAAGAAGTCAGTCACAAAAGACTATATTTTGCATGATTCCAGTGATGTAAAATGTATAGAATAGGAAAAACCACAGGGATGGAAAGTAGATCAGTGGCTGCCAGGGGTCAAGGGTTGGAAAAAATAGAAGGATACTGCTAATGGGTACAGAGTTGTTTTGTTTTGTTTTAAGTAATGAAATATCCTAAACTTAGATAATGGTTATGTTGCACAACTCTGAATACACTAAAAATCACTAAATTGTACACTTAAAAAGATAAGTTTTATGGTATGAAATTGTATCTGCATAATTACATATAAAACATTTGTGGAAGAAAAAGATATGATAAAAGAAACATCCAGTTTAAGGAAAAAGAATATAAAATGAGAATAGTTAAAAGCTCAATACGTGTGCTAAACTGTACATTATAACTCCGAAGCAAGGACCACTATCTAAAAAAATTAATTTGAGAAAAAGTCCTCAGAAAGCAATAGAATAAATATTAAAATGTGTATATGTATTTATAGATGTGTAACTATATATGTTTATTAATACATAAAAACATTTTTAAAACTTTAAAATTTGAGAATTCTCTTATTTAAGACAATTAAATGAGACCCTCCAACATATGTTGAATAGGATTGTCACCGGAGAATATTTAGAGATGGAAAGAAGAAATGTTTAAGAGTTTGTGACTGAGAATTTTTCAGAATAAAAGAAATGCATACATATGCACATTGATAAAGCAAAAGGAGATGTGCATTGGCTTGATAACATTAGAGTCACACCTACACACGTGTGAGTCCAACCGAACAGAGAAGGTCTCAGGAAAACAAGAAGCCATATGCAATGAGTGATTACCCACAAAGACAACTTATTTCTCATTGGCAATAATGGAGGCTGGAAGAATTTGAAATAATAGCATCAAAGTGATGATGAAAAATAATTGTCATTTTAGAAATCTATAATCAAAATATTACTTTCCATGGACTCACCTTTAAAGGAAGGAGAAAAACCGAGAAGAAAATAGGGGTACGCACAAAATAATTGATGGACTCATTGATAACCCAGATAATATTTGATTAAATTAATCAAATAACCATAATAAAAATTAATTTGAGGGGTATAACAATTAACTGGGACTAACACATGGGTTAACAATTACACTTTAAATGAAGAGTCAAGGAAATCTGAATTCCAATGACCTTGCATGGTAAGGAGGGGGAGAAAACAGCCTGGTGAAAGGATAGAAGAGTTGGTATCAGAAATATACAAATCAGGTTAAGATCTTTCACAAGTTAATTTACCTGTTCTCTATTTTTATGCCTATTATGAATTCCAAATTTGGCCTGGAGTCAATAGATTCTAATGAGGATGTATGCCAATTTGCTTAACATTTGCTAGAAGTCTTAATCTCTTAAAGACAAAAAAAAAAAAAAAAGAAAATGACAACAAAGGAACATAGCTAGACTTTCATTACCAAGGTCTCTCAAGCAAAGCTACTTCCCACAGGGATTCCTCTGAGCAATATTGTTTAGGCAATATAGTGAGATGGGACATACAAATAGTGGTCAAGGGGAATTAATGTTATAGCTGGAATGACAGGAATAAGCATCAAGTCTTTGGCAACATGGATAAGTACATTAGTAATGTGATAAATTGCTTAGAGGATTAAAGCTCATCGGTATGATGAGCATAATATTAATAAGGCCCAGCAATCCAGGAAAGAATGTGTTGGAATCCCATTTTAGGTAGTGCTGGCCTTTTATTGCAATGGCTGGGGATGGGGTTTGAGGAGCAAGTAAAGAGTTAGATCTCAGTATCTCTGAAGTGGTGTGATAGGCCTCATTGTCTACTTCCAATCATCTTTTCCAAGTAACTGGTCTCAATTATTGCCCAAATATAAACCAACACTTTCCCCACCCTTATTCTGTTACCCTCTGAAACTTCCCATTCTAATCCCCAAAAAGTTTCCAGTTATAACCTTTTCTCAAGTCTACAACTAAACGAAAGATTATTTTGGCATACTTCTAATTGCCTACTGTCGAGAGGTTTTCCATCTGGTGCAGTTCTGCTAGTCTGTATTGTACTCAACCCTGACCTGGCACTTTGGATTATCTGGTACTCATATCTGATCTAGTATATGAAAACTCTAGTCCTCAGAATGCATTTTTATTCCCTCACCTCATTTAAAAAATTTTTGGGTCTCCACCTCCAAGGGTGCAATGTGTTTCTTCAGGAACATTTTCTGAGATGTCTGTCAAATATTTTTCTATATATTTTATTATTCAGATTAAGGAGGAAAATTTGAGATTGGGTAAAGTTATTGTAAGTAAATCAAGTTAGCACACACTAGCTATTTTAAAACAGTACACAAGTAGCAGAGGACACTTTTTCATTCATTCAGATATTCTGTGCCTCAATTGAGGAGCATGTAATTGCCAAAAGATGAAAGGATTTTTAACTTGATAGCCAAGCTATGACTGCTTCATCGAGTGGGCTACGAAATGTACTTTTCCTGCACGTTCCATTAATCTCTCATGAGGGTCACGGTCCATTTAGAAAAAGCACTGTGAGCAGTCAGACAACTCCAGCGCAGTGTGAGGAGGTTTCTAAAACACTATTCCAGAAACATAATTCGAGGTTAGAATCTGGTGTGGTGTTGAGAGAGGGCTTCTTGGAGGTGACATTCATGATGAAAACTCAGAATCGATTATTATTGACCAGGATCAGAAAGAGGGTAAATAAATTCTAGTCACATCTAGAAGTAAACACACAAGACAAAACCATGTATAAAATTAAAGGTACAAGATAAATGAGATAGTATGGAAAGTAGTTAAAAAGTTAGGCAGGTATGTAAGAGATTTAATTAAAGATGTGAACAGCAGCTGGGTAAAGTAAGGAAGAAAAGGTGAAGAATTTAAAGATTTTTTTTTTGTGAAGTTACTTGTGCAGCTGGTTTTCAAATAAGAATCTGACCAATTGATTTACTTAAAAATTATAGAAATAGTTGTTTTGGAGCTGTATTAGCACAATCCAAATCTTATGGATAGATATGATTCTGTTGCAGTTGAATTTGAGCTAATTAACACCAATAGCTGCCAGCAAATTCATTAATCCTGATCCTGTTTATAGATCTGTTGTGAGGAATGATCATTTATTATCCTAAGACCCAGTGTCTTCTTAAGAACTATTATTATGTAAAAATATGGACAGAGACAGCCCACTGGCAAGAACTGTTAATCTTTTCAATTCACACTTAGACTACTTGTAAAACCCAAGCACATTATCCCTCATTGAGAGGCAGTAATGACAAGTTGGTTTAAACGAAGGAGACCTCTGTATAAATTAACAGATGTTTTAGTTGAAAAGAGAAGTGTCAACATGACCTTAATTAATGAATTTGCTAATGGTTGTTCCCAGAATGGGATAATATGCCAAGTTCTAACCTAGGTACAATAGAATAAATGGAGGATTTAAAGTTAGGCTCAGGTTGAAACCACAGTGTGAACTTCATGATCTTCATGCCCTTGAGTAAATCATCAGGTAACATACTGTAAAGTGAGAATCATAGCCCCACATAGCATGTGGTTGACTAGTATCTGATAGCTAGCTTGTGCTCCGTGAAAATATGCCTCTTGTTGAGAGGTAAGTCTGGAAAATTGAGATTACTCCCTAAAATCTCCCTAGTTTTTAATTAATCAGTCATTTTTGCTACAAATATTTTAACCAACTTATTTATGCATGGCAAGTATATCTCTTTAATTTTAATTGGTGTGTTCATGTTTTCAATGTGTATGCATAATACATGTGCACTTGGATTTGTGAAAAACATGTCAAAGAAATGCTACTTATTAACTTATCGGCTAAACGTCATTTGTCTGTGTTGATTTTTGAGGTGATTCTGGCCATGCTATCTATTGCCAGAAAGAAGCACTTTATAGAATACTTTTAATCTATTCTCAAATTAAAATTACTTGGAGTACATATTCCCAAACTTTTAAATGAACTGTGTCTAATAAACCCATATAATGAGATTCTTCATTTAGTTTTATCAGCATAGATTTTGTAACTAGTTCATCTTCACAAGCATCCCAAAAGTTCCATAGATATGCTTTATTGAGAGTTTTCTATTGATCCAGTGTTTTTTTTTTTATCACCTACTATACAAAAATTATTGGCTGAGAGGAGTGCAGCTACCTAATATGGCTCAGATTTTTGGGGCCTATCATTATTACTATCATCATCATCATTCCAAAATTTATAAAGAAAATGTCTGACTTGACAGATACTTTCTTCTTTCAGATGACTTTGTTTTCTCCTTAAATTATACATAAAGATGTCAGTTCTGTTCCTAGTTATATTCCAAGTCTTTATTGGGAATCAGAATCTCATTCACAGCTTCTCTCAGCATGGTCCAGACCTTGGAGACATCATTTTTGGGGTATGGTCATCACTAGCAACATTCATCAATATTTTTGGTTTTCCTTCCAGGATAGGATTGATGTCTTCCATTTCCTTGAAGTTAGTGGTGATTGTTACTTGTTTTGGTCAAAGAAATGTGCAGCATATGTTATTTCAAGTCAGCAGCGCTTAGGAGCTAACATATGAACTACCACGTTCCCTTCTACCTTCCATGGCAATCATCCAGATAGTAGAGTACACCACACCACCAAGGTCTCAGTGTATTGTGGATAAAACAATGATTTCTGTTTAAAATATTAAAACGTGGAGACATCTTATTGCCACATTATAGGCTGACCTATCCTGACTAAAACATGAATGATAGGCTGAAGGTTATGCCAACTGTCATTTTCGTGATTGGCATGCCTTGGTTATATTAGAGTGTTAGAAAACTATGCACAGATACAGTATGCTTTTATTTTAAATCAGGCAAGACTTGCTTCTACTGAAATGCATTCTGTTATGACGCCATTGACTTAGACCAAGTACATTTATACCTTTATGAGCAAAGACTCCATGAAATGCATTACATTAACCATATTTCAACAGCAAACAGGGACTTCCCCAATTTAACACTTCCCTAAAATGAGTTAAAATTGGTTTTATGCCATTCACAGTTGGAATGAAAAATCTAGCGAGTGCAGGATTTTTTTATTTTGCTCACCTTTTAAAATACCTATCATCCAGTAGGTTGCCAAGCCCAGGGTATTTAACACATGTCTGATCAATTCAACTGTGTCATATTCATTATAAGTTATCGTTCATTGTTTGACAGTGCTTATCTATGAAAACTAATTGGAGGAAATTTTCTCGAATGAGTTATACAAATCTTTCCTATTCTTCCAAACATGTAGTACTAATTTTGACACACTTTTAATCACACAATATGTTTTTCTTTTTCTTATTGACTAAGAGACAGAAATTCAATTTATTTTGAGATCCTTTTTTAACAATTGGTATAATATTATATGTTTTAAACTTAAAATTCCTGTTCCTTTATTACAAACATTTTTCTCTTTGCCTAATTTTTCTTTCTTATTCAACGTTTATCTTGTTTTGTTGTATTATTTTTATACTTTACATATATACCAAATACATGTCTACATTTATATAAATATGACAATATTTTGATATCTTTCTTAACATACATAATCTCTTTTTATAATTACCAATTATTATGTACTTAAGGTTTTTTTCTAATCTTTTAAAGCATATGAAAATGTATGCATTTCAATTGTGAAAGTATTAGGGATTTCAGAACACGTCAACTGGCTATAAGGCTTTATGTTGCAAGGGCAATTTAGTCTTAGTGAAATTGCTCACTGCTTCAGGGTACCTAATTAGAAATTAAAATACGTAGGTGCTTTTTTTTAAAAAAAATCTTTTCTCCAGCTCTATTTCAGCATATTTTAATCTAAACTATATCTGTTAAATATGATTACTGAGCAATGACATAACCCATGGACATTCATTTCTCATTAATTACAAGTTTTCATTTAGATTTGAAATGAATATTTTCCTCAATTGTATTTTTAATCACTCCCAATCATCCTTTCTTTTTTATATGAGAAATATTAAGCCTTGAGAAAATTTCTGCAGAGTAATAAAACTTGTTAGATTAGATTAATATACATGGGCTCCTCCACTGTTATTAATTTAGACAGACTTTCATTTTTCCTTTTATGATTGCACAGGACATTGATTTATGGTACATGAAATGACCAAATTGTACTTTTGAAATTTAAAATTCTCGAGCTCTCCTTATATTATCAGCCTTGAATTCAGCTATTTTGTCTTTTAAATTATAAAATATATGCCCTTTTTAATTGAAAGGCATAAGTGCCTAGTGTAGCAAGTATATTAGCTAAATGTTTGTCTGAAATAATGGATCATTTTTAATGTCATTAATGTACTATTGAGTCACTATAGAACATAGCATATTATAAAAACTGTTGCAATTTATTTTTTATTGTAGTATACCTATAATGTAGTTTAGTTGCTTATGTCTCTTGAATATGAGTAGAGAAAAATAGTTTTTTTTTTCAAGCCTAAAATGAAAGAATATTGATAAGGCCACTGCTTCATCCCATTCTGAAGATACCAAGCATATTAGTAGAAATAGTTGGTTTTGACTCTTTAGGAACCTAAGATGCAGAGCTGTTCCTTGGGCAGGCTTGATTTATTAATATATAAGTGACATGGAGCCTGATATGGTTTGGCTCTGTGACCTCACCCAAATCTCATCTTGAATTCCAATTCCCATATATCAAGGGAAGGACCTGGTAGGAGGTGATTGGATCATGGGGACGGTTTCCCCCATGCTGTTCTTGTGGTAGTAAGTGAGTTCTCCTGCGATCTTATGGTTTAAAAGTGGCAGGTCTTCCTTTGCTCGCTGTCTCTCTCTGTCTCTTTTGCTGCCAATAAGACGTGCTTTGCTTCCCCTTTGCCTTCTGCCATGATTGTAAGTTTCGTGAGGCCTCCCCAGCCATGCAGAACTGTGAGTCAATTAAACCTCCTTTCTTTATAAATTACCCAGTCTCATGTAGTATCTTTATAGCAGTGTGAGAACTGTGCAAACTAATACAGGGCCCCAGAGTGGTCATAAAATAAAGCATATCAACTGTTGGTGGGTCTGTGTATGCCTAAATTTGAATACTTTTAGGAAGATGAAAGACTTTTAGTTTATATTGCCCTGGGAAGAACCACGGTGGAGTATGAACACTGTTTGTTTAAGAGGCAGGGATTATTAAGGAGAGCCTGTTCTGTAAAAGTGTTTGGATTGAGAGAACACGTACAAAATGACAGGATAATAGCAGGTAGATAATATTCATCTTTTTCTCCCAGGTTAATGTAAACAGGGACCTGATTTTACAAGATTTTATAGGCCATGTTTTACATACGTTGATTTTATCTTAATATGAATAAAACTTAACATATGTGGAGACATTAGGACTCATTCAGCATGATGAATGGCAGATAAGGCTTAAAGGGATACTGGATTCTACCCTTTAAACTTTAATGCAGGGATTACAAGTATGCTGAAACTTCTTTAAGAATGGTAGATGATTTCAGTCAAAATCACTCAAGGTCAGACTCAAAGTACAAACAGTAAGGAGACACTTTAATCTATCATTAAAGTTGACCCTTATCAGCATAATCATTAGTTTGAGTTCAATGTATAAAAATCTAACTTTAAAGCAATATACAAACCAGGGAAAAAAAGTCTTTGCAAATATTATCAGCATGTAGTGTTCTGGGTTGCAAGTTTCTCTATTTTTTTGTAGCATCAATAAGGCAATCTAGTAAAACTTGCCTTCATTTTTCAACGTGTCTTGTTATTGCTCTAATGTGGGAAGGCATAATGGTCACAAGTATAAAAGGCTCTTTTACATTAAATTACACAGAATAAATTTACCTGCTCAGAAGATGACAACAACTGATTTTTTCAACTTAGTTGCAAAATATTCTCGCAATAAATCTGAAGCTACCACAGAGTGATCCAACTTTGAATATTACAGTGATGATAATGGGGCTTCTAGTGAACTAAATTAATGTTTATGGCTTTTTCTTCCCTACTTTTATTGTTGTTGCTGCTACCACGCCTACTGATGCTTGGTTTTGGTATGTGTGGCTCTCTTAGTAGTGCTGGTTTTTGAGATTGGCTTTAAGAATTGAAATATTATAGAATAACGCACATATGACTCAATAAAATGCCACAAAGCCTTATATTGTCTATAAGATTAACAGTGGAATTAGACTCCTTATTATTATATTTCTAGTTTTTCTCTAAATTTCAGTTTTAATAGGCATAAACTTATTAAAACTTTTTTGAATTAGAACTGATATTAATCATGGATACTTACATTCTCTTTAGGAAGACTTTGTATACTCTTAATTGATTATATAATATTAACCAACATAAATATAAAATAAAATTAATTACATAACATTATATGATTCTTACAGTTTATTTTTCTATCAATTTAAAATTATGTGTTTTATTCCTCTTTCTTTAGAAGCAAAATCATTGATTTCTACAAAATTTTCATTGTCTACCAGATTCTCATATTTGTCATATTTTATAAACTATTTGTGAAGATAGTAATCTGAATTGTTAAATATATTTTTTAAAATTTAGATTTTCTGTAGAAAACTTGTTTTTTTAGTGGCTCTATAATTTTCTATTAAGCAAATGTAATTTAAACTATTACTCAAATGAAGACTAATTCCAATTTCTTTTGCTTATAAACAATATACAACAAACATCCTTTTGTAAAGTGGTAAGAAGTATTGTAGTCTGACGTGCTCCAGAATATCAAGTTGCCATGCTGCAGTGGGCGATAGGAGAGAAGGCTTCCTCTTCCACAATAGGAATGCATGAAACCCAGTTTCCTACAGAGCCAGAGTGTGGCTCCTCCCTAAAATCTTGAATCTGAATTTTCATAAGGAACTAGAGTGTTAACTTCAGAATATTCAGAGAACTCTTTTTGCCCCAAAAATGGACATGGTGATTTCCTGCTGCCTAATTCCTCCCTGCCTATCCTTGCCAAAGTATGTTCCCTTATTTATACTATAAAATGGTAAAGTGTGCGGGGACTGTGTTTCTCCTTGAGGACATTATCCCACTGCAAATGTCTTCCTGTGATAATGGCAAAATAGTGAATCATGGGTATTCTCTTGCTGGGCTTTGACTTTCAGCCTTCTCTAACAAAACCCACCCCTTAACTAGTCCTGTGTGACATTGTGGTGTTTTCCTTCATTCCTCTCGCTGCACTATTAAGATTGCATTGTTTTTTTAAAATTTCTGATTGTTTCTCAAAGGCAGTATGGCAGAAGGGAGGAGGTAAACTTTGCACAAAGGGTACAGTTTACAAATTTTGATGGAATCCATTTTGGACTTGAAAGCTAATAGCTAAGATGGGGAAAAAAGGAAGCTTATTCTCATACAATAAGAGCCAAAGCCTTGTTACAAGGGTATTGTCCGAGTTGTTTAAAACCGTGTCTTGATTTAAAAATGAAGTCTAGAAGTGAATTTCAAGATTGTCTAAAAGATAAAAACGATGTTTGAGAGCCAGGATCCCGTTATATCAAAGGGGAAATAGATTTCTGTAAAAAGGCTGAGGGTAACAACATGATGGTAGGAGTAACTATTCTGATCAGAAGTAGAAGGGAGGCTAAGGGACAAGGAGTGCAAAGTCCCATGGAAAATATTGAAAGTACTGAAGATATCTTGACCCCAAATCTAAAGAGGCAATTACGGCTAAAAAAGCTTCATAGTTCTGAATAGCTAAGAGTCCTTGCCTAACTTTCAAATATTTCATGAAAACAAATTCCTAAAGACTCTGTCAAACTCAGTCCCACAGTAAATAAAATCTTCTAAGTATTAAAAAAAAATTACAGGCAATTTGTTAATCCTGGATTAATATAAAATCTTCTTGGCTATGATACATTAAAAAGGAACCAGGGATTGTGATCAACCAACAATGCTAGCCAAAATGCTGAATATTTCGAGTATTCATTCAAAATTATATTACTTATTGAAAGTAAGGTTGTCTGTTTCCATGCTATGTTATTCATATTTTATACCATGTATTTTCTATACATAGAGAAGCATTCTTTTTTTCATTTGTATCTCAAGAAGTCATAGTAGAAATTGCAGTCAGCTATATAGAGAGCACATTTATTTTTCTAGGGTTTGGTTTGATATCTAAATAAACTGCTAACTAAAGAATCAATGTGACAGAAACAGAAGCTATCGGAAATGATGATATCATAGGACCACATGAGTATTTCTTGCATGGGTTTATTGAATTCTAAGGTAGCATTCTTCTTGGAGGAGCATTTTAACCAAAAGCTGGGGGGTGGGGGGACCAATAGAAACGTACAATAAAAAACAGACAAACAAAAAGCAACATTGTTAAAAAAAAAAAAAAAAAAAAAGTTCAAAAGGTAGCAGTGATTGTGCCCAGACCGTTAACAGACTTATACAAGGAATGATGACCTTGTGGAGCCTGTTGGTGATGAGGTCATAAAATGTGACAAAAAGAGATTGCAGTTTTTATTGTTCCATTGATTTCACCTTTTCCCTTTTTGATATGAAGTTGGCTAAAGGACTTTAAAGGACTTTTTATTTTGTTGCTCACTGAGTCTAGGGAATGTGCAGAGAAAAATGATCTTGCTTTCTAATAGGTGCTAACTATGTTTAGAGATGGTCAGGCAAGTTTGACCATCTTGTGAGAATGAAGCTGAAACTTTCATCTTGCAGTAAGTCTGGATTGTGTGATGAAAGTTAAACAGTCAATTCATTAAGTGATATATAAACATCAACAGCAGATGGGCTTTTAGAAAACAAAGATCCTATTTTCAGAAAGTTGTCTTGACCATATAAAGAGAAAAGAAAGGCAAATAGGAAACATTATTAGTGCCATAGAAGTAACATTGTTTTGTGATTTTTAAAAACATATTTTCATTCTGTTATATCTGTTCAGGTTTTTTGATCTTAATCTAAGCTCAATTCATGACATAGACTTGGTATAGTATATACTACACCAAGTATTTATCTTATCTATATATATTAGATAAAAAGGTAACCAGGAATTATGACAGGCTCATTTTTTTTAATTTTTATTTTATTTTTATTTTTATTTTTTGAGAAGAAGTCTGTCGCCCAGGCTGGAGTGCAGTGGTGCAATCTTGGCCCTCTGCAACCTCTGCCTCCCAGGCTCAAGAGATTCTCCTGACATGCTTAATTTTTTATGTTTACAAACTTTCTACTAAATCACCAGTATTTTATATAATACAATACTTATGACCTTTGAGCTCGAGGAATCCATTTGGAAGAGAGTTCAAATTTCTAAATATGTTGTATTTTTTTTCTTATTATTAACTTGCAATCAACCATTAAGACTGATTTGAACAAAATTTTTGAGTTACAATGCAATGACTATATACACGGACTCTATATACTCTCCCAAGGTAGATTCACTTAGAAATATTCCAACTATTTAATCCTAAGTCATTTGATTTTTATGACTGTTTCCTAATGTGTAAAATGAGAGGAATAGATTGATTTTACAGATCAAAAATACTGTATTTCTGTGACATGTAATTCACTGATATGATAAATTTAAAGAAAATCCTCACAATCAATCTAAATAGTTGAAGTTAAGCCAACTACAACAGAAAAATATTGTCTACCAGCCTCATCTTTGGGTTCTGCCAAAAAATGTAAATCACAAAGTTAGTAAATATTCAAGGACAGTGCTTCAAAATAAAAATAGGCATAGAGAATATATACATTCTCTATGCCTATTTTATTTTTATACACAAAAAATCCTCTACTGTAGCTAGAAGCAAACATCTTGCCCTGCTGTGTGCATGCATGCCCATGCCTTATCAATGAGGATCACTAGTCATTGCATTCCTTTGGTTTGGAATGTCCTTTCTCTTGCTGTTACTTGAAACCACATCTTTCCTTCAAATAATTTTTATGTGCATGTGCAAACTCCTGTATGAAGTTTGAACTTGTCACTCTGTCTAATTATGATTTCTAGGTCCTGTCAGTTCCCAGGTTGTCTTCACCACTTACTTATACCACTTTTCTGATTTTTTATCTACCAGTACTCATGGTATGTATTTCTGAGCAGAAATTGTTAAACATCACCCAATGCTACAAGTATTTCCTTGATTATTCAAAGCCCCAGTTGGTCTGACTTCCTTTATGGTCAGTTCAATTAGAAATAAGCCCTTCTTTACTTCTAATCCTGTGTCCTTTCCTATATACCTCACGAGAGGTATGTTATTGATTATCAGTTCTAATTTTGTGGCACCCCGATTATTTCTAGTTTCTAGCAGTCATTTGCGGCCATCATAATTAAAAAAAAAAACATAGCACATGTATATCTATGTCACAAACCTGCACATTGTACACATGTACTCTAGAACTTAAAGTATAATAAAAATAAATTAAAAAAAGAAATTATATATTATATGGTGGTAATTGCAATGGTGAAGAATACAGCATCCAGGGAAGGAAAGCAGTGCCAATAGCAGAATGAGAGGTGGAGAAGGTGGGCTGCAACTGTAGACAGGAAAAAAAAAATTTCTAGAATGGCACATGGGACGTCCTCCAAGACCAGCCAATAAGGCCATAAAATAGGCCTCAATAAGTTCAGAAAAATTAAAATGTTACCAAAGATACTTTCAGACCACAGTGGAATAAAAATTGAAATAAATACCAAGAAGATCTCTCAAAACCACACAATTACATGAAAATTAAACAACTTATTCTTGTGTGCCTTTTGTGTAAACAATGAAATTAAGGCAGAAATCACAAAATTATTTGAAATAAATGAAAACGTAGACAGAGTTGCTGGAATGCAACAAAAGCAGTATGAAGAGGAACGTTTATAATGCCAAATACCTACCTCAAAAAGTTGGAAATATCTCAAATTAAGGATCTAACATCACACCTAGACAAAGTAGAAAAACATAAACAAGCTAATTCCCAAACTAGAATAGAAATAATTAAAATCAGAGCAGAACTAAAGAAAGTTGAGATGTAAAAATCCATACAAAGAATAAACACAAAGAAAAGTTGCTCTTTAAAAAGATAACTCGGATCAAAATAAGATCAGTAGACCACTAGCTAGATTAAGAAAGAAGAAAAGAGAGGAAATCCTAATAAGTACAATCAGTAATGACAAAGGTGACATTACAACTTATTCCACAGAAATACCAAAGATCTTCAGAGGCTATTACGAACAGCACTATCCACACACACTAGAAAATCTAGAGGAAATGGATGAATTCCTGGAAACACATAATATCCCAAGATTAAATCAGGAAGAAAAGGAAATGCTGAACAGAAAAATATGAAGTTACAAAATTGTCAGTAATAAAAAACTGCCAAGTAAAAAAGCCCCAGACCAGATGGATTTAAAGCCAAATTCTCTGAGACATTCAAAGAAGACCTAGTAACAGTTCTACTGAAACTATTCCAAAAAAATCGAGTAGGGGAACTCCTCCCCAGTAGATTCTACTAAGCTATCATCACCTTGATACCAAGTCTGGGAGAGAGACAATGAAAAAAAGAAAACTATAACCAAATCTCCTTGATGAACATACACAAAAATATCTTCAACAAAATACTAGCAAACTGAATCCAACAGCACATCAAAAAATTAATTCACAATGATCAAGTAGGCTTCATGTGTAGGATGCAAGGTTGGTTCAACACACAAATTAATAAATGTGATTAACAACATAAACAGAATTAAAAACAAAAACCATGTGGTCATCTCAATAGATGCAGAATAAGCTTTTGTTAAAATGCAACATCCTTTCATGATAAAAACCTTCAAGAAACTAGACAGTTAAGGAATATACCTCAATGTAATGAGAGCCATCTATGACACATCCACAGCCAACATCATACTGAATGGGGAAAAACCAGAAGCATTCTCCTTGAGAACTGGAACACGACAAGGATGCTTATTCTCACCACTCTTACTCAACACAGTACTGGCAGTGCTAGCCAGAGCAATCAGGTAACAGAAAAACTAAAAAGGCATCCAAATAGAAAAGGAAGAGACAAACTATCTGCTTGTAGATGATCTGATTCTATATCTGGAAAACTTTGAAGACTCCACCAAAAGGCTCTTGGAACTGATAAGCTTCATTAAAGTTTCAGGATACAAAATCATTGTGCAAACAGCAGTAGCATTTCTACACTGATAACATTAAAACTAAGAGCCAAATCAAAATGCAATCCATTTACAATAGGAACACAAAATATAAAATACCTAGGAATACATCTAAGTACATCATGAACATGTATTTTTAGTGAGAGAGCTCTTATAATTGCTGGGAATGTATAATTTACTGGACGTCAGCCCAAGTCAAGATGCTTAAAATTGTACTTGTAGAGCTTCACTCAAACCAATGTGTCAAATAATGTATTGAATATTCATATAAAGAGAGACTATATTTATATTCTTAGATAGTTTGCTCTTCAATTTTTTACTTCATGCTTTCATATATATTACCCTAAAGTTTTTATCACAACAGATAAAGATTTTGTTGTCTGGAAAAAAGGAGGTGGAAGATCTCTACGAGGAGACATGCAAAACATTGCTGAAATAAATAATAAATAACACAAACAAATGGAAAAACATTCCATGCACATGAATAGGAAGAATCAATGTCTTTAAACTGGTTACACTGCCCAAAGTAGTCTACAGATTCAATACTATTGGTATCAAATGACCAATGTCGTTTTTCACAGAACTAGAAAAAAAAAACAAAACTATTCTAAAATTCATGTGGAACCAAAAAAGAGCCCAAAGAGCCAAAGCAATCTTAAGCAAAAAGAATAAAGCTGGAGGCATCACATTATTTGACTTCAAACTATCATATAAGGCCACAGTAAGCAAAACATGGCAGGGGGATAAAAACAGACACATAGACCAATAGAACAGAATAGCAAACCCAGAAATAAAGCCACTGATCTACAGCCATCTGATCTTCGACAAAGCCAACTAAAACAAGCAAAGGGGAAAAGACTTCCTCTTCAGTAGATGCTGGGATCGGGGCTTCCTGTAGGCAGAATGAAACTGAACTCCTACCTTTCCTGATATACAAAATTAACTCAAGATCGATTAGGACTAAGATTTGCTTAGAATTAAAGGTTTCTCTCCTTTCCCTTCCCCTCCCCTCCACTCCGCTCTGCTCCACTCTGCTCTTTCTTCTTTTCTTTTCTTTCGGCACAGTCTTCTGTCGCCCAGGCTGGAGTGCAGTGGCGCGATCTCAGCTTACTGCAACCTCCACCTCCCAGTTTCCAGTGATTCTCCCACCTCAGCCTCCTGACTATCTGGTATTACAGATGTGCACCATCACAGCCCGGCTAATTTTTGTATTTTTAGTAGAGACGGGGTTTCACCATATTGGTTAGGCTGGTCTCGAACTCCCGACCTCAGATGATCCGCCCGCCTCACTGGCTCAAAGTGCTGAGATTACAGGCGTGACACACCTCACCTGACTGGATTAAAGATTTAAATGTAAGACCTCAAATGATAAGACAACCTAGGAAACACAATTCAGGACACTTTGGGAAATAATTCATGACTAAGCCCTCAAAAGCAATTGCAACCAAAAGAAAATTGACAAGTGAAATGTAATTCAATTAAAGACCTTCTTCACAGCAAAAGAAACTATCAACAGAATAAACAGACAACTTACAGAATGGTGGAAAATATTCACAAGCTACACATCCAACAAAGATCTAATATCCAAACTCCGGGAGGAACTTAAACAGTTGAAGAAGCAAAAACCAAATAGTCCTATTTAAAAGTGGACAGAATACATGAATAGACATTTCTTAAAATAACACGTACATGTGGCCAAGAAACATGAAAAAATGTTCCACATCACTAATCATCAGATAAATGCAAATTAAAAACACATTGAGATACCATCTCACACCAGTGAGAATGGCTATTATCAAAAAGTCAAAAAACAGCAGATGCTGGAAAGGCTGCAGAGAAGAAGGAATGTTTATATACTGTTGGTGGGAATGTAAATTAGTTCAGCCACTGTGGAAGGCAGATTGGAGATTTAACAAATAACTTAAAACAGAACTACCTTTTAACCCAGCAATCCCATTACTGGGTATATATCCAAAAGAAAACACATTGTTCTACCAGAGAGACACTTGTAGTCACGTGTTCATCACAGCATCCCCATTATTCACAATAGCAAAGACATGGAGTCAACCTAGTTGCTTATCAACAGTTTACTAGATAAAGAAAACATGGTACATACACACCATGGAATAGTATGTAGACATAAAAAGAATGATATAGTGTCATTTGCAGCACTTTGGAGGCAGCTGGAGGTTGTTATCCTAACTGAATTAATGCAGAAACAGAAAACCAAATACTACATGTTCTCATTTATAAGTGGGAGCTAAACATTGGGCACTCAGGATCATAAATATAGCTTCAATAGAAACTGAGGACTATTAATGCAGGGAGAATGGGAGCAGGCTCAAGGGTTGAATAACAGTTGTTAACTATCTATATTATATATAATTATATATATATATATATATATATATATATATATATATATATAAAACTATGTTATCTGTTAACTATATTAACTATGTTAACAATTGTTAACTAATACTTAGTACCTGGAGGATGGGATCATACATCCCCAAAACCTCAGCATCACGGAATATATCCAGGTAACAATCCTGAACATGTAAACCCTGAATCTAAAATACAAGTTGAAAAAAAAAGTAAACATAGAAAAATAATTAAATTACATAAAGACCTTGAATTACTTATAGTTTCAGGATAAAGACTGTCAAACCTGTAGGAAGGTAGACACTTGTGAAATGGAACCAACAGTAACAGTTACAAATACCTAAAGCCATGTGCAAAGTGCAGGTAGAAGATAGCTTTCTAATTTTACAGAAATAGAAAGATGAAATCTATTGCATTACATGTATAGTTGGTAGCAATGACTGTTCCAAGAAACCACCCATTTTCTCTTTGGTTGAGAGTTTATTATGTTTATGATTAGCATTCTTAGTAGTAGAATTAGTGATAAAATACAACAGGTACTGTAGATTGAAAATGTATTGGATTACTCTGCATTGCTACTGTTTTATTACTATATTCTCCAATATTGTATTATACTTCCTCAATAGACTACAAGCTTTTGCAGTACATGTGGACCATCTTTATATTGTAGGTGTCTCATACAGAATCTGACACCTAATATATATTAAATATTTCTTTGCTGATCTTTGTAATAAATGAATAAATGTTTAATTTGGCTCTTGAGAACTCTTGTTTTGAAAGAAAAAAAGACCATAAAACAAAATAAATTGATATAAATAAATGATAATAGGCTGAAGAAAATCTCCCACCATGGTGATGTTTTACTTACAATCATTGTCAATTAAATATGAAAAATAATCACAGAAACAAATCATTATTAAGGAATTTTGTTAAAATGAAAATTAGATTACGTTGATCTACTGTTATAACCTCTCCAATAGTTTCCCAATTCCCTGACAGGGATAAAAGTGTTTCCTTTCTTTACAATGCCTACCAAAGCATCACCTTATACAGCATTCTCCCTTTCCTCGATATCTCTTAGTCTGCTTCAGTCACAGTTTTCACTATACTTTCTCCTTGATGTCAGGCATCTTTTAGGCTCAGGGCCTTTTCTTTTACCTCTTCCTAAAATATTCTTTCCCGAGAAAATTGCAGGGCTAGCTTCTTTACTCCTTGCAGCTTCTTTCCTTATCAGTGAGATCTTCCTTAACTAACCTATGTAAAATTGCAAGTGACCTATCCTATATACCACAAACATGCGTATTTTTCATAGTACATAAAACATAATACTTCATAATGCTCATTACCCTCTAAAGTACCATATTTATTATTTATTCTCTGTATTCCTCTATCCAAATGTATTTTTCTTTCTTTTCTTTTCTTTTTTTTTTTTTTTTTTTGGCAGAGTTTCACTCTTGTTGTCCAGGCTGGAGTGCAGTGGCGCAATCTCGGCTCACCACAACCTCCGCCTCCCGGGTTCAAGCGATTCTCCTGCCTCAGCCTCCCAAGTGCCTGGGATTACAGGCAGGCACCACCACTCCCAGCTAATTTTTGTATTTTTAGTACAGACGGGGTTTCTCCATGTTGGTCAGACTAGTCTCGAACTCCCGACTTCAGATGATCCGCCCGTCTCGGCCTCCCAAAGTGTTGAGATTACAGGCGTGAGCCACCGTGCCTGGCCCCAAATGTCTTTTTCAAAATGGTGAGAATATTTGTTTTGTTTGTATATCCACTGGTCCTAGAACAGTGTATGGCATGTAGAACATTGACATTAGATGGCACTTGAATAAACAAATAACCAAGTCAATATTAGCTTTTGTATATCTAGAAGTGAATATTTTAGTCTTAGGGATTTTGCCATTTACCAGGCCATAGTTTGATTTTGAATGGTGAAGAAAATTTTCTTGGCATGTTTTTCTCTATAAAATGTTTTCATTCATGTCCTTGTTATGAAGTTTTACCATGGATGCCTGCACACTTTATCTCTTTGGGTTTGTTGAATGACAGAAGGTTTAGACAATTGATGTTAGCTCCATAAAACAAAATTATGTTCACAGGAATAATAACAGTAAAGGTTAATTCTCAGATCATTTCTCATTTTAGTTAAGTCTAACTACTCTTCTACCAAAATAGTAGGGAATGCGCTAGTTGTTTCACTTCATTCCTTACCTTTAATCTTCTAACTCAGGGGTGAATTACTCATAGTCTGTGACCCTGATTTGTTCTGCCTTACTTATTTCTTTACTTATAGTCAATGAGCTAAGAATGATTTTTACTTTTTAAAAAGATTATATTTGCAGTGGTTATACAAGTACCTATATAATTTTATTTATTTATTTATTTATTTTTATTTTTGCCTCTTAACCCACGAAGCTTAAATTCCTTACTATGTTGCATTTTACAAAAAGTGTTTCAATTTCTCTCTTAGTTTTTCGTGTTAAGGAATGATCTACAATTTATTAATATGGCAATAATATGAGTAGCTTCCTATTAAATTGTAAACCCACTATGTGCTTAAGCACTGTGGTACTTTTTATATATGATTTCAAGTCCTTACAACACTTGTGCAAGTAAAATATTTTAAATCATAGTTTTACGTATGAGTGAATAAAAGGTTATAGTAATAAATAACTGCGCCAAAGTCATTTTAGCAATTTCCTCAGAAGATTAATAATCAACTCTTTTAAGATGGAAAAACCCTAGTTTACCCAACCCGAGTTTAACTGTTCTCAACCTTGTGTCAAATAACAAGAAACACAGCAACTGCGACAAGTCTAAGATATGGTTAATTAAGGGGAAAAAAATGAACACCCATTGAATAAACTATCACCTCCTTAGAATTTATAATTTCCTGGTAGATAGTCCACTGCCTTAGTTTTCAGGACTGTCTTATATTTTCTGCTCTGCTCTAATAATATATGAATGAAGATGGAGTTTGTCAGCTGGTGGCCAGTAAAATAAAAAAGTTTTGTCAATATTCAAAACTCCACCTGGTGGCTGATCGTGGCTTTGTGCTTTCCACATGTTTCTGCAACTGGGGATGCACCCTGACGTTTGAATGGTAGACCATAAGAAGAAGCTGTGCTTACTAAAACAAAATAAAATATTCCCAAGGTAAAGCCAACAGAAGCTGAATGTCACAACATTAATATTCAGCAACACATCTATCATCTAAATAATATTTTATAAAGATTGTATTGAATATTTTAGATATTTATGATTTTGAAAGGTACTACTTTGAGAGAATTGTCTGCTTATTTGTTTTAGGAATAAAGACCAATTGTAAGTAGTTCTCAGGTGCAAATTAACACTGGATTTTTTTCTTAGAAAAGTATTCCCATAAAATGTTTTATTTGAACTATGTGAAATCAGTGAGAAAGCTACCCACACCACGTAACATTTTGTGACACATAAAATTAACCTTTAAACAAGTTAGTGCTTCATCATCATCACAAATGAGTTAATTTTTTCCATGTGTAAATTTTAAAAAAGGCAATAATATTCTTTTTTGCAAAACCTTACACACATCTATACCTACACACATCTATCTATCAATCATCTATCTATCATCTACATCTTTCTATAATTTGCAGATAACATATTTTTTCTAGTTTTAGATAACCATTAAGATAAATCCATTTCCAGGAATGTTCCAGTTTTTAGTGTATTGTGTTGGCAATTAATGTTGATTTTCCTGATTAAATTATTTGCTATTATTTGGAATTTGCTGAGATGAATAGATAGGGAGTCAGCTCGGAACATAACATTACATATGAGTCACTGCCTAATGATAGACAGTGGTACTCTAACATACAATCTAGAACAAAGTGTAGTATCTTTGGAAAACAACTGGAGACATTTGAATGTAAGGGATATTGGTAAGATGGCAGTTCCAAATAATTATAGGCAATTTCTGTAGTGTTTCCAAAATTGCATAATGCAGAACGATGAAAATATGTTTTTTATTTATCTTGCCATTCCATGTTTCATTTACACAAAGATTACAGAGGGAATCTGTCAGCCTATATATTCCTAATGAGTAGAATTCTTTCTATATCCTTTAAGCGCTACTTAGCTATTAAGTTAGTTTGAGAGTAAATATTAGTTTGATTATATTGATTTAATAAAGTTAAATGAATTACATTAATATTGAAATAATAAGTAAACTAATAAGTGAAAATGGCAATGTTTCAGAGTCTCCCTGGAAGAGACTGTAGAAAGCTAGAACATCTGTGATAGAAAGAAACACAAAGATAAGAAAATAGTTACCAAATCCCATTGAATATCTTTGTAACTGAATGTCAAACAACTATCAGCTTCATACTGTATTGGACAGGTACCCTTATCTAAAATGTAGGTCTAAGAGTACTTAAACTTAGAATTGGCAGTTGCATATTTATTCATTTTTATGATAAAATAAAGTTAAAGATACAGACACACAATTGTAGGAATACTTAGAGTATTGATATGCATTTGAGTTGGTGCATATCATGCCAAGGTGAATTACAGGACATTTGTATCACCACCTAAAATTGTCACCTGAATTCAGTAGACTATAATGTTTTCCCTTCTTAAGTAAAACCTGTGTTTTTAAAGTTTATCTTTGAAACCTGAAAATAAAAATGTTATATATGAAGCTTAGATCTTTAAAGTATCTCAGAAACTCCTTTTTCCTGTAAAATTATTTTGAATTCTAATGAACATTAGGATTCTTTGTTTCTGAGGCTAGTATGTTTTGCTCAGGATCTTGAGAAATACAGCTGAATTCATCTAGCAAAATTAGTACCTTTAGTTATACAAAGTTCAGCAAAAGGAAAACAACTAACTTGCTATAGCCACACCCTATGCTCTGAAATTTGAAGTGTTTTGCAAAACTACACAATCCCAGTGAAATCCTGGAAGTCACTTTAACCTTCTTTAAGGCTAAAGAATATTTGTAGTAGTGAATTCCATACTTTTTTTCCTTAAGCCTATTGCAAGCTAACAGCAAGGGCACTTTGCACGTTAGACTTTGGGAGGTATAGTGAGGGGAAGAAGGACACTGTTTTCCTGTAGTAAATAACATTGAGACTTTGGTAAATATATGACTTCAGCAATCTGCCAAACTGTTTAAGCACATTGGAATAGATACCAAGGCCTTGATTTTGCTTCTTTTTTAAATGCCTCGTTGAAAAGAAGGAGAAAAATTACTCTATATTCCCAATAGAAATAGGGACCTACAGCTGGCAGAAACCGTAGAGAACATCTCATGTATGCATTGAGAATTAGCTACTTATTGTAAAATGAGAAAATTGAGAACCAAAGACTCAGAGAGGATGACAAGCTATTTTACAATAGAGCACAAACTAGCAACTGAATAATTTAACTCCCACTCATTTGTTTCTGTGTCAGTCACTCTGGCAGTAGGTTGTGATGCATGGGATATTTGGGTAGTGTATGGAATGCCTCTCTTTCATGTTCTTAGATCCAAGATTATTTGTGGAAAGGTGGTTTCTTTTGTTTCACTGGCATGCAGTGGAAAAGAGCAATTTACCTGAAAAATAAGGGATTTCCCCCCATTGTCAACAAATAAAATTTATATATTATCATGTCTACATATATTATTGACATGCATGCATTATTTAGATATTAAATGCTGTAAAACTGAAAAACACTAAGTTTTTTCAATGTTACTAATATGGGGGAACAGTTAGGTAGATAACATAAAACAACAACAACAATAAACATGCAATACATTTTAAGGTTTGGATAGCTCAAAAATGTACCTTCCCTGTTATGTGTTACGTGCTAATAACATTAACTTCACATTATTTAAGCTACATATAAACTGATGAATACAGAGACATCCTGGAAGGGTATTCTGGGCCACTAAGAAGTTATTCTGCAATTTAATATGTGGTACCACAGTCCACTGAGTGTGTAGGCCACCCAGAGATAATGTAGAGCTTACTGCTTATTAAAGTATATTACCATTTACTTTGACCCTTGACAAACTCTATTCTTCAAGGATTTTCCTCTGTCTTTTTTTTTTTTTCCCTCTTGACAGGTAATGATTTCAAAAGATCTATTAGTTACTATACGCATAATGAAAGTGCAAAGTTTCCTGTCAGGTACAATAGGCTGCATTTTTTATTTGAGGTCTCAAAGTTATACTATGTCATAGGCGCCTGGAAGGTCAGTGAGGACTGTGCCTATTTCCTATTTCATTTCTCTAGCAGATGTGAGCAAAGTTACTTGGTTAATACCTGATAGTTTTCTTTGTATTCCTCTTTATCTTGAAGGTCAGTTTCTTCTATAAGCAGGAGGTCAATGATGTTCTCTATTCTAATGATTTCCTTCCTATTCATTATTATGCACTTTGTAAGCTTGCAGTAATATAGAATAATAAAAAGTGGCCCATTAGGTTTTTTCTTATGTAAAGACATTGTATTAAAGACAAATTCTTAAAGGGTAACAACTTTAAAACATCAGCCGTAATTCTATCACTATTTTTATTTTTGTATATCCTCTTACACATGTATAATATTTTTAATATAATCACAATCATAGTATAGATACCATGTTATATATTTCTTTTTGCTATTAAAATTTCACCCTTAATAATTATGAATAGTGGTCATAATTACTATTTTAATGGCTACAGGTAATGTTACTAATTTGATACATCAGGCTACAATGTGTCTTCAAAGATTAGACTTTTTTTACTATTGCTTATAATAATGAAACCATATTTTTATGCATACAGTTTGAAATTCTATTGAATTATTTTCTTGAGGTAAAAGCGTACAATCAGAATGACTTAGAATAAGAATGTATGATTATAAGACATTTTCTATAAGTTTTCATAATAATTTCCAAAGGTCTGTACAAAATTATAATGTCACTAGCTCTGAAAAAAGATGACCATTTCGTAAGAACCATTTTTATTCATTATGACCATTTATATTTTGTTAAAACTTTTTGTGCTGTTTATTTCAGGGTGGTTTTATTAACGATTCTTTGATAAAATACAAGAAAGAATATTGTCATACAATTTACTCTCTTTTATTTCTTTTCATATAAATTCCTTCATAATCTTGGCTATACTTCTATTGGAATCTGCATTTTTGGGATAAATGTTTGAACTATTGCATTCATTATAATACTTAGCATCATTCAATTTTAATTTCATAAAACAAAAGTTGAAAAGTTTCCACGTTTAAATTTGTAAGGTATGTGTTTTGTGGTTTATTCTGTTATTTCAAAGCTAAAATATTTATTATTTCTCCACATAGCTAATATTTCTTATATTTTAAGAGTATTTTTAAGCATATCTAACAAATGTTTGATTTTATATGGAGTTCATCATGGTGCATGGTGTTATGGCATAGAATTTACCTTGACAATTTCTCTCTTATTATTGAGAAATCATCTCAGATAATAGCTATGTAAGTAATGCTTTTGAACTTATGGTTTTGGAATTCTCATTATGTGTTAACCAAAACTTATCTTGGAAATTGAGTATTTGGAGGTATCTTCATCAGGTAAAAGGTAAAGAACCAAAGCAGATAAATTGGTTGTTTCTTATAATTTTTTTATTTGAGATCTATTACAAGGTATGTTCAGGAGAAGGCCATACACCCTTTAAGCAATGGTACACTGTTTAGGGGGAAGAGTTTAGTAAACATCTAATTTCATCGTAAGTTGTATTTTCATCTATATCCTTGTTCAATTTCTATTCATTATGAGTTTTACAAATTAATACTTGGATAAAATCTTCCTTTAAGTTTTTTTTTTTCTGAAAATTTCCTCTTCTGTGGCTGTTAGTTTTGGCTTCGTGATTTTTATGGAGCTAATTGGCACATTTAGGCTTATCATCTAAGCTTTTTAAAAAAAATCTGCTTTTCATAAGTAATATTATAGGTATTTTACTTCGTTTAGCATAAATTAGTGCTAAATCTATTTAATTTTTGGTTAATTTTGTACATTAGTCTGCTTATCATGTCTCATTTAGTCTTTTTGTATTTTTATGATATTTGGTGGCTGCATTATTAATTACATGTTATTATGATTTTTTTAACATTTTTTGTCAGTTTTCAATTGTTGTCTTTGCTAATGTTCTTGTTCATTAGAAAATTTAGGCCATAATTACTATACAAACTACTGTTGGACTGTCATCTTATTTGTTTTCAAATAAAATTAATGAGTTTCCCTTTTCAAATATGCTTTTGAATAATGCAAATTGTATGTTATTTCTTTCAACTTTTATAAGATTTTTAGTGAGACCATTATTTTAACATTATTTGTGATTAATATACTATTTAACACATTTTTTCATTCCGTTATCACCAAGAATCATTTATTGAACCATGATATACCCCACTTATATTTCTTCATGTTTTTGGTACTGAATTATTTATGGCTTGAAATCTCTTACTCTATTTTCTATTTCTGCTATCTTTTACAAAATAAAAAAGTTAGGATCATGCGGTGGACTTTGGTCATACTTTTTGGTACTGAATTATTTATGGTTTGAAATTCCTTACTCTATATTCTATTTCTGCTATCTTTTACAAAATAAAAAGTTAGGATTATGATGTAGACTTTGGTTATAGTTCTCTTTGGACCCTGCATTCTCTTATTTAACATCTCAGTTGCTAGGTTTTAAATATGGGACTAGGAGAGTGGTCAGCCATTATATTTTTTAATATCTCATTCTAAATTTATGTACAGCTTATATAGTGAAAATACAAAGTTCAGTGAGTCCTGACAATATCTGTGTGTAACTAGCACCTTAACAAAGATATAGAACTTTCCCACTTTCTATCAAATGTTCCTTCTTTCACTTTCCATTTTGTTGCCACCCTGAAGAAGCTAAACACTGTTCTCATTCCTATCAATATGGCTAAACTCGCCTATTCTAGAACTTTATATAATCAGATTCACACTGTGTGTATTCCTCTGTGCTGGCCTTTTTTTGTTCAATGCTGTGAGATTTATCCATGTTGTATATGTCGATGGTTTGCTTTATATTTATTGCTTAGTTGCATTCCATTGTTTATCCATTGTTTCTGTTGATGTACTAGGTTTGTTTCTCATTTGGGATTATTTTGAATAAAGCTGCTATGGACATTTTAAAACAATTTTTTTGGGCAGGCATGTATTTTTATATATTAAAGTGAAATGACTAGATCAAAAGGTAGGTATATGTTTAATTTTGCCTAAGTAGTTGTATGATTTTACATTTCTTGCTTTAATATATGAGTTTCAATTGTCCTACCTTCTTATCAATACTTTAAACTGTGTTATTTCTGGTATCTGTTATGGATGCTAGCAAAATTTTTTCCCCTCTTGATCAAGTTCAATACATTTTACCAAACAAAATAGGGAAAGGAGGTCTCTGTTATTTTTACTCATTAATCTTCTTAAGTTTCTCATTCCTTTTAACATTAAAAAAACTGAAGGCTGGGCGTGGTGGCTCATGCCTGTAATCCCAGCACTTTGGGAGG
This sequence comes from Homo sapiens, assembly GCF_000001405.40. Classification (NCBI taxonomy): domain Eukaryota; kingdom Metazoa; phylum Chordata; class Mammalia; order Primates; family Hominidae; genus Homo; species Homo sapiens. The sequence continues at coordinate 24,839,015 of NC_000009.12, forward strand.
CCAAGGCAGGTGGATCATAAAGTCAGGGGGTCGAGATCATCCTGGCTAACATGGTGAAACCCTGTCTCTACTAAAAATACAGAACAAAATTAGCCGGGCGTGGTGGTGGGCACCTGTAGTCCCAGCTACTTGGGAGGTTGAGGCAGGAGAATGGCGTGAACCCGGGAGGTTGGAGCTTCCAGTGAGCCGAGATTGCGCCACTGCACTCCAGCCTGGGTGACAGAGTGACACTCTGTCTCAACAACAACAACAACAACAACAACAACAACAACAAAAACTGTAGTATAACACACCACAGTGCAAAACCATAATTGTACAACAACAACAACGACAACAAAAACTGTAGTATAACACACCACAGTGCAAAACCATAATTGTACACCTCGATTATCATATGTTAAACTCATGTAAACAGTAGTATAGAAGCTCCCTCTTGCTACACCTGTACCATCGTGCCCTTTCTTCTTCCCTAAGAGTAAATACTATCCCAACTTCTAACCCTATGATTCAGCTTTGACTAATCTTTAATTGCAATGTATTTAACTTATTCAACAAAAGCATCGAGATAAACATAACAGAATCAAAACCAATGATTATGTGTACCTATAATTCACTGATTTTAATTGATTTAATTTTGCCTTTATCTGTTCTGCTGATGAACATTTAAGTTGCCACTGTTATGATTAAAACTTCAGTGAACCTTCTTAGACCTGTCTGTTGAAAGTATGTATTTGAATGTGTGTATACCTATTAACATACTTGTTGGATCGGCATATTTTCCACTTGCTAGATAATAACAAAGAGTTTTGCAAAAGATTTTAACCAACCTACACTCCAACGGCAGTGTTTGTGAAATCCAATTGCTCTACACCCTCTCGACCACAGAGTATTTTTAGTCATTTTCATTTTAGACAGATCAGTAAGGGGATTGTACATATCCTGGTTACTAAATAGTTTGATTACTTTTTCAAATTTTTATGAGTTAATTTGGATATCTTGTTTTAAAAAATTAAATCTATTGCACATTTCTTTCCAATTTTCAGTATTTTTCTTATTAATGCAAAAGTTATTTATATTTCTCTGAATATGAACACAGGTATTACAAGTCTCTTTTCCAACAGGGTGACTTGCTTTTTCAGTATCTTGGTAGTGATTTGACCAATATTCCAAAAATTCTCACCCATTATCTCCTAAAAATCATGTCTTCCCTATTATCTTAATTGTTCTTCTCTTGGATTCCAATTAAAAATTTGGCGGACTTAACTTTTTTTATTCTATGGGTTGGAAAATATTTTCTATAAATGACCAGAGAATTTTAGGTTTGTGGGTCACATAGGTGTCTGTCAAAAACAGACCATGGGTCAGTTTTGGCATGTGGGCTAATGTTTGCCTACTGACCCATGCTCTATGCTGTTGCTCATCATTCTAAATGGCTAATTTCCATTCTGTCTATTTCATTGTATATATTTTATTTACATATTGCTTCCACTCTGTTTATTTTCAGCTATGGCAAATCTTCACGGATGCCATCTATTAATTTTTACATTTTAAAACTTCTATATGTTTTAATTTCTAGAATTTTTGTCTCTTTTTCCAAAAATAATATTCAGTTTTAATCTCCTAGTGAATATTAAGCAAGCATAGTTACTGGAAAAGTAGTGGCTGTAACTCTATTATCAGGAGCCTCCATGGGTCTATTTCTGCTATCTATATTTGTTCCTAGTTTTTAATTATGTGGTCTGGTTCATTTATATGCTTGAAAATTTGGGGGGTATTGGACAAATATAATTAATGGAAAAATATTAAACATGAACTTGTGAGCAAGGATCATATTATTTTTCAATAAAGAGAATCTGGTTCTGGTAGGATTCTAGGGGCATTAGCAATATAAGCTCACTTTGTTCAGTTTCAAGGATTAAGTTTCAAAATTGGGCTTTTTCATCCCTATAAGGTCTACTCGTAATTTTTCACACTTAACCTAAAATTTGTTGTCCCAAGACATTGGGCTGTCAATAATGATGCACACCTTCTCAGTTTCTCTTCTAAAATTGCCCTTGGGAAGAAAATGACCCTATCTGTGTCGCTTTTCACATTGGGTGCCCTTTTACCCTAGACACTTGGCCCCATAATTCCTGACTCTAGGGTTTGATCTCCACTGCCTTCACACAGAAAAATATTTTATTTTTTTTAGCTTTTTCAGTTGTCCTTGGTGTGTAGGTTAATTCAAATTATCTTGTCTGTCATTATCAGTAGCAGAAGTCTTCCGTTTCTTTAAAAAAATAATGTCCATTTTTAACAGATGTTACATTTGAGAGCAGTTTGAAGATTACAGAGAAATTAATCAGAAGGTACAGAGATTTCCCATATATCTCCTGCCCCCATATTACACAGCCTCTCCCATTATCCACGTCCTAGGCCAAAGTGACACATTTGTTACAAACAGAGAACCTACTTGACACATCATTTTCACCCAAATTCCATAGTAGTTTACATTTGAATTCACTCTTGTTGCTGTACATTCTATGGATATGAACAAAGTATAATGATATGTATCTACCAATTTAGTATCATAAAGAATACTTTCACTGTTATAAAAATATTATGTGTTCTGCCTATTCATCCTTTTCTCCCCTTAACTTCTGGCAACCACTGATCTTTTGATTATCTCTATAGCTGATAATTCTGCTTCTCCCAGAACATGGTACAGTTAGAATCATACAAGTAGGTAACCTTTTCAGGTTGGCGTCTTTCAGTTAGCAATATGTATTTAAGTTTCTTCCATGTCTTTTCATGTTTTAATAATTTATTTTTAGTGCGGAATAATATTCCATTGTCTGAATGTTTCACTGTTTATTTATTCATTTACCTACTGAAGGGTATCTTGGTTGCTTCCAAGTTTTGGCAATTACGCATAAAGCTGCTGTAAACATGAATGAGCAGGGTTTTGTGTGAACACAAATTTTTAGATCATTTGGATAAATACCAAGGAGTGTGATTGCTGTATCATATGATAAGAATATGTATAATTCTGTAAGAAACCCAAACTGTTTTCCAAAGTGGCTGTACCATTTTGCATTCCCACTAGCAATGAATGAGAGCTCTTGTTGTTCTACAAGTTTGTCGGCATTTAGTCAGCATTTAGTGTTGTCAGTGTTCTGAACTTTTGCCATTCTAACAGGTGTGAAGTGGTATCCTTTTGCGGTTTTAATTTTCAGTTCCTTAGTGACATATGATGTCGAACCTCTTTTTAGATGCTTACTTGCCATGTGTATATCTGTTTTGTTGAGGTGTTTGTTCATATCTTTTGCTTGGTTTTTAATAAGGTTGTTCGTTGATTGTGTATATTAGACAACAGTTCCTTATGATATATGTTGTTTGAAAATATTTCCTCCAAATCTGTGGCTTGTCTTCTCATTCTCTTGATTGTGTCTTTCGCAGAGCAGAAGTTTTTAATTTAATGAAGTCCAGGTTATAAGTCATTTATTTCAGGGATAAGGGCTGTGTTGTTGTATTCAAAATGCCATCTTTATATCCAGTGTCTTCTGGGTGTTCTATGTTATTGTCTAGGAGTTATATATTTTGGCATTTTACATTTAGATATATGATCCATTTTAAGTTTATTATTGTGATGGTGTAAGTTCCGTGTCTAGATTCATTTTTCTTTTTCTTCTTTTTTTTTGCATGTGGATGGCCTTTAGTTCTAGCGCCATTTGTTGAAAAGTCTTTTCTTTTCTTCATTGTATTGCATTTACTCTTTTGTCAAAGATCAGTTAACTATTTTGCACTGAACTATTTCTGAGCTTTCTATTCTTTTCCATTGATCTATTCATCTATTCTTCCACCAATACCACTGTCTAGATTACTGTAGCTTTAAAGTAAGTCTTGAAGTTGGGTAGTATCAGTCCTTCAACTTTGTTCATGTCCTTCAATATTATGTTGGCCTAAGTTTTTAGGTTGGTGAAAAAGTAATTGCAGTTTTTGCAATAAAAGTAATGGCAAAAACCGCAATTAATATTATGTATGTAATAAAAACAAGTTTCCCATTTTCCAGCAACTGTAATATATGCTTTATCTCACTTGAATATTATTTTAAAATATGAGGTAGATGTTAAAACCTTTTAAATTAAAGACTCTGGAATTAATACTCATAATTCATAGGGGTCAAGAAAATGTAGAGGAAGCAGAAGAGCTGAGATTTTCATCTCATTTAATCTGAACCCATACTCTTACATTTCTGTCTTCTTTTATTTTACCTTTTCTCCCTTCCTTCATTCTCTTCTTCATTCCTTTATGTCTTCCCTCTTTCTTTCCTTTTTTTTTTTTAATTTTTTTGAAATGGAGTCTCACTCTTGTCACCCAGGTTGGACTGCAGTGGCACGATCGCAGCTCACTGCAACCTCTGCATCCCAGGTTCAAGCTATTCTCCTGCCTCAGCCTCCTGAGTAGCTGAGATTACAGGTGCCTGCCACCATGCCCTGGTAAATTTTGTATTTGTAGTAGAGATGGGGTTTCCCCATGTTGACCAGGCTGGTCTCTAACTCCTGACCTCTGGTGATCTGCCCACCTTGGCCTCCCAAAGTGCTGGGATTACAGGCGTGAGCCACTGTGCCTGACATCCTTTTCAATTACCTATTGGTCAGACATTGCTTTAAGCCCTAGGGGGCAGCAGTGAAAAAAAAAATAATTTTTTAGACAGACCTTTTGCAGCGTGTAGGCAACTGTGGTTTGTGTGGGAGGGTCAGGGTGGGGGAGGATAACACACAAAGGAAATAAATCAGAAAATTAAATGATAGATAGTGTCCTCTAATATAACATCTATCTAATATCTAATATAATATCTATCTAATATATTAGATAAGTCCTCTGGAGAAAAACAAAGCAAGATAATAAAAAATACAGCTATGGCAATTCCAGTTTTAAATATGGTCGTTAGAGAATGCCTCCACAAACTAGATGTCTTTTCAGCGAACACCTAAAAAGGCAAGTAGTTGAGTCGTTCTTATAACTGAAGGAAAAGCACTCTAGGTAAAACAAAGAGCAATGAGAATTCCCTAAGGTAGTAGGACAATTGGATTAAGACACAGAAAAAAAATGCTTGTATGACTGGAACAGAATGAACGAAGATGAGAATAGTAGGAATGAAATCAGTCACAGGAATAATAAGGATATAGATGTTGTACAACATTTTTTAGGCCTGGATTCATGAGACGATTTTTAATGGATCATCTTCATCTACTGGGAATTTTCAAAGCTTCTTATGAGACTTAGTCCCAATTTCAGCAATATTCCATAGTGTTTCTGTTTATTCTCCCACTAAGTATTTTAAAACCACACACTGATTCTCTTAATATAACTGTGAGAAATCCTCTCACATTGCTAGGCTCGGCTTGACTCTGCTTGGTTATACTGAAACCTCAGCTTATGCAGTTTGACTATGAGTGCATTAACATATTAATATGTTTGTCAGTGTATTGAATAATTGGGATAAAAAGTGTTGACTAAACATTTGAGCCTAGTACTTCTAGCTCCTATGTGCCTGAATGTATAGATGGACAGCTTTTAACTTGACCTGTATAAAACACTGAATTTAGGAGCTTGCATGACGTGTTTACGTACCAGGCTAAGGAAAAAATTGTCAGAGGGTGATATTCATATGTATATTTTCAAGTATATAGCTGCTAAGTGAACATCAATGGTGATGCAAAGATCTGTAAAGGCTGACTCCAGTTTATCTTTGGATTTGGAAAGTTGCAAGATATATCACATTTGCCTTAAAATAAAAATCTGGATGACTACAGAAATTACAGTTGCTTGTAATCTATACGAGAGATGAGAATGAAAGAAAAAAAAAACAGTAATGAACTGAATTACACAAAGTCGTGAACCCTTAACTGGAGTGCAGAGACCCACGATAACTTCTCATACCTGATCAAGAAGTAGGAAGAGGAGAAATTTACCATGGTCTGTAGAAATAAGGAACTAGCAGAACCTTTATAAAATATTGTATCTGAAGAGACCAGTCATAGCATGAGTCAATATCCACCAGCTTATTCTTTCCCATAGGCTTCCATCTAGTGTAATGTAGTATTTATTATGCTGAAGACTTGGAGGATACAGGAAAATTTGTGATGTTTTTTTCTGCATATTCAAGTCTTTCTTCAAGAGGAAAGCAGGACCCTCCAATTGCAGAGGCAGGGCAGGAGAGCTGAAAGAAATTCTCTGAGGTATTCCACGACTTTGCAGCAAGTAAGGTAGCTATCTCCCAAAAGCTTAGAAACCTGGGGTAGGTCTGGAGAGAAAAGAGTAATCCCCAGGAACCCCCAAAAAGCTGACAGTTAGGCATCAAAGCAGTTTGAAAAGCTAGAGAGTTGCTCATAAAGCATAAGAGATTACTTGAAACTCAACAGTCTTAAGCTGCGGACTCCAATTTCTGCTCAAGAAAAAGTTTCATGCTCCCCTCAAATCACCCAAACCTGGCAGTAATCTGTATCCAAAAAAATCTTTCCATCAACCCCAGACCCAGCTCCACTATGTATTGACTCAGCAACTTGAATATAGTGTTCTTTTTCTGGAGGAAAACATTTTTGACTTCAGTCTCTATTATTCCTATTGTGTAATAAATGTTGGAATCTCATAAGTTGCATAAGCGTTTTGGGATGTTTTAAGGGTAAGTCTTTCAGTTTTGGGCTTCTGCGTGTTAAAGTATTATTCTCTTTGTCACTTAAATATGGGGTAAAAGAGAGGGCTGTAAGGCTGAATAGGCTCAAGAGGGAAGGAATAATTTTGTCCAATGAACAGAAGTTTGCATGTAATTTTATTAAGTGATTGGCATTTATTACAGAATTTTGAAGTTGGAAAATGTAACTGTACCAGTTAGCTGTTGATAACAAAACTGAATAGCATAAAAGTAATATTAAGGCTGGGCGTGGTGGCTCACACCTGTAATCCCAGCACTGTAGGAGGCCAAGACGGGTGGATCACGAGGTCAGGAGTTGGAGACCAGCCTGACCAACATGGTGAAACCCGTCTCTACTGAAAGTACAAAAGTTAATCGGGCATGGTGGCATGCGCCTGTAATCCCAGCTACTCAGGAGGCTGAGGAAGGAGAATCGCTTGAACCCCAGAGGCCGAGGTTGCAGTGAGTCAAGATCGCGTCACTGCACTCTAGTCTGGACAACAGAGTGAGACTGTCTCAAAACAAACAAACACCTAGTTTTAAATCTAGTTACTTAGTTTACAAATATCTGTGGGTTGGCCCATGTTCTGGATTTGTGGGACATCATATCTGCCTGTGTGATCAGTTGCAGGTTCAGCATGTAATCTGTTTTTGGGAGCTGGTGGAATTTTGCTAGGGATAACAGGTTGAAGGTGGCAATTGGTCTCCATGGCTCTCTTCATCAATCAGGCTTGCATGTACGTCTTCTTATGGTGGCTGGGCAGGGCTCCAAGAGGGCAGAAAACTGCAAGGGTACCTGAGGCTAGAAACTGCTAGAAAACATCAGTTTTATTCTTTAGGATGAAATAAATCATAAGGCAAGGCCAAAATAAATGTTGGGGAAACAGACTCCACCTTTTGGTGGGAGTTGCTGCAAAATGACAGTGCAGTGAGATGTGGGGTGTTGTCCAGTGGAAGGTTTAGAAAGATCTTTTGGTAACTAAGAAAAAAGAAAAAGAGCTCACAAATTAAGGAAGTGATACTGTTAGTGAAAACGAGAACAGTAGTCAGAGGAAAAAGATACTTTAAGAACTCAACCTTCAGGGCTTTGTGACCAATGATTAGAACTGTGGGAAACACAAAGCTACATAAGTTTTAATAATTTGTAGTAGTAGAGCTATAATTTTGAATTCTACATTTCACTTGACATAATTTTGTTCAGGTTTTCGATGAACCTGTGCTCTGTCTCCAGGCTGGAGTGCAGTGGCACAATCTCGGCTCACTGCAACCTCCACTTCCCGGGTTCAAGCGATTCTCCTGCCTCAGCCTCCCGAGTAGGTGGGACTACAGGCACCTGCCAACACATCCAGCTAATTTTTGTATTTTTAGTAGAGGCGGGTTTTCACTTTGTTGGCCGGGATGTTCTCAATCTCTTGACCTCGGGATCCGCCCGCCTCAGCCTCCCAAAGTGCTGGGATTACAGACGTGAGCCACCGTGCCTGGCCCATAATTACCTCTCTTAATGGCTGCATGAAGCTTCAAATACTCCCTAATAGCCTTATCATTCTTCTGTTCTTTTATGATCAACGTTATGTAGCAAAAGTTGTGACTCTTTCTATGTGGGATACTTACGAAATACATGTTCATGCAACAGGTTTTCTCCCTAACTGCTCCCATGTTGATTGCTTCTTAAAATTGTTGATACGCAGTGTGTGGCCGCTCCTAATGAATTACATTCATTTGGTGGGAATACATTCTTCGGTTAAGCACCATTAGGCATTCCAGGGAGGGAATTTACTCTCTTTCTATTTGAGATTAGACTTCAGCAGTAGATAACTCAATGAGTTTCTCTCAGAATCTAATACTGTTAATCAACAACCAAAAACAAATACTGTTTCTGCCCTCAGTATAATAGAATTTTAATGATCTGTCTTACGGTATTATTGATGGCATCTTGTTTTTATTTTGATATTATATAGTTCAAAAAATTCGTAGTATATAATCTGATAAGCTCCACTACTGTAGGATATTATTTGGATGATTACATTTGAAGCAGTCATTATATCTATCTATCTATCTATCTATGTATCTATCTATCTTTCTGTAGATATATATACAGATATATGTATCTATATATCTATATATAGATTTATATATATATACACACACATATACTTGCATACACACATTCATATTATAAATAATAGGTTGATTGCCATTTTTACTATCTTATTTCTTATATTTCTATTAGAATTCCCATATATGTACAATCACTATTGGGTGAAATGTGAGTTAATTAGAGAGTTCACTTTACTTAAGAAAGTCAACAAATACCATAGGAGCTCCAGAATCTGGCTTTAGTGATGATATAAGTAAAGAAAAGCACATTTCAAAAAGCAAAGAAATGACAGTGCTAATTTACTTGCCCAAATGTTACTGAGAGAACTGTCACTTGAATGTCTCTCAGAAATCATAAGGTGGTGAATGACACTCTTTGTCATCAGTATATCCATAGGACAATGATTGTTCTGAAGCAAAATCTTGAATTTCTTACTCTCTTAACAGGCGGACCTCAGGAAATAATGAATCTTGATAAAAGCATGTAATTTCACACTATTTTAAATTGAGGTTCTATGTCATTTTACTGTGATATATTTCCTGTTGCTCCTTTAAAATGAGTATTTACATTAAAATTATTTCACTTAAATGAATAAAACATTAACAACAATAATGCAGCAAGCACATTTAAATGGAGGATCGACATGTAATTAGAAGTGCATCTCAAAGGATTTCCCTTTGTTTTCTGATTGTTGCCCCCTCTGATAGATGATTCATTAATTTCTTGTCACTTGGAGTAAATAGGTGGTTAGAAAGGTCTAGTAGTAAATAAAAATATTTTTCTACTTTGTTTTCATTTTTCAAAATTCTAACAAGCTTGGGCTGAGATCGATGAGAACTGCCCACTGCTAAGGTCAGTGTGGTCTAATTAGTTTTGCTACATTGCCACTGTAATTTTAATTGACATGACATTGAGGGGAGGCTCAGAAGGTAATCAGCATCTAACAGCCATGATGAGCATTAGTTACACCTACTGACAGATTAATTAGCAACTACACCTATGATTTTTACCTGCAAAGAAATGAAATCTGTGATGCCCAGTCCCCTTAAAAAATATAAATGACTGTCCCCTCTCTACTGAAAACTTGAAAAATCTATGTCCCCTAAATATTGTGTACACCCTGGCCTGACTGCAACTTTGGGCAATGCTGTGATGCAGTAACTTACCAATTCTATGGCATTAGTTTCATTTATGGTTCTATACCACAGAAATTCATCTTATTTTATTCATCTTATTCCTCTCCAAAATACGGGAATTGAGAAGGCTATTTCCATGATGCTGTTGAATTCAACATCTTTTTCATGACCATATTTTCTTTCAGGGTTCTATTTAGAGAAGCAGTCCAGGACACTGAGGTTTCTTCAAACATATTAAAGGATTTTAGTCAGAGCTGACTCTCAAAGTTGAAATGAAGGCTCAAACTATTCTTTTTCTTGTAGATATATGTCTTTTTGAAGCGATCAGAAATACTTTACACAAATTCCATTTTTTGTAATTTTTTAACAAGCTCTTTTAACGATGGATTTACTAGGTTGATCTGTTTAAGTACATTATTCGTAATATTTTAATTTCTTGAGAATTTACTTAATCTTGAAGATATGAGAATGGCATGTATGTAAGGTATTTCCTAATTAAAAAAAAACTTCTATTGTAGATTTTCTTTTTAAATTTGGGTGACTCTTCTGTTGAAGTTTAAATGATTTCTCTTTATTAATTGCTCATGATATCAAGAAAGATTGTTCCCTATTCTTAGTGATAACCCTTTGTATACCCAACAATCTCCTCTCTGGATGTTTTCCTAGGAATAATGAAAAATGTCCATTCGTGGGTTTTTCTAAAGGCATTCGTGTTTTCAGTTTTGCAAAGCTTACCCATAGCATTGCAAAGTGGAAATTTTCCCTTGAAAAAGTCAAATATTTGGTGATTCATAGTGATGGGAAATACAATTATATTTCTTAAATAGCCCATTTATGTTAATGCAAGGAGATGTAATAAACTTGCTCTGGCTTCATTAAACATAGTCAGTTTGCGATATTCCAACAGAAGGAAAACTACTTCTTTCTTGTGCTGAGAATACAACCATGGCCAGAGATATCAATGCATCCTCACCATTCTCCTAAAACTCATAACGGTGATTAACCCCTGGTCATATATTTCCATTCTTAAATACTGTAGAATGCTGTCATTTTAGTCTCTAATACCACTGAGGAAAATTTTAAGCACCGTCTCTTTAGAAATTACCTACATCAATGTATTCCATTACTTTATCTTCCCTCATGCTGTCTTTCCTGTGGAGAGGAAACCATTTTTCACAAAGCAAAGAGAGTAAAAATTAACCAACTGGTATTTCTTTTGTAAATAATCTTTATCGAAGAATAATTTATATATCATAAAATGCACTGGGCGTACTAATTTTAATCACCTCTAAAGTTTTTCTGATGAATTCTTCCATCCTTACCAGGACCTTAGCAACAACGAATCCTCTTCACATCACTTTAACGTTGCCTGTTCTGGAATTGCACGTAAAGAGATATTCAGGATATGCTCATGTGTCTGGCACATTTCCACAAGCATAATTATTTTGAGATTCATCAGTGTTGCTGTGAAATTCTGCAGTACATTCCTTTTTATTCCCACATAGTATTCCATTATCTGTATATGCCACAATTGGTTTATTTTTAAATTTTAAGGATATTTGGATTGTTTCTAGTTTAGAGCTATTATAAATAAAGATTTTATAAACACTTATGTACAAGTCTTTTTGTGGACACATATTTTAATTTCTCTTGTGTAAATACCTAGGAATAAAAATGACTCATCTTACAATAAGTTCATGTTTAACTCTGTAACAATCTGCCAATATGTTTTCCGAAGTTGTTATACACATTTTATATTCTCATCGTGATATATGAAATTCCAGCTGCTCTTCACTGACACTTGGGACTGACATTATTTTTAATTTTAGTCATTCTAATGGGTATATAATATGTCACTTTGGTTTTAATTTACATTCCCATGTAACTAATGATGATGAGTACTTTTCATGTGTTTCCCAGCAATTCGTATTTTTTATATTTTTGTTCAAATTATTTATTCATTTTAAAATTGTCTTATTTTGGGGTTGTAGAAGTTTTTAATTATATTCTATTTATGTAAATATTCTAGATAAGTTATATGTAGTATACATACTATAGATATGTAATTTTCTTATAGTCTGTGGCTTCATTCAGTTTCTTCAGGAAATATTTTGAAAAACAGAAACTTTTCATTTTGATGAAATCCAGTATGTAATTTTTTCTTCATGACTTGTGTTTGTTTTTTTTTTTTTGGTCTTATTTAGAAAATCTTGGCCACTTCAAGGTCATGAACAACTTTTTTGTCTATGATGCAATTTGAGTTAAATTTTTGCATGCAATAGTGGTGAGTTTTTTTTTTCCAAATACGTATCAAGTTTTTCAGCCGTTTCTCCACTGAAATATTCTGAAACGTTGTCAAAAATCAATCGACAGTATATGAATGAATTTATTTCTATGCTGTCTTTTCTAGCCCATTTATTTATGTATCAAACCTTACTTAAATTCCACAATGTCTCAATCACTGTGGCTCTGTGCTAAACCTGAAATCTGGTAGTTAAGGTCCCTTAATCTTGTTCTGTTCCACCCCCACCCGCCCAAAATCATTTGGCTCCTTTAGGTTCCTGGCATTTCCACATTAATTTTACCATCACCTTGTCAAATTACATGAATTGGATTTGTAGATTTGATTGGAATTCTAAATCTACCAGAAATTTTGGTTGAAAAAGCATCTTAAAAATATTGAATCTTCCAAATCAATTACATGGTACATCTCTTTATTTAGGTCATCTTCCATTTTTCTTAAAGCTGTTTTATAGTTTTCAGTGTATAAGTGTAAATTTTTAATTAAATTTATTCTAAAATTTCATATGTATTATATTTTAAGCACTTTTACATTTTATTTTTCATTTTTTATCAGGATATATATGCGCAATTAAATTTTGTTTTTTTTTAAATTCTCACAAGCTGTGAGCAATTGAATTTTATATATAAATTTGTGTTCTATTTTTAATACGAGATGGTTAAATAAGTGTTGGTTATTCTCTTCTTGTGGGTTCCTCAATTTTTTCTAATTATTGAAAATGTATGTATGGATTATTTAAGTCGCCTTTCACGGGGCTTCTTACACTAATGCATAATGTCTGAAATCTTGTTTCTAGAATTTCCCATTTGCGCTCTGAAGCAGTCGTTAATCTTTCATAGAACTTGTCCAATCTTACATTTCATTTTTTTAAGGCTCAGGATGCAATTCACCAGTTAGATTAGTAATATCATTGATTCTAGTTGCTAGCCCTGTGTGAGGCAAAACTGTGTTTGTTTTTGCATCCTTTTCTTGACTGATATTCTCTTCCTTCTCGTTTGGTACACTACTTTGTTTGACCTTGAGAAGTAATTTGGCTACTGTATACCTCGGTTTCTTCATCTGTTTATGGGATAAAATGAGATGATAAATTGGGAGGTGTTTGTTTAACCATGATAGAAAAAAAATAAAAATGAGAATCTGTTCACTAAATTAGTGGGGAAAGAGGATAATTTTGTTTATTTATCATATCTTATAGCATTCTCTATACAAGTTGCAATATGAAAATAGGTTTGTGGGGTAAAATAATACAGAACCATTTTTTTGGCTTGTTCAGAAATACATTTAATATTTTTAAAAAAGCATTAACTACTGTAAGAACACAAATATAGCTATGTTTTTTTACATATCTTTTGAGCTAGGCTGACCATAGAGAGTATACAATTTCAAGCGTGGGTATGGAAACATGAGTCTACATTAGGTGTTCAGCTAATAATGATGTAAGACATGATAGAAGACAAATCTATAGTGCGAAATATGGGCCATGCTCACATAGAATGCTGTTTTACCCAGTCTTTATTACACAAGGAGTATGCTTGGTCAAGCCTCTCTACTCGAGCACCAGATTTTTGACTGAAATTGCCAACTAAGGTTAACCTGGCCTGATTTATCCATATAATATATGAAAGTGATCCATTTCAGATAGCTCTAATTATACACAATGACAATCTGGGCCTGGCTATACCACAATAGAGAATGAACTGTGTAAAATTTAACATGCAGGTAAAAAGCACAACAAACTGTAGCTAAACACATTGTACAAATAATGTATGTCTCTAATCTCTTTTCTCTAAGGAAAAAGAACTGGAAAATGCTTACCCAGATGACGCTGTAGAAAACTGTATTAAGTGTATGCTTCCCTAAGAGTTTTCATTTCTCCTTCTCTTTGTTATTAGAAATTAAACTGATTTAGAACAGAGGTAATGTTGCCCTTCTTACCAGCCTCTCAAAGAGTGCTTTACCAGGTATCTGGACCATTTCGAGGGCTTAGCAAATACTTGTTGAATCAATACATGCATTTTTCTTGGTGTGATATTTTAGCAATTTTTATGATACCCTTCCACTAAAATCTGTTTTGTTCCTTTGCATATTTCACTTATTCACATTGAAATAAATGTTTATTGAGAATTTATATTAGGATCTATGCTAGGTTTCAAGGAAACAAAGATGAAAGACAAATAAAATCAAGTAGAATGGACTTTGTCTTAACTGCAGAATCTTTTGGTTCTGTAATTGATCAACAATAACTCTTTAACTACAGACTTTATTGGGAAAAACAGTTTCATGTGCAGTGTCTTTTGACTCTGCTGCTTAGCCACGTAAGAATGGGCCTTGAGCCTGGAACATTTCCTTACCAAGAGACAGGGAACCACACAGCCTGTACCAGGCTTACCATCTTGTGTTGAAATACCTTTCTGTGTCTCAGATGCAGTGAGTGTTCTTTTGCTATGCTTAAAACTGTATGTCAATGGAGGCCTGCCCCCAGGTCTTGCCACAAGTCTCAATATTTCAAACTCTAGCTGATCTTGCTCTGTCTCTTCTCTGTGTAAATAAAGCATTATTTTGTCTGTCCTGTGCTTGACAATTTCGTATTTCCTTTGGTGATTCTAATACCAAGATTCAATAGGCAGAGTGTTTAGAGTCCTCTCCTGTGGCTGGCTAGAGTCCTTCCCTGGGGTTGGTTAGAGTCCTCCTCTGGGGTTGGTTAGTGTCCTCCCCTGGGGTTGGTGCCTGGTGCTCTGCTTTCTGGAGATCGATACCTGTACGTGGTGTTCTGCTTAACAGACTTCATCTGCCTTCTTTTTCTATAGCTATTGATTGCTACAACACAGCTATTGTTACAAAAGCAAATCTGCAGTACCTGAAGTTTCAGACTATAACATATAGCTTCTCATCTCCAAGGTTTTGTTATATTAGTTTCTTCCCTGTCAATTGTCCTATTTCCATTACTCTGTCTAATAAATATTACTTTTGGTATATTTCCAATTTGACTTCTTTTTGAAACACATTTGTCTGGTTCTAGATCATGACTTCTCTATGCTACAGTGATTCTTGTCATCTGATTTCCCTCCTTTGTGTAATTAGCAGTTTGACTCTGCCCCTAAATTATAAATTCCAGGAGGGTGTGATTAAATCTCATTAATCTCTATTATTTGGTAGGGATCACTGTATGTTCACTGAACTACTGAATTAATAAATGGAGATAGACCCCTGAAAATTTAGATTCATTTCCATTTGCTGCACAGCATCCATTGCCTATTTACCCTATTATTTCTACATATGCTTCTCTATTAGAGTTCTCCAGCAAAACAGAAGCAATAGTAAATCTCCATCTATCTATACCTATTTCTGTATTTATATATCTATACCTATATCTATATCTATATCTAAACCATAAATATTTATTTTAAGGAATTGACTTACATTATTATGGGGGCTGGGTAGGTTGAAATCTGTACAGCAGGCTGGCAAGCTGCAAATTCAGGGAAGAATTAATATTGCAGTCTAGGGTCCAAAATCTGCAGTCTGGAAACTCAGGCAGAATTTTAATGGTACAGAATTAAAGCAGAATTAATTCTTCGGGAAACTTCTGTCTTTACTCTTAAGGTCTTCAAATGATTGGATGAGGCCCACCGACATTATGGGAGGCAATATATTTAATGTCTACTGATGTAAATATGAGTTACATCTAAATGTGTATCTTCACAGCAGCATCTAGACTGATTTTGGCCAAACAATTGGGCACCATAGTCTAGCAAAGTTGACACATATAATTAATCATCACAAGTTGCTCTATTCTTCCAGGTGTATGATTTTTACTGATTCATGCAATAAAGACATTTAATGGTCGGCCTTTGAAATTCAAGGGACAGGAATAGCTGTCATACTGCATACAACAGAGAAAGAACTCTCCCTTGCACAGAGATCTCTGATCCTAAGCTATTCTCTGTGCCTTCCTTTCAATCATTATTCCTGATGATGGTTACATATTTAAAAGTCAATCTGACTGTAGTTATACCTAAAACAATGTTAATAATGTATTTGTTAAGTTAGGGGCCGTGCCCAGCTGGATCCAGTCAGAGACGTATTTTGTAACTGGAAAATATCCAATTAGATAGGGACACTTCCTAATCTAAATGATTTTTCAGAGAGGGGAGGCACAGGGACTAAATGATGGAAGCACCTAATAAGGTAGGAAACCAGCAGGTCCTGTTTTCCCAGACCAGATAGAAAACAAGTTAAAACTAGCGCCTGGCACCAAAAGCAACCCTAGTTGCTTCCACTACCCATTGGCATAAGACGCTTCCACCAGCCACCATGATAGCTTACAAATGGCGTGGCCACACCTGGAAGTTACCACTCATTTTCTTGTGATTTATGATTAATGCACCCCTTAATTTGCACATAATTTAAAGTGGGTATTAATAAAGCTAACCAACAGCCCATATGCTGGTACTCTGAGTGCATTGCCTATGAGCTAGGCTAGCCCTGCTCTGCAAGGAGCAGTCGTGAAGCTGTAACACTCTGGCTCCAATAAAGCTGCTTTATTCAACAGCTGGCTCACTCTTCAGTTATTTCCTGAACAAAGCCAGGAACCTCCCCTGCATCAATAACACCTTAAAATATAGGAGTTAAGGCTTATTAACAACAATGAAAGAACAACAGGTAGCACTTAAGATGCTCCTATGCGCAAGTATATGTAAGCCATCCTAAGTGCTTCACAAATATCAACTCATTAATTCTCATAAAAACTCTACATAAAAGTACTACTAATTTCTCAAAGAATAAAAGTTTATTTTTAAAACTACATAGGAAACATTTTGGAGCTATTGAATCAATTAGCTATTGCCATATTGATGCTGCATAACACAGAATTCCAGCATATGGTAGATTAACACAGCGGCCAACAACAGTTATTTACTTATTCTCCATCATACACCTGTGTCATTTGGCTAAATGGGCCTGCTCCAAGCTGTGGCTCCTCACTTAGAATTAGGCTCACATGTGCTTCATGTGTTGATCCCAGACTGACAGGACATGGTAGCTTTTCCCATGGCGATATCAAGCCCAATGGCACAGACACATTTTAAGCCTCTGATTGTTTCATATGTTGTAACATCCCATAGCTTGAAGTAAGTTTATATGGACAAGCTCAAAGTCAAGGGGCAGATCTACAGAGTAAAATGTTAAAGGGTGTGGATGCAGGGGGATGTGAAGAATGTTAAAACGTGCTCTTATGCCATATGAATCGAGTGCCTTTGTAACCTAAGAAATATGCTAGTGGATTTATGCACTCAGTTGTTTCATTCACCACTGTATATCCATAAGGTATATAGTATAACTTCTATTTTATAAATGATAAATCTTAGGCTGAGGAAGCTAATTTTATACTAATTAAGCTACACCACCAATAAGTACTATGATCCTACACATTAAGCTGTTTTAAATACATGGCTATATCCTGTAGTAATTTATATCCAAATTTCCTTTGAAATGTCTTCTTACAGAAGTGAATTTGAGTTTATTTTATTTAAATATTTAGCATTTAATACATTTTAAATATCTTCTTTCAAAATTAATATAAAGGGATTATTCTTATTTTATTTTATTACTTTATTTTTTATTTTTAAATTATACTTTAAGTTCTAGGGTACATGTGCACAATGTGCAGGTTTGTTACACATGTGTACATGTGCCATGTTGGTGTGCTGCACCCATTAACTCGTCATTTACATTAGGTATATCTCCTAATGCTTTCCCTCCCACCTCCCCCCACACCATGACACGCCCCGGTGTGTGATGTTCCCCTTCCTGTGTCCAAGTGTTCTCATTGTTCAATTCCCACCTATGAGTGAGAACCTGCAGTGTTTGGTTTTGTGTCCTTGTGATAGTTTGCTGAGAATGATGGTTTCCAGCTTCATTCATGTCCCTACAAAGGACATGAACTCATCCTTTTTTATGGCTGCATAGTATTCCATGGTGTATATGTGCCACATTTTCTTAATCCAGTCTATCATTGGTGGACATTTGGGTTGGTTCCAAGTCTTTGCTATTGTGACTAGTGCCACGATAAACATACGTGTGCATGTACCTTAATAGCAGCATGATTTATAATCCTTTGGGTATATACCCAGTAATGGGATGGCTGGGTCAAATGGTATTTCTAGTTCTAGATCCTCAAAGAATCGCCACACTGTCTTCCACAATGGTTGAACTAGTTTACAGTCCCACCAGCAGTGTAAAAGTGTTCCTATTTCTCCAGATCCTCTCCAGCACCTGTTGTTTCCTGACTTTTTAATGATTGCCATCCTAACTGGTGTGAGATGGTATCACATTGTGGTTTTGATTTGCATTTCTCTGATAGCCAGTGATGATGAGCATTTTTTCATGTGTCTTTTGGCTGCATAAATATCTTCTTTTGAGAAGTGTCTGTTCATATCCTTCACCCACTTTTTGATGGAGTTGTTTGTTTTTTTCCTTGTAAATTTGTTAGAGTTCTTTGTAGATTCTGGATATTAGCCCTTTGTCAGATGAGTAGGTTGCAAAAATTTTCTCCCATTCTGTAGGTTGCCTGTTCACGCTGATGGTAGTTTCTTTTGTTGTGCAGAAGCTCTTTAGTTTAATTAGATCCCATTTGTCAATTTTGGCTTTTGTTTCCATTGTTTTTGGTGTTTTAGACATGAAGTCCTTGACATGAAGGTTTAAGGAAGGGATCAACTTTCAGCTTTCTCCATATGGCTAGCCAGTTTTCCCAGCACCATTTATTAAATAGGGAATCCTTTCCCCATTGCTTCTTTTTCTCAGGTTTGTCAAAGGTCAGATAGTTGTAGATATGCAGTATTTCTGAGGGCTCTGTTCTGTTCCATTGGCCTATATCTCTGTTTTGGTACCAGTACCATGCTGTTTTGGTTACTGTAGCCTTGTAGTATAGTTTGAAGTCAGGTAGCATGATACCTCCAGCTTTGTTCTTTTGGCTTAGGATTGACTTGGCAATGCGGGCTTTTTTTTAGTTCCATATGAAATTTAAAGTAGTTTTTTCCAATTCTGTGAAGAAAGTCATTGGTAGCTTGATGGCGATGGCATTGAGTCTATAAATTACCTTGGGCAGTATGGCCATTTTCATGATATTGATTCTTCCTGTCCATGAGCATGGAATGTTCTTCCATTTGTTTGTGTCCTGTTTTATTTTGTTGAGCACTGGTTTGTAGTTCTCCTTGAAGAGGTCCTTCACATCCCTTGTAAGTTGGATTCCTAGGTATTTTATTCTCTTTGAAATCAAGTGGGTCCCTGACCCCTGAGTAGCCTAACTGGGAGGCACCCGAAGTAGGGGTGGACTGACACCTTAAAGGGCCAGGTAGCCCTCTGAGACAAAGCTTCCAGAGGAATAATCAGGCAGCAATATTTGCTGTTCAGCAATATTCACTGTTCTGCAGCCTCCCCTACTAATACCCAAGCAAACAGGGTCTGGTGTGGACCTCCAGCAAACTCCAGCAGACCTGCAGCTGAGGGTCCTGACTGTTAGAAGGAAAACTAACAAACAGAAAGGACATCCACACCAAAACCTCATCTGTACGTCACCATCATCAAAGACCAAAAGTAGATAAAACCACAAAGATGGGGAAAAAACAGAGCAGAAAAGCTGAAAATTCTAAAAATCAGAGCACCTCTCCCCCTCCAAAGGAATGCAGCTCCTCACCAGCAACAGAACAAAGCTGGATGGGGAATGACTTTGACGAGTTGAGAGAAGGTTTCAGATGATCAAACTTCTCCGAGCTAAAGGAGGAAGTTCGAACCCATGGCAAAGAAAGTAAAAACCTTGAAAAAAGATTAGATGAATGGCTAAGTGAATAACCAGTGTAGAGAAGTCCTTAAATGACCTGATGGAGCTGAAAACCATGGCACGAGAACTACGTGACGAATGCACAAGCTTCAGTAGCTGATTCGATCAACTGAAAGAAACAGTATCAGTGATTGAAGATCAAATGAATGAAATGAAGCGAGAAGGGAAGTTTAGAGAAAAAAGAGTAAAAAGAAACAAAGCCTCCAAGAAATATGGGACTATGTGAAAAGACCAAATCTACATCTGATTGGTGTACCTGAAAGTGACGGGGAGAGTGGAACCAAGTTGGAAAACACTCTGCAGGATATTATCCAGGAGAACTTCCCCAACCTAGCAAGGCAGGCCAACATTCAAATTCAGGAAATACAGAGAATGCGACAAAGATACTCCTCAAGAAGAGCAGCTCCAAGACACATAATTGTCAGGTTCACCAAAGTTGAAATGAAGGAAAAAATGTTAAGGGCAGCCAGAGAGAAAGGTCGGGGTATCCACAAAGGGAAGCCCATCAGACTAACAGCTGATCTCTCAGCAGGAACCCTACAAGCCAGAAGAGAGTGGGGGCCAATATTCATATTCTTAAAGAAAAGAATTTTCAATCCAGAATTTCATATCCAGCCAAACTAAGCTTCATAAGTGAAGGAGAAATAAAATACTTTACAGGCAAGCAAACGCTGAGAGATTTTGTCAACACCAGGCCTGCCCTAAAAGAGCTCCTGAAGGAAGCACTAAACCTGGAAAGGAACAACCGGTACCAGCCAGTGCAAAAACATGACAAATTCTAAATACCATCAATGCTAGGAAGAAACTGCATCAACTAACGAGCAAAATAACCAGCTAACATCATCAAGACAAGAACAAATTCACACATAACAATATTATCCTTAAATGTAAATGGGCTAAGTGCTCCAATTAAAAGACACAGACTGGCAAATTGGATAAAGAGTCAAGACCCATCAGTGTGCTGTATTCAGGAAACCCATCTCACATGTAGAGACACACATAAGCTGAAAATAAAGGGATGGAGGAAGATCTACCAAGCAAATGGAAAACAAAAAAAGGCAGGGGTTGCAATCCTAGTCTCTGATAAAACAGACTTTAAACCAACAAAGAGCAAAAGAGACAAAGAAGGCCATTACATAATGGTAAAGGGATCAATTCAACAAGAAGAGCTAACTATCCTAAATATATATGCACCAATACAGGAGCACCCAGATTCATAAAGCAAGTCCTTAGAGACCTACAAAGAGACTTAGACTCCCACACAATAATAATGGGAGACTTTAACACCCCACTGTCAACATTAGACAGATCAATGAGACAGAAAGTTAACAAGGATATACAGGAATTGAACTCAGCTCTGCAGCAAGCAGACCTAATAGACATCTACAGAACTCTCCACCCCAAATCAAAAGAATATACATTCTTCTCAGCACCACATCGTACTTATTGCAAAATTGACCACATAGTTGGAAGTGAAGCACTCCTCAGCAAATGTAAAAGAACAGAAATTATAACAAACTGTCTCTCAGACCACAGTGCAATCAAACTAGAAGTCAGGATTAAGAAACTCACTCAAAACCGCTCAACTACATGGAAACTGAACAACCTGCTCCTGAATGACTATTGGGTATATAACAAAATGAAGGCAAAAATAAAGATGTTCTTTGAAACCAACGAGAACAAAGACACAACAAACCAGAATCTCTGGGACACATTTAAAGCAGTGTGTAGAGTGGAATTTATAGCACTAAATGCCCAAAAGAGAAAGCAGGAAAGATCTAAAACTGACATCCTAACATCACAATTAAAAGAACTAGATAAGCAAGAGCAAACACATTCAAAAGCTAGCAGAAGACAAGAAATAACTAAGAACAGAGTAGTACTGAAGGAGATAGAGACACAAAAAACCCCTCAAAAAATCAATGAATCCAGGAGCTGTTTTTTTGAAAAGATCAACAAAATTGATAGACTGCTAACAAGACTAATAAAGAAGAAAAGAGAGAAGAATCAAATAGATGCAATAAAAAATGATAAAGGGGATATCACCACCGATCCCACAGAAATACAAACTACCATCAGAGAATACTATAAACACACCTATGCAAATAAACTAGAAAATCTAGAAGAAATGGAAAAATTCCTGGACGCATACACCCTCCCAAGACTAAACCAGGAAGAATTTGAATCCCTGAATAGACCAATAACAGGCTCTGAAATTGAGACAATAGTTAATAGCCTACCAACCAAAAAAAATCCAGGACCAGACAGATTCACAGCGGAATTCTACCAGAGGTACAAGGATGGACTGGTACCATGGATTATTCTTAAGAAGTGGTAAAATATGTTGGAAACAAGCTGTTCCTCTTCTAAGCAAAGTTCAGAGTTTAAAAGTATGAAATGATAATACTGATGAAAGAAAGATTGAATGTAGGAGAACATTACATAATAATAATTTGGAAAATGTTTGGTTTTTAAGACAGTGGAAAGTTTACCAAATAGTATTTAAATAATTCTGTTAGCAAAGGCTTTCCAGAAAGATATTTTTCTATTGTAATCCTGAATTAATATTCTGAAATAACTTAACTGCTTGTCTTAAGTTGCAGAGATGTGTTAAGGTGGTTTACATTTATCTGCATTTATAATTTTATCATTTCACAGTTCTTTTAGGGTTTCTCTATATTATTAATCTCTGCTGTACCATGCATAAGCCACTGTATTTTTAACTCAGTCTAAGAAGAGTTTAAATATACTTTCTAGAATCTTGAAGAACAGCAGATCATTAAATAGACTTCTGGGAATTACTTCTCCACTGGTCAGAATGTCATCTGTCTCAACAGTGGGATTTGCAAGGTTAAAGAGATATTAATAAATGGGTGTTGGTTGGGGCCTGTCATGGGGTGGGGGGAGGTGGGAGGGATAGCATTAGGAGAAATACCTAATGTAAATGATGAGTTATTAAAGTATAATAAAAAGTAATAATAAATAAATAAATACAAATAAATAACTGGGTGTTGGTTAGGCACATAAATGGCAATCTTGATTATCTTGCCTTTCGCATACTTTACTCTCTCAATCCTTCTGTAAATTTAAGCAGATGGTAGACCTGCAAGCTCCTGTATTCTCCAGAAAACAGAGATAGCTTGAGTGCCCCCATTTCCCCTCTAGTTCAGTACCTGATGAAATAATAAATAATAAATAGATTCTTGATGAAA
Organism: Homo sapiens; assembly: GCF_000001405.40. NCBI lineage: Eukaryota > Metazoa > Chordata > Mammalia > Primates > Hominidae > Homo > Homo sapiens. The sequence continues at coordinate 24,862,276 of NC_000009.12, forward strand.
GAAACATACCCCCGCTTATTAAAGTAACCCATATTTGTTTGTTCATACCTTGTAAAGGTAACAAATGACAAGCAGAAAGATGTTTGTCTTTCCTATTTGCAAATGTAATGGAGAAATAACTTTTATTGAACATTCACTATGTTTTAAACACTAGCATAAGTACTTCTCTCATATTTCGTTTAAAACTCAACACAACCCTGAGGTAGACAGTTTTGCCAGTTGAAAACTTTGTAACTATATCAAGCAGATAGTAAAGAAAGTATTTTATTGCAGTAGTTTGACTCCTACATCCTACGTCCACACTGTCAGCATTTATGCTTTGACATTATGACAGATATATTCACTGGGTTATATGGTACCCCATGAGTAGAAATGCTAACCTAGAGAGATGGAGCCTGGATCAAGTGATTGGGAAAAGGTTTTAAGGTTTCAGAGGCAGGCTGTATGTCTTCTCTCTTCTGCCTACACTTCACCATTTACTGACGATACCATCATCTGCATGTTTCTGCTTCTCAGTGCCTTCAATTCTCAATGTCCTATCAATACAGTAGGTACAAAGGTAACTGCCTCATACTGTTTCCATGAGAGTATAATGAAAAAGTTAACCTAAAGTATTTGGAACAGAATTCTATGTTCAATAAATGTTAGAAAAATGATTGAAGGTTAATTATGAGTTGGCTACTTGAAAGGTGGAAGGAGAGGAGTTGGTAGGGAGAGAATGTTACAGGCAGAAGGTCTGGCATGCTCTCTCTCTTTCTCTTTACCTTAATTTTTCATAAGCTTGTCTATAAAAAGGAGGCTTAAGCCAAAAATTAATAGTTGATAATTTGTCTGAGATGAAGGGACCTGTGTTTATAAATTGAAAACAAGAAAGTAGAGTTGGAGATATTAAAAGTAATGGCTGCCCTCTGAAGGACTATTGAGAATACCTCCTGACTATGGGGAAAAAGTAAATACGATTTTAAAACAAGTTTGTTCCTCTAAACATGACTAAAATGTACATTCCAAATGGAGGCTGTACTTTTGAAGAGGACAACAATTATGTAGCTATATGAGAAAATTAATTCATTGACAATTTGTGAAGAAAGAGTGTAAGTTTTAGAATCAGATCCCATAGAATTTTAATTTTATTACTCCTTATCAACTGTGACCTTGAATAAGTTACTCATCTTCTTTGAGTTTTACTCTCTTTTATGGTCTGTTAATTGTGTCAAATATACAAACAAATAGGAATATAAAACATATACATGTAGAAGAAAAAAATTAACCAAGCACTGAAATATGTCCATTAACCTTTTAAAACAAAACCGCATGTCTTCCTTCCACTTCGCATCTCCCTCTTTCCAGCCCCTTTCCCCAGAGGTAATGCTATGTTTCTGTGATAATTTCCTTGCCTTACCTTACAATTTTACCCAATATGTATGAATTCCCTTAATAATACAGTGTAGATTTGCTTGCTTCTATAAAAATCAGGTTGATTTCTTGTTCTGCAACTTGTTTCTTTTGCTCAATATTAGTTTGTGGATTGGTAGGTGCTGAATTTACAGCTTTAGATCTTTTACTTTTAATGTTGTGCAGCATTCAATGGCATGATTATACTATTTATTATTTAATCTACTGTCCATGAGCAATTCCCTTTACCTTATCTCCCAGTATGAGCCTCTCTCAAGAAATATCTACTCTGGCCAGGTGCAGTGGCTCATGCTTGTAATCCCAGAACTTTGAGAGGCCGAGGCGGGTGGATCACTTGAGGTCAGGCATTTGAGACCAGCCTGACCAACATGGTCTCTACTAAAAATACAAAAATTAGCCGGGCATGGTGGCGCATGTTTGTAATCCCAGCTATTCAGGAGGCTGAGGCATGAGTATTGCTTGAACCCAGGAGGCAGAAGTTGCAGTGAGCTGAGATCACACCACTGCACTCCAGCCTGGGAGACAGAGTCTCACTCTGTCTCACAAAAAAACAAAACAAAACAAAACAAAAAAAACCAAACTACTCTGAACATTCCTACATGTGTCTCTTGGCATGAAGATATATAACTAGGTGTAAATATGTTGGACAATGTAGTGTGTGCATCTATAATTTCATTAGTGAATTAATGCCTACCTTTTTCCATTGTACCAATATACCCTCTCACAGCAGGACTTCTCATTTCTCCCATGTCACATTTTTTTGTTGTCAGTTATTATATTTTTGCCAAACTGTAGGGTTTCTAATTCATCATATCATCTTTTGAGTTGGGTTTTCCTTATTATTAAAGTGGTTATTGATCATATGCACCTATTGGCCATATAAGCCTCCCCTTTGTGAAATTCCTATTCAATACTCCTAGCTGTTGTCAATGTAATTAGTTCTGGATCCCAGATCTTTATTGGTTATGTAGCACCAATAACATGCTTAGCCTGTGGCGTGTTATTTCACTTATTTATAGTATCTATTACTGTCAGAAACTCTTAATTTTAATGTAGTGAGATTTAAAGTGTTTCCTACCGTGTTAGTATTTAATGTGTCTTGTTAAAAAAATCTTACCTAATCCAAAAAAGATATATTTCTATATCACCTTTTAAAATTTTTGTAGTTTTTCCTAATTTTTCACTCTTCTGCAAAATGGTTTCAGTGCATGGTGTGAGGCCGTGGTATATGGTGACCATGAATATGTCCTACTCAAATATCCTGGCATAAAAAGTTTAATTACTTGAGATTTTGGCTCAAGGACACACCATTGATTTAGCTAAAATTAAACAAACAAACAAAAACATGAACTGCAATTTAAGACTCTTTCTACCAACCTCTGTCTTCTTTCTACTTTCTTCCCAGGTTCAGATCTGCCTCACAGTCTTATATGTGTCCCCACTTCCTCAGCTTGTTCCCTCTTTTCCCCACTCACAAATATTTCCCCCCAGAAAATATCTTGCATAACAAATCTTTTTTTGTTTGCCTCTTGAAAGATCCATTTTATTTTCTATTGATAACCAATTGTTTCTATATCTGGGCTTTAATTTTCTTACCTGTGAAATGGAATTTTTAAAATTTACTAAATATGTTTGATCTGTGAGTCAGAGAGCTAAGATACTTATCATTGTGCTTTAGAATATTAGCTACTATTAATTTATTTCCATTCTTCAAGATGTGTCTTTCAGAATGTAGAGGAATTGCAGTTCAGTTGTTATGAACTAAATCTACTCTTGGGTGAACTGTACTACAAAGTATCTCTGTGCATTTGTGCAAGCCATTTCACCTTCCTGTGCCTCTCCTTCACAAAACTAAAATTAAAAGGAGAAAATATTTTCTACCTGGTTGACTAAATTCTTCTAGTTAATTAGTTAATGCATTTGACGTTCTTACAAAAAATTTGTAACTAACAAATTAGTTAATGTATATAAAATTCTTAAGATTGTTAAGACTTATATAAAAGTAAGGGATACTCACACCTTTGTAATTTGCAACTCTAATAATTAAAAACACTGTTTTGGCTGGGCACAGTGGCTCACACCTGTAATCCCAGAACTTTGGGAGGCCAAGGCAGGTGGATGACTTGAGATCAGGAGTTTGAGACCAGTCTGACCAACATGGTGAAACACTGTCTCTACTAAAAATACAAAAATTAGCCCAGCATGGTGGCGTACGCCTATAATCCCAGCTACTCAGGAGGCTGAGGCAGGAGAATCGCTTGAACCTGGGAGGCAGAAGTCGCCATGAGCCGAGATCGTGCCACTTCCCTCCATCCCGGGAGACACAGGAAGACTCTGTCTCAAATAAACGAATGAATGAATGAATGAATGAATGTACTGTTTACATGGTACTATATACAGTGTCATCACGCATTTGCTTGTGTCCCTCCATGGTTCCAGAAGACCAGGTTTTCCCAATAAATTATATGCAAGTGAATATTTCTCAATTCTACATAAATGTATGTAACTACACATTTATGTATCTCTATATATTACTACATAGATATATATATAGATATGAGTTTAATATTTCTACACCGCAGTGAAAGCTTTGCTTAACTACAACCCTATGCATTTATGAATTATATAGTAATCAGAAGAAAAGCCCAGATACTCAGACTACTTTTATCTTTTTTTATTTCTATTCAGATAGTCTTTTTGTTTCAGTAGTATACCATATAATATCTGCTAGTTGCAAACTCTGAAAAATGACATCAGGTATTCACACTGAATATAACCACACTTACAATATTTAGGTATTGCCTAGAATAGAAATGAGAAATGTGAAAGGGAACTTTGTTTTCTGACAATTATAGATATTACCTCAACCTTCAGAGATGCAATTCAAAACTTATTTGTGCTATTATGATTTAATTTTAACTTCTACATTATATTAATGTTATCATGTTTATCTTTGATATTTATATATATCTCAATATCTTTCTATATTGAGTTGCATTTCTGGAAGTATTGCTTCTCAAAAAGTTCTCCATGTAAACACAAAGGCAAAGATTTTTTGATATGTGGTTACTGTATTCAGCACACCAATTGCCTATCTTAAGAAATATTTGACAGAAGATTCCAGAGCAGCCAAATAATATAGAAAGTTATGTAATGATTAGTGCAATAGAATTGTACCAATTTATGATTCCATGTTTATATATGTGTTATTCATTATAAGGTAACTACAGAAATTAACTTACACAGGCCTGATGAGTAATGACCAAATAGGCTATTCAATTCAATAATAATTTTTAGAACCCAGCATTGCCATGGGGATCGTACTCCTAAAAATTTATAAACCTCATGTCCTTTTCAGTAAAATGGATTTTTAATATAGCATAAATCATGATGTGAAGATTCAATTAGAAAATGTAATTTAACTCTCAAATTTTAATTTTTTTATGTGATATTTGCCCCTGTGAAGAAAATTTGTAACGAAGATGAGGAAATCATAAAACATTTATATATAATGTCAAAATATACACAAAGCGTGATAATTACCTGATAAAATTAAAAATACTGGGCAATTTTGTCAGAACTTGTCCCCTAGATGTACAGATATATGTTGTTAAATTTATTCCATGAAGGATGTCTAGGTGGTCTTCAAATAAAGGGTTCTGTGGCTGAATACGTTAGGCAAGTATTTGCTTCAGCAAAGTTAATCAGTCTTTAAAAAAATTTTAATATTGTAGAGATTTTCAGCACTTTACACATAGAATGTCTAATAGGAAGCATAAGTTTGCAGTGGTTCCCAAACTTGTTTGACTGCAGAACCTTGTTTTCTCTCAAAAATTTTTATGAAACATGTATTGGTAAATGTTGATGTAGGCATTAAATACAAATTAAATTTAGAGAAGGGAAAAGTGAATCTTGGTAAGGAAGTGGGCAACATTTTTTGAAGAATTAGTAATTAAATTCTGGATTGGATTTAAAACAGGAGAGGATAGAGCATTATAGGAAATGATTCAGAAAGCATGATGAGATTGATAGGCTCATCAAAATGTGAGACAAAGTTTTCATATTAGGAAAAAAGTGGGCAATATGTTTGTTTCCAGAGGATATGGACAATTTCTGGAGTTCTTGACAGGCAGAAAAGAAGATTGGATTTCATCTTTAATTTTATTTTTTCCATATTTGTGTTGAGCCATTCTTGCATTGCTATAAAGAAATACCTGAGACTGGATACTTTATTTAAGCGGAGGTTTAATTTCCTCATGGTTCTGCAGGATGTACAGGAAGCACAGTGCTGGCATCGCCTTCCAGTGAGGCCTCAAGAAGTCTATAATAATGATGGAAAAATGAGGAGGAGCAGGTATCTCACATGGTAAATGTAGAAGCAAGGGTGTTTTGGGGGAGCGCCACACACTTTTAAAAGACAAGATCTAAGGAGAACTCAGTCACTATCACGAGATCAGCATCAAGCCATGAGGGATCTGCCCCCAAGACCAGACACCTCCTACTAGACCCCACCTCCAGCACTGGGGATTACAATTCAACATGAGATTTGGCAGAGACATGTATTCAAACTATATCACTATTTAAGTCTTTAATTCACCTGGAATGGCATTACATGCTTAATGTGACGTAAGGGTACAATTTTATCTTTTCTTTCATAAGGATATGCAGTTCTCTCAACACCATATAATAGAAATGACCATCTATTCTCCATTCGGGGTAATTCCAATTGTGTTGTAAATCATGTTTCCATAAATCTATTTCTGTGTTCTCTGTTTTATTCCATTATTAGTCTCTTTGTTCATCTCTATTTTAACACCTTTAGATCTTAATTTCTAAACTGTAGGGCAAGTTCATCCACCTTGATCTTCTTCAAGAGTATCTTGGAGTAGTTTGTACTTTAATCTTGTCTAGTTCTAAAAAGCAAAACTAACACACCAAAATTAGAGTTTTATTAATATTACATTGACTCTGTTGATTAATTTGGCAATACTTGACATCATAATCCTGAATCTTGTAATTTCTTAAAGTGGTATATCTCCTTATTTACATCTTCTTTAATTTTTTTAATAAAACATTAATATTGTGCATAATTTACATATTTATTAGATGCATTCCAATGTATTTAACATTTGATGTTATTTAAATATTATAATTTTAAAACATATTTTAGTTTTATCCTGCTAGTATATAGACATTCAAATTATTTTGCAAGCAAAATTACTATTGAGAAAATCTGTAAAAATGAACTGTTAATTAAAATAATACGTAGTTTATTTTTTATTTTATTAATAGACAAACATATTACCTGTTAAAATTATAATGTGGCTTTTGTTTTTTCAATCCAAGCTGACTTTGATGGCTATGATCATTATTTCACAAGGAAGTATGATGTTTGCTTTTTTCAGTTATGAGTATTTTTTTAAAATTCTTTGTTTGCTAAGAGCTTATTTAATGGATGGCTATTATTTTTTCAGTTTTGTATATAATTTGAAATATATTATTTTTCATTTTAAATTTATTAATGAGGAATTTAAATTTTTTAAAGTTAAAATGTAAACTTGTGTTCACCATTCTGTTTACTAGAGTTTCTTTAAGATTTTTGCATGTATGATTATAAATTGGATTTTTTTTTTGTTTTTTTTTTGTTTTGTTTTGTTTTGTTTTGTTTTATTATACTTTAAGTTTTAGGGTACATGTGCACATTGTGCAGGTTAGTTACATATGTATACATGTGCCATGCTGGTGCGCTGCACCCACTAACTCGTCATCTAGCATTAGGTATATCTCCCAATGCTATCCCTCCCCCCTCCCCCCACCCCAACACAGTCCCCAGAGTGTGATATTCCCCTTCCTGTGTCCATGTGATCTCATTGTTCAATTCCCACCTATGAGTGAGAATATGCGGTGTTTGGTTTTTTGTTCTTGCGATAGTTTACTGAGAATGATGATTTCCAATTTCCTCCATGTCCCTACAAAGGACACGAACTCATCATTTTTTATGGCTGCATAGTATTCCATGGTGTATATGTGCCACATTTTCTTAATCCAGTCTATCATTGTTGGACATCTGGGTTGGTTCCAAGTCTTTGCTATTGTGAATAATGCCGCAATAAACATACGTGTGCATGTGTCTTTATAGCAGCATGATTTATAGTCATTTGGGTATATAGCCAGTAATGGGATGGCTGGGTCAAATGGTATTTCTAGTTCTAGATCCCTGAGGAATCGCCACACTGACTTCCACAATGGTTGAACTAGTTTACAGTCCCACCAACAGTGTAAAAGCGTTCCTATTTCTCCACATCCTCTCCAGCACCTGTTGTTTCCTGACTTTTTAATGATTGCCATTCTAACTGGTGTGAGATGGTATCTCATTGTGGTTTTGATTTGCATTTCTCTGATGGCCAGTGATGATGAGCATTTTTTCATGTGTTTTTTTGGCTGCATAAATGTCTTCTTTTGAGAAGTGTTTATGTGTATGTGTGCGAAAATCCTAATGGGCAAACAAGAATAGTGATTTTAAAAATATATGAAAGAAATTACCCATTACAATCGAGAGTATTTTTCTAAGCATATAAAGTTCTCAATACGGAGAAAAGGAAAAGTCCATGTTACCTCATGCAGTAAGTGCCTCAACTGAACAGTGAAGAAATTTCCATAAGGTAGTAGAAAACAGAAAGTAAAGATTACTCTTTGAGACTCTGAAAGGTATTATTGTGGGGACAACTAAGTGGAGTTTTGAAGGATGAGAGAAAGTCTATCAGAAAACACAGAGGCCAGGGGAGGCAAGGGGAACATTGGAACAGAGGAACCAGAGGCCTGAAATGCATTTTTTTTTCTTTTGACTGTTCCTTTTTATAGTCAGATGTATTTTCTGGAGTCATATTCATAAAGATGACTTTGGCTTTGGGATTGCACGTTTAACCGGTGATCTTCATCCTTTTGTCTAATCACTACTATTCACACCTTCATTGGTAAATCAGGTGCATTTTTAGCTTAGTCATGCCGCCTTCTGCTGATCCCACCCCATCCTGTAATTATAAATCTCAGTGTGGTTACTGACAATGTAAGGACACTATTTTATCCCCACAATGGAATTCAGGCATAGGACCAGAAGCACAATTAGAACAACAACAACAACAACAACAACAAAATACAATAGCCAACACACACACGTACACACACACACAAACCCAAAACATAGTCCACAATGTTAGGTGTGATTAACTTGGTGGAGGATAATTATGTGATGAGTGGGGTCAGAAACTACTGATTTAGATCAGCTGTGTGTTTGATATTGGCTATTAGGAATCTGCCACATTTGACACATGGAATGTCAGAGTGAAATAGAGGCTGAGAAGTGAGATCAGCAAATATGAAGTAACGCCAAAATGAATACGGTATGTCAGGGCCTGGTGATGAGCTGTGAATGGCATAGTAAAAAAAGGAAAACTGAAGTAGGGGGCAGGTTGCAGACAGAAGGTATGTGGCAAAAGTCCAAGCAGGCTCATATGAACCAGGTACAATGGAACAATGTCTCATGCATTTTAACTTTTGAAAATTAAACCTTACCAGCTCTATTGGAAACAAAAATAAAGAAAAAAAATAACAGCTTGACAATCAAGACCATTCTGTAACTATTCATGTTCATACAATGAGTCTGTGTTTCGGAGTATTTGAGAGATGGTGCATAAATCTCCTGTTTTCAGGATCAGCCTTTTTCCCCTATGAAACTTGTATTAAAAAATATGTTTTTGGTTGAGAGTTTAGTGAGTCTACAGGTGAAAGAGAAGTTTGTTTTTTGTTTGTTTTGGTACAACATTGCAGCAAAACACAAGTCAACAATTATATCCGGTACTCAAAAACAAAAATGGTATATTCCAGCATTGGAGCAATAATATTTTGCTACATTTTTTGAGAGCAGGTATACTATGTTAAAAGGGGCAAACTATGGGATTGTTAAGAAAAACTTTGATTACATTAACATTTTGCCTTTTCCTTTGCTTAATGTTAAAAAAAACTTACAGAAAGATGAAACTTCTTTATATTCACACTAACTTAGTCAGGTCGAAGCAAGGGAGACAGAAAAATCAATGAGAGACACAAGTACTGAGATAATGATGCCAAGACTTGTGGCCCAGCCATGAGATTTGGATATGTTTTGTGCTAAGTCATTTCCAAGGCTTCGATGGAGGAAAACCCAGAGGTGAAGACAAATGAATGATGACATATAGCCAAAAAGTCCTGCTTCTTTTCTCTCTACAGGAGGCTTAGTCAGTGATTCACACAAACACCAATCAGACCATCATAAAGCTGATAGACTCTTTTATTCTCCTGAGGTTTGGTGAATGAATGAACACTGATGATGGTGAGCTCTGAGCAGTGCCCTGGAGCCAGAAATGCTGGCATGTATTTCTGCTCAGTAAGTTTGTTCTTTACCTGTTGCCTCCTAGGTATATCTAATCAAACTTTCCATAATTTATATAATTCTTACATTGAAATGTCTACCTGAAGTCTTTCTTGCTATATTATCTCAGCAAGAGGAAATTAAGAATTATCTTTACTCTCTTTAAAAAATCATTGCTTAGGTAAATGTTTTTTGTTCAATATTCTAAAACTGTATATCTTTTTTTTAAGTTTTGTATTTTATTACAGTAAAACACTTAACACAAGGTCTACTGTGTGCAAAATTTTAAGTGTACAATACATTTTTGTAGACTTTCGGTACAATGTTGTCCAGCAGATCTCTAGAGCTTATTTATCTTTCTTAAATGTTATGCTTTTTGATGAGTAAATCTCTATTTTTCCCTACCTCTAACTCCTGGAAACCATCATTCTACTCTTTCATTCTGTGCATTTGAGTACGTTAAATACCTCATATATGTGGGATCATACAGTTTTGTCTTTATGTGACTATCTTATTTCACTTAGCATAATGTCCTCAAGATTCATCCATGTTGTCTCATATTGCAGAATTTCCTTCTTTTTAAAGGCTACCTAGTATTCCATTGTGTGTGTGTGTGTATGTGTGTGTGTGTGTGTGTGTATGTATGTGTGTGTGTGTATATATATATATACACACACACACATACATACACACACACACACACCACTTTTTCTTTATTCACTTATCTGTTGTACATTTAGGTTGCTTCCATACTTTCGCTATTCTCAATCATGATCATGCTTCAATGAACATGGGATTTCTAATATCTCATAAATATCCTGATTTTTGTTCTTTAGGGTAAATACTCAGAAGTGGGATTGCTGGATAACATGATAGTTCTCTTTTTAATTTTTTGAAGCACTTCCACGTTGTTTTACATAGCAGCTGTATTTGGCATTTTCACCCAGAATGTACAAGGGTTTCAATTTTCAGTAGTCTCACCAGTACTTTTTTTTTTTTGATAGTAGCCATCCTGATAGGTGTGAGATAATATTTTATTTTTTTTGGATTTTCACTTCCCTCATAACTAGTTACTTTAAACAATTTTTATATACCTGTTGGCCGTTTCTGTATCTTCTTGACAGAAATGTCTATTCAAGTTATTGGCTAATTTTCTAATCAGGTGATTTACTTTGTTGTTATTGAGTTGTAGAAAAGTTCATTATATATTTTGGATATTAACACCTTACCAGGTATATGGTTTGCAAATATTTTCTCCCATTCTTTGGGTTACCTTATCACTTTGTTAATTGTTTCCTTTGCTGTATAGAAGCTTTTTACTTTAATGCAGTCTGATTTGTTTATTTTTGTTTTCTTAACTTGGTCTTTTGTTGTCATATCCATGAAATCATTGCCAAACCAATGTCCTGAAGATTTTCCCCTGTGTTTTCTTAAGGAGTTTTACAGTTTCAGATCTTACATTTAAGTCTTTAATTCATTGAGTTGAGTTTTTTGTATGATATAAGGTAAGGGTCCAATTTCATTCCTTTGCGTGTGGATATTCAGTTTTCCCAACCATTTGTTGAAGAGACTGTTCTATCCCCATTGTGTATTCTTGGCATGCTTGTTAAAGATTAGTTGACCTATGTATGTGGGTTTATTTCTGGGCTCTGTAATCTGTTCCATTACTCTATAGGACTGTCTGTCATTATGCTAGTACCACTATATTTATTATTGTTATTTTAAAATATATTTTGAAACCTAGAAGAGTAATATCTGGAGCATTGTTCATCTTTCTCAAGATTTATTTCACTATTCATGGTCTTTTGTGGCTCTTTATTACTTGTAAAATTGTTTTTCTAATTTTGTAAGAAATGCCATTGCACTTGATTAGGTATTCCATTGAATCTATAGATCACATTGGGTATTACGGACATGTTAACAATATTAAGTCTTCAAGTTCATGAACATAAGATGTCTTTTTATTTGTTTGTGTCTTGATTTCTTTCATCAATGTTTTATAGCTTTCCACATACATCTTTACCCTCTTTGGTTAATTTTATTTCCAAGTATTTTATTCTTTGCTGTTGTTTTTTGGATTGTTTCCAAATTTTCTTTTCAGATACCATATTGTTAGCATATAAGAAAACAACGATTTTGGTATGTTGATTTTTATCTTCTAATTTTACTGAATTAATTTATTAGTTCTAACAGTTATTTTATGGAATTGTTATATTTTTCTATGTATAAGATCATGTCATCTGTGAATAGGGACATTTTTGTTTCTTTTTTCTAACTTAGATGACTTTTATTTCTTTTTCTTGCTTAATTGCTCTGGTTAGGGCTTCCAGTACTACGTTGAGTAGAAGTGGTGAGAGTCAGCATTCTTACATTGTTTCTGATCTTAAGGGAAACCATTTCAGATTTTCTTTATTGAGTGGAATGTTTGCTGTGGTCTTTTCAGTTTTCAAAAATAGATTATATTTTTAGAGAAGTTTCAGTCCACAGCAAAATTGAGCAGAAGGTACAGAGTTTTCCTACGTGTGTATTCTGCCTCCTCACTTGAATAGCCATCTACATTTTTAAAATCCCCCACCAGAATGATACATTTGTTATAATTGATACATCCGCATTTACACATCATTACCACCCAAAGTCCATAATTTTCCTTAGGGTTCACTCTTGTTTATGCACATTCTATGGGTTTGGAAAATCTTACAGTGATATATATATATACACCATTATAGTGTCATACAGAATAATCTCACTGCCCTAAAGTATTCTCTGTGCTCCTCACATTCATCCACCCCATCCCTCCTCTCTAATGCCTGGAAAATAATTCATTTTTTTCTTATTGTGTCTATAGGTTTGCCTTTTCTATAATGTCCTGTAGGTGGAATCATACAATATGTAGCCTTTTCAGACTGGCTTATTTCACTTATAATATGCATTTGCATTTCTTCCATATCTTTTCATGGCTTGACAGCTCATTTCTATTTAGTTAGTGGTCGATAATATTCTGTTGTCTGGATATACCACAGTTTTATTATCTATTCATCTACCGAAGGACACTTTTATTGCTTCCAAGTTTTATAATTATGCATAAAGCTGCTATAAACATACTTGTGCAAGTTTTTATATGGACATTCATTTTTAGTTCATTTTCATAAATATTAAGGAATGTGATTACTATATCATATAATATATATATGTATATATGTATGTATTTGTATATATGTATATATGTGTGTTTGTATGTGTATATATATATAGGTAAGAAACTGCTAAACTGTCTTCCAAAGTGGCTGTTCTATTTTGCATTCCCACCAGCAATGAATGAGAGCTCCTGTTGCTTCACAACCTTGCCAGCATTTAGTGTTGTAAGTGTTCTGGACTTTAGCCTGACTAATGGCATAAAGTGGTATTACCTTAGTGTTTTAATTTGTTTTTCCTGATGATATTTGATGTAGAACATATTTGCATATGCTTATTTGCCATCTGTATAACTCGTTTGGTGAAGTGTCTGTTCATGACTTTTGTATATTTTTTAATTGGGTTGTTCTTTTTCTTATTACTGACTTTTAGGAGTTATTTTTGTATTTTGGATAATATTTCTTTGTCAGACATGTATTTTGTGAATATATTCTCCCATCTGTACCTTGTCTTTTCATTTTCTCAATCAAATCTTTTACAAAACAGAAATTTTTTAATTTTAACAAAGTTCAGTTTTTCAATCTTTTCCTTCATGGCTTGTGGCTTTGCTGTTATATCCAAAAGGTAATCACCAAACCTAAAGTTATCTAGATTTTCTTCTATGTTTTCCTCCAGAAGTTTTATAGTTTTGCATTTTACATTTAGGCCTGTGATCCATTTCAAGTTAATTTTTGTGAACTGTGTAAAGTCTAGATTCCTTTCTTTTTGTACATGGAGGTTGAGTTGTCCAAACACCATTTGTTGAAAAGACTGTTTTCTCCATTCTATTTTTTTTTCTCTATTGCCATTGCAAAATGGTCTTCCAAAGTGACTGTACCATTTTGTATTCCCACCAGCAATGAATTAGAGTATCTGTTAAAGTTCAGTTAACTATATTTTTGTGTGACTAATTCTGAGATCTCCATTCTGTTCCATTGATCTATCTGACTACTTTTATCACCGTTACTACACTGTTTTGATTACTGTTGCTTTGTCATAAATCCTGAGGCCACTAGTGTCAGTCCTCTCACTCTGTTTTTCTCCTACAGTATTGTGTTGGATATTCTGGATATCCAATTAAATTTAATTGTGGATAACACAATTAAATTTAAATTGTGTTTTATTGTCCAGAGTGTGTTTTCTCCTGGAGAATGTTCCATTCAAGCTTGAGAAGAATGTGTATTCTGCTATCCTTAAATAAGGTAATATATAGATGTCCTTTATATCCAGTTGACTCATTAATATTTTTGAGCTCCACTGCATCCTTGCTTAGTTTCTGTTTGTTGAATCTGTCCATTTCCAATAAAGAAGTGTTGAAGTCCTCACCTATAATAGTAGATTCATGTATTTCTGCTTGCAGTCCTACCACTTTTTATCTCATGTATTTCGATGCTCTGTTATTAGGTGCATACATATTAAGGATTTTTAAATATTTTTGAAGGATGGAACCCTTTATCCATAATCACTTTCTTGTTCTGAAGTCTATTTTAATTTAATATCTTTAGATTAGTGTTAGCATAGTGTATCTTTCTCCATCACTTTACTTTTAATCTATATGTTTCTTTATATTTAAAGTGTGTTTCTTATCGACAACATACAGTTGAATCTTGTTCTGGATCCACTCTGACAATGTCTGACTTTTGATTGGTGCATTTAGACCCTTGATATTCAAAGTAATTATTGATACAGCTGGATTAATATTTACATATTTGTTTCTGTTTTCTGCTTGCTCTTCTGTTCTTTATTCCCATTTTTTTCTTTCCTTCTGTGTTCTGGCTTTTGTTATTTTAATTGAACATTTTATGTGATTCAGTTTTCTCTGCTTTCTTAGCATATCAGTTATTTTGCATATTAGCATATACAGTTTTTTAAAAAAATTTTAGCATTTTCCCTACAGTTTGCAGTATACCATTAAAATTACTCTAAGTCTACTTTCAAGTAACACTGTACCTCACATTATGGGTACTGCAGGATCTTTATAATAACCAAATAATATTAATTTCTTCCTCTTTGCATTATTGATGTTATTCATTTCACTTATAAATAAGCATATATGTGTGTATGATAAGTATACATAATAAAATACATTGTCGCTATTATTATGAACAAACTTTTATGTCTTAGATCAATTAAAAATTAAAAAAATTAATATTTTTTATTTTACCTTCTCTTATCTCTTCTCTGAGGCTCTTCATTTCTTTCTGTAGATCTGAGTTTCTAATCAATATCATTTCCTTCTCTTTAAAGAACTCATTTAAACTTTCTTGCAAGGCAGTTCAACTGGCAATAAACTCCCTCACTTTGTTTGTCTGCAAGTCTTTATTTCTGTTTCACTTTTGAGGGACAATTTCACAGGGTACAGAATTCCACGTTGGTAGTTGTTCGTCTTAATACATTTATTTTTACTCCATTATCTTCTTGTTTGCATGGCTTCTGAGCAGAAGTCAGATCTAGTTCTTACTGTTGCTTTAATGCTGGGTAAGGTGTATTTCTTACCTGGCTTCTTTCAGAATTTTTTATCTATAATTTTCTAGAGTTTGAAAATAATGTGCCTAGGAATAGTTTTGTCTTGGTTTGCTTCTTGACATTTACCCTGCTTGGAGTTTTCTCAGTTTTCTGGATCTGTGGTTTGATATCTGACATTAATTTAGGGACATTTTTAGTCATTATTCTTTCAAATATTTATTCTGTTCCTTTTGCTTTTCTTTTTCTTCTGGTATTCCCATTGGCATTAAGTTAAACCTTTATAGATGTTCACACATCTTGAATAATCTGTTCTGGGTTTTTTTTCCAGTCTTTTTTCTCTTACCTTCTGGATTTGGAAGGTTCTATTGAAATATTTTTTATCTCAAAGAAAGATTTTTTTTTCTTAGCCATAACAAGTATCCCAATAAACCCATCAAATTCATTCTTCATTTCTGTTACAGTGTTTTGGATTTCTAGCATTACTTTTTGGTTCTTTCTTAGAATTTCCATCTCTCTGTATGTATTGCCCATATGTTCTCCCATGCTGTAAACCTTATTCATAAGAGTTACCAGCATATTAATTATAGTAATTTTAAAGTTCCAGACTGATAATCCCAACATTTCTTTCATATCTGCATCTGGTTCTGATATTTACTCTGTCTCTTCAAACTGTAATTTTTGCCTCCGAGTATGCCAAAATTATCCTGATGTACTGCTCTATGCACCATGACTGGAGGCCTAAGGCAGCAATCTAGGGCAATTACAAGGCATACCTTGTTTGTTTCTCTTAACTCAGGGATCAGTGTACTTTACTGTCTCATGTCCAATCCGTTGTTAACAACTGTTTCATACATATTTTGTTTTTTGGTTGCTTTGAGTGAGAGGGTAAAGTTAGTTTCTGTTACACCATTCTGGTCAGAAGCTAAGTGAGGTTCTTCAAATTGTGATTTTTATTATTTTCATACTTGGAAATATTTGGTCAATTTTCAAATTTTTCTGGAAATTTATTGCCTCTATTATTATTTTGTTCTGCTTGACATCCTCCAGTATTTTTAAAACACATCAAACACAATTGCTTTTATATTCTGGCTATAAAAATATTTTATTTTCCTGACACTTGTTTATTCTATCTCTAGAGTTCTTCTGTTGTGACATTTTCATTGGAAACCAAATTTCTTTTAACTTAATCTGCGTATTTGGATATTTGATATTTGGGAAGAGTTTCAGTTTCTCTAGAAAGAATTTTTATAGCAACCGTTTCATTTTGTAGGAAGTGCTTTACAAATTTCATATTCATCGTTCACCACATATCCCCTTGTCCCAACCAAGTTCATCTACAGTTACACATAAACACAGTTTCTAGAAGCTGGATGTTTCCCAACTAATGTACCTGAGTACCTCTTCTTCTCTGGCTGAAGCCTTTCTTCAACACTATAGGAGCTGGCTGGCCCTCAGGCAGGCAAACCCAGTAATGCGAGAAAGTTAATATTCCAGAGCAATCCTCAGTGGGGGTGGGAGTCAATGCATTAATTACACACCATTCTTTTCTTCAATTAAGATAATAATGAAGCATGTTCCAAAGAATTTCTTGGGTTACTACTGTAATTGAGCAGCAGTTGCTCACAATTGCTTGTTAATGACCCCTTATTTTTTTTATGGCTTTTTCTCTTCCCTGCTTCATTTTTCTCTTTTCATCACTTGTCCTTCCAAGATTATCTCCCAATTAAACTACTTGCACCTACTTTTTTTATTCTTAGTCTTAATTTCTGTATTTATTGGTATATTAATCAGTGTTCTCCTAAAACACAGAACAGTTGCTATATATATATATATGTCATATCTATATATAGTGACCCAGGAGAGCCAATGATGCAGTTCTAACCTGAGTACTACGCTCTGAGAACCAGGAGATATGAGAAATTCCAGTCTGAGTGCAGAAAAATAGTGATGTCCTAGCTGGGAAATAGGCAGAGAGAACAAATTCCTTCTTACTAAGCCTTTTGTTCTGTTTAGGCCTCCAACAGATTGGGTGAGCCCTACACCATCCACATTGGTTGATACACCTATTTTACTCAGTCTACTGATTCAAATGTTAATGTCATTTAGGAACAACCTTACAGACACACCGAAAATAATGTTTAAACAAATATTTGACACTGTGACTCAGGCAAGTTGAAACATAAAATTAGCCATCAGAATTGAGAAACTACCCTATGACCTTTTTCCCCATGGTTATTAGAAAGGGAACTTACTGCACCTAAACAATAAGGGGTTAGACTGCAGATATCCCTTATTTAATAAAAGTCCTTCTGTTAAACTGCCTCACTTGAATGAAACTAGACCTTGTTGTTTATCTCCCAAGTCCTATAAGAAGCTGAAAATTGAAGATAAGCTTAACTGTAATCTCAAGAAAAGGGCCAACTTTATGACAGAGTTTTTCTTTCTGGATTCCTGTCTTGGCTTAGTGGTGTGTGTGTGTGTGTGTGTGTGTGTCTCTGTGTGTGTGTGTGTGTGTGTGCTTTAGTCATCTTTTTATTCTTGCCAACTCAGAATTTCGTTTAAGAAAATACGTATGTGTTTGTTTCTGCTATATTTCAGTATGTGCATGTCTGTGTGTGCTTGTATGTGTGTAAACATATACATGGTTTACATACATAATCCAATAGGAGGGGGGTCAGCAGTGTATCTGGTGTGTCATACTGATGGACATGGCTGAGCACAGCTTTTTCATATTACATAGAATAATATTTTTAAAAATTATTTTTCTATATGCCAGCTTCAATTTTTATTTTAATTCACCTGATATATACTATATTGAATTTTTAAACATTAAATTGTAGACAAGAGCTAAGTCTTTCTCCAGAACTCATAGTAATGTTTTCCCAAGGATTTACATATATATGATCTTTATGGTAGATATCCTGTAGCGATTGTATTAACTCTCAGTTCCTGTTGTTACTCTATCATGCAGAAAAGTTCTACTTGGAACTTATTGGAGTAGTGAGTTGAAATTCACCATGCAACAACTTTTAGGAACCTAGAAATGTGCAAAATTGGCCAGTTTTTATGATATAAATATGTGCTAATGTGCAATTTATTTGTACTGTATTAATTTTTTGGAAATATTTTATACCTATTGTTGGATCTATTTTATGAAATGTAAAATGTATATAAACATGTCTCTTCAAAAAATGCTGGTCAAATTTTCGCTTTTTATTTTACCTATTACTTTAAGGTCAGCTTTCCCTAATGTACGTAGGATATCACTGGAGTGGTTTATAATTACTTGAAAATTTGTCAGAATATCCTGGCCCCAAAGTGAAAATCTACTTTGATCAGTAATGAAATATTGATGTGTTTTGTGTCATAACAAAAGTGAAATTTCTGATCCAAAAGTGAAAATCCACTTTGTGCAATAAGAAAATGTTGGCCTCATAGAGACGAATGATAAAAGTGGTTTTGTTTATTTTTGTTTGTTTTAAAAATTAGACATCCCTGTAAATAGGGTCACCATACAATTTATTCTCTAAACCAGGCCACTTCTGATAGTGAAAGGGAATATTATTATTTACTCTGAGGCAATGGGAAAACACAGGGATTGATAGTATCTCCACTATAAAGAATATTTGTTCGTAGTATTGCAAAGAAGAATGTTCAAGATTCTGAACCAGTTATGACAATATACATACCAAAAAAATGCTTATCTGAGGATTCCTAGACCTTTCCAAGGAACTTGGAGCGTGCACCATTTATATTTGATTTTCAATGCTGGGAACATTTTTTATAGGTGACTCTTCAATTCAAACAACCAGTAAAAATACTACTTAGGCATGGCTCAGGGCTATAATGCAATGTTCTCTCCTGAGGTTCCTGCGGAGAAACAAAAGAGTCTATTGTTGTTCAAAACCACTGTGTTGTTTAATATCCCCAAACAGCCCTCACTTTGTTTTCCCTTGAAAAATGGTAGAAATTTTTTGAAAATTGGTTTTTATCCTCAAAGACTACCCCCTCTTAAAAGTGTCTTTAATAAATTATCAAAGATCTCCCCTGCAGTTTCTTTAGGATATATTGGGTTTTTCCCACCATGATTATTTTAGTTGAGAGTTTTACGTTTCAAAGAGAGCATGCAGAAGCGATAGCAAAAATGTATGAGTTATTCAGTTTTCTTCTTGTACATCTTTGCATTTCATATGAGCAGAATGGGATTTTAATAACGTGGGATATGTTTTGTTGTTGTTGTTTTGTAAGGCAGGGTTTTGGGGGAAGAGAAGAGACAGGATTGTTTAATTGGAAATAAAAATTCATTTTGTTTTAATTAAAAAACCTAATTAAGTTCCCTAGGAATCATAATTTACACTGCTGATTGCAGCTTTTATTGCCATATTTTAGCCCTGTATTCCTTTTTGTGATCTAGTGATTTATTGCTGAAAATAGATTTGGAAGAAAGAGAGAGGAGGGCAAAATTATGCAGCATTAGATTCACTAGTTACAATTTAAAATTCAGTGCTGATGTTCAAACCGTAAGTTATCTCCCTGATATTATCAGGGAGTGTCATTTGAGTGATGCACTTTATTGGGCTAGTTTACTATATATCAGTAGATTAGGTTCTCCCCCTTTCTCACTGATATATTTAAAGCCATAAGATTGTAATTAATAGAAGCAGCAAAATGAGCCTTCAGCAAATTAATTATAATTATGCATGCTATGCATATGAATAATAATCTGGTTGATAAATTTATAATGGTGGAAACTATTATGTGGATTAAATGATAAAGGCAGTTTTAGTTGGAAATTGGGAAAAATACATACCTTAAAGATTCTTGCAAGCTGTCTTTCAGACTAATTTGGCTCCCAGCTGTGGTTCAAGTTTTGATATGAAGCTATTTATTTTGAGTGCAATTGTCATAAACACTCAGTCAGAGATGTTATGTGGAATCATTGTATGATTTTTGATCAGTGAACTGTTCCCAAATACAATATTATGCTTTTGGAATTATTTGCTTTACAATAATTTGCCAAAAACATTAAACTAGATTTCAAAAATCCTTTTATACATTAGGTATAGTTTGTAATAAAGTAACCAAACATTTATTTGCACTAAATTTTAATGATAACATGGTGGCATAAAGGCATGAGGTAAAATTCTTTGTATTTCCTGCTAGAGATCTTTTGTATATGGTTGAGTCAATCCCTCAATCCATTTTTATGACAGAATTTGCATAACATTAAAATAAGAAAATACTTCTAGGGAGTTGGATGTCTGTTGTCTTCCTCATTAATATGTTAGATATATTTTGTAAAAAAAAGGTCATATTTATTGAGACATTGAGTGCCTTAAACATCCTTCTTACATCATCTCCACAATGGGTTCTGAAGCTGACCAATGGAGATGACTAAATTATAATGTAGCCTTCACCTGATATTTCTATCTGGGTCAACAGGAGAAACTAGTTGCCAGAGAAGTAAGCTATAACAGAATCCACTAATGAGAACTGAGATCTAATCCCAGGAAGGGATTTTAAATGAATACTACATTTAGAGACCAAAGTCAGGATCAGAGTGGTCTGAGAGACAAGAATCAAGAGTTTGAAAAATGCTACCAAGTAATATTAAGGAGAAGTGAGTGTGTATGTGTTTCTGTAAGTGTGTGGGAGCTGAGTCTTGAGTGGTCATAGAGTTAATTCCTCATTAATCACCTTAAAACCAGTTTTACAGTACTGTTTTCCTAACTTGGTTGCATATGATAATCACTTGGGGAAGTTATAAAATTGTTAATGCAAGACCAAATTTATCAATATCTCTGAGCAGGAGTGCAGATAGAGGTATTTTTGAAAAATCAGGTATTTTTAATTGAGGCAAAAATAGAGAAATCATGCATTATGAGTGATGGTGATATGCCATTAGAGATGTTTGGAGAAAGAACTAGTACTGGGGTAGACCCCAAATTGCACAGGACTTAAAAATGAACATCCTGCCTCCTTATTTTCTTGCCTTTAGTTATATATTGCCATGAGCCTAGGGAAGGGAAGGGTTGCTGTATGTATCCAGATGAGTCATGAATAAAGGAAACTACATGCTGCTATTATCAATAAATATTTCTATAAACTGATTTTTTTTACTTGACATATCACACATCTTTCCTTTCCACTTGGTAGAGCATAGGTGGGCCATAAAGATTATGGAAGGAAACAGTTAAGTTGTTCTGATGAGTGATAAAGTCTATGTTTTCATATACAGTTAATGAAAAAACTAAAGCAATCTCAAACCAAAATGATCATATGCCTATATGGATATGTCCTGAGTGATTTGCCCACATAATCTCCATCATGGTCCTGTGTGGGAGTAGTTTGTATCTTTTCTTCATCTTTATAATTATTGGTATATACGTTTTAGAGGAAAAAGCATAAATATTTGTTTTAAAAATTATATATATATATGTATTTTTATTATACTTTAAGTTTTAGGGTACATGGGCACAACACGCAGGTTAGTTACATATGTATATATGTGCCATGTTGGTGTGCTGCACCCAGTAACTCATCATTTAACATTAGGTATATCTCCAAATGCTATCCCTCCCCACACCCCCGACCCTACAACAGGCCCCGGTGTGTGATGTTCTCGTTCCTGTGTCCATGTGTTCTCATTGTTCAGTTTTAAAGCTAGAGACAAACTTGGTTTACAAGTTTAAGTCACTATGAGTAATTAGCTTAATATTTAGATATCTTATATTCTTTAAAAGTCCATAAAATATGGGTTATGAGCTCACTAATAATATTATACTGATTAAGTAATATTTGCAACTCATTTAACACAATGCTTCACAGAGCGGGTGACTAAAATATGTCAGTGTTATCTTCTACTCTAGCAAATTCTTTTCATTTCCAAGAATGTTTTAAGACATTTTATGATATAAATCTACCTACAATAAAGTAGACAAGAATAAATTAAAATAAAATTTATGAGGCAAATATGCTAGTTATAAAAATGTATTAAATTATGTGACTTAGTATTACATACAACTTTGAGCTCCCTGGCACCCAGGGCAAAAATTAATAAACAAACTTGATTTTATTAATTGGAAGAGGATGAAAATATTTTTACACAGAAAACATTTTTCCCTTGATGTAATGTTCCAAAGGATATAACTCAGGGTCTTCTTTACAGGGAATATTGAATAATGTAAATGGATAATGCCTTGAAAAATGATTTTGTAGCTGATGCAGAAGCCGTCTGCGTATGGCTGTTCTTTGCATCAGTCCTCAATAAAATCCAAGGGCATGACTTTAAAGGGTAACAGGCTGATGATTATTACATTTTTATGGATGACTTAAGCATCTTTCTCCATTGTTGTATGAGAAGAGAGTCAAATGAGAGATCATCTGGCTTAGGGTATAACTGAAAATATCCCCCAGTAAAGAGAAGAATCCATGCAACACTTATAATTCTTCTGAAACTCTCCTATGTATAAGTTTGTACACATTGTCATATAGCAAAAAATTAAAATAGAGCACACTGTAATATTTTAGTGTGAATAAAATACATTTTTGCTCCGTGGTCCATGCTATCATGGAACGGAGACAATAATGACCTTCATCTATAAAACAATCAGTTATACAATATACATCTAAATTACTAATGTGCTAAAATGATATCTCAGAAGAACTGAATACTAGCAAAATAAAGAAAATTAACAATTCTGTAGTATTTATTTTGAGTGTCAAATTACTTGATAAGCATGTAAAATGTAGATTTTCAGAAAACAGGTTAATAATTGTCACTGGGAGATGGTTGTAATGTAAGACACTTACACATTTAAATATTTATAAAATACTTTTTATAGATTTGTAAAGTATCTTTGTCCTGAATGTGTTTGCTGATTGTAGGATGTATGATGTTTATAAATGTAACAACTTAAGCAAAGACATTTTAGTTCTGTGCTCATCCATATTGAATTGCAAATATTAGAACGATAGTGAGCATAATACTCAGAAATATTGTCAAGGCAGTATAAAACATTTGGATTATTCTAAAGTATCAAGACAATCATTCAAATTTCTATGCCTTATAATAGAGCTGAAAAAATATATATGATCTCTGAAATTATGTATGAACTATAAGTCACGAATCTCTCGAACTGTGAAATTCAAAAAAAAAATTCAATACTTTCTCTGATTTCACATAACTAGTTAGTGGCAGAATCAAGAAATCAACTTGTTAGTTTTATCTTCTTGTTTATTACTCCAGAAATCCTCCTCCTTTGATAGATTGGTGTCATATGGACATTGTTTCTAGGGTAACCATACCCAAAATGTTGCTTTCAGACCTGATGAATTTTTTTTAGTTGTACAAAAAGAAATTGAATTAGATTGTACATTATATTTTTTAAAGATTTTATTGTTTAAAAATAGAAAACTGAGTAACACACACACCTGATGACACCAACATAAATACCTTCCTTTTCCTCGTACAGAGAGTTACAATCCCTGCTCCATCAAAGAAAACAACTGCAGGAGTTGTAGTCACCCCTCCTACTAGAGTTACCCACTAGAAACGTTGCGCTCCCTCTCACTGTTAGAAAATTGCTGAAGCTATGTCACAAGTTCCTGAACTCATTTTTTTTTCACTTGAAAAAGTATATTGAAAATAGTCCTTTACCCCATCCCTGGCTTGAGCAGATGTGTTCCTAGTAGTTCCAGGCAGAAGGCTACATTGGATTATGTCTGAGAATGAGATTGAAAGCTGAGCCATTCTGTGTACTCCTTCTGTGAGTGGGGGCAAAAATCATGTAGCCACCCTAAGCCTCAGTTTTCCACCTCTATAATGGAATAATATAACCTATCTGACAAGGTTGTTGTCAGGATATGCTAAGTACTTGGCAAAGTGAATTAAATGTCACACACAGACAAATAAATTTGAACCATTATTATTGGACAAAATTTATAAATGTTTTAGTTCTGTATTATTACAATTGTAGACAAGATAAATGAGGTGACTTCTTTTTAATAAAATTTAATGGACTGGGCAGGTAACTTAACTTCAGTGGGAAACAGGGAATTTTGAGATGAAAAGAGCTCTTAGAATTATCTAGTTTCCTGGATTCTAAGAATTAGAAGGTACCCTAAAATGTTCTAGTACAACTGCCATTTGCAATTGTAGTAGCCCCTCAAATATTCCAAAAAAGTAGTAAAACTATCCTGTGTATGAAGCCTTCCAAAATAAAGAAAACTGCTATCTATAATATCTTTATACCTAAAACTCTTGACAGATTTGAATACTATTAAAACACGCTTCCAAATATTAAAACAGAAATAGCACGAGTCCTAATTATTAGCAGGTGGCATCCTATGTTTATTTTTATTTTAAAAATCTTTTTCTGAATATCAAAATAACACCCACTTTTGAAACATTTATTTATAATCCCATCTTCTAAAGAATATCATTGTTAATATTTTGGCATGTTTCTATCCATTATTTTTTCTATGCACATTGTTGTCATTTAGATATCATATAACCTTAAAATCATTGTTTTTATTAATATTAATGATATTAAAGATTTTATCTTGTGAAAAAATTATATTATTTGAATGCCAACATAATTGTTCATTGTATGAATCCATTGCTTCTATTGCTGTATAAACAAATTATTTATTTTTGTTACTATAATATCACTAGAAATATATTATTTATACAAACATTTATCCATTGTGAAAATGGTAATCTTTTAATAGTCTCTGAGATTAATAATTAGCAGATCAAGGCTATAAATATTTTTAGGGCTCTTGATTTATATATTGATAAATTGCTCCACAAATAATATAACAATTTAGTGTCACATTAAGAGTATGTGAGAGGAACTTTGCCACTGACGACTAGCCACACTGATCTTTTACTTGTATTAAAAAGTAACAATTATTTAATATTCCAAATCATAATTTTCCTTAAAAATTACCCTGTGATTTATATATTTTATAAAATTAGAAAAATAGCAGTGATAGCCAAGTTCACTGCACTAATTTTACCAGATACAAAACAAGAAATTCAAAGAGGTTACATAGATTACCACCTGTTACAAAA
Organism: Homo sapiens; assembly: GCF_000001405.40. NCBI lineage: Eukaryota > Metazoa > Chordata > Mammalia > Primates > Hominidae > Homo > Homo sapiens. The sequence goes on from NC_000009.12 coordinate 24,887,811, forward strand.
CTAGACAGAGACAAAACAAAATTGAAATTTAGGCCTACGCATTTCCAGGCCATTGTAACTAAATAAAGGATGCTCTGAATTCTAATTTGATTCATGAACCAATGTTTATAAGCCAACATATTTGTAAATTGTATCTAGACTGTTTATAGTAAAAAAAAGCTTACATGGGTTAACATCTTAGAACAAAATGGAAATGATGAAGGATGGAAAAACTGCTGTAATGTAGATTGCTTAAAATTAACAGAAAAGTTTAAATATGCATACAATGTTGGAATGATGGATATAATTGGAAGAAAGAAAGATTTTGTATTCATGGCAGAAAACAAACAAATAATAGTGGCCTTTGGGAGGCCAAGGTGGGTGGATCACCTGAGGTCGAGAGTTTGAGACCAGCTTGACCAACATGGTGAAATCCGATCTCTGCTAAAAATACAAAAAGTAGCTGGGTGTGGTGGCATGCGCCTGTAGTCCCAGATACTTGGGGTGGCTGAGGCAGGAGAATCACTTGAAACCAGGAGGTGGAGGTTGCAGTGAGCCAAGATTGTGCCACTCCAGCCTGGGCAACAGACGGAGACTCCATCTCACAATCAATCAATCAATCAATCACTAATGATAATAATAGCAATAGTGGTCGAGATTGCTGGCGAGATAGCTGAATAGTAACAGCTCCAGTCTGCGGCTCCCAGAGAGATGGACGCAGCAGGCGGGTGATTTCTGCATTTCCAACTGAGGTACTTGGTTCATCTCATTGGGACTGGTTGGACAGTAGGTGCAGACCAAAGAAGGCAAGCTGAAGCAGAGTGGGGTGTCACCTCACCTGGGAAGTTCCAGGGGTCGGGGAAATCTCTCCCCTACCCAAGGGAAGCCATTAAGGACTGAGCCTGAGGAACAGTGCACTCCAGCCCAGAAACTGCGCTTTTCCCATGGTTTTTGCAAACCGCAGACCAGGAAATTCCCTCCAGTGCCTAAGCCACCAGGATCCTGGGATTCAAGCACAAAACTGAGCAGCTGTTCGGGCAGACACCGAACTAGCTGCAGGAGTGTTTTTATTTATTTTTTAATTTTTTTATTTTTTTCCCCACACCCCAGTGGCACCTGGAACAAAAGTTAGACAGAACCATTCACACCCCTGGAAAGGGGGCTGAAGCCAGCGAGCCAAGTGGTCTAGCTTGGTGGGTCCCACCCCTATGAGGCCAGCAAACTGAGATCCATTGGCTTGAAATTCTCACTGCCAGCACAGCAGCAGTCTCAGATCCACCTGGGATGCTCGAGCTTAGTTGTGGGAGGGGTGTCCACCATTGCTGAGGCTTGATTAGGCGGCTTTACCCTCACAGTGTAAACAAAGCCACCTGGAAGTTCGAACTGGGCAGAGCACACCACAGCTCAGCAAGGCCGCTGTGGCCAGACTACCTTTCTAGATTCCTCCTCTCTGGGCAGGGCATCTCTGAAAGAAAGGCAGCAGCCCCACTCAGGGACTTATAGATAAAACACCAATCAACCTGGGACAGAGCACCTGGGGGAAGGGGCAGCTGTGGGTGCAGCTTCAGCAAACTTTAATGTCCCTGCCTGATGGCTCTGAAGAGAGCAACGGACCACACAGAACAGCATTCGAGCTCTGCTAAGGATCAGACTGCCTCCTCAAGTGGGTCCCTGACCCCCATGTATCCTGACTGGGAGACACCTTCAAGTAGGGGCCAACAGACACCTCATACAGGAGAGCTCTGGCTGGCATCTGGCAGGTGCCCCTCTGGGATGAAGCTTCCAGAGGAAAGAAGAGGAAGCAATCTTTGCTGTTCTGTAGCCTCTGCTGGAGATATCCAGGCAAACAGGGTCTCGAGTGAACCTCAAGCAAACTCCAGCAGACTTGCAGCAGATGGGCCTGACTGTTAGAAGGAAAACTAACAAACAGAAAGGAGTAGCACGTTCACTCAGAGACCCCGTACAGATGTCACCAACATCAAAGACCAAAGGTAGATAAATCCACGAAGATGGGGAGAAACCAGCACAAAAAGGCTGAAAATTTCAAAAACCAGAATGACTTTTCTTCTCCAAAGGATCACAACTCCTCGCCAGCAAGGGAACAACACTGGATGGACAATGAGTTTGACGAATTGACAGAAGTAGGCTTCAGAAGGTGGGTAATAACAAACTCCTCCGAGCTAAAGGAGGATTTTCTAACTCAATGCAAGGAAGCTAAGAACCTCGAAAAAAGGTTAGAGGAATTGCTAACTAAAATAACCAGTTCAGAGAAGAACATGAATGACCTGATGGAGCTGAAAAACACAGCACAATAATTTCGTAAAGCATGCACAAGTATCAATAGGCAAATCGATCAAGCAGAGGAAAGGATATCAGAGATTGAAGAACAACTCAATGAAATAAAATGAGAAGACAAGATTAGAGAAAAAAGAATGAAAAGGAATGAACAAAGCCTCCAGGAAATATGGGACTATGTGAAAGACCAAATCTACATTTGATTGGTGTACCTGAAAGTGACAGGAAGAATGGAACCAAGGTGGAAAACTCTCTGCAGGATATTATCCAGGAGCACTTCAGCAACCTAGCAAGACAGGCCAACATTCAAATTCAGGATATGCAGAGAGCACCATGAAGATACTCCTTGAGAAGAGCAACCCCAAGACACATAATCATCAGATTCACCAAGGTCGAAATGAAGGAAAAAATGTTAAGGGCAGTCAGAGAGAAAGGTTCGGTTACCCACAAAGGGAAGCCCATCAGACTAACAGTGGATCTCTGCAGAAACCATACAAGCCAGAAGAGAGTGGGGACCAATATTCTACATTCTCAAAGAAAAGAATTTTCAATCCATAATTTCATATCCAGCCAAACTAAGCTTCATGAGCGAAGGAGAAATAAAATCCTTCACAGACAAGCAAATGCTGATTTTGTCACCACCAGGCCTGCCTTACAAGAGCTCCTGAAGGAAGGACTAAATATGGAAAGGAACAACCAGTACCAGCCACTGCAAAAGCGTACCAAATTGTAAAGACCCTTGACACTATGAAGAAACCACATTAGCCAACAGACAAAATAACCAGCTAGCATCATAATGACAGGATCAAATTCACACTTAACAATATTAACTTTAAATGTAAACGGGCTAAATGCCCCAATGAAAAGACACAGACTGGCAAAATGGATAAAGCATGAAGACCCATTGTGTGCCATATTCAGAAGACCCATCTCACATGCAAAGACACGAAAGTTCAAAACAAAGGGATGGAGGAATATTTATCAAGCAAATGGAAAGCAAAAAAAGGTAACAGTTGCAATCCTAGTCTCGATAAAACAGACTTTAAACCAACTAAGATCAACAGAGACAAAGAAGGCCACTACATAATGGTAAAGGGATCAATGCAACAAAAAGAGCCAACTATCCTAAATATATATGCACCAAATACAGGAGCACCCAGGTTCATAAAGCAAGTTCTTAGAGAGCTACAAAGAGACTTACACTCCCACACAATAATCGTGGGAGACTTTAACACCCCACTGTCAATATTAGATCAACGAGACAGAAAATTAACAAGGATATTCAGAACTTGAACTCAGCTCTGGACCAAGTGGACCTAACAGACATCTACAGAACTCTCCACCCCAAGTCAACAGAATATACATTCTTCTCAACACCACATCACACTTGTTGTAAAATTGACCACATAATTGGAAGTAAAACGCTTCTCAGCAAATGCAAAAAAATGGAAATCATAACAAACAGTCTATCAGACCACAGTGCAATCAAATTAGAACTCAGGATTAAGAAACTCACTCAAAACTGCACAACTGCATGGAAACTGAACGACCTGCTCCTGAATGACTCCTGGGTAAATATCAAAATGAAGGCAGAAATAAAGATATTCTTGGAAACCAATGAGAACAAAGACACTATGTACCAGAATCTCTGGGACACATTTAAAGCAGTGTGTAGAGGGAAATTTATAGCACTAAATGCCCACAAGAGAAAGCAGGAAAGATTTAAAATACACACCCTAACATCAAAATTAAAGGAACCAGAGAAGCAATAACAAATAACTTGAAAAGCTAGCAGAAGACAAGAAATAACTAAGATTGGAGCAGAAGTGAAGGAGATAGAGACAGGAAAAACACTTTAAAAAATCAATGAATCCGGGAGCTGGGTTTATGAAAAGAACAACTAAATAGACCGCAGGTGAGACTAATAAGAAAAGAAGAATGAAATAGACACAATCCAAAATGATAAAGGGGGTATCACCACTGATCCCACAGGAATACAAACTACCATCAGATAATACTATAAACACCTCTATGCAAATAAACCAGAACGTCTAGAAGAAATGGATAAATTCCTGGACACATTCCAGGAAGAAGTTGAATCACTGAGTAGACTAATAACAAGTTCTGAAATTGAGGCAGTAATTAATAGCCTACCAACCAAAAAAAAAAGTCCAGAACCAGACGGATAAACAGCCGAATTTTACCAGAGGTACAAAGAGGAGCTGGCACCATTCCTTCTGAAACTATTCCAAACAATAGAGAAAGAGGGAATCCTCCCTAACTCATTTTCTGAGGCCAGCATCATCCTGATACCAAAACCTGGCAGAGACACAACAAAAAAGAAAATTTCAGTCCAATGTCTCTAATGAAGATTGATGCAAAAATCCTCAATAAAATACTGGCAAATAGAATCCAGCAGCACATCAAAAAGCTCATCCACCATGATCAAGTTGGCTTCATCCCGGGGATGGAAGGCCGGTTCAACATACGCAAATCAATAAACGTAATCCATCACATAAGCAGAACCAATGACAAAAAAACACATGATTATCTCAATAGATGCAGAAATGACCAAATTCAACAGCGCTTCATGCTGTAAACTCTCAAACTAGGTATTGATGGAAGGTATCTCCAAATAATAACAGCTATTTATGACAAGCCCACAGCTAATATCATACTAAACGGACAAAACTGGAAGCATTCCCTTTGAAAACTGGCACAAGTCATGGATGCCCCCTCTCACCACTCTTATTCAACATAGTATTGGAAGTTCAGGCCAGGGCAAGAGAAAGAAATAAACCATATTCAAATAGGAAAAGAAGTAGTCAAATTGTCTCTGCAGATGACATGATTGTACATTTAGAAAACCCCACTGTCTCAGCCCCAAATCTCCTTAAGCTCATAACCAACTTCAGCAAAGTTTCAGGATACAAAATCAATGTGCAAAAATTAGAAGCTTTCCTATACACCAATAATACACAGAGAGCCAAATCATGAATGGACTCCCATTCACAATTGCTACTAAGAGATCAAAATACCTACAATACAACTTACAAGGGAATTTAAAGACCTCTTCAAGGAGAACTACAAACCAGTACTCAAGGAAATAAGAGAGGACAAAAACAAATGGAAAATCATTCCATGCTCATGGATAGGAAGAATGAATATCGTGAAAATGACCATACTGCCCAAGGTAATTTATAGATTCAATGCTATGTCCATCATACTAGCAATGACTTTCTTCACAGAATTAGAATAAACTACTTTAAACTTTATATGGAACCAGAAAAGAGCCTGCATAGCCAGGTCAATCCTAAGCAAAAAGAACAAAGTTGGAGGCATCATGCTACCTGACTTCAAACTACACTACAAGGCAACAGTAACCAAAACAGCATGGTCTGGTACCAAAACAGCTGTATAGACCAGTGGAACAGAACAGAGGCCTGAGAAATAACAACACACATCTACAACCATCTGATCTTTGACAAACCTGACACAAACAAGCAATGGGGAAAGGATTTCCTATTTAATAAATGGTGTTGGGAAAACTGGCTAGACTTATGCAGAAAATTGAAACTGGACCTCTTCCTTACACCTTATACAACAATTAACTCAAGATGGATTAAAGACTTAAACGTAAGACCTAAAACCATAAAAACCCTACAAGAAAACCTAGGCAATACCATTCAGGACATAGGCATGGGCAAGGACCTTATGTCTAAAACACCAAAAGCAACGGCAGCAAAAGCCAAAATTGACAAATGGGATCTAACTAAACTAAAGAGCTTCTGCACAGTGAAAGAAACTAGCATCAGAGTGAACAGGCAACGTACAGAATGGGAGAAAATTTTTGCATTCTATCTGACAAAAGGCTACTATCCATAATCTACAAAGGACTTAAATGTACAAGGAAAAAACAACCCCATCAAAAAGTGGGCAAAAGATACGAACAGACACTTCTCAAAATGACGTTTATGCAGCCAACAAACATATGAAAAAAAGCTCATCATCACTGGTCATTAGAGAAATGCAAATCAAAATCACAGTGAGATACCTTCTCACACCAGTTAGAATGGTGATCATTAAAAGTCAGGAAGCAGGCCGGGCGCGGTGGCTCACGCCTGTAATCCCAGCACTTTGGGAGGCCGAGGCGGGCAGATCAGGAGGTCAGGAGATCAAGACCATCCTGGCTAACACAGTGAAACCCTGTCTCTACTGAAAATACAAAAAAAAAAAAATAGCCAGGCACGGTGGCGGGCGCCTGTAGTCCCAGCTACTCAGGAGAATGAGGCAGGAGAATGGCGTGAACCTGGGAGGAAGAGCTTGCAGTGTGCTGAGATCGTGCCACTGCACTCCAGCCTGGGCAACAGAGCTAGACTCCATCTCACAAAAAAAAAAGGTCAGGAGGCAACAGATGCTGGAGAGGATGTGGAGAAATAGGAATGCTTTTACACTATTGGTGGGAGCATAAATTAGTTCAACCATTGTGGAAGACAGTGTGGCGATTCCTCAGGGATCTAGAACCAGAAATACCATTTGACCCAGCAATCTCATTACTGGGTATATACCCAAAGGATTATAAATCATTCTACTATAAAGACACATGCACATGTATGTTTATTGCGGCACTATTCACAATAGCAAAGACTTGGAGCCAACCCAAATGTCCATCAATGATAGACTGGATAAAGAAAATGTGGCACATATACACCATGGAATACTATGCAGCCATAAAAAGAATGAGTTCATGTTCTTTGCAGGGACATGGATGGAGCTGGAAACCATCATTCTCAAAAAACTAACACAAGAACAGAAAACCAAACACCGCATGTTCTCACTCATAAGTGGGAGTTGAACAATGAAAATACTTGGACACAAGGAGGGGAACATCACACGTCAGGGCCTGTCATGGGGTGGGGGGCTAGGGGTTGGATAGCATTAGGAGAAATATCTAATGTATGTGATGGGTTGATGGATGCAGCAAACCACCGTGGCATGTGTAATACCTATGTAACAAATTGCACGTTTTGCCTATGTACCCCAGAACTTACAGTATAATCTATAATCATAATAATAATAACAATGATAGTGGCCTAAATAACCTGAGGCCTAAGAGCAAAGCATGTAAATTCAACTAGTCATAAGATTCTGTTGTTGGTAACATACTTTGAAAATTATCCTAACTGCATAGTTATGTCAATATATAAATCTTCATACTAGTACTTACATAAATAAATATATTACAAAAGTAAATTTTACATTTATATAGTGACTTTCAATTAGCAATACACTTGATATTTATTATATATAGATTCTCACTTAATTCTCAGAATAACTCTGTATTGTACCTGTTATGCAGATGACTATATTGAAACTCAAAAAGATAAATGCTCTACACAAGAGCAATCAGTGAGAGATTCAAACATGAAATGTTTACTCTACTGGAATATCTATCTCCATTTTCTTCTGTTTTAAAAAATACTTCCTTCTCTTCTTGTTTCCATTGGTTTAGCGTATAGGGTTGCTAAAGCTGACTCAAGATGTCATTTACTTGGAATGTCCCAAGTATGAGACATCTCATTCATTCAGGTATGTTAAAGTATCAGGATAAAGGTTAGCTTTATAATTCGTTCATCACATACTTATTGAGCACTTATTTTATGCATGATAATACTGCAGTAATTATTTAGAAAATTACAAAACATGTTTAAAATGTAAATCCTGCTCACATACCTGATTAGCATAAATTTACATAAGAACATTGAACTCCAAAATATAAATTTGGGTGTTTATGTCTAACTTCGTGTGTAACTAGTTAAATGACTCAGGCAAAATATTATACTTCTCTAACCCTTTATAAACACAGGTGACTCTCCATATCCCTGAGATTTAGCCTACAACGAAAACATCTAGAAAAAATATATATCAATACAACAACAAAAAACACATTTTTTAAAAAAGCACACTGTATAACAATTATTTGTATAGAATTTACATTGCATTAGGTATTAAAGTAACCTATGGAGGATTTAAAGTATATGAGAAGATGTACATAGGTTATATGCAGATACTATGCCATTTTATATAAGGGACTTAAGTATATTCACAGGGAGTCCTGGAACCAATCCTCATGGATAACAAGAGATGATTATAGTTTTAATATATATCTGTCATTCTATACTATATCTATTTGCACTATGGTATCTATATTATATGATTATATATTAAAATATTTATATGTTTATATTTAATATGCATTTATATTTAGATATACATAAGAACATATAATTATACATTAAATATAATATTTTATAGTAAACATAACGGTTGTATATATTACATACAGCATATACACTTATTTAGGCTGGGCGCAGTGGCTCATGCCTGTAATCCCTGCAATTTGGGTAGCCAAGGCGGGCGGATCACTTGATGTCAGGAGTTCCAGCCCAGCATGGCCAACATGGTGACACCCCATCTCTACTAAAAATACAAAAATTAGCTGGATGTGGTGGCATGCACCTGTAGTTCCAGCTACTCAGGTGGCTGAGGCAGGAGAATTGCTTGAACCTGGGAGGTGGAGGTTGCAGTGAGCCGAGATTGCACCACTACACTCCAGCCTGGATGACAGAGTGATACTCCATCTAAAAAAAAAAAAAGTATATACACTTATTTTGTATTAAAGCATAACGTATACATATAGTAGCTATAGCTACATATTTTATATATATTTACTATATAGAGAATGGGTAATTAGCAGTAAAAATAACTATTAGATGCTTTATTAATACCTCTTCTGTGGAGCAGATAATAGGATTTGGGGGACTAGTATTGAAAAGAGGAGACGGCATACGTTTTCAGTATCAGGCAGCATCAGGTTCGTTATTAATGCATTACCTAAGTAACACATTCAACAAACATATACTGGCTACCAATTATGAATAAGCACTGGATCTGTAAGATTCATTTCCTCAGTTCAGAAAATTAACCATCCAGAGGGTAGGACAAATATTGCAACATGTAACACTGATGTTTCACTCTAATAATATTAACACATAGCAAATGCCTCTGAGATATCCAGGTTGAACATGCAGAGAAGAATATCACTCTAGAGCTTGGAGGGGGTTAGGCTAAATGATGAAGATCTGGGTTTTATTAACATTTTGGAGGGATGCTTAGCAGTGAGAAAGCTCAGGCAAATCAAAAGGAAAAAAAAAAAAAACACCATAAAAGTGATATGGGAATGCTGGGAAGGGAAGAACGTGGTCCCTTTAAATGATACAGAAGTGGAGACATGGAAGTGCTGAGTAGAGAAAGGCGTGCTCCATGACTAGGGCTCCACCCCCACAGACCTAGATGAGGACAAGCACTCGAGCTTTTAAGCCCAAATGTTGCATTTTCCAAGACCACCTTGGCCCACCACGCCTCCATCCAGGGCCTATAAAAACCCGAGACCCGGCCGGGCGCAGTGGCACACGCCTGTAATCCCAGCACTTTGGGATGCCAAGGTGGGCGGATCATGAGGTCAAGAGATCAGACCATCCTGGCCAATATGGTGAAACCCCGTCTCTACTAAAAATACAAAAATTAGTCGGGCATGGTAGCGTGTGCCTGTAATGCCAGCTACTTGGGAGGCTGAGGCAGGAGAATTGCTTGAACCCGGGAGGCAGAGGTTGCAGTGAGCCAAGATTGTGCCACTGCACTCCAGCCTGGTGACAGAGCGAGACTCCATCTGAAAAAACAAACAAACAGACAACAACAACAACAACAAAACACTGAGACCCTAGCAGGCAGGTACACAGGCGGCCAGATGTCAAGAGAAGCACATCAGCGGAAGAAGAAAGACACAAGCCGTCGGACATCGAGAGGACACCGAGGGAGCACACCTGCAGAATAGCACACCAACAGGCACAGGCACAGCGGCAGGCCATCAACTGGCAGGACGAGGCGGAGTTTGACCCGGTAGTCATAGGAGAGCCGTGCCACCAGGCAGCCCAACTCCAGGAGAAAATCATCTCCCTTCTGGCTCCCCCGTTGGCTGAGAGATACTTCCACTCAATGAAAATTTGCTCTCATTCTCCAAGCCAACGTGTGATCCGATTCTTGCGGTACACCAAGGCAAGAACCTGGGATACAGAAAGCCCTCTGTCCTTGCGACAAGGTAGAGGGTCTAATCGAGCTGGATAACACAAGCTGCCTATAGGCAAACTAAAAGAGCACCCTGTAACACATGCCCACTGGGGCTTCAGGAGCTGTCAACATTCACCTCTAGACATTGCCAAACCCCACAGCCTGCCTGCCTGTATGCTCTCCTAGAGGTTTGAGCAGCGGGGCACTGAAGAAGTGAGCCATACCCCTATCCCATGCCCTGTGAGGGGAACAAGGGAAACTTTCCTGCTTCAAAAGTGTAGGGGAAACACTTTAGGAGTATAAGAAAAATATGGTTTCACCAGGAAAGAAAGAGAGGAAGTGTTCTGAAAATAATAGAGGAAAGGAGAAAAGAGTGGGTTCATTGTAATCTAGGGTAAAGATGGTTTCACTGGTGATTCAAGCATCCAATTCAGTGAACGAGTTTTAATGCTCTGATCACTTAAATTTGATTTGACCAAAATCCCAATAGTTAAATTTATAAAAACCCAGCTTATTTTGGAGTGATTTGAATCTCAGTTCCACAATTTTCAGGTCACGGGACCTTGAATAAGTTAATTAAAACCTTAATCCCTTCAGTTTTCCCTCATCTACAAATTAAGAATCTGTGTCTTTCTATGTGGTAGGGGCAGGAGCAAGGAGGGAGAAAGATTGAGAAAGACAGAGAGAGAGAAATAAATAGCTGGTGCTCAATTAAATTGAAAAATCTGTCCTCATGTGCTTATGCACTAATACATTTTTTTTTCTAATTCCAGAATTCCCAGTGTTTTGAATCTGACATTTTCTAGATACAGCCTGAGAAATCCTAATGATATAAGCTAGGAGTATTCTCCGTATGGGTCTGAAGAGTTTTGCATTCCCAAGAGCAGTAGATGGGAGAAGTTACATGTGCATACTTGCTCTTTCTTGATCTTCTGCATTCAAGACGTTTGCAGGCTTCTACCATCCTGCATTCTGTCTTTGACCTCAAATGCTTCGTTTTGTCCTCTCTGAGCTGACATGCACTAATTACATGATTTTGGAAATCAGCTCATATATTGGGGCTGAAACAGGGATTACTCCAAGTGCTATCACTGATGTTAAGGTATTGAGTAAAACTCAGTTCTATGCAGAAACTTTTATTTTTTTTGAGATGGAGTCTTGCTTTGTTGCCCAGTCTGGAGTACAGTGGTGTGGTCTCCGCTCACTGCAGCCTCCACCTCCTGGGTTCAACTAATTCTCCTGCCTCAGCCTCCCAAGTAGCTGGGATTACAGGCATGTGCCACCATGCCCTGCTAAGTTTTATATTTTTAGTAGAGACTGGGTTTCTACTAAAAATAGTAGGCTGCTCTTGAACTTCTGACCTTAAGTGATCTGCCTGCTTCAGTCACCCAAAGTGCTGAGATTACAGACGTGAGCCACTGCACCCAGTCTGTAGAAATATTTTTAGTGCACTGAGTGGGTGCTGAGAACTTAGAAGTGGAAAAAAGTATAAGCTCTCAAAGACCGAAGCAGAGCCTAAATATGACTCCTCTTGTCTCTCTCGGTACAGCTCTCTGATTTTGTCCTTGGTTATATGCTGCTCCAAAAAAGGGAACAGGAGTAGCGGGTGCTACAAGTGGAAAAAAAACTGTGAAATGTTAAAAAGGAGGAATTTTGATGACACATAAATCTTATATAGACTGTATTTCATTGTTCTTCATAGAAGACATCTATGTCTGACCCATATGATGGTTCGGGCAAACTGATATGAAAGATATAGATAAAATTTCCCAACGTTTTATAGTGAAACTGGTCCTAAATGTTCTGGATCCCATAGGGTTACGGTTGCTTACATAAAAAAAAATGTGTTGGCACAGTAATATATATGACCTGTTGTTGGCATGACCCATTGTGTGTGATGAGGAGGGTGACAGAAGAGAGCAACCAGAGGATGACAGAGCTTCTTTTGCTGAGGATTAGAATTTAAACATAACCAATATGATAGCTTCATGTGTCCCCCAAAACATAAAGAACAAGATTTTGTGAATCCCTGCTCTGTACATTTCCCAGGGAAGGAAACAGAATCATTATATTTCAATCTTGCATTTGATTTTTCTTCTGTAATATAGATGAATCCTGAGGGATTTACTGAGTGTTTTTCTCCTCTTATTTCCAGGACTGTCTGACAGGTGAAGGAGAGAGAGTCTGTCAAAGCATAACATTTGAGAGGTCAGATTGAGACAGAACAGAATTCATTCTTCTGACAAAGATATAACAAGACAGAATGGATTTTTAGTTGTCCCTAGCAGATATCTCTATAGTGCAACATATTAGACCCTTTTTAAAGAAGTGTGGAAGAAAAAATAAGACATATGAGGAGAAAAGTTATTCTCTAAGAATAACCACCTGATTATAAAATGTATAAAGAGAGGAAACATGAAGTTTGTCTTTAAAGAAAATATTATTCATACTGTCTTGTCTCTGCTGACATAAATATATACAATTCAGCAGAAAGAAATGTAAAGTATACGGATGAGAAAAACCAGATAAAAGGAAAGTAAGGGTGGGTTGTTTTTAGTTGGGAGCTGGGGAGTAAACCATAAACTTCAGAGCTTGAACTAGGTCCCAAATTTTGCTCTAAGCTTTCTTGAGGCCATTGAAAAACAAGTGTAGGACATTTATAAAATCTACAGAATTTATAACATGAAAACCAACTAATTTTTCTAAATATACACAACTATTTCTGATACTGGTGCAAAAATTTCTTTCAAGGTTGAATCAATATTGAGGGGACATAAGAAATGTTATGGACAGCATCTTAATCATAATACTGTACAGAAACACATTTTGTCAGAATATCACATGGCCTATCTCACAGAGGCCAATTGCATATCTGAGTCTGTGGCAGATGCAGCCCTGGCTTTGAGTTTGGAGAGAAAAAGCCTCAGGTGTTTGTTTGGGAAAGGTGCTTTGATCTTTTTGAGTCTCGGTTTCATATCTGTTAAAACAAGAGGAAGGATAATTATGTCTCCTGGTATAAAGATGGTCTAGCTTGTTCCAAGGAAGTAGAATGCATATGGTAAAGGTTAGTTTCCTCCCCCTATAAAGTCCTCTATAAAATTTTGCTACACAAAAGCATTGCATTAACATTGTTATATTTCATTTAAAATATTTTTGTAACCAATTTGCTTTAATGAGGTTGTAAGATTATATGTGAACTGTCTTTTGCAAGGAATACCCCCTTGTACATTTCCAGCACTCAATCATGCTGAACTCCAGGACTGAGGGACCTTCTGAGGCTGCCTTACTTTTGTTCTATGCAAAGAGCTTGGCAACCATGGAAACAGTCCTGACTGCTCATTTTGCACATTTCTTCCCTAGTGTGTTAATCAGCCACAGCAAGAAGATAACATCAAATACCCCATGCCTGCTCACTTTATAAAGGAAACTACTCTGGCTTCTTCCTACTACCTTTATAGAGATCTTAAAAACAGAAAGGTAACAAAACATGTGATATGTTTTATATTGATGCAACATTTCTCAGACAGAAGCTACCTAAACTCAGAGAGGCTATTTGGAGGCTGGCACAAATTCCAGCTGAAGTTGTGGGTGTTTTGTTTATTTGATCTGAAAGTGCTATTTGGTGTGATTTCACATAGTGGGATTCAACATTACTTTTCATTCCCCGGCAGGTGAATAAGCACTGGACTGTGTGTAATAATACAGAGAAAAGAAGGCATTACTATTGAACAGTATGTAGGTACCACATAGTATTTTGACCAGTTGAATATAGTTTATGGTGGGAAATAGGAACCAAAGAGGGGGCTGCAAGTAGCTAAAGGAAGGAAAACAAAGTCCTTAAAATAAAAGAAGGTAAAACCAAACAGTGAACAATAGATTGTCTTTCTTTGGTTTAACCATATTCTATGTTTGTGATAATAATTTACTTATTTTCTTTATAAGCATATGCATTTTAAATATATACATGTTTTACATATATAAATGTATATGTAAAGATGATATAAGTAGACATTTCCAGATTCACAAAGATTTTATAGTCTAGCCCCTAGAATTCCCATCTAAAAAACAAATGGCCATTTATACATATATAAATGTGTAAAACATAGATACATAGATAGATAGATAATGGATTTTTTCTAAGGTTGAAACTTATGTGAATGGAATTACACTGTGTGTATTGTTTTGTGCCTATATCTTTTGTTTAACATGTTTTTGGGATTCATTTGTTACATAGTAGTTGTAGTTTGTTCCTGTTCATTGTTGTGTAGTATTCCATTAATGACTACATTCCAATTTATTCATTTTAATGATGACCATTTCAATAGCTTCCAAGTTGAAGCTCTATGAACAATGCTGCTCTGAGCATTTTTGCTCACATCTCCTTGTGCAATAATCACGAATGTCTTGAGGGTACATATCTGGAGTTGAATTGTTGGGTCATAGAAAATGAGCATCTTCAAATTAACTAGCTAATGCCAAACTGTTTTTCAAGGTGCTTTACCAATTTACACTCACTGCAGGAATGCTTGAGGATTCTTATTGCTTCATGTACTCACTAATAGTAGAGTTGGGGAACTTGACATCATTTGGCAGGGGAGCATATTGGATGCACTCAACTGGAGTCTCCAAAAAGCGGGTAATATAAATAACTTTTAAAAGCTTCCAAGGAATACCGATTGCCAATTTATGTAGATAAATTCTAAAATCACAATTCTTAGCCTTAAATTATAATGCCTTCTTCTTCCTGCCAATGGGTAAAAAACACCATATATATAGGTTTAAACTTCTAAGTGTTTTTCAAGTATTTTAAGAAGCATTTAACATTACATTTAGAGAAAATCAAATTATTTCCATTCTTCCTAGAGGAGTGAAGTATGTAGACTGTTTGCTGAAACATATTCATTGCATGTTTTACAATGTAAGTGTTGAATATAAAATTTTACTACTCATTCTGTAATAAAAACTTGGGAGAAAATCAGGGTTATTTCTGTTTTACTTTATATAAGGCAGTAAATAAAGTTGAAAATGTTTAAAATCCCCTAATTGTATTACTTCTTGACCGTATTTTATTTTTTGGCTTCAGCAATAGGGCAAATATAATGAAGAAAAACATTTCCTAATGTGGTTTCTAAATTCGCACCTGGACTCAGGAACTCCCTGATACAAACCCATATTGATTAGCTAAACTTCGCCAGTAGCAGAACATGGCTGGCTGCTGCTATTCTGCCTCTACTCACAGCATCTGCTAGCATCTTGCACAAGGAGTCTGATCATTTTCCTTTTGTTATTTTGTTTTCTGTGAGGTCCGCAAAATCATCCTGTTGTCACAATCTCTATTGGAACTCCAGGATACAAAACTGAGAAATAGACTTATTTGAACATGAGGCCTGTGCCGTTTGGGGTACCACCACTTCTTTCGTTGACTGGTCGATTTACTATATTGTAAGGGAAAGTGCTGTACAAGCAACTGCAATTTGAAAGGAAGGCTTTTATCTATTGGCAAGACCTGAGTACATTTATATACCTTCACATAGTACTTACTCCCTGAGCCCAGAAAATTCAAGGAGAAATTTCTAGATTCACACATATTTCGTTGTCCTTACCCACTAGAAATCCCATCCATGAAACAAATGGCCAGAGCTGTTTATGTGCTGCACAGGACTGGGGAACTTTATTTTAATTTTTTGAGCAGACACATAGCCTTTAACATAGAGTTCTCTGAAATGGAACAAGACTCTCCGTTCTTTCCTTTGGGATGCCTGCCCTTCTATTCTGTATTCATAAGAAGACTTGATTTAACCAGGATGACACAAATGAGAACTCTTTTAGAAGCAGTTTTTTTTTTCCTTAGGTATATAAGCAGGTTGTATTTTGTAACTAGGATTTTTTTCCTTGCCACCTTCACCAATTTTGTAAGATGAGGCATATGCTAGAAAATATATTGATATTAGATACGTTAAAAAAAAAGTTCCATTCATATCCTGAAGTCAATTCTGTCTCCAATATATTTTGCAAGTTTCACTCTTATGAAGCAGCTCAGACACCACTGAATGATGACATTCTAAATACCACGCTCAACTGAATATAAAAATAAAGAAGCAGAGAATTTTTAGTCTGTCCAACAGCTTCTTTGTAGCCAATATTCATTCAATATTTATGTTTCTAGGGCCTATTGTATTGCAGAAAAACATGGAAGATTGCTTTTAAGTTGAGGACTAGGATTAAAGGTTAGGAATTATGAAGAGAAATATCTTCACTCAATATAAAAGAGAAATGTTTAATGCAACATGAAAATAACACTGGACTTTGGGTCTAAAAATGTTATTTATTTATTTATACTTAGCTAAAAGGCATTTCTCAAGTTTTCTCAGTTCTTCTAACCTGAATTTCTTCATCATTTTGTCCCAGAATGCAGTTGGGAGAATCAACTTTGGTACTTTCAAAATGTCAACTTCATATTTAATATAAATTTTATTAGCTTTAAAATACGAAACTATTATATAATAAATATTAACGTTAACATTGTATAGTATAATATTAAATGGATTACTATATAATACTCAATAGATAGAATTTAACAACTATGAGCATATGTATGTATATATGATTTATATTATGTTTGTGTGTGTAAATATCTATCTATCTGTCTATCTATAAATAGATAAGGCCCTCCAAGAGCAAAAGAGCAACATGTCACTGGAAATGCTTCAGCAAGAGTGGATTCATACCTACCAAAAATTTTATTAGTGATAGGTTAATATGTTATGCTTCCACTTTTCACGATAATTCATAGCTGTAGGAAAAGATGAATGGAGAGGAAAAGAATGGTATGTTTATGTGGTGGGAAGTTCTGGCTCTAAGGTCTGAGGTCAAGAGACTGATATTAATATACAGTTTTTGCAATATTATAATTGTGGGCCCTGGGCATATTACCTCACATCTTTAAGCCTGTTTCCTCATTTGTAAAATGAAGACCTATTAAAGTACTTATTCATAGAGTGTTGAAATGATTAAAGAGAAATGAATAGGGTTTTTAATTGCATGCAAATATTACATATCTCATGGAATCTGCAGGAATGCTAAAGAATCAGTCTTGGATGCTATACAGAAAGGAACAATGACGCCAGGAGCAATGTAGTCAGGGGAAAGGCAAGACACCACACCAGCGCTGCCACCTCACAAAGTGTCTGTGCTGCTAGGAACTGTGTGCTAGAAACTCCATTACAGAGAAACAATAACTTTTGAAATACATAAGAAACTTGTGCTGAGGACCTGTTTTCTAAGCTACACACTGGTGACTTGTTCCTTACTCTTCTGTCTAGGGGAAAGTCCCCAGACCTACGTCAAAGAGTACCATGTGGCTACACAAATTGACATTCCCATTTTCCATATAAAGTCTACAGGAAGCTAATAGGCATAGCAGGAGCAGCATGGTGAAGGGGCGTCCCATTCAGCTCTTCTAGTTACACAGGCAGTGCACCTTCCCACATGCACCAACTACACAGGGCTTGTTCTCAGTGTGGCTGCTTAAAATTAATCATCATCATCATCATAAAATAAATTATATAATAGCTGTCAAGTACTTTCAACATGCTGTGCCATTTCCAAAATAATTTTTTCAATATATGTATTATAATTCCTTTGTAAACAATAAGGGAAAGAGCCTCAGATAGGAAAAGCACTTACCGCAAGTTTCTTTGTCTGGTAAATAACTGAGTTGAGCTTCCACATATACCCATAAAAATAATTTAGTTGGAGAGATAATTCATCATAGGTTTTATAATTAAGTTTGAATAGATCATGCTGTCATTTCATCATTCAATATTTATTTAGGGCAATATGAAAAGTAGAAATAGAGCAATACAAATATTTCTCCATCTTCTGAGACTAATGAGAGAATGAAAAAATATCTGAATTATTTTTGATGAAGGGCAGGTGAACTCCCAAATTGGGGCTTAGACCAAGAGGGTTCTTGGCTTCACCCAGAAAAGAATTCAAGGACAAGCTAGTAGTGTTAGACAGCAACTTTTCCTGAAGTGGCAGTGTACAACAGCAGCAGAGGTATTGCTACTTCCAGAGAAAGACTACCACATGGGCAGTGTGCCCATAGTTGCAGCTCAAAGTCACTTCTGCAGTCATATTTATACCTACTCTTAATTACATGCAAATTAAGGGGTGGATTATGCTGAAATTTCTAGAAAACAGCGGTAGCTTCAGGTCATCACCATAGAAAGGGGTGGTAACTTCTAGGTATTGCCATGGCAATGGTAAACTGAGCTGGCACATTAGTGGGCCTGTCTTATGGAAAGTTGCTTCTGCCCTGTCCCTGTTTTAGAAAGTCCTCAATTTTGTCCAGGTGTATGAGCCCCGTCTTCAGAGTCTAGTCCTGCCTCCTCACTTGACCTCTTCAGAGGAACTCTCCTTTCAAAAGAAGATTCATTGCCCATGAGCCTTGTTTCTTGGTGTCAGATCATTCACCCACTTTGTGTTATTTTTCATACATATAGTCTGCTTAAAAGGAAGACGCTGAGACAAACTTAAGTAGAGGATTTATTTGGGCCAAGTTGAAGACTGAAACCTGAGAGCACGGATTCAAATTTCCTTGAATATACACTTTGATTAGCAGCCATTACAAGTGAACTTTTAAAGGAAAAGGAAAAGCAATTCCTAAGTTGTCTACCAGGAATTTACACTTAAATAACGTAAGCTGTTGATCGGCTATAGATTGTTCTTTGTATCACAGTTTCCAGAAACATGATGTTAAATAATAGCTACCAGGCTTGGTAGTTGGCAGAAAGGCTAGCCCAGATTGTAAGGCAGCCAAGAAAAGAAAGTTTCCAGTGGGAATTAAAGATGTTTTATCTTCAAAGACGGGAAAGACAGGTTGGGTTTTATGCCTCACAGGGCCAATATCATACATAGTCAGCAGATTTGAGGGGAAAAAAAGGTGTACATACTTGTGAGGGGAGCACAGCACATGTTCAATGGTAAACATGTATGTAACATACATACCATGTTCACTTAGGGGTATTCTCAGTATTAAATGGATGCAATTTGACTTTTTAGGTCAAAAGGTGAACTATAGGACACAGAGACAATTTGTGTGTAGACTCCATAAGCTGACTAAAACTGACAAGGTTTGCAACAGTTTATCAGAAAAGAAGGTTTATAAGGCAGCTTCTCTGTCCAAACAGAGTTGTAGTTGTCTGGGTTATAGACTGGAGCTGATAGCTCCTAGAGTTTAGTTGTAGGAATTTAGAAAGTTGCCATGCCAGCCAGGCCTGAAACCTCCACCAGTGTGTTAGGTAATTTTGTTTCCTTAACCTTTGGTTTCACCTTAGTTGATTAAGTGGTGTCTATTTTGGTCTCTTAAGTCATTGTGTTATGTGTATGTATATGTGTGTGTGTGTTTGTGTGTGTGTGTATGTGTACGTATATATATTTTGTGAGCTTGTTTCAAGCAGCACAAGGATAAGAACTCTCTCTTTTTTCCAGTTATATTCCCAGTGCCTAGTACATTTAATAAATATTTACCAGATAAATGACAATACAGGATCATTATTGCTATAATAGAAACATGAACAAGCAAGCCATGGAGGCAGAGAAAATACTTTGTGTTGGTGGTTCCAGGAATTTTTCCAAGAAAAGGTGATATATAAGCAACATTTTGGATGATAAATGGGAGTTGTCAAAGTAAAGAAGTGTGAACAGGAAGAATTCACTTTTTCTTTCTGATATTAGGAATTAGAGAAGGCTCTTTGAGGACAGCACAAATCACCTGGTTGCCATCAAGCAGACCATCCAGAGGCAAAAATTTTTATCTGAGGAATTTAGAATTAATTAGACTCCCTATTATCTAATGCTGGCATCTGGTATCAGGCTTTAAAAATATGTGTGTGTGTTTGTATAAATATATATATATATATATATGTATATGTATATCCAGAATTGCTATACATCTCTGGAATGCATGCATGTGACAACTCATTGTGCAACCCTTGTTAAGGCACCAAAATATCTACAAATATAGCCATTTATTATAACCTATGTGACTAATATGTTTAAATTTACTTTAAATTCCCGCTTTAAGGTCCATGAATATTCCTAAGAACAAATCCACTGTACCACACTCCGTCCTCTCTTGCTGAGGCACCACACTGCACTCTTCTGCAGTGTTCTATCTACTAAAACTTTCCTTTTCAAACCTATACTGTTATTGGTAAATTATTATTACCATAGTACCCGACCACTTTGTGATGCTGGGGCTCTGACACCTCACCTGCATTCTTGACACCAGACAAAAAGGAGTTAAGGACAGCAAGGAAGAAGTGAAAGGAGGCCCACATGTCAGAGCCTTATTTTTCCTCATTTCAGAATTTTCCCAGAGCTGATCCTTTGGAAAGTACCCTTGGATATGGAGGGCAGTGGGGTTGAAAGGGTTAGGTGTTTTTGCCTGAACAGACTGCCTCCTAACTGTCAATCATAAGTCCTACCTGAAATAATAATAAACAGGCAGAGGGCAGAAATGTGTCCTGCTGTCTTACAGCCAGGGGCATTGATTTCACTCATTCTAAATACTGTTATACTTTGTTAAATAAATTTTATATGAGGCCATTCGTTTGGACTGAGTTCCTCCATTATGCCCAACAGGCCAAACCAAAATGAAATTACTCATGCTTAAGTTCCATGCCACCAAGCCAAAACTATGTTGTCTGTCTGACCTTCTGAGAAATGAGGAGAGAGAGAGAAAGAGGATGAGACAGAGAACAGCTTAAACCCCTTGCAGCCAGTTTTAGCCAATATGATGAGAAAGTCCCTTCTGCTCTAACCATTATAAGAAAAATAACTTTGAAATGATAAACCTACTTTTTTTTTTCTCTGTTTCTGCTTTCCTCAGCCCTTTCTGTCTATAAAGCCAGTCTGCCCTGCACAGCTCATCAGAACACTCATTGTATTTTATAAAATGAAGTGTTGCCTGATTCTAGAATTGCAAACAAAAGCCATTTAGGATCTGTAAACTAAATTTGCTGTAAGTTTGTCTTTGAGAAAGCATAGTGGTTAATACATAACAATTTTTATTAATCCTCTGTTAATCACTTTAGATAGCTACTCCATAAAAACAATATAGATAAAGTTTTTATTTTATTTTATTTTATTATTTTATTTTTTCAGATGGAGTCTCGCTCTGTTGGCCAGGCTGGAGTGCAATGGCACAATCTCGGCTCACTGCAACCTCCATCTCCTGGCCTCAAGCAATTCTCCTGCTTCAGCCTCTTGAGTAGCTGGGATTACAGGCGTGTGCCACCATGCCTATTTTTTTTTTTTTTTTTTTTAGTAGAGACGGGGTTTCACCATGTTGGCCAGGCTGGTCTCAAACTCCTGACCTTAGGTGATCCGCCAGCCTTGGCCTCCCAAAGTGCTGAGATTACAGGCTTGAGACACCGTGCCCGGCCATAGATAAACTTTTTAAAACAAGTAGCTAAAGTTTCATTACTCTTTTTTTTTTCTGGTGTTACTTAGAAACCAAACATGCAAAAGAAATGAATTTTCTACATCCAACCTTAACATGTTAGAAAAAGAAAAATGGGATTCAGATAAGTGGAGGTGAAGATAAATCAAGATGCTGTTACTCATTTTACTTTCTAGAATCCATTACATTCATGAATTCAAATGGAATCCTTTATTTAAAGGACTTGGTTTTCCTTTTTTTACTTTTCTTTTCCATAACCAAACTTTAAATTTCCATGACAAAATCTGTAACTGGAAGTCTAGCTTGCAAATAAGAGCTGCTTTCTACTGTAATTTCCATGAAAACTAAGAAAAGTCTGTGGAGATTTCTCAAAATGCATATACAGATTTTTGTTGTTGTTGTTTTGGAAATAAAGTCTGTGGAGATTTCTCAAAATGTATACACAGGTTTGTTTGTTTGTTTGTTTGTTTTATTAACCTTCTGTGTATAGTTTGTAGAATACTTAAAAAAGGAAAATAAAAGATTTTAAAATAATTGTTAATAAAGTTAAAGTCACACTTCCCATTGATTCATGGACTGTTCTAGCTGAATGAAACATTAAAGATGAAAATCCATTTCTTTAGTTGACATGTGAGGATTGGGGCCCTGCAAGGCAAAGTAAGCTTAAGGAACTAGGATTAAAGTAAGAGATTTGGGCTAAAACTCAGTGCTCCCGTGCATTTCTACCTTATGGACTAATGATTATCCTCCAGTATTGTATTCTGGGGTAGGCGAGAGTGCAAATTGCCCTATGGAGTGGTACAAAAGAGTACAGACATTTTCATCCGGTGATCTCTTCCTTATCATCACTTGGCCTCATTTTGACACAAAATAGTAAAGAATATGCTTCTTTTCCTAGAGGATAGTTGTGAGAATTAAATGATACCATGTAGGTAGAGGGCTCATCCCAGTGCATGGCAGATATTGAGAGATCAGTACATGCATCTATTATTTTTTAAAAATCCACAAAAATAAAAAAAACCTGTGTTGACCTTCATCATCATTATATATATTAAATTAACTTATGCTTCCTAGCCCAAAAGAATATTCAAATAAATGTACCAACCATAAAATTAATTAATCTCTAACCAAAGAAGGGAATTAGAGAACACGAAGGGAAGAAAAACAGTATCTGAGAGATTGCACTCAACGTTTCTCAGTGGTTTTGAGGAATATGGAGTGGATAAAGCAAAATGGCCAGGACCATGAGATTTCCTACCTGTCTTATACTGTGAGAATAAATGGCTGCATAGCTTTGATATGGATATTTAGGAAACTCAACACATTGGGGTTCACTGAAATTTCCCAATCATTTCTCTTCTCACTGTTCTCAATAAGTTGCTGTGGTAGTTTTATTTATTCTTGTTTATTGTCTGTTATCCGCAGACTAAAAAATATCCTCAAAGTAAACATAATCCTCTCAATCACCATGCAAACTATATAAAGTTGCAATTATTTTGTTAAAATTCTACTGAAATTAAAATCAACAACAAACTTAAACATACTGTGACTACTAATGGGAAAAGTGACTGCAGTTACTGACTTTGATGCTGAGTTGAGAGCGGGGTGATAGGATATAAAGCACATAGAAATAGTTGAGAATCAAAAAATATGTCAAAGAAAACCAACCAACCAAACCAAACCAAAACCAAAATCTCCTTCACCTAGCAATAATGATTTTTTTTTTTTTGCAACATTTTCAAAGTACTTTTTTAAATCTGTCATTCTATCTAATTTAAACTGTGTTAGACCTCTGGCATCATCATTATCATGAAGAAGTTTAAGAGTCAAGTATAAAGTTCTTTGGAGGGTTACTGGAAAACTAAGCACAAGGATGCAGGTTTCTGAGCTCAGATTTTTCCCCCCATTTATAGTACGTAAGCACTCCGTAGCATAAATTGGGCTATAGCTGGGTCTAGAGATGGCAGCTATTCATCCAAATCCAGGGCTATACTTAACATGTGTTGTTGTTTAAAATGGAGAGTGAGAAGAAGAGAGATTTCTCTAGAAAAAGGACAAAGTAGAAACAAACTTTTAGACAATTGTAGTTCCAGGGAACATGGCTAGGAAAATGAAGGATGCCTTTGTGTGAAGAAGAAGTCATATTTTCCACCAGGTAGATGTGGTCTATAGGCCAAGATCAAAGCTTGGGTAGTGGGTTTCAGCTGCCGCTGACCCTTTTGCTGACATTTTGTGCAATGCACAGTCAGCAGATGGGCTTGTTCTCTTCTACCATGCATTTCCTGTCCTTGACATCTTATTTTTTTTAAAAAAAACATCTCTCAGATGTCAGAGAAAGGAAAACAACTCCAGGGCTAGTGTAAGAGTTAAGTGAAGACAGAAAAGTCAGTTGTCTGACTTTTGCTGAAACTGAAGCATTTCAGTAAGTTAATGATTTAAAGATCTATTTTTTTCTGAATTTAGATCATGTTTGGTGATCATAAGGCCTACTAGTAGAATAGGGCTTGTTTCTGGTTCATTTTCAAAGGTTGGACTCACCAACAGGAAAGACTACATGTCATGTGACATGGCGGACAAAGGAAAACCTGACTATCCCAACATGTTTTACCAGAATTTTCTGCAATGTCACTTTCAAGTTGGTCTTATTTAAAATGAAGATGCCTTATCTGGGAAGCAGGTGACCGACATGATTTTTGATAAATAAACAATTATTCAGAAAATTCAGCTTTTGTGGTGCATAGACATAAATCGAGGGCATATATAGACTTCACTGGAATCTATTTTTCTTTTGTTAATGTCAGTGTTAAGACCTTAGTTTTATGGAAAAAAAATCAACTATAGTTATATGCATGCTGTAAATTGAATTAGATTGATTTTGAATTACAGTTACTAATCAATCTAGTTTGATTAGTTTGTAGTTTGAGACCCAGTAGGCATAGATAGTTTGGGATATAAAGTAAATGATAAATTGTACTAAGAACTGCATAGATAGTTTGGGGTATAAAGTAAATGGTAAATTGTACTAAGAACTTGTTAAAAATGACAAGAAATATTTCATTCAAAACTGTTGCAACAGGGGAGCAAGGCTGAACACAATTCAGAGAAACAAAAGGCCACAGAGTTTTTAAGGGCTAAGATGAGCTAGTGGAAAGGTCTAAAAGTGGGGAGGTTGTTTAATGTTATTAGGCCATTCCCTTTTGTGAATTAGCATTTACTGAAATTAGACTGCTGCCCTCCCATAGCCACTGGGAGATAGGAGCCCTATTTTTCCTGTTGATTACATTTCAAGTGGATGACTCACAGATCCTTGAGAAAAACATTCCTGGATTGTAGAAGATGTACATTGCAAAGGGGCAGAGGAAGAATTTATAGTTGCAAGTTTTCTAAAGTATATCCTCTAAGAGAGATCAGGGGCTTACTGTCAGAAATCTATCCAAAGTTTATTGAAGCTGAGGGGAATTTTAAGGCAATGTTGGTCATGATTAGATTCTTTCTGATCATCACATATATGAGTGCTAGATAATAAATACATAAAACTTTTGGAAGCAGTATTGCCTTTAAGATATGTGGTGGGAACCAAGAATATTATTGAAATTTAAAGTGAGGATCAGCAAATTACAGGTACAAGACAAACATGACCTGCTACCTTTTTTTTTTCTTTTATGTCCTAAATACTATCTCAAAAGAAAAAGGGCATTATTCTACATAGTCATAATACCGTGAGCCCACCTAAGAATTTTAACATCAGGAAGATCACATAATTTCTTATACAGCTTCTATTTAGGTATCCCCCAGTTATACGTACTGTTCCTTGTAGGTGCATTTTTTAGAAAGATTCTTTCATGAAGAGTTCGGTCAAACATAATAAACTAGTTCATGATGGCTACCTCTGAAGCAGGAGAGCTGAGAAATTTGAGTCTGATAGTGGAAGGGAGACTTATTTTTAGCTATGTTTTATTTTGTATTCTTTGACATTTTTAAACACGTTAAAATATTACATCTTCAATCAAAATTTTAAAAGTTAAAAAAATTATTCAGAGATTACACATTGCCTTTAGTTATCATGTCTCTTTAGTGTCCTTTAGTTTAGAACAGTCTTTCTGCCCAACACACCTTTTTTTTTCAGAGTTCAGGCCAGTGTTATTGTAGAATGTTCTGCAGACTACATTTGTCTTATTGTTTTCTCATTAATACATTTGGGTAAAACCTGCCACTTGTTTTAAAAATAGAGTTTTACTGGGCACAGCTACACTTATTCATTTATATGTTGTCTGTTGCTATTTTCATGCTACCATGATATATAATTAAGTGAGATTCTATCATGGTACAACAGAGATTGTATGGCCCACAAAATGTAAAACATTTACTATTTGTGACTTTATAGATAAGTTTTCTGGTCTCTGGTTTGAGGATTTCATCTTTGACACAATAAGCTTTGGATTATCCATAATCAGCTAAGTGATATTCGGTAAGGCATTTAACCCTTCTGAGCAACTTTTCACTTTTACCTACCTTACCTCATAAGGTTTTGTGAAAATAAATGTGTAAATGCATCTAGCAGCTTCTAATATTGTCTAATTTATCTTATAAGGATAAATTAATCTCTAGCAAAGCGACAAACTCCCTAAAGAAGAAAACCACCTTACTAAAAGAAACAAAAATCCCCAGAGGCTTATCGAGGTCTAAAATGATGCTCAGAAGGCTCCTGCCCTGTCAACAGGGGAGATTTGTAGTATATTGCAGGTCATTCTATGTGTGGAAGTGGTGTCCAGTGTGTTTCTGGAAACGTTTCTTCTGTTAAGAGAACTCTGATTTTGTTCACTCTTTCCCTTAGAAATATGAACCCCAAAGGAGAAAGGATGTCTCCAGAACCCAAATGTGAATCTTGATTGTTTTTAGCTCATCAGGGTGTTTTAATTATTCCAGTTATAATGCAACATATGAATGTGAAAAGAAGAAATAAAACTGAGCTCTTGATAATGTTATTGGATCAATAAATTAAGTAACTAAAAAATCCCTACCTCAAGATTTCCTGTTATCTGAGATGATAATAATTCCTCTTGGTTGCCTATATTATTTACATTCATTCTAGATTTAGCCTCTGAAAGAAAGAAATATTGAAGTTTTTATACTTCAATATATATTAAAGAAAACTAAAACACTCTAACTTATTTCTATGATTTTTTGACATTTCATTCCTGTTTTTAATATTTCAGATGGAAAATATCAATGTTCTTATAATTTTTCTTAACTTTGTCTTCAGATTTGTCCATTGTACCTATCCTGCAACTTATCTGCAATTTAGCTACTCTTTTTCTATTTAACTGACAATTTCATGTTGAATTACAGCATACATATAGTGCAAAAATCTTAACTATATAACTCAATGAAATTTTCTGTGACTATACCTATTTAAGCAGCTCCCAGGTAAAAATACAGAACATTACCAGCAATCCCCTAATCTACCTTCCAGTTACCGCTTCAAACTCCCACCCTAGGAATAAGCACTATTTTGACTCTACTTAGCATAGATTAGTTTTTCCTCTCCTTGACTGGATATATGTAAAATTTAAGAAGACTTTAAAACTCTCTTTATTGTCTGGCTTTTATGAACTATACATATTGTATTTATCAGTATATTCTTTTATTCTGTTTTATATATTCAATTGTGTGGATATACCACCATCAAGAAAAATCATTCTAATGTTTATCGGCATTTGAATTGTTTCCATTTGAGGGCTGATGTAATTAATGATGCCAATGGCATCCTTGTATATGCCTTTTCAGGATATTTGTACACATTTCTATTAGTATATATTTATGAGTAGAATTGCAGCATTATGGGGTATTTGTATCTCCAACTTCAATAAATACTGTCATTTTTCTAAATAGTTGTACCAATTCAAACTCTCATCATTATTACAAACAGTATATGAAAGTGTGTGAATTCCAGTTACTGCACATCCTCATCTACAGTTGGTACTGCCAGTCATTTAATATTTATTCTGATATGTGATAGTATCTGATTATGGTGTTAATTTACATTTCCTTAATAACTAATCATGTTGAGTGTCTTTTCACATACTTATTGCAGATCAAGTACATATATATTTTTAATAGTAAAGACAGGGTCTCGCTCTGTCACCCAGGCTGAAGTGCAGTGACACATTCATAGTTCTCTGTAACCTCAAATACCTGAGTTCAAAAGATTGTTCCACCTCAGCCTCCCAAGTGGATAGGACTGCAGGTGCATGCCATAATATCTATTTTTTTATTTTTTTAAGAGACGGGATCTCACTATGTTGCCCAAGCTGGTTTCAAACTCCTGGCCTCAGCTTCCCAAAGTGCTGGAATTACAGATGTGAGCCACTGTCCCCCGCCAGAATAATTTTTATTCTAAAGACTTCGTTGAAGACTTTGATCAATCTTTTAAAATTGAGTTTTTTGTCATTTATTATTGATTTATAGAAACTGTATATTCTGGTATTAGTTCTTAATTTATTATGTGCATTTCCTAATCTTCTCCACTCTGTGACTTGCTTTTTTAGTCTCTTCATGTCAAGTTTCTTAACAAAGATTCTTAATTTGATAAAATTCCTATTATCAATTGTTTTCTTTATTCTTGGATGATTCTGTGTGTTATTTAAAATCTTTTACTACCTTATATGAGAAATATGTTCTATTACTTTATTTTCCATAAACTTCATCATTTCACTTTTAACTCTGAGGTCTGCAGTCTTAATGAAATTTGTTTTTGTAAATAGTGTGAGGTAGGGGTTCTCCTCTACTTTTTGTGTTCACACTGTATGACCAGGGTAATAAACTTTGTAACAACAAACTTTGCTTCTCTTTTACATCTTGACATTTTCAAACGTGCATATCATTTTCAGTTGTGGTGTTAGTTGTATTTAATTAATGACTTTTTTGTTGCGGTAGATCTGCTTCTGTGATTATGTTTGGTTGATATACTTTACTTTGTTACATCTTGAATACTCCAAAAAACCTTAAATCTGTTGTAAATATCTTCCACTCTCATTTCTTCTTTCAAAACTCTTTTTTGGCCCATCTATCCATCTTTGTCTTTGCTTTACAAAAGTCTTTACTTTAGCAAAAGAGAGTTTTTTATAGTATGGATAATATGGATTTTGAGAATAATTATCTTTTCAGGGTTTTCTAATGAAGAGCAGAAAATGGCCACATCTAAATCCTCCTTCTCAGCTGCTGATAAGATTAATATACTGATTAACACCTTTTCTAAGTTGGATTGGAGGTGAAAGTAATTCCATTTAGCAAAGCCTCATCCCATTTGCTGACATCTTCATTAACCTCACTGATAAGGAAACCATTTCACAATACAAATTTCTCAAAGCTAGAGATTTTACCTTCACAGAGTCACCTAACAATACTAATTTGAAGTATGAAACATGCAGTTTAAATTGCCTCAATAAATTCACTATGCTCTATCCTCTTATTTTTCCTATTTAAAAGGTTGACAAAAGAAACCAGTTACTTCATACTCACTAATAAAGGTTGATTTTCAAAAGGACATTTCATATTTTCAGAAAAAGGGAGCAAAGGTAGAGATTAAAGTGAATGAAAGTGTCATCATAGCAAGGGGAAAACTAGTAGGTGAAAATCTGTGAAGGGAAGCAAATATAATTCTGTGTAGAGATTTATTAAACATATGAAAAAATGCTAGAGTTTTTTAAAAGTTGCATTCTAGGCATTCACCCTTTCTTTATCACAATGCTTTTTATTAAAGTGAAACAATACTAATTTTTTATGTTTTACAATCAGTAAAATAAGACATTTGTTAATTGAATAACTGACTTTTATAAACCGCAAGACATTTCCTCAGCTTCATAGGACTTTCTGAATAGTGTTTATTATTCTTCATTGTGATTTCTTCAGTTAGTTAACTGTAATTTTTAACAGGACTTCTAGAAATCTTCAGTCATATCCAGTGATGTGCAGGAATATATTTAACAACTGACTTTCATGTTTGTCAATTGTCATTGTATAAATACTCCTACATGACTGATTTAAGGCTAGAAATGTGACATCACTGAATAGAGTTGATTAGAAATATGCAGTAACACACCATTACATAGTGTTACAATATATATATATATACAATTGTAGATAATATAACATTAAATCTTAGATAATAGGAACATAAGGTAAAATACTTAAGAAGTAATGATATCTCAGTATTTGTTACTTTTGTTTTTAATAATGTGTTTATAAATTTAATTTTTAATAAGTGGTTGTGTGTTTAACAACTGGCTTATGAAATTTAATATTTCCCAATCAGCTCTGCAGGAAAATGTTGGCCCTGTTTTAGCAAACTACTAGTATTTATCTGTGATCAAAAGAGACATCAGCACAATGTTTCAATAGTAGCTCAAAAGCTCCTTTTAAATCTCATGTTGAAGAAACCCAAGTTGACTCTATCTAGGTTTAAATCAGAGGTTCCTAAACTGTAGCACATGTCAAAATCACCTAGAGGACTTGGCAAAATATACATTCCTTGACTTAACTCCCAGAGTATCCTGTGAGACTTAGCATTTGAATTTTTTATAAGTTCTCTGGTGATGGTGATACTTCAGATGCTAGGAACCACACTTTGAAAAACAGTTGTTTTTTTCTCTTGTAAATTTGGTTGAGTTCATTGTAGATTCTGGATATTAGCCCGTTGTCAGATGAGTAGGTTGCGAAAATTTTCTCCCATTTTGTAGGTTGCCTGTTCACTCTGATGGTAGTTTCTTTTGCTGTGCAGAAGCTCTTTAGTTTAACTAGATCCCATTTGTCAATTTTGGCTTTTGTTGCCATTGCTTTTGGTGTTTTCGACATGAAGTCCTTGCCCATGCCTGCGTCCTGAATGGTAATGCCTAGGTTTTCTTCTAGGGTTTTTATGGTTTTAGGTCTAACGTTTAAGTCTTTAATCCATCTTGAATTAATTTTTGTATAAGGTGTAAGGAAGGGATCCAGTTTCAGCTTTCTACATATGGCTAGCCAGTTTTCCCAGCACCATTTATTAAATAGGGAATCCTTTCCCCATTGCTTGTTTTTCTCAGGTTTGTCAAAGATCAGATAGCTGTAGATATGTGGCGTTATTTCTGAGGGCTCTGTTCTGTTCCATTGATCCATATCTCTGTTTTGGTACCAGTACCATCCTGTTTTGGTTACTGTAGCCTTGTAGTATAGTTTGAAGTCAGGTAGCGTGATGCCTCCAGCTTTGATCTTTTCGCTTAGGATTGACTTGGCCATGCGGGCTCTTTTTTGGTTCCATATGAACTTTAAAGTAGTTTTTCCAATTCTGTGAAGAAAGTCATTGGTAGCTTGATGGGGATGGCATTGAATCTATAAATTACCTTGGGCAGTATGGCCATTTTCACGAAATTGATTCTTCCTACCCATGAGCATGGAATGTTCTTCCATTTATTTGTATCCTCTTTTATTTCATTGAGCAGTGGTTTGTAGTTCTCCTTGAAGAGGTCCTTCACATCCCTTGTAAGTTGGATTCTTGGGTATTTTATTCTCTTTGAAGCAGTTGTGAATGGGAGTTCACTCATGATTTGGCTCTCTGTTTGTCTGTTATTGGTGTATAAGAATGCTTGTGATTTTTGCACATTGATTTTGTATCCTGAGACTTTGCTGAAGTTGCTTATCAGCTTAAGGAGATTTTGGGCTGAGACAATGGGGTTTTCTAGATATACAATCATGTCATCTACAAACAGGGACAATTTGACTTCCTGTTTTCCTAATTGAATGCCCTTTATTTCCTTCTCCTGCCTGATTGCCCTGGCCAGAACTTCCAACACTATGTTGAATAGGAGTGGTGAGAGAGGGCATCCCTGTCTTGTGCCAGTTTTCAAAGGGAATGCTTCCAGTTTTTGCCCATTCAGTATGATATTGGCTGTGGGTTTGTCATAGATAGCTCTTATTATTTTGAGATACGTCCCATCAATACCTAATTTATTGAGAGTTTTTAGCATGAAGCATTGTTGAATTTGGTCAAAGGCCTTTTCTGCATCTATTGAGATAATCATGTGGTTTTTGTCTTTGGTTCTCTTTGTATGCTGGATTACATTTATCATCAAAAAGTGGGCGAAGGACATGAACAGACACTTCTCAAAAGAAGACATTTATGCGGCCAAAAAACACATGAAAAAATGCTCACCATCACTGGCTATCAGAGAAATGCAAATCAAAACCACAATGAGATACCATCTCACACCAGTTAGAATGGCAGTCATTAAAAAGTCAGGAAACAACAGGTGCTGGAGAGGATGTGGAGAAATAGGAACACTTCTACACTGTTGGTGGGACTGTAAACTAGTATAAGCCTTGTGGAGGTCAGTGTGGCGATTCCTCAGGGATCTAGAACTAGAAATACCATTTGACCCAGCCATCCCATTACTGGCTATATACCCAAAGGACTATAAATCATGCTGCTATAAAGACACATGCACATGTATGTTTATTGCGGCACTATTCACAATAGCAAAGACTTGGAACCAACCCAAATGTCCATCAATGATAGACTAGATTAAGAAAATGTGGCACATATACACCATGGAATACTATGCTGCCATAAAAAATGATGAGTTCATGTCCTTTGTAGGGACATGGATGAAATTGGAAATCATCATTCTCAGTAAACTATCGCAAGAACAAAAAACCAAACCCCGCATATTCTCACTCATAGGTGGGAATTGAACAATGAGAACACATGGACGCAGGAAGGGGAACATCACACTCTGGGGACTGTTGTGGGGTGGGGGTGGGGGGAGGGATAGCTTTAGGAGATATACCTAATGCTAAACGACGAGTTAATGGGTGCAGCATACCAGCATGGCACATGTATACATATGTAACTAACCTGCACATTGTGCGCATGTACCCTAAAACTTAAAGTATTATAATAATAAAATAAAATAAAATAAAATAAGAAAAACAGTTGGTTTTAATGTTTTTCAGGTTCATTCTTTTACTGTGAGTAGAGATGTGTCCAAAAAAAAAAAAAAAAGTCAACTCAATGTTGAATAAAGAATCTAATATTCATTGGTTATAGAGCTTTAGCTCTGCACTACAATTTCTTTGGCTTCTGGTGTCTGCTCCAAACTATATATAATGAAGATCCTAACTTGCTGATCTTGGGCTTAATCATTCCTCCATCCGCCTCTTTGAAAATTTTTATAGTGACAAATATTTTCTATTTGAGTGGTTATATCATTCCTCTTTTTTTCCCACTCATCCTTTTTTCTTTGCTCTCCTTTCTCCATTTTCTCTCTGATTTTTTTCTCCCCTACCTTTTATTCTTTCTCTTTTCTCCCCTAAGGGTTCTTCTCTCCTCTCTTTTGTTATTACCTCTCTCTTCCATTTTCCTCCTCCCCTCTTCCCCCCACCTTCTCTAAGCCCCCTTTCAGTCCCTCTGAACAACTATTTACATAAATGGCAGTACCTTTCCCTTCCTCATGTGTAAATCTTTTTATTTACTAAGAAAGCAGAAATATGATTTTACATAAGCAAATAACAAATACGTACTTGCTAAGGCATACTGTAGTACCTAGTTGTGTAACAGTCTAAGGAGAGGTAGGAATGATGAAGGGAAAATTCAAATTATTTTAAATTGCTCCAGATATTAATTTTAGTTATATTTTATATTTTAAAATATTAGTAATAGGTGTATAGCTCCAGAAAGACCTCTATAACTAAAACTACAACTACAAAACACTGCTGAAAGAAATCATAGATGAAACAAACAAATGGAAACGCATCCCATGCTCATCAATGGGTAGAAACAATATTGTAAAAATGGCCATACTGCCAAAAGCAATCTACAAATTCAACACAATCCCCATCAAAATACCATCATCATTCTTCACAAAATTATAGAAAACAATTCTAAAAATTATATGGAACCAAAAAAGATCCTGCATAGCCAAAGCAAAGCTAACCAAAAAGAACAAATTTGCAGACATCACACTACCTGATTTCAAACTATACTATAAGGCCATAGTCACCAAAACAGCATGGTACTACTATAAAAATGGGCACATAGACCAACAGAATAGAAGGGAGAACCCAGAAATAAACCCAAATATTTACAAATATTTACAGCCAACTGATCTTTGACAAAGCAAACAAAAACATAAGGTGGGGAAAGGACACCCTTTATAACAAATGGTGCTGGGATAATTGGCTAGCCACATGTAGGAGAATGTAACTGGATCCTCATCTCTCACTCGTACAAAAATCACCTGAAGATGGATTAAGGACTTAAACCTAAGACCTGAAACTATAAAAAATTCTCAAAAATAACATTGGAAAAACTCTTCTAGACACTGGCTTAGGCAAGGATTTCATGATCAAGAACCCAAAAGCAAATGCAGTAAAAACAAAGATAAATAGCTGGGACCTAATTAAACTGAAGAGCTTTTGCGTGGCAAAAGGAACAGTCAGCAGAGTAAACAGACAACCCACAGAGTTTGAGAAAATCTTCACAATCTATTCATCCAACAAAGGATTCATATTCAGAGTCTAAATGAACTCAAATCAGTAAATAAAAAACAAATGATCCCATCAAAAAGTGGGCTAAGGACATAAATAGACAATTCTCAAAACAAGATATACAAATGGCCAACAAACATATGAAGAAAATGCTCAATATCACTAATAATCAGGGAAATGAAAATCAAAACCACAATACGATACCACCTTTTAAATTTTTTGACTAAATATGTTTATTTCTTTGATAAAATTATTGAGTATGTCAATCCTTATTTTCACTAGGATATTTTTGTTCATATTTTGTTCACAATTTTTTTAATGCTGAAGTTATTGATTTAATTATTATTTTATAAAACATAGAATCCTTAGATATTCCTGAGGATGGCGGTCACATGAGCATATTTCTGGCTCTTTCTTTCTAAATTCATTGAAATGATTAAAAGGAGGTAAAAAGTAAGGCAAACTTACATCAGCAGGATAAGGAACTAGTGGAGGATGTTAATACATGCCAGGGGCTCTAAGAAAGCAATAGGTGCTCAAGGAAAACAGGTTTAAAAAGAAATCTTAAATTTCAGAAAAATTCTAGAAGGGTAAGAGCTGAATATGGAGGAAGTATCTGAGAAAGCAGAGAATACACCTATTAATGGCTTATATTCAGTGGAATTAGGAAGTAGAGTTATATGACAGCTTATATTTTCTTTGAGTGGTGATTGTACTAGAGACGTCTCTTATTTGAGCTTTACCATGTTTTCTGTATATTTCAACAATATGTAGTATTTTATAACACACAAAATTCATACTAGTTATATAAAAACTGACAGTGAGAATTTCCTGATTTTATGAACCTGTTTAAAATCTGTGGACTGCAATAAGTTAAAATTTACTGTGTAGGAAAAGAATTCAGATGATCTGAAGTTTTCTCAGTTTGCTAGTAATTGTTTTATTGTCCTAGCCTCTCTCTCATTGATCTTGGTCCAGCTCTAGTAGGTTGAAAGCTGTACAAACCTTACCTCCACCAATCAGGAAGTTAAATTTTTGAAAACAAATTCTAATATTGTAATAAAAAAGGAAGCTCAGAGAAAAATCAGTACGAACTCACTAAGTATATAATTGAGTATGTAGTGTGAAAATTCTGAATTAGAGAGTCTTATTTCATTTATACTTTTAACATTTTCTCTATAGAGTTAAAATTATCACCTTTTTGTGGCAGATATAATATGATTGTATTCTACTTTATTACACCCATACAAAAGGCCTCCCCATGATAAAATAATGCAGTCTGGACTACTGTATAAGTTATTGCCACCAGTATTGAGGTGTGGCTGAAAAAAGTGAAAATGGCTGG
Organism: Homo sapiens; assembly: GCF_000001405.40. Classification (NCBI taxonomy): domain Eukaryota; kingdom Metazoa; phylum Chordata; class Mammalia; order Primates; family Hominidae; genus Homo; species Homo sapiens. Next base: position 24,923,543 of record NC_000009.12, read on the forward strand.
TTACAAAAACTAATAACAGAAACAGATATTAAGGTACAAAGCGAAGAAGAATAACAGTGTATATGTCACCCAAGATTTGAAAAAATAAAGTACATATGGAAAGGAAAGAATTAGAGATAAGAAATTTTTGGGTGAAAAAATTTATAAAGCAGAAGGTATTGATTCAACAACAGGATTTTAGTATGAAAAACACTGCAATCAAAATAGGAAATATGAATTCATAAAAAGAAAATCTCCAAAATTGTGTTTTCAGTTATGTTTTGGCCATTCATTAGTTCAAATTAAACAATGAGATGAGAGAAATGTTTCTCAACCCCCAGCAGTTTTATGAAATATGGTATACCATTTCAAGATGAAAATGGGCTCAAAGGAGAAAGCTGAGTTTTTACAGAGGGTAAACACCCAGTTTCTGGTTGCTATTCTACCATACACTAGCTATTTGATTCTATTTAAATTACTAAAACTGGTATAATATATGTGTGATGATTGAACCTTTGGTGTCAACTTAACTGGATTAAGAGATACCCAGATAGCTGGTAAAGCATTCTTTCCAGATATATCTGTGAGGATGTTTCTGGAAGAGACTGGCATTTGAATCAATACATTGAGTAAAGAAGATTTGCCCTCACTCAGTGGGGGTGTGCACTAGCCAGTTGGCTGAGTGCCTGGAGAGAACAAAAAGAAGGAAAACAAGTTTTTTACCTGTTCTATAGCTGAGCCACACTCCATCTTCTGCCTTTGCACATTAGAACTTCAGATTCTCTGGCTTTTGGACTCTCAAACTTGCACCAATATGCCCTTAGGTTCTCAGGCTTTTGGGCCTCAGAGTGAGAGTTCAACTTCCCTGGTTATGAGGCCTTTGGTCTTGGAAGTCACGCTGTTGGCCTCATGGTTCTCTAGCTTGCAGGTGGTCTATCATGGTACTTTTCAGCCTCCATAATTGTGTGAGCCAAATCCATGAATAAATCCCTTCTCATACATCTATGTAACTATATTTATCTGTGTATCTGTGTATGTATGTATGTATCTATCTAATCTATCCATCTGTCATCTATCATATTAGTTTGTCTCTCTGGAGAACTCTAACGTAATGTGTGAAATTACTTTGAAAAAATATAAGCAGTTGGCCGGGCGCGGTGGCTCACGCCTGTAATCCCAGCACTTTGGGAGGCAGAGGCAGGCGGATCATGAGGTCAGGAGATCGAGACCATCCTGGCTAACACAGTGAAACCCCGCCTCTACTAAAAATACAAAAAATTAGCCCGGCGTGGTGGCGGGCGCCTGTAGTCCCAGCTACTCGGGAGGCTGAGGCAGGAGAATGGCGTGAACCCGGGAGGCGGAGCTTGCAGTGAGCCGAGATCGCGCCACTGCACTCCAGCCTGGGCGACAGAGCGAGACTTCGTCTCAAAAAAAAAAAAATATATATAAGCAGTTGTTATAGTAGGCATTAATTTTGTATGATGATAAATGCAAGTATATTTTAGTTAAGGTCATAGTAAGACATGAAGAGTAGTAAAGGTAGTTCAATTAAGTTTCTAGAATATATTGTACTGTAAATCTTTTTGCCTAATAGATTTTAATATACAAAAACTTCATTTGAAATGAAATCTATATATTGAAAGTATGAAATCTATTGACTAGATTCTTATAATTTTATCAAGTCTTGAATTATGGGAGAAAAGCTTTAATGTTTAAGGTTAATTATTATATGTCCAAACCATCAGTTTTCTTTCTAGAGGACTACTGTATGTGGATGAATAATTATCAGTCATTTATTTATCATTATCTTTTAGACAGAGTTGACCCAAGTGGTTGTACCAGGAGACGAGTTATATTTATTTGGCTATCTTAACAATGACTGAATTACATATTCCAGCACCAAGTTCTCTCTTGAAATAGTTTTTATGTTCTTTTGTCAGCAGGCATGTCACGGGGTGCTATACTTTTTATTTCCTTAAGGTACATAAGGATTGAGAGTTGCTCCTTTCACTTATGTCATTACAGACCAGAGCTCAGGATTATAAGGACCTTGCTGAAGTTTTCTCAACTAGTCAGTCATAACTAAAGTCCAAGTCCCCTGATTCTCAGGCTAGTATATTTTCAATTGCCCTGTGCAGTTTGTCAGGAATGGAGCAATCACTAAATGGAATAACATTGCAGAGTTGGAACACAGGAGTTTTTTTTTTTTTTTTGATGTTGGCAGCAGTGCCCTCGAAACAGTGCACCAAAATAGTCATGTTGAGTGGACCATTATAGTCATGTTGTGTACTTGTTTAATCCTAAATGTAAATTAACTTTTCTGGATACCTTAGTGTCCAGAATTTATATAAGTGGTTCCAAAACAGGAGTTTTGTGCTAATCGGAGGGTATATAGGTGATCAGGAAGACAAATTTAAAACTATTAACTAAAAATAAGAAAGTTGTACATTACTAATACTTAATAGACAAACATAATTCATGTAAGTTAAAATACATATATACATATAATACACATATATACATATAATACACATACATATATGTATACATATGAGTATAAATATAGGTGCATATATATGCATACATATATATACAATAATGTTCATGCTCAACATTATTTAGCAATAGCAATCAAAAACATAGATTTAAAATTTAAAGTGGCAACAATTCATAAATATTTACATAGATATGATTAAGATGTCCAGAGTAAGTTATTAGAATGCTTTTGAAATATGTTATCAAATTGTGAAGGAGAGTCAAATTCATTATTTATTGTAAGTATTCATTGAGTGACTTCTGTGTGCTAAACATTGTGGTAAATGCTAGGGATACAGCTGTGAAGCAGCATGGTTTCTGCCCTCATGGAGTTTGTTATCTGGTCTGCAAATTTTGAGGTTTTAGAACTACATAAAGGATTTGAGAGATTTACCTGCAACCAAATTCCTATGTTTATAGCTAGAAAGCCAACTGAGAGTGCTTGATATCTTACATATGTTAGTTTAAGGGATTTTAGTTTTTAGAATTTTAACAAAATACCATTTTCATCCACCTCCTTCCTCGTGTTACTGTTTCTCTCCTCATCCATCAGGAACTTGGTAGGCAACTTCTCCCTTGTGCCTTACCCACTCGAGCTCCTAGAGACTTTGTGTTATCCACCAAAGTCCTGCCTGGTAACTCCAGTGTTCCATTTCCCCTCTCCAGTTATACTCCAATTCTCACATCTATTATTGGGGAGAAAGTATGAGATAAAAATTGATTTATTTTTAAAATATTTATGACTTCCAATCTACTTAACTAAATTACAATTCATTACAGTTCACTTTTCTGGAGTGCCTAGTAGGTTTTGGAGACTGTGCTATCAAAAGAGGAATGATTCATAGAGTCCCTACACTGTGCTCAGTATAGAACTGACCATAGTGTTGGTGCTCAATAAATGTCAGTTCAATGGATTAAAATGTTAACCTTCCCATGAACATCTACATTTTGTGAAAGGTAGTCTACCAGGGTGGAAATAGAATGATATTTGGAATCGAAGATTAATTGAATCTCAGTATTTCTACTTACCTTCTAGTGACCTTTGTTAAGTTCTTTAACTTCTATCGGCCAAAGTGTTTGAATATTTGAAATGGGACTAAGACTATCTCACTTCCAATGTTACAAGTAATATAGTGTTAGCATTACAATAATGTAGGCAAATAGCCTTAATCATTGCATATAGTAGGCACTTGTTAGAAAAAATGGTTAAAGGAATAAATCTCTAACAGAAACATTTTATTCAGTTACAAAACTTATGAGAAATATTGATTAAGCCAGGTGTTTCTCAATATGGGAAGAACAGCACTGACATTCGCCCCACTGACTATGCGAATGGTGTGGAATCCCGAGGTGGAGTATACGAGAATCTTGAGATATAAAGCATTTTATTTTAATAAAACTCATTTTATGTGTTTTTGACTTCTTAAAGCAGAAGAAATAAGATAAAGTTCAGCAAAATATTCCCCCATTAGAGGATAAACAGGAGGAAGGGTATATTTAGTTTTAAAGCAGGATTCCCTACAAATTATGCTCTATATTCTTTGTTATGAGAACATTCCTAGTGGCCATAAATATGTACACAGGCATAATGGGTGAGATAAGTAGGTTAGAAAATTATCAGTAATGTCTAAGTTGATTTGTGCTGCAGTAACAGAATACCACAAACTGGGCAATTTATAAAAAAGAGAAATTTATTTTCTCACAGTCCTGGAGGCAGGGAAGTTCAATATCAAGGTGCCTGCAGCTTTGGTTGTCTGGTCAGGGCTGCTCTCTGCTCCCAAGTCAGGCAGAAGTCAAGCTAGACTAACGTGTAAAGGCTTCTTTTGTAAGGGCGTTAATCTAATTCAGGCAGAAGGAAATCTCACTGTCTAATCGCCCATTACAGGTCCCACTGCTTGATACTGTTATACTGGAAACACCTGAAATGTGGAGGAGATACATTCAAACTATAGCAAATATCTTACTCTTTATAGAAAAGTGTTATTTTAGTATTCAGGAATCTTTACTCTCCAAACTGTTTTTTTTAATAGTAAAAAATAAAGTCCTTGGAATGTTCTGAGTGCAGCTTAATAAACTTAAAAAGTAATTTTAAAGCTGAGCCCTCAGAAGCTCAGGAACCAGGAGAGCTTTAGAGATCTGAGTAGCAGCAACTAAAAGTCAACCTCTTTGAAGTACCATCTTTGAACCATTCAGTTCCAGATATGATTGGGGCACTTTAACTAACAATCCCACTAAGTTTATATGAGGTACAGAATATGCAGTTACTCAAAGAATATTGGAGAATTTTCCAGGTATTTTTACATGTATGTTAGAAAAAGTACCTGAGCCAAGTTACTGTAATAACTATACATTTACTTTAAATTAAAATATGCAACTTTAATATTCTTATATCTAATATCATCTTTTCCCAAAAAGCAAAATAAAAAAGCTTGCCATATCTCATGTTGCATTATATCTAATACATGACCGTGGTACAAAACAAATCTGTTAGTTGGACTCCTTCAAAAAGAAGATGACTATAATTGAAAAGGTGAATGAGGGGAAATATCCCCGAAGGACAGAGGAGATAAGAGCAGGAGTGAACATTAAGAGCCTTTGGTTCACCATGCAGGTCTCACACCTATGAAAGTAGAAGGATAATTGAAAGATTCTGGCTGCAGAGGAATTTCAAGAAAGTTTTAGCTAGGCTGATGGGGAATCTTCCAGCCAAAATTATTAAAGAGTTACTAAATAATTACCTGCTACAGAGGATGGAACCAGCACCACTGTGGTGCTCCAACATTGACTCTGAGCAATTCAGAAATGGTTTTTATATGAATGTAGTTGTGGATCTGCAGGGCAGTACTGGTGGCTGTTATTTGACTTTGCTCCCTGTATGAGCAGATCTGAGCAAAACATTTCCATGATTGCCACCATTATACAGTAAGAAAAACTAAGAATGTAATTCTCCCCAGTTCCACATTCACTTAATTATCTTACTTGTCATCTTTTCCCCAAAAGCAAAAACAAAAAGCTTGCTGTATCTGATGGTGTATTCATAATTTTTTCTTGTTTTTGTGTTCCAAGATTTTTGTTCCTTAACATATCTTACAGATATTTTTGTATCAATTTATTACATATGCTTTATTATTTTTACTTGCTGTGAATAACTTCATTGTATAAAGTGTAAAAGGCATTTTTCTTTTGATGAATTTTGAGTTATTTTTCAAACTTTTGTTATTATGAACAATGTTAAATAAATTTTAATCTGTTCACGGTTTTTGTACCTATTTGAATATATCTGTAAGATAAGTCCCTAGGTATGGAATCACCTGGTCACAGGTCATTTATTTTAAAATCAAACATTTTATTTGTATATAATAGTAGATTCCCATGTGGTTATAAGAAATAATACAGAGAAATTTTCCCCATTTCCACTAATAGTAACAATTTGCCAAACTGAGGTAAAACAAAGCAACTGGGATATTGACATTGATAAAGTCCATCTACCTTATTCATATTCCTCTAGTTTTGCTTGTACTATTTACGTGTTTGTGTCTATGTAGGCATATGGGTATGTATGTATGTGGTGGGGGTGTTACACATAGTTCTATGCAATTTTATTATGATTATAGATTCATGTATTCAACACATTAGTCTCAAGATACTAAATAGCTCCTTCACCACAAAGATCTCTTGAGTTGTCCTTTTGTATCTATACTCACTTCTCTCCCTTACTCCATCTTAACACATTGCAACTACTACACTTGTTCTCCATCTATATACTTTTGTCATTTCAAGAATGGTATATAAATGGAATCATGGAGTACGTAACCTATTGGAATTGACATTTTTCATCAGCAAAATTATCTTGAGATTCATGTGAGTTGTTGCACACATGAATAGTTGTTTCTTTTTTATTGCTGAGTAGTATTGGATGGTATACATGTACCAGTTTGTTCAACGATTCAACTATACACAGGCTTCCGGGTTATTTTTAGTTTTTGGTTACTACAATAAATGCTTTAAGAAAATTCATGTACAGGATTTCTTGTCAACATACATTTCCTTTTTTTTTTTTTTCAAGAATAAATGCCCATGAGTGCAATTACTGGCTTGAATACTAATTGCATGTTAGTTTTCTAAGAAACAGCCACACTGCTTTCCATAGTGGTTGTACCATTTTACAGATTCCACATCCCTGCCAGCATTTGTTTTTGAAATTAAGGTTCATTATTTTGCCTATGGATATCCAGTTGCTCCAGCACCATTTGTGCAAAAGTCCATCTTTCTTCTACTGGATTGCTTGACCTGTTTGTCAAAAATTAGTTTCAGTTTTATATTTGCTTGTGACTATTTTCTGGATTATACATTTTCTTCCACTTATTTGTGGTCTGTCCTGCCAAGACAAGACATGCTTGATTATTCTAAGCCTTAATATTGGTTCATAATTTTTATTTTAAAATTTTATAAAACTGTCCTCCATTAGACTTATTTAAAATGTCACCAGCAATATATCAAGGTGCCTGTTTTGCTACATTTTCAATAATAACAAATATTGTTAAATTTGTTATAATTATCTAAAGTGTAAAATACAATATATAACTTTAATTTGCATTTCTCTTGGTATGAGTAAGGTTGAACACATTTTCACGTAGTCATTTATATTTATTTTCTAAGAACTATTTGTTTATATATTTTTCCCTTTTTCTGTTGAAATTTTTGTTTTTTATTTAAGGACTCATATCAATAATATTAGCATGTTTTATGAGTTGGGTATATATGGATATACACATTTATGTATATCAATTTGAGATGTAACTTCTTATTTTACTGATAAGGCATCTTTCAAAGTGAAATATTTGGATTTTCATGAAGTTAAATATATTAATTTTTTTTTGACATTTCTGGTATTCTAATTTTAAAGTATTTTCTTTTACAAATTAATTAGACTCTTTGTATGTCAGTCTCTTCATGTCCGACATGGGATAATAATAATATATATGTCATGTGGTTCTTGAAAGAATAAAATTAGTTAATGTATATAAAGTTCTTGAAGCAGTGATGGCACACAGAAGGCTACTATTTTTATTATTTTAAAATGCTGAGCTACATAATAAGTTTTAAGAAATTTAAAATTTCCAGAAAACTTCAATGAAAGCATGAAATGTAGTGATCTAGAGGATAACTAGTCCATATATTAAAAATTATATATATATATATATATTTCTTTTTCTTGGAATAAAAAAATGTAGAATTTGAAAATAACAGTGTAGTAGGCAGAATTCTATGGTAACCCCTAAAAGACACCCTATCTTGTATAGCCCTCTCCCTTTAAATGTGGTAGGATGTATGACTATGATGTATGACTATGTGATTGGTATGTTATATAACAAATGTTAAGGGATCTTGCGGATTCAGTTATGGTTCTAAGTCAGGTGGCTTTGTGTTAATCAAAAGTGATGTTATCACTGGTAGGCCTGGCCTAATCAGGCAAACCTTTTAAAGAGGGCCTAGAGGTCAGAAACTCCCTCTCCTGCTGACTTGGAAGAAGCAAGCTACTATGAGTTCTACAGTTGCAAGGACATTTATTTTTGCAACAACAATGTGAGCTTCAAAGTGAATCCTGAGCCTCAGATGAGTCTGCAGGCCTCATTATTATCATTATAATTACTATTTTAGTCTCAGAGACCCTGACGAGACAACATAGGTAAACAGTGCTCACATCCCTGACCCCTGAAAACTGTGAGATAATAAGTGGGAAATGATTTAAGCCATAAAGTTTCTAATAATGTTCTAAGCAGCAATACAAAATGAATACACATACCAAGAGCCAAAACATAGAGCGTCTCAAGATGCTTTGCAAAATCTCTTACATAAATAAACAGAGAATTTAATGGATAAAGGTAACATCCAGAAATGTTTGCCTCTAAAATGTATATTAATAGAATATGTGCCAGTGACATGCTTACATTTATTTTCCAGTATTGTTGCTCATTCCACTGCTAGTTCTCATACAACTTATTTCGTCTCTTATGACGTGTCAAGCATTTCAGAGTTAACTGCACTGAAAATGTCAAATAGGATGGATTCAGAGAAGCTTCAAGAGCTCATGCAATATACATCCAACAATTCTGCATGTGTACGCCAACCTGCTGTACATCAAGGACTTGACTCTTCACAACAGCAGGCTAATAACCTTCATTACCCTCTGCCATAATGAAGGAAGTTCTGAAAAAGACTTTCAAAAGAAAATAGCAATAACTTGATCTAAGACTTACAGATAAATCAAAGGGAGATAGAGGCAGCATATGTTAGTTAAATAACAAATTTAATTCCTGTCCAATCAATGATCTGTCTATAAACCGTAGTTAATCTAAACAGTACTGTTCTCCTCAAAGAACTGGAGGACAATCAAATTACAGGTTGAAATGGTGAGATAGAAATGTCACACAAAAATGTATGCATGTAAAAGAAATTTGAGTATTTATATAATTTATGTTATAGATTAAAAGTTACATTAATATTATAAAGTATATTTAAGATTAGAAAGTATATTTGTCTCCATTTTAAAGAAGAATGACTTCCAGTATTAAAATTTCAAGTATGAATATAAGTTTGTTGACATCAATTTCTGGTGTCTTTGAATTCATACTGATTTCTAATTGTAATTTAACCTCGTGAAAGGAAATTGAAGGAATGACGCAAGAAAGGAAGAAAAAAGAAGGAAGGAAAAGAAGAAAAGAAAAAACCTTTTTTAAATTTTTCCAAACATATTTTTATCCTGATACCTCAAATGCTCTTGCACAAAGACAATTATTCTATTGAAATAACGATTGTTTTGCCTTAAAAAAAACATGGGGGTAAACAATAAAAAATTAGTGCAGGTGGTATGCTATTTTTACCTAGAACTAAAATAGTTTCAGTTTCTAAGTTCCTTCTTGAGGTCACATTTGATTATAGTGGTTTCACTTGGGTGCAACCAGGGTTCTGTACTCAGTTGAACTTTGAAGAAAAATTAATAAGTGGACTATCTACGGACTATTTGTGGTTATATTTATAATCTGTTACTGAACAACTTCTATGAAAAGTTTTATTTTTATAATTTATTTTTACCTTTTAAGCATATTTTATTTATATGAGCCAGGGAGTGTAAGACCAAAAGCATTTGATTATTCTGTAGTGTTTGTGATACAATGTATGGCTCAATAAATTCAACATATGCAAAGTTGATGAGAAAGAGAAAAAGTGTTTTTATTTATTTAATTTGGAAGGTAGATATGTGGCTATAAAATTCATACTAAATTCAGAAAATATACATTAAATCATCACTTCTTGGTTGTCGATTCAGTCACAATTGTTTACTTTGTGAGGATACGAGAAAGGGAGGAGGTGGAAAGATAGCAATTCTTTACTAAATCAGCAAAAACTGAATAAAGCATCTATTTTATGTGGAATGTGAGAGTGTACGCATGCTATTTCAATTCAAGAATAATTTTTCAAATATTCTGTTATAATTTTATTTTATGGGTTAAATTTTATGAATTTTAATTAATTTATTATCTCCTTAGAGTCATAAGAATATGAAGCAAATATGTATAAAACAACTGAATCCTAAGGAGCAAAAGAAAAGATACAACTATTAATCAAGGCTAATCCTCATATAATATAGTGTGAAGAATTTCAAGAACCTTTATTATAATGAAAAATGACAAATTATAGTTCTATCCCAATGTATTCCTGACTTGACTAAACATCTTCCAATGACTGAAACTCTTCGTAGCTTCTTCTGTTGTTAGTGGTAATTTTAGACACTTCAAAGCATTAAAGATGAAGGAATTGCTCTATTTTACCAAATCCTGGGACAGCCCTGGTAATACAATGTAGACTGGAGAAATTGGGAGATTTTCCAGATGAACATTGGACAACTGTGCTCAATATGGAGGGTTCTATGCTCATTAAAAACAAAAACAAGCCAATATGGACAATAAAGTAATAGTTTTTGGGAGGGAGTGTTTAAAGGATGTCAGGAATGTATTCCAGCCTAGATTTATTGTTTGTTATCGAAAAGTCCTCAGAAGCATGTGCCTCCTGATTCTTATTGTATGTTTATTATTTCTTTATATGTCTATATCTGTGCTAAAATGTTAATCCAGCAAAGACAGTGACTTTATCTGCTCATCCTTGAATCAGTCTTAGTGTACTGAAAGCAATTCTCAAAATTTTCACCTGGGATGTGAGTTATTCTAGACTTGTACAAAAGGCAAGTCTTCAAACATAAAAGTAAAACCATGTTAACATGACTCAAAGCAAATAAATTCCTAATTCTCAGCCTGACAGTATGTAAGTTGCCAGTGCATTATGAGGCAGTGTAATGTCGTGGTTCTGAGGTTAAACTTTCTGTATCTGAATCCCAATCATACTCTTTTTAAAAAGCTTAATCTTCCCATGCCTCATTTCCCTCATGTATAACCTTCTGATTAAAAATGTAAGTCAATGAGTTAAACACATCATCAAATTGTACACAGTGGGGAATTGCTGGAGTTGAGTTGTTCTGTCACAGTACATATCGGTACCAGCATGTTTTGGGATATTTTCTGAATTATACATAGTTAATGAGTTAACTTCTATGAGAGCATTGCTTATATTGTACTTCCACATCAAAATTCAGAAATCTTTCTGGAAAGCATCAGAATACTTTGTAAACCATATCAAAGAATTAAAATTAAATTATAGCTGTGTTCATTACTTGTGAACTTCTTTATCAAATATTGATACCACTCTATGACCAGACTGTTATTATATATCTCCAGCCATCAAACACGCCAGAAAATGGCCAGAAACAACTCCTTAGTGCACCTGGGCATGGCTTTGCTACTGCAGCCTAAGGGAAGTGTTTTTGTAGTAGTAGAATCTTATGGACATTTGTGTTTGTGTTGCTTGAATAATTCTTAACATAGAGATGACAAAATGAATATATTTTGCTAACGTGACAGAATCTTATACAACAAAATCAGTGAAACTTGATGCAATTAGAAATTTCAATGACATCACTTGCACAACTGACACTTCAACGAAATTCCTTGTTTTTATTAGTGGGATTATTTGTTCTTTTGTTTCCCTATTCCTTATATAAGGTGAAACAAGATGCTATGTTATCAAAGTTTATCCTCATAAAATGTGCTTGATGAGTCAACTGATGTTGATGACTCTAGTTACTAATATGTGTGAAGTAGGTAAAGAAGAAAGTGATCACAGAGCAGTTATTTTGCTTTGAAAAAATGTGATTAATTTGAAAGGAGTCAATGTGTTCAATTATGTCAGGGATGTCTCTAGGAAGCCTAGATAATCAAGGCTGCTTTTTAATTGGCTACAAAAAGCAATTGGGATATTTTGTGTCTAGGGAAAGAAAGTATCATGATCATACAAATGTGTGTTGTACCATCATGCACATGCTATTTGACTTGCTAAGGAATTCAAAATATGAATTTTCTACTGTATAGTGCATGGAACAATATATATTAAAGTATACTGTGAATTACTGTCTCATTGGAGGTTTTATCAAAGAAACAGTTACCCAAACTAATGATCCTTTGAAAAACAAATGTGAAGTGGCTCTCCTGTGGTGAGATCATCACTAACATTTTTTTTGAAACAAGTAAAAATTACATTTTAGTTAAAGACCTATCAAAAAAGAAAGCTGATTATTCTCCTAGAAAATATGGTAAATGAATATTTTTCGTAAGTGAGGTTAATAAATATATACAAATTATTGGGAAGAACAGACTAGGAAACAAAAAGAAATTGGAAACTATATTTTAAAAAGAACTATCTGTTTTGATAAAACACTTCAAAAGTATATTTTAGCTCGATTTTATTTTTTCTTGAAAAAGCATTTCTTCTAGGAAAGGAAGCACTGTTCATTGTATTTGATGTGACAGTATTTGTTGGATCCATTTCATTTTAATTGCTCTGTGATGGTGATTGATATACCAGTCTATCCTGGAATCTGAATAAATTGTGAATTAATAAAGCTCAAGTGTTTGGTTTATTAGCTCTATTTTCATAACTAGCAAAATAACTATGTACATGGGAAGCCGGCATGCTCTATTTTAGTGCATGTACGTACAAATTACTGTCCTCAAAATAAAGCATTCTTCACCCATCTGTCCAAGCAGTTCAGTATTTCTGTTTCCTAAGATGTCAAGCCCAGGAGCCCTCTTCTTAAATTCAAAGGGCAAGTACCATTTGTTACTGAAACCCACACTGTGCATGCAAACCTTCAGCTTACCCAAGCCTTTGTTGTGACTGCCACCACTTTCATCTCACTATTACTGAAACACAGCACTGTTGATTTTGTCAAAGAGTAGTACTGATTGTGACACGTTTGCTGTATGAGTTGTAACACAGATCTACCTGATTGAGAAGCAGCCCAAATACCAAAATTTCCAAGAGCTCATCTCACCACACTGACATAGGCTCATGTCCCAGGATTGCTGGTAGGGCTGAGCCACTTTCTTCAATTGTACATACGTTAAGGATTAACGATTTCCTTCTCAGGCTTCTGTGGATCCTTCAGGTTCTGGGAAGGAACATTTGTTCTAAACCCATTATTTGTCAACTGCCTTATACCACAAAATTGTCCTGGATTCCCTGCCTAACAGTACGTTAGATTTATTAGAATGTGGGAGAAAGAAAGAAAGGGAGAGAGAGAGAGTGAGAGAGCAAGCATGTTCTCAGGTAGGCTAGGAATGGGCATGATTCATAGTTTGCAATTTCATGAACACAAAAATGTCCTCTCTTCATTACCAGTCTGGATGCAGGATCAACTAATTGTTATGTCCTTTTTTAACTCTATGATCATTTTTCATGCTTCCTTTTTTTTTGTCCCTTTGTTTCGATCACCTGGTTCATTATGATGGATATTAATAATTTAGAATATTTGGGATGAGCAATTGGGATGAATATTCCTTCATATCAAAAGATCTCTGGGCTCCTTAGTCATGCCAACCCTCCCCTTTTCAGGGAAATTTAAAATCTGCTAGTGGATAATTTTCTTAAAAACAAAATAATATGGCTTGGAATGGTGGCTCATGCCTGTAATTCCAGAGCTTTGTGAGGCCGAGGTGGGAGGATTGCTTGAGCTTAGGGGTTTGATACCAGCCTGGGAAACATAGCAAAACCCTGTCTTTACAAAAAAATACAAAAAATAGCTGGGCTTGGTGTTGTGTGCCTGTAGTGCCAACTACTTGAGAGGCTAAGGTGAGAGGATCGCTTGAGCCCAGGAGGTCGAGGCTTCAATGAACTATGATGGCACCACTGCATTGCAAGCTGAGGATACAGAGTAAGACATTGTCTCATTTAAAAAAAAAAAAAAAGGAAAGAAAAGAAAGATGGAAAGAAAGGGAGGGAGGGAGGAAGGAAGGAAGGAAGGAGGGAAGGAAGGGAAAATAATATATTCTGCCTTATTGGACAATATACTGTTTGTCTTTGAAATAGGAGAATCATCACCATTATATGTCAAAACAAAGACTAGCAACTACCTAAAGAAAAGTGATAAAATACATATGGCAATTCTGAAAGTAGTCCTTCACTTCTTTAATGATATTTAGCAATGCAAAAGTAGAAAAGCCACTGAGCCAGTTAACTTTAAAAATGTTTAAGACACACACTTTTTATATCCTATTATTGTTGTTACTGTTATTTTAAAATTAAATATAATTTTTATCCTTTTATAATTTTCTTAAATGATTTTTTAAAAAGAAATGAGAAATTTTGAAACAAATTGCTAGAAAGGTTAAGACTCACTTGTCTGGCTCTGCTTAGGACATTTGCAACACATTATAGAATGAATTAGAAAATTAATATGATTTTATGCAGTGAATAAATATATGAATAAACAGAATTTACATATTAAGAAAGGTGTACAAATATTATCTGAAAAGATTCCCTGTCTATGAGTTTGATGGGAACCTCATACCCATTTTTTTAAGTCTTGCTAAAAACTATTCAGTGTTTTTAGAAGCATAGTCAATAACTGACATAAAAATTGTAACAAGGAATAAGCAATTTGCAAGGTTGAAGATATATATTTTAAGCCAGGGGAGGTCGATATGACCTATTCTCTACCATCTTTATTAGGGCTTAGAAGTGAAGTATCATTATCCTTAAGTCAGTACTATTTTCTGCTCGGGCAGTTGAGACTGAGTCAGACAAGCTCTCTCATGACCGTCTCAGTCCTTATATTTAATTGAGATGGTCTCTGTAAGAAGAATGGACTTTCCAGTACCGTAATAATCCATAAAAATAGTGTTATTCTGTATCACGAGGGATAACTAGTTCATATATGTAATAAATAAAAAGTTCCCTGAATTGGGTAAGAAGAATTCTTTCTGGGAGAAAATAAAGACCTACAGAAAGCAATTTACAACAGTGATGGAGGATTAGGATGCTATTTAGAACCTTCATGTTGTGTCTCAAATTTATTCTGCTTATCTTTTTTACAATGACTCATAATACTCCTGTACCCTTAAGAATCATATCTTAAGGATTTTTGCTTAAAATAACTGAGAAGTAAGTTTTAGGATAAACTTTAGGATATCCGCCACTAAATAAATTGTCTTTATGTACATGCAAAATTAATTTTAGTGTATAATTAACTGTATGCTCTCAGAATTCCAAACAAATTTCCTTTGTGCTTGTGTTAGTTTTACATGAAGCTTTAAGTGACATTTCAGATTACATTCAAACCCCAACCTGTGAATCAAAATGAAACATCATGTGTATTGAAAGCCTTTTTATACGAGGTGAAATGTCCACTGGCTGTCCTTTATGTTAGCAGTGGTTTAGCATCCTGGTTACCTACCATTTAATTAGAGTGTGATATTCGCTTAGTTGTCTGTGTCTACTGGTGTCATTAAAAACTGAAAATTTGCCACCAAAAGAAAGAAAACATTTTCATTTCAGGTATAATTGAAATGCCTTAACAATTTAAAAAATCTTACCTCTGTCATTGTACTGTGTGCTCAAAATAGGAATAGTTTCAGTTTGGTAAGCTCTGATTGACTTATCTTTCATTATACATGGTCTTTCTCCATAAAAGGACTACCTTGTCTGATAACATTTTCACCAATTATAGCACTCCTTTGTACAAAGCCATTGTTTCCAGAAGGCCCCTGTTAAAATGCAAATACGCCATCTGGCAGGCTTTTACCTCATTAGCTCTCACCATCACAGCAGGACATATTATGTATCATATTAGATATGGAAGAGACACTGAGCTGATGAACTCTGACTAAGAGAAGATGGTTGGAAAAATCCCAAGTAGAGAGGGTGCTTTGGGATATCGCCTAAGGGCAATAGAGCAGAAAGAGGAGAGTAAGATGCATGGTGAGGGAACTGCATTTCCAAGTTTGGCATCTCATCCAGGCCCTGGCTGTGATGGATTCACAGAAACACAGACTGCCAGAGCTGGAAGAGAATTTTGAAAACATGTAATCAAACACCTTTACCTTACAGATGAATAACCTGAGCCTGCAAATAGCTAAATGGCTCCGCTAAGTGCCCCCAGCTAGATTCTTATCATTAGTTCTTGAAGCCCAGAGGACCAGCACTTACCTAATGCGTTAGCACTTCACAATGTGTAAAGCTGCATAATTATTCATATGTAATTTCATGTATATGCTTACTGAATTTTACTCTCAACCACTACATTGAAATTCCTTAAATTTTCTTGTTTCTTTCCATGGAAGCAGCTGGAGTGGCAATCGTCCCTGCTCCAGCCACTGCTGCCCAAAGTCAATCTCACAGCAGAAGTAAAGTTTAGTTAAGAATTCAGAGACGCTAAGCTCCTAGGCAACCCTGCCCAGATGACTGGGTGTTAAAGCATTTAGAAAAATTTCCCCAGGGATCATAATCCCAAACCCAAGTCCTGACATGGAGACATAGTCTTGTGTTCTGTCTGGAAAATTAACTTCCTCTCGGATTCTGACTGTGGCAGTTGTGACTGTAAATTTTCAACATGGGGACATGAAATGAAAACCTGATGCCTAAGCTTACCTCTCAGAGCTGTATTTTGTAGGTGAGACTTTATTTCTGCAGGTCAAAAGAAAATATTTTCTACTAATATTTGAACAGAAGCAGGACATTCATAACTGAAGAAATAGTATGGCTTGAGTTTTGAGGCAGGGATAGATGAGATTTCTCAAGAAGTACTCAGTAAACTTTTAAGATGCTGACATGCTTTACTCTAACCAGAAAAAAAATTCAGGGTTTTCTTCAAAAGCCCTAATTTCAAATATTCATTTCCATTGTCCATATTTAGTTTAAAACTTAACACTTTTTTTTTCTGATTCTAAATTAACAAACTCTACCTGTGGTAGCTGTAGAAAGAGAAATGTAATATTAAGAAAACTGTAACAGCCTCAGCCTTCTCTACTACTGTTTTTTGTTTGTTTGTTTTTGTTTTTGTTTTGAAACGGTGTCCCTCTGTTACCCAGGCTGGAGTACAGTGGCACAATTTCGGCTCACTGCAGCCTCAACCTTTCGGGCTCAAGCAATCCTCCTACTTCGGCCTTTCAAGTAGCTGGGACTACAGACACTCACCACCACGCCCGGCTAATTTTTTGTATTTCTGATAGAGATGGGGTTTTGCCATGTTGCCCAGACTGGTCTCAACCTCTTGAGCTCGGGCAATGAGCCACCAAGCCAGCTACCTCCGCGGCAATTTCATCATCTAGAAAAAACTCTGTAAACCTCATGTTCTATTTCTGTGCATGATTGTTAGCTATGAATTCAGAAGTTCCTCTGTCCCCTTCTTAACTCTTCTCAGAGAAGCCAAGAATCCATTTCCCCAGATTCCCTCCTCTTTGTGAATTCAGGTTAGAGTTTTACAAGTGAGAGGGACTGACAGGAGCTTCTAACAGCAGAAGAAAATGAGAGGCCATTATTCCTTGGAGAAAGTGGCAAAGAGACTCTGGAGCACACGGAAGGTTGAAAATGGCTTTCCCAGTGGGCACTGAAGAACTACCCACTTGGCTGCTGTTGACTGAGATAATTGGTTAGAGTTTCTCCAAGACTGAGAAATGCAACAGCTCCTTGTGGAGAATGTAAACCCTAAAGTGAAATCTCTCACATCTGTAGTTCATAGAGTGCCTTCTGTTTCCTTGATTAAATTCTGAGCATACATTTTTCTGTTATTTGGGGTGTGTGTGTGTGTGTGTGTGTGTGTGTGTGTGTATGTGTGTGTGTGTGTATTTTTAATACTCTGGTTTTATTTATTAATATTAAATTATATACCATCATTAAATGTTTTAATGATTATATACAATTGTATTTAATAATTTGGGGGTGTTTAACCATTCTCCATATTGGGCACTTAAGAATATTCTATTTTGAATTCTATTAAAAATGCTGAAATGCACAAAAGCTAACAAATTTTGTCTACACTTGTGATTATTTTATTAATATATAGTTATAAATAAATTTACTGTGTCAAATTAGAATCATGCTTTAAGGCATTTGATGTCTATCTTTTTTTTTTTTTTTGCTCAGAGAGACCATATAGATTAAATTTTAATTAGCAGTGTTTGACTGCTTTTATTATTCTATTGCATCATTAATATGAAGTAACGTGGAACTTTTCAGACCATCTATTCTGATATGTAGTTCGACAAACATAGCCAGCCAACCCTTGTGTTTTGCGCAAAGTAGATGTTTCATAGGTATCTGATGACAAAATACTAAGAATCTCGGCAGAGCGTTTGCTGAGGAAAGAATGTATTTTAAAACCGACATAACGTTCAGTTTGCACCCAGGAGTTTCAAAAAGCCAACAAAAATATTTTTTCAGTTAAAGAGTTGGAATTTCCCATTGAATATTTCATTTCACTAGCGTATTACTAATGATTCTAATTATCAAGGCATTTGGCAAGAGTTTCAAGAAGAGCAGACTGGTTCTGGGGGGCCTTACAAGGAGAATACAGTGTGGAGCACCAGATGCAGCTGTAGCCAAGAAGGCTTTAATGGCATGCAATCTCCCTTTAGGTGATAACATATAAACCTGGTGTAAGTGCTACCTATGGATGTTAAGTAAAATGTTCAACCTGTTATCCCTTTGAGTAGGAGTGTAAGACCTTGAGCAATAATCTGGGACCTTAAAAAACAAGAAAACCATCAAGATTTTTTCCTGTGGCTGTGGTTCATTGCCTGGGGGTTTGTAATATATCAATGCCCTGAAAATAGTCTATGCCTGTTGGGGTGAGTCAAAAGGTTTAAAGTTAAAATAGAATGGAGAGCAGCTCTAAGCCAAGATGGGACTAGAAGAGGCCCTTTAAATGTATCTCAAAGACAGTTTCACAAATATGCCAGAATTCCTCCAAGAAAAAAAATAAACAACAAAAAGAGCAAAGAGTAATATTAATTAGATTGGAATTCAGTAATGAGGGATACACACTTTGAGCCTTGAGGAAGGTGAATATAGAATCGGAAATAGTGATTGCACGTGGAACTACAAAACCAGTAAATTTCTGAGTTGTAAAATTATTGTCACTTATTTTAAATATTTTTAAACAAAATGTATGACATCACTTGAATATTGCTACCATAAAGTATGTGTAAAAGTAATGAAATAATGGAGTAAATTTTAATTTAATATATGCAAGCTAAGTTATATTTTGATAAATTTGTCTCTAATCTTCATCTCTTCTTCCTGCTTATTCCATGATGTTTGCATCATACACTTTAATCTGCATCAAAACTCTTTGAATCTTAAAGTACCAAGTTGTTGGTCCAAGTGCTCACATTTTCCTACAGAGAGAGGTCTATAAATTGTAACTCATAGCCTCCCTCAATCACCTGATAGAGAAGGGCCTGCGACAAATCCAAACAAAAGCCAATACGTTTTTTCCTTGGATACAATTTCTGCCAAAATTCTCATTTTTTTGCCTTTTCTTTATGCATGGAAAGTCAGATAGATAGCTAGATAATAGATATACACACAGCTAAAGATGACAGTCTTTTAAACATTTTAGTCCAAAATTTCCTTTCTAGTTTATATTACTTTTTCAACAAGAGTGAGAAAGACTCTTCCCTCCTTAACTATTCTCATCTCTCCCCATCTAGCTTTGATTTAATTTTATTTTTGAGCTGTCTTTGTTGTGTTTTCTGTAAAATGAATTAAAATTCCTTAACAACTGATAAATCTTATTTTGGGGGGGATCCCCTGAATTTTAGCCTGTATTTCATTTCAGAGATTTTTTAAGTTTACCTTAGCAAAATAATTCCCTAGAACTTCCTTGGAATTTTATTTGGAACAGTTGATTTAAAATCAAATTTAAAAAGTTGTGCAAAAGTATACCATCACACAGAATGAGCTACAGAATCTACAGGGCCCATTGCAAAATGGACATGCAAGACCCCTTGTTAAATAACTATTAAGACAGCAGATAGAACTGTAGTGCACCATTAAGCAAAGCATGGGCCCTTCTAAGCTCCACAGTTTGCATAGCATGAAGCTGGCAATGCAATCACCTATAGAATAATGATTAAAATGGAGAAGTTAAAAGACTTTATATGAAGGTGGTTATTTTGAAAAATCATGTAAAATTGAAACCAAAATTTGTTTCCCTGTTGCGTTCAGATAAATGGTCTGTGTTCCATAGCCACGAGTCAGAAATGTCAGTGCGTTTTTCAATTACATATACTGGTCACTGGCAAACAGGATTTCTCAACCAGTATTGGCATTTGGACTGCATAATTCATTGTTGTGGAAGGCTGTACTGTTCACGGTAGGATGTTTAGCATTGTATCTGTCCTCAATCAAGCAGCACGCATCCCTTCTCATCTGCCAAAGTCTTGACAACCAAACATGTCTAGAGACATTGCCAAATATCCTGTTGGTGGAGAAATCACTGAATCACTGTATTTTAAAATTTCCTTTTTCTATATAATGGAATATTTCACACATACAAAAATAGGGAGGATAGTATAGCAAATCCTCATGTATCCATTGCTCAGCTTCAACAATCATCAATGTTTAGCCTTTCTTTGAACCGCTGTTTTAGAGACTACTTCATTTTCAGGTTTCTCATTCAAGATGATCTCTGGGGGTATTGGCTGAAATACACATTTTCCATGGTTGGATTTCAGAGATTCTAATAGTGTAGGTCTTGAGTAAAGCCCAGGAAAATGCACTTAATATAGACAACTGATGACTATGATATAGCTACTCTAACTTTACACTTAGAAAAATACGGATGTATAGATGAATCAGTGCAAGTAGAGCTCTATAGTTAGTTGAGTAGAACTTAATGATGGTTAGGTGCTATGGTCATATTTACTTAGGACAACACACATATATGGCCTCTAGATGAATGTGCAAGTCTCCAATTCAATTTGCTTTTGTACACACAGACCCAATCTGCTTTGCAATTAGGTAAGCACCCATTGGGCAGAGTGAAAATTTGGAGGCTGTAAAATAAAACAGGTAAAGATTTTTATTTGTCAGTGAGACTACATAAAATAATGATCAGCTAATGAAAGTACAATAGGACTGAGCATTCATAATTTTCAGTGTGAATTGGAATAGATGGCCTCATTGAAATGATACCTGATGTCAAATTATTAAGGAGATTTCCCATTTCTTTCGGACTAAACTTGATTAATTAAATATTATTTGAACACAAACAAGGTCAAATGTCTGAAGGCAGGCTCAATGAATTCATCCAATTACAGAGAAAAGTACTAAAATTTTTTAAATGAATATTCATATGACTGATACAGTTTTCTAATTTGTTTCCAGATGTTTCAGATTCCATGCTGTGGTATGTTCAAAAGACTGGTAGACAGCAAAAACAACAGGGAGTCCCTCTCATTTTGCATATCCTTCCTACTTTTTCCATTAATCTATGAGTCTCTTTTAGTATATTTCTGCCTCAGAGACTCTGTTCCCAGGTTCTGCCTTCTGAGCCAAATATCTTGAATGTCCTAATTTAGGAAGGCAAAGATCAAGTCTGAATAATGTCAGTCAATGAAGAAACCAAATACCAACTTTTTAGACTTATTTCACTTTTTACCCTAGCTGCACTCAGCCACTGACCAGGCAATCCCACCCCCTCCCATTTTTAACTAGGATTCAAGGAACCCAATCCCAACAAGGTCTTTGAGAAGCTCCTACTCGCATCTCACACTCACCTAGAAGCACATATTTAAACCAGGGTTGTTACAACTTTCTTTGTAAATAGTCTTTCTAAAGGAGATGAGCTCTACAGGAAACTTAAGATCAGTTGTAAACAATAAGTAAAAACTAAGGATGAAATATATTATCATTCTCATCTCATGAAAGTATCTTGCATGTATCTTGCCATATCTTTAGAAACTGTTTAGAAAGGTTTATAGTATCCTGAGAAAGTGTTTCTTTTGGAAAATATCAACTTTGTTCTCCCAATTAGCCATGCCTTTGCACAAATCTATCAATGTCAACTTATTTTCATTATATTTCTTTGGCTTCTTCCAAGATATCTATACATGTGTTCATCAAGGCTCATTTTCATTGAAGCAATGAATGTCATCCATTGAATGAAATACTTCCTCAGAAAAGATATAGCTAGACATATAATTTACAGAGCATAACATGACAAAATCTGGGTATGAGGGGATATCATTTTAGTCCAAAATATTTGTTCTTTCTTGCATTTTATTTATATAGTGAAGACTTATAATTTTTTAAAACCACCTCTTAATTTAGATTGTTAATCTGAATATCTCAGCAACAATCCGTCATGAGATTTGAAATATACATATCATTCAGAATAGATAAATTTGTTCAGGCCAATCTCTGAATATGTATTGCACAAATACAAATTTTATAAACACACATTTAAACTTTTCACACATCCTTGGAAGAGTAAAGAATTGAAAGCCATGCCCAAAGTGGGAAAAATGTAGATTTGGGGGTATTGTAAGACTATCTTCGTATAGATAAATTTTTCAAAACACCCTTCACATTGTTACAGGTGGGACTTAGTACTTGGGCTTACTTGAAAGTCTTGAAAACAACAGAGAGAATGTTAACAACATGATAAATAATTTGTACTTGGATTGAATCTGAGATATGACGTAGTATGACCTAGTCTGACCACAAATACAGATGTTGTCCCACATAAGACTTAAGAGATGCAGAAGTTTGAATGGGAGATGGATTTCCCTATATGGACTGTCATCTTGTATACTCTTATGTGTTGGATTATTTGTTCTCCTTGATCGTCATGCTCTTGGATGTTATGAACTCAATTATCCAGCTTTCTAATAACACACATTAAAAGAAACTTCCTTGAAGCTCAAGAACAATTTAAGGTGGTTTGCCAGATTGCTTCACTGCAGAACTTTTCTCAGGCTGCATGACCCATATTTTTTGCTTTCTAAGATTAAAAATATCTAAATTTTACTACATTCTCAGAAGCTTTTAATATATGAATGCTTAATTTACATTACTTATATTTTAATGCTAACTCTGCCTATCACTTTTACATTAAAAAATCATTTTTATAAACATGAGTCTTACTTTTTTTTCTCAAAATGTCCTGTGAGGTATATAAAGAGCTATTATAATCTTCATTTTACAGATGGTAAATTTTTTTCTAAAGGACACTGCCACTTCCCTGAGAACACACATATACACTCAGTAAATAACAGATGATAGACATAGCTTAAGCCTGTGGATTCTGGCTAAGTGTTCTTGCCATAACTCCAAGATACCCCTTTACACTACTTGTGTTTTAGGGGTATGGGAAAAAAGATTACACCTGAGAGACTGACTATGTAACTAACAAGAAAGTTTACAGCCACTCAGAAGAGTTAGAAAGTGTATAAATGTCCACTACACTAAAAAGGGGCAATTAAATTGTTAATTTGGGAGTAAACGAAGATGTAAAAACAGAAGCAAAGATTAAAGTGATACATCTACAAGCAAAGGGCTGGTGGTAGCCATCAAAATTTGGAAGTGGCAAGAAACAGATTCTCCTATAAATTCCAGAGGATGTATGACCGTGTTCACACATTGATTTTGTCTCATTGAAACTGTGAAATATATATTTATGTTGCTTTAAGCTACTAAGTTTGTAGTAATTTGTTACAGTGGCAAAATTAAACTAAATTTGATACCAAGAAGTGAGATACTGCTGTAAAAAATACCTAAAAAGGTGGAAGTGCCTTTAATAACAGTAGTGAGTAGGGGTTGAAGGAATTTTGAATTACATGACAGAAAAAGTCTGTTGACTTTAACAGACTGTTGGTAGAAATATGGATGCTAAAGACTGCACTAGTGAGGGCTCATAATGAAGGGTGGAATATGGTAGAGAAAGCCTGTTTTGTCTAAGACTGTGTATATGTACATATATTTCTACCATATTAGTAGAAATATGAATATTTGTTTATTTGGTGAGGGCCCAGAAGGAAATGAGAAGCATGTATTGAAACCTGGAAGAAAGGTAGTCCTTGTGGTGTAGTGGCAGAAAACTTAGCAAAATTGTATCCCACAGTTGTGCAGAAGTCAGAATTTGTGAGCAATGAATTTATATATCTTTAGCTAAGGAAATTTCTAGGCAAAGTTTAGAAGGTGCATATTGGTTTTGCCTTGATGCGTATAGTAAAATATGAGAAGAAAGAGATAAATTGAGGGAAGACTTTTAAACAAATGACACCAAGACTTGATGATTTGGAAAATTCTCAGCCTTTCCAGTTTGTAAAAGATCCTAAAATCAGGAGATCCACTGTTAGGAAAGCCTGTTCTGCCAATAAAGTCAGTGTTGTGGCTGGACTACCATTGCCTAAGGCTTCTAAAGTATAAAATGTTTAAAGTATTTTCTCACAGAGAGAAAAAAATTTTTTAAGAGAATAAGCATGTAACTTATTGATCCACTCAACCGTATCAGTAGAAATTAGGAATAAAGATGGAATTTTCCAGGTAAAATTTGGTCTACCTGTGTAAATAAAAATTTATATTTATTAATTCATGGCTGACATGACCATATATTTTTTCAATGCATTTTGGCTGTAGATTATTTGAGAAATAATTTTTGATAAAATGTTAATTTTAGAATACATTTAGAATTATAGAAAAGTTTCAAAGATATTACAGAGAATTTTCATACACCATACACCCAGTTTCCTTTATTGTTAGCATCTTACATTAGTATGGTACTTTTGTCACAATTAACAAACCAATATCGATTCATCATTATTAAATAATATCCACTCTTTATTCATATTTCCTTAGTTTGTAACCTAATGATCACTTTTTCTGTTTCAGGATCTCATCCAAGATGCCACAATACTATTTAGTCATTAAGTCTCTTTAAAGTCCTTGAATCTTCTATTTCTCACCCATTTTTCCATTTCTAATGGCCCTGATACTTTTGAAGATCCATGATCACGTATTTTTTAAAAGGTTTTTCAGTTGGGTTTTATCTTATGTTTTTCTCATTATTAGATTGGGACTATGCGTTTTAGGAAGACCACAGAGATAAAATGCTTTCTTAATCACATCCTACCAAGGGTACATTTTATTAAGATGACTTAGCACTGTTTATGCTGGCCTTGATTGCTCCACTGAATATTTACTCTTTTTATCTCCTTTTCTCATATTGCACTCTTTAGAAGAAAGTCACTAGGCACACCCCACATGTAAGGAGTGAGACTTGTACTTCACCTGTGGATGGCTGCATATCTACATAGATTAACTGAATTTTTCTGCATGGAATATTTGTCTCTTTTATTAAAAAAATTAATTTTTAAAATTTACTTTTTTATTTACATCAACATGAATTTGTGAATATTTATTTTCTACTCCATCTTATAGTTCAATGCTTCTTTACTTTTTTGTTGACCAAATTTGTCCATAAGGTATAATTTCCATTGGCTCCAATATCTCTCTGACATAGCAGCATCACTGTGATATTTTTGCATAATCCTTACTTTATGGAACTACACAATGTTTCAGGCTCATCTCAATTATTTCCTGCCATAGCTCTAGGATCCGTCATTTAGAAAGTTCTGATTTTTTTTTTTTTTGCTGTTGTTGCAGAATGTATTAGAAATTAATCCCTGTGTGCTACATGTGCTTAGTGATATGGGGCATCACAGTTTCTAGGTCCTCTTGGCTGACAAATCAAGGAAATATATGCATGGATATTAACCTATAAATATACATGTATTAATTTGATAAGGCTGCCACAATGAAGTTCCACAGACAGGTGGCTTAAATAGCAGAAGTTTGTTTTCTCACAGCTTTGGAGGCTAGATGCCCAAGATCAAGATGATGCCCAGGTTGGTTTGCTGTAAGACCTCTCTTCCTGGCTTGTAGATGGCTGCCTTCTTGCTGTGTCCTCACATGGTCTTTCCTCTACGTGTGTGCATGCACAAACACAGTACATGCAGAAAGTGGGAGGTGCAGAGAGAGAGATCTTGTGTCTCTTCCTTTTCTTGTAAGGAAACCAGTCCTATTGGATTAAGGCCCGCCTTCATAACATCATCTAACCTTTATACCTCTTTATAGGCCTTATCGGCAAATATAGTCACATTTGGGAATTAGAATTATAACATAATTCAGTACAAACCAGGCCATGACTCTCTGTTTTGGTGATTCAAATTAGATTTATTTTCATGAGACCTGGAATTCTCTCACTTATACAGATACAATAAGAATTTAGTAGACTGCTCATCTGTTTCTTTTCCCCCTCCTTGAAATTCTATATCAACTAGGCAATACTATATGTCTCTGTCAGTCAGGCTACTCTGATTACTGCTTTAACTCTCCTATTTATCATAGTAACCACAACTACCTTGTCTTTAGCTGTTGGCATCCTGGCATCTAATTACCCCCATTGCATTTAGAAATTCCAGTTCAGTGGCAGTAGCTGCCACTTTAATTTCAGACCTGCAAAGAAGACTGACCACAGAAAATGAGTAGCACTATTACTGGTTTGTAAGGGAAGAGTATGTTTAGCCTGTAAAAGATTGCACAACTCTCTTCCAAAGTGGCTGTACCATAATGTATATCCACTGACAATGAACGAGCATTCTTATTGTTCCATATACTCACCATCAATTGGTATTGTTAGTTTTTTGGATTTCATGCATTCTAATAGATGTGTGGTGGTGTCTCCTTGTTTTGATTTGCATTTCTCTTATGACAAATGATTTGGGGTATCTTTTATATACTTATTTTCCATCTATATCTTCTTTGGTAAAGCTCTGTTCAGGCATTTTGCCTATTTTTAATCGGGTTGTTTTTCTCATTGTTAATTTTATGAATTATTTGTATATTTTTGGATGCAAGTTCTTTACCAGATACGCATTTTGCAAATATTTCCTCCCAGTCTATGGCTTGCCTATTCATTCTCATAACAGTGTTCTTTGTAGTGCAGGTTTTTAATTTTAAAGAAGTCAATTTTATCAATTTTTTTTCTTTCAAGAGTTATGTTTTGGTATTACATATACAAACTCTTACCAAATGTACAGTCAGGTATATTCCTACATTATCAAGAAATTTTTAGTGGTTGGTATTTCACATTTAGGCTTGTGATCTATTTTGAGTCAATTTTTCTGTAACACATAAGGTCAGCATCTAGTTCAAGTTTTTGTATGTTGATTTCCAGTTATTTGGTGTCATTTGTAGCAAGGACTATCCTTTTCCATTAACTTGTCTCTGCACCATTAGTAAAATCAGCTTACAATACATGTATGGATTTTGATATTTTGTGTTTTTAACGAATTGGTCCATTTCACCTAAGTTATGATTATGGGCAAAGAACTATTTATATTCTTGTCTTACTATAATTTTAATGTTCATGAGATCAGTAGTTATAGCCCATCTTTCATTTCTGATTTTTGCTTAGTCTGGCTAGATATTAATCAATTTTATTGATTTTCCTAGAGACAGCTTTTAAGTTCATTGGTTATTCTCTATTATTTTCCTGTTTCTAATTTCATTGATTTCTAGTCCAATATTTGTTATTACTGTTCTTTTTCATTTATCAGGTTTAATTTTCTCTTCTTTTTCTAGTTTGTTAAGGTAGAAGCTTAAATTTCTTATTTGATAAAATGTAAGGTCATCAGTTTTCTTCTGAGCACTACATTTGCTGTATGCAAATTTCCATAATGTGTGTATACATTTTCACTTAATTCAGAATATGGCTATAATTACTCTTAATATTTCTTCTTTGTGTTATTTAGACATATGTCATTGGTTTCTAAATATCTGGAGATTTTCTAATTATGTTCTTTTTACTGATTTCTGTTTAATTTTACTGTGGACTGAGAATATGCATTGTATGATTTTTTTAAATTTTTTGAAGTTATGGTTTATGGTCATAATATGGTCTATTTTTGAGA
Source organism: Homo sapiens (assembly GCF_000001405.40). Taxonomy (NCBI): domain Eukaryota; kingdom Metazoa; phylum Chordata; class Mammalia; order Primates; family Hominidae; genus Homo; species Homo sapiens. The sequence continues at coordinate 24,951,424 of NC_000009.12, forward strand.
AAGTTCCATGCAAACTTGAGAATAATAAGTATTCCTTTGTTACTGAATTGAGTATTTTATAAGTGGCAATTAGATCATGTTGACTGACATTGTTCAGGTGCTTCCCTTTGATCTATCAATTACTGATAGAGAGTGTTGAACTGTCCGGATATAATAATGATTTTTTTCTATTTCTCCTTGCAGTTCTGTAAGTTTTTGGCTCATTATTTTGGTCTTCTGTTATTACATAAATATATGTTTGAAGTTTTTATGTTATTTTTTCTTGGAATAGAAAGAATTATCACTTTGCTTGGAGAATTGACCGTTTCATCTTTATGTTATTTCACTCTTTATGCATGATAATATTCCTTGTTCTAAAGTCTACTTCATCTGAAATTTAGGTAGCTACTGTATCTTTCATTTGATGTTAGTGTGGTATATATTTCTCTATCAATTATCTTCTGACATAACCAAATCCTCATATTTAAAGTGAATTTCTTGTAGACAACATGTTGTTGTATCTTTTTTCTTTTGAATTCACTCTGAATTTTTTTCTTTTAAATGATGTGTTAAAGGCATTTAAATAAAATGATTATCCACTTAGTTGAATTAATATATACTATCTTTGTTACTTTTCTTTATTCATTTCAATTACTGGGTTATTTCCTGTCATTTTTATCCTTCTCTGATTTTAATCAAACATTTTGTTTGCTCTTACTTTATCACCTTTCTTAGTGTATCATTAATATTTCCTTAAAAAGTATTTTTAATTGTTGCTTTGGAGTTTACAATATACATTTATTAATGTAAATACATCCTTCAAAAAGTACTATCACTACCACTTCACATGTAGTGAAGGTACCTTATAATACAGTACACCCAATTCTTCATCTCATCCCTCATGAAATTGTTGCCATTCTTTCCACTAATCCATATACAATCATCAAATAAATTGGTACTAAAATTATATTAAAGAGTTATTTTTTAGATTTATTAAAATAAAAAATAAAATATTTTATTTAACTTGATTTATTGCTTCTCCATTGCTTTATTCTTTATCTAGATCTACATGTCTGACCACATGTTTTTAGCACAAATCTTTTTGACAATATTATTGCATTATTTTCGATACAGAAAAAAGAAAGAAATTTTTGTCTGTCTTCTTACGAGTTTTCTCAATATCATTATTTTTACTGACAGTGTAGAAAATTATCTTTTAATTTCAAAACTCATTGTTAATGCCACCTAAATTTTTGGTACTGCTGTCAACTGGAGAAGACTATATCAGGTTTCTTTTGTTTAACAGCAGTAACATTTCAGGGAGTCTCATTTTTTTATTGTTCGTAACTAACTTACATACTCTTACAATTCATAATTTTTAACCAATATGGGGTTTTTATATCTTAATTGTACTGAAGTATTATGAGTTTTCTTTATTTTTATCAGTATTGATGCTTCATGAGGAGGCATATGTTGTAGACAGGCATAAACGTACAATTTTAAACATAGATACGATTGTTATTTATTGTACTGTTACAAGTTGACATACTTAAATCATATAAATCTGGATAATTTTATTTTGTACAATTCCTATTTCTGAAGCAATGAAAATGTAGTATACTTATGATTATATAATCTGCATTATCAACAGATTGAGAACCTCTATTTTTGAACTAGCAAATGAAATCCAAATGTTTCTTTCACAGTTTTACGCATTGGATCCTTGAAAATTTTTCCAAGGATAATACCTAGCTTCACATTTTCAAACCCTATCTTTCCTCAACAACCCACCCAGTTGCTGGACACTGAAATACATTCTTATCAGCACTGACCCTGCTACATTTTTTGTATTGTTGGATGAGTCAGACCAGTGGGTGGGTAGAAATATTCTTGGACATCAATCTATCATCAGGGTGGCTAGCAATAACATTACTATTCATGGATGGAACTGCACATCAGATAAAAATAGCCCTATAAATCAAATTAAATATTTATGAAATTTGTATTTTTCTTATTTAAGTCCTAAAAGTACCATTTTCAGAATCACCAAACAAACAAGGAAATGTAGGCTAGGTCTAGTGGCTCACACCTGTAATCCAAACACTTTGGGAGGCCAAGGTGAGAGAATAACTTGAGTCCAGGAGACCAGCCTGGCAACATAGGGAGATCCTGTCTCTACAAACATTTTTTGAAGAAACTAGCCAGATGTGGTGATGTGCACCTGCAGTCCCAGCTACTCAGGAGGCTGAGATGGGAGGATTGCTTAAGCCCAGGAATTTGAGGCTGCAGTGAGCTGTGATTACACCAATGCACTCCCAGCCTGGGCAACAGAGTGAGAGCCTGTCTCAAGAAAAGAAAAAATAAAAGTGAAGGCATATCTGATTAAATTAAAATAGTATTAATCTGTGCTGCATAAAATATCTTACCTTTTCAGATTTATAAATCTGAAATATAAATTTATGTATACACACATGCACACACACGTGTGTGTATGCATATATATATATATATATATATATATATATATATATATATATATATATATATATGACTATGAGAATGTATTTCTAGGGTGTCTCCCAAGGTCTTGGAAGAGGCTCTGTGAATGTGACAAGGCATAAATACTTATCTTAATAAGCTTCTTAATACATTTACCTCTGTTTTGTAGAAGTGAGTTATATATTTAAGAATGAAAATGAACTGAATGGGAGATAAATATTCTAAGCAACTGGTACAAGATGCACAGAGACTCATGGGAAACCCTTGAAGAAAAGTTCATTTATAGGGAACTATGAGTATTTCTATGTGTAAAATGTTTAAGAAGATAGAGGGTGCCAAATCAAATCTTCAAATAATTAAATACATATCTCTATCTATCTATCCATCTATCTACCATCTATTTAATCTATTTATTGTCTAAGTAGCAGAATAGTATAAGATTGGAAAGTTAAATATAAAACTGTTTAATGCCATATGTTGGCAATAGAGGCATGATATTTTTCCAGACATAATTTGTGTCTTTATGGGTAAAAAATACTGACAAGTTAGAAATTTTCTAATAGTTTCCATCTCTTTCCAGAATCTGAATCTTTATTCATAGTATTAACAGGGAATAGTAAGTCAAACAAATTCCATATTCTGTTTCATAGATAACTCTTTCGGTGGGTTTGTTAGACAATGGTTTATTATATCATTGAAAGGGCAGGAAATAACTTTTTTTTATTTCTATGTTTTGGAGAGTTTTTTTCAACGAGTATACTAAAGTATTGTTAACTTGTGAAGGAGTTTGGCTTGATGTCTAGGACAATGAGGAATCTTTGGGCTCTTCTAAGCAAGGTAATGATAAAATTACTATTAATTTTAAATCTTTTTTTTTTTTTTTTTTTTTTTTGACGGAGTCTCGGTCTGTCACTCAGGCTGGAGTGCAGTGGCGCAATCTCGGCTCACTGCAAGCTCCGCCTCCTGGGTTAACACCATTGTCCTGCCTCAGCCTCCCGAGTAGCTGGGACTACAGACACCCACCACCACGCCCGGCTAATTTTTGTATTTTTAGTAGAGGCGGGGTTTCACCGTGTTAGCCAGGATGGTCTCGATCTCCTGACCTCGTGATCTGCCCGCCTCGGCCTCCCAAAGTGCTGGGATTACAGGCGTGAGCCACCACGCCCGGCCGAGTTTTAAATATTAAAACCACTGTTTCAGTAGGTAGGAGAAGGATGACTTGCACAAATATAGTTGGCGTAGGCTGAACAGTTAGACACAATTTTCAAATTTATTTAAAATGATGGGTAAGGGTGGGAGTTTATGTTATTTTCATAGAACATAAGTAAGTTGAGCTGGATCTGAACTCCTCAGCCAACTAACTAAGCTAATTATACTGCTGATCGTTAGCTTATTGGGTACTCTTCACTGTACAAAAGTTTTCTACTGAGAAAGGATTCATGACTGTGAGCAGTGGCTCACCTGCCAATCTTAGCGCTTTGGGAGGCTGAGGTGGGAGGATCACTTGTGCTCAGGAGTTCGAGACTAGCCTGGGCAATATGACAAAACCCATTTCTACAAAAATAAATAAATAACCCACAAAGACAAAAATTAGCTGGGTATGGTGGCATGCACAAGTAGTCCCAGCTACTTGGAGGGCTGAGGTGAGAGAATCACTTGAGCTCAGCGGGGGGAGGCTGCAGTGAGCCAAGATTGCACCACTGCACTCCAGCCTGAGCAACAGAGTGAGACCCTGTCTCAATAAATAAATAACAATGAAAAATATTGTGAGTTTTTTAATTGTAAAATTTATGAAGTTTCTACCAAAATTTATGGAAAATATTGTCTATGGAAAATCTCTCTTGTAGAAATTTTTTTCTAAAGATTTATGTTTTATAATTTTATTTTTTTCTGTAAGCTTATATAATTCATTTTTCTATATTTTATAATGTAGAATTCATTGGTCCTTAGGCATATTACCATAATAGACTCATGTATAAAATTACCTTATAAATTTTTTTCTTTTCATTTTGACTCCTCACCAATAGCAATGCCCCATGACTAAAATATTACCATGTTTTTCTTAAAATAACAAACCTTGAAAGAAGAATGATTTTTAAATTTCATAAAACCGAGTAATTCAGAATTTGTATAGCTTTCACAGGGTATAAGTTGCCGTGAGTTTTCTCTACAGCTTTTACTTTGTGTGGTTCAAATGGTAAGTCAACCCAGACTTTGAAGCTGCATTTCCCCTGTTGACAATTAATCACCAGAGTATTCCCAAAATATCACTTTACTTACCTCCTCATGCTCTGTATGAATCATAGCTCCAGAAAGGAAACATCAACACATTTCACTTATGGGATCAAATGATTAAAATGTTAGTGAAACCCTAAGATTGCATCTAATTGAATTTAGAATGTGTTATGCTTAATCTAGAACATGGTTTTCCCAATATCAATACATGAGCTGTCATTTGCCTTTTCCTGTCTTCTATTTTCGTTATTGTTGTCCAGGTAGAGAAGTGCTGAGGTCTGAATTTCTATTCCCTACCCCACCCTCAATATTTCTGGACTTTGAAGTTCAAATATAATTTACAGATAACATCATCTTTTATTAACAGACAGCATCAAGCCCTGTACATAGTTTAATCCTAGTGCATAAAAGGAAACATAGGTGGATCAGAATATTATATTATTACTGCTGTTATACAGTGTTATGCTTTGAAGTAACCAACAATTAGACCTGCCAAGCTTCATTCTGGGTGAGCTGCTGTCAGAGAAAATAGCAATATCTCTCACTTTAGGTCAAAGCTAATATATGAAATTGTAACTATAGCTATCCACTGGAATTGAGTGGCATTTATTTTCAAGAGTGTGTTTGTAATTTAAAGCTGTTACATAATTTTGAAAAATAGAAATATATGGAGAAAATGCAGAAAAACATTATAACAGTTTTGAGATACCTAATGTTTAAGCATGATTTTTTTGTGTGGTTTTACCATGCTGATCAAAATGGCCTCTTTTCCTGATGTTTATCAACTAGCTTATTGGCACTTGCAAGTTAACCAGATACTAATGGTGAAAATAGGAAAAACTGTGAGATTTGATTTTGGCATATGCAACGCCCATGTGACCAAATATTTTATGTTTGGAAAATAGTACCAGTAATACTTCCTTCCTTCTCTTCCCTAAATGCGTAACATGTGTGCCTGCACATGCACATGCACGTGCAAACACATTTACTTGTTATAATGCTTGAGAATACAGTCTAATTGATATATGGAAAATATGTTTCTTAATATTTGTAGCACATTTAACCTCTACATATAATGACATTTCAAAACTCTTCAGGGAACAGAAAATATTCATTAGCAGAACCTTGTAATTACTCAGCTTGAAAGTTGTAGACTTAATGGAATTTGCTTTTGTTTTTTCTGCATTCCCATCACCAATACATCTCACCAGAATGAAATCCAATATGTTAAATGATATTAACAGATCTATTTCCTGAATAAGGCTATAAAGAATTATGAATTTCATATTATTAAAAATAGTAATTGCAGTGTTGCTTGTTTCTAGAATGTGTTTCACACTTACACATTATACAGAGCTTTGATAAAATGTGGCACGATATCATTGTATTACTGCAAAATTATGTTTTCATCTGATATGAAAAATTTCCAGCGATTGAGGATCTCTTATTTTTCTCCACCCCCTTGAAATTACAAGACAATTAAGAAAAAGAAGTTGATACAAAGTTTGGTTTCACTCATGTCAAGTGACGAAGGAATTTAATGCTTAAAATGCCCTGACACAGAAACAGCTATTTTCAGAAAAAGGAAAACAAGTGTGAGTATGACTTCTTTAGAAAATCAAGCATATAACTACTCTAATTAGGTAGATCTTAGAAATGTATATGCCTCATATTTCATTGAAGGCCTCAATAATAAAATTAGCTCTAGTTCATATAATACTCTCGGTGTTTAGTATCACCTTGTTTAAAGTGAAACATATTATTCAAAAATATAGTAACTGTATTGGCTATAGTAAAAACTAGATTTGTTGCTAATTTCTATGTCCCTTATCCTCTTTTTTAATATTATTTCATTTAATTCTCAACAATAGTGTTAGGTGGTATTATTAATTTTCATCTATTATGAATTTGGGGAAACTAAGGCATAGAAAGATTGAGCAGCTTTTTAAATATCCTGATTCCTTCTTCAAATGAACAAATATTCGGGTTGCTTTTTACTTTTAATGGCATTGTGCTGAAATGTAAAACAAAGCTCACTTCCCCTTCAGAATGTTCAATGCTTCTTTGGATACTGCAGTAATGTCACTAGGAAGATTTACAATGGATATACTGCATACCTAATACATATTTTTCCAAGCTAATGAAATGTATAATGTTTTCAAAATCAGGTCATTTTCTTCCTCTCTCTCCCTTAAAGCGCTTACTTTTTCTTTCGGGTATTCAGACTTTCTATTCATGTCTGCCAATCTCCTGTTTATTTATTATGACTTGTTTCAGTGGTCATCTGGGTAAGAAGGATGTCCTTGAGATGGTCCCCTAGGTTCAGGTAATTACTTTCTTCTTTTGCTACTATTGTATGCAATACTCTTCATGCCCTTTATTTATATATGTATGTATACACACATACACACATACACACACATCAACACATATTACATGTTTTGGTCTCCTAATAAACTTTGAGATTTTGTAGAGCAGGCACTAAATCTTAGTCTTCATTTTATTCTTAGGGCCAATACTGTAACTGGTGCACTGGAAACACCCAATGAATATTTTTCGAATGAGTAAATAAATGATTAAACTCAGTGACCGTAATGCTTTGATGCAGGTAGAAGGTTGCTTTTCCCCATGAAATTTCACTAACATGCAATTAAAATATACTATTTGATATTGTGGGAAAAGAATATAAAGTTTTAGTTGGACAGAATGAAAAACTATATACTATTTTATATTTACATGCAAGTAAATGTTGGCCTTCCCCTTCCCCTTTCATTCACTTCCTCCCCCAACCTTCCTCTTAGATGCAAAGAAGAATGATGTTCTGTGATTTCAGGTTTTAGGAGGTTGTTTATTCCAAGTTTAGCTTAGTGAGACACACTATCTACTTCTCCATTGTTGCTTGTTTTCTCTCAGTTGTAATATCTGCTACTAGTGACTCTAGTGGAGTCACTAGACTCACCAATACAGAATCCTGCAAGCTGTCCTCACAGAAATGACCCAAACACAGGATGGACATGTTTTCTCATGTGTAAGCGTATATATTAAAGATGTCCAATATCCAGGTTTCTAAACACACATTTCCAACAGAGCACACAATTGTAATTAGCATTGCAAATACTTTACTTTGAATTCACTGTGAATTCTTTGTATTTCCAAAAAGTGATTTTGTTTACACTATAAATTCAGTGTCAGCTAAAAATAAAAAAAGAAGCTTTCTGACTTTTTCAAACCATTGTTGACTTTTAACAACAACAGTTTGCCAGCTTCAGAGCAATATATTAGAACAAAATACAATTTCTATTCTCACACTCCTTACTAGCTTTTCAAATGTTTTGGAGAAGTCTGCTGACAGATGATTAGTCAAACTGGGAACCAACTGCTTCAACTATTTAATCTAAATGATAAGTGATTGCTTTGATTGGGATACATTTTAAATAAATATGTAAGTTCCTGAAATGCATACTATAATTTATTGTAATATAGTGTCCTAACCCACATGTGTTATATGGAGCTGTGTAGATATATGTATATATAGGTATATATCTATATATGGGTATATTTGCACAAAGTCAGTGTTCCTTGACATTAAACAAAGATCTTACTAATTTTTTGTTTGTCCCAAATATATGTCCCATTAAAATTTGCAAAGTGTTAGTAGTAAGAAATATGCTTCAGCCTGGGAATAGTGGTTGATGCCTGTAATCCCAGCACTTTGGGAGGCCAAGGTGGGCAGATCACCCGAGGTCAGGAGTTTGAGACCAGCCTGGCCAACATGGTGAAACTTCATCTGTACTAAAAATACAAAAAATTAGCCAGGCATGGTGGCTCACACCTGTAATCCCAGCTACTCAGGAGGCTGAAGCAGGAGAATCGCTTGGATTCAGGAGGCAGAGGTTGCAGTGAGATGAGATCACACCACTGCACTCCTGTCTGGGTGACACAGTGAGACTCCGTCTCAAAAAAAAAAAAAAAAAAAAAAAGAAAAAGAAAAAAAAAGAAATATGCTTCATTTTCACAATATGCTTACTATTTTAAACCTAATTTCCTTGCTAAAATATATAATGTATGATTAATAAGGTTGAAACCTAACGTTGATGTAGGGACAAAAGTAAACTCACATATGTAAGAAGGAACAAAACTATTGTTTCAAGGTTCAAGGTTTTAAAACAGGTGTCCTTGCAAACTTAAGGAGTCAACAAGCAAGGTTCTAAAGTTTTATGCAATACTTTAGTCATCCCTTATTCTTGGGGCATATATTCCAAGACTCCCACTGGTTGCCTGAACTTGGATTGTACTAAACCGTGTATGTGTTTTTTTCTTATACATACATACCTATGATAAACTGTAATTTAAAACCTAGGCACAGTAAGAGATTAACAACAATAACTGATAAACTAGAACAACAGTAACAATATGCTATAATAAAAATGATGTGACTGAAGTCTTTCTCTTTCAGAATTAGCTTATGGCACTACAGTGCTCAGATATTTTCAAACTGCAGTTAACTGAGGGTTACTGAAACTGCAAAAAGTGAAATTGTGAATGAGTATGTGTGTTTTCTCTGATAGAGAAACATTTGTCCATATTTTCATGTATTTATTACCCCAAAATCAATATGAACCACAGCAAAAGTTGCATGTTTTAAAAATTATTTTACCCTAAGGGGTTGAAAATTTCTGTCCACACACAAAAACCTGCACAGGGATGTTTATAGAGGCTTGTTTCATAATTGCCAAATCTTCAAAGCAACCATCATGTCCTTTAGTGGGAGAAAGGATAAATAAACCGTGATAAATACAGATAATGGAATATTATTCGGTATTAAAAAGAGATGAGCTACCAAGCCATGAAAAGACATAAAGAAAGCAGAAATACATATTACTAAGTGAAATAAGTATAAAAAGGCTACATGCTGTATGATTACAGCTATATAACGTTTTGAAAAAGATAAAACTAAGGTGATGGGAAAAGGATCAGTGGTTGCCAGGAGTTCGTAGGGAAGGAGGGATGAGTATGGGGAAGAGAAGTAGCTGAATAACACCAAAGATAGTCCTCATCTTACCACATTTCAATTACACTTTTTCAACATTATGATGAGTTTATCATAAGTCAAAGAGAATCTATATAATGGTAGATACATATCATTATACATTTTTCCAAACCTATACAATGTCCAAAACCAAGAGTGAACTCTAATGTAAACGACGGACTTTGGGTGATAATAATGTGTCAATGTAGTTTCCTCAGTGGAATCAAATGTACTGTTCTAGGGGAGGATGTTGATAACGGGGGAGGCTACGCATATGTGGGGATGGGTATCTCAAAAATCTTGCTAGCTGTCTCTCAGTGTTACTGTGAGCCTGAAACTGCTCTAAAAATAATGTCTATTAAAATTATTTTATTTTCTTAATTCCAGAACCTTGGTAACAATATCACTGGTGACTGAATCAACGTGTAAAATATTTTCTTACTGATGTTATCTTTTGGCAGAAATTTCAGGAATTTTCTTTTAGTAAATAAAAGGTGAAACTATTGAATGTACACCGGGTAACAATTCTGAAATTATCCCATAGCTGTGTTGGTACAAACCAGTGAAGATATTTATAGAGCACACAGTAGATTTTAATAAAGCTCATAAACTTCACATTCCTGCACAAATGTTAAAAAAAAAAAAAAAGTCACTACATTTAGGCTCTGTTGCTGAGATTCTGAATCCTGCAAATAGCAAGTCTTCTCTGGTTCTTTGAGCTCTGTTTTTGATGACTTCACCCTGGAGGTAACAGCTTTCCTAAGGCCTGACATGCAGGCCTGCTGCATTGCAAACTCCCTCTGCTCATTTTTGGCAGGTTGTGCTGATTTATGGGGCTATTTGATTTATTTAATGTACCATGCCTTTGATTGCATATACTCTATAGCAGTCACTCAAAATGCAAACAAACACATCATATGTTCTTTAATTACTCCCATCCCCCTTATTATCAATCACTGCCAATATCAGCAGAATGGCTGTGATTCATGCTATAAAATTAAGGTCAGCAAACTTGGGTTTTGCAGAAGTGAATAGCAGCAATTCTGTTTATATTCTTTAATGTTTCAATTCTAAAACTCATTATCAGAAAAATGGTATTTCAGATCAGTCTTGTTAGAAGAATGGGATGGGAAAAAAGATATAACAGTTGGGCAAAGAGAAGGAAAGCAAATGTAGCACTAGGGAAAAAGTTGTAGAAGAAAGTAAAAAAAAAAATAAAGATGAGAAGATAGTAGCTCTTAAGGATATTCATTCTGACTTATGAAAGACTGTAATGTTTAGCACACACAGACACATACACAAACACATGAACTTGTAAAATTCTCAAAGGTCCAGTTTTTATTCAAAATTCCTATACTTCAACTTCTTGAATCTCACTCCTTTTTTTTTCAAGTTCCTCATTTCTCTCCCTTAAAAAATGGATGCTAACCATTTTAAGCTTAGTAATTTTGTACATGCTTTTCTGGAAATACTACAAATATGATCAATGTCTGTGATCTCTTCAGTGCTCTACTCTTGTGGGAAGCTTCTTTCCAACTTGGTTCCTGTCCATACCCACGTAAAATATTAAAGAAAGAAGGATAGAAATATAGATTAAAAGAAGACCTGAAGTCGAAGGAAGGGACTAATTGTTGAGAGATTTGAAATGCAACCAATTTTCCATCAGATGTTTTATCGGTACTCTGTAGTTCTATTCCGTCCCAGTTTTCCATAAATTTATAGATAAAAAGAATATTTTATATTGCATTTTGTATGCATATATGCATACATACATATCACTTAAATATATATATATATAAAATTGCATGTTATGCACACTTTAAAATCTTTAAAATATTGAATGCTTAATTACTTAGGACAAAATAGCTTACATAGGAAACAATTATTTCGGACAGAATAATTTAGGAGACAATAGCATTTTTGTGCTGTTGCAGAGATGATAAAGAACTTCTGGTTTTATATGTAACTCTAAAACTGCAGGATAAATAGGTACGTAATACAAATGGCAGTTGCCTCACTGCAATTTTCTGAGCTGTGTTGCTAGTCTGACACTCCTGAAAATTAATATTTCAGACATCTCTGTAATTGTCCAGAGGGCCTGGAGTGCCTTCAAATTATATTCCCCCTCTATTTTAATCAACCATGTTAGTAATTTACTTTTCATTAGTTTATTGATAATTCTATAGGGAAAGTTTGCTAATCACTGTGTAAAATATAATTTTCAAACAGCCAAAATAACTGCCATAAAATATGGAAACTGTCTTAGTTTGTTTTCTCTTGCTATGAAAGAATACCACAGACTGGGTAATGTATAGAGAAGAGAAGTTCGTTTAGCTCACATTTTCAGAGGCTAGAAAGTCCAGGAGCATGGTGCTGGCATCTTGTGAGGGCCTTCTTACTGTTTCATAAGATGGCAAAGGGCATCACATGGCAAGAGGCAAGACCATGCCAACTCAGTCTCCCTTCCTCTTCTTATAAAGTTACAAGTCTTATCATGGGGGTTCCATTTTGATGAATGTATCTAATTCTAATTACCTCCTGAAAGCCCCACCCCCATAAACCATCAACATATGAATTTGAGGATATTTCCAATTCATAAAATTTGAGAGGCACATTCAAGCCATAGAAGAAACCAATATTTATCAATAAATTATATATCCCAATGTTTACATACATCGCATTTATACACCACAATAATAAATATTGTAATAAGATTTATTGACTCTGTTCCTATTTATCAGTAAAATGAGAGGCAGAAAAGTTAACAAAGGCAGAAAAGTAACTGACTGTGATGGGTCACTCCACTAAGGGAATGGGAGACACCATTGCCCCCAGCCATCTCTGAGTACAGGTTTATACTTCTTTCTGTCTACATTATGGTTCTTTAAGGATGCATGGCCTAGCAGGAAGATACTGTACAAATGTGAAAAACAAAAGGTATCTGCCAAATTTTGAGTAACTATTTTTAAGTGAAGAAACTTACCCAGAAGTTTCAAAATTGCTTGCTAAGAAAATTGAGTGATTTTGTGATGGGCAATGAATTGTCCATTTACAAAAATCAGCAGATGTTTCTGAAGCCAGTAAAAAACAGAAAGTACACTTCAAAAAGTCATAGTCAAAGTAGCAAAGTAAGTTTGAAAAGGGCAGGTTGATTTTCTATTTTTATAGCCCTTCTCTTAAGAAGACTCATTTTATTTTTTTTTATTCTACAACATACCTCTGATTTTTGATTTTGAAAGCATTCAGAGGAGATCAGTTCTTCAAGTGAAAATTGTCACTTTAAGAATATAGATGATTTATCAGGTGCAGAATTTTTTATTTCCTTCAGAATAGCTGATGAGGTGAGATTCTTTCCTAACAACATCTTACAGATTAGTATCAAAAGCCTGAACAATACTATTGAAATCAAGGACATTGCACAGGAAAGCTATCAATTGTTATGGAATAGATAATGTGTTTTCTTGCAAAGCAAGAAAATAACTATTATCTGGATGTTATTAATCTTCCTTGAAGCATTTTAACATTCCAGTGTGCTGTGTTAAACTATTTTCTTTTTTTTAAGGAAACACAAAAGTTTCCTGATTTATTGTCAAATTGCAAGTTCAATCAAGGGTATTGAATTAACTATTTTCTAATAAATCATGCTATAGTTTAAACCATGGGATATAAATATGTTTTAAAACTGTCCCTTTATGTGGTAAAAAGGAGTTAGACTGTTGAAAAAAATAGCAGTCCTATTTAGCAGCTAAAGTGAAATGTTTATATGTACACATGCATATATGCATTTTGTTTTCTAAGCTAAAATGTACCTAGGACAAATTGGAAATAAAACATTTTAAAGAAGTTCTTGTTAAGCAAATAGAAATATGTTTTTAATACTACCTAGTTTTTTCATTTCCCCTTGATAATTTTCATTTATTGGCAGAGGTGCTTGAAAGAATAAATCATGAGTATACTATTGCTGCTATAAACCACTTTGATTATAATGTTATCTTAGCTTTTATATGCACTTTAAAATTATAAATATTTAGGCATATCATTTTTACATTTATCTAAAATTTGATCTAATATATTTTTCATCATATATGCCTAATGCAATGACAGCCATGCATTTTTTAACAAGTTGAGATCCTATCTTTTGAATTATGAATTTTCCCTATTATTTTACTAAAGTATGTTTGTTTTATAGTTAACAATTCTTCATCAATTGGCATTATTTACATTTGATGCTGCTCAACAATTTGGTTGTTTTTTATTCACTTAAGCACTATCTTACACAGTGTACATTTTATTTGATTTGAAGATTTTTTTCAAGTCTTGAATGCTTGGATTCATTCAGCATTCAATATCAGCAGATTAATGAAAGTGATAGATTATGCATGTTCATTCATTCCTTGCAGCCTATTATCTAATGAGGGTGGGAAGGTATGCTAGTAGATTAGATAATCGTTTGTCATTTCAAAACATGGATTTATTCATTTACTCAGAACACATTTTTAAGCATTGTTAGACCCTGGGTACAAAAAAGTGGTTAAAATACATTTCCTGAGTTAATAGTTTTGAAACAAACATGTCTATGAAAATTACAATATAGTGTGTTAAATATTAATGGAATTGTATAGGGTGCAATGAAGGCACAGAAAAGAAATTCTCAATTCTGTCTGCATGAGTTAAGGAGCTAGGCAATTCTGAAATTGAGGGCTGGAGACTGTGTCAGAATATGCCATGCAGGTCAGTGTAAGAAGTCAGGAAGAAGGAGCAACATACCTAATGACAGTGAATAAATCTAAGCATAAATAAATCTGTGTAAATTCATCATCAAGTGAACTCTTCTACACGGGATGTTGATGAGTGTTTATTAAATGGTGAAATAAATGATTAAGTGAAATAACAATCACTTAATCCTAAACAATGCATCGTTGGTTAAAGGAGGACAAGCAATAATCAACTGTCCTGAAAACTGTTTTAAGAACCTACCTGACACCAGTAACATTATACAGGTAGATGACTTATTTCCCACCATTTAAGTCCTGAATTTTTAAAATTTTCTTTTGTAGGCACTAGACCAATGGATCAGGATAGAGAACTCAAAACTAAAGCCAAATACTTACAATCAACTGATCTTCAACAAAGTATACAAACATATAAATTGGGGAAAGGACACCCTATTCAATAAAAAGTGCTGGGAAAAATGGGCAAGTCACATATAGAAAATAAAACTGGATCCCCAGCTCTCACCTTATACAAAAATCAACTCAAGATGGATGAAAGACTTAAATCTAAGACCTAAAACCATAAAAATTCTGGAGGATAACATCAGAAAAACTCTTCTGGATATTGGCCTAGGCAAATAATTCATGACTAAGACCCCAAAAGCAAATGCAACAAAAACAAATAAATGGGACCTAATTTAACTTAAAAGGTTCTGCACAGCAAAATAAATCATCAGTAGAGTAAACAGGCAACACACAGGGTTGGAGAAAATATTCACAAACTATGCATCTGACAAAGGTTTAGTATCCAGAATCTACAAGGAACTCAAACAAGTCAGCAAGAAAAAAACAAAAACAAAAACAAATAATCCCATCAAAAAGTGGCCAAAATACATAAATAGAAATTTCTCAAAAAAAGATATTCAAACAGCCAACAAACATGAAAAAATGCTCATATCACTAACCATCATGGAAATTCAAATTAAAACCACAACGAGATAGTACCTTAATTCTTCAAGAATGACCGTAATTACAAAGAGTAAAACCAATAAATATTGGTGTCAATGTGAAGAAAAGGGAACATTTTTGTATTGCTGGTGGGAATTCAAATTAATACAACCACATGGAAAACAGTATGGAGATTCCTTCAAGAACTTAATAAAAGTAGAACTACCATTTGATTCAGCAATCTAACTACTGGATACCTACCCAAAGAAAAAGACGTCATTACATGAAAAAGACAAGGGTACACGCATGTATATAGCAGTAAAATTTGCAATTGCAAAGAAATGGAACCAACTTAAGTGCCCATAAACCAATCAATGGATAAAGAAAATATAGTATATATACACCATGTAATACTACTCACCCATAAAAAGTATCAAAATAATGTCTTTTGAAGCAATTTGAATGGAACTGGAGGCCATTATTGTAAGTGAAGTAACTCAGAAATGGAAAAAAAAATTATGTATGTTCTCACTTATAAGTGGGAACTAAGCTATGAGGACAGAAAGACATATAATGGACTTTGAGGACTTGGAGTGGGAAGGGTGGGAGGAGATGAGGGATAAAGTACAAGATACTGGATAGAGTGTACACTGCTCAGGTGACAGGTGCATTAAATCTCAGAAGTCACCACTAAAGAGCTTATCCATGTAATCAAAAACCACCTGTACCCCCAAAACTGTAAAAATTAAAAAAAATAATATTTTATTTTGAAGCATCAATATGCTGAGATATTTTGTATGTTAAAATGTCTAGGCATACTGATGAATGACAAATGGATGCATTTTTCTTGGGACACTAATCAAACAAGTGAAGCAAATGAATAGGTTATTATAATTATATTACATATCTTAAAACATATTACTGTTACTTTAGTTTGTACCTATTTTTAGAGAACTGTAAAATCTTAGTTGAACAATTTGCACAATAAATCTGCATATAAACATGGTAAGTGTATTGGGGTAAAGGTGTGTGTAGAACAAGTAATCAGTCCAGGTACTATGCTACAGCTTGGCATTATCCACCAAATTACACATACCCAATTTGCTTTCCTCGGTAGAGATAAAAATACTGCAATGAAATTATGTAAGGTGAGATTAAAGAAAATAAACCCTAAGACATTATGGCAGTGGGTGGTCACAGAGAGAAACTCAGAAGACAGATCTTGATGTCCAGGGTACCAACCTTCAAGAAGTTCCTAGTCTAATGTGAGAGTCTAGCGTGAAAGACAATTATAGAAATAAAATTTACAATTTACAATTAGAATATATAGTATGAGGCAGTTCAGGATGAATTGAAGGCAAGTATTAGGAATCTATGACCGAAATTGGAAGTATTGAATATTAAGTTGGTGTAAAATTAATTGCTGCTTTGGACTGTGAATTTTAACACGTTGTTATTAATAAAAATAGGAACGATTATAATCGACACATTGTTCCCAATGAGAAATAAGTTTGTTTATGCCTGTAGTATAAAAATTCGTATTTCGGGATTTGACGAACTTTTGGAAAGCGTTTTCTGCATCCTGCTGGTTGTGAAAGTGTTTTCCCTGTAAAAAGTTGTTGAGATGCTTGAAGAAGTGGTAGTCTGTTGGCGAGAGGTTAGATGAATATGGTGGATGAGGCAAAACTTTGTAGCCCAATTTGTTCAACTTTTGAAGTGCTAGTTGTGCGATGTGTGGTCGGGCATTGCTATGGAGAAGAATTGGGCCCTTTCTGTTGACCAATGGCGGGCTGCAGGCATTGCAGTTTTGGGTGCATCTCATCGATTTGCTGAGCATGCTTCTCAGATGTAATGGTTTCACCCAGATTCAGAAAGCTGTCGTGGATCAGACTGGTAGCAAGCCACCAAACAGTGACTATGACTTTTTTTGGTGTAAGTTTGGCTTTGGGAAGGGCTTTGGAGCTTTTTCTCGGTCCAACCACTGAGCTAGTCATTGCCAGTTGTCGTATAAAAACCACTTTTCATAGCACGCTACAATCTGATCAAGAAATGGTTCATTGTTAGGTAGAATAAGAAAAGACAACGCTTCAAAAGGACGATTTTTTAGCTTTTCAGTCAGCTCGTGAGGCATCCACGTATCGAGCTTTCTCATCTTTCCAATTTCCCTCAAATGTCTAACATAGGAGGGTCAACTTTGAGTTCTTCCGCAACTTCTTGTGTAGTTGTAAGACAATCAGCTTCGATGATTGCTCTTAATGGGTTGTTTCCAACTTTCGATGGCCCGGCCACTAAGCTCCTCATCTTCAAGGCTCTCCTCTTCTTTGTAAAACTTCTTGAACCATCACTGCGCTGTCCGTTGGTTAGCAGCTCCTGTGCCAAATGCGTTGATGTATCCGCTGCTTTACGACCCATTTTGAACTTGAATAAGAAAATCGCTCGAATTTGCTTTTTGTCTGACATAATTTCCACAGTCTAAAATAAGCATAAACAGTAAGTAATAAGTCATTAGCAAAAAAATAAAGCAAGAAATGCCCATTAAAATGATGTATAACAAAACCACATGTATTAAAGAATAATTTACATTTATTTAAGTATTCCAATATCAGATGGGAAAAACCGAATAATGCTAAAAACCCAGATATTTTTGCACTAACCCAGGAAAAGCTCAATGATGGAGATGTAGATTTAAGAATAACCTGCATATAAATTGCATATAAAATGACTGTCTCTGTGTCTCCCAGAGTTATTGTTGCACAATCATTTCATATTACATGTACGAATTTGTGATTTTGCTTGGGATCATTTCTTATAAATTAAGAGAAATACAACATAGTCATACTTTAAAAATATTTTTAAACAGAGTAAGCAACTCAGTATTCTCTACGATGCGCTCATCAAGGCTGTGACAAAAGATGATGGATTGTAGTTTCCTGGCATTGCTATTAACATACAGTAGGCCACATAAACAATTCTGATTATTTGAGGTTACTTGAAGTTAGGTCTATTTGCCATATTCAAATAATATGACATACTATTTACCTAATCTCTGTATATGTATTATTGGTTAAATTTAAGGAGATTTAATTGAATTAAACTGAGTGTCTTGGCATGTATTTTTTCTTCTTTTTTTTTTTTTGATTCTTACACATTTCTGAACACGTAATGTAGGACTAGGTTTCCTGCTTTACACACAATGGACGGATTGCCAATTATAATTCAGAAACTTTTAATTAGACACTTTACATGAATTGGAACTCCACACACAATGGCAAGACACGTTGTCATTTAGGAAACATTTTTGGTCCCTATTACCCCCATAGAATCACAGTACCCAGGATCTGCAACAAAAGCAAGAGTTGTGGGAGGAAAAGGGACAGCCACTTTGAGGTGATATAGTTGATCTTTGAACAATATGAATTTTAACTACATGGGTCCACTTATATACGATTTTCTTCTGCCTCTGCCAGCCTTGAGAGAGCAAGACCAACAAGCTCTTCTCTTCCCCCTCTTCTTCAGCCTACACAACCTGAAAATGACAAGGATGATGACTTTTATGATGATCCAATCCACTTAATGAATAGTAAATATATTTTCTTTTCCTTTTGATTTTTTAAATGACATTTTATTTTTTTCTAGCTTACTTGAAGAATGCAATATATAAAACATATAATAAAGAAAATGTGTGTTAATCTACTATTTATTGGTTAGGCTTCAGGTCAACAGTAGGCTATTAGTAGTTAATTTTGGGGGGAATCAAAAGTTATACATGGATTTTTGACTGCATGAGGTTAGCACCTCTAATCTTTGCATTGTTCAAGGGACAACTATGTGTGTGTGTGTGTGTGTGTGTGTGTGTGTGTGTATTTTTATTTATTTATTATTTATTTATTTATTTTGAGGCAAGGTGTTGCTCTGTCGCGCAGGCTGGAGTGCAGTGGAACGATTTCGGCTCACAACCTCCGACTCCTGGGTTCAAGCCATTCTCTTGCCTCAGCCTCCTGAGTAGCTGGGATTACAGACATGTGCTACCGTGCCCAGGGAATTTTTGTATTTTTAGTAGAGATGGGGTTTCACCATGTTGGAAAGGTTGGTCTCTAACTCCTGACCTCAAGTGATCCACCCGCCTTGGCTTCCCAAAGTGTTGGGATTACAGGCGTGAGCCGCCGCGCCCAGCCGGTCAACTGTATTTTTAATTTGCATGTAGGCTACTGAGTCCCTGTTTTCATGCTATTCAGATGTCATTCTTCCTCATTCATTGAGGTTCATATTGTATTTAGATTCAACAGGATTAAAGCAGCAACAATTATCAGAAAATCATATTAACTCCCCCTTTGTGTTTGTGTATATATGGGTACTTTTTATTGAATTTTAAAACAGGTAAAGGATTGTGCATATATACACACACAATACTTTTAGAGTGGATATATAGAGTATTTTGTCAATCTCTTACTGAATAACATTTAGGCTTTTCCATTTTTTTCTAGTTATAAAGAATGCAACAATTTAAGTATATATGTTTGACTAAGCATGTACATTAGCCATGTCTTATAAACATTAATATGAGGTATTCATATAGACTTTATAATAGATATGATTATAAATACAAAAAATAAATTATATAAACAATATAGTTTTGATTTTATTGTTTGTTCAAGTGCATCCTTTTACTCTAATGATAGTTGGCAATTTTGATTTTCTTCAATTGTTGGTTTCATAAATAATGCTGCAACAGACATTTTAGACATCATTTTTACGTATTTGTTTCATGGTTATTGTTTTCCAACAGATACAGGATTTTTGTCTTAGCATGAATGTACATTTTTATTAGATTTTAAAACAGATTAAGTATTGTGCTAATTAATATACCCACTAGAAATATATGCATGTGTGTGTATGTATGTATGTGTGTGTATATATATGTACATATGTATATGTATGTATGAAAGAGATTTTGGTTTTGTCTCTTTAACAACCATCATTGATTTCTGTTACGGATAAATGATAATTCAAGTTATTCACCCTGCTAATTTTCAAAACAACAACATCCTGCACAACTCTTTTCCTCATTTACTAAATGCTGAGCATGCTGCAGGACCTTCATACCTGGCGTTTTCTCTGCCTGGAATACCCTCCCTTGTTCCTCGTATCATGGACCTTTCTTATTCTTTGTTTCTGTACTTAAACTAAATCTCAAAGAGGGTGAACTTCATTTGTTATCTAAAGTAGTTCCTTTCTCCAAATTACTTTTCTTTCTCATGGAGAATTTCCACTTCATTCATCACACTTCATATAACATGATAATATATCTGTGATGACTTTTTAATATTCTGTTTTGACACCTAGGTTTGCTACTCTATTAAGGAAGAGAGATCTTGTCATTTTCATTCATCACTGTTCATTTATGTCCAAGTACAGTGCATAAAAATTAGTAGAGCTAGGTGAATATTTACTGAATCAATGGGCAAATCAATAACTAGAGGAAGTAGAGTATTGTATTACTTTTTAAATAAATTACTAAATGAAACTTTAAATTCATTTGACTAATTATATGATACTTCAAGATCCATTGTACTTAGAGGTGTGGATTTGTGTTTAGAATAGTCAATAAATTATGTAATTAATAAGCACCCAGATGAAACACAATTTAAGCAAGTAACCTCCAACTCAATGATAAGGTAGTATTCTTTTTAAATTTTTCTGATCATTGACTTATTATCATAAGCCAGATAACTAAATCAGGATAATGTTTCAGTATTAGAAAACCTACCATAAAATAAAAATGTTTAATCAATTTAATAACCATTTTCAAACACAGTGTAAGAGAAACGATTATTTTTACAGGAATATTAGAATTTCTAAGTAACTGTAACTGCAATAAAAAATGATTGCTAATGAATGCTGTTCTGAAATCTAAGTGATGCACAATTATGTATATTTTATATTTTTTAGTCAGAAGTCTTTAATGATAACTGCTATCAACTCTTTTCTTAAACAAATTTAATTTTAAATATTGTAATTTATTTTTACCATGAAATAAATTTTATCTGAAGTTTTGCTGGGGCTTTAACATTATTAAATAATGTTACGAAATGGTATAATTTAGCAATAGCAATGTATAAAAGACAGCATTTATTAGAGTATTCAGAATGACTTTTTTTTTCCCCTCAAGACAGAGTCTTGCTCTGTCACCCAGGCTGGAGTACAATGGTGTAATCTCGGTACACTGCAACCTCCACCTCCTGGGTTCAAGCAATTCTCCTGCCTCAGCCTCCTGAGTAGCTGGGATTTACAGGCATGCACCACTACACCCAGCTAATGTTTGTATTTGTAGTAGAGACAGGGTTTCATCATGTTAGCCAGGCTGGTCTTGAACTCCTGACCTTGTGATGTGCCCGCCTCAGCCTCCCAAAGTTCTGGGATTACAGGCGTGAGCCACCACGCCCGGCCTCCAGAATGATTTTTTAAATTTAGAAATATCCCTGCATCTCACTCTAACAATCATATTTAAACCCTCATGAAACCCTTAGCATTCTCACACATCAGTTGTTTTTCTCTGCCTCTGTTTTCTTTCTTTCCTCTTCTGTCCCGTAAAAGAAACATGACCATGAATTTCAAGAAAATGCTGTTGCCATCTTTCAGTAGCTAATAGTTACCTTCAAGTCGCCTTCAGGGTATCCTATTTGTTGCCCTTTTTGTGGGCGCTCAGATTTCAGATCAACTTTATAGGAAATGCACGTCCACATTTAATGATAGGGTCCAAGTGATTTTGATGAATGTCTGTCCCCTAGCCCTGATTGACACCAGCAGGCTGTGGAGGATGACAAATTGTCAGACAACAGATCAATCTGTTTTCTCCTTTAAGTAATGAGGAATGAAAGGGCAGAAGCATGGGGCAGGGGGTGCTTTCTGTGATTAGCTGGAGGCCTACTGAAGATGTTTGTAAATCAAACATGTTAGCAGTCTGTGTGTACTTATTATACATGCAGTAGTGTTCATGTTTGAGTGATGAGGATCGAATACTCAACAGATACCTTCAACAATAAAACCACACTTAAAAATGATGAGAAGAAAGGTATTGAACAAGCTGTGAATGTAAAACTGAGTGTTTCCTGAGAATGAAAAGAATATGTTGAGTAGGGAGATGAAAGGTATTAATAAAACAGCTTGAATTGTAGATGTTTGAAGATTGGGAAACCATATTAATGATTGACTATCTTTTTTTTCAAGTAATGAAGAGTACCTTGAATTATAAAATGTTTGTCTGGGGGCACAATTCACAGAGGCTGTGCCTGGAAATTATTAGGAAATATGTGTGTCATCTCACCTAATTTTGTCAACTCATTTTTTTTTTTTTTTTTTTTTTGAGACAGAGTCTCGCTCTGTTGCCCAGATGGCAGTGCAATGGCGCGATCTCGGCTCACTGCAACCTCCGCCTCCCAGGTTCAAGCAATTCTCCCTGTCTCAGCCTCCCAAGTAACTGGGATTACAGGCACCCGCTACCACTCCTGGCTAATTTTTGTATTTTTAGTAGAGACGGGGTTTCTTCATGTTGGCCAGGCTGGTCTCGAACTTCTAACCTCAGGTGATCCGCCCACCTCGGCCTCCCAAAGTGCCGGGATTACAGGTGTGAACCACCACGCCTGGCCTCAAATTTTTAAATAAAGAGAGACCTACATAAAAATCTATAAATTTTCATGGAAGTTATACACATTTTCTACTATTTTTCCAGAATCAACAAGTTAGAATTTGTCATTTTTTGGCAATATGATATACTTGATGCAAGACAACAGGAATAAAAGTTTGAGACTTAGAACAAACACATGTTAATGCCAAGCCTATTAAGTGACCTTTGAACCTCCCTTCCAACATGGGTATATATCACCTAGAAATGTTTTTGTTTGTTCTTTTGGGTACAAAGTGAACATTGTGTAGTGAGTTTAAGCAAAAATAATAATGACAATAATAACTATTAAAATAATGATAGAAGGAACATTTCTTAGTATTCAGGGAACAGAATACAACTTAGGCATAGAGACAAATTTTAGCCTGGGACTCAGGAATCAATCTCTTTCTCTCTCTCTCATCTGCATTTTTCCTTAATACAAACCCTTCAGTCCTCTTCATACAGACTAGATACTTACTTCTTCATAGAAATCAGATGGGTACTATTAATATTTTAGTTTAAAAAATCTGTTTCCTCTAATTGATTAGTCAGATGGAAAGAATTATTATATCTACATTTTAAATCCACAAACCAGACTTTGGATGGTATAAATTACTTCACATGCCCAACTTTGGACCGACTAATTATGGCCAAAAAAGTGAAGCCAAGTATTCTGAGTGTGCCTATGACCATGGAAGGAAAGGCAGAGGCTGTTTCCAGAAAATGGGAGACAGTTGCTCCCAATGGCAGCTGTACTGATAGCCAAAACAGTAGGTTTCTACTACAAAGAATATTGTTAAAAATTCTGATGAAAATTATATGGAACTTTATTTCTCAAAGTCTTTCAGTACAAGGTCTTTGGTGCTCCTGGAAAAAATTCTCAACCCTAAAACAAATACCAACATATAAAATAGTATTAAATTTTTAATTACTAGAAATTTTAAACACCGAAACATTTATTTTTATTATACAATTATAAGGATATAGCATATTAATTAAAATGAGTGAAACCCAGTTTATAAAGAAGTTAAGTCTTGAAGGCTGATAGATGTCTCTGATGTTTGGAAATGAGCAGATTAGTCTACACTCCTTGCAACATGGATAAATTGTTTAAACACACACACACACACACACACACACACACACACACACAAAACAAAAGCAGCACTTATAATGCCTATTATGAGGGACAAGGGGAATTGGATTATTTGCTAAGGTTTTGCCCATGAAAATACATTAGAAAGTGTAGGTAACAAACTGTGTACTGAAACAATTTGCTTACCTGTAAATTCTATAATTATAAATTTAATATGTTAAGTTCATCTGAAATAAATGAAGATCTCTACAAGTATTCTACAAAGAAATTGAATTGGTAGTTTAATCTTCAGTTTCCTAGGTTTTGTTTGGATGTTTGTTTTTTTCAATATAAGGACTTTGAAATAACAAGTCAATGTTAGGAGACATCTTGACTAATTCCTACACTCTACAGACATTTTTCTTGCCATACTTTCCCCTGTCTCTCAATTCAATCATTCCCATGACCTAAGCCATTTCCTGGGGTTGCAAGATACCTTACATATTCTGCCCACATAACAATGTACAAATTCCCCCCAAAAGTATATCAAATAAGAAGTTTGAACTTCATTTTCTCAAAGCCATTCAGTCTTTTCTACAGAAACTAGTAAAATGGGATATCAAATTTTATGTTTTAAATAAGACAATATAGTGGATATCATATACCAAAATCAGTTGTGAAAAAAACTCATAAATTTTCAAAAAAAGTTAGATACTCAAAACTTATCACATAATATCTAAACTTCTCTTTCACATTAATCATATAAAATTCAAGTGAATGCGTGTCAGTTGCATTATGCCAAAATGACTTTTAGCATGCAAGGATTTTTGAACCATTTGCCGTTTTCTGGACATGGACTTAAAATTACAGTCTACTTTTTGCTTTAGTTCTAACATTATTTCCATATATCCTTGGGAAAGGCTATATGTAGCTGTATGAACGCAAATGTACAGGTTCTTTTCCTTTCTGTAAAGATATATATTTCAGCAGTCATCAAGGCTTTTCTCAGACACTTCTAGTTCTGGGACCCACTGATTTTATTGGATTACTCCAACTGCAACATTACACTGTAAGTCTGTACATTAGAATGATGTATCATAGTAATTCTAATGCAGTTATTCTGGTATGATTTAGATTCTAATCTGAAAGCATTATCTAGATATAATACTAAAGCAATCTCTTAGGAAGTTTTGTTCATTCCAGCAGAGAACAAAAAGTCCTATTTCATGCATGAATTATTAAATATGTACTTAAAGGGGTAGCAGCCCTTTTAATTTGGCCAAGTTCATTGTTTTAATTGGCAAAAATGACAAATGATCTAAAGTCCGAAGAATCCAGAGCCAAGGGGAACAAAATAAAAGGAAGCAAAGAATGCAAACTTGACCTACAACTGAGTTATGTTCTGATAAGAGTGGAAAAAATTTTAGTAATTGTTAGAGCTACCAATTAGTGTTCAACTCTATAGAAGAAATAAAAAATTTAAAAAAGATTTTTTCAACAATTGAGGGCTGTAAACATAGAGACTTTCATCTTATAAAATGCTACTCAAAGAAAGTAATGTTTCAGGCCCTTATAGGAGACTGGGCATGCAATTAAAGCAGGTGAGAAACTTAGTGGAGCAGTGCTTGAGCGTATTAAAATGGAAACACGCGTGGTCTCCAGATTTAGGTACTTACAGTTTCATCTTGGTGACATTTCTTTTATTATAGTTTAACTACATATCAATACCTCACA
The DNA here is from genome assembly GCF_000001405.40 of Homo sapiens. Taxonomy (NCBI): domain Eukaryota; kingdom Metazoa; phylum Chordata; class Mammalia; order Primates; family Hominidae; genus Homo; species Homo sapiens. The sequence goes on from NC_000009.12 coordinate 24,977,298, forward strand.
AAGCAAGAGAGCGGCTTCTGTTCCACATCCGGATACTAGTAAGAATATCCAATCATCCTCACAGTTGTGCAACTCCATTTTCTTTAGAACAATAAATACAAAAAAGAGAATTAGTAGGCCAATAAAATATAAATAAAAAATTTGTAGCATTCAGACCCCAAATATACAAAAGTCAGAATAGCTATTTCCTTATATTTTGCAGTACAGATCCATGATGAAAATCTGAATTTGTAGGGACATGGTCCTCACAATCAAAGACTGATGTAGGAAAACCTACAGGGCAGTGTTTTTTCTTTTCATTAAAAAAGTTTGCAAACATTTAAAAAAGTCTAAGGAATAGTAATAGACATCCCTATACATCCCAAAGTAGTTAGAATGTTTACATATTTTTTCTATCCTTATGTGTGTATCAACACACACACACAAACACACACACACACACACACACAGGGCTATAGGTGTTTTTGGTGTTAAACTATTTAAAAAGAAATCATAGGAATTACTACACTTCACTCCTATGTACTTTAGCACGCATCTTCTAAGGAAAAAGACTTCTTCCTATATAATTAATCCTATATAGGATATATACTTATCACAACTAAGAACATTAACAATTATATACTTATCACAACTAAGAAAATTAACAATTATATAACTGAATATTTATTCAATATTAAACTTTTTTCAATTGCTTTAGATTTGTTTTCCAAACCAGATTTCAGTAAAATCTCATATACATGAAATATGTATATAATATATACATATTTCACCCACTTTTTAGAGCAGTTTCAAGTTCACAGTGAAATTGAGCAGAAAGTGCGCAAAGTTTCTGTCTTAGTCTGTTGCGCTGCTATAACAAAATACCTGAGACTGGGTAACTTATAAAGGCGAAAATTAATTTCTCATATTCTGAAGGGTGGGAAGTCAAAGATCAAGGCACAGACATCTGGTGTCCAATCAGGTAATATTCAGAAGTGAAAAAAGTGGGGAGAGGCAGTGAAGACTAATGCTGTTTCCTCCCATGGTAGAATAGTAGAAGGGAGAGAATTCACTCCTGCAAGCCCTTTTTATAATGGCATTGATCTATTCATGAGGGTGGGCCGCTCATGCTCTAAACACCTCCCAAAAGGTTCCACCTCCCAATAAGGATGCACTGGAGATTAAGCTTCCAATACATGAATCTGGGGGGATGAATTTGGACCATAGCAGTTCCCGACATGTTACATTTTTTAAAAAGTTTCTCTTAATCTCCTTTCATCAAAAATATACCATTCCTTTTTATAAAAAAATCTTCTTCAGGATATGACTTGTTGAAGAATCCAAAGTGTCATAGAATATTCCATGTTCTGGATTGTCTGATTGCTGGTTATGTACTAAGTAACCCTATCAGCCTTATTTTCTATGAAGAGAAAATTAACTCTAAAGGCTTCCTTATATTTAAATTAATTTTTTAGACTACTTCATAAGAGGTACTTCTTAATTGGATCATATGACGGGAGCATATATGAGCTTGTCATAATATTAGTAATGTTAATTTGGACCACTTGTTTAAAGTGATAATCTGTAGAACTCCTCATTGTAGATATCTGATTGTTTCTTACAAATAGTACAAATCATCTCTCGGGTGATACCTTGGCATTGTGGGAGTAATTTCCCCCTGAAAAAAATACATTTTAATCTAGTGGTTTTTTAATATACTCACCAACTGAGCCTGAAGTAATGATGGGAATTGCAAATTGATAAAATAATTCTATCACTTTTAATATTAATCAACTGAAATTCCTCCATCAAGAGAAGCCTTCCCTGATCAACACTTTGTGGTTTTTAAATTTAAGCTTTTAAACTCTTCCTTTAAAAAAGGTGTTGAAAAATTTGTTGCCAGGTAGTAACATTAGTGCAAGATGAACTGAGGTTTGTGTATGTGGACTGGGTGTTCATTTACTTTTTCTTTATAAAAGTCTGTATTGTTTTATGATAAATTAAACATACATAAATATTGTAATTAAAAATGTAGGAACATTTAAATTAACTCTTTCTTCCCAATTTGAAATTTTTACTCAATTACTTTGTGAACAAAAATACACATTTTTGAGCACTTAATGTGTGCTGGACAATTTATAAAGTAAAAACTATTCTTTCTAGTATAAGTCATCATTTTTCAGAAGAGAAGATTTATATGGTTAAACCTATTGCTGAATATTTAATTACCAAATGTGCTTCAGAACCAAGATTGCAACATAACTATTTTCCATTCAAGAAATTTTTGTCTTCTGCATTGTTTCTATCAACTCTGTTCTACAAAGACACAAACTTCATACCAGTTATATCAAACTTTTTAATTCATGGAACTGAAATGGACTTAGGGTCTATTGAAAAAAAGTGGGTTTGATTATGATTTTAAAATGTACTGAGATTCTGTTTTTCATTCAGGTATGCGCGGTGAGGTCACTAATAAAGGGATTATTGCCAGTTAAAAGATAGCTTGTTAAGCACAGTTCCCAAGAAGAAGGGGAACACTACACCACTCAGGGCCATATGTGGGAGCACCAGGAACAGTCCAAAGGCACAAGGAATGAGGGGAAAGCAAGGCCAGTTCCTTTATTGAGGTTTTGGTGGGAAGGAACGGGTCAGGCAAGATGAGCAGTTTGGTGGGAAGGAATGGGTAGGCAAGATGAACAGTTTACAATTCGTGTAAATAATTTCAGTAGGGACTGGGCCATAAAGGTGGTCCCTATTTTTCTGGAACCTGGCACTGCAAGGTAATTCAGACCGCAAGAGCCTGATAAAAGCAGGTGGATGGCAGTATGGAATAGGGATTTGTTGGTCTGCCTATTAAAAGTAGCCTCACAGGCAAGGGTTTTGCTGTCTCTGAGAATTAGCTAACCTTGAGAGGAGCAGTCCCTTCCTGGGTCCACAAGGCCCCAAGATGTCAAAGCATCATAAAGTATAGAAAATAAAAACATGATTAACACAATCAGGAAGGAATATTATCTAAAAACTAAGAAACTAAGTGTGAATGAGTTAAATTTGTCCATAAAGAAATTTAATAGTATGAAATTATGTAGTGATAACATGTAAGTATAACTAATAGACTTATAAATCATGTATCAATTAATAAATGCTATATTCCACTTCATTTTATATGATTTATCTATTTTAGGGATTGAATTGTATTTTTCATTGACACAGAAGCATACAATACATTTATATGGAAATATATCAGAAACATCTTATCAGTAATATGACCATAATTTTATTTTTAAGGAAACCGATTATTTACCTAAAACCATCAGAAATTTTACTATTGTTTAATTTTTGTGCTAGAGATTAGCAGAAGTGTTCTAGATGTTCCAATACTTTCATTTTAAAATACTAATATTTGTGGAGACTTTATGTGTAGTTTTTGTGCCATATGAGCATTCTGTATAGTCGGTAATATTGTTATGATATAGAGGTAGCATTTTCTCTAAAAGTGAAAAATATTTGGACTCCCCTATTTTATAGCCTTCTAAATCTCACATGAGGGTACTTTATTGGCAAATTCTAACCTGGAACCATATGTGGAAGTACAGTCTGAATATGCAATTCTTGTTTTTTTCTTCTAGGAGGTAGTGATAGTAACGTTGAGTTTACAATACACACTCACAGACCTTAGGTAGAGGAGACTTGTTTTCCCCTCTCCTTCCGTTTATCATATTGAACTTACACTCCTTCTGATAGCTTATTGAATAAATAAGTGACAAAAAATAAACCAGACATGTGGATTGTCTTTTTTCATTATGTATTTTTTAGAATTAAGAGGTGGCATAAGGTAATACAAGTGGCGTTGAAGATACGAAAGATGAGTTTAAGTCAGGCTCTGCCACTTAGGGGCCATGTAGCTTAAGTTAGTCACCTCACTTCTCTGAACTTTGGTGTGCTCATCTGCTAATTAAAGTCAATCAGATCTGTTTGGCATCATCTGTTACAATGTGTTGACTTAAGAATAACACAAGTAATGTGTGTTTAAATTATACTGTGTACACAAGTGTCAGAGAAGTGAATGATTCCCTTTTCAACATTGTATGGTATAACAATGCACACATTTAGAAAACTCTCAGGCCATCAACAATCAATTTGCCCCAGTTTCTAACATTCAAAAGTTTTCACTCCCCATCCTCTTAAAGACTATCTGTTGATTATCTTCAAAACTACTTATCTTAGTCATGGGTGTGGAAGAAGAAGGCTGTTGGGATATCATCTTTATTCTCTCTTCACATAAGCTTATCCTAAATAAAATTGAGGATACTACTTCATCTCAGGCTAGGCATCAACCATTACTTATTCCTAACTTTATCATTCACTGAGCAGATATATATTGAGAAATTAGTTTCACCTGCTGAGTGAGAAGCAGCATGCAAGAACAGTTAAATGGCATATTAACAAATATAAACAAAGTATATAATGCTATATAACTCAGGGTAATATTCAGAAAACCAAAGAAAGCATATTGAAGTGATTGACCTCTCCACTGAAGTCATCTATGAAGTGATGTGCACAGTCATCTCCCTGAGGTCTGCCTTTCATAGATGCAGCCACACTGACACTTCCTGGGGTACGTTCATTTTCTGCTTGAGGCCACCTTTTCCCACTTCCTGGGGAACTGTCCAGGGAAACATGTGGGCTCTGCTGTCTCTCAATTCCTATATCATTTCTTCAGTCTCAGAGAAATTTCTTTCTACCGTTTTCTGTTGTCAATAAAGGCACTCCTAATAAAATAATTTTAGTAATTGGAAGATTTTATAAAGAAAAGAAAACATAGCTTCTAGCAGTTTCTTCTCTGTGCTTTGAAAAAATAACCTAATCACAAAACACGTAAGAGTTAAACATTTAAATTAATGAGTTTACAGTTGAAAAATACTTGGCTACACTCTCTGAATGGTGCCAGTGGGAGGAGGGGAAAGAATATACATACAATATAATGTCTTGGTGAATTTTTCTACTGTGTGTTCTGGAGTAGAAATGCTGAGAGTGGGAGCTTATGTTGAGAAATGTTATAAAGAGGATAAAATAAGGACGAAAGAGATAATCATTTTCTTATGATAGAATCAACACTTACAGATAAATTGCAAAGGAAGGGAGGAAGAAGAAAACAGAATCAAGATTAGAGTATGGTAGGTTCAGTTGGATGTGTTGGATTGGTTTTCCTTCTCTTAGAAAATATGCATGAAAAATATATATTCCCATGAATATTTCTATGAGTAAACAAATATACAGTCATTTTTGAGCCATGATTTCTTTTCTATTTTACATATGTGGAAAAGCTGCAAACATTCATGGTCTTACATGTTTGAAAGATTCTAAGTGCTGCAAACCCATAGCACAACTTCCAGCTGCCTTTCATACTTTCACCAAATTTCCTTCATGGAAACTGGTGATTCTCATATCTTTGATCTTGGTTCAGCTTTTGAGGGCACAGAGACAAGGCACTTCTTAAATAATGCAGCTAGTGCAATCTTCTAGACAAATGGCAAATTAATCAGTCTCTGAATCCTTGTTTTTTGAAGACTTGTGCATTTTTAAAGAAGACGGAATAATTGTTTAGTGACTTGGTGCCATTGATTTTCATTATAGATGGTGTTGGCTGGGTCTGTGTCAGGTCATCAGGGAGAAATAGCCTCTGCGTACCTAAATAAAATAGGGAAAGAGGCACTTATTTCATATTCACAAGAAGAAACTCAATCCTTGAAGAAGTTCTGCATGACCTTCCCTTAAGAACAACTTTTGCCCATTGAGTGATTTTCAGGAAACGATGACAAAAATCTCTCAGCACAGATATCACGAGTATATCTTGGCTTCAGTGGTACAAATCGTTTCCCACCTGGGACAATTTTAAAAGAAGGACAAGTTTGAAACGACATAAACAAGATGATTTAAAATAGCATATTGAAATCCACAGTAAATTTCATGGTTATAGTTGAATATGCTTCGAATAGAACAATAAAAAAATGCACACTACTTGCTTCAGCTGACAAAGACAGCACAAGTTTTGTGTTTTCAGAAGTTCCATTTAAGTTAGGTGGTCTGCCACTTCATGAACGTTTCACCGAAAATTTTATCTACTGATACTGAACTGGTTATCGTTAAAGTGCCTCTTGTTAGTCCCAAGATAGCTATCCTTTCTAATGTTTTCTAGAGAGATTCTCACACATTTGACTTGGACATGAAGCTGTTTTAAGTTTGTATCCAAATTTTTCTCTCATCCTTCTCCATTTTGTTGAAAGGCTGGTTAACCATTGTTCATACTGGATTCAGGTTTTTGTTTTAAATGTAACCAACCTTATTTATTTCCCAATTCCTAATTTATTCAGTTTGTATAGATTTTGGCATCAAAATTTCTGTAAATAAAGTGTTTTCAGAGGCTTCAATCATTTTGAAATAAAATCTATAATTTTTTGTTTCATAATGACAGATTTTTTTTTTTAATCAAGAAATCACACAATTATATTGTGGCAACTCAATGAATTTCTCCAGAGAAAAGACTCACTCTAAAAGAATTTCTGCCATGATTTCTTTTAGATATATGCCATAGCAATTCCCTTTTTTAATGTAAATTAAATGATTTGAGTAAGTGAGCTGTTACACAGCTTAGAGAAAGAGAGGTCCTCTGCTTTGCTGGAATGATGTGTTCATGAGATATGGATCTTCTAACCTATTGGGTAATTTTCTCCTAAATGTAGTCATCAAGGACTATTAAATAAATTTATCAATTAAAGACAAAATTACCACTCCCATGTAACTGCAAGTGAATCTTATTAAATGGCGTGCTACTATATTACAGTAAACATGGCAGGTAATTTAAGATTCTACAGAGGATTTTGATTCATTGTCCAAACATGCCTTATTTAGAGTTTAATCAAGACCTGTTTAGAAGATCATTAACCATATTTCATGTTTTTTCATTGTTCACATCATAAGTCCAACATGCCCAATAACGGCCTTGTTAGCTTTATCAGGTCAACAAAGATAGAGTTAATATTATCTTGGCTATCCACTTGAATGTTGTTCTTCAGAGAAGAAAGTAAACCTTGGGATTTCTATTAGAAATGTCTAATCTCCAGTACATTCTAAACAGTGCTAAGCTTTTGTGACAGGAGTCTACTTTTTCCATGATGAATTACTATTTCAGAGAAGCTTTCAACTGTGAGATCCCAAGCAGATGTTTCAGAGAGAGGGATGATACACTCTAATTTTACTTGCTTCCGAGTTACTTTGTATTCACGTTCACCCTTATGTTTAATATTATAATCCCTTTTGTCACCTTGCAAATTTTTGTCCTGCATAATATGAAAAAGTATTCATCAGAAGTCCTGCTAAAAGTTCGTGTAATTGTTATAGCATTAATAAAATTTGATATAGACTAAGACTTGTGTTTTAGGGTGTGTCAGATAATGACATTTTAATACAAGATTATTTGGCAGTCATTTTCTCCTTGTGCTTTAAATAAAGTGTTCCAGAATAACGAGTAATGACTGCATTGGAGACAGCAGACAAAATAACTTTGTGACATAAATAGATACTGCTTTCTTCTTTCCTGATAACAGGCTGCAAATCTATTGAATTATCTCTGAGAGAGAAAACAAGAGAGAGACATGGAGAAGGGAAAGGAGAAAGGAAGAAAGGAAAATCGGAGAACGAAAGTAAATTTGACGATATTCACTTTGCATTTTTATGATTAGCCATATGTAAGCAAAGTAATTTCATGGTTAATGAATGAAATAAGGATGAATTTATAACCTTAAACCACATTGATAATGATGGAGCATTTTGCTTTGTAAATTAACTATCTCCAAGGTTCATTTGACTGTGGAATGTATTAATACTTCCCTTACACAACTAATAGAGAAGATGAAAGAGAGAATTTCCTCTACGCTACTGATGAAAGTGTTCTATTTTATTGAGAATGCATGGGTGAGAATATTTAGTGAAAATAATGATACCCCCTTTACTTCTCTTGCTCAATAGAAGTTTCTCTTTAACAGAAGGTACATCTATGTAGAATACAGTGATAGAAATTAACTGCTAGCAATCAGTGATATAAATTACTTACTGGTAATTTATTGTCATAAGTTTTACACACACATGTTAGAGATTTTTGGCATATGGGAAAAATGTGTTTGTTAGAATATCGCAGAGATGTTTCATGATGAAGGAATCAAAAGTGTGTTTGTTTGTGTCCTTCTGTATGTGAGAGAAAACTTACTGATTTAGCAAAGTCAAAAATTAAGCAGAATCTTGAAACCTAGACATCAAAAGTGAAGTCCAGAAGTAAGCAAATTTAAAGTGACAAAGGTATCAAACTGGAGAAGAGATCCTGAAGTTGAGGTCTGGAAGACAATCTCAAGAGCATACAACATGAGAGTAATTGCTTATATTGTGTATGTTAATAGTTTTTATAAGTTTCTATGATCTCAGAGCAGGGATATCTAGTCAAATTTTTCAGGGACAGAGGCTAATATGAAAGGTTATGACCAAAGAGCAAAAATAATCACACACACACACATATTGGAGAAAATATTGGTAAATTGACTAGAGTCAGTCTCTTCTTATCTTTACGTAAGTATACAGTTTTATGTTGAATTTCAGTTATATGCTACTTGTTGATCTCTATTATTAGTCTATAAACTCCGTGAGGATAATGTCCATTAGGCATCTTATTCATTTATAAGTAAGTTGAGATAGTTTATTAAAATAAAAAACAGCATTTGAGTTAAAAAATGGGTTTCAAATTTCAGAAATGTAATGTGTTAGTTGTATAAGCATAGGCAAGTTGGTTGATGTCCTGAACATTCTATTCTTCATTTGTAAAATTTATCTTGCAAGATTATTGTGGGTTTTAGAGGTGATGTAAGTAAAATGAGTAGTACTTTTCTCCATTTGTAATAATATCTTGTACATATGTTTGATATTGTGTTTAATATCTGGCACATACATTAGATATTCACAGTGCTGGGCTCCTAGTAGGCACTCTGTTTATCCTTGTTGAAATAAATTTTATTCATTGAATGTCTTAGTTTGGGTTTCCCCAAAAGCAGAGCTGGAGAAAGGGAAGTAATTGCACATGTTCCCTTCTCCATGGAATTTAACTTACTTGAATTTATAGAACAATAAAATTCCTATGGATTTGAAGAAAGTCATGGGCAGAAATACATAGAGCAGCCTCTGGGAGAGGCTGTCAGTAAATGTGGAACTGTCCACGGCTGCTGTGCTGAAATCACAGGAAGGCTTAGTGGTTACGGAACATGGGACAGAAGGTGTCTTCTACGATAAATAAATCATGACACTCATGCTTAGATTTTCAAAGGCACAAAGCACATAATATTTTCTGCTTTCTATTTGTATTCTTCATGACTAGCACAATTTTTGGTACACATTAAAAAGCACTTGTTAAATTAAATTACATTAATCTACAGATAAAGTCCAACAACAACAAACTACTAACAAATACATGCTGAAATTCTAGGGTAAAGGACGGCACACTTTTCTTCTAAATTAGCTCAGCATTTCAATATTGTTGCTGAAATAATCCTTATAACACTATTGGTTTTTCATTACTACCTTAGTATCTTTCTGGATTGTCTAAATGTAATATACTTGGTAGGTAATCAATGATAAGACTTCACAATATTATAGACTATAAAACATCCTCTGTGATTACAAAATACTCTTTTATATTAGATTTTTAATGGATTTATTTTCATAAAAACTTTCAAATACAAAAATGCCATTTTTTAAACAAGGATGCAGCCATAAGAAATGATGATTTCATGTCCTTTGTAGGGACATGGATGAAGCTGGAAACCATCATTCTCAGCAAACTATCACAAGGACAAAAAACCAAACACCACATGTTCTCACTCACAGGTGGGAAATGAACAATGAGAACACATGGACACAGGAAGGGGAACACCACACACCGGGGACTGTTGTGGGGTGGGGGGAGGGGGAGAGAAAGCATTAGGAGATATACGTTGCGCACATATACCCTAAAACTTAAAGTATAATAATAATAATAATAAAACAAGTATTGTTTATAACAAATATGAGGTGATAGCTCTTTATTTTAGGTAGCTCCTAATATAAGAAGCCTTCTCCAAGGTTGTATACAAATGATAAACTTATTTTTAACTATGACATTAAGCTTGTTTAATTTTTGAAATGTTTTCAAGTGAGTCTTTAGAGATGAAAATATTAATATTAAATCACCATAATCTAAATTAAAAGGTTCTCTTAAACACAATCTTGTGTCTGGATTTCAGTGAGTTTTCAAAAACAATGCCTAAGCTTGGCAGTTCTGTGCATAACACTATTTTCTCAAAATAAATTTTGTCAGAGGGAATCATGGTCATTCCTGTACCATAGACTTTCACTGTGAGAAAATAAGATAAAATTACTTGTTATCTTTCAAGAAGAGTGCAGTTGTTAGAAGACATGCCAAATGTATAGTGTTATTCTTAAATAACAGCGTTGAAGCATGATGTTTGGAGAAGCAGTTCCACCACATAGAACAATATTATTTCCTTCAAAAACATGTACAATTTCAAAAGCAAGAGTTTGGGAGATGATAATCTTTTATCCAATCCTCAGAACGATCTCTGTGTGAGTTTTGTTGTTGTTGATTGTTGTTTCCTTCAGTGTTATTTAAGAATCGGGTTATCAGATAAATCACTAAGCTAAGAATGAATTTGAAATTAGGTTTCCTGAAGTATTTTAATGCCATCTGAAATCTCTCCCTGAAACATTTAATAGTTGAAAAAATTTCAAAGAAGTAGCCTTAGAATAATAAATGAGATGACACTAAGCTTTCTCCTTATCCAGTTATTAGAATATAATAAATAATAGAAAGTATTGGGTTTGGGGTTGATTTCTGTTATTTTACTAGTTCCTTGAAATGTGACCTGAAATTTTCTATTTGTGATCTTTCAAACTTTGATGTAAGCATTTAGGGCTATGAACTTTCCTCTTAGCAGTACCTTTGCTGTAGCCCACAGGTTTTGATAGATTGTGTCACTATTAGTGTTCAGTTTGAATAATTTTTCTAATTTCCATCTTGATTTCATTGTTGACCCAATGATCATTCAATAGCAGCTTATTTAATTTCTATGTATTTGTATGGTTTGGAAGGTTTTGAGGATTCCTTTGAGAATTGATTTTGAGTTTTATTCCACTGTGGTCTGAGAGAGTACTTGATATAATTTCAATTTTCATAAATTTATTGAGTTTTGTTTTGTGGCCTATCATATGGTCTATCTTGGAGAAAGGTCCATGGGTCCATGTGCTGATGAATAGAATGTATATTCTATGATTGTTGGGTAGAATGTTCTGTAAGTATCTGTTAAGTCCATTTGTTCCAGGGCATAATTTAAATCCATTGTTTCTTTGTTGACTTTCTGTCTTGATGACCTGTCTTGTGCTGTCAGTGGAGTATTGAAGTCCCCCATTATTACTGTGTTGCTGTCTATCTCATTTTTTAGGTCTATTAGTAATTGTTTTATAAATTTGGGAGCTTCAGTGTTAGGTGCATATATACTTAGGATTGTGGTATTTTCTTTTTGGACAAGGCCTTTTATTATATAATGTCCCTCTTTGTCTTTTTTAACTGCTGTTGCTTTAAAAGTTGTTTTGTCTGTCCATTTGCATGGAATGCCTTTTTCCATCCCTTTAAGTTTATGTGAGTCCTTACGTGATATGTGGGTCTCTTGAAGGCAGCAGATGGTTGGTAAATTCTTATTTATTCTGCATTTGTGTGTCTTTTAAGTGGAACATTTAGACCATTTCCTATGCTATTTGTTGCCTGTATACCTTGTTTTTTATTGTATTTTGTTTTATAGGTCATGTGAAATTTATGCTTTAAAGAGGTTCTGAACAACTTTACATGCATAAACTAAAAATCCTGGAGGAGATGGATAAATTTCTGGAAAGATACAAACCTGCTAGCTTAAATGAGGAAGAATTAGATACCCTGAACAGACCAATAACAAGTAGTAAGATTGAAATGGTAATAAAAAAATAACTAACAAAAAAAAATTTTAGACCAGACAGATTCACAGCTGAATTCTACCAGATATTCAAAGAAGACTTGGTACCAGTCCTATCGACACTATTCCACAAGATAAAGAGGGAAACCTCCCTAAATCATTCTGTGAAGCCAGTATGTGTATAACCCTAACACCAAAACCAGAAAAGGATATAACAATAAAAGAAAACTACAGACCAATATCGCTGATGAACATATATGCAAAAATTTTCAACAAAATACTAGCTAACCAAATCCAACAACATATCAAAAAGATAATCCACCATGATCAAGTGGGTTTCATGCCAGGGATGCAGAGATGGTTTAACATATGCAAGTCAATAAGGGTGATATACCACAATAAACAGAATTAAAAACAAAAATCACATGATCATCTCAATAGATGCAGAAAAATCATTTGATAAAACCCAACATCTCTTTATAATTAAAACTCTCAGCAAAATTGGCATACAAGGGACATATCTCAATGTAATCAAAGCCATCTATGACAAACCCATGGCCAACAGAATACTAAATGGGGGAAAGTTAAAAGCCTTCCTTCTGAGAAGCACAACAAGGTAAGGATACCCACTCTCACCACTTCTATTCAGCATAGTACTGGAAGTCCTAGTCAGAGCAGACAAGAGAAAGAAAGGTAAAATTTCTAGAAGATAACATCGGAAAAACCCTTCTAGACAGTGCCTTAGGATAAGATTTCATGACCAAGAACCCAAAAGCAAATGCAATAAAAATAAAAATAAATACCTGGGACTTAATTAAACTAAAAAGCTTTTGTATGGCAAAAGGAACTGTCAGCAGATTAAACAGAAAACCCACAGAGTGGGAGAAAAATCTTCACAATCTATGCATCTGACACAGGACTAATATCCAGAATCTACAAGGAACTCAAACAAATTAGCAAGAAAAAAACAATCCCATCAAAAAGTGGGCTAAGGATATGAATAGACAATTATCAAAAGAAGATACACAAATGGCCAAAAAATGTGTGAAACAATGCTCAGCATCACTAAGGATCAGGGAAATGCAAATCAAAACCACAATGTGATACCACCTTATTCCTGCAAGAATGGCTATAATAAAAAAAATCAAAAAATAATAGATGTTGGCATGGATGCAGTGAAAACGGAACACTTCTACACTGCTGGTGGGAATGTAAACTAGTGCAACCACTATGGAAAACAGTGTGGAGATTTCTTAAAGAACTAAAAGTGGAACTACCATTTGATCCAGCAATCCCACTACTGGGTACCTACCCAGAGGAAAAGAAGTTTTTATACGAAAAATAAAATACTGGCTCACACATGTTTATAGCAGCACAATTCACAATTGCAAAGACGTGGAACCAACCCAAATGCCCATCAATCAATGAGTCTATAAACTGTGAGATATATATATATATATATATATATATATATATATATATCCAACCATTATTGCAATTATCATTTTGATCCTATCTATACTAAATGTTGTCTCTACTCCTGTTTTTAAAGCATATATATATATATACACACACACACATATATACACACACACATACATATACACCCACATATATATACACACATACATATATATGTATATGTATATTTGTATATGTATATATATACACATATATATACATATATACGTATATATGTGTATATGTATATATGCGTATATATATGTATATGTATGTATATATGATGGAATACTACTCAGCCATAAAAAGGAATGAACTAATGCCATTCACAGCAACCTTGCTGGGATTGAAGACTATTATTCTAAGTGAAGTAACTCAGGAATGGAAAACCAAACATCGTATGTTCTCACTCATAAGTGGGAGCTAAAATCTGAGGATGCAAAGGCATAAGAATCACACAACAGACTTTGGGAAATTAGGGGGAAATGCTGGGAAGGGGGTGAGGGATAAAAGACCACACATTGGCCTGTAATCCCAGCACTTTGGGAGGCTGAGGTGGGCGGATCATGAGGCCACGAGATCGAGACCATCTTGGCTAACATGGTGAAACCCCATTTCTACTAAAAATACAAAAATTAGCCAGGGATAGTGGCACACACCTGTAGTCCCAGCTACTCGGGAGGCTGAGGCAGGAGAATCGATCGAACCCGGGAGGCAGAGGTTGCAGTGAGCCAAGATTGTGCCACTGTACTCCAGCCTGGGTGACAGAGCGAGACTCTGACTCAAAAAAACAACAACAAATAAAACAAAAAAACAAAAACATAACAAACTAAAAAGCACACACATTGGGTTCAGAGCCTACTGTTCAGGAGATGGGTGCACCAAAATCTCACAAATCACCACCAAAGAACTTACTCATGTAATCAAATACCACCTGTTCCTTAAAAACCTATGAATATAAAATCTTTCTTTTTTAATTTTATTTTTTTTATTTTTTTTATTTATTTTATTTTTTTTTATTTTTTGAGACGGAGTCTCGCTCTGTCGCCCAGGCCGGACTGCGGACTGCAGTGGCGCAATCTCGGCTCACTGCAAGCTCCGCTTCCCGGGTTCACGCCATTCTCCTGCCTCAGCCTCCCGAGTAGCTGGGACTACAGGCGCCCGCCACCGCGCCCGGCTAATTTTTTGTATTTATAGTAGAGACGGGGTTTCACCTTGTTAGCCAGGATGGTCTCGATCTCCTGACCTCATGATCCACCCGCCTCGGCCTCCCAAAGTGCTGGGATTACAGGCGTGAGCCACCGCGCCCGGCCAAAATCTTTTTTTAAAAAGAAACTGAATTGAATGGGAAGCCCAGTTATATTGAATTCCAGAGTTACACAGGCTTTCTTTGTACATTTTTTACTCCTTGGTCTGTGTTTATATTGCATGCCCTCAGAGCCTTTCAGTTTGGTTTTCTTTCTAAATTTATTTGGACCCAAATGCCCTGTTTCTCTTTCACCTTTATTTCTCAGCAAGGGTTAAAAGAAATAGAGGTCAGCAAATCTAGAAAGCATTGCAGAGTTTGTATTAGTGTTTTAGCAGGAACAGCTATTCTGAAAGGCTGTAATGAAAAGAAGTACAGTTGGGTTCTCAAGCTCCTTTTGGATACCTTCCACCTCTGCCCTAATATAGGCAGCTGTCTCCAAATGTTTCTTTCCCTGGCTATTCAAGGAGTCTCATTTGGGTAACTCTCCAATCATTAATGCAATTATCATTTAGATCCTATCTATACTAAATGTTGTCTCCACTCCTGTTTGTAAAGCTCTTATCATCTAGTTTGCAATATTGGACTTGCTCAAACATGGCTCACCATCCAACAGTAAATGGAGCCAATACTTATTGAGCCTAATGGTTCTTATATTATAGCCACATCCTCATTAAGAGAAAATGGTGCAAAATTTTTGAGAAAAACATTACTTAAAGATTTTTGAACTATATTTATGAAGTTAGTGATGGTCAACTTTAGTGAAGAATTTTTTAATGACAGGAAAGGCTATTTGTTTTTCTTTACTTTTTTACACCTGCTACTCACTCCACACTTCACATAGAAAGGACCTCTCCTTTATTTGTATGTCATCTTCACCTGGACAAACCACTATCATAATGTTTATCTGAATACAAATAATGTCCTTGCCTAGTTAATCCTCATCACCTATTTCAATGTATGACAAAGAGTAGCCGTTCAATAATCTTTACTTAAAAGAATAAAATAGGAGGGCAAAAATACCATCATAAGATGAGAGTTAAACAATTTTGACTAAGTTAAGTTTTTATTTTGTCATTTACATATTTTTCTTGAGAATATTAAAAAATTTATTAGTAATTCTGACATCTATGTATCACAGGTAGGAAGATGCCAACATTTTAATTTTAGCTGAATTTTCTTTAATTTACCCAATTACCCAAGTGGATCTTCAACTTTTCAGGGACTTGGAATAATGATAGTTTCTATTACTTGGAATTGTATTTATTTATTTTTCTTTGTTGTCCTTTTTTAATTGGAATTGACTCAATTGCTTTTTTTCTTTCTTTTTTCTCCTTTCCTCTCAGTGTTGAATTTTTTGAGTTTATGTATACATTTATGTACAAGTGAACTTTTATTGTTCCTCTACAAGGAGTGGTACTAATACCTTAAAATAATGTTTAAGAATGTGCAGAAGAATTTCTAATTGTCAGACTATCTGGGAATATTACTAGTATTTCAATTCCAGGATCTGGGGATAATACATTTCCTGTACTACAGGTAACTGTCTTGTAAAATGAAGAATTTCACCCTGCTAAAATTTTAAAAGTGTTCCGATTGAAAGAATTTCACAGGATCTTAAAATGGAAATCAACATTTATTGAACATCTATACTGTGAAATTTATTGTATTTGAACTTTGGAGGTAGAGAAGGATGTGGGGAGATGCACAAAGGGTGTAACTTCTTATTCTATAAAAGTTTAAAATCCACTGAGATTATAGAGGACACGACAGCTAGAAATATTTAAATTAATACGTTCAGAAGGTTTACCCTTACTTACCATTGCCCGTCTGACCACCTTACGACCTGAACTATTCAGTGAGTCAATGCAAGTGATGTGTGACAAAGATGAGGACAAAAAACATGAGTTTTTGAGGGACCTCAAATGGAACACTAAGATCATAGAAGATTTCTTTTTGTAGCGCTGTGTTTATCTTAAACAAGGGTATCCTCAGGAATATTAGAGGTTATGTTGCTGGCATTGGACACTATGAGAATAGGGAGCACATCTGACACAACTTCTTGGAGCATTTTACTAGACAGCTATTTTATAAACTTTTATGTTAAACGCAAACATTGTTACCAATTACATTACAAAATTCATATGAGTTTTAAACATAAAGGTGGTGACTGTGAAGACATTTAATTATTATGACAAGCTGCTTAAAGTTATATTCTTAGACGTTTTAGACTATAGGTCGTGTGTTTATTCTCTGTTGTAGAAGGACATTTGGCAGAAAATTTTAAGAACACTGGAATTAGCTGATGGCCTTCTAATCAAGAGATTCATTGTGAAAAATAAGTCTGCATCCAAGACTAGCAGAATGGAACAGTGAGTGCCAACGAGCCACTTCAGTATTAGTCAACCCAATCCTCAGCTGTCTTCCATTATGCTAGAATTGCTATGTTCACCAAAGAAGGGTTGATAAATGGGTTATAAAAAGAGTTGAGATTGGACTATCTCTCTGAGATTTGGAGGCCCTCTATGATGAATCAGGGGAACTTTTAAAAAGACAGTAAGCTCAGTCCCCCAAATCACTTTTCCAAGGGGAATAGGCGTTCTTTTCAGTACAGAACCCAAATACTTAAAAATAGGAGTATCACTGACAACCTTCAGCATGAAGTTGCTCGAAACATAAATAGCTTTTAGAAAGAAGGAACACTGGGGGACTTCTGGATAAATTGGGGTGACAATGCAGAGTATGGTTGCCTAGTACCTGTGCATTGCTTGGATGAATCTAACAAAAAATTATATAGGACTTGTAAATTAATAATTAATGACTACTGATTGAAAAATGATGATTGAATAATGTTAAATGAAACTGACAATTACTCAAATAATACCAATGAGTAAAGCATCAAAAGTAATTGTCTACTAAGACTTGTTTTTCTTAAATATTACCAAAATTTACTAACAATAAAAAAAGTGGGAAGATGCTCAAAATCCATATAATTTTGTGTATAAGTACTTACACAGAGCTACTCAGATGGGAATGGACATTGTATAGACTTACACTGTAGTTCTAAAAGTTATATTTTTCTTTATTATTTGGGTAGTTAATTTTTTCCATTATATATATATTTTACATTCAATATGTTGATGAAATACTTGGAAACTTTAAAATAATTTCTGAAAGATGGAGGCTCCTGGGTGTAGATGAACTTCTTCTATGGAAAAGTGACAGATTTTAAATCTTACAATCAGATCAGTAGTTCACGGGACATCTGATATTTTATTTTAAATTATTCTTTTTAAAAATGATGTAATAGCAATTCTTCAGATAAAAAATTCCATGGTCAGCTGGGAATTGCAGAGAGGACTGATCTGTTATATCTTGTTTATCATTAATAATTCAACATTGATATTATTATTAATTTCCTTTAGTTTTGTTAAATCTAGAATAAAAGCCTTCTTCCGAAGGCTTTTGCAAGAAATAAATGAAGTAAGTAAATACCAAGCATAGTATGCTTACAAAGTAAATACACAATAAACAGAAGCCATTATTAAAAAGAGGTTATTCTGACTCCTTTCTCTCTTTGATATTCCCTAGGAAAGAACAAAAAAATTGCCCATTTATATTATCAGTACTGATTCCACCTTTCTAGAATATTTTGTGGTCTATGGATTCTATATTTTTTCCTACCATGCAGCTTAAGCAACTAGAAGCTGTTTATACTTCAAAATTAGCTAAATCAAGAACTTTGCAAGATGCTGTCATTTATAATTCAATGTGTTTATTTTCTGTGTACCCACTTGTATTTTGAATATTTGCATGCATCTGCAAACTATAACAATCAAAAGATATTTAACAATGACCTATTTTGAGTCAGTCGCCATGTTGGTTACTGGGAAGGCAGCAGGATTAAGGCGTGACTCTGTCTTCTAAGATCCCACCAGTGGAAACTGGTATATTAGACAGGGAAGATGAGATTAGAAGCTTAAAGAGAAATTTTAAATATAATAGCAACTATAAGAAATATATACAATATGTCTGAATAGCAAAGAATAACAGCATCTATCTCAGCTTACATGTCTGTGTAGGATGGGAAGGGGGAAATTTGTAGAGATGATTGTTTGGAGATCCTGTATCTTAAGAGTAAAAAGGATTTAGTCTGGGGGAAAGGAAACTAGTCTATCTTAGAATGATCTGTTGTAAATTTTTTCAGTATTGCCAAATCCAGTTGTTTCTTTCTCATTACCTATGCTCTTTCATTACCTACGATCACTCATGCCAACAAATAAGTTATCAGCTTTACAGTAAAGCTTATGTATAATTCCTTAAGTTACATGTTATTAAATTGAACTAAGACATATTATCCTGATTGACCTTAGCAAGTAACCTATGCAAGCTTGCCAATTATCTGGAGTAATCTTGGAGACAAGTCCCCCAAATCTTATAATGATAATTTAAAAGAAAAAAAATCAGATTTCTAGTCTTTCCTAGACTCTGACCATCAAACTCACTATCCCAAACTTCAGATTAAGTATGGTGGATGCTGTGCAAAATCCATTCTCATAGCAGGTGGCAGCAGCAGTGGCAGTAGCACCTAGTTTTGCAGCATTTATGACTGTGAAAACAATGGCATTTAATGTTCTGCAGCAGAAGCTGAGGTTACTACAGATGTGACTACTTAGTTTTCCTTAAATTCCTGCCTATGTCGCAAGTTTTATTGAAGAACTTTTCTTGAAATGTGGCAAGCCTCCCAAAATTTTCAATCAATGTCTTGAATTGTTATAGCAGAAGAATAGCTTTGTTGTTTGAAAATAACAGCCAAGAAAGACTAAGAGGATCTTGGATAGTTTTTATTAAATTCATACCCTCCACATACAGCTATGCCAAATATAGGAGGGAATGTTCCAGACAAATCCTGCAAACTTGTGCCAGGTATTTGTGACTAGCAAGTAGATATTTCAGACTTCTCTAGGTCCATGCCTGTGGTGCTAACATTAGTCTTCAGTAGATGTTTTAAAAGGTTTTATTCTACTACATTTGTCCTAAAGAAGACCCAAGGAAAGTAATTTATACACATGCTATCTATTAAGGTTTACTCCTGCCAGCCTTTGTAGTGGGAGCAATGAGAATTAAAATTAACAGATGCCAGAGTGACTAACTGTAACAATTAATATTTATTGAATTGCTACTATTTGTGAAGTACTATGTTAAATGAATTATACGAATTAATCTCACTTAATCCTTAGTCAACCCTATAAAGAAGGTACTGCTATCTTTGTTTTATAGGTGATAAAATTTATAATTAGATATAAATAATATACCTAAAACCAAGCAGATGTAAGTGAAATAGCCAGTTTTTGAACCAAAGGTTGATTTTTCAGCACCTGAACTCTTGTTGAATTATTCACTGGCAAGTGTCAGGCTTCTGTGTCATCTTCATCTTCCACCAAGATGATTCTTCTTTCACAGCTAAGCTCAGAAGTATGTGTTTATTTGTATTAGGAAGTTATTACTCTGAACTTAATTAGAAAATTATTTTGCTTTTTCCTAATAATATTGCATCATTCTAACGTTGGTGATTGGTTTTATTTAGTCAGTAGAAAGGAGACAAAGTGAACTGCAATTTTGCACGCCAAAATCAACTATCCTTAATTCAAGCATGCACAAGTAATTCCTAATCAAATTTTAAACAATTGCTCTGGCCTATTTTCAGTAAAGTAAAATGAAGGTCTAAGTGAAAATTATTTTTAGTTTCTCCTTGCATAAAATTGATGAACTGATTGCTTAAACTTTAATGAATATTAATAATATCTCATACAAAAACACTTTGTGTCTATGATAAATATCTTACTAAAACTGAGGAGAAATGGGGTAAAGATATTCTTATATTTATTATCCATGATTCTACCCTATTGTGAAGACACAGGAAATAAAGTTTTCACCATCCAGGAAGAATCTAATCTATCCTCATAGTGAATTTATCGATTTTTTCACAAGAAATTATATAGTAATCAAGGATTTTAATGGTGGAAAGGTAGAAAATAATTTTTCAGAACTGAAAAACTATGAGTAAAAGGTGCTATGTACTATAACAGCAACACTTTTTAAAACATGAAACACTATTTGTGAAACACTGGTAACATACAGATATGCAAAAACTCTTGACTCTTTGATGAAATGAACTCTGTGACCCAATGGTATTGAAGAACTGTCAGGAACCAGTGAGATGGCAACTGAGAAAAATGTCACAACACAGATGGAATCTTACAGTGATTTTCTTAAGGGGATATTAAAATATTGGGATTGAGTGACTTAAGCAAATCCCAAAGGAATATCAGTCTCTCAACATGAACATGCTTCTCTGTGAAGGGCTTAGAAATATTAAACTCTGTGATAAACAAAACAATACCCCATGAGACAGTTCTCTATTTAACTTCTGAGAAGACACATAGTGTGTCCCTCAGAGAAAATTAGGTTAAAAAAAAAACCTTCATTCCAAGATTTACTTTACTACAAGTTACTGATGTTTATTTAGACAATGTAAGAAAAAGGTAATAGGTGAGTTAAGACATGACTGCTACCTGTGTAATACAATGATAGCTCATGGAGTGGTTTTCGAAATAGCTAGCTTAAAATCAAATTTGAGTTAAATGCTACTTCACTACAAACAGCCATAAAAAAAAATTCTCAACTTTCTAAGACTAATTATTTATTGAATAGCTACTACAGAAAATCACAGCTTGGAAAGACAGGAAGCAGGTGGCAAACCTCAAATCTTTCCAAGAAAAAGAAAAATTTATAGGGATTATCACCGAGACTTAAAATTGAATTTAGAAAACTTAACTGAGCATATATTATGTACACAATACTGTGCTAGGTGCTGGCACTTACGTATGTATTTTTTTAAGTTTCACAACATTGCACATTTATTAGCATGCATTAATATAAAAATTGATCATTAACACAGTGTAGACTGAAAATCAGTGCCTTACTTCAACAAACAACTTAACCTATACTTTAAAAAGGCAAACTATAAGATGTTGATTAAATAGTTAACAAATACAAATAACATATGGCAATATGTAATAATTTTAGGGTAACAATAAGCTTGTCCTTACCATTCTACCATTTCTGCCGTTAATTGCTGTTGTAGAAATCTGAGCATAGCAGGTGCTGTTGGAAGTGTGACTCTTGATGAATGTGCACACACCAGCTGATGCCGAAAACCACGTGCCTTCTGCATGTGAACACCTTGTGAAAATGCCTTTTGCTTCGTTTCAGGCCTTTAGGGAAGTGAGGGACATTTTTTTGCCCGAATATGTTTAGGAAGTATTTCTAAATGTAATAAAACTGTTATTCCCAATGTTAATTTTAAATGCTTTTAATTGCATACAAATTATAGTAAAAGAGCTTTACTTTTTAACCCCATTGATGCCTGCTGTATTTGGGCGGACAAGAGCAGGTACTAGTCTCAAAAGTTGTCATCTTAGATATTTCAGATAGATTAGAAGGCCTTCTGGGCAGGAAAGACAGACAGTCTAGAAGTTGTGAAAGAGTAGCAGAATGTGTCTGCAAATAGCAATTAAAGAAATAGTTGAGGGGACATGGATGAGAATAGATATTGTAAGTGTTCTGGTTCTTAAAGAAAATTTGCCATTTCAATTAGGGCAGACTTAGCTCCAAAACTCTGGATATGTTTTTTTGAAGTTTATGAAAGAGATTGAGACGATTTTACCCATCAGCCCTCATTCTCCATATAAGAAAATATTCTCTGCATAAATCAAAGAAGGTTTGGCAATGTTTTTCCTTTTTGGTATGAGAAATGGGACTCACATGTCACATAGACACCAGAAGGATAGCAAATTTCATCTGGCTGTCAAAATTTACTTTTGTTATTAACAAAGAGGCCTCCTGTCCACCAAGGAGACCTCATTTGTAGATTTGGCAAAGTATGGCACAATCTGTGCTTTAAAAACATAGAATTTAAAAAAGAACTAAAAATAATTAGTTACCAACATCTAAAAGTCAGTGGCATTTATTTAAAAAAATAGTGATATCTGACTTCCCTTAAAACATTAGACAGATTATCAAGACTTAGCTTTTATTGCTACATGGTATTATATCCAAATCTTTCTGATTTCTTATTGTGTTCTCGATATCAAAGCACTTTGGTCAGTTCCTACTTATCATATTTCCACTGTTGTGCTCTATTGGAGAACTTAGAAGAAAATAAAGTATATTTTGGACCCATGCATTACTAAATGTTGAAAAATTAAAGATGGACCATGAAGGCTGTAATTTCTATTTGTTGTGGTAGTTAATTTTGTGACTTTTGTGAACATTCATTATTGTGTGTATAAGATATATATAATGAATATACATTATATTCCTCATGAGGGCTCGAATTGCTTCTTATTTTTTATTTCTGCTCTTCCAATTTTGTTCTAGTGCTGAGTATAAATCAGACACAGGTAGAAAACGTGTGTTGAGTAAATACATAGTAACTTTGCAAATAGAAAAGAGGGTGAATGATCTCAAGGGAGGCGTCACCTGGGGTGTAGTAAAATGTTTTGTAATGACTACAAATTGATTCAGCTAGAAATTAAATAGATCTCTTTGGAATAATACAGTCAATCCTTGCACAATACTGGGGTTAGGGACACTTACCCTTGCACAGTAGAAAATCTGTGTACATCTTTTGACTCCCCAAAAATTTAACTGCTAATAGCCTACTTGATCGGAAGGCTTACTGATAACATAAATAACACATATTTTATATCTTGCATGTATTATATAATGTATTCTTACAATAAAGTAAGAGAGAAAAGAAATAGGGAAAAGAAAATGTTCTTTAAAAAATTGTGAGAAAAAATCATATATTTACTATTCATTAAGCAGAGTGGATCATCATAAAGGTCTTCATCCTTGTTATCTTCACCTTGACTAGGCTGAGAATGAGGAGGAACAGGAGGGGTAGCCTTGTGGTCTCAGCGGTGTCACAGGCAGAAGAAAATACCCATATTAGTGGACCTGCACAGTTCAAATCCATGTTGCTTGAGGGTCAACTGTTCCGGCAGAACATTAACACATTTAACATTTTTCCTTTATCATAGTTTCTATCACTAATCTTTCATGTGGCAAACCATTTCTTTAGAAAAAAAGGACAATGCTCTCAAGTAGCCTTTACAGTGTGAAGCTGGGTAGAAATTAAACATGGTGATTAATAACAATTTAGCCCATGGTAACAGACCCCAGGAACACGGTAGAGCAAGATTAGTAGGAGACACTAAATCAATTAAGAATTCTAGAGTCCAGAAAGGAAGAAAATATATTGGAAAATAGGATTTATAGTTCCTTTCCAGGAGGCAAGATCCAGGAACAGTTTTAAGGTTTAATTCTGTGTTTTGTTTGGTTTTGTTCATCTAGGGTTGCTTGAACGCACATGTATGAAACCAAAATCTTAAAGATACTAATCTGCACTTAATTTAGGAAATTGAATGTGAATGCATTTAAGTTATGATTTCTAATAATATGCCTTGATTAGACTTGTACAGAAAGCATGTTTCCTTGACTGGATTTATGGAAAACACTGATTTCTATTATTATAGTAGAATATACTCTGTTTTGACCAGGTACACAATATTAAATATTTCAGATAGTGATGGTCTACCAGTAACCAATATTACTCATATTACAGCAATTTATACTTCTTTTGATTATAATGAACGACTTCTGCTTGTATCTGCAAATATGTAGGAAATATCTTATGAAATGTGTTCTCGTCATTTATATTTTATTTAACAATATTTACATTGATTTCAGAAAAAAGTTTCAACATTATTTTGATAAATTCTTGTTAAGTAGAAGAACTTCTACACTAATGCATAAGGATATACATGCTACTTTTCAAGATTCACAACTAATAATGAGCTTGTTTTCAGATTCATGGGAATGACATGAAATGAACTTCCTGAATACCTTTGTTAATTTTCTGCCTCAGTGATCTGCCCAATACTATGAGTGAAATGTGGAGGTCTCCCACTATTAATGCATGGGAGTCTAAGTCTCTTTGAAGGTCTCTAATAACTTGATTTATGAATCTGGGTGCTCCTGTGTGGGGTGCATATATATTTAGGATAGTTACGTCTTCTTGTTGAATTGAAGCTTTTTCCAATATGTCATGCCCTTCTTTCTCTTTTCTGATCTTTTTTTGGTTTAAAATCTATTTTGTCTGAAATTAGGATTACATCTCCTGCTTTTTTCTGCTCTCCACTTGCTTGGTAGAGTGTTCTCCATCCCTATATTTTGAACCTACGTGTGTCATTGTATGCTAGATGTGTCTTTGAAGACAGCATACCAATGCGTCTTGGTTCTTTATCCAGATTGCCACTCTATACTTTTTAATTGGGGCATTTAGCCCATTTCCATTCAAGGTTAGTATGATATGTGTGGATTTGATCCTGTCACCATGATGTTAGCTTGTTTGTATGGTTTCTTTATAGTGTCACTGATCTGTGTCCTTAGGTGTGTTTTTGTAGTGGCTGGTAATGGTCTTTTCTTTCCATGTTTAGGGTTTTCTTCAGGAGCTCTTGTATGGTGGGTCTGTTTGTAATGAATTCCCTCAGCATTTACTTGTCTGAAAAGGATCTTATTTATCCTTCACTTATGAAGCTTAGTCTAACCAGATATGAAATTCTTGGTTGGAATTTTTTCTTTAATAACGTCGAATGTTGAATATTGGCCCCCAATTTATTCTGGCTTGTAAGGTTTCTGCTGAGAGGTCTGTTGTTAGTCTGATAGGCTTCCCTTTGTAAGTGACCTAACCTTTCTCTCTAGCTGCCTTTAACATTTCTTTCTTTCATTTTGTCCTTGGAGAATCTGATAATTATATGTCTTTGAGATGATCTTGTGAAGTATATTACTGTGGTTCTCTGCATTTCCTAAATTTGAATGATGGCCTCTCTAGCTAGGTTGGGGAAGTTTTCATGGATGATATCGTGAAATATATATTCCAAGTTACTTCCATTCTTCCCATCTCCTTCAGGGACACCACTGAGTTGTAAATTTCGTTTCTTTACGTAATACAATATGCCTGAGAGGTTTTGTTTCTTCCCTTTTGTTCTTTTTTTCTTGATTCTTTTCTGACTGTCTCATATTAAAAAACCAGCCTTCAAGCTCTGAGACTCTTTACTCAGCTTTGTCTGTAATACCTGTGATTGCATTATGAAATTCTTGTGTGCCTTTCAGCTCTAATCAGGTCTGTTATGTTATTTTCTATACTAGCTAATTTTTCTGTGAGCTCCTGTATGATTTTACTGTGATTCTTAGCTTCCTTGGATTGAGTTTCAACATACTCTTGCATTTTAATGATCTTCATTTCTATCCAGATTTGAATTCTATTTCTGTCATTTCAGCCATCTCAGCCTGGTTCAGAGCCCTTGCTGGAGAGCTAGTACAGTAATTTGGAGGAAATAAGCCATGCTGGCTATTAGAGTTGTCAGTGTTCCTGCATTGGTTCTTTTTCATCTTTGTGGGCTGATGTTTCTTCAATCGTTGAAGTTGGTGTCCTTAGGATTCTTTTTTTTCTTTTCTGCTTGATGAACTCGAGGGTTTGATTGTGGTTGTGGTATAAGGTTGGTTCAGTTAACTGGCTTTATTTCTGGAAGATTTTAGAGGGCCAAGGCTCAGCTCCCAACTCCTAGACTATGTGCTCTAACACTGTGGAACTAGTAACCGGAGGGATCTTGTTCTCTGGCTCTTTGAGGTTAGGAATCCACTGTGCGGAGGTTCCTAGACCAAAGGCAGCAGCAGCACAGGGATATGCACGCGCCTCAGCTGCAGCTGAGGCAGAGGGTGGCGGGGGAGGGGACTAGAGCCCCCTGCTGGTGACTATGTGTGTGGTCACTCTGGTGGTTGTGTTAGCACGGGGGTGGGGCGCTGGCGGGCACAGGTCTGTGTGTGCCCTCTGCTCTGTGTAGGGGAAGGTCCATTGTTTTCCATGCCTAGTTTTCACTCCATAAGCAGTGCTGGCTCGGGCTGGACGCTGGTGGGGTGGGGTTGGTGGGCTCTTTGCCAGGCGAGGCTCCTACTACAATGGCTTTATGATGTGTGCTGGGGGTGGGATGGAATGCACTCACTCCAGCAGCAGTGGCAGGACAGGGTACACACCTACATGGCGTTGGTGAGGCAGGGAAAACAATATCCATCTGCAGGTACACCCACCCCAAAAGTGATGTGAGCAGTGGCTGTGGGCCTGGAAGGAAGCTGCAGTGGGGGAACGAAGCAAGCAGACTGGTGCCTGTCCCTGGGGTCTGTTAAGCTGGAGCTCTCTGCCAGTCAGGCATGGTAAGCTAGAGTGTAGGAACTATGATGTGGACCCCCAGAGCACCCGAGGCTGCACTGCAAGGGAGTCCCAGGAGAGTTCATTAGGCCAAGGGGAGTTTAGGTCGAATGGCCCAGTGCAATGGACAAGAGCACCTGCAGAGTTCAGGTCACACTGTTCCCCTAAAACTAAAGTCTCCTATGGGAGCAAGTTGAGCCTAGGGGCATGGGTGTCCTTGGCCATGCTTCACTACAGACGGTCCTTCAATGAACCCTCTGGGCTCCACAGTTACAGGAGTACTGCCCCTACCACTTCTCTAATCAGCTCTTTCTGTCTGTGGTGGTTGAGGGGTCTCCTCCTGCCAGGGTTCCAGAGACTTGTAGCTGGAGCAGGTTGCTCCTTGCTAGTTCAACTAACCCATTTCCCTGAAGCTGTTGGGAGCCAGAAAGGAATCCTTGGGCATGGTAATCCTGTGCAGAATTTTCAGCTTCTTCCCCCTTCAGCCCAGCTTCTGTATCTTCCCTCTGTTCATTCTCAGTGCCTTTCTCTCTCAAATCTATCCGCTGCAAAATCCCTTCACTAAAAGCTATACGAATGCAATAGTCCAGCATTACATTACCTCTTACTTACTTCAAGTGTAATTGCTTCTTAACTAGCTGGTCTTGCTGTTTACTCATTTCTAGTACATCAATTTTAGATTAGTGTCCTTGAAATTTAAGGTCTGCCTATAATGAAATAGAAGATCATGTGATGTATAAAGATCAAAATTATTTAAAGACAAGAAGGTGTTCAATGAATGTGAGTTTGATGTGGATTAAAATGGCAAATAAGGGAGTAAGGAAAAGGGATTGGGGAGGGGGTTAAGGTAACTGATTCAAAAGTAAAGTTGTCTAATAAGTTGTTTGTCTATATTAACTAGAAAATAAGTGAATATTATCAGCCATAAATAAATACACACACAGATACACAAACACACACACTCAAACAGAACCTTAGAGGGTGATAGTAAAGGGAGTGTCTCAAAGTTTCACAGGGAGTCGGTGAACAAATAAAACAATACAAATATTTTATATAAGGGCTTCCAGAGCCTTGGATTGTCAATGAAGAAAATATATTATCTAAGATGAAGATCTCTAGGGACTCCTTGTATTGAATGTTCACGGTACACAGTAGTTGCTCCACCATTACAACAATCTTAGCAGAGCAAACAGAAGGGTAAAAATAGAATAATGAATAGGTGGGAAGATAAATTGGGAAAAAAACAAAAAAAAAATGAAGACTGGTTGTTTTGTATGCAGGGATTTATTGTTTAAAGATTATGCATAAAGTCAACAGAAATGAAAGAAAAGTAAGACTGTAAGATGGGCTAGAAGGACTCCATACTCTCAGGGAGAAAGACAGTGTCACCTGGACAAAATCAGCTTCAAAGTTTTCACCCTCCTGTGCAGGTCCTTAAGTTATTCAGTTTCATGGTGACATGCATATAGTGAGTGCTCACATTGTTTAAGTGAGAAAATAAATAAATGACTATAGATGGGTAAATGGACAAGTTCTTCACTGTTTTAGTGAGGCACTATTGCTTATGCCTCCATTCACTGAGCCCAAGATCTAACTTTCTGCTCCGTAGAGTGGGAAAAATAAATGAATTTCTCAAAGGAAAGTTTTCTATAATACGCTTGTTAAGAAATGTAAGGCCATTATCATAAAGTGAAGACCATCAAAAATACATAAATTTAAGACTAGCAGAGAAAAATATTGAAGTGTTTGAAGAAATATTAGATGAAATGACACTTGCACAGTGCCTACATAAATTTAAATCGTTTGTCATAGGATTCAGATGTTAGAACATATATTTTTAAAATGTTTTCTTTTTACAATATTATATGTCTATTATTCTAATCATGGATATTAAAAAGTGATGTTAGCATATCTATTTTAATCTGAATTAATTTATGGCATTCTTAACATAAAGTTCCAAGTGAAATTCAAAAGCATCATTCTCTTTCGAGAAGAGATACATTGACATTCTAAATTTTCAGACATGTTATTATATGAATTTACCTATATAAAATTAGAGTATTGAACAATTACAAATTGAATATTAAATAAAAATATCATGTGGGATTTTCAGGTAAGGTAGAAATAACCTTTTTTGGTTAATTTATCAAGATATAGCTATAAATTTTCTCCAATCCATTGTCCACGTATAAGCCTATTACAATGAGACAGAATTCTCTTTGTTTAGAATTTTTAAGTCTTTGGAATGGAATTGGTGATGGCATATCTTCGGAGAGCTTTGAAAAGATACTCTGATTTCTTAAATGCCCTTCTACTTCTGCTTTTGTTTATACTAACACCACCTATCTTCAAAACCAACTGAAGATTCACCTCTTCATAAACCTTCCCTTACACAATAGGCCTGTTAAAGTTAATAACCATTTCATTGTGGTTTCATTATGATTCCTCTGCAAATATCTTCCATTAACGGTGTGTACAATCCTTGGGATTTTGATAGGGATTTCATTAAATCTATAGATTGCATTGAGTAGTATGGTCTTTTCAACAATATTAAAATTTTTAATCCATGAACACAGGATGCATTTCAATTTATTTGTTTCCACTTTAATCCATCAATACTTTGTAGCTTTCAGTACACAAGTTTTTACCTCCTTAGTTAATTTTATTCCTAGGTATTTTACTCTTTTTGGTATTATTGGAAATGATGTTGTTTTTCAAATTTCCTTTTCAGATAGTTCATTGTTGATTAAGAAATGCAACTGATTTCTGTATGATAATTTTGTATCCTGCAACTTCACTGAATTCATCTATTAGTTCTAACAGTATTTGGGTGGTTTCTATATATATGAGCATGTCATCCGCAAAAATGGATAATTTTATTTCTTACTTTCTGATTTAGATGCTATGTATTTCTTTCTCTTGCCCTATTGCTCTGACTAGGCGTTCCAGTACTATATGGACTAGAAGTGATGAGAGTGAGCATTTTTACCTCATTCCTGGAAAATTTTACAGAAATAGAAAAAACAATTCTAAAATTCACATTGAACTGCAAAAAACCACAAATAGCCAAATCAATCTTGATAAAGAATAACAAAGCTGACTGTATTACATTTTTATTTTAAAATATCTTACAAAGCTACAATAACCAAAATACATACGGACAGATATATGGACCAGTGAAACAAATTAGT
Organism: Homo sapiens; assembly: GCF_000001405.40. NCBI lineage: Eukaryota > Metazoa > Chordata > Mammalia > Primates > Hominidae > Homo > Homo sapiens. The sequence goes on from NC_000009.12 coordinate 25,007,547, forward strand.
AAGCCCAGAAGGAAACCCACATACATATGGTAAAGTTATTTTCAGTAAGGTTATCAATATTATACAATAGGGAAAGAGTTCAACAAATGATGTAGGCAAATTAGATATCAATATACAAAAGGATGAACTTGGAGCCTCATCTTACTTCATATACAAATCCACTCAAAATGGACTGAAAACACTTAGATGCTAAAACCCCAAACTGTAAAATATTTACAAGAGAATATAAGGGAAATGCTTCATGACATAGGTCTTGGCAGTGATTTTATGCACATGATAACAAAAGCACAGACAATAAAAACAAACAAGGGACTATATCATACTAAAAGTATCTGTACAGCGAAGAATATAACAAAGTGAATAGATAACCTGAAGAATTGCAAAATTACTTGATAACCAAACATCTGATAAATAAGAGGTTAATTTCCAAAGTATATAACTTCTACAACTCAGTATTTTTAAAAGAACACTAATATAATTAAAAATGGGCTACGGACTTCAATTGATATTCCTCCAAAGAAGATATACAAATGACCAACCTGTATGTGAAAAACTGCTTAACAGTAATCATCAGGGAAATGCAAGTCAAAATCTAAATGAGGTATCACTTCACACCTGTCAGGATACCTATTTTTAAAAATAAAAGACAAGAATTAGTGAGAATGCAGAAAAAACTGAAACTCTTGCATAGTATTGGGTGAGAATGCAAAATGCTGTAGCTGCTATGGAAAACAGAATGTGCTTCCTCAAAAAGTTAAAAATAGAACTACTATATGATGTGGCAATCCTACTGTTAGGTATATATCCAAAAGAATTGGGTCGGGCGTGGTGGCTCACGCCTGTAATCCCAGCACTTTGGGAGGCCGAAGCGAGCGAATCACCTGAGGTCAGCAGTTCGAGACCAGCCTGACCAACATAGAGAAACCTCATCTCTACTAAAAATACAAAATTAGCTGGGCATGGTGGCGCATGGCTGTAGTCCCAGCTACTCGTGAGGCTGAAGCAGAAGAATCGCTTGAACCCGGGAGGCACAGGTTGTGGTTAGCCAAGATCGCACCATTGCACTCCAGCCTGGGCAACAAGAGTGAAACTCTATCTCAAAAATAAATAAATAAATAAATAAATAATAAATAAATAAATTAAATTAAAAAGAAAGAATTGAAATCAGATCTTGAAGAGATACATTACTCTGATGTCATTGCAGGATTATGCACACTAGCCATGATGTGGAAACAACCTAAATGTCCATCAAAAGATGAATGAATAAAATGTGGGATACACATACAAGCAAATACTATTCAGTTTTTAAAAAAGAAGGGATTTTTGCAATATGTGACAGAATACATGAATCTTGAGGACATTATACTAAGTGAAATGGGCCATTTAACAGAAAGACAAATATTGCATGATTCTGCTTATATAAGGTATCTAAAATGTCAAATTTGTGGAATCAAGAGTGGAATGTTGGCTATAGGGTCAATGATGGGGAGACTGATATTTGGGAGAAAGTAAATAGTCACCAATGAATGGGTGTAAAGTTCTGTTAAGCAAGATAAATATGCCCTACAAATCTGCTATACAATGTTGTACATATAGTCTACAATAATGTATTGTACACCTTAAGATTTGTTAAGAGGGTGGGTATCATGTAAACTGTCCTTACCATGTGTGGTCATTCCTCAGTTTTTTTTCCTTGAGAATGGAAGCATTCATTCCTCAGGTGCCCACAAGAATTTCCCCTGGAATCAGATGAAGTCTCAATTGCACCTGCATTATAATTAAAAAATCTCTCTCTGACCAGTCCTGCTCTGCTCATTCCAGTATAAGAATTAATTAGTAAAGCACTCCCCAATAAAGTTTCTGCATGAAAAGGTCATAGTTTCAGAGTCTGTTTTCTGAGGAGCCTAATCCTAGATAGCTCCCTTTAAAACCAAAGCATCCAATAATCTTAGACAGCTGACAGAATGAGAAAGAGGTCTATTGTTTATCTAGACATTGTGATAAGTGATTTACCCACTTCATTTTCCCCATTACTCTTAATAAATCTGAGGTAAAGCTCTTCTAAAACACTAATTTCCAAAGAGTTATTCCTATATATAATTGATAGAGCATGGTTTCAGCCATTCCAGGCTATGGATTCATATGCAACAAAGAAGATTTTGTGTCATTTCTTAGACCTTTAAAACTAGGCATCCTCTTCTTCCTAGCAACTCTAGTTTATATGGAATGTTTTTAATCTTCTACATAAAACATGACTTTAATTAAAAATCCCTTGGTAAATCAGTTTATATTTTTTCTTGATAATCCCAGAAAACTTCTCTATCAGCATTCACATTCTGTGAGCACACTGCTGTGTACAATTAAACACACTTTCAAATTATGAAAACATAATTCTTTCCTATCTGAGCCTGGCTACTAACATTTTATCAGAGGTCCCCTTACCATATTTGGACT